>NC_000015.10:63276874-68276874 GCF_000001405.40 Homo sapiens | reverse complement strand
AGGAGGGAACAGTCTGGTGAGCTCGGAAACAGAAAGGTCAGTGTGGCTGCAGCAGAGTGGGCCACAGTAAGAATGATAGATGAAGTCAGAGGATGCAACACACGTTAGGGCCTAATAACCCATAGCAAAGGGTTTAAGTCTACTCTGTGATGGGGGCATTTGAAGGGTTTTAAAGAGGGAAGTGACAAGATGCTATTTGTGTTTTTTAAAAAGATCACTCTGGCTGCTGTATGGAGAATAAACTCTGGAAGGCAAGAGTAGATAGGGGGACAGGCCTTGGATTAGGATGGTAGGAGTGAATGGTAGGTGATGAAGCTTCTGGGACAGTCTCAAAAAACTCAATATGAAAGTGACTTCCTCCCTCTTCCTCCCTTCCCCAAAGGACAAAATTTACCATAGAGAAAGAACAAATGCATTTATGTGGCTCCAAGGGACTGGGCTCGGCTCAACAAGTTCACATACATTATTTTATTTGAACCCCACCATTCCAATTCTAGGAGGTAAAGGCCTCACTTCCATTGCAGCTATTGGTGGAGGTGTGGGTCACTTCTCAAATTCTCTCCATTCTACAGCTCAGCTTTACCCACTTATTGCAGATCCCTACAGAAACACGAGTTATTTTTCTCCTTACCATAAACAAAAACAGCATTGGCAATAAGGGCTGAAGGTAAGATTCTACTGGTAGCGTCTCTGAAATAGCTGATAGAGAAGTGGGGGAAGCTGGCTGGTTTATTTGGGGACTTCAGGGTCATGAAAAAACCCAGTGTTTGACAGGGACCCAGGCTTTTTGGTCTCGGATTCACACATTCAGATGTGTGATGACTTCCTTTTCTGGCTCCATACGGCAAGCATGCACCTCATCTACCATCTGTCTCCTCTCTGCCTTTCTATCTCTCTCTGTCTCTCCATATCTCTAACTCCGTCTCCCTACCACCCTCCCTCTCCTCTGCCAACACACTTTGATTACCTGGGCACAAGCTGACCTGGAGGAGTGCCTGGCTCTTTAGAAAAACCATCTCCTCATAGCCTTTTACCCTATTATGTTCCTGAATCATTCTACATTCTATTCCGAACCAACTTTCTGAAGAAGGTGATGTAAAAAAGTCCAGACACAGGCCCCTTCTTCCAGTTTTGTTTTCTAAGGGAGACCTGATTCATCCAGACTCATTGCTGAATAAGAGACTCCCTTCTTCCTCGTGCCCTCTCTACCTCAGTTTGGTGGTATAACTGGATGGGTACTACAAGGGGTGACTGCTCCAAGGGTCAAGCTAGAGAGGGGCTCAGAACTTGCATTGTGTGGCCTCCATCCCAAGATGGGAATACCTCTTTGCTCCAGCAGCCCAAAGTCAGGAGGTTTGGGCTGCTGTTTTCTTCTGTGTTTATCAAAGTTGCTTCGTATAGGCTTCTGGGCTCCCTTGGTTTCTTAATAGCTATTGGCTGACTGGAGACTATTTAGTTGCTTGTTTACCTGGGCTTAGAGGGTGACGTTTCTGTGGTCAGGTTGTGCAAATCTGGAGAGAGGATATGTAAACAGGACAAGGCTGCTTTCCCAAAGGCCAGGGCCCAGAAATAGTTCCTTGTGCTTCTGACCTATTTCCTCCTCCCTGGACAGAAAGCCACTGAGCAAATGTGCAATAGTAAAACATAACTACAAGTAGCTATATCCTGATGGAGATTGATTTGCTGATGACAACAAACTGCAGCCTTCCACCTGGAAATAAGGCAGGACTGACCTTTCCCCGCACTTTGCTTCCTAGGCATTATAGTGGCCTATGAGCAGAATTTGCCATGCCTTCCATGGAGCATTCTTTTTCCAAGTCAGGTCAATCCAGCCTGCAGCTGTAAGTCAATGAAGTTCCTCAGATAAAGTGCATGCAAAAATGTTATTTTTCAAGCACCAGTAAAGACACTTGTTTTAATCTTATACCCCTTGCACGTACTATAGAGGAAGAGGGTGACCCTTAGTGTTGAATAGATCTGGGTGGGATTTCCATATCTATGGACAAGCTGTGGCTCTGGGCCAGTTTCTACATCTGTACAATGGAGTCAAATCTTTTCCTTGCAGGGCTGGTGTGATGGGAACATGCCAGCTTCTTCACCAAGCCTGGTCCTATGAAGGGGTGCCTCAGTACATACTAGTTTCTCTTTCCTCTTATTCCCCTCCTGCCCACCTGACAAAATCCTTCTATTTTGCCCACGTTACAAAACTCTTCTATTTTGCCCACCTGGCAAAATCCTTCTATTTTGCCATTAACCTGCTCAAGAAAGGACTTTGTCCCCATCTGCATTTTCTCTGCAAGAATGTGCCCGCCTCTAAGAATGGAGAGTAAACCCATGGTATACAAGGGGCTGGGGAGGCTAATTCACAAGAGTTCAGAAATTCCAACAGAGCTGCACAAGGATGATGTCAGAAATAAGAGTGATAACTCAGAAACCAGTGACAGTCTATCAGCCCGGTTTCACAAAACTGGCAGCCCACTGGCCTCTGCCTCCTCTGCCTCCCACTCTCCTTGCCTTTCCCTGAAAAGCAAATCTAATGATTGGCAAAAACAAAACCAAGGCTGGAGGAGAGGGGGTGGCTAGTCTGTGTTATTTTGCGAAGCCATTCATCTCTGCCAGATTTAGGTTTACCAGGAAAGTAGGTTGAAATAGACGTGTGTCTGCTTTGTTCTAACCCCATTCTTCTCTGGATAGTGGTACCAATCGGTATCCTGGGCTTATAATGACAGAAATATGTGTGCCAGGCATCACAGTGAACATTTCACACAGATGAGCATGTTATATTTACACAAGCTTCTGAAGTACATGCCATTATTATCATTCCCATTCTTCAGATGAAGAAACTAAGGCAGAGAGCTGTGGAGTAGCTTGTCTGTGGCCTCATAACTGGAGTGTGGGAGAACATCAGGATTTGAACTCAGGCTGTCTGGCCACCTCCACCCCACCTGCTACCAACCTTCTGTGCCCTCTCAGTTCTCCCCACCCATCATGTTCTTTGCAGTCAGGACCCCAGCTTTAGGTGCCCAAAGCTTTCTGTGGTCCTGGTCACTTCACTTGGGCTAAGGGGCCAATTAACTTACTGAGCCATCCCATGCCAATGGGGAAGGGCTGGAGGAAACCCCACCACCATCCCACACATAGTCTGGACAGCCCTCACTCCTACCCCAGGAGCACAGATCCACATCCAGAGCAAATGCCATCTCATCCTGGACATCTTCCTTGATTTTGCCCCTGAGGTCTATACCACTTTATACCTCTCTTGGGACCTTTGCCTCTTTCCAAAAATTACTCGTGTCTGTACAAGATTTCATAGTCTCCAAAGGCCTTTCCCATCCACCTAGTCCAGCTTCTTCCCAGGCCTTTTAACCTCCTTCTATCACTGGGATGGCATTCAGCATGGTAATTCAGCACCTGAGCTCTGGAATCCAGCCTGCAGCATCCTAACTTCACCACTTGCTAGCTGTGTGCCGCTGGGCAAGGTACTTGCTCAACTTCTCAACATCTCGGTTTCCCTATCTGTGAAACTGGGATAATAATAATGTCACCCTTATCTGGTTGGAGGGTTGAATGAGATAAGCATACAAGCATACACAGCACCCAAACTCAGTAAGTGCTGGCTGCTGTTATCATCTCACTAAATCTTCTCCCAAAACTCCTGTGGGATTAAACCTTCCCACCACCCTCCCACACACACTCTGGTTCTTGTCATCAGTAAAAATGCATCTGAACCAGATGACCTTTAAGCTTTCTTCCAGCTCCATCAACCTATGATTCTACCATGAATCACAGTTATTATGGACACATTTTAACTCTTTATGCCATAGCAATCTCCTGAAGGCCCAGCCCTTAACATAGGGCCTTGTATACAGTTGGCTGTCCTGCCAGGGTGATGTTAGCACCTAACAATAGTCCTTGCCTCATCCACGCACTGGGATGAACAAATGAGGAAATTCCTATATAGCATTTAGTCCAGTGCCTGGCACTGAGTAAGCCCCTAATAAGTCATGGTTTCTATTATTATCCCATCTGATACTAATAAGATTCCCAAACATGGTCATTAAAAGCATAGGAGCCACACTGGGTGTGGACTCATCCTAGTGCTGATCCTGTGAGACCTTGAGCAAGTTAATTCACCACCCCATGCCTCAATTTCCTCCTCTGTAATATGGATGTGATTATGAGTAACTTCCTAATAAGGTTGTTGTGAGTTAATAGAAGGGCACTTAGAATTGTGCCTGGCATCTGCTTGGTATATGTAAGTGCTTTTTGTCATCATTTACAGATGTCAGCGGCACCAAGGGACATCCCCAAGCAGTAGTGGAGTTGGGATCCAAACCTAAGCTTGACTGATTCCAGAGCCTCAGTGCTAATATTAGGAGATATTGCTGCCCTGTGTGATCCCATGCATTTCAGCAGGAGCCTCCTTGTCCACTCCTTTCAGTTGTCTTCCCTGGCAAAGGAGTTTTTATAATGGTGATTTCAGGATGGGAGGAGGGTGAGTCAGCACCAGAGAGACCTAAGGATGCCCTCAAATCATACCACAGGAGAAGCAGCCTTCTTCTCACCTGTGTCTGGTCGTATCACTTTAGCATTCCATCAGGACCTGGCCCAGAAGCCCAGAAACATGGCAACACCCACACCTGCCATCTAGCCTGGAAGCTGCAGCGAAACCCTCAGCACTCACGCTGATGTCACATTTGAGGCTAGTCCCAGCTCTTCCATGGAGACAGGCCCTGGCCTTGAGGCCATTTCCCATTTCTGAGGCATGATTCACTTAGCAGACAAGACCAGACAGACTCGTTCATGTTCATACCTACCGGAGGAAGGAGAGGTGGGTGGTGGATCCAGGGGGAGAAGAAAAACAAACGGGGTTAGGGCTGGCAGGACTCTCGCTGCTGGGCTGCAGGGGCGGAGCAGGCAGGCAGAGCGCCTGACTTAGGAGCCGTGCCCAGCATGGCCACCCACTCACCCATTTATCTTCCTTGCAGTCAAATGTATTGATTTAAACAGGAATCCGTCTGTGCTTCTAAAGCCCCAGAAACGCACTTACATCTCACGTGTAGCACAATGATTTTCAAAGAGGTTTCCCACAAATAATTTTAATTTGGGTTACTTTTTAAATATTTGATTCTCTTATTAACAAAGCAACACATGCTTATGAGGAATGCTGGGACAACTTTTCAAATGTCAATTTTAAATATATACAGAATTATACCACCAGCAATAAGATTTTCAGTAAATTTCCCACTAGTCTGTTTTCTGAGTCCACAGACATATATAGTTCATGAAACAAAATTGGAGCCATACCACACAAAGAGTTCCATATCTTTTTTTCTTTTCATTTAACATAAAGTCATTGGCATTTTTCAATGTTACCAAATATTCTGCTACAGCAATTCATAATGGCTGCATTTATCAGAATAGATGTGTTATAATTTCGGTGGCCATGCCCTGATTGTTGGACTTTCAAGATGTTTACGAAAATATTACTATTAAAATAACAGTGCCACGAACACCTCTTTACTTGTATTTTTGTCTGTATATCTGATTATGTGCCAATAATAAATTTCTAGTAATGGAATTACTAGCTCACAGGATTTGAATATTTCTGAATATATCTAGCCAAATTACTTTCCAGAAAATACATCCAGTTTACACTCCCCCGGCAATGTGTTCGAATGTTCTCACTCTGTTTTGAGCTTGTGAGCCAGTGAGTTAGGTAACAAGGTCTCATGTTACAGACGAAGAAAACTGGGCACAAAAAGATTAAGTAGCCAGCTCCAGTTCGTACAACTGAGATCCAAGCCCTGGCCTCCTGGAGTTAGTGTCAGGGGCCTTCCAGACAAGGAGAGCTCTGAAGAGGTTTCCTGACTAATGGAGTTGGATAGAACTTTCTTTTTTTTTTTTTTTGAGACGGAGTCTCACTCTGTCACCCAGGCTGGAGTGCAGTGGCGACATCTTGGCTCACTGCAACCTCTGCCTCCCAGGTTCAAGTGATTCTCCTGCCTCAGCCTCCCGAGTAGCTGGGATTACAGACATGTGCCCCTATGCCCAGCTAATTTTTATATTTTTAATAAGTAGAGACAGGTTTTCAGTATGTTGGCCAGACTGGTCTAGAACTCCTGACCTCAGGTGATCCACCTGCCTCAGCCTCCCAAAGTGCTGGGATAATAGGTGTGAGCCATCATGCCTGGCCGCCTTCTATTATTTATTAGAGACATTAGTCTGTAACTTCTCCTTTTTTAATAACTTTGATATATTTTTATATTAAAGTTATGCTGGCCTGAAAGTTGAGATATTTTCCCTTTTTTCTCTAGTATTTTCTTTGAGGGAAGGTTTCTAATTATGGATTAAAGTTTTTAAAGTAGATGTAGGTATATGTACATTTTGTACTTATGTTCATTTTGGTAAATTGGGCTTCTCAAAGAATTGATTCACTTCCTTCAAATTTTCAAATTTATTAGCGCACATTTTTTATAATATCTTTTTATCATTTTAATATCTGTAGCATCTGTTTTTATAGCCTGCTTTTTTCATTCCTGATACTGATAATTCATATTTTCTCTTTGTTTTTCTTAGTCTTACTACTATTTATCAATTTTTTTTTTTTTTTTTGGATACAAGGTCTCACTCTGTCACCCAAGCTTGAATACAGTGAAATGATCACAGTTCACTGCAGCCTTAGCTTTGGCTCAAGCGATCCTCCCACCTCAGCCTCCCAAAGTGCTAGGAGTACAGGCATGAGCCACTGTGACTGGCCTATCAGTTTTTTTAACCTTTTCAAAGAATGAATGTTTGGATTTATTTTCCATATTGCAAATTTTTTTCTATTTCACAGATTTTTGCTCTTTATTATTTCTTTGCTTTTTCTTTATTTGGTCCTAATTTGGTTGCTCTTCTTTTAGATTCCTGATTTTCAATTCTTAGTGTTTTTGTTTGTTTGTTTTTTTTTTTTTTTGAGATGGAGTCTTGCTCTGTCACCCAGGCTGGAGTGCAGTGGCACAACCTTGGCTCACTGCAACCTCCTCCTCCCGGGTTCAAGCGATTCTCCTGCCTCAGCCTCCCGAGTAGCTGGGATTACAGGTGTGCACCACCATGCCCAGCTAATTTTTGTATTTTTGGTAGAGACAGGGTTTTACCATGTTGGCCAGGCTGGTCTTGAATTTCTCACCTCAAGTGATCCACCTGCCTCAGCCTCCCACAGTGCTGGGATTACAGGCTTGAGCCACCTCGCCCAGCCAATTCTTAGTCTTTTTTTTTTTTTTTTTTTTTTTTTGAGATGGAGTCTTGCTCTGTCACCCAGGCTGGAGTACAGTGGCACAACCTTGGCTCACTGCAACCTCCTCCTCCCGGGTTCAAGCGATTCTCCTGCCTCAGCCTCCCAAGTAGCTGGGATTACAGGTGTGCACCACCATGCCCAGCTAATTTTTGTATTTTTGGTAGAGACAGGGTTTTACCATGTTGGCCAGGCTGGTCTTGAATTTCTAACCTCAAGTGATCCACCTGCCTCAGCCTCCCAAAGTGCTGGGATTACAGGCATGAGCCACCTCGCCCAGCCAATTCTTAGTCTTTTTTTTTTTTTTTTTCATTTCTGATATATACATTTAAGGCCATACATTTTCCTCTAATCACTGTCTGGCTGACATCCTACAGTTTATAAAATAAAATTATATGTGTTTATTACAAGAATCAAATTAAGAAATTGTATCAGCTTCTCTAACATACTTATTTACACAGCAAATATAATATACCAAGATGATGCAAACCTTTCAAATATGTCAAGCCACAGTTTTCTTTGCTTTTTTTTCTTAGTTTAAAATATATTGTTGTTCTTCCACCTTATCTTTGTTTTCATAAGTGGTTTTTCTCTTATCCTGCCTTATAATTTTGCTAGGTTTGGTGATGTAGGAAATCAAAAAAGGATTTAGACAAGAACAAATGAAGTTATGGTCCGAACAATTTTGAAGCAATAGATTTACATTTGAGAACTTTTAGTTGTAATGATCCTGCAAGTTTTGGTTTGTTGTGTTTTCATTATTATTCAGTTCAAAATATTTTCTAAATCTCATGTGATTTTTTTCATTTTATTCATAAGTTATTTAGAAGTCCTATCAAATCTCAAAGCGGTGGGGGATTGTATTATTAGCTACATATGACAGATGTTTGGCTTAATTCCACAGTCGAAGAACACAATCTGTAGGATTTCATTCCTTTGATATTTGTTGAGGTTTGATCATGTCTCAGCATGTGGTGTATCTGTGGGAAATGTTCAATGTGTACTTGAGAAGAATGTGCTTTCTGTACTTGTTTATAATATCTAAAACAAAAGAGTGATTATCTTCTAGGTTATATAAAAACTCAGGCAAATCGGTAGGAAAAAAAAATGCCACAGGAAACCCTATAGAAAAAAATGGCATAGGAAAAGAACAAGCTATTCACAGAAGCAAAAGCCCAAAATAGAAGAGATACTCAAATTTATTAGTAATCAGAGGAACGCAATCACAAGATACCACTTTTTATACTTGGACGTCAGAATGGTAAAAATTAGATAGGCAAAATCAAATGTTAGTGTTTATCACAGAGAACTCACAAAGGTTTTTAGGTACAAAGACCTTCCTCATGGCTTTATCTGAGTGGTGGGGAAGTGAGGGCAACTTAGGTATTCATTATCACAGATGGAGAAGAACCATACGATGGATGCTCACTCTGGGAAGATTGGTTAGTGGCTCACCAAGTCTATCTCCTTTTCTTCCAAGACACACAAATAGACTACATTTTCCAGTCTTCATTGCAGTTAGGCACAACCATTTGACTGAGGTCTAGTCAAAGAATATGAATGGAAATGATGTTGCTATTCCAGGCCCATGAAAACCTCTCACACAAGATATTTATGCCTTTCACCTTCTGCCAATGCAATGCAGGTGGATGCGACCATCTTGGAAGCCATGTTAAAGAAGGCAGAGCCACAAGATAGATGCAGCCGGGTTCTCTAAATCACCACTGGGGAGAAACCCACACACCAATGAGGAATACCCATTTTTTGGATTTTAAGAGCAAGAAATAAACTTCAATTGTGTTCAGCATTATGTGCTTTGGGGTTTGTTTATTACAGCAACTAGTGTTACTGCAACTAATACATAGTACACTATGAAAATACAATGCTGGAGAAAGAAGTGATGGAATAGATATGCATAAAACACCATTGATAGGCCTCACAAACATAGGGTTAAGTGCAGAAGTACAGAAACAGAATGAAATTTATAACTAGATTCTATTTATTAAATAGCATATGCACACAATATAATAATACATGTTTTCTGAGGATACATGCATATTTAAGGATGTATAACAAATGCTTTAGAATGGGTATGTATGGGCCAGGTGCGGTGGCTCATGCCTGTAATCCCAGCACTTTGAGAAGCCAAGGCAGATGGATTACCAGAGGTTGGGAGTTCGAGACCAGTCTGGCCAACATGCTGAAACCCCATCTCTACTACAAATACAGAAAATTAGCTGGGTGCAGTGGTGGGCATCTGTAATTCCAACTAATTGGGATGCTGAGGCAGGAGAATCACTTGAACCTGGGAGCCCGAGGCTGCAGTAAGCCATGATCGTACCACTGCACTCCAGCCTGGGAGACAGAGTAAGACTCCATCTCAAAAAAAAAAAAAAAAAAAAAGAATGGGTATGTACGGTAGGAATCAGAGAAGAAGGGAGAAAAAAGAAAAATTTCAAGAGAGTAATTGTACTAACCTGTGAGGACAATAAACTATGAAGTGAGAAGTGCAATTAATTACTTTTCTACACCTGATGACCTGAGTACAATTTTGAAAAATACAACAAATAATTTAAGAATTTAATAGAACCAGCAAACAAGTGTATGAAAAAAATCTGAACATTTTTAGGAATCAAACAAATATAAATCCATATAACAATAAGATATCAGTTGCAATAGCAAATTAGCAAGTATTTTTTAAAATATTAATATCCAGTGTTATGGAGAGTTGGTAAAATAGGACTCCTCATATTTGGCTGAAAGGTGTGCAAATTGGTAAAATTATTTAGGAAAGCAGTTGATTGCTTCTTGGCCTTTTGGCTAAGATCAAGTGTAGGAAAGCAATTGATAATATTTATGAAGGTTCTAGAAAGGTTTATACCTTTTGTCTTAGAGATTCAATTTCTTGGAATCTAGCTAATGATATAACCTCAACAATCTCAATAATAGAACCATCAAAATAGTTTTTATAAAGATTGTATAATGGGAAAGTTATTGTGATGCACTATTAAGTTTTTAAAAGCAAAAAATAAAAGCAAATATTATAAATAATAATTAATATACATTTGGCTACAAATATGTAAAAATAAACAAACCCACATCCAGGAGCATAAGATTTATGCCCTACCCACAGTAAAGTCACAGTATAGAAAGAACAGACAGCAAAAATAGGTCTCCACTTTTATGAGACAGGAGATTTCAGGCTAAGAAGTTGGTCTTGTTGAATGAGGACTAAGACCACTTGAGTCAACATGACACAAGTCTCCTAGGAAATTCTTGCCCAGGAAGACAAGGTGGTAAACCAACAAATACATTTATTGTTTGCTTCAAGAAATTAACATATTGGGGAAAACAGTTTGCTCATTTGGCCAAAGAACTCTCCTGTCAGGATAACAGACTGCTCAAATAGGCAAAAAGCTCACGTATATGACAGTTTATTTATCAAGGCTTGCATGGAGACTTTTATTTCTCTGTGTCTACTAATCCTAACTCTCCTAAATATTACAAACTGTGCTTAATTCCTATCAGTTTCTTTCTTTGTAAGACCATCTTAAACCATTTGAGCCCAGACCCCCAAATCCTATAAACATCCTTTCTTGAAATCTCCCTCTGACATACTACTAATTCTCTATCGAGGTAGTGTTCTTCCTTTCTGCAGTAAGGCTAATACAACTTATGCCCTACCCGCTTACTTTAAAAGTAAGTACTAAAATAAGTACTCAGACTTACTTTGCTTGATCAACAGGTTTTTCTGTTACCCAGGAGGCGGAGGTTGCAGTGAGCCAGGATCACACCACTGCACTCCAGCCTGGGGGACCCTGTCTCAAAAAAAATTAGATTAAATTAAAATTTTAAAGACCTAAGTAAACAGAGGGATAGATAACATTTATACTTTGGAAAACACAATATTGTAAAAATGTCAGTTCTTCCCAAATTATTCGTTAGGTTCAATGCAATGTCACTCAAAATCCTTTTTTTTTTTCTTTTGGTAGAAGTAAAAAAGCTCAGTAGAATTTATATGGAAATTACAAAGGATGAAGAACAGCAAAGACAATCTTGAGAAGGAAGAAGAACATGGAGGATACACACTATTGAGAGAAAACATTTATTTTATATACAATTTGTTTATATAATATATAATAATGTAAATATTTATTTTATACGTGTGTGTGTGTTGTGTATCTCACAAAGGACTCGGATCCAAAATATATAAAAACTCCTACAAATCACTATGAAAATGACTGCCAAGGGGGAAAATGAACAAAAGACTTGTGCAATCACTTTACCAAAGAGTATATTCAAATGCTCAATAAGCATATTTTTAAAAAAGAGTTTAGTATTATTAGTCATCAGGGAAGTACACATTAAGACAGCTCGGAGATACCGATATCCACTTGCTGGAGTGTCTAACTTTAAAACACTGATCATAACAATTCTCATACATTGCTGGTGGGAATATAAATTGATTCAGCTACTTTGGAAAACTGGTGCCCACCAGTGAAAAAGATACATACTCTATTATCCAGCAATTCTTCTCCTATGTATATACCCAACAGAAATGAGTGCATATGTATGCCAAAAAGCATATACTAGAGTGTTTATAGCAGCCCTGTTGGTAATAGTCAAAAACTGGAAAAACTCAAATGTCCATGAGCAGTAGAATGGATAAATTGTGGTTATATTCATACATCAGAATGTTCTACTATTACGTATTTTTATACACCAAAAAGAGAATGAATGCCCTTTACATGCAACAACATGATGAATGTCCAAACATCATGTTGAGCAGAATAAGCCAGACACAAAAGAGTCACTACTTTACTGATTGCATTGATAGAAAGTTCAAAAGAAGGCAAGAGAGTTTACCTTTTGCAGCGAGTATTAACTGGTTGACTGGAAGGCAACAAGGAAGAAGCTTCTTGCATTCTGGAAATGTTTTCTGTTTTTGTTTTTGTTTTTGTTTTGTTTTGTTTTTAAAGACCGGATCTCTCTCTATCACCTAGGCTGGAATGCAGTGGCATGTTCATAGCTCACTGCAACCTCAAACTCCTGGGCTCAAGTGATCCTACAGCCTCAACCTCCCAAGTAGCTGGGATTACAGGTAAACACCACTACACCCAGCTCTATTCTTTCCCCCGGCCCCTGCAGACACCACAGTGATTTACAGCTCTATTCTTGACTTAGGGTGTTGGTTCCATGGGGATAACTCATTGCTGAAATCCATCAAGTTTGGTATACTTAATGTTTATGCACTTTACTATATGTAAGTTATACTTCAACAAAAATGTTTACCAAAAAATCCAATAAGTAAACCTTTTCTTTCATATTTAGGGATGTTCACTTACTGATCATTCATTGTGCTGTGCATTTTCCACCCACATGCAATACTTGAATAATTAAATTTCTTTTTAAAATATACCTTTCCGTTGATCCTGCTAGCTAGTGGCCTTTTTCCCCTCTTTTTTTAAATATCAAAATTCCTTAAGAGAGCTGTCTGGACTCATTGTTTCCAATTACTCTCCTCTCAGTCACTCCCTTTTTTGGAAGTGAATTTTTTTTTTTTTTTTGGAAAGGTTCAAACATATACAAAAGAAGAGAAAATTGTAGAGTGCACATCACCCAGATTCGACAATCATAAACTCATAGTCATGATTCATCCATACCCCATCCCACACACACTCCCATTCTATTATTTTGAAGCAAATCCCAGACATTGTATTATTTCATTAATAATTATTTTAGTCTATATCTTTCAATAATATATAACCAAAATATCATCATATCTAAGCAAAATATCTTCCAAAATATCTATTCAGTGTTCCAAAATACCATCATTATATCTAAAAAATTAACAATAATTCCTTAATATTTGTAAATATTCAATCAGGGTTCAAATTTCTGTCTCATAAATGATAGCTTGTGCTATACATTTTTTTTTAAATCTATCATATTGTCAAAGATCAAAAAGTTTGAAAACATACAGTGTTGGTCAAACTGTGTAAAGTGATTCAACCTCTATGGAGAGCAATTTGGTAATATTTATTAAATTATAAAATGCACATTTCCTTTGACCTAACAATTTTACTTTTAAAAAATTTGTCCTATAGATACATTCATACATGTGAAAAGTGGGGGGTATGGGGTGAGGTGGTACATGCCTGTAATCCCAGCACTTTGAGATCACTCTAGCTCATGAATTTGAGACCAGCCTGAGCAACATGATGAAATGCCATCTCTACAAAACATAAAAAATTAGTCAGGCATGATGGCTAATAGGATTGCTTGAGCCTGGGAGGCAAAGGTTGCAGTGAGCCAAGATCGTGCCATTGCATTCCAACCTGAACGACAGAGCCAGACCCTATCTCAAAAAAAAAAAAAAAAAAAATTAAAACTTTTTTCAACCATTTAAAAATGAAGAATTATTCTTAACTTGCAGGTCAGACAAAAACAAATGATGGACCAGATCTGGCCCCTGGGTTGTAGTTTGCTAATCCCTGATTTAGCGTAAGTACTCACAAGATATTTGTAAAGTAAAAGAAAACAAAAGATAGGAAACCACCGACATTTCTATCAAAAGATGATAAACAAATGTTAAAACTTTGAAACAAAGGAACATTGAATAGTTATGTAAAAGAATGGGTTAGTTCTGCTTTGGTAGTGAAAGGGAGGAATCTCCATACTGAGAGCTGGGGGAACAAAAGAGAAAAAAAAACAGTAGGTATATGATACTACAATATTTTACAATTATATGAAAATATTATTAAACTAAATACAAATATATGTGTTCATAGATGCACAGAATTTGTCAGTACAAATATAGAACAAATTGATAGCAGGAGTGACTTCTGGGGAGAGAAATTAAGTGCTAGAAGACAGGGATGTGAGGAAGACTCAAGGTTTTTTGCTGTTTTCGTTGTTTTTTTTTTTAATATATGTATAGGCAGCAATATTTTATTGAATGGTACTGCTCCTTGCAGACCAGTGCTAACTCATAGGCAGTGAACCCCAAGTCAGCCTCTCAGTTTTTACTCTACATTCTTGTGTACCCCTTTTCTGGCTTCTTTTTGTAGTACAATGCATATAACATAAAACTTACCATTGTAATCATTAGAAGTATACCATTCAGTGACATTCAGTACATTTACAATGTTATGTCATTATCATAATGATCTAGCTTCGGAATGTTTTCATCATCCCAAACAGAAACCCTGTACCCATAAAGCAGTCACTCCTCTGTCCCCCAGCCACTGGAAACTACTAATCTGCTTTATGTCTCTATGATTTGCCTATTCTGGATATTGCATATAAATGGAATCATACATTGTGTGGTCTTTTGTGTCTGGCTTCCTTCATTTAGCATAATATTTTCAAGGTTTTTAAGGTTCATCCATGTATCCTGCATCGGTACTTCATTACTTTTGATAGCTAAATAATATTCCATTGTATGGCTATACCACACTTTGTTGATCCATTCATCTATTGATGAACATTTGGGTTGTTTCTACCTCTTAGCTATTGCAAATAAAGTTGCTATGAACATTTGTGTATACTTCTTGCTTGAGCTCGTTATTATTTGTGTTATATACCACAGAGCAGCGTTGGTAGGTCACATGGGAATTTTATGTTTAACTTGTGGAAAGCGGCTGGGCATGGTGGCTCACGCCTATAATTCCAGCACTTTGGGAGGCCAAGGCGGGTGGATCGCTTGAGGTCGGGAGTTCAAGACCAGTCTGGCCAACATGGTGAAACCCCCCTCTCTACTAAAAATACAAAAATTAGCCAGACGTGGTAGCACACATCTGTAATCCCAGTTACTTGGGAGGCTGAGGCAGGAGAATCACTTGAATCTGGGAGGTGGAGGTTGCAATGAGCCGAGATCGTGCCACTGCACTCCAGCCTGGGCAACAGAGCAAGACTCCGTCTCAAAAAAAAAAAAAAAAAAACCTTGTGGAAAGCCACCAAACTGTTTGCTATAGATGTATGCCTTTTAAATTGTATATAGAAGCCCCCCTTATCCTTGGGGGATATGTTTCAAAATCCCCGGTGGATGCTTGAAGCCTCGGATAGTACTGAACCCTATGTATAGTATGTTTGTTCATCTCAAAACAAAGATGGCTACCAAACCTCAAACAGCCTGGTAGCATATACGGCATGGATACTCTGGACAAAGGGATGATTCACACCCCAGACAGAGAGCAGGGCAGTAAGATATTTCCTCATCCTACTCAGAATGGCACAAAATTTAAACTTATGAATTTTTATTTCTGGAACTTTCCATTTAATATTTTCAGATGGCAGTTGACTGCAGGTAACCAAAACCACAGAAAGTGAAATCACAGAGAATGGGGGACTACTGTACTGTGTGCATGTCCTACCTATTCAAGAATAAATTTTAGAATATCTCTCTTTGAATTTTAGAACAATCTTTCTTTGAAGATTAAGGCCAGGTGTGGTGGCTCCCGCCTGTAATCCCAACACTTTAGGAGGCCGAGGCAGGAGGGTTGCTTGAGCCCTGAAGTTGGAGAGTGGCCTGGGCAACATGGCAAAACCCCATCTCTATAAAAAATACAAAAAATTAGCTAGGTATGGTGGCATGTGCCTGTAGTCCCAGCTACTTGGGAAGCTGAGGTGGGAGGATCGCTTGAACCCAGGAGGTCGAGGTTGCAGTGAGCCATGATCACACCACTGTACTCCAGCCTGGGCGACAGAGTGAGATCCTGCCTCAAAAAAAAAAAAAAAAAAAAAAAAAAAAAAAAGATTAAAAAGTAAATTAAATGGGGATATACAAGTTTATGACCTTTACAATCTAGTTTACAATCTAGTATGGGGTCTAACATTACTATGCTATTGTATGCTATGTCTCTGTATCTGACTCCATGGGATATAATATATACAATTAATTTAATCATATTTCACTAAAGAAGTTAACTGATGATTATGTAGTTGACATGTAATAAAGTTATAGAATGAAAATTTCTTGAAAAACAGTACAGGGGCCGGGTGCAGTGGCTCACGCCTGTAATCCCAGCACTTTGGGAGGCCGAGGCAGGCAGATCACAAGGTCAGGAGCTCGAGACCATCCTGCCAAACACGGTGAAACCCCATCTCTACTAAAAATACAAAAAAATTAGCTGGGCGTGGTGGCGGGTGCCTGTGGTCCCAGTTACTCGGGAGGCTGAGCCAGGAGAAGGGCGTGAACCCAGAAGGCAGAGCTTGCAGTAAGCCGAGATCGTGCCACTGCACTCCAGCCTGGGTGACAGAGCAAGACTCTGTCTCAAAAAAAAAAAAAAAAAAGTACAAATGCTCCTCAACTTAGGATGGGACTATGTTCCAATAAACCCATTGTAAGTTGAAAATGTGCAAGTTGAAAATGCATTTAATACACCTAACCTACTGAACATCACAGCTTAGCCTAGCCTACCTTAACCATGCTCAGAATACTGATATTAGCCTACAGTTGAGCACAATCATCTGGCAACACAGTCCACTGTAGAGTATCAGGTGTCTACCCTCATGATCAAGTGGCTGCCTGGGAGCTGCGGCTCGCTAATGCTGCCCAGCATGGGCACATATGCCAGTATCATAGCCTGGGAAAAGAGCAGAATTTAAAAGCTGAAGTACAGTTTCTACTGAATGTGTATTGCTTTTGTACCATTATAAAGTGGAAAAATCCCAAGTCAAGCCATCATAAGTCAGGCACCATCTGTATTTATCAGCCACGCTTATGCCACATGAAACAAGCCTTATTTTAGGAAAAAAAAAACGCATTAGGAGATAACACAGCATAGTGGTTGCATGCTCTGGCTTGACCTGGATTCAAATCTGGATTCTACCACTTCCTGCTTGTGTGACTTCATGCTTATATTTTAACTACCTTGACTCTATTTCCTCAATGATTATATAATGTCATGGGGAGCAAGTATTTTATAATCCATGCAAAACACTGTACTCAATAGATGTTTAAAAGTTTTTTTTTGTGGGGGCCGAGCATGGTGGCTCTTGCCTGTAATCCCAACACTTTGGGAGACCGAGGCAGGTGGATAGCTTGAACTCAGGAGTTTGAGATCAGCCTAGGCAAAATGGCAAAACCCTGCCTCTAAAAAAGATACAACAACAACAAAAAAAACTAGCTGGGGATGGTGGTAAGCACCTGTAGTCCCAGCTACCCAAGAGGCTGAGGTGAGAGGGTGACCTGAGCCCTGGAGGGCAAGGCTGCACTGAGCCATTACCCTCCAATTGGGCAACAGACTGAGACACTGTCTTAAAAAAAAAAAAGTTTTTTAAGCAGTAGTCACCTCATGTATAGTGACCAGGCTATCATAATTCTGGAGAATCTAATGATTTGACAAAGTTGCCCCTCTCCTTCCTATTATCTCAGTAACTGAGATTCTTGGAGACAGTAGTCAGATTTGCAGAAACTAACATATCTCCCGGGAGGAGAAAGATTGAGATATACTTTCTTTCCTTTTAAAGTTTGTGGTAGATTGAAAAAATTGCCACAAATTTTCTCCATCTATGTACATGAGCCCCTTTACAATGTAACTTTGTAGCTTCTTTCATCAAGAGATGAAATCTATTTCTCCACCCTTTGAGGCTGAGCTTGGCCCTGTGACTTGTGCCGGGGTAGTATGACTTTAAAGCAGAGGTATGAAGAGCTCTTGCACACTGGGGCTTCCCCTGTTGTTGCTCTTTGGAGACAGCAAAGTGAGGCACACTCAGGGCTGCCTAGTGGAGCCTGAGAGACCGCACAGAGCAGAGAGTTGGGCTTTACTAGAGTTGGCCAGATGGGTATTGTGAATGGAGACGGGGCAAGGGAGTTCAGGGTGTATCCACAGGAATGACCAAAATAGTTGACAATGAAATTTAAGCCGGGAAAGAAGGGAAGCCAGGATATATATGATATATATATATATCATATATATCTATATCTCATATATATCATATATATCTCATATATCATATATGAGATAGATCTCATATATATCATATATATCATATATGAGATAGATCTCATATATATGATATACATATATGTATATAATATATGTGAGATATATGTATATACATATCATATATATCTCATATATATCATATATCATATATAGATCCCATATATATCATATATAGATCTCATATATATCATATATATCATCATCATATATCTATATATCATATATATCATATATATCATATGTATCATATATATCTCATATATCATATATACATCTCATATATATATCATATATATACATCTCATATATATCATATATATACATCTCATATATATATCATATATACACATCTCATATATATCATATATACATCTCATATATATATAATATATATACATCTCATATATATCATATATACATCTCATATATATCATATATATACATCTCATATATATCATATATATACATCTCATATATATCATATATACGTCTCATATATATCATATATACACATCTCATATATATATCATATATACACATCTCATATATATCATATATACATCTCATATATATATCATATATACACATCTCATATATATCATATATACATCTCATATATATCATATATAGATCTCATATATATATCATATATCTCATATATCTATCATATATATATCTCATATATCTATCATATATATATCTCATATATCATATATATCTCATATATCTATCATATATCTCATATATCTATCATATATATCTCATATCTATCATATATATCTCATATATATATCATATCTCATATATATCTCATATATATCTCATATATATCTCCTCATATATATATCTCATATATATCATATATATATCTCATATATATCATATATATATATGAGATGAAGGCCAGAGAAAAGGTGGTAAGATCTATTAATTGTAGGTCCTATTGGAATCAAAAGATTGCTGGACTTGTGGTGCTGGACAACCCAAAAGTAGTGGTCAGAGCCTGGAATGCTTGAAATTTAGATTATGGAAGCAGGACTGGCTACATAATTTGTGGACCCGGTGCAAAATGAGGATGCCTTATTCAAAAGGCAAGTAAAAGCTTTTACCTTGCTTCTAGCCTTCTCTCTCTGGACTTTTTGTGCTTTTTATATGCTACTTATGAAAATTTCTAAATAAAGAAAAAATACAATTTTAAATTATTAGCACGAATTTTACCATTTATGTTCATATTGTGCAATGTGGAATCACCGAGTTACACAATTCGTATGTTACGGCTTGTCCCCAGAGGGTGCTCTGACTAGCCAGAAGAGACAAACAGCGCAACAAAGACTCAGGAAGCTTGCAAGCAGGAAAACAAGATCCTCCCTCCCTCACGCCGCCCCTCCCCCAAGCTCGGAGCCAGAGGCGGGCGCGCTCCCTCGGGCACGCGGGTACTCTGGGGCTGGCGCAAGCCCTCAGCGACGCCGGGCGCGTGCGTTCCGCTGCCTCCAGCCCCTGGGCACCGCTGCCGTGCGCTCGCTGGCGGGGAGAGGCCTGCAGAAGTCAGGCCAGGTGTCTCTCTTTCCCTTGGGCCCGCGGCCCAACCGCATGGCACCAGGCAGCCCCCAGCGGTATTGCGACCTCTGCGTCAGTCGCGCTCAGTCCCTAGATACAGGTGTGCCGGAGAAGCCCAGGGAAGGGATGCGTGACCATCACTACACCCTGCCCCACGACGCGGTGGGACGCGCACCCTGACCCTCCCCAGAGCCGCGCCCAGGACCTTGCCTGGGCGGAAAATGGCAGCCGTTGCCGGGAAGGAGCGGCGAGCGAGAGGCAGGCCCCGGCCAGAGACACTGGGAGCCATCCCTAGGAGGGAGGGAGGCGAGGCGGGCTTGAGCCGAGCCTTCAAGCCACTGGCGCAGGCGCCATTGTCCTGTGAGACTTCGCTGAGAAAACTCAAATTCAAAGGTAAAAAGTAAGTTTCAAGGCAATGAGAGCAGCGCATTAAACCAAGGGCGAAGCCCTTCTGAACGTGGGGCCCTGTGCGACTGCACTGCCCACACCCCTGAAGCCAGCCACGTGTGTGGGGATCCCAAAGAGAGTATTGTAATAACAAATACTGTGATACAGGAGTGCTATAACACAAGTATTGTATTGGTAATAACGGCTAGAGCAGTGCTGCCCAACAGAAATACAGTGCGAGCCACATATGTAATTTTACATTTTCTAGTAACCACATTTAAAAAAGGGAAAAATGGCCGGGCATGGTGGCTCACACCTGTAATCCTAGCACTTTGGGAGGCAGAGGCAGGCGGATCACTTGAGGTCAGGAGTTCTCAACCAGCCTGGCCAACATAGTGAAACCCCGCCTCTACTAAAAATACAAAAAAATTAGCTGGGCATGGTGGCGCGTGGCTGTAATCTTAGCTATTTGGGAGGCTGAGGCAAGAGAATCGCTTGAACCTGGGAGGCAGAGGTTGCAGTGAGCCGAGATGGCGCCACTGCACTCCAGCTTGGGAGACAGAGCAAGACTCCGTCTCAAAAAAATAATAATAATAAAATAAAAAGAGGGGAAAGGCTGGGGGCGGTGACTCATGCCTGTAATTCTAGCACTTTGGGAGGTCGAAGAAGGAGGATCACTTCGGGCGAGGAGTTGGACAACAGACAGGGCAACATAGTGGGACCCTGTCTGTACAAAAATTAATTAGCCAGGCATGGTGGCCCGCACCTGTAGTCCCAGCTACTGGGGAGGCTGAGGCAGGAGGATCTTTTAAAACTGATAAGTTGAGGTTTCAGTGAGTGGTGACTGCAACACTGCATTCCAGCCTTGGTGACAGAGGGAGACCCTGACTCCAAACAAGAAAGAAAAAGTAAAAAGAAACAGGTGAAATGAATTGAAGTATTTCATTTAACCAAACATATACAAAATATTGTTTCTTTTATTTTCCCAAGCCAAACTGTATCCAGCTTTATTAAAGATACTCTCCATAAACAATCATGGCATTTCAGGCAGGGCATGGGCAAACAATAGTTAACATATGCAGTGACTTTCAAACTCCCTTCTTCAAAGGACTACCAAAAATCAGAAAGCCACTATAAAACCCAAATGAAGTCCTCATCTGATGCTCTGAACAGGGAAAGTTTAGAGTGAGGTTGATAGTTCATGTTTAGCATGTTGTTTAACAATGTTTCATGAGCTGACCCTGACTTTCAGGAAGTGAAATGAAAATGGCAGAATTTATCTGAAGATCCACAATCTAGAAACAGAACCACTGCTTTTTTGAGGGGTTCCATCTCAGTGGCATCACTGGAAAGGCTAGATTGCCTGACACACCAGTAACCAATTATTGGGGGGGGTCAGGTCCAACAGGTGTCTGGGTTTAAGGGAGTTAAATCTATGCTGAAAGGTGGAAAGGGAGAAGAGGACATAGAAAGGAATTTGTTTTTCCGTCCCACGAGGCTTTTGTGCCAAGGGACCTTGTGTGTCAAAGTCAGGGAATCCCCCTTCCTGGGAGCCAAGGGCAAGTCTCCCAAAACTAGAAGGGAAAAGGGTTTTCCCCACATCAACCTAGCTTCGGAGACATTCTGTTAGTGACATATGCCCCTTTCCCAAAAAACACAGTGAAGTGTTCTGTGTGCTAACAACATAGCTTAAAAAAAAGGTAAAACAAAATTCTGCATTTTTGTAAAACTTGATAAAAAATAGCATTTCAAACTGTACAGTCACCAGAAGTACACAGTTATCAAAAATGCACACACTTCACTTGGCATCTGCAGCACCTTCAGCTTTCTGTGTCTGGTCTGTTTGGGCATCTCCATTTTCTGCAGGGTTATTCCCCTCCTTGCCAGCTTCAGCTTTTCCCTTTTCCCTTTTGGTACCTTCTCTCCCTTCTTTGCAGGGGCCTTTTTAGGTTTGGGCTCTGGCTTTGGAGGAGCAGGTTTAGCAGAAAACCTCGTGGATCTTCTCTGTGGTTTGTCCTTCATCTTGGTTTTATCTCCTTTAGCATCACCTTCAGCCTTTCTCCTGGGCACGGTGGTGGCGGCAACGGCGGCGGGACATAGGCGCTGGGAGCGTGGCTTTGATCTGTCCTGGGGTCGTTCTCACCTCTTTTTCACACTGCTCAAAATATTATCATTTCAACATGTAATCAACATTAAAATTTATTAAGAGACATTTGACCTTTTTTCATACTAAGTCTTCAAACTCCAGTGTGTATTTCATACTTACAGCACATCTTATTTCAAGTGCTCCCTTGCCACGTGTGTCTAGTGCTATGGTAGCAGACAGGGCAAGTCTAGAGAGTGAAGCTGCAAGTGGGTGGCTCACCACCATCCAACTTAAGAACGAGAACATTACCTGCTCATGCATCCACCTGTATGCTCCCTATGCCCCTTTCGTATCGTGCTCTCTCTCCTCACCAGAGATAATACTGGCTTGAATTTCATGTCGACCATTTTCTTGATTTTTAAAAAAATATGTAGTTTTGGCCGGGCGCGGTGGCTCACGCCTGTAATCCCAGCACTTTGGGAGGCCGAGACGGGCGGATCACGAGGTCAGGAGATCGAGACCATCCTGGCTAACACGGTGAAACCCCATCTCTACTAAAAATACAAAAAAAATTAGCCGGGCGCGGTGGTGGGCGCCTGTAGTCCCAGCTGCTCGGGAGGCTGAGGCAGGAGATTGGCGTGAACCCGGGAGGCGGAGCTTGCAGTGAGCCACTGCAAGCGGAGTTTGCGCCACTGCACTCCAGCCTGGGCGACAGAGCGAGACTCTGTCTCAAAAAAAAAAAAAAATGTAGTTTTATCATAGGCATAGGTATTACCAAAGAAGATATTGTTTAGTTTACTTGAGATTTATAGAAGTTAGACTTTATGCTGTTTGTGTGTCGCCACTGGTGGCATAATATCGGCGGCTAAAAAAGAAGTATCTGCCGACATTTGTGTCACTGTCACATCAATCACATCATGTGAACAAGCTATTTGGCACCAGACTTTCTGTGAGTGATTTTGATGACTATTGCATTGCTATTTTAACATTGATTGTTACTAAATTTTAAGTATTACTTTATATATTGCAATAGTGTCATCAGACATTATTAAACAGTGGTTCTAATGCTAGTGGTGAAAAACACAGCTCCAAAATGTTAGACATAAAAGTGCAAGTTAGATGTGTCAATTGCCATGAGGGACTGTCCTCCCGCTCCATGTTATTAATTTAGGAATGAATGCCTTGGGAAATATTGGAACATTCTGAGAAATAAAACTCAGCATTCAAACAGAAACACTTCTAAGTTTGCAAAAATAGTTACATAACCAGGCAGAAAGAAAGGAAAAATAAAAACAAAAAACCCGGTCACGTGGCTGCAAGATCCATGCCACAGTGATGTACGCCTGAGATGCTGTGGTTGTGCATTTAAACACTCTGAGCACATCAAGCCCTATTTTATATGTATCCGCATGGGGAAATTAGAATGCTGCTAGAAAGCTATTAGGTACATGTCCATTTACACCAGCCTTTCCCATTCAGGATTTATTTCACTAAGGTGCTAGCCTGCCATGTAGTGGCGAAAGAGGGAAACTACAGCTCTCTTAAAAACTATAGTATTTGATACATCAAAAGAACAAATGCAACATGAAATGAAGACTTAGAAACTCGCCATTCAACTTAAGAACTAGAACACTGCCTATTCATGCATCCACCTGTATTCCCCTTTCCTGTCTTGCTCTACCTCCTCACCAGAGGTAATACTAGCTTGAGTTTCAGATTGACTATATTCTTGATTTTTAAAAATATGTAGTTTTATCATAGGCATAGATATAACTAAACAAGATATTGTTTAGTTTACTTGTTTGAGCTTTATGCAAGTTTGACTTTATTTAGTTTTCCACAGTTTGCCTTTTTCATACATTATATTTGACCAGGTTGATGTGTGTAGCTATAGTACATGCACTCTGTGAATATATCACTATTTTTCCATTTTCCTATCAGTAGACATTTGGTAGACCCCAATTTTTGGTAAATAGTACTGCACTGAATATTGTTATGCTTGTGCAAGAACTTCCCTGCAATATATCCAGTTCAATTTTACAAAATATTGCCAAAGTGTTTTTCAAGATTGTACCAATTTACACAATATTGGTGGTATAAAAGAGGTTCCACTGATACATATCTTCACCAGTACTTGCTACTAAATTTGTTAATTTTTGCCAATAGAGTTGGAATAAAATGCTTATTGTGGCATTTATTTATATTTACCTGATTGTCAATGAGGTTGAGCATCTTTTCATGTTTGTTGGTAATTTATGCTTCCTTTTTTGGTAAAGTGCCTATTCATGTATTTTGCTCATCTTCCTACTGGTTTGTCTTTTTCTTATTTTAAGATTCACACAAGACCGGGTGTGGTGGCTCACGCCTGTAATCCCAGCACTTTGGGAGGGCAAGATGGGTGGATAACCTGAGGTTGGGAGTTCAAAACGAGCCAGACCAACATGGAGAAACACTATCTCTACTAAAAATACAAAATTAGCTGGGCGTGGTGGTGCCTGCCTGTACATCCCAGCTACTCGGGAGGCTGAGGCAGGAGAATCGCTTGAACCCGGAAGGCGGAGGTTGCGGTGAGCCGAGATCACGCCACTGCACTCTAGCCTGGGCGACAGACCAAGACTCCGTCTCAAAAAAAAAAAAAAAAAAAAAAAAGATTCACACATACACACACACACATACACACGCACATGCTAGATCTTTTTGTCAGTTCTACATGTCACAAATACCTTCTTCCAGTTTTGCATTTTTGCAGTTAACAACCTTGCTGGACTCTCTTATTAATTCTAATAATTTGTCTGAACATTCTTTTGAGGTTTTCTATATATGCAATTATATTACCTACAAATAATGACAGTACTGTTTTCTGTCTTACCCTTCACCTTATTGACTAGAAGGGGTGATAGCAGACATCTTTGCCTTATTCTGTTTGTTTGTTTGTTTGTTTTGAGACAGTGTCTCACTGTGTCACCCAGGCTGGAGTGCAGTGGGGCGATCTTGGTTCACTGCAACCTCCAACCCCCAGGCTCAAGCGATTCTTCTGCCTCAGCCTCCCAAGTAGCTGGGATTACAGGTGTGCACCACCATATCCAGCTAATTTTTGTATTTTCTGTAGAGAAGGGGTTTTGCCATGTTGCTCAGCCTGGTCTCGACCTCCTGAGCTCAATCCATCCACCCGCCTCTGCCTCCCAAAGTGCTGGGATTACAGGTGTGAGCCACTGCGCCTGACCTTGTCTTAGTCTGCTCTTAATGGAACAATGTTTACAGTGATCTACCATTAAGAATGATGAAGATTATAGGCTTTTTAAAAATAACCTTTAACAATAGGAAGTTTCATTTTATTTCGGCTTTACTAAGAGCTTTTGTCATAAATGGATGTTAACTTTTACTGAATGCCTTTACTATATCTATTGAGATAATTATATAACTTTTCTCCTTTAATCCATTTAATGTGATGGACTAAAGTTATGGATTTGATGTTAGAGTATAAGAATGATTTACATTCTTATACTCTTTGGATAAATCCAGCTTAGCCATCATAAATTGTCTTTATTACATAATGTTGGATTCAGTTTCTTAATATTTTGTTTATAGTATTTACATCCATGTTCATCAGAGATTCTGGTCTGTTATTTCCTTTCTCATACAGTCCTTGATTAGTTTTATATTAAGTTTATACTAACCTCATACAGAGTTAAGAAGTATGCTTCTTTTGATATTCTTTGTAAGAGTTAGTATAAAATTAGAATACAAATACAGTCCCCAACTTATGATTTTTTTACTTTATGGTGATTTGAAAGTAGTTCACATTCAATAGAAACTGTACTTCAAAGCCTGAATTTTAATCTTTTCCTATCTGTAGGCTAACGTGAGTGTTTTGGGCATGTTTAAGTTAGGCTAGGATAAGCTATGATGTTTGGTATCATTTGCTCCATGAAAATCTGCTACGAATTGCGTGAAAACTATCTAGGCTTGATTTTTTTTTTTTTTTTTTTTTTGAGACAGAGTCTCGCTCTGTCGCCCAGGCTGGAGTGCAGTGGTGCGATCTTGGCTCTCTGCAACCTTCGCCTCCCGGATTCAAGCGATTCTCTTGCCTCAGCCTTCCGAGTAGCTGGGACTACAGGCATGCGCCACTAAGCCCAGCTAATTTTTGTATTTTTAGTAGAGACGGGGTTTCACCATGTTGGTTAACCAGAATGGTCTTGATCTCTTGACCTCTTGATCCGCCTGCCTTAGCCTCCCAAAGTGCTGGGATTATAGGCATGAGCCACCGTGACCAGCTGGCTTGATTTTTTTTTTTAAGCCACTGATTCAATTTATCCCATAGCTATTGGACTACTTGGGCTTTCTTTTCTTCAGTAGGAATTTAATTTTTTTATTTTTCATTGATATATAATAGATGTACATATTTTCAGGGTACATGTGATAATTTGGTACATTTGTATAATCAAATCAGGGCCATTGGGATAGCTGTCACCTTAAATATTTATCTTTTCTTTATGCTAGGAACGTTTGAATTATTCTCTTCTAGTTATTTTGAAATGTCCAATAGTGGCCGGCGCAGTGACTCACGCCTCTAATCCCAGCACTTTGGGAGGCCAAGGTGGGTGGATCACGAGGTCAGGAGTTCGAGATCGGCCTGACCAACATGGTGAAACCCCGTCTCTACTAAAAATACAAAAATTAGCCAGGCCTGATGGTTCGCACCTGTAATCCCAGCTACTCGGGAGGCTGAGACAGGAGAATCGCTTGAACCCGGGAGGCAGAGGTTGCAGGAGCCGAGATCACGCCATTGCACTCCAGCCTGGGCAACAGAGTGAGGCTCCGTCACATACACAAAAAAATAATAAGAAATGTCCAATAGATTAATGTTAACTACAGTCACCTTATCGAATATCAGGTCTTCTTTCTTCTACCTAACTGTGTATTTGTACCCATTAATCAACCTCTCCATCCCCTCACCCACCCTTACTGTCAATCTACTCTCTATCTTCATGAGATTCACTTTTTAGCTCCCATATGTGAGTGAGAACATGAGATATATTTGTCTTTCTGTGCTTGGCTTCATTCAACATAATGATCTCCAGTTCTATCTATGTTGCTACAATGACAGAGTTTCATTCTTTTTCATGGCTGAACAGTATTCCATTGTATATCTATACCACATTTTCTTTATCCATACATTCAGTTGATGGGCACTTAGGTTGATTCCATATTTTGGTTATTGTGAATAGTGCTGCAGCAAACATGGGAATGCGAATTTCTCTTCAATATATCAATTTCCTCTCTTTTGGATATATACCCAGTGGTGGAATTGCTGGATCATATGGTAGTTCTATTTTTAGCTTTTTGAGGAACCTCCGTATTGCTTTGCATAGCAGCTGTGGTAATTTACATTCCCACCAACAGTGTTTGAGAGTTCCCCTTTCTCCACATCCTTACCAGCCTCTGTTATTCCTTCTTTTTGATAAAAGTCATTCGAACTAGGCTAGATAATGTTTCATTGTAGCTTTGATTTGCATTTTCCTGATGATTAGTGATGTTGAGCATTTTAAAAAATACCTGTCAGCCATTTGTATGTTTTTATCACAAATGTCAATTCAGATCTTTTGCCCATTTTTTAATTGAATTTTTTTGTTGTTGTTGTTTTTTGTTGTTGTTGGTTTTGCTATTGAGTTCTTTGAGTTCCTTGTATATTCTGGTTATTAATCCCCCTTGTCATATGGATAGTTTGCAAATATTCTCTCCTATTCTTTGGGCTATCTCCTCTTAGTTGATTGTTTCCTTTACTGTGCAGAAGATTTTTAGCTTGATGTAATCCCGTTTGTCTATTTTTGGTTTTGTTGTCTGTGCCTTTGAGGTCTTACACAAAAAAATCTTTGCCCTGACCAATGTCCTGGAGCATTTCCCCAAGGTTTTCTTCTAGTGGTTTCGTAGTTTTAGGTCTTAGATTTTTTTTTTTTTTTTTTTGAGACGGAGTCTCACTCTGTAGCCCAGGCTGGAGTGCAGTGGCACAATCTCGGCTCACTGCAAGCTCCGCCTCCCAGGTTAATGCCATTCTCCTGCCTCAGCCTCCCAAGTAGCTGGGACTACAGGCACCCGCCACCACGCCCGGCTAATTTTTTGTATTTTTCTTTTTAGTGGAGACGGGGTTTCACCGTGTTAGCCAGGATGGTCTCAATCTCCTGACCTCGTTATCCGCCCACCTCGGCCTCCGAAGATGCTGGGATTACAGGCATGAGCCACCGCACCCGGCCTAGGTCTTAGATGTAAGTCTTTGATTTATTTTGATTTGATTTTTGTGTATGGTGAGAGATAGCAGTATAGTTCATTCTTCTGCATATGGTTATTTCATTTTCACAGCACTATTTATTGAAAAGACTATCCTTTCCCATTGTATATTCTTGGCACATTTGTTGAAAATGAATTGGCTGCAAATGCATTTATTTATATCTGGATTCTCTGTTCTGTTCCATTAGTCTATGTGTCTGTTTTTATGTCAGTAACATGCTAGTTTGGTTCCTATAGCTTTGTAGTATATTTTGAAGTCAGTTAGTGTGATGCTTCCAGATTTGTTCTTTTTTTTTTTTTTTTGAGACTGAGTTTCACTGTTAGTGCCCAGGCTGGAGTGCAATGGCACGATCTCAGCTCACTGCAACCTCCACCTCCCAGGTTCAAGTGATTCTCCTGCCTCAGCCTCCCAAGTAGCTAGGATTACAGGCATGTGCCACCACACCCAGCTAATTTTGTATTTTTAGTAGAGATGGGGTTTTGCCATGTTGGCTGGGCTGGTTTTGAACTCCTGACCTCAGGTGACCCACCCAGCTCAGCCTCCCAAAGTGCTCAGATTACAGGCATGAGCCACCATGCCTGACCCAGGTTTGTTCGTTTTGCTTAGGATTGCTTTCACTATTCTGGGTCTTTTGTGGTTCCATATGAATTTTAGGATTGTTTTTTCTATTTCTGTTGAGAACATCATTGGTATTTTGATAGCAATTGCATTAAATCTGTAATCTGCTTTGGGTGGAATTATCACTTTAACAACTAACTATTCCAGTCCATGAACATGGAATAGCTTTCCATTTTGCTGTGTCCTCTTCAATTTATTTCTTCAGTGCTTTGTAGTTTTCCTTGAAGAGATCTTTCTCCTCTTCGGTTAAATTTATTCCTAGGTTTTGTTGTTGTTGTTGTTGTTTGTTTGTTTTTGCAGCTATTATAAATGGGATTGCCTTCTTGATTTCTTCCTCTGCTAGTTCATTATTGGATAGAAATGCTACAGATTTTTGTCTGTTGATTTTGTATCCAGCGACTTTACTGCATTTGTTTATCAGTTCTAACAGTTTTTTGGTGGAGTCTTTAGGTTTTTCTAAATGTAAGATCATGTCTTCTGTGTACAAGTCTAATTTGAATTCTTCCTTTCCAAATTGGATTCTCTTTATTTCTTTCTCTTGCCTAATTGCTATGGACAGGACTTCCAATACTATGTTGAATAAAAGTGGAGGTGGGCATCCTTGTTTTGTTCCAGAGCTTAGAACACCTCCCAGTTTCAAGCAATTCTCCTGCCTCAGCCTCCCGAGTATCTGGGATTACAGGCATGCACCACCACGCCAGGCTAATTTTTGTATTTTTAATAGAGACAGGGTTTTAATATGTTGGCCAGGCTGGTCTCGAACTCCTGACCTAAAGTGATCTGCCCACCTTGGCCTCCCAAAGTGCTAGGATTACAGTCATGAGCCACCGTGCCCAGCCCATTTTTAATTTTATTTATTTGGGACTTCTCTCCTTTTATCTTAGCCTAGTTAATGGTCTGTTAATTTTGTTTATCTTTTCAAAAAACCAATTTTCATTTCATTGATTTTCTCTATATTTTAGCCTAATTTCATTTATTTCTGCTCTGATATTTATTATTTCTTTCATTCTAATAATTTCCTTCTAACATGTTTGGTTTGTTCTTGTTTTTCTAGTTCCTTGAGGTGCATTGTTAGGTTGTTTATTTGAAGTCTTTCTGCTTTTTTGATGTAGGCATTTATTGCTATAAAATTCCCTCTGAGTACTGCTTTTACCATATCTCATATATTTTGTTATGTTTATTTCCATTTTGATTCGTTTGAAAAATTTTTTAAATTTTCTTTTTAATTTCTTCATTGACCCATTGGTTGTTCAGGAGTAAGTTGTTTAATTTCTATGTGTTTATGTAGTTTCTGAGATCCCTGTTGTTATTGATTTCCAGTTTTATTCCATTGTGGCCAGAAAATATATTTGATATAATTTCTACTTTATTGAATTTGTTCAGACTTGTTTTGTAGCCTAAGATATAGTCTATTTTGGAGAATGTTACATGTGTTTATGAAAACAATGTGTATTCTGCAGCAGTTGGGTGAAATGTTCTGTAAACGTCAGTTAGGCCTATTTGGTCTAGTGTGTAGTTCAATTCTGATGCTTCTTTGTTGATTTTCTGTCTGGATGATCTGTTTATTACTGAAAAGTGGGGTGTTGAAGTCCCCTACTGTATTGTATTACAGTCTATCTCTGCCTTTAGGTTGATTCATATTTACTTAATATACTTGGGTGCTCCAGTGTTGAGTGCATAGATACTTATAATTGTTATATCCTCTTGCTAAACTGACCCCTTTATCATTATATATTGATCTTCTTTGTCACTTTTTACAGTCTTTGACTTGTAGTCTATTTTATGTAATATAAGTATAGCTAATCTTGTTCTTTTTTGGTTTCCACTTGCATGGAATGTCTTTTTCCATCTCTTCACTTTCAGTCTATGTGTGTCTCTATTGGTAAGTTGGGTTTCTTATTCTTCATTGTGTTCATGTGATAATAACATATTAGTTAATATCACCCAGCATATAGTTGGGCCTTGTTTATCCATTCAGCCACTGTCTGTCTCTTAATTAGAGAATTGACTGAATTCTCCAATTAAACTTAATAATAACATTGAATAACCCATGTACATTCAGTGTATTATTGATAAGTAAGGACTTACTACTGCCATTTTGTTGCTTATTTTCTGGTTGTTGTTTTTTGTTTTGTTTTGTTTTGTTTGAGACAGGGTTTCACTGTGTCACCCAGGCTGGAGTACAGTGGTGCAATCATGGCTCACTGCAACCTCAACTTCCCTCGACTCAGGTGATCCTCCCACCTCAGCCACCCAAGTAGCTGGGACTACAGGAATGTGCTACCACACCCAACTAATTTTTATACTTTTTTTGTAGAGATGAGGTTTCAACATGTTGCCCAGGCTCATCTCAAGCTCCTGGGTTCAAGCAACCTGCCAGCCTCAGCCTCCCAAAATGCTGGGATGACAGTCATGAGCCACCACGCCTGGCCACCTTTTATTTTTATTGTATCTGTTATAGGTTTTAACATTATGGTTACCATGGTGCTTACAAAAAAACCGATAACTTATTTTAAAGAGATGATAACTTACCTTAGATCACAAAAAAGAGCAGAAATAAAGCAAAACCAAAAAAAAAAACCTCTGCACTTTAACTCCATCTCCCCACATTTTGACTATTTGTTGTCTCAATTCACATATTTTTATATTGCCTCTCTCTCTCTTTTTTTTTTTTTTTTTTGTCAGAGTCTTGCTCTGTCATCCAAGCTGGAGTGCAATGGTACAATAGCTCCTTGCAACCCAGTGATTCTCCTGCCTCAGCGTCCCAAGTAGGTGGGATTATAGGTGTGCACCATCACACCTGGCTGATTTTTATATTTTTAGTAGAGACAGCGTTTCACCATGTTGGTCAGGCTGGACTCGAACTCCTGACCTCAAGTGATCCACCCACCTTGGCCTCCGAAAGTGCTGGCATGAACCACTGTGCCTGGCCGCTATTGCCTGTCTCTTAACAGGTTGCTGTAGCTGCTACTGTTTTTGATAGATTTCTCTTCTAGGCTTTATATTAGAGTTATGAGTGAATTTTACATCTTAATTAGAGTATTGGAGTATTCTGGGGTTGTCTTTGTTCTTAATTTTACCAGTAGGTTTTATGCTTTCAAATGTTTTCTTTTGGCACATTAGTGTTTTTTTCTTTCAGATTGAAGAACTCCATTTAGCATTTCTTTTAAGACGGGTCTGGGGATGGTGAATTCTCTTAGCTTTTGTTTGTCAGAGAAAGACTATCTTTCCTTCATATTTAAAGGATGGCTTTGTTGGATATAGTATTCTTGGATGGCAGTTTTTTTTTTCTTTCAGCACTTTGAAAATGCTGTCCCATTCCTTCCTGGCTTTATGGTTTCTGTTGAAGTCTTGTTGCCAGATGAACTGGAATCCCCTTATGTGTTATTTGCTTATTTTATATTGCTGCTTTTAGGATCCTTTCTGTGTCCTTGACTTTTGAGAGTTTGATTATTATATGCCTTAGGGTAGTCTTACCTGGGCGAAAACTGCTTGGTGTTCTCTGATCTTTCTGTCCTTGGATATTTATAACTTTCTTGAGCTTTGGAAAGTTTTCTGTTATTATTATTATTATTATTTTGCATTAGTGCATCTTTAATGTTAAAGCTAGTTTTTTTTTTGTTTGTTTTTTGTTTTTTTGATCTTTTTGAGATGGAGTCTCCCTCTGTCACCCAGGCTGGAGTACAGTGGCCCTATCTCAACTCACTGCAAAGTCCGCCTCTCGGGTTCACTCCATTCTCCTGCCTCAGCCTCCCGAGTAGCTGGGACTATAGGCGCCCGCCACCAGGCCCGGCTAATTTTTTTTGTATTTTTAGTAGAGACGGGGTTTCACTGTGTTAGCTAGGATGGTCTCGATCTCCTGACCTTGTGATCCGCCCACCTCAGCCTCCCAAAGTGCTGGGATTACAGGCGTGAGCCACCATGCCCATCCTTTTTTTTGTGTTTTTTTTTTTTTTTTGAGATAGAGTCTTGCTCTATCACCCAGGATGGAGTGCAGTGGCGCAATATCGGCTCACTGCAACCTCTGCCTCCTGGGTTCAAGCGATACTCCTGCCTCAGCCTCCTGAGTAGCTGGGATTACAGGTGCATGCCACCATGCCTGGCTAATTTTTGTACTTTTAGTAGAGATGCGGTTTCACCATGTTGGCCAGGCTGGTGTCGAACTCTTGACCTCAGGTGATCCACCCACCTTGGCCTCCCAAAGCACTAGAATTACAGGCATGAGCCACCGCACCCAGCCAAAGCTAGTTTTTTAAATAAAATTTTATATCTATCCAGTCTTAATTAGTTTGACCATAAGGTAAGATTTTCATGAACTTTTTAGAACCCTTTACAATTTTCCATCAAACAGCAGATTAATTTTCTAAGAAAACTCTGTTATTCGGAAAAGTAGGCCGAGATTCTGGCCCCATATCAGTATGATTTCAGTGTTTTAACCTAAGGAAAAAAGCTAAATAATTCCTTTTAAATCTTAGCCAACTTGTTTATACTCACAGAATTTTAAAAGGGTTTTACAAACCCTTTTCACTTTGCTTAAACCTTCAGTTTTGTTCCATTACTCTTTTAGGTTAGGACAATGTTTAAAACCCTCTGAACTAGACAAAATTACATTCCCTTTAACAAAAGCCGTATTTCTGTGACTTCTTACAGTCTTTTACGAAAAGCACATTCCCCATACACCTTGTATATAAAACTGTTTCTGCAGTCGTCTCAACTACATATTACAATGTTAACGCTTAGCAACTTTTATTTTTAGTGAAAAACCTGGTAAGTAAGCAATTTCAATTATGTACTGGGGTGGAGCTTAGGACATTAGACAGAAATGAAGATAAGGTCTGACTCTTAGCATAGCTGGTGGGCATGGCTCTCCACATGTCCCCAGGCCTTACCTATCATCTAATGCTCCAAAGTAGGTAAATCAAACCATTTTCAAAAGTCAAAGAAACAGTTTGACCTTAAAGCATTTAGCAAGTCTGATATCTGACCTTAATTTAAACCAAATGTCTACACTTTCAAGACATTTTATTTTACCAATAATCTTTAAAACTGTCTTTATTTCCAAAAGGTTACTAAAGTCACGTGAACAAAAAGGCATTAGTTTCTATTTTTCTGACAAAATATTTTATTTAAGCACTTATTTTTCTTTTCCTTATTTATTTATTTATTTATTTTGAGATGGAGTCTCCTTATTATTTATTTAAGTAAGTTCTGTACCCCTTGTTCTTGCTCAACTCCCTCTTGAACACCAATAATTATTAGATTTGATCTTTTGAGGCAATTTCCCATATCTTGTCGGCAATCTTCATTCCTTTGTATTCTTTTTTTCTTTTTTCTCCTCTATGTAATTTCAAATAGCCTATCTTTGAGATTATGGATTCTTTCCTCTGCTTGATCCATTCTGCTGTTGAGAGTCTCTAATGAATTTTTTGATTTAGCAAATGTATTTCTCAGTTCCAAGATTTGATTTTTAAAAATTTCAATCTTTGTTAAATTTAATAAATTCCGAATTGATTTTCTGTATTATCTTGTAGATCACTGAGTTTCCTTAAAACTGCTATTTTGAATTCTTGGTCAGAGAGCTCACATATTGCCATCTTCTTAGGGCCATCACTGGTTCCATGCTTTGTCTGTTTGGGGTGCCCATGGTTTCCTGTTTCCTGTTATTTCTTGTGGATATACATCTACATCTTTGCATTGAAGGATTATTTATTTATTCTAGTCTTCTCTGTGTGGCCTGTTTTGCTTTTTATTGGGTATGTTTGCTTATAGAGTCTTTGTAATATACTGCTGAATTTCTTATTTGTTTGTTTATTTTCCACTAGGTCACTACCTCCTTTTTGGCACTAGATGATTTCTTAAGCCCAGGTTTGCCTCGGCTCTAATAAACAATTGGAACACTGAAGTTCCAAATGGGGGAGGTCCCAGAGCAGATATCCTGGCAGTATGGATAGGCTGGCTGGGGATTAGTGCCCAGGAGACCTGTGGAATGCAGCTGCTACAGTGTGGTGCTGCTAACAGCCACTCTGATTTGGTGTCTTCTTTGGCCGAGTTACAGAACCATGTTTCTAGGGCTAGGGATAGTATCCCCACCTCCCTCCTTGGTCTCTCAGTGTCCTCAGAGATATTTCTTCCTTCAGGCAATCATGATGCTTCCCATGGGTTGAGGCAGAGGCAAGGTCTCCTGCCAGGAAACCCACAATGGTGGAAAAGCTAGTCGTCCACCTCAATCTCACTTTTTCCAGTGCAGAAATCGTTGAGTCGGGAAATTTCCCACACACTTGGTGCTGGGCAGATTATAGGGAGGGGAGTCATGGATGTAGAAATCCATTTATCTTACTGACTGCTCAGAGCTTTTTCACTTCTCTATGACTCCAGGAACTGCCTCATCCTCATATTTGGGTTCTGGAATATTGCTGGCATAGTGCTGATCATCTCAGCACTGTGTATTTGTTTTTGGTTTTCTGTGGGAAGGAATGTAGCCAGCTTGCTTCTACACCACCAGTTTTGGACTGGAAGTCTCCAGGCTTTCTTGATGCAGCTTTGATAAGTTATATGTTTTTAGAAATGTTTCCCTTTCTAATAAATTTTGAAATTTACTAGCATAATGTTATTTATGGCATGTTTATCTTTTTCATCTCTTCCATATTTGCAGCTTTCTTCTGTTCTTCATTCATATTCTTGCTTATTTGTGAATGCTACTGTGTTTTTTTTTTTGTTTTTTTTTTTTGGGAGATGGAGGCTCCTTCTGTCGCCCAGGCTGGAGTGCAGTGGTGCGATCTCGGCTCACTGCAACCTCCACCTCCAGGGTTCAAGCGATTCTCCTGTCTCAGCCTCCTGAGTAGCTGGGATTACAGGCACCCACCGCCACGCCCAGCTAATTTTTGTATTTTTAGTAGAGACAGGGTTTCACCACGTTGGCCAGGGTGGTCTCGAACTCCCAACCTCAAGTGATCCGCCTCTCTCGGCCTCCCAAAGTGCTGGGATTACAGCCGTGAGCCACCGCACCCGGCCCTGTCCCCTTTTTTTTTTAAAGGAATCTTGCCCAACATTTATCTATTTTATCTGGCCCTCCCCTGGCTTGTTATTTTATTTTATGTATATATTTATTTATTTAGACAGAGTCTCGCTCTGTTGCCCACGCTGCAGTGCAGTGGCACGATCTCAGCTCAGGGCAACCTCTGCTTCCTGGGTTCAAGCAATCCTTCTGCCTCAGCTTCCCAAATAGCTGGGATTACAAGCATGTGCCACCATGCCCAGATAATTTTTTTTGTATTTTTAGTAGAGACAGAGTTTCACCATGTTGGCCAGGCTGGTCTCAAACTCCTGACCTCAAGTGATCCACCTGCCTTAGCCTCCCAAAGTGCTGAGATTACAGGCGTGAGCCACTGCGCCTGGCCTGGCCTTGGCTTGTTGATCATCTCTATTGCATGTTTGTTTTCTGCTTCATTAATTTTTCCTTTATATTTATTATCTCTTTCCTTATGCTTTCTTTGGGTTTATTCTATTGGGAGTTTTTTTCTTCTTACAGTGAAGCCTAGCTTATTAATTTTCAGTCTTTTTTCTTTTCTAATGAAAGCAGCTAAAGCTATAAATTTCCCTGAATTACTATTTTTCCTGCATCCATAAGTCCTGATAAGTGTAATTTTTATCATTGATTCTGTTCAACTTTTTATTTCTTTTATGATTCCTTACTTGACTTACAAGTTATTTAGAAGTATACTTCCTAATTTCCAAAACCTAGTGGATGTGTCACTTCTTTTTCTTTTATGCACTTCTAATTTGGTTGCTTAAGTTAAATCTATGATTGTGGATTATAAAATGTGGTTTATGTAAATCAGATTCTTGAAATTTGTTGAGGCTGGTTTTATGGCCTTTTATATGGTCAATTTTTAAAAATATTCCAAGTGTCCTTGAAAAGAATGCCTGTTCCTTGATTGTTGAATGCAAGGTAATTTATTCACTAAATTCACTAAATTAAGCTAGTGAATTGTGTTATTCAAATCTTTCTTGACTCATCAATAATTGGGAGCATTGTATTGAAATACCCCACTATGTCTGTGGATTAGTCAATTTCATTTCATAATTCTATAAATTTTTATTTTATATATTTGGATGCTATTTTAGTAGGTACCCACAACTTTAGAACTATTACATCTTCCTGATAAATAAAACCTTTTATCATTGTATAAAGTCCTTATTTATCTCTTATAGTCTATTTTGTCAAATGACAATATAGTTACACCAACTTTCTTTTAACTTCAGGTTGGCACAAAAGTAATAGCAAAAACCACAGTTTCTTTTTCACCAACCTAACAGTATTGCCTGTTATATCTTTTTTCATCATTTTACTTTCATCTTTTCTGTGTCCTTTTATTTTAGGTATGTCTATTTTTTTTTTAATTTAGGTCTAAGAATGTGTCTTTTAGTTTATTGTTTAGTCCATTTATACTTATTGTGATTACTGATATATTTAGATTTTTACCATACCCTTTTTTGGCTTTCCATTTGTTTTCCTTTTTTAAACTTATTTTTTTCCTTTTTCTTCTGCATTGGGTTTTTGTTTTCTTATTCTATTTTACTTTTTACTGGTATGGAAGTTACACATTTTCTGTTTTTAGTGATTACCCTTGAAATTTTACCATGCACATTTAACAACATCTAAAGTGAACAAATACTTGAACCTTCTCTAAGAAGAATACAAAGAACTTAGAATAGTCTAACTCTCCCCACCAACCTCGGGCCTTCTTCCCCCATCTATAAATATTATTGTCCAGTATTTGTTTCTGTCCTTTTTTAACCCCACAAATTATACACCATCATCACCTTTCATTATAAGTTTTTGCAGACAATTTTTGGAATTATTTACATACTTAATAATTGATTTGCTCATCATTCTTTCTTGCATTGCAATGATAAGTTATATATTTTTAGAAATGTTTCCCTTCTTCTGCGATCATTTTCCTTCCTCCTAAAGTATATCTTCCAGAAATTGTTTTAGTTAAGGCCTGTTAGTGGTAAAATCTCTCGGTTTTATTCTGAAATGTTCCTATTTCACCTTCATGTTTCTATTTTACATGCATTTTTGAAAGACAGTTTTGCTGGCACACAATTCTGGGTTAACTTTCTCTTAACACTTTGAAGATATTTTTCTGTCTTCTAAATTCACTGTTGCTGCCACCATATAGTTTTTGTTTCTTTGTAAACAAGGTTTCTTTTCTCTCTGGCTACTTTTAAGATCTTTGCTTTTGGAGCTTTGTGGTTTCTCTACACCATGTCCAGATGTGGGTTTCTTTCTTTTTCTTTTTTTTTTTGAGACAGAGTCTCACTCTGTCGCCAGCTGGAGTGCAGTGGCGCGATCTGGACTCACTGCAACCTCTGACTCCCTGATTCAAGTGACTCTCCTGCCTCAGCCTCCCGAGTAGCTGGGATTACAGGCACGTGCCACCACACCCAGCTAATTTTTGTATTTTTAGTGGAGATAGGGTTTCACCATGTTGCCCAGGATGGTCTCAATCTCCTGACCTCGTGATCTGCTTGCCTTGGCCTCCCAAAGTGCTGGGATTACAGGCGTGACCCACTTCTTTTTTTTTGAGACAGAGTCTCATTCTGTCATCCAGGCTGGAGTGCAGTGGCACAATCTTGGCTCACTGCAACCTCTGCCTCCTGGGTTCAAGTAATTCTCCTGCCTCAGCCTCCCGAGTACCTGGGACTACAGGCACCCACCACCACGCTCAGCTAATTTTTGTATTTTTAGTAGAGACGGGGTTTCACCATATTGGCCAGGCTGGTCTCGAACTCCTGACCTTGTGATCCCCCCGCCTCGGCCGCCCAAAGTGCTGGGATTACAGGCGTGCGCCACCACACCAGGCTGTGAGGCACTTCTTGATATGTGCTGTCTTTCTTTTATCTGTGGGCTCATGTCTTTTATTAGATCTGGAAATTCTTATCCAGTAGTTAGCTTTTCAAATATTGCTTCTCTCTTATTCTCTCTACTCTCTCCTTCTGGGATTCTGATTGGATATTTTTTAGACTTTCTCATTCTACCCTTTCTTCTCTTAACTCTTCCTTCATGTTTGTCATCTCCTTAGCAACCTGTGCTGCATTTTAGGTAATTTTGTCAATCTGTCTTTTGGTTTACCAATTCACTACTCAGCTTTATTTAATCTATAGTTTAGCCTGTCCACTGAGTTTTTGTTATTGTTGTTTTGTTTTGTTTCATTTTGTTTTTAGAGATGGGGTCTCTGTTGCCCAAGCTGGGGTTTGGTGGCACAGTCATGGCTCACTGCAGCCCCGACCTTTTGGGCTCAAGGGATCCCTCCAGCTTCAGCTTCCTCAGTAGCTGGAACTACCGGAGCATGCCACAACAGTGGCTAATTTTTTAATTTTTTTTTTTTTGTAGAGATAGGGGTCTCGCTATGTTGCCCAGGCTGGTCTTGAACTCCTAGCCTCAAGTGATCCTCCCACCCTGCCTCCCAAAGTGCTAGGATTACAGGTATGAGCCATTGTGCCTGGCCTCCATTCAGTTTTTTTTTTTTTTTTTTTTTTTTTTGAGACGGAGTCTCGCTCTGTCGCCCAGGCCGGATTGCGGACTGCAGTGGCGCAATCTCGGCTCACTGCAAGCTCCGCTTCCCGGGTTCACGCCATTCTCCTGCCTCAGCCTCCCGAGTAGCTGGGACTACAGGCGCCCGCCACCGCGCCCGGCTAATTTTTTGTATTTTTAGTAGAGACGGGGTTTCACCTTGTTAGCCAGGATGGTCTCGATCTCCTGACCTCATGATCCACCCGCCTCGGCCTCCCAAAGTGCTGGGATTACAGGCGTGAGCCACCGCGCCCGGCCGCCTCCATTCAGTTTTAATGTCAACAAATTGTTAAGCTCTAAAATTTCTATTTGCTTATTTTTCAGATATGTCTGATCAATTGCAAAGGTCTTTGCCTTATTTTCTTAAATAATAGCTTTATTGAGATAAAATTCACTTGTCATAAAATTCACCCTTTTGAAGTATATAATTCAGTGGTTTTTAGTATATTCACAGAAGTTGTGAAGTCATTACCACTACTTAATGCCAGAACATTTATACCAACCCAAAGAGGAATCCTGTATCCATTAGCCATCACTATCAACTTCCTTCTATCCCCATTATGTCTACTTTCTGTCTCTGTAGATTTGCCTATTCTGGACATTTCATATAAATGGCCTAATACAGCATATGGCCTTTTATGACTTGCATTTTTCACTTAGCATAATGTTTCCAAGGTTGAACCATGTTACATCAGTACTTAGTGCCTTCTTATAGCTGTATAATAGTCCACTGAATTTGTATACCATAATTTATTTATTTACAAGTTGATGGATTTTGGAGTTGTTCTCACTTGTTGGCTATTATGAATAATGCTCCTATGAACATTCATCTGTAAGTTTTTCTGTGGACTTTTTTTTCAGAGCTCTTGGTCCTATACCTAAAAGCAGAGTTGCTGGGTCATGTACTAACTCTGTATTTAACAGTTTGAGGACCTGCTGGACTATTTTCCAAAGGGGCTGTGCCATTTTATAATCCCACCAGGAATATATGAAAGTTCCAATTTGTCCACATCTTCACCAACATGTGTTATTGTTTGTCTTTTTCATCCCTTGCTTTTTCCTGTGATACCATGTTTTATTTATTTAAACATTTCCTACCTAGTTATTTTAAATCTGCTATTCAATCATTTCAATAACCAAAAAGCTTAGGGCTCTAAATGTGTTATTTTTTGTCATCTGTTCTCATTCATGGTGGCTTGTTTTCTTCTGTGTTTAATACATTCCTGGAGAAATGCAAGGAAGGACTTTTGTTTCATTCATTGCTATATTCCCATCATCTAGAACCATGACTGAAATCTAACAGGTGCTTAACAAATCATTGTTGAATGAATAATTGGGTTCCAAGGACCTAAGCAGGAGAGTAAACCCCAAATAGCATGTACATTTGCTTCTTCTGGGTGCCAGGGTGTTGACAAATACAGAGCTATGTTAGCCTCTGTCAGTCAGTGTCTGGTTAGGAAAACAGAAGCCCTGTGCCCTATGTATTCCATCGATTAATCGATATATATATATATATATATATATATATATATATATATATATATATTTATTTTTATTTTTTTTTTAGACACAGACTCGCTCTGTCACCCAGGCTGGAGTGCAGTGGCACGATCTCGGCTCAATGCAATCTTTGCCTCCTGGGTTCAAGTGATTCTCCTGCTGTGGGTCTCCTGTAGCACTCTAATAAGTCATTAAATTCCACAATTTGACTATACAGAGCTCAGGTTGACAATTCTGAAACAATTTCAAAGCAGATATTACTCGTGGCTCACCGTGGCTGTGGAAAGACCTCCCTCCAGCCTCCATGGCCTCTCCGTTCAGGCAGTTGTGTGGTGGTTTTTGGAGAATGCAGGTCCCAGAGGCAGGCTGCCCAGGTCCACCTGTGACTACACCATGGACAGGCTGTGTGGTTTGGGGTAGATGACTCAGCTTCTTTGTACCTGAGTTAACTCATCTATAAGCAGGAGCCAAGGTTAGCGCTATCCCTTAGGGCTACTGTGAGGATTAAATGAGATAATACACATTAAGCACTGAGATCAGGGTTTAGCACACAGGAATTGTACAATAAATGTCTATTGGTTTTGTTTGTTTTGTTTTATTCTTTTTTTGTTTTGTTTTAGACAGAATCTCACTCTGTCACCCAGGCTGGTGTGCAGTGGCACAATCTTGGCTCACTGCAACTTCCGTCTCCCGGGTTCAAGCAATTCTCCTGCCTCAGCCTCCCGAGTAGCTGGGATTACAGGCACCTGCCACCATGCCCAGCTAATTGTTGTATTTTTAGTAGAGACGGAGTTTCACTATGTTGGCCAGGCTGGTCTCAAACTCCCGACCTCAAATGATCTGCTCACCTTGGCCTCCCAAAGTGCTGGGATTACATGCGTGAGCCACCGCGCCCGGCCTTTGTCAACTGTTAAGAGTGAAAGAAATTATAAGGAAAAAGAAATGATAAGGAAAAGAGTGGAGGGCTCTGGGAGCCTCTCAGCTTCTCCTAGCTCTCAGCAGCAGACGGGAGGGGAACGGGCTAGCAGAGAGCAATTCAGCTCTGGGCTGTCATGGGGACAGCAGGCTTCTAGGCAGGGTCTGAATTTATAGCCACATGTAAAAGGCAGTGATCTCTTCCATTAATGGGTGGAAATAGAGCCCTATATTAGGGCTTTTGTTCAAGTTGCAAACTCAGGGCCGTGAACTATACACTTCTCCTTCCCTTGGCTGTCTGGTTAGAGAAGGAGCAGCCATATCGGTACACTGCCTGGCTCAGGGTGGGCACTGGCTCAAGCCATCCAATCAGAATCCCTCCGCGGGAATTTTGAATTGGGCCCAGAAGAGGCCACCCACATTCTGCTTATCTCTTGGATGGAAGAAAGATAAACTTGGGAGCTGCTGACTGAGGCCGTCGGCTGCTGTATTTCCTGGAAAGCCAGGAAAGCCAGTCTGCAGGGAGAAAGAGAGAAGGATGACATGGAAACAGTGTTGTGGGTGGTGCCTTCCTGGGCTCCCAAAGTCCCAGCACCATTCTCAGTTCCTGAGGCCCAACTGCATCCTTATGCTTAGGTTCCCTAAGACACCCCTAAATCCTTGTAATAGAAATCCCCTTTTGTCATCAACCTGTCCCCCGTTGCTTCTAGTAATCACAACCACAAGAATCTGAATTAAACACAACCTGGGGACCTTCTCTCTCCCCACAGTGTGACTTCTGGTCACCCTCCCAGCTTCTTCAGCCAGATGGGGAGTGTCCTGCAGGCAATACCAGTTGACACAGAAAGACAGTCTCCATCTTCCCCCAGTGCCCCAGTCCCTTGCTGTCTGTCCTTGTGCAGCCTTCTCACTGTGCACAGTCTTGTTGCCCACACTTAGAGATCCCCTAGTCAGGCCCCTCCTGGCTGCCTCTCTCCAAAGTAACTGAGTTTTCCTGGTCCCACTTCGTCTGTCTGCCTTCTGGAGTCCCAGCCTCTGGATCCAGGATTCTGTGTGTCATGTCTCTCAGATGGTAGCTGCAGTCTAGCAGGGGCCTTCAAAGCCTTCTGGTGGCAGGGCAGTGTGGGAAGATGTTTTGAAGAAAGAGAAATTTTCAAAAGCTCTTAAGAGACTGGATAGAAAGGGTACTGGATTAGGAGTGGAGACTGGATTCTGGCCTGGCTTGGCTTCTAACTCGCTGTGTGGCTTTAGGCTTCATTTTCCGCAGCTGCAGAATGATGAAATTAGGCAAGATCAAAGGCTTTCCAGGGAGCCCTTTGGAGGTGACTTGGCCACGGCCTTGTAACCATAAGGGGAGAAGAGATGGCACCTGGGACCCTGCTTCTCTTCACTCAGGGCACCACCCCCCCCACCCCCCCGTAGGTGTTTCATACATTGAGCATGCTGGAAAGATCTTTGTCTTAGCCCAGGTTTCCAAAGAAGCAGAGCAGGGCAGCATGTATGCTAACACTGTATTGGGGAGTGTGGTGGCTGGGAAGGGGAAGTGAGGACAAGGGGGAGTGAGACAGAGGAGAAGGGAGGGCACACAAGAGAGTGCACTGCGGAGCTGGCCACCACTCCGTCTGGAAGGATGCTAGACCTTACAGGACCTTCTTTATTATTTATTTATTTATTTTGAGACTGAGCCTTGCTCTGTCGCCCAGACTAGAGTGCAGTGGCGTGATCTCGGCTCACTGCAACCTCTGCCTCCTGGGTTCATGCAATTTCTCCTGCCTCAGCCTCCCAAGTAGCTGGGATTACAGGCACATGCCACGACACCCAGTTCGTTTTTGTATTTTTAGTAGAGACAGGGTTTCACCATGTTGGTCAGGCTGGTCTTGAACTCCTGACCTCACGTGGTCCACCCACCTTGGCCTCCCAACGTGCTGGGATTACAGGTGTGAGCCACTGCGCATGGCCCAGGACCTTCTTTAAAGTGGCTGTGTGAACTCGGAACTCAGGCCAGTCTGTCCAGAAAGAGGAAGAGAGAAAAATTTATTTGCTAATCCCTGTCTCTTGCTGGTCAAAGTTCACTCCATGGAGTGTCCAACACTCCTGCACTTCTGAGGCCAAGGGTGTGGGGCCAAGGGGAGAGGAGGTGCAGTTGACTTCTGCCTGGGTGAAGTCAGTTGTCACAGCAGCTGGACAAAACAAGTGGCAAGGAGCTGGAAGACTGGTGTGTCTAACGGATCTTAGGCGATACATTTAAAAGTATCTGATACAGGCCTGGTGCAGTGGCTCACGCCTGCAATCCCAGCACTTTGAGAGACTAAGGCGGGCAGATCACAAGGTCAGTAGATCAAGACCAGCCTGGCTAACATGGTGAAACCCCGTCTCTACTAAAAATATAAAAAATTAGCCAGGCGTGGTGGTGCATGCCTGTAGTCCCAGCTACTTGGGAGGGTGAGGCAGGAGAATCACTTGAACCAGGGAGGCAGAGGTTGCAGCAAGCCGAGATCGTGCCATTGCACTCCAGCCTGGGCGACAGAGCAAGACTCCGTCTCAAAAAAAAAAAAAAATATCGGATACAGCTATAATTGAAAAGTAGTGGGAACCTCTACTAAAAGAAAAGTCAAAACCACCAAGATGCATAATACCAAAGGACCTTCTCAGCTGAAAGATTTCTTGATGCTGGCCACTGAAATTGCAGCTCAGAGAGCTGAGACTAGACTCCCTTCTGATGTGCAGGGCCCATGTTCTCAGATAATCACAAACAAGATCCTGCAAATGTGTACCCCTCAGCTTTACTCTATCCTCCTCCCCCAAATTTCCATGCAATTTAAAGAGCTAATGAAGATGGTGTTTTTAAAGTGTCCTGGTGGGATGGGAAAGAGAGGGGGCTGATAATCCCACCGGACAGGGAGAATTCTCATCTTGTTCATTCAGAAAGGCCCAGCCCCCTGCCAGGTTGGACTCCCCTCCCCTCAAGGGGTAGCAGCGGACTCCAGAAAAAAGGCAGATGTGTTTGTATTTAAGAGATTGGAGGATTAAATGAGCTAGAGAGGCTCCCTCCACACGGCCTCATCCTCTGATGGCTGGAAGCCCACCTCTGAGTGTTATTAAATCGATGATGACATCATGGGCACTGCATGCCCCTCCCTCTGGAGCCCAGCAGGCTTGCAAAGCCTGCAGAGGATAAGAAATTGGGGTCAGAGCGGGAAGCCTCAATCCTTCTTCTCTGGTGTATACCGAGATCGATGTGTAGATCAGATTCACCAGAATTAAATCTGGGGCCCCGTCTGAGTGCTGTCCTTGGCTGACCCTTGGGCACAGTACTTCAGCTCAGGGCCTAGGTTTTTCTCTGCTACAAAACAGAGACAATCACCTGTTCTCCTTACGACCTGGTGTGTGTGGATCAAATGAAACAAGGAAAGCTTTAAAGCAAATGTGTTCTTCAGGGGACCAGGGGCGGAGGGGGGGGATTGAGGTGTGGCCTGTGGGCTGCTAGAGCCCAGGATGGGGCTGATGGAAAATGACTCCCAGGCAGGCAGTCCTAGCCTCCCACAGCCAAGAAAGGACATGCAGGTTCTGACCAAAGGGGAAAGAAATAAATCCAATAAACATCTCCCAAGAAGAAAGACAGGAAAGAAAATAGAATGGAAATAGGCATAGCTCAGACCCCTCATGGTCTGGGAAGCAGACCAAGGATACTGGGCAGGGGAATGGCACATTGCATTTGCATCTGAGGCACATCCCTTCCAAGAGGCACATCCCTTCTGCAGCGGCTTGAGGGCTGGGTGAGAGGAGACAGGACTGGAGACCTGCACATGTCGTGTGCGCCTGGTGTAGCACGGGGGTGGTGGGGAGAATGGGAGTTGGTTGCAGTTGTTCTAGTTAGCGGCCTGGGCTGCTGACAGTGACCGTGGGGAGGAGAGAGTTTGTGACATTGACAGTGGTGTGGAAGGTAACCTTTCTGTGGAGGGAAACCTCAGGTCTCGAGACGGGCTATTGTAAATAACTTAGTCCACCAGTGCTGGGCTCTCTGCTAAGAGTTTCATATAGTCATCACAACTCCAATGTAGTAGATGCAATAGGCATCTTCTTGTTACAGATGAGTAAACTGAAGCTGTGAGGGGTTGAGCCATTTGCCCGCATCACAGCTAGTTCAAAGTGGTACCACTAATGAAGTCCTGGCAATCTGCCCTGCAGGCTGTTCTCAGGTTTGACCTTTGGTTCTGTTTTTCACTTGAGGATGCTGTCCCCTTAGGTTCTGTCTGTCTTGTATGCTCCGGTGACTCACGAGCCTGTCCACTGGGTTCCCAGGTCTCGCCTCAGCTTCAGACCACCGGTCCAACAGCCTTCCTGACCCACCTCAAGCTTAATGCGTTCAAAGATGAATCTTTATTTACACGAAATCTGCTCTAGCCCACTTCCCGGGGGGTGCCTCCACTATCCACCCAGGGGCAGAATCCGGCCACTGCCTGAACTCTTCTCCCCTCACCCCCCACATCCAGAGTCCCAGTCACCATACCTCTCACACGACTCTAGATGTCACCAACTCGCTCCTTCCCACTGTCACCGCCAGCCCCTCACTAGAACATCTGCAACCCACGTGCTGCACCACGCGGGTGCTACACGTGCAGGTCTCCAGTCCTGCCTCCTCTCCTCCACCCGTAAGAACAAGGGAAATCCCACAGAACCCTCTGCCCCGGGGAGCATTTAAATCAGCTTAGTCTATCTCCAGGTCGCTACCCCGCCCCAGCCCAACACCCAGGCCTCAGTCACCCTAGACAGAGATTCCCGTACCCAGGCAGGCAAGGGACCCTAACACATCCCAGCCCGCTGGTGGTCACGCGCGCAGCCCGGACAGGCCAGCAGCCCCCGCCCCGCGAGGACGCCACACTCGCAGCGCCCGGCCCTCCCCTAGCGGAGCCCGCCCCGTCTCCCTCCGCCCCGCCTCCCTCCGCTCCGCTCCGCTCCGCTCCGCCCCGCCCCGGGTCCGCAGCCCCGCCTGTTCCTCCCGAGGGCCGCGCGCTCTCGCCGGCCCGCCCCGAACCGCCCCGCGCTGGGAATTTGCGGCGGCCTCCGCCGGGGCAGCCGAGCTGAACCGGTCTCTTCCTCGGAAAGGCAGGGCCGAGGGGCCTGCGGGGCAGCCATGGAGGCGACGCGGAGGCGGCAGCACCTGGGAGCGACGGGCGGCCCAGGCGCGCAGCTGGGCGCCTCCTTCCTGCAGGCCAGGTGGGCGCGCGCCGGGGTGAGAGGGCGGGCTAGGCGCCTGTGCGCTGGGGCCTCGGGACCCGCCACGTGACGCTCCTAGGGCTGCCGGGCGGGAACCTCGTGTGCGGCGCTGGCCGGGGCGGAGCGGAGCGCGGGGGGCTTGGAGGCGCGCTACCGTGGCGGCGGTGCCCCCGCGTTTCCTTCTCTGTCTGGGGAGCCTGGGGCCCAGCGGGGCTCGGCCTCCCCGCTTCGCCGTTGCTCGGGTGGGAGGAGCGCCCGCCCGAAGTTTGGGGTTTTCCTCCCTTCCCGCGTTCCAGCGACCCGGGCTGGCGCCGGGACAGCCGCTGCGCTGGGAGAGCTCCCCAGGGCGGTGGGTACACACACCTCGTCACTCGGACCCCCAACTTATCCGCAAGTTCCGGGCGCCACCTCCGCGTTCTCGGGGTCCCTCCAGCCCTGAGTAGGACTTGATTCTGTCATTTATCAGGAGGCTGTCTGCTTGACCTGGGGCACCCAAGAATGTGCGAATGTAATGGAAGAGACAGCGGGGAAGGGCGGAAGCTGCCGTCCAGAGAATGAATGAGGAGCCCTTCTCAGTTTTTGGTTTATCTCGTTGGGCGAGCAGAGCTCCATTCTACCTTCGTCCCGTTTTACTGACCAGAAACATTCACTGCATTCAGCAGGCATTCTTTAAGCGCCTGTGGTATGCCCAGCGCTGTGCCAGGCAGTAAGGGGGTAGGCAGGGTGAAGGTGGGAGAGGCTTACGGTCCTGTAGGGATCAGGAGAGACAGAGCCCAAGTGGGAGTGAGCGGTCATCTTGGAGGGCTTCATGGAGGAAGTGGCACTTGAGCTGAGTCTCAGAGGACTTGGTAGGGGACCCAGGGAAGACAGGCTGTTCCATCCAGGGAAACAGTGGGGAAGGGCAAGGAGTTTAGTGGTGCTGGAGCTTTCCGGCTGTAAAAGAAAGTGACAGGAGGATGCAGACTGATTGTGAAGGGCCTTTAATTGCAGCAAGTCTAGGACTCGAGTTGAGGACCTAGATTGCAAAACTTAGGGGTAGGCGCACTGCCGTGACCGTGAGTGCCGCCTCAAATGTTGGGCCTTGGAGGCCTTGCTTGTCTCACCCTAGTTCCTGTCCTAGGTGACAGGTTAAGGACACAGTCTTTATCCCATAGGCACTGGGGAGTCGTGAGAAGTTTCTGAGCACTAGCATGCGCAAAGTCCTTGTTAGGAAGTTTTTGGTACGACCTGGATGAAGGGAGAAGTCTGAGCGCTTGGGCTGAGGTGAGGGATGGCTCGTTTCTGCTGCTGCGGACATGCGGGCTGAGCAGCTGCGGACTGTGTCCGTTTTCACTTAGAAACAATGTACTGGCCATAGACCGCATACTGTAGCTCACCTGTCTCCCTCGGCCTGTGAGTTAAGTATTATTTTACTGATGAGGAAATAGGCTTAGATGGGCTGAGGAGCCTGACTGGCTGAGTCCCCGGGCTGTCTGCCCCACGCCGTGTCCAGTGGTTTCATCTCTGCTGTGACCCAACCCATTTACCAGCTCCCCTCTTCCAGGCAGCCTCTTCTGCCTGCGGGATGTCTCTGTTCCGAATCCTTGCCAAGTTGGGGGTCACTGACTGCCCTGAACTGTGACAGCCCAATGGGAACAGCCTGTGGGTCTCAGATAGGGTCACCACTTTATCTCCTGTGTGGGGCTCCCATGTCTAGCATCTTACTCAGTCTTGACAATGAGCTGCCAGATGTCACTTCCAATGTACAGATGGGGAAATGGAGGCCCAAAGAGGTTACATCATTTGCTGGCAAGAACCAGGGCCTAAACCCAGGGTTTCTGACTTACGGGCTCTGCTCTTACGACTCCACTTTGGCTGCTAAGGAGTCATGTCCCTCTTCCCCTGTGTGAGCTCCCCACCAGCCAGGGTATTCCCAGGGGGGTGGTGTGAGGGTGGGAGCTCTCTGTCTCCCAGGGTGTCTCTGCCCCCCACAATGTGGCTTCAGCCCATTCCCAGTATCATTGCTGCTCAAGAGAGTAGGCAGAATCATCCTGTCCAGTTCCTAGGATGCTTGGATTTCCTCTGCTGCATCCGTGCTTTGCTCACTACCTCTTAAGGTAACCCATTCCAACGTCCACCTGCTTTGTTGCCAGTTTTTGTATTATAATGAAAGTGTTACAATTAGGCCGGGTGCCATGGCTCACGCCTGTAATCCCAGCACTTTGGGAGGCCAAGGTGGGTGGATCACTTGAGTCCAGGAGTTCGAGACCAGCCTGGCCAACATGGAGAATCCCCGTCTCTACTAAAAAATACAAAAATTATCCAGGTGTGATGGCCCATGCCTGTAATCCCAGCTACTCAGGAGGCTGAGGCACCAGGATCCCTTGAGCCTGGGAGGCGGAGGTTGTAGTGAGCCGAGATGGCGCCACTGCACTCCAGCCTGGATGACAGTGAGACTGTCTCAAAAAAAAAAAAAAGTAAAAAAAGAAAAGAAAAGAAAGTATTATAATTAGTGCCCGTGATAAATCAAATAGCAAAGGCTTCAAGTTTTAAAAAGTAGTAATCCCTGTCCCACTCTTCCCTAGCACCAGAGACAATCACCCTAGCTTCTTTTAGCTCTTTTTTCCAGAGTCAAATTCCTATTTCCAAATAATATGTTTATAACAATAAAAAACACTAGCACTTTTTATGGATCAGGCCCTGCTCTTAAGTTTTTGCATGTATTAATTAAACCACGACCCTTGAGATACGATCTACTGGCCAGGTGTGGTGGCTCATGCCTGTAATCCCAGCACTTTGGGAGGCCGAGATGGGCGGATCAGGAGGTCAGGAGTTCAAGACCAGCCTGACCAACATGGAGAAACCCTGTCTCTACTAAAAATACAAAAATTAGCCAGGCATGGTGTCATGCGCATGTAGTCCCAGCTACTCGGGAGGCTGAGGCAGGAGAATTACTTGAACTCAGGAGGCGGAGGTTGCGGTGGGCCAAGATCGCGCCATTATACTCCAGCCTGGGCAACAAGAGTGAGACTCCGTCTCAAAAAAGAAAAAAAAGGGATAGGATCTACTATTATCTCCATTTTACAAATGAGGACATTAAGGCCCAAGAAGTTAAGTGACTTGCTCAAGATCTGGTTAGTGGCAGAGCTGGGATATGAACCCAAACAGTCTCCAAAGTCCAGACTCTTTTTTTTTTTTTTTTTTGAGATGGAGTCTCACACTGTTACCCAGGCTGGAGTGCAGTGGCATGATCTCAGCTCACTGCAATCTCCGCCTCCCGGGTTCAAGCGATTCTCCTGCCTCAGCCTCCCAAGTAGCTGGGATTACAGGTGCTCGGCACCACGCCCAGCTAATTTTTTGTATTTTTAGTAGAGACGGCGTTTCACCATGTTGGCCAGGCTGGTCTCAAACTTCTGACTTTGTGATTCACCCGCCTCAGCCTCCCAAAGTGCTGGGATTACAGGCCTGAGCCACCGCGCCCAGCCAAGTCCACACTCTTAAAAACTACACTCAACTGCTATTTCTTGGTTTATTTTATTTTATTCTTTTTTTGAGATGGAGTTTCACTCTTGTCCCCTAGGCTAGAGTGCAGTGGTGCCATCTTGGCTCACTGCAACCTCCACCTCCAGAGTTCAAGCAATTCTGCCTCAGCCTCCCGAGTAGCTGGGATTACAGGTGCCCACCATCACGCCCATCTAATTTTTGTATTTTTAGTAGAGATGACGTTTCACCGTGTTGGCCAGGCTGGTCTCTAACTCCTGACCTCAGGTGATCCACCTGCCTTGGCCTCCCAAAGTACTGGGATTACAGGCATGAGCCACTGCGCCCAGCCTTTGATTCCTTTTAGAAAAAAGGAAAAATTTTAAAAATTAGCCATGTGTGACAGCACATGCCTTTCTGTGGTCCCAGCTACTCAGGAGGCTGAGATGGGAGGATTGCTTGAGCCTGGGAGGTCAAGGCTGCAATGAGCCATGACTGTGTCACTGCACTCCAGCCTGGGTGACAGAGCAAGACCTTGTCTCCAAAACTAAAATAAAAAGATGATATTAGTCCCCTACCCTAAACTTTAGCTTTCCTCACCCCTTCCTACAATTTCTGTCCTCTGTTTTCATGTTATCAAAGTAGACTATAATTATCTGCTGCTTTAAAACCGTAATTATCTTCCATGTTTTATCTGTGGATTGACTCTAAACATTGAAAATTAATATAAAATGTGTATGTTATTTAAGCCATGTATTTAATAAATATTGTTCCAACAGAGCCAAATAATGTTTAACAGTTACATTTGCTTTCTTATGTTACTTTTGTTTTTCTTGGAGTTTCTAGTTGCCTTTCTTTATTCTCTCATTATATTTGCCTTCATTTCCTTAGTTTTTTTTCTGTTCAAGCTTTTCATTGTCTTGTATGTCACCATTCTTTAAATAGAAGCAAAATTAGTCTCTCTGTGGTCCCCATTTGTGGGTTACCGCTTGACTTGTTCAGGATGAAACCCCTTCCTTTTCTGCCAGGCAGCCCTGCAGATGCTGCTGACTGCCTTGAGGATTTTAAGTGTATGGCATGCACTCCTCAACTGTCGTGGTGTCATTGTCCCCATATGGTAGACTTGGAAAGCTGGGAAGGAGAGAAGAGTCTAACCTTGTTTCAGGTTATCTGCCATTGTGCCATCACCATTGTTTTCAGCAGCATTTGCTAGTGATTGAGACCTAGCTGGCACAGGCTGGGGGCTCAGTGTGCTAAGTCTGTGGAGCCAGGAACTTGGGACAGGGTTGAGGTTGCTCATCCTCAGGACATGAGCTGGGGGAGAGGATGCCTTTACCATTCCATGATCTGCCTCCCGTGGGCAGAGTTCCAGGAGAAGAAAACCAGGCAGGTGCTGATTAATCTTTTTTTTTTTTTTTTTTTTTGAGACAGAGTCTTTTTGTATTGCCCAGGCAGTGCAGTGGTGCCATCTCAGCTCACTGCAACCTCTGCCTGTGAGGTTCAAGCAATTCTCATGCCTCAGCCTCCCCAGTAGCTGAGATTACAGGTGTGCACCACCATGCTGGGCTAATTTTTGTATTTTTAGTAGAGACGGAGTTTCGTCATGTTGGTCAGGCTGGTCTTGAATGCCTGGCCTCATGTGATCTGCCCAGCTCACCCTCCCAAACTGCTGGGATTACAGGCATGAGCCACTGTGCCCAGTCTAATCTTGATTTGCAAGCTGGTTGCTGAGTGTCCACTCTGTGTGCCTGCTTTTTTTTTTTTTTTTTTTTTTTTTGCAATAAGGTCTTACTCTGTCACCCAGGCTAAAGTGCAGTGGTACGGTCATAGCTCACTGCAGCCTTGACCTCCCAGGCTTAAGTGATCATCCTGTTTCTGCCTCCTGAGTAGCTGGAACTACAGATGTGTGCCACCATACCCAGTTAATTTTTAATTTTTAATTTTTAATTTTTTAGAGTTGTTTTTTGTTGTTGTTGTTGTTGTTGTTGTTTTCTTTTTGAGACAGTTTCACTCTTACTGCCCAGGCTGGAGTGCAATGGCGTGATCCTGGCTCACTGCAACCTCCGCCTCCCAGGTTTAAGTGATTGTCCTGCCTCAGCCTCCCAAGTAGCTGGGATTACAGGCGCACACCACCAAGCCTGGCTAATTTAGTATTTTTATATAGAGACAGGGTTTCACTGTGTTGGCCAGGCTGGTCTCGAACTCCTGACCTCAGGTGATCTGTACACCTCAGCCTCCCAAAATGCTGGGAGTACAGGCATGAGCCACTGGGCCCAGCCCCCCTCTTTTTTTTTTTTTCCTGTCCTACTAAGTTAGGCTGGACTAATGACAGGGATTCTCATTGACCAAGGTGCTTCCTGAGGTGGAGGAGGAGGTAGTCACTGAGCCTCTAGTGTATGCTGGGTACACATAACTTCCAGATACACACATCTAAGTGTTCATGCTTCCAAAATCCCTTTATTCCTCGTACCGAACATCCTACTTTTTGCCAAGTTTGGAGGTATCAGAGCAAGAAACTGAAGGCTGTTACCTCTTTCGCCACCCAAGTTCTCTGGGCCTGGAGGTTATCACTCTCTGCTTTTTGAGGCCTTACCCTGATGGCTACTGAGGAAGGAGCTGGGTGGGGCCTCTGTGTTGGTCACTCGTCTCAGACCACTGAGCAGTCCTCAGGGTTACTGGCTATCTGTCCAGTCTGAAGATCGAGCCGCCCGTCCCTTCTCTTTCTCTGGCTCCAGTAAGCCAGGCATCTCAGCTCCATGCAGAACCTTCTTCACTTCCACCTCCAGGCCTTTACCCTGCTTTCCTGCTTTTCTGCCTAGTTAGATTCATCCATCCGTGCTTTGAGGCTCCCTTCCCTCATGCAAGCTTTGTGTATTGCCCTAGGCCACGCTGATCCTTTTCTTTTTTTTTTTCAGTATTTATTGATCATTCTTGGGTGTTTCTCAGAGAGGGGGATGTGGCAGGGTCATAGGATAATAGTGGAGAGAAGGTCAGCAGATAAACACGTGAACAAAGGTCTCTGGTTTTCCTAGGCAGAGGACCCTGCAGCCTTCCTCAGTGTTTATGTCCCTGGGTACTTGAGATTAGGGAGTGGTGATGACTCTTAACGAGCATGCTGCCTTCAAGCATCTGTTTAACAAAGCACATCTTGCACCACCCTTAATCCATTTAACCCTGAGTGGACACAGCACATGTTTCAGAGAGCACGGGGTTGGGGGTAAGGTTATAGACTAACAGCATCCCAAGGCAGAAGAATTTTTCTTAGTACAGAACAAAATGGAGTCTCCTATGTCTACTTCTTTCTACACAGACACAGTAACAATCTGATCTCTCTTTCTTTTCCCCACATTTCCCCCTTTTCTTTTTGACAAAACTGCCATCGTCATCATGGCCCATTCTCAATGGTCGCTGTCTCTTCGGAGCTGTTGGGTACACCTCCCAGACCGGGCGGCCGGGCAGAGGCACTTCTCACTTCCCAGACGGGGCGGCTGGGCAGAGGCGCTCCTCACTTCCCAGACGGGGCGGCCAGGCAGAGGTGCTCCACACCTCCCAGACGGGGCGGCCGGGCAGAGGCGCTCCTCACCTCCCAGACGGGGCGGCCGGGCAGAGGCGCTCCTCACATCCCAGACGATGGGCAGCCGGGCAGAGACGCTCCTCACCTCCCAGACGGGGCGGCCGGGCAGAGGCGCTTCTCACCTCCCAGACAGACGATGGGCAGCCAGGCAGAGGCGCTCCTCACTTCCTAGACGGGGTGGCGGCCAGGCAGAGGTGCTCCTCACTTCCCAGATGGGGCGGCCAGGCAGAAGGGCTCCTAACCTCCCAGACGGGGCGGCTGGGCAGAGGTGCTCCTCACCTCCCAGATGGGGCGGCCGGGCAGAGGGGCTCCTCACCTCCCAGACGGGGCGGCCGGGCAGAAGGGCTCCTCACATCCCAGACGGGGCGGCCGGGCAGAGGGGCTCCTTACTTCCCAGACGGGGTGGCCGGGCAGAGGCGCTCCTCACATCCCAGACGATGGGCAGCCGGGCAGAGGCGCTTCTCACCTCCCAGACAGGGCAGCCGGGCAGAGGGGCTCCTCACTTCCCAGACGGGGCAGCTGGGCAGAGGCGCTCCTCACTTCCCAGACGGGGCGGCCGGGCAGAGGCGCTCCTCACATCCCAGACGATGGGCAGCCAGGCAGAGGCGCTCCTCACTTCCTAGACGGGGCAGCTGGGCAGAGGCGCTCCTCACTTCCCAGACGGGGCGGCCGGGCAGAGGCGCTCCTCACATCCCAGACGATGGGCAGCTGGGCAGAGGCGCTTCTCACCTCCCAGATGGGGTGGCCGGGCAGAGGGGCTCCTCACATCCCAGACGATGGGCGGCCAGGCAGAGACGCTCCTCACTTCCTAGATGGGGTGGCGGCCGGGCAGAGCCTGTAATCTTAGCACTTTTGGAGGCCAAGGCAGGCGGCTGGGAGGTGGAGGTTGTAGCGAGCCGAGATCACGCCACTGCACTCCAGCCTGGGCAACATTGAGCATTGAGTGAGCGAGACTCCGTCTGCAATCCCAGCACCTCGGGAGGCCGAGGCGGGCAGATCACTCGAGGTCAAGAGCTGGAGACCAGCCTGGTCAACACGGCGAAACCCCGTCTCCACCAAAAATACAAAAACCAGTCAGGTGTGGCGGCGTGTGCCTGCGATCCCAGGCACTCGGCAGGCCGAGGCAGGAGAATCACGGGAGCCCGAGGCAGGGAGGTTGCAGGGAGCTGAGATCACGGCAGTACAGTCCAGCCTCAGCAACAGAGGGAGAAGGAAGAAGCGAGGGAGAGGGGGAGGGTTGGGGGAGGGGGGAGGGAGATCCCTTTCTAACCTGATCTCCTGATAAGCCTAGTAATCAAAAACAGAATAGCAAGCTGTTGGCCAGACATGGTGGCTCACAGCTGTAATCCCAGCACTATGGATGGCTGATGTGGGTTGATTATTGAGCCCAGGAATTTGAGGCCAGCCTGGGCAACATAGTGAGACCTCATCTCTACAAAAAATAATAATAATAATAATAATAATAATAAAATAAAATTAGCTGGGCATAGTGGCATGCACCTGTGGTCCCAGTTACTCAGGAGACTGAGGTGGAAGGAATGCTTGAGCCTGGGAGGCCAAGGCTGCAGTGAGCTGTGATCACACCACTGTACTCCAGCCTAGGTGACCCTGTCTCCAAAAAACAAAACAAAAAAACAGAATAGCAAGCTATTAAGAGCACAGGTCTTGAATTAACATAAACCCAGGTTTGAATTGTGTGTGTTATTCAGGACGACTGGGTTGCAAGTGACAGAAAGCCAGTGTGAACTGCACCATCCTTAGCAAAAAGGAATGTGTTGGCTCATATGGCCAGATCATGAACTGGCAACATGAACACTGTCAGCACTTTTTCTCCCCCTTTCCCTGATCCTCTCTGCGAGGCTACTTCATTCTTACCTGGATGTCCCTTGAGGGTGGAACCTTGGCTGTAGGCAGTCCTGGGCTTGCACCCTTAGAACCCAGCACTATAAAGGAAGGAGCTCTTTTCCTCACCTGCAGTTGGAAAAGTCCCACTGGGCCAGTCTAGATCACTGGCCCTTCCTGTGGCTAAGAAAATATCATGTCTTACCAGAAGAAGCAGTGGGTGGGAAATAGGCTGACAAAAGGAATTGTTGCCACAGCTCCTTACTACACGGGTGGCTTTGGCTAAGCACCTAATCCCTCTAAGCCTCAGTATCCTCATCTGTAAAGCAGATGCGTGGATTAGATGAGATAGTGCAGGTAAAGACCTAGCATTGCACATAGTTGGTGTTCAGTGAGGGGGTGGAAGATACCGAGTAGAGGGGACAGGAAGACTTAGCTGACCTAGGGAAGGCCTACCCAACCTGTCTTGCCTGCCACTAGAAAATGAGATTTCTCCCAAGAGCTTGCCTCCCTGTCCTGGGGTACTCTACCAGCCAGTATGGATCATCCTTGGAACTGGCAGGAAGGGATCTCAGAAAATTAGGGAAGCAACAGCAGTATCGACAGAAGACAGTCTTTGCAGTGCCTCTAAGCTAATGTTTGCCACTACAAAAGGAGTAACTGGTCGTTGTGACTGTTTTAATCAGCCAGTAGTTGCTGAGCATGGACCAGGGCCTGAGCTCAGAACTCTGGAGGAATACAGATTTGTGGTCCATGGCGCCTGTTCTTGGCACAAACGAGACGATGAAACCCACACCTCAGTCCTCTTAGGATGTGGCTGGCTGCTTGTCCCTGGAGGTGTGCAAGTAATTGCAGGGACTCTGTAAAGAGGATTTGGACTCTGATAGGGAGGTGGGTGAGTTGGGAGAACCTTAAAGGTCACCCCTGTTCTCGAGGGTCTAGATGGGAGAGTACAGCTCCAGCCCCATTATGCCAGACTGGGTTGGCGTTGAAATGCTCCCTGCAGTGGGCTGGTGGGGCTTTGGGAAAAGCTTCATCAGGGAAGCCTTCCCAGAGGAGGCAGCACTGGTCCTGGAACTTCAGTGCATCTGTGAACAGCAGATGACCAACTGTTTAGTGAGAGGGACAGGCCTCCAAAGATGTATCGTGAGGCAGTACTCCACTTCCTGCTGTGTCTCTCACATCACCTTGCTTCTGCTGGCTCCTTCTCAGGTTCTACTGTGGACTGCTGAGAAGAGGATTACCAGCAGCCCAACCTGACCTCCTCACAGTGCTGGAATCAAGCGAGCAGGAGGCCCTATCCATTTCAGTCTCTCTAAAGCACATTTCATTGGAGGGCTCTGATTGGCCAAGCTCTGGTCACATGCCCATCCCATAGACCAATCCTGATGGACCCAACTATGGGATGGAGGTTAAAAGTATAAGCTCAGGAGCCCAATCATTTGGGTTCAAATCCTTAGCTGTGTGACCTTGAGCAAGTTATTGAGCCTCTTGGGCCTCAGTTTTTTCGTTTCTAAAATGGAGGTAATATTTCAGCCTTGAAAGGTTTCTGTGAGGATTAAATGAGATAATACATGTAAACAGCTAACAGTAGTGCCTGGGATATAGTAAGTGCTCAACTAAGGTCAGCTGCCATGATCCATCATCAAGTTTCATGCTTTTCAGCCACGATTGCGTCCTTTGCCTTTCTTGATTTCCTCCATCTTTCAGTAGCGGAGAAACCCCAGCAATTACACCTGTTCAGCTGTTTCCTTCCTGAATCAGAGAGAAGCTAAGGTCGGGGCAGCTGAAGTCCACCTTCTCCTTGACCACAGGGCCAGACCCCAGTATATCCAGCAAAACCCTATCCATAGAACTCAATTATGTGTGTCTCCTCCTGTCCTCAAGTCCCCAGACCTCTTTGTGGCTAATCTCAGGGGAAGATTTTGGTGGAGGAGGAGAGAAGAGCTGACTTCTCTCGTCTGGTTCCTTCCCAGGCATGGCTCTGTGAGCGCTGATGAGGCTGCCCGCACGGCTCCCTTCCACCTCGACCTCTGGTTCTACTTCACACTGCAGAACTGGGTTCTGGACTTTGGGCGTCCCATTGCCATGGTGAGTGTGAAATGGTGCACAGGGCTCTGACCAGCACTGAGGACACTTAGTGTGGCTTGAATTTGCCGAGTGACCTTAGACAAGTCACTTCTCCTTTATCTCCTAGTAAACTGAGAGAATAGGCCTGGATGCCTTCATATCCTTAGCTCTATGACTTGGCCCGTCAGGCAACTGCCAGCAAGTGGGGGGCCTGAAGAGTCATACTTTGCCCCAACTCTCATGGGGGAACTGGTGGTCCTGAACAGTCATACTGTAATACTGTAACCCCCTCTGGCCTGTGTCTGGAAGCAGGTGAACCAGGTTGAACCAAATCACCAAGACAGACAAAGGGGTATAGGAAAGGAAGTGGAGCACCGCACCCCCACCTCCGTCTCCCCTGTCCTTCCCCATTACCTTGGGATAGTATTATTTTTTCTGGAGTTGAAGGGCGTAGGCTGATTTTGCATATTATATATGACTGTGAGCCATGGGTAATTTTTAATGCCATCCAGTGAAACCATCCCCTGCCTTCCAAGGCTACTTCATGCTTTAGTATCCAGTGGTGGCCTCCACAGACAAGATTAATGCTGGGAGGGCACCAGTGCCCCTTGCTTGTAGTGGGAGGATGGAAGATAGATAGGTAGGTAGGTAGGTAGGTAGGTAGGTAGGTAGGTAGGTAGGTAGATAATTGACAGATGATAGATAATAAATAGACGAACGTGAAGAAAATTAAGTGAGATATCACCAGGTATCAAGTCATTATTTGGTAGTGGGGGCACAGTGTGACTATTCATGGCCCCCAGACCCCTCCCACCCAACTTGCTGACAGTTGCCTGACGGGCCACAGTCATAGAGCCAAAAGATATGAAGGCATCCAGGCCTATACTCTCAGTTTACTGGAAGATAAACGGGAAGTGACTTTTCGAAGGTCACTCAGCAAATTCAAGTGTAAAAATAACAATATCCAGTGCTGAAACTGGCACTTTGTACATACTAGTGATCATGCAAATTAGCAAAGCCCTTTTGGGGCCGGGCATGGTGGCTCATGCCTATAATCCTAGCACTTTGGGAAGCTGAAACAGGAACATCACTTGAGCCCAGGAGTTTGAGATCAGTCAGGGCAATATAATGAGACCCTGTCTCTATAAAAGATTTGTAAATTAGCTGGGTGTGGTGATGTGCACCTGTAGTCCCAGCTACTCAGGACTGAGCTGGGAAGATCTCCTGAGCCTGGGAAGTTGAGGCTGCAGTGAGCCGTGATCACACCGCTGCACTCCAGCCTGGGCAACACAGTGAGACCCTGTCTCAAAAAACAAAACAAACAAAAAGCAAAGCCTTTTTGGAAAGCAGTAATAATTCATAAGTAACAACTTGGCAAGATTAGTACTTAGAATAGTGCCTAACACAATAAGTGTTTAATGCATTTTTACTGAATGAATAATAATTATAGCAAAGTTAGAATAGTGGCTAACATCGAATGTTTACTCTGTTCTAAGCTCTTTATGTGTTTCAGTTTATTTAATTCTCATATCAACACTATTGCTGATCTCAATGTTATAGATGAGGAAACTTGAGGAGAGAGAGAATAAGTAACTGGCTCGAGGTCAAGCATAGAGGCCAGCATCTGCCCAGGCATTCTGGCCCTGGAGCCCCTTTCTGACAAGGTTGAATTCTCTGTCACATAAATATCCAGAATCCTAATATATTCATCCCTCTGACCCAGTAATACCCTTCCGAGAATCTGCCCGTAGGGATATAATCAGCAAGAAGACAGCAGTTTCCTCTAACTCAAAGATGTTCATTGCAGTGGTGTTTATGATAGCCAAACCTTAGAAGTGACTTGCGTGTCCAGCATTAGGGACTGGGTAAATCAGTTTTGCTATGTCCATTATAGAGAATGTTTCCTGGCAATTAAGCAGAAATTATGGATACTATAGAGCAACCTGGAATATTTAAGGAGAAAAAAGGTTCCTAAATGACATGCAGACTGACTAATTGCAAGTCAATAACGAGCTTGTCTACCTGGGATCAAAGACTTGATAGGTGTAAAGAAAAGCTGTCCTGGCAATGCTGTCAGGGAGTGATGGTGGGTGCTGGTTCTCCTTCCTGCAGTCTTTTTGAAGGTTGCCTTTTAAATGTGGAAAAATAAGAGGAATTGAGCCAAGAGTTGGGGCATCTGGTTGGGTTTGTGGGTGACCTAGGGCAAGTCACTGTCCTGGGCTTCATTTCTCTCTCCAAGAAGACTGGCTGGACTGGCTGCTCTGAACCTTCTTCTAGCATGAAGGAACCACATACTGGGGGCCAAAGAAGCTGCCCATCAAACTGGTGCTAGAGAGAGAGATGAGGCCAGGAGTGGGCTCGTGGCTCCCTTCACTCACTAGGACCCAGCTTCTACTGGCATAACAGGGTCTCCTATTGGGCAAATCACTTCCCCCATCCTGCTTAGAGCTGCTGTGACCACTGTAACCCTAAGTAGGACTTGGTGGAACGTAGACATTTGAAAAGCTCTTGTATACGCTAGAGATTTTCAAATGTATGCATAATAGTTGCAAATTTGTTAAAAACAAAAACATTTACAAGTTATAAAAGTAACATGTCATAGATGTAACATAGTTGTAACATAAAGAAGTGTTAGACTCTCCCTACCCCTTTCCTGTCCCACTGCTGACAGTTTCGGGAACACCCCTTTCACTCTTCTCTGCTTGTACAAACACATATATACATCCTTTTCCCTTCTAACCATAATGGGATTTTGCTTTATACTTTATTTTGCAACCTGCTTGTTTTCCTTTAGAATATATCATATGGTGGGCATGGTGGCATGTAATTCCAGCACTTTGGGAGGCCAAGGCAGGAGGATTGCCTGAGGCCAGTCCTGGCAACATAGCAAGACCCTGTTTTTACAAATAATTTAAAAATTAATGGTGCTTGGTGCCTGGCACCTGTAATGCCAGCACTTTGGGAGGTCAAGGTGGGAGGATCGCTTGAGCCCAGGAGTTTGTGACCAGCCTGGTCAACATAAGGAGACCTCATCTCAATAAAAAAGAAAAAAGAAAAAAAAATATAGCTCTCTCTCCATGTCAGTACATATAAGGTGTCATTTCTGTTAATGGCTACTTAACCTTCCATGGTAAGAAGTACTATCAGGGATTCAACTGGTCCTGTTTGATTGAAGAGTCAGCCTATTTCTGATGTTTTGCTATCACAGAGTATTTTAGCAAGTATATATATGATGTAGGTAAAGAGGCAGATAAACACATGCACACTGAGTAAGAGAGAGAGAGAGAGACTGAGATTGCTGCATTCTGTGAGTTTTATTTCTGCGGGTTTAGTTTATCCAATATGGCATTTCTGTGTTAAAAGAGAGAACCATCTAAATCCTTCCTTGAAACTTGTGGGCCTTATGTGTGTTTTCAATCAACAGATACTAGAAGTACAGTTTGGGGGTTGTGAAATGCTTTAACCCCGCATAGGGGTTTTCACACTGGCCTGGACAAGGCCAGGGCTCAGAAGAGAGAGCATTGCAGAAGGAGGAACTGCCCCTGGCCTGCCTTCCTCTCTCTGGGAAGGAAGAGTTGCAGCTACTTTGTAGAGCATTCTTGTTTTCTCCTTTGTCTCCTAACGTGTACTTTGAACCTGGTTTGGAAGCAGTCCCTCCACATCAGGGCCTAGCACTCAGGAGACTGATCTGGCACTCAGGAGCGCCAGAACCCGAACGGTCCAAGTAGGCCCTCTGGGCCACCTCTCTTGTGTTATAGATGGGGAAACCAAGGCCCAGAGAAGGGAAGTATTAGCCCAGGGTCACCCAGCAAGTTGGTGCCACAACGGAGTCCCTGAGAAGCCTACCAACTCCCAAGCTGGCATCAGGGTCATTTATTTGGTATCTGCTGGGTGAGGGGCACAGGGTCAGGCCTTGACTGGAATTGCATCTGCTCTGTGTCTGGGGACAAGTCCGTTACCTCCTCTGGGACTCAGCTTTCCTGTCTGGATAAACCTTTGTCCCAAGGCTGCCGAGAAGGTCCAGCGATCACAGGAAGAATTAAGTGTACATGATGGGGTGGGGGGTGAAAGGAGTTGGGGTGGGCGGCATTAGGGGCAGACTCCCTTGAGGCCCGAGGGCCGCGTGGGGCTGTGCCCAGGTGAGCCCATTCTTCCATTTGCTCCGCAGCTGGTATTCCCTCTCGAGTGGTTTCCACTCAACAAGCCCAGTGTTGGGGACTACTTCCACATGGCCTACAACGTCATCACGCCCTTTCTCTTGCTCAAGGTACTGTCCCAGGGCCCCCACTCTCTCCTGTCATCCCCATTCTTTGCACACCTGGCAGGAAGGTGATGCTAAGCCCTGTGTCCTGACTCAAGCACGCTCCTGCCTGCTGCTGGGGGGTGAAGGCTGTGACAGAGCAGCATGTCCAGGGCCTGGGGCCCGGGGAAGGCGGAGCTGCCGGTGGCCTGGAGGGATGGAAAATATGCCCCAAGAAAGGGCTTTTGATTTGAGCCTCAGCCTGGCGTGCCAGTGGGGGAAGCAGAGAGGTGTTCAGGTAGAAGGACCTAAAGACAAGGCTGTGCTTGGGAAACCGTAAAACATTTGGGGAGGCTGAGGCAGAAGTGACTGGAGGTCCAGGGAGAGGTCAAGGACCCACTGGGAAGAGAGGAAGAAGCCAGGTGGCAGGAGAGGCAGCAGCAGCAGCTGAACTCCATCCTCTGCCCTGGAGAGCCCTGAGATGTCACTGGGAGCACTAGCAGGAACTGCTGGCTTTGCACTTTGCCAAGTAAGGCCTTTAAAACTACTATAGGTTGAGCATCCCTAATCCAAAAATCTGAAATCTGAAATGCTCCAAAGGAGTCTGAAATTTTTTAAGCACTGGCATGATACTATAAGTAGAAAACTCGGCCAGGCGCGGTGGCTGGAGCCTGTAATCCCAGCACTTTGGGAGGCTGAGGTGGGTGGATCACTTGAGGTCAGGAGCCTGGCCAACATGGTGAAACCCCCGTCTCCATTAAAAATAGAAAAAATTGGCCAGGCGCAGTGGCTCATGCGTGTAATCCCAGCACTTTGGGAGGCTGAGGCGGGCGGATCACCTGATGTCAGGAGTTCGAGACCAGCCTGGCCAACATGGTGAAACTCCATCTCTACTAAAAATACAAAAAAAAGTAGCCGGGCATGCTGGCAGGCACCTGTAGTCCCAGCTACTCGGGAGGCTGAGGCCAGAGAATCACTTGAACCCGGGAGGTAGAGGTTGCAGTGAGCCAAGATCACGCCATTGCACTCCGGCCCGGGCAAGACAGTGAGACTTCATCTCAAAAAAAAGAAAAAGAAAAAAATACAAAAAACTTAGGGCCGGCATGGTGGCTTACGCCTGTAAGCCCAGCACTCTGGGAGCCCAAGGCAGGCAGATCACTTGAGGTCAGGAGTTCGAGACCAGCCTGGCCAACATGGCAAAACCTCATCTCCATTAAAAATACAAAAAAGTTAGCCAGGTGCGGTGGTGTGCGCCTGCAGTCCCAGCTACTTGGGAGGCTGAGGCAGGAGAATCACTTGAATCCAGGAGGTAGAGGTTGCAGTGAGCCGAGATTCCACCACCGCACTCCAGCCTGGGCGATGGAGCAACACTCTGTCTCAAAAAAGAAAATTCTACACATATGTACTTAACACAAACTTTGTTTCATGTACAAAATTATTTAAAATGTTATATAAAATTAACTTCAGGCTGTGTATGTAAAGTATATAGGAAATATAAATGAATTTTTCCAGGCATGGTGGCTCACACCTGTAATCTCAATACTTTGGGAGGCTGATACAGGAGGATCACTTGAGGCCAGTAGTTTGAGACCAGCCTGGGCAACATAGTAAGACCCTATCTCTACAAAAAATTTAAAAATTAGCTGGGCATAATGGTGCACACCTGTAGTTCCAGCTACTCTGGGGGCTGAGGTGGGAGGATCTCTTGAGCCACTATACTCCAGCCTGAGTGACAGAGTGAGACCCTGTCTCAAAGAAAAATGAAAGAAATGAATTTCATGTTTAGACTTGCATATGCATTCCCAAGATATCTCATTGTGTATATGCAAATATTCCAAAATCTGAAATTTGAAACATTTCAGATAAGGGATGCTCAGCCTGTATCACCATTTACTATCACCATCATTTTGTATTGAAGAAAGATACTTCAAATCTCCAGAAGTAGGAGGGGTATAATCCCAGAACTCCGGTGTGTTTTCAGTTAAACAGTGGCATTTCAGAAGCACCTGCCCCCATCCCTGACATTTTCTTCATGTTTGCTGGGACCACTCAGAAATCAGAAGGTGCCTTCAGCAGGCTGGGCCAGCCACCCAGGGACACAGCCAGGGACAGTGGGAGGGCTGGGCCTGAGCCTGGACTCCTGCACTGAAGGCTGGGCTGTCCCCTCCAGCCTACAGCTCATGTGTGACTTTGGGAAAGGAGTTGGGCCCTCTGGTCTTTTTGCTCCCTGGGTAAAGTCAGCGGGGGGTGCTGCTCCACATTCCCTCCGGGGTTCATAGGGGTCACGGGAGGATCTGGAGGCTGGGCTGGCCTGCTAAAGGGACCAGCCACTTTTTGGAGTGACATTCCAGCTGGAAGCGTCCATCCCACCCCAGGTGTGAGGGGGGAAGCAGAGGGTGTCACATACTGTGACAGAGGTGGGGTCATGCTGCCAACCCCACTCTGAACCCCAGCTCATCGAGCGGTCCCCCCGCACCCTGCCACGCTCCATCACGTACGTGAGCATCATCATCTTCATCATGGGTGCCAGCATCCACCTGGTGGGTGACTCTGTCAACCACCGCCTGCTCTTCAGTGGCTACCAGCACCACCTGTCTGTCCGTGAGAACCCCATCATCAAGAATCTCAAGCCGGAGACGCTGGTGAGGCCACCTCCTGCTCCCTGCCTGTAAGCCCTAGGAGCACAGTCTGTCCTGGGAGGCTGAAGAAATGGCCCCCACCCCTCGCCGCACCTGTCCTTTCACCAAAGGCATTCTGCTAGGTGAGGGCACTGTCGCCTGCCCCAAGCTAGGATGCTCAAGTGTTCTTAGGAAGTGGTGCACAGACTGCCTCCCACCTGGGCCCCTGTAACAGAAGGCGAGGCCCCGGGTAGGGAATAAGGCAGTGGGGGAGGCCTGGGACTGGGAGAAGGGTGGTCAGAGGGGATGCTTGGGGCCCCAGCACCTCCCTGGACTGACATCGACATCCCCCGACTCTGCCCTGCCCGTTCCTCCCTCAGATCGACTCCTTTGAGCTGCTCTACTATTATGATGAGTACCTGGGTCACTGCATGTGGTGAGTGATGGGCCCATCTGTCTATCCCAGGGGCCCCAACTACCGGCTAGCCCTGTCACTGGCTCAGGGACACACTGAGCAAGGCTGTCTGGGCTGCGGGTCTCCATGTGTTGAGTCTCATCCCCTGTAAAGGCACTGTGAGCTCAACCTCCAGTGAAGTTGTCCCCGAGGTTGCCCGGGAGACCCAGCTGCTGTCCCAGGCTCCAGGCCCCGGCTTCCAGCCAGCATCCCCCCAGCATCGCCACCCCCGCCCAGCCCTCAGTGCCCGCTGTGGCCAGCAGAGGGCAGCGAGTGGCTTTGGTCCTTCCTCGCCAAGCCTGAGCCCTGAGGGTGGGGGAGGAGGACGCGTCCCTGATAAACAACCCCCAGATGGTGATGGCAGGGGGTGGGGGCACAGCCAGGGACCCCCACCCGTGTCGGGCCTGCTCTTTGGGAGTGGAGGAAGCTGCGGGGAGCCAGCTGGATCAGGCTGGGGAGGGGCGTGCTGTTTGCGCTCCCCCCTCTTCAGAACTCCCAGAGGGGCACCTTTTCCTACCTACCCCGTCCCTCAGTCGGGGGAGACCTCAGAAATGTGGTCTCAGCCTCAGGAGATCCCGGGCCCAGGCTGGGAGGCTTCATCTGTTCCACCCTCCCATCTTACCCAGGAGAAACTGAGGCCAGAGGGAGGAGGGCTCCGAAGGCTGCAGCTGGGAGGTGAGGGCCAGCCCTGGACCCGGCTCACTCCTGAGTTGGTGCTCACAGCACACGCACCCTGCACGGGCATTTCCAGGGTGTTTCGGGCCCTGCGATGTCAATCCTCCTGGCTCAGCTGGTCCAGGGTCCCTGGACAGGCCTCCTGCCATCTTTCCCTGGCCTTTGCCAGAGCCTCTTCCCACAGAAGGTTGGGGAAGGGTGGAGGGGCTAGGAACAGAGAGCTGGAGCCCCAGCAGGAAGGGGGTGTGGGTGAGAAGAGGCAGGCGGGTATACTGGTGAAAGCACAGGTGGGAGAAAGGGAGCCGGTGTGTGGAGAGGGGAGAGGGTAGTATTTTGGGGTGAGGTGTCTGAGGTGGGGGTGGGGCTGTGTGCTGAGAGTGGGTGCAGTGCTTCACCAAGAGGCCCCTGCAGGTGCTGTTCTCTTTTTTAACATGTGGACCTCCATCCTCAGCCCGGGAGGTGCCTCTGTCTCCAGGCTAGTGTGGTGCTGGGCTGCTGGTGTCTGCGGTGCATGAGACAGACAACCCCCCAGACACCCCTTACCCCCACGGAGTGAGTGAGGTGCCCTGGGCGGTGTGGATGCCTCTGGGCCTCTGACTCACACGTGCGTTGCCTTCCTGTTTCTGTTTCTGTCCCACCTTTGACGCCCAGCACAGGCAAGGTTGGGTGGAGAGGAGCGCCTCTCACCCAGGCTAGGCGTTTTGTAAACTGTGACGTGGCACTCCATGAGACCCCATGGGAGTGGTTGCAGAGGTTGTGGGGAAGAGGGCCGCTGAGCAGGCCTCTAAGACACTGGCCTTCCTGTCACAGGTACATCCCCTTCTTCCTCATCCTCTTCATGTACTTCAGCGGCTGCTTTACTGCCTCTAAAGCTGAGAGCTTGATTCCAGGGCCTGCCCTGCTCCTGGTGGCACCCAGTGGCCTGTACTACTGGTGAGTGGACATCAGCATGGGGGCAGAGGCAGGGGCACTGAGAGAGCCACGGCAGCAAAATTCTGCACTTGCCAATGGACCTGCTGTGTGGCCCCAGGGAGACTGGCCCTCTTTGGGCCCGTGCTTCTTCTTGTGTCTAGTGGGGACTGTGACAATGCCCTGTGGTGGCCTCTTTGTTTCCATGAAGCCCAGGCCTGGGTGTGGCAGGGAGGTGGGAGGAGAGGGCGAGGTTGCACAGTCTGTCTCCATCCTCAAGCCCCTCTCGCTCTGTGCCCCATCTCAAGAACCCCAGTGTTGCCCTGGGGCCGGTACAATCCACCTCCGACACCAAGCCCTGTAGTGGGCTGCGGTTTCCACCTCTGTGAAGTGGGGATGATGGTACCTGCCTGTCTGCCTCTCAGATGATGAGGATGCTGAGGACAGAGAGGGGCTTTGTCAAATGTAAAGCACTATGGCGAGGCCAGACTGGGGGGTTTCATGGCGTAGGGGCTTCTGGCCTTGGGTCTTTGTTCCCTCTGGCTCTCTCTTCTTCCCATTGCAGAGGACTTAGGCCTCAGCCAGTCTCCTAGCCCTCGTCTGTCACTTCTGCCCTGGAGACAGGTCACCCTGGGATTGTGGGTATCATGGGAAGGACAGGGTCGGGGCAGGACTGGACCCTTCTCTGATGGGAGGCCTCCCTCAAAATGAAAAGGGCCTCCTTTCCTGGGCCAGCTCTAGATCCTCTCCCCGGCCTGTCCCCTATGTGGCTGAGATGGCCCACTGGGGCTCATCTGTATGCTCTCTGGGGATTAAAAAGAATGGGTGGCAGCTACAGTGAGCGGGAAAGACGTTAGGGGAGCGCTTCCTGCTGGTTCTTACCCCGGCATCCTGCCGCGGGGGTGGCTGCCGTCGTAATGGCAATTGTTTGTTGCTTTCTCCTCTAGTCAGTTTTTGTTGTGTGGAAGTATAAACTTAATGTGACCAGAGAAGCCAGAAATATACATTTGTAGGTATTCTGTTATTTAAATATTGGCAACAAACTCAACATTTAAAAAACAGTAACTATACCAGCTAAATCAATATGCTGCCCATGGGCTGTGGCTTAGAGCGGCATAGTTCTCTGAGCCCTGGCACCAGAGGACTCTTCTGCCTGCCTGGAGGGCAGCCTGGCTCTCGCACACAGGAAGGGATGCCAGGCAGGACGGGGTTGCCACGGCAGCTGCCTCACTCACCCCTGGCCTTTCCAGGTACCTGGTCACCGAGGGCCAGATCTTCATCCTCTTCATCTTCACCTTCTTCGCCATGCTGGCCCTCGTCCTGCACCAGAAGCGCAAGCGCCTCTTCCTGGACAGCAACGGCCTCTTCCTCTTCTCCTCCTTCGCACTGACCCTCTTGCTTGTGGCGCTCTGGGTCGCCTGGCTGTGGAATGACCCTGTTCTCAGGAAGAAGTACCCGGGTGTCATCTACGTCCCTGAGCCCTGGGCTTTCTACACCCTTCACGTCAGCAGTCGGCACTGAGTCCCTGGCACCAGGCTCTGGCGCTCTGCTGGGTGGGAGGGTGGGCCATGGAGGGCATCTGAATACAGGAGTAGGGGGGGTGTGGGTGTGTAACCAGAGACCGAGAGCATGAGTGGGGTGTGCCTCGTGTGCGTGGATTCGTGTGTGTGTGTGTGTGTGTCTTGTATATGTGTGCGCAGAGTGCATCATTTTCAGACTCTACTATTTCCGTCAAGTTTCTGTTTGATTTGGATCATCTCAGGATCGGATTCTGTTTTAGAGTGTTTCTGGGCCAGGATCCGGGCCCCTGCCCTCCTCTGCACCTGACCACACTCCCTACTCAGGGCTAGTCTGTTCTTCCCGGACATCTTCTGGTAGCCGTGCAGGAGAGGGCTGGGTGGGGCAGAGGCCAGGAGGGGACCTGGTGTGTCACCTGCCCACCACCTGGCTCATCCCTCAGGCCCACCCTGACCCTACATTACATAGGTTACGTCAGCCTACTGTGGCTGTTGAGCAAAGCATTTCTCCTTTCTGGGCCTCATTTGCACTAGATGGGCCTGTGGTCCCAAAGTAGGTCAGTAGGTTGGGGTTGCTGACACCCCTTGGGTGCAGCTTTGGGACAGATGAGTGGCTCTGTCCTGTCACTGCCCTCTCCCTGCCTGGGGGCTATGTGCACTCCAGACCCCTGCCCAGGCTCAGGCCCATGAGGTATGGAGACACCCTGGCCCCCAGGAGCTGGAGGCACCGCCCACTCCCCTGGCATTCCAGCTTTGCAGGTGACCCTCCTCTACCCAAAGCTCTGTCCCCCTGCTCCCACTCCAGAAGAACTGCGGCACGCGCTTCGGGCAGCCTAGCCACAGGCTTTGAGCGCCTGCATTCCTGGGGGCTGGAGGGTGGGGTGCCAAAGGCCCTGAGCAAAAGCCAGAGCTCCTCTCATCAAAGCCTTTACAAGGTGCTGGGCCCAGAGGCTTTGCCTTGACAGAGTGGCCCAGGGTTTCAAGGGAGGAGGAACCTCCCCCTACCTAGGACCCTTCCTGTGGGGGGTCTACAGAGTCAGGGACAGAAGGGAAGGGACCCACAGGAAGTCACAGTGGTGCCCAGGGATGTGTCAGCCCCCAGCCACGGGGACGCGGGATTCAAGAATGAAGTAAATACAGTCACAGCCCCAAGTGGTGTTAGAGGTGTTTTTTGTCTTTTCTCCCTTTCGTGCTGAGGTGTAGCACACACGGTGCGCCCTACAGCATGGTGAGTTGCTGTATCGTGAACCCTCACGCAGCCATTGCCCCACGCTGGTGTTTTCCATCTGTGCGTCACCCCCGGAGACACCTACACACATAAGGAGGGAGTTGGCCGGGGCACCCCAGCACACACTGGCCTAACTCCAAGGAGGCACCTCATCTCTTCTGGAGCCCCTTCCCACAGGCAAGGGGATTCAGAGGGAGCATGTTGGCCTGGCCGCCTTCAGGCTTCCAGAGTCCCAAGTGACTTTCCTTGATGTCCTTCTCTCCATCCTCTGCACAGAGGCAGCCTTCCCTCCTCTTATCCCTGCCATGGGGTTTGGGAGGGGGAGCCTCAAACTCTGACAGGGAGGAGTCGGAGTCCCCAGCTAAAATTCTCTGGGTCTAGAAACAGGTGTAAAGCGATTCTGGGGATGTGATTTGGGAGAAAAGCACACTTTCCACACAGAGGCGGTCAGGAAAGGAGCGGGGAGGGGAGAGTGGGGCACAGGCAGCGCCTCCCGTCTATGCGCCTGTGTGCAAAGTGGCACAATGCCCCCCTTCCTATTGGCAGTGCAGCCCCTGGCCAGCAACCACTCGCACCTGGGCTGGGGGCCTTTGTGTAGGGCACACCTGTGCAGCCACACCTACTTGTAGAGCCTCATAGACTCAGCTGTGGACAAAAGCCTCACGCCCCAAACAGGGAAATGGGATCTCAAGGGGAAGAAGCTGGGGAGGCCTCACACCCTGCCCCCATTTCCTCCTATGTGGGGGAGGGGAGCAGCACGAACTCCTGAAGACTTGGGAGCGTCAGCAGCTTCTGCGGAAGGGGTGGGGCTGAGGGTGGAGAGAGGAAGGGAAGGAAGAAAAGGGGAGCCTTCCTGGCCAGGGTAACCGGCACTAAGAGGCCTCACTCCAAGCCCCCGAGGAGCCTGTGGTGGGGCTGGAGACCCGGCTCAGGCCCCTCCACCACCCTTAAAGTCCTCAGAAGGTGGGAACTGAACTGGCACAGGATGGGAACCGGCTGTGCGCTGGCCACTTGATTTTGCCAGCTGCCCTGTAATTCAGCTGGTGAGGAAACTGAGGCACAGACTGAGGTAGAATGATTCGCCAGTCACTCAGCAAGTCAGCAGACGGGGAGGACTGAATCCCAGCCTGAGAGCACCGAAGCTTGTATCCCTGCAATACCGAGCCCCAAGCCTGCGAGCCCCGGTGCCCATCTCTGAGTTAGGCCGTCTTGGAAGGGTTCCCTTCCTCCTACAAGATGGTGTGTGAGGAGCCTTCAATACGACCCGGGGTGTAAAGTGTCCAACTCTAGTAGGGGCCTGATGGCATCCCCGCCGAGTCCCAGGAGAGAGAGAGAAGACCCCTTCCTGGAGTCCAGGGCTCCCGGGAAGAAACACTGGCATTTGTCCCTTTGCTTCGGCTTCTGGAGGCAGAGACTCTGAGCCCAGGGAGAGCCTTCTGCAGCCCCATTTCCTCAAAAATCCAACCTGCCCAGGTGGCGGGTCATGAGCTGTGCTCAGGAAGCTGGAATCTGACCCTGGTGGCGTCGGGCCCAGTCTCCATGGCAGCCGAGCATTTATTACCCGGGCCTCCACCCAGCTTGGCAGACTTTAGACTTGAGGCTGGAGGAAAGGGAACTGAACGCGGTTCTGGGAGCAGCAAGCCCACGGGTAGCAGCCGAGGCCCCAGAATGGTGAGTGTGAGGGTCTGTGTCGGCCTGGCCAGGGCTGGGGGCGTGAACCTCAGGTGGAGCCCTCCCCTGACTGTTTTCCTTTCTCTGCTGCAGGCCAAGTTTCTTTCCCAAGACCAAATTAATGGTAGGTTGGGTTTGTTCTTTGATTAGCAACTCAGCAAAATATGGGTCTCATTAGGCAATTTGCTCTGCTCATGTTTTCTTGGTGGGAAGGAAGGTGGCTGTGGGAGAGCTGGGCCCACCCAGGGCCAAGAGCTGCGGGGAGGCTGCTGTTGGCGGGGTGGGGGTTGGGGGTAAGCCTCCAAAATAGACATGTGGCTTTATACTTGTCAGTGTGACTTACAAGCCAGGGCGCTAAGACAGAACTTACTAGGTTTCCCTCCAGAACCTGACCAGTTGGATTTGGGGACTGAGGGGACTGGGGATGGAGAGAGAGACCATTAAAGGTATGGCTGGCAGCAGGGAAAGAGGAGGGGCTTTGTAATTGAGACAGAACAGAGGCCAGGTCTGCACTCTCTGGCAGGATGCGTCTACTCTCTGCGCCTCAGTCTCCCTATCTGTAAAATGGAGGGTCCACTGAGCCCCCTTTGCCCTGGCATCAAGCCTGGTTTGGGCGTGAGCACTTTATTCCCTGGGTCCCCTACTCTGCCAGCCCTCGACCAGGCTTCAGTTTCACACCGTGCAGGGTTCTATTTCCAGAAGGCCAAGAGCAAAGAGTTGCGTTACAAAGAACTTGGGGGCCCAGACCTGAGCCAGGGGAGCCTCATGGCTGCAGCCCCCCTGCACCTGGCAGGAGAGGCCCAGGAGGCACAGCCAGCTGCTGCTTGAGGTTGTGACCCTGAAACCTGTCCCAACAGTGGACGTCAATGGGCCTGAGAGTCCCCCGAGGCATCCCATTCCTCCAGGTCTTTGCTGAAACATCGCCTTCTCAGTGAGTCCTTCGCTGACCACTGGAGATAAAATTACAGGCACCTTGGGCCCTTGTGATCCAGGGTAGGGTCCTGAGAGCCCAGCCAAGTGGGGTTAGGGTTACCTGGGCAGGAGTTCCAGAGTTCTGGGTATTCTGAGCTTGGTCCAGAGGGGCAGGAATTGTGAGCTCCAGGTGGGCACCTCCACGTAGAACCCTGGAACTCTTTATCCCAAGAGGAGGGCCAGGGCAGGAGCAGGGACTTTTAAAACACAGGGCCCGGGGCAGTGCCCTCTTGTCCAGGTCTAACGGTGATAATGAATGGTGGACTGAGGGCTGGAGTCCAGCCTTCAGCCTCAGCATCCTCCCACCCATGCCTGGTTTTGAGGCTCACTGACCCTCCCTCCTGGGATAGCCAAAGCTCCCAGAAGGGAAGAAGGTAAATTGTCTTTGTATCCCAGTATCTGACACCAAGAAAGTGGCCACCAGTGTTTAATGAGTGTGTGAAAGACTGGATGGGGTGGCCTAGCGAAGTGGGAAGAACAGGGGCTTTGGAGGCAGCAGACCTGAAGCCTAATCACCCTTGAGCCTCGGTTTTCTCACCTATGAAGTAGGATATGCCACCTTACCAGGCTGCTGCGAGCCACGGACAGAGGGGAATAATGTCAGTTACATGCTGGACGCTGGGCCAGGCATAGCCAGGTGTCACCCACATGTGGGCTGGGGCTGGCTCACTACAGCTAGCAAGAGCCATAGTTTTAGGAATTTTGCAAGCAGGATGTTAAAGCCAGCCATTATTAAATAATGTAGGATCAAACAGTGTTTCAATCCCTACATCTATCTGTACAAAAAGTTAAAAAGACAGCCCTATTGTGATCAGTGGAGATGGAGATTTGAAAGAAGTTTCAATTTAATGAATGTGTTTGGTAAAAGGGTGAGAAATAGTTTAACAGTAGATCACATCAGGTTTAATGACCATTCATTCATTGGAAAAAGAATCGCACTCATTGGCGCGCAGCTTCATTTGTCAAATCATGGTTGAATCGAAACTATAGGTTGGCAATGGATATAAGAGTTGGCAAAACTTGGGCTGAGTGCAGTGGCTCACGTCTGTAATCCCAGCACTTTGGGAGGCCGAGGCATGTGGATCACCTGATGTCAGGGGTTTGAAACCAGCCTGGCCAACATGGTGAAACCCCATCTCTACTAAAAATACAAAACTGGCCAGGTGCAGTTGGCTCATGCCTGTAATCCCAGCACTTTGAGAGACCGAGGGAGGCAGATCACCTGAGGTCAGGAGTTTGAGACCAGCCTGGCCAACATGGTGAAACCCTATCTCTACTAAAAGTACAAAAATTAGCCTGGTGTGCTGGCAGGCACCTGTAATTCCAGCTACTCAGGAGGCTGAGGCAGGAGAATCACTTGAACCCAGGAGGCGGAGGTTGCAGTGAACCGAGATTGAGCCACTACACTCCAGCCTGGGCAACAAGAGCGAGACTCTGTCTCAAAAAAAAAAAAAAAAAAAAAAAAGCCGGTCATGGTGGCACATGCCTATAATCCCAGCTTCTTGGGAGGCTGAGGCAGGAGAATCACTTGAACCTGGGAGGTGGAGGCTGCAGTGAGCTGAAATTGTGCCATTGCACTCTAGCCTGGGCAACAAGAGCAAAACTCTCTCAAAAAAAAAAAAAAAAAAAGTTGGCAAAACTCATTTGTGGTAATCAAGTGGCTAGATGGAATTTATTTATTTGAGACAGAGTCTTGCTCTGTGCAATGGCATGATCTCCGCTCATTTCAACCTTCACCACCCAGACTCAAGGGATTCTCCCACCTCTGTCTCCTGAGTAGCTGGGACTACAGGCATGCACCACCACACACAAAACATTTGTAAATATTTTGTAGACATGAGGTCTTACTATATTGTCCAGGCTGGTCTCGAACTCCTGGGCCCAAGCGATACTCCTGTCTCACCCTCCCAAAGTGCTGGGATTACAGGCGTGAGCCACTGCACCCAGCCCTAGATGGAATTTATAATAAAGAATAGTGTACATTTCTGTATTATTTGTAAATTGTGTGCTACACATCCTTTATGTTTGTACAGTGCAGAGGACACAAGTACATTTATGATCAGAGCTGGTGGTTAAACATCCAGCACAGCTGGTGTTATCCTAGGCCTTGCACAGGTCTCTTTCTTGTCCTGGGGGATTTGCATTTTCAAAGAGAAGACTTAAAGGGGATTTTTAATCCAATTCATTTAACCCAATTAATCCTTTCATTCAACAAATGTTTGTGTCCCTTCTTTGTGCCTGGAGCTACATACAACAGTGAACTCAAAGACAAAAATCCCTTCCTCACAGGGGGTCACCATCGAGGGAGGGGAACGTGGTGAAATATATGTGCTAGTATGTTAGAGGGCCGACCTGTCAGGAGAAAAAGCAGGAAGGAGAGCCAGGAGGTGAGGAGGGAGAGTGAAGAGATGGTGGAGGAAGGGGCCAGCAGGAAGCCCAGCTGGGTCTCCAGCACCCTGTTGTCTTGTTCCAGTGCAGGAATGCAAAGTTCAGATGTGGCCTTCCAGGTCTTTAAAGGCGTCTGAGGCAGGGAGACAGCACGTATCTGATGTGAAGGTTTGTGAGGAGGTGGGCCTCTATTTGAGCCCTGGCCCTGCTGCTGGCAAGGACCACAGGCCCCCAGTGACTGACAGGGCTTGTCGGGGAGTAGTGAAGTGCCCCCATCTGCAGATCCAGGCTGATTCTGGACCCCAAGGGTGTGATGAGCACCTTCCAGCACAGGTCAGGCAGGGAGAGCAGTGGGCCTTGGGCCCACCCTCACCCAAGGGCAAACCCAGACAGAAAGACAAGGTGAGGGTGGCCATGAGAGGTCCCCAGGGGTACCCCCTGTAGTGCTAAGGTTAAGCTCTGTGATTGGGGCAGCCCTCTCTCTGTCCCCCTGACGTGAGGTGATGGCATTGTCCCCTCTGGCACTGGGCCCTCTTGCAGGCAATTGGGTTTTATGGGAACTAAACCTGGGGTCTTAGGCCAGGCTCTGGCCCTGCTTCCCCTGGGCCTTTTTGGCCCCTGCCACCTGGTCCTGACTTTGGTTTGCCCCTTCGGAAGCTCAGGCTCTGGAATGTTCTGAAAGGGCAGTTGTGCGGGGCTGGGGCTTTCCTCTCAGTCTCTCCACAAAGGCCGCGAATTTGTCTCTAAATGGTACATGGCGATCTGCCTGTCTTTAGTGACCCCCCTGAAATCCTACCAGGGAGGCCTGAGTGCCTTCATTAGGGAATATGAAGGGACCCCTGGTCTGGGCTGGGGATTTGGGGGGCTCCTTCTGCATCCTCTCCCTCACCCTACTGCTCTCAGTGGTGTCTGCCCTGGAACCGAAGGCAGTGTGGCCTGGTGGGCAGAGCTGCCCACAGCCAGGCTCTCAGTGTTCCAGCCCTCAATGTCCTGTCCGCACATGGGAATATGAGGGGGCGCATCACAGGGTTGTGGGGATGAAGCGAGGGCCTGGGGGTGGAGTGCTCAGCAACGTGAATTGTCATTGTTGCTGTCATCAGCTAAGGGGCTATTATTGTCCAGGCCTCTAAGGACCTACCTGGGTGGTGTGAGAAGCAGGAGAGAGAACAGAGCCCTGAGCCCCAGCCTGGGAGGGCCAGCGCCAGGCCACTGTGTTTCCACGGCTCCACCCACAGGCCCGGGTGCCTCGTCTGGGCTGGACGAGAATCTCCCTGTCCTGATGGCAGCCCCACCTACCCCTAAATCAGATGCTCAGTCAGTGCGGTTCAGGGACTTTTCCTGAACTCCCAGCTGGCCTTCCTGGGCCTCCCAGGGCCGGGAGCCCGTGGGATGGCTGTGTCAGGCCGGGAGTCTGTGGGTTTAGGGGAGCTAGCTCCGGCTGCCTTCCACCTCCACCAAGTACCGAAGGAGAAAGGGCTTCAGACCCTGGGAGAATTTCCCAGCAGGACCCTTTGAAGTCTCTAAGAACAGGACCAGGGCCCGAGTCCAAGGACAGCTTGAGGGTTTAGCAGCCTGGAGGCCAGGGCAGGGGCAATAGGCTCAGAAATGCCCCAGCTCTGATGATGATGATAATATCATCATATGAAGGCCACTCTCTGGCAGGCCTCCTGGGATTTCTGGCTCTCACAGTAATCCTGAGGCCTTATTATTCCCATTGTCCAGAAAAGTTGTGTTTGCAGAGGTCCCCTGGGGGTCTGGACGCCTTGCTGTGGGTTCCTGCTCTCCCCTGTGGGCCCTGGAGGGGCACTGTCCTGGGAGTTCCAGTCCTGTGGGTTGGCGGGGAGGGGGAGGGAGAAGGAAGGGAGGGAGTAGGGAGAAAGGGAAGGGGAGCCAGATAAAATACAGGACACCCAGTTAAATTAGAATTTCAGACAAACAACAAATACTTTTCCAATAGAAGTATATGTCCTATGCAAAATTTGGGGCATACAATAAAAGTATATTCAGTGTTTATCTGAATTCGGTTTAACTTGGCAGTCCTGTATTTTCATTTGCTGTATCTAGCACCCTTGGGAGGGGAGAGAGGGATGGAGGGAGTAGGCAAAAGGAAGGGGAAAAGAGGGAGAAGAGACTAAGGATGGGGAGGGCGGCATGGGCGGAGAGTGACCAGACGCTGCTGACCCTCCCTCTGGGCCGTGTGCAGAGTACAAGGAATGCTTCTCCCTGTATGACAAGCAGCAGAGGGGGAAGATAAAAGCCACCGACCTCATGGTGGCCATGAGGTGCCTGGGGGCCAGCCCGACGCCAGGGGAGGTGCAGCGGCACCTGCAGACCCACGGGATAGGTGAGTGGTGGTGGGAACAACGGGGAGAGGGGAGGGGCCCAGCAGGTGGGTGCAGACAGTAGAGGTGTGAAAAGCTCAGCAGTTTGAGGGGCAGGTGGCAGGGAGGCCTCCTGGGGATCCAGCTGTGGCAGCCCCAGACCAGGAGTGCCGTACCTCACTTGGGCTTCCTGGAATCCTCATAGCAACCAGTGATACCCCATCTCACAGACCTCGGGATCTAGGCGTTCCAACAGACTTACCAAACCCAGAGAAAAATCGCGCTGACAGCGATCCCATGTTGCTTTATAGGAACATTTCCCTTTGTTGAGTATTTGTCATGTGCTTAGCTCCAAAAACCCTATGAAGTAGGCATTCTCCTAACCTTTTTTTTTTGAGGGGGGACAGAGTCTTGCTCTGTCACCGAGAAGCTGACGTGCAGTGGTGAGATCTCGGCTCACTGCAACCTCTGCCTCCCAGGTTCAAGTGATTCTCCTGCCTCAGCCTCCCAAGTAGCTGGGATTACAGGTGCCTGCCACCACGCCTAGCTAATTTTTGCATTTTTAGTAGAGATGGGGTTTTGCCATGTTGGCCAGGCTGGTCTTGAACTCCTGACCTCAGGTGATCTGCCTGCCTCGGCCTCCCAAAGTGCTGGGGTTAGAGGCCTGAGCCACTGCGCCCAGCTTTCTCCTAACTCCATTTTACAAGCAAAGATCAAGGTTTACATCCATTAAGTTCTTGAGCCAATGATGGCATCAGGATTAGTACCCAATTCTTCTGATATCAAAGACTGACCTAAAAACTATGCAATAGTTTTTAGAAAAACTATTGCTAGAAAAAAAATGCTGAAAGAAAACCCATCCAAGATGTTACCAAGTGGTTCTCTCTGGTAATGGGATTATGGGTGATTTTTGTTCCTTTTATTGTTTCCTGTATTTTCAACAATGAGAACACATACAGCTTTTCATAATCAGAAACAAGTTTTATGTTTTGTTTTGCTTTTTCTAAGAAAAAAAGTAGTTTCAGAGCCTGGGGTTGCTGTTTGCATTGGGGGCTGGACACTCAGGAAGGAGGGACTGGCGCAGGGGAAGGGCATCCGCTGGGAATAGCACTTGACCCGGAGCCCATAGGCTGCTGCTCAGTCTCAGGTCACCAGCTTCCTCATCTCAGGGGGGTCACCACCATCTGCTAGGGTTACCAGAGGCCCCACTAGAGGATGCCTGCAGTTGCGCTGGGAGCCCACCCTGGGGCAGGCCACGCTGGGCCCAGGTGGGCCTCTGAAAGCCTGCAGCCTGGCGGTGGGTTGCTCAGTGGTCTGATACCTGAGATCCCCCATGTCCAGCTCCAAAGGGGTGGTGGTTTCCTTGATTTCTGTCCCCTCCAAACAGGAAGTTGTAGTCCAGGGAAGTTTTGATTTCCTGCAGTTACATCCCAGCCAGGGCCCGTGGAGGAGGGGCTGGGATGGAGACTGCAGTGAGGGGAAGGCAGGTGAGCAGCCCAGCCTGCGACTGAGGCTTGAGACCCCAGGTGGGGGTGCTGATCCATCCTGGTAAGATGTACTGTGGTGGCTGTCAAAGGTGGAATGCACACATGGACCTGTTTCCCTCCAGTTCAGGGCAGGAGGGAAGCGCTAGAAGGGAGCAGAGGAGCCCAGTCCTCCATCTGTGGTTGGGAACCCACTTTCTTGAGCTTTGGGGTGATGATAAGCATCGTCACTGAGGACGTTGCTGAAATGAAGAATGTCCAGTCCAGTGAGGGGCCTGTCGTGGGAACTCGGTGGGAGGGGATGCATCCTCTTCACTGTGACCACTGCCACATCCTGGCATTCCCTGGTCAGTTGACCTTGAACCGGCTGTGCAGGTCCAGCAGGAGGCCAGCTGGCTTCCTAGGAGTCTTTTTCCCTCTGCTCACTCTGCTGTGTTTGCGGGTTTCCTAGACGGAAATGGAGAGCTGGATTTCTCCACTTTTCTGACCATTATGCACATGCAAATAAAACAAGAAGACCCAAAGAAAGAAATTCTTCTAGCCATGTTGATGGTGGACAAGGAGAAGAAAGGTTACGTCATGGCGTCCGACCTGCGGTCAAAACTCACGAGTCTGGGGGAGAAGCTCACCCACAAGGAAGGTAACAGCCTGGGTCCTGTCTCCCAACAGTTGGAGGGGGTTAGGGAGTTGGAAGGAGGGCACCAAAGCCTAGCTGATGCCACCAGGGTGGTACAGACCACCTCTGTTGATGCGCGCGCAGGAGACTGTGAGCAGATGCCACACTAGGTGGGTGCTGGACTGGAGCCTGGGGAAGAACTAGAGGGGCTGGAAGGGCGCAGGGAGGTCTGCCAGGGTGAAGGGACAGCCTAGGGGAAACCCAGCTCGGAACCCACAAGGCAGGGCAGCTGGAGCGTGCAGTCTGGTCTCCCCCTGTGTTCAAGCTCTCACTGTGGGGCTTCATCTAGTGCATGACACCCCTGGGAGCACAAATGCCTGCTCCTACTGATAAAGAAGCAGGGGGAGTGAGCGGCTCCCAAGCAGCGGCGCAGGAGCGAAGGCAGGTCTAGACATCCCTGCCCTTTTTCCCATCACAGCAGTCTGCAGTTGCTGCTGAGGTCGAGTTTCCGAATTGAGGTGCTGCTTTGCTCCCTTTCCAACTCAGGCTGCTCTAAGCTCTTCCAGAAAGGGGCTCCAGAGGGAACTTTGCCAGGACAGTTGGAGAACTGCCGAGACAGGCAGGGTTCCTGGTTCCAGAGCCCCACGAGAAAGGGGTCTTTGCTTTGCACCTTCCTGCAGCCTAGCAGGCTGTCCTGCCTCAGAGCAGGACGAGGCCTGGGGTCTTCTAGGAAAGCCCTTTGTACACTGTCAAGGGGATCCCCACGCCAAGGCCATTTACAGCCTTTGTTCTTCCAGCCTGCGGACCCTCCTGCCTAGCCCTGCCATGTTCGCAGCAGCCAGCCAGCCAGCTCTGCCTCTGCCCGAGGCCAGGGACCCCGACCTTAGAGCCTGGGGTTTCTAGGTAGGCTGCCCTGCTTGCCTGTGGTTTGGACAGGAGAGCTGGGCTTGGCCACAAGTGGGTGCTGGAAAGAGGCTTCAATATGACGGACTTTCCGTCTCTGGTTAAATCACAATAAACCACTGGAGGAGAGCTTTGAGGCTGTGGTTTGAATCCTGGGTGCCAGGAGACCTTTCTCCCACCTCGCTTTCCTTGCTGGAAATGAGGGTACAGTAGGTGACCCCTCAGGTCCCTCTGAGCTACCACTCTACAAATCACTCTGCTCAGATTTTAGCTACTGCCATTAAGGCACAGTGCAGAGAGTTTAAAAATTGCTGCAGAGTTTAAAAATTGCCTGACATACAAAAATTAGCCAGGCGTGGTGGCGGGCGCCTGTAGCCCCAGCTACTCGGGAGGCTGAGGCAGGAGGATCACTTGAATCTGGGAGGCGGAGGTTGCAGTGAGCCGAGCTTGCGCCACTACACTCCAGCTTGGGTGACAGAATGAGACTTTATCTCCATAAATAAATAATCGCCCAACAGCAGGCTGGGTCTCCATACCCAGCTTTTCCAGGTTCACCTCTCGTGGCTGTTTTCACATGGATAGGGAAGACATGGGTCATCCTTCCCTCCCAGACTCCCCCCAGGACACTGCCCGGCCCTCTAGACAGCAGGTGGAGTCAGCAGAGGGAGCAGGGCCTTCTTTTTGTGGTTAATGATCTCTGTCCTAAGCAATGCCATGGCCCCAGACTCACATACATCTCTAATAACCAGCAGAGGACTGTTTCACAGAAACTGCTGTGTTCCAGACAAGCAGGGACACCGATTTCCCTCCCACTTGCCACGGGAGATGGGAAGAATGATACCAGCAGCAGGAATCCTTTTTCTGGGTGATCGAAAGACAATTTTCAGTTTAAAAAGCATCCTTGGAATGGCTGTGGGTGAAGCCTTCTCCTGAGGCCTGGGATGGGCTGACTTTAGCACTTTGGCTTTCTATGGGTCTTTGAAGTGAGATGGAGTGAAAGGCTGTTCTACTCAGGTGTCCTCAGACTTGGCACCTGGCTAAGTGCTGTCCCTCGCCCAGATGGGAAGAGGCTGCAGTGACTGGCCCTGGAGCTGATGTTGGCCTATCCCCCAGGATGGTTTTAGCCACCTGGCTGATTGTGGAAACTTCTCCACAAAATGAGATGAATTATACTGTCCTCAACATTCTCCCAATAAATACTCAGAACTACTATCAGCTTAGGCCAAGGCATGGTGATTATACTTTCGAGAAGGATAGTTAAGCAGAGAATCACAGGATATTTTCTAACTGACGACCGGAGGTGTGTGTGTGGAAGGTATCCAGGCCTGGGAAGTTGACACAGGGCAGTGAGATGAGGACAGGCTAAAGAGCCATGGTAGGTTGACCCCAAGAGGCCATTGTGGAGAATACAAGCTGAAATGGCTCTTGCCAACGCCTGGGACAAGCTATTATTTTATCCCAGGAATCCAGAACCAGAAGAAACAAGCAAATGAAGTGATTTTTTTTTTTTTTTTGGAGTGATGGAGAACAATGGCAGTTTTGTTTTGTATACTGTGAGCTCTCAACAGAGTTGGATTTATTTTTCTCTCATATAAACCCCATCCCCCAAACATTTTTTTTTTTTTTTAGAGGTGATGGTAGCAGACAGTGCTTGTCACTAAGTCCTCTCTTGGGGTGGGGGCAGAGGTGGTGAGGAGCACCGGCTTAGGGGAAAAGGCAGGCAAGTGAGGAGCAGGCCGAAGCCTGGGACTGTGGAGGATGTTCGCTCTGTTTGCAGGCTGAGCTGCGGAAGGTAAAAACTCCAGGCCAAAGGATTCTAGAAATATGGGCACAGGGGTCATATTTTCATGAAAAAATAAAAATAAAAGCACAGGGTGGGCCGGGCACAGTGGCTCATGCCTGTAATCCCAGCACTTTGGGAGGCTGAGGTGGATGGCTCACCTGAGGTCAGGAGTTCAAGACCAGCCTGGCCAACATGGTGAAACCCCGTCTCTACTAAAAATACAAAAATTAGCCGGGCATGGTGGTACTTGCCTGTAAGCTCAGCTACTCAGGAGCCTGAGGCAGGAGAATCGCTTGAACCTGGGAGGCGGAGGTTGCAGTGAGCTGAGATTGTGCCACTGCACTCCAGCCTGGGCAACAAGAGCGAAACTGTTTTAAAAAAAAAAAAAAAAAAGCACACGGTGGCATCAGTGACCGAATCCTTACCAGTACACCTCCCTACTCCCTGCCCCTGCAGAAAGCCCGATTAGCTCAAAATGGAATAAGGGTCTCAGGAGTGCAGGGATGGGTTGTCCCTTTCTGTTCACTGGTTTACTTCCTGGTCTACAGGAATAGTCAACTGCACGCTCAGGGAAGACCTTAGGGGAGCTCCAGTCCCCAAAAAACTCACTGTTTTATAATGGAACACTAAAGCCAAACTGAAAAATTAAATGTGATTTATTGCAGTGGATGATCTCTTCAGGGAAGCAGATATCGAACCCAATGGCAAAGTGAAGTATGATGAATTTATCCACAAGATCACCCTTCCTGGACGGGACTATTGAAGGAGGAGAATGGGAGAGCCTCCCCTGGGCCTGAAAACTTGGAGCAATTAATTTTTTTTAAAAAGTGTTCTTTTCACTTGGGAGAGATGGCAAACACAGTGGCAAGACAACATTACCCAACTATAGAAGAGAGGCTAACTAGCAACAATAATAGATGATTTCAGCCATGGTATGAGTAGATCTTTAATAAAAGATTTGTATTGATTTTATTAACTACCGTGAGTCCGGCCCTTTCAAGCATGGAAGGAGCCTGCGGTTTGGAGTCTGGCCTGGGTTCCAGTCCTGGCTCTGCTGCTTCCCACTGTGACTTTGGGCAAATCATTTCACTCCTCAAAGCCCCCCCACACAAGCTGGATTCCCACTTCTTACCTCATGGAGCCTGTTGAGGAAGGATTGAGCTGATGACTTAAGGGCAATCTACCAAGAGACTTATTCTGTATTTGGGGGCTAGAACCATCTTCCATATTTCCAAGATTTTCCAAGATGAAGCCAGTGCTAGCTGAGAAGCAGCAATGAACAGAAAGCTGTAACACTTATGACAACAATTCTTGCAGTGCCAGAGGCCCATTTACAAATTCTCATTTCCATCTCAACAGATATAGTGACATAGCTCAGGCTATTCATTCATAAACACAGAGTGTAGAGTGAAAACACTAGAGTGAAAACACATGCTACAATGAGGCAGCATCAGCTGAGAGCAGGAAGAGCGATCTACTTTACACCCCACACCAAAGGAAACCAGATGTGAGCTGCTAAATTGACTGGCCTTGCAGAGCTCAAGAAGGGGGCTTCCAATGCTGTGAGAATTCCGAGCTGTTCCCTGGGCTCTGTTAACAGGCAGAGAGGTTCCGGGATGGTCTGCTCAAGTGGCCCACACTGGTCATTGCCTTAAGCCACCTCCCCAGGACTTACGGAGAGAAATAAGGGGATGTAACCAGCAATGGCCAGGGTACAACAGCCCTGGAAAACAGTAGTAGGAGCACTAGGCTTTCTGGGAGTCCATCCAGCTGGAGTGGCTTTGAGTGAGTTACACAGCTAGAAGGTGCCAGGTTGGTGCTGCCAGAGATTCAGAGGTGCCATACACTTGTCAAATCTGGATCATTCGTAGTGCCAGCACAGTCCTAAAAGGGCTGGAGTACCACACCAACACAGGTAGGGGTGCAGGGCTTCAAGTACAAAGATTTGCATCCATGTATGTATCAAAAGTGGGTTCTCTGGGCTGTGGCTTTGTCTAGTAGTACCACAGTGGCTAAAGTAGAAGAAAACCAAATCAAATGGGATGTGTCTTTTGGGAGGATGTACAAGACACAAATCTTTCACTAGGCACCGGGCACAGGGAAAACTGCAGGGAACAAGAGTTGTAGTGTTAGTGCAACTGTCTCAACGATGCTGTGTGGCTTCAGACCCAAACAAGGCCCTGAGGAAGGAGACTCTCATTTCCCCAAGCATAACTGCAAGGAGAGGAGGAATTCCTAGGAGCCAAAGAGTTTTGTGGGGTGAGGGTAAATAAATGGCCCAAATGCCAACTAGGTGAAGTTGTGACCATCTGGCTGGGAAGCCCAGGTCCACACAGTGTAGGAGCAGATGTTTTGTGGGGTCTGAGGTTTACGAGATTTGGCTGCCTTAAGAATACAAAAACAGAAATGCAGAATTTCTGGGGCTGCTCCTAGGACCAGAACAAGTGAAGGGTCCTGGTGCTTAAACTTCATTACCTTCATGGTAAATCCACCAGAGGGCCGGTTAGATGCTGGCCCCGCCGAGAGAACTGCTGTCACTTTCAGGCAAAGCTCAAAGGTCCTAGGCCCACAGTTCTTTTGAGCTCCAGTCATGGACATTAGGAAGTAAATCCTGCACAGCCAACCTGGAATACCAAAGATTAGATGGGAGATAGATACCAATGATTTAGATGGCACAGGAAGAGCAAGTTCTGGATATAATAAATGAGGGTACTTTCCGTCAAAGCTTTTCTATGTCTATATTTATCACTGAATAGTCCCAGTATGGTTTTAAAGCAAGTTTTATGAATCTCATTTGCCTAACAGGAATCTGAAATATAACTTGCCAAAAACACACAGTTGGTGTGGAATGGTCATTAGAACCTGGGGCTCCTCTTCACGGACTCCCTGCTCATTAAGGGATTCAGTGGTCCAGAGTCTAAGATCCTATTAAGTGTTTGATTCAAACCTCTACCCGAGGAAGGGCTGTTACCTTACTCCTGGTCCTGGTTTCAAGCTCATTCCTGAAATTCCAGCTGGTTTCTCTAGCACCTAGTGTTGTTTACAAGAAGGCCACGGTGCTCTTAGCATTCAAACTGCAGATACTAAACAGATGCTGTGATTTATTAAAGAGTTAGCCATATTTCAACAAGAAAGGGAAATGATGGCTATATTCATTACTTACCTCAAAGCATGCTGCAAGAAAATTAGTTAGTTACTTGTCATGCTTTGAAATCTCTGGATGAAAGGTGCTTTGGAAGCACAAACCATTATCACTTGTCTCATAGGGATTGTCCCCTTGAACATCCAGCAGTGTTATTTTACAGAAGACAAATTAACTGAAGGCTTTTCTTTTATTACATCTAAAGAGCTCTACATAAACAGGTAACATTCAATAGGTAAACAATTTTTTTCCAATGCATGTAATAAATATTTTCACTTGGTACTTTTATACAAACTGACATTGTCTACTATACATTTTTAAAAGCCATTTTACTGGTTTGGCATGCGGTATGGAAATTCTAAGAGAGAAAGTTTTAAGGCAATGAATCACAGATTTAAGTTCATGGAATTTATGGTAACTTTATCTGTTTATGTACATTTTCCCCTTTGTTAAACAATTAACAGCAGCACACTCTGGGACCACCAGCTATTTTCCCTCTCTTTCTGAAATCTAAGCTTTGTATTTAATTAAAAAACAGAATTCAACATCTATTGATAAAACAAAATTCTTACTAAAATAATTTCAAATGTGCTTTAAAAAGTCCTGAAGATCTTGAAAGTTTTATGTGTTTAAAATTGAAATTGTCTAAAAAAATGCTCTTTCCACATTAATTTAGTTAGGATATATTTTCACTCCATTTCAGACACTTGACTCAAAGGAAAATCTGCCAAAGAATCCGATTTTTCAGAGCTTACGTGAATCTTTCCTCAGTAAAGATACAGAATTGTGATCATGTCTAAATAATTAGTAAAGCAATTTTAATGCTCAAAATAGTCAACCAAGTATGGCATGGTTCTGGTTCAGATTTTTTTTTTTTAAGATGTATCCAATAACACTCACGAAGTAATTAAAAGCCACTTTAACCCTGCTAGTCAAATAGCTATTTTATCAAAGATGTGTGCATACAGATGTATATATATATACACACACACACACACAGTACTGTACAGAAACAAACATATGCATACCTACTATGAACGGCCAAGGCAAGGGGGATGATGGCAACTTGACTAGATTCTGAGAACTGCTATTTGTCCACAGATAGCATGTCAATGTTGGGATGGGTTGGGGAGTGAGCGTAGGCTAAGAAAAAAAGAGATGAAGTGACTATGTGCTTTTCTTTAAACTTAGTAGTTACAGACATAGTACAGGACTCTACTAATAATTAGTAGAGATCATGAAAGTCTGATTGATATTGACCATGAGACCAACAGAGTGACAACTATTACTTAATGCAACATTTTGGAAAGTCAACAACTGATGGAAACAAACTCCTCACAGGGTAGAACGAACTAAAATTAAGACAACTGAATGGTTAGTTTCTCCTGTGGACACATGACCAAAACCACTGAAACCACCGTATGTTTATTTCTCCCTATTACCTGTTCTTCTCTTAGGTTGGTATAATGTGGGACACTGAGGGAAATTAACCTTTTCTACAACTGAAGAAAGTAGAGGGATACGTTTTCAACTGGATCATTCAAACGGTTTGTAATTCAGCATCATACACAAAGTTACTGATCAGAATTCTGAGACCACTAACAATGACACATAAAAAAACAGGAAGAAAACTATTCATTTTACCTAAGACAGCTGAATTAGTAAAAATGTTTCCTAAAGCAATGTAAAAATCAGAAAAAACTCCCCACAATTTTAGTAATTTCTACCCCAACAGAAATTTAGACACAAATTATGGTAGTATTAGAAATTAGCCTAAATTAATACGACATTTGCTCACTATAATGCCAGATTCATTAAAAAACATTAACTGTTTCCTGGTTAACTGACAATCTGTTTTGGTTTTTTTTTTATTGCAAATTGTTTTATGACTATAACTCAGCCATTTGTGTGTGGAATACACATGCGTAGGGGAAGACTATGAAACTCACTTGTTACTCAAACACACTTGTTTATAAATACATATATACACACACACATATACATATCAACACCAACTTTTTTTTTTCCCAAAATTCAAGTCAACAATTTAGTGGCAGAGAGATGCTATAAAAACATTATTTTTAGATGCCACACAAGTCATGAGAACCATTAATTTTATCATACAACTGAAGTACAGCCATCTTGAATTCTACCTGGATTAAAGTTGATCATTTTGTTACCAATGCAAGGTTTAAAACTACAAGTGTATACACAAAGGTGGTCCTCATCAACTCTGAGAACATTAATAGTTGCGGTAGGAAAATCCAGTCTGGAAAACCAGCAGTCATTATGCCCCTTATCTCTTCTGTTAAACCTGCATTCTCAATCAACTAAAAAATATTTTCCACACCTGAGAACATCATACCTTCTCTGATGAGGATTTTGGAACATTAGTAGAACCACTTTTCCTTCCCTCCAACTCATATTTCTCTCCTGAAAAACAGTTTTCAGTATATTTACATGTTCCATTATGAATAAGAGTAGATCAGACTGATCCATGAATTCTAAAAAAAAATGACTTTCCTATGTCATACTTGTTAAAAGGTGAAGAAAAAGATAAACAAGGCAGATACGCTAAGAAAATAGGTATACTCAGAACCAAAGAGTAAAAATGACTAAGGGTCAAACACATCTTGAATTTCAACTGTTTATCAAATAGTAGACTTCTACAAAAATGTGGTGCATTGTACTTTCCAAACAATTTATTTTTAGGATAACTGACCGTGTATCTTTCTTTTTTAGGTGATGTAACATTACCTCTGTCAGCTGCACAAAACACCTGACAGAGCTTTCTAAGCTATTTTTACTTCCTACTTTGGTATGAAGATCTTACATGAAAACTTGTTACTCTGTGGCCAAAAAAAGCAGGTATTCACAGACTTGGTTTAAATACACAATACTGGCAATCCAGATTTAGAATAAAGAACTAGACTAAAGTGTATTATTCATAGGTCGGCTAAGCCTACTCCTTACCCAGACAGCTTTATTCCAATATCTCTAAAACATATTCTCAGGGGGTACAGAGCAAATAAGAGAATATGTGATGGAGAACATGCAATTGGGATAGTTGATAAAGATGCTCACACGTGAGTTCAAGACCTTCAAAGCACTTTGAAAGAAGCAAGCAACTGATTATATTAACTGAATGCACACTCGGGAGGAGAGGGAACAGTGATGACAGAAAAATACATACAGACGCACACAATGAACACACACACCCACGAGCCATGTCCTGAAAATACACAGGGAATGCAGCGGGACAGATGAGCTTTATAACTTAAGGCTGGATAAAATATGCACACACAAACAGAATCCAAGTCTGTCGTTTTCAGAAAATGGAAATCAAACTATCCCCCGACCCCCTCCCCACAACAAAGAAAAGCCCACGATTGAAAACTTCATACATGCAATTCCTTTTCTGTTATTGCAAATAAAATAATGCCATCGAAGTCAAATAAAACCAAAACCATAGGACAAATAATGAAAAATCTTCAGAATCCAGAAAAAAATGAACTGAAGGTGGTTTGTGGGTGCTTGTTTTTCTTTTTTCTTTTCTTTCCTTTTTTTTTTTAAACAAGTGTTTTATCACACAGGCAGTCTTAGATTTATATACAAAAGTAAAACTGAAAATATAGTTTTGTTCTCTGTACATTTCTTTTAATTTTTTCCCTAAAAAAAGGAAAAAAAACACGCTTGTATACTTTTCTAAACAGAGTAAGGTAAAACAGAGCACAAAGTTCTCTTCTTTCTGCCAAGTTCATTCGATCTGGGGTGGGGATGGGAGCAGCAGGGCCTGGGAATCAGTCCAATGAAATAATGTCTGGTATGATGCCAAAGATGGATGCCGTGTCCGTGCTGCTCCTGTTTGTGACGGTGTGGCTATGGCTTTCCCTTAGGCTGTTGGAAGAAACCAGGCTGCTGTTACTGCCACTACTGCTTCCATTGGTGGTTGGCAGAGAAGTACTGCCTCCTGCACTTAACTGATCAAGAAACATCTGTGAGGAGGTATACGGGAAAAACCGAGACGAGTGTAGGAGGTCTTGATCATCTGAAACTGCTGCTGCTGCAGCGGCAAGCAAGGAGGTGTTGTAATGCTAGGGAGGGGAAACAAAAGACACAAAAATGTTAATTATACTTCCAAATTAATATATTTTCTCCTCAGCGGGACACAGCCCTAAATTTAAGATAGCCTGAGTATCTAGGGTTTCTGAAATATTTACTAAGACATTTTGCAAAATCAAATGGCCTTATGTAAGGACTGGAGCATTGATCTTGAGAAGACATTTTTGTATCTGAAACTGGAGGAAAAACAAAATATAAATTTTATTGTTTTTTGTTTTAGTTTGTATTGCAAGCAATTACCAATTCTATTTCCCAAGAAGCATATGCTCAGAAGCAGCAGGAGGGGCAGACAGTCCATGCTCTTGCTAGTAAGGAGATACTTAGCCAAGAAATCTATCAGTCAATATGACTCACTGCCCTGTTTCTTTATAAAACAGTACTGGAAACCAACAGACACTGTTCTTATTATACACTCAGGCACCACTGAAAGTTAGAATTTTTATTTAAATTTTAAAGCCATAATGATAATGGGTATGATTACTCTAAGTTTTCCAAGGAAATTTATCTTTCTCTTGGCTACACATTATACTTTTAAATACAGTCATGCGTCGCTTAATGACACGGATGTGTTTTGAGAAATGCATCATTAGGCGGTTTTGTGGCTGTGCAAACATCACAGTGTGCTTGCACAAACCTAGACAGTAGAGCCTGCTACACACCTAGGCTGTGTGGTCTGGCCTACTGCTCCCAGGCTACAAACCTGTACAGCATGTTACTGTGCTGAATGCCGTAGGCAACTGTAACACAATGCTAAGTATGTGTATATCTCAACATAGAAAAGGTACAGTAAAAATATGGTATAAAAGATAAAAAAATGATACACCTGTATAGGGCACTTACCATGAATGGAGCCTGCAGTACTGGAAGTTGCTCTGGGTGAGCCAGTGAGTGAATGGTGAGTGAATGTGAGGCTTAGGACATTATTGTACACTACTGTAGACTTTATAAACACTGTACACTATGGCCACACTAAATGTGTTAAAAATATTTTTCTTTCTTCAATAATAAATTAACATTAGCTAACTAATTTTACTTTATAAACTGATTTTTTAAAACTTTGACTCTTGTAACACTTAATTTAAAACACAAGTACATTGTACAGCTGAACAAAAATATTTCCTTCTTTATATCCTTATTCTGTAAGTCTCTATTTTTAACATTTTAAAATATTTTTTACTTTTTAACTTTTTTGTTAAAAATGACACACACAACACATTAGCCTAGGCCTACACAGGGAGGTCAGGGTCATCGATGTCACTGTCTTCCATCTGCACAGCTTGTCCCACTGCATGGTCTTCAGGGAAAATAGCATGCATGGAGCTGTCATTTGCTATGACAACAATCTTCTGGAACACCCACTGAAGGACCTGCCTGAGGCTCTTCTTAAGGAGGTGTCACTCTTTTCAGAAATATGTCCATGGTGTTTGGCTTGGTTTCTTTTTTATCATAGGTTTGCTTGTAAGTAGATAATGTACCATAAACATTCCTCTCTATTAATGAAAACCTTTCATTGTTAGGGCCCATGTTTTTTTTGTTTGTTTTGTTTTTGAGATGGAGTCTCGCTCTGCCACCCAGGTTGGAGTAGAGTGGTGCACGCAATCTCGGCTCACTGCAACCTCCGCCTCCCAGGTTCAAGTGATTCTTCTGCCTCAGCCTCCCGAGTAGCTGGGATTACAGGCGTGTAGCACCACGCCCAGCTAATTTTTGTATTTTTAGTAGAGACGGGGTTTCACCATGTTGGTCAGGCTGGTCTCGAACTCCTGACCTCATGATCTACCCGCTTTGGCCTCCCAAAGTGCTGGGATTATAGGTGTAAGCCACAGCGCCCAGCCAGGGCCCATGTTTTTAAATTTTTTAAGGAGCTTGTTGAGGTCTGCAAAAGCTTCTGCTAAACCTTTCACTGTGAATTTTCTTGGAGGTTCTTCCTTTTTGTCTCCTGCAGTTTCCTTTTCTCTTGCACCTTCTTCAGCTGCGTGTTCCTGTTCCAGTTCCAACAGCTCATTAGTCAATTCCTCAGGAACCACATCTAGGAGCTTCTCAATGTCATCCTCATCTACATCTAGGTTAAAGTTGTTTGCCATGTCAACCACAGCCTTGTCCATTTCTGCAACCTCTTCATCCTTAGCAGATTCTTTGAAGTCATGAACAAACTTCTTCAGTGTCTTCTAGATGTCATTCACATACTCCTTGGTGACATCAGTCCATGCCCAAGCAAGGTTCTTGATGCAGTCATAGCTGTTGTAAACCTTCCAGAATTGCATCAGTGTCCTCTCGGTGTTTTTCAGTTGCAGCAATAGCCTGGGCAAAGATCCTCCTTAGGATCTTTTAATAGGCCTTAAAAACTGCTACAACTCCTTGATTCATTGGTTGGATCAAAGAGGTGGTATATGGAAGGAGACACAACACTTTGATATTGGGATGAAGATCACCAATGAAATGAGGATGTGTGGGAGCATTATCAACAAAAATCATCATCTTGAAAAGTATGTTACTCTCTCAACAGTACTTCTCCATTTTGCTGGCACAGCAATTCGGGAGGACATCCTGGAAGAAAAGCTGGGTCATCGATGACTTCTTATTGCTCCTGTAGTACACGGGCAGTGTGTGCTTGCTGACATGCTTGAAGGCTCTGGAGTTCTCACTGTGCCAGATCACAAAGGGTTTCAATTTGTAGCCTGCAATATGGCCCCAAGCAAGACTGTTATCTTGTCCTTAAAAGCCTTGAAATCTAGCATTGACTTGGCTTCTTTATGGATGAAAGTCCTTTCAGCCATTTATTTCCAGAATAGGGAGGTTTCATGCGTATTGAAAATTTGTCTGGCAAGTAATCTTCCTTCATAATCAGCTTATCTAGAGTTTCCAAAAATTCTTCAGTTGCCTTCACATCTGCATTTGCAGACTCTCCACTCACTTTGATATTACATAATGAATAATGATTCTTCAATCGTTTAAACCACCCGGAGCTAGCAGTACATTTAACACTGTAGTTGGGTCCAGTCTTTTCTTTAAGCATTGCAAACAAACTTTTTGCTTTGGCCATGATCATTATGGTGCTGAGAGGGATATGTTTCTGTGTCTGGTCTTCAATCCAGGTCACTAACAAGTTTCTCCATATCTGATACAGGCCCTTCTCAAATTTTTGTTAGTCTTGTTGCCTTGAACAAAGCAGATCCTTTAACAGCTTCTATCACTTTGTTCTTGTTCTTTAAGACTGTAGCTATGGTAGAATGGGACTGCCTGACTGGTGAGCAATAACTATCACTGATCTTCCACTTTCATCGTCCTTAATCACTTAATTTTTTTCCATGTCAGTCACTCGATGTGGCCTCTTACTGGCAACATTAGCTGTGGATTTTGTATGCTTAGGGGCCATGATGAACAAAACAAGACAAGATTTTCATCAAGCACAAGAGGAAATGATGCAATCAAGAGATGTGGCAAACTGGGATGTATGAGGCTGTCCTGGAATAACATGGCACACTGTTTTACAGCAAACTTAAAAAAAAAAAAAGTAGAGGTACACTCTAAAATAACAATAAAAAATATAGTAAATGCATAAACCAGTAACAGAGTTGTTTATTATCGTTATATTGTACATAATTATACGTGTGATACTTTTACATGACTGACAGCATAGGTTTGTTCACACCAGCAACACCACAAACATGTGAGTAATGCCTTGTGCTACAATGTTACCATGGCTATAATTGATGTAGGGATTTTTCAGCTCCATTATAATCTTATGGAATGCATATATGGCCTGTCATTGACCAAAATGTCATTATGTGGCGCATGACTGTATTTTTAATGTACAATTAAAATAATAGTAAATTTTTCATAACATACCTGATTGTCTCCTGATAAGAAAGGAAAGAAATCTAATCCTGTGGAAGAAAAAATTATTTCAGTTTAAAAAAAAAAGAAGGAAAAACTCTTCCAAATGCCCCAATACTTCAAAAACAAATACAAGTCTTATATGCTATGTCACTCAGAATTTTATTTAAACATGAAGAGTTGAGCTAAACGTTTTACGTCTCTCCTTTCTTTAGATTACTAAGGCTGAAAACTAAGCTTTGGCAATGATTTGTCTTCTCCGTGACCCCATTTGGGGGACTGGGGCCATTACTACTCTGTCAGATCTAACACTGATCCTTAAACGGGCATAGTACTTTTAACAAATGCTCTGGACTCCTCTTAAGGAAACTTTCAATCTGCTCTAAGTTACTCCTCACAAGCACTTCATGAGGTATGTAATTAGTTTTGCCCTCATTTTGCAGGTGAGAAAGTTTGAAGTTGAAAGAGTTAGGTTAAGTAAGTTGTAGTACTGATTTTTCTTTCTTAAATTTGCTCATTTGCTATCAGATTCAACTGACAGACTGCAGTGGCATGAGGGGAGAAGAGGTTTGAGTGCCTGCAAACTGGCTACTATTACATAAGAAGGAGTAGTTCTGCTACCTGGCTGCTGAGGATTCACTGCAAGGAGGCCCCTTCCAATTAACATTCTTTTCTAGATCACCCAGTGTGTAATGCGATGAAGAGCAAGTGAACAAGCATGAATTAAATGCTTCATTATGATATCTAAACTTGGGGAAAGGTAAAACACGCAGCTATAGATAAATATATTACAACACCACAGATACTCTGGGCATCTACTCACTGTCTACATTATAACCGATTACAACACGAAGGCTTACAAAATGCATAGCACTGTTGTTCTTGATAGTGACAGTGCGTTTCATACATGTAGAAAAAAAGGTATAGAAAGATATCTAACCGTTAAGAGCAGCTGTAACTGGCTGGCCGTAGTGGCTCACGCCTGTAATCCCAGCACTTTGGGAAGCGAAGGCAGGCGAATCACCTGAGGTCGGGAGTTTGAGACCAGCCTGACCAACATGGTGAAACCCCGTCTCTACTAAAAATACAAAATTAGCCAGGCGTGGTGGCACATGCCTGTCGCGCCATTGCACTCCAGCCTGAGCAATAAGAGCAAAACTCCGACACACACACACACACACACACACACGCAGCCTGAGCAATAAGAGCAAAACTCCGACACACACACACACACACACACACACACACACACACTAGCTGTAACTTCCCGGGAATGGGGTTGGGGGATAGGTAGAGGGAAACTTTCACTTTATGTTTCTGTGTTGAATTTTCTACAATGAGCATATATGGCTTTTTTAATAAAAAAAAGTTCTTAGATTATATGACTAATATTCAAATTATTATGCTACAAAGATATAAAAACAATTCTTTTTGATAATATAAATGATTATTATGAACTCAAAATATATAAATGAGTATACTGACATTTCAAACAGCTTTTAAAAAGAAGGATCAGATAAATGTATACACCTAGTATGTACCCACAAAATTAAAAAAAAAATTTTTAAGAAGGATCAAATTCATTAGAATAAAAACTAAAACTTTCAAATGTCTCAACTCACCATTATCTAAAACATAATACAACATAGTTACCCACAATGCCTGTTGCATTACAACTAAAGTCAGGGTACAATAAATAATGTTCACAGGGCTGGGCGTGGTGGCTCACGCCTGTAATCCTAGCACTTTGGGAGGCCGAGGCAGGAGGACCACGAGGTCAGGACCAGCCTGACCAAAATAGTGAAACCCTGTCTCTACTAAAAATATAAAACATTAGCCTGGTGTGGTAGTGGGCGCCTATAATCCCAGCTACTCGGTCGGGAAGCTGAGGCAGGAGAATTGTTTGAACCTGGGAGGCGGAGGTTGTAGTGAGCTGAGATCGTGCCACCGCACTCCAGCCCAGGCAACAGAGCAAGACTCCGTTCCCCACGGCAAAAAAAAATAATGTTCATAAATACCAAAATTCAAACCCACATACTAGCAGTCATTCAAAAACAATTTGCAGAGTACTCAGGAGCTCACAAAAACTAAAGATTATTGCACTAGTTTTACCACTGGGAGTAAAACACTGGCTACTGATGACAGTACAATCAACGAACTGGGTCAGTATTTATAACAACGGCATATTATTTCTCTCAGTTCCCTGGGTCCAAGGCCCTGTTGGCTCAGTCTTCCAGTTCTTCCTTAGATTCACCTAGAAGAGAATTATATAGATCAAAGGCATTCATAATGCTATGTGACAATGTAGAAGAACCAGTGACTCACCTTGTAAGTCGTAAGGCATGGGTGTCATGTGGAAAGGATGCCTATAGTCTTGGATGAGGGAGGTATTAATGTAGCTTGTGTCTACAGCAGGAAGGCTTGGGGTGCGGGATACTGGAGATGCTTGATGTGGAAGACTTAAAATGCTGGAAGAAGGAAAGATTGGCATAGTTTTCATTAGCCAGTTAAACTCTCAAGGTTAACAAAAAAAGGGGTTGTATCTCACAATGAACCCTCGGTTTAGTGCTGGAAATAAGAACAAAACCAAGCAAAGCAATGTATAATTTAGATTATACACAATTATGAGAAAATAATTTGTATACATAATAGCATTTAACAGAGGCCACAGGAAGAAGTGGACAGATGCAATGGTATCCAACATTCACAAACCTCACATTGCCTTTGGAATATCATCACCTATGCTTTCAAAATGCAAGAGAAAGGTACAGTTGAGCCACTTTAACGGGATATGAGTGAAAGATACCTACATCAAATGAAAGTCGGAAACCCTTTTAAAACAACACCAGAGTATTGGCTATTAAGAAGCATACGTATGCCCTAGCAAAGAAAATACATATAATAAGACAGAGGGAATGAAGCAATCTGAGTGGTTCGGAGTTACCAGCTGGCCCCTCAGATTGTAATCTTTAGGAGGGCAAAAACTGGGTATTGTTTAGTATACCCAATGCCCAGTACAGTTATCAGCACATTGTTTGCATAAAAGCCCTGCTGAATCTAATGTAGTGAAACAAGAAGAAATACTCCAAAACGAATAGGTAGTGGAGAGTTTTTAAAGAGAGAACAGTATAACTGGAAAAAGAAAACATAAAACAAGAATTAGGACTCTAAAAAACAGTGAAAAGTTTAAATAGCTAAGTAGCTTTTTTTTTAAAATTTACTAACAATTAAGGGAAAGGAAAAAAGGAGAAGAAGGAAAAAATAATAATTTAACTAACTTTGGGGCCAGGCATGGTGGCTCATTCCTGTAATCCCCATACTTCGGGAGGCTGAGGCAGAAGGATAGTTTCAGCCCAGAAGTTGCCCAGCCTGGGCAACATAGGGAGACCCTGTCTCTACGAAAAATTAAAAAGCTTAGCCAGGCCTGGTGGCACGTATCTGTAGTCCCAGCTACTTGGGAGATAGATGAGAGGATTGCTTGAGCCTGGGGGGTCGAGGCTGCATGAGCCGTGATTGCACCACTGCACTCAAGCCTGGGTGACAGAGCAAGAGCCTGTCTCAAAACAAAACAAAAACAAAAACAAAGCTAATTTTGAAAAGAAAAACAATTATAGTAGCCCTCTTAGAAGGAAACATAAGGGTTATATGTTACCCCAACAATACAAGAGGCTGAAGGTGTATGTGTTATAGAAAATAAAGAGAAAGGAAGCAATAAAGAGGCTGTCTTTTGCTTTTAATGCTTCATGTAAAGTACCTGGGGCATGGGGATGCAATTTCAGTGGTATAGAATATTTCAAAAGAGGGCCGGGCGTGGTGGCTCACACCTGTAATCCCAGCACTTTGGGAGGCCAAGGCGCATGGATCACCTGAGGTTGGGAGTTTGAGACCAGCCTCACCAACAGGGAGAAACCCTGTCTCTACTAAAAAATACAAAAAATTAGCCAGGCATGGTGGTGCATGCCTGTAATCCCAGCTACTCGGGAGGCTGAGGCAGGAGAATCACTTGAACCCAGGAGGCGGAGGGTGTGGTGAGCCAAGATGGTGCCACTGCACTCCAGCCTGGGAGATAAGAGTGAAACTCTGTCTCAAAAAAAAAAAAAAAAAAAAAAAAAAAAGAACATTTCACGAGATGACAAGGTTGGATTTCTAGGAATAGAGTTCCAGTTATGACCATCTACCACATTTTAATGAATGGGATATGAAGCATAAAACACACTCTCGTCTGCCTCATAAAAATGTTTCATCTAATGGAAACTTTGTTAAACCTCTTATATCTAGAAAAAGTACCATTTACCATTAGCTGAGTCTTCTCACAATGTCTAAGAGATTATAAGAGAGGATTTAAAATGCTAGTCTTTGAAAACATCTCAAACAGCATAGACAATTTCTGGATGAACATTAAGCACTCAGTGGCTAAAGACAACAAAATGTTTTACATTTAGTGTTTGCCTCTAATTCCTGGCTGCATGCTTTTCTTTCAATTTGTGATAATGTTTTGAAATGCATTTCAACCTTTATACTGCACAATAACAAACACAATATGCTGTACTGAGGTTTCCAGTTACCAACTAGTCATTATTATAAAATGGCTACTAGTGTTGACTATGGTGTGTTATTCTCCTTCTAAGGATGTAAACTTTCAAGTTTCTTGTTTTTATCTGCAAATAGAGAGAGAAATGTCTGGCATTTGCAAATACTATAGCTGGGTTCAATTAGTCACTGGGAAATTCAGGAAGTACTTAATGCATTTAATGTAATTTTCCAAACATAATAAACATTATTTATTTTATTTTCTCCAAATATTTTTGGAGAAAGAGCAAAGTAAATATCCAAAGAAGAAATATTAGATTCCTAAACACTCAAATGTTTTCTTTAAAGAAAAAATATATAGTCAGTAATACTATTGCATAGTTTACATAAATACATATTACTATTAATAGTCTAAAGAACAGAACAAATATATATATTATGATGCATTTAGCCCAAAAGTATTTATATATCCAGAGGTTTATGAAATATCTTTTAAAATTGTGATTATGGCACTTAAAAAAATCACATGACAATGTGTATTTGGTCATACTATGGTTTGATATTTACAAAATATCTTGGAATTGAAATTCTATAGATACTTGTTCTAACTTTAGGTAATGTGACTTTTCCTTTTCTCCTACTCAGACATAAAATACATTGGTGTAATAACAAGGTCAGGCTTGCTGGGTTATAGCCATCAAGATAGGCTTTTATCAGAGGTCATGTTCATAACAGTAGGATTTGTGCTTAAATTATTCACTTTGTTTAGAATGATGATACTGTTTTTAATGTCTTTGTTTCTGTCTGTATGCCAAGATGGACTACTGTAGAATGAAAATACCGATGTGTGAAATGTTTGACTGAAATCTTATTTTTTTTTGAGATGGGGTCTCATTCTGTCACCCAGGTTGGAGTGCAGTGGCACGATCTTAGCTCACTGCAACCTCCACCTCCCAGGTTCAAGTGATCCTCCCCCATCAGCCCTCCGAGTAGTTGGGACAACAGGCACACAGTGCCATACCCAGCTAATTTTTTGGTAGAGACAGGGTTTTACCATGTTGCCCAGGCTGGTCTCAAACTGATAGAAATCTTTAATCTCATCATACAATGTCAAACCTGAAAATGATTTGACTCCAGGCACAGAAATGCCTGCTCTTGATCTGGTGTTGTAACAATGCCATCTATGGACTTCCTTCTCTCTCCTACATTCTTTCTTTAGTCCCTAATGCTTGCTGGAAGAGTTTCTGGTTAGCTTCTATTCAGTTGCAACAGGCCATGTGATTCTCCTGCTTTATACCTAAAAAGGGACACATCTATTTCTAGATTTACAATTAGTGTGCTACAATTGTGCTTCAGCACAATTAGAAATCTTGCTCAGAATCCCTGATGTGTCTACAGGACTAACAGCCTGTTTTGAGAGTATAGTTGGAGTATGCTACTTGTTTTACCACCCCCCAGAAAGTGCTAAGCTGTTTAAGGTTAAGACTGTACTTACTCATTTTATTATCATCCATGCTTAGCTGAGGGTGTTTTATACAAAGTAGATAACAATGTTTCATGAACTGAAGTATAACCTAGGTACACTGTTATTGATATAAGACTAATGGAAAATATGGGAGAAAACTCTGCAAAGTGGGAAATGTTGTGTGCTGCAACAGAAGTCATTCACTACCAGCCTCATTCACATTCTGAAGCAGATTTAAATCATTGGTCTTCCTCTGCTTTCCACTTGAAACACTCAACTTGGGGTGAATTTTACAGCATACATTCCAGTTTGAACAAATGTTCTACATCCTGTGAGCAGGAGCAGGATCACCTGGGAACTTAACTAGAAATACAAATTTTTTCTTTCTTTTTTTTTTTTTTTTTTTGAGACAAAGTCTCGCTCTGTTGCCCAGGCTGGAGTGCAATGGCACGATCTTGGCTCACTGCAACCTCCACCTCCTGGGTTCAAGCGATTCTCCTGCCTCACCCTCCAGAGTAGCTGAGATTACAGGCGCATGCCACCACGCTTGGCTAATTTTTGTATTTTAGTAGAGATGAGGTTTCACCATGTTGCCCAGGCTGGTCTCAAACTCCTGAGCTTGGACAATCCACCTGCCTCAGCCTCCCAAAGTCCTAGGATTACAGGTATGAGACATGACGCCTGGCCTAGAAAGACAAATTTTCTTAGTCTCTACTCCTGACTCAGACATGGGGGCGCAATGTATGCATTTTATTAAGCTCTCAGGTAATTCTGATGTACGTACACCACAGTTTGAGAACCACGGTACTAGAATGATCTTTTGATATGAAGAATACTATATCCAAGTACCCTTTTGGTGCATTACCCCAATCCCTCCAGAGTATTACAAACCTGGGAAAAATTCAAACTATTCTTTGATTGCTAAGTTAAGTTTCACAATCAAGAATCATTTTATTTGGCAAGTCTTTAATCCCTATTTGCCAAGTTAATTTTCATGATTACTTTTTTTTTTAAATGTCTCAGCACTTACCCTTTATTATTTAGTGGTGATGTGGGAGATAGGGAAGGACAGGTCCTCTTGGCAGATGGCTCTTCTTCCTCTTCATCAGATGAACTGTCTATGGTTAGGTCAATCACTTCTACTTTCTTGTTTTTATTTGAGGACTGGTGGTGAGACGCTACCTGATGCTCCAATGTGGAGCTCAAGCATCCTATATGGGAATGATTAAAATACAAGGCAAGGGAAGAGCTATGACATCTCTCTTTTCTCAGTGTCACTACAGTTTATCAGTTACAGTTTAGATTCACAATATTGTTGGAGCCAGAGAGTAGAAAACCAACAGTGGCTCTGTTCTTCTAAGTTTAAAACTATTATTTAATAATAGTAAATTATTTTTCAAAATAATAAATTACTGAATTAGAGCAAACAATCAAAATGTGTCATATGTCCACTTCAGAAGAAAAGTAATTTGAGAGCAGACGGTATATTAATTTTTGTCTGTATAGTATCTGACATACTTAAATACGATGATAGCATTTTCAAAACTCATAGTGTCTTTACAGCAAAAACATACTAAAAGCCAGGAAAAAATAAATAAATGAAAAAAGAACCTTTACTACTCTGTATCAAATCTGTTAAAAATTTAAAAAGGGTACAGTTTCAAAAGTATGAGTTTACAAATGACTAATTATATTACATTACTTTGAAATCTTATATCAGTAAATTTTTTAAAGCTGGCAAAAAAGTGAATTTAAAAGGAGTTCTATTACTTCTGAACATTTAATCAATAAGTTAATAGGAATTATTAAGCTATCCACAAACTGCTCAGTGATTTTTAAAAATATATGGATTTTAATATTGAAAACCAGACTTAGAGCAGTAGGGAGACTGCCTCTTCCTTGTGAAGAACTACTCACCATCGACTCCATTGTAAGAGGCAGAAACTTCCTGTACTTCCTTTTTTGATCTCATCGGTGCCCAAGTGCCATCCTCCTTAAATTGTATTTCATCACAGTCTGTACAGTACTTTAGGATTTCCATAAACAAGCTATAAGAAAACAATTCATCCTTAGAATATATTTTAAATGAACATAAAGGTTGAACAACTTAAGTTATATTTATTCTTAAAATCTAGTACTAACTAGGAATATAGCTGCCTAATTTATGTCACATTTATGTAAGAAAATATCATGTGACCATGAAAAATGACATTTTCAAAGATTTTTAATCATATGGGAAAATGTTCACAAAAAGTGAGAAAACGTCAACAAAAGAAAGCTTCATTTCAAAAATAAAATTCTGTGTGAGTAGTATATAGACAGTAGTTACCTCTGGGTGATACCTTCATGAGTATTTATTTTTCTTCTTTATACTTTTTTGCATATTCTAAATTGCCCACAATAAGCATGTCTTATTTGATAAACTAAAGCAAAACATATACAAATATGTAATCAAAGGTTAAATCTCTTTGATAAAATACCGTGACAGACATTTAAAAACATGTATAAAGAAAGCATAAAATTAATTACGGCCAAATTCTTAGGTTATAATGTTAAATGAAACCAAAGGACAAAAATTATTAACAGTGTACAATCACAATTATGGAAAGACAAAAATCAGAAAATCATATACCGAAAAAAGCTTTTTATTTTCCTGTGTTTTCCAATTTTTCTTTAAAAGAGTATGTGTGTACATGGCTTTTATAACAAGAAATGGGAGAACCTAAAGCTATGTAACATATAAAGTTGGAAAATATCACTATTTAATTCTGATTTACTAGTAAGTGATCACCGACATTTCTGAAAAATTAAACATAAAACATTTAAGTTACATGTTGTTTGTTTGTTTGTTTCCCATGACTGGTCTGACATCTTTCAAGCTCCAGGTTATACTTGTATTGCTAAATATACTTAATTTCTGATATTACCACCTTTAGGCTCCTATGTTTTCTTAAATACTACAGGTAAGTTGCCTTAAGTGTTTTGCTAGAAAGTACAGGAAATATTAAGTAGAGGCTGGGTGTGGTGGCTCACATGCCTGTAATCTCAGTACTTTGGGAGGCCAAGGCAGGAGGATCACTTGAGCCCAGGAATTCGAGAGCAGCCTGGGCAAAATGGCAAGACTCTGTCTCTAACCCCCCATCCCCAAAAAAATCAAGGAGATGTCCTCCTTTTCACAATTTGTTTTTGTTTAGTGGCAAAAAGCAGGAGGAAAAGGGGGCTGCAGAATAGAAGAAAATTTAGAGGAACATTCCAAGATGTCTGGTAGGATAGATAAAACAAAGAGGTGTTAAAAGCAATAATTGGTTTTGTGATGCTATAGGTGGGCAAGACAAAAAAGAAAAAGAAGACCATGACTGAAGGTGGATCTAATCTCCAGAAATAGGCTAACTTCTATTGAAAAGCCCAATTTTGGATGAACCTGAGTTAACCCAAATTTCCCCATACATTCTTGTTCCAATATGGTCTGCATATCTAGGGATGGATGGACTAATGACAGGAAAAGGAAAAGGTATAAGCACACCCTGCTTAAAAGCACCAGTGCTTTCAACGACAAATGCCAGGAGGCACTGACAGTAACACACGCATTTTCAAACCAAGGGAACATCAATTTAAAAAGATAAAATATTCATAACACTAATTTGAAATAAATTACTTTGAAAATATTGGTTTGCAGACTCACAAAAATCCTACAAATATATAACTTAGAATTTTCATCCCAAATCTGATGTGTAACAAACCCAGATAATATATGGTCATTTCAAGGTACCAAAAACACTTAAAGTAACATACCCATCAATAATAAGGTGTTCATATGGAGCCTTCTTATCACAGACAGGACAAACCCAGGTTGGTTTTTTCTCATTCATCTGAATGTAAAGAGTTGCGTCAAAACATTGTAGATGAGAACATGTAAGGGCCCGACACGGAATTGTCAGCCGCATTTTACCAAGCTTTAAAAAGGGAGAAAAAGTAAATATTAGATAATTGCTATTCAACATTTAAGCTTTGACAAAAATTTCCTAGAACACAACAGGTAGGCATGCTGATTTAAAGCATACAGTGTTGACTTTTCATCAATGTAGAAGAACATTAAACACATTTCCTGTGAAATATCCATAGGTTAAAAAATGACAGTATTTCTTTGGCTATCAAACAAAATGACTATGGAAAGTCTACAACAAGGGTTATTTACTAAAATCCACAGCTCACAGATCAGCTTTTGGTGGAGAGGGTCATAAACCCCTTGAATTACATTCAAAATTTCGTGTGTGCATTTTTCTGGAGAGAGTGCTTTCACCAGTTTTTTTTTTTTAAACAGATGGGGTCTTGCTATATTGCCCAGGCTGAAGTGCCAACTCTTATTCACAGGCACAATCGTAGCACACTACAGCCTCAAACTCCTGGGCTCAAGCAATCCTCCTGCCTCAGCCTCCAGAGTAGCTGGGGATACAGGCGCACACCACTGTGCCCGGCTTTTCTCAAATTCTTAAAGCAGTCCTTGATCCAAAAAAAATTTAAGAACCACCTTACTAGGGATTAGGGAAAATAAAGAATGCCCTATTAAATACTGCACAATACAGAGATGCATTGATATTTGCTATCAGTCTTATCTATGAATGAAAGTAGTTCACAGGACAAAACTGAATCAATAGTGATCATTCCCCATGATGTTTGGCATAATTGCCAAGTGGCAGCTCTGAGGAGGAAGGCAGGTGCACACACTCTGCATTGCTTCCTCACTGGGAACCATCACGAGCAATTCAGCCTACAGCCCTGGACCTCTAGCATCTCCAGCATGTCAGGAGACTTCTTGCCCTGCAAATATTGCTTCAGCTAACACGGGTTGAGTCTATCCAGGAAGAGGAAATCTGCTTCATCTGGTCCCTGAGCTGCTAGCTTTAGCCCAAGGCAGAAAAGCCACGCAGAAACCTGCACAGGGAGGTACCACATCACTATCTCATTCCCTGGAAGCCAGCTTGTACCACTGTAGAGTCCCCAGATCCCACAATGGCCACCATATAGCAGAGAAGTTATCTACTTTCAATAACCACATTATTTGCCAAGTACCAGGAAAAGATTTGTGAACTTGAAAAATATAAACGCTTGTGCTGGAGAGGATGTGGAGAAATAGGAATGCTTTTACACTGTTGGTGGGACTGTAAACTAGTTCACCATTGTGGAACACAGTGTGGCAATTCCTCAAGGATCTGGAACTAGAAATACCATTTGACCCAGCAATCCCATTACTGGGTATATACCCAAAGGATTATTATAAATCATGCTACTTATAAAGACACACTGGACACGTATGTTTATTGCAGCACTATTCACAATAGCAAAGACTTGGAACCACCCCAAATGTCCATCAATGATAGACTGAATTAAGAAAATGTGGCACATATATACCATGGAATACTATGCAGCCATAAAAAAGGATGAGTTCATGTCCTTTGCAGGGACATGGATGAAGCTGGAAACCATCATTCTGAGCAAAGTATCACAAGGACAGAAAACCAAACATCACATGTTCTCACTCATAGGTGGGAACTGAACAATGAGAACACTTGGACACAGGGCGGGGAACATCACACACCAGGGCCTGTCTTGGGGTGGGGGGCTGGGGGAGGGATAGCATTAGGAAAAATACCTAATGTAAATGATGAGTTAACGGGTGCAGCAAACCAATATGGCACATGTATACCTGCACGTTGTGCACATGTACCATAGAACTTAAAGTATTTTATATATATATAAAACATATAAAAGAAAAAAATATATATGAAAGAAAAATATAAAGGCTTGAAAAGAATATGAGTTAAATGAGGAAAAGATTCTTGGCTTACTTAGATCAATTTCAGGGAAATGTGAAATTTCCTAGTCTACCAGGAAATTAACTGTCATTTGGGGCCCAAAATAATTGCTTTGATACCGATGATTTACTGTGTCTCTAAGAAAGGCATTTAGCCTTTCTGGGCCTCTTTTACTTTCTCTAAATTAACACTATTTCCTCCTTACTTCAACCAGATGTAGCCATGATGAATAAAAATAGAACACTGAACATGCTATAAACTTACTGAGACTAGAGCAATGCCAGTTTACAGTATCAGAAGTATAACCTGGAGGGACCTAGAGTAAAAACTGGTAACTCCCTTCTGTGTACTCCCAACTCTACACTCCTGCATATGATTACAATCAAGCACCACATAACATTTTGGTCAACACTGAACCGCATATACGATAGAGGTCTTCAAATTAAGACAGCCATGTTACTGGTTTCTGTATTTACTATACTTTTTATCATTATTTTGGAGTGTACTCCCTTTACTTATATATATTTTAAAAGTTAACTGTAAAACAGCCTCAGGCAGGTCCTTCAGGAGGTATTCCAGAAGAAGGCACTGTTACCATAAGAGAGAACAGCTCCATGTCTGTTACTGCCACTGAAGACGTTCCAGTGGGAAAAGATGTGGAGGTGGAAAGTAGTGATACTGATGATCCGGACCCTGTGCAGGCCTAGGCTAATGTGTGTTTGTGTCTTTGTTTTTAACAAAAAAGTTTAAAAAGTAGAAAATAAAAGTAAAAAATGTTAAAAATAGAAAAAAGCTTATAGAATAAGGATATAAAGAAAGAAAATATTTTTGTACAGCTGTACAATGTGCTTGTGTTTTAAGCTAAGTGTTGTTATTACAAGAGTCAAAAGTTAAAAAAAATAAAAAGCTTATAAAATAAAAAAGTTACAGTGGCCAGGTGTGGTGGCTCACACCAGTAATCCCAGCCCTTTGGGAGGCCGAGGAGGGAGAATCACCTGAGATCAGGAGTTTGAGACCAGCCTGGCCAACATGGCGCAACTCCGTCTCTACTAAAAATACAAAAATTAGCCAGGCATGGTGGCACACGTCTGGGATCCCAGCTACTTGGGAGGCTGAGGCAGGAGAATCGCTTGAGCCTGGGAGGCAGAGGTTACCGTGAGCCAAGATCACACCAGTGCACTCCGGCCTGGGTGACAGAGGGAGACTCTGTCTCAAAAAAAAAGTTACAGTAAGCTAAGGTTTATTACTGAAGAAAGAAAAATATTTTAAATTTATTGTAGCCAAAGTGTACAGTGTTTATAAAGTCTACAGTGATGTAAAGTGATGTCCTAGACCTTCACATTTGCTCACCACTCACTGACTTATTTGGAGTAACTTCCAGTCCCGTAAGCTCCATTCATAGTAAGTGCCCCATACAGGTGTACCATTTTTCATCTTTTATACTTTTTACTGTACCTTTTCTATGTTTAGGTACACAAATACTTAGCATTGTGTTACAACTGCCTACAGTATTCAGTTTTGTAACATGCTGTACAGTTTTGCAAACTAGGAGCAATAGGCCAAGGTACATAGTAAGCTATACCATCTAGGTTTGTGTAAGCACACCTATGATGCTTTTGTTGAATAACAACAAAATCCCCTAATAGTGCATTTCTCAAAAGGTATCCCTATCATTAAGGCATGCAAAACTGATTGTTATTTATTTATGTGTGTCTCCTCCTACTAGAAACAGGTTGGACTAATTTCCTTGTTCCCATACTTGGAAATATACAGCAGTAAGACAGTCCTGTGCACTGATAAGGCTTCAGTTCTGCATGATGGGCAATTCCAGGAGGCACCACTCATGGAAGGTATGCAGGTCATACTCAGTCATTTATAGTGCAGCCTGAGTATGAGTTCTGGTGTTAGAATGAATCCTGGCCCCACTACCTACCTACTGTGTGAATTCTGAATGTTATTTTACTTAATCACTCAGAGGCTCAGTTTTGTAAAATGGGGATAAAAATGGGATCTACACAATATGATTGTGGGGATTCAATTACGTTTACTACACAGTACCTGACACATAGTAACTTTTCAATAAATAACAGTAGTATTAATTAAAGTACAGAAACATATTTGCTTTAAAAATCACTTTGTACACTAGGAGACCCACCCAAACCTCAGCTTAGTAGTCATTCTTTTACTCTGGGCTCACAAAGTATTAAACAGCTTCATTAGACTCCCTTACTGCATTTCTACTCAATTTTAATCTTTGTATTTTTTGAGAAACAGTCTCACAAGCAATTCTCCTGTCTCAGCCTCCCAAGTAGCTGGGATTACAGGCAGGTGCCACCATGCCTGGCTAATTTTTGCATTTTTAGTAGAGACAGGGTTCGCCATGTTGGCCACACCGGTCTCAAACTCCTGGCATCAAGTGATCTGCACACCTTGGCCTCCCAAAGTGCTGGCATTATAGGCGTGAGCGACATGCCCAGCCAATTTTTTATGATTTGATTTACATAAGCACCTGATAAAAAGGCCAAAAGAACAAAGTAGTTATTATAACAGAAAAATTACCATTAGGCAAGATACCATGTTGCATTAGTTCAGAAACATTTTCCAAATAGCAATCTGGTTGGTGGTGCCAAGTTACGTTTTTAGATCTTATGTCAGACCTTAGCTTATCTATGAAATACAAATTCCTATTTTATAAGGTACTTTTGCTATTGCCTTAATACTAAGTAGAGAAACCACAGACTAAAAATTCTAGAGAAATACAGTAATAGTACACAAGGTTTATGAACTGTAGAACTATCAGACTACTTCTGATCGTTTATGAAAACAACAGATAAGATGATAAGAAATAAAGATTGTTTCAGAATCCAAGCTACAGGCCATGAAATTTATACTCTGAAAAGCAGCTGTTTTCCAAAGGCCTTCATCTCACATACCTTTACCCCATGATCTCCAGCTGTCAGTTCATATCTTTTAGGCAAGAGAGCAACTCTCAAGCCTTTATCTTCAGCTATACTGACAAGGTGACCTACAGAGTTTTTAAGGAACGCTGACACAGAAATGGTACAAGACAGACATAAATGGGTATGTGAAAGCAAAAGCTCGCTTTCAAATGCATTATTAGCTGCCACACAAATGCCTTAGAATCATAAAATAACTATTATGTGATAATTCTCATATTCCTGATTTTTTTTAAAAAAATCACTAAATTCTAAATAATTATCTGAAAAACAGATATCGATTTTCTCTAACTTGGTAACAAGAGAGAAGCTGAGCTTTGAACGTCTTCATCTTGTGATTACAAATTCTTCCTTTCCCTTTATAGGACACAAATTATGTTTGCATTATTTGCAAATAAGCACTTTAACTCCCAAATGTGTTTTCTAACGCCACTAACTTTACAATAATAGTGCTATCTATATTAGTAACTGATGACGCTGCAAGAGAAAACATTCTAGATAAAAGTTTTAACCAACTTATATTTTTAAAAAGCCCTAAAAATGTCAATAAAACGTGCTTTTTCCTTGCAAAAGGAAAGGAAAAAGTGTGACATTAAAAATAATTTCAGCTGGGCACAGTGGCTCACACCTGTAATCCCATCACTTTGGGAGGCTGAGGCAAGCGGATCACTTGAGGTCAGGAGTTCCAGACTAGCCTAGCCAACATGGTGAAACCTCATCTCCACTGAAAATACAAAAATTAGCCGGGCGTGGTGACAGGCGCCTGTAATACCAGCTACTCAGGAGGTTGAGGCAGGAGAATTGCTTGAACCCAGGAAGTGGAGGTTGCAGTGAGCTGAGATCACACCACTGCACTCCAGCCTGGGCAACAGAACAAGACTCTGTCTCAAAAAATAAAATTTTAAAAAGGCTGGGAGTGGTGGCTCACACCTGTAATCCCAGCATTTTGGGAAGCTAAGGCAAGCAGATCACCTGAGGTCAGGAGTTTGAGACCAGCCTGGCCAACATGGTGAAACCCCATCTCTACTAAAAATACAAAAAATTAGCCAGGCGTGGTGGCGTGCACCTGTAGTTCTAGCTACTTGGGAGGCTGAAGCAGAGGAATTGCTTGAACCTGGGAGGTGGAGGTTGCAGTGAGCCAAGATCTGGCCACTGTACTCCAGCCTGGGTGACAGAGCAAAACTCTGTCTCAAAAACAAAACAAAACAAAAAGAATAATTTCACAAGTTTTTTTCACAATAATAAATATTTCATAAATACATTTCCAGAGTTTATCTTCTTTTCTTCTATCAATTCCACGTTATTTGTATTTGGGTTTACAAAGCAGCTTTTCAAAGATTCCTCCACCTCTATTTTTAATAAATCAGAACCATAAAATTCCCAAAGAGTAAAAACATTTTTAATTATTTTTGTTGCCTTTAGCTAAATGGCACAGAAACAAAAGAAACTCATTTATTTTGAGCTCTGTACATCACAAGGGCAACTGTAATGCACAGTGAGACATCATATTTACATATTTCAAAGAGCACAAATCTCTTTTATTATCCCATAAATTTGATATATAGGTATTATTAAATTTTATTTTTGAGTAAAAACATACCTAAAATACATGATCTTACTATTTCAGAATAACTGTAAGGGATTATCCCTTTAGCCAAATAGAAACCCATGAAAGTATTATAATTATACATTTTACACATACACACACACACACACACACACAATATACATATATAGTTGTTTTGTTTTATAATCTGAATTTTTAAAGCAGATGTCAATTTAAAATGAACTGCTGGCCAGGTGTGGTGGCTCACGCCTGTAATCCCAAGGGAGGCCAAGGCAGGAGGATTGCTTGAGGCCAGGAGTCCATGACCAGCCTGGGCAACATATCAAGACCTTGTCTCTACAAAAAAATGCAAAAATCAGCCGGGTGTGGTGGCACATGCCGGTAGTCCCAGCTACTTGGGGGGTTGAAGCAGGAGCACTGCATGAACCTGGGAGGTGGAGGCTGCAGTGACCTGAGATGGCAGCACTGCACTCCAACCTGGGTGACAAAGTGAAACCCCGTCTCAAAAAAGAAAATAAATAAAGGTGCAAAGAGCAAAATGTGATTAATAGTTTCTAGTAATACAGAGATGAGCACCTGCACTACAGAATTGAAACACAGTTCCACAAATAAAACTTCAAAGATTTATATTACTGTGCTTATTTATACGAATAAATGCTTCATATATGTGTTAAACATAAAGCATCATATATATTAGTACAACTATAAACACTTTTAAGTGAGATTGCAGAAAAACAATACTTTTTCCAGTGATTTAAATGGAAAATGAAGTGTATGTACTTTTCTAAACGTATTTTCTGAATTGGTGTTTTACAACAAAATGAGGCGGCAAAGAACAACAGATGGGGGAATGGATAAATCAGGGTTTCGGAGAAAGAGGGTAGAATAAATATACACCTTTTTACCTTTTTCTTTAAAAAAAAAATTTGTCTTTTTCTCACCCTCTACTTCCCCAGTCTGTGAATCATTTTTCTAAGCATGAAAAGAAAAAAAAAATAAAAAAACAAAAAAACCACACACACAAAAACCCACACCAGTCTCCTTTACAACCTAGGCTGTTATAACATTTACCTGGTTACTTAAAGAATTTTTAACACTAATATAAAAAGCCTGGAGTCAAAATATTTTTCACAAGAAAAAAATTGGCTTTATTATAAAAAGGAATAAAAATAAACGTTACAGGAATAGAAAGATATATACACAATGATACAATTTGATGATTTTAATTAACTTCATTGTATTTTTTTCTATAACTTACAGAAACTAATTCATGATCTAATTTTTTCATGTTTGAAGTTTCATAAATTACAAAAGACTAATATTTGTAATTACAAATAACATTTAATTTCTATTTAAATTCTTTGTTTCTTTAAGAATACAGTAACTTCATCATCATCTGAGATTAATAGGATCTCAGTATCAAAAGCTTTCAATATCAGGCCTGTCTGAACAATCAGACAAATCAGGAAACAGACATGTCCTTTCATTCTTTCTCCCAAATTTAAAATATGATTAGTTTGATTAATTATAGAACAAAAAGTAACCAAAATGTCAAGGTAATTAATTATTAAATTTTTCACATATTTTCATATGGCCATATTCAACCACCACCCCTACCAAAGAGCCTAACATCAGATTAGTATAACATTTTTTTGAGACCTTTTCCCTTACAGGTTTAATAATTTGGCTAAGTCTTGGGACCATATATTTATTTCATGAAAATGATTGATTCTGACCTCATTTTCTGGCTTAAAATATCTCAAGGTTTTTTTATATGTATAACAAATTCAGCATTTAGGCTGAACAGAAGTTTTTAATTGGTGAATTGTTATAATGTGGTCATTGTTAGCAAAATGGTTAAATGAGATGTGTGGGTAATCATGGCTAGATTTTTACTCAGAAAGGTACTATCTTAAGTAAAATTTTTGGCCAGGTGCGGTGGGTCACACCTATAGTCCCAGCACTTTGGGAGTCCAAGGCGGGTGGATCACCTGAGGTCAGGAGTTCGAGACCAGCCTGACCAACATGGAGAAACCCCATCTCTACTAAAAATACAAAATTAGCCAGGTGTGGTGGCGCATGCCTATAATCCCAGCTACTCAGGAGGCTGAGGCAGGAGAATCGCCTGAACCCGGGAGGCAGAGGTTGTGGTGAGCCGAGATGGCACCATTGCACTCCAGCCTGGGCAACAAGAGCGAAACTCCATCTCAAAAAAATAACAATAATAAAAATAAATAATGTAAAATTTTTATAAATACACTGAGACAATAAACATTTCTTATTTTGAGATTTTACACTTGAGCCTGAGAGATGGTCATTAATCACAGGCCATATTTAGATATGTCTTACTAAGAGTAGATCATTTTTAAAGACTTGTTTAGATTCCAAATGCAATGCCTAGATGTCTTTCCACTTTTCATAAACTGTAACAATGGTGGACATATTTTAGAAGCAAACAGAATTTCTCAAATAGTAAAAATACTTAATAAAAAGAGAAAATGTATGTTAAACTTTCTGGAAAGCAAGTAATAGTTAACACTTACTGGACATAGTAGAGAAACCCTTAGGCTGGTTGTAGCTATTTCACTGTCTGGATCCGCAGTCAACTTCTCTTTAACTGATATTCATTGAAGAAGAAGAAAAAAAGCAAACAGAGTTTTATTAAAGATACATTACTGGAGCATTACTATAAAGAATAAAAAGCTTAAACAAATCTGTTCAATTATTTCCCAATCAATTGAATGGAAAGATAAAAACAACCATATGGCTTTTAATTCTATAAGCAAAGGATGGAAAACAATTGTTTATCTGTAGAATGACTATGTTTCCTATAAATTTCCTATTTCTCACTCAGGGGACAAAAACCTGCAGCAATATGAGAGAAATTTCTCTAATATGTTGACATATTCAACTAATGGTAGACCCTTTTTCTTTTATAACTCTAAGATATTGGATCAAGGTTTTCTTTCTTTTAAACTATGACTAATATTACTTGGGCTCTTCTACTTTCGAGGACATTAATAATAAGAATAACATTTATACATTTTTGAAAGCTCAGAAAATAAAAATATTTACTGTAAAACAGCTTAATTCAAACTTCAAATTATGAAAAGAGTCCTATTTCTTTTTTTTAACTATACAATTATTTGAATTTTAATCTATTTCTCTATAAAATACTTGTGCCCTCTTAGGCAAGTCAATCCTCCTTTCTCAGCTTAATTTTACTTGTAGTAAAATTGGAACCCACACTAGATAATCTTTAAGTCTTTTCACTTCAAACTTCTTATGGTTCTTAAGGGAGGAGACACTAGTAATTTTACTTTTCCAAGGCTGTTCTTTCATTCTCTTTCAGTCTGATATGAAAGACTCTTTATACTTCTCATCTGGAAACCTTAGCTGTTACCTCTGAAAACTTCAATAACAGTAACAAGAAAAAACATTATAGGGGGTGAGACAGGAAATACATATATGTAATATTCCAACAATTTTAGAAACTGTCCCATAATAACTTTAAAGTCTATATTGTACAAAGGGGCCGTAAGTTGGGTAGCTGTATACACAGTCAACAGAAGTTCTGAGCTGTGGTACAACTAAGTGTGACCAGATAAGACACCATATAGAAAAGAAAACGAAGAGAGGGAGAAGTACTCGGGTAAGTTACAATTTCAGAGTCTACTGTTCTGATAACCATTTATGAGAAATCCTACCTTTATTAAACACAGTCCCCTGGATTTTAGTCTGGATTTTTTTAGATGGTCCAAATCCTGGAGATCCTATCCAACTATTTCCATAAATTAGTGGATCTCAAGTAAGGTGCACATCAGACCTACCTACAGAGCTTCCTGAATCAGAATGAAAAGAGGGACACCAATTGGTAGTTTTTTAAAAGCTCCAGATATGATTCTAATGCCAGACTAAAAAGTCATTTCATGGCCTGGAAATTCCAAATTTTCAAAGTCTTAATATATTTCACAGGCTGTCTCCTGACACACAAAAAAGGCATACAACTTCTGGTTTTTAGTTTGGAAAATATAGTTGTAACACTATGCTAATGAATACCATATATAAATTACAAAAAGTATGCCTTTGTCATTATACACCAAATCTTAGTCAATCCTTTCTTATAAATATGATTTTAAAAAGTAGTATCTTTGTTAAAGGCAACAAATAATCGCCATATGAAATAAACATGCAAATAGAATTCTAATGTGATTACTCACTGTGTTGGCTAATTTTAGGTGTCAACTAACTAAACGAAGGGCTACCTACATAGCTGGCAAGGCATAATTTCTGAAAGTGTCTGCGAGTGTGTTTCCAAAGGAGACTGGTGTGTCAGTCTGTGGATGAGTGAGGAAGATGTGCCCTCAATCTTGGCGGACACCATCAAATCAGCTGGAGGGCATGGAAAGAACAAAAAGGCAGAGGAAAGGAAAATAAATTCACTTTCTCTTTTTCCTTGAGCTGGGATACCCTTCTTCTCCTGCCTTTGGACTTCTGTGATCCCAGCTACTTGGGAGCCTGAGGTAGGAGGATTGCTTGAGGCCAGGAGTTTGAGACCAGTCTGGGCAACACAGTAAGACCCCATCTTTAAAAAGAAAGAATTCCAGGTTCTCTGGGCTTGGGACTCTGGGATTTGTACCACCATATCAGCCCTTCTCCTCACCCCTCTTAGGCCTTTGGCCTTAGATTGAGAGTTGGCTTCCTGGATCTGTGGCCCCTGGACTTCAATAGTCACATTACTGGCTTCGCTGGTTCTCCAGCTTGCTGATGGCCTATCTATTGTGGGCATTCTCAGCCTTCATAGTCATGTGAGCCAATTCCCCTAATACATCTCCTCTTAACTCACTCTCTCTCATCTCTCTCTCTCCTTTTCCTCTCTTCCTCTCCTTCCCCTCCTAGAGTTTCTCCGGAGAACCCTGACTAATAACCACTCTACATGCCTTCACCAACCATCCCACCAGCACCCTTTATAGACATAGCAAGCAATGGGCATAGTAACTGACTTTGAACTTTGCATATTTAAATTTCCACTTAAATGAAGCAATATTATAGATCATAGTATCAACCTTATACAAAACAAAGCTCAGTGTTTAGTGCTTAGAAAATAAATTGAAATAAGAGAGGCAACATAAAGTAGTGGTTAAGAGCATAGGACCTAGGGATAGCCTAGCTTAGAATTTAGTCTCAGTTAAATCACTTAACCTCTCTATGCCTGTTACATCATCCGGTAAATGGGAACAATAATAGTACCTCACAGAACTGTTTTAAGGATTGAGTTAATATGCATAAAAAGTTTCAAAATACACTTGAGCCTGGGAGGCAGAGGTTGCAGTGAGCTGAAATTGCTGCCATTGCACTCCAGCCTGGGTGACAGAGTGAGATCCTGTCTCAACAACGACAAGAAAAAAAAATTTTTTTTGAGACAGAGTCTCACTCTGTCACCCAGGCTGGAGTCAGTGGTGAGATCTTGGTTGACTGCAGCCTCTGCATCCCAGGTTCAAGTGATTCTCCTGCCTCAGCCTCCCAAGTAGCTGGGATTAGAGGTGTGCACCACCATGGCTCAGCTAATTTTTGTATTTAGCAGAGACAGGGTTTCACCATATTGGCCAGGCTGGTCTCAAACTCCCAACCTCAGGTTATCTGCCCACTTTGGCCTCCCAAAGTATTGGGAATATGGGCATAGCCACCATGCTGGCAACAAAAAAAGTTTTAAAATAGCCTAATATTATTCTCAATAAATATTAGCTATTGTTACTTAAAATAAAACACGATTTATATATTCACTTTCTCTCAGAGGTGGGAGAATTTTCTGAAATTATTTTAGAATGTTTGCCAATTTCTATTAAAAAAAAAAAAAAACCTATGCCTTCTCTTTTGCCATTACAGACCCAATCCTAGTCCTTTTATTCTTGTAAAGATATTTTTTAAGGTCCTACCGGGATCTTGATTAGACTGGATTAATTCTACAGATTAATTTGGAGAACTGACATACAACAATAGAATCTTTCAATCTCTTAGCAAGATATATCTCTCCGTTTATGCAGGTCTTCTTTCAGTTTTTCTCAACCATGCTTTGTAGTTTTCGGCATACAAATCTTGCACATAGTTTGTGTGATGTATCCCCACGTGTTTCATATTTTTGGATGTTACTGTAAAATCTTTTTTGAATTTCAATTTCCAATTGTTCATTACTAACAGAAATACAATTTGTTTTTGTATATTGACCATGCATTCTCTAACTCTGCTAAACTCACATAGTATTTCTAGTAGCTTTTTTGGAGATTCTTTGGGATCTTTTTCTATGCAGACCATAAGGTCATTTGTAAATAAAGACTATAATTATTTCTTCATTTCTAACCTGTGTGTTGGTTTCTTTTTTAAAACTTTTCCTTGTCTTATTGTGCTGTCTAGGATCTCTAGGGCAACGCTAGGGGCAGATATCCTTGCCTTGTTCTCAATCTTAGGAGTGAAGCATTCAAGTTTTAGACCATTAGTGATGATATCAGCTGTAGTGTAGACTTTTTGTAAATACTCTTTATTACACTGAGGCAGCTCCCTTCTCGATTTTGCTGACAGTTTTATCATGAATGGATGTTGAATTTGGCCAAGTGCTTTTTCTGCATCTCTGGAGATGATCATATGATTTTTCATTTTTAGTTTGTTGAGAAGGTGAATTATATTTCAGCATTTGAATGCTGAAACCAACTTCGTATTACAGAAATAAATTCTGTTTGGTCACCATGTATTGTTTCACCTACTGGACTTAACAACATTCAAAACAATTCTGAAAAAGAAAAACAAAATTGGAGAATTCTAACTGATTTCAAGACTTACTATCAAGCTACGGTAATTAAGACTCGTTTGGCATAAGGATAGACATACAGGTCAATGGAAAAGAATAACGTCCGGAAATAGATTTATACATCTATGGTCAATTGGTTTTTGATAAAGGTGCCAAGGTAATGAAATGGAAGGAAAGACAGTCTTTTCAACAAATGCTGTTGGAATATTTCGATATCTATGTGGGGGAAAAAATGAATCTCTACTCTCACCTTGCATATACAAAAATTAACTCAAAATGAATCACAGACCTAGATCCAAGAGCTCAAACAATAAAATTTCTAGAAGAAAAATAGAAGAGAGTGTTTGTGACTTTCATTTAGGCAAAGATTTCATAATATATCAAAAGCATGACATTAAAAAATGGGCAAAAAATTTGGCAGATACTTCATCAAAGAAGCTATAAGAATGGCAAATAAGCACCTGAGAAGATGCTTAACATCCTTAGACATCAGAAAAATGCACAAAGAAATACCACTACATACCAATCACGATGGCTACAATAAAGCAGCCTGATGATACCATATGCTGGTAAGGATGTGGAGCCACTTGAAATCTCACACATTGTTAGTGGGAATGCAAAAATGGTATATTTACTTTAAAAGAAATTGCCAAACTGTTTTCCATATATACTTATCATATGACCCAGCAATCCCACTCCTAGGTATTTACCCAAGAGAAATGAAAACATATGTCTACAAAACTGAGGTATCCATATGCAAAATGTAAATGTTTACAGCAGCTTTATTCATATTGCTGCAAAACTGGAAATAATCCAAATGTCCATCAATTTATCAGATGGATAAATGTCCATCATTTATCAAATGGATAAATTATAGTACATAAATGAAATACTACGCAGCAATAAAGAACAAACTACATGGATGAACTTCAAAAGCATTATACTAAGTGAAAGAAGCCAGACGCAAAAGGCTACATATTGTAGGATTGCATTTACCTGACATTCTGGAAAAGACAAAACTACAGAGCAGAAATCACATCAATGGTAAAAGGATGGGATGGAATGCAAAAGGCCACAGATGAACTTTCTGGGGTAAAGGATGTTCTATATTTTGATTGTGGCAGTGGTTCATGATTGTATACATCTGTCAAAGGAATTTTTATTGCCTATAAGTTATACTTTAAAAAACTTTCTCAAAAGAAAGAGAGAAAACGGAGGGGAAAAGCACTATGCTATATTTAATCATAAGAAAGTATGAAGAAAAAATAAAGTAAAAGTAGAAGCACTTATTACTTGTGAGCAAGGGAATAAAAAATAAAAATAAGACATATAATATTTGTCCTGCAGTAATCAGTCAACATGTGGGAAGTTCTCTGGGAGTTAAAGTTTTCACATTGTTACAGTGATCTGCAGTGCTAACAGTATTTTATTATATGACTATAATAAAGTTACAGCTAGTCACATTTAAAATTAATCTTGTTTTACCCAATAAGTCGATTTGGGGAGCAGAATTAATCTTGTTTTTAATCCCTGTTGTCATGAGCTACAGGAGTTAGCCACTACTCACATGACGCTGTATTTAAATTTAAATAAAAATTCAGCTCATCCGTTAAACTAGCCACATTTTAAGTGCTCAATAGCCACATGTTGCTGGTGGCTACCATATGGGACAGTGCAGATAGAGAACACTTCCATTATCACAGATTGTTCTATTACTGGTGTTCTGGGGTTGTTATTATTTCAAGATAATTTCTATCCTTCATTAATATCAGGTTATTTTAATTCAGCCTTTTAAAATTTTAAGGCCGAAAACAATCAAACATATTAAGATCAATATTTCATTTTATAAGCAAAGAAACAGGCACCAAGACCTGATTTTTTTCTGTAGCTGTCTTTTCATCAGTTTACTTCAAAAATATGCAGATCTACTATGTATGTGGCACTGTGCTGAGCAATAGGAATTCAAGAAAAAAAATAAGATTAAATTCCTCCTCCAAAGAACTCATAATCTAGTAGAGGGTAAAGATGTTCAGTGAGATCATCTCTAATGCACTCTGATGGAGTATGTTCAGGAAGCTAACCAAAAGTCAACTCATCAATTTTGGGGGTTCTGGGATGTCTCCTGGAAAAAAGTGAAACAAAGGATAATGACATTAGGCAGAGAAGGCAGCAGGGGAGTTTTGAGGCATAGAGCACAAAACTAAAGCACTGAAGAAAGACTAAAGAGTTCCATATTTTTGGAATGGAATGTGAAGTATGAAAAGAAGAGTAAATACAGGCGACCCTGGAAAGTAATAAGCAGGTGCCACGTCATGGAAAGTTTAAAAAGCAGAGTGAATACAGGCGACCCTGGAAAGTAATAAGCAGGTGCCACATGATGGAAAGTTTGTGTGTCATGCTAACATACTTGGAGTTTTTATTCCCTTGGTGTTAAGAAGCCATGAAATGCAAGGGAATGAGAATGGTAAGATTTTAGATCTGTATAAATCACTTAGGAGGCTACCAGAGGAGATAGAAAAAGGCGTCAAGGAGAGGGATGTTTTATCTAAGAATGGTTTTTAAAATAAAAGCAGGATATGAGAGCTTAAACAAGGGCAATGATAGCATGATAGACAGAAGGCACATTTGAGAAATATTTAGGGAGTAAGTTTGACAGGAGTTGGTGAGTTCAGTTTTAAATACTTGAATTTGAGGAACCAGTGAAATGCTTAGGTGAAGGTAGTTAGCTATATAAGTCTGAAACGCAGGGGAGAGGTCTGAGATGAAGACATGTATTTTGGGGTGGGTGTTAGTTTTAAACCATAAGGGTGCGTAGAAAAGTGCACCCAAGATAAAACTCCAAGAACAGCCACATTTAGAATGCTTCCCTTAAGAGAATCCATTGAAGGCAGGTGATTGAGAAGATATGGTCAGAGAAGAAAGGAGAGAATTTCAAGGAGAAAGTGGTTCATATCAAATGCAGCAGAAGTATTCAGGATGAAAACTGAAAATATACACTTTAAATTTAGCAATCAGATCATCATTTGTGACATCTGAAAGAGCAATTTCAGTGGAATGATAGAGGGTTAAAGACCATAATGAGATGCAGTGAGGAGGTAAAAAGAGCAAGTGTAGACTACTCTCACAAAAATTCGGATGAGAACAATGGGAGGAACACAGAGCTCTATCCATAGAGGAGCTTGTTTTCCTATTTTTTAAAAGATAAAAGAGTCTTGACAGCACAGAGTGACAGAAAAAGCCTGCAGACAGAGAGGAACTGAAAACACAGGACAAAGAGCAGATATATGAGGGAGCCAGGTCTCATAATACTGTTACCAAGCATCTCTACCTGGATGTCTCATCCCATCTCAAACACCACAAGTCTAACAGTCCACTCTGATCTCCCCCCTGCAATCTGATCTTTTCAACACAGTTTTCTGTTTCAGTAAATGGCATTACCATGTTACCTAGTGCTTGAGTAAGAAGCTTAGCACTCCTCCTTGGACTCATCACTCCACACACACAGTCAATGCCATTTCAATGCTTCTCAAAACTGTCAACTTCTATCTACCACTATCACCTTAGTTCAAGACATTATCATCTCTTACGTATACTATTACAAACAGGTTCTCAACTGGCCTCACTGCATTAGCCTTGCCTTCCTTTGATTCGTCTTCAAAGTGAGAATCAGATTGTCTAAATGTAATCGTGTCATTTACTCCTCTGCTTAAAAATCTTTTAATGGTTTTCTATCATCTATCTTCATATCGTCTATGTCAACTTATACCTGTCCAACTCTCTGGTCACCCTCCTTCTTGGCGCTCTCTCTCTCTCTCTCTTTTTTTTTTTTTTTTTTTAAAGACAGTGTCTCTCTCTGTTGCCCAAGCTGGAGTGCAGTGGTGCGATCTCAGCTCACTGCAACTTCTGCCTCCCGGGTTCAAGCGATTCTCGTGCCTCAGCCTTCCGAGTAGCTGGGACTACAGGCACATGCCACCATGCCAGGATAATTTTTTTGTATTTTTAGTAGAGACAGGGTTTCACCATGTTGGTCAGGCTGGTCTGAACTCCTGACCTCACTCAAGTGATCTACCCGCCTCGGCCTTCCAATGTGCTGGGATTACAAGGGTGAGCCACTGCACCCAGCCCTTCTTGGCTCTCTCTATTCCAGCTGCACTGGCCTTTTCTCCTGGCATACTCTGTTCCCATCTTGGAGCTTAACTTCTCCTCATACTTATAATCTTGCCTTAAGTATCACAGTATCAGAGAGGACTACGTTCCCCTATTGTACCTCTACAGAGTTCCCTGTCTATCTTCTTCAAGGCACATGTCAAAACTTTAACTCATTAATGACTTGTGCAATTATTTAATGCCTGTCTTTCTTACCAGACTGCAAACTTCTGGGGGATGCAGAGATGGTATGTGTCTTGTTTAATGTTATATTCTCCTGTTCCTGGAACACAGTAGACTCTTAACACAATTTCTTGAATGAAAAGAATAAATGAATAAGCAGGGAAAGGGAGATTTCCTCTTGACACTGAACAAAATAAAGCGAGGACTGGGCACAAATGTAGATAAGCTAAAAAAGTAATTATGGTGGCACTGAGATTAAGGAAGAAATGGGTGGTTTAGGTAATTCATGTCTTGTAGCCCCAATTTTCATGCATTGGCAGAGTGCTGAGAGAGGGGGATAGTGTTTGATTAGATTATGGCTAAGGCTTGAAATAACTGCTGAAGGGAGAAGGAAGAGGAGAAAGAAACTTGATTAAGAGTTGGTAAAAGACTGTTTTTCATAGTTGTGAGGGGACAACTCTACACAAAGGCAGAAACTGCAAGACAAAATCCTACTAAATCAAATGATTCAGAGAATGGAGTTCTCTGTGAAAAGTCTAAATAATACCAACTTTATTCTTTCAAGAACATAAGAGTGTCTGGCTTGACTACTAAAACTTTGCTAGAAGTACTTATTTTATTAAGAATGACTTACAAAGAACATATTTGTAACTGATTTGACTCTTTTAAAATACCTGACATTTCCTTTTGTCAAGTTATTGTAAACAGAATTTTAATTACATAATTTGTTGGGAAAGTTTTTGGTTTTTTTTTTTTTTTTTTTTTTTACAGGCAGCATACAGGTAAAGGTAGATAACCTGTTTTTTAGTAAATTACAACAAATTTCTTACTGGTGGGATCCAAATTAATATTCCATTGGCTTCCCTGGCCAATAAGTAAGGTAAGGTATCAATTTCCACAAAAATCTCATCCAGTGTACAATTATTCTCCACATCCATCAGTATATCAGACTAGAAATAGCTTTTGAATTAAACAGTTTTTGCTGCTTAATGGTAGCTAATAGTGGTTTCTCGGAGAAAATAAAATAATTCAATTCCAGACTCACGTTCCCACTCTCCCTCCAGGTGGTGCTATAGCTACAAGCGGAGAAGAGTTAACAGCTTGAGCAAAGACAGTTGGCCTTATTGTTGTTGTTGCTGTTACTATTAAATAAAATAACTTCATCTGCCTTATTTCTTGGTATTCCCTCTTCCATACAGGCTCACATAATTCTTTGCTTTCTGACTGGCTGAGATTCTAGTATTGTGAGGCAAATACGAAGATTCTCAGTAGAATGACCAGGAATAACTTCAGCAAGATTGTGATAGAAGACAAGTTATCTTATACTCTCCTTCAAGGCAGATGTCTGTCTTTTCTTTCAGGATCCCTACCATCTTCTTATCCCTGCCAAATGGTGCCACCACTCCCGCAGATCCCAAATCAGTGCTGCCCTTCTAGGTCTCCATCATCTGTCAATGCATGCCTACAGAGGCATTAGCCAAAGTGTGCTCCCATTGATTCAGGATTAGCTGCATTTTTAAAGGACCATTTTAATACAGAAAAATTCTTCAATGAACTATTAAGGGTATATTGATATTCAGGGGTAGTGGGATCTTTTACTCTGCCACAGAAATAAGTTACAGAAAGGGGTAATAGCTATGCTACAAAAGGAAAGCTGCTATTATCTTAGTTCTTTCCACCAGAGTGTTCCTAAGTACAAATCTGATAATGGGCTTCATTAATCAGTTCACATCAAAAGTCCTTAAAGGATAGCTATCTAACACCTGCCTATAAAAGTTTTGTTTCTAAGTCCCCAGCCCTCACTCCTAAATCCACGCAGCCCCCGGCTCTCACAAATAAAAGAATAAACGAAGAACTTAGTTCACCTCTTTGGAAAGGCCAAACCCTCTGACCTTAACCCTTAAAAACAGAGGTCAGCACAGCCCCATTTGAAGACCTTGAATCTCAAATTCAACGTATCAAAACAAACCATCCAGTAATTCACACGTATGAACCCAGACTTCGCAGAAGCATTAGAAATCAGACGGCATAAACTTCTTGTTACAGATGAGGAAGATGAAACTCAGGAGCAGCGTTACTTGTCCACAGTCATATAATTGATTAATGGCAGAATTATTATTTCTACCACCCCACTGGCTCTCTTCACTTTGTAAATGCAGGGGGTGAGGCCATGATATAATTCTGTACATTTTTCCTGGATAAACCACCAATCTAAAATAACTTTCTTGAAATTTATGCCAAGATGCCCTTCCCATTTCCCAGAATTCCTTAAACATTGATTTTATGAAGTTGTAGAATAATATTCTTCCATGTTTGTGCACTGACTTCACAAAGTTAATTTTAAGATTAGTAAAATATAGATTATAAAATATAGCTCATGACAAAGATATCAGAACTACTCTAAGAACTACACAACAGGCTCCAGTGAATAAACAAATTCTAAAATTTCTTGAGTTGAGAAAATACTACTCTAACCTTTAACAAAATAGCTGAATAAGTGAAATAAGTTTATCATACGTACTTAAAGCTCTAGAATGATCCGGATTCCTTATTCCCTTTGCTCGTAACCTCTGAAGAAGAACTGTTGAGGACAACTGTTTTACAAGATATACTGCCATGGAATAGTTCTGGAAAAAAAAAGAAGTAGAAAACAAACAACATATGTAAGTAAATAGTACATCTATTTTAATCTCACCATGATAGGGAAAGAAAACTAACACTTCTTAAAACACCTACTGTGTGTCAAGCAGTCTTAGGTGTTTTCATGAACAGTAATTCATTTAATCCTGACCAAAAAGCTGCCGAGATGATCATAAACCTGTTTTTATGGATGAGGATACTGAAGTACAGAGAAGTAAAAGAACTTGCCCTAATTTTGCAATTTTCAAGTAACAAACCTAGAATTTAAACCCAGGTCTGTCTTGGATTTAATATTACCTATACTTGAAGCTAATGAATTTAAGGCACTTACATGAAAGAATACTGTTAAGACTAAGTATAAGCCAAAGACAATAAGATGTCAAAGCTATAAACCATATTTAGTAGGTAACAGATATATCTAAAATAGTATCTATTTTTTTTAAATGACAAATGAGATGGGCTTCCTAATTTATACCTTTTAACCTTTCTCTATGCCTTCAAGTAGCTCTTGAAAAGATTATACTTGGGCCATTATCACAACAAGCAGAGGGAATATTAAAGAAGGTTTTCAAACAGAAGCTGCTGGTTTGGCAAATGAACAGATGAATATCCATTACCAGCAGACAGACTACCCAGAGATGACAGAGGTAGAAGGGGACCAAAAAAAAAAAAAAAAAGAAAAGCCAAAACCAAAAAAAAACAGTTAATCAACAAGCTAAGACTAAGTGAAGGGTACATGGTTGGGTAAGAGAAAGAAAAGACGGCTGAGGTTCACGAAGGGTAGGAAGGAGATCTAAATGAGAAGGATCAGTTTCTATTTGGTGCTGGGATCAAGAGGAAGATCAAGAGACTTGAAAAGAAGTAAAAGGAAAAATAATTGCTGCCATCTTGTATTTTATAGCTACACACATTTTTCAAAGCATTCTTAACATACGCTGCCTACTTCATTTAAACTTTGCACAAGGCCTATTAAGACACAGGTAGGATAGGTATTTTTCTAAGTGAAGGGCTGATGAAACTGAGGCACAAAAAGATTATGCAATCTGCTCATGATTAGGCAACTGCTTGATGACAGAGCAGACACTAGAAACCAAAGGGAAAGGGTGGGAATATTAAGACATGGAACTTAATGCACTCCCCTCTTTTGACAGAAAATATACTACAATACTCTCTGGAAGGTCATATTTTTATTTAAAGTTCGGAAAGCTATCTGTGTTTACATGCTACACATTTTCTGAGAGGGAGGAAAAAGAAGTGTCAAAAAAGCGAATTTACCTTCATTAATAAATTTCACATTAATGAGGAACAAGTAACATTAAAACTTTCCCAGCCGGGAGCAGGGGCTCATGACTGTAATCCCAGCACTTTGGGAGGCTGAGGTGGGTAGGTCACGAGGTCAGGAGATCGGGACCATCCTGGCTAACGTGGTAAAACCCCGTCTCTACTAAAAATACAAAAAACTAGCCGGGTGTGGTAGCACGTGCCTGTAGTCCCAGCTACTTGGGAGCCTGGGGCAGGAGAATGGCGTGAGCCTGGGAGGCAGAGCTTGCAGTGAGCCAAGATGGCGCCACTGCACTCCAGCCTGGGTGACAGAGCAAGACTCTGTCTCCCCCCCCAAAAAAAAAAAAAAAAAAAAATTCCTAAATTTTAGAGCATACAACATACTAATCTGATATAGCATTGACAAGCTTTATTTGTTTATTTATTTATTTAATTTGAGACAGAGTCTCGCTCTGTCACCCAGGCCGGAGTGCAGTGGCGCAATCTCGGCTCCCTGCAACCTCCACCTCCCGGGTTCAAGTGATTCTCCTGCCTCAGCATCCCAAGTAACTGGGACTACAAGTGTGCACCACCATATCTAGCTAATTTGTGTGTGTGTGTGTGTGTGTGTGTTTTGTTTTTTTGTTTTTTTTGTTTTTAGTAGAGATGGGGTTTCACCATGTTGGCTAGGCTGGTCTTGAACTCCTGACCTCAAGTGATCCGCCTGCCTCAGCCTCCCAAAGTGCTTGGATTACAGGCATGAGTCACCAGGCCCAACTGGAAAGCTTCTTTTAGAAAAAAATCTTATTCACCATTATTATTTACTTGCTTAATGCTTCAAGTATGACAGAAACTGGAGAAATGCTAATTAACAATGTGAAACTATGTATTGACAACTTGAATCTTCAGAACTTGGAATTACCCTAAGGCTTTATATAAATATTTAAGAAGAGATCAAGCAGAAACTGCAACAAGTTCAGTGAAAAGGTATGCTCACTCTAGTTGAAACATGTAAGCAAATAGAAAAATAAAATAAAAGCAGCAAAAAGAATGTGGTACTAACAAATGCCACTTGTACTGGTAATATAAAATGAAATTTTTACATCATATGAAAGAGGTTCAGCAGCAAAAAAAACCCCACCAAAGCTTAATAGTGACAGAGATTCTTTTCTAGGTAGACAGTATTTTATTGTTCCTGCTAATCCTTCAAATACTAATTCCAACTACTGATATATATTATACTATATTATATTATATTATACTGATAGTTTTGTTTATTGCTTTTTCAAAAGTCTTAAAAATTATTTGTCAAGTTCATGAGATAATTTCTCTGTAATTGAAATATACTCTATTCATTATGTGCCCCTTACACTAGTACAAGTTGAGTATCCCTGATCCGAAATGCTTGGGACTATAAGTATTTTGGACTCTGAATTTTTTTTTTCTTCCAGATTTTGGAATATCTGCATTATACTTACCAGTTCAGCATCCCTAATCTGAAAATCTGAAGTCTGAAATGCTCAAACAAGTATCTCCTTTGAGCATCCTGTTTTGAATTTTAGAGCATCTTGTGTTTCAGATTTTCAGATTAGGAATACTCAACCTACATCTAAATAATTTCTCTACAAATAATGAGAGTTTAATAAATGCTAAAAGGAGTGCTTACCCTGAGGTAGAGCAAGAAGTTACAATATAACTCACTTACTTCTTTCAGGCGCTATACTAGCTCTCCTATTTACTTCATTTGAAAAGACACAGTTGCAACATTTCTCACTGGCAACTATTTATACAAAAGTATCTGCAAAATAGTAAGATATTCTACATGAACTATTCAGAATATCTTCACAAGCTGAATTAAAACAGTAATTTAAAAACAATCTATTAAGTTATTTTCTGGGCTTTGGAAAATAATGCTGATTTAGTGTTTTACTTCCCCAGAAAAATGTCTTCAAATCTTTGTAGCTGGAAGCCTTCCTATGGAAGAGTATTTCCCCCCTCCTCTAGTGCTTTTTATCAGCGGCCATATTCCCCTCCTCTCCTACAGTTTCAGACTTCTTTCCTATTTCACCAAAAACACTCCCCTTCTTCCTTGGTGAGCTATTCTTTTCATACACAAAAACAAAACATTTTCAAAACTTTCCCCAAAAAGGAGGAAAAAGGGAACTCCAAGGTACACTAGAAATAAAATATTTAAAAGGATTTTAAAAACCTAATGGTGACATATGAGTTAAAGGAAAAAAATATAACCCTGAGAGATGTCAAAAAGAATTTTGATATAATTCAAAATCCATTTCTAAAAAAAAATCCAGTAAGAGAAATATAGAAATACATCATTGATATAATATTCTATCAAAATTAATAGCAACATTATAATAATGTTATAACAGTAGCAGTATTCTCATTAACATAAGGAGCAAGTCAAATATGTCCACTAGTGCCTGCATTGTTTAACGCTGTTTACAAAGTTCTAGGTAGTAGAACAAGAAATAAATGACAAAAGTATTAGGGTAATATAATTTATATGACATACCTAAAACTCAAAACTGTCAACATAGAAATACCAATAAATCATCTAAAAAGCTAATAGAACCAATATATGAATTTAGCTATGAAATAAATATTAAAAATAACTAGTTTTTAAGTAAACCAACAATAAATACTTTGAAAATATAACAGAAAAAAAGATCTCTTTTTATAATAGCAGTAATAATAACAACCAACATGGGAATTAGCAAAAAATATGCAGGAATTGTAGGAAACCCATTAAATTGCTGAGGAACATAAAAGAAGATTTGAAAATACAGTTCCTAGAATGGTTATATTAAATATTGTAAATAAATTCTCCCTAACTTAATCTATAACTTTAAAGAAATCTCATCCAAATTCTCAGAAAGATGTGCAAATGGGGTACAGGAGCGAGGAAAAGAAATATGATAAAGTAATTCTACTTTATCTGGAAGAAAGAATGTTTAAAAAAAAAAAAAAAAAAAGTAATGCAGGAGAATCAATGTCAGCCCTGCCAGTGTGGTTCCAATAACCACCAATATGCAGATGACTCACACATTTTTTCCCTCTAGCCCAAATGTATCCTTTAAGCCTATCTGCCCCACTGCCTATTCAGGATGTCTCACAGGCATTTCAAACTCAAAAGTTTCAAAAGTAAATTCATAATTTTCTCCATCTTGTCCTCCAATGCCCATTCTTCAAAGTAAAACAAAACAAAACAAAAACAAAACAAAACACACCCACACTCAGTCCTTTTCCAGTGTTTCCTCTATCTCAGCAGCAATATCATTTGCCTAGCCCCCCACCCAGAAACCAAGGACTCATCAGTCACATCTCCCTTTCTCTTAGCCCTCGACTTTCAATTCATCACTCAATCCTGCAGATGCCCCTACTTACCTCCATTTCTATCGCCACCACTCTAGACAAAGATACCATTTCACTAATACTTCCACAAGAGCTGGCTCCTAAGAGATGTCCTTCTGCACGATTCTGGCCTCCATTTAAACTATTTACCACTCCAAGGAGTGATCTTTTCTAAAAAGAAATACAGCACTATAAACTTTCTGCTTAAAAAGAGAAAATCCTGGCCAGGCACAGTGGCTCATGCCTGTAATCCCACACTTGGGGAGGCCACGGCAGGTGGATCACAAGGTCAGGAGTTCAAGACCAGCCTGGCCAAGATGGTGAAACCCCATCTCTACTAAAAATACAAAAATTAGCCAGGTGCAGTGGCAGGTGCCTGTAATCCCAGCTACTCGGGAGGCTGTGGCAGGAGAATCGCTTGAACCCAGGGGATGGAGGTTACAATGAGCCGAGATTGTGCCACTGTACTCCAGCCTGGCCAAGAGTGAGACTCTGTCTCAAAAAAAGAAAAAGAAAAAGAAAATCCTTAACTTTAACATTACCTACAATGCCCTGAATGGTTTAGTCCTATCTTACCCCTCTAGCCACATCTCATATACCACTCTTCCCCATTCTCTGCACTCTAGTCAGTGAATCCCTCTCAGCTTCTTGTAAAAACCAGGCTCACTCCTACCACTGGGCTGTTGTGTGGGTAGTTTCCTCTGAACCTTTCACCTGATTGCAACTCTTTTCTCAGCTCTTGGCTCAGTCACTGCTTCCTCAGGGAAGCCCTCCCTGACTGCTCTCTCTCGTTCAAAGTGCCCTTTGATACACTGTAAAATCACCATGTGCTTCTCTTTTATAGTACTTATAAGTAAGTTCACATTCTTTGTATGTGTCCACCAGGCCCCTACATCACAGGCCTCATGAAAATGAACTTTTTTCCCTCCCTATGGTACTGCCAGTTTTGAGTATAGTAGATGACACATGGTAAGCATTCAATAAATTTCAAATGAACTGGTGGATACATATGAGTTCATATCATGAAAATTGTCCCAAAAAAGAATGTTAGACTAAGAAACAACATAGAAAAAGATCAGAAACACACTCAGGATATGTAAAAGTTAAATATATAACAATGGTGGCTTCAGAATCAACATTTATTTAGTTAACAGTGTTAGAACCAGCTATTTAAAAAGTGAAAGAAAGCAATTTTTACCTCACATCACACATATATTTAATATGAACTAAATATTTAAAGGTAAAATATGAAACCTTGGAAGTCTAGAAGAAAATAAACAAATAATTCCATAGCTTGGGAAGGGCAGATAGGCAAAGCATGATGGAGACGAGAAAAGACTATATAAAGGAAATAACTGGTTAAGTTTTGGCTATACGAAAACTTTGTGTAGCCAATATAAATAATATTAATAATATTCTGCATATTAAATAACATAAAAATAAAAGGCCAACAAACTGGAAACAAATATTTGTAACATGAAACAGAGTTAAGTTTTACTATATGAAGATCTCATAATCAATAACAAAAACAGCAATAGAGAAACAGACACGGATACAGTTTTAAAATGTAATCACAAATATAAAACATATTCAATCTCAGTAATAATGAAAAAAGTACTAATTAAAACACAGTGGTGGCATTATTTACCTAACAGAATTGGTAAAAATTTCAAAGAAGATAATAGTGTTAACGAGCACGCAAATAACACTGAAAGTCAGAGAATAAATTTGTACAACACCTTTGGAGAAGGTAATCTGTCAATGTACACAAAATTTCTTAAAATTCTGTAGGCTCTTTGACTCAGCAATCCCACTTCTGAGAATTTACCCTAAGGAAATTATCATATGCATGCAAAGTTATAGCTACTAAGATGGTCTTCAAAATGTTCTTTGACATACCAATGAATCAATCAATAAATCAAGTAACACGCTCAATAGTAGGGAACAGGCAAATTTATGGCATACTCATATTGGAATATGATATCATCACTTAAAATAATGCAGAAGAACATGTGATGATACAGGAGGACATTTATGATCAATTGTGGAGTAAAAGGGCCAGGTTATAAAACACTGGATACTTCATAATCCCATTTTTCAAATGGAAACATGTTGAAAATTCATTGTGAGACAAAAATAAATCCTTTTGCAGCTCATTTTACATAATTTACATATAAATTCAGATAGGCATGGTGATTAACCCCTCCTTATAATACAAAAATCTGGTAGAAACAAAAATTTACTTACTCTTCCAATTTCTGCAGTCCAAGAAACAACAATCGTGTTTGGTACTGTTGTGGACAGTCGGACAAGTGAGGTGATATTAATTGGTCGGCTGGGTCGCTTTGGTTCCACGCCATTTTTTGTAGGTGGAAGGTAACCCTAAAAATGAAATGTAATTTATTTATACTTATTATTTCCACAATCATTTTGACTTCCATTCCTTAAGAAAAAACCCCCTACAAACTGCATACTAGAAAATATGAATGTTTTCATTAAAAAGTAGAGAAGCAAACATTTACAAGTTTCTTGTGTTATTATTTTTCCAAACAACCTTATACTCTCCTTATAGTAAACCTGAGAAAACTATTAGTGATGAAAATTCAAAATCTCTTAAATTTAAAAATCAGGATGAATTCATAACAAGCTTAGATAGGTACATGAGTAGTAGTATTTCAAGGGCACCAAAAACAGTCCTCACCCTTACCTCCTGTTTAAGACATAGCATTCTTCAAATCTCCATTCTACCATAGGCTTATAGACTCACATGAACACAGCTGAGATTTTGTTGAAAAAACTTCGCCCCAAAATCCAGTACAACACTAAAGCTACCATACCCAACTCCAAATCCTATGTCCCCAAAGCTAATGTCACTGCTGCTAACTGTACATAGTTGGTACAAGTGTTTCACCCAGTCAATGAATATATATCCAAAATAAAAATGTTTTCTTAAGGAAAAACTATGATTTAACAACAGTTGTGATGACTTATTTGATAGTTATGTTGGCAATGAATTTTAAAAAACAGCTCTTAGGACTTACTGGAAGGCTGCAAGGTTTTGTATTCACTTTCACACAAAGATTGGGTGGGAAGTGATCTTCTTGTGGACAACTGGTTTCTGATAAACAAAACCTAAACAATAAAGGACAAGTTTAATTTCCTTTATTAAAGGATGACTTCATTAGTATTATTGTTAAATAGATAAATTTAAAAGATGGTAAATTTAAAAACAACCAAAAGGGAAAACTATAAAAACTGGACTTTTCACCCTATTAATAAGTATATGTAAATAGGTTTAAAATAAATAATTCTGTCAATGTAGAGTTGTGGTAATCATGACTATCACCCTGTAGTTGTCTTCGTGATACTGCCAATTATTTGGTTAAGCATGTTCTGAGAAGCACTAGTTTCTTCAGTGATTAACAGATGTTAAAAGAAAAAAAGACTCGTTAGTCAAATAAAATTAAGAAATTCTGAATCAAAACAATTAAATTAAGCTTCCTTAATACAGAACTTTTCAGAGCTTTTAATAGGCTAATAAGCATTATAAATCTCTAAGAGGAAGACCTACCACCTGTATGCAGTATTTTCCAAATTTATTTGCCTATGAAACACTTTTCTGGTTCTTAGCAGAAAATACTGAGAATGCTTTTAAGTCCATCCCCAGGATCAGTAAGCCAAAGTACTCCTTATTTTTTGAGAACTGAAGATATTGAATATTATTTGTGTTATAGCCACATAAATTTAGAATACTATTTTAGAAACTTATAAAAATATTTCTAAATTAAATGCAGTCTTTTGGAAAAATCAAGGAAAGATACATAATTCATAAATTCTCAGTCTATTCACTCTTATTACTATTTTGCTATTTAAGGCATTTATTCTTTATTAGTACCTATTCTCAATATACACCTAAGGCTCATTGCACTGTTATAGAATGCTAATAGCACCCCTGAGTTACATAGTAGGGAGAACCCTATCTCCGAAATCTGTGAAATATTCCTCATGTGCCAACAACTCCTCTCAACACCTGCGGTATGGGGTCTTAACCTGCTGGCCATGAAATCTGAGTACGGGGATCGTGCACAATATAAAACAATTTTATATGTAAATTATTTTGAGTACATATACATGTTCAGTTTTATAGGGAAACCATTCACAGCTTCTATCAAATTCTCAAAGGGATCAGGGATCCATAAAAAAGTTAAGATTTACTGATCTACAAAGATTTTCTAGAAATATACTTAGCAAACAGATGTCAAAGCTCACAGGACCACTCCTAACCCCAGCAGAACCTTCCATTACAGGCTAATTCTTTAGGCTGCAATAGTTAAAAGGATGTCACAGTTTTTAAATAATTATTCCAATGCAGTGATCAATTTAAAACATGGACCCTGGCTGCCTGAACCCTTTCCTATAGGAAAAGAGTAATTTAAATGACAAGACAGTGTCTATTCAACTAATCTAAATCACCCTAATGAACTGAAGAGAAAAAAGAAAAAAAGGAATAGCAGAAAGTTTCTGTGAAGTGGTTCATGGGGCAGAGAGGAGGGAGTGGAGCAGGGAGGCACAACATAAATGAAAACAGACTAGGTGTCTAATAAAGAAAACTTGGATCCTAATTCTCAACTAATTATTTTTATGCTTTAGATAAACATTTCTAATTAGGATAGCAGATAGGCATACACTCCTAACTTAAATAATACACTATGGTTGCAGACCTAGCAACGTGGGGCAGGGAGAGAGATGAACTGTTTTATTAAAACACAAAGAACCACCTAACAATTACCAAATATAACACAACATGGTTCTTTTTTTTTTTTTTTTTCCAAGTCCTGGAGATACATTTCAATTAAAATAGCAGTCATCAAGATACCCTTGGAATCTCTGAATTATAGCTCATCTATCTAGACAACCTTACTTCAAAATGTGGACCACACCTGTTGCTGCTTTAAAGAATGTATGTATATTAATACAAAATACTTAGTAACTAGATCTTTTATTCTAAAGCTACGGTTTTTAAACTTTATTTTAGTCTTGGGACCCTGTCTTTAAGCAAAAATTAACCCAGAGTCAAACATGCAAAACAGATAAAAGAGATAAAAGAAGCCCCACTTTGGTTCAGACTGTGTATGTGTTTAGGAGAGAAGAGGAGGATGGCAGAAGAGTATGAACCCCTAAGGGTGGCTCCATGCAACAAGTTTGAAAACCACTGATTTAAAGGATAATGTCAAGTATCAGCACAAGCAAAATGTAAACTGTTGAGGCAGGAAGTAAAGAAGACTACAGCAATACATAATTAACTATGGAGACATCTTATTTTTGTCCTTTAATTTCTTCAGTCATTATCACAATCTGGCCGACATAAAATATACCTTTTATACAGAATCATCTTTAGCAGTGCCTTCCAAAACTGAAACTTAGATTATCACTAGTCTACTGCAGTAAGGTCCTGTCATACTGTTTTATGGTATAAAAGTTATTAAGTATAGTCATATCCTCTTTAGAATCTTCAACTCAACTTTCGACTTCAACTCTGCTTTCTCACTGTTTTTACCTTATTATTTCAAAGCTTAGATGAGAGGTTTTCACATGGTTCCATGAAGTGCTGAACAGGCGTTTTAGATTAATCCCTTTTTTAGCCTCCTAGTGTATTTGTAACTTGTACATACAACTTAGTATCTGATTATTGAGACAAGGCTAACTGTTTGATTTATCCTCCTGACAATTATAGGGAAAACAGCTTACTGAGGAAAACAACTGTCTTATATTTTCTCTTCCATCCCTATTCCAACAGTGTGGACATTTAAGTTGGTAAATCGAATAATAAAGCATAATATGATGGTTTATATAAGGGAGATATATATATATATGTATATAAAAGGGAGATATATAAGGGAGAGAAATAATACAAAATATTTCTTAGATATTCTAAGACAAATGAATGGGCTAAGAAAAGAAACTCAATAAGGGGTTGTGAATCCATGTTGGAAAATTTCCCATTAGTCTTTGAACATTTTTAAGAGATGTCTCAAATGGATCCTAAATTAGAGCATATTTAAATTATTTAAAATACAGAACAAAACAAATTAGAATATTTTGATGTTTGTTAGTCCATGACATACTGTAGACTTAAGTACTAATTCCTTATCCACAGTACTTTGCCTCTTATGGAGATAAGGCCCATGCTTTCATAAAACTTGATATGATATTGTAAGATATCATTAGCTGGAGCTTCTCAACCAACTGAGGGCAATCAAATATGGTTAGATATATAGAACATGACTTGCTATATTGAAATCTAAACTGGGGGGTGGGCGGGCAGGGGAAAAATCTAAATTGGATGAAAATTAGAATATCTCATAACAGGAGAATGTTTTCCCTCACCCAAATATCTAAACCTAATATTTTCAATACACTTATTGAAAAATCAGGTAGATTTCCTCTTATTCCTTAAAATTTTTTTTCCATTTCCCCTTCCTGATAAGGAATATTATCTTTTAAACTTTGAATATATCCTACAGTCAGCACTGTACCTTAACTGGACCCGTACTGTGAAAAGGAATATTATCTTTTAAACTTTGAATATATCCTATAGTCAGCACTGTACCTTAACTGGACCTGTACTGTGAAGTCACATTTGGTCCCAGAAATATCCCTAGAAGAGACAGAATAGGAATTACAATTACTTTTAAAGTATTTGCATGAAAGTTCATTCAAAGACCTTGTTACTCCAGAAAAGTTTTTCAAATTATCATAAATATAACTGTTCTTACAGTAACTAACACACTATACTTTCATTACTAATATTTGCATCACACAAATACTAACTCACCAATCACTGTTTTTTAAAATCATTTATTATAGACTACTGGATTCAAAGGTCAAACTTCAAGTTACACTTGACGACAACTTACATGGAACTACTGATTTGCTGCACTTGTTGTGGTGTCAAGGCAAATGCAAAACAGGTTTCTCGAAAGCGCTGACTGTTGTCTGATGCTAAAGAAGACAAGAATTATACTTTCAATTACCTTTAAATTCGCCAGTAAAGACAAAAGCAAAAAAAAAAAACACACATGTCTTTAATTAACTGGTATATATTCTAGAGTTTAGATAACAAGGCAATTAAAGCACTGAAAAATAAGAAATACACTAATTGTAACATAACAAACAGAAATAGAAACAAAAATGGCTAATTCCAGAATAACACATCAGGATTCAAATTCAGACAATACATAATCAAAGAAAGACTAAGGAAAATTTATCTAATCATATAAATGTTTGCATCTAAAGAGCACACTTGTATAAAAACATACGAATTTTATTTAAAATAGAATGATATAAACCCATTTAAAGAGACATGGTTTCTGGAAGAAGTAACAAACATACCCACCTTGAGAGCTAGACAGGTGAGATGACATTTGGTTTATAAAGTAAATTAAGAATTTTATCATCTCCTGTTTAACTCTACCATGCAAGTTTTATACAATAAATATCACATACAGTTTTTCTCCTAATCTTAGATGAGTTCAAAATTTGCTTATTGTCACTAACTCAAAGAAGGAAAAGAGTTGTAAAAAACAGAAGAGAATTAAGAAAGGAAGGAAGGGAGGGGAAGAGAGGTGGGAAGAAAGAGAAACGCATGCAAGCAGGTAGGTAAGCACAGTCAGACTAGACCAGGGGTTCTAAAGTATGCCGTTATGAGCAACAATAGTTCCATTAAAGGCTTTTTGTTTGCTTTTTTAAGAGACAGGGTCTTGCTCTGTTGCCCAGGCTGGAGTACAGTGGCACCATTATAGCACAAACTCAAACCCCTGGGCTCAAAGTGATCCTCCTGCCTCACCCTTCTAAGTAGGTAGGACTATAGGCATGCATCACCACATCCATTGGCTTTTAGTACATGTTAGATACATTTTTTTTTTAAAACAGTGGTTAATATCCCTTTTGCTCACTAATGAGCCCTCAGTGCTTGGCACAAAGAAGCACTGAATACTATTTATTTGTTGAATGAGTAAAGGAATACAAAATTTTAAGAAATAGCAGATTAAACTATTTATACTACTTTTCCAGGGTAATTTTCTAGAAGAAAATGATCACTAAGAGTTATTATTAAGAAACTATCGGCTTCTGGGGCACTTAAGGCCTGTGCTGAATAAGCAGCTGAAGTTGGCTGTTTCAATCTCTTGCTTAAACTGAGTTTGATCATACTTGCAAGAAACACTTCCTTTACAACTTCCAACCAAACTGCAATATGTCACGCAAAAAGTCGATACCAAACGTATCATTAAGAGAAAGAAATAGAAAAGAGCACTTGTTGATCTAGAATTCTATCTCAACATTAACAGTATCTTTAAAAGGCTAGGTTTGCTTTCTGCTTTATGTGTTCTAGGATGGCTTTTTCTTAAAGAATCTATCACCAAGGAGCAGTCACTAACAGAAAAAGTTGTCTTAATTGTGAAACATCAACCTGGCAATGCCAATAACTAAGGCCCAGAATGTAGAAAACCAGCTAACATTTCCCTCTGTCAGGCAATGCAAGTAACTAACTTCTTTGCTTCTTAGAGGATGTATCTCTATCAAGATTTTAGTCCAGTAGACTTAGCCTAATTTAAATCGTTGGCTCTATTTTTAAAAAGTGCTAAAATAATTTCTCAAGTCCAAAAATTCATATTACTCTCTAGGCAAAATTTCAGATGCATTTTAGAATATATGACTACAGTAAGTTTTGGATATATATAGGTTTAGAAAGAGAAGATATAACTAAAATAACAAGGCTATTTCTTATGTCACAAATAAAAATCAGGTTTCTTACTTAATAATAGCCCCTACACTTCCATCTCCATTTATATATACATTGTAATGCTCATGGGGTTGCTACTGTTTATCTAGAATAGCACCTTTCACACTTTGTAGTTTTTGGGCTTAATTGCTGTTACAAATGACAGTGAAGTCTATAGTTTTGGTTTTAGATAAAACTATTTAAAAACCTTTCTGAAAGTGAAGTAAGCTACCATTAGCCCTTTCAAAAAAATTCTGGACAAAAAGAATTACAGAATCTTCATACTGAAATGAGTCTTACAAAATCATCCAAAACAATGACCTCCAATGTTGGGGGTATACATTTCCATGGGTACAAAAGACAATCCACAGGGATACAGAAAAAAGTATCTATCTGCAAAACAAAGTTTTATAAAGATGAGATTTTACATAAAACCTGAAATCTAATTTATAAAAAAACTAAAATGTTATATAAAATCTTAATCTTTTTAAACTCTTATTTTTCCTATAGGTTAAAAAAATTAACTGACAAATAATAATTATACATATTAATGGGGTTCACGGTGATGTTTTGACACATACAGTATATAGCGATCAGATCAAGGGAATTAGCACACACATCATCCCAAATGTTTACCATTTCTTTGTACTGGGAATGTCCTATATGCTTTACAACATATGAGTACAATAGTTTATGTATAAGCTACATATATAGTATGTACAAGTACTTTGCTAAGAGGTACTTATGATCAAATAAGTTTGCAGATCATTGATCTAGAGTTCAACCTTCCTTTCAACCTTTCCATTCATTCTCTGTTTGAACCCTTTTAGACATGTGTGAGATGTGGCCTTTACTTTGTCAGGCAGATGATGACTGGTGATGAACAGTTTAATTGTAAAAATGCTTGCAGCCCAACAGAGAGTAGTAGAATATTGTAGAAAGGGACAAGATTACACAGACCTGGATTCCAAACCGGTTTTGCCACTTACGTGCCATGTGACCTTGGGTATTCATTCACTCTGAGTCTTTCTTCCAATATTTAAACACAGAAACATACACGCTCTGTTAGGATTATTTTGAAGAATGTAAATGAGTAACATATTGAAAACAACCAATAATTTCCTTTTCTTCTCACTTTTCTCCTTACCACTATACTGAGTCAAAATATATGAGGCCGTAACTTCCACCCACTGATGCCACACAGCACTGAACTAATCTCACCATCCAGTGACAGCCATTCTTCAAATATTTGAAGAGACTTAATATGCCCCTCCCTTTCCAATGACTCTTCCCACTGTATTTTAGTAAAGATTTCAGAATTACTCACTGTCCAAATCTTCCTCCTCCAGACGTACCCCAGGTTGTTACACCCTTATTAAAGTGACAGAACTGGCTGGGCATGGTGGCTCACGCCTGTAATCCCAGCACTTTGGGAGACTGAGGCGGGCAGATCATCTGAGGTCAGGAGTTCAAGACCAGCCAGGCCAACATGGTGAAACCCTGTCTCTACCAAAAATACAAACATTAGCCAGGTGTGGTGGCATGCGCCTGTAATCCCAGCTACCTGGGAGGCTGAGGCAGGAGAATAGTTTGAACCTGGGAGGCAGAGGTTGCAGTGAGCCGAGATCGCCGCACTGCACTCCAGCCTGGGCAACAAGAGTGAAACTCCGTCTCATTCATTCATTCATAAATAAATAAATAAAGTGACAGAACTGGACAGCACTGTCACAGCACATATCATTTGTTCAAAATATGTGTTGCCCTTCTGTATTGGCCTATCCCAATGGGAGGATAATGTTCAGGGCCATGGACATTACCCTTGGTCAATGAAATAGGAGTGGTAGTGTACCACTTTCAAGCAGTTCAAGAGGCACCTAAGGCTTTACTGTCTTTGTTTCCCCTCTGCCTTGATCCCAGAGCAAACAAAACATATAGCAGAGTCACAGTCTACAGCTAGTTAAATAACATAAGTGGGAAAGAAGCTTTATTTCTTTGGTTATTTTTTCTTTCTTTTTTAGAGACAGGGTCTTGCCCTGTTCCCACGCTAGAGTGCAGTGGCATGATCATAGCTCACTGCAGCCTCAAACTCCTGTGCTCAAGCAATCCTCCTGCCTCAGTCTCTACAGTAGCTGGCACTACAATAGTGGGTGCCACCATGCCCGACTAATTTTTTTTATTTTTTATTTTGTAGAGATGAGGTATTGCTGTGTTGCCCAGGCTGAACTGGAATGCCTGGCCTCAAGAATCCTCCCACCTTGGCCTCCCAAAGTCCTGGGATTACATGCCCAAATCTTCTTTAGTTGTTTCTAATAGTTGTTAGCCATTGAGATCTAAGGTTGCTTCTAAGTTGATTGATATATTCTTCCAGATGTGATGTCAGTAGAACACTACTTTCATTAACTACTTTCTAGTAGTTAATCCATACAATAATCATGAAGACAATGTTATCAGACCATTTTTCAGATGAAGAAATTGAGGTTCAGAGTAATTACTAACTTGTCAAGCCTTCAAATTTGTAAGTAGAAAACTCAGAACTGGAACTCAATCTGTACATCTCCTGCCTCCAAAGTCCGTGTTCCTCTCATAACATAGGTTTATTAGCTCTCTTGATCTCGGTGCTGTACTCCTACCAGTGCAGCCTTGCATTACACTGGATCACAGAAAATCGGAAAAGAATTACCTATTATCCTCTTATTGTAACTGCTTATGACTTTTATCTATTTCCTTCCAGTCATTCTCATATCAAACTATAGATACAATATGAAAGCTTGCTTTAAAAAAATTACCCTTATTACATTTTCAATTGCAGTCTCTATTACCATTTTTAATTACTGTATTCTCTCAGGGGACATATGAACATTTTAATTACTCCCCTGATTAGTCATTTAGGTTATTTCTAATTTTTCACTATTTGAAATAACTCTGTGGATATCTTTGGGCTTAAAGGTTTGTTTTTTGGAAGGGGGGCAGGTTATTATTTTATTTGGATCAATTCCCAGGTGTGAGATTTCAGGGTCAAAAAGTATGAAGATTTTTATGAATCCTGACACATCGCAAGAGTGCTTTTCAAATGGTTGTTTTACATATAAGACCATCAGCAATTTATGCATCTAGTGATTACACTCTGGCCAGCATGGGAGTTGCTGCTAATTTAATGAATGGATCCTGGTAACTCTTGAGAAGTTTAATTCACATCTAAAATATTTCCATGTTTTGTTATTTGCTGAATTTCCTATTTAACTAATTGTCCAGCCTTGTCCTATGCCTATTTATGTATTTGCATAAGGGTTTCATATACAAGAATATTAAAACCCTGGAAATTTGCTACAAATATTTCCTCCAGTCTGCTACAATTTTTTAAATTTCATTTGGGCTATATTTTTAGATGATATAAAAGATTTTTATGTGGTCCAATCTGTCAACAATCTCCTTTTAAATTCTTCTGCTAATTCTGAACTTAGCTGTTCCTTTGCATAAATTCAATAAATACACAATTAATTTTTTGGCTTATTGTTTCTATGTAATTATTTAATATATCTGGAATTTTAGTTCATATTTTAAAAATCTAAATTTCAGCTCTTTCCACGGTCTCCCTCTGATGCCGAGCCGAAGCTGGACTGTACTGCTGCCATCTCGGCTCACTGCAACCTCCCTGCCTGATTCTCCTGCCTCAGCCTGCCGAGTGCCTGTAGCGCGCCACCACGCCTGACTGGTTTTCTTACTTTTTTGGTGGAGACGGGGTTTCGCTGTGTTGGCCGGGCTGGTCTCCAGCTCCTAACCGCGAGTGATCCGCCAGCCTCGGCCTCCCGAGGCGCCGGGATTGCAGACGGAGTCTGGTTCACTCAGTGCTCAATGGTGCCCAGGCTGGAGTGCAGTGGCGTGACCTCGGCTCGCTACAACCTCCACCTCCCAGCCGCCTGCCTTGGCCTCCCAAAGTGCCGAGATTGCAGCCTCTGCCCGGCCGCCACCCCTTCTGGGAAGTGAGGAGCATCTCTGCCTGGCCACCCATCGTCTGGGACGTGAGGAGCCCCTCTGCCTGGCTGCCCAGTCTGGAAAGTGAGGAGTGCCTCTTCCCGGCCGCCATCCCGTCTGGGAAGTGAGGAGCGTCTCTGCCCGGCCGCCATCCCATCTAGGAAGTGAGGAGCACCTCTTCCCGGCCACCATCCCATCTAGGAAGTAAGGAGCGTCTCTGCCCGGCCGCCCATCGCCTGAGATGTGGGGAGCGCCTCTGCCCCGCGGCCCCGTCTGGGATGTGAGAGCATCCGGCCGCGACCCCGTCTGGGAGGTGAGGAGCATCTCTGCCCGGCCGCCCCATCTGAGAAGTGAGGAGACCCTCCGCCTGGCAACTGCCCCGTCTGAGAAGTGAGGAGCCCCTCCGCCCGGCAGCCGCCCCGTCTGAGAAGTGAGGAGCCCCTACGCCCGGCAGCCACCCTGTCTGGGAAGTGAGGAGCGTCTCCGCCCGGCAGCCACCCCGTCCGGGAGGGAGGTGGGGGTCAGCCCCCGCCAGGCCAGCCACCCCGTCCGGGAGGGAGGTGGGGGGGTCAGCCCCCCGCCCGGCCAGCCACCCCGTCCGGGAGGTGAGGGGCGCCTCTGCCCGTTCACCCCTACTGGGAAGTGAGGAGCCCCTCTGCCCGGCCAGCCGCCCCGTCCGGGAGGGAGGTGGGGGGGGTTAGCCCCCCCCGGCCAGCCGCCCCGTCCGGGGGGTGGGGGGCGCCTCTGCCCAGCCACCCCTGCTGGGAGGTGGGGAGCCCCTCTGCCCGGCCAGCCGCCCCGTCTGGGAGGGCGGTGTGGGGGTCAGCCCCCCGCCCGGCCAGCCGCCCCATCCGGGAGGTGAGGGGGGCCTCTGCCCAGCCGCCCCTACTGGGAAGTGAGGAGCCTCTCTGCCCGGCCAGCCGCCCCGTCCGGGAGGGAGGTGGGGGGGTCAGCCCCCGCCCGGCCAGCCACCCCTTCCGGGAGGGAGGTGGGGGGGTCAGCCCCCCGCCCGGCCAGCCACCCCGTCCGGGAGGGAGGTGGGGGGGTCAGCCCCCGCCAGGCCAGCCGCCCCGTCCGGGAGGGAGGTGGGGGGGTCAGCCCCCCGCCCGGCCAGCCACCCCGTCCGGGAGGTGAGGGGCGCCTCTGCCCGGCCGCCCCTACTGGGAAGTGAGGAGCCCCTCTGCCCGGCCAGCCGCCCCGTCCGGGAGGGAGGTGGGGGGGGTTAGCCCCCCCGGCCGGCCGCCCCGTCCGGGGGGTGGGGGGCGCCTCTGCCCAGCCACCCCTGCTGGGAGGTGGGGAGCCCCTCTGCCCGGCCAGCCGCCCCGTCCGGGAGGGCGGTGGGGGGGTCAGCCCCCCGCCCGGCCAGCCGCCCCATCCGGGAGGTGAGGGGGGCCTCTGCCCAGCCGCCCCTACTGGGAAGTGAGGAGCCCCTCTGCCCGGCCAGCCGCCCCGTCCGGGAGGGAGGTGGGGGGGTCAGCCCCCGCCCGGCCAGCCACCCCTTCCGGGAGGGAGGTGGGGGGGTCATCCCCCCGCCCGGCCAGCCGCCCCGTCCGGGAGGGAGGTGGGGGGGGTTAGCCCCCCGCCCGGCCAGCCGCCCCGTCTGGGGGGTGGGGGGCGCCTCTGCCCGGCCGCCCCTACTGGGAAGTGAGGATCCCCTCTGCCCGGCCAGCCGCCCCGTCCGGGAGGGCAGTGGGGGGGGTCAGCCCCCCGCCCGGCCAGCCGCCCCGTCCGGGAGGTGAGGGGCGCCTCTGCCCAGCCGCTCCTACTGGGTGGTGAGGAGCCCCTCTGCCCGGCCAGCCGCCCTGTCTGGGAGGGAGGTGGGGGGGTCAGCCCCCCGCCCGGCCAGCCGCCTCGTCTGGGAGATGAGGGGCGCCTCTGCCCGGCCGCCCCTACTGGGATGTGAGGAGCCCCTCTGCCCGGCCACCACCCCGTCTGGGAGGTGTACCCAACAGCTCATTGAGAACGGGCCATGATGACAATGGCGGTTTTGTGGAATAGAAAGGGGGGAAAGGTGGGGAAAAGATTGGGAAATCGGATGGTTGCCGTGTCTGTGTAGAAAGAAGTAGACATGGGAGACTTTTCATTCTGTTCTGTACCAAGAAAAATTCTTCTGCCTTGGGATCCTGTTGATCCGTGACCTTACCCCCAACCCTGTGCTCTCTGAAACATGTGCTGTGTCCACTCAGGGTTAAATGGATTAAGGGCGGTGCAAGATGTGCTTTGTTAAACAGATACTTGAAGGCAGCATGCTCGTTAAGAATCATCACCACTCCCTAATCTCAAGTACCCAGGGACACAAACACTGCGGAAGGCTGCAGGGTCCTCTGCCTAGGAAAACCAGAGACCTTTGTTCACTTGTTTATCTGCTGACCTTCCCTCCACTATTGTCCTATGACCCTGCCAACTCCCCCTCTGCGAGAAACACCCAAGAATGATCAATTAAAAAAAATAAATAAATAAAATAAAATAAAATTAAATTAAAAAAACAAAAAAAAAAATAAAAAATAAAAATAAAAATCTAAATTTCAGTACTCCAAATTGCTTACTGTTACACTAACACCATTTGTTAAATAAACTTTCCCTTCCCTATGGATATGTGTGCTTCTTTTATCATATATTAAATCCTTATGTCCTGTATGTTTCATTCTGGACCACGTTCCCAATTATCTTTTTTATCCTGGTGCTGGTACTCTATTTTTTGTTATAGCTTCACTGTTTCATTATCTTATAGTTAGGTTTTTCTCTATCCATTTTTTTTAATTCATCTAGATGAATTTCCAAATCTTTTTGTTATGATTTTTAAAGCTCAATAGTATTTTGAATAGAATTACAATAAACCTATGAATTATTTTGAGAGCTGATATATTTACATCTTTAACCTTCCTGTCTTGGACTATTGCACCTGTGTCCATTTATTCATATCTTCAAGGTTTTATTTCTATCATAGATTAGTTACACTGTTCCCATTAATGTCATTCTTAGTAAAATACCTACCAATAGAAGAATGATTGAATAAACATTCATAGAATACCCTAAAACCAAAGAAAGAATGAAGATGATTTCTATGTGTTGGTATGGGAGTGATCTCTCTAAGATACATCATTAAAGTGACAACGACAATATTAAAAAAATACAGTATGCTACTACTTTCTGTGTAAGAGAGGAAGTAATAATACATAAAGCTACTGGCTTTTTTCGGAAAAAAAAAAAGAAAAGAAAAGAAAACCAGAAGGATAAACTGAAATTAATTAAAAATGATTACCTATGAGAGACAGAGAATGGGATAAGAAATAGGAAGAATTTTAATAGTTTTCTAGTTAATTTTTACGTTTAAATCAAATTCAAAAGATAAAACTGAGCAAAAATGAGTATTTCTAACTTTTTAATATTTATATTTTGCGTGGACTCTCACTTTGGTTGTTATTCAAAGTGGTTATTACATAATTTCGGTTTTTGTTCTTCTAAGCTCTATTTTGCCACTCAAATTGAACTTAACCCTAGTTTTATAGCCAATTCCTTAGGATTTGCAGATAAACCTTCCCTTAACCATAAGTAAGGAAAAATTTAATTTTCCTTTCTAACATTTATACCTCTAGTTCTAATTCATGTCTTATTGTATAGGCCAGAACTTTTACAAGAATATTTGTAGATCTTCCAGGGTGACTTCTTTGCTGTAAAATTTGATGTACCTTTAACATTGTAGTTTCCTTTTTTTTTTAGAGACAGAGTCTCACTCTGTCACCCAGGCTGGAGTGCAGTGGTGCCATCTCGGCTCACTGCAACCTCCACCTCCCAGGTTCAAGTGATTCTCCTGCCTCAGCCTCCCGAGTAGCTGAGACTACAGGTGAGGGCCACCACGCCCTGATTTTTTGTATTTTTAGTAGAGACGGAGTATCACCGTGTTAGCAAGGATGATCTCAATCTCCTGACCTCGTGATCCGCCCGCCTCAGCCTCCCAAAGTGCTGGGATTACAGGTGTGAGCCACCATGCCCGGCCAACACTGTAGTTTTTAACAATCACCCACAAAGCTGCTTCAAAACATACATGTCTGGGAGTTTAGCCCCCACTGGGAATAATTCTGATGCACCTCCATTATTAGTAACTACCTCTAGGGTTCTTCTTTCTTTTTTTCTTTTCTTTTCTTTTTTTTTTTTTTTAGAGGAGGTTTTGCCACATTGCCCAGGCTGGTCTCAAACTCCTGAACTCAGACAATCCACTTGCCTTGGCTTCCCAAAGTGCTGGGATTACAGGTATGAGCCACCACGCCCAGCCTAGGATTTTTTTTTTAAACTAATAAATAAATACCCAGCAATCCCACTTCTAGGTATTTACCCAAAAGATTCGAAAACAGTATGTCAAAGAGATGTCTACACTCCCATGTTCATTGCAGCACTATTCAAAATACCAAGTACGGAATCAACCTAAGTGTTCATCAACAGATGAATGGATAAAGAAAATGTGGTCCTAAATAAGTATACATAATGGAAAAGCATTCAGCCTTAAAACAGAGAGAGATTCTGTCATTTGTGACAAACATGAATGGAATTAGACAATACTATGCTTATTAAGTGAAATTAGCCAAATACAGAAAGACAAATACTGCATGCTCTCACTTATATGTGGAATCTAAAACAATCAAACTCATAGAAACAAAGAGTAGAATGGTGGTTACCAGATATGGTTAGAAGATAGGAGAAATAAGTTTTTTTTTTAATAAGATCTTATTGCACAACACAGTGAACATAGCTAGTAACATTTTAAAATTGCTAAGAGTAAATTTCAAATGTTCTCATCACCTAAAAAATGTAAAATAGTTGTGGAAATTGATTAACATATCAGCTTGATACATTAGTTGATTTAAGCATTTCACATGGTAGTCGAAGATCGTAACATCACTCTGTGCCCCATAAATATATACATCTATAATTTTTCAATAAATAAATATAAAGCTGTCTGTTGACTATAAAGATTCCCTATAATGTTAAAGAACACTTTTTCTACTTCTTTTTAAAAAAATTATTAATGGGCATTTAATTTTATGAAACCTTTTAAAGTTTCTATTTAAACTCCAAATAAGCTAATGGATTCTTGGAGTCAGAAGTCCGCGTGCTTACCCCAGTTCTGTCATTCAGTAATTGTGTGACCTTGGGCACACTGTCTGACATTTCCATGCTTCAATTTCTTCATCTAGGTAATATAACCCTAGAGAAACCTTAGAATTATTTTGATAACTAAATAAAAATATAAAACCGCTTATAACAGTGCCTACCTAACCCAAAGTAAGCAGTCAATAAATGTTAGCTATTATTACATCTGATGAATTAATATATTTCTTAATACTGAACTATTTATGACTTCTGGATAGAGGATATATATCTCTATCAAGGTTTTAGTCCAGTAGACTTAGCCTAATTTAAATCTTATTATTCCTCCAATATTCTGATAAATTCTACCAGTTAATATTTTAAGGAACACAACTATATTCAAAAAGTGAAACTGAATGATAGCTTTTTTTTTTTTTTTTTAAGTGTTACCTTTGTTTCTTTGTATTCCTCTTTGGCCTGCTTACTTTTTAATAACTGAGAACATTTTGTAGTATACAGAAATTGTTTATTCCTCAAAAAAAGTTCTGAAGAATTTACCAGCAAATGTATCAAACCCAGAGTTTTTCTTTTTTTAAAAAGTAGTTCTTTGATAATATTGTCAAGTTATCAGTATATCACATTTTATACATTATTTTCACTGCATATACATGTAGAAAAAAACATTTGGAATGTTTAATATATCTGGAAACTTCATAGAGGTTTCTGAAATTTATTAACATATAACTGTGTAAATGTATTGCTCCTAATATTTATATACATATATTTCTTCTATGTGATTTAAATCTACTTTCTATGGTTGATTTTGTTTAATCAGATCTGCAAGAAGCTTATATATTTTGCCTCTTTCATAAGCCTTTTTCTTTTAAGGTTTATTTATTAATTCCACCTTTTTTCCTATTTTTAAAAAATCTTTATTTTTAATTTTTGTGGGTATACAGGTGTATATATTTATGGGGTATATGAAATATTTTGATACAGGCATGCAATGCGTAATAAACTATTTTTTCTAGTTTCGTATGGTGAAATATTGCTTCCCCCCCTCAAAATGAACATATCTTTTTTATTTCCAATTATAGAAAATATGCAATACTCACTGTAAAAAACAAAAATTAAAACCACAAGAGATTACAAAATAAAAGTCTACCCCATAATCTAGCTGCTTCCCTACAGGATGAAGAAAACCCCTGAACATTATGAAAAATTTGGTATACAACTATAGGGACTTATAAGCACACATAAATCTATGTAAGAGTGTGTGTGTGTGTGTGTGTGTGTGTGTGTGTGTGTGTGTGTAAATACAATTATTTTGCAATCTGCTTTTTCATTAAGATTTTAAGTTTTGAGGACATGTTTTCATTTCAACATATACATAAATTATCTAATCCACTTCAATGTCTGCAAAGTATCCACTATATAAACACAATTTAAAAATAATTTTTACCTTTATCTTTAATATACTACTTCTATTTTTCTTAAATTTTATACTAAATTCTTGGTTCTTCATCTTTTTAAATCATAAAAGCATGCAGTGTTTTCTTTTGGCTTTTCATTAATGCCTTATTTTCATAATTTATTTTTTTAATGTCATTTTAAAAATCTTTGTTTTAGTATACTCACAACAACAACTTTTATAGTTTCTGCTGTTTTGAATTAGCTATTATGTTTACGGTCAAGTATATATATAGCTTTATAAATATTGCAGACACTTGAAAAGTAACTGGGCCAGGTGCAGTGGCTCAGGTCTGTCAACCCAGTGCTTTGGGTGGCTGAGGCAGAAGGATCACTTGAGGCCAGGAATTTGAGAGCAGCCTGGGCAATATAGTGAGACCCTGTCTCTACAAAAAATAACTTTAAAATATCAGCCAGGTGTGGTGGTATGTGCCTACAGTCCTAGTTACTCAGGAGGGTGAGGTGGGAAGGGCTGCTTGAGCCCTGTAGTTCGAGGTTACAGTGAAAAATGATCGTACCACTGCATTCCAGCCAGAGTGACAGAGAGACCCTGTCTCTAAAAAATAGTAATACACTGTATCCTCTAATATTTATAAGTTACAAAGTTTAAGAAATACATGTTATATAACACATTATATATTAAAAGTTTTTTTCTGTTTATCACTGATTACTGCTGTTTATCCATGTCTTTTAGTTTTCCAAGAGAAAAAAAATTATTTCTATTTTAGATTTTCATTATCAATGTTTATCTTTTCTAACATTTATTTATTGTACATTCTGTGACTGCTTCTCAAGTTTGTCCTCTGTTCTACTAATTTGATTTTCTACAATACTATTTCTCACTTCCAATGAAGACTTAATTTTGGATACTGCGTCCATTTGTTGGAATGCAAACAGGAACAGACCCTTCAGAGAAACTCATTCTCAATTCCTAATACCACTGAGAAAGGTTATTACTTCTAGCAGAATCTGGAATGTTTTAACAGATGATGTTCTAATAAAAAACAGTCATATTTTTAGAATCTGCTGCTTTTTCTCATTTGTTCCAAAAAAAATTTTTTTTTAGATCAGAATTCTCAAATCCAGCTATACAACAGAATAACTTGGAGAACTAAAACCACACCCTAGCCAACAACCAATCCCACTAATTGTGAGATCCAGATATAATATTTCTTAAAGGTTTTCCAGGTTGGCCAGGAGCAGTGGCTCACACCTGTAATCCCAGCACTTTGGGAGGCCGAGGCAGGTGGATCATTTAAGCCTGGGCAACAAGGCAAAACCCTGTCCCTACTAAAAGTACAAAAATTAGCTGGTCGTCGTGGCACACGCCAGTAACCCAAGTTACTCAGGAGGCTGAGGCAGGAGGATCACCTGAGCCTTGGGAGGTTGAGACTGCAATGAGCTGTGATTGGGCCACTGCACTCTAGTATGGGCGGCAGAGTGAGTCCCTATCTCAAAAAATAAGTAAATAATAAAGTTTTCCAGGTGATTCTAAATGGGCAGCCATATTTGAAAATTCCCATTCTAGACTGCTAAGTTGAACTGCCTAAACAAAAGATCTAAAGGGAGAAAAAGGCCAGGCATGGTAGCTCACGCCTGTAATCCTAGCACTTTAGGAGGCTGAGGCACACAGATCACTTGAAGTCAGGAGTTCGAAACCAGCCTGGCTGACATGGTGAAACCCCATCTCTACTAAAAATACAAAATAATTAGCTGGGCGTGGTGGCGTGCACCTGTAATCCTAGCTACTTGGGAGGCTGAAGCAGGAGAATTGCTTGAACCCTGCAGGAGGAGGTTGCAGCGAGCTGAGGTCACACTACTGTACTCCAGCCTGGGCAATAGAGCGAGACTCCATCTCAAAAATAAATAAATACATAAATAAAATAAAATGAAAACAAAAGGAAAAAAGTGGTCTTGGTAGAGATTGCTAGCTTAGCACATCATCTTCTTTTACTCTATCCTAAAATTCCAATAAAAGGTCAGTAAAGATTTTTCTTTGCTTGCCTGTTTTGTTTTTGTGTTGTAAAAGAATAAACCCAAATGAGGAGAAAGAAATAGGAGGGCAACAAAAAGTGTAGAAACTGGAAAGCAAATATATGAGTGGTAACAAAGTTACCAAAGAAAAACGCATCCTCAACTAGCAGTGAAGCTGAGTGAAATAGGAGAACTGATCTAATTTATAATGCAAAATACCTGTACAAGTGGGGCTAACAGAATATAGCTAAAGCAAGGGGAATTTCTTGAAAACCTGCTTATGAAGTTATCAGATCCCCAGGTCCATTCATCCTCTCTAGTTAGCTAGACAACTGCCCTTCCTTCATCCTGCAAAAGTCAGATAGAACTGCTCAAAAAAAAAGAAATTCAAAACTGGAACTGGGTCTATAAAGCTTGATGTCACATTCAGGTTTAAAAAATGACCAGGCGCGGTGGCTCAAGCCTGTAATCGCAGCACTTTCGGAGGTCAAGGCGGGCAGATCACAAGGTCAAGAGTTCAAGACCAGCCTGGCCAACATAGTGAAACCCCATCCCTACTAAACATACAAAAATTAGCCCAGCATGGTGCGCCTGTAGTCCCAGCTACTCGGGAGCCTGAGGCAGGAGAATCACTTGAACCCAGGAGAGGTTGCAGTGAGCTGAAATCATGCCACTGCACTCCAGATTGGGTGACAGAGCAAGATTTCATCTCAAAATAAATAAATTAATTAAAATAAGTCAAAAAAAATGAACAGACATGCCAGCACGACTAAGTATCAGAGGAAAGCCTTCAATGTGGAATAATGGTGACCAAAATGACCAAAAAAAAAAAAGGTAGCTGGGAACAGGCAGAGATTATGCAACAATTAGATAAATTTCCAAAGGCTCCGAAAAAAGCTACCATTTATAACCATGGTACAACTATAAAACAATTAACCAAGGCCAGGCGCGGTGGCTCATGCCTGTAATTACAGCATTTTGGGATGCTGAGGCGGGTGGATCACTTGAGGTCAGGCCAACATGGTGAAACCCCGCCTCTACTAAAAATACAAAAATTGGCTGGGCGTGGTGGGACACGCCTGCAATCCCAGCTCCTGGGAAGGCTGAGGCATAAGAATCACTTGAATCCGGGAGGTGGAGGTTGCAGTGAGCCAAGATTCCAACACTGTACTCCAGCCTGGGTGAGAGCCAGCCTTGTCTCAAAAACAGAAACAAAAACAATTAACTAGTTATTGTTTAAAAAAAAGAAACATCTGTATTTTATATGTATACACAAAGTTCTTGGAGGGTAAAAATACGATGCACAAAGGAAAAGCTCAATAGACAGGCTGGACAATAAAGTTCAGGATATCTCCCAGAAAGTAAAGCAAAAAGACAAGGAGGAAGAAAACAGGTTTGAAAATTAGAGGGTTAGTCTGGGAATAGGAGTTCCAAAGAGAGAACAGAGAAAACAGAAGGAAGGAAATAAGAAATAATTAATGAAATAATTCAAGACAAGTTCCTACAAGTAAAGAACAAGTTTCCAGATTACCACTGTATTCCCAATATAATGGCTAAAATTGGTTCATATGGCAATAAAATTTCAGAACACTGCACATAAAAAGAATCCTACATGTTTCTGGAGAGGTGGGGCAAGAACAGGTTACAGAAAAAGATCAGAAACTGGTCTGGGGCGCAGTGGCTCATGCCTGTAATCCCAGCACTTTGGGAGGCTAGGGCAGGAGGATTGCTTGAGGCCAGGAATTTGAGGTCAGCTTAGATCAGCATAGCAAACCTGTCTCTACAAAAAATAACAAAATTAGCCAGGCATGATAACACAGGCCTTAGACTTGGCTACTCAGGACGCTGAGGCAGGAGGATGGCTTAAGCTCAGGAGTTTGAGGCTGCAGTGAGCGATAATCATGCCACTGTACTCCAGCCTGGGTAACACAGTGAGACCCTGTCTCTAAAAAGGAGAAAAAAAAAATCGGAAACCAGCCTAACTTTGAACTTTTCAACAACACTATAATTAGAAGGCAATGGAAAAATTAATGCCTTCAAAATTCTAAAGGAAAATTATTCTTATGTTGAAGTCTACACCCAGCCAAATTATCAAATAAAGTATGGGTATAGAATAAAACATTTTCAGGCATGCTTTATTTAAAAAATTACCTTCCATGCAGCTTTTTCCTATGAACTACTAAGAGATATGCCACACTAAAAAGAGGGAGAAAACTAAGAAAGAACAGGACATGGGCCTATGAAATACAAGATTAACACAGGCAAGAGGCAAAATAATATCTGAGATGTAATGAAAGAAGACCTCAAGATGACAGAGTATCCTGTGTTTGGGTTTAGCAGAGTATCAGTTCAGAAGGCTCTGGTAGGGAATTCTCATAGAACATGAAATTGACAGAATTACCTCATGCACATGAATTTAGACATTCATCTTATCCATCTGGAGATTTACACAGTGGCAAAAAAATTTTGGCAATGAATGAGAAATAAGTACACAGGGGGAAAAAAAAAGAAAAGAAAATGACCAGAACAGGGAAAATAAAAAGGTATTCAAGAAATGAAAAATAGTTCACTACATTGCTCACTTACAAATAGTGTTTACATAGTCATAATAAAGTATAAATGGGATGATCCAAACAAAATTACAATATAATCAAGACAGGGCGACAAACAGATTATACGGTAGGAGTGGCAAATAAGCCAAATCTTATCTCCCATGGTGGGAAATCAATATACAATGCCTAAAACTGAAAATGCAACAATTTGCAATGCAAGCATATTACTTATACATTTTTTTAAAAGCCAAAAGAGATCAAAATACTTGCCCCTAGAAAGACAGAAATGATAGAATATGAGAACATGGGATTTTTAAAATGAGCCTATTTGACATTTTAAACTATATTCATTTATAACTTTTGGGTTTTGTTTATTTGTTTGTTTGTTTGTTTGAGCCAGAGTCTCTCTCTGTTGCTCAGGCCGGAGTGCAGTGGTGCAACCTCAGCTCACAACAACATCTGCCTCCCGGTTCAAGAGATTCTCATGCCTCAGCCTCCCAAGTAGCTGGGATTACAGGCATGCACCACCACACCCGGCTAATTTTGTATTTTTAGTAGAGATGGGGTTTCACCATGTTGGCCAGACTGGTCTCAAGCTCCTGACCTTAAGTGATCCGCCAGCCTCGGCCTCCCAAAGTGCTGGGATTACAGGAGTGAACCACCACACCTGGCTGTTCATTTATAACTTTGAATGAAAAAAAAAAAACAAAAAACAACAACAAAAAAAACCACAACCCAAGAAATAGTGGAAGTCACGACTGTGGTAAATGGGCCAAAGAAAAAATATCTGTATGTCCACAGGATAAAGATGAGATCTTCCTAACTTCTGACTGTCTTTACAGGAAATGTTTTACTTCTTTACATAGTTATAGCCATCAGTAGTTGAAGAATGCAAGAGTAATACCCTGATTCAAATTCTCTGGAATACCCATGTTATTTTTTCATTTCAAAATAAAAATAACCTCCCACCATCATTATCAATAAAGATTACACAATTATAAAAATTCAGACAATACAGACACAGAGAGATAAAGGTATTACTAGCATATACTTTCTCAGATCTTTTTGTGCATGTGTATACATATGTACACACGTATGTGTACATATATGTATACGTGTGTGTGTGTGTATATTCACACATATGTATACATATACCTATATTTAGGTTTATATTATGTCCACATCTTTGTTGCCTGTGTTTTCCGCCTATAATTATGTTTGGACATGGTACAAATACAGATCAACATTATCATTTACAATGAAGCATAGCAGTAGTGAAGGTACATCTATTTTATCAATAAATGCCCTGAAGACAGAAATTATACAAGTTTCCTTTTATAAATAAGGTTTCTATAATATCACAGAATATACTTAATTAGGTACTACTCCTGTGAGTTCACTTACATTTCTAGATGTGGCTCTGAGTAATTTTAAATTAGTTTCTAAGCAAATTGTTTCCTATAGTGCAGACTCCTCCATGTTATTTAACATAAGGAAAAATAGTCTCCATGGTATTCCATGGAAAGATTTTTTTATATATAAGGCACTTTTTAGTACAACCATGTTGTTTCTTAATCTACTAACTTTAAAATTACTTTTCTAAAATAGATACATGACATATGCCAAGACTTATAGACAAGAAAATGAGACTAAGTAGTAGTTGCAATTTTAACATTTAAAAAATGCCCCAGAACAGTAAACTCATAACTTTGTGTGTCTCTGTGTGTAAGAGGGTATGTAGAATTGCATATAAGAATTTTGGGACAGGTGTGGTGGCTCACACCTGTAATCCCAGCACTCTGGGTGGCCAAGGCAGGAGGACTGCTTGACGCCAGGAGTTTGAGACCAGCCTGAGTAACACTACAAGACACTCTCTACAAAAAGTTTTAAAAATGTGCCAGGCATGGTGGCTCACACCAGTAGGTCCTAGCTACTTGGGAGGATAAGGCAGGAGGACCACTTTAGCCTAGGAGTTTGAGGTTGCAGTGAGCTACGCTTGTACCACTGCATTCCAGCCTGGGAGACAGAATGAGACCTTCTCTCTCAAAAAGAAAAAGAAAAAAATAAAAAGAATTTTGTATGTATAACACTCTGAGATTTAGGCTTAAAAAAAAAAAAACAGCTTTTACCTTACAAGAAATGTTTCCAAGCTTCTCAATTCTTGCAGATACTTCCCAAGAAAGAAAATAAAATTCTATTTTCTTAGGGTTCCTCTAGTTGGCTTATTTAGTTGGATGAGAAACTAAATGAAAGGGAATCACTGCAGATACTGCATTGCTAAGTTTTGAAAAAATAGTGACTATTACTCTTCCAAAAATGTATTTTGGGTATATATAATAAGCACAGTGCTGATCATATCACTTCTGTTTCAAAGATTTTCATTTGTTCCCCACTTTATGAAGAGAGTCTACTCATCTTGGTGTGGCAATCAAATTAAGCTAATAGCATTTCATTTTCTTCCTATAAAACCAACCAAAATAAAATGATTAAATAATTAAAAGAAATAGGATTTATAAAGTGTTTTAGAACCACTGTGAAAGGATTTTTTTCATTGTTATTTCCTAGCAGCAACTTACTAGCCTCTAGGATTGCATTTCACTTCATGAGTTCAGGTAAATCTCACATTATCCTTTTAGCTTGGCAGAGTTCTAAACCATCCAATAGTTGCCACCTAGGACTCCCTTGTCCTTATTCCTCCCTTCTGGCTCACAAGTGATTCTTCTAGGGCCTAACTCCCTTGAGAACTATAGTTTCAATTTCTTGTTCACCACAGTATTCAACGCTATGTTACCTGCGACTGTCAGATATAAGGGTTTTGTTTGTTTATTTTTTGTCTTTCTGGTGGAACTACAATGAAGTCAACTACCATATCAACTTGGCCATTTTCCCCTTTGATGCTTCCCCTGAGAATACTGTTTTCTAGCAACTTGCCCAAGTACTCTGAGATTATCCTTTGCCCTTAAAGTTTATTTGGTGTTTGTTTTGAGACAGGGTCTTGCTCTGTTACCCAGGCAGGAGTGCAGTGGCTCGATCTTGGCTCACTGCAACCTCCATCTTCCAGGCTCAAGTGATCCTCCTGCCTCAGCCTCCTAAGTAGCTGGGACTACAGGTGTGTGCCACCACATCTGGCTAATTTTTTGTATTTTTTGTAGAGACAGAGTTTCGCCATATCACCCAGGCTGGTCTCAAACACTTGGACTCAAGCAATCTGCCCGCCTTGGCCTCCCAAAGTGCTGGGATTACAGGTGTGAGCCACCATGCCCAGCCTCTTGAAGTTTTTTAGTGAGCTGTCCTCCAGGTCTATTCATTCCAAATACGTTCAATAGGGCTTCTTTGGATTTAAGTAGAGATGGCTGTAAAGAAATACTAACCTGAAGCTTAGAGAGAGGTCTGGGTAGAGATAAACAATTAGGAAATCTCTCATACAGAGAGCAGATTAAGTTATGGGAGTGAATGAGATGACCTGAGAATACCCTGTGGAATCAAAACACAACAGAATCCCTAGGACCACCAATATTTAAAGGTTAAGTAAGATAAGAGGTGGCCAGAAATACAGAAGAAAAAGCAAGAGAAGAGAGAATTTAAAAGAAATAGGAGTGCTGAGGCAGGGCAATCAATAAACCCTATGCACAAAAAAACAAGAATAAAGCAACACCAAAGCAAATCATAACCAAATTGCTTAAGACCCAGTGAAAACAAAATCTTCAAAGCAGCCAGAAGAAAAAAGACAAAGGAAATATATAGAACAGCATACAGATAACAGCAGATTTCTTGTCAAAAATAATGCAAGCAGAAAACAGAGTAAGAAGTGGAGTAAAATTTTTGAAGTGCCAAAAGAAAAAAAAAAAACAAAAAAACATGTCAACTGTTAACACTTTACTCAGCAAAAACATCTTACAAAAACAAAGGTAAAATAAAAACTCTGAGACATACAAAAGGTAAAAGAATTCACCACAGTCCTTACATTTTAAAGAAATGGTAAAGAAAGTCCTTCAAGGAATAGGAAAACAACACCAGATTAGAATCTGGATATACACAAAAGAATGAACAATATCAGAAATGGAAACAACATCGATAAATATAAAGAATTGTTTATTTAAGTATCCACAAAAGAGAACTGATTGTTTAAAGCAAAAATAACAACAACATACTGCAGTTTAAAACTTTTATAGAAGTAGGTCAGGCCCGGTGGCTCATGCCTGTAATCCCAGCACTTTGCGAGGCCGAGTCAGGAGTTCAAGACCAGCCTGGTCAACATGGTGAAAAGTTGTCTCTACTAAAAATACAAAAATTAGCCAGGCGTGGTGGCGGGTGCCTGTAATCCCAGCTACTTGGGAGTCTGAGGCAGGAGAATCACTTGAATTCGGGAGGTGGAGGTTGCAGTGAGCTGAGATCACGCCACTGCACTCCAGTCTGGGCAACACAGTAAGACTCTGTTTCAAACAACAACAACAACAAACTTACATGGACGTAAAATGTATGACAAGAATAGCACAAAGACCAGGAGGGGGAAAATAAAAATGAACTGTTGTAAAGTGGTAAAATGTCACCTGAAGTAGGGTCGTGACGAATTAAAGACGTATACTACAAAACCTAAAGCATCCACTAAAATAACACAACAAAGAGTTATAGTTAATAAGCCAACAAAGGAGACAAAAATTGAATCATTAAAAAATCATCCTAGAGAAGGCATATGAAAAAGGGGAAAGAGGAATAAAATAACAGATAAGACAAAAAGAAAATAAATACCAAGATGGTAAATTTAAAAGCAACCATATCAACAATAGCATAAAATGTAAATAGTCTAAATAACCCAATTAAAAGGCTGATATTATCAGACTGGCAGATATGAGAGAGTTAAAAAAAAAAAGACAACTATAACCTGTTTTTAAGAAATCCACTTTAAGTATAAGAACACAAATTGGTTGAAAGTAAAAGTATAGAAAAGATACATCATGGTAACAAAGAAGGATAAGATATACCATGACCAAAACAAAGCTGGATGACCTGGGCATGGTGGCATGGGCCTGTAGTCCCACCTACTCAGGACACTGAGGCAGAAGGATCGCTTCAGCCCAGGAGTCTGAATCCAGCCTGGGCAACACAGTAGACCCCATCTTTAAAAAATAAAAACAAAAGCAAAAAGCAAACAACAAAAACCAAAGCTGTCAGAGAAAGTAGATTTCAGAACAAAAAATATTACTAGGGATAGAGAGAGTCACTGTATAGTGACAAAGGGGTCAAGAGGACATGTACATAATAGTAGAGCTTCCAAATACATGAAGCAAAAACTGATAGAACTACAATGAGAAATAAACAAATCCACAATTATGAGCAAAGATTTTAACATCCCTCTCTCAATAAGTGATAGAACAACTGGACAGGAAATTGGAAGAATACAGAAGACTTTGAACAATATTACCAACCAATCTGATCTTTGAAATTTATAGAACACTCCACTCAACAACAGCAGAATGTGTATTTTTTCAAATGCACACAGAACATTTACCAAGATAGACCATATTCTGAGTCAAAAACAAATCTCAATTAACTTAAGAGGATTCAAGTCATACAAAGTATACTGTCCCACAGTAGAATTCAATTAAACTAAATAACAGAAATATATTAGGAATGTCTATTCAGGTCTTTTGCCCATTTACTTTTTTTTTTTATGGAGTTTTGCTCTGTTGCCCAGGCTGGAGTGCAGTGGCATGATCTTGGCTCACTGCAACCTCAGCCTCCCGGGTTCAAGCAATTCTCCTGCCTCAGCCTCCCAAGTAGCTGGGATTACAGGTGTGCGCCACCACGTCTGGAGTATGTGTGTGTGTATGTGTACATATATATATACTTTTTTTTTTTTTTTTTTTTTTTTTTTGGTAGAGATGGGGTTTCACCATGTTGGCCAGGCTGGTCTCAAACTCCTGACCTCAAGTGATCCACCCACCTCGGCCTCCCGAAATGCTGGGATTACAGGTGTGAGCCACCATGCCCCGGCCTGCCCAGTTTTTAATTGGGTTATTTGGTTTGTTGCTGCTGAGTTGTTTGAGTTCTTTATATATTAACCCCTTATCAGATGTATAGGTTGCAAATATATTCTCCCATTCTGTAGGTTGTTGTGCTCTCTTGATTGTTTCCTTTGCTGTGCAGAAGCTTTTTAGTTTAATTTAATGCCATGTGTCTATAGTTGCTTTTGTTCTCTGTGCTTTCAAGGTTTAAGCCTTGTCTAGACCAATGTCACAGAGCTTTTCTCCTATGTTTTTTTCCTACTATTTTCATAGTTTCCGATCTTACATTTAAATCTCTAATTCACTTTGAATTTAGATATTTCTTAAAAGAAGACATACATACGGCTAGCAGATATATGAAAAAATGTTCAACATCACTAATAATAAGGGAAATGCAAATCAATCAAAACTACAGTGAGAAATCACCTCACTCCAGTTAGAATGGCTACTGTCAAAAAATCAAGACAGCTGGGCACAGTGGATCACACTTGTAATTCCAGTGACTCAGGAGACTGAGGTGGGAGGATCGCTTGAGGCGAGGAGTTAGAGACCAGCTTGCAGAACATAGTGACAACCCATTTCCAAAAGAAAAAAATTAAAAGACTTAGCAGGGCATGGTGGTGCATGCCTATAGTCTCAGCAACTTGGGAGGCTAAGGCAGGAGGATCACTTCAGCCCAGGAGGTCAAGGCTGCAGTGAGCTATGATTGTGCCACCGCACTCTAGCCTCGGAGACAGAGCAAGACTGTGACTCTTTATTTATTTATTATTATTTTTTTTTTTTTTTTGAGACAGACACTCGTTCTGTCATCCAGGCTGGGGTGTAGTGGCGCAATCTTGGCTCACTGCAACTTTCACCTCCCAGGTTCAAGTGATTCTCATGTCTTAGCCTCCAGAGTAGCTGGGACTACAGGTGCACACCACCACATCTGGCTAATTTTTGTAGAGGCAGGATTTCACCATGTTGACCAAGCTGGTCCCAAACTCCTGACCTCAGGTGATCTGCCCCGCTCCTCGGCCTCCCAAAGTGCTGGGATTACAGGCGTGAGCCACTGCACCTGGCCTACTCTGACTCTACACAAAACCAGAAGACAAGTGTTGGTAAGGATAAGGAGAACAGGGAACCCTTAACATAATGATGGTGGGAATGTTAATTAGTACAGTCATTACTGAAAACAGTATGGAGGTTTCTCAAAAAATTAAAAATAGAACTACCATATGATCTAGCAATCCCACTACTGGATATACACCCAAAGGAAATGAAATCAGCATGTGAAAAAGATATCTGAACTATGTTTATTGTGGCACTACTCACAATCGCAAGATATGAAATCAACCTAAATGTCCACAGAGAGACGAATGGATGAAGAAAATGTGGTATGGAGACATGATAGAATACTATTCAGCCACAAAAAGAATAAAATCCTGTCTTTTGTGGCAACACGGATAAACCTGGAAGACATTAAGTGAAATAGGCCATGCATAGTAAGACAAATATCTCACGATTTCATCCACATGTGGAATCTGAAAGGCTGTTCTCACAGAAGTAGAGAATAGAATAGGGGTACGAGAACTCTGGGGAGGACAGAGGGAAGAGAAATAGGCAGAGATTGGTCCACAAGTACAAAGCTACAGTTAGATAGATAAATTCTCGTGTTCTAACGCATGGTAGCATAACTAGAGTTAACAATAATGTATTGCATATTTCAAAATAGCAAGAAGGGGCCAGGCATGGCAGCTCACACCTGTAATCCCAGCACTCTGGGAGGCCAAGGCAGGTGGATCACCTGAGGTCAGGAGTTCGAGACCAGCCTGGCCAACATGGTGAAACCCCAACTCTACTAAAAATACAAATTAGCCAGGTGTGGTGGCGCACACCTGTAGTCCCAGCTACTCGGGAGGCTGAGGGAGGAGAAATACTTGAACCCGGGAGGCAGAGGCTGCAGTGAAACAGTATCATGCCACTGTACTCCAGCCTGGGCAAGACAGAATGAGACTTTGTCTCAAGAAACGAAACAGCAACAAAAAAACAAAAACAACAACAAAAAAACGCTAGAAGGGAGGTTTTTCAATGTCCTCATCACAAACAGACAATGAATGTTTAAGGCCTCATGCAAATTATTCTGACCTGAACACTACACAATTTATACATGTACTGAAACATCACATTGTACGCCATAAATATGTACAATTTTTATGTGTTAGTTTAAAAAACAAGAACTATATCAGGAAAATGCCCAAATATTTGGGAACTATTACACTTCTAAATAACCCCTGGGTCAAAGATATCAAAAGGAAAACTACAAAATATTTTGAACTGAATGAAAATGAAAACAAAAAATATCACAAGTTGTGGGATACAGCTAAAGCAGTATTTAGAGAGAAATTTACAGCTCTAAAATGCCTATATTAGAAAAAAAAGGTCTTAAATCAATGGTTTCAGTTTATACCTTAAGAAACTAAAAAAAGAGAAGAGAAATGAAACCCAAAGGAATCAGGAGAAAGAAAATAATAAAGATCAGAGCAGAAAATAATCAAATTGAAAAACAAAAATATAGAAAAATCAGTGACACCAAAAGCTGGTTTCTTCTTGAAAATCAAAATGAAATCTCTAGCAAGACTAATCAAGAGAACAAAGAAGAAAAGACATAGATTGTCGATATCAGGAATAAGAGGTTATATCACTACATATTCTATGGATGTGAAGAGAATATTATTAATATTTGGCGTACCTTTATGACAAAAACTTATAACTCAGCAAGAATGGACAAATGTCTTAAGACAAAAAACTACCAAAGTTTACTTAAGAAAAAAGATAACCTGAATAGCCCTACAAGAATCTGAATTTGTAATTTGATAACTTCTCTGAAAGAAAACTCTAGGCCCATGTGTATTCTCGGGGGACTTCTACCAAATACTTAAGAAAAAAATAATACCAACCCTACATAAATGTTTTCAAAACACTGAAGAATTCTACCTGACAAGAAAAAATATTGATTCTACACAAACTCTTCCCCATCCTCGCCAAAAAAAAATGGAAAAGAAAGAAATGCTTAACTCATTCTATGAAGCCAGTACTACTTTGGTACCAAAATGAGACCAAGACCTTATTAGACAAAAAATTACCAACCATTTACCTGTCATGAACATAAATGCAAACACTCTTAATAAAACTTTAGCAAATAAAATCCAACCATATGGAAAAACAATAATTTATCATAACTAAGGGAGATTTGTTGCAAAAATACAAGGCTGGTTCACCATTCAAAAATCAAGTCACCATATTAACGCACTAAAAAAGAAACACCATATTAACAGCTCAATAGATGAGGAAAACGCATTTGACAAAAACCCAACAACCATTCCTAATAAACACTCTCCAGAAACCAGGAATAGAAGTAAACATCTTCAAATCGATAATAGACAGCTATGAAAATTTACAGGAAACACTTTACTGAGACGTGAAAGAATCAATGTTTTCCCTCAAAAATTAGGAATGAGGCAGTGACATCCACTCTTACCATTTCTATTCAACATTATACTGAAGGTTCTTGCCAGCACAATAAAGCAAGAAAAATGCATCAAGACTGGAAAAGAGTAAAACTGTCTATTCATAGAAAATATGACCTATGTAGAAAATTCAATAGAATCTACAAAACGCTTCTAGAACAATCGAATTTAGCAAGGTGAAGATGCTATACAAAAACCAGTCGTATTTCCATATAATAACAGCAAACAATCAGAAACTGAAATAAAAAAAATACCATTTACAGTATAGCACCATGTACTGTGGAAGAGAGTTTGACAGTTTCTTACAAAGCTAAACATACTCTTACCATATAGTCCCACAATCACACTCCTTAGTATTTACCTAAAGGAGCTGAAAACATATGTCCACATAAAGCCCTCCACATGGATGCTTACAGCACCTTTATTTATACTGCCAAAACCTGGAAGCAACCAAGATGTCCTTCATTAAGGGTAAAAACAGAAGTCCCTCAAATTTTCACTTATCCTATGGCATCGTTTTGGGGAAAGATGAAATGTTCTAGTGGTGTTCATAATTAAGGGTACTTACAATGGTCATGGGGGATCTCTCTTGTGAATATTAAGAGCCTATTATGAGAGAAGATTTGTAACACCATCTCCCCGTAAGTATTAATTATCAAAGTTTCATCTCCAAGAAAGAAGAGAACTGCCCACAATAAGCAGAATATAATTACAACTCAAAATACATAAAAAGTGCAGAAAGAAAAGTTAAGGTTTTAGAAATTTCATCTTTTATATTGTTCCACAGAGAAACGAACTAGATCAAAAATAAAAAGACGAATCATGTTGCAATTTACATAAACTCAAAACATTGGAAGTAAAAAAAAAATCTAGATACATAAAATAATTGAGATTCTGATGATAGAAACACTGAGCTAATCTAAGAGGCTGTACTTTCAATTGCTCTAAAAATATTTGCTATTCCACCTCACCAGCAGAAAGAAAAGCTAAAAATAGTCATCTTTCTGTTATAGAATATTTCTTGCTGTCTTAGGGAAAGTGAAACTAAAGTTCCTATCTACGAATGTCAGCCTTACAATCTTTAATGAACCCTCTGACTTAGTCAAACAAAAACTTGACAACTATGTAATTTTTTAAAATATAGCTGGAATGATATAGTTTCATCATTAGGCTGTCAGCTCCCATTAAGAAAGAAGACTGCAGAAAATATGTTTTCTCCAATTCATATACTAAATCATTAACAAATTCATATTGCTTTGACTATCTTTAAATGGGAATTTTTAAAGGAAAGAATACTTAATGATATGAGAATACAGTCATAAAATATTAAGTGAAAAAGACAAGATATAAACATGAAGTATAGAGCATAAATAAGCAAATTTACATATTATGCGTTGAAAGATTGAAAAAGGCAGCAAAAATTGACTCCTTTGTAACTTTTATTTACAAAATTCTTCACATTGAGCATATGTATTGTTTTTATAATAATTTGCTTTTTATACCTTATACAAAACCAATATACTATACATGTATATAAGTGTGTGTGTGTGTGTGTGTGTGTGTGTGTGTATGAAATATATGCAGTCGTTTGCTAGAGCAAGAGAGAGACAGAGAGAGATCCTATTGCTAGATTTCTGAATTTTCAAGGTTGCAAATATTTCACAATAAATTGTGGCTAAAGTTCTTTGGAGTACAACAAAAATTACACATGAATTTTCCATTCATACAGAAATTACCTATACTAAGAAACAGGAAACAATTCCAACATGTAATACTATTAAACTTTAGCACTGTAAAACCCTTTGATTTCATTTTTATCACATCCTTTTATCAGGTTCCTAATAAGCCCATCCTTAATAAGCTTGCCTTATACTTTTCATCACCTTTTTTCTCTGGAGTTTAACTCTACCTATCCTAGTTATTCTAACTTTACATTATTCCTCAGATTAGTTTACTGAGTTAGTAGCTGGTCTCCTGGTAGACTTAATCAAAGGAGTCTATAAAGACTCCCAAGCAGCTCAGGAGTTAAAAGTATGGTAAATACACTTTATCTGGCTCATCTATTCTCTCACAGCTGGCAGACCATTAGGCTGTTTTAAGTCCAGCAGGGTTATGAAACAGGACTGGGTCAGTTCAAGCCAGCCAGCTATGAACCAAGTCTAATGATCAATGTTTGAATGTAAAACCAGAAAAAGTAAGCAGACTATAATTGGGATATTGATTTTCTTTCTTTTGCAAAACTTTCATTTTCTTTTTTTGTTGTTGTTAATGCAAGCATTCCAAGTTTTAAAAGAACATCTAAAATTGTACTACTTGACAGCAGCTGAAAAACATTTTGGTATACAATCTTCTAGGCATTTTCCTATACATACATTGATATGTACCTATGTATGTGCACACATATAACCACATGCATGTAATATACTTTGTTCCCCACAAAATTTGCATTGAATACACTTCTTAAAACATATTAAAGTCTTTCCATGTTAATAAACATATCTTTAATGGCAACTTGATGTGAAAAAAGTTTAAAATAATTTCAAATAAATAAACAAACCAATGTCATCATTTTAAGTAGCTACTTGGTATTCTACCATATAGATGTAGCATACTTTAACCAATCTCCTATTGTCAAACACTTAGGTCATTTTCATGTTTCCCTTCCAGAATTAATGCCTTGATGAATCCTTCCCTCCCTGGTTGTATGTGGGTGGATGCATCATGCATTTGTGTGTTATTTCCGAGACATACTCTTAGAAACAGAATGGGCAAGTCAAAAGACGAACACAATTTTAAAGCTCTTGTAAAAATTGTCAAATTGCTTCCAGAAATGTACCAATTTTCATTTGCATAACCAAATGGTATATGAGAGTTCTAGATTTCCTTGCCGACACTGGACAGTGAATAAGAAACATCTTATTGTCTTAAATTTGCATTTCTTTGACTTTCTAGAAATTGACTACTTTTCATACCCTTATTGGCCTTTTTCTGTATTGTGAACCACCCTATTAGGCTGTAGTAGGCATTCTTTACATTTTTTAAAAAGATTTAATTCTTCCAAACTGGGAAATGACTACTTTTTTTTGGTGGTATAATGGTCACTGATGACCTAGATAACAACAGTTTCTTTGGCATGAGCTAGTCAAAAACCTACCTGGAAAGGGTTCATGAGAGAAAGGAGGAAAGAAATCAAAGACAGTAAATTGAGACATCTCTGGAAAGGAATTTGTGGTGAAGGAAAAGAAAATAGGGATGTAGCTGGAGGGAAATTAGGAGAAAAGTAGTTTTTTTAAGATGGGGGACTGAGCTAGTAAAGAGGCAAAAAATTGATAATGTAGCAGAGAAAGAATTACTAAGCAATATCCTTGAATAAGCAAGTGAGTAGGATCTAATGTGCAAGTGTAGAATCTGGTCTCAGTACAGATACCAGAGCATTCACCCTCAGTTACAGAAGAAAACATATACGGTAAACGGACAGAGATGTAGGCACATGGGCATAAGGTATATATTGGTGGAAGCCTTTATAAGTTATCTTCTGATTGGTTCCATTTTCTCAGTGAGGAAGAAATAAAACGCAAAGTAATCACCAAAGAGTTACGGCTCAACAACAGTTGTTGGAAGTATGTAGTAAGAGAATAAGATACAAAAGTCACCTAAGAAAGTGTATGGAGAGTGTATGGACTAGGGTAATACTGTATGATGGCCAGGTAGGATTAAGCACCCCCAATCCACACACAAATTGTTTCTAACAGTCCTTTCTATATTAAAATATGTACTATGGTCATATTTCAAATATTCCCCCTTAGTTTATTCATTTTCCCGTTTAGTATAATAAACCTTTCTTTTTGAATCTCCACAATAAAATCTTAATGAACTCTCAGTAGTTTTACGCTAGGGAAAATTCCTTCCTCACCTCAATATTATTTAAATATTATCTATGCATTTATTTCAACGCAACCTGTACTTTCCTCTGATACTATTTCATTTTTAAGCATTTAAATCTTTAAACCATTTTGATATTAGTGTTAAATTGCAGGATAGGAATTTTACTTTTTAACGGCCAATTAGGTACTCCTGAACAATTTAACATCCAATTCATACCTCTAATTAGTAATTTCACTTTTATGTTATTTGAAAATTGTATTTCTACTTTATTAACTGCTTATTCAGGCACCAGTTCCACAGCTTAAATTACTACACCCCTGCAATATATAGAGATACTCTCTTTTCAGAATTCCTCTGGCTATTCTTATTTTTTCTTCTAGATTATTTTAGTCATGATGCCTAACACACCCAACTTCGCCTTCTAGTTAAATCTTGCCAACCCTTACCTCTGACCACAGAAGTAGGATTGAGCAGATGCTGACAGGATCAGGGAGCATAATTTTCCCAGGGATAGCCCATCTACTGGCTTCTGGACAATCAATAAAATGAGAAGGCCTAAAAGGATCCATCCATTAGTGACAGATTAACTAAAATCAACCCAAAGCAGTTTAATTCAAGATTTGGAGTATGGAGTATGGGGACTAAGAGCAGATAACCATAAGCAAACAAAACAGATGCTTACAAATATATACGGATGCCACAGAGGGAGAGAAAAAAGCACACAGCCAACCAGAGAAAGTACATATCATAACTGTCTGATACTGGTTTTAAACCCTATATATTCAATACAATAAACTTTTCTTAGGTAACCTGAGGTATTATGCTTTCTTGCAATAAAAACAGTCTACAACAAAATGAAACTTTAGAATCATTTGATTAAGTTCTCCTCTTCCCGTCACACCCCTCTCTACTAAACTAGATTTTAAACTGCAACTACATAGAATTTATTGAGAATAAATACCTTTTTTTTTTCTGGAGACAGGGTCCCACTCTATCACCCAGACTGGAGTGCAGCCTTGATCTCCCCAGGCTCAAGTGATCCTTGCACCTCAGCCTCTTGAGTAGGTGGGACTACAGGCACGCACCACCATGCCCAGCTAATTTTTTTTTCTTTTTGGAGAAGAAGTTTCACTGTTGTTGCCCAGGCTGGAGTGCAATGGTGCGATCTTGCCTCACTGCAACCTCTGCCTCCCAGTTTCAAGCAATTCTCCTGCCTCAGCCTCCTGAGTAGCTGGGATTACAGGCACCCGCCACCACACCGGGCTAATTTTTTTATTTTTAGTAAAGATGGGGTTTCACCATGTTGGCTGGGCTGGTCTCGAACTCCTGACCTTCAGGTGATCCACCCACCTCGGCCTCCCAAAGTGCTGGGATTACAGGCGTGAACCACTGCACCCAGCCGTAAGTATCTTTCAAAGGACTGTCTTTCTATATATTAAAATATTTGGGGGCCTGTAAAAAATTTTTTCTTCAAATAGGTCCTGTACATTTGAAAAGTATTCTTTTGTTTTCTTTTTTATTGTTGCATGAGATTTTTCTTCAATTTTCTAATTCTTAGCGGACATACCAATATTTCTCATAGTGAGCTGCATGAGAATATACCTTGAGATATTCTGGAGGAAAAACGGTTTCATGTTCAAAGAATTTGGGGAAACTGATGCATAAAATATATCTGGCTTAGAGATTCACAAAATACATTACCATATTAAAAATTGAGAAATTCCACAGGAGTAAAAATTGTTTAAATTTAAGTTTTTTAACTTAATGGGGCATGGTCAAAGAGCACCTACTAACATCCCATGCAGCCAGTAACCAAGGATCACAGTTGTAAACCAATGGTATACAAAAGTGAGTAGACATTTCTTGTGTGCTTATTCAGTAGCTTCTAATTCCCTGAATAGACATTTTTGTTTGTATCTTTACCTCTAGTTTCAGACTTGGAACATATGACCAACTTTCAAGTCTAGGCCAAAAAGAGTTTTGCGTTTCTCCTGGCCAGGGCTGACTGGTCAAGGGCTGAATAAGGCATTTTAAAATAGTTTAGTGAACCTCAGTCTTTTTCCTGGGAATGCTAGGACAAAGATTTATCCTCTTTCTGGCTAGATTTGAATCTGGAGGGTTTTCAGGAACTTCTGGGACCCATATAATGCCTAAACATGGTCTTGACATAAAGGAAGCAGAACCACAAAATGGAGAATATGAAATGAATCTGTTCTACAAATATTTACTCAACTAATATTTACTGAGTACCTAGTATATGTAAAATAATATTCTAGGTGCTTAGCATACTTCAATAAACAAGAGACCCAAACCACTGCCCTTATGGCATTTACACTGTAATGAGAAGAGAAAGAAAATAAATAATACACATAGTAAAGTATGTCAGATGCTGACAATGTTATGGAAATAATAGGGCAGTGTAATGGGAATTGGAAAGAATAGGGTAGTCAGGGTAGGTGTCTCATCAGACATATTAATACCTTGACTAGAAGAAGATGAAGGAGATGGCCACGTGAATGTTTGTGGGATGAGTATTCCAGGTAAAGAAAACACTCATGCCAAGGCCCAAGACAAGAGCATACACAGTATCTGAGAAACAGCAAGTAGACCAGTGTTGTTAGAGTCAAGGTAACAGAAAGAATAGTTATAGATGATGATATCAGACAGGTAACAAAGATGGCCAGGCAAATGGAGAGTTTTAAACAGAGGAGTAACATGATTAGCTTTTATTTAAAAGTATCACTCTGGCTACTAAATTCAGAATATTATACAGGGAACAAAGGTAGGCACAGAGATTAACATAATAATCCAGGTGAGAGATAATGGTGGCTCAGATAAGCATAGTAGCAGTAAAGGTCATGAGAATGGTCAGATTCTAGATATACTTTAAGGGTGGAGCCAATAAAACATCCTAACTAATGAAACTGGAACATAACAAAAGAGAAGAGTCAGGATAACTCCAGAGTTTTTGACTTGAGCAACAAAAAGGATGAAGATACTCTTAACCAAAAGGGAGAATACTGAGGGTAGACTTCATTTTGGAAGAAGAAAAAAAGTTGTTTTAGACAGGTTAAGTGTGAGATAGCTATATGAATGGTGATATAAAGCAGGCAGTCGGATGAAACTCCAGAACTCATGAGAGAGGTCTTGAGATATAAATTTAGGGTCCTCAGTGTTTAATTACTATTTAAGGCCTTGAGACTAGTTCAAATCATCAAGGGAGTGAGTGTGAGAAGAGAAGAGGAAGAACGAGGAAAGACATCTAAGAAGAAATGACTAGCATGATAGGAGGAAAATCAAGAGAGTGTGGAATCCTGGAAGTCAAGTGACAAAGTGCACAAGCAGGAGAACCTCATCAACTGTGTCAAGTACTAACAGATCAAGGAACCTGGAGACTGAGAACAGATCATGGGGTTTGGCATCACAGGTGTTCTTGACAAGAGAAGTTTCAGTGGATTGAATGAAGCAAAAGCATGACTGGAGTAGACTTACAGGAGAATGAAAGGTAAGGAACTGGAGACAGTGACTACAGAAAACTTATCTATGGAATTTTGCCACGCTGAGGATCCAAGCAATGTGGCAGGGGCTGGCAAGAGAAATGGAGAGTCAAGAAAAAGATTATGGTGATGTTCATTGAGCTCTGCATCAAGCTCCTTAATCTTTGGTTATATAAATTGATGGATTAGCTTTTATGCTTATGCTAGTTTTAGGTAGATTTTAATTAATTCTAACTCTTCCTCACTGTTGATTTTCTAGTAGTTTTCTTGTACAAGATTAGTTAATAGTTTCTGGCTATACTCTAATTCTAGAAAGAAAAATCATTTAAAATAATATTTCACTACCTACAAACCATGTATCGTATTTACTGGTGGTATATATAGGAACAAAGTAACTGTATATTTAGAGTTTTTTTTTTTCTTAAATGTGTGTTTTATCTAGCTAAGTATAAGCATAAGTATTTACCATCAGCTTTTTTCCTGTTTATAACTGATGACCATCTTATCTTTCATCACACATTATTAGTTTTATAATTGCTCTTAGATATAGTTTAATAGACACTTTCAAATCCATTCTAAACAATCATTTCTTTTTCAAATGAAAGTATAAGGGTAAAGTATTAAAAATTGAGTAGCAGCCTAAATTCATGATCCTAGGAAAGGCTCCAAAGACTATAAATATCTGGTATAAATACTAGACACTTAACATTTGCCCATAAGTGGTTTTATATTCACAACAGATGAACCAGAAGTTCCAGGCATTTGAGTAAATATTGATTTATACTTCTGAAATATACAACTTAAGGTAACTCAATCTTACACACTATTATGGTCACTTTCCCCTAAGAAGAAATGGAATTTCCTTCTGATAAGGATTAAGAGGACTCATTAGAGTGAGGTGATAGGAAGTGAGACCATACCTAAGCATACTTGCTAGGAACAATGATCAGAGTGAAAACAGCTGTAAGTTAATGGACAATCCCTAACAAACACATAAATTGAAAATAAGCAAACATGTACAAATAGCTACTATCCTGGACTCTCATCCCTAAGTTAAAAACCTATAGGTTCAGAAGAAGAAATATTATGAATAGCAAGATTCATTTACTGGAGCTGACCCAGAAAAATGCTTAAACAAAAGTAGACTTCTTAGAATATGGTTCTCTAGGTCAGTGTTTCTTTGTACTCTAGGAAGTACAAAGGGTCCCATCTCCTCACGAGTGCATCTTACCATGCTGAATATGCTAGTCTTTTAAACACTCATGAATTATTTTCAAACTATGTGGCCCCTAAATATAACCCAACATCATCTGTGTTCAACCAAAGAAACAGCGATCCAACACAATGCTGGAGAAAAGCTTGCTGTGCTGTATTTAAGTATGGAACACTATTGTAATCGATTAAGAATTTCAGGAATTTTCAGCAGTAGGGCTAATACACTGACGTTAGAGCCTAATCCCCCTTCACTCTACAGATCAGGCTATTTTCTTCTGCTTTATAGATAATATTAGGAGGAAACTGGAGGGGATTTTGTGGGGTATAAGAAGAGGCATGTCTACAGACCTGAGGAAAATGGCACAGTGAGGAGCTCAACACACAACTAAGGAGGGGGCAGACAAAGGTGGGGGAAACATGAAGAGAGACAACTGGGAGACTGCCAAAGGCAAGTGTCTATTAGAATTTGGCCTGGGCCAGTTTTGCACCTAGGTAAGAGAATATTTTCTTCCTGCTTCTACTATTTCACTTTTGGAAACCACAAAACTCTCCATTCAGAAAAATTTAGAAGGTCTAGAAGCAAAGGTTATTTTCTAAAGTTTTTTTGTTTGTGTTTCTTTTGTTTATTCTTTTTTTTTTTTTTTTTTTTTGCAAAGGTCATTTTCATCATGAGCACAGAGACAGGTGTTTAACCATCCATTTTTAGCCTTCATGGGCAGGTGAGGTACAAATAGCCAAGTATCTCCAATATACATATTCTCATTTCTTTCTCTTCTTTCCTCCAACCCTGGGTGCAAATGAATGCACTCTGTCTCTTACACACACATATTCATGTGTGAAAATGTATGTATACACAAATTAAGAGTATAAAAATCAACTGGAAGAGGAAGTATCACCTTTACTTGAATCAATATCTACAACTGTAGCTTGGTATACAGCAAAAGTAGTATATTTTATAATGGACCTCAGTTGAAGAACTGAAATGGACTGGTAAACATCATTTTTTAAATGGTAAAATGTTTATGTGAGGTAATTTCTTAAGCATCTAAAAAGAAAGAATGTGCCTATCCTCTAATTTTATATTGAAAAATCTAACCTATGTGGGGCTATAAGAGATGTAACAAGCCACTATCATTAAGAACCATAATTTCATTTTAAGGTTACTGTTAGTTATTTATTTAAAAAAAATTTTTTTTAGAGATGGCGTTTTGCTATGTTGCCCAGGCTGGTTTGGAACTCCTGGGCTCAACCGACTCTCATGCTCAGCCTCCCAAGTAGCTGGGACTACAGGTGTGCACCACTGTGCCCAGCTATAATTTCATTTCATACAGATTAAACACATTTCAGAGGTTTAATCTATAAAGCATAACTGGGGTAAAACTAGAGGTGAAATGCTAGATTGGAAAGCAAAGTGAAAGGAAGCTGCAGACTTAGAAAGGCTAAAATAGATTACTTATGGGGTAGTAAAAGCTCCAGATTCTTTATTCCGGAAACACTAAGTTAAATGTCACTCTCCAATTCTGATGTAGCAAACCTAGATCATATGGTGGGAAAGTGAGAAATATGAGAAAAAAATCATGTACATAAATATAATCTTGACTTGAAATTGACTTCAAAAGAACTCCACGATCTACACAGGCATAAGGAAATTATACAGAAATATACCAATAATAAATACAAACAAATGGCCTGATTTACTTATCTAAAAGTAACCTAGATAAATTCTAGAAAAACTTCTGAAGTAAAAATATAAGTTAGAGTATTAAGATTATCTGGTAAATAGTAATATATTATCTCTGCTAAGAGGAAGTTAACAATTCATATCCTGAGTGAACCTGAAAACCTGAATTTCCTACACTTCTAGATGGATGAAACTGCAATGTGGCAAATTAAATATTGTTACAGCTCAGCTCTCTTGGCTGAGCTTTAATACAATTCTCAATGGAGTCATCAGATTTTCTTAAACCTAACCCACCTACCCTGAGTTGAATGATTGCTTCTTAGCTATACACTATAGTCCTCTCAAAATAATCTAAAGTAAAGCACTAAAGACAAATATTTTCTTCATTCAATAGCAATTCTTTCATAACTTTAATTATTGTACCTATTAAGATTTTGGCTGTCACTATGCAATGTGGGAAAATGCTTCTTCTGTCAGAGACCCTTATGTAAACTTTGTTACATAATTGCTGTACATATTTATGGAATATGTATTTTTGTACATGCATACAATGTGCAATGATTAAATTAGGGTAACTAGGATATCCATCACCTCAAACATTTATCATTTCTTTGTGCTAGGAACACATCATATCTTCTCTTCTGGCTATTTTGAAATACATAATAAATTCTTATTAACTACAGTCTCCCTCTGGTAACCACCATCATCACTACCTCCATGAGATCAATTGTTTTTAGCTCCCACATATAAGTGAGAACACGAAATATTTGTCTCTCTGTGGTTAATATGAATTTTGAAGAAACAACTATGAATACATGTCTGATAGAATAAATTAGTGAAGAGGAGAAGAGGCAAGACACAGTAATTACTCTTAAAAGTTGTTGATGTTGGTAGTAAAATTTAGGCTTAAATGTGTTGGGTAAAATTTCAATAGTAACTACCTACAGAAATAGAAGGCAGAACTCCCAAACCATTAGAAAATAAAAGAGAAACAAAGTATAATTCATATCACAGAGGTCAGAAAAAAATGACAGACAACAAATTAAGATGGCAGAACAAAGACCAAATGTAACAACGTTAGCATAAAATGAGAGTAAGTTAAATTTTAAGACTGAGTTTTTAAAAAGCCAGGTACGTGCTATTTGTAAGAGAGAAATCTACTACAATGAGATGTCACTTCACACCCACTAGGATGACTATATTAAAAAAGGCATATAATAACAAGTGTTGGTAAGGATGTGGAGAGAAATGCGAATCCTCATAAATCACTGGTGGGAATATAAATGGTACAGCTGCTTTAGAAAACAGTCTGGCAGTTCTTCAAAGGTTAAACAAAGTTACCATATGAGCCAGCATTTCTAGTTCTAGGTATTTAACCAAAAGAATTGAAAACATATTTCCACACAAAAAATTATACACGAATATTCATATTAGCCAAAAAGTGGAAACAACTCAGATGCCCATCAACTGATGAATGTATAAACAAAATGTGGTATATCCATATAACGGAATATTACTTGGCCATTAAAAAGAACAAAGTTTCGGCACATACAACTTTATGAACTTGAAAACATCATTCTAAATGAAAACAGCCAGTCACGGAAGGTCATATACCATACGATTCCATTCATATGAGATGTCCAAAACAGGAAAATCTATAAAGACAGATGCCGTATTAGTAGTTTCAGGGGATGGGAGAGGTGGCACTAAAGAGTGATTGATAATGGGTAGAGAGGCTCTTTTCTGGGTGATGAAAATGTTCTAAAATTGATAGTGATGGTGGCTGCACAACTCTGTGGATATAGTAAAACCAATGAATTGTACACTTTAAAGGAATATATTTTGTGGTATATGAATTATATGTCAATAAAGCTATTTTAAAACAAAAAATCAAAAAGAACCCAAAAATAAACACCACAAAAGGTTGAAAACAAAAGAACAAAGTTTATGTCAGACAAATGCTAACGAAAAGCTTAAAAAAAAAAAAAGGATAATAATACAAAACATGGTAGATTCAAGGGCAAAAGCCTAAACACAGAAAAAAAAATATCATTTTATCTTGAAGCTTTCCCCCTAAGATCAAAATCAAAGAAGGGTCAGGCAGAGTGGCTCACACCTGTAATCCTAGCTCTTTGGGTGGGCGAGGCGGGCAGATCACTTGAGGCCAGGAGTTCGAGACCAGCCTAGCCAACATAGTGAAACCCCATCTCTACTAAAATACGAAAATTATCTGGGTGTGGTGGTGCGCACCTATAGTCCCAGCTACTCAGAAGGCTGAGGCAGGAAGATCACTTGAGTCCAGGAGGCGGATGTTGCAGTGAGCCGAGACTGTGCTACTATACTCCAGCCTGGGCAACAGAATGAGACCCTGTCTCAAAAAAAAAAGAAATAAAAATCAAAGAAGGATGTTCACTGTCACCACTATTATTCAACACTCTATTAGAGCCATAAAGCAATAAGGCAAAGTAAATAAATGGAAGGCAGCAGGCAGATGGTTAAGAAATAAAAACTGTCCCTGTTTGCAGAAAACAAGGTAGTCTATGAAGAAATACCCCTCAAATTTACAAAAAACTTCCTAGAACTATAAGTGAACTCAGCAAGGTCACAAGATATAATCACTCAGAAAAAAACAAAATATTTAAGTACAGGTCTAACAAAACAAGTGTGGGAACTATATACTGAAAACTATAAAATGCTGATGAATAAAATTTTAAAAAAGATCTAAACAAATGGCAACATACCATGTTCATATACTGGAAGGCTCAAAATAGAAAAATTATTAATCATCCCTAAATTGATATGCAGGTTTAATGCAATTCCTATCAAAATCCCAGCAAGACTATTTGTAGAGCGAGAAGATAATTCTAAAATTTGTGTGGAAAGGCAAAAGAACTAGAAGAATATTTAAACAAAGTAAAAGCAATTACTCTACCTAATTTTATGACTTATTACATAGTCTGACATAGTAATCAAGACCATGTGGTAATGGTGGGAGACAGAAACACTGATCAATGGAACAGAACAGAGGACCCAGAAAGAGACCCACATAGGTACAGACAATGATTGTTGATAAAGATGCAAAAGTAATTCAATGGAGGAGGACGGCCTTTGCAACAGGGGTCTAAGAACAGTTAGATCTCCATAAATGAAGCTCAATCTCAATCTCACACCTTATAAAAAGTAGTAACAAATGGATCACAGATTTAAATGTAAAATGTAAAAATAAAAACTTTCGAGGAAAAAAAAATCTCCAAATCTAAAGTCAGGCAGAGAGGTTTTTGACTTGGCTAGGCACTGTGGCTCACGCCCATAATCTCAGTGTTTTGGTAGGCTGGGGTGGGAGGATCACTTGAGGCCAGGAGTATGAGACCAGATCCCGTCTCTACAAAAAGTAAAAAATAAATTAGTTGGGCGCGATGGCACACACCTGTAGTCTCAACTACTCAGAAGGCTGAGGCAGGAGGATTGCCTGAGCCCAGCAGTTCAAGGCTGCAGTGAGCTATGATCACATGCCACTGCATTCCAGCCTGGGTGACAGAGCAAGTCAAAAAAGTGGGGTGGGTGTGCAAGTGGGGTTGTTAGACTAGAAACCTAAAACACAAATCTAACAAAGAAACAAATCAGTAAATGAGACTTCCTCAAAATTAAACATTTTGTTCTATGTAAAAAGATCCTATTAAGAAGACAAGCCAGGCGCAGTGGCATGCATCTGTAGTCCCAGCTACTCAGGAGGCTGAGGCAGGAGGGCTGCTCGAGCCCAGGAATTTGAGATTAAGGTAAACTATAATCACTCTTGTGAACAGCCACTGCACTGCAGCCTGAGCAACACAGTGAGATCCCATGTCAAAAACAAACAAGGAAACAAACAAAAAAAAAGACAAGTTACACCACAGGAGAAAAGATCTGCAAACCACAAACCCAACGAAGGACTAGAATCTAGAATCTAGAAAGAACTCTGAAAACTCATAAGTTAAAAAAAAAAAAAAAACACTGCAATTAGAAAAGACAAAAGACATAAAAAGATATTTCACTGAAGAGGATATTCAGATGGCAAATAAACAAATAAAAGGATGTTCAACATCATTAGCTATTAGGGAAATGCAAACTAAAACCACCATGAAGGCCAGCCACGGTGGCTCACACCTGTAATCCTAGCACTTTGGGAGGTTGAGGGGAGAAGATCACTTGACTCCAGGAGTTTGAGACCAGCCTGGCCAACATGGTGAAACCCTGTCTCTACAGAAAATACAAAGAATTAGCCAGGTGTGGTGGCGTGTGCCTGTAGTCCTGACTACCTGGGAGGCTTGAGAGGCGGGAGGATCACCTGAGCCAGGGAGGTTGAGGCTGCAGGGAACCATGATCATGCCACTGCCCTCCACCCTGGGTGACAGAGCGAGACCTTATCTCAAAAAAAAAAAAACAAAACAAAAACAACAACAAAACACAATGAGATATCACTATACTCCTATCAAAATGGCAAAACTAAAAAATAGTGATAGCATCAAATGCTGACAAGGATGCAGAAACACTGGATCATTCATTCATGGCTGCTAGGAATGTAAAATGATACAGTCAGTCTGGAAAATAATTTTGCAGACCTTTTAAAACTAAAACTAAAACTACCATACAGCCCAGCAACTGATAACCCTTGGGCATTTACCAGAGATATAAAAATTTATTTTTGCACAGGAAATTGTATATGAATATTCATAGTAATTTTATTCATTAACAGCCAAACACAGAAAACTACACTAATGTTCTTCAGCTGGTAAATGTTTAAACAAATGAAACTACATTATATGATAGAATACTTCTCAGCGCCCCCCTCCCCGCCCCTTAAAAGGAACAAACTAGTGATATACACAGCAACTTGGATGAACCACTGGGGCTAGAGAGAGTGGGTGAGGTTATCAAAAAGTTAGCAAGAGGGAGTCTTGTGGGTGACAGGACAGTTAGGTATCTTTTATTGTGGTGGTAGTTACATGTGATAAATCTGCACAGAGCTACAAATACACATGACTGCAAATACAACTAATAAAATCTGAAAAGCTCTGTGTATTGTACCAATGTTATGTCCTAGTTTGGATACTGCACTATATTAAGAAAGATGTTAACAATGGAGAAGGCTAGGTTAAGAGTACACAGGATGTTCCTATACATTTCTCAACTTCCTACAAATCTGTAATTATTTCAAGATCAAAAGGTGTTTTTTTTTTTTTTTTCCCGAAGAAATACAAGCTACAGACTGGAAGAAAACATTTGCAAACTACATCTCTGACTAAAACTAGTATCTACAATATGCAAAGGAACTCTCAAAAGTCAATAATATAAAAACAAGTAATTCAATTAAAGAATGAGAAAAATATGCACAGACATTTCACCAAAGAGTATAAGTATGTCGACAGATGGCAAATAAGTATGTGGAAAGATGTTCAACATCATTAGTCATTAGGAAAATGTAAATTAAAACCAAAATGAGTTATCGCTACATACATACTTAAACATCTAAAAATAAAAAAAGTGACAATAACAAATATGCTGGCAAAGACAGAGAAAAACTGGACCTCTCATACAATACCAGAAGAAACAGAAAGTGGTACAGCCACTCAGGAAGACAACTTGGTATTTTCTCCCAAAAAAAAAACCCCCAAAAACCCATATACTTACACATATGACCCAGCAATTCCATTCCTGGGCATGTATTTGGAGAAAAGAAAACTTATGTCCATACAAGCACCTGTACATGAATACTCAGGATAACATTATTTATGATAGCCAGAAACTGTAAACAACCAAAATGCTCTTAAATAATTCGAATAGTTAGAGAAATTGTGATATATCCATACCATGAATCATTACTTAGCAATAAAAAAGAACTGATGGCTAATGTGCAACACCAATCATAAAAAAAACTCAAAAGACAATCACAATGGAAAAAGTAGTCACAACTTATATCACAAAGTGCTAAATTTCTTAAGTCTATAAAAAAGGGTAAAAAGCCCAACCACCAAATTTCAAAATAAAAAGCTCAAGGAACTTTGAAGAGTAAAAAAAAAAAAAAGAAATATATATACATATATAGTCACCCAGCCTGAGTGACGAGAGTAAAACTCCGCTCATAAATAAATAACGATGTGCTTTTATAATTTAAAAAATATATTTTTAAAAACAACAACAACAACAACAACAAACTTCACCCTCACCCATAAGAGAAGTGCAAGTTAAAACTATAATGAGTTATAAATTTTCGCTGTTAATTTGGAATGATCAAAAAGTTTAATAACACATGGTATCGTTGAAGGCACAGGAGGAAAAAACAGTCTCTTACAGAGCCTGTAAGATTATAAATTAGCAAACACACCTTTCTCTAGAGGGAAATTTGGCAACATCTACAAAAAATATTTAGATGCACTTTCTATTTCTAGGAATTATAAAACTACTGGCTATATTTAGACAAGTGCATAGTGATATATATCACAGAATATTCTCTACAGCAATGTTTTCAACAGCAAGAAACTACCCAAATGTTGACCAACAGGGGAATATTTAATAACACAGAATCCAACGAATCTATTGCCTACTAAGTAGCTGCTAAAAAAGAATGAGGCAAATATGTTTGTTTGTAGGTGCAGCAGCTACCCCAGTAAAAATATAAAAAGAACTGAAAGCAACACCTGTGACTGAAATAAGGGTGAAAGAGGGACTTCCTTTTCATTGCAAACCCTTTTGTAACTTTTGAGTTTTGTACATCAATGTATTATCTATTTAAAAATTTAAAAACAATCAAAAAATTAAGTACAATTGACCCTTGAACAACACAGATTTTAACTGTGTGGGTCCATTTATACACAGATTTTCTTCCACCTCTGTCACCTCTTAGACAGCAAGATGAAAATCCTCCTATTACTCCTCCCCTTTAGCCTACTTAATGCAAACATAACAAGTATGAAAACCTTTATAATGATCCACTTAATAGTAAATATATTTTCTTTCCTTATGATTTTCTTAGTAACAGTTTCTTTTCTCTAGCTTACTTTGCTGTAAGAATACAGTACACAATACATACATATACAAAATACGTGTTAATCAACTGTTTATGTTATTGGTAAGGCTTCTGGTAAACAATAGGTTATAGTAAAGTTTTGGAGGAGTCAAAAGTTACATGTGAATTTTTGACTGTGTGTGTTGCAAAGGTGGCATCCCAATCCCCTTGTTGTTCAAGGGTCAACTATACAATAATTCCATGTTAGCAGAAAAGTATACAATTAGACCAGTGGAACAGAGTAAGATCTAGAATAATATTCAAAGGAAGTTTTGGGAAAAAAATAAAATTAGAGCCCTATACTCATGTAAACAAAAATAAAATTCAGAATTGATTAAAAAACCCCACAAATGTCAGAAGTGGAAAATGTTATTTACTCCTCTAGGAGGTAGCATAGGTCATCTGGAATCAGACAAAATCCAACAGCTACTGGTTTAATATATGAAAAGCAATCAGTGTTAGACACCATATTAATAGAATAATGGGAAAAACTATACAATCATCTCATCAGATGTTGAAAAAGCATTTAATAAATTACAACATGCAGGCTGGGCACGGTGGCTCACACCTGTAATCCCAGCACTTTGGGAGGCCGAGGCAGGTAGATCACCTGAGCTCAGGAGTTCGACACCAGCCTGGCCAATGTGGGGAAACCCCGCATTTAATAAAAATACAAAAATTAGATGGGCGTGGTGGTGCGTGCCTGTAGTCCCAGCTACTTGGGAGGCTGAGGCAGAAGAATCACTTGAACTGAGGAGGCAGAGGTTGCAGTGAACTGAGATCATGCCATTGCACTCCAGCCTGGGTGACAAGAGTAAAACTCCGTCTCAAAAATAAATAAATAAATTAATTAATTAATTACAACATGCTTTTATAATTAAAAAACTCAACAGGAAGGGCATCTATGAAAGAATCCACAGCTAACATTATACTTAATGGTGAAAGACAAGATGCTTTTCTTAAGGAACAAGAAAAGAATATCTACACTTCAAATTCAATAGCATATGAAAAGGGTTTTACATAATGATCAAGTGGGGTTTATTCCTGGAATGCAAGGATGGTTCAGTGTATGAAATTCAATATAATACACCACATTAACAGAATGAAAAAAACTACATGATCATCTGAATGGATGTAGAAAAGACATTTGACAAGTTTCAACAACATTTCATGATAAAAAACACTCAACTAGGAATGGAAGGAAACTATCTCAACATAATGAAGACCATATATGAAAAACCCACCACTAACATCACATTCAATGGTGAATGACTGAAAGCTTTTCCTCTAAGATCAGGAACAAGGCAATTCTTGCCACTTCTACTCAACATAGTACTAGAAGTACTAGCCAGAGCAATTACACACACACAAAAAAATGAAAGGCATTCAAATTTAAAAAGAAGTAAAATTAATCTCTGTTCACAGATGACATGACGTATGTAGAAAACTCTAAAAGTTTCATGCAAAAGAAAAAAAATATTAGAACTAAGAAACAAACAGGAAAACTGCAGGATACAAAATCGACACACAAAAAATGAGTCCTGTTTCCATACACAAACAATGAACACACTGAAAAGGAACTTAACAATTCAATTTTCAGTAGCATCAAGAAGGATAAAATACTTAGGAATAAACTTGACCAAAGAGGCAAAAGACATGTACACTGAAAACTACAAAACATTTCTGAAAGAAATTAAAAATATAAAAAAAAGGATAATGCTCATGAATCAAAAACAATATTGTTTAAATGTCCATAATACTCAAAGCAATCTACAGATTTAATGTAATCTTTATCAAAATCTCAATGGTATCTTTTGCAAAAATAGTAAAAAAAAAAAAAATCCTAAAGTTGATATAAAATCTCAAGGGACTCCCAAAAGCAAAAACAATCTTGAAAAAGAACAAAACTGCAAGCCTCACACTTCCTTATTTCAAAACGTATTACAAAGCTACAGTAATCAAAACAGTGTGGTCTTGACATAAAGACATACAGACCAATGGAACAGAATAGTGAGCCCAGAAACAAACCCTCACACATACATAGCCAAATGATCTCTGACAAGGCTGTCAAAACCACACAATGGAAAAAGGACAGTCTTCAGTTTTTATTCAAACATATAGTTTCAAAATAAACATTTAAATAAAATTCTAGGAACTGCAGATTATCTTGAAAGGACATATAGAGATAATAAACTAATTTATTTGTTTTTTCAACAATTCAGGCTTTTTATTTTTACCTATCTTAAAGTGATTTAATTATAATACTACATCCAACATTCGGTTTCTTTTGTACTGTAATATCTCCATCTTTGGCACATCTAAAGCTTATTTACATTTCAGTTTTAATAAATTTAGCCAAGAGTAGTGCCAAAGAATTACAATAACTAATCTCTGCCCAGAGCTATTGGGGTCTGCTGCAAGCACTGTCAGGAATGAAGAAAAAGAATGGGCCAGGCGTGGTGGCTCACGCTTGTAATCCCAGCACTTTGGGAGGCCGAGGTGGGCAGACTGCCTGAGCTCAAGATTTTGGGACCAGCCTGGGCAACATGATGAAACCCTGTCTCTACGAAAATACAAAAAATGAGCCAGGCGTGGCAGTGGGCACCTGTAGTCCCAGCTACTTGGGAGGCTGAGGCAGGAGAATTGCTTGAACCCGGGAGGCAGAAGTTGCAGTGAGCCGAGATCATGCCACTGCACTCCAACCTGGGTGACAGAGCGAGACTCCATCTCCAGAAAAAAAAAAAAAAAAAAGAATGTCTTAAAATTATTTTCCAAACACCCAGCTATGTGTCAACAAAACGTCTTTTTTTTAAAAGAAAGAAAGAAATGATCGCCAAAATTAGATTCTCCCTTTTGTTACATTATCCTATCTACCCCATGATGACCACATGCCCCATGATTACCACAACCAAGTCCTCCAGCTGGCTGCCATGCAAACTCATGGCAACCCAATTTGTGCACAGGAGGCTGAGCGAAGCACGGCAGAATTCGCTGTTAAATTCTGAAATGCTGCATTTCAAACACTATACAGTATTATACTAGATGTCTGATCTTTAAATTCGATCCCAGTAAGATCTTAAATGTTGGATTTCTTTGATAAACTGTACTTACTTCTGACCCTAAGTGTTTGGCTCCTTAATCTCTCAATTAAAAAAAATTATTTCATAATTATAATTGTATAGAGTGGTTCTTTCACTGATTCTAATGGTTAAGATTCCTTTCCAAACCCAAAAAAGCCAATCATTCTTAGTTCCCAAGATCACACTCAAGTACACAGACATCCATTTATCAAAAATACTGGATGCCTTGGGGAATTCTGGACAACTATACAAACACGACTATTACATTAAAATCACCAGATAAAAAGACAGAATATTATCTATAAAGGAATGTACGACTTAGCAGGTAAGTGTTAGACTTCATTTTGAAGGTCAGAAACCAGTGCTGCCAATTAGGGAGAAAAATTTCCAAAGAAACCCACCTACAGAAAAATTAGTGCTCTTGATTTCCCAAAATTCAAGTATAGAGGAGCACAGTTTATGCTGAATTATCTAAAAGTAGAGTAGAATGAATCATAAAACCTTTGAATGCCCTTTCTAATAGTTATCAGAGCCTGCGTCCTTGAATTTGTATCACCTGATCTCCAGGCACTGGATATTAAGAATGTGGAAAAAGGAAAACTCAATTATAAAAAATGAGAAAAGAAGAAAACTGTGAAATATAATCCAATGTCAGAGGAGCCCTTGGCAGAAAACACTGGTAACCAATGTTATTAAGATGTAGCAGAAACCTTACCCACACTGCACAAAACCTGATGGATCATTTTAACTATTTAGGAGTGTTAAAGCATCTGTTCCCTTTTTGCCTAGAGCAAAACCCAAGTTTATATAAATATATATATATTTCAAATATTTTCTATAAATTATTTCTACATCTTCTCAAGCCTAAAAGAGGTGTAAATATCTCCAAAGAAATATTCTACTTTAAATAGGAAAAAGGGTCAATCTAGTTTTCTTAAATACTAAGACTATACGCCCAGCACATCTAGGTTGCCGGTCTTCTCCAGAATTATTGGTATACTATCCCATGTCAAGTAAGAACAACTGTACCTTTAAAAAAGCACAGGAAAATTCAAATATATATATAGCCCAGAAAATAGACATTCTTGGTGTTTAATGGAAAAGATTGTTTCATAAACATCAAAATTTAAATAGAAGCCACCTTCCCAGGCTTAAAAATGAAAAAAATAAAACACAGTTTGTTTAATCACAAATTGAAGGACACCCATGTGGTCAATTTAAGTGTTTCTCAATGTTTCAGATTCTTCAGTCTGTAGCGTCCAAACACTTTCTAAACAATATTAGAATACTTTCAGAATTTAGGAGGACCAAGAAAAGGCAGTGATCTTTACAGATAATTTCAAAATTTTAAATAATTTTTGGTGAAAAAACAGACAAGAAAAAATGACTAGGAAATTATTTCATTTTTATACTCATTATTTACTGTCACTGTGCTTGATGAGAAAAGAAAACATACAACTGTATGATAAAAAACATAATTTGCTTCTCTACTTTTCCCAATCCTTCCCCCCATTATAACCCTCTCAAAGGGGTAAAGGGAGCTAAATGATTTCTTTTAAAACTCAACCACAATTATGATCCATGTTGTTCCCCCACAAAATAAACCACTTAAATTATTCTCAGGCAAGAAAATGAACTTCTAATTTCAATGCCTTTGGGGAGTTTAAGAAGAATGGCGCAAAAGAAATTCAGTAGAAGCCCTCTTAACTGATATTATGATTAACTGATGCTCTCCATTCCCTTTATAGAACATCCAGACCAATGCCCTACCAAGCTAACTGCCTGTGGCCAGTAGACAACTCTACAGTGCTTCCGCACAATTCTGCTCACACCATGTGGTATGCTTACCAAGAACCAGAGGTTTATTCTCAAACTTGCTTATGTTAGTTGCACTTGTAATTGTAATTACAAAACTGAATTAAATATTACAAAAGCTGCTAAAATGTAAGTCTAAAAAGAAAGTTGCTGTTTTCATGAAAACTAAGTTAAATGCTCTGGGAAAGACCTGATAAAGCCAAGTTGCTATTTAAAAAATGCCAATGAAGCCAACTATAAAAGATTTTTCCCCATTCGCAACAGATTCTATACTCAAATATCTTCATAAAAGCCTTTAAGTCTTCTTGCTAAAATAATCTAAAACTGCGAAGTCATCACTGTCAAAGAAAAGGCCTTGACCAACATCAAAAGATTGGCAAATAAATATACATTAAAGTAAGATGTTTAACTTATGTATCACTTTTTATCAATTCACTACTGGTTTCAACTAGATTGGCTAAAAGGAGTATCTTAATCCATTTGGGCAGCTATAACAAAATACCTCAGACTGGATAATTTATAAACAACAGAAATTTATTTCTCACAGTTCTGGAAGCTGGGAAGTCCAAGATCAAGGCATCTGCAGATTTTGTGTCTGGTGAGGCCTATTCCTCATAGACAGCACCTTTTAGCTGTGTCCTCACAGGGTGAAAGGGGGCAAATGAAAGGGGGCAAACAAGCTCCTTGGAGCCTCTTTTATAAGAGGCATTAATCTCATCCATAAGGGCCACGCCCTCATTACCTAATCACCTGCTAAAGGCCCCACCTCTTAACACTATTGCATTGGGAATTAGGTTTCAACATTTGAATTTGTGAGGGACACATTCAGACCACAGCAAGGAGATATTCTATCCTTCAGTAATCAAGTAGAAGAACATTGAATTAGAACATTAGAAATAACACTCATAGTCAGCTGGGTGCGGTGGCTCACACCTGTAATCCTAGCACTTTGAGAGGCTGAGGTGAGCGGACTGCTTTGAGATCAGAAGTTCAAGACAAGCCTGGCCAACATGACAAAACTCCGTCTCTACAAAAAATGCAAAAATGAGCCAGGCATGGTTGCTCCTGCCTGTCGTCCCAGCTACTCAGGAGGCGAGGTGGGAGGATCGCTTGAGCCAGGAAGCGGAGGTTGCAGTGAGCCAAGAATGTGCCACTGCACTCCAGCCTGGGCAATACAGCGAGACCATCTCGGAAAAAAAAAGAAAAAAAATAAGTAACACTCATAGTCAATAATTATTATGCCTCATACCAATCAATGAGAAATCTCTAATCAATAAAGACATATGATGTGAACTTATTCAGATATATTGCCTGAGATATTTAAAAACTTGAAAAGACATCCCCTGAGAAGGTAAAATTTGACTTCAATCTCATATAAAGCAAACAAGATGAGTCACCATACTTTTATATGACTACAGATGGCTCGACTTAACAATTTTCCAACTTCATGGTGGTAAGAAAACAATAGGTATTCAGTAGAAATTACTTCGAGTACCTACACAACCATTCTGTTGGTAACAAAACCATTCTGTTTTTCACTTCAGTACGATATTCAATAAATTACATGAGCTATTCAATACTTAATTATAAAACAGGACTTGTGTTAGATGTTATGTCAGCTAATGTAAGTGTTTTAGACACATTTAAGGTAGGTTAAGCTAACCTATCATGTTTGGTAGGTTAAGTGTATTAAGTGCATTTCTGACTTTGGATATTTTCAATTTATGATGGATTTATTGGGACATAACCAGAGGAGTATCTGTAGTCCAAATGAATGCAAAGCTCTCTGTTCTATACATGTTGGCCTTTGAAATAATTAAAAATATTAAAAATATTTAAAAGCACTATATTAAAAATGTATTTTCTATTTGAAAATTTACCTGAGTCAAGGAAGATATAAATAGCTAAACTAGTAACAAATATAAATCTATTAATAGATTTGTTTATACTTAAGTCTGAATCAAATCAAATACTGTATCCTAAAGAACTATTATTTTATTTACCATGAAAGTATTCTGTGTTTTTGCCATTATGTTCTAACAAAGCCAATTTAAACAATAACTATAAACAATATTATAAACTATTTTGAATGATACAGGTATTATTCTAAACAAAACAATATTAAAGGATTGAGAGGAAATATCAAATAATTATCTTGTCCCTGAATGGACAAGATATTTTAATCCAAAATTATTTTTCCTTTTATTTTCATAATTATGTAAATTTCACACCTCATCAACACCAATATTGGCACACTAAGCAATAAGGTATTTCAAACAAAGTACCCCTTAACACATGTGCTCAACATCCTATCAAGATTAAAATTTTCTTCCATTATTTATATGGATCAATAATACATGCGGCTGCCAGGTTACGTGAGCTAGTGAGGTTCTCCTCTCCTTCAAAATGAAACCAGAAATACACACACACACACACACACACACACACACACACACCCGTAAATGACTAACAAAAAGAATACCACAGAAGTATTTTAAAAGTTTATCTGTAAAGTAAGCAAGTAATTATAATTTCTATGGATTCTACATTAAACATAACATTTTTGTAATTAGGGAAAATTTTTTTTAAATGGAGTATATTAAATTTCAAAGACATCAATTAACCTCAGAGATGACAGGATAGGGCAATAAGAGGAAGAATACCATTCTTCCCTACTCTATTTCCCATCCCTATCATAGCCACTGTTTGTAATTACAGAGTGTGGTATGGCTCAGTTGTGTTTGCAAGGTAAAATGGTTAAAATCCACTGAATTAAAATGAAATAAAAGATTCCATCTACTGCATTAAAACGAGTTGGAGAGCTAATAAATGTTTACTGAACTACCATGTAACAGGTTCATATCTAGCTATTATAGGGATTTATAGATAAATGCCTCAGAAGCCTTATCATTTTGAGGAACAAAACAAAAACATTTAATAAAGGGTAAATTAAATGTTAGGACAGCCTGGGCAACATAATGAGACCTCAACTCTACAAAACATAAAAACAAAAATCAGCCAGGTGTGGTGGTGCATGCCTGTGGTCTCAACTACTTGGGAGGCTGAGTTGGGAAAATTGCATGAGCCAGGGAGGTTAAGGCCACAGCAAACCAAGATCTCGCCGCCACATTCCAGCCTGGATGACAGAGCGAAACCCTGTCTCAAAAAATAATAATAATTATTATTATTATTAAATACAATTTAAGTTGGGTGTGGTGGCTGACGCCTGTAATCCTAGCACTTTGGGAGGCCAAGGTGGGAAGATCACTTGAGTCCAGGAGTTCGAGACCAGCCTGGCTGACATGATGAGACCCTGACTCTACTAAAAATACTAAAATTAGCCAGTCATGGTGGCACGTGTCTGTAGTCTGAGCTACTGGGGAGGCTGAGGTGGCAGAACTGCTTCAGCCGGAAAGACAGAGGTTGCAGTGAGCTGAGATTGTGCCAGTGCACTCCAGCCTGGGCAACAGAGCAAGACCCTGTCTCAAATAATAAAATAAAATAAAATTTAAAAAATAAATGTTATGAGGCCGGGTGCAGTGGCTCACACCTGTAATCCCAGCACTTTGGGAGGCCGAGGTGGGCGGATCAACTGAGGTCAGGAGCTCAAGACCACCCTGGCCAACATGGTGAAACCCTATCTCTACTAAAAATACAAAATTAGTCGGGCATGGTGGCACGTGCCTGTAAGTCTCAGCCACTTGGGAGGATGAAGCATGAAAATCACTTGAACCCAGTGGGGCGGAGGTTGCAGTGAGCCTAGATTGTGCCACTGCACTCCAGCCTGGGCTACAGAATGGGGCTCTGTCTCAAAAAAATAAAAATAAAAAATAAATGTTATGAGAGCATGCAGGGAAAGTGAAATTGATTCTGGCTGGGGAAGAAATGTACAGATGAAAGGAGGACAGCCTAGAAAGATAAATGAAAAAGGTTAAAGAAAAAAAGCATTTGAAATAAGCCTCATAGAAACAAACAGAATTGAGATAATGAGAGGCCAAAGTAAACAATAAATTAAACATCTTACTTTACAACCACCTTTTACTTCACCTCTCAATTCTTACAGTTAATTATGGACAATGAAAAGAATACTTTAATTATGGCTCCAAAATAAAGGCCTTAAAATTATTTTAAATTGTTTTAAAGAAATAACAAAATGATCGTAAGAATGAATGAGAATTACCTAATAAAATGGGAATTATCAGAACTACTGTCTTCCATTTTAGTTAGAAATACAAAACCATGCATAAAAACATTCAGTTTACATTTGAACATCTTAAAATCTGTTTAAATCTAGTGCTTAAGGCCACAATGGAAGGGAAAAAATGAAAAAGTAAATGTGCCTGTCCCATTCTGGACTCAGTGATAGTTGTGATCAACTAGCCAGCTGGTGTTCGAAACTATGTTCTCAAAAACTTGATTTTAAATGTATGTACGTTTAGAAATGAAGAGAATGCTGGAAGCTATTTAATTTTCCAGAAAACGTGGTTTTCTTAGATTTAAAACAAATGAACTACCGGCAAAAATAATCATTTAGGAAACTAAGTTATGTGACAAATGTAGCCACTTCATTTAATGAAGTACAGAAAAAGTCTTAATAATGTTAAAGAATTTATAAAAACAGAGCCTTAAAATATACTCATCCTACACCCTGAAGACTAATTACATAAAATCTTTTTTCAATAAATATTTTTCACATTCAATAAGCATTGCCCTTCAACAAATATTTATTGAGCCAATAAACTTCCACAAATTACTTTGTGGTGAGATCTTTTTATGCATATTAAATTGGTTTGTTTTTAATTCTATAACGATGAGATACTGAAAATCTATTTACATATCACTAAGCAATTCTATACCACCTATTCATTTGGTGACTTTCTGTGAATACATACCACAAACAGCAGATTTATTCATGAAAACTGGCATTCAAATCATACTTCAAATATAGTCAATTATTGCTATTTGTGACATTTATGTTCATAAAATCACCACAAACACTGAATTTGCGAATATATAATCACTGCTACCAGGGGAAGTATAGGGTTAGGTTCCTGCAAGCCCCTGGTCACAACGTTTTCATCAACTGATCAATACATAACACATATGTACACATACATACATGTACACAGACCATATACAGAGATATGGATAGATACAGATATGGCCTTTAATTTAAAATGGGATATATATATATATATATATATATACACACACATAATCAGACAGACAAGAAAAGATGCATATGATATATTATTAAGGGGAAAAAAGGGAAGTTATACAATACTATGTATATGATTCCTTCTGTAAAAAACAAGAAACAATTTGCTTATACTATATATGCATACACACTAAACAGCTAACAAGGAAGGAACTTTGGCAATTCCATTTTTTACAATGAGCATGTGTCAGTTTTATAAGCATACAGTAGATTCTCAAAAAATGTTTTCTTATTATGGCCACTTAAAAAATAAAATAATGTGATACAAAACTCACGTTGTTTGAAAATGACTCCTATAATCTTCGTGTATTCAGATAATTTCTGCTAAATATAATTAAAAACAAACACTTCATATTTCAAAGATAGAATTTCAGTAAACATTTTCAAAATGTTCTCAAAAATTCGCAAAAAATGTTCTCAACACTTGCCAGTCCCCCAAACTGAAATGTTCAATGATCTGTAACAGGGATTCACAAGCTTTTACTATACGGGTAAATATTTTGTGCTTTACAGGCACACATGGTCTCCGTTACACATTCTTTGTTTTTGTTTCTTTCCTTTTTTGTTAATAACTCTTTGGGAATATTTTTCAGATTTCTTAGCTCAGAACCACATAAAAACAGGCCACAGACTGGACTTAGCTTGCCAGCCGTAGTATGCCAACAAACCAGCATTTAGAAGTCTGATATTTTAAATATATTATACCAAAGGCATCAGAGGTCACAACAGTTGAGTTTTATTCTACGTTAAATAAATAAGGTAGCATTATAGCAATTAAAATTACAAGTTGATTAATATATTGAATTCTATATGCTAGACTACAAATCAAATGATGGAACAACACAGTAAAATAAATTTCAAGCACTTATATTATATAACCGTAATCATGAGTGTGCATGTGCATGTGCATGCCTGTAAAGCATGCACTTCTCCACTTGAAAAAAATCAGCTGAAATTTAACTAGCATACATCAAAGCTCAAGTCTCCTTTTATGATCATTAAAACCATTCACTCATTTAAATAATCAAAACTAGTCAGTGATTTGTTTTAGAGATCATCAACCCCTGAAAATTAAGAACTAATCAGAGACTTGTAGTGATTCATTTGGTTTTAATTTAATTTATGAGATATTATAAAATATTAATCAACCTTCTAAAATACTACTCTTTGGAAGTTTATATTCTTGAAACTTTTTAATATTTACTTTGTCAGTAACCATCACTATACTACCTTTTTTCCTGAAAGACAGCTTTTATATATTTGATTTTATCTAAATTTGAAAGATCTTCATTATTATCCAGCTGTTACTATCAAATGAAAATTTCATTATGAATAATAAACTGGGTCAAAGTAAAAGCCTAAAACGAAAATTCATCCTGCAAAAGTAACCAAATACTATCATACAATAATCTTACCTAGACTGGTGGGTTTTATCAGTTCATCCAGTAAATCATAAAATGGTAATTTTTGAAGTTTTATATCCGGATGGACTGGGTGAAGAGCTGATGTAAGATGTGGGAGTTCCAGTTCATGTTTAGGTCCCAGAAGAGAAACAGGGAGTAATGGCGATGATGCAGGGTGACCATCGTAAGTGAGTTGTGGAATGGTAGATGGAGACAAAGTTGCTGGCATAGGACTTGAATGTACGTTGGGGATGGACAAGTCTGCAGGCGTCATGATTTTCTGTGGGAACCGCCGCCTATAGAGTTCCTTAATTTTCATTTGCACAGCAGGACTACAGCCAGCCTTTAGCAAATGCAGGGCTTTTGTGAGAAGTTCGTGTTTGCGTCCGTGCTTGTTTCTCCCGGCGTAGCCCAACAGTACTTGGAGTTCAGAAACTCTAAGGCTCATAACCATTTGCTTAGAGAAAAAACAAAATGTAAAACATTAGTATTCCAATAATATAATTTACACTATTAAATGACACTTTATTATAACCCCCTTCTTATGGTTTACTTAAGCAAATAAAGGCCAGCTCACTTATAATCCTATTATTTCAAACTTCAAATTTAATCATTTAACGTTAAGTAACCAAAGAAATTTAAAATTAATATTCATAAATTCATTGACTTCTACCCTTGGTTATAAGAAATATAGGATAAAGTATACACCAGGGAAAACCACACCTCACTTTATTCCACTGTTTTGATGAAACTGTCAGGTATTTATCAAGCACTTACTGAGTCTCCAGGAGAATGTCGAGTGCTATGTAGATGGCAAAACGTAATGATGTGCTCTCAAGAATATTTTGTTTTCTTGGGGAAGAATTATAAGTATATATGAAACAACAAACAGTCCATCTCAAACACCAGATGTAGGCAGGATATCAATAGCTATTATCAAGTGTTACTTACATTCTGTACTAACTCTGGAATTTGTAGACTTAAGTTACACCTTTTTTGACCAATTATATATCAGATATTCTATTTGATATTTTCACATGGAATGTCATTATCTTTACAACTCCGCAAGGTATTATCCTGCCTGATTTATACATGAGGAGACAAGTTCAGAAAGGTTAGATAACTTATAAAGCCATAAAGCTACTAAGGAGTAGTCAGGATTCAAACCCAGATATGTCTGATTCTAAAGCCCATGCTCTTTCCACTAAACCATTAGGAAAAAGACAGAGCTGGACTCATATTACTGACTCTCACTTAACTTGCAAGGCCAAGCTAGAAGTCCAGCAACCCAATTCATATGCCATAATGCATGAGGCTGCAGTAATCTATTTAACTTTGTTTACCTATGTTCGCAAACTTATTTAGTCCCCCTTTCTCCTTTTTCCCCACCTACTAATAGGAAATGACCATCTATACCAATCCTCCCATTTTAAAGTGGTGGAAAATGGAATCCAAAGAGAAGAAATCACTTACCCAAGATCACACAGCTATTAGCAGAATCCTAAAAGATTGCATCACCACTGACAGGGAGTATTAGGATAAAAAGACACATGTAAGCTTACCATTTGCTCTCTATTTCTCCAACTAATTCCTTCACCTCATACCAAATACACAAAAGCTATGCTTATGCTGCCTTCCCTAACTCACCACCACTCACAATGATAACCCCAGCCAATTCTCTAAGGGTTCTTTGCAGGTGGCAAAACCATTAAGCAAAAAATAAAATACTGAGGAGAAAAGTATATAAAGAGCTTTATAAGCAATATAGCTGGTTAATCAAAGAAATATGAGTCCTTCCTTTACTTCTCTGGCTTGGAAAACTCTTTCCTCAAGGTCCAGCTTTTGTTAGCCTTTGGCCATTAGCCTTGGTAGGATGATCTTTACTCTCACTATTTTTACAAAGGCCACTTTTCGCATCTGTATTTTAGCATTTATTTTGCTTTATTGTAATTTTCTGTTTACACAAGTGATTCTATAAGCAAACCAGGGTTCTCCATGGTACACAACCATATTACCCTCAGCATCTACAACTAGGGCCTGACAACAGTGGAAACTCTTCAAATGCCTGCATAATCAATGAGTGAATGAATGAACGAACAAATAAACAAGTAAGAAAGGACACCAGAAGAAAGGGTGGGAGGTAGCATCTACAGCGATAACTTATCCAAATAAATGCTCAAATTCATGTTCTGTAGAGGCATGCAAAGATATAACGTAAACCTTAACAAATTCCACCCAAATCTTAGAAATGTTTTCTCTTTTTAATGTTATCAAAGATTGTAAACAATTACTAACTATAATATCAGCAGGATATCAATTTCTCCCTACTCACCAAAAGAGTACAAAATACTTCTAAAGACTTTTATTATTTAAAAAGGAACAGGGACTTCAAACTGAAATGTACTATTAATAAGTAAACTGCTTTTAAATAAATAACATGAAACTTCAAGGATTAGAGGTTAAAAATAAATTTAAGTTGGCATGGGTCAAATGTACTGCATTTTACAGAAAAAAAAAGTACAAATTTTGAAGAGAACTATTTCAACTCCATTCTCCTAAATCAAAAACAAACCAGCAAAATTCAGTGACTACTGTAAACTCTGCATTGATGACAGCTTTTGTCTTTATTCCATAGGTACAAAGATTCAGATGCAATGCAGATGTATCATTTTCCTATTTTTGTAGAAGAATATGTTGACATTTCTCATAAAATCTCTTGCTTGATGGTCCAAAAAAGTTTATGACACAACAATAAACTTGAGCGCCCTCAATTACATTTTTTGTCTCTCTCTGAAACAAAGAGTAGCAGCAGCAATAACAATACTTGGTACATAGTAGGTACTCAAATAGTAGCTGCTATCAGCAAGCCAAGCTTTTTAGTTTTGTTTGTTATTTAAGAGATAGGGTCTTGCTATGTTGCCCAGACTGTTCTCAAACACCTAGGCTCAAGTGATCCTGCCTCGGCCTCCTGAGTAACTGGGTGTTTTTTTTTTTTTTTACAGGATTCATCATCAATTGTCATAATTATCAGGCAGGTACTGTTCTCACTTTTCAGGTGGGAAAATAAGACTTAGCAAGGTTAAGAAACGTGTTGAATGTCATGCAACTGGTTCTACTCCAAATGTACTTTCTTTCATGCTATAATATGTTGACATTAAGAGGAAACGAACCACATGCCTTTAATTGGATAACAGAAAAACCTATTTGAAGATTAATTTATTTAACTCAATCTCCATTTCAAGCTTCAACATTTTGGCTTTTAAAAACTGGCGATTAAGATAAGAAAAGAATGTGGATTCAAATTAACCATTGCAACTTATAATCAGGTATAATGAAAAATCAGGTGCTATCTATTGCTATTATTGGAACAGCTGTTGCATACTCTTAAGGACTGTGATAAGCATGCAGTATTTTTTAAAATGAAATAAAAGAAGGGGGCGGGAAACACTGAAGCATCTTTCAACAGAAAAGCTGCAAAGAAGCATAAAGCAGTCAATTCACAATGAAAAGTGTTGACAACACTGAGGAAAACTAAACACTAACACATCTGAGTTGTTGAAATGAAATATATTTTAATCTGCATTTAAGGTGTTTAAAAATCTCCATTTGTTAGCACAACAAAATAAATATTTACAACTAAGGATTGCATCAACCACTACTACTATTAGAAATCATTACTTCCTCAGCAATTTTGTAGCATTCTGCTGACTCTACGTCCTCAATTGATAGAGATCTCAGAATCCTAGGGGATTTAGAATGCCTCAGAACTGTATATATTTTGAATGCAAGAGCATTCTGTAAGGAGCAACCTCTTAAAACTAATTTTCATAATCTGACAGACGTGAACACAATTTAAAAAACCAAAAAGTTTTACAAGAAAAACAGCAGTCCCTTCCCCCTTTAACATACCCCACAATTTTCAAATCCCCGAGGCAACCACTTTCAAGTCTTTTTAGCTAGTTCTTCTGGCATTTTTTTCTCTATATTCTATGTAGTAGGTCTATGCAGCTGTTTAATTTTTTCTTTGAGGACTCTACTGACTTCCTATTATAAAATATAATGGTTTAGCTCTGTTACATCTTCTCTCCCTCATCTTTCTATCATAATTTTTGGTTGAATCAATTGTCAGTACTTACATTATTACTATGGCTGTAAATAATATTCACAGCTGAGCCAAAAGTACATCATGATTACTCTTTTCTGTATAACTTTGCTTTCCTTACAGTTAATAACTACACCATTTTTCCATTTGCTTAGGTTTCTAGGTACCTACTGCTAATTCATCTGCAAACAGCTAAAAGTATTAACTTTCTTCTCAATATATTCAAATACATCAGGTAAATCAGTTTTCTTTCCTGTAGCCCTCCACCATATTCCAATTTGGACTGTAGGCTCTCCAAGCCTGGTGCACAATTATGGTCATGGAATTTCCCTTTAGCTTATCCCAGGAATTCCCTTGTCTCTCTTTTATACTGGATCCCGTTTCCTTATGCCACTACTTCCCCTTTCTTGGTTTTCTCTTTTTAGTGGGGTATTTCCTCTAGCAGCTTTCTGAGAAAGGGGGCATGTGAGGTACGATGTTTTTATTCCTTGCATTGTATTTTTAAAATCTTCATTTACCCTTACGACTGAGTTTGGCTCAGTACAGAGTGCTGGGCAGGAAATCATGTTGTGTCAAGATTTTGAAGGCCTTTCCTTATTGTTTTCTGGCTTCCAGTGTTAAGAAGCCTAGTACCAATCTGACCCATAATCCTTCATAGTCAACTATATATCCCCATCTGGAATCATAGCAGCTTCTCTTAATCTGTTCTGAAATTTTACAATGTTGTGCCTTGGGGTTGGTCTTTTTTTTTTTTAATTGCATAAACTGATAACTGTCGATCCTTTTAAACTTAGAGATGTATGTCCCCTTCAGTTCTGGGAAGTTTTCTTACAATAATCTTCCTTCCATGTCTTTGTGTTCTCTTTCTTATACACTTATTATTCAGACACAGGTCTTCCTAGACTGATAATCTCATTTTTCCTTTACTCTATTTTCTTTTTCCTTGTGCATTTTTACATCTCTTGTCTTTTAGCTCTATCTTCTGGGATTTTCCTCAATTTTATCTCCTAACGCTTACATTAAATTTTTAATTTCCATGAACTCTTTTAATTTTCTGCATTTCTCTTTTCTTTTTCCTCTACATTTTGTTATTTTTCTTTTTTGAGAATATAAATTGGGTGTTGATGTTGTTTTCTTCTTCTCCCTACACTGGTATCTGCCTTTCATGCCTGAAGCTTTCCTTAAATGAGAGACAATCCTGGGCTGTGCATACATAGTTAAGAGTAAGATACTAAAAAGATGATGGGAAAATCTATGTGAGTGAGCAGACCAGGGTACTTCATCTAGAATGACTGGGCAATAACCTGGCTATTTTGTTTGGATTCCCTTTGCTTCCTTTTGTCTGATCACTTTTGACAGAGAGGAACAACCCAATCTCCTGCTTTGGTGGTATAAGGCTGGCTTCTAGTGTTCTAAGGGCAGAGTAGTGCAGAATGGGAGGTTCAATACATTCAAGACAATAACATTTTATTCAATCCCCTTTTCAGATATGTAAAACTTTACAAAAACACAGATATATATGTACGCAAACTCTGTCCCAACTACACAGAGGCAGGGGCCATGTTCTGAGAAAGATAAATACAGACAATACTCAAACAACGTCAACAAGCAAACAGGCTTTTGCAACTAAACAGAAAGTGCCAGTTTTATTGTCTCATTAGCTGTGACCTTCCATTATTGAAGGTTATATCTACACTGTGGATAAGAATTAGGTACTTCTTGTTGAACAACATAATTACTCTTGTTCACACATCCCACTGCAGTGGTTTACAGGATTAGTCATTAAGCAGACTATATTATGAGTCTTTATCTGGTATCAATTTATAACGAATTGTAAACCAGAATGAATTCCAAAGACAGACAAAATAGGGATTTAATAATGTCATAATATTTCATTTATACTTTTGCCTTTCATCCACAAAAGCAAATGCATAATCACAAATTCTGTAACTGCACACATTAAAGCTTGCACACAACAACAAAAGTATTTTATTATTTTCAAAGTCAGATTCTTCATTCAATGGGGCTTACTTTTGGATGATTTCTAAATCTTCTCATTACAAATTGTTAATAAGCAGCTATTAGCAATCTGTCAACAATGCCCCATTCAACCAGAAAACCTAGTTAGACAGTTTCTATTCAAAGCAGCAAATCAGGTTGGTTACATACTTCTCCATAATCTTGTTTCACCCAATTTCTCAACTTTTATCTATTTTGCAGCATAAGACAACCGGAAAATGACCTGTAGTGCCTACTCCTCTAGTTAATTATCTTCCACCTCTCCAGGTCCATCTTATTGACTGCATTGAGGTCCCACAAAATGACAAAATATTGCAATTATACATAAATAGAGATCCCATTCTTCTTTAAACAAAGTATAAACACTGTTGAAATGGTACACCATGGCTTTAATTTTTGATAGATAATTTAAACATCATCCTTATTTATATACTACCACATTTCATGAAACTTCTATCCTTCAAAAAGCTCCTTCTGGACGATAACCTGAACATTAAAAATAACAAATCCAGCCAGGCGCAGTGGCTCAGGCCTGTAATCCCAGCACTTTAGGAGGCTGAGACAGGCAGACCACTTGAGGTCAGGAGTTTGAGACCAGCCTGACCAACATGGTGAAACCCCATCTCTACCAAAAATACAAAATTAGCCGGGCATGGTGGTGCATGCCTGTAATCCTAGCTACTCGGGAGGCTGAGGCAGGAGAATCGCTTGAGCCCAGGAGGTGAAGGTTGCAGGGAGCTGAGATCGCACCATTGTACTCCAGCCTGGGCAACAACAGCGAAACTCTGTCTCAAAAAAATAAATAACAAATCCAACTCAGAATGTTATAACATTGGAGTACAATATTTTTCCTAAAAAGTTTAGGCCAGGTGTGGTGGCTCACACCTGTAATCCCAGCACTGTGGGAGGCTGAGGCAGGAGGAACACTTGAGCCCAGGAGTTTGAGACCAGCCTGGGCAATACAGCAATACCTCATCTCTACTAAAAATAAAAAATAAAAAATAATTAGCCAGGCCCATTGGTGGCACACACCTACAGACCCAGGAACTCAGGAGACTGAAGCAGGAGGATCCCTTGAGCCCAGGAGTTCGAGGCTGTGGTAAGCTGTGATCACACCACTGGACTCCAGTCTAGGCAACAGAGTGAGACACTGTCTCAAAAAGAAAAAAGGAAAAAAAATTTTAAAGGGCTTAGTTTAATTTTAAAATTTAGAGTGCAAATTTCTAACACATTGCCAGACTTCTTATGCAGAGGTGGGAAAATATGGCTCTTATTTAAGAAAAAGGCTGCTCTGCACACAGATGTTCAATAAATGCTTTTTGGATCAATGCACAGGCCCTAAATGAGTATGTATAGGAAGAGAAGACAGGAACAATGAACACATAGAAATAAACTAGTCTTCAGAAACATGCGTAATCATCGTATTAATTCAATTCTCAAAAGTTACTGAATACCTAAAATATGCTGAATAAATGTGCAATACAATATAATGGTACTGGCAAATACAGAATTTGGATTCTGGTACTGACTTGGCCACTAATTTACCAAATTACAATCTTACAGGTTCTGTTTTCTCACTTTGAAAAAAAAAAAAAAAGAGGGATTAACTAGAGGTTCTCAAAGATTCCTTAAAATTTCAAAATTCAACATTGTAACTGTATTAAATGAAATTTTCTTCTCATTCTTCTACTCTTCTACAGTTGGGGAAATACAATACATACAGTTAGTGAAATCTTTCTATATTAAAAATGTTTTCAATCATAATTTTTAGCGTCATTTACATGGGTTGACAGACTAAAAATGACAAAACATAATATGTATTAAATACTTATAATGTACCAGTAACATACTAATTATAGTAAGCATGATTATCTTATTTAATCCTCATATGAACCTACAAGACAGAGCATTATTATTCTCACTGTATAGATAAGAAAACTGACATTACATCTAAAATCACACAGTAACTACATGATGGAGATAGGGCTCAAATCTGACCTGATTCCAGAGTTCATAACTAATACAATGTCTTATCACAAGCTCAGCCAGAGCTGAGTATATGTTACACTGAGACACGGACAGGAAATGGGTGACGGGGGCACTAAATGACAGTCAAGGAATTTATACAGTATAACATGAGCAGGCAGTGGAATAAATGCATATTTTAGAGGCAGTAAAGATGTAATTGAAATAGTGCTTAAGGAAGTTACCGAAGTAACCACCAATAGGATGGCTGAAATAAGAAAAAAACTAAGAAATAAACCTTCTGGCTAAAAGACATGGCAACACGCAGGATTTATCTACATGTAAGGTAAGAAGGAACTGTGCAGTGGAAATACAGGAGACAGGACCAAGAAATACTGCAAAGAAAAACTACAGGCCATGTTCAATATTCTACAAACAGGTAGGTCTTTTAAAAATTAGTACTGTACTTGATCATGAGAACAATCATCATTCACTTTTCAAATAAAATCTAGAATTTAAAAATACTAAGTAGGGCTTTAAGAAGTTTTAAGTCTATTAAATTCTAAAAGATGATTATTCTTTCCTAACTGTCCCCTTACCAAAAACAAACAAAACACTGCATTTGCAATTAGATGATCTAAGTTTCAGATAAGACAAGAGACAATGAACAGTATACCCTATCTGAGAGAAAGCTGAAAAGCCTAAAAGAAGAAACACGTATTAACAAAACAAAAAGTGACAAGAATGCATCTTCTAAACTAAAGAGTCTAAATTACAGCCTTCAGTCTGGGTCCTAGTATAGAGATTAAGGAAAAGTCCTAGAGGGGTGGTACTGAACTATTTCCGAGTAACAGGAGTAACCTACTGAAGGTAACAGAGCTAGCAAGTAGTGGAGCTCAGACTCAAAAGGCAAATGCCAATGTCCACACAATGCTACATGGTAATAACAACTACAGACACTATCACATAGTATGAAAATGTTTTTGGAAATAACAGCAACAGAGTATCAAAAACAGAACTTAAAGATCTTCTTGTCTAAAACTCCATCTAATATATGAAGTTTTACTCCAACTTTCTTGACTGGGCCCCCAGCCTCTGCTAAAACACTTCTAAGAGTTCACAACCTTTAAAAGCTGCCCACATTAGCGAAAAGCTCTAGGAATTGAAAGTTCCCTTTAAAGTCCGCCCAATGGCTCTAAAATTTCGTCCTCTTGGTATACCAAAATTGACTCTTAAAATGCTTAAAATGTGTTAAAAGGACTCTTTTCCTTCAACTAGCTAGACCCCTTCCCACTCCTGATCATTCTCAAGCATTCTGCAGTCCATAGTACTCAGAAGTGAATGAAATAATCTAGATATGGTGTGACTAGTCTCCAACACAGCAGTATTACTATCCCTCTTAATATGAACATGGTATTTTTACCAATATAACCTAACAAGTCATTCACGTTTTAGGTTTGTTTTATTTGGACAAGAGGGGATGTATGGTATGTGTTATTCTTTTATTTCAGCAGGGAGGGGGCTGCATCCACATCATCCTGTTGCTTATGTTAACTAAAACCTTTATTCTATCTTTTTCACATAAATGGCTACAGTATAAAGTCAAACCACCTCATCCTCGAATACAATTTTTTTAATTTAAAAGTAGAACGTAATGTTTCATGCCATTAAACTTCATGTTTTTCAGCTCTTCATTCCAGCCTTTCAAACCCCTTTTGAAAAATTGTATCCTACACCCCTCTATTGTACAATTATCACGAAATGTGGTAAAACACTGATTTTCCAGTTTATGTCCTCCCATAGATTTTGAGTTTTTCAAGGGTAAACACTCATCTCCATATCCCCTATGCAAGTATAGTTAATGACACCAAGTAAGTGCCCAACAGATGATGATATGAATTCCTCTTCCTTTTATAATCTTAACACACCCTTTCCAGTTCCGTGTCATATATAAAATCTGAGAATTGTGCCCTTAAATATTCACCCAAGTCATCCTTAAGAACTTGGAATATGACAGTGTCAACTCTCTAGGGCCCTGAGCATATCATAAGAGATTATCCTCCAAGTAACAATAAAATTTAAGGCTACAAATGAAGATTATTCAACTATTTGCGATTAAGATGACTCTTTTCTCCTAGGATTCCCCAATCTTTTTTGTTGTTGTTCTTTCTTTTTTTGAGACAGAGTCTCACTCTGTCGCCCAGGCTGGAGTGCAGTGGCGCAGTCTTGGCAACCTGTGCCTCCTGGGTTCAAGTGATTCTCCTGCCTCAGCCTCCCGAGTAGCTGGGACTACAGGTGCATGCCACCATGCCTGGCTAATCTTTTATATTTTTAGTAAAGACGCGCTTTCACCGTGTCAGCCAGGATGGTCTCAATCTCCTGACATGATCCACCCACCTCGGCCTCCCAAAGTGATAGGATTACATTCGTGAGCCACCGCGCCCAGCCTGATTCCCCTATCTTAAGGTAAAAATAAACATCTTCCAGAGTGCACAAGAAAATTAAGGTTATCATATTTCAGTCCTGATTTATAAGTTTTAGACAGAAACAAGTTTTTAAAAAGACGTACACAAATGTTCTAAAAGCCCTAGGTGGCCAGGAGCGGTGGCTCACGCCTGTAATCTCAACACTTTGGGGAGGCGGCAGCGGGCAGATCACCTGAGGTCAGGAGTTCAAGACCAGACCGGCCAACATGGTAAAACCCCATCTCCACTAAAAACATAAAAATGAACCAGGCACGGTCCTGGGCACCTGTAATCCCAGCTACTTGAGAGGCTGAGGCAGGAATAGCACTTGAACCCCGGGGGGCCGAGGTTGTAGTGAGCCAAGATCGCATCATTGCACTCCAGCCTGCGCAGCAGAGTAAAACTCCATCTTAAAAAAAAAAAAAAAAGCCCTAGGAATGATTCCTTACAAACTACACAGAGAAATATTAAAAAGAAAAAAATAGGTTACAGCAAAAAGTTATTCAGGTCTTGCAATGACAGCTTGCCTAAATATTTTTTAAAATTCCATCAGAAGCCTATTAATAATAACGACCCTTTCTTTTCTACACAGAATGGAAGACTTTCACTTGAATATTCTACTAGTTACAGATAAGAGAAATAATTTCACAACAAAAGCATCCTTTAGTCTATGTAAAGTAAAACTGCTAACTTTCCACAAAACTTACAGATCATTATGATCATTATCTTCAGAACAGATTATTATGATTAAAATTTAAGTTTTATGATTTAAAGTAAAATTTACAAAGTTACTACAGTAGCAAAAGCAAGTTTAAGAAAATGTTTTGGCTGGGCACAGTGGCTCACGCCTGTAATCCCAGCACTTTGGGAGGCCGAGGTGGGCGGATCACCTGAGATCAGGAGTTCGAGACCAGCCTGGCCAGCATGGTGAAACTCCATCTCTACTAAAAATACAAAAATTAGCCAGGTGTGGTGGTGGGTGCCTGTAATTCCAGCTACTCAGGAGGCTGAGGCAGGAGAATTGCTTGAACCTGGGGGGGCGGAGGTTGCAGTGAGCCAAGATCACGCCACTTCGCTCCAGCCTGGGCAAAAGAGAGACTCCGCCTCAAAAAAAAAAAAAAAAAAAAAAAAAAGAAAGAAAGAAAGAAAATGTTTTTATTTTCTTTCAAAAATTCCATTAATGTACATAAAAATTCATTTTCAAGGTGAGGCTCATGAAAACATATTACACATTCTTCGTGAAATTTATGGAAAAGGAAAATGAGCTACTCACAAAACTCTGAGGCTAAAAACCCAAACAGACTATACTTTTTAGCATCCATTTTAACATATCCAAAACATTAAACAAAAAAGCAAAAAGAAAAAAAAAAAGGAATGCTAAAGTTCCAGATAAGAAGCAATTTTTTTAAAAGCACAAAAAGAGAAAAACAAAGTTTATCTATCTACAACTTACTCTGTCAAAAAGAAAAAAAAAGTTTAATTGTCCATGTCTAAAGGACAATTCATAAACTAGCCAAAAGAAGAAATGATCTGTGGTTATGGTTTTATAAAAAAAGTCTTTTATCTTTTGTGGACATTAGAAAGTGAAATAAAATATGAGGTTTATCATAATCAGTCAAAAAGAACAATTACTGAAAACTCATTCTTAATACCATTCCTTGAACATATAGCTAATCAAATTCCAGAGTACTTCTCCAAATACTCAATGCAGCCAATGTTCTTAAAAGTTTAAAAATAAAAGTTATTTTACTTCCTGTAATCCCAGCATTTTGGGAGGCTACTCAGGAGGCTGAGGTGGGAGGATGGCTTGAGCCCAGCAGATCAAGCCTCCAGCCTGGGCGGAAGAGCATGACCCTGTCTAAAAATAAAATTTTTTTAAATTTAATTTTTAAAAAAGGAAAAAAAAGTAGAGATAAACTCTATGACAGAAGAAGAACAATATCACTGAATCCTAAGTCTAAAGTAATCCTTTCACTCAGCTCAGTCTTCCTGAGTGATCTCATCCACTCGTAACTTCAAAACGCTATCTCTAAATTAACAATTTCCAAATCTTTATTTCCAGCCTAACCTTGGTCTCCTAAACTCCAAATCCACATCTGCTAAACACCTCTCCTTATATCCCAAGAGTCATCAACTCAACATATTCGAATCTAACACATCAACTCTCTCCAAACCTTCCATCCACCTAATCACCCGTCAATGCCAGAAGCTGCTACACCATCTTCTTGTTCACCTCCAATCTATTTACCAAGTCCTGTCAATCTTAACACCTTAAAATATCTTAGTCCCTATTACCACTCTAATTCAGAGTCTGCAAGAGACTCTTAACTTTTCTCCCTGCCTCCAATATTATCCTCTCCAAGTCATTCTCCTCACTATTGCCAGTGATCATTCTAAAATATAAATCCAATGATGTCACGCTTGTGCTTAAACTTTTCCATGATCACCTACTGCACTCAGAGGCCCCATCTCCTTAGCATGACCACCGTAACCAATCTTTTAACCAACTCTCCATCTTCCAGGACTTTTATATATGCTGTTCTTTCAAGGAGAAGCTCTTCTCCCCCCTCCTATCCCAGCCTTTTACTAGCTAACTCCAAATCAGTAAGTTCTCAATTTTGATGTCACAACCTTTGGGATATTTTCCTTAATCCACTCCTAACATTAAAAAAATTTACGCTTTTATGTGCTCTCCTGTTTAACTCAGTTTACCGCTCTTATGCCATATGTAGAGAGGCCCTGTTTACTTGTCAATTCTTAACCAAAATACATGCTCTGTCTATAGAGACTGTCTTGTTCATCATTAATAAATATGAGTAACAACGGTTTGGCACCTGTCAATTATTACAAACCATATTGGTAATGCAAATATATTAGAAATTACACATATAACCTCGCCGGGCACGGTGGCTCACACCTGTAATCCCAGCACTTCGGGAGGCCGAGATGGGTAGATCACGAGGTCAGGAGATCGAGACCATCCTGGCTAATACAGTGAAACCCCGTCTCTACTAAAAAATACAAAAAAATGAGCCGGGCGTGGTGGCAGGTACCTGTAGTCCCAGCTACTCAGGAGGCTGAGGCAGGAGAATGGCATGAACCCAGGAGGCGGAGGTTGCAGTGGGCCGAGATTGCGCCACTGCACTCCAGCCTGGGCGACAGAGCAAGACTCCATCTCAAAAAAATAAAAAAAGAAATTATACATATAACCTCTCACAAATAAGGACATTATATAAATGTACCCAGTGCCTACTGAGCATACTGGCATCCAAACTCAGCAACTAGTGTTCAAACAATAATTTTTTAGTTTTAAGGGCAAAACTGAAGTTTATACTTAATCCTACAAAGAATGAGAAGTTGTAAAAACATTTTCAATTGCAGAAAATGTTAAAGGGAGGAAACGGACATAAAAAAATAAATCTAATTGAAGAGTAAATAATTTGAAAAGGGATGTAAGATATGATACCAATTTAGAGGCTGTTTTATGAATACAAAATTGACACTACAAGAGTCTGAAATAGTGACGGTAACAACTGAGAAGGAAAGGAAGGCATAACATTAAGAAGATTTGAAAAGACTTGGATGTGGAGGAAGTCTGTAGTTCAGATGGTTCAGAAATAGGGAAGACTTCTTTGAGTACACTAACTCAGTCAGGTTTCCTAGTTAATGTTCTTACAGAATTCTGTCCCTTTCCTTTATAGCATTCAACATAGTTTCAGACTCCATACATAGTTTCAATGTGGAAAATTCTCATAACAATCTGGCCCCAACTTCCCATAACTCTTTTTTTTTTTTTTTTTTTTTTTTTTTTTGAGATGGAGTCTCGCTCTGTCACCCAGGCTGGAGTGCAGTGGCCTGATTTCAGCTCACTGCAAGCTCCGCCTCCTGGGTTCACGCCATTCTCCTGCCTCAGACTCCCGAGTAGCTGGGACTACAGGTGCCCGCCACCACGCCCAGCTAATTTTTTTTGTATTTTTAGTAGAGACGGGGTTTCACCATGTTAGCCAGGATGGTCTCGATCTCCTGACCTCATGATCCGCCCATCTCAGCCTCCCAAAGCGCTGGGATTACAGGCATGAACCACTGCGCCCGGCCAACTTCCCATTAACTCTTATTACTCTCTTACACAGATATCCACATGTGGATCTAGTAGCTGTTCCGCAAACATACCTCAATGTTTTCTCTCCTCATTACCTTTGCTCATGCTGTTACCCTTGCTTCAAAGAATATCCCAGTAATCACCTTTTTTAATTTTCTTTTTTTAAAGACAGGGTCTCACTCTGTCACCCAGGTTGGAATGCAGTAGCATGATCATGGCTCACTGCAGCCTTGACCTCCCAGGCTCAAGCAGCCCTCCCACCTCAGCCTCCCAAGTAGCTGGGACTACAGATTGACGTCACTCCCCATGGCTAATTTCTGTTTTTTGTAGAGTTGGCCAGGCTGGTCTCAAACTCCAGGGCTCAAGTGTTCCGCCCCACGTCAGCCTCCCAAAGTGCTGGGATTACAGGTGTGAGCCACTGTGCCTGGCCACCAACTTCCAAAACTCTTCTAAGGCCCAGTCTGAAATAAGCTTAGCCAGAAGTGACCTCTTCCTCTTATGAATACATTGTTAACTACTTAGATTTACATGGTTATTTGTTTTGTTGGTACTGCTTTCTATTATCGTTTATTATTTTTCTCCTCAAAAGAATGAAGCTGGCCAGGCGCAGTGGCTCACGCCTGTAATCCCAGCACTTTGGGAGGCCGAGGCAGGTGGATCACAAGGTCAGGAGTTCAAGACCAGCCTGGCCAACATGGTGAAACCCCGTCTCTACTAAAAATACAAAAAATTAGCCAGGCATGGTGGCATGCACCTGTAATCCCAGCTACTCAGGAGGCTGAAGCAGAGAATTGCTTAAACCTGGGCGACAGAGTGAGACTCTGTCAAAAAAAAAAAAAAAAAGAATGAAGCAAACTCCCTGGGGTTAGCCACTCCATGGAGGGAAGGGAGGTAGGGGCGGGGGGGCGGGGGTGAAAAGAAGGTCATTAATTCCAAGAACAAACAACAGCAGAAGAGAAAGCACCAGCAACTCAATGAAAATAAGCCTCAATGTCCACTCCCTCTCCCAAAGGATTCTGCCACTGGGTTCTACAAACCCCTACAATTGTCCTCCCACCTAATTCCCATTCTACTTATGAGCAGTAATATCTCTAGAAAAGTGCTGTTCAAAGGAAATACAATGTAAGCTGCAAATATTGAGACACACACGTAATTTTAAATGTGCTACTAGCCACATTTTAAAAAGTAAAAAGGCCAGGCACAGTGGCTCATGCCTGTAATCCCAACGCTTTCAGAGGCTGAGGTAGGACAATCACTTGAGCCCAGGAGTTCAAGACCAGCCTGGCCAACATAGTGAGGCCACATCTCTATTTCAAAAAATTACAAGTAGGTGAAATTAATTTTAATGATATATATTTACTTAATCCAATAAACAAAATATTATTTCAACATGCAATCAATATCAATCATTAATGAGATATTTTCCATTCTTTTTTTCATACTATGTCTTCGAAATCCAGTATGTTTTACACTTACAGCAAATCTTAATTAGGACTAACCATATTTCAAGTTCTCAATACCCACACAGAACTAGTGGCCATAGTACTGGACAGTCCATCTTCTAGGTCATCCTGTCATTCACTGAAGTAAAGTTTTAGTACCTGCCTTGGCCATTCAGGCTCCAACTTAACTCCTCATCATTACTTTCCACCCTCAGCTACCCACTTCCGAGGCCACATCTTAGACATTTCCAGCAGAACCTGCACCACCCTCAAAATCACTAACTCGAACATTTCATTTTCCAACTACAACCTCCTTTTCTTACTTGCTTCATTTCAAGAATTCAATTCACAAAGATCTCTAATTCATTGATGTTGTCATGCCCTATCCATTAGCCCCTAAACATTTCTTTGCAAAATTCCATTGTCCCTCCATGCCTGGCACATTCAACTAGTTCCCACTTTGTAGGAGAAAAGAATGCATGCACTCATGCAGATGGATGTTATTTTACATCCACAGTCGTCAATCTCAATGGGCACAGGCATCTCACTAAACTTTCCAGTGAGCCAGCAATCAAACTTCCTACAATAACTCTTTCATATCTTTTCCTTGCTCCTCCCACATCTCCTTCCTCCAAAAACTACCTTTAGGAAGCATATATACAACAAATGACTATTAAACTTTAACAATGCATTTAACATTGTTAATTCATATTCCAGAAAACATTTCCCAAAATAAAGTTCTTCCTAATTATTAAAACATCTGCTCTCTATAAAAATTCAAATATGGAAAGGTACAAGAGAACCAAACTATTTTTCATATAGTTACAGGAGTACTAGAATGTAATTTCTTTTTTTTTTTTTTTTTTTGAGACGGAGTCTTGCTCTGTCACCCAGGCTGGAGTGCAGTGGCACAATGTCGGCTCACTGCAAGCTCCGCCTCCCAGGTTCACACCATTCTCCTGCCTCAGCCTCCCAAGTAGCTGGGACTACAGGCTCCCGCGCCACCACGCCCGGCTAATTTTTTGTATTTTTAGTAGAGACGCGGTTTCACCGTGTTAGCCGGGATGGTCTCGATCTCCTGACCTTGTCATCCGCCCGCCTCAGCCTCCCAAAGTGCTGGGATTACAGGCATGAGCCACCGTGCCCAGCCTAGAATGTAATTTCACAAAAGCAAAAACTCTATTTCATTCCCAAATGATGTGTGAGCATTTAACACAGCTGATTTGGCATATAAATCAGCACTCATTTTTATTGATAGAATGACTGGATAAGAACCTTGCTTTAAGTAAATGTGATACCAAAGGTCAAACGGGCAAAAGGAAGGAGGAGGGGAGCGTAAGGGAGAATGCTTGTTTGCAAGATTTAGCAGAGAATACCTATAGCCACAAAGAATACTTATTATAAGCCCAGTAAAGGAATAACTATTTTTATGTTTTACTAAGAGTTTTTTAAATGTATCCAAAAAAATAATGGACAAGGCCGGGTGCGGTGGCTCACGCCTGTAATCCCAGCACTTTGGGAGGCTGAGGTGGGCGGATCACGACGTCTGGAGTTCGAGACCAGCCTGGCCAACATGGTGAAACCCCGTCTCTACTAAAAATACAAAAATTAGCTGGGCACGGTGGTGCGCACCTGTAATCCCAGCTACTGGGGCAGCTGAGCCAGGAGAATGGCTTGAACCCAGGAGGTGGAGGTTGCAGTGAGCCAATATTGTGCCACTGCACTCCAGCCTGGGTGACAGAGCAAGACTCCACCTCAAAAAAAAAAAAAAAAAAAAGGACAAAAACATTTAAGGTGTAACACAGACTTTAATGGTCTTGCCAAAAAGCTGGACTTTTCTCATAACTCTGACGATTCAACTTCTTCGTGGATGAGAGCATTGACACATAAGCCTGAGCACTTTTCAAGACTTAACCCAGGGCAGGGGCGGTGGCTCATGCCTGTAATCCCAGCACTTTGGGAGGCTGAGGTGGGTGGAACACCTGAGGTCATGAGTTCGAGACCAGCCTGGCCAACAGGGCAAAATCCCTTCTCTACTAAAAATACAAAAATTGGCCAAGCATGGTGGCAGACACCCGTAATCCCAGCTACTCGGGAGGCTGAGGGTGGAGAATCACTTGAACCCAGGAGGCAGAGGTTGCAGTGAGCCGAGATAGCGCCATTGTACTCCAACCTGGGTGACAGGAGTGCAAACTCAGTCTCAAAAAAAAAGACTTAACCCCGGGTAAATCACTGTGGTAATTAACTTAAGTCCCTTCTTCCACAAACATCACCAGATGTACTTACTGAAATCTATGAGCACATATATTGGCCATGCTCTGTCCTTCAGGCTGGAGTACAGTGGCGCCATCACAGCTCACTACAGCCTCAACCTCCTGGCTCAAGCGATCCTCCCACCTCAGCCTCCCAAGTAGCTGGGCCACAGGCACATGCCTCAGCCAGCTACTTTTTGTATTTTTTTGTAGACACAGGTTTTTGTCATATCGCCCAGGCTGGTCTCAAACTCCTGCACTCAAGCAATCTGCACACTTCAGCCTCCCAAAGTGCTGGGACTACAGATGTGAACCACCACGTTCACCCTATACATATTTTCAGGTCTCCAAAACTTTCCTCTCCACCTTCTCCTACGGAATCCTCCTCTTTGAAGAATGCTACAGTAAATTTGGAAATTTACAAGACTATGATATAAAATATTAGATGCAATGGTTTTAAGACAACATTACAAATAATAATATACAAAACTACTGTTTCACTCCTAGTTTTCACCTTTAAAATACACTATTGATACAAGTTACCTAGAAGAAATGGGGAAGAGAGGATGAGGGTGCACAAAGGAAGGCCTCAAGGTTTTAGAATGCTCTATTTATTAGGCTTGATGTTTGTTTTACTACCTTTCTATAAGTTACACATTTTTCTATAAGGTTATACATACTACGCTGTATATAATTTAATTTTTTTTAAAAAAGCAACCTAGCTTTCTCTTAGAAAATAACACGATTTCTACTACCACTCAATATAAATCTTAATTCAACATAGGCATCTATTTAAGAATCATTATTATATATTAATATAGTTTGTATTATAAGCTTCACAGAAAGTTTACAATGACCTCCAGTTAAATATGAATTCACCATATACAAATGTCTGCCATATTCCCCCCATAAAGAGAAACAAAATGACAGTGAGGGAAGAAAAAAAGAAAAATCTTTAATCCACAAGGACAAAAAGAAAAAAAAATAACCAACTAGAAATTTCAACAAACTTTTTGATGATGAAAAGCAGGCAATGCAGTGGTAACTAAATCAGAAGAGGAAGCTACAACCTACAAATGCCTAGAGAGGGGAATACTAAAGAAAGGCAAGCATATCTAAAAACACAGGGGGCAAGGTACAAGGGGGCTGTTAGAAAATCTGAACATACAGGATGGTTACACCCTCAGGTCTCCTCTAACTAAATATCCATGAGACAACTTCCCTACCATGCCCACTAGCCTCTCGTAACACAAGAGGCCAGAGGATTACTGGAACAACTGAACCAGAGAGGCTCCAGACTCAGACCAGCATGGAACTAAGATCAAGGGTGAGGCACAAATCTAAAAGTGGAGATTAAGCAAAGTCTGCATACTCATAAGTGGGACACCTTTATCCTGCCTTGTTCCCCAAACATTATCAGCCAGGTAAGTAGCCTCAACAAGAGATTATAGAATTCCTCTCGGGAAAAAATGGACAGACCAGACCTACTCACACTTAGAAGACCATTAATCTCATTCCTGGGACTATCTAAATTCAGAGGTGAAGACTAATGGCAATTCTAAAATTCATGTTCTTTTCCCTGATTATGATTCAATTAGACACAAAATACTATACTTTTTTTTTAAAGGTCTTTAACCTTTAAGATGCTACCTGATTTTGAAATCACATATTAGAATAACTTCTGGGACAAAAATATTCCTTTTCCAGTCTTACTTTGACACCCTGGGGAAAGATGTTTAAGGAACAGAGGCTGAAGTTTTTCACACACCACTCTAAAGAAATGCAGAAAGAAACTGAAAAGCATTCAGAGTCTTACAATTTCTAGGTCCTGTTTCAAGTTTATCCCACAAAAGGGAAAGGAAAAAAACAAAATAGGTAGAATGCAAATCAATCATATATATTTGGTAAGAGCTAAGCTCTGCTGGAGAGGAAGTTCTTGGCTAATATTAAGTTAGGGAATTTTTCATTTATTCATATGATTCTTATATTTTACTACAGAAAAAGCAATCAGGCCAGGCATGGTGGCTCACACCTGTAATCCCAGCACTTTGGGAGGCTGAGGCAGGTGGATGATCTGAGGTCAGCAGTTCAAGACCAGCCTGGCCAACATGGTGAAAGCCCATCTCTACTAAAAACACAAATATTAGCTGGGCACAGTGGTGCGCATCCTACTCGGGAGGCTGAAGCAGAAGAATTGCTTGAATCCAGGAGGCGGAGGTTGTGGTGAGCCGAGATCATGTCACTGCACTCCAACCTGGGCAACAGAGCGAGACTCTGTCTCAAAAAAAAGAAAAAAGAAAAAACATAACCTTGAAAAAATTAAGTTATATATTTCCCACACCATTACTGATTACAAGTACTTCAAGCCAGGTGCAGTGGCTCAACACCTTGAATTCCAACACTTTTAGGAGGCTGAGGCATGAGGATCACATGAGTCTGAGAGCAGCCTGGGCAACACAGCAAGACCCTATCTCCAAAAAAAAAAAAAAAAAAAAAAAAAAAAGCTTTTAGTCAGCTGAGCATGGTGGCAAGCACCTGAAGTCCTAGCTACTCAGGAGGCTGAGGTGGAAGGATCATTTGAGCCCAGGAGTTCGAAGCTGCAGTGAGCCATGATCATACCACTGCACTCCAGCCTGGGCAAGAGAGGGAGACCCTGTCTCCAAAAAAAAAAAAAAAAAAAAAGTACTTCAAGCACATTCGTTCAGTGCAATGCAAGCTACTACCGTTTAGCATTACTTACAGAGATGCAGGATTTAATTAAATAACTCTGCTTAGCAAACTGCCTTGTAAGAGATCACTAGAAATAAATTTTTTCTTTTTTTTTTTTTTTCTCGAGACAGGGTCTCACTCTGTCACCCAGTTGGAGTGCAGTGGATCTCAGTTCACTGCTACCTCTGTCTCCCAGGATCAAAAAATCCTACCACTTCAGCCTCCCAAGCAGCTGGAACCACAGGTGCGCATCAACATGCCCAGCTAATTTTTTGTATTTTTGGTAGAGATGTGGTTTTGCCATGTTGTCCAGGCTGGTCTGGAACCCCTGAGCTTAAGCACTCTGCCTGCCTAGGTCTCCCCCAAAGCACTGGAATTACAGGTGTGAGCCACTGCCCCCAGCCTTATTTTTCCTTTTAAGTTATAAAAAATACCATGAGTGGGAAGGTGAAAGGGATCGTCCCATTTTAAATTAGGCACTGCTGTACTGTAAATTTTAAATTTTAAAAAAGATCAAGTTTTCAAAGTTTTTGCTCTTGGGACTCTTGAAAGTGGAGGACCATCCCCCCCGCAAAAAAACTTTATGTCGATTAAATCTATCAATATTTACTGTATTTGCAGTTAAAGCAGAAAACTTTAAAAGATTTGTCATTTAAAAAAAAATAATAGCTGGGCATGGTGTCTCACGCCGTAATCCTAACACTTTGGGAGGCCGAGGCAGGCGATCACTGGAGCCCCCGACTTCGAGACCAGCCTGGGCGACATGGCAAAGCCCATCTCAAAAAACAAATTAATTAATTAATCCATTACTTGTTAACATAAATCTCATATTTAAAAAATATTTTTAATAAAAATTAGAAGACTATCATGGTTTTACATTTTTGCAAATCTCTTTAACATCTAGCTTAATAAAGACATCTTGATTCTCACATCTACTTTTCCATTCAATCTGTGTATTAGATTGTTTTGGATGAAGAATATAAAGGAAATCTAGCCTTATGAAGCTCTATAGAGTTGGGAAAAAATAGAGTATTTTTATTAAAATGCTCTAGCCTTTTCAGATAACTTTCGATATTCTTTGATCCTTCACCAAAACACAACAAATGGCAGGTTCTTAAAGGCTGCTGCAACGCAGGAATCTGAAACCGTATCAATGAATATTTCCCACTCTGATAAACTGAAATTCATTGGTCTATCTTCCATTTCCAATGGATCTTTTTATCCAGGCATGATTTTGTAATATCATGCATTGGTTATTTGGAAAATATTAGTTCACTGAGTTATGCAGTTCTTCCAAATGTTGACATATTTCACTATGCAACTTCAACATAACACATTCATTAATATCACACTGATCTTATCAAAAAAGTCAAGTATTGGGAAACTGTCAAGCTCACAGTGGCAAATACATGTCTTCCAAAGTTCTATTTTCATTTGAAAGCTTAAATTTTATCATTAGTAACAAATATTGTCAGTTGTTTTCCCTGTAGTGACAGGCACACTTTGTTTATTTTCATGAAAATGTATGCCAAATACCCTAGTCTGTATAACCATACTTTGCCAGCCATTTTTTCAAGTAAAAATGGTATTCCATTTAAAAAGCTCACAACTCAACTGCACAAGTTCTTTTCCTTGAGTTAACCATCAGATTTGATATTCAATAAAAGTGTTTTACAGGTACTTTTCATTTCATCATACAAAATATATTTTTAAATGTACTCAAGGATTGAGATACAATAAAATTAGTAAGTTTTATTGCTTCATCAAGGACATAAAGTTTAACTGGCATTTTTTTTTTTAATTCCAAGTGCACAGTGATGAAGAACACAACTACTAGTACAATTTAGTACCAATGCCTTAATTTGTGCCAAGGTGCTGGCAGTTTTACCCACCACTGATTTTGCAAATGTCAGCACGTAAATAATGCCTATTATTAGGAAAATCATTTTGACCTGGAGAACCCTCAGAAAAACTTCGGGGAACCACCAGAGGCCTGAGAAATAGACTTTGAAAACCTCTGTAAGAACTGATGCATTACTTGTATAATTTTTAAAAAGATAATTTTTAGTAAACATTCCGCTATAACAGAAATATTTAAATAAATATACACACATATGTGATAATATATTAAAATCACCAATAACCTGGTACCTCATACACAGCAGATACCCAAAAATATAATAAATAACAGAATGTGATAAATAATTCTTTAATAAATAACAATTACTGAGAATCTACTATAAGCCAGTTTCTGAGCCAGTTCTGTGCCTCTTCAGTCCCCTTCTTGGGTAACTTACAGAAGCCCATAGACCAGAATGATGATTTTAACATATGAGAAAAAATATTTACTCTGAAATCTTTCCAATCTTTAAGATTAGACTTGCATGACTGCAAGAAAAAGTCTTAAAATTCACCATAAAGCACAAGATAGCATGTTAAGTTCTATTTTAAGCACTATGCCATGAGCTTTTTTAAAAACAGGCTTGCTCACATTCAGAAACCCAAATACAAAATGAATTGCTTTGGCTGAGCACTGCCAGAACTGCATAAAGACCCTGCATTCCATTTCTCCTCAAGCTATACAACCCTTACCTGTGATGTTTTCATTCCTATTGTTAAGTGAAACTCCAGCATTAATACTACAGAGGTTACATTAAATGTGGCAATTATTTTTTTAAAAAAACCAGTAGTGTATAGCAAAACCATCAAAACAAGTTGTTAAGAACTTTTAACCATATACACTGATAAATTCAAGAGGTAAATCTCTATAAACATACATAGGAAATATTACACACTGTTAAAAAGAATGAGACCATCTCATTGTCTGGACATGTCATGGAAAGATCTTCACTATCTATTGTAAAAAAAAGCAAACTGTAGGATGCTACATATGGTATGGTCTCACAGTTTTAGAAAAGATATTTATGTACATGTACATTCACTTAAGTTCCTTCTATGTGCCTAGTTTTGTTCTCATCTAGACATACACACACACAATAAATTAAAAATATTATACAGACATACACATTTAAATGCCCATGCAGAGAAAAAAATGAATACAAGACCAGACACAAAAAGTGACATATTTTTATTCCATTTATATTAAATGCCCAAAATAGGCAAGTCTACAGAGACTCAAAATAGATTATCAGTCGCCTAGGGCTAAGAGTGAGGTAAGGTTTGGGAAGGGGATGATGCTAAAAGGATGTAGGGTTGCTTTTCGAGGTGAAAAAATATTCTAGAACTGATTGTGGTTAATGGTTACACAACTTTGTGAATATACCAAAAACTACCTGACTGTGCACTTTAACGAGGTGAACTGTAATGGGATATGTTAATTTTATCTCAATAAAGCTGTCACCTCCCCCTGCCCACCCAAATAAGAATACACAGATATACACCAAAATGATTCCCTCTAAGAATGAAGATGATGAGGTCTTTCCATTTTTACCCTATTTACTGTTAGATCATTACAATGAGAAGTGTAGTCACTTATTATCTCTATAACTTAAAATAATGTAAAAGGTAAATCTAAAACAGCCCTTGATAAATTATTCTGGATTTAATGTTATTCAAGTTCATCTAAGCAGCAGCAAGAAAAAAGAGCGAAGATATGACCCTAAAAATATTTTCAATTTAGATTGTCTTATAGACAAGAGTATCAGGCCCCAGTCTCTGACAGAAACAAATCTTAAACATAATTTGTTCATCTGACACATGTATATTAAAAACACCTATTGTGTCCACAGGGTAGGGATGGGAGAATGGGGGGTGTACAAACAGAACACCAGCCAACAAAAAGACGCAAACTAACAGCTCTGGCTTTAAGTTAAGGGCTTTTGCTATACAGCTGAAGAGACAAAACACACACACAAAGTGGAATGGGGCCAGACAATAGAAAATCTTGAATACTAGACTGAGAACTAAGTCTTTATCCAGTTTTCGATAGAAAGCCATTCAAAGTTTTTATAGATAGGAGTGACAGAATGAAAGGAGTGTTTTGGTGAAATTAACCCGGCAACCAAAGCGGGTAAACTGAAAGCAGTGAATAGCAAAAAAGGTAAAAAAGAGATTAAGTTTTCAAAAATAGGAACGTTTACAACAGTCCTATGAGAGTTACTGATATCTCCATCATTAGTTAATATTCAAAGGATTTATGTTTGTTTTGTTTGCTTGATCTAAAGAAAAGCTGAAAAATAAAAAGGTGGTTTCTTCATTTTGACGAATTTTAGAAGTTCATAGCTAAGAATGAAGACTTACCAGAAAACTCTGAAGGAAGGGTTCTAGGGAATTTTCTTTTCATGTGACACTACTGAAACCAAGAGTAGAGGGAATCAAAAGTAACAGGAGTTGCACAATTTTTAACATGGAAGGGGAAATATAGTCATAAACATCTAGCAAAAAGTGCAGTGGCAATTAATACTACTTCTGAAATTGATGGTTAAAGACAACTAAGTACTTTAAAATTGTCTCTACTGCCTATTTCAAAGAAATCCTAATGATAAAACGTTACATAAATACAGATTTAGGTGAAGACCAAAGTCGAACGAATCAAATTTAGAGTACGATCAATTTCAAGTTCCTTCTACATGCACTACTTTTCAGATGTTGCACAAATAGCATTCTTAATTCACATATGCATTTATTAATTGGTTTAACTCATAAAGGTTTTTTCTAAAAATAAAAATGCTTTCATTGCCTATGTTATCTTTCTAAAACCAGATCCTGGGCCAGGCACGGTGGCTCACGCCTACAATCCCAGAACTTTGGGAGGCCAAGGCGGGCAGATTACGAGGTCAAGAGATAGAGACCAACCTGGCCAACATGGTGAAACCCTGTCTCTACTAAAAATACAAAAATTAGCTGGGCGCAGTGGCGCATGCCTGTAATCCCAGCTACTCGGGAGGCTGAGGCAGGAGAATTGCCTGAACCCCGGAGGCAGAGATTGTGGATCCTTGAAACTATGTTACCTCCCAATTTAAATGGCAACACTTTGTTTTGAGATTAAAAATATGGTAAAGTCTTATTTCCATTTTCTCTATATTAATGTTCAGTATAGTGTTTGTTTTTTGGGGGATTTTTTGTTTGTTTGTTTTTGAGACGGAGTCTCACTCTGTCGCCCAGCCTGGAGTACAGTGGCACGGTCTCAGCTCTCTGTAACCTCCGCCTCCCAGGTTCAAGCAATTCTCCTGCCTCAGCCTCCTGAGTAGCTGAGATTACAGGTGCGCACCACCACGCCCGGCTAATTTTTGTATTTTTAGTAGAGATAGGGTTTCACCATGTTGGTCAGGCTGGTCTCGAACTCCTGACCTCGTGATCTGTCCACCTTGGCTCCCAAAGTGCTGGGATTACCACGTCTGGCAATGTTCAATATAGTTTTAAAATGCCAGTTAAAAACTGATAAGCATCAGCTGGGCGTGGTGGCTCACACCTGTAATCCCAGCAAAACAAAAAAAACTGATAAGCATCTAAATAAGGTACAAAAACTTGCAATATGTGGTCACTGTGATATAATTTCCAAAATCAAACATACTTGCCTACTTGAAATTCTACTATTCATAGAATAGTATGAATAGATTATAAAATACTACTTCATAATCGATTTCATACTTTATCAAACATTCTGATGCTGAAGTAATGTTTGCTTACATTTTGTAAAACCTGTATCTGCCATCATTTAATAATCTTATCTCACATATTACAGAAACATAAACAATAAAGGTATGACAATGAACAAACCAAGAATGACTAATTTATTTCACTGACAACATTTTAGCTAATTTTGTAGAGTGGGTGCAGTGGCACAGTACCTCACACCTGTAAAAACCGAGCACAGAGGCACAGTGTCTCACACCTGTAATCCCAACACTTTGGGAAACCGAGGCAGCACTGTTTGAGGCCAGGAATTTGAGACCAGCCTGGGCAACACAGTGAGACCCCTGACTCTACAAAAATAAAATAAACATTTGTATTGCTTTCTTTTTTTTTTTTTTTTTTTTTGTTTGAGACGGAATCTCACACTGTAGCCCAGGCTGGAGTCCGGTGGCGCAATCTCGCTGCAACCTCTGCCTCCCAGGTTCAAGCGATTCTCCTGCCTCAGCCTCCTGAGTAGCTGAGATTACAGGCGCCCACCACCACGCCCAGCTAATTTTTTGTATTTTTAGTAGAGACGGGGTTTCACTATCTTGGTCAGGCTGGTCTTCAACTCCTGACCTCGTGATCCGCCCACCTCAGCCTCCCAAGGTGCTGGTATTACAGGTGTGAGCCATGGCATCCGGTCCTGCATTGCTTTCTAAAGCACAAAAAAGATCTGTCATATCAATATATTTAGTTAAAATAAAACATCTGCAAACTTTGGTACATGTCTGCAAACACACTGCAAAAAAAGGAGAATAATCTGGGCCTGGCGCGGTGGTGGCTCACGCCTGTAATCTCAGCACTTTGGGAGGCCGAGACGGGCAAATCACAAGGTCAGGAGATCGAGACCATCCTGACCAACACGGTGAAACGCCGTCTCTACTAAAAACGTACAAAAAAATTAGCGGGGCGTAGTGGCGGGCACCTGTAGTCCCAGCTACACCGAAGGCTGAGGCAGGAGAATGGTGTTAACCCGGGAGGCGGAGCTTGCAGTGCGCCGAGATCGCGCCACTGCACTACTGCCTGGGCAACAGAGGAAGACTCCGTCTCAAAAAAAAAAAAAAAAAAAAAAGTAGAATAATCTGACAGGGACTAGTTTAATAAAACACAATGTAAGGTTTCAAATGATCATATAGACCTGTATTTACTAACCTGGATAGACATGAAAATAGCAGATTATAAATAAAAAACAGTGTTGTATCTTTTTATGATGAATATACATATACATATGCTCACAGAGAGAAAGTCTTAAGTGGATAAATACCCAGATGTTAACCATGATATCTCTGAGTGTTGGGATTACAGGTACTGTTTATTTTTCTGCTTACTTCTCAGATTCTCTGAAATTTTCTCAAGCAAAATGATACTTACAAAAATTAATGTGTATGATTCCAACTAACAAACTCCAAACTTTTTGCAAGGAAGCTTGCAAAATGCCCTAGAATATCCAAAAATACCCTAGCATAGAGCTTTTCCAAAAGGGAAAGTATCAGCAACAACATAAGTAGAAATCTGTGAACTGGGCACCCTAGAGGACTCCAGGTCTGCTGTAGGACCTTTAAGGAGGACTACACAAGACCTAGGCTCAAGTCCCTGCCACTTTTATTTGTATGACCTTGCAATAGTCACGTACCCTTTCTGGGCTCACTTTCTCTATCTATAAAAAGGATTTAGTTATTACTTGCCTTTCCTACCTCAAAGAACTGTTGGAAAGATCAAAAGAGATAATGCAATATATTATGAACTGCAAAGTACTATATAAGTAAGATATTATTATTCAAACATTAAAAAAGCAAGATGCTTCATGCCAGAGTCAAACACTTCAGAAAACACCACAATCAATTCTATGAAGTAATGAATCCGTTTTTGGTTGTTGTTTTGAAAGGCTACATCTCATCATAAACACCCAGTTTTTCTGAGACTTGGATACTTTTTCCCAGTTCCCGCTACAACCATTGGCCATTTTATTTTCTTATCCCTGGTTACCAGCAAAAAAGGGTACAAATTACACTAAACTCAAAAGCCTCAGCAAGAACCCTGGAGCAGCATGCTGATGGAGTTCACCAGGAGACACCCAAGGTTAATCAGCTATGGACTCGCCACTAAGCACTACCGCAATCAACAGGGATTACAAGAAACTCTTTGAAGAAAAAGACAATGGGATCGCCCAGGAGAAAACGGTGGATGAAAAGAAGGAGGTATTTCAAAACAATCATATGAAATACTTAGAAACTATACGTAGTATTTTATAAACTATACTGTAGAGTTTTTAAAATACTGTTGATAAAAATAATGACATAAAACAAAAGCCATCTAAATGTGGCACTTGACAAAAGCAAGTTATAGAGATTCAAATCAAATCCATGAATAAACTATCAGATGTACTTGACTCTATCTGAAATAAAAGCAGACAAATTACAGCGTAAGGATCAAAATTAAGTAGCTATTTCTTGAAAATAAAGAGGCAGAAAATAACAATAGAATTCACTGACACACTCATAGTAACTTTTATAATTATGGTTTCTCTTCCCATTTAATTTCATTATTTACTCCACTAAAATGCTGATGGACTTCTTCTCTCCCACTCTTCTTCCTGTAAATTAAAATGGCACTATAACTTGGTTTGAGTTTTACTCCAAAAAAACACATATTTTTTTTTAAATTACTTTAAGAGGAGTTTCATGAAGCTGTCAGCTTATTAACTACCAAGATCATCTGGCCATCACACCCTCCTGCTTCTAAGTTCCTAAAGATGACAAAATACCCTCCACATTCTTAAAAATGACATTTATGGGTACTCCCCTAATGAAAAATTAAACCTTTCATAAACAAATGTGCATAGAGAATTCATTTTGATATGTATGACTCACAATCTAATTTTTATTGGCAATATCTTGAAGTGTTGCAGCTTGCACAATTCCTACAGGGGATAAAGATCTATCTGTTTTTCCCATCTGATCTTTGCACATTTCTTATAGATTTAAAAGGACTCACTAAAAAAGCCATGAGGAAAATAATTATGAATACAATCCACAGCAAAATGAAGTATGGGGCTGAAACCTAAAATAATGAAAAGTCACTGAGTTTTATGTAAAGCTTCACAGTTGAAGTACTCTATTCCCATTTAAAATTTCAAAAAATCTAGATTTTTTTCTTCTTACTCTGATTTTTCCTATCATATTAGGAATGTATGATATTTACCTCCAAAAAATCACAAACAAAAAGCCTTCAGAAAATATCATTTCCAAAAGGAGTATCTGCCAAACCTTACTGCACAGAAAATTATATATACACATTCTCTTTTTTTTAACACATTCTCAAATAACTATGGTAGGCGTTCCTGAGATCACCTCCTCCACCCCTCAAAAAAAGAACAGCAAATCTAACCACAATAAAGTATTAACCAAATTTTTTTAACGCCGCTATCACCAGCTAAGCAATTTATCACACAGCTCCTCAAAGTCTCAGACACACACAATGACATACCAACATGTCAAAACAGTTATTATAATTTGAAAAATTATACAACAGGAACATAAGAGTAGAAAAAAAAAACTTCCTCTGGAAAAACTCTAGTAGATTTGGGAGAGCACAAAAAACGAGATTAATTTTAGAAAAATAACATTTCTTCAAGTGTTTGGTGTTTATCTGATACTGGTTCATTTTCGTAAAGAGAAACTTTACCTAACAAGACTCACACCAGGGATCTGATCTATCCCCAAAGGCACTTTCTTAAAATGAGAAAGAACAAAGAAGGAAATCTCTCAGCATGTGCTTTCCATACTAGTTTCTTTGGACAGCATCAAGAGTGACAATATAGTCTGCACATGCTTTTCAGCTTTATTCTATGGTCCATGTATAACAACTGATTAGCTATCATTCAAAAGAACTCCTAACAAAATAAATATTACAAGGCAAAGATCACAGCAACATAGTGACTCTAAGAGAAAAATTATAGAAAACATGTCTTAAAGTTGTGTGCTTTTTTTTATTTCAAGGGTTAATTATCTCCAAATATTCAAATTCCTAAGGCTTTCTCATTTCAGTCAATAGTTTGAAACTGGGGAAAAATCAAAACCATCCATTGTAAATCTGCTCTCCCTTCAGTAAATTTGTAATTAGAAGTACATTTTAAAAGAATGACACTCAAAGCCAATACCTTAACATACGAATCTTGGAGTGTAAACATTGTGAAGTTATTAGGAGAAAAGCTCTTTCGGTGAGGATATTCCACAGGAAAAACTCTACAGAATCAAATCTGGCATTTGGTTGTTCTAGAAGTTGTCGTTTCATTATAACGGGGAAAAAATTAAATAATTTTTATTTATTATAAAAAGAAGACTCTCCCCAAAGATTTACAATTGTATATCCCCATCTCCTCTCTGACAGAGATGTCAGTTCTCTGGGTCGAGACATAACCAGCTGCTGGGTTCACACACACAGGAAGCCACAGAGAAGATCGCGTTCAGAGCCTCGAAATAATACGCGTTAGTTAAGAACTGCCTGCTACTAAACCAAAATTATTCAAGCGGAGCCCCATTTGTCACAATCCAGTCATAAGGGTTCCACCACCCCCTCCCCCAACTGCTTGTGTAGTGGTATATCTGCTACGGTAAAGAAGCCATCATCAGGTAAAGATTGGGGTGGGAGAAAAGCGGGGAAAAGGGGGCACCCTTTCATCTAATTTCGTGAGGCGTGAGTAATTGGTACTGTTAAGAGGAACGTTCTATTTATCGGGGGTTGGAGTAGCATGAGGGGAGAATTTCGTTCAAATCAACATGGCCAGCAAGATGTCCCTACAAACAAAAGGCAATGGGGGGATATAAACACGAACCATTCACCTCCATCAGCTACAGCATCGCCATCATGGTGTGTGCAGAGACCCCCAAAGGCTCCTCTCACCCTCCACACCAGCTAAGGCAAAAGAAGGGAGAGAGGTAGCTGCATCCCCCCCTCCCAACACTGCTTCCAAAGACACACTCTTCGAGGGGGTTTCTCCCCTCGGCTGCCCGGAATCAGAGAGAAAGAGTAACGTCCCGCTCACTACCTCTCAGCCGAACCCCAACGCCGGCCCGGGGCTCGCTAAACTTTACCAGAGCTTCTCCCCCAGATCCCCACCCTATCGCCCCGGGATCGCGCTTCCCACAAGCGGGGCACCCCAGGCGCTTCCTGACAAGCGAGCAGCCGGGGAAAGCCGAGTCCGGGGCGGGGGCTACTGGGATCCACGGAGGGGCGGGGCGGCCGAAGCCAAGTTCCCGGGGGTCTGAGAAGAGCGCCTGACAGGAGCCCGGGACTGCAAAGGAGGAAGAGGAAGCGGCCACGGGGAGCTTTCCCAATCCCCCCTACGAGAGCACCCTGCCCCCAGCCCCAGCTCCCCATGGGGGGCAGGGAGGCTAACTGGAAGGTGAAAAAGCCGAGCCCATGAGACAGCTGCAGCCCCTACCTCCGGACTCCCTATCTCTTCCCCCGCCACCCCCGCCAGAGGCGCCCACAACAATAACACGCCGGGGACGACCCGTCAGCGCCCCCGAGGCACCCGGGGCCCGCGGCCCGCCGCAGGCGGGCCCCCTCTGCTGAGACCGGGCGCGCCTCTCTCCCTACAACTCCAGGCCCGGGTGGAGTCAGGCCCGAGAGGCCCCCCAGGGTCGGACCCATCCCCCCTGGCAGCAGCGGCGCCGTCTCCGCGGCCGAATATTAGAAGTGAATTCGAGCTGCGCTTTACCTTTAGTTCCGCACTGTCCGCCATCTTGCGTCTGTCAGCGCAAGCGCAGTGAACTTCGCCGGGGGCCGCCGCTAGACCCGCCCCTCTAGCCGGCCTGGCCCCGCCCCGGCCCGCCCCTCCACCTTCCCAGCCCGCCTCTAGCCTCCGCCCCGCTCAGGGCGCTCGAAGCCCCGCCCCGGGCACGTACAGCTGCGAGACAGGCACGTTCCATTTAAATAATGGCGCCAAGCGGCGAGGTTTGACAGTTACTGCCCCCTCGGTCTCCCTGCCCCCCATCCTAGCTCGGCCAGCTCCTCCCGGGAAGGGCCGGAGCGAGAGGGATGCTGGCCTGAGCCCCATCTCTCTGCGGTCCGCGGAACGCTTCTGCATAGCTTCGACGCCTACGGTCACAGAAACAATGCTGTCCCCCAACCCCCAATAAGCAAGGCTTTTTCAGCACCTGCTACCTGCGAGGCTACCAGTGGGCTAAAAATAGAAATCCATTACATTTAAGGGGCCCTTAATGAAGCATTTCTATCATTATTGGCTCAGATCCTCTTGATAACGAGGGGAGGTAGGCAAGGAAGAGATAATTCCCATGGTATAGATTCAGAAATGAAAGCTCAGAGAGGAAAAGTGACTTGCACAAACAAGTATTTTAACGAGGTGGCGTAAGACAAAATTTTGAAGGTGTTCATTAACATTTTTGTTTAAAAAAGTATTTATTTAGTGACCATCTGCTTGCCTTGTGCTAACGGCTAAATATACATTTTGAAATCAAAGTCCGTGCCCTTCTGTAGTTCTCTAATGGGGAATCAGAGAAGTGAACGAACAAAGATACAATTGCAAATGTTAGTGAGTACCAGAAAGGAGCAAAAGGTCATTGAGAGAGAGAAAGGGTTTGGGAGATGTACTTAATTCTGGGAGGGTTTTATCCACTAAATTGACATTTAAGTAGACTTGATGGAAGGATTATTTCATTCCTTTTCGTCTCTACTGAAAGCCTTCTATATACCTCCTCCCCAACCCCCACTTTTACTAATCAACTTTGCCTCATAACTCATGGAAAAAATGAAAGATATCAGAAATAAACTCCCTTATCTTCTCACCATCAAAACCACCCTTATCTGCATAGTAACATTTGGGTTGCTATGAATGAAGTGTCCCTGCGCCTAGGAAGGCCAGTCCCTTTACCAGTGACCGGATTTTTTTCACGCACATTCCTAAGGATTTTACTCTTACAATTACCTACCCTCCAGCATCGTTAGTTTTTTCCCTCTCAATTGAATTGCTCCTATCAGCATATAAATATATTGAAATTTCTCCCATCTAAAATAAACTTCCTTTGACTCCAAAATCGCCTCTAGGAACTGCCCTATTTTTCTGCTATCTTCATAAATTCTTAGAAAGGTTTTTCAAGATCTCTCCAATAGTGCTTGTTCCTACCTCTCACTTCACATTCACTTCTCAGTCTACCCTGATCGAGCTTTGGCTTCCATCATCTGTATCACTTATCAAGATTACTAATGATCTTGTTTCCAAAGGCAATTGCCAATTCTCTATCCATATCTCAATTGACCTCTCTGTAGAATCGCGAATAATTGACATGGTTCCTTTGATTTGAAACACTTTTCCCCCTGAACTTACCTACACGTCACAGATAGTCCTGTTCCCTCACTGGGCCTCCTTTTTGATATGCTGGTTTCTCCTCTTTGGCTCAATCTTTAAATGTTGGACTGCTCCAGGGCTCGGTCCTTGCATTCTTCTCTATTTTATCACCAGGTGATCTCATCTAACTGGTTGACTTGAAGTCTATATGCTCATGACTTTGAAAATGCTCTCTAGCCTAAACCTCTCCATTGTCAAGAAACAAAAGTAAAACAAATTGAGATTCAAGATCTCATTGGCATTATTGCACTCCTAGAATTGGACAAAACTTCATTCCACAAAATAGAATAAATGTTGCAATGAATCAAGCAGAGGATGTTAACTTTAGAGACAGAAAATAGACTGAAGAAGGCAGAAACAACAAAAAGCAGATTGGTTATATCAAAGTCACTTTTCTTTAAGGTGGAGACGTGGAGACAGAACAGTAGAAAGAAAACTGATTGGTTAACATTGGGTTACTTCAGGTATTCTATTTTAAGGATTAAAACAGGAAATTTCATTATCATGCCTGTTAAAGATTGAAACTTCTGTTTGGAAAATTGGCTATCTCTCTTACCATTTTTTGGAAAACCAGATAACTCAGTTTTGTTTTGGTGAACATGGGTGACACCATTTTGATTTTTAGTCTGATCTGGAGGCCTGATGCAGGAATTTGGTTGAAAACAATGGCATCCCATGATTTTTATTTAACAACCTAGGTGAAATTGTGACTAAGACTGAGGGCATTAGCACTACCCTCATTTAACATCATTCTGTGTTTCCAGTCTCAACACATCATTTATAGATTACAGTGTCCTCATGATTTTGTATTTCTGTCATTGCAGCTGAAGAGAGACCATATGACATTCAACAATTGGCTGTATGCAAATATGTAAAACTTTTTGAGAGAACATAATTGAGAATTGTGACTATCAGGAGGACAATGCCAAGAGTTCGGAGTATGCTTCTTAGCTAGGGTTGCCATAAACCAAACCAACTAAAATCAAATAGATCAAAGAATGAGCCAGATGAGAAATCTACCTGTTTTCACCAAGTAGCCTGCTAACTTTTTGAAACTGAGTCTCTACAATACCAGATTATTTATGTACAACAAGAAGTGACAGCAACAGCACAGATTTCCCCGTTTGGTTAGTACGCAGCAATTCTATCATCTAGCATCTCAGAAATGGGTTAAATTAAAGCAAAGAGTGCTAACTCTACAAAAGAGGCCACTAGTAAAATTTGAACAAACAGTTGCATTAGGGATGTTGCTAAAGTTACCCACTAGGTGGAATAAAAGCTCTCTTGGGTCCTGTAAATGTTTGGGTTTGACCCTTTATCAACTTACCCACAAAAACTACTAATTGTGAAATTTTAACTACAGCATTATCCTGCCAAGTGGAAGAGGTGGGCATAAGCAAGAAAAAATTAAGAAGGGAAGGAGTCTTATCATGGTAGCGAGTCTTATTCTGACAGTCTTGGAAAACGCTGTCCACAACATGATGTCAGCAATTTCTCATCCTGGTTTGCAGTTTAAATGTCTCTGGCTGTGGCATCAGGTGTTCTGCTAAACTCTCTATGTGGCTCCCTCATCAAGCATGGGACTTGTCCCTTGAAATTTATATCGAGTTGTTCAGCTTAGCAGTTTTTGTTCATGGTTGGAGAATTGCAGTCAGATATTGAAGGCAACAAGAACTCAGGATCCAGGCTAGTCTATAGATAGATGATAAAAACTCAAAAACAATGAACAAAGCTGCAATCTAGTAACAGGTGTACTATGGTTTTCTTCAGAAACATAATTTTTCTCTCTACAGTCATTCCCATTTCTACCAAAGATAATCATGGTAAGACCAATTTATTTTTAAAATTAATTTAGTTTCAAACTTGACCTGATTATTTACATAAGTGCGGCAAGAATAACCACATAGGCTTCTTTTAAATTTATTTTGCTGGAAATTGTGACAACAAATCTGGACTTTTAAAAACCTCTTGATGTTAGGAAGTCAAACCAAGGCAGACATCAGACTTTGCCTGCAATATCTAATATCTTGAGGCTTCTGGGCCTGCCTGGAAGTGACTACTTTTATTCACTATAAAGCTGAGAACACTTGAAAATTGGCATTCTATGATTCCATGCACATTTTAAAATATGACATTGCTATATATATATATATTCATATATATATTCATATATATGAATATATATATGAATATATATATTCATATATATGTATATATATGAATATATATGTATATATATATGAATATATATATATACGTATATATATATATGATATGGTTTGGGTCTGTGTCCCCAACCAAATGTCACCTTGAATTGTAATAATCCCCAAGTGTCAAGGGCAGGACTAGGTGGATATAATTGAATCGGCATCAATTCAATTGATAATGAATGAATGAAGGAACAGCACTGGCAGTGGGGTGGGAGGGAATTCCGCCATGCTGTGCTTGTAATAGTGAGTTCTCACGAGATCTGATGGTTTTATAAGGGGCTTCCCCCTTTGCTCGGCAACCATTCTCTCTCCTGCCACCCCGTGAAGAGGTACCTTCCACCATGATTGTAAGTTTCCTGAGGCATTCCCAGTCATGTGGAACTGTGAGTCAATTAAACCTCTTTTCTTTATAAATTACCCAGTCTCAGGTATGTCTTCATAGCAGGGTGAGAACAGATTAATACAATATGACATTGCAGTCAAAGCTTTGGTAATATAACCAATATTTCCAGTTGTATTTTGTTGAAGAGAAGAGCTTCTTATTGAACTTATGCAAATAACCATATTGTCATAAAAATAAGAATCTTCATGAATAGTTTCCAGATTTTGGAGGAATTAGGTAGGAAGGAAAAGCAAATCTTTGAATTTTTGGTTGCAAAAGTATGCCTTACCAAATTGCTGTAAGTTATCAGCAGCTTAAAAGAAAAAAAAAATTCCTTAAATATTGAAAAAGAAAACCTATTAAAAGAGAGCCAGCAAGGTTTCGAATTTTATTTATTTTTCTTTTTTCTTTTTCTTTCTTTTTTTTTTTTTGAGACACAGTCTTGTTCTTTTACCCAGGCTGGAGTGCAGTGGCACAATCTTGGCTCACTGCAACCTCCACCTCCAGGGTTCAAGTGATTCTCTTGCCTCAGCCTCCTAAGTAGCTGGGATTACAGGTGTCCACCACCATGCCCAGCTAATTTTTGTATATTTTGTAGAGACAGGGTTTCATCATTTTGCCCAGGCTGGTCTTGAACTCCTGAGCTCAAGCGATCCACCCACCTTGGCCTCCCAAAGTGCAGGGATTACAAGTGTAAGCCACCATAACTGGCCTCAAATTTTAAAAGCTGTAAAGACATCCTGATTTCTCTTTCATTCACCTCTCAAATGAATCCATCAGCCGGTCCAACTGACTCTAAATCAAAGCCCAAGCCAGTTCATTTCACTGCATCTCCACTACCATCATCCACTGATGCTTATTTTTGGACCCATTCCAAGCTGCCATAGTCTCAAAACTGCTGGTAAAACTGCCTAACTCAAAGGGCCACGTTATGACTTCCATGGCCCTAGGCACTTTTGCTTTCTTGGTTTCTATGCTACAGTAAATGTATATACAGTTGACGCTTGAACAACACGAGTTTGAACTGCGCAGATCCACTCGTAGGTGGCTTTTTTCCCTGCCTGTGACACCTCTGAAACAGCAAGACCAACCCCTGGTCTTTCTCCTCCATCTCAGCCTACTCAATGTGAAGACAAGGATGAAGATCTTTATAATGATCCACATCTGCTTAATGAACAATCTTCCGTATGACTTTTGTAATCACATTTTCTTTTCTCTAGCTTACTCTAAGAATGCAATACATAACACATATAATATACAATGTATGTACTAATTGTTTATGTTATTGGTAAGGCTTCTTGTCAACAGTAAGCTATTAATAATTAAGTTTTTGGGGAGTGAAAGTTATGCGTAAATTTTCTATTGTGTGAAGGGTCAGCTCCCCTAATCCCCTGGTTGTGCAAAGATCAACTGTATTTGGGCTTTGTCCCTCGTTCCTGAGACAGAGCTCCTAAAACACATGGAATTTTCTAACAGGAGTATCTTTTGTTTTTCATAACAAGCCTCTTTCAATCACACCTAATGAGGTGACATGGAGTGGGGCCCCTAGATGGCTTCAGGATGGGTGCTGATCCCCACAAAATTAGAAGGGGGCTGGGTATGGTGGCTCACACCTGTAATCCCAGTACTTTGGGAGGCCAAGGTGGGAGGATCGCTTGAGCACAGGAAGTCAGGGCTGCAGTAGGCTGTGTTCACACCATTGAACACCAGGCTGGGTAACAGAGAGAGACCTCCTCCTTCCACCCCCAAAATAATTGAAAAGTGGGAACTTTCAGCCTCACCCCATGCCCTACCTCCAGGGAGAAGAAGGGGCTGGTGATTGAGTTATAAATTCTTCAACAAGAGATAGAAGAGGTTCTGCACTGGCAAACACACGAGAGTACTGTGGGGAAGAGCAACAGGGCACGGAAGCTCTGCATAGTCCCCCTTTACATTGCCCTGTGCATCTCTTCCATTCAGTTATTTGAGTGGCATCCTTCATAATAAACTAGTAAATGTAAGAAACACATTTTCCTCAGTTCTGTGAGTCATTCTAGTGAATTATTCACCATGAGGAAGGAATTATAGGAAGCCTTGACTTCACAGCTGGTCAGTCGGAGTGCAGGTGGCCTAAGGAACTTGTGACTGGTGTCTGAAGGAGGGTATCCTTGTGGGACTGAGCCATTAATTTGTGGGATCTGAACTAACTCCTGGAGTTGACGTCAGAATTGAAATGACTTGTAGGCCACCCAGTTGCTGACAGAGAATTGAAGAATTGGTGTGGAAAGTCACCATGTATTTAGTGTCAGGAAGAACATCAGAGGTACATTCTTCTATTAAAAAATTTAATTATATTTGCTCTTTTTGTTTCTTTGTTTTTTGTTGAGACAGAGTCTCACTCTGTCGTCCAGGCTGGAGTGCAGTGGTGCCATCTCGGCTCACTGCAACTGCGTCCCCTGGGTTCAAGCAATTCTCCTACCTCAGCCTCCCTAGTAGCTGTGATTATAGGTGTGCACTACCACGCCTGGCTAATTTTTGTATTTTTAGTAGAGACAGGGTCTTGCCATCCCCGGCCCCACCTTCTAATTTTGTGGGGACCAGCACCCATCCTAAAGCCATTTAGGGGCCCCACTCCATGTCACCTCATTAGGTGTGATTGAAAGAGGCTTGTTATGAAAAGAGGCTTGTTATGTCTCAAACTCCTGACCTCAAGTGATCTGCCCGCCTCGGCCTCCCAAAGTGCTGGGATTACAGGCGTGAGCCACCACATCCTGCCAAAAAAAAAACTATATTTCTTTTTTTTCTTTTGAGACAGAGTTTCACTCTTGTTGCCCAAGCTGGAGTGCAATGGCACAATCTCGGCTCACTGCAACCTCTGCCTCCCAGGTTCAAATGATTCTCCTGCCTCAGCCTCCCAAGTAGCTGGGATTACAGGCACGCACCACCACACCCAGCTAATTTTTTGTATTTTTAGTAGAAACAGGGTTTCACCATGTTAGCCAGGCTGGTCTCGAACTCCTGACCTCAGGTGATCCGCCTGCCTCAGCTTCCCAAAGTGCTGAGATTACAGGCGTGAGCCACTGTGCTTGGCCTATATTTCACTTTTTTTTTAAAGAGAGGGTCTCCATATGTTGCCCAGGCTGGTCTAGACCTCCTGACCTCAAGTGATCCTCCCACCTCAGCTTCCCAATAGCTGGGATTATAGGCACAGGCCACCAAGCCCAAAAAATTATGTTTTAAAACTGTGTTGCTATAAATACAAATGTAATCCCAACTGATTATGTTAGTGGATCTTTGGGGTGTTGGTTTTTGGCTGGAAACCTCTGTGGCCAGTGGCACCTTTGTCCAAGTTTTGCTCAGGCCCGCTGGGCTCACTCTGCCCACTTGGCTTTGCAGGCTGCGCTCGGCTCACACTACCAACCAGGATCCCTCCCCTGCCGAGGGAGACTGCATGAAGTGGTGAGGGGTGAGGGGTGAGGGGTGTGTGAGTGAGCATGGAGTCCAACTGTGCAGTCAGACATGCCGGCTGCCTCAGCAGGGTGAGCAATTCTAGGTGCCAGCTTGCACGCTGGCTCTCTGCAAGGCTGCAGCTGGACCAGGCACATGCAAGCAGCTTCCATTCCTGGCACCAGGGAACATGGTGGTGCCTGGAAGCTTGGAGACACCAGGAACCGAAGGGCTCCAAGGAGGGAGTGACAGCCCTGGCTTGAAGAGCTCCCAGGTCTGAGCTCCCCGAAGGGCCACAGCTCTTCTTTCCTCCTCTTCGCCTGCAAGGTGGCGAGATGGGGATGGCTCCTCTCTGCTAGGCAAGTCATCCCAACAAGTGTTGAGTTCTAGAAGCAAAGAGGGTAGCTCCTTCTGCAGCTAGCCATCCTGACAAGTGTTCAGCTATCAGCAGAGAGGGTAGCTCCTCTCTGCAGCTGGACGTCTCATCATCTGCAGTGCTCTGGCTGAGCCCAGGGCTTTTATGGGCCTCAGATGGGAGGAAGTGCTGCCAATTGGTCTGTGGGCGGCCATGGGAGGGCCTGGAAAAGGCACCACAAGTTCCCACTCCAGTCAGCAGTACTAGCAGCCTGGCCTGAAGGTGGGGCTTCACCAGTAACCTGTCCTCTTCCACCCAGGAGCCGATCTGCCTCCTGCCACCATCCATGGTGCCCAGGCTGCTTGTGCAAAAGGGCACCTGTAGGCCAGTGCTGGGTTGCCCTCAGGCGCCCCTCGGCTTCCCCCCAGAGCTCCTTGGGGCCCAAATTCCGGAAAGGACCAAGACAGCAGGGGGCTGGTGTGTCAGCTCTGCTCCAAGTGTGCACACACCTGGCCAGACTGTAACAGTGCCTGGGCTCAGCCCCAACCCTGCTCTGAGATTGGAGCAGGCACCAGGGGCAGGGAGAGGCCAGGCAGCAGGAGCAGACACCCCCCAAGCCTGAGGGGGGAGGGGGACTTTCCCAGGACCCCAAGGGTGCAGACTGCAGAGATGCCCAGGTCCTGTGCCTGGGAGGGTAGGACTCCCGCCTGCCTACTCTGTGGAGCAGCATGCAGGCAGCCCTGGCCATGCCTCCTTGCAGCTCCAGGTCCTTACTGGGCCCCTCTCTGCCCACCCCTCTGTGCCCAACCATGCTGCTCCCTGCTGGCAGGTGGCTCAGCTCAGCCCCATTGCAGTGGCACCCAACGTGGCAGGCTTGGCGGGGGGGCTCTCGCTTACCCTGGCTCCTGCTGGCTCTGTGGAGCACAGCATTACTCCAGCCCAGCTCTGCCTCCTCCTGGCACCCTCCCCACAGCAGCTGACCTGATGACAGCGACCGCCGTGGACAGCCCGCTGCTGCCATCAATTGCACTTAATTTGTTCTTATTATTTGAAAAGATTTAAAGCATTTTCATGGGACCCTAAGATTATTGTGGCCTTCAGCCAATACAAAAAAAAAAATGAAAAAACTCAAAATGAATCATAGACCTGAATTTAAAAATTAAAATTAAAAAATTATTAGATGAAAATCCCTATGTTATTGAGTTAGACATAGTCTTCTTAGATATGGATCACACACTTAGATATGAATACCAACATGCATGTTGGTAGGAAAGGTACAGCCACTATGGAAAATAGTTTGGTACTTCCTTTGAAAACAAGATGTACTTATTGTACAACTCAGCATTTGCACCCTTAGACAGAGAAATGACATTTTCACACAGAAGTTTGTAGAAGAATGTTCATAGCAGCTGTATTTATGAGTCCAAAACTGGAAACTACCCAAATCTCCTTTGATGAATAAATGGCTAAAACTGCGATACATACATACCATGGACTACTAATCAGCAATGAAAAAACAATACAACACCTTGGATAAATCTCTAGGAAATTATGCTGGGTTAAAAAAAATAATTTCAAAAGAATACATAGTACATTATTGCCTTTATGTAACAATCATGTAATAACATAATTATAGACATAGGCTGGGCTTGGTGGCTTGCACCCATACTCCCTGCACTTTGGGAGGCTGAGTCAGGTGGATCGTTTGAGCCTAGGAGTTCAAGACCAACCTGGGCGACATAGCAAGACCCCTGTGTCTAAAAATAATAATAATAATAACATAATTATTGAGATAGAGAACAGGCTAGTCATTCTCTGGGGATTAGGGAAGGGTAGAAAGGATGGGTGATATTGATGCCAATTTTTTGGTTGTGATATTGTATTATAGTTGCATAGGATGTTAACATTGCAGGAGACTGAGAGAAGGGTACATGTGACTTCCCTGTACATTTCTCTTGCAGGTGACTCTACAATTATTTCAAAATAAAAAGTAGGTGTATATAGACTGTCCCCAGCTTACAATGGTTTGATCTACAATTTTAAAACTTTACCACCGTGCAAAAGCAATACACATTTGGCCAGGCGCAGTGGCTCATGCCTGTAATCCCAGCACTTTGGGAGGCCGAGGTGGGTGGATCATCTGAGATAAGGAATTCAAGACCAGCCTGGGCAACATGGTGAAACCCCGTCTCTACTTTTTAGTAGTATTTTTATACAAAATTCAGCTTGGCGCAGTGGCATGTGCCTGTAATCCCAGCTACTGGGGAGGCTGAGGCAGGAGAATTACTTGAACCCAGGAGGTGGAGGTTGCACTGAGCTGAAATCACACCACTGCACTCCAGCCCAGGCGACAGAGCAAGACTCCATCTCAAAAAAAAAAAAGCAATACACATTCAGTAGAAACCATACTTCAAGTACCTATACAACCATTCTGTTTTCACTTTCAAAAACTATCCAATAAATTAACACATAAGATATTAAACACTTTATGATAAAATAGGCTTGTGTTAGGCAACTTTGCCCAATTGTAAGCTAATATAAGTGTTCTGAGCACATTTAAGGTAGGCTAGGGTAGGCTATGATGTTTGGTAGATTAGGTGGATTAAATACATTTTCAATTTGAGATAGTTTCAGTTTATGATGGGTTTGTCTGAACGTAATCCCATCTTAAGCTGAGGAACATCTGTATGTGTACATATATGAAAAGTATACATATGTGTATGTGTTTATGTGTGTATACATATATGTGTGTATGTATATATGTACATACATATATTGCATATATTGAAACATTGACATCGATAACACCCATCCTCTCTACCCATCCGTAATTCCCAGAGAACTACTAGCCTGTTCTCCATCTCTATAATTACATTATTATTACTTTTTTAGGGGTGTGTGTGTGTGTGTGTGTGTGTGTGTGTGTGTGCATAATGAAGATGCAATATGTCCGAATTTGTGGAGAGAGGGACATCAGCAAAATGGAGAAATAGGCAGCTACAAACTTTCACACCGCCACAGAAATATTGAACAAATAACCAGAAATTGTCAGAGCAACTTTATCAGAACTTTGGGAAATAGTTAAAGATTTACAGCAACCAAGCAAATGCTCATTTTAAAAAATTATTTATTACCTTTTAAATTTTTTATGTTTTTAGAGACAAGGTTTCATCACATTGCCCAGGCTGGTCTTGAATTCCTGGGCTCAAGTAATCCTCCTGCCTTAGCCTCCCAAAGTGCTCTGATTATAGGGTAAGCCAACACGCCCAGCCAATTTTTTTTCTAAGGCAACTTGAAAATGGAAAGAAAACTTTATGAACCCTTCCCTGACTCAATAGCAGTCTTAGCGACAGCAGCCCACCTTCCCAGGGTGGGACTCCGGTCCTTGTTTATAGAGAGCAGAGCCAACTTTATACACAATTATTAGGTATGTCTATTCTAACCTGCCTGGGTGTTACCTGAAAAACTGAAACAAAGTGCTCATTTCTGTTTTCACACTGTAACCCACTGTAGAAAAGCAGCAGGCGTTGTTTAAACATTGTAAGGCAAACAAACAAACTGCAACTGCCTGGGGCCGAAGAGTACAGTTGGTACATAGAATAACTTTCCTAAAGCCTGGGAGTAAAAGCCAGGGAGAGAGAATTGTTGGGAAATTAGGGCATTCAAATTCAAAAGTGCTCTGTATATAGGGCAACTTAGAAAGCAACACACATGTCTGGGACAGGATGCATGTTCAGAGAACTGAGAACAGCCTAAGATTCCACCACTGGTTGATATATAGACTCAGTGCAACCAGGAAATGACTGCTGAGGAAGAATTTCAAATGGCCTTATTAAGTGTTAAAGGGGTGCTCCTGCAAAAACTCAGATGCAAAGATTGGAAAAAGTTTTTTGTTTGTTTTTTAAGTTCCCCATGTTCAGGGAAATTTCGGTAAAAACCCTGGCTGTACAAAAGTTAAGCCATCAACAATCAAGAACAGCAAACTCTAGGGAATGTAAATATTTGTTTTCCAGAGATAACACATTATAATAGTCAAATGTCCAGTTTTCAACAACAACAAAAACCCACAAAGCATACAAAGAAATAGGAAAGCAGTGGGAAAAATAAATTGACAGAAACCATCGCTGAGGCAGCACAGACGTTAGACTTACTAGACACAGACTTTAAGTAACTTTTTTTTTTTTTTTTGAGACAGAGGGCATTTTGTATGTCTTCTTTTGAGAAGTGGCTCTTCATGTCCTTTGCCCACTTCTTATTTTTTATTTTTTTGAGACATAGTCTTGCTCTGTCGCCCAGGCTGGAGTACAGTGGTGCAATCTCAGCTTATTGCAACCTCTGCCTCCTGGGTTCAAGTGATTCTTCTGCCTCAGCCTCCTGAGTAGCCATGACTACAGGTGCATGCCATCATGCCCAGCTAATTTTTTGTATTTTCAGTACAGATGGGGTTTCACTGTGTTAGCCAGGATGGTCTCAATCTCCTGGCCTTGTGATCCACCTGCCTCGGCCTCCCAAAGTGCTGGGATTACAGGTATGAGCCACCACACCCAGCCTTTGCCCACTTTTTAATGGGATTGATTGTTATTTGAGTTCCTTGTATATTCTGGATATTAGTCTCTAGAAAAATGAATAGTTTGCAAATATTTTTTCCCTTATAACAGGCTGTTTCTTCACTCTGTTGATAGTTTTCTTTGCTGTGTCAAAGTTTTTTAGTCTAATAAAGTCCCATTTGTCTATTTTTCTTTTTGTTGCCTGTGCTTTCAAGGTCTTAGCCATGAAATCTTTGCCTAGACCAGTGTCCTGAAGTGTTTTCTCTATATTTTTTCTAGTATTTTAATAGTTTCAGATCTTACCTTTAAGTCTTTAATCTATTTTAAGTTGATTTTTCTATATGGTGAGAGATAGGGGTCCAGTTTCATTCTTCTGCATATGAATTTCCAATTTTACTAGTACAATTTGTTGGAGAGACTGACCTTTCCCCAATGTATGACCTTGGTGCCTTTGTTGAAAATCAGTTGTCTGTAAACATGCAAATTTATTTCTGGATTCTCTATTCTGTTGCATTGGTCTATGTGTTTGTTTTTATACAAATACCATCCTGTTTTGTTTACTATATCTGCGTCTAGCTTTGTTCTTTTTGCTCATGATTGCTTTGGCTATTCAGGTGTTTTTTTTTTTTCCTGGTTCTACACAAATTTTAAAATTGCTTTGTCTAATTCTGTGAAAAAATGATGTTGATATTTTAATAGAGATTGCACTGCATTTGTAGATTGCTTTAAAGAGTATGGTCATTTTAATGATACTAATTCTTCCAGTCATGAGATGCGATGTCTTTCCATTTGGTTGTGTACTCTTCAATTTCTTTTATCAGTACTTTGTAGTTTTCCTTGCAGAGATCTTTCACCTCCTTGGTTAAATTACTCCTAGGTATATTTTTTTGTCACTATTGTAAATGGAATTACCTTTCTTATTTCTCTCTTGGCTAGTTTATTATTAATAACACTACTGATTTTTGTATGTTAATTTTGTATCCTGTAACTTTACTGAATTATTTTCTCAACAAAGAGTTTTTTGGTGGAGTCTTTAGGTTTTTCTAGATATAAGATCACAGATCATATCATCAGCAAAGAGGGACAGTTTGAGTTCCTCTTTTCCAATTTGGATGCCATATATTTCTTTCTCTTGCCTAATCACTCTGGCTAGGATTTCCAGTATTATATTGAATAAGAGTCATGAAAGTGGGCATCTTTGTCTTGTTCCAGTTCTTAGAGGAAAGGCTTTCAGCTTTTCCCCATTCAGTATGGTGTTAGCTGTGGGTTTGTCATACATGTCCTTTATTATGGTGAGGTATGCCTTCTCTGCCTAGTTTGTTGAGAGTTTTTATCAGGAAGGGATGTTGAGTTTTATTAAACACTTTTTCTGCATGAGTTGAGAGATCATATGGTTTTGGTCCTTCATTCTGTTAATGTGATGGATGCTGTTTACTGATTTGCGTATGTCAAACCATCCTTGCATCCCTGGGATGAATCCCACTTGATCATGGTGTATTATCTTTGTGGTATGCTGTTGGATTTGATTTGCTAGTATTTTTGAGGATTTTTGTGTCTATGTTCATCAGGTATATTGGTCTGTAGTTTTCTTTTTTGTTGCATCCTTGTCTGGTTTTGGCATCTGGGTAATGCTGGCCTCATAGAATGAGTTAGGGAGAATCTCCTCCTCTTCAATTTTTTGGAAAAGTTTGTTGGCAATTGGTGTTAGCTCTTCTTTGAAAGTTTGGTAGAATTCAGTAGTGAAGCCATCTAGTCCTGGACTTTTCTTTGTTGGGAGACTTTTATTACTTCTTTGATCTCATTACTTGTTACTGGACTGTTTAGGTTTTCTCTCTTCCTGGTTCAATCTTGGTAGGTTATATATATTGAATCTTTCCATTTTCTCTAGATTTTCCAGTTTACTGTATATAGTTGCTCATGATAGTATCTGATGATCTTGTGTATTTCTGAGTATCTGTTATAATGTCTCCTTTTTCGTTTCTGATTTTATTTGGATCTTTTTTTTTTGCTTAGTCTAGCAAGTGGTTTATCAATTTTGGTTCTTTTCAAAAAGCCAACTCTTCATTTTGTTGATCCTCTGTATTGTTTATTATTTATTTATTTATTTATTTTGAGATGGAGTCTCACTCTGTCGCCCAGGCTGGAGGGTAGTGGCGTAGTCTCAGCTCACTGCAACCTCCCCTTCCCAGGTTCAAGTGATTCTCCTGCCTCAGCCTCCTGAGTAGCTGGGATTACAGATGCATGCCACCACGCCCAGCTAATATTTTGTATTTTTAGTAGAGACGGGTTTTCACCATGTTAGCCAGGATGGTCTCAATCTTCTGACCTTGTGATCTGCTTGCCTTGACCTCCCAAAGTGCTGGGATTACAGGTGTGAGCCACTGCACCTGGCTAATCCTTTGTATTGTTTTTTTAGTGTCAATTTCATTTAGTTCTGCCTTGATGTTTATTATTTCTTTCCTTCTACTAATTTTGGTTTTGGTTTGATCTTGCTTTTTAAGTTCCTTGAAGTGCATTATTAGATTATTTACTTTAAATCTTTCTACTTTTTTGATGTAGGCACTTATTTCTATAAACTTCCTTCTCAGCACTGCTTTTGTTGTATCCCGTAGATTTTGGAATGTTATGTTTTGATTTTCATTTGTTTCAAGAATTTTTTTCATTTCTTCCTTAATTTCTTCCTTGACCCAAGGTCATTCAGGAGCATGTTGTTTAATTTTCATGTATTTGTACAGTTTCCACAGTTCCTCTTGTTATTGACTTGGTTTTTGGTGGTTTGATAAAATTGTGACATATCAATTTTCAAAAGCTTGTTGAGACACATTTTGTGTCCCAATATATGGTCTATCCTGGAGAATGTTGTGTGTGCCAATGAGAATAATGTATGTTCTGTAGCTGTTGGATGAAATGTTCTATAAATGTCTGTCAGACCCATTTGGTCTAATGCGGAGTTTATATCCAGTGTTTCTGTGTGAATTTTCTGTCTAGATGATCTGTTTAATGCTGAGAGTGGGCTGTTGAAGCCCCCAACTATTATTTTATTGGAATCTGTCTCTCCCTTTAAATCTAATAAAATTTGCTTTATATATCTGGGTGCTCCAGTGTTGGGTGCATATGTATTTAGAACTGTTATATCCTCTTGCTAAATTGATCCCTTTATCATTATACAATGACCTTCTGTGATGGTTAATACTGAGTATAAACTTGATTGAATTGAAGGATGGAAAGTATTTATCCTGGATGTGTCTGTGAGGGTGTCGCCAAAGGAGATTAACATTTGAGTCAGTGGACTGGGTGGGACTGAGTCAGACCCACCCTTAATCTGGGCACCATCTAATCAGCTGCCAGCACAGCTAGAATACAAGGCAGGCAGAAAAAAAAATGTAAATAGACTGGCCTAGCCTCCCAGCCTACGTCTTTCTCCCATGCTGGATGCTTCCTGCCCTTGAACATCAGACTCCAAGTCCTTCAGTTTTGGGACTCATGCTGTCTCTCCTTGCTCCTCAGCTTGCAGATGGCCTATTGTGGGTCCTATTGATGGCCCTTGTGAGTTAATACTTAAGGAACTCCCCTTTATATATCCTATTAGTTCTGTCCCTCTAGAGAATGCTGACTAATATATCTTGTCTCTTTTTATTGTTTTTTACTTCAAGTTCATGTTATCTAAGTGTAGCTACTCCTGCTCACTTTTGATTTGTTTGCTTGGAATATCTTTTTCCATCTTTTTACTTTCAGTCTATATGTGTTTTTCCACATGATATCTGTTTCTTATAGGCAGTAAATAATTGGGTCTTTTAAAAAATCCATTCAGCCAGTCTACATCTTTTAAGTGGAAAGTTTAATTCATTTACGTGCAAAGTTATTATTGATATGTGATGGCTTTTTCTTATCATTTTAGTAAATTATTCCTGGGTGTTTTGTAAGTCCTTTAGTCATTTTTTTTCTTTATTATTGTTTAACACTGTGGTTTGGTGGCTTCTGTAGTGATAACATTTGAGTCTTTTCTCTTCCTTGTTTGTGCATTTGCTCTACCAGTTGTTCTTACATTCTTACATGTTTCATAATGGTAAATAACATTCTTTCTCTGGCAAATTCCTTATTCATATCTTGAATTGTTTTACTGATTTCTTTGTTATTTCACTTCCATCTGTAGGACTCCCTTAAGCATTTCTTGTAGGGAGCAGAGGGGAGAGGAGGACTTTATCCTGAATATGTGTCTATGGTTTGGTTGCATAGGATGTGTTGGCTTTGATTCTGGGTGGTGATGAATTTCCTCAGTTTTTGCTTGTCTGGGAAAGACTTTATTTCTCCTTCATTTATAAAGGATAATCTTGCTGGGTATAGCATCCTTAATTGGCAGTTTTTTCTTTCAGCACTTTGCATATACTATACTCTCCTGGCCTGTAAAGTTTCTGCTGAGAAGTCCACTATTAGTCTGATATGGGTCCCTTTATAGGGAACCAGATGTTTTTCTCTTGCTGTTTTTAGAATTCTCTCTCTGTTTTTGACAGTTTGACTATAATATGTCATGGAGAAGAACTTTGCATTATATCTATTTGGGGATCTCTAAGCCTCTTGTATCTGGATGTCTAAATCTCTCGCCAGACTTGGGAAATTTTTATCTGTTATTTCATTAAATAGGTTTTCTAACTCTTTTCTCTTTGCCTTCTAGGACTCCAAAAGTTTGAATATTTGGTTGCTTTATGGTGTTTTATGTGTCAAGTTAGGGTTTGCTCATTCTTTTTTATTTTTGTCTAACTGGTTTATTTCAAAAGACCATTCTTCAAGTTCTGAGATTCTTTCTTCTCCTTGATCTACCCTATTGTTGAAGCTTTCAAATGTATTTTGTATTTTATTCAAAAATAAACAGTGTACACTGGTGTTGGTGGTAGCTGTGATGGGCTGTGTGAGCTAGTCCCCAGGCCTGCAGGTGACATGCACAGGTAATTGCAAGCTGTTGTGGTAGTGGCAGGGTGGGTAGGCCCCTGGGAGGAGTGGTCAGGTGTCAATGGTAGTGGACTGGGTAATCTTCAGTGCCCTGAACTGCATGCTCTGGCAAGGGTGAGGTGAAGCTGGTGCCATGTGAGTTTGTCCTCAGGGTTCCCCAGTGGTGTGTGCAGGTGTCTGTCATGATAGGCAGAGATGGGGCAACTTCCAGGCCTCTGGTGGAATGCTTGGGTTAGGAGTGGCAGTGGCCACACGTTGGCCCTGCCACTGGGGAGGGCATGGTTGCTTTTAGTGGTGGCAACCTAGGCTGGCAAATGGAGAATGCATGCCTTGCTTGTTCCTCAGCCCCGGTGGCAGCAGCCCATACCTCACTTGTGCCTCAGCCCCGGCAGCAACAGCCTGCTCCTTGCTTGTGCCTCGGACCTGGTACCACGGGGCCCCAGGACAGTGCACAGTCTGTTGTGGCTGGGATCTCAAAATGGCACCTTCCTGTAGCTGCCTAGGACTCAGGAGGAGTGTGTGACCCAGCGCAATCTCCCTCCCTGGATCAATACCATCACGTCTTCTCCAGGCACTTCCCTGTGTTAGTTTCTGGGCCCTCAAGGCTCTGGGGCTCTCCCGAGGCTAGGATTGCAGAAGTACACAGTGGAAATTTGGTCTGCTGGGGGTCTCTAAGCCACCTTTCCTTGCGCTCTGTCTTGCTTCTCTTTCCTTCCTTGTTTAAGCGTTGCGTGTCACGTTTCTGTAAAATTTCAGTGTTCTCTCTTGGATGATCTATTCGAAGTGTAATTATCTACTCACTATTTTGGTTCTTCTTAGGGGAGGAGGCGAGTACAAGATGCCTCTAGTCAGCCATCTTGAAGCCTCTCACTATCTTCACTTTAATGTTTAACTAGGCAGATTGCCTAGTCAGGGCATTTTAAACCAATGATTAAGAAACCACCATTTAGTGAGGCTAGATTGAAGATAGGATCTATTTTCAGAATGAAAGCTTAACTTTTTAGTCATTAAAAAGCAGTTCAATTTTCTTTCTCACTAACATTCTTGGTATTATAACTTTAAGAATATTCATATCCAGGCACAATGGCTAATGCCTGGATAATAATCCCAATGCTTTCGGAGGCTGAGACAGGAGGATCACTTGAGGTCAGGAGTTCAAAGCAAGCCTGGGCAACATAGTGAGACTCTGTGTCAAAAAAAAAAAAAATCCAAGTGTAATGGTGCACAGCTGTAGTCCTAGCTACTTGGGAAACTGAGGTGGGAGGATCACTTGAGCCCAGGAGGCTGAGGCTGCCGTGAGCCATAATCATGCTGCTGCACTCTAGTCTGGGCAATAAAATGAGACCCTGTCTCAAAAAAAAAAAATCCCACAAATGAGTAACTTTTAAAAATTAAAAAACTCCACATTATTAACTGTAGTTTTCAGTCTTCAGTAGAATAGTAGAATGAAATATGCCTGGGATTACAGGCATGAGCATGGTGGCTCATGCCTGTAATCCCAGCACTTTGGGAGACAGAGGAGGGAGGATCGGTTCAGCCCAGCCAGCCTGGGCAACATAGGGAGATCCAGTCTCTACAAAAAAATTAAAACATGATAGCTGAACACAGTGTCTGACACTTGTAGTCCCAGCTCCTTGGGAGGCTGAGGTAGGAGGATCTGCTTGAGCCTGGGAAGGCAAGGCTACAGTGAGCTGAGATGGTGCCATTGCCCTCCAGCTTGAGTGACAGAGACCCTGTCTCAAAAAAAAGAAAGAAAGAAAGAAGGAAAGAAAGAAAGAAAGAAAGAAAGAAAGAAGGAAAGAAAGAAAGAAAGAAAGAAAGGAGAGAGAGAGAGAAAGAGAGAGAGAAAGAAAGAGAGAAAGAGAGAGACAGAAAGGGAGAAAGAGAGAGGGAGGGAGGAAGGAAAGGGAGAAAGGGAGGAAGAGAGAGAGGAAGGAAGGAAGGGGAGAAAAAGAAAGAGAAAGAAAGAGAGAGAAAAGAGGAAAGAAAAGAGAGAAAGAAGGAAAGAAAGAAAAGAAAGGAAAGAAGAAAGAAAGAAAAGAAATAAGAAACATTAGGTAACGAAGGAGGAGAGAATAAGGAAATATTCCAATTATATCTTATTGTGAGTGTGGCTTAGTGGAAGGAATGCAATCTCAAGGATTAGATTTTTTTGTTCAGTTTTAAAGCAACATTAAATTTCAATTAATGGGGTCAAAATATGGTGGTCTACCCTCAGGGCCATAAAATCAGGGTAGCAGAAGCCTGCTTGGAGTTAAAAATAGATCCTGGGATATGGATAATCCAAGGTTGTTACTGTTGTTGTTACCTTCATTCTATTTCACTGCAATATATCCTCAAAACAAAAATGCCTGTGATAGTCACTGAGTTTGTTCTCAAATACCCAGGTTCTCTTTTCTGTGAATATGATAAGATGACACTTTCCCCACTTTTGAAGTTAGACATACCCATTGGTTTTGCTTTAAATAAGAAAGCGTTAGCAGGGGGAAGATGTGACACTTCTAGGCAGAGCTATGGATTTGTGCCATGTCCGTCCTCTTCCTGCTGTGATAACTGTGGAAGCATATGTTGAAGTACAGCTTTCATCACCAAGGTTCCTGAGTGACTACAACAAGCAGATGCCCTTGCTGATGCACACTGGACATGTAATATAGGCAAGAAATGAACTGACATATTTTTTAGTCATTGAGACTTTGGAGTTTGTTATTATAGCATAATCTACCTTATCTTGACCGATCTCTAATATGGGATGCTGCCAGCACAAAAACCTAAAAAAGTGGCATTGGCTTAGTGGTCAGGTGGTACTGACAAGGATGGTGAGCCATGTTACACAATGGTGACACATTTGGTAAAGCTGTTGGGTAGTCACTTGGAAGGTAGTTGATGTGCCTAGCAAACTTGTAGCTCTAGAAGAAGCAACTAGAAAACATAATGGTGTAGATAGCCAATATATTTGACAATAAATAGGGGTTCAGGGGAGGGCTAGCTAGTTTGCAAGTAGGAGTGAAAGGAAAAGATAGACCAGAAATTCAGAGACTGGCAGGGTTGGGAGGCAGGTTTCTTCTCAATACAGATTAGCTAAAAGATAAAACAATAAAGACTCAGCTTCACAGCAAGGATCTAATCAAGGCTATTGCCATCACATTCATGGTCAAAATCTCTGAACAGGCTGAGGTGTTCTCAGAATAAAGGTCCAACCAGAATGGGACCTTGGGGTTGACTCCCTTAGGAAGGGGTGGGTGAAGGTATTTTGAGTGTGGGAAAGATGTTTGGTGACTAGAAGTGTGGATTACAGTAGTCCTTATGTGTGTATTTGTTCTCTCCTAAGCACATGGTGAAATTGTGCTTCCTTATTCCATTTGAAATTAATCCTGACCATGTGGCTGAATTTGGTCAATAAAATGTGAAAGGAAATTATGTGTGTCACTTTGGGGCAGAAGCTTTAAGAGCCAGTGCTCACTCATCATTTCCTTTTTCTCCTCTTCCCTCTGTCTGGGTGACCATAGAAACACATCTTGAAGTGGAGTCCCCATCAACCTGGGTCCCTCAGTGACTATGGCCAGTAGAGTGTTCTGCCACCCCTCACCTATTCTGATCAATCTAGTGACTAATATGTTTAATCTTTGTAGAGTAAGACATTATTTTTGTTTTGTAGAGTAAACTATTAGGCAGGGAAAAAATGTACAAACCATAAAGTAAAAAAACTTACATCAGATTACATACAAATTTTAATTTTTGTATAGTAAAACACACTTAAAAGAAATTATATGCTGGGCAAAACATTTGTAACACATATACATGCAAAGGGTTAACACTGACTATATATAAAGGCCATCAATAAACTGACAACAAATATTTAATAACCCAGTAGAAACAATGGGCAGAGAATATGAGGAAGTTGTGGTGGACATTGGTTGCTTGCTTCTCTACCATTGTTTTTCCTTCTCCTGCCAAAAGCACCTAGGTTTCCCATAGGGGAACGCCCTTCTCACATTCTTAGGCATGTGATTTGTGTAGGTTTGACCACACTCTCAGCTCTAGGGGGTGCCCAGACTGAATTAAGTCACATGCCAAGCCCTGAACCAATCACTGGGTCTGATGTTAAAGAAAAAAAAAATTATTTGTAACATTTGTTAAAACATAGTAAAGAAAACTTTCTTTCTTTCTTTATTTTGAGACAGAGTCTTGCTCTGTCTCCCAGGCTGGAGTGCAGTGGCACGATCTCGGTTCACTGTAACTCCCGCCCCCTGGGTTCAAACACTTCTCTTGCCTCAGCCTCTGGAGTACCTGGGATTACAGGCATGTGCCACCATAATCGGATAATTTTTATATTTTTAGTAGAGACGGGATTTCACTATGTTGGCCAGGCTGGTCTTGAACTCCTGACCTCAAGTGAGCCACCTGCCTTGGCCTCCCAAAGTGCTGAGATTACAGGCATGAGCCACCACGTCCGGCCTAAAGAAGGCTTTATTCAGGACTATCATGATAGGTATAGGGACCACTGCAACAGGGTTTTGCAGTGGGGAAGAGAGATGGGGCTCAACTCTGAATACAGCATGGACAAGAAGAATTTATAGCCAAGGAGCAGGTGGAAGCAGGTGAGGAGAAAATTACTAAGAAGTGGCATTAGGAGTAGAAGGATTCTAGAGAAACCAACCTAACATGATTCTATCTGAAGACAGGCCAGGGTGATCAGACTTCAGAGGATAAGAAACGAAACCAGATCAGATACTGAGGTTGACTGGATAGGGTAGGGGGTTCTTGCTAAATTGACTTAGCAGGGTTCTTTGCTGAAACTGGATTGTACAAGAAAGTGCATGGATGGGCTTAGGAGGAGGTTCAGGAGCCTGACTAAAAGTTTGGTCAAGCAAAGGATCTTTGTCACTGGAAATGAATGGATCAATTTTCTGATGTCTGGATGGGATATTACTGGGTAATTTTTTTAAAATGAGACTGCTCTAATATGCTTTCATGGAAAGGTATGCATGATATATTGTTTAATAACACAAATAAGTTTCAGAGTAAAGTGTATATGACCACATTTTTACTAAATAGGAAAGAGAAGGGAAAGCCTAGAATAAATGTAAATTTGTGTCAGCATAGAGTAAAAAGCATAATGATGCAGACACATAGTTAACATTGTATACTTGTTACTAGTCTCAGCTCCAAATCTTGGCATTCTGCTTTGTGATGCTGGGGCTGAGACTCCACAAACCTCATTTCTGCTTTGTCAGCTGTTGTTACACTCTGTTCATAGCGGGTACTGGAGGCAGAGAGGGAAGTTGGAGGAGGGATCTCCTGTTTGCTTCCTAAAGGCTTCCTGTTCCTGTCAGAGTAGCTCCAGTAATTTTTCACCCCGGCAGCAGCAGCTGGTTGCAGTTTCCAGTATTCTCCATATTCCCAGAATCAGCTTCAGGGTGCTCCTCAGAGCACCAGTATGCCAGTGCCCACTCCTCAGAGGTCTGGGTCCCAGTTCCACAGGGTCTGTCCTCCACGTTTCTGGGTTCAAATGAGCCTGGCTAATTCCCTTTTCTCCCAGCCCTAGGGGTGGAAGCCACCTCCTGTAGCTCCTCCCTTACCTCAGTGTCCCCTTTCGACATCTCAATCTTTCAATAACGGTAAGCTAACTGTATAAATTTACTGTCACTGCTATAACAGATTGCCACAAATTTAGTGGCTTAAAACAACACAAACATATTATCTTCCAGTTCTGAAGTCATAAATCCAAAACGGGCTTTACTGAGATTAAAATCAAGGTGTCAGCAGAGCTTCATTCCTTCTGGAGGCTTTAGAGGAGAATCTTTTTCCTTGTCTTTTCCGGCTTCTAAATATTGCCTGCATTCGTTGGTTTGTGGCCTCTTCCTCCACCTTTAAAGACGGCAGCATAGCACCTTCAAATCTCCCTCTGATTCTCATGCCTCTCTTTGTCACCTCTGAGGACTACAGAGTGTGACTACAGACTACAATGGGTGACTACATTGGTCCTGCCTGGGTAATCCAGGATAATCTCTCATCTCAAGATCTTTATCTTAATCACATCTGCAAAGTCCCTTTAGCTATGTAAGGTAACACATTCACAGGTTCCAGGAATTAGGACATGGACATCTTTGGGAGATTATTATTCTCCCTACCCCACCAATCCCCTTGATCAGGACTTGGGAAACTTTTTCTGTAAAGGACCAGACAGTAAATATTTTAGGCTTCGTGGGCCATAAAGTGTCTGTCACAACCACTCAACTTTGCTGTTGTAACGTATAAGGAGCCATAGACAAGATAGAAATGAATGAGCATGCAGTATTCTGGTAAAGCTTTAGTTACAAAAATACGCAATGGGTAGAATTTGGCAGCTGTCCTTAATATTCCACCCCATCCTAGATAAAATGATCTCTGTTAACATATCGATGTATTTTCTGTTTTCCTGATTCACCTTAATTATCACAGACTGGTGAAACTGGAGGACAGTAATGAGGAGATTGTTAAATTTTTTGTATATATCTCTATATTGTTTGGCTTGTCACAAATATATTAGCTTTATAATTAAAATATTAAATATCTAATAAAAAATCTATAGCTTTATCTATGTATAAAAATATTTTCTTAAAAAAAAAAAACCAAAGACAAAATAGAACAAAATATCTGAGAGAAGAACCAAGCAATCCTATGTCAGTAAGAATCAGCCTGTCAGCAAAAATAGCTAGAGGCAGCTAGTTATTCTTTAAGGCCCATGGCAAACAATCTCTCCTTGTCCCTCCAGATGAATGTCACCCCACCTTCTCTGAAAGCCCTAAGCTTTTTTTTTTTTTTTTTTTTCCTTGATGGAGTTTCACTCTTATTGCCCAGGCTGGAGTGCAGTGGTGTGATCTCAGCTTACTGCAACCTCCTCCTCTCGCGTTCAAGCGATTATCCTGCCTCAACCTCACGAGTAGCTGGGATTACAGGAGTATGCCACCATGCCCAGCTAATTTTTGTATTTTTAGTAGAGATGGCATATCACCATGTTGGCCAAGCTGGTCTCGAACTCCTGACCTCAGGTGGTCCACCTCCGTCGCCCTCCCAAAGTGCTGGGATTACAGGCATGAGCCACCACGCCCAGCCTGAATGCCCTAGGCTCTTTATTGACACCTCAGAGGCACTGATTGTATAAAGAATCCTGCTACCTAGAATAGAAGCACCTAGTGGGCAGTAATCCCATTTTAAATTGAGAATTAGCCTAGATTAGTAATAGGGATAGTTGCTTTGGAGTCATCAAGACCTTGTTGATCTTGGGCAAGTTCCTTGACTTCTTGGAGCCCCAGTGTTCTCATCTGTAATTTGGGATAAAAAGGCCCATGTGACATGACTGCAGAGTTATAACACTGAAGAACAAGGCTTCAGCTGGGCGTGGTGGCTCACACCTGTAATCCCAACATTTTGGAAGGCTGAGGTGGGTGGTTCACCTGAGGTCAGGAGTTTGAGATCAGCCTGGCCAACATGGTGAAACCCTGTATCTACTAGAAATACAAAAATTAGCCAGGAGTGGTGGTGCATGCCTGTAATCCCAGCCACTCTGGAGGCTGAGGCAGGAGAATCGCTTGAATGTGGGAGGTGAAGGCTGCAGTGAGCCAAGATCGCTCCACTGCACCCCAGCCTGGGTGACAGAGCTAGACTTCATCTCAAAAAAAAAAATTAGAAAAAAAAAGAAAAAAATAAAAAAGAGAACAAGCCTTCAAGTTTGGATTGGGCTTCATATCCAGACTTCACCATTTGTGTGCTCTGTGTTCTTACGCGAGTCACTTTACGTCTCTGAGCCTGAATTTCCTCCCCTGTTTGTGAAGGATCATTACGACACCTATTTCAAAGGTTGGGTGGAGATACAATCAGAATGTAATCCTGTGGTCTTTCTGGTCAGAGCAATCATTATCATCTCTCACTTGGCTTACAGCAACGGCTTCTGCCTGGCCTTCCTGCTTTCAGCCTCCAGACTCTTCTCAAGGCAATAGCCAGGGTGCTCTGGTTGAAACTTAGTCGGATCATGACTATCCTTTAAAATGGAAGTCCACAAACTATGGCTCACAGGATAACTACAGCCCATGAGCTCAGAATGATTCCCACACTTTCAGATGGTTAAAAAAAAGAAACAAAAGAGGAACAATATTTTGTGACCCATGAAAATTATGTGAAATTCAAACAGTGTCCATAAGTAAATTTTGTTGGAACACAGCTATGCTTCTTTGTTTACGCACTGTCGATGGCTACTCTTGTGTTACAATGGCAGGACTACATAGTTGCAACAGAGACCACATGGCAAGCAAAGCCTGAAATATTTACTATCTAGCCCTTTGCAGAAAAAGTTTGCCAAGCACTGCTCTGAAACACAGATTAACAAAGCAGGACAAACAATAAGCATTCTGATGGCTTCCCATCTCTCTCAGAGTAAAAGACAAAAGCACTTCATCATCTTGCCATCTCCTCGTTAGTCACTCTGGCCTCCCTGCTGTCCATATACCAGTTACACTTGGCCTCAGGCCTTTCCCCTGGCTGCTCCTTTACCCTGGAACGCTCTTCTCCATGTATCTGCATAGCTAACTCCTTCATCACCTTCCATTGAATGTTGGCTCAAACGTCACCTTCCCACAGAGCACTATGTGTGATAGGGACAGGAGGCAGAAAAATTCTGGGAGGGCAGGTCCCCAGCGAGGACCCCACCCTTGAGCCTGGAACAGTGGTCCAAAGCAAGAACTTACATCCCTGTTTTCCCACTCAAATGTTGCCTTTTCCAAAACCACTATGGCGCCTGCCCTAACCCGCATCCTGTGTGCATAAAAACCCCAGGCTTACCTGGGAGAGAGACGAGAAGGAGCTGGATGTTGGAGAGTATGGTTGGATGTCGGAGAGAGAGACTCATCCTAAATGTAGGCATATAGTTTTTATCATCCTCTGAAGAGAGGAGTCTGGCAGGGATGGCTGGAGAATCTCAGGTGAAGATTACCTTCTTGTTCCGTCCCCTTTCCAGCTCCCTTTCTCACTGAGAGCCACTTTCATTGGCAATGAAATCCCCCACATTTACCACCTTCAATTCGTTTGTGAGACCTTATTCCTCCTGGACTCCAGACAAAAACTCGTGTGCCTCAAGTGTGGGCACAAAAGGCTGTCACACTGACCCTCTGCTGAGCTGTTAAGCTGTCTACAGACAGCAAAGGTAAAGGGCACTGTAACACTTCCTCTGTGGCTTCAGGGACTTCCGGCACCCTCCCTTAGATGCTGCCATGGGCCAGTACGGAGTTCGCTCTTGCCGGCACCTAAAAGCACACACCCTGGCTCCTGCACCTGCTCACCTGTGCTCCCACTCCCACGTGGGGTGGAGCAGAGAGTGAGTGGAGTTCGCCCCTGCCAGTGCCAGTGCACTCCAGTTCCCACCCACGAAGGGGTCAGGGAACTGTCCTGCTTCACCTGGACCATCTATTTAATATTGTAAACCGTTTCTGTGCTCCCCCGATGTAGGCACTCCTGATCCACCTAACCCAGATCTATTCTTTTCACAGTAATTGTCATCTTCTAACACTCCACTTAATCACTTGTTTACTACATCTATGGGCCTATCTTTCCCAGAATGAAAAGTCCTCCAGGGCAGAGATTTTTATTCATCAGTGTCTCCCAGCACTTACTACCTAGTAGATCTTAAGACAAATGTGTTGAATGAGTGCATGAAATAAAAGAAAAGAAGATATGAAGTATTAAGCACATTGCCTGGCCCATAGTAGGTACTTCAAAGCACTTATCATTGTTATTATTATTGATTGACTGCTAGTATGTATAAAGTGAGTAACATAAAACAAACACAATACATTTTAATCTATCTTACCTTCTCTTGATATCTCTTACGGCACTAAGGACAGTGCCTTATATGTGCTAAGCACTCACTACTCTGATGAGATTTCACTCAGCCTTGTGCCCATCTCTATTGCTATCTACAAGAGCAAGCCAAATTTTGTGCCTCTGATCCCTGTTCCTCTCTGCTCCTCAATATTCAGCTCCCAGGGTTCTGTGCCGGGGCAGAGTGTAAATGTGATTAAGGTGACACCATCTTACTACACTATATACCTATATACCTTAGTGACCCCACTGATATGGTTAGGATTTGTGCCCCCACCCAAATCTCATCTTGAATTGTAGCTCCCATAAATCCCATGTGATGTGGGAGGGGCCCAGTGGGAGATAATTGAATCATGGGGATGTTTTCCCCCATACTGTTCTCGTGGTAGTGAATAAGTCTCATGAGATCTGATGGTTTTATAAGGGGTTTTCCCTTTTGTATAGCTTCCATTCTCTCTTGCCTGCCATCAGGTAAGACATGCCTTTCGCCTTCCACCATGATTGTGAGGCCTCCACAGCCACGTGGAACTGTGATTCCATTAAACCTCTTTTTCTTTATAAATTACCCAGTCTCGGATATGTCTTTATCAGCAGCATGAAAACAGACTAATACACCTACCTTACCAGATCTGCTATCCAGAGAACTCTGAATCTGGCACCAACTTCTGAAAGACTGTTCAAATGCAAACCACTTCAGCAGTACCGATGCTTGACCCTAAGATAAGATTATGATACAAGTCTCCAGGGGTTGGAAAAAACCTGACTGTGTAATCACCATGGCTGGGCTTTGTTTACATAACAGTGTTTGAGAAATGTGTTCAGGACTATTTAAACTCAGACCATTTAAATTCTAAAGAATTCAAAAAATCAAGGCAAACACTTAGAGGATTTTAAAGACTAGCAAAAGGCTGGGTGTGGTGGCTCTGGCCTGTAATCCCAGCACTTTGGGAGGCTGAGGCAGGTGGATCACCTGAGGTCAGGATTTCAAGACCAGCCTGACCAATACGGGAAACCCCACCTCTACTGAAAGTACAAAAATTAGCCAGGTGTGGGGGTGTGCACCTGTAGTCCCAGCTACTCAGGAGGCTGAGACAGGAAAATCGCTTGAACGTAGGAGGTGGAGGTTGCAGTGAGCCAAGATCGTGTCACTGCACTCCAGCCTGAGCGACAGAGCGAGACTCCACCTCAAAAAAAAAAAAAATTAGCAAGATAGGAGACTATATAACTTATATAACATCTACCTCTCCCTTCTCACCATGGTTCTAAGGATTAAGTCACTCTATGTAATATGTCTGGGGGAAACAACTGTGGGGGATTGGGAAATAGAGTCTCTGTAGGTATATAATGAGATCCTACATCCTGAGCTTCCTGGGGGTATCCTCAATATCAAATATTCTGGTAGTGGCAGAGTACGCACCTTGGATTTTCGTTTCTGAAAGTATTGCCATCACTTTAATTCATTGAGATAATCTCCCAAACCCATTTGTGTGTGTGTGTGTGTATACGACAGGGTCTCACTCTGTTGCCTAGGCTAGAGTGCAGTGGTGTGATCTTGGCTCACAGCAACCTCCACCTCCCAGGCTCAAGTGATCCTCCCATCTCATCCTTCCAATTAGCTGGGATCACAGGGTGCACCACCAGACCCAGCTAATTTTTGTTTTTTTTTTATAGAGACCAGGTTTCACCATGTTTCCCAGGCTGGTCTCAAACTTCTGGCCTCAAGTGATCTGCCCGCCTCGGCCTCCCAAAGTGCTGGGATTACAGACATGAGCCATTGCACTCAGCCTCCACACTTTTGTTTTACAAAGAAGAACAATGAGGCCAGAGAGGGACTCTCCAGTGCTAAACACAGTTCCTGGCCACAGATGCTCACTAAACATTTGCTGACTGACTAACCTTGGGCCAGTGACTTCCTTGTAATTAGCAAGTTCCAGAGTCAGAACTCAAATTCAAGTCTCTTAACCCTGAGTTCAATGTTGCCTAGGTTCTCCTCACTCCTACGATAGCTCTATCTCCCGAAGAATGAAGATTTTATGTGCCAAAGACCATGTTGTCTCTGTCAGCACCTATCTCCTCCTTAGGCCCTCTCAGCTAGAGACCAGCCAGCCAGCCATGGGCAGCCTCAACTCCACACAGGCTCCAGGCCAATATTGACACTGGTAGAGAGAGTATTAACAGCCACAGATCCTTCAAGCAGTTGGGTTTGAAATTAAGTGAGCTTCTGCAATCTTGCTGAGGCCTCTGGGTACCAGACATACATTTCCCCAACACCTTTGTTACAGCTATCATGTGACAGCATTCTTTTTACAGGCCCTTCTGAAAAAGTTGTCTTGCTCTGAGTGGTGTAGGTTCTGCAACCTATCCCCCAACTGATTAGACAGAGGATCAAGCCCAAGTCAATGATGGCCATGTTTTTTGTTTGTTCGGTTTTTTCTTTTTTTTTTGAGACGGAGTCATACTCTGTCATCCAGGCTGGAGTGCAGTGACGCGATCTTGGCTCATTGCAACCTTCGCCTCCTGGGCTCACTGCCTCAGCCTCTCAGAGTAGCTGGGATTACAGGCGCCCACCACGACACCTGGCTAATTTTTGTATTTTTAATAGAAATGGGGTTTCACCATAATGACCAGGCTGGTCTCAAACTCCTGACCTTAGATGATCCGCCTGCCTCAGCCTCCCAAAGTGCTGGGATTATAAGCGTGAGCCACCATGCCTGGCCAGTGGTGGCCATCTTTATAGGATGGAAATGAGGGAAGCCTGTAGGGTGAACGGACGTGATAAACACTCACAAATGGACACCTCCTCTATTGCAGAGTGACCAGTGGGACCCACAAGAGTCACTCTTTAGAAAAGAGTCAGACAGAAGATGTAAGGGATGCTGAGTTGTGCCACCATATCCCTTTCAGGATGCAGGTGCTATTTGCCCAGCTGTTGGCATTATTGGCTATTGACTACCCATAGCTAAGTCTCTGTCTCTGAAGATTGCCCTCAGCCAAGTTACACCCCTTTCCAAGAAGCAGATAGTATCCAATGCCTAGCGGGAGGACAAAGCCCTGGCTCCTTGCTATCATTGTCACAGACTTTGCAAAGATTATGAAAACAAGAGAAATCTAGCATGGCTGACTCCATCTTGCTTCTAGCCTCACAGTCTGGCTGTCCTTGCTCATTCCTGGGCATAGGCTAAGCTAACCACAGGAGGAATTTAATTTATGGTTTAACTTTGAAGCAAAGATGATAACACTGCCTCCCTAAAACGGGTCCCCTCCTCATTTGGAGGCTGAAACAGCCTTTGTAAGACTCATGAAAGGCCGTAAGATTAGGACTATGAGAAGGGCCTGAAATCTGCTGAAGTGTAGGCATAGTTTTGATCATCCTTTACTGCTTAGGAGTCATGTGGCCAGAGGTCACAAGATTTGTGACTTCCCCAACTGCTCCTATAGATAACATCACTGTTATAGAACCTAAGATTGGTCTTTTGAGATGTTTTTCAGACTTTTGCATTCTGGTAAGTGACTGACCCTACCTGAACTCATGACTCATGACTCAACCGGTCCTGCGGCCCCCACCCAGAGGTGGACTCAGCACACAAGGACGTTTTCCACACTCCTGTGATCGCATCCTCAACAAATCAGCAGCACTCATTCCCTGGGCCCCGGCACACCCAACCATCTGTGAAAAACCCTAACCTCCAAGTCTTCAGGGAGACTGATTTGAGTAATAACTCCATCTTCCACTTGGCCAGTCTTGCATTAATTAAACTCTTTCTTTACTGCAATACTATGGTCTCAGTGAATTGGTTTTATTTGTGCAGCGGGCAGGTAGAACCCATCAGGTGGGGCCGGGCGCGGTGGCTCATGCCTGTAATCCCAGCACTTTGGGAGGCTGAGGCGGGCAGATCACGAGGTCAGGAGATTGAGACCGTCCTGGCTAACACGGTGAAACCCCATCTCTATTAAAAATACAAAAAAATTAGCCGGGCATGGTGGCGGGCACCTGTAGTCCCAGCTACATGGGAGGCTGAGGCAGGAGAATGGCATGAACCTGGGAGGTGGAGCTTGCAGTGAGGCGAGATTGCACCACTGCACTCCAGCCTGGGCAACAGAGTAAGACTCCGTCTCAAAAAAAAAAAAAAAAAAGAACCCATCAGGTGATTACGTTACCTTCATTGGAGGCAACTCTGAAAAGCCATCCCAACTCCAGAATTCCCCCCAAGGTTGGCTGAGGCCCTCATCCCTCTCTCCTTACAGGCATTGATCCTGAGAGTTCTCCCCAGCAAACTTCCAGCATACAAATAGGTGCCTCAGAGGCGCCTCATCCTAAGACAGTGTGTAGCAGACAGGGAAGCTGAAGCCTGGAGACCATCTGAGAAGACGGTGAGCAAAAGCCATGAGGTACCAGACACTACGGTCTCACAGAAGTCATTCCGAGGTCAGGAGCCACAGATTAAAAATGAGAAAAAAAAAGTAGACGGGGTCAAGTCACTTTCTCAACGTATCCTGAACATCAGCTGAAGTAACGAGAAGTTGTTTTTCCTTCCTGCCAACTGGAAAGAGCCTCAGGACCACACTCAGCCAGGCACCAGAGCTGGGCATCTGCCTTGTGTCTGTCTTGTCCCTCCACTTCCCTTGACCCTTGGACCAGTGACAGGGACACTCTGCCTACATTTGTCAGCCTCTCCCTTTGAGGAACTGGCCAACGTTCTCTAAACAGCCAACTTCTGGCTGCAGCGTTGTTCCGAATAAATTGACCTAGAACAAAGGTGCTTCCTCCTGTCTGACTCCAAGTACAACAAGTTCTTTGGACACTGTGTCTTGACTTCTGCTGGCTGCCCTGGGGCGTAGTTTGAGGTGGGGTCATCTTCTCTTGCTCTGTACCCGCAGGCTCCAGCCCCCTTGCTCTCCCTGTTAATCCAGGATGCTGAGGGTAAGGCCAAATTCACTCATGTTGTGATACTCTCCTTTTCCTTTCTGGCTTTAGTTTCTCCTCTAAGAAAATACAGACATGGGCCGAGCGCGGTGGCTCACACTTGTAATCCCAGCACTTTGGGAGGCTGAGGTGGGTGGATCACCTGAGGTCAGAAGTTCGAGACCAGCTTGATCAACATGGAGAAACCCCATCTCTACTAAAAATACAAAATTAGCCAAGTGTGGTGGCGCATGACTGTAATCCCAGCTACTCGGGAGGCTGAGGCAGGAGAATTGCTTGAACTCAGGAGGTGGAGGTTGCAGTGAGCGGAGATCACAACATTGCACTCCAGCCTGGGCAACAAGAGTAAAACTCTGTCTCAAAAAAATAAAAAAAGAAAGAAAAAAAGAGAAAATACAGACATGGCTCCTATGGCCTTAGGGTTTTCCCCTCATTTCTTGCTCTCTTGCGCTGCATGTTTCTTTTATTCTTTAGCAAGAAATCTTCTCAAGTTTCAAACATTCATTAGATCTGAACTAACGGTTATAGAGAACATCTCAGTAGTAGCATGAAGTGTTCACATTGAGTCTGAAATATTAGCTCAACTACTTCTTTTTTTTTTTTTGAGACAGAGTCTCGCTCTGTTGCCCCCAGGCTGGAGTGCAGCCGCACTAACTTGGCTCACTGCAAGCTACGCCTCCCAGGTTCATGCCATTCTCCTGCCTCAGCCTCCCAAGTAGCTGGGACTACAGGTGCCCGCCACCACGCCTGGCTAATTTTGTTTTTGCATTTTTAGTAGAGACAGGGTTTCCCTGTGTTAGCCAGGATGGTCTCGATCTCCTGACCTCGTGATCCGCCCACCTCGGCCTCCCAAAGTGCTGGGATTACAGGCGTGAGCCACCGCGCCCAGCCAACTATTTCTTTTTATAATGTAAAAGTTGATGGATCATAAAAGTTGGCTTTTAAATGGATTTACTTAAACATTTTTAATATGCAAAAATTTAAACATTTACACACAAAATCATATGAAGCCCCTTATACCCTTCATCCAGCCCAATCAACCTAAAACATACGTGTTTATTTCTACCGTGTTCAGTTGACTGAGAGGAGTCAACAGATGGTAAATCAACTCATTTACTTGCAGGTAACTGAAGGTCAACTTAAAATGACAATTCCTGATTGCTTTGTTTGATTGACCTGGGTCAGAGTGCTAATTCAGGCATGCATGGTGAGACTCCCACATTGAACTGGTCTATAAGTGTCAATGATTCTCTCTTCTGCCCATCCCTTGGATCTATCCCCTTCTATGTACCCCTTGCTTCCCGAATTTGGGAACCTCAGTTGCCTCTTGCCTATGCAGCTAGATTTTATATACTGAGATTTTAATAGGTTGCCTCCCTCCCTCATTTGCTCCTCCCCATTCCTCTCATTTAAACAGAGAGTTATCTCTGAACTATGAAACCTTGAAAAAGCTCTCAGGCAGAGCAGAAGGCAGAAGGAGGCAAAGCTTTCTGGCTTTTGTTTGCGGGAAACCCAAGAAGCCTGAGGGAAAATTAGGGAGTTTGCTAAGGAATGAAGGGAAGAAGCTGGTTTGCAGGTATTGGTGGTGTTTAGGGACAAAAATAGAGCATCTTGGTGGGGAAAAAGAAGAGAGAGGCCTGAGGGTCTCTGATCAGCAGGGAGCATGGTTCTGCTTCCTGAGAGGTGGCACGTCCCCAGGAAGGAATCGGTGCTGGCTTGTGACTACAAGCAGACTCACAAACAGTGCCTGAATCCCAAACATGACATGAAGATAACAGCATTACTGGGCCCAAAGGGACCATGTGGGCAGGGCCGACGGTTGTCTCAGTGGTACCACATGTCTGATGAGGAGCACGTTGCCACTCCCCACTATCCCTCTCCCCAACAGTGATATTGGCACTAGGTGAGACCCTGGAGCTGTGTTGCACCACCCCTGCTGCTGAAGAGGGGAAGAACTCAGATCAAGTCTCAGCTGGATGGAGGCATCGCTGAGCCTCAGTTAAGTAATTTGCCCAAGGCACACGGCTACTAACAAGTGGCAGAGCTAGGCCAGGTCTGCCTGTGTTAGCATCCATGTGTTTAATTACGCTGCAGGATTGCAGAAATTCTATGCCTTCGTACCTCCATCAGCTCCCAGAGGAGCAAATGACACTTTTTTGCCCAGAGGTATGAAGGTAGATCAGATACCCTTTCAAGTGATCTTTCATCTAAGGCAGCTGTGGAGTGACAGAGGCCAGGGTAGGCAGGCAAAACCTCCAACTCCCCAAGACTTCCCCATACTCACAGAACCTTACAGCAATGCCAAGCCTCAGGTTCCTTGTCTGTGAAATGGAGGTGCAACACCTACCCACCTCATAGAGCTCATGGTGGGCAGATGATGGAGAAGAAATAAACTGTAATGTACAAATGTCCCAGTTTAGCAATACAGTCAGGAAGAACAGTAACAACTAGCACTTCAACCACAGCCCTGAGGCCCTGTTGGACCTTTGAGTGTGGTTCGTTCCTGGAGGCTAAGCTCTCTGGTCCCAGCCTGTGCACAGTCTGTTCCCTTACCTGGAACATGTTGTCCCACCCTCCCCTCCCTACTTTCCCTTTGCAAACTCCTACTGATCTTCTGGTCTCAAAAGAAGATGTCACCTCCTCTGGAGGGCCTTCTTGGGCCATGCCCCACCCAAACATCTGAGTAACACACCCCTTCTCTAGGCAATCCTGACATGCACTGCTCCTTGAGCACTGAAATCCCCACTCACCAGCCCATCAGCCCACTTCTCTCCCGCTACGGGCTTCCCCCAACTACACTAGAGACCTCATTGAAGGTGGGGGCTGTGTCTTGTTTATGGTTATATTTCTAAGCTCTAGAACAGGACCTCACACATAAGGGACATTCAGTATTTTAATATTTGTTAAATGAAGAAAGGAAAAAATATGCCCTCTGAGTCATCAAAGACAGATTCATTTATGGCCCTAGTAGTTTTTTCTTTCCTTTTCTTTCTTTTCTTTCCTTTTCTTTCTCTTTCTCTTTCTTTCTCTCTTTCTTTCTCTCCCCTTCCTTCCTTCCTTTCCTTCCTTCCCTCCCTCCCTCCTTTCTTTCTTTCTTTCTCTTTCTTTCGACAGGGACTTCTCACTCTGTTGCTCAGCCTGGAGTGCAGTGGAGTGATTGTAGTTCACTGTAGCCTCGACTTCCCAGGCTCAGCAATCCTCCCACCTCAGCCTCCTGAGTAACCAGGACTACAGGCACAAACCACCACTCCCGGCTAATTAGAAAAACATTTTTTTTGTAGAGACAGGATCTTGTCATGTTGCCCAGGCTGGTCTTGAACGCCTAGGCTCAAGCAATCTTCCCACCATGGCCTCCTAAAGTGCTTGGATTACAGGTATGAGCTACCATGCCTGGCTCAAAATAGTTTCAATGCCAAGTATATTTCATTCTGTCTTAATTTCCTGAAAATTGGTAATCCAAATACAGCTTAAATATAACATAGCTTGCACCAACCACCTGCAAGTAGATGACTGAATGATCAAGCCCTCCTCAATGGGCTTGATAATTCTTTGACTGGCTTCACTGGGCCTAAGACAGTTCTTGAGAAACATTTGCTGAGTAACTGGTAAACATAATATATATTTCCTTGACCAGAGTGGGGATGAAATTAACTGCATTAAAGTCTTATTTGTTTAATAAAATATAGGATTTTATAAGGAACAAGTCTTTACCTCTTGAAAAAATATCAAGGGCCAGGCATGGTGGCTCACGCCTGTAATCCCAGCATGTAGCAAGGCCGAGGGGGGAGGATCCCTTGATGTCATGTAGAAATGGGACAGAGTTCTTCCTTCACATATTCTTATGCTCTCTGAGTCATCAAAGTCAGATTCATTCATGGCTCTAATAGTTTCTTTCTTTTTTTCTTTTTTGAGATGGTATCTTGCTCTGTCACCCAGGCTGGAGTGCAGTGGCGTGATCTCGGCTCACTGCAACCTCTGCCTCCCAGGTTCAAGGGATTCTTCTGCCTCAGCCTCTTGAGTGGCTGGGACTACAGGCGCTCGCCTCCATGCCCAGCTAATTTTTTTTGTATTTTTAGTAGAGATGGGGTTTCACCACATTGGCCAGGCTGGTCTCGAACTCCTGATCTTGTGATCCACCCGCCTTGGCCCCCAAAGTGTTGGGATTACAGGCGTGAGCCATGGCGCCCAGCTAGTTTCTTTTTCTTCCTTTTTTTTTGAGATTGGGTCTCGCTCTGTTGCTCAGGCTGGAGTGCAGTGGAGTGATCATGGTTCACTGCAGCCTCAGCCTCCCAAGCTCAAGCAATCCTCCCACCTCAGCCTCCTTTTTTTCTTTTTCCTTCTTCTGTTGTCCCACTGATCACAAAACCCACACCACTATCTCACTGATGATATACCGCCTAACCCTGAGGCTTTAGTCATACAAAGAAAATAGCCATTCTTCTGTGCTTCCATGTTTAACCATTTCTTTTACTTAAAGAATTCTAGAAACTGGCCTCAGAAGACCCAGATATCTCATCAAGGTGGCGCCAAGTCCCACCTAGGGCAGGAATGCTGAACAATTGATTTACAGCCTTGTTGCCTCTGGCCATACGATCAGGTGGCCCATTACTCAAGATAACCATCACTATCAGATATGGTGACCTGCATACCGTACCCATCATGTGCACTGCCCAGCCCAGCCTGCATACCTTACCCCTGATGTGATTCCCACTCTCGGTCTAATAAAAAAATCCCCACCAGCGTTTTCTGGTAGTCAGCTGACAGATCCTTTCCACTTTCACTGTCTCCCTTGTGCTTGAGCACAAGCCCTGAAATAAAAGCCTTGTCTGGAAAATCTGCTTGCTCCGTGTTAACTTTCATTGCTTGGGGAGGCAAAGAGCCTGTGGTCTGTTACAGCTAGGAGTTCGAGGCCAGCCTGGGAAATAGTGAGACTCCTGTATCCACCAAAAATTTAAAAAATTATCTGGGTGTGGTAGCACACAACTGTGGTCCTAGCTACTCAGGAGGCTGAGGAAGGAGGATCACTTGAGCCCAGGAGTTCAAGATCAGCCTGGGCAACACAATGAGACCTATTTCTACAAAAAAATTTTAAAACTAGCCAGATGTAGTTGGCTAGGACACACAACTGTAGGCCGAGCTACTCAAGAGGCTGAGGCAGGAGGACGATTTGGACCCAGGAGTTCAAAGTTACAGTGTTCTATGATCTCATGACTACTCTCCAGCCTGGGTGGCTGAGTGAGACCCTGACTTTAAAAAAGTAAAAAATAAAAAAATCAAGGACCAGTCTATGTGAGGTGTATTAGTCTGTTCTCACATTGCTATAAGAAAATACCTGAGACTGGCTAATTTATAAAGAAAAGATGTTTAATTGGCCCACGGTTCTGCAGGCTGAATAGGAAACATGGTGGCATCTGCTCCTGGGAGGCCTCAGGGAGCTTACAATCATGGCAAAAGGTGAAGGAGGAGCCAGCACTTGACATGGCCAGAGCAGGAGGAAGAGAGAGAGGCAGGAAGTGCTACACAGTTTTAAACAACCAGATCTCACGGGAACCAAGGGGGACGGTGTTAAATAATTAGAGCCCCCCCCCACCATGATCCAATCACCTCCCACCAGGCCCCACCTCCAACATTTGGGATTATGTCTCTTTTTCTTTTTCTGGAGATGGAGTCTCGCTCTATCGCCCAGGCTGGAGTGTAGTGGCATAATCTCGGCTCACTGCAACCTCTGCCTCTTGCGTTCAAACGATTCTCCTGCCTCAGCCTCCCAAGTAGCTGGGATTACAGGTGCACACAACCCCCAACTAATTTTTGTATTTCAGTAGAGATGGGTTTCGCCATGTTGGCCAGGCTGGTCTTGAACTCCTGACTGCAAGTGATCAGCCTGCCTCCATCTCCTAAAGTGCTGGGATTACAGGCATGAGCCACCGTGCCCGGCCAGGGATTACATTTCAACATGAGATTTGACAGGGACACACATCCAAACCACATCCCGAGGCCTGATACCTGGAGCTATGGGATGGCCAAGATAATCTGGAGTCTAGATTCTAGAGAGCCCTGCCTTCAATTGCTCACAGTCTAATGATGTGCAATAATGGGTCAGGTTTTGTGTTTCACTCCCATAATCCCAACATCTTGGGATGCCAAGACAGGAGGACTGCTTGAGCCCCTGAGTTCAAGACCAGCCTTGGCAACATAGTGAGATGCTGTCTCTATTAAAAAATAAAAATTAAAAAAATAAAAAAAAACAGAGAGAAAAGGGAAATAATAAACAGTGTGCCAGTCCTAATCCTAACCCTCGCTTTTGCTCAATTCCACAGATTTGTGTTGTGCTCCCCTTTTTAACCTCAAGCTGGTCAATGAGAAGTTAATGAACTAAGAAGTCAGCCAAGCCCTAAGCCAGCAACTGCCCTAAACATTGATGAGACCTCTGGGCCATGGACATTTTGCAATGAATGATGGGGGAAATTTAGCCTTATTCGCAGTAAACAGTACTAACTTAAAATGTACCCCACCCTACCATGACAAGCAGCTGGGCCATTAAAATTATAAATTGCCACTTAGGCTAATGTATATTGTTTGCCTGACACTCTGTGGAGCTGTTCATCTCTCTGCCAGAGACGAGCGCTATCTGGTTTTTGTCTTAGGCTGAAGTAAGAACAAGAGGTCTCCTATAAAGTTTTGGATGGCTGGTGGCAGAAGACAGTTGTCATCTCTTCAATACCCAGTGCATTCTGGGCACAAATGATGTATTCTTTTGCCCTAAGAAAAAAATGGACCTAGAGATGTAGGCTTTTTATTTTGGTCTGGCTTCCATATCTCCCATATCTTTATTTTATAGAAAAATCTTTGATAAGTCTAGAGCTGGGTATCTAGAACAACCTGAGCCAATGAGCTCCTTCCCTGGGAATCTGGAATCAAGACTGAGAGATTACAGTTTCAGTGTGGCTGGTTAATAGACAGAACTCATAAACTCAGGATCTGGGAATGGTGATTTCTGCCACCTTGTCTGGGAAGCAAAGAAAGCCAGAATGTAGTCAGAAAAAAAGAAAGAAGGGGGGGATGAGAAATAAGGGATTATTTATTACCTTTATTTTTAATACATTTACGTTTGTGTAATTCAATTTTAATAATGACTGTGTTTCATAACTGTCTGGCAAAATTCCTGTAAATTTGATCCTCTGCTTTTGCAAACTGGTACATGCTGGCTCCAGCCTACCACTGATTGAGATGAATGTTTGTTGGTCAAATTCAAATACAGGGTTAATACTAGAGTTAATATAGAGCAATCTCACCTAACCCCTCATTGCTAGCCCTTGATGCATACATTCCTATGCTATTGTCCTTAACTTAGAACCATTTCAGTCCCTATGGCAGCTGCTCCAAATCTTTACCTATCCTTACTTCAGAGGAAGTGATGACCGGACCCTCTCCAAGCCCCTTCTCCCCAACCCCCTATCTGTGGCTCTTGGCTATCCCCTCCAGGACCTCAGACCTTTAACTGCAGTCAGTACATCCCAAACTGAATTCATTATTTCCTGCCTGAACTTGCTCTTCCTCCCGCTTCTCTACCTATTTTACACCCTAACCACAAAGAACTATTTGTTCCCTATCTCATTTAATAGCATCCCAATTCACTCTGCTTACCAAGTTTGACCTCTTAGTGCAGTGGTTCTCAATCTTGGCTTCATTCAAAAATACATGCAAGCCTGGGCAACATAGTGAGAACATGACTCTACCAAAAAAAAAAAAAAAATTAGCCAGGTGTAGTGGCACATGCATATATCCCCAGCTACTCAGGAGGCTGAGGTGGGAGGATTGCTTGACCTTGGGAGGTTGAGGCTGCAGTGAGCCATGATTGCTCTGCTGCACTCCAGCCTGAGCAACAGAGTAGGGGGATGTGGGAAGGGAAATGTGTGGCTGGGTACCACAGGCAGTGATGCAGACTTAATTGGTCTGAGGTGTGGCCTGGGCTTTGTGGGGAGGGGAGGTTTAAAAGATTCCCAGGCAATTCTAATGCACTGTCAAGTTGCAAACCACTGTTATAGACTAGATAAATGCTCCCTCTTAGCATTTATTATTTTAATTGGTTGCCAAGACCAGTGCATTCTGCCTCCAAAATGTGTCCCCAACCAACTGTGAATCTCCGTCTCTACTGCCCTTGCTCCTTCCCCGCCTCTCCTGCACTGCCATAATGGCTTTGTGGCTCGTCTCCCCACAGTCAGTCTCTGCCCCGCAGCACATCCTCCTTCAGCTGCCAGAGTGATCTTTCCAAAATACAGGTCTGGTTGTGTCTGACACCCATTGAAAAGCCATTATAGTGGCAAGCATTTGCTCCACAATATTTAGATGCAGGAAACATCACATCTCATTCTCTTTCTAAATCAAATTAAATGGGTTTTGAGCATCCATTTTTTCAGGAGAGCAGATTATTGAGGGTTTTCCTTCCTAGAATTGTACAGGAATCCCAGGAAGACAAAAAGCCCAGAAGGTTTAGGAAACGCCCCTCCGGGTCCATGTTGGTCACTGCCGAGATGCTCCTTGTCCAACTTGTGAGGCAGCTCCATTCCCTCCAACTCAAGCAGGGCCCAAAGATCTTTCATTCACACTTTCATTCCACAGCGTCTGAGGTCCAGTTTTCCTAGGCTCAGCACGTAGCTACCCTCAGTCTGGGGCATTGCGTGTCAATGGATGTTCAGGAATCCAACACCCATGGACCCACTACCTCTAAATACTCAGTCCCTTCCCTATCTTGGAGAAACTGACTCTCCCTCATCATCACTGGAAGTCTTCCCTCTCCCAGACAATGGGCTTGAGAGCTAAACACAAAGTCTTATTGGTGGAAGGGCACCTGGCCTGTAGCCTGAAGCAGTCCTCTTGGCCTAGAGGAGAGTCCTGGCCCTGGCTCTGGCCACCAGGGCAGGTAGCTATGACTCCTCTTATTCTAGGCTTTCCTTGAGGCCCCACCCATCATCTTATCAACACATTCCTTGATTATTTACCCCAGTGGAGTTACAAAATAATAGAAGTAAGGTGTGGTGCAGTCAATGATTAAACAGTCTTATTGTTAGTTGGTCACATAGTTGCAGAAACCAGCATCAACCCCCAAAGAGCTCCTAGAAGGCAAGAGTTCGGGAGGGGCTCCTCTAGTCTATTCAGTGTCATTCAGCATCCCTCTTGGCCACTTCTAACTACGCTCCATGGGTATGCAGGGAACATAATGAGCATAATGAATATAGTTAATTCCCTAACCATGCACCATCTTATAGCCTCCGTGACTTTGCTTATGCTGATCTCTCTGTCTCCAATACCTCCTCCTCCCTCTTTCTATACCTGGGGAGCTCCTACTATTCATTTAATATCCACTTAAATGTCGCCTTCTCCAAAAACCTTCCAAAATCTTCTCCCCCAAATGTTTGAGTCATACCTTCATTTTAGGTCTTGCCATGTTACTATCACTGATACTATAGATGTTGTTTCACACCCCCACCCCCCCCACCCAATCAACATGCATATCTTACACTCATGAATTTGTTGTGGGTAGGAGTTATTTTTTAAATCTTTGTATCTTCAGCACCTTCCACAAGTCAGACAAGAGATGAATTCCTACAATTTTAGAGCAATAGGGCACCTTGGAAGTCATCTCATCCAGTGGTTTTCCAATCTTGTTTCAGTTATGCAATCCCTCTTTTCAAACAACAACTTACATGGCAACCCAAAAAGCAGGTGAGAGCAGAGGCACTCTAGTTAAAGCAGGGAGGATGTAGTGGCAAGAGAGGTCTAGGGACCCACTTCTACAGGACAAAATAAAAAACCACAGGTCTATCCCAGTGCCTTCATTTTACAGATAAAACAACCAAAGCCACAGGACATTTCTATTTCACATAAATCTATTCCACTCTACACCCTTAGAAAGTTGTCCCTTTGGCCAGGCACGGTGGCTCACACCTGTAATCCCAGCACTTTGGGAGGCTGAGGTGGGCAGATCACCTGAGGTCAGGAGTCCGAGACCAGACTGGCCAACATGATGAAACCCCATCTCTACTAAAAATACAAAAATTAGCTGGGTGTGGTGGCACTCGCCTGTAATCCCAGCTACTCAGGAGGCTGAGGCGGGATAATCACTTGAACCTGGGAGGCGGAAGTTGCAGTAAGGCGAGATCGCACCACTGCACTCCAGCCTGGGCAATAGAGCAAGACTATATCTCAAAAAACAAACAGAAAATTGTCCCTTTATCCTCTCCAATCTTACAGAGTCATCACAAATTCATAAGAAGAATCGACAGCCCCTTTTGAAAGTCTTCGTTGAATAAACAATTTCCTTTGCCATGTACTGTACATCCTATTAGCCAATTCTTCAAGGGAGGTGTTTACAGGCAAGTTATTACTGTGTCAGGATTGCAAAAACATGTATGGCAATTAACCGGATTTTTTTTTTTTTTTGCTTTTAAAATTTCTTTCCCTCTAATATTGTGTGGGTGTTCGTGAAGTTAAACGACTTGAGTTGGTGCCACATAGCTCTGCCAGTGTGCCTCAGTGAGCAGTTCCAACCTGCAAAAAGACTCTTCCAGGCTAACAATCCCCAGGAAGGATTTGTAGTCTCTCATTACAAGGTCCAGTTGGGTTTTTGTTGTTGTTTTTAAACAATGCCAGAAAGTTGCCCAAAGTACTCCCTTTAAAAGTGGCATCACTGTGACATGCAGCTCCCCTTACTTATATAGTTACATGCTGCATAATGACGTTTCAGTCAACAATGGACCACCTATACAATGGTGGTCCCCTAAAATTAAAAAACTACACTTTTACAGTCCTGTTTCTATGTTTAGATACACAAATACTTATCATTGTGTTACAGTTGCCTACAATATTCAGTACAGTAACATGCTGTACAGGTTTGTGGCCTAGGGGCAATAGGCTAGACCATCTAATCTAGGTGCGTAGTAGGCTATACCATCTAGGTTTGTCTATGATGTTTGCACAAGGACGAAGTCATCTAACTGACACCTTTCTCAGAATGTATCTTGGTGGCTCAGTGATACATGGCTGTATATATCAAGTCTTGGGCATTTTTATTTTTATTTTTTTTGAGACGGAGTCTTGCTCTTTCACCCTGGCTGGAGTGCAGTGACTGCATCTTGGCTCACTGCAACCTCTGCCTCCCGCATTCAAGCAGTTCTCCTGTCTCAGCCCCCCAAGTAGCTGGGATTACACAAATGCACCACCACGCTCAGCTAATTTTTGTATTTTTAGTAGAGACGGGGTTCCACCATGTTGGCCCGGCTGGTCTCGAACTCCTGACCTCAGGTGATCTGCCCACCTCGGCTTCCCAAAGTCCTGGGATTACAGGCATGAGCCACTACGCCCGGCCAAGTCCTGGGCATTTTTAAATTACAAGGGAAGCTACTGGAAATTCTCAGGGTCAGATCACAGTTGCCTGGAGGAGTAAATGCATATTGTGAATTCCTGGGAGGGGATATTGTCATTCTATCACATTCACAGCCCTTTGTTCTCCTTTTCTGCCGTCACTGCCTGGGATCAGGCCTCAGCCTCTTTCACGTGGGCTATTGCTGTTGCCTCCTAGAACATTTCTGTCTTTAGTTCTGACCTCTCCAACCCATCTTTTGTGCTGCTACTAGAGAAGATTTTTGCAAACACATGTGTGTCCTTGGGAAGGGGCAGCGACCAAAAGGGGCTTCTGGGAGGTTGGCCTTGTTCTGTTTCTTGATTTGGGTTCTTGGGTATGTGGATACGTTGACTTCGCGAAAATTCATCAAGATGTAGGTTATGCTTTGTGTAGTTTTCCATCTGTATATTTAAATAAAAGTTTACTTTAAAATGAAAGTGTCCCTGATCACGATATAGTCCAGATCAAAAAATCATTTGCTTTTTCCCACCACATACAAGATCAAAGCCAGCCTCCTTAGCCCAACAGAGCCTTTCCAGCCTCATCCCTCCTCTCATCTATCCTGAGCTCTAGCCACACTGAACTGCTTCCTCCATGCTTCCTTCCATCTGGAATGTCATTTCCTACTTCTCCAACTGGATAAATCTTTCCTAGTCTTTAAAATCTGATTTAAAATTTACTTTCTGTATGAAGCCTGCCCTGATTCCTCCCAGTTAGATGTCCCTCCTGAGAGTTCCAACCAGTCTTCGTGTATCACTCTATCATAGCTGGTTTATCTGTCTTGTTAGATTGTGATCCAGGGACATTTCCTTCATCTTCTTTGTGTCCCAGGATCTGGCACACAAATGTTTGTCGAATGTTATGGAATAAATGATTAAATACATGAATGGAAAGAATTGTCTTCAATTCCCTCAGACTGTAAGGGTTATAAGATCCTTCCTTGGGCTAGATGATTGGGTATACCAGAATGGAGTTATGGAAGTTTGGGATTCAGTATAGAGTCTATTGGAGGTAGGGAGGTTGTTTAGAAGCATTGTATTTAAAAATTAGCCCAGTGCAGTGGCGCATGCCTGTAATCCCAGCTACTCAGGAGGCTGAGGCAGGAGAATCGCTTGAACCCAGGAGGCAGAGGTTGCGGTGAGCCAAGATTGCACCACTGCACTCCAGCCTGGGCAACAAGAGTGAAACTCCACCTCAAAAAAAAAAAAAAAAAAAAAAGAAGAAGAAGCATTGTATTCAGACAGGAGGAAGGCTGGAGTGATGCCAGGGACTTGTGGAGCACCCACCAGCAGAAGCTACTCTGAAATCACCATGCCCCGCCCCACTTCCAAACCAGCTCTTCTTCTGGACTTCCCTCTTTCAGTTTCTAGGACTGCCATCCTCACATTCACAAGGCACCAAAGCTCTTCCTCTTTTCTCTTTTTTGCTCCCTCCATATTCAATTTGCTGCTAAACTAAATACTTCTCAAATCAATCCTCCTTCCATTCCCATTGCTGGCCCCTATGTTAAGGCACCTGGCATTTCTTAGTCTGATAGTTCCCAACTAATCTCTCAATCAGGACCTTTTTGGAAACAGAAGCCAGTAATGGAAATGGACAAATTTTTTTAAAAGAGAGAAAGAAAAAGAAAAAAGACTGGCCAGAAAGATTTATTGAAAGATTTCAGGGATGACCTATGAAACTTCAAAAAAAAATGCTGGAGTCAAGGACAAGAAAGTCACTCCAGCTCTTTTGGTGCATCTCTCTGTGTCCTCAGTGATTTCAGTCTGTACCTCTTTCTCCTGTTACTCAGACCCCATGGTAGAGAACATGGCCATTACTCCATAAAGTTTTACATCTGCATTCAAGAGACCAGACCTGATAGGGGCTGAAATCTCCTTGGCTCAATTACAAATCCCCATGCAAGGAACTCTGACTTGCCCAGTTGTGTCAGTCCCCTACCCCTGTATGAGCATCATTGCCATGTGGAAGAGGTAGGGCCATTCTTAGAGAAGAGGAGCTAGACAAAAACAAACAAACAAAAAAAAAAACAAACAAACAAACAAAAAAAACCAACCAAACAAAAAACAAGGATAAACCTACACACCTTTGGCCTCAAATCTCTCCTACAAGCTGCCACAGGGTTATTCTTCCCAAAGCAGAGTCCTTGCCTCAGCTGCAGAGAGTCACCTCAACTGTGGGCATGCCCTGTGGCGGCTTATAGGTGCCCTATGGTTAAACTGAGCGAGATGGGGGTAAGAGCCTGTGTTAGGCCATACTTGCATTGCTATCAAGAAATACCTGAGACTGGGTAACTGATATGGTTTGGCTGGATTTAATAGGTTCACAGTTCTGTAGGCTGTACAGGAAGAATGATGTCAGCATCTGCTCCATTTCTGGGGAGGCCTCAAGGAGCTTTTACTTAGGGTGGAAGGTGAAGTGGGAACAGGCACCCTCACATGCCAGAGCAGGAGTAAGAGACAGAGTCGGGAAGAAGGTGCCACACACTTTTAAACAACCAGATCTCATGAGAACTCACTGTCTGAAGGACAGCACCAAGGGGATGGTGTTAATCATTTAAGAGAAATCTGGCCTCGTGATCCAACCACTTCCCATCAGGCCCACCATCAACCTTAGGGATTACAGTTTGATATGAAATTTAGAGGGACACATATTCAAATTATATCACTCCACCTCTGGCCCCTCAAATCTCATGTTGTTTTCACGTTGTAAAATACAGTCATGCCTTCCCAACAGTCCCCCAAAGTCTTAACTCATTCCAGCATTAACTCAAAAGTCCAAAGTCCAAAGTCTCATCTGAGACAAGGCAAGTCCCTTCTACCTATGAGCCAGTAAAATAAAAAAAACAAGTTATTTACTTCTAAGATACAATGGGGATATAGGCATTGGGTAAACATTCCTATCGGGGAATCTGCCCCGATATTCACATAGGTTCTTTTCTATTTTCCTTAAACGTCAGCGAGCTTGAGAAATAAAGGGACAGAGTACAAAAGAGAGAAATTTTAAAGCTGGACATCCAGGGGAGACATCACATGTCAGTAGGTTCTGTGATGCCCCACAAGCTGCAAAAACCAGCAAGTTTTTATTAGGGATTTTCAAAAAGGGAGAGAGTGTGCGAATAGGTGTGGGTCACAGACATCAAGTACTCTACAAGGTAATAGAATATCACAAGGCAAGTGGAGGCAGGGTGAGATCACAGGACCACAGGACCGAGGCGAAATTAAAATTGCTAATGAAGTTTCGGGCACCATTGTCATTGATAACATCAGGAGACAAGGTTTTGAGAGCAACCGGTCTGACCAAAATTTATTAGGCAGGAATTTCCTCTTCCTAATAAGCCTGGGAGCACTATGGGAGACGGGTCTATTTCACCCCTGCAGTCTCGACCATAAGAGATGGCTACGCCCAAGGGGGCCGTTCATAGGCCTACCCCAAGGTGCGCATTCTTTCTCAGGGATGTTCCTTGCTGAGAAAAAGAATTCAGCAATATTTCTCCCATTTGCTTTTGAAAGAAAAGAAATATGGCTCTGTTCCGCCCGGCTCACTGGTGGTCAGAGTTTAAGTTTATCTCTCTTATTCCCTGAACAATTGCTGTTATCGTGTTCTTTTTTCAAGGTGCCCAGATTTCATATTGCTCAAACACACATGCTATACAATTTGTGCAGTTAATGCAATTATCACATGGTCCTGGGGTGACATACATCTTCCTCAGCTGACAGGATTAAGAGATTAAAGTAAAGACAGGCATAGGAAATCAGAAGGGTATTGATTGGGGAAGTGATAAGTGTCCATGAAATCTTTACAATTTATGTTTAGAGATTGCAGTAAAGACAGGCATAAGAAATTATAAAAGTATTAATTTGGGGAACTAATAAATGTCCATGAAATCTTCACAATCCACGTTCTTCTGCCATGGCTTCAGCCAGTCCCTCCATTTGGGGTCCCTGACTTCCCGCAACACATTCCCATTCCAAAGGGGAGAAATCAGTCAAAAGAAAAGGGCTACAGGCCCCACACAAGTCCAGAACGCAGAAGGGCAGTCATTAAATCTTAAAGCTCCAAACTCATCTCTTTTGACTCTATGTACTACATACAGGGCACACTGATATGAGGGGTAAGCCCCCAAGGCCTTGGGCAACTCTGCCCCTGTGGCTTTGCAGGGTTCAGCCCCGAGGCTGCTCTCATGGGCTAGAGTTGAGTGCCTGTGGCTTTTCCAAGCTGAGAGTGCAAGCTGTGGGTGGATCTACCATTCTGGGGTCTAGAAGACTGTGGCCCTCTTCCCACAGTTCCACTAGTCAGTGCCCTAGCAGGGACTTTGTGTGGGGCCTCCAATCCTATATTTCCTCTTGACACTGCCCTAGAAGAGGTTCTCTGTGAGGGCTCCACTCCTGCAATAGGCTGCTTCCTGGATGCCCAAGCTTTTCCATACATCCTCTGAAATCTAGGCAGAGGCCACCAAGCCTCCACCACTCTCACACTCTGTTCAACTGCAGGCTTAACACCACTTGGAAGCCACCAAGGCTTACAGCTTGCATTATTCAAAGTGGTAGCCTGAGCTGTACCTGGGCCCCTTTGAGCCATGGCTGGAGCTGAAGGTGGGGAACAGTGTTCCAAGGCTGTGCAGGACAGTGGGGCCCTGGGCCTAGTCCGTGAAAGCATTCTTCCTTCCTAGGTCTCTGGGCCTGTAATAGGAGGGGCTGCCATGAAGATCTCTGAAATGCCTTTGAGGCCTTTTCCCCCATTTTCTTGGATATTAGCTCTTGACTCCCTTTTAGTTAGGCAAATATCTCTAGCAAGTAGTTCCACAGCCTGCTTGAACTCCTCCCCTAAAAGAGCTTTTTCTTACTTTGCCACATGGCCAGGCTAGAAATTTTCCAAACTTTTATGCTCTGCTTCCCTTTAAAATATATATATATATATTCCAACTTTAAGTCATTTCTTTGTTCCTGAATCTGAGTACAGGTTGTTAGAAGCAGCCGTGCCACATATTGAACACTTTGTTGCTTAGAAATTTCTTCCACCAGGTACCCTAAATCATCACTCTGAAGCTCAAACTTCCACAGATCCCTAGGCCATGAATAGAATGCAGCCAATCTCTTTGCTGAGGCATAGCAAGGGTGACCTTTGCTCCTGTTCCCAATAAGTTCCTCATTTTCCTTCATCTTCCTGTCTTCTTCTGAGCCCTCCAAACTCTTCCAACTTCTGCCTGATACCCAGTTCCAAAGTTGCTTCTACATTTTCAAGTATCTTTATAGCAATACCTTACTCCTTAGTATCAATATACTGTGTTAGGCCATTCTTGCGTTGCTATAAAGAAATACCTGATACTGGGTAACTTATAAAGAAAAGAAGTTTCATCAGCTCATGCTTCTGCAGGCTATACAGGAAGCATGATGCCAGCAGCTTCTCAGCTTCTGGGAAGGCCTCAAAGAGCTTTTTCTCATGGCAGAAGACAAAACAGGAGGAGGCATGTCACACAGCAGAGCAGGAACAAGAGAGAGTTGGGGAGGAAGGTGGCACACACTTTTAAACAACCAGATCTTGTAAGAACTCACTCACTGTTGGCCAGGCATGGGGGCTCACACCTGTAATCCCAGGACTTTGGGAGGCCGAGGCAGGCGGGTCACAAGGTCAGGAGATCGAGACCATCCTGGCTAACATGGTGAAACCCTGTCTCTACTAAAAATACCAAAAAATTTAAAAAAATAAATTAAATAAATAAAGATAAAAATACAAAAAACTAGCCAGGCGTGGTGGTGGGCGTAGCTACTCGGGAGGCTGAGGCAGGAGAATGGTGTAAACCCGGGAAGCAGAGCTTGCAGTGAGCTGAGATTGTGCCACTGCACTCCAGCCTGGGCAACAGAGCAAGACTCCGTCTCAAAAAAAAAAAACAAAAAACAAAAAAACAAAAAGCCAAAAAGAAAAAACAACAACAGAAACCTCACTCACCGCCATGCGGACAGCACCAAATGGATGGTACTAAACCATTCCAGGGAAATCCACCCCCATCATCCAATCACTTCCCACCAAGCCCCACCTCCAACACTGGGGATTACAATTTAGCATGAAATTTAGAGGGGACACATATCCAAACTATATCAGGGCCTGACCATTTTAACCTGATCTGGAACAACTCTGCCAGGCACTACTTCCCACAGATTTCCCCACCTGGTTGGCAGGCTTTATCAAGCCTGGATTGCAATTTTACTTCTTCCTTTGTTCATCCTCCTTTCTCTCCTTCCTTTCATGGCTGTTGATCCCTAATAAACTCTTCCTCATGGTCTGCTTCCAGAGAGGCCAAGCTTAGGAAATTGAACATATCCTTCTGCCCACCTAGATTTCCCATCTCCTACCATCTCTTTCTGCCCCAATCCAGCCCACCCTTCAGACACCACCTCTTCTGAGAAGCCTTTCCTAGTTGCCGCATTCAGATGTGTTCTATCCATCTGGTAAAGACGGTATGCCTCTTGTATTGAATTCGCCTCATTCTCCCTAATATTGTAGCTATTTGTGAGCTTCACCACCTCCCACCCATAGGCTCTTGGAGTACTAAGCCTATTTTTGTGTTTTTTTTTTTTTCCTCCAATGCTCTGCTCAACCCTTAGTGAATGATTGATAATATTCTCAAATCCTTGGGAGAATCAGACAGTATTCTCCTAGTGAATACAAATCACTAAAGCTCTTAAAAATGTGTTTTTCCCTTTGGTACTGATCAGTTTCATTAAAAATTTGTTTTTATTGAAGAAGACAGGATAAAAAATGAATTTTAAATTACCAAATGTTTGCAAAATTGTTTAATCCTTGCTGCTAGACTATAAGCTCCTTGACAACAGTGAATATATCTTATGAACGTATTCACATCCCTCTCAAGCATGATCATGATTGCGGGATAGGGGCTAAACCCGCCAGGTCTGCAGTCCACTATGCCAGGGGCCACGTCTTGATTCCATCACTGCTACCTGCACAACCTTGAGCAAGTCAATTCACTCATTTAACTTTCAGTTTTTCACTTGCAAAATGAGAATAAATGCTGGGCGTGGTGGCTCATGCCTGTAATCCTAGCATTTTGGAAAGCTGAGGTGAGAGCAATGCTTGAGGCCAGGAGTTTGAGACCAGCTTGGTCAATATAGCGGGACCTTGCCTCTACCAAAAAATGTTAAAAATTAGCCGGGCATGCTGGTGCATGCCTGTAGCTCTAGCTACTCAAAAGGCTGGGACAGGAGGATTGTTTGGGCCCTGGAGTTCAAGGCTGCAGCGAGCTATGATTACGCCACCGTATTCCAGCCTTGGGTGACAGAGCAAGATTATGTCTCTTAAAAAAAAAATAGTGGAAATAATATCTGCCTCATGTGGTTTTTGAGGGCTTAAATGACATAACTCATATAAAGTACAGTGTCTTGGTAAGGTAAATATTTGATTAAAATTAACTAATTTTATCTATTATTAAAGGGTGTTCTATGATGTTTATGGAATGACAAAAAAATACAAAGAAAGGAGGAGGAAGAAAATAAATTTGGAAAAAATCTTTTTAGTTATTTACTGGAGGTAGAGCCCAGGAGTCAAAGGCTGAGGTACCAAGCCATGTGAATTTCATAACTGTTTCATGTTACTTACAAATGAGCCATAACTGAGGTATTATTAATGGAAAGCAAACTCAATATGGCGCTCACTAAATGGAACTCTTCCAGCGTACAAAATGGGAAAGGAGATAAAGGAAATAGATCTGTCTTAGACTAGGGCAACTGTTCTGAAAATTTTGGTCTCAGGATCCTTTTAAGCTCTTAAAATTTATTGAGGATCCTAGAAACTTTGTTTACGTGGGCTATATCTGTCAACATTTACAGTATCAGAAATTAAAACAGAACATTTATTATTTATTCTTCTAAAAACAACAAACTCATCACATGTTGAACATAAATAACATATTTTATGGAAAATAACTATATTTTCCACAAAAATATAGAAGAGTGGCATTGTTTTAGATTTTTGCAAATATCTTCAATGTTTGGCTAACAGAAGATAGCTGAATTCTCCTATCTGCTTCTGCATTCAATCTGTTGCAACCCTATATTGTTTTGATTGAGGTACATGAAGACAATCCAGCCTCACACAGATCTGTAGAGGGACAAGGAGGAGTATTTTAACAGCTTTTTCAAATAATTGTGGATATTCCTCTTTGATATCACACTAAAACTCATTAAGTGATACTTTCTTAAAGGATAGTTGCAATGTGGATTCTGAAATCACAGCATAATTTTACTGTATATGTGTAATTCCTAAACAATGTATTCTTTCTTTTTTGCTTACTTTTGAATTTTAAAAAATAGTATTATACTGTATATATATTCTTCTGCAACTTGCTTTCTGTGCTCAACATTATGAGGGTCATCCATTTTAATGACTGTAACTCAAGGTTTCTTAACCTGGATGCTATGACATTTTGGGCTGGATAATCGTTTGTTATGAGGGGCTGTGCAGTACATTGTAGGATGTTTAACAGCATCCCTGGCCTTTACTCATTAGGTGCTAGTAACATCCCTCCAGTTGTAACAACTGAAAATGTCTCCAGACACTGCCAAATGTCCCCCGGGTGGAGGATAAAATCACCCCTGTTTGAGAACCACTGCTGTAACTGGAATCCATTTATCTTCACAGCTGTTAAGCATACCATTCTATGACAATACTCCATTTATTTATCCAGTTTCCTATTGTTGGGCATTCGGGTTGTTTTTACTTTTTGGCTATTACAAATCATGCTGCCATAATTAGTTTTGAGCATGAGTTTCTCTAGACTGGAATATATATCCAGGGGTAACATTTCAGAGTCATTTCGTATGAGATGGTCAGCTTTATATAATGATATTATTTAGTTCTTTAAAACAGATCCCTATTAGATACCATGAGCTCTCAATGCCTTCAATCATTTATACATTTGCTTGAGTTCCCTCATCTCTCTTGTGCTCCAGAAGCCATGGCAGGGAGCAGAAAGATCCGGTGGACAAGAGGGACAGAGAAAAGGATGGGCCTGAGGAATGGCCCCAGGAAGGAAATGGAGGAAGTCTGGATTGTTTAGCTGCACCAGGGTCATCCAGGACCTGACTGCATCCTGACTTTTGGGCCCCATCCATGCACCACCTTGTGCCCCACATACTCCAGATTACTCCTCGTGTCTCTGCTGGGGCTGTCCCCATGCCTTGCATATCCTTTCCTGCCTCCTCCGCCTATCAAAAACTTCCTGACTTTTAAGGCCCAGTTCACACGCTGCCTCCTCCCAGAGCCTTGAGCCCCACAGCCTTTGGTTGGTCATTGTCTGGCAATCATCGTCTCCTTTGCTTCTAGAATCTTCTTGAGAGCAGGAGCCAGAGGAAAAACTGTCCTATCGTTCACCAGAAAATTCACACAATCCACAGTCATGTGCCCAGTTTGCACATGGAACAGTACAGAGGAACATATGACGCATTCCATCCTGCTCTCGCAGGCTTGAGGTATAGAGGACAAACCTAGGCCCTCAGAGTACAGGGATCCTGACTCCAGCACTTAGCAGCTGATCCATTTAGCCACTTAATCCTACTTTCTCATTTACAAAAAAAAAAAAAAAAAATCTTAATACCTACCTCAAGAAGTTGATGGATTAGATGAGCTCATGTCAGAGCCTGACACATAGTAGGCTCCCAACACATGTTCTTTCTCTTTCCCACTTGCACCCAATGCAGTGACTTGCACATCAAGGTGCTCAATAATATTTGTTAAATGAACTAAGCCTTTACTCTTCTGGTGGGTCCTATCAGGGCTGCCCTGGCTCATCATTCTTGGCTTGGTTCTTTTTCTTAAGCTTTGAACTTTGGCTAGATCTGAACTAATGGTGTCCTTTTACCACATCTGATCTCCCTGTGGGAAGTCACAAGCACTCTGGAGAGTGCTTGACCCATCCAAAGAAAGTAGCTTGTGGTCAGCTCCATCCAAATGTCAAAAGCCAGAATCTTCCGATTTTCAAGAGAATCCCCAAATTGGGGTTTTAATGAATAGCTTTTGATATTTAAATGCTTGCAACAGATTTCTTTTTCTTTTTCTTGAGTTGGAGTCTCACTGAGTCACCCAGGCTGGAGTGCAGTGGCGAGATCTTGGCTCACTGCAACCTCCACCTCCCAGATTCAAACAATTCTCCTGCCTCAGCCTTCCGAGTAACTGGGATTACAGGCGTGCACCACCATGCCCTGCTAATTTTTGTGTTTTTAGTGGAGACGAGGCTTCACCACATTAATCAGGCTGGTCTCAAACTCCTGACTTTAAGTAATCCCCCCAGCTCAGCGTCCCAAAGTGCTGGTATTACAGGCATGAGCCACTGTGCCCGCAGATTACTTTTTTTTTTTTTAACATCATATAGGACTAATTGGAAGTGTCTAACTCTGGCTTTGGCCAGTGGGCAGCCAGTTTGCAGCCTTCACTTAAAGCCAGCCACTATGCGCCCATTTTCACGTGGCCATGGAGGTAATTGCCCTTAGCCTTAAGAAGAAGGCTTTTACACAGGGCTTCTAGGAATCCTCTCCACTGAGGTTACCCCAGGCTAAAGGCTAAGGGAAGGGGAAGAAAGCCAATACTTATAGATACACCCCACAGAATACACCCACAATCTCCCTTGATTCCTACAGCAGCCCTGTGAATTAGGTGTTATCATCACCCCATTTGACAGAGGAGGAGACAGAAGTGCAGAGATATTAGATCATTTGCCAAAATTCCACTTTGCTGCTAAGTTATAGCATTGGGATTTGAGCCCAGGACTGCCTGACTAGTCTATAAATTCTGACTAGACTATAAATTAATAAAGAAAAGGGAGAAATGGTACCTTATTCTCTGTATCCTTCCAAACACAGGACTGGGCATGCACATAGTTAGTGCTCAGTAGGCACTGTTGATTGAAGTTCAATTGATTGACTGAGTAAAGACATGCTTATGGCCATATCTTCTCAACACTTAAACAAGAATTTGAAATTTGGCTTGTCTGTCTATGCCAGATAGACAAACTCCCCCATCGAATAAGAAAAAAAAGCCACACCCATATAAATAAATTGAATTGTCGGAATTGAGTCATTGTTGTGGCATCAAACAGATGTAGAGCAAATATTTAAAAGAGTAGAGTTGTGTGGGCTGGGCACAGTGGCCCATGCTTGTAATCCCAACACTTTGGGAGGCCGAGGAGGGAGGAGTTCAAGAACAGCCTGGACAACATAGTGAGACCACACCTCCATAAAAAAATTGAAAATTTTAGGCTAGGCAGAGTGGCTCATGCCTATAATCCCAGCACTTTGGCAGGCTGAGGTGGGAGGATCACTTGAGCCCAGTTCAAGGCCAGCATGGGCACCATAAGGAGACCCTTTATCTTGGAAAAACAAACAGAAAGAAAATAAAAGAATAGAATTGTGATTTCCTACCAGCTTTCTATAATCTGTTCCTATTTTCCCAATTCCTCATTCCTCCAAAAGAACATTTTTCACAGTTAAAAAATAATCTCCAATTATTCTTTCATGAGCACGTCCTGAGTGGGATTCCATAGCTTATAAACTTTCAGTTAGTGTGAGTGGCTGATGATGATGACAATGATGCCTCAACTATGCACAGTGATTAATATCTCAATGTCAGTATTTCACAATATGGAGCTCAAGTTACAGTCTTAAACCAGGGGAAAAACATGAGAGGTATTTTTAGTGAAAATCCTTGTTGAAAGACTCCCCACCTATAGAAACATACAGAATAGCTGCAGGGGAGTAGATCATCGTTTTCCTAAAATTTTGGCAAGAAACTGTGAGGAGTCCTGATAAGGCTGGCAACACGGAAGAATATTTTTTCCTCTTGGTGGCACCCAGCCAGCTCCTGGCAGCCCTGTGCCAGCTTCCCAGAGCTGCAAATGGCTTGGAGCAATTTTATCTTGACTTTATTATCCTAACTCACAACCTATAGAAGCAATAAAAGAGAAAACACGACGGAGGAAATGTGAAGCAGTAGCAATGGGCCATGACCAATTTAAGATGAAGTTCAAAATGCACAACCGAGCTACAGACTTAGTCCAAATTTGAACTTAGTAGGTACTAAGGTGGATAAGCCCCCCAAAATGTAGTGGCGTTAGAAAAATACAAGGAAAAGAACTATAATATTCCTTGGACTCCACGTGGGGCCAGACAGGCAGAGATTCTTTTTCCTCCCTCTTGGGAGACTTGAAATGGAAGTCATGGATGATAAAAATGATTTTCTATGTAATTCATAGGGCTATAATATCATCTGTAGCATTACAAGTGATTGTAATACTACAGACACTGATCATCATTGATTCATGCATTAATTTATGAAATATGTTATGACATCCACTCTGCCCTTAAATAGCTCACAGTCCAGGGAGGGGCTTAGTCATGAAAACAAATAGTTAGAAGACAAAATGATAAGTTAGGTCAGGCATGATGACTCATGCCTATAATCCCAGCCCTTTGGGAGGCCAAGGCAGGTGGATCACTTGAGCCCAGGAGTTCAAGACCAGCCTGGACAACATAGTGAGACCTTGCCTCTACAAAAAATAAAAATACATTAGCCGAGTATGGTGGCACACACCTGTGGTCCCAGCTACTGGGAAGGCTAAGGCAGAAGGATTACTGAAGCCCAGAAAATTGAACCTACAGTGAGCTGTGATCATGCTACTGTACCCCAGCATGGGCAACACAGCGAGACCCTGTCTCAAAAAACAAACAAGCAAAACCCAAAATAAGTTATACAACAAAAAGATGGGATGCAGAGAGGAAAGAGTCTGATTTATCCCTTGAGGATAGCAAGCTGGGTGAAAACCTGAGATTCTGGGGCTGAGACAGGGAATTCTTCTTCATAGAGAGTTGGGCCACTAGAACCAGAAGTTTGAACCATGTCCAGGATCCATGCAGAAAATTAAAGTCAAAGGCAGAAGGAAAGTCCTAGGGCAGGAGGACAAGACAAATGGTTCAGAGGCAGCTTGCATTGCTGGAGCACAGAGCTCCAAATCCTGGAACCAAGGAGACCAGATTGATCACAAAAAGGTAGAGTCAGCATCAATTGCCTGAGTAATTCCCTCAGTCCCAGCAGCCCTGTCACTTCTTTGGGCCCCACCTCATGATCAAGCAACCAATGAGTTAAGATGGCCCAACAGGGGCCCCAGGACCACACTTCATGCCAGGCCTGCTTCTGTGTGGATTGCTTCTACATGCTGGTCAGGGGAGTGATGTGAGAGTAGATCAGCTAGCTTGGAGGGCTAAGGATGCAATGAAGGCAGAGCCTTGCCCTTGCTCTTGGGGGGAAAGGGGGATGTTTTCTCAGAGACACTGATAAACAGGCAGGTGTTCATCTGGTAGAAATAGGAAGTGAGGGAGTGGCATGTGTAAAGGCAGGAAGCGTGTGACAGGCTGGGCAATGGGCTGGAGGGGTCATGGCTACCCATGAGCATCAGCCAGTTGAGTTGAGCTATTTGGGGGACCCTTGGGTATGGCCTTGGTTACAGGTATAGGACTTTATCCCATAGACAAAGAGAAGGAAGATGTTCTCTTCAATTAAGAAGTGGTTCTGGGCCGGGCACGGTGGCTCATGCCTGTAATCCCAGCACTTTGGGAGGCCAAGGCAGGCGGATCATGAGGTCAAGAGATCGAGACAATCCCGGCCAACACGGTGAAACCCCGTCTCTACTAAAAATACAAAAATTAGCTGGGCATGGTTGTGTGTGTCTGTAATCCCAACTACTCAGGAGGCTGAGGCAGGAGAATTGCTTGAACCTGGGAAGCGGAGGTTGCAATGAGCCAAGATCGCACCACTGCCCTCTAGCCTGGCGACAGAGCAAGACTTTGTCTCAAAAAAAAAAAAAAAAAAAAAATTAAAAAGAAAGAAAGAAGTGGTTCTGAATCCTCAGGTGCCCAGGAGCTCTCATTGCCCTGCTAGATAGGCCTGAAACCTGGCAGTCACCATGCTCTTCTCCGTGTCCCAGAGAACAAGCCACCAGGAAATAGAAGGGAGTTGTTTGCTGCCATTTCACTGCCTCTGCGCTGAGTAGGGATGCAGATAGATGTTCCAGCTACAGGGCAGCTTTGAGAGAGTGCCCAGAGGGCTGCAGACATCAGCAGCACCCCATGACCACACCAAAGAGGCCTCAGGAGAGAAAGCAGTTCCACTGTCCCTAATCCTAGGACACAGCCATTTCTCTAGGCCTTGACCTGTGACCTCCCAGACTCCCAAGAGGCCCACAGTCTGTGACTGATCAAGAGGTAGTTTCACATTTGTCCTTTGTGGCAAATAATACATCCTCATATTAAAAGAAAGCTAGCTTACTAGGGATACAGCTCATTTGTCCCTGGTCTGGCCCTTGGGGAAAGAGCTTGATTGTATCCAAAGCATAAGCATCGTCTAAAAATCCAACAGACTTTCTTTCCTTCCCATCAATGTATAAATTCACCTGAAACACTGCTTTAGAACGGTCAAACCTTCAGGGCTTCCAGAGGACTACTCCACCCAGCCTCAAGACAGCCCTGTGAGGGGGGGAAAATGAGGCGCAGCAAGGCCAAGGCCCACTGCTCATGAAGCTGAGCTTCAAACCCAGACCTGCCAGACACCCAGTCCATGCATTTCCCACAGGCCCACAGGGTTGCTCCTCCTAAACGGGCGGAGAAGCAAAGGCTGCTCTTTCCAAGGCTCTGTGGGTCCAGCAGAACATTTGCTTGTCAGGTCAGGTGAGTTTATTCATCTTATAATTTAAACCAGACTGGGCCTTAAAGACAACACCTCATGAGGTTGAAAAGTATGTGGGGAGGGAGGGTTCATAATAATATTTTGCATTAATAGGGGTCTCTGTTTTCCCAAGCATTTTACAGTTCCCACTGAACTGGGTCTTCCAGCCCTCCTGTGAGAGAGTCAGAGCATTTCTTACCTCCAGCTCCTTCAGAGGATTAGGGCAGAGGGCAGCCAGCCTGCTTCACCTGAGCTGGCCCAAACCTCAGCTGCTTCCCCTTAAGGGGTTCCAGTCCCTCAGTGTCACTACCAGCAAGGAGGTTTGAACGGCAGGGTCTCTTCAACACCACATGCTCCCCCTGATGGCTTGCGAGGACCATCTGAGTCCTCACTCCTGATCCTGTTGGGAGCAAGTGCCTTTTCTCACAGGAGGGAGAGGCCACTCTCCTCCTCTGCCTGACCTCTTTATCTCCACAGCAATGTCATATGAGGCGAAACTAGGAGGATAAGATATCTAGGGGAATCTCTGTGTAGTAGTGGGAAACATTTTAAGCTTGCGTGCTATATAATTTTTCATAGTTTGACGGAGCACATCAATAAGTTAAACCCTCCCCAGGGCTGCCATGTTGCACAACTCAGTCCTACCTGGGGCCCTACCAGTCTCTAATCCTGTGCCCCAGCCTCAGGCTTCTCTGAGAAAGCTTCCTCCTTTGTGCTTCTGCCTTACAGATCTGACTTGCACATCTTTTTACTCTGGCTTGCAAATCTTCTCCCACTTTTCAGGAAATCTCACCTTCAAAGTCTAGGGCTTGATCTTACCCCAAAGCATCTCCTTCTCCTCAATACCATTCTTTAAGTCTGAGTTATTGAGTCTGGGATGATATCCAGGGTCAGCAGGACTGATCACAGTCAGCAGAGGCACACTGTTCCATAAAACAGAACTACCATCCGGAGGATCAGGTATGCTTCTTTATTTTTCTGATTAACCAGGGCATAACTTTTATTTTATTTTATTTTACTTTGAGATGGAGTCTTGCTCTGTCACCCAGTCTGGAGTGTAGTGACACAATCACAGCTCACTGCAAGCGCTGCCTCCCGAGTTCAAGTGATTCTCCTGCCTCAGCCTCCCAAGTAGCTGCGATTACAGGTGTGTGCCAGCACACCTGGCTAATTTTTGTATTTTTAGTAGAGACAGGGTTTCATCATGTTGGCCAGACTAGTCTTGAACTCCTGACCTCAAGTGATCTGCTTGCCTCGGCCTCCCAAAGTGCTGGGATTACAGGTGTGAGCCACCACGCCCGGCCACCAGTGCATAACTTTTATTAGGTTGGTGCAAAAGTAATTTCAGTTTTTGCCATTAAGTAATGGATAAATTAGATAGATTGGATACACACATATCTGTAATGTTTTCAGTCTAAAGTCCTAAAACCAAACGAAGCCTGCAAACATCTTCTATTTGGCCAGTATTATGAGTTTTTTTTTGTTTTTGGTTTTGGTTTTGTTTTTTTTGAGACTGAGTCTTGCTCTGTCGCCCAGGCCGGAGTGCAGTGGCGTGATCTCGGCTCACTGCAAGCTCCACCTCCTGGGTTCATGCCATTCTCCTGCCTCAGCCTCCTGAGTAGCTGGGACTACAGGTGCCCGCCACCACGGCCCGGCTAATTTTTTTGTATTTTTAGTAGAGACGGGGTTTCACCGTGTTAGCCGGGATGGTCTCGATCTCCTGACCTCATGATCCGCCTATCTCGGCCTCCCAAAGTGCTGGGATTACAGGTGTGAGCCACCGCGTCCGGCTGGCCAGTACTACGTTTTTAAAAATACCTGAGAATTGGAAATCCTTTAGGTAGGACAGGCACTCTCAGCCACAGTCCCCACTGCTCCCTGCTGCCCTACACCCAGGCTGATTCACTTATTTATATTATCTGTGTTGCCCTTAGAGGCATCTGTGTTTGCAACCACTCTTCCAAATCCACAAAGAAGGAAAACATCTAATTGTCCCCTAGTTTGCAACCGTGCTTCTCTCTCAGTGGAGTTGGTATTGCACATTCTTAGCAGCAATGTGCTTGATCCTTTCCTTAAGCCTCCTTCTGCCTAGAAAGCACCACAATAGGCTTGCTTGGCCCTGCTGGGATTGTAACATTTCATTACTGAGCTGCTTGTTTCCTAGAGATTACTCTTCTAATTGTACAAATACACAGTCAAATCTTTGAAGCTGACTCTGGAGTTGGGGGACAAGTAACAAGCACTATATCCTTAACTCCAAGCAGGGTAGGAGGGAAGTTCTGACCTAACCCCAGGACTGACCTTCAGATTATGCTTTCTTGGCCAGGTGTGGTGGCTTACGCTTGTAATCCCACCATTTTAGGAGGCTGAGGCAAGCAGATCACTTGAGGTCAGGAGTTCGAGACCAGCCTGGCCAACATGGTGAAACCCCATCTCTACTAAAAATACAAAAATTAGTCAGGCATGGTGGCATGTGCCTGTAATCCCAGTTACTTGGGAGGCTGAGGCAGGAGAATTGCTTGAACCCAGGGGGCAGAGGTTGCACTGAGCCAAGATCACACCACTGCACTCCAGCCTGGGTGACAGAGCGAGACTCTGTCTGAGAAGAAAAAAAAGCTTATTATTTCTTTTTAATGTGAGCAAAAGGGAGTTGCCCTGAATCAATTCTCTTGGAGTTGGGAGAGTGAAGGGACAGCCAACAACATCCTTACAGTGGAGGATTCAGGTCAGATTAAATGGGGGTCCCAACTTTTGCAATGTGAGCCACTCTCCACACCAAACTCTTCATTTCCACAGCCTGGCAGACATGATCAAGCGATTGCAGCACTCTTTCCCACCATCCTGGGCTGCTCTCTCACAGGCATTCTCAGTCTATCACTCTGGGCGGCCACCACAGCTTGATCAAAGGTGATAGTCATGGTGAAACCTATTTCCTGTTCTTGATGTAATGGGAAGTACACTGGGCAGCTAATAAAAGACCTGGATTCTGGGTCTGACCCTGCCTGCCACTGACTCACTGGGCAAGGCTGTTTACATCTTTAGACCTGTTTCTTACATGAGGTAGTTTAGCAGGTAATTAATTGGTTCCAATCTGATGTCAAGGCTGAGTGGCACTGATGATTTGGGTGAGGAGGGCTGAAGGATTTCAGAAAAGAAAGGATCACTGTGGGTCCGTAGCCCCGGGAGGGTCTCTAAATTAGTAGCATCCACGCCAAAGCTGATGGACATTTTTAGAGGGAGTTTCAAGTACGTGGAATCTGCAAAGGCATGGATGTGAGAATGTACTGAACAGGGAGAGGGCCTATAAATGAGCAATAGTCACTTGAATTCCTATGCTACTAAAATCTCAGATTTCACCACTGTGCAATTCATCCATGTAACCAAAAACCTCTTGTACCCCAAGTGCTATTGAAATAAAAAATAAAAAGGAAAAAAACTCCTAGGCTAGATGCATGCATTCTTTCTCTCAATAAACATTTCCTGTATTCTACGTGTTGGGCATTTTGCTAGGTGCTGAGATCCTCCTATGAACAAGGCAGGAGCTACTAGTACTGTAAGCTAGCTTTTTTTTTTTTTTTTTTTTTGGTAAATAGAGATGGGATCAGGCTGGTCTCAAACTCCTGGCCTCTCGCCTTGGCCTCCCAAAATGCTGGGATTACAGGCATGAGCCACCATGCCCAGCCCAAGCTAGCTTTTTACCCACAACAAACATAAATATGACTGGAAACAAGTGCCCTGTGGCCCTTCTGGAGGAGTGAAGAGATGCATTTTAACAGTGCAGTAAGTAGGGCCAAGTAATCTAACTTGCCCTCAGCATTTGCAGTGAAGATAAGTGATGTACTTCATGTAAAAGGCACTTTGCAGACTGTAAAATCCTCCACAGATGTCTATCAATCTCAGTTGTAACAATAATAACAATAGGATGAGGTGCTGATAGTGGAATTCTAGGAGAGGGCCCTCAAATTTGGCAAAAGACACTCAAAGCCCCTAGCAATCAACTCATCAGAGTAAAGCTAGTATTGACCCTTGCTCCCTGACCTATCACCTTCAACATTTTGACCCAGTTTAGGCTTCCCTTTTAAAAGCTCATAGAAATATTTCCTCACTATAATTACAAGCGAGGCTCAGGATTTCTCTGTTGTAAGAAGAGCTGGTAGAAAAGGGGCAATTAGGCCAGGCTGCAGGGGCTCATGCCGGTAATCTCAGCACTTTGGGAGGCCAAGGTGGGTGGATCACAAGGTCAGGAGTTCGAGACCAGCTTGGCCAAACATGGTGAAACCTCGTCTCTACTAAAAATACAAGAATTAGCCAGGCATGGTGGGACGCGCCTGTAGTCCCAGCTACTTGGGAGGCTGAGGCAAAAGAATTGCTTGAACCCGGGAGGCAGAGGTTGCAGTAAGCCAAGATCACACCACTGCACTCCAGCCTGGGTGACAGAATGAGACCCCTTCTCAAGGAAAAAAAAAAAAAAAGGAAAGGGACAATTAACCAAGGCACATAATGAAGGATACATAAATATATCTGGTGACAGGGGAGGCCCCTTCCTATTGGATACGATTCTCAGTATCCAAGGGCAAGGAGGAATATGCTTCATTTAGACCAGATGTTGAGTACTTTATTATTAAAGGCTCTTTTCAAGTGAGGTGCCCGTGAATGTGGGTGGAGACCTCTGGGGCCTCCTGTATGGACTGAGTCAAACCTCCCTTCCCTACCCTGGGGGTGTCTCATGCTGCCAGCAATGGCCCCATGTAAAAAGCCTGCTAATCATGAGATTGGAGGGGACATTTGGAGTAGAGACAGTGTGACTCCTGTCGCTAGAGCATAACAACGAAGAGTTCGAAAATAGTATCCACTAATGGAAAACCAATAAACATACAACTTCCAGGTAATTACTATCATATAATTAGCTCTCTGCTTTTGTATGCTCCAGTGGAAATGGGGTCAGGGAGACACCATAACACAGCTTAATACTCACCATACCTTCCACAGTGAAATGAAGATTTTTTATTCCCCAACAAAAATTGAGGGCCGGAAAGCACCAAGACTAGCTGAGCCTAGGCCTAATTCATATTGACTGGTGAGCAAGGTTCTTGGGTTATTTATTTATTTTGAGATGGAGTTTTGCTCTTGTCGCCCAGGCTTGGGGATAGTGGCACAATCTCAGCTCACTGCAACCTCTGCCTCCCAGGTTCAAGCAATTCTCCTGCCTCAGCCTCCCAAGTATCTGGGATTACAGGCGCCCGCCACCATGCCTGGCTACTTTTTGTATTTTTAGTAGAGACAGGGTTTCACCATGTTGGCCAAGCTGGTCTTGTACTCCTGACCTCAGGTGATCTGCCTGCCTAGGCCTCCCAAAGTGCTGGGATTACAGGCGTGAGCCACCACACTCCGCCTCTTGGGTAATTTAAAATGAGCTCTGTGCCTGGAGTCTGAAGATCTGATTTTCACTCCATTCGGCTTTGTCTCATCATGTGACTGCACCTTTAGCCTTCAGTGTCCCTCTAATCTGGAAAATGATGGTGTTGGACTAAATCATATATTCTCAGCTCACCCAAGGGGGTAAAACATGATTCTTGTGGAGGCAAAAAAAATCTTAGATATTACAATAGTTTACAGCCTGCCAAAGTGCAACCATACCAGGCAAAAAAATCTTATTCCTTAGTGCTTATTTCTCTAATTGGATTTTCTTGGGTATTAAATGAACAGCATCGATGTTAAGTTCATGGGAGATACGCAAAATGCATGCAAGATCAGTGCTGCAAAGCTATGGTGAATAGATGGTTGGGATGCGGGGACTTTCTTTTCATTGCTTGCTGCATGAGAAAGTTCCATCATGACAGCTGGTTTGTGTGTGCCTATTGGCTGCCATTAGCTGCCTTGTGGGTGTTGCTTATGTTTGATCCTCAGTGCTTTTGTGTGTAACTTAAGCCTTGAGAAATAAATAAAAATAATTTATATTTTACTATTTCATTCTTCTAAGTGAGTCAACCCACCAGTAATTATGTCAACTGCTGAAAATTATTTAAAATTGTCAACATTACAAAGAATATCTAGCTAAGCACACACACACACACACACAGAGAGAGAGAGAGAGAGAGAGAGAGAGAGAGAGAGAGAGAGTGTCCATAGTTAGATATGCAATACAGTTTTAGTATTAAAATGTCATGGGGGTAATTAGGAAAAAAAAGTCTTAAAAGGCTCTTTGGGAAGGTCATAATAGGTTGAGAAACATTGCACTAGGTGATTCTGAGTCCTCAGTCCTTCCAGCTGTGAGATTCTGCAGGCCCATAACTAAGGATTGTCCTATAGGTTGGTATCCACCTAGCTCAGCAATGTCACTTATTGTCTTGTGAAGTTGGGAAAGTTCCTTAATCTTTCTCAGCCTTGATTTGCTCATCTGGAAAGGAGGAATGCATATATGCATGAATAAATACCAGCATCTTCCTTCCAGAGGAAGAGAAATAGACCAGTTTGACCAGTGTTTCATTTCTCCTGGAAGCAGAGCCTTAGACAAGGATTTGAGCATTTGGGGGGAGATGATCCCAGGAAGCAGGAGTGAGGGAGTGGGGAGAGTGAGGCAGGGAAGGAGGAAAAGCCAGTAAAGGGCGTGATGCTGAGTTGGTTACTGTTGTGGACAGGTCAGTCCTGCTGGCGAACCTCTGAGGAATCATATAGAATGTATCTCAGAATTGTTCCTTTGAAGGATGGGAGGCTGGAACATTTAAGCATGGATTTTCATCCATCATGGGTTGAGGGTTACCCCTGAGGATGTTGACCCCTCTGCACTTCCTGCTTGCTCTGCACTTAGGCTGAGTTTCTGCAGCTTTGGAGAATGACCTGAAGCAGAAAAAGGAGATGCCCGAGGTGGGGCACTAATAATATGCATGGAAATATACAACAACATGGCTGCAGCAGTGGCACAGGGCACCCAAGCCTCTGCCACAACAAGAACAGAGTGTGTGTTGAAGAGCAGCCCTGGCCACAGCACCGTCCATACATCCGTGCATCCACGCCTTCATCTGCGCAGCCACGCAGCCATATCTCCATCCATGCACTGTATCCATCCAGGCATCCGTTCATGCGTGCATTCATCCACTCATCATGCTCCTTCCTATTCTAAAAAATGATCTGGGCGGGGGGATAGAGGGGAATGGAATGGCTAGTCTCACAGTCCCCTTACAACCTTGGGTTCTCAACTTTCCTAGGAACAAGCATCGAAAAGGCAGGTGGAGTATGTACTGTGAGCTTCCCACTACAGCTGGAAAAGTGAAGTAAAGACATGTTCTGGTGAGGCTGCCTGGCGAGGTTGTGCAGAAAGGCAAAGTCCTCACTTCAAAATGTGGTACTCCTCATCAGAGCTTCAGACACTGAGTTATTGACTCTAGGTGTGACTGTTCCCTGAAGATGAAGCAGGAGGTGACTGAGGAGATGTAAAGCCCTGATTCAGAATGCTCTAGTTCATCAGATACACCAGACGCCAATTTATTAATTTACAATGAGTTATAGCTGTCAAGAGAATCAGAACCCTTTGTGGGCTAATCAGCACAGAGCTTTATGAGAAGTCAAATGCGAAACACAAGGCTTCTGGGGACTCTGGAATCAGAGCCATGAGAAGAAACGAATGGTCTTCATGGCAGATATCACTGAGCTATGACAGTCTAATGCATTCACTCCCCTTTGGGGGAAGGCTTGAAGGGGATTTATAGTGAGCCTACCTTCTCCCCTGGATAGTGTTGGAGACACATGGCCAAATTCTTGCTCTCCGAGCCTTCTCACCCCAGCTGTCCAAACTCCGAGAGTTCTTACAACTCCCAGATTGGGTACAATGCAATTAATTTTCAATCAGAGTTCCTTAACTGAAATTATATTCCAGTTCTGCTTCCCAAGAATAATATCCAAAGCACTGTGAGTGGAATCCTGGGTCTGCTCAACCTTTGGTTACCTGACTAGAGTTGCTTCAGAGTAGCTGATGGCATCCATCATGTGCGGCTTTTTCTAGTTGGGCTCTCAGAACATCCTGGCTGGCCACCCCCTGCTCCCTGGCAACACACACACACACCCTACTCAGATCTATTCTCTGCTCTTCTCTGCCCTGCTCCATGCCACAAAGCCTGACCTCTGTGGATGCACCTCCTGGCCTCCCTTGACAGCTCATTTCTGGTTGGGTATGGCCAGAGGGGACATTAGCAGGAGACTGGGGACAGGAAGAGAGTGAGATCAAATCTTTTTCTCCCTCTCCGTCTCCCTGATGTCATGCCTGTCTTTGGCAGTATTTGCCACCCCCCATACCTACAGCTCCTCTTGGGTGGTTCCTTTCTTCCTGGTGCAGCTCATACTGGGCTCCAGTAACACTATTTACTCTCCTTGTTCCTTCAGATATAAGGGTAATAACAGCTTCCCTCCCCCCATCCCTCAGATGCTAGTCTCTGAGTGCCCTAACATCCACTGTTGGTGCCCTATTATCGGCTCATGTGTAAGTATCTTTTTCTTTCAAGTGTCTTCATTTGATCCATCTAGGGTGCATTCTGCTTCTTGCCATGACCTGACTGTCATAGAGGGTATCCTTAATCTCCAAGTCTTTTTAGGCACCCATAATAGCTCACCTTATCTTCACAAGAAAGGCTTTATGTTTCTCATGTGACAACATGTGTTAGGGTAAGAACAAAAGCAATTGACATTGACAGCTTTAGAAACCTTGGGTGAGTACAGTATGAAGTGTTTCAAGAAATGTCTTAGCAGGGCAACAGCACATAAAAAAGGAGGCAATTATGACCATCGGTGACCTTCTCAATCACAAACCAGGAAGGGTGAGTCTGTCCTGCCTTTAATCCCATCATATTTTACTTTATGAGAAAATAGAAATATCAGGCTTAGAAATTAAATTGCTTATCAAATTTTAACCTTCAATCATAGACATTAAAGTTATTAATTATTAAAATTTAAATCATGCATTAAAACTTAAATCATGCATTAAAAATTAAATCATGCATTTAAACATTTTACACAAATTAAATTTTACAAAAAGAACATTGGTTGAAATCAACAGAGGTGAATTTCTCTGGGCTTCCCCTTCCTTTTTTGTTTGGCAAAACAATTTTTATTATCCTTCTTACTAAAGGGTCTAAGATTCCATGGTCCCATTGAGAGTCACTCTGCCCATCAATGTATCAAAGAAACAGCCTTTCTTCAATTTATTTGAGCAACTAATGCTGTTGCATAGCTATCATGGAACCTACTACAGGGGGGAACTTCATCCCACACCTTGGGGGTTCACATCCCCAAAGCCCCCTCTAGCACCCCAAAGATGTCATCTTTCTTTTCCCCCTCAGCACTCAGAATTTAAACCACACAATATGGCATCTGACTATACCTATTTTGTTCTCTAATTTCTTCATGGGTGTCACTTCTCATATTTTCAATGAAATTATAAATTATTCTGGGATAGGCATACTGTCAAATGTCATGGTGTGCCTTTCACCATCCAGGACAAGGGCAGTTTCATTGATATTACATATCTATTCAGCAAACATTTATTGAATACCTACTATGTGCCAGACACAATGCTAGGCACTGGACATATAAAGATGATTCAGATAAAATCCAGATCTTCACAGAACTCAGAATCTGGAGAGGACAAGAGTTATTTATTTTGTTTTATTCTTAGTTCATGTCTTTTATTAACTCATACACAATTACTTGTCTTCTGGTTTGTTGAAGCAATAAGTCAGACAACATTTCCCACAATAATGTCTGTCAAAGTGACTGGCCTTAAAAATGTCACCACCACATTTATCTGAAGGGGACTCCCTACAAAGACAGCTAATTTTGCCATTCTCATCCACCTTATGGTATTTCAGGACAGCCAGCTTAACCTTCTTTCTCTTTGGTCTCCATGGGAGTTGCATAAGACTTCATTTTCTTTTCTTTTTTTTTTTTTTTTTTTTGAGAGGGAGTCTCGCTCTGTCGCCCAGGCTGGAGTGCAGTGGCCCATGATGTCAGCTCACTGCAAGCTCCACCTCCCGGGTTCATGCCATTCTCCTGCCTCAGCCTCCCGAATAGCTGGGACTACAGGCACCCACCACCACACTCAGCTAATCTGTTGTATTTTTAGTAGAGACGGGGTTTCACCGTGTTAGCCAGGATGATCTCGATCTCCTGACCTCGTGATCCGCCCGCCTCGGCCTCCCAAAGTGCTGGGATTACAGGCGTGAGCCACCGTGCCCGGCCAACAAGACTTCATTTTCTTAACACCATTGTGAAATCTCAACACAAGATGGAGAGTGCACTCTTTGCAAATGTGGTAGACAGACAAAGCATGTTAATCTCTGATATGGTTTGGCTGTGACCCCACCCAAATCTCATCTTGAACTGTAGTCTCGATAATCCCCACGTGTCATAGTAGGGACCCAGTGGGAGGTAACTGAATCATGGGGGTGGTTAACTTCATGCCGTTCTCATGATAGTGAACTCTCACGAGATCTGATGGTTTTTTAAGGGGCTTTTCCCACCCTTTGCTCTGTACTCCTTGCTGCGCCATTTGAAGAAGGACGTGTTTGCTTCCCCTTCTGCCATGATTGTAAGTTTCTTGGGGCCTCCCTAGCCCTGTGGAACTGTGAGTCAGTTAAACCTCTTTCATTTATAAATTACCCAGTCTCAGGTATGTCCTTACAGCAGCATGAGAACGGATGAATACAATCTCCCAGGTGCTTGCCAACAAAGATCAGCAAAGGCTGATCAGGAGGAATTCCTTCCTTCTCCTGATCTTGACCTTTGCATGTTTCATCATATCTGAGGGTTCAACCTCAAGAGTGGATGGTCTTCTCTGTAAAACTTTTTATGAAAATATGCATTTCGGTGATTGTTCCATGGCAGATGGCAACTCAAAAAGCAGCACAATGGTTTTGAGATAGGGTCTCGCTCTGTCACCCAGGCTGGAGTGCAGTGGTGTGATCACAGATCACTACAGCCCCTACCTCCCAGGCTCAAGTGATACTCCCACCTCAGCCTCCAGAGCAGCTGGGACCACAGGCATGTACCACCACACCTGGTTTATTTTTAAATGTTTTGTAAAGATGGGGATGATCTTGCTACGTTGCCCAGGCTAGCCTCGAACTCCTAGGCTCAAACAGTCCTCCCACCTTGGCCTTCCAAAATGCTGGGATTACAAGGCCTAAGCTACCTCCCCCAGCTAACAATACTTTTAAAATATAAAACTACAGTGCATACTGAGAAGTGCTCAAATGATGTTATGATCATGAATACAAGGGAGAGCAAAGAAAGAATGAAATTTGATTGAGATGTTGAAGAATGAGAAGGCTTTTCCAAGAAGGGCAGTGATGACGGGCACTCCAGTGATGGGGAATTGTAGGCAAAAAGGACTGTGTGTCTGCAGAATAGCAAGCAGTTGAGTATTTGGACAAAGGGGCTTGGAGGGGTAGAGAGGGCATGATAATGGGAGAGGAGGTGCTGCAGAGGCCTTTTGTGAACTCCTGGCACTGAAGTCCTAAGATGTGGGCCTGCATCCAAGTTTGCCTTTTCCCTATATGCCCTTGAGCACATCAACCTTTGGAAGCTACCATGTCCTTATCTCTAAAACAGGGACAATAATGCCTATTTCTTACTGCTGTCACTAGGATTGAAAAAGATAATTAACGGAAAAGCACCACGTTAATATCTTGCCATCCCACTTGCTGTCTAGGGGATATTAGGCAAGATGCTAAATCATTCTGAGCCTCAGTTTCTTCGTGGGACAATAATAATGATACCTACATAAAATTCTTTTAGCATATCATGGCAAGCTTTGCCCCTCAGTATAATTATAATGCATTCTTCTTTCTGATGAGAAGCATTATGGAAGAAATCGCATTTTTCTTTCTCCCTCCCTGGCTGCCAGGACTTTCAGAAGCAGGCTTGATGCCCAGTCCCAGAAAACATGGTACCTCTTCTGTAAGTATGTCTGCAACCTCCTCTTCCTGAACTGCATTTTTTTTTTTTTTTTTTTTTTTTTTTTTGAGATGGAGCCTCGCTCTGTTGCCCAGGCTGGAATTGGAGTGCAGTGGTGCGATCTTGGCTCACTGCAAGCTCCACCTCCCAGGTTTACGCCATTCTCCCACCTCAGACTCCCAAGTAGCTGGGACCACAGGCACCTGCCACCACGCCTGGCTAATTTTGTTTTTGTATTTTTAGTAGAGGCGGGGTTTCACCATGGTAGCCAGGATGGTCTCGATCTCCTGACCTTGTGATCCGCCCACCTCGGCCTCCCAAAGTGCTGGGATTACAGGTGTGAGCCACTGTGCCCAGCCACATTCTTTATTTTATTATTCTTACTTCAAGTTTATCCTTCATTGCAAAGTTTTGATTCTTGATTCTTTTCTTCAAGCAACCTGCTTCTTTTCCATGCAAATATATAATCTTAGGAGATAGGAGTCCTAATTCTTGCAAAGTGTTCTTGTAAATTAAAGCAGTGTATTAGTCCATTCTCGTGCTGCTATAAAGGGATACCTGAAATTGGGTAATTCATAAAGAAAAGAGGTTTAATTGACTCATGGTTCCACAGGCTGTACAGAAAGCATGGCTTGGGAGGCCTCAGGAAACTTACAATGATAAGGGAAGGTGAAGGAGAAGCAGGCACATCTTACATGGCTGGAGCAGGAGAAAGAAAAAGACGGTAGAGATGCTACACACTTTTAAACAACCAGATCTTGGCCGGGCATGATGACTCATGCCTCTAATTGCAGCACTTTGGGATCACTTGAGGCCAGGAGTTCGAGACCAACCTGGCCAACATGGCAAGACCCCATCTCTTCTGAAAACACAAAAATTAGCTGGGTGTGGTGGCGCACGCCTGTAATCCAGCTACTTGGGAAGCTGAGGCATGAGAATCACTTGAACCCGGGAGGTGGATGTTGCAGTGAGCCAAGATCGTGCCACTGCACTCCAGCCTGGGCGACAGAGTGAGACCCTGTGTCAAATAAACAAACAAACAACAACAACAAAAAACAGATCTTATAACTCACTATCACAAGAACAGCACCAAATGGGAAACCCACCCCCATGGTCCAGTCACACCTCCTACCAGGCCCCACCTCCAACACTGGGGATTATAATTTGGCGTGAGATTTAGGTAGGGACACAGACTCAAACCATATCAAGCACCTTTATTTAATCAAGCTCTTCTTGCTAGAAATGATTTCCAATCCTCACATTTAGACAGGAGAGAGAGAGAGAGGGAACTGGGGAAATAAAAATAAAGATAAATACCCTTACAGGTATCAAGACTCAAAATTATATTAGTGCAGCATTAAATACCACTTGGGCCTTTTAACTTATTCATTATTTAATTTTTAATCATAAAATTATATGCATATCCTCCTTAAAAAATTGAATGTTGATAAAACTAAAGTTTTTTTGGAGCCCCTAACCTCAGTTTCCTCCCCACCTCCCCAAAGGAGACCATTATTATTAGTTAGGTGTGGAAACTTCTCTGTCCTTTCTTATGCATTTACATTTTTTTCCATAGAAAATGAACTCATCTTTACATTTTGACAGTTAATCTTCTGGGCTGTGCCTGAGGGTTGCCTTTCATTCATGATAACTTTTTAAGACAGGCCACATGTATATAAGTGTATGTAAATAAAATAACTTATGAAATCTAAAAGGGGAAAGGTTTCACATGAAATATATCTTTATGGAAGCTCCATAGCCTTCTAGAAAACAGAGAGCACATGTCAGCCCTGGTATCTCCCAGCTACTTTCTCTTTTCTGAATACTGAGCCTTCAGGGGCTGCCAGGGCAGTTGACACACACTCTGTGCTAGAAGGGTGAATGTGTAAGAAGGAAAGACCCTTGCATTGGAGGTCACCCCCAAGTCCCATTCTACAGATGGGTAGACCAAAGCCTAGAGGGGAGGCAATGAACTTCCAAGGTCACACAGCTGGGTAGAGGCCGAGCTGGGGTAGAAACCCGGCACCTTCCTGATTCCCAGTCCTGTGCCCATTCTACACTCACATGCCCAGTTCCTGCTTTCATTTTGGGAACTTGCCCATGGACCAACCTCTGTGCAGTCACCGAGGGGTGCTCATTTAACATTTACCCATTTGGTACACACAAGGCACACATTGCAGATAATGTGGGAAAACTGTGAAATTGAAGGACACTGTATAGATGTGTTCATTCTCTCCTTTATCAGAAGATTTACAGTTTGCCTTTTCTATGCTAGGAGCTGAGGTATGTAACATGGGGATACAGAGCTGCATCAGATCAGGTCCTGCCCTCTAGGAGTTTAGAACTAATTGAGGACACAAGACAAGTACAGCAACAGCCACAATGCCAAGTTTAAAGTGCCAAGCCCATTGGAGAGGTGGAGCGTGCAGAAAGAGACAGCCTTGCATCTAAGAGTGGGGGATCAGAGAAGGCTTCCTGGAGGAGGTGGCATCTGAGCAGCCCTTGAAGGATGATTAGGTTAGATGAGAGGTAATAAGATAAGGGAATTCCAGGCACAGCAAGGGGCTGAGCAAGAAAAGCAAGGAGGGTTTCAGAGAAAAGGTGGAGCTCAGGTTGGTAGGTAAGGTGAGAATGCTTGTAAAGGTGCTGAAGCCAAGCTTAGCCCCCTTGCATTGCAATCCTGAGGCATGTGTCTTCTTGCCTTCACTACAGTATATGCCCCAGAGGAAAGACAGCTGGCTTTATAGCTGTAAATCTTCTTGATGCCTGGAAACGTCATGCATATATTATATTATCGTGGACTATTTATAATTCCATTATAATTATAATATATATGAGAATGTACACATTAGATGTATATCTATATACAATATATTATATATGCATATAATATAAGGAAGAGAGATGGGAGGAAGAAAAGAGGGGAGTAGGTAAACAAGCAGGCAAAGAAATTACCTCCTTCTGTCACCCACTCTTTATCCTTCCCTGGGGACATTGTGTTTTCTCATTCTAGGAGTCTAAATAAATTGTCGATTTAATCTTGTGCTGTAATATGGATATGTCACAAGTGATTTGACTGCATGTTCTAGTATGATAATCACCATGTATTACTTCTTAGAAGTTACAAACAGCTTTGCTGTTCCCAACCCTGAGAGGAATATGTGACTGTCACAAATCCCCTCAGGAACCAGGAGCAGACACTTACAAAATCCACTACCTTAAGAGAAAAAAAATCACCCCCTCTAGGGATAAAGGAAATGCCAATTAAAACCACATGAAATATAATTTCCCTTTTCCTCCTCAAATTAGCAAAACTTTTAAATGAAATGAATGAGAATATGCACGAACATGATTGAGTTATTCCAATTCACATTAATCAAGTATGTATTAAGGATTTTTTTTTTTTTTTTTTTTTTGAGACAAATCTCACTCTGTCACCCAGGCTTGAATGCAGTGGTGTGATGACAGCTCACTGCAGCCTCAACCTCCTGGGCTCAACCAGTCCGACTACCTCAGCCTCCTGAGTAGCTGGGACCACAGGCATACACCACCAAACCTGGCTAGTTTTTGTATTTTTTGTGGAGGTGAGGTGTCATCATGTTGCCCAGGCCTGTCTCGGATTCCTGGGCTTAAGCAATCCTCCCTCCTAGGCCTCCCAATGTGTTAGGATTACAGGTGTGAGCCACCACACCTGGCCCAAGAATCTTAAAATGTTCATACCCCTAGGCAGTAGTTAACATTTCTATGGATTTATTCAAAGGAAGAAAATCTGAAATGTAGACAAAGTATTAAATATGAGTGTTCATTTCAGGATTACTTGTCATAGAGACAAATGAGAAATAATAGAAATGGCAAAATGAAGGTCATAATTAAGCAATTTATAATGTACCCAGCCAGTGGAGTCTTAGGCAGGCCTTACAATGGATGTTTATGGAAGAGTTTTTAATGGCATAAAAATATGTATGTGTGTGTGTGTGTGTGTTCTGGTTTGTTTATCCCTGAATATTTTAATGTGTTTTTTCTAAAAATAGAGATTTTTTTAAACCTGAAAATAATCAAAATCAGGAAATTAATGATGATATGACACCATATCACCATTACTTAATCCACAGACATAAACTCATTATTGTCCTAATAATATGCTTTATAGCAAAAGGAAAATTTTTTTCTTCTAGTCCAGGATACAGTAGCTGCAGTGAACCACCTCAAAAGGAGGAGCAACACTAAGATGTCCCATGTCCAGAGGTGATGGAAGAAAGTTGGAACAAAAGATACTCCAGGGAAATTGACAAGGGAATTAACTGGGGACCTGTAGCAGGAGCAGCCAGGCCTATCAGCCTTGGATTTCTCCACCTACCCTGCATGTAAGAGTTTAGGGGGCAAGGACTTGGATTAATGAGAAGGGGTCATGTATTGAGTGGCTGTCAAAATCTGGGAGGAATGAGAAACATCCAAGCCTAAAAGACCAGCTGCTGAGCTTCCCACCTAGCAGCAGGTCCTGCCTATCAACATTGTATGGAGGCACAAGCTCAGTAACTGTTTTGCTCTTCTCTATACACAGGCAGCTCAACCAAAGGCAGCTGTCAGCCTAACAAGACATTGCAACTCAAAAATGCACACAGTCAAGGATCACCAAATGCATGAGGAGTGCAATACTATAAAAAAGAGATCACAGATCCAGCAGATGGACAAATGCACACCTGAAGAAAGAGAGTTAATAGGGAAAACCAGAACTAGACTTAAAAATAAATGTGATTATAAATCATCAGAGAGATAAGAAAGTATTTTATTCATGATACAGGAATAGCTGGTTGTAAACAAGAAACAGAAATTTTGTAATAAAATATATAATTATTGAAATAAAAAATACATGGGCTAGTAGCAGAATGAACACAGTTAAAGGGTGAATCAGGGAACTGGAAGATGTGGTATGGGAATTCTTTCAGAATGCAACACGAAGTAAGAGAGATGGATTTTAAAAAGAAACAAAAGGTAAAGATATAGCGAATAGATTCAATATTCATCTAATAAGAGTTCTAGAATTACAGGCCAGAGATAACAGGGAGAAAGTATCATTTAAAGAAATAATAACTAGAGATTTTCCAGTATTTTTTAAAAAGTAGGTTCTCAGATTGAAAGGTTTCACTAGGTACCAATAAAATAATTTTTTAACCCACATCTGGACTCATCATAGTGAAACTGCACAACATCAAAGATAAAGAAAAAATTCTAAATGCTCAGAGAAAAAAAAATTAGATGTACCCACTAGAAAAGAATAATATCAGATGTTTTTAGCAACATAAATTCAATACCTTCAAAATGCTAAAGTAAGGGATATTTCAGTTTATTATTTTATAGCCAAATTATATTTAAATGTGAGGATGAAATACAGGTATTTTCAAACATAAAAATACTCAGAAGATTTACTCACTCCTTCCCTTCCAGATCCTTTTTGGGGAAAAAGAAAAGCAATTAGATGTTGTACTCTAGTTAAGAAAAAAACCCAAGAGGAAACAGTGGCATGCAAAAACCAAAGGTGAATTTCTTTTATTGAGTCAAGGTCTCTCTCTGTGGCCCAGACTAGAGTATAGTGGCACAAACATGGCTCACTGCAACCTTGAACTCCTGGGCTCAAGCAATCCTGGGTGTAGCTGGGAGCCTTTCAAGTAGTTGGGACCACAGGTGTGCACCACCATGCCCAGCTATTTTTTATTTTTTGTTGAAACAGGGTCTCACCATGTTGTCCAGGCTGGTCTTGAACTCCCTGACTCAAGCAATCCTCCTGCCTCAGCCTCCCAAAGTGCTGAGATTATAGGCATGAGCCACCACACTCAGCTGTGAATTTCTTAAAATGATTGAATAAATCTTATTTTTATCTAAATAACTTCCTGAAAAGTTATAACAACCTGGAACTAAAATTTGAGGTTAGCATACTGAGTATGCATAGGAACATTCCACAAAAAGTGGAGGTAATGAAATTAAGCTTCCTGTTAATATTTTTGCCTTGTTTGGGTGATGGTAAAACATAATGATGGGAGGCCATTGTTTTGAACAAAGCTCCTGCCCTAGGCCTCAACAGGCCAGGCTAAAAACCAAAATGGAGTCACCCATGCTAAAGTTCCATCTCACCAAACAGAAAGTAAGTTGTTATCGGACCTTCTGAGAAATCAGGATGAAACCGACCCAACAGTCCCATAGATTTTTTTTGATAAACATAGAAATGGACACTTCTGGTCTTAAAGCTTGAAACGTACATTTGTTTTATTAGTTCCTTCTTCAGGAAAGAAACCCCTGGCTTCTCAAGAAGTATCAAATAAATGAAACTCAAGAGATCATAGTATTCAGACAATGAGATGACAGGCCCCTCATTCATCATGATTGTGTCCTTACCCCAAGTTCCTGTTTTCCCACTTGTGGTTACATTTCTTCCCTGTTATATAAACCCCTAATTTTAGTCAATCAGGGAGATGGATTTGAGACTGATCTCCTTTCTCCTCAGCTGAAGCTCTCAGTTAAATCCTTCTTTCTTGGCAACACTTTTTGCCTCAGTCATTGGCTTTCTGTGCTGTGAGCAGCAGGACCTAGACCAAGGACCTAGACCTGTTACCTTTTGGTAACAAGAGGAGAGAGATAACAGCCAATTCCCCAAATAGGCCAGTTACAATCAGCTGATAATGAAGTTCCCTCCACTTTAATCCCTACCAAAAAAGTAACCTGAAGTTAACCAATCAGTTACCTTTCCACTATTCTTTCTCTCTGTCCCTGCCTTACAAAAAAAGTAACTTTGTGAAATTACCAGTCCACTTTTCATTCTTTGTTTCTGGTTTCTTCAGCTCTTCTCTGCCTATAAAAACCAACCTCTTCTGCTCAGCTCATCAGAATACTTATTCTATTTTGTGGAATAAAGTGTTGCCTGATTCTAGAAATGCGAATAAAGCCAATTAAGATGTTTAAACTAAATTTGTTGTAATTTTGTCTTTTGACAGTGAAGACATAGATACCAATTAGTTCTTTAAAATATACTTGCATATGTGCATTAAAAATGAATGTTAATAAGCACATGAAAAGAATTCAACATTAGTCATTAGGGAAATGCAAATAAAAACCACAATGAGGCACCTCACTACACCCACCAGGCTTGCTATAATAAAAAAGATAGACAATAAAAAGTATTGGCAAGGATGTGGAAAAATTGGAACCCTCATACATTGCTGATGGAATTGTAAAATAGTACAGCCACTTTGGAAAACTATTTGGCGGTTCCTCAAAATGTTAAACATAGAGTTACTATATAATCCAGCAATTCTACTCCTGGTACATACCCAAGAAAAGTGAAAACATATGTTCACACAAAAATCTGTATACAAATGTTCATAGCAGCACTATTCATAATAGCTAAAAATTGGAAACAACTAAAATGTCCGTTGGCTGGTAGATGGATATACAAAATGTGGTATACTCATACAATGGAATATTATTCAACAATAAAAAGGAATGAGGTACTGATACATGCTATAACAAGTAAACCTTGGGAATATTATAAGCAAAACAAGTTAAACACAACAGGCCATATATTGTACGACCCTATTTATTTACTTATTTCAGAGACAGTGTCTCACCATGTTGCCAAGGCTGGAGTGCAGTGGCTGTTCACAGGCATGATCATCACGCTCTACAGCCTGGAAATTCTGGGGCTCCAAGAATCTGCCTGCCTCAGCTGGGACCACCAGTGCACACCACCATGCCCAGCTGTGTATGATTCCATTTACATGAAATGTCCAGAAGGGGAAAATCCACAGAGACAGAAAATACGTTAATGATTGCCAGGTCCTGGAGGGAGGGGAAAATGAGAAGTGACTGCTAATGGCTGCAGGGGTGATGAAAATGTCCTGAAATTAGATAGTGGTAATGGTTGGACAACTCTGTAAATGTATGAAAAAATGCCCAATATATACTTAATTTTTAAATTTTATTTATTTTTTTGAGACAGGGTTTCACTCTGTTATCCAGGTTGGAGTGCAGTGGCTCAATCAAGGCTCATTGCAACCTCTGCCTTATGGGTTCAAGCAATCCTCCCACCTCAGCCTCCCAAGTAGCTGGGATTACAGGTGCACACCACCACACCCAGCTAATTTTTTTGTATTTTTGGTAGAGACGGGGTTTCTCCATGTTGCTGGGTCTCAAACTCCTGGGCTCAAGTGATCTGCCCATCTCGGCCTCCTAAAGTGCTGGGATTACAGGTGTGAGCCATTGTGCCTGGCCATCATTAGATACTTTAAAAGGGTGAATTTTATGGTATGTGAATTGTATCTTAATAAACCTTTTTTTTGTTTGAGATGGAGTCTCGCTCGGTTGCCCAGGCTGGAGTGCAGTGGTGTGATCTCAACTCACTGCAACCTCCACCTCCCAGGGTCAAGTGATTCTCCTGCCTCAGCCTCCCGAGTAGCTGAGATTACAGGCACGCACCACCACGCCTGGCTAATTTTTGTATTTTTAGTAGAGACGGGGTTTCACCATGTTGGTCAGGCTGGTCTCAAACTCCTGACCTTGTGATCCCCCTGCCTCGGCCTCCCAAAGTGCTGGGATTACAGGTGTGAGCCACCGCGCCCAGCCCAACCTGTTGTTTTTTTAAAGAAAAGAATGTTACAATAGAATATTATTCAGCAAAAAAAATGAAGAACTGACACATGCTACAACATGAATGAACCTTGAAGACATTATGCGAAGTGAAATAAGCCAGGCACAAAGGCTAAATATTGTATGATTCCATCTATATGTGGTAGTGAAATTCATAGAGACAAAAAGTAAAATGGCAGTTGGGAGGGCAGGAGGGGGAAAATGGGGAATTAGCGTTCAATGGGTACAGAGTTTCAGTTGGGGAAGATGAAAACTTTCTGGAAATGGATGGTAGTAATGGCTGTGCAACAATGCATATGTATTTAATGCCACTGAACTTTACACTTCAAAATGGTTAAGATCATCAGTCATTGGCACCATCCTGCAATCTAAGGCTCAGGTTCAGTGCTCTTCAAGGACACTGGGCCCCACTGGGCAGGAATCCTGGCCTTGCAGGGCCCTAGACAGGCATAGAGGAGAGCCATGTCCAGACACCCCATGCTCCACATTCTGGGGACCCGGGTCCATGAAGTGCAGGCTGCAGCACTGGTGAGAGCTGGAACTTTCAACCGCCCAGAAAGGCGGTAGCCCAGGCTTATACTGCAGTGCCTGGCTCCTCTTAGCAACTAAGACAGTGCCTTGGCCTGGGGCAGGCAGCACTGGGGATTTGTGGCCAGGTGGGCAGTGCAGCTTCTCATTGCTGGGGCTTTACTGGGAGCTTGGGAGGGTGAGGCTACCCAGCAGCCATAATGGTGCACATGAATGTCCTGGTTGATGCTCTCAAGAGCATCAACAATGCTGAGAAGAGGAGTAAATGCCAGGTTCTTATTAGGCCGTTCTCCAAAGTCATCATCCAGTTTCTAACTGTGATAATGAAGCATGGCTACATTGGTGATTTGAAACCATTGATGATCACAGAGCTGAGAAAATAGTGAACCTCACAGGCAGGTTAAACAAGTGTGGAGTGATCAGCCCCAGATTTGATGTGTGTTGGTCCGTTTCATATTGCTATAAAGAAATACTTGAGGCTGGGTAATATATAAAGAAAAGAGATTTATTTTGGCTCACAGTTCTGCAAGCTGTACAAGAAGCATAGCACCGGCATCTGCTTCTGGTGAAGGCCTCAGGAAGCTTCCGCTCATGGCACAAGGTGAAGTGGGAGCAGGCACATCACATGGCAAGAATGGAAGCAAGGGATGGAGGGAGGGGGCCACACTCCTTTAAACAATCCCATCTCGATGAACTCTCAGAGCCAGAACTCACTCCTTATGGCAAGGAGGGCACCAAGCCATTCTTAAGTCATCTGCCCCCATGACTCAAACACCTCCCACTGGGCCCCACCTTCAACACTGCAGATCACATTTCAACATGAGATTTGGAGCGGGACACACATCCAAACCATATCAATGTCCAACTCAAAGATCTAGAAAAACGGCAGAATAACCTGCTTTCATCCCACCAGTTTCAATTCATTGTACTAACAACCTCAGCTGGCATCATGGACCATAAGAAAAAGCAAGACAATAACACATTTGAGGGAAAATCCTGGGATTCTTTTTCTAGGGGTGTAATACATACCTATAAATAAAATGTCTTAGTGGACCCTGGTGCTTCCAAAACATGAATAAATAAAATGGTTAAAACCTGGCAAATATCAGCAAAAATAATTTTCATGCTGATAAAAGGAATACTTTTCCAAAAAATTATAACACGAGTTTACATATCTAACAACATAGCTTTGAAATATACAGCAAGAGTTTATGAATTACTAAATAATTTATAATTTGTATACAATTGGAATCATATAGCTGTGTGTGTCTGTGTGTGTCTGTGTGTGTGTGTGTGTGTGTGTGTGTGTGTGTGTGTGTGTCTGTGTATTTTTTTTTTTTTTTGAGATGGAGTCTCACTCTGTCACCCAGGCTGGAGTAAAGTGGTGCAATCTCAGCTCACTGCAACCTCTGCCTCCCATGTTCAAGCGATTATCCTGCCTCAGCCTCCTGAGTAGCTGGGATTACAGGCACACACCACCATGCCCGAATAATTTTTGTATTTTTAGTAGAGATGGGGTTTCACCATGTTGGCCAGGCTGGTCTTGAACTCCTGACCTGAGGTGATCCACCCACCTCGGCCTCCCAAAGTGCTGGGATTACAGGTGTGAGCCACCGTGCCCGGTCTTTTTTTTTTTTTTTTTTTTTTTAGACAGATTCTTGCTCTGTCACCCAGGCTGGAGTACAGTGGCATGATCATACCTCACTATAACCTTGAACTCCTGGGCTCAAGGGGTCCTCCTGCCTTAGCCTCCCAAGTAGATGGGACTACAAGCACAGACTACTGCACCTGGCTAATTTTTTAGTTTTTGTAAAGATGGGGTCTCACTTTGTTACCCAGTCTGGTCTCAAACTCCTGGGTTCAAGTGATCCTCTCATCTCTGCCTCCCAAAATGCTGAGATTACAGGCATGAGCCACTGTGCCCAGCCTAGACCTATATTTATATTGAGAGACTCACACACATTCATCAGACACTGACAAATCAAGAAGACAAAAAAGTATAGAGTATCTAAAGAGCAAAACAGTATTAGTTTAAGTCACACTAGCAACTGTAGCAAATAAACTTTTAACTAAGAGTAGCTGAACACTTAGACAATCGAGGTTAATTTCTTTTTCACGTAAAGTTCAATGTTTGGTTGTGGGGCACGGAGGAAGGGTCTCTGCCAGGAATTCAAGCTGATAGAAACTCTGCCACCTTCAACATGTAGTTGCCAAGGTCACTCTGTGTGTTGAGATCTTGGCATTCATAGTGACAGACAGAAAGGAGAAACACACGTAAGCTGGGCCTGGAAGTGGCACACATAATTTCTGCTCATGCTCCATTGGCCAAAACTCAGTACAAGACCACATCTAATTGCAAAAAGTCCAGGAAATGTAGCCTAGTTGTGTGCCCAGGAGGAAGGGGAACAAGTTTGTTCATCAATTAGCTAGTCTTTAACACAGCAAAGAACAGACGACCTGTCAATGTAATGGATATATGTAGAACTTTGAATAGAAAATGTACATTCTTCACAAATACAAATGGAACATTTATAAAAATTGACTAAGTATTGACTAAGTATTTAACTGCACAGTAAGTTCCAAAAAAATTTTTTAAGTGATATAGCTGGGCACAGTCCCAGCTACTTAGGAGGAGGAGGTAGGATGATTGCTTGAGCCCAGGAGTTTGAGTCCAGCCTGAGCAACATAGCAAGACCCCATCTCAAAAAATAAGTAAGTAAGTAAAGTGAAATAATATAAAACATTTAATGATAAAATTTTATGTCAACAACAACAGGAAGATGGCTAGAAATTTGTATACACCGAGAAGTTTTAAAACACAGGTCTAAATAATTAATGAGTTGACAAAAAACTACAATAAAATTAGAATTAACTGAAGTACTACTTTAAGATGACGTTAAAGTAGTCTTCAGGGAAATATATAAACTTACTTGCACTTACTATAAAGCAAGAAAGACTAATGATGAATTAACTTAGCTTTTGCATTGGTTCCCTAGGGCTGCCATAACAAATTACCACACACTGTGTGGCTTAACACAATAGACATTTATTGTCTAATAGTTTTGGAGGCTAGAACTGAAATCAAAGTGTTGGTGACACCATGTTCTCACTGAAGGAGGTGGCTTCCTAGCCTCTTACTGTCTTCTGATGATTGCCAGCAATCCTTGGCTTATAGACACATCACTCCAATCTCTGCTTCAGTCATCACATGGCATTCTCCCTGTGTGTCTGTCTCAGGGTCCAAATTTCTCTTTTCTTATAAGAACACCAGTCATATTGGATTTAGGGCCCACCTTAATCCAGTATGTTGTGTTTGGCCATTGAGGTATTGGAGTTTTCTGTTACAGCACTGAGCCTACTAACAAGGTACATCATTAGATGTATTCTCATTAATGTCAAGAGCAAGATTAGAATACCCACTATTCCCCTTCTTCATCATACCCAACTTCATGCAATAAGATTACCTCCAAAATAGACATATAAATATTAGAAGAGAAGAAGACAAAGCAAAGCATTAATTATATACAGATGAGATTTGGTTGCCTTCTCTAGAAGACCTAAAAGAACCAATGAACAAACTGTCAGAATTAATAGTACCAATGTACCAAAATTAATTGCCTTTCTACTTACAAGTATAAGCTATGAGAAAATGTAATTGGAAAAAAACAATAGTAACAAAGACTATAAAGTCTTTAGGAAAAATTTTAGTAAAAGATCTTTATGAAGGTGATTTTAAACTTGACTAAAACACATTTTAAAAGACCCAATAAATCAACATGTCAGATTCTTGGATAGAAAGACGCTATATTCGAGATACATTTCTCAAAATCTAGGTATGAATTTGATGCAATAACAATCAAATTACTCAAAAGACTTTTCACAGACCTTCATAAATGAATTCGTATGGAAGAATACATGTACAGGAAGAACCAAGGCAATGAAACAGAAAAAGTGGGTAAATTGCCCATCAGCTGTTAAGATACATTATAAATCAATAGTCAAAACAGTGTAGTATTTGCATAAAAATAGAAAAGGAGATAAATGGATAAATGGAAAAGAGTAAAGGGTCAGGAAATAGATCTGCGTTTATATGGGGATTTGGTATATGATAGAGGTGGTATTCAAAATCAGTGGAAAAAAGACTATTCAATAATTGGTATTAAAGCAATTAACGACCCATATGCAAAGCAACAAAATTAGATTCCTATCACATACATACACCAAAATAAATCCAGATGGAGTCAATGTTTTAATGTTTAAAAAAAAGATAAGTAAATAGATACTTAAAATTATTAGTGAAAAACGTAGATCAAATCTTTTTGAACAAAAAACAAAAATCTATAAAGGAAAATACATAAATTTTGCCATATTAAGTATTTAAAATTCTGCATGTCAAAAGACATTGCAAACAAGATTAAAAAATAATCAGCAGACTGAGGAAAATGCTTGTGATAGATACAGAAAAAAAGATAGTGGCCTAAATATATAAAGCAACTCTATAAACTAATTTTTTAAATAGCCAGTAAACAATATGCTTAATCATACTAATAATCAGGAAAATCATACAAAAATAAATTATTTTCACTCAGTAGATTCTAAAAAATTTAAGTTTTTTTAAAAAAGTGAAGTCTTATAATCAAGCAAAGCAGTGTTATAAGCTAACAAGGATGCTCATTATACGCAGTAGCTTTAGAGGGCAATTTGGCAGTGTGGATTAAAAGTAAATAAATGCATATTCAGCAATTCTACTTCCGTGCATCTACCACCAGAGAAACACTAGCCCCTGTGCAGAAGAACATGCAAAGGTTATTCATTGTAGAATTTATCACAGTAGCAAAAAATTGGAACCAATGTATATGCTCATCAAGAACAAAATGGGTAGATACAAAGTGGCTTATACATAAGATCGAATAATATAGGTGTCAAATGAGCAAAAAAGAAAAAAGCAAATTGCAGAGAAAACATTATACCATTGTGTAAAACACATATACAATATAATATATATATATACATTTATTATTACACTGTACATTTCCTGTGGGTCTACATAAATGAAATAGGTATAAATAAATGAAAAATGAGTGTAAATAAGTGGGAAAAAAATTAAATGGTCTGCAAAATTAATACATCAAAGAACCCAGGGCTGTGGGTGGTGATCAGACAGATCTTTAGCTTTAATATTCTAAGTTTAATATTAATTATTAAACAATTAAATGAAATTATTAAAAATTACAACATAATTAAAAATACAATTTACGCTGCACAAGAAAAAAATTAGAGAAAAAAGACTGAAAGGAAATGTACAACAATGTATAACAATGGTTGCCTCTGGGTGATGTGTTTATGGGTGATTTTCCTTTCTGCTTTTTTTTCCTTTCATTTTCTGTACTTTACACATTTTCTGAAATGGCCATGTGTTACTTTATAATTAGCCATGAAAAATGAAAAAGAAAAATAAAGAGCGTTTAAAAAACCCACTGTCAAATTCAGTCTTTAAAGAGCAGTGTGCTTACTTCCCTTCCCCCAAAGAGGCCCTGACATTTAGAAACAATATAAAACACTCTGAAGCACCATTTAATCCTATTACTCTTCTGGACCTCTTACAAACCTGGGGATGATCCCTTTGACTCTTTAAAATAAATCTCCCAAGGTCATGGGGTTCGTCAGTAACAGAGGGGGATGAAACTCCCAGGCCAGTGCTCCTCCCCTGCGCCATCTGGCACCTCAGAATTTCAGCAAAGATTTATTGCTTGAGCTAGCCAAAAAGCCAAATGCTCAAATGCATCTTCTTTCTAAGGGAATATTACTCCACTTAGGACCACTCTACTAACTTGCCACTGCCTCCTTTCTGGGCCTCAGTTTCCTCGTCTGTAAAATAAGGGGATTGTGTTGTCTCAGCAGGTCTGGAAATTCCAGGTTCCTAAAACATCCTGTGTGCCTTTTCTCTTCCCAGCTACTTCAAAGGATCCGCTTCTTCATGCTTGCTCTATGGTGATCACTGGGAGATCGTTTCCAATCCTGGTTCTGCAGCGAATTTATGTCCTGGGTGTCCCTGGGCAATGCAGTGCCTGTCTGGGGACCTCAGTTTTCCCATCTCTACAAGGAGGGTTTGGGCCCAGACCAGAGTTTTTCCACAATCTGGGAAGGTGAAGTGGGGTGACTTAGCTCCCTATAGGTCTGTTTCGCAAACTGAGGTTCTTGGTAAGGTTTTCTTTGAAACGAGAATCTTTAGCTACAAACCTGCTTGAAAACCACTGGGCAAGGAGACTTCGCAAGCTCTTTTCCAGGACTGACATTCTGTTTCTCCATGAGCAGCAGAACACTAGGTACCAGGGTAAAATAATGAAGATGACTCCCTTGGCTTGGGGCTTCCATCCTACTCCCTCTTGGGGGCTGAGCTGTTCAGTATTAAGATCTGAAATGCTCGGATCAGCTCAGCCCCCACTTCTTCCTCTCGCTCCCCGTCACCTAGGCAACCGGGCGGGGCCTGGGCGCGCGGTTCCTCCCTCCCCTTTCTCCCCACTCCAACGCCAGGCTGCATTCCCACCCTCTGCCTCCGCCTCTGCCCACAGCTTCTCTGCGTCTGGAGTCGCGAGTTCCACCAGTCGGGCTGCGTTTTGTGAACATGGAAACCAGATTTCAAGCGGGGGGGCCCCAACGCCCGAAAATGATCCTAGTTTGCATGCTAGATTTGCCTGGCTTCTTGACGGACGTGTTGCAGCCAAAGGGTCTGACCTTGCCAGGGCAACGTATGCAGAGCTTTGGAGGCCTGAGACGGGCTTGTTGGTGCTCAGGGGGCCAGGAACAGGCAGGGTGCTCTAATACCAGAGCATCCTAGAACGCCCGGGCAAACAGCCGTGAGAGGGGGACAGCGGGTCGTCCGAGGTGGGGGCTGGAAGCACGCATCTGAGTGGTTCTCTGCTCCACGTGGGGAGTCAGGAGCAAAGGGCCCTGGGGTATAATTTCCCACGGAGTTATCTCTGTGACCCTGTGGCCAGGGCTGGGGGCCTGGGTCCGCGTGGGAGTCCACGCTGGGCTCATGATAATGGGCATATGGGGGCAAATGAATAGGAAGAGATCAGGGATTTGGAAGGAATGGACAGGGGCTTTGTAGAGGCAACTGGCTGAAATTTGTACCTGCAAATTACACTGAAAAATTGGGGTTCAATTTAAGGAGTGAGTTGGAGCTCTGAAGGGAAAAAGTGCTAAGCCTGTCCCAAGCTCAGCCATAAAAGGCAGCAGGACCCTGGGCAAGTCCTAGCCACTTAGTTTCTTCAACAATTAAATGGCAGGGAGATGGTATATGGACTAGGGCAAGCGTCAAATATTAACAGCAATTAGAACTAATAGAAGGATTCAGCAAAGTTGCAGAGTACAAGATCAACACACAAAAATCAGCTGTATTTCTGTACATGTAAGGCAATGAACAATCCAAAAAAGAAAATTAAGAAAACAATTTCGTTGTATAATATCACCAAAAAAAAAATTTTTTTAAAAGATGTATACTGGAACTTTCTGCTTAATTTTTCTGTAAACCTAAAACTGCCCTCCCAAAATAAGGTCTATTACTTTGTAGGGGGGTGGAAAATAGAATATGCCAGGCACCTTGGCACATGCTTGTAATCCCAGCACTTTGGGACGCTGAGGCAGGCGGATGGCTTGAACCCAGGAATTTGAGACCAACCTGGCCAACATGGTGAAACTCTGTCTCTATAAAAAAATACAAAAATTAGCCAGGCGTGCTGGGGCATGCCAGTGGTCCCAGCTACTCGGGAGGCTGAGGTGGGAGGGTCACCTGAACCTGGGAGGTGGAGGTTGCAGTGATCCCAGATGGTGCCATTGCACTCTAGCCTGGGTGACAGAATGAGACCCTGTCTCAAGCAAATGAGACCCTGTCTCAAAAAAAACTTTAAACAATTTTAAAAAATAGAATACTTAACAATATATTTAATCAAGAAGATGTGAGACTAATACAATGAAAACATTGTTAAAATAAAGAAGATCTAAATAAATGGAAAAACATCCTGAGTTTGTGGATTTGAAGACTTAATATTAAAATGGCAATACTACACAAAGCAATCTACAGATTCAATGCAATCTCTATCAAAATCCCAAAGGCCTTTTTGCAGAAATAGACAACATGATCCTAAAATTCATACGGAATTGTAAGGGACCATGAATAGCCAAAACAATCATGAAAAAGAACTAAGTTGGAGGACTTAGTCTTCCTGATTTCAAAACTTCGTACAAAGCTACAGTAATCATCAGGTACATGTACTGGCATAAGGACAGACATACAGATAAATGAAATAGAATTAAGAGTCTAGAAATAAATTCATACATCCATGGTCAACTGATTTTCAAAGACTACTATGACCATTCAAAGGGAAAGAAGAGCCTCTTCAACAAATTATGATGGGAAAACTGGGTATCTACACGCAAAAGAATGAAGTTGGAACCCTACATTGCACCATATACAAAAACTAATGCAAAATGGACAAAAGACCTAAATGTAAGAGCTAAAACCATAAAACTCTTACATGAACATATAAAGGTAAATGTCCATGACCTCAGAGTTGGCATTGGCTTAAGAAATGACACAAAAAACACAAGCAACAAAAGAAAAAATTAGAGGCTGGGCATGGTGGCTCAGATCTGTAATCCCAGCACTTTGGGAGGCTGAGGTGGGCAGATCACTTGAGGTCAGCAGTTCAAGACCAGCCTGGCCAACATGGTGAAACCTTGTCTCTACTAACAATACAAAAATTAGCTGGGGGTGGTGGCGCGTGCCTGTAGACCCAGCTACTCAGGAGACTGAGGTGGGAAAATCACTTGAACCCAGAAGGCAGAGGTTGCAGTGAGCGAGAGTTGCACCATTGCACTCCAGCCTGGGCAACAGAGCAAGACTCTGCCTCAAAAAATAAATAAATAAATAAATAAATAAAAGGAAAAAAAAAGAAAAAATTAGATAAATTGGATTTCATCAAAATCAAAAACATCAAAAGATGCTTTTAAGAGAGTGAAATGACAATGTACAGAATGGAAGATAATATTTGCAAATCATATATCTGATAAGGACTTGTAGTATCCAGAATATATGAAAATCTCCTACAACTCAACAACAAAAAGACAACCAATTTTTAAATGGGCAATGGACTTGAATAGACGTTTCTGTAAAGAAGTTATACAATGGCCAAGAAGCACATAAAAGATGCTTAGTATCATTGTCATTAGGGAAATTCAAATAAACAAACACAATAAGACACTATTTTTGCACCCACTAGAATGGTTATAATTTTTTTTATAAAGGAAAATAACAAGTGTTGTTGAGGATGTGGAGCAGTTAGAACCCTCATATGTTGCTGGTGGAAATGTAAAATGGTGCATCCACTGTAGAAAGCAATTTGGCACTTCTTCAATAACTTAAACAAGAATTGCCCTGTGATCCAGCCATTCCTCTCCTGGGTATGTAACTGAAAGAATTAGCCACACCCGGTGGCTCACACCTTTAATCCCAGCACTTTGGGAAGCTGAGGAGGGCAGATCACTTGAGCCCAGGAGTACAAGACCAGCCTGGGCAACATGGTGAAACCCCTTTCTGCAAAAAATACAAAAATAAGCCAGGCATAGTGGTTTATGCCTGTAGTCCCAGCTACTCAGGAGGCTGAGGCAGGAGGATTACTTGAGCCCAGGAGGCTGAGGTTGCAGTGAGCCAAGATCATGCCATTGCACTCCAGCCTGGGTGACGGATTGAGACCCTGTCTCAATAAGAAATAAATAAATAAAAATAATATAACTGAAAGAATTGAAACAGGTGCTCGAGCAAAAATGCATCCACAAATGCTCATAGCAAGCAGCATTATTCACAACAGCCAAAAGGTGGAAACAATTCAGTCGTCCATCAACTGATAAACAGATAAACAAATATGTACTCAAACAATGGAATATTATTCAGCCATAACAAAGAATGAAGTACAGATACATGCTACAACATTGAAAACATTATTCTAAGTGAGGCTGGGTGTGGTGGCATGCACCTGTAATCCCAGCTACTAGGGAAGCTGAGGCATGAGCATTGCTTGAACTGGGGAGGTGGAGGTTGTGGTGAGCCAAGATCATGCCACTATACTGCAGCCTCCTGGGTAACAGAGTGAGACTCTGTCTCGAAAATAAAAAACATTATACTAAGTAAAAGAACAAGTCATAAAAGGCCACATTTTATATGATTCTGTTTATGTGAAATGTCCAGAAGAGGCAATTTTACAGACACAGAAAGTAAATTAGTGGTTTCCAGGAACTGAGGAGAAAAGGTAATGGGGAATCACTGCCTAGCGGGTATGGGATTTTCCGTAGGGGAGATGAAAATGTGGTGAATATTGTACAATACTGTGACTGCACTGTCATTCATGGTAAATTTTACATTATATGTATTTTACCACTCTAAAAAACGTGTCATCAATTATTTCCCAAAAGACTGCTAATTCCTTAAAATTTTCTCTCACCTCCCCCAAAATAAACTTGTTTTAACAGCAAGACTATTTTTTTTCAAGTATAAGCTTATGCAGAAACTCTATCTCTGAAACAGATAAAAGTGGAAGTCTTGGAGTAGAGAGATCCCTGTGTCCCTTTTACCCTGTATGAAAGTCCCTAAGTAGTTGGAAATTTCTGGAGTGTCTTCCAGCCCTGAACTTCTGGGTTTGAAGGCTTAGTAAGTGGGTGTTGAACGAATGCTCTGCTGGACTGATCTAATGAAATGATCACCTGGATTGGTGACCACACTGGAGCTCCAGCTCTAGTCCAAGTCCTCTGTGGAATTCTGGCCACAGCTTGCTGAGCTCAGCACTGGACACTATCCTTGGAAAAGATGGCAAAGTGAGCCAGTCGTGGAAGGTCCGAGAAGGCCTGCTGTAGTGGGGAGGTACATGTGATGCAGAAGAGCTGGGGGCTCTGGAGCCAGTCTGCCTGGCTTTGATACCTGGATCCATATTTAGTAACTATTTTCTGGATGTTAAATTCCCGAACTGTCCATACATCAGGGATTAATAATACTACATATGGCATGGTGGTATTGTGAGGATTAAATACGTTAATTCGTGTAAAGTGCTTAGAACAATGCTTGGCACATAGAAAGCTCTCAGTAGCTAATCTTGGCTGGGCAGGGTGGCTCAAGCCTGTAATCCCAGAACTTTGGGAGGCTGAGGTGGGTGGATCGCTTGAGCCTTAGAGTTCCAGACCAGCCTGGGCAAATGATGAGACCCCCGTCTCTACAAAAATTACAAAAATTATTCAGGTGTGTTGGTGCATGTCTGCAGTCCTACCTATTCGGGAAGCTGAAATGGGAGGATCGCTTCAGTCCAGGGGTTGAGGCTGCAGTTAAGCTGTGATTGTGCCACTGTACTCCAGCCTAGGTGACAGAACCAGACTTTGTCTCAAAAAAAATAAAAAGAAAAAAAAGAAAGAGAGAGAAAGAAGAAAGAAAGAAAGAAAGAAAGAAAAGGAAGAAAGAAAGAAAAGGAAGAAAGAAAGAAAGAAGAAAGAAAGAGAAAGAAAGAAAGAAAAGAAAGAAAGAAAGAAAGAAGAAAGAAAGAAAAAGAAAGAAAGAAAGAAAGAAAGAAAGAAAGAAAGAAAGAAAGAAAAGAAAGAAAGAAAGAAAATAAATCATATTTTTATTCTAAAACTACAGTGGCCCCATTCATCATATGACTCAATACACTCAACTCTCTGGTGAGGGAGTATCTCTCACCAATGAGGGTCCATGGATGACCTTGGACCACGACTTGCCCGTCAACCTGGTTTCTCCTGTGTGGCACACATGGCTGTGGCTAATGAAGGAATATTCTCAAAATCTCTGCATAATTCAGAGATTAGGCTTGAATGTGTATTTCAATCCGCTCATCTTAACCCATAGGTATTGAAATTAACTGAATGAATTGCAAGTTGTTACTTTTGTTTGGTTCGTTTTGTTTGTTTGTTTGTTTGTTTGTTTGAGACAAAGTCTCACTCTGTTGCCCAGGCTGGAGTGCACTGATGTGATCAGGGCTCACTAAAACCTTAACCTCCTGGGCTCAAGCAATCCTTCCACCTCAGCTTCTTGAGTAGCTGGGAGCTGGGACTACAAGCACGCACCGCCATACCTGGCTAATTTTTGTATTTTTTTGTAGAAACAGGGTTTCACCATGTTGCCCAGGCTGATCTCAAACTCCCGGGCTCAAGCGATCCACCTACCTTGGCCTCTCAAAGTGCTGGGATTACAGGCGTGAGCCACCTCACCCGGCCTACAAACATTTTTTTTAAATGAAAAATTAAAGAATAGAATGGAAAAGAATCAGATAATTGGGCTAAGTATTAAGTAAGTACTGTTTGTTGAAACTTCTGTGTCCGTTTGTGTGTATGTGTGGCCATGCACACCTATGAACTGGGTTATGATATAACATGTATTTCTTACTAAGGGTTGCAGTTAAAAAAAAAAAAATTGAAGGCCGTGATCTGGTAACAGCCAGGGATTTTCCAAAGGCCACCTGAGCTGAGCTGAGGCGGGCTAACTGCTCTAGGAAAGCAGTCCTGACTTGGTAGGCGAGACTGAATGATCTTGAGCAATTTGCCTATCCCCTAACAAAGCTGGGACGGTAGCCTGCACTGGGGAGTGGAATCAGGGAGGAGGGAAGATTCTCCAACCGAAAGATAAGGATATTTGATTGGTGGGACAGGTGACCTGATACTTGAATCAAGTCATGAGAGCTTGGCAGACTTCACTAAACACACACACACACACACACACACACACACACACACACACACACCTACACGGATCATTTAAGCACAAGCCAAGGGCCTATCTCAGGCATTTAGCTGTCCCTTGATCCTTTCATTGTATTTTGTCTTTTCTGGTCTACTCTATTCCCCAGGATTATCTGGGGGCTCCAGAAACTCCGCCCTTTTTAAACAAATGACTCATGCAGATTCATTTCAGAACCACAAGTTTTCTGGCTGCCCTGACCCCTCCCTTCTCGCCTGCTCTCCTGGGTCCCAGCTCTTGCTGGCAGCTTCAGCCCTATGCAGACTCAACCCCTTTCTCCCATCCCCCAGCATGGAAGACAGAGATCCCCTATACACAAAGTTAGAAGAGGAGGTTTGGACTCTCCCAACATTTGGAGTAATTGCCACAGCCCTGGGCAAAGGCTGCCAGCTTTGTGGAAGGTGTCTCTGGGGACTTCGCAGCTGGAGATTTGTCCTGTGAAAGAGGCAGAAAAGGAGTTGGAAGTGTTGCCGAGAATGAGGGCAGCTGACATACCTGGGCTACCATTCAGTTTTGCTTACCCAGGATTAAGTGGGGGAAGGTAAATTTGCCTTCTAGTGCTTGGGACTTCAAACCCCTACTCTCATTCAACACTCATTTGCATTCCTTGTCTAGAGTACAGCAAGCCTACAAAGCCAGGACATCAAAAGCCAAAAGAAGGGGGACTTGACCACAGCTGGGGAAGGATGTATTGAGACCCAGTTTTTAAGGACTATTCATGTGCTTTAAAGAGAGTTCCTCAGATGGCAGACTTTCAATCTAGTCCTTATAGCACCCTGGGTGTTACATTATTGCCAACATCTTTGCTTCAAATTGCCTATAAGCCATGACCACAGCCAGAGTCTGTGTACAAGTAGCTTCAGCTCTTTAAGTTTCATATTCTTCACCTGCAAAATGGTTCTAATAATAATATGTATTGCATAGGGAGTGATGAAGATAAAATTAGCTTGTGGAATCACTCTAGTACAGTGCCTAAAGCAAAATAGGCATATAACAGATCGATCAGTTATCACAAATGTCCTTACAATTGTACCATATTTTGTCATTGAGATATTTTAGAAAGTTAGTGAAAAACACATAAAGCAAAACCTCCCATAACTCAACTGTGCTTAGAAAGAAAGAACTATACAAAGTCTCACAAGACCCCACTTTCCACTTCTCAGATTAAACTGCTGTTAACCATTTGCTCTGTATTTATCCCTGCATACCTACCCATAAATCACTATTTCTTCATACTTTAAAAAAAGTGTAGAAATTGATTCATGCTGTTTATCCAATTTTTCAACAGGCTTTTTACACTTAATATACGATGAACATCTTTGTAGGTTAGTGTCTGTAGAGCCACCTCATTCTTTTTATCTACTGCCTAGGTTAACCATGCACCATGCATGGTTTATTTAAACATTCCCTTATTAACATTTCAGTTTTCCATTTTTGCTATTATATCCCAGAGCTACAATGAAAATCTCATCCATGTATCTTTATGCATGTGCATGAGTTTTTCTGTATGCCAGATTTCTAGAAGTAGATCTGCTGGATCACTGAGTAGGGCACATGGTAATGTTAATTGACATGGCCAAACTCTATTCCAAAAGGTTGTGTGATGTACCCTCCACTAACTATATCAATGCAGCCATTTTCTTACTCTTATCTGTCATTTTAGTTTTATCCAATCTGACAGACAAAAACCTGATTGTTTTATGTCATACGTCTTTGACTAAAGTAATGCTAAGCATAATTTTATGTCTTCTGGAGGTATGCATTTTCTCCTCTGTGAATTGTCTATTCAAACCTCAAACCATTTTTCTATTGGACCTTTCATATTTCCTTTTTAAACTGTAGAGCACTCTTTGTATAGGAAGGACATTTACCTTTTATCTGTTACATGTGTTGCTAATATTTTTGTCCACTCTGTCATTTGCCTTCTGACTTTGTTTATGGTATCTTTTTCCACTTATAGTTTTAAGATATTTTATGTAGTCAGATGTGTTCATTTTTCCTTTATGACTTCTAGATTTCTCCTCCACTTGTTTAGAAAGCCTTTGTTTTCTGACTTTCTTGAGCCCACTGCTACAATCTCCATCCACTCTCCCATGACAGCTGGCAATGAATGTCCTCACTGAGCCTGGCTCTGTCTCTCAGGCCAGCACCTTGGGTTCTTTATCTATCAACACAGTGTAATAATGTTTGGTGCTGGGAAGTATTACATTGTGTCAGAAGAACACAGAGAATGGAAAGAGTTAAGGAGGGAAGACAGTCTGAGAAGTCAGTGGAAGAAGTGGATGGGGGTGTGTGTACCTGAAGAGTTGAGAAAGCAAAGAAGAGGAAAGAGAGATTCCATGACCTTGACCTGAGCATCTAAAAGCTGTGCTAGCTGATACTCTGAGTAGGATTTTTAAAGCCAGTAGCAACTTGAAATTGTTTTTTTTTTCTTTTTCCAAACCCATTTCATTCTTTACAAGCATGATACAGTGACTAGTCCTCACACCTGGGAGACAATATAAAAGCCTCCTGCCAGACCCAAAATAAAAGGAAAAGAAACTGGCCAGGCATGGTGGCTCACGACTGTAATCCCAGCACTTTGGGAACCTGAGGCGGGTAGATTACGAGGTCAGGAGTTAGAGACCAGCCTGACCAACATGGTGAAAACCCGTCTCTACTAAAAGTACAAAAGTTAGCTGAATGTGGTGGCACATGCCTGTAAACCCCGCTACTCTGGAGGCTGAGGCAGGAGAATCACTTGAACCCGGGAGGCGGAGGTTGCAGCGAGGTGAGATCACACCACTGCACTCCAGCCTGGGTGACAGAGTGAGACTCCATCTCAAAAAAAAAAAAAAAAAGGAAAAGAAGCTGGAAAATAGGACCTCAGCTCAAAAGCATGTTTCCTCTTGAGTGCATTTTAATATCTATACCAGGTTCCATATATCAAATGCTTAAATTTTTAAAAAGTGTTCTAGAAAATAAGGATACTCTGGTTAGAGTAAGTGAAAGTTCTTTACCTCTCCACAGTTTGCCTCTTAAACAAATAAACCAAAACAGCCCACACAGCCACATGCAAGGGAACAACTAGGCAGCACCAACTTTCCTTCTAACAGTCATGGAAGTCAGCAGGACATGGTTAGGAGTCATTTGGAATTACTGTAGCTCCATGCTGGCAGCATTGCCCAGTGGCCCCTGACTCTGAGGTTTCACCATCAGGCAACAAAGCCACTCTGCCTCCACGGCTACTCCTCCTACAGCCTCGCTCTACCTAAGGGCTTGCTTGCTGCCTTATCTCTGCATGGGTTAGCCTCAACCTCCTCAGCATGGGATGTCCTCTTGAGACTCACATTCAAACTCTCCAAAAGAGAGGATTTGATTGGTTCCATTGGTTTCTGATGTTCTTTGGAGACTGACTCCTTGGCTTTCAGTCTATAGCCAACTGTTGTTGGGTTTGCTGTCCATCTCTGCTCCATGGTGGCAGGGTCAAATGATCGGCTTTCTTCAAAAGGAGCTCCACATGGGCAGGTGCTCCAAGAGTAAAATAATCTGTTTCCCAGTACTGACTTGTTCCAGCTGCATACACTACTACAAGATTTGACATCTGTCTTCCCAGTTTATAGATTAGAAGCAATTAACAATAAAGAGGGGAAATGGAAAATGAGAAAGCATTTACAGTCATTAACCAAACATTACTAATGAACCAACATTTATTAATCACTTTCTAAGCAATAAGATCTGGCTGCTAAAAGCATAGCGTGAGGAAACAGGCCAACAATTATAATATAAAAAATTATAATTGAGATATAAGAACTGAAGAGGCTAGCAATTGGGGCCATTTAATGTCAGGGCAAGTTTTGCATCCTTTCGTAAGCCCAATCTGCTCCCATTTTAAAGCACTAAATAAAAGCTAAGATTCAAAATAAATCTGAGCCATGAAAATATTAAGCTGGGTTCTAAAGACTCAACTCAGTGGATAAGAACAACTTAGGTTTTTTATTACTGCTCTGTCACCACCCCTTCAACAAAAATCATCTACAGGCCAATTTGTGTGATCTCTGTACAGACATCAGGCTTTTAATGCTTTTTCATAGTCTATCCCAGACACTCTTGGGACTCTTGGGTTTAGGCAGAGGCTCTTGGCATAAATTTCAACCCTACATGTCAAAACAAATGTTCATGTTCCACACCCATTATCTTCACTAATAACTACAGCTGCTGCTGCTGCTATTAAAATTAGCACATACAGGGTGTCAACACTGTCCCAGGCACTTTACATAGATGAACCCTCTCAATATAGTATTATGCCCACTTCGAAGATGAGAAACTCAGGCAGGTGCCTGGGAAGGTGTGTTGGCCCCATGGGGTGGGACAGATGTCAACGCTTGGAGAAGTCAGCCAGGCTGGGAATCCAAGCTACACTTCCTCATTCCAGTAGGATGAGGAGCAGCCTAAGTGGATGGCTCTTCCTCAGGCTTTCTCCTTTTTGGTCTCCTTAAATATCTATAAAGCTTTTGTTGCTGTTGTTGAAGTTCTAGGGAAAGCATGAAAGAGAAGCAGCAACACCCTGTGGGCAGGAGGCAGTAGCATTCAGGGTGAGAAGTGTCCTCTCAGGAAACACTGTCAAGGCTGGCCAACTGCCCTCTCCCACTGGTCTTACTGCTCTCTTTTTGAGATGGAGTCTTGCTCTTGTCTCCCAGGCTGGAGTGCAATGGCGAGATCTTGGCTCATTGCAAACTCCGCCTCCGAGGTTCAAGTGATTCTCCTGCCTCAGCCTCCCGAGTAGCTGGAATTACAGGCATGCGCCATCACACCCAACAAATTTTGTGTTTTTAGTAGAGATGGGGTTTCACCATGTTGGCCAGGCTGGTCTCAAATTCCTGATCTCAAGTGGTCCGCCAACCTCAGCCTCCCAAAGTGCTGGGGTTACAGGTGTGAGCCATGGCGCCTGGCTCTCCCTGCTGTCTTACTCCAGCTATACTCCTTCCACAGACGACTTTGGAGGTCCTGGGTTTTGCTTGGAGGTTCTGGGTTTTGCTCTCAGGAGGGAAACAAGGTTCCTTTCATATCTGTGATACGTACATTTGCCAGATAATTCAAGTTGGGATATTCTAAACAACCATTTCTTTAGATTTTTCTAAGCTCAATCTTGTATCTATTTGGATTCTCAGAAATCTTTCTGGTTATAGAATGTTTGTTTCTTTTAAAAAATCCAGGATCATTATTAAAAGCAACTAAAACTAGCCATTCTCATTTAGGATCCCTGCAGGGGATCTATACAATTTGAGGTGAGTTTAATACAGGGACTATTTACAAAGTTGTGCAGACAGAGCTTAGGGAGCCCACCAAAGGACACTGACACACCCTGGGGCTAGCAAAAGAGGGGAGCAGTTATCATTCAGAGGCCTGGAGGGGAGAGAGGAGACAGTAGTTACCAGTACCAAGACAGGGTGGCCTGAGGTAGAGGAATGAAGATAAAGCATGGTGACTTGGAAAGGAAGAAACCAAGGAAATACATCCCTTTCCTCTGGCCCTCCTCCTATCTCCTGCCAGTATTTCTCATTTGCCAAACTCTACCGGAAGGCTGAGAACCAGAGAGGCCACTGACATAGTCCATGGAAGTCAGCCCCTCCTGGGGCACAGAGTAGGGTGAGAAAAGATTGGAAATGGACATGGATATGGAGGGGCAAATGGAAGATACCCAAGGCTTCCATTATTAATGAGCATCGACAACAATATTAATCATTTCCATTTAAGTCCCTGCTTTGTGCCCTTCATACCAATCTTGCATTTTACAGATAAGAAAATGATGGTTCACAGGTTAGTGTTCTCGAGTGTCCCTGTAGATTAGAAGTCAAGATAACCCTGCAAGAGGGAAATTAATAAGGATCAAAACAAAAACGGATGATCTCAGCCATCTAGATATGTTAGCTATCTGTTGCTGCTAATGAATTTTCCCCAAATTTAGTAGCATAAAACAATAAACACTTAGTATTTCACACAGTCTCTGTGGGTCAGGAACAGCTTGGCTGGGCGGTTCTAACTCGGTCTCCCATGAGATTTTCAAGAAGTTGACCAGGTCTGCAATCGTCCGAATGCTGGATGAGGCCTGGAGAATCCACTTCCTAGGTGGCTCTTGCACCTGGCACCATGATTTGAATATCTGTCTTTAAATTTAACTGACATTGTCATAGTATTAAGAGGTGGAACATTAAGAGGTTATTAGGTCGTAATGGCTCTGCCCTCAGAGGTGGGATTGATACTGTTACAAAAGGATGAGTTCATCCCCTCTTTTTCTCTCTCTTTGCCTTGCTGCCATGTGATGACACAGCAAGAAGGCCCTTGCCAGATGCCGCTGTCTTAATCTTGGACTTCCTAGTGTGTAGAACTGTGAAGAAATAAATTACTGCTCTTTATAAATTACCCGGTCTCAGGTATTCTGTTAGAGCAGCACAAAATGCATGAAGACACTCACCCTGCAAGTTAGTGCTGGGTTTTAGCAGGAAACCTCAGTTCCCACCACGTGGACCTCTCCACAGGACTAGTTGAGTGTCTTCATGAAATGGCAGTTGGCCTACCCTGAATGAATAATTCAAGAAAGCCAGACAGGGAGGAAGCCACATTCCCTTTTAAGACCTAATCACAGAAGCTGCACGCACTGTTACTTCTGCCACATGCTATTCATTACAAGTACGTCACAAAGTCCGGTCCACCCTCAACAGGAAGGGAATTAAGTTCCATCTTTTTTTCTTTTTAAGAGACAAGGTCTCGCTCTGTGGCCCAGGCTGGAGTGCAGTGGCATGATCATAGCTTACTGCAGACTTGAACTCCTGGACTCAAGTGATCCTCCTGCCTCAGTCTCCTGAGTAGCTAGGACTACAGGTACATGCCACCATGCTCAGCTAATTTCATCACTTGAAGAGCAGAGTAGTAAAGAATTTTTAGGCGTATTTTAAAACCACCATATGTCACAATAGCAATATTGAAGACATTGTGGTTATATAACTGAAGAATTTGGGGAGGACTTGAAACTGCACTGAAACATGACCATCACCAAACAAGGTGAAACCTCCCGAGCACACTGTGTACTGCCTGAAGAAAGAGCTGGCAGAAGAGGAATAGTTTCCCAGGCATCTGTGCAAAGATGGCCCAGGGGAAAATGCTGCACAGGAAATGGTGATCCTAGTGAACACAAGCTTTCCGATAAAAGGAGAGGCATACTTGGTTTAGGAACAGGAACCTGTCATGTCTGGATGAAATATGTGTCAGAATTATCCATTTCCCCTGGGCAAGGCTTACCTTCTGGGAAGGCAATGTCTTAGGCAGCAGACACGAGGATTTCACTAAATCTAAAGAACTACCTCCATTTAATATCAAGTAATTGCTCATTTTTGATGCCCAATAGTGTCTTATGAGTGTGGCTAATGTGACATCAGCCTGAACATTTCCAGATTTGCATAGCTAAGGACTGAGTAGATCCACGGAAGTAGAAATCCCACCCTGGTATGGCCTGCCTGCAGAGCAATCACTGCCTCAGGTCACAGCCTTATCTTACCATGCCTTTTGTTAGTGCAGAACCTATTCCACAAAAACTCATGTGATGATAGGGCACTGTTTATGACAGCAAAATAGTGCAAACAACTCAAATGTCTCCAGGAAGGGATTGGTAGAATAAACTGTTACACAGTGGAGTATTATATGGCTGTAAAAAAGGAGGAGGAAGATGTTTATAACCAGTGCTTTCTGAAAGAAATTTCTGTGATAATGGACATATTCTATTCTTGGACAAATGGTAGCCATCAGCCGCATGTGGTTATTGACTGCTTGAAATGTGAATAGTTCAGCTAAGGAACTAATCTTGTTTTTTTTTAAGACAGAGTCTCACTCTGTCACCCAGGCTGGAGTGCAGTGGTGCTATCTTGGCTCACGGCAACTGCTGCCTCCTGGGTTCAAGCCATTCTTGTGCCTCAGCCTCCCCAGTCGCTGGGATTATAGGTTCGTGCCACCACACTTGGCTAATTTTTGTATTTTTAGTAGAGACGGGGTTTTGCCATGTTGGCCAGGCTGGTCTCCAACTCCTGGCCTCAAGTGATCCACCTGCCTCAGCCTCCCACAGTGCTGGGATTACAGGCGTGAGCCACTGCACCCAGCTAAATTTTAATTGTATTTAATTTTTGCTTAATAGCCATATATGGGTAGTGACTATTTTATTGGACAGCACTGCTTAATACAGATCTCCAGGATAGATTGTTAAGTGAAAACACAATATACAGGAAGTGTAGACCAGTGTATATAGGATGTTACTTTCTGTGAATGAAAGGAAGAGAAAAACATATGCATTACTTATATTTGTGGAAGTTGCATAAAAACACTGAAAGGATAAATTTAAATGGTTGCCTCTTCGACAAGAACAGGATGGAATGAAAGTGAGACTTTGCAGTGTGTGTGGTTTTTTTTTTTATTTTAATTTCCCTTTTCATTTTTTTTTTTTCTTTTTGAGACAGGGTCTTGCTTAGTCACTCAGGCTGGAGTGCAGTGGTGCAGTCACAGCTCACTGCAGCCTCAACCTCCCAGGCTCCTCTGGCCTCAGCTCCTGAGTAGCTGGTGACATATGCACCACCATGCCTGGCTAAGTTTTGTATTTTTTTTTGTAGAGATGGAGTTTTCACCATGTTGCCCAGGGTGGTCTTGAACTCCTGGGCTCAAGTGATTCTCCCGCCTTGGCCTCCCAAAATGCTGCAATTACAGGTGTGAGCCACCATGCCCAGTTCTAGATTCTTTAAATTGTGCTAAAAATAAATAAATAAATAAATAAATAAATAAAAATAACATAAAATTTACCATCTTAACCATTTTATAAAATTAATAAACTTTACTTTTTAGGACAGTTTTGGGTTCACAAAAAAACTGAGTAGAAAGTACAGAGAGTTCCCATCCCCACTCCTGTCCCCACGTACGCACAGCCTTCCACTATCAACATCCCATACCACAATGGTACCTTTGTTACAAGCAGTGAACCTTCATGGGTACAGCATTATTACCCAAAGTTCATAGTTTACATTAGGATTCACTCTTGGTGGTATACATTCTATGGATTTTGACATACATATAATGACATGTATCTACCATTGTATACATGTATAATGACGTATGTATAATGACATGCATCACACAGAATAGTTTCACTGACCTAAAAATCCTTCATGCTCTGCCTATTCATACCTCTCTCCCTTCTAACCCCTGGCAGCCACTAATCTTTTTACTGTCTCCATAGTTTTGGCTTTTCCAGAATGCTCTATAGCTGGTATTATACAGTCTGCAACATTTTCACATTGGAAAATGCATTAGTAATATGCATTTAAATTTCCTCTATGTCTTTTCATGGCATGATAGCTCATTTCTTTTTAGTGTTGAATCACTTGACATTGTCTGCATATACCAAAGTTTATTTATCCATTTGCCTATGAAAGGACATATTGATTGCTTCCAAGTTTTAGCAATTATTAATAAAGCTGCCGACTACTATAAACATCTGTTGCAGGTTTTTGTGTGGATGTAAGTTTTCAAATCATTTGGGTAAATAACAAGAAGTGTAATTGATTGATTATACGGTAAGAGTATATATAGTTTTGTGAGAAACTGTCAAAAAGTCTTCCAAAGTGGCTGTACCATTTTGTATTCCCACCAGCAATGAATGAGAGTTCCTGCTGTTCCAGACCCTCATCAGCTTTTGGTGTTGTCAGTATTTTGGATTTTGGACATTCTAATAGGTATGTAATGGTATCTCATTGTTATTTTAATTTGTAATTTCCTAATGATGTATGATGCTTAATATATTTTCATGTGCTTTTACTTGCCATCTGTAGATCTTCTTTGGTGAGATATCTTTCAGGTCTTTGTCTATTTTTTAATCAAGTTGTTTGTTTCCTTGTTGAGTTCTAAGAGTTCTTTGTATATTTTGGGTAACAGTCCTTTATCAGTTATATCTTTTGCATATATTTTCTCCCTGTCTATGGTTGTATTCTCATTCTTTTGACATTGTCTTTTGCTGAGCAGTTCTAAACTTTAATGAAATCCAGCAAATCAATTATTTATTTCATGGATTGTGCCTTTGGTGTTGTATCTAAAAAGTCATGACCATAGCCCAGGCCACCTAGGTTTTCTCCTATGTTATCTTCTAGGAGTAGTGTAGTTTTACATTTCACATTTTACATTTCAGTCTATGATCTATTTTGAATTAATTTTGGGGAAGAGTGTAAAGTCTGTTTCTAGATTCATTTTCTGCATGTGGATGTCCAGTTGTTCCAGTACCATTTTTTGAAAAAATTAGCCATTTTTAGGTGTCTAGTTCAGTAATGTTAAGTATAGTCACATTATTGTGAAACAGATCTTCTGAACTTTTTCATCTTGCAAATCTGAAATTCTATACCCATTTCTATTAGTCCATTTTCACACTGCAGATAAAGACATACCTGAGACTGGGTAATTTATAAAGAAAAAGAGGTTTAATGGACTCACAGATCCACGTGGCTGGGGAAGCCTCTCAATCATGGCAGAAAGTGAAAGGCATGTCTTACATGACTGCAGACAAGAGAGAATTTGTGCAGGGAAACTCCCCTTTATAAAACCATCAGATCTCCTGAGACTTATTCACTATCACAGGAATAGCACGGGAAAGACCCACACTCCTCATGATTCAATTACCTCCCACAGGGTCCCTCCCATGAGACGTGGGAATTGTGGGAGCTACAATCCAAGATGAGATTTGGGTAGGGACACAGCCAAACCATATCACCATTAAACAACCCCTCCCCTTTTCCCCCTCCCCTAAGTCCTTGGTAACCACCATTCTACTTGTTATTTCTATAAATTTGACTAAGTATCTCATATAGGCCAGGCATGGTGGCTCATGCCTGTAATCCCAGCACTTTGGGAGGCCAAGGTGGGAGGAATCACTTGAGGCCAGGACTTTGAGACAAGCCTGAGCAACCTAGCAAGATTCCATCTCTACAAAAATTTTAAAAATTAGCTGGAAGTGGTGGTGCACACCTGTAATCGCTGTACTTCGGGAGGCCAAGATGAGAGGATTGCTTGAATCCAGGAGTTTGACACCAGCCTGGGCAAGATGGTGAGAGCCCATCTCTTAAAAAAAAGAAAAGGGATAGATCATAGATTTTGCTCTCTTTTTGGGTACTCATTGACTTCCTGCTAGTAGATAGTCATAGATATGTAAATCACTGTTTTTCTTTTTCACCTCAGTTGCCTGAAAGCACAGAGTTAAACGTAGTGCTTAGCTACATGTCTTCCATTCATCTAGATTTTTAGTATAACCCTCCTTACCTGCTTTTGTTAATTTGTCTATGTTCCCGAATTTCATTTTAAGCTCACTCTAATGCTTTTTGAGGCAAAAGAGTCAAAAAAAAGAAGAGAAAAAATAGTCATAAAATACTTAATTTAAGAAGACAGGAAAAAAAGATGATGAGAAAATAGACACTTACACTTTTTTTCTTTTTTAAGAGACAGGGTCTTACTCTGTTGCCCAGGCTTGAGTGAGGTGGTGAAATCATGGATCACTGCAGGCTCAACCTCCTGGGCTGAGGAGATCCTCCCTCCTCAGCCTCTTGAGTAGCTAGGACTGCAGGCATGCACCATCATGCCCAGCTAATTTTTTAAAAATTTTTTTGTAGAGACAGGGTCTTGCTCTGTTGCCCAGGCTGGTCTCAAACTCCTCCTGGCCTCAAGGGATCCTCCCGCCTTGACTTCCCAAAGCGTTGGGATTATGGGCACAAGCCGCCATGCCCAACCTCTTACACATTTTTGGCAGAAGTTTAAAATGATATCACCTTTTTAGGATGTAATTTGAAAGTATTAAGTTTTTAAATATGAATAGTCTTTGATTCAATAGTTCTTCTAGTCATTTGTCTGACATAAAGACTTGCAAAATTGTGTAAGAAGTACAAAAGATATTTGTTGTGCATTATAAACAATAATGAAAAATTATAACTAATCTAAATATCCATCAATAGGGGAAAGGTTAAGTTTTCAAAAAAGCATGCAGAGGACCTGGGGCCTACATACTTGAGTGATCAAGTATAGAATAATCTGTAGCGCTGTAATAATGATTAAGTATGGAATAATGTGTAGAGCTGCTGTTCTCAAGCTTTTTGGTCTCAGTACCCTCTTAATGCTCTTATAAATTATTGAGGATCCCAAGGGACTTTTTTTTTTTTTTGAGACGGAGTCTCACTCTGTCACCAGGGTGGAGTGCAGTGGCACAATCTCAGCTCACTGCAACCTCTGCCTCCCAGATTCAAGTGATTCCCCTGCCTCAGCCTCCTGAGTAGTTGGGATTACAGGCACGCACCACCACACCCAGCTAATTTTTGTATTTTTAGTAGAGATGGGGTTTCACCATGTTGGCCAGGATGGTCTTGATCTCTTGACCTCGTGATCTGCCTGTCTCGGCCTCCCAAAGTGCTGGGATTACAGGTGTGAGCCACCACGCCTGGCTGGAGATTTTCTTATGTAGGCTATGTCTATCAATAGTTATTGTATTAAACATTAAGATAATTTCAAAAAATGAGTTTCTTAATTTTAAATAATGGTAATAAACTCATTGCATGTTACTATAAATCATATCCTTTTTATGAAAGTTAACTATATCAAAACATTTAGTGAGAAGACTGGCATTGTCTCACATTTTTTCAAATGTGTTTTAATATCTGGCTTAATATAAGACAGTTGCATTCTCATATCTGCTTTGGCATTAAATCTGTTGTGATATGTTGTTTTGGTTGAAGTACATGAAGAAAATCTGGTCTCACAAACACACGTAGTTGAAAAAGGAGGATTATTTTAATAGTCTTTCCAGATTATTATGGCTATTGTTCTTTGATTGTTTACCAAAATTTGACAAGTGGTAGTTTCTGAAAGGTTAGTGGCAACGTGGATTCTAAATCATATCAATGAGGCCGGGTGCGGTGGCTCAAGCCTGTAATCTCAGCACTTTGGGAAGCCAACGTGGGGAGATCACTTGAGGTCGGGAGTTCGTGACCAGCCCAGCCAACATGGTAAAACCCCGTCTCCACTAAAAATACAAAAATTAGCCAGGTGTGGTGGCAGGTGCCTGTAATCCCAGCTACTCAGGAGTCTGAGGCAGGAGAATTGCCCGAACCCAGGAGGCAGGGGTTGCAGCGGGCCAAGATCACACCAGTGTACCCCAGCCTGGGCAGCAGAGTGAGATTCCATCTCAAAAATAAATAAATAAATAAAATAAAAATAAAAAATAAATCATATCAATGAACAATCTATACCGTTACATTAAAATCCATTGGTTTATCTTCCACAAATGATTTTATAACATTATGCATGAGTCTTTGAAAAATATTGGTTCACTAAGTTATGTAGCTCTAATATTAACACATTTTATTAACAGCATCAAAAATCACATTTATTATCACCACCCCTTTCATCACTAAAGTCTTTAAGTGTTGGGAAGCTGTCCAACTCACAGTGGAAAATATAAGTCTTTGGAAATTCTAATGTTTGCTTGAAAGCTTAAACTTTCCCATCAGCGATAGTCTGGATAAAGAAAACATGTTACATATACACCATGGAGTACTATGCAGCCATAAAAAAGCACAGGATTATGTCTTTGCAGGGACATGGATGGAGCTGGAGGTCATTATCTTTAGAAAACTAACACAGGAACAGAAAACCAAATACTACGTGTTCTCACTCATAAGTGGGAGCTAAATGATGGGAACACATGGACACATAGAGGGGAATACCACACACTGGGGCCTGTAGGAGGATGGAGGGTGGCAGGAGGGAGAGGATCAGGAAAAATACCTAGTAGGTCCTTTGCTTAATATCTGGGTGACAAAATAATCTGTACAACAAACCCCTATGATACAAGTTTACCTATGTAACAAACCTACACAGGTACCCCTGAACTTAAAAGTTAAAAAGAAAATAAAAGAAAGCTGAAACTTCATCATTAGTAACAAATACTGTCAGTTTCCTTGAAATGACAGGTTCATTTCATTCATTTTTTGAGAAAATGTCTGAAAATTCCCAAATCTGAACAACCATAGTTTGTCAGTCATTATTTCGAGTAAAAATGATGTTCCCTGGTGGGGGACAGGGCGACTGGGGGACAGTGAATTCAGCTTGCAACACAAACAGCTGCACGAGTGTCTCCTCGGATGGTCAGTGGACTTTGGAATGCAGCAGGGCTTAAGCATACTTCTCATCTCTTCATGCAGAATCTTAAAAAGGCAGGTACGCCAGGGTTGAAATTTAATACAATTTATCATCTTTACTACTTCATTAAGGACATTCTTTAAGAAACTGGCATTTCGGCTCCTCTGAGAGTGTAGTAGTGAAGGACAGAATACCCACCAGGACAGTTCAAGGAGCCACCTCCTTGATCTAAGACACTAGCAGTTTTTACCCACTTTTACTTTTTGCAACATCAGTACAAATGTCAACACTGTGGGAAAAAAAGCAAATTTTGTCTTAGTGTTATTATAAAAATAGCTTTGGCCTTGTGGACCCCTGAAATGGTCTCAGGGATCTTCATGAATTCACAGACCTGCTGACGTGGCATATAATACCTTTTTTGCTGAAAAAAAAAGAAAAAAGTAAAGAAAGAAAGAAAGAAAACCAAAATGTTAAGTGTCTACCTTTAGCAGTAGAAAGCGATAAAGTGATGCTTTTTATTTCATGTACTTTTCTATCTTTTGAATCCTTTACAATGAGTATGTATTTCTTAAGTAATTAAAAACACTAAAGAAAAAGATTAAATTTAAATTATAAACAACAATTACAGCATACTTCGAGAATGTAAAATGCCCCTTAGTAGTACCCTCATACTGAAAATATGAAGAGATTAGATACATAAAACAGGAAGCTTAAATTATTAAAAAACAAGACAAAACAAAAACCTCACCCGAAGAAATACCTTATTTCCCACAGGACTGGAGGAAGGAAGTGTTGCTGTGCGTAAGCAGAGGCAGCCACCAGATTCAGGTGGCTGAAATTAACGACTTTGCTGATACCTTTAGATGCAGTTCAGACATAAATCTGAAACACACTCTCTCTAAACAGCAACAGGATTAGACATGAAGAGTGACTTGACACTTCAGAAACCTCACAGCTTCTTTCTCAGAGGAAAGAGAAAATCAGGCACAGGACCTGGGGCCTACAAAGCAGGTATTAAGTTTCTCTTTTGTGCCTGAAGCTCTCAGCTCCATGCCCTCTTCCCTCTAGGCTTAGCCCCAGTCACCTCTTGCCCTTGCAGTCTCCAGTGCCCTTCTGATCTCCTCTCCTCTGCCTCCGGCTAAGCCTCTTGGTGTGAAAGACCCTGATATCAGTCATCCACGCCCTAGCATAAATGAGCCCCCATTACCAGGCTTCCTCCCTGGTGCATTTGCTTGTCAGGCTAATCTCTGATGATGCAGTACAAGGCTGGGTCCCACAGGCAAGGCAGTTTAGGTGTTACTGAGCAACTGGTGGGGAAGGCTTTCCCCCAGGCTTCTTGAGTCATTCTCCATGAGTAGCTACCCCTCTTTGCTGTGACATCACACTGCAATGCTGCCCCTCTCTGCCGTGTGACATCAAAGAAGTTATGGTCCCTTCCTGGGCTCTGTAAACCAGGTGGGTCAGACTAGTGACCTCCCAGGTGGACCCTGCTCCAGGATTCTGAGACTGAACCCCTTTAATGCAGAGCGGCGGTATCTCAGGCCTTGGGAAATGGCATCTTTGTTTTCTGTTTCTGAATTAAAAGACAATTCAAAGGAAGCTCCCCACACACTCTCCCTGCAGTTTGCCCCCCTTCCCCTTCTCTTCCTCTTGACCTGTGTCTCCAGGGGGAAGATCAAACAAAGAGGTTGCAGAGGGTGGTGGAATGCTGTGTTTGGTTATAATCCCAGGCTGGATGTGATTACAAAGTTCCTGTGCCTGGGGCAACGCACAGGGGAATGTGGTGGGAGGGACACTGAGCTCTAAGAACACGTGCTCCTCCTCATGCCCCACCCACATATGCATGCAGGCCCCACCACAAGACTGTGAGGTGCTGAAGTTTGTCCCCAAACTCCCACCCCCACCCCGTGTGTGCCCCCAGTCGCCTTAAGAGATCTTTTTATGGGTATTTGCTTTTTCCGTAAGGACTACTGGAAGATGGAAGAGGATTCACAAATGACAGGAATAAATAAATGACTTTCTGCTGTACTTATGTCTCGATGTCCATCTTCCTACCTACTGTGACTTCCTCAAGGGCAGTAGTCATGGCTGGTTCCATTTTGTCCCCACTCCTTGCATCATGCCTAGCACACATTTAGAGCCTCGCAAAACTTTGATGAACAGATGAATGAAGAAATGAATGAATGAAGAAACACACTTTTCCACCAAGGTTCAAAAAAATATTTTAAAGGTATTGGATGATTCCCCACCATACGTGACCATGTCACTCAGCAAGTCGCCTGGTCTGCATTTTCTTCACTGTAATTCACAAAAGCCTGGGCCTGGAGGAGAGCTGGTGGTGGCTCAAGAACATCAGGATAAAGATCCCGTGCTGGTGCTTCTAGGTCACATAAATCTAAAACACACTCTCTCTAAACAGCAACAGGATTACACACTCTCTCGAAACAGCAACAGCACAAGGTCACTTGTGATCTTGACAAAGTCACTAGTCCTCTCTAGAGCTCAGTTTCAACTCAAAAATAGGGCTAAAAATATCTGCTTTGAGTAGTCTGTAGGGAAGCTCTAAGACTCCAGGTATGCAAACATGATTTGTAAACTACAAAGTGTATTGCAGCCACAAGGACCTAACACTACTGTATTATTAGTAGTATTATAACATTATTGTTATTATTTTAGAGACAGGGTCTCACTCTGTCACCCAGGCCAGAGTGTAGTAGTGGTACAATCACAACTCACTGCAGCCTCGATCTCCTGGGCTCAATCCATCCTCCCACCTCAGCCTCCTGAGTACCTAGGACTACAGGCATGCGCCCCTACATCTGGCTAATTTTTTTAAAAAAGTTTTGTAGAAATGGGGTCTCCCAAAAAAAAAAAAAAAAGAAATGGGGTCTCCCTATGTTGCCCAGGCTGGTCTTGAACTGCTGGCTTTAAGCAATCATTCTGCCTCAGCCTCCCAAATTGCTGGGATTACAGGTGTGAGCCACCACGCCTGGCTTATTTTCTTATTAACACTAGATGAGCCATCAGAGGCCCAGAGAGGCTAAGCAATTTGTTAAGCGTCACCCAGGAGACACATGACAGACTTTGACATGCAGCCCAGTGGACACTGCGCCTCCAGGTGTACTTCCCACTCAGTGCCTGACTTCTTCACCCCCTTAAAGACTCACAGCACGTAAGAGGAAGGACCTTTATTTTGATCATCCAGCAGTGCCTTGGAGCAGGCGGGACCATGAACTCAACAAGGCATCCTGGTGCTGTTTGTAGGGAGATGGTTGTCTGTCTGGGATGAGGCCAGGCTCACACTGACTCAGACTGAACTAGACCATCCCTAAGTATCTTTCCAGGCCTGAGCAAGAGAATCTAAGACAGGGCCCCTGTCCTCCAGCAACAGAAACTCTAGTGGTTTCTCCAAGGCCTGAATATTCCCCGTGAGACTCTCTGGTGTAAAAGTCCTCAGTGTTACAGTGCACAATGGAATTTCTTCCCTTAAAGAGTCATAGAATGGAAAGAAAGTTTTTTTAAAAAAGAAAACTTGGCAATAAAGTAGCCTACTTGGCACCTCTATGTAGAGAGTAACAGGATCCCTGGCTCTGTGCCCCGATGGTCCCCTCCCTGCCCCATTAAGGCCAGGAGCCCAGGCTGGGGTTCAGAGTGTCCAGGGCCTGGCAACAAGAGCGTGTCTACCCCCATCAGCCTGTACACAGCGTTATCAACTCCTGCTGCACAGGACGTCCCGGGAAGGCTGGGGGTGGAGACGCTTTTACCACCTAAGGGACCTCACGTGGATCAGTCACCACTGTGGGCTCCTACCCAGGAGTTAAGGAAGGGCATCCTGCGGTCCTTGCTGGGCCAGGGGAGAGGCAGGAGCACCTGTAGGCAGACGCTTCAGGTCAGGATGAGGTCACAAGAGCAAGTGGCTGGGCAGCAGATTTGGCCATGTCCAGACAGTCAGGCCCATCCACAGCCCCTTTGCCATTGCTTCTCTGTGATTTGCCACCGTCTGCAGGATGCCTGATTGGATGTTGTGGGAGGTGGAGCAGCTGCCATTCCCCTTTGTAAAGACAATAGGAGCATGGTTCGGGACCCAGTGGTGGCCTCCTGGAGTCTGTGGCTTGCTGAGGTTGGTGGTTTCCCTCCCACTCTACCCCCTCCTTCCCTCTTATCTATACCATGAGTAGGAGGAGAGTGGGCTTCAAATCCAGCTCTGTTTACCCTCAGAGCCCACACTCTTAACCCCCACAGTACAGAGTTGTTGGGGAAATCATCTTCAGGCCCTTCCTCCTCTCTGTGCTCCTCTCCAGCACCCCTAGCCCCAGGTGGTCAGGACACTCTTGGTGAGCAGAGGCCTCCCCATTAGGACAAGGGACACAGACAATAAACCTATTCGGACTAGAGTCTTGTGGATCTGATTTATTCTGTATTCAGGTCAGGAGAGCAATCTCAAAAGGGGACCTGGAACAAGAATGATGTCTACAATAAGTGGCCTAAATACCTGTGTGACTTTGGGTGAGTTATTCAACCTCACTGGGCCCTGGGATCGTTGTGTTAGTCAATTCAGGCTGCTATCACAAAGCACAATAAGCTGCGTGGCTTATCAACAACAGAGATTTATTTCTCACAGTTCTGGAGAACAGAAGTCTGAAATCAGGGTACCAGCATTGTTGGGTTCTGGTGAGGGCTCTCTTCAGGGTTGCAGACTGCCAACCTCTTATATCCATACGTGGCAGAAAGAGATCCAGAGAGCTCTTTGGGGATCCCTTTTATAAGGGAACTAATCCCATTCATGAGGGCTTTACCCTCATGACCTAATCATCTCCCAAAGTCCCCACTTCCTAATATCATCACATTGGGGGTTAAGATTTCTACACATAAAATTTGGGGAGATGAAAAGTGTTCAGCTCATAACAATCATCATCCATACCATGATATTATAATACCATCTTTGGCTTGGGGTTATAATGATGAAACATTACAAATACCTAGCACATAATAGAAATCCATATATTTGGAATCTCACACATGCCAAAAGAGAGATCAGGTTTTCTTTTATCTTTTCTTTTCTTTTTTTTTTTTTTTTTTGAGATGGAGTCTCGCTCTGTCGCCCAGGCTGGAGTGCAGTGGCACAATCTCAGCTCACTGCAAGCTCTGCCTCCCAGGTTCACGCCATTCTCCTGCCTCAGCCTCCCGAGTAGCTGGGACTACAAGGCGCCCGCCAATACATCCATCTCATTTTTTGTATTTTTAGTAGAGACAGGGCTTCACCGTGTTAGCCAGGATGGTCTCGATCTCCTGACCTCGTGATCCACCTGCCTCGGCCTCCCAAAGTGCTGGGATTACAGGCGTGAGCCACCGCGCCTGGCGAGATCAAGTTTTCTTTACTGACTTCCTTCTCCTCCATCATGAGAACCACTTCCCTGATTTTAAGTTTCTTGCATTTACCCACAGAGATAGGGGATGTCTTTCCTTGGTGAATGATTTTTAACAAGGTTGTACATGAGAGTAGCAGTAACTAGGGTCTGTGAAAAGATATCAAAGCTAACAGGACTGAGAGGCCCACTTCTAGTCCAACCCTAAAAGGAATCTGAGGGCAGACAGAGGAGGCACCTACATTAGAACAGTCTGTGGTTTAGTTGAAGCTCTCAATACCATAGGTCTGTGTTTCTCTAAATTTCCACCAAAGAACCCTTTATAGTTGCAGAGCAAATGTGTACTGCCAAGAGGTCTAGATACGTATATGGAATTGACTTTCTGCCAGATGGAAATTTCTTAGTGCATGCTTGTGTTCTCATAAAAATTCCCACAGATTCTTGTATTCTATGCCAAAATATATACATATTCAATTTTAAATTAAAAAAAAAAAACCTGTGTCTCCCCACCTGCCATAAAATCTTCAAATTGGCACCTCCAGAAAACGTAGTGTGTTCAGCCTGTGGTTTCATGCTCTGCCTATACTCAGCCCTGGACCCCTCCCGTGGGTGTTGCACCTCCCAGTCTGACAGCATGGCTCAGGAATGTGGGATATGAACCTGGCTGACACTGACATCTCTCTTAGTCCCTAACACCCAACCTGCCCTGCTCATCCCCTGACCACTCCATATCCACAGCATACATAAAACACCATGAAACATACACAGCACACCTGAAAAGCCTGAGCTTTTTGGGGAGGTGATAGGTCTTCAAAGGCCTAGATGGTATGGATGCTGTATTAGTCAGGGGTCTTAGGTAGTAAGCAACAGAAATCGATTCTGGGTAACTTACTTTGAAAGTTCTTTATTGGAAGAGTGAGGCAACAGAAAGATGAAGGAAAAGCTGAAGCTCCATGCTCCAGAAGGACAGGCAGGAGGGCAGTTTGAGGAATCTGGAAAGCAGCAACCAGTGGTCTGTTGCCTTGGACTGCCAGAATTAGGATGAATTGGCCCCAAACATTTTCTGTTTTTGTATCAGTCCCTCAAAATTCAAGTTCCTAGAAGACAGCATCTGATTGACCTAATTTAGGTCACATGGCCCATTTCCTGGCCCAGGGTAGTGGGGTCCCTTGAATGGCAATCTTACCAAGGCTGTATTAAATGCAAGACAGGTCAATCACTAAAGCAAAATTGTAGTGCTGTCACCAGAAAAGTGGCCATTGAGTGCTGAGCAAGAGCAGTTCATGCCTATCCACTATGGATCCCATGACTTTTCTCCAAAGCCAGCCTCGCTCTCCCCAGGGGACTCACGGGTCATCTCTAGGGAGAATGTGCCATCACCAAATCACCAGCGTCACCAGCTGCTGCTGCATGTTCCTTCCTCAGGACACAGGCCTCTCACCCCAAGCAAGAAGGTCCACTGTGAAGTTCAAAAGCCCAAGGGAAGAAAGCCTACCTGGAGACACACTTGTCCTCTGTTGACAAAAAGAGTCAAACTCTGTAAAGCATTTTTAGAGATTTATTCTGAGCCAAATATGTGTGACCATGGCCCGTCACACAACCCTCAAGAGGTCCTGAGAACATGTGCCCAAGGTGGTCAGGGTAGAGCTTGGTTTTATATATTTTAGGGAGATATGAAACATCAATCAAATACATTTAAGAAATACATTGGTTTGGTTCAGAAAGGAGGGACAAGTCAAGGTGGGGGCTTCCAGGCTATAGGTAAATATAAACATTTTCTGGTTGACAACTGGTTGAGTTTATCTGAAGATCTGGGATCAATAGAAAGGAAATGTTCAGGTTAAAATAAAGGATTGCGGAAACCAAGTTTTATTGTATAGAGGAAGCTCTCAGATAGCAGACTTCAGAGAGAGCAAGTTGTAAAATGTTTCTTATCAGACCTAAAAGGGTGTCTGGTTCTAGCTGATTATCTCCTGGATCTGGAAAGGAAGGAAGGAAAACAAAGGGGAAAAGAGATTCTTTATAGAATGTGGATTTTTCCCACAAGAGACTTTGCAGGGCAATTTCAAGAAATGGCTAGGAAACATATTTAGGGTTAAATATTTTGATTTTCTTTCTTGTTATATGAGAGTCAGATTGGAAAGTAAGTCATGATATACAGGGTTAAATAAAACTCATCTGATAAGAATGTATGGTTTGTAGGGCATGATTCCCCAGACCCCTTAGATAAGAATTTGGGCAAGATCAAAAAATCAGAGCTTAGTCCTCACCTCTGCGGGATAACCCACAATCAGAATTAGAACCATTCAGGAGAACAGGAGGGGGTATGGCCACAAAAGGTTCCCAGAGGTAGCCTGACCACTTTCACAATTTCGCCACAAGCAGGTGCTAGGCCTAGAGGTCTTTACCATAGAAAGTCCCGAAAGCCAAAACTGACAAATGGGATCTAATTAAACTAAAGGGCTTCTGTACAGCAAAAGAAACTACCATCACAGTGAACAGGCAACCTACAGAATGGGAGAAGATTTTTACAATCTACCCATCTGACAAAGGGCTAATATCCAGAATCTACAAAGAACTTCAACAAATTTACAAGAAAAAAAATCAAACAACCCCATCAAAAAGTGGGCGAAGGATATGAACAGACACTTCTCAAAAGAAGACATTTATACAGCCAACAGACACATGAAAAAATGTTCATCATCATTGGCCATCAGAGAAATGCAAATCAAAACCACAATGAGATACTGTCTCATACCAGTTAGAATGGTGATCATTAAAGTCAGGAAACAACAGGTGCTGGAGAGGATGTGGAGAAATAGGAACACTTTTACACTGTTGGTGGGACTGTAAACTAGTTCAACCATTGTGGAAGACAGTGTGGCGATTCCTCAAGGATCTAGAACTAGAAATACCATTTGACCCAGCCATCCCATTACTGGGTACATACCCAAAGGATTATAAATCATGCTGTTATAAAGACACATGTACACGTATGTTTATTGCGGCACTATTCACAATAGCAAAGACTTGGAACCAACCCAAATGTCCAGCAATGATAGACTGGATTAAGAAAAAGTAACACATATACACCATGGAATACTATACAGCCATAAAAAAGGATGAGTTCATGTCCTTTGTAGGGACATGGATGAAGCTGGAAACCATCATTCTCAGCAAACTATCACAAGGACAGAAAACCAAACACTCCATGTTCTCACTCATAGGTGGGAATTGAACAATGAGAACACTTGGATACGGGGTAGGGAACATCACACCCCGGGGCCTGTCGTGGGGTGGGGGGAAAGGGGAGGGATAGCGTAAGGAGATATACCTAATGTAAATGACGAGTTAATGGGTGCAGCACACCAACATGGCACATGTATACATATGTAACAAACCTGCACGTTGTGCACATGTACCCTAGAACTTAAAGTATAATTAAAAAATACATAAATAAAAAAAAAGAAAGTCTCGAGCCAGGCCTGGTTTGTCAGCCAGAGTCTTCCATCTGCAACGTCAAAACGCAGAAGCAAACAGACAAAACCTCTACAACTGGCTGGGCATGGTGGCTCATGCCTGTAATCCCAGCACTTTGGGAGGCTGAGGCGCGTGGATCACCTGAGGTCAGGAGTTTGAGACCAGCCTGGCCAACATGGTGAAACCCCTCTACTAAAAATACAAAAGTTACCCAGCCGTGGTGGTGCACACTGTAATCCCTCCCACTACTCAGGAGGCTGAGGCAGGCAAATCGCTTGAACCCAGGGGGCAGCGGTTGCAGTGAGCCGAGATCATGCCACTACACTCCAGCCTGGGTGACAGAGTGAGACTCTGTCTCAAAAAAAAAAAAAACCCCAAAAAACTAAAAACCTCCACAACAGCAACAGCTAAATGTATAATGCACAAATCACACTTGCTATGAAACATTCAAGTAATGCAGAAATATATAAAGGACTAAAGCCTGCAAAATGACTCTCTTCTATTTTCCCAAATCTCCCAAATGTGTGGCCTATTTTACAGAATCTCCAGGTGACTGCTTCCCCCTTCTCAGCTGACAGCAAGAGGAGTCTCTAGAGAGGAAGAAAAGAGGAGACAGGGCAGGGAAATTCCAGCTGCCGTTTCAGGCCTGAAACTAGAGCTGGGAAGAAAGCAGGGGCCGTCTCTGACACTGCCTTTATACGCAGTAGTTAGAACCTGGGTACACTAGCAAAATGAGGAACTAGCGAAAAGAAAGGAGGGGCAGCAAAGAGAGAGAGAAAAGTCAAGCTCTCCTTTACTCCCGTGTTCCATCCATTTTACTCCCACCCCAGAGGTAACAACTGTTACCAACCTTTCCCTATGCATTTACTTGTATATGGCAGATAAACAGATGAGAAATTAACTCAGTATTATTCTCCTACAGACATTTACGAAAAGATGAGACACAGATTTGGCTCCTCCATCTCTTAAGGAGGCAGGTTGTTCCTGGTCTCCAGGAGGACTGGGCCTTCCCCGACACCTTCTCCATTAGAAAGGGTTCTGCATGAGCAGGAGCTTTGATTATTCTTGTTGTCTCCCCAACACTGAGAATGGAGCTTGGTGTATGGTAATCACTCAATACATATTTTTGAATGAATGAAATCTTTTCCCTCTCCTCAGCTAAGATTCCTATTACCAACACTCTCTCCTAATTTGATCAAGTTTGAGTGGATTACAGTTCTTTTCCAATCAATGATCCCATAGTCTTGGTTGTTCACTCGGAGATAGTGGACCTATTATGGAGCTGGAAAAGCAGGACTATGTTAGTTTTAGAGTCAGAGGACCTACTTTTGTGTTGCCCACTAGCTGAAGGACCCTAAAGAGGGATAGTGGATGCTGGGGTACATCACCCCAGATCCCCTCTACCAGGCCTGAAGCAGTCATTCCCCCCAGCAGCCGGAAGTATCAAAGGCTGACAGTGGTAGGCAGAGTCTCCCAGGGGAACTGCCCTTGGCTGAAGAGGAGCTTCTCTCTCAAGGTGATGTCCTCTTCCTGGGGCAGCCCAAGGACTGCCTCTGTGCAGGAATATCAAGGCTCCGCCCCCTGCTGCCAACAGGGGACACCTCTGCAGAGCACTCCAGAGGTATAGTGATAGCATCACAGCCCAGCCTCTCCCTCTGCCCAGTCCTGCCTTCTCCACTCCCCCTCAGGGTGTTGATCCTGGGAACACTTCCCAATACACTTCCTGCATGACAATCTGTCTCAGAATCTACCTCCCAGAAAGTCCAAGATGCAACAAGAGGCCACTTAATCTCTCTGTTCCCAGCCTCCTTATCTGTACAATATAGGTATTAAAGAACATGGGCTTTCAAGTCAGACAGATCCGGATTTTAACCTTAGATCGACCACTTGCCAGCACTGTGTTTTTGAGCAATTTAACCTCTCAGAGACTTAGTTTCTCATCTGTAAAATGGGGTAGAGTAGACACTTCAAGTGCCCTGTATCACATCCCCTCAGCCTCCCTGTGGTATCAGCTGCAGCTGTGGAGGAAAATTTCATGCCATCCTTGTACTGATGTACAAATGTGATGGCTCACCATTTGTTCTTTACATTTTGTTTGTTTGTTTGTTTTGCAACAGCAAGATTTATTGTGGAGAGTGAAAGAACAAAGCTTCCACAGCGTGGAAGGGGACCCGAGGGGGTTGCCCTGTTCTTTACATTCTTTACCTCAGAGCTCCAGCACTCCTTTACCTTTATGCCCAGACCACTAGACCTTTATGCATTTCAGTGATGTGTCTGGGCCCTAAATTTGGGTAGGAGTTATTTCCCACCTTCTGGAGTGAATGTGTCATGCCACAGTCTTTAATATACTTGTCATTTCTTGCTCATTTGGTCTCATTAACATGATGTTATTGATATGCTGCACTAATTAGATATTCCATGGAAAATCCAGATGGGCCAGGTCCTTTTGGACATTATGATAAAGGCAGCAAAATTAACATGGCCCTGAGGCAACATGTAAATATATCTAATTGTCTGCTCCGTGTGAATGTGAGCTACTTCTGATCCTCCTTTCTGATAGGGATAGAAAAGAAGGCAATAAGGAGATGATTGGTCATGTACCGCATCTGGAGGGTGTATTCATCCGCTCCAGGAAGATGCCGTGTGTAGCACAACAACCACAAGTAGGGATACTACTTGGTTAAGTTTGTGGGAGTGTACTCTCAGTCGCCATGATTATGCAATTTTTGTAGGGACCAGATTGGTGAATTAAATGGGGATACAACAAAAACCACCATCCCTGTATTTCCTTAATCTTTGAAGGTGGAACTAATTCCTGCCATTCCTCCTGGAATAAAAAACAATCTTGTATTTGATTTACTATCATGGCAAAGGAGAGTCGGCACTTTTAGAGACTCAAGGAATCAATGCTAGGGTTCTACCAACTACCATGTATGTCCATTCCGAAGCGTTCAGGAATCAGGGATAGGACCACAGTGGGTTGGTGGACGCACCCAACTGGACTCACTGTGAATTAGAGCAGGATCACGGCTTCGTTGTCACCTGGAACCCATACTCCCTCATTCTGATGGGAGGGAGGGATATAAAAGCACTTTGGGTCACCAGATATCAGTGTTGAGTTAGACCCCATGGCTAATAGTCCTTCAAAGCCCTCAGAATTCCCCCTTTCTCATGGTGATACACAGTAAATGGCCATAGATTGTTTTAGGAAAGGACTGGGGCATTACTACTGAACACATTTGCCATGATGTTACAGATCCTTCCTCACAGAGACCTAACCTCTCCTTTAGTCAACGGCTCAGGTCAGAAACAGGATAAGAAATCATGATGTATTACTGGGGGTGGCTGCTTTCAACCCCCTGATCATCCATCCTTGATTTCTTTTGACTGTCTAAATTAAGCAATGCACTGTTGGCCACCCATCTATCTTGCTTCTAGGAACACTGTGTTCTATTAGCCATCTCCATAGTGCTCTGTGGGTCAGGATCCAATTTTGCTGTTCATTGCAATTGCAGTCACCTTGGTTTAAAGGTCAAGCACCACCACCTGAACTCTGTTATTTTGGGATTCTATCATACCTATGGGCATCAGGGAGCCCAGTTCTGTAATAGCACCTCCTACTGTCAGTGAAGCTGGTGCCACCTCTAGCTCCCACAGACTCATTCCTTATTGCTTCAGTAAATAGAGTGTTCTCCAGGGCCTCCCACAGAACAGAGTTGGCTGATGGGTTTTCTGGCTTTATGTGCTGCAAACACTCTAGCAGGCCCACTTGTCTGAGACTTTTACTTTTTCTTTTTTTTTTTTTTTTTTTTGAGATAGAGTCTCACTCTGTTGCCCAGACTGGAGTGCAGTGGCACAATCTGGCCCAGGTTCAAGTGATTCTCTTGCCTCAAACTCCTGAGTAGTTGGGGTTACAGGTACAGGCCACCCCACCTGGCTAATTTTTTTTTGTATTTTTTAGTAGAGACGGGTTTTGCCATGTTGTCCAGGCTGGTCTCCAACTCCTGTCCTCAAGTGATCCGCCCACCTCAGCCTCCCAAAGTGCTGAGATTACAGACATGAGCCACCATACCTGGACTACTTCTCCAAGACTTGAACTCCTATCTGCCACAGCAGTTCTAATATTTCTACTTTACTTAGTGTGAACCATTGCTTTTCCTAAGCTTCTAAAATCCATCTCTGAAGTGTGTTCACCCCCTTACCCTGGGTTCCTTGCCAGAGTGTTAAGTTCTGTATCATGGAGAGTACTCCCATATTAACACCTGCTCTTATCCACCTTTACCTTCCTCCCCTCTTGATCCAGCCTACTCAGGACCCTGTTCTGTGCACAGTGCTTGCTTAAATGTATTAGCTAGATCCTGTGGCTCCTGCAGCATATAGTGCCTCTCCTCCCTTAGCATGCTCAGCACAGCTGGGATTTAACTTTTATTAGATCGCCAGGAAGGAAGTAAAGTTGGGTTCTGAGGAGGACAAGCATTCTCATGTAGGGCACCTGCCTCACTGGAAACCTTGTATGATCTTTGATATAGTTTGGCTCTGCATCCCCACCCAAATCTCATGTTGAATTGTAATCCCCAGTGTTAGGGAAGGAGCCTAATGGGAGGTGATTTGATCATGGGGGCAGATTTCCCCTTACTGTTCTCATGATAGTGAGTGAGTTCTCACGAGTTCTGGTTGACAGTGTGTAGCACCTCCCCCGTCTTTTTCTTCTTCCTGCTCCAGTCATGTAGGACATGCCAGCTTCCCCTTCACCTTCTGCCATGATTGTAAGTTTCCTGAGGCCTCCCAGACCTGTACAGCCTGTGGAACTGTGAGCCAATTAAACCTCTTTTCTTCGTAAATTACCCAGTCTTGGGTAGTTCTTTATAGCAATGTGAGAACAGACTAGTGCAATCTTCAAATAAGGGGCACCACTGTTTGCCAACAAGAAGTGTGTCACTTCTGCAAACCCAGTGGGTTCAGAAGGACCTGAGAATTCAAGGTGCTTGACTGCATCTACTCATATATCCCCAACCCAAGTCTCAGGTTCCCAGTCCTCACCTATTATGGCTCTGACCCTGGCATTGGAGGCCTGTCAGGGCTGAAAAATCAAACCTTCTCCAAAGCTCTGCTATTTTTAACATTAAATCCTATGCCTGATCCTCCCTTTGCAGGAGGGATTTCCTTAACAGTTGCCCAGGAGGCCATCTGGCTTTAACATTTTACCTTGGTGATTATTCACTCTGAGGCTATCATTAAGTCTCTTTAGCAAGTAAATGGACTCAGCAATGGTCATTCATTTCCATAGTCCTTATAGTCACTACGGCCCCCAGTTGCCAGAGATACTACACCAATGAGTGTGACCCCTTCCACCCATATACCATATGTAGGGGAGAAAAGATTTATCTTCCTACTCATTGCTAGGTTCTTGGCTGAGACTCTGTAGCAAAAGACAGGTTAACAAGAGAAAAGCATACATATGTATTTAATATTAGTTTTACATGACACAGGAGCCTTCAGAAATGAAGACTCAAAGAAACAGGGAAACCTGTGTATCCTTATGCTTGGCTTTGATGAAGAATGAACAGTCCTGCAGAAGTCTAATGGGACAAAGGGGAGATGATCTAATAGTGATAAACTGCAGAGGGGGATCTTCACAAGGCCTCTTTGTTTAGACTCTTGTCCGTTCTTGTGTGACATTCCCTCAAGGTATAGGGCAGGACACCTGTCACCTGAGGGTTTTCAGGAGAGAAGGGTGGGAGAAGGTCAGATTGTCACCTTCCTAAGTTTTATGGCCTTGCTTCAGGGAAGAAGGTAGAGGGGAAGGTGAGAGTAGCCTTCCTGTTTCTACTATTTTCTCAATTTCCAAGGTGTTATTATTTGAAGCAGCATTTTCTGCATCCCATCACGCCCCAGTTCACCAGAAATGCAAGTTTTAGCCATCATGCAGTTACAGCATGGCAGGGACTATCCTTACCACTCCTATACCAGTTCATGGAGAGCTGACTAGCAAGTGATCCCTCTCCAAACTCCCACTTTAGAGTCTGCCACCTTGAACCCCTCTGACACCAACTGTCCTAAGTTTGGGTTCCCTGGAAGCAGACTCTGAGATGGAGGTGGTTTCTGTCTGCAGAAGGTTTCTTAGGCAGTAATTTTGGGAGATACACCTGTACGTAAGTGAGAGGGCAGGATTGAGAAGAGGGAGAAGATGACCCCCAATGTGGTTGCAACCAGGAAGAGCCAATCCTACAGGGAGCTCTGAGCCACATGGCCCTTCAGAGGGTCCCAAATTGAGGCAAGGGGCCCAGGCTTTATATCCTCACGTCAGCCAGTCACAGCCTAATGACTACCCTTGGGGTCTGGGCATCACCTTGGTGGAAGCAGTGACTTGTGGCCAAGGGCAATTCCCAGTGAGGGAAGTAGCCAATATTCCCAGCAGCTGGGAATGAGTGTGTGGGCTCTGAAGAGGAATCTGAAAGGAACATTGCTATATCCACTAGAATATGCATCTCTGAATGAGATAAAATGTGTGAAGAGAGCTTAGCAATATGCCAGGTACATATTTTTTAAGTTCCTACATGATATGGCTTGAATGTGTCCCTCAAAGTTCATGTGTTGAAAACTCAATCCCCAATGCAGCAGTTTTGAGAGGTTAGACCTTTAAGAGGTGATTAGTGGCCAGGCATGATAGCTCATGCCTGTAATTCCAGCACTTTGGGAGGCCAAGGTGGGAGGACTGCTTGAGAGCCTGGGAGTTCAAGACCAGCCTAGGCAACATATGGAGACCCTGTATCTACAAAAAATAATTTAAAAAAAAACAGCTGGGTGTGCTGGTGCATGCCTGAAGTCCCAGCTACTAAGGAGGTGGGAGGATCACTTGAGCCTGGGAGGTCAAGCCTGCAGTGAGCTATGATTGCACCGCCGCACTTCAGTCTGGGCAACACAGTGAGTCATGTCTCCAGGAAAAAAAGAAAAAGAGGTGATATGTCATGTGGGCTCTGCCCTCATGAATGGATTAATGCCACTATTGAAGGAGTGGGTTCATGATCTCAGGAGTTTGTTTTTTGATAAAAGGAATGAGTTTGGCCTTCGTCCCCTCTTGCTCTCTCAGGCTCTCTTGCCCTTCCATCTTCTGCCACAGGATGACACAGCATGAAGGCCCTTGCCAGATGCAAGTCCCTTGATCTTAGACTTCCCAGCCTCTAGAACTGTAAGAAATAAATCTCTTTTTAAAATAAATTACCCAGTCTATGGTATTCTGTTACAGCAACACAAAATGGACTAAGACACTATTATTGTTATTTATAATAGTTATGATTTATGTAATGAGGATAAACCATACAAAGTTGCTTACATTTAACAGTGTTTGACTTATTAATATGGCAATTTCATATAGTTTAACCTTGTAACTAATAAGAACAATTAGCAATCTAATGCCTGTTCTACATATAAGATTATTTTGAGGATCAACTAGAAATGGATATATAGGAAACTGTTTTGTAAAAGTGAAACGTTCTATTAAAATGTTGAGGCCAGACATGGTGGCTCACACTTGTAATCACAGCACTTTGGGAGGCAGAGGTAGGAGGATCACTTGAGCCCAGGAGTTCAAGACCAGTTTAGGCAACATTATGAGATCCCATCTGTACAAAAAACACAAAAATTAGCCGGGCATGATGGGGCACACTTGTAGTCCCAGCTACTCAGGAGGCTGAGGTGAGAGGATTGCTTTTAGCCTTGGAGTTCAAGCATTATGTGAGCTGTAATGCACCACTGCACTCAAGCCTGGGCAACAGAGCAAGATCCTGTCTCAAAAAAACAAAAAAACCTCACATGTTGACATACTAGATTATTGCTGTTATCTATTTTTACTACCACAACATCTAATAGAACAACTATGTTCAGGCCTCCCCAGCCAATGAAAATAAACTGCCTTATCTCCATTTAATGCTCAAGCTACAATTTCCTTTGAACCCTACTGGCCCACATAGGAACTCAGTCCCTGCAGGACCATCCCTAGCTATTTTGGAGAGGCCCCAGGTGCTAAGTTACCACTGCCCCAGAACTTGCCCTTATGTTCTCCCCCTCCAGCTTCCTTAGTCTGCACACCTGCTGCGATTTCCCACACTGCTGAGCTTGTCTGTCCCTGCACCGAGCCCAGCATTCTGAGTGGGATATTGTTTTGTAAAGTGAAAAGTTCTATTAAAATGTTCAGGCCAGGTATGGTGGCCACTCAGCCCCAAGCATGGCCAGAGCCTTCCCCTCAGTGCATCATACTCAACAGAAACCAGATGCAGTGTCTAGCAGGAGCTGATTAAATTTGGGCACCATGGAAGAAGAATAAAATACAAAGAAATACATACTCAACACAGTGACCAATGTGGATTTTATCAGAGCCCAGGTTGGTACCCAGATAATCTCATAGGACCACCTAGCTGTTCAGCCCCAGCTTGTTCCCCATCAGCAGGGTCCAGCCCAGCTCCTTCTCTCAGGTTGCCTGGAACATGTCTTCCCTTGTAGGGCAGACCCAACTTTGTTGAGAGAGAGAGAGAGAGAGAGAGAGAGAACACACTTCTTTCTCACCCCAAAGGTCCACATCTTGAGTTCTCAATTTCTACCCCAGGACAAACTTCCTCCCAAGATGACTGGCATGGGAACATTTCTTCAGTGGAATCTACCCCACTCCTCAGGCTTGGACTTGCCCTTTGCCAACAGCAGGACAATTACATAAATACACAATGGCTCAAGTTCAGTCCAGGATATTGTGGATATATTATGTGTCCAGCCCAGCCTGGTCCAGGCCCTTTTCAGTTTCTTTTCCAATCGACAACCTTGTCTGAAAGTACTCTCTGCAGTACTCTGGAGTTCCAAAAATCTTCCAAAACATTTGTCCAAAGCAACTGCCATTCTATAAGAACAAGCAACAGTTTATTGCCTGGGGCACTCTTGAATTAAGGCAGAACTGAGAAACCTTTCTCTACCCTCCACTTACCCTAAAGAGTACAGTATTAGCAGAGCATCTACTGCATGCACCATAGGCAATGACTCCCCTGCCCCCATGAGCCTCCCAGCCAGTGGAGGTCAAAGACATGAAGTCATGAACCTACCAGGAGAGCCCTGGTTGAAGGGACAAGGGTCCTCCATATGATGGGAGTTTGCTACAAGACCAGGATGCTTTTTTTTTTTTGAGACGGAGTCTCGCTCTGTCGCCCAGGCTGGAGTGCAGTGGCGCAATCTCGGCTCACTGCAAACTCCGCCTCCCGGGTTCACACCATTCTCCTGCCTCAGCCTCCCAAGTAGCTGGGACTACAGGCACCCGCCACCAGGCCTGGCTAATTTTTGTATTTTTAGTAGAGACGGGGTTTCACCGTGTTAGCCGGGATGGTCTTGATCTCCTGTCCTTGTGATCCACCCGCCTCGGCCTCCCAAAGTGCTGGGATTACAGGCTGTGCCACCACACCCGGCCAAGACCAGGATGCTTTTTATGTACTGCTAGAGAATTACGGTCAACAGCTTCTGAAAAGCACCTGGTGACCTCCACCTCCTAGTATTCATGCCCTGTGTAGACCTCTCCATGTGTGTGTGTATGTGTGCGTGCACATCTGTGTGATGGTTAGGTGTATGGCGTAGGGGACCTGGACCTAATGACTTTTGAGAACTAGAATACAACAAAAGTGGGTGGGGAGCAATGGCTCATGCCTGTAATCACAGCACTTTGGGAGGCTGAGGAGGGCAGATCGCTTGATCCCAGGAGTTCAAGACCAGCCTGGGCAACATGGAGAAACACCATCTCTACAAAAAATACAACAATTAGCCAGGTGTAGTGGTATGTACCTGTGGTCTCACCTACCCAGCTACTTGGGGTCTGAGGCAGGAGGATCACTTGAACCCAAGAGGTGGAGTTTGCAGTGAGCTGTGATAGCACCTCTGCACTCCAACCTGAGTGACAGAGTGAGACCTCGCCTCAAAAAAGAATAAAAAAGTGATAGGCTGTCTCTTCTGAGAAGAGATTATAAAAGCCAGGGACATCCAACTTGGCTTGCATGCTCTGTTTCCCCATCAGCGTGTAGGAGACGCCCATGAGGCAAGGACCTGAGAGGAGCCTGCTCAGTCCAACAGCTCCCCAGGACCTGAATTCTGCCAGCAACCTCGGGGGTGAGCTTGGAAGCCCATCCCAGTGCAACAGCTGCAGAAAGTCCTGGTGAGCCAGACCAGGAGAGAGGCCTTTGCTAGTCATCACTCTCAGCTGATAAGATGCTGAAACGTGGTGGTCAAAATCTTACGGTTTTGAACCAGGTAGCCTAGCTGCCACTCACCCTTCTGCCCTGAAATGAATGAAACCTTGACATTGTCACTTTCTCCCTCTGCACCTCCTTATCTGCATTTGTGAAATAATGGGGTGGGTGGGAAGTAGGCAGTGGTTCTGATTGGAGGAGGTGATCTCCACAGCCCCCGACTCACTGCGTGTTTTTGGGAGCTTTGCTCCCCTGTGCTGGGCCTCAGTTTCCCCAACTATAACATGAGAGTTGGCGATGGGGGTGGGGAGGTGGAGAATATATGAGACAATCTCTAGGTGAATATTCCAGTTCCAAAAATCATAGAGCCATAATGTCAGAGGTAGGAGGCTGCCTCCCTTCTCAACAGGAGTGACATCTTTTCCCCTAACTTTCTGGTCAAGCCCTTCCTGGCCTCTTTAATGAGAGGATGGTGGACTTTCTAACCTGGGATTCCTGATTCGAGTTGATCTTGCACAAAACAAATGAACCAGAGACAGAAACCAACTATGGCATGGTGGAGGCGCTGCCAGAAGCCCCTTAACAGCGTGCCTCTCATTGAGATCCAAGTCCCCACCCCCAGCCCTCTCGGCAGCCCCTCACCCCTCAGATTCTATTAAATGTTAAATTCCCCATCATGCACTTGGGCCTACTGCTTGGAGGTTACTAGCTGTTCTTAAGAGTTCTTTAAACAACTCCACTTGGGCTCCCAGCCACGGAATTCTTCCTGCTCATGCATTACTTAGATTAGCTAAGGATGTTGGCATTTAGAGCCAAACTCCAGCACTTATCTCTGAAGGCGGCCTCATGCCTGCCGCGGCTGTTATTTTAATGCAGTGCTCCTCTGCAGAGATTGCTCTTAGTCATGTGGGGTATTATATAGGCTCTCTCTGTATCTATAATTCTGCATATTTTTACAATTAGTTGGCTAGGAGTATATTCCACCGTGGGCCTCTTGCATGTCAATCTGTCCAGGAGACGAGGCAGCAGACTGTGCCCACTTTTGCTCTCTGGCCCCTCCTTCAGAGGACCCCACCTTGCCTCTCAGCTGAGACAGAACACGTCTAGTGCCCTCCAATGCCCCAGATGCTGAGAGGCCCGCATGTTTGCATGACACTTGACAACTTAAAAGTTTCACTTACACTCCTCATACCTCTGTGGTTGCTATTTTATAAAGAAATTACAACTGTAATCCCAGCATTTTGGGAGGCTGAGGTAGGTGGTTTACTTGAGGTTAGGAGTTTGAGACCAGCCCGGTCAACACGGCAAAACCCTGTCTCTACTAAAAATACAAAAATTAGCCAGGCATGGTGGCATACACATGTAGTCCCAGCTTCTCAGGAGGCTGAGGCAGGAGAATGGCTTGAGCCCGGAAAGTGGAGGTTGCAGTGGGCCAAGATCACACCACTGCATTCCAGCCTGGGTGACAGAGAGACTCTATCTCAAAAAAAAAAAAAAAAAAAAGAAGCTAGGTCTCTCAGAGGAAATCTTGGTCAACTATGATGCAAAGCACAAAATGTTAATTATTTTCACTGAGCAGCCAAATTTCTTCACTTTGAGTCCAGGGCTTTTCCTAGTCTACCTCAACTGCCTATTGTTTATTAAAAGGAACCCAAGTTTGAGAAATGGATGCCCTATACCAAGATGGTCCATATCTGACATATCATTTAGGATAAGGCTCATCTGCTATAACAAAGAGATCCAACTAAACCATGGCTTAGGGAGCAAAGGAATTTATTTTTCCTACACAGTATAGTCCTTGAAGGCTGGCAGCTCTGCAGCCCATAGTCCCTCAAGACCCAGGCTCTTTCCAAGTTATTGTTCTGCCATTCCAAGAGCCCAGTTCTCAACTGCATGGTTGACGCCGGGTTAGCAGCCATATCTGGGTTGCTGCTAATGGGAAGGAAAAAGAGGAGGAGAATGTTAAGCCCTAGCCCCTTAAATGCCACATGTCATTACATCACTTACACTTCACTGGAGAGAATGTGGTCATATGGCCACCCTTAACTGAAAGGGGAGCTGGAAAATATAATCTTGGCTATAAGCCCAGGAAAGAAGGGAGATGGACTGTTGTAGGTAGTAGCGGAACCTCCGGCACAAAGCCTTGACAATCTCCAAGCATTCCTCATACTCTCTTTGACCTCCTCTTAAGAAAACACCTCTCGCCGGGCACGGTGGCTCATGCCTATAATCCCAGCACTTTGGGAGGCCGAGGCAGGCGGATCACGAGGTCAGGAGTTTGAGACCAGCCTGACCAACATGGTGAAACCCCACCTCTACTAAACATACAAAAATTAGCCGGCCATGGTGGCACACACCTCTAGTCCCAGCTACTCGGGAGGCTGAGGCAGGAGAATTGCTTGAACCCGGGAGGCGGAGGTTGCAGTGAGCTGAGATCACGCCACTGTACTCCAGCCTGGGCAACAGAGCAAGACTCCGTCTCAAAAAACAAACAACAACAAAAAAACACACCTCTCTCACTAATCTCTCCTTGTACTTAAAAACCATTTAAGGGTCCAACCACTTAAACCAACCATTTAAATTCTTTGGTTGTTTTGAAGGTCCTTTGGTCTTTTAGCAATCATTATTTAAATATTTGTCATTTTTCAATTACTATCCATTCTCTGTACTAAGCACCTAACAGAAACATCTTTAATTCTCAAAATACCCTATTAAGAAAGTATTGGACCAGGCGTGGTGGCTCACACCTGTAATACCAGCACTTTGGGAGGCTGAGGCAGGCAGATCACTTGAGGTCAGGAGTTCGAGACCAGCTTGGCCAACATGGTGAAACCCCATCTCTACTAAAAATACAAAAAAAAAAAAAATTTAGCCAGACATGGTGATGCGCGTCTGTAATCCTAGCTACTCAGGAGGCTGAGACACCAGAATCGCTTGAACCTGGAAGGCAGGGGTTGCAGTGAGCCAAGATTGCACCACTGCAATCCAGCCTGGGTGACAGAGCGAGACTCCCCAAAATAAAGTATCATTATCCTTCCTTTATACATGAGGGGATTGAAACCCAGGAAAATTGAGTTTTCCATGTAAGGTAGAGTCAGAACTTAAACTTGGTTGACTTCTAAGGCATATCTACATCTCATTTAAAAACAAACCAAAAAAAAGCTTTTAAAAAATAAATAATTTTTAAAAAGTAAAAAAACTCATTTCTGATCCCAAAGCCCAAACTCTCCCTGTGCCACCACAGTGATCCTAGACTGATGCGTTTTCTTTGTCACTGTAGCTTTTCTTATCTGGAAATACCTTCTGAAAATTAGGCACTGGTCCAAGAGCAAGATCTGGGGACAGGAAAAGGCAAGAAAGGAAAAGATATCCGGTGGGTGAAGAGGGAAGGCCCGGAACGGGAGGCAGGCGAGGAAGTCTTTGTAGACTTCCTACATTGCCACGGGAAAGGGTGGCGTGGGCACTGGATGGCAGCATATTGACAGCATCTTTTATTTCAGGACTGTGATGCAGTTGCCATCCAGAAGCTCTCTGGGGCTGTGACCCAGACTCTTCAAATTACAAAACAATTTTTAACAAAACCACAGCACATGCTTTGGTGCTGGATATTCTTTTACAGAAGAGGCTGACAAGAAAAATTTTTTTCAAATTCCTTGAGAAAGCCCACTTCTCCCATGATATAGTTTGGATATTTGTCCCCTCCAAAACTCAAGTTGAAATGTAATCCCCAATGTTGGAGGGGGGCCTAGTGGGAGCTGCTTTGGTCATGGGGGTGGACCCCTCAGGAATGTCTTGGTGCCCTCCCCATGGTAATGAGTGAGTTCTCACTCTGTTACCTTGATCTCTGATAGTTTAAAAGGAACCTGGCACCTCCTTCTCTCTCTCTCACCCTGTGACAAGCCTGCTCTCCCTTCACCTTCCACCATGATTGTAAGCCTCCTGAAACTCTCACCAGAAGCAGATGCTGGCACCACACTTCCTGTACAGCCTGCAGAAACATGAGCCAAAATAAACCTCTTTTCTTTATAATTTACCGAGCCTCAGGTATTCCTTTATAGCAGCACAAGAACAGACTAACATATCTTATACTCCATGGGTTAACATAATGGTCAGCCCCTATCAACTGTGTTTTTGAGCAACCTTGTAGTTAGCTTCTGGCATGAGTAGGAGGCCCAGGGTTGAGGAGGAGGGGCCATGTGTCTAATGCCTTCAGGTGACAAACTCAATCTCTGCTTACATCAGTCAGCACAAGTGGGGAGTTCCCAAGACAGGGACCTTAAGGGTTATCTACAATGAGGCCCCATGCAGGGCTACCCTTTTTCTCACCAGTGTATACCATTTGTGTCTCCCCACCTTGGGCTCATTCACTTCCACTTCACTACAGTACCTCTAGGCTGCTTCTGGGGCCTCTACATTTTCCTCCCTCCTGAATTAACTTTTTTTCCTAAAAATATTTAGCTGCTGGTCCTGGTATTTCCTGCTGCATTATCTAGAGCAAATTTAATTCTTCTCCCATATGACAGCTCTTTACATATCTAAAGATGTAGCCCTGTCTTCCAGAGGCTTCTCTTCTTTGAGGTAAACATCTTAAATCCTTTATGCTTTTCCTAGATAACAGCTGAGCCTCCAAACCCCACAAGTTGAGTCTCTCTACCTTCTTTCCTTTTTGTCTGTCTCCCTTATATTAGGAATATTTTGGCAGCAGGCGACAGAAGTCCAATTCAAATCAAAATAAGATGAAATAAACAAATAAATGGGAAGACGTTGAGAAGTTATTGGCTCACAAAGCTGAAAAGTCCAGGAAATGGATCTCTGACTTCGGGCATGGCTGGTTTCAGGAGCTCAAATAATGTGATCAGGGCTTTATTCCCTTTTGTCCATCTCTGAACTCTATTTTCTTCTGTGTTGTCTTCATTCTCAAATATAAGATTTCAACGTAGTGAGGCATCAGAACTCCAGGCTCACATTCTCCCAGTTTTGTAGGCTCAGTGTAATGATTGCAACAGAAGTCTCATGCCTGGGTCTTATTGGCAGGCCTGGGTTACTTATCTTGCCTTGAAGCCAGAGGATGAGATGGATCCTTTATAACCACACAGACTGAGAATGGGGAAGGGAGATATCCCAAAGGAAAATCCCACTGCTAATATCAGAAGAAGGGGAGTAAATGTTGGGCAGGGAAAACAAAACAAAACAATGAAAACAGATGTCTACTCCACCACTCTAACCCCGTCAGCTGCACCACTCTAACTCGCTTCGCTGCCTTATCTTCCTGTCCCCCAAAGTGTTTTGCACAGCGGGAGCTAAAAATTACTTTCTAAATGGACACATCGTGTTCAGAAAAGAAGGCCAACTCTATGCAAAAAAAGGAGATTGTCCCAACAGGAGGCAAATTACTCAACAAATATTTGAGTACTTATTCTGTGCCCAGGCACTGTTCTAGATGAACAAGCAAAACAGACAAAGCTCTTGCCCCCAACGACCTTACCTTTTGGGTAGTCGGGAGAGCAGACGATAAAAAGCGAATGACCAAACAAATGTATAAAATGGCAGGTGATATGCAGCTACAACATGGATGAAGCTTGAAGACATTCATTATGCTAAGTGAAATAAACCAGAGACAAAGGGACAACTATTACATGATTCTACTTATATGAGGTACTGAGAGTAGTCAAATACATGGAAGCAAAAAGTGGAATGATAGTTGCCAGGGGCTGGGGAGAGGAACATATTGTTATTGTTTATTGAGTACAGAGTTTCAGTAGGGGATGATCAAAAAAGTTCTGGAAATAGATAATAGTGGTGGTTGCACAACAATGTAAATGCACTTAGTGCCAATTAAATGTGTAGTTAAAAATGGTTAAACAGCACTTTTGGAGGCCGAGGTGGGCAGATCACAAGGTCAGGAGTTTGAGACCAGCCTGACCAACATGGTGAAACCCTGTCTCTATAAAAAATACAAAAATTAGCCGGGCCTGGTGGTACACACCTGTGATCCTAGCTACTCAGGAGGCTGAGGCAGGAGAATTGCTTGAACCTGGGAGGCAGAGGTTACAGTGAGCCAAGATTGCACCACTGCACTCCAGCCTGGGCGACAGAGCGAGACTCCATCTCAGGAAAAAAAAAAAAAAAGGTTAAAAAGATAAATATATTTAACCACAAAAATGTAAAAGCCAGTGATAATAAGTGCCATAAAGAGGCCAGGTGTGGTGGCTCATGCCTGTAACCCAGGCACTTTGGGAGACTGACATGGGCAGATCACTGAAACCCAGGGGACCAGCCTGGGCAACATAAGGAGACCTCATATCTACAAAGACCAGCCTGGGCAACATAAGGAGACCTCATATCTACAAAGACCAGCCCGGGCAACATAAGGAGACCTCATATCTACAAAAAAATTTAAGAATTAGCCAGCCATGGTGGTGTATGCCTATAATCCCAGGTACTTGGGAGGCTGAGGTGGGAGGATCTCCTAAGCCTGGGAGGTTAAGGCTGCAGTGAGCTATGACCTCACCACTGCATTCCAACCTGGGCAAGAGAATGAGGTCCTGTCTTTAAAAAACAAAAAAAAAGGCCGGGTGCAGTGGCTTACGCCTGTAATCCCAGCACTTTGGGAGGCCGAGGTGGGCGGATCCCCATGTCAGGAGATTGAGACCATCCTGACTAACGTGGTAAAACCCCGTCTCCACTAAAAATACAAAAAAAATTAGCTGGGCACGGTGGCAGGCACCTGTAGGTCCCAGCTACACAGGAGGCTGAGGCAGGAGAATTACGTGAACCTGGCAGGTGGAGCTTGCAGTAAGCCGAGACCACGCCACTGCACTCCAGCCTGGGTGACAGAGCAAGACTCTGTCTCAAAAAAATAAAATAAAATAAATAAATAAATAAATATTTTGTTATGTTTGCTTCATCTTTTTGCTGAGCTTTTGAAAGCAAATTTTCAGACATCATATTTTATAATTCAATATGAATCTCTAGAAAATACATTTCCTACATAACCGTAATGCTATTATTGCACCTAACAAAATTAATAATTTTTAAATTTCTTTACTCAGATTTCCCCAATAGTCCACAAATGTCTTTTTACAATTGGTTTGCTTATATCGTGACCACACATTACAACTTTTGATATGCCTCCTAGTTTTTTTTTTTTTTTTTTTTTTGACAGTCTCACTCTGTTGCCCAGGCTGGAGTGCAGTGGCATGATCTCGGCTCACTGCAACCTCCGCCTCTCGGGTTCAGGACTACGGGCGCATGCCACCAGGCTGAGCTAATTTTTGTATTTTTAGTAGAGACAGGGTTTCACAGTGTTAGACAGGATGGTCTCAATCTCCTGACCTTGTGATCCACCCACCTTGGCCCCCTAAAGTGCTGGGATTGCAGGTGTAAGCCACCACACCTGGCCTGCCTCCTAAATATTTTTTAATGTAGTAGGAGAGTCCCTACCTATCCCTTTGCCTTGTGTTTTCATGCTGTTGACTATTAAAGAGGTTAGTGCAGTTGTCCTATGGAATGTCCACAAATGTTCTGAATTTGTGACTTACATTTTTAAAGACCCCTTTGCTTCTCTGTGGAAAATACACTGTAAAAGGACAAAGATTGAACAAGGATAGAAACAAAGACCAATTGGGGGCACTGCAATAGGAACAAACTAAGTTCACAAGGACAAAGAGGACAAGAATGGAAACAATGGGGGAAAGAGTCGTCAACATGCGCTAGGAGGATGAAAAGTCGATAGACATCCAGGGTGTCTTATCAGACTAGAAGCGGCTGACTCTTAATAGACTGTGCATGGGTGATACCATGTGAAGCAAGTCAACTTACCCTGCAGAAACTCAAAAAGGCTCAGTAACTAGAGGCACAAGGTAATACAGAAAATGAATATGAGGCTTAAAAAAAAAGAGGTCATTTTTATTGCCATCTTGGTATCAGTGGGTTTTGGCCGACTTCTTTACACAACCTGTTTTATCAGCAAGATCTTTATGACCTGTATCTTGTGCCGAACTCCTATCTCATCCTGTGACTTAGAATGCCTAACCTCCTGGGAATGCAGCCCAATATGTCTCAGACTTCTTTTACCCAAGCCCTATTCAAGATGGAGTTGCTCTGGTTCAAATGCCTCTGACAACATCATGCTGAAATTTCAGAACATTAGGAATAAAGAGAAGATTATAAAAACTTCTAGAGAAGAAAAACAGATTGCATATAAAGGATTAAGAATTTAAAACATATCAGACTTCTAACAACTTATATGCTTCAAAATATTGGGGAAAAAATTATTTCCTGTCTAGAATACTAGCCCTTCCAAAACTATCATTCAAGAGTGATAGTGGGCTGGGTGCGGTGGTTCACACCTTTAATCCCAGCACTTTGGGAGGTCAAGGCAAGTGGATCACCTGAGGTCAGGAGTTTAAGACCAGCCTGGCCAACATGGTGAAGCCCCATCTCTACTAAAAATACAAAAAGTTAGCCGGGCGTGGTGGCAGATGCCTGTAATCCCAGCTACTTGGGAGGCTGAGGCAGGAGAATCACTTGAACCCAGGAGGCAGAGGTTGCAATGAGCAGAGATCGTGCCATTGCACTCCAGCCTGGGTGACAGAGTGTGACTCCATAAAAAAAAAAAAAAAAATGATAGTGGATTAAGGAAAATGAGGAAGTAAATCAGAGGAGGACATGGGATCTAGGAAAAAGAGATCCAATATAGAGAAGAGATCCAGTAGATTTCCAGGATAGTGGAGAAAGAAAGTTTTAGGATAAGAGATAAGCCCAGGCCCAGGGAATCCCAGTCTACACTGGAGTGGCAGTCTGGAAGGCTGTAGGAGGGCCTCCTCCAGCAAAACAGTAGCACTGGAAAAAAGAGGTGTTAAACCATGTAGAAAATTCTGAGAGAGGCTGTTGAAAGTCAAATACACCATGCAAATGAAAAAAAAAAAAAAAGAATGAAATAGTTAACTCCAGGTAAAAACAAAGGCCGTATGAGAAAGGAGATGGTATATTGTTTGGCTCAACAGAGAACAGTATTTACCTAGTCATAATATAAACATTGAATATTAATGTAACTGATAATTACAATATAACTCTATTAGGATGAGTTGGGAGGGTAAACAACTGCAGAGAGGAGAGCTGTTTAAGAAAGGTAAATTCTTGGGGGCCAGGCACAATGGCTCATGCCTATAATTCTAGCACTTCAGGAGATAGAGGCAGGAGAATTGCTTGAGCCCAAGAGTTTGAGATCAGCCTGGGAAATATGGTGAAACCCTATCTCTACAAAAACAAATACAAAAAATTAGCCAGGCGTGGTGGTGCACACCTGTAGTCCCAGCTACTCGGGAGGCTGAGGTAGGAGGATCACCTGAGCCCAGGATGTTGAAGCCACAGTGAGCCATTATTGTGCCACTGCACTCCAGGCAGTCAGTAATGATTGTCACCCAGCTGGGTGACAGAGTGAGACCCTGTCTCAAAAAATAAAAATAGAAATGAAGAAAAAGAAATTTTTATTGACCACAATAGAAAATTAATTAAAATTTATAAATTAAGAAACAGAAATTTAAGAATTTACAACAGATATCAGTAAACTACATCCCACAGTGATTAGCAACAGGAAGCAGACAAATCCTAGTCAGACAGAGGTGGGTCCCCAGTGAAACCTGACCTTCAAGCCAAAGACTGTTTGAACCCTAGCTACAAGTCCTGGGTAAATCCTTGGACCAGATTGAGAACCTCTCTTCCCATTTGGTGTGCTTTCCCCTGATTGATCCCTACCCTTCACCTATTTTACATGTATCTACCCTTCCTCAATTGGGATTTTACACCGTCATGCCCACCTTTGAGTGGTACCTTCGTTTTAGGCTTTCTTGCGTACTCACAAACCAATCAGCATGCACTCTCCCATTCTGGGCCCATAAAAGCCTCAGACCCAGCCACATTGATTGAAAGACCACCTGATTTCAAGTGGGGGACCAACCTTGTGTCCCTGCTCTGCTGAGAGCTGTTTTCATTGCTCAATAAAATTCTTCTCTGCCCTCCTCACCCTTTGTCAGCATAACCTCATTATTCTTGGATGTGAAACAAGAACTCAGGACCCACTGAATGCAGGTACAAAGAAGGCTGTAACACTGTGGCCTTCTGCCCTCTGCCAGCAGAAGGCAGCTGCCCTAAACAATAGGAAGCAGCAGCAAGGCCGAGCCACGGGCTGGAGCGGGTCAACGGGGCTGACAGAGCTGTTAACACACTGCCATCCATTGGGCCACGGAAAATGGGACTAAAAGAGCTAATTAGCACACTGTAACACACCCTCTGGGCTTCAGGGTCCAGGGCACCGCTGCTTGGGTGCCACCACATTCCCCTCGTCTGGACACCAGAGTCTACCACAGGAGTCGCTTGTGACACACCTGGTTCAGCCACAAGCCCTGCATGGATCCCACTCCTGTGCCGGCTCTTAGAACAGCTGGCTGGACCCTGCTGTCACTGGCTCACACATCCCCTCCTGCCAGCACAGTCACAGCAGACACAGCACCCACACTGGAGTGCAAGCCAGGCATAGCCCAGCAGTAGATGGGGCCTCTCCTGTGGTGAACCCAGGCCCGAGCAAGGCCTGGGCCAGGGGTATTGCTGGCTGGAGGTCTCTGGCTGGCAAAGTGACCGAGAAAAATCCCGCATCAACAGGTCAAATCTGTTTTTGCTTTAAAAATCTGTTTTTGTAAATAAGGTTGTATTGGAAGATGGCCATGTCCATTTATGTATATATTGCCTGACTGCTTTCTAGATATAAGGCAGTTGAGAAATTGCAACAAAGATTGTATGGCTCACAAAGCTGAAAATATTTACTATCTAGGTTTAGAATGAAAAAAGAAAAATAGCTCAGACTGCTGTAAGCTATGAGAGGTATGCAAAATTTACTTGGCTCAGAGAGACCTGGGACTTCAGTCAGGCCCCTACTCTCATCCCTCACCCCCACCTCTGCATCCCGCCCATGCCCTGGGGGCAATTGTTTAAAGGCATTTTGTTCCTGACTAGCTGGCCTCACCCATTATCTTCATGTTCCTAGAATTTGTGATACAAAGAACAATGTATAACCAATTAATAGCTTATGTTACTTTAATGTAAATTCTTGTTAAACAACTTAGGAACTGCCTCTTCTTTTTTTCCCTTTAAAAACCCATTTGTAGGTGCTGCTAATTAGAATGTATATTCAGGGCAACTTGAATCCATGTTCCTGGGTGGCCATCCTCAAGCTTTGGGCTCAAATGAACTCTATATTTAATCATACTTTCTGAATATTATTTAAGGTTGACAAGAATAAGGGAGATAAATATATACAGAACTAACCAAAGGAGTTAAAAGTGTTTGTTCTGGGCTGCTGTCTTTTGTCTCTGAATATGAGTTGGCTTTTTAAATTACGTGCGTTACTACCTCTGATAAAAAATAAGAAATTCTTATTAAGGAGTTGTCCTGATTCCCCTGGAGGGACACAGGGGGAAGCACTGGTCTGACATCAGGGTTCATGCCTGAGCCTTGCCCTGCTGTCTGCTGCTCTTTGCCAGCTGTCACCATCCCATCTGAATGGGGCTGAGTGACTCAGAGCTGCCTGGCCAGGGTTTTATGGGAACTGGACATAGGATTTTAGATACCTAAATTGGGAGGAACCACTCTGGGGCAGCCTCCTGTTTCAAGCCATCATTTGGTAGTGCCAGTATCATAAATGAGTGGCCGTATATAGCGCAGGGGTTTAAGTGGTGAATGAGCTCTACTGTTAGACTACCTAGCTTCATAAAACCCAGGCTCTCCCTCTAATTAACTAGGACCTGGGCAAGATATTTAATTTCTCTGTGCCTCAGTTTGTCATGGATAAATGGGACTTACAGTGCCTCCTTATAGGACTGTAGCGAGCTTAATTCAACTAACACATATAAAAACACTTATCACAGTGGCAGGCACATATAAGCCTAATGAATGTTAGCTTTTATTCTCATTTTCACAGATGACGTAAGTGAGGTAAGTGAGGTTCAGAGAGGGAAAGTAGCATGCACAATGTCAAACAGCCAACTGGAGACAGAGCTAGGCCTAGTGCCTGGGACTTTTCTGTCTCTCTGCAATACTCTTTCTCCTTGTACCACCCCAAGTTGCTTAGATATACATAAAGCATCTCTGGAGAGATACACAGAAAAATGAACAGTAGTGGTTACCTGTGGGCAGATAGAGACCAGAAGAATTGTGGAAGAGTAGAAGAGAAGACATCTTTTCACTGGAATTTAAAATTTTCAAGCCACATGACTGTATTATTAACACCAAATAAGGAGACAAATAGATGGATTAATTAAATAAATGGGATTGACTGGGTACAGTGGTCCACACCTGTAATCCTAGCACTTTGAGAGGCCAAGACAGGAGGATCACTTGAGCTTAGGAGCTCAAGACCAGCCTGAGAAACATAGTGAGATCTCATCTTTTTTTTTTTTTTTTTTTTTTTTCAAAAAAGGTAAATAAATGGGACTAATAATGCCTTTCTCATGGTGGAGAACAAATGAGATAACAGAAGTGAAAAGACTTCTACACTAAGTGACAACCAGATGTGAAGGGTTATGACTAGTAATTATGGTGCTTTTTAGTAAAAGCAAACTTTGCTCTGGGTTTATGGAACAAACTGTAAGAAAGGACATAAATTTCAGGCTGTTCATTAGCCAAGTTCTCCTCTTTGAGATGAAGTAGGTTTCCTTGGCCACAGGTGAAGCCATCTTGTACTGCAATGGAAATTTCCATCTTGGCATCCACAAATGAGAGCTTCCCTTCCCCCACACATACTGGCTCTCCTGAGCCCAACACATTGCATCCAGGCCGTCAGTTGGAGAACTCTTCTGGAAAACATGATTAAGGCTGCACAAACTGGGGGGTTTATTGGGTATGACAGTGAGGGCCACGGTTTGTTTTTCAAGGGAGGGAGCTAAGTCCCAGAAATAGCTGAGCTCGAGATGGCAGGCGGCTGGCAAAGGCAGGAGGCTCCAGGGCAACGCTCCCAGGCCATGTTGACTTAGGACCGGCTGCCTGAGCATTGTAAACAATTGCAGAAATGATTTCCTACCCTGGCAGAAGTCTTGTTTGGACAAGGGATCCCCCCTCCTTCTTTAAAAGGCAGTTTTATCATTTGTTTGCAAAAATGTTCAATCCCCTCTTTCTTTTCTTGTTCCCTCTGTGGCTCTGGTCTCCCCCAGAGCCAGATGAAAAATCTTTGTGTTTCTTTAATGTTAACCAAACCCCCACTCCTTTTTTAAACTGTTCCAGGTCTGCTGGACAAATACTTCCCAGCAACAGGACTAACAAGCGTCTGTTAAGGATTTTGTTAGGCTGTAGTCTTTAGCTGAAGTGACTTAATTTTTTTTTTCTCCTTGCTTATTACATTTTTAACTCCTAACACAATAAAATCTGCACACACAAGGATTGGGAGAGCCATAAAAATGAAACTCATAATGTCTTGGCCTGAACTAGCGAATGCTCCATCTAGACACTGATGTAACAGATTTGGTCTCACCCATCCTCCCAAGATGTCAGACTAGGAAATAAAACTAGTTGTAAGGGAGTAAGCTTAAAACAGAATTGTGAGCTCTGTCAGGCTGCTGGCTGGGGTGGGGCTTCTGAGAGGCTGGGGGATGGGCTGCACATTCTGAAAAGCAGCCAGAACACTGAGCAGCTCAGAAAGAAGGAATACTCTGTTCTTGACCACCCAGGGACAAGGGCAGCCAGGGGCCAGATGCGGAGCGTGATATGCTAACCTACATAGCCCACATGTCACCTCACTCCAAAAGGGAGGAGGAGGAAAAGAATAAGGAGGGATAAGAGTGGAAGATGGAAAAAGGAAAAGAAAGAGAGGGAGAGGAGATAGGAAGGAAGGGGTGCTTGGAGAGCAGAGGCGGCAGAGGCTGTATCAGTCATAGTCCCAGCTGGAAACAAGCCACTCACAAGCTTGGTAATGGAAGAGAGTTTAGTAAAGGGATTATTGACGAGGTATAGGCAAGAGTTAAGGGAAACCAAGAGGATGGTGCTACAATCCCATAGCCTGCAGCCACAGGGGAGGAGCTGTTACCACTGAGACCTGAAGGTCTTCCTCTAAAGACATTACGTAAGACATAGCTTCTCATCATTATTTCACCAGGAAATATATCACTCTACTTGAGGACATGTTAGAGACAGATGATGAATCCAAATTTAGAACTGACATAGGAGAAAACTGAGGTATAAACAGGCTGGTGGTAAGCATTAAATGTGTTTGAACATGAAAGCCTATATAACCGTAATGATCACATTTACTGGAAAATAATATAATCGTTATAGTTATTGTGGGAAAAAAAACACTCTACAAAATGTTTCTTTGTTAATCATTGCTGTTGTTGATAATAGAACATATGGGGGAAATTCCTAAAACTATAATTAAAGAAGGAATGGAAGGAAAAGGAGATTGGTGTTTGCTTGTTTGTTTTTATGGTAGCAAAATATATATAACATCAGATTTACTCTTTTTTGGAGATAGGGTCTTGCTCTGTCACCTAGACTGGAATGCAGTGATGCAATCACGGCTCACTGCAGCCTCAACCTCTCAGACTTGAGCAATCCTCCCACCTCAGCCTCCCAAGTAGCTGGGACTACAGATGTTCACCACTATGCCCAGCTAATTTTTAAATTTTTTGTAGAGATTGGGTCTTTCTATGTTGCTCAGGCTGGTCTCAAACTCCTAGATTCAAGCAATCCTCCTACTATGGCCTCCCAAAGTGCTGGGGTTACAGGTGTGAGCCAACATGCCTGGCCAAATTGACCAGTTCTGTGGTGTTAAGTACATTCACACTGCTGCACAATGATCACCACCATTTATCTCCAGAACTTTTATCTTCCCAAACTGAAACTCTATACCCACTAAACACTAACTCCCCATTCTCTTTCCTTAACCCCTGGCAACAACCATTCTACTTTTTGTCTCTATGATTTTTGACTATTCTAGATATCTCAAATAAGGGGAATCATACAGTGTGTGTGTGTGTGTGTATGTGTGTGTGTGTGTGTGTGTGTGTCTTATTTCACTTAGCATAACGTCCTCAAGGTTCATTCATGTTGTAGCATTTATGGGAATTTCCTCCTCTTTTAAGGCTGAGTATTTCATTTCATATATATATATATATATATATATATATATATATATATATACACACACACACACACACACACACAGCATTTGTTAATCCACTCATCTGTTAATGGGCACTTGGGTTGCTTCCATCTTTCGACTGTTGTAAATAATGCTGCTATGAACATGGGTGTGCAAATACATAAGTCCCTGCTTTCACTTCTTTTGAGTAGAATTGCTGAATCATATGATAATTCTATGTTTAATCTCCTTTTTAAAATTTTAGTTATTTATTTAGAGATGGGGTCTCACTCTGTCACCCAGGTGTAATGCCCTGGCTACGATCACACCTCCCTGCAGCCTTGAACTCCTGAGCTCAAGTGATCCTCTCACCACAGCCTCCCGAGTAGCTAGGACTACGGGCGTGCACTGTTGTGCCTGGTCTATGTTTAATTTCTTGAAGAATCACCACACCGTTTTCCACAGTGGCTGCTGCAAGGGTGATTTTTTTAAATCGCCAATTTCCGTTTTTTTTTTTTTTTTTAAGAGGGAATAAATGGTACTGTTTCTTTTTTGAAGATTATAAATTGAGAAATACTGATTGAATATATTATTTTTATTTATTTGTTTGTTTTCTGGAGACAGGGTCTAACTCTGTCACACAGGCTAGAGTGCAGTGATGCAATCATAGCTCACTGCAGCCTCAACCTCCCAGGCTCAAGCAGTTCTCTTACTTTAGCCTTCTGAGTAGCTGGGCACCACAGGCACATGCCATCACAACCAGATAATTTTTAAATTTTTGTAGAAATGGATTCTTATTAGGTTGCCCAGGTTGGTCTTGAACTCCTGGACTCAAGTGATCCACCTGCCTTGGTCTCCCAAAGTGCTGGAATTATAGGCATAAGCCACTGTGCCTGGCCTAAACATATTATTTACAATCACAAAGATATCTACCAGTAGAACTAAAAAACAGCTTGAATACGTTCCATATTTGAAAGCAACAAACAAAAACAGATCACATAGAAACCAAAGCTGAGAATACAAAAATATGACAGAAGTAGACTAAACCTGTCTGTTATAGGCTTGAATAAAACTGATATAAACTCACTTTTGAATGTAAAATGGGAGGCATTGATATGTTATCAATGAGAGATATACCTAAAACAACAGAACCCACAAAGGTTGAAATTAATGAAGGAGTAAACATATTCCAGGCAAATCCAAACAAAAAGTAGGCAAGAGTTTTGTCAATGACAGGCTGCATGCAAGCAAATATATATTACAATAAGTTAATAGCACTGAAATACATAAAGTAAAAATATAAAAATTATAAGGGTTTATTTACAGGATGCAATACTCAACTAAGCACAGAAATCAACTGCAACAAGGTGCTTTAACTCACCTCTCAGACGATGGCGAATCAAATAGAGGAAACATAATTGAGATTTTGAATGATATTTTTAATAAGATTGATAATAGATGATAGCTAGTTAACTAGCTTGCCGGACAGGTAAAGAGTATTTAAGTCTATATTCTGAATATAGAAACTATATCTTATTCTCAAGTTCCCATGAGATATTTCAAAATTTGATAGTACAACAGGCCACAAAGAAAATTTACAAAAAATTGAAACAGAAGCAGTCATATTCTGACTACAGTGCACCAAAACTGAAAGTAATAAAAATAGAACATGTAAAAACAATCTCCTAAATGCTTTGAGTCAAAGAAGAAATCAAAACAGTAACTGTAGAATATTTAGACAAAGAAAACAGCACATATAAAAAAAAAAAAATCAATGACCTTGAAAACACGCTAAGTGAAAGAAGCCAGACACAAAAGGCCATACACTATATGATTCCATTTATATGAATACCCAGAATAGGCAAATCCATAAAGACAGAAAACAGATTAGTGGTTGCCAGGGGCTGAGGAGAGAGGGAATGGGAAGTCACTGCTTAATGAGTATGGAGTTTCCTTTTGGGGTGATGAAAATGTTCTGGAAATAGAGAGTGGTGGTTGTTGCACAGCACTGAGGATGTATTAAATGCCACCGAACTGTATACTTTAAAATGATTTTTTTTTTGAGACAGGTGCTCACTCTGTCACCCAGGCTGAAGTGCAGTAGTGTAATCACAGCTCACTACAGCACACCTCAGCCTCCCAGGTAGTTGGGAGTAGCTGGGACTACAGGTGCACACCTCCATACCTGGCTAATTTTTATATTTTTTGTAGATACAGGGTATCATGTTGCCTAGGCTGGCCTTGAATTTCTGGGCTCAAACATTCTACCTGCCTAGGCCTCCCAAAGTGCTGAGATTACAGGTGTGAGCCACCATGTTGGCCTTTAAAATGATTTAAATGACAAAATTTATGTTTTATGTATATATAACCACAATGAAAAATAAGTCACTGAGAAGAGGGATTTGTGTTTCTATTAATAGTAGACTGGATAACTCAGACCAAACTTTCTACTAAGGACAATTTGAAAATCTGGGCAGAATATGAAGAACATCTGATTGAAGGACTCAAGAGCTAACAAGCCAGTGAAAAATTATAGGACCAAAATTCAGAAGAAAACCTAGGGAATGAATCTCAGTATTTAGTGTTACCTTTCCCCAGCGGGCATCAGATGAGTCTAGAAGAGGCATTAGAAAGACTGAGAAGCTAAGCAGAGTATTTGACAGCCTTTTGGGGCTAAGGATAAATAATTGGAGTCTTTTCTGACACCAGTTATTGTTCCAAAATACAGATGGTCCCTGACCTTCTATGGTTCAACTTAACAATTTTTCAACTTCACAATGGTGCAAAGATAATACACATTCAGTAGAAATCCCACTTTGAGTACATACAACCATTTTATTTTTCACTTTGAGTACAGGATTCAATAAATTATATCATGAGATATTCAACACCTCATTATAAAATAGGCTTTGTGTTGGATGATTTTGCCCAACTGTAGGCTAATGTAAGTGCTCCAAGCATGTTTAAGGTAGGCTAGACTAAGCTATGATGTTTGGTAGGTTAGGTGTGTCAAATGTATTCTCTTTTTTTTTTTTTTTAAGAGGTGGTCTCATTCTGTCACCCAGGCTAGAGTCCAGTGGCTCCATCAGGGCTCACTGCAGTCCTAAACTCCTGAGCTCAAGTAATTCTCCTACCTCAGCCTCCCAAGTAGCTGGGACTACAGGCATGTACCACCATGCCCAGCTAATTTTTTAAAATGCATTTTTGACTTATAATATTTTCAATTTACAATGGGTTTATTGGGACACAACCCCATTGTAAGTTGAGAAGCACCTGTACAATGCTGATGCTAACAATATGGAATTAGCCTTAAACTCTACAGGTTAAAGGCACAGTTGCTCCCCAACAAGACCTTCCTTACCTCAGATGCCAGCCACACTTCAAGGGCCACCTGCACTTCTGATTAACTGGCTACAAAGTTGGGGGTTCCTATGACCCCCTCATGTTGGACAATTCACTAGAACAACTCACAGAACTCAGGAAAGCCCTATAGTCATAGCTGCAATTTTATGATAAAGAATACAAGTCACGATCAGCCAAACGAAGAGACTTACAGAGTGAGGTCTGGGAGGGTCCCAAACAGAGCTTCTGTGCCCTCTCCCCACAGAGTCAGAGTGTGTCATCCTCCTGGCACATCAACGTGTTCACTGACCAGGAAGTTCCTCAGAGCTCAGTGAGCAGAGTTTTTATTGGGGTTTCATTACATAGGTATGATTGATTGAATCATTAGCCACATGATCGAATTCAATCTCCAGGCTCTATTCCATTCCTGGAGGTTGGGAGGTCAGGCTCATATGACATGGCTTAAACCATGACAGGCCCTGTCCTGAAGCTAACTAGAGGCCCACCACGTGTCACCTCATTAGCATAAACTCAGGTGTGCTCCAAGGGGTCCATGAATAACAAAGACACTCTGATCACTTGGGAAATGCCCAGGGTTTTAGAAGCCAGAAACCTGGGACAAAGACAAATTCTTTATCATACAACAGGCTACCCTCTGGTCATTGGTTATGGCTATCTTATAGCAAAACCATCAAACCTATCTGAGCACCTACATTTGGTGTAGCATTAATATAACATATACCACTGTTACCAGAAAAGGGTCCTGATCCAGACCCCAAGAGAGGGTTCTTGGATCTTGTGCAAGAGACAATTCAGGCCAGTCCACAGAGAAAATTGAAAGCAAGTTTATTAAAGTAGAAGAATAAAGAATGGCTACTCTATAGGCATAGTAGCCCTGAGGGCTGCTGATTGGCTATTTTTATGGTGATTTCTTGATTATATGCTAAAAAAGGGGTGGATTATTCATGAGTTTACTGGGAAAGGGGTGGGCAATTTCCGGAACCGAAGGTTCCTCCCCTTTTTAAACCACATAAGGTATGTTCCTGACGTCACCATGGCATTTGTAAACTGTCATGGTGCTCGTGGGAGTGTCTTTTAGCATGCAAATGCATTATAATTCACATAAATGAGCAGTGACAACGACCAGAGGTCATTTTTATTGCCACCTTGTCTGTGGTGGGTTTTAGCCGGCTTCTTTTCCACAGCCTGTTTTATCAGCAAGGTCTTTGTGACCTGTCCCTTGTACCAACCTCCTATCTTATCCTGTGACTTAGAATGCCTAACCTCCTGGGAATGCAGCCCAGTCGGTCTCAGCCTTATTTTACCCAGTCCCTATTCAACATGGAGTCACTCTGGTTTGAATGCCTCTTACACAGCCACAGTACCAACATGAATATGCCTAACATTTGGAGGCACCAGTGTAGGATAGGGATAGGAGGCTTTTAATTCAATTTCCTTATACATTTGACCATCAACATCAGTATTATAATCCTGTGAACAATACCAGTGTTATATCATTATCACACTGTGGTAGATGCAACCTGAAAAATAAAAAATGATATTTGGAACTTTGCTAGAGTCCCATTCAGTTACTGATTAGTCCAGTCATCATATTGTATGACCAAATGTCTCCCAGGGTAAGTTTGCTCAGGTTTGCAAGCTTCTATTTTATCTTGCATGGTTCCATAAAGAGGGGTGGTCTCAGCAATATATGATTTCACCCTTTCAGGCATCTTGTATAAGTGAGCTAAGAGACAACGTCATCTCTTACTTGGAGCTTCTTTCAAAGTATTAATGAAATATTGAATCTTCCCTCATTGCATAACACATTTATCCATTCCTTTACTCACAGCTACTATTCCTACTTCTATTTATGCCCTAACTTTTCCATCTTTGGAAGGGAGGTTAGCTTTAGCTACAGTGCTGGTTTAGATTGCAGGCAGCAATACTAGTCTAGCAAGTGCCTTCCTCAGTTCACTGTCATTCATCTCATCTCATCTAGGATAGGGTTATAAAAGGTACAGAACTCAGCTATTTCTACCATTAAGCAACGTAGCTACATCCACTATTAACCCCAGCTTTGCTACCTGGGATCAAGATACAACCTGCTCCCTGAGGCCCTTAGGAATTCTGACATAAAGGTTTAAAATTATGGTTATGGTTTCTTGCTTAGGAATTATCTTTGCTTCCAGCACTTGTTACAGCCCTGTGCCTGGGACCACTGCATTAGGTAGGAAAAAGAAGTTGAGATGAGGCTGGGCACGGTGGCTCATGCCTATAATCCCAACAGTTTGGGAGACTGAGGTGGGCGGATCACTTGAGCTCAGAAGTTCAAGACCAGCCTGGGCAACATAGTGAGACCTTGTCTCTATTTTTATTTTAAAAAATTAAAAATAAAAAAAGCAGTTAAGATCCTATAGGGAAGAAAGAAAAAAGTATAGTCATACCAGCACATTCCTTTCGTGGGAAGAACTGCATAGTTATACCAGCATATCTCCCACCCCCTCATCTTCAGATCCACAAAAATAGCAGAGGATTCTAGCTAGTGGGGCACTGGCTTGGCACTCTGATGTTAGGTGTGAGCATACACTCATGAAGGCATGTAAATCAGCCCTTCATGCCTATATCTCCCTCCATTTTGGCCAACCAATGTTTTAAATGCCCATTCCAATTCTCTATTAAACTATTATTCTAAGGAGGACATCTCTGTGTCCGTTATTGGACATTACATGCTGAAACTGTGTCCCTTGGTCTGAATAAATGTGACTCAACCACCCAAATTGGTGTAGTATCTTCTGTTCCAGTTCTTTTATAGTATCTGAGCATTTGCATCTACCACTGGGTATGCAAAACCCAGTCCAGCGTGTACATCTATTACTTTAAGGACCCATTTATAGCCTCTAGTGCTACCAGCATCACTCCCACTTGCCAGCTATGTGCTGGGCCTTCCCCCCAGGGAATCTGTCCCATAGCCATCTGAGTCTGTCTCTCTTGTTGGCAGACAGAACTGTACTTACTGGCATTTTGCACCTCAGAGGGTGCAAAAGGAATATGCCTAAATTTAGCCCATCTTTGCATTGCTACAGCCCCCACCCCACAATGTCTACTTGTTTCATGACCCAGGTGATCACCTCAAGTGAACATATCAAGATATCCACTCACTGACACCAATGACCTTCTTATCCTGAAGGGACTTCTTTTGATATTTCGCATCTCACTGAGTGTTTTTAGATCCCACATTTGTCTATTTAGCACTCATTAATTATAGGACCAAACTAATGGCCAAGTTGTTTACGAATTCATACGCTGATCATCCTCCTCATCTGATGCTCACACCCCAAGCCAATATTTCCCAATCCTAAACCAACACTGAACTAGGTACCAAACAACTAGGAAAATCCCAAATACCCCAAAACCCACTGGAATTATTCAAACTAGCCAATCCTAAGCTGTTTACTTTACCCTGTCTTGCCTTTCTCATGGAAACCCCAATATTGCCTGTGGTCTATGCCTTCCCCTCACTCCTTTCTGCCTCCTGATCAATACTGGTGCTTCCCTATGTGGTCCAGAATGGTGTAACATGACCCTCCTCTCAGGAAATGTGAATAAAAATCTTCTTTCAGTGAAACTAGCCTCTAGGTGCTGTTACTCAGTCACCTTTATAAATTATGACCCAAACACTAAGATGGGCATCAACATGTTCTACTTTAATGCATCCCTCAAGTTCCCCCTAGTGGTTTCCATAGAGGTGGGCCCCATATGGGCATCTCTTTAAGAGGCCACTTTTCCATTGCTCTTCTGCCTGACCATAAGGCCAGGACATTGACCACTGCTCATGAGTCAGTAAAACACTGGGGCAAACAGTATGCAATTCAGTTTGATGAGTTAATTTCTTTTTACTTTTTAAATCAGAGTGGCAGCCTTTTGAGCAGAATGCTGTCCGTTCACTTTCGAACTGCCATCCATAAACTAAGAAGTTCTTTGTTGATCAATAGAGAGCATTCATAGGGCACCGTCCATGTTACAATAGGTTCCGGCAGCTCCTTAAGTGGTTCCAAAGCCAGTCCCAGAGCAAAAGAGTCTACCTGCTCATGAATACACTGAGCAAGTATTTGTATTCCCCCAGAACTTCAGCAAATAACTGGAAACCATAAAAAATAACCAAATGGAAATTCTAGATATAAAAAAACACCACAACCAACAAATAAGAACTCAGTGTGTGGAATTAACAGCAGATTAGACAAAGCTGAGGAGAGAAGAAATGCATTAAAAAACAGATCTGAAAAAAAATCAGAATAAAGCATGGAGAGTCAAAAATAAGTAAAATATAGAAGGCAGGCAATACAATGCGAAGGCCTGGCATATATGTAAATGGAGTCCCACACAGAGAGGAGAGAGAATTGGTGCAGAAACAATATTTGAAGAGATAATGCCTGAGAATTTTCCAAAACTGATTAAAGACATCAAGCCACATATGCAATAATTCTTACAAATGCCCAACAGAATGAAAAAAAAAAAAAAAGAAAACCACTTCCAGACAAATCATAAACTCAAACACAATGAATATCTTAGGAAAGCAGATTTCCTTCAAAGGAGCAATAATTAGAATGACATGTAAAGTCTGAACAAAACAATGGAGCTCAAAATACAATATTAGAACACTGAAATCCTACACCCAGCAGAGATACACTTCAAGATGGAAGATGAAATAAAAAGCTTTTTTTAAAATAAAAACATTTTCAAAATTGAGTCTGGGCAACATAGTGAGACCCCATCTCTTAAAAAAAAAAAAGACAAATGAAAATTAAGAGAATTGGCCAGGTGTGATGGCTCACACCTGCAACCCCAACACTTTGGGAGGCTGAGGCAGGAGGATTTCTTGGGACCAGGAATTCAAGACCATCCTGGGCAACATAGTAAGATCCCTGTCTCTATTTAAAGAGGGAGAGAGAGAAAGAGGGAGAGAGAGAAAGAGGGAGAGAGAGAAAGAGGGAGAGAGAGAAAGAGGGAGAGAGAGAAAGAGGGAGAGAGAGAAAGAGGGAGAGAGAGAAAGAGGGAGAGAGAGAAAGAGGGAGAGAGAGAAAGAGGGAGAGAGAGAAAGAGGGAGAGAGAGAAAGAGGGAGAGAGAGAAAGAGGGAGAGAGAGAAAGAGGGAGAGAGAGAAAGAGGGAGAGAGAGAAAGAGGGAGAGAGAGAAAGAGGGAGAGAGAGAAAGAGGGAGAGAGAGAAAGAGGGAGAGAGAGAAAGAGGGAGAGAGAGAAAGAGGGAGAGAGAAAGAGGGAGAGAGAAAGAAAGAAAAAGAAAGAGAGAAGAATAAATTTAAAAGAATCAATTAATAGCAGATTTGATTCAAAGGAAATTTTGTATTCTTCAGGCAAATGGGGAAAGATACCAGATGAAAGCACAGAGATACAGGAAAGATTAAAGAGCAACAATATAAGCAAATATAGGGATGAATCAAATAGTCAAATTGACTCTTAACCGCTAAAACAACCACCACCACAACAATATCTCATGAGGTTTAAAGTATATACAAAACTAAAATACATTTTTAAAAATTGCATCTAAGTTGAGGAGGCTAATAAATGAAGTTAGTTGAATGCAAGTTCCTTGCATTCCTGGTGACAGAGCAGGAGCATTGCCATCTTGGACAAGCCCCTCATTCTAAAGTTCACCTTAATAAAAAACCACCTAAATCCAAAGGGCATCAGCCTAATGGCTAAGGTCAACATGACCATAAACCACAAATAACATCTCCAACCAGAAACGTTCCAAACTCCTCCCCAACCAGAGACATGCTAGCCCTGAGATAACCCCCTTCCAGCCAGGAAGATGCCAGCCTCGAGATAACCCCCTCTGACCAGAAAGATGTCTGCCCCAAGATGAACTCCCCTCTTCCCAGAGACATTCCAACCCTGCCATAAAACTTCTCCTTCACTGGGCGCGATGACACATGCTTGTAATCCTGGCACTTTGAGAGGCCTAGGTGGGTGGATCACGAGGTCAGGAGTTTGAGACCACCCTGGCTGACATGGTGAAACCCCATCTCTGGTAGAAATGCAGAAATTGGCTGGGCATGGTGGAGGGTGCCTGTGATCCCAGCTACATGAGAGGCTGAGGCAGGAGAGTCGCTTGGGCCTTGGAGGTGGAGGTTGCAGTGAGCCAAGATTACTCCACTGCACTGCAGCCCAAAGTGACAGAGCTAGACTCCGTCTCAAACAAAACAAAACAAAAAACCCTTCTCCTTCACATAGAAACATTCCAAGCTTGTGATAAGCCCCCTCACCCTAAAACCAATGTCTACTCTTAGTCTGTAAGAGAAAGCACTCCTGACTAAAAAAAAAAAAAAAAATCAGCTAGAAGCCCCTCTCATATTTTATCTAAAGTAAACCTGTCTTTACTGATGAGCTGCAGTTTGTGTTTCTTTCCTCTCTTACACCTAGGAAGGAGGTAAAACTACCAAATAATGTTAGACTTTAATAAGTCACAGATTCAGGCCTGATGCTGTGGCTCACATCTGCAATCCCAACACCTTGGGAGGCCAAGGTAGGTAGATCACTTGAGCCCAGGAGTTCAAGACCAGCCTGGGAAACATGGCTCTTGAAATGTCTCTACAAAAAAAAACAAAAAAACTAACTGGGTGCATTGGTGCATGCCTGTAGTCCCAGCTACTTAGGAGGCTGAGGTGGGAGAATTGCTTGAGTGTGGGAGGCTGAGGCTGCGGTGAACTGTAATGGCACCACTGCACTCCAGGCTGGGTGACAGAGCAAGACACTATCTCAAAAAAAAAAAAAAAAGTCATAGGGTAGAAATAGAATAACAAAACATATCAACCCTAACAGACAAACCAATAAAGTTAGACCCATATTTAGTCATCTAATTTATAACAAAATTAACACTGCAATACATTGGGGTGAAAAAAACACTTTTTCTCTTGCTGTACTCTCACAACACAGAACACTTTCGTACCAGATGTGTGAGGGTTTTCCCCACACACACCAAGGAATTTTCCAGCAGACACCATCTTCGTGTCCTGTATTTCAATTCAATTCTGACATAATCTACCTAGAGATAGCGTCAGATCCCACAGGTGAAAGGTTCACTCCCACAAGACTGCCCCCAATTCAGATGCCAAGAACAAATTCCAGGCTGTGACCCATGCTTCAGACAGACTGGCTATAAATTTGGGTTTCCATGAGCCCCCTCCTTGGGTTTGATAATTTGCTAGTATTTCTCACAGAACTCAGGGAAACACTTTACTTATGTTTGCCGGTTTATTATCACAGATGAAGAAGCACACAGGCAAGGCCTGGAAGGGTCCTGACCTCAGGCGCTTACCCTTGATTTGTAACCACCCAGCTGGCTCACCTTGCCTGCTGCAGAGACAGAGGAGATTTGCAATAGAGAAAGTAATTCATGCACAGCCGGCTGTTGTTACTCAAATCCTATTATTACTCAAATCGGTCTCCTCGAGCACTGGGGGATCAGAGTTTTTAAGGTTCATTTGGTGGGTCGGGTGGTGGGGGCAGTAAGTCAGGAGTGCTGATTGGTCAGGTCAGAGATGAAATTATAGAAATTAGACGCTGTCCACTTTCGCTGAGTCACTTCCTGTGTGACCGCCACAACATTGGATGAGCCAGTTTATCGATCTGGGTGGTGCCAGCTGATCCATCAAGTGCAAGGTCTGCAAAATATCTCAAGCACTGATCTTAGTCTTACAATAAAGATGTTATCCCCAGGAGAAGGTCAGAATCTTGTAGCCTCCTGCTGCATGACTCCTAAACTGTAATTTTTAATCTTTTAGCTAATTTGTTAGTCATACAAAGGCAGTCTATCCCCAAGGCAAGAAGAGGGTTTGTTTTGGGAAAGGGCTGTTATTGTCTTTGTTTTAAACTATAAACTAAGTTATTCCCAAAGTTAGTTCAACCTATACCCAGGAATAAACAAGGATGGCTTGGAGGTTACAAGCAAGATAGAGTTGGTTAGCTCAGATCTCTTTTGCTGTCTCAGTTATAATTTTGCAATGGTGGTTTCAGAGTTGGGGTGCACCACTCTCCAGCAAGTGGATTCATTCACCAACCTGGAAGCTTATCAAATCTCATTGCTCAAAGTTTTTATATAGCTTAATCTCCACCTCCCCTCATTCCTGGAGGTTGATGGGTGGGGTTGAAAGTTCCAACACTCTAATCACTGGGTTTTCTAGTGACCAGCCCCATTCTGATGCTATCTATAGGCTCCACCCTGTCACCTTAGTAGCGTAAACTTAGGTGTGATAGAAAGGGCTTGTTCTGAATAACAAGATATTCCTATCACTCAGGAAATTCCTTGGGTTTTAGTAGCTCTGTATCAGGAATTAGGGACAAAGACTAAATAGGTATGTTTTAATACCATGTGGAAAAAAGATCTTTTAATATGTTCAATTAAGTTTCACCTAAAGCTGCCTCCTTTCATATTTTAAGTTCTGCCTAAAGCCTTCTCCATACATAGTGAACTGCAACCTAACTGGATGTGTAAATAAATAAATAAACTGTAACCTACTCCAGTGCCAATAACCAAGTTTCGGCCAATCAAAGGTGGCTAACTGTTCAAACCATGCTCTACTAAGGCAAACTTACTGAGCTGTAACCAATCCAGCTGTTTCTGTACCCTACTTCGGTTTTCTATATGTCACTTTCCTTTCTCTGTCCATAAATCTTCCACCTCAAGGCCGCACTGGAACCTTTCTGGAGTTATTCTTGTTAAGAGGCTGCCAGGTTCTCATTCTTTGCTCAATTAAAGTCTGTTAAATTAGCCAGGTGTGGTGGCTCACGCCTGTAATCTCAGCACTTTGGGAGGCTGAGGTGTGTGGATCGCTTGAACCCAGGAGTTTGAGAGCAGCTTGGGTGACATAGTGAAACCCCATCTCTACTAAAAATACAAAAATTAGCTAGTGGTAGAGGAGAGCACATGCAGTTCCAGTTACTCTGGAGGCTGAGGTGGGAGGATCACCTGAGTCTGGGGAGGTCAAGGCTGCAGTGAGCTGAGACTGCACCACTGCACTGTAGCCTGGACAGCAGAGCAAGACTCTATCAAAAAAATAAATAAATAAAATCTGTTAAATTAAATTTGTCTAAGGTTTTGTGGGTTTCTTAAAAACAAATATATGGTGTTGGATTATATGAATGTCCATATGAAAAAAAGAATTCTGGTCCCTATCTCCCACCACACATAAGAAATAAATCCACCAGACAGTAGATCTAAATATGAATGAAAAAACAATAGAGCTTTTTGAAGGAAACATAAGAAAATATCTTCACAACTTTGTAGTATGCAAAAGTTTCTTAAACAAGACCCCAAAAATGGGCCAACTATATAAAGGAAAATAATAAATTGGACTCTATTAAGATTTACAATGTCTGCTTATTGAAAGACAGTAAAATGCCAAACTGTTAGAAGCACTGGAACCAGAGCAACTCCATCTTGAATAGTGCCTAGATAAAAATGAGGATGAGGCCTATTGGGCTGCATTCCTAGGTTAGGCATTCTTAGTCACAGGATGAGTAGGAGGTCAGGACTGGTATCACAAGATACAAGTCATAAAGAACCTGCTGATGAAACAATGCGGTAAAGAAGCCAGCCCAAACCCACCAAAACCAAGATGGTAGCAAAAGTGACCTCTGGTTGTCCTCACTACTCATTATACGATAATACATTAGTATGCCAAAAGACACTCCCACCAGCGTCATGACAGTTTATAAATGCCATGGCAATGTCCAGAAGTTACCCTATACGATCTAAAAGAGGAGAAACCCTCAGTTCCAGGAAATCCCTGCCCTTTTTCTGGAAAACTTATGAATAATCCACCCCTTGTCTAAACAAGAATTAAGAAATAGGCCGGGTGCGGTGGCTCACGCCTGTAATCCCAGCACTTTGGGAGGCTGAGGCAGGTGGATCACCTGAGGTTAGGAGTTCTAGACCAGCCTGGCCAACATGGTGAAACCCCATCTCTACTAAATATACAAAAATTAGCCGGGCATGGTGGCAGGCACCTGTAATCCCAGCTACTTGGGGGGCCGAGGCAGGAGAATCACTTGAACCCAGGAGGTGGAGGTTGCAGTGAGCCGAGATCATGCCATCACACTCCAACCTGGGGGACAAGAGCAAGACTACGTCTCAAAAAAAACAATAAATAAGTAAATAAATCAAGAAATAACCGTAAGTATAACTTAGTCAAGCAGCCCATGCTGCTGCTCTGACTATGGAGTACCCATTCTTTTGTTTCCTTACTTCTCTAACTTGCTTTCACTTTACTCTATGGACTCGTCCTGAATTCTTTCTTGGAGAAGATCCAAGAACCCTCTCTTGGGGTCTGGATCAGGACCCCTTTCCGATAACAAAACCACCGAGTATAAGAAGGTATTTGCAACAACAGAGGCTGAAACTGCCCCACAGGGTTGACAAGAATTGAATGCTGGGTTCTGGATAGAAATATAGTTCTAATTAAGCATTAATCAGGCTGACCTTTGGTTCACTTCCTTGTTGCTAAAAGTCACGTAGCACTAGCTCCTGACCATTTATATCCCCGTTCTTCCTATAGACAGGATTTCTGACAGTAGGGTCATAAAACTGTTTAATAATTTATTTGCATCTCCACTGTTCCTATGACAGGATCTCTGACATTAGAATCATAAGGCTTTTGTTTAAGGATTGCCTGAAGTTCTAGTAAAACAGCTGATATCAACCAGTTAGAAGACTCCCACAGAGGAATGGGATCAGTATGTCTTCACTCTGCCTCTTTGACCAATCAACAATCTCTACACTTTGGCCCACTCCAAAACCCTTAAAAACTTTACCCCCAAACTCCTTCAGGGAGATGGATTTGAGGTTTCCTCCCAAAGTTAACTCGTTTGGTAACTTTTTTTTTTTTTGAGATGGAGTTGCACGCAGTGGTGTGATTTCAGTGCCACCTCTGCCTCTTGAGTTCAAGCAATTCTCCTGCCTCAGCCTCTCAAGTAGCTGGGATGATAGGCACGTACCATGGCACCAGGGTAATTTTTGTATTTTTAGTAGAAAGGTGGTTTCGCTATGTAGACCAGGCTGGTATCAAACTCCTGGCCTCAAGTGATCAGCCTGCCTTGGCCTTGCAAAGTGCTGGGATTACAGGCTGCTGCCACTGCGCCAAGCCCTTTGGTGACCTTATGATTAAACCTCTTTCTCTGCTGCAAGCCAGTGTCTTGGCATATTGACTTGTTGTATGCATCAGGCAACAAATCTATTACAGTTACAAGTCTGTATTCATGTGGCAAGAATACATTTAAAACTCCCACAAATCAATAACAGAATGACGAAACAATGGAATACTGGACAAAAGATTTGAACAAGCACTTCACAATAATCATATAAATTATTAAATAGGCCGGGCATGGTGACTGAAGCCTATAATCCCAGCACTTTGGGAGGCCAAGGTGGGAGGATTGCATGAGGCCAGGAGTTCAAGATCAGCCTGGGCAATATAGTGAATCCCCATCTTTACAGAAAAGAAAAAAAATCAGCCAGGCATGGTGGTGCATGCCTGTAGTCCCAGTTACTCAGGAAGCTGAAGTGGGAAAATTGTTTGTGCCAGAGAGGTTAAGGCTGCAATGAGCTGTGATTGCACCACTGCACTCCAGCCTGGGCAACACAGCAAGACCCTGTCTCATAAAATATAATTTATATTTAAATATAAATCAACAAATCATATCCAAATGGCCAATAAACACAGAAAAGGTAATTAACTTCATTAGTTATGAAGGAAATATAAATTAAAATCATGAGATATTCCACACAACCTCCAGAATTGATTAAAATGAAGAAATAAAGTCAGGTAATAACAAATATTTACAAAGATGTAGAGGAAAAAGAACTCTGCGTAACTGCTGGTGGGAGTCTAAATTGATTTATGGGAAAATTGTTAGTGTCTAGTAATGCCGAAAACAAGAATATTCCATGAACCTAGCAATTCTTAGGTATATACCAAACAGAAATCTGTAATATTCACCCAAAACACATATAATGTTCACAGAAGACTATTCATAATAACCTCAAACTGGAAACCGATCAAATACCCATTGATAGTAGCACAAATAAAACATAGTATATGCATACCATGCATACATATACATAGTATATGCATACCATGCATACATATACATAGTATATGCATACCATGTATACATATACATAGTATAGTATATGCACACGAAGAATTTCTACACAGCTATGAAAAGTAACAAACATGCAATAATATTGTACTGGACTGAATTATGTCACCACTACCCAACCACCAAAATGTATGTGTTTAAGCCTTAACCTCCAGTGTGACTGTATTTGGGGATAGGACCCTGAATAAGGTAATTAAGTTTAAATGAAGTCATAAGGATGGGGCCCTAATCCAATAGGACGGGTGTCCTTACAGGAGGAGGAGACCAGAAATCTCTTTCTGCACACACACAAAGGAAAGGTCACTTGAGGACACAGCAAGAAGGCAGCTGTCTGCAAGCCAGGAAGAGAAGCCTAACCAGAAACCACCCTGATAGACCTTGATTTTGGACTTCTTGCCTACAGAACAACTAATTTTTATTGTTTAAGCCACCCAAGTCTAATACTTTGCTATGGCAGATTTACAGACTAATACAAACATGGATTAATTTTACAAATAATTTTGAGCAAAATGAGACAGACACAAACATGTTTCTAATTATTTTATTTTGTTGTTTTTTGAGACAGAGTCTTGCTCTGTTGCCCAGAATGGAGTGCAGTGGCATGATCTCGGCTCACTGCAACCTCTGCCTCCCAGGTTCAAGCAATTCTCCTGCCTCAGTCTCCTGAGTAGCTGGGACTAGAGGCATGCACCACCACACCTGCCTAATTTTTGCATTTTTAGTAGAGACGGGGTTTCACCACATTAGCCAGGCTGGTCTCAAACTTCTGGCCTTAAGTAATCTGCCCACCTCAGCCTCCCAAAGTGCTAGGATTACAGGAGTGAGCCAGCGCACCTGGCCTATGATTATTTTATTACATTATTTACTTTTTTTAAAAAAAATAGAGATGGGGTTTCACCATGTTGCCCAGTCTGGTCTTGAATTCCTGGACTCATGTGATCCTTCTTCAGCCTGTAACCCTCATGAAACAAGAGACCTTGCAATGTACCTTAAAACCATTAACAATAAAGTCTCGGATTTATCCCTACAAACCATTAAAAATTCCGGGTTCTCATGAAAGCAGAATTCTGCATAAAACAGGAATCCTTTGCCCCACTCTAAGAGAAATATAAAGAATTCATGAAACAGCAGTCTCTTTCCCCACTCTTAAAGAGGAATATAAATAAGTGGAAAAGTAATTCTGCACTACTACTTCCCGACAAATCATCAACAAGACCAGTATAGGAATCAGAAAATGAGGGGTCTAACCTCCTTTTTTTTTTTTTTTTTTTTTTGAGACAGAGTCTCTTTCTGTCGCCCAGCTTGGAGTGCAGTGGCACCATCTCAGCTCACTGCAGCCTTTGCCCCCAGGTTCAAGCTATTCTGCCTCAGCTTCCCAAGCAGCTGGGACTACAGACATGTGCCACCACACCTGGTTAAGTTTTGAATTTTTAGTAGAGATGAGGTTTCACCATGTTAGCTAGGCTGGTCTCGAACTCCTGACCTCAAGTGATCCACCCGCCTCGACCTATCAAAGTACTGGGATTATAGGCATGAACCACCGTGCCTGGCCTGAGGGGTCTAACCTCCTCAAAGACATTTTGCCGTACAAACAAAAACCTGTCTGTTGCACGAATTTGTCTTGATCTCAGCAGGACCTAAGTGTCCTGTTCTATGACCAAGTTATCCTGTCACAGAAGACTTCAAGCGACGGGCACCCTACTGGCTTTTATCTGTTCAACTCATGCCCACAAATGACAGCTTTGACAAAGAAAAGGAAAAACAAATCCCAAAATTTGGGCTTACCTTCTGGCTGGCCCACCAAAGTATGTTACTGGATAGAAGGTCTTGACTGTGAGTTGTCCAGGTTCTTGGTGTGTTGTGCAAAGAGTAAACAAAACACACAAAGCAACAAAAGAAGCAACAAATGCACAAACAAAACAACAAAAGAACAGAGTAATAAAGGCACAGATTTATCGAAGAAGCGAAAGTACAACTCACAGAGCGGGAGAAAGCTCAAACAAGCAGCTCAAGCGCTTCTTCACCGCAATGCTCCCCGGGGTTTTTATGAAGCCAAAGGACTTTGGCAACACCCCTAGGTGCTTTTAGAGGCCTCCAATTGGTTACAACCTATAAAGGATTGCCCTGTGACTATTCAGAGGCTAAAGTGGAGGCTTGGACCAGTCAATCAGAGGCCGAAGTGGAAACTTCTGTCTTATCACAGGAGTAAAGAGGTGGCCTGTATGCTGCCCAATCTTGCCTAGAACTGGCTGCACCTGCTGTTTTCTTGCTTCTGTGAACTGGCTGCACCTGCTACTCCTTTGCTTATGCTCCAACCTAACTGCTTTGCTTATTACCCAATCCTTGGCTACCTTAATTCCCTATTCTCCTGCCTCAGTTATACACATGTGCTCAGTTTATGTGGTCTTTTATGTCTGCTCAGCTTATGAAGCTAACTTGATGAAGTTCATCAAGGTATGCACTTAAGATTTAGGCCTTTTTCTGTACATACATTATAGTTCTATTAACAGTTTTAAAAGCCATTTCAAAGGAAGAGAAGAAGGAATGGGGGGGAAGAACATAAAACAGAGGAACAAGTTGCAAGCAAATAATTAATGTTAGAATTAAATAAAAATAATAACTAACAAAAAGTGATGAAAAATCAATGACCATTTACATTATATTAAATGTAAATGGACTAAATGCTCCAATTAAATGACAAAGATTGTCAGGCTATATAAAAAACAACAAAGCCCTACTGTATGTTTACAAGAAACAACTGTAAGATATAAGAATACAGAAAGTTTGAAAGTTAAAACTGACAAAATTGTCTTCAAAGCAAAAAAGCATTACTAAATAAAGAGGAACATTCCATAATGAAAAAAAATTTGATTCTAGAAAGATAAAGTACATCTAACTTTATTTATACTCAATATTTAGCCTCAAAGTACATAAAGCAAAAATAGAAACAAAAAGGAGAAAAGACATATTCACACAGGCTTACTTTAAAACACTTCTCTCCTTAAGTGATAGAACAAGCTGTCAAAAGTTAGAAGGATATAGAAAATTTGCATATGATTAGCAAACTTGACCTTATTGACAACTGTAGAACACTGCACCCAATAAACAAGATGGAATCATGTAATTGAATACAAAGAACATTTATTAAAATTTACTACATGCTACGCAATAAAATAAGTCTTAACAACCTCTAAAACATTGAAATCATAAGGAGTAAATTTGACTACACTTCAATTAAGCTAGAAACTAATAACAAAAAGGAAATTGGAATACTCTCATGTATCTGGAAACTAAGAATGCTTCTTCTTCTTTTTTTTTTTTTTTGAGACAGAGTCTCGCTCTGTGGCCCAGGCTGGAGTGCAGTGGTGCAATCCCGGCTCACTGCAACCTCCGCCTTCCAGGTTCAAACAGTCCTCATTCCTCAGCCTCCTGAGTAGCTAGGATTACAGGCTGCACCACCACATCCAGCTAATTTTTGTATTTTTGGTGGAGACAGGGTTTCGCCATGTTGACCAGATTGGTCTCAAACTCCTGGCTTCAAGTGATTCTTGGCCTCCCAAAGTGCTGGGATTATAGGCATGAGCCACTACGCATGGCCTAAGAATGCTTCTTAATTGAACCAGGATGGTTAAAGAACAAGTTATGGTGGAAATCAGAAAATATTTTGAGATGAATGATAATGAAAGTATGACATATCAGAACTTCCTGTGCTTAGAGAGAAATGTATAGACTTATAAACACATATATCCCAAAACAAGAAAGGCTGAAAATCAATTACCTAAGCATATACCTCAGGAAGTAAGAAAAATGTCAGCCAATAAATTTTTTGTTTTGTCTCGCTCTGTCCCCCAGGCTGGAGCACAGTAGGGCAATCTTGGCTCACTGCAACCTTTGCTTCCTGGGCTCAAGCAATTCTCCCATCTCACCCTCCCAAGTGGCTGCAAGTAGCTGAGACTACAGGCTATCCTCGGCTTCCAAATATCAATCTTACCAGTGAAATGTTGAAAGTGTTCCCTTTGCGACCATGAATAAAGCTACTTAAGACATTGTACCAGAGGTCATAGCTAGTATAATAAGGCAAAAAAAAAAAAAAAAAAAAAAAAAAAAAATATATATATATATATATATATATATATATATATATATATATATATATATGTGAGAGATATGAGGCCTGGATAGAAAGAAACAAAACTGTCATTATTAGAATTAATAAGTGAATTTAGCAAGGACGCTAGGTATAAAATCAATTTACAAACATCACTTACATTTCTACACAAAAAGATGTAGGATGTTTATGGACTGGATATTCATGGATTGGCTACTGAATAACATAAAGAGGTCAGTTCTCCCCCAATCAATTTACAGGGCCAATGCAACCCCAGTGCCAATCCTAATAGGCTGTTATTGTGGAGATTTTCTTTTTTTCTTTTTTCTTTTTTGAGACAGGGTCTTGCCCTGTCACCCAGGCTGGAGTGCAGTGGCCCAATCACAGCTCATTGCAACCTCGACCTTCAGGCTCATGTAATCCTCCCACCTCAGCCTCCTGAGTAGCTGGGACCACAGGCATGTGCCACCACACCTGGCTAATTGTTATATTTTTTGTAGAGATGGGGTGTCACTATGTTGCCCAGGCTGGTCTCAATCTCCTGGGTTCAAGCAATCTTCCCGCCTCACCCTCCCAACGTGCTGGGATTACAGGCATGAGCCTCCACGCCAAGCCAAGATTTTCAAACTGATTCTAAAATGTATCTGAAAATTCAGAGAGCCTAAAATAATCAAGACATTATTAAAGAAGACGAACAAAATGGGAGGAGTTACAAACAATTAACAAGACTCATGAAGCCATGGTAATTAAAACAGTGTAGTATTGGAACAAGAACAAACAAATAGACCACAGAACAGATTGAAAGCCCAGAATCAGACACATGAACTTGTTGTCATATGATATACCACAAAGGTGGCACTGTACTGCAGTAGGGAAAGGAAAGTCTTTTCAGTACATGGTACTAGGTCAACTAGATATTTATATAGGAAAAATGAAAATTACCTTTATTTCACACTACACAGAATAATAAATTCCAGATGTATTACAGTCTAAATATGAAAGGCAAACCAATAAAACTTTTAGAATATAATATACCAGAATGTTTTTCAGACTTTGGAGTAAAGAAAGATTTCTTGGTCAAGATATACAAAAGCCCTAATTATAAAGGAAAAGATTGGTAAATTGGAGCTTCTGTTTTTCAAGACAGCATTAAGATAGTGAAAATGCAAGTCATGAAATGGGAGAAGGTATTTACAACACATAGAACTGACAAAGGGCTTGTAGCCAGAATATATAAATCATTTATAAAGCAATAAGAAAAAGATAAAAGGATCCAACAGGCCAGGCGCATTGGCTCAGGCCTGTAATCTCAGCACTTTAGGAGGCCAAGGCAGGCAGATTACTTGAGGTCAGGAGTTGGAGACAAGCCTGGCCAACATGGTGAAACCCTCTCTCTACTAAAAATACAAAAATTAGCTGGGTGTGGTGGTGCAGCCTGTAATCCCAGCTACTCAGGAGGCTGAGACATGAGAATTGCTTGAACCTGGGAGATGGAGGTTGCAGTGAGCCGAGATCACGCCACTGCACTCCAGCCTGGGCAACAGAGCAAGACTCTGTCTCAAAAAAAAAAAAAAAAAAAAAAAAAAAAAAAAAAGACAAAGAACTTCTTCTCAAATATGAACAATTTTTCTTTTTGCAAAACTCTTTTCATGGCCCCTACACTACCTATAACAGCATTTATAAGAGGTCTTTGGCTGGGCTTGGTGGCTCACACCTTTAATCCCGGTCGGTACTTTGGGAGGCCAAGGCAGGAGGATTGCTTGAGCTCAGAAGTTCAAGACGCACACTGGGAAATATAGTGGGACCACGTCTCTACAAAATACAACCAAAATTTTAGCAGGACATGCCTGCTAAAGGCTCCTGGCATGATGGCATATGCCTGGAGTCTCAGCTACTTGGGAGGCTGAGATGGGAGGATCGCTTGAGCCCAGGAGGTCGAGACTGCAGTGAGCCAAGATCATGCCACTGGACTCCAGCCTGGGCAACAGAGTAAGACCCTGTCAAAAGAAAAGAGGTCTTTAGTGTTCCTGGGAAGACCAGCTCTCTTTTGTCTCACCATTGGAAACTGCATAAAGCATGAACCCTGAGAAGAAACTAATTACCCATTTTCCTCTCTGAGACCCTCCAGACTCACCCGCATGCCTCACATCCCTATTTATCTCAATAGCCGCCCCATATCCAAGACTCTGAGGTAATCCATCATCACCCAGACTCTTATCACATCCCTTAATCTAACCAGTTTCCCACCCTTCCCTACTTCCTCCATTCTTCCACTGTGACCCTGAAATTCATGGTCCACCCTCAGGAAAATGTCCTCAATCCTCAACCTCTCCTCCAAACATTCATTTCCCCTTCCTGCTTTCACTAAAATCTGGTTGTGCCTGAGGACGTTGCTTTTTTGTGGCCCTTTAAAGCAGGGGCTGGTTTTTCTCCTACACCCCATATACTACAGACCTGGAGGAGGGGTAGGTACCCTCCTGGCTGTACACTGCCTTTTCTAGACTAATTATCCTTCCTTTTCTCTACAAAATTCTGTTCCCTTGAAGTTCGTGTCCTTAGGCTATACCACTCACTGTTCTCATTGAAGCCTCCTGGATAATCTCCCTTACTCCCTGAAGATTTTAGATGCTGGCTCTTAGCCTCTCTCACCATCAGCAGTACTCACCATTTTGTGATTTCAACCAACTCCGGTATCAAAAACCCATCCAACATCCTAGATTTTCAGGTTCTGTATTACTTATCTATTGTGTAACAAATCACAAATTAACAAAATAGGCTGGGAACAGTGGCTCACGCCTGTAATCCCAGCACTTTGGGAGGCCAAGACAGGTTGATCACTTGAGGTTAGGAGTACGAGACCAGCCTGGCCAACATGATGAAACCCTGTCTGTACTAAACAAACAAACATACAAAACAAAACAAAAAAAATTAGCTGGGTGTGGTGGTGCATGCCTGTAATCCCAGCTGAAGCAGGGAGGCTTAGGCAGGGGAATCGCTTGAACCCAGGAAGTGGAGGTTGCAGTAAGCTAAGGTCGCACCACTGCACTCCAGCCTGGATGACAGCAAGACTCTGTTTCAACAATGACAACAACAAACAAAAACCAAATTAACAAAACAACTCAATAAGCACTTATGATCTCATACAGTTTCTATGGGCAGGCTTTGGGGAGCCAGAGACAGATGACTCTGGCTGAGAGTCTCCGATGCTGCTGTAGCCTATCTCCTGGGGCTGCCACAATCATCCGAAGGCTTGACTGGGGCTGGAGGATTAGCTTCCAACGTGGCTCCCTCACATGCCTGACAAATTCGTGCTGGTTGGTTAACTAGGTAGGTCTCTCCACAGGGCTGCTTGAGTGTCCTCATGGCGTGGTGGCTGGCTTCCCTGAGACAATCCAAGAGAACAAAGACAGAAGCTGCAATGTCTTTTAGAACACAGCCTCAGAAGACATACAGTTATTATTACACATGCCAGCCCCAATGAGCACAGGAGGGACTAGTCAAGGGGAGTGAATACACCTCATGAGAACCACTAGGGCCAGGTAGGAGGCTGGCTGCCCAGACTCCTGATCTCTTCCTCTCCAGCTGTCTTGTACTCATTATGGCCTCAGTCTCCTGCTGCCATGGTCAGGCCCTGGACTGTCAGCAATGACTGCTTCACCACCTTAAAATCATCATTTTTAGCACCCCACCTCACTCTTTGGCCAACCCTTCCAATATTTCCAGCTCTCTCACTCTAGTATCCTGACTCAATAACTCTTCAACCCCAGCCAGAGTTCCTAATGTTTTCACTACCTATCCCTTCACTTATCTTCTCACTTTCTTAATTATCCCTTTAGATTCTAACACAATAACCACTCCTGGCCCCTCTCTTCCTCATTATATTGTCCTGAAAAATGGCCAGAGCAAATTCCCTTCACCTGAGCAGCTAGATGTGACTGGAAGAAAACAACTCTGTCCACTAATCTCTCTTTACATTTATGACCACAAACCTCAAGTGGGCCATCAGCACTCATTCATGTCTCTACTCTCAAACACAAATTATTTCATATCTTCTTGTTTTTTAGAAAACATCCCATCCCATCCCCAATCCACTCTCAGCTTCACACCTGACAACCTCACCCATTCCTTTGAAATAAAAGCAGCATCCAGGAGAGCCACCTCATCTTCCCACCACCAAAGGAAACAGCCTACCTGCATCTGTACCAGTGACCTTTCTCCATCCTGCAAAGTCATATGGTTTGACTCTGTGTCCCCACCCAAATCTCATGTCAAATTGTAATCAGGGGAGGAAGCTGGTGGGAGGTGATTGCATCATGAGGGTGGTTTCCCCCATGCTGTTCTCATGATAGTGATTGAGTTCTCAAGAGATCTGGATCTGATGGTTTAAAAGTGTGTGGCAGTTCCCTGCTCGTTTTCTCTCTCCTGCCACCATGTAAGACATACCTTGCTTCTCTTTTGCCTTCCACCATGACTGTAAGTTTCCTGAGGCCTCCCCTGCCATGCAGAACTGTGAGTCAATTAAACCTCTTTCCTTTATAAATTACTTAGTTTTAGATAGTTTTTTATAGCAATGTGAAAACAGACCAATACACAAAGAATGGACCACTTCATCGTCAGTGTGCTGGATCCCATTTTCTCTCCCAGAAAATGGGATCTGTGACTCAAGGCCATCAGCACATCTTGTTAGATGCTGGAGTTGGGGAGTAATACAAAGCAAGGGAGGGCAGCCACATGGAGTGTGCACACCAAGGTCAGTCAGCCAAAGAAGAGAAGACTAGAGGAGGCAGGGAGAAGTAGATGGTAAGCCCCAGAGAGAAAAAAGAGGCCCCTGTATTCCCGGCTTTCTGCACTGCTTCCAGTTCTTCATGAAGCTGACTGGTGTGCAGTTCCAGGAGACACCCCTAAGTCCTCGAAACAAAGTATCTGGTACATAAGTCAGCTTCAGTGGATCTCTGTGGTTTTCAACTGAAGGAGCCCATTTATTCCCTATGTTTGGGGATAGAAAGCTGTCTAGCAGGGTGTCTCCATCAAGTTAATAGTACTCTCTGGGCAAGTGGATTTTAGAGGATTTTAAATGGTTTCTTCATTATACTTTTCTGAATTGTTTGAGTCACTTAAAATGAGCATATATCCGTTTCCTTCCTCTCCCTACCCCACCCTAATCTAATCCATCAACATCTTCTCTCAGCCTCACCTCTGAAATATAATTCAAATCCATCTCTCTTCCTGTCCACTGCCATCATTCTAGCCAAATCTCCATTCTCTCTCTTGCCCAGGTGACTGCAGTAGTCAGGTAATTGGTCCCCCCATTCCTCCCTTGCAAACATTCACTCCATTCCCACAGCAGCCCACAGGATCTTTCTACAATATCAATCCAGCCATGCTACTTCCTTGCTTAAAACCCTTCAGTGGCTTCCCTACACACTGGGAATAAAACCCAATCCTCAGCTCCCTATCTTGCCAAGTGAGTCGTAGGCAAGTTTGAATACAACACTGTGTGAAGAGCATGTATAGAGCCTGGTCCATCACAGCTGCACGTGGAGTGGATGTTCTTGTCCTTACCTCCAGGCTATTCAGCCACTTTCAGGAAGTTCTTTTAGGTTAGAAAGTTCTTAGAAACTGGCCCGTATCTACTCTGCAACTTCATCTTTAGCCACTTGCTCCTTGCTCCCTGTGTCCCTTCCATATTAGCTTCCGATGGTATTTAAAACATATAATACCAAGACACCCTTCTGCCTCCAGGCTTTTGCTCATTCTGGCACCTAGAATATCCCCCACAGTTCCTCCCATGGCTGGCTCCTCGTCTCACAGTGCTCAGTGTTTCAGAGCTGCCTCCTCCAAGGCTGTCCTGACCAAGGTGCCAATCCCCACCACACCCCGAGTATTATCGTCAAGGAAGCCTGTGTTTCCTTTGTAGCTTGTGTCACAACCTGCCATTTGACATTTGCTTGTTGAGTCTGTTTTCTTTCTCTCCCACCAAATTATATGTTTCCCATTGGTTTTATGTGCTTCTTTACTCCCCCAGTGCTTAGGGATGTGTATTGTCTATAAAAGCTCCATAGGTGTTCACTAAGTGAAGTTTAACAAAGAGCCTTCCCTGGTATGCCCAGCTGGAAGCCATCACTGGGTCCTCTGAATTCTCATAGTTCTTCATCTCCCCTTTATTAGAACACATCTTGCTTTGTCTTTTGCACTGGGATTACTTGTACAGAGAGGCAGGGTGGTTAGAACCAGACCCCTGCATTCAAATTCCAACCCTGCTACTCCCAGGGTCCAGAACAGTGCCTGGCACAGAGAAAACAACATAAAGAGTTAGTACTACTGTGCTTTGCATTATCCCCCAGCAGGAGCCAAACTAAAGTGTTTTGAGGGTAACATTACACATATGACCAGGCACAGTGGCTCACGCTTGTAACCCTAGCACTTTAGGAGGCCAAGGCAAGAGGATTGCTTGAGCTCGGGAGTTCAAGACCAATCTGGGCAACATAGTGAGACCTTGTCTCTATAAATTAATATTTTTTTAATTAAAAAAACTATACATAGGATTTAGTATTTGATAACTTCCCCAAGCCTAGCTCAGGACACAAAGTAGATGCTCAATAGACAATAAATAAGAGCGCTAAGTGCAGTGGCTCATGCCTGTAATTCCAGCACTTTGGGAGGCCAAGGTGGGAGGATCCCTTGAGCCCAGGAGTTCAAGATCAGCCTAGGCAATACAGTGAGGACTTGTCTCTAATAAAAAATAAAAAGGCCGGGCATTGTGGCTCACACCTGTAATCCTAGCACTTTGGGAGGCCGAGGCCAGCAGATTGCCTGAGCTCAGCAGTTCGAGACCAGCTTGGGCAACGTGGCAAAACCCCATCTCTACTAAAAATACAAAAAATTAGCTGGGTGTGGTGGCACACACCTGTAATCCCAGCTACTCCAGGAGGCTGAGGCATGAGAACCACTTGAGCCCAGGAGGTGGAGGTTGCAGTGAGCCAAGATTGCACCACTGCACTATAGCCTGGGCAACAGAGTGAAACTCTGTCTCCAAAAACAATAAATAAAATAAAATAAATAGGCTGAGGACAGTGACTCACACCTGCAATCCTAGCACTTTGGGAGGCTGAGGCGGGTGGATCACAAGGTCAGGAGATCCAGAACATCTTGGCTAACATCTTGGCTAAACCCCACCTCTACGAAAAATACAAAAATTAGCCAGGCGTGATGGCACGCCCCTGTAGTCCCAGCTACTCAGGAGGCTGAGGCAGGAGAATCATTTGAACCTAGGAGGCAGAGGTTGCAGTGAGCCAAGATCGCGCCACTGCACTCCAGCTTGAGCGACAAGAGCAAAACTCCGTCTCAAATAAATAAATAAATAAATAAAAATAAAAATTTAGCTGGGCACAGGGGCTCATGCCTATAATCCCAGCACTTTGGGAGGCTGAGGTGGGTGGATCATTTTGTTAAGCTCAGGAGTTAAAGACCAGCCTGGGGAACACGGCGAAACCCCCAGGCGTGGTGGTGTGCACCTGTATGCAGGATGCTGAGGCAGGACGATTGCTTGAGGTTGAGGTTGCAGGGAACCATGATTGCCCCACTGCACTCCAGCCTGGGCAAAAGAGTGAGATCCTGTCTCTAAAAAAATAAATAAATAATAAAAAGAGCTAAATTTTATTATGAGTTTGTATTGCTCTAGGTTCTAAACTGTTCTAAACATCTTACATGTATCAGCTCATGTAATCCTCACAATAAGTGCCATTATTATTCCCACTTCACAAAGAGGAAACTGACTCATAAGGAATTAAATACTTTATCCAGGGACACCAAGTAATTAAGTGGAGTGGCTGGGATTTGAACACAGGACACAAGCAACTAAGCCTTAACAACTACAAGATACTATCAAGTGTAGACCAAGTTGTTACAGGTTTATGAGGTCAGAATCAAAGAAGACAGCAATCTATGTTGTACAACTGGGGCTGGTTAAATAAACTCTGATAGTATCTTATGTAGCCATTAAAATGATGATATAGATCTACATTTATATTGAATGACATTCATGACTTGTTTGTTTGTTTCTTTACTCCATACCTCACCTGGACTGAAATAATTTTTAAAAGCAAGCCAGAAAGCAGTAAAATAAACCTGCACACAAATGTTTATAGCATCTTTTGCATAATTGCCAAAAACTGGAGGCAATTGAAAAGGTGAATGGATAAACAAATTGTGGTACGTCAGTACTATGGAATATTATTCAGCTATAAATAAGAAATGAGCCATCAAGCCACAAAAAGACATGAAGGAATCTTAAGAGGCATATTGTTTTGTGAAGGAAGCCAGCCTGAAAAGGCAACAGACTATACGATTCCGACTATATGACATTCTGGAAAAGGCCAAACCATAGAAACAGTAAAAAGATCAGTGACTGCATGGGATTAGAGGGTGAGAGGTGAACAAGGGGATCACAGGGGATTTTTTGGGCCAATTGTTCTGTATGATACTGTAATGGTGGATATGCGACATTATGCATTTGTCAAAACGCAAAGAACTTCACGCCACAAAGAGTGAGCCTTAATATAAGCCATGAAATGTAGTGAATACTAATATATCAATACTGGTTTATCAATTGTGACAAATGCAAGATATTAATAACAGGGGAAACTGAGGGAGCGGTGGGAGGTTATATGGGAACGCTGCACTAGCTTCCCAAATTTCTGTTAACTGAAAACTGCTCTAACAACTAAAGTTCGTTAATTTAGAAACAAACAGTATCATCGCAGGATATTTCGTGTTAATGTACATCTGTGTTTTTTGTGTACACAAAAAGTCAGGAAGGACATAACCAGAATTAATAGCAGTTGTCTCAGCCTGGTGGGATTAATAGAGATCTTTCTCCTAGTTCTACTTGTTATTAACAACAGCATGCCTTTATCCTGTAAAGGAGTAAAGTGGGGCAGTGGGGGCTGCCCAGGACCGGGGACCAGCGGGCCCAGGAGCGGTTGCTGCCAAGCGACTCCGTGCCCCTAAGGGCACCGCAGTCCTCAGCGTCTGCTCCGCCCACCCCGTCCCTCAGCCTTTGCAACTGCGGGTCCCGAGGTTAGCAAAGAGACCAGAGAATTCCTCCGGTGCGATTGCGTCTGCACACGCGGCGGGCGACGGGGAGCCGGCAGGGCGGGCGGGGTCGGAAGCGGGGCACAGTGGGGCTCGGCCTGGGGCCGTGGACGCTCCGTGCAGCTGTGGGGAGGCGGGGGCGGCGGCCGCGCCCGCGATGCCTTCAGTTTGCTGGAATGTTCCTGCGGCAGAAGTGTACTTTGTTCCAGGGATGGGGGAGGGCGGAGCGGGGGCTGGGCCCCAGCGCGTCCTGGGACTTGGAAGGCTGCCAGCTTTCCGTTCCCAGGGTGCCTTCTGGCGGGGGCGGGCGTTGTCTGGTTTTCAGCATGGGCCGCTGTGGGGTTCTGGAGGGAACCCCTGGATTCCAGCGCCATCCCTGCCACCGACTAGCTGCAGGTCCCTGCGTGGGGTATCTTAACCTCTCTGGGCCTATATTTCCTCATCTGCAAAATGAGGCTAATCACATTAATAATAATGCTGTGATGGTTATAGCCGGGCACTGCTGTAAAGCACTGTGAGGTGCTCTCTGCTCGCAGCAACCTTTGGAGGTAGGTGCTGTTAATATAACATAATTACACTCTTAGTAGACTAATACTCACTTGCTGCCCAGGCCCTTTGGAAAGCGTAGATGGTCTGGCTGTAGAAAACCTGGTCCAGCCTCCTTCCAAGTAGTAAAACGTGCTATTATTATTTTCACTTTAAAGATAGGGACGCAGGAGCTCAGGAAGGTTAAACAACTTGCCCAAGGGCACACAGCTCCTAAGAGGCCATCCAGGATGCAAACCCAGCACTTTGGGAAGCCAAAGTGGGAGGATCCCTTGAGCTCAGGAGTTCGACACTAACCTGGGCAACATAGTGACACTCCATGATATTTAAAAAATATATTTTAAAAAAGGAAAACAAAAAGGCGGGGGACGCAAACCCAGTTAGTCGGTGAAGAGCCGCCACTCAACCTCTACAGAAACTGCCTCACTGCTAGTGTCTGGAAGCCCCATTATAAGCTTATTTGGACATTGCAATCCATGCAGCAATTCTGGGAGAAGTTTCACAAATAATAATTATTAATACTAAGTAATGATAATTATCACCAATTGAGGGCCATAATTTCAACACCATATATGTGCAACAATTATTTTTCCCATTTTAGAGATGAAAGAATCCAGGCGCCAGGTCACTCCAGTTCAATGGGGTGGAATCCATTCATCCTGAAGCGGAAAGGCAGCAACAACTTAGCTCTCACCTCCTTTGATAGGCAGGCCGACTCCTCCAGAGTCTGATTATGCCAGCCAGCCAGGAAGAGCAGCCCTTCCTTCCCCAGACATTGTCAAAATCAACTTTGCCTTGCCTGGTAATCTGAGGAGCTTCTAAGCTGCGAGGGTGTAAGGAGTCTCAGATGATATCTAACACCAAGCTGGGGAGTTGCTCTCCTCTCCCGGGTCTGCTGCTTCCAGGAGCCCGGTTGCCTGGTGCCTGTGGAAACGTTTCCTCCACTGAGTCTACCCAGAGGATGGAGGCAGAGTGCAAGACAGTTGCCCTAAATTGTGGACAAAAGAGAGCTCTGCAGCCGAAGCTCCGTGTCCCATTATCACTAGGCTCCTGTCCCCTCAATCGTATGACAGAAAAGTCATTGGATTCTCAGCCTCCTCCTCGGGTTAAAAGGCTGCCTTCTTTTAATGCAAATGTTGCCACTGCTTCTGGGCAACCCATCCTCCATATATTCTCAACCTCATGGGAAAGAAAAAAACTCTTATCTTCTGTAGTAAGCTTAAATGTTTCACGAATGAAGACAGTTTGGCAAATAGCCACATATTGCTATTGCTGTCATGTGGGCATGCAGTAGGTGCCGAATAAGTGCTTTGCATATTTGCTCCCTCTGTTCCGAATGTTCTTCCTCTGAATACTGACATGGTTCCCTCCCTCATCTCCTTCAGTTTTTACTCACGTCGCCTTTTCTGTGGGGCCTTCCCTGACCATAATATTTAAATTACACTCTCCCAATAGTCCTGATTCCTTTTCCCTGTTTTATTTTTTCCATAGCACGTATCACTGTCTTACACACTGTTATTTGTATTTATTTCATTTGTTGTCTGTCTTGCCCCCATTAGAATGTAAATTCCAGAAGGGCAGGATTTCTTTCTGTTTTCTTCACCACTGTATCCCCCAATGCCTAGAACTGGAAGGAAGGAAGGGAAGGGGAGAGAATAGCTTCCCTGGCCATTCCAACCCATTGTGGATACCACCCCCTTGGAGAAATGTGCATTTCTTTCCTGCACTATCTACTTGACACTTGGCATATCCTTACCCGCCACCTCAACTCCCTACTCTCCCCCGCCCCTTTGTAACATCTCTTGACAGTAGCTTCCTGTTCTGCTATATGACTTTGCAGATTTGTGTCTCATCTACTTAAGTAGACAGAAAATTTCCTGCCTTACAAGCAGGGGCAGAAGAGATCTGATCTTTGTATCTCCCTAGTACCAAAAACAGGGCTGAATTTCTGTAAGTTCCAGGGCTCCTTAGATTTTAAACAGAAAAAGTCCTCCTTCCTCCATCCCTTCCCCCTCCTTGCTCAGTTCGAATCCTAGTTCATCTCCATTAATATTAGACTTACTACTTAAGTTTGATTTGAAGTTTGATATTTGTTTTAAACCAAATAAATTCACAATGTTTTTGATAAACAACATTCAATATATATCAATGAGGATCAATGTGTGAGCCATTTAATTTCTTAACACAACCACTATATTTTCTCATTAAATGAAACAAAACTGCATACCTTAACTATGTTCTTGCCATAATCTGCACCCTTGATTTTTTCTTTATTCCTAAGAAGAGTTTTGGAGAAATTTCAGTGGCCAAAGTAAGAAAGAGAGGGAGACAAGGAATCTCATTCCCTGGAGGCGAACGAAGCCTGCTGGCTTCCTTTGGTGGTCACCCCACCTTACTCTACCCCTCAAGAATAAGGGAGGTACACAGCTAAAGATAGCTCTTACATAGCATCACACATGATTATAACAAACACCGAATTTGCCCTCTGTCTCCCTCTGCATTTCCCCAGGGCTGGCTCTAAGGTGGGCTGGTGGCACATCCAACTCAGGAGAAGTGGGAGACTGTCCTTGAAAAAAACTAATGACTGTATCATTTTTATCACCTAGGAAAATCTAAAAATGTTCACAAATCAGCATTTAGTTATGTGATTTGAACATGAAATTTCATCATTATATTGCGTGTGTGTGGTGATCTTGGTTCCTGGTATCTGTTAAAATTGAGGTGAAAGGTGCCATTCTGATTGGCTTGAATTTGAGAAAAATACAATTGAACGGGCCCTATATAATTCTCAACAAAAATAACTGCAGAGGCCTGGTATGGTGGCTCATGCCTGTAATCCCAGCACTTTGGGAGGCTGAGGCAGAAGGATTACTTGAGGCCAGGAGTTCAAGATCAGCCTGAGCAACATGGTGAGTCCTGATCTCTACAAAACATTTTAAAAATTAGGCCCGTGCAGTGGCATGCACCTGTGGTCCCAGCTAGTCAGGGGGCTGAGATGGGAGGATCACTTGAACCCAGAAGGTCAAGGCTGCAGTGAGCCATGATCACACCACTGCACTCCAGCCTAGGTGACAGAGTGAGACCTTGTCTCATAAAACAACAACAACAAAAACCCTGCAGGATCCTCATGAGATATGTGGGAGAGATGGATGAATAAATGCAAGCATGAACAGATAGATGAGAGAGGAACTGATCTATGGGTAGGTGGGTAAATTAAGAAATGCACGGATGGCTAAAGAGATGCACAAATGGATAGATAGACATGGTAGGTGATTGGCTATGCCGTGCTCCAGAGGCCCTGGGGCTACCACAGTGCTGACTTCAAAAGTGTTTGCTTACCCTTTGGTCTTCTACCCAAGATTTTGAGCTCCTGGAATGTAGAAATTTAATTGTATTGGTTTTTGTGTCCTGAGCCCCTAGTGCAGTGTCTGGCCCATTAACACAGGTATTAGTCAGGATGTAGTTTTGGCTGCTGTTACATACAACCTCTCATCTGCATGATGGAGCAATGCCAAGTGCACAATGCAGCCAGCAGGAAGGGAAAAAAGAGGAAGGAGAAGGCACACATCCTCTTCAAAGGCACATTTTACTTCTGTTCTCATCCCATAGGCGAGAACTTAGACACATGGCCACACCTAGTCAGAAGCATGCTTGGAAATTTAGTCTTATTCTGGGTGCCTGTGTCCAGTTAATAATCTGTGTTCTAAAAACAGCAGAAACAGGCTGGGCATGATAGCTCCTGCCTGTAATCTCAATACTTTGGGAGGCCAAGGTGGGAGGATCACTCGAGCTCCAGAGTTTGAAACCAGCCTGGGCAACATAATGAGACCCTGTCTTGATTTAAAAAAAAAAAAAAATAGCCCAGAATGGTGATGCATGCCTGTAGTCCCAGCTACTCATGAGGCTGAGGCAGGAGGATCACTTGAGCCTGGGAGGTTAAGGTTGTAGTGAGCCATGATTGTGTGACTGCACTCTAGCCTGGACAACAGAGCGAGACCCTGTCTTAAAACAAAAAAAAAAACCCAGCAGAAACAGATATAAGGCAGTTACTCTCCACTACATAAATTAGCAACAGATTCTTATGTTAAATGAATGAAGAAATAAATGGGGCCAGACACTATGGCTCACACCTATAATCCCAACACTTTGGGAGGCCAAGGCAGGTGGATCACTTGAGCCCAGGAGTTTGAGACCAGCCTGGGCAACATGACACAACCCTGTCTGCACAAAAAATACAAAAATTAGCTGGGCTTAGTGGCATGTGCCTGTCATCTCAGCTACTTGGGGGGATGAGGTGGGAGGATTGCTTCAGCCCAGGAGGTCGAGGCTGCAGTGAGCCATGATCGTGTCACTGCACTCCAGCCTGGGTGATAGAGTGAGACCACATCTCAAATAAATAAATAAATGGCATTGAAATAAATAAATAAATGACAAATTGAAATAAATAAATAAATGACATTGATTGTTATCTGAGAAGGACACGTATGCTGAGTCACATACAGTAGGTAAGTGAAAAAAGCAAGGTAGGATTAATATATAGTATGCAATTATTTGCTGTCATTCTTTACTAAGAGAAATTTTGTTGAGAGTGGAATGGGCCTAGATAAAATAGTTCACTCCCCAGGCTCCCTCCAAGTGGCTATGTGACACCACTGTGGCCACAGAGATATAAATGGGAGACAGCTGGAGATCTGAGGACATTTCTGCTTTAATACAGGAACCACCTTTCCCTCTTCCCTGCTACTTCTTCATTTCTGAGACGCAGATGTGAGAGTGAAGGTGGAGCAGTCAACTCGTGACCGTGACCGTAAGACTTAATAAGCAAGATAACGTAACTACTCAGTTACATTAAGCGTAACTGAGTAGAAACATGGATAGAAGCCGGGACATTGATGATACAGTGGAGACGCTACACCCACCCCAGACCTCTCATTAGAGAAATCCAAACTCCTGCTTGGTTAAGCCAGGATAGTTGCGTTTCTGTTTTATGAGAGATACTTATATTGTGAAAATTCATTGAATACATAAAATATCTCTGGAAGTACACACAAGAAACTGTAGTCTTAGCTGCCTCCTGGGAGGACAAATTATGAGTGATTTCAGGACAACACTGGACAAGAAACTTGCTTTTCATTTGTAGTCTTTTATATTTTTGAATGCTGAATTTACATTTATATATTCAACAAAAAAAGTGTGGAAATGACATATTACATCACCAAACCAGGTCCATTTGCCCTCATGCAATGGAAAGGCAAACACTGAAGGACTGAGTTTTTGCAGCAAGAAAGGTTTATTGAGTCAACTGGCAAGGAGATGGGAAAATGCTCATCTGTCTCCCCCAAGCTGGGGGCCTGGGCTGGGTTTTATAAGTATAGGGTAATAAGGTGTTATCTGATTGGATCTTGCAATGAAGTGATGCTGGGAGGCATGATCTGACTGGATCCTGCCATGAGGTGACAGCAGGGATTGATCTGATTGGATCCTGGATCCTGCCATGTGGTGTCCACTTCTTAATTCACTCCCCGCTCCTTGGGTTTGAGCACTTAGGTTCCTCTGGTGATTGCACGCTTGGTTCATGCACACTGGGTATGCTCAGGTTACTTAACCTTTGTTACAATTGAACCAGATTGGTCTGGTGAAGTTATATTTCAATAGGGAAAATCAAAAGAGACTGTTTCCTTCATGAATTTGATGGTTTGAGAAATACATTTTCCAACAGTCCTGCTGTTGGATGACATAACAACACCTTGTTATGTCATCATCAAAGGCAAAGTTGTCTCAAGAAATAAATCATAAATTGTGCTTCAGTAACTGAATTTTGAACAGTATTTGTTAAAAATAAATTAACCATCTATGCTATACCTCAATAATGGAGGGGGGATGTGTTTTAAGGAAATTTTCACTGTGTCTGTAATGGGTTTTTCTGTTTTTTTTTTTTGAGTTGGGGTCTCACACTGTCACTCAGGCTGGAGTGCAGTGGTATGATCTCAGCTTACTGCAGCCTTGACTTCTCCAGCTCAGGGGATCCTCCTGCCTCAGCCTCCCAAGTAGCTGGGACCACAGACATGCTCCACTACGGCCGGCTAATTTGCACTTTGGGAGTGTAGATGCACTTTGGGAGGCTGAGGCGGGCAGATCACGAAGTCAAAAGTTCAAAACCAGCCTGACCAACATAGTGAAACCATGTCTCTACTAAAAATGCAAAAAAATTAGCCAGGCATAGTGGTGCACGCCAGCTACTCAGGAGGCTGAGGCAGGAGAATCACTTGAACCCAGGGGGCAGAGGTTGCAGTGAGCTGAGATTGCACCACTGCACTCCAGCCTGGGTGACAGAGCAAGACTCCGTCTCAAAAAAAAAAAAAAAATCAGATCTCACATTAACTTACTCACTATCATGAGAACAGCGCCAAAGAAGAAATCCACCCCCATGATCCAATCACCTCCTACCATGCCCCATCTCCAACTTTGGGGATTACAATTGGACTTGAGATTTGGGCAGGGACACAGACCTAAACCATATCACTAACTGTGAAAAATTAGAGTGCATTCAAATATAATAAGGCACTCTCACTCCCTTGAATTACCATCTGCTTTCTGGAGAAGCAGAGATATGGCTGGTACAATGAGGTACCCAGACTTTCACCTGACCCACAACTTATCTCTGCTTCAGCTAGTGGCTAGTACCCCTGACAGTTGCACCACAAATAAATTTAAAAACTTGCTGCCTGGGAGTCATGATTTTTATTTTTTTAAATTTATGTATTTATTTTTTGAGACAATATTTTGCTCTGTCACCCAGGCTGGAGTGCAGTGGCACAATCACAGCTCTCTGCAGCCTCGATCTCCTGGGTTCAAGCCATCCTCCCACTTCAGCCTCCTGATTAGCTGGGACTAAAAAATACATATGCCACCATGCCCAGCAAATTTTTTGATTTTTTTTTTTTTTTTTTTTTTTTTTGTAGAGACCAGGTCTCACTATGTTGCCCAGGCTAGTCTCAAACTCCTGAACTCAAGCAATCCTGATCCTCTCAGCTTGGTCTCCCAAAGTGCTGGGATTACAGGTGTGAGGCACTGTGCCCAGCATGATTTTTATACTTACTTTAATTTTCTTGTTAATCGTACCCATAGATGAATTCTTAATATGGAAAGAGGCAGGGGAGACAACTCAGACACAAAGACTACATCCACGTCTAGGAGACACAGGAGAGAGCATGACCCAGGGATAATTTCTGTTATAAACCACACAACAGCAATGATTACCAAATCAAAAGGAGAGAAACTGATGGTTAAGTGCTATTTCTCATAATCATAGTCATATTGATATATATACATAAATTCTGTTATCGTTTTAAATAGTAAAATAAGATTAATTCATGTTTATTCTGCAACAGTGCATACTTGTTCCTTTCCTGATGTTATCTATTGTATTAGAAAGACATGGAAAAATGTTAAACTTGTTTAAAAAATTTTAATTTAAATAAAGCTTTATGTTTTAAAAAATTAGATTGGTTATATTTGTGTACTTTTTCTTATAAAATGACAGAGCTTTTAAAAGTTCTTTAAAGGGCTGATTTTACACCACTAATATGTTTATAAAATGCTTTGATAAATCTCATGCCAAAAAAAATCTGAGGGGCTATTCACCTTACTTCTCCATAAAATGTTTAATATTCCACAAAAAAATGGTTATGGCCAGGAGAATGTGCCTTGTGTATGAATGTCATTCACCATGTAAGTTGCTGGGGTGAAAAGGGCCGATAAACAAAAGAAAATCAGCACATCATCAACAAATTCTAATAAAACTAGTAATAGAATCAGCTGCAATTCAAAATGGACACTAAAGAAGACCAAATCTGGACTTCTGAGTAACAGTATGTGTGATAAATTACATATTTATTCTGCTCTAAGTCCAAGATGTTTACCATACTGCTCCCAAGCAAAACAAGCAAAGAAACAAAAAATTATACTATCCCACATGGAGATGGATTGCTAAGGTACAGCTACAAAGAAATATGTATCCTAGAGGAACACTGATATTTTCGTTAGGTTACATGTTGCCCGATTAGATTAAGAATAAAGACGGCCGGGCGCAGTGGCTCACGCCTGTAATCCCAGCACTTTGGGAGGCCGAGGCGGGCAGATCATGAGGTGAGGTCAGGAGATCGAGATCATCCTGGCTAACACAGTGAAACCCCGTCTCTACTAAAAATACAAAAAATTAGCCACGCGTGGTGGCGGGCGCCTGTAGTCCCAGCTACTTGGAAGGCTGAGGCAGGAGAATGGCGTGAATCTGGGAGGCAGAGCTTGCAGTGAACCGAGATTGCGCCACTGCACTCCAGCCTGGGTGACGAGCGAGACTCCGTCTCAAAAAAAAAAAAAAAAAAAAAAATTATAATTGCGTGCAAGGCCCCTCACTTGTTTCCATCCATGTATTCATTCTTTTTTTTTTTTTTTTTTGAGATGGAGTCTCATTCTGTCACCCAGGCTGGAGTGAAGTGGTGTGATCTCAGCTCTCTGCAAACTCTGCCTCCTGGGTTCAAGCGATTCTCCTGCCTCAGCCTCCCGAGTAGCTGGGACTACAGGCATGTGCCACCATGCCCAGCTAATTTTTGTATTTTTAGTAGAGACAGGATTTCACCATGTTGGCCAGGATAGTCTCGAACTCCTGACCTCAGGTGATTCGACGCCTCGGCCTCCCAAAGTACTGAGATTACAGGCGTGAGCCCAGCCCATTCTCTTTTATATTCATATTACACACTCTCTCATATACCTTGGCAACCACTTTACTATGTTTACAGTAAATGTTTTTGTATTTTTGGAAAATATGTATTTCTTATGTTAATTTATTAAGGTATAATTTACATTCAGTAATAGCCAACCAATCTTTGACAAAGGAGCAAAGGCAATTCAATAGGAAAAGGTTAATCTTTTCAACAAATTGCTCTGGAATCACCATATGCAAAAAAAAAAAAAAAAAAAAAAAAGGATCCAGAAACAAACTTTAGACCTTTCACAAAAATTAATTCAAAATGGGTCATAGGCCTTAATATAAAATGCAGAGCTATAAAACTTCTAGAAGAAGAAAGGAGAAAGACTAGATGACTTTGGATTTGGCTATGAATTTTCAGATACAACACCAAAAGCATGATTCATGAAAGAAAAATTGATGTCAAACTTTATTAAAATTAATAACTTCTGCTCTGCACAAGACACTGTTAAGAGAATGAAAAAGTCACAGACCAGAGAAATTATTTATAAAACATGTATCTGATAAAGTACTTGTATCCAAAACATACAATGAACTCTTAAAACTCAACAAAAACAAAGAAACCAATTTTAAAATGGATCATCTGAACAGATATCTCAACAAATAAGATAAACAGATGGCAAATAAGCATTTAAAAATGTCTGGGTGGGGTTGGCTCACGTCTGTAATCTCAGCACTTTGGGAGGCCGAGGAGGATCACTTGAGCCCAGGAGTTTGAGACCCACCTGGGCAACAGAGCGAGTCCCCGTCTCTACAAAAAAGTTAAGAATTAGCTGGTGTGGTAGCAAACTCTTGTAGTCCCAGTTACTTGAGAGGCTGAGGCAGGAGGATCACTTGAGCCTGGGAGATCGAGGCTGCAGTGAGCTGTGATTGCACCAGTGCACTAACCTGGGCAACAGAGCAAGACTCTGTCAAACAGCAACAACAACAACAACAACAAAATGCTCAACATTATTTGTCATTAAGGAATTGCATATTAAAACAATGAGATATATACATCAGTATATATTTAACTTTATCGGAAATTGCCAAACCAATGTCCCATTTTGCATTTCCATCAGCAATATATAAGTGTTCTAGTTGCTCAGGATCCATCCCAGGGAAGAAAAAAGGAAAGGTAAAAAGAAAAAGAAATAAGAGCTTCAGTTGCTCTACATCCTCAGCTTGTATTGTCAAGATTTTAAAATTTGAGCATTTTGTGATGTTAATGGTATCTCATTGTGGTTTTAATATGCAATTCTCTATTGACTAATTATGTTGAGAATCTTTTTATGTGCTTATATCTTATTTGGCGAAGTAGCTTTAAATCTTTTGTTTTATATCTTATTTTTAAGTTAGTGTTTGTTTTATATCTTATTTGGTAAACAGCTCTAAATCTTTTGTTCAATTTTAAGTCAGTGTTTTTATTTATTATTGAGTTGGGAGGTTTCTGTATATATTCTGGATAGAATTTGGTATCACTGTCCAATCAAGAAATGGAAAACAGGTAAAGTTTAACATAAAGAAATAACAGGAGATTTGAGTAATGGGAAATCGACTCATAAGAGTTATAGAGAACTCTGATGAATGCAAGAATGGCAAATACAGGGAACAGCCGCTGCCAGCAGGATAGAGTGTCCAAGGAAGAACTCCAGACCCTGCTGGGGAGAGCACAGCATGGCATCCTGGGTGGTGGAGAAGACACTGAAGTGGCTCACAGTGTAATAGTGGAATCTTCCCTTTAGGGTACTAGGGGGTGTTGTCCACAGAGAAGTGCCATACCTTGAAACTTGCTGCAAATTCTTCAGGTGATGGGGTGCTGGGGGAAGCCGTTCATGGTCAGGTGCCTTGCCAGTGGCACACCACTTAGAGAAGATGCTGAGGGAAGCTTCTGTCAGCTGGGCACTGAAGGTTACCATGCACTGCCAGAACTGGGAGCTGGAGAAGCTGCCCTTTTCAGGAAAAGGGAAAGAGTAAGAGACAATTTCTTCCTCCTCCCATGCCTACTACTGGCTTAACATCATGTATCAAAGAAAAATATTTATTTAACCCACCTCCATTATCACAGAGCAGGTAAAGAAGGGTGAATTTGGAGCCAAGAAGCAATAAGTTGATGACTGTCACAAAACCCTTTATCATTTGTGTGTTTTGCAAATATTTTTTCTCAAGCTACAGTTTGTCTTTTCATTTTCTTGATGGTGCCTTTTGAAAAGCAGATGCTTTTAATTTTGATGATGCCAATTCATTCATTTTTCTTTTTTCATTCATGCTTTTTTAATCCTAAAATCTTTGCCTAACCTCAAATCATAAGATTTTCCCATGTTTTCTCCTTGAAGTTTTACAGTTTCAGCTTCCAGATTTAGGCTTATGATCCATTTCAAGTTTTGTGTGTATGCATTTTTAAAATTGGTAACATATACAATAAATTACAAAAATATGTGCATCTACTTTAATTTATAAATGGTATCAAGTTATCTCATTATGCTTCCTACCTTTGTCACTGAGGGCTGTTTTTAAGATTCATTCATGTTGCTATGTATACATCTGCTATGGTTTGAAAGTTTGTCCCCTCCAAAACTTATTTTGAAATTTAATTGCTATTGTAGCAGTATTAAGAGGTGGGACTTTTAAGAACTTGACAGCTTCCATCTCATGAGTGGGATTGGTGCTATTATAAAAGAGTGAGTTTAGGGGCTAGGCACAGTGGCTCATGCCTGTAATGCATGAGCATTACAGACAATCCAAAGTCTCAACACTCTGGGAGGCTGTGGCAGGAGAATTGCTTGAGCCCAAGAGTTCAAGTTTAGGGGCTAGGCACAGTGGCTCATGCCTATAATCTCAACACTCTGGGAGGCTGAGGTGGGAGAATTGCTTGAGCCCAAGAGTTCGAAACCAGCCTGAGGAACATTGTGAGACCCCATCTCTACAAAAAAAAAAAAAAAAAAAAAAAATTAGCTGGGTGTGGTGGTGTACACCTGTGGTCCCAGCTACTCGGGAGGCTGAGGTGGGAGGATCCCTTGAGCCTAGGAGTTCAAGACTGCAGTCAGCTATTATCATGCCACTGCACTCTAGCCTGGGTGACAGAACAAAACCTTGTCTCAAAAAAATAAAAATGAAAGATAAAGAGTGAATTTGGCCCTCTCTAACCCTCTCTTTGCTCTACTGCCATCTGATGCTTTCTGCCATCTTATGATACAGCAGCAAGAAGGCTCTTGCCAGATGCCGGCACCATGATCTTGAACTTCCCATCTCCAGAAATGTAAGAAATAAATCTTGGCTCATTGCAAATCATCCAATCTGTGGTATCTGTTACAGCAGCATAAAACAGACTAAAGCACTCTACTACATGCATCATTCACATTTCACCCATTTATTCCTCTCCAGATGGACAACTGCTTGTCTCCAATTGCCTGCTAGCAGAACTGACACAGCAGCCAATGTTCTAATCTGTATTCCCTGATGGACCTGTATGATTACTTATCCTGAGTGTATATACACCCAGGAGTAGATCTGCTGGGTCCCAGGCTGTGCATATATTTAATTTATCTAGTATATCTAATGTATCAGACTGCTCTCCAGAATGGTTGACAATCTGCATTCCCACCAGCAGCATGTGAAGGAAACTATATCTCCACTTACCTGCTAACACTTGACATTTTCCAACTTTCCAATTTTTGCCAGTCTTCTAGGTGTAAGGCTGATATTTCATTGTTGTTTAAAATTGAATTTCTTTGATTACTAATGATTTTAATTTTTAATAATTCCCTTAACTTGCCTGTTTGGGTTACCACTTTTATAAGTTTTCTCTTGATAAACTGTCCATTCTTCTATGGGATCTGCTACCTTTTCCTTGCCTTGCATTTAATTTGTTGTTCTTTTTCTAAGATGAAAGCTTGAATTATAATTTTAGAACTTTTTTCTAATATATGCATTCAATGTCATAAATATCCCTCTAAGCACTTTTACTGCATCCCTCAAATTTTGATAATTTGAGTTTTCATTTTCATTTAGTTGCAAATAGTTTTTGGTTTCTCTTGAGATTTCTTTTTCAGCCATATGTCATTTAGAAGTATGTTGTTTAGTCTCCAAGTATTTGGGGGATTTTCCAGCTATCTTTCTGTTTAATCCCATTGTAGTCTGAGAGCATACATTGTAATATTTCTGTTCCTTTAAATTAGGTAGGGTGCAGGTTGTGGCCCAGAATGTGGTCTACTTTGGTGAACGGTACATGTGAGGAATGTGTATTATGCTGTTTTGGATGAAGTAGTCTATAGATGTCAATTATATCCTGTTGATTGATGGTGCTGTTGAGTTCAACTATGTCCTTACTGATTTTCTGACTGCTGGATCAGTCCATTTTCAACAAAGGGGTATTGAAGTCTCCAACTAAAATAATGAATTCATCTATTTCTCCTTGCAGTTCTATCAGTTTTTGCCTCATGTATTTTGATGCTCTGTTGTTAGGGGCATACCCATTAAAGATTATGTCTTCCTGGAGAATCAACCCCTTTGTCATTATGTAATGCCCCTCCTATCCCTGTTTAATTTGCTTGCTCTGAAGTCTGCTCTGTCTGAATATACCTACTCCAGCTTTCTTTGATTAGTGTTAGCATGGTATATCTTTCTTATCCTTCTCCATCTCTTTACTTTTAGTCTATATGGATCTTTATATTTAAAGTGGGTATATTTTACACAACAATATAATTGAGTCTTTTTTTTTTCTGAGATAGGGTCTTGCTCTGTCACCCAGGCTAGAGTGCAGTGGCTCAATCACAGCTCACTGCAGCCTTGATCTCCTGGGCTCAAGAAATCCTCCTACCTCAGCCACTCAAATAGTTAGATCTACAGGCACACACCACCATGCCCATCTAATTTTTATTTACTTTGAGATGGAGTCTCATTCTGTCAACCAGGCTGGAGTGCACTGGCATGATCTCAGATCACTGTAACCTCCACCTCCCAGGCTCAAGCAATTCTCATACCTCACCCTCCCGAGTCCCTGGGATTACAGGCGCCCACCACTACACCTGGCTAATTTGGGTTTCACCATGTTGGTCAGGCTGGTCTCAAACTCCTGATCTCAAATGATTCACTCACCTCAGCCTACCAAAGTGCTGGGATTACAGGCGTGAGCCACTGCACCCAGCCCCAGCTAATTTTTAAATTTCTTGTAGGGACAGAGTGAGACCTTGTCTCAACAACAACAATACAATGACTTAAAAAACACACAGTATAACAACTATTTACATAGCATTTACGTTATATTAGATACTATAAGCAATCTAGAGATGATTTAAAGTATCCAGGACGTTGCGCACAAGTTTTGTGCAAATACTACGCCATTTTTAATAAGGAACTTGAGCAGTCCTGGATTTTGGTACCTGAGGGGGAGCGTAGAACCCATCCCCAATGGATATGGAGGGATGACAGTGACAGCAACAGGGGGCAGCCTAGGCAGACAGGGGCAGGTCCCCGGTGAAACCCCACCTAAAGCCAAAAACAGCCTGAAGGCTGAAAGATTGGACTGCTGGTCCTGGATGAAACTGCAACCCAGAATGAGAACTTCTGTTCTTTTTGCCTCCCTTTCCCAACTGATTCTTTCTGAATGCCTTTTAACCAATAGAATGTTGCTTTTTCCAATACTACCTGTGGCCTGCCCCTCCCCCATTCTGAGCTTGTAAAAAGCCCCGGACTTAGTCATATTATGGGGACTTTCCAGCCTTCGGGTAGGCGGACCACCCCTGCATCCCCTCTCTGCTGAAAGCTGTTTCATCACTCAATAAAATTCCCTGCCTTGCTCATTCTTTGACTGTCAGTGCATCCTCATTCTTCTTGGGCACAGGACAAGAACTCAGGAACAGGTGTGCAAGCCATACTCAGCATGGGTGGGCCAAGTGGGCAGGCCATCTCCTGCAACAGGTAGTGTGGTCAAGGGAGGCCTGGGTGGGGCATTGCCAGCCAGAGGTTCCTGGCTTGCAAAGTGACTGAGAATAAAAGCCTGTGTCAATGGTACTTGCATATTCTGTGTATTAATCCCTTATCATTTTTAGATTTACAGATATCTTCACCTATTCTGTCACCTATTGTCCATAGTATCCTCTTTTGTATGGAAATAGTTAATTTGGATGTCATCAAATTAATGCATTTTTTGCCTTTGGGTTTGTGCCTTTGAAGTTCTGTTTAATGAGTCCCTCTCCCAGCCCAAGTTTCAAAGATAGTCCCTTATATTTTCTTCTATTAACTTTGGTTTTATTTCTCACCTTAAAGTTTTACATCACTTAGTGTTTTACATCACACAGCAACAATCATCAACACAGAACCTCCTGTGACCAGATGTGTGTGGGTTTCCCCCACCACCAAGCAGCAGACACCTGGCTGGTGTCTTCCAATTCATATCTGATACTATCTACCTGGAGATAGTGTCAGATCCCACAGGTTGAGGGCTCAGTTCCCAAGACTTCTCCCTCCTTCCCCGCAGCCACAACTCTAGGCCTCAGAACTTCGGACCAACTGACTTCAAGTTGGGGTTCCCACGCCCGTCTCTTTAGGCTTGATTAATTTGCTAGAGCAGCTCACGGAACTCAGGGAAACACATTTACCAGTTTACTAAGGAGGATATTTTAAAGGATACAAATAAACAGCCAGATGAAGAGACCTCTAGCGAGTTCTGGAAGGGTCTCCAGCACAGGAGCTTCTGTCCCCATGGAGTTGGGATACACCACCCTCCAGGCCCATGAATGCGTTCTTCCTGTCAGCCTGCATGTGTTCAGCTATCTGGATCTCTCTGAACCCAGTCCTCTTGGATTTTTATGGAAACATTCTTGCCCCTCAGGGTATGAGGTGGAATCCGCTCAGGGAGGGTCTTAAGACCCACAATCAGAAAAGTGGGGATAGATTAGATGTCTGCCTTGGGGCAGGTGAAAGGAGGGCAGAAGAGAGATTGTGTTTCCTGAGGCCTCACACACTGAACATTCTAACAAGACTGTAACAAGGGCTATGGGAGTTAGGAGCCAATATATGGACGAAAACCAATATATATATCAGAACACCACACAGCATATACCTTTCCCTTTGGTGTAAGGCAGGGATTCTAGATTTTCCCCCCACATAGCGAACGGGTTTAATCTGCTTTCTTCATTGATTTGTGATGTCTCCCACCTGTATGCTAATGGTCTGACTTTCAGTTTTCTATTCCATTCCATGGTCTATTGGTCTGTTTTGGTGCCAAAACAATGTTGTTTGATTTGGTTTGGTTTGACATAGCTTTGTAGTGTGCTTAATATCTGGTAGGACAAATTCTAGCTCTTTATTTTTTTAAGGTTGACTTAGTCCTGTTTGTCCACACAAATTTGAGAGTGAGTTTATCAAGTTCCTGGAAAATAGAGCTAGAATTTTTATTGGGATTCCATTGAACTTATAGATTAACTCATAAAGATCTGATTCCTATATAATATTCAATCATTTCATCCAAGAACATAAAATTTCTCTCCATTTAGTCAGGTTATTTTCTACATCCTTAATTAGCATTTTCATGTTTTCTCCATAGATATTTTTAATTAAGTACATTACTAGATTTTTTTATACTTTGTCGTTGCTGTTGTGAATAGATGTTGTTTGTGGTGAAGACAAATGTTAAGGATTTATTTTTGGTCAATCTTCTATCTACTAAATGACTGAATTATCTTAATTTTAAAAGTCTATGCTGATTCTCTTTGCTTTTCAAGACAAATGAAAATATCTTCACATAGTGACAATTTTATTTCTTCTCATCCTGTATGTCTTACATTTTTCTTCATTCATAGCTTTGTCTGGAACTTCTATTATTATATAGTAAATGATAGCAGTACAGTTGGATGCCTTATTTTGTTCCAGATGTTAAAGTGAATGCTCCTAGTTTCTTCATTAAGTGTAGTGTTTGCTTTAAGTTTTTGCTATATAACCAGTTTTTTCTGAGACAGGGTCGTGCTGTGTCTCCCAGGCTGGAGTGAAGTGGTGTAATCATGGCTCACTGCAGCCTCGACCTCTGAGGCTCAAGCCATCCTCCCACCTCAGCCTCCCAAGTAGTTAGGACTATAGGCATGTGCCACCACCCCTGGCTAATTATTGTATTTTTGGTAGAAATGGGGTCTCACTATGTTGTCCAAGCTAGTCTCGAACTCCTGGGCTCAAGCAATCCTCCTGCCTTGGCCTCCCACAGTGCTGGGACTACAAGTGTTAGCCACTGCACCTGGCCCTATATAACCTTTATCAAATTAAACACACCTTTCCTATTTCCAGTTTGCTAAGTTTTTTTTTTTTTTCATTTTCATAAGTTCAAGGAAGTCATATGCTGAGTTATTCATAAATAAAAAATAGGTGAAAAACTTTATCAATATGCTGCTTTTTCTTCACCATTTGAGATACTCATGTGATTTTTTTCATGTGATTTTTGTCCTTTATTAAAGTGGGGTGATTTTCAATGTTGAGCTGGAATTCCTGGGATAAACCTACTTTCAAAAAACATATAACTAGATTAGTTGCTATTTTATTTAAGATTCTTTTTTTTTTTTTAACAGAGTCTCGCTCTGTTGCCCAGGCTGGAGTGCAATGGAGCAATCTCGGCTCACTACAACCTCTGCCTCCCAGGCTCAAGCGTTTCTCCTGCCTCAGCCTCCTAAGTAGCTAATATTACAGGTGCATGCCACCATGCCCAGCTAATTTTTTGTATTTTTAGTAGAGACGGGGTTTCACCATGTTGGCCAGGCTGGTCTTGAACTCCCGACCTCAAGTGATCTGCCTGCCTTGGCCTCCCAGAGTGCTGGGATTATAGGTGTAAGCCACCGTGTCTGGCCAGGATTTTTATACATGCATTCATAGGTGAAATGAACTTAATACATTTATTTATTGCTTTGTCCTTACTGATTTTGGAATCAAGATTATATTGGTTTCATAAAATGATCTGGGCAACTTTGGTCTTTTCTAACTTTCTGGAACAACTTATATAAGATAGAAATTAACTGATCCTTGAAAGTTCGGTACAACTCCAGAAACCCACAAGTTTTTCATTACCATGAATCCCTCCAGCTCCCCAAAAATAGTTTTCTACTGTTGACCACATTTTGAAAGATTTGGTTTAAATTAATATGTATGACTTTTTCTTTCCCCAGGTGACTGCGTGCTGTAGAGAAAGTACCCACAGCTCTGCAGAATGGTGCCATGACAAACTCAAAGTCATCACCCTCAACTGGACAGTCAACTCTTTTATTGTCCTCAAGTTAAAGGGTCGCACCTCTCTCCTCAAGTCCCCTTCTCAGGCTCACCTATTACCTTTGGATAGATGACCCAACCTCCTACTTGACTGAGAAAAGGTAGCCACTAGGGACTAGCCTCTTGAATCCACCTACCTCCTTACAATGATTCTGTCTACACCCAATCATACCTCTTTCCATCAGTCTCCAAACACAAGGTGTCCCTTCTTAAATCCAAGACAATCTCTGTAAACCTGCTCCAAATCCCCTCCCTTTCTCCCATGGACTTTGCCTGTTTTGACATCCCCTCTCTGTCCCGAAGTTTAAACTCTACCTCGCTATGGGGCTTGGGGGGCTCATTTTCCTCGGTTCAGCAACAGACTCAAATCTCACCCATCCCAAAATAAAATCCCTCCTTTGTGTGCTGTGGGGCAGACATTCTCACGCACTGCAGGTGGGAATGTAAATTGGCAAGATCTTTCTGGGAAGCAATTTGGTAACCTGAGTCAAAAGCCTGAAAAATATTTGCACCCTTTGTCCCAGTAATCCTACCTCTAAAAAATTCATCTAAGGAAATAATCAGAAATGCTGACAAAGGTAGATGTTTAAAGATGTTAATCTCTCTGTTATTTTAACAGCAAAAATTGGAAACAATCTAAAGGCTTAACAATAGGGGATAACTTAAATAAATTGTACTTAAATGTAATAAAATACTGTACTATCACTAAAAATACAATTTTAAAAAGCATAATTGAATGGGAAACTGTTCATGAAGCAATGTTGGCTGTGAAGACGGCAGCACAGAAACAGTAGATACAGTCTGGTGCTGATTTTGTTACATATAAAAATAGCTAACACTTCTGGAATGTTAACTATTATATACGTTCTCTCACTCAATCCTCACAACATTCCTGTACAGTTAATACCGTTATTCACATTTTGTAGAGAAAGAAACCAACCAGAAAGAAAAATACCAATATTTGGCAGGGGGTACTGATGAATTTTATTTTCTTCATTCTCTTTATTTTCCCATTTTTATTTATTTTTATTTTTTATTTTGTAGAGATGGAGTTTTGACATGTTGCCCAGGCTGGTTTCAAACTCCCGGGCTCAAGGGATCCTCCCACCTCGGCCTCCGAAAGTGCTAGGATTACAGGCATGAGCCACTGCATCCAGCCTGTATTTTCCAATTATTTAAAGAGGAATTATTATTATTATCATTTTGTCAAACAGAAGTCCTGAATCATTGCTCCTCTTTCTGATTTATATATGCTAGTAGTGAATATTTTGGACAATACAGAGAAAATGCAATTTCCATTACTGCTACTCCAACTGCCACAGACAGCCACTGTGGACAGTTTGGCTTTTGTATTTCTATTTGCCTCTAAAATGTGTATGTAGACATATGCACTTTAAAAAGCAAACACGCCGGGCGCAGTGGCTCACACCTGTAATCCCAGCACTTTGGAAGGCCGAGGTGGTGGATCGCTTGAGGCTGGGAGTTCGAGAGCAGCCTGGCCAACATGGTGAAACCTCCTCTCTACTAAAAATACAAAAATTAGCCAGGCGTGGTGGTGTGCGCCTGTAATCCCAGCTACTCAGGAGGCTGAGGCAAGAGAATCACTTGAACCTGGGAGGCGGACGTTGCGGTGAGCCAAGATCGCATCACTGCACTCCAGCCTGAGCAACAGAGTGAGACTGTGTCTCAAACAAAAACAAAACAAAAACAACAAAAAAAGATCATGGAAACGTGGCTGTACATAGAACTCTACAATTTGGGCCGGGTGCGGTGGCTCACGCCTGTAATCCCAGCACTTTGGGAGGCCGAAGCGGGTGGATCACGAGGTCAGGAGTCCGAGACCAGCCTGATCAACATGGTGAAACCCCGTCTCGACTAAAAATACAAAAGTTAGCCAGGCGTGGTGGCGGGCGCCTGTAGTCCCAGCTACTCGGGAGGCTGAGGCAAGAGAATTGCTTGAACCCGGGAGGTGGAGGTTGCAGTGACACAAGATCGCGCCACTGCACTCCAGCCTGGGTGACAGAGCGAGACTCCGTGTCAATAAATAAATACATACATAAATAACAACAACAACAAAAAAGAACTCTACAATTTGAGTCCAAAAGTGGCTGCATTTTGATGTCCAGGGGTCGCCGTCCTGCGGGAAGAGGATGTGCAGCGCCCGTTTCTGCTGAAGGGACCAGTTTACTTACGCCAGGCAGACAGCCATCTCTGTGCTGCCCCACCCCAAGAGCTCCAAGTCTGGGCCTAGGAGAACTGAGTTCCTGTCCTAATTCTGCCATTTACTAGCTCTCCTAATCAACTTTTTTCTTTGGGAGCCCGTTTGCCCACTTTCAGACGGGGCAACAGTTCTTGTCTTGCCCACTTTAAGGGAACACTGTGACGTTCCAAGGGGCTGACGGGTGTGACTGGTTAAATCCCGCACCCAAGACAGTGGTCTTGGGACTCCTGTCCCTCCTCCCCATTTCCCGCTGCCTCAGGAATCCTTCGACCTGGCTTAAGGAGAAGAGAGGCCAGCGGCCGCGGGAGGGGCAGGGACCTTGTGCCCTGCACAGCACTAGAGACCAGAAGCTCCAGGCTGGCTTTCCAGCCTTCCCGCCCACTCAAGAGTCCTGCGGCGCGCCCTGCATAGTGGAAGGACTCGCCGCGTGCGGACGCGTAAGGGAGGCCCCTGGAGTGCAGCGGTGGAAGAGGGGAAACGCCGGGACTCTGGAAAGCAGGCTGCGTGGCGTCTACTTCCAACGCACGTTTTAAAGGCACTGCGGGCGCGAGCCGGCGCAGAGGCTGGGGCCCTCCTCCGCGGAGCCGCCGCCCTCTGGTGGCGGCGTGCGAAAGTTACAGCAGTTCGCTCTGCCCCGGCTCCCCGCGCAGGGGTTGAGGGACTGGGTTGCCACTCACACATATTCTAAGCCAGGGGCCCTTAGGGAGCTCCCAATTGAGACCTGAAACCGGCCCGAAGGGGAAGCCTGACATGGGGAAGCCAGGACTGGGACCTGGGACTCCGGCTGCGCCCCCGATTGACGCTTACAATAGCACAATTATGGTCATTGTGAACGCCAAAAGCCCCAGACAGTTAAGATTTCATTCAGGCCATTGCAATAGGGAGAACGTTCATTAATGAGGAGCATCTCAAAGGGGACTGGGGTTTTAGAGAGGCAGGTAAACAATGGAGTCATCAGCGAATCTTAGGGAATAGTAAGAAAGGATGGAGATCCGTATTTCCTTGGGATGCGAGCTTAAGGTGGTCCTTTGTGGCTTAGCTCTTTCCTTGGAACTTAAAGAGGTTGGAGAACTTTATCGTCGCTGCCTTCTGGAGGCACAGGGCTCAGATAAAGGTCAACATTGTCATAGTAAATGGTGCATGATGCAGGACAGCCATTTAAGAGGTGAGGGAAGTGAGACCCAGACCACCCAACTGAAATTTTGTGGCTGAAGCAAGATTCCAACCTGCAGACACCAAGACAGCAAAAAGTCCCCAACATGAAGTGCAGAGTTCCCTTGGAGAGTAAGATCAGAAGCTCAGGATGAGTTCCGCCAACAGCGGAAATGACGTCCTCCAAGACATGGAATCAACCTACGTCTCCATCAACAGATGATTGGATAAATAAAATATGATCTGTATACCCAATGGAATCGTGTTCAGACACAAAAATGAATGAAATTGTGTCTTCTGCAGCAGCATGGATGGAACTGGAGGTTGTTAGGTGAAAAAAGTCAGACACAGAAAGACAAATACTCATGTTCTCACTCATAAGTGGGAACTAAATAATGTATACATATGGGTGTGAGTATGAATGATAGTGGACGCAGAGAAGGGGATGTGGGGATGGATGATGAGAATTCACTTAATGGGTACAATGTATGTTATTTGGGTGATGGATACCCTGAAAGCCTGACATCACCACTACGAATTCTGTGCATGTAACAAAATTATACTTGTATCCCATAAATTTATACCAATCCAAAAATAAATAAATAGAAAGAAATTACCTGCTCCACAGCTTCTGGTTTGATAGAACGTATTGGAGAAGCATTGGGATTACCCAGATTACCCCAGGTATAGGGGAAGGGGGCTATGAAGTTACAGTGAAGACCCCCTAGTCAAGCCTCAGGAAGGGCCAGAAACAAGGCAGGTCTGGGATTCACCTGCTGTGTCTGTCTCTCTTTCAGCCAGTCAGTCGGTCAATCTCTGTCTCCAGGATACCCACTGTTATCTCTTCCACCAATCTCCATTCCCCCAACTTCAACTGACATCTGGCCTCCTACAACTACCCTGGTCCCTGAATCTACTCAACCTTCCAGTCACAGAGTTCACTTTTTTTTTTTTTTTTTTTTGAGATAGAGTCTCACTCTGTTCCCCAGGCTGGAGTGCAGTGGCACAATCTCGGCTCACTGCAACCTCCACCTCCCGGGTTCAAGCAATTCTCCTGCCTCAGTCTCCCGAGTAGCTGGGACTACAGGCACATGCCTCCACACCTTGCTGGTTTTTGTATTTTTAGTAAAGATAGGTTTTCACCATATTGGCCAGGCTGGTCTTGAACTCCTGACCTCAAGTGATCCACCTGCCTCGGCCTCCCAAAGTGCTGAGATTACAGGTGTGAGCTACCACACCCAGCCACAGAGCCCACTTGTAACTGCAGCTTCCTACTGTATCTTTTAAGATCCCTCTCGAACAAGTTCATGCCTTCATGCCAGGGCATGAGTCAGCGGCTGCAGCCAGCCTATTCTCTCCCTGGCCTCTGGGTCCTGGGTTGTGTGGGGTGGGATGAGTGGGCTTTCATAATCTGCTTTTCACAGGGGATAGGGGCAGGACAGCTGCCCCTAGAAGCGTCAGGAGCGGCTGCATCAAGGCAGTCCAAGGCTAAATTTTGGAAGGCAAGACTAGACATGTCATCATTTCCAAGCACTTAAGCCCACTCATGGGTCCTGAGCTTCTTCTTCAGGAGGGTGTAGACTGAAGAGGGTGATCTGAATGGCTAGAGAAGAAGCAGCTAGAGTGACAAGCCTGCATAGCAGCCCCAGAAGTGTCCCTGGCCTGGCCCATGGACCCAGTTGTCCAGCCTCCTTGTCAACCATCTTCTTTCTCAGCATACGTGTTCATGCCCTAGGCCAACAGCAGGCAGACTACAGGCTGCAAAGCTAAATCTGGTCCCTCACCACTGGTTTCTGCTTGGTCTGAGAGCTAAGAATGGCTTTAATGTTCTTAAAAAAGTTGAAAGAAGAGTAATATATTGGCCAGGCATTGTGGCCCACGCCTGTAATCCTAGCACTTTGGGAGGCCGAGGCGGGTGGATCACCTGAGGTCAGTAGTTCCAGACCAGCCTGGCCAACATGGCAAAACCCTGTCTCTACTAAAAATACAAAAATTAGCTAGGTGTGGTGGTGTGTGCCTGTCATTCCAGCTATTCAGGAGGCTGAGGCAGGAGAATCACTTGAACTCAGGAGGCAGAGGTTGCAGTAAGCTGAGATTGCGCCACTGCACTCCAGCCTGGGCAACAGAGCAAGACTCCGTCTCAAAAAAGAAAAAAGAGAGAGTAATACATCAGGACACATGAAAACTGTATGAAATTCAAATTTCAATGTTTATAAGTAAAGTTTTATTGGAACACAGCTATGCTCATGTATTTATGTGCTGTCTGTGGCTGTTTTCACACTGCAGTGGTAGAGTTGAATGGTTTCAACAGAGACTGCAAAGTCTACAATATTCACTGTCTGGACCTTAACAGAAACAGTTTTTGGACCCTTGGGCAGTCCTTGCTTGATGCCTCTAGCTATAGATCCTTGCTGGGCCTGGGGCCTGCTCCAAGAGGCCAGTTGTCAATCCAGATGGCTTTTCTCCAGGGAAAGGAGACACCGGCAGTAATGATGTGAAAGGCTGACCCACTGAGCCGTGACACTTCTCACGGGAAATGAGTCAGTTGGCTTCCTGATCTATAGGTGAGCCTCTCTTAGTTTAAATGTCCCTCTCCTGAGTCTGACCAACTCAGGGGCTGTGTCAGCAAGGATCTTTGGTTACAGGTGACAGAAACCCAATTTGGACAATCTAAAGGAAACAAGAAATGTGTTAAGAAGGCCCTGGCATGTGTCCCGGGACCCATGCTGAGCATGCAGCGGGACCTCAGAGGTGTGTTGAGTCCTTGCTCAGACAGCCTGGTCTGCCCACTCTCACGGTGCCCCCTGCACACCCACTGCTAAGGCCTTCTGCAGGCTGCACCTCTCACCGTCAGGCCCTGGAGAGAGACCATCTGACCCATGTTCAAACATCTTGGAAAAAGGAGGCTCTGGTTGGCATGTTCAGGTACCCACCCCTAGCAGTGACCTGTGCCCACCTTCCCACTGAACAAAACGACTTCTGGTAACCAGGGCAGCGGCAGAAGCGGGGACAGTGGAGGCAGGTGAGCCGCAGAGCTGAAATGAGTGTGCTGATGGTGTCTCTCAGGGGTTTCTTTCCCCTCTGTGCTCAAGCCCTTCTGCCCTCAATGCCCTTTTCCCAACCCTCACCCCTTTACCAGCCTGGCTCTTCCTGTCCTTTAAGACTCAAGCAGGTTGCCGCCACCTCCTGGAAGCACCTCCTCACCCTCCCTACCCCTGCCAAGGCCCCTCCTTTGGCCGACTCCCGTCCCTGGCTGTTCACCCTGGCTCCTGAGTTACTTGAAGACTCAGATCACGTTTTATCCTCAGGGCCTGGAACACAGAGGAGGCTCAGTGAATGTTTCACGGATGAATTGATTCTGAGGGCTTGGATCCAGTAGTGGGGACAATTTCTTCAGGAGGAGATCCCAGGACTTCCTCTCCAACATTTCTCACATGACACACAGTAGCAGGGGGGTTAAGAGCCCATGTCTCAGTCTGGGTTCCACCACATACTAGTTGGGCAAGTCACTTAAGTTTCCTAACCTTAGTTTCCTCATCTGTAAAATGGGCATACCATTTTTTTTTTTTTTTTTTGAGACAGGGTCTCACTCTGTCACCCAGGCTGGAGTGCAGTGGTGGGATCACAGCTCACATCAATCTTGACCTCCTGGGCTCAAAGGATCCTCCTGCCTCAGGCTCCCCAGCAGCTGCAATTACACGAGTGCATGCCACCATGCCCAGTTAATTTTTTTTATTTTTTGTAGAGACAAGGTCTGACCAGGTTGCCAGGCTGGTCTCAAGCAATCCTCCCATCCCAGCCTCCCAAAGTCCTGGGATTATAGGCGTGAGCCACCGCACCTAGCCAATGGAAATACCATCTACCAGTATCTACTTCAAAGGGCTGTTGTAAGGGTTAAATGAGATACTGCTTGACACAATTCCTGGGACATTACAAGTACTGATTTATTATTATTATTACTATTAATCATCATATGTTCCCTCACTTTCCAGCAGCACTCCCACTGACCCCAGTGACATGCAGAGACCAGGAAGCCCCTCCCAGCCCTTCAAGAACCATAAAACAATTACTCCCCATCTCTACTAAAAATACAAAAAAAATTAGCCGGGCGTGGTGGCAGGTGCCTGTGGTCCCAGCTACCTGGGAGGCTGAGTCAGGAGAATGGTGTGAACCCAGGAGGCAGAGGTTGCAGTGAGCCAAGGTCACGCCACTGCACTCCAGCCTGGGTGACAGAGTGAGACTCTGTCTCAAAAAAAAAAAAAAAAAAATTACTAATCCCTCAATAAAACAGAGGCTTAGAGTTTAGCTTCACTGGATTTCTCTACCAAGGTAGCATCAGCCTGTTTTTAAATTTTTGGAAAATATAATAAAGAAAAATGTTAAACAATTCAACACATTTTATCTTTTCGAGTGTTTTTTTCTTAATATTAAATGTAGTTCTAACTACACTATATCTGCATATGTACATTCTACTGTCCATCAGTATCATTAAATCATGGCTGTTACATTGTCATAGATAGTGTCGAATACATCGTTTCTCAACTTTTCAGGAAAGGAATGTTAAAGGATAATTTCAAAAAAGATTATGATTCTCATGCAGATTTAAAATATACATGTGTTCTGGATTTTATTTAACTCATTATTAATGAGGGACCCAGTAGGAGCCTACAACCAGTTCAAAAGAGAATGCAAAGAACAGACACACATATAGATCAGGAAGATTGAAATGCATATGCAAATGGAGACAAAACTGGCTTCTTCCACAGTGCAGGAGGCAAGTGCATTGAGCATCCACTGGCTTCAAGGGATCCTCTCACCTTGCCCTCCCAAAGTGCTGGGATTACAGGCTTGAACCACCATGGCTGGCCTTGTGATTTTTTTTTTTTTTGAGACAGAGTCTCACTCTGTTGCCTAGGCTGAAGTGCAGTGATGTGATCTCGGCTCACTGCAACCTCCACCTGCTGGGTTCAAGCAGTTCTCCTGCCTCAACCTTCCCAGTAGCTAGGACTACAGGCATGTGCCATTCCTACACTCCTCCCGCCCCACCCCCTAGCTAATTTTTATATTTTTAGTAGAGACTGACCTCAGGTGATCTACTTGCCTCGGCCTCCCAAGTGCTGGGATTCCAGGGGTGAGCTACCGCACCTGGCTATGAATTTTAAAATAAGAAAGAAGATGGCCGTTTTACATACTGCACATTGAGACTCATAGCATGCAATCTTCCTGAAAGTTACTCAAAGACACTCTGCAACTGCCTGAAACATAAGTTGAAAATCAAGAATTTAAGGAAATACAGTATGGCTGATGGTCTTTTTTCAAAGATGACCATATCAGCATATACATATGCATGTACATGTGTATACATGCACACACGTGTGTACATATGTGGGCACCCGCACATGTTCATCTTACAAAGTGATCTTGACACACTTCCATGGAAGTTGGGCAGAACTTTGTACCTGTCCCAACCACCAGGATGCAGCAGAAGTGACACTGAATGATTTCTGAGGCTAGGTCATAAAAGGCAATGGCTTCCACCTGGCTCGCTCTCTCTAGATGCTTGCCTTTGGAACTCAGCCACTATGTTGTGAGGGAGACCAGGCACACCAGAGGCCATGTGTGGGTGTTCTGGTCAATAGCCCCAGCGAGGCCTCCAGCTGAGTGACAGCCAGCACCAACTTCAGGTAAGCAAGCCTTCAGATGATTCTAGACAAGCTAGAGGCTCAACTTTGGAGTTTTACTGCGAGGCCTCAGACATTTCACATCTCCTTTGGAGGAGAGATAAGCCATCCCTGTTATACCTTGTCTAAACTGTAATGCACAGAAAGAGCAAGAGGTAATAAATGATTATTGTTTTAAGCATTAAGCTTTAGGATAATTAATTTTAATTTTTATTTTATGTTTTTTGAGACAGTCTCACTCTGTGACCCAGGCTAGAGTGCAGTGGTGTGGTCTCGGCTCACTACAACCTCTGCCTCCCAGGTTCAAGCAATTCTCCTGTTTCAGCCTCCCAAGTAGCTGGGATTACAGGCATGTGCCACCACACCCAGCTAATTTTTGTATTTTTAGTAGAGACAGGGTTTCACCATGTTGGCCAGGCTGGTCTTGAACTCCTGATCTCAGGTGATCCACTTGCCTCGGGCTGCCAAGGTGCTAAGATTACAGGCATGAGCTGCTGCACCTGGCCTATTTTATTTTTTGAAACAGTCTCTCTCTGTCACCCAGGCTGGAGTGCAGTGGCGCAATCTTGGCTCATTGCAACCTCTGCTTTCCAGGTTCAAGCAATTCTCCTGCCTCAGCCTCCCAAGTAGCTGGGACTACAGGCACACACCACCTTGCCTGGCTAATTTTTGTGTTTTTAGTAGAGACGAGGTTTCGCCATATTGGCCAGGCTGGTCTCCAACTCCTGGCCTCAAGTGATTGGCCTTCCTCGGCCTCTTCTAAAGTGCTGGGATTACAGGCACGAGCCATTGCACCTGGCCACTGTTTGGGGCTAATTTGTTTTACAGCCATAGTAAGTGGAGCCTGCAGGAAATGTGGAAACCATTTAAACACAGAGTATCAAATAAATAATGATAAACATGGCTAAAATTTGGATCCCAAATTTAAAACCAATTTTTTGTAAAAAGAAGACCTATATCATTTTAAAAAAGAGAGGTGTGATAACCTAGGCCTCTAATGAAGAGATATGGAAGGAGGGCCTGAAAAACTTCTCACTTTATATTGGAAGGGAGGCAAACATGGTAGATTTATTTTCAATCTGATAGAGAAACATGGTGTGTTAGGATGTTCTTGCATTGTGTAAAGAAACACCTGAGACTGGGTAATTTATAAAGAAAAGAGGTTTAAATGGCTCATGGTTCTACAGAGTGTACAGGAAGCCTGGTGCTAGGCATCTGTTTGGCTTCTGGGAAGGTCTCAGGAAACTTTTACTCCTGGGAGATGGCAAAGGGAGAGCTGCTGTTTCACATGGCAGAGCACGAGCAAGAGAGAGCGTGGGGGAGGTGCCACACTTTACAACAACCAGATCTCATGAGAACTCACTATCTCCGGGAAAGCATCAAGGGATTTACCCCCATGACTCAAACACCTCCCACCAGACCCCACCTCCAACATTGGGGATTACATCTCAACATGAGATTTGGAGGGGAAGTCCAAACTATACTACATGGGTTCAAAAAAGTTTTTAAAAATCTTCAAGGTGTTGGCAGAATTAAAACAATAGGCTATATAGCTATATACTTTTCAAATTACAGAAGATAAAAACAAATCATCAGCCAGGTACAATGGTGCACCTGTACTCCTAGCTACTCAGGAAGCTGAGACTGGAGAATCATTTGAGACCAGGAGTTCAAGTCCAGCCTGGCAACATAGCGAGACCATGACTCTAAAAAAATACATCATCGGCTGGGCACGGTGGCTCATGCCTGTAATCCCAGCACTTTGGGAGGCTGAGGCAGGTGGATCACAAGGTCAGGAGTTCAAGACCAGCCTGGCCAAGATGGTGAAACCCTGTCTCTACTAAAAATACAAAAATTGCAGGGCGCGGTGGCAGGCGCCTGTAATCCCAGCTACTTAGGAGGCTGAGGCAGGAGAATCACTTGAATCCAGGAGGCGGAGGTTGCAGTGAGCTGAGATCGCGCCACTGCACTCCAGCCTGGGCAACATAGCGAGATTCTGTCTTAAAAAAAAAAAAAAAAAAGGGCCAGGCGCGGTGGCTCACGCTTGTAATCCCAGCACTTTGGGAGGCCGAGGTGGGCGGATCATCAGGTCAGGAGTTCGAGACCACCCTGGCCAACACAGTGAAACCCTGTCTCTACTAAAAATACAAAAATTAGCTGGGCATGGTGGTGGGCGCCTGTAATCCCAGCTACTTGGGAGGCTAAGGCAGGAGAATCGCTTGAACCCGGGAGGTGGAGGTTGCAGTGAGCCGAGATTGTGCTACTGCACTCCAGCCTGAGCAACAGAGCTAGACTCCATCTCAAAAAAAAAATAAATAAATAAAAAATACATCATCATGCAATTTTGCTTATCATAGAAGGCAAAAACAAAAACAAACATGAAAAAGAGAAGGCATAAACCAAAATAAAAGAAATAAAACCAAACATGCCAACATAAAAATAAACGCATGATACTAAAAGCCAAAGACCTTCAAACTGGGTTAATACGATTTAAGTACTACAAGGTATCTATATTACTGTGTATCAGATATTTTGAAATAAAACCGCACTCTTTCCATCTGTAGGGTCCCTGCATTAGGCGAGCGTGCCTTTTAGGCCACCTCCTCATCAGTCCTGCCCTGCTCCCTGCTCAGAGGTACTGAGTGCCACAGTGTCCCCACAGACACAGGCAGAGACAGTCTAACGGAAGGGGTGAGGGTGGACAGAAGTGACTGCCTCAGAAAACCATACTTGAGTGTTAGGAGTGTGCTGCCCATTTGCTGGTGAGTGCAGCCCTGTACAGTGAATGAGGGCCTAAGCTTCTCCCTGCAAGCTTCCTGTCTGCAGGTTCTGGGCCACTTTAGAGGGCAAAGTATGCACAGGCCACCTACCATGTGACTTCCCCCAGCCCCAGTGGCAGGTTATTAGGGAAATTTCCATCTTGGACTCTGGCCAACAACTGACCACTAAGTTTTCTGAATGGTTCTCAGTTTTTGTCTTTTTCTGTGTCTCAAGTAGCTTTCGAATTTAAGTTGGAAGATGGCACATCAAGGAAGTTTGATCTGTGGTCATCTTAACTCTTGAAATCCTCTTATCTGTCCTTTGTAACAGAAGCTTTAAAGAAAAAAATGTGTCTATTAAGGCCAGGTGTGGTGGCTCACACCTATAATCCCAACACTTTGGGAGGCCAAAGTGGGAGGATCACTTGAGGCCAGGAGGTTGATGTTATAGTGTCGCCTAGGCGACAGAGCAAGAACTTGTCTCTATAAATAAATAAATAAATAAATAAGATTTAAAATTCAGGTGCTGTGCCAGGTGCTGGTGATACAGGAGACAGAAAGAAATTATTCAGGCAGATCGTGAGGGTAAGAGTCCTCGGCAGAAATTCCCTTTCAACAAAAAGCAGCCCAAAATCATTGCTTTTCTAACAAAGAGCAGCCTGAAAAATCGAGCTGCAAACAGATAAGCAAGCTGGAAGCTTGCACGGGCGAATGCCAGCACCTGTGCCAATAGAAAAGGGTTACCTGAGGGCCAGGTATGTTCAATATGGAGGCTTCAACTTCCCTTTTGTCACCATGTGTACAGTAAAGGAACAGGCAACATGGTGCCAGCCAGGTAGAAAGCTCATCTGCATAATAAAAGATTAGGGTGGGGGTGGCCAGACTTTTACACACTATGCAAATAGCATACCTAGTCCTAACCACTTTTTCATGCCTTATGCAAATGGCACACCTGGTCCAAGCACTCTTTCGTGCTCTATGTAAATCAGACGCTACCTTCTCAAGCTCATCTATAAAACCCTGCATTTCACTGTGGACTGGAAACCTGCTCAGGACCCCTCTCCTTGTAGGAGAAAGGTTTTCTCTTTCTTTCGCCTTTTTTTTTTTTTTTTTTTGAGATGGAGTCTCACTTTGTCACCAGACTGAAGTGCAGTCGTGTGATCTCAGCTCACTACAACCTCCACCTCCCGTGTTCAAGTGATTCTCCTGCCTCAGCCTGTAGCTGGCACTACAGTCGTGCACCACCACACCCAGCTAATTTTTGTATTTTTAGTAGAGACGGGATTTCATCATGTTGGCCAGGATGGTTTCGATCTTTTTGACTTCGTGATCCACCCACCTTGGCTTCCCAAAGTGCTAGGATTACAAGTGTGAGCCACCATGCCTGGCCTCCTTCTATTAAACCTCCGCTCTCAACCTCACTCCTTGTGTGTCCATGTCCTTGATTTCCCTGGCATGAGACAATGAACCTCAGGTATCCCCCCAGGCGAATGGTGCCACTTCACTGGGAGTACAGCAATGAATAAAGTCTGGCCCCTCACAGCTGGGTTCATGGTCTGGGAGGTGGCAGGGGAAGCAAACAAGTAAACAACTAACTCTAAACAAGGCAGAAGAAAATCAGCACTAAATATAGGCATCTGAGTGGGAAGAACAGGGAGGCGGGAGCAATTAATGAGGGTGAAGGAGTGAGAGAAACCTTTATGGCGGGTTTTCAGGGCCTCACTCTAAGCCCACAACAGTAAATTATCAATGGAGGCAACAGTCCATGCACCCAAAGTGCTGTAAGCACTTGGAGCCTGGGTCACCCAGGGGCAGCTCGGCCCCTCTGAGGGAAAGGGACCCTCCCCTGGGGCAGGGAGACTGTGACCCTTGGCAAGGGTGTGGGGAGGGGACAGATGATGGGCCAGATTGGCCCCAGGGGGTGAAATGTTGCTACTGATCAGAGGCGTCAGTTGTAGGCACTTTCTCAGTCCCAGGTTGGAGGGGGGAAGGAAAAAGATAAGGGGCTGCCAGCTCCAGGAAATGAGGGTGAGGTTCTCAGCTAAAAGGGGAGGAGAGAACGAGCATTTATTGAGTGCCTCAGGTGCCTGGCATCACAAAATTATTATCTAATGTTTGTAACAGCAAATTTTTTCTTTTCTTTTCTTTTCTTTTTTTTTTTTTTTTTTGAGACGAAGTCTTGCTCTTGTCCTCCAGGCTGGAGTGCAGTGGCACAATCTTGGCTCACTGCAGCCTCTGCCTCCTAGGTTCAGGTAATTCTCATGCCTCAGCTTCTGGAGTAGCTGGGATTACAGGCGTGTGCCACTACACTGGCTAATTTTTGTATTTTAGTAGAGACAGGGTTTTGCCATGTTGGCCAGGCTGGTCTCGAACTTCTGACCTCAAGTGATTCTCCTGCTTTGGCCTCCCAAAGTGCTAGGATTACAGATGTGAGCCAACACACCCAAACTAACTGCAAATATGTATTGAGCATCTACTATGTGTCAGATACTGTTTCAGGCACTAGGAATACAATGGGGAGCAAAACAAAAATCCTGCTCCTCCTCATGCACAAATACTTGACATAATTTCAGTGATAAATACTTATCAACAGTATTAAGTACTGTAAAGAAAAATAAATGGAAAAAGAATGAAAGGAGGTACTTAGTCCATTTCACAGTGCTATAAAGAACTACCTGAGGCCAGACACAGTGGCTCATGCCTGTAATCTTAGCACTTTGGGAGGCTAAGGTGGGTGGATCACTTGAGGTCAGGAGATCAAGACCAGTCTGGCCAACATGGTGAAACCCCATCTCTACTAAAAATACAAAAATTAGCCAGGCATGGTGGTGGGTGCCTGTAATCCCAGCTACTCAGGAGGCTGAGGCAGAAGAATCACTTGAACCCAGGAGGTGGAGGTTGCAGTGAGCCAAGATTGCACCACTGCACTCCCAGCTTGGGCGACAGAGGGAAACTCTGTCTCAAAACAAAACAAAACTATCTGAAACTGGATAATTTATGAAGAAAAGAAGTTTTACTGACTCACAGTTCTGCAGGCTTAACAGGAAGCAAGACTGGAAGGCCTCAGGAAACTTACAATCATGGTGGAAGGCGAAGGGGAAGCAAGCACATCTGACCATGGTAGAGCAGGAGAGAGAGCGAGAGCAAAGGGGGAAGTGCCACACACTTTCAAACAACCAGATCTCATGAGAACTGACTCACTATTAGGAGAATAACAAGGGGGATGTCTGCCCATGATCCAATCACCTCCAATCAGGCCCCTCTCACAACATGTGGGGATTACAATTTGAGATGAGATTTGGGTGAGGACACAGAGCCAAGCCACATCAAGGTGCTATTTTTCCTTTTTTTTTTTTTTTTTTTTTTTTTTTTGTCAGGATTTCGCTCTGCTGCCAAGGCTGGAGTGCAGTGGTGCAATCATGACTCATAGCAACCCCAGCCTCCTGGGCTCAGGCGATTCTCCTGCCTCAGGCTCCCAAATAGCTGGGACCACAGGTGCATACCCACCTCACCCAGCCAAGAGGTGCTATTTTCAAAAGATCATTAGGGAAGGCTTCCTGGAGGAGGTGACATGAGAGCAGAGACCTGAATTAGTAAAAGGAAGAGCCTTACATTTATTGAGAGGTGTTTATCTTCCCCGGTCTAAAGATGTAGAAACAAATCTCAGAAAAATACTCTGGCTTTCCCAAGGTTACAAAGTTTCTAAGCCCTTCTCTAGGGGAGAGATTCTGGGCTCAGGTTCACACTCAGAGGCAGCACCTGAGCTTGGGACCCACCTTTAACTGACAGCTGTGGTCTCACAGCTCTTAGACCACACCACTTGGTAAGAGGCCAGCCCACTGATTTATTTCTTCCCCTCCCGCTTCTCGTCCTTCCTCCTTTCCCTCCTTTTCCCCCTCCTCGTTCCTTCTCTCTCTGCTTCTCCTCTTCCCCCACCTGCTTCTGTCTTCCTTTTACAGCATTTTATTATAAATACTGCAACGTGCACAACACATAAATGTTCAGTTCAGTGCACAACTCTAGGGAGAACACCTGAGTAACCAGCACCCAAGTGAAGAAACAGGCAAATTAATTTCTGCTGTTTAAGCCACCCAGTCTGTGGAACTGTTAGGCGACCCCAACCCCCCACTCCCAGAAGCCTTTATGTGTCGCCTCCCATTTTCTTATTTTTGGTAACTTCCTTGCTTTCATCATTTTACCATTTGTATATACGACCTTAAACAATAGTTTGGTCTTGCCTAATTTTGAACTTTATATAAATGGTATAGTTCTGTATATGTTATTAGTGCCTTCTTCCACTCAGTATCATGTTTACAAGATCTGTCCACATTGCTGGTGTGTTAGTCTGCTGGGGGGTTAGGGGTGCCTAACAAAGTTCCACAGACTGGGTGGCTTAAACAGCAGAAATTAATTCTCTCACAGTTCTGGAAGCTAGAAGCCCAAGATCAAGGTGTTGGCAGGGTTGGTTTCCCCTAAGGTCCTCTCCTTGGCTTGTCAACAGCTACATTTTCTCTGTTTTTACATGGCCTTTTCTCTGTGCATGTCTGTGTCCAGATTTCCTCTTCTAATAAGGACATCAGCCATATTGGATTAGGGTCCATCCAATAACCTCATTTTAATTTAATTACCCCTTTAAAGACCCAATCTCCAAATATGGTCACACTTTACAGTACTAGGGGTTGGGATTTCAACATACAAATTTGGAGGTAGAAGTGGGGGATATAATTCAGCCCCTAACACTGGAGGTATTGGTTGGTGCAAAAGTAATTGTGGTTCTTGCCATTACTTTCAATGGCAAAAAAACACAATTTCTTCTGCGCCAACCTAATAACTGTAGTTGATTCATTTTCATGACTGCATAGTATTCTATTGCATGAATATACCACAGTGTGGATATCCATTCTTCTGTTGATGGGCACTTGAGTTGTTTCCAGTTTGGGACCATTACAGACAATGCTACCTTGAACATTCTTTTACCTGTAACTTGGTGCTCATATGCATGAGTTTCTCTAGGGCATGTAACTAGAAAGGAACAACTGAGTCATAAGGTATACTTATCTTCAATTTTAGGAGTATGCCATTTTCCAAAGTGGTTGCACCAATCTCCCCACTCCCCAGACATATATTCTCATATCTTGGTTGCTCTACTTCCTCATCAGCACTTGGCATTGTAAACTAAAAATAAAATTCTAAGCCCCCCAACTGACTGAATGGAGCCCCCACTCTTGGCCAACAGGACTTAAAAACTGAGTTCCTGGTCATGACGAGACAAGAGGTCATATTGCAATCTGGACACAATAACTGAGCAGCATTGTATTTATTTATTTATTTTTTAGAGACAGGGTCTTACTCTGTCACCCAGTCTGGAGTGAAGTTGCATGACCATAATTCCCTTGCAGCCTCCAAGTCCTGGGCTCAAGTGATCCTCTCACCTCAGCCTCCCAAAGTGCTGGGATTACAAGTGTGAGCCACTGCATCCAGCCCAACTGATCAGCTTTAATGTTAAAATAGAGATAATAAGACTGATAGAATGGACTCTTTATGACTATATCAAACTATAAACAACACCTAAGGCCATGCAATGCAAGGGTTAAGTCACTACGCTCCCCTACACTTAAAAAATTAACTCTGTTCCAACTGCCACAATGTTTTTCTTTTTCTCCAGCAGCTAAACAAGCACTGGCCTTGAAATAAGCCATATTAAATAATCTGCAACTCAATCCATCGCCAGATGCTACCTAACTGACCCCCTGTTCCACAAGACATAACTACAGCTTTGATTGGACAAGAGTTATTTCAGTTAACTTTCTCCTGATGAGAAGACCACCAACCATGGACTGGTCTGGCTGGTTTACAGAGACTGCACACTTGAGTGCCTTTGTGTCCTGAAAAGACCTTTTGACATATAGAACCTAACTGTACTACATTTAAATGTTACATTTAAAAGTCTCCACTGCAAAGAGAACATGGGTCATATGTAATATGCATGTTTATTCAAGTATGCATGTATTAGGACCACCTCCATGAATATTCATAGCTCCTCCTGTATCCTGTTGAATACCTATACTTGGCCAACCATTCAGCTTAAATTCCTGTCTTACCCTTCCCTCTCTCCCTTGAAGTGTGTTTCTGGGCTTCGACCAAGGCTAACACTTCCCAGCCTGTCAGAATGGCCACCTTGCTGGCTATAACCCTTTATAAGAAACAAAGCTCTCCTTTCCAAATTTATATATTGATTGAGTTTTTAGTTAACAGCATTATCAGACTTCTCAGTGTTAATTGTGAGGTGGTTTTGTATTCCCCTGATGATTAAAGATGTTGAGGACATTTTCACATTCACCATTTGGAGCTCCTAATTTGCGATGCACCTGTTCAAGTCTTTTGCTAGCTTTTCTAATGTCTTTTTAAAATTTGTTAATCTCTTCACTTTCTATGCTCATGGCAATTTTATTCTAAGAGCATAATTAACACTTTCCTGCCACTGCACCTTCGTCAGGACCATTTGATCCACACTGAAAATGTGTATTAACTTGAATCTCAGAGAGCAAGTGTTGGAGGCTTCATCCCTTCCTTCTTGAAAGCCCTTCGGCTTCTTATGGAAACATTCCACCCTTCCCCTCCAATTTCCTACCTCCACATGTGGATACAGCCTCACTTCCTACTTAACCTGCTGCTACACCACCCTCACTGGATTATGAAAGTTGAATGCAATCATGTGTAAATGTCCAGCATGGTCCTGAGAACCCTGTATGGTATTAGTAAATACGACTTCCCTTCCTCCTTCTTGTTGTTGTGCAGAACGGAAGATGAGCAACAGCCAAGAGTACCATGTACTGAGTGCTCCTGAGTGTTAGGTGGTATGCTGAGTTATGGATTTTACTCGGGGCAGTAATGGCCTCCCCCTTGCCTTTCCTGCTTGGAACTTGGAGCTCTAGCAAGCATCTTGGACCATGAATTGTGGCCCTAAAGGATAAACGAGCCTGGCTGTCTGCCACAATGGAGCTACCAGACAAGTCCTTAAAAGACAACTTGTTTCATGTGAAAGAGAAATAAACCTCTATCATCTTAAAGCCACTGTTATTTGCTTTTCTATGATACAAAACAGAGCCTAATCTTGACTCTTAACGAGAAATACATGTTTTCAGTTCATTACAAACATGTGTTTGGTTGAGCCAAATTTTCCTGTCTCTATGAAAATCATTTTTGCTGGTCAGTAAATGATAATACATTTAAATGTCCACACTAAAATTTATATTTTTCAAACAGCCCATTGGGTATTTTCATGTGATATAAGTAATTGAGACATAGGGCCTTAAGTAGCTAAGACACTGGTATTCCCTATGATAGAAAGTATCCTTGCTCTTTATAAGAGGATATCTTATTTAAGCAAGCACACAAAGGTAATATGTCAGGATACTGAGGAGGTAATGAATTCATTTTTCTTTAATTGAATTAACAGCAAGTATCCACAGAGCTCTTCCTGTCTAAGTTAGCCAGACTGAGTGTATCGAGACAGTTTAAGGTGAAACTCTCAAGCCATGGTCCCTAGTCTCCATGACTGGAATGAGATAAAGATATAGGTAATGTCACTGTCATATAGCAGGCTAATGTGTTTGGTCACTGTGTTAGTCCATTTTCACATTGCTATAAAGAACTGCCCGAGATTAGGTAATTTATAAAGAGGTTTAATTGACTCACAGTTCTGCATGGCTGGGGAGGCCTCAGGAAACTTACAATCATGGTGGAAGGCAAAGGGGAAGCAAGCGCCTTCTTCACAAGGCGGCAGTAAGGAGAATGAATGCAGGAGAAACTACCAAACACTTATAAAGCCATCAGATCCCGTGAGAACTCACTCACTATCACAAGAACAGCATGGAGAAAACTGCCCCCATGATTCAATTACCTCCACCTGGTCTCTCTCTTGACACGTGAGGATTATGGGGACTACAATTCAAGATGAGATTTTGGGTGGAGACACAGCCAAACCATATCAGTCACTGAATCATTATTAAAATAGGAGGTAGTACATACATGCATGCATACACATACACTAATGAGGAGGTTGAAGAGTTTAGAGAAAGGCAATCTGATGCAGGGGTGAACACTATGGATTCTGATTTAAGGCCCTGGATTATTCATTTAATCTTTCTGAGCCTGTTTCCTCATCTGAAAAACAGTGGCTCTTAAAACAGATGTATTGTGAGGATTAAATGAGGAAATGCATATAAAATGGCTGGCACAAAGGAAGCACTGAATAGATGTTCCATAAGGTGGGTTTGTTTTTATTTTTAACTTGTCAATAGGCTAATCTCGAGCAAAGACTAATCTGTCACTTCGGTAGAAGGCTTTACTCCAGGCCATTTGAGCCAACCCCCAGCCAGGCCCATGGAGCGAGCCCACTGAAGCCCTGATCCCAACACCCTGGCCTGCAGTGGGTCCCAGGGCCCCTCACCTCCCCAAGGGAACAATGCTGCACATCACCAAAGCCCAGAAGAGCTTCCCGGTGTAAGTACAGATTAAGTTCCAGTTTTTATTTAAAGATCCTAATTTCTGGACATTTATTTTGGGGATTACAGTGGTGGCTTAAGCTTCTTTAAGACGTTTTAAGTTGAAGTCTTTCCTTCACTTGGCTGCTAAAGTTTAATTCAGTGTAATTATTTCATATGGCATCAACTATAATAGTTTCATAATTTCTAGTATATTAAGCACTTAATATGTTGTGTCATTTGAAATCACATATTAAATTCAGCAAAGTACATTTTAATGAGAGCTAAGTGGTGTGAAAATATTAATACAGTGTGATGTTTCATTTTGGTGCTCTGATTTTGTAGGTCTGTTCCTAATGCACAAATGCCTCACTCACCAGGTAAGGGGAATGCTGAGCTGCCTGAGGCTCCAATGGGTGTCTGACAATACTGATATTCCTGTCTTTTGTTGTATAGCAATTTACAGTGGCATTTCAATGGAGCCTCACAACCCTGTGTGGTAAGTAGAAAAATCATCACTTCCATTTTAGAGACGAGAAAACAGGGTCAGCAACTGGAAGAGACTGGTGACCCACCTAGTCACAGTTGATGAGACATAAATATGGACCTTCTTGGCTGAAAGCCATTGCAGTCTTCCCCTGTACCACTGCTGCAGTCACTGTAGCCTTGGCAGGGAGCGATGTCTGGACTCCAGGGCAGCCAGGATTTGGAGGAGGTGTGACACTTTTCCTCCCATCCTTGCAATCCCATACAGGGAAACTGAGAGCTAGAGAGAAGCTGGCAGACCCCATGCTCAGACTTGGCAATTCCTCTTTTTGCACCTTCTTTCTGAGCAAGTCCTCCACACCCTAAACCTAAGCGCCTTATGCCCTTAGGCCATCCTGGGACTGCCAGAAAAAAAGGTCTTGATGAAATAAATTACAGTGAACCCTCGATACAGCAACAGCTCAAAATAATGACGCATCAGTGGCAGGATTTAAGGCAAGAGTAAGAGCAGTAAGAGATTATTTGGAGAAAGCACTCCAGAACCCCTCAAACTGTACTCCCATATTACATGTAGGTGTAAAGTGAGCCCTCGGAGTCAGAGAGATCCGAGAGCAAATTCCAGGACCGTCACTAACTAGCTGTGTCCTTAGATAGGTCACCTAACCTCTGTAGGCCTCGCCTTTCCCTATCAGTAAAAGAGGAATAATAACCAGCACTACCCCTGCACCCCCATGCTTATGTCTCAGAGATACTCACATGAAATAGGATGCCAGAAGACCCTGTGTTGGTCTTAAAGGGCAAGGAATCGTACTAAGCTACGTAAACAGGTATTACTGAGTCTATGTAGTGTCCCGTCTCAAAACATAACTGCATCTTAACCAGGGCCTTTGGAAACTCAAATCCAAAGGATTAAAGACATCTGGGCAAAAATACTCCCCGTCGTGGCTAAAAGGAGCAAAACTTAGGGACTCCTCCCTACCCTGCTATTTTTACCTTAAAGAAAGTTTATTTCATGCAGATAGTTGCAAGACGAAGGAAAAGAAGAATAAGTAAGTGGTTATGTATTGAGCATTAGAATAGCCCAGGACTATTGTAAACACTTGGCATCAATCAGCTCATCCAATGTGCTAGGGCCTTTCACACCCAATCCTGCATTTAACCTTCAAATGACCCTGCAAAGCAGGCAGCACAATCACCATCCCACAGGTGAGGAAACAGATCTTTTAAGACATTCTGGGCACAAATATGAGATCTGGGGGAGAGTAAAAGGGGCAGCCTGGGCTATGCAGGGGGAGGGGCGGGACCAGAGGGCTCCACTGAGGCCCGGCATCTGGGATGGATTAGAACTGATCTCAACACACCAGGGGCCACCCCAGCAGAGCAAGGGCTCTGGGCACACCAGGCTTACAAGTCTTGAAAGAAACTCCCTCTGAGAGGTCAGCTGGCCACAGCTGACCCTGTCTCTTCCCCCAGGCCACCCTCTGAGCTGTGGGCACACAGACCGATTTGCCTACTCCACCCCCCTTCAGCTTAACTTTGGAAAAACTCATTCACATTGAGGTGAATTAGGTGACAGAGTGCACTTCAAAAGAGATGTTATAAGAACAAGGCTTAACTCAGAGCATAAGCAGCTCACAGGAATTTCTGGCAGCCTGGGGGAGTGGGTCCTCCCCCACACTCAGGCCTCCTCCAACCCTGCTCTGGCCATGCTCTGTGTCTGAGGCCTTTGGAGCTTCAGGGTCAGGCATGTGAACTCAGCGCATTGTCCCTGTGCTACAGTCCCAGGGCAACACCTCCTGAAACCACTAATGCCATTCCTCCCAGGCCTGCACATAAACAAGGTCACAGGGGCCTCTCTCCACATCCCCGCTCCTTCCTCCCTCCTTCCCTCCGGTGGGGCTGCTGGGAGTCCCCAGCCCTTCCTGCTTCAAATAAAATGATACACGAAAACATGCAATGCTCTCTGGCTGTAAGAGAAACACTACATAATTTTAGAGAATGCTAAGAGTTCATGTCTTCACTGACATTTTTTCCATATGAAACAGCCCATTTCTTAATTGTTCGAAATAAAGTTGGCTCTGCTCTCTCCTACTCAGGTAGTGGGAAGTACCACCTCAAACAGGATAGGGGGACCACTCCTCATCTCTTGGGGTTCTGTAGTCCAGAACATTCAGGGAAGACTGCCAGGACTCAGTTCTTTTCAGGACTGCAGAGTGAAGAGAAGCCAACAACTCTGAAGGCGGCAGGAGCCGGCTCCCACTGCAACTCCAAGCCTGCCCACCAGTCCAGTCCTCTCTGGCACCCACACTCTCCTCGCCTGCAATGCCTATTCCCTCAAGGCCTGTGGGGGCTTGGGACTTCCCATGAAGTCATGGTCCACTCGGCTCTCCCCTCCCTGAGCCCCTCCATGCTTCCTCCTCTCCTCCACCTCCATGCTACATTCAATGTATCCCCTCCCCTTCACCAGCCTCCCGCTTCGTCTGTACTGGCCTTTGGAGCTCAGAGGCATGTTGTGATACGGTTCAGCAGGTCCCAGGCCCTAGATCCACAGCCGCCCCTGGGGGCTGATCCTGGGGCCCTCCATGGCTCCAGGATGACCAGTTTGCTTCGCCCTTCTCAAAGAGAAAACAAAAACCCTCTTGAATTTTTACATCTTGCTAATTATTATTTTTTTTCATGGTACTGGGAGAATGCAGAATATCAGAAAATTACAATTATCCAAAAACGTCCTTCAGTTATCCAGCTGCAAGAATGCCAGCATTTCAATGCTGAAAAATGTCAAGGATCATCTCTAGGGTAGTTTCCTCACTTTGCAGAAGCTAAAACAGAACCAGAGACAGAGAGGTACAGGGAGCAGGCCAAGGTCACAAACAGTTCCAGGTGGAATGAGAACTAGAACTCAGATCTTTCTCCTCTGCAAAATTGCTCGACAAGAAAAAACAGACAAAAAATTGGCGGGGCGCGGTGGCTCACGCCTTTAATCCCAGCACTTTGGAAGGCTGAGGCAGGCAGATCACTTGAGGTCAGGAGTTTGAGACCAGCCTAGCCAACATGGCGAAACCCTGTCTCTACTGAAAACACAGATATTAGCCGGGGGTGATGGCACACACCTGTAGTTCCAGCTACTCAGGAGTCTGAGGCAGGGGAATCGCTTGAACCTGGGAGGAGGGGTTGCAGTGAGCCAAGATGATGCCACTGCACTCCAGCCTGCTGAAGAGAGCGAGACTCTGACTCAAAAAAAAAAAAAAAAAAAAAAATTAGCCCAGCATGATAGTGAGCCTGTAGTCCCAGCTACTTGGGAGGTGGAGGCAGGAGAATCTCTTGAACCCAGGAAGCAGAGATTGCAGTGAGCCAAGATCACACCACCGCACTCCAGCCTGGGTGACAAAGTGAGACTCCATCTCAAAAAAAAAGAGTCCAGACATGGTGGCTCACGCCTGTAATCCCAGCACTTTGGGAAGCCAAGGTGGGTGGATCACCTGAGGTCAGGAGTTCCAGACCAGCCTGGCTAACATGGTGAAACCCCGTCTCTACTGAAAATACAAAAATTAGCCTGGCATGGTGGCTGAGGCAGGAGAATTGCTTGAACCCAGGAGGCAGAGGTTGCAGTGAGCTGAGATTGCACCACTGCACTCCAGCCTGGGTGACAGATCGAGACTCCATCTCAAAAAAACAAACAACAACAAAAAATCTACCTCTGGCTCAAAGTAACACATGCTCATGTAGCCAGAAATGTTGAACCAATAACTAGGTGTATCTCATGCTAGTTTCCACAATAAGGCATTTATGAAACCACCAGCCCTACCTGTTCTAAATAAATGAATAAAAATGTGGATGCTAATTGAAGATTAGCATCATCTCCCATCCATGTTAATGTGCTTTTTGGTTATTTGCAATTCTCTTTTGTAAATCTGAGGTAAACATCATTGTCCAAATTAGCTCTTTTCACTCAGTAAAGGCCATATTAGCATTCTGAGGTTTGCGTTTGCCTACTGCTTATTTAGTAAGGTCAGATGAGAAGCTAGTCAAATGACTTCCATTTCACTTAAGAGGCGTACCGAGTGGGGAGAACTCAAGCCTCCAAAGCCCGAACTCCCTGGCAGTGGCTCCCCAGGTCCCTCCCCTCTCTCAGTACTGAGCCACAGCACTGCTGGGAGCAGCAACTACCACCACAGTGGTCTCCCGGGAAGGGCTGGCCCAGATGGGTGACACTGAGTCAGGTGGTTGCAAGGTCCTCTGCCTGGATCTCGGTCCCCGTCCCCTCAGCGCTGCCGCCGTTATCATCAATGACAGCTCCAATGTCACCTTCTCTCTTGCCCCACTGAAGTGGCCATCATCCCCCAGGCACTTTCTATGCCACACTTTCACAGCACACGTCTCGGCATCCAGAGGGCTCTTTCATGTCTGCCTGGCTCCCCTGCTGGAACCGAGCTCCATGACCATAGCAACCCTGCCCACTCACGCATCCCTGAAGCCCGGGTGCTGACACCACAGATGTTCAATATTTGTTGAAGGAATGGAAGTAGGAAGGAAAGTCTGAGCTGGTCAGGGCTTCTGGAGTAACTCTAACAAGGAAAGCGGAGGCTGCACTTGTGGTCTCAAATCTTTTCCAAACTCCACTGCGTAAAAAAAAAAAAAAAAAAAAAAAAAAAAAGTCTTTGAAACCAGACTCGCATCCAAATCCCAACTACTTTAACCAGTGGCAGGATCACTGGAGCAGATGGTTTAACCTCCCAGAGCCTGTTTGCTAAACTGCAAAATGGGGGAAATGATACCATTTAGGTTAAGCGCCTGGCTCTTTCTAAATGTTGGCTCAAACGGTGGTGACCCTTCCCAGACTTCCACCACTACTGGAAGTTTGCGTCCCAAAGCAGACACCCTCATCGCCTTGGCTCCGAATGCAGAGAGCTAGTTCCGAGAAGCCGAGGGGAAGCTGAAGGCGCGCCCTGGCCAACCCTCCCCACGATCCCCCGCCGCAACCCCTGTCGGCCCCTTCCAGCCCACAGTGGGTGGCCCCAGGCCTCGCTAGGGTCACGTCTCTCGGGTCCCCGCGCAGGGAAGGGTCCAACCAGCGACTCGCAACCTTTTCGGGGTCCCGAGTCCAACACCCGTGGGAATCCCATGGGCACCATGGCCCCTCGCTCCAAAAATGCTTTCGCGTCGCGCAGACACTGCTCGGTAGTTTCGGGGATCAGCGTTTGAGTAAGAGCCCGCGTCTGAACCCTCCGCGCCGCCCCGGCCCCAGTGGAAAGACGCGCAGGCAAAACGCACCACGTGACGGAGCGTGACCGCGCGCCGAGCGCGCGCCAAGGTCGGGCAGGAAGAGGGCCTATTTCCCATGATTCCTTCATATTTGCATATACGATACAAGGCTGTTAGAGAGATAATTAGAATTAATTTGACTGTAAACACAAAGATATTAGTACAAAATACGTGACGTAGAAAGTAATAATTTCTTGGGTAGTTTGCAGTTTTAAAATTATGTTTTAAAATGGACTATCATATGCTTACCGTAACTTGAAAGTATTTCGATTTCTTGGCTTTATATATCTTGTGGAAAGGACGAAACACCGTGCTCGCTTCGGCAGCACATATACTAAAATTGGAACGATACAGAGAAGATTAGCATGGCCCCTGCGCAAGGATGACACGCAAATTCGTGAAGCGTTCCATATTTTTACATCAGGTTGTTTTTCTGTTTTTACATCAGGTTGTTTTTCTGTTTGGTTTTTTTTTTACACCACGTTTATACGCCGGTGCACGGTTTACCACTGAAAACACCTTTCATCTACAGGTGATATCTTTTAACACAAATAAAATGTAGTAGTCCTAGGAGACGGAATAGAAGGAGGTGGGGCCTAGGCAGATTCATCTCTGCGGTGCATTTTGCCTCTGGCCCTCGGGCCCTAGTTTGCGATCTTTCCCATCTTGCCTCTGCTTCCCTCTGCACAATCCTGAGTATTGCAGTACCTTACACTTAAGGAAATTTCGTCTTGCCAAAGTTGATCCATTTCAGCTCCGAAACATAACAGGAACTAGTGCAACGATAAACGTATGAGGAACTTGCAATAAGAGTGACAGAATCCTTTGAATCAAAAAAAAAAAAAAAGCCACCACTTAATGAGTATCTACCATATGTCAAGGGCTTCACCAATATTTCATTGAAATATTCCAGACCAAATAAATAAATAATAAAAGAAAAAAAGAAAAGGGGGAGGGGGCAGAAAAATAAAATAATGTTTAAAAAATTCCTGACAGCCCCACCCTGTGGGTTTTACTGTTTTACTGTCATCATTTTACACCAATCACTGAGAGGTAAAGCCTGATAAGACTTACAGAGGCACAGACCCTGAAAAGATCGGGACCCAGGTCTCAGGTAATTGAGTTACAAAAACACAGTCCCGAGTGGTAAGACAAAGAGGAAACAAAGTCCAACCACGTTCAGATTTCCTGCGATGACTTAGGCAATGTTTTCTGAAATATCTTTCCAACAGAAAAATGGTGCAACTGCTTTGCTAGTGCTTCAGCATGCACGTGGGCCCTGCGGCCACTGGGACCTCAGTCGATCTGCCGGGAGCGGCCGCACAGCTCCCAGCCTCCAGGCGCGCCGCAGGAGGACTGTTAGGCTCGAAGCCCCGGAGCCACCCAGGGACAGCGGCGGGTACTCTACCAGCGGGCGCTGGGAGCTGCCGGGCAGCATTCCATTCAGGACTCATTCCTTTTCTCTTCAGTGGAAGTGAAATGATCCTTTCCAGGTAACAGCCGAGCATAGGGGACTGCGGGACATCTCCGCCTCTTCCTTGGCTCTGGGCCTTCGATGTAAGGCGTTAGAGGACAATCTTTGTTGGCTGGATTTCTGTTCTTCCCCTAGAGATATCTGGTTCTTTGGAGGCCACTTGGGCAATTGGGTGAGTAGTTTTAAATGTCTCCCTTGGGATGCCAAATAAGAAAACGACCAATGTCGATGTGGCTCCCTCTCTTTCAGCACAGACAACCCATCAGACTGGAATATTATTAGTCTACGTATGTGGAAGGGGGTGTTATGGGGAGTAAAATAGAATCCAAGAGTGAAGGACTTGGCCCAAAAAGGACTGTTGAGATTGTTCTAAAGAAACTGGTCGGGCGCAGTGGCTCACGCCTGTAATCCTAGTACTTTGGGAGGCTGAGCTGGGAGGATACCGAGGTCAGGGGTTCGAGACCAGTCTGGCCAACAAGGTGAAGCCCTGTCGCTACTTAAAAGAAAAGAAAAGATTAGAACAGAAATTAGGAAAAAGACAGGCAGTTCCTAGCCCCAGAAAATCCAGAGACCTGGCTGACTTCCTTTCCTCTGCACTAACCTGCTGAGGGAACTTGGGCAAGTCTTCGCCTCTTTGGACACATAGAGTCAATGCATTGGCGTTGCAGGATGCCCTTCCAACCTCTGTGCTTCTAGATTCTTATGAATGTGTCTCCAGAAACTCAATAGTCCATGCATTGGCGTTGCAGGATGCCCTTCCAACCTCTGTGCTTGTAGATTCTTATGAATGTGTCTTCAGAAAGCTCAATAGTCCAGGCTTGAAAAAGCACCGGTTTGTCCTCCTTTCTGGGCCCCCTTTCTGGGCCCCTGGAGGAGAGGAGGGTGATGGACTGGGGTACATTTTGGGACTCTAAAAGCATTCCTGGCTTGAGTCTCAGGAAAGTGAATTCAGAGGGAGTTGTAATCTTTGCAAACACCAATACAATAGCACTTCTTGTATGCCAGGAGCTGTTCTCAGTGCTTTACATATATTAACAGAAAACAGTTCTATGAAGTAGGTACTGTTAATCTCCCTATGTTATAGATGAGGAAGCTAAGGCACAGAGAGATTCAACAACTTGCCCAATGTCACTCATCAATGACAGGGCAGCATTGAGACCTCAGTAAATCTGGCTCCAGAGTTTGTGCTCTTAGCCAAGCATCTGAGGATGGAGAGAGGAGATGAGGCTGTTTAGAATTCATGGGAAGAGCATGCAGATCCAGTTCTGCTTTTGTTGGTGTTCTGAATTCAAGGCAGGAGTCACATGTTTGCAACGGATCAAGGCTTTAGAGCAGGGTAGCTACGAATGGGTGGACCTGTGTGCCAGTGACCTGGAAAAGTATGACGGAGTGAAGGAATACCCCCTTTAGGACACAGTTGGAACAGGAACAAAGTTTTCCTTTTCTAGGTTAACAATCACTTACCTGATACCTGCTCCCAAAACGAATCCTATTGATGAAGGATCTTCTTTCTGAGCAGTAAACCTGTGTTTAATTAACCTTATGCAAATGAGCTTAATTGCTTATCAGTGGCTGTTGTCCAGAAGCACCTAGGGATTCCTTCCCTCAGACATTTTCAGCACCTAGATGAACCGCAAAGTTGGAAGCCTTTCATCTACACATGTGTTGTGTGCCTGTGGAGCCCTGGGCCCTGTGTTGAAGATTGCAAGGAAAAGCAAGGTGTGACCCCTGCTGTGGACTTACTTTCAGTCTTAGGGCAACAGACACTTACAACCAAGAATAACAAAGGGAGGTGAGTGCCCTGCTAGCCTCATGAACCGAGTGCCACTAGAACACAGAGTCACCTGTGCTCCAGGAGTTAAGGGGTCTTCTAAGTGGTGCTTTTGCACACAGGTTACCCTGATTTGCAGAGGAAATGGAGATGGGAAGGGACTTACTGCTTTCTCCCGTGGGGGTGAAAAATAAACCCACTTGATGCTGTCTCCAACGGCGGCTCCAACTTTGCTCAGTCTCTCACTCTGGATTTGCCAGAACAGGTGGGGATAGAGATCATCTTCCCACTGCGGATCCCAAGAGGGGCCCCGGCTTCCGTTCACTCTTGTCCCTTACCCCAGACCTGGGACTCCAGAGCCAGACCTCCTGTAGGCACCGCTGGGGACCAGGCCAAACCAAACACTCCAGGAGAACAGCCCACAGGATATTCTGTGTTCAACTGCCTCCTCCAACTTCCAGGCCCCACTTTTTCTCCCTGGGACCCCAGGCACCCTGGTCTGGGCCTTCGGGCGTTGGCTGTAATGCTTAAAATCTGTCGCAAGGTGGCAACATTGTGGCGAGAAATAGACTTTTTTTAAATCCTGGGTTTTTTTTTTCAAAGCATATTTTCCCTATTAATGTTTCATTTAACTTAATTAGAATCTGGTAAACTAATTAAAGTAGCTACGAGCCCCGCAATCAGCAATAATTAGTATAATTATTGATAATTACATCCATACCAATCGTTTGGTTATTAACATTTTTGGGGGGAACAAACCACTTCTGAAGGGACGCGAAGCCCGGGAGGGTTTTTGCGACTGAGCTTTCTGGGTCGGATCCGCCTACGACTCCAGTCCGCAGAGATTCCTGCCCAGATGGGGCGTCCCTTCCGGAGGGCCCCAGCTGCCTAGGAGCTTTTCCACTTTGGGGGGAGTTGGGAAGGAAGGGTGGGAAGGAGCATTTGCCTGGCTCCTCTGTCGAGCCGCAGCCACGGAACTTCCTGCCTGGGTGGTAATGGTGATGCCCATTTTACAGAGAAGAAAAGTGCAGCTTCCAAAGGTGCAATCCGCGGTGGGGAAAGGGGCCGGCAAACTCCCACACCCGCGCTGTCCCGCCCCGTCGCAGTTCCGCGGGCCCTGGCGCGGCCTGGAGACTCCAGTCTCTTCCTCTCTGGACCTCAGTTTCGCCACCGGTCCAGCGGAAAGCGGATCTGGTGGGTCCCATGCATATGAAACGTTCCCGCTCCCTAGAGGGGCCCTGCCCGGAGATGGCCTGTCCGGAGGCGATGCTTCGCCATTTGCCGGCGCCCTCTTCATTGTTATCTCCTTTGTGTCCGCTCTGGTCTTAGCCGTCGGAACATCCTGGGACTCCAAGGCTCCGACCCCCAGCGCAAAGGACTCTAGGGACTGGCTTCCTGGCTGTACCGCGCAGCGGGACTCCTCGTCTGCACAGCTTCGGGGAGGCCCAGAGCACGCCCCTACTAGCCGGCTCCGTCCAAGGCCCACCAAGACAACCCGCCACGAAACTTCCCGGCCCCCTCAGCCCAGGGCTCCCGGTCCCGAGCTGCTGGCCGGTGGCGCGGGGCCTGCCGCCCGCCTTCTACGAGCCGCATGGACGGAGGCCTGCGTGTTATTTCATAGAGGCCGAAACGGAGACCCAGGAAAGATAAAAGAAGGGCTCAACCCGGGACCCCCACTAGCCAGCCGAGGGCGAGAAATGAAAGCCAAGGCTGAATGATTCCCTGTGCCGTGAGCTCTCTCCCACTCCATCCACACTCTCCTCCCTGCAAAGAGTGTTCTGCAATTTGCAGCGTCGTCTGTAGCCCAAGCAGGAGGTGCGCTGTGGAAACTGAGGCCGCTGGGAGGCCTTGCCAACCGTGACCCGGACGTCGGACGCCCCAGCCGAGGCCCGGCGAGTCCTTAGCCCCTCTCGAACTAAAATGGACCGAACAGAAAATGCGGACGGGGCTCCCTCCTTTCGGGTAGCGGCGGGGCAGACGGGAGGCCGTCTGTGACCGAGCTCTCCAAGTCCCGCCTTCCTTTCCAAGCCTGCCCGGCGGAGACCACCTTACTCCCTGAGACCTCCGCCCTGCCGCAGCGCTCCCAGGCCAGGCCAGGCCGGCGGTGCCCGCGCCATCTAAAGGGACAATTCTGGTTGAACCTGGGATTCCCGGCAGGGCGCCCTGTCTGTGAGCGCCCCGGAGGTAACTTCCCCGGTGTGGCAGGCGTGGAAATGGGCATGGATGAACCCTCGGCGCCTTCGAGCTCTTGAGGAAAGAGCCCGGGACCGCTGCGCTAAGGACCGTGACGTAATGCCCCTCCTCCATTCCGGGCCCAAGGGAGGGTCCTAAACGCGGAGAGGGAGTGCCCTGTGGGGGAAAACTGAGTGTGTCTGGAGGGCACAGTGGAGAGGTTGAGTGCTCGCTGCTGCCCACTTGAGCAGGCCCGATTCTGACCCTGGGAGCCCCAGAACCCGCGGGGCGGCTCCCACCCCCACCTGTTGCACGGTGTTCCGCCGCCCCGCTCCGCCGGTGCACTCCCACCTCCGTAGCCCCAGAAGTGACATCTTTTATTATTATTATTATTATTATTAAAAACGAAAGTCACGGGTACAGGGTGGTCTCCCCAAACAGGCTCCAGGTGGTTGCCATCTCGTGAGTCAGTTGTCGCCCTTTTAAAGTGCTGTTACATCAAGAGGTTACAACAAAAAATAGCCAAAGCAAAATCCAAAGGGGAATGCAAAACGGGACTGGAAGTGGGTCCAGGAGAAGGAAGCAAAAATAACTTACAGCATAAATAAATTAAAGTGAACCTAATACTGAACCGAGAGACTCACAGTACATTTATATCCATTGCACATAGCCACTTTGTCATTAGGAACAGGAGTTTCAGAAGTGGACGGGACGGGGAGTGCGGGGCAGGCGCCAGCGAAGTTGCTACATTGTATTCACAATCGGGTTCAAGGCTATACAATGGGAGGGGGCGCTCTCCCCTCCCGCCCCCCGTCTGTCCAGTTAACCCCTTGAGGTCCGATGCCCTAGAGTTCACACGGGGTAGGGGGATTTGAGGCGCGAGGCGGTATTTACACTTGGAAACCAAGCCGGGGCCCTGGACAGGGACGCCCGGGAGGGGGCGGGCAAGGCCGGGGAGCCCGGGAGGAAGGCGGGCGGACGGGCGGCTGTATTTACATCGGTCGGGTCCGAATGGCTTGTTCCTCGCTCAGGGCCACCGCAGCAGCGGGTATTTACAAGGAGCAGCATGGCTTGAGGGCGCAGGGGTGCGGCCAGGCCGGCCCTAGGGCAACAGCGGTGGCTTGAAGGAGCAGTTGCCAGTGCAGTGGCGGGGCGTCAGCATCTTGCAGGAGAAATGGTGCAGGGCGTCGTGGGCTTCTGGGGAGACAGTCGCGAGGGTCACTCTGGGCGCCTCTCCAGGCTCACCTCACCGCGCAGTCCACCCTTTCCCCTCCCCGGCCTTACCAACCCTTTGGGGTCAGGGAATCTCAACCGAGCGGATCAGGAGGAGGCAGGAGGGTAGGACAAAAGCTGGTGATTCAGAACCACTGCTCTGGTTCAGTAGCCCCATTTTACAGAAAAGGAAACTGAGGCACAGTAAGAGAGGAGTCAACCTGCTCAAAGCCAGAATTGGTAATAGAAGGCAGATTTTTCTGACGTCCAAAGCCCAAGGGGCTCTTTCTTTTTACCCCCACCATCCTAGAATAATCTTCCCGTTAAAATCAGTTCCCACTTTTCTCCCTCACAGATCCTGATCCACGTGGATCGTGGCCTTCCTCACTAGTCCCACTATTCATTCATTCAGTCGACAGCACGGCCGGCACCCAGCACCCCTCCTATCTTTGTTTCCCGGCTTCCGCACCTTTCAATTTCTGCTGGATGGCATAGCGCGCCTTCCGCTCCTGGTCGAGTTCGTTACACAGGGTATCTGGAAGACAAGGGGAGGGGCCAGTGAGGAAACGCAGACCACCCTCCGAAAGGCCGGGGTCACAGCCCGGGCTTCCTCCTCTCCCCAGGGCTAAGCTCCGCGCAGAAACAACTCCAGGGATGGGGGAGGGGGTACCGGAGCTCCTAACTGCAGACTGGCGGAGGAAGGAAATGGCCTGGGATGGCGCTTAAAGGCAGATGGATCTAACCAAAATTAAAGCAAACTTAGGCATTACTTCCCAGGTAATTTTACGCCTCGATTTTTAATTTAGAAACCATGGAAATTGCCGCGATAAGAAGTTCAATCACTCCATGTAATGATGCCTGCAAGCCGTTTGCTGGGCTCGCTTGCCATTCTGAGGCTAATCAGAGTATACAAAGCATATTAAATAAAAAAATAATTGTTAAATTACCTTCAATTTAAATCCAAATGACTGAGCCAACATTGCGGCTCCTGCCAGACGAGAGGCAGTTACGGCCCGTGCACGAGCTCACCTGACTCCCGTCTTACCTCTGACAATTTGCAGCTGTTGCACCATTTCTTCTCGATAAGCCAATTCCCTCTTCATTTGATCCTGAAAATTATCTGTGCAAATTGATTAAGTGAGAGCTGTTACGCACAGCCCCCTCTCCCGGCTCCACTTTCTCACTCCTGGCCCCCCCTTTCACCCCTACCCCCAACTCCCACCCAGCCATTCGCCTGCAGCCCTGGAAAAGGACAGTTTCTTGTCTCCTGCAGGGCACCTAGTACCAGTTGCCTGGCACCCGGCTTTCGGAGTAGGTCGGGGCACCCTGGTGGAAGGCTCGGTGATGAGGTGGGGTGAGGCAGGATGGCAGTGGGTACCTTTGAGACTCTGAAATTCCCGTTCCAGCTTCTTGCGGAGCTCCATTTGTTCCAGGAGCAGTTTTTGCAATTCCTCTGTGAAAGGGGAAAAGTGGGAGGTAAAGTGGGAGGTAAAGCAGGGTTATTTGGAGCTCAGGTTCTGCCTTGGCCAACAACCCTGAAAGGAGAGTTGAGAAGGATGACCAGTAGGTGGAGGCCCTCCGCTCTCTGGCTTTACCAACTGCATTCAAAGGATTTGGGTGAAGAAACTGGGCTGTGGGTAGGATGCCCAGGAGAATAAATTCAGGACGGTGGAATCTAGGCCCTGGCTCCAGGAACTATGCAGCTGGGCAACTGCTTTAAGTTGTTCCTCACTCCCTAACCTAAGAGGCTGGCCCACGGAAACTTGATTTCCCACTTCAAGTGACAGACCCCGCCCCCGCCCCGGCCCCGACCTCCCCCCCCCGCACCGCCGCCCTTTCAATATAAATCAGGGAGGCTTTGGTCAGAGCCTTGGACACCTTTCCCAGAAAAATACACATACAACAGTTTGCCTGCAATTTCAGGAGGTCTGAAGACTGCCAAATCCATGCTAAGAACCCTCACTATAAAGCACCAGTGATTTTGAAGGTAATGGCATTTTCTGTAAATCTGTAACTAGGAAGAATGGAAGACCACCAATGCTTGTCTTCCTCCTGCCACAAATTCCCAAGACCATCTATGGGCTAGTTGAGGGGCAGGGAGCTAGGTGTAGAGGCCTCTGTTAGTGCCCTCAGAACCAACTCCAGAGGGATAGATGTGGCAACTGCCCTGACCATGAGGTCATTGGTATCTGGGCCCTCCTCCAGGAGAGGCTCCTCTGAAATGCAAGAATGGAAGGTAGAAGGGCAAAGTGGGGCTAGGGACTCCCCTACTCTGCACCCCAAGCCATAGTCTCCTCCTTACAGGCTGAGCAGTAACACAGGGATCCCCATTCTGCAAACAAGCTCCATCCACACTCCATTTAGGGTAAGGTGGAGGTGGTTATACCTCAATGCCAGGAGAAAGGAAAACACCTCTCACATTCCTAAAATAAATGCTTTCCTGCAATCCTGCATTGAAATCCTGTTTTCCATTGAATTCAGCGGACCCAGACTGTCCTGTCTGATTGTCCACAGGCATCAAAAATTCTGATCATTGTTACTCATTTCTCTTTCTGGCAAGGCTATTCAGACAGACCCGGGCCTTGGGAACCCAAACTTCCAATAAACTTCTGGGGGTTTGTTTTACTCCCATGCTCTACCCACACATACATACCTCTGTGCCAGGGTAATGTGTCCAGAGGATCTTACTTTCCACCCAAAGAAAGGAAAACTCATGCCCCCAAGGCCTTGGTGAGTGTCTTTTCCACACTCACCCCCTACAGGGATAACACCCCTCTACAGGAATGACCCATCACTCTCAAGCACAGCGTACACCTTTTTCACAAATTTATCCTCACCTCTGGCCAGGTTCTCGATATCTTTCTCCACCAAATGAGTTCCTGTGACATCCAAGGTAAGCCCATCTTCGCCTGGGATACAGGGGCAGGTAAGAGGGGTTCTGTCCTAGGAAAGCCCTTGAGAGGGGAGGGGTGAGCTTCCCAGGAACCACATCGAATCAGGGACCTACCCTAGACCTTCTGCCTTTAGAGGAGACAGTTACAGGAATCCAGTACTATCCACCTTCTAGGACATTACAGTAGAGAGTAGGAGAGTGACCCCTGGAGGAGACGGCCCAGGGAAGATGGGCCATCTAAGGGCAGGAAATGCCCTTTGACCTATTTTATGTGGGTGAGGACGTCCCTCCATTTCCTTTTAGTACATCCTCTGCCCTTACCTGAAAGAACCTCAAACCCACCAAGGAGGCAGCAATTCAGAAAACCTGGCCTGCACCCTGCTCGCGTTAAATATTTATCTGCTCGCCGAGGAAGAAGACTGGCAGCCGCTTACACTTGATTAAAAGCCTTTCTCGCAAGCCTCTGGGAACCTGGGCGACCTGGGTCCCAGCTCCTGGGTGCGGTGGAGAGCGATGGGTTCAAGGGCTGGCTCACCTCTGTCTGTATTTGCAGGACTTGGCTGGGAGATACTCCTTTGGTCTGGATAGGATTTCCTCGTTTCCAAATCATCGGCGGGCGAGTGATTGTCTTCCTTATCTGGCTCTTGAAGGCAACAAACCGAATTTCAAGAGAGGCAAAGAAACCGTGACCCGGATACTGCCGGAGCTGCCGCGGTCGGGGCGCCCCAGCCCTAATTAAAAGCGTCGTGGCCGCCTCTGGTTCCCGGCTGTGCGCCCAGGAGCGCGCCCTGAGGCTTTGGGCCGGGCACCCCCCACCCCCGCGCCTGGTCTGCTCATCTCCGGGCTTCAGGCCCCCGCCCCAGCCCCTTGGAAAAGAGCTAGGCGAGCAGCCGAGCCCACCAGGGACGAGCGACCTACATCGCGCGCAGATACTGGGGCACCGCGAGCGCGCGTGGCCGCCGGGTCTGTCCGCCCGACTCCTGCTGAGAACGCGGCCCAGGCTGCGACCTTCGGGGTGGGTGGGGGGACATCGTCCGGGGTTCGGCTGCCTCGACCTGCCCGATTTTCCGCTGCCCCCAACCCCTCCTCTGTGAGGAACCTGGTAAGGCGCGCAAGTGCAGGGCGGCCCCCACCACCCCGCGATGGGCCTCAGCTACCCTGGCGCTTCTGGGGTACCCAAGCGCGCGGCCATGTGCCCCCATCCTCCGCCCCGATCCGGCCTAGCCAAAGGGGACCCCGCGGCCAAACACACTTGCTGAATAAATGAGAGGATTTGAAGGCCGTGTCGGGCGTGATTTTGTTAAGGGTTTAACGCCGTGTCTGGGTGTACTGCAGCATGTGTGTGCGTGTGGTGGAGAGGGCGTTGTCACTGTTGTTTTTAAGTAACTAAAGATTGGAAGTTGTTGGGAGTACTAGCTTAGCTTCCTTGTTTTCATTATTTTTCTTTCCCTCTCCCTCTTTCTCTGCGTCTCTCTCCTTGTCTTCCTTCGCAGGCCTTCCTTGACCCCGGCCCTCTGTCTGCGGTTCCCCCATTACAGTGGCCAGCGGCCGCGACAGGCGTTACCGTGGGCCTCGGGGGTGCAGACGTAGGAGGCCGCGGGCCCCAGCGCCACCGCCGCGCTCTTCACGTGCTCATCCCTCTCGGGCGCGAACACCTGCGACGGCCGAGAAATGACAGGCGATTAGGGTGGCGCCCTGCGGCGGCCCAAAGACGCCCAGCCCTACCCCGCGGCCAAGAGGGAAAGCCGACGGAGTGGCAAAGGTTGGTGCGCCCGCTGGACTTGAGCGGGCACAGTGACGCACGCGGCGCACCCTTGCCCCCTTGTAGATTCAGGGTAATTGTTAGCGCCCTCGGGAAAATTACTCTAAACACAAAGCGGCTCCCAAGCCGAGGGGCGTTCAAAGTGTCCTCCACCCTCTGCACCCGCCTCCTTTTAGGCATTTTCCCTCCCGCCAGTGCCCCGTCCGCGGCATAAATGACGCCTTTCGCATCCGGTTAATGATTCGTGTTTTAATGAACCGAATGTACAGGTATGCGCACTCACTTTCAAAATGGCCAACGACTCCAGCCTGGCTGCATCCTGCCCCTCAAGCCCCGGCCCTGCCAGCTTGAGAGCCCCCCTCCCGCTCCGCACGCGGTCCCGAGACAGCTTCCCAGCAACGAACCCTGTGGTTCCCAAGGCGGGAGTGCGAAGAGACTCGGAAAACTGCGAGTTGGGGTGGTGGGAGATTCCGGGGACCCGGTACTGCTGGGGCCCGACTCAGGGAGAGGCCACACTGTCCTCTCTTCTCCTCTTCCTTGGGGCTCTGATGCCCACCCGGGCGAGCGCTTTTCTCTGGCTCTGGGTTCCTTTCTTACCTCCTCTTTCTTTCTCCACACCCCTTTTCTGTCTCTGTGTCTGGCAGTCTCAGCCGGTCTCCTCCCCATTCCCATCAACAAAAACAAAGCACACAAGTTCCCCAGTCCTCCCGCCGCCCCCAGCTTCCCTTCCCTTCGAAACCCTCACTGGAGGGTGCGGGTGGGCCCAGTTTCGCAGCGCGCCCAAGGCTGGGCCTGCGGAGAGTGGCCGAGGCCTGCTGCTCCCACGCCTGCGCGGAACAAAATTCCCGTTCTCCGCCCGGCCCCGCAGCCCTGCCGCGCACAGGGTAGGTGGGAAGGCGCCACTGGCGGGGCGGGCGCGGGGCTCACCTTGGCCGGCGCGGGGCCTCCTAGGGGCCCGCAAGGCTCTCGCAGCTCGTAGCCGCCGCCGCCGCTTGGCGGGCTCCTCTCAGGTCTCCGCACCAAGTCTTCGGCTGCCAAGTCCCCAAATGCGGGCCGGCCAGCTGGGGGTGGCCCGAGGCGGCGCCGGGGGCGGGGGCTGCCGCCGTCGGGAGAGTTTGCGGGACCGTCCGCGCCAGAGGAGGTGGCGGAAGGGGGTCCAGTGGGCTGTTCACCGTCTGGGCCGCCCCCTGCGCTGGGTGCGCTGGGCTCGGTCTCCTCTTGGGCGTCCTCGTCGTCGGGGAAGCGGTTGGATTCCACGTCCACCTCGGGCTCGTCCGCGGTGTCCACGTCGGGCGAGGCGGAATTGTAGCTGGAGCTGCCCTCGCTCAGAAAGTCCGGGCTCACGTAGCCGCCGCTCCCAGCGCCGGGTCCCGGCCCCCGAGCAGGCCCCGCGCCGTACGCCTCCCGGGCGCTCCCGTAGAGCTTAGCGATGCTCTCGGTGTCCTTGACCACCGGCCGGAAGGCCGACACGTAGGAGCCTTTGCGTGCGGGCGGCGGGGGCGGCGGGGGCAACGGGGCCAGGGGCGGTGGCAGCGCCTCGTCCGTGCCGTCTTCGTCCAGGGGCCCGCGGGACAGAGCGCTCGGGCAGCGCTCCTCCGCGCCGAGGCCACTCTCTTTGGCTGGCTCGGCACCGTCCAGGGGCTCTGGGGCACCGCTGCCAGCAGCTGCCGCTGCCGCCGCCGCTGCCGCCGCCACGGCTGCCGCCACGGCCTTGGCTTGGCTCTGAGCAGCGGGGTAGGACGGTACCGGGAGGCTGCCTGCTGCTGGCCAGAACATGGGAAACGTCGGGTACACAGTGGCGGCGGCGGCCGCTGCAGCCACTGCCGCTGCGTCCTTGGCTGCCCCGGAGGGTTGATGCCCCCAGAACATGGCGCCGCCGCCCGGGCCCGCCCCTGCCCCCGGGGGCAAGTGGCTGGCTCCCGGGCCCCCCGCACCCCCGCCTGTCCCCGCGCCGCCGCCGCCGCTCCCAGTGCCAGGACCGCCCTTTGGCTCGCCCGCGCCTAAAACCGGGTCGTCCTTTTTGGGGCATAGGCCGAAGGCCGTAGGGAAGCCGTAAGGATGGGGGAAAAGTGGTGGGGGCAGCTTTTGCAGGAGCCCAAAGCCTTTGCTGGGCACCGGGATCACCGGGTAGCTTCGTACGCCGGCGCCGCCACCGGGCCCTCCTGGGCCCGCCGGGCCACTAGCTCCAGTCGCCAGGCCAAGTCCGCGCTGCGGGTGGGGTGGAGGTGGCCCCGGAGGCCCGGCAGCCTCATCTTCGCCACAGCGCAGGCTTTTGTGGGGCGGCGGGCCTGGGGCCATCTCTGCACCGCACCCTGGGCCACCGCCGCCACCGCCGCCAGCACCACCCTTCCCCTGCCCACCCGACCCGCCATTGGCACCGCCTCCGCCGCCTCCTTGTAGGGAGAAGGTCCGCTTGCGCGTGCCGCCATTAAACATGGCCTTGACGTCCTCCCAAGCATGGCTCAGTTCGTCTGTGGCCGACTTGTCACTGAGTTTGAGGTGACGACGCCAGGAGTTGAAGTTGGCGGCATCGGGCTGCGTGTACTTGGCGTCGGGTGTTCGGTGCGAGTGGAAGATGAACTTGTTGGGCGAGAAGTACATGCTGCAGTAGCCGCACTTGATGCACTTGGCACGAGAGCTGTTGTAACGCGCAGGGATGAAGCTACCACGCGAGCCCCACGCGCACTCGTGCACCACATCGAAGGCGAAGTTCTCGGGCAGCTTGGGTGGTTTGTGCTCGCCCAGGAACGACTTGCACAGGCGTTCGGCCTCTCGCTTAGTGATCATGCCGCAGCGGCGCGACGAGATGGGCATGGCCCCGGCCCGACGCAGAATCTCCAGCTGTACCGGCGTGCACTGCACGCACGTGATGCCCAGGGCCACGCGGCGGTTGTGGATCTCATTATAGCTGTAGTTCTTGAGGAGGGTGTTGGAGATCTGCGCCAGGCATAGGCGCTCCTGGCCGTCGATGACCAGCGACACAATGGGCACCCCGTACAGCGACGTCTCGCCCACCTGGTTGGGTTTGAGAGCGCTGGAGCCCGAGTACGGCTGCAGCTCCTGCTTGGAGTTGGGCGAGGAACTGCCCTCGCGCCCCGGCCCCAGCTGAGTGGTGAGAGCCTCCATGCCGCCGCTCCTGCGAAATAGAGAAAGCAGAGAGCAGATGAGCCATTTTCAGCGCCGCCGCCGAGGCTCGGGCCCGCCCAGCAGGGCGCTCCGAGTTGGGCGCGCGGGGGATACTTGGCAGTGGGGAGTCCAAACTCATTCACCCCCTGGACAGGCGTCTTTTGTTACTCAGACCCATGTTGGCGCCGTTAACAACAGCCCCCGGGGCTTGGGGGAGGAGAAGGGGTAAAGGAGACCTCAGGAATGCCCGGGCTGCAAGGAACCCAATCCCGTTTTCGGATTGGGAAGGAAGTGAAACCCAGATACGCAGAGTGACTTGCCCAAGGCCACACAGCAAAGCCATTGCCAAATCCTGGCTTTTTCAGCGCCCAGATCCGTGCGCCTTCGGCAACCCTCGCAGCCGGTGCTGCCGGCCCGGGTCCTGAAGCCCGGACTTCGGGGATCGGCCGCCCCTCTGCTCAGTCGCGCATGCACGCGGGCGGGCGGGGGCAGTGCAAGGAGGGGTGGGGAGGGGGGAGGGGCGGTCACTGCCCATCTCCAGACAGCAGGGGGTAGAGGGGGGTGAAGAGAAGGAGGGGGGTGAGGAGAAGGAGGAGGGAACCGTGTCTGCCAGGGAAGGAGAGAGGCGGAGGCTACCGCTGTTCGCGGTGCTGAACCTGACCCTCTCCAAAGCGCTCGGTGCGCACCCGGACCTAGCGCGGCCCCCACCGCACCCAGCTTGGTGCCCGAGCCGGCTTCAGGGGACAACATTGCCAGTTTCCACAAACCCGAGCTTCTCCTCTCACGGCTGGCGCCCGCGTTCGTTGAGCAGAAAGATTTCGGCTGGATATATAAACCGTTTTCTTTCCAGCTATTAGTGAGACCAGGATCCTGCAGTTCTAACCACATTTTCTGCATTTTTAGCTGTATTCCAGACCAAAGCTGGTTTCCACCGAGGTCAACGTGTGGGACAGAGAGGTTCTCAAGGAACTTTGTTGGGATCCACTTCTTAGCTTCCAGTCGCCCACTCCTTGAGCTTTCCTCCTTCAGATATACGTTTCCCACTCGGGCCAACTGCAGGATTCGGGGCTCTGGGCTTCCTCTTTGAGGGGCATCACCTCTCTGAGTATCCTTCATGCCTCGCTGTCCCGGCTCATATGGGCTAGAAGGAATCTCAGCCATCTTCGTAGCCATTGCAAGGCTCCAGGCACACAAGTTGCTGCTGGTCCTTGCACTTTGCTTTCTGGCTGAGGCAGGGAGGGAGCTGTGCAGGCAGACCTCAGCAGCGGGGGTACTTGGGGACTGATGTTTGGGGCCCTCTAGGTCGCCTGACCCAGCCACATGTCCTCAGACAAGCCAGGCTCCCATCCGGCCCAAGGCTGCAGGCGCTCCTGCGGCCAGGGCAGCCCAACCCTGAGGGCTCCTCCCCTGCAGTCGGCCCTGAATGTAACTCCGTTTTCAGAGGGGCAGCTCCAGACAGGGGATCCCAGTTCAAAAGCCTTCAGCAAGGAGACTGGAATCTTCTGTTTATCTGTCTCTCTCCCTTCTTCTCTATTTGTCTAGGAGACCCTCATTTGTCGATCTTATCTGTCCCTGAGCTGTCTCTGCCGGCTCGTTCCTCTTTCTCTCATCTGTTTTGTACCTTCTTCAAGTATCAAGCTATTTATGTATTATCTGTCTGTTTCATCTTTATCTCCGAGGATCGAACTAAAATAAGTTGACCCTTATTTCGCGTTGAAGTCCTTTATATCATTGTAGGAGGCAAAAACACTGTCCTAACTCCCCGGCTGACAAGCCTCGCGCCCTCCTGGAGGTGGCTGGAGGGCGCGCAGCGCTGGGAAATGACAGCTTCTCGGTTTCTCGAAATCGGCAACTATGCCTGGCCCGCATACAGTGAAGACAGCGCCCGAGCCGAGAGCGTACCCCAGTTGAGGGTCCTGGGTCCCTGCGCGGTTTTCCCTGAGTGAGAGGAGGGGGGTCCGGGCCCGGAGTCAGAAGAAGGGGGTCCCTAGGAAAGGAACGGAATTTCGGGGGCCAAAGCGGAAAGCACAGGCGAAGAGCCATATGCAGCGACAAGGAGCAGCAGCCAGAGCAGCTTGAGGAACCCCCGTCGGCTCCCGGAGCTAGATGGACGAGCTTGGGGAGGGCAGCGAAGCGGGAGACTGGCAGTGGTGGGAGCGAGGCGGTGGTGTCTTTAGGTATAATCATAAAAACAACAGCCACAGGAGCCCAAATCAGAACTAAACGAAAAAAAAGCTGCAGGAGCAGAGCGCGGGGGCGGCGGGCTACCGGACGTGGGTACTCACAGTGCGGCGGCGGCTGGAGCCGGGCGAGCGGTGAGCGGAGGTGCGCGGCGGGAGGAGCGGCGGGCGGGAGTCCGGGATCCGCCGGGCTCTCCGGGTGACGGCGCGGCCCCTCCCCGCGCGCGCGCACAGCCGTGCTCCCTGGTTCTCCGCGCTCCCACCCGCGGCCCCTCCCGCTCTCAGCGGGCACGGGGCGCCGGGACCCCGGGCGCGGAGATGCGAACCCTGAGCCGTTGACCCCGAGGCCGGGGACTGGCCGGAAGAAGAGGCCGAAGCCTGGAGCGCATGGCGCGGCGGCGGGGACGGCGCGGTCACAGCCCGAGTGGCGGGGCAGGCGCGCCTGACAGCTGAGAGCCGGGGCGCCACACCCACCGCCCGCGCAGTCGCTAGCGCCCTCCCCGGGTCCGCCCGCCCGCGGGCCACGCGCGGCGCCCGCCGCCTCCCCGCAGCCCAAGGCCTGCACGCCCCAGGTAAGCGGCCGCACACCTGCGTCCAGCACCCTGCACCTGCGTCCCGCTCTAGCTGGAGAGGCCAGGAGGGAGGAAAGGCCCTGGGGCCATAAAGTTTGTCCCCAAGAACGAAGTGGGGAGGGCCCAGTGCTCCCGGCCAAGGAGCCAGTTTTGGTCTGGGCCAAAACCGGGTGATGGGGCTAAGGGGGACTCAAGAGGAACGGGCGCAGGGAGGAGTACTTCACTTTCCGGCCGCAGGCGAGGGCCAGGGTGGTGGAGCCTAGAGTGGCCCTCGGGAACCAGTAGGGTCACCAGAGACCGGGACAGGGACCTGGGTGCAGGGCAGCGAGGATGGCACCCGGGAAGGAGCAGATCTGCCTCTCCCATGCTCCTGACTTCGGTGGGAGGTATCAAGAGAGAGCTCTAACCTGAGGAGGGGCGTTCTCCTGTTTCCGTCCCTGGGCAGGGGACTTGGGAACTAGGTTTGGGGAGCCCTCGGCCTTGAATGCCTCCCTTCGCCATCACCAACAGGCCCAGGGCAGGAGCCAAGTCATCGTTGGGAGTGATCTGAGGTTAACTACGCTCTCAACGCTGCTAAGCCAGTTTCCCCAAGGGGGAGGTCCAGTCCTCTGATGCTACAGACGCCCCTGGGTACCTCCTCTCTCTCCTCAAAGCTCCGTTTCTCTCCATCCCTTTCCTGTCTCAGTCGGTCTCTCCGTCTTCACCATTCTTTCCCCTAACGCCCCACTGGGTCCCCTTCTCTTCCTCTCTCAATCTGTCTCTACTTCTTCGTTTGAGTTACTAGTCGCACCCCGCCCCTCTTAGCCCGCACCCAGGCGCCCCGTTGGCCGCTTCCACCACCTCCCTCCCTGCCCCCCTGGCATTAAGTGTCCTTAATGGACACGTTAATTAAACTGTAATTAATCATACTGTCCGGCCCAAGTTTGAACAATTACCCTAATCAAACAGAAGTTAATAATGGCAGGGATGGCCTGGGGCGCGACGGGCCGCCTGGGCAGGGGGCGCAGCGGCCACGGCGACTACCGGCGGTGGCAGCAGCGACGAACGCAGCCTGTCCTTGGAACCCGGGAGGCGCCATAAATCTTCCGCGGGTAGCAGCGCGGGGTCGCCTTCTCCCCTCTCGCCTCGTTTTTCCCTCGGGCTACCGGGTATGGTCCCCTTTCCCTCCTGCGTTCCAACTCCTCTGGGGCGTGTCTCCCCTTTTCCTCCACTTCTCCCCTCTCTTCCTTTCCCTCCTGGCTCGCAGAGACCCTGGGAAGGGACTCTGGAAGCGCGAACCGATAGCTCAGGCCTGGTGAAGGGACTGAGGAGAGGGCAGGCCCAGCCCACAGACTCCTTTGCCTTCTTCCCGGCTACCCTGGCTGACGTAGGTTACCGTTCTCCTAGGCCCCGAAAACCTCTCCCAAGTTTGTGGGCTCTGTCTCCTCTGAGGGTCTCTTTTAGATCGCGTTCTTGCCCTCTTCCCCCTCCTCGGTTCCGGTCTTTCTGTCTCGGATCTCCCTGCCTTTCCCTTTTCTCCCAGGGGAGTCCTGGAACCCGCTCGGCCCCTTTCTTTCTGCCTCTGGCCCCTCCATTCGGGTGTCTTTCCCAGGCTGTGCCTCTGTCCCGCTCCAACTATCCCGCTGTCTTTCCTCCCACACCTTCCCCGGGGAGAACACAGGAACCTATTTTCCTTCCCAGTCCGAGAGCTGCCCCCAAGTCCCCGCCAGCTCATTCCCTCTCCCTCGGCCCAGGCTCCCCCACCCCATAATTACAATCTCGTTCGGTAATTATTCTTAGCCTCCTAATGATTTTTTAAAAGGCATCTCAGAATTCGGCCTGGTGGTGACAACGATCCTGGAGCCAGGACGCCCCCAGGGTGCCGGGGGGTGGGAGGAAAGAGAGGATGGGCTGGGTCCCCCTGAGCAGGACCTGCCTGTCCTGCCTCTGTTGTACAGCGAGGGCCAAAGACGCCTCCGTTTCCAGCAGCCCGGCCGCGGGGGGCCCCCAGGACCTCTTAGACAAAGGGTACCGCCCCGCACCAGGGGGTGTGCAGCGTCGACTCTGCGTCCCCGTTCAGCACCAAGCTACGGACAGCTCCCCGCGCTCTGGCCAGTGCCAGGAGACCCACCCAGCTCCTGTCCCTGGTCTGAGCTGGAGAAAGGCGCGTGGACAGAGGCTGGGGAAGCCCCGCTGCTCAGGGCTGGGCACCGGGGAGCAGGTCGTGGGGGTAGGAGCTGGGGCTCTACTATGGGCCGGCGTCCGGCGGGTTAATATCACCGCGGACCGCACTTTACCGATTGCAGAGCCGATTCTCAACAAGGGCCCTGGGAATAGATAGGAACCACTTATTCCCATTTTACAGGCAGGAAACTGAGGATCCGGCAGTGGAAGCCAACCCCTGCCCTTCTCCCTAGCCAAGGCCCTCAGCCCACAAGGGACGCAAGCTGATCTCCTAGACTCAAAAAGTGGTGCTTGGCACGCTGCAGAGAGAGCCTAGCTTGAAGAAGGGACGGTAAGGAGGGCGCAGTGCTGCGTTTCAGTATCGCCCTCATTAGACGATGTAGAGGAGGAAGGCCTGGCACAGCCAGGGCACTTGCTCAGGTTCAGGCAGGCAGTGAGTGGCAGAGCTGGGACCGCAACCCAGGCTCCGAAGGGATGGGCGGGACTCCTCTTCCTCAGTGGGGGCTCTGGGTCCTGAGGCCCTGTCCAGAGCGGGCAGGCGTCGCTGCCCTTGGCCTTCCTGACCCCCATTATTGAAGATTCTCTCTCTTTTATCCGCTTCCCGGTGGCACCAGGGGTCGGAAAGCCGGACTCTGGATGCGAGCTGCGCCTTGCGCGCTTCTCCTCCCACTGGCCGAGCCCGCGCTGCCTCCGTGCCCCGGGTTTGGCGTCCATTTGGGCTCCGGCTTGGGCTGAGGCTGCGCGGACGCGCCTCCTCCGCAAGCACATATCTTTTACTAGTTGAATTAACGGCAGTTTTCGTCAGTTAATTAGGTTTAATTTACATAATTAGTACAGTATAAAGAGGATTGGGGATAATCACGGGGTACGTAGCGCTTACTGTGTAAACACGTATTCTGAATTAAAAATCAGATGTAATTAAGGCGCGCAGGCCCTGTTTAGGCAGGGTTTTAATTGTAATGAATTTCTAATTAACACTCAATGATTGCCAAATGCAAAGGGCTGTAAAATTTTCTTGTAGTTTTGCTAATTTAGTGTTTACTTAATATCTGGATATTAATCCAACGGCCACATAGGGCAGAGCCCGGCGCGGCGGCGGCCCTGGCCCAAGGAAGTGAAGGAGGCTGGGCGGGGCCTGCCGGGCCCCAACCCGAGACCAAAAGTGAGGAGAAGGCGGGGGCCTTGGAGCCGGTGAGAAGGTGCTCAGAGCTCCGGGCCCACCTCACTCCTGTTGCGGACCAGAGACTGAGGCTGGAGAGGGTCCGGATTTGGTGGGAGGCCGTACCCTCTGGGTTTCCGCTGCCTGGACCAGGCTCTTTGGGATCATAGGTGAGACCAGCGCTCCTCACGGCAGGGGACTCCCTGTTCTCGGGAACATCAAAAGGAGGGAGAACAATTGCGGTCCTGGTGGGCCCAGACCCGGTTCCGCTGCTGACTCCAGGAAGGGCCATGGACTTTGCCTGGGCCTGCATATCTGCATCTGTAGGATGGGCACATGGACCCCCACTTTGCAGGAGTGAAGGCGAGTGAAGGATTGATCCAGAGTCCAGGGGCTCATGAACACCTCTCTTCTAGAGTCCTGAAGATGGGTAGAGCTTGGTGGCCCTACTTAGGTTAGGACGCTTAAGCTTCTGGGGAGAGGGAGAGCCAGGAGGCCTTGGGAATGGTTTGAAGGTCTTGGGGCCGGGCTCTGCCCTCCTGAGGCTCTCTTGCACCTGGGGATGCAAGTTAGGCTGGCAGACACTAAGGAGGGAACCCTGGACCAGCCTTCTTTGCTCCAACCAGACAGAGAAGCCTCCCAGGCCTGAGCAGAGGTATTAGGAAAAGAAGAGCTGGGGCAACATAGATCCCATCTCTACCAAAAAAAAAAAATTATATATATATATATATATATATATATATATATATATATATAGAGAGAGAGAGAGAGAGAGAGAGAGAGAGAGAGAGAGAGAAAGAGAGAGTGAGCTGGGGCATGGTGGTGCTCAGCTGTGGCCCCAGCTACTTGGGAGACTGAGGCAGGAGGATCACTTGAGCCCAGGAGAGGGAGGCTGCAGTGAGCTATGATTGCACCACTGCACTCCAGCCTAGGCAAGAGAAGGAGACCCTGCCTGCCTGTAGAAAAAAAATCTTTTAAAGTAAAAGAGGGTGGCTGAGCATCTCCAGCTGGCCCCAGGTTTTCCCATGAGTATCCTTCTCTCCCGAATCTCAAGCTTGGGTCCCTGCCTGCATCCTGGCTGGTCCCAGGGGTGAGGGGCTCCCCTCCTATCAGCTTCAGCTTAGCCACAGCCTCTTTCCAAGGTTCTCTCAGCATGGGGGAGACTGTGTGGACACTTAGAAGTTTCCAATGAACCCATGGAAACACAGTGAGAAAACTCAGTGTCACCGGAGGCTTCCACCCCACAGAGCAGGCTGCCTTACCTCCCTCCCTGCATACACCCCTCCTGAGCCTCCTCTAAGCTTGCCTTCATGCCAGCCCTCATCCCCCTCTGTCCATGGCTGTTTTATTTTCATCACTGGATTGTTCATGGGTTAATATTTCCCGGTCACTTTTTTGTGTTTCTGTCTCTCCCACGGGAATGTTGTGTCTGCAGTTGCATACCCAGGGCCTGGCACTTAGTAGGTACTCAGCATGTTTGGCAAATGAAATGAGCATTTGAGAATGAGGGTTGTGAGCCCCAGACCAGGTCCCACTTGACTTGCTGGCCACAGTTATTGGTCCTGTTGGGGTCTAGTGGCCAATGTGGTTCTTCAAGAGAAGGTTCTCTGCTCCCCAGTGATGTTTAGGTCTTGGGATTCCCACTCTCCACACAGACTCAAAGTCATCCAGGCAGAGACCTCCAAAACACTTGTTCTTGGGAGGTGGGGAGCTGCTGGCAGGCTTGCCAAGCTTTCCCTGGTTGCAAGGGGATTCCCCAGGGGTTCCTCCATCAGCATCATGGAGAAAGGGCTGGAAAGAAAATAGGCTGTGGAGCCAGCAAGACTTGCACTGTTTGAGTCTCCAAACCCACAACTGTAACGTATTCATATGGGCTTCACAGGGACACGGGGATGTCATAATTTTTATTTTTATTTTTTGAAATGGAATCTCACTCACTCTGTCACCCAGGCTGGAGTGCAGTGGTATGATCCTGGCTCACTGCAACCTCTGTCTCCTGTGTTCAAGCAATTTTCCTGTCTCAAGCCTTCCAAGTAGCTGGGATTACAGGAGCCCTCCACCATGCTGAGCTGATTTTTGTATTTTTAGTAGAGATGGAGTTTCACTATGTTGGCCAGGCTGTTCTCGAACTCCTGGCCTCAAGCAATCCGCCCAACTTGGCCTCTCAAAGTGCTGGGATTACAGGCATGAGCCATGGCGCCTGGCCTCATGTCACAATGATGAACTAAGGTGCTGGGAATATGGAACACAGCCAGGGCTGGAACTAGAGTAAGGTATCTTGGGTGAAAAACTTAAGAAGTCATTCAGTCTCGGGGGTCCCGTAAGTCCTCCCTCTAGTCCCAGCCCTGCACAAATCACATGGCAGAGTAGGCACTCAGCACATGTGAGCTGCTCCTTCCCTGACAGCCTCCAATCACTTCAAGATGGCTGCCTAAACATTGGTGGAGTCTGGTCTTCTTGCTGGGACAGTTTGAGGCATTTCTGAGGCCAGGTTCTGGGGTGTGGGAAAACCATAGGATGCCACATCAGTCAGAGGAAGGACTTGAATTCTGGGCATGTCACACAATTCCCCACAGTCTCCCCGACTCCACCGACCCCAAGGGAACCTGAGTTGAGATATCATGCACATACCATATACTCCATCCACTTATGGTCTACAACTCAATGATTTTCTTTTGTAATTCACAGAGTTGTGCAACCATCACCCCATCAATGCTCGAATATTTCCAGCACTCCAAAGAGAAACTCTGTACTTATTAGTTATCACCCCTCATTTCCCTACTTCCCTCCAGCCCTAGGCAGCTACCAGTCTACTTTCTGTTCTACAGATTTGCTTCCTGTGGACATTTCTTATAAATGGAATAATATAATATTGGTCTTTTGTGACTGGCTTCTTTCACTTGGTGTAATGTTTTCAGGGTTCACCCATGTTGTAGCATGTATTGGTACTTCATTCCTTTTTATTGCCAAATACTATTCCATCATATGGATATACCACGTTGTTTATCCATTCATCCATCAATAGATATTTGGGTTCTTCCCTCTTTTTGGCGATTATGAATGATGCTGCTATAAGCATTCATGCACAAATTTTTGTGTGGTCGCATATTTTAATTTCTCTTGGGTATATACTGAAGTGTGGAATTGCTGGGTGATACCACAACTCTATAGTTAACCTTGTAAAGAAATGCCAGATTACTTTTCTAAAGAATAGCACCATTTTACATTCACATCAGCAATGGATGAGGGTTCTGATCTTTCCACATTCTCAAAAACACTTGTTATTATTTGTCTTTCTTATTATAGCCATCCTGGTGGGTATGAAATAGTACTTTATTGTGGTTTTGATTTGTATTTCCCTGATAAAATGATGTTAAACATCTTTTATGTGCTTATTAGTCATTCGCTGAGAAATGTCTATTAATATCATTTCCCTATTTTTTCAACTGGGTTATTTGTAATTTTATTATTGAGTTGTAAGCGTTCTTTATATATTCTAGTATAAGTCCCTTATCAGATGCATGATTTGAAAGTAACTTCTCCCATTCTAGGAGTTGTCTTTTTACTCATAGTATTTTCTTAGTGATGTCCTTTGAAGCACACACATTTTTAAGTTTCATGGCATCCAATTTATTGTGTTTCTTTTTTGGCTGCTTGTGCTTTGGCTTCATATCTAAGAAGGCTGTGCTGTGAGAGTTACTTCTATATTTTCCTCTAAGAATTTTTATAGTTTTAGCTCTTTACTTTTAGTCTATGATTAACACATCTATTTGGAGCTAACATTTGTGTATGATGTGAGGTAGGGATCCAAATTCATTCTTTTGCATGTGGACATCCAGTTGCCTTAGCACTATTTGCTGAAAGATTATTCTCTCTCCTTTAAATTGTCTTGACCCCTTGCTGGTTTTTCTGGTCTGGAGAAATGAGTATCCTCCCTCCCCCAGGAGTGATGGTACCAGCTTTGCTGGGATTTTTAGTGAACAAGCAGACGGCCCCCACTGGGGCAGGGAGACTCCCCAGGACTTCTCTGAAACCTCAGCAAGGCCCAGCATAGGTGCTAGAGACACCATGAATTCATCAAATACTTACTCAGTACCTCTTGTGTGTCAGGAGCTGAGGACACAGTAGGGGATTAAGGCAAGCTAGTTCCTGCTCTCTAGAGTTTACACTCCAGCAGGGAGATGGACAAGAAAGATTACTATAATTCCAAATGGTGACAATTGCTGTGAAAAAGAAATAAAGCAGGGTATAGGGTTGGAGAGGGACAGGATTAGGGCTGGGGGTGGCAGTGGTGTAGGAGGAGGCCACTTTTCTATTTCTATTGACACCAGCTAAGGAACTTGGGTCCCCACTGTGCACCAGACACTGTGCTGCACTCTTGGCATCTCTCATCTCATTTTGTTTTCCTAAGAATCTTATGATGCCAACATACCCATTTCACAGCTGAGAAAGCTGAGGTTCAGAGAGGTGAAGTGATTTGCCCAAAGCCACACAGCCAGGAAGTAGTAGCCCTAAGACTCAAATCCAGACCTGCCTGAAGTGCAAGTTGTTTCTTCAGCAACAGCTGCCTCCCTGTAAGATGCAGGCTGTGTTCTCCTAGGACTCTCACTCCAGTAAGGGGGACAGAACACCTCCTCGCAGTCACTCCACCCAGGCTGGTGTGCAGCAGTGGCACATGCCCCATGAATCTCATGCATCAAAATGCAGAGGGCGAAGTGAATCACCACTGGGTGGGGGAGGAGGAAGGGTAGAAGCCTCAACAATATTTGCTGGAGAATGTTGGTCCCCGAGCATCACCGTGAGCTGCCACTGCATCACAGACGAAGGAGGCCCCATTTCTCCTGAGGAAGGAATATTTAAGAAGTGGGGAGTCACTAGGACTTCAGTGGTTGTATGCGGGTCTGTGTGTATGTGGGGCAGCAGTGCCTGGTGGGAGGAAGGGGCCAGAAACCAGCCCTTTAGAAGTGTTTTGTGCTTAGCACGGTCAGTAGCAGGGATGATTTAATAATGACATCGACAACATCCACTACTATAATTACCCCACTCTGCCACTGAGGAAACTGAGGCTCAGAGAGGTTAGGCATCTTGCCTAGGGTCACACAGTGAGTCAATGGAGGACCCAAGACTTGAACCCAGGTCTGTGTAACTCCAAGCCCATGCCCTTCATAGCTACATTCTTTTTTTTTTTTTTTCCTCTTTTTTTTTTTTTTTTGAGACAGAGTTTCACTCTTGTTGCCCAGGCTGGAATGCAATGGCATGATCTTGGCTCACCACAACCTCTGCCTCCCAGGTTTGAGTGATTCTCCTGCCTCAGCCTCCCGAGCAGCTGGGATTACAGGCATAAACCACCACGCCTGGCTAATTTTGTATTTTTAGTAGAGACAGGGTTTCTCCATGTTGGTCAGGCTGGTCTCGAACTCCCGACCTCAGGTGATCCGCCTGCCTTGGCCTCCCAAAGTGCTGGCATTACAAGCGTGAGCCACCGCACCCAGCCTTCATAGCTACACTCTTCTGCCTCCCCCACAGGATTGCCAAAAAGGACCGAGGAGGCCGTGGGGTAGAAAAGAGGGGTTCCATTTGGGTATTAGGAGACTTGCATTGAATCCCGCCTCTCCCACTGCCTTGCTGGGACTCTTACCAAGAGATTTAACATTTTCTAAAACAAATTATTATTATTACAAAATAATATATGTTTACTGAGTTACATTTGAAAAATACAGAGTAATAGAAAGTGAAAGAGCAGCCACAATCTCATCAGATGTTTTTATAAACATCTTCTTCCCAGCTGGGTGCAATGGCTCACGCCTGTAATTCCAGCACTTTGAGAGGCTCAAGTGAGAGGATTGCTTGAGGCCAGGGGTTTGAGACCAACCTGGACAACACAGTGAGCCCTCATCTCTACAAAAACTTTAAAAATAAGCCATGCATGGTGGTGCATGCCTGTAGTCCCAGCTACTTGGGAGGCTGAAGGGGAAAGATCACTTGAGCTCAGGAGGCTGAGGCTGCAGTGAGCCGAGATCGCGCCACTGCACTCAGCATGTGTGACAGAGTGAGGCCCCATCTCAAACAAATAAGTAAGTAAATAACTTGTACCTAGATGGCTGGAGGCAGGCAGGGGCAGGTCCCTGAAGTTTCCTGAAGCCCCTCCCACCCTGCCTTCCCCTTCATTTATTTAACCACTGTTTCTCGAGCGTCTCCTGAATGCCAGGCCCTGAGCCAGCTCCTGCCTTCCTGGGGCTCTCACTGAGGTGAGGCAGATAGATGATGTAAGAAAACACAGAAGGACAATATAGAGAAGTCAGGCAGCGACAGAGGAGCTCCAGGGAGACAGTAGCCTGTGGGCTGGGCTCCTGTGGGTGGGCCAGATCAGGTTGGGTATTGGAAAAGGCCTCCCCATAGGAATTGCATTTCAGCTGAATCTTGGAGGATGAACAGAAATTAGGCAGGAGGCAGAGGACAGGAGGAAGGTGTCCCAGGCTGAGGGAACAGCCTATGCTATGGCTCAGAGGCTCAGAGGCAGAGAGGGCTCTGGACATTCAGGCAGCAGAGCGTCACCCCCTGTGATGGGAACAGGGACTGGAAGACAGAGAGGTGGGGATGACCCTGCTGCCTGCTGCCCTTGCAGGGGAGCTGGGAGACCAATGAGACCAGTGTGAAGGCAGTTTGCCACGTGCAACTCATATTACAAGACAAATAGGATTTCTTTTCTATCTCAAAACTTTATTCCCATACTTCTGCCCTCATTATTGCTCCCAGTGTTTGCCCTGTTGCTCTCCCTACAACCCCTCTTCCCCAAAGCGGGACGAAAAGATAAAAAGAGCAAATTCCTGGGAAGGACCAGCAGCACAGTTTGACTGGATGCTTTTAACTAAGTCTGCAGGCAGGAGAGACTTTTTATCCCTTGCAAGTTAATGCAAACTGTTAGGGAGATAAATAAATGACAGAGCTGCCGACGGACTGTTGGGCTTATAGGAGGGACATTTGTCTCACTTTAGAAGAAGGACCTGGAGGGCTCAGCCCCATCGACTCGTTCATTGTGCTGTTATCTGCCAGAGAGGTGGTGACACCACAGCAATTAAGACAAACTTGAGTCTATAAGTTCGCGCCTGCAATCTCGTGGCTTCAAAACAAGACAAATGATACCGCCAAGGGAGGAAACAAAGTCTTTTTCAGACTCTGTCCAAAGTCACAGCGAATATTTGTGGTTGTTCAGCAGAAAATTTGTCATTATGAGGTCTGGGCTCTGCTGCCTCCCTGCCCCGCATAATAATCCACTCCTGTGGCTCGTGCCAGCCCAGGCTGTCTCAGGGGCTCCACCCACTGCCAGCTACAGCCCGCCCTGCCTGCCCACTAGTTGAAGAGCATCTCTGGTGGGTCGAGGATGTGATTTCTGCCAAGGCGGAAAGGAGTCATGACAAAGCCGGCAAGCGCCACGGCAGCCTTGCTCTGCCATGGAAGCCACTGACCTCGTCCCACTTCCTATATGAGCAGCCAGCACCCACCAAGGACCAGGCTCAGGGCAGACATCCTGAGCGGTTTACTGCTTCCCCTGGCCTGGCTCCCCCTGCAGACCTCTTTGCTCCTCCTCCCTATTCCTGACCCCACATCACCACGCCTATTGCCTTTGCCACAGCACCTTGGAGCTGATGCCAGCCTCAGCCTCCTCCTTTGGCCTCTCACCTGCGCTTTGATTGAACTGCTTCCTCCGGCCTCATGAAGTGAAAACACCCGATCCCCCAAAGTAGGAGCTGGGACCCGGTCCAGGTGCAGTCCTGGGGGTCCACCTGGCCCCAGGAATGGAGTTGGGCTGCTGTGAGCCATTGGTGCAGCTCCCCTCTCCACGCCCTTCTGCCCACCTGCTGGGCACTACCTCCCTCCCTCACCCTGGGACTTGGGGCCGTCTTTCCCTCCCCCCATCCTCCCTCTATGCCCCTCTTTCTCATGGACATTTCTGTGACTGAGAACACGGTTCCCATTCTGGTTTTCCTTTTTTTTTTTTTTGAGACAGGGTCTCACTCTGTCGCCCATGCTGCATTGCAGTGGCGCGATCACAGCTCACTGCACCCTCCCCCTCCCAGGCTCAGGTGATCCTCCCACCCCAGCCTCCTGAGTAGCTGGGACTACAGGCATGTGCCACCACGCCTGGCTAATTTTTGTAGAGACAGGGTTTTGCCATGTTGCCCAGGCTGGCCTCAAACTCCTGAGCTCAAGTGATCTGCCTGCCCCAGCCTCCCGAAGTGCTGGGATTACAGATGAGAGCCACAGTGCCCGGCCAGGCTCCCATTCTAATAGGGGCCAGACTTAGCTAAAGGCTGAAGCTCCAAGGGGGAGTTTGGGCAGCAGTCAGGGGGACAGAAGGTATCTTTGAGGTGGCATCATGGCCCTCTCTGGGCTCCATCCCATGTGGAAGCCGCTGTCCAGTCCCTTCTGAACCACCCTGTGGGGCCCCAGGGGCTGCCAGCCTGCAGACCCAGCATCATCCCGAGGCTTCACCTGGAGGTTCCACTGGCCTGAGTGTGCAGACACCTGGAAGCATATGCCTCCCCAAAGATGCAGGTCTGTTCAGGCAGGGCACCCGCAGCTTCCCTCAGTGAGGCTGTACCATCCATTTCACCTCACTGGCCTGACCAACCCCCTAACTGGGCTGGGCCTTGGGTAGGGGCTCTGGGTCACACTACTTTGGACCACAAGGTCCCCGCCACATCTGGAGAAGAGGGTTCCACCTCTCCTTCCTCTGCCCCAGTGGACCTGTTGGAACATCTCCAAAGCCCTGGGATTCTGTATCCTGCATTCCCCACATGTGAAAACCAAAGACAGAAGCAAGGACGATGGGCTGAGTGTGAGAGGGCCTCCTGGCCTTCAAGCCAGAGACCTAGAAGCAGAGGAGGCACCTGCCTGTCATTGTGAACTGGGGCCCCGTGAGGATCCTCCTGTCCTGGAAACACTTCCTTCTAGGCTCCCCTGAAGGTCTGAGAGGCCTGAGGCTGCCTCCAGTGAGGGTTTCGTCTCTCAGAAGCTCCAGTTAGAAAGTGAGTGGGCGATATTGAGGATTGGAGCAAGAGATTCGAGCAGGACAGTGACAGGCCCCAAGGGCCTCAGGTCTGAGGGCCCCATCTCTGCACCCTACCTTCCCTCCCTCCTACCGTCCCACACCACAGGCACCCTCCCTATGCAGGCCCTGGGCCAGGTGCTGGGATAGAGGTGAGTTAGCCTCATCCCTGCCCTCAAAGGGCTCACAGTCTATATCCAGAGAAGGAAATAAAGAAGCTGCCAGCTAGGCGTGGTGGCTCACGACTGTAATCCCAGCACTTTGGGAGGCTGAGGCAGGCAGATCACTTGAGGTCAGGTGTTCAAGACCAGCCTGACCAACATGGTGAAACCCCATCTCTACTAAAAATACACAAATTAGCCGGGCATGGTGGTGCATGCCTGTAATCCCAGCTACTCGGGAGGCTGAGGGAGAAGAATCGCTTGAACCTGGGAGGCAGAGGTTGTGAGCTGAGAGTGCACCATTGCACTCCAGCCTGGACAACAAGAGCGAAACTCTGTCTCAAAAAAAAAAAAAAAAAAAAAAAAAGGCAGCAAAGAGGAGGTGCTGTTTGAGAGGGGCCTGAAAGGAAGAATAGGAATTAGCCACATGGATGGGGTGAGGGTGGGCGGGGGTGGCTTTCCAGCAGGGAAAGAGCTCATGCTGCCTAGGCCAGTCTCAGGCACTGCAGTGTTCTAGGTCTTAGCCTTCCCGCGACCTCTGAGGGCAGGGGCAGCTTGGCCTCTGGCCCCCAACGGTGACTAGAGGAATCACTTCAACAGGCCAAAGAGGGACCTGCCTCCGGCCAGAGGGGTGTTAGCAGGAGAACCCCTCAGGGGTCACTCAGCTCCCCATCTTCTCGACTTCAAGGCAGAGGGGAATTTATAGTTGGGGGCTGCCCCAAAGTAGGGGCCCTTGACAGGGGGTCATGAGTGAGTGAGCTCCAGGGTCTCCACAAACCCTAGAGTTGTGAACAAAATTCTGTGCGTGCATGCATGTGGGTGATGTAATTTGGGGGCAAGGATGCTCACAGGATGAACCCAAATGGTGAGAACTCTGCTCTGGGACATCAGGACTGGGAGCAGCTCCAGGACACCGTGAGGTCAACCCCTACATTGACAGATGAGGAAACAGACTCAGACAGGAGACGTGCTTTGTTCAAGATCACCCTGAAAGTTGGTCTCCAGGCCAAAGCATGCGTCTGGAGCAGTGTTTCTCAGTGCTGTTGTGGGGCGCTCTGCACCTGTATCCCTGGGGAGCTGGTCAAAGAGATCCTTGGCCCGTTCCCAAAGGTACTAACATTATCTTGGCAAACCAGAGTTTGGGAGCCTCTGTGCTAGAGGACAGGGCATGTGTCTGTGTGTACATATGTGCACATGTGTGCTGTGTGTGTGGAGTTGACTATCAGAGCTGTGGCTAAGAGCAGGGCTCTGGGTCCCAAACAGTGCTTTGCTACTTGTTGGGTGACCTTGGGTAAGTCATCTGGCCTCTCTGTGTTTCAGTTTCTTCATCTGTAAAACGGGCAGAATAATCGTATCACCATCTACCTCCTGGGATCATGGTGGGGATTAAACGAATTGATACAGTGAGCCCTAAGCACACTGCCCAGCAAGGTACCTGCTCACTTTTCCTACCGCCCTTGACTTGGGATTTGGGGCTGACAGGTTTGCTGGATGAATCTTCTCAAAATAAGGATACGCTTTAGTCTGGGTGGTGGCTGATTCACATTCCAAGGTAGTCAGCCCCGTGTGGGAGCCCCTAAGCTTTCCCCACTCTCTGAGCGCCTCTTCCTGAGAAAGTCCATCATGTGCACTGCCCGCAGTTCTCCCTGCCCTGAGCACTGGGCCAGGGTCTTCCTGGCCGGGGTCCCATCCAATTCTGTGACCATCTAACCCCAGGGAAATGGCAGGTGCTCAGAGAAAGCTGGGAGCCTGTGCCTTGAAAAGCATTACTAAAAAGATGATGAGCCGACTCTGCCCTGGGAAGCACATGATGCCTCACATAGGGTGCCCTTCCATGGGGCACTGGACTGCACATGGGCTGGGAGTCACAGCTCCACAATTTTGGCCATTTGACCCACACACATTTATTGTGCAGAGCTGAGGCCTTGTTCTTTGTACTGGGGATACAGTGTGAAAAAGACTAGAATTTCTGCCCTTGTGGAGACCCCATTCTAATGAAGGGCAGAAGAGGAAGGAGACAGAAGAGAAAATAAGTAAAATTAGTGATGTATCACACAGTTCTGAATGCAGTAGAGGAAAATGGTGCAAGCAATGGGCACAGGCGGCCCCAGGGCAGGTGCGGGAGGGGTGCGATTTTAGAGTGGTTAAGTAGGTTTCACTGAGATGCCATTTGAGCTGAGACCTGAAGGGTATAGAGGTGAGCCATGTGGATGCATGAGGGAAGCATGCTCCAGGTACCAAATGCAAAGGCCTACATTAGCTGGCATAATACTAGCTGCTAGTAACATATAAAACCCCATCAAAATAATTGATCCCTAGCTCACTATTTTTATTTATTTTTGAGACAGGGTCTCACTGTCATTCAGGCTGGAGTGCGGTGGTGCCATCACGGCTCATTTAGCCTCAACCTCCCGAGCTCAAGAGATCCTCCCACCTCAGCCTCTCAAGTAGCTGGGACCACAGGCATGCACCACCACACCCTGCTAATTTTTTAAGTTTTGTTAGAGACAGGGTCTCACTATGTTGGCTAAGGCTGGTCTTGAACTCGGGCTGAAGCAATCCTCCCCCCTCGACCTCCCAAAGTGTTGGGGTTACAGGCGAGAGCCATTGTGCCTGGCTCCAAACTCACCCTTTATAATAGCACCAATCCCACCCATGAGATGGAAGCCCAGCTGGGCAGTGGCTCCCTAGCAACGCGGTACCCTGTGGAGGGAGTGTGAACCTTCCATGGCTAGACGTCTCTGCTGTGACCCTGGGTGGTTATGTGCCCGGATGTTCAAGGAGCAGCAAGAAGACCAACTGGCTGGAGTCAAGAGAGAATTTTGGGTGATGGAACCAATATTCTTTGAAGGCAAAGACAGCAGGACTGGATGTGGGTGTGAAAAGGGAGTCAAAGCCATGTCCTGGCATTTTAGGGAGTGCCAAATGGCTTGGGCACTGGGAGGATGGAGATGCCATTTACTGACACAGGAAAGCAGTAGGAGGAGGTCTGGGTGGGGTGGGGGATTAGGAATTTGCTTCTGGACGTGTTGAGATGCTATTCAGACCTTCAAGTGGAATCCTGAGCCCCTTGGAGCCTCAGCTCCTCACCTGCAAAATGGGGGTAGCCAGGCTTACCTGGCATGTGGCTGAGGGGATTTCCTGAGAGGTGAGAGGTGGCAGGTGTGGGGTCAAGGGCAGTGAGGAGCAGGGGTGGGGCTGGGGTGGAGAAGGGCCTCTCAGAACAGCCCACTCCCTCCTCAGCCACGCAGGTCAGGTGGATGTGTCTGGCAGTCCAGTAAGGAGCTCATGGCGGGGGCCTGAGATCCGGGCCTACTCCTTGCCATGGGACCCATCCCAATGCCTCCGTGCTTCTGTTTCTCATCTGACAGTGGAGCTGGGCTGTGGGCCTCAGCACAACTGCGAGGAGCTAGCAGGAGGCTTGCAGGTGCCTGGGCAGGCAGCAGGCACTGTCACACACATCCCTGCTGAAGTGGAGATCCCACCTGCCCCCAGCCCTGGGGGGGGTCACAGACCCCCTGGACCACACAACTCTTATGGCAGAGGCTGTCACAAAGCATTAATACTTTTATTCCCATCAGTGATGCTGACGGGCCTGACCCTTTATAGAGAAAAACATTAGGAAAACAGAAGTGGGCAGGGACCCTGGGAGCCTCCATTCTCAATGCCCCACCCTTTACCTCTCTGCCAGTGTCAGCGCCTTCAAACCAGAAGGTATGGGGATGGCCTGGTGGGGTGGGCCACACATGGGGCTCCCCAGGCAAGGCCACCTGCTGACAGAGGTGAAGGCGAGGGCAGGGAAGCCAGGGCCCAGCAAAGCTCTTCTGGCGCAGGCAGCATACGGAGAAGGGCGACGGGTGGGTTGTTCTCCTTGGTTACTGGTCCTGGGCTTTCAGTGCCCTGCGGCAGCCTCACGGGGGCCCCTGCTGGCTCCGCCTCTCCTCCAGCGCCCGGCACACCCACATGGACACCACGGCGGCATTTCCATCATTGAACTGCACGATGAACGGGTGGCCCTGCGGGGAAGAGGAGGAGGCTGTGACAGGCAGTCCTCGGACTCCCGCGCTCATTGTACTTTCCAGGGCCTGCCCTCAGCCTGGATCTGATCTCTTTCCCCAGTAACCCTGTGAGGTAACGAGGGAGGCTATCAGCTCCATTTCACGGCCTAGATAATTGAGGCCCAGGGACGAGCAGTGACATACTGGTAGTCAGCACCAAGCGTGTGGAGTGCTGGCTGGCACATCTCAGACTCTGCCACCTCTTCCTGAGGCTCGCACTAGCCTGGAAGGTGCTTAAGGGCGAGGGCCTGTCTTCGCTGCACACTCTGCCTGGCCCTTCCTCTGCCCGGCATCACTCGCACGGCCAGTCAGCCGAGGCCTGGCACTGTGTTGCCAGCTTTCCGGTTCAGTTGGTGCCCAGAGACCAAAGAATCATCTCGTCAGAGGCTATGTCAATCCCTTTTAGCTTTCTCCTTTGTCTACAGCTCTCCTATAAAAAGAAGTCACCACCTGCAATTGGAGGGAAGGCAAACATGTCAGGGGAAGTGGGGAGGGGGAGGAATGTGCTGGGCTGTGCACAGGATCTCTGGGTTCCTGGTGAGAAGTTCCATTGGGGGCTGGACTCTGGAGGGGCCGGCCCTGTTGCCCTGTGGCCTGCCTCTGGTTCTAACCCACTTATCACACAGGCAGACCAGATTCTATTTAGCCAGTTCTCTTCTCTGCTGTCCTGAAGCACCAAGATTTACATCCACAATCTTAGGGCCTCCTGGGAATTCCCAGGGAAGGTCAGAAAAAAGCAGGGACAACCCCAGGGTTACCAGGCCACAGTCAGAGGTGAAAGGAAAAGTGAAAAGCCTTCTTTTTCTTCCTCTTCACCAAGTGGCTTCTTGCCCAGGAACTTACACCAAGTGGCTTCCTCTCCTACCCAAAACTGTGCAGCTTGCATGGTGAGACTCGGGGAGCCATAGCGAGGACAGAGAATGGGGGAGATGAGGGCGCCATGTGCCTGCCCCCAGCTCTTCTCCCTCCCTGTCCAGCGGCCGCTTCCTCGCTCCCCCCAGCTCTCTCCTCCCTCCAGCTTCCTCAGCCCCTCTTGGGCCTGTCCTCCACCTGCACAGGCTGGGCTTTCAGGGTTGCTTTCCCAGCACACCCCAGCCTTGACTGCAGCCCTAGAGAGGCTGCTTAAAGAGCCGCATGGCCTCGCCACGAGCTCATCACAAAGCCAGGAGGGATGTGGACCCTGGCTGTCCCAACCTCAGCGCCTGCAGGGGCTGTCAAGGACCAGGCCTGGGTAGAGCAGGGGACGGCATGGCCCCTCTGGACCACAGGTCAGAACTGTGGGGGACAGGAGAATGCTCAGGCCGCCTCATCCTAGGCTGATGCAGTGCCCGCCCCCAACCTTCTCATTCGAGGTTGGGAAACCTGCCCTGGGGACACCCTGCGTGGGTCTATCTCAGAGGCACACAGAGCACTGTCAGAGCTGCGAGGAGGAGGAGGAAACTCGGCTTCGAAGATGCCAAGGCACTCAACCCCGGGCAGGGACCCGCTGAGACTGGGGTGGAGCTAGGCCTGGAGCCCAGCTGGGTACTTCCCATAATCTGCTCATAGCACTCTGGGAGGCTCCTGACACACCTGCAGGACCCCTAAGGGCACAGGGGCCATGGAGGCCAGGCTGGGTGTGGCCCTGTGGATGGCAGAGGTTTGGTCTGGGGCCTGAGCAGGAGAGGCCCAGGAAGGACTGGATTTTGGCTTCCAAGTGTTCTCCTCCCCATATATATGCCCACCCCACGGCTGCTTTCCCAAATCGCTGCCTAGACAGAGGAAATCCTTCCCAAAGTCCAAGCGTGCACACTTCCTCTCAGGAGGCTCAGGAGGGGCGACCTCGTGCCCTTCTAAAGAACAAAGGGAGAAGCTGTGCTCACGAGTGACGGGCCCCTCCCCCCACGCCCGGGGTAACACAGTGTCACTTTCCCAGAATGCCGGGTGACTTTGGGGCCCATATGCTCCATCTCTGTTATCATCTGTTCTGGAACAAGCAGAGCGGAACTGCAGGAGGGAGCGTAGAGGCGTTCCTCCACATTCCAGAAGGGCGGATGGCCGCACTGCAGGGAGGCAGTTTGCCCAAGTGCCCCGGTAGGCGAGGGGAGAGGGCTGCTCAGCTGCAGCCATACTCAGCTCCGGTGGAGATGCCGGCCTCTCCTGCCCTCCTCAGCTGGGAGGTGACCTCGTCTCCTGCTGCTGCTGAGGCATGTTGTATCCCCGATACTTTACCCCACCTGCAAGGGAAGCGACCTGGACCCACTGCCTTTGTCCCAAGCCACTGTTGATTGGTTTAGGGTGGTTGCCTGACAGGGAGAATCACAGGGGACAGACATGGAGGGGACCCAGCGTCCTAGGCTGTGCACTGTGGACTTGGTAGCTGCTGGCAGCTGTTCACCACCATTTGACTGGACACAACAGAGAAAGCCAGTGTGTAGGACCCGAGAGCAGGAGGTGCTGTCCAGAGGCAGGCAGGCGGGGGGTCGTGACGGCACTGGAGACCCTGGGGCCATTACACCCAGAGCCTGGCAGCGTCTCTGCCTGCAGGGTCCACACGGTCACAGGATCCTGTGAGGCACCTCACAGGCTGGGGCTGGTTTCTGTTATTTGCAGCCAAAGAAGTGTTAACTCACACAGGTGGGCACAATCACCTCCACTTTACTGATGGAGGCTGCAGGGTCACAGCTGACCTGCCTGAGCTCCCAGACATGGGACTGAACCACAAGTCTGTAACCCAAACCCACTGCCCTGGGCTCTTCCTGGATAGAGGAGGGAGAATCAATATTCAGATTGCAATTCCCCCTCATCTTGTTTCTACCTTGGCGACTCAGGCCTGCCTAGCCAGAGGTGCAACCAGGGCTGCAGGCTGTAAGCCTAGACCATCCCAGGTCTTGACCTCTATCAGCACTGTCCCCTGGACACACTGGGAGAGTCACTGACTCCCCCTCCTCCCATCAGCCCTGCATGGGATTCAGGGAAAATACACCATGACCCCCATGTTAGAGGAGAGGACACTGAGGCCCAGGGAGGGAAGACAGGGGTTAGGAGCTGGCACTGAGCTCATGTCTCCTGGTTTCTATTCTGGAGTATTCTCGGGGCTGGCCTGGCTCCCCTGGGACCCTGGCAGGTGTGGCTCTCTCCTTCCTCCTAGACTGTAACTGACGCCCTTAACCCTGTGACATGCACAATGCAGGCATTCCTCATGAGTTTAGCAAGCAAACAAAATCTGATGGAGAATTTGGGAGGAAGCACAAAACTCACTTGGCCACCCAGAGGTGCCCGAGTTCCACACAGCCAGATGCCCTAGGCATCTTGGCAAGGCCAGACTCTTAAAGATGGATGGAGATAGCACACTGAATAATACCAAGTCCAGCTGGGAGGTGACCCCATCTCCTTCGTATTACTGATGAGGCACATTGTATCCGTGATGCTTTACACCACTCTGCAAGGGACTGACTTGGACAAGGAGTGCTGTGTGCTAGGCATTTGCCAAAGGTTTGTCCTGATGTGCCCACTGGCTCCCATGCTCACTGTGGCCCACACACAGCTATGCATCTCCATTGTGCTGAAGAGGAAACTGACACTCAGTGTGCAGAACTTGCCCAAGGGCAACCAACCAGGCAGTTGGGCTAGAACCAGAACATGGGTCTCCGACTCCAAACGCCTTGCTCTCCTGTGCCTGCAATCAGACAGCCAACCTCGAGGCTCCTTGCAGTCTCCAGCCCCTGCGGCTGGTCCCTCCCCTGGGCTTGGGTGAAATGTACATCCCTCCCAGGCAGAGGAATCCAGATGCAGGCAAGCTCTTGCAGCCCCATCAGGCTATAAGGAACAATGGAAGCGCGGCATGGTGCAGCTCCCTGGAACCCAGGCACCAATACAGATGCTTGTCAAGAGCATCTTCCACCCACGGTGACCGCCCCAGGCATCTAGGCCTCCGTCCTTCACGCGGAAAGCATGTTAGCACCATTTCTGCACAGCCATGTCTGTGGAACCTGGCAGTGCCAGGCTGGAGCTGCTGAAAGATCTTGCTGGCCTCATCACCAGGCAGTGAGAGCCACTCTCATTCCCTGGATTCTCTGAGGGCCAATTGCAACAATTAAACTGACGAGGGTTGAAGTTATTATAGTCCACAGACTTTGCCACAGAAGTTGGAGACACAATGAAGGGAAAAGAACAGGGCTGCCAGAGGCAGGATGACTCCAAAAGTGGGACACAGGGGAGAGTCGGGAGGTGCCGGCATCACCTGGGCAGACACCCTCACCAACAGGGCTGAGAAGCACAATGAGGGACATTGGTGAAAATATCATAGTCATGAAGATGAATTGTGGTTGCTCACCGCTCCCTCTCATGAAGATGAATTGTGGTTGCTCACCGCTCCCTCCTCCACCTGGGCTTTAGTCAGTGTGTCACTAGTTTGACTCTTTGCCTCTGTACTAACGTCCCTAATTCCTGGCCACATGTTCCACTGTGCTGAGATGCCTTCCTGATGGACTGACAGCAGGACACTCCCGGGCCCCTCCCACGTGGAGGCAGGGGGCAGGGCTTGGTGTGCTCATCTTGTGGGCAAGAATGGAGGCTCCGAGCCTGCCGCAGTGTGTGGGTGCTGCCTGAGGCCTGTGGGGCTGGACTTCCAGTCCAGTGCTCATTTAATGACACCTCGCTGTCTGCCCTTAGTTGGGCTTTGAGCTTCTTCTGAAATAGGAATGTACCTATTTGGGGTCCCCATACTTTCATCTCTTTCTATAACTTTCTAGAGAATATAATGCATTTGAATAATTTAATAACTTGCTGGTGTGGCTGCAGGGCCTGGTGCAATGCCTGCATGTGGTAGGCCCTCATGAAAAGGTGACTTCTATATTCTGTATGTATACATCTACTTACTGAGCACTTGCTGTGTACAGGCATTGGCTGAATGCCTTACATCTGACCACAGCTCTCCTGAACCCTCCCGGCACCCCCATTTTATAAAGGAAACTAAAGCTCTAGGAAGCTTGATATTATGTGGCAAGGTCATGGAGAAAGTGGCAGAGTTAGAGTTTAAACCCAGGACACTCTTCTACCATGGAAGACACCACACTGCCTGCCTACTGGTGGTGTCTCTCTGGGGAGATGGCTCCATAAGCTGTGGCTGCTCTAGACATTTGGTGGCTCTCTGGACCACAGGACTGCTCTGCCTCAGGGTGAGCACCAAGCACATCCTCTCCCACCAAGGATGCTGCATGGGATAGGAGGCCAAGGACTCATGAACCTGTTGAAGCAGTAAGCCTGGCCTAGTAAAGACTCCAACAAGCTGCTGTTGGGACAGGGCAGCCCTGTGATCAGGTGACTGCCCTGTAAATGGTGATTTGAGAGGCCGAAGGGACCTCCACATGCCAACCCACTGCCCATCCCTTTGCCTTTCATTGCTGGACCTGTGAGCCTTGCTTGAAGGCTCTATGCATCTCCCTTTAGGATTCCAGCCCGCTTGGCTGTGATAACACTTCTGTCCCTTCTCACACTAATGGAGTGTTAGGACTAGATGGGATCTCACAGTCCAGCGGAGCCATAGGGTGTGAGGTGCTTTGGGGGCTCTGCAGCGGTTTCAAATTCTGTTAAGAAAATTTTTAGCTACAGTTTTAAAAACGGATTTAAAAAAATAACATACACTCAACTATGGTCAAAGGGTTACACTGAATACTGGTGATCTGTTACCTTGTACTGTGGTGTTACTTTTTGCAGCTTTTAGAGTCCGCTTATTAGATCTGTGCATATTATTCAACTTCTTACATGGCAAGCATGGGCTAGGAGGGCTGCTGTGGTGCACTGGTCATTTGAAAAAAGACGTCCACTTAGGACGTACACATGCATGTGTAAAGCTGTGTGAGTGCACCAAAGCCCAGGTACACTGAGCCCCATCACGTACATCGGGGTGGGGGATACAGTGTGGTCCATGGCTCTGAGTTTCTGATGGTGTCAGTTCCCATAAGGTTTGAGTACCATTTGTCTGACCAATATATTTACCATAAACGATTCATATGAACAATTGGTCATTGCTGTCAGTGGCTAACTGTAAAATAAAACATTTCTGCTATTCCTTTGTTAAGCATCTACATTGGTTTGATGGATGCCTAAGTTGGGAAGGCAACTTAGGTGAGTGAGGATTTCCTTGACACTGTGCTGAGACAATATACAGAAATAAGCTGTGTGTAGGTATGAGATTGCCACTGGCCCTTGTGACCCTGGCTCTCAGAATTTTTTGTCCTTTAAGTCTCATGGATGACTTTAAAAAGAAGTGTCTACAATGGATACTAATACATTCATGCTAAAAAAAAACCCCACTTCTACATTAATATTGAAGTCTTGCATTAATTTTACATAATAAAACATGTTCCACTGTTAAAGTTTTAAAGCTACCAATCTAATCCCCGGAGAAAACTTCAGATTAGAGACGTTAAATAATTTATGGGAGGATGCACAGATTTCCACTGTCTGCTGAATTGCTGACAAGTGGCAGGATAGTGGGCAGCCTGATAATATTAATTACATGAGATAATAAATCATAACTATCCCTGGGGCCAACTCTTCCTTCCAGGCTGGGCGTGGCCAGGCTAATCAACAGGAATGGCCAGGGAAGGAGAGGACCTGATAAGTGACTCAGCAAGAGGAAGCCAAAGCATCACAATAACAATCCCCCCCACCGCCCCCCACTCTGCGTGGAGTGACAGCAAGGGCCCCTGGCTAAGAGTCGGTCAGCCCTCCCCTGGCCATCCCACTAGGGCCTCGCCTATAAAAGAGATAATACCAAAGAGTGGAGGGGGCCTCCCTTCTCCTGGCTTCATTCTATATGGAAGTACTGCTGCTGTTGTAACACTCCTGAGCCTTGTCCCCAGGGAGGGAGTGGCAACATTGGGTGGGTGGGCCCACTGGGCAGATCTGTCTGGCCTGCCATCTCATGCTGAGCCTCCAGGCAGGCTCTAAGCCTGCAGGAGGCCTGCAGTTGTTCACCTCTGCGTAGCAAGGCCACTGGGGCCACACTTGTAAATACATCCTCCAATCCAGATTTGTATAGAAGTAAAGCTGATACTTTCTCTCCATCATTTCTGGGTCTCATCTGTCAGCTGGTTTTGAACACAGGGCAGCTGTCTGCAGCTTCCTCACCCACACCAAATACCACCTGCTCTCTCTTCCTCCCGGAGTGGGTTGTAAGGACCAAATGAAGTCACCTGACCCTGGGGTGGTGCTTCACAGATATACTCTGGGCAGGTGAGGGTTATTCCTCCACACAGAGCACAGGTCCTGCACTTGAGGGCACAGGGGTGAGAGGAGGTGCTTGCACCAAAGATGTGGAGTCTTCCTGTCCACATAGCGAGCATACCTGGGCAAATGCCACGAATGCAGAGTTTTCCACACAAGGCATTTGTTCTGAGAACATGCTTTCTTGGCCTCTGATTTATTATTTTTATTATTTTTTTATTTTGAGACGGAGTCTCGCTCTGTCGCCCAGGCTGGAGGGCAGTGGCGCGATCTCGGCTCACTGCAACCTCCGCCTCCCAGGTTCAAGCAATTCTCCTGCCTCAGCCTCCTGAGTAGCTGGGATTACAGGTGTCCGCCACCATGCCCAGCTAATTTTTGTATTTTTAGTAGAGATGGGGTTTCACCGTGTTGGTCAGGCTGGTCTTGAACCCCTGACCTCGTGATGCACCTGCTTTGGCCTCCCAAAGTGCTGGGATTACAGGCGTGAGCCACCGTGCCCGGCTGTCTTGGCCTCTGATTTCTAAAGCTTTTCCATATTTGGGGGTGGGGGTTCCTTGCCAGCCCTTCATTTCCTTTTAAGACCTGGGAAGTGGTATGCAGCTGTGACATGTCATTTCAATCAACCTTCCTGAGTTTATTCTTCATAATTGCTATAGAAATAGATGTTTTTCCCCAAATATTCAATTATTAGCAGCAAATTGCTTACCTCTAGCCATCCTAGACAGTACGCAGGCACCTAAGGGGGTCAAGCAGCTCTCCACTTTTCATCTGAGCAGATCTATGTGTTTCTACACAGAGTAATAGGCCAGAAATGGACCACTGGGAGAAAAAAAATGTTTCCAGAGGTGTCTGTGAGTCATTCTAGGGCCTGTACTTACAGAGCAGCCGCAGGACCAGTGTTGTACGGTGTTGGATGGGGCACAGGATGACTCCAGTGGGCCATGGTGAGGTGGCTAGACACTTGGGGTGCCGACACTCATGAGTTTGTCGGAGGAAGCTGATCCTTGTGAATGGCAGAATTGTGCCACTGGCCTGTTTAAAGGGGGCTGTGGTGGCTGCTCTGGCAGGGGCCTTGGATAGGACTGGGCAGGCTGTACAGTGGGGGATATGCTGGCTGCCTCCGGCAGTTTTGGGCCACGCAGATGCCCAGAGGGATCAGGAGGGAGGATGCCAGAGGAGAATGGACATCTGCTCCAGATGATACTGAGGACTCACCCCTGAAAGGTGGAGTCTGCAGCATGTCCACACTGTGAATATGGGGCCAGTGACAAGTGTCTAGATATTCAAGGTTTGTCTCTGGGGGTGATTGATGGCTGTGTGGTGATGGAGGTTTAAAGACACAATGCTCAGAAGGATGGATTCTCCCTTGTCCTCTGCTTTCCTTACCTCTTGAGTAAGAAAACATTTTAGGCCGGGCATGGTGGCTCATGCCTGTAATCCCAGCACTTTGGGAGGCTGAAGCGGGTGGATCACCTGAGCTCAGGAGTTCGAGACCAGCCTGACCAATACGGTGAAACCCTGTCTCTACTAAAAATACAAAAATTATCCAGGTGTGGTGGCGCATGCCTGTAATCCTAGCTACTCCAGAGGCTGAGGCTGGAGAACTGCTTGAACCCAGGAGGCAGAGGTTGCAGTGAGCCGAGATCACGCCACTGCACTCCAGCCTGGGCCACAGGGTGAGACTCTGTCTCAAAAAAAAAGAACCAATGAAAGATGTGAATTCTCAAATTTAAAAAAAACCAGTGATTTCCAAGTAAAATAAATATAAAATCTATACCTAGAAAAACTATAGTGAAAATGCAAGCACCAAAGAGAAACACATGTTGCCTAGAAAGGGTAGCAATTTGGCAGTCAGGAGATTCTTACCACCAACAGTAGAAGTTAGAGGGCAACAGAATATCTCCAAGGTACTCAGGAGAAATTATCCACTTAAGCTTCTAAATCCAATTAAACTCACAATCAAGAGTTAGGGCAAAGGGAAGCCAATCCTAGAACAAAAACTCAGACTGTTTTACCATTCACAGACCATACTGACACAACTCTTGATGTACTTCAGAAAGGAAAAGAAACCTCCGAAGGAATACAATCACAATGAGGAGTAACTGGCAAGCATGTGGATAAATCTGAACAAGCAGTAACTATATATAAAGCCACAACTGCAGTAATGATTTTTAAGATCTAAAAACAAGGGGACAATGAAATTCTGGACTGTGATAACATGTAAGAAGGGAGTGATCAGAAACTCTAAAACCCTGAAGTCTGGGGGAAAAGGGGCTGCGGTAAGGACTGCTAGTTGCCCCCTGGTATCCATTCTCCCTTTCTTCATTGTGGTAAGAGTTCTGATTTTAGCAGGAAACACTGTCACCTAGCAGAGCAACAGCACTCCCAGCCTCCCTGGGGGTCAGTTTTGGCCAGCGCCATGTGAACAGACACAATGTGTGCCGGTTCCTAGAAATTCTGTCCTTAAAAGAAGAGGCAAGCATTTCCACACCCTTTCCTCCTTTCCTGCTGGCTGGAGCTTGAATGTCCCTTAAGCAGCTGCCAGATCAGTCTGGACACCCTACTTCCTGTCTGCTTTAACATGAGTGAGAAACACCCTCCTGTCTTGTTTAAGCTACTATTTGTTTTTTATTATATATAATTGAAGCTAACTTAGGGATAAGCAATTAGAGGCCAGAAACAGAATATGATTCCAAACCAATGTAAAACTAAATGTGAAGGAAAAAACCGGATATGTTAAATAGTTTGGATATTTGACCTCACTCAAATCACATGTTGAAATGTAATCACCAATGTTGGGGATGGGGCCTGGTAGGAGGTGACTGGAACAGGAGGTGGAGTTCTCAAGAAAGGAGTGAGTTCTCACAAGATCTGATCCTTTAAAAGTGTGTGGCACCTCCCCACTACCCACTGTCTCTCTTGCCTATATTTTTGCCATGTGATGTGCCAGCTCCCCTCTTGCCTTCTGCCATGATTTTAAACTTCCTGAGGCCTTATCAGAAGCTGAGCAGATGCCCTGAGCCATGCTTCCTGTACAGCCTGCAGAACTGTGAGCCAACTAAATCACTTTTCAGGTTACTCAGTCTCAGGTGTTTCTTTGTAGCAATGCAAGAATGGCCTAAAGAAACCTTACTGCAATACAATGGACAAAGAAGAAAAAAGAAATCAAAAAAGTAGAGAGAAAGTACAAAATAGGACTGTACAAAAAACTCAAGTATATCAACAAACAATAAATATAAATGATTAATCAATTAATAGAGCCTTAGTTAAAATTTAAAACATCAACAACAAAATGCAGAGATTCATGTAAAAGAGCACAGAAGTAAAGGATAATCAAACATAGCAAATACTAACCAAAAGAAGATGGCATAGCTATATTAATATCAACAAAAAATAAAATTTAAAGGAAAATATATTAGAGATAGAATCACCTCATAAAGACAAAAGAAATACTTTGAAATGAAGACACAATATTTTGACATATGCAACTTAACATTACTGCCTTAAAACATATAAAGCAAAAATGGACAGGAATGCAAGGAGAAACAGACACAGACACAATAGTAGTGGGAGATTTTAGCATACCTCTCTTAGAAATTGATAGATAATGCAGGTAGGAAATTAGTACAGCCACGAAATATTTGAGAAACACAATAAAGTTGATCTAAAGGATGTCTATAGGACATTGCATTCAACAATTAGAGAATATATACTTTTTTCAAGCAAAGAGAGAACACTGGGGGGAAAAACCAAATGACCATGTTCTAAGGGAGTCTAAACAAGTAACAAAGATCTGATGTTATACATAGCATGCTCTCTGACCACAGTGGATTAAAATTAGGTAATAACCACAAGATAACAAAACATCTTTCACTACTTGGAGATAAAAAATACTTCTAAATAATTTGGTGTAAAAAAGTCCTAATTGAAATTGAAAATTACTTAGAATTGAAGGACAATGAAAACACTGCATGTAAATACTTGTTGGATGCAGCTAAAGCAATATTAGCAGGCAAGTTCATAGCTTTATAGGCATATATTAGGAAAAAATATTGAAAATTTATGAGCTAAGTGTTTAATACATTATAAAAAGAACAAAAAGCATAGCTAAAGAAATCATAAGATGGCAAATAATAAAGAACATGAAGGAATTAAATAGAAAGATGTCATGAAGATGATCAAAATTGGTAAACAGAAAACAAGTAAATATCAAGAAGGGAAAAAAGATACATAACCACAAATCCAGTCAAAATTGAAAAATAAGGGCCTACCATATGAATGATATGAAGCCAACATTTGAAAAATGCTGAGAGTGACGACTCACAACAGCAGAAAGGGAGTGTGAGATGATGAGAAGTGGAGAAGTGATAATGGTGGTGGCTGGCAAGGTGCCAATGAGCACTGACAAAACATCACCCACCGCGGGGGCGTCAGAGGTTTCAGAGTCCTATCATCATAGTTTTAACTTTTCAAAGCATTTCATATCTATTGTCTCATCTTATTTCAAGAAGCAGCCAATTAAGTAAAGGCTGCTACCCCTTTAAAATCTTAGTAACAGTTTTTCTAGTTCCTTAACAGGGAGAAACAAACCATTTACACAAAGACTGAGCCAAAGTGGAAAATTTTTGCTGCTATCAAATCAACAAAAAATACAGAGGAAAAAATTGCTAGACACTGGACATCAAAACATCAAAACTTTGGGTAAATGTAAATAACGCTAAATGAAGTACCGTCTTTTTTTTTTTTTTTTTTTCAGCTGTGATGTTCCAGAGTTACCCGACCCTCAGTGGAATGGGCTGCTGAGGGTCAGGAGTGCAGGGAGCTGGCTGGGGAAAATTTGGAAGAAGAGCGTAACAAAGGTCAAAGTCATCAGACCTAGTCTAGTTTTCTACAGGATTGAAAATTACCAATTATTCTCAAGTTTCTGCTATTAGCGACCAATGTTTTCCATCTGAAACAGACCCCTCCTTTTTTAAAAAAGGAAATGCACAAAAAGGAAGCAAACTCTTCGAAAATTCTGATTGTTTTGCATCCCAGCAGCAAATAAAAATCATCAATAGAACTCACTCTTAGCCTTGAGCAATATTTTCTAAAACAAAACACAAAGAACCTGTGGTATTTAACTATTCTGTTATTGATTTACTGTGGTTTCCAAGGTAATGTTGAAGAAAATTAAATGTACAGAAGCCTGAAATGCGTTTTTGATGGTGGTGACTGGTGTGACCTGCATTTTCCAAGGTGGTGTCACTGGTCATGGGCAGAATGAATGACTGAGGGAGCACACTTTGGTTACAAATAAGCTGGCCACCTTCACTGCAGAGCCTCATGAAACCAAAGTCTATTTCCACTGTTAAGAAAGACAAGTTATTCAGTTGCAAGCTTCCTTCTAATGGTAGCTGTGTCTATTTTACCAAGGGTCTTTAATTCAATAAGATTCACTATGGATGTGTGGAGCGGTTTCTATGTGCCTAGATCTAAGTCTGGTTTTAGAACCTAAGGACTTTCCCTGGCACATTCATGACTCTTTGGTCCTCTCAGAAAATAAAACCTCAACAGTTTGAAGTCCACCTTAATTACTGATTCAAGATCAAAATAATCATATTGCTTCAAACTTGGACATTTATATACAACGTGATCAAAGAGTATATTTTCTATACAGTGAAATGGCCAGTTTCCAAATCTAGGGGCACTTTACAATCTATAGACCACTATACTTTGACACCCTTATCTCAGACTAAGAATATGGAAGTTAAACTAGAACTTGAACATTTTAATTTTAGGTAGTGCCTCAAGCTTTTCCTTAAGCCAGCTTTCTTGTATTTTAGACTTGATTCTAACAAGCTTAGTATCTGATTTCCCAATTAAAAGCACAAGAGAAACAGCCAAATAGAAGGAGAAGACGAAGGTGTGTTAAAGGGAGGAACAAGAACAGCAGCAAGAAATGACATCTACTAGCAAAACTATACAACAAAAACAAAAAACCAGCTTGGGGTCAACCAGCCTAGGGACAAATGGCCCTACTCGTGTCAATATCAGGAGATACTGGTATAGAACATGGCAAATAGACAATGTCCATAATAATGAGCTAAAGAATTTTTTGTTTTTTTTTAGAGATGAGGTCTCACAGTGTTGCCCTGACTGGAGCACAGTGGCTATTCACAAGCACAATCATTCCGCACTACACCTTTGAACTCCTGGGCTCAGATGATCCTGTTTCAGTTTCCCGAGTAGCTGGAAGTAAATTTAACTTTGTAAAAAATTAAATCCTGATGCATGTAATCTGTTTAAGAGGATAGAGCAGTGTTATAACACATTTAAGACCTCTTGCTTGTAATTTTTTAAAGTTTGATTTTATAAAGAATACACTACAGTTATCTGAATAATTTTCTTACATGGAGCAGCTCATCCACCTATGATGTTGCCATGTGAGTTTTAGAAAATCCATATTAAACACAATGAAGGCTCTCACTTTGCCCACTTTTCTGTAAAGTTTGCCATGAAGCACCATGTGATCTCACGGGGACAGACAAGCTTGCCGATCCTCTGAATTCATTAAAGACATACGGGGCCGCTTTGGGCCCAAGTTTACCTTGGCTTCTTTGCAGAGAGTTTGATTACTTTTAAGATTTATGGTCAAAGCGGGGGGCGGAAAAGAAATATCTCACAGAGCAGATTTACAACTTCATCTTGATTTTTAATACCATTAGGGATGACATCCAATGACATAATCTTGGAATGACTGCAGGGTGACTCAGAAACTCAGTGGGAAGTTTTATATTTTAGGGTCTGGAGCATTTTGTAGTTGCAAGGTCAGGTAGGAAAGGACCAGGGAAATGAGCCAGAGAGACGGTCAGAGAGTGAGTGTCAGCTGGTTTAATTTTCTGTGTCAACCCCGAAAATTAGATAAACAATGACAAACCAGGCTTTTTAAATGAACTTGTCACTTCTGGTTTTCTTGATACAGAGCAACATTTTTCAAGTCCTGGTAGCCCCAAAGACAGATTTAACCCCTGAGAGGTGTATCCAAGTGTTTCAAAGACCTCACATCTAAAAATAAAAGGTTTAGTCTAACCCTATACCCCTTAAGAGAAAAACTAATTATCCTTGAAATTTAAATACTCTTCTCATAACAATTAAGGGGACTTTGCCTAGAGCCAGAAGGTCCAGTCTTTTGCAGGAGGGTCTTAGCAACGTCCTAGTTTTTTTCTTTCCACCAGACCAACTCAACCCTTCAACACAGTTCCTTTGATCTTAACCTCCTTTTGCAAACCTGACCTCCCACCACTGTTCTAAGCAATACTGTCCACATTGAGCAGGTATTGGCTCTCTTCTCACCAATGCAGGTGAGCAGAGACCTGGCCCTGCCCCTCCTCTGCCTGGTGCTCTGTCGTTATGAAGAGGTAGGAGGTAAGAATTGCCCTGACTTTTATATGCTTTGTGCTATTTTAAGTCTTTGTTGCAGCCATGACATTCTCCCTGGTGGTGAGGGGAACAGATCAGTGAATCTTCCTAATAGCTGCTCCTACTGCCTTTGCTGTAAGGATATTTATTTAAAGACAACCCAGTTTGAATATGTTGATTTGGAGAGAGAAATGCTTATATTTACTGATACCAGCATTTGAGTAGTGGTTTTCATTCTACAACCGGCTTTCAAGCTCATTATCTTATTTCAGTGTCACAACAACCCCATAAAGCAGCTGGATGGCATTACTGTTACTTCCCTCAATTTGTGGATTTGGCCAAGGTAGAGCTGGGATTTGCACTGGATGTCAGCTCCCAAACCTGTGCCTTTTGTGATGATGTGCAATATAATAGCAGCCAGTTGTGAGCACTTACCCTGTGCCAGGTGCTCACTAGGTGCTTTCATTTACATTAGTTCATGTGATCTCCAAAAGCCCTATCAGAAAGTAAATGATAACCTATTTTATAAACAAGGACACTGCACTCTAAGATGGTAATGATGCCTGAGCCCAAGTTTCTTGAGGTTCTTGGCCTTCACAGGTCAGTCTTTCCCCACACTCCACAAGTGGTCAAAACAAGCCCCTGCATAACAAAGTCAGAGTCTGCCTTAGAGAAAATATGAAACAGGTGATTTGAAGCCCTTTGATCCTTCAGTCTTTGCCTCATCCCTCAACTCCAATGCCCCTTTTCCTGTTTAATGCAGAAGAGTCTCCTCTTCCAAAGCTTCAAAGTCATCTTATGCCAGCTAACTGCTGACATTAAGCCAATTCACAGGAAAGTATGAATAACTTAAGAAGGGCACTAGGGCCATGTGCATTTGAAAAGAAGATGCTTGGCTCCTGCCCAGCTGCAGCTCGGATGTCTCACAGGTGGACTATTCATGGCGTGAGGAGCTCTCTCTGGGTAGACAGGTAATAATTTACCTGTGGTTTCCAGGAGTCCTATGGATTTCATTCTCTACAACACAGCTTATTCCCCCTAGCTCTGACTCGTCTTCTGTAAAATATGGAGAACAGCATCAACCTCACAGGACAGTGTGTGTGAAATTCCCAGCCCAGAGGCAGTTCCATAGTCATAACTATCAGTGGCCTAAATTTTGCAGTACTTATCATACTCCTTTTCTAAGGAAACTTTTATAACACCTAACACATGTTCAGCACTAAGTGTGGCAGACATTAGGACACAGGTTTTTTTTTTTTTGTTTGTTTGTTTTTATGTGACTGGCTCTCCTGACAGCTGCAGTAGAGAATTAAAGGCTGCTCTCCACATCTTAAAGACCCTCACCACTCAGTAAGCAGCCCCTCCTCTGAGCCTCAGCCCTAAAGACCCAACTTGCTCCCCATTTAAAACAAGAATGAGCAGACTTCTGGGTTTAGAATTCCATGTAACTAAACCACAAAATAGAAAAAAGGAATCCCAACTGTTGCACTTGTGCACAGCCTACAGACAAGACGGCAGTGCCCTCAGACAGCATTTCAAATACAGTTTATTAGTGTGTGATATGAAAAGGGTATTTTTATTGCATGATATAATGCAATGGGACCTTGGGCGCTCTGTGGAAAGACCTCACACTCAGAAGTGTAATGAACCCGTAGTCCCAAAAACATTATACTGTACATTAACCTATCATTAATGGCACATTAGGGCTAGGGGCATTGCACGCTTGCTGGTCAGGGCTCCATCAGGACAGTGTTGAGAAAACCACACAGTCTTCCCAGGCTTAAAACAAATAGAAAAAATAAATATTCCTGATGTCTACAGGCTGCTTTAAAGGAAGTTCAATCCAGCTCTGCCTTGCAATTTCCAAGCCTGCTTTTTTAAGAGTGGAAGAAAGATACACAACCAAACAAAGGGAAAAGAAAACGACTCTCTTGTAGTTTACCCCCAGCTATTGGCTATTCAACCTCAATGTTGCTTGACAAGGTCATGAGCAAATAGCACCTTGGTAGTGTAAAAGCTGCCCAAAGGACACTCGGGCCTGGACCACAGACTGCAGAAGTGGGATGGGGCCTTGGAAATTGTGTCCACCCCCTTCACTGTCTAGATGGAAAAATCAATCTTCAACAAGATGAAGGAAGAGACAACACATTCAACAGAAAAACAGGCAAAGAATGTGAAAAAAAAAATGTGACCAACAAACATATGAAAGAAGTGTTAATCCTCATACTTAATAAAATAAACATAAATTAAAATGATTAGATCCTTTTTTTTTTTTGAAACAGAGTTTTGCTCTTGTTGCTCAGGCTGGAGTGCAATGGTGCGATCTCGGCTCACTGCAACCTCCACCTCCCCGGGTTCAAGCAATTCTCCTGCCTCAGTCTCCAGAGTAGCTGGAATTACAGGGTCCCCCCACCACACCCAGCTAATTTTTGTATTTTTAGTAGAGACAGTGTTTCACCATGTTGGCCAGGCTGGTCTCGAACTCCTGACCTCAGGTGATCCACCTGGCCTCCCAAAGTGCTGGGATTACAGGCGTTAAGCCGCCACGCCTGGCCAACTAGATACCATTTTGCCACTGATTAGGTTGGCAAAGATTAAAATCTGATAATTTAGTATCAGAAGAGATGAAGAAGAAGAGCTAACATTCTCATATCCAGTATACAAAGATGTATACATAGAGACACAGTCACTGTCTTAATAACAAAAAAATATGGAAATGGTCAAAATATCCTATGACAGGGTCCTGGATAAATAAATATGATACATCCATAGTATGGAATACTATACAGCCATTAAGAATAAGGTTGATCTTTATATTATATGGAAAGACCTCAATGACTCACTAAGTAAAAAAGCAAGGTGCAGAATAAAAAGAATTAAAAATTCTAGAAGGATACCCAAGCTACTATTAACAATGCTTATCTCTAGAGATTAGGGCTGGAAGATATGGAGGATTGGAAGGAGACTAACTTCTTACTGTATATCCTTCTGTACTGTGTAATTTTTTTTTTTTTTTTTTGAGACAGGGTCTCTCTCTGTCACCCATGCTGGAGTGCAATGGTACAATCATGGCTCACTGCATCCTCTACCTCATGGGCTCAAGTGATCCTCTCACCTCAGCATCCTGAGAAGCTGGGACTACAGGCAGTGCCACCATGTCCAACTAGTTTTTAAGTTTTTGTAGAGACAGGGTCTCACTATGTTGCCCAGGCGGGTCTCGAACTCCTGGGCGAAAGTGATCCTCCTGCCTCAGCCCCCCAAGAGCTAGAATTAAGCATGATCCACCATGTCTGGCCAAATTTTTAATCATAATTTAAAAACTAGTTTTAGCAAATAAATATGGATGATGGCAGGAATAAACATTGCTTATGAACCTATTATTTTCCAACTACTATATTAAGTGCTTATGTGCTTCACCTTATTTGCCTTTTTACAAAAACAGTAACAGTAAATTGGTCACTATTATCCCCTTTCCATGCAGTGGGTACTAAAGTTTCCAGGGGTGAAGTAACTTGCTCAAGGTGACTCTCTTACCCATCTACCTTCAATAATGAAGCAGAGTATTTATAAAATAGAGAAATACTTTCCAAACTTAAGACAGCCTGAGGCTACCTTCCTGGGGACAGCCTGTATAACCCAGCAGTGATACAAGGAGGTGAGTGGAAGGCAGGACAAAAGGCTGCTGACTGGCTGAGGCCAAATCAAATTTCTGGAAACATCTTATCTCCATATAAAAAAAAGGGGAGAAGGCCTGGGGGCCCCAGAGCTATACATTGTTTAAGTAAATAATGCTTGCAACCAGGGACTCAAATATATAAAGCAAAGTAGTTCCCTAATTACATATAAATCAACATCAAAGGCAACACACTTGCAGGTCCATGAAGAGGAAGCTGCCTCAGACCAGCAGAATTTCAAGGTGAGATCAGGGGCTGAGAAGTATCCAGAACAGTCTCCACACCTTAGGACGGTGCTGTGCCAACAAAGTTTACTGTTTTCTCATTCCTCCATTTTTTCCCAATTTTATTAAGAGCCTTATTATTTTTGGGTAATAGACTGCAGTAACATTTTTAAATGCTAGATTTTATTTGTCCTAGGGTCTGCCAGCACATGCTGTAATTAAAATGTTGATTAGTAAACAGTTTAAATATATGACAGACAATGCAGTTAAAGCCTACAGTTAGGTCAACATGTGATTTAGATTTGCCATTTAAAAAATCTCATTTAAATTTTGCATACATTAATCACTACCATACTTCAAGGTTCTGATATCCACCTGACTACAATATTAAAATAAAACTTGCTGCCCCAGGGAAATCCTACTTATTCTTAATTGTTTCGAGGCTTTGATGGGCTTTTAATCTAAGATTAATTTATGCAATTTTAAATAACTCTTCTTATGATTAATAAGCTTGAAAATTAAAAGGAGTCTAAAGCAATTATAATGAGCATTTGGTCATAACCTCATTAGAAGAAGGAGTGAAGGATACAGCTCTGGAATTCTTACAAGACTACAATTTAAGGTTACTTTTAGAGAAGTCAAACATAGTTCCTGAAATTGCAAAGGCAGGTTAGCAAAGGTCAGTGTTAAAATGACGGCTAGCTAGATTAGCATACTAATGATTTTCCCTGATAGTGACAGAAAGGACACAGAAAAGAAGATGCAGAAAGAGAGACAAGTGACATGCTGCCAAACAGCTACAAGCGCTGAACTCGGTTTCCCATCCTTTTGGCTAGAGACCTTCGCAAAATTTGAGAAACAGCCAAAGGGTTAGGACATTCCTATGCACGAATCAGCTTCAGCCAGAGGGTCTGGCCCACCAGGGGCAGGCGGAATCAGTCCTGTTGTCCGCCCTGCCTGCCTATCTATCATTGAACAGCCACTTCCCTGCTTAAGAACCAACAAGTGCGTCCAACTGCCCCACTACTCTCTGGTGTGCACAGCCCTTCCAGATCACACTGGCCCCATGCAGCTAACTTTACCCCATCATTTCCAAGGGTCTTTTTTGCTTTGGCTAGGGTGGGTTCTTCACTGTCCTTGTTCCCTCCGGTCTCAGCCTGTGCCATTTTCTCTCCCTGGAATGTCTTCCCTCTTGTTATTAGCAGTGATGATGATGACAATGACGATAAAAATGGTTACCATTTATTGAACACTTATTTTATGCCAGACACTGTGCTAAGTGTCTAACATTTTTATCTCACTTAAATTTCATGCTTTGCGATACTCTATTTTTGTAGATAAGCAACTAGAGGTGGAGAGCGTTCAGTAACATGTTGCAGGATGGACAGCTAGGAGAGGAAGGGAGAGGGAGGGGAGAAGCTGGCTTTCTGTTGTACCACCACTTTCCAAGTTCTGTACTCAGGCCCGAGCCAGGCATCCTCACTGACTACTACGGCCCCTCGGCCACTGTTCCGAGCTCCCGCACCACCCAAGCCAGCAGCTTGGCACTCATCTACCTTCTCTAAATGTTGCCAATGGGCATGTCTAGTCTGCTCCTGAGACATAGGTCTTTCTTATATTCTTTCTGAACCCATCATGGCACCTCACAGACCTGGACAACAAATACTTGTTGATTAACTGGTTTACAATAATTCCCTCCAACAAGATGCTCATTACATTTTACCAATAATAAAGGACAGACATGAAAAGTTATGGCTTCCAGTGAGTGGGGAGGAATGTGCTTCATCTTGTTTGGATTTTCAACCACAGAGACCACCCCAAGAGACTACCAATTCAGTGTACACCAATTGCAAACATCCGACATACATATAATTTATTCTAAGTCACATTAAACTTCCCTAAACACATGTATCTTCCAAGAGGCAACAAGCTGGAAATACCCAGGAACATCAGACAGATGAGAAAATCATGACCCAAAGAGGCTGAATGACCTCGTGCCCCATGTATGTCTCGCACTTCATAGTTTACAAACACTTTCATAACCTCCATCTTCTGTAAGTTAAAAAAAAAAAAACAACCTAACAGCTAAAAGCCCCCTGTGAAGTTGGTATCATTACCCCATTTTACAGATGAAGCAGCTCAGGCTCAGATGGGCTAAGTAAACAGCTGTTGCCTGCCCAGTTTCCTAGAGGTAGTGCCTGTACTTGAAGCTATATTTTCTGACATCCAATTCAATCTCTTTCCAGTTTCCCAGGTTGCTTCTTGGCTCACATTCACACGATAGACTGATTTGCAAGCTTTGAAAGACCATCCTTAGCCTCTCCAGGCTTTACGCACAACACATCCTGCCAGTTGTCAGATCACAAACCCTTCTACCTTTCCCCTCCTTCCATCAAGGTCATAGGATGAGCGAGGTCATGGCTCCATGCCAGGTCCCCTGCTGCCTCCACACCTCCAGCACCTGTGTTGGTGTGGACATCTGTGGGTTGTCTTCTCCTTGCTGTTTCCCCTCTCCCTTCAAGATGGACCCCGATTGTTTGGCTTCCTGTTTGTGTGACCTGACTACTTTGTTTGCATGTATGATGGATTTGTGTTTGCTGGATTAGTGTCTGATAGCCCTCTGTATTCCCTACAGCTGTGCCACTCAAGTAGTCGTCCTGTGAACTGCTTGCTGCTGGCCTGCAATGATACAAGTAGCCATGCTGCAATGTGAACCGCAAACAGCTTTCTTCGCTCACAACGTTTTGCTCCAAAAAGCTGAACTGAACTAAACAGAATGCTTTCAGACAGGCTTGATTTATATCCTGGCACAAATTCCTTATCTTCCTGTGTTTAAGAAACAGTTCGGGGCCGGGCACGGTGGCTCACACCTGTAATCCCAGCACTCTGAGAGGCCCAGGCAGGCGGATCACTTGAGGTCAGGAGTTTGAGACCAGCCTGGGCAACATGGGGAAACCCCGTCTCTACTGAAAATACAAAAATTAGCCATAGTGTTGTTCATGTGTAGTCTCAGCTACTCAAGGAAGGGCGGGTGCTGAGGTAGGAGGATCACCTGAGCCTGGGAGATTGAGGCTGCACTGAGCCAAGATCGTGTCACTGCACTCCAGCCTAGGTGACACAGTAAGACCCTGTCTCAGGGAAAAAACAACAAACAGTTCAGATACTACCACTGGTGCACAGCCCATACTCCGAGTTCAGCTAAACACGAATGTGCTCAGTAAAAAGTTTGTTGAGTTAAAGGTAATTTCTCCCAAACTTGAGGAACATCATCTCTTGGAAGTTGCCCATTTCTATACCCATGATGGCAGAAGTGGAAAGGCAGAAAGGTTTGTGACCAGACAGCTGTCAGGACACACTCTGCCCTCAGTTTTTGCCAAAACCAAAGAAACAATGATTACATAAATTCTCACAGCTTCCCCTCAGATAACCAACTAACAGACCAGGTGCAAACTGTTGGTAATTACTTCCTCTTTTGTGTTTTGTCTCTACTGAGGCTCAGGCTTCAACCAGGCCACCCTGCCACCTGGGGATGGGTGGAGAGTGTGTGCAGCCATCTGCTCTCTGCCTCGACCACGGCCCTGCAGATGCAGCCTGTGGCATCAAGGTGGAAGGGACCATAGGGAGGGAGTTGAGCAAAGCATCCTACAGGGGCATTGGCTTCACAAGCACACTCTGCTGAAATCCTACAAGTTTGTTTGTGTGGTCCTGTATTTGTATTTAGCTTTATTTTTCTAACTGCAAGAAATAGTTTGACTTAGCGGAAATTCTCTAAACCACAATAACAATCCTCTGCCTACTATGCAACAACGGGTGTAGCTTTGATGTTGTGCAGTAGGACAGTCCTGTGTTTTTCCTGGCTGTGTGACTCTAGGCAAGGAAATTAACCTCTCTGAGACCCAGTTTATGCATCAGTAAAATGGGAATAAGAATAATCCTTATAGTGTTCATGTGAAGGTCAAATGAGATAACTTAGATGAAAGAATGCTCTAACTTAAGTGTTTAAAATGTTTTATGTTTAGATCCATTTCTCTCTATATAATAAATCAATTTTTTAAAGATTATAAAACAGGATCCTTTCTGGATTCATCTTCAGCCCCAAGTTAGGTGCAATTGTTACTTCAATCTCTTCAAGTTTGTTTAGAGAAAATAAATTGTAGTATGAATACTGGCTAGTGTGGCTATTAGAGGCTCTGGTACTTTTACTTATGATATAAGCTGCCTTTCACATCTGTGTGCAGAAAAGTAATATACTCACATAAATACCCAAATGTCCGTGGGTCCCAGCTCACCTGTCACTCCATTCTCAAAGCCTCCCCAGATACCCCTAGCAGAAATTCATTTCACTTGTTAAATTCATATCATTTAAATTCAATGACCATATATTTGAGCATTCTACTCAGGCTGGAGACTGGGCTAGATGCTAAGGATACAAAGATAAGACATGATCTCTTCCTCGAGGGGTTGTGGTCTCTTTTATTGACTGTTACCACAAGTTACTGCCACAAAGCGTGACGAGTGCACTAACAGAAGTATTAGCCAGGGTGAAGGGTGACAGGCAAAAGGAAGTCCTCAACCCAACTGAAGCACGCTTAGCAAAGCTTCACAGAGGTTGTGCCAGTTGGGTTTCGGAGGTGGAGAAGTTCACCATCTGGCGGTGAGAAAACAGCACAAGCAAAGACATGACTGTGTGAGGATGCCTCACGCATCTGGGGACTGCCAGAAGTTTGGAGCACAGGACTCCACAGGAGTGGCCTGAGGTGAAGGGGTAGGTGAGGGTGGGAGGAGAAGGTGAGCGGGGGTCTCTGGCAATTCTCACATTCTATCCTGTGCTTGGCTGTGTCTACCCTCACCTTCCTCACTGGACTGTGAGCTGGCTGGGGGGTCAGGACTTGGGGCTGACATGCTGCCTCCTCGGTGTCAGGCAGGATGCTGGGCACAGAGCAGATGCTAAGACATAAAAATGGCGAGTGCAGACTGAAATGCACATCTGTGATTCCCACATCGGCTTCTCTCCATGTCTCACAACAGTAGAAAAGGCTTCTGCAATACAAATCTGCACCAGACGTGCAGTGGGTTATAATTCAGCCAGTCCCCTAAAAGCCATCCTTACACCTTCCTTCGGTGCTTAACCCACTTTCCAGATGATGCAGCACTGCTGCCTGCACAGGAGAGCTGAAAAGGGGGCCGTTTCTGAAGGCAGGAAGGAGACAGCGCCCAGCCGAAGCTCTGCTGACCTCCCTGACGGGAGGAAAGCTTGTTTTGGAGAAGGGACTTTCCAGTCCAGAGCTGGTGCCACAGGCCCTGCATAAACCAGCATTCCAGGGTTGCCGATCTGCCTTCCCCAGAGTTAGAGCGAGAGTATTCCAGAGGCAAAGCTGTGGCTTAAAAAAAAAGTCATGTTTAATTTAAAAATTAGAAACTGGAGCAGGCTGTGAGCACAGGGGTTGATTGAAACAAAATTTAAATTCCTGTCAAGCCCGTTTAAACACGGGGGCCCTTCATAGACAATTAGCTGCTCCCTGTGAATGCTGAATAAACTCAGGCCTGGTCACTGTGAGAAGAGAGGCGCCTACTGTGAGGCGCTGAAAAAAAAATTAACTAAAATCAGGCTGTATGAAATATTTAGCCTTCCAGTATATCACAGGGGTTTGAAAGTGTAAACAAGACAAAAATCGATTCCTCGGTGCCCTCAAATCAATCCCCCAAAATGGTTAGGGCATCTGTTTCTGCTAAATTTTGTTTACATCGGCAGATTTGCCTTAATTGCAGTTGTTTATCTCTCATTGTCCCTGGGGCCCTAATCTCCCGATTACTAATACTTAACACTCATTTCACATCTAAAGCTACTTCTAATCCTCAACAGGTTTTGGGGGCTCTTAAAATTATTGAAACCGCAGAGGCGGGAGACACTGCCTCTTTGTGAAAGGAACATTTTCTTATCTACTACCAGCTGGGCCCAATCATCACCAGGGATGGCTACAACAAAGGTGCTAAAAGGCTCTTCCACAATGACTGCTGCTCCACTGGGGATTCAGAGGATTAAAAAAGAGCTTTGATGGAAAAATCTGAACAAGAGGCTAAAGCAGTCCAGCCAAATAAAGTTACTGTCATAATCAAATGCTGTCAATCACCATGAAAATCCAATTAAAAATGTTTCAGCACAGCCCTCTTAAGTGGAAAAAATGTACCCTATTTATACAAATTTTTGTCAATGCCACACCAATCCCACAATTAGAAAGTCCTGCTATTAATTGAATCCCCCTCCCCCTCAAATTTAGAAAGAGATGCAGGCCATTCAGAAGCCTTCTGAGGAAGCTAAGACACACACAGGCTAACAATTAAGAGTCAATCGGGTTACATTTGAAAATTCCATTTTCATTTGTGTCAAGGGAACTTTTGCACAAATAAATGAATGGTACCTATTCTCCTACTTCAGAATCAGTGACCATTTATATGAAGAGACCAGAGAAACGGTAAACCACGATACTGGAAAGAAACTAGTCCACACTCCAGCAAATGTCTCTCGGTAGACCAAGGCCTAACGTTTAATTCTAATCTTGAAAATTAAATAGAGGACGGTAGGCCCAAATGTCTCTACTGCCTTTCTGCAGTCTCTAAATGGCCAAGTGAACCTCAAATTATCTGCAGGCAGATTTGGCCCCCCAAATAACTCTGTATCCGAAACCACAAGACTCACAATCCCCAAAGGTCTCTCTCAAAACTGCTACAAATTAAAAAGCAAACAACCCATTAAACAAATCCAGCTGGCACAACTGTAAATAGGAGCTTTCTAATATTTTCCCCAGCTCTTAAAATTCCTGGTTAGACTGGTTAATAATTGATAAGAACTGCATCTATTTATCGGTGTGTACTCACAGGAAAACAACTTTGCTACCTTCAACAGCAATTCCCAAATCCCAGGGACTAGCTTTAGGATCCTTTTATATTTCTCCCACAAACGGCTGAATGTCTCTGATCTTTTTCAACTGAATCCATTATTCCCAAGAGCTGGGGAGTGGGTGGCATGCATCTGATGTGCTGACAGATAAAAACCTTCGGGTCCCCTGTCATCAATCTAACAGGCAAAGATGGTGCTAGCCAGGAGGTCTCCTCTAGGTTTTGGCTCTCTAATAACCTCTGGATGTGGAGTTACTTGCTTGAGGTAAATTCTCAAGTGGTCAGAATGCATACCAAAGATCATATGTGCTGCTGATCACCACCTGGTCAGCACCTCCTAGCTCTGTCCATACATCCAGGGTGGGATGGCTAAACCCTGGTGTTGGTTCTGAACGGTAATCCTCATGCTATACTGGTTGTTAAATGTTTTGAATATTATCCCTGCAAATATTGGAACATCCTAGAAATTTTATTATTTTGGCACCAAATTTTCTAACCTAGATGACCTCTCCTAGCAGGAGGTCAAACAAAAACCTTTTTTATCTGGCCATGTATTCTAGCGTGGCCACCCTAATTTATACTGTATATTGTAATGTCCAGGGATTGCTTGTTCTTGGATTAGTTTCTTCAGCTTTACTCTGAGTTCCTGGAGAACCAGATACATGTCTTGTTTGTCTATCTGTTTAGTGTCTACTTTATCTGCACAGTGTTTTACTGGATTGGATTAGAGAGAATAGCATGTGCAACCAACACTGTTTTGCCTAAATGACAGCAGACTAGGATAGGCACTGAATTATAAGATCATGATCCTCCTTCAAGGAACTTACAATCTAGTGGAAGAAAAAAGGTATTAAACCAGTGAGTTTCCCCTCTGGCTGTCCTTGTAATCACCTAGAGAACTTTAAAGGTTAAAAAAAAAAAAAAGTATCTGCTCCCTGGCCAGAGCTTCTTTGATCTAGGTTAGGATCCAGGCATTTTTTTCTTTAGCCTTTTAAACCTCTGAGGTAACTCTGATGAGCTGCTAGTGTTGAGAGCCGCTGTACTACATGGACTAACTTGTGGCCATAAGATGAATATATAATTAAATGCTGTTCCAACCTAGACACAATACATGCTGAAGGGCTTCAGAGAAGGAAGCAAGCAACTGTAAAGTCGAAGAGTAGGGAAAAGCCGCAGGGAGGAGGACCAAGACCTTCCAGGGGAGGGGAGAGGAGGCTCTTTTAGGCTGAGGGCACCACCCAAATAACAGAAAGTTCTAGTGAGCTGAGTCATGGCCAATGAGGAACTAAAGTGTAACATACTTTAAAGACCCACCTTAGCCTCCCGCTGCCGCAAATCTGGCACGGCACTGAAGAGCAGCCCAACTGATCCACTTTACTGCATCCAAGATAACCAAACTCTTCCTGTGCTCAATGAATGCTACACAGCTTCACTGTGCCTTGAAACAAGATACTAGGAAGATGACAGTCCAATAAAACACGAAAGAGGCATTAGAGACATGAGTTCAAATAACTACAATCTTAAACAGGCAAGTCATCATCATACTAAGAGATCTGACTTGACTGATGGAGGAAAAAAGCTATGCTTAACTGGGAGATTAAAACTGTCAGATCACCATGATCAAGGAATGACAGACTTTATCTATATCTCTCTTGCTATGCGCATGCATATAAAGACATATACATACACACACATATTTATCTGCTAAAGTCTTGTGAAAAGATTAAGTGGTCACATCTATGGAAAAACAAAGCCTGTTTTCTTAGGGTTATAATCTCTCTGTTCTTGCTGAAGTGCTAATGTGTCATCAAAAATTCAAATTAAAGCTGTCTGATTTAGTGCGATCTCAAGTATCCAGACAGTGATTCTGCCGATGTAATTATATGCAATTAAAAAGCTAAAATCAACTTCTTTACTAGTGGGTTCCTCTTTATAAGCAGACACAAACAGATGATTTTAATGGCCTTCAGAACTTAAAAAAAAATTCCATGGTTGTCAGCTGGACCCTACGTGGGGCCCCCTTGCTGTTGTGATGACTTTTGTGCATGATGGAAATACTCAGCTGAAGTTACAATCCCAGCCAGTATTTCTCACTGCAAATTCTGGGCGGCATAGCTAATGAGCTACTTCCAAATGAACAACTGAAAACAAAATGATGTTTACAAGAATGAGTGGCCAGACACATTAGGAGTCTGGCCCTAAAGGTTCATTTTAAAACACACTTTATATGACACAGGCAATACCTAACTGTAGTGAACTACATCCAAGTTCACAATTTATTAACCATCATTAGTATTTTAAAAAGCTTAGATTTTTGCAAGCACAGGGTGGATGAGCACTCTCTAAGGGGGCTATGGAAATGCACCTTTCTTCATATTTGCGCTCAGGGCACAGGTAAGCCCCGGATCAAAGTAAACCGAAACTTATCTTTGGCATGTTTAGTAGAATGTGGTGATCATTTTGAATTGATCTGAGCCCCGTGCTTCTAGTAAACAGTAACAGGTAAGAAATCCCCCTACCCTTCTGCTAACCGCAAAGGATCACCCTGCTCTCACAGAGGTAAGATCCTTTTCCATCTTTCCTCGTGACTTCTCTAAGACTTGCTGGTGACCCCCTTGTTTACCTGCCTTCATAAGACCTCAGAACCCTCCCTTTTCTTTGAGCCATTCCTCATTAATAAACACTCTCCCTACTGCAATAGCCCTAAATAAAATCATCTTCTTAATTGTCCAGTGCATTTTGTCTTTCACAGTGATCAGAAGATTTGGGTCTAACAATGAAACAAAGCCATTTGGTGTGAAGCCCAAAGTCACACTGGAATTTGAGTGTTGGAGAGACAAAAATCTAACATCATGGTTACCCTGATTTTTAAAGGGACCACGCAGATGTGCAATTTATCATATACCTTGATTAATTGAGAGAACAACCAACCATACTATCTGAAAATGTAATTACAATCAGGTTTGGAAAAGCAGAAAAGCTACCAGTGACAATTTAATTTAGAGGAGTTAAACAAGTTAACATCTCTTAGTAAGTAATTAAATGTTTAAACAGATTTTTCTAGAGCAGTTTGGTGTTTATTAGCCCCCAAACATTACCACCTCTTATACATAAAGCCTTAGCTGAGAAATGAGATGCCTTCAAGTTTGCAGCTGCTGGGATGACATGAAGGAAAAAAATCCAAGAGCGCTATTCTGATTTTAACTGATACCCCGCCTTCTAGGACCCATGCCAACTTGTTGTATTTCTAATGCCACTATTTACTTGCTGTCTAAGCAAAATGTCAAATTTCAATTGCAAACTGCATCCTGTGTTTCTTTTTAGGTGCCTAAATTGAAAACCAAACCTGAGGAAATGCTAAATGCCTTTAAAGGATGTCCTACTCTGGAATGTACAAGGAGATGCACAAAATAACAGGCATTACTAGAACCTAAGGAGAAAACCCATGTTTTTAAACAATTACTAAAGCAGTATAGTAACAGCATAAAGAAAATTTCTTCGCCAGCTTGTTTCTCTGAAATTCTCGCTGCCACTGAACAGCTAGAACAGATAATAACTATTAGTAAATCAAACTCCTCTGCAATATCCAGCTGTGCCTCACGCATTTACATACAGATAGAATGGGTATATGTTTTTAATATGTATGTGATACGTACTTTTACCACAGCCGAAGTGCATGCTACAAAGGAGGGGGAGAATGGGAATCAGATCAGCATGAGATAATAAAGTGGCCTAGATAAAGTATTAGCCAGCGATTGATCTCAAACCGGGATGCTGCTTCTTCTGACCTGATTACTTACTATGCATAGATTCCATTAAATAGAGCTTAGACACTGAAAGCTTCTGGAAACACTCTAAATGCATAGAAAGATCTACCGTACTCTGAGCCCAAATTGTAACTGTGTGGGTGCCCACAGCCCACACCTTCCCCGTTCAAGTTAAGGCCCACAATCAGGCTAGGCAGGGAAGTTAAAGGGCTGCCTGACAGCTGGTGCAAAGCCCTGCTGAACCCCATAGAAAGCACCCCACCCCACCCTCAAGCAAGCACTCTCCCGCTGAGTGAACACTTCCCTCCCTACAGTCAGCTCCTGGCCAAGTAACTCTAAAGGACAGAAGCAAGGGAGCTTAACAATCATTGAGGGTCAGGGTCCCCTTTGAAAAATGTAGCAGTCATGAATTCCTGTTTTTGGATGAAAAGAAACATCTCCACATGCATAGATAACTTCGGATGTAATTTCTGGGGTTCTGACTTCCTAAAGTCACAGACCATTGGTCAAGGGCTGCCCCCTCGGTTTTGCAGATGAAAAGACACTGAAGTGGAGAGGGGATGGGGAGTTGGCTGAGGTTACACAGTGAAGGGATGTGATGGAGGTTCTCCCGGCTAAGTCACATCCTGACCTTAGCTACCAAATAACTCTGAAGGATGATTAATTCCTCAGAAGGAATTCCTTGTGGTTTAGAGAAGCAAATGGTCTATACAGTAATATCTCACATACCCCTTTTATTTAAAAATATTTAAACACAGAAATTGAATAGCAAAACCAACCTGAACCCCCATCTTAATGCTCTCATCTTAGGTTGTCTTTGTCCCTGAATTTAAGGGTCTGATTTTTATGTTTTTGCATCCTTCCATTTGATTATTGACATTTAAGGGAAATTTCTCTACCATCTTTGCATTATCGCTGTCTCCCCTCTTGCTGCAGTCCCACCAATCCTTTCTGACTGGCAAGGGGCTGGCTTTTTCCCACATAAGCCATGGAATCCCTGCATTTTTCTGAAGGCCTGCTGGACATTCTGTCTGCTACCTCCTCAGGGTCTCTACTGTCTGAAAATTTGTCCCTAAGTTTGTTGGTCCCAGTTCACAGAGCTGGGGCAGCACTGACACAGGTCTTTCCTGGGAGTTGCAGCAGCGTGATTTAAAAGCAGATTATTTAATAATGGAATCATTATCCAGGAAAAGAATTGGAGGCAGAAGTGGAGGTGGGGGTGGGGGTGGGGTTCTACCTGTCTTCTGTCGGTATGCTGAATGTTCTTGGCTGCCTGCACGCTTAGTTTACCTTTAAAGCAGGGTTTAAAGCTGACTCCTGATTTCTGCAATAGGCTCTTAAAGAATTGAAAGTCACACCTTTCCCAAGGATGAGGGACCTCCCTATACATGAACAGGAGACCATTCAAGAGAATTCACTCAAGAAAAAAGATCCATGTGGATAAGTGTGGTGTTCCCAGGGTTCCTTGTATAGAAGTGGAATGTCTTAAGAGATTGCCCAGCTGGTGGTGAATATGTTGCCTGTTTGAACTCCACCAGGTCAATGTTGAAGAGGTTTCTGTTCCAGCAGGCACTAGAGGCTTCACATTGCTCTGAAAATGTCTGAAACCGAGATACACTCATGCTTTGCCCATCCTGTTTCCTTTGCCTGGAATGGCCCCTTCAAAGCTCTCTATTAAAATTCACTTCATCCTCCAAAGGCCCTTTTCAAATGCTACCTTCTCTACCCAGTTTTTCCTCATTTCCCCAGATGGATCTCCACAGAACCCTGCAGTTCTTTTATACTAGTTACTTCATTCTAGTTATTTGTATACTTGCTATAGCTCCAAAAGATTATCTGTGTGGCTTCCTCTACTTTATATCTTCTGCTGAGTCTAGAACAAGACTGTGCACAATGGTATATCAACTAACAAATTCAATTATTTAATGGGGTCTGAAATCTCTTAGGATGATGCAGATGCTGATAAAACTTTTGAGAGCACTTCTGATGTAGCTTCATGGCTACATGCCAGAAAACCACAGCAGCTGAAACGTATCCTGGCCTCCCCAAAATGTAAGCAGTAAAGGAATTTCTTGGTCCAACTTTAAAATACTTCCACTTAGGATATAAAGACCGAAAACCATCATAAGAACAACCATACAAAGTAGAGGGGATAAAATATCTAAACAACTAAATGAGTTCTAACACTGATATTTTAATGGTCTCCAAAGTCTAACATTGAGTTTTACATTAATCTTTAAGACTGACATGGTCAAAAACTGCCAAGATGATGATTTTATGATTCGATAAGGGGTATTCTGGTATAAACAGTGACCTCACCACCTAAGTGCCCACTCTGCATGGCCCAGACCCAGGAGTAAGGGTGATCTAGCCCACCAGTCCTACATTCTGATTTACTTAGGCTGAGACTTGCTGTGTTCGCTGGTCAAGGTCACACCTGGAGTTCATATAAGAGTTCCCAAATAGTGAATCTATAACTTCCAGTATTTCCAGCTGCCCATCTCTAATTTTCTTTCTTTGATTTGGAAATGGAGGCCTACAGGGAAACCTTGACAATCCTGCAGGCCTCACATTTGAAGCGGCCCATGCAGCCCATGCTGGTACCCTGCTGGCTGGAGTTACCATGCTTGGGAGATAAACTGCTCTTTTTGTGAAAGGCACAGGCCCCCACCCAGGTGACAAATGGGCTCTATAGTTCATGCATTCCAGAGGAGTCTCTCGGCTTCCAGATGGGAGCACCATCAAATAGGTTGTAGGTGGGAAGAGAAAAGGAAAAATTAAAGCCATTAATATGCTGGAAGGAATAAAGAGGCTGGTTCCTTTAGATTGGGCCCCTAGGATGTGGCTTAAGTTCCTTAAGATAAAGGAAAACCCACTTTCTTTCCCATCCCCTATTGGGCCCAATCTTTTGCCCAAAGTCCAGGCAGGGCTCACTCTCTGACCACAGCAGCTTCACATATAGTCTATTGTTCCCTGCCTCCTCACTGAGCCCTGCCAAAGCAGTGGTGCCTCACCACTGCTATACCTCTGGGAATGCATTCATTTAAAATCAAACAGTGAGCAGTACTAGAAATAATGTTAAATTAAGTATGGAATGGTGCTTCCTGTGACAACATTTTTCATTGTATTTTATTGATTTATTGATATTTATTAATTTAAAATGTGGGACAGCACACAACAGGGTATAGAGTTGTAAAGAGATATATCTAAATACCTATGTTCTCTCACACACACACACACACACACACACACACACACACATACACACACATCACTTGCTTTCAAGGCACTGAAAGTACTCACCCTTTAGCCTTGTCTTTATGATGTGCCACCCTGGAGTGGTGTTCCTTACCAACATATACATCCATATACATTTATGGGCGTATGTGTGATCTGCAGATGTTTTATTTATAAGTGGCCAACTCATTGCAGCATTGAAACATGCATTTACAAACAAATATCTGTTTTATGAAACCCTATTCCTTTGTTTTAACAGCTGAGCTATCCAGCCATAGCATAATAATGCACAAGGTAAATGGGTCTCCATCTCTAGAACCTGTTCCAAGTTTTCTCAAATGTGACTAACTGCAAGAATTTCCCAACCATCACAGAGACCAAAAAAAGAGACCAGTTTATTCTAGACATGAAACCTGCAGAGTTATAAATTGCAGAGGTTTTTAGGGGTGATCTTTAACTTGAAACTACCCTGAAAACTGAGATTTTGCTCCAGGGAACATGAAGGAGGAAAGTACCTTCCTGGAAAGCATTCATGATGCAAAAAGGAAACGTACTGTTATTTTATATTCAAGGATGAAATCCATATTATAAAGAAGTTGGGGCACTGAAACTGTTTATTAGGTTGGAATACAAAGGACGAAAACCTCTAAACTGGTATCTGTAAAATGCATATTGTTTAAAGAAGGTGAAAGAAAATTGGTAGGAATTTGCTCTGACTGTAGTAATCTAAAGGCAGGGAATGGTATGCAAAACATTAGAAAGAATAGACTATAATTATTATTTACTAATGCTCGATCCTAACGTTATTCTAACAGCTTGTGCATTGTCAAATCAACAATCTGCACTAAACAAATGACCATTTGGGAATTGTTAGGGAGCATCTCTGTTCCTCTCCCTGCTTGACTAAAAACTGTCATTTGCAATCAAAGAAAGCTGCCTTGGAGCTGAGAACACAGCACTCGCAGCCTTGTAGCTGTCTCTTTCTGAGGAAAGACCAAAGATTCACATTAACTTGATCTTTTGCAGCCAGTTTAATTTCATTCTACATGAATCTAAGAGGACTCCATGCCATATTCAGAAATTTTCTGCAGAATTGCACTAAAAACTTATTGCACTGATGATCTTCTGTTACCAATCCTCTGAATTCTAAAAGGTTTAATAGCAAATGAGGATAAAGAGTAACCTACATTAAGTTTGTGACCCTTGATGAGGCAAATGAAAAGAGCTCTGCATTAACTTTCAAAAAGGTGGTGGGTTTTTAAAAAGTAAACACTATTATCTGAGGATATGAGCTTCAAAAACATCTACCCAAATGAAGTAAATAATGTTGCCTTTTCAGAGCCTATGGCTGTTTCAAATTCCATTCTGGACTTTTAAACAGAATGTTAAACATAAATATATAACTGAGAATTCTAATGTAACTAAAAACATTCACTTACCATCAATTCTTCAGGTGCTGGCCTTTCTTTTGGCTGTTTTCGCATACTATAGTGGAGAGAAAAAAACCCCTTATGTTATCTGTGTCATTTGTATATTTTTGCTATAATTTCTACCAATGGCTATTTGTACTGGAATTTGAATGTTTTCAAAATACATCATGTTCAATTCTTGGCCAAAGTATTAGCATATATTCCCTTTCTTTTATTTTGGTCTTTACTTAGTCAGATTTCTGGGGGACATTATGAGTAAGAAACAAAAAGCTTTTTCTTACTTTTTCACTTAAAAAATATTTTGCAACACAAATAAAGAATGAATTTAAATTAAATGTATCCTAATTCTACTTTTGAAGCGAATGTGAAAAAAGCAGCAATATTCTCTTATTGACTCAATTATCAATTTATTTCAAACTTATATTTAGAGAATATACCTTTTTTTTTGGTAATTGGGATAAGACAGTAAGGAAAGAAACATGACTGTAGAGTCAAATGAGAATACATCTCATTCTTTCACTGTTACTCCGAATGACAAGAAGTATATAAAACAGGTCAGGAATCTAGATAATGCTACAAAATTAGAAGTGTGTTGCTATAGATTATCTTGACTTGCATTTGTTTTGGCAACAAGGCAAGTTGATAATTCATTAAACCGCTGTGGGACAGCTAAATTTGTTTAAGCTGCTTAAAGAATCACATTCTTCATGCAAAATATTTCTTGTCTTCCATGCAATAGATATAATTAGTAGCTGTAACATGTACTTAGCTATGTGATGAAGCACTCACACATGGGATGGAGGTGACTGTGGGCAGCTGCCTACTTGATGGCTGTATTTGTTCTAAACTCAGAGTGTCCATGGGATAGTCATGAAAAGAGATTGCTGCTTCTATCACTTGGAAAAATCACACGGATGCTTTTTTCTTTATAAGGCACTCTTCTAACAAGCAAGAAGAAAACTCTTCTTATAATCTCTGCATTTGCTGACAATACTTTTTTAAAAATAGATTTAATGATCATTTGGTAAACAAGAATCGGAGTTATGAACCATTAATGACATCGAGGACATTTGCCTTCCCTATAAATAACCATATGCACCTCTCAAACACTGCATCCATTAGCAACTAATTCAAGCTGTCTCGCCAGTGGAGTTGGTAACAGTCCTAATCTGACATTCCAAAGTAGCTGTATCTCTTGGGAAAACAAGGCTATTACCCACTATCATTTCTGTTTTGGCTTGACATCTGTGGAAATTTGAATGCAGGTTATCCCTCCCTCTGTCTCCATAAAACTTTTAAATAACAGCTGATTAATTTTTTGGACAGGAGGGAGGTGAAGCCTTATCCACTTTTCTCCCTGCTGCTCAGACCAGCCCCACCCCCAGGTTGGTCTCAGACCACACAGCGAGATAAGATTAGCACTGGGATCCTGTCACAAATCCAACATCTCCTCCGGAGCAGAGAGGGTGATGCCCAAACCAGGCGCTCCAGGCAGTAGAGGAATCGCATGGTTTGTGTTTCAATTTTTGCATTTCAAAATGAGGCATTACCATGTGTAAAACACATGGTACACATTACCATGTGTAAAACACATGGTACACATTACCATGTGTAAAACACATGGTACACATTACCATGTGTTTTAAGAATTCCATGTAAAGGAAATTAAGAGGGATATACATTTCTGGGTAATGGTTCTAACATCATTAAGGAGCTTCAAAACAGCTCAGGATTCCAGTGTTTAATCAACATGTATGCTTTTTTCCGACATGGCATGCTTTGGAAATAAAATGTTTTCAGAGTAAAAATAGTTTTTAAAAGCTACACAATATTATATAAGTATTTTAAATAAATAGAAACAGTGTTAATAAAATTTTTTTAATTGGGGAGAAAAATTTCTTCCTCACATATATTTTCTATGGAATATAAACTGCATGAGACATTTTTATTAAGAGGTAACATGTTACACTTAGTCAAAAAGGTGATAAAGCTTGACATTTATATTAAGGAATATTTCTTGGTTTCCCTTTAGCATAATCATCGGACAGATCATAGTGGGAGGGGAAGGGGATGGCACACAACGATTTTGGTTAGCAAGAATCCTGATAACATTACTTTGCCACACCACAGAACCAAGGGTTTCTTCTGGTAGGGTCTGCCCATTCATTTTCCACCAGTGGACATGACTCTGGACTTTGGTGAAGGAGGGAAAGAAGACCAACGTAGTTAAGAAGGAGTTGCGGTTGGTTTTGTCTCCTGCTTTGAGGACAATGATTCCTATGTTCCTGAATTCCTCCTCTCTCCTAGGTAATTCTCTGTGCTGGAGTGAGGGAGAGGGCAGAGGAATACCTGGGCCTCCCAAGGCCACATGAGTCCTGCAGGACGAGGGAAGAGGGGAATGATGGTGAAAGGGGTAATAAAAGACATCTGCGTTCTGCTAGGAGGAAAAAGGCAGAAGGCTGGCAAAGAACCCTTGGCAGTAAAATGCTTGTTTCTTCAGATATAAAATGACAAGGAATTGCCTAGAGGCTCTGAGGGCCCCTGTGGCTCCTCTCAGTTCTTTAAGGGTTAAAGTGGGCTGAACTGTTTTCATAGTCTTCCAAATGTCAAAATTCATTGAAATGGTACCCCAGTATTGTATTTAAAATACAACCAAAGATAAAAGTTATTTACTGAAAATCCGATGAATTAATAAACTATGCTGCTTCCACTAAGTGACAAGACAGTTTTATGGGTAACTTGAGGTTACATTAATAAAAATAAGCTTCGTACGTCCGTTCAGTAGGGGCTATAAAATTGTGTATTTCTTTTTTTAAAAAAGGATGGCAACAGTATTTGTGCTTAAAGAAGTATCATGACTTTCAGCAGTTTATTAAATCAGGAAAAAGGCTCTGAAGTATGCTTATGACCCTTTGTGTAAATAACGTTTACATAATTTAAACAATTTCTTCAGCTTTGCTGCCCCATCTGCCCAAGGCCCCGAAGTCCCTCCTGTCTCCAAAAGGATGCAGGGAGAGCCATAAGGTCTCACGGAGCTGCCGAGTTAATGGCATGTATCATTTACATTGAGGGCATGGCATGTTTGTAAACGGGCTCACCACTGAGTGATGAAATGTACAAATGGCTCCGAGAACTCTCCAACTGGAAGGACGGGCGAATCCTGTGATGGAGGAAAAACATGTCACCAAAAGTCACAACAGTTCCTTCTCTTTCTTTATATTCCCCACCCACCCATGTGAAGGATGAGTATAAAGATGAATACAATGAGAATAAGGCCTCACCCAATTAAAAAGACTGTCTTTACCTTATTCCACACATTTAGGTAAAGATGCCAAATTTAAAGCCACACATATTTTACAATGGTGAGAAACATGAGAGCTGAGAGAGGGGGAGGTGAAAAAAGGACAATGATAGCCACAGGGTAGGAGAGAAGGTAGGGAAAGTGTAAATGAGAAATTAATGATTATTTAAGTAACACACAAATGGTCTTGTAATTAACAAAGAGCTGTGAAATTATTCTTGTGTTGACCTTTGTTTCTTTTACTGGATTTGCTATTTATTTACACTTTCCTTTTTATTTACATTTATTTGTATATTCAACTGCTCTTTACTGTTTGCCCCTAACAGAATAATTTGGATCAATTTTTTTTTTTTACTTTAATAGAAAGGCTTTTATAGGGGAAGTTGTTTCCTGAAAAGGAATTTCAGCCTATTTGCCAGTCTAGGCAGACTCCTCATATGAGAAAGCCAGTGAATTAAGGATACAATGAAAAACTCCCAACTTGACCACCAACCAAAACTAGGATGGAGGTGGGAGTCAGTCAAAAAAGCAGAAAACTACACAGCAACAAACAACCACCACCACATAATACAAAGAGCAAACCCCATTACCGTTTGCAAAGGAAGGCTTTAAGAATTTAGGAGTTTTTCCAAGAATGACAGAGAGCGCCACTGTGTTTATAGTGTAACAGCTCAGGATGTAATAAAATTACACTGCAGAGTACTTTAACAGTCATCTCATTAGACCTACAGTTGGAACAAGAGAGCCACATAAAGTAGGCAGCTGCAAATGACTCCATTCTCATCTATTCTCATTTGCTATTAAAAATACCTTTCGGCGGCTTTTTTCCTCCCTGACATCCCTACACAAAGTGCCCTGCAAAGTATGATACATGCACCTATTTAAATTAACAAAGGAATGACTTATTTTAATCTCACTGTGCTTTGGAGTGCTTTGGCCATTTGGATGAGCAATATATCATTACATACAACCTTCCAGCGCTGCAGGCAAGAAACTCAGAGCATGCAGCATTTGGTGGGAGCCAAACAATTTCTCTAGCACACAACTGTGTCAAATGCATGCATGTATTCATTATTGAGAACGAGAGGAAATAGCTTTGATGTAGTGGAAAAAAGAAGATGATAAAAGCACCTCTGCAATATGCGTGTCATTATCAATGGTGGCAGATAGATACAATTGCACAGCCTCCTATGTGATTAGTAAATATACATATAATTGCTGTGGCCAATTATCAGAAAAATGAGATCGGTAATTACAAGACAGAAAATTAACTAGAACTCTTATTAAGGCTTTGTTTCCAATTCAAACAATTGGAAAGTGCTGGAAAATACAATTAAATCAAAAGGAACTAAGGGGGTCAAGGCAGCCAAAAAACAAACAAAAACAACAAAAAACAGACAACAAAAAACACCGAAGAGGCTACAAGAAAAGAAACATGAACAAAATGTTTCTTGGTTTTTGCATATCTGTCCTCTTTAAATTTAATCTATTCATCCAGAAGAAGGGATGGTTAGCAATTCTAAAATTAAAATTCTCATCAGTAGAGAAGGGTTAAGAGGAAAAGAAAACAAAGGAAAAATGGGAGTGAAATAAAATCTTGCCAAGTTCAAAGGATTACACGCAGGCATTACACAGAGACGACATGAAAAACGGAGGTGGATGGGTGGCTGATCAAACAGTCCACTCAAAAGAAACAAGACACAAAATAGCATGACAAGTCCTCAATAAAGGTATATAAAATGGCCACAGAAGTCCCATCGGTTTGAAGAGCAAAAATAAAACATGATATCAATTTCAGCTGCAGCCTGTTTTAGGAAAGCCATATATATCACCAAGCCTGTAAGATTCTACAAGGCCCAGTTCAAGAAATGACATTTTACTGTCTCAAAAACCATTAGTAAAAAGATAGTTCAAAGTCTGAGGTGTAAAAATGATGGACTCTGATCAGTGAGGAAGCTTCTCTAAGTCATCGCTTCATGGATTTTTTTTGAGGGTGTAGTACTGAAAGTATCTGAGTAGTAGTTGCTGTAAAATGCAATATTTAGGAAAATAAAAGCCTGCTATCTTAATGTCGTTCAATATTTACCAAGATGGTTAAAATTCTGGACTGGCTTTCTATAAAGATCTGGTATAAAACATGATGCTAATGTGGGCCTCTTCTCAAAGTATGATATCAAAAGTAAATTAATGAATTACAGACTAGCAACTTGATGAAGAGGCCATTTAAAAACGGATGAGAAACAAAATGAGGAAATGTGACATCTTGCATGGGTAGTTAATTTTATTTAAGACCTGATATTGTAGCCTGTTAAGTTCCTCATATTATAAGACTAAGGAACACTGGGTGGTACCCATGAATAATTTATTTCCCTTCTGAAAATGCCAGCCCAAGTCGACTTTGCAGAACCACAGCCAGCAGATTCTCATCTCAGTGGTCCCTGGAAAGAATCACTCATTAAAGATATGGGGGAAATTCTAATCTCACATGCACAATGCCAGATATTTATTTTTGTTTTAAAATCCATGTCTCCTGCATCGCTCAAGGGAGAATTTTCTGAGATGCAGAAGACTGAGTGGTAGGGGGATGGTGAGAATGCCACACATAAACACTGGGCAAAGGCGTTTTCTGAGAGCCTCCAACTCCACAGAAGTATGCAAGCTGTTAACACTCCAAAGGAAAGCAAAGGAATATACCTGAGAGTGTTCTCTGCACTGCAGGACTTGACAGTACACTTTTCTCTTTTTAAAGCAAATAAAATTACAAAGTTAGTTTTGATCAGGATGTGAAAGATCTCCAAGAACCTGCCTATTTTGTTATCTAATTCAAATCTGTGAGGAGGGAGGCATACAGTAAATTTGCGCTCCAGTTTCACTGTAGCTCACAGGAAGGGAAAGTATCTAGTCATCCCGAGGAGTTCAGAGACTCTAGTAAAGCAGTTGCTGCTACTTCCCAAAAATGCCCTCTATGAAATATGGGTTCTGGCAAGATGGAGAAATATATTTCAAAAATATAAATGTGGGCTGAAGAAGCAGTTACACTGAATTCTCAGTACTGGCTGACACTGACTCTAAATTGTTAATGAAAGTCACTCTCTTTAAGACCTTGGGTGCCATACCTCACCTTAAGGGCTTTTCTTCCAGATGCTTTTCCGTTGAACTTCTAAGCACGGAGGTAAAGAACGAAGCAGTGGACACAACCTTAACCAAAAGCCTCAATCGGAGAGTCTAGTCTCAAATCAACTTTAGAGTTCTGCTGAAGGGACACAAGCTGGGTCTTGTTATCAAGCAGGCAACTGTTATGTAAAAACAGCTGCCATAAACCATTTTAGTAGGCAATTCTGGTCATCGAGGAGGACAGTTTCCAAGCCTCAGAGGTTTCAGTAACTACCTGGTCAGCCCCTTTTGCTAAACAACTGGAACACAAGCACGCAGCATGCTAGAGAACAGTGAAGGACAATAGGAAAAAGTTTGAGTGATGCCTTTGCCTTGTGAATAATGAACGGTTCAAGAAGGTCAACCCATTACAACTGAAACTGTTTAATTATTAATTATGCACAATCTATGAGCAAAAGGACAAGTTCAGAATGCTTAATGTATGTTAACTTCAACTGGACTCTCTCTGGGTATTTTGTTATTAGCACTTGTCAGCAAGGTACTCAGGCATAAAAAAAGGCAAGTAGCAGAAAATGTGTGTGTGTGTCTGTACCTGCACACTCAAAGAGCTGGTGGAGGAGACAAGGCAGGAAGAGGTCCAATTCCAACCACAGCTGCTACTAGTTCACTTACAGAGTAAGTGTGCCAATAAATACGTTTAGTGACCTTGAGAGCAGGCAGGTAAGCTGGACACTCCAAAGACAGAAAGCATCAATGAGAAAAATGCTTTTAATATTCAAGGAATATTCTTTTTTTGAAACTATAATGTATCTTGGCTTTAGAATAATCTGTGTCATTAATCTACCCTCCACCCTGCAACTCCCCGCCCCCATACAAGTGCATGTAAAACTGGTAAAATCTGAATAAGATCAGTGGTTTGTGTCTTGTATCTATGACAATTTTCTATCTACAGTATAGATATTGTACTATACTTTTTAAAAAAATTTTATTAGATGGAGTCTCGCTCTGTCACCAGGCTGGAGTGCAGTGGCACGATCTTGGCTCACTGCAACCTCTGCCTTCTGGGTTCAAGTGATTCTCCTGCCTTAGCCTCCCGAGTAGCTGGGACTACAGGCGTGCGCCACCACACCCAGCTAATTTTTGAATTTTTAATAGAAACGGGGTTTCACCATGTTGGCCAGAATGATCCCCATCTCTTGACCTCGTGATCCACTGGCTTCAGCCTCCCAAAGTGCTGGGATTACAGGCATGAGCCACTGCACCCAGCCAATACTGTACTATACTTACGAGATATTACTGTTGAGGGAAACTGGGTGAAAGGTACACAGGATCTCTCAGTATTATTTCTTACAACTGTATGTAAATCTAAAAATTACGTCAAAATAGAAAGTTTAAAAAGAAAAGGTAAGGGATAGGGACTATTTTTAAACAATTAGATGAGGCCTAGATTCTTAGCAGAACTCTGCTTGTATAAGGGAGAAGGCTGGCATAAATACTCAACTGGAAAAAAGTTAAGGGCCTTTTGCTTAAAAAAATATTCCTTAGGACTACATTTTTGCCTATAATTCATAATTAAAGGTGACAGGGGGACCTGACAATAATGTGGTGGTTAATTCAGACACTGATAAGGCATAACATAAAATACTGTGTAAAAATGATACAATCATTCATTATTCATTCATTCATTCAACAGCTTTTGTGGGCATCTACCATGTGGAACGCAATGAGCCTGGCATTGTGGAATGGCTGATACTTAATCCATATCCTCAAAGAATTTGTGTATTGTTCAGAGGGATAAGATGTACATCCCTAATAACCAGCCCTGCAGGATGGAGGAAGTGGCCACGTGAGACTGCCAAAGCTGGGCACTCAGGATGAACAGGAGGGCACTGAGGTTTTGGTTCAGTTTGGCTGGCAGACGCGAGTTCACAAACGAGGGTCATGGGGCATAAAGTAAAAGAGTCTGCAGCGTGTGAGATACCTTCTTTGCTCTCCTACTTTCTTCTTTCCTCTCTCCCAGACAGCACCTGAGGGTGGGAGGGACCTTGAATGTTGTAGTCTGGGTCCTGTTCCCTTCTCCTTATACAAAACAGACATTCCTTCAAACCTTATGCATACTGGCAGTAAAGCAAAGGAAGATGGGACAACCTCTCAAATATCTCAAGGTGTTGGCTGCACTGGTGAATTCTGAGGTCAGCTGTACTGTGGTTGGATTAAACCAGCATGGCAAGTTAAATGAAATATGGCCAGCCCTCTAACTGTTTTTTAATAGCCCACTTCTAGACTTACGGTGTCAAGCCACCAAGCCAACAGGTGTTCAACACCAGAAAATCACCTGTAGTCTGACCAATATTGAGAGTCACACTCTATAATTTAAAAGTAAATCTTTTAATTCATGTCTGACGTTCCTTTGCCCTGGCCCAACAATGTCTACTCTTAGGCACTGGGATTCATACTAATTGGCAAAGCTCTATTGGATCACTGCATTCTATCCTCAGTGCTGGGATCAAAGGTCATTTGTAATTCTAGGGGCTTCATGCCCAGCAGGATAGCGTGTTGCCTGTCAGACCCTAAATTGGTTTCTGATCCTCCACTGTTCACTGCCTTAGAGTAGCATCTTTATGACACAACTGGCAGAACCCATAGGGCAAATCTGTACTTGCTTGGGGAGAAAATCGAGTTTGTTTAAAAAAAAAAATCTAAAAAACAAAAAAATGAAAAAAAACTGGACCCTCACCTCCAAGGATCTCCATAGAAGCTAATCTTCAAACCAAAAACAACCTGTCCAAGGTGCAAACTAATGTGAGATTCTGGGAAATCAGCTATATTTTAATATTTTAAAGGTCCTCAATGTACATATCTGCTGTAACAGAATGTAGACAGGGGAGAAAAAAGCAGTCACATGTTATCAGAAGGAGAAAGGTGGGAAAGAGATGAATAGGTGCTCCTGGTCCGAGAATGAGTCTCGTTTAGAGTGTGAGTAGCCATAACTACATAGCAGATTTGTACAAATTCAATCAATGCTTGTTAAAACATTGAGTTTATTTTAAAATGTGGCCACTCCATGAAGGAACAATCAGCATTTGGACTCTAAGTTTATTTTTGATTTCATGATGCAGATAGAACTGACCTACTTCTCGGTGTGTTACAAGGGAAAACATCAGGGTGAAAGCGAGGCTTTGAACTTAGGAAGGCTGGCAGATGACATACCAGAGAAGAAAGCCTCTAACTCCGCTCAGCTGCAGAACAGAAAGCCCGCCTTTTACTCATCCTACTCCACATCAAGTCTTGAGCAGAGAAAGTGAAAGATGATTCAATTTCCACACTGGCTCACCCCATGCTCTGGGCTGCCAGGCGTGACAAATTACATGTGTGGGCATTTTGGTGTGACGTTCTGTCCACTGGGTCTGGGCTGACAGTAGCAGCTCATTTAACTTGTCTCAGATGGGCCTGGAACCACGGGGTAAAGGCCTGAATTTTTGCCACTGAAAGGCCCATCCTACCCATAAACCCTTTAATCAAGGAGAACCAGCTGTTAGCCAAGTGAACATCACTACCAGATGGCTTATAAAAAACAAAATATAAACAAACAGGTCTAAAGGAATCTGTCTCTGGGTAACTGAAGTTTGAGATTATAGAGATTTTTTTTCCTATTTTCTTTTTCTCCTAAAAGTGTTTTGGAAGTTCTTCAGTATTGGGATAAAAGAGAATAGAAATGATCTTTGTCATTAATGTCAAAATGGATTCTTCATTTAGTCTGCTTGTTTTTTTTTTTTTTTTTGTCTGTCATTTAAAAGACTTATATTTACTTAGAAATGTTGTAAACATATGGTAAAGAGCTTGGTGTTTTATTACATTTCTTGAAAATAGGTGAGTGGAGAAATGGAAAATAGGTTAATCTTTTAAACTGTATTTATAATTGCTTCCTTTCCAAAGCCAATGAGCATCTTTTTTCTCTTTTTATTTTAGGTCTCTTGTTGGTCATCAGCCATAGTGCACAGCAGTTTTTAGATGTGCCTACATGAACAGTACACACATACTCACACACTAACATCCACATACATCTCCCTTTTCAGTGGCTTAGGCAGAGCAGCAAAAAACATACTTGTCTCATACCGAAGGGATTTCATTTACAAAAGTAAAACCCGTTATTGTCCTCTTTCTCTGCAGCCTCCCAATGCATTTCTACTGCTTTTCATAAAACACTGCTGCAAATAATCAAGCATGACCACTGACATCCACAAGATTGAGTTTTAGGAACCATTAAATGAGCTCACCCTCGTGGGAAGTCTCCTGCTCAGGCTGGTCTAAAGGTAATTATTCAGCAATTCCTACCTGTGCTTTTACCTTGTTCCTATACAGTGTTTGAATTTCATACACTGGTCAGGTCAACTTTTTTCCTCAGGAAAAGTCCAGCTATACATGTTTGATCCAGTACCTAAATTATAATGTTAATATACACACTGGCATTTCAGCTGGTTCTACAGAAGTGCTGATTAAAAGCACTCTTAAAGGTAGATCATAAATTATATTAAAAACAAAACAGAAAAATCTAGGAGAGAAAAAAACCCTTAATAGGTGCCTAAATGAAAAAAAATTGATCTTTTCATAGATAAAGAGTTAAGATTGAAACATCTGAACCACATCCACACACTGTTGAAGTACAGGAACCTGGCAGGTCCGTGTCCTGAAAAACCAACAAGCCATAACACTATCAAGTCAGACTCTGAGAACTCACTGTAAATCCAAAGTCCACATCACCACACTGTATGTCCTCCTGAATGTTCACTCGACTGTTAGTTAAAATAATTACTGCCATTTGCCACCTGCACTGCCAGCTACAGATAAGGGGGGAAACAGAACTACCAGTGGCTGCGTGTATGAGTGTTGGCTTTATTTGCTTACACATTTTTAAACAAATTCAAAGGCTGCTTCAGCTGCAATTCAAAGGCTGAGAATTATACGTGAAACTGTGCTATAGTTGGTTTCATAAAATAGACAGACAGAAGGGAATTTAAAGCTGGTTTAAGGAGACACTACACCAGTTTAAAACTAGTTACTATGAGGGGAACAAAGGGAAAGAGGGAGGGAGGGAAGAAGAGGAAATGAAAAAATAGAACCACATACTGTGAAATGAACAAGTTCAGTTAGAATGTTCATCAGGATTTGGAAAATCATAATGCCATCTGCTACTCTGGACCTCAAAACATCAGGGATCTCGTGGGCCCAGACGCTTCCATTTCCAGGAGGAAGGAAGGAACTTACACTCCCTGGAATGCTGCCTCCATTCTGGAATGGAGGCAACACCCCAGCCGACCAGTTTGGAATCTCTTTTGAGAACATTTGTACTGCTCACATACACATTTTCCCTGGTTTAGAGAAAATTAACAGCCGGCAAAACGATTACAGCAACTCGGCAGTGAAGCAGAGCAGTGCCCCCAGCCCAAGCTGCTGGGTAACTGACCCTGGCATCCAACTTGGGCTCAGGGTGTGTAGGTCCCATCATGGTGGATTAAATGAGCATTGTCCTATGGCTGGGTAAGACTTCACAATACAGCAACACATGTTAAATGACAGCAGCCAAAACTGGCCCCACCAGGCAACTGCCCATTCACAGACCGCTATTCACAGGCCTCCACCACCAAGAAATTAATTCATTAATAATACATCAGGCTTCATGGACAATTCAAAGGAAATAACACAAAGCTACTTGTTCAATGACTGCCTAAAGATGCAGAATTTTTCCTGGTTAAAAAATCCCCACAAATCTAATTGACTTACTAAATCAAAATTATGGGGATGTTTATGTTAATATTTTGGTTAGTAAAAAAGAAGAAATGGATAAGGTCTATTGGCTGAATTCACTCAGTGCCACTTGGAAATAATAAAAATATAGATTTTTTTCAGCAATAGTTAATAAAATCTAATTTTATATAATTGTGTGTTTAAAAAAACTTTTTTTTACTTCAAGTGACTTTGTACATCCTTCAGACTATGAGGAAAAAATTTTCTTATAACTTGTTTCTTCTGTAACATTTTGTATTCACTTCTTTCTTACTCCTCCCTTCTGACAACTCATAAATATGAATTAAATATAATTATAAGTGAACAGAACATTAACTTTTGGATTACTGCTGTGTTTTGGTAGAATGTTAATGTCATTTCTAAAGAAACAGTTATTACCAATAGAAAAAGTAATTACTAAAGGAATCCTGGCCTTAATGCTAACCTATTTTCAATTTTCAAACCAGCCAAACTGAATTAATTTAAACACACTGGACTTTTCAAAGAAGGTATTAGATTTCTAAAGATTGCCTTACATAAAAGAGGAATATCAGTTTTCAGGATCTCAACTATATATTCCCAACACTTTGAAACACAGGTCTAGTTGACAATATCGCCGAAAGGACAGGACCATTGTGTGCATATGCTTGTATTAACTTACTGAGTTTCTAATGCCTCAGTCATTAACTAATACAAGCTGCATGCACCATGAAATCCCACATCACAAAAACCTGTTTGTGGGAGTGGTTGGAGTTAATCACTATAGTCAGACACTGTGGGTCTGCAGGTCCTGTCTCCCTTTAACCACCCGCAGTTATGTGCTGTGACAGGAACAGGCCATCCTTGGGATGCTGGGAATAGGAGTGGGATGGTGTTCCTTTTACTTCTTGCTAACTTCAGAAGCCAGAGTCATGGTAAAGTCTCTAAGGTAAAAGATGAGTGGATATTATTTCCTCTGAAGTTGGTTAATCCCATTTTTTCTTTTCTTTTCTTTTTTTTTTTTGAGACACAGTCTCGCTCTGTCATCCAGGCTAGAGTGCAGTAGCGTGATCTTGGCTCACCGGAACCTCCACCTCCCAGGTTCAAGAGATCCTCCCACCTCAGCCTCCTGAGTAGCTGGGACTACAGGCACGTGCCACCATGCTTGGCTAATTTTTGTTTTTTTTTGTAGAGATCGGGTCTCACCATGTTGCCAGGTCTGGTCTCGAACTCCTGAGCTCAAGTGATCTGCCTTCCTTGGTCTCCCAAAATGCTAGGATTACAGGCATGAGCCACCGTGCCTGGCCTAACCCCGCTTTTGAATTTCTGGGAGGTATTATTAGGCAATCATTCTTGCCATCAGCATCCCCCACCCCCCAGCACCGGCTATTTTCATACCCCAGTGGCTTCTCAGGCACCCTGCCTAGGAGTGAGTGATTCTACATGAATGAATTTTTTAAGATAACACATTTAAGAGCCAAACTTATTGTATTTCAATAGAAATCTTTCTAAAAGGATTCGCGCTCCTCCATGCCAAATTAAACAGAGTACACAGAATAGAATTCAATTAACTGAAAGATGTGCGGTCATTCATATAGACAGCAAAACTGAACTGAGTTGCAAAACACGTATGCCCTTTGAGCATGTCTGCAATGCTAAGTTGTCTTCTTTCACAGCTGTATAAAAAACCTCTTCCTTTGATGCCAAAATGTTCAGTGGTCACTTTGTACTTTCTTCAAATCAGTGATAGTATAATGTAAGGAACCTTACCCTTTGATTGTCACTCAGTTTCCTTGTCTGTAAAATAGAGTGTTGTGGGGAAAGAATGTGACAGGAAACACTGTGTAAACCACAAAGGTTAAGGCTTAGACTTCTGAATTCTGGTAGAGAACCATATCTATTAGCTAAGTATCTCCTCATCATATATTCTCTGTCACTTTTTGGATTTGTATTTCTGAGGTCTTGAAAAAAAAAGTGTTGAGATTTATGCATAAATGTCATTTGATGAATATTTACAAGAGCCTATAGGATGTTAGGTGCAGTACTAGGAAGACAGAAATAAAATGTCTAGGAACTTAGAGTCTAGTTGTTAAACTCATAATTGAATCTGGAGCAGGAATGAATATAGTTTTGAATGAGGTGCTTGGTGATCTCCCAAGAACAGAATGCTAATCATCTCATCCCTTGAAAATGCCTCTCTTTCCGTGTGCCCCATCTCAGGAGAGTACCACCATGCACCTGACTGCCCAAGCCCTGAGATTCATCCCTGACCCTACCTCCCTACCCTCCCTTATATCTAGTTATTTACCAAATGCAGTTAGCTCCATCTCCTAAATACCCTTCAAACATGCTAAGGCTGTCCTGATTAAACCCCTCCAATTTCTGATCAGAACTACAGCTTCAATGTCCTTTCTAATCCATCTTCCACAGCACTGCCACAGTGTAAAACACAAATCTGGCTACGTTGACCTCTTGCTTAAAACTCTTTCAGTCTCCCCATCCTCCCTCCCCTACAAATACCTCTAAGCATGGGGTATAAAGATCCTTCAAAATGTGGCCCTTGGTTTATATCTCATAATACTTGCCCAAACACCCCAGCCATACTGAACTCCCTGCAGGGGCCTCAGATCTCTCCAAGGCTAACTCTTATTGGCTATCCTTCAGTCTCCTCTCCTCTGCAGAGCTTCCCTGGTAGCCCCCATCTCCTCCACTGAGTTCTCTCCTCTGTGTTTCCCCAGCACCTTGGCCACACTTTAATTATAGAATTTATATGGCTACAAACATCATTAAATACCATATCGTAAATACCCATTTATGTGAGTGGTTAAAATGATAGTCACTGTGGTCCTCCGAGAGCCCAGGCCATCAAGTCTCGTATCACTTACATTACCTGCAGTTTAGTGATCTGCATATATGACTGTTTACTTGTCTGCCTCCCTGACTAGGGTAGCTGCTCTTTAATGGTGGAAAGAGCATCTTATTCATTCTCTATCCCCGGTACCGAGCTCTGGGATTAACACAGGTTTACAGAATGACTGTTTGGGCTATCATCAGTAGTTTTCAAACTATAATCTATGGAACTCTCAGTTCTTTTATGCAGGTGTGTGGGAAAGGGGGTGGAGATCTGAATCTCCCATACTCTGACCAAACCAAAATAGCTTCATGTTCATCTATTTTATAGGTTGGGTTTTTGAGCAACATAAAGGGGTCAAGGGCTTTTAGAAATGTGTGAACATCAACTATTGAATCAATGGGAAGACATAATCTGATTTGCAAATGTCTTCTAGAAATACTATTTTTATGCAAATAAAAACCACAATGAAATGTCACCTCACATTTTGTTAGGATGGCTATTACAAAAAAGTCAAAAGGTAACTAGGGATGGTGAGGATGTGGAGAAAAGGGAACCCTTATACACTGTTCATGGGAATGTAAATTGGTATAGCCATTATGGAAAACAGCATGGAGGAGGTTCCTCAAAAAACTAAAAAAAGAACTACGCTATGATTCAGTAATCCAACTTCTCGGTGTATATCTAAAGGAAATAAATCACTATCCTGAAGAGATATCTGCACTGCCATGTTCACTGCAGCATTATTCACAATAGCCAAGATAGGAAGACAACCCAAGGATCAGTCAATAGATGAATAAAGAAAATGTGGTATCGATACACACACCAAAATGGAATCTTATTCAGCCTTAAAAAAGGAAATCCTGTCATTTGCAACAGCATATGAACCTGAAGGTTCAGACAGATGAATATGCTAAGTGAAGTAAGTCAGACACAGAAACACAAAAACTGCATGATCTCACTTAATATGTAGAATCTAAAATAGCTGAACTCATAGTAGCAAAGTAGAAGAGTAGTTACCAGGGGCTTGGAGGGTGGGGGAAATGAGGAGGTGTTCGTCAAAGGGGACAAACTTACTTTTATAAGATAAATATAGCATGGTGAGTATAATTAATAATCCTGTATTATGTATTTAAAATTTGCCAAGGGAGTAGATCGTAAGTGTTATCAACACACACACACACACACACACACACACACACACACACACACACACAGTAACTGTGTGTGGGGTTAGATATATTAGCTTGATTGTGGTAATCCTTTCACAATGTATATGTTTATCAAAACATCACATTGTACACCTTATATATACTTTCTATTTGTTAATTGTACCTCAGTAAAGCTGGGGAAAAATATAACTTTCACATTCTACAAGGCACAACTGTATTCAAAACTTATGTGTATCTTTACTTTGTCTCTTATTTCTTTCTTCCTGTTCTTGATCAAAGAAAGCAGCATAAGAAGATGGTGAGAGAGAGAAAATGTTGCCATATAGGGGCAGTCTCCTTCAATCAGGAACAGGTGGTTTATCCTAGAGTTCATTTGGAATGCATATGATACTTAAAACACAGTGTCCCTTGTAGGAGCACTGTAACAATGCCAGGGTTCTGGGCCAATAGAGAGATAGGACTGTGGCAAGCCACAGCTCTAGGAAAAGGGCCTTTGTGCCCTAGTGTGGGGGAGAGATGCTGGCTTTCTCCATTAGGTTTGTAGCTGAAAAATGGGGATCAACGGGAATGCCACAGTGAGGATGTGGGGAGGACAATGGAAAGAGGGTGGACAATTGAGTCATGAGCAAGAAGACAAGGAAGGGGCATCCTTGCTGTGGGGCCTGGCCTGGGGTCCCTGATGATAAGAAGGACTAAAGTGGATTTGCTTAAGATGGAAACAGACTTTCTTGGCAAAAAGCCCTGAATTCAACAGCTCATCATTACAAAATCCCACTTATAAAAGTCTATGTCTTCTGCAAGTTCTTATGACTCTATTTAACCATAAAACTTAATGAAGACATAAGACAGCCTCTACTGTTTACTTATCTGTCTGGCTGGCATATGCACATCATTATGGTGGTACTAAAAAGAATCATTATGAATAGGGACAATCATCTACCCCACCAAACATCTGGACTCACAAGAGGCCTCACATGGACTCTTCACTTGGACATGGCTCCCCTGATGCTTTCTAGAAATGCTAGTGAAGATGACCAGTGGTGGAAGGAGGCACTGTTTGATGCCAGCCCAGGCCGGATGCTCAGTGAAGAGGATGGAGGTTAACCACATAGCTAGACACTTCTACCTATGTGAGTCAGGCAGACTAAGGGGCAGCTAATATTTCTGTTCTAGAAGAGGGTGACACTGAACAAAGGGGGATGAGAAAATGGAGGACTGGGAAAGGGAGGAGAAAAATAAGGGAAGAGCCTACTTTATAACAATGTTACTAAAAAGCTTCTAAAAGCCAGGAGTGGTGGCTCACACCTGTAATCTTAGCACTTTGGGAGGCTGAGGCGGGCGATCACTTGAGGTCAGGAGTTTGAGACCAGCCTGGCCAACATGGTGAAACCCCATCTCTACTAAAAACACACAAAAAAATTAGCTGGGCGTGGTGGTGCACACCTGTAATCCTAGTTACTTGGGAGGCTGAGGTGGGAGGATTGCATGAACCCAGGAGGCGGAGGTTGCAGTGAGCCAAGATTGTGCCACTGCACACTCTAGCCTGGGCAAACAGAGCAAGACTCCATCTCAATCAATCAATCAATACTTAATAGCTAGCTTCTAAGCTTCTCCCTCAGTCTCATTTCTCCTACTACCCACCTCAACAGAACTGTCTTAGAAAAAAATACAGATTTCAACATGTCAAACCTTCCAAGCATATCCCTTGGCTACAGGGTAACACCTACGCTTTTTGGCATGCATTTGAGATGCTCCCTGTATTTTTTTCTAGCTTCACTTTGGGCCAACCATTAGTCTTCAAAGCTGCCTCACACTTAGATACCTATGGTGGTGTCCCTCCCTCTGCTGGGACAATCTTCTCCCCACTTTCATTTTGTGAATATCAAGGTATTTCCAAAGCCCAGCTCAAATATCATCTCCTCTCTGATGGTTTGTTAGCTTCCCACATCATCCAACCTTGCACAGCACTGTTTACATAGCTTTATTATAGTTTTTAACATAATGAATCAAATCTAATTCATGAGTTTGTCTTCCACTAGATCATGAAGTCATCCAGCACAGGGATTTATCTCGGCACCTGGCAGAGATCACAGCCCAAGGAGGAGCTCAATAAATGTCCCTTGAAGTAAATAAAAATACAAATTTTTCTAGCTGTGGTAGTCTTCTACGAAATGGAATGTGGTTTAAGTGTGTCTTCTCTTTTCTTCTGCTGAAGCCCATCCTATCCAGCCAAGCAACTAAACACAGGCCATCACAGAGAAACTCTTTGCTTTCTATTTTTCTCTTTGACATTTAAAATTTAGATAAAATTCACAAAAAATAAAATTCACCCTTTTAAAGTAACAAACCAGTTCCAAAATATTTCTACCACCCTAAAAAGAAACCTTGTACCTGTGACAGTCATTCTCAATTCCCTTCTCCCCTCCAGTCCCTGGCAATCACTAAGTCATTGACTTCCTGTCTCTATAGACTTCCCTATTGTGGACATTTCATAGAATATGTGGCTTTTTGTGTCTGGTTTCTTTCATTTAGCATGTTTTCAAGGTACATCCGTACTGCAGCATTTATCAGTACTTCATTCCTATTTATAGTCCAATGTGAACTTCTGGATTCTTTCTACGTTTGGGCTATTATGAATAATGCCGCTATGAATGTTCATGTATAAGTTTTTATGCGGACATATGTTTTCTATTCTCTTGGATATATACCTAGAGGTGGAACTGCTGGGTCATTTAATTGTTCTATTTTAGCTTTTTGATGAATGGCCAAGCTGTATTCCACAGCAACTGTGGAACCATTTTACATTCCCACTAGCAATTTATGTGGGTTCCAATTTCCCCACATTCTTGTCACCAATTGTTATTTTCTGTTTTTCTTTTCTTTTTTTTTTAATTACAGCCATCCTAGTGGGCATGAAGTAGTCTCTCATTGTGGTTTTGATTTGCATTTCCTTAATTAATTGTTGAGCATATTTTCATGTGCTTATTGACCATTTGTTTATCTTCTTCAGAGAAATGTCTATTTAAATCCTCTCCCCATTTTTAAATTGGCTATTTGTCTTTTTATTTATCATTGAGTTGTAAGAGCTCTTTATATATTCTGAATACCAGGACTTTATCAGATATATGATTTGCAAATATTTTCTCCCATTCTGTGGGTTGTCTTTTCACTGTCTTGATAGTGTCCTTTGACACACAAAAGTTTTTGATTTTGATAAAGCCCTTCTTTTGTTTTTGTTTGCTTGTGCTCTTGGTGTCATAGCTAAGAAACCATTGCTAACCTAAGGTCATGGAGATTTACATCTATGTTTCCTTTTGAGAATTTTGTAGTTTTTACTCTTACATTTAAGTCTTTGATCCATTTTTTGAGTTAATTTTTGTGTATGATGAAAGGTAGGGGTCCAAATTTATTCACATACATATGGATATCCAGTGGTCCCAGCACCATTTGTTGAAAAGACTATTCTTTCGCCACAGAATGGTCTTGGCATCCTCATCAGAAAACAACTGACTATGCATATATAAGTTTATTTCTGGACTTTGAATTCTATTCCGTATGTCTATCCTATACCACTACCATACTATCTTGATCAGTGTAATTTTGTAGTAAGTTTTGAAATCAGAAAGTATAAATCTTGCAACATTGTTTTCTTTTTTTTTTTTTCAATGATTGTTTTGGCTATTCTGAGTCCCTTGTATTTCCATGGGAATTTTAGGATTAGTTTATCCATTTCTGCAAAAAAGCCTACTGGGATTTTAACATGATTACATTGAATCTGTAGATCAATTTTGAGAGTATTTCCATCGTAACAATATTAAGCCTCCCACTTCATGAACACAAAATGTCTTTCCATTTCTTTCTTTCTTTTTCTTTTTTTTTTTTTGAGAGGGTGTCTTGCTCTGTCACCCAGGCTGGAGTGCAGTGCTCTTATCTTGGCTCACTGCAACCTCCACCTCCTGGGTTCAAGTGATTCTCCTGCCTCAGCCTCCCGAATAGTGGGGATTACAGGTGCCTGCCAGCCGGCTCGGCTCATTTTTGTATTTTTAGTAGAGATGGGGTTTCACCATGTTGGTTAGGCTGGCCTCGAACCCCTGACCTTGTGATCCACCCGCTTTGGCCTCCCAAAGTGCTGGAATTACAGGCGTGAGCCACCGTGCCCAGCCTGTCTTCAGTCTTTGTACTCCTGATAGTGACCTTAGCAAAACTAAAAAGTACCATATGAAATCAGCACTTTGGGAGGCCAAGGTAGGCGGATCACTTGAGGTCAGGAGTTCGAGAACAGCCTGGCCAACATGGTGAAACCCTGTCTCTACTAATAATACAAAAAATTGGCCAGGTGTGGTGGCGTGTGCCTGTAGTCCCAGCTACTCGGGAGGCTGGGACAGGAGAATCGCTTGAACCCAGAAGGCAGAGGTTGCCGTGAGCGGAGGTTGTGCCACTCCACTCCAGCCTGGGCAACAAGAGCAAAACTCCATCTCAAAAACAAAACAAAACAAACAAACAAACAAACAAAAAACACCGAAGACAGACGGTCAGGTTGTTGGGACAAAAGGTAGCCACCAACAAGAATGAGGAGTGCCCATAGAGAACAGAGGCAATCACAAGAGGGCACAGGAAAAGCACTATGCAGAGCAGTACAGCCATGTAAGGCATGTTAGCCTGGGGGCAAAGGGCTCTATACACTTCAAGAGGCCCGAGAATATCAATGTCAGCGCCAAACACTCTGGCAAAATGGTTGGTAAAATTCAGTGAAAGAATAAGGTAAACCCCACACAATTTTACAGCCCTGGAGGGCATCAATACATCAAAGTTTACGTTCAGTACCATGTTCAGAACAAGGGACTAAGTCATTGAGAAAAGGTTAAATGATATTCACCACACTCCGTCAACAGGCTGCCAAGAACAAATAGATGTTAGAAACATTTCTTTCTAAAAATGCAAATTTCTCATAGCTGTCAGAGCTTACAGTCATAAATTTCAGTTATCTAGACAATAGGGGCCGACTTATTCCCCAAAGATATCAGATGGCTAAGGCTTCAGGTACACATAGACACACATCACTTATAAAGAACCAAAGCACTTTACAACGCAGGTATTCAGGGACTTAGGGAGGACCTGATTACATAAGGACCTTAAGGTAAGAAGTTCTGTTGAGAAGCAACTCTGAGGCACCAGATGATGTCTTCAAGCTGTCACTTATACCTGAGCTAGCCAGCGACAATTCAGAGAAATGCCACCCACCAAAATTTACTTGGACCACCAAGATTTCTGATTGGAGCTCAATTCTCCTGTTACTTTGGCCACCCTCCCAGGTCCTGATCTGTGGTCTGAGTTTCATGGTCATGGTTCTTATTCCTATTTAGTTTTTGGTGTCTTCTGTTTGGACATCTGGTAGCTAACTCTGGCTTTGTTCCATGATTCCACCTCCTGACTCCCAGAGTGGCTCTAACATTCATCTTTGGCCATTCCAGGACTGGCTCTTGCCCACCTTAGTGGTGTTTTACTACATCTTCACTCTTTGCCAGGCCATAACAGGTTAAGCTGAATCCACATAATAAGAAAATATGTTACACTGGGCTTTGCGATAGCTATTTTGTATGTGACGCCAAATATACCCATCTTGTCTGAACTTCCCTCAGGGGAAGTAATTTTTGATCTGACTTTTCTCTAACAGGAAATAGTATATACTAGCAACAGATACCCACTTCACAACGGGGTAAATCCCACTCCCAAGCAGTAAAACGGCTCAAATCCCAACTGGGCATATTCATTCACAAATAAAAGGTCTAAAAGTCAGATGCAAATGAAGATAGCTAGCTAATTGCCCTGTGGGAACTAAAGGGGAAGACTTAGCCCTGGCAAGCAGTTAGGGAAGTTTGAGAAGTGGTTTTCAAACTTATAATGTGCAGAGAGTTACCCGAGAAACTAGTAGATTCTAGGCACGATCCCTAGAAAGTCTAATTCAGCGATCTGGGCTCAGGAATTTGCATTACAACAAGAGCCTTAGGTAATTCTGATGCAATCAGTCCTTGGTCCACCCTATGAGGAACACTGCATCACAGCAATGAGAACTCTGACAGACACATAGGACAAGTGCAGTAAGTACAGGACCCCACCAATCCTTCCTTTCCGAGATGCTATGATTCATCTTGTCTAAGGCAGGTCATCTGGCCAATCCTTTCCTAATACTTTTATTGCAGAATATCAGCTCAGTTCCAAGATCAACCTGGTTTTAGCAAAGGCAATGTTCATTTCCCAAGTTTCCACAAGGAAGATGGTTTTAGAGTAAACAGGAATATATGTCTAAGTTACATTTTTCTCTTGACTAAGAAAGAAATGCTATGAAGAAAAATATATCATTTAAGTTACACATTATTGTTCTTCATCAATCTTCATCCCTTAAATAGAACATCTCCCCATGGTAATTTCAAAAGTCTCATGATTTTGCCCAAATTAAACAAGTAAGATATTTTAAATTGAACAGCAATAACTGTTACTTTAAATAAGGAATGAAAATATCTATTTGATGCAGAAAACATTCAAATGAGAAACACACATAGTATTGGTGAGGAATGCCTTTACCTGGATGTTCTGATGCCTAGGAGCCTGGCAGACCAACGGTAGAGCCCAGGAAACACAGAAGGCTGTGCACGAAACTGGGTAGGCAAGTTTCCCCAGACACTTCCTCAAGCAAAACTGGAGGGGGACCTCAGGAAAACCAGTTAAATTGGGAGGATTCTGATGGGGATAGTAGGCTTTTGGAATCTAAGATAATAGAGGATATTGATGAGCTATTAGATCCAGGAGGTCTGTCTGATATTTGAGATAATGGAGCCTCCATTTGTTTCAGGACGATGCCTTCATTTTTACATCAACATGGATTATGGCTTGCAGGGGATATATGGACTGACTGATGCAACCATTAAGGATGTTAGAGCCCCACTCTTACTATTATTGTGATATGTGTGTGTGTGTTTATTTTTTTCCTAGGAGGATCTTTATTTTTTCTCCCAAATTTCATAACTGGTTATGCAGATGTTTAATTGAGAGGAATAATTATGAATTACAATTTTTTTCTTTCAAACTTTCCTATCTGAATCATTTACTGCCTTCCCTCTCTAATTACAACTGTTTTAAATATTATAAAATTAAAGTTTAAAAAATAAACATTGCTAGTAGGCAAACCCAAGCCCCAAAAATCTCAGTTTTTAAAGAAAATGTTAATGTTTCTTGAAAGCCTTGTGTATTATAAGATTGATGGTTTACAGAAAAGGAATTTAAAGTCAGAATAAGAAGTAGACAAAGTCGATTGAGAGAGAAAGGCAGGTAGATTAGCACCATGAAGGCAAAGGAACAGTGGAATTCAATGGATAAGGATGATCAGAAGTAAGCTCAATTAAAATGTGAGAATACAGGTTTCCAGCTACTAGAATACACAAGATGTTAGGGACATATTCTGAGAAAAATGCCTAATTAGGAAATTAACGCTGAACTGTTGACCTAGAGTTTTTGAGCCCTTTTATCACTCTGATATGCTTTGGGTAAATAACTCAAGGCAGGCAAATTTCATCCAGCTTATGCTTGCTCTTCAACTCTGACCCTTGCCTACTGAATGACTTTAAATAACTGTTGCAGAAAAAAATGATATCATTTTAATTTCCAGTTCCATCCCCATCTGGCCAGGGAGAGGGTCAATTAATATTATTGTGTTTTGTCTTTAGGGCATCTGATGCCCCTGAGGACCAGCCTGCGGGATAGTCTGTTTTTGCAGGGTTTCTTGGCCAGAATCAGAAGAGTGGGATTCAGGACAAGGCCAGTTCACGTAACATAGCTCAGAGCCATACAACACAACTTGCTCCAAGGATGTTGGGCATTGTGCTTCATTAGGAAACAAAATATAAGCTTTCCACACCATTAGGAATGACTTTAGGAGTGAAAGCACATAAGACGATGCCTCACCTCATCAACAATGCACTGCAGAAGCTGGAGAGGCTGCAATGGAAAAGAAGAGAGGAAAAAGTATTAGCCTCTATGCAATATCTTTACAGTGGAGTGGAAAGAAAAAATCATTAATGCAATAAAATATAGCAAGATTAATCAACAACAGCAAACTCTTATAAAAACATTGATGCTCAGGAGGTTCTATTATTTCTAATGGTACCTAATCTAATACAGGCAGTTAAAGGTTTGCATTTTCTTCAAAATGCAATTTGCTAAGTTTAAAACAAGGCATTCAAGCATGCAAAGGAAGCAGCCATCAGGAAAAAGAAAAGTGAATTTTTTTCTGAACTCATAAAGCTTACCATTAAAGATCCCTGGTTTTTCTGAATCTGAAAAAAGGCAATATGTAATTAGCATGTCATAATCAAAATGACTCACTTGGACACATTATGATCACTGAGAGAAAATTATTGCATTGCTGGTGGCAATTTGTGGGCATGTGTTAACACAATTTACATAATGAAAATACACAAATGTTAATAGCTCGCTTCTCATTTATAGGCGAAAGTCAGCAGAATGTTAATTTCACACAACACTTTTTAGTACCCTCCAGGTTGTATTAGAATAGGGAGAAAAACCATAATCCATTTCAAAAGGCTGTTTACGATTCAGATATAAATAATGTTTTATATTGCTAGATTGTGAACACTGGGCTTAATGTTGCAATCATTGCTAATGTTACGAAGCTCACTCTTTTTAAATTAAAAACCGATTTATTTAAAATTGAAATTAAATCATAGTCAGAAATTAGAATTTTGGATTCCTGCCAGTGTCTGCTCACAATCCCCTATTTTGTGAGGAAAACTTTAATTATGTAGTTGAAGTATTTGCACCTAACTTAGGAGTGGGGTAACAACTCCACCTTTTCCAAAGTTCCTTCTGCCTGTTTCCAGGGCAGCAATGCTCTCTGGGAAAATCAAATTCATGGAAGTTTCACACTGATTTTTAGGGAATAAATGCAGAGTCCAGTAAGAGCGCATTTCTGATCAACATTCTGAAGGCAGGCTGCTCACACATTTAACACTGATAAACTGCATTTCTTACAAAGCTACTAAAACGTGACATAAAAATTAATAAAACATCCACTTAGTCATTAAAGTACTAAACACTTCAGTGCCTCCCCATCCAGGAAAAATAAAGCTTACAGTTATTATAAACTCAATGAAAATGAAACTCCAGGTACTACATTTTCTAACAGAGAACTTTTCAGGAACCAAATACTGATGGGTCAACTGTTTTCTGAGATAACTGGGCTCCAACCAGCCGGTAAAATACAGGGAAACTAGTAATAATCCCTTATATGTTTTTAAAGGTGTTTTAAAAAATTCTTTCCCATATACAAACTCATTTGATCTGTACAACCACCCTGAGTTTGGCAGGGATGATCATCTTTATTCTATGATGGGAAAGCTGGGCCTATCAGAGGACAGTGTCCGGGCCTGAGGCCTCAGCGCCAGGGTGTGGTGGTGCTGGGGCTCCTCCAGAGCTCCTTTCCTTCCAGCATCTGTATTACACTTGCCTATGATCATAGAGTTATTTGAAAACAACTGTATTTGTATACATTTATACTTGGTATGGTATTGTTGATAAATTATCCATTTTGACATGTTGGTTCCTCTCACCTAGACTGTGAGTTTCTCAAGAGCTGCAGCTATGTTTATGCATTTCTTTTGCATCCATGTGGCTGATCAGCACACCCTTCTTCCTACTGCCTGAGTGTTTTAAAAAGTGTTTTCCCATATATTTGTCAAATGAACACGGCGCCCACTCATTGCTCTTATTGGCTTTTCATCACTTCCTCCCCAATCACTACTTTCAGAAACCTCTGTCCCAGGTTGACTGGCTTAGTCTATGTTGATAGTCCCTGCTTGATGTTGTCCTGAATTACTGCTTCTTCTGGTTTCTCCAGTCCATGAGTATTTCCAGACAAGATTCTGCAGGTAAAGATTTACATTACAAGGGAAGGCGGAGCTGTAACCACCACCCGGAAGTGGTTAAGAATTTCAGTAACAAGCCAAACTACCTTTAAAAAAATACTGAAAAGCCTGGATAACCTCTCCTATGACATGAGATATCTATGGAGTTTGCTTTTATTTTTTTTTCAAGCACACACTGATACTCCCCCCACCCCTACATTCCTAGTAAGATATATCTGCTTCAACAACGGAGTTATTTGTAATGAATAAAGAATCAGAAATCCATTTCTGACATCAAAGAGAATGTGTTTCACAAATTTCCAAGAGTCAGGGGGATGACAACATTCTCTGAGGAGAACATGCAGCAAACATTCTAAGTGAGAGGTTTTGAAATGAATTCAGAAATGGATTATGAAACACTGTCCCCAGAAACATATGAGTTGTGTGAATCAGATTAACTGAGGGGAGGAAACTTCCTCATGAACTGAGGTCTTAAAGTCTCTAGTTTGCCCTATTTTGCAGGTTAAAAGCTTAGTCTAAGTCAACTTAAAACTGTACTATTTATGCTTGCTCTTCATTAAAAGAAAGAGAAAAACAGCAATATCAAAGTCTTTTTTTATAATCTTATAACTATACTGTTTTGCCCAGGTTTTTAAAGAGAGACGTTATCAGGTTTTATTATACAGTTTTGATAGCAACATATTATATGAAATCATCTTCATAAATTTTGTATTAAGGTAACAGTGCCAGTACCTGAAATTGATTCAAAATGCTTAAGATACTCAATTACTTTTTAACAGTTACACAATGCAGTGACTTATATCTTCTATTTCACAAGAATTTGATGATGCAACATCATTGTAATTGATTCATTTTCTCAATTAAATAAAGCTACTGTGCTTTTCTTTATATGAATGCCACATAGACCATAGAGTTAGATGTATTATCTCCTTTTTCTGTCTCAGATATATTGCCATAAAGGCTGTATTATGTTCCTCTGTTAATTCCACCAGAAAATTTAATGCCACAGTCATATTTTTAAAATTCTGAACTGCCATGTACTCGGCTGTATTTATATTAGGCATATTTTTCACTGCTAAACTCTTTGTTGTTTACCTTTTTCAAGATCACATTACTGTATAGGCACAGCAACCATAAAACAGATCCAAACAGTCAACCTCCAGTCATTGCCTCTGCTTTTGCACACAGTTCATGAAAAAGTGAAGCCCCTAGTTTATAGCACATTAAAAGTGGAACCAAGGGTCCTCAATATAAAATGTTGGCTTTGTGAATGCCTATCTTTATTCTGGGTCTGCCTTCCAAATGCTTAGCTGTGAGAGCAGAGTTCAGAGGAACGCAATAATATTGTTAGGGCTGATGTACTGCCTGCACCTCACAACATATGAAATGCTGTTTATAACTAACTTGTCCAAGCCCTCATTCCTGCTTATACATTTTGCGTGTGTTGAGTGTTTTCTATGTCTAACTAGTACTTTGGGACAATGAGAGAACAGTAATTGTTCCAGTCACACACTTTGTTAATCAGTCTCTAGAACTAGTTGCATTTTGATAGATGAACCTCTTCCCTTTTCTGGGCATAGATTTTTTTTTTTCTTTCATTAGCTGTTAGATTCAAGATTTAAAACCACACTAACAGGGGATAGTTACGTCTCATTCTGATGTAAGGCAGACTCTTATGTGTTTAAATGGGGAAGAATGACTTCATAGAAGGCAGCCACAAGTACCAGTTAGGTCTTGGTATTATTATAGTAACATTTATCATATATTTCCTTACAAGGACCATCATTAGCAATTAGAAAATTCTTATAACATGACTTATGACTGTGAAAAATGATGCTAGAAAGGAAATTGCCAATGTAGAAGTTTGCTTGTGGGTCCTCAACTATTTAGCCAATGGCTCTGGTGATAAAAAGCAATTTTGGAAGTCTCACTTTATGCTTTGCTCTCTGTAGAGGAGCTTTTTACATAAGTGGTAAAACAGATCTTGCTACCAGCCCCTTTTACATTATATTCAGAGGCACAATCAGAAAACTAAAATGAATCTACCTATGTAACTTAGAGAAGACACCAGCTATAGCTTTCATTTTCTCTTTTACTCTCTGAAATTATGGCTTGCCCTGCAGCTCTTGTCTGGAAGATTTATGTGTGACCTAGGTCAGATCTTCCAATATCAGTTGACAAATTTTCTCTTTACATATTTACTGCTTTTCAAGCTTGTATTATTTTCTCTTAAATAGAAAGAAGAAATATAAAATTAAATCATATGGTTGGAATTTTTAAAGAATAGCATTTTCATTTGTTGTGCTACTGGCATCACATTCTAGCTTTCAATGTTGAGCTCTTTATTCTTTTTTTTAAAACTTCAAATTTTAGGAGCTGTGGCTATTTTGCAAGGACTCTCTTTTCAAATCAGATGCATTAAGCTATAACCCTGGCTAAATATAAACAGGGATTATGGGAAACTGAGACATTCATATTCTAAATGAAGAATTATGATCCAAAGTATTTATGAAAGGAAGGAACCCCAGAGATGATCTAGTTCAATCTACTCACTTTGCTTTAGGGAAGCTGAGGCTCAGAGGGGAGCAGCGCTCAAAGTCATAGATAGTGCCTGGCCTGACCCTGACGGCTGGGTTAGGAGACTGTCCACTGTGAGGAAAACGCATGAACTTTGGAGTAAGAAAGACCCCTGGGATTCTAGTCAGATGCCCATGGTCCCCAGAAGCCCCCTCCCTTCAGTGGGGCTTAGAGCTGTCATCTACAAAGTGAAGGAATGAGCTAGAGAAGTCCAAAGATTCCTTGAAGCCAGAGCTTCCCATTCAGGAGCCATGTTTATTTTTCCTACCCAAGGGTAGGTACCAGCAATCAATCTAATTTTATCTGGCACTGTGCTGGATATTAAAACTTAGGGACATACAACCTCCAATCCATTATAACTTGCAAAAACAAAGTGTCCATATCTCAGAAAGCCTTCAATGAGAAAAACAAAACCACTGCTCCATGATAAGCTTTATATACATTGCCTAGTACCACTAACTTAAAGAGTTCCCAAACAAATCACTTTTAAATAAAGGAAGAGAACAAAATTTACTCTGGCTAACTACAAATGGGACTTTTAGCAAACTGATATGTGAAGATACTAAATGCATTCAGAAACAAAATAAATGGATAATATATACTACTTCCAATAATTTCAGGTGAACACGTATAATTCACTTGTGCAATCCTATCTCCCCTGTTCATCAGCCTCTGTCCTTGCTCAAGTTCTTATCATGTCTGTGGGTCTATTAGTATATTTTCACAGGACCTAAAAAAGTCACAGGAAGATTTAGCAGGCAGCTACTCAGTAGGTTATAAGAAGGAACCAACGATTCTCGCATTCTAAGATCTACTCACTGGCACCTTCTCTCTGGCGCAAATCTCAGACTCCAGCTGGGGTGCTGTATTCAGGAGTGACCAGTTTTGAAAAGCAAAAACTACATATCCCTGAATTTAGCAAGCAGCTAGGTAGGACAGAAAGGCTTTAAGATGCCTACAGGAGGGCACAGCTCTGATGGGACCAGACAGAAAATCATCACAGCCATAAATTAGTTTACTTGGCCTCACTGCTTCCTGAGTATCAAGGACAATGCATTTTCACACAAAATACAACAGCTGGAGCATTGAGGTACAGCAAAACATTATTCATTTGCTGGGTCTGCCAGTCAGTGAGGAGGAAAAAAAAGGACCTGGCTGCCAGTTCATACTGTTTTATCCTTTGTGTATTTAAAATTGACATAGCTCATGTCCCACACCACATAGGTGTATAAGAGCCAAAGTAAATCTTCCTGTTGGTAATTGCACATTTTAATGTTTAGACTTGAATTTTGCAAGGAAAGCAGGGGCTTAGAATTGTAATTTAAAATGATTAATGTGAATTATAAAATCTTTTTCCTGATGGTATGAGGTCTGTCCACAGAGTCCATTAAGTACCTAAGTTTTGAAGATTTTAGACATTTGCCATATCAGTCTTTTCTCCTTTCTTTGTCCCAAAAGAAGGGTGGCCTTATTTTAGAATCCAGTTTAAGAATATTAATTGTGTGTGGAGACATGGGAAAGGGGCAGCTGGGGGAAGGAGGTGTTGCTTTTTCTGAGAACGGTCCTTTAGACTACTCTACTCTTTATGGTGAAATAAATCTGCTACAGCAACATTTTAATGTTTCAAAATGTCTGAGAGGGTTTTTCCGGAGCTTTCATTTAGTTTGCACCTCTCTTAGCTTAAATCCTCTACATGATGTTGGAAGTCACCTAGTACAATTCTTTGCCTAATGTAGAAATTCACTTTATAATATTCCAAACATATAGGTATTCTGTCTTTGCTACAAGACTTCTAATGATGAGATTCCAATGATTCTCTTTTGGGCAGATTAAACTGTTAACAAAGTTCTTTCTTGGCCGGGCGCAGTGGCTCACGCCTGCAATCCCAGCACTTTGGGAGGCTGAGGCGGGCGGATCACGAGGGCAGATCATGACCATCCTGGCTAACATGGTAAAACCCCATCTCTACTAAAGATACAAAAAATTAGCCGGGTGTGGTGGCAGACACCTGTAGTCCCAGCTACTCGGGAGGCTGAGGCAGGAGAATGGCATGAACCTGGGAGGCAGAGTTTGCAGTGAGCTGAGATCGTGCCACTGCACTCCAGCCTGAGCGACAGAGCAAGACTCCCTCTCAAAAAAAAAAAAAAAGTTCTTTCTTATTTTGAATCCAAGAAGTATGTCTTTCTGTAAGATGTGCCCATGATCTGGAGCTATGGCATATAAGTTTAATGACAGCTCTTCATATATTTGAAGATAGCAGTCATGTCTCCACAATGTTGTCTTTCTTGAATGAACATCCCTGTTTTCTTCCTTATGATCAGTTGGTATTTTGGTTGCCCTCTATCCTTCTCCCCTTTATTACTAAGGATACTCCAACAACACTCCCCCACCCCCAAGAAGCCCGTGTGTTCCATGGGAAGATGACTTCACCCCCAGCTCTAGGGTATGGTAGGTGGTTCAGACCTACATTAGTCAGCAACATCTAAATCCCCTGGGCACAGGGAGTTGAACTGGTCCAATGAAACTGCAGCCTAAGGCCTTTGGTTGCTTCTGAGGAAAAGAGACCTGCTGTTCCCCTCTCAGACAGGAAGTGGGTTGCTCCAGGAACCCCAATAACCATTCTTGGTCTGTGAAGGAAGAAGCCTACTAAGGAGAGAACCGAATATGAATTGCTGAGTCAAGTCCCAGCTAAAACCAGCAAGGAAGACTAGGCTTTACAGTCATGCAGTCCAGTTATTTCCCCTTGTGATTAGGGCTCCTTTGAGTTGAGTTTTCTGTTACCTGGACATGAAAGCTGCCTGAAGAACCCAGGCATGATTTCCTATTCTCCACCACCACAGTCACCTTTCTCTGAATTTGTTTCCATATGTGTATGTTCCTCATAAAGTATGACACCCACACCTGAACACAGACCTCGGATTGACGGGCTTAGATCACTATGTTTTGGACCTGATACACCAGACAGCCGAGACTCAAGGAGGCTAAAAGTGCATTCACTTTTTTTTTTTTTTTTTTTTTGAGACGGAGTCTCACTTTGTCACCCACACTGGAGGGCAGTGGCACGATCTCAGCTCACTGCAACCTCCACCTCCCCAGTTCAAGCAATTCTCCTACCTCAGCCTCCTGAGTACCTGAGATTACAGATGCATGCCACCATGTCTGGCTAATTTTTGTATTTTTAGTAGAGACGGGGTTTCGCCATGTTGGCCAGGCTGGTCTTGAACTCTTGGCCTCAAGCGATCTGCCTGTCTCAGCCTCCCAAAGTGCTGGGATTATAGGCATGAGCCACCACGCCAGGCCATGCATTCACATTTCTGATAGCCTTATCACACAGTTGGCTCAAATGAGAGAAGACCGAGAAGTATATAAATCTTACTGAAAGAAGTATATAAATCTTTTTTATATACTGAAAAAGAAATCTGAGACTGAAAAGGAAACACTTTTTTTTTTGTTGAGACAGGGTCTCACTCTATTGCTCAAGATGGGGTGCAGTGGTGCAATCATAGCTCACTGCAGCCTTGACCTCCCTGGACTCAAGTGATCCTCCCACCTCCGCCTCCTGAGTAGCTGGGACTACAGGTGTGTGCCCATGTGAAGACAAGTTGTCACATATCCTCAGAAGGTGTTATGCTCAGGTATTCATGCTGGCTGGATAGAGTGGGAGGATGGGACATGGAAGAAAAGAAAGGGGCCAAAACAATTGATTTAGAGCCTCAGGATTTCTGTTCTTGGTTCCCTCTGATTGCAAACATGTAAAAAGTAAACTTGGGCTACATAATTACTTTATCGATTTCATATATGTTTATTAAGTCCTTATGCTATGCCAGGCGCTATACTAGACTCTAGGACCCAAAAGATGGATAGAATACAATTGCTGGCCCACAGAAATGAGTGACTTATTAAAGGTTCCTGAAACCTAGTAGCAGGGCTAAGATTTAATTAAGCACAGGGCTTGGACTCTCCTCTAAAAGTCACTCAGTATTTGGACAAAATACAAGTCTCTGGAGTTTTGCTTTCTTCCCTCAGGGTTCTATAGATTTCTAAGACAGCTTCCCCCCATCCTTCCAACCCCTAAAGCTCCCTACCACATGGTAATGTTTCTAGGCATTGTAAGAAAGGTTGCTGCATTAGTTTTGGTTCCACATATCACTGAACATTTTTTTACCATGATATATTTGGATGTGGCCTACTGAGATTTTGAGATCAGTTGTATTGCAGCCAATACATGGTTCATATGGGATAAGGAGGGAAATAATCTTAAAATTGGCCAGGTGCAGTGGCTCATGCCTGTAATCCTAGCACTTTGGGTGGCCGAGGTGGGTGGATCACCTGAGGTCAGGAGTTTGAGATCAGCCTGCCCAACATGGCGAAACCCCATCTCTACTAAAAATACAAAAATTAGCCAGGTGTGGTGGCACATGCCTGCAATCCCAGCTACTAGGGCGGCTGAGGCAGGAGAATTGCTTCAACCCGGGAGGAGGAGGTTGCAGTGAGCTGAGATTGCACCACTGCACTCCAGCCTGGGCAACAGAGTGAGACTCCATCTCAAAAAAAAAAAAAAAAAAAAAAAAAAAAAAAAAAAATATATATATATATATATATATATATATATATATATATATAGTCACACACAATCTTGTGAATTAACATGTGTCTTACTGGCTTGACTGTAAATGAAATTCAAAATAGATTTAAACAAAATAAGTCATGGATCAAGAATGAACTGGATAAAGTTTGACTTACTTTATCTTTTTTTTTTTTTTTTTGAGACAGGGTCTCACTCTGTTGCCCAGGCTGGAATGCAGTGGCACGATCATGGCTCATTACAGACTGGACCTCCTGGGCACAAGTGATCCTCCCTCCTCAGCCTCCTGAATAGCTGGGACTATAGGCATATGCCACCACACCTAGCTGGTTTTTAAATTTTTTGTAGAGACGGGGTCTCCCTGTGTTGCCCAGGCTGGTCTCAAACTCCTGGGCTCACGTGAGTCTCCTGCCTTGGGCTCCCAAAGTGCTAGGATTACAGGTTTGAGCTAGCACACCTGGCTCCAATGTTTGATATTTGATTCAGAGTTTTACTTCACACCTCCCATATTTTGATATAGGTACAATCAGGTTTCAGTAAACTTCAAGGAAGTAATCGGAGGGAGATGGTGATGAGCAAGAGGGCTGAAGGTGTGGACAGGAGGAGGAAGCTGCTCATCTAAGGTGAAAGCAGACCATAGAAATATCCTGTCCAGCATTTTTCAGACTCTGTTTACGAAATAACTCTAGTTCAAATAAGGTATTACTTAGATGCATTTAAAAATTACCAGATAGAAGCAGAGCTGCTCGTGTGGTTGTGTGTACATGTGTATGTGGGTGGATCCCCATCTCCTCTATACACTGTCTACCCACAATTCTGTAAATTACTAACCTAGGGCATTTCCATCATTTTCCAGGTGAGGAGGCTGAAGTCCAAAAAGAAAGAAGGTCAAGCAACTAATAAGAAAAGCCAAGACCAGAACTCAGGTTAGCTCTGTGCGTATGTTTGGGTAGAAATCATATACTGTCAGTGACTTAATTTGTCACTTGTCGGGTGTGTCATTTGCTGCCTCCTATGCCCTCTACCCTGAATCACTGAGTGTTTCCAGCTGCCTGGCTACCAAGAAGGCATAGGGCTATCCAAAGAGCAGGGCCTGGAAGGAGGCCTTTGGCCAGGAACTTTCTTTTGATTAAAGGATTTTACCAACTAGGCCTGGAGTCCAGGTCGCCTCATGCCTTATGCCCAGAAGAGTGCTCTCTGCAACTTGTTTCTGAACAGAAAACAAAACAAGACAAGCTTCATTACCCCTTTGGTCTCTCCTCCTCTGAACCTGTAGGCCAATAGCTTCTTCTCTCATAAGACTATTCTAGGCCAAGTGCAGTGGCTCACGCCTGTAATCCCAGTACTCTGGGAGGCTGAGGCAGGCAGGTCACCTGAGGTCGGGAGTTCGAGACCAGCCTGGCCAACATGGCGAAATCTCATCTCTATTAAAAATACAAAAATTAGCCGGGTATGGTGATGCACTCCTATAATCCCAGCTACTCGGGAGGCTGAGGCAGGAGAATCACTTGAACCTGGGAGGTGGAGGTTGCAGTGAGCCAAGATCATGCCACTCCACTCCAGCCTGGGTGACAGAGTGACACTCTGTCTCAAAAAAAAAAAAAAAAAAAAAAAAAGACTATTCTATTCCCCAAGCTGTTCTTTCCTTCTCCCCGTGGTGGTCACCATCTGCAGACATTGATGGGTGCAGCCTAACAGTCCACACTTGGTTCCAATTGGCTGCCTTGGTTTCCCAAAATTCCTTGGAGATGACACCTTGGCTCTGTGCATAAACAGACAACTGCCTCCTTTCCTAGCTCCTCGTGGTCTCTGGGACCCTCTTTCCACCTGGTGTGTCCTGGCAATCTCCAGCCCTAAATCGAATCAGCTCTTTGCTCCTTTTAGGCAACTCATTGATTTTTTCAATGAACTTAGCTCGTCTGTTTTATTGGCACTGAAGAGGGTTGGGTTCTTAGCATCATTAACATTTTAGTTGAGGAAGAATTCCCAAACCTCCCACGCATTAATCCATAACTGTTAAACATCTAAAAAGTAATCTATGCTCAAACAAAGCTCGGCCAGGTCTGTCCCCTTTTTAACTTGGAAGCCAATGAGCCCCTATCCCCAAATCTACCCAAGTTTTCCATACTGAATGGTGATAAGTAAAACACTGGAGTATAATAAAAGTTGATGTCTTTGTCTGTTGCTGCTGCTACTACTGCTGTTGAGGACCATTCTCCCCCCAGGGATCCATAGCCAGTCAGCAATTACCTGGCAGGCACAGAGCATCCTGGGACAGTAATTTTCATCTCTGCAGACACACCAGTTGGAGGCAGTACTTGAGTGGATATGTGTGTAAAATAAGGACGGCCATTTAGACTCACAGTCTCTGGATGCCTTATCTCACTTTCTCCCCCACCATCCCTCTAAAGTAAAAAGACCACTGCACTGTGAGTGGGAGACAGTCTGGCCCTGTTGCTGAATACCTGGTAATCATGAGTGAGTCATTTAATGGCTGTGGACTCCTATTTCCTCATCTGTAATCTAAGAGTTGGACTAGATCATTGTAAGATCTCTTCACATGCTGAAATCCTATGATTCCATAAAGTAGCAGACTGCATCAATAAAAGCAAAGGGAGAGAAGTGGAAGGCCTAGTGGACCGCAGAGCTTAAGAGGGAGAGATAATAGCAAAGCTGCCACATGAAAGCCAGACTGAACACCAAGTTCATTAACTTTCAATTCTATTTCTGGGGGCTAAATTGATTATTTAAAAATTGTAAGGGAATCATGGTCCCCAGTAACTGAACTAAAAATGACGAGATTCTGTATATAATTCTATATATTATATGGTGATTGTGAATGATAAATTATAACTCAAAAAAGAAAGTCTGTAAAGGAAGGCTCTTGTGGGATCAGAAAAATAATTCATTTTAGTCCTACCTGGTGTGAGACATGGTCATATATTTTCAGAGTTACATAGGTAAATCCCTGAAGAACTTTCTGGAAATATAAATAATACTAATATTACCTAGCTCTTGTTTACCACCTTATATTTTTCAAAGTGCTCTCTTAGGCATTAGTCCATTTGATCATGACAATTCCTCCCCAGCAGTCTAGAAAATGCCGTGATATACCAAGCCAAATTCATAAAGGGTGGCAGGGAACCCCTCAGGGGCATGTGCCAACTGTCCTCAAGGGCAGAGACCTTAAAATGCAATGACTTCCAACCTCAGATCAGCCCCAGTCATGTCAAGGGGATGTACAAAATTCTCAAACCCAATTTCTTTATCTGGTCCCTGCTACACTTGCCATCTCCATCCTGACACATTACCTCCCTCCTCTACCATGCTCCCCTCCCTTTTCTTACTTCCTTCCCACGGTGACTTTAAAAGTTACCTAGGAGAATTGCTAAGCTGTTAGGGAAATGAAAGTAACAATGGTAGTACTGTTAAAGTACCGGAACAACACCAAATATAATATGCTGTTTTAGACCTTTATCTTTTACCAGATGAACCTCCTTTGGACTTGAGTACCTAGCACATCCTTTCCCATGCTTCTTGCAAAGGGAGAGAAGTAGAAGGCCTCCTGGACCACAGAGCCTAGGAGGGAGAGATAATAGCAAAGCTGCCACGTGAAAGCCAGACTGGACACCAAGTTTATTATTATGACTTGGTGTCCAAGTTCATTACTTTAACCTTCTATTCTATTTCTGGGCTAAACTGATTATTTAAAAATTACAAAGGAATCATGGTCCCATCCTTCTTGCCTCAGAGCCTCGGCTCAAGCGTCAGCTATCTACTCTGTGAAACCCTCTTGGTTTCCTGAAGTGAGCTGACCACTCCCTTTTCCTCTTGAGGTCAGAGCATCCCATCTCCTGGAGGATTCCTTTTATATCAACTGCCATTGGTTTTATGTTTTTCTTCCAACTGGACTGCACTCTTTTGAGAGCAGAGACCACATCTGTTTCATTTTTGTGCTCCTAGTGCTTAGTCAGGCACAGAGTAGGTGCTCAGTGACAAATAATGTTGAATTGAGATGTATGTCATACAATAGTGTAGAAGGTACTACAGAATCAAACCAACATGAGGTTAGTGCTTTCAAACAACACAGGAATCACGAACCTAACTGGCCAAATACAGATATCTCAATTGAAGTATTAACAAATAATTTATCTTTAATGAAGAATTTCACATTTCTAAGCTACCCACACATTGGGGATGATGTCTCTTCCATTTCTGCTCTATTTTAAGGACATACTAGGAACCCACCTCCTGTTTCTGGCATAGGCTAAGCAAATAAAATAATGAGACTTCTTGATAAGTACACAATAGATATGGAGAAGAATTTGACACTGGCAATTTAAAAATTCCTAGGAAGAAGCAAATGTGTATAAGTGAACATCTTCATGTCACTTAAATTTCGTCTCTGCATTTTATGGAATATAAATCTGATTTTATGCTTGAAATATCAGGATATTTTAAATGTCTATATCCTAAATAGTGAGGACAAAAGTAAAATGAATTAAAACATATAGGCTAGACATCTGTTTAGAAAAAAAATTGCATGCATAGTGCCCCTTTAAACTCTTGCAAATTAAAGGTGAGTACTTGAAGTTTGGGGTGATTACTCATTGCTATTTTTTCCTTGATTAAAGACCTCACATACAAAAAACTGTATATTTAAAAATTTACTTAAATCCTTCATGTTCCAAACTTCAAAAAGTTTATGCAACAAAGGATAGATTCTAATACCTCTTTTCAAAGAGTGCAAACTTTTTAGGTATTTTGCAATTCCAGGAGTGATCAGTAAACATAAATAAGATAATGATATCTGTGGTCTAAATTTAACATAGAATATAAGACATCAGTAAACAATCAACATTAGAATTAGTAACAATATACTAGTCAAAGGCTTTTAAAACACAAATAAAATTAAGTGTAAAAACTCTAGTACTTCAACATTAGCATTTGAAAAGTGCTCAATGTTTTTAAATAGTTTTAAGAACATATGCTTTCTACTCTATTCTGAAACACATACTCTATCCAGAGCACAATTTATTACTACAAAATAAATGAATGTTTAAAAGACAGTCTGTCAATTGAAAAAAACAAAACACATTAAAATAGCACGTTTCCAAGCCAAGTTAAACAAAATATTTTCTCCTTGACAAGCTGCTTACATTTAAATGAAAACAGGGCAAATCTGGTCAATAATATGGATTGCATATAATAAAAAGGACCTTAGATCATGTTAATACAAGGATCAGAAAGCAGTAATTTCAATTAAAACTACCCAATTATTTAGCAAACTTTCAGATGCAGCAAATAAATTAATCGGTTTTAAATGAAAGTGCTCAGATAAGTAGCTTTTTGACCTATGAGTAAGTCTCACTAGCAGCAGTCACAGCACAGCAAGAATCTGCTGAAGCAAGGCAAAGCTCCCAAATCAAACAAATGTTATTGGTAATCAAAAAGCATTTGCAAAACGTATTTCCTTGGTTAATAGCAGGAGGTTCTGAAGCAAATGCCACCTACAGCTCCTCTCATACTTTGATATGTAGTATATAGGGGTTGAACACACATTTCTCTTACCCAAGGATGACAGAAGTATCTTGGTTTTAACAACAGGATATTTTCATTTCTGAACTATCTATGGAAGGTGCCAGTCGTTATATCATTAAGAATGCATATTTTTCACTTATTATCTACCTATGTTTAACTTGTATTGGGATTTAAGAATGCCTCTTTGAGACAAGCAATATGTCATCATTTTGTTCAGCTAACAGGCCTGACAGCCCTGTCTCCTTGAGTTAAGTAAAGTAGATCTCTATTTTGTACACTGGTGGCAAAAGCTGGCAGAATAAATGAGAATTAGCCAATTGGTAGTAAAAGTTTCTGATCCCAAAGATTCAGACCTTCCTTTTACCCTAGTCCAAATTATTCTATTTGGCCAGATGATGGTATTTTTTTTTCCCAATAAAAGTGATCTTCTCCATATACTGCAATAATTTATTTGAATGCCATTCTTATGTGTTTTTAACAAATAACATCACTATTCACTATTTCTCTTATCTTTTTGATCCTTTTTTACTACTTATCATCTTATTTGAAACAGATTTTTAACAGATAAACTGGATCGTTACAAGAATATCTTGCTTGCATTTTATTCAAATAATTCTTAAAAACAGCTTAAAAAGCCGTTTGGAATAACATCAAGCTTGCCATCAATCAAACGAAAAAATTCCGCTGGCGGTTGTATAAACATCAGATCAAGTCTGATGTCTTCAAGGATTTCAGAGTGAACCATAAAAAACTCCATTAACTTCTGACAAAGAATGCAAATTAATCACAACATGGGGTGAAATGAAATTAAAGGCTCTTTTCTAATCAATGACAAGGCAGGATGAAATATTTGTTACTCTCTCTGCACTCAGACTGCCTAGGATGTTTGCACTTCCCTTGCAAAGCCCCAAATGTAAGGTGTGAGTACAGATTCGCCCACAGTCGCTGTTAAGCCCCCCCTCCCCACAGAGCTATCTGCTTACAAGTCGTGGAGATTCACAAAACACACTAATCATCCGAATCTCAGGTGCATCCAATTTGTTATTCACACTCTCCCATGCCAGTGAAAAGCCTGGCGCAGACAGATGCACCAGGAACCCTAAATGACAGTTTTGGCCTCCGGAAGTACGATCACTACAGCAAAATCTAGTACAGCCTCCAGGTGAAATGTCTGGAGCTCCATATGGAGCAGGGAAAATTAACAACAAGATGAAAATCACTGCAGCAGCGGGGAGTCGGAATTTTTGAAAAAAAAAATGAAATTTAAAGATGAAGAAAGAGAAGTAATAAATTAATGGGGTGTGAAAACATTCAAAGCTTTACAATACCAGGGGCACTATTTGCTCAGATTTTTTTCCTTTTTTTAACTTCAGGTCATTTTGATGTAATTTATTAACCAAGATCAGGAACTGCAGCCAAAAGAAGAACAGTATTTTTATACATGCAAAAGTACTTTAAATACATTTGTGTCTGTATTATCTTCACTTTCCTGTGGCATCTTGCTTGCCAAATTTCCCAATGCCAGAGCTGATGCATCCCCTGAGAAGTCTCCTTAATGGATTTGCTATCATCCTAATGCAGGGCACTGTTGTAAAGTTTGAATGAAGGATGACAATTTTTAGCAGGCAATCCTTTTCATTTCTCCTAAATTATGGTGTCATTAAACAAACCATTGCCCACCATTATGTTTTTTAAGTCAACTGAATTTGGATCTACATGATTAACTATAGGCAGCTCCAGTCCTTGTCTAGACCTTCACATCTTTCCAGATTACTATTAAAGCTAAATTGTTCCAGAAATTGAGAAACTGTTCGCAAGATATTTAAAAATGCAATTTTTCATTATCCTATTGCAGAATATGCTTCACAAGCACCCAGAATTTAATGGCACTGGGGTCAGTGAGGGCTCTGGGTCCCTCTGGATCTCCCGTTACTCTGCTAAATACATGGTAAGAAAAGCAAGTGGGATCTGGGGAATGGTCTTGTCACCATCCACAATGGCACAACCCTCCAATGCTCAGCATTTCTCATCTATACAAGAGGCCTCCCTAGGGCAGAGAGGGCAAACTAGAAGAAGGGTTGTGGGGCAGAGTGGAAAGGAGAACAGGGGTATGAATAGCCAAACGAATTAAGAAGTTAAAGAGCCAGGGAGTTGGCTTATTTGTCTGCAAGTCCTAGACCTAACTGTACCCATTCCTGCCTAAAGCAAGGTACTTTGCCTCTCTGAGCCTGAGTTGGCTCACCTAGAGGCTGGAAATAAGTCCCTGCAGGTAGAATGCACAGCCTGAGTCAGGTAACAGCCTGAGACTGGAACCCTATGTGGGAAAGGTGCCAGGTGAAGCCAAGACACTATTGTTTTTCCTGTTATAGGCAGTAGTAATAAGACTGTGCTCCTCATGTTTTTTTTCTTTAGAACCCTAAACTGCATGCCAAGGAAGTTATGCAACCCAAAGGCCTAAAGGAAACTAAAACAGTGCTTTCAAATAACAAAGACCCAACCCACAAAACAATGAAACTCATACAGAATGGCTATCTCAACAAAAACCCAGCCCTTTAACCTTTATGTTGCTCCCAGGGCACTGACTGTCCCTAGTATCTTCCCAACACTCCTCCCTCTCTGCGACCTCACTGGGTACACACTGTGTCACCAGCAGGAAGAGGGGCTGCTAATGATGCTGTCAGCAGCACTGACACTGAGCTGGGGGAAAGACAAGTCTTGAAGCCGGCCCCTCCTCCCCACTTTACCCTCTGCTCATTTTATACTCTGCTCCAATTGTGGCTGGCATGTTGCTAAGAACATCCTTTTACAACCTATGATTGATAGCTGGGAAATTCTGTTTTGTGCTGCAGCCCAACATCTGATCCAGATGGGTGGCCCTTTGTACTTTTCAGAGTGGTTTCATATCCATAGTCTCATTTGATCAGCATACCTCCTTTAATCAGATAGAAGAGGTAGGCATTAGAATCCTCATTTTAGAGATGAGGAAACTGACACCTCAGAGTTACAAAGCAACAATTAAGACCTGCAGTGAGACTGTGGTAGCACCTAATTCTAATTCTAATACTCTGGCTCATGGTCCAGGGCTCCTTCCAATAGGCCACTCCTCTCAATTTGCCACTAGTGAAGACAACTCAGGTCTGGTGCCCTGATTAGACTTTAGGTTCACAGCAGCAATTCCCTGGCACTGTCCCTAGTCCTAGGAACAATCAAACCAATGTGATCTTAAGGATATATGAAAGGCTCTCATGTGTTCTAGGATCAGACTAGTGAGTGACACTTAGGATGAGATAGTTCTCAGCTTGATAAATAGAACACTGCTTTGACCCTGTGGATGCTTTGTAAGATAGTGAGTTTCTTGTCACTGGAAGTGTTCAAGCAGTGTGGATGTTTGCTTTTCAGAGACATTGTAGAGAAGTTTGATTTGATGATGTCTAAGATCCCTTCCAACTCTAAGAGTCTATGATTCACTCCTGCCTACTGCACTTGGGATTCAAAGAAACCAAACCAGTCACAGTTTTAACAGTGAGCAAATCAGCCATTCTGTTTGTCCAATTTATGAGGGGAGGCTATTTCACAGAGTGGTAGGAGTTCAAATGACATAACGTGGGCCAAAGAGAAGGTGTTATTCCATAACTCAGCCTCAGTGACACTATAAAAATACACATTTTTCTTCATGTGCTTTTTTTGAGGGCATAAGGGAGGGGTAGGAAAGGCATTTATAAAGTATCCTTTCCCAATCTTCAGCTTATAGTACAAAGCCTGTAAAATAAATGCCAACTCCACCAAAAGTCATTAGTGGTTCTAGCAACGACGCACCCCAACTTCTGTTGAAAAACTTAGGAAATAGGCCTAACGGCATCAAAGCTGCTTCTATTATTTCAGATAGAAGTAACAATTTGGTGACAACATTCTATCATGATTCAAGGAATACAGTTGTTTCCCGCCCCAACTCTGGTATAAAGGTTGTTGCTAACTAGGGAGTTCAGCATAGTATTAGAATTTTCCAACTTCCACTTGACTGATCAAGTAAAGATATATTTAGACATTCAGGAAAACCATACTGCAAAGGTAAATAGCCTCTTCTCAAATTTGACCACAGCTTTCATGTGCTTCACTTGTCAAATGTGGCAGTAATCCATTTCTTTTTTTTGTTTTTGAGACGGAATCTTGCTCTGTTGCCCAGGCTGGAGTGCAGTGGCGTGATCTCGGCTCACTGCAAGCTCCACCTCCCGGGTTCAAGCCATTCTCCTGCCTCAGCAGGGACTACAGGTGCCCGCCACCACGCCCGGCTAATTTTTTTTTTTTGTATTTTTAGTAGAGACGGGGTTTCACCATGTTAGCCAGGATGGTCTCAATCTCCTGACCTCGTGATCCGCCCACCTCGGCCTCCCAAAGTGCTGGGATTACAGGCGTAAGCCACTGCACCTGGCCATGGCAAAATCCATTTCTTAGACTCATCACCCATCAAATCTCACTGATTAACTACTCTAGACATTAGGAATCTCAAGAATATTGCTACATTCTCAACCTTTGGAATTTTTACTGGATGGCTTATAAGTTTTCTACTAAGATTTGTTTGAGAAATATACTGCATAGGGCTTGTGAGTTCACTTTCAAAATTTTAGGGGATTTCACAAATTGGCCAAGCTGAATTGTTTAGAAATTACTGACAGAATAAGAAGCTTACCAAGATAAATATTCTAATGAGCTATAAATCCTGAAAATGTAATTTTAATTTGATGGGTTACCTAGAGCTAAGCAGCAAGGCTATATACACTAAAATCTCACTAAATGCCAGCATTCATGCCAAGCAACTGCATTTTAGATTTTCTCTATAAGGAAAAGATTACATTTAAACAAAAAAGTCTATGAATTTGAAAAGTGAGACTAACACTCTTGAACCTAACAACTTGGACGATTTCTCTTCCACTTATCTGATGGCTTTAACTATGAAAGCAAAAGAATACGAAAGAGACATTTCATTGAGTAAAGGGTCTTTAAATGTCCACATTGGTACCAGGAGAATTTGCTTAAAACTGCTTATAAAGATGGTAGAGAGAATGAGCCCCATCCTATTATTCAATAACCATGTTTGTGATGCATCTGCATAATCTAACCATGCATAAATTAGTATGTGTAATACAACACTTATTTGCATAATAATAGCAAGTTAATAGATGCTTAAAGAGCAGAGACCAACACCACCTTTAAATCAGACATGCCTCTAGGCACTTTGGCCTGTACAGACCAAGATGCCAGAAAAACAGTGAACATCAACCAGAGGAAAACAGTCAAACCATTCATTTTTCATCCCTCTAGACATTTCACTTATTTCCCCCACAAACTGGGGAATCATTTTCAAACCACAAAATAGCTTTCTATTTTAGTGCTGGTACCCTTCTATAATAAAAATCTTAAAGAAATTTTAATAAAGATTAGAGTCAGCAATGCTACTATAATGGACTGTTTTGTTTCCTTACAAATGTAGACAGGAGGGAGCAAAATATTTTTAAATAATATGTTCAAAATTACACTCATAAAATTGGGGGCCTATATATTTGCCTAGCAAAAATAATGACCTAGATTAGATGCTTTCACCCTTTGTCTTAATCTTTTAACTCAAAAAATTTTAAGTGAATTTAAGAGCTTAAAAAGTGTATCAAGAAAAAGCTGGCTCTCTCCTCCAACCTCAAAATGAGTACATGGTATTGGACCAGGAAAAAAAACAATCCCGAATGTCACACAAAGGAAAAGCACAATGATCACTCTCAACCTTTAACAAGAAGAAAAAATCAGGAGTTTAAAAAAATCAAAAATCAATAGAGATTTCTAAATGAACCCTTTAAGATACCACTTTTCAATTTAACAGGACAGATTTATTTGTATGTGGCTCAAATGTTCACAATTGCTCCCTGCACCTTCATACATAGGAATGAATGTCACAGTGGCAAACAGCAGTAATGAACAATCTTACCTGAGGATATGGAAACCTCCCAAGAGCAAGCTGGGAAAGGAAATAATATTTGTCTAGTTATAGATTTGCATGCAGGGCAGATCTCCTTAAGACAGACAAGTACTAAATTTCAGAACTGCATCCAGCAAATATAAAAAAGTTCACAACCTTGAATGTACAAACTAAATTATTGCTGTAATTACATTAAGAGCTGTATTTAGAATGGACATTTTCAATGGACGATGTTGCACCCCTGATAAAATATTTTAATTTTAATAACAAAACATTATCCTTATGTGGTTTCCCTTAGTAATATTCTCAGCTATATGGGCATTATTCACATTTACGTGTGTGTGACAGTTTCTTCTAGACAGAGATGTAAAAACTCTTTGCTTTTAGTCTTGTAAAATGGGAACATCTAATTGTTACTAACCCACAAAATTTTCAGTTACAAGTATAAATGGAGGGTAGTAGGAAGTGGGGAATGGACATTATTATGAAATTGAAAACTGCGCCATTATTTTCATCCATTTGTTAAAGTTTTTTCATCCATTTTCTACCCACTAGTGGGAAAAATGGCCATTTCAAGGTTGTGAAGTCAGAACTGTAGGTCTAAGTCTGAAAGCTTCCAATCTAACTTGATTTGTAAACTGCTCTGTTTCTGAGCCAGTCACTTAATTTTGATCCTTGAATCCTCACCTGTAAAAACAAAATGATCCAACCAGGAATAGGCTTGATATAAAGCAAAAAGATATAAACTGTTTTTTGAGCCAGAGTCTTGCTCTGTCACCCAGACTGGAGTGCAGTGGCGTGATCTCGGCTCACTGCAACCTCTGCCTCCTGGGTTCAAGTGATTCTCTTGTCTCAGCCTCCCAAGGTAGCTGGGATTACAGGCGCACACCATCATGCCCAGCTAATTTTTGTATTTTTAGTAGAGATGGGGTTTCACCATGTTGGCCAGGCTGGTCTTGAGCTCCTGACCTCAAGTGATCTGCCTGGCTTGGCCTCCCAAAGTGCTGGGATTACAGGGCTAAGCCATTGAACCTGGCCAAAAAGATAAAATTTAACAAACATACAAAAACCTATTTAAAGAAAATAGTGGCAAAACTTTGCAATTTTATAATGTGGCCAATCCTCAGTCCTGACATCATTTACATGTATTTGTAATTACTTTCAAAGCAGAATCGCAACATCAGGGACTTTAACGCTAATGGATCTAAGAGAGCATCAACCCACTTCAAAGATTAAAACCCAGAGTCCCACTGAAGTAGCTCCCAAACAGTTAATAAGTGGAAGCCTAGGAACTGACCCTAAGATTTGCAACTTAATCCAGTGTTCCTTCCTGCATATGAAACTGCCTTTCTAGATCTTGAGAAGTTCTGCGCTTATTTCAAAGACACTGACACTGCTCAAACATTTCTGAATTCTCCTTTTGTAATTGTTTTAGAATTATTTCAATTAACAGAATACCTATTTCATTTTATTAGTATGCACCTTATCTTGGATTTAAAATTATACCCCTCAGCTTGTTCATCATGTAAATTATTTGTAGACTAAGGTTTGAATAGCCTATGGATATTACCAAAACCCAAAGCCACATACAAAAACTAAATATTTTGTTGCTTAGACATGAATATGCTGAAGTTATCAAAGTTCTAAAACCAATATGAACAATAGCCATGTAACAGGAATAAACATTATGACCTCGTAAAGTGACTACTTTGAAAAGGCCCACACTCATTTGCACATATGCTTGTGTGTATGTGTATATATGTATGTCTTAGAATACCTAGTTTCATTACCTTGTACTCATATCTTGTACACAAAATATACACTGATATGTGTATGGATTTTCAAGATATAGGTATACTATCATCATTTCATTTGATGGATATCATTAATCTCTTCCACTGTACATAACAAAAACATCACAAGATGGGGTGAAAGAAAGAGAGTGTAGATGTTTGCCAAACTCCCTTTCGAAGTTTTGTGTGATTATGTTTGTTGTCTATGTACGGGGAGGGAAAAGGGAGAGACTCAGTTCTCCCATCCTCTGTCCCCACCCCACCTCCTTTCAATACAGGTTCGTAGGTTTGCCCTACATTTTGAAAATAGTTTGTTTCTGGCCAATCAGAGTGTGCACACTGATTCAGGAGGAATTACTATGGTCTACTGTGGTGGGTGAACTAGGCATTTGCAACAGTCTGCAGTGTCTTAACAGGTATCACAGTGATCTGTGGATTATGACTTTTGCATATACTTCCATTTGGAGTTAGAAAACCAGCAAGAGGAGAGTCTCACACCTAAAAAAGCTAATAGCTTAATAACTACTACAAAGCACTTAGAACATTCTAGCTCAAGACCTTCCACAGGCATTGCGCCATTCACTTGGGTATATGCTCAGCATGTCATCAGGGACCATGGAATAATTCTGTTCACATGGCTTAAAGACAGAGGAAACTTGCCCACCACACATATAGTCAAGATCTAAACTAGCTGGCAGGTGCCAACACTGACCATTGGTTCTTGCAATTTAAAGAATTAAGCAATGGTAAATGGACGGCTTAAAACGGAGTGAGATACAGCAAAAAATGTGAATTCTTCCCGATTCAACACAAAGCTTCCGGTTGCAAGTGGTCATGGTTCTACAGAGAGGCCAGGCTCCAGCCAACTTGGGAATGTGCATTCATCTACTTGGCCCTCTCTGTCATGACTGTACAAGGTAAAAAAGGATGGCTGATGTTATTTGTTTGCTCTGTAAGACAATGCCATGCAAGACAACAGAGAGAAAATTTAGTGCAGTTTGGTCAGCTGGGAGCCTCTCTGTACCAGTCTGCTTGGGAACAGGTGCCAGTGCTTGAACTGGTGAACTCATCATTCATGGGTCTGGCTTTGCTTTCAGTGTTATTTCCTGACATCTTGTGGAACCTCAGTCCTACCTTTTAACTATGTTCCTGGGAGGACTGCTTGTAAGACATCTTGCAGGTCTGACCTCTTTAGAGTTAGAAGACAGAGAATGGTTCTTTGATCTTAACTAGTAGGTACCGCTGCAATTGCAGCATGATGACAATCACTTCCTCTCTTACAGAGTGTCACCACTGGGCTGTTGAAAGACTTGGGAATCTATGCCAGTGAAAACTGGCAAGTGCACTATTAGGCTGGCACTGAAAGCAGTCATTTTAAGGCCCCAGGAGAGGACCGCTGCCTTCTATGTATGCCTCTATCCCTCTAGGTCTAATGCAGCTACAGTGTTTATGTTCCACACTATTTGTCTTATAGAAAAGTAGAAGGAAACATATAGCCAGGCTCTAGAACTCTTTTTATCAAGTTCTATTGGGAGGAGGTAAAAAAGAAAATGGTTTCTTAGTAGATATGGCTGCATGAAGAACGAGTTCTCTACAAAAATGAGAGGCGTGTGGTGGCACGTGTCTGTAGTCACAGCTGCTTGGGAGGCTAGTGTGGGAGGATCACCTGAGCCCGGGGAGGTAGAGACTGCAGTGAGCCTTGACCATGCCATTGCATTCCAGACTGAGCAAGAGTGAGACCCTAACTCAAAAAATAAATAAATAAATAAATAAAAAAGAACGAGTTCTCCACGAGGCTGTCAAAAGTCAAAATAAACATGGGACCCTTATGGGGAAGAAGGAGCACATATGCTCCAAGTGAATATTTCACACACAGGCAGACCTGGGGCCATTCTGTATCTTTTACCCCTACTGGTCTATTAATCTACTTGCATTTCCCTAGTTTTTATTGTCAAGGTATTATAAATTAGGAAACTTACAAAAGAGAGTATGTAATCTTCTCTGAAATGGCCTGCAGATATGTCACTGTACTAAATGTGTTTCAGATTTAATGAAGCTTTAATGTCCTTTTTAATTTTGCCTGTTTCTGTATCACTAGGGGTCGGGCAAGGCAATCAGCACTCAAGAGGGTGGTTTGGTTTAAAACTAGGAAAAAACTCATTTGCTTATGAGTTGCACTGTATTTTCTTAATTAAATTTACTGAGTAAAATGGTTTAAGTTCAGCCAACCAATGACCTTTGTATGTAGATTTAGATTTATAAATAGGTTAACAGTTAAAGGAAAGAAAAAAAAAGAATCACAACAAAGCAAATAGATTAGGCCTATGCCAATAGAAATCTTTGCTCTCTTTATCATCTTTACAAAAGAAGCATGTAATATAGGCAGCTTAAGTCTAGTTTTTTTTTTTAAAAAGTGTACTGAAAAATGTAGACACATATAAGTGCCAGCAATTCATCAAATGGGTCTCATATCCTTTTCATTCCCAGGAGGGGAGCAGCTCACATCGTAAAAGATTTGGAAAAGCTTTATTTATTTGGGGCCAGGGGGTGGAGGTAGAGATAAGGGATTCTATTTAATGTTAAATTAAAAAGTACACTTTAATTCCAAATACTTAAGATTTAGCAAACTGCTGAAGACTCTCTTGCGGGACGTTTATTATGTAAAAGGCTGAAAAAGAATGGTCTGAAGTGTTACCAGTTGGGGATACACTTAAATAGCAGTAAACAACTAACATCTCACTCTAAAAACAGGACGTTCCTTAGTGTCATCTTATTGACCTTTGACTTGGCCAACCACAATCTATAAAATGCTCTTCAGTTAGCAGCATTTGAATATGTTGGATTTTATAATTTAAATAACAAATATATTTGTATGTGTGCCTGTGCGTGAAAGAGAGATCATAACAATTGCCAAATATATAACACGATAAAAATCTTTGTATTTTAACAAAAAGAAGTTATTTATTGACAAAGCAACAGAATGGCTTTTGTTGATAATAAAAATAATTATTGTCATAGAATCATAAATGATAAAGAGAAAACAAACATTGTAGCCAGAAAACAAGTGCAGGACACAAATTCAAGACATGTTTTTAGTAATCAAGTCTCCTACTCAGAATATCAACTATGTTGTGGGAGTAGTTTTAAATTTACAGTTCTACTGAAGAGCACTGGATTTTTTTATTCTTAATTTAGACATATTCTATGTTTCTCGGCATAACTACAAATTGAAAATAAGCATTTTCAATATAGCCAGTGATCTAGCTGAATGACAACTTTATAGTCTGAAATGTTCTAAAATTTGTTCTTAATTACCTTGTGTACATTTTACACAATTAAATTTCCATCTAAGGATTTTGCATTTAGATTGTGCGCTGCAGTTAAATCTTCATTTTATAGAAATGCAGCAGCCACTTTGGAACACTCAGACACAGGGAAACTTTAAAAAATCAGACTTAACTACTGGATTACATAAAATTCCCTAGGTGAGATTTCATCCCAAGACCAATTTACACAGTCCTAGAGAAAGAGTTTAAATCATCTGAAACTATGCTGGTGAAGAACCATAATAAATATTAAATACCTCAAAATCTACTCTAAGATTTTACTTTTTTCCCCATGTATCAATTTCACTGTTCTCTTACTGAATGGTTTAAAAACAATCCAAAGGATATAACAGCAATTTACCGGTGTTAAAGTGCTTTGGAGGTTAAACTGACAACAAAGAACACAGAAACACAAAGCGTCTTGAAGTAGGGTTTCAATTAAATGTGGAGGATTTAGTAATGCAGGACCAAAAAAAAAAAAAAAGAGTTACAAATTAATTTAATCTTCTGCCTATAGTTTGCAGCTGCACTCCAAAGTGTCTGGGGCTTAAGAACAAAGCCTTGAAAGGCCTCAGAGTGAGGAAAGCTTCAATTTTTAATGTATAACGCCATTAGCTGATAACTTGTGGAATCTGCAACCCCTGTGGAGGGGCATAAGTGCGAGTAACAGAGACTGATGAAGTGACATATTTGTTCATGTCTAGAACTATGAGGAAGAGGATTATTACTAACACCATCAGGCCTAACAGAAACATGCCCTAATAACCTTTGGGACCCTCCACATTATCAGTACTCACTACAGCAAATATATTAAAATCAAAATCTAATTCACTTTAATTAAAGACAATTAGTTTGTTTTATTATTATTAACTTGTATGATATCATAATACACTGCAAATTAAAGATGGGATAATAAATGTAACGAAAGCATCAAACTGTGTACACCCTTCCATCTACATTTGTGAAATTAGCTTATCACTGGTGTCTATTTAAGGAAATTCAAAGACACCATCATTAAAAGTGATGAAGAAATACTTTACTCTCAAGAGAATATAGTGAACCCACACGTATTTTTTCCTATTTCAATTTATGCTTATTTTCACAAACTCTTTCCTACAAACTCTAAGGATTTCTTCAGCGCAAACAGAATTATGGCCCAATGGAGGCACCAGCAGCTTAATTAATTTGCTCAAGGTCATACTGTAAGTTGGTGGCAAAGCTTGTTAAGAGCCTAGGAACACTGGGCTCTACAAATGTTTTGGCAATGGCAAAGGACCCTGTCTGCAAAGACCTCATAGACTTCTAGTGCAGTGGGTGAGCCACAGCAAATAACTCATTATGCCTATACGAAAAGTGCCAAGTAGTCTGAGAGCTTGTAACTAATGTTTTTTCTTTGTGTAGAAAGAGCCTAAATGTGAGGGTCCCATCAGGAGTGCGCCTTAACGGGTGCCAATATTAAAACCAAAACAAAAAACAACAACTACTTGTCCTCACCAAAGTCCACTGATATAAACTTACTTAAGGAGCCCAAACAGTAGCACAAATAAATAAATCAAGCACTTATCTACCATTCAGAAGGTTCTGCATTCTGTCCCAGATTATTAATAATAAGGGAGAAAAGACAGCATTACAGATAAATACTTCTTAACAAACCTGCACATCCTGCACATGTACCCTGGAACTTAAAAAAAACAAAAAACGAACAAATGTTTCTAACAGAGTACGTTTTTAAAAAAATAAAAAGAAATGGGCTTATTACAGTAGACACTTAAACAGGAAGAGGGCAACAGTAATTCACAAGTACAATATCCTAATGCTGTTCCTTTAATTGCTTTATTTGTTTCACTGTTAAAAATGATTGCCTGCTATAGCCTAACCATGAATGCTGAAAAGCGTGATACATTGAGGTCTCAACCTGGGCAAACTGTACCTAAACTTACACTTTATTGCAGCTTAGTTCACAATCTTCACCTAATATAGGGTTATATCCCAGTGCAGCAGGAGGATAAATCATCCTGGAATATTACTCCAGCAAAGTTTAGCTGTGACTGGAGCATATGTGCTTTCGAGCCACTGAAGCAAAGGCCCATAAAATACACTAATTACTGGAAGTTATGGTCACTGAGTGATTGATAGCGCTCTGCAAGGCAACTTCCTCATTTTCAGCTCTTCTGACGGGGCTCATCCGCCACATAGCAATTATTAATTCATGACCCACCCCTCAGGCATTAGTACCTTTACGTCTAATTCTCCTGCTACCAAACTACTGCTACAGCTGGACACTGTCTTTCTTCATTCTGATGGCTGGGTAAAGATGATAAAAAGTAGATTTCAGGCTAAATGCTATTGTTTTGAATCTTTAAATGTTTCTTGGTCTTTCTAACCCTGCTGTCCCAAAACACATAATTCTCCTTCCTCTCCCATACGCTATTTCACTTACATCATTTTCTTTTTTTCCTTGTGTGTGTGTAAGTGTGTATATATATAGATATATATGTATATACTTATGTATGTATAAGCATATGTGTGTGTATGTATGTGTATACTTATGTATATATAAGCATATGTGTGTGTATATATATGCGTGTGTTTATGTTTGTGTATGTGTATATTAATCTGTCTATACTACATTAAACCAAAAACCCTAGCTGAGTAACTTTTTGGTTAGATACTGTGTTTAAATGGAATATACAATTTTAACTAGGCCATAGTAAGTATAAGGCAGCTAATTGATAAATAAAAAAGGGGAAAAAACCCTCAATTTAAAAATGCCCACTTTTGTAGCTTTACAGACACTTTAACCGTTCCATGTTGATTTCCATCAACAGCTCTACTCACAGAATACTAATGAAAATATCTGGGTATATAACTAAATCTCTAAAAGTCAGTTAAAAACAATGGCAAAGGTCTTTTTCCATGGTATTCTGTGCACTGAGAGGAAATTCGTGAGAGACTCTGAGTTAAAGAGACATAAAGTTTAGTCATGATTAATGAGAGCAACCATTTTACTTTTCTAATTGAAAAATGAATGTTCTTCAAATGTTTGCATAGCTCAAAATGCAACACTGAGGGCAGTTTTCCTATCTGGAATCTGAGATGTTGCAACAGATGAGTAGATAGATTTCCAGCCTACCTATTCTTTCAGGACTTGATTCAAATTGTTCCTCCTTTTCTCCTCTTCTGTCAGGAGTTAATCCTAGAAGACTCTACCCACAATTTTGTAGACAAACTTCATACCACTCTCTGCCCATACCCTTCACTGGGCAGTGTGTATCACATCCTTCCTGGTGACAGTTCCCAGTGTTCTACATCTTCCTGTGTTTCTAGTGCCTTATAAATTTTAACTTGTTTAAGGGCAAAGTATAAATCATAAACTTTTATGTTCTCCATGACATCAGAAATAGCATTTTGCAGTAGGTTGACAATAAGCATTTGTTGATTATGATATATCCCCTGATGCTGATCTCTCCTGGAGACTGGTCAACCTGGAGGTGCCTGGTTTGCTTGTTTCTATGCCACAGTACCTTAATGAACATGGTACACAAACTCTTTAGTATTAGGATCTGATGGTCTTAACCGACAAGGCCCTCTTACGTATCACTGCTTAGACTGATCAGTAGCTACCATTTTCACATATTTAACCATTATGATGAATTTAGATGACTTATTTCTTATTAAAGATTAAAAGGTTGCCAAGGAAGAAAAAGATTAGAATTAAATGAATTGAACTCATGGAGATAGACAGTAGAATGATGGTTACCAGAGGCTGGGAAGGGTAGTTGGCAAGGAGAAGAGTGGGGATGATTAATGGGTACAAAAATAAAGTTAGAATGAATAAAATTCTAGTAATTCATGGCACAACAGGTGATTACAGTCAACAAAAATTTACTGTACATTTAAAAATAACTAAAAGTATAATTGGAATGTTTGTAACAAAAAGAAATGATAAATGCTTGAGGTGAATACCCCATTTACCCTGATGTGATTATTACACATTGTATGCCTGTATCAAAATATCTCATGTACCCCATACACATGTACACTTACTATGTACCCATAAAAAATATTTTTTGAGATGGAGTCTCGCTCTGTCACCCAAGCTGGAGTGCAGTAGCATGATCTCGGCTCACTGCAACCTCCACCTCTCAGGTTCAAGCGATTCTCCTGCCTCAGCCTCCCAAGTAGCTTGGATTACAGGTGCATACCACCACGCCTGGCTAATTTTTGTATTTTTAGTAGAGACGGGGATTCATCATGTTGGCCAGGCTGGTCTCAAACTCCTGACTTCAAGTGATCCACCCACCTCAGCCTCCCAAAGTGCTGGGATTACAGGCATGAGACACTGCACCCAGCCCCCATAAAAATTTTTTAAAAATGATTAGAGTTAACTGCCCCAAACCCCATCTCACGTGTTTACTTCAACAGCCATTTGAATCCTCATAATAAGAATTAAGAAATAACACCCTTTTAAAAAGTTTGTGTAACGCTGACCTGTGTCCTCTGACAGCAGGCACCCCTAATCATGACAATGGTCTCTTAGAGACCTAGCTTTGGGGGCTTCCAGTTCTAAACCATTCTCTGAAATCATGCAGCTGTGGGTATTTGAGAAAACATCAGGGCTGGGGTCTAGTCTATTGAGCTCAACTTCACTCACATTTCTATTTCTAGACATTTCAAAGTCAAGGGAGTCATAAACAGCTGATATTCTCATACTTCTGGCCTCTGTACATGCTGCTGCTCCTGTTGGAACACTGCCCTCCAAATCTAACCCATTCATCAAAACTTAACTTAGATACCAGCACTTCTAGGAAGCTTTCTGAAATGTGCCGTGCTTCCAGTGATGGCCTTAAAAGAATCTACAGCCCAAGATGCTCTTTTGGAATGTGACCCTGTTGTTTCATCATCAAGAACCTACACTGTGATCAACAGAATGTGGCAGGAACAATCCTGTGTAATTTCTGAGGTTGGGCCTTAACAGATCTGTAGCTTTTGCAATCACAGCTTAGAACACCAGGCACCACAAAGGAAGTCTAAGCTAGCCATGAAGGGGAGATGGGAGAGGAGGGTCCCAGCCACTCCTGGCCATCCCCACCAAAGCATCATACACGCATATGAAGTCATCTTGGATCTTCCATCCTTAACCACTACCCAACTGCAACCTCATGAGAGGCTTTTGATGCTACATAGAATGGCTGGGCCTTGCTAGGATTCCTGACCCACAGAATCCTGAGTAAATAAATGGTTATTTTAAGCCACTAATTTTGGGTAGGTTATTAAGCAGTAATCAATAACTGAAATGCTTTCTCTGACACTCATGTCAGCCCACACTCTCATGTGCCCAGTTCTACATGTTTCCATTGCACTTTTACTTTTCTTTCTACCTATTAGTCAAGGAGTCACTGAGGGCAAAGTATGTACCCTTACTGCCAACACTGGGTAGTACTTGATAAATATTTACTAATTAGATGAGATCCTTACCTACCTACTTCCTATTACAGTAGACATACTGGAGATTAGGTTAATATTTGTGTTTCTTTTTAATAAATAAACTAGGCCTTAGTTTCTGAAAGGTAACTAGCACATTTTGAAATATGGTGAAACTAAACCAGCTACAGGGATAGTGTAAGGTATAATCCTATGAAAAGCAGTCTTAACTGACCAGCAGAGTCACAGTTAACCTGTCTTTTCCTTTATCTGATTTCCTGCTCAGTTCCATTTACCATTCATCTCTTCTTTTTTCAAACTACTTGATCTACTTTCCTAAAGCATAATGGAAGAAGCAGACTTGAATCCATGAGTCAGAATACTTGACTGCTGCTGCCTGAGCTATTCACTTAACCTTTCTAGAAAAGTCCTTTAACTTATCTGGATCTAAGTTTCCTCATTTGCAAAATGGGAACTTTGATGCTTATAAAGTGAAACAATATTTGGTGCCTCAAGTTGCTGATTTTTCAGAGTGGGGAGAAGCTTGAAAGAGATAATGAATACCAAATAGCTTTGTTAAGTGTTACATTAAAAAAAAGTGTGATGTTGTCACCCTTCTTGTTAGAATGACACTGAGCAAGAGGATGTCAAGAGCTTGGAAGAGAGGAAAGAGCACTACATTTCACATCAGAAGACCCAGATTCCAGTCCTCTTCTGCACAGTTCCCTGGAGACCAGCTTCCTCACTGCTAAGAGAAGTGGTCTGATTTAACAAGCTCTGAAGTCTCTCTTTAAGTTAAAGTCTCCCTTTAGGTTAAAAAAAATTCTAGTTTCTAAATACAACATAAGGCATATAAGAGAATTTTCTAGGAGCAGTGGTTTTTACCACTGGATATCTCAAAGTTGGCAGACATGGTTCCCAAAATTATCATAGACTCAGAATTTTAGTGTTGAGACATGTCACCAGAAGACTGGTTCCTTCTTATCTTTCAGATCTCAACTCAAAAGTAATCCAATACCACTCAGTTACTCCTAGCATATCATCCTGTTTGTTTATTTATTTTCTTTTTTATTTTTAGAGTCAGAGTCTTGCTCGGTTGCTGGAGTGCAATGGCATGATCATAGCTTACTGCAGCCTCAAACTCCTGGGCTCAAGGGATCCTCCTGCCTCAGCCTCCCGAGTAGCTGGGACTACTGGTGTGCGTCACCATGTGCAGCTTAACTCGCTTATTTGTCTAAAAAGGTACAATGATCAAGTATTCTTTTTTAAAATGTAGGCTCCATTAAAGCAGGGATTTTGTCAGTTTTGTTCTCAGCAGTGTCCCCAGTGACTAGCACAGGGCCTGCCACATACTAGGCACTCAAAAAAATATTTGCTGAGTGACCAAATGAATATATGACTGCATCTTGTCTAACCTTATATCTGTGTCTTCTACAGAAAAAAATCTGAGACAAACAGTCCTTCAGTCCCTACTTATGTGTCCCCAGGGATGGGACATTTTTACCTCTAAAGGCAAATGATTTCACTGTTGAGGAGGAAAGTGTAGAGTTCTATCCATCAGAAAATCCTTCTTTATACTGAATAGAAAGTCATGGGAGTTTATTATTTTTTTGGCTTTTGTTTTAGCTTCAGGAGGTTCAGCCTTCTTGTCATAAAAGATCAGCTTGCTGCTTCTCCACTGACAATCCTTCAAACATCTGAAAATGGGTTGTCAAATGCCTGCTTTGTCTTTCTTTATTCTTCATATCAAGACTTTGCTTTTTTTTAAATTTCAAATTCTGTGTATTTGTGTGTATACATGATATGAGTATGTGCTGTTGGAAAAACTTTAAAATCAGTCTGAAATCCATCAAAATAACAAAATGCTTAGCTGGGACTGCTAGCACCTGTTCCATCTTGTTTTGTCAATCTCATGGTTGTTCCCGACAGCTCTGAACACAAAGCAAACTCAACAATGCTTTATTCAGTGGGAAACACTTCACTTTGTCTGCCAGTTTCACATTCACTACAATCACTGACAACCTTGGAAAATGCACATTTAGGCATGGTAATATGAGACAGCTGGATCCCTTCACAGACCTTGCAAAGGACTGAACTAGTCAATCCATCATCTGCCAAAGGTCATTTTAACAGCTCCTTTTGCATTAAGTTACACACAATTTTAGACCCCCCCCCTCCCCGCCCAAAAAAAAGACAGTGGAAAAAAATCAAGACAGAATTACAGAAAAGGGAGTAAGAGCAGGGGAATGAGTGACAGAAACTGTTACATGTTCTTTTCCTCAGCATCCTTCAGTGGGAGGGGAGGACCCATGACAAGGATTCCAGAATTACATCCTCCCCACTTTCCTATAAAATCTTCCATGGAAATTTCCTTTGTCTTTGGGCCCTTCAGATCCTTTCACCTTTTGATGGTCCTCAGCAAAAACTTTGGTCAACAGGTAAAATGTTTCACTAGTTGGATCAGGAGACTGAACATGATCCACGTTGAGTGTATACTTTATCTGAACTACCTGGGACCAGAAATATTTCAGATATTGGCCTTTTTCGGATTTTGAAATGTTTGCATTATACTTACCAGCATCCCCAATCCAAAAACCTGAAATCCTAAATGCTCCCATTAGTGTGACCTTTGAGGTTCAAGTTAGTGCTCAAAAAATTTCGAATTTGGGAGTACTTCAAATTTTGGGCTTTCAGGTTAGGAATATTCAACATGTAGTAAGATTTCACTCACATTCTTGAAACTAAATATTTAAAAAGAAGAAGAGAAAATATCAGTATTTGAGTGAAACACACCAAATGGCAAATTTTTATGGTGTGGAAAAGTTGACGGCAGCTGCTTACAGAGCATACAGAGCCATCCGTCACCCCTCGGACCAGTTCACAATCACCAAGGGCTAGAAAAGCAAACAAAGCCACAACCACACACCCATTAGAAACAGCTGTGTCAGGGTGGTGGTTTTTTTTTTTTTTTTTTTTTTTTTTTTTTTTTTTTTTTTTCCCTGGCAGCTGGGTAGGGGTGGGGGGAAAATGAGTTCTGTATATTTAGAGGCAAGAGCCAAGGCTAGATAATGTTTCATAATTCTTATTACTTGGTAAGCACTCAATACATATAAGATGCTATTTCAAAAGGCTTACTTCTTCAAGTAACTTTATGTGGTTGCTAATGTTAAATAAAAGTGTTCATGAAAAAGCCTAGAATATTGAATATATTTCTAATCTTCCTTTCAAAAAACATAAGTGTTTATTATTGTTTATCTTCTGCCTCCCTTAATACATTGTAGGCTCAACAAGGAAAGGGAATATGCCTATTTTGTTTGCCAATGTATCCCAGCACTTAATAACGTGTTTGACATGTAAAAGGTGTTCAATAAATATTTAAGGAATGAATGAATTCTAATGTTACCTTCAACTTATACATAAGAAACTGACACTTGGAGTGACAAACTGAACTGGCTAAGATCACACTGATTATAAGTGTTGGTGCCAATATGTGAACTGAATTCTGGTTAATCCAGTCTAAGCTCTTTAACAGTTCAAAAATTAGGATAACAGCCCTTGAATCTAAAAATGATATTGGAAAGAAAATGACAAAATGACAAACTCGCCATCAAATTTCTCCAGAAGCTTCTGTCAAGGGTACTGGGCTGGGTGATCCATGCCACTTTTTTTTTTTTTTGAGACGGAGTCTCACTCTGTCACCCAGGCTGGAGTGCAGTGGCGTGATCTCGGCTCACTGCAACCTCTGCCTCCTGGGTTCAAGCAATTGTCCTGCCTCAGCCTCCCAAGTAACTGGGATTACAGGCGCCTGCCACCATGCCCAGCTAATTTTTGTATTTTTAGTAGAGACGGGGTTTTGCCATGTTGGCCAGGCTGGTCTCAAACTCCCGACCTCAGGTGATCAACCCGCCTCGGCCTTCCAAAGTGCTGGGATTACAGGTGTGAGCTACCACACATGGCCCATGCCACCTTTTAAATACTTTTATTTACATTTACACAGCTCTACATGGTTTATGTGTTTACTTATACGTATAGAAGATCACAATTCATTTTCTTGATATCTAATGAGTCTTATCTGGCATCCATTAAACAATATGTGTATGTAAAAATTAGATGTGTTAAGCTTGTACATTCCAATGAGACAAAAGGTAGTTATATCCAATTATTTGTATTTTTTATAGTAAATTTTCCTTGGGAAAATTTCTATTACTAATCCTCAACAAAAACTCACTTTTTCTGAGAAAAAACACTGCCATATGTCATTTGGGGAAAAAAAATGATTTTTTTTCTATAGGAATACTAAGAGAAGGGCAATCTTGTACAAACATATATTTTTCCCATGTTATAACATTAAAATTTAAAATTTTTCTTTGATGATTTCTTCCCCTTTGTTTCCTCTGTTCTTTCTTCCTGGAACTTCTATTTTTCATGTTACTTCTTGACTTGGTTCTTTAATGAGAAGTTGTCATGAACTTCATGACTTGGTTCTTTTTTTTTTTTTGAGACAGCCTGCTCTGTCGCCCAGGCGGAGTGCAATGGCATGATCTCAGCTCACTGCAAGCTCTGCCTCCCAGATTCACACCATTCTCCTGCCTCAGCCTCCTGAGTAGCTGGGACTACAGACACCTGCCACCACACCCAGCTAATTTTTTGTATTTTTAGTAGAGATGGAGTTTCACCATGTTAACCAGGATGGTCTTGATCTCCTGACCTCGTGATCCGCCTGCCTCGGCCTCCTAAAGTGTTGGGATTACAGGCTTGAGCCACTGCACCTGGCCGACTTGGTTCTTTTTTCATTTCTCTCCTATTTCTTGCTGTTCTCTGAAAGTTCCTTTTGTTACAGCAGCCTGTTCTTATATTCTGAGTGCACTATTTTCTCTTTAGTCCTCTGAGGATACAACTGGTAGTTTATTTGAACTTTTTACCCTCTGCACAGTTTTCTGGCCATCCAAATTGCTTTTCTTTTTAGTTGTTGTAGGCCTCTGTTCTGACCCTAAAGGCCTTTCTCAAATGTCTCTGTAAGAGTAAGGCACTGAAAATCTCACTGGAAACTGTGCTCATGGATGGGGCTTGTAGACTAAGGGCTCTCCTGGGAGCATGATTTAGCTAGGCTGTTTCCTTGGGGGAACTCCAAACGTCTGGATCTTTAAGTCTTCCTAGTCAGATTTCCCTAGAGAAAGTCTCTGCTATCTCCTGCCTGAAAAGTAATCTTTGAGTGTAAAGTAATCACGAGTGTCCTAGGAACAGGGTGGGAGGTCTCAACATTCAGAATCTAAACCTTCACTTAATGCCTCTGAACGTAGTAATGGGACCCAGACTTCTATGGTGCCAGGTATCACTTATTTTATTTGCTCCAGAAAACGCTCCACTCAGTTTTGTTAGATTGAGTGTCCACCCATGGTGTTTACTCCAGTACATTAACAATTGTTTTCTATTGGGTTTTCATGAGCAATTCATATTAGTTTGTAATAAATGAAAGATTAACTAGTCTTATCATAATTGTCAAACTGACTTTAAAGCAATTCTCCTCTCTTGGTCCCACCTTGACTCCTGGCTCCACATATCTCGTCCCACCAATTCCTGACCCTTTGGGTGTTTACAATATATCAGATTGCCTGCTTGCTTGTATTCTCAGCCCTGCTCAGTTGTTTACTGTTGTCTCATATTCAAAACTTGAGTGCTGTTGTCTCTTTTCCCTTTCTCTTTATGGTATTATCCTTTTGTGTGTGTGTGTGTGTGTGTGCGTGCACGCCTGTGTGTGCGTGTGTAAATCACGTTATGGCTATTTTTAGTGGAGGTTGAGGTGAAACTGTAAGCTAAAGCTTGCACCATCTTTAACCAAATTAGCAGTCTGATTCAAATGTAAACATTTCAAACGGTAATTCCTTTTAAAGAGAGGGGATAATGGCTTTTTTCCCTTGTGAACTTTGTCCAAAAGCTCTGAAATAGATCTCCCATCTAAAGAGGAGGAAACTGAGGCTCAGAGAAGTTAAGTAATTTACCGAAGGTTCTATAGCTTAGGCTGGCTGAAGTGGAATTCAAATCTGGATCTGATACCTTGGTAAACTGAAAGCTCTTCTTCACAAGCACAACACTGTGATCTATTCTCCAAACACTTACGGGCATTTATATTAAAGACTCCATCACACTTTAAACTCTGATCTTTATTTTCTGAAACTGCTTTAAAAAAACCATTACAAAAGTAGGAAAAATTTGAGTCAAAAAGATTTACTGAGTGCCCACTAGGGCAATGGAATTGTACTAAACAGCATAGAAGATTATGAGAGAATCATATTTGAATCCTGTCATAAGGAACTATGACATGCCTATAAATTACTGTAATACAAAGTGGACAATTTACATGCCACAAGGAAGATGCAGGTGAAGGTCAGAAGAAGAAGATATTACCTTCAGCTGGAGATATCAGAGTTGGTATCATGAAGGATGGTTATTTAAACTGTATCTTGGGGAGATGAAGAAAAATGATATTACATGTACAGAGAACAGCGTATTTATTATTCCATGGGTTTATTTTTAACTTGGTAAAGGTAATTCTAAAACTCACAATTCTTTTTGTCAAAATAATAGAGCCCAAAAAATCTTCAGAAGATGGCCAGGTGCCGTGGCTCATGCCTGTAATCCCAGCACTTTGGGAGGCCAAGGCGGGTGGATCACCTGAGGTCAGGAGTTCAAGACCAGCCTGGCCAACATGGCGAAACCCCATCTCTACTAAAAATACAAAAATCAGCCGGGCGTGGTGGCGCATGCCTGTGATCCCAGCTACTCAGGAGGCTAAGACAGGAGAATTGCTTGAACCTGGGAGGCGGAGGTTGCAATGAGTTAAGACTGTGCCACTGCACTCCAGCCTGGGTGACAGAGCGAGACTCTATCTCAAAAAAAAAAAAAAAAAAAAAAAACTTCAGAAGATGATGTTACTTGGATGACAGTGACAATGACCTTGTGTTGTTCTCTGACTATGTTCTTTACCTATGTTGAGACATTTTTCTAAGCCATGGTCCTTGCTTTCATCATTCAGCACATCATTCAAACCACTTCAATAAAACACTGGTCATGATGAAGAGGGGTCTCCGAGGACTAGATGACGCACCAATTAACCAAGCACATTGAGCCAGACTGTTCTATGCCTCAGACTCAGGAGACTGGTTAGAGGGGTGGCAAACAGGCAGAAAGAATGAAGATCCAAGTGAAAAGAGCAAAATGCGTATGCTATGCATATGCTAAAGATGGGGCTTTCAGATGGGTGCGGTGGTGCACCTGTAGTCCTAGCTACTCAGGAGGCTGAGGAGGGAGGATCGCTTGAACCCAGGAATTCAAGGCAAGCCTGGGCAACCTAGCAAGACTCTGCCTCTAAAAAAGGGTGGGGGGCAGGCTTTCAGTCTGACTCCTATAGAAAAGTCTGTCAGATTATTCACCATCAACCTTAATAAAGTTTATAATAACCCACCACATAGAATCCCAAACCAGAACATGTATTTGTACAGCATACTCAGTGAAAATAAGAATATTACAGGACTGGCTTGGTGCCTTTTTAATGTAGATGCATCATCCTAAATACTGCAAATTGCAAGGCTAGCGGAGAATGTATGTTGACTTATTTTTTGACTCAAGAAGGACCCACTTAAAATTCACTTTTGCAGATATGACTGTTTACTTCCCAACTACAGATTTATGTTGTGAACTCAAATGACACAAGAATATAAATGGAATAATTACTTAGTAAAAAATGAGAGTGGGACTTTCTCCTTAAGCCATTCTTTAGAAGAGATAAGCACTGAACTGCCTGTGAAATTCAGAAATTATGCTCTAAAATGTTTTAGCCACCCCTAATAAAACTATCAAACTTGGTAAAGCCCTTATTATATAACAAACTCATTTTCATTTTAAAGTTTAGCCCTGTAGTTTTTTTTTTTTTTTTGCCCTGAAGTCTTGAACAGAGACTACAAGGTTAATAATCCTAAAAATCTCCTAGGCAACTGAATCAGTATGAGCTTTCTAGAAGAGGTAAACAAATATTCCAGGGAAGGATTACCCTCCTAGTTTGTCCTAGTTCAGGAATTTTACAACCTTGTTAGTGGGTCTCACTTCTTTTTTATTTTCTTTTTGCATTTCCACATTGATTCTTGCTAACAAAGTTTCAAGGAGAAAGAACTACAGTTCCACACGGGTTCTCTTCCCCAATACAGAGTGAGCCCACACAAATCCCATATGTGGCAATGACCTTTAATGATTCCATAACTAATCCACAGGAGGGGAACTACAACACATTTAAAGATGTGAGTTAAAAACCACAAACAAACAATGGAGAAACAGGCCAAATTCTTCCCATCAAGTCAAACTGCCATACATCAGTCAAGGTGAATAATCTTTTTTTCCCTTCCTAAGGATAACTTCCATCTTTTTGTTACATCTGCCAACTCCAAATACTACATTCAGTTGACAAAAACCTGGAAGAGATGTCCTTTACCCCACCAACAGAGGGATACTGTACTGAAAGGAGAGAGAAGCGATTCTGTCCCTGGATAAAAGATAGTCTGATATTAAAGTTTCTTTGCTTAAGGCATAAATGTACCTGTCAGTGAGTTTTTTTTTTTAATGGCACATTTTAGCAGCATGTAGCATCATCTTTTATGAAAGAGTGTGGCAAGAGGCCTTTTTATGACTCCCCATGGGGGCTGTGACAGCATATTAACAAGGCAATGGGCAGGAGGAAGAAGGCAGGCAAGGAGGAACCCTGTCACTTCAGGGGTTTAAAACAATGAAGGCGTTCAGCCAGGTGCAGTGGTACACCTGTAGTCCTAGCTACTCAAGAGGCTGAGGCAGGAGGATCACTTGACCCCAGGAATTCGAGGCAACACTGGGCAACATATCAAGACCACGTCTCTAGAAAAAAAAAGTGGGAGGCAGGGGGCAGGCTTCAAGTCTGACAGCTGTAAATTGAACTTTCTGCTTCTGGCATCACCAAACCTCAGAGATGACAGTTTATGGAACTGGAGGAAAGGGTGCTAGGGAGATGTAAAGGAGACAGAAAACTCTCATGCCCATTTTGTCTCTATCTGATTTTTTTTTTTTTTAAGACAGCATCTTGCTCTGTTGACTAGGCTGGAGTGTGGTGGTGCAATCATAGCTCACTGCAGCCTCAAACTCCTAGGCTCTAGCAATTTTCCTGCCTCAGCCTGCCACATAGCAAGGACTATAGGCACACACCACCATTCCTGGCTAAATGAAAAAAAAAATTGTTTTTTTAGAGATGGAGTCTTGCTATGTTGCCCAGACTAGTGTTGAACTCCTGGCCTCAAGCAATCCTCCTGCCTCAGCCTCTCAAAGTGCTGGTATTACAGGAATGAGCCGCCAGGCCTAGCCTGTATTTGATTCCTGTGTAATTTCAGGGAAATTCCTTTGCTCGGTTTCCTACATTTTTATCAGTTTTTTTTTCTTTACCACAGGTACCCTAGGAGAATAAACTGGTTAACTTAAAATACTTTGAAGAAGGCATGCACACAAAAAAGTAGTGAAACTACACCAGGGGAGACCTTGCATACTTTGACATTTGATCTCTCCTTAAGTGTTTACAGGGATCCATACCTTAGAGTGTGCTGGGAAATGGGGAAGAGATCCTCTATCTTTTCCCTCTTTCTCCTAGTGGCAAAGTCTGTTCAAGACCAATCTCCCTTAAATGTCAATTCCTTTGTGTGAAACCCCACCCCCTTCCCCTTGTGGCTCAGAGTCCTTTGTAAACATCTCTACTGAAGACTCATCACACCATTCTGGGCTTTGGGTATCTTTCTTTTCTACCAGAGGTGGGCTCTCCTCAGCTCTGTGTGCCCCACTCTCCAGGGCCTGGCACAGGGCAAGTGCTTAAGTAAGAATTATTGAAGAAAGGAAAGTTTCTACTAGAAAGAGAATTTTGTTTTTACAAGTGAGAATAAACAGAAGAGGAGTAATTCTTAGAAAGTGTTGACTATGTTACAGAATGCACTTTGTTCCTCAGATTCTAAAATGCTATTGAGATTCACACTTCTGTCTATAGTGATTTTAAATTGGATTTGCTACATCTATTCCTAACATACTACGGTAAAAACAAATAAGAATCTTGGTCTTCAAGTACTTCTTTTGGACTAACTTCCTAATCCCTTCAGGTAATGTTCTCATTATATTGACCCTTAAGAAAAAACAAGAACCAGCTGGTCATGGTGGCTCACGCCTGTAATCCCAGCACTTTGGGAGGCCAAGACGGGCAGATCACAAGGTCAGGAGATCGAGGCCATCCTGGCTAACATGGTGAAACCCTGTCTCTACTAAAAATACAAAAAATTATCCGGGCATGGTGGCACGCGCTTGTAGTCCCAGCTACTCGGGAGGCTGAGGCAGGAGAATCACTTGAACCTGGGAGGCGGAGGTTGCAGTGAGCCGAGATTGTGCCACTGCACTGCAGCCTGGGCGACAGAGCAAGACTCCGTCTCAAAAAGAAAACACAAGAACCTTGGGTTTCTCTTGTAACCTTCACTACTGAATCCCCACAATTTCTCATGTATGGACTCATAACCTCCTACTTCTCTTCCCTATCACATATTTTTCTTTACCCTGGACCCCAAATAGATTAGGTATATAAAACATGCCAGGGGCCTTACACTATTCTCTAATGACTTACTGGTCTATTACTTGTGTTGGTAACATGTTGTGTGGGGGTAATAAGCCCCTAGAGGTCAGGGGCTACAATCCTATAGTTCCTTCTGAAGGCATTTAGTTAAGCATCATGTACAGAGGTGCTCAACAACCCTCTCTGATGATCATAATCTGATTCCTCTTTACAACCTCTAACAACATCTCTTCCTCCTGCTGTAACACCCGGCTCCTTACCATCCATTTTAAAATACAAGGAGCATCAAAAGGCCTAGCTCTTCCTGGCCCTCACTCCTGACCATCTGGTTATCTGCTCTCTACCACACGAGCCAACACAGTCCTTACAGCATTCAGGTGTCCCACACTCAATGCTGACACTTTTTCACAGAGTTCTCTATACCTAATCCTCTTCGATCCTGAAAATTCAATGAGTCTGTTTTCTTCAGTCCTCCACAGAATATTCAATAGTTTATCTCCAGGATAAATGAATATCATCAACAGAACCCAAATATATCAATGGCAATCTCCTTCCTTACACTACAAAGAGTCTCTTTTTATTAATCTTTGTACCCCTAGCACCCAGCAAAATACTGGCAGACAGACACATATTTCAATATGCAACATAAATATATTTATTGAGCACCTGTCCTCCTACCTACTTAAACGGATCTCCCTGTTTCCACACCTGCCTGTCTATAGTCATGCTCCACAGAGCACTCAGTGATACTGTGAAAATTTAAGTCAGATCATTTCTTCTAAGAGTAATACCTAAAGTCCTTAGCATGGCCTACAAGGCTATATTTGCCCTGGCCCCTGGCTACCTCTCTAAATTTATTTTTTCCCACTTTTCCCCTTGTTAACTCCAGTCAAGTCACACTGGTCTCTCTCTTCCTTAAATACGCTGAGAGTGTACTCTATCTTGGTGCCTTTGAGCTTGTTATCAGGTGGCTTCCTTCTCTCACAGCATTCAAGTATCTGCTCAAGTGGTACTTTACCAGAGAGGACTAGTCTAGTCTGCTTTCTTTCTTTTTTTTTTTGAGATGGAGTTTCGCTCTTGTTACACAGGCTGGAGCACAATGGCACGATCTTGGCTCACCACAACCTCCGCCTCCTGGGTTCAAGTGATTCTCCTGCCTCAGCCTCCCGAGTAGCTGGGATTACAGGTGTACACCACCACACCCAGCTAATTGTTTGTATTTTTAGTTGAGACAGGGTTTCTCCATGTTGGTCAGGCTTGTCTCGAACTCCTGACTTCAGGTGATCTGCCCACCTCAGCCTCCCAAAGTGTTGGGATTATGGGCATGAGCCACTGAGCCCAGCCTAGTCTGCTTTTTTTTTCCTCCATGGGACTTATCCCCACCTGACAAATTACATATTTAGTTATCCCTTTGTTCTCTGTCCTTCCCCTCATGCCCCAGCCCTTGCCAAATGGAACTCCATGACAGCCAAGACTTGAGTGTCTTTTCCTTACTCTATCCCCATTGCCTATACAGCAGGCATAGCAGGAGTTCAACACATGAATGCATAAATGAATGTAGAAAGGATGAATAGTGAACATTTATATGTGCTCTAAATCTTAAATCTAATAGTTATGCTCTCTTATAGTAGTGCCATGCCTCTGCATTTTATGTCATTTTATCACTGTCTCAGTCACACAACTCTAGAGTTGCTGTGTGAAAGCTAAGGAAAGAAAACAACACCATGAGCAGTAGCACAGTCATAGAATGTTAGTCTGGAAAGGGGCTTAGAGATCAATATTTTACAAATGAAGAAACTGAGGCCCAGTGAAGAACAGTGGCTTCCACAGGGTCACCTAAAAAACTAGTAGCAAACCTGGAACTGTAATCCAGGTCTTCCATTCCCAATCTAGGATTCTTATCTCTACACCATGTAACTTCTCAATTGTCTTACACTATATCCAGTCATTTATAAAATAAATGATAACAATTTAAAATATGCAAAAGGAAATTGTATAACAGCAATACTGAGTCCCACAAATCAAAAACACTAGTTTCCCCTGAAACAGGCTAATAGAATAAGCCCTTGTGGATTCTGTTGGGAGACTCAGTTCTGAGATCTGACCACCATTATCGCTAACCTCTCAGCTGATGCATACATATTGTATTTCCTCTTAGATTCCCTTTTAAGAAGAAGCAGAAGAATATGATTTAATAAACGTTCAACACTTTATTTTTGCTTTCTTTCTACTGTGCAGGTGAATTGAGTTTGAAGATTATTTCCTTACAAATACAATTGCATTCATGCATTACAAAACTCACAGAAAAAGTATTTGACTAAAAAAAAAGGTTACAAAATCATGATTGCAACTCTATCTATGATATTATTTAAAGAGTCCTTTCTACTTTTCTATTATAAAAAGTCCTGGCCAGGCACAGTGGCTCCTGCCTACAATCCCAGCACTTTGGGAAGTCCAGGCAGGAGGACTGCTTGAGCCCAAGAGTTCAAGACCAGCCCAGGCAATATGGCAAGACCCTATCTCTATTAAGAAAAAATAAAGAAAATACAAGTCCTTCTTTATCTGAATCAATTTAAATGAGAATTTTTGAAGCACTGGTCAGTATACAGGTTCTATACTACCATAATTCAAACTGAGCCATATGTCCTTCTAATATAAGTTACATGCATTTTTTTGTAGATCAATCATCATTTTATTAAAAAAAACATAGCATAGAGTTCTAATGGAGCTACATCTAGAACACTAACATAAAGTCCATTCTAAATACAGCTATAAAGAGTTGATATTGCAATTGTGCTAAATACATACATCCTCTTCCCCCTTCCCTCTCCATCATATCACACCACCCCTTAACCCACATACACATGTGATAAGACTATACTGGAATGAGGTGATTTTTTTTTCTTTTAAAACAAACATATATAACTTATATATCTAAATGAGTAGTGCTGTATCTTTTAAACTAATCACCGTTGGAAGTTACATATGCATTCCAACAGGGCACAGAATTTTTCTGGAGTCCCTATTTTACATCACGGGTTCTCCAGATTTAGTATGTATAAGAATCACCCAGGGAACAGGTTAACAATGCAGATTCTTAGAGGTGTGGATTTAATTGGTCTTGAACGGGGTTGAAGAATCTGTATTTTTAACAAGCGCTCCAGGCAGGTCTTACACAGGTGATCTGTAATAAACAGTGCTTTAAAATAACCTCCAGAGTCAGTTCACAAGCCACACAAGGAATCAAAGACTTTATGGTCAAACTCTGTATACATCTATATAACATGCTGAAGGTTTATTTTAGCTTATTCTTTCAAAATCTTCACTTTTCCTGATTGAATATATTAGTACAGATATGCACAGAAGCGTCTATGTGCAAACAACGTACCTCCATAAAAGAGATTCCTAAGCTCCAGACATCAGAATGAATTCCATACTGCTCCCCTGAAATCCTTTCAGGCTGCAAGAAATCAGAAGGGAGCCTGTGAGTGGACGGATGCTACTCAGGAAAACACATACACCAAAATAAGCTCAGCTAAGGTGAGGAGCCACCAACATCTGCATAGTATTTTACGGATGACAAAACAATTTTACATGTGTGTATATATGTATTTGTGCATACAGTATATAGATGATCTATAGAAATTATATATAGATATATTCTTACTGAATCCTCACCAAGTCCCTGTGAGGAAGACTTTGGAAGTCATTTCACAGATGAAGAAAATGGAGGCTCAGAGTAGTGAGGTAATTTAGGCCAGGTCCTAAGTAGTGAATGAGCTGAGACTTGAACCCAGATCCTCTCCCTCCAAATCCAGTGGTCTTTGTTGTGGAGTAACAAATTACACAACATTATATGATATTATCACTTATTTGCATTTTGATAGATTGGTCTGGAACAGGAGGGTTTCTTTTAATTTTTTATTTGAAAATAATTTCAAACTTATAGGAAATTTGAAAAAATGAGATCAGAGCAATACACATTCCTATTTCCTTTACCCAGATTCATCTGCTGTTCAACATTTCATTCCATTGATCAGAGTTTCTTTGTATATGAACCAAGGAACAGTCTGAAAGGTCCATTTGGGACTCTTGGTCCTCCACTCAAGATGTATAGCAAATACCCGGTCTAAAAGAGGCTACATAAACACTCTCAACTTCAAAAGGAATAATTTCATACTGAGTGGATGCTTCCTGATCTATCTATCCCTCTAGGATTTAGCATTCAGTACAGTACTTCATAGATGGCTTTGGAATGAACACGTGAACAAATGAATAAGAGAAACGGAGGTCTCACAAAGGTGGAATGATTGCTAAAGGTTACAGGCTAATCATGGCAAGGCTGAGATCATAACTTACACCCCAATATCCAATTCAATAGATACCAGGATGTATTCATATGGAACTGGCTAGCCGGCTACAGGAATAACATTATTGTCACCATCATTACTATCATCAACAACACAATTATGTGTGCATTTATTAAAGAATTTCTATACACCAGGCCTTGTTTTAGTGTTTTTCATGCATATCTCATTTCAGATTCATAAACATCCATGTAATATTGGTACTATTTTATCATCACCATTTAACAGATGAGGAAAATGAGGCACAGAGTAGTTTACATTACTAACCATTATGAGTGCTGTATCCACTATAAAAGAAGGATAGTAATAGCTATCATTTAATGACCACTTACTAGTGTCAGACACTGGGCTAGGTACTTTGGGTCTTCTACTTCATAATGATTTTGCAAAAGTAGGTATTATTGCCCTCAGTTTACAAATGTAAAAACTGAGGCTTAGTAAGTGACTTGTTCAAAGTCTAGAGCTATGGGTTAGCATTAAATGCACTGTCCAGGAGCGGAGCCAGGATTCAAAGCCAGTTATGTCTGACTGCAAAATTAGAGTTCTTTCCAGTGAGTCAAACTGACCCCACAACTAGAAGTCAGAAGAGCCAAGCACAGCCTTGAGCTGGTCAGTATTTCTCAATGTGCAGTTTTTGGAGCAGCCATCGCAGAACTGCCTGAGGTGCTCACTGTTAATACAAATGAACCTCCAGAATAAGAATCTCTAGGGGTGGGGCTAGAGATCCTCACTTAAAAAATAATTTCTCTGGGTGATTCTTTGGTACACTTAGCTCCAGTCACTAAATATTTCCATGTTCCCTGGAGAGACAATGACCTTTTACATCTCCCTGCCTTCCTCTTCTCTGCTTAATGACCATGTCTCACACAGATCCTGTTTGAGGGTGAAACCTTTCTCTACTCCTACAGCAGAATTATAAATTCCTGCTTCTGTACTTCATTAAAATGCTGTTCATATCTTATTATTTATCACACTGTGTTGTAAAATCATCTGTTTTCTAGTCTATTTTTCCTAAGAGGCAAAGAGAGTACTAGGCAGACATACCTAATACCTTACCTGACACATAACAGGTATGCAGTCAATGCATGCTGACTGAAGGAATGTAATACATGTTTACTGCATGAACAAATAAGTTCCTTAGAGAGTTCTTATATAACTTCCTCATACATTGCTATTCATGTCTGTCAAGAACTTCTAACAAACATGAAAATCCTAAAATCCTCTAGAATTATTAAAGAAATAACTAAATGCTGCCCTAACCCCTGTCCTTTTTTCCTTCCTCTCTCCATTTCTTCATTCTACTGATTAACAGGTACCAAGTATTTCACCCAGAATACAGAAAAAACACGCACACACACAAAAGTGGAACCCACATACAAAATATTTGGGCAGGATCAAAAAGGAGGTTAAACACACTTATTACATTTGCCCACTGAAATATCAAAACAAATGCAAACTGTAAGCTGATAATAAAGCATAGAAAAATTAAATTAAATTTAAGAAGAAAAAATAGAAAAAGTGATAATGTTCACAGATACTAGATGGCAAATAAGAGAACTCTTTTAAGGGTCAGATTCTGATGACCTCTTGTTGGGGAAATTATTCTTGCAATAAGCTAATGAAACAAGATTACTGCTGTGATGCAGTGTTTGAGCAAAAATTTTCAGCAAAAGCCAACAGCAAGCTCCACGTGTCTATCCTAAACAACTCTTAAGGTGGATAGGGATTGGGAAATGTGCTCAGGCCCCTGGAAGTGATTTAGACACAAGATGAGCAGCAAAACATTCTGAATTTATGGAGCCAGGATTTGATGGCCCAAGGCTGCACAATTCAAAGCTGTTCTCACACTTGAAGCCAAGGTGGCCTGCCCTGTCCTCTCCCCTGAAAAACAAAACAAAACAAAACCAACTACCAGGTACCATGTTGTTGACAGAATATCTATGATGGATATTTAGCAGTTAAAAAGCTAAAACTGAGGTTACTCTCTCACATGACAGCTGTCATCAGTGTGAAAAGCTAAATAATAGGAAAAACATGACTCTTGTCTAAAACATCTTTGTAGTGAGGTTAAATGACAAGCAAACAAAATGAAACAAAAAACCCTGACCTGTTCTTAATAAGAACAGTAAAGAGTAGTGATGATCTAATAAGTAGAATTTATGGAAGATCTTAAAGGGCAGTCCTTCTGGCACCCACACTATACTCCCTCCAGATGCCCTCTGTGACTCAGCCTTGACAAGAATCCACATTTAGTTAACTAACTCCAGAACCGTCTGTTTACAACGATATTTGTCAAAAGCAGGAAGATACCAAGGTATATCCCTTATCTCTTCCAAAAAAGGAATTTCTGTTCAGACTCAGGCTACCTAGAAAATTAACAAAGTAGGCAAGAAAACTTCAGGCTAGTGTATAGTCAAAATATGTATCACAAGTGATGAGGATTTTTTTTTTTTTTTTTTACATTGGCAAGATCCCTGTGTAGGCAGACAGAACACTGGTTAAACAGGGCTCTGGAGTTAGACTGCTTGAATTCAGATCTGTCTTCCAGTTCACCAATTCTCTCTTCTGCTGTGTCCAATATGCTGTCAAATACAGTGAGTTTTAAATTTTAATCTAGAAGTTTTGTTTAGGACTTTAAAAATCTACTATGTCACTTAAAAAATGTGTGATCTTAAGTCTGTATGCATCTGATTCTGCTGCCTGCTGTTCCTGCTGATCTTGTTCAGGTGGCTTTGTTTTCTTGTGTGCCTGGTTCTCTTTGCTTGCTAGTTTTTCCCCTTGAAAGAAAAATTTTGGAGAGGTTCTCTGAGGCCTAAGGTGGAGACCACCTCAAACCACTTCTCAGCATGATGTGCCTTGTCCAACCTAGGACACGTATGCATATACCCAGGGTGTAAATCTATACTAGGGCTAGGCTATGGTCATAGTTTGTTCCACTTTTCCTATTTCTTCTGCTTCTCTGCTTAGTTCCAGATGCCTCCTCTTCAGTTTCCCGGGACTGGGGGAAGAGGAGCAGTTTTAGATCTAGTTTACTCTTACACTGAGGTTAGCCATTTAGGCTTCTAGCAGGGAACAGAAAATCTCCTCTGAGACCTTCTGACTTAGGTGGGCCCTGAAGCTTGGCTGCTGCCCCTCTTGCCTGACTGTGATTCAGGCAAATGCCCTCAGGAATAAGCAGTGATGGGGCTCCCATTCTACTTTCCTCTCTGTGGTAGGATTTCATTCAAAAATTGTCCTGGGAGTAGCCCACTGTCTTTTTAGCTCTTCGGTGCATTTGAGATGGTTTAAAAAAAAAAAAAAACTTAGCTAGCATATTTAAACAGAAGAGTTGATCTAAATAACTTAGTCTGCTATTAGCAGAAACTAGAAGCTGATGTCCTCATTAAATTGCCTTTTACTATGTGCCAACTCTGAGACCTTGGGTTAAAGATATTTTTACCTTTGGTTTCCTCATCTGTAAAATGAAGAGAGTAATAATAAATAATAGTAGTAATACGTATACCTCCTGGGGTTGTGTGAAGATTAAATGAATCCCGTAATGTGCTTCAGTACGTGCCACATGGGAATGCTCAGTTAATGTTAGCCTCCTTCCAGTCACCACCACTACCATTACTACCATCGCATGAGCATAGCCAATTGAGTTGGATCATGCAATGTGTATGTGTTTTATTCCGAGTAAAGACAATTACCAAGAACTGGAATAGCTTGGGCAGAAAAAAATGTTCTAGAGATAAGAATGGTTATTTAGATTGACTTTCTGATCCCAAGTATTTGAGTAAGATTTTTTCATTTTAAAACTTCAGTTAATCATAGCAATAGTGTCAATTTTTATATTTGATTTTTAAAATGATAGTAAGCCAGGAAGACTGAATAGTTGGTTAAAGTTTTAGGAACTTCTATCTTAAAAACATAATAAAATTTTTAGTAATTAGAATTTCTGGGCTGAGCGTGGTGGCTCACACCTGTAATCCCAGCACTTTGGGAGGCCAAGGAGGGTGGATCACTTGAGGCCAGGAGTTCGAGACCAGCATGGCCAACATGGCGCAACCCCCCATCTCTACTAAAAATACAAAAATTAGCCGGGCGTGGTGGTGCACGCCTGTAATCCCAGCTACTCTGGAGGCTGAGGCAGGAGAATCGCTTGAACCCAGGGGACAGAGGTTGCGGTGAGCTGCAATCGCCACTGCACTCCAGCCTGGGGGACAGGGTGAGACTTCATCTCAAGAAAAAAAAAATAAAGAATTTCTGAAAAATGGTTAATTTAATATAAGCTCCAAGTTTCCAGACCCCTTTTATAATTCTTATGGATAAAATCCTATCAAAATGTGGTTGAAAATCTTTCATGGTTTGGATGAAGGTATCTATTGAACCTATTAATTATCTGCCCCTAAAAAACAGTATTTCCTTGAGCATGACACTTCACTTTTCCAGGTCTCAGTCTCCTCACTGGTCAATGGGGAGGTTGGATCAAGATGACTTTTCAAGTCTCCTACAAGCACATTGCTGCTTAATGTGCCCATACTTGGTTTTTCTAAATGACTAATGATGTTACAAAAACCTCCCTGTCTTTTTCCTAATTATCTTTTCTATATTTTACGCTTTCGATTACAGATTAAGTGAGATTATTCACATATACAGGGCTATTTCATTCTGATATATTTTCTTTTTCATATTTGAGTAGCTTAGCTGGCTGTATTTGGGTAATTTTGGGCTGTCTATACCTTGAAACACAAGCAAGATTCTTAATACGAAAAGTTAAATGCTGTGCTTATAATTAGAGAACAAGACACTTTTGGAATGCAGCTTTCGTGAACTAATTCATTCATCTGGCACTGTGTGAGGTACTGGATATATAGAGTGAGCAGAATAAATCTTGCCACTGTGAAAGTCATAATCTAGATTGGGGGAGATGCATAAATAATATGGGTATAATGAGAGGCACAGCAATTAAGAATTTAGTCTCTGAAGGCAGATCACTTAATTTTGAGTTCTGATTGACACTTATGAGCTTTGTGAACTTGGGTAAGTCACTTAGCTTCTCTTGCTTCAGTTTCTTTATCTCTAAAATGAGAATAATAATATTACCTATGTCATAGTGTTGTGAGGATTTAAAAGTTAATATATGTAAGAAGAGTGATTGGCACATAAAGCTACCTAAGTGTAAGCTATTATTATTACTGATGTTATTATCACTATACAGAAGTATGCATGAATATAAAGTGAGGGAAATACATAAAATGAGGGTATCAAATGACTTCTAATTATGTATTCCTGCAATTTTTTATTTGTCCTCTTCCCCACTTCTTCACCCTCACCCATGCCTTCTATTTCTGAGTATTTGCTCATCCATTCACAGTGATCTTTCTCTTATGCAAGCATCCTTTTCACATACTGTTTGAATCATCAAGTTTGTACACTGTAAGTCTCATTTTCTTTTCTTTTTTCTTTTTGAGACTGAGTTTCACTCTTGTTGCCCAGGCTGGAGTGCAATGGTGCGATCTCAGCTCACCGCAACCTCCGCCTCCCGGGTTCAAGTGATTCTCCTGCCTCAGCCTCCTGAGTAGCTGGGATTACAGGCATGCACCACCACGCCCAGCTGATTTTTTGTATTTTTAGTAGAGATGGGGTTTCTCCATGTTGGTCAGCCTGGTCTCAAACTCCTGACCTCAGGTGATCTGCCTGCCTTGGCCTCCCAAAGTGCTGGGATTACAGGCATGAGCCACTGTGCCTGGCCTGTCTTATTTTCTAAATGTATGTTTGGTACAACTTAAGTCTTTATTATGTCACACATAATGCTGCTACATATAATGTCGTGTTCCCTGTTTCACCCAAGTCTTATCTACATTATAGAGTGGTTCCACTGTACCTAACAGCATAGAAGATGCTCAGTAAATGCTGGTTGATTATTGAAGGTGCTCAGTTTCAGATACAACTTTCACTGGCATAGATCAGGGGCTGGCAAACTTTTTCGGTAAAGGGTCAGCTAGTAAATATTTTTCATGTTATGAGCCATATACTTTCTGCTGCAAATGTCACAACTACTCAACTCTGCCACTGTAGTGCTAAAGGGGCCATGCATAATATATAAGCAAATGGGTGTGGTCATGTTCCAATAAAACTTTATTTACAAAAATAGGCAGTAAGAGCTTGGAAGAGTGATCAGTACATTGTTCCAGTAAATTGAATTTGGCCTGAGAACTGTAGTTCATGGATATTTGGCATAGGGCTCATGTAGAACTCAAAATTATAAAATATAACAGCTAAAATGAGAACTAGTTGTGGTTAAAAAAAAAAAAAAAAAAGCTCAGCTCTTTTCTCTCAAGAGACTGTCAGCAGATAAAAGTCAGGGATTCATACCTGTACTATAATAATATAGGTTATTTCCACCTCCCCCCACCCCCAACCTTACACCATGTAGGTGAGCACTTGGCCAATAAGAGCCTCCTACTGACCTGAGCAAAGCACTCACTCTCAAGCTATCATTGCTCCTTTTCTAGGTATCTTATGCTTTTTATAGCTTGAACTACAAAGCTGACGACTAGAATTCACTCACCTAAGAAGCAAAGCAATTTTAGTTTTGTCAATCCAAGCTAACATTTCATAATTTTAATCCTCACATTTTCAATTAACAGATGGATGCATCACATTCATCCATAAACAAAAATAAAAAACTAATTTCTTTAATGTACACCTGGGAAAGACAACTGTAATCTGGATTTGTACATTCAAATATAATGCAATTTAATTATCAGAGGAATTTAAAGCTACTAAGAACATGCTGGGTAGTTGAGCAATTGTTTCATTTATAGTCATGTCCCCCCAACTTTTAAAAAATTACAGTGTTTCATATTCTTTCAAAGACTTAAACCTTAGCATTCAGCAAGGCTATAAAGGTGGCTCACCAATCTCACCTAACTTGGTAGAGGAAGGAAGGTAATTACATTTTATAAAAACAGATATGAAGACTTCAGAGGTTAATTTATTATTTTTCCTATTATTATACAAGAAAGTATAAACTTTCTTTAAAAACCATGCAAGACAAAAATGAGCTATTCTGGTATCTGAATGAAAACAAAATGTTTTGTATTGTTCTGAGAAGAAGGTTTAGGTTTAGAATTAGGTTTAGAATAAGGTTCCATCCCTAAATCTTTTTTTTTTAAATTTATTATCATTATACTTTAAGTTTTAGGGTACATGTGCACAATGTACAGGTTAGTTGCATATGTATACATGTGCCATGCTGGTGCACTGCACCCACTAACTCGTCATCTAGCATTAGGTATATCTCCCAATGCCATCCCTCCCCCCTCCCCCCAACCCACAACAGTCCCCAGAGTGTGATGTTCCCATTCCTGTGTCCATGTGTTCTCATTGTTCAATTCCCACCTATGAGTGAGAATATGTGGTGTTTGGTTTTTTGTTCTTGCAATAGTTTACTGAGAATGATGATTTCCAATTTCATCCATGTCCCTACAAAGGACATGAACTCATCATTTTGTATGGCTGCATAGTATTCCATGGTGTATATGTGCCACATTTTTTTAATCCTGTCTATCATTGTTGGACATTTGGGTTGGTTCCAAGTCTTTGCTATTGTGAATAATGCCACAATAAACATACGTGTGCATGTGTCTTTATAGCAGCATGATTTATAATCCTTTGGGTATATACCTGGTAATGGGATGGCTGGGTCAAATGGTATTTCTAGTTGTAGATCCCTGAGGAATCGCCACACTGACTTCCACAATGGTTGAACTAGTTTACAGTCCCACCAACAGTGTAAAAGTGTTCCTATTTCTCTACATCCTCTCCAGCACCTGTTGTTTCCTGACTTTTTAATGATCGCCATTCTAACTGGTGTGAGATGGTATCTCATTGTGGTTTTGATTTGTATTTCTCTGGTGGCCAGTGATGATGAGCATTTTTTCATGTGTTTTTTCCATCCCTAAATCTTTAATCAAGATAATATATACAGAAAGAATACTGAGACTAAGACCCACGGTTTTATCCATACTAACATCATTTAATTTCATGACATATTAACAAAGGCTATTAGAGATGAAAGGGACTACCTAAATAAATTTAGAGCTTTCATTATAAAAAATTATCTTTGTTAGAGGAAGACAAAACTTTGCTCCAAAATTAATACTAGATAAGTTTCCTGTTTAATTTTTTTTCCCTTTGACTCTCAAGGTGATTATGAAAACCCATAAACTAAAGTATTTTTATGAAAACAAATAACTTCCCTTACTCAAAAGCCAAGTCTGCACTGGTCTTTGAAACAGCCTTATGATTCTACTTGTTATTGTTGGTAAGTTTATTTCAGTGCAACTAAATAATCTTACAATAGGCATGAATAACAACTAAACAAAATATAGAGGTACAAGTTCTATAGAAAACTGCCCCCTAAACCTTTACATTCAGAGATCCATAAATAAAATTTGGCTACACAGTAATTTAATTTTGATCTGGTGACAAAGCATGTTCATATTCCAAGAAAAAAAAAAAACAATTTTATTGACTGACATTTGGGGATACTTGAGGGTTAATTAAATAAGAAATGTGGAAAAGTGGCCAGTATGCTACAAGGTGAAATCTCTCTGTAGGATTAAACTTCGAAACTCAGCGATTTCACACTTGAACCAACCAGTTAAGTCAACAAAGTCAGATAAGTTGATAGCTCCTGTAAAAACTCTAATGTCTTTTAGAAAGATTTAAAAATCAGATCATGACTAGATTGACTTTGCAATTTATGATCTGCTAGGCTAAAGCTGTGGAATTAATTCAAGAATTATACATTACCAAGTACATAAAGATAAAGATGTTGGTTTTAAACATTATTTTTGCATAAGTTTACTTACCGCCATATAAGCATTTGTTCCAACATACGTCTTGGCTATAGAATTCACCAGCTATGAGACAAAACAGTCTGTTAGAACAATATAAAGATAATGTGGAAATAAAATGGGCAATTATTCCTCATTTAACCTACAATCATCATTCATATAAATCAACTAAAAATTATGTAAAAGGGAACAAATTTATCTACAAAGGCAATAAAAATGATTAAATCTCTCTTTTCTTTTGAATGTGATTTCCAGTTTAAACAAGCACAGCATTACAGTTTATAGCAGATAACCTTAAACAATTCACTTAAGCAGGATACTTATCGCTTTAGTATCCCAAACCCGCCTGATATAAAAAGTCAATTTAAAGCAGAATTTGAACACACTCAATTTTTAGTCAGATGGCTCAAGATGTGAATGAAGCCCCATGCATTACTAGAATGAAATGAACACTAAATACGCTGGAGGGATAACAGACTTTGACAACTCATAATACAACGATGACCTTCGCTTTGGTCTTCGTGTTTGGCTGGGAGTAAAGGTGGCTGCAATTCAAATCAACATCACAGCATGCTCATGGGTCACTATCACTGGGTTTCTCAGGGGAGGTCCAAAATGGAAATTAATTAAAATTTGTGCTGCACATTGTAATGGCCCTCCACCATTGTTGCTCCCAATATTAATTTTTATTGTGGGCCAGTTGGGCTCCCCAGGCACAGCTCCCACTCTGCCCTCCCTTTTGTCTGGCCAAAACGCTTTCATATCAAAGCTGCATATCAATGAAGTTTGCTATTCGTAAGTAGTAATTACAATATCAGCAGTTTTTACTGTCATTAAACAATGAACAATCATATTCTGATGAAGGAAACTCGCTCAGAGATTAAAAATGAATAACACACTCCCAGATGAGGAAAAGATGCAGAGTTTCTGTTTGTCTGGCAGCTAGGTGATTTTTCAATCCAGAGAACAGAATGAAAATATAAAGGGGTTGTTGCAGAGAAAACAGTACACTGGGAGGAAAAGAGACATACCTGAGTGCTAACTCCAAAATCACACAGCTTAACCTGTCCTCTTGTGTTTACTAGCATATTGGAGGGCTTCACGTCTAAAAAGGGACCAGAAAAGGCCATGTAACTAATTCCATGTATCTACAGCGTTTGTTCTTTAAAAGCACACATGCACACCACACCAAGTTGCAGAAATGACATCATCTGCTCAATCCGAAATTCAAATCACAAATTTAATGAAAAGCATTTTTTTTTAACCGAAGGTAAAATGTAAGGTCTTAACTCCTCCACGTTCAACGATTTCTGGTTTCTACAGAAGAAAGAGTTTATTTTAAGTGACAGTGAAATCAAACCTTGGCTTACAACAACAGTAAATACACCCATCATCCTATCCCTAGTTTTTCAGGAAAAGTAGGTAGATAAGAAAATGTAATCTTCTTGCAAAGAATTTGCACAAAAAGGATGAGTTTTGCTCTATATGTGTAATTATCAAGCTAGTCCTCCTATCTAAGTAATAGTAATGCCAAAGGGAGGCAACAAGGAAAAAGCATTCATATGCTACGGGTAACAGGTCATATTTGAATGAAACCGATGAGGAAATTAATGTAGTACTGCTATTTCACATGTTTTACAAGGCAAATGCTACTTCAGATAATACTTAGAAATTTATCTAAAAGATGTGTATATATGTGTACATGCATGTGCTTATTAGTCTTTGTTTCATTTATCCTTCTCTTCCCTTACATTATTTTTGGCTGCTGTTATAGTTAACAAAAGAATTGACATAGATTTCACCAAAGCAGTCAGTCGCTAAGTAATGACACAAAGGATTTCTGTGAAGCATCGTCAGTGACAACAATGAGCCTTTTCAGGAATTCAGGGAGCCCAAAAAAGCCACCCAAGGAGGACAAGAGCATACCACTTTTGATGGTATAGAGCAGCATCTGCTTCAATGCGTCTTTTATGGCAAAAGTGTAGTCCAGCAGAGACAACTGGTTATATTTAAAACAGCATATAATCTCAACTACACTGACACTGAACAGGAGACTCAATTTTTTGGTGTAACATTTTTTTAAAAACTGTAAATGGGTTAATCTTCTCCTGACCTTCCATCCGGCAAAAGGGTACCACAACAAAGTATCTTGCCAAGAGTAGATACTTAATTCAAATTTCAAGTTCACACACAGTAACTATTACTGAATCATACTTATGTGACAGGCAATGTGCTTGGCATTTTCTTATACATTAGCTCATTTAGCCTGCTAAATATTATCAGCCTCAGTTAGCCTGATAACTGACATTTGAATGTAAATTCCATGAAGGCAAGGACTTTGTCTCTTTTCTTGACTACTGTACTCCCAGCCCCTGAAAGAGTGCCAGATATATTTCAAGTGCTCGATAAACATTTGTTGAATGGATGAGTGAATAAAGAATGGAAACCACAAGTACACATTGTGGTTGATGATTCTGTTTCAGTGATGAGGGGTGAACTGTAGAGCCTGTCTCTGTAGCAAGCCCTTCAGATACCACACACTATAACCTCTATTGGGAGGCTCTATGAATTCAAGTTGGTATGCACAGGCAGGTGTAAGCTCTTTTTATCGGTATCATCGCCCCAAGAAATAAATAAGTTCACAGGGTAGGAGCATACTTAAAACATCTTTAAATGTATCCCTTCCAAGCACAGTATCTTGCTCACTGATTAATGGCTTTTTATATGATACATTAAATTTACTAATACATGGCCGGGAGCAGTGGCTCACGCATGTAATCCCAACACTTTGGGAGGCTGAGGCAGGCAGATCACTGGGGGTCAGGAGTTCAAGACCAGCCTGGCCAACATGGCAAAACCTCATCTCTACTAAAAATACAAAAATTAGCCGGGCGTGGTGGCGGACACCTGTAATCTCAGCTACTCGGGAGGCTGAGGGAGGAGAATTGCTTCAACCTGGGAAACAGAGGTTGCAGTGAGCTGAGATGGTGCCACTGCACTGTAGCCTGGGTATCAGAGCGAGACTTGTCTCAAAAAAAAAAAAAATTGCTAAGACAAATGTCCCCTTTACCAGCAAGTCCCTGGTCTCTTGGCGTCTAGTTTTCTCTAATTTTTCAACATAATTCTTATACCATCATCATATTAAACCTTAAATATACCACTTTCACTACATCACTTGTCTCCTTAAGGAGGAGGTTAAGTATTCTCTGACATGCCCCCCACCAACCAGAACATGAATTCCTTAAGAACAGGGTTGTGCTTTCAAGTGTGCCCCAGTAGTTAGCACAACACATCATAGCCACAGTAGACACTTAAATGTTTGCTGAACTGAAACAAATGTTAGATTCTACATAGTTTGGTCTTATTTTTCAAATCTAGTTCTTATCATGGGCCCTCAGTTTTAAATATTTTTCTTTTGGACAATTTGTTCTTTTACATATTGATGTCCTAAACTAGGGGTGTACAATCTTTTGGCTTCCCTGGGCCACATTGGAAGAAGAACTGTCTTGGACCACATATAAAATACACTAACAATAGCTGAAGAGATTTAAAAAAAATGGCACACACACAAAAATCCCATAATGTTTTAACAAAGTTTACAAATTTGCGCTGGGCTGCACTACTCAAAGCCGTCCTGTGGCTCATGTGGCCCGTGGAGCATGGGTTGGACAAGTTTGCCCTAAACCATTCTTAAGCTACCATATCAGATGGAGACAGTTAATGAACAAATATTTTGAACTCCTGGAAGAAGGTGCTGCCTGGAAATTAAGAGGTATGCTAAAAGCAGCAAATCTTTAGTTTCAATCAGATACATCTGACTTAAGTGGATCAATGGAAAGACAAAATAATAAAACAACAAAACTGCTAAACTATATTCCAAAAGACAAGGTGTAAATAAGAACCTGACTGCATTTTTCCAGCTTTCCAACATCTTTTTAACATATATGTAAGCCTACTGTATGACTTTTCCATATTCTCCCCTCAATCTGGTTTTCAGAAGTACTTTATGTGTGAAAGTAGTAGACATCCAGTCATCCTCAAATCAATCTTTGCATTCCAACAAGACTGTTTTAATCACTGTCTCAAAAGAAAAAAAAACCTCATCATTAAGGCTTTGTTCATTCTGTTTTCATTATCTCCTTCCCACCCCCAGGTTTAGAAACCTTTCCTCCATATTTTCCAACTATCTGAATCCTGCCCATCCTTAATCTCAGGCCATCAAAGTCACTATCTTCTTTGAATTTCTGTAGCATCTGTCTGTACCATTTGTTTGGGACAAAGCATATGATTTATGTATGTAACATATGGGACAAAGCATATGATTTATGTATGTAATGTATGTATGCATGTATGTATTTCAGAGACAGGGTCTTGCTATGTTGCCCAGGCTGACCTCAAACTTTTGGGCTCAAGTGATCCTTCTGCCTCAGCCTCCCGAGTCAAAGGGACTACAGATGTTTGCCACTGCACTCAGCTTTAACGACATTTTATACTAAGAGTTACTTAATGTTTTTGCTGTTATCAGTATCATCACCAAAAGAAATAAGTTCATAGGGTAGGAGTATACTTTATACATCTTTAAATGTATCCCTTCCGAGCACAGTATCTTGCTCACTGGTTGATAGCTTTTTAAATGATACATTAAATTTGCTAATATAAATGTCCCCTTTACCAGCAACCTTGAGACATAATTTGAACCTAACAACCCCCTTTAACAAAGTCAATGAATCTGGGCTAGGAGACATATGACCTGGGTTTTAGTCTTTTTGATCCTGTCACAAATTTGGCACATGACTTTGGCCTTGGCATGTGATGTTTTAGTTTCCAACTCTGTAGGGAGATAACAGTTACCTTGTCAATATTAGAGAACTGTGAGGATTAGATGAGATAATGAATGTAAAATTGCTTTTTAAACTGTCCAACATTCTTTAAGTGTATTATCATTATCAATTGGTAATCAACCAAGCTAGAAAAAGTTGTATATTTCATTATATTTAGAAAATAATTTCTATTGCTACTGTGGCAATTAAAGCTGTATTTGGGTAAAATACTAGCTCAAAGAAAATAATTTCCAAAGCTCAGTAAGTAGGACTGTAAAACCAATGTGATGTTTACAAGGAAACATTTTTGCCAGACTATATGCACCCCTTCCTCAACAATGCTACTAAGCTGGTTTCCCTAGTTTTACACTTGCTCTATTATAGTTTGTGTTCAACACAGCAGCTAAAATGATCCCTTTAAAACCTAAGTCAGACCACGTCACTTCTTTGCCTAAAACCTCCAAAGCCTTTCCAACTCAGTGCAAAAATGGAAAGTCCTCCCAGAGGTCCCCAAGGCCCTTGTGAGCTGCCCCATACTCTCACCTTGCCACTCTTTTCCATGCCCACTCTGCTTCAGCTCACTGGCCTACCTGCCAGGTATGCTCTTGCGCTGTGGCTCTGTGTCCCTGGAATACTACTATGCTTCCACAAATTGTCCCTGGCTTGCTCCTTTGCTTTAGATTTTTGCCTGAATTTTTCTCCTTTGCTTTAGATTCTTACCTTTTTAGGGGAAGCCTTTCCTAACCACGTAGTATGCAGTAGCAATACCCCCCAGCTCAGATACTTCCTTTCCCTTTTCTTCTGCTTCAGTGTTCTTCTTAACATTTACCTCCATCAACACGCTCCATTTCTACACATAGATCTGTTAATTCTCAGTACTCCCCTCTTCAAGGGAAGCTCCATGAATGCATACTTGGTCTGTTTTGTTCACTACCACATCTAGAATGGTGTCTGGTACATACAGGAAACAATATTTGTTGAGCAAATGGTGAATAAATGGTGTCTCTACTAAACAGGTGAACTAACATGCCGATCCAGAAGAGCATGAATTTGGCCTGAGAAGGAGCTCCATCTTTTCCCATTTAATGGACTACAGTTCAGAATGAATACATTTCAAAATGACACTTCATTCTGAGAAGAATCCATAGTCATTTAAAAGTACTCACTCACAAATATTTACTGACACCTTACCATGTGCCAGATATGGTACTAGGTGCTGTGGAGAGAAACATGAGTAAGACCCTGTCTCTGGCCTCCAGGAGCATGTAGACCAAGAAGCAGTTTGGTATATTCTCTGAACAAAAATACTGTTCATGCGATTTTAGGATAACAATGTTGTTTATGTATATTCTAAGTGGGGGTTTCTTTCTGAACAATAGGGATGTTTCTTTTAATAAAGACAATGAAAGTTATGCAAATAAATAGCTCCTAAGCTTGGCTGTGCATATTTAAAAAATACAGCTTTTTGTGTTCTACTCCAGACTTATTGAACCAGAAACCAATCCAATACAGCCTGGTTTTCAGGCCAGCATTTAAAAGACCAACATAACTTACTGCATTTCCCTCTGATTTAACTTCTAAAAAGTTCAGAATATCTGAAGAGAAATTTCTTCTCATTTCACTTTACTTTTTGAAATAAATCTCATTAAAAAAATCAATTTTACTGCAGCCATTTTGAATGTAGTTTGATGAGTCTGATGAATGTCTACATCCATGCAACCACACCATGATCAAGATACAGAACATTTCCATCACCTCAAAAGTTTGCTGTGTTTAAAGTTTAAAAACTTTAAAGTACTAGACATCCAGTCATCCTCAAACCAATCTTTGCATTCCACCTGGACTGTTTTAACCACTGTCTCAAAAAAAAATCATTAAACCTTTGTTCATTCTGTTTTCACCATCTCCCTCCTACCCCCAGGTTTAGAAACCTTTAAACTTTAAAGTTTTTAAGCTCACCTCAAAGTTTTTAAACTCATCCAAAAAGTTTGCTGTGTAAAAGTTTAAAAACTTTACAGTCAGTTCTACCCTGACCCCCAGCCTTTGGTAAATCACTGAGTGGTTTTGTCATTATACATTAGTTTTGCTTCTTCTCATAAATTATAAACCCTACAACATGTTATTATTATTATTATTATTATTATTATTATTATTATTATTTGAGACACAGTCTCACTCTGTTGCCCAGGCTGGAGTGCAGTGATGTGATCTTGGCTCACTGCAACCTCTGCCTCCTGGGTTCAAGTGATTCTCTTCAGCCTCCTGAGTAGCCAGGATTACAGGCGCCTGCCACCACCCCCAGCTAGTTTTTGTATTTTTAGTGAGACGGGGGTTTCACCATGTTGCCCAGGCTGGTCTCGAACTCCTGAACTCACGTGATCTGCTTGCCTTGGCCTCCCAAAGTGCTGGGATTACAGGTGTGAGCCATCGCGCCTGGCCATGTAATTATTTTTCTTTAAACAATCTGCTGATTATTGTTGGATGATATATCTGTCATTATAATTGAAATAGGTGTCCTGCAAACACTGTACAGTTGTGTCTTGTTCTTTTATACAGTTTGACATTTGTGCTTTTAATTGGACTGTTTAGACCATTCACACTTAACGTAATTATTGATATGGCTGGGTTCAACTCTACCATCTATTTGCCCCATCTGTCCTTTGTTCCTTTTTCTCTTCTTTTCCTGCTTTCTTTTGGGTTAGCTGGGCTAGTTCTTAGCATTCCACTAATCTCTACTATTTGCTTCTAAGCCAGAGGTTGGCAAACTTTTCCTGTAAAGAGTCATAAGTGGATATCTCAGGCTTTGAGAGCTATAAGCTTTTTGTTGTAACTACTCAAATTCTGCTGATGTAGTGCAAATGCAATGATAGGCCACATGTAAATGAACGGCCATGACTGTGTTCCAATTCCATTGTGTTTGTAAAAACAGGCGAAGGCCCAATTTTTGCCCATGGGTTGAATTTTGCCAGTCTGTTTGAAGCTTTATTTATTTATGGCTGTTCTAGAATTTACAATATGCTGCTTTAATTTCTTACAGTCTACCTTCAAGTAATATTAGGGTATTTCATTTATAATGTACAAACCTTACAATAATATATTTCCATTTTCTTCTTCTCATCTTTTATTTTCATACATCTTTCTTCTATGTACACTATAAGCTCCATAATATAATGTCTTTATTTTTCCTTTAAATAATTATATTTTAAAGACATTTAGAAGTGAGAAAACATCTTTTTATTTATCCACGATTTGTGAAACTATTTATTCCTTTGTGTAGATCTAACCATCCATCATCAGTTTCCTTCATCCTAAATAGCTTAACATTTTTTTGTAATGCTGGTCTACTGGCAATGAATTCTCTCATATTCATCTGAAAAAGTCTTTATTTAGCTGTTTATTTTTGGAAAATGTATTTGCTGGGCACAGAATTCTGGAATAATTTCTTTCTTTCAACATTTTAAAGACGTCTTTCCATTATCTTCTGGCTTGCATAGCTTGTGACATGAAGTCGGCTGTCAATCTTATCTTTGTTTCTCTACTTAATGTGCTCTGTTTTCTGTGAATATTTTTAAGATTTTCTTTTTACTCACTGGTTATCAAAATTTTTATTTTGATGTGCTTTGGTGTGGCTCTGTGTTCATCCTGGTTAGGGTTCATTGAGTTCTTAGATCTGTGGACTTACAGGCTTCACCAAATTTGGAAAGTTTTCAGCCATTATTTCTTCAAATTATTTTTTGTTTCCTTTTCTCTTTCCTCTTCTTTTGAGACTCCACTTAACACATATATCTTAGACTTCTTGATAGTGTCTCAAAGATCATTAAGGTTGTGCTCATTTAAAAAAATATTTTTTCTAGTAGTAGAAATGAGTAATTTTGGATAATTTCCAGATCTTTAACCTCAATATCACAATTTCTTCTGTAGTGTCTAATTCAGTTAATTCCATCAATGAAATTTTTATTTCAGATATTTTTCATAATTGAAAAATAAATGTTCAACTTGTTTGTCTTCCATTTCTCTCATTATGCTCATGTTTCCTATGAATTCCTTGGACATATATAGTTTTTATAATAACTATTCTAAAGTCCTGTCTGCAAAGTACATTATTTCTGGTGTGTGTGTGGGAGGGGGGCATCTATTTCTACAGATTGATTTTTTCCCGGTTATAGTCTTTCATCCATAATCAGAAGAAAAATTCTTTGCTTGTCAACTTTTTATTTGGATTGTCAACATTGTGAATCTTGTGTCGTTGAATGCTGGATTTTATTGTAATCCAGAGTGTTGGACTTGATACTGGCAAGTAATATATCTGCTGAACACTGATAGCTGAATCATTTTGAGGCTGATTTTAGACCTTTTATTTTAGGAGAGTTGAGAGTAACCACTACTACAGGGCTAGTTTAGCCCCACTGCTAAAGCATAATCCTTCTAATCTCTTTCTTGAATTCTCCAATGTGTTTAATGAGGCCTCTCTACACTGGATTATTGGAATTTAAAATATTCCCAACTTTGTATAAGTTTTGGGAATTGTTTGGCTTATAGTTCCCCAGAAATTTTCTTTTCTAAACAGTAGTTGGTTGTCTAGCTTTGTAGGATTTCACTCTATAAATGCAGAGGCTGATGTTAGGCCAGACGCAAGGGAACTCCTATGCAATTTCTAGAGCTCTTTCTCTGCATGTTCTTGCCTTTCTAGGACTCTGTTCTGTGAATTCTAGCCATTTTGGTCTCCTTGAACTCCAAATTCTGTCTTTTCAGCTCAGTAAGACCTTTGAGCTTTGTTTGGGTTTCTGTGCAGACAGCTTGGGTGATAGTAGGACTTACTTCATTTGTTTCTGTTCTCTCAGGGATCACTGTCTCACATTGCCTGTTGTCTAAAGTTTGAAGATAACTGTTTCACTATTTTGTCCAGTTTCCTAATTATTTTTGGTGGAGGGCAAATCCCACAGCAGTGACTCCATGGGCAGAAGTAGAAGTATCTGTTTGTTTGTTTGTTTTGTTTTGTTTTTGAGACAGAGTCTTGCTCATGTCACCCAGGCTAAAGTGCAATGGCGCGATCTCGGCTCACTGCCACCTCCAATGCCCAGGTTCAAGCTTCTCCTGCCTCAGCCTCCTGAGTAGCTAGGATTACAGGCGCCCACCAACAAGCCCAGTTAATTTTTGTACTTTTAGTAGTGATGGGGTTTCGCCATGTTGGCCAAGCTGGTCTCGAACTCCTGACCTCAAGTGATCTACCTGCCTCAGCCTCCCAAAGTGCTGGGACTACAGGCATGAGCCACCACACCCCGCCTCCCTTTCTTTTAAAATGTTTGCTTTTGTCTTTTGTTCATTGTATTGACCTTATATCATAAACCACCTTGAATCCTTTTTTAAGGTAATGTAGATATAAATAATCTTAGGACTTTATTAAACTAGGTTAAATCTGAATTCATGTGGCAGAATTTGAAGCAAATAGAATCCCTTTAAATCTTGGGTTAAGGACAGCTCCCCTAATTTAAATTTTGTTATCTCTTGCATAAAATATTCTACCTTATATCCAAAGTATCAACAATCCTAGTATATAGCCACTGAACTTATTACTTCAAGGTTTCATTTAAAACATGCAAGTTCTACAACTTTTTTTTTTTGAGACAGAGTTTTTGCTCTTGTTGCCCAGGCTGGAGTGCAATGGCCCAATCTCAGCGCACTGCAACCTCCGCCTCCCGGGTTCAAGCGATTCTCCTTCCTCAGCCTCCCGAGTCTCTGAGATTACAGGAGACTGCCACCATGCCCAGCTAGTTTTTGTTATTTTTAGTAGAGATGGGGTTTTGCTGTGTTGGCCAGGCTGGTCTCGAACTCCTGACCTCAGGTGATCCACCTGCCTCAGCCTCCCAAAGTGCTGGGATTATAAGCATGAGCCACTGCACCCAGCCTACAACTCTTTTTTTTTTATTTTTTGAGATGGAGTCTTGCTCTGTCACCCAGGCTGGAGTGCAGTGGTGGGATCTCACCTCACTGCAAGCTCTGCCTCCTGGGTTCACACCATTCTCCTACCTCAGCCTCCCAAGTAGCTGGGACTACAGGCACCTGCCACCATGCCCGGCTAATTTTTTGTATTTTTAGTAGAGATGGGGTTTCACCATATTAGCCAGGATGGTCTTGATCTCCTGACCTCATGATCTGCCTGCCTTGGCCTCCCAAAGTGCTGGGATTACAGGTGTAAGCCACCACATCCAGCCAACCTACAGCTCTTAAGAATAGCTCCAGGGGCCAGGCGCAGTGGCTCACACCTGTAATCCCAGCACTTTGGGAGGCCAAGGCGGGTGAAACATGAGATCAGGAGATCGAAATGAGCCTGGCCAACGTGGCAAAACCCTGTCTTTACTAAAAATACAAAAAATTAGCTGGGTGTGGTGGCGTGTGCCTGTAGTCCCAGCTACTTGGGAGGCTGAGGGCTGAGGCAGGAGAATCGCTTGAACCCAGGAGGCGGAGGTTGCAGTGAGCTGAGATCACACCACTGCACTCCATTGTGGCAATAGAACAAGACTCTATCTTAAAAAAAAAAAAATAGCTCTAGAAACACTGAAATGATTTGATTTTTTTTTCTTGTTTGTTTTCAGCTTCACTCGAAGCCATAGACAACAGCACAACAGATTAGGCAGAAAGATTACTTTTAAGGAGGTAGTTATATTTATGCTTATTTTAATGCAATATCAAGTTATGGAAAACAAACAGCAATTGAAGGCATACAGCTTTTCATTCAGTTCACTTAAAAACATCACAGCCTTTCTTCTGTAAGCAAAGCACAGAAAAGATGAGTCATTAAAGTGATTGATTATAAATGGCAATCATCAGGGCAGATGTAAGTCATTTTGGTTTAATCAGGGCATTAATTATTAGGGTTTATCAATTAGTTTTATTGAAGGCAAGGGAGCTCAAATGAATACTAGGGCATTGATTTTAACTGAGACATTTTCTCAAAGAAAATACAAATGAGGTGTGTTGAAGCCTGGAATTATGGGTCCTTTTCATACCACTAAAGAGAAATAAGTTTCTTCTACCGCAACACATAAACCTTTAGTGAAAAAGCAAACTAACTTATTCTCCTTTTGCATTAAAAATATCAAGTTTAGGTGTTTCCTAATTTAAGGTTTGGGTTTAAGCTATCTTGGCCAAGAGATGACTATCATTTTGGAAATAGTAAGATAAAGGCACAATGTAAAGTGGCTCATTTTTAATATCCAATACTCCTTTTTTCATTTTAAAAGATTTAGTCATTTTATGCAGTAGGCTTTTATAGGCATCAAAATAGATTCCTGTGGGTCAGATTCCCTTAAAGGAAGCAGAGTGATGCCCTGGAAGGTGCCGCTGCATACTGACTGTGAGACTGGACGAATCATTTAAACCTCTCTGAGCATACATGTACGTGTGGGTGTGTGTACTCACAACACTCACATGCTCAGTGTTGAGCACACAATTTCACTTAATTCTCATAACAATCCTGAATTCTCACTGACAACCTTGCCAGTGTTGGAAGATCAGATATCATCCCTGATCTTGTACATCATATCCTGTATATGATATCCTGATATCTGATATCTTGATATCTGATCTTCCTACATTGACAAGGCTGTTAAGAGAATGAAGTGGGCCTGTGTGCTTAGCACTGCTGGCACAGAGCTAGAGGTCAGTGAAATGTTGAATGAATCAGATGAATGGGAAAAACATTTTGTAAACTTGAATGTACCAAATATACTATAAAGCTACTGCTTTGTAGAATCAGTAATGATGACTTCCACTCTAGGAAATCAGGATGTGGATCATTTAATACATTGGCTCATATCCAAATGCTAAATGAGGTTAACTTTCATTATACCAGCTCCACCTGAAGGCAGGCTTCTTCTAGGGTAGCAAGTGTGTTCAGCTGGGATCACAGACGAGTTAACATTATCCAATCACAACATGTGTCTCCTGTCACAATACTGTCTCACTCCTTCAGTGAGATTTCACAGTAAGCTGGGCTTTTTAACGATGATGCAATAAATCTTTGAGTTGCAGCAGTGACAGCCCAAGTAGATAATAGGTGGTTATGATGCAGTTCCATCCAATAACTTGAAATGCTTAGAAGATTATTAGAAAAATATCAGTGAGCAGAAAGAATGGAAGAGTTTACTAAAAGAGCCTTCTGTCATGCTAAGGATAATAGTAGGTGGTTTTAGGTAAATAAAAATCAGCCTCAAAGTGTCTTTAAAACTTAAACATAAAGCTATCATATGACCTTTGTAGTCACTATGTGGTCACTCTTTAACAAAGTATGAAACATTGGTTCATTATACTAATCATATAATATATACCAATGGTAAAATAATTATTTCTTCTCAAATCTGATATGTGCTAGATGGCCTGATAAACTATGATTTACAAATATCTAAAGAAATATACCAATTCCACTCCTAGGTATTTACTCAAGAGAAATGAAAATACAGAACCACATAAAGACTTGTGTATGAAAAGTAGTATTATTCATAATCGTCCCAAAGTGGATACAATGCCAAATATCCCTCTACTAGTAAATAAGCAGACAAAATGTGATATATCCATACAATGGAATACTATTCAACAATAAAAAGGAATGAACTATAGACACATGCTATAATACAGACACATCTCAAAAACATCATGCTAAGTGAAAGAAGTCAGGCACAAAGATTTCATGTGGTATGTTTCTGCTTATATAAAATGTCCAGAAAAGGCAAATCTGTAAAAGTCAGAAAGTAAATCAGTGGTTCCCTGGGGCTGAGGACAGGAGCAGGGAGTGATTGCCAATGAACATGAGGACACTTTTTTGGGGTGATGAAAATGTTCTAAAACTGGATTATGGTTATGGTTGCACAACTTTATAAACTTACTAAAAATCACTGAATTGAGTAGATGAATTTTATGGCATGCAAATTATATATCAATAAAGCTGTTTTAAAAAATCAACCTCAAAACACAACTTGATTTCTCATTACCATGACTAATTACTAATAAATAAATTGATAATCCATAGTTTCTGCAGGTGCTTTTGTGGTCACTGTGGTCACTCTCTTACCCTATAACAAAGTATGAAAGATCAGTTAATTACATATACTATATATCAATGGTAAAATGGTTATTTCCTCTTAGAACTGATATGCTCTAGGCCTGATAAACCGCAATTACAAATATTTAAAGAAAGATATTAATTTTAAAATGTTACTTTTGTGTATTTAAGATTATTTCAAGAAATGAGTAAGGCTATGTCTATAAAATGTAAAAACAACTGATTCAAACATGAAAAATTTGGTCCACCAACCATAGTTGCCTCAATAACCGCAAGTAGCTGCTCTGATTTTCAGGCTGGACTGATTTTTTCCCCCCACTGAATTGGCCAAATTGACTGTGGAAATTGGTATCGTGTTGAGACAACCCATGTTGCCACCCATAACTGCCTCACGCAGGAAACTGTATCTTTACACATTCTGCATCAATTAGCCATTAAACAATCCACATAAACAGCATCAAGCAGAAGCTTGCTAATAAAGGCCAGAGCCTCAAGAGCATGTGCTTTCCCAACATCTTCACAAAAGGGCTCCTCCGCCCACTGCCCAGCCCCTGCCCCCAGCACAATCAGGGGTCAGGGTGGGAGGTTACCCTTGGCTAGGATCTGGCTGGGTGCCGAGGGGGCTGTTCAAAACAAATAAAAGCTCCTTCACAAAACTACAGTTGGAGTTACTTAATGTGCTTTGTATAGGGACCCAAACGGTAATTTCCTTGTAAGATTAGTTCTTTTTTTTTTTTTTTTTTGAGATGCAGTGTCACTCGGTTGCCAGGCTGGAGTGCAGTGGCACGATCTCACCTCACTGCAACCTCCGACTCTCAGGTGCAAGCAATTCTCCTGCCTCAGCCTCCTGAGTAGCTGGGACTACAGGTGCTCACCACCATGCCCCGCTAATTTTTGTATTTTTAGTAGAGATGGGGTTTCTCCATATTGGCCAGGCTGGTCTCAAACTACTGACCTCATGATCCTACCGCCTCGGCTTCCCAAAGTGTTGGGATTACAGGCGTGAGCCACTGTGCCCGGTGTCTGGTAAGATCAGTTCTAAAGAAAATTGTGATTTTTGTATCAGCTATATGCTTTCTTTTGCCAGAAAAGAAAAACCATACCAATTGAGGATTCCCTTTTTGTTGTGACCTATTCACATCAGGTGCTGTTGGTATCTCCAACTTCTACTTCCTTTTGGTCTTTGTTTCATATTTAAACATTTAATTTGCTCTGAACTTTTACATGTCTCACTGAATGCTCTTAGAAACAGGCATGGTACAATTGTTACAGAAACATTTTTAAATGTGGCATGTGGCTGTTGTGGGATGACAATGGAGGCAGAAATAAACTTCTCTTCAACTTTTTCCCCCTATAAAGCAATTACACTGTGTGAATACCAGGAAGCCACTCTCAGTTTACCAGGAGCCAGAGGGCACATTAGCCGGTCTCCACTCCTAGCAACCTCTCCTAGCACTGTGCCTGGGATCTTCAGCAATGCTCTTTCATTATGTTTAATTGTCTTATGAAAAGAAAAAAAACAATATATCTATCTAGTTATTTATTGGGGACTGCATTCTAATGAATGAGAACAGCAGGTACAATTAAGTATAGACTATGCTGACGTTCTGCATTACAAATTCATCTGTGCACAACGGGAACATACTTAAGAGAAAACCACATTGCAATATAAAAGTTATTCTAATGACTCCATCACATAAGAAAGGGTAGGTCATCCAAATATTCTTGCAAAGGCCTTAAATAAAATTAAACAGCATAATTAGCCATCCTCAATGGCAGTTATTGCCTGGAGTCTCATGATTCGGTTCAGAATGGAGGCAACAAACGTGCCCTTTCCTTCTTCAATAAAGGCAGGGTACCTGGGACACTTACAAGATTAATAACAAGGGCAAAAAGGCCTGAGCTTCTCAATTCTCCCTCTCTTAATCCTTTCATAGTAAGTAAAAGAGATTTCCTTCTAAAGTGGTGAATCTTAGATTCCTACCTGTGATGTGTACATATTCTGGTCAGTGTTTAGGAAAAGCCAGGTCTGGAGGAATGTGTTCCTGCACAACCTACTTCCCCAAGTCTAAGATACCACTGACTGTTAAGACTCCTCTTGACTATAAAACATTTTTGGGGAAAAAGGAAAGAAAACAAAGGAATACCACATTATATGCATAAATAAGATGTAAGACAGCAGACTTGACTTGGAGCGGTGTGTCCCGAAGACTAATCCTGGTAATTTGTTTTAAAGAAATAACAAAAAATTATGGTAGATAACACTTACTTGGCACTTAATATATACCAGGAACTGGGCTAAGTGCATTATTATCATATGCATTACCTCATTTAATTCTCATTGTAACCCTTGAGATAGGTACTATTATTAACCCCATTTTACAGAGGAGGAAATTGAGGTTCAAATTAATGAAATTACTTGCCCAAGGACACAAAACTAGAGGCTTCGACTAGTAAAGCTCTTAAGCCTTAACAAACTGCATTATATTTATGAGCTAAATCTTATTGGAACTAATAGGATGGATTATCCCAGCTTTGGCAGTGAATAGTTGGGTGATCTTGGGAAGTTCACAAAGAAAATAGCCCAGATGTTTTAAGTTCTTTATACTCACAGGCTAATTTTCTAAGAAAAGGAGATGTTAACAGGAAAGTGTGAGGAACGTTCTAACTATTCCCTCTCATTTAACCTCTTGCTTCTTTTCTTGAGAAATAATTATTTGACATAATAATAGCTGTTATATGCCAGGTACAATGCTATGACCTCAAAGAAGTTAAGAAGCTGACCCAAGGTCACATAGCTAAGATGAATTAAGAGGAAGAACCAGAACTTAAACCTGGGTCTGACCCTCATACTAGAGCTTTTCCATTAGGCCACCAACCACTTTCCTATGACTTTTTCCTATGACTTTTCCTATAACTAAGCAAGTTTTTTAGGCTGCTTGAGCCTTGATTGCTTCACCTAAGAATGGAGATACAATGATACCTCCTCACAAGGTTATTATAACAATTAAATAAAATTATACATACAAGAGAGCTAACACTGTAGCACATACAAGGTACTCAATAAATGATATTAGGAAAATGATTAATATTGTTATCATTATGATTGTACCCAATCCAGAAGGAACTTAATCTTCCACCAGCAAAAGAGTAGATTTGATTTCCATGGTGCTGATCACCTTCAACCATGCCTTTAGAGAAAGGAAGAGACATGGAGAGCTCTTCCAACTGCTAAAGCTGTCTGTCCATTCTGCTTGGCAAAATGTCCCAAGGATAAATCTCTTACTTTAATACGAGAAAGGGGAACAAAAGATGACTTCCAATTTAGCCACATTATAAAAAGTTCCAGGAGAAAAACACTGCCCTCAGAAAATTATGATTCAATGTATTCATCCAACAAATATCCACTGGCATACAATCAATGCCATAAACTCCTCTACCAACAGAAATGACCCTGTCATTCATCATACAGGTGCTCTCTCTCTCCCTCTGATAAGCTCCTAAACTTCAGGTTTGTGTCAGAGACAAAGCAATGATCAGAGCTAACTGCGGGGCTTGGTGAATCAAACACTCATCCACACACTGGGGGCATCTTGCTGGGTGGTTGGATAGAAGCTTACCCTAATGGATACTATAGAGACTGGTGAGCCAAAACACACAACGATCACACAGTCTGCTTCAAATCCCAATCCCCTGCAAGTCAGAAGGCTTTTAGAGGTGGGGACTGGGGAAATAACTATCCTCTTCCATTTGCATTTGTTCCTTGAATGACACACGACGTCTTTCCTTATTTCTCCTCTAAGGCTTCCATTGATACTCATTTTCAGAATGGAAGAGGGTAATTTCCCTCTTACTGATTTCCTAAAAGGGATGACTCTGCCTATGATCAAATCCTACCACAGAAGCATGGGAGAGAGAAAAACTAAGTCCAGGACAACCTTCTCTGATTAAGCTGACCTTCTGAATACAGGTAACTACAGAAAGATGATATATTCTTTTTTTGTTGTTTACATTAAGCTTTTAATTTTGAGATAACTATAGATTTACACAGTTATCTCAAAGTTTACATTTACAATGGTAAGAAATAATACAGAGACATCCTGTGTACACTCCACCCAGTTTCCCCTAATGGTAACATCTTATAAAACTGTAGTATAGTATCACAACCAGGGTATTGACACTGATAGTCAAGATGGAGAACATTTCCATCACCATGAGGATTCCTCATCTTGCTCCATTGTAAACATTCCCTCTGTCTCCCATCCTCTCAGCCCCTGGTAACCACTAATGTGCTCTCTCCATTTCTATAATTTTGTCATCTCAAGAATATTATACAAATGGAATCATACACTATGTAACCTTTGTGACTGGCTTTTTCACTCAGTATAATGATCTGGAGGTTCATCTAGGTTGTGGGCATCAACAGTTCGCTCCTTTCTATTGCTGAGCAGTAATCCATGGTATGAATGCCCACAGCTTGCTTAACCATTCACCTGTTGAAGGACATCTGAGTTGTTTCCAGTTTTTGGCTATGATGAATAGAGCTGCAATAAACACTTGCGTACAGGTTTTTGTGTGAACAGAAGTCTTCATTTCTCTGGGATAAATGCCCAGGAATGCAATTGCTGGGTCATACGGTAGTGGCATGTCTAGCTTTCTTTCTCTTTTTTTTAAATGTCAGCAGTGGGGCTGTATCATTTTACATTCCTACCAGCAATGTATTAGTGATCCAATTTTCTGCATCCTCATTTGCTATTGTTACTATTTTTTATTTTAGCCATTCTGATAGGTATATAGTAATATCTCATGGTGGTTTTAATTTGCATTTCCCTAAAGCCTAATGATATTGAACATCTTTTTCATGTGCTTATTTGCCATCTGTGTATACTCTTCAGTGGAATGTCTCTTCATGTCTTTGCCCATTTTCTAATTGGATTGTTTGTTTTTCTACCATTGAGTTTTGAGAGTTCTTTATATATTCTAGGCACATATTCTTTTAAAAGAATACTTTTAAGACATGTAGCGTTTCTGATCTCTTGAAAATCACAACATACTGCAAATACAGAAATACCCTGTGATCACCCAAGGTAAATAGAATGAATGACCAATATGGGGAAAGAGGCTTAATTTCTCGAGATGTTCATTTGTGTGGATAGTGTCAGAGCTGGAGAAAAACCAACAACCTAGAGTCAGAGTTTGTTTACCCTGTTAATGGGCTAAGTCTTTTTTTTTCTTTTCAAAAACATACACATTCACAAGTTATAATCTACTATAGCGCTGGATGTGATTAATATTTATTATATTTAAAGGACAATATGGAAATGATTTTTACACAGGAGATAGGATGTTAACTGTGCTCTCAACACTAGCACTTGTATAACATAAATGCCTCCTTCCAGACCCATCTGATTAAACAGCCTGAGAGCTCAGGGAAGGAAGAACGCACATACTAGCTCTCTCATCATTACACATGGCAACATAAAACCTACTGGGAATGACTCCTTTTAAATTTACTTGGGTTACTCAAGCACTAACCAGTTCTTTTAAAAAAGTGTTTGGGGCCGGGCACGGTGGCTCATGCCTGTAATCTCAGCACTTTGGGAGGCCGAGACGGGTGGATCACAAGGTCAGGAGATCGAGACCAGCCTGGCTAACATGGTGAAACCCTGTCTCTACTAAAAATACAAAAATTAGCCGGGCATGGAGGCACGTGTGTGTACTCCCAGCTACTTGGAAGGCTGGGGCAGGAGAATCGTTTGAACCTGGGAGGTGGAGGTTGCAGTGAGCCGAGATTGTGCCACTGCACTCCAGCCTGGGCGGCAGAGTGAGACTCTGTTTCAAAAAAATAAACAAACAAACAAAAACTGATCCTCCAGAAAGCAAAAATATGTCATAGGTTATTTAAAAATTCACTATAATGTATATAGTTAATCACAAACTATGTAGATCTCTGCAAAAAAACAGATTGTTACAAAGCTTTATGCAAATTATCTTTTAATAAATCATTAAAAATTAATCAGGTTAGTTTTCTATTGATAGCAATACTTTCCAAGAATTCTTTTGTTTAAGAATCACTTTATCCAGAAAATAATCATTCCCTAATTTATTTTTGCCCCAAATCCCAACTTTTACACACACTAACATACTATTTTAACTACCACCTTGACATCAAAATTTCTTTCCTAAGGAATTCAAACGTTTTACCTCTACCAAACCATTTCTCTTTTCCCATTTAATAAATATAACAAAATAATTTTGGAATATAATACAAATATTCTTATAACATTTTTAATCTTAAAATTTATACTGATTTCACTTAAAGGACAATATCAAATATATAACATTTACCTGCCTACACTATTTTGAACTGTTACCCTCTCACCTTCCCATTTTCTTCAAAATTCCTTCCTTAAAAAGGATGCCCTTAGATGGGACTGTCTTGTGCATTTTTTTGCAACTTCCGGTGGATCTACCATTGTTTCACAACAAAAAGATTAAAAAAAAAAGTGTTCCAGAATTGGAAAAAACTACTTTAAAGTTCATATGGAACCAAAAAAGAGACCGCATTGCCAAGTCAATCCTAAGCCAAAAGAACAAAGCTGGAGGAATCATGCTACCTGACTTCAAACTATACTACAAGGCTACAGTAAACAAAACAGCATGGTACTGGTACCAAAACAGAGATATAGATCAATGGAACAGAACAGAGCCCTCAGAAATAACACCGCATATCTACAACTATCTGATCTTTGACAAACCTGACAAAAACAAGCAATAGGGAAAGGATTCCCTATTTAATAAATGGTGCTGGGAAAACTGGCTAGCCATATGTAGAAAACTGAAACTGGATCCCTTCCTTACACCTTATACAAAAATTAATTCAAGATGGATTAAAGACTTAAACGTTAGACTTAAAACCATAAAAACCCTAGAAGAAAACCTAGGCATTACCATTCAGGACATAGGCATGGGCAAGGACTTCATGTCTAAAACACCAAAAGCAATGGCAACAAAAGCCAAAATTGACAAATGGGATCTAATTAAACTAAAGAGCTTCTGCACAGCAAAAGAAACTACCATCAGAGTGAACAGGCAACCTACAAAATGTGAGAAAATTTTCACAACCTACTCATCTGACAAAGGGCTAATATCCAGAATCTACAATGAACTCAAACAAATTTACAAGAAAAAAACAAACAACCCCATCAAAAAGTGGGCGAAGGACATGAACAGACACTTCTCAAAAGAAGACATTTATGCAGCCAAAAAACATGAAAAAATGCTCATCATCACTGGCCATCAGAGAAATGCAAATCAAAACCACAATGAGATACCATCTCACACCAGTTAGAATGGCGATCATTAAAAAGTCAGGAAACAACAGGTGCTGGAGAGGATGTAGAGAAATAGGAACACTTTTACACTGTTGGTGGGACTGTAAACTAGTTCAACCATTGTGGAAGTCAGTGTGGCGATTCCTCAGGGATCTAGAACTAGAAATACCATTTGACCCAGCCATCCCATTACTGGGTATATACCCAAAGGACTATAAATCATGCTGCTATAAAGACACATGCACACATATGTTTATTGCAGCACTATTCACAATAGCAAAGACTTGGAACCAACCCAAATGTCCAACAATGACAGACTGGATTAAGAAAATGTGGCACATATATACCATGGAATACTATGCAGCCATACAAAATGATGAGTTCATGTCCTTTGTAGGGACATGGATGAAACTGGAAATCATCATTCTCAGTAAACTATCATGAGGACAAAAAACCAAACACCACATGTTTTCACTCATAGGTGGGAACTGAACAATGAGAACACATGGACACAGGAAGGGGAACATCACACTCTGGGGACTGTTGTGGGGTGGGGGGAGGGGGGAGGGATAGCATTAGGAGATATACCTAATGCTAAATGACGAGTTAATGGGTGCAGCACACCAGCATGGCACATGTATACATATGCAACTAACCTGCACATTGTGCACACGTACCCTAAAACTTAAAGTATAATGATAATAAAAATAAAAGAAAAAAAAACGTGTTCTTGCTTTCCATCCAAGTTGTGACTTTACATGTCCTTATTATAATTCCTTATTAATTATAATACTTCATTTTCAGTGTCCCTGATACTTTAAAAACAGTTTCCCTTAAAGATGCCTTTTGATTTGATAACATGAGTCTGGTTTAGAAAGCAACATTTTCTTAGCTAAGGCACACAGCTTTAATTTTCAATTATTTGTTTTATACTTTAGTCTCTTATCTTCAGTTTTAAAACATTTCATATTTCCTAGAATTTCCCACTTTGAAGGAATACCTTAAATAATTTATATACATTAAGCACCTAGAACAGTGCCTGGTACAGAGTACATGCTTAATAGTCATTATTGTTATTATTTTCATCACAAAATCTACTCTTGGAAATTCTCCCCTCCCTTTTCTCTTTCTTTTCTTTTATGTCTCTCTGATTTTCTTTGTTCCCCACCTTATCAACAGGTCACACTTCCTTCAGTCAGGAAATCACAGAACCCAGAACCTTAGCTCTTGAAGAAATCTGAGTGATCATCCAGCTACTCTTTCATAGTATACATGAGGGAACAGAGGCAAAGAGAACAGGAGTGATCTGCCTTTCTGGGGTCACCCAGTGAGGCAGTCAGTCAGTAGGACTGAATTGGGAATGTCAGATAAAGCCTTATTCCTTCTTAGAAACTGAGCTTTTAAAATTGTCCAACAGGTTAAGTCAGCTCTGCAGATACGCAGTTCTTGGTAATATCTCTGGGGAAAAAAATCGGCTTAACTACAGAAAGAACTGTCCAATTTCCAGATGTTTCAAATTGTGCCAATGATAACAGCAACTTCTAAGTTTCTGTTTCTCTTCCCACTATCCTTCCTTCCCTGACCCTGTCTCTCTCTTTCTGGCATTGTAGATATCCTTTAAATCACAAGGGTTGGTTTTTTTTCTTGGGGTGGGGGGGTTGGCTGGCTGTTTTTTAAGCTACTGAGTTACTAGATCAAACCTAGGTAGGATTTGTCAGGAACCATGAAGATACAGAAACAATAACAGAATCACCAAGACCCTTTGAAAGAATGGTTTGTCCTTTTGGCAGGGAAAACTTCTTTCTAGAGTGTCTACTGCACTGCTAAGATGTAAGAAGAGCTTTTCTCTGTAAATCTGGTTTACTTTTTAATTTTAAAATTTGGTTTACTGAGGCATAATTTATACACAGTAAAATTCACTCACCCTTTTCAGGTGCACAGGTCTTTGTTTGCTAAAAAACACATATAACCATGTAACTACCACAAAAATCAAGCTACAGAACATTTCCAACATACCAAAATGTTCCTTCATGCCTTTACAGTCAACTCCTCCTCCACTGTTTGTCAACCAGTGATGCTGATGTTCCATCCCATAGGATGGAAAATTGTATTTTGCTTTTTCCATGTATGTATTCTGCCTTTTCCAGAATGTCATATAAGTGGAATCACACAGCTGGTAACCCTTTGAGTCACCTCCTTCATTTAACATGAAGTATCTGATATTCACCCATGTTGTTACATGTAACAGTAGCTTGTTTTATTGCTGAGTAATATTCCACTCTGTGGATGTATTACAGTCTGTTTTTCCATTTACCAGCTGAAAGACACTTGGGTTGTTTCCAGTTTGGAGCTATTATGAATAAAGCCACTATAAAGAGTTGCCTAAAGTTTTTGTGTGGACATATGTTTTCCTTTCTCTTAGGTAAATATCTAGGAAGGGGATTGCTGAATCATGTTGCAAGAAATTGTCAAACTATTTTTCAAAGCAGCTGTACCATTTTATATTTCTACCAGCAATGTATGAGAATTCTAATTGCTCTGTATTCTAGTCAGCACTTCATATTATCAGGTTTTTTGTTGTTATCTCTTTTCAGGGAAAGAAAGTAGCAAGAAGTATTTTTAGCATACTAAACTGTTAACAATTTAAGCAACCTTGACGCCTTTCTCTTAAAAGTCACAAGCAATCCATCAGCAAATTCTATCAACTATACATTTAAAATATATCCAGAATCACCACTTCTCCCCATCTTTATAACTATCTCCCTGATCTGGGCCCCTGAAACTTACCTGAATTACCAAAACATTTTCCTAACAGCTGATTCTACTCTTGTCTCCCACACTCAGATACAGACACACTGGCCTCTTTGCTGTTCCACTAACACTCCGGGCACATCCTGTGGTGTCTACTCTAACTGTTTCTCATATATCTACTTGACTAGTAACTCTCCCCTTTCAAGCCTTCCTCCCAAACTCATCTTCCCTATGAGGTTTCTTTGATTAATACGCAACCTACCCTTTGCTTCCCCTAACCTCAATCTACTTTTTCTTTTCTATTATTAACAACCCTCTAACACACTCCGTATTTTACTTACTTATTATGTATGTTATTGTTTAAGAAATGTTTCCTAACCCACTCTATCACTGCTAGAATATGAGTTCTATGATCATAGAAATCTTTTGTTTCACATATTGATGTGTTTCAAGTACTGTGAAAGCGCCTAGAACGTAGTAGGTATAAAATAAATAGTTGCTCAATGATCAAACTAACACTGGCTTTGGTATCTAAGGTAGCACTAATTGGAAAGTCTGTGTGAGGCCAGATTTATAAAAGAGAAAAGCCAAGGGTAGAAAATAAAATTTGTAACATGTATACTGAAACTACAAGGCTTAGTTTCTTTAAACACAAATCTATCTGGCCAGCATTTTCCTACAGAATTTCTGCAAAAACGTATTTTTAAAAAGTTCTCCTATTGGAGAAAGTAAATGAAACTAACCAGGTTCATATATACAAAAAAACTCCTGGCACACCAACTATATAGGTTTTTTTTTTCTTCTATAAACTTCTGCATCTGTGTAAGATGGCCCCAGAATGATTGCCAATTTTATTTTCTTAATCTAAATTCTATTCTCATTACCCTTGCATTTCTATTTTTTATCCTCAGGGAAAGAGACAGCAGTTACTACCAGGGCATTCTCACATCTTCCCAAGAAATGGCATAGGTGTTAATCTTGTATTTATGTTTGATGTGGGTAATGATGGCTATGACTGGAGCTGTAGGTTTATTAATATGCAGGGCTCTCACCTCATTAGTGGCGATGTATGTTTTGAAGTGAAGCTGCGATGTTTCCTGTAATGTCGGATCTGGCCTAACAGATTTTCTCACTGTTCATTTTCTTTGTTTTTACCCATAGTCAGCACATGCTATGCTTATAGTGCTCTCACATATGCCTTTTAATAAAGACAACTTTTCCACAGTAGTTAATTTGGTGGGCATTTCAAACATTTTTAATGATTATGTCCTCATGTGGAATTATCACACGTTTGGTTTATTTTAGAGAAAAGATTTTCATAATTTTTGACTCAGTAATATAAAGTATAATAAACTCTCTCCCTGGCTTGGTTTTGGAGTGGTGTATTCTTATTAACTGAATAAAGTGATTAATTCATGGTTATAATAAAAACATGCCACATTCTTAGCATTCAATAGTTTATAAAGTCCCTGCACATATATCTCAACCAAATCTTAAAAAGAGCAAAATAAACAATAGTAACACCTGACTGAATATAACATTTGATGATCCATTATGAATAGCAACTGCTGTGCTTCAATTTCCAAAACAATTTCCAGTTAACATAATATACTATCAAATAAACTAACTTTTACCAGACTAACAAGCCTCATGGGATGAGTGGTTTGCCGCTGCTTATTGCTCAGATTTCATTCTACTCTACAGTCCTCACTGGATATAAACTACGGGAGAGACTCCAGGTTTTCAAGAGTTTGTTTGGAAGCCATTAACTACGTTTAATAAATTCTGTAATATACTACTTATTTATACACTTTCTATAGCTAAAATCTGGACCACCGTATTCCAAGGAAGCCATATAAATGCGAGAAATAGTTTGTTCTCTTTTCTCATTAGATACTGAACACATCTCCATTTCTTAATCTTTTGAAATTTGTGCCCATAAGTACAAAGCAATTTCTTTTTTTTTTTACTCTGGTTTTTAAGAACGGCATTAGAAAATGATGATCAGAGGACAACACAGGTACTTAGACCAAGACAAAGGAGGAAGAGGTATAGATCACTCATTAGTATTTCTCTTTCACCATCTTCTTTTCACTGTCCTCTCACAATGCCTAAACCAGGCTCCCCCAGCCCCTGCAGAAGGACCCCTGTTTTTGATTTGACAATGTGACACATGTTCAGCTAGAATTCCCATCATCATTCATTTAGAGAAAGCAAAAATGAGTACATGTGCTTTTAAGAAGGAACAGCAATGAGCTTATATAGCAAAAGTGCATAAACAAGTATATTACCTATTTAATTGCCTTAGCTGAACTTAAAAGCTCTGATCTTTAATTGCCTGATTGAACTGATCTAAAAAGCTACAATTTTTTAATCAAGAAGAAAATTAAATAGCTTTTTGGTAAATAAAAAGGCATCTTTAATCTTATTTTTATGGAATCCAAGTTATTAAATATGGACAAAACCTCTAAAATATTAAGTTAACAACTACTCAATCTAAGGTAAATTTCTCATTACAATGCTTTACAAAAGTCTTCAGGGACACCTGGCTTCTTTGACGCTTCAGTAAAAACACATGCTTTTAAGTCCAGAAGGTAAAAGTTTCCATGAATAGCTGGGAAACTCAAAAGCTAAATATGAATATATTTAATGAGGTGTATTACCACAGGATATTTATTTCTGTAGTTGAGTGGCCATAACTACTGGGACATAACTGTTCATCTGCACTGCAATTCGTTAGTCTTTCCATTGAGACAGATGTAGGTGCACACTCATTCACTGAAATTCCTTGAAAGGACTTGTCAGCCCTCTACCACTGTTCCTACTGTGTCCCCAACAGATATCTTCTTCTCACAACAGGTGGCATTTTATAGCAGGCTACTCTCTGTAGGAATTGGGCTGGCCAGCACCAACTGAAAAAGTAAGTACAGGCCCAGGATTCCCTCTTGAAACCTCTATGCTCTCCATCAGTCAAACCACTGCAGCCCTTGTCCGTCACTAACGAAAAAGCCCTTTCTTAGCCCAAGTTGCAACCAGGGATGAAAAGAAGGACCTACTGGCTTCTGAGAGTCTCTGGTCAACCAAGCTTGGCCACAGTGATCATGAAGTGGTTTATAGTGAGAATCTGACCCTAGACATTATTTTTAGATCCAGACAAATCCATCTGAAACATGTCTATCAAGATCCCATTTCAAATGAAAAATTTAGTTATTTCTCCCAAACCCAGAGTAAAAATTAAAATAAAAAAATTTAGATACAGGAATACAAAAGGTACATCAACTTATCAGCATGATTTCTAATTTTAAAGAAGAAAAATCAAGATAATGGCAGAATAACTAAAACATATTTCCCTATCCACTATAGTTCTTTGTGCTACTAAGATTCCTTGCACAAAGTTATAGCTAGAGAGGGATTTCATTACAAGCCAGAATTAACCTGTATGCCCAGAGACAGGATGATCCTAACACTCACTTTCTAACAACACTCGAATTTCCATGGCACTGCCCTTTTAAAGAAAGCTTTACTATTAAGAATGGATGTTTTTCCTTTAGTTCTTTTGTCAAATGGATAGATGTCCATTTTTTAAAGAATCAATAAAATTTTGAGAACTGACCATTGGGTTAATTCTTATTAAAATGGCTATCACCACTTTACCGGTAGCTGGGTGTGCGGAGGTAGGAGTACAGGGAATAGAAACAATATAAGTTATATCATGTTGAATACTGTTATCTCTTACTCTTGGTAGTCAAAAATGTTCAATTTTTTTTCATCCACCAAATTTGTTTACACACTTATTTATACTCAGAGAAAGTAACACTAACAAAACTCACTCTCCCTACACCTACCTTTCGCACCAACTATACTCTAGAAATGGAGTGGACTGGCTTTAAAAATAAATCTAGTTTATGATTCCATTTAGTCAGTTAAATACCTTCAAAAACCTGACTATTTGATTTGTCAAAATCTAGATACCCTCATTAAAAAGGAGGATTTCAGAAGAAATGTGGAATCACTAGGATATTAAAACCACCACAAAAGAAAACAACCCTTAGTGACAGATATGACATCACAGTTGAAAATATCAGTTGTTTTCTCCATCTCACAGTTTATATCCTTAAAAGAAAAAACTTTCCTTTAGTCACATCTAATGTGTATGCTGTTCCATTCCCCAAATGTACATACAGCTAAGATGAGCAGATGTGTAAAATTAAACAGCACTGTTAGTAACACTAGGCCTTGAAGTTGCTTTGTTATAGTCTCTTTCTCACTTAATAATTTGCTCCAAATGAATTCAGATATTTTGGGAACATTAAAAAAACAAAAGGAGATTCCTTTTGCAATATTCAACACTCATCTGATTATTCTCTCATGTGTTCTGTTACTAGACAAGGGGACTATTCCTGATGCTTTCACCAATAACTTATTTAAAGTTTTACTTTTGGCCAGGCGCGGTGGCTCCCGCCTGAATCCTAGCACTCTGGGAGGCCAAGGTAGGAGGACTGCTTGAGGCTAGGGGTTTAACAACAACCTGGCCAACAGAGCAAGACCCCATCTTTAAAAAAATTAAAAATAAAGTTTTTCTTTCCAGTATGTGAAGCAATCTCTTAAGGAACAGTGTGTGATGCTATCTGAAATGTTAATAGAAGGAAGGATGTAATTGTACAGAAAGCAAAGGTTTTGCATTAACAATAGTTAAGTAAGACAAACAAGATCCTGTTATTTTCAAATACTATGAAATATCTTTTTACAAGTTTGACAAAGGTGATTCACAAAAACACACTACCAAGTTTATAATCTAAATGAGAGAAGTTGATGGAGAAAACAAGAAAAATAACATTTATAGAGCAGCCATCTTTTTGAGTACCAGATGTATCAGCTGGCTTAAATGTCAGAACACTTACTTTAAAAATCAAGGTATCTGGAGAGACCCAACCCCACCCCAAATTAAATCCAAGCTTATAAGCCCAGCACATACCTCTATGTAAAATCTTTAAACTCCACAAATAAGTAAGGCCTTTAACAACCTAAATTTAGGAAAAAGAAAACAGTACAATTATCAATTATGGTTTTTAAAAGGAACTTTCCATATTTAAATACATTCAACATTTTTTTTTTTTTGAGACAGGGTGTCACCCTGTCACCTAGGCTGAAGTGCTGTGGGGTACAATCACTGCTCACTGTAGCCTTGACCTCCTGGGCTCAAGCAATCCTTCCACCTCAGCTGCCTGAGTAGCTGGGACCACAGGTGTGCACCATCATGCCTAGCTTTTTTTTTTTTTTTTTTTTTGGTAGAAACAGGGATCTCACTAATGTTGCCTAAGCTGGTCTTGAAGTCCTGGGCTTAAGTGATCCTCCTGCCTCAGCCTCCCAAAGTGCTAGGATTACAGGCGTAAGCCACCACACCTGGCCTAACTCTTCCCTTAAAACTCTGTCAATCAATAAGCATTTACTGAACACCTCCCATTTCTGTGTGAGGCTTTGTGGGAAAACCAAATGCAAAAGCCACAGGTTCCTACCTTTAATGAGCTTATAATCTTCTGAAGATAAGGTACTCCAAATGAAAGAAATAAGTGCATGTGTATATAAAATAATCTGGAAGTACCTATGCTGAATTCATAATGATGCTAAGCCAGGGAAGGAGAGACACAGGAAAAAGGGAAAATGGCTTTCTTAATTTTCTATACTTCTGTGTGTAAAACTTTTTTTGAAGTCATGACACTTATGACCAAGGAGAAACTTTTCTTCTGAGACAGGATCTCACTCTGTTGCCCAGGCTGGAGTGCAGTGGTGCAATCATAGCACACTGTAACCTCAAATTCCTGGGATCAAACAATCCTCCCACCTCAGCCTCCTGAGTAGGTGGGACTACAGGTGCACACCACCATACCCTGCTAATTTTAAAATATTTTTTGTAGAGATGTGATCTTGTTTTGTTGTCAAGGCTGGTCTTGAACTCCTGACCTCAAGGGATCCTCCTGCCTCGGCCTCCCAAATCCCTGGGACTACAGGTGGGAGTCACCATGCCTGGCCTGGAGAGACATTTTTAAAAAGTTAACTAATGAAATAAGGCAGTGGGTAGAATAGAAACTGCTTTTCCCATCAGGAGTCAGAAAGGCTTACTAAGGTGTTACATCTTGAGTAACGGATTTAACTTGAATGAAAAAAAGAAAAGGAAGTGTTTAGGTCAAGGTAAAAATATATAATCAAAGTACTGGGCAATGTACTCTTCCAAAATATCAAAGTAAGGAAAGACAAACACTGAGGCATTAGAGAGACATGACAACCAAATGCAATGAATAATCCTAGACTGGAGTAGGACCAGAATTTTTTTTCTTTTGTCTATACAGGGTATTATTGGACAATTGGTGAAATTTGAATAAGGGCTGTTGAGTAGATAACAGTATTGTATCGATACTAGTTTCCTGATTTTAATCAGTGATTATGTAAGATAATGTGTTTGTTCTTAGGAAATAGATACCTAACATATTTGGGGATAAAGGCTGTGATATCTGTAACTTATTCTCAAATGTTTCAGGAAAAAACATGTTTATAGATTTTTAACCCAATATGGTAAACTTTTAACAACTGGGGAATATGGGTGAAGCATCTGTGGGAATTTTTTGCATTAGTCTCACAACTTTTCTGTAAGTTTAAAATAATCTCAAAATAAAAAGCTCCCCCCAAATTTATAAAGTATATTGGGGCAGGAAAGAATGAAGTATATCAAGATGGTCCTCATAAGCCAGTCTGGCTGGTGCAAAGCATATATGTTGACAAGGCAAGGTATTAAAAGGGCAGGTCAAGGAAATAAAATGAGAAAATACAAACATCTGAATTAGATTTGCATTTTTCACTCTCATAGCCTGAGTTAAGAGTAATTAGTTGAATGAGATACTGAAAAAAAGATGTTTCCATGACCCTAAGTATATGGGTGACAAGTACTACCTTCTATGTGGAAAATTTAATCAGTGGTCACCATTAAAAACTTAAAAAATCTTTATGTATAAATTGCTATAAAAGGAAATGTACATGTTTTATTCATAACCACTGATCCTATATGCACATGAGCGTGAACTTACCAATTTCAAGGTTGACTATTCATAATTAGACACCAGATACACTGAACAAATCACTATTGGTCAAAATTTACTGTAAGATTTACAAGTATTCATCACTATAGAGAATTCTGGGTAAGTCAGGACTATAAGAACAAGAAAACCTATCATTACCCATGAGAAGTAAATGAGTCGTTTACATATCTTGAAAATGGTAAGAAAAGGTTAGGGGCTAAATATGCAAGAATTCTAGTTGATCAAGGAAGCCTAAGAGCAACTGTGAAATAAGAAATGCAATGGGAGAAAGCCAATTCCCAAATACTAAAGATCTAGAAGACAAAATCTATATCAATTAATACTGAGCAGAAGTTAACATATTTTAATTGTTCTCAAAGGGTGCAATGTGCTCCTGAAAGATTTGCTAACATAGATTCATCAATTCTAGTATATGTTTGTCTATTCTAAGAGAACAGCATACATTTTTATAGCAAATGACTTGTTCCACAGTTTGGAAATAACTGGCATTACAATAAAACACATGTATTCTGGACAGGAAGACAATACAGAAAGAAAATATCAAAATATTAATAATGATAAGTTTATCACAGAAGGAAATATAACAAAAATATTTCTTTAAATGTTTATAAAAATTAACATCCATAACGATAACAATTTTCTCTTTGAGTAATAGGAGGAGGTCATCTTATTTAGCATGGAGGTGATCATCTCCATTCTGAGGAAGAAGGGTTAAAATTTTCAACTTAGAAGCTTAGCTGCATGTTATAAAAACTATCCATTAAAGATAGCTCACCACTAAAAATTGGTTCCATACAAAATGAATTTTCAGAAAACATGTAGGGGAAGGCAATCCAATATATTCTGATAGTTAGGTAGAAAAAAGTAAAACAAATACTGATTTTATAATATTTGCTAAAATTATTCATTTTGTTAGAGATTTAAAAAGAAAATATTCTTATTCTTTGTCAAAATACACTACATTTTCCTTTAGAAACATGTAAATTCTGGTGAAAAAGGAGCTAGAAATCTGTGAACTGAAAATCTAAAGGATATTATTGGTATTCAGTAGGCTGGGTTTCACAACGATGACTTGACAAAGCCTTGACACTAAAAGTACTTATATCTGTTGTCAATCACTCGCTCCTTGACATGTCAAGTGCACCTCCTTTCAGGGACAACTTCAATCAACATTAGCACTCAAAATACAGTACACAATGTCACTGCTTCAGAAATGAGAAGAAAAATAGAATGTGTTAGGTGGCAGGGAAAGGCAGAAAGGCATTCCTCTTTATAGAAGACCAGATTCAAATGGATAGTAGAGAAAAACCACTGAGCCACTGAGTAAGCTGGAAGGCTGAAATCAGGTATATATAAATTCCTTTGGGGGAAAAAAAAAACTCTCTTGCCATACATTTTACAAGAAAAAATTTGAATAACATATCACAGAGGTCAACAGAGGTCCATGCTGTAATGAACCTTGGACCTATGAACCTGCCTTGCATGGCCAGATTATTAGACCCTGGAAAATAAAGTTAATTTGGGAAAAGAGAGATACCTAAAGACATGAAAAGAATCTGAAGCAATTGTGTTGCTCCACTATTCTCTCATTCATAAGTCTCTCTTTTTATTTTTTAGCCTAGCTCTTTCTTCCACTCCTGCCTCTATTTTTTTTTTTTCTCATTCTGTTAGGAAAACACACTGAGAAAGCAAGAGGTCTGGTGTCAGACAGCCCTGTGTTCAAATTTGTACTGACTAATTAGATGATAACTCTGGGCAAGCTGGTTAACTTTTCCAAACCTCATCTTGCATGTGCACAGAGTATGTTCAATAATCCACACTTTACAAGGTGGCTGTAAAGGCTAAATGACATAATATTTGTATAGAAAGCATGCAACAGTGATTGGCACAGGAAGTATTCAATATACACCTATTTCCCTACTCTCTGTTTCTGATTCTGTTGCTTTTGACTTGGCAATGGCACCCTTGTGTTTTCTTGGCCTCCATGAGGGAACTCAAGGGAAAGATGTTGATGCCATCTTCAGTACACTTTCAGAGAAATGACCAAGGATACTGGGATCACAATCAGACTATGGGAATATTTAGTTTACACACCACAGCCCACAGCCCATCAATTTGCTAGTCTTATTTTGACTAGTACAACCCTCCTGGTGCCAGGTATTAGCCATGGGCCAATCTGGTGTTTGTCAGCTGCAACAAATGATAATCCAAATTTGTAGCCTACTCAGGAAACATACAAAAAAAACACTACATTTTGGAGGCATTATACAAACCCAGGCTCCTGCAGAATTTAGCATGGAGGTGATCATTTCCGTGGCAGACAAAGAGCAAAATTATTAAAAAACATTTCTTCTACTCCAGCTGTAAGTAGTTTTCATTACTATGACCTGATGAGCCATAAAAGCTGGAAAAATTGGACACATATTTAGGGGGGAAAACCCCTAATTAAAAAAAATGTAAAGGCAAATATAAACAATCCTTCAGAGTAGCTCTTACTTTAATGCCTTTCACTAAAATAATTTGTGTCACATTTTCATTCACTTAATAGGCAAGCCCTGTATTTGATGCTGAATTATTTTTTCTGCTGACTCTATTCACTTCAACAGTCTTCCTACTCCAGTAGAACTGAAAAGATAGGTGGCCTTGTGTGGATGCCCTAAACAAGAGGGAAGTAAGATTTATGAAGTTCAGGAAGAACATGCTTCTCTACTGAAGATGGCAGATTTCTATTTTTGCCAAGTTCCATAGATAACTGAATATATAGAAGTTGTATACTTTTTTCTTTTTCAATTGGTATCCTTGCCTTTTTTTGCCCTTTATTATACATGTTATTAAACTTTACAGCCAAGAACTGCCAAAAGCCACAAAGCATTCATTCTCTCCTGGGATTAGAACAGGAAATGAAACATTTTTATTTTCATCTAAAATAGTGATTTAAGTACTCAAATTTCATACTAATCTACCTGCACATGTAGATGAGAAGCTACTTAGGAGCAATAGCATCAGAAAAGAAAGTTCTCATCACCCAGGGCACTTCACACTAATAATTAGAAAGAAAAAAGGAAAGCTGTGAATTACAATGAACTAAGACTAAATAAGTGTCCATGTTCGATTAAAGAATTTGAGTTGTCAGTTTGATGTATAATGAATGTGAAAATCAGCCATTTAATTAAATGGTACATGGTACAATCACTTTGTTCTGCATTAAACCACTGAAGTTATCATCGTGCCTTTAGTTTAGCAATTGTTTACTATCACACCACCCCATGACTTCTCTTAGACACTGTTTAACCTACATTATTATAAATGTGAAATATGGAACTTATGAGAACATTATAGTAATGTTAGTTTAGTTTATATATTTCATCAGTATATTAGTGCATATAGAAAATACAAGAATATGGGAAAACTGCTTTAAATCACAAAGGGAATAAATTTCTAGATGTAGTTGATGAAAAAATTAAAAACCAAGAACATAAAAAGACTGCAAAAAATCTTTACTAATACTACTTTGTTCTTAATAAATTAATATTTTCTCATAGACTGCTTTAACAACTCAGACTTTTTAAGTATTTGCTAATCATATGCTAATCATAACTACAAAATGTAAAAACAAAACAAAAAACAGCATTTTTTTTTCAGAAGAAGTTGGAAATTTTACGAGTCAACAAGAATACCAAGGTCCCTGCAAACACATGAAACTAGAACAGGTTGGAGCACATAAGCGTGTGACTATGTTGTGATGTTGGGTGGGCTGGTCTATGAAAAGAAGAACAAAACAGGAGAAAATCAAGAAGGTCTTAGGAGCCAACTGGGATTGAAGAACAAGAAAAAACATTGAGAATATAAGAAGAATGAGCTTGATTAGAAGGATTAAATCACTCAAATTTCCTAACACTGAAGCCATATACTTACTGCTACTGCAATTCTTCCAAGGACATGTTCTGGCATTTTCCTATATACATCCAAAGATCCCCCTGTAGAGATAAACATGCCATGTTACTACAAATGAAATTACCAGAACAATGCACTGGGCTTCTCCTGTGTGTTCACTGTGAGAATACATTTTTACACTTCCTACAGCATGCATTGGATGTGTAGTATAAAACTTTTTAGTCCAATGTTATCTAAAACATAATCATACTTCCTGATGAAGTATAACTAGATATTTCCATTTTATTCTGAAGTGTATAGTCACATACATGAAAAACTGAAAGAAACTAGTCAAGGGCAAGCTAAGAAACTATACTTTATGTAAACTTAAATACATACACAAAATTATAAAGATCAATATGACTATTAAACATTTAGTTGCCTGTCTTTTGTAACAGCTTTTCTCAAATGTAAACCAGGGTAATATCTTAGAATTTTCACATTAATCCAACAAAAGCTGGAATATATGCAGAGAACCACTACGTTGCTCATTAATGATATGATTATGAGATCTATTTTAACAATATGTAATAACCTTTCTTTAAGAGTCAAATTGAGGTATATAGTCTTTCAGTTCTATAAAAAAATTGTATTCCAGAGTATTTGACAAATATTTTTTCCTATCAGAGGCTAAAAATTCTTATTTAATGCTTTATTACTGGATGATTCATAAGTATGCCTCATAAGGTACTAAACATGAAGTATGTCATTCTTCCGAAATGCAAATGTGAATATTTTCATATGTCAAATTTTCATAAAGCTAAACATCAGAGAAAATATTTTTATCTGTAAAAAAATCGTGTATTCATATACAAACATATGTATGCAAGTATACATATATATGCATATAGACACATGCATATATATATATATATGGCTACTGGCTTTATATTTATCCCATTTAAAGCAGATAGAGAAAAATGATCACTCTTAGTTAAACTTTGCTTGTAGTTTGCAGATTGGAACAAGAAACTGGGAAACCACTGTGTAACTAAACATTACACTTTGGCTCTCGGTGCTACTGGGAAGATAATGAAAAAAAGACACTTCTGATATGAACTGAACCACCCTTATTTACCAAAATTACATTTTTATTATAGATGTAATAAAAGTGAGAATACAGCAGAAAAACGTTTTATGTTCTCATTGATCTTTCAGATAAATTGGCAGTACCAAGGATAAACAGAATAAAAAAGATCAAGCTTTACATGCTGGTATTTGGAAGACTGACAAATGCAGCTTACTGGACCAATCCCTTATGAAGTGAATGACCTGAATGACTCAAAACTAGGAGGTGAAAACCCATCCACATGTACCAGTAACAACTTCTAAGAGGAGATTTACTTTTACCAAGGATATAAATCAGGGCCTAATTAACTAAATGGACAATGGTTTCAACAAGCTAAACCTAAAAAACAAAGATTACCTTACCACCATTATCAGTAGAAGAAGCCAAAAAGGAATCTAATTTTGAGGTGGTTCACTGGTTTTTAACCTCAGTTAGACCCGCTTTCCTTAACTATCCATATGGCTAAATCTTTACACAGCTGGCTCTGTGCCATCACTGATTCATTTTGTCCTTTTCATGTCCGTTAGAGATAAACGTCATAGGTGAAAAAATGATGTAGCAGATCCACTCAGGATTAAGAGTTCCTGTTAAGTTTGATGAGTTCTTTTTCTGCAATTCAGTAATTCTTATCAGGTTAAAAATGGCAGAAGGGGTTGGTTTAATTTTTCTCTTTTATTATCATTTCTATTCTACAGATCTATCAAAAATGGCAACTGTTAGACCTATCAAACATTAGGGCAGGAAAGGACATTAAAGATCAGTCCAGCAACTTTACTTGACAGGTGGGAAAAACAGTCCCAGTGATGTGAATGTTCTAGCTAAAGCCATGAGTCAGCTGATGGCAGAGCTCAGAGAGGACCTGAACCTTTGAAGTTTCAGAAGTTAAAGATTTAAAAGGTGGCCAGGCACGATGGCTCACACCTGTAATCCCAGCACTTTGGGAGGCCAAGGAGGGAGGATCACTTGAGGTCAGGAGTTTGAGACCAGCCTAGGAGACACGGCAAAACCCCATCTCTACCAAAAATATAAAAATTAGATGGGCAAAGTGGTGTACACTACTCTGTAGTCCCGGCTACTCAGGAGGCTGAGGCAGGAGAATTGCTTGAACCCGGGAGGTGAAGGTTGCAGTGAGCAGAGACTGCGCCACTGCACTACATCCTGGGTGACAGAGTAAGACCCTGTCTCAAAAAAAAAAAAAAAATTAAAAGGTTTCCCCATGACGTGACATATATGGCTTGAGAATCACATGTGAACTTTTTGCAGTTTAAAAAGTCTCATGCAATGTGATACTACTATGATGCAAATTGACAGAATTTAATTTTAGCTGAGATGGTGGTATCCAAGGCATTTAGAAACTCATTCATCTGTGGCTCGGTAGGTTTGAACTTTTTGCTCGTGATTCCAAAGTTACTGGTTTGTTCTCTGTGATCTGTCACTTTTCTTTGTTCCCTGAAGTCATATGTAACCAAATAGAAATTCTGAAGTTGAAAAGTATAATAACTGAAATGAAAATTTTTGGAGAGGATCAACAGCATATTTGAGACAGCAGAAGAAAGAATCAAGGGAGGTAAAGATAGGTCAATGGAAATTATCCAGTGTAATGATGAAAAGAAAAGAAAATGAAGAAAAATGAACACATTCTCGGAGACCTGTAAAATACCATCCAGCATACGGACATATGCTTAATGGGAGATCAGAAAGAGAGGAGAAAAGGTAAGGAGTGGAAAGAATATTTCAGAAAACAATGACCCCAAACTTCCTAAATTTGATTTTAAAAAGTGAATCTACACATCCAAGAAGTTCAGTATACTTCATATAGGATAAACTCAAAGAGATCTACATCTATACACATTATTATCAAACTATCCATAGCCAAAGACAAAAAGAAAATCTTGAAAGCAGCAAGAGAAGTGACATTTCAATTACAAATAATCCTCAAAAGAACAAGAGCTGATTACTCATCAGAAACCAGAGGTCAGAGGCAGGGGAATGACATTTGAACATGAAAGAAAAAGATTATAAACCAAAAATTCTATATCCAGCAAAAACTATTCTACGAAACTGAAGGAGAAATTAAGATACTCTCAAATAAACTGGGAAATTTATCTCAGAATACTGAGAATTAATCATTAGTTAACCTACCCTACAAGAAATAAAATACAGTCTTTCAGACTGAAAGAACTTTAGATTGAAGTTAAAAGACAGTAACTCAGATCCACATGAAGAAATAAGGAACACTGGTAAAGGTAACTGCATAGGCAAATATAAAAGACAGGATAAATGTATGTTTTGTTTGTATCTCTTTTGTTCTATGACTTAAGAGACAATGGCATAATTTTAAATTTGTGTTGGACACACAATGTATAGGAATGTAACTTATATGACAATAATAGCATAAAAAAGATGAGAAGAAATTGAGCTATACAGAAGCAAAGTTTTTGTATACTATTTTTTTTTTTTTTTGAGATGGAGTCTCACTCTGTCACCCAGTCTGGAGTGCAGTGGCACAATCTCGGCTCACTGCAACCTCTGCCTCCTGGATTCAAGCTATTCTCCAGCCTCAGCCTCCCGAGTAGCTGGGATTACAGGCATGCACCACTGAGTCCAGCTAATTTTTGTATTTTTTTTTAGGAGAGACGAGGTTTCACCAACTCGGCCAGGCTAATCTTGAACTCCTGACCTCAGGTGATCCGCGCACCTCGGCCTCCCAAAGTGCTGGGATTACAGGTGTGAGCCACCATGCCTGGCCTTTTGTATACTATTAAAATAAAGTCAGTGTTAATCTGAACTAAATTGTTATAAGTTAAGAAGTTAATTGTAATCCCTAGAGCAACATTAAGAATATAACTCAAAAACACAGAGTAAAAGCAACCATGGGGAATTTAAATGGTACCTTTGAAAATATCTACTTGATATAAAAGAAAGCAACAACAGAACATGAAAGACATGACTTATAGAAAACAAATAGAATGGGATAGATACATCTCACCTTGTTAGTAATTAATGTAAAAGGTTTAAGCACTCTAATTAAATAAGAGATTGGCAGAATTGATTTTTAAAAAAATGATCCAACTATATGCTGTCTACAACAAAGGTATTTTATATTTAAAGACACCAACAGGTTGAAAAATGGTGAAAAAAGATATACTATTCAAATAGTAATCAAAAGGGAGCTGCAGTGACTATACTAGTGGAAAAAATAGACTTTTAGATAACTATTGTTAAATATTGTTACTAGAGACAAAGACATTTTCTAATGATAAAAGGATCAATCAACCAAGAAGATATAACAATTATAAACATGCATGGACCTAACAACGGAGTGCCAAAATATATGAAACATAAACTGAAAGAACTGAAAGGAGAAATAGACAACTCAAAAATATTAGTTTTTGAGACTTCAATATCTCACTTTCAAAAATGGACAAAACTATACAGAAGATTAATAAGAAAATACTGAACAGTATTATAAACCAATCAGAATTAACTGACATGTAAAGGATACTTCACTTAACCACAGTAGAATATATTCTTCTCAAGTACGCATATGTGGAAATTAAACAGCACATACCTAAATAAAAATGGGTCAAAAAGAAATCGCAAGAGATTTCTATCATAGAAAAATGGAAAATACTTTGAGATTAATGAAAATAAAAACACAACATACCAAAACTTCTAGGATGCAACTAAAGCCGTGCTTAGAGGAAAATTTATAACCTACATTAAATAAGAAGAAAGATCTCAAATCAATATCCTAACTTGCTACCTTAAACAGAAGGAGAACATCAAGCTAAAACTAAACTCAAAGAAAGCAGAAAAAAAGAAAATAATAAAATTTAAGCAGAAATAAACAAAACAGAGAATAGAAAAAAAAATAGAGAAAATCAAAGAAACCAAAAGTCGGTTTCATTTTAAATGAAAAAATTTTTTTTAGCTGGGTGTGGTGGCTCACACCTGTAATCCCAGCACTTTGGGAGGCCAAGGTGGGTGGATCACCTGAGGTCAGGAGTTCGAGACCAGCCTGACCAACATGGAGAAACCCTGTCTCTACTAAAAATACAAAATTAGCAGGGCATGGTGGCACAGAGTAGCTGGGTGCTTGTAATCCCAGCTACTCTGGAGGCTGAGGCAGGAGAACGGCTTGAACCCAGGAGGCAGAGGTTGCTGTGAGCTGACATTGTGCCATTGTACTCTAGCCTGGGCAACAAGAGCAGAACTCCGTCTCAAAAAAAAAAAAAAATATTTTAAACAGAGAAACTGACAAACTTTTAGCTACACTGACCAAGAAAATAAGTGAGGAGACTCAAGTAACTAAAATCTGGAATGGAAGAGGGAACATTACTACCAACTTTGCAGAAATAAAAAGGATTATAAGAGATTTTTCAGAACTGTGTATCAATAAATTAGATAACCTAGATGAAACAGATTAATTCTGAGAAAAACACAAACTACCAAAACTGACTCAAGAAAAAATAAAAAATCTGACTAAACCAGTATATAAAGAGATTGAGTTGGTAATAAAAAAACTAATCACAAATATTATTCAGCTTTTAAAAGGAAGAAAATTCTGACACATGCTACAACATGGATGACTCTTAAGGACATAATGCAAAATGAAATAAGCCAGACACAATAAGACAAATACTGTGTGATTCCAATTATATGAGGTACCTAGAGTAGTCACATAGAGACAGAGTATAATGCTGTTTGCCAGGGGCTGGGAGCGGGGGTGAATGAGGAGTTCTTATTTAATAGGTATAGAGTTTCAGTTTTGCAAGACAAAAAGAGTTCTGCAGATGGATGGTGGTGACAGTTGCACAACCATGTTAATGTACTTCATGCTGCTGAATTATATACTTAAAATGGCTGATACAGTTTGAATATTTGTCCCCTTCAAAACTCATGTTGAAATCTCACTCCCAATGTTGAAGATGGGGCCTCGTGAGAGGTGTTTGGGTCAAAGGAGTGGATCCCTCATGAAAGACTTGGTGTCATTCTCACAAAATTAAGTGAACTCTCACTCTAAGTTCCTGCAAGATTTGGTTGTTAAAAAGTGTCTGGGACCTCCCTCCTCTCTCTCTTGCTCCACGAATGGAAGCTTCCTGAGACCCAGACCAGAAACAGGTGCTGGGCACCATGTTTCTTATACAGCCTGCAAAATAATAAGCCAAATAAACCACTTTTCTTTATAAATTACCCAGTCTCAGGTATTCCTTTATAGCAACACAAGATGGACTAATATCATGGCTAATAAGGTTAAAATTTTTGTATGAGTATTATATCATAATTTAAAAAAAACACGCACTAATGACACACCCCGAAAACCTCAGAACCAGATGATTTCACTGGTGAATTCTATCAAATGTTTAAAGAAGAATCAACGTAAGGCATTTGAAAAAATGTTTGACATCACTAATCACCAGGGAAATGCAAATCAAAACCACAGTGAGATATCCTCTCACTCCAGCTGAAATGGCTTTTATCAAAAAGACAGGGAATAATAGATGCTGGCAAGGATGTGGAGAAAGGGGAACCTTCATACACTATTGATGGGAATGTAAACTAGTACAGCTACCATGGAAAACAGTATGGAAATTCCTCAAAAAAACTAAAAATAGAACTACCTTATTATGATCCAGTAATTTCACCATTGGGTATATATCCAAAAGAAAGGAAATCAGTAAATTGAAGAGATATGTGCACTCTAATGTTTACTGCAGCACTATTCACAATAGCCAAGATATGAAATCAATCTGAGTGTCCATCGAAGAAAAAATAAAGATAAAGAAAATGTGGTACATAAACACAATGAAATATTATTCAGCCATAAAAAGAATGAAATCCTATTATTTGCAAGAATATGGGTGGATATTATTTTAAATGAAATAATCTGGACACAGAAAGACATATATGTTCTCACTCACATGTGGGAGCCAAAAACAAATGATTATGGAGACATAGTAGAGTGATGATTACCAGAGACTGAGAAGGGTAGTGAGAAAGGAAGGACAAAGAGGGGTTGGTTAATGGGTAAAAAAGTACAGTCAGATAGAAAGAATAAGATCCAGTGTTTGGCACCACAACAGAGTGATCACAATTAATAATTTATTGTATATTTCAAAATAACTACACAAGTGGAATTGCAATGCTCCTAACACAAAGAAATGATAAATGTTTGTGGTCATACATATCTCCATTACTTTGAGTTGATTACTACACATTGTATGCTTGTGTCAAAATATTATTATGCATGTACTCCATAAATATGTACAATATTATGGATCCATAAAAATTTTGATTGATTTATTTATTTTGAGACAGAGTCTCTGTCACCCAGGCTGGAGTGCAGTGGCATGATCTTGGCTCACTGCAACCTCCAGCTTCCAGGTTCAAGTGATTCTCCTGCCTCAGCCTCTCAAGTAGCTGGGATTACAGGCATGTGCCACCATGCCCAGCTAATTTTTTTGGTACTTTTAGTAGAGATGGGGTTTCACCATGTTGGCCAGGCTGGTCTTGAACTCCTGACCTCCAGTGATCCACCTGCCTTGGCCTTCCAAAATGCTGGGATTACAGGCGTGAGCCACCCTGTCCAGCCCCTAAAATGTTTTAAAAAAAGAATTAACATGAATCCTTCATAAACTCTTTCAAAAAATGGAAGAGGTGGCAACACTTCCAAACTCATTCTATAAGGCCAGAATTATCCTGATACCAAAATCAGACACTGACATCACAAAAAAAGAAAACTAGACCAATGTCCCTCATAAATATGAATACAAAAATCATCAAGAAAATACTAGCAAACTGAACCCAGGAACATATAAAAAGAATTACACATCATGACTAAGTGGAATAATTCCAACACTGCAAGACTGGTTCATTTTGCAAAAATCAATTAATATAGTATACCATATATTAATAGAATAAAGGACCAAATATGCACGATTATTTCAATAGATATAAAACAGGCATTTGACAAAATTTAATACCCTTTCATAATTAAAAAAAAAAAAAACTCAACAAACTAGAAATAGAAAGGAATTTCCTCAACCTGACAAAGGACAACTATTCCAAACCCATGGCTAACATCATATTTAATGGTGAAAGACTGAAAGCTCTCCCTCTAAGGTCAGGAACAAGAGAAGGATGTCTGCTCTCATCAGTCTATTCAACATTGTACTGAAGGTTCTAGCCAGGGTAATTAAGCAAGAAAAGGAAATAAAAGACATTCAGAATTGAAAAGAAAGCACTAAAACTACCTCTATTTGCAGATGGCATTATCTTGTATATAGAGAACCCTAAGGAATCCACAAAAAGCTATTAACATTAGTAAACAAGTTCAGCAAGGTTGCAGAATACAAGATCAATATACAAAAATCAATTACAGTTCTATACACTGGCAATGAACAATCCAAAAATGAAATTAAGAAAAACAGCATTAAAAAAACTTAGAAGCAAATTTAACAAATAGTTACCACTTATACCCTAAAAATTATTTTTAAATCATTGAAAAACAATTAAAGAAGACCTAAGTAAGTTGAAAGACATCTGTGTTCACGGAGTGGAAGATTAAATAATGTTAAGACAGCAATATTCCCCAAGTTGATCTAAAAATTCAATTCAATTCTTATCAAAATCCCAGCTGGATTTTTTTGGAGAAATTGCCAAGCTGATTCTAAAATTCAAATGAAAATGCTAGGTATTCAAAATGGCCAAAACAATCTTGAAAAGAACAAAGTTGGAGCACTTACACTTCTCGATTTGAAACTTAAAAACTATAATAATCCAGAGTTTTCAAGTACAAGTAATCAAATATGGTGTGGTACTGGTACAAAGATAGACAACTAGATCAATGCGAGATGTATACGCATTGATCTGAAAGTACAGAAATATATGTTATGGTCAATTTTCAACAAGTATAACAAGAAAATTCAATGGGAAAAACAGTCTTTAACAAACGGTACTGGAACAAATGTATATCTACATGCAAACGAATAAATTTGGACCCCTATCTCATACCATATATAAAAATTAACTCAAAAATAAATCAAAGGCTTAAATATAAAAGCTAAAACAATAAAACTTGAGGCTGAGGTGGGAGGATCACTTGAGCCCAGGAGTTCAAAACTAGCCTGGGCAACATAATGAGACCGCAGCTCAAAAAAAGGAAAAGAAAAGAAAAAAGAAAGTGAAAAGATAAACAATAAGTGAAAATATTTGGAAATCCCATATCTGATAAGAGCCAAGTATTAGAATACATAAAGAATTCTCACAACTCAACAATAAAAGCCCAATAACTCATTTAAAAAATAGACAAAGGATTTGAAAACATATTTCTCAAAAGAAGGTATACAAATGGCCAATAAGCACATGAAAAGATGCTCAACATCATTAGTCATTAGAGAAACCTAAATCAAAACCAAAATGGGATACCATGTCACACTACAAGCCCACAATTTTAAAAAGACACAAAATGACAAGTATTGGCAAAAATATGAAGAAAATGGAACCTTATACAGTGCTGGTATGAATGCAAAGTGGTGTAAAACAGATTGGAAAAGTTTGGTAGTTTATTAAAAAGTTAAACATAAAGCTACCATATGACCTAGCAACTTTACTCCTAGGTATATACCCAAAAGAACTGAAAACACTGACCGGGTGCAGTGGCTCACACCTGTAATCCCAGCACCTCGGGAGGCCAAGGCGGGGAGATCACGAGGTCAGGAGATCGAGACCATCCTAACACAGTGAAACTCTGTCTCTACTGAAAATACAAAACTTAGCTGGGCATGGTGGCACGCGCCTGTAGTCCCAGCTACTCGGGAGGCTGAGGCAGGAGAATCGCTTGAACCCAGGAGGTGGAGGTTGCAGTGGAGGTTGCAGTGAGCCGAGATCACCCCACTGCACTCCAGCCTAGGCGACAGAGCGAGACTCTGTTTCAAAAAAAAAAAAAGAACTGAAAACGTATGTCCACACAAAAACTTGTACACAAATATATAGAGTAGCATTATTCATAATTATGCATAAAGTAGAACTATCCCAAATGTCCATCAACTAATGAAAGAATAAACAAAATGTAGTATAGCCATACAACGAAATGTTATTCAGCAATAAAAAGGAATGAAGTTCTCATATATGCAATAGTATGGATGAACACTGAAAACATTATACTAAGTAAAGGAAGCCAGACACAAAGGCCATATATTATCAGATTCCATTTATATGGAATGTCCAGAATAGGTAAATCCATAGAGACAGAAGATAAATCAGTGGTTGCCAAGGACTTGAGGAAAGAGAAAGTAGAGAGTGAGTACTAATAGGTAGGAAGTCTCTTTCTGGGGGTGGTAAAAAGTGTTTTGGAATTATACAGTGGTGATGACTACACAACCTTGTGAGTATATCAAAAACCATGGAATTGTACACTTTTAAAGGGTGAATTTTATGGTATCTGAGTTATATTTCAATAAAAAATTTTAATTTATTTGTTTTTTGATACAGGGTCTCACTCTGTTGCCTAGACTGGAGTGCAGTGGCACGATCACAGCTCACTACAGGCTTAATCTCCTGGGCTCAAGCAATCCTCCCACCTCAGCCCCCAGAGTAACTGAGACTACAGGCCCGTACCACCATGCTTAGCTAATTTTCCTTTTTTTATTTTTTTTAAGACAGAGTCTCACTTTGTCACCCAGGGTGGAGTGCAGTGGCGCGATCTTGGTTCACTGCAACCTCCACCTCCCAGGTTCAAGCAATTCTCAGTCTCAGCCTCCCAAGTAGCTGAGACTACAGGTATGCGCTACCACACCTGGCTAATTTTTGTATTTTCTATAGAGACGGGTTTTCGCCATGTTGGTTAGGCTGGTCTCAAACTCCGCTTGCCTCGGCCTCCCAAAGTGCTAGGATTACAGGAGTAAGCCACCGTGCCCGGCCATATTTTTAAAAATTTTTTTGTAAAGATGAGATCTCACTATATTGCTTATGCTGGTCTCAAACTCCTGGGCTCAAGCAATCTTCCCACCTTAGTCTCCCAAAGTGCTGGGATTACATGCGTGAACCACCGTGCCCTGTTTCAACAAAAATGTTTGAGTAGAACTGAAAAATTGAAGACTTCAAAGAAAGAATGATAAAAGTTACAACACAGTAACATGTACTGGCTCAATGAATCCACTTTTTCTGGTCAGTCTCCACAGTTACCATACTTACCTATATGGCTGTAAGATTTTTAATTTTTGACATTCTACTATAACTAATTTAGAGCATGTTGTACACCTTATGACAGTATCAAGGTACCAATGTTGGCTCATTAAAGTTTTGCAGGGCACAAACTAATTGCTTTAGTAATGTACTGAGAATCTCCACAAGGAACTAACAATATTTTCTTAAGTTGTGTTTTAATGGACTAGACTATGGAAAACTGAATATGTAAAATTTAAAGACTGCTTAGATTTAAAATTGGTAAATAATAATAATGATGACATCATTTCACTGATATGTCCCTAGAAATCTGTATTTTGCCGTAATATTCAGGTCAAGAAAGAACTACCAAAATAGAAATGAATAAAAAAATAGAGAGGGAAGGAAAGGGCTAAAGTCCAAAGAAAATTAAACACATCTTGGCTAAACAGCTGTGTTGAAAAACAATTTCTTATCTTGCAATTAAGAACCGATTTCTTTCTGAAAGACACAGGACATTGGGTTAATAGATTTCTTTAAAAGAAAATCTGTTTTGGCTATTGAAACATTAAAAGAACAGAACATCTGTTTTGCAAGTAAAGACAGATTGTGCAAAAGAATCAAATATCAAACCACCAATTAGACTAGCATTTAATCTGTTCTATTTAAATTTTCAATAAAAGTGAAGTTCAATTCTTAAAATTACAGTTCGGCTATAAATATTTAACCCCAGGAACCCCTAACACTGAAATAATCTTAGAGTATAAATGAGGTAATTATTAGCATATTTTATTATCTTTAATTCTATTTGATATCTATATCAAAACCAGGTTTTAAAGCACTATATACTCTAAAAATCATTTTAAAAGTATTATAAAAGGGAAAACTCACCATCCATGAATTCTGTACATATTGAAATCCTGTTTTCTACAAAAAATGCTCCATAAAATCCAATGATATATGATGAATCGCACTGTAACAAAAATAAGACAAAAGTAGTTATAAACCTGCAAGTCAATACCATAGGCATGCTTTACAAATAAAAATTATGAAAAAATTACCTTATAAAGAATTTCCAATTCAGACATAATTTGCTTCTGAAGTTCCAGTGTAATATCTAGTAGTATGACCTAAATATAGAAAGGTATTAATATTTTTTAATCTTCTAATTATATTAGTTATAATCACTATGAAATATAAGAACTAAAAACATGGTAGTTCCTTTATTCTTCCCCACCTCCTTCTTCTTACCACTATAATTCCCAGTAATACAAGCTGTATCTGCATCTGTCTAACCTTTTGTCCTTCTATACTGGGGGAGGTGGTACAGAAGTGATTGATGGGACCAAAGAAAAAAGCCAGGTCTCAAAGGTCAATAGTAATGGCTTTAAAAGTCAGTTAAGTTATAACACTCTTAATTTATGCACTCTATTTTAGCCACATTGGCTATTTTCAAAAGAGGAGCATAGGAATGACCCTCAAACCAATATAAAAGAATTATGTTGGCTACGTGCAGTGGCACACACCTGTAATCCCAGCACTCTGGAAGGGAGGCTGAGGTGGAAGGGTACCTGAAGGCCAGGGGTATATGGCCAGTCTAAGCACCATAGCGAGAACCCATCTCTACAAAAAAAAAAAAAAATTACCTGTGTGTAGTATGATCGGGTGGTCCCAATCTACTTGGGAGGCTGAGGTGGGAGGATCACTTGAGCTCAGGAATTTGAGGCTGAAGTGAGCCATGACTGCACCTCTGCACTCCCACCTGGGTGAAAGAGAGAAATCCTGTCTCTTAAAAAAAAGAACTATCTTGTGGTTTGTGATCAGACACTAGGCAATAAGCAGAGAGGATGATGAATAAAAATGACATTTTATTTATTTATTTAGAGACACAGTCTCATGCTGTCACCCAGGCTGGAGTGCAGTGGGGCGATCTTGGTTCACTGCAATCTCTGCCTCCCAGACTTAAACAAACCTCCCACCTCAGCCACCCAAGTAGCTGGGACCACAGGTGTGCCACCATACCCAGCTAATTTTTTGCATTTTTGGTAGAGATGGGGGTTTCACTATGTTGCTCAGGCTGGTCTCGAACTCCTGAGCTCAAGCAATCTGCCCACCTCAGCCTCCCAAAGCACTGGGATTACAGGCATGAGCCATCACAACTGGCCAAAAAATAACTTTTTTCTTTTCTTGAGACAGAGTCTTGCTCTGTTACCCAGGCTGGAGTGCAGTGGCATGATCTCGGCTTACTGCAACCTCTGTCTCCTGGGTTCAAGCAACCTCTGTCTCATGGGCTCAAGCGATTCTCGTGTCTCAGCCTCCTGAGTAGCTGGGATTACAGGTGTCTGCCACCACACCTGGCTAATTTTTGTATTTTTAGTAGAGATGGGGTTTCACCATGTTGGCCAGGCTGGTCTTGAACTCCTGACCTCAATGATCCGCTCACCTCAGCCTCCCAAAGTTCTGGGATTACAAGCGTAAGCCACCATGCCCAGCCAAAAATAACATTTTAAGTGGGGTTTTTAGTTATGAGAGAAATAAGGAATTTTAAAAATATATCATCTTTTTTTTTTCCAGTCAGGTAATGTTCTTTGCTAATCCTGTTACAGAAAGTTAAAGCTTGAAGAAATCTTATTTCATTAACTCCCTTCTTTTGAGTGAGGAGGAAACCACGTTTCCCTCCTGGGAGCCACAGAGCCTGGGAATGGTAGGACCCCCTCCTCTGGACTCAGTCTCATGGGCTTTTCAGTACTTTATGGTTTATTTAAAATATCAATCACTGAGTGATATTACCCACAGTGATTTATAACCCATAAATATAAAATATTTATAAACTTATCTAGAATAAATTCTAGTTTATTTCAAACACATATTTTTTTAAGAAAGAAGACCATACTGTTCAAATTCTACTAAGCATGTCAGTGAAACTAATTCAAGAGTAATTGTTTTATTTATTTATTTATTTATTTAGAGATGGAGTCCTGCCCTGTCACCCAGGCTGGAGTGTAGTGGCGCGATCTTGGCTCACTGCAACCTCCGCCTCCCGGGTTCAAGCCATTCTCCTGCCTCAGCCTCCCAAGTAGCTGGGATTACAGGCACCTGCCACCACACCCGGTTGATTTTTCTATTTTTAGCGCAGACAGGGTTTCACCATGTTGGCCAGGCTGGTCTCGAATTCCTGACCTCAGGTGATCCACCTGCCTCAGCCTCCCAAAGTGCTGGGATTACAGGCGTGAGCCACCGTGCCCAGCTTGTTTTTTACTTTTAAAAGGCAGTGATGAGAATAGAATAGGTGGAAAACAATTTTTATGATTTGTGGCAGAGTTTCTGGCTCTAGACATTTCTAGATAAAAACTTAACATTCAGAATTACTATGATAGTGTAGTTATGTAGCATTCAACTTTGAATTACATTTTGTATTACAACTGAAGAATATATATACAATCATACTGAAGAAAAAAGCATAAGTTATGCATTATAAACTGCTAATAGAGCAAGGAAAGAAAAGGACAATTCTAAAGTACATTTTATAGTCCTGACATTGGCCAGGCGTTGATTTGGGGAAGCGGAAGGTGGGGAAAAAAAAGGCATAGGTGGTTTCTATCAAGAGTTTGCAGCTGGGCGCGGTGGCTCACGCCTGTAATCCCAGCACTTTGGGAGGAGGCTGAGGCGGGCAGATCACGAGGTCAGGAGATCGAGACCATCCTGGCTAACACGGTGAAACCCCATCTCTACTAAAAATACAAAAAATTAGCCAGGTGTGGTGGCGGGCACCTGTAGTCCCAGCTACTTGGGAGGCTAAGGCAGAAGAATGGCGTGAACCCAGGAGGCGGAGCTTCCAGTGAGCTGAGATCACGCCACTGCACACCAGTCTGGGCAACAGAGCGAGACTCTGTCTCAAAAAAAATAAAAGAGTTTGCTTTGGGGTTATTTATAAGATCTCAGTAAACTAGACTGTAAGTGTAATACAAAACTGCCAAGAAACATTTAAACACTTCTCCTGATCAATAGTCACTTGCCAACAATATTCACTTACATTTTTGTTTTTGTGTAAAACTTACCAACAAAATTAATTCATCTAGCATCAGTTCAATCCTATAGCATAAAATACTACAGCTATTCCTACTATGATGACAAGTACCAGGAATCTCTCACTCTAAAAAAGTCTGATAAAAGGAATGAAGTTATTATTAACCTTAAATCAATGGTTCTCAACCCTGGCCTCATATCGTAATACCTAGGGCACTTGAAAAAAATCCCAAGGTGCAGGCTTTACCCCAAAACAATGGAATGAGAATCCCTTGGGTTGGGCCCACATCTTTGTTATTTTGTAAAGCTCCCCAGGTAATTCCTAACCCAAAGTAAGGTTGAGAATCACTTATTTAAGGTTTCAAAAGCCATTTATTCAGTGCTAAGATATATGACTATTAAGATATATTGCATCTCCAGGCCACCAACAACCCAGAAATGACATGATTCCACATTGCTAGCCACCCTCCTGGAATTAACCCCAAACTACTGGCTGTGAATATATCATTCCCTTGATCAAGAACCTTAATGTGTTCCCATCGCCTACAATAAAGTTAAAACTCTAGCATGACATTCAAGGAATTCTTCCACAATATAGACAACTTATTCTAACTCCTCTTCCCACTACTCCCACCACAAACCCACCCTTCATGTGAAATCAGATGACATTTCCTGGTGTACACACATATCCTGTGCTTTCCCTACTTACAGCCTTTGCTCCTGCTGTTTCCTGTACTTGGGGTGTGCTTCCTCTCTCTTCTCCAGGCACTGATTGAAAAAACCTGTTCTATCTTTTAGACCCAGCTTGAATGCCACCATTGTCTCCATGAAGCTCACCTCAAAGTCCTCCATCAAAATTCATCTCTAGCTCTGGCCCTCAATATGTACATTCTGCCTTGAGCATGCATCCCTCATCTCCTAAAAACAGAAGCCTCAAGATTAGAGTGGCTATGCGCCTCTCAAGGGCAAGGGCTGAGTCTTGTACATTTTTCTATCCCCCCCAGCACTCCACACAGGGTCTAACTCACAGTAGTGCCTAGTAAGTGATGTAGGATTTAACTCAAGTCTTTACAACTATAATCCTCTTTATAAGAAACTGTTTCTAGACAGAAGAAATAGATTGCTTGATTTTAAACTGAATTTAAAACTAAAAATGTACACCACCAAACAAATAAAAATGCCACACTGACCTAAAATGTAGTAAGGAATACTGTATTTGTGGAGCTAATCTGCTGTACTCTAATTCGTTTTGATCATTGTTGGTATTTGCTTTAGTCTAGAATAGAGGAGATTCCAAAATGATGGAAAAAACAAATAAAGTAATTTCTGAGAACTTGAGAGGGAAAGTAGAACCCACCTTAAAATAACTCTATTCAAATGCTCTCTATTTTCTGGGAGACTTGGCACTCTGGGTGGAAGGTTAATTCTCCTTCCCCTGTGTATTCTTGTGAGTGAGCTTTAAAACTGCTAAAAATAAACAAATCCAATTCCTTATTTGAAGGCAATGGCAAAAAGCATGGCAAAGACTAATTTTCTTTTTGGAGTCCAAGGAAAGTACGGACTCCCTGATTCTTCATTATTTTTTTCTCCTTAGGAAGTGCTAAATGTTTCAAACTGGAAAGAATTTGAATATGAAGCATTCCATGGAGAAAGGGTTAAGTGAGAAACTGAAATACCTTGGTGCATTTCCACTGCTCTCCACTACACCTCCAGGACAAATAAGGATGAGTTGTCAAGTTAAATATAAGCAGTCAAGTGACTGAATTATAATTTACTCTGTGCTCAATTTAAATTAGTGTGAGGCTATTAAAATATACAGTATAAATACGGCAATTCATCACAAGCTGTCATGGATGACTTCGTTTATTTGCTGGAGTGGCACACACTTCACTAAAGGGAAAGAGAGCAAAATCACAGGTCAAATTAAGCTGCTATTCTGTTTTAATTCACTTATTTAATCTATGGCGACATAATTGTCTTTTACAGTATGTACAACTCAGAAAGGAAATTTGGGAGGATTATAGTCAGTATACAAATGATTAATCAAATGGTCCATTTAAATGCTAGTTTAAAAGCAGCAGAAACCCAAAGCAGTCAAAGAATGATAATTGGCACATGCAATATACAATGCTAAGAAATTTCCTGTTAGATGGATTTTTCCCACTTAGAAAACAAACAATAGTGGGAAATCTATTAAATCCTCCAAGCATTACTACTTGAAAGATTTTATAGAATACATTAATGGTATAAAAAGGTTCTGTTTACAAGATGGCTAACAGTATTTTTATTTGTTTTCTGCTCTACTTATCTGCAATTGTCTTGACTACCTGCACCAAACAAACAGACAAAAAGGTAGAAACACGTTTCATGAATTACACATGGTCATTATGAAATAGTTATCTTTAAAATGTGATTAGCATCATTTTCAAAATGTTCTCTTTGAGGCAGAACATTTTCTAAATTCAATAGTATAAAATAGAAATTCATGGTACATTATTCTTTCCAAAATTCAACTTCTTTTAAAAATATCTTGTAATATATTCCTACCTCAGAAGTCTAAAAAGGGAAACATTTACAATATGCTTTTTTGTCTAAAAAATAAGAACATTTAGAAGCATAACATGAGAAACATTTTGAGTAGGAAAAGCAACAGATTTTCAAGGACTCATCTAATTGTGCCCATAGACATTCAAAGTGTGGGTCCAACTGACCACTTTGCTTGGAAAATTAAATTTCCCTCATCATTCCATGCAGGCGTCAGACCCTGCAGGTGATTCAGTTTGGACAAGGACTGTGATTTGCTGCTCTTCACAATCCTCTGTGACATCAGGCAGCCCCGTTTCACAGCTGAGGTCACTGGGAGGTTCAAGTGACATGCTTGAAGTCACACAAAAGTCAGGAGAGGGTCAGGAAAAGATCAAATACGCTTCTAACTCTTAACCTTCCATTTCACCCTTTAATATAAAAAAAGCTAAGAAATATTCTGGGTGAGAGCAATGGTCCATATAAAGAACGCTATGAGATATTTTGTATGTGAGCTGAACCTGCTTTCAAGATGTTACTTTAAAAGATGAATGAACTAAAGAACAAACAGAAGAACAAAAATTTATTCACTCAGTCACTCAACAAATTATGTATTGAACACTTACTCGTTATGTGTAATGCTTTGTACTATACCCTATATGCAAGGATCTGCAGGAATCACGGAGTAAGGCAAGAAGATAAATAAGATCTGTTCCCCACTTACAGAGTTTTCAATATAATATGGGAAATGTACAGGTATACTAACAGCAAAATACAAGGCAGTTGGTGATAACACCCTTAAAAGACATATACAGGGAATTCTAGAGAGGTTCAAAGAAGAAAATGAGTGAGTGAGAGATAGACCATATGTGACAGGGCTTATCCAGAAAAGTTCAATGAAGGAGCAGGCTTTTCAGCTGATCCTTGAAAGGTGTTAAAGATTTTGATAGGTAGAGATAACGGGTGAAAGCATTCTAATTAGAGAGGAATACGTGAATCAAAGTGTTGAAGTGAGAAAGTGCCTGAGTTCAGATAAGGCAACGAGTTCAACTTAAAAGACACACAGGATTCAAACATGTAAGATAATGCTATAAAAGCAGACTGACGACATGTCGTGGAGGATCTTGAATTCCATCCTCTAAAGTCTTTAGTTTATCTGGGAAGTGACGTGAAGCCTCTGAAGACTTTTGAGAGGGAAATAAATGTGACCAGGATGACCCTTGGCAAGCCAAATCTGAGAGCAGTGAGCAGCGCCGGCAGGGGGGTCACCGGCACTTAGAACAAGACTACCTATGTTTAAATCCTGGCTCCACTACTTATCAGTTGTGGGACCTTGGGCAAGTTATTTAACTTCTCTGTGCCTCAGCTTTTGTAAAACAGGAATCAGTAAGAGTTACAAAATGTTGTGAGCATTAATTTAAAAAATGCATGCAAAATGCTTAGCATTGTATAAATCATCAATAAATGGTAGCTTCTATTTACTGAGAACAATTCAAAAGCTGGTATACATGTCTGACAAGAAAGAAGCCAAGCATCTGGATTAGAGTGGTGTAAGGAAAAGAAAGGGATATTAGAACTCTGTCAGATGCATAGTTCGCAAAATTTTTCTCCCATTCTGTAGGCTGTCTGTTCACCCTGTTGATAATTTCCTTTGCTGTGCAGCTCTTTAGTTTAATTAGATCCCATTTGTCAATTTTTGCTTTTGTTGCAATCGCTTTTGGTGTCTTCATCATGAAATCTTTATCCCACTCCTATGTCCAGAATGGTATTTCCTAGGTTGCCTTCCAGGGTTTTTGTACTTTGGGTTTTACATTTAAGTCTTTAATTTTGAGTTAATTTTTGCAGTAAAGGGGTATAAGGAAGGGGTCTATACAAATTTGTAAGAAAAAGACAACCCCATTAAAAAGTGGGCAAAGGACACGAACAGACACTTCTCAAAAGAAGATATACACGAGGCCAACAATCCTATGGAAAAACGCTCAACATCACTGATCATTTGAGAAACGTAAATCAAAACCACAATGAGATACCATCTCACATCAGTCAGAATGGCTATTACTAAAAAGTCAAAAAATAACAGATGCTGGCAAGGTTGTGGAGAAAAAGGAATGCTTATATACTGTTGGAAGGAGTGTAAATTAGTTCAACCATTGTGGAAGACAGTGCAGTGATTCCTCAAAGTCCTAAAAACAGAAATACCATTTGACCCAGCAATCCCATTACTGGGTATATACCCAAATGAATATAAAGCATTCTATTATAAAGACACACGCATGCAAATGGTCATTGCAGCACTATTCGCAATAGCAAAGACATGGAATCAACCTAAATGCCCATCACTGGTAGACTGGATAAAGAAAATGTGGTACATACACACCATGGAATACTATGCAGTCATAAAAAACAATGAGATCATGTCCTCTGCAGGAACATGGATGGAGCTGGAGGTCATCATCTTTAGCAAACTAACACAAGAACAGGAAACCGAATACCACATGTTCTCACTTATAAGTGGGAGCTAACTTATGAGAACACATGGACACATAGAGGGAAACACCACACACTGTGGCCTATCAGAAGGTGGAGGGTGAAGTGGGGAGATGATCAGGAAAAATAACTAATAGGTACTAGGCTTAATACCTGGGTGACAAAATAATCTGTACAACAAACCCCCATGGCACAAGTATACTTATATAACAAACCTGCACATGTACCCCTTAAAAGTTAAATTAAAAAAGTTAAATTAAAAGTTAAAAAAATTAACTTTTTTAATTTTTAAAAAATTAAAAGTAAAAAAAAGTTAAAAAAAGTTAAATTAAAAGTTAAAAAAGTTAAAAGTTAAATTAAAAAAAAGAAAGGAAGAGGTACTAAAACACACATACACACACACTCACACACACATCAACAGGCTTCCAGACATTGGACATTAGCCAGAATGGGGCAGTGATCCCTGAAAGATGGAAAACAAATGAGATGAGCCCTATGATTGCCCAGCTTGCTGACCAGAGAGTTCCCAGGCCTCAGTGCAGGGAGGGGAAACCAGGCAGAGATAAGCCATCTCCCTAAGATGAGAAGACAAAACTGAGAGTCTGAGGAGGCCAAGGAAGCTAGAGAAGCAGAGGGCAGAGAGCTGGCAGAGGACCTGAGGGAGAGAGCTCCAGAGGTCTGCCGAGGGGGTCCTGGAGTCTTCAGCTGAGTAATGAATGATCTGTACATAGATGTCAGGAGATCACCTGAGGCCAGGGAGAGAACCACTAGAAAGGCTCAGAAGAAACGATCTCCAGATTAATACTGGGCAAGAAAAGTTTGTATTCCCACCAGTCAGTGTGGAAAAACCTTGCAATTTGCAAGGCACCAGGTAGAGTACTCAGAAGAGTACTACCTCTGCTGCACGGGGAAAATTAGTTCTAGACTAACCACTGGGCTGGTACTGTCTAATAAAACTTAAAAGCAAGCCTTGAAAGAATCAAATTATTCAAAAGTAACTAAATACCATCTCTGTATTAGTCAGGGTTCTCTAGAGGGACAGAACTAATAGGATAGATGTATATATGAAGGGGAATTTATTAAGGAGTATTGACTCACAGGATGACAAGGTGAAGTCCCACAATAGGCCATCTGCAAGCTGAGGAGCAAGGAAGCCAGTCCAAGTCTGAAAACCTCAAAAGTAGGGAAGCCAACAGTGCAGCCTTCAGTCTGTAGCTGAAGGCCTGAAAGCCCCCGGCAAATCACTGGTGTAGGTCCAAGAGTCCAAAAGCTGAAGAACTTGGAGTCTGATGTTCAAGGTCAGGAAGCATCCAGCATGGAAGAAAGATGAAGGCGGGAAGACTCAGCAAGTCAAGTCCTTCCAACTTCTGCCTGCTTTTATCCTAGCCACACTGGCAGCTGATTAGATGGTGCCCACCCAGATTGCAGGTGGGTCTGCCTCTCCCAGCCCACTGACTCAAATGTTAATCTCTTACGTTAACATTAACTCAAATGTTAATCTCTCTGAATATTAACACCTTCACAGACACACCCCGAAACAATACTTTGCATCCTTCAACCCAATCGAGTTAACACTCAATATTACCCACCACAATCTCAGAATAAAGTTCAAAAATATTTATAGCAGAGCAAAAATAGCACCCATGCCACATGTCTGGTATCCAATAAAAAATTATAAGGCATAGCTGCTCTGCTCAAGCAGAGTAGCTATTCTCTTATTCCTTTACTTTCTTAATAAACTTGCTTTTCACTTAAAAAAAATTATAAGATATGAAAAAAAAGTGAAAAATACAACCCAAAGTGAGGAGAAGAGGAATCAGTCAAAACTGATCCAGATATGACACATATGATGGAATAAATAGATAAGGCCACTAATTCAGTTATTATAACTATATTTCATACTTTTTTTTTTTTTTTGAGACGGAGTCTTATTCTGTTGCCCAGGCTGGAGTGCAGTGGCGCAATCTTGGCTCACTGCAAGCTCCACTTCCCAGGTTCACGCCATTCTCCTGCTTCAGCCTCCTGAGTAGCTGGGACTACAAGCGCCCGACACCACGGCCAGCTAATTTTTTGTATTTTTAGTAGAAATGGGGTTTCACCGTGTTAGGATGGTCTCGATCTCCTGACCTCATGATCCGCCCACCTCAGCCTTTCAAAGTGCTGGGATTACAGGCATGAGCCACGGCGCCCGGTCATTTCATACTTTCAAGAAAGCAGAGGAGGCCAGGTGCCCTGGCTCACACCTGTAATCCCAGCACTTTGATAGGTGGAGGCGGGTGGATTGCTTGAGCCCATGAATTCAAGACAAGCCTGGACAATGTGGCAAAACCCCATCTTTATTTATAAAAACAAAAAAAAAGAAAGCAGAGGAAGTTTTAAACATGTTAAGTAGAGACATTAAAGATGTAAACACCAGCTCAATACCAGTGATAAAGAAAAAGTCTTGAAAGCAGCCAGAATGAAGCCAATTCTAATATACAGAGGAACAAAGATTTAAAATGACAGTAAACTTCTCACTGGAAAGAAAGAAAACAGTGAAACAAAATCTTTAAAAAACTGAAAGAAAACAGCAGCCAACCTAGAATTCTACATTTAGCAAAAATTAAAATGCCTCCCAAAAATGAAAGTGAAATATACATTTTTAGACATACAAAAGCTGAAAGAATACCAAAAGACCCACACTATATGAAATGTAAAGGAAGAAGTCATTCAGACAGAAGGAAAATACTACTAGATGGAAATCTGAACCACACAAAGGAATGAAGAGCACTGGCATTGGTAAATACAGGAATAAAAATAGAATACTATTTTTCTTACTTTTTAAATGTCTTTAAAAGATAAATATTTCCAGGCCGGGCACGGTGACTCACACCTGTAATCCCTGCACTTTGGGAGGCCGAGGTGGGCAGATCACAAGGTCAGGAGTTCGAGACCATCCTGCCTAACATGGTGAAACCCCATCTCTACTAAAAGTAGAAAAAAATTAGCCGGGCGTGGTGGCAGGCGCCTGTAGTCCCAGCTACTCGGGAGGCTGAGGCAGAAGAATGGTGTGAACCCAGGAGGCGGAGCCGAGATCGCACCACTGCACTCCAGCCTAGGCGACAGAGCGAGACTCTGTCTCAAAAAAAAAAAAAAAGATAAATATCTAAAGCAAAAGTAGTGACAATGCATTTTGGGGTTTATCGCATATGATGATGTAAAATGGATGATAATAAAACAAAGGCTGGGATGAGGGAAATGAAAATACACCACTGTAAGATTTGTAGACTATAAAGTGGTACAATACTATTTACATAGGAAGACTATGTTAAGTTATGAATTCTAAAGCAATCACTTAAAAAAGGGGGCATACAGGCAGAACAAATAGAAAACAAAGAGCAAAATGACAGATTTGAATCCAAACATATCAATAATCATATGAAATGTAAATAGTCTCAATACTCTCACTTAAAAAGCAGAGATCATCCAACTGGATTAAAAAATAAGACCCAACTGTATGCTGCCTACATGAAATACATTTCAAAAATAATGACACAATAGGTTAAAAGTAAAAAAAAAAATATCATGCTAACACTTGTCAAAATGAAGCCTAGAATTTAATATCAGACTATAAATTTCAGAGCAAAGAATATGATCACAGACAAAGAAGGTTACTTCATAATGTCAATGAGGCCGATTTATCAAGAGGACATAACAAACATAAATGCACCTAAGAATATATCTTCAAAAAACATTAAGTAAAAAATAACAGAACTGTAGGCCACAATTATTGTTGAGTATTTCAACACCCCTCTTTCAGTAATTGATAGTACTAGATAAAAATCAAATATCTAATAACAAATATCTGAATAACACTATCAGCCAACTTGATCTAATTGACATTATACAATACCCTATACAGTGGATTATACATTCTTTTTTTTTTTTTTTTTTTTTTTTTTTTTTTTTTTTTTTTTTGAGATGAGGTCTTACTCTGTCACCCAGACTAGAATGCAGTGGTGCAATCATGGCTCACTGAAGTCTCAACTTCCTCAGCTCAGCGATCCTCCCACCTTAGCCTCCCAAGTAGCTGGGACTACAGGCACACACCACCATGCCCAGCTAATTTATTTTTTATTTTTTATTTTTTGTAGAGACAGGGTTTTGCCACGTTTCCCAGGCTGGTCTCGTACTCCTGAGCTCAAGTCATCCACCTACCTCAGCCTCCCAAAGTGCTGGGATTACAGGCACAAGCAGGCTATACATTCTTTTCATGTGTACAAGGACTGTTTACCAAAATAGGTCATATTCTGAGCCATAATATAAGTCTCAACAAATTTAAAACAATTTAAGTTATAGGAAGGGTGTTCTGGAACCACAATGGAATTAAATCAGAAATCAGTAATAGAAAGATGGAAAATCTCCAAATATTTGGAAACTAAATAACACACTTCTAAGAATTAAAAATTCTGCCTGTTTTGAAGAAATGGTAAATTTTTCTTAGATTATGACTATTATACAAGTTACATGGTTTTTGCCTAAACTACCAACAAGCTCAGGGCTACACAAATGTTTAATCACAATAATCATATCTGCTCTTAAATCATCCATTCATTCAATTCAGTGTGAGTATCTACTATATTTTATAGAATCTAGAGATACAAAGTGAATACAGTACAGTTCTTGTTGTAAAGCCCAGTTTAATGATCAGGTCTAGTGAACAGTATATTTGTAAATCCCAACTATTTTCATTTACTGACAGTCTCTACTTTCCTAACAGCTATTCTGTAAATATGTCCTTTCTTTAAAATTGCTTTTACTCTTTTCCAGAAAAAGCTGTTGGCCCCTTGCCACACCCAACTAATGCACAATACTTTTAATATTAGTCTATATAAACATAATTCAAAATGTATGAAATTACGAAAAATGTATAATGTACTTTGCAAGGCCAAATAATCATAGATTTCTAGACGATTTATAACAGTGTTCCCCTCTCCTGGAGTAAATAACCTAGAGTTGGCTATCTTTAAATATATCATCAGCAACAATCTAAGACTTCTGACATAAAAGGAACAAAAAAGTAACTCAATGGATGGGAAAATAGTGCTCAAGTTTTAGTGGAAGTTTTCTCTTAGTGAAAAGGGAGCTCAGGAGGTACAGAAAGGTTAAACCAATGCCAAGGTGTACAACAGAGCCACACTCAGTGAGAACCAAGGTGGTACGACTGGGCCGCGCTCGGTGAGCACCAAGGTGGTATGACACAGCTGCATTCAGTGAGCTCAGTGCCTCTGTAAAATGTGGGGGCTGTAACAGGTGATCTCCAAGGTCTCTTCCAGTTCTACAATTCTATGGACCCTAAATGGCTGAACTGTCAAAGAAAATATCTCAAAGGAAGCTCTGTTGTACCCCCTCACAAGCTATTTAACTTATTAAAACTAAACTTGATAATGCCACGTAACACATTCTAGGTGCTGTACTAGATGTGATATGGAAGAAGAACTCTGGATTTCATTAGCAGTCAGAGGATCTGAGCCTTAGTTTTGGTTTCAACTTACTAAAAGGTATAAGCAATTCTAATGTAATTGCTCTGATTCTTAGTTTTCTAGATGAGAAAAAAGATGCAGAAATATATACTATGCAACTGTTAGAGAAAGAGATCAATTTCTCACTGTGGATAGCTAAAAAGGCATATTGGAGATGAACCATGAAAAGATAGATGAAGATCAGAGGGATGAGCAATGTTAGTAAGTTGTATAAAAGCTGCATGGTGTAACAGAGGAGATGAGCTTTGGAGGCAGATGAACATTTCACATCCTGGCCTTACCCCTTCCAACTCTGTGATCTTTGACAATTCAGCTTTCTGAGTTTCAGTCTCCTAATCTAAAGTAGACAGGCTTACTATGTAATTTTAAGGATTAAATATAATAGTTATAAAACATCTAGCATAGCTGGGCGTGGTGGCTCATGCCTATAATCCCAGGACTTCGGGTGGCTGAGACAGGAGGATCGCTTAAGCCCAGGAGTTCATGACCAGCTTGGGAAACATAGTGAAACCCTGTCTCTACAAAAAATAAAGAAAATTAGCAAGGCATGGTGATGCACACCTCTGGTCCAACCACTCAAGGGGCTGAAGTAGGAGGATCTCTTGGACCTGTGAGGTGGAGGCTGTAGTGAGCCTAGATCACGCCACTGCACTCCAGCCTGGATGACAGAGCAAGACCCTGTCTCAATCAAAAAAAAAAAAAAAATCTAGCATAATACTTGGCATATAGTAGTCACTCAAAAAATAAGAACTTTCATTACTAAAGGCCAGGAGACTGGAGATAAAGGGCATGACGGGAAGTAACAGATTGGTAAAGCAGAGTGCATGTTTATAAAGGTAGGTGGGGGCCAATATGTAGAGGGTCTGAACAATTTGTGGGGAAGGTTGGGGGCAAGGCAAGCCTGACCAGTTTGTTAGCTAAGAGCCCAAAATTGGAAATGGGGTTCTGTGGGGTTAGGACTTAATTAGCAAAGGGTTCAGTCAGAAGCGCAATTCAAGACAGAGTCCATTAAGGAAATCTGAGATTTAAGATGATGGGAAGATCAAGCGCCAGCAGTGGCAGAGATTAAATCCAAAGTGGCATGGCAGGACTGGGATGCTGGAGTTTGGCAGAGATGAAGTATGAATTATGAATTGCATGGGAACAAGTGAGGAGCATCCTAGGTAACTGCCTGGAACATCCCTGAGTTGTGTGTAGCCTGACTCTATTGGCAGGTGTTGTGCTTGGGTATTTCAGTATGCCGAGGGAGTCAGAAGCAAAGCAGACATCTTAGGCTTTACGTTGTACATGATTGAGGAAGGCAGTCAGCAAGACACGGTCAGATCTGTGATTTGACTTCTCAAATCTGTGGCAGAGTAAAAGGTGCATAGGAAAAGAAAAGACCGAAAGTACAGTGAGGAAGTTATTTCAAAAGTCCAGGTAGGAGGTAATGTGAGCCCGATCCAAGACCATGGCAATGGGGATGGGAATAGAAAGAAAGTAGCAAATGGATATATTTCAGGGAAAAATTCTAACGGGATACAGCAATTCACAGGATGTGGCATATTTAAAGAAGGAAAAGGAATACATTACCAGTAAGGTTTTGAGCTGCATGACAAGGAAGATGGTGATGCCACTTAGCAGGGGACACAGAAAGAAATTTTCTCTTCTTGGCAAGAAGAATCACAATACACGGAGCTTACAACTGACTATTTTAAGGCATACTTAAAAGATCTTCAGGTGTCTGAATGTCACCAGAGAGCCACAGCTTCCCCTACCTACCATCTAAACCTTAAGCCATTTCATCTCCTCTTTGACAATATCTGTGACTCAAGCTAACAGAGGAAAGGAAAGAGGTGAACATCAAGAATTTCATAAAATGTATCCAGTACTTACCTTTACAGCTAATATTTTCCCACTCGGGACATGATATGCTCTATGGGAAGAAAAAAAAACAAAATCATTTGGGATCACTAAACAACCTACAAAATGGTTAAGGACATAAATGTAAATCCAAACATTTCTGCAGCAGTGGGATACATGGTACTTTCAAAGAACACTAACAACATTAGTAATTTACATTTATATGGAGCTTAATGGTTTACAAAGTGATTTACTATACATTACCTTAAAATAACTATCTGAGGTAATACTGATACATTATTATCCTCCTTTTATAGATGAGAATTCTGAAGCACAGAGAAGTTAAACAGTTTGCCCAATGGCACAAAGTAACTAGCAGCAGAATGAGACCTCAAACCTAGGTCTTTTGGCTCCAGATCCCTTATGACTGTCACTGTGCATGTGGGTTCTCTATAGCTCTATGTTAAGCAGTGTACAGAGCCATTTTGCTTTTTTTTTCCCATTTTTTTTGCTTATTTTTTTAATTACACATGCAGATAAACTATATCATAACAGTTCATCAAAACAAGCTCAAAGTAACAGATATAGTGAAATAACTACAACTTAAATCAATAAATATAAATGTATCCATTTATGAAAAAGAATGAGAATAGGGTTTACAGAAATGAAATACCATTACTATCCATCAAGACCTTTTGTGTTTATCTGATTGAGTGACTGACTGATTCAGACAGGGGCTCTCTCTGACACCTAGGCTGGAACACAGTGGCATAATCACAGATCACTGCAGCCTCAAACTCCTCAGCTCAAGCGATCCTCTCACTTCAGCCTCCTGAGTAGCTAGGACTATAGGCACATGCCACCATGCTACTTTTTACTTTTTTTTGTAGAGACAGGGTCTCTGGATGTTGCTCAGGCTGGCCTGGAACTGCTGGCCTCAAGTGATGCTCCCACCTCAGTCTACGAAAGTGCTAGGATTACAGGAGTGAGCCACCGTACCTTTTATGTTTAAATGAAATGTGGCCTTTACACATATACTGTGGGGACTAGATATTCTGAACATTATTTAGAAGCAATCTGCAACACATTTTTATACAATAAAAATTTCAAAATAAACCACATAACATAAACAAGCATTGTTATTGCAAGCCCATAAAAATATTAATATAAGGAAGTAAGTAAGTTTCGAAGAACTAAAAATCTTGCCCTATAGAGGATTTTATACACTAGCTAAGATCAGACGGCTCTTCCTCTCATCTGGTAAGTGTTAGGATAGGAATGGCATAGGGAAAATGGGGAACAGAAGTCAGTGCCTCAGGAATTCCTCATCTTCACCTGCCCAGTTGTAAAACATATTTAATGAGCCCCTAAACTTCCCCTTTCTTAAAACAAAAATAAAACCAAAATTTACATAATCCACTACTGCCAACATGGAAACATCATTTTCTGCTGTTTAGCAGAAAATTTGGTTGCTCTGACAAATATTTTTTTAAAAAAGACATTTATTCAGCATCATGATCAGACTATTGCATTTAGCAATCAACAGCATGGTGCAAAAAAAAAAATCTACATTAGATCACTTTGTTGGAATGCTTTAAACTTTCCATGGAACAGGAACTAAAATAACCTGTTATACAATTAGACAAATACAGTCCTCAAGTTTTTGCCCATTCACATGAGTATTTGTCTAAAACATGTCTTCTTTGTAGCAGCTAGGCCCTGCCACCACCGTGCTTGGCTGAGTTCACAAATCTGTTGTAACCTGTAGCTTCCCCGTCACTTCTCTAGCTCTCCTCTTTTGCTACGCTTTGTTTCCTGGCAATAATTAAAATCTTCTGCCACTGCCGTAGCTACTGCTGCTACTGGAACCGCCATGGCCACCTTGGTTTCATGGTTTGGCAAAGTATTGGCCTCCACCACCATAGGGGCCAGAGCTTCTGCCTCCAAAGTTTCCTCCCTTCACGGGTCTGAAATTTGAAGACTGATTGTTGAAATTGCCAAAATCATTGTAGCTTCCACCACCTCCAAAATTGCTTCCATTATTACTAAATCCATTATAGCCATCCATCCCCACTGCCGCCATATCCACCATCACCACGGCTGCCATCAAAGCCACCATGACCACTGAAGTTTCGTCCATGACCAAAATTGTCATTCCCACTAAAAACACCTCCACAACCACCACCAAAGTTTCCAGAGCCACTTCGACCTCTTTGGCTGGCTGAAGCATTAGCCATCTCTTGCTTTAACAGGGCTTTCCTAACTTCACCGTTGTGGCCATTCACAGTATGGTTATTTCTGAATGACAGTCTTATCCACAGAGTCATGGTCGTCAAAGGTTATAAAGGCAAAGCCCCTTTTCTTGCCACTGCCTTGGTCAGTCATGATTTCAATCACTTCAATTTTTCCATATTATTCAAAATAATCTCTTAGGTGATATTCCTCAGTGTCTTTTTTTTATTTTTTATTTTTATTTTTTTTTAGATGGAGTCTCGCTCTGTCGCCCAGGCTGGAGAGCAGTGGCACGATCTTGGCTCACCACAGCCACTGCCTCCTGGGTTCAAGCAATGCTCCTGCCTCAGCCTCCCGAGTAGCTGGGATTACAGGTGCCTGCCACCACGACCAGCTAATTTTTGTATTTTTAGTAGAGACGGGGTTTCACCATGTTGGCCAGGCTGGTCTCAAATCCCTGACCTCGTGATCTGCCCACCTCAGCCTCCCAAAGTGTTGGGATTACAGGCATGGGCCACTGCACCCAGCCTTCAGTATCTTCTTTAATGCCACCAACAAATATCTTTTTCACAGTTAAGTGGGCACCGGGTCTTTGAGAATCTCCTCTTGAGACAGCTCTCTTTGTTCCCACAGCTCTTCCGTCCACCTTGCGTGGCCTTGCATTCATGGCTGCATCCACTGCCTCCACAGGGGCATATGTGACAAACCCAAAGCCCCAGGAGCACTTGGTGCTTGGATCTCTCATTACCACAGTCTGTGAGTGTTCCCCATTGCTTAAAATGGCTCCTCAGGCTCTCATCGGTTGTTTCAAAGTTCAGCCCTCCAATGAAGAGCTTCCTCAGCTGTTCAGGCTCTTTAGGAGACTCTGACTTAGACATGACAGCAGGGAGAACAGAGACTTTAATGATGTTTCCTCTGTGGCGTCCACGAGCAGAAAGGACTGACAAAATTTTTTAACAGCTTTATTGAGATATAATTTACATATGATAACATTCACTTGTTTTAAGGGTACATTCTACTTTTTAGTAAATTTACAGAGTTGAACAATCACTGACAAGAGTTTTTTGAAGGTGACTGACTTATAGAAATGATTTAGTTATTAAGAGCATATAGGTATTTGTAATATCGTTTACAAGTAAAATGTTACAAATTCAGGCAAGACTAGGAAACTACATATATAAAGCATATGTATATACTTATCCAAATATATGAGTGTTATAAGAACTTACTCATTTTGCTTTTCCTACTTGAGTGGACAAAGGTCAAGCCAGTCATGGAAGGTAAACTTAACTTTTATTATATCAATTAATTATACAGAAATTCAAGTATATTTCATTTAAAGAAAAAGCAAGATTACAAAAACCGGGTGACAACTGTTTACTTTACCAAAGAATTATTTAACCTTTGAAAGTGTCTAAAGATATTCTCAAATAACAACCTCATTGGTTATTTCTAAATACTACTTATAAAACTTTAATCAGGTTGGGCACAGTGGCTCATTCCTGTAATCTCAGCACTTTGGGAAGCCAACGCAGGAGGATCACTTGAACCCAGGAGATCAAGACCAGCCTGGGCAACATAGGGAGACACTGTCTTTTAAAAAAAATAAAATAATTACCTGGCATCGTGGTGCGTGCCTGTAGTCCTCTATAGTCCCCCTGTAGGGACTACAGGGAGGCTGAGGCAAGAGGGTCGCTTGAGTCCAGGAGGTCAGGCTGCAGTGAGCTATGATCTCACCACTCCACTACAGCCCGGGTGACAGAGCGAGACTCTGTCTCAAAGATATAGAAAATAATAATAAAACTTAATCAATTATTATTTTCTTCAGAGACAGGTCTCATTCTGTCTCCCAGGCTGGAGTGCACTGCTGTGATCTTATTAGTTCATTGTGACCTTGAACTCCCGGGCTCAAGCGATCCTCCCACCTCAGCCTCCCAAACCGCTGGTACTACAGGAGTATACCACCATGCCTGGCTAATTTTTTTTAAGTTTTTAAGAGATGAAGTCTTGCCATGTTGCCCAAGTTGGTCTCAAACTCCAAGCCTCAAGCGATCCTCCCACCTTGACCTCCCAAAGCACTGGGATTACAGGTATGAGCCACTGTGCCAGCAAAATAATTTTTTATACTTTGTACAAAGTGATACACATTTTATAAGTGGAACCCTATCCCCTATATTATGTTTTTTGTTTGTTTGCTTGTTTAAGATGGAGCCTTGCTCTGTCGCCCAGACTAGAGTGCAGTGGCACAATCTCGGCTCACTGCATCCTCCGAAACCCAGGTTCAAGCAATTCTCCTGCCTCAGCCTCCCAAGGAGCTGGGATTACAGGAGCCCACCACCACACCTGGCTAATTTTTTTTTGTATTTTTCATAGAGACAAGGTTTCACCATGTTGGCCAGGCTGGTCTCAAACTTCTGACCTCAAGTGATCTACCAGCCTCGGCCTCCCAAACTGCTGAGACTACTACAGGTGTGAGCCACCACACTTGGCCTGAAATGTGATTTAAAGGAAATTAGTAAGTTTATTCCACGTAAATCCAAGTAACATAATACGTAAGACTTTGTGATATATTATTTTTCCCCCTCCACATCACAGATTCTTCCAATTCCAACTTTTAAAAATATTATATATTCGAATCACTAATCAAGAACTGAAATATAAAGACAAATAATTAAATATATACACAGGATTCAAAAGTTGTAAAAAGATCAGTGTTGTTACTTCGAATAAGCAACACCTGGACGTTTGAGACCAGCAGCAGCGATAAGAAAATGATTAGCAGATAGTCTAATATACATACCATACTGGACAGTTTGGCAACTTAATTAGCTTGTCAAGAAAGCTGATCTCTTTTCTAAAAGAAAGGTGTCCTATTTCCAAGTGAATTAAAAGGAGAGGCTTGATAATTTAATTATGATGCACGCTAATTCATCCGTGGAAGTTTGGGTTCGATTTCGAGGAATAAAGATGCTATGTGGTTTGGTTTACAGTGCAATGACAGTACCAATTTAACATTTAATCATCAAGGAGAACTGGATGACAAAGGCAATGCCAGGCATGAGTCGAGTGTGTCCCTTAACTTTCCAAATGGTATTTACTTAGAGAAAAGGAATTTGTTTACTTTCAACAGATACTACATCTCAATTGTCTTGACCTTCCTCAACACATTAATTGTAAAGTGATTAATGAAGTTTGAATGGAGGCTCTGCTTACACCAAAAGACAACTATACACCTCTGCAATGTTTTAATTAACAGCTAACACTTCAAATTAGTTTGTTGTTGCCACAGTAATTACCTGATTCAATGACTGCATGGAGGAAGCATTTTTATGAGATATTTTTAGTGCTTGGTCCTTGAGTGTTCCATTTTGTTTGTGACCAGCACAGGCCTTCTGGGAACAGTCTCAGCCCTTAAAATTGAGCACACACACATACACTTTACCATGGCAAAAGTTAGTCGCCTGGTGTAAGTTTTTCAAATATTTAAAATAACAAAGAGCCCAGTGCAAGCGAATACTTTCTATCCATACTTTCTTATTTCATTTGTAACAATAGGTTATAGATGACCAGACAAAGAAGTTGGTCTTAACTTGTAATCTTGGTACAGAATCAGATAATTTATTGAGCTAGTAGAAAACAGAGAAAATTATTTAACCTAATCCCCTTCTTTCACAGCAGAAGCACCCAAAAGCCAGGTTAAATAACTTATCCAAGCTCACACAGTCAGTGGCAAAGCCAAGACGAGCCGCGACAGAATATGCATATTTTAGGACCTAAAGGAAATAGATGGTGATGTTTGGCTGGGCACAGTGGCTCGTGCCTGTAATCCCAGCACTTTGGGAGGCCAAGCCAGGTGGATCACCTGAGGTCAGGAGTTCAAGACCAGCCTGGCCAACATAGTGAAACCCCATCTCTACTAAAAATACAAAAAATTAACCAGGCCTGGTGGCGGATGCCTGTAATCCCAGCTACTCGGGAGGCTGAGGCAGGAGAATTGCTTGAACCCAGGAGGCAGACGGTGCAATGAGCTGAGATTGCACCACTGCACTCCAGCCTGGGAAACAAGAGCGAAACTCCGTCAAACACACTCACACACACACACACACACACACACACACACACACACACACACACACACAAAGAGATCGTGATGTTTAATTTTTTTACCTGTATTCTAGGGCAGGGAAACATATAATTCAAAACTTACAAAGGTACTGACCTATTTCAATCAGGCCAAAGACCATTATATCCAAATTGCTCCAGGCAAGGAAGCATTCTGCAATCAGTGCCAATCTATCCTGGGAGGCAGAAGAGCAAATGGGACAGGCTCTGAAGTCACTGCCAGCTCAAATCCCAGCTGTGCCACTTCTTTTTTTTTTTTTTTTTTTTTGAGACGGAGTCTTGCTCTGTCGCCCAGGCTGGAGTGCAGCAGCGCGATCTCGGCTCACTGCCAGCTCCGCTTCCCGGGTTCACACCATTCTCCTGCCTCAGCCTCCCGAGTAGCTAAGACTACAGGTACCCGCCAGCACGCCTGGCTAATATTTTGTATTTTTAGTAGAGACGGGGTTTCACTGTGTTAGCCAGGATGGTCTCGATCTCCTGACCTTGTGATCAGCCCTCCTTGGCCTCCCAAAGTGCTGGGATTACAGGTGTGAGCCACTGCGCCCGGCCTAGCTCTCCCACGTCTTAAACATGTGAACCTGACTGTCAGTAAGCCCCACCAAGTCTCAGTTATCTCTAGTCTGGAATAGGGAAAGCAGTCTCTCCCTTATAGAGTTGTGAGGATCCAATGAGATAAGACTAATGAATTAAATGTTAGGAAGGTAGGAAGTAGCCGGGGGCGGTGGCTCACACCTGTAATCCCAGCACTTTGGGAGGCCCAGGTGGGCGTATCACCTGAGGTTGGGAGTTCGAGACCAGCCTGACCAACATGGAGAAACCCCGTCTCTATTAAAAATACAAAATTAGCCCAGTGTGGTGGTGGGTGCCTGTAATCCCAGCTACTCAGGAGGCTGAGACAGGAGAATCATTTGAACCCAGGAGGTGGAGGTTACGATGAGCCGAGATCACACCATTGCACTCTAGCCTCCTGGACAACAAGAGCAAAACTCCGTCTAAAAAAAAAAAAAAGGAAGATAGTAAGTTTTCAAACTGGCTGAGTGATTTCAGAATGAAAGCTGCCAAAACAGACTTAAAGAGCAGTAGTGTCTCTACGTGCTAGTTAGACTATATGCTCTACAAATGACCCTCTAATAAAGCTTTAACAACAAAGAACTGGCAAAAGTTTGCAATATATCATTTATTGTTAAGAAAAACTTAAACACGTAGTATTACTTCATGTTGAACCAACTTTGGAGACAATTAAAAGAGCCATCTGGTATGGATATACCATGTTCCAACTTCTAGATTTCTTACCATGTTTATCTCTTGCCCACTACTATAAGTTTATTCACACTACAGATAGGTGTGGTAAGTACGCCATTCAGGTGTTAATCTCAGCAGAAACGTCACTAAACAATCATGAGAAGGCCAAGTTTTCATTCTCCTTGGGTTAACAGGAAAATATGAGGCATAAGCTACCCTAAAAATACCTATATACCTCCCTTTAATATGCTTTCTTTTTTTTTGAGACGGAGTCTCGCTCTGTCGCCCAGGCTGGAGTGCAGTGGCATGATCTTGGCTCACTGCAAGCTCCAAATCCCGGGTTCACGCCATACTCCCACCTCAGCCTCCCGAGTAGCTGGGACTACAGGCGCCCACCACCATGCCCGGCTAATTTTGTTTTTGTATTTTTAGTAGAGATGGGCTTTCACTGTGTTAGCCAGGATGGTCTCAATCTCCTGACCTCATGATCCACCTGCCTCGACCTCCCAAAGTGCTGGGATTACAGGCGTAAGCCACCACGCCCAGCCCATACACTTTCTTATAAACGCTATAAAGTTAAACTTTGATGCTTCTCCTACTCTTCAAATGTTACATGCTCTATTATTGCCCTTGGCACACTACAGAAAAGTATTTATGTGTCTGTCCCCAGTACTGGGCAGTGAGCGCTGCCATGTTTTAATCATCTTTCTATTCTTTATGCTTAGCACATGTCCTGGCCCATGGTAGGTGCTCCTCACTTCATAAATGTTTGACAAATTACTACTTCTGGATGAAAAAAATAATCACCTGGATAGTGTTTTACAAAAAAAAAAATCCACATGCATTTAATTCATTAACTTCATAATCTTATGAGTAGAAGTTATTATACTCATCTCCATTTCATGGGTAGATTTCTAACTGCTGAATTAAAAGTCTTTATAAGGATTTCAACATCTGGGCCCTGGTTAGTTACCTCACTGATCTCTGCTTCTTCCAGTCTCCCTTATGCACAATACTCAACTCTGTTCCATCAAACGTGCTCCTGCCTCGGGGCCTTTGCACCTACTCCTGAGGGCTGGGCCACTTTCTCCAATATATACCTGGTTTGCTCCATTGCTTCCTTCAGGTCCTATATTGTTTCTTTGACTTTCCTACATAAAACAGCACATTCTCCCTTCAGCACATTCTCCCTTCATCTTCTTTTTTTTTTTTTTTTTTTTGAGATGGAGCCTCACTCTGTTGCCCAGGCTGGAGTGCAGTGGCGTGATCTCGGCTCACTGCCACCTCTGGGTAGCAGGGATTACAGGTGTGTGCCACCATGCCCGGCTAATTTTTGTATTTTTAGTAGAGGCGGTGTTTCACCATGTTGTCCAGGCTGATCTCGAACTCCTGATCTCAGGTGATCCACCCACCTTGGCCTCCCAAAATGCTGGGATTACAGGCGTAAGCCACCGCACCCGGCCACTTTCTTTATTCTTCACAGAGTTAGCAACACCTGATAAAATTTATTAATTTATTATGTCTCCCTCCACAACAAAGGAAGCTCCATGAAAACACACACTTTCGTTTTTTTTGTTCACTGCTATTATTTCCAGTGCCTAAAACTACATCAGGCACATTTTACAAATAATCATTTGATTGCTCTAGGTCTATTTTGGTTTTTATTTTTAAGACAATTTCATTAAGTTTTTCTAAGAAACTGGCCATTTTGTGTTTTCAAATTTATTGTCATAAAGTTATTCACTGGATCCTATTATTTTTAAAATCACTGTTATGTATAGAATTATGTTCCCTTTTTATTCCTAATTTTGTTATTTCTGCTTCTCACTGCTATATTTTATTAAGTTTTTCCAAAGAACCAGCTTTTGGTTTTGTTGAATTGTTTCTTGAATTTTCACTTAATTAACTTTTGTTCTTTTTTTTTTTTTTTCAAACTTTTGTTCATTAGTATTTCTTTCCTTCCACTTTCTTTGGGTTTATTCCCTGTCCCACCTTCTTGATTTTCTTGAGTTAGATTCTAAGCATATCATACCCAGTTATTCTTTACTAAGGTGTGTATATAAACCTATCCTTTAAGAATTACTTTGGTGCATCTCAGGAGTTTTCATATTAATACATGGTATTTGTGGTTCAGTTGTAAATATTTGTATTTTCATAACATTTCTCTAGTAATACTTTTTGCCTTAAAGTCTATTTTGTCTTATGTTAATATAACCACAGTAGCAGCATTCTTTTGATTAGTTTTTGCCAGGTATCTTCCCCTACCCTTTTCCTTTCAATTTTGCTGTGTCTTGGTATTTTAAATTTTCTCCCAATACAGTCTAAAATAGCACATAACTGTATTTTAAAAAATGCAACCTAACCTATTAGCTGCTAATATTACTCTACTTATATTTTTTGTAATTATTGATATATTTGGATTTATTTCTACCACCTAATTCATTTACTTTACACCTATCGACTTCTCTTCCTCTATTATACTGAATTATTCTCCCTTTATTCCATCTATTTGTTTTGAAGTTACACATTCTATTCACTGTTTTAGTTACCCGTATAATTTTTAACAATCATACCTGACTTAACAAAACATAAAGTTAATTGTTATCTATATCCTTCTCCTAAACAATATAAAAATCTTAGAATGTTTTAACTTCAATCAAGCCCTTCTCATCTTAACATATTATTTTCTCCAGTCTTTTTAACTTCATTTTGAATTATTACTATCGTTGTCTTATACAGTCAGATTTACTTAAATGGTCACCATTTCTTCTTTCATGTTATTCCTTCCTGAATTCAATTGGATTCCATTCTTTTATTTCTACTTACTTCCCTACCTACTAGATTTCCTACCCTGTGGTTTCATTTATCTATTGGCATCAACTACTCTATTGCCTTATATGTTCGTGTTATAAATTACTATTTCTCTTCAACAGTTATTTAAATTCACAGGTATATACTTTATCAGTAGTGGTTTTTTGTTTTTGTTTCTGTTCTGAGACAGAGTCTCGCTCTGTCACCCAGGCTAGAGTGCAGTGGTGCAGTCTCGGCTCAATGAAACCTCTGCCTCCCAGGTTCAAGCGATTCTCCTGCCTCAGCCTCCCGAATAGCTGGGTCTACAGGTGCCCACCATCACACCTGGCTAATTTTTGTATTTTTAGTAGAGATGGCATTTGACCATGTTGGTCAAGCTGGTCTCGAACTCCTGACCTCAGGTGATCTACCCGCCTCAACCTCCCAAAGTGCGGGATTACAGGCGTTAGCCGCTGCACATGGCCTACTAGTATATTTTTTTTAAGCAACAGGGTCTTACTCTATCACTCAGGCTGGAGTACAGTGTGACAATCATAGCTCGATGCAGACTTGAACTCTTGGGCTCAAGTGATCCTCCTGCTTCAGCTTCCTGAGTAGTTGAGTCTACAGGAGCGAACCACCATGCCTAGCTAAATTTTACTTTTATTTTTTGCAGAACGGAGGTCTCACTATGTTGCCCAGGCTGGTCTTGAACTCCTGGCCTCAAATGATCCTCCTGCCTCAGCCTCCTGAGTAGTTGAGACTACAGGAGAGTACCGCCATGGCTGGCTAATTTTTATTTTTATTTTTTGTAGAACAAGGTTCTCACTATGTTGCCCAGGCTGGTCTTGAACTCCTGGCCTCAAGTGATCCTCCTGCCTTGGCCTCCCAAAGTGCTGGGATTACAGAAATGGTGTTCACTTTATTTAACTATATTGTAGACTCTAATTACCTAACTATGCTGTAAATTCTTAATATAGGGTCTATGTTATGTTCTACTTTATTGTAAGTTTCAAGGGGAAGGTCAGGGTCCATTTTGTTCATTACTATATGCTTGACCTCTTCCACAGTATATGATATATTCTCCTCCTAGATCCTCTTTTTATATTTAATACTTAATGCATGTCTCTGATTGCCAGGCAATAAGCTAGGCAGTGTGGATACAGCAGAGAACAAATGAGACCAAGTCCCTGCCCTTGTGAAGTTTACCTTCTAATAGGGGCTGACTGACAATAATCAAATAAATATACAATATGTGAGGTGGGGGTAAGTGCATTGAAAAAAATAAAGGTAAGGATATAGAGACTGATCAACATTAGGGACATGCTATTTGATATTAGGGTTGGGGAGGAAGTCAGGAAATGCCTCTCTTTTCAGGTTACATGTGAGCAGTATGGGGGCACACCATTCGGACATCTAGGGGAAGGGGATTCCAGGTAGAGGAAACAGCAAGTTCAAAAGCCCAAGGTGGAAATGTGTGCTTGACATGTATGCAGAAGTAGAATAAGCAAGAGGGCTAGCTGGGGGAGATGAGGTCAGAGAGGTAAGGAAAACAGACTGTGTAGCACCATTTAGGCCATGGTGAGGACTCTGACTTTTATTCCAAGTGATATAAGAGGTCATGAGCAGAGGGGGAGACCTAATATTTCAGAAAGATCACTTTGGCTGCTGAGTGAAGAGAACACATTACAGGAAAGCAAGGATAGAAACTGGGAGGCTAGTTGGGAGGCTTTTGCAGTAAAATCCTAGCAAGCAGTAATAGTGGTTTTGAATAGGGTAGCAAGAAAACAGTGATGAAAGGTGGTCAGCTTCTTGAAATATTTTTGAGGAAGAACCCACAAGATTTGTGGGTAAAGGTATACATAATCTGAGAGAAAAAGAAGGAGGAAGAAAGACTGCAAAGTTTTTGTCCTTAGCATCCTATAGAATAGAGTTTCCAATTACGGAGATGGGAGAAGCTGTAAATGAAGCAGGTTTCCAAAGAAATAAAGAGCTCGGTTTTAGATAATTTTGAAATGCCTAGAGGACATCCAACTGGTAATCAGATATGAGTCTGAAGTTCAGGACACAGGCCAGGGCTACAGACATACATCTGGACTTCCTCAGCATACAGATGATATGTAAAGCCATGGAACTACACACGCTCACTTAGGAAGTGAATTAAACAGAGAAGAGGTGTAAGGACTGGAACTGAGGCTCTCTAAATTCAGAGGTCAGAAAGATGAGAAGAAAACAGTAAAGGAGACGAGAAGGTACAAACAGTAAGCTAACAACAGACCCCAAAGAATGGGGTCCCTGAGGCCATGAAAGTTGATGTTATATCTCCCCCACTGCCAAGCGAAGTACTTTGCACAAAGTGTTCAGAAAACATGTGACTGATTTCAAAAGCAATACTTAGGGATAAATCCAACTGATTATATTATTTACTCCTTGAAATGTTAAAGATGAGTCTAGTACAATACATAAAAGGTTAGAGGTGTGCTCACCTTCATCTAAACTGTTAATGCGAATTTATTAAAAGATACATCATTACAAAGAATAAACTGAATTTCTAGAATAATCTTTAAAGGTAAGGAAAATAGGCAGGGCACAGTGGCTCACACCTGTAATCCCAACACTTTGGGAGGCTGAGGTGGGAGGATTGCTTGAGTCCAAGAGTTCAAGACCAGCCTGGGCAACATAGATGATACCTCATCTCAACAAAAAATTTAAAAAAATTAGCTGGGCATGGTGGCACATGCCTGTGGTCCCAGCTACTTGGGACGTGAGGTGAGAGGATCACTTGAGCCTGGGAGGTTGATGCTACAGTAAGCCATGATCGTATCACTGCACTCCAGCCTAGGTGACAGAGTGAGGCCCTGTATCAAAAAATAAATAAAAGTAAGGAAAATAAATATGTGAAAATAACATGTTAAAAAGTCCACACAAGACAGAAGGGAGAAACAACCTGTGTTCACATTCCAACATCTGGACTCCCACACAAATTTATGCCATGCATAAGATCAACTGCATCTGGATTTTACCATGTTTACTAAAATTATTTATGCCTAGAATTTCAAATTCTAGGAGAACCAAAAAATATGAATCATCCCAGCTGACTCTTGTTCACAAAATAAATAACCTAGAGCTGATCATACATTTTCTGATAAAGCTGGTACAATCTCATACAATTAAAGTAGGCATCTATTTTCTATGGTACTATTCTGCATATTAAGTTCTAAACATATTCCAATCAAATTATTTTAAATTATGAGCAGAAAGAATTTATAATAGGGAGCATATGTGCTTTCCTAGTGATTGTGAGGTAGGATATAATTAAAGAAAGAATGGGGGAGGCTGGCCTATAATCTTACTATAAATATTTCAGATTTCAGCATAACTGACAATATCCTATGTCATAAATGTCAATTTATTAGCAAAATAGTTATCAAAATGAGCACGGAAATACCCCTTTTTTGCCTCTTGGAGAAAAGACCTGGAGCGTAATTGCATGTATAATGACTTTTATTCATAATGGCAACACAGGGACACTGAAATGATAGTATTGCCACTGTTCTATGAAGGACACAGGGCACTTCCTTCATTAACCACATGAACTAAATGCTACTGACTTAAATTCTACTTCTCACATAACGTACTTCAAAGAAGGTTAGTGAAAAGAGGGACACAATTACTCTGTGAATTATTTATAGAGTGTTATCAATTGTTGAAAGGTTCTCCAAATGGATAGGAAACCTAAGAAAATAATCCAGTCACTAAAATAGTGAAAGCAATGGTTAGGATTTGGCTCAAGAAATAACCAGTAATTAAAAAGAGATGGTCTTATTCTAGGTAAGCAAGAAAGAAAGTGATGGTTATTTTGCTCCCTATGTCTCTCAGAGAACAGGTAGAAGACAAGAAAAACGGTGAACAAAGGCTATTTTAAAATAAATAAAAGTTACAAATGTATTTGTTATTAGCTCATTGCAGAGATAGTTCACTCTCTCAAATAATAACATCAGTTCTTTGTTTTCCATGCAAAGATTTCACAGCTTGTGAGATATCCTGTATTCCCTGATTCTCTATTCTCTGAATGCCCTAGGGATTTATAGGACGTCCATCAGAGACATGGCAGAGGTAAAAAGACAAAGGAAAAGAAAGCTCTCTGAGATCTGATTCATTATGAAAAAGTTTGATCGAGACAAGACAAATAAATCATTGTCTAAAACGCAATTCTTAATTCTCCTCATTGGCACAGAAAGTTAAGAGTTGGTCTCACTCAGGTTCAATTATTAAATCTACTTCCTTATTAAAACATGGCATTGGTTAAAGCTAATATACTGTAGGATCATCAGTTTCTATACTTACAGATGATGCTTCTATTCTTACAGATGATGCTTCTTTGCTCTGTGTGACATTTTATTTATTAACCAAAAAAGCCCCTGCTTTTATGTAAATTTAGAATAACAAGATACAAGTCTTTCCTCAACTTAGAAGTTTCCATTTCAAAGACTTTATAGCATTGGCACAAAGGAAAACTAAAACAAAAAGAAAGAAGATGGTAGAAATCGAGGGGGTTAAACTATTAGGAGATACCCACATGAGACTATAAGTCTCCTACTTAAAACAAGGAATCTGAGAGTTGATTGTATTACATTTTCCCAAAAGATTATAAGGCTGAACAACTCTGAAGCCAATACAAAACATGCAGAACGCTTCTCTGCTGTATAAAGCTCATGAGTACACAAATACTGACACAAACAAAAATCTTTTAGTACCTTGCGAGATTAATTTTAAAACCCTCTAGATGTCACCTTTTAATGCAATGATATGGTTTCAGTAACTAAATGTAAACCAGCTGTGGTTCAGCTAATGAAAAATATAATTTTTAAATTTTAAATTAAATAAATTTAAATTTTTAAATTAAAATTTAATCCTCTAATTTCTTGGTCTTTTTAGGTTTATTTGAAGGTAGATTTTATTAACACGTTTAGGACTAATGGCCAAGCTTCGAAATTTTAGTATTCTGTCACATACTAAAGTAGCCATCCACAGAAATACTTCAAATAGTTTCAGGGAAATCAACACTGACAGTTGTTGCCTTCCATAATAGATAAACACATTAGCCAGGCTCTAGCTGTTAAAACAGGAAATCCAAAGTAAACAGCAGTTGTAAAAAGAAGCTTTTATGTAAACTATACTAGTTCAAATAGCAGTCTTTGCCAACCTTCTTTCTGCCTAAAAACCTATTACAGATGCTTGACTACTGATTACAAAATAATTTGTGGTTAAGAAACAGGCCGGGCACAGTGGCTCACACCTATAATTCCAGCACTTTGGGAGGCCGATGCGGGCAGATTACCTGAGGTCAGGAGTTCGAGATTAGCCTGGCCAACATGGTGAAACCCTGTTTCTACTAAAAATACAAAAATTAGCAGGGCGTGGTGGCACGTGCCTGTAATCCCAGGTACTCAGGAGGCTGAGGCAGGAGAATCACTTGAACCAGGCAGGCAGAGGTTACAGTGAGCCAAGATCACACCATTGCACTCCAGCCTGGGCAACAAGAGCAAAACTCTGTCTCAGAAAGAAAGAAAGAAAAAAAAACAGAGCCCCTCATACTGTTTAGGTCTCAAGTCAAATATGTTATGAGGTCACAGATATTAATTTCAAGATAACTGATTGTACATAGGGCTCATAAATCAACCTAATGAATGATATAGGGAACTTGGCTAGATTAGAAAGATTTTCAATAAGAGAAAGCTACTGTAACTCTACATTTGCCATTTCTTCTTTCTGTTTACTCCGGCTATATACCCCTTTTTACTCCCATACCTGCCTCAGAGTTAATGTGGTCATCACTACCTCCATATTTCTTCCACAAGTTGATGTGGCCTGATTCAAGCTTTTAACACTCTCCACATCAACTAGAGTAATGTCTTTTAATATATGGTCTAAATACCTCTGAGATCAAGGAAACTACAGTCATTCTGATCTCTTGATCAAGGATTCTGAAATAATGTAGTGGGCAAACAGAGAAGCAAGAGATATAAAGCCTAATGATGAGAAGGAATGAAAGAACTGGAATTGTTAGGCAATATATGTGGGGGAAAATAGAAATACCCTGAGGATTGACTAGCTAGGAAACTCTCTCTTGAAACAACGTGATAACCATCTAATCTTTGCTCACAGTTTCTGGGAAAACTAACAATAAATTACTTTCCAAAATCAGATACATAAATGGCTACTTCAGAAAACCTCCTTATTCTAATAATTAATATTCTATTGTGCTTTATAGTTTATAAAACATTTTACATATAGTAAAGCTATTTGATTTCCACAAAAATTTGTGAGGTAAATATTATTATTATCACCACTTTATAGACAAGGAAACCAAGGCTTGGTGAGGTTACTGAATGCTTCACGATTCCTATCTGTAAGTACTGGAGTGGGAAGTAGATCTGGGTCCTCTGAAGCCAAATCCAGTGCATGTCCCAACAAGCTTTGTGTGAAAATAAACTGGTTGCTTCTAGATCCTCTAATTTCAGTTGTCTTCAACATTCTCTGGATATGGTCAGTGTTGATTTTTTAAAAGCAATAGGGAAAATCGATTGAATGGCTCACTTTTCAGAGTTGCATTAACTTTTTCAGGCCACTGGGGTACAATTTACTAAATTACCTCTTCTAGAACACTAAATAGTACCCTAGTGGGTCAAAGAGTAAATGCACCTCTGAAAAGTGAGCCATTTCTTCCCTTCTTCCCCGTAATATCAGATGTAATATGTCCCCTATGACAAAAATATTAACCCGTTTCCATTAAAAACTCAAGAAATTGTCCACACTAGATAAAATGAGTATGGAGAAGCTTCCCTAGGGAGCTGAAGAGGAGCAAAAATCTCTCTTCTATAATCCTGCCCACAATACTGTTGACAAGTCAACATGAACTTATATAAAAATATTTGTTTTTCATTCAATGGAGATTTATTTTAATCAAGACCTCAAAACAGAATAAAAATATAAATTCAAAGCTGATGGTTTCCAGGGGGCAGATGCAGAGGATATCATCATGGCTAGTTTCATCCTGCATTACAGTGTTTAAAACTAAGCTCAAGCATTCATCTTGCTTATGAGATAATAGATATATCCCAAACAGCTGGTCTTTCACATGTATCATTATACAATAGGTAATCTCTCTGACCGAATGAAACAAACATTCCTTGGCTGGCAAGTAAGCATGTTATTACTTCTAATCTCCATAAAAGCAAACTCTCTGATACATTTTTGAATTGTCTTAGGAATAGCTATTGAGTGATTTAACATTTGCAAGATACCTTAGCAAAGCCAGTCTTTTAAGTTTTCTGCACTGTTCTTGCCTTACTCTTCTGGAAGATGGCTTTGCAATGAAAATAAGACAACTTTAATTTAAGAATCATCCAGCTTCTAATTAAACTGCCATAGGCAGCTGGTTGGATAAGTTTTAATCAGTTTCAATCACCTATTGATTGGTATACTGAAGCCTGAAAAATTAAAAGTAAAAGATGATTGGGGAATTGTCCCATCTCAGAACAACAGTAGAGGCCTCTGTAAATAACTCCTCTTTTAACTATCAGCTAAATGAACACTTCAATACTGCAGTACAAAGTCTTCTGCAAAATTACTTTAACTAACAAGCAGAAATTTATCAGCTTCAGCCAAAATCAATGCTGAAATCAATTTGAACACTGGTTGTGTCTAAAGGGGCTCATTGGCAATTTAGGGAAATTACACCATGTAAATGCCTGTGCTTTAATTGAACAGTTTCATCAACTAGGCTGTGATTGCTGTCCATTCATTTATTTACTTTCGCTGCAGCTACCATTCTGCAAAGAAATGGCTTTTGTCAGGCTGGAGAGAGGCACTTTATCTTCATTTTGTGCACTTTTGTGCATAAAAGACTTCATGAAATGGGCATATCATGACTAGGGTCAAAAGAAACCAGGAGAGACTTTTTCCTTTAACGTAAAAACTGAACGACACAAACTACCATCATATCTTATACCATCCAGGGACAGTCATCTTCAAACCAATAATAAGAAGGAATTTGAGTGACTTCACTGCACATGACACTATGCCTCTAGGTTGAGGAGCTATGTTCTGGACAACAGAAGGAAAGTATTTGGACTTTAAAACCCAATTCCACCAATGTTCTTTATGAGATACCTTTGTTGAGTTACAAAAATATATAAACTGTGTTAGAACATTCTCCCTCAAAAATTAGGCAACATTCTGTTTTTAAAAATCCTTTGAGGTTAGTCAAGGGAAGGTGTTATTCTCCAATCCATTTAGAAGATTAAAACTTAACGGTGTCACATATACTCTTAAAATATGATAGATAGGAGAAAGCAGAAAGAGGTCTATGTGAGAGGAGGGAAACTAACTTCCTTATAAAGACCAGCAAGTCCAAAATATTTAGATTCCAGAAATGATTTAAATACACTCATAAACTAACTCACAAAATCATGGCAGTGAAAAAAAAAAAAAAAAAAGAAAACCAAAGATAAAATTTCCAGGGAGTCATGTGTTGAACTGACTGAGGTTCAGAGATCAGCACAAACATTTCTGACATTGAGCTAATCAGTTATTCAGAGATTACACGTTCCAAGGAAGGAGGGAGGAAGGGAGACAGCTGTTTGTTCATATTGGTCATCTACAAGATACATGTGCCTGGTGCACAAAATAAAAATTCAAAGTACAGCTGAAGTATATCTGCTAGAGATTGCTGGCAGAAATTCTTAGGTTTGCATATATTCTGTTTATTCTAGCTCCTCTTAGAGCCAAAATGTAATTATTTACCAGGAATGGCATTGGGAAAGGACTAAGAATTAAAAAAGCCTGGGTTTCAGTGGTGATCTTATCCTTGACTTGGTCTGAATCCTCAGGGAAATCCATTCATTTATCTGTGTTTCCATTTCTTCATAAATCAAATGAGGATGACGATACCTAGTGTGCTCAGCTACATTCCCACACAGCTGGGGCCATAACATGAAGCTTGTGATTGGCGCCCACTGTAGAAATGTAAATGCAACCACAGTGACTCTGAGTACCTCTTGGCATCTTCCACGTATAAGGGCAGGTAGGGCTTTGAAACATTTCACTTGAGACTCCAAAGGAGCAGGGAAACTTCTCATTTGCCCCTTCGGTCAGTTACCCCAGCTGTTGTGCTCTGCAAATACTCACTAAGAATTACCTCCAAAAGAAGTTAAAAGAGAGGAGAAACAAATGGTGTACACAAACTTAACTCGGTACATGTGTCTATGGTAAAAATTCATTCTATAATTTTATCCCATGTATTTTACCCCACCACTTATAAAGTTTCATTGGCTATATATTTTGTTGCTGAGGCCATGTAAAATATATTTTATTCATAATTTTTAGATAACTTTTCTGAAAATTTAATTATGATTTAATAAGTTTTATGTTTATTGGCTAAGTATATTGATACATTTTGCTGCTACAGTTAACCGTCGTAATAGAATCAGTATGTTTGAGAACCTCACACAATACATATCTTCCAAATACATTAAGCTTGTTAAAATGCTATATTGATTGTGCCCTAAAGCAAGTTCTAATTTTGTGTGAACATTTTTCATTTTATTATTTAAATTCACAAGACAAAAACCATTAACTGCTTTCAGCAATACCACTGTACTCTCTCTTTCTTTTTGCCATACTGACAAGGAAAAGTAAGGAAATTTTAGGGTCAAGAAGACAACATGATATAAAGTCACATTTAAAAAGCAAATTAATGTTTTTTTAAAAAAATTTAATGCTTAATACCCACAACCTAAATCTCTACTGCTATTCCCCCTCAAATTTTGCAAACTGCTCCTCCAATTCAACGTTAGTGTACAAATCAGAACCTAAACATATTTCACTCTAGTAAGACAGCAATTTAACAGAAACATGGTCCCCTACATCAAAGTAACCAATGACAGAGCAAAGAAAAAAAAACTGTGGCAGAAAGTTATACGCGGTAAATGCCTTTTGGACTTTCCAGTGAATTATTTTCCAAAAAAGCAATTTAAGTAAATACCCTAGATGCTATGGTACACAAATATTTGCTTGTGCAATATGCCAACCAAGAGACTACGATTTTCGAACACATCAAATACTGTAAAATAGCTATAAAAAAGAAACGTGTCTTATAAATCAAGAAATAGACCACCCCTGCTAGCACAACCATACATTTAATCCAGGGATTCAATTATTAAATTATAAGTTTTTGGTAAATAAGGACACCCAAAGGGTAGACCAAATAACAAGTTATGTTGTCATAACTGTCAGCCAAGAAGTGGACGTTTTAACATCTACTAAAAAGCCTCTAAAATTAACACCTAGAGATGATACATCATTGACTTTCAAATTTATACACTAATTTTATATCTTACATCCAAAAATAACTTGGGTTAATAGTTAGGAAATTCAGAGAGTGAATGGCAAACAGAAAAACCTTGGCTTGGGAAGCAGGTGTCAGAAGACCTAAGTTTTATTCTTGACTTGATCTTGGGCATGCCACTTAGCCCTTCCAAACGTTATCTTTCTCATAAGTAAAAAGAGGGTAACATACCTTCTTAGCAAGGATTTACTAAGGACTAAAAGACCCAGCATGATCAAGCCCTGTCCATCTCTACACCTTCCCCAGAGCTTATTCTACTCCAATTACACAAGTTCATGCCTATCTTAATCTTAGGGCTTCCGCCTGAGTGGTTACTTCTGCCTATAAGGTTCTTCTCCCAGATTTTCCCATACTGATTCCATCCTGTCTTTAGGTCTCAGCTCAAACAGCACCTCCTCAGATAGGTCTTCCTGAGCACCTCTTCTACATTTTTTATAGAATATGCAAAGTCTATTCTATAGACCTATAGAATAGGTCTACAGAATCTACAGACCTATAGAATAGGTCTACAGAATCTACAGACCTATAGAATAGGTCTACAGAATCTACAGACCTATAGAATAGGTCTACAGAATCTACAGACCTATAGAATAGGTCTACAGAATCTACAGACCTATAGAATAGGTCTACAGAATCTACAGACCTATAGAATAGGTCTACAGAATCTATAGACCTATAGAATAGGTCTACAGAATCTATAGACCTATAGAATAGGTCTACAGAATCTATAGACCTATAGAATAGGTCTATAGAATAGGTCTATAGAATCTATAGACCTATAGATTCTATAATCTTACTTCAGTGTTTATTGTCTTGATTATTGTTTGCCCCACTAGTGTGAGTTCTGGATAGGGACCTTGCCTATCTTGTTCACAACTGGACTGTACATGCTTGGAATAGTCCTTGGCACAGTGACAGGATGTTCAGTGAAAAATGAATATAGACTAAACAAAACCAAGCAACACCTGACATAAGGTTTTTATGGTAACTGAATGCTGAATTTAGTTCTGGGACTTTAGGCTTGGGAGACACCTGTGCAGTCATCTCATGTCCAGGTCAAAGTGGGAATTCTTTTCTCAGCAGTTCTGAACAACAGCCACATCATTCTGCTTAAGGTAGAGGAGTTCACCACTTCCCAGAGTCACCCAGCAATGAACAACACATTGTGTCCATCCTTAGGCTGTGAAGAATCTGCCTCTGCAGGTAAATTCCTGAAACACTCACTAAGTGCCTACAGTAGGTAAGGCACCGTGCTGGCCCTGTGAGGACTCCCACCAAGGTAACCTAGACATGACTCTCCTCCAGGGAACACAACCCAGTGGGAACAAGAGTAGAAAGAGTACATTAATCACTCTAACCAAAGGCCGACTGTCACAGAGACATTCAAGACAGGCCCTTTGTGTCTAGTATTCAGAAGAACACAAAGCAAACCTGCTCCTCATCTACAGAAATGCCCTTCAGACTTTAAGTCAGCTGTCATGGAGCCCTTTAATCTTCTCTTTCTCAGAGAAAAGTTAGCCAATTCCTTTCAAACACTTCTCAGCTCAAATGCCAGTTCCTCCATGAGGCCTTTCCTGATCCTTCCTGAGGAAAAAGCTAAAAGCCATCAGTTCTTCCTCAGCCCCCCAGATCTGTGCACCATACACACAGACAGGTGGCCCCAGACTGTGGGGTCCTGTGCATACCTGAGAACAGAACTTCCTCATCTATCCAGACACAAGTTTTATGAGGCTAGGCTGTCCCCAACATCTGACACGCCCTCCACACAGCACATGCTCAGAACTTGGCTGCTGGACAGATGAATGAAGGAGGACTGAACAGACACAATTCCCCAATCCCTCATTATTCTCTCCATTGCTCCTCTGGGTGCTCTCTGAACTGTCCATATGTCTGTAAACTCAGCACCCAGAACTACATACAGGAATCCAGAATCCAAAAGTGACAGACACTATGTCAGTCCCTGATGTTATGCCTTCTTGGTGTGGCAGGGAATAGATTCAAATGGAAATTAGATCTCTTACACCCTACAACACAGAAGTGCGCTAATGTAATGTTTACCTGATCACAACCACTTTTGCTGGGGACTTTAAACGTCTTTATAAATAAAAAATTGTTACTAAAATATTAGAAAGAAGTCTTGCCACTTCAAAACTATTTTTTTCTCTGAGAGGAGATGAAGTTGAAACACTTAGATTCAGCAAATTCTTACTTGAAATATTACCATAACGTATTGATTTTTACCAGACTCAATTGACTGAAAAGTTGTTTGTATAGCAATATTGGCCAAACCAATATACTAGAACAATTTTGTTACCCATAGTAATCAAGTGCATTTCTGAAGTATAATTATACTATCATAAAAAATAAAACCAAGATACCCTTTTCCAAGCAATAAAACAATAAAGGCTATAAAACAGAAAGAAAAAAAGGCTAAATAAATGAGATTTTTAAAAATGAAATTTAGTGTCTTTCAAAAACACTACTGCCTCTTCTTCCTTCCCTTAAGCCAAGGTTAGCAGAAAATGATCAATACTTCAATCTCAATAAACTATTTCAATAATAGTTAATTCGGGTGGAAACTGAGTCTGAAAATCTCTGCTCAGCGACCTGTGACATCCTGTCATGTTGGCTGGATGCCAATAATACATCATTGCCATAATGGATATGAGCATGTATGAAGTTACAGGAACATGGAGAGGTGGGGAAAAGCAAAGGTGGGAAAGGTACAGAGAACCATGAGCTCAGGTTCATTCCTTAGATTCGAATCAATAAAATATACATTATCGTATGAAACAAACCTGTAACAATGAATGCTGAGAGAAGGAGAGAAGGAAACATACATAATTAATTTTATTTGACAAATATTCATTGATTTTCTGAAAACATTAATATCCTTGCTTGTCACGATACTATAATGCAATCCAGTCATATACAAATATTTAATTTTGCATTAGGATGATGTCTTGTTTGCTTCTTTAAAATATGATCTTGGCTGCAAGGAAAAGACTCCTTAAGTGATTAGAAATTTAAAGTCAAAATAAATCAAACCATCATTCTAGCTCTCAGGTCAATTTTAAAACCATTTAAAAACTACTCTTAATTTACAAGATACACATCATGCAAAAATATATAAAGGAGTAGGGCCACTAACACAGCCACAAGCGAAGCTGGGTCCAGACCTCTTGCTCCCTCTTTAAGTTTCACACCTTCAGGTTGGTTGGTGAAAGAGGAAGTCAAGGTTTTCTGGGTACTATGTGGTTCCCAATATTTTCACCACCAAGGACTCTTTTCATTCTGTTTCCCCTAAGGAATTCCATGTTTTGAAATATTCTGTTTACTAAATAGCATTTAACTAGACAATTTATGTATTTTCTCATTTTATACAAATGACCATCAGTCCTTCTAATTTTCATTAAATAAATCATATTACTATAATGAGCTAATATGATTCCAGCTCCCAAACAGTAATTTAATGTTTTAGTTGGCCTCTACAGTCAAATCACAAGTGCAAAACACAACCTAATAGGCCACAGGATCTCAGTTACCACCTCCAAGGACCATCCCCAGCCCACTGCCCAGCAAATACCTCTTTTTAGATAAGGCAACAGAAAGGAGGAGAGACCAGCATCTTTGAGAATGACAATTCCTTCCCTCCTCTTATTGTCTCTAGATAGGTTCAAATTAATTCCTAAGTAATGGTATACATTCAACCTTCAAAACACCATGAAGGCAGTATATATACTACCCATTGTATCACTGAGAAAATTCTACCTCAAGTCCAGATCAGACTCTTACTCTATCCTGTGGGAAGGAGCTGGAGATAGAAAATTCAGTTTTCAAACATCTTGAGACTAGATTATCTGGCCCCAAAGCTGAAAATATGAGTCTTGGCTTGAATAACTGGCATTAAGGAAAAAATAATATAAAAGATAATCTTTCAGTGATTGCTGGCTAACTGACTTACTATGATTTAATCCTAAAAGTTAAATATTACTTCATTTCTAGATCCAAAGTTTGAGTGACTCCATCAAATGATATGCCAAGGAAGCAGAGTCTGAGAGACTGGCTTTGGAATCAAACAATGTTTCCAAAGTAACTATGCCTGTTAATTACTTTTATTTCCATATGACATACTACCCAAGAAAAAGAGACAGTAACTAGTGAGTCAACAGATACTAAGCACTGAAGGTTTTAACATTTTAAAGAAAGTTAATCATTCGAATATCAATCTCCTCAGTGTGGATATTCTTTTTCTTCTAGGTGAATGTTCTACAACAATTGTACAGCCTCGCAAAGTAGCTAGATATGAGGAAGATCCAATGAAAGAGCCCCACTAAAACCTCCACTTGCCTCATTCTCATTTTAGCCAAGACGTACCAAGGGTCTATTTTATCCTTAAAACTGTGCTGGGTACATGAGAAAACACAAGAAAACAAAATGGACTCTGCTTGACCTTGAGACAACACTGCCTGGGGGAAGAACACCAAGCAAAAAGAAAAGAAATGCTGTATAGAAATCTGGCTTTGCTGCTGAATGGCCACATGATAAGCCCCAGTTTTTTCAGTGGTAAAATGGGCTTAACCCAGCTGTCCTATAGCAATCTGAAAATAAATTAGGATTAAAAATACTTTGAAACTTTAAAAAATCATTGTATTTAAGATAATACATAAGATATCATGATTCATTAAGCAACTACAGAATAGAAGAAAATACAGAAGTATAATGTGTATAATATAAAGGCAGAATTTCTCAAAGTTAGTTCAACACAACTATAATTCTGTGAGATGTTTATCAAAAAGAGTCCCATGGCTGGCTGGGGGTGGTGATTCACGCCTATAATCCCAGCACTTTGGGAGGCCAAGGCAGGTGGATCATGACGTCAGGAGATCCAGACCATCCTGGCCAACATGGTGAAACCCCATCCCTACTAAAATACAGAAAATTAGCTGGGCATGGTGGTACATGCCTGTAATCCCAGCTACTCTAGGGAGGCTGAGGCAGGAGAATCACTTGAACCCGGGAGGCAGAGGTTGCAGTGAGACGAGATCTTTCCACTGCACTCCAGCCTGGCGACAGAGCGAGACTCTGTCTCAAAAAAAAAAAAGAAAAGAGTCCCATGGCCAAGTCAAGGTAGGAAGTACAAAATGTAAATAATTTTTCTATTATTAGTACTACCATTACCAGTAGTTAACATTTAATAAGTGTCAGTCATAGCGCTAAGCCTTTTACGGATCTTCTCATTTAACCTCACAACAACCTAGATACTATTAATTTTTTTTTCTTGTTCTGTTGCCAGGCTAGAGTACAGTGCCACAATCTCGGCTCACTGCAACCTCCACCTCCCGGGTTCAAGCTATTCTCCTGCCCCAGCCTCCCGAGTAGCTGGGACTACAGGCGCCCACCACCATGCCCAGCTAATTTTTATATTTTTAGTAGAGTCGGGGTTTCACTATGTTGGCCAGGATGGTCTCAATCTCTTGACCTCGTGATCCACCTGCCTCGGCCTCCCAAAGTGCTGGGATTACAGACGTGAGCCACCGCACCCCGCCCAACCTAGATACTATTATTATCCCCATCTTGCAGATGGGAAAACTGAGGCATAAGACATTATATAACTTGCCAAAGGTTACGTAGCTAATTAGTGACAGAGGCAGGATTCAAACTTAGAGCCCTCACACTTAACCACAACACATACTATTCTCTACTTTCTCAAAGTTTTTGAAATTCATTATGAATCTCTCAGAGGGAAATAGAACATGTGTCTTTCCTGAATTTATTTTTTTGGAGCAACTTGCAGCACTTTAGGAAATGAGGCAACAAGGAAAATACATTCATTATCTTTTCCTAAACTTTTCTTCTTCCTAGGCTTGGGCCATACTTTAAGGTATTTCCTTTATGTTCCATGTAGCCCAAATTAGTAATCCAAGAAATACCAACTTAAAATTACCTGCCTAAGTCACTCTCATAATATAGAGCACAGCTCGTCAGGAGACAGCACACAGAATTCACATTACCATTTGGTTTAAATGTCTGGGGCCAGAATTTCATATTGTACAACTGTGAAGGATATCTACACTTAAAGGAGGAAAATGTATCAACTGTTAAATCATATACATTGTAATTACACGATTATAATATCCCTTGAAATTCCCAAAATTCCATCAAGTGAAGTGAATAAGACTGCATTATTAAACTTTTGCTTTGCACTTATTAGCTTTATTACACTTTAAAGAAAAAAATGGAATAAGCCTATTAGGCAGTTTTGTTACCAATGAGTGGATTTTCCAATATTTTCTTCATCTAGTTTATGTAGCATAGCCTATAATGTAATCATGCTGTTTGAAAAACCATATTTTTTATCATCAACACCATTAAGGTGAACTTAGTGTAGAAGAAACTCAATCATAACACATCAAACACTTAGTTTTATAGAGACTTTAGTAAAGTGGATCCTCATTTATCAATGATTATATCATTTCTTTGCACTGTACTAAAAGCCAGGGATATAAGAACAATAATACAAGCTGAAGCCTGAGCAAAAATGATGCCCAATGATCAATGACAAGCGGTTATGCAATTTGGTATCTTCACCGCCCCTCTCAAGAATCACACAGGCAATAAGGTAAATGAAATTTCTTTTTATAAGAAATCTACTATATAAGAATGAAAATTATCAGGATACTGTCATTCACCATCTATAAGCAATCCTGTCAAAAACATTACATCTTACAACACTCACAGTGAGCATTAGCAACGGTAGCTAAATGAGCTCTTAGGATAAATTCCTAACGTTACACACAGCATTCTAGCAAATTAAAAAACTTGTGGCAAGGACATATAGAAGAATGGTCCCTTTGACATAGTAGCCCTAATTAAAGGAGAAGTTCTAGCCATGCTTCTTAGCTAAAAACAACATTAACAGAGTGATGGGGGAGTTACTGTTTAATGGGTGCAGAGTTTCGATTACACAAGACGAAGAGTTCTGTGGATGAATGGTGTTAACAGTTGCCAACAATGTGAATGTACTTAATGCCACTAACTATACACTTAAATATGGTTAAAATGTTAACTTGAGTTATGTGTATTTCACCACAATTTAAAATAACAATTTTAAAAACAACATTAACATAATTTCATGTTGTAATTTTCCCTTGGGGGATGGGCATGTTTTTTCCACTTCTCTGTATACTCCCTCTTTTAAAAAATAAACCTGGCCAGGTCTGGTGGCTCACTCCTGTAATCCCAGCACTTTGGGAGGCCAAGGCAGGTGAATCACGAGGTCAGGAGCTCGAGACCAGTCTGGCCAATATAGTGAAACCCCATCTCTACTAAAAATACAAAAATTAGCTGGGCATGGTGGCGTACGCCTGTAATCCCAACTGCTTGGGAGGCTGAGGCAGGAGAATCCTGGGAGGCAGAGGTTGCACTGAGCTGAGATCGTGCCACTGCACTCCAGCCTGGGCAACAGAGCGAGACTCCATCTCAAAATAAACAAACCAACCAACAAACAAACAAGCCTATGTTTTAAAATAAAGGATTAAAATGTCAACATCTAGAATATTATGTCTCGTAAAAATTCTGCTGGGGTTTCATGGTCTTATGCTTCTTCCCTTCTAGAAATAAGCTAGGAAAATAAATTCACAATAGACCTTCAATTAATATAAAACTAAAGGTTTGGTGAAATAACACAGATAAGTAGGTTAGGAGTCTAAATAAACATTTTTAAATTCCATTTGAAGCAAATAAAAGGAATACAAAGAGTTGCCAGAAATCTTTCCTGTTTTATTATATTTGGCTATCAGCATAAAGGCATTAAGAAGAAAGGTTCAAGCTTTGAAAAGTGCTCCCTCCAGGGAACTCAATAGAAGCAAATCAGAGTATACATGTTCCTTCTTCCTCTTTCCTTTCTATGGGTACCTGAACTTAAGTACCTTCAGAACACAGGAAAAATCTAAGTCAGATCGTAAGGAAGAGAAGACTAAGATGAAAAGATACCGTTTATAGTGGAGGTTGCGTGGGAAGGAACGCTAGTATGATCCAGGGAAAGAGAATAGTAGCCGCAAAAATCATTAGACACATTGGACCTCAATTTTAAGGGCCAGGCCCAAGGCCCAAGGAACATGTAAGAAACATGTTATTATTTATTTCTCTGAATTATCATAGTGGAAGAACTTCATTTTCAGACCAACTGTTCACAATACTCAGTCATCTGCAGGAAAAAACAATCCAAACATGTGAACATAAGTTCTTAAAGGACTATATTCAGGAGAAAGGACTCACATCTTGGCTGTATCTGCAAAGGGCACTGAAGCCCTGAATGGGTGACTGGATCAGATTACTTCAAAAGAGCTTCTAAGCCTGAGAAATCAAATTCTATACCAAGGCTGCATCAATGAGTAGGGGATGTTCTGGGATTTTTAGGATGTGAACCTTCATGGTCATAGAATAGGGCAATTTTTATGTGTATTCATGTGGTTAGTCAGAACTTAAAATTCTAAGAACATGGGTAACCAATTAGAAAATAAGTTAATTATTTTACAACTCTGGAAATACATATTAATATCAATGTTAAAGTATCTGTGGTTGTGATCTAATATCACAACCATAATGTGATGCAGGATTAGTGTATACATGGAAAACCAGCTCTCTGGAGGAAAGTTTTATTATTCCCTCAGGGCTTTCTTACAGAGTATGGATTTTTTAATTCCTAGTGGAATATTTTTCATACACCATTGCAGACTATTAAGTACCAGATATTACATTATGTAGTTTAAACTTTGCACTACTGCATGAGAAGACCTCCCTGTCGGAGAACTATTTTTTATGGCTAGCATTTTTTAAGATGAAAATGAACATTCCTTTGGGGTAAGATCACTGCAACTGGAATTTGGGAGAACTTTATAACTTAACATATTCATCAATGTGTAGAAATTATCTCAGGGGAGTAGGGTGAGGAGAGAAGAAAATACAACAGGAAGAAGGCTTTTTAATAACTTATAGTGTTGACACAGGGCAAAGCAATGGTATTTATAAGGTCTGGCTTCCACTGGGCATAACTGTAAACAGGCAGGGGACTAGCGTAGGGTACTAGCAAGTTAAAAAATAATAATAATAGTGTTAAAAAGCAAAGGAAAAAAATGCATTAAACTTCAGGCCAGTTAAAGGTACACTTACTAATGGTGGACTATTAACTACACACCCAGGAGAGTTGCAGACTCGGAAATATTAAAAAGGCAATATAAATGCACTTTCCAGGCAATTCTTGAGAAAATAGATGTCTTGCAGAATTTTGGAGTCAAATATGGAAATAAAATCTAAGTGTTAGTGGTCATTTAAAAATCTTTGCCACAGAGAACTTGGATACTCAGTATTTGGAAAAGCGGATAGAAAGTTTAAACAAAATTGACTACTCACTTGTAGACTGTGCCTCCGTTGCCATGACCAAGAGTGTCCCGATATCGTATGTCTTGTTCATTCATCTCCACAAGAAAGAAAGAAAAACAAAAAGGGTGTCATGCTGTGGATGGAAATGTCAAGGAAAAGCAACTCTGGGCCATAAACAACAAGCAGTCTGGGTCATTTCAAGTTCAGCTGCAAAAACGAGAAGATCAATACAACGTTTGCTGTCCAATTTATAAAAGACGATACCAAGGGACGAAGTGATGGAAAGTTTAATGACAATTTGTTTGCCTGGGTCATTTCATTAAAGTTTGATAAAAGGTGTCAAAATGGAATGATACAACATAGCTCAAAAGGGTCAGGTCAGAGATACTGATAAGAAAACAGTCTCCAGTACTGCATATAACCAATGCCAAAGAGCACTGCACATAACCAAAGTCAAACTTAGGAAGACAATACACACACACACTCAGTAATCTAATGCATGATCTGTAAATAAATCAGCCCTAGAAAACTCCTCAGATGACCCCCATAATTAACATTTAACAAACTAAATAATGTTTATGATTTTCCTAGAGTAGATATAGCTTTTCTTTGCAAATAACAAACTAGTATACAGCAATAATTAGGCAGAAATCATATTATGAAGATGGAAAAGCACGAAATCAATGCACTTAAGATGCACATATAGTCGAATATTATAATACATAAAGGAAAAATACATAGGCATGTAATTTTTATTAAAGTCATTTTCGTAACTTTATATATAAGTTTGCATGTTTTTCAAGGTTCTATAAAACCTATTATACCACAAATAACTACTCTCATTTGTATTATGAATAGTAGGTGCCCATAAAATAATGTTTTAGAGTTTAGAGAGCTCCCTATACAATTATTTATCAAATGACTTTAAGACTAGTCAGACTTTATTTGATGCATTCAGTAATTTTCTACACACTGGTCCAGATGCTTAAAAATTAACTGCCAACTTTATTCACTAAGTGGATTTAATAAAGGTGTTCTTTTCCATATAGCTAAAGCTTGGGGAAAGCCACTGCAAGCCCTGAAAAAAAAAAAAATCAATTTCCAGGGAATTGCACTGCCTTGCATGGGCAGAAAATGGATGGAGTTTTTAATTCAATATCACTTGGAAAAAAAATAGTTTGCTCTCAGACCAGTATAGCAAAGCTTTAAATATTTTGCTCTACTCTAAACTTCCACCAATTGAATAAAGCAAGGGTTCATTTACCAAGGGAAATATTTTCCTTCTACACATTTCTGAAGTTGAAGCTTCAGAGAGCTGTGATAATTAGGAGTACAATGCAGGTAACAGAAACAGCTTCTTTTCCAAGCCATTTTACCAATCCTTAAAAGAATATTGACAGATTAATGTGTAAAGGCCAATCCAGCACCCAATTTAATTGTAGTACAACCAGACTGATGCCCTTTACAATCAGCTAATTATTATATTTAGGGTCAGTGAAGTAATGAAAGACATGCCAGAACAATTGGCAACTATTTTCCTATTTGAGGGGAATTCTGTTCATCACTACCTTTATACTACTAATACAGAAAAAAAATATTTTAAGCTGTATAAAAGGTGTGGCATAAACAAAATAAAATCTCATTATTCTGGACCGAATGATAAATTTTAAAGCAGCATGAAGAAAAGTAGCACATAAAGTGACGAGATGCTAAACTAGCAGAGTTGCTGTTTGGTTTACTTTGATCAATGAAGGAAACGTAAATAGCAGTATCCATTGGTGGGCACAAATAGGCCACTGGGGCTAATTCCCTTAGAACATTTCTCTAAGTAATCTAAACATGTCCGTAACAACCTGATTTGTACTATTAACTAACAAGCTACACTCTCATCATGGCTTGACATAAATTTCTACGAGAGACATTTCACTCACTCAAGTACACAAATTCTGCATTTGTGGCACTAAGGTTTAAGAGTAAGCAGGAAGTTGCTATGTAGTAGATAGAGTCTACACTCTGGAGGGGCCACAGTCTGCAGTCATATCCCCTCCACCACTTCATAGGCAAAGGGGTAGGTATGGCATGTCTCTGAGCATGTTCAAATGGTATAATTCTGACATCATAGTCTTTTTACCACTTACATCCACTACAGGGAAAAGAGAAGGGAAGAAGCTACCCAATCCACATTCCCAGCACTCCAACCTAACAAGGAGTAGTAAGCATCCAACACTGTCAGGGCACAGGCGGGGAAGGAGTGCAGGGAGGAGGAGGGGAGAGGGAGAATGTTTATTTCAAGTGTATGTGCATGTGCATTAATTAACACTGTCTAAACAAATTCAAGAATGGAAAAAATCAAGACAAATATGGAATCCTTCAGATAACCAGGAGGATTGCAAGAGTCTCATAAAGATAAAAATGGTTTTGAAGAGCAAGTTCTGGAACCATGTCACTTAGTATCTATAAAAAGTGAGCAACGTGTTCCTATAATGTCTTTCTACAATGTTTTAAAGTTATGCAAACCTTTGGCCTGTGAACTGATTGACAGTTTTTTAGTTTTAGTTTTAGTTTTTTTTTTTTGGAGATGAAGTCTCACTCTGTCACCCAGGCTGAAGTATAGTGGTGTGAACTTGGCTCACTGCAAACTCCACATCTCAAGTTCAAATGATTCTCCTGCCTCAGCCTCCCGAGCAGCTGGGATTACAGGCACACGCCACCATGCCCGGCTAATTTTTGTACTTTTAGTAGAGATGGGGTTTCACCATGATATCCGGGCTGGTCTCGAACTCCTGACCTCAGGTGATCAGCCTGCCTCAGCCTCCCAAAAGTGCTAGGATTACAAGCATGAGCGACCACGCCCGGCCTGACTGTGTTTTAATATTAAAAAATATCAGATTCTTTTTCTTTTTGCTTATTTGTATTTTCTAATTTTTATATGCTGTACAAATACTCCTCATGTAAAAAAATTTGGGGGGGATGGGAAAAACAAAGCAGAGCCCAAGAATTGATTACAAAAAATATTTTTAGAACTTCATATCTCTTATCAAATGGGCTAATTTAATTGATCTTAACTATGAAAAAATCATTAAAGGGATCTACAATCAACCAGTAGTATTTCTGCTTTTTTCATTTAGATAAGGATATTAATTCGACTTTTCAAAATGAAGCATAGGAAGAGTGTTCATTATATAAGAAAGTGCTATTTAGAAGCTTATGGAATATTGTATTTAAATATTATAGTTGGGATCAAGTATCATTTAAAAAATCACAGAAATTTACAGCATTCTAAGACCATTTAGTCCACTTTACTTAAGTTACATAGCTAGTCAAAAACTCAGTCTTTCAGTATACTCCAGTTCAACATCATAGCTCAGCAGTTTGTCTCCGGTATTAAGTATGGAGGGACATTCCTATCAATGGCCACTGGCCCACAGGATGGTAAACAATCAACTGAAAGACACAAGTTAAAAGAAATTTCATTAGCTACGATGTTAGTTTTTAAGAAGAAAAATGTTTTTAAAATCACACAGCTCTTTAAATTGAAAAGAGGTGAAGGAGAGCTTTTTATTCAACAACAATACCAAGTAGTTTTTTTTTTTCTTTTTTTTTTCTTTTTTTGAGACAGATCTCACACTGTGGCCCAGGCTGGAGTGCAGTGACGTGATCTCGGCTCACTGCAAGCTCCGCCTCCCGGGTTCACGCCATTCTCCTGCCTTAGCCTCCTGAGTAGCTGGGACTACAGGCGCCCACCACCATGCCCAGCTAATTGTATTTTTTTAATAGAGATGGGGTTTCACCATGTTAGCCAGGATGGTCTTGATCTCCTGACCTCGTGATCCGCCCGACTCGGCCTCCCAAAGTGCTGGGATTACAGGCGTGAGCCACCATGCCCGGCCAATTCCAAGTAGTTTTTAAATACAGTCCAGGTTCCTTGTTTTGACTAAAAAAGTAAATAAAAGGCAGAATAATAGATGTGAAGGAGGAGGAAGAAAAAGCCACAGGAGTTACAATTACATGTCAACTGCCAAGATAGCAAATGACCTTAGAGAAATGACTGGCACTGAGCTCTGCTCCTGCTGAAAGAGAGGCAGGGGCCATAAAAGAAACAGAGACAGCAACAACCCATGGGCAGAGTCAGGTTGGGTTTGTGTGGGTAAAGGAGGGCTGTTGTGTAGTTTGGACTTACATACACAGCCTCATTTATGTTTCACTCTTCATATGCAATCCAAGATGAACTGTAAGAATCTAAGAGTTACATATACTAGTAATGATACAGTTTTTAAACTTTTTAAATTTTACAGTAGATATATATTCCCCCTCCCTTTTTTTTCTATATACAAAAAGGTTTTCCTGTTGTTGTTGAGTTTTTTTTGAGACAGAGTCTTGCTCTGTTGCCCAGGCTGGAGTGCAGTGGTGCAGTCTTGGCTCACCGCAACCTCTGCCTCCTGGGTTCAAGCTATTCTTATGCCTCAGCCACCTAAGTAGCTGGGCATGGGCCGCCACACCCAGCAAATTTTTTGTATTTTTAGTAGAGAAGAGGTTTCACCATGTTGGCCAGGCTGGTCTCAAACTCCTGGCCTCAAGTGGGCCTCCTAAAGTGCTGGGATTACAGGCATGAGCCACCACGCCCAGCCAAATACAAAAAGTTTTTCTAGAGGCTTTTTGAAGTTATCAAAATAACAGCCAAAAGATGCAGCTGGACCAGAATTAGTTCTAGATCTGATCTGAGTAGATTTATACTTGATTTATCAGGAATAGGAAAATACTGCCACCCTCTCCTATAAAATCTAAAAAACAAAAAAAAAAAAAGAAAAAATAACTTTAGAGATGCAAAGGCCAAACTCACATATCTTTGGAGTAACTGTGCACTTTTTAAATTCTTCAAATTGACACTTTGGGCTATTTCTAATGAGTTTCAAATCAAGGGCCAATGTTAAACAGATGATGCCACACTATAACTGAAGTAGGAAAAACAAATCCAGAAAACACATCAGTGAGACTGATTTATAGCTCTCAATAAAACTTGCCAAAAATATCTTCTGATTTATTTTTTTAAGCTGGAAAAATGGAATTACTCCAACATAAAGTGATAACAGGAAAACAATGTCTCCATTCCAAAGACTAAGTGTTAAACTTTTTTTAAAGTGCTTGATTTAATATATTAATGAAATTAATGGAAAAAATGAAATGGAATTCAATTATGGATCAACACAGAAAATATTCTTTGTTTATTGTCTGTGTTAAGAAGAATCAGTACCTATCGCTTATAAATCATTAAAATAAAAATGCTCAATTAATCCTTATTTTATATGTAAAGGTCTGACAGAAACTAGTCCCATCACTAGACCTTTGCTTCACAAATCGAAGCAATAATGGTTTCAGAAAGCAGTCACACTCTATGAGCAGACAATTGGAGAGATTTAGTAAATCCCACTTTATAGAGCAGAGACTAATCGGAAAACACAGGCCAGTCAAATGTTTCTTATGAACTGTTGACACTATATCAATGCTGAATCAATTGGTGGCATTTACTCTGAGTGACAGAAAAGAAATAAATATTTATATCACATAACCTATATCAATGAACCCAGGCAGAAAGCTATTTCTAACTTGTCAATATTTGATTATCTTGAAGAATCATGTCCCTTTCTTTTAATGATTAATATGAATTCCTTATTAAATCTAAGTGGAGGCTAGTGGAAAGGCAAATCATTATTAATGCTTGAGAGCATAAACCACTAAAATAAAAAACTATGCTCAAGTGTTAAAGTATCATTAAATGTGACTTTTATCTTCCCTATCAAGTGGTGTCAGTGTTCAGCCCAGAAATTTATTGATGCCTACAACTGTGCACAGTACCTCACTGCAATGCAATTTCACTCACTGTTTAGTTATCCTATAGCACTGAGGAATTAAGGAATTAGAAGGAGACATTTTGAAAGCTTCCAAAGGTGGGTTTTTTTGGTTTTTGAGGGAATTTTTTGAGTGCAAGTAAATGTAAGAAAGGCTAATCCTTATAAAGAAAAAAAAAGCCATATTATTTAATATGAGGTTATCACATTCCCAAGGGAAAGCAATAAACATTTAAGTGTCAAAAATCCTTGCCAGGACAACCTCCCACCATATAGAGAACCTCATAACTGAAGCCACTAAGATATCTATGGTACTAGGCTTACTGTCAAAACATTATGAGACTGCTTATTTTTGTCAAAACATTATGAAAATGCTTATTTTTTGCAGTGGAAAAAACTGTTTTTCATTTTTGAAAGAAGAGTCTATGACAGGTTATTTTCCATTGTCTGGGCTGGACAAATGTAGTTAAAGCTTCTTAATTTATGTCAATTTTGAAATATATTTTCCAGCTGAAGAACACAGTGACTCATACATAAATTACAATTAGTAACTAGAATGCAAGCATGTTGAAGATACATAAATATCCTAGGCTCAATATTTTTGCTTTTAGTCAGATTTTGTTTATATATGCTGGTTCTAACAAAATATAAGGCACTGAGGTGATACAGATGTGGACCTCAATCTAAACAAACCTTTGGCTGCTGAAAGTTAAAGGTATTCGATAAATACTATCTAAAATGTTGAGACTACAAAGATTATACATACACCACACTAGATTCTCCTTAGCTGTATATAGGATATTTAAGGACTAGAATTCACATACTCTGGATGGCAATCAGATGTCAGAAGCAGATCAACTTCATTTCTTCTAACTGTATTCAAGGAATTGTGTGCTAAATAAGCAAGGCCTCCAGAAGCACTACCATACAGCACTGTTTTAAGGCATGCACATCTATTAGGCCACAATGTTACAGGTGATATTAAAGGACAGGCATGAGGACCTGGCTTTGTCTTCTTGACATGCTCCACTACAAGTACTTGATTCATGAAATGCCAGTGAGGCTTGGAGAGGTCAGTGTGTGAAGGCACTGAATAAGCATCTGAGATAATTAAGATTTCAGCCTTCGAAACATGGACGGGAAGTGAACAGCAGTTAAGAAAATCAATAAGAGTCTTTTATTTGCAGTGACACAGATGTCTCAGTCAATACAGCCTAATAGGCAGGCTTGATCGCAATGGACAGGCGCCTGCCTCCAAGGCTATCAAAGGGCTTCCACTATAACAAACATTAAAACGCATTTATGTTGCTACTGAAGAATCGAGGACCCTGTAGGTAGCTTAATTTACCAGTGTATGTTTAAAAGCACTCTACTATTTCAGATGTGTCCATTTACTTGAATCAAAATTAGTAAGAAATAACTGGCCTGAAGGCTTGTTTGTCCCTCACTGGCTGGGTTAGGTCATTCAGCTTTAGATGGCCAGTCTACTAGGCAAACTAAGGTCTCCTGAAGGCCAGGAATTTTATATGCCAAAGGTCTGCTGTCACTCTGCCTCCCTAAAAAGCCAGTGTTAGTTTCAGGACAAAAGAAGGAGCTAAGGTGAGAAAGTAATGGTTTTTCCTTTTCTCCCCAAAGATAATGAAAGAAACAGTCACCTCAGAATGCAGGGCCATTTCAACAGCCCACGAGTTGACACACTTGTTCAGAACTGATTAACTTTTTAAAAACTGAGATGGCAGCAGGGTGTGTGCATGGTACTTCAATCTGCTGGGAGTGAAACCCATTAGCACAGTTTGAAAAACGGGCTGCAAATTGTTCTGCCAATCAAATTAAGCCATGTTATTCATTTATGACAGGAAACTCACAGACTCTTTATCTGTTTAATAAGCTTATGGATACAAAAACTGGACGGTAATATGTTATTATTATGTGAAAATCTTAATATATAATAATACCTACCTGGCCATTGGCTAGTATTTTTTTCAGTTCAGCAGAAGACTTCTTTAAGCTGAAAAGGAAAGATAATTTTTAGTGGCAAGATCATCAACACCTCTGAACACCACTGAAAATTCCAGACTGAAATACACCTTTGCTTTTACATATAGGGATTGAGCATATTCTTCACATCCTTCTCCCAATGTAAATTTTTTTCAAAAGTAACTGGCCAAATGCAAAAGGTATCAAATAAAGAGACTAAAACCCTGTTAGTAATCAAAAGCAATAAAGAAGCCTACAGTCAAGATGAAGCTACAATATCTTATGAACTACTTCAGTGACATTTTTATGGTCATTAGTTCTACTGCCTTTAGATAGCCTTTCAGAGGCAATTTCATGTGGACAATGTCATCTGCTAAGCACTAATATTCACAGCAAATAAAGATTATAGAACTTCAAAAGACAAAATAGATAATTTAAGTCCTGGTCTCTTACACAGTTAAAAGTTATAATTCAGCTTCCTGGGAAGCAAATATGTAGTACAAATAAATCCTGGTATTCACTAGCTGTGTGATCTGGGACAAGTTACTTATCCTCTCTGAACCTCAATTTCCTCTTTCTGTAAAATGGGGAAAATACCAATTTTATAGGGTAACCAGAAAAATTAAATATTACAAAAAATCTAGCACTGTGTCTTGTCCATAGCAGGTGTGTTTTTACAAATAAAATTAATAAATTTTAGCTGGTTTTCCTTTCCTATGGGTATGAGACTCAGCTCCCAGAGTTATTTAGGAAGTATTAAAGTGTTTTCTGAACATATATGACTATGTTAACACTCATATGGATGAATTTAGTGAAAGTCCTTTTTTTTTTTTTTTTTGAGACATAGTTTCACTCTTGTTGCCCAGACTGGAGTGCAAAGTACAATGGTGCGATCTCGGCTCACCACAACCTCCACCTCCCAGGTTCAAGCGATTCTCCTGCCTCAGTCTCCAGAGTACCTGGGATTATAGGCATGTGCCACCATGCCTGGCTAATTTTGTATTTTTAGTAAGCTGGGGGTTTCTCCATGTTGGTCAGGCTGGTCTCAAACTCCCGACCTCAGGTGATCTGCCCGCCTCGGCCTCCCAAAGTGCTGGGATTACAGGCGGGAGCCACCACCCCTGGCGTGAAAGTCCTTATTGAAGAAAAATGGTAGTCAAGGGGAGCTCTTAAGTCATCTAGCTTTATAATGAGTTATACCCGTGAATATCTACCTGACTAGTAGAGTAGCATTTAAAATAGCACCTTCCCCCAGCAATGTTCTATTTGAGATTTAAAGCCTGTTAAGGGGCCGGCGCGGTGGCTCATGCCTGTAATCCCAGCACTTTGGGAGGCTGGTGCAGGTGGATCACGAGGTCAGGAGATTGAGACCATCCTGGCTAACACGGTGAAACCCTGTCTCTACTAAAAATACAAAAAATTAGCCGGGTGTGGTGGCCGGCGCCTGTAGTCCCAGCTGGAGGCTGGGGCAGGAGAATGGTGTGAACCCAGGAGGCAGAGCTTGCAGTGAGCCAAGATCGCACCACTGCACACCAGCCTGGGCTACAGAGCGAGACTCCATCTCAATAATAATAATAATAATAAAGCCTGTTAACTCTACTTTTTTTTTTTTGAGACAGAGTCTCGCTTTGTCACCCAGGCTGGAGTGCAGTGGTGTGAGCTCAGCTCACTGCAACCTCCGCCTCCTGGGTTCAAGCGATTCTTCTGCCTCAGTCTCCCAAGTAGCTGGGACTACAGGTGCATGCCATCACGCCTGGCTAATTTTTGTATTTTTAGCGAAGACAGGGTTTCACCATGTTGGCCAGGCTGGTCTCAAACTCCTGACCTCGTGATCTGCCCACCTTGGCCTCCCAAAGTGCTGGGATTACAGGCATGAGCCACCACACCCAGCCAACTCTATTCTTAACCTATCCACTTTAGCCCTTTACCTACCTACCCATGCTAGTTGTCAGTATAGATGTCTTTCTTCCTACCATACCCTCCCCCAACAGGGGAGAGTCTGGGAGCTCCCTGAGAACACAGACACATCTTACGTATTCTATATACTCCACTCTCTTCTCACCCTTAAATATAGCCCAATGACTTGGCATATGCTAAGGGTTCCATAAATGGTGGTCGCTGCTCTGGTTATTATTATACTGTGGTGGCAGTAGTAGTAATGCAGTAAGACATTAAGATCATAAATACATCAGAAAACAAAAGGGGCCAAGCACAGCGTCTCAAGCCTGTAATCCCAGCACTTTGGGATGCCAAGGAAGGAGGATCGCTTGAGCCCAGGAGTTCAAGAACAAGCCTGGGCAACATAGTAGGGCCCCATCTCTAAAAAAAATTAAAAACTTAGCCAGGCATGGCGGCATGTGCCTGTAATCCTAGCTACTCGGGTCACTTGAGGCCAGGAGGTCGAAGCTGTGGTGACCCGTAATTGTGCACTCCAGAATGGGGGGGTGACAGCAATGAGACCCTGTCTCAAAAAGAAACAAAGAGAGAGAGAGAGAGAGAGAGAGAGAGAGGGAGGGAGGGAGAGAGAGAGGGAGGGAGGGAGAGAGGGAGGAAGGAAGGAGCAAGAAAGGAAGAAATGAAAAGGAAAAAAAGAGAAAGGACTCAAGACCTAATATGAAATACACATATTCCATTTGGCACCTTTAATAGGTTACATTTGAGAGAATCTCAGACTTCAAGTTTGATCACATTTTACCACTTCAAGTTATAATTACTCTTCTTTCTAAATACATCTTAAACTTTTGCTATGGTCAAATGTAAACTATGGAGACTGAGTCCCTATTTTCCTAGATTTTATAAAGCATGTCTTCATCCAAGGGTTCTTGACTTTAATGTCCCACCACATCTAAGAATCGATGCACTAAAGTGGCAATTAACAATTTTGTAGAATAGGATGAAAGCTGAAACATATATGGAAAAAATACACAGCTGCCTAAAATCAGTCCAGTTAACATAATAATAGCAGCTGCTATTTATCAAGTGATGACCATGTGCTAGGCATTGTGCTAAATGCTTATTATCCTAATTTAATCCTTATAATAACTATACTTTAGGTATAGTTATTATCCCTAATTTATAAAGGATACTAAAATACAGACCTCTAAGGTACAGATCTTGCTCGAAGTCCATCTATCTCTTATACACACACACACACACACACACACACACACACATACACACACACACATTTTTTTCTGGGAAACATTCAGATCCTAGTTTTCCCACAAATGACTCCCAGTTGATAGTTCCAATTATTGTAAAGATGCAAATAACCAAACAAAGCCCAGGCAAGGTTTCTACATAGATATTCCATTATGTTATAAACTTGAATTAATAACATTTTGATTCATTGCATTTATAGAATGCCTTTCATCCAAGAAATAAAACGTGATTCCTAATACAGCTTCATCAATCTTTCTAACACCAGCAGTAGATAGATGGAAAGTTTAATCATCCTAATTTACAGAAGGAGAAAGCTAAGTAGTTTAGGAAAGGCCTTGCCTTGGCAATGGGACTTGAATTCAGTAATTATGGCCTAGGAACACCATGTGCATTAGTAAACCCAGTTTAATAAACAGTTATTCACCTAAGGCAAAAGAAAAAACAACCCATGCTTTGAGAGTAATAGAGGAAAATACTGTTTCATTCATTATGCTAGTATCTGGCTATCAACTTTGTCTGGTTAAAAAGAAAAAAAAAAGAAAAAATTGTATCCTGGCAATTTCTCTGTGACTCACTTTACTCAATATTTCATTCATCTGCATGTTCACGGTGACCTAAGCTATCCAAAAATCACTTTTAAAAACATTTAAAGGCCAGCTGTGGTGGTTCATGACTGTAATCACAACCCTTTGGGAGGCCAAAGTGAGAAAATTGCTTGAGCCAGGAGTTTGAGACTAGCCTAGGCAGCACAGTGAGACCCCGTCTCTACAAACTAAAAATTAAAAAAATTTAAAAAAATAAAAAAAAAACACTTAATCAGGGATTGTGGTGCAAGCCTGTAGTCCCAGCTACTTGGGAGGCTGAGGTGGAAGGACCACTTGAGCCCAGGAGGTCAAGGCTGCAGCGAGCTGTGATTGTGCCACTGCACTCTAACTTGGACAACAGAGGGAGATCCCATCTCTAAAAAAGTAATAAAATAAAAACATTTTAAAATTTAAATGTGTTACAACTGTAACTTGAGTACAACACCTGAAGAGAGACACTGAGATATCCAAAGAAGAGAAAAGGATGAGGGGACTAGAAATAATGTCATATCAGAAAAGATGAAAGAGCTGGGAGAATTTAGTCCAGAGGTAAGATGTAAAAGAAATACAAGTAATTCATACATACATTCATGCATTCATTCATTCAAACATGATTGACTATAATCTATGTGGCAAGCATCATGCTGGGAATTGGAACTTTGTCAATGAATATGCTACAGTCACTGCCCTCAAATAGTATAGAATCTACTGGAGGACAGGGGTGATTATAATACAATGTGCTCACTACTACAATACAAGGAAGAAGGGAGTATCATAGGAATTCCTAGAGAGGTCCCTGGTGTGCACTGGGGATGGGTAGTAATCAGGGACAGTTCTCAGAAGATAATTTAGTCCTCAAAGATAACCAAGGTTAGCCAGACTGAAGGTCAAGGTGGGGATGAAAAGAAACAGGAAAACGGGAAAATGTGCAGGCCCAGTAGAGAGAAGAAAGTGATCCATTCAGGGCACTATGTGTTCATCAGCAAAGCTGGAATGTCAGGTGGGATGGGGTACAGAGGTGGGCCAGCAAGCTGGAGTACACAGAGCACCCATATGTGAAGGGCTCTTCACTGCTCACCTGCTATGGAGGTTACACTTCATCTTGAAAGCATGAAGAGCAGTGAAGGTTTTAAAGCAGGGAATGACTGCAGCTCAGGACTGTACACTGGCAAGATGGCTCCAGCTGCAGGGTGGAGGAGGGGCTGAATGGGCCAAGAACGGAGGGAGTAGACTCTCAGGAGGCTGTGGCAGTGATCTGGAGAGCTGGAACCACCCACACAGCAGCAGGGATGCTGGCGAGTAGAAAGACGCAGAGCTACTCAGAAGGTAGAACCCACAAGTGTGGGGACTGACAGGGTGTGGCACTGAGGGAGGCCTAGGAAGCAGTGAAGGAGGACTGACAAGTTATCTGGAGTTAGCAATGGACTGGATGTGGGAGAATTTACTGAGACAGAAAATCTAGAACTGTGTTTGGAGGGAAGACAACTGGAAGAGCTGTTGACCTGGAAGAGGGAACAACCACGTTCTGAGGGCTTAACTAAAACGTTATGAGTGGGCGCTATAGAAAGACAAATCTCAGCTCACAAAAAAGAGCCTTCTGAGATGTAGCCAAGTAAAAAAGGGAAGGAGCTGCGTTGGCTGATAAAGTGCATTCCTCCGACAGGGATGTTCAGTAAGAGATTTGATGACCATTTGGCAAGGAGTAGGAAGTCAAACATTAAAGGAGGGCAGGATTAGATGGGAGCTTCTGCTCATTCGCCACACCACAGGCAGAGGATCTTTTAAAAACACAGGGCTGGCCATGTCCCTCTCCTACTAAAAGCCCTCTAACTGCTAGCCAGTGCACCAAAAGGAAAATTCAAACATTACAGGGCCTACGAGGCCCCGCATGATAAGTCCTGTCTACCTCCTTAGCTCCTATCACTCCTATTGCTCTCTCATCTCCTCTCTCCAAATCCCTTCCCCAACCCAGCACCCCTCCCTGTGCCAAACTGGCCTACTCACAAACATGCTGAGCTCCTTCTCCACCTCAGGGCCTTCACCTACCCTCTTCCCTCCGTCTGAAACGCCCTTCTCTGCTTCTTCAGGTCAAAACAGAAACGTCACTCTCCCCAGAGAGCCTTCTCAGCACCCAGTCTAAATCTAAACATTCATCTTTCCATATGAGGTCCTTTCTCTTTGGTCAATACGTAGCTAGGTTATCTAACTGGTCAAATTTCTTTCTAGCTTCTTCCCCACCCCACCCCAACTCTGTAGATAAATCACATCAAGGGCACACTTTACTTGCTCGCTCGCACCTATTGCTTGGAAGTGAATCTGAGACTGCTGGGCTGCTGTGTTGAGAGGGTCCGGCCCGAGTATTCACCTATAAGTAAAGAAAGAATCTTGATCAGTCTTGTGTTCTGAGGACACAGTTCTAATTAACCTATAATTTGCCACAAATTTCTCATTTCACTATGAAGGTTAATTAGCTTGTTGCTAGACAAACCCACAGTTGGAGTCTATTCAGTATATAGGTTACAAAACCGTATAACCCATACATTACATAATATTCTATTCCTGTCATTATTCCATTAAATACTTAAACAGTGATGAAAAAGGAGACATAAACAGTGTGAAAATCCAACTCACTGTCTAGAATACATATAAAAACAGTATGTTCAAAAAGTACATTAAGAATATACCCAGGGGTTAGTAGTGAACCTCAAGTTATATCCTTCCAGCTCTGCAACCAAGCAGAACACTGTATGTAGAATGTTTCTTATTCACTAAAAAATGAGGTCCAAATAATTAATTATGAAATATTTGAGCCTAATACAAAAGCCAGCTTTTCTTTCAGATGTGAAGCCCTAAACAGAAATCCAGAATTCAAAATACACAGAATGAAAAGACATTAACTAGATATATGTTTCTAGCATAAATATGTCAAGAGAGGGTATTCCATGTGCAATATGCTTATGTGCTTAATTAATCACTGAAATGAAGTCTATATTCTTACTAAAATCTTTGTAGATACCAGCACCTAGGATTATCCTGAAGACACTGACCAACAAAACAATTCCAAATAATTGAAAATACAGTACCAAACCCCCAGTATGCAAATATATACACATACTGAGCAAATACTACAGATGAATCCCCCTCCACCTCCCATTTAAAAAAAATAAAAGGATCGCTTGTCAGAGCTTGAGAAAGTGCAGTTTTATTTGACATTTCAATAAGTGGAACACAGCATTACAAATCCATCTAACTTTACTGAAACAATTATTGAAATTCGTACCTTCAGGCCATGTATGTTCCGTTCCCCAGGAGGCTTGCAGGCTGAAACAGTAATTGACTAAATTGTAGAACACATCAGGGCCATTTACAAATTTGCTCAAAATGAATCGTTTAAAAAGAAATGAGGGTGACACCAAAATTAGCAGAGAGAAATGATTGAAAAGTGGCTCCCAAGACCCAAAGTGGGAATTATGAACCAGGGTTTTAACTTGCAGGAGTGAGCATTTATAAATGCAAAGAGCTTTCTGACACCACCTCATATAAATTCCAATTTCTGCTTAAAACATATAAAAATCAAGTTAACTGAGCTAAAATGATTAGATTCCTTTCATAATTCAAATTTCTGCAATCTGTCCTCATTCTATTACATTGTATATCTGCTATCACTTAAACTACTTTGAAAAGAGCTAAGGGATTTTTTTGTGAGCAAGCGGGGTGAGAAAAGGATGTTTTAATGCCAAAAAGATTGCTAGGGATTCTACGATGGAACATTCTAGTTTGAATACTACTTTGCACAGCCATAAGCAGTCAAATGTATTAAAATACAGATATATAACTAATTTTATTACATTTCTTGCAAATCTTGACATATGCTAAGATTTAGTCCTAGAGATAAGGCAGTGCCAGGAAAAAAGAATATTAATTTCCTGACACCATCTTGAGTTACAGGTTAGTACTTTTCCAATTCAGCAAATGCTTCTTCAACAAATGTTAAAAATACAAAAGCCTCCTGCCCATGTTATAGACTGCTTCTATTTGAAAACTATAGTGCCCTACAAATTGTATGTTAAGGGGCCATCAATTTTGATTGATTGTTTGGGGACGAATTAATTTGATTTTTTTTTTTTTTTTTTTGCTCCTCTCTCAGATGTACATGTCGTTTTCCTGTTTCTGACAACAAGAAATAGAGCTGTTTAATAATAAGATGTGGGTAATGACTGGGTGCAGTGGCTCAAGCCTGTAATCCCAGCACTTTGGGAGGCTGAGGTGGGCTGATCATGAGGTCAAGAGATCAAGACCAACCTGGCCAATATGGTGAAACGCTGTCTCTACCTAAAATACAAAAAATTAGCTGGGCATGGTGGCGGGCGCCTGTAGTCCCAGCTACTCGGGAGGCTGAGGCAGGAGAATGTCGTGAGGCAGGAGAATGTTGTGAACCCAGGAGGCAGAGCTTGCAGTGAGCTGAGATCACGCCACTGCACTCCAGCCTGGGCGACAGAGCGAGACTCTGTGTCAAAAAAAAAAAAAAAAAAAAAAAAGGAGAAGATATGGGTAATAATTACAAAACACTGCAGTTGCTTTCATTTTGTATATTCCAAATATACTCAAATTTATTATGTTATTTTTCCTAGAAAATATATCTAAACCATAACAAAATGTTTTTACTTGCCTTTCTAAAATGCATTAAAATTAAGACTCAAAATCTTCTTTCCTTAAAATGGAAATTAACCTTTTGAACTACAGTCACATGCATTTGACGTCTGGTCCTTGAGGGACCATCAATACTTCCTAAGACAACACTTCAAAATATTTCCACTGAAGTAAGCAGTGCATTCATAAATTTCATTTAAACAAAGTGGCTAGCCAAGGAATCAGAGACAAACATCAACTCTTATCTCTAACCTTAACATCTGCCTCACTCCTCAATTGACTTCTCAAACTTTTATAACTGGAGATGTAAACAGCAGTCAAAAAACCCAGTAACCTCATATTTCCTAAAGTTATCGGGTCAGGAATTACTATAAAGCTAGTCAATGTTCACACTTATTAATATTTAACATATCTTTTAACAATGTAGAGGACTTAGCCATGACCTGGGAGTTACTATCCAAGGCAACTGTGCTACTTGGAATGAGGAGAACATGTTATTACATCAGAATTATGGCCAGGCATGGTGGCTCATGCCTTTCATCCCAGCACTTGGAGAAGTGGTGGTGGGAGGATTGCTTGAGCTCAGGAGTTTGACACCAGCCTGGGCAACACTGTGATACCTTGTCGCTATTAAAAAATTAAAAAAAAATGCCCAGCGTGGTGGCACATGCCTGTAGCCCCAGCTACTCAGGAGCTGAGGCGAGAGAACTGCTCCAGCCTGGGGACATAAAGGCTGCAGTGAGCACACACTGCACTCCAGCCTGGGTGATAGAGTGAGACTCTGTCTCCAAAATAAATAAATAAATAAATAAATAAGGAAACAATCATTTTCTCCTATCCTTCCTACTTGTTCAGTCTAAAGATTCTTTTTAACATGGGGCCTAACCATAAAATTTAAGATCTGAGGGCCTCTAACCAACTAGGTAGACACAGGAAATATACCCAGTATGTCTACATGTCGATTATGTAAATTTGCATAATTTCACTTATCTACATATGATAAAATGTACATTCGATGTAGACAGGTAGCAAAAAGCAAAAGACTACCAAAAACTAGAAACAATTACACCATAGCATATTAAAAAAACACAGAAATAAAAAGACAGTCTCATATTCTGAAATATTTAAATTTGGCTTAGAAAGACTATGTTTAACAATTTATTGCAGCCTAGTGGGTTTTATGCTAAGACTACATATGACAATGACATCTCATATAATTTCCTCCTTTAAGTATCCTCTCCCCATAACATACTCCTCTCCACTCCAAAACAAGCCCTCCAAACTACTCCCATGCACACTCTAATTATATTTTAATATATATGCCTTTCCATTTTAATCATATTATAATTTAAATGAAATTCTTACTCAAAGGGCATAGTAAGCACTTATAAGCTGTGTGACTCTGAAGTTACTTAACCTCTCTGAATCTCAATATTCTCATCTATAAATTGGAAACAGTAATACCTAATAGGCAGAACTATCAGGAGGATTACAGATGATGATGCGTAAAGCAATATTAATGCCTTAACAGAGCAGACATCTAAAAATGGTTGTGATTATCATGGGAAGAAGCATAATGCGATGAACAGTGAGAATGACAGGACTGCTCACAAAAGGAAAGAAAACAAACAAAACTTGAAAGAATTTGGATGAAGATAACTAAAAAAAATTTTTTAGAGACAAATGAAGACCCACAACATTGGAAGTGTGTGTGTGTGTGTGTGTGTGTGTGTGTGTTTTGAGACAATGTATTGCTCTGTCACTCAGGCTGGAGTACAGTGGCACAAACATGGCTCACTGTAGCCTCAACCTCTTGGGCTCAAGCCATCCTCCCACCTCAGCCCACCAAGTAGCTGGGACAACAGGAGTGTGCACCACGCCCGGCTAATTTTTGTATTTTTTTGGTAGAGACAGGGTTTTGACATGTTGCCCAAGCTGGTCTCAAACTCTTGAGCTCAAGCAATCCACCTGCCTCAGCTTCCCAAAGTGCTGAGATTACAGGCATGAACCACTGTGCCCTGCCTGGAAGTATATTTCTCCAGGATACTGCAATTAGGGTTTTCTATGGCAGAGCTATAATGTCAATAGAGAAATTAATGGAAATTTTCAGTTTGTAAAATACTACTCCTTGTGAAGAAAGAATTTTGAAACTTGCCCAAATTCTCCAGTCACTGCAAACATTAAGAAATAATCTGCCTCCTGGCTGGGCGTGGTGGCTCACGCCTGTAATCCCAGCACTTTGGGAGGCCGAGGGGAGTGGATCATGAGGTCAGGAGATCAAGACCATCCTGGCCAACATGGTAAAACCCTGTCTCTGCTAAAAATACAAAAATTAGCTGGGTGTGGTGACACGAGCCTGTAATCCCAGCTACTCAGGAGGCTGAGGCAGGAGAATCACTTGAACCAGGGAGTCAGAGGTTGCGGTGAGCTGAGATTGCACCACTGCACTCCAGCCTGGTGGCAGAGCGAGACTCTGTCTCGAAAAAAAAAAAAAAAAAAAAGAAATCATCTACATCCTAATCATTGGACTAATAAACAGAAATAGCAACATTTCTTTTTTTCTGTTTTGGTGCTTAATCTTCAAGTACAACAGAAGTGGATTAATCACAATCCTTGTTTTGGACTATCACTGGCCTTAAATAGCCCAACTGTACTTACTTAGCACTTCAATAAGTTACTAGTAATATACTAAGCACTCCTGATTCTGCTGCCCACACATATGCTGGAAGAGCAGTATTATTCTTGAACCCAGATCTTCTTGTGGGTTGGCCAAGACAGCTGCCTTTGGAGACTTTATCAGTGCAAATAGGAGCCTACTGGTTAATTGAGCCATTCAAACTTCAGAGAGTTACAGGTAATGAAAGTCTAGAATGTTTAATTGGAAAACTCATACCATGATTATTTGTACAGTATCAGTTAACGAAGGTAAGTTTAACTTTTAATTATTTCAATTAAGTTATTTCTAGAAGGGTTACTTAGAGAATTTCCTTATCTGTTCCATTAGTTAGAAAACATGGATTCCAAGTGGGGCAATGTATAACGGGTGAAAGACTTAATGGTTTATATAATTAAACTGTTCTTGTTCACCATTATTCAAATTTTGAGGGAACATTTATACACGGTTGAACAATCATATCTGATACAAGGATAGTACTGCCAAACCTAAAAGGGAAAAAGAAAATTATCTGACCAAGTGATTCACTGAAACTTACTCTCATCAGCTCATATTTTTGGAGATAATCAAATTTCCATTTATGAAGAATTTCAATTATTTAGAAAATACCTCCTCAAAAAACCAGATACCAAACATTCCACCAAAATTTCTCTCCTAACACCTCAGTAAATCTTCGCTTCTGTGCTAACTGAAAGCTTTCTCCTCAATAGCAGCTTTGGCCACCATCATGAGCCACAATTTATAAATATCCAGAATTAAAGTCATTCATTTGCCTTGCTTTAGAAACCATGTGGACCCCCAAAAGAGTTCTTTAAGCTAATGTAAGTATGTACTTCAAAAACAAAAAACAATCTAGTTAGTTTAATTTACTCTAGTAAATTAGATATTTTATCTGCCATAACTATAATATAGCCTGCAATCCCCACGATAATGAATACTTCTTTTGTTTTTCGAATTAAGAGCTAAACATCATGTTATGTGCATTTAAACCTTTGGAAACATAACTGTTGATGAAACAGTTTACTGAAATAATCATTGTTGATTAGAATTTGCTCAACATTACCTCTTGGAAATATCTGCAGAGGCTCTATTAACTGTCCATTTACTTGCTGTTCCATTACTGTGGAATAATACTGCAAAGAGATTATAGAAAGAGATCACTCAGTAATGTATGAATACTGGAACAGACACTTATGGGTTGTTTAATTCACAGTACTTTTGTAAATTGCTGGTATATACATATCAGCCTTGAGAATACTTTTCCCCTACTGGCACATCAAAATGACTATAGTGAATATTTAGGATTGAAAGTCCAGTGTGTTAGCCTTCACCCTGGCATTTATCTTTAAGAGTAAAAGTGTTGATTAAGACTTTATATTAGTATTTAAGAAATATTTGAAAATGATATATATTTAGACGACACATAAAGCATTTTAGTGGAATTTCCCAAATTGCCTCTTGCTCTTTTTCCCTGGATTTTGCAAAGCAAAATGAAGAAGCTTCACATTGGGCTTGGACCTACATGCCAGTTAATCAAACATTATTCAATTTGTGTATAAAATGCACAGATAATGGAAATCGAAATCACAGAGACTGTGGAAATAGCAAACAAAATATGACCCATCCAAAGATGACAGGATTAACATGATAAAAAGGTAGCCTAGTTTCAAACAAACATACCTTTTATGCTTTAGCCTTATAAACACTTTAGTACGGATCAAATTGCACTGTAAAATTCTGCACACAAAAAATAAAGTTCTAAGTGAAAAAGCTTTCACACTCCTTAGTAAACACAAATTATTCAGTAGGTGGTACTGTGGTTTGATTACCACTCCGCTAATTTGTAAGCATATGTCCACCTAACTTGGAGATGGCTTCTGTGCTCTCACATCTTATAATGCTCGACAAATAACAAAGTGATGCTCCTAGTGGAAAAATATCCACAATGAAAACTGCTGATTTTATGTTTTGAGGGGCTGTCAAAGAGCAGAACATCCTTTTCATCCTCACTGTTTCTATATTAAAAACATGTGCATATTATTTAAATACGATATGTTTAGGAAATCCCTCCTTGATTACTATTGTTTGCTGACATTCTTTAAAAGTTTTTTTTTAGAAGATATCACATATATCTTCCTATTGCTTTTATGTACATTAAAATTATTACAAGAGCAAGGGTTTTTTTTTTCCTCTTGAAAATAAAGGGGAGCTATAAAATGCCACATCATTTTGGGAATCACAAGTTAATACATCTAAGGCTGTTCGCACTAATAACAAATAAAGTGAAGGTGGATGTTGGATAGCTACACACTGATAAAAGTGTACCCAGCTCTCCAAAGGGTTTCAAACTGTAAAGAAAGTGATTCTCTCCTTCTACAGACATAAAAACTTATATACATACGGCATAAACATGTGAAACACTCTCTGGAATACATACTAAGGCAAATGTCTTTCAGGAGATTCTGTTCCTTAAAACCACAGAAATACAGCACTCGCCATTACTCAAACAGTGATGACAAGTAAATGAAATATCAATCATGTAGGCTGTCAACCTTTTGGGACAGCAATAACTGTTAACAAGTAGTCTGGAAAAATTGTCCGAAAATGACTTGTCCTCGGCACACAAGTATTTGAGGTTTCCATGGAAAATTAAGATGCCAGTGGCTATTTGGAACATTGCTCAGGTATTCTTTTTAATGGGAAATTTGCCGGTTATTGATCCACAGCATGTACCCCCTTGCTTCTGGAAGGCTGCAAGCAACTTTCCAATCAGTGGCTGTCAAAAAAATTACTGCCTTTTTGTACTGATACAAGACAACAGCAGTGGTGGTGTTCTCCTATAGTTAATGCTTTTCTTTAATTAACTGCTATGTACAATAGGCTAGTAATTTCAGTTACTACTTTGCCATTATCCTAGAAATAAAGACAAATAAAATATCCTTATGCTTTATCTAACAAGTTAATTATAGAGATGTCTAAAACTGGTGCTTGGGGTCAAGTTTGAAAACAAATAACCTCAAATGTAAAGGGTCAGAACAGGTGCAATGCTTTTTTTTCCTACTATAAAACCTCGCATGCATGAAATTGACCTGTTTTCCAGCTTTATTTATTTACCTCACAGAATAAATAAATAAAAATGGTTTTCCTTTCATTTTAGGTCTGTGCCAAATCAACTGGCAAACTATATACACTTTTATAATCATTGTGAGAATTTTTAAGCCATCTATAAACATCTCTCTGTACTACGACTAACACAGTCACAGTAATGATATCAAGTATGCCACTTAACAGTTTCTCTAAAGCGAGTAGTTAGGTTGTGTTTTTTGTTTTTTATATTTCCTCTAAATCCAAGTATATTTTCTCCTGCTGGACTACTGCATTTGATCTGTGTCTGTATTAATAGAGAAGCTTATGTTCCACATAGCAAAGTAATTCACCATCAAGGACATGCTGTAAAGGGAGGTAATCAAAACCACAGTGTGGGCCCTACACAACTGGCCCCTGAGGAACAGCCACCAACAAGGCACTAGGCCTAGAAACTCAGGCTACTGCCTACGGAGCATTCCCCATGGGATAAGGATAAAATGCAGGGCCATGCATGGTACCTCTTAGCACAGAGCAGTCCTGACCGGCCACCAGGTCCATGCTGCTCAGTGAGATGAGCAAGGCACATGAATGAATCAGAGGGCTCAAACCCAGGAGCTCCATCACTAACTGTTGTCTCCAAGCATGTGACCTCCATGACAAAATGCTCACTGTGCCTCATGTTACTCATTTGTAAAATCAAGACGGGCTCTACCCAGAGGATAGCTGTGAGGCTCACATGGGAAAACAGAGAAGACAGCAAGTAATAAACTGCAAAACAAATTGGGGTTTTCTTTTTTTTTGAGACAGAGTCTTGCTCTGTCACCCAGGCTAGAGTACAGTGGCACAATCTTGGCCCACTGCAACCTACACCTCCCAGGTTCAAGCAATTCTCCTGCCTCAGCCTCCCAAGTAGCTGGGATTACAGGCACCCACCACTGGCCCGGCTAATTTTTGTATTTTTAGTAGAGATGGGGTTTCACCATGTTGGCCAGGCTGGTCTCAAACTCCTGACCTCAGGTGATCCACCTGCCTTGGCCTCCCAAAGTGCTGGGATTACAGGCGTGAGCCACTGCACACGGCCAGCAAATTGTTTTTAGATCTGGATCTATTAGTGTCATTTCTATATACTCTTCCTTTAAAGGGATTCTCTCCAATTTTGTTCTAAATAGTGATAAAATAAGCAGAAATGACCAAAACCAAAAGAAAAGAAAAAAACAAAGAAACAAACAGCAACGACCAAAAAAACACCCCTAAACTTTGTACACTAAGATACTGAACATAATAGCTTGGACAGAAATGTAACAAAGTAACCTTCATAATATTACTTCAAGTTATCCAAATAACTTCATCTTCAGGTCTATAATCTTATCCTGGCATTTATTAGCCCTAACACAAAGCTCTGCACATAGTAGGTGTTTAATAAACATTTACTGATTGAAATGGGGTTGAATTCTAAGTCTGCCACTCATTAACTTGTGTAGCCTTCAGGAAGACATTTAACTTTATTAAACATCAGTTTCCTCCAAATGAGCATAAAAATATTTACCCTAATATATAGGGTTACTGGCCGGGCACGGTGGCTCACGCCTGTAATCCCAGCACTTTGGGAGGCCGAGGCGGGTGGATCATGAGGTCAGGAGATCGAGACCATCCCGGCTAACAAGGTGAAACCCCGTCTCTACTAAAAATACAAAAAATTAGCCGGGCACGGTGGCGGGCGCCTGTAGTCCCAGCTACTCGGGAGGCTGAGGCAGGAGAATGGCGTGAACCCGGGAAGCGGAGCTTGCAGTGAGCCGAGATTGCGCCACTGCAGTCCGCAGTCCGGCCTGGGCGACAGAGCGAGACTCCGTCTCAAAAAAAAAAAAAAAAAATATATATATAGGGTTACTGTGAGGCTCAAAAATTAAACTGCAGCAATAAAATTAGTGAAGGCACTTGGTAAACTGTAATGCATTATTAGTTAAGAAATTTAAAAGTACACCTCCTCATATTGAAACAATATTAAGCAAACTTTCTATCTTAGAAGTGTTGCAGCATTTAAAAATGCAGAAATAATTATATAGAGTATGAAATATTGTGTCCAAACTGAATACATCAGCAGCAATTATAAAATATGTTTTCTCCTGTTACCCCTTGCATAATCCGTTACATGCAGTAACTGCAGCGATAATCAATAAGCTAACTGGGTAAAAGATCAATCAGCTTTGCAATTGCTAATGGAATCTCCAGTACTAGACTCAGATTAGTTTCAGAGTCCCTCTGAGCTGTTCTTCAAAATTCTTCAGTCATTTTAATAAGGATGTGACAAAGTTTAGCATAGTTACCAAAAATCTAATTAATTTGAAACAGAGGGCCAGATTCAACAAGGGGATAACAAGTACAATTTTTTGCTTTGTTTTGTTTGCAAGTTTACTACAGTGTTCATATTTGTTATAAATCTAATTCTAATGCTAATGGCACAATTCAATCAATAATTACATTTTTTTCTTCATGGAAATCTGCCATATTTTTTAAAAAACTTGAGTTCCAAAACAGCACAGTTTAAGTTTATGAGGCACAAATTTTCTATTAAGAAAGAGAGAAGGATGGAAGCAGTGGCTCATGCCTGTAATCCCAGCACTTTGGAAGGCCAAGGCAGGCAGATCACCTGAGATCAGGAGTTCAAGACCAGCCTGGCCAACATGGTTAAATCCTGTCTCTACTAAAAATATAAAAATTAGCCAGGCGTGGTGGTGTGCACCTGTAATCCCAGCTACTCAGGAGGCTGAGACAGAATTGCTTGAACCCAGGAGGCAGAGGTTGCAGTGAGCCGAGATCGTGCCATTGCACTCCAGCCTGGGCGACACAGCAAGACTCCATCTTAAAAAAAAAAAAAAAAAAAAAGAAAGAAAGAAAGAAAGAAAAAAAGAAGAGAAAACAGAGACAGAGATAGAGAGATAGAGATAGAGGGAGAGAACTAACCCTCACTCATTGGATACCTATGTGTGTTAGGCTCAGCACTACATATCTACATTTATTCACTTAGTTTTTTACAATCCTATCCTATTCTATAAGTATCATCACCTCTATTTAACAGATGAAGCAAATGGTTTATCAGTAAACAAACAAACAAAAAAATTACTCCTTTCATTCTAGGCCATGCCATGCACTCAGGGCATAAAACGTATATTTATTGCTTACAAGTTAAGAAGTAGGTTATCTCATATTTCTCATACCTCAAAACATTTACCTAAATAGGTAGGGTTACCTGGTAGACTGCTGAGCTGGTGGAGAGCTGTGGCTTCGCTCACACCCTGTGCAGGTTAGGTTATATCCTCTGATCTTTCAGAGGCTGGCGAAGCAGTGTGAAGACATCTGTGCTGATGGGTGACCTAGGTGACCTCTGGCTCTTTCTTTGGCAACAACCACTCCCCCACTGCCCTCCCCCGCCCCGCCACCTCCATGGGTTTTCCTACTTCTCCAACCACTCCATTCGGTTTCCTGTAAGTGGTTATTACCCCATCTCTCCTTTAAATGCAGGATTTCCCCCACTGTTTTTCATTAGCCTTCTCATTTTACACTCTCCTTGAGTTACTTTAGCCACTTCAAAGTTTCAACTACCAGAGGAATCACTGAGACTAATTAGGAGCTGATGAATCACAAATCTTTATTTCCAGCCCAGATTTCTCTCCTAAGTTCTGAAACATAACCAGTTGATTGTGCAGAGCCTCCTCCAATTCAACAGGTCCAAAACTGATTTCCTCTCCTATCCCCTATCAGACCCTAGACCTGTCTTCTGCTGCCTGGGTTTATGGTCTCAGGAAATACCATCACTATGACCCTGTTTCCCAAACCAGAAATCTGGAAGTAATCCAAACCATCTCTCTTCTCTTCTCCCCCGTATTTAACCACTAAATTTTATTTTATTTTGTTTTATTTTTATTATTATTTTTTGAGATGGAGTCTCACTCTGTCGCCCAGGCTGGAGTGCAGCGGTACGATCTCGGCTCAGTGCAACATCCGCCTCCCAGGTTCAAATGATTCTCCTGTCTCAGCCTCCTGAGTAGCTGGGACTACAGGCGCCCGACACCACGCCCAGCTAATTTTTGTATTTTTAGTAGAGACGGGGTTTCCCCATGTTGGCCAGAATGGTCTCGATCTCTTTACTTCGTGATTCGCCCACCTCGGCCTCCCAAAGTGCTGGGATTACAGATGTGAGCCACAGCACCTGGCCTTATTTTGTTTTTTTGAGATGGAGTCTTGCTCTGTCACCCAGGCTGGAGTGCAATGGTGCGATCCTGGCTCAATACAACTTCCGCCTCCTGGGTTCAAGTGATTCTCCTGCCTCAGCCTCCCGAGTAGCTGATACTACAGGCGCCCACCACCATGCCCAGCTAATTTTTGTATTTTTAGTAGAGATGGGGTTTCACCATGTTGGCCAAGCTGGTCTCAAACTCCTGACCTCACGTGATCCACCCACCTTGGCCTCCCAAAGTGCTGGGATTACAGGCATGAACCACTATGCCCAGCCTACTAAATTTTATTAACTTGACATCCTCCCCACTTCTCAAATCTGTTAACTTCTCACCAGTCCAGTGACCACCATTGTCTTTCACAAGGAACAGCCCCCTAAGTGGCTTCCACGCTTCATAAATTCTCTACCCCAAGCCACTCTTGAGAAATACTGTTATCAGAAAGGGATCCTTATCCATACCCCAAGAGATGGTTCTTGGATGTCGTGCCAGAAAGAATTTGGGGTAATTCTACAGAGTAAAGTGAAAGCAAGTTTATTAAGAAAGTAAAGGAATAAAAGAATGGCTCCACCAATAAACCCAGTCAGAGCTGGGTGTTCCCAAAAGCAAGAGGAGGAACACATCTACCTTATGTACAATGTTTGTTTATATGTAAAATAACAAAGCAAAAAACCATATGGAGGAGATGCGCTGCACTACAAGGCTGGTGACACAGGATTATTCATCTTTGTGTAACTACTGTCTTCCACAAGAAGATATTATTATTTAAAGATATTATCTTTAAAGCAAAACTCAGAATGCTTTTGTTCTTAAGATATCAGGACATCAGGACATTTCCTTGGTCTGTTAAGTCCTGAATCTGTTTGGTAAATGCTATTAACCTGTTCCCTTAACTCTAAACATCCTGTAACTAAGAATGCCTGACTTCCTGGGGCTGCGGCCCAGCAGGTCGCAGCCTCATTTTACCCAGCTTCTATTCAAGATGGAGTCTGATATGGTTTGGATTTGTGTACCCGCCCACAAATCTCATGTTTAATTGGAGGAGGGGTCCTGTGAGAGATGACTGGATCATGGGGGTGGATTTCCCCCTTGCTGTTCTCATGATAGTGAGTGGATTCTCACGAGATCTGATGGTTTAAAAGTGTGTGGCAACTCCCGCCCCACCCTCTACCCAACTGTCTCTCCTGCCACCCTGTGAAGAAAGTACTTGCTTCCCCTTTGTCTTCTGCCATGATTATAAGTTTCCTGAGGCCTCCCCAGCCATGCAGAACTGTGTCAATTAAACCTCTTTTCTTTATAAATTACCCAGTCTCAAATAGCTCTTTATAGCAATGTTGTTAGAGGCATTTGAACCAGAGCAACTCCATCTTGAGTGAGGGCTAGGAAAAATGAGGCTGGGACTTCCCGGGCTACATTCCCAGGAAGTTAGGTATTCCTAGGCTCTAGCTATTTATGATTAAGGGAACAGATTGATAACGTTTACTAAACATACCCAGGTTCAGGAATGTCCTGATACCCTAATATCTTGAAAACAGAAGCATTCCTAATTTTGCTTTAAACAAAATAATATCAGGCCAGGCACGGTGGCTCACGCCTGTAATCCCAGCACTTTGGCAGGCCGAGGCAGGCAGATCACAAGGTCAGGAGTTTGAGACCAGCCTGGCCAATACGTGAAAACCCGTCTCTACTAAAAATACAAAACTTAGCTGGGCGTGGTAGCAGGTGCCTGTAGTCCCAGCTACTCAGGAGGTTGAGGCAGGAGAATCACTTGAACCCGAGAGGTGAGTTTGCAGTGAGCCAAGATCGAACCACTGCACTCCAGCCTGGGCAACAGAGCAAGACTCCATCTCAAAAAAAAAAATAATAATAATAATATCAATTCTTGCAAAATATAGTAATTAAGAAAATGAATCCTTTATCACAAACCCTTGTAGCAGAGCACATCTCCCCATGATCCTTTTTTATCCTATACATAAACAAACATCATACGTAGGGTGGGCACATTCATCCTCCTACTTTCGGGAACGTCCTACTCTATGGAGTGAGTAGCTATTCTTTCACCACTTTACTTTCTTAATAAACTTACTTTCACTTTGCACTGTGGACTCACTCTGAATTCTTTCTTGCACAAGATCCAAGAACTCTCTCTTAGGGTCTGGATTGGGACCCCTTTCCGATAACAGTATGAAAACAGACTAACAGAGTTGCTATGGCTCAAATGCCTCTGACAATATGAGATATGATCATGTCACTTCCCTGGGCTAAGGCCCTCCATGGTCTAACCCACCTTCCTCCAAGCCCCATCTCCCACCCTCTCCCCCGTCACTGTCCATACAGACTGAATCACAGGCAGCTCCTACTGACTCACCAGGCATTCTTTAAACACACTGTTCTTTCTGCCCCAAACATCCTTCCTAGTCCCCTTGTCCTAACTTACTCCACCTGGACACTGCCCTCTTCAGGAAGCCTTTTTGGTCCCCAAAGCTAGATTAGACACTTCTTGTGCTCATGGAGCACCTAATGCTTAGGTGTATTATATCATTTATCACTCCGCTTGGTAATTATGAGTTTTTCTTGTCTTCCCACACTGAACTCTGTTTCCTTTTTTGTTAATCTCCCTGACTGGACCATGAGCTCCTGGAGGGCATGAACTGTACGCTCACTGCACCCCCACCACCTTGCATAGTGCTTGGCCAGAGAACTGCTATCCAATAAACATTTGCTGCATGAAAAACTGATTGGATGAATGAGGAAACAAACCAGCGAGTGAGTGACCTCAGGCCCCAGCTCTCTATTGACTAGCTGTGTGACCTCAAGAAAGGCACACAATTGTTTATGCCTCTGTATCCTCTGCTGTAAAAATGGGGAAAAAACCTGCCTTGCTGATCTTATAAAGATGTTAAGAAGATCAAAATTAAAGGAGCTGGTATATGGGAAACCTTCTTAAAAAGTACTTGAAAAAAAAAATCTTGAAATAGGAAATGGTGCCTTGAATCTCTCATTTCCAAGTAAGAGTACATAGAAGAAACATGTTCGCAACAATAGGGTGACACAGAAACCATAAAACAAGGCGACTGAGATATCTGGACAAAGTACAGTGGTAGAATTTAACTGGTTTATTGAGGTTGAGTCAGTATCCCCTCCCTTCCCCTCAATTACTACAGTACTATAAATAATAAAGTAAACAGGTATTGTGGGGAACACTGTTTCTCTTTTGGAAGCTCAACAAGGGCAGGAACCATGCCTTGTATATTTTATTTCCTCTTATGCCAGAGGTATTAACCTGGGATCTATATGGGCTTTAGGAGATCCTTGAAGCTGGTGAAATGCTGCATTATGTGAATTTTCTGGGGGAAAAAAATAAACAACTTCCTACAGATTTTCAAAAAGGACTATGCCTTCAAAAACCTGAGAAATCACTGCCATATAGTGCCTAGCACATTACAGACAGGGCACAAATGTTTACAGGAAGAATCCAGAGAGGAACTGATATAGACATAGTAACGACTCTCATTGGTCATACCTTCCAACTTATTCAGCAGCAAGTCTCACGTACAGAGGAGATACCAGGCCTACTTATTATTCTTCCATACATCTGTAACAGGAGAGTTTCTCAAATCTCTCCTTAGCATGCCTAACAGACAACATAATTGGTACAGTATTTCACTTATAAGGAATACTCATGCTGTTTTTTTCATACTAATGATAAAATTTTCAAATTCCTGTTGTCAATACTGCAAGCATACCCTATTATATGTAGCTCAGTCAGTAATTACAGCAATAATCAATAAACTAACCAACTATTTGCAGTCCATAGTTAATTTGTTAGTTTTCCCAGTGAAGAACTCAACAATCTTAACTCTATCAAATGGCTACAAATTCAATTATAACGCTACTCAGATGTGTCATTAGTTACACCTTCTTTCAATTATTTCTCATACTTTACATTAAGAGGCTTTTCCTTTATGATGCTGACCTCTCACAGAGCACACAACTGCCCCAGTGGTCAAAAATAACATATGAAGCCAATCTATTTTGAATATCAAATTAATAGCTACATTTACTTACCTGGCTTCAGGCTCTGACTCCTCAATAACTCATTGCTCCTGTCATGAGGAGACTACAATGTGTACAAGCTTTTCCTTAAAAGACTTGACCGAGGGTCCACATATGGTCACAGATTGATTAGATGATGAGAAAGAAAATCACAATGTGAAGGTCAACAGGGACCAACTCTGGGCCCTATTTATAGGCTCATGTTATTGGACAGATGTATTTATTAATGACTTGAAAGTGAAAATGACAGCAAGTTGGCCAAGTTTAATGATAACACCATTTGGTTAAAACCATAAAGGACTTTAAGGAGCCCCAGATGGCCTTCATAGAAGTTTGGGCAGCCAATAGCAGATGAAATTCAAATTGGCTATGTTTAAGGTAATATGTGTTGGCAGAAGGAGTTTAAATTTGTATTCAGCAACAGGCCCAAAATTTATGGGATCCTCTCAGCTGAAACTTTCAGAGTTATTACCTTGGTTAGCTTGGGGTAGTGTCCACACTGACCTTTCACCTGATTTTTAGGCTGTAGCAATTCTGCTATTCCTCTTAAAGTAGAAGTTTTAATAGCAGCTTCAGGGAACCTGCCACTTAAATAAAACAGGACTATCAGGCCATGCAGACAGCAAGCCAAATGAGACATTTTGTTATAAATAGGCTAAGCGGAACCCTCCACAGAGATGGAACTGAACTGGGAGCAGAGCCATATAAATGACAAAATGTTGGTGGTCCAAACCTCCTATTCCAGTGGTCCCCAGAGTGCCCTGGTGCCACCAAGACTGAGGCCTACTCGTGCTTATCTTTTCCTTTGCTTCCAAGAGCCACATAATAAATCCCTCGTTCTGATGCAAACTTGAATATGCTTCTGCTCCTTGCTACCAAACAGGCTCCAACATAGATCACAACAGGGGCTAAAAGGGGTCACTACACTTTTATCACTATTTCAAAGGCATCCAAGTGTTCCAAACAGAGAAGAGAATTAAAATAATCTGTCTCTGGAAAAAAGTTTTCTTTTTTGACTAGGATAAGAAAACAAAACAAAAACCTTACTTACAGCTTGCAGCATGTCATTATTTGAGTAAATAAACAAATCCCCAAAACAATTTATTTCCTTCAGTTTCCCTTTCTCATTCTTTTCACCGTTTCTCCACCTTCTCTGAAGAATATACTGTGTAATCAGTTGTTTGGATAAATTGCATTGAATTAGGGGACTAACAACTCATTGAAAGCTGAACTGATTTTGCCACCTGCAAAGTTAAGTTCAAAGTAGAACCTATTTAATATGTGGCATATTTGAAAGCACCATGTGGAAAATGAGCTTCTAACCTCTTTGTTCTTTAAAGAAAACTTCCTAATAGCTAAGGCCCTGATGCTATTAAATATTCAACTTCTAAATGGACAATGAATTTGGTAAACAAGGTAAAACACAGCCTTGTAGGTAAGGACAAAACTTTTAAACCTTCAGACGCCCACAGAGTTTTGTTTTTTTTTTTTGTTTTTTTTTTTTTTGAGATGGAGTCTTGCTCTGTCGCCCAGGCTGGAGTGCAGTGGTGTGATCTCGGCTGACTGCAACCTCTGCCTCCCGGGTTCAAGCAATTCTCCTGCCTCAGCCTCCCGAGTAGCTGGGACTACAGGCGCATGCCACCACGCCCGGCTAATTTTTAGTATTTTTAGTAGAAATGGGGTTTCACAGTGTTAGTCAGGATGGTCACGATCTCTTGACCTCATGATCCGCCCGCCTCAGCCTCCCAAAGTGCTGGGATTACAGGAGTGAGCCACCGCGCCCAGCCAACAGAGTATTTTTTACATTTCTCTACAAACTCAAGTACAGTGACATTTTGGTAATAAGTATTATTTTTTACACTCAGGAAAAAGCAGTATTTGCAAAGCTGAGCAGGACTATAATAGAGAGCAAAACAAAAACCTTATTTAAAACAACCAGGAGCAAAGAGACTGAGAGTCTGTATCCAGGCCTTGCCTTTAATTAGCCATGTGACTTCCAACTGATATCTGAATCTTCTATTCTCTGTGGGCCTCAATGTCCTTATTTGTAAAATGAAAGAGTTGAACAAAACCTCTGTGGTTACCTTCCAACTCTACTTGAGTAACTGCATGATTTTAGAGGCAATGTCCAAGTTATGTATATTAGGATAAAGCCAATCATATCCCAATTTATAAGGTGCTCCACAGGTCAAAAAGTATTTTTCCCTCATAGTACTCAACGTCTGACAGGGTACACTGTGGTCAAATACACCAAAGGGAATACTTACACTTCACTTAAATATAAGGACTCTTGTACTAAATATAATACAAGGTCTCATAATGGGAGGCACTACAGTAAAATGTATGCCATACTCTCCTGGCAATGTGGGAAAAAATGATATAAAGAGTGAGAATAGACAAAATGATGAAAATTATTTTTGTTAATACTGTGTTCTACTCACACAAGCCTCTCAATATTAAGAGAACCAGGTGTAATAAATCCCTAGACACAGGATTTAGCAGAAACAAATATAAATCTACTTACAAAAGCAAGATGTATTGGCTGAATTTCTTAATGAAAGGTCACCCAAAAGAAGAGGTTAACAGTAAAATAATCCCCTCCTAGAACTGGGCCTCCATAGAACTACCAGACAACAAACACAAAAAAATGGAAGGAAAAAAGCAGCACGCTATTTTCAATCTTTCTAGAAAATGAGAGGAGGAAATGAGAACAACAACAACAAAATTTAAACTACATTAAGGGAATATTTAATTAGCAATGATCAGGTATTTAGTTTTCAGAATATGTAGGTTGTGTGTATTTTTTTTCTAATAAAGCATTTCAAATTCTAATTAAAAAAATACTTTAGGCCGGGCGCGGTGGCTCACGCCTGTAATCTCAGCACTTTGGGAGGCCGAGGCGGGTGGATCATGAGGTCAGGAGATCGAGACCATCCCGGCTAACAAGGTGAAACCCCATCTCTACTAAAAATACAAAAAATTAGCCGGGCGCGGTGGCGGGCGCCTGTAGTCCCAGCTACTCGGGAGGCTGAGGCAGGAGAATGGCGTGAACCCGGGAAGCGGAGCTTGCAGTGAGCCGAGATTGCGCCACTGCAGTCCGCAGTCCGGCCTGGGCGACAGAGCGAGACTCTGTCTCAAAAAAAAAAAAAAAAAAAACTTTATGGAGGAATTAAAAAGATGCAATAGTGTCAGAGGAAAAGCCGTGATCCCAGAAGTGGAATATTCTAACAACATAACTTACAAGAAACTATGCTATAAAAACAGATTGTTGATTAACACAAACTCATAACAAAATGCAGAGCAGCTATCACAATGGTGCTGTAATAACACTTGGCTGCTGAATTCTTTCAATACATTAAATATCTCCTTGGAGACCAAATTACTTTACATTTTCTTAAAAGACAATTTATTATAGCTTTGTTTTCTTCTCTTTATCTCTTAAAAATATCTCTAATGAAGAAAAGAATACAACTTCTAAATAACTTACATAAAATGGTACTAATGTGTGACAACAGACTTTGGTTTAATATGTTGGTTATTATTTAACAGCACACAACAACCTATTGTCATGACAAATCCTTACCATAATACAATATTCCACGTGTCACATGTATCAAAAACCACTGTATGCCATTATTATGGCACTCATAAAATTAACAGCCTCAGGCTGCTAGTGATTTAAATAATTGATAAGTTTTCAATTAAAAAGGCAACATTTTCAGGTCTAATACAAAAATCTATTTAAATTACTAATAAAAATGTACACTTGTACTGGCCCAAAGCCAGAAAATGCCTGCATCCAAGAGGGGGAAAAAGTAATTCTTCAAGTTTCAACTCAGAGGTTGCAAATTTGTTTTTATTCTTATGCAGAGATATAGGCTGTTTATTTACTTAACCTTTGTAATCAATGAAAAAGAATGATTAAAGGACTAATGGTAAAAGTGCCTCTATTTTTGCTTTCCCACATATGGCTTTTAAAGAAATACTAAGATGACCACAGGTGTACTGAATTCTATATGAAAAACTAAGCTCTTTTGGCCGGGTATGGTGGCTCATGCCTGTAATCCCAGCATTTTGGGAGGCCAAGGTGTGCGGATCACTTGAGATCAGGAGTTCGAGACCAGCCTGGCCAATATCGAGAAATCCCATCTCTACCAAAAAGTACAAAAATTAGCCGTGCGTGGTGGCGGGCACCTGTAATCCCAGCTACCCGGGAGGCTGAGGCATGAGAATCACTTGAACCCAGGAGGCGGAGGTTGCAGTGAGCCGAGATCAGGCTACTGCACTCCACCCTAGGCAACAGAATGAGACTTCATCTCAAAAACAAAACAAGACCAAAAACAAAAGAAAAAAACAGCTTTTTGCAAAAAACAATAAAAATGTGGTAATCTGTCAGTATCTTCCCTATGCCTTTATACGAAATCCTGGACTCAAACTTCAGAGCCAAATTGAACCTACAAAATAAAGACCAATGCAAATTTGTAGGAACATGCTGGTAATCATGAGGACTACCAATCAAAACCTACTGTAAGGTTACGTCCAAATGGTTCTCCTTAAATTTCAATCATAAGAACCAAGACAGATCAAAATGACAGCCAACCTGGCCAGGCACCTTGGCTCACGCCTGTAATTCCAGCACCTTGGGAGGCTGAGGCAGGAGGACCACTTGAGGCCAGGAGTTTGAGGCCAACCTGGGCAACAAAGCAAGACCCTATCTCTACAAAAAATTTTTTTAAATTATCTCATCAATGAGATAGATGACTTCTATTCAGATAAAAAAAAGTGGACCCAAGTAATCTCAGAAACTTTTAAACTAAGGACATGTAATGTAAGATTATGTAATCATATTTTCCTACAACACAAAAATAATTAAACACTGAATTTGAGAAAATAAGCATATGCTGTAAGGAATACATGGTGCAGAAATCACAACTAAGGTATTATATAAACCCAAATTATTCAGAATTTAATAATGATGATGACAGGCCGGGCACAGTGGCTCATGCCTGTAATCCCAGCACTTTGGGAGGCCGAGGCGGGTGGATCACGGGGTCAGGAGTTTGAGACCAGCCTGGCCAACATGATGAAACCCCGTCTCTACTAAAAATACAAAAATTAGCCAGGCATGGTGGTGGGTGCCTGTAATCCCAGCTACTCAGGAGGCTGAGGCAGGAGAATTGCTTAAACCCGGGAGACAGAGGTTGCAGTGAGCCAAGATGGCACCACTGCACTCCAGCCTCGGTGACAGAGCAAGACTCCATCTCGGAGAAAAAAAAATAAATAACAGTGATGACATAAAAAAAATCCTGCAAAGAGGAAGGTGGGGGAGAGACAGTGTAAAACAGTAAATGAGCAACAGCTTGGGCATGAAAAGAAACTGAACTTAAATTCCATATTCACATTCATACTAGCTCTAAGACCTTGGGCTTATCTCTTAACCACAGCTTCCTCATCTAAAAAATAAGGATGATAATATCTGTCTTACAGAGTGATTATTAAAACTAAAAAAATTAAATACCTCAAGCATTTTGTATATAGCAGTAACTTAGAAATGGAAATCATCATTATCACTGTGACCACACCCACTAACATTTTCAAAAAGCACAATTTGTAAGATCATACCCAAAAGTACATATCTTTTGCATGTGGTTAAGTTGAATACATAATGAAAGTATATTGATGTCAGTTCTCTGCAATGGACATATGTGAGAAAATTAGAACCCATCTGTGTGTGTGGGTTTTCTAAAAATAAGCATGTCACATTCTCAGGAGAGTTAGCCAATCTATCAATACCAGTGGTAGACCTTTTCAGCAGACAATCCTACTCTGCCTTTCAAGGTACTGATGAGCCCAGCTCTAAATTCTCAGTACACAAAGACTCTCACATAAGTTAATGCGAAGTCAATGGGAAATTGACTTTTCCTATTCTGTGCTGGTTGGAATGCAATGCTCTGTTAATCATCCTATCCTTCTTGTTCTCTATTCTCCTACCCTAAATTAAAACTATTGGCAGAAACCCATACAGACAGTTTACAGTTTTCATTACAATGAAACAATATCCTGGCTGAAGCTGAAGTCTATCAAAAACCTACAACCTAACTGTTGACTAAGATTAGGGTCTCAGTGAAAAGCAAGAGCCCTGATTCCATCATTTCCACATGATTCCAAATGATTCCATCATTTGCATTTGTATAGAACTTTTAACTTTTCAAAGGGCTTTCACATCTATTCTTCTATTTGATCATTACAATGGCCCTGTGCAGTATAAAGGACAAGTATTATTATCCACAATTGACAGATGAGGCAACTACAGCACTGAAAGGTTAAGTGATTTGCCTAGGGCCAAGAAACCACAGTAGAGCTAAGGTCTCCTGACTTCCAGTCCAATGCTCTTTCTACCAGGCCACGGGAAAAGGTTTTGTAAACAGATTACAGACTCAGATATAACAAAACAAAACTTGAGAGGAAGGCACAAATCAAGACTCAGGTAACCTATGTCTCCTCATGATAGCTGAATTTTTCAAGCTTAGTATTGAAGCTTTAGAAATATGCCCTTTTCTCTTGTTTACTTCAGTATCAGATAACTGTTAACGCAGATTTTCAGTAAAATTTTAAACACAAAAGAAAAGTCGTTTCAGAATATATTCAGATCACTTTGATTCAGTAAGTAGCCCTGTAGTTCATTTTCGGTGGGAGTATTATGGGTAGTGCATAAATAACCAACAGTACATCTTTAAATCGTGTATCCATATTAAGCCTGCAGCTACATTGTAAACTATAGTCTGGAAGGGTGAGAGAGATCTCCAGTTGAAAGTAGATTTTGAAAAATTTTTTAGAGCCCAGGGGTTCATTTTTAATGAGCCGTTACTTTAAGTACTGCATAAAAAATACAGGAAATTGATAGTCCATTTAGTCTGCATCATACCTAATGCAAAAGTCATTAAGATGCATTATTCTTAATGTTTATGATATGATCAGTAAGTGTCTTTTGAAAATAATGCCCTTAACTTTCACATACGGAAATCCTTGAAACCTTTACCTATTATATAGAAAAATGTATGACAACTGTGATTTATTTACTCGTCTTCACTATGCCCAAGAAACAGCATCCTCAATCACGTTAAGATTTTAAAAAATAGTCTTCATTTGTCGTATACTTACATATGACAGCATTGCCTTCATTTCCTCATCACTTCTCACTGTAATTCGATCACCATCTTCATCTTCATCTGTTTAAAAGCACATAATGCAAATGATAAGGTGTGCATTTGTTTAATGCACAAAGGGAACATAATATAAACGGTTTATTACAATGTGATATTCTAACCCTCAACACCACATTTTGGGGGTATGTTGACATTATTAGTTTGTTGTTTTGTTTTCCATTTGGAATATGATCAGAATCTCAATATAAAACTTTCTTTTAGGGATAGCAGAAAATTAAAATATTGCTCATGTCATTCACAACATATCTCTAGGTTAAAGTAAATATAACTGGAGTATGACAAAACAGGTTTGGTTAGCGGAACTAAAAACCAACGAGAGGCCAGTCTTGTTCTACTATCCACACTTTTTAAATCTCCCAAACAGCACCATACCCCGATTTCTCCATTCTTCCTCTCTCCCAGGCAATCTATCATCTCACAACAGCATGATAAAAATGGCTAACACTTACTGAACACTACAATACATGAGGCACTGTGATCTATGCTTCATATGCAATACCTCCTTGAAAACCTCATAACAAACCTGCGACATGAACATCATTATTATTATTCTCTTTCCACAGGAGAACCTAGGCCTAGTGCAAGGTTAACTTGTAAAGCAGCTCTAATACAGGTCTCCCCCATTCTATTTAGCAGCTCTTTTTCCGAACAGTTTCACTTGTTTTGCATACTCTCCAGCCATAGAAAGCTTCAAATGCTATTCATGCTATTTTGAAATAATTTAAGTCTTAAGGCTGGAGGACAAGACTTCACAAACTACATAACCAGAATGTGTAAATTTGAGTAAGTATCATCAGAGGCCACATCTAGAAATAATGTATTTATTTCATGATACTTCTCTTATTCAAAGTAGTTTTTGAAATATCTCTTCAAAACTGCTTTAAAAACCTGAAGATAGACTATGTGAGAATATTAAATCTCATTTTTAACCCAAAATGAAATTGTTGGCCTGATCACTTACCCACATCATCTGCCAAGCATGTCTAAGAATGACTTATGGCTATTTCCAAATATATAGTTAACTCTTCATCCTTCTATAAAGATTTGTCAACAGTGAGGACAGCCTATGTAGTAGACTGTAAATGCACAGTTGAAAGAAATGCCAAAAACGTCTGGAGCAACGTACAGAGCCTCCCAAGGGGACAACTTGGAAGGGGCAGGCTCTCAGCAGGATGCCTCAGTTCTGGTGTTAACAATCGGAATTATTATTTTTGTTCACTCTTGGGCATATAATTGCTGATTTGATCATATAGAAAGACTGTTCTGATCCCAAGCCTGGAGAACCTCAGACAAATCTCTCATCATGAAGAGAATAAGCTTGCCCAACATGGTCAGGGGATGCTTACTGAAAGTACAGAGGGAGTTCAGTTCAACACAGGGATCTTCCCCTACCACAAGTCAGTGGGTCTTCCCTCCTGTCTGGCTGTAGTTCCAAGGATATCCCCCTGCTTGGTGACTAGGCTATGGGGACCCTAGGAGGAAGCTTGTGTTCTTTCACAATTAGCCTAATTTCAAGCAAAATACTTTCTCCCTTTATCTCTTCAGTGGCCAACAGCAATCTGATAGCATGATCGAAACCAGCACTTGGACCAGTCCTGTTCAGTGACCCATAGCTCTCACTCTTTCCAAGCACTTGTTTTCTTTCCAAGCACTTGTTTCTGGATCCTGGTTCACTGCTGCAGAGTTCCCCAACTCAGTGTGAATCGGTATCATCAAGATCACACTGTCTAAATCTAGGAGAGTCACTACCAGTATTCTGCTATCAAGAGTTGCCTGTTTTCAGAGTAAAAGGCATACACTGGTCACTTGCAGTAATGAAGAAGGCACAGTCCTGAGAGATGTTACACACATAAAGATTCTTTCATTCGCTTTAGATATAGAATCTCTAGAGCCAAATTGGGGGAGAAATGCCATTCCAGCTGTAGAGAGAGAAGAAAGGAGTCTGTCTATATATAAGTTCTAGAAACTAATATTTTCAAGGTTAAGGCGAAAGTTTTCTTAAAAATGCAGGAGACAGGAAAAAACAAAGTACAAATGATGTAATGTTACATATCACCACACATGAAAGCACTTTACATTTTTGCTTTAAAACCAGGTCAAATTCTCTTTAAATGTAGGCTAAACTGATTTGTTCTTTATGAAGTTCTGAACTTGGCATAAAAACAAATTCCAGCCTGAATAAAGTAGTTTTTTTAAAATAAATCTCATTTCTGCAACTAAGCTAGCTATAGAGATTATGGTTAAAAAGAGACTGCTTATATTTGAATTTCAATATACCCAAGACCTGAATAAGGTATTGTTCACATAGGATGGGCAAGTGCTTATATTTTGGTAAAACGAGTGAAAACCCTTCTTATAATTTATTTAAAAAAAGGGGGGGGCACCGATTACATAAAAATCATTTAAATCACAATCAAGAACAAAAGGAGAGTTCTTCAACTTCTCAAAGCTAGAGCTTGAACCTTTAAGGCTACTTAAACCAAAATATTTTGGAATTCTAAATTTCTAAGAAATCTCTTGAGGGATTATTTCAGAAGAAAAAGATCTGTGAAAGAAGTCAGCTACCAGAATAATTTCTTGAAGAGAAGTTGCATAAAAAGTAGCTATGAAACATTACAAGAGCATTTGCTTAAGTGGACAGAAAACTGAAGCCAAAAGGTTAGAATAGCTTTTGACATCAACCCAGTGATAAAATGTTGGAACTCTCCCCTTAGGGGGTCTGACTCCAAAAGAAGATTTCAGATAAGTTGAAAGAGGCATTCTAATAAAGGCTGGGGATAAAATCAGGCTTATATGGCATACTGATGAATAGTTGTTGTGGGTTAATAGGATACCTAGCTTTATATAGGTATTGGTTTTCTTTACAAACTGCTCTTTGGGAGACTGTCTGATTTGCTCTTTAATATCTATGCTTAGTCGTTTTATTAAAGACTCCTTGTTTTTGTCCAAGAGGAAACTGAGTTAGAAAAGTAACCATACCCATGAGAAGACTGGTGGCTCCAGCCAAAAGGCAAAAGCTGAGCTGTCTCTGACCCCTTGATGGCAGCCCAAGAGCAAACCACTCACCTTAACCTGTAAAGCAAAAATGCACTTCTCTCTAAAGACAGTGAATTGACAGCTACGAAAAGTTAGTGAAGGGTAAGAAAGCAGAAATACATACTAAGCAAATTACTATGACAGTAGCCTAAAATACTTTTCTGAACAAAAACTTGGATATATACAGCCCATCTAGCCAAGATTCAGGCTAGCTGCCTATCAAGCTGGATAAGCTGTAAAAATTACACTAGCTGGAACCATAAATCATAAAAACTTACTAAACTGCCACAAAGTTTCAGAGGTACAAATATGTTAGAGAACAACACTAGAAAGTAGTGGTACTAAGAAGCAAGAAAATAATTTGAGCTTTTTCTATCTTATACATGGAGGTTCTTTGCCATCTGACCAAAAAAACGTTACCGGATATGACCAACAAAAGGGGTGGGGGTAGGGGAGCAGACAGATCTGATACATTGGTTCACAATGAGAATTCCAGGCTTCTCTAGTTGCCTGGAGCATAGTAATATGATTTTCCAGCACATTAGGGAAGCAAAAGTAGAACCAGAAAGCCTATGTACTGGCTAGATTTTGTTAATGTCACTTAAAATGGAGGAAAAAATCCTAGCAAGATACCAAATAGAGTGCAGCAGATGGTAAACCAATATTATGAAGCAATCTTCACAAAATCTGCAGTGTGTCACAAATATACAAAATGGCAGAGTTTGGGAAAAGAGAATCATAACAGGCCATATGTTGTTAGCAATTTTATTTGAGGCAACATGCAATCCAAAAGAAAAACCAAGAAGAGAAACATAAAGGCCCAATAGAGAGGAGAAGCAGCCTCAGGTAAGGGGCGGTCACAATGGCCTACTGAGTAAACAGCAGATAAACAGCAGACTCCAGGGAGCTCTCAGCCAAACAGCACCCACTGCAGTGACAGGGGCTCAAGAAGGCTTTCAAGAGAAACAATCTAGCTTCTACAAAGAGCTACAGAAAGTTAAGGCAATATATTATATGTCATTTGTCACACTCCTTCTGTGCCAGGTGGCAATTAGAACTACTGCAAAGGCACTTTTCCCAGGTAAGAGAAAAGAAATGAAAACATAATTATAGAAGTTAGAAAGACATCAACAGGAAACTACCGGAAAAGATGTCATGTTTAAAGCCCTTCTCAGGCACGGAGTTAATGACGTGGGCAGGACCAGAGGCCGTACTTTCCATGGCCACATCTTCATATCCATGAGTTTTAATTTAGCTTCTTGCTTCCCTCTTCCTGATTCCTTCCTTACTTCTTTGCTTTCTTCCTCCTTCCAGCAAATAAAAGTACCCACTATGTGGTGGGCACTGTTCTGGGCACTGGGACAGTAACAGTGAAAAAAGAAAAAACAAACAAAATCCTGCCTTCATGGAACATACACTCTAGTGGAAAGAGACTGAAGGAGGTGAGGGAGTGGGCCTTGCTGATATCTGGGGAAAGACTGTTCCAGGCAGAGGCAGCAGCTAATACAAAGGCCCTGGGTCAGAGGAATGCCTGGCATGTTTGACAGACCGAAAGGAAGCCAGAGTGGCTAGAACAGAATGAGAGGTTTGGGGAGAAACACACGGGTTCAGAGAAACAATGGTGGGACAGGTTGAGGCCAGATGCGAAAATGCAGAGCCTTGGAGGGCATTTTAAGGACTTGGTCTTTTACTTTGGAGTGAGATGGAAATCACTGGAGGGTTGTGAGCGTGGTGGTGTCACCTGACTTCTAAAAGAATCACTCTGGCTGCCATGTGGAAAAGAGGCTGTATAGAGGCAAAAGTAGAACAGGGAGACCAGTTTGGAGGCCACTGTCCTAATCCCGGTGAGAGATGATGGTGGCCTAAACCAAGCTGAGGTTTTAAGAAGTCATCACATGCTGGATAAATTTGAAGATAGAGCCAACAGGACTTGCTGATGAATGGGATATAGAAAGCTTATCCTTATTACTTCACTCTTCAACCATCCATGCATTCCAGAAACACACATAGAGTGCCTATTACGTGCCAGGTACCATTATGGTAGGGATTCAAAAATAAGCTGCACTGTCCACTGACCTTAAGGAACAACTAGTCTGGTGCTTGAGTAAAGGACTCAAACTTCTTAATTTTCATACAAATTAGCAAGACTATTAATAAGAAATGACTACTCTCATAAGACTAAAAGGGATTTGGACTTTTTGCATCAGTAATATTTCCAGCCAAAATTTCAACAAATTAAAGCTCTCTTATTTTGCCCCAAATTCTAGGATGCATAATTAACTCTTACATGTTAAATAATTTTCAGGCTCAGTGTAGGTTTGTTGTGACCATTTTTCACTAACTTACCTAGTTTTACTTAAAAATGACCCTTTATATTTTTACATATACAATAGTTTAAGGAAATGAAACTTCATTTCTTCCAAATATTTTATGATTTAGACTCTTCTCTGAAGCAAAAAGAGGCTCCCACCCAACTATTCTTAACAAGATTGTCATGGCTAGCTGAACACAAGAGTATCTCCTACAGGTGTCACTCCAGTTATCAGCTATAGTTGTTTCCTATACTCTGAGAATTTACAACTTCCAGAATTGCAATTTAGCTTTAAATGGTCATACTATGCCAAATTTAAAATGAGACATAATGTGTTGGTTTAAAGATTTCCACCCTAAATACAAAATAATCTTCCAGCAGTTCATAAAACAGCTGAAAATGATTCTGTGCAATAAGGAGAGAGTATAAAATGGGGTTGAAGAAAGGCACAAATTCAATAAATATTTATTCTATAACCATGTTTTCTGAACCAAACTCAGACACACGGTTTGACAAGTGTGAAGATACTTCTGAGAGCTACAGATTAGAATACATGAGTGTAATAGAAAAGTGAAACCACATGGTTTTTATAGGTTTAAGACAGCATTTGTCTACATGGACTTAAAATGCATGTTTCAAGTCACCAGTGAGATTTTACTGTCCACGAACACCAATCCAACAGTCATTTTATAGCAGTTACTTCTCTAGAGAAAATGCTGGCAGAGGAACACAAGTAACAGATATGCACAGGAAATGCATTAGTGGGCACGGTTGATTTTTATCACCTCATGTGTTGGTGTACTCATTAATCTGCTAATGAAACTGTGAAAATCAGCAGGGGTCTCTGGGCCTATATGAATGTCAAGCTCTTACAGCATATGTAGGACCCAGAAATGCAAACACACAGGATTTTTTATGGTTATGGAATTTACCTTCATCTCAGAAAGGTTCTCACATCTGGGAAAAGAAAAACTATTCCATAACTGGTGTGGAATCAACTATCTGCTTGAAAAATAAAGTTGGATCCCCACCTGATTTATTTCACCAAAATAAACTGAAGATGGTGCAAGAATTAAGAAAAACAAGGGCTGGGAGCAGTGGCTCATACCTGTAATGCCAGCACTTTGGGAGGCCGAGGCAGGTGGATTACCTGAGGTCAGGAGTTCGAGACCAGCCTGACCAACATGGTGAAACCCTGTCTCTACTAAAAAATAGAAAAATTAGCTGGGCATGGTGGTGGGCACCTGTAATCCCAGCTACTAGGGAGGCTGAGGCAGAAGAATCACTTGAATCCAGGGGGCGGAGGTTGCAGTGAGCTGAGATCATGCCATTGCACTCCAGCCTAGGCGACAGAGCAAGACTCCATCTCAAAAAAAAAAAAAAAGAAAGAAAAGAAAAAGAAAAATAAACAAATTCTGAACTTTGTAATAAAAATACATGCTTTTTATAAAAACCCACAATACGACACATACAAATTTATATAAATAACTGTGTGTGTGTGTCTAACCTCATTAAAGTAGAAGGAAAAAAGAATATCAATGAATGTTTCTTCAATATCCTGGACTGTAGAAGACCTTTCTAAGCATGACATAAACCCAGAAGTTACAAAGGAAAATAAGTAAGTTTGACCATGTAAAAATTTTAAACTTCTCCACGGAAAAAAGAAGAGAGAATAAGAAGACCAGAACAAACCGAAAAGAGCAATAAGCTGAACAAAAACATTTGTAACACACAAGACAAAGGGCCAACCTTAATATTGGAAAACCCTTAAATCAATTAGAAAAAGATAAATAACCAAATAGAAAAACAGGCAAAGACGACAAATAGTTTATAGAAATGAAATACAAATAGCTGGCCAGGTACGGTGGCTCATGCCTGTAATCCTAGCATTTTGGGAGGCTGAGACAGGCAGATCACCTGAGGTCAGGAGTTTGAGACCAGTCTGGTCAACATGGTGAAACCCCGTATCTACTAAAAATACAAAAAAATTAGCCGGGTGTGGTGGCGCATGCCTGTAGTCCTAGCTACTTGGGAGGCTGAGGCAGGAGAATCGCTTGAACCCCTGAGGTGGAGGTTGCAGTGAGCCGAGATCACACCACTGCACTCCAGCCTGGGCGACAGAGTGAGACTGCGTCTCAAAAAAAAAAAGGAAATTAAATACAAATAGCCAAATACAAATGAGAAGATATTCAAGCTCATTTACAATTTAAAAAATATAAAATAAAACAGTAACACAGTAATATTTTCACCTATCAAACTGACATTGACTAAAAGGTTTGCTAATATCCAGAGTTGATGGGGTTGGAGGGAAATGGGCCTTCTCATACCTTGTTGGTGTGAGTGTAGATTGGTTCTACCTTTTGGTGAGCAAACACAGTAATAGATATTGAAATTTAAATATGGGTATTCTTTGTCTCAGTAGTTCCAACTCTAAGAATTTATCTTACAAATTTATTTCCACAATGATATGGTTTGAATATTTGTCCCCTCCAAAGTGATCCCCAATGTTGCAGGCGGGGCCTGGAAGGAGGTGTTTTTGTCGTGGGGGTGGATCCCCCATGAATGACTCAGTGCCCTCTCTATGGTAGTGGGTTCTCACTCTGTTGGTTCATGTGAGAAACTGGTTGGTTGAAGGAGCCTGGCACCTCCTCCACTCTCTCTCGCCATGTGACACGCCTGCTGCCCCTTCACTTTCTGCCATAAGTAAAAGCTTCCTCAGCAGAATGCAAGCAGATGCTAGTGCCATGCTTGTACAGCCTGTAGAACTGTGAGCTCTAGATGTAATGGAGAATAAGGACCTAAAAGAGGTCCTTTTAATAAGAAAACAAGGTTTAGGACCATCAGCCCAAAAGGTGAGTTCTGCAGACAGATGTCCCTCTCCTCATCCAGCCCTAACTCCCCTTGGAAACACCACACCCAGAAAAAGAAATCAGAAAGAATACAGCTCCTCAGGTTTGACCCCCTTGGGTCAGTCAAATGTGGGAATTTGATTTGGAGGCCTGAACTGTCCACCACCAACCAATTATATCCCATGCTCAGGCTATAACACAAATAATCCAAAAACGCAAATTACTCATTTAGATTTAGACCATATACATTTTATAATTTTCATTTGAATATGGACACACATAACGTTCCACTCATTCAACAAGTGTGTTCCTCTAAGGCAGCAAGCTCATTACTAAGAAGAGAGAAAGAGTGGAATAAAACATCGTACCTATCACTAAGTGACTCAAAATGTAATGAGGGAAGTTAACATGCACACACACACCAGAAGGCAGGTTGAAGGGGTTCCCTGCTCTAGTAAAGGTGCAGAGAGATTAATGCCATCTGGAATCACCGGAGGTTTCATTGAAGAGACGCCATTTCTCAGAACTGGAGAATCTGTAACATTACCTGACCTTTCCCCTCTTTTCCACTCACTCAACTCTTTTTCTCTACATTTATACAAAACAGGTACATTTGACAGCTACCCTATCTCTTGTTGCTTAATTCATATCACTAACTATAACACCATTTCTTTTATATAAGATATCAATTAGTGTTAGGTATATTTTCAGTATTAAATGTATTACTATAAGGCCAGGTGCGGTGGCTCACACCTGTAATCCCAACACTTTGAGAGGCTGAGGAGCATGGATTGCTTGAGCCCAGGAGTTCAAGACCAGGTTGGGCAACATGGCCAAAGCCCATCTCTACAAAATATACAAAAGTTAGCCAGTGTAGTGGCATGCACCTGTAGTCCCAGCTACTCAGGAGGCTGAGGTGGGAGGATTGCTTGAGTCTGGGAGGCAGAGGTTGCAGTGAGCTGAGATCGCACCACTGCACTCTCCAGCCTGGGTGACAGAGCCAGACCATTTCAAAAAAACCAAAAATGTATTACTATAAGTATTTCTTTTATTAAAGTTGTATTTATTCAAGGGTTGTTCCATTATACCCATAAGCCACTGAAATATTTCCAAAATTCCTTATAAGCTATATCTTCTCAACTATTTCTTTTTTTTTTTTTTTTTTTTTTTGAGATGGAGTCTCGCTCTGTCGCCCAGGCCGGACTGCGGACTGCAGTGGCGCAATCTCGGCTCACTGCAAGCTCCGCTTCCCGGGTTCACGCCATTCTCCTGCCTCAGCCTCCCGAGTAGCTGGGACTACAGGCGCCCGCCACCGCGCCCGGCTAATTTTTTGTATTTTTAGTAGAGACGGGGTTTCACCTTGTTAGCCAGGATGGTCTCGATCTCCTGACCTCATGATCCACCTGCCTCGGCCTCCCAAAGTGCTGGGATTACAGGCGTGAGCCACCACGCCCGGCCTCAACTATTTCTTAAACATAGATTCCATTTATTGGTTCGGATTTCTGGTTCAGAAAAAAAAGTCACCACAAAATAATCATGAAAAAAGCCAGCCTAGGATTTCAAGTCTATAGTGGAAAGTACATGATAATCCAAACACAAAACAACTAAGAACTGTCATTATTTTGTCTGTGGGTATGTTTTGTATTTATTGTTTTTCATTTAAAACTGGCCCACATGAAGATGGGCACAGAGCTGCTGCCATTGATGGGGCAAAAGAAAGAGCATGATATCACAGAACGTAAACCTGGAGTAGTAGAGGTTTATCTATATTTACACTTAACAGGCTTTTGACACACTTGGGGATAAAGAGTGCAAGTTTTATAGTCAAAAAGATGTGTGTTTGAACCTGGGCTTCACCGTTCCAAGCAATCACATTCAGCAATCATTTCAGGCCTCTAAGCTTCGTTTCCTCACAGGTATAATTTTCCTATTTCACAGACTCAGTATAAAGATTACTAACAACTTAGGCAAGTCATCTAGTACACTGCCTGGCACAGAGCAAGCTATCAATGAATGATAGTTAAAATAATCAGTATTATTATTATTATGAACCCTAACTGGAAGCCAATGAGGCAGGCACAGGCACATCAAGCCACTTTGGGGATCCGAAAAGCAAGTAAAAAGTACAAAGTAAACTTCTTTTTACCATGCTTAAGAACAACCAGAATATATGATTTCAATAATTATGACAACTCTCAAAACAAGTCCAGTACAGTGGTTGAGAATATACACTCTGGAAACTACTCCAGAAATTCCACTTTACCACTTAACAGCTGAGAGACTTTCAGCAAGTTGCTTAAAGATTTCCTTTCCTCAACCAAAAAACAGAGCTAATAATGTCCTTTTAAGTACTTCGTGGGTACAGTGGCTCACACCTGTAATCCCAGCACTTTGAAAGGCCAAGATGGGACTATCACTTGAGGCCAGGAGTTCAAGACCAGCCTGAGCAACACAGCAAGACCCCGTTTCTACAAAAAAATTTTTTTAATTAGCTAGGTGTGGAGGTGGGTGCCTGTAGTCCCAGCTACTCGGGAGGCTGAGGCAGGAAGATCACTTGAGCCCAGGAGTTTAAGGCTGCAGTGAGCTATCATCATGTCACTGCACTCCAGCCTGGGCAACAGAGCAATACTCTGTCTCAAAAAAATAACGAGTACTTCGTGGGGATCTTGTGATGGTTAAAAGAAATAAGATAACCCATGGAATGCTCTTAGCAAAGCATCTGTCAACAGTAAGTACTCCGAATGTTAACTATCAGACTGTCCATGAAACCCGTGGAACCTGCAAGGAGTTACTGCAAAGAGTCTGAATAAAGCTTGCAACACTAGTATGTATTTCAGACAGATGTACTATTTTTCTATAGTACAGAGTTCAATGTGACTAATAAAATACTAATTACATTGAGTTCTACTCATTATAGCTTTTAAAAACAGGCAATGATTGTTGAAAAATGTTCAAACAATAGAGAAACATACAAAGTAAAAAGTGTGATCATTCATCCACCCCCTCCCGCCCCCACCAACCCAAGCCTCAGGCCCCAAGTCCACTTTACAGGGTAAGTCACTGGAAAGTACTGTAGTAGGCACTCTTCAGATCCTATCTTTCAATACACACATAAAGTTGGGGAAGCGTGGTTGGATATTTTACAAAATGGGATCATACTATATGCATTATTTGTTTATTCAACAATATTTCACAGATATCTTTCCGTACAAATGTAAAAAATCCTAACTCATTCTTTTTAGTCACTGTTGAATGCTTTGAATTATAGACAAATAGTAATTTATTAATCCATTATAATAGGCATTTAGTTTACCTCTAATTTTTTGCTATTGAAAATAATCCCACAAGCCTGAGCCAGGAGGTCAAGGCTACAGCAAGCTGTGATCTCACTACTGCACTCCAGCTTGGGCAAAAGAGTGAGACCCTATCTCCAAAATAAATAAATAATCCCACAGTGGGCCAGGCACAGTGGCTGACATCTATAATCCCAACACTTAGGGAGGTCAAGGCAGGAGGCTCACTTGAGGCAAGGAGTTCAAGACTAGCCTGGACAACATAGCAAGACCCCATCTCCACATAAAATTTAAAAATTAGCCAAGCATAGTGGTGCATGCGTGTAGTCCCAGTTACTTGGGAGGCTGAGGTGGGAGGATTGTGTAAGCCCAGGAGTTCAAGGTTACAGTGAGCTATCATGCCACAGCATTCCAGTCTAGGCACCAAGGCAAGATCCTGTCTCTAAAAATAACAATAATTATCATCATGATCTCACAATGAACACTTTGTTTGATGGGCATTCAACAAATGTGTAGCTATTTCTGTTGAACTGCTTCCTGACAGTGGATCTGCTAAGTCAAAGGTTTTGCACATTTTATATGTTGATAAGAAATGCCTAATTATCCTCCAAAAAGGAAGTACTCATTGTATTCTCTGTAAGTAACCATCTTCATAAAAAACAGAAACAAAAAAGTATCCTATTGTGGAAAAACTGAAATTTTTCTACATTAAGAAGTGACCCTCTGGCCAGGTGCAGTGGCTCACACTTATAATCCCAGCACTTTGGGAGGCTGAGGTGGGTGGATCACTTGAGGTCAGGAGTTCAAGACCAGCCTGGCCAACATGGCAAAACCCTGTCTCTACTAAAAATACAAAGATTACTTGGGCATGGTGGTGCACACCTGTAATCTCAACTACTCAGGAGGCTGAGGCATGAGAACTGCTTGAACCCAGGAGGCAGAGGTTGCAGTGAGCTAAGATCGCACCACTGCCCTCCAGCCTGGGCAACACAGTGAGAGTCTGCGGCAAAAAAAAAAAAGAAAAAAGAAAAAGAAAAGAAAAAAGTAGCCCTCATCTTAAAAAAAAAAAACTACAGTTCTTACTTCATCCCTCTCAGCATCCGGGCCCTTATGCTACTGACTATCTCATCGTAGCATGACTCATTCCATGATGTCCTCTGCAATGACCTGGTTCATGACAAAACAGTTTTCTAGTCCCCAGGTCACCCTGGCCCTGTCCCCAGGCCAACTGTGGGGAAAAAGGAAGGACTAAAGACCTGAAGTGTTCCTGTCACCATCTAGCATCCCTGCTAAGCCCCACTAAAACAGAATTATTCCATGTAATGCTCATGGTAAAAGCTCTACTTTGTTGCTATGTTTTAAAGCAGCAATGGATTAAAATCTCTTAATCAATAATCACTGGCCTACAGGTAGTTTACACGTTTCATTTTGTCCTGCAATATTATCACAATCAGGAGCAAGAGCAGATAAAGGTCATGCTGGTAATTAAAGCTATATTGTAGAAATATGCTCACCCAAGATATGATTAAATAAGAAAATATTACTCAGTTCAGTATCATCATTAAACTTATATCAATTTATAAATATTTAAATGTACCATATGATGGTCATAAATAATCTGTTTTTGTCAGTTTCTAAAGTAATGCCACCCATAAACCCTTTAAAAAATGACTGCAGAAAGGAATAGTCAAGAAAGTATACAAGCCAGACTTACATTCAAATGCTGTAGTTGTTGCTTCAGGCAGAACCTGGCCTATCACATCCTAAACAAAGAAAGAATAAAGAAACACAATTAGCCATCTTCTTTATTGCTAACATGTGGCAAATCCTACAGGAAATATGAGAACCTGGGAAAGATTTTTGAAACGTTAGCATAAACTATAAAAACATTAGCTCATAATCACACTTAGCCCAGCAACGTAAACCCAGAGTTTAAAGCTCTATTCCAGGAAGAAAAATATTTAAGGAAACTTTTCCACATTTTATTAATAACATATTTTATTCTCAGTTCAACAGTCTATATACAAATAAACCGTCATGTATTTACAAAAACTTGGTTTCTTCTATGGGAGGCTGTGGAATATACTACAGTTGAAAGAGAGAGGGGTTTTGAGAGTCAGACTGACGTAGGTCTGAATCTCTGGGAAAAAAATCACCTAACCTCTCTGAGCTTCAATTTGATTACCCTCCAAAATGGGTCTGGTAATACTTATAGATGTAGCTTAAAAATTAATCTAATAAACATAAACTTAGACCTAGCACATTGAAGACATTCAACAAATGTAGTTCCTGATATACAACAAGCAACACTGTGCCTCGCACTCATCATGGTAGGAGTTCGACACCCAAGTTTCCATGACGATATAAACCCATTATGCCACATTTAACACAAACAGTTCTTATCAACCTTTACTCTTAAGCAACAGAAAACATACTTAATGACACCGAAATAAAGTTAATCTAGCCTACAACAAAAATCTAAAAAGGGTATATAATCTGACATCAATGCTTAAATAAATCTATAAAGTTGAAAACACATGAAAATTAGTATACTGAGACAGCTTAATTGAATAAGCATAGAACACCTACGCTCTGGGGAAAGTGACCCTCCATCATGTCCAGTCCAACTCCAATGGCCTGCAAACCTCATTTCTCTCCAGGAGCTCTGCCACAGTGTCCCTCCCAGGCTGCAGCAGAACTGGCACCAGGCAGCCGGCTGACAAAGCCGCTCGCAGTATTTCTCAGCAGGGAGCCCACAGCCTTTCCAAGCAGGGCACTTAGCAGAGTGGCTGCAACTTCCTTCTAAAGGCAATTCTTTAGAAGCTTTTGCTGCAGTGGCAATTTGCATAATAGTCTTGCCTCTATAGTGCTTTTTTTTTTTTTCAAAAATAAATCTGTGCATATAAAACTGATCAAAGAGGACTATCTTAGGCAGTCCTTGCTCATTACAGCCAAAAGAGATTTTTTTTTCTGAGTCTAGTCCTCACAAATGAAACATCAACTTTTTGAGGAAGCATCTATAAAAGATTTTAGTGTTAAAAAATTATTTCTACACTCTCATAGTTAGAAAGTATTTATTGACAGGAAACTGTAAAGGGAGTACAGAATAAAGCACACAGGCAATCCAGTGGAAAGCCTGAAAACATGAAATTGCAGCCAAACAGCTACAGCTGGATGCTAGCTCTCTGGCACAGCTGAGTGCACAAAATCTCTCTGTGCCTCACTTTCCTCATGTGTAATATCAGATCTTAGCTGTACCTAACAAATGAGTTAGTATTTGTAAAGTACTCAGAAGAGTGTCTAGCACATGGCAAGTGCCATATTAGTGTCAAATAAATAAAACAAAACACCAATAACTGGAATATTACAAAGCTTACTTCGTAATAAACTTTGAAATTCCAGCACCCTACAATCAGTGGAGGATGGTGATTCACTCACTGACTTCATCCTTCAGCAGTACTTATTGAACACTCATTCTAGCCAGTGTAGGTTTAAAAAAACGAGGGGAAAACAACTGCTTCATCCCCAACTCTCTAAGTCTAGGTTATCACCAGTTATTTCCAGGAAACTCCGATCTTGAGATGTGAACTGTACCTCTATAGTGTTAGCAAATTAATTTAGGCTCCTTCCTACTTAGGAATAGCAGACCCCATCAAAGTGCAGAGTTCTAACAACCAACTGAAAACCTGCTCAGTGGCAATGGCATGCCTTAGCCCATCGACATAAACAAGGCACTGCACATGCTCCTCACCTGATACGAGGAAAAGGGAGAAAGAACAAAGCAAACTTGAGTGAGAGAATCATGTGAACACAACCAACCATTTTGTTCTTTAAAGCAAATAAAGTGGGGCAATCATAATGACAAAGAGGTAAGAAGTTTAAACATCAGTAATATCTACTAGTCATTTTAAAGCAGGGTACATTTGATGATTTTATATACATTTTCCAGCTAAAGTGACTTATTTCCAAGCGGCCTTCTTCTGCTCTTGACAATATAACATGTACCTAACTAACCTAAAGAAGGTTTCAAAAGAAAACCGGGATGGGCGCAGTGGCTCACACCTATAATCCCAGCACTTTGGGGGGCCGAAGTGGGTGGATCACTTGAGGTCAGGAGTTCAAGACCAGCCTGGCCAACATGGTGAAACCCTGTCTCTACTAAAAATACAACAAAATTAGCTGGATGTGTGGTGTGTATCTGTAATCCCAGCTGCTCAGGAGGCTAAAGCAGGAGAATCACCTGAACCTGGGAGGCAGAGGTTGCAGTGAGCCGAGATCACGCCACTGCATTCCAGCCTGGGCAACAAAGCGAGACTCTGTCTCAAAAAAAAAAAAAAAAAAGAAAAAAGAAAACCGAAGTTTACATATTTTGATGATGACCATTTTTTGATACTTTTCTTCTTCCTTTCAATAAATCAGACAAATATCTGACAGATCCAAAACATCATTGAGCATCTACAACATGCCACGAGCATAAAGATCACAAAGCTGTAGGCTACAGGACAATAAAACTTGATCCTTGACTTTAGGAAGATTATAAACTGGTTACAGAGATAAAGACAAACCTGAAAGACTAGTAATATAAAACACTTAAGAGTATAAGCACCAAACAAAAGACATAAACAGCCAATAGTATTTGGTAACTCAGGAGAAAGGAAAAAATCACAGACTCAGTTTAGACAGAAATCTGTGTGTGTGTGTGTGTGTGTGTGTGTGTGTTTTCTTCTTTTTTGAGATAGGGTCTCGCTCTGTGACCCAAGCTAGAGTGCAGTGGTGCAATCACAGCTCCCTATAGCCTCGACCTCTAGGTTCAAGAGATTCTCCCACCTCAGCCTCCCTAATAGCTGGGACCACAGGTGAGTGTCACCAAGCCCCCACTAATTTTTGCATTTTTTGTAGAGATGGGGTTTTGCCATGTTGCCCAGGCTGGTCTCGAACTCCTGAGTTTAAGCGATCTACCCACCTCGGCCTCCCAAAGTGTTGGCATTACAGGCCTAAGCCACCACTCCTGGCCCAGAAGTCTTATAGATGAGGGGAAATCTGAGCTTGGAGACCACAGAATACAAAAAGAAGAGGGGAGAGGGTTGGGCATTCTCTCTCATCACACACTAACCAGACCTCTTGTATAGTTTTCCCAAAACTAGGAACTCAGTCTCCAGGGAAAAAGAGAAACACAGAAAGCTGCAAAACAGAAGACCCAAATGTCTCTACCTTTGAGGGTCAGGTCAGCCTCCATAGTTCAGCCAGTCCCTGATGATTCAGACAAAAGACAAGGCCCAGAGAGACCGACTGACTTGCCCAGGGTCTCCCAGCTATTTGATGCACAGTGACTGGAGCCCTCAACTGCTGACTTCAGGTCCGAGACACTCAGTTATGGCTGACTCGGTGACTACAACCTGCTTCTGGCATCTGTGTCAGGTTCTGCCAAAAATTAGCTGGGTGGCTTTAGCAAGGTATTTTCCCCCTGTGGGGTTCATGCCTCTTCATTCGAAATGAGTCTGAATTAGATGAGGGGATTCTTCCAGGTTCCACGTGACTTTAAAGTTTAAGGTTCCAAGCCAGAGATGCTGACGTGTCTCTTGGTTCTTGCCTTTTCTTGATGAAGAGATGAAGTAAACCTGGAGAACAGATCACAGGAGTCTGCCATGATCTGGGCTTGAACATTTGCTAAAATGGAGCACTAGGAGATAGCACTGAACACCCACTGCCACAGGTCCTTCGTCAGGCCTTTCTGACAAAACATGCTCCACCTGGGCTTACCTAGCCAAAAGTGTGCAGACACCTGGCATGCTGAGCTCTAGTGGTGGGGCCACTCGTGTTTCCTGTTAAGCCAGTCAGCCTTGAGCCAGGTACAACTTAGAGATGCTCAAGAAACAGAAGACCCAAGTCCAATCCCTTATAATAACAATCCCATCAATAATAACAACACTAATGGAGCGCTTACTATGTGCTAAGTTGTTCTGAGTGCTTTACATGTATCAACTCAAGGAGTCCTCAGAACTCTAGGAGGTAGGCATTACTTTCACCCCTCCCCAACTTTTTTTTCACAAATAAAGAAACTGAGATACAGAAGATACTTGCCCCAGTAGTACAACTTGCAAGTTAAACAACCTGGCTCCAGAGTTTGTGGTCTTAAACACTGGGCTATTCTTGAAATAATCACATAACCAAATAATATAATCACATAATAATCAACCTTCCATTGTTTTAAATGAGTAAGAGAAAACCCATCTTTCTCATCACAGTCACAATCTCACATAATCTTTCCAAGTCTTTGAGGAAGGTACAAGTTTCCCTGTTTTACAAATAAGGAAACTAAGGCTCAGAGAGGTAGACTGACTTGCCTAGTCAGTGGGACAGCTTGCAATTAAACCCAAATTCCTTGACTCTAAACCTAGTGTTCTGTCCACAGAACCATAATTGCATGCATCCTCTTTTAAGCTCCCTTCTTAAACAAGTATTTTGGGGTCCTATGAAGAAACAAAAACAAACATATCTATCTCCTCCAGAAGTTTACCATCTAGTGGAGGAGACAAAGAATCATGATCAAACATGTGCTTTGCTGGGGGACCCACACAAAGCTGTGACGACACAGAGGTGGGGCACATAACCAAGAATGACACAGAGAAAAAGCACAACTTGGCTTGGAAGGACAGGTGGGAATTGACCGGTGAAGAGCAGAGTGCAGACAGCCTGGACACCTGGGAGAAATGAAAATCAACCTATGTAAGTGAGGCACAGAAGTTTATGGGGCCGTGAAGAGAGATGACACAGGTGCCAGGCAGACAGGGGCCAATCCAGATGTGCCCAGAGGACCACATGAAGGAGCCTGGGCCTTATCATGAGGGGAAATCTGTATGTGCATGACTGTGTGGAGAACTCCGGATACAAAGAGAAGGATGGCATTTGATGCACAATATGGAAAGCTCCTGGTCAAGGCACCCAAAAATCTGCATGGCCTGGGCAGTCAGTAACATCTAGAACTCAAAATGAAGTTATAGAAATCAAATTTTGATTAAGTTACCCAAGACAATGAAAAATCACATCACAAATCTTCCTCTTCCCAAGATCCTGCCACCTTGCCCACTCTTAACTTGCAGGTAGTGATGTGCTTTTCGGAATGTCCGCTTCTGTCTTCCATGCCTCAGTTATTCTGCATGTAGAATGGGCACAAGGCACCCTGTCTATCTCAAATGAATACCAGAAAGATTAGAAGCGGCTGCAACATGTAGGGAAAGAAACCTACTAAGTCAATGAAACAAAATTTTAGTTCTGGTACTGACTCTCCCACTCAGGAGCTCACAGCTTTGGAAAAGCCATTTCACCTCACTGCTCCTCAGTAACTATCTGCAAAAAAGAAACATCAGCTGAACAGGCCACCTACAGTGTTACACTCTGCTCTAAAATTCCATCATTTTATTTGAAATATATTCTGAAAAATCTGAATGTAAAATATCACCAATTCTAAGATGCACATTTTCCCTTACTTTTACCGTCTCTGAAACTGGACTCATTTTAATAACGGATGATGTGTCATACTGTCATGGTTAGCATTTTTTTCTAAGTAAAATGTCTTACATTCAATGATGCTTTAAGTTTGCTCAGGCTGGGCACAGTAACTCACACCTGTAATCTCAGCACTTTGGGAAGGCCGAGGCAAGCAAATCGCAGGAGTTCAAGACCAGCCTGGGCAACATGGCAATACCTCGTCTCTACAAGATACAAAAATTATCCAGGTGTGATGGCATGTGCCAGCTACTTGGGAGGCTGAGGTAGGAGAATCGCTTGAGCCCAGGAGGCAGAGGCTGCAGTGAGCCGAGATCGTGCCACAGCACTGCAGCCTGAGCGACAGAGTGAGGCCCTGTCTCAAAATAAATTAATGAAACAGTGTGCTCAAACATGGTAAGTTAAAGTTGTCCTTTTTCCCTTTCTCAGCTGGTCACCAAGTTCAGAGAACTCAGTAGAAAAACAAGGCTGGAATCTGTCCAAGGACATTCCCCGAAACACTTGGGGGGAAAAAACCTCTCTTCTAGATTCAGCAGTTTGCATTTGCGTGGTTGTGTCTATATGTGTGTCCCAGCCCGGGCCATGAGCTCTCTGAGGGCAGGGGTTCAGTCAGATTGATCTATCTCCCCAGGGTCCTAGACATTTGCCAGGTTTTAGTGGTTGCAATTTATCAATGCTGTGCCTGAAGCAATAAAACTGCCTCCACAGGAAGCCAGCAGTAGCCATTGCCACTGGCTCAGGTCACCAGTGGTCAAGGTGCTGACTACTCAAGTCCCTGAGTCCCCCTTGCTGGCATCCGGACACTGAGATTACCACTCACCAGCACATCCCTGAAGAGTAACTGCGGCCCGGAGTGCACTGTCCAGTCCACCGCGCCACTATTTGGGATCTTGATGCGAATTACCAGCACCTGGTTCTCCATGGCAGGAAAGGGGCCAAGGGCTAGCCACAGCATTACAGGTTAAAGAGGCTCACATCCTGGGGTATGGGAAACCCACTGGCCGCTGGTTAGGAGGGGGCTCCAAGAGGTGACAAGGGGAGTGACGGGCAGAGGACAGAGGGTGAAAACAAGGGAATGGAGGATGAGGGGGAGGGAAGAGGGGAGGGGTGATCAGGAACGCACCCGCAGGCACCGAGCCTGCCCAGGCTGTCGGGGGTCTGAGGTGTCTCCCGGGGAGGGTGCACCGGGAAGCGGGCAAAGGCCCGCAGGAACTAGCGGAGGTCGGAAGGTTCTGGAGTTGAGCGAACGCTATGGTGAAGGTCTCTGCCGCCGTGTGGGTATGAGGAGGCAGCAGGGCAAGGACTCGGTTTGGGGGAGATACAGCGGCAGGTGTCCACCGCTCGTCAGTGGACTAGGAGAGGGTCCTCGACTGGAGGGGACTCAGTCCGGGGCTATTAAGAAAGAGCCCCAGGGCCGCCACACCACGGAGAGTCCCCGCGGGAGGTTCAAGGGGCGAGTCTTCTGCCCCACCCGGAGACACAGGGCGCGGCGCGCGCAGGCTGAGCTCCGGCCACCCGAGGCCGCGCGGACTGGCGGCGGCTGCGGCGGCGGCGACGGCGGTAGCGGCGAGAGGAGGAGGAGGAAGGCGGCGGCGACACTGTTACTCCGGAACCAAAACGCGCGGCGCCGGAACCCCGGGAGCCGACGAGCGGGACCCGCCTCCCGCGGCGCCATGTTGGAAAAGGGCAGCAGCTCCCGGGAGGATGCGCCCCCGGCGTGGGAAGCCGAGGAACCGGCGCGCGGCGCGCGGCGCGTGGCGCGTGGCGAGTCGGGGAGAGACTGGTCTTGCTCGCTCAGGAGACCCTCATCGCCCACAGAGCGCCCGCGGCGACCCGGTCACGGCCCTTCCATTTCCTGACCCTGCTTAATGACAGCGAGGTGAAAACATCTACCAAACGAAGGGTAAAAGGCTGGAGTCCGCCAAAAGCCAATTTAAGGCTTAACATTGCAGACCGTTTGTCTTTACAAAAGCTTCAAAGACGGGGCTGCAGCTCCCGGTTATCCCCACTTTGTCAAGCCATGAATCTGAATGTTCGTGGGGTTGTGTGCATCGAATCAGCAAGAGCAAGGCAAGAATTCAAGAAATAGTTCTTTTTTATCCCCCCTTCCAAGTCACAGGTTCAGAGGATCATCATCTTTCTCCCACATTAGCAAAACATATTTGCATTTTTCAGTGAAGTTCTTTACCGCACGAGTGCCCTAAAATAGCAAACAGTTCCCTGTTCAAAAGCAATAGTAAAGAAATTCGCCGAAGAGTTTAATTGCCTGGGGACAGCTGCAGTAGTCGCATCATCGTCTCTTATTAAACTGTTGCAGAAATATTCGGTCTAGTCCATGTATTTTCAACTAAATAGCACTGCTTACGCAGTTGGTGATATGGTGATATCACGGAAGTAGCAATAAACCTTGGTTATCTTTTTTTTTTTTTTTTTTGAGACGGAGTCTCGCTCCGTCGCCCAGGCTGGAGTGCAACGGCGCGACCTCTACTCACCACAACCTCAGCCTCCCGGATTCAAGCGATTCTCCTGCCTCAGCACTACCACCCCCACCAGCCCCCAACCCCTGCCGAGTAACTGGGACTACAGGCGTGCGCCATCCGTGCCCGCTCATTTTTGTATTTTCAGTAGAGACTGGGTTTCACTATGTTGGCCAGGCTGGTCTCAAACTCCTGACCTCGTGATCCGCCCACCTCAGCCTCCCAAAGTGCTGGGGGGATTACAGGTGTGAGCCACCGCGCCCGGCCAACCTTGGTTATCTTCAAATGCCTTGTTACCTCAGATTTTAAAGTGCATAAGGTTGTAGAACGATGGTGCCTCTACAGAAGTTTCTTTACAAATTGTAATGTGTAGGTTCGTCCTTTATTTCTTTCTTATGAAGGTGCACGAATTGGCTTTACTTTCTGGGGTTGAATTTTGTATAAACTCGGTTGAGGAGGCTTGTCAGTTTCCCTTCTAACAGTAAGGTGCTTGATTAATGTGAGAGAAAAAAATTAATGTTGGTCATTTTCAGTTACAATACCAAAATTTTTTCTGCATACTTTACTCTGAGTTACTTTTATATTTAATTTGAAAGGCCATTGTAGGAGATAAATTATCACATTTTAAGTTACTGTAAATCAATAGCTTAGGTAGAAATTCATTTAGTCAGATCCTTCAGATATTCTAGGAATTTCCCCTTTTCACCTGCACTTCACTTCTGTGAAAAATAAACCGTTCATCAAAAGTCCTCATGTACTTTTATTAAAAGTTCATTTCCTATTATTTTAGAAAATAGACCACGAAACTAGAGATTTTCTATGAACCTGTGATTTGTTAAAATGTCTCTTTTATTCGAAGTACCGTGGGGAAAACCAACTCAATTTGCCAAATTTGCATACATATTCTGAAGCTTTTCTTACACTAATGGCAAACTCATATTTCTGTTCCAATATTTGCAGAGCCAATATAATTACACGTCAGCTCTTCATAGCCTTTATGTAGTAAGAAATCTTAACTTTGATGATTTGAGCAAGGATTTTTCCAGAAAGTTATAACTCTCATTGCGAGAAGCATCATAATCACTGATAATACATTCCACTTGATATCATAAATGACAAAATATAACTTTCTGATCTTTACCAAATTGAATACTGTCTAAATTTAAGGAATATTTAGTATTTAACATCGAAGTTGCATGTGATCTTAAGAAGTTTGCATTTAGTACTTTTTTTCATTTTATTTTATTTTATTTATTTATTTTGAGACGGAGTCTTACTCTGTCACCCAGACTGTAGTGCACTGGCGCAGTCTCGGCTCATTGCAACCTCCACCTCCCAGGTTCAAGCGATTCTCCTGCCTCAGCCTCCCAAGTAACTAGGACTATAGGTATGTGCCACCACGCCCAGCTAATTGTTGTACTTTTAGTAGAGACGAGGTTTCACCATGTTGGCCAGGCTGGTCTGGAACTCCTGACCTCAAGTGATCCACCCGTCTCGGCCTCCCAAAGTGCTAGGAATACAGGCGTGAGACAGCGCGCCAGGCCTTTTTTCTTGTTAAATGATACAAGTCAGAATAGTCACTCAGGTACTGGCTGAGATAGTTTACTAGCCATTAAGCAAACTTACTGTAAAAAAAAAACTGTGCTTACTTGTAGTGTTCCTACTTGAGGGATTTACTTTTCACTAAGTGTAATAGAAAATCCCTCCCCTCATGAAGTTATATTCTGATGGGGAACACAGACAAATGAGTAAAATATATGTTAGATAGTAGTAAATGCTAACAGAAAAATGAAATCAGAAGGGAAAATGGTAAAACAGTAAGTGCACCAGTGTGATAACACTAAGGAATATGAAAACTGGCCTATATTGGCTTCAGTTAACTGGCAAATTTAACTGAAAATAGACACATTACTGAAAAGTTAGATGTCTAGTGATTTTTTTCCTTGTGATAAAATACACATAAAATTTACCATTGTACTCATTTTGAAGTGTGCAGATCAGTAGTGTTACATACATTCATTCATCCTGTTGTACAGCCAATCTCCAGATTTTCATCTTGCAAAACTGAAACTCTATATTCATTAAACAACTGCCCACTTCCCCTTCCCTCCAGCCCCTGGCAACCACCAATCAACTTTCTATTTCTATGAATTTGACTACTCTAGATACCTCATATAAATAGAATCATCCAGTATCTGCCTTTTTGTGACTGGCTTATTTCACTTGGTATAATGCCTTCAGGGTCCATCATGTTGTAACATGTGTCAGCATTTCCTTACTTTTTTTTTTTTTTTTAAGATGTACTCTTGCTGTGTCATCAACACTGGAGTGTAGTGGCATGATCTAGGCTCCACCTCCTGGGTTCAAGCAATTCTCCCACTTCAGCCTCCCAAGTAGCTGGGATTACAGGTGCCCACCACCACACAAGGCTAATTTTTGTATTTTTAGTAGAGACAGGGTTTCACCATGTTGGCCAGATTGGTCTCGAACTCCTGACCTCAGGTGATCCACCCACCTTGGCCTCCCAAAGTGCTGGGGTTACAGGCATGAGCCACCACCCCTGGCCATTTCCTTCCTTTTCAAAGCTGAACAAAATTCTGTTGTGTGTATATAACACATTGTGTGTATCCATTCATCTATCAATGAACATTTAAGTTGTTTCCACCTTTTGGCTATTGTGAATAATGCTGATATGAACATGGGGGTACAAATATCTGTTCCTGTCTCTCCTTTCGACTTTTTGGGATGTATACTCAAAAGTGGAATTGCTGGATCATATTTTCTATGTTTAATTTTTTGAGGAATCACCATACTGTTTTCCAGAGTGGCTGTACCATTTTACATTCTCACCAAAAGTGCATAAGAGTTCCAATTTCTCCATGTTTTCACCACCACTGGTTATTTTCTATATTTGTTTATAGTAGCTATCCTGTTGGGTATAATGTGATATCTTACTGTAGTTTTAATTTGTATTTCTCTAATGATTAGTGATGTTGAACATCTTTACCTATTCTTGTTGCTCATTTGTATATCTTCTTTGGAGAAATACCTATTGAAGTTTTTTGCCCATTTTGTGTATTTATTTATTTATTTTTGAGACAGAGTCTTGCTCTATCTCCCAAACTGGAGTACAGAGGCACAATCTCAGCTCACTGCAACGTCCGCCTCCCAGGTTCAAGGGATTCTCCTCCCTCAGCCTCTCGAGTAGCTGGGACTACAGACGTGCACTACCACACCCAGCTAATTTTTGTATTTTTAGTAAAGATGGGGTTTCACCATGTTGGCCAAGCTGGTCTCGAACTCCTGACCTCAGGCGATCTGCCCACCTCGGCCTCCCAAAGTGCTGGGATTACAGGCATAAGCCACCGCACCTGGCTTTTTTTTTTTTTTTTTTTGCCCATTTTAATAGGGTTATTTTGTTGTTGTGATTTATTTTTTTAAGGAGAAAAATTACATTTTGCTGTTATAAATTCAGAGAGGTTTTCTTTCATCTCTTATTACCCTGATCCCAGTATCGAATCCTTAATCCAGAATCTGAGCCTTTCTCACCACCTTCACTGCTACTACCCCAGTCCAAACTATTCTTTCATCTTCTGTTTTCGCCCTTGCCCCTACTACCAACAGTATTATCTACCCAGTTGCCACAGTTAGATCAAGTCACTTGTTTGACTAAAACTCTCCAAACAGCTTCTTATCTTGTGCAGGAAAAAGGCCAAAATCCTTTTCTTGGCCTACAAAACTCTACACATTCTGCCCCTCATCCCATCTAAACTCTCAAACTTCATTTCCTACTAATCTCCCTCACTCCTACCAGCCTCCTCCTCACTGTGCCTTGAACATGTCCCGCATCCCACCTCAGGGCCTTTGCATTTGCCATTTCCTCTGCTTGGATTGCTCTTAACCTAGATATCTGCATGGGTCATTACCTCACATTCTGTAGGTCTTGACTCAAAGGTCACCTTCTTGCTGAGGCTCTCCCTTGGCACATTATTGAGATTGCAGGCCATCCTCAAACCCATAGATACAAGCATGAAGGCATGCACAATTCCTAATCCTCTTCCCTAGTGTTTTTCTCCTGGCACTTATTGCTATTTTTTTTTTCTTTCTGTTTTTGAGACAGGGTCTGGCTCTGTCACCCAGGCTGGAGTGCAGTGGTGTGATCTCAGCTCAATGCAACCTCCACCACCTGGGCTCAAGCGATCCTCCTACCTCAACTCCCTGAGTAGCTAGGACCACAGGCGTGCACCACCATGCCCAGCTATTTTTGTTTTTTTTGTATTCTTAGTAGAGACGGGGTTTCACCATGTTGGCCAAGTTGGTCTTGAATTCCTGGGCTCAAGTGATCTGCATGTCTCTCAAAGTGCTGGGATTACAGGCGTGAACCACTACACCCTGCCCATTTATCACTATTTAACATACCACATGTTTTACTCATGAAGGGATGAAATTGTGTGTTTTATTCACTTCCATATCCCTAGTACCTAAGAGAGTATCTGGAACGTAGTGGGCACTTTAATAATATTTGCTGACTGAACAGGGAGTTTTGAACGCAGAGTAGGTTGAGTAATAGGAATGCAACTTCCATTGCATGTTGCATCCCCTGCCTGCCTTGAACATCAATCACTTGCCCCCTTGCCTTTCCACCACCACCACTACCAAGACTGCCACAGTAACAATTATAGACTCCCATTAAACAGTACATTTTATTTAAAATATTGATTGCCTCCTATGTTTAAGAAATTCACCTGGCCGGTCATGGTGGCTCACGCCTGTAATCCCAGCACTTTGGGAGGGCAAGGCAGGTGGATCACAAGGTCAGGAGATCGAAACCATCCTGGCTAACATGGTAAAACCCCATCTCTACTAAAAATACAAAAAATTTGCCAGGCGTGGTGGCATGCAACTGTAGTCCCAGCTACTCGGGAGGCTGAGGCATGAGAATCACTTGAACCCGGGAGGCGGACATTGCAGTAAGCCGAAATCATGCCACTGCACTCCAGCCTGGGCAACAGAGCGAGACTACATCTCAAAAAAAAAAAAAAAAAAAAGAGGAAATTCACCTGTCTCCTTCAGCACCCAGTATGGGCCCTTGCAGATGACACTCCAATATATGTCGATTAATCTTGATTTAAAAGAATATAGGCCAGGTGCAGTGACTCACACCTGTAATCCCAGCACTTTGGGAGGCCGAGGCAGACCAATCGCTTAAGCCTAGAGGTTCGAGACCAGCCTGGGCAACATGGTGAAACCCTGTCTCTACAAAAAAAACAAAAATTACCCAGGCATGGTGGCACATGCCTGTAGTCTCAGCTACTCAGGAGGGTGAGGTGGGAGGACTGCCTGAGCCTGGGAGGTCAAGGTTACGGTGAGCTATGATTGCACTACTGCACTCCAGCCTGGGTGACAGAGTGACACCCTGTCTCAAAAAAAAAAAAAGTTGCCCTTCTACACACCAGCAATGTCTTTGAAATTTTGATTGAAAAAATAATGTATAATAGCAATAACAAAACAATAAACATAATTATTCTCATGTTGCGTGATATCTATTAATTTTGAGATGGAGTCTCACTCTGTCATCCAAGATGGAATGCAGTGGCACAATCTCCGCTCACTGCAACCTCCGGCTCACAGGTTCAAGTGATTCTTGTGCCTCAGCCTCCTGAGTAGCTGGGATTACAGGCATACACCATCACGTCTGGCTAATTTTTGTATTTTTAGTAGAGATGGGTTTTTACCATATTGGCCAGGCTGGTCTGGAACTCCTGACTTCAAGTGATCTGCCTGCCTCGGCCTCCCAAAGTGCTGGGATTACAGGAGTCAGCCACTGCCCCCAGCCCTTTTAATTTTTTTTAAAGGCTATGAAGAGACAGACAAAAAATGAACACAAACTCCCAAAAGTGTAACAGGAGAGTTGCCCTGTTCTGTTTCGGCAGGAATGGAAATGAAAGTACACTCACACAGAGGCAGAAATTACAGTTCCACAGGTCATTCATGGACCACCACTATATGCTAAGCCTGTGGATTTTAAATACTCGAAAATGAATTAATTTATTAATTTAAAATTTTATTAGACATAATTTCTACATAACACATTTTTCTTTCTTCTTCTTCTTTTTTTTTTTTTTTGAGATGGAGTCTTGCTCTGTCGCCCAGGCTGGCGTGCAGTGGCGGGATCTAGGCTCACTGCAAGCTCTGCCTCCCGGGTTCACGCCATTCTCCTGCCTCAGCCTCCCAAGTAGCTGGGACTACAGGCGCCCGTCACCACCATGCCCAGCTAATTTTTTTGTATTTTTTAGTAGAGACGGGGTTTCACCGTGTTAGCCAGGATGGTCTCGATCTCCTAACCTCGTAATCCGCCCACCTCGGCCTCCCAAAGTGTTGGGATTACAGGCGTGAGCCACTGCGCCCGGCCGCACGTTTTTCTTTCAGTAGAGTAGACTGGTGTTCCTACAAATCACTTAAACTTTATTTTTTCTCTCTTCTTGTTGTTTAAACTTATCTATATTACTTTCTTTATATGTAGTCCTAATCATAATAACAAAGCACTTCCGCATCCATTGTCTGACAAAATTATCTTGTGCATCTTACGACAAGTGTAGAGGAGAGGCTGAGAATGTGGACTCTGTAGACAGATGGGAAGAACACTTACCATGCGTGGCCTTGGGCAAGACCCTTTGGTTTCCACAACTGAAAAATAAACATAAAAACCGTACCTAATTCATGGGGTCGTTATGAGAGGATTAAGTGAGTTCATATGTGCCAGGTCCTTAGATGAGGACCTGGCACAAGTAAATGCTGTGTAAGTGTTAGATACATTTCTTATTGTATATATGAAGACATTAAGACTTAGAAAGCTCTAAGTTTTCTCAAAGTTACTCTACCAGCAGTGGTAGAGCAAGAACTGAAACCATATCTTTTCTCTTCAAAGCAGGGTTCTTTGTATTCCACATATACTGGAAAAGCGGTAAGTACCAAACTAAATAGCATGGTTGGGAACCAGACATAGACATGCAGCAATGATTATAAAATTTCTGAGTTAAAGTGGACTTAAAAAATCACCAATCTAATCCCCTTCCCATTCAAGAATTTTACCCGCCCCCTACCCATCTCACTAAGGAATTGACATGTAGCTTCTGAACAGCTCCAACAACAGAAGACTCACTGTCTCAGGAGGTAACCCATTCCATTTTCTGAGGATTAAAACACTCTTTTTGTCTTCTAGTTACTAACACATTACTTCTAGTTCTGTTTTAAAAGAGTAAGTCTAACTGATTCTAGGACTTTCTGTTTCATGTTTCACTTCATTTACTTCTACACATCATTCTAAATTTGATTTTAAAATAGCAAAATTATTGTATGAGAAAACAGGTGGCACCATTTGAAATACCTCAAAAGGAAATTCAACAAGATTACAATCTCTTATCTTTCAGCATACATAGTTAATTCATTACATCTGAGATAATATTTCAAAACTTATTGCTGTTCTTGTAAAGAATCCATATGATCTCCAATTAAAGTATCCTGTTTTCTAAAAAGCTATTAAAAACAAAGGCAAGTTTTCCTTTTAATTTTGAATCATCACATATTTATTAAACATTGAGCCTTTATTATATGACAAGTGCTGGAAAGAAAACTTCATAACACATGTTTCTCACCCAGTTGTGGACAGCAGTCTTTTCAGTATGGCTTGAATGGACTCTGTAAATAGATTTAGAACTGCTAGATTTTGTTGGCAGGGAAAGTTACTAGGATTTCCACACTGTCAAGGGAACATTGACAAGTGCCTTCAACACCGTCAAGGCAAAAGTATTTCTTGGATGAATAAATGACTGTTGATTTTGAAATGTGATCTAAAATTAAGTGACACTAGATTTTTATTCAAACTTTCAAATTCTTGCTTCCTTCATTTTGTAAATTTAGAGATTTGAAAACATAAGAAACTAAAATTTTGGTGGTCATCTCATAGCAAGGGTCTTGATACAATGTGTAAAAAGGTAACAAAGGTATCTATTTTCATCTCGTTCTTACACATCTATATCTTCTGAAATAAAAATATCCACTTTAAGTGGAGTTTTACATTTATATCTATTTGCTAGAGTATTAATTTTTTATTTTGTATATTTTTATTCTTCCGTTAGGGTTTGAGTAGACAACTTTTTAAGTCTGATTTTAAATTATGAACTAATATGAAAATAGAGTAAAATGAATCACTTTGTGGTTAATAAATTCAATGTTCTGTTTACAGACAGATTGTTATAAAATTACTGATATATTCTTGCAGAAGCAGTAAAGGTTATGTCAAATAAGTACTAAAAAAATTATACTACGTAGTGTTAATGATGTTACCTTAACATACCAGCTTCAGGGGCTGCGTAATTGTTTCTGCTAACCCATAAATTTTTGAGTAACAACAAAATTATTGTGATTTTTCTTGCTAAATAATTCATACATTACAAAGCATGGATGTAACAAGGTCCATGAATCACTAAAGCATATAATGATCATATATCTAGTGACATATCTCTTTTCATAAGATGAATTCAAATAGATTTATGTATTTAGGTTAACTAAAAAATACTGAGTTTATAAGGTTCATAATTCTATCAACAGCAACAACAAAAACTTCAAATCTTCTTTAAGAAGTTGTTTCCATGATTTGCTTTTAAAACTGAAAGCTTTTGTTTATCAAAATCCTTGTTTAAGCTACTTTTCATGAAGTTTTACAGCTTTTAAATTGATACTATAAATATCATCGAAGATAAATTAATAATATAATGGAGTAGTACAATGTTCATAAACTGTATTTAAAATGATATAAGTGCAACTAAAATAGCCATAAGCAATACTACATAAAACCACTTACTAGTAGTAGCTGATATTCTTTATCCAGCAACTAGGATCTAAGAAAGGATATTTTCATTTACTAACACTTTACGTGCCTTACGTTGGTCTTATCTGAAATAATCTTGAACCAAATGTATCCTTTTCATAATGCTACTAAAAATGATCCCAAATGAAATTTCATAAAACTAGGTTTCAAAATTAAAATTTTTTAAATTCTAAGACTGCAACATACAAAATGTCAACATTGCTTTAACTATTTTAATCTCTAATATTTTTTAACCTCCTGCAGTCATATTTTATCATACTCACATCGAATCCTTTACTAATTTTTAAAAATTGTTTTTAATTGTGGTAAAATACTAATATTTACTATCTTAACCTTTTTTTTTTCTTCTTTTTAGAGACAAGGTCTTGCTGTGTTGCCCAGGCTGGAGTGCAGTGGCTGTTAACAGGCACAATCATGCCACATTGCAGCCTTTGAACTCTTGGGCACAAGTGATACTCCTGCCTCAACCTCCCATTAACTGTACCATTCAGTGGTTGTATGTACATTGATGTTATTCTACAACCGTCAATACCATCCATCTACAGAACGTTTTGCATATTGCAGAACCCAAACTCTGTACCAATTAAACACTAATTGTGCATTGTCCTCTTCTTTCTTTCTTTTTTTTTTTTTTTTTTGAGATGGAGTTTCACTGTTGTTGCCCAAGCTGGAGTGCAATGGCATGATCTCGGCTCACTGAAACCTCTGGCTCCCAGGTTCAAGTGATTCTCCTGCCTCAGCCTCCAGAGTAGCTGGGATTACAGGCATGTGCCACCACGCCCGGCTAATTTTTTGTATTTTTAGTAGAAATAGGGTTTCACCATGTTAGCCAGGCTGGTCTCAAACTCCTAACCTCAGGCGATCCACCCCCCTCAGCCTCCCAAAGTGTTGGGATTACAGGTGTGAGCAACTGTGCCCAGCCTGTCCTCTTCTCTTTAATAATCTTAACAGCCTTATTAAGATATAATTCCCATGCCATACACTTCTTTCATTTAAAGTGTACAATTCAGTGGTTTGCATATAGTCAGAATTGGGCAACGATATCAGAATTGGGCAACCATATCACAATCAGAATTGGGCAACCATATCACAATCAATTTTAGAACAGTTTCATCAGCAGCAAAAGAAACTCCATGCCCCTTAGTGGTGACTCCCCATTTCTCCCCAACCTCTTCAGCCCTAGGCAACCACTAATCTACTTTCTGTCTCTGTAGATTTGCCTATTCTGAACACTTCATATAAATGGAATTTTATGAGATCTTTTATGACTGGCTTATTTCACTTAGTGTAATATTTTTAAGCTTCATCATTGCTATAGCTTGTATCAGTATTTCATCCCTTTTTTGAATGAGTAATATTCCATTGTGTCACTGTGCTACGTTATCTGTTCATCAACTGATGAATATTTTTGTTTCCACTTTTTGCTAGTATGAATAATGCTGATATGAACAATCATGTACAAGTTTTTGTGTGGACATATGTTTTCAGTTCCCTAGGGTCTATACCTAGGAGCAGAATTGCTGGGTCATATAGTAATTCCGTATTTAATATTTTGAGCAGCTGCCAAACTTTTCCAAAGCAGCTGCACCAATTTACATTTCCTCCAGCCATGCAGGAGTTTTTCACTTTCTCCACATTCTCATCCACACTTACTATTGTCTTTTTGATCACAGTCATCCTAGTGGATATGAAGTGGTATCTCGTTGTGGGTTTGCTTTGCATTTTCCTAATGATTAGTTGAACATCTTTTCATGTGCTTGTTAGCCATTTATATATCTTCTTGGAGAAATATGTGTTCAAATCAAATTTTCAATTGGGTTGTTGAGCTTTAAGAGTTATTTATATATTCTGGATATAAGTCCCTTATCAGATACATGATTTGTACATATTTTCTCCCATTCTGTGGGTTGTCTTTCATTTTCTTAATAGAGACCTTTGAAGAACAAACATTTTACATTTTGATGAAGTTGTATTTGTCTATTTTTTCTTTTGTCATCTGCCTTTATCCTTTTCTGAAATATTGTAGGTTGGTGCAAAAGTAATTGTGGTTTTGCCTTTTTTTTTTTTTTTTGAGACAGAGTCTCGCTCTATTGCCCAGGCTGGAGTGCAGTGGCGCGATCGCAGCTCACTGCAAGCTCCGCCTTCCAAGTTCACGCCATTCTCCTGCCTCAGCCTCCTGAGTAGCTGGGACTACAGGTGCCTGCCACCATGCCCGGCTAATTTTTTTATTTTTTATTTTTAGTAGAGACGGGGTTTCACCGTGTTAGCCAGGATGGTCTCAATCTCCTAACCTCATGATCTGCCCACCTTGGCCTCCGAAAGTGCTGGGATTACAGGCATGAGCCACCACGACCGGCCACCTTTTTTTTTTTTTTTTAATGGCCAAGCTTGTGTTTGTGGAAACTGTTTTAGCCACATTTTCATTAAAAGAGAAAAAAATTCCACATCTGATCTCCAATTTGTATTAGAAAACTACTCTGTGGACTGTGGTCACTACTAATAACACTTCTTATTGTTGGGAAAGCCCTGGTGAAACATTTGTCAAGTACAGAAAATGATATGAAAGTGAAATATAGTAATTAAGATTTGTGTTCTATTGATTGTGTAGCTTAAGTAATTTTTCATTACTAACATAAGATTTAATACGTAGTTAAAGATTCTGACTTGGCACTAGTCATTAGCATGTAATTGAACTAGTAAAAAAGATCAGTTAAAGCTGTGTTGATTACCACCTTATCTTTGAAAGGCGATTAAAGACCTCAATCATTGCAACAAGATTTGATCGTGCAGCCTTTATTGGACATTGATCTTTCAGCAAAGTGCAGTTACATTTTCCATTAATTTACAGTAACAGAGTTTAACTCTGATACTCTAGACTGTTGACCCAGGTGAGATGTAATGCTAAGTACTTGTTTAGGTTAAGATGCCCCCAAATGTCATTATTGTTTGAGTAACAGTAGATACTTAATCCACTAGCTTTAGGATAAGGTTTCTGTTATCTGCATTAGCTTTTCAGTGCAGTGAAACCAAGATCTTTGCCTTTTATGTCATCCCACTTATTCAAACATCATTCTTTAACAGAGTTAAAAGATATTTCATGAAGAACTATAGATGTTCTATGCTTACAGTTTTGGGTGAATATAAATGACATGAAGTAAAATGTACTTTAAAAGATACACGGTTTTAATAATTACAAATGTTTCAGCTAGGCCTGGTGGCTCATGCCTGTAATCCCAGCACTTTGGGAGGCCGAGGCCGGCAGATCACCTGAGATCAGGAGTTCAAGACCAGCCTGACCAACATGGTGAAACCGTCTGTACAGAAAATACAAAATTAGCCGGCGTGGTGGTGCATACCTGTAATCCCAGCTACTCAGGAGGCTGAGACAGGAGAATCGCTTGGACCTGGGAGGTGGAGGTTGCAGTGAGCCAAGGTCGCACCATTGCACTCCAGCCTAGACAACAAGACTGAAACTCCTTCTCAAAAAGAAAAGTTTGAATTTTTACGGAAGTCAACGTTAGAAAAATATTAATGCCCCAAAATGTGTGGTAAACTATAACTGTTTCTACAATTTGGCATTTTAGGACATCAACACTAAGAAAATAGAGATTTTTGTATTAGCAGCCTCTCTCACGCTCCCAAATAGGTTACTGCATCTTTATAGTGGCTCACAACTTACACAGGAACTAAGAATTTTGCCTAGGAATTTGCCTAGAAATTTATTCCAATACGTGATAATTCATTTGTATAGAAATAACAATAGAAGAGATGCAAGGTTTTGTACTAAAAGTACACCTTTATTAAAACAGTTTTGGTTGGATTAAAGATAAAAATCCTGTCAAAGAAATATGACAGAAAAGCTAATCAGTGGTTTCACCAATTAAGAAAACTACTGATATGCAGAAGAGAAGGGCCTCTTCAGCTCCCCACATGCCACTTCAGGGTTAGTGGGCATGTGCTATCAATGCATCTCTCCTTCTTTCTCCATCACCTTATTTTTGAAATTTTTTAATTAATGAAGTCCTTTAAGTATAATGGAGCAGAAGAATGTGGATTATAAAAACAGAGCTTTTGCAGAGACAAAAGTAAAATTGATGTACATTTTCGGGTAGAAATGTCTCTTGTTTCGTTCTTCTCAGATTACAGGTGGAAAAACCAAGACACAAAGGAGGAGAGTTATTAGCCTGAGGTCAAAAAGTAAGACAGCACCAATACTAAAAATAGACTCAGTCTCCTGACTTACACATTTATACTTTCTCCCTTTCAGGCCATAATACTTTGGTGTAATATGCAGCTTTAAAGAAAAAACTTAAACCATTGCTGTTCAATGGGAAGTATTGTTTTCAGACTACAAGTTTACAAGACTTAATAAATCCAATGAATGATATTTAAATTTTTAAACCACGCCTTTACCCATTGTTGAGTTAGTTCATCCTTCACCATGATCAACTCCGTAAGAGCAAGAGGTCTATTGATTTTCATGTAATACAAGAAAATATTACATTTACTTGTTATACAGTGAGCACATCAGACAAGAAATCAAGGCCCTGTTTAATGCTGCAAGCAGCAGAGAATTACAGAGATCAATAGGGTAGTTTGTCAAAGATGTTCTCCAAGGACACTTACCTATCACATATGGGCAAGAAGTCACACTGACTATAGCTATTGAAAAACAGGTAAGCAGAGTCAGCAGTACAAATTATCAGAAATCAAACAGGCCAGTGTGAAAAGAGGTGCAACTCTACTGAAAAGCTGTATTTATAGTCTGGTAATTAAAGACCATTTTATCAGCCTTGTGTTGGGACCAAACCTTTACAGCCACTATTGACAAGACCAGCAGCAATGAATGAGCAGTATTTGACTTAAAACTTATGAGCTATAGTTATTTAACTTTGCCCATTACAGAGGAAATCAGTTCTAGCCTTCCCTGCAAAATGCTAATAGCCAGTTGTTTTATTATTAATGAAGCTTAATGTAACACTATCTCCTTTGTGTAAGCCATTCATTTAACTAGTGTCAAGTATATTCTTCTGGACTAAATATATTGGCATAAGTACTTCTTTGATTAAAGTGTTACTTAGAATTGCTTTTAGACAAGTGAACACCACATATATTTGAAGAACAGTTCACTCTGTAGATCATTTAAAATGACTACCTTTAACGAAGCTAGTTTGTATTACTTCATTATTCTGGTGCCTTCACCTCAGTCACTTCCACTCACTTTCTCTACTGACTTGACATAAGCATCCAAATGTTGAATTTTATAAAATGTTTTGCTACAAAAATGTGTAAGTGTTGCAGAGTATCAGCAACACATTAACATAAAATGATATATAATGTATGTTTGTAATTATGGGAGAGATCATAAATCTTAAACACCCATTGGTTTAGAAATTAAATAGTTCTACTTAGTTCTCCCTAAATTACTCCAAATGTCTGAAATTTACCATTCATCTGGGTATTTTGTGACTACCCCAAGGATACATTTTTTTAAATGACTTGGCTTTCAAAAATGCAATTAAGTTAATAAAATTCAAATGCAAAAGTGCCATTAGGTCTTTAAAATTTCAGCCCACTCCTTATTGCCAATAAGTCTATGGATATGTACCATTTCAGTTAATTGCTTTTATAAACAGTTACCAAATTTATTTTTCTGCATCTTTCTAGAAGATCTTAATTGTTCTTACAGCTTTATAGGAAAGCTGTTTTAACTTTTAATAAGTCTGAGTTTCATTCACCTTGCTACACTTATATTAACCAGTTATTATTACATTTTACAAACGATATGGTTTTGGACTCTTTAAGCAACAAGAAGTTTCAACATTACACTCCAACCCCTCCTCCAGGTAAATGGCACAAGGCCTTTAAAACGTTTCTATTTACAATCCTGGCAGCTGAATGGTTTAGACTTGAGATTACAATTAGATTCTCATCAATTTTGGATTTGCCAATGATGTAATATTTCCATCATACATCCTAATGTCTTCTACTTCTTTTTCCATTGTTACATAAAAGATTTTCCCCCCTTCTCTTTTGTGTGGGCATCTATATTTTCTCTTCAGAGTTGATTTAAATTGTTAATTAACTATAGAATCTATTACATTGTAATCATTTTTTATCTGTAGGTTAACCTAGTTCTAGGGAAAAAATGGTGTGAAGCTTCATGTGTTTGTAGTTCACATCAGCTAAACAGAGTATGTAATATATAACGATGTATAAAAAGCTTCACCTCTTGAGGGCAATGATTCATCTTAAAGAAGCAGATACTGTAGAAAGAAAAAAGTATTTGCAAAAGTTTTATTTTAAAGGATCAAAAATAAATACTGCACATATACACAGAGAAAATCCACTGATATTTATGTTCTTTGACGCACACTTTCAATACATGGCACCTTCATCTTCTTTATTGAGAAAATAAACTGTTATGGGTCCATAACTGGTATGCACAGTCTCTGTGACTCTGGCAAATAACCAGGAGCCAAGTCCATATAATAAAGTTGGAATACCTAGAAAACAAACGAATATGTATAAACATCAATGCTTATTAATCATGCAAGTTACTGATCACGTATAACACTCTTCAGCAATGTTAACAAATTACAATGTGATAAAATATAAAAATATTAATCAACATTGACTCTGATTATCTAAGAGCTCAATTTCATCAACGTGGCACATGATGGCAATCACGTGAGTCCAGAGGTTTTCATACTATAGACAAGGCGGGTATAAATGTTAATTCGAGTACTTCATAAATTCATTACCCTCAAATAATCATGAAGTAATGCTATATTCTTTTCATAAATAAGAAAATGGAGAAGAATACTCATTAATTTAGTTGTAGACGCTCCTGATTATTAGCCTTGAGCTAAAATTACTAAGTTAACACTACTGTTTGTTTGTTTGTTTGTGAGATGGAGTCTCACTCTGTTGGCAGGTTGGAGTGCAGTGGCGCGATCTCGGCTCGCTGCCACCTCCGCCTCCTGGGTTCAAGCGATTCTCCTGCCTCAGCCTCCTGAGTAGCTGGGACTACAGGCGCGCGCCACCACGCTCAGATAATTTTTGTACTTTTTTAGTAGAGATGGGGTTTCACCATGTTGGCCAGGATGGTCTCGATCTCTTGACCTTGTGATCCTGGGCCTAGGCCTCCGAAAGTGCTGGGATTACAGGTGTGAGCCACCGCGCCCGGCCAACATTACTGTTCTTTAAGTTAGTAGTAACACTAATGGTTGAAGTAATTTTTGTACAACTTAAAAGAAGCTCGGTCAAAGAGCTGTCTTTAAAATCTAAAGCAAAACCTAACTCCAAGTAAGATTTCAGTACAACAGGCATGAGAAAAAAAACTATTATTAGCATTTTTTCAATTGATCTGAAAACAACCTCATTTCAACCAATTTGAAATAGATATATAGTAGACTCCAACATGTGTTTCTTCTTTGGAATTGATAAGATTTTGCTGCTTTGAGATTAGTTGCCATTTGTGATACATGAAACTAAACACACTATCCAGAGATATGTATTAAGCACTCACATGCATATAAGACTGTTGGCACAAAACAAACTTTCACAATTCCTATCTTTTTAAAGGTACTTATTTAAAATTAATGACTACTAACATATTAAAAACATATGTAATAAAACCATAGGCACATGAATCAATAACAAATACTGTATGCTCTGGACAAGCATTAATTTTATGCTCTTATGTGGGAAATGGGCAGAAAGTGACACTTTAAAAGGATAGCTGTACATTTGGAAAATCACTTTCTTTCTAGTAATAAAGAACGCGGCTGGGCACTGTGGCTCACGCCTGTAATCCCAGCACTTTGGGAGGCCGAAGCAGGCGGATCACCTGAGGTTGGGAGTTCGAGACCAGCCTGACCAACATGGAGAAACCCCGTCTCTACAAAAAATACAAAATTAGCTGGGCGTGATGGCGCATGCCTATAATCCCAGCCACTCAGGAGGCTGAGGCAGGAGAATTGCTTGAGCCCAGGAGGCAGAGGTTGCACTGAGCCGAGATCACACCACTGCACTCCAGCCTGGCGACAGAGGGAGACTCCATCTCAAAAAAAAAAAAAAAAAACAAACAAAAAAGCAACACATGCTCTGGACTAATCATATTGCTAAATTTTGGTCTTATTTTTCTGCAAGAATATATTTGCTGTGTTAAGCTCTTTTTGAGTGTGTTTGCTGAACCACTTTGTGCTTACTCCCTGAAGCTTCATTCCAGCCACTGTGATGCCAGAGATTAATCAGGAGAAGCATCACATCACTAGCTGGTAATGAGAAGGGGAAAAAAATGCCCATTCAGGCTGGCATCTCTCTATTTTTAGGAATATACTGGGTCACAGTTTGTCACCATCACAGGGTTCCCTGGAACTCCCATGAAACCTTTTATAGTGTATCACCTTCTTTGCCCTGATAATGTCCAAAAGAATCTCTGAATACCTCAAGGGAATGTCATAAAAAAATCCACAAAAACTAGAATAATAAAGCTACTTATAAATCATTTAACCACAAAGAAAAAAAAAGGCAAGTGGCTCAGGGGTGGGAGGTAGAAAAAGAAGAATATGAACAAGCTAGGCAGAAATGAGAGTGAAGTATAGGGAGTAGTTGAAATAAAAAATAAATTTAAAATGCAATATCACAACTTCAAAGCTGAAAATCAATGGAGTGAGGAAGAAAAAAAATAGGCTCTAGAAGCAATTACTAATTTTCTAAGCATACTGAGACTAAAATACATAAAATAGGCCTCTTAAACCAAGGCTAAGTATATAAATTTAAGGAATACCTGGTGACACTGACAATTTTCTTTTATAGTATTTATCATAGTTTTCAGTTAACATATTGATTTAAAAAATTCATACTTTTGAAAAATCACAAATACAGAAATAAACGGTCAATATATTTTCAGCTAAAATCAAGGGCTGATCAAAGATTACTAGCTTAATAACTATATTATGTCTTATTAAAAAATAACCAGCAACCATTAGCAGTGATGCTGTTTGACAGGAGATGGAGTTATGATCTGAGTCAGAAATTCTGTATTTTTTTCCCCTTGCTGTCTGTTTATTTAATGCAGTCAGACTAATACTCAAAATGGGAAGGTTTGCCACCTATATAACTTATATATTACAAAATCTTTGTAGCACACATGCTTTGAAGTCTATAAGATTCTATGAAAAATTCAATTTTTTCTGAAAAATTAAATTTATATCTGAAACATGTAACATCAAAAGAACCTCCAAATCAGTTCTTTGCATAATAATTCACTTTGAGTCAGCTGAACAGTAGGTAAACCACTGTCAAATTAAGCACTTTAAAAAATTAGAATTCCTCAGTAAATCTCATTCATTCCAATGGTAAGTTGCTTTTCTTAAATCTCAATCTACTTCTCAGCAGGATACCTAGACTGGTAAACCATCAGTAAAATGTCAGCTTCCATTGAAGGGAAGACGGAGGAGAAAAGGAGCAAATGGGTAAACAGAAATCTTTATTATTTACAAAATGGAAAAATGAATTTGGAAGGGAAGAAGAGGAACAAAATCCTAAGTATAATATTAATAGGATATGTACTTTATCACCCAGAGAGACGATTGTACCTCACAGAATAGGAAAGGACCTATTATCTAATTCACATCCCCTCTACCTTCAGACAAAAATTAAAAATAAACGTTACCAGATGTGTTCACCACTTTAAAATATTTTTTAATTCCCTTTATCAGTATATCCCAATTTGTATTAAAGCATGCATGAGCAAAAAGTTGTCCTTTTTGCTTAACTTAGAACTCTTACTCCCATTTTAGCAGGATTTTTAGAATGTCCAAAAGACCATACAGACCATTAAATCACTCTCCCACATTAATAAACAAAACAAAACAAAAAACACTACAACTGTTGTTTCTTTCAACTTTAAAAGGTTTTACTTTTCTATGTGTGGAATGTTCTGAGTATCCACTTTTTTTGGATGTCTTAATCTCTAAATCTAAAAGAGAGGCCCCTAATCATTAAGGTGCTCTTAAACAAAATGTCAACACTAAAAATGTGACTTTAAAGGAAAAAAAGGCATTTGGCTCATGGTTTACCTATAACTCTCCCGTTATGCTTTTCCTAACCTATTATTCTTTAGGGAAGAATGATTTCTTACTTATGAAAAATGCTAAAATAAACTTATACTTCTCGAATCTAGTTAACACTCCAGTCTTTCCAAATAATTTCGAATTGAATTTCCTAAGTCACCTCACCCTTCAACTTCAACCAACCTCCAAAGTAGTGGGCATGCTCTATACAGTCCATCAGCCAAATAATAAGAGGCATTTTTAAAGGATAACACGTTGCTAAACAATTATCTCCTTACAGGACAGTCCAGTGGAGTAACGGCTCAAAAAGCCCACGACTGACATATGTGTTATTATAAGCACAAATACACAGACTATTTTTAACCTTAATGGACGATCAGATTATGTAATAGTATTAGTAGTACGGCTGCGCAGGGTTTAGTTTTAATCCTGGCTTTAAAAACCTGGCTGGGTAACATGGTTCATTCAGCTCCATGGCTAGATTTTGAATCACTGAAATCTAGATTGATTTTATGCCAGCTATTAGTAAGTTCAAAACATCTTGAGGCCTTCTGTTTTCCCCTGACCTATAAAAGATACACCCATGTCCATGTTCGTACCTCCCTCTTCTGTCATTAAACCAAAAGAAAATAAACACCTAGTGACAGTAAACATCCTCAGGGCGTCTCCATGAAAATATACAAATATTAAAGATCTTTAAAAATCTTTTAGGCCTAGCACCTCAGGAAGCTGTTATGTCTGGTGAAAACCTTTGGTGCTTTTAGTAAAACGAACTTGCCGGGAATTCATACAAAGAAAACAAAAGAAACTTAAAAGAGTAGTTCCAGTTATTGCAACATAAACGCAGCTGCAAAGTGATGTTCACGGGAATGAGTCCTGCCATGCAGTAGGACGGATGTCAACTTCAGAGCCACTTTCTAGGGGGCGTTTCCTGACGCCCCCTGGCTTACTGCCCAGGCCAGGGGTCTACTCTGGTTAACATGGGCAGGACAGGAGGGCGACCCGCCCCTCCCTAGGCCCGAGGACGCGCCCGCAGCAGGCGAACGGCTTCGGGTGCCAGGAGCTCAGCAAGCTGGGGACCCCCTGGGCGAGGAGTACAAAGGACCCCAGGCGAAGCCGGCGCCGGGAGGCAGAGCTGACTCCCGCGGGACTCTACCGGCCTGCGAGCGTTCGTCACGTGCTCGGTGGCTGAGGGGCCGTCCCGGCCGGGCGGGCTTCACCGCGTGGGCGCGGCAGTCGCCACTCACCGAGGTTGACGACCTTGAGCGCCGTGAAGAAGCGGTTCTGCCGGGCCAGGTCCTGCCAGGGAGCCTTGGAGCAGTGGTACTTGATGAAGGGGAAGCAGCCGGTGCGCAGGACGTGGTAGTTGGCGCCCTGCACCGGCCAGTTGAAGTGCGAGAGGCCGAACTGGTCGTTGCGGACGGCGCTGTAGGGCACGCAGAAGGAGGTCCAGTGCGGCAGGCGCCGCTGCAGCAGATGCCGCGTCAGCACCTCCGAGGCGCTGGGCTTGGGGCGGGCGGCGGCGCGCGAGGCCCACGGCCTACACAGCAGCAGGCGGAGCGCGACCTCGTGGGCCCTCCTCAGGGCCTCCATGGCCCGCCGCGCCGGGGACGCAGGCTGGTGTCCGCAGCCGCTGGCGCGCAAGCGCGCCCCCGGGCGAGCGCCGGGAAGGCCAACCGGCGCCGCGCGGGTGCCCGAGAGCCCCCGGTGTGCGGCGGCGCGTGCGCACAGCGGCCCCGTGGCCTCCCGCTGGGGGTGGAGTCCGGGGGATGGGAAGCGTGAGCTGCGCGAGGCGGAGGGTCACCTGCGTCAAGGAGCTGGTTTTGAGTGGCCAGGTGTGACCTCACGCCGTCATTAGTAACTCGGGCAGGGGAGGGATTCGGGGAGGTCTCATCAATTTGGGCCTGAGGAAAATTCAGGTGGAAGACAATTAAATAACTAACCACCTCCGCAAGGTGCAGAACTCAAACCCAAGTCTCCCTCCCACGCCCTGGGCTCCAGGGAAGCCCTTGGGTGTTGTTGTTGAAACAGGACGAGGCGTGACCCCGGGTCTGCGTTGTTTGGTAAGGCCGGGAGCACTTTTGTGTGTAGGTCCTCGCTGTCGGGTTCACTGTTTAAAATTAGTCCCAGAGATTTCAAAATCAAAAGTTTATTTAAAAACCTCACGTGTCTCAGTGCAGCGTCCGAACACACAAAGGCACCTCCCTCTAAGAACCTGGTAGACGGACCAGGAGCCTCTTATCGAGCTTTGTGGACCTCAGTCACCCATTACCAATCCATTACTTTCGGAAAAGCTTTGCTCAAACTTTGCGGCCTCTTGAGGCAGTAACTTACGGACAAAACTGCTTTTAGAAAAGGATTTCCTCTTTTGTCCTAAACTCATTTTGTTTGGAGAGGCCATACATAAACAAGATGATGTGTCTGAAACCACCTTATGTAAATGAGGTACAGTAATTACGCGTTAAGCATCATATAACAATTACTATCGTTGCTAAAAACTCAAGGGGGATGTAGGATAGTATGGCGAAATTTTATATTCCCCAGTTTTTTGTTTTGTTTTGTTTTGTTTTTTTGAGACGGAGTCTCACTCTGTTGCCCAGGCTGGAGTGCAGTGGTGCAATCTCAGCTCACTGCAACCTCTGCCTCCCAGGTTCAAGTGATTTTCCTGCCTCAGCCTCCCGAGTGGCTGGGATTACAGGCGTGCACCACCACGCCTGGCTAATTTTTGTATTTTTAATAGAGACGGGGTTTCACCATGTTGGCCAGGCTGGTCTCAAACTCATGACCTCGTGATCCACCTGCCTCGGCCTCCCAAAGTGCTGGGATTACAGGCGTGAGCCACTGCACCAGGCCTATTCCCCAGTTTTTATTGAACATTGAGCACCCACCAACATATGCCGAATCTTGAACTTTACCTTACAGAATTTGAAGTTGAACTTTACCTTATAGAACTTGAACTTTATAGAATTTCTTTTTCTTTTCTTTTTTTTAGAAAGGATCTCACTGTTGTCTAGGCTGGAGTGCAGCTGCTCGATCTCGGCTCACTGCAACTTCTGCCTCCTGGGCTCAAGAGATCCTCCCACCCTCAGCCTCCCAAGTAGCTGGGACTGCAGGTGTGTGCCACCTACACTCGGCTGCTTTTTTTGGTATTTTTTGTAGAGGTGGAATTTTGCCATGTTGCCCAGGCTGGTCTTGAACACTTGGGCTCAAGTGATCCGCCCGCCTCGGCCTCCCAAAGTGGTGGGATTACAGGTGTGAGCTTCTGCACCTGACCAAATTAAATTTTGAAAAAGAGTGGAGTCCTTTTTCAAACGAAATCTGTTGAAGGTCCCCAACATATAAAGTTGGTTAAAACTTATGCTTTAGGCCGGGCACGGTGGCTCACGCCTGTAATCCCAGCACTTTGGGAGGCCGAGGCCAGTGGATCATCTGAGGTCAGGAGTCCGAGACCAGCCTGGCCAACATGGCGAAACCCTGTGTCTGCTAAAAATAGAAAAATTAGCCGGGCGTGGTGGCACATGCCTGTAGTCCCAGCTACTCGGGAGGCTGAGGCAGGAGAATCACTTAAACCCAGGAGGCAGAGGTTGCAGTGAGCTGAGATCGTGCCACTGCACTCCAGCCTGAGCGACAGAGCGAGACTCCGTCTCAAAAAAAAACAAAAAAAACAAAAATAACTTATGCTTTATTACTAAGCATAAGTTCAAACTTTTTTTAACTTTTTATTTTACTTATTTTTTAGGCGTGGGTTCTCACTATGTTGCTTAAGCTGGTCCAGAACTCAAGCCAGTCTCTCACTTCAGCCTCTTGAGTCGTTGGGATTACAGAAGCCACCATGTCCAACTGTAAGTTCAAATTTTTTATATTAACTTTATAGATAAAAAACAAAACAATGAAACTTCAGTGTGTTGTTGTCTTGGATTTTCTTTTGTTTTGAGCAGAAAGGGGATTCATTGGAGGAAAATTAGGTAGCCCAAATAGTAAACAAGAAGTCTAGAGAACCAGGCTCAGAAAATGGGAAGGAACGAGGAGAGTCCGAACAGCAAAGACATAGATAAGACCAACAGGAACTAGTCTGGCGAGCATGCCATTGCTGGCCCCACTGCCACAGGACTCTTGATCCTGTTGCTTGCAAAATGTTGAAGCTGGGGGTTGTGGTTGTGAAAGTGGATCCTTTGAATTGAGTTGTTCTTATCCCCAGCTAAAACAGTGGAAAAGCCAGGGGGAGAAAGCACTCAGGACATATGACATTACTTTAGAAATGTAGTTCTCGGCCGGGTCCAGTGACTCACGCCTGTAATCCTAGCACTTTGGGAGGCTGAGGCGGGCGGATCACGAGGTCAGGAGATCAAGACCATCCTGGCTAACACGGTGAAACCCTGTCTCTACTAAAAATACAAAAAATTAGCCGGGCGTGGTAGCGGGCGCCTGTAGCCCCAGCTACTCGGGAGGCTGAGGCAGGAGAATGGCGTGAACCCGGGAGGCGGAGCTTGCAGTGAGCCGAGATCGCGCCACTGCACTCCAGCCTGGGCGACAGAGCGAGACTCCGTCTCAAAAAAAAAAAAGAAAAAAAAAAAAAGAAATGTGATTCTTTGCAAGTCCCCCTGCTGAAACTGCCTGTTGTGACCTGAGACCAGTTTTATCTGTAACTGCTGAGATAACTTGCTGCAACTCTAGGACTAATTCTTCCCACTGCCATCCCTCACCTATTGGAGCTTGCCAGCCCCTCAGAACCTTACTAGTGCCAATGAACTTTCTCAAAGAGCACTATGTAACATTTTTCTGTTTTATAAAAGCTCCAACCTTCTCTTTGCTCTTCAGACATATTGAAGACCACCTGGTCTGTGTGTATATACCAAATTGCAATTTTTTTCCGCAGAAAGCTGTTAAATTTAGAGATTAATCTCTATATCTTTATTTTAACTTCAACATAGTTGCAGTTACAGCAGACTCAGTATCCAGTTTATTTCTGCATCTTCTGTTTTGGTTGTATACTATCAAGAAAATTCCGATTTCTTCAGAGAATTAGATACAAATAAGAGTGATTTTTAAATTATGCACCTTGAAATCTGGCCATGTGCTTCAATTACAAAAATGGCAGCAGGAGATTAATTATGAGATCTACACTGAAATGACTTAACCTAAAATTAATGTGTGGGCAGTTTGCAATATGTTAAATTTTGGCATTATCTCTCTTTTGGCAATATAAAAATCTTTTTTTAAAAAACATGACATTTGAATTGAACATGTGCAGAACCCCTGAAGTATGTCTGAGAAACCCTAGGTTCTGTGGCATATGAGATGAAAACCACTGACAAAGAGAACCAGATATTACATATGTTCACTGCATTTTCACATCAAGAAGGCTTGGGAAAAGGGCTAGCAAACTGAAGGACTTCTGTTGGGAGCAGCTCTCTTGGCTAGACCTCGTCAGCAGTGAGGGTTTCTCTTAACCTGAGGCTCTTTCACTATCTCCCTTTCTTTTCTATTCTAAGGTAGAAAGTTCCCCCAAAGAGAGACGAAAATGGTGGGCCACACCCCATATTTAAGAGTGTTTGAATGAAACATTCCCCTACCTAAAGATACAGAGATGGAGAAAATAACATCTCTTCTGACTTTAAGATTATATGGTGCCACTTCCATAATTGAAATAAGATAATTTCTCAAAACAACAACAAAAACCAACCCGCAACTCAGATCATATGCTTGATTTTCTTTTCAGTTCCAATTCTTCATGGCTGTGAAACAAAGAGGCCTAGGGATGTGTGCGAAGGTTGACACTCAAAAGACTAAGTCTATGTTTTTAAAAAAATTGTATCCTATAATTAAGAAAGCATTAAATACGTTTTTCCACATAGCATAGAGAAATGGCATATCTCTTAGAAGGAACCCCTTAAAATGATTATAAAGACCGATACTGTGTACAGCATTTAGCATGTGCACAAATACTTCATGCTGCTCCTAGAAGGGACTTTGCACTCCTGTTTTTGTTTTAAAGGCATGTAGAACATTGTAGGTGCTTAGAACATATTAAAAATGAATTTTAGGCCGGGCGTGGTGGCTCTTGCCTGTAATCCCAGCACTTTGGGAGGCCGAGGCAGACAGATCACCTGAGGTTGGGAATTTGAGACCAGCCTGACAAACATGGAAAAACCCCATCTCTACTAAAAATACAAGATTAGCCAGGTGTGGTGGCACATGCCCATAATCCCAGCTACTCGGGAGGCTTAGGCAGGAGAATCGCTTGAACCCAGGAGGCAGAGGTTGCGGTGAGCCGAGATTGCACCATTGCACTCCAGTCTGGGCAGCAAGAGCGAAACTCCATCTCAAAAAAAAAAAGAAAAGAATTTTATAAAATTGATAAATTGGGATATATTAAAATTAAAATTTTTTATTCATCAAAAGGCATATTAAGAGAATCAAAAGGTAATTGTTAGAGTGGAAGAAGTATTTGCAATACATATATCTGAGAAAGCATTTGGGTATCTAGAACACACTCATACAAATCATTAAGAAAAAGACGATTCAATAGAAAAATGAACAAATATTTTAATGGACATTTTATAAAGGAGAATAATCAGTGGTCCAATAAACAGGTGAAAAGTGCTTGATTTCAATAATTATCTGAGAAATAGAAATTAAAAACCTCAATGCAATACCATTACACACCTACTAGAATGGCTAAAGTAGAAGAGACAAAATACTAAGTGTTGGTTAGGGTTTGGAATAATTGGAACTCTTATACATTGCTGGCCCCCATTTAGGAAAAATTTTTGACAGTGTAGTACTATATATATAATAGCTGAATATAGGCGTGCCTTATGACCCAGGCATAACACACCTAGGTCTGTATTGGTATTTGTCTGCTTGGGCTGCCATAACAAAATACCACAGATTGGGTAGCTTAACAGAAATTTATTTCTCACAGTTCTGGAGGCTAGGAGGTCCAAGATCAAGGTGCTGGCCAATTGGGTTCCTAATGAGGGTTCTCTTCCTGGCTTGTACATGGCTGCTTTCTCACTGTGTCTGTCCTTGCATGGTGGAGAGAGAGCTCTGCTGTCTCTTCCTATTTATTTATTTATTTATTTATTTATTTATTTATTTATGGTTTTGAGACAGAGTCTCATTCTGTTCGCCCTGGCGTGCAGTGGCACCATCATAGCTCACTGCAGCCTGGAACTTCTAAGATTCTCCTACCTCACACTCCTGAGTAGCTGGGACTACAGGCACACACCACCATGCTCAGCTATTTTTATTTTTTTATTTTTTTTGTAGAGATGGGGGTCTCACTATGTTTCATTTATATATGGTGTAAAAGCAGGCAAAAACTCATCTATGCTGTTAGTGTTAGAAGGCAAGACAGTGATTAGTTACCCTTAGCGGAGTGGGGCTAGGGGGAAGCCCGTGATTAGAAGGAACATGAGGACTTGATCCTTTCTTGATCTGGATCCTGGTTGAATGAGTGTATTCACTTTGTGAAAATTATTTTAACTGTGCACATTTGATATGTGTATCTTTCTCTTTCTTTCCTCCTTTCTTTTTCTTTTCTTTTCTCTTCTTTTCTCTTTTTCTCTTTTGAGGCAGGATTTTGCTGTGTCACCCAGGCTGGAGTGCCATGGCATGATCATGGCTCACTGCAGCCTCTACCTCCCAGGCTCAAGAGCTCCTCCCAGCTCAGCCTCCCAAGTAGCTGGGACTACAGACGCATACCACTATGCCCAGCTAATTTTTTGTATTTTGTATTTTTTGTAGAGACATGGTCTCACTTTGTTTTGCAGGCTGATCTTGAACTCCTGGGCTCAAGCGATCCTCCCACCTCGGCCTCCCAATGTGTTGGGATTACAGGCGTGAGTTGCGGCGCCCAGCTGATATGTATACTTTTCTATAGGTATATTACACTTCAATAAAAAGTTTGAAACAGAAAATGAGTTCTACAGGTAGTACTGTATATTAACACATCCTATTGTTAGCGTTCATTAAGTATGTGCAGAGAACATGTCACTGTGGACTTGACCCAGATCTGATCCTGTACATGTACCGAATAGTTATTCTCATGTTGCTTTTCTGATCTTACTGTGAGATCCTGATTTACTCATATATTTCTAAGTGTGATTTAAAACAGAGTAGAGTGGGGATGTAGTATTCAACTCACTGCTTTTCCCAGAGGGAGAAGTATAGGACAGTTACTGGGTGCCTATGTCAGCATGTTGGTAAAAGATAAAGGAACTATGAAAAAGAGATAGAAATGTTTACATTTAGGATTTTATTTTAAATTTCTACTTTGAGGCCTAAGGACCTTTGGTTCCAGGAAAGAAGGACCATGGAGAGGATGCTGTCCCATTCATATTCCAGAATGCTTTAGAACTTAAAAACAGATACTCACAGGAGCCACAGACATGGGTTTTCGAGAAACCCAAATCTGCTTAATGGCTCAGTGCCCTCTAAGCCATGCTCAGCACCAGAAGAGATGGCTTGAGAGACCCTTGCAGCTGGATGAATGTTCATTAATTCTCCCCCCTCCCACCAGTGGCAAATGCCACTCACTGCTCCGCTCCTGTATCCTTGTGTTGCCCTGGCAAAGACAATATACATTGGCTTTATGCAGAATTATCCTCATGGAAGTACTGAGTTATGGCAGAAGTCATTAGGAAAGGAAGGAGCTGCTGTATTCTTTTCTAGATCTTCTTGAGTCCTTCTGTGGAACTGATTGATGTTCTGAAAACCCCCAAGGAGCAGGCTGGCAGCTCGGGCTGCTGTTACAGAGTGGCAAGAAGAATTACTCTAGTAAAGCACTTCACTGTTAACATAGTGGGTACAGACTTCATCCAAAAGCATCTTGTATCTCAACTACTGTCGGTGTCTGTCTTCACTGGAATGTAGACTTCCTAAGGCTAGGGATTTATGTCTGTTTTATTAACTTTTGTGATCCCAGCGCCTAAAACAGTACTTGGCATATGGAAGGCACTCTACTTGTTGAATAAATGAGGGGTATGGGGGAAAGTGGGTAAAGTGAATACAATTAGTACATTTGAAAGATGTCAGAGAAGGGAAATTACAATATGTAGGGTCAGTGGTTTTAACTAAAATTTTAATTTTGATCGTTGGAGAAATTAAACTACAGAATAGGTAAAAAACGTATCCAAGGTCATATATCAGAATCAAGACTAAAAATCCTGTCCTCCTGGCTTTCAGTGTGCTTTTTGTTAGGAAACAGTTCTACTCCTGAAGCTGTCCTCTTAGGTTTAGCAAGAGTTCTGGACAGAAATAGAGCTACAATTAAGCATTAATCAGGCTGCTCTTTGGCCCACTTCCTTGTGACTGAAAGTCACACAGCACTACGTACTGACCACTTGCATCCCCACTGTTCCCATAGATGGGATTTCTGACTTCAGAATCGTAAGGCTTTTCTTTAAGAATTGCTTAAGATGTTTTTCAGATCTCAAATTCCAGTGAAACAGCTGACACCAACCAGTTTGAACCTCCACAGAGGAACGGAATCACCATGAGAATCCACTTTCTTCATCTTTCTGTCTCATGGCTTCGCCCTGCACTCTTTGACCAATCAATGTTCTCCACACTTTGGTCTGCCCTAAAACCCTTAAAAACCCAGCCCAGCCACGACCTCCTAGGTGAGACAAATTTGAGATTTCCTCCCATCTCATTCTTTCTCTGCTACACCCTGGTGTCTTGGTGTATTACCTTGCTGTGCACATCAGGCAGTGAAACAATTATGGTTATACTCCCATCTCCTGCTGTGAGTGCTGATGCTCTGGAATCTGGAGGCAAGGAAACATATTCATGACTTTTTTTTTTCTTTTTCGAGTTAGGGTCTTGCTCTGTCACCCAGGCTGGAGTTCAGTGGCGCGATCTCAACTCACTGCAGCCTCAATCTCCTAGACTCAGATGATCCTCCCACCTCAGCCTCCTGAGTAGATGGGACTACAGGCACATGCCACCACACCCAGCTAAGTTTTTTATTTTTTATAGAGATGGAATTTCCATATGTTGCCCATGCTAGTCTTGAACTCCTGGGCTCAAGCGATCCTCCTGCCTCCCAAGATGCTGAGATTTTGGGCGTGGGCCACCCTGCCCAGCCTATATTTGTGACTTTTAAAACCTGATAATGACATATGCTGATAGTAACAGTCCATTTTATGGGCATGTTTCCAATATCACAAATCCTCATATGTTGGGGGAAGTATTGTGGAAGTATTTGAAAACATAGCCAAATAAATTCACCTTATCACATGGGTCGTAGTTATGATTCCATCTTCATAAAGTGAGCCTTGTTTTATCAACAGATACATTCATGAAAAGCATGTGACATTTTGGTAACATGAATAATATTTTCACATCTAATCCTAAAAACGTTTTGGCTTCATTGCTGATCTTCAATGACAGTGGCTCTTAGCCCTTTAGGTTTAAGTGTCTCTGCCCCCTCCCATACCCCATCTCACTGTCAAGTAGTTAATGATCTATAAACAAATACTGAAATGCCCTAAGGGGGCCCTCCATTTAAACAGTCGTTGAATCATGTGATAATGGAAATACAGTAGTCCACCAGCTGATTTATGATTTGTCAGTTTAGGTTTTTGAAGTGAAGTTCCACTGGTATTTTCAGATGGTGGAGGTTTTTAATTTACTGCACAATAACACTAGACTTTCTCTAATTTTTTCTTTCAGGAGAAAACTTTCAAAAACGTTAACCTGCCTTTGCAGCTTCCATTGTGTGAAATACCACTTTGTGTGTGCACATTTCAGTTTCTTAAGCAAAAAGTAGCTACAGAGGGTATTAATCTCCATGTAATGATATCTACCAGTTTCTGGGTGTTTATGTTATTCTAGGTGCTTTATAGCTACTGTCTCATTTAAACAACACTCAAAGCAAAGTTTCATTTTCTTCATTTTCAGGCTGAGGAAATGAAATGTCAGAGGTCGGAGAGGGTGATGTGGTTATTCACAGTCACAAAGCAGGCAGGTGGTGGAGCTGGGATTTGAACCTGTAAGAGCTGGACTCAAAAACCCATGCTTTGAACACAAAGACTCAGGAAATAGCATTCTAGACCCAAAATACAACCCTCTTAACCAGAAATCTGTCTGGCTGAAAGGAAATTTGGGGGCATGCATGATGACTCAAAAAGAATGACTTTTTTTTTTTTTTTTTTTTTTTTTTTTTTTGAGATGGAGTTTCGCTCTTGTCCAGGCTGGAGTGCAATGGCACAATTTCGGCTCACTGTAACCTCCACCTCCCAGGTTCAAGCAGTTCTCCTGTGTCAGCCTCTGGAGTAGATGATTACAGGCATGTGCCACCACACTCAGCTAATTTATGTATTTTTACATATTTTTAGTAGAGATGGGGTTTCACCATGTTGGTCAGGCTGGTCTCAAACTCCTTACCTGAGGTAATCCACCCGCCTGGGGCTCCCAAAGTGCTGAGATTACAGGCGTGAGGCACTGCACCCGGTCAAAAGAGTGACTTTCAAAACTAGATTACTTTTAAAAATTGATGTAAAACAACTATTTCTATGTATATTGAAAAGTACTTTTAGATTATCTTTAAAATGGAAAGCCATGTGCTAATAAGTTTGGACACCCCCAACAAAGGTCCCAAATGTAAGTAAATTATCACACTCTAAAACTTGGGTTTGATTTGGGGAACCTGAGGAAAGCGTATATGTGGATTCTTTGGACTGTTTTTACAACTTTTCTATAAGCCTAAAATTTTATTCAAACAAAAATGTTTAGTTTTTAAAAGTTAGGTTTTAACTTAGAGAGCATCTGGCTGCAATTGGGGTGGGTATGAGTAATGCTGCTGCTATGGATAATATGCACATTAGTCCAAGCCAGCATCTCCGTGAACCACAACTTGGGGTTCAGCTTCTTTTTTTATTTCTCATCGTTATTCCTAATAAAGCAAGATGTTAAAGCTAACTACGTGCTCTATTAATTATATGAAGGTGAACTTGAGTCATATTTGTTACTGAAGATGATTAATAATTACCAGTTCTGTGCACGTTTCTGGTGCATTTCAGTAAATAAACAGGGTACATTGTTGGGTAGTAATTGATTAATTAGCACATTCATCCTACACAGCTCAATGGTCTAAGGATGCTGAGTTTCAGATATTGCTCATAATTATTACAAGAAACAAGTCTGTTTCATTTCTCAGTTTATTCTTCTGTACACGAAGTTTTTTTTGTTTTTGTTTTTTCCTAAATCGAATGCTTAATGGTTCAAAACCTTTTAGGTTTTCTTCAGATAAATCAACTCATGAAAAATTGCTAGTCATAATCACAGAATCTTATTTTTGTGTGAACTAGGGTGAAAACTTTTACAAGGCTAATTTTATCACGGGATCTTGCTGTTAAACTGGATCAAATACTGCAAATATAGGGCACTTCCCCACCATGCAGGAAATGCTCATTGAGCACCTATGTGCAACAGGGGCACTGGAATCTCATTTGCTTCCCAACCACATCAAATAAGCTCAGGATTGCAAGTGTCATCAGGTTGGCACTTTGCAGCACCAAGCAAATATACTGAGTAATCTTCAGAGAAGGATAACAGCATGCATCGGTCGCCATTTTAACTGTGCAGCAAGTTACGAATTTCATTCTAATTTATTGAGCCAGCATGCAGTGGAGAGACGGAGTAGTTGCAAGAGCTATGGACAGGGAGTCAGGAGTCTTGGGTTCTTATCTCTGTTCTTTCTTGAAGAAGCCATGTGACTGTGGTCACATCACTTCCCCCTTCTCTAAGCATGGATCACTTATCTATAAAATGAAGGCTTCAACCAGGGACTATGAGGTATGGTGAAGAGACAGGTAGACCTACCTTTGAGTCTGGACTCCCTACCACTAGTTATATTATTTCAAGGAAATTATTTAACCTGAGTTTCTGCTCTGTTTACTTGAGTTTATTGTAGGATCAAACAAGATATGAAAATACTTTATAAAGTACCATATGAATATGTGTTATTAATATTAACTTTCTTAACTGGTTGATGCTAACATGATATATATCTGGTGGATGTATCAAAATGCCCATGTACCGGTCTAACAATAGGGAATTTTTAACATCCTTTATGCCATTATTAAAATCTCACTGGGTAAGAATTTCCAGTGTATCTTGATAATTTACTGCTAAGTAAAAAACACAGTCTGTACAATATGTCTGGGATGATCCTATTTCTAAGTTTATATATGCAAAGAAAAAAGAATCTATATAATAGAAACTCAAAATGATAAAAGAATAAATGCAATATATATTAAGCAAGCAACTGTTACTACTGAGAGAGAATGTTCTAGGAGATATGTACGTGTATATATGTGTGTTTATATATGTACATTTGTTTATATACATACTTGTTTTTTTCTTTTGAGATGGAGTCTCACTGTCTCCCAGGCTGGAGTGCAGTGGCGTGATCTTGGCTCACTGCAACCTCTGCCTCCCAGATTCAAGTGATCCTCCTGCCTCAGCCTCCCTAGTAACTGGGATTACAGGCATGCACCACCACACCCAGCTAATTTTGTATTTTTAGCAGAGATGGGGTTTCTCCATGTTGGCCAGGCTGGTCTGGAACTCCTGACCTCAGGTGATCCACCTGCCTCGGCCTCCCAAAGTGCCGGGATTACAGGCGTGAGCCACTGTACCTGGCCAACATACATATATCTTTACATTTACAATCCGTTGAGTGAGACAGATAATTAAGTAACATATCTATTATGTGATATTACATAATACCACACATTGTTAATTGGCTTTGAAGAAAAATAAAGCAGAGTAAGAGAATAGAGAGTAATGGTGCTACTACTTTATGAGGGTGGTCAGGGAGGCCCCTCTGGTCTGGTGAGAGCTGGGCAGAGACCAGAATGCAGCAAGTGAGTGAGCCAGGCAAGCTGCGGAGGGAAGAGTGTCCCAGGGAGAGGGAATGGCAAACACAGAGGACCTAGGCAGGAATCATGGCAGATACACTCCAAAACCTTGACAGTGGTTATCTCCAGGTGGTGGAATAAAAATTGATTTAATTTTTTTTTCTTATGCTTTCCTGTTTTACAAAGTTTTTTTTAAATTTTTTATTTTTTATATGTTTTTGAAGAAGCTATGTTACACTATTTGTTTTCTGGAATGAGGGTACGTTTCCATAATTAGAAAAATAAAAAACTCTACAGGCATCCTGAAAGACAAAGTCATCTTAAGAAGAATGTTTATGAGTATTTTTGAAAGCTTATGTCATCTATAAGTTTTTGTTTTCATGTGTTAGTGCCAAGATCTTATGAGCCGTAGTGAGAATAAAAGCAGCAGAGAGGTTTCTGCCTTGGCGATGAAGTTCAAAGAAGTGTTTACACATAAGTTTTGGTCATAATAACAAGTGTGGTCTTTGTAGAGGGATATAGAATCATCTTGCTTTCAGCTCCTTGTCCAGACCTTGCTGCATGAATGTCAGAATACTTCCTAAAAAGGCTGTGCCTGCCGGCTGGTTGATGGTGCCCAGGAAACATGGTGGCATTTTAGGATGTCTTTAGAAGATGGGATTAAAGGTGTCAGGTAGAAATAGTTTCACCATTTTATTATATCTAATGTATGCAGTTCACCAGGGATTATATTGCAAGATGGAATATTAGGAAATGCATCTTCCATCTTTTTTTGGGTACAGGCAAATATTAAAGCTCAGAGACAGCACTGCAGCTACCCAGAGATGCTCTGGTTTGTACAGGGACAAAAATGCCCAGTTAAAGTTTCTTATTCTCATTTCTTTTTTTAATTTTTTTTTTTTTTTTGAGATGGAGTCTTGCTCTATCACCCAGACTGGAGTGCAGTGGCACAGTCTCGGCTCACTGCAACCTCTGCCTCCTGGGTTCAAGCGATTCTCTTGCCACAGCCTCCCGAGTAGCTGGGGCTACAGGTGACCGCCACCACGCCCAGCTAATTTTTGAATTTTTAGTAGAGACGGGGTTTCACCATGTTGGCCAGGCTGGTCTTGAACTCCTGACTTTGTGATCCACCCGCCTTGGCCTCCCAAGGTGCTGGGATTGCAGGCGTGAGCCACTGTGCCCAGCCTCTTATTCTCATTTCTATTTCATCTTTTTCCATCAAGATCTTCTAGTGCAGAAGGTATACATGACATCAGTTCAAATAAAAATGCTTTCAAAATAAGGTGTTTCCATCAGTTTTGTTGATTAACAATAACTGAGAGCTCAGTGCCAAGAATGAAACCCAAAAAATGAAGGACATGATCCCAGTGTAAAGGACGTGTTATACTTGGCTTCATATGGCTCCCTTCCATAAGAAAAATGTGTTGCAATGAACTATTCTAAAATGATGCAATATTTTGCAACCATTTAAAATCATAGGCCTTTTGGATAGTAGATGGGGGCGTTTAAGGGGCAAAGTATTTTCAAAATATTTTCATCCATTGTTTCCAATAAATGGAAGAAAGCTGGAAGAAGAAACCACCTCCTTGCATGATATATAAAATTTTGGCTGGGCGCGGTGGCTCCTGCCTGTGATCCCAGCACTTTGGGAGGCCGAGGCGGGTGGATCGCCTGAGTTCAGGAGTTTGAGACCAGCCTGGCCAACATGGTGAAACCCCATCTCTACTAAAAATAGAAAAATTAGCTGGGTGTGGTGGTGGGCGCCTGTAGTCCCAGCTACTCAGGAAGCTGAGGCAGAAGAATCACATGAACCCAGGAGTCAGAGGTTGCAGTGAGCTGAGCTCACGCCACTGCACTCCAGCCTGGGTGATAGAGTGAGACTCCATCTTAAAAAAATAAGAAATTAAACAACAGCAACAACAACAGCAATTCTGTCTCTTTTATATACATCGATGACGGTGGCATAGAATTGTAGAACATCAGAGCTGGAAGGAAGCTTAAATATCAGTTCCTCTTTCCTATTTTATGTATCAGAAACCTGAGAACTAAGGAAGAGAAATTATTTGTTTATTAAGGAAAGAGCTGAAACTAAAACCCATTAAGACATTTAAATCTGAAATAGATGTCATACATATTCCATACCCATTTAGAATACCTACAGATGCCACATAATCACTACTCTGTCCTTCCAAATATTTGCAGGTGAGTGGAGGCATTTGCCCTTTTATGCATTCTCTGTGGTATGGCACAGAGTTGATTAGGTATGGCAACAAAGACATGGTCTGGATGTGAATTCTAGAGTATTTAGACAAAGGGCATTACGCTTAGAATAAAAACAATAGTTTTCATGCTATTGAAAACATTTTAAAATATGTTTATTTAGTAATAACATTTTATTTTAATGAATATAATTTCACTTATAACATATTCTCCTAATACACGATTTTTAAAAAACAGCTTTTTGAGGTATTATTGACATTCATAAACTGCACATATTGACAAAGATTCTCTCCTTGACTAAACTCCAGCCAGGCTCCTCCCAGCCCTCTTCTTGACCAGGCCTTAACCTTGGCCTATGAAGACTTGAACAAACATTAACATAGTTTCTAATAGCTCAAGGCTGCAAGCCTAAGATGACCCTAGCACCCTCTTAAAATACCTGCCTGAGAAAACTCCAGGCTGCAAAAAGAATACTTTCTTGTAGCCAATCCTAAATTAGGGCCCCCGTCTCCCAGTCTCTGTGGGAGGATAGGAGCCTAACTTCTGTGTCAGTTAGCAAAACCAGATGAGTTTCACATGAACCAACCCTGCTTCCTGGTTTTTATTTCTCACTTCCCTACTCTACCGAGCAGCCACTGTCCCCTCTTCTATTCCCTCATTCTCCCCTTACAATGCCCAGTCACCTCTCTAGAAATTGAAGTTGAATTCAGTTTACACTGGACCCTTTTCCCTATTGCAATAGTGTATTACTGATTAAAATCTGTCCTTACCACTTTTACTAGTGTCCAGTCTTATTTATCTTTGACAGTATTTAACGTGTACAAGATAAGTTTTGACATCTATATATATCCAATAAATCATTTGTATGTCAGTATAGTGAAAATACCCATCACCCAGCATTTTCCTTCTGCCTCTTTGTAATCTTCTTCCTCCTCCTCCTCCTCACCCTATTCCCACCCCATCTCCCATCCTCAGGTTACTACTTAACTATAGTTTTTATGTTCTAGAATGTTAAATAGGTATGTACGTTTTTTGTCTGATTTTTTTCATTCAACATAGAGATTCTTCTATGCTGTTGATTTATTAATAGTTTATTTCTTTTCATTGCTCAATGGTGTTCCATTTTATGGATATCCCAGTATTTTTTAATTCACTCATCTGCTGATGGACATTTGGGTTGTTTCCAGCCTTGGGGTATTGTAAACCAAGTTGCTTTGGTCATTCCTGTACAAGTCTTTGTATGGACATATGCTTTCTTTTCTCTTGGGCAAATACCTAGGAGTGGAATGGCTGGGTTGTATGGTTGGTGTAGAAACATGATTTTTGAATGGCTGTATAGAAGTCTTTAATGTAGATATTTCATATTTTTAAAACAATACCCTATTATTGAACATTTAGACCTTTAGATTCTTCACTATTGTTGCAAACGATCTAATTTTTTGGCTTAGCAATGTGTTTATAGATATTCAACTTGGAAAAATAAAGCCCAAGAAAATGAAAAGCGTGGAAAGGGAATCTGGAAACAAAGAGCATGTTCCTAAATCATTTTGAGTTTTTCAATGATCGCAAAGTATTTTGTGTCCTCTCCTGGGAAACAAAGTGGCATGAATCTTTAAATGAATCAAAATTTTAATTTTGATTTGGAGTTTATTTCGCAACCAATGGAGGGTCTGCGGTTTTGCTGTCGAGTTTATGGGACCATGATTTCATCCTAACATTCCTTATGAGGCGATTGCAGTAAACTTGGGTGTGGCCTTTTGTTTCTGGGAGCTATAATTAGCCATCTGGTATACTTTATAACAGTTTGTTAAATAAAAAAATCTTAAAATGTAGCATTTTGCTCACTTCTCTCTCTCCTTTCTGCCTGTGTGTGTGTGTGTATGTGTGTGCATGTGTGGTGATGCACATGTATATGGTGACAATTGTAAAAGTGAAACAAAATGTTAATGGCAAAGCTATATTTTTCTGTGCTATATTTAGGGTCTTCTTATAACAAAAGTTGTTTTCACCAACAGATTTTTAAACAGCAGGGACATGCTTATTATTTACTGTTTTGTTGTCTTTCCCTCATTTACATAAATACCCCAGAAACCAGCAGTTTAAAACTAATAAAAGCCAAGGCCCTCCATCAACTGCAATAAAGTTTCACAACCATGAGTTAGACTGTTAGAGTGAAAAATAAACCTATATATGTAGTTATGAAGGGTTTTTTTTTGGAAAGTGTATAATCACATTTCAAAGTTAGAACTTCCATTTGAAGTAGCCATGTAATAATAATACTTAAACATTTATATAGAACGCTTCATCTTTGAAACACTCTCCCAACATTGGCCAATTCATCTCGACTGCTTCCCTGAGGAGCAGGTACTATATGCTCTGCCATTTTTCTACTTAGAAAATTGAGGAAAGTATGACCAGGCCCGAGACAGAGAGGGCTGGGGAGACCAGTTCCTGGCCCTTATTATTCTGTGACTCTTTGGGATGTAATTCCTAACAGCATGCCTCAAGTTTCTGTTCCCCACTGATGAAGTCATTAATAAAACAATGGTATAAATAGTAGCTCTATCGGCTTCAAGCTCTTAGATGCAGTCCTGAGCTTCCTGTGGCACACCTCTTGGAAGGAATGATATGTGGAGAAGATTCAGAAGAGCCCATTGCGATGGGTTGATCCAAACTTCTTCCAGCGAGAAAAGTGTAGTCGAATGCTTCCCCCGTCCCCCAGCTGCCACCCTCACATTATCTTGGCAACTTCATTTACGGTTTTCCAGATGGGATTTACCATGATTAGTACATTTAAAGAGTTGCACAAATTTGTTATGCACATTAAAGCCAGAGGAACAGTAAAATAAAACTAATGAACATTTACATTTTTGGAAATATAATTAATGTATGCTTGAGAAATTCTGAAAGATAAACATTTAAATGTTAAAATACTTATTACCTTCCCACAGGGACAGTGTTGGGAATTAATGAGATAACAAATGTAAAGTGCTTTGAGCTCTTTGGAAGAAAGGTGCCAAATGAATACAAATGATTATTAATTGTTAAAGCTATCAGATGGTTACTAACATATTACTTGTGATAAAATACGTATTTTTATACTTAAAAAATAGGACGCTTACAATTCTTAGGATGACATAGCTGAAATAATTCTCCCCAAACTCCTTCCAGGCTATTCTACATTTTGTTGGAAGCCTTTCCCAATGCTTCTACGATTTCTTAACCTTATACCCATCTCTCGAAACTTCAGGGCATGACTTCCCAGCTTCCAAATTCTACGCCTTTCCAACATCATTCTCCACCAGTCTTACAGATCCATCACCATAGGAGAATTCCACTGACACCATTTTTTTCTTCTGACTTTGATCACATAATTGCAGTGCCTTGCCATGCTGTCAGTTGTACAAGCTCATTTCATTAGCAGGAAGTATGCATAAGTTAATCTGTTTTTTTCTATGTTTTAAGCAACACACCAGAATTTGTTATTCTAAAAATGTGCAAATCCCTTGGATGATCTGGGACAAGTGAAACTAAACCCTCTACTTTGTACAACATGCTGGAATTTGTGGTAAAAGACAGCAAATCCCAAATTTCATTTAGCCTGAGACATAGGGTGAGACACTCTGTCTCAATTTCCTCATATATAAAATGAGAACAGTTGTTGTACCTACATGCGTGGAGTTTTTGGAAAGATGCAATCAAATAATGTATATGAAGCTTCCAGCACAGTACATCCCCAGCCCCCAGTTTGTTCTATAGGTAACTGTAAGTAGCTTACGGAAAGGTCACTAAATAGGTAGGCAGCACAGGTGGGCAGTAGCACATTTAATATTATAATCTCATTGGTTTCTTTAAAGTCCATATAAAATAGGTAATATATTAAGGGAGATACTTATATCCAATAATGCTCTCCAACCACTGCAAACATTCAACATTAAATAATGGGTCATTTCTCATACAAAGACACCTCTATTGTTTAATGTGTGCTTCTCCCAAAAACTTCCTGGAAAACGGTATATCATTTCCCCAAAATCCTCTTGCCACCAAATATTTCGGTTTCCTATTTAGAAGAGCAAAAGCTCAGTAATTAATTCATCGTGACTAAATTATATTTAGGATACTTTAGATATTGTACACATATAAATGATTCTTTTTTGAAACGTGCCTTAGTTTACCAAGAGCACAGTATCTATGTAACATATATGTGTTAAAAGATAATGGACTATTGCTTCTTTTCAAATGTTCTGTAATTAAAACATGTCACTAATTTAATCTGGTCCTCTGGCTTCTTCCACTTAATTACTTGAAGTGATTGTTTTATTATACCAATTTTTCTCCTTTAATTTTGAAGCTGTAGATGTTTACGTAGAGAACCCTGCTCCCAATCACTTTCACAGGTCTGAATTCTGTGGTATATGCAAATGATAGCTGCAAAGGAGGAAAGTGGCATTGTTTGAGAAACCAATCAAGTGGGTAAAACAATGGTGTAGGATGGCGAAATCGTTTCGCTATTGCCAGCAGCTTGAGCTTCGGGAGTGCTAATCAAAATTCACATGCAAAACTTTCCGATAGATTTAACAGTTTTGTACTGTTAAGCAGGGGCTCTCACCATGTGAATGATCCACTACTGTGCCGAACAAAACGGAGACAGTTTTCTTTTAAAGTCCAGAGCAGATGAGAGCCATAAGGAGACAGAGGGTTTCATTTACTCTCAGGACACGATTGTGCCAGTGAACTAATGAGTCTCTTGGACCTTATGTTGCTCTGGCTTCAGTCGAGGCGCGGCTCTAATGGGCATGTAGGACTTCCTATCTGTCAAGTGTCTGAACAATGGGCCCCTCGAATGGATTAGAGAGATCTGGCAAGAAAAAGAGGTCAGTGTTGTACCTAGCACAGGCAGGAAACCTGGCTAATTAATGTATTTCCAACTATAGCAAAACAAAAGCTGACACACACAAATGTTAATTTTATTACAGAAACTCTTAGCCTGTGGCTGAATCACAGTTAACAAATTATTGAAATTCCACAGGTAAAAATCCTATTCCTTTCCCCAATACACTAAAATATTTTTATAGACATAAAGGTCATTCTTTAAAACAATAATGGTTTTGGTGTTGTAATTTGCTTTTATTTCACCCTTCAGTAAAGCTCACTGATGTGGAAATATTTTTGGACAATTATGAAGTGAATGCTGAAAGTTAGAGTCAGCACTACTACAATCTTAACAGTCTGCCTTTTTAAAGGTAGTATAATGTTGAACTAAACTTGAAAAAATCCTACTGCTGTATTAAATGGAGAACTAGAGAATACAAATGTTTATTCAAGCTACAGAGCTCGAGCTACACTCCATCTTAAACTAAGAGCAGATACTGCCACCTAGATACATTCTGATGCTTTGGTTAACTAGATGCTGGCTTATCCTACTTTTTGAAAAATGGCAACAATAGCAGACAATAGTGGCTTGGTATAACAAAAACACGATGAATGATAGTCACTTAAAAATTCATATAAATATAATTTCAATATAATTTGAAGCTTTGAAAAAAAGGCATTTGTGTTTTGACAAATAGCAATTCTTAAGCCTTTATTCAAACCTATAAATGCAGAAGATCGATGGACTATTAGAAATAGGAGAAAACTTTATAAAACATAAAAAATAAAAGCTACATAATCCTGAGGCCTATGAGGAAGTAAATGCGGAGGTGATATCAGTAAGACTTTTAACTTTCTTCTTTTATCAGATTACTTTTTTCTGAGTTTGAGAAGAAGAAGGGATTGTTCAACACTCTCAAATGAAAACACAAATAAGTTTTGGTTTAATAAATAAAATAAGATCACTTAATAAACAATGTTTTAAAAAGAGCATTTCATTATAATCTGTTCTGATTCACCTCCTAGCACACAAAGCAAACCAATTTCCCCTGGCTTTTATTTCTAACAGAAAAAAAAATTGCCCTTTTTATTCCAGACTGGGATCCAAATTGTTATGTACTGTATTCCAGGATCATTTCTTGGGTTTAGAGAGGTTTTTATCATCTTTGGACTGTTGCTCCTCTTCAAATCTCATTTTGTTTTCCTTTGTTACTCTTAGAATAGTTTCAATATCAGCAATGGTGGTCTGTAAATAAAGACAATATTTATTACTTAAAGACCTCTTACAATCCCTCTCCCCCAAGCATCTGGTCCTTTTGGGAGTTCACCATGGTTTAGACCAGTTCTATTCAGAATGTATTCTACCAACTGGCATTTGTCTACAGATTATGGCTTACCAGTCTTGCTGAAATGAGTAAAAAAATTGAGAGTAAGAATTTGGAAAACTTTTTAGAATTTTTATGCCTATTATGTCTAATAATAACATTGGGCTTCTAAATTGTACATCTTTAATTTTTTTAATCGTATTTTTCTAGTAATTAAATTTTCTTCTATTTTGTTAAAAATGTTGATCCATGATAGTCAGATAAAATCAAAACAAAACAAATAGTTTCCTTATTATGGATAATTTGAGAAGCATTGGTCTAGTCACCCTAAAATGAGGGCTAATAGGCTGATGGGAAGGTTTCTTTCCATTGGTTGCTGGGAAGAAAAAAATGACACATTCCCATTTACTTTGTTTATATTTTATTGAAGTACAATTCCCATACCATAAAATTCACCCTTATAAAGTATACAATTCAGTGGTTTTTAGTATATTTGCAAGTAACCATCGCTACTATATAATTCCAGAACATTTTCATCACCCCAAATAGAAACTCTGTCCCCATTAGCTGTCACTCCCCATTTCATCCCACTCCCTCAGCCCCTGGCAACCACTAATCTATTTCTGTCTCTATGGATCTACCTCTTCTGCACATTTCATATAAATGAAACCATACAATATGTGACCTTTTGTGAATGGCTTTTTACCTAGCATAATGTTTTCAAGGTTCGTCCATGTTGCAGCATGGATCAGTACTTTATTATTCCTTTTATAGAGGTGAATAATATCCCATTATATAAAATATTATCCATAGAATATAATAAAATTCAGTTATTTCTTAGTCGATGGACACTTGGGTTGTTTCTAATTTTTGGCTATTATGAATATTCCTTCTATTAACATTAATGTACACATTTTTGTGTGAACATGTTTTCAATATACTTAGACATATACCTAGAAATGGAATTGCCGGGTCATATGGTAATTTTATACTTAATTTTTTTTATAAACTGCTAAGCTTTACATATCTGTGATACCATTTTAAATTCTTACCAGCAATATATGAGGGTTCTGGTTTCTCCGTATCCTCACCAACACTTGTTATTGCCTTTTTATTTAACTGTAGCCATCTTATTAGGTATGAAATGTTTCATTGTAGCTTTGATTTGTATTTCCCTAATAACTTATGATGTTGAGCATTCTTTCATATACTTATTGGCCATTTGTACATCTTTTTTTTTTTTTTTTTTTTTTTTTGGGACAGGTCTTGCTCTATCACCAAAGCTGGAGTGCAGTGGTGTGATTATGACTCACTTCAGCTTTGACCTTCTGGGCTCAAGCAATTCTCCCCACTCAGCCTCCTGAGCAGCTAGAACTACAGGTGTGTGCCACCATGCCTGGCTAGCTAAAAATAAGTTTTCGTGGAGATGAGGTCTCACTCTGTTTCCTGGGCTAGTCTCAAACTCCTGGCCTCAAGTGATCCTTTCGCTTCAGCCTCCCAAAGTGCTGGGATTACAGGTGTGAGCACTGCAGTTGGCCTGCATATCTCCTCTGAAGAAATGTCTATTCAAATCCTTTGCTCCCTTTTAAAATTGGGTTATTTGTCCTTCTGTAGTTGAGTTGTAAGAGTACAAGAGTACTTTGTATATTGTGAATACTATGCCTTACCAGATATATGATTTGCAAATATTATTTCCCTTTCTGTGGTCTGACTTTTTACTTTCTTGATAGTGTTCTTTGATGCACGAAGTTTTAAATTTTGATGAGGTCTGATTTATCTATTTTTATTTTGGTTGCTTGTGCTTTAGGCACCATGTCTAAGAAACTATTGCTAACCCAAGGTCATGAAGGTTTATACGTATGTTTTTTCCTGAGAGTTTTACAGTATTAGCTCTTACATTTAAATATTTGATCCATTTTAACTTATTTTTTTTTTTTTGAGACGGAATCTCGCTCTGTCGCCCAGGCTGGAGTGCAGTGGTGCAATCTCGGCTCACTGCAACCTTTGCCTCCTGAGTTCAAGTGATTCTCCTGCCTCAGCCTCCTGAGTAGCTGGGATTACAGGTGCATGCCACATGCCTGGGTAATTTTTATATTTTTAGTAAAGACGGGGTTTTCACCATGTTGGCCAGGCTGGTCTCGAACTCCTGACCTCAGGTGATCCACCTGCCTCGGCCTCCCAAAGTGCTGGGATTACAGGTGTGAGCCACCGCGCCCGGCCCATTTTAACTTAATTTTTATATATGATGTGAGGCAGAGGTCCAACTTAATATTTGCATGTGCCATTTATTTAAAAAATATTTTTTCTCCATTGAATTGTTTCAGCACCCTTGCCAAAAATTATTGGCCATTATGTATGGGTTTATTTCAGACTCAATTTTATGCCATTGATCTATATCTCTATTCTTATGCCAGTACCACACTGTCTTGATTACTGTAGCTTTGTAGTAAGTTTTTAAATTGAGAAGTGTGACTTCTCCAACTTCGTTCTTTTTGAGATTATTTTGGTTATTCTGGGTCTCCTATGTTTCCACATGAATTTTAGGATCATCTTGTCAATTTCTGCAAAAAAGCCAGCTGGGATTCTGATAAGAATTACATTGAATCTATAGATCAATTTGGGAATGTCAGCATCTTAGCCTTATTGTCTTCTATTGGATGAATACAGACTGTCTTTCTGTTTATTTAGGTCTTCTTTAATTTCTTTCACCCATGTCTTATAGTTTTCACTGCAAAAATCTTGCACTTCTGTTAAATTTATTCCTGGCCAGGCGCGGTGGTTCACGGCTGTAATCCCAGCACTTTGGGAGGCCGAGGCGGGCGGATCACGAGGTCAGGAGTTCGAGGTCAGCCTGACCAACATGAAACTCCATCTGTACTAAAAATATAAAAAATTAGCCAGGCATGGTGGTGCGTGCTTGTAATCCCAGCTACTCAGGAGGCTGAGGCAGCCGAATTGCTTGAACCCAGAAGGCAGAGGTTGCAGTGAGCCGAGATTGCATCAATGCACTCCAACCTGGGCGACAGAGTGAGACTCTGTCTCAAAAAAGAAAAAAAAATTATTCTTAAGTGTTTTATTCTTTTTGATGCTATTGTAACTTGAATTTTTTGAAAACTTATTTTTGCATTATTCATTACACAAATATAATTGTCTTTTGTATACTGATTTTATGTCTTATAAACTTGTTGATGGGTTCTTTAGGATTTTCTTTTCTTTCTTTCTTTTTTTTTGAGACTAGGTCTTACTCTGTCACCCAGGCTGGAGTGCAGATCATGGCTCACTGCAGCCTCAACCTACCTGACTCAGGCCATCCGCCCATCTCAGCCTCCTGAGTAGCTGGAACCACAGGTGTGTGCCACCACACCTGGCTAATTTTTTAATTTTTAGATAGGGTCTGCCTATGTTGCCTAGGCTGGTTTCAAACTCCTGGGTTCAAGCAGTCCTCTTGCTTCATAGGATTTTCTATTTACAAGAATTTGCCACTTGCAAACAGAGATACTTTTACTTTTTTTTTTTTTTTTTTTTTTTTGAGACGGAGTCTCGCTCTGTCGCCCAGGCCGGACTGCGGACTGCAGTGGCGCAATCTCGGCTCACTGCAAGCTCCGCTTCCCGGGTTCACGCCATTCTCCTGCCTCAGCCTCCCGAGTAGCTGGGACTACAGGCGCCCGCCACCGTGCCCGGCTAATTTTTTGTATTTTTAGTAGAGACGGGGTTTCACCTTGTTAGCCAGGATGGTCTCGATCTCCTGACCTCATGATCCACCAGCCTCGGCCTCCCAAAGTGCTGGGATTACAGGCGTGAGCCACCGTGCCCGGCCGATACTTTTACTTTTATTTCTTCTTCTTTTCTCCTTCTCCTTCTTCTTCTTCTTAGTAGAGATGAGGTCTTGCTATGTTGCCCAGGCTGGTCTCAAACTCCTGAGTGCAAGTAATCCTCCCACCTTGGCCTCCCAAAGTGCTGGGATTACAGGTGGGGGCCACTGCACCCAGCGCCTTTTATTTCCTTTTCTTGCCTAATTTCTCTGTCCAGAACTCCAGTACAATGATGAATAGAGGTGGCAAGAGCAGACACCCTTGTCTTGTTCCTAATCTTGGCGAGAAGGCTTTTGGTCTTGCAATGTTAACTATGATGTCAGCTGTGGGTTTTTTGGTAGATGTCCTTATAAGGTTGAGGAAGTTACCTTCTATTTTTACTTTGTTGAATGTTTTTATCAGAAAAGAATGTTACATTTTGTTAAATGCATTTTCTGCATTATCTTCCTTTTTTTTATTCTTACTCCCATCACCCAGACTCACTGCAGCCTCAACCTCCCAGGCTCAAATGATTCTCCCACCTCAGCCCCCCAAGTAGCTGGGACTACAGGCATGAGCCACCACACCTGGCTAATTTTTGTAATTTTTGTAGAGATGGGGTTTCACCATGTTGCCCAGGCTGGTCTTGAACTCCTGGGATCAAGCAATCTGCCCACCTCAGCTTTTCAAAGTGCTGGAATTACAGGCATGAGCCATTGTGCCCAGCCTCAATCACCTTCCATTTTTATTTAGCCTTTACTTTGCTGGTAAATCCTTGTTTAAAAACTGAAAATACCTACCACAATGCCACTAAGTAGGAGACAGAAAATACTAGCAAAGATGAATCTATTCCACTGCTTCAAGTTTTTGTTATTGTACCTATATTACTGAGATTGAAAGTTTTTGCCTTTAGACCTAACATGAGTAAAAATCAAGAAAACAAACATTCATATCAGAAGGCTAGAAACCATGACATAATTAAAAGCTACCTAAGAATATCTGACTTTTTATGATTTTGAAAGTCAGAGAAAGGGCAGAGAAATAGCTTTCATTTTGTCAAAGGTGGTTGACTCTGCCCACAGCGAGACAAGCCCAGAATCAACTTAGTCTGAATGCATTTGAGGTTAAAGCATCTGATTCTGATTATTAGCTATATTTGGACAGGCTGAATGGATGAAATGCAGAGAGGCTCAAAGTTTTGCACATGGCACTAACAGATAAGATGATGCTACTAGCTAGCAGGAACTTAAAATGTAAATGATAGGCTGGGCAAGGTGGCTCATGCCTGTAATCCCAGCACTTTGAGAGGCCAAGACAAGATCCCTTGAGCTCAGGAGCTTGAGACCAGCCTAGGCAAGACAGTGAGATATCCTGTCTCTTTAAAACAAAACAAAACAAAAACCAGTAAATAATGAGCATAGATCCTTTAGGACCAGTGAACACTGATGTAACATTTGGTCTGTCTTTTCTTGAATCTTCTCAATCATGTTGTAGGGAAAGCAGTGGTCATTCTTCCAGCTCATAAAATCACATTGTTATTGTTACTGTTACTAAAGGAGTTAGGCCCTAGCTTGAATCAAAAATGTAATTAAAATTACATTTCTATTAAGCTTTTGTTGGACTTTCCATTTAGGAGAAAAACTACATGTGGTTTCTGATTGTGTCCTTTGAATTAATGAAGGCCTAGGCTGGGAATCAGATTCATACCTTGCTGTTCAATACCACGTGATCATCTCTGTTCAGACAGTATTTCAGAAACTCCCGTACAGACCTTGTTCCTGTAGTTTACAGTTTGGAGACTTCTAGTCAATTATACACAACTGGATTTGATAGACCAACATCTTTAAAGGTCATAAGAAGGCTTCTAAAGGTTAGTAGTGAAATAATCCAACCCACGGTGGAGAAACGGGTGGGGTAGATGGCCCACATACATGCTATATTTTCTGCTTCTCCCTAACACACATTGCTTTCTCGGGTCTTAGAACTTCTCTGGCTCTAGAAACTAGGGCTTCCCAGGAATCACTAGTCAGACCTTGTATTATCTGGAATATAGATAGATAACATTCGCAATTTTTGGTTGTGACGATCTCTGTTTTGGTTCCATTGTGACATTTCAGACTCACGTCCAACATCAGAAAGATCTGCTATCTTAGGAGCTGGAGTTTGAAAATGGCAGCAAGTTAAAAGTCAACTCTATTTCAAAGAAAAAGTTTCAAACTATTAAATTTAACTAACAGCCTCAGTGGGAACCTTACAGTATTGACCCTGCACACTGTAAAATATGTACTGCTTACAATAAAAAAAAGATGGTTTAGCACTTGTTTACAATACAGCATGAGGTATTTTCAGCCCTTGTATAGAAATTAACCAGAATCGTTAGTTAATTAACACCTCACCTTAAAATTGGTCTCGCCTTGCATATTAGGTGCTGATATTTCTTGATGGATGATGAAGAGATGGCGAGCAAAGGTCATGAGGACCCCCTGGAGATCCTCGCCGATTGTTCTGTTAATGATATCCAAACAAATGAGTTTACCAACGATTCCCTTCACATGCTTAAAAACAATCGCCCTCTCATTTGTGCCTGTCTGGTGATGGAATTTAATGAGTATTTTCAATCTCACAAGGTGGCAATCTTCAGGGAGATATGAAAGATGAGACTCCATTTTAACTTGTCAACAAAAAGGATTTGCGTAATAAATATTTTTTATTAATCAACTTAGCAGAATATACCAATAGGGTAGGTCATTTCTAGCGAAAGTCTACCACTGAGCTAGGATGTTGTACGAGTTCATTTTAAAAATGGTTTAAGCCCATCATTCTCAGCAAACTATCGCAAGGACAGAAAACCAAACACCGCATGTTCTCACTCATAGGTGGGAACTGAACAGTGAGAACACTTGGACACAGGGTAGGGAACATCACACACCGGGGCCTGTCGTGGGGTGAGGGGAGGGGAGAGGAATAGCATTAGGAGATATACCTAATGTAAATGACGAGTTAATGGGTGCAGGACACTAACATGGCACATGGATACATATGTAACAAACCTGCACGTTGTGCACATGTACCCTATAACTTAAAGTATAATAATTAAAAAAAATGGTTTAAGTTACTTTAGGAGAACTGTCGCTAAGTGTGATCCTTGCCGAATGATTTCCTTGTCTATGGAGACATTTGCATCTCAGTATTCTGGAGTCTTTTGTCTAGGGTTTATTTTCTATTTCACAGGTACAAGTGATTCCTATCACTTAATGAGAGTGTCCTGCCTATGTTCAGAGGAGAATGTGCCCTGTTCATGAACAGCCGTCTTTATAAACCTGAACATCCACTTTAAGATTTCGGAGATAGCTTGCAAACTATCCTGTAGCATTATAGGGCTCCCTATATAAGGTGGTCACTCAGTGTAGGCTTTGTGGTATAGTGAAAGGAACACCAAGTTCAGGATCAGGAGACAGACCACCTACTGTGTGACCCAGGCAAATCATTGCCCCTCTCTAAGCCTCAGTTTCCCATCTATGAGGATCAGTTAATTCTGAGGCCCTTCCCTGTTCTAACATTCTGTGGTTCTATGACTGCAGTTAGGGATGAGATTAAGATGGGCAGAAAACAGTAGAAAAGGACTAAAGGCTTTCGAGAGGTCCATGTCAACTGTGCCCTCCCTGAAGGATGTGTGAATAGCAATAACCATCTAGAAGGTACACCAATAGGACTATTTCTGCCATTGAAACTAGCCTGCAGGTCAAGGCATCCTTGCCTGAAATCTCAGGTACAGGTGTAGGGACAGCTGGGCAAGTTCCTCTTGGTTACCAGTCTAATTATTAATTCTGTAGGCTTCAGCATCAGATCCACCTTGCTGCTAGGTCAGTTTGATGACTGGGAGTTTCTCTGTTCATGAAACAGGCTCTTCCTCTATCTCCTACTTTCTGTGATGGTTTTCCTCTTGCCTGGTTCCTCTATGCCCGAGTACCCACCTGCACTGCTCTTCCTGTGGCCCACACTTCAGGAACCCTGCCTCTGCCTGGGTGATACTACCCCTGTCTCATCCCATCAATTCCAGGACACACGTCCTGCTCCTGAGTGTCAGCCTCTGCTGGGCTCTGCTGCCTGCTGAAAGGCTTTCCTCATGCCACCCCCTACCAGCCTGGGTCTCCAAAAGTGGCCTCCTCTCTGAGTGCCTCTGGTCAAGCTCCCCACGACCTAGCTCTCAGGTTGTCCCTTTACTCTTTGCGGTTGGAACTTTTCCTGATGGTATGAGCTGGTTGCTTCTCAGGATGACCTCCACGCATCTGAATCCTGGGTCCAGTGTTTGGCCTGTCTGATTGCTCTTCTCCCATCACCCGAAGGGAGCTCACCTCTCCCAGCCTCATCCTATGTACAAAAGGGTTTGTCTGGTTCCAGTCGTGTCCCAGCTTCTCCTTTGTAGTTAATCTTTCATGCCAGCTGGTGCCCAGTAAGACACAGTTCATATCTCTAGGTTCTGATTTCTAGTTCTTTGTACCTAACTAACCCATCTGTCTGAATTCCTGGGCTTAGAAATATACTTGGACCTTGAATGTTGCCTGCTTAACTCGATTCATAAGTTGGGAAAATACAAATTTCTTATTCCCATGCATGCCAACTTCAAATCCAGATGACTGCTTGGTTCTCCTAGTCCCGGTAATTCCCGGTGGCCTATGTTCTGCCCAGCCCTGACATCACCGTGTCAAGTTTGGGGAGAGTGAAATGGGAAGTATTTAATCTCTGATCTTCTGGCTACTAGTGAACTGCTGCTCCCCTTTCATGGCTTGTCAGCAGTTGACATACTAGACCACGTTTACCTGTTTACTTGTTTACTGTATGCCCACCCCTCTAGAGTGGCAGCTTCCTGAGGGCAGGGCTCATTGTTGTTTCCCCAGCACCTAGAACTGTGCCTGGCACAGTTGATAAAATGCTTTCAAATTTTCTGGTAAGGAAGGGTGGGGCAGGGAGGGAGCTGAGGGGCAGAATGTTACTGGGAAGCAAGGGGCTGATCCTTCCCTGCACATGCCCAGAGGTGTCCCTGGCTCTGTTATCATTCTGGATGTGAAGGCCTAGGTGGAGAAGATGAAGGCAAGCTTGTTGGGATGTTATGGATTGAGGTCTCATTTCTGTTGCTATCAGGGCAGTGTGACAAATGGGTGAAGAGTCCCTAGGGAAGTGACTTTCTTAACAAGACCCAATAAGTTTTGCATGTTTATGGGATCTTGGGGGAAGACTGAAACTGGAGGGGAGGACTCAAAACAGCCAGCTTCCCTTCCCAGGTGATGGGAAGCATCTGAGACTGTAAGTGCCAGATTAAATTGTAGCCACATTCTAGTTGCAAGGGAGAAGAAACCAGAACATTTGCCTAAGTTCAAAAGGATCGATGAGGGTGAATATCACTGTATTGATAATGGTCTAACTGATAATGCTTTGGTAGAACAAAGGACTATGCTTTGGATAGGGAAGTTGAGGCCTGTCCTATGCAGCCATTTGCTTGTAGTGTGCACCTCTTTGGATCAGTTTCCGGGAGACTGACCATAGTAGGGTGTAGGGGAGGTTGGGGAGGGAGGGACTGAGGCCACATAGGAACATCAGTGCTTCGTAGAGGAATTGGCTCTTATTTGGTTAGTTTTTATGAGACCAGATCTTTGTGTATATGTTTCTGTGTGTTTCAGTGTGAGGCCACAATGTCTACACTGCTGTAGAGGTTACAAGGAAGAGAAATAGAGGGCAGAGACAGTTTCCCAATTAGGTAGGATGACTTAAAGGTACCAAGTAACCATGTGCCAAGATATGAAATAAGAGATGACTCAAGGTTGTAGCTCTAAAATTCTGAGTCCTAGATAGGAGGCTTTGCTAGGCTCCAAAATATCCCAGAGGGAAATCTGGGAGAAGTGCGGAAGCCTCCGAGTGTTGCCAGCAGCCTGTGCTCAGTGCATGCGTACCTTGAGAAGACTGCGCCCGGGTTGAAACTGGATCTGAGGAGGAGCTACAGATCCTGCCTGTTAGGGGGACATCGTGTGAAGTCACCAGAGCACAGAGCACTTTTCTAAGTATGCCAGAATGACAACTGCCTTCCACAGGCAGGACAACTGAGCTGGGTCCCCATCAGTGAGATCTGATGTGCCTTATCTGTGTATGCATTTGGGTATAATATGTTGTTAAATCTAAATCTTACCCATTAATTTTAGGTAATTAATCAATTATATTTATAAACCCCCATTGACACATCTAAAGTCATTTTATAAAATACCTAGGCTGGGCGCAGTGGCTCAGGCCTGTAATCCCAGCACTTTGAGAGGCCCAGGTGGGTGCATCACGAGGTCAAGAGATCGAGACCATCCTGGCCAACATGATGAAACCCCGTCTCTACTAAAAATACAAAAATTAGCTGGGCATGGTGGCACGCACCTGTAATCCCAGCTACTTGGGAGGCTGAGGCAGGAGAATCGCTTGAACCCGGGAGGTGGAGGTTGCAGTGAGCTGAGATCGCGCCACTGCACTCCAGCCTGGGTGACAGAGTGAGGCTCCGTCTCAAAAAAATAGAATAAAATAAAATACCTGAAGATCTAAATAAAGATAGACTTCTAATAAATCAGCATGCTGATTAAAATGCATGAGAAGCATCATTCTTGTTAGTTGTGATTGTCTATTTCCTTAGCTTATTGCAACTCACAGATACACTTCATACTCACAACATTCCCAACTTGTGTCTCTTCAGGTGCTCATATAATATAAAAACAGTTCCTTGCCTTTCCTGTAAAATTTGAATGGGGAGAAAAGAAATAGTATATTATCTCAGAAACAAAGTACAGAAAATGTTACTGGCACAGAAAGACTACTAAGATTGATTTGATTTGAAATCTAGAGCTACCTTCAGATATTATGAGAACACATTTGGAAAGGCTGCCTCTAGAATTTGGAGTAAATATGTTCTAGAACTGTGCTTTTTGAGTATGATCCTCAACACCTGCATCAGAATCATCTAGTGTGCTTGTTAAAAAGGCATTTTCATGGGCATCATGCAAGCTCAGAAGACTTGGCAGGCACTCTGTCTTTTACCTTACTTCTTGGATGATTCTTGTGTACATCAAAATATGAAAACCACTGTTCTAAGAGTGATGGGTTAAAAAAATATAGGGGAGGCTGGGCACGGTGACTCACGCCTGTAATTCCAGCACTTTGGGAGACTGAGGCGGGAGAATCGCTTGAACCCGGAAGGCGGAGGTTGCAGTGAGCCCAGGAGGCCAGCCTGGCCAACATGGTGAAATGTTGTATGGTGAAAAGTAGCATGGTGGTCCAGCTACTTCAGAGGCTGAGGCAGGAGAATCGCTTGAACCTGGGAGGCAGAGGTTTCAGTGAGCCGAGGTCACGCCATTGCACTCCAGCCTGGGCAACAAGAGCAAAATTCCATCTCAAAAAAAATTGGCCGGGCGCGGTGGCTCACACCTGTAATCCCAGCACTTCAGGAGGCCGAGGCAGGCGGATCACGAGGTCAGGAGATCGAGACCATCCTGGCTAACACAGTGAAACCCCATCTCTACTAAAAATACAAAAAATTAGCCGGGTGTGGTGGCGGGCGCCTGTAGTCCCAGCTACTGGGGAGGCTGAGGCAGGAAAATGGCGTGAACCTGGGAGGCGGAGCTTGCAGTGAGCCGAGATCACGCCACTGCATTCCAGCCTGGGCAACAGAGCGAGACTCCGTCTAAAAAAAAAAAAAAAATTATATATGTATATATGGTAGCAATTTGTTATGTGGAAAATAATTTGTACTTCAGTGGGAAACTGTGTTGTCTATAGCAGGGGTCTTGAATCCCTGGGCTGTGGACTGGTACCAGATCTGTCTCAGACAGGTCTGTGGCCTGTTAGGAACCGGGCCACACAGCAGGAGGTAAGCAGCAGGCAAGCAAGCATTACCACCAGAGCTCCGTCTCCTGTCAGATCAGCGGTGGCATTAGATTCTCCTAGGAGCGGGAAACCTATTGTTAACTGTACAAACAAGGGATCTAGGTTGCATGCTCCTTATGAGAATCTAACTGATGCCTGATGATCTGAGGTGGAACAGTTTCATTCTGAAACCATACTCCCTCTACCCACCTCCACGTCCATGGAAAAATTGTCTTCCATGAAACCAGTCCCTGGTGCCAAAAAGGTTGGGGATTGCTGGTCTATAGCACTCCCTGCTGCCTTATCAGATTGATTCTATGGGAGATATTTTACAATTTTGTAAAGTATAGGTAACTGATAGACAAGCAAATTCTGTCTAGTCTGATAAAGGCTCAGTTGATTTCCCTTTCCTGTTCCCCTTGTGGAAAAACCTATTTTGCCTCCATGTGCAAATTTCAATATTCCTGATCTATAAAGATGTCTGTTTTGGGATTCTCTTTTGAACCCGTTATAATATCTGCCTAGTTCCCTCTTTTTGTTTGTTTTGTGTTTTGGAGACAGGGTCTCACTCTGTCACCCAGGTTGGAGTTCAGTGGCTCAATCACAGCTCACTGCAGCCTCGATGTCCCCAAGTTCAGGTGATCCTCCCACCTCAGCTTCCTGAGTAGTTGGGACCACAGGCATGTGCCACCACACCCAGCTAAGTTTTGTATATGTTTTTTGGTAGAGATAGGGTTTTGCCTTGTTGCTTAGGCTGGTCTCGAACTGCTGGGCTCAAGTGATCCTCCCAGCCTCAGCCTCCCAAAGTGCTGGGATTACAGGCATGAGCCACTGTGCCTGGCAGTTCTGTTAAATAAAATCTTTATCATGTGTTTATTTTTACATCTGTAGGAGAGGCATGGCTTTACCTTTTTTTTTTCCTTTGAAAATTATCTTGTAACCGTTTTCTCCAAATAAATAAGAGGTAACCCTGGAGTTGTCCAACAGTGGAAATGCCTGCCCTGTGAAGTTGTGAACTTCCCATCACTGGAAGCTCAAAAAAGGAAACTATATTTTGGGGCTTTGGTAAAAGAAATCACATGCCAGAATTAGGACCACTCATCAACTTCCCACTTTATCAAGAAATCTGAGCTTTAGTACAGACAGTGGCTAAACAGTGGCTGCCAACGCTGGCTGCACATTAGAGTCGTCTAATACCTGGGCTCTACTTCCAGAAATGCTGATTTACTTGGTCTCGGGTGGGCCATGGGCGTAGGGCCATGCTGAGTCATATTGGAGCCCAAGGCAAAGGAAAAAATCAGTAATCTGGTCCTGTTTTCATTAAAAATTTTGATATTTTATTCCTAATGAATTTTTTGCAGTAATTTTGATTGTTAAAATATTGCACTAAAATATTACTTATATTAATGAGGGTTGTGTGTGTGTGTGTGTGTGTGTGTGTGTTTTCCTTAAGTTTTGTGCTCAGGAAGAGTGCCTCACTTGCCTTACCCTAATCGCAGCCCTGCATGGGCATCTACATTCTTTTTTTGTTGTTGTTTTTGAGACAGAGTCTCACTCGGTCACCCAGGCTGGAGTGCAGTGGCACGATCTTGGCTCACTGCAACCTCTACCTCCTGGGTTCAAGCAATTCTCCTTTCTCAGCCTCCCAAGTAGCTGGGACTACAGGCGCATGGCACCACGTCTGGCTAATTTTTGTATTTTTAGTAGAGATGAGGTTTCACCATGTTGGTCAGGCTAGTCTCAAACTCCTGACCTCAGGTGATCCACCCGCCTTGGCCTCCCAAAGTGCTGGGATTACAGGCGTGAGCCACTGTGCCTGGCCATCATCTGCATTCTTTAAAGCTCCTCACTGAGGTCACTCTCATGGGCATCTAGGGTTGAGAACCACTGCCTAGTACATCTCTTGCATCCCTTACTGTGCTGTCCAATATGGTAGCCAATAGCCACATGGGGCAACTGAGAAGTTGAAATGCTAGTGGTACAAATTGAGATGTGTCATAGCTTTCAAAGACTTAGTACAAAAAAAGTAGGACTATCTCAATAATTTTCATACTGATTACATGCTGAAATGACAATATTTTCAATATACTGGATTAAATAAAATATATTTTAAAAATTAACCTCACCTATTTCTTTTACTTTTAAAAAACGTTGCTCCAAGAAAATTTTGAATTATCTCTGTGGTTTACATTAGTGGTTTTCATTATATTTCTATTGGACAGTGCTATTCTAGGGACCTATGGTTAACACAAATATAACAAATCCTTTCTAGTAAGTGGTTCCCATTTCATAATTTTATATCCCCCTTTTAAAAATAGTTCCATATTGAGAAGGAGCATTAGTAATGATCGGGCATCAACTCCCCATATGCAGAACAAGTTCACAGAGGTTTCATATCCAGGGATATGTGGGATATTTATTGGATTTTTTTTTTCCTGCTAGGAATAGAATGCTTGGTTGGCAGAGACTTTCCTTTCAATACTTTAAAATTATGTTCCCATTGTCTTCTAGCTTTCATAGATTATGTTGAAAAGTGGCCAGGATAGGTGGCTCACGCCTGTAATCCCAGCACTTTGGGAGGCCGAGGCGGGCGGATCATGAGGTCAGGAGTTTGAGACCAGCCTGGCCAGCATGGTGAAATGCTGTCTCTATTAAAAATACAAAAAGAAAAAAAATTAGCCAGGCATGGTGGCACGCACCTGTAGTCCCAGCTACTCAGGAGGCTGAGGTAGGAGAATTGCTTGAACTTGGCAGATGGAGGTTGCAGTGAGCCGAGATCACGCCAGCCCGGGAGATAGTGCAAGACTCTATCTCAAAAAAAAAAAAAAAAAAAAGAAAACTTAGCTAGCAGTCTTATTGCTCATTTGAAGGTAAAGTAATTTTTTTTCTAGCTACTTTTAAGATTTTCTGTTTCTTGGTCGGGCGCAGTGGCTCATGCCTGTAATCCCAGCACTTTGGGAGGCTGAGGCGGGCCGATCATGAGGTAAAGAGATCGAGACCATCCTGACCAACACGGTGAAACCCCAATTCTACCAAAAATACAAAAACTAGCTGGGCATGGTGGCGCGTGCCTGTAGTCCCAGCTACTCAGGAAGCTGAGGCAGGAGAACTGCTTGAACCCGGAAGGCGGAGGTTGCAGTGAGCCAAGATCACGCCACTGAACTCCAGCCTGGTGACAGAGTGAGACTCCATCTCAAAAATAAAAATAAAAAAAAAGATTTTCTATTGCTCTTCAATTTTCAGGAGCAAAATCATGATGTTCCCAGGTGTGATTTTCCTTATATTTATCTTGCCTGAGGTTTTTAGTGCTTTTGAATGAGGTTGGATATGTGTTTGTGATGTCTTTCACTAGTTGTAGGAAATTCTCAGCCAGTATTTATTTAAAATCACTCCCTCTTCTCCTTGTGGGACACTAATTGCAGGAAAGTTAGATTGTTTCCTCCATGTTGCATGTATCTCTGAAGACTTTTTCTACATTTTCATCATTTTCTCCCTCTGTGTGTAAGTTGGAATTTTTTTCTACTGGCTTGTTTTCTAGTTCGCTAGTCATTTGTTCTGATAACCTATTAAATTCATATATTAAATTATTTATTTTGTCACACTAATTTTTGGTTCCAGAATTTCCATTTGGGTTAAAAAACTGATTCTAGGTCTTTGGTGACATGAACATATTACAAACATATATGTTTTCTTGAACATATTAGTCCTAGCTATTTTAAAGTCCCTGTCTTTAAACTCTATTCCTGCTGGAAATAGAATGCTTGGTAGGCAGAGACTTTTCTTTCAATACTTTAAAATTATGTTCCCATTGTCTTCTAGCTTTCATAGATTATGTTGAAGAGTGGCTGGGATCGGTGGAGTTATGAGTCCCTGTCTCATAACTCCAATATATGAATCACCTGTGGATCTTTTTCTTTTTTTCCCCTTTGTTTTCAATGATTTGGTCCTTCTTTTAGTATACCTTTTTTTAATTGGATGATGGTCATTAAAGATGGAAAATTGTAGCAGCTCTAGATAATATCTTCCTTCAAAGAGGGTTAAATTTTTGTTTTTGGCAGACCAGTAGAGTACTGACAGCTCATCTTGATATATCAAGGGTTGATTTTATTTTATTTTATTAATTTTTTTTTTTGAGATGGAGTCTCACTCTGTCACCCAGGCTGGAGTGCAATGGCATGATCTCGGCTCACTGCAACCTCCGCCTGCTGAGTTCAAGCAATTCTCCTACCTCAGCCTCCCAAGTAGCTGGGACTACAGGTGCGCACCACCATCCCTAGCTATTTTTTTTTTTTTTTTTTGTATTTTTAGTAGAGACAGGGTTTCACCATGCTAACCAGGCTGGTCTCAAACTCCTGACCTTGTGATTCACCTGCCTTGGCCTCCCAAAGTGCTGGGATTACAGGGATGAGCCACAGCGCCCAGCCCCTGATTTTATTTTATTTTTGTATTTAAAAGTTTTTTTTTTTTGAGACTGGGTCTCACTCTGTTGCCCAGGCTGGGATGCAGTGGCATGATCACAGCTCACTGTAGCCTCGACTTCCCAGGCCTAAGAGATTCTCCCACCTCAGCCTTCCAAGTAGTCAAGACTACAGGTGTGTGCCACCGTGCCCTGCTAATTTTTGTATTTTTTGTGGAGACAGGGTTTTGCCATGTTGCCCGGGCTGGTCTCGAACTCCTGGGCTCAAGTAATCTACCTACCTCAGCCTCCCAATCCCATGCCTGGGATTACAGGCATAAACCACTATGCCTGGACTAAGAGTTGATTTTAGCTGTTGCTGGACCTGGTCTATTTAAAGGTTTTCCTTCATGCTTTGTGTTTAGTTTTTTCTCCTAGGGAAGTGTCCTTACTCCTAGAGTTTGGTCCTTTTGAAGTCTCCACTGGAAGCTTGAGGTGTTTATTAGTACCCTTTCAATTTAGCAGGACATGAACTCCTAAGATTATGTGACTTTTGAAATATCTGCCAGATCTTTAGCCTCCCAGCTACTGTTATATTTTTCCTCTGGATTTCTTGGAGTCTTAAGCTGTTCATTCCACCAGGTATGAGTCAATTAGGGATTTAAACGGCATCCACACACAAATTTTTGGGGCTCACTTCCCTTTGATCACCCTTGTTCTAGGATTTTGGATCTCAAGTCTCAAACAGTTTGACAGTTTTGAACTCCAGGCTTTGTTGCCTCCCAGCACTTTGGGAGGCCGAGGCGGGCGGATCACGAGGTCAAGAGATCAAGGTCATGAGGTCAAGAAAAAAATCTGTTTAGATTTATTTCCTAACACATTTGTAAATGTCCTTTAAAACTTGGGGGAATATGACACTCACCTTAGATGCTTCTGTTCTTTCTTTCTTTAATTTTTTTAGAGATGGAGTCTTGCTTTCTCACCCAGGCTGGAGCGCAGTAGCGCGATCTTGGCTCACTGCAACCTCCAACTTCTGGGTTCAAATGATTCTTGTGCCTCAGCCACCAGAGTATCTGGGATTACAGGGATGGGCCATCACGCCCAGATAATTTTTGTATTTTTAGTAGAGATGGGGTTTCGCTATGTTGGTTAGGGTGGTCTCAAACTCCTGGCCTCAAGTGATCCACCTCAACCTCCCAAAGTGTTGGGATTACAGGCGTGAGCCACTGTGCCTGGCCCTTCTGTTCTTTTAAGGACTGTTTTAGTTGCCCTTCAATGCCTTCAAGCAGTTGTTTTATATATATCTCAAACCAGCCTTTATAATCATTTTTAGTGACAGTTAGTTGGTTACAAGCTACCTTGTCATGGTCAGAATGTCTAGGTTTGGCAGGACATTTATAACTTTCTAAGAAAGGTGACCAGGAGTGTTCTTAGCCCTTATCCAGAGGAAACAACAGAAATGAAAGGCTTACACAAAGCTGTTTTTTCTTATCCCATAAAACAATTCCGTATTTTATTTTATATGTGAGAGATGTAAGAGTCTACCCTTAGGCAGCTCACCAAAGTAAACCTCAATGTTAACAACATTTTCCCCAGGCAACTGCAGTCTACTTATGTACCCCAGAATCTCCCTTGACAATATGCTCATGTGTTACTCCCTGGCTATCAGATTCCCCATTACTGCCCTACTCAGGCCCGTTTCCCACGTAGCATCTTAGGTTATAGATCTTTTTGTTCGTGTTTATCCATCTTTCTCCCCACTCGACGATATTTAAAATTTTACTTCTGTGTAAAATTCTTTTCAAGCTAGTTATTAGAAAGCACCATAATAAATAACTTTTTTGCTAGTAAACTTGCAAAGTGATTTAACATTTTAAGTCTCAGCTTCCTCATTTACAATATCAGAATGAAAATGTCTACCTTTCAAAGTTATTGCAAGAATGAAACAAAATGTGTGAAAATATTTAACAAGGTATAAAATGCTATCAAATAGAAATAACTATGGGTGATCCATGATATCTTCTAGATCAGGTCTGGCTCTCTTGATCTGAAAAGCCATGAACTATAAAGAAAAAAAACAAAATTATCTATTCAGTCCTCACTATTCAAAAACTGGTGGAACAGGACTGGGTAACTGCAATAAATACTTCCATTTGGAAAGAGAAACAATGAGAGAGAAACAGAAGACAGGGCTTTGTAGTAATTCTGAAATCCCACTGGGCAGACATTTCCAGGGCCCCTATCCTTTGGTGGGAAATGTTCCTTGATTAGTTCTGATCCCAATTGCTTCATGAGCATAGACGCTATTCTTTGTGGTCCTTGACTCTGCCTTCTGAGATTTTATTTCTTTTCCATAATTGTCCTTGGGCCACATCTGAAGTGGATATTAGAGATTATATTTTCCTCAGCAATTTTTTAAGAGATGGGATCTTGCCATGTTGCCCAGGCTGGTCTTGAACTCCTGGCCTCAAGTGAGCGGTCCTCCTGCCTCAACCTCGTGAGCAGCTAGGATTACAGGCACAAGCCATCCTTAGCAATTTTAAAACTTTCTCACCCACTTCCTGCCTGTAGATAGTTGAGGGCCCAAGGGTTGTTTTAAGTCTTAAGCAGCAACAGTCTCTTTTAATCCAGACTGAGATTTCTCTTGATGTTGAGTTCTTTCAAGAACTTAGTTGGTTTCTAATCTGTTTGATTTCAATCAGCTACAAGTAGCAATAGCTACAACATGGAGTTCTTTTCTAGATACTTCTTAAATTTTCTATATTTCTTTGCTTTCTTGCTTCTATGCCTCTCTCTTAATTTCAGTTATCTTAAGCCTATGAGGCTTCAGTAGGAGAGCTATACCCTTTTTCTTTTTACCCTTTTGTTCTGTTCTCTTTTTCCTGAGAGAGTCTCTCTGAATGCAAATATGTACTTGATATGGTTTGGCTGTGTCCCCACCCAAATTTTATTTTTAATGTAGTTCTCATAATCCCCACGTGTCATGGGAGGAACGCAGTGGGAGGTAACTGAACCATGGGGGTGGTTACCCTTACACTGTTCTCATGATAGTGAGTGAGTTCTCACTCAATCTGATGATTTTATAAGGGGATGTTCCCCCTTTGCTCGGCACTTCTCTCTCCTGCCATTTTGTGAAGAAGAATGTGTTTGCTTCCCCTTTCGCCATGATTGTAAGTTTCCTGAGACCTCCCCAGGCATGCAGAACTGGGAGTCAATTAAACCTCTTTCTTTTATAAATTACCCAGTCTTGGGTATTTCTTTATAGCAGCATGAGAACAGACTAATACAGTACTGGATGCCATAATCTTTGTTGGATTCATACTCTGAGATACTTTAATTCAGAGGTTTTAATAGTAGGTTATAGTCATACATTTAATTTGACTCATATTGCAAGGCTGAGTTTTAATTGGCTTTGGTTGTGTAAATAAATGCCTCTTCAATTTTTAAAAGTCTCATTTTTGAGGTTTAAAATCAGTTCAGCTTTTCCCATTTTGCAAAGTGCCAAATTTCTGAGATCTCTCTATTCCCTTTCCTTTCTGCTTGCAAGATGTCTGATTCATTCAGAAGCTCATATTTTTTGTATAATACCTTGCCAAATGCAGTCGGCAATGCCTAATATACACCATTAACACTAAAATTTCCAACTGTTTCTCCTAGAGCTGTAGGTACATTAGGTATATTATTTGCCTTCCAAGTAATTGCAGGTATTAGTTTTGCCAAATATTTCACCACTTCATAATTTCACTTCATAATTTCATAAATTCACTTCATGAATTGTCATCCTTCTGCTTTCCGTTAATAGTTTCCCAGCCACTCATTGCCTGACTACCAAGCCAGTACCAAAATTTTAGGTTTCTGTTTTAGGAGCATCTTCTTTTGATACTAATTTCAGTATAACCTGATTAGGCTGGGTTATGTTGCAGTAATTCAACAAAATTACTGGTTGTTTCTAACAATGAAAGTTGCAGTTCTTGGTCCTGCTCCATTTCCCACATGAGTTGGTATGGGTCTTTGATCACTGTGAGTACACGCAGGGACCCAGGCTGAAGGAGGCTCTGTCTCAATGTGTTTCCATGATTTCTAAGGCAGGAAAAAGGATATGGCAACTCAGGAAGTGGCTCCTACAGGCTTCTGCATAACAAGGACACGTATTACCTCTGCTTATATTTCACTGGCCAAAGCAAGTTATGTGGCCATGCCCAACTTCAGGAGGAGGGCTGAGGAAATACAGTTTCGTTATGTGCCTGGAAGGAGGAGAATCAGAATATTTGTGAGCAGCTCAGATGATTCCCACCATGGCAATACCCTGGCCAGAGGAAATGATTGCTGGTGACTGTGGAGCTATTTAGGATGGTGGCACATTGCCTATGTATGTGTGACACTAGCCCTGCCCCACACTGGTGCAGGCAGTAAACATGACGCCTTTCTCCATATGGCTTTCATTACAACTTCATTTCATTAGGAAGTCAGTGGGGGTATTCTGTAGCATTAGAGAAATACCCGGAATGAGACCCACCAAGTTGCTTACAAACTCAGCAATGCTCCCTTCCCATATGTGTCAAGGAAAAATAAACTCATAGAGTGATCTCATTTCCCTTTTTTCCCCCTGGGACTTTGGACAAGAACATCATTTGAAAAGTCTGTGATCATAATGGGAAAACAGTGCTGAGAATAAGGACTTTTGAGGATTCTTCTTTTGGTAGCACTGACAATGATGTGTTATTAATGTTGCTTTCTTTTTCTGGAACGAGCACCCATGTTAAATTCAACCAAGAGTGGGAGCAGGTTACTCTGGAATTTAGGTAAATGATCTTGTTTTTAGACTCAGCATAACCCAAACAGGCAATAAAATTTTAGGGAAATTAATTGTTAAACTTTTTTTTCTCCTTTTTAATGTAGAGATAGTCATAGGGGCTATGAAAAGAAGTCTGTGTTTCTCCAGCTGAAGAATACATAAGAGGTACCTAGAGGGGATATATTGGAAATGGATTCCAGAATTCTTCTTGACTGGGTTGGTAATATTTTAGAAATAGAGACAGTTGGTGGGAAACAGTCCTTAGGGGGAAAAGGGCTTATATAGGGGACACCTTGTGTAAGACGAAGAATCATGCTTGACTTTGTAGACAATTACGGGTTCAAATGTCAGTTCCACAAAATTCCTGGCTGTATGACCCTGGGAAAATGCTTAAAATCTTTAAGCCTAAAGTCCTCACTGTAATATGGTAGAAATAACACCTTCTTATAGGACAGGCATGAAGAATAAATGAGATAATGAAGTAAAGTGCTCAGCTCAGAGGCCAGTACGCAGTAGGCACTCCATAAATGCTGGTTCACCACTTACCAACCTCCCATCCAAGAAAAGGCAATTAAGACAGCAAGTGAAGAGTCCTGACCAGGGATGGACACCAGGGTCTGAAAAGATGAAAACTCATCTCAGGAAAAATAAAGCAAGGATACTGCTGGAGAATTTTTGTGACTCAACTTCTTCCCTCTTTTCTTGTACTTCTGTTTATTATCTGCGCCTTTTCTTTTTTCATTTCTTTCTTTTTTTTTTGAGACAGAGTCTTGCTCTGTCACCAGGCTGGAGTGCAGTGGCGCAATCTCGGCTCACTGCAACCTCTGCCTCTTGGGTTCAAGCCATTCTCCTGCCTCAGCCTCCCGAGTAGCTAGGATTACAGGCGCCTGCCAACACACCCAGCTAATTTTTGTATTTTTAGTACAGACGGGGTTTCACCATGTTGGCCAGGATGGTCTCGATCTCCTGACCTCGTGATCTGCCCGCCCTGGCCTCCCAAAGTGCTGGGATTACAGGCATGAGCCACCGTGCCCAGCCTATCTGTTCCTTTTCTTTCTGATTATCCCCTCCTCCTCTTTTAGTGGATTCTCTCAGTCTCTGGATTTTCTCCTCTCTCTTCTCTTATCTTTTTCTTCTTTGCATTGTTTCATCATCTGTTGCCCCAATCTATATTTCTTCTTCTCTCTCATTTTATCTTTCATCTTTTTTTAAGTTGTGCATGGATGGCCTGGAGGTGAGTCTATGGAACTCTGCTGGAAGTGTCTTCGGTGCCCCTCTGTCTGCCTTTTCTTTTTTTGAGACAGAGTCTCGCTCTGTGGCCCAGGCTGGAGTGCAGTGGCACGATCTTGACTCACTGCAACCTCTGCCTCCTAGGTTCAAGCGATTCTTCTGCCTCAGCCTCCTGAGTAGCTGGGATTATAGGTGCATGCCACCACGCCCAGCTAATTTTTGTATTTTCAGTAGAGACGGAGTTTCACCATGTTGGCCAGGCTGGACTCGAACTCCTGACCTCAGGTGATCCACCCACCTCGGCCTCCCAAAGTGCTGGGATTACAGGCATGAGCCACCGTGCCCAGCCTCTGTCTGCCTTTTCTGTAGCTGTCTTCAGTGAGCTCCCTGACCCTCAGTAGAACCTTCTCCTCTGCGCCATCCACCTGCTTCCCTCGGCGTTAGCCATCTGTTTCCCCTATAAAATCTGCTCTTGGAAATAGATCCGATCAACTCAGAGACAAAGGAGTAAATAACTTATAAAGTTTGGTGCTTTACTTACCCCAAGGGTACTTGAACTTCAGTCAAATACAAAGTCTTAAGCCCAAGAAATAAATCTCTAATAATAATTTCAGGCAATAGAAAGTAATGAAGCACTTTTGTGTGGGGGGAAGGGCAGGAGACTGTCCCTGCCAAATATGCCTTTTTACAGAGTTGTTCTACTTTGATATTTTAGAATAAAATAAAATAAATAAATTCAGATAAACCTAGAGTTAGATTTAGCCACTTTCTGGAATGTGGAAGTGTTTTATCTCATCAGTTTGGGGTTAAAATCTATTTAATTCCAAAGGGATTGTGTGTAGCAGATGCAACAATTAATTTCAGGTAAATCAGTTCAATCTGGCTTCTTCATTCTCTCTTTATCAATTTTAATGTAATTTGCAAGGGGATCCAAGCTCCACTTTATGTGTCTGCAAACAGCACGAATTCATCTAACCAAAGAGTCTCATGTGCCCTGACAGTGCCTGGCAGCCTGCTGGGGATTGCCAAGTGTCAGCCAGACCATTCTATTCATTTGGCCTCGTGCTGAAGGTCTGCATGCTTTTTAAGAACGTATAAAATTTGGGGCTGGGCGCGGTGGCTCATGCCTGTAATCCCAATACTTTGGGAAGCCGAGGCGGGCGGATCATGAGGTCGAGATCAAGACCATCCTGGCCAACATGGTGAAACCCTGTCTCTACTAAAAATACAAAAATTAGCCAGGCATGGTTGCACGTGCCCGTAATCGCAGCTACTCGGGAGGCTGAGGCAGGAGAATCACTTGAACCCAGGAGGCGGAGGTTGCAATGAGCCAAGATTGCACCACTGCACTCCAGCCTGGTGACAGAATGAGACTCTGTCTCAAAAAAAAAAAAAAAAAAAAAAAAAGAAGAAAAAGAAAATAGAATGTATAAAATTTGATCCTTGAAAATTGTACTGGTCTCAAGTATAAAGAATATAAGTTAATAAATGTAGAACTGAATATCTACAAATCAAAACATCTGATCAACTGGTTACTACTCAATTCTTATGTCATTATATATACCTTATATTTAATGTGGGAGATGAATATATTTTAAGATGTTTGAGGTGCTGTAAAGTGGGTCTTCCATAAGTAAGAGTGTACAGGGTTACTCAGGGTCTTAGAATGGCCCTGCGTGTGAGAGACTTGAAAATCTGAATCAAAGTAGAAAAACATGAAACTATTTTTCTGGAGTAACATGAGTCTCTAGGCATAAAACAGAGGTTCTATTTTTGGCAGGAGACGTTGCATTGCACTTGCCTCTAGTCAGCTACATCAGGATAAAGCAGCTATGCAGGGGCCCCCGGTATCATTGGAAATAGACCAAAAGTAGAGAAAATGGTTTTTATCAGAACTCCCTTCAGAAATAAATTATCAAATATCAGTAGGAGGATGCTATGGACTGAATTGTGTCCTGACCTTCCAAGTGACTGTATTGGAGCTAGGGCCTCTAAGGAAGTGATTAAGGTTAAATGAGGCTGTAGGTGTGATGCTTTGATTGACGGAACTGGTACCTTGTAAAAGAGACAACAGAGATCTCTCTCTCTCTCCTTCCATATGTGAGGACACCGCAAGGAGGCAGCCATTTACAAGCCAGGAAGCAGGCCCTCACCAGGAACCAAATCTGCTAGTGCCTTGTCCTTGGATGTACCAGCTGCCAGACAGTGAGAAAATACGCTTCTGTGGCTCAAGCCATTTAGCTTGTGCTATATTGTTATGGCAGCCCCAGCAGACTAAGACAGAAGCTATTCATTGATAAGCAGCTTTGGGTGGGATCAGGAAGCTCAGGGCCTGCTTCAGGATCATGAGGTGGTCCCCAAAATGCCTCCTAAGTCTGGAGAGCTTGCATGGCTTCTGCTTTAGCAAAGTGGGTGTGTAAGATTGGAGACGAAGTAGAACTTTCCAGGACTATGTGCTACTTTCTGTGGAGTTGCGTATCTGCTCTTCCCCAAGCAGCAATCAGCCTTCCTCTACAGACACGTCAAACCGGTATTTAAAGAATATCTATCTGAAGGGGCACCAAATTATTAGCTACCTAGATCACCCACAGGCATGTCTTTGGCCGCCCCTGGCCAACTGTAACCCTTCATACCTCAACATCATAGCCAATGCCATGGGCCCTACAGATCTGGAGAAAAACATAGTGGAAAACCAGTGAGAGATTGCTGTGTCTTAGCTGGGTGGTCATCACTGCATAGCGACTGGTTGCCAGCATCTGGAAAGGAGCACAACTGAATATTAAACAGATATTTAAATAAACTTGTAATTTTGGAATACTTGAGATTAACAGGAAAATTGCGAAGATAATTCTGAGAGTTCCTATATCCCCCACACCCAGTTCTCCTATTGTTAACATCTTACATTGCTGTGGTACATTTGTCACAACTAAGGGAACAAATTGCTACATTACTTTTTATTTTTATTTTATTTTTTGAGACAGGGTCTCACTTTGTCACCCAGGCTGGAGTGCAGTGGCACAATCTGGGCTCACTGCAACCTCTGCCTCCTGGGCTTAAGTGATCCTCCTGCTTCAGCCTCCCAAGTAGCTGGGACTACAGGTGCATGCCACCACACCTGGTTAACTTTATTATTTTTTTGTAGAGACAGGGGTCTCACTATGTTGCCCAGGCTGGTCTTGAACTCCTAGCTCAAGCGATCTGCCAGCCTCGGCCTCCCAAAATGCTGGAATTACCGGCGTGAGCCACCACACCTGGCCCTACATTACTATTAACATAAATCCATACTTTATTTCTATTTCATTAGTTTTTCCCTAATTCCTTTTTTCTGTTTCAGGACCCCATCTGAGACACTGCACCGTAACTAGCTGTCATATCTCCTTAGGCTTCTCTGGCCTGTGACGGCTTCACAGACTTTCCCTGTGGTTTGATGATCTTAACAGTTCCGAGGAGTAATGGGCAAGCATTTTGTGAAATCTCTCTCAATTTCAGTTTGTCTGATGTTTTTCTCCTGATTAGACTGTAGTAATGTGTTTTTGAGAGGAAGACCACGTGGGCAAACTGCCATTTTCCTCACTTCATATCAAGGGTAGATAGATGGTATCAGTGTGACTTATCACTGATGATGTTAACCTTTATCACCTGGCTACAGTGGCTTTTGAAGCTTGTGAAAAAACTTTACAGATTTCTCTGCTGTAAAGATATTTTCCCACTCTTCCCATACTTTAACCTTTGGCAGCAAGTCACTGGGCATGGACCACCTCCTTGAGGTGGCCAACATTAGAAATTTGATGCTGCTTTCTTTGGGGAAACGGCTCTTCTTTATCTTGCTTGTCTATCAGTGAAAGCCATGCCAAAGAGATTGGTGATAGTAGGCCCAAAGTGCTGTCATTATGTATTTCCTGAAAACATTTAAAATTTAATATGTACCAGATAAAGAACTGGATCCTGGCAGTTTTATAGCATGTTCTTTTTGAGATGTGATATTTGCCTTAGTCAATCAGCTGTTTTTCTCTAGATAGCTGGAAATTTGGAGAACTGCATATAGGGCCATGGCCAACCTTAGGGCATAGAAGATAAAGGTGCCTGGCTTGGCTCTTGAACTGTGGTGACGCACAGGTGCTGGGCAACTAGGTACCCAGACTTATGCAGTGACCTGGAAAAGGAGTAGGCAAAGGAGGTGCTGCTGGTCTGGAGCTGGCCGTAAGGAATCGTAGTGACCTGACATGCATTATAATCAGGCCTCTGGCTCGCCTCCTGTCTCTGAGATAACGCAAGGGAACTGGGGCTGACTGAGTGCTCTGCAGAGAATAGACCTCCTTTCCTCTCCTGCATCCCTCTCTCCCTCTCCACACACACACACACACACACACACACACACACACACTCAGATTTCGTGGCACTTTTGGTGACATGCTCCCCTCACACATGATGGGGGGAGCATGTTTTTCTTCAACATTTACATCAAGTCCTGTGTCCGAAGGTCACATCATCAGTGCCACCAGTTAAGGCTGCTCATCCTAAATGCAAGTGGAGTCCACATCTACAGACGAGTTAGGCCCCCACAGGCTAATACATCTTGAGTTGTTTACCCCACTTGTAGCGTCCCATTTGTAGCCATTGGGATTTTTCTAACAACAGAAAATTGATTTGATCCTCATATGCCTCACTACTGTACTCTGTCACCCTGACCTATCATGAGTTGTTCCCTTGGTCATCTGCCCTCCATGACTGGGAGTTTTCTGAGGGCAGGCGCTGTTTGGTTTCTGAATCTCCAGTTTGGGCATGATACCAGCACAGAACAGGCACTTGGTGTTTATTAAATAAAAGAGAATGAATACATGAAATAGATTAGGTGGATAGCTCTTCCCTCTGACTTAAGAGACTCTTCAAAGTATGTAATTTAAGAAAGACACTGCCCATTGATAAATGCTTTGGAGCAAAAGCAGGTGATTATTACATGGCACAGGGGACAGTCACACCATCCTTAGAGAAGGACAACTCAGGGCAGTTGCTCCGGGCCTTGCCTGCTGGAGGACAGCATGGCTCTGGTGGACTAAGCAGGAATAATTGGTGGGGTAAAAAGAACTGGCTTGGAGAAGTTCTGGCCCAGCTAGCTAGTCTGTCTGGAAGGGCATGGCCACAAGGCCTGCTCGCCCTGCCATACTGGGCTGGCCATGCTCTCACCTTCACACTGAAAAGCCCAGAAGCATGGGCTTTTGCACATGGAAGTGAACTGTAAACACTCTCAAATTCCATTGTGGTTACTGAGCATGTAATTGCATGGTAATTGCCATGAATTCACAAGATAATTCCAAGGTTATTTTTGTCTTCTAAACTTGTCTGATGCTGCCATAGTATATAAACAAGAAAAACCAAGACCAGACCCCAGCCAGCAAGAGAGGTAGGCAGGCAGGCATGTGGTAGCACAATCTAGCAATACTATGTATCTTGGCTCCAAAGCACAGCAGAAGAGCTTACTGTCCAGTAGTACATGATTACTAGACAACATGTAAGGGCAGGCTACCCTGAGGTTTCTTCTTCACTACAGATGCAGAGTGCAACTCCCCTTCCTCCCAGACTGGGGTTTGTGATGCATAAAGAATCTGAAGGAAGAGCCAGGATATTTGGTACATGTCTCCCAACCTTCTTTTCCATAACCATCACCATCCTAGTCCAGACCTTTATTGCCTGGAGAGTCAGAGGTGAGGATACAAGCAGAATTCTGCAGTGGAAAGGTTATATGGAGTGAGAAAGAAGTTCAGAACCTGACAAGGCCACTTACTGTGTATGTGATCTTGAACAGATCATTGAAATTCTGTCTTCTGATGATTAAATAAGCACCTACTGCAGTGCCTGGAACCTGATAAATGGTAGCTACTATTTTTGTTGTCATTCCTTTGAAAGGATTTTGGATCTACAATAAATGTAACTTCCCAGGCTGTTTTTTCCCCTACTCTTCCCCCATCTCCTGGGATTCTGAACAGTATCACCGGATTAATCATTTCCCCCTAACACAGGTTGGTCTGTGTCATCCTCCTATTCAGAAATATTCAGGCCTTTTTGCCTTCACGGTGAAATCTAGACCCTGGTGTGGTGGGTAGACCTCCCCAAACTTGCTCAGTGCACCCTTCCAACTACTTCTCCTGCTTCCCACTTCCCCAGTTCTGTGCTCCAGTCTGACTGGTTCACTGCCTTTTCCTAGCAGACCACAGGTTTCTTTGGACTCTGTCCCATCTGCTAGGGGACGTCCTCCCCTCCTCGCCAGTTAGTGACTGTTCTAGTCTTTAAGGCAGGATAAAGTTCTGTGTTTTCATTAAAGTGTTCCCTGTCCCTGTCAGTCCATGGTCATTTCCCCTGAGAACTCTGGCAGCAAGCTGAGGGTCTGTCACTCAAATGGCATTTATCCATGTGTATGTTATCTATTTTAATAGCAACATCTCTCTCTCTCTATGGCCTTTCTTTTCAGCTCCTCAAGGATAGGGACTTTGTCAATTATCTTTGTCTCCTGATGCTTGGTGAAAGTCCTGGCACATATTAAGTGCTAAATAAATGCATTAGAATAATACTTACAAGATACAACTACTTTTTAGAAGACCTAGCCAACTGCACAGTTTCTACAGGAAGAAACTATCAATCACCTAGGATTGTCTTATGTCCAGCCTGATAGCACAAGTGAATAGCATAGGAGTATTGAGAGGAGGATTAGATGAGAATGTAAAGACCTTGGAATAGTGTCTGGCACACAGTAAGCTCTCAATAAATGTTAGCAATTATTTTCACATATTAAACTAAATAGTTTCAAAGATAAGGTCAATTATTTCAAATTAAAACTGACCAACTAACCAATAAACCTTTTCATCAGAAGGTGACTTGAATCAGAAGACCTGGGCTTTGCTATGTACCACCTTTATGACTTGGGCAGCTCACTTAACTTTGCTTAGCCTCAGTTTCCTATTCTGTAAAATGTATATAATAATCCTTAACATCGATTTCTTGGGGTTATCATGGGGATCAAATAAGCTCATGTATAGTTAAAGTATAAAGCATTATACAAATAGAAAACATTATTTTCTATTAAAAGGTTGACTTGTAAAAACTAGTCTCTTCTGATGCTGTACAATTTATGTAGGTTTGATAAGGATCAAAAAAGAAATAATGATTTGGAAATATCTATTGAAATTAAAAATTTTAATTTTTATGGGTTATGTCCTTTGAGCCAAAATTCCACTTTATGGTATGTATTCTAAGATATACCTTAAATGTGCCAAATGATATATACACAAAGTTATTCATTGCAGCACTGTAATATGAAAAAACTGAAAACAACCCAAAAATCTACCGATGGGGGAAGGGTACATAAATTATGGCACATCCATGCAATGAAATAACATGTTGCTGTAAAAAAGAAATGATACTGCTCAGGTGTCTGAATCTGAAAAAAAAGAAATGAGAACATTTTTAATGAAGTGTTAGAGAAAGCTCTCCAAAGAAAAAAGTGAGATTCAGAACAATATGTATTATAGGCTACATTTTGGGTATAAAAGGGGGAAAAGGATCACCTGTATGTGTATTTACTTGTATATGTAAAAAGATGCTCTGAAAGGATATATAGACACAGAATGGTGGTTACCTTTGTAGGATGAGGTGGGAACTGATCAATGGAAAGGAGGTTTGTCCATGTGTGACTGTTTCCACCTTTTGCCTTTTGAACCATGTGAATATATTATGTATTTCAAAGAATTAAATGAGAACCCCATTAAACTTGATTTTGAAGACAAGAGTTGAAGATGTATATTTCATGCATATTTTTAGTGTGTGAACTGTTTATTTTTTAAAAAACATAGTCAAGCTTTTCTAGATGGTTCATAGTATAAGTGACATGCTCTTTTCCATGCCGTGTTATTTGCTTGGAAATCTGTGCTATGTATAGGAAACCATGTCCAGTTACATGTTCTTTTTAAAATCTAAGACTCCAGCCAGGCGCAGTGGCTCACGCCTGTAATCCCAGCACTTTGGGAGGCTGATGGGGGCGGATCATGAGGTCAGGAGATCGAGACCATCCTGGTCAACATGGTGAAACCCCGTCTCTACTAAAAATACAAAAAAATTAGCCAGGCATGGTCGCGGGCGCCTGTAGTCCCAGCTACTCGGGAGGCTGAGGCAGGAGTATGAACCTGGGCGTGAACCTGTGAGGCGGAACTTGCAGTGAGCCAAGATCGTGCCACTGCACTCCAGCCTGGGCGACAGAGCGAGACTCCGTCTCAAAACAAACAAACAAACAAAAAAACCCTAAGACTCCTCTATGAACATCCGGTCCATTTAGTGCTTCTGTGTGAGACTCAGAAGCTGAGGCTGAGCTCAGAGCAGACGAGAAGCCAATGGATAATGGCAATATTCCTGGAGACAACCTCGTCACACAGGGAAGTACATCCTCTTTTCAAAGAAGAGCTTTCTCTATGGCCTCAACAAGGGACTTCTTTAGGGATGAGCACAAGCTCCACTCTGGGGCTGGATCACTGATTCTCAGCTGATGCAAGGCAGGTTGGAATGTGTCACAGTTAAACACAGGCCGAGGTTAAATCTTGGCTTCCCTACTTGCTTGCCTACTGACCTTTAACAAATTGCTTAACATCTCTTAACCTTGTCTTCCTATCTAAAAATGGGCATAATAACAGCACCTGCCTAATATATTGGACTGCAAAAAGATTCATGGAAAGCACTTAGTAAAGTACTCGGGGTGGAGTAAAGGCTCTGTGTCCTTTGGTAAACTGGAGGGCTTTGCTACTCACCCTTATATCCTCTGTGCTTAGTAGAGTGCCTGGCACAAAATAGGCATTGGGTAAGTATCTGCAGAATTTACTTCTAGTTGATTCTTGCTGAAAGTAGTAACTGATGGTTAAGGTAAAGGCTGATGAGAACTTAGGATATGACCTGTCACAATATTACTCCTTTCTAAAAGATCCTGCAAGAAAAAGACCTTTTAAGCGAAGGCTGTAGTATAGAGGGATGGGCCCTTCCTGTGTCCCCGTACAGGAGATGTCCCTTCCTTCAGCCATCCGCAACACATGAGGCTGCCTGGGCCAGGCTTGGTGCAGAGTCCCTTTCTGTAGGCCCCGTAAGATCAAATCCCCCAAGTGACCCTGGGGATCATGTAGCCCTCCTTTATTTTAGAAATGAGGAAACTGAGGCCAGAAGAGAAGATCAGAACTCATGATCCCTAACTCCCAGACCAGTACTCTTCACTCCAAATGTCCAGTGACCACATTTGGAATAGGTGGGAATTTCAGAGGTTAGCCTTTTCTAGTAAAACAGGAGAAAAAAAAAGACAAAATATTCTTGGTAGAAGTCTAGTCTTATTAAACTACCTTTCTAAATCACAATTTAACAAGAATGCTTCAAGCTAAATAAAGGAAGCTCAAAATACTCCTTTTCACTGGATAATATAATTTTGCTTCAGCCACAATTTAAATTGATTTAGTTCTGAGCTCCAGCACTTGAAGTGTGGAACATATTGTATTTTCGCCATGATACTTGTTTTGACAGTGATGCATTTCAGTTGACATAGTTGAAATCCTTATGTAATAAATCTCTGCCTGAAAATTAATCATGTTTATAATATTCTGAGAATTAATAACACCCATTGCTCAAATCATTAACTTAAAAAAGGAGCTTCCAAAATCTGTTCTCGGCAGTAAGGGACCACAAATAAATGAATGTTTGATAAAATAATCCAAGTAGCAGTTTAACAAGCGTAAACTTGAATGTGGCTGCAATAACACAGAACTATTGTTTAAGGGTTGGCAGAGGCTGATGAGGTTCTTATTTCAGTTACGAAGCAGGCATCCACATGCATAATGAACTGCTCTCTGAATTATTAATGTGTTGCTTATTTAGCCTCATCTGTCTAGAAGATAATGTATCCTAACTCTAATGAGTGATTGGTTTTGTACATAATTACAGTAGCAGCAGTAGCAGGGAAATGTGTGCCTTCAAAGAAGGAGTTCTAAAAATAAAGTCATCACATAAACTCTGCTGTTGTTGCATTCTATCAAAATCAAACCCGAAGCATTTGAGAATTTATAATAAATTACAGGAGACAGAATCATTATTAACATCATAATTTAACACAAAAGGTTTTACTTAATCATTCATTACAGATCATGTGCTGCTAAAATGTGTATAAATGACTTGGGTTGTGTTAAGATGTTTGCAAAGATGTTCCCTTTTGGACACTCACCAACCATGGTATGGAGGGTCCAGAAAGAGCGAGGAAGAGTGAAAAACTGACAGAAAAGGGTAATGATTGATGCCGGTTTGGACAGAACATTAATTGAAAGTTAAAACACTGTTAGGCGATTCCTTTTCATTTCTAAAACACGCACGTCTGGGATTTATCAGGCCTTGTTTACACCTTCAAGTGGTTCTTTGTGGAGGTCAGTGAATCAGAAACCCATTCACCTGGTCTAAATGGGTCTGAGTGACAGTTCTCCCACCTGTTTCTGAGATGAGACAACAGCTCTTCTGAGAGCCCAGGAAGGTGTTTGCTTTCCTTCTATATAGCATATTATTAAAGAAAAGGGCCCACACTGGAAGCATTTTATAGGCATTAGTTTTGAATGCGCTCTCATTATCATTGTGGTTTCATCTGTGCATTTTCTTCTCCTTCAGTCTTCAAAGGGGGCTGTCAACTGCCTGATCATAAACTTGACGGCATCATAGTCTGTTCACACTTGTTCAGGAAGCTTCGATTTGCTTGTGAGTTGTACCGCGTGTGCATGTGCACATGCTTCTTTTTAAAAAAATCGCTGATCATATGTGTACACATGCACAGGAGGGTGTGTGCACAACCCAAGCATAGTGGCACAAGGGTGGGAACATCTGTATCTTTCTAAAATGAAAAGCCCTTTCAATTTATTCCTACACCAGAAAACCTGCATAGCTTTTCTCTAGTGATTTAAGAGGTATTGGCCTTATTGAAGATCATAATGCCTCCCTTTTGTGTGCATGCACTTCCTAAAAATGTTTAAGACTTGATCACAGGAGAATGTTGCCTATAGCTAGGAATGAAACCTATAGGCAACATGGGGAAAATGGAAGAGTGCTTCTCACTCAAAGCACAACTTCTGCTGATAGCCTTCTGAAGCAACATACTTCAAAGCTGCAATTGTCTTTGGAAGTCTTGTGCTGAATACCACTCTGCTTCCAGCTTTATTTTTATTTTTATTTTTTGAGACAGAGTCTCACTCTGTCAACTAGGCTGGAGTACAATGGCGCGATCATGACTCACTGCAGCCTCGACCTCCAGGGCTCAAGTGATCCTCCTGCCTCAGCCTTCCCAGTAGCTAGGATTATAGGCATGCACCACCATGCCCGGCTAATTTTTGTATTTTTGTAGAGACAGGGTTTTGCCATGTTGCCTAGGCTGGTCTAGAACTCCTAGGCTCAAATGATCTGCCCGCCTCGGCCTCCCAAAGTGCTGGGATTACAGGCGTGAGCCACCACACCTGACCCCCAGCTTCTTGCAGAAATGGCATAGACTTAGGTTCACTGGCCAGAAGGGCTCAAGTGTCACTGCTGTTTCTCCCTCTAGCACTGAACATAGGGTCTCTCAGGTCTCTTTGGTGAGGATGGAGGCCACAGGTGGAGATGGACCTGAAAGCCTCTTAGCAAGGTCCTGGGTCATAATTAAAAGAGGTCTGTTTCTCCTCTCCAGCTCAACTCTGCTTCTCTTCTTACTAAGGAAAGAGATCAAGGGGATTCTTGTGAGCAAGGTTCTTCCTGGTACCTGATTGGGCAACTGGATGAAGAAGAGGGAAAGGAAAAAGCTGCCTGAGCCCCCCAAGACATCAGGTGCCCTCCTTATGGTGACTGCAGAGATCCTGGGAAGAGTCAAAGGTTATTCAAATCCAGACTGGACCCAAAGGGGTTCACAGAGAGGCAGGAGACCGCTTGGAAAAGGTATCTCTGGGACACTCATGTTGGGTCCCATTAATCACTAGAGTTCCTCTTTTATCTGTTTGATATATTTGGATTTCAAGTAGAGCTTCATTTGCAAAAAAGTATGAAGCCCACTGTTGTAAGGAAAGGCCAAAGAAACCCTCTGGCAGCTGTGAGAGCACCGTGGCCAGAGAGTCCCCAATACACTCTTGCACAAAGGGCATCTGGTCCCCTTGGCCTTTGTTCTCTCTCTCCATGACCAACCTAGCCTACTCAATCAAGCACCCACTGTCCCCATGGGGCTATGCCCTTTGTTACTCAGGGTGCTGAGGTTGGTAACCCGCAGCCAGCCCCAGGACTCTGGCCCCAGCCCCCTCACTGATGGAGCTAGCAATAAGAAGGGAGGAGGCGGCAGCTGTGGGAAGAGGTGGAACATGATGGGGCTCCTTAACCAAGCTGGGAAATGGGATTTTCCTGAAGATCACAGGAGTCCATTCAAAATCACACACAGGGGAACAACATGCTCAGACTGGCTTTTCACCTTGCCACCTTGGCTGCCGTGTCTGTTTAGGCTGAGGGCACAGGCAGGGACAGGGAATCTTAGGAGGAATACAGGTGTGAGATGGTGGAAGCCGACACTAAGACACTATCTTTGTGGAGAGAGAGGAGGGGTCAGGTTAGTGGCATTTTCGTAGCTAGACTCAACACGCCCTGCTTGCTGACTGGATGTGGGGCTGGGGGTTATCTTATCAGCCTCTGGCCTGATCCACTAACAGGAAGTACAGGAGGAAGAAAGACAAATGTGATGCAGTTTTGGATAGCTTGACTCTGAGGATTCGAAGCAGAGATGTTCTATAGAATTTTGGACCCATGAATCTGAAGCTCACAAAAGAGAGTGGGGCTAGAAAAATATGGGTTTTGTGTGAAACAGCTTGTAGTTGAGGCAATGGGTGTAGGTGTACCTGCCTAGAAAAAGGGGAGGAGAGCCCCATGCTCTTTCGCATTTCCACAGATGGCAGGTTCATTCGGGAATGGCTTCTCCCTTTCCTCTGACCAACACATTCGCATTTCCAGACCCTGCTCAGACAAGTCCAATGACTTGCCTTAGGCTCTTTCTTCTTCCTGTACTCAAAGATCCTGGCTCCTAGACAGAGCTCAGGCAGTGGCAGTGGGTGTTGCTGAACACCGAGAACCTTCAGGAAGCACCTCTTGCTTACCGGCATTGACAGCGCACTCATGCATTTGGTTTTCTTCCTTTCCTTTGGAACAAAGCGGGGCACTTCCAGGGTGCTCAAACTGCAATCCAGATGGCCGTTTGTCAGGTATAAGGTGAGTTGAGTCAGGGCCAGCTGGTCACTATATGCGAGGTTAAGGCCGGTTGCCCACACCTGATTAAAACAGGAGCCGTAGAAGTGAGGGTGAAATCAGCAAACAGCAGCGAAGGCCCCACCTCTGCCTAACCAGACCAAACTACATCAGACTAAGTGAAACCAGTGACCATGTGTCTTAATGGAGTAGATGTTTTTCCTTCTGTTTGTACATTGTTCAACTGAGAGATGGAGTCTGATTCTAATCAGAAGATTCAAGGTTCTTGTGGGAAGTTACAGAAATACTTGGCCAAGACAATCTGACAGAGATGCCGAGTCTTGCAAAGCTCATGTTGACTTTGATTTTTCTGCCTATGGCCTGCAGGTCAGTGCAGGTGGTCAGTGCCAGGTTTTCTACTGAGAAAATGAGACTGAAGCTTTGGAGGGTGGGGAACTACAGTAGAGCAGAAAGACGGGAAAAGAGTGATGAATATGAGAAAGGGCAGTTTGCCCTGATTTTGGAAAAAGCAGTGACAGCCCCTCTGGGAGCCTCAATATGATATTTAAGGGAAACTAATGGTTGGCCTCTAAGTCTTAGGTCTACCCCCATTTTCTCATGAGAGTGAAGGGTAATCTTATTTTACCAGTCCTACAATGTCACAGTATTCTCAATTGTCAATTGGTGATAACACCTTATCCTAGCTGTATCACAGTGTTATTAGAAGAATATTATGATGCAATAAAAATAAAAATAAAAATGCTTTAAAAAATAGACATTGGTTATAAGTTAATGTCAACTGCTAGGTAACTGAGTAATGTCCACTAATTCGTTTGACAAATATTTACTGAGCATCTACTATGTGCTAAACTGGCAATGATAAAAGTAGGTCATGTGTTACTTCTTCCCTCTCCTGTGGCAGATCAACCTTAATTGCCCTTGTCATCCCCCATCCCCACACTGAATCCAGAAGCATCCCTGGCATCCTCCTCAGTTCAATGTTCAAGGCATATCATCGTCCTAGTCACTGGAGAGTCAAAGGTAAATAGGCATAGGCCCTGCCATCAAGAAGGTGAAGACAGGCTGGGCACGGTGGCTTATACCTGTAATCCCAGCACTTTGGGAGGCCGAGGTGGGAGGATCACCTGAGACCAGCCTGGCCAACATGGCGAAATGTCATCTCTACTAAAAATACAAAAGTTAGCTGGGCAAGGTGGCGTGCGCCTGTAATCTCAGATACTTGGGAGGCTGAGGCACGAGAATCGCTTGAACCCAGGAGGCAGAGGTTTCAGTGAGCCGAGATCAGACCACTACAGTCCAGCCTGGGTGGCAGAGTGAGACTCTGTCTCAAAAAAATAAAAAATAAAAATAAGAAGGTGAAGACAGATACATACATATCCAATTAAACAATAGAATTTTATATGTGATAAAATAATGGGGTGGAACAAAGTACTACTGAAGCAGAAAGAAAGGACAGACTGGGTTTGTCTAATGAAATCAGGGCTGCATCATGAAGGTGACCTTTGAGCTTTAAACAAGCAACAAAAACACAACTGGTCCCATGTATCAAGTACCTGCAGTTTTTATGAAGCTGGGTGAATCATAAATATCTCAGATCTCTGTGGTAGCCTAAAAAATAACAACCCCATGTCACAGATGAAGAAACTGAGGTTCAGGGAGGTACCCAAATCCACTGAGTTAGGAAGTGGTGGTGTTGGGATCTGAATCCAATTCTACCTGGCTCCAAGTCTACCTTCTTCCCATTCCCTGATTCTGGCCCAGCCAATCCTTATCCTATGTAACAGTTCTCCAGTGAAATTAAAAACTAAAGTTGCAGAGGATCAGAACATGTTTGTGTTTAATATAAGACATGCCATGAAAATGTCTTGTGGAGAAAACATGAAGTATTTCTGGAGTATGCTGTAATTAGCATAATGCATTTTCACTGTAGGAAGTTGGAAACTAACACATTTTCATGAAGACTTGATTAAACAGTTTTTCCTCCTAGAAGGCCTGTATTTACCCCGCTCACCAACTCTGTGTGTTAAAATACATAATACATCTGCCCTAGAGTGGACTCCTGTCAAACAAATCTAGCAGTGAGTGACTTGAGTAAGCATTGAATGTAAATGGCGTCATTATAAGGATATTAAGAGGTCAAGCTGTCAAGGCCCCTTGCTAAACTAAAGCTAATTTCAGGAGTCATATTCGCACAGTAATGCCCTTTTATAATAGCAAATAAATCACATTGCAACAATTGTTAAAAACTAACTGCCAAGTATCTGTTGCAGTTGTAAATATCCTATTTGTCAACTTAAATATTTCCTGCTGTATGGCATGAAATGTAAATCAGATGGGGACAGCTACTTTCCCTTAATATGAGAAAGTGAGCTTGCTATTCTAGCAGGTCAGACTTTTTTTTTTCAGAGTTTCTATTTTGAGGTTTTAGTGTCCTTGATCAAAGGGAAACATACATAACAAACATTATTAATATTTATGTTAATAATATTAATGCTTTGGTAATAAGGATTTTAATAGGAGGCAGCACAGTGTAGGGGAAAGAGTGAGAACCACGGAGTCAGAGAGCTTAAATCTGGACCTCACAGTGGGAACTGCAATGGGTTGGTTAAGCTTTCTCAATCTCAGTATCCTTAAGTGTAAAAGGAGCAAAATCTCAGTATCCTTAAGTGTAAAAGGAGCAAATGATAATACTGACAGGGTTTTAGAAACAAAATAAATGCACGTGAAATTGCCTTATAATTTCTTTCTTTTTTTTTTTTTTGAGATGGAGTCTCACTCTGTCGCCCAGGCTGGAGTGCAGTGGTGCGAACTTGGCTCACTGCAACCTCTGCCTCCCGGGTTCAAGCAATTCTCTGCCTCAGCCTCCGGAGTAGCTGGGATTATAGGTGCCTGCCACCACGCCCAGCTAATTTTTTTGTATTTTTAGTAGAGACGGGGTTTCACCGTCTTGGCCAGGCTGGTCTGGAACTCCTGACCTTGTGATCCACTCTCGGCCTCCCAAAGTGCTGAAATTACAGACATGAGCCACCGCGCCCAACCTTTACTGAACTTTATAAGGTAGGCCGGGCGCAGTGGCTCATGCCTGTAACTTCAGCACTTTGGGAGGCCAAGGCAGGAAGCCACTTGAGGCCAGGAGTTCAAGACGATCCTGGGCAACATAACGAGACCCCAACTCTATTTAATAAAAATAGGGAAATAAATAAAATTAAACAAATAAAGTTCATTACAGATGCTTTTTATGATGACTAAACATTTCCTTTCAGAGCAGATTCTTAGAAGGCACATTGTCCGTTGTCTATGTTAGCTATTAGGTCACCCATTTAATAACTGTTGTCCCCATACGTAATTGTTCTATTCAACCTCACAACTCAATCCAGTAGGCAGGTAGGTTTGTGCAAGGTTGGTATTACTCTGTCTCCATTTTACAGATGAAGACACTGAGATAAAAAAGCAGCCTCATAGTTTGCCTAAGATCATATAGTACAAACCAGAACTCTGTTTCTAGAGCTGAAATGCTTTTGCTTCCTCTGGCTGCCCTAACCCCTTGGTTCTCAAAGGAAACAGGAGGACAAATTTTCTTCAGCCTTTTCCTCAACAGCAGGCTTGCCTGATTTGCTCAGATAATTGTTCTGTTCTCCATCTGGTCTTTCCATTGAAGACACCGCCTGAGGCATGCTTGTTTTGTGCACAGGGGTTCCTATCTCCCCTTCTAGACTGTCAGCCCTTTAGGGGATGCTGCCAAGTCTTTGTCTTCCTGCAGCACCTCGTGTCTGGGGCAGGGCACGCAGCAGGGTGCATTCGCAATTCCAGTGTTTCACTGTGAACTCCTCTTCCGTAACTTTTAGGAAATGAGATCCAGGTGGGTCACTTGAGGCTGGTTTCAGATTCAAATGCAGCAAATATTCACTGAGCACCTCCTCCGTGCCAGGCCCATGTGTTCTCACACCTCTCATTTAATCCTATTCTTGTATTTTTAGTAGGGACGGGGTTTCAACATGTTGGCCAGACTGGTCTCCAACTCCTGACCTCAAGTGATCCACCCACCTCGACCTCCCAAAGTGCTGGGATTACAGGCATGAGCACTGAGCCCAGCCCATTTAATCCTATTCTTGATTTGGGACTCTGATGGTAACTTTAGAATCTAATCTCTCAGCACTAGGTACTCTTGTCCCACTTTAGGTGAGCAATGATGGGGGCCTGAACAAAGTACTATGAGTGGGCATGGGAGACTTGGATGAATTTAAAATGTTTATGTGGTGGCTTTGACATGACTTATGATGACTTATAATAACTGGCTTGACAGGTTAATTGATTAGATGTGAGGGTGGGGGAAAAATATCACTGAAGGTTAGGGCTGGAAAGACCCTTAAAAATCACCTAATACAGTCAGTTTATAAATGGAGCGACTGTGGTGTGAAAAGTGAAGTGGTTGCCCTAGGTTGCAGAACCAGGTGTCAGAGGTGAGTAATGAGAACATAAGGTGTCTCAGCTGTCAGTCAGAAATCACTTGTTGCCAGTTGTTTGACTGATTAAAGGTCACTTTGTTAAAAATGGTTAGAATGCTAGAGAGATTTATATTAAGGTCTTAAGAGCACAAGGAATACAAAAAATAATTATCTCAGTATTACCTATATTACTGAAACACTTGCTGTCCAACGTTTTGGCAGTGGCTAAAAAGACTATGACACATCCAAGTGATGGGATAGTCTGATATAATTAGAGACAGTGGTTGTGAGGAACTTTTGATGATTTAGGAAGATGCACAAAACAGCAAAAGGAGGATAGAAAGTTACACAAGCAACATGACTTCAGCTTTGCAAAACTAATATATGTAGAAAAGACTAGATGAGAATATAACAAAATGTTACCAGCCAGTGTTAACATTAGCAGAATCACGATAACTGCAACTGTATATAGACTTCCATGTATATTCTAGATCTGCACTATCAAATATGGTAGCCACTAGCCTCATGTGGCTATTGAGCACTTGAAATGGTACAAATGCACACCAGATTTTGAGGACTGAGGATGTAAAAAAGAATGCAAAGTATCTCATTAATAAGAAAGTATTAATAATAAGATAATAATAAAACCACTGCTGCCTTGACTTCCTGGGCTCAAGCGATCCTCCTGCCTCAGCCTCCTGAGTAGCTAGGACTAATAGGTTTGCACCACCAAACCCTGCTAATTTTTTTTTCTTTCCTTTTTTGTAGAGACAAGATCTTGTTGCCCAGGCTGGTCTCAAACTCCTGCGTTCAAATGATACTCTCGCCTTGGCCTCCAAAAGTGTTGGGATTGCAGACCTGAGCTACTATGCCTGGCTGAATTCTATTTCTATTGGATTGGTTGTAAAGAAGTGCATTGTAGCCTGCAAAGGAGCAGGGCCAGTGGGGTGGAGAGGGCAGAAGTGCTACAGAGGCCCCTGCTCTCCACTGCCCTGACTGCTACTGTGCTGGATGCCGTGTGAACCACAGCTGCATCTGGAGGCCTTGGGCAGGTGAGAGCCAGCAGACAGGGCAGGAGTCAGGCAAAGGTCAGCTTGCCCAGATTGTTCTGGTCCAAGGATCTGGACCGCAAGCTTTGAGATGACAATGTAGCAACATGCTTCTGTGTGGGGAGGGGTGGGAGAGAAGCCTGGTCTTGAGCCCTTTTTGCCTGAGGTGTTCTCAGCAGATGGAGGCTGCCTGCTCACCCCTGCTGCTTCTGCCTCTTTCTGGTGACAGGCGGGATGAATGGGTGGCAGAGCACGCAGATGTGGGCAGATGTGCTCAGGCCCTACATTCTGTGCAAATAAAGTTCTCAGCAAAGGGTTTAGTGTTGCCTCTTGCCACCCTTCTCCTATGGGCATCAGGGCACGTATGGGACTCAGAGACTAATTTATAGATCAAATAACACTCACTGAAGAATCAGGATTTCAGAGCTTTATGAATCCAAAGATGCTCTGCAGACTCATCTCTAAGTTTTCTTATCGTCTTCTTCCTCTTTTTCTTTTTGTAAGAAGAACCAGAGATTTCAGACAGGATAAATGACCCACTAAAGGCCCCAGCTTTTGGTATCAGGGTCTGAGACAAATATCTGTGACCCAAAAGAAGTTGCCTCTCCGGGCCACACTTTCCTTAACTAATCACTCACTGGGGATAGTAGTCTGGGTGAATCCTCCCTCTGTTGCCTCCAGATGTATCTATGAGGCTAACAGGGAATTGTGTATATTTATCATATTGCCGAAAATTTTTAAAAAGACAGGCACTCCAAATAAGCCAACTCTGAGACATGCAGTACTGAGAATTCACCCACGCCAGAAATGGCATCCAGCCTTCAGGGTGAACTGTGATACACGGCCCATCATGCTCAGTAGCTGGTTGGCCAAAGGGATGTGTGAGTCACCTCTCTGCCCATGTTCACAGCATTCACAGCCCCAGTTCGACAGAAAATCCAGCATTGGACCACTTGATTTTTTCTAGAGTAAGACCAAGTGCTCGGTCACCTGCCCAGCTCCTCTGGTTGGTAGAGAATACAGCCATGGGTAGGCCATGGTTCCCTCTGTTTTACTGGTTTGGCTAGGTACAGAGCCAAGGGCTTATTTCCTTTTTACAGCTGTGGAGGCTGGGAATGCACTGGAGAGTGTTGAGTGGAGGAGTGATGTGAGCTAACTAATGTGACTCTAATTGCATTGACAAGAGGCCCTGAGGGGGCAAGGATGGAAACAGGGAGTCCAGTTAGGAAGACTTGCAGTAATTGAGGTGAGAGATGATGGTGGCTGGACCACACTGGTAACTGGAAGGTGGGAGAAGTGGTTGTATTATAGATATTTTTCAAAAGTAGAACTAAAAGGACTTATTGATGGATTGGATGTGCAGTATGAGAAAAAGGAGCCAAAGGTGTCTCCAAAACTTCCACCCTGAAGAAAATGGAAGAATAGCATTACCATTTCCCACTGGGGCAGAATGCCAGAGAAATACCTTGGAGGGTAAAATCAAGATTTCAGATCAGTTAAGTTTGAGATGCCTTTGTTACAGCATGTTATAGAGGGTGGGTTGAAATCTCAGGCACTTTTTCTCCTTTTGCAGCTGTAAAATCAGGAGGATGTGCATGGCTAGGCTCTAGGGATAAAACAGAATCAGTTCCTGGGAGGGAAGAAGCTTTTTCTCTGCTCTCACTTCTGGGCCTGGGGCTCAAGATTCTCCTGGATTGGTGAGAAGTGAGGTCTATAGGACCTGAGGCCTTCCCCAGGGGACAAGGCAGAGGCAGCTCAGTCCACTTCTCATCACGTTTAGGCTAAGATGCAGTAAGGTGGAGAAGGACAGGGGCAGCTTGGTAGGGGAAAAGTGACAACAGCTTGAGAGTAATGGGATTGGAGGGGACCGTGGCTTGGGAGAGGTGGATGGCTTTCTCAGGACAGAGAGTGCCCTGGACCAGAGTCACAGGACCTCGCTGGGAGTGCTGGCCTTGTGGTCTTAAGCAACTTCTTTCCCCTCTCTGGGCCTATTTCCTTGTCTATTAATATAGGCCTGATGGGATCTATCCCTGAGGGATATGTGTGGATTCAGTGGCTAAATGAGATAGTGTGTGAGACTATTACTACAGAGGCCTGGCAGACATAAATCTGTTTTGGGTCCTGACCACTTCTTCCCCATCTGACTGTTGGGAGCAGAGTTTGAGCAGGTGTAAGAATTCACTTGGTTCTTGACTTCTGTGTTCTTGCCTGCTTCTCAGAGACAGGGAGCACATTTAACTCTTTGCAGATGCTATTTAAATACAGGCCTCAGAATCCCAGCTATTATAAACAGAACACGTTTTCTTAGGCAGTTACTAAATGACATATTTTTTCCCCACTTGGATCACTGAATCTCCAGACAGCATGGAGCTCTCCATTGTGGTAAACAACACACCTCATGCTTAATTTTAAAGGAGTTGGTACACCCCACTGTAAGAATTTTCAATTAGTAAAATACTAATGTGATTATGGTATTTGGTAAGAGTTGTTTGCATAACATTAAAATGCAATAGGCCCTCTGCCTAAATCAATAGGCAGAGGGGAGAGCAGCCGCTTGGCTTGTTGCCACCTGGTGGCAGCTGTTGGGATAGCCCAGTCTCTTGGAGAAGTGAAGAACGGCAGTTGTCGCTGTACAGGGCAGTCACCCCGGTCAGCAATTGAGCCTCTTGGTTTTCAGCTTAGAGGCCTTCCCCTCTGTCTCTGTTAATCCTACTCATCTTTTTGGGCATGACTTAAATCACAGCTCCACGAAGCTATCTTTGAGCAACTAGAGCTTCCATCTCTGTACCAATCCCCTTGGACACTGCCTTCTATGGGGTGTTTGGAGTGGGTGGGGTAAGAGGCTGCAAACCATCTGTGCCCCACCACTTAGCACTCAGGGCCAGGCGTACCTAAGACTTCCGTGATTTTCAAAGGCCTTCAAAACTTTTGGATTCTGAAAAAAATCCAAAATCCATATTTGGGAGTTCCTGGCTCCCAAATATGAAAAGAAAACAGCAAAATAACAATGTTTTAAAAATATCAACCAAATAGAACATGTCGGTCAGATACAACACAATACTAATACAGTTATGTCTAAATCATATTCCATGATTATCCTCATGGAATAGATGAAATGGATTTTTAATACATTTGATACGATGTAGGATGGAATCTCTAAAACTAAAAATACTCAGGGCTTAGGGAGGTCTTAACCAGCACTGTCCTGGCTGACTGAGAATGACCTCCATCCTTCTCATCTCTTCATTTTATGGGTGAGGACTCTGAGGGTGAAATGACTTCTCAGGTCCCACATTTAGGGGAGGAACTAGAATCAAAGCCCAAGTTCCTGACTTCCAGGCTAGTTCTTTCTATGACACTTCATTGCCAGCATTAGTAGATCAATTTCTTCAGAGTGCCAAGTTTCTCTGTGACTTTGGAAATTCGTTCATGATATGCAGAAACTATATCTAAAATTAATTTGAGGATCAAAAATGGAAAATCTTGAAACTTAAACTTTCATCATCGGCAGCTGTATTTATACTTTTCACCTTTGTAAAAAAAAATCACAAATCTTTTAATATACTCTTGCTTTCTCTGCTTCCTTTTCTGAGTTTCTTCTGCAGCCTCCATGCATTTATGACCCTCCCTCTATTACTTTCAAGACCAATGGCCCAACTATTATTTATAAAGATACAGAATATACTCATTTCTTTTTAAGCATTTCTTTGCTTTTTTCTTATGAATTTTTGGAATGCTACTTTTTTATTTTGACATTAAGCACTAATTTATAATAAACATGAAAACACAATTTTTATAAGCTATTTCAGGTTTCTAGGACTAGTAATTGTATATGCGCCTTCCACGGCAATTCAATATAGTAATCCCATACTGTAGATAGTTATTCTCCCTCTTTAATTTCCATGCTATAAATGGCAGGGCTGGTGAAGGATTCTCTTAGTTGAGAAGTGCTCCTTTACTGTCACTTCAAATGATCTCCAAAAGTCTTCTGTGAGGATTTTCAAAGCAGAAGAGCTCTTGTTCTGTGGATCCCATTGGGGAAGATTCCTATGAACAGCCTTCGATGACCATCGTGCAAAGCAAAATCCTCTCTCGGTAAGGATGAGCATGTGGCATTGGCCCTAATCAGTGCAGTGAGTTGGCTGCAGAGTTCCCCTTTCCTTCCCAGTTTCTTTGACATTTCCAGGAAACCAGAATTTTTAAATAAAGAACAACCTTGGTTGCAGAATATATAGGCAAGAAATATGGACTGTCTGAGCTATGGCCTTAGAGTTGGTCTAGTCCAGTCCCCTCAAACCCCAGGCATGCGGCTCACAAGGGGAAGAGACTTGGTCAGGAGTAGAGTTCAGACCAGAGTTCAGAGCCCTTGATTTCAAATTCAAGGCAAGTTTGTTTACTTTTGGGAAATTCCTAGAGAGGAGAATGAGACTGAGAGCAAGAACCTCTCTTTTTCATACCTACATCCTGTACAACACTCAGCACAGCACTCCTGATATTAGTAGTGCCCAATCAATCTTTGCTGGGTGATTCAATAAAATAACACAAGGGGAAAAAAATCTTCCTTGAAAACACAGATAAGAGATGCTCCTTCACACCCACAAGGATGGTTGAAATAAAAAACCAATAACAAGTGTTGGCAAAGATATGGAGAAATTGGGACCCTTATATACTGCTAGTGAGGTGGCAAAATGGTACAGCTGCTTTGGAAAACACTTTGACAGTTCCTAAAAAAGTTAAACTTTGAGTTACCATTTGACCCATCAGTTCTGCTCTTAGGTATATAACCAAGACAAATGAAAACACATGTTTATGCGAACACTTTTATATGAATGTCCATTGCAACATTATTCATAACAGTCAAAAAGTGGACACAACCCAAATACCCATTCACTGATGAATAAATTAACAAAATGTGGTATAGCCGTACAATGGGATATTATTAAGCCATGAAAAGGAACAAAGCATTGATATATGCTACAACATGATGGAACCTTGAAAACATTATAGAAACTGAAAGAAACCAGTCACAAAAGCCCACCTATTGTATGATCTCATTTATATAAAATGCCTAGAATAGGGAAATCCATGGAGATGGAAAATGTTTTCCAGTGGCTGTGAGGAAGGAGGTATGGGGAGTGACTTCTAATGTGTACAGCATTCTTTTTTGGGGTTGAGGAAAATGTTGTAAAATTAGATAATGGTGATGGTTGCACAACTCTGTGAATATACTAAAAACCATTGTAATGTATATTTTAAAAGTGTGAATTTTGAATACTTTGGGAGGCCGAGGCGGGCGGATCACAAGGTCAAGAGATCAAGACCAGAGCCAAGATGGCCGAATACGAACAGCTCCGGTCTACAGCTCCCAGCGTGAGCGACGCAGAAGACGGGTGATTTCTGCATTTCCAACTGAGGTACCGGGTTCATCTCACTGGGGAGTGCCAGACAGTAGGCGCAGGATGGTGGGTGCAGCACACCATGCATGAGCCAAAGCAGGGCAAGGCATCGCCCCACCTGGGAAGCGCAAGGGGTCAGGGAATTCCCTTTCCTAGTCAAAGAAAGGAGTGACAGATGGCACCTGGAAAATCGGGTCACTCCCACCCTAATACTGCGCTTTTCCAACGGGCTTAAAAAACAGCACACCAGGAGATTATATCCCTCACATGGCTCAGAGGGTCCTACACCCAAGGAGTCTTGCTCATTGCTAGCACAGCAGTCCCAGATCGAACTGCAAGGCGGCAGCGAGGCTGGGGGAGGGGTGCCCGCCATTGCCGAGTTAGTTGTTTGATTACGTAAACAAAGCGGCCGGGAAGCTTGAACTGGGTGGAGCCCATCACAGCTCAAGGAGGCCTGCCTGCCTCTGTAGGCGCCACCTCTGGGGGCAGGGCACAGACAAACAAAAAGACAGCAGTAACCTCTGCAGACTTAAATGTCCCTCTCTGACAGCTTTGAAGAGTAGTGGTTCTCCCAGCATGCAGCTTGAGATCTGAGAACGGGCAGACTGCCTCCTCAAGTGGGTCCCTGACCCCTGAGTAGCCTAACTGGGAGGCACCCCCCAGTAGGGGCGGACTGACACCTTACATGGCCGGGTACTCCTCTGAGACAAAACTTGCAGAGGAATGATCAGGCAGCAGCATTTGCGGTTCACCAAAATCCACTGTTCTGCAGCCACCGCTGCTGATACCCAGGCAAACAGTGTCTGGAGTGGACTTCTAGCAAACTCCAACAGACTTGCAGCTGAGGTTCCTGTCTGTTAGAAGGAAAACTAACAAACAGAAAGGACATCTACACCAAAAACCCATCTGTACGTCACCATCATCAAAGACCAAAGGTAGATAAAACCACAAAGATGGGAAAAAAACAGAGCAGAAAAACTGGAAACTCTAAAAAGCAGAGCGCCTCTCCTCCTCCAAAGGAACGCAGCTCCTCACCAGCAACGGAACAAAGCTGGATGGAGAATGACTTTGACGAGTTGAGAGAAGAAGGCTTCAGATGATCAAACTACTCTGAGCTACAGGAGGAAATTCGAACCAATGGCAAAGAAGTTAAAAGCTTTGAAAAAAAATTAGACGAATGGATAACTAGAATAACCAATGCAGAGAAGTCCTTAAAGGACCTGATGGAGCTGAAAACCAAGGCACGAGAGCTACGTGACGAATGCAGAAGCCTTATTAGCCGACGTGATCAACTGGAAGAAAGGGTATCAGTGATAGAAGATGAAATGAATGAAATGAAGCGAGAAGAGGAGTTTAGAGAAAAAAGAATAAAAAGAAATGAACAAAGCCTCCAAAAAATATGGGACTATGTGAAAAGACCAAATCTACGTCTGATTGGTGTACCTGAAAGTGATGGGGAGAATGGAACCAAGTTGGAAAACACTCTTCAGGATATTATCCAGGAGAACTTCCCCAATCTAGCAAGGCAGGCCAACATTCAAATTCAGGAAATACAGAGAATGCCACAAAGATACTCCTCGAGAAGAGCAACTCCAAGACACATAATTGTCAGATTCACCAAAGTTGAAATGAAGGAAAAAATGTTAAGGGCAGCCAGAGAGAAAGGTCGGGTTACCCACAAAGGGAAGCCCATCAGACTAACAGCTGATCTCTCGGCAGAAACTCTACAAGCCAGAAGAGAGTGGGGACCAATATTCAACATTCTTAAAGAAAAGAATTTTCAACCCAGAATTTCATATCCAGCCAAACTAAGCTTCATAAGTGAAAGAGAAATAAAATCCTTTACAGACAAGCAAATGCTGAGAGATTCTGTCACCACCAGGCCAGCCCTAAAAGAGCTCCTGAAGGAAGCACTAAACATGGAAAGGAACAACCAGTACCAGCCACTGCAAAAACATGCCAAATCGTAAAGACCATCAAGGCCAGGAAGAAACTGCATCAACTAACGAGCAAAATAACCAGCTAACATCATAATGACAGGATTGAATTCACACCTAACAATATTAACTTTAAATGTAAATGGGCTAAATGCTCCAATTAAAAGACACAGACTGGCAAATTGGATAAAGAGTCAAGACCCATCAGTGTGCTGTATTCAGGAAACCCATCTCACGTGCAGGCACACACATAGGCTCAAAATAAAAGGATGGAGGAAGATCTACCAAGCAGATGGAAAACAAAAAAAGGCAGGGGTTGCAATCCTAGTCTCTGAAAAAACAGACTTTAAACCAACAAAGATCTAAAGAGACAAAGAAGGCCATTACATAATGGTAAAGGGATCAATTCAACAAGAAGAGCTAACTATCCTAAATATATATGCACCCAATACAGGAGCACCCAGATGCATAAAGCAAGTCCTTAGTGACCTACAAAGAGACTTAGACTCCCACACAATAATAATGGGAGACTTTAACACCCCACTGTCAACATTAGACAGATCGACGAGACAGAAAGTTAACAAGGACACCCAGGAATTGAACTCAGCTCTGCACCAAGCAGACCTAATAGACATCTACAGAACTCTCCACCCCAAATCAACAGAATATACATTCTTTTCAGCACCACACCACACCTACTCCAAAATTGACCACACAGTTGGAAGTAAAGCACTCCTCAGCAAATGTAAAATAACAGAAATTATAACAAACTGTCTCTCAGACCACAGTGCAATCAAACTAGAACTCAGGATTAAGAAACTCACTCAAAACCACTCAACTACATGGAAACTGAACAACCTGCTCCTGAATGACTACTGGGTAAATAATGAAATGAAGGCAGAAATAAAGATGTTCTTTGAAACCAACGAGAACAAAGACACAACATACCAGAATCTCTGGGACACATTCAAAGCAGTGTGTAGAGGGAAATTTATAGCACTAAATGCCCACAAGAGAAAGCAGGAAAGATCTAAAATTGACACCCTAACATCACAATTAAAAGAACTAGAAAAGCAAGAGCAAACACATTCAAAAGCTAGCAGAAGGCAAGAAATAACTAAGAGCAGAGCAGAACTGAAGGAAATAGAGACACAAGAAACCCTTCAAAAAATCAATGAGTCCAGGAGCTGGTTTTTTGAAAAGATCAACAAAATTGATAGACTGCTAGCAAGACTAATAAAGAAGAAGAGAGAGAAGAATCAAATGGACGCAATAAAAAATGATAAAGGGGATATCACCACCGATCCCACAGAAATACAAACTACCATCAGAGAATACTATAAACACCTCTACACAAATAAACTAGAAAATCTAGAAGAAATGGACAAATTCCTCGACACATACATCCTCCCAAGACTAAACCAGGAAGAAGCTGAATCTCTGAATAGACCAATAACAGGCTCTGAAATTGAGGCAATAATCAATAGCTTACCAACCAAAAAAAGTCCAGGACCAGATGGATTCACAGCCGAATTCTACCAGCGGTACAAAGAGGAGCTGGTACCATTCCTTCTGAAACTATTCCAATCAATAGAAAAAGAGGGAATCCTCCCTAACTCATTTTATGAGGCCAGCATCATCCTGATACCAAAGCCTGGCAGAGACACAACCAAAAAAGAGAATTTTAGACCAATATCCTTGATGAACATTGATGCAAAAATCCTCAATAAAATACTGGCAAACCGAATCCAGTAGCACATCAAAAAGCTTATCCACCATGATCAAGTGGGCTTCATCCCTGGGATGCAAGGCTGGTTCAACATACGCAAATCAATAAATGCAATCCAGCATATAAACAGAACCAAAGACAAAAACCACATGATTATCTCAATAGATGCAGAAAAGGCCTTTGACAAAATTCAACAACCTTTCATGCTAAAAATTCTCAATAAATTAGGTATTGATGGGTCGTATCTCAAAATAATAAGAGCTATCTGTGACAAACCCACAGCCAATATCATACTGAATGGGCAAAAACTGGAAGCATTCCCTTTGAAAACAGGCACAAGACAGGGATGCCCCCTCTCACCACTCCTATTCAACATAGTGTTGGAAGTTCTGGCCAGGGCAATCAGGCAGGAGAAGGAAATAAAGGGTATTCAATTAGGAAAAGAGGAAGTCAAATTGTCCCTGTTTGTAGATGACATGATTGTATATCTAGAAAACCCCTTCATCTCAGCCCAAAATCTCAAGCTGATAAGCAACTTCAGCAAAGTCTCAGGTTACAAAATCAATGTGCAAAAATCAGAAGCATTCTTATACACCAATAACAGACAAACAGAGAGGCAAATCATGAGTAAACTCCCATTCACAATTGCTTCAAAGAGAATAAAATACCTAGGAATCCAACTTACAAGGGATGTGAAGGACCTCTTCAAGGAGAACTACAAACCACTGTTCAATGAAATAAAAGAGGATACAAACAAATGGAAGAACATTCCATGCTCATGGGTAGGAAGAATCAATATCATGAAAATGGCCATACTGCCCAAGGTAATTTATAGAGTCAATGCCATCCCCATCAAGCTACCAATGACTTTCTTCACAGAATTGGAAAAAACTACTTTAAAGTTCATATAGAACCCAAAAAGAGCCCACATGGCCAAGTCAATCCTAAGCCAAAAGAACGAAGCTGGAGGCATCACGCTACCTGACTTCAAACTATACTACAAGGCTACAGTAACCAAAACAGCATGGTACTGCTACCAAAACAGAGATATAGACCAATGGAACAGAACAGAACCCTCAGAAATAATGCCGCATATCTACAACTATCTGATCTATGACAAACCTGACAAAAACAAGCAATGGGGAAAGGATTCCCTATTTAATAAATGGTGCTGGGAAAACTGGCTAGCCATATGTAGAAAGCTGAAACTGGATCCCTTCCTTATACCTTATACAAAAATTAATTCAAGATGGATTAAAGACTTAAATGTTAGACCTAAAACCATAAAAACCCTAGAAGAAAACCTAGGCAATACCATTCAGGACATAGGCATGAGCAAGGACCTCATGTCTAAAACCCCAAAAGCAATGGCAACAAAAGCCAAAATTGACAAATGGGATCTAATTAAACTCAGGAGCTTCTGCACAGCAAAAGAAACTACCATCAGAGTGAACAGGCAACCTACAGAATGGGAGAAAATTTTTGCAACCTACTCATCTGACAAAGGGCTAATATCCAGAATCTACAATGAACTCAAACAAATTTACAAGAAAAAAACAAACAACCCCATCAAAAAGTGGGCGAAGGATATGAACAGACACTTCTCAAAAGAAGACATTTATGCAGCCAAAACACACATGAAAAAATGCTCATCATCACTGGCCATCAGAGAAATGCAAATGAAAACCACAATGAGATACCATCTCACACCAGTTAGAATGGCGATCATTAGTCAGGAAACAACAGGTGCTGGAGAGGATGTGGAGAAATAGGAACACTTTTACACTGTTGGTGGGACTGTAAACTAGTTCAACCATTGTGGAAGTCAGTGTGGCGATTCCTCAGGGATCTACAACTAGAAATACCATTTGACCCAGCCATCCCATTATTGGGTATATCATACCCAAAGGATTATAAATCATGCTGCTATAAAGACACATGCACACATATGTTTATTGCGGCACTACTCACAATAGCAAAGACTTGGAACCAACCTAAATGTCCAACAACGATAGACTGGATTAAGAAAATGTGGCACATATACACCATGGAATACTATGCAGCCATAAAAAATGATGAGTTCATGTCCTTTGTAGGGACATGGATGAAACTGGAAACCATCATTCTCATCAAACTATCGCAAGGACAAAAAACCAAACACTGCATGTTCTCACTCATAGGTGGGAATTGAACAATGAGAACACATGGACACAGGAAGGGGAACATTACACATCGGGGACTATTGTGGGGTGGGGGGCGGGGGGAGGGATAGCATTAGGAGATATACTTAATGCTAAATGATGAGTTAATGGGTGCAGCACACCAACATGGCACATGTATACATATGTAACAAACCTGCATGTTGTGCACATGTACCCTAAAACTTAAAGTATAATAATAAAATTTTAAAAAGTGTGAATTTTATGGTATATGGTATCTCACTAAAGCTGTTACACACACACACACACACACACAGAGTCACTTAGGATGGATACCTGTACAATGTATATGGTCACTTGTTTGAATCTAGTTGAGTGTGTGAATGATGACTAAGTGTGGGAGCCTGTGATAAGCCACCTCCCAAACCGCCTTCTGAGTTTATTATAGGTATTAGTCTAAACCTTAAAAAGCTTTGCCATGTATGGGTAGAAAATACCTGCTACAGACACGAAAGCAAATTAATGCCCAGTGAGGGTTAATATATGGGCCACCATAAGCAGTCATGATCTGGAAGAAAGAATATATATTAGCATAAATCTGGCTCCATCAGCATAAAGACTCAGCTCTGAGGACAGTGCCACTTTCTAAAACGCAAGCTGTTGCTTGGACTCACCACAGCAGGCTTTTACTTTGTATCAGCTCCTGGACTGAGAGGGACTGGACATGGTCAAACCCAGAAGAGAAGGGGCTGCTCAGGTAGTGGGCCGGTGGCTCAGAAAAGCTTTGTCCCAGATGTTTCCACCTTCTCCTGTCCTCCAGTTGCTCACCCCAGGGGACTCCAAGCACTCTAGCCTCCTTCTGTGGTGTGGGGCTCCCTGCAAGCTCTATGCCCTCCACGGGGACACTCCCTCAACCCCATCAAGTTAACCCAGTAATCCAATACATCCTGACTAATTTGGTGATGGTAGAGGGTTGAGTCCCAGGTACTACATGCTTATCATAAGGGAACCTTTTGGATTCAGTTATCTGAGAGATGAATCTGGATTCCATGACTTTGCCACTGTTTCCTACAGACTCGTGTTTGTAGGAAAGATTCAGCACCCTGTCAGGCTAATAGGACATCCTTTTGGATGGCAGCAATCTTTAGAAAGCTGCCTTGCAGCTACCATGTAGGACAGACTCAAGGAGGGAGACTTGGGAAAGGAAAGAGGAAGGGACACTGATGTAGATTAAGGGCCTATTAAGTGCAAGGCACTGTGGTATTTGCTCATATCATCCTCCGAACAACTTTATGGGTTTGGTATTCATACTCCCATTTTATGAAGGGAAAATTGAGGCTCAAAGAACCCAAGAACGTGCCAAGTTCCACAGCTCAGCGGCAGGGCGAGGACAAAGATCCAGGTTTGCCTAACCCAAAAGGCCAGGTTTTCTCTACTGTGCTTGACCCTGTTGATTGCTCTCAGCCTGGCGAGGGAAACAAATGCTTGGCAGAATGTGAGAGGGCACTGTGATGCTGGCAGCCACAGCAAGAAGCTCCCCCAATTGCCAGAGAGCTGTGAAGCCAGGGAAGGCTTGTGATTTACCGTGGGACTTCGGGCAAGTCACTTAACACCTTTCTGTCTCACCTTTCCCATTATTTGTCTCTAAAGCACTTTGAGAGCCTATGTATAGGAGCTGTATAAGGACAAAGAAATACAGTCCTTCAGTATAGGCAAAAAGGCAAGGTTCCCACCTGTGATCAATCAAAGTCCTATGGCACTTTCCAGAAACGTGGGTGGAGCTTTAGGGCCCTGGGAAAAATTTCAATTGAGTAGCTGCTGGCTGAAAGGCACCCTGGAGTTCCACCTGAGTAAATGTTCTACATCCCGGCTGACCTGTCCAGGCTCTGCTGCTATGGTAGGCCTCTGCTCTGCTGAGCTCCACCCCAGAGGCTGCTTTTAACAAACAGGCCCCCTTTGATGCCATTTGTCCCTGGGTTCATTTTCTAGCAAATGAAAGAAATGGCATTAAGGGTGGTATTTTCTTCCTCTCTTCCTCTTTTCCCCCTCTTTCTCCTTTACCTCTTCTAAAATTCAATGCACTATTTCTTAATGTATAGCTTCCTCTCAGGAGAATACACTAGAATGCTATTGAGTCATGGCAGATAAGTGTAAATTCTTAGTTTTAGCTCTACCTGTTATCTGCTAAGCATTAAATACAGGATCTTTGAGGCAATTTGTAGAAAATCATCATGAAATTACTTTCTTCAAATTTCTTTCTTTAACAAGTGAATAAAAAATATAAAATATATACATTGGTGCTTTCCCTCAAAATCTGGGATAACATATTCTTTGGTATGCCATAAGTCTTTCATATGAATAGAAGTTTCACAGTGCCATTTCTTTGAGAAATGTCTTTCTATTGAGCCTCTTTAGAAATGTCCTTGTGTCCTGCACACTTCTATTTGACTTCGGAACTTAGTTGCTGCCACGTGGCATTTGAAACACGGTCCCTCCAATTCTGGGGAAAAGCTGCAGGGGAACACAGTTGTCCTCCTTGGTGGTAACTGCCAATGATAGGGAAACTCCATGTTCTTCTTTATATTTCCTACCTGTGTCCTCTGTATGGGAGGTGAATTTTGTTGCATTATTTGGACTTCTATTGGTTCCTGACTACCTGATCAAGCTCCAGTGGGTTGGTTTAATAGCATTTACATATTAAGACATTTGTGGAGACATCTACAAAGATTAAAAAACAGGCCAGGTGCGGTGGCTCACGCCTGTTATCCCAGCACTTTGGGAGGCCACGGCAGATGGATCACCAGGTCAGGAGTTCGAGACCAGCCTGGCCAACATGGTGAAACCCTGTCTCTACTAAAAATATAAAAATTAGCCTGGTGTGGTGGCACACACCTGCAACCCCAGCTACTTGGGAGGCTGAGGCAGAAGAATTGCTTGAACCCAGGAGGCAGAGGTTGCAGTGAGCTGAGATTGCACCACTGCAATCCAGCCTGGCGACAGAGCAAGACTCCATCTCAAAAACAAACAAAAAAACCAGACATGAGGTAGGTACTCTGGGGTGGGATAGGAATGTAACATGACAGGGGAAGATAAAGTCTTTAAGAAAAGAAGCAATTTCATTTATTTATTTATAAGGGCTCAGAACAATAGGGGACACAATGAATCTTATGTTTAAGAAAGCAAAATATATGTTTAAAGGAATATACATATTGCTAAAACAGTTCCATTTATGCAAAAGATTCATGTAACTTGATAAAGGTTTTCAGGGATTTTAAAGGATTTTAAGTGCTGTGTTAGACTGTACTAGTAACAGATGTTCAACGACGTGTTTAAGTTTTTGTTTTACTGAAAAAGCAATGGATTATCTGATATTTCCTTTAAAAAAAATCATACCAAAGCCACCACTTTCCAAGTATAATTCAAATTCATTATTTCTAAGAAACATAAATAATTTAAAATGACAGAAGGGCTCTTAAAAATAAATATTACTATAGTGGAACTAGAAGATTTTGTTTGCTAAACATCCCCTTCAGAATCCCAGGCTTTTGTGTCACTTCTTGTTCTTTTTCTATGAAGACAGATGGTGTCAGTAATTGCCTATATATTTAATTAAGTTAAAAAGCTACATAGTAAGGTTTTGGCAAAAAAGTTTGAAATTTTGTGCTATGAGCAAAGAAAGCAAAGGAAGCAGAAATTGGTAACATAAGACACCATTCCTCCCCAAATATGCATTTTGATATCCATATGTGTTGGAATGTGAGATGGCATTTTATCAAGCTAATTATAAGAATAAAGGCATTTATCTAGAAAGATAAAACCCATAATAGATATCTAGATGGCATTTATCTTGCACTTTTGACCAGCTAGATGGGAATGACTCTACCTGTTGTCCCCATCACCTCCCACCTTGACCCAATACTTAAGTGGTTGCCCTAAACTCTGCTGAGATGCAGGTTTTTGCCTGGTATTTCTCACCTAGCAGGCTAATCATTGTGAAATTATTATGGGGGAGAAAGGAGTAGCTACTTGTAGAAAGTGGTTTGGAAAACTGACTTAACCATTCTTGTGGTGTCTGTTTTCAATGTTTCCATCCCGTGAATCCACCTTCTGGCTTAATGGCAATATGGCACTCCCAGCTGTGGTGCTGTCTATGGGCTGCACATTTAAACTCTTAAAGTTTAAAAATGGCTACCACAACACTGATTTTATTCCATTTCACTTAGTCATTAACATTTAATGATTACCTTATGTGCTGAGCACAAGGATGGAATATATTAAAAAAATAGGAGATGTGTTTTCTGGCTTTAAGCTGTTCAACTCAATTCAACAAGCATATTGAGGACATATAAGAGAAACATACGTTTTCTTTGGTGATAGTGGTTGTGGGGGGAGATACTTACAAAGCAAGTCACTATCAATCCAGTGCAGTGCCACAGTATTTGTTGTGAGAGAAAGAACACAGGCTTGGCAGCCAAATAAGTCACAGTCTGAACCCTGGATTTGCCACATAATAGCTGTTCATGTGGCCTTGAACATGTCACTCCAGCCTCAGTTTCCTCATTTGTAAATTAGGGATAATAATACTTCTCAGGATGTGAAGATTAGGGTTACTACATGTAAAATACATAACAGAGTGCTTGGCACATGATACAAATACAGTAAGTAGTTAATATTATCATTCGTAATTACTCTGGCCATCAGTGCTATACTTCAGATCTGAGCTAGGGCTAGAGGATGAAGTGGCACTTTAAGGGGGAATCCATGATGAGCTGGACTTTGAAATATGTTTCAAAGGAAGCGAAGTTGTATATCAGCAGAGAAAAAAGGAAAAGCAAATTGTAGGACTGAAGGTAATATGTGGGAGGTAGGACGATAATGCATTTATTTATTTTATTTTAGTCCATAAGTTACTGGGGTACAGGTGGTATTTGGTTACATGAGTAAGTTCTTTTGTGGTGATTTGTGAAAATTTGCTGCACCCATCACCCAAGCAGTATACACTCCACCATATTTGTGGTCTTTTGTCCCTCACCCCCTCCCACTCTTTCCCCCAAGTCCCCAAAGTCGATTGTATCATTCTTATGCCTTTGAATCCTCATAGCTTAGCTCCCACATATCAGTGAGAACATACGATGTCCGGTTTTCCATTCCTGAGTTACTTCACTTAGAATAACAGTCTCCAGGCTGGGCGCAGTGGCTCACGCCTGTAATCCCAGCACTTTGGGAGGCCGAGGCGGGTGGATGACGAGTTCAGGAGATCGAGACCATCCTGGTTAACACGGTGAAACCCCGTCTCTACTAAAAATACAAAAAATTAGCCGGGCGCTGTGGCGGGCGCCTGTAGTCCCAGCTACTCAGGAGGCTGAGGCAGGAAAATGGTGTGAACCCGGGAGGCGGAGCTTGCAGTGAGCCGAGATCGCACCACTGCACTCTGGACTGGGCGAAACAGCAAGACTCCATCTCAAAAAAAAAAAAGAATAACAGTCTCCAGTCTCATCCAGGTGACTACAAATGCTGTTAATTCATTCCTTTTTATGGCTGCATAGTATTCCATCATATATATGTGTGTATGTATATCTATATGTATTTTATATATATATATATGTATATCTATCTATCTATCTATCTATCTATCTATCTATCTATCTATCTATCTCACAGTTTCTTTATCCACTTGTTGATTGATGGGCATTTGGGTTGGTTCCATGATTTTGCAATTGTGAATTGTGCTGCTATAAATATGCATGTGCAAGTATCTCTTTTGAATAATGACTTCTTTTCCTCTGGGTAGATATCCAGTAATGGGACTGCTGGATCAAATGGTAGTTCTACTTTTAGTTCTTTAAGGAATCTCCACACTGTCTTCCATAGTGGCTGTACTAGTTTACATTCCCACCAGCAGTGTAGAAGCGTTCCCTGTAACCTGCATCCAAGCCAACATCCACTGTTTTTTGATTTTTTGATTATGGCCATTCTTGCAGGAGTAAGGTGGTATTGCATTGTGGTTTTGATTTGCATTTCCCTGAACATTAGTGATGTTGAGCATTTTTTCTTTTTTTTTTTTAGATGGAGTTTCGCTCCTGTTGCCCACGCTGGAGTGCAATGGCGTGATCTTGGCTCACCACAACCTCCGCCTCCTGGATTCAAGTGATTCTCCTGCCTCAGCCTCCCGAGTAGCTGGGATTACAGGCACGCACCACCATGCCTGGCTAATTGTGTATATTTAGTAGACATGGGGTTTCTCCATGTCGGTCAGGCTGGTCTCCAACTCCTGACCTCAGGTGACCTGACCACCTTGGCCTCCCGAAGTGCTGGGATTACAGGCATGAGCCACCATGCCTGGCCTTTTTCATATGTTTATTGGCCACTTGTATATCTTCTTTTGAGAACTGTCTATTCATGTCCGTAGCCCATTTTTTGATGGGATTGTTTTTTTCTTACTAATTTGTTTGAGTTCGTTGTAGATTCTGGATATTAGTCCTTTGTCAGATGTATAGATGGCAAAGACTTTCTCCCACTCTGTGGGTTGTCTGTTTACTCTGCTGACTGTTGCTGTGCAAAAAAGCCCTTTCATTTAATTAGGTCCCAGCTATTTATCTTTGTTTTTATTATATTTTCTTTTGGGTTCTTGATCATGAACTCCTTGCCTAAGCCAATGTCTAGAAGGGGTTTTCCAATGTTATCTTCTAGAATTTTTACAGTTTTAGTTCTAAGGTTTAAGTCCTTAATCTATCTTGAGTTGATTTTTGTATAAGGTGAGAGATGACAATCCAGTTTCACTCTCCTAAATGTGGCTAGTCAATTATCCCAGCACCATTTGTTGAAAAGGGTGTCATTTCCCAACTTTATGTTTTTGTTTGCTTTGTCAAAGATTAGTTGGCTGTAAGTATTTGGGTTTATTTCTGGGTTCTCTATTTAGTTCCATTGGTCTATGTGCCTATTTTTATACCAGTACCATGCTGTTTTGGTGACTATGGACTTACAGTATAGTTTGAAATCAGGTAGTGTGATGCCTCCAGATTTGTTCTTTTTGCTTAGCCTTGCTTTGGCCATCTGGGCTCTTTTTTGGTTCCATATGAATTTTAGAATTGTTTTTTCTAATTCTGTGATGAAGGATGGTGGTATTTTGATGGGGATTGCATTGAATTTGTAGATTGCTTTTGGCAGTATGGTCATTTTCACAATATTGATTCTACCCATCCATGAGTATGGGATGTGTTTCCATTTGTTTGTGTCGTCTGTGATTTCTTTCAGCAGTATTTTGTAGTTTTCCTTGCAGAGGTCTTTTGACTCCTTGGTTAGGTATATTCCTAAGTACTCTTTTTTTTTTTTTTTTTTTTTTTTTTTTTTTGCAGCTATTGCAAAAGGAGTTGAGTTCTTGATTTGATTCTCCACTTGGTCGCTGTTGGTATATAGAAGAGCTACTGATTTGTGTACATTAATCTTGTATCTGGAAACTTTGCTGAATTCTTTTATCAGTTCTAGGAGCTTTCTGGAGGAGTCCTTAGGGTTTTCAAGGTAAATGATTATATCGTCAGCAAACAGTGACAGTTTGACTTCCTCTTTACCGATTTGGATGCCCTTTATTTCTTTCTCTTGTCTGATTGCTCTGGCTAGGACTTCCAGTACTGTTAAAGAGGAGTGGTGAGAGTGGGCATCTTTGTCTTGTTCCAGTCCTCAGAGGGAATGCTTTCAACTTTTCCCCATTCAGTATTATGTTGGCTGTGGGTTTGTCATAGATGGCTTGTACTACATTAAGTTATGTCCCTTGTATGCCGATTTTGCTGACAGTTTTAATCATAAAGGAATGCTGGATTTTGTCGAATGCTTTTTCTGCATCTATTGAGATGATCATGTGACTTTTGTTTTTAATTGTTTATGTAGTGTATCACATTTATTGACTTGCGTATGTTAAACCATCCCTGCATCCCTGGTATAAAACCCACATGATCATGGTGGATTATCTTTTTGATATGTTGTTGGATCTGGTTAGCTAGTATTTTGTTAAAGATTTTAGCATCAATGTTCATCAAGGATATTGGTTTGTAGTTTTCTTTTTTGGTTGTGTCCTTTCCTGGTTTTGGTATTAGGGCGATGCTGACTTCATAAAATGAATTAGGGAAGGTTTCTTCTTTCTCTATCTTGTGGAATAGTGTCAAAAGGATTGGTACCAATTCTTCTCTGAATGTCTGGTACAACTCTGCTGTGAATACGTCTGGTCTTGGACTTTTTTGGTTGGTAACTTTTAAATTACCACTTCAATCTCTTTGCTTGTTATAGTTCTGTTCAGGGTATCTAATTCTTCCTGATTTAAGCTAGGAGGGTTGTATTTTTCCAGGAATTTATCCATTTCTTCTAGGTTTTCTAGTTTATGTGTGTAAAGGTGGTCATAGTAGCCTTCAATGATCTTTTGTCTTTCTGCGGTGTCAGTTGTAATATCTCCTGTTTCGTTTCTTAGTGAGGTTATTTGGATTTTCTCTTTTCTTTTCTTGGTTAATCTTGCTAATGGTCTATCAATTTTATTTATCTTTTCAAAGAACCAGTTTTAGTTTCATTTATCGTTTGTATTTTTTTTTTTTTTTTTTGAGACGGAGTTTTGCTCTTGTTGCCCAGGATGGAGTGCAATGGCGTGATCTCGGCTCACCACAACCTCTGCCTCCCGGGTTCAAGTGATTCTCCTGCCTCAGCCTCCCAAGTAGCTGGGACTACAGGCATGCATCATCACGCCCAGCTATTTTTTTTGTATTTTTAGTAGAGATGGGGTTTCTCCATGTTGGTCACGCTGGTCTCAAACTCTTGACCTCAGGTGATCCGCCCACCTCGGCCTTCCAAAGTGCTGGGATTACAGGCATGAGCCACTGCGCCTGGCCTATTGTTTGTATTTTTTGTTTGTTTGTTTCAAATTTCATGTAGTTCTGCTCTGATCTTGGTAATTTCCTTTCTTCTGCTGGGTAATTTCCTTTCTTGTGTCTCTAGCTCCTTGAGGTGTGACCTTAGAATGTCAGTTTGTGCTCTTGCAGTCTTGTTAAGGTAGGCATTTACGGCTATAAATTTTCCTCTTAGCACTGCCTTTGCTGTATCCCAGAGGTTTTGACAGGTTGTGTCATTATTGTCATTCAGTTCAAATAATTGTTTGATTTCCATCTTGATTTTGTTTTGACCCAGTGCTCATTCAGGAGCAGGTTATTTAATTTCCATGTATTTGCATGGTTTTGCAGATTCCTTTTCAAGTTGATTTCCAGTTTTATTGTACTGTGGTCTGAGAGAGTGCTTGATATAATTTCAATTTTCTTAAACTGATTGAGGCTCGTTTTATGGCCTATCATAAGGTCTATCTTGGAGAAAGTTCCATGCGCTGTTGAATAGAATGTGTATTCTGCAGTTGTTGGATGAAATGTTCTGTATATATCTGTTAAGTCCATTTGTTCCAAGGTATAGTTTAAATCCATTATTTATTTGTTGACTTTCTGTCTTGATGACCTGTCCAGTGGTGTCAGTGGAGTATTGAAGTCCCCAACTATTATTGCTTTGCTGTCTATCTTATTTCTTTGGTCTATTAGTAATTGTTTTAGAAATTTGGGAGCTCCAGTGTTACATGCATATATGTTTAGGATTGTGATATTTTCCTGTTGGACAAGGTCCTTTACCATTATATAACATCCCTCTTTGTCTCTTAACTGCTGTTGCTTTAAAGTTTGTTTTGTGTGATATAAGAATAGCTACCCCTGCTCGCTTTTGGTGTCCGGTTGCATGAAATGCCTTTTTTCACCCCTTTAAGTTTATGTGAGTCCTTATGTGTTAGATGAGTCTCCTGAAGGAGCAGATAGTTGGTTGGTGAGTTCTTATCCATTCTACAGTTCTGTATCTTTTAAGTGGAGCATTTAGGCTATTTACATTCAATGTTAGTATTGAAATATGAGGTACTGTTTCATTCATCCTGCTCTTCGTTGCCTGTGTACTTTGATTTTGTTTTTGCTTTTTAACTTGTATTTTTGTTTTATAGGTCCTGTGTGATTTATGCTTTAAAGAGGTTCTGTTTTGATGTTTTTCCAGGATTTGATTCAAGATTTAGAGCTCCTTTTAGCAGTTCTTGTAGTGGTGGCGTGGTAATGGCGAATTCTCTCAGCATTTGTTTGTCTGAAAATGACTGTATCTTTCCTTCATATATGATGCTTAGTTTCACTGGATACAAAATTCTTGGCTGATAATTGTTTTGTTTGAGGAGGCTGAAGATAGGTCCCCAATCCCTTCTAGCTTGTAGGGTTTCTGCTGAGAAATCTGCTGTTAACCTGATAGGTTTTCCTTTATAGGTTACCTGGTGCTTCTCTCTCACAGCTCTTAAAGATTCTTTCCTTCGTCTTAAATTTGGATAACCTGATGACAATGTGCCTAGGTAAAGATCTTTTTGCAATAAAATTTCCAGTTGTTCTTTGTGCTTCTTGTATTTGAATGTCTAGGTCTCTCACAAGGCCGGGGAAGTTTTCCTCGATTATTCCCCCAAATATGTTTTCCAAGCTTTTAGAATTCTCTTCTTCCTCAGTAACACTGATTATTCTCCGGTTTGGTCATTTAACATAATCCCAGACTTCTTGGAGGCTTTGTTCATATTTTCTTATTCTTTTTTCTTTGTCTTTGTCAGATTGCATTAATTCGAAGACCTGTCTTCAAGCTCTGAATTTCTTTCTTCTACTTGTTCAATTCTATTGCTGAGACTTTCCAGAGCATTTTGCATTTCTAAAAGTGTGTCCAATGTTTCCTGTATTCTTGATTGTTTTTTCTTTAAGCTATTTCCTTGAATATGTATCCCTTCATTTCTTGTATCATTTTTTGGATTTCCTTGCATTGGGCTTCACCTTTCTCTGGTCTCTCCCTGATTAGCTTAATAACCTCCTGAATTCTTTTTCATGTAAATCAGGGATTTCTTGGTTTAGATCCATTGCTGGTGAACTAGTGTGATTTTTTAGGGGTGTTGAAGAGCCTTGTTTTGTCATATTACCAGGGTTGGTTTTCTGGTTCCTTCTCATTTGGGTAGGCTCTGTCAGAGGGAAGGTCTAGGGCTGCAGCCTGTTGTTCAGATTCTTTTGTCCCACGGGTTGTTCCCTTGATGTAGTACTCTCCCCCTTTTCCTATGGATGCAGCTTCCTGTGAGCTGAAATGCAGTGATTGTTGTCTCTCTTCTGGGTCTAGCCACCCATCAAGTCTACCTGGCTCTGGATTGGCACTGAGTGTTGTCTGCATAGAGTCCTGTGATGTGAACCATATATTATATGGGTTTCTCAGCAGTGGATACCAGTGCCTGTTCTGATGGAGGTGGCGGGGGATGCAATGGATTCCATAAGGGTTCTTAGCTTTGGTAGTTTAATGCTCTATTTTTGTGCTGGTTGGCCGCCTGCCAGGACGTGGCGCTTTCCAGAAAGCATCAGCTATAGTAGTGTGGAGAGGGACTGGCAGTGGGTGGGGCCCTAGAACTCCCAAGATTATATGCCCTTTGTCTTCTGCTACCAGGGTGGATAGGGAAGGACCATCAGGTGGGGGTGGGGCTACGCGTGTCTGAGCTCAGACTCCCCTTGGGCAGATCTTGCTGCAGCTGTTGTGGGGGATGAGGGTGAGGTTCCCAGGTCACTGGAGTTGTGTACCTAGGAGGATTATGGCTGCCTCTGCTGAGTCATGCAGGTTGTCAGGGAAGTGGGGGAAAGCCAGCAGTCACAGGCCTCACCCAGCTCCCATGCAAACCAAAGGGCCGGTCTCACTCCCACCATGCCTCTCCACAACAGCCCCGAGTCTCTTTCCAGGCAGAGGGCAAGACGGGCTTGAAAACTTGTTGCAGGCTAGAAAGAAAAGGGCTTGGTTCTTCCCCTGCCTATGGAGTCTGCACACCGGATTTGTGCCCTCCCCTGAGTTCTCGCCAGGAGGCTTCTCACCCTGTTCAAGTTGTTACAAACTTTAGCTAGAGAATTCCTTCTCCCTGTGGAGATTTACCGCCTGCTTCTCTGGCCACCGTCCTGATGGATCCCTGTGGTGCCAGGCAGAAATGGGCTGCTAGGGGATGCAGTGAGCTCCTAGGGCCTTTCTGCTTCTTCCTCTACCCCTGTATTTCCCTTGGCTCTCTAAATTGACTCAGCTCCGGGTAAAGTGAGAAACTTCTCCAGCAAACAGACCTTCAGCTTCTCCAGTGCGGGGGTGTGTGTTTGAGAGAGGAGGGTCTCCCTTTCCTACTTCCGCAGTTGGGGCACTCACAGTATTTGGGGTGTCTCCTGGGTCCTGCAGGAGCAGTCGGCTTCCTTCAGTGGGTCTCGATAATACATTTATTGAATATGGAGCCATCAAGCTTGTGTGTTCTGGAGAGTCTTGTGGACATGATCAATGAGAGAAGCAACCAGTGGTGCCATATGCTGGGAGGGGGTGATTGAGTATTGTCTTAAGAAATAGGTAAAGCCTAAAGCAAATGTACTTTTCCACCGCAACATTTACATTACAGGTAAAATTAAGTTAAACTGAATATTAAGGATAATTTTGCAGAACTCTTACAACTCAATAGCAAAGACCCCCAGATAACCTGATTAAAACATGGGCAAAGGATCTGAATAGACTTTTTTTTTTTTTTAGACAGGGTCTTGCTCTGTCACCCAGGTTGAGTGCAGTGATGCCATCTTGGCTCACTACAACCTCTGCCTCCTGGGTTCAAGAGATTCTCGTGCCTCAGCCTCCAAGTAGCTGGGATTACAGGCGTGCACCACTATGCCTGGCTAATTTTTATATTTTTAGTAGAGATGGGGTTTCACCATGTTGGCCAGGCTGATCCCGAACTCCTGACCTCAAGTGATCCACCTGCCTCAGCCTCCCAAAGTGCTGGGATTACAGGTGTGAGCCACCACACCCAGCCAACTTTTATTTTTTTGAGACAGAATCTCACTAAGGCTGGAGTGCAGTGGTGCAGTCTTGGCTCACTGCAACCTCTGCCTCCCTGGTTCAAGCAATTCTCGTGCCTTAGCCTCCCCAGTAGCTGGGATTACAGGTTTGAACCACCACACCCGACAATTTTTCTATTTTTAATAGAGACAGGGTTTCACCGTGTTGGCCAGGCTGGTCTCAAACTCCTGGCCTAAAGTGATCTGCCCACCTCAGCCTCCTGAGGTGCTAAGATTACAGGCATTACACACCCTGCCTACATATAGACTTTTTTTTAAAGACATACGAATGGCCAACAGGTATATAAAAGGTGCTCAGCATCACTGATTATCAGGGAAATGCAAATCAAACCCACAGTGAGATATCACTTCACACCTCTTCAGATGGCTATTATCAAAAAGACAAAAGAAGGCTGGGTGCAGTGGCTCACATCTGTAATGCCAGCACTTTGGGAGGCAGAGGCGGGTGGATCACGAGGTCAGGAGTTCGAGACCACCCTGGCTAACATGGTGAAACCCCATCTCTACTAAAAATACAAAAATTAGCTTAAAAAAATTAAAAAAAATTAAAAAAAAAACAAAGATACAAAATACAAAAATACAAAAAAATTAAAAAAAAATACAAAAATACAGGCGTGGTGACGCGCTTGTAGTCCCAGCTACTCAGTAGGTGAGGCAGGAGAATCGCTAAACCCTAGAGGCAGAGGTTGCAGTGAGCCACGCCACTGCACTCTGGCCTGGGCAACAGAGTCAGACTCCGTCTCAAAAAAAAAAAAAAAAGAAAAGAAAAGAAAAGACAAAAGATAAGTATTGGTGAGAATGTGGAGAAAGGGAACCCTTATACACTGTTAGTGGGAATGTAAATTAGTACAGCCACTGTGGAAAACTGTATGGAGGTTCCTCAAAAACTTAAACACAGAACTACCATATGATCCACCAATCCCACTTCTGAGTGCGTAGCCAAAGAAAATAAAATCTTGAAGAGATATCTGCACTGCCGTGTCCATTGCAGCATTATTCATAATAGCCAAGACGTGGAAACAACCTAAGTGTCAGTTGATGACAGATGAAAGGATGAAGAAATTGTGGTGTGTGTGTATATATGTATGCATGTATATACACATTGGAATATTATTTAGCCTTAAAAAAGAAGGAAATTCTGTCATTCATGACAATATGAATGAACCTGGAGGATAATATGCTAAGTGAAATAAGCCAGACACAGAAAGACAAATACTGCATGATCTCACTTACATGTGGAATCCAAAAAAGTCAAACTTATAGCAACAGAAAGTAGATGAGTGATTACCAGGGGTCGGAAGGTGGGGGAAATGGGGAGATGCTGGTTAAAGTGTACAAACCTTCAGTTATAAGATGAATGAATTCTGGAGACCTAACGTATAGCATGGTGACTATAGTTAATAACCACATATTATATACCTGAAATTTGCTAAGAGAGTAGATCTTAACTTCTGACCACACACACACACACATCCAAGTGAGATGATGGATATGTTAATTAGCTTGATTGTGGTAATCATTTCACAAGGTATATTATATTGAAATATCATGTTGTACACCTTAAATAAAAATACTTTTTTTGGGTTAGTTATACCTCAATAAAGCTGGGATCGGAGAAGGACAATTTTGTAAGAGAAAATTTATCACATAAAAAGTCTTGACCACAGGTGACAGCTGGAACTAGAAACAACTTTCAGCTTTGTTTTGGGATGCTGGGGCAAGCTATAAATGCTCATAGGTGAAGAATCTTATGGTCTTTCTTGGCATTAGTAGGGAGCCTTTTCCTTTTTTCCTACCTCCTGCCCTCCTGAGTCCTGCAGAAATGTAGTACCTGCTGGAGACAGCAGGGTGCAGTGTGAGTGTCCAGATTTTCCTCGCCCTGGCCATGTTTCTGGTGATTCAAGTTAAAGATCCCTAAGTGCAGAGAGGTGTCTTGGTTTCATTTGAAAGGAAGCAAAGAGCTCCATGATGAGAATGGGCATCTTTTGAGGAAGTCCTGGGGGAACAGCTGATGTAAACAGAGGAATTAGGTCCGTTATATGCAGATCAACCAAAATCCTACCCAAGAGCTGATATTTAGGCTTGGGTTCAATATTTCTCAGTGTGAAGGTTTACAGTGTAAGGGGGGTTAACCAAACATTTAAGGACAGTCACAAATGGTAATATATACATAGCAAAGTTGGCCACTAGTTTACCTGCACTATCAGTGTTAAGAAACAGAATTGTAATTTTCACTGGAAAAATTTGTCATCATTGCCCATGTGCTTATTGTAGAAGTCATCATCATTGCCATCATCATTACTATTACTTGCATATTATAGGTCTCTTTCATTGACACAAAGATACAGCCCTTTTAAAGGGAGAAGGTCTTTTACTTTAATGCTTCCAAGTCCTTTGGGATGTATTTTCCCTTCACTAGGCATTAACTTGTGATTAACAATCTGCCCACTATAGCACTTTAAAACACTGAATAATAGGTACTTCTGTTAATACCAAAGGCGTATTACATTTTAATTTAGATATACTCTGTTAGCCTTCTTCCATATAAATAAAATACTTTCCCTAAAGAGAAAAAGTAAATCTCATTGAGCTTCCTTGGTGAATACCTTGTATATCTTGAAAACAGAGATAGGGGAGATCTTGCAAATGAGAGTACTAGAGGGGGATTTAGAGAAGTATTCATTCATTCATTAAATAAATATTTATTGAACATCTATTATATGCTAGACAGGGTGCTAGGTGCTGGGTATACAGCAGTGAACAAGAAGGAATTATGATATTTCTGTAGACTTTGGTTTTTCCATTCTCTGAAATAAATGTATTCATTTTTGATGCTTATATATCACTTTGAGATGATGATAATGCTCAGTGACTTTTAAAAATAATGCTAATTCAATTCTGATTCAACTCACAGTTTGAGCACCTGCTGAGGGCTCCTGTGACAGTTTTACATGTGGTTATGCCATTTGATTTAATAAGAACATCACCTTATATCTGCTTAGCCTCTCAGAACATACTGTGAGGAAGAGGGCAGGAATTTACCAGTTGATAACAAAAAAACAAGGCTCAGATTGGTCAAGTGAATTGTCTACAGTATCACACTAGTTAGTGGAAAGACTGGGGCCAGAACCCATTGCCATTGCAATGAAAATATTTTCAGATTTTTTTTTATTCTAGGCTGATATTCTGTATTTAGAAACTCTTAAAAATCGTTTTCAGACTTTATGGGATATACTGCGGTATATATCAGGGCCTCCATTTTCATCTTTCCTCACAATCTGTACTTTGTGACAAGTCTTATTTCCTTTCTGTAGCTAACTTTATGTTTTGGAAGGGCCATTACTACTCTCCAATAGCTAGTTTTCATATCAATTCTTCTTAAAGCTTGGATTTTCTTTAATTTCCTTTTTCAAAAAAAGTATTAACTATCAATGCTTATAATACAGATTGTTGTTTCAAAGTTCACAATTATCTAAAATAAGAGTTAATTTATTTATTTATTTTTGAGACAGGGTCTTGCTCTGTCATCCAGGCTGGAGTGCAGTGGCGAGATCCTAGCTTATTGCAGCCAGCCTCCAACTCCTGGGCTTAAGTGATCCTCCTGCCTCAGCCTCCCATGTAGGTAGGATTACAGATGTGTGCCACCATGCCCAACTAATTTTTTATTTTTAATTTTAGAGATGAGTCTTGATGCCCAGGCTAAAAGAACTTTTTTTCCTTTTTCCATCACCTGAAGCTTTTATTTGGTAAAAGCCAGATCACCATGCTCCTCAAGAAACAAGAGGCTACAATCTAAAAAACTATTGATATTGGTAGGAAATGTTCAACTAAATTCTATGATAATTAATGAACCTTATATCTATTCAATTTCCTGTGAAATATAAAGAACAATGTGTGTTTTTTTTTAACTTTTAAGTTCGGGGTACGTGTGCAGGTTTGCTACACAGGTAAACTTGTGCCATGGGGGTTTGTTGTACACATTATTTCATCACCCAGGTATTAAGCCTAGTACCCAGGAGTTATTTTTCCTGATTCTCTCCCTCCTCCCACCCTCCACCCTTTGATAGGCCTCAGTGCGTGGTGTTCCCCTCTATGTGTCCCTGTATTCTCATCATTTAGCTCCCACTTATAAGTGGGAACATGCAGTATTTGGTTTTCTGTTCCTGTGTTAGTTTACTAAGGATAATGACCTCCAGCTACATCCATGTCCCTGCAAATGCAGGACATGATCTTGTTCTGAAAGAATTTTTTAATTTGGGAATTTTCATATAGAGCATCTTTGCCAATCTATTTGTTTAGAGACTTTTATATGAGGAACAGGAATGGGAGAATTGCTATATAAATGTATATTTACTTGAGGTGAATCCAACATGATATTTGTAAGACTTAGATCATCATTTTTATCCATATGTGTTCTGTGCTTTTTCCCACCACTCTTTCCCACCAAGTGAGCCTGTTTCTCACTTGGAATACACTCTTTCTTACCCTCCTCATATCCTAATTTTCTTTCGGCTCAAATCCCACCTTCTCTGCAAAACCTTTCTTGATTGCTCCCAACAGAAGGGATCTTTCTCTTGTCTGAATGCATGTAGAAAAATCATTTGGCCGTTAAACTGATATTACCTTTTTGATGTCTCTTTTATTGTTCTACGTAGTTGTCACTTAAGCCTTTCCTTGCTACTCATTTTTCAAGCCTATCTTCCCAACTAGAATGTGAACTCCCTAAGGGCAGGCACTTCCATGTCTTTTGCATCTTTGTAGCTTCTCTAGCACCTAGCATTATGGCTTATACATAATAGATGCTCAATAAACACTTGTTTTTTTTAGAGTTTCCCCAAAGTGAGTAATTAACTACAAAAGATCTGGATCATCTAGAAGTTCCAAAAGTCCATAAATCAACAAATAATAATCAGGTGGCTGGCCAAATATGACCATCATTGTGTTAGACATTATGAAGAGGTAAAAAAAATTCAAGGCCTAGTACATTTTCTAAAGGATTAAAAAAATCTCATGGAGGCAATATTTATACCTATGAATCAATACAAGTATAAAACAATTGTGTGCATGTATAGCAAATAAAATGGGACGATGGATATGAAATAAGCTTTGTCATGATACAGAAGATGTCTTGTTTATTTCCACAGCACCTAACAGGAAGCCAGAGTAGGTCCTCTGAAGGTGTTTGTTCAATGAACTTGTCATCCTCCTCAACTTAAAGCCTTTAGTAAGTACTTCATATCCCTCCTAGAACCTACTAGATACTGTTTATCATTGATCCTGGCTCCAGGACCCATCAGGATTTGGAAATAGCTTTTGCTGCTATTTGTTTACTGCTTGGATCCCCTTACATAATATTATCCTTATGTGGGAAGGCCAGATCTCCAACATGGCTGCCTTGTAGCTCTGTGTATTCTGGAGTGCCATGTACTCTGCGTGCCATCTCTGAAGGCCTAGAATTTCCCCATTTCTAGGGTACCAAAATCCTGGACCTAAATCCACTGGCAGGAGTAATCTTAGACCATGCTCCACCATCTCCATTTCCCAGGGACCAGCCCCTTCTTCCTTGATTACAAAATGACCGTGTGTTCTACTTGATGCTTCCAATATTTAAGTCTTACATTTCCACAACTTCTTCTATTCTGCTAGAACCTCATTCTCATCTCCTTAGGTCTAGAAAGAATTCTCCACTTTCTTTTCTGGAGTTGATTCACAATTGTGGGACTGTCCTTGAGGCATTGCTGTCATTTTATCTATTTTGCCTTGGCCCCCAGTCCCCTTTGCCCCTCCTGCGTCAGCATGGTAAATTATGGGGCCCAGCTGGGGCCAATGGGCATGAATTTGAAATGGATGCAGTCACCTCAGTTTTCTGTTTCCCATGTCTTATTGTAAGACCTGTGTGTATGTGAGTAAGATCATGTATGTGAAAGTGCTTTGCAAACAATAACATTCTATACAAATTTTTGTTATCGTTATTCATGTATTTTTTTCTGATTAGAAATATAATACATGTTTGCTTTTTATTTTTTTGAGACAGGGTCTCGTTCTGTTGCTCAAGCTGGAGTGCAGTGGCACGATCATGGCTCACTGCAGCCTCAATCTTCCAGGCTCAAATTATCCTCCTACCTCAGTCTCCTGAGTAGCTGGGACTATAGGTGCACATCATCATGTCCAGCTAATTTTTAAAAAATTTTTTGTAGAGACAAGGGTTTTGCTATGTTGCCTATGCTGATCTCAAACTCCTGAACTCAAGTGATCCTCCCATCTCAGCTTTCCAAAGTGCTGGGTTTATACACATGAGCCACTGAGCCTAGACTATAATACATGTTTACTTTTGCAGAAAACACAAAGAACAAAATAGCAACCACCCTCTATATTAGTATCCTATTGCTGCTGCAACAAATTGCCACAAACTTCCTGGCTTAAAACAACACAGATTTATTATTTTTCAGCTCTGTGGGTCAGAAGTCTTACTGGGCTAAAAATTAAGATGTGGGCAGGGCTTTGTTCCTCCTGGAGACTCTAGAGGAGAATCTGTTTCCTTGCCTTTTCTGGCTTCTAGAGGCCATGTGCCTTCATTGGCTCATGCCATTGGCTCATGGTCCCTTCCTCCTTGTTCAAGGCCAGCAGCACAGCATCTTCAAATCCTTCTCTTTCTATGATCCCCCTGCCTCTCTCTCTCTCTTTTTTTTTTTTTTTTGAGACAGAGTCTCACTCTGTCACCAGGCTGGAGTGCAGTGGCATGGTCTCAGTTCACTGCAACCTCCACCACCCGGGTTCAAGCGATTCTCCTGCCTCAGCCTCCTGAGTAGCTGGGATTACAGGCACGTGCCACCATGCCCAGCTAATTTTTGTATTTTTAGTAGAGATGGGGTTTCACCATATTGGTCAGGCTTGTCTCAAACTCCTGACCTCGTGATCCACCCGCCTCGGTCTCCCAAAGTGTTGGGATTACAGGTGTGAGTCACCGCACCCGGCCTGCCTCTCTTTTAAAAGGACCCTGGTGATTATATTGGGGCCACCTGGATAATGCAAGCTACTCTTCCCAACTCAAGATCCTTAACTTAATCACATATGCAAAGTCCTTTTGCCATGCAACATAATGTTCACAGATTTGGGGAATTAGGGTGTGGATATCTTTAGCGGACCATTACTCTGCCACCTTCAATCTTGCTGTCCAGAAATAATGACTTGTAACATCTTAGTATATATCTTTAGGTTCTTTTAACTCTGCATTTATATATTTTTTTCTTTTTATAAAATTATCATATTGCATATATTGCTTGTGATCTGCTTTTTACCTTTATCTATTCTATAAAGTTTCCTGTTAAATATTCTTTAAAAACATTAGTTTTAATGTCTTCATAGTATGCAATTTCATTGAACTATCATAATTTGCTCTAAATATTCTCTATAGTTGGAGATCAGGTGCAGTGGCTCACGCCTGTAATCCCAGCACTTTGGGAGGCCAAGGCAGGTGGATCACTTGAGGCCAGGAGTTCAAGACCAGCCTGGCCAACATGGCGAAACCCCGTCTCTACTAAAAATACAAAAGTTAGTCAGGTGTGGTGTGTGCCTGTAATCCCAGCTACTCAGGAGGCTAAGGCACAAGAATCACTTGAGCCTGGGAGGCAAAGATTACAGTGAAGCAAGATCATGCCACTGCACTCCAGCCTGGGCAACACAGGGAGATTCTGCTTCAAAAAAAAAAAAAAAAATCTATTATTGGAATTTAGACTACTTGAAATATTTTGCTATTCTTAATAATGATGTGATTAATATATGTGTATTTAAATCTTTGTGATTATTTCCTGGTGATAATTTTTTTAAAGTGGATGATTATTATTAACATTTGAATTTGCTGATACAGAAAATAAGTGCTTTAAAATGTTATTGAAATAAAGACTGTTTTGAACTGTAGGTTACCTCAGATGCAAAATAAGCTAACCTCCTCATTTTATAGCTGAGAAAACTGAAAATGAGGGAAAGTGATAAGTTCAAGGTAATATAGCAATTTAGAAGAAGAGCTGGAGGCCAGGCACAGTGGTTCACACCTGTAATCCAAGCACTTTGGGAGGCCAAGGCAGGAGGATGGCTCAAGGCCAGGAGTTCAAAACCAGCCTGGGCAACATAGTGAGACCCTATCTCTACAAAAAAAAGAAAAGAAAAAAGAAAAACAGCTGGATTTGACTATATGAAACTTTAGTATGATGAAGAGTATTACAAATAAAACACAAATGACAGGATTGGGATCCAAGCACATGAGGCATGGAGGGGTAGGGCACAGATAGAGTAGGCAAAGAAGATGGCAGGAGTGGTTGGGAGATTAGTTACATTAAACAAATAAGTAAACTGACTAAGCAAAGAAGTAACTATATTGAGGGATAAAGACTCAAGTTTCTCATTGTTGGAGAAGTTATTTATTTTTTAGTGTTCCAATAAAACTTTATTTACATAAAATGAATGCTGGGTCAGATTTAGCCTGTAGGCCATTGTTTACCAACTCCTGCTCTAGACTATCTTGATCCTCCTGTTTCTGGGATTTTCTTCTTCTTTTTTTTTTTTGGATACTGGGTCTCTGTTGCCCAGGCTGGAGTACAGTGGTACAATCACAGCTTATTGCAGCATTGACCTCCCGGGCCCAAGCAATCCTCCTACCTCAGCCTCTCAAATAGCTGGAATCACAGATGAGTGCCATTATGCTTGGCTAATTTTGTTTATTTTAAAAATTTTTTTGGTAGAGACTGGACCTTTCTATGTTGCCCAGGCTGGTATTGAACTCCTGAGCTCAAGCAATTCTCCTGCCTCAGCCTCCCAAAGTGCTGGGATTACAGGCATGAGCCACCACATCTGGCCTGGGATTTTATTTTGTAAATATACACAGTTACTATGTTCCAAGTTCTATTTAGCTTTTCATTTTTATTTTTATTTTTATTTTTTTTTAGTTTGTAAGTTTAAATAATGAGTATGAGGTTGGGTTTTTTTTTGGTATTTTTTATTGATATGTAATAGTTATATATATTTTGGCCATACATGTGCTATTTTGATACATGCATACAATGTGGATACATTGTAATTGTACCCCAAATCAGAGTAAGCAGGATATCCATCAAGATATTTACTTTTAAGTGTGGAAAAGGGGAATTCTAGAAAGAACCTTGAGGTGCTGGATTGAAATTGGAGATGCTGGCAGGAACTCATGGTTTTATAATATAAACACTTGATAGATATAGAAATAGTTATAGATGCACAGATGTATGTATATGTACATATGTGTGTTTATATGCATATATGTGTGTATAACTGTGTGTATGTATTGTACCTACGTAATACATGTACTTGCTAGCTCTGTCCACTGAGAGGTCTCAGAAGGGGTGACACTCCAGTAGCAATGGCAGCACTAAGAGCCCAGATCTTACAGGGCTTCTGAGTCGATCCTAGGTCCAGGGCAAGGAAAATAGAAAATGAGCCTGGAACATCTTATTGTGTCAGAAAGTAAGACATGCTCAAAGAATGATGAGGACATGTCAAAAGGACACAAGACACACCCTGAAGGGTCTCTCACTGGCCAAATCTGGAACAACTGAGCATCAAAACAATGAAAGTATCAAAATACAACCCATTAAATAAAATAGAAACCCATGACTTCATACTGACATAAATACATACAGACCTACAGGCATAAATGAGAGGTGGAGAAGGAAAATTGTTTCTTGCAGTAGATTGCCAGAAATTTCTACACAAAATTTTACCAGAAAATTTTCCACAGAAATACAAAATTACCACTATCGTAGTGGTAGTGGAAAAAGTTGCCAATGGATGCTAAGTTTTCTGGGTGGAATTTGATAAGCAATACACTATTGTGGTACTCTTGGAACACATTTCTACAAAATATTACTAATCAATTACAAGGGAGGAAATAGTAATTTGTTTTTTGAGACAGAGTCTTGCTCTGTCGCCCAGGCTGGAGTGCAGTGGCGCGATCTTGGCTCACTGCAACCTCCACCTCCTGGGTTCAAGTGATTCTCCTGCCTTAGCCTCCCGGGCAGCTGGGACTACAGGCACATGCCACCACGCCCAGCTAATTTTTGTATTTTTAGTAGAGATGGGGTTTCACCATATTGGCCAAGCTGGTCTTGAACTCCTGACCTCGTGATCCACCCACCTCGGCCACCCAAAGTGCTGGGATTACAGGCGTGAGCCACCGCACCTGGCCAGAAATAGTAATTTTTATGGTGGAGAAACATGGCCAAAAATAAAAAGAGAGAGAGGAAAGCCACAAATGACAATCTGAGAGAAGGTATTTACAAGATGTATAATAGTCAAAGAATGACAGTTTCCAATATACAAAGAGCTCCAGCAAATCAACATTTGTGTTATAGTCCAATTTAACTGGGGCAAAAGATATGATTAGGCAATTAAGAAAAGATATATAAATGGGCAAACAAACATATGAAGAGGTGTGGATCTTCACTAATAATCAAAGAAATGCTGAATAAAACAAAAAATTTTTAACCTGTTAGACTGACAAAAAATGAGAGGTTGATAATATGCCTGCCAGTCGCTTCAATGGCATCACAAGGCATGTCAATTAGAAAAAAAATTAAGATGTTTTCTGAAGTGATACCACTTGCAAAATGGCTAGAAAATATGCCAGTGATTTGTAAATAATTTATTATATACAGAGAACAAACATACTTCTCTTGCTAATGCAGAAACACCCTTTGGTGTGGTCACTGAGAACTTCTTCCAATATTCTGTTGATAACTATAACACAAATGATCATATACTGAAGTATTTATGGGAAGGGACAAGGAAAATTCATAGTATGATAAAATCAGAGAATCTAATATCTATCTATCCCATTCATCCAATGAATGTTTGAGCTCCTTCTTCAAAAGCCTTGCAATACCATCCAGCATCTGCTAGAACTCCTCCATTGTTCATTCATTCAGTCAACAAATATTTACTGAATACCTACTTTGTGCCAGGACAGAAGTAAGTGCTGAGAATACAGTGGGGGAGCAAAAAGAAACACAGCACATCGCTTAAAAGAGCTTACAATTAATAGGAGGAGAAAAATATTAATCAGATAGTCATGTAAATAAGTTTAAATTTGTAACTGAGATAAGTGGTACGAGGAATGCTCACACACAGCTACACAATGATATGAAAACCTAAAAAAGGAGAATTTGACTTTGTCAGGAAGGTCAGGAAGCGCTTCAGTCAATGTGGCTTGAGCTGAAATGTGATGGCTGGAAAAGGGGCTAACTAGGTCAAAAGAAAAGGCAAGAGCATTTAAGGTGGAGGAACAGCATGTTTAGGCCCTGTGGTAGAGGGAATATGATGAGTAAGAGGGAATGAGACAGGGTGTGTGGATGGACCAGAACAAAACAGAGGGCAAGTTAGGGTGAGACAAGACTGGCCAGGTACATGGAACCAGCCAAGTGAAGGGTGGGACCTTTCAGCCAGAAGCCCAGAAGGGTGGTAAGCCCAAGGAAGGACTGGCATCGTGTTTGGAGAAGATCCTTTTGACTGCTGTGTGCAAGTTTCCTTATACCAAACTCAAATAAATAAAAGCCACAAGTCAACTGTCTCCATAGTTCCATCCTTCCTATTGTCCCAGGGACCACAGTTTTACCTTTCTCTTTCTCACTCTCCTTCTTCCTTTTTTCTTTTCTTTTTTTTTTTTTTTAGATGAAATCTGGCTCTGTCACCCAGGCTGGAGTGCAGTGGCATCATCTCGGTTCACTGCAACCTCTGCCTCCTGGGTTCAAGCAATTCTATTGCCTCAGCCTCCCGAGCAGCTGGGATTATAGGCATCCACCATCACGCCTGGCTGATCTCGAACTCCTGACCTCAAGCAATCCACCCGCCTGCGCCTCCCAAAATGCTGGTATTACAGGCGTGAGCTACCGTGCCCAGCCTTTTTTTCTTTTCTTTCTTTTTTTTTTTTTTTTGAGACAGGTTCTCACTCTGTCACCCAGACTGGAGTGCAGTGATGCGATCCTGGCTCACTGCAGAGGAGGTGGGAGGTTGAGGCTACAGTGAGCTGGGATCAAGTGATCCTCCCACTTCAGCCTCCTGAGTAGCTGGGACTACAGGTACATGCCACTATGCCCGGCTAATTTTTTTGTATTTTTTTGTAGACATGGGGTCCCATTATGTTGCCCAGGCTGGTCCTGAACTCCTGGGGTCAAGTGATCTGCCTGCTTCGGCCTCCCAAAGTGCTGGGATTACAGGCATGAGCCACCACACCCAGCCAATCTTTCTTACAACAAATACTTGGGGAGGGCAGCCTCCCCTGGCTCCTCCTCCCCCTGCATCCCTGCCATCCAGATTTCCCCAGGGAGCATTGTTTCTGTCCTGCCTCCACCACAGGGAGAGTTCTGAATGACCTTCAGTTTGTTCTTTTCCCTCTCAATGTACAGGCCTGAGAACAGAATGTAAAACCAATGGAGGGCCCAGGAAGGCAAATGGAAAATGATTATTGAACAAGCTGAAAACTGCCAAAAAACATAAACTCTCACTTTGAAACCATCATCTGACTGAAATGGAGAACTGTAAAACTGAGAATAATGATCCTAAAACAACCAAAGTATATGTACAATGCGGATGACCAGAGGATATCGCGATATCGAGAGAGGAAGGCCAGGAGGTCATTTCGCCCTTTAGACAGAGGTCTGGACATGCAGCACTAAGAGAGGAGCAACCGGACATTTTAAAACACGAGTCCTGTGAAATAGTAGTGAACTTTAACATTATACTTTTAGGTGGGAAAAGCAAAGTGAAAAAGGTTAAAGATGATTTATCCTGAATAGTATATCTCAGCACCATACCTATGCACATGAAGAATCTCACAAATGGAATATTAAACAAAAGCATACAGTAAAATAATAATAGATAGAATGTTATGATCTACAAAATTCTTAAAAACATGCAAAATAAAACTCTACATTATTTTTGGGTGTATCCATGTGTGATGAAAGCATAGAGATGAAAGGGAATTAAAACCCCAGGTATGAGACAGTAGCTTCCTCCTGGCCTCTAGGAGGAGGAAGAGCCATGTGCTTGGCAAGGAGTACACAGGACTGCAGGTGGCACTGACACCACTTTGTTTCTTAAGCTGGGCAGGGGCACATGATATTGATTATATTATTATTTAGACCTTTTTATATTTATGAGGTATCTCTCAGTACGTTTTTTAAAGAAAAAAATGAGACAATCTAAGTTGTCTGATAAGAAAAGGAACAGAAATGTGAACTCTTAACTCCTTTCTAGTGATTGATTTTCTATATAAAACAGGCTCTAGACCGGTTCCACTCCCTGGATGGCATAAAATAGTTTCATGATACATAGGGATAACACTAATGGACAGAATTGAGGGCCTAATCAAAAGAGCTGTGAACTGTGAGGGGTGAGATTCAGTCACTATTTTTTTTTTTTTTTGAGATGGAGTTTCACTCTGTCACCCAGGCTGGAGTGTAGTAGCATGATCTCGGCTCATTGCAACCTCTGCCTCCCGGGTTCAAGTGATTCTCCTGCCTCAGCCTCCCAAGTAGCTGGAATTACAGGTGCATGCCACCAGGCCCAGCTAATTTTTGTATTTTTAGTAGAGACAGGGTTTCTCCATGTTGCCTACGCTGCTCTTGAACTTCTGAGCTCAAGGCATCTGCCCACCTCGGCCTCCCAAAGTGCTGGGATTACAGGTGTAAGCCACTGTGCCTGGCCTCAGTCACTCTTTAACTCCAACTGTACCTGAACGAGACAACCCTGGCCCTGTATTTCCAGACATAAAGCCTGGTCCCACTTGGATTCGCATGGGCCATATAGGTGTTGAATTTAGAGCAAGTTCATCAGAGAATCAGTGCATTTTAGAAGAGCCCTCATATGCCCTGTTGTACTGTAGGTGTGTAGGGTGCGGAGTCATTACATATTTTAGCATTTCGTATGGCATCCATTCAACTTACCTGTTGTTCCAAGGTGCTTGGATCTATAAAAGTCACCAGATCTATCGAAAAGTAACCAACCACATCTCTCATTCTGCAGGCTTTTCCAATTTGGAGGCACAAATAAGTGAGAACTTGGGGATCCACTGAGGTCTGAGGCACGGTGGTACCAGAGGAGATGAAGGGGCTTTCAGCATGAAGCTGGTCCCCTGTCGACAGCACGCTGATTTTCCCGTTGGGCTCTATCAGCATGTCCACTGTGAGGTTGGTGACATTGTCTGCAGGTGGGAATGCTTCGATCACACCCCCTGGTGGGAAAAACATGGAGTAGGTGAAAGGACACATGCATTTTGTTTGACTTGGGCTCAGATTCTGCATCTGCCATGTCTTGAAAGACTTTGGGCAAGTAGCTTACATTCTCTGAACTTATTTTTCTTTATCCGTAATATGGGCATAATAAAGCCTACCTCATTAGATTGTTGTGCATCTTGGAGATACTGTATCTATCTATAGTATTCAGCCCAGCGCTTGGTATATTGTAGGGCTCAATGAATGGTAATTTTGATTCTGATTATAATTTGAAGACACTGTGAGGATCACTGGGTCTATGCCCACTTATTAAACAGGGAACCCAAGAATTATGGTCAAATCCCTCATGGGGAATTAACGGCCCATAGTCCACAGTTGACATCTTGATTACCAGTGTGCTCTTTTTGGTAAACTTCACTGCTTTTTGAAGGTTTGACAGGTTTGGGCTTTTTGTGGGCAGAGAGAACATTGACCATCATGTCAGCCAAAGGACTTCTATATAAAGCCAGTTATAAAACATTTTTAAAAATATAGAACCAAGAGATATTGCCGTGTTTGAAGAACACATATGCTCTCTCTGCTGATAATGAGAGCTTTATAATTTATTACATTTTACCCTTTGCTTTGAATGCCAAAAATCATAGAGGCAAGTCTGGTGTTCAAGCACAGCAATAACATCTTTCTGGCTAATTTGTGGGCTATCTCAGTGGTGTCCACAAAAATTACATAGCCCCAATCTTCTGTTTTTAGGCCCAACTTACAAATCTTACTGTATATGTCCTCTTTGTAGAGAAAAACTTTAAGATATTATTTGTAAAGAGTTAAATAATTTAAAAGTAAAAACAACAAAGTGTTCCATAGATAGGGTGCCGTCTAGAACCTGACAGCACTAAGAGAAACTTGGCCTGTATTTCACAAATTTGCTGGGGGCTGGGAGAAGTGTGACCTCTGCCTACAGGTGTAAGCCACAGACTTTGAATAGCATACAAAGAAAAAAATGAGCAGTTTTCAAATGCAGTCATCTGTTACTTCATCTAAAAAGCACTTTCCTTAAATGTCTATAAATTTGGTCAGAGGTAGTCCTAACAAACACCAAGTTTCAAAAGGAAAACCGATTTTGGAGTGTACATATTCAAATCCTAATTTTTCTATTTGGTTTGTTTGAGACATGCTTTTCTTCAAATGAGGCCTACTCGTGTGTGCTACACCTAAATACCAGTTGCTGGGGATTTAGCAAGGTAAATGCAACAAAACAACAATGACAAAAATCTACAGAAGTAAAAAACCTAGTGAGTCTCTATGCTTTGGTTAACTTTGTGCCTTTAGCCGTCACCTATGTTTTGAAAGATAGTGCTTCAGTGGAAACACACTATCATTCATAACTTACAAGATTACTTGGGTATTTTATTTCAAAGTAGCTTACTTGCACTATCTTCTCAGCATCATGACCACAACCTTTTCACTGTTACTTTTTTTCCACTCAAAGCAATTAATTCCTCCTCTGAAAAAGGTATTGCCACAAAGTTAGACCCTGTCTCTACAAAAAAATTGTGAATTGTAAACAATAAATTAGCTGGGCGTGGGGGTGTGCGCCTGTAGTACCAGCTACTCAGAAGGCTGAGATGGGAGTATTGCTTGAGCCTGGGAGGCCAAGGCTGCAGTGAGCTATAATTGTGCCACTGCACTCCAGTCTGGGTGATAGAGCGAGACCCTATCTCAAAAAATAAAAATTAAAATGAAAAAGTATTGCTTCTGATATAATCCTATGACAATTTAGAAATCAAACCCTAGCACATTTTGTGGCCATAAGCACACTGGAGAGAACATAAATGGAATGAAACAGGCAATGGTGGAAGCTGGAGGGAGGGAGATGGTGACCTTAGAGTTGGGAAACCTGGGAGACACCCTGGCTCAGTTAGGGACCATTGATGCAGGGCCTGCTGTATGCACTGGGTCGAGAGAAAGGCAGAAGCTTTGAAAACACATGACTTTCAAGAACCAGGTTTTTTAAATGTACTAAAATTGTAGGATCTAACTTTGTGTTCCATTTACCACTTATTTGTGGTGTGATTTTCCCCAAGTCCCCTCCAATCTCTGAGCTTCAGTGTCTTCATGAAGAAAATTAAGTTAACAAGGCTTGTACTGCTCTCCATAAATAAGCATGGCTGAGAAAGCAGGATAAAGATGAACAGGAGGTAGAGGTGAAGCCTTAGCTTGTGGTTATACAGCTCAGATGAGACAGTCGCTGGGAAAGCCTTTCTCATCTACAAAACTCACATGAAAAGAAATAGTTTAGAGGGAGGCTTTTGCAGGCAGATGCTGGAAGATCTGGAAATTTCCTAATGACCTGGACGGGCCTGGAGATCATCATGGTCTTCCCCCGATAACTTAAAAAAAAAAAAAACCTTATTAGGCTGGGCGTAGTGGCTCACGCCTGTAATCCCAGCACTTCGGGAGGCCGAGGCGGGCGGATCACCTTAGGTCAGGAGTTTGAGACCAGCCTGGCCAACATGGTGAAACCCTGTCTCTACTAAAAATACAAAAATTAGCTGGGCATGGTGGCATGCACCTGTAATCCCAGCTATCAGGAGGCTGAGGCAGGAGAATCACTTGAACCTAGGAGGCGGAGGTTGCAGTGAGCCGAGATCGCACCATTGCACTCCAGCCTGGGCAACAAGAGTGAAACTCCATCTCAAAAAAAAAAAAAAAAAAGTAAAAACACCCTATTATTGATCTTGTGTGTGTGTGTGTGTGTGTGTGTGTGTGTGTGTGTGTGGTAGCCACTTGATTTTCTTCCATTTATGCATGGGGTTGACTTTCCTTACTTGTCTATCAGTGGGTACATGTGGAAATTTACAGAATCACAAAATTTTAGAGTTGAAAGGACATTGGAACTTGTCTAGCACAACTGTCCCCTGCAAAGAATCTCTTTCCAGCAATCTTGTTAGATGGCTGCCATTCAACCCCTTGCTTAAATAATTCATTATCAGGGTATCCAATACACCCTGCCCAGCCAGTATATTCCAATAACCAACAGATCTGTCCTTTCATACACTCTCATACATTGAGCTACAATAAGCCCTGATAAATGTAACTACTGGCTCTGCCCAAGACTCCTGGAGCAGCACGGAGGTAGCTTTTCATGGGCTCTTCTACGTGTTAGCAGAGTGATTTGGGGTTAATCTTTTGTACTTCAGTTTTCCACCTCTATAAAATGAGGGTGATAATGGTGCCCACCTCATAGGATGGGTAGGAAGCTTTGAAAAGTTAACATAGATATACTTAGAAGAGTGCCTGGCCCATAATAAGCACTATCTAAGCTCACTATTATTATCATCACTGTGCTATTGCTGCTGCTGTTATCATCTGACATGACATTATCTTATCATTATTGATTATTGCTGAGATTATTATTATCACTTGACAGCAGTGGAAAGATACCTTCTCTGGCCTGTTATACTAACCCTTTCTTCTTGTGCATGTGGGTAAGCATGTAAGATGTCTTGCACTGTAACCTCCTAGAGACTGAGGGCCGTTGCATAGGTGTGCCTCTGTGTAACATCTGACAGGGACCTCTGAGACGGTAGACAGGCATCATTCACTCCATTCATTCCCTCATTCATAGACCACCCAATGTTGTTAGGAAATGAGGATGAAGTAGGAGGAGGAGGATGAAAGGAATGGAGGCTCGCTTTGTTCCTGGATTGTAGAAAACCCTTGTTTGGAAATGCTATATTCAGAACTGGAAGCGAGACCATTTTTGCTCTCCTAGAAAACAGAAGGAGAAACTAACACTTATTAAAGATGATTTTGTGTAAGGTTCTGTGGTAGAAACTTTCATATCTGTATTTCATTGAATCCACCCAATGACCCTGTAAGGTAGGTAAGTGAGGAAACGAGCCTTGGTGGGTTTAAGAACCTTGCTCAAGGTCATGGATGGGGTCCAGACCCAGGTAATCTGATTCCAAAGCCCACCTCTCAGGAGAAGTTTGTAGTGTAAAAAAAGGCCCAGAATCTTGAGCTTCCCATGCCATGCTTGGCATGCTAGGTTCTTATTTACTTAAGAGGCTGGGTGTAAGATAAATATTTAGGCAACATTTGAAAAAGAAAACCGTAGGAGCACTTTTCTAAACCAACACAGGAGATGCAAAGTATTTAAATTGGCCCCAGTTGACCCAAAACTAGAATCCAAGGTTGTGTAGACTAATCCTCAATAGAAACTTTACAGTCTTATTTACCTTGACTGAGAAATGTTTGGAGGAATTTCCTCCACGTCGGGAACCGTTTCTCATTGACTGGCTGTGCGTGCTGTGCTAAAATGCCCGCCAGCTCCTCAGAGATCTTCACCAAAGCTGGCTCCTGCAGAAACAAATTAAATAGAACCACAAGCAATTTTACTACAGAAATGAAAACTGCTTGTGGAGTGATTAAAAACCAGGCCTCCAACAGGCAAAAAAAATGTGGTTACTGTTTACCCAGAGTCAGAAAGCCATTTTGAAAATGTTCTCTCTTTTTTCAGCCATTTCAGTTTTCATATTTCAAAAGTGATTTGGCGCCCTAAAAATTCTTAATTGTTCCTGTTGTCTCTGAAAGGCACCCTTCTCTCTGGGCATCAGGAAACGAGGTTTCAGACCCACTGCAGCTGGCAGCCTGACCAGCAGAGTGTCCTTGGGCAATATCTTTTCTCATTCTGGGCCTCAGTTTCCCTTTATATAAAATGTGGGGTTAACTGTTTTTTTTGTTTTTGTTTTTTGTTTTTTCTTTTTTTTTTTGAGACGCAGTTTTGCTCTTGTTGCCCAGGCTGGAGTGCAATGGCGTGATCTTGGCTCACTGCAACCTCTGCCTCCCGGGTTCAAGTGATTCTCCTGCCTCAGCCTCCCGAGTAGCTGGGACTACAGGCATGCGTCACCACACCTGGCTAATTTTGTATTTTTAGTAGTGACGGGGTTTCTCCATGTTGGTCAGGCTGGTCTCAAACTCCCGACCTCAGGTGATCCGCCCGCCTCGGCCTCCCAAAGTGCTGGGATTACAGGCATGAGCCACTGTGCCCAGCCTAATTTTGTATTTTTAGTAGAGATAGGGTTTCACCATGTTGGTCATACTGATCTCGAACTCCTGACCTCAGGTGATCCACCCGCCTTGGCCTCCCAAAGTGTTGGGATTACAGGTGTGAGCCACCGCACCTGGACACCTCCATATATTTTTTAATTTTTAAAAAAAATTTTTTGAGACAGGGTCTTGCTGTGTCACCTAGGCTAGAGTACAGTGGTGTGATCATAGCTCACTGCAGCCTCAGTCTCCTGGGTTCAAATGATCCTCCTGCCTTAGCCTCCCAAATGGCTGGGACTACATGTACACACCACCATGCATGGCTAATTCTAAAAAAATTTTATTTTTTTTAGATTTGATTTTATTCTTCAGATTTTATTTCTGCCAGAAGTGAGACAGGGTACTGGATCGAAACTCATATGATAGACAATATTCATATTCAAAATATGGAGCACTGACAAGAAAAACTCAGATTTACTTTAGGTTGCAGGGGAACTTCTGAATCTGAGTGATGGTGCAGTAATTTGAAGGGATCAGCTTTGGGGGTGGGATTGGAATATTAGAAATCACACACACTTATTTCCAATTTCCCTACCATTAAAAAGTGATTGTCCTCTATGCACTGCTCACCCCAACTCCTTGGAACAGCTGGTTGATTCTAGGTCCAGTGCCCACTGACAACCCACAGTAGAAGACAAACATCTGACACTATGCCCTCAGCGGGTTCAAAAAATCTGAATAACTTCCGAAATATCCAGAAAATCTTGGTGGGAGAGTTTCATTAGTTATCTTAGTAAGTGCTTGACATACAAAACAGAACTGCCCTGAGAAGCGGAGAGTGCCCTGGCTCACACTCAGCTCAGGACGACTCCCTGCACAGTGGGAGGAGGTCTGTTAAGAAGGGCTGGGGAAGCGTTCATGCAGAGAGCTCTGTCTTGTGATGCAGAGACAAGGAAACTGCTGTCAAAGCAATGGGCCTTTTCCCTCCCTTCATATCCTATACGCTGTGCACATTTTCTCTGATCTTTACTGTGAATTACCTGATCGCCCCAAAGCCCTGCATCTAAATTATAAACAAGCATGTGAAATGCACAGCTCCAGCAACCCGGACCCCTTCTTTGTTCCTTCTCTGAACAGTCCCCCAAATCCATCTTTCTTTTGTTTTACACTTGTTTCAGTTAAAACCATTCCATTTTATCAAGGAAGACCAACTGTCTCTGATTTATGAAGTGCCCCAAAGCTGGGACAATGAAACACGGCGTTAGAATCCCACTCTTCTCTGGAAAATGGAATGGCAAGGAAAGGAAGTCTCACAGCCTGGGCCCTCTCTCAGACAAGTGGGAATTGCTTTGTTCTGCCTTGATTAAATGGCCTTTTCTGCCCCACTGCTGGGGAATGTGAAATCATCTACTCAGTTATACACATGTGGTCATTCATACCAAGACAGTCCAAAGATAAATCATTCATTCATTCATCTATATAGCAAAAATTACAGAATGTCAGGCCTTTTAAGCAACTGAACTAGTAAAAAAGTGATATATATACACATATATATATTATATTATATATATATATATTTTTTTTTTGGTGTTGGGGAGAGAGGGAGAAAAGGCAGTGAAGGAGCAGGTAAAACCCTTGCCACGTAAATCTTGAAAGGAGATCTCCTTCAACTTGAGGATCAAGTCCAAACTCCTCAACATGACAGATGAGGAAGGTCCTCTGTGATATGGCCTCTGGCTCCTAATGTGGCCTCACTTTCCTGCTCAGCTCCCAGCCTCCCCCTAACCTGCCCTCCTCTGCCTCCCCTTGCTGACTCCTCCTCATCCTTCCTGAGGTCGTTCCAGCCACAGCTCCTCCAGGAAGCCTTCTCTTCAATTGGGAGAGAAAGCTTTCTCCGTGCTCTCCAGCTCTCTTGGGGCTGCTTAATGGCATGGCCACTGGCTTTGAGGTCAGTCTCCCAGTGCCCAGCACAGGGAACACTAAATGTCTGCAGAATGAGTCACGATGGTGGTAAACATAGGACGTAGTCCTTAAAGCTGAAGTTACAGAATAAGATAAAACGTGAAACCTCTCAATGGGTTCCTCCTTGCTGCTCAGGAAGCAGCTGGAGGGAAGGCTGCTAAAGAACCACAAATTCTTCCTGGGCGGACTTTATGGGATTCCCTGCCTCTGAAGGGCATCGGGAAGATAAACGAGGTCACATTTATGAAGTGTCACCTCAGATGCAACATACTATGTGAGGGCCAATAAGTAACTCATCAGCCTGCTGCTTGTGTGTGGCATCTGGACACTGTGCCAGGCTTCTGCCACCGCCTCTGATCACAAAGCCAGCCATTCTGCTTTGACGCTTGGAGTTTTCACTGTGCACAAAGCCCCAGTAAGGAGGTAAATTTCCTAGAGGAAAGTCGGCTGCTGGAATCTGGAGGAGTAATCGTGTCCTACCATGAGAGGTACACAGCTGAAGGCACTGGCGGGGTGACATTCAGTAGGGATGCTGGGGCACACAGAGGCAGCTTGGGGCCATGATTCATTCTCTAAGAAAAAAGGCATGGAGAGGAATAATGCGAGGTAAGAGGAGAGGGGTATTAACTGTTTAATTTATTTCTTTATTTTGAAAGTGTCTGATGGGAAAAACAAGGATTATACTAAGAATGGCCTCAGCACCAATGAAAATTGTCTTCCTATCCCTACAAAACAAACCAAAAAAATACAGCAGGACCTGCAGCTCATATATTCAAGTAAGGTCAGAAAAATGACATTCTTGGTAAAAGCTTCATTTTATTTTATCCCCCCAACAAAACAACCCTTTACAGTCTGGTTTCTGCTGGTACTCAGAAGCTGCTTGTGAACTGGTGGGTTAGGCCAGAGCTCAAATCCAGGAGCAAAGGACTCCATCGCAGCAGTGGTTTAACAAGCTAAGAACACTGTTTTCCCAAGAAGCAACAAGGTCCCAACAGCCACAATGGGTCTATCGACGTCAGATGCAAGCTCTCAGTTTTTGGGGGGCTTTCTGTTCTCTGGTTTTTGTCATTTTGCATAGTTCAAACATAATTGCCACAACTTTAAGGGCAGATGCTGGTAAGGGAAGATCTGTAGCTATTCAAGTTTATTTTGTTCAAAACAAACTTATGTACACACAGACACACACACACACACACACACACACACACCTTCCATAACAGACAAACACTCCAATTCATGTGAATCATTAGAATACTATTTGTAAAATACTTTGTCTCATCACAGGTTCACATTCATGATCTCATTCAGTACTTTCAGCAACACTCTGCAGTGGCCACTACCATGTTATTTCTCTTGCTTTAAAATGGGAGCTGAGGCACTTAGAATGAAGAGGCTTGTGTAAGATCACTCAGTGAGCTTCAACAAATGATGAAAGACAGAAAATAACAGAGTTAGGGGAACCATTGCTAGCTTGCTTTCTTCCTCCCTTTTCTATCTTCCCAAAGTGTATATATATTGAATATCTGTTATAAGCCAGCAACAGGGGCACATCTTCTTTATCTCAAAAACTTGTGAAATGAGGCCGGGCGCGGTGGCTCATGCCTGTAATCCCAACACTTTGGGAGGCCGAGGTGGGTGGATCACTTGAGGTCAGGAGTTCATGACCAGCTTGACCAACATGGTGAAACCCTGTCTATACTAAAAATACAAAAATTAGCCGGGCGTGGTGGTGGGCACCTGTAATCCCAGGTACTTGGGAGGCTGAGGCTTGAATCCAGGAGGCAGGGGTTAGAGTAAATTGAGATAGCGTCATTGCACTCCAGCCTGGGCAACAAAACCAAAACTCTGTCTCTTAAGAAACAAACAAAAAAAAAGACAACAACAACTTGTGAAATGAGTAGTTAGGAAGTTTTTTTTGCTTTGCATTGAGTAACAACAAGGTGATGGACGATGGGCGACCACATCAGTGTTTCAGAGAGGCTATTATCCATTTTGAACAGATCATTTAGAGCTAATGACTTGGGAAGTGTGGAAATAAAAATATATACCTTGTTGATAATAAACAAGTGCTAGAAAAAATACACTTGACTTTTGAAAAAAGTCAGAATTCCAGATTTTCATTCCATCATGATTGCACTGGCTCTGGGAATGCAATTAGCGGCTAGCTTTGTGGGGCTGATAGCTCTAGGGCAATTCCCATCAGAAGAAACTTCAGCCCCATCTTTGCCACTGCACAGGCTTGCCTCCACTTTTTCCAGTGCCCACATTTACCTCTCAGAGTGCATCAACAATCGTCAGGACGTTGGAAGGTTCCAAGACATCTGCAGAAAGCATGGGGCTCCACCAGCCTGGCCGATGCACCCCAGAGATTCTTGTCTACCAAGTATGTAACTTGCCTCTTGCTCTCTCTTTTTCTATCAAGAAAGTGTAAATTTGAAGGAAGAGATGTCTGAATGAATGAAATTCAGGATATCTTAGGGGAAGCCAGTAGACTCTCCATTGCACTCAATGACTAAAGCTAGTGACTAAAGCTTAATACTGCACTCAATGACTAAAGCTACTTCAAACTCTACAGAGTTAGCTTCCCCAACCAAGTAAATTCCAAGAGTGCCTCTGTGTGTGTGTATTACACACACATACACACATACAGACACACATTGGTGTAATTGGGTCATGTGCCAATCTGCAGTGGTGAATTAATAACTTTTTGGTTAATCACCTCAAATCTCCCATATCAGACACTGATGGTGTTCAAAAGAAAATCAAGGGACCTGCCTACATGGTTCTGATTTCTAGATGCTTTCTGACATCCCTACATGAAGGACTGGAGAGTGAAAAGGGCAAGACAATGACCTGAAAAAGTAAGCAAGACTGTCAGTGTTGAAAGGAGCCATGTGGACTATCTAGGACAAATGCCTCATGTCACAAAAGAGGGAACGAGGGCTTCTCCAGTCACACTGGGAGGCCGCAGGTGCTCTCTGGCTGCCTCTGACTCCTGGGTAAGTGCTCCCCACCGGCCCTGCTGCCTCTTCAGAGTGTAAAGTGGGGAGCACCATGAAAGGTGCTCCGGATTTGAATCAGCTAGTGGTACAGATTGAGAGAAGGGAGGGGTTCCAAATTTGAGGGTGAATTTAGAAGGGCTGCCTCCGTGTGCACAGGATACATTTTAGTCACTTTTTAGGCTTTATTAAAATCCTAAAAGCTTTTAATAATTAAAAGCTCACCATATGGTAGGCATGTGCAGGGGTGGGGTGGGGGTGGTTTACATTTATTATCTCAGCCACTCTCTGAGGTAGACAGTGTCATCCCCTTTTCATGTCACACTGCCATAAAGTAGCAAAACAGGGATTCAAACCCAATTGCTACCAGTGTGCCATGATGCAGTGGAATCTGTGCTGGTAACTGCCATCAAGGCACAAGTGCTCAGTCTGGGCTGGATTATATCATCCACAGGTGATGCTAAGTCAGTGCTGTCAAATGTATGAAAATATGGTAGCATGGGCCTTTGTCACTGGCTGCCCAGCATCTATGTCCCCTCTTTCAGGGTAATAATATTCCAAACTTCTTTCAGGACCAATACTTTCCCCATGCCTAACTATGTGAGTTGATTGAGATTGTTGCCCCCCAACTCAGCTGCAAGGATTGGCCCTGATGAGCAAAGCCACATCCTGGCTACAGTGATTGGTTCAGGATGGGCAAATGACCCAATTAGACCAATCAAATATTAGGAAGCACTTCCTGGGGCTTCTGAGAAAGCAGCTTTATGCTCTTCTGAGAATGCTACCAGATGAGATGTTCTCTCTTCCTATTGCCTTGAGCAGGGACAAACTGCAGGAGCTACTGGCAGCCATCTTGTAACCGTAAGGATGGCCAGCCTTAGAATGGAGTGTAGTATACAGAAGTGGAAAGTAACTGGGTCCTTGGTGACATCATTGAGCCTTGTCTGAAGCCAGACCAATGTTTGAATTTTTAGTTAGCTGACATAATAAATTCTCTTTATTTTTAAAGCCATTTTGAGATAATACATTCTCATCATTTAAAAAGCCATTTTGAGTTGGGTTTTCTGTTACTTGAAACTTAAAACATTTTAAACTGATGCAAATGGGGGAATCAACCTGTGTATCCACAACCCATGATGGGTGTTTTAAGCCAGCAAATGCTCTGATCACTGTGTGCACTGGTAACTCTCATTCTGCAATCAGCAGTGGAGTTTCCACTCATTCCTTTCCATCAAGATTATTAGAAATAGTCCCTCTTTAGAGTGCAAAAATATGCTGAGAGGATGAAGAAAAAATGAAAATGTCTTTGGCAAGTCATAAACTACTTCCCACACCTACTTAAAGTTTAAGGACTGCTTTAATACTCCATGTTTAATTGTTAATTGAGAATTTAAAAATCAAAAATGCCAACTTTGCCTTCGATGAGATGGAAAATTATGCTGCTGTAGAAGGTAACATAATGTAAAACAGCCAACATTACCAAGGCACACAAATGTTTTTGGTATGTAAAATTGCTTTGTAAAATATTTGCTCCATCTGCTGAAAGCGGCAAAGACAATTTTCCCTCGATAGCTAATGGCCCATTTCGGCTGTGTGGCAAGTGATTCGCTGTGGTGGCGGCTCTCATTAAACAGAATGGTGAAAATGCGGTATATAATTCCATACTTATGTAGCATTATCCACTCGCTGCTTCTCGAGGAGTCTGTCCCTCATTATCTAGGCCTCCACCTTGCACCAACATGCAGGCCTAGCAGTTGATTTGACTCGAGAAGCGTTTTGTCCAACTGAGGCACATATGTTGTGCCTCCATTCCAAAGCTCAGCACAACTGCTTTGCCCCCGACCACAAACACTAGAGAGGTTCATTCCCTTTCAACTTTCCAGCACTTAAATTGCTGTATCTTTTTTCCTCTCACCACAGGGGGCTGTGGTTTTCTTTCTAGGCTCACCCTGTGCGCGCTGCATGCTGGGGGTTTCAATAGATAAAGATTAAATGCTTCTTGAAATTCTTAATTGAAATTTGCACATACACAAAGGCAGGAAAATTTTTCCCTGGGACAAAATTGCCATCATCAAAGCCCCGACAAGCCCTGTCCTTGGTTCATGGTGTATGTGAGGGCCTGCGATCCTTTTCTTTCAGGGAGTTGTTTACACTACTCCCAGAATTACTTCAACATCTGCTAAAGGAACAATTAAAGATAAATAATCCAGGGTGGTTTAAAAAAAGAAGAATATGTTCATGTTTGGGGAATGATATTAAAAAGTAGTTACAGCAGCAAGTGACTGGTGTTTTAGAAACGTTTTTAACATTGGAAAATGGTTTTAAGGAAATTATATTAAAATATAAGAGTGATATCAAGTAAATACATATGACTGTTCTAAGATCATGCAATATTTTAAAGCAGAAACCATGTGGTTTTAAAATCAGCCATAAGTAGAAGTAGCCATAATTATCATTACTGGTAATAGGGTCTTTCTTTCCAGTTAGAGAAATATCGCTGGTTGAGAAAATTGCATATGCTGATGAAAGCTCTTTAATTGAAAATTAAAAACAAAAGGAAACACATGTGCCCTTTGAACTTGATTTTTCATTCAAGTAGTGGGGGAGAGGAGTAAGTTTGTGGAATGAAATGAGAGACTATCAGGAGAATTTATATTTTAATTTTATGCAAAAGGAATGGGCAAGCAGTGACTTTAGTTAATCAGAGTGAAGAGCTGTGCCTTGTTTGATATTTCCACACATACAGATGCATACACTTGAGGCAGATGTAGTAGCATTATATATTGATTGTTTTCTTTCCACAGACCATGCTTGTGAAAATACCAGGACGGTAAATTAGTGAATTCCAAAGTCAGGATTTTTGTTGGATCTGGCACAGTCACAGGAAAGTCTGAGTTTTCTCAAGGGCATCCCTGTCTCACCGAGGGGCACCAAGGACAGACGACCAGAAGCAAATGGCGCAGTCACCGTCAGAGGAGAGTAAAACTCATTCTGAAACGGTTCCAAATGCCCATGCCTGCTCTGTGGTTTTCAGCAAAGCGGACCTTTCCAAAAGACCTCCAACAGGGACTTCCTGGATGTGAGAACACTAACCAATTCTCGTTCCTCTCATCTTTTGCTTTATTCCTTCCTTCCATGCTGTTATTGCGAAAAACTGGTAGTTAAATTCAATTGATTCAAAATATTCGGGATCCATATGGCCGCCAACCCTGGAGCTGAAGCGGCGATAGCGCCTCACTGCTGTTTTCAAGCATTTGCCTCTCCTCCAGTCCCCAGATGGTGGGAGTAACATTTAAACCTCCTTTTCTCTGCCTTGTACAATAGACCTTGGCACCATTTCAACTGTTTACTCCGGTAATTAACAGCTCTGATACCACAACAATTACAACTCCTACACTCTCACCACAATAATGCTATGAATTAGTGAGAGCTAATGGCTGGAAGGTAGAGTGTTTCCAGACTGTGGGATCTGTGCATTTTTAGAATAAAATAAAAGGTACAAACAGCACGCTTGCAGTAGACAATGATTACCTAGTAATTAGTTTACACAAAGCTTCCTATTTAATGGCAAAACGCTGTAATTAACGTGTGACAGAAAATCAAAGGGTACTTTGTAAGCATATTAAAAATTAACACTGCAGGCCCATAGCTTTATGTACTGATTAGAAGCATATTAAATCAATAGGACACACAAACCAACAGCTTGGGTAGCTGATTATTATAGGTCCTCAGAAGGGGTACCCTGGCTTTCATTTCACTTGGGGAGGCAATTTTCCTTCTCCTGTCATCTTCCTCAGGCACAGAGAAACACCTCAAACTCAACCCTGGCAGCTTCATGAAAATAACCACTGAACTGGAAGAAAACATTCTAAGTCATTCTCAGAGATGAAGACAAATATGTAAATGATTAAGACTTTCCAATGATTGTGGTGACGTGCTGCTACACTAATTAGAAAATACACCAACTGGAACCAGAAAATAAAGCCACTGGGTTGCAATCTTCCGGTCAGAATAATCTCTACTTTGTCAAGCCTCTTTATTCAACTCATAGAAAGTTCAAATAAATGGAACTGTTTTATATTTCTAAATGATAAGAAAGCAGGCTGCTATGAAGACTTATTCTTTCCAAGGCACTGTCTGGGTAAAGCATAGGCTGGGAACAACTGGATCAACCAACATTCTGTATCTTCAACAGCCACAACCCCATATAATGATGGCTGATGGACATAGACAGCAATATCCTGGAAGCCTACCAGAGCCTAAAGAACCTTCTGAATCACCAAAGAAAGATTAAGTTGTATGTACTTGTTCAATGTTACCTGTATTTTGTTATAATACAATTTTATGGTAATAATAACAACAATAATAATAGGTAGCATTTCTTAAAGTCTTATTATGTGCTAAGCACACTGCTAGCCAATTCATAGAATTATCTCATTTACTTGTCACCACTTCCCCATGAGACAGGTACTAATCTCTCTTTACAGATAGAGAAAGGGAGACTTGGAGAGCTGAAGTAATTTGCCTATAGTTATCCCCCAGGGAGCATGGGAGTCTAACCTAGGTGTCCCTGGCTATGGAACCCCAGGAAGCCAAACTACCTCTTAGTTACCCTGAATGACTAGCCTGTTCCAACACTCATTCTGCTTAAAAGGCAGTTTACTATGTCAACCTGGAATAGGAGACTAAAAAAATTAAAACAAAAACAAAATATTTGGTTGCTTATTTTTTTAAAAAACAGGGTGTTTCTGCTTTTAGAGATAGGAGTCTTGTTCTGTCACCCAGGCTGGAGAGTGGTGGTGCAGTCATGACTCATTGCAGCCTCAAACTCCTGGGCTCGAGTGATCCTCTTTCTTCAGGCTCCTAAGTAGCTGGAACTACAGGCACACACCTAATTTTTAAATTTTTTGTAGAGATAGGGTCTCACTATATTGCCCAGGCTGGTCTTGAACTCCTGGCCTCAAGCCAACTCCCACCTCAGCCTTCCAAAGTGTTGGGATTACAAAATATTACAGGAGTGATCGACTGCACTGGGCTAAAAACAAGGGTTTTAAATGCTTACCATATTTTTAATGCTACATCTGATTGTGAAGGTGGGCTACTCAAAGCTTTTTGGGAATTTACAGGCTCACTAAAATGATCACGATAGTGTATTAAATTGAGAAAGGCATTGAAAATCTGTCATTCCCATGAACAACCAAAGGGTGATGTCTAAAATTCTCTCTCATCACCCATGCACATAACCAGGTATATGAGGCAGTTGGGTTGCAAGAGCTGAATCCTAGAAACTCCTAGGCAGGGCTCCTCCTCTCCAGCTCTGAGGTGTGTGTATTGATGGCCCCCTACACCTCCCAGTTTGCTGCCTTGTGGGAAAAGGAGACCAGCTCTTCTGTTATCTAGGAAAGGGAAGAAATTTGAGAGCAGTGGCCTCTGTGTTCCAGGAATATTTGCGTTTCCCACAAATCTCTGGAAAGCAGAAAGCTTGCCACAAGGGCAGCACACGGTATGAGTCACAAAGGCAAGGACCTGAGGGAGAACACTTCCCAGGACTTTCAAATAAGGTCTTTCCTAAATGTACTTGGCTCAGTGTGGCAAAAGCACTGGGCTAGCAGCAGTCAGATGTGGGTTCAAAGCAAGGCACAATCATTTATTAGCTATAAATTTGGGCAAGTCACTTCTTGAGAATAAGTTTCTTCATCTGTAAACAGAAGTAATACCTTCCTTATATCTTAAATTGGTGTGGAAGTAAATGAGTAAAAACCTCAGGGTTTTTCTGAGTTTAAATGAGACAATTCATGTAACGTGCTTAGCACAATACCTGGTACCCAGTAGGTACTCTGCAGTATTTATTGATGATGATGATGATGATGATGATGATGATGATGATGACAAAGAAATACAAGGAAATGTCAACACCTTAACAGTGCATTCATAGATCTACAAAATGCTTAATCTCAGTGTTCTGGCAACCACTAAATACATAAAGATAATCTAAGACATCAAGATTTCAACATATAAAAATAAATATAAAAACAAGTGAACAATAATCATTTATATGTAGTTTCATGACTGGAAAAAATAATAACCTAGATTTTTTCTTAACCTAGAAAATCTAGATTAAAAAATAAAGATCTTGCATTTTTGATATAAAACACAAATAATAAGGACATGAAAAAAGAATATCCCTTGCTAGTAATCAAATAATAGCAATGAGAAGCTGGATTCTTATATCTAAAATAAAAGTGCAAATAGTTCATAATATCCATTGGTGGTAAGGTTGTGGTAAAACTAGTATTCTTATTCTCTGCCAGTTGCTTTGGAAATTGGTACTATCTTTTTAGGAATATGGCAATATGTAACAAAAGCCATAAAATATTCTACTCCTGGGTCTTTCTCCTCGGGAAGTAACTCAACAGAAGCAAAAAGAGGTGTATACAAAAACCAAATATAAAAACAAACAAATCTTTCCTCCCTCTTTCCTCCCACTGCCAAAAAATGAAAGCTGGGAATAGCCTAAATTTCCAACTTAGTTGAATTGTTCAATATATTAGAGTTCATCAATATGAGAGAATATTATGCATCTAATAATTGTGACGACTATGTATAAACATGGAAAATATTTAAGATCTGATGTTTAACTAGCATATACACTATTATTGTAGCTATGAGAAAGAAATACTGCATATTTAGAAATTAATATACAAAAATGAAAACAACTATGTTTGGGGACAGTGATTATGTACTTTTAAATTTTTTTTAATCTTGTTATCTTTAAACTTTTCTAAAAATGATGTGATTACAAGCAATGGCTCTTTGGGATCACCTAATAAATACCTACTAAATTCTAGACGGGACAACGAGCTCTGCCATCCTGCAATGGCTCCTGTGACCTAGTTCCAGGGCCATTCTGAATGGACAGAGGTCTTCACAATGGAGGTGGAGATGCAGGGAGCTCTATGGCATGAAATGGTTAATGATTCTCTTTTGTAATTGTGTTTTCTGTTTGCTGCCTTAGTTCTAAAAGGAGGCAAAACAACTGTGGTTTATTCTACCTTTTCCAGGCATAGTTCTTCTCCTACCTTTGTGATCCCCAAATTAATATCAAATGTCTAATTAGTTTTTTTCTCCATTGGTGATCCCCAAATTAATATCAAATGTCAGACAAAGTAAATCAAAGTACAAATAAAGGTAAAACTGCTCTTGCAAAGGGCTAAAATAGCAATGTTTACTAGAAGCATTCAAGAGCCAGTTCAATTTCCTATTTCTCATTAAGTGGTAAAATAGTAATGCCAAGACCACATCCCAGAATCTCCAGGGTAACAGAGGCCCAACGAAGGGCTGCAGAGAAACTTGAAAGTAAACTGGCTTAGTTCTTTACACACAGAAATTGTTCTACAAAGATCTCTTGCAAAGCAGTGTCACCAGTAGCATCACTGCCACTAAGCCAATGTCCCAGGAATTGAGGAAAGGAAGACACCCTTAAAGAAAAAAATGGAAAAAAGCCACAAGGACTGGTACCACAGTAAATGTCTGCCTGGGTCTCCCTAAACTGTCTTAGGTGAGCTTACCCAGGAATGTTTCTCCCCTACATGTTTGCCTTCCTTTGTTTAAGCCTTTATTCCTCCTAAATGAAAATAAATACCCCCGACTGGGGAACGTGGAGTTTGGAGTGTGTGCAAGAGTGTGGATTCATTAAAACTTAACGAGCAGAGTACTTAAGTGAATGAGTTTACTGGAACTTGTTGGGGGAAGTAGGTTTTGTTAGCTGGTAGGATGAAGAGAATAGGCTTGGTACCAAGTCACCAAGAAAAAAATGATAGAGTGTGTTCTGTTTTCATTTTGGCCATCATGTAACATTCTGCTTTTCCTAAAAATCACCTACATGTCTCTACTGATTTTTTTTTAACCGTGACTACAACTTTTCAGCATCTGCTGACTTCAGGACTATTTTAATTCTCAACTATAACCAGCCAGATAACTCTGGTTCCAAATTACATAGGTGAAAAAAGAGATGACTTTTTTTTTTTTTTGAGACAGTGTCTCACTCTGTCGCCCAGGCTGGAGTGCAGTGGTGTGATCTCGGCTCACTGCAACCTCTGTCTCCTGGGTTCAAGCAATTCTCCTGCCTCAGCCTCCCAAGTAGCTGGTACTACAGGCATGCACCACCAGCCCCGACTAATTTTTTTGTATTTTTAGTAGAGACGAGGTTTCACTATGTTGGCCAGGCTGGCCTGGAACTCCTGACCTCAGGTGATTCACCCGCCTTGGCCTCCCAGAGTGCTAGGATTACAGGCATGAGCCACCATGCCCGGCCCAGATGATCTTTATATTAGATACTTGAGTCTGCACTGAATCTTGTCTACATCTAAAACCAATATCTGCATAAGATGCAAGAGAATCTCAAGAGTTCAAGCTCCCATAAACAGCACTGTTTTTAATCTGTTGCCTACAACATACCAATGAGAAAAATCACGGTATCGTATCATAAACTGCTATGCAAGTGATGCTATTTGTAAGTATTAACATAATTTAGTGCTTACAGTCATATTCTCCTTTCTAATAATTCTCCCAGAATGGAGTCTTTCTCTGGACTCTTAGCCTGCAGGATAGTCTTTCATCAAGAAGCTGAAATTTTTAATAACCTGCCAGCATATGTTTTGTATGTGCCAGGCTAGGCTTGATGACACAACATCTTCATTATCAAAAGAAACAGGTCTACAAACTGTAATAGGACATTAAAACATGCCTGTGCTCGTAAAGTAATGCTTTGATGTCTAAATGTGCACCATTACGATGGTCTTCTGGAACAAAGGAGAATTCTAATCCTAAATTCTCAATAGCTACACTCAATGGAGACTGCAGCTCACCTCCACTCCGAATATGATTTCACTTTGAAGGCAAAAGAATGTCAATAGGCTCCTACAAAAAAAGAGGCACCTTTTCAGAACTACTTTATTTTTATTTTTGGCTTCAGATCATGGCTAAGCACTGGCCTCAGACTGTAAGGAGATTTCTGAATAATTATATTTTCCTTGTTAAGTTTTAAAAAATGATTTAGTTAGATTATTAATTATTCAAGAGCTTTGCATTTAATAACATTAACAACAGTGCCAAATGTATTTGGTGCCAATTAAAAATGCTACGGTTTAAAATAACTGAAATTTAAATAATGCACAATGAGGCTTCTAAATACAATTCAGCCAAATGTCAGTATTTTAAATATTTTTTAAAGTCAAACATTTCAAATTTATCATAGTGTAATGTCAAGAGAATTCTTTAAAAATTATTGGTTTGAAATACTGAAGCCAACAAATACTTTGCACATTAACACTTCAATGTTTTAAATTAAAAAACCATATTTTTATGGTTTAATCTTAACAGTGTTGCTTTAAAAAAAATCTATACAATACGAAATAAAATCCAGTTCAAAGAGAATATAAGGGAAATCTCTATGGGCCTCAAAATTAAATACATTTTCTTTGTTTTTATCTTTATCTAGAAGAGTAATTCATTTTGGTGTCTTTTAAATAATATGTAAAAAGCTGGCCATGACAGGTACTGCATTTAGTCCATTTACTGATGGAGGGGAGAAACGAAGCCCAGAATAGATCATGGGGAAACCAGTCACATTTGTCAAAGGGAACTCTCTCTCCTGACTGTTCAATAGATTTATTCATCACTCCACTTTCCAAGAATAATGTGGTTCCCTCAAGTGTGCCCCTCCCTCTCTATCACTTGTGTCTTGATTCATATACTTCCGTAGCGGGATGCTCAAAGCAGACGCAAATCACTTTGCATAGCCCACTGCTATGTATGCTGGTAGGGAAGGAACCAGTTAAGGGAATTTGCATTGTGATTTTCCTAATCGGTTATGCTTTAACCAGCAGGTCAGCCAAAACAGATATTTGGGATTAAGAGAAGCCAGGCAAGACTGGGGATTTCTGGATGAAAAGCAAGATAGTTTTAGAATGGCAGGTTTAATTTATATATTAAACCATATAAAATTACTTTAATTAAGCAAATTTGGAAGGGACTAAAAGGTTGTACGATTCATCCCTTCACAAATGTGCATGGAAAAAATCTATACACGTCCATTCATGCTAAGACTTCTTACCTACAGCTCAGCTTTTGCTGGGAGATTTTCTGGCTGGAATGTACTATTTTCTCAGCATCTCACAGGGACCAGCACTTACATAAATTTCCTTGAATTGTCTTCAAAAACACATGACTGCTGACAGAATGCTATTATACATTAGCTTCCAGGTGACAACAATTCACTAATAGAATTTCTATCTCATAATAAAATACAGCTAGCTTAACAACAACAGTTGTTAGAAGCACATGATCAAGAACCACTTAGGGCAAATTATAAGATTTGTAATGTTACCTGAATGTGATAAAAAAAATTACTTCCTAATTATCATAATCAATTTCAAGATGTGAATAAGGACTTTTAGGGCCCAGAGAAGAAACACTGAAAATAACCCAAATTGTGGCTCATACTTGTAATCCCAGCACTTTGGGAGGCTAAGATGGGTGTATCGTTTGAGCTCAGGAGTTCGAGACCAGCCTGAGCAACATAAGGAGACCCTCCCCGTCCCAATAAAAAAAAAAGAAAAAAGAAAAATTTAGCCAGGCATGGTGGCGCATGCCTGTAGTCCCCACTACTCAGAAGGCTGAGGTGGAAGGATCCCTTGAGCCAGGGAGGCAGAGGTTACAGTGAGCCCTGATTGTACCACTGCACTCCAGCCTGGGCAACAGAGTGAGGCCCCATCTCAAAAAAAAAAAGAAAAAAAAGAACTCAGTCAATCCCATTCATTGTGTATATAAGGAAAAAGGTCCCAAGAAAGGCACTGCTGGCAGGTGACAGAGCTAAGTAGAGAGGAAAGTACTTTCATCTCTTAGCTGAACTTTTTGCTTCGTCCCCTAACTGTTCACAGACCCTGCGGGTTTAAGTCACCATTGAATACTCACTTGTGCCCATTTCTTTCTCCAGTCTTCAAGGCCATATCTGCTACTCTCCTTTAGCACCCATTTGTAGCACTTTAGGTAGGAAGGAATATCACAAAATGCAGTCCCATTTCCTCGGAACTCAGAGTCCATTTTAAAGAGCCAACGCTGTATTTGCAGGTGATCAGTTATCAGCTGACTCAGCTGCTCTATCATCTGTGAGGCCAAAGACACAGCTGCATTTAATACAGTTCATTTCCTGGGATTCCTTTTTATCGTAACAACTTAGTTGCTGTACTTCTCATGTGTCTTTACTTCTAATGGTCTGTTCATTTGGTTATCTTCTAGTTATTAAGACAGATTAAAGAAGTTTAAAGTGATATAAATATGATGCGAAGAAACCATTAACCAATGAGACCAAAGACATGTTTAAAAGCACAGTCTTATTTGAGAAATTCTGAAATTATCATTTTGCTGGCTTCTGAAGGCAAAAGAAAGAATCCTTGAATGCCTGTAATTGAATCTTGATATTGTTTTCTTTCTTTTTCAGAGAATTATGCATTTACTTATTGATTCCTCAAATGATGTTTTAATTGTTTCAAGACTAGAAAGAGTTACAGTCTTGAAAACTTTAACTGTTTGGGGCTTTGTTGAGCTTTTTACTGCTATAAACTATAAAACATTTAATTTTTTCCTCATTAATGTACATGAAATACATTTGTTTGGCTGGCCAATTGGCCAAGTTTAGTATATGTGTGATATAAACACATATATTTTAGAACAAGACAGATAAAGGAGATAAAACATTTGTGAAAGCAAACTTCCTGGAATACACACCTACTTGACATTTTATTTGAAACATTTCCTCAAGAACTGGGCTCAAACACATGGGAGCTTAAGGGATAGAACAGTACTCCAAGCTCTAGTATCATAATAATGATGATAATGGTCTCTAAGATAACTGAACTCTCAGTAGGAGACAGGCCTTGGCTCATGTCAGTTCTTTGCATGAATTTTCTCATTTAATACCATAATCTATGAGGTGGACACAATTACTAGTTTTCTTTTATATGTAAATAAACTGAGGTTCTGCTAATTTAAATAACTTTCCCACAATCACACAGCATTGAGTAGCAGAGTAGGAATTCCATTCAAGTTGCTTTGACTCCAAAACCTATGCTCATTCCCTCTTTACTGTGCTGCCTATCCCAACCCACAGAGAGGTGGAGAAGGGTGAAGTAGAGAAAGAAGTCAGAAGAGGAGCAAGAGAAGCCACTTTCCTTACACTCAATAAGCCATTTGGGGTGAGTTTGAATCAGATAAAAGTCTATAGCAAGATGACTTAATTATAAGTAATACTCACCTGGCAGAGCCTGGGAGAAAAATACCTCATTAACTCACAAAACGATTTTTCTGTCTTGTCTTCTTATCAGACTTTCCAGTCTATACTTCCCAGAAAGCAACAAAATAACACTAAGCTTTTTGTCTCCAGAGCCTTCCCATGCTGTTCTTGGCTATGGTTTTCTGTACGGAAGGATTCTGTGACACTCTTATCCTCTTTTTTGATCAGATCTCTTTGCCCACAATTTTTTTTTTTTTTAACTAAAGAGTGTGAAAGGACTCATGATTTACAGTTCTGTTGAGGTTTGGAGCTACCAGATTAAAGTTATTTTGATTAAAGGCCTGATCTGTTCTTCTGGGTTGTATCTGTCCAGCAAATCTTCCTGGGGATACTATACTACATGGCAGTGTGGAAGAGACAGCAAAATGGCCATACTTGGGTTCTCTGGAAACCTCATACAACTATGGGGTATTCAGTGAGGGTGAAAATTAAAATTGTCTTAGCTCCCTAATTATCAAGTAGTGTTTATTGATGATTTGGGTGTTTAAATGACAGAACTCTGGTCTACAAACCATATGGTGATGAACACAGCCTAGGAAGGTTTTTTAAATATGCCTTCCAAAGTTGTTTCCTTATTTCTCTAATGTGTTGAGAATATAGATTTTATATTTAATAATATTTTGCTGTATTATGATCACACTTTGCAGAAGTAGAAATGGTCTTTGGCCTGTTAACATCAGATAAAATTCTTTTGCTAGTGTAAGGAAAGGTGTTCTGGCATAGATTTTTTAAAAATTACATATTTAGATATATTATATATTTGCAGGTTTCGACTACTAACAGAATTATTATCTATTTCTTCCAAATCCTATTATTTGTTGCTTCTGAGAATCCTATAAATGGGCATCTGTTGATGGATCCCCTACAGTAATGAAAAGGATCAATAGTATTGTAAAGATTGCACCACTGGAAAGAATTATGTGCTATCTTTAAGTGAAAATTGAACAGTGCTTTAAAATAGCATCTCCATTTTTGATTATTTAACCAAAGCTGTCAATATTTCCCATGGAGCATGTTCCAGAAAGAGAACTTTCACAGTTACTTTATGGATCAAAACAGGAAATGCTCACTGTGTTCATGCTAGATTTAAACAAATTAATCCTAAACAAAATGACTTTATGCTATTTCCAAATGTTTATCATTTTTGTTTGAGTCTATCTGTTCAAAAGATGTAATAAATTTTTTTAGCTGTGATTTGTTTTATCCTGGTAAAGAGCAGAAAAATACTGCTAAAGTCCAACTGAAAGTCAGAAATAATAACCTAAGTTAAAATAATCGCAGCTTTCTTTCACCAGCTTTAAGTTTATGATGCACATCGGTAAAAAGTCAGTGTTATTGATTCATCCCCATCTGCAGATTCAAAATGCTGACATGCTCAGATAGAATAGATAGGGTAGTCACTATCTGGAAAAATCTCAGTGGAGTATTTTAATTCTTGATGACCTCAGATGTATGTTTTCCAAACAAGTAGAGTAGAACTCAGTGAAATATTGGTTTATTGTTATACAATTTGCACATACCATAGGTCAAATGACATCTCTCAAATCTGATGTGTCTCTAAGGAGGTTTTTAGTCATACTTCTGAATACTAGCACTAGAGGGAGATTTTACTGCATTAAATGTGCCTGCATCTTTAACTACAATCAACATATGCGGTTCTGAAATATTTCATAGCAAAGATTGCCTGAGATTTCCTCAGTGAAGATGAAGGCAAGACTCAATATAAACATTGCACATACATGTTAAAGCTTTGAAGGTTGTTTAATGTATAGTACATGTGTGTAATAATATAATTTAAAATTTTATTTTGCTTGTAATAAGTATAACAGCCAGATATTCTGCTGTGAAGCAGAGTCAAGCAATCTACCTTGTTATCTTCAAATTCCAGTGGTGGCTAATGACAATGGAAGTGACATAACAGCTCAGGAGGAGCCTCTCTATTCCACTCCTACTAAAATTGCCTGCGACTGTCCTAGGTTGTGATACCGTTAAGAGAAACCTCCTTCATAAGCCCATGAACATTGCCCAAGAATACTCTAACAAGAGTGAAATACTTGCTGGCAATTTAATAAGCTAATAGTATCTTCAAACTAATCTCTGCAAAGTATGATTTGTTGAAAGGCTAGATTTTTGAGCTCAGTGGCTGTGAGGTGCAGAGCATCATGATCAGGCAACTGAGAGTAGGAGGGGATCCCTAAATATTGTCCCTCACAAACTGACTCACTGTGCACTGTTCTCTGGTTTCCCAACAAGTGGGTAGGGGGGATAATTTGTGATTGGCTCAGAGTAATGGTCAAGAGGTGTACTGAAACAGAGGTTAGGAAATGTTAACAGCCATTTGTCTTTTAATTTTCTCTATTATGAAAACAGATGGCAGTTAAATGGGAGAACATCTGCCAGGGCTAACTCAAAGAGAAAACATTTCTAGTGGCTAATACATTTCTCCCCATGTTTTAGACCCTGACTATCTGCTGGAAGAATGCATAGCCACACACTTGGTCCAAGGCAAAACGAAAACAGACAGTTTTATTCCTGGAGCTGTCTTACTTCCCCAGTTTTATTCCTGGAGCTGTCTTACTTCCCCCTTCTGAGATCTTTCCCCTCCTCCATTTCGATCGCTTCCTGAAGAGCGAAGGAAGTCTGCAGCCCTCTGTTCACAGGCCCTCTGCAATCTGACCCAGTGGGGAGGCTCACTCACTGGAGTTTTCCAAACCCACTGCTTTTAGCGAAAACTGACTCTCCTATTTCTTAGGATCCTATTTAATGACTGGCAAGCTGATATGATGATGAATTAATCCATGTTAAAGCATTAAATATTGATAGCAGATTAGTCCAAATGATATATACATTTTAACAGTGCTTATTCCAAATGAGTAAATAGTTTGGAAATTCCAGCAATTTCTGCAAGACTAACAGGAAAATACTTTAAAACACAAAGTTCTAAAGTAGATTCCCTCAGGCTGGGCGTAGTGGCTCACGCTGGTAATCCCAGCACTTTGGGAGGCTGAGGTGGGCAGATCACTAGAGGTCAGGAGTTCGAGACCAGCCTGGCCAACATGGTGAAACCCCATCTCTACTAAAAATACAAAAATTAGCTGGAAGTCACAGAAACTGGGAGGTGGAGGTTGCAGTGAGCCAAGATCACACCACTGCCCTCCAGCCTGGATGACAGAGTGAGACTCCATCTCAAAAATAAATAAATAAATAAATAAATAAATAAATAAAGTAGATTCCCTCAAATCAACTCAAATATTCCACCTATTCTTCATTGGGTAGGTCTGGCTCCAGAAGACTTGGAAATTGTCCAAGATCAAGAGGATGTTTCAAATATTTGAACAGAGCTTCACTTGTCCACCCCACATACCTGTTGCTGACTATAAATATCATATATTCCAGGAGGAACTGCCACATTGGCACTGTCAAAGACACGTTTGCCTCCAGATTTGGTACTATAAAGATGAGCTAGTTCAGGCTCAGAGCCCAGGATGGGTATGTCTAACATATCGGCCACAGCTAAATCATCTCTGTGGAGGAGCCCGCTGACGATGTAGGCCTCTGTTCCTCGGATGAGATTTTTTATTCTTTTGATTGCCTTGGGACTGTACATCAGGTGAGTGGCCAGGCACATATGATGCTTCTGGGGGAAGATCATATTATTCTTGTTAAAAGGTGTCCTTTTTTCTAGTCCATACACCTAATTTATAATGTTGCACATAATAAATACATTATTAATAGCAGGCTGGGTTATGACCTATCCTGTTGTTTAGCAGTTTAAATTGATAAAAGCTGTTGGGGTGAGGTTCCATAATCGCTCACATCTTTAGTGTGTTGGAAATAGGCTCACTGGGAATAGAACTAATTACTACACGTCTGTATTTATTTGATCCACGTGGAATTATCCTTCTGTCAGAAGGAAAAGAGGCTGGCGGCCTTTGGGTAATAGCAAGTCATCTCTGCAACACTTCTGGCATGGTTTAACATTAAAGTGTCTGGAAAATCAATACAAAAAATGAAGAAAAAAGCCTCATAACATTCTTTACTTTATAAATTCCTACCACGGCAACTCTTTAAATGCTTGAGTAGGAAAAAGGCACTTGACCCGACACCCTCCTTCCAAAATTCTACCACTAAATCTGCTTCAGATAATATGCACTTTTATAATGATTATCATGGTTCTAGGCAACAACTCTGGAAAGGATTCACAAATAGAAAATAATTGAAAATTTCAGCAAGACTCAAATTCATTTTTCAGTGAAAAACTCTTTTTGTTTTATTTTTGACTAGTTAGTCCCAGCTCAGCAATACATGTGACTGTCTCATTCAATTAAATAAATAATTCTAGCTAGTCTAATGGGGGCAGAGAAAACAGCATACACCAAAACTAACACAACCATGTTTCTGTTTTTGAGGGGTGGGGACACAAATAACAGTTAACACATAACTGAGATGGGGCAGAGAAGGGCCATAAGGATCTGCCGAGTACTCAAGAGGCCTGCTGGTGGGGAATGCTGAAAAGGCAAATACACATTCTCCTTGTGCCTGTTTCCTCATCTGTAAAATGAGTGTAATAACAGTATCTACCTCATAAGGATGCTGTAAGGATTAAATGAGATAATGTATGTAAAGCACTTATAATAGTGCCTTGGATACAATAAAGACTTAATGAATGTTAGCTAGTACTATTATTATGAAAGAGGTTGGGGTTGAGGTGAATTCTGAAGGATGGGTGGGATTTTATCAGGTGAAGATGGGCATGGGAAAGACATTACCTAAGGATAGAATAAAATAATCCAAGATTGTTTTCCTCCCTCTAGAGAAGAGGGCAGCATGGCACACAGGAAAGTGATGGGGCTTTGGAGTGAAACAGGTCTGGCTTTGAATTCAGCTCTATCACTTATAAGGCTCCATTAATGTAGGCAAGTAACTTAGACCCCCTGAGCCTATTTCTTCACCTGTTAGATAAGAATAAAAATTACCCATTTGCTGGGGTTGCTCTAAGGCTTTTAAAATAAGATCACAAATGTAAAATACCTAGTATAATACACAGCATTGATACTCAACAAATGGTAATAGTTATTATTACAGAGAAAACCCTCTTAAAAATAAAGTCAGGCTAGGCACCGTGGCTCATACCTGTAATCCCAGTACTTTAGGGGAGGCCATGGCAGGCAGATCACTTGAGCCCAGGACTTTCAGACCAGCCTGGGCAACGTGGCAAAACCCCCTATCTACAAAAAAATTAGCCAGGTATGTGGTGGTACACACCTGTGGTCCCAGCTACTAAAAGCCTGAGGCAGGAGAATTGCTTGAGCCAGGGAGGTCAAGGCTGCAGTGAACCGAGATCATGCCACTGCACTCCAGCCTGGGTGACACAATAAGACCCTGTCTCAAAAAAATAAAAAATAAAAATAAAGTCATTAAAATGTTATGCAAATAATATAATGTAAAAGTGCCAGGGTCTCAAGGGAGTTGAAAGGATTTTTATAGACTAGCATCTACTACCCCAATTCTAGTGAAAAATTATCTACTCACTGCAGCATAAAAATATGGAGAAATGCTAAGTGATTGTTTCAAGGAATATCAGATGCACCAGTTTGCAAATTGTCGGAGAGTATAACTCCTGAGTATGGGAGAAAGAGAACTAGACTGGGGAGAACACCTGCATTTCAGTCCTGAATTTGTAATTTGCTAGGTGATTTAGAAAACTCAACCTTTCTGAGTCTCAATTTCTCATATTCAAATGAGGGGTTGGATTAGAAGTCTCTAGGGTCCTTTCAGCTCTGAAATAACTTTCCCTTTAAAACAAGAGCTCTTTTGGACTTATTGCTTAATGGGTACAGAGTTTCTTCTTGGGATGATAAAAAGTTCTGAAATTGATAGTGGTAATGGTTGTACAACAATGTGAATGTACTTAATGCCACTAAACTGTACACTTAAAAATGGTTAAAATGGTAAATTTTGTGTTATATATATTTTACCACAATTTTAAAAGGCAAAAAACAGAGCTCCTCTGAGAAGAGGATTTACATGATTTCCCCTATTGGGCCCTTCCTCCAGATTAGGTGTTCTATTCCAAGTTCCTTAGATCTATGCGATATGCCTTTTCTACCATAATTTGAAATCCTTTTTTTTTTTTTTTTTTGTGGAAGCAGGGACAGAGTCTCACTCTGTCACCCAGGCTGGAGTGCAGTGGTGCAAACACAGCTCCCTGCAGCCTTGACCTCCCAAGCTCAAGCGATCCTCCCATCTTAGCCCCTCAAGCAGCTGGGACTATAGGTGCATGCCACCATGCCCAGCTAATTTTTGTATTTTTTGTAGAGACCGAGTTCTGTCATGTTGCCCAGGCTGGTCGCAAACTCCTGAGCTCAAGCGATCCACCTGCCTTGGCCTCCCAAAATGCTGAGATTACAGGTGTGAGCCACTGCACCTGGCCTTAAATCCATTTAAAAAACATACTTCTGAGGATGCAGTTCTAGGAAACTCAATGTTCCATTTGACAATGGCCAGTGATAACACCTGGCAGGTTTGTCTTTCCCATCTGGTTAGTCACTGTCTTTCTTCCTTGTTTCACTCTTTTCTTTTTCCCATAAATTATTCCAATGAAGACATGTAAAAGAAAACGAACTGAATGGGTGACTTGAGTTACGATGTCCTTGGTGAGCCTTTCAGGGCACCCAGAAGAGGATTCCAAGGCAGCAATCATGGTAAGTTCACAAGATCAAAGCCTTTGACATGTGATCTCTCATTTGATCCACATGTCACTGAATCAATTAACTATCCCTATTTTGGAGATGGGGAAATTGAGCCTCAAGTGATTTGCTCAAAGTCACACAGCTAGTAAACAGCAGAGGCAGGATTCAAACCCCGTTAACACAGTTGGCATGCCACTGCTGCCACAAGTTCCCCATTTTATCGAGTGAGTAGTAAAGATCTGGTGGGTTTTTGAGATGTGAAGGGGGATGGCAGATGCAGCAATAGAACCTAATGTTAACATTCTGAGCATATTTCCAGCCAGGATGGAGTTCTGTCTCCTCTAGGTTTGCGTGTTTCTATTGGCAAGTACTCTACCCAACTCTGTATTATAGTCATCTGCGGGCATGCCCTAGACTCCAGGCAAGATGCTGCCACAGTATTGTGTTCAATATGTGTTTAATAAAGATTTAAATGTGAATAAGTGATGGCAAAGGATGTATCACTAATCACAGGTCTTGTATGACCATTTGGAGAACATCAGTATCATCAGATCCAGGCAGTGGATTAACACAGATGACAAAATCTAAAATGTGTCTAGTTCCATTGAATTATGGCTACATTTAATTTATCACCACTGATTTTTTTTTTGACCTGAGATAAAAGGTAGTTGTTTAGGATGTCTTCATAAACACTGAAATGTCTAAAAATAGACATAATGACTTTTATAAAGAGCACATTTTACCATTACAAATTCAAGAATCATATAGTAACTTGGAGAGATGTACAAACAGATTTTTGGCATGCTTTAAAAAATCTCATAGCCATCCATTTAAATGAAAATCAGCACTGATACAATCTCTCAAACCCATTAACAACAAATAAAGCAACTACCAAACATGAACAAGAACTGATTTGAAAGTGAGAATTTAATTTTTGTATTTTTAAAAAGTTGATTGCTTATGAGTAATTACTCAAATAATTTAAACTTGAGCTATGAGAACTATTAAGTACTTAAAACCTTGCCTACTTGTTTCTACTCACAAAGATGTAAACCTATACTATGTGCATCTGTGAGTGCCTGTCTCCTGGCTTCTAGTCCACTAGAAGCCAGAGTGGACTAGCAAGGGTATGGTTCTCAGGTAATAGGATGATAGAGTTGAAGATGACTCTGAAATGATCTAATCCAGGATCTCATTTTATAGATGAGGACCAGAGGACCAGAGAAGTAAGGGGGCTTGCCCAAGGCCACAGGTCATCCAGGAGCAAGGCAGTCATTCCAACTCATGATACTGCTCTGCGGTAGAGAGATTTTGGTTCACACTCTGGCCTTACTAGTAACCTTGGACTAGAAAATGAGTCTTGGTTTCCTCAGCCATAAACGGAGATAGGTAAAAAGAGCTATCTTTCCATCTTGATGCATTCTTCTGAGAATCAAATGAGAAACTGGGCTGGGCGCGGTGGCTCACACCTGTAACCCCAGCACTTTGGGAGGCCAAGGCAGGCGGATCACTTGAGGTCAGGAGTTCGAGACCAGCCTGGCCAACATAATGAAACCCTGTCTCTACTAAAAATACAAAAATTAGCTGGGTGTGGTGGCACACACCTGTAATCCCAGCTACTCAGGAGGCTGAGGCAGGAGAATCGCTTGAACCTGGGAGGCAGAGGTTGCAGTCAGCTGAGATCACACCACTGCATTCCAGCCTGGGCAACAGAGTGAGACTCTGTCTCAAAAAAAAAGAAAAAAAGAAACTGTATGCTAAGAATTTGAAAAATGTTAGTTTTCTCACTTTTTTTCTCCCCAATCTAGTGCCCCTTCCCCATTCTATGCCTCTTTAATGTATATGGGCATTTCAGATGTGCAGAAACTCCTTACTAGCAGTTAGCAGCCATTAGATCAATTTTCTGGCTGGAGAAAATCAGGAATTTAACTAAACACTAATGGTAGTTCTTTTTCTTCCTTGCACCCTAATGTCCATAGTAACTATGTCATTGAGGCCAAGCAATAACTAGGAAGCACCAAAGAAATTCTTACATTGGTGGAGGATATTGGAAGGTTCCCAAGAATGTACATAAACGGCAGTGATTTGTCACTTGTCCTTTCTTTTGCTTCCCCAGCCCCTGTCCTTACCTTCCTCTTTCACAGTCAGAAGTGCCAATGAAACAAAACTGAGCAGAGGGTTTTTAGGGGAATACTGAGGCATCCAGTTATGAAAAAATAAAATCTTCATTTTGGTAGAAAAGAATAAACCCTGACAACAATTGACTGAGTATACCAGCAAAGTAGAAATGCTATAGAAACTCCCCCAGTCCTGGCAGGCCTTTCCTTAGGTCCCTCCCCCACCCCCATTTTTTTTTTTTTTTGGTCAAATCATGGTACATCTGAAGTGTTAATGGGTAGTCACCCAACACATAGATGTTCCCTATGTATAGCATGCAATCACGTTGGCGATAGAGAGACAGTTGACTTTGGTGCATTTCAATTGTAAATGAACACAGCTATCTTTAATTATACCAAAAAAAGTCTCCTCAAAAATGCATAGTCCATTAGGTATTAAACTGTTGGCTGGTTAACATGGAAGGTTTAAATTCTTGTTAAAGTGTAGGGAAATTCGTTTTAAGCCATCTTTTGTACTGCCTTATTCTAGAATGCTGCCTTTATCATTCCATGAATTTCCCAATGGTTCTTGTCTAGGAATAGGATTCCACTCAGAATTCATTCCATTCACTAAAAAATCAGCCCAATTAAAAAAAAAAAACCTGAACATTGTTCATTAGGAACCATCTGATATGGTAAATCGAGCCAAATTCCCCTCAGGGGAAAAAACACGGAGTACCTGTGTGGATCAGCAAAGAGAGGGCCTGGTCTAGTTCTGCTCCTAACTAGTTTTGTGACTGTGGACAGGCCCAGCCTTTCTCTGCCTTAGTGTCCTCCACACAAAATTAAGAAAAAGGAATGGTACATGTTATAAATCCACCTACTTGATGGTACCACCTAGTAACTGGAATTAGGCTACAACTACAGAGAAACTGGGCAGGGGTAGCTCCACTAAGTCTGAAAGTTAAACTGGAATATTTATTTCCTACAGACCAACTAGTAGTCTAATCAGTAAAGCTGTTAAACTTGCAATAATATTTCACTGATGTGTACCAGAGCGTTGCAAGTTATTAAAATTTCCAATTTAATTTTACTGCATCCCTGAAACCATAGTAATTAGAACACAAACTCACAGGGAAGATGTTTACAGCTTCAGGTGTGATAATTTTGAACCTGTCCTGCAGGTCACTTCTGTCCTCAAGGTTCCCAGATTTGACGGCTGCATGTAGACTTAGGATTTTTTTGTAATACAGCACTAACTCGTCATTCATATGATGGGAGCAGATGTAGATGACATTCACATTGGCATCTAAAAACAACAGGCACAATGTTAATTACTGGTGTGAAGGTAAATGACATTATGAACTCTGGCATCCGATTGGTGTTGTGCAGTTTAAAATAAAGAGCATATCCAAAACCCAGGTTAAGGTTAATTTAGTTTGGTTTTGTACTATCTGAGCAATCTAACTGGCTTTTTTACAGTTCGGCATTTCTCTAAAGAAAATATAAATAACACCACCACCAACGAAATAGATGCAATGATTCCTTCAGAAGGAGGGCTGTGAGATACCTTGGAAATGTACTTTCAAATAATACATAGGGATTTAGCCACACAACTCCCATTAACATCAATGGGAATCACATACTGCTTTAAAAATTTATTCCATTAACTTCAGTAAATTATAAAACAGAGCTACTAACTTTACAAAGCTGATGAAATTGCAATTTCTTATTCTGTATGGACTTGACAGGGTCAATTCAGGGAATGTCCTGTTGAAATAAATGGTCTGATTATAACCACAGCAATAATTATTTCAGGAAACCAGCCTTTCCCTTGCTTGATTCCCAAAGAGGAGTACATTACTTAAATAGCAGGTCTAGTGATTCTTGGTTTAAAGGAAACACCATCTTAATTTAACTTTTCTCCTTCTTAAGATGTGCTTCTTACATGTAACATAGCAAGAAACCCTAATTAAATATCCCATCCAAATGGAATAGTGAAATGAGAGTATCCACTCCATGCTGCAGAATATTTCAGGGAGTATGAATAGGAAATCAGCAGTCAATGAAGTCATTCATTTGTTCATCCATTCATTCACAAAATAGCTGACTGATCTGTAGGGGCAAAGCCCTTGGCTAAATGTGGAGGGAAATACAGTAATCATTGTGGGCACGATGAAGCATGCAGACCAGGTACTTAGAGAAGTTCAGAGGAGGGAGCACTGTAAACGTTTTCTTAGGCAAGCAGGGCAAAGAGAGGATCTTCAGACTCCTCTGATCAGTTTGGCAGAGTATATATACAGAGCATAGACTGAATTAAATTCTAGTTATTTAACCTTTCTAAGCATTCATTTCTTCATCTGTAAAAAGGGGAACAAAACCACCTGGGGCATAGAGTTTTAGACACTATTAAATGAGTGAAGATATAGAAAGTATCTGGTGCAGCATCTGGCACATAGTAAGTGCTCAAGAAACAGCACAGGTGTGTGAATGTGCTCCTGGCCCACCCTGACTAGGCTGGCCAACAGTGATTCCCCAGCTGCCCCCACACCTACATTCCTTTTGATCAGTGCAAGATTTAACATGAAGTAGTGTTCTCTGTGGTTCTATCCTATTGTTTCCAATCTATTAATCTTGTCTTTCCAAGCTCCTTAAAGGCAATGTTTGTACTATTTCTTATATTCCCCTAAGCCCTGGCACAGTGTGGAGTATGTAGGAGTCACTCAATAAACACTTCTGGACTGACTGAAGGGATGATGGAGAGATTCGCAAAGTTGGGAAGGTCTTTTACACCTAGACGCAGGGCATACATACATAGAGAAATCTCTCTAGAGACCTAGAGGGGGTGTTTTCTGAAGTGACCTAGCTAGGCCCAGAGCAGGTGCTCCATACATGTGAATATTTAAGTGGCTCCCATTTAATTTTGAAGCATAAACCTCAAAATAAATTAACTGAGGAGGCAGTAAGTAAATAACTTGCATCCAATTGCTGAATCATCAAATTAGTCATCTTAAGTCTTGTATTTTGAAGAAGAGACTAGCGTCTAACCAAATTACAGTAGAGGTTTTAAAAATCAAACTAATGAGTTTTTTTTAAGTATGAAAGAATAGGGCAGAAAAACAACAAAAATAGCTTACAGACTGTAACAGATGAAAAATAATTTTTTTCTTGGGAAGAAAATTTCTAGGTTACAAATGATAAAAGGAATCATGTTGCCAATTTCACCTTTCCTGTTAATTTCTGGCAAAGGAATACGTATCACTAACTCTAAGATTCAGTATTAGTGGGTTTTATCATGTGTTAATTTTACACATGTTCAAAATTAACTGACAGGTAATTTTGGAAAGGAATTGATACGAAGATGAAACTTTCTTTGATTGCTGGTCAGTAATCAGTCACTTCCTTGCTGAACTCATCTAGGAACTGAAAATACTAGCCATTGGGGTCTGCACCTGAGAACCATGAATTCACAGCCAATATCTAGTGACAAGCCTTACCAGTGTGACTGGATTATCTTTGTTTCCCCCGAATAAGAAGAAAAACCATAGGGGATAATAATGTATTCTTCCATAAAATTATTACTTATTTTTCTATTTTCTTCACATTTTTATTTCACAAAAAAGTACTTTTTCTTCATCTAACTACTATTTCTAAACTTTCATTACTCCTCTTGAAGACTTTTTATGATTGCCTTGCTATATCATGAAGACTATATACCAAGAAAAAAGCATTTGGTTCATAATCTCTCAGAAATGTTCATATAAGCAAAATATTCCATTGCAGGTAGAGACAGACTGAATTATTGAGTTGTTTAAAATAGAAGCCTAATACTTTCAAGTCTTTTCCAATAATGAGAATCTTTTATAAAGAAATTATTTCGTGATGGCTTATACTATATATAGAAAGAGATATAAAAAGCTGAAGAAAAAAATTAATTCAAATAAATTAGAGGAAAGTCTGCCCTCTGCTGCACTTCAGTGGTTTCCATCCAGTCAGGTTTTTAGTTGAAATAGCTTAGCACTAACAAATCAATCTTAAGTCATTAAAAATTTTTTTTGTAATGCTGAAAAACAATCTGAGTGCCTAGATAATAGATTAAAGCAATTATGATTATTATTTTAGGACACTGTAAATTTCTAGTACTGATGTATTTTTTGATACCAAATAGCATTTATAAAATAATAATGATGCTGAAATATATATGAATCATGTAAAGCATGTCATTCCAGGGAGCCAGTTAAGTTGGTCCTTGATCATTTAAAATTCTTCCTTGTTTTTCTTAAATAAGGGCCAAAGAAATTGTATTTTAACAAAGCAAAGAAGTTCTTATTTGGTAACTAATACAAATCTAATTTTTGTGTAACCTTGAATTTTTGGCAAGTATCTCACAAACAGATTCAATGTTATTGCTTAGCTTTTGCAACCTATATTCTTAGAGCCTAATCGGAACCCGGGCCTTGAACAGTGTCAACCAAAGCTATCACATTCAGGCATCCTTCTCTCCTGGCTCCAGATGGGTGTCTGATTAAGAACTGACCAAACCAGTATCAGAACCTGACTTTTACAAAGATGTATACATCACTGAATCAAGGTCTGTATTTCTAAAAATTCCCTCCATTAAGCACTTCACGTTTTCTAATAATAAGATGCTCTATATTTAAATAAAAGCTTCTTTTAAAAATCTATCTTAATTTTCCCCTTTTTCTTCTTATGAAAACACAATGCTTCATTTCTGATACCACCTTTCACACATTCCCCAGATACTATAAGAGACAAGACTGACACAAATGTAAAACTTTGACTTCACTCACTGTAAGATTCAGTAAATAAAGATTTCGGTTTATAGGAGAGAAATTCTGATCCAAACCTGCAGCAAAGATAATCTAGAAAACTGCCCAAGTAAATTGGTTAAAATGTCATTTTTTATTCAAGTTGATTTTACTACAAATATGTTTTTTAAAATAAAACATTTAATTGCCCTGTAAGTAGATTAAACATCTGAGCTTTTTCCTTGTAGAGGAAAAAAATAAGCAAAAAACAAACAAACAAAACAACACATTCTATCAACATCCACTGATAAACATTCCAAAGAGTCATTTGTGTAAAACTATTTACTGTACCTAAGATGTCACACAGCCTCCCCAGCTGCATGTTCTGCTGTGTGTTGAAATCGGCAATATGTTCTCTCACAGGCTGGGAATACCCTAAAAGGCAAACAAGGTGTCAAAACACAGAAAGAGCAAGTCGATATAGCAAAATGGCACAAGAGAATTTCAAAATGTCACAGTCCATATTTCCAGGAAAAAATTTTCTCTGAAGCATCTTACAGAAACAACCCAATCCCGAAGAATGAGGTGCTTGTTTCTCGGGGGAATTAAACATTATTCTGGAAGATGTGCTAAGCAACATACTCTGTAACAGAGGGGTTCACATTTTTCAGTACCAACAAGGCTGCTAAGAATCAAGATGACAAAACATGGAGAAAATTTCTGACATGCAATATGAATGTTTACAAGGATGTGTAAGAAAATTATGCTCAGGTTAAAAAAAATATCGTTTTGGCTTCTTAATGTGAGCTTCTTATGTGGTATTTTGAAGATGTGTTCCAGAATCATTCTAAAGTGACACATAGATTTCAGATAAATCCCTTGCTGTCAGGAATATGTATTTAAATAATTCAAATACTAAAGAAATCAGCTTCTGCTCACGGTCACAAGAACTTTTAACTTTCAAAGGGCAAGAAGAGCTAATGCAGTTACTTTGTCAGTACTAATAAAAGTCCTGCAGTTTGCCTTCATTTCCACTGGAAACGTAGCAGAAGGGAAAACACATATGAATTACTATTGTCCAAAAATCTCTCACAAAAGAAACAACAGCGGAAATACTTTCTGCTGATATTTCAGGTCATTAAAAAAAGTGAATCAAAACATAAACTTAAAAAGCATGCATACTCACAAGCAGGTATAACTGCTTATATGAAATTCAACAACTGTAGGTGTAACTTTTTTTTTCTTCATTAAAATTGCTTTTCACATTTTGAAGAGATGCTTCAATGCCTCCTTGTGGTTAGTGAGCCCAAACACACATTTCAAGTTAAACTGCTCTAGATAAAGTGATTTTATATACTACATCTTCAAGATGTGACACACATTTCCTTTTCAGCCTAAGGAAAACTATAGCAATTCAGGCAATGGGGCTTCAGACCAAATGAACTCTGATAATTGGCTCTTTGCTTTGATGTCAGTGTTTAAACACTAGACAATGTCTGGAAATTAAATGACTTTACAATCATCTAAAAGTCTCTCTTTGCTTTGCATCTGGACTTAAGAATTAAAGAGAGAGGCAGAAGGACAAATGAGCTGTTCGAATCATTTTTGAAAAATTACTAATCTTTCAAATAATTTAGAGAACCATTCCACATATAAAAGCTAATATAGGCAGTTACAACTCCAATGTCTTTATGTGTGACTGCAATATTGTAACTTGGGATTTTGCATATGTATAATTTTATCTATATTCAAATAAATGTTTAGAAAGATGTATTGTGGATAACATATAGCAAGAGTATAAAAAGGCAGGAAAATGCCTAAAGAATAAAGTGTGATTAAGAAAAGTGCCTGAGAGCATTCCATGACTGCATTGCCTTTCAAAAGTAAAGATAAAAGCAGTATAATATGTCTCATTAAGATGATGTCCAATTTAAAATATAAAAGATGTCTGATCACTTTGTTGCCACATACGCAGCATGTGAGTGAATAAGTCTGTGTTCCATTCCAGTGTTTGAAGTCAGTTTTCCAACAAATTACTTGGGACCTCTGTTACCACTGATCAAGAATGCATATAAAATGTCTACATAGAATACACCCATTTTAAAGAAGTGTATGCTAATCTTGGAACATTGTTGTAGAAAATCACATGCAGTTACAGACATGAAAACACCTTGTAAGCTGCAAAGTGCTTTATAAACACAAGGTATTTTAATGTTACAAGGTATGGATGTTTCCAAAACATATAACAACAACAACAACAACAAACTCTGTGACAAGCAACAGACCATTCTACATGGACAAGATACAACGCAATGTACAATGACATCAGCAGAGCAGAAGTTGGGAGTCAATATATTTTTTTAAGTCAGACTTGTTTTGTTTTATACATCCATAAAGTATATGTGTTGACAGGTGAAAAGATTTCATCTATGCTGGTAGTACATGCTAAATATAACAGTGACTTAACCACGAAACTATCAACAAGGATGTCATGGTTTGTGGGAGTTCAGTAGACAGGCCCAGTGGCGATGAGACATTGCACTTTGGGATATAATCTACAATGATATGATTTCTTCAAGGGTATCAATTAGGAACACTGGGGGAGTTCTGAGAGACTATCAACCTCAATCCTGTCATATTATAGGTAAGGAAACTCAAGGTAAGTGTCTTGTCTCTTGTCCAAGGTCACATAAACCTACCAATTATTATACGGTTTAGATACTACATATTAGCTCTTGTGAGAAATTTAGTTATATAAAATAAAAGACTCTCCAAGTGTGAGCAGAGAAGAAGTCCAGAAGGGACAAAGAGCTTTGGCCTCTTTTCTCACTTTTATTTTCAGTTGTTGTAGTAGGCAGAATAATGGCCCTTCAAAAACGTCCAAGTTCCAATACCCACAACCAGTGAATATATTGGGTTACATGACAAAGGAGAAATAAAGTTGCTAATGGAATTAAGGTTGCTATCAACTGACCTTAAAATCAAGAGATTATCCTGGATTATCTGGCTGGGCCAGGTGTAATTGTCAGAGTCCTTAGAAGTGGGAGAGGGAAGCAGAAGAGAAGAGTTGCTAGGTCTCTCTTGAGGCAATAAGGTCCTCATCATCATGGGGTATGCCTGACCACCCTTTTCTAAAGTTCTTAGTCTCCCTTCACTGTCATTCTCTTGCACCTGTTCTTCACCACCCTTTTCTCATTTTGTCGTTACATATTTCTTTGCTTGGTTGTTTACTTTGTTGTCCATTTCTTCTTTCCCCTGCATCACTCTAGCTCCTGTAACCAGACTCTTAGCTATGTTAGAGCAGGCACTTGTGAAATCTCCAGTCAAATAAACGAATGAAACACGTGTGAAGCCCGTACTCAAAAAATCTTTTAATTCTTTTTTTTTTTTTGACAGGGTATCACTCTGTTGCCCAGGCTGGCAATGCAGTGGTGCAATCTCGACTCACTGCAGCCTCAACCTCCTGGGCTCAAGTGATCCTCCCACCTCAGCCTCTCAATTAGGTGAGACTACTGGTGCACACTACCACACCTGGCTAATTTTTGTAATTTTTGTAGAGCCAGGGTTTCGCCATGTTGCCCAGGCTGATCTCAAATTCCTGGGCTAAAGTGATCCACCCACCTCAGCCTCCCAAAGTGCTGGTATTATAGGCATGAGCCACCATGTCCGGCCTGTCTTTTAAATTCTTAGCCCTTTCTCCTGTGTGTTCTGATCACTCCCCCTTCTTTCAACTCTTCTAAAATTGGGTCTCTAAGCTGGAGAACTTCTGGAGAATTCAAAGAATGGTAAGTGGGATTTGTAGCTTTTTCCAGGTCCTCATTAGCACAGAACAATACAACACTAGCAGAAAGAGGCACTCTCTCTTCCTCATCACTATAGAAAGGATCACAGCCTCTTTTCTTATGGCCATTCTCATTTCCCGCAAAATATTCCTAGTTTGATAGAGAGTTCCGTCTTTTCTCAAATAAGCAGTTGTGAAATATTATTGTCTCTACATCAAAGAAGCTTACCTGAGAGCTGCCTCTCTGAAGTTACTCATCTACTACTTCTGGTCCCCCACTGAACCAAGGTTGCTCATCAAGGGTTACTGGCAATCATTTCTCCATCTTCACTTCTACCTTCACAGCCTTTCCCAGTCCCTTTCTGCATAAACATCTATCAGATGACACTAATTGCCTCTTTGCATCCAGCAAACTAGCTCTGCTAGGATTGGCTTTTCTTTCACAGTAACCACAGAAACCCAAGAACATGAGCAAGGCCACACTGAGTGACTGAGCCCCCTTGGCACTGGTGCATGTCTCTGTGACAGGCCCCTGTTGTTGCAGCAGATCACACGTTCTTGAAAACTCAGCTTCTTACCCAGTGGGTGACTCCTAGTTTCTTTTGTCTCCCAAGTCCTATTTCTTATAATGGTATTCAAGGCAGAGAAGAGGTTAACAACAGACTCCTGATTACCAAGTAGTAGTTGTTTATCTCATCGCTCTAGCCTGGGATGGTAGTCATTCATGCCTCAGTTTGGTGATCTGGAGGAATAGTTCTCAACCTTTTCCTCATTTTGAAACTCATGATCAGTGATGTTCAATGCATCACATCCTCCCAGCAGCATACTCAAGCTTACTCCATCCCTTTCTCTCCTAATCAAGAGAGCACACTGGAAGAAAGGTGAAGAAGAGTGACATTGATACAGAGATAATCTGGAATTGCTCCAATTCATAAGAAAACTTTGGTATTCTAATGGTAGAAAAATAAGAAGACACATGATATACTCACAAATGATTGCATATCAGCATCTTATAATAATAGAGAACTATGATCTAGACACTGTGGTTGTAACCAGGCTTTAATTACTTATGCAAGTGTGAAAGCACAAGATACTAGAAAGCAAGAAGGTGGGTTCCCAAAAGATGGCAAGAAACAGCTCTATCTGGGTTATTTATATAGTATATCAATTGCCAGTTAGATTAAAATAAAACTAATAGTTGGTTTTTTGGGGGGCTATTGAAGGGGATTAGGGAATTTTGGTATAAAGATGTAGAAAACATGGAAATACATTTGTTGAGTTTTGAAAACATCCTCAAACCAAATGGGCCAAATGGATTCACCTTCAAAAAATTAAGGAAGTTCTCTTGTTTAAACTTTTCTCAGTGGTTAGCACAGCATTGCATGCAACTAAAGCCAGTTGTATTAGTACATTTTCACACTGCTATAAAGAACTACCTGGCTGGGCACAGTGGCTCACACCTGTAATCCCAACACTTTGGGAGGCCGAGGTGGGCAGATTAACTGAGGTTGGGAGTTCGAGACCAGCCTGACCAACATGGAGAAACCCCATCTCTACTAAAAATACAAAATTAGCTGGGCGTGGTGGCACATGCCTGTAATTTCAGCTACTTGGGAGGCTGAGGCAGGAGAATTGCTTGAACCCAGGAGGCGGAGGTTGCGGTGAGCTGAGATTGCACCATTGCACTCCAGCCTGGGCAACAAGAGTGAAATTCCATCTCAAAAAAAAAGAAAGAACTGAGTAATTTATGAAGAAAAAAGGTTTATTTGACTCACAGTTCCACATGACTGGGGAGGCTTCAGAAGACTTACAATCATGGCGGAAGGTGAAGGGGAAACAAAGACCTTCTTCACATGGTGGCAGGAGAGAGACAGTGAATGAGGGGGGAAGTGCCACACTTTAAAACTGTCGGCTCTTGTGAGAACTCACTCCCTACCACAAGAAAAGCAAGGGGGAAACCTGCCCCTGTAATCCAATCGTCTCCCACCAGGCCCCTCCTCCAACATGTGGGGATTACAATTCAAAATAAGATTTGGGTGGGGACACAGAACCAAACCATATTACCAATGATTCTCAAATTGTGATCTGGGAACCCAAGGGGATACTGAGAACCTTTCAGGGAGTCTGCAAGGTAAAAACTATTTTCAAAATTATACTAAGATGTTCTTTGCCTTTTTCAATCTTGTTCTCTTACAAGTTACAAAAGACAAAAAGTTTATTAATATGATTGTAGATTCCACATTGCAACTAACACTTAGAATTACCATTGTGGAGTTTAGTATAAAGTCAAAGAAGAATATACACAACTATCTGAAAAGGCTATAAAACATACAAATTATTCTTTCATTTTCCAAATACTTATCTGTGTAGGGCTAGATTTTCTTCATGTGTGTCAACCAAAACAACATATTGCAACAGATTGAATACAGAAGCAGATATGAGAATCCAACCATGTTCCATTAATTTTTCAGACCTGTCAGACAATCCTACCCTTCTCACTAAATTTTTTTTTGTTTTAGAAAACAATTATGTTTCAAAAATATGTTATTTAGATTAGTGTTGGTAGTGGGCTTATTATTGTTATTTTAAAAGAAGTTAATAAACATTTTAAAAATTACTGTTTTAATTTCAAATACAGTTAATAATGACAGATATAATCCACTTAAACCAATGTTCTTTACGGTCTTCAATAATCATGATGAGTGTAAAGGGGTCCTGAGAACCACTGAACGAGCCTTTTAATATTTTTTATGAGTGTAAAGGATGTTATCTTTTATAGTGAAAAATTCCTTCTACAGCATATCCTAATATTAATAGATCTCATGAAAAGCCTATGAGCTGGAGTCACCTGACACCCAGTTCAATGCTGTTTCTGTATTTCATGGTACAACATCATATAGCTCAAGACCAATTGGATAATTTCATATTATAAGATCACGGGACCAACTCTGATCTAACCAGTATAAATGAGTGTTGATTTCGATTACATGGGTGAATACAAATATGTGTGTGTTTGGGCTATAAAGCATTTTTAAAGTTTAAGTGTACTTTGTTCCTGATCCTGAAAGATCTGGATATTTCTGGGAAATGCTGTCTGGGAAGTCTTGGCAGTACACCTATCCCAAGGATCTAGTATGGCAACACCATAGCTAAACTATGGATTCTATACTACTTGCCAAAATATATGTTGAAGACTGCAAAGATTTTATTGAAAGTCCAGATTTCCTAGCCTGAGGTGGAAGGAACAACATCCATCTTGTCTTTGAGCTGTCAACTCAAAAGTAAAAAGCAGCATTGAACTGGGTATCAGGTGACTCCAGCTCATAGTAGAGAAAGCAGAAAGGTGCCAGTGTGCGTGGAGGCATAGTAAAAAGTGATTGCAGATCTAACGCCGTTGGCTGCCATCCTCCACTCTGCCCCTGTTCACAAATGTAGGTGAGTTCAAGCTTTTATCTCTTGGCAGAAGAGCACAGAGTTAGGAAGCAAGAGTCTCATAAGCATTTGGGACTTTCTCAGTTCAGCATATGATCGGTTGCACACAAAAGTAAGTTTCCCTATCCTTTCTCGTAGGCTTCTGTGAAAGTACACATGAGCTGGAAAATGCTGTATTTCATGAACTTCATAATAACAGGATCCATAATTTTTATGGAAAGAAGAATTTGAAGACCACTACTTGTTTTAACCCCAAGAATAACTTGCTAAAATAGGGCACAGAGGGAAAATATGGAACTGAACTATATACATTCTTTTTAGTCATCAAGTCAATTGGCAGTGAAATAAAAGATTACATGGAGAAAAGAAAAAAAAATCCCACCTCTATTTTTACTTTAAAGGAGGAGGAGAAGTGAGAGTGAAAACTCATCCCTGGGGGTTTAATTGGCTGGCAGTGGCTTCATATACTGCTCACAGCAGCAGAGCCCCATATTTGGCACGTCTCATTTAATGTCAATATATTTTAAAAAGCAACTGAGTTTATACGTAGCACCAAGTGATGTGCTGCAGTAAAGAAGCACAGGGGTTAAATTAAAAGTGGAGGAAATACTTGGCCAAAGAAACTGGGAGCAAAATTAGTCTGTAGGTTTTATTTAGACATCTGGTTTTTCTAGAGGAATTAGGATTCTTCAGGTTCTTTCTCATTTGATTGATAGATTTTGCTTAAAATAGACCCTAATATTTTATTCCTGTTATGAACCACTGTAGATTATTTTGTTATAATTATATTAATAAAAATGATAAAATATGTAATATCCAATTAAGAGATCAGCCTATAAACTCTGAAAAATGTTTCTTTATCATCTTATAAAATTACAAGGCAAATCAGGTTTTTTTGACAGCAGCATTCCACTTCTCTTGTGGGTTAAAAATAGCTAAAATTTTTGTTATATCTAGGAATACTATCTGAAATATATAACAATCAATCAAGTTTCATAAGTCCTCCTTTCTTTTTTTCTTTTTTTCTTTTTTTTTTTTTTTTGAGATGGAGTCTCGCTGTGTCCCCAGGCTAGAGTGCAGTGGCGTGATCTCGGCTCACTGCAACCTCCGCCTCCCAGGTTCAAGCGATTCTCCTGCTTCAGCCTCCTGAGTAGCTGGGACTACAGGTGCGTGCCACCACACCCAGCTAATTTTTGTATTTTTAGTAGAGACGGGGTTTCACCATGTTGGCCAGGATGGTCTCGATCTCTTGACCTCGTGATCTGCCCACCTTGGCCTCTTGAAGGATTGGGATTACAGGCGTGAGCCATCACACCTGGCCTAAGTCCTCCTTTCAAAGAGGTTACTCCACAATGTTTAATTGTCTTACTGTTCATATTACCAAGCCACAGATTTTAAAATACTTTATAAATATTTTGTGGTCAAAAACATTACTGAAAGGCCATCCTTTCTGTGATCACCAGTTTGGAAAATGCAATTATTCCCATGTGTGCAAAACTGCATAAATAACCAAATGCTTACAACTACAATATATTATGCAGTTATCAACTACTTAGCTTTCATTTGAAGGGTTCAAACAAGTTAGTGCAGCCCCAATTGGCTAGCAGCATGGTGTAATTATTTGTAGAGCTAATTCTACAGCAAATTTCCTATGGCAAGAGAAAAAGAGGACAAGGCTGCAACTTGTGTTAAATGCCTACCTGAACCAGACAATCCTACCAACTGATTTTGACTAGTGAATCTGTCTCAACTTTGGAAATGAAATTACTAGATTGAATAGATTAGTTTTCTTCCAGTACATTTAGAGAAAAAATTTGCTTCACTTTCATCCACTTCTATTTTTATGAATTGTATAGGTAAGTCCCTGGTGCATGAGACAAAGAAGTTTGTGGCATCTAGCTGAAATCTTCTTTAAGGACTCCCAGGGATGTGGTACACAAAAAAAGGGTACCCTATATCCTTAAAAATATATACATCGTTTGAGAATTCTATCTGTGGAATAGGTAGGAGATGACAGCTTGTTGTTACTTAATTTAATGTTCACAAGTCATTTGTATAAAATCCAAAGCACGGCCGGATGCGGTGGCTCACACCTATAATCCCAGCACTTTGGGAGGCCGAGGCTGGTGGATCACTTGAGGTCAGGGGTTCCAGACCAGCCTGGCCAACATGGTGAAACCCCGTCTCTACTGAAAATACAAAAATTAGCCAGGCATGGTGGTACATGCCTATAATCCCAGCTACTTAGGAGGCTGAGGCAGGAGAATTGCTTGAACCCGGGAGGCGGAGAATGCACTGAGCCGAGATCGCACCACTGCACTCCAGCCTGGGTGACAGAGTGAGACTCTGTCTCAAAAAAAAAAAAAAAAAAAAAATCCAAAACAAAGATTGTAGAAACAAATACTATATGATCAAAGCCCAGGTATTATTCTCTTTTGAAAGTGTGCAATTAATCTTTTAAAATGCTCAATTGAGAAGAAATCTGAGCTTGTTCTTATCTCTTAGAAATTACATAATTAGCAGTTTTTCTTTAAAATGGGTATCATGTTGTTAACAAACAAAAATTGCTACATTAGGGAAGACTTTCATATTTATTATGTATTTATTTAAACTGAATATGTGTAATCCAGAAGAAAACTAGTTTTAATATCATATTTAAAATAACGTTTTCTATTTCTAGCTTCTTTGACCAGATTATTCTCCCACTTAATTTATTTTATTTTATTAATTTTTTTAGACACAGTGTCTCTGTCATCCAGGCTGGAATGCAGTGGGATGATCATAGCTCACTGTAATCTCAAACTCCTGGGCTCAAGTGATCTTCCCTCCTTAGCCTTCCCAGTAGAAGGACTACAGGCCTGCGCCACCATGCCTCGCTAATTTTTGAAACTTTCTAAAACAGGGTCTCACTATGTTGTTCAGCCTAGTCTTGAACTCCTGGCCTCAAGCAATCCTCCCAAAGTGCTGGGAACTCCCACATAATTTTTATTCAGTAAGCCCTTTTGAAATTTTAAGACACTTTCACTCAAATTTTTTTATTACCTAGTTTACATAACGATTACTTTCAAATTTTTACTTCTTTGGAAACTCCTTTGTATCAAGCTTCTCTGCAGAGCAGACTGCATGGAAGTTTTTAGGAGGGTCAGAGGTGGGAGTATAGGAGTAAAGAAGTTTGTGTCTATCACACCTTTGTGCTAAGCAACTTTGCAAAGTGGGGGGCCCTGTATAGAGAAAGCAAAACAAAATTTCCCATATAATATCAGGTCTGGTCCACAATTAGTTGCAGAAGCAAAGCCTCCTGCACCTTATTCGAAGGACTCAAGTCAACTAATGAGGTCTGCAATTAGCCTCTTTGGTTGCAATCAACTACAAGTGCAATTTCTGTGTGTGAACTAATTTTGTGTGTAAAAGTAGTCTCATCAAAACAAAAGCCTAACTTAGAATGAAATTCAGATCCTATACCTCACTTAGATCCTAAGAAGAAACAAATTTCTTTCATGAGCCATGAGGTAGACCAAAACTAAAAGGCTCTGTGCAATGCAAGTATTTTCTTAACCTTCTGTAAGTACTTAGATCTAAGTACTCCAGAGTCTAGAAAAGATTGCCTTATTTTATTATTGATATTTTACTAATTTAAAAATAATTATATTGTATAATGATTTAAATGTTTTTTCTTTTCATATTACTGTTTAAATGTGTTATGTTTCTACACTACATGTAAGTACACAAACTGGTTATGCTCACATATGAATATGAATAAACTGCAATCCAGCATTCTGTTACAACAGATCACTTAATGCATTGCTCTACTTAAAAGACTTTAACAAAGAGCTAATATGTATGTAACAAAGAGATTCAATGGGTTGTGCTGCTTGTCAAAACTCTACCAAGTCAGCTTAGGAAATCTGACCTCACCAAGGAAATTTAACACACTAGTGAGATGCAAAACAAAACAAAACAAAATAAGGAAGCAAACAAATCCCAAACATGTTGACAGTAGCTCATGTCTTAAAAGAAACTCCAATGCAAATTTCTGAAATTCCCAATGTCATTTTGGCATACCTTTTTTACCAGTGTGTTTCAGACAACAGCTTTTAAGTTCCCCAATTCATAAATGTAATTAAATAATTACATTAGTGCTAATTAACATGAAACTGCAGATTATTTAAGTGCAAAAAACACTATTCAACTTCTTAATTATTCTTGTTCACACAGCATTTCCTTTTGCTCAGGCGCCCTAGGTGCAAATAAAGCATCCCATCTGCTCGTAATTAGAACTAAATAATTTCAGAGAATGTAGCTTATCATTTTGACTGCACATTTGATTAAAAACAGTGTACAAGCAATATCCTGGCTTATTGGCGTAACAGCAACAACACATACAAGCCTGTGTTCTTCTATCATTAAAGAAGATCGAAAACATTATCTGTTATTTCGGGGAAAAATACAACTTTTTAGTTCATTTCATACAGATGAAAGCGAATTACAGCAAATCACCTCTCCACTGAATAGCAGCCCCCACATAATGACTTTATTTGCTTAATCCCCAAATTAAACGCCGTTTCAAGCGAGGGTCCTGTGTTATTACTCTCATCATGTCGAGAACATTTTCCTGCCGAGACCAATTTGAATAAAACAAGGGGCCTTCCTTGAACTCAATCAAGGAGCCATAATGTGGTGGGTAATAGAGGTTGCTGATAGATTTGCAGGCAAAAGTGTTATACCTAATGATGGGATATGGATAATAGTCCTCCTGGAGGTCCTGATGCGATTCCAGTTGGCTGCCAGATGCTAAAAATCAAGAAGAGCATTGATCAGTGACAGGAAGCTGTAGTGGATTCATCTAGTCAAACTTCAGCTGTTTTTCCACTGTACAGTTAAGCCAGGCATAAATTATATTAATTGATTTAATTACATACTTAAAACATCTTCCCCAATTAATTTAATTAGGTGGCTACATGATGCTACTGGCAGGGGAAGATTAGAGGCAGCTCACTTAATTAACAGAATATGAATGAAAAAAAGAGAAAGCAAACATAAATGAAATTGTGAGCACTAATTAAAAGGCTGTCTGCAAACTTAAATACTTTCTGACAAAGTGGTGACAGCAATGTAGACAAGAGAGGATTTTTTTTTTCTGAGCAAATTAAAGTGCCAGAAGGTATATATAGGGAGAAAAAGTAATGCAGTTAAAACATTGATTTTCTGACAGAACTACCATAGTCAAAGTGAAGGGACTTTTTTTTTTTCTATAGAAAAATTGCAACAGATTTTGCAGGCACGAAAGCCAGATTCTTGATTAGGGCTAAACTATGATGCACAAACAAATGTGGGGTTTGTGCATCATACATTGAGGGGAGTGAAAGGCGTGGGAGTCTGAGGCAAGGAGAGTAGTTGGAAAGAGAAAGGGAAGATAGAGACAACTTATTACAACCGCTCAAGCACGAAATGTTTAGAAAAAGAGGTCTGCCTTAACAGCTGGCAGCCTTGTGCACCTTGGCTCGAATGCGAAAATTCTCCAGGTGTCTCTGACGTGATTCCTTTAGTATCTTCTTTAGTCGAGTCTTATGGCAATATAACAGCCAAGCAATGGCAATCACACCTGATGCCCACTTCTGCTGGCGATAAAAGAGGAAGAATTTTCTTGCTTTGTAGCATTTCCATGTGGCTTGGATCTTCATGGCGGCCTCCGAATTTCCATCTTGGCCCTTGTACCTTTGCCCTGGAAGATTTATCAGCATTTGGACATGAGCTGGGTCCTCTAACACTGAGAGAAGGTCATATCTGGTAAGTTTATTCGTCAGCTCAAACTCTGGAAGGAGGGCCACCAAATTATTCCCTTTTATTTTGACTTCTGGTATAGCATAGTTCCTGAGAAACTTCTCGACGTGTTCCAAGAGAGAAAAAATACCTCCCCAAGCTAAGCTAAAATGTTCCTTGAATGCTAAGAAGTCTGGGGCTGTATTGTCTATGACACCATCATAAATTAAAAAGTCATAATCCCACAGTGATTTCAGGGCTCTCAAAGGTGTTTTGACTTTCATGGCCTGTGGAAAAAAAGAAATATATTTTAGAAGTGAAAGATATTATGATCTCCTTTAAATGAGTGGTCAAGACACACACTACATTATCATTTAGCATTCAATGGTGGGAAGATATGAATCCTAGCACTGATTTAACACACACGTCATAATACGAAAGTCTAGCTAGTATATATCATTAAAACTCATTACCAGATGGATATCTTAGAGATCACTCAAATCTATTAACATTTTTATAAAAGTGTTATAAAATTGTTCAAGGAAACCAGTCATAAAAAATTATGCATTTAGTTTACTTTGATACAATCACCTGACCCCCAATCTCTGTGATTTAGTTTTTACACATGCACGCATGGTCTGAGAAGCATGTTGCTGATTCCTTGATCACAACTTATCCACCAGTCTGAAAAACAGGGCGAAGCCTTTCTTCGCATTCCTTAGGATAACTTCAAATGTGCCCGTTAAAAATTGTTTCTGACTTCATAAAAGATCATCACTTTTTAGCATTTTATAGTTCTTCTGCCATCTTCTCTTAATATCCAGAGGTCATTTTTACAAGGAACATTATGTTATATGTTATCACCTTTGTCATTCTTAGGTTTCTCTTGACACGTGTTCTTTTATTCTTAAGTCTGGTTTCTTCTTAGGAACATATCTGGGGCTGTCCCAGGTGGATTAGGATCACAAATCTGATAACAAAACCAAGGGAGCATTTGCTTTTCATTTTGTTCCCACCTGTATTGACATTTTAAGCTATGAAAATACTTTTATTTATAATTGGTAAATTTCTAAGACTCGGATGCTGAGCAATTTTTTTTGTTCTTTACACTTTCTATGTTAAACCACTACATTTCAATTCTCAGAACCTATTCTACTGAAAACAGACACTCTGCCCAAGATCTAAATGTTCCTGATGGCTTGGAGGGGCTGGGGGAGAGGGAGGGTACAGATTTTCAGGCCCTGAGTTCTCGTCAGTAAACCCGGTATTAACTTACTGTAATAATTGTTTCTTCTTGCTTAGGTATGTGAGGAATAGATTGTTTTCAACATGTCAGCGTTCTCAGATGTATAAGCCCATCTTTACCAAACTGTGGGGTTATTATTACTCTTCGCATTTTGAAGAGTTTTCAAAAAACTCAAAGAAAACCCCCCCCAGCAATTTATCCATAATGATTACGCCACAGCACTGTGTTGAGTATTACTATATCAGATTATTCACGCGTTTTCTTTTCTCCGGTCCTGGGCCGCACAATAATTAATTAGACTGCCATCTCAAGTAAAAATGCTGAAAAACAAGTGTTAAGTCCAAAAGTGCAAATTTCCTTTCACTTTAGAAGCAGACTTTAAACAGCAGTGAGCTTTTTGTGTACTTTTAACTTGAGTTGTTATAAGGCATAAAAATGAGGGAAAAAATCTTCCTTCCAAGCTTCTATCCCTTTCTGATCTAATCAGGGTGCCAGAAGAGAATGCAAGCTACTTGGTAGATGAAAATAAATTCCTTCTTCTTGGATGGGCAAGAGAAAGTTGGAGAAGTAATGCCCCCTTCAGCAGCCACCAGTGCTGGCAGGAGAGGCTGCCACTCCTGGTAGAAGACAAGTGGCACATGTTCCAACAGAAATGGCCTCTATGGCCACATTGCTCCCTCCCTTCAGGAACGGTCTCTGATACTAGGAATTAGAATTCAGAGAAGAATGACAGTGCTTCATCAGTGAGAAACAGACATGCAAAATAATCACAGATGGACATGTATGGAGCTGGCTGGTCCTGCCAGTCACGTGTGATTCAGTCAACAGGACTCTGAGACCTATAAGAAGCAAAGCTATCGATGGGAGATTTGCCAGAGAATCTTGTCTTCTTGGCAATATTCTGAAACTTCTTATCTTCACAGCGAGACATGTGGAATTAGGACCATCTATGAAAATGGGACAACCTTGGCAGAAGTTGAGAAAGGAGAGAACTCACGTCTCTCTCAGACAGTGCCTTTCCATGGGGTGGGTCTAGGGTTTTTACGTACATCAGCAAATGTATTTTAGACCTTCTGAAAGAACAGCCTTGGGTGGCAGTGGGAGCAAAATTTATCAGTGGCTGTTTTAGAACAAAGGGATTACACCTTTCTACCTTCTTGGATGATATTCCAGCAAAGACCTGCTCTCAAAGGAAACATACTCCTGGACATCAAACAGACCACTCAGGCACTGGGAAGCTATCGGTTTGGAGTCAGCTAAAGCATAACTGTAGTACATCTGTCACAGAGAATGCCACACTTGGGAGCACTTTAGACTTGGAGCAAGAAAAGACATGCCTCTCAAGAGAAAGGCTTCCCAAATTAAAGCAGTGCATCAGCATTGTGAGATCCATTGAGCAGGTAAAGACAAAGCTGCTTCACAGCCTGCTAGGAATAAGAGCCCTGATTAAAGGTCATGCCATGCTTCAGGTTCTGGCTCATTCTGTTATTCTTTATTATCTCTGTGAACTTATCTACTATTATTTGTTGGCTTTCTTTCTTCTTTCTTTCCTTCTTTTTCTTTTCCTCTGCCTTCTTTCCTCCCTCCTTCCTTTTCTTCCTTCCTCCCTCCCTCCTTCCCTTCTTTCCCCTTCCCTCTCTTCTTTCTCTTTTTTCTTTTTCTCTTCCTTCCTCTCTCTTTCCCTCCTTTTTTAAGATGTGCTGTACTCCCAATATGATATTACTGACTTGACGGCAATTTTTTTTTCCTTCTAGCCAAGAAGGATTTCTGTCAAAACATTGTATTCTCACCTGGTGCTTCTTGGGTCACAATCATACCTTTGCGAGATGCCTGTATTCACTAATTGGCCCACATGAAGCCCAAACCTGTGGCCTAATTATTAGCATCTTGCTCTAACTAATTAGCTGGGAAATGTTCTTTGTTTGCAAAGTGTAATCGCTAATTAGATAACTTTGAGAGTTTCTGGAGCAGTTATTTAGGCAAAATTCTAAATCCAAAACAAAAAACAGGAAAGCAGGATGATGATTACATATGTTAGTAAGTCACAGATGTTAAGCAAAAAAGATAGACCCAGTGTTGCATTCTAAAATTTAGAAATACTAGCTGGGTGTGGTGGTGTGCAGCTGTAGTCCTAGCTACCCAGTAGGCTGAGGTGAGAGGATTGCTTGAGCCCAGGAGTTCGAGGCTGCAGTGAGCTATAATCACACCACTGCACTCCAGCCTGGGTGACAGAGTGAAACCCTGTCTCTCAAATAAATAAATAAATAAATAAAATTTAGAAATAACTACCACAAAGAAAATCACATTTCTAAGACAAATGTCTTTATGAAAAATGTTCTTTTCATGTATGTGGACAGTATGTGGGTGTGGCATTAAACTGGATCCATAATCAGATACAAGCAGGATCTCATAGTGGCAAATGGCCAAGTATTTGGGATAATACCACATGGATATCATCTTTAGAGAATGATAATCATTCCATTGCCTAGAAGGATAGACTAAATTCCTTCTGAAACTAAAAGCCAATGTTCAGTTTCTCAAATACCCAAACATATCCATTAGTAATTAGCCCAGGCAATTGCACTGTGTGAAAAAGAGTAAGTTCTTTCTGCACCTTATGGCTCTAAATGAGAGTTTGCATTTAGAATATGAATGGAATGTCCCTCAGAGATGGAGTCCTTATTCTTTCTCAAAGACCAGGGATGCTATTTGTCTGACTCTGCTTTTAAATTGTGTTAAGGGTCCACAATGTGTTGAGCTTTCTATAGAATAAACATCAGGACCTCAGCTGGCTAGAATTGTTCAAAAGATGTACATGATATTCAGAGAGACTAGCTGACCTAATCAGCGGTCCGGAATTCAGCATAGTCACAGGCCTGAATTTTAGAGGACAAGGGAACTTGAAGGTCACTGCCCTTGCCTTTTGCTCAATAGGCTATTACGGGCCCAGAGAAATTAGCCTTGGCCTTAAGTCCAGCTAACCTGGGTTCAAATCCAAGCTTTGCCAATATCTGCTACATACTCTTGGGCAAGTTACTACACCCTCTGAACCTAAATTTCCTTATCTGTAAAAATGAGAGGTCCCTGCAGAGTTGCTATGATGATTACAGTATGTGTCAAGAACCTTTAACAGTGCCTTAGCCCTAGTCAATGTGGTTTTTACTATAGAGAAGGAAACTGAGGCTCAGAGAGGTTAAATGACTTGCCCAAGATCACAAAGCTAGTTGGCAGATCTTCTTAATTTCTAAGACAGTATTTTTGTTACTATAAGACAAAATTCTGTTCCTAAACAACCCAAATCCATATATAACCAAAGGAAGGAGAATAAGTACTATAAGAAGTGTGTCTTTGCTACTCTTCCATTTCCTTTCATCAGCCCCTCTTCCTTCCCATCGGGTGTTTTCTCTTCCCCACCCTACCTCATGCTGACCCCTACCCCCGTACCACCAGTGCCCACAGCCTAAACTGTCTAGAACTCTCCATATGGCTCCTTACTAAGCTTTGCTCTTCTTAGTCTTCCTTCTACCACCTTGTACATCAGAGCCAACCTGGCCTTGATCTGCTGTTTTTTTCTTTTTCTTTTAAAAAAACTGAACGATAATTATTATTTTTAGAGACAGGGTCTCCCTCTGTCATCCAGGCTGGAGTGCAGTTGCGTGATCATAGCTTGCTGCAGCCTCAAACTCCTGGGCACAAGTGATCCTCTCACCTCAGCTTCCCGAGTAGGTGGAACTACTGGCACATGTCATGACGCCCATCTAATTTTTGTAATTTTTTTGTAGAGATAAGGGTCTCACTATCTTGCCCAAGCTGGTCTTGAACTCCTGGCCTCAAGCGATCCACCCACCCCAGCCTCCCAAAGTGTTGGGGTTACAGGCATGACCCACTGCACTCAGCTCATTTTTTCTTATTTGACAGGCTGGAAAGCAATTTGTCAAACTAATTCCTATCACTGTGCTAATGAACATAACATAGTGTGGTGTATCAGAAGCAACAAGACCCAGAATCTAGTCTGTTACCACCTTCCTCTGTGGCCTTGGGAAGCCACTTCTGTGGGTTTCAGTTTCCATTAAGAGATCACTCAGGGCACTTCTAATTTTGATACCCTACGCCTCTCTGACTTAATGTGTCACCCCTGCAGGGGTATTGGCTTTTTAATAAACTTCTGGAGCCAGTAAAGCCATCAAATCAAAGGCAACTATCTCCAATGGCATCACTTTATGCACCATGAAAAAAACCTGGGGGATTTTTTTCGTATTCTATTTTTCAGATAGAAAACTCTTTCTAGTAACTCTGAAATCAAAATAGATGAACGACTGCCCACACCACCTAATGGTAAAGGTGGTCATGGGGAGAGAACCCCAAAGAGTAGTGTTCCAGTATTCTGGGGCCTGCAAGTCAATGGCTCTCAGTTCATAATATCTAGAAACTGTCTAAGTAATCCTTAAGTGCCAATTAAAAGTGGAAGTCAGAGTCCTTAACCTTTACAAAGAGAATAAAAGGCAAAAACAGAACTCATCGAGCAGAGATATATAAAAGAAGAGACTTGAGCGTAAAGGCCACTCAGATCAGCAGCAATTTTCTAGGAATAATTTCTGCAATTGCTTTGAAAGGTATCTTTATTCAAATGAGTCTTCCTGAACTCTGAAACACTTCCTGAGGAGAAAAATCCCCATCCTTTGATGCATTCTCATGGAACAAAAACACACGATGGATCAAAATCTGGTTGAAGATCAAACAGAATAGAATCAAGAAGATTTTGTAAATAGATGGTCTATTTTCAGTCAAATGTGAAATTTCCTTCTAGAGACACATTTCATTTTACTGCTGCATTGATTTCATCTTTTCTGTTATACCTCTAATATTCTCTGAGAAAATGTGACATAGTTAAGGACCACTGGGGACAATTATGATGGATGGGTTGAACCTGCTGGGGATGTGGACAGGAAGCCTGACAGGATGGGAATCAAAAGCAGCCTGGATTCCCAGATCTCTGAGCAAAGACACATCATAATTTTCTCTACACGTATGGGAAAAAGAGCAAGCCTCAAAAAGGACTGCTATTATCACCAAAGTAAAGCTTGACATTCCATGTTTCCTGAGAAAAATGTGGATCTAGTACGTTCCTTGATCCAAATCACTAAAGAACACTTGCAAAATTCCTACAGAGCTCCACCTTGTCATATTCTCTATACCTACATATGTATTCTTTTTTTGTTTTTGAGACAGAGTCTTCCTCTGCTGCCCAGGCTAGTGTGCAGTGGTGCAATCTCAGCTCACTGCAACCTCCACCTCCCAGGTTCAAGTGATTCTCCTGCCTCAGCTTCCTGAGCAGCCAGGATTACAGGCACGCGCCACCACACCCGGCTAACTTTTATATTTTTAGTAGAGATAGGGTTTCACCATGTTGTCCAGGCTGGTCTTGAACTCCTGACCTCAAGTGATCTGCATGCCATGACCTCCCAAAGTGCTGGGATTACAGGCGTGAGCCACCGTGCGTGGCTTCTATACCTACATATGTATTCTGGTTTATTTTTCTTCATAGCACTTATCTCACTCTTTGATATTATATTAAATATCTGATTATTGCCTCTCTCACTAAAATATAAACCCCAAGAGGACAAGGACTAGGTTTGCTTCATTCATTGTTGTGTCCCCAGTGCCTATCTAGTACACTGCCTGGCACACGGTAAAGGTCAAAAAGGATTAGTTGAATGAATGAATGTATGAAAGTGTGAATACTAAAATTTAAGCTTATAGCCAGTTGGACTGGGTTCACAGCACAAAGCTGTTCTATGATCATACAAGTTATTTGCAAACTTATAGCTTGAGTTTTGGAGCACTAATGCAAAGTTTGGCTACTGAGATACAAAAATGTCCATACCCTTTGATCAAGAAGTTCCACAGGCTAGGTGTGGTGGCTCATGCCTATAATCCCAGCACTTTGGGAGGTCAAGGCAGGCAGATCACTTGAGTCCACGAGTTCCAGACCAGCCTGGGCAACATGGTAAAACCCCATCTCGACAAAGAAATGCCAGAAAAATTAGCTGGGCGTGGTGGCATATGCCTGTAGTCCCAGCTACTCAGGACTGTGAGGTGGGAGGACTGCTTGAGCCCCGGCAGGTCAAGGCTGCAGTGAGCCACAATCGTGCCACTGCACTGCAGACTAGGTGACAGAGAGAGACCGCATCTCAAAACAAGAACAAAAACAATTATTTATTAATAATGTAACATTTATAATTTAATGTCAAGCAATAGGATGAAAATTATGGTATATCTTTAATAAAGATATTATAAAGCCACTAAAAATGTTTTATGAATTTTAAATCATATATGTAAAGGTTTATGATAAACTATTAGATGAAAAGAGTAAAACCAGAGTTGAATATACAGTATAATACCAATAAAAGAATATGCCAAAGTTTAAATAGTACCAAAGGATTGTGATATGGGGAAAAAAATCCTTCTATACTTTTTTTCTCTTTTCTGAATTTTCCAAATTTTCTATGAATGATCAGGTCACAATTGATCAATGAAAGAGATAAAGTGAAAAAATACAGATTATCTTGTTGGCTGATAATTTAACCTTTTTTCTGTTGTATATAAGCAAAATTATTAATCACATGTAATAAAAATGTTCAGTTAGACAATGCTATGAAAAGTAGTAAAAACAGTCCTTGTAGTTTTTCTCGGTAATTACAAGAAAAATTGTTCCACAAGAATTTCAAAAAAATTGTTTGGCAAATAAAACTATATAATTTCAATTCATTTGGAAAGTTTAATGATGAAAACGCATAGGTGAGGATGGCAATTTCTAATGAATTAGAGAAAATGGTAACTCTTTTTAAAAGATTCTACATGCAAATCAAAACCACAATGAGATACCATCTCATACCAGTCAGAATGACTATTATAAAAAGGTCAAAAAATAACAGATGCTGGTGAGGTTGCAGAGAAAAGGGAATGCTTATACACTGCCAGTGGGAATGTAAATTAGTTCAGCCATTATAGAAAGCAGTTTAGTGACTTCTCAAAGAACTTAAAACAGAATTACCACTCGACCCAGCAATCCCCTTATTGGGTATATACCCAAAGGACTATAAATCATTCTACCATAAAGACACATGCATGTGTTATGTTCACTGCAGCACTATTCACAATAGCAAAGACATGGAATCAACCTAAATTACCATCAATAGTAGACTGGATAAAGACAATGTGGTACATATATACCATGGAATACTATGCAGCCATGGAAAAGAAAGAGGTCATGTTATTTGAAGCAACATGGATAGAGCTGGAGGCTATTATCCTAAGCAAAATAACACAGGAACAGAAAACCAAATACTGCATGTTCTCACTTATAAGTAGGAGCTAAACATTGAGTACACATGGACACAAAGAAGGGAATGACACAGGGGCCTACTTGAGGGTGGAGGGTAGGAAGAGGGTGAGGATCCAAAAATGAGCTATTGGGTACTATGCTTATTACCTGGGTGATGAAATAATCTGTACACCAAATCCCCATGACACACAGCTTATTAATACCTATGTAACAAATCTGCAAATGTATTTCTGAACCTAAAAGTTGAAAAAATAAAAATTAGGCTGGGAATGGTGGCTCACGCCTGTAATCCCAGCACTTTGGGAGGTTGAGGTGGGCAGATCATTTGAGGTCAGGAGTTTGAGACCAGCCTGACCAACATGGTGAAACCCCATCTCTACTAAAAATACAAAAAAAAAAAAAATTTAGCTGGGTGTGGTGGTGCACGCCTCTAGTCCCACTTACTTGGGAGGCTGAGGCAGGAGAATCGCTTGAACTAGGGAGGCAGAGGTGGCAGTGAGCCGAGATCATGCCACTGCACTCCCACCTGGGTGAGAGAGCAAGACTCCATCTAAAAAAAAAAAAAAAAAAATCAAGATTTGTGTTTTTTAAAAAAGATTCCACAGGGGTTGTTTGTTTGTTTTTTTTTCCGTGTCTGGATTTTTCTTTTCTCTTCTTCCTTTAAGATGGTAAGTTAAATGAAGTTTTATGAGAGAGAATGAGTCTAAAAGAGAAAAAAATAGCTTTGGACTTGCTTTTGAATCTTGTTTTGTATCTCCAGGTTGCAGAGCTCTGATTCTCTTAAGAACTGCCCTCTCTCCAGCCCTTTAGGGCAAGACAAGAAAGGAGACTAAATTGTGCTGGGAGCAAAGTCAGCCAGGGAGGCACCCTGTGCCTTTTAAGAAGTAGGCTTATTCCCCCACCAGATTTGACATGTTAAAGCCAAAACTGCTGCTAGATATCATCTAGTGGTTTTGAAAGTATACATTTTAAAGCCTCGAACACTTTGTTCAAATACCATATAGTTTGATAGCAAAGAGGTAAAATAGAAAACCCAAGTGTTGTGGATATAGGGGCCTACAGCCCCCTATTGCTAGGAGCTTTTGCTTCTCTTCTTTCCCTGGGGCTATGGGGTGAGGATTTCCTGGGGCTGTAGGGTGAGGATATGGAAGCCCCTTAAAAACACTGATTTGATCCAATCTCCTTTTTATACAGATAGAAGGAAATGAGAGCAGATAGGGGCAGTGATATGTTTAATGTCACACATATTGCCTGATTAAAACAGTTCAGCTGACTCACCCATAAAATAATTACAGTTTTCTAAATGACAGGATCAGAAGTATATGGTGGGAAAATACTAAAGAAAGTAACAATTGAAAAGAATGACTAAGAGAAGTGAGACCCCAAATTTGAGATTACAATGTTATCACCCAAACCCATTCTTTCTACACCAATATAAATTTTACAACACAAGGATGGCTTAGGAAACAGGATTTTCTTTTATATTTTTCTTCAATTTGGATTTTTTTTTTAAATTTGGAGATGTTTTGGAAAAGTTTTAAACACACAGAGAAGTATAGAGAATAATATAAAAAACTACCACGGACACATTTTTGTTTAATTTTTTGTCGTCTTTGCTGTAAATATACGTGTGTATGTGTGTGTGTGTGTGTGTGTGGTGTGTGCGTATATGTATGTTATATATATATAAAGTTAACATCCTCTCTGTATTTCTTTTCATTCTCCTTCCTCTTTCTTCCTGTTCCCAGAAGCAAACACACTCATGAAGTTGGTCTGTACTCCTATAGTAGAATAAATATTTGTTTGTTTGCTTGTTTTATCCATAAAATAGATTTTTATTATCAAAATATTAATTAAAATTGAGTGAATCTTAACATAGTTTTTATGCTTGCCTTAAGATAATAAAAAGATTTATTTCCTGACAGGCAATTTTAACAACCTCAAACCTTTGAACTAGATTCTTGAAAATAAGGATGCCTCAGATTTATTGAAATAACTATTACAAACTCTACTATCATTTTTTATTCTTCGGATCCTGTGCAAAGCCTGACTGACTTAAACTTATTCAACTTCTTAAATTGGGTTTGGTTAACTGAGCTATAAGATAGAAAAGGCTGTTAAAGTCGGAGCCGATGAAAGCAGACACAACAGCAAGGGTGGTAACTGCTGTCTGTTATTGAAGAAAACAGTAAAAGACACAGAAACTGATTACCTGTATACATGATATTGAATAGAGAAAAGATTAAATTATATTAGTTAGGCAGAAGTGTAATATATTTTAGAAATGCAATAAATGTAATATGTTTCCATAAAAATGATTGATATTTATAAAAATTTCTAATGCTTTGGGGCTCTGGTAGTTACATAGTCCAGTTTTGTATGTTGGCTCTGTCATTTACTAATTGGATGACTAACTGAATGATAATAGTGCCTATTGCACAGAAATCCTGTGAAAATGAAGTGAGATAATCCACTTAAGACATTAGGAACAGAGCCTGGCAAAGAGTAAGCACTCAGTATATGTTAGCTGCAAGTAGCAGTCGCAGCAGCAACAGCAGCAGTAGTAACAGGAGCAGTAGTAGTACTATTTGAAAAGCTGACCCATGTGGAAGCATTCATAACCTGGAACAGGCAGAGAGCACAAACTCCGGAGCTTCACTCTGTCAGCTGGATCCTTTGCACCCTTTTACCAACTGAGTGGGCCTGGGGACAACTGCAGCACATAGGTTCTGCCTGCTATGACGGTTCAGTGGGTACGAAAGATGCTTAGTGCCATGCATGCAGGACATGCTCAGTCAACATTAGCAGTTACAAATATTCCAGATAAATAATGCCTTACTGTTCGTAAACACATCCTATTTTTAACCTGCAGAATCAAGCTCACACTTTTCTCACAGTAAGACGTCAAGGGACGTAAGAGGAAGGATCTAATTGCACGGATTAGTTTACCAAGGAGCAATCTGTCTAGGTACAGAGGGACTGTATGTAATCATTGATGTAAATACAGCTCTATCTAGGCACAGCTCTGCAGGAATAAAATGTGACCCCAAAGGCGGGCTCTTTTTCCTTGAAAGCAGATGGCTAAGATCCCTGTAAAATTCTTACTGATAAGAGATCCCCAAGAAAGGGAGGCCTAGAAGATGCTCTTAATAATGGACCAATGAGTTATGATAACAAGTACTTTTCCAAAACACTTTCACACACATTAATGCATCTGATCCTTGCAGCAACTCTACGTGAAGGAAGCTTTATCCTCATTTGTCAGAGGAGGAAAGTGAAGAGCAGAGAAGTCAAGTGACTTGCTCAAAGGAGAATCAGGTGCATTCCTACTTCAAGTTCAGGACTTTTATTACCCATGCATGGCCTTGTGGAATGTTCCTTGCTGGCATGTACTTGCCATATTGTGGGGGCTATTTCATTTTTCCAATGTTTTTATAACCTTAGTTGTTAGGATTAGCTTAACTCTAAATCCCATCTGTACTACAGCATACATGCAGTATGTTGCATGTGTGTGTGCATCCTATATGCATGCACACATATAAGCACGTGCTGGGGGACAACCGCATTTATTTTTCACATTTTATTTCTTTTTAAGTGTACTTTTAAAAGATGAAAATCTTTGATTGAATTTGAAGATTGATGTGATTCAGCCAAATTTTAAGGACGCTAAGTCATTTGTTTGGACTGAAGCCTGAGAAGTAATTCAGTCCCAAAAGGAGGCAAAAAAGGGTTTTCACTTTAAATGAACCATGTTTTTTTTTTTTTCCTGAAACCATGATCTAATTTCTTTTACAAAGGAAGCACGAACTTTTGTTGCCATCTCCAGCTGTCAAGCAGTCACCCATACTCTTGCCCTGCAGCAAAAGGAAGGGACATCAGGTGACAGACCCTAAATTTCAACTAGTCACACAAATTACAGACCTTCCTATCATGATGTCCTCTTGACCTTCTGCTTTTCCCCTACAATGAAGAATGAGACACAGTTTAAATCAAAACGACTCTCATGGGCAATTTTACAAAACAAATAGAAGGCTCAGAGCCTCACCCCCTTCCCCATTTTACCCGCTGGGCCAGCCTGTTCTCTCTTTCCACGCAGGCAGGAGCTAATAATTAGAAAGACCTTTCCCACACTGACAACGATGCTCTGTTTGCCAAGCCCCGTTTGCTTTGAAGAAAGAGTTTGATTAAGTAAATATTTACAAAAACAACTATAATCAGATGCCAAGTCCCACTTCTAGGGGACACTAGCGTGGCACCACACTGCTTTGTGGTGGTGTCTGATCAAAGGTCTGTACTGGCTCTATCACGAGGCTTGGCATACTGAAGTCCTTCTCTTAGCCTTTTAACTTCCATGCCCAGGACACTTCCCACAAAATATGTGAAAAATTACATTTACCATTGAAGAGTCAATTTAGAAATGCTGTACCAATCTGGGACCACAGGAAAAAGTCATTAAATATTACTGTTTCCAGCAGTTGGGGAGAGCTTTGTGAAGTCAACAGAGAAAATTAAAGCCAGGGCTCATTAGCATTCAGAAAATATGTCATTATTTAAAACTATTTTTTTCGTGGTAAACCATTTACTGGCTAAAACCTAGTCATAATATTTGTATTACCTGTAGATCTGTTATCTATAAAACTGTGGGACCTGAGCGCTCCAACAGGGTGAGAATCAAAACAGGTGCCTCCGCCTGTTCCTATTATGCATATTAGCCCATGGCCTTCTCACAGCCTGTTAAACAGCTGAATTTGAAACAATAATGGTGCAGGCCAAACACTCGCCTGAAGGCCTGTCTGTCTTGGGATTTGGCCATTTACATTGATTTTCTTTACCCACATTTTTCATGAAACACAAATATTTGCCATGGCAACTGGGGTGTCACATGACATGCTGCTACATAAATAGCTTGGAAATCTCTTAAGGGGACACAGCCCACCAGTGCTGATATTACAGTGAAACCTCTTGATGATTTCAATATTGAAAGATAAAAGTCTGGGAAGAGCAGGTAGCAGTCTACTATGGAGAGGCAGTAGGATTAATTTCTCTTGTTCCGCTCTTCAATTTCTCTTTCTTTCTTTTCTTATGAGAGCAGCTGTAAACATGACCACTTTCCACATAAGGTAAGCCAGAAAAAGACAGTGCCAGCTGTCTCCTTTCTGTGGTGAAAAGTTTCAAAAATCACAAGTCTGTCTGCAGTCCATAAACCTAAGAAAGCAAGGTACAAAAGTCCAGCACATTTAAACTGGGGGAATCTCCATAAGAATGAATTACATTGTACTGTGAGGAGTTAATGTTAAAGAATACAGAATTTGGCCCGGTGTGGTGGCTTATGCCTACAATCCCAGCATTTTGGGAGGCCGAGGCAGGTGGACCACTTGAGGCCAGCAGTTCGAGACCAGCCTGGCCAACATAGCGAAACCTTGTTTTTACTAAAAATACAAAAAATTAGCCAGGAGTGGTGGTACATCCCTGTAATCTCAGCTACTCGGGAGGCTAAGGCATGAGAATCACTTGAATCTCGGAGCCAGAGGTTGCAGTGAGCCGAGACTGTGCCAGCCTGGGTGACAGAGCAAGACTCCATCTCAAAAAAAAAAAAAAAGAAAAGAAAGTGCCTCATGATGGTTAAAAAAGAAAAAAAAAAAAAAAAAGGCCAGGCGTGGTGGCTCATGCCTATAATCCCAGCGCTTTGGGAGGCCGAGGCAGGTGGGTCACTTGAGGTCAGGAGTTCGAGACCAGCCTGGCCAAAATGGTGAAACCCCGTCTCTACTAAAAATACAAAAATTAGCCGGGCATGGTGGTAGGCACCTGTAATCCCAGCTACCTGGGAGGCTGAGACGTGAGAATCGCTTGAACCCAGGAGGCAGAGGTTGCAGTGAGTCGACATAGTGCACTGCACTCCAGCCTGGGCAACAGAGTAAGTGAGACTCTGTCTTGAAATAATAATAATAATAATGATAATACAGAATTCTTTCCCCTGCTTCATTAAGGTATTCTATGTTTGGAGATCTTGCCTTTTTAGCCTGTATTTAAAGACAAATGAAATACAGTAGAACCTCACAATAAGACATCCTATACCATACAAATTTGGATACAAAGCAATAGCTACTGGACTCCTGACCAGTTAGTATTAGAGGCTGAGCCAGTCATTTAGTTAATCTTGCAATGATGCAACATGATTGAATTTTTTAGACCCCACCAATAACATTATGCTAGAGTTGACTTGTACAATTCCCCTTTTGAAAGTCAAATGCATACCAGCAGCAGCTGAAATAGCACTTATTTCTATGTTGAAGGTACAACTCAATAACGTGTAAATCACCAAATATCTCACAGAAAGTGCTGTAAATAAGAATAATTTTCTTTCTATAGTGAGGAATATAAATACCTTTGATCTTTGTTTCTTGGGAAAGAACTTCACTTCTGCTGGAGATGGAGGTGGTTCCCGAGGTATAGTGAAAGTGGCTGTGGATGAAGATAGTACATGTTACCTTTTCCAGAAGAAGAGGCTGAGTCACTGGTTGGATGCTATTGGGTTTGCACCTTGAAAGTCAAATGGCTCTGTCACCCACTGTGCGCTCACTACCTTTCTTTCTGTATTCATTCAATGAAACAGCTATGATCACTGACTTCAAAAGGAAGCCAAGAGCATGAGAGGGCAACAGTTCTATTAGAATACAAAGTCAGCCCGCCTTATGCAAACTGCCTAGATAAAAAGGCAAATTTTAAAAGCAGGCACATTTTAAAAGCAGGCAAATTAGAGAGTAATATCTGTCTTATAAAATGCTTTGTTAGAAGATTTCTTTAAATAGCCAGATTCCCAGGTTCATGTAAAATGTGATTTAACATAGCTACATATGGACTATTCTATTGTGTAAAAAAAAAGATTCTAAAAAATTTAAATGACTGAGGGAAGTGACACAAGTGAAAAGCACCATAAAGATTATTTTTGAAATTAGTTAAGTCTATAAGCAACAACTTTTAGAGAACACACCTAGCCCATGGTCGAGGAAGAATGGGCCCACATGCTAGATAATGCTCTCAATCACATCTCTCCTACTGCCTAGCAGCAAACCTGACTGCCCTTTACCAAAAGCCCAAGTCTGACATTCTCAGGGGAGAAAAATCCTTATACTACTCAGCCCAAGAAAGAGAACAAAAAATTTATTTAAATGGTTAATTGAATAAAAGAAGTGAGGCTTCTTTCAGCTCAATTCCTTCAGCTCAACCCCCTTTTCTGTTAGTTTTCTATAACAACAATCTTAGAAGGAATTGACAGATATTGATCAAAAACAGCATGCTAGTAAAGGATATCAATATATAATTTAGAATCTCACTTTGAGGACTTGGTTCTCTTAGATTGCCTCAACTGAGCTGCAAGGAATATCTTCAGCTCTTTTTTAAAGAGTAGGAAAAATAGCAGAGCCTTTTCAGTGAAACTCACCTTCACAAAAGGGATTTCTTTGTTGCATTTGATCAACCCATTTTTACAACCCTCTGGTTTCCCTGGCTTCCGGCAAGCTTCCCTGTGACTTGTAGTCCTCACTATCCCCTGGCCAGTAGTGTATGAAGACCCCATTTTAAGGGTATAGTTTTTGCCTTCAGTTCTATGCTCTCCTTCCCTGGTGTCCACTTTGGAGTTTGCTCTCCCACTTCTGAAGGTAAGTCCACATTCTGTGTTCAGCCTGCTTTGAATCCACAGATTCACCAGTAAAATTTGTTATTCCTATTGTCTGCAGACTCAGTACAATTTTTGTTTAACTTTCAGGTTCTTGCAGAAAAGTGAGATTTATGGCTAAATTCCCATGTTCAAACAAAATAGCAGCTGAGAAATTTTCAAGTGGGCATAACTTTTAAAGGATTTTAGTAAAATTGTAATACAATTTGGTAGGACAAAGATCTCAAGGATAAGTAATTTCACATGGCTAATCCACAGTTAATGATATCAATAAGAATTTTCTTAGCTGTCTGCAGAAATGCTATCACTAAATTATTATTTCATGTGGCCTTGGATTTTATGAGACACATGCATTTGAGGAATGTGTCTGCATTTTTACAAAACCGTATCCTAATGCACTGCCTATTTTGCTACTCAATTTCCCTGCTGGAAAAATCTGTTTGGTAAATTTTGCCAGAGTTAATGGAGAGGAAAAAATCCTTGTCTTTCTGGACAAACTTGTATGCTTTTGTGGTAGTTATTACTAATTTTTTTTTTTTTTTGAGATGGAGACTTGCTCTGTCGCCCGGGCTGGAGTGCAGTGGCACAATCTCGGCTCACTGCAAGCTCCACCTCCCAGGTTCACACCATTCTCCTGCTTCGGCCTCCAGAATAGCTGAGACTACAGGTGCCCACCACCACGCCCAGCTAATTTTTTTTTGTATTTTTTGGTAGAGACGGGGTTTCACTGTGTTCGACAGGCTGGTCTCAATCTCCTGATCTCGTGATCCACCCACCTCAGCCTCCCAAAGTGCTGGCATTACAGGCGTGAGCCACCGCGCCCGGCCAGTTATTACTAATTTTAGAGCCCCAGTTTTTTCAGAGTGACAATATGCCCAACTCCTAGCAAATTAGAAAAAAAATTTTTTTAAGAACATGCAGTTAAATTTTAACTTAAGATAAACAATAAATAAGTTTTTAGTATGTCTCAAATATTAAATATACTTATCCAACAAAGAATAACAGAATTTCCATGAATGGATTAGAATAAGCATAACATCATTCTAAGAATTTATTTAGTATAAGTATGTCTATAATCCTAATGTTAGCTCTAACCCTATCCCTGGACATCCACTTTCCCAGCCTTTCTCATAGCTAGCAGTGAGCAGTGAGATGTAAGGGAAAGTCCACCCCAAGGCTTCTGGGAAGAGACTGACACCACTATTTTCCCCTTCATCTGGCCTGGAATGTGTATGTAAGGCCCAGGGCTGCAGAAGCCATCTTATGACCAAGAGGTGGCAAGCATGAAGATTAAATCAAACATACCAAAGAGGGTAAAGTAGAAAGAACACCATGACAACCTGCTGATCAATGCCACCATCCCTAGGCTCCTCACTTCCCAATTTCTTGTGTACGAGACAAATTCTTCATTGTTTAGGCCACTGGTATTTTTCTGATATTTATAGTCACATGCATTCCTGAGTGGTACTACCTGTTCCCGTCTCTCCCTCCTTCCCTCTTCTCTTCCTTCCATACTTTGTCTTATTGCATGTGCTAGGACCTCAGTACAAAAATGGTGGCAACAATGATCATCCTTGACTTGTCTCTGCTTTTAATCGAGAAGTAGAAAAGGAATGCTTCAAAATTTCCCCTACTAAGAGTATTTTTTGCTCTAGGGCTTTGGTTGATAACAACAATCAGGTTCAGAAAATTCTCTTCTATTCTGCTCCATCCAGAGGATTTTCCCTTATCATTAATGTTGAATAGTATTGAATGATTTTTTTTTCTTTTGGTATATATTGAGACCATGAGGTTTTTTCTTTTTAAATATGTTAATATGGTGAATTATATTGCTAAATTTTTCTGATGTTGAACTTTCCTTACATTTTTCCTTGATTATGATGAACATTTAAAAAATGTTAATGTTTTTTAGAATCTTTGCCTCTATGTTCCTAAATAAGATTGATCTATGTATATTTTTTCTTGTACTGTGCTTTTTCAATTTTGGTAGCAAAGTTACAATAGCTCCATAAAATCAGTTGATAAGCTTTTCCTCTTTTTTTCCCCTATGGAATAGTATAAAAAGAATTAACTGACCTGTTAAGGTTGGTAAAACTTGCCTATAAAAGGCCTGAGGCCTTCTCCCCTCTGGCATATTAGAGTATGTGAGTGTGTGTCTGTGTGTGTGTGTTTAAAAGACAGAGAGATATTTTTGACTACCATTTCAAATTATCTAATAATATTGTTTTAAGTTTGTTATTTTTTCTCAAGTTATTTTTGGTAGTTCACATTTTTCTAGGAAATTTTTCATTTCATATTTTAAAATATATTGGCACAAAGTTACCATACTATGATTTTTTAAAAATTCTACTGTATCTATAGTTAAGTGACCTTTTTTCATTTTAGTAGTGTTTACGTGTGCCTTCTATTTTCCTTTCTTTATCATTATTGTCAGAGATCTGCCTGTTTTATGTTCTTTTAAAGAAGCCAATTTTTGACGGCGCAGTGGCTCAGGCCTGTAATCCCACATTTTGGGAGGGCAAGGTGGGCGGATTGCCTGAGCTCAGGAGTTTGAGACCACCCTGGGCAACATGGTGAAACCCTCTCTCTACTAAAATACAAAAAATTAGCCGGGCGTGGTGGCGCGCACCTGTAGTCCCAGCTACTCGGGAGGCTGAGGCATGAGAACTGCTTGAGCCCTGGAGGCAGAGGTTGCAGTGAGCTGAGATCACGCCATTGCACTCCAGCTTGTGCTACAGAGTGAGACTCTGTCTCAAAAAAAAAAAAAAATAAATAAATATAAAATAAAAAAATAAAGAAGCCAATTTTTAATTATTTTGGGTCATTTTTGTTTTTACTTTCTTAATGTCTGCTTTTATTTTCATTATTTCCTTTCATTTTTTTTCCCAGTTTACTGCTTTTCTTTTTCTGTCTTCTTGTGTTTAATTAGGCTTACGTCACTTATTATCAATTGTTCTTGTTTTCTTTTTTCTTTATTTTTTTTTTTGAGACTGAGTCTCGCTCTGTCACTCAGGCTGGATTGCAGTGGAGCAATCTTGGCTCACTGAAACCTCTGCCTCCTGGGTTCAAGCAATTCTCCTGCCTCAGCCTCCTGAGTAGCTGAGATTACAGGTGCGCACCACCACGCCTGGCTAATTTTTGTATTTTTAGTAAAGACGGGGTTTCACCATTTTAGTCAGGCTGGTCTTGAACACTTGACCTCGTGATCCACCCACCTTAGCCTCCCAAAGTACTGGAATGTTCCTGTTTTCTACTAAATGCATATAAACAATGGATGAGGTTGCTCAGAAGTGATGAAAGACATTGGTCTACAGATTCAAGAATCCCAATAAATACAAAGCAGGATAAATAAAAAGACCTATATGCCTAGATGCATCACAATGAACCTGTAGAACACAAAAGACAAAAAGAACTTATTTCAACTAGAGAGGAAACAAAAGACAAATTGTTTTCATCCACAATTTTAGCCACTATCTACCACTGACTCCTCAATAGTCCACAGGCTCCTCAATAGCAGATATAATTGCTAGAAAACAATGAAATAATATATTGAATGTGCTGACAAGATAACTTTCAAAAGTCAGGACATAAACACATTTTGAGGCAAATAAAAGTTGAAAGAGTTTACCACCAGCAGAAACAGGCTTGTACTAGTGGAAATTGAAAGAATATAATTTAGGGAGATGGAAGTGAATGCAGTATTGAAAGTCAGAGATGCAACAAGGAATGAAGAGCAAAGACAGTGACAAATCTGTTGGCTAATATAACAAATTCTGATTACATAAAAAACATTAACAATAATGTCTTGTGGGTTTTTTTAAAAAGATACAACTAAAATACATAAGAAAAATAGATGTTACATCAGGAGGGAGATGGAGTTAAAATGTTCTGAGGTTTTTATACTGTTAAAGGGAAAAGTACAGATATTTATTAACTTTAGACTTTGATAAGTAATATATGCATGTGAAAATAAGAAGCTAATCACAATAAGAATATAAAAGGAATGTATCAATTCCAAAATAATAGAGGAATAAAAGTATAATGAGGAAAAATAATCTATTCAAAAGAAGACAATAAAGGAAAGAAAATGAAATAGCAACAAAACAGGGCAAGGCACAAACAGAAACAGTCTAGATGGAAGAAATATTATCAAAATATATTAGTAATTAGAATAACTGTAAATACAGTAAATGCTAAATGGATAACGATGGTCAGAATGATTTTTTTTTAAATTCAGCTATATACTATTTATAAAAGACAGACTTAAAACATATTGCTACAGAAAGATTAAAAGTAAAAAAATGAGAAAAGATATGCCAGGCAAACAATAACCAAAAGGAAGCTGATGTGGCTATATTAACAGACAAAATGCTATTTATGCTAAAAAGCAATTATAGAGATAATGAAGGACAGTGTGCAATGATAAAAGTTCCCATTTACTAGTAAGATATAATAACTATAGTAAGAGTTGGCAAGGATGTGAATCCACAGAGTATCTTACACACTGAAGGTAGAAATGTAAATTGATGCAATGACTTTAAAAGACAGTTTGGCATTACTTTCTAAAGTTGAATGTTCGCCTACCCCATGACCAACATTTCCACTCATATTGACCAAGAAAAACGCTTGTGCATACTCAGTAGGAAACGTGAAGGAATGCACGGCAGCACTGTTCACAATACCAAAGGATGAAATCAACCCAAAAGTCCATCAACAGAAGACTGGATAAATTAACTATGGTCTATTCAAACCATCACCTTCAGCAAACTAACACAGGAACAGAAAACCAAACACTGTATGTTCTCACTCATAAATGGGAGCTGAACAATGAGAACACACAGACTTAGGGAGGGGAACATTACACACCAGGGACTGTTGGGGGGTGGGGGGAAGCAGGAGGGAGAGCATTAGGACAAATACCTAATGCGTGCAGATCTTAAAACCTAAATGATGGGTTGATAGGTGCAGCAAACCACCATGGCACATAAATACCTATGTAACAAACCTGCACGTTCAGCACATGTATCTCAGAACTTAAAGTAAAATAAACAAACAAACAAAATGGAATATTCTACAGCAGCCAAAAGAAATGAATTCAGTGATGTGCAGCATATCTACTTCAAGACTCTAATTCAGTATTTCAGGGAGGGCCCTGGCATCTCTAGTTTGATGCATACAGGCCATCTCCTTAGAATTCCACTTCTCCAGCTTTGCGTACAGCTCCCTATGCTTTCCTTTCATGTCAAGCAGGTGTCCCTCCCCCATTATTCTTTCTAAAAGTCAGACTTACTGAGTTACTACTTACATACAGTAAAATTCACCCTTTTTTAGTGTATACTTTTATAAGTTTTGGCAAATGTGTAAGTCATATAACCATCACCACAATCAAGATATAAAATAATTCCAGGCTAGGCACGGTGGCTCACACCTGTAATCCCAGCACTGTGGGAGGCCTAGGCGAGTGGATCACGAGGTCAGGAGATTGAGACCATCCTGGCCAACATGGCGAAACCCCATCTCTACTGAAAATACGAAAAATTGGCTGGGTGTGGTTGCGGGCGCCTGTAGTCCCAGCTACTTGGGAGGCTGAGGCAGGAGAATTGCTTGAACCTGGGAGGCGGAGGTTGTAGTGAACCGAGATCACACCACTGCACTCCAACCTGGGCAACAGAGCGAGACTCCATTCTCAAAAAAACAAAAACAAAAAAACAAAAACAATTCCAATACCTGCCAAAATTCCTGCATGCCCCTTTTACAGTCAACTACTCTCCCCATCCCCAGGCAACTCTTGATCTGTTTTCTGTCTTCATTGTTTCATTTTCTAAAAATGTCATGTAAATAGAATCATATGGTGTGTAGCCTGTTGAGTTTGGCTTCTTTCACTTCGCATAATGCATTTGGGATTCATCTGTATTGTGCATGTATCAGCAATTAGTTCCTTTTTAGAGCAAGCTGTACTCCATTGTATGGATGTACCTCAATTCATCAGCTGAGACATCTGAGTGGTTTCCAGTTTTTGGTGATTATGAATAAAGCAACATTCATATATTACAAACCTTCATATACAGGTTTTTGTGTAAATATGTTTTCATTTATCTTGGGTAAATAGATAACTAGGAGTGAGATTGTTGGGTCATACAGTAAATGCATGTTTAACTTTATAAATAACTGCCAAACTGTTTTCCAAAGTGTTTGTACCATTTTGCATCCCTACCAACAAGGAATGAGAGTTGCAATTGTTCCATATCCTCATGTAGTGGTATCCCACTGTGGTTTTAATTTGCATTTCTCTAATGACTAATGATGTTAAGCATGCTTTCATGTATCTATTTACTATCCATATATCTCCTTTGGTAAAGTGTCTGCTCATGTCTTTTGTCTGTTATGTTATTGGGTTGTTTGTTTCTTATCACTGAGTTTTAAGAGTCTTTATATGTTCTGGATAAAAATACATGATCAGTTATTGTTTTAAAATATTAACTCTCAATCTATAGCTTTTCTTTCTTTCCTTTTTTTTTTTTTTTTGAGATGGAGTCTTGCTCTTGTTGCCCAGGCTGGAGCAATGGCGCAATCTCGGCTCACTGCAACCTCTGCCTCCTGGACTCAAGCCTCAGTCTCCCAAGTAGCTGGGATTATAGGTACCCACCACCACGCCTGGCTAATTTTTGTATTTTTAGTAGAGACGGGGTTTCACCATGTTGGCCAGGTTGGTCTCAAACTCCTGACCTCAAGTGATCCACCCAACTTGGCCTCCCAAAGTGGTGGGATTACAGGCATAAGCCACTGTGCCTGGCCAATCTATAGCTTTTCTTTTCATTTTCTTAACACTGTGTTCCAAAGAGTATAAATGTTTAATTTTGATGAAGTCCAATGTATCCAGTTTTTCATTTTATGGATTTTGCCTTTGGTGTGGTACGTAAGAAACCTTTGCCTAACTCAAGAACACAAAAAATTTTCCCCTTTGTTTTCTTCCAAAAGTTTTATAGCTTAGGCTGTATATTTAATTTTATAAACCATTTTGGGTTAATTTTTGTACATGGTGCAAGGAATGGGTTAAGGTTCTTTTTTTCCCTTTTATATACATGTCCAGTTCTTCCAGCACAATTTGTTGAAAAAATTATGCCTTCTCCATTGAATTGCCTTTGCATCTTTGTCAAAAATGAATTGACCAAGTATGTGTGGTTCTATTTCTGTACTCTTTATTCTGTTCCATTGATCTCTGTGTTTATCCTTTTGCCAATACCACACGGTCCTGATTACTGTAGCTTTATATTAACTCAGATAACAAGAGTCCTCCAATGCTGTTTTCCTTTTTCACAATTGTACTAGCTATTGTAGCTCCTTGCCCTTTCCACAAACTTTAGAATCAGCTTTTCAATCTCTACAAAAAATCTTACTGAGATCCTGATTGGGACTGCATTGAATTTATAGATCAATTTGGGGAAAATTAATTACAAAAATATTTAGTCTTCTAATCTATGAACATGGCTAATCTTTCTAATTTACTTAGGTCTTCTTTTAATTTTTTCATTAGTGTTTTATAGCATCCAGCATCCATAGGTTTGCAAATATTTGTTAGCTTTATACCTAAGTATTTAATATTTGTTGTTATGTTAATGGTATTTTTTTAATATTCGATTTCCAATTGTTCATTTCTAACAAATTGAAATTCAATTTATTTTTGTATGTTAATCTTGTGTCCTCAAACCTTGCTGAACTTCCTTGTTAGTTCTAGTAGCTTTTGTGTGTGCGTGTGTGTGTGTGTGTGTGTGTGTGATGGCTTGCGAATTTCTATGCAGTAATTGTGCTGTTTGCAAAGAGAGTTTTATTTCTTCCTTTCCAATCTGCATGTCTTTTGTTTCTTTTTCTTACCTCACTGCATTGGCTAGGAACTTCAGTACAATGTTGAATAGAAGTGGTGAGAGTGCACAACCATGTCTTGTTCCTGATCTTAGGTGAAAAGCATTCATTCAAACACTATTGTGATATTAGTTGTAGACATCTTTTATCCGTTTGAGGAAGTTCCCTTGATTCTTAATTTTCTTAGAGCTTTTGATACAAATGGATGTTGATTTTTTTTAAATTGAGATGGTTATATAGTTTTTCTTCTTCAGTCTATTCATATGGTGACTTACAATGATTGATATTTAAATGTTGAAACAGCCTTGCATTCCTAGGATAAACCCCACATGGTCATGATGTAATATATATAAAATACATAATCTCTCTCTATATATATAAACATATATATCTATATATAAATATATAGATATATAAATATATAAAAATATCTATATATCTATATATAAATATATATCTATATATATATATAGACAGAGCACTAGATTCAATTTGCTATATTTTGTGAAGGACTTTTGTATCTATTTTCATAAAGAATACTGGGCTGTAGTTTTTTTCTAAAGTCTTTGGTTGTGGTGTCAGGGTGATGATAGCTTCATAAAATTATCTGGGAAGTGTTTCTTTCTATTCTATTTTTCAGGAAGAATTTCTGCAACATTGATAATATTTCTTTCTTAATTGTTTGGTAGAATTCACCAGTGATGCCATATGGTATCATTTTTTTTCTTACAATGTTTTTAAGTACTAAGTCAATTTCTTTAATAAATGTAGGACTAATCAGGTTATCTATTTCTTCTGGAGTGAGCTTAGGTAGTATCTGTCTTTCAAAGAATTTGTCCATCAATATAAACTGTCAACATTATAGGCATAAAGTTGTTTATAATGTTCTCTTATCATCTTTTAAATGTCTATAGGATCTGTAATGATGTCTCTTCTTTTGTTCCTGATACTGGTCATTTGTGCCTTCTCTCTTTTAATCTTGGTTAGTCTGCCTAGAGGCTTACCAATTTTATAAAAATGTTCCATGAAACACAGTTTGGTTTCACTGAATTCCTTTTTTTTTTTTTTCTATTTTCCATTTCACTGACTTCTACTTTTGTCTCTATTATTTCCATCTGCTGCTTGCTTGGGTATAATTTGCTTTTCTTTTTCTGGTTTTTTAGAGTGGGAGCTTAGATCATTAATCTGAGATATTTCTTCTTTTCTAATAAAAGTATTTAATGCTAAAAATTTTTCTTAAGCACTACTTTAGCTGCATCTTACAAACTTCAATATGTTGTGTGGTCATTCCCATTTAATTCAAAATATTTTTTTAATATCCTTGTGACTTCCTCTTTGATCCACGGGTTATTTAGAAGTGTGTTTTTGCATTTGGGGGATTTTCTACTTTTTAGTTTAATTCTGTTAAGGTCAGAGAACATAATGTGTAAGATTTTAACTATTTTAAATTGGTTAATATTTGTTTTATGGTCCAGAATATGGTCTATTTTGGTGAATGTTCCATGTGCATTTGAAGTAAATGCATGTTCTGTTGTGTTTTAATGCTCTATAATGGTCTACATGGCCTATAATACCGTTCTATCATAGTCTTCTATAGCAGGGGTCCCTAACCCACAAGCCACAGACTGGGTACTGTGGCCCATTAGGAACTGAGCTACACAACAGGAGGCAAGTGGCAGGTGAGCAAGCATTACCATCTGAGTTCATGCCTCCTGTCAGATCAGCAGCAGCATTAGATTTTCATAGGAGCAAGAACCCTATTGTGAACTGCACATATGAGGGATCTAGGCTGCATGCTCCTTATGAGAATCGAATGCCTGATTATCTGAGGTGGAACAGTTCCATCCTGAAACTATTCCTCCCCACCTCTTGTCTGTGGAAAAATTATTTCCCAGAAAACTGGTCCCTGGTGTCAAAAAGGTTGGGGACCACTGTTCTATAGTATTTTTTTGGGGGGGGGTTACTAGTTCTATTGATTATTGTGAGATATAATTCTGGATTTATTATTTCTGTTTTATTAATTTTTGCTTCATGTATTTTATATTTCTGTTTTTAAGTAAATACACATTTAGGAATGTATGTCTTCTTGCTGGATTGATCCTTTTATCATTAATGTGCCTCTTTATTCCTGTTAATGTGTCTTCATCTGATAGTAATAGAGCCATTCCAGCTTTCTTTTCATTATTGTTTGTATGGTATCTTTTTCCATCTTTCTCCTTTTTATTAATTTTTAATTTACATTTAATTTGTGTCTAGTCCTATAATTTATTTTTGAATTAAAAATATATAAACTTCTTATTTTGGAATAATTTTAGATACAGAAAAGTTGCAAAGATGATCTAGAACGGTCCTGTATACCTTCATTCAGTTTCCCTTAATGTTAACATATTCCATTACCACGGTCCATTTGTCAAAAGCAAGAAACCATCATTGATACATTATTATTAACTAAACTCAAGACTTCATTCAGATTTTACTAGTTTTTACACTCTTGTCTTCTTACTGTTCCAGGATCTTTTCCAGGATATCTCATTGTATTTAGTCATCATGTCTCCTTAGGCTCCTCTGGTCTGTGACAGTTTGTCAGTCTTTCCCTGTTTTCATGACCGTGACAGTATTGAGGAGTATGGTCAGGTATTTTGTAGAATGCCTGAAATTTGGGTTTGTCTGATGTTTTTCTCATAGTTTTTCTGTAGTTATAGGTTGTTGGGGCAGAATAACATAAAGGTGAAGTCCTTCCTCATCGTGTCATATTAGGGGGCACATGATATCAACATGAATTATGACTAATGATATTATCCTTGGTCATTTGGTTAAGGCAGGGTTTGCAGGTTTCTCCATTGCGAATTTTCTGTTTTTCTTCTTTCCGTACTCTATTTTGGATGTGAATCACTAAATCCAACTCACATTCAAAGAGAAGGGAGGGGTGGATAAATAAGCTTCATTTCCTGGAGGAGGAGGTAACTGTTTAAATTATTTGGGGCTGGGCGCGCTGGCTCATGGCTGTAATCCCAGCACTTTGGTAGGCCAAGGCGGGTGGATCACCTGAGGTCAGGAGTTTGAGACCAGCCTGGCCAACACGGTGAAACCTCATCTCTACTAAAAATACAAAAAATTAATCAGGCGTGGTGATGGGTGCCTGTAATCACAGGTACTTGGGAGGCTGAGGCAGGAGAATCGCTTGAATCCAGGAGGCAGAGGTTGCAGTGAGCCAAGATTGCGCCATTGCACTCTAGTCTGGGCAACAAGAGTGAAACTCCATCTCAAAACAAATAAATAAAAATAAATACATTATTTGGAATTCTTCTATAGAAAGATTTGTCACTTCTCACCCTACTCCTATTTTAACCTATCTGTCTTGACATTTAAATTGCAATTCTTAGAGACCACATACAGTTGGGTCTTGCTTATTTATCCAATCTGACAATCTCTGTCTTTTAATTGGTGTATTTAGAACATTCACACTTAATGTAAAGATAGCCTTCACTTTGGACTGTTCCAGTATGTACAAATTCTAGTATTACAGTTTAGTTAAATAACATCAGTACCCCAACATAGTTCAAATTCCAGTTACCATAAAATTGTAATTGCATAAAATATAAATTTGCTGCTAGAACTCTATTCCACAAATCACTACATAAGTGACAGATGCATATCAAGGTCAGTGACCATTCAAGTCATTCCATTCAAAGTCTGTCAGTCATTGGTCACTGTGCATCTGTTTTTGAGTTTGCATACAGACTAAAGAATGTAGTAGTATTGCCTCTTTGACTCCCAGTGATAAATCCACATCATCTTTTTTTCACAAAAAATGTACAAATGAAAGACAGAGTTGGTTAAGGAGGTTAAAAGTACGCCAGAAGAATGAAAACTGATAGTGCTCAAAGTGAAATGGAAATATATTGTAAATAGAATTATAGAAGAAATAGCTGACTGTGGGAATGTAGTGAAACTCAGGATGATTACAACTTTCATCTTGTCCTATTATTGAGGACAAAAGTTGGCTACTAGAAGGCTAGATCTGGGGCAGAGATAATTTCTGTGTGTCCCCAACTGAACTGAGATGCATGAGTATCTTACCTACAGTTGGAATCTTACGTGCTTCATCAAAACTATGCAGAGGAGCTGCTCTGGGTGTAATGGGTGGATTCTGAAAGGTAATCCTTGCTGTTGGTGGAATCAGCCCTCGTTCTATCATACTTAAAATCCCTAAAAAGAAACATTAATAAAATGTGAGTTTAATTCCAAGCAATTCCACAAAGTCTGAGCTCTATAAATTTCACAAGTGTAACTTACTCCATTCATCATCTTATTTGTGAGGGTACATCTAGTGCCTTAATCCTTTGCATAAAAAAATAGCTACAGTACACATTCATTTAAATGTAATATTCTAACCCAAGGAAAAATGTCATTTCCAATGGCAGTAATATGAAATAAAATTGCACTAAAGTAATTTCATTTTAAGGTGGAAATATAATTTCAAGGCAAACTAAAACTTCTTTATACTTATGATATTTTCAATCATTGGTAATATTATTACTCTTTTTAAAATTCAGAGAAATCAGGCACAGATTCTTAATAACTAAGGAGATCCTTTGTTCCAAAAGAAGGAAATCTGTGTACTTGAAACCATGCCCCTGTTGTATAATCAGTCATGCTTTATCAAATAAGGAGTTATTTTTAGACATTTCTCATATCACCAGAAACATTAATGCTCAGATAGGTTATTTTAATACAACTGGGCAAAATGGTTAGTATTAATGTAACTAATTTACAATTCCTAGCATTCATACTGTGTTAGCATGGCTGGTGCCAAATCTTTTGAAGGATAAGAGACATCATTAAATAAATAAACAAATGAATAAGTCAATGAATGATTGACCCAAGCCTGCTGTTAGAGGGAAAACTTTTGTTAAGGTGGATCTACTGTGTTGAAGCCAGAAACCTAAAACTTGGGGACTACTTGCAATAAATTTGTGGTAGGGCTTCAGTTTCTTGTTGCTCTTTTACATAATAGAAAGTAAGTAAAGAGCTCTGGGTCTCAACAAAATCCTAGAATACAAACTGTGTATTCAAGTTGGCCTAAGTTGAAGAATTTGGCACACAACTTGGTCCCTTCTAAGAGGGACCAATGCTATTTCTATTTACCTTATGACCTCTATACTATATTACTATTAAGAATGTTAGTCTAGTGTTATAGGAATTCAGTAGAATGATCACTGAAGGGTTGGAGAGCTGAAAAATAGTTCACTTGTAAAACACTGATTTCAAAGAGAAATCTTCAGTTTACTTACTGAAGAATCATTTAGGAGAAGAATTTGTTATTAAAAGCGGAGATGCCTGGGCCCCAACTCAACCTGTCCAAACTTCTGAGGACAGGGCCTGGGAATCTGCATTATTGAAGGCTCCAGGAGATATTCATGTGCGCTGAAGTTAGAGAACCACTAGAATTGGGGCCCAGTAACATACATGTTAAATAAGCACTCCAGGTTAATCTTTTGTACTCTTAACACTTAAGAATTACTGATCCAGAGTATAACACTTTAGGACCTTTTTGAAATTAGTACTTCAGGTTTTAATTTTTATAACACTAGATTGAACTACTTTAAAAATCTTGTAAGACTAATTCTTTGTCCTCACAAATATTTTCCACCTATAAATATCAAATTTCATTTCCAAGAACTCTGTTTTGCAGATGTGAAAAACAGGTCTCCTTATAATTTAATATATTTTTCATTTCAAGAGTCAGTTTCATTTTCTGAGAATTCTGAAGACTATAAGCACGATTTCAACCCTTGCTTTAGTGCTGGTTGAAGCAATTATCCTAATTTCAGACAAACACATATGTGTGCCCATCTACTATTGGAAGGAAAAAATTAAGATTTTCGAACAAGCAGAAGAGATTACTGAGTATCTTTTCATTGAAATGCTGGAATCTCTGAAGATTATCTGACCTACAGTCCTACAGGACTCTGTATGCATCTTTGTTTTGTTTTGCTTTTTTAGAGACAGGGTCTCATTCTGTTGATCAGGTTGGAGTGCAGTGGCACCATCATAGCTCACTGCACCCTTGAATACCTGGGCTAAAGTGATCCTCCTGCCTTATCCTTGGTAGCTTAAACTATTGGAATAGCACCATCATGTCTGGCTTTTTTTTTTTTAATGTAGAGACTAGGTCTTGCTATATTGTCCAGGCTAGTCTTGAACTCCCGGTTTCAAGCAATCTTCCTGCCTTGGCCTCCCAAGGTGCTGAGATTATAGGTGTGAGCCACTGTGCCAGGTGTGAGCCACTCTGCATCTTTGTTTTTAATTGTCCATTTTATAATTCTGTAAAGATTAAGGTTCATTTGTAGAAATCTGATAAGAATGTCACTAATTATTGTTTATACACATGCAAATTTAAATTCTTACACATGGAAGGACCACTCCCTGAAAAGCCAGTTTTGCATCCATTTGCAAATTTATTTAAATATTCTCGATTTATAAATGTGTCTATTTGGATTGTCCTTTGAATTTACTGTAACATCTTACTAGCTCCCTCACTTAATTAATAAGCTAATAAAATCTTTGACATGTGTTCATTTTATATTTATATAAGAGTCATAACTTTACTTTTAAAAAAAATCATCCTTTAACATTTTGGAGATCCCACTGAGATGAGCAAAACGGTCACCTGAAGTAATCAGAAATGATGTATCTCACAGGAAGCCAAGCCCAGGCATGATTTTTCTTGGCCCCCACAGGTTAATTTAAAGTTTCTTGTTTTTCTAATTTTAATTTTACTCTCTATTAATTTGTTTTTCTTTTTAGTTCATTTATGGATGGCAAGTTATTCCCTGTTGGCAGCTGCCATGATTGGGAATTTGGTGATCTCTGGAAATGATCTAATGTCTTATAGAGAATACAGTTTGTTAGTTTTTGTCCATCTGTCTATTTTGAGCTCAAATTAGGAATTTCTTGTTCACAAGGAAGGAGAACAACTCTTTGATATCTGGACTGGTAAGCTTTTTTGTGTTTCTGTGTTTATTTTCTCTCTCTTTTTCTTTCTTTCTTTATTTTTATTTTTTTTAGACACTCTGTAGCCCAGGCTAGAGTATAGTGGCATGATCTCAGTTCACTGCAACCTCCGCCTCTAGGGCTCAAGCCATCCTCTCGCCTCAGCCTTCTGAGTAGCTGGGACTACAGGTTCACCACCATACCCGGCTCATTTTTGTATTTTTTTGTCGGGGTTGCGGTTTTGCCATTTTGCCCAGGCTGGTCTCAAACTCCCGGACTCCAGCAATCCGTCTACCTTCACAGCCTCCCAAAGTGCTGGGATTAGAGGCATGAGCCGCTGCGCCTGGCCACTTGTGTTTATTCTCTATCTGTGGCTGAAATGGTAGAATTGAGGATATACACTCTATCTGTATGTCTTTGTATCTGTAATTCAGGAAGTTCCTTATCTCCCATTGTGAGTGCAGAATGTTTTCCTGTCTCCAGATGGCATTAATAAATTAGATCATAAAGGAATTCTGTTCTGATTGGCTTGTAGAGATAAATAAGTGTTTATATAAATTGAATATTCATAAAATTACCAGAAAATAAAGAAATCAAACTTGTAATACTTTGAATGTGCTCCCTGGACCTCCCAAATTCAGAAACTCTGATTGAGTCTCTACTTTTCATGGCAATATAGTAATTTACATAGTTTCAGTGCTGCTCTCTTTGTACTAAGACATAACTAGAAAAATCACTATTCAACCAAGGCCTTGCCTAGAATTTTATATTTGAGAATAATGTTTATTTAATCAGGTATGACAAGTTACTGTTTTTTTTTTTTTTTTTTTTTTTTTTTTTTTTTTTTTTGAGATGGAGTATCTCTCTGTTGCCCAGGCTGGAGTGCAGTGTCACGATCTTGATTCACTGTACCTCTGCCTCCCGGGTTCAAGCAATTCTCATGCCTCAGCCTCCAGAGTAGCTGGGATTACAGGTGCCCGCCATCACACCTGGCTAATTTTTGTATTTTTAGTAGAGATGAGGTTTTGCCATGTTGGCCAGGCTGGTTTTGAACTCCTCACCTCAGGTGATCTGCTCGCCTTGGCCTCCCAAAGTGCTGGGATTACAGGTGTGAACCAATGTGCTGGCCGACGAGTCACTTTTAAAGAATCAAGGTTGATGCGTTATAGAGCCAATGCTTACAAGGTCCTCCCAGAAAAACTAGCCTGGTATATGGCTTACATGATTTTCAGCCTTATAGGTGGTAAGGAAGGTCACATGCTATAGCCCTAAGAACTTTAGGATATTTGGAGGACTTCTAGAAGAGAGAAATTTACCCAAATTTATAGGTCCTGCAGTTGAAATCTGATGAACAGAGTTTCTTGGGCTTGATTTTCTAGTCTTGGGATAGCAAATAATAGGGGATTTTATTCAGGCTGAGATTCTCTACAAAAACTTCCAACAAAGCAAATGTAAGGTGGCTTATATGGTAAATGAACATTCTTGCCCCACCTATGTAAATTATCAGGCCAAACCTACTGAGACCAGCCTTATTCTGTGAATTTTTGGTTTTTGAGATTGTTTTCGTCAAAAGGGGAGAAGATTGTAAGAATTTTTTTAAGTTTTAGAATAAGCAAATGGGATCACTGGATATCCTTTTAATAGAGTCCTGAAGTCTCCAGTGAATATCTGAGCCTAGCCTTTGATTAGGCTACTTACAACTCTGTAGATATTGAGGTTACTTTGTAAATAACTGATCATAATGCAAATAATTCTTATCTATAGACATGAAAATAAATTCTGTCTGGTGAAGGGGAATTCTCCTCATGGGAAATCCAATTTTGCATTTATTTGCAAATTTACTTCAGTATTCTTGATCTACAAATGTGTCCATTCTTTGGATTTTCTTTTGAACTGGTTGTTAACTGATGAATTAAATAAAAATCTTTGACCTGTGTTCATTTTATGTTTGTATGAGAGTCATGATTTTAGCTGTTTTTGAAAGTTATCCTTTAACACCATTGTTTTATTAAATCCTCATCCATGTTTAATAAAACACCATGTTTTATTAAATCCACCCTTACTTTCCTGTTGAATAGATTAAGAATTGGAAGTTCATTCATTCTGTCATTCGTTTAACTAATAAAGTGCCTATTATGTGTCAACAACTATTCTGGGGGCTGGGGATGCAGTGGTGAACCAAAAAGACCTCATGGAGCCTCAACTGGTAAAGAAGATATTAAATAGATTTAAAATAAATATATTATGATAAATTGTGATAATCTCTGAAGGAAAAGGGCAGGTGCTTGAGGAAGTGACCTTTACTGGCAGAGGAAAAGGCACTTGTGAAAGCCTGATCTGCAAATGTGCTTGGCCTGATAAAGATGAGAGATGAGAGCGAAGGCCTAGGTGGCTAAGTATAGAGAGAGCTGAGTGAGATGAGAAATGGAGATGTAGGTGAGGGCCAGATCAAGCACACCTTGTTCATAGAGTTCAGAGTTTCTTCTAAGATCAGAGAGCAATTTGCCTCAAGTCACAGAGCCAAACTGAAATTTGGTCTATGTAATGTAAAACTTGTATTCTTAACCATTTGGAGGGGTGGGGCAAAGCTTTCTTTTTTGGATTTAGCCAGGTATTCAAGAAAAAGTAGGAAAGTTTGAAGTTCATTTTTCAAAATGATTCTCTCTTCTGCATGTTATTAGTCTTTCACCTCATTCTGGACCTGTGTAGATCTGGGGTGAGGCTAAAACAACATTTAAGGGCATCAGAAACACCTAAAAAAATATAGACACTGTATTTATATTTCTGTGGCTTGTGGCTTCCTGACATTCATAGTATCTTGCACAATACCAGACATATTGCAAGTACTCAATAAATATATGCCGATTAATTTATTAATCCCTAATATGACAGTAGGCCATGTGTTCTCATGAAGATAATTTAGAAATGAAAATGTGATTTTTTTTCTGGATGAAGTTGCCAAAATTCTACATTTACTTTTATTTTGTGGCATTTTTTTATTGTCTCTATTGCTAAAGCAGAGCAGACAGATAGATAGATAGATAGATAGATAGATAGATAGATAGATAGACAGACAGATATATCGATTCATTCATTCATTCACTATTTCATTCATCCTAATTTGGTTCAGGAAGAATATAAGATGGTATTAAAGCAAGAAATGGGAACACTCTGCTGGTGTTATTCAGTATTCCCAGGAAGTAAATATTACATAAGCTAACTAGAAAGCATATGTCACAAAGATTGCTGAACAATGGTTTATAACCAGGAAAGTTGTGAGAAGCTTAACAAATCCAGAGATTTATAATGATCTCAGGTTATCTACCACCAGCAGACAGAAGATGCAGTAGCTAGAAGCTGGAGGACTTTGAATTTCCAGGTGGCAGAAGAACCTTTGGGAACCAGCTTTGGGTCCTAAAAATTCCAGACAACAGATAGAAGGCGAGATAAGGAATAATTAAAGACCGTCTCACTAAGTTATATTTGAGATAGGAAAGGGATCCACTTAGGCATTTTTTAACACTTTGGTCAATTAAATTAAATAGCAGGGAACAGTAGAGATGGTTACACTTAGGACATTCAGTATTTGGTCACTCGCTTGCTTATTCTTTCATTTTCTTATTCACTCAATCTACACTTAGTATCTACAAAATGCTGGATATGGTTCTAGGTGCTAGAGATACTGAGATAAAGATGAAATCCTTTGCTTAAAAACAAAATCCACTGGTTTCACAAGACTAGAGTTTAGACTAAAACATGCATAGTTTAAACACTAATTACATTAATTCTGGCTTCATATTTCCTTATAATAGGGTATTGAAATAAATTTTTAAAATGCTACCAGAATAATATATCAAAAATGATCTGCTCAGAAACTTAATAAATTCTAATGCTATCACATAAACACAATGATCATTTTAATAGGTAATAACACCATCTAAATCAATATTAAATCCATAGAATGATGAATTTTACAGGTGGAAGGGACTCTAGTGATCGTCTTGTCCAACCTTTTAATTTACAGAGCAGGAAACTCAGACCAGAGTGAGGACCTGACTTGTCTGAGGCCACCCAGGAGAATTAGTGGCTGAGCCAGAGTCCAAATTCAGGCCTCCGATCCTACCTCAATGCTCTTTCTTTTCCGTTCCTAAACACGTAAAATGGCTATTGAATCACTAACCTTTGTGGGCATCTGCTTGTAAGACTGGTATAGGAGTGAAATAGGGATCTGTGCAATGAGAAGATGGCAGAACCGTGAGGCTGGATATGTTAGACCCTTTGATTAACTTCGAAACCTTTATCTAGATAATAAAAAATTTGTTTCAGCAAACATTTTTGCCTTCACAGTGAACAGTTTTCTTCTTGTAAACAATAAATAAAGTTATGAATAGTTGCATTAAGTTTTAATAAAGTAGCAATATCAGCTCCAATTTTATTGCTCATGAATACCCTGTGCTATTGTCTACTACCATCAGGAGTTTGTGTAATTTAAAATAGTTAATTAAATCCAATTAACAAGTTGTGATTTCCACTATATAAAGTCAACATAGTAGTTAATAAAAGAACTATTAAGATTTTGTTCAATTTTAATGACTACAATATACAAATGCTAAATCTTGACAGAGGAGGTTTTGAATACAGCAAAGTTTTGTACCAAAAAATTTCCCAGGAAATAAATGTTAGAGTGTTAATGTTAAAACAAAAAACCTGGAAGACTTAAAAGATAAACATGTCAATCAATATTAATTCTGGGTAGATTCTTTTGCAGATCTCAGAGATGGTTACAAAGACACAATATCTAGATCAGTTAGAGAAGATAATTACTTTTCCTAAAGTCATAAAATGCTTTTATTACAGTTACAAAATATGAATTGTTTCTATTAAATGGTTTCTAGATTTTAAAGATTACATATATTGCATATAAATCACATTTGATTGTATAGTCCAACTATACTATTTTTACCTTTATCGTAGGAGTTTATGAATTACCTGGGTTCTCTCAGCAGGGAAAATGCAACTTTGGTATTTATAGTTTGGTATTTATAGACTGAATTTTCAAGTCATTTTCCAAACATTAATTAATTTACATAACTTCCAAGGGAACTAGGTAACAGTTTGCTATTTAACTAATAAAGAACTCAAGACAGAAAGATTAGAAATTTGTTTCAGGCCATGCAGTATACTAGATATGCACAGATTATTCAATTCTGAAATTAATCTGATTTTACATTGGTAAAATTTGCCATTGGACTCGGTTGCACAATACCTTATTGCCATTAAGGTCATAGTGACTTTAAGGAAAAAGAAAGGGAAAGCTTCATCAAGACCAGAGGGAGAAAATCACTTTACAAAATAAGTATCTATTAGCTGAGAAATGTCTGGACAAAGGGTTAGGGCCCCCACTGCCAGGATGTGGTAACACCATGAACATCAAACACTTTGATGATGTTTGGTAAATAAATAAAAATAGTATTTTGAATAGGAAAGAGTAGACTGTTAGTGCAATCTGTTTCTCCCCAGGTGAGTCAGAAGGGGAAAGGGAGGTGCTACCAGCCTCGCCTTAATGAGAGTGCAGGACTCATAAGAAGATTTATTTATTATGAGACTCTGGTCTTCCTGATCCACATTGGTTTCTTGCCCTTATCCTCAGCTCTCCTCTCCCCACCTCATCTCCAGACATGAGTAGCTTCCAGGATCTCCTCCTAATCAGTAAGGCTGAGATATCCAATGCACTGTGCTCTAGCAGGCATGTACATAGCTGAGAATATTCAATATCAAAAGCGGCAGGGTCTCCACTTGTCTGATTGATATAAAGGTCAGTGAGACAAAGGTAAATCGGAGGAAGAGAGAAAGATTCAACTTAAATAAAACTGTCAAGCACTGTGATGATGTAAAATATAGGTTTGGCAGTTTCAGGACAAAGAGGATAATTTATCCGGATTTTCTCAAAGCCTTTGACAAAGAACACCTGACAACCTGCTCTGACAAGCTAAAGTAGCAGGATCGAACATAAAACACAACATAAAGGATGACACAAAGGAGAGGACAGTAGGCAAGTGATGTTCAGACTCTGTCAGGCAATCAGCACATTCATCACACTGCTTTAATTCTTTCAATTGCATCAATCTAAACAATGTAAAAACCAGACCGAAGAACTATGCTGAAAAGGCAGTGAGGTGACTGTGTGTGTAGTGTGTGTGTGTGCACGTGTGTGTGTGTGTATGTGTTGGAGAATGGAAGGTGGTGTTTTCGTTGACAGAAATAAATCCCTCAGATAGTGTCACTGGATAGGAAACATCTGTCCACTCTGCTGTCCTCTTCCATGGTAAGGATAATCACTTCTGCGTATGCTTGGTTGGAGGGTGAAGGAATGAAACAACCTTCAGCATTTACTGAGCACTTACTATATAACACTAACTTTAACACGCTGAGCATTAAATTTCATGAGCAATGGAAAAGCTAAGGGCTGTAGGAGTATAGAAGAGGGAGTAATTAACTCTGCCTGCTTGTATTGCAGAAGGCTTTGCAGCGACTCTCAGCCCTGGCTGTATATTAGAATCGCTCAGGGAGCTTTTTAAAAATACTGCCGCCTGGGCCCCAACCCTGGGACCCAACCCTGGGCAATTAACTCAGAATAGGTAGGCTGGGGCCTGGGCCTCAGTATTTCTAGAAAGCTCCCCAGGTGATTCTGATGCGTAGCCAAAGTTAAGATGTACTGCAGTAAGTGACATTTAAATTGCATCTTAAATAAAGCACTAAATTATATCAGGTGGAGAAGAGGATGCAGTTATAGGTAGTAAAAGTGGTAGCAATGGTGCAAAACAGCATATTTCATGCATGAAGATTTCACTGACGAGAAGGAGCTCTATGTGACTGGAGTATAGGGTATGGGTATGAGAAGGAGGGTAGGATGGGGGAATGAGACTGGAAAGGTAGATTGAGACTGATGCAAATTAAAGAAACCAGCTTTATGAATGTGCTGATCGCCTGAAAGGATTCAAGTATCATCTGCTGTGGCTTCTTCTTTTTGTCATGTTTTTTATTATATTTTATTCTGCAACCACACTTTGTAGTTTGTATAATATGATATAATATAAATCATATTATAAATAGAACAATGTCCCTTCTAGCTAGTTTCTCATTATTATTTCCTCAACTGGAATTCAGAACTTTATCACTTGATGCTAAATCTTCTATAATAGCTTAAAATTTTTTTTTCAGACAGGGCCTTACTCTGTCACCCAGGCTGGAGTTCAGTGGCACGATCACAGCTCATTGCAGCCTTCACCTCCTGAGCTCAGATGATCCTCCCACCTCAGCCTCCCAGGTAGCTGGGACCACAGGTGTGCACCAACACACCTGGTTAATTTTTTGTATTTTTTGTAGAGACAGGGTTTCGCTATGTTGCCCAGGCTAGTCTTGAACTCCTGAGCTCAAGCCATCCTACTGCCTTGGCCTCCCAAAGTGTTGGGATTACAGGTGTGAACCACTGCACCCTGCCAAAAATTTTTGAAAATGTAAAAAATATAGAAAAGCTTAAAGAAGAAAACAGCAATCATATTCCCATCAGCCAGAATTAACTATTGTTAATATTTTGGCATATTTGCTTCCAGTGTTTTCAAATAGAAAAACCATTCTATTTTATTATTTTGGTAAAAATGATGTATGCCCATTATAAAGATTTCAAGCAGTGTAGAAATACAAAAGACAAAAGTTTAAGAGATCATGCCAAATATCATCAGGTGATCCATCGTCCCTGACATCTTTAGAATGATATATCCTTGTATAAAAAATAGGACTTATGTTATTAATTTTACATGAGGAAAAAAGGCTGAATTAAACCTAACACATTATTAAACTTCAAATAAATATTTCTTTACCACAAGATTTCTCTGAATTAAAAATGATTCCTCTGCAAGGGCTGGCAAATTTTTCCTTAAAGGGCCAAATAACAAACATTTTAGGCATGAAGGCTCTGTTCAGATTTGTTGTTTTGTAGTTAAAAGCAGCAGGCAGACAATTTGTAAATAAATGAGTGAAGCTGTGGTCTGAAAGTTAGTGTCCCTCCTAAATTCACATGTTGAAACTTAATCACCAATGTGATACTTTTAAGAGATGGGGCCTTTGGAAGGTGGTTTGATCATGAGGATGGAATCGTCATGAATGGGATTATAAAAAGAGACCCCAGAGAGCTGCTATGTCCCCTCCACCATGTGAGGACACAGAGAAAAGGCGCCATCTATGAACCAGGAAACAGGTCCTCACCAGACACCAAATCTGCCAGCAGCTTGATTTTGGACTTCTCAGCTTCCAAAACTGTGAGAAATAAATTTCTGTTATTTATAAACCACCCAGTTTATCGTATTTTTGTTATAGCAGCCCAAATGGACAAAAACTTTATTTACAAAAACAGGTGGCCTGCCCTCAAGCAGTAGTTTGTGTACCCCTGCTCTAGAGTTAAAGTTGACTCTGAAAAATGTTTAGATCTATTTACCACGATTTTATTTTGAATACTATATCTTAGCTTCAAATGGTGAGAAAATTAGAACTCTCTTGATGTCCTGATCTCCACTCCCTCACCTCCCCAATCTTGATTGTATCTTAATTTTTGCACCATCCAGATTTATAATGTTCACATTCTGTTTTGGTACCATGATTCTATAATTGTTTAGTATTAGCTCTACATATAAATGGGTCCAGTGCTCACATATAGTTCATTTGTCATGGCTTCTCTGCTTGAGCTCTTTTATTGATCTCTTAATTGGCTAGCTTTGGTTATCAAGTAGTTTTTCCCAACAAGTGTTCATGTGTACTTTACTAGAATTAAAGCAAGTCATACTTGAATTACATCTGGGGTCATCCTTTCTTTTCTCCAAATTTTGTAGACATTGCACCATTTTCTTCCACAATGATAATTATTGTGAAGTCTGACAGCCATCTGCTTTTCCACCCCTGGTTGGTGATTTACTTTCTTCTCATCTGGATGTCTGAAGCATTCTTTGTCTTTGAAATCCAAATATTTAACTAAAATATATTTGTATGTTAAATATTCAAAATCAAATTTTCCTGGGATTTGATGTTTTCTTTTTACCTGTAGACTCAGTTCTTCCTTGACTTTGAGAAAATTTTCTTACATTATATTATCGAATACCCTTTCTCTTTCATTTTCTGGGTTCTCTGGTTTAGGGACACCAAATATCCTTAAATGTTGGCTCATCCTTATCTTTCATATTGTGGTACTTGGTTCCTTTTAGAATAGGACATCCTGAGTTTTAGCTGAGTACATGTCTGTCCACTTACAGAATACATTTCCCAGCATCCCCTGTGGCTAAATGTGGACCAGTGACCAAATTCCAGCCAATAAGTTGTAAGCAGAAGTGATCTGTGTAACCTCTGGGTCATGTCCTCAGAGTGCTTGGCAGTACTATCATCATCCTTCCTAAGGGCTGAAATGTGGGTGTGGAGAGGAGCCAGCTTCCACCACTGGGATTAGAATGTCCTGTAACTACTGTAATGAGGAGCTGATGGAGATCAAGATGAAAGAAATCGTATCTTGAATGACTGTGTAGAGCAGAGCTGTCCTGCCAGCCTTGGACTTCTCACTTGTGGACTGTTTTGAGAATGAGAAATACACTAATTTATTTAAGTCATTATATTTTTGGATTTCTTTCTTATAGTTTGTACCAAACTAATAGGTATATCTATTAGCTTCTAATTAACCTCCTTTGTCTTTTTCTTCTGCATTTACTGTACTTAAAGTCTTTTCTCTATGTCAGTATTTTAATATTCAGCAGTGTTTGTTATGTTCATTGTATTTATAGTTTATTTATGAGTTCCATAAAGTATTCTGGTATTCAATTTGTTTCCTTATATCTGCAAGGATATATATCCCTTATATCCCTTTTTTATTCTTCTATTTTATCATCTCATGTTTGAGCTCTAGTTTAAATTAATTTATGTTCTCTTTAAGTTGTAGTATAATGTGAAGTAATTGTGAGAAAATTCCTTCTGCTCCTTCATTTATGTTTTTTCTAGGTTAGGCTTTGTCTTTTGCAGCCCCTAATTCTCCCTTCCATTTCCCCTCCCTTGCTTTCGTTAGCTGTGGGTGAAATACTGACTTGGAGAAAATACAAAGACCACAGGAAATCCATATAGTGACCATATCATTTCTTTTTCTCTTGTGCATACTTGGGTAGCTCTGTCCAGACATTCTACTTGCTGTGATGTAGAATCTCCTCTCCCATTATCTGGTACCAGTGTGTGATCTCTCCCAGCAACATGTGAGAACTGGGCATTCTGGGTTTTTTTCTACCTTTCTGTTACCTGAGGGCTTGGATGGGGGTAAGCCTCTGTTGAGGTATGCAGTCCTTGTTAAAGTTTTTAGGCTCTCCTGCCTGTCTTGAGATCTTGAGAAATATCCTCCATCAGGGCTTGCTTACTTAGTTGAAGATAAGGCCATCCCTCCCTACCTTCAACCCCATGTTATGGAAGAGGAAAACTAAGAAGCAGAAAGGAAAAATAGCCAAAGCATACAGTTTATCAATTTCAGAGGCAGAATGAAAAATGCATGTCACTGCTTCATGGCCCAGTGGGGCTTTTTTGTTTGTTTTTTGTTGTTTTTTTACTGCACTTTCTTAGTTTCTGATGCTTTCACCAAGCACAGCTTAGGTCACCGGCTCTACCCTATGTCCTACCACTCTGCCAGCTTTCTCAGGTCTTTCTTGGTGCCACTTAAATACAGTAGGAGTCTCACTTCCTCTTGGTCAGGTTTACCAGCATTCTTGGAGACAGAAGAAAATTCCCTGGGGAGGCATCTATAATAAAGGCAAGAATCTTGGGCTTGGAGCACTGGACTGGATTCCTAGCTCTGTCACTTAATTAGCAATGTGCAGAGTGTATGTTATTTAACTTCTCTGAGTCTCAGTTTTATCTTCTGTAAAATAGGAATCCTCTTATCCACAGGGCAAGTAATTTTTATGTAAAGGATCTGCTTCTGGAAGCATTTCATAATTCTGAACTCACATAATTCAAGACAGGCAAAGAATGGCAGGTATGGCAAAGACTGCTGGCTGACATCCAGAAATTACATCTCCCAGACTGCCTTGCAGCTTTCTGTGGCTTTCAGACAAGGTTCTGGCCAGTGGTATAGGAACCTACTGACTCTACTGACTGAAATAAAGACATGATGGTGGGAGCCGAGTAGCCACCGGAGATCACAAGATGCCTGTCCAGGAGGTCAGAGCAGTCAGATGGAAAGTGTGTATGGACCTGACATTGTGGAACTGCCAGACGAGCCACAAACTTCTATGCTCAAACTGTTAATTATGGTTGTATTTAATCTATTGTTATTTTCTACATTTTCAGAGCTCATATCCTAAATAATACAGGACACACACACACACATATATAATTCACTATATATGTGTATATGTGTGTGTGTGTGTGTGTGTGTGTATAATTCACTCAAATTTGAATTATTTCAAACTTTATGTATAAAGCCAGAATTTGGCTAGGTGCAGCGGCTCATGCCTGCAATCCCAGTGCTTTGGGAGGGTGATGTGGGAGGATTGCTTAAGGCCAGGAGTTCGAGACCAGACTAAGCCACATAGTGAGATCCAGGCTCCACAAAAAATAAAAAAAATTATCTGGGCATGCACCTGTAATCTCAGCTACTTGGGAGGCTGAGTGAGGTGAGAGGATTGCTTGAGCCCAGGAGTTTAAGGCTACAGTGAGCTATGATTATGCCACTACATTCCAGCCTGAGTGACAGACAGACCTGGTTTCTATATCATGATACTTTGAATTTATAAAATCCTATTTTACATAAAATTCACCATCACTGTTCTTCCATAAGGCTATTGTGAGGAATTAATGAATTAATATATGGAGATGCACTCCATAAATTATTTTTCACACCAGGAATGGGTTTTTTTCCATGTAAACATTTTATTGAAGTACAACATTTTTTTTTTTTTTTGAGACAAGGTCTTGCTCTGTTGCCCAGGCTGGGGTGCAGTGGTGTAATCACAGCTCACTACAGCCTCGACCTCCTGGGCTCAAGCAATCCTCCTACCTCAGCCTCTTGAGCAGCTGGAACTACAGGTGCACACCACCAGGCCTGGGTAATTTTTGTATTTTGTGTAGAGATTAGGTTTCACCATGGTGTCCAGGCTAGTCTTAAACTCCTAGGCTCAAGTGATCCTCCCATCTCAGCCTTCCAAAGTGCTGGGATTACAAGTGTGAGCCACCATGCCCAGCCACAATATTCATTTTTTAAAAGGCACAAGTGATCAATTGTTATCATGTGACCACTGTGGGTAACTAGTATCCAGAGGAAGGAGTAGAGCATTACAGACACCAGAAGCCCCTTGTGTGCTCCCTCCCAGTCACTACCACAACTCAAAGGCAGCCAGCATTCTGAATTCTATTGCCACCTATTGTTTTTGTTTTCAAACTTTATATAGATTATTACAGTATGTATTCTTTTGTATCTGGCTTTTTTCTTTCAAAACTGGTTGTGAGATTCACCATGTTATTGTGTACAGCAGTATGTTCATGCCATGAACTTTTAAGTATTGATTTTAAGTCATAAATTATACATATTATCAGTAAGACCTGAGCCTCACCTAGCACTTTTTTGCATTTCTTACAATGTTCCTTCTAGAATATTCTCCTCCTCTAGGCTCTGCTATTAAATTCTTGTCACCCTTTAACAACTAGCTAAAACGTAATCTCCTGTAGGAAATCACTTCTGATCTCTTCTTCCTCTGATTTTCTATAGTTTTTCTTTTTACTTATCTTGTTACATTTATAACATATATTGTAATTATTTGTATACTATTCTGAAGGCATTATGCAATTCAAAACTCATTTAATTCTGTCTTATTATCTCAACTGAAGAAGAAAAAGAGCAAAGAATGTTTTAAAAAATAATCACTTAAGACTTTCCGGGAAGGAGCAATTAAAATGAACATATTAGTAGCAAATATTTTCTATTTTGATAAAGGTAATATAATAGCAAGTATTACTTTTATGGTAATGGTGGAGCAGCTTATAAAAGACTCTCTCTCCTGAAGACAATAATAACAAACTCTGGACAAAATGTAAAAAAAAAACTAAAAACAAACAAACAAAAAACCCCCACAAAACTCCAACTATTTGAAGGCACTGAGAATGAAAGCAGGCAGAAGCTAGAGGGTAGCTGATCTTGAAAGAAGGGAACTTCAACAGTTGAGATTTATGTGTGTGTAATTTCTGGCCTGGAAGTACTTCTCAGACTATGAGAGGCAGAGTGGCTATAATTCAAGAAGAAAAACACAGTCTTACTGGCTTGAAAGTCAGAGGATGGAGTTTAGTGCTGTCATAAAAGCTGAAAATAGGGGGAAATAATAGAAATGAGGAAATTGCAAGAAGGACAGGAGATTCCAAAATTTGCAAATAAATGACATATAAATCCTTGGCTGACCTCTGAGCTCCATGTATCTGAAAGAGGTTTTAAAGGAGCCCAGCCAGGATGGAACTGTTAAAGATTTTTAAAAGCTGAGCAGAGATTTCAGCTGCTACCAACCACAGCAAGCATAGAGTCTGGAGTTTGAATCTAGCCAAATTAACTGCCTACTTGAATAAGAATCAGCACTTTAGGAAGCAAGATAACAATTCCAAGTCTCTAGAACGTATCATTTATAATGTTCATAACAATAAAAGTTCTTGTACATACAAAGAAATAGGAAGATGTAGTCCACAGTAAAAAGAAAAAGTAGGCAATAAAAACAGATCCTAAGATGACTCTGATATCAGAATGAGCAGATAAGGACTCTAGAGCTGCTGTTATACATTTTTTTTTAAGATTTGATGTGATTTATTATGCAGCAATGTATCATCAAATCATGGAGTATCAAAATATTCAGACATTGCATGTCCATGCTTCTAAATATTTTAGGTTTTTAAATAGATGACCAAAAGAAATACCAATAATTTTGCATAATGGGTAACACTTAAGCTATGGTGATTCACAAACTCAGAAAGCTTGTAATTGAAAAAAGAAATCATATTTACTTGATTTTGTCTCTGAATTTCCTTATGACTTGTACTCACTTCTAATATAACCACTTCTAATATACTCTCTGCTAATACAATATACCTAAATTATAAATTGAATTATACTTCTCTTTCCTACAGCGAGCCTCCATTTAACAAATGTAAATAGAAATCTGAAAAATACATAGGATATTCTAGATTAAGAATTTCTGTTTATATTTTAAGTAAAATTTTCAATGCTTTAAGTAAATATATTCATATTGATCAGTCCTTAAAATTAACAGAAACCTTTAGTAAATCTTCACATTTTGACAACGATGTTCAAAAACAATGCTTGCAAGGTAAACTAAAATCTGAAATCAATTTACTGAAATATAGAAAGCATTAAAATATTGTAGTGAAACTCAGTGCATATTAACAATTTAGGTTAATTAAAATAATAGGCTGATTTGATATTGAAATATGTTTATATATTCATCTGAAAATTGTTGTTTTCTATAAGCTGCTTGTAGAATTAATAAAAAATGTTTCCCTGTGGATTTCAGGGGATTTTTTTAATTGAAAACTTCACACCAGTTAGAATGACGATCATTAAAAAGTCAGGAAACAACAGGGGCTGGAGAGGATGTGGAGAAATAGGAACACCCTTACACCGCTGGTGGGACAGCAAACTAGTTCAACCATTGTGGAAGACAGTGTGGCGACTCCTGAAGGATCCAGAACTAGAAATACCATTTGACCCAGCCATCCCATTACTGGGTGTATACCCAAAGGATTATAAATCATGCTGCTATAAAGACACATGCACACATATGTTTATTGCAGCACTATTCACAATAGCAAAGACTTGGAACCAACCCAAATGTCCATCAATGATAGACTGGATTAAGAAAATGAGGCACATATATACCATGGAATACTATGCATCCATAAAAAGGATGAGCTCATGTCCTTTGTAGGGACATGGATGAAGCTGGAAACCATGATTCTGAGCAAACTATCGCAAGGACAAAAAAACCAAACACCACATGTTCTCACTCACAGGTGGGAATTGAACAATGAGAACACTTGGACACAGGAAGGGGAACATCACACACCAGGGCCTGTTGTGGGGTGGGGGTAGTGGGGAGGGACAGCATTAGGAGATACACCCAATGTAAATGACGAGTTAATGGGTGCAGCACACCAACATGGCACACGCACACACATGCAACAAACCTGCACGTTGTGCACATGTACCCTAGAACTTAAAGTGTAATAATAAAAAAAAGATTAATGTAAACAACCTCCTATTTCTAAAATATTCTAAATCTCTAATTAATATTAAATATTTTGAGGAAAGAAATTTTGAAGAGATTTTATGCCAAAAATGATAAAAGTCTATGGCACATACTTAGAATTTATAAAACCCAGATTATCAAAGGACATTCTGTAATAAAGCATCAAATGAAAATTATAATTTTAAATCAAAAATAAAATATAAACATATTAAATATTAAGTTGCTATTTGATTATATTAGTAAGTTATTGTTTATTTTCTTAGGTGTTATAATGGCATTTTGGTTATGCAGAATATTTCTTGTTTTGAAGAGACTCATGATGCACTATTTAGGATAAAGTATCGTAAGTATAATGTACTTGCAGACACTTAGCAAACAATACATATATGATTATAAATAATTATATGTACATACTTCAAAAGTGAGTGTATTTTCATTTTAGATAATAGTTATATTGTTATCCATTGTACTATTCTTTTAACCTCTGTATTATTAATGCTATACATAAACAATTGACAAAGGTAGCTTTTTCCCCAACTTTATTAAGGCATAATTGACAAATGAAAATTGCATATATTTAAAGCATACAAGATGATGTTTAGATATATGTGTTATACATATTTTAAGGACCTTAAAAAATAATAATACTAAATGAACACGTGGAAAATCTTGGCAGAGAAATTAAATGTATATAAAAGAGGACTAAATGGAAATTCTAAAACTGAAAGTAAAATATTTCAAATAAAAAATTAATCAAATAGGTTTGACAGCAAATTTGAGTAGGCAGAAGAAAGGGTAGGGAACTTGAAGAGCAATCAATAGCTATTACCTAATCCGAATAACAAGAAAAAAAATTTTACATAATGGTTCTTCAGTGACCTGTAGGACAAAGTCATGTGGTATAATCTGCATGTAATTGAAGCCCCAGAAGGAGAGGAGGGAGAGAATCATAGAGAAAAATATTTAAAGAAACAATGGCCAAAATCTTGCTCAATTTGTTAAAAAAACAGAAGCTTACAGATCCTAGAAACTCATACGATGAACCCCAAGCAGAATAAACACAAAGAAAACTACATTCAAGCATATGATAATCAAACCCCTGGAAGTCAAAGGCAAGAAAATCTTGAAAGCAGCCAGAAAAGAAAAAAAGATCCATTATACCCACAGAGGATCAATTATGTGAATAATGGTTGACTTCTCATCAGAAACAATGGAACTTTAAAGCACTGAATAAGGAAAAAACAAAAAACAAAAAACATGGCTACCCCAAATTCTATACCCAGTGAAAAATCTTTCAAAATAAAGGTGATCTAAATATTTTTTTGACTTCTTTTTTTTTTTTTTTTTTTAGACAGAGTCTCACTGCTGTTGCCCAGGCTGGAGTGCAATGGAGCTATCTTTGCTCACTGCAACCTCCGCCTCCTGGGTTCAAGCAATTCTCCTGTCTCAGCCTCCTGAGTAGCTGAGATAACAGGCATGTGCCACCACGCCTGGCTAATTTTTATATTTTCAGTAGAGGCGGGGTTTTGTCATGTTGGCCAGGTTGGTCTCGAACTCTGGACCTCAATGATCGCCCGCCTTGGCCTCCCAAAGTGCTGGGATTATAAGTGTGAGCCACTGTGCTTGGCCAATCTAAAGACTTTTTTTTTTTTTTTGGACAAAAGACAGGCAAGTGTTACCAGCAGGCATGAGCTTTCTTTTAAGAAATGCTTGAGGCTGGGCGTGGTAGCTCACGCCTGTAATCCCAGCACTTTGGGAGGCTGAGGTGGATGGATCACAAGGTGAGGAGTTCGAGACCAGCAGCCTGGCCAACATGGTGAAACCCCATCTCTACTAAAAATACAAAAATTAGCCAGGCCTGGTGGTGGGTACCTGTAATCCCAGCTGCTTGGGAGGCTGAGACAGGAGAACCACTTGAGCCCGGGAGGTGGAGGTTGCAGTGAGCCGAGATCACGCCATTGCATTCCAGCCGGGGTAACAGAGCAAGACTCCATCTCAAAAAAAAAAAAAAAAAAAAAAGAAATGCTTAAAAAACATTCTTCGAGCTGACAGAAAATGACTTCAGATGACAACTCAGATATATATGGCAAATATAAAAGATAATATCTTTTTCTTCTCTTAATTTCTCTCAAAGACAATTGGCTATTTAAAACAAAAATTATTATACAGTGTGCATTTTATAATATATGTAAAGTAGATGATAACGATAGCACAAAAAATTGGGAGGTCAATAGTTGCAAATTCCTTACATTTTATGTGAACTGGTGCAATATTAACTCCAAAGAAACTCTGGTAACTTAAGGATGAATATTGTAATTCCTAGAGCAACCACTAAAAATAATATGAAGAGGTATAGTTTAAAAGCCATAAAAGATTTAAAATGGAATGTTAAAAATTATTTTAAAATATGTAACCCTGGCTGGGCACGGTGGCTCACACCTGTAATCCCAGCACTTTGGGAGGCTGAGGCAGGCAGATCACGAGGTCAGGAGATTGAGACCATCCTGGCTAACACGGTGAAACCCCGTCTTCACTAAAAATACAAAAAATTAGCCAGGCATGGTGGTGGGTTCCTGTAGTCCCAGCTACTCGGGAGGCTGGGGCAGGAGAATGGCGTGAACCTGGGAGGCAGAGCTTGCAGTGAGCCGAGATCGCACCACTGCACTCCAGCCTGGACGACAGAGCAAGACTCCGTCTCAAAAAAAAAAAAAAAAAAAAATGTAACCCTAAGTCAGAAAACAAAGAATAAGGAACAAAAAATGGATGGGATAAATAGAAAACAAATAGAAAGATAGTTGTGATAGTGGCAGGAGGCAGATAAATAATTAGGCAGATAGGGGCAGGTCCCCAGTGAAAACTGACGAAGGCTGAGACAATTTAAAGCCTAGCTACAAGTCTCAGGTAAATCCTTGGACCAGATTGAGAACCTTTCTTCCCATTTGGTGTGCTTTCCTCTGATTGAACCCACTGTTCACCTATTTTACATACACCTACCCTTTCCTAATTGGTTTTTTACATTGTCATGCCCACCTTTGAGTGGTGTTTTCCCTTTAACCTCTTTTGCATAATCACAAACCAATCAGCACACACTCCCCATTCTGAGTCCATAAAAAGCCCTAGACCCAGCAAGACTGGAAGATAAACCACCCAACTGGTGGTGGGGAACCACCCCCCACATCCCCTGTCCACTGAGAGCTGTTCTGTTGCTCAATAAAATTCTTCTCTGCCCTCCTCAACCTTCAAATTGTTAGCATGATCTCATTCTTCTTGGACGCAGGACAAGAGCTCAGGAACAACTGAACACAGGCAAAAGCTGTATGTAACCTAGGCGGGCTGAGTGGGCAGGGCACCTCCAGCGTCAGGGCCCAGGGCTGAGCAAGGCCCAGGGTGTATGTCGCCAGTTGTGGAGGTCCCCAGTTGGCAAAGTAGACAAGGAAAGTCCTGTGTCAGTTGTTCTAAATCAAACCATATCTAAATTTCATTAAATGGAAATGAACTAAACACTCAAAAAGCGGAGATTATCAGACTGAACTTAAAAAACAGGACATGACTAAATGCTACTCTAAGAAATGCATTTTAATTTTAAAGACACAGGTTGAAAGTAACAACAGAAAAGACTGATATACCATGCAAACAGTAAGCAAAATAGAGATGAAGTAATTATATTAATATCAAAGTAGACTTTAAGACAAAAAGAACTATGAGAGAGGAAAAGAGATTTTTCTTAAACAGATGAAACTGATGAAAGAGTCTTAAACAGATGAAAGTTTCTTATAACCAGGAAAACACAACAATAATAAATGTGAATGTCTCTAATAATATTAACACAAAATATGTAAAACAAAAATTGTCAGAACTAAAGGAAAAAATAGACAAATCTTCAATTAGAGTTGATGATTTTAAAAGCCTCTTCTCAGTAATTGGTAGAACAATTAATTTTTAAAAAATCAGTATGTGCTGAAAATCATCATCCGCTACCTGGGCCTAACATTTATAGAACACCACAAACCAACAATTGTAGGATATACATTCTTTTCAAATGCACATGTAACATTCACCAACATAAATGATGTCCTAGGCCATAAAATAAGTTTCAATCAATTTCAAAAGATTGAAACTGTACAGAGTATATTGTACAGGACAGATATGAATATGGAAAGGGAACTAAATGAAAAGTTTCCAAGTGTGAGTGGAAGCAAAGCTGAGATTGGTTGATTCAATAACCTGGAGAAAACAGTGTAGCCATTTGGCTTCTGATAAAAGCCAAGGCACCCTGCTGCCAAAGCTCAGGACAGGCAGGGCCTAAGGAAAAAGAGAGAACACAGAAGAAAAAGAAAGAGAAGAGAGGGAAAGGAAAGAGAGAGAGGGGAAGAAAGGGAGAGGAAGAAAGGGAGAGAAAGAAAGGAAAGAAAGGAAGGAAGGAAGGAAAGAAAGAAAGAAAGAAAAAGAAAGAAAGAAAAAAGAAAGAAAAAGAAAGAAAGAAAGGAAGGAAGGAAGGAAAGGAAGGAAAGAAAGAAAAGAAAAGAAGGAAGGAAGGAAGAAAAGGCATACATGGGATCATAATTTGCAGAGCTGGAAGGGGTTTTAGGATGATAAAAGGGTAGTTCTAGCAGCAGCAGTGACAAGGGGGATTGTGAACACAGACTTAAAGAATGTGGTGAATAGAAATGACTGGAGGAAACTGCAGCAGAAATACTATTTTGAACACATAGCAGCTATCTGAAGCGTGGGCATCTGCATGTCTCACAGACCCCATACAGCGCATCACATAAAGTAGAGCTATTATGATGTCCCAATCCCCCACAAAAAACAGTAACTTATGGTAAAATGTGACTAATGAAGGAAAGTATGTAATATAGTCTAGAAAATTTTCCATTAAAATTGTTATGAAATCCAGCACTTAAGCAAAATTTCCTAAAGTGTGTTCCTCCGAATATAGTTCTGTGAGCTATTCTGCAGAAAGGGGTTCTGAGGAAGTTTGGGAAACATTGCTAACTGCATTCCCCCTTCTTAAAGATTCATAAGGCACATCAGCGTGTTAGTGACTCCAGGTGGCTTAATGGTATAAAAATCAGTCTGACTATCTTTAACCTCATGTTTCCCAATTTTATGGGACCACAATACTCTTTTTGCATGGAATACCTATTAACATTCCAAAGAACCAGCATTCTTTGGGCTACATTTTAGGGAAAAAAATGATCCAAGGATTAACACATAGCTAACAATGATATAGCTATAATTTGTTAATAGGAGCCCATTCTGTAAAGCTATTAATAAAAGACAAATGATAACTTGATTTTACATAAAACTTTTCTTCGAAGGAGCTTGAGACACACTGGACCCAGAATTTTCTGAGGAATTCAGGTTGACAAAAATGTAATGATTCTTTGTTGCTATTTTTTCTCACTATATTTAATAATATTTATTTGTGGCATTCCAACAGAAATTTTAATCTGGAAAAGTAATTACTAGAGAATAAAGTACTGTCCATTTCACTTACATGACTATTACATTTCATAAGAAAAAATGTGTATACTTGATACCACATGAGAAGAAATGAGTTTAAATGGTAGTCGTTTCAGTTAAGATCTAAGAAAGACTTTGGGAATGAGTTTATCATTTATTATAATTATTTTTGCTATTGCTTTTTATTCCTTATTACAGAGCAGTGTGCCAGTCTCTAGGCATTTTTGTTTAAATACTGGCTGGGGTCATAAGTGAAATAAAGTTTGGTCCTCATTTACCTCATCCCAGCAGTTGGGTTGGCAGGCAGCTGCAGAACTGCTGGGGCTCTTTTTATTTAATTTGGCATCCCTTCCTGAGCAGTATTGAGACTTTTACTTCAATGACTCCACTGGGCTTTGCCATAATTTCTATGCTGTATCAGTAAAGTCTGTGGAAGAGATGCCTAAGCAAACCTGAAAGGAGGCTAGGAGCGCTTACAGTTCAGGTATTTTTGCCGAAGTCAATGAAGAGATTAACCTCAAATACGGTCCATTAAAAAAATTTAACTCATTTAGTAATGAAGCCAATTTTTAAGGAATATTCATTCGATCATTTAAATATTGTATGTGTATGTATGTGTGTAAGAGTTTATCCTTTTTCACAATTTCTCTTCAAATAATTTGTCTAGATTCTGAATCAGATTGTCAAAATAAAATATATCTTCAAATTCTGAAAGAGCCATATGTAAATTATATGACTCGGAAATTGGGAGTGACAATGTCTCTAATATGCTCTGAGTATTAAAAGTAGTAACAAGTAAAAGTGATGAGGACAGGTTGCATATTTTGTTGCATATATAGAAAGCACTCAACAAATGCTCTGTTGAATGCATAAATTGAAAAAACAATACCTTCTGTGAACTTTATTTCCACAATCAGTACAGAAAACAGTTTCACCTGGTCTACTTTTCAGTCTCACATGTCACGTGTTGGTGTTCATAAATGAGGAAGGAAGGAAACCAAAGGAAACAGACTTCGATCAGAATTATGGATGGTGAGAACTAGAAGAGATCTTAGAGATGATTTGATCCAGTATCTCAAATTGGCAAATAAACACACTAAAGCCCATGAAATATAAGTGATTTGCCCCAAGAATATCACCTAGGAATTAGTGCCAGATCTAGGATTGGAGCGTAATATAAACATGGACTTTTCTTGTAATGAGGATTGTCAATATTATATGAGGTTATGATGTTAAGGATTTCTTTCTCTCTTTCTCTTTCTTTCTTTCAACAGAGTCTCACTCTGTCACCAGGCTGGAGTGCAGTGGCCCCATCTCGGCTCACTGCAAGCTCCGCCTCCCGGATTCATGCCATTCTCCTGCCTCAGCCTCCCTAGTAACTGGGACTACAGGCACCCGCCACCACGCCTGGTTAATTTTTTGTATTTTTAGTAGAGATGGGGTTTCACCATGTTCGCCAGGATGGTCTCGAGCTCCTGACCTCGTGATACTGCCTGCCTCGGCCTCCCAAAGTGCTGGGATTACAGGCGTGAGCCTCCACACCCGGCCCTAATTTCTTTATTTCTTCTTTTTCAAACATCTTACTTCAGCCTAACCCATCCGGAGTTTTCTTCGTATAGAGTGCAAGGATAGGATTTAATCTAATTTTCTTCCCCTAAATCATTAGCCAAGTGACTTGGCACCATTCATCTAACAAGTCCTCCCTTTCCCATTGACTTACAGTGTCACCTTTATTACATTCCAAGTTATTTCTTACACTAAGGGCAATATCTACGCTGAGTTTTTTATTCCATTGATCTATCAATTTTTCTACCCATGGAAATAATTATTGTAATTTTATTATATGTTTTAATAAGTGGTATGAAAAGTTCACCTTCATTAATCTTCTTTAGGGGGAAAAAAAGAGGCCTTTTGCCTATTCTTCAAGATGATGAATACTAGCAAGTTGAAAAAATTAATATTCCATGCAAACCAAATAAAACCCATAGGAATTTTGATTGGAATTACATTGGACATAAAGATTAATGTGGGAAGAACTGGCATACTTATAAACATTTTCCTTCTCAGGAATATGATATGTCTTTCCATTTATTCAAGTGTTCTCTGATGTTGTTCATTAAAGTTTTGGAGTTTTCTTCACATAGGTCCCCCATTTTTTATGTGAAGATTATTACTAGGTACATGTGTTCCTCATTAGAGAGGGGACTGTGGAGAGGGAGAAGAGAAAGAAAGAGAAAGAGAGAAACAAAAAGGAGGGAAGGGAGAAGGAAGGAAAGGAAGGCAAGAAGGACGAAGGGAGAAAGATCATACATCCAAACATGGAAAACAAATCCATTTAAAAGTTCATAATAATTATCTCTAGGTGGAGGGACTGAGGTTACATAATTTTTTATCTTTCAACCCTTGTATTTTCCAAGTTTTCTTCAATGAGAATGTGAAAAAAGTGTTACAATCAGAAAATTGGGCATGGGGGTGAACAAAGCTTCATGTTTGCTTCCTAAAGCCAGCTGCTATGTTGACTACCTGGGCCTTGGGTTCACTTCCAAAACATAAGTCCTAGGATTGTGCTACAATCACCTAAGGGAAGCCGTGTGTAGGGCTTGGGGGTGGGAAGAAGGAGATGGAGAGATGAGAGAAATATGGCTCAAAACCATGCCCATGAAACTAGACAGACCCTCCCTGCCCTGTCACTTCTCTACAGAATCCTTCCTCTTCATTCAATTACATTTTATTGAATTAAATTAATCATTTATTGAGTACCTTCTATGCATAATGCATTTTGTAAGGTACCCTAGAAGATATTTAAGTGAAAAAAATATGGCTCTTGCCTTCCAGGAGATCTAACAAGAGGAAAAGATACGAAGTCCCTTTTCAATTCAAGGTATACCATATGAATGCTTTAAAAGCATGCTATGATGGCCTAGGCAAGAGAAAATTAATTCTACCTTAAAAGAGCTGGATAGACATTATCATGGACAAAAAGAGGGCTGGCCAGGTGTGATGGTCACACTTGTAATACCAGCACTTTGGGAGGCTGAGGCAGGCAGATCATTTGAGGTCAGGAGTTCGAGACCAGCCTGGCCAACATGGTGAAACCCTATCTCTACTTAAAAAATACAGAAATTAGCTGGGCATGGTGGTGTGCACCTGTAATCCCAGCTACCCGGGAGGCTGAGGCAGGAGAATCACTTGAACCTAGGAGGTGGAGGTTGCAGCAAGCTGAGATCACGCCAGCCTGGGCTACAGAGTGAGACTCCATCTCAAAAAAATAAAAATAAAAAAGAAAAAGAAAAACTTAACATAGTTCTCACTCAATTATACAGGTCTTTAACAAGGTATTATTCAAAGTCACACACAAATAAATGCAAATTTATATGGCATTCTGACAAGGTTGGACATTACATCTGAAGTTAGAGATATGAACGTAGTTGGGGAAGTTTTCATCTTAAAAGTACTAGCTCATCTTCTTGTTCTAGTCCTTGAGTTAACACAGCCTTTTATTAAATACTCTGATCTTTTACTTCTGCCTCAGATTGGGGCAGAGAAATTTCCTCATTGAATTCCTTGGTCATTAAGAAAGCAATCTTTGACTGGGCCCAGATCTGTCCCTCAAATGCAGGTCAAAATCACCACCCTCAAAGCTACCTGGAAGGTAGTATAGAAAAGGATAAAGAATGCTACGTTGAAAGTCCGACTGGTTGAGTTTGAATTATGATCCTTTGACTTTTAGCTTGTATGACTTTGGGTGAATTTTATTTAACTGCTTTTTTGCCTCAGTTTCCCCAAATGTAAAATGAAAGTAGGAATAGTACTTACCTCTTAGGGTTACTGTGAAGATTACATGAGATGATCCATGTAAAGTGTACTTAACACCATGCCCAACTCAGAGAAGCCCTCAGAAATGTTAGCTATTGCTTTATAGCTAAATTTTAATTTATATTCCCTTCTATTAAAGTCCAGTATCTACACTTTAAACTATGGATAAATGGAATACTAAACCCAAGATGGTAGAAAGTTGGTGATAGGTACTTTCCCTGGGATGTAAATGTTTAGATTAAATGCTAATTCCATAAATTAGATGACATAATTCCACAAGTAAAATGGTTACAGTTTGAAAATCCTTATCTTAAAAAGTAAAACCTCCTGCCCAAAATTATGGTTATGTTAAACTAACCCAGTATTAGATATGGAGTAAACTTTTAAATGAGTGGAGAAGACAATGCTACTGCTCTCTTGGGTCACTGTTTTCACTATACAACTCCTCCTGATAATCTTCTATAAGGGTCAGCCCCATCTTAAGTGAGAAATGGAAAAGGGCATTTTGGAACTCAGAAAATTGAGTTTTCTTAGGAACAATCTTAAAGTGGTTAGGTCCCCAGGCAAGCTCATATAACGTATTAGTACATCTGAGCCCAACCATTAGACGTATCTGGGCCTCTCACCAGCTACACAAGGAGAAAGGAGAATTATTTTTCTCTAAAAGTAACTCCTGGTGGCTTTGGGAAGATGAGGAGATAAGGAATCTCCTTATTTTTCTCTTTCTCCTCCTGATACATTCTGTTTGTTCCAGGCAGGGTTTCTCTCATCCTCTGGATAGTATAATTACTCAGATAGGACGTATAAACTAGTGACAAGGAGATGTGCCACCCCTTACCCCAAATGGGAGTGTTAAACTAGAAAAACAGATACATGATCAATGTGGACAGATCCATGCAGAAGCTGACTTAAAAGATTCAAAAAGGGAATGTAGTCTAATTGGTGTTATCAAAGACATAAGACATCAGCTGAAGGCGAGTGGTATTTCATAGCAGGAAAGTAGTAAAAAGGAAGGCAATGATTAAGAACACAGGCTCTAATATCAGATAGAGCCTGATTCTGAGTTCTATCACTTACTAATTGAATGACTGGAGAAAGTAACTTAATTTCTCTATACTGAAGTTTCGTTACCAGTAAGATGGAGATAATATCACTCATTCCACGGGGATTAATGTGATATAACATAATGCACATAGTCAACCCCAAGCAGATAGTAGCTATTAATATTTATTATAAAAAGTTGAATTGGAGAGTCAGAATTTCTCAGTATCCATAAAACACTCACTTTACAGGGATGTATTCATATCCTTTTGGCAAATGTAGCTTCACATATGGGTGCATCAGACTATAAAAGTGTGATTCTGCTGCTCACCAAGAAGACTGTCCAACTAATTACCTTAGTCGGTTTCCCTGTTCACTAAGCAGCCTTCTAACTGGATTCTGTGTAGCTTTCTAATAAGGAGAAAATATGCTCATCAGATCAGGCTGATTTGAACATTCAGGTCTGTTTGACCATGATAGCTCTCCTCAGAATACATAAAGTGGCATTTCAGTTTGTACATCAGTCTCTTATGAGTTCAGCTGTACCCAAGAGATTGACTGACTCTAACAAAATCAAATCTCTAATCCTATAAAGTCAAGGGTTAGATCTTGGGCTTCACTAAGGTATTAGCAGACTAATGGGCTCTAAGTTGCCAGCCAGCTGCCTATAAGACATCAATATTATCATACCTAAAACCATACCTCTTCCTGTTTCTGAACCAGAGGATTTAAATTGTTGACTTGCAAGACAGGAATAGCCTAAAGAATATTTTCTTCGAACTACACAGGGTTTAAGAAAATTATCTGATCACACATTTAAAAATTAGATTTCACAAAAAATATAAGCATGACTTTCCAGCTTCTTTTGGAAACCCAGCCACAAAAGGCTAGAGCTAAGGTGGCTACCTCCTGGAGGGAAGGCCTGTGTCCTCAGTTCAGCACTCCAGTAATGTGGACCTAGCCTTTACACTCAGTCATTTCAGTAACTTATTATCTGCCTGACCCAATACAACTATGTTGTGACTCCTATTTTAAATAAGAACAATTTGGACATTTTCTAAGGGTTTTTACTGCTTATATAAAAGAAAAAAATGTCAGGAAGTAAAAAGCCTGTTCCATGAACACCACTTTTCCTTTTTTTTTTTTTTTTTCATTTAGCACAAAGAGATGATAAGTTTGGAAACACACCCATCTTTCAGAAAACATTTGGATTAAGATAGTCTCTTGGGCATTTCTGTGCATTATTAGATTGGGAAGACAAGGGAGTTGGGGAGAGGGTGAGAGTGGGAGAGGAGGCTCATACTGTCCAGTGCTGAGGCTGGGAAGTGGCAATAGGAGAGTTGGGTGGGGGATGGGGGTCAGAAAGTGTGAGGAATCAACCATTCCTACTCTCTATCCTTTTCTCTTGCCACCACTTCTCTTGCCCAACAAGTCCTGCTTTTATCTAATGTTGGAGAGAGGGGTGAGAAGTAGGGATCAGGGATGAGGTTACAGGCAGAATTGTAAGTAGTAGTGGGGCATACAGCATTAGGACAGAAAGTAAGAGCGACTGAGAGGAAATCCCAGCCATCCAGTTAGATTGGCCAGTTCTGAGTGGCCATTTATATGAAAGGGACAGAGAGTTGTATGTAAATGGTCAGGGGAAGGTGCTGCCTGCAGAACTCTACTTAGGCAGTTTTATGATCATCTAACAAGTTCAGGAGATAATGTTATTCAAAAAAGTACTATTGCTTTATAGCCAAAGGGAGAGGAAATAAAGTTTAATAACTAATGAGGACATCAAGGGATAGAGATCATTCTAAAGAATTCTAAAGTTGCCCTTCAGTTAAAGCAGCTGGAGAAGTGATCTAATTTCAGAAGCTGTCTGCATTAAGCCCTGCCTTCTATGATCCTGACTGAAAATCACACAGTTGGATTTCAGTGGCCCATTCAAGGCCATCCATCAACTGGCCTCCACAGCCAACCACATCTTTTGGTTTCTACAACTTGATTAGGCAAAGCTCTAAGCCATCCTCTGTTACTCTCACTATTCTCTACCTCTGCCTTTGCTTGTATTGCTTCTGGTACTTAAAATGCACAACACCTCTCCTTTAGTCTTGCCCATCAGTTCCTCTAAGGCCTATCTTAAGGCTTGCCTCCATCCATCAATTACATTGATCCTTGAGAGACTAGTGGTTCCACAAGGAACCAAATGAGCATTAATCTGGGAGTCACATAACCAGGACTGTGGCCCTGACGATGATTCTGAAGTAGCCAATTTATCTTTTCAGTATGTAGATAAAGAATTTGTCTTTAGAGACTAAGTGGTATACCTATGTTAACTTGGTTTACAGCACCAGAATTGAGAGCAGGATTGAAAACCCAAGTCCTCTGATTCTCCATCTACGGCTCTTTCTACTAAAGCATGCATGGCTGTTTTCAGACCTCTTAGTTGCCAACCATAAACTGATTTATTTTTCAGGCTATTGTGAAGATTATATAATCTTTTAATATAAATAATCAATTATATAAATCTGGTATTTTCAGGTCATATTGCCCAAACTTTATGGCCTAATGAGAGGAATCTCCTCTAAGTAAGTATCTTCTGGGTTTACTTTACACATTCTGTAGTATAATTCAGAGGCAATGCTTTTAAAGAAAATGTAGGGCGAATCACTCTAGTCTATGGGTACTTACTTCTATTCTACCAAGGAGGTTTTAAAAGTCTAGGAATGTATACTTGAATTCAAGTACAGTTTAAGGTACAATGGGTTAGAATACTGGAGAACACAGCAATAGTATTTATTCATCTCAAGAACCTCTCAGTAGATAATTAACCTGGACCATGATAAAAACAATCCTATTAGTCCCATTTCTCTTGTGGCTAATGCTATCACACTACTTGCTGAAGTATTTTTCCTTTGCTTCATTTTAAACAGAACACTTACTATATTATTGCAAGCATTACCACTTTCGTAGCTGCTCTATTTTCCTCCTTGCAACAGAAAAGCAACAGTAATTAGGCAAAAGCATAAATTTTATATTTTAACTCAAGAAGATGTAATTCTTATAAAAATCTGGGCTGGTAGTCTAGACGTATCCACTTTTCCATAGATTTTTGGCACCATCAACTAAGAGAAGTGGATATTTCACCCATAAAGAATACAGGGTTTTTAGGATATTTCTCTGTTCTGATGCATACTTTGTCCCACACTGGATTTTTGCGTGAAAGAAAAGATCTATCACGGCTCTAACTTTTGGGACGTCGTGAACCCCTTTGGCAATCTGGTGAAGCCTACAGACCCCTTCTCAGAATAATGTTTTATAAATGGATTAAATAAAATACATGGGAACCTATTATACTGAAATACAGTTCTACCCATAGACCCCTGTACCCTAAACCTATCATAGGTGTGACACAGTTCCCTCTGTCTATTGAAATACAGTTCTACCCATGGACCCCTGTACCCTAAACCTACCATAGATGTGACACAGGTCTCTGTGCCTACCTAAATTTGGCTTTTCAAAGTGGAATTAATTTTGAGGTTAGAAACACTATCTCTCAGTATGTAATCAAACAAATACTCAAGTTCAAGGCCCAAGTCATAAAGTGAAAAGGCACAAAGTAAAAGTATATCATAGGGGAGCAGGCCTAGTCCTGTTAGCAGGTGGCTGCTGACCTGGAATGATTTCAGAGCAGTGCAAAGGCTCTCTTCCTGGATTCCCCCAAATCCCTCTTCTCTCTGTCCACTCATGCTTGAAATCCCTTAATAGAGCCTAACTCCTTTGTTTTAATTAAGTAGCGGATTTGCTCTTGTTAAAAAATAAATACCCATGGGAGAGGTAATACTTGATGCCAAAGATTTGCAAATTTATTTTCAGCAGTAGAACAAGTTTTTCAAATGCAACCTTAAATAGATGCTGATAAATAAGTAAATGCAAATTTTATAAGAATTTAGTATAATTGTGTATGTCAAAACATATATAAGTAACAATTGCATATAGTATTATGTACCTATATGTATATAATTGTTACTTAAATATAGTATGTGCTTACATTATATATTATATAAATATTTATATTATATATTTACTATATATGTATTTATATTATATATTTCTGGTTATAGCAATATAAACCAACACTGGAAACAATAAGGCTGTTTTGATGAAGACAAATTATGAAATCAAGAGTTATAAATAACTGCAGTCTTACATCTATCACAGAATACAATTTGTTTATATATTTTATTTTGCCTGCACAAGATGTAGAAAATCCAGATGTTAACAAATAAGTAATTTCAAATAGCTAACAATTTGTTATGGTAGTTATAATCTCAGAATTTAGTTCAATTAAAATGATCCAGAAACTTTAAAATAGTAGAAATTTTTTGTTTCAAAATAGAATGACTAACAATATCTACCAACTGCTTACATTCCTTAATAATTAAGGATTAGTTGGTAAGTAGTCAATTGGGGGATATTTGACAAATAGATTTCATAATTAATTTGAATCCTGACTCCCCTTGCTTACCACACAACCTCAGGCAAGTAGCTTAATCTTAGTCTCAGTTTCCTTATCTATAAAATGATTATAAAAATGGCACCTACTTAGAGGTGTAAGGGTTAAATAAGATAGTGTACATAAAACACTGTGTCTGGCAAACTTAATAAATGCTACTACAATTGAAGAGCTAAATTACCAAAAATATTTTTCAAATGTGTCATGTAACATTTTAGGATGTTCTATCACATCCCATTTAAATTTCTTTTCAGATATCTCGCCACCCTTCTCTTTCAGACAGTCACTGAGTTTCAAAAAAATCTAATTTTGTTTTGCATGTTGAGTCCAAATTTTGACATTATGCTTCATTGTTGACTTTTATCTGCAGTTGTAAACAGAATAACATTGCAACCTTGCACTGTCAAAGATTGTATAGCTCATTTCAAATCATGTAAGAACCAACCCAAACTTAAATCAAGCAGTGAAACAATCTGTGATGCTACACTATCATGATATGGCTATATTATTGTAATTGTATACTTGACTATTATGCTGTGCCAAAAGTATGCACCAGAGAACTTTCCTGGCTTTTAATTGATAGTAGCACACATGTGTTCTAATACTAATACCAATTAATGTTTCTTGAATGATTACGAGGAGTCAGGCACTGCTTTATGACCTTCACACATATTAGCTTATTTAATCTTTGCTTATTTATTTGTATGATTATTACAGGAGTGTATATGAGCAGATCTGAATTTCAAAATATGACTAGTACAAAGCTACACCCTATCTAATAAAAAACACCTTTATGGGAAATTCAAATGTACACACACACACTCAGAGTAAGCCTGAAAGCACAAATTAACCCACTGACGATCAAATGATCAAATGCATTAAAATTTGGCATCAATTGAAATATGTAGGTATTCTTCTTTATTATACTTAAAATGCTTAAATATTTATCATTAAAAATCAAATGCAAATTAAATGCTTAGAACCCCTCTGAAACTCACTGGAGTTCTCCAATTTGAAAATGAACATTAAATCCTATTACTCACTTACACTAGGATGTAAAAGGAGCCAAATCAGATTCTTTTCTAAAAGCATAAGTGTGAAGAAGGAAATGAGAGATTTTTAACACTAATTCATTTTTCAGGAAGGTAAGAACCTTATTAGGTACCCATTATGTGCCAGCAATGTTAATATATTATCTGTATTCTCCATAGCACCCTTATCTAGTAGGCATCATTATCTTGACTTGACAAAAGAGGGAACACCGGATCTGAAATGTAATTTGCTTACCTAGGGTTCAGTAACTGCAAAATAGCAGATAGGACCCAAACTTTGATCTACTCAGCTCCAAGCCCCTCCCAGCACACCAGATTGCCTCTCCATCTTGCTTCCCCCATTCATAAAACAGAAAAATGAGAATGAGTGAGACAGAGTAACCTGCTCTTGGAAACACTAGTTAGTTAGTGGCAAGGCTGCAACAGGAATCCAGTAGTACCAGCATTTCACTAGGTAAATCCTATCAGATGGCCCATGGAGAGGGTATCCTGTGCAACTAGGCCTACTAGGAGCCAGCAAAATCATTACTTCACTTCAAAACTCAACATCAGTCTATATAGCTTCAGAGCAGAGACTAGACAGAGGAGGGGACAAATCAGTCCTGTCCTTAATACCTAATATGTGTAAAACACTGCTTGGTGCAGGGGAGGATTTGAAAAACAGACAAACAGAACAGACAACAAGGTCCCTGTCCTCATATCTGTGTGGGAAAGAAAGCATAATCATGTAAAATATTAAATAGCATCCCTGGAGGAGACCTCAGCAATATTCTGGTTCCCTCCCTGGACCCCTACAATAATATGTTTTAAATGACAGTATAAAACAATGGCACAATACAATATATGAGACTTGCCAATAGTAATAACTAATATTTTTCAGAACACTTCTTTGTACCAGGACCTTTGTTAAGTGCTTTGAATTATCTCATTAAAAACTCAATACAATCCTATGAGATAGATACTTTTATTGTGGACATTTTACATGAGGAAAGGGAGACTGTTTCTGGGAGATCCCGGTCTAGTAAGGATTCACACCAGGCAGTCTGACCCAGAATCACTATTCTAAGAGCTAAAAAGTGGTTTCAGTTCAGCATAGGGTTGGTTTGGGAATGCATACAGGATCATGGCAGAGAAGCTCAAGAAACATACCACTATAAATAAATTAAAAGAACTCACTACAGCTAGATTTTTTTTTATGAATGTTATCTGACAAGGCTATAGCCTCTCATTGCCTCTCCCTGCTCCCAGAGCAATGGGCTTTAGTGAGACAGCCATCCACCAGCCAACATTCCATCACTTTCCTCAGCTTTCCCATTATTCCAAACCAATGCAGAATTGACATTCTGAATAGCAACAACATACAAAGGCAATACACTACCACCTCCACCACCACCACCACCACCTTCACTGCCATATTAGTGGAATATATTTTATAGGCTGTGAATCAGGAAGGACATGAAAAGTCACTCCTTTGTCAAAAACTCTTTCTAAGCAACCTGAAGAGAAAGCTCACTTTAAATGATAGGAGTGGGATGTTGTGCATGCCACCACAGTCCTTGGGTGATGACTTTGTGTCATAAATAGGATATGGCATTTCAGAATGTCTTTAAAGCTATTTCCTTTTGTTCAACTAATTTAATTTACCAAATGCTCCTGGGAAAAGGGAGGGGGACCAAGATGCTGACTCCACATTTCCTGAAAAATCAACATTTTCTTTTTAAACTGCTCTCAAAGAAATTGCATCTGATTGTTGTCTGCTGGCTCCCTCAAACTCTACCTCTGTCAAAATTCTGCCCCAGCAGGTGTGAGAAAGAATAGATGCAGAACTTGAGTGAATACCCACATCTGTTTTTGGAAAAAGAGAACAGAAGCAGCACAGAAGGAAGTAAAAGAGATAATTGCTGGCTTGAACTACAATACATTTTACTTGTGGGCAGAGGGCCAGCTTACAGCAGGCGGAATATGCAGGCCCATCTTATTGGAATTCAAGGGTGGGCCTCCATTCTTGTCCGGAGACAGCTGTAAACCAGCAGCCCATAGCATCACAATCAGGCACTGAGTTTTGTCAAGGAATGCTGATACGTACAGAAGCAGCTTTGTCTGCCTCAACTGCACCCCTACCTGGTGAAATGACAGTCAATCTCTGATTCCAGATGACAAGAACTGGATAAAAACTTAAAACAAATGGCGACCTTTCAAAAGATTAATTTGTTTACCAACAAAATGTTCCCTCTTTGTCATCTGAGATGGGGGTGACCTTCACTTTCCCATATCTAGCCTGAAAGGATGCTGACTACAGTCATCTGTTAAGTTAACTCCATCTCAGCAATTATTCCCTTTTTTTATTTTTAGTGACAAGAAAGGTTTATTAATTCACTCTGCTTCTTGTTATGGTTTATAAATGCAACAAGCTCATTCTGAATTACTGCAGTGTAACATCAATTTGTTTAAATCTAATTCTGCTACCGTTGCCAAATTATGTTGTGACTGTAATTGTGGCCATATGCATGGGCTTAAAACACAATCATGTTTTGAAATCGCCCTTCTTTCTCCACTCCCACTCCCTACCCCCACCCCCACCCCACCCCTTACTTCTAGTGCTTCTTCTAATCATTTGACATTAACACAATTGCCTCACTTTCTATTACTTTATCATTTCAGAAATGAATATGCTTTCAGTGAGAGAGAGATTACTATGTACACCCCAAGTGAAACAGTAAAGAATGAAACTATGATTTGTGAAGTGTGGTTGCTACCCAACTAAGTTAGTGGAAAACACTGCATAACATATGACTCATAAAATCTAGAAATCATAATAGTATTAAATTCAACCTCATGAATAAATAAAAGATTCTAAGTTTACATTGCATTATATATATATTTATTTGGAAAGTAGAACCAAAGAACTGGTATAATTCTACAGCAACTCACATCTTGCCAAAAAGAAAAATGTTTTTATGATTTTTTTCTAGGTCATAACAGTTATAATCAGTTATTTGTGCAGCAATTCAAAGCAATGTTTGGTTTGGCTATTTTGTTATGCATTCATAATTGTTCTTTTAAAATTCATGTTAACAGATACATGTTTCAAGCCTTTTAAGAAACACTTTTTATTTAAAAGGAATAAATCAAAGTCAAATTTTCTGTAGATTTCTTAATGTGTTGTATTATAAAGTCTAACTGGAACTGGATGTCAGTGAGGGAACATGAACAGTACCAGGGATTTCTTCTTGTTTCCACATACCTTTGAGGACCTACTAGAAAAAATGTTAGAAGGTTGTTTGTTACTATTTGGCAGATTGAAGATATTGAAAAAATCACCAGTGAGTCTCACTTTTAATATGTTTTTGGTAAATTGATTTTACATAACAGAGTCACAGGATATAAAATTCTGAAGATAGTTTTGCAATATGAGTATGTGTGTGTGGCAGGGGGTATATGTGTTTTCAATGCACTAAAATCCTGGCATCAGCCTCTTATTATCAGGAGGAATACACCACTTCATAAGATGGAGAAGATACCAGCTTCTAGGAACAAATAATGGAAATTGGCTACATATTCACATTTGCTCTGTCAAAAATGTCTAAGGTTATTTACAAGCTTTTGACAAGCTGATCAAGTTTCATAAGAAGTAACGAAACACATGGCCCTCGGCAGCCAAATAATAATCCCGTTTGAGTGTTTAGTTCTAAAATGATTAGCTTTGATGATGCCTTTCTAATTAACTATACATCCCAATGCTAGACACATTACTCTAGTTTGGGTAAGTGCTTTTGAAATGATTTTTATAAGTGGTAAATCACAACTGCATTTATCCCCAAATGCTTTATATGACTGTTTAAAACCAAATACCTGAACACACTTCTCTCACAGTACTTTTTGCACAATGCTTCTGTTTTATAAATCCAAAATGAAAATACTGTTTTTCAGTTAGTATTACCATACAACTATATCAACATAAAATGATAGGGTCAACTAACTATTTGATCAAAAGGCCAACAGTTTGAAAAAAATATACACAATGTATATCCAATTTTAAATTGCTCTGGTGTAGATTTTTATGGCATCAAGTTTGATGGAAAAAGGAGATTTAATACAGTAAATGAATATCTATTAGCTATATGTCATAAAAGGGAAGTGCTTTCCCAAATTCTCTTTGCTCAAAGTATGTAGATACAACATCCAAGGCACTCATTCTATTTGGAAATTGGAAAAATACACAATTAATGACTAAGAATCTGCCCCAAGTTTTGGATATAATTTTGAAATCTCTATTTGCTTAAGTCTGAATCTTCATTCAGATTCATAAAGCAAAGCATAATCCTTTTTAAATCTAGAGGTATGCCTTTTAAAACTCCAGTACTCATCAGAAAAAGTTCACATGAAACACAGCAGTTGCCTCGGGCTACAAAGCCTCAGTACTCCTCCAGCTAAGCCAATATTAATTCTAGATGGAAGAGGAAAACCAACAACAAAAGAGAAATCTGCTTCTGTCTGTGTTGCCAGAGAAATAATATTTGTATTTCAGGGGCTTTGGGCTCATGGGAAGCAGATAAAAACCCTTTCACATTATTCACAGTGACATTTTAAATAAAGTTTCAGCAGGAATAAAAATATCTAACTTTCTGGTTATTTCTTAGGCTATAGAAGTATTTGTAAGATAAAGTGCTCTTAAACCAAACCTGTTAGAATAACATAAAGCACATATAAAGAAACTGAAAATATATTTCAGGGTTACACGAATGAAGTAGGCAGTTGAAAATGTCTGTGTAGGAAATTTGGAAGATTAACCTAAGAGACTATTATGCTAGTTAGAAATGGCTTTGCAATTTAATCCTAACATTAATCTTGTTTTTAGTTTTGATTTCACCAAGGCATACATTTAAGAGCTTTTGAAAGAAGCCAAAGGTTAAAAATGTATTTAAAAAAATAGAGATGTTACCTCAGTAATTGTTTTCAGTGTTAGAAATGATCTCAAATTAAATAATTTCCCAGCTAAAATGAAGCACTACTCTTAATTCTCCTAAGAAAACTCCACAACATAGAGTACAATCCTTGCTTTAGGACAAGGTAGCATCTAGTCAATGGCAAAAATGGCATTGACTCTGAGATCTCTTACTGCAGATCTACATTTGACTATTTTTCCCTCTCACTATTTTGCTGACATAAAGGCTTAGTCCCTGCTTGCCTCAGATTTAGAATAATATTCTCAAATATTTGCATATTATGACAGTATACACAATGGAAGAGGATTCTGTGCTGTTGTTTTATTTGGATTTTTCTAGTGGTAAGCCTACTATCAAAGAAATACAATATTTAAAATTTCTCTATTAATTCTTTTTGCTGGTAAATTATTTCCTCGTTAAAATTATGGTACTAGATTATTTAGGAATATCAAATAAAATAGAGAAATCTGAATGAGCTACAAATAAGTCTTCAAAAACAGGCTTACATTTTCTTAATCATTGCTAATTATAAACAGAATGAGAGCCATTTCATCTCCAAAAAATTCCAAAGACAAAAGGATCACAATCTTTACTTAACATCTACATTACATCTTACACTACTAATAAATGACTTTTATTTCTTAAAAAAATAAGAGCTCATTAAAACAACTCATTACTTACACATGCTTTTCTCTGATTAATATATGGCAAACTGATTCCATAGTTCGCATTTACAGCAGCTCTGTGGTGGATGTTTTCAGGATCCTGCAAGATTTTTACATTCAACCCTATCTTTCGCTGAAACAAAGAAACAATGAAACTTTCATGCTGGATGAACAAAAATGCTTACTAACATTTTATATCCTCAAAGGAGTTTAAAGTTCTTTGGAAATAATTATTTTAATGAAATTCTCACTGGAAAAAAATATATTTGGATCTTTTATTTAGGCTGCTAATCAGTCCCTTTTATTCACAGAAAAGGAACTTTGTGTAGATTTTCCTCCGTGTATCCCATTGCTCCCACAAATACATCCTCAGACACATTTTCTTAAAAATAATGCTGGAAGCCAACCAAGGTGGGCAAAGGACTAGATAGAATACCTGGTCTTAATTTCTTTTTAGCTTTCCAGGTCAAGGATTTTGTCAATGAAATCTATACTACAAATACACAGGTAGAGGGCTCCCTTGGTCTGTTAATGTGGCCACTTTCCTCTAGGGACATTTACAGGTAAATCTCAGTTTGGGCCTGGTAAATTTACCACAACAAATTTATCTACTCCTTCACAGAGATTCTCTTATCTGTAAGAATAATTTATGCTTTCATTAGAAAAAAATAAAAGCCTCTTGTCTGAACCACTTATTCCTCATTTTAAATAATTCAAATTAGTTATTGTTGACATGCTTGATAAACCATGAGAGTGGGCCACATAGTGGTGGTGGCAAGGGGCACTAGATAGTTGTCAGGACACCTAGGTGCCAGCTCTCCTCTCGACTGCTGTGTGTGACCTTGGGTAAGTCACTTCACCTCTATGGAAGTCAGTTTCTCTATTCACAAAATGCATGTTAGACTTAATGGTCTCTTGAGGAACCATGCCCAAGCTTTGGGATTCTATGATTTGAGGCTAAAAAATAATTTGGCACGTAGGGAATATGGTATTACTAATAATTTCTAGTCTTTTGTGATTTTAAAAATTGTAATATAATGCATATACCATAAAATTCACCCCTTTAAAGTGTACAATTCAGTGGTTTTCAGTATATTCACAACCATCACCACTATCTAATTCCAGAACATGTGCATCCCCCGAAAATGAGACCTCATACCCATTAGCAATTGCTCCCCATTCCCTCTTCCCACTAGTTCCAGGCAACCAGTAATCTACTTTCTGTCTCTCCTGATGTATCTATTCTGGACATTTCATAAAAATGGAGTCAAAATATGTAGGCTTCGCAACTTTTTAAAAAGGAGGTTAGAAGTATTGTGAGCAACCTAACTGTTTTCCTTTCAATTAAGTGTCTTAGTTTTGAGGGTGATCTGATGCAGTTGTTAAAATGTTGTAGGAATTGGACAGATTTGTTCATGATCCATCTATTTCTTTGACATAAGCATTTATAAAGGGTCTGTGCCTAAGGTCAAAGTGAAGAAGGCTACAAAAATATCTACAGAATGTATGCTAGATAAGCATAGATACGTTTAGGTAAGGTCTTTAACAGATATCCCAAATCTTCCTTTTACTTTTTAATAGCATGGTTTTTTGTTGTTGTTGTTGTTGTTGTTTTGAGACGGAGTCTCGCTCTGTCACCCAGGCTGGAGTGCAGTGACACAATCTCGGTTCACTGAAACCTCCGCCTCCCAGGTTCAAGTGATTCTCCTGCCTCAGCCTCCTGAGTAGCTGGGATTACAGGTGTGCACTACCACACCCGGCTAATTTTTGTATTTTTAGTAGAGACAGGGTTTCACCATGTTGGTCAGGCTGGTCTCGAACTCCTGACCTCGTGATCCACCTGCCTTAGCCTCCCAAAGTGCTGGGATTACAGGCATGAGCCACTGTAGTCGACCAATAGCATTTCTTAAACCAAATCTCCAAATAACTGCCCTCAACTGTCCACTTTATTTAATCTGGGCAAGGATACAGGATGCAAACAAGGCATGTCTATTTCCTTCTCCTTGAGGTACACGTGGTCACAAAAGTAATGTCGTACCTAATTATAAATGGCTTTTCTTCTGTGGGTAACACTCACAGCACTACTCCAGGGTTTTTGCATGGAAGCAGATTGCCTCTTCTATTGAAATTAATACCTGAACATAATTTTTTCCTTCTTAAACTTTCAGAATAATTTCTATTCTACCAAGGATTGGGAAATTGCTAATATGTATTGTATTGACTGGATGTGGGTTTCTGTAATTAGGGTGTTTTTAAAATGTGTGTATTCTGGATACAGAATTGATGGTAATAGCTTCATCTATCACGTCTAAGCTTTGTTAGAACATTTTAATTATGGGATTATTGGCTCATAGCAGTTTTCTTAGTTTTATCATGCTCCATCAAGTTTGTGTGGTTATAGGTCTGGTGTAGGGAGGAAATGGCCAAATACAGAATCACTGTTAAAACTGGCCTTAAAATCCTGTAGTGTTCTGCCTATTGTTAAATTCTGTAGCACTACACATAGTTATTTCTGAAAAGAAATCAGTATGTAAATAGAAATCCAACAGAAATGATAGGTGTACTATCAATTCTTTATTGTTGGGTTCGAAAGCAATCATTTGAGGTTAAAAGATAATTTTAAAATATTAATATTCTCATATTTACTATTTTGGTCCCAATGCATGTGTATACCAAAATAGTAATATGTAGCACACATGATTTAATTGCTCTTTTCAAAAACACTTAAAAGGAATCTATGTTTAAAGAATATTCACATAATCATACAGGCATGGTGGCTCACTCCTGTAATCCCAGCACTTTGGGAGGCCGAGGTGGGTGGATCATTTGAGGTCAGGAGTTCGAGACCAGCCTGGCCAACATGGTGAAACCCCGTCTCTACTAAAAATACAAAAATTAGCCAGGTGTAGTAGCGTGCGCCTGTGGTCCCAGCTACTTGAGAGGCTGAGGCATGAGAATTGCTTGAACCCAGGAGGTGGAGGTTGCAGTGAGGTGAGATCATGCCACTGCACTCTAGCCTGGGCAACAGAATGAGACTCGGTTTCAAAAAAAAAAAAAAAAAAAAAAAAAACTTAACATAACAAATGTTTCACTGAAATTCACTACCAAGTACATTCAAAACCTAAATTTGTCTTACGAACCATCTATAGTGATGTATGGGAAAATACTTATAAGCATAGCTGTATTATGAGACTCAATAATAAGGTTTTCAAGAAAATGAATTACAGACTTCAAAAACAAAAATAAAATTAATCATTCCATTAAGCAGGAAAGTATGCTCTGGAAGATGATCATTTTTTACCAACAGTAAGATAAATATCAGAAATAACTTCAGAAATTTTTAGTAAATTGGTCAAGAAAAGATACCAATTTATGTAATCCATCTTGAGTCACTAGACAATCTAAACTTTGTATTCTTTCCTTTTGATGGTAATTACAAGCAGATATATCAAATGTGACTCTCATTTAGACTCTGGTTTGTAAGAACAAAAGTTATTATCAGAGCCAATTACTGTTTTACCTACATGGCTGCACAGAAGCAGGGAGCTCAATTTTCATCTCATCAGTGATTCTGTGGTATTTATTTCATTATTATGCCCACAAAGCTATATAAGAAGGAAATAGCTTATGCTATTAAAACTAGGGTTGGAATATAGGAGGCTAAGGTTTCTTTTAGAACAACTTCTGAATTAAAAACACTAGGCAGTGTGTAATGCCAGCTCCCCAGACATGGGTAGACCATAAAATGACACACATCTGAGCAGTAGATCCCACACAGAGTAATCAAAATTGAAATGCTTCACAAACAAAGTTGAGAGAGGCTATTTACTAAGTTACAGTATTATCGACAGTGTTTCCTGCAAGTAGTGTCTTCTAAAGTGGATATTGCTTAATATCATATTCCCACTGGTTAAAGACAGCTGCTGTTTAGTCTCAAATGCAGAGAAAAGAAAAATACAAAGAATTTAGTCACTTTTAACACTCATTCTCTCAACCACTGTCTTAGGTAATATGAAGAACAATAGACGTCAAGTCCTGATTTGAGCTGTATGATCTAGATTTCTCATTTGTAAAACTGGGTAGTAACCCTTAGCTTCATAGGGTTGTTTGTGAAGTTCAAATGACTAATGTATGGTAAGTATCTTGTAAATTATAAAGTACTATTCTGGAGCCAATGTGAAAGAGGCTCCCACTGGCCCCAAAATAATGATTACTGTGGATTGAAACACTTCAAACATATAAAAATCCATGAGTTCTTAATAATACTCCCTTCCCCTCAAAAACCTAGTTGATAAAATTGATAAATTAACCTAAAAATTGATAAATAAAAGAATTAAGCAAAAGTAAGTAATTAAAACTGGTTTTCAGAGTCACCAAAGAGTTGCTAAGGAAAACTTCCTCATAGAGGCTAAAAAAATGCAAAGGAATGATAGAAATATAAAAATCACTACTTTGTAATTCCTAATGAAATAACGTATTAAAGTAAACATCAATGGTTGCTAATATCATTAAGTGAAAGGTTGTAGAGAATTTTATAAAAGACAAATTCAGCTGAAAATCCTTGGAGTCATTTATCAGTCTTAATATTATTAAAAGACAAAAAAAGAAATTGCGTCTTGATATGCTATAAAAGAAAGTACACAGGCACTGGGTACAGCACCATTGTAAAATATGAAGTAGTCCTGCCAAAAAGACAGAATCTGAATACAATCAAGCTTCCAGATAAAACTAACAGTTTAGAAGAGCTACTAGGGAGACAGGAACATGTAAAATGGCATCATGGGATTGCAATCAGATAAATCCAGACTGTGGGAAGAACCTATATGACAAATGACCTGGTTTCTTCAACAAATAATTGACATTAAAATTTTTTTATTTTTAATTTTTGTGGATACCTAGTAGGTATATATATTTATGAGGTATATGAGCTATTTTCATACAAGCATATAATGAGTAATAATTACATCACATCAGGGGAAATGGGATATCCATCACCTCAAGCATTTATCCTTTCTTTGTATTACAAACAATCCAGTTATACACTTTTATTTTTAAATGTACAATAAATTATTGTTGAGTATAACAGAGTGACCAGCCAGCGTCACCTTGTTGTGATATACTAGATCTTATTCATTCTATTTAACTATATTTTTGTGCTCATTAACTATCCCCCCTTCTCCCCAAGCCCCGCACTACCCTTCCCAGCCTCTGGTAACCATCCTTCTACTCTCTATCTCAGTGAATTCAATTGTTTTAATTTTTAGCTTCCACAAATAAGTGAGAACATGTGAATCCTGCCCTTCTATGCCTGGCTTATTTCACTTAACATAATGATCTCCAGTTCTATCCATGTTGTTGCAAATGACAGGATCTCATTGTTTTTTTTTTTTTTTGGCTGAATATATTCCATTGTGTGTAAGTGCCACATTTTCTTTATTCATCTGTTGATGGACACTTAGGTTGCTTCTAAATCTTGGCTATTGGGAATAGTGCTACAATAAACATGGGAGTGCAGCTACCTCTTTGATACACTGATTTCCTTTCTTTCGGAAATGGGATTGCTGGATCATATGGTAGCTTTATTTTTAGTTGTTGTTGTTGTTGTTCAGACAGATTATTGCTCTGTCACCCAGGCTGGAGCACAGTGGCACAATCTCTGCTCACTGCAACCTCTGCCTCCCGGGTTCATGTGATTCTTGTGCCTCAGCCTCCCAAGTAGCTGAGATTACAGGCATGCACCAACACACCCAGCTAATTTTTGTAATTTTTAGTAGAAACGGGTTTCATCATGTTGGCCAGGCTGGTCTTGAACTCCTGGCCTCAAATGATCTGCCCACCTCGGCCTCCCAACGTGCTGGAATTACAGGAGTAAGACACCACACCTGGCCTATTTTTAGTTTTCTGAGGAACTTCCAAACCGTTCTCCATAGTGGTTGTATTAATTTACATTCCTACCAACTGTGTAGGAGGTTTCTGTTTTCTCCACATACTTGCCAGCATTTGTTATTGCCTGTCTTTAGATAAAAGTCATTTTAGTGGGTCAGATGATATCTCATTGTAGTTTTGATTTGCCTTTCTCTGATGATCAGTGATGTTAAGCCACCTGTTTGTCATTTGTATGTCTTATTTTGAGAAATGCCAATTCAGATCTTTTTTTTTTTTTAGACCGAGTCTTGCTCTGTCACCCAGGCTGAGAGTGCAAGTGATGTGATATCGGCTTACTGCAACCTCCGCCTCCTGGGTTCAAGCAATTCTCCTGCCTCAGCCTCCCAAGTAGCTGGGATTACAGGCTACGACACCACACCTGGCTAATTTTTGTATTTTTAGTAGAGACGGGGTTTCACCATATTAGCCAGGCTGGTCTGGAACTCCTGACCTCAGAAGATCCACCCGCCTCGGCCTCCCAAAGTGCTGGGATAACAGGTGTGAGCCACTGTGCCCAGCCTCTTTTGCCCATTTTAAAAACAGATTATTAGAATTTTTTTTTCCTAGAGTAGCTTGAGCTCCTAATATATTCTGGTTATTAATCCCTTGTCAGATGGGTAGTTTGCAAATATTTTCTCCCATTCTGTGGGTTGTCTCTTTGTTGATGGTTTCTTTTTGCTGTGCAGAAGCTTTTTAACTTGATGTGATCCCATTTGTCCATTTTTGCTTTGTTTGCCTGTGCTTGTAGGGTATTACTCAAGAAATCTTTAAATGACATTTTTTAAACGAGGGAAACTGTTTAGGTAAAATGAAATACAATTATAATGTGTGGACCTTGTTTGCATCCTGTTTCATGCAAACAATAGTAGAATGACAATTTAAAGACAATTGGGGAAAATTGCGCATGGACTGGGAATTATACAATATTAGTGAATTGTTGTTAAGTTTTCGGCATGATGGAGGGAAAGATGGACAAGGATGTTTGCAAGAGAAAGACTATGGTGCTGAACCATTGAATCAGAAGAGATTTGAGATTATATAACAGAAAATGCTACTGGGGTCTATTCTCACTAGTTACAGGTGATAATGGTTATTTTAAAAAATCTTTACCAAATAATATACGATAAAGTGAAATGATATGATGTCTGGGATTTGCTTTCAAAGACTTTGCCAAAAATAGTAGAGGGAATAGATGAAATTAGAATGGAAAAATTATGTTAACTGCTAAAGCTGGGAGATGGCTATATGGATTTTTGCGTCTATTCAAAAATACATTTTCTTAATAAAATGTCAACTAAAATTAAGAGGTAATTAAAATGTAATTGTTCATTATTTTATTATTAATTCAGCTCTAACATTCTATGCTCTATTACCTCCCCTCTTATCTCCCTGTTAGGGCTAGAAGGATCAACAAAGTAGAAGCCCTCCACAATCACAGCATCACTTAACTCCATGCTGCTCCTAAACAGCCCAGCTGCTGCCTAACTGCCTCAGGTTCACAAAACCTAAAGGCTTACCTACTTCTATTCAGATGTGGCCAATCCGTTTTCTCATTCCTACAGGAGTTGAATTGGAGAATAAGAGAAGGGTTAGGGGAGAGAGCTAACATTTATTCAGGTCCCATTTTGTGCCAAGCACCAGAACAGGTGAGTGTGGTCACAGTCAACTGATTTGAGTCCTAAAAATAACAAGAGGAAGTATATGATATTGTCACTACTTTGCCAGTGAGGATAATTGGTTAAGTGACTTCTCAAGGTCACACAATCTGGAATTGAGGAGACAGGATTTGATTTACATCTCTGAATCCAAAGCCTCATTTCATCACAACATACTGCCACATTATAAAGAAATGTTAGGTGATGGACTCTTGATTCAACTTCCTATCATCCTATCAGATTCTTTACCCTCTCTAGTCCCCACAGGCACTGCTTGGTCCATGCTTCACTGATTATTACACAGACCTCCTTAATGGTCCCTCAGATGGGTCTCTTTGCTTCCAATCCATCTTCTGCATGATGGCCTGCCTCTAATCACTGAATCCAATACGTCTCTCACCTTTAAAATCCTCCACCAGTTTCCCTTAGGGTGGCGTAATCTGACCCATTCCTTCCAGCTCCGCCTCCTGCCATTCCTTCCTAACAGCTCTGAGGACTTTTCATGCTGAATGACCAATGACCACATACAACACGCTCTCTCCACCTCTGCAAGTGAGCATGCTGTTCCCTCTTCTGCGAATGTCTTCCTCTTCCCTCTTCAGTGTCTTCTGGTCACACTTTTATTCAAACTTGAACTTCAGTCAGGCCCAAATTACTCTGGGAGGTCTCCTCCAACCTCTATCTCTCTTTCTTTAACAGAATTCATTCATTCATTCAAACATTTCTTGAGAGCCTAGTAGGTTTTAGAAACAGGACAGACGAAGTCCCTGCCCATGTGGATCTTACTTTCTTGAAGGTATGTGAGGAATCAGACAATAAGCACATAAACAGATATAAAATTAATTTCAGATTGCCCTAAATGCTCTAAATAAAATACACTAGGATAATGGGATAGAGAATAAGAGGAAACTACCTTAGATATGGTGGTCAAGAACAGCCTCTCTGAGGAGACAACAATTAGACTAAGACCAGAGTGATGAAACTGAGCTAGTTATGCAAAGATCTCTAAATGACTGAGGAGTGAGAAACTGACGATTCATGAGAGGAAATAACTGTAGAAACTAAGGCCTTAATAAGAGGCTGGCCTTAATAGGAAAGGGACACTTCCATTATGATTAGAGAGAAGGCACAGAATATACATCTTGACCTAGAAAGACTGATGCATTTAGTTAGGATTCATTTGTCTATATGTGACCAAAAACTAGAAGAATATTGTTTAAATAAGACAGAATTTAGTCCTCTCATGTACCTGAAGTCCAGAGGTAGGTTGTTCAGGGTTGATTTGGAAGTCATAAAATTCTTAAGGAGCAGACGCCTCCTAGCTCAGTACTCTTCTATCCCAATATGTGGACCTACCCTTCCTGGTCTAAGATGGCTGCTAGATAGAGTTCCAGCATCATAGACTCATCCCACATAGCAAAAGAGAGGAGGGAGAAGAAAACGATCAAAGGGCACAAGCCAGTTCTATGTTTTTAGAACATTTCCTGAAAGCTACTCATAATACTCCCCCTTACATTTCATTAGCCAGTACTTGGCCATATAGCTATAATCAACTGCAAAGGAAGCTGGAAAATATGGTCTTTACATGAGACAGCCATATTTCTAGCTAAAAAGATCAAAGGTGTTATTACAAAGAAAGAGGGAGAGGAATACTGGGGATACTAGCAGACTCTGACACAAAAAATGAGGTGGCACTCATCTGATTTCATTTATTTTTTTCAGCGAGTATGAAGAGAGATCATCAGCTGAAAGTAAGGGGAGACAAGGGTGCTGGAGGTATGAAGAAAGAGGAGAAAGTTTAAAATAGCCGTCTCAAGGGATAAGAAAGTGATTTTGCTACAGAAAAGTGATAGCACTTATCAGCTGAGTTTAGTGCCCACCTGAAATTTGGGGTCATAAAATTAAAGTCAGACCCCTAAGCACCATTGTGAGATGTACTGCAGCTATATTTAGCTACTCAGATGCAAACACAGAGCAGTTGGTTAGGTTTAACCAGACTTGTGTTTTGTCTCCCAGGCATGATGGAGGGGAAGATGGATAAGGATGTTTGCAAGAAAGAGACCATGGTGCTGAACCACTGAATCAGTTAGATCTGACATTCTATAACAGAAAACCCTACTGGGGTCTATTCTCACATGGCAGAGGTAGTCAATTGCTAGCATTAGTTCAGCTGCTCAGAGAAGCCACTGGGGGCCCAGTTCCTTTCTCTCTTTCTGCTCTACAATCATCAGGGTGTTGCCTTTTGTCCATGCTTGTCATCCCATGGTTGCAAGATGATTGCTGCAGCTCCAGATGTCATATCTGTGTTTAAGGGAGGAAGAAAGGAGAAAGGGAAATAGGGGCAAAGGAACATGCCAGCTGTGACTATCCCCTTTATTAGAAAAGCAAAATATTCCCTGGAACTAACCCCCAGTAGACTGCTGCTTGGTACTAACTGGACAGAACTGGGACACGTGGAAATATTTTGCTTTGAGGAAGGCTCAGAAATGAGGAATCTTATTCCTTATGATATAACGCCATCCTGAGCAAAATCAGTTGTTAGTAATATAGGCAAGGAAATAGATATTGGGCAGAGAACTAACAATTTCTGCCACAACCATGGCATCTAATCTAGCTGAGAAGGAAAAGACAATAAGACAAAAGTGATAAATAGTGAAATAATGAGAGGTCAATGGGTTGAAGGTCCTCATAGTGTTGAAAAATTGTTGGAAGAACATACTATATGTGAGCTGGCAGTCTAGGATGCAGAGGTCACACTGCTGTGCTTGAAAAAGATTTTCAAGATGATGCCCTTAATGGTTACATCAAAGCCCAGGCATTAGGCATACCCTCTGGCTCTACAAGAGCATGTTTTCCAAAACTCTATTATACCATTCACTACTGTATCTATAGGGGACCTTTCAAATTGCAAGTCATATTCTCTGGTGAAAGCCTCCAATAACTTTCGATCTCCCTCGGTAATATCCAAAGTCTCACAATGGTCTACAAGATCTGGCCCCTCCTACTTTTCCCACTTCACTCTTCCTTGCACCCTCCCCTTCTTTGCTATTCACACTCATAATTTAGGGTCTTTCTTCTGTCTAGGATGCATTTCCTCCAAGGAGGCACATGACTTGCTCCTTCAGAGCCATCAAATTTGTGCTCACATGTCACCTTACAAGTTAGACCATCCCAATAGTCCCTATGTTCCTTTCCCAGCTTTTCTCTCACCAACTAACATGCTATTCACTCTGGCCCTCCATATCCATGGGTTCTGCATTCATGAATTCAATCAACGGTGAATTCGAAATATTTTTTAAAAAATGTATCTGTACCAAACATATACAGACTCTTTTTCTTGTCATTATTTTCTAAACAATGCAGTATAAAAACTATTTACAGAACATTTACATGGTATTAAGTATTACAAATAATCTAGCGATTATTTAAAGTGTACAGGAGGATGTACATAGGTTATATGCAAATATTACACTATTTTATATCAGGGTTTTGAGCATACACAGATTTTAGTATCCAAGGGAGATCATGGGACCAATCCCCCACGAATAGTGAGGGACAACTGGATGTTTACTTTTCAAATTGTTTTTTGTTTTCCTAATGACTACTCAGCCTCAATTAGAATGTAAGCTCCATGAGAGCAGAGAAATGTGGCTGATGCCTAAAATAGGGCCCAACATGTATTAGGTACATAATAGAGGTTGATTAGTACTTATCAACAAATAAGAACAATAATACTTATACAACACTCACTGTACAACAGATACTACTGTTAAACCCATTTTGCAGATGAGGAATTGAGGCATGGAGAGGTTAAGTGACTTGCCCAAGTATAGCTAGTAAGTGATAGAGCCAGGATGTTAACCCATAGTTCTAACCACTATGCTGTCATCTACTGAGAGCCTACTCCAGGCTAGGCACTGTCTAGGCCCTAGTTACAGCAATGAACTAAGCAGAGTCCCTCTGCTTTAGAAATAAAATAATCAGATGCAATGGATAACAGATCCAGGACTGGAAAGAGAGGAGTAAAAGTCATTTGGGGAATAACTGGGGCAATCTAAATATGAACTGGAAATTTATTATATTCAAGAATTACTGTTGATTTTATTAGGTGAGATAAAGATATTGTGAGTGAAAGAGAAACAGTTCATTTTTGAAGATTCATGTTAAAAGCATTAAGGGGTGAAATGTCATTAGGTTTTTATTTTATTTTAAAACACTTCAATAAAAATAGATGAAGCAAAAATGGTAAAGGTTAACAATTGTTCAATCTAAGTGATGGAGAAGTGGTTATTTATGTTATTTTTTCATACTGTTTTAGTCTTTTTGGGCTGCTATAATGAAGCCTGGGAGCTGGCTTACCCCTGTAATCCCAGCATTTTGGGAGGCCAAGGCAGGAGGATCACTTGAGCTCAGAAGTTTGAGACCAGCCTGGGCAACAAAACCTTGCTACTACTAAAAATTTAAAAATTAGCCAGGTATGGTGGCATGCAGCTCTAGTCCCAGTCTCAGCTACTCGGGAGGCTGAGGCAGGAGGACTGCTTGAGCCCAGGAGATTGCGGCTGCATGATGAGCCATGATTGTATACTGCATTCTAGCCAGGGCAACAGAGCAATACCCTGTCTCAAAAAAAGAGTCTGGATGGCTTATAAACAACAACAACATTTATTTCTTACAGTTCTGGAGCCTGGGAAGTTCAAGATCAAGACACTGGTAGATTCAGTGTTTGGTGAGGGCCTGCTTCCCAGTTCATAGATGGCCATCTTTTCACTGTGTCTGCACATGGAAGAGGGGCCAAGGAAGCTCCCTAGGGCCTCTTTTATAAGAGCACTAATCCCCCTCATGAGGGCTTCACTCTCATGAGCTAAGCACTCCCCAAAGTCCATACGTCAAAATGTCATCACACTGTGCATTAGGTTTTATTTAATAACATGAATTTTGGGGACATACACACACATTCAGTCTATAGAAAGTATATTTGAATATTTTCATACAAAAAGGGTTTTTAGAAGCCATGGAAAAGGAAACAAATATTTTCAAAAAGTCGCTGCTCTCATGGAGCTTACATTCTAATGAGAGGGCAGAACTCACAGTGGATCCTTGTAGGCATTCTCTTCTCTCCAATCTATTCTATAAAATCCAACTTGCCATCTCATCAGTAAAATTTTTACCCTGATAGAGGTATAACTTACAGTGAAAATTTCTGAAGGAACCTTTGCCTGCTCTGATATTTTCCATTTTTGATCTTTTACCATATTATGCCACATAATGTCAAAAATCCTCAAAACTTTCGTTTGGGTGAAATTTTGAAAATCACCTTTCTTAATTAGATCAAAATTCACAAAATTAAAGATTCTTTCCAGGTTAGATACAAATGTACATTGCTGTATCATACTAGAGCACAGTATTTTTTTTATGTTTGATTGTTAAGGCATCAATTTTAAGGAACTTGGGGTGAGCTGGTGTTTATCCTGGCTAGAATTAGATGACTGTTGAAGTCCCTTCAAAATGTGAGATTCCAGGAAATTCTAGAATTAGGTTAATAATCATAATAATACCCATAATTGAGCACTTTACCATGTGCCAGGTATTGTGCTATTTGGGAAACTATGCATTTATTCCAATTTTTGGAACTCGTTTTTTAGACTGCCTACATCACATTCTTTAGAATGGCTTCACCTTTTTGCTTTTGCCAAAAATTATTCTGAGTTACATCTGGCAAACAAGGTAGGTATCCAAGCTGAACAATAGGTATTGTCTAGAATGAGACAGTTACAACACAGTGATAGTATGTCCCTTCCCTAGTGGTTGGACTTGCATGAATAATGATTGTGTTTCTGTCTTCTGCAGTGTTTTCCAGAGTGGATTCTATGAACACTGCGAGAGATATAGCTCTTCTTGTGCAGAAAATCCTATGGACTATAGAAAGTTTAGTGTTCCTGGCCCATAAAGGCCAGCAGTGCTCCAAAAACATTGTAACAAACCCAGAAGTCTCTCTGCATTCCCCAAGGCTCCCAAGGAAGGCCACTATATTAAATTCCACGTGGAAAGGGATCATGCTGTATTATATATCTCTGCATTCCAGAGCTGGGCACAGTGAATGGCACAAATTTGACACTCAAAGTTTGTTGAATAATCTGAACTGTCTCACAAACTGCCTTCACAATTTAATTGCCTTCAAAATTACAAAATAAAATCTCCAAGAATTCTTTCAACACTGAAATTATTAGGTTAAGCGTAAAGCCTTGTATGATATGTGCTGTATTTCTTCTATTCAAAAAAATGTTTTCAAGTTTTAACATTTCTGAAATCAGCCTTTCTTACATGTGATGTCAAAAGAATCTTGCCAAGAATCTTGCCAGTCACTACCCACAGGAGTAAGCTGTGATGCAATTGTGCAACTCAGACTAGCCATGAATAAGAATATGTTCATAACATCATCACCACAATTGAATTTTGTGTCCTAGAAGTACCAGAGGTGCTTAAAATTTAAGCAGAGATTTTTGCTTAAAACACCTTTTAAAAGATTACATTTTGATGCAGCATTAAAATAAAAAAGTTATTACAGATGCAGAAATTATGATATAAACCAGCATAGTAAATCTCATGGAATAGACTCTAGGATTTTCAAAGCTATGGAGAGCTGGTGTCACCAATTTATATAATCATTCAGGTACTGAAAAGCTCTGACAGAAGCCTTCCACTGATTTTCAGGAGAAGGTGTTTAACTTTCAGGGCTGGGAATTAAGTTACGGAAAATATGAAATTATGACGTGGACCAAATAAGACAATGAAAAGAAACCCTATTATTTTTCACTATGCCCCAGAATTATATTACCAGTCGAATGAAGACAAAAGATTCAACTTCACAAGTCAGAGTTGTTAAAAAACAGTCTGTCATCATGATGCTGCACGTGATGTCAAATGGCCAAAAGTGATTTGGAAGAATCTAGACTGTGAATAAAAAGGCTTAGACTCAAACTTTGTTACATGAAAGTTTGTGTAATATATATTGTTTGGTTTTAAAAATTATGTTTTTAAACCTGAAAATCTCTTACTGATTTGTGATACAGAAACTTCAACTACATTACTCATCATTTTCACTTGATGTTCTCTTTGAGAGATCCCATCTTCTCTGACTTGTACCACCCCTAAATGTTGATAAGAGCAAATCTATAGCTTATTCTCAGATATTTCTTCTGACCTCCATACTACGTGTAGGTACATTCAGCTGCCTGTTAGGCATTTCCTCTTGGAAGGGTCCACAAGCATCTCAGATTCAACACTGTATGAAACTGAATTAATCTTATTTGCCTACTCCAATCATCACCTCAACATATCTGCTCCTTCTCCTATGTCTCCCATCTCAATGAATGGTGTAACTAGCACCCAGTCTCCAAGCTGGATACTTGTGGGTTATCACTTACTCTCTCATTCTCTTTTTAATCCCCCATGATCAAGTCGTGTTAGTTCTACTACTAATCACTGTCTTTTTTTCTTTAGGCCCATGATCACTGCAATAATTCAGACCTTCATCATCTCTTACCTGGATTACCACAAATTGGTTGATGAAGTTCCCAGAGTCTACCTCCTACTCCAATCTCTTTTTCCATACTGCTGACAAAACAATCTTTTCAAATCACTATTATGATCATGTCATTCTCTAATTCACTATTTAAAAATTATAAATAGTTCTCTTTGTCACTAATGTAAATTCAAACTCTTTCACATTATAGAATCTTAGCAAGCTGCATCATTATCTAGCCTTCCTTTATCTCTTCTTCAACCTCATCTCTTGATTGTCTTCAAACAATACTGTCTACATTTTAACCATGAGGAACTCATTGGGTTCCCCCCAGATAAGCCATGCTCTTGTTTATGGCCATGTATTTGCATATTTCCTCCACTGTGAGCACCTCTCCTCTCTCATCTTAGCTGGCTGAGACTCAGCCCAGGCATCATTGCCTTTGTAAAGCCTCTCGCATCCCTGACCAAGTTTGCATAAGCCCACCCTTTCTCTTTGATTCTGTAGCCCACAGTGCTTCTTTCTGTCTCAGATGATGTTTATTTGTCTATCTCCCTCAACATATTCTCAAAGACAAGTCCTCCAGTGCTTAGAAGAGTACCTAACGTAGTTATCAGTAATAACTTTGAATGTAAATGGACTAAACTCTCCAATCAAAAGACACAGAGTGGCTGGATGGATGCAAAAACAAGACCCAATGATATGTTGCCTACAAGAAATGCATTTTACCTATAAAGACACACATAGACTAAAAATAAAAGAATGGAAAAAGATATTCCATGTAAATGGAAACCAAAAAAGAGCAGGAGTAGCTATACCAGACAAAATAGATTTCAAGACAAAAACTATAAGAAGAGACAAATGTCACTATATAATGATAAATGGGTTAATTCAGCAAAAACGTGTAACAATTGCAAATAAATATATATATGCACCCAATACTGGATCATCGAAATATATAAAGCAAATATTATTAGAGCTAAAGAGAAAGATAGACCCAAATACAGTAAGAGCTGGAGACTTCAACACCCCACTTTCAGCATTAAACAGATCTTCCAGACAGAAAAATCAGCAAAGGAACATCAGACTTGATCTGCACTACAGATCAAATGGACTTAATAGATATTTACAGAACATTTCATCCCATGGCTGCAGAAGGCTCTATGTGCAGATCAGCACATGGATCATTCTCAAGGACAGACCAAATGTTAGGTCAAAAAAGAGGTCTTAAAACATTCAAAATAAATTGAAATAACATCAAGCTTTTTCTCTGACCACAATGGAATAAAACTAGAGATCAATAACAAAAATAATTTTGGAAACTACATAAATACATGGAAAGTAAACAATATGCTCCTGAATGACCAGTGGGTCAATGAAGAAATTAAGAAAACTGAAAAATTTCTTGAAACAAAAGATAATAGAAACACAACAACATACCAAAACCTGTGGGATATAGTGAAGGCAATGCTAAGAGGGAAGTTTATAGCTAGCTATAAGCAACTACATCCAAAAAAAGGAAAGCTTCAAATAAATAACCTAACAATACATCTTAAAGAACTAGAAAATCAAGAGAAAACCAAACCCAAAATTAGCAGAAGAAAAGAAATAATAAAGATCAGAGCAGAAATAAATGAAATAAAGTACAAAATATCAATGAAACAAAAATTGTTTTGAAAAGATAAACAAACTGATAAACCTTTAACCAGACTAAGAAAAAAAGAAGTCCCAAATAAATAAAATCAGAGATGACAAAGGAGATAATACAATGCAGAAATTCAAAAGATCATTAGTGGCTTCTATGAGGAATTATATGCCAATAAATTGGAAAATCTAGAAGAAATGTATAAATTTCTAGACATATACACCCTACTATGTCTAAACCATGAAGAAATCCAAAATCTGAACAAACCAATAACAAGTAGCGAGACTGAAGCCATAATAAAACATCTTCCAGCAAAGAAAAGCCCAGTACCCGATGACCTCACTGTTGAATTCTACCAAATATTTAAAAAAGAACTAATACCAATCCTACTCAAACTATTCCAATAAACAGAAGAAGAGGAAATACTTCCAAACTCATTCTACAAGGCCAGTATTACCCTGATACCAAAGCCAGACCAAACACATTAAAAAGAGAAAAAACTATGGGCCAATATCCCTGATGAATATTAATGCAAAAATCTCAAAAAAATTAGCAAACTGAATTCAACAACACATTAAGAAGATAATTCATCATGACCAGTGGGATTTATCCCAGAAATGGAAGGAGGGTTCAACATATGCAAATCAATCAATGTGATACATCATATCAACAGAATAGAGGACAAAACCATATGATCATTTCAATTGGTGCTGAAAAAGTATTTGATAAAATTCAACAACGTTTCACAAGAAAAACCTTCAGGAAACTGGGTATAGAAGGAACATATTTCAACATAATAAAAGCCATATATAGGCCGGGCGTGGTGGCTCACACCTGTAATCCCAGCACTTTGGGAGGCCAAGGTGGGTGGATCATTTGAGGTCAGGAGTTTGAGACCAGCCTGACCAACATGGTGAAACCCCATCTCTACTAAAAATACAAAAAAAAATTAGCCGGGTGTGGTGGCCTGCGCCTGTAATCCCAGATACTTGGGAGGCTGAGGCAGGTTCCCATTTGAACCTGGGAAGCAGAGGTGACAGTAAGCCCGAACTGCACCATGGCACTCCAGCCTGGGCGACAGAACGAGACTCTACTCAATAAATAAATACATAAATAAATAAATAAATAAATAAATAAATAAAAGCCATATATGACAGACCCACAGCTAGTATCATACTGAATGGGGAAAAACTGAAAGCCTTTCTCCTAAGTTTGGGAACATGACAAGGACGCCCACTTTCACCACTGTTATTCAACACAGAATGGGAAGTCCTGGCTAGAGCAATCAGAAAAGAGAAAGAAATAAAGGGCATCCAAATTGGAAATGAAGAAGTCAAATTATCCTTGTTTGCAGATGATATGATCTTATATTTGGAAAAACCTAAAGACTCCACCAAAAAACTATTAGAACTAATAAACATGTTCAGTAAAGTTGCAGCATTCAAAATAAGCATACAAACATCAGTAGCATTTCTATAAGCCCACAGCGAACAATGTGAAAAAGAAATCAAGACAGTAATCCCATTTACAATAGCTACAAGTAAAATTAAATATCCAGGAATTAATAAAAGATGTAAAAAATCTCTACAATGAATACTACAAAACATTAATGGAAGAAATTGAAAAGGATATCAAAAAAGGGAAAGATATTCCATGTTCATGGATTGGAAGAATCAATATTGTCAAAATATCCATAGTACCCAAAGCAATCTACAGATTCAATGCAATCCCTATCAAAGTACCAATGACATTCTTCATAAAATTAGAAAAAACAATCTTAAAATTTATATGGAGCCACAAAAGAGCCAGAATAGCCAAAGCTATCCTGAGCAAAGAGGATAAAACTGGAAGAATCACATTACCTGATTTCAAATTATACTACAAAGCTATAGTAACCAAAACAGCATGGTACTGGTAGACCAACAGAACAGAATAGAGAACCCAGAAATAAGACTGCACACCTACAACTCTCTGATCTTTGACAAACCTGACAAAAAAAGGCAACAGGGAAAGGATTCCCTATTCAATAAATGATGCTGGGATAACTGGTTAGCCATATGCAGAAGACTGAAACTGGACCCCTTCCTTACACCACACACAAACATTAACTCAAGATGGATTAAAGACTTAAATGTAAAACCCCAAACTATAAAAACCCTAGAAGAATACCCAGGCAATACCACTCAGGACATAGGCATGGGCACAGATTTCATGACAAAGATGCCAAAAGCAACTGTAACAAAATTTTTGTCAACAAAAATTGACAAATGGGATCTAATTAAACTAAAGAGCTCCAGAACAGCAAAAGAAACTATCAACAAAATAAACAGACAACCTACAGAATGGGAGAAAATTTTCGCAAACTATGTAACCGACAAAGGATGCATCTGTAAGGAACTTAAACAAATTTCTGAGAAAAAAAAAACATTAAAAAGTGGGCAAAGGACATGAATGGATACTTTTCAAAAGATGACATACATGCGGCCAATGATCATGTGAAAAAAAGGTCAACATCACTGATTATTAGAGAAATGCAAATCAAAACCACAATGAGATACCATCTCACACCAGTCAGAATGGTGATTATTTAAAAGTGAAGAAACAACAGATGCTGGCGAGGTTGCAGAGAAATAGGAATGCTTTTACACTGTTGGTGGGAATGTAAAATAGTTCAACCATTGTGGAAGACAGTGTGGCAATTCCTCAAAGATCTAGAACCAGAAATAGCATTTGACCCAGCAATCCCACTACTGGGTATACGCCCAAAGGAATATAAATCATTCTATTACAAAGATACATGCACACATATGTTCACTGTAGCACTATTCACAGTAGCAAAGACATGGAATCAACCCAAATATCCATCAATAATAGACTGGATAAAGAAAATGTGGTAGATATACACCATGGAATACTATGCAGCCATAAAAGGAATGAGACCATGTATTTTGCAGGGACATGAATGGAGCTGGAGGCCATTATCCTTAGCAAGCTAATGCAGGAACAGAAAATACCACATGTTCTCATTTATAAATGGGAGCTAAGTGATAAGAACACATGGACACATAGAGAGGAACAACACACACTGGGTCCTATTGGAGGGAGGAGGGTGGAAGAAGGGAGAGGATCAGGAAAAATAACTAATGGGTACTAGGCTTAATACCTGGGTGATGAAATAATCTGCACAACAAATCCCCATGACACAAGTTTACCTATGTAACAAATCTGCACATGTACCCCTGAACTTAAAAGTTTAAAACAAACAAGCAAACAAAAAACCCAGATGAATGGATAAAGAAAAAGTGGTACATATACACAGTGAAGTACTATTCAGCCACAAAAGAGAATGAGATCTTGTCATTTACTACAACAGGGATGGAACTGGACTTCATTATGTTAAGTGAAATAAGCCAGGCAAACAAGGACATGATTCACGTGTTTTTATTTATTTGTGGGAGCTAAAAATTAAAATAGTTGAACTCATGAAGATGGAAAGTAGAAGGATAGTTACTAGAGTCTGGGAAGGGTAGTGTGGGTTAGGGGGAAGTGGGGATGGTTAATGGGTACAAAAAATAGAAAGAATGAATAAGAACTAGTATTTGATAGTAAAACAGAGCAACTATAGTCAGTAATAATTTACTGTACATTAAAAATAACTAAAGAGTATAATTGGATTGTTTGTAACACAAAGGATAAATGCAATCTTGAGGTGATGGCTACCCCATTTACCCTGATGTGATTATCATGCATTGCATGCCTATACCAGAATAGCTCATGTACCCCATACATATGTACACCCACTATGTACTCACAAAAATAAAAAATAAAATAAATGAAATAAATAAAAATTTGAAAATGTTTGGTAAATGAATAAACTGATGCTGTACAATCCTCTGCATCTCAAATTGGGGCACTACTGGGAGTATGTGGTAGTATGATAGGAACATAATAAACAAGAGATATATTATTTGGGGCATGAGTTTTATCTAAATATTTTGAAGTAAAATCCATTACTTTTATATCGAAACAAAAATGGATATATAATGAAATGGAGTGAAAAATTGCTATAATTTATATGCCAAAGCATGAGCTATCAAAGATATTTCCCACTTACTTTGGACTCTTTAGACTCAACCCCAGAACGTACATGGTCCCACTTTCCCTCTTTTGCTGTCACGGATAGTCAATAGAAAAAAAAAACTCAGAAATATCACACCATGTTACATTTTTATCCCATTTGATAAACATAAAATAGCATATATTTTATGTGAATAATTGTATGAACATAACTTCATATATAGCATTTGTGAACAAAAATGGTCTTTATTTGTATGACTCAAAATGTTATCTGTTTCAGTAAAAGCAAAAAAATTCATAACCAACACAAACCCTACATATCTGCATACGTACTTGTACTGTATATACATTATTACAAAGGGGAATGAGTGGACAAATACAACCCGCTGTTAACACTGGTTGCCTCATGGGATTGGGTAGTTTGGTAGAGAGTGGGGGTTCAACAACTGGCTTTGCCTTTACATCTTCATATTATGTTTGTCACAACAACAAGCATGTATTACTGATAAATTTGGAGGAAAAAATTAAAAATTAGTATTTTAATAAGCAAAAATGGAGTCCATATTGATTTCGCCAGTTATCAGCAAATTCTGAAAATTAGACTTTATATTCCAATACTACTTACTGATATTTCATCACTGATTCTATTTTTTTCAAGAGAAAACCTCAGAAAGTGAAAGGTTAGTGTAACCTTTCTTTTTTAAATTGTAAATGTTTCTGAGTATGCTTTTTCAAATTAAAAGAGGCTTAATAAACAATTCTAAATTACGATTCTTAATTACAATTGAGCAACTCCTAACTGTTTGTCATTTAAGCTTTTTGATGTGAATTTCAAAAACAGCTATCCACTTTTGGTGAGAGAGAGCTTAAAGAAGTGACTGGGGTTTACCTGGTTTAAAAGGTTGGAAGTGGGCAATTAAAGGTAGTAATATCCCAGTTGGATTTCATAACTACTTAATAATATAAGCTTTTATGTTGGTGTAGTAGGCATGTGTAACAGCTGGTAAGACAGCATTGTCTGTCTTTGACTTTACAGTGCAAAATTAGGGCTATCTTTTGTGTCAGAGGATATGCATTTTTAAGCAGACGTCACACATATTAGATATACAACAACAATAGTAATCCAGGCTCTGGAGGCAAAGTCAGGGTAGGAAATAGTCCATGCCACTTTTTAAGTGAAGCTCACCCATCCTCATAGCATTTAAAAGAACACAGTGCATCTTCATGAACATTAGCCAGGATTCAGAGCTCTTTGGGGCAAATAAATTTCTGGCCATAGTTGTTTTTTTTTTTCCCAGAACAATAATAGCAATTATACATTCTAAAATAGCCTAATTTCATATATTTTATTTCATTGCTCTTATAAATCAGATACCTCCATCTAATCTCTGGTCTGGGGGACCAACTATGGACCTTCTGAGATTCTTGGCAAACAGGTAAAAAAATGACTGAAGAAGTGATTTAACAGTAAGGAAGATGAGAAGTTTAAGCTCCCTTTATCACAGCATTCTGTTTTATTTTTATCAGAGCTTTTATCATTATCTGGTGGTATCTTATTGATGGTCTGTCTTTCCCCACTAGAATATAAGCTCTCTGATGTCAGGGATCTGATCTGTCTTATTCAGCCCAGCGTGCCTCTAATAATCCTGGGCACACAGTAAGCACTCCTCAGAGAGTGGCTGACAGACCCAATGTAACAAGTGCAAGGACAGAGATAGGAGAGGGCTGCTTTGGGAGTTCACAGGAGCCTGAACTGATATTTTACATGCAGATGAGCACACTCTTAGAGATCACTGTGGTGGTTTTGTTTATCCATTCAACAAACATTTATGCAGAATCCTCTGTGAAGGAAATAAAAATATTTTACCCCAAAATATGTACTTTGACATATTTTGAAATAGTTGCCACAGGGCCAGCAAACAGAAGTGGTCTTGCAAAGCTGTCTTTTGTGGGGAAATTTTGCTTCTGTAGAGAATCTCCACCAATGCTGCCAAGGCCTCCCCTTTCCAGTCATTTCCTGGATCTGGGAGAGATTGAGTCTGATACCTTTAAACGACTGAAAAGAAACATTTGCCATCTATTCTCTCTGAAGGAGGCTGCATCTACACACAAGGCCATCTTTGCTAGCCAAGCTTCTTCCTTTCTCCCTCTTATAACCTGTTTTGCCACTGAACCTGATTTATAAACATAACCTGGTTTTGGCCATGCCCTGACCCCCATTATTTCTGTAACCTCAAGATGATATATAAGCTTCTGTAACTTATTAGGATGTTGGGTCTTCATACTGAAGGCTCCTGTGTATACATGTTAAATAAACTTGTATGCCTTTTCTCCTAATTAATCAATCTGCCTCATGTTAGTGATTTTGAGCAAACTTTTAGGAGGTCAAGAGCCTATGGCCCACACCCTAGGCATAATATAGTAATGAACAAACTAATACAGTTACTGCCCTCATTAAGCTTATAATCTAGTGGGAAGACAGACATTTAAAAAGTCATACAACTGGCCACGCGCGGTGGCTCATGCCTGTAATCCCAGCACTTTGGGAGGCCAAGGCGGGTGGATCAAGAGGTCGGGAGTTCAAGACCAGCCCGGCCAAGATGGTGAAACCCCATCTCTACTAAAAATATAAAAATTAGCCGGGCGTGGTGGTGGGTGCCTATAATCCCAACTACTTGGGAGGCTGAGGCAAAGAATTGCTTGAACCTGAGGGGCAGAGGTTGCAGTGAGCCGAGATTGTGCCACTGCACTCCAGCCTGGGTGACAAGAGTGAAACTCCATCTTAATAATAATAATAATAATAATAATAACACCTCCTTCTAGGATTGTTCTGAAGTTCAAACAAGTTAGTATTTTCAAAGTACTGCTAACAGTTCCTGCTACCCAAAAGAGGTGAGCTAGTATTACTTTTAAGTCAGGGCATGCTATGGACTGAATGTTTGTGCCCCGCCTCCCCCCGCCCACCAAAACCCATATGTTGAAATCCTAACCCAATGTAATGGTATTAGCAGGTGAGGTTTTTGGGAGATAATTAGCTCATGAGGGTAGAACCCTAATGAATGAGATCAATGTCCTTATAAAAAGACACACAAGAGCTTGCTGGTTTTCTCTCTGTCTCTCTCTGCCATGTGAAGAAACAAATGAAGAAAACTGTCTGCAAACTAGGAAGAAAGACCTCACCAGACACCGGATCTGCCGGCACCTTGACCTTTGAATTCCAGCCTCTAGAGCTGTAAGAAATAGAATTCTGTTGTTTAAGCCACTCAGTTTATGGTATTCTGTTACAGCAGCCTGAGCTAAGACAGGGACAAAACAGAATTGAGAGAACACTCAATGGAGGCAAAGTCAGAAACTTCTTGAGCTCTATTCTTTGCCACCTGGCTCTGTTAAAAAATGTGAAGGTATTATGTCTTGATTTATTTTCTTCTGAAGAAAGCTCTTTTGTTGTAGAAATTGACCATGCCATGAACATATCTGAAACAACTATAAAATGAAATTCTAGAAACAGACCTATACATTATGTTTTCTAACTTAGAACACAAAGCAAATTTCTTACTTTACTCTTTTAAAAAGTTTTTAACAGCTTCATTGAGATGTAATTAATATACCATAAAATTCACATTTTTTTTTTTTAGACGGAGTCTCGCTCTGTCGCCCTGGCTGGAGTGCAGTGGCACAATCTCGGCTCACTGAAAGTTCCGCCTCCCGGGTTCACGCCATTCTCCTGCCTCAGCCTCCCGAGTACCACCACCAGTACCAGGCGAGTACCAGGCGCCCACCACCACGCCCGGATAATTTTTTGTATTTTTAGTAGAGACGGGGTTTTACCATGTTAGCCAGGATGGTCTTGATCTCCTGACCTTGTGATCCACCCACCTCGGCCTCCCAAAGTGCTGGAATTACAGGCGTGAGCCACTGCACCCAGCCAAAATTCACATTTTTAAAGTATATAATTCAATGGTGTTTACTATATTCACAGAGTAGTGCAATCATCACCACTATATAATTCTAGAACATGTTCATTGTCCCCCAAAGAAACTTCATACCCATTAAAAGTCACTCCTAGTCTCTGCTCCTCCCAGCCCCTGGCAATCACTAAACTACTTTCTGTCTCTATGAATTTCTCTATACCTACCTTTGCTCTTGGAAAGACAGGCAGAGATGAACTGTGCTGTCTTTGGGGTTGCCAAAATGTACCCTCAGATTCCTGAGGGAAAATAAATGATTTCTGATCAATTACAGTTGGAAGTAACCTAAGTAAGAAGAAATGGAATTTAAAATCAAATTTGCTATTTTAAAAGCTTTTCAAATTGTAATTTTAAAACAATGCTTCCTAATTAAGCTTATATTTTATAGGAAATATTCTATTGGTAATTACAATAAATTAAACCAATCTTTATTATTTTTGCCACTGTAAAACTGCAGTTGTTTTATTAAGCATAAGAATTTCCAAGTCTGATAAAGACCATTATAGCATGAATAAAAAGCTCTATTTCTGGCTGAGTTTATATGATTAACAACTGACAGAATTATTGCACTATAAAACATTCTTGGTAAAAGAAAATACATAATGTTGTATTTTGTTTAATAAAATCAAATTACAGTATAACCAACGTTAAATATATACAAAATGATGGTCCCTAAGTGATTAATACTTATATTCTTGAAATCTCTGCTATTTTATATAGTTGTAAAGATTTAAATATCAAAGGTGGTTAAACATTTTCCTTATTAAGCAGTGGATAGTTCCATGGGAGAGCAATGTAAAAAAAATAAAATTGTAAGAATGAGTACTTGTGTGTCATGTTATGTCTTAAAATTTTTAATTTGAAAGCAAGTTCAAGATCTTTAAGATTATCAATATAATTAGGACTAACAAAACTCACCCACCAATAACTCAATACAACTCAATAACTTGATTCTATTGTGATACCCACTTTTGCAAAATTATCATTAAAAAGCAACTTACGGAGTTCTAGTTTCACTCCAACATGTAATGAGCTTGGAAGTTGTCATTCCTATTCTCACAACAAGAAAAAAGCTAAATGAAAACAACTCTTCTTATATCTATCAGAGAATTGAGATCACAGGGTAAACTGCTGTCCTGAAAACTGGAGAGAGGAGTATTATAAAGCATCACAGCTTGCAGGGAGCAGAAGCCTGAGAGCAGAAGTCAGCTGTTGGAACCTACACTGACAAGAACGCTTCAGCTCTAATTGACAAATTTCTCGAGGCTCAGTGTGGACTAGCTTGAGAGTTAAAAATTCTTGGGGGCAGGGAGGAGAATCTTAGAGGGTCCCACACTTTTGTGAGTTTTGCCTCCAAGAGCCCCAACATGTTCTCACTGTGAAGATCAGAGAATCCGCTTCTGCTTCCAGCAGGGAGAGAAGGAAATAGCTATTTTGGAATATTCCCAGAGAGTTCTGTTCTTCGTTCTGTTCTTCGTTCCGTTCTCTGTAATGAAGGTAAGCTCTCAAGAAAATGTCTAACCAAAGCCTTATCTGAGCTGGAGAAGGGCAATTAGACAACTTCAGCCCACTCTAACCTTCCTCTCTCACTTAAGGGGAGGAAATGCTGAGAAAAACTTGTCAAGGTAATAGCCCAGGGCAAAGACCCACCAAAAGACTGACACCTAATTATAGAGTATAGAATGCTTCCTTCTACACACACTTTACCACCACATTTACAGAGCCCCTGAATAACAGAAGATTATAGATGAAAGACTGCAAAGCTCAGACTCTTTTTAAGAAGGGGTTTCTAAGGAAACCCAAAGACAAAACAAGAGACAAAAGGGGTGATAAAAACAAAGATACTGGGCCAGGCGCGGTGGCTCAAGCCTGTAATCCCAGCACTTTGGGAGGCTGAGGCGGGTGGATCATGAGGTCAGGAGATCGAGACCATCCTGGCTAACACGGTGAAACCCCGTCTGTACTAAAAATACAAAAAATTAGCCAGGCGTGGTGGCATGTGCCTGTTGTTCCAGCTACTCAGGAGGCTGAAGCAGGAGAGTGGCATGAACCCGGAAGGCGGAGCTTGCAGTGAGCCGAGATTGCGCCACTGCACTCCAGCCTGGGTGACAGAGCGAGACTCCGTCTAAAAAAAAAAAAAAAAAAAAAAGATACTGGAGGAAACTCTCAGATGCCAACATTAATAGCAAACAGTAAACACAGTGTAACTCCTAGTCAGATAAACATAAACCCTCACACTGAAGGCCTATTTATCTTAAATGCTATTACCCAATGATATAATGATGGTATCTAGGCTTCGATAAAAAATGATGAGGCATGCTAAAAGGCAAGAAAAAAAACAGTCTGAAGAGACAAAGCGAATATCAGAACCAGATTCAGCTATGCCAGAGATTTTGGAATTATCAGACCAGAAATTTAAAGTAACTCTGATTAATAGGCTAAGGGCACTAATGAAAAAAGTGGACAACATGCAAGACAAGATGGGTAATGTAAGCAGAGAGATTTAAACTTTAAGAAAGAATCAAGAGAAAATGCTAGAAATAAAAAGCATTGTTTTAAGAAGTGAAGAATGTCTTTGATAGGCTTATCAATATATTGAATATGGCCAATGAAACAAAATCAGTGATCTTGAAGAAATGTCAATATAAACTCCTCAAAGTGAAACGCAAAGATGAAAAGAGAATGAACAAAACAGTACAGAATATTCAGTTATAAACAGTGTGACATACTTATAGGAATACAAGAGAAGGGACAAAGGAACCAAAGAAATATTTGAGTAATAATGGCTGAGAATTTCCCAAAATTAATGACAGACACCAAGCTACAGATTCAGGAATTTCAGAGAACACTGACCAGAATAAATGCAAAAAACAAAACAAAACCCTACACCTATACATATCATATTTAAACTATGAAAAACAAAAGACAGAGAAAATCTTGCAAGAAGCCAGGGAGAAAAAAAATTACCTTACCTATTGATAATAATTATATTGAACTTTTTTTTTCAGAAACTATGCAAGTAAGAAGACAATGAATTGAAATATTTAAAATGTGGAAAGAAAAAACCCACTAACCTGCAAAAATTATCCTTCAAAAGTGAAGAGGAAATAAAGATGTTTTGAGACAAATAACAACTAAGAGAATTTGTTGCCTGAGATCTGTCTTGCAAGAACCATTAAAGGAAATTCTTTGGAGGGAAGGAAAATTATATATGTTTGCTATGGGATATATGAGGCAAAAAGAAAACCCAGGAAACTCACCACCATGCTGTTCCTTGTGTCTCAAGGCCCTCAGCTGGTCTGCCTTCTTCTCTCCGTCTTTCAGAGTCTTTTAAAGTTTGTTTTAAATATAATGTCCAAAGTTTTTAGTTGTACTTAGCAGGAGGCATAAAAGACAGTATGTCACCACCTTCCCAGAAGTGAAAGTATCTTGGTGTATTTCTTAAATCCTTTTACTTCTATGGATGGTGTGTTTAGAAGTGAATTTAGATATTGATAATTGAATTGAGATATAATTTTGTACACTGCTTTTCTCCCCCTCAGCATATGCTTGAGAAATTTTCCATGTCAGTAAAATTTCTTCAATATCAGTTTTAATAGCTATATAACATACATATAGATGTGTTAAAATGAATTTAATAATTCTTTTACTGTTGATACTTAAGGTATATCCAAAGTTATTGCTATTAAATACAATGCTAAAATGAACATACTTATACAGACATTAATGTATATCTCTCTTTAGTTCCTAAGATAATTCTTAGAGCTACAATTACTAAATTTAAACATATTTATTTATTTGAAACAAGATCTCACTCTGTCACTCAGGCTGGAGTGCAGTGGCACAATCACGGCTCACTGCAGCCTCAATATCCTAGGCTTAGGTGATTCTCCTGCCTCAGCCTCCAGAGTAGCTGGGACTACAGGCACATGCCACCACACTCAGCAAATTTAAAAATTTTTTTTGTAGAGACAGGGTTTCACTATGTTGCCCAGGCTGGTCTCAAACACCTGGACTCAAGTGAGCCTCCCATCTCAGCCTCCCAAAGTGCTGAGATTACAGGCATGAGCCACCACATTTGGCCAAAAATAATAATTTAAATTTTTTCATATATGTTGAAAAATTGCTTTTAAGAACTTCATGCTGTCTTCCAGTTCCAAAATGCCAGCATAGAAGCAAGCTGGCTTCATGCTCCCATAACAGAAAACTAAAAACAAACATACATTACTGAGATTATTACCAGCAATAACCCAGAACCCAAAGATGAGGATGAGACAGTTCCCAGGTCATGGAGAAGGGAAAAAACTCCAAGCAGATGGAAAGGAAATCAGATTTCTATATCCGTGACTCCTCTCTCCACAATCTGCCTTGCACCAAGCATGTGAAAATATTTCTCCCAACTCATGGTTTCTTCACTAGAATTCTAAAGTGAGATCAAGGTTGACAACCAGCTTCCCTATCACCTTGGGTTCCTGACAAAAGACCTGTCCCTACCTCAACCCATGGAAAGTATCAGGAGTACTTGAAGGGACAAATATCCCTGAGGACAGCCAGAGACAAAGTAGGGAGGTGAGACAACCATCCCAACCCTAGATATTCTGCTCTGTAACTAGGCCAAAGGAGACACCAAATCAGAGTGGCAGTACCATGCTGTAGAAAGTATGTTCCACAGGTCCCCTTGGCACAAACCCTTGGCCAGCTGACCCACATTGCCAGAATATCCCCTTTGGGACCTCTTCCATTTGGGACAGGCAGCATTCTGATCCTTTATTAGATTTGACACAAATCCGGGCTTAAGTTGCCATCTAGTGCCAAAAAGGAGACAGCAACCTAGTGGGGGAAAAAAAGATATTCAAAAATTACAAAGAAAAAAGCAAGCATATCCATTAAAAACCAAAACAAGCCAGAGAGAGAAGACTGGAATAAATAACTAATCCTTTAATGCAAAGAAACAGACATACAGGCACATCAACAGCAAACAAGGAACCATGACTTCCCCAAAATGAACAAAGCAAGGAACCAGTGACTGACCTTAGTGAGATGTTGATATGCGAGATCTCTGACCAAGAACAAAATAGCAATTATAAGGAAACTCAGTGATCACCAAGATAACACAGAAAATCAATTAAGAAATTTATCAAAGAAATTTAACAAAGAGATTGAAATAATAAAAATAAAACCAAACAGAAATGTTGAAATACATTTGCTGAACTAAAAAATTCACTAGAGGCTCTCAACAGCAGAATGGTTAAAGCAGAAGAAAGAATCAGTGAGCTTCAGGACAGGCTATTTGAGAACACACAGTCAGAGAAGAAAAATATAAAAAGGAATGAAGATCACCTACAAGATATAGAAAATTCTCTCAGAAGACCAAATCTAAAAATTATTGATGTTCAAGAGAGAGTTGAAGAAGAGTAAGGGGTAGAAAGCTTATTTAAAGAAACAATAACAGAAAACTTTTGAAAACTTTAGAAAGACAGAAATATCCAGGTACAGGAAGGGCAGAGAACACCAAATAGATTCAACCCAAATAAGACCATCCCAACATATACTAATCAAACTCTCAAAGGTCAAGGACAAAGAGAAGATCCTGAAAACAGCAAGAGAGAAGAAGCAAATAGCACATAAAGGAGCTCTAATTAATCTGGCAAACGACTTCTCAATGGAAACGATATAAGCCAAGAGAGAATGTGAAAACATTTTCAAAGTGCTAAAAGAAAAAAGCTGCCTTCGAAGAATACTGTATCCATCAGAGGTATCCTTCAAATATGCTAAGATAAAGTCTTTCCCAGACGGACAAAAGCTGAGTGAATTCACCACCACCAGACCCATGTTACATCAAATGCTAATGGGAGTTATTCAGTCTGAAAGAAAAAAGTCACTAATGTGCAAAGAGAAAACATTGGAAGGTAAAAAAACTCACTGGTAAAATTAAGTACATAAACAACCTCAGAATACACTAATACTCTGTGGTGTAACACCTACTCAAACTCAAGTATGAAGCCTATAATATAAATCTATTAAAAACAGTAATAGCTACAGCAACCTGTTAAAAGATAGGCAATATAAAACTATGTAAGGTGAGACCAAAAAAAGTCAAAATGTATGGGGAATGGACTTAAAGTGTAGAGTTTTTTTAAAGTTTTTTCTTTGTTTCTATTATTTTTTAGTGATCTAAGATAACATTATCTCTTTAAAATAACTTATTATATCTAGAAGATGTTTTTATAAGCTTCATGGGAACCACAATGCAAAAAACTATAACAGATACATTAGAAATAAAAAGCAATGGGCTGGGCATGGTGGCTCAGGCCAGGCATGGTGGCTCGTGCCTATAATCTCAGCACTTTGGGAGGCTGAGGCAGGCAAATCACTTGAGGTCAGGAGTTTGAGACCAGCCTGGCAACATGGTGAAACCCTGTCTCTACTAAAAATACAAAAATTAGCCAGGCATGGTGGCAGGCGCCTGTAATCCCAGCCACTCAGCAGGCTGAGGTAGGAGAATTGCCTGAACCTGGGAGGCAGAGGTTGCAGTGAGCCGAGATTGCAACACTGCACTCCAGCCTGGGCGACAGAGAGAGACCCTGTCTCCAAAAAATAAATTAATTAATTAAAAATAAATAAAAAAGCAATGAATTAAAACATACTACCAGAGAAAAATAATTTAACCACAATGAAAGACAGTAAGAAAGGAAGAGAGAATTTACAAAACAACCAGAAAACAAGCAATAAAAATGGTAAGTCTTTACTCAGCAATAATAAGACTGAATGTAAATGGATTTAGTTCTCCAATTAAAAAACACAGTGTGGCTGAATGGATAAAAGAAACAAGACCCAACTATATGCTGCCTGCAAGAAACCCACCTCAGCTATAAAGACACAGACTGAAAGTAAAGACATGGAGTTGATATTCTATGCAACTGGAAACTCAAAAAGAGGAGTAATTATACATAGATAAAATGGACTACAAGTCAAAGACTGTAAAAAGAGTCAAAGAAGGTCATTATATCATTAAAGGAGTCAATTCAGCAAGTAGATAGAACAAGTGTAAGTGTCTATGCACGCAACATTGGAGCACCCAAGTATATAAGGCAAACATTGTAACAGAGCCAAAAGAGAGAGATAGATTGCAACACAATAATAGTAAGGGACTTTAGCACCCCACTTTCAGTAAGGGACAGATCATCCAGTCAGAAAATCAGCAATAACTTTCAGGTTAAACTACATACTAGACCAGACAGGTCTAACTGACATTTAAAGGACATTTCACCCAACTGCTATAGAATACACATTCTTTTTTATCAGCACATGGAACGTTCTCCAGAATAGAGAACATTCTTAGAAATCATGTCTTAGGCCACAAAACACATCTCAACAAATTTTAAAAAGTAGAAACCATATTAAGTATTTTTTTCTAACTACAATGAGATAAAACTAGAAATCAATAACAAGAGGAACCTTGGAAACTACAGAAACACATGGAAACTAAACAATATGCTTCTGAATGACAGTCAATAAAGAAATTAAAAAGGAAATTTAAATTTCTTGAAACAAATGAAAATGGAAATACAACATACCAAAATTATGGGGCAGTGAAAAAGCAGTCCTAAGAGGAAAGTTTACAACAATAAATGCCTATATCAAAAAGTATAAAAACTTCAAATACACAACCTAATGATGCACCTCCAGGAATTAGAAAAGCAAGAACACACCAAACCCCAAATTAATAAAAGGTAAAAAATAATAAAGACTAGAGCAGAAATAAATGAAATTGAGACAAAAACATACAGAAGATCAACAAAATTAAAAGGTGGTTTTTTGAAAAGATAAAGACAATCAACAAACCTTTAGCTAGACTAAGAAAAAAAGAGATAAAACCCAAATAAATAAAATCAGAAACAAAAAAGGAGACATAACAATTGAGACCACAGAAATACAAAGAATTATCACAGACTATTATGAACAACTATATCCCAACAATTTACAATTTGGAAAATCTAGAAGGAACAGATAAATTCCTGGACACTTACAACCTACCAAGATTGAACCATAAAGAAATAGAAAGCCTCAACAAACCAATAAGGAGTAAAGAGATCAAAGCCATGACAAAAAGTTTCCTATCTAAGAAAAACCAATGATTTGATGGCTTCACTGCTAATTTCTACCTATCAACCATTTAAAGAATAACTAACACCAATTCTACTCAAACTCTTCAAAAAAAATGAAGAGAAGGAAATTTCAAACTCATTGTATGAGGCCAGCATTATGCTGATACCAAAACCAGATGAGGATACAACAACAACAAAAAAGAAAACTATAGGCCAATACCACTCATAAATATAGATGCAAAAATCTTCAACGAAATCCTAGCAAACCAAATTCAACAATACATTTAAAAGATCATTCACCATAGGCTGGGCGTGGTGGCTCACACCTGTAATCTCAGCACTTTGGGAGGCCAAGCTGGGCGGATCACAACGTCAGGAGTTCGAGACCAGCCTGCCCAGCATGGTGAAACCCTGTCTCTACTAAAAATACAAAAAATTAGCCGGGCACGGTGGTGTGTGCCTGTAGTCCCAGCTACTTGGGAGGCTGAGGCAGGAGAATTGCTTGAATCCAGAAGGTGGAGGTTGCAGGGAGCCAAGATTGCACGACTGCACTCCAGCCTGGGCAACAGAGCGAGACTTCAAGTGAGATTCATCTCAGGGATACAAGGATGATATAACACAGTCAAATCAATCAATGTGATACATCACTTTAACAGAATCAAGAACAAAAAACCATATGATCATTCCAATAGATGCTAAAAGGCATCTGATAAAATTCAGCATCCCTTGTCTTATTCTGTTTGTGTTGCTATAAAGGAATGCCTGAAGCTGGGTAATTTTTTTAAAAACAGATTTATTTGGCTCATGGTTCTGCAGACTGTAAAAGAAACATAGTGCTAGCATCTGCTTCTGGTCAGGGCTTCAAGCTACTTCCATTCATGGTAGAAGGTAAGGGGAGCCAGGACATAGAGATCACATGGTGAGAGAAGCAGCAAGAGAGAGGAAGAGGTGCCTGTCTCTTTTCAACCAGTTCCCATGGAGACTAAGAGTAGAATTCACTCACTCCCATGAGAATGGCACCAATCCATTCATGAGAGATCCACCCCCACAACCCAAACACCTTCCATCAGGTTCCACCTCTAACATTGGGGATCAACTTTCAACATGGGACTTGGTGGAGCCATACAAACCACAGTATCCCTTCATGATAAAAAACCTTCAGCAAACTGGATATAGAAGGAACATACCTGAAAATAATAAATGCCATATATGACAAACCCATAGCCAACATCATACTAAACAGGGAGAAACTGGATGCCTTTCCTCTAGGATCTGGAATAAGACAAGGATGCCCACTTTCACAACGTTTATTCCGTATAATACTGGAAATCCTGGCCAGAGCAATTAGGCAAGAGAAAGAAATAAAGGCATCCAAATTGGAAAGGAAGAAGTCAAATTAGCTTTGTTCATAGACAACATGATCTTATATTCAGAAAAACCTAAAGACACCACCAAAAACTGTTAGAACTGATTAATGAATTCAGCAAAGTATACCCACTATGGAAAACAGTATGGAGGTGCCTCAAAAAACTAAAAATAGAACTACCATAAGACCCAGCCATCCCACTACTGGGTATATATCCAAAAGAAAGGAAACCAGTATATTGAAGAGAGATTTCCAGTCCCATGTTTACTGCAACATTATACACAATGAACAAAACTTGGAATCAACCTAAGTGCCCATCAATGGATGAATGGATAAAGAAAATGTGGTATATATACACAATGGAATATTATTTAACCATAAAAAACAAAGGAATCCTGTCATTCACAGCAACATGGATGGAACTAGAGGTTATTATGTTGAGTGAAATAAGTACAGAAAGACAAATATATCTCACGTTCTCACATGTGGGAGCTAAAAAAAAAAAAGTGGATCTCATGAATATGGAGAGTAGATTGGTGGTTACCAGAGGCAAGGAGGAGAGGGATGAGGGGTGGTTGAAGAGAGGTTGATTAATGGGTTTAATATACAGTTAGAGAGAAGAAATAAAACCTAGGTTTTACAGATCAATAGGGTGACTATAGTTAACACTACTCTACTGTACATTTCAAAATAGCTAGAAGATAATTTGCATGTTTCTAGCTTAAAGAAAAAATAAGTATTTAAGGTAATGGAAAATCCAATTACCTTGATTTGATCTTTACACATTAGAAGAAGGTATCAAATTATCCCATGTACCTTGAAAATATATACAAGTATTATGTATCAATGAAATAATAAGCTGAATGAAGAAAACTTTGTGCTAATTTACACTTCTACCAGCAGGATAAAAGTATGCCCATTTTGCTGTACCTTCATTAGCACTGAGTATTATAGTGGTTTAATTTGTTTTCCTTATTTTTAAAGAAAAAATAGTAATATATTGTTTGATTTGCATTTCTCTGGTTTATCTGTAAGATGAGATATTTTTGTTTCATTTGTGTTTCATCAGTTACCAGTGGCATTAAACACTTTCCACATGCTTACTGGTTACTTGCATTTCCATCTCTGTGAGTGGTCTGTTGATGCCCTTCTGTCTATATCAAGTGTTGGTTTTTTTTTTTTTAGCAAGTGTACTTTGTATTTAAGAATCTTAGCAATTTTTGTGTCATATCTGTTGCAAATGTTTTTCCAGTTTGTTATGTTTTATTTTATAATTCTGTTTTAAAAGTTTGTTTTTTTGTTTTAAAAAGTTTCAAACCCAAAGAAAAATGGAAAGAACAGTGAGCATGCGAATGCCCCTCACATAGATTACCACGTGTTAACATCTTGTTATGCATGCTTTCTCCCTCTCTCCTCTCTCCTCTCTCTCTGTGACTAGAATGTAGTCATATCGTATATAACTGCACTGGAACAGCCCAGAATAGATAGGATCCATGGTGTTTCAATAATTGAATGACAATGCACCTTCTAATCTACACTCACCATTGAACAAAAAACCTCTTCCCCTCACTTTTTCTCACTATTACTTGCTTTGTTCTTGTTTCTTTTCTTTTCTTTTCCTAAATAGTAGCACAACAGAGCGAACATAAAATGAAGATTTCTGTGCAGTTCTGATAGTGCTGGTACAGATGGCAGTCACCCTCCCAGTGTCAATAAGCAAATCATGGTCATTAAGAACAGTGTGAGCAGATATCACAAGCAATAAAATTTGTGAAAGCCAGCAATGGTAAGAGGAGGAACTATCCTTTGACATAAAAGAAAAATCATTGCCAAAGTGTGGATAACAGTGAAACCTATTTTGAAAACAATACAAAAGCACTTTGAGCTCTTTTGACAACGTCCTTATCGTTGTTTTAAGATTACTGCTAGGAGAATCTTGCATTTGCTGGCATTCGTTATCACCACTTTGTGTACCTACTGGTTTGTCTCTACCAGACAAAACGACCAGATTTTCCCTTAAGCAATGCTGGCTAAAAAGGAAAATTATCTTTTGTGACAATTAGGCTTTCTGATTTTCAGGCAGTTATGGAGCAAAAGAGTGCTAGGTTGTAGATATCTGATTAGGACTTGAGCCTCATCAGTGATTATGCATGTGATCTAGGACTGGTTTACATAACCTCTCTGAGCCTCAGTTTCCTCATCTTTAAAGGGAAAGAGTAAACATTTACCTCGTAAGTTTAAAGAAAGTCCTTTGCAAACTGTCAAGGGTGTTATGAAAATATTAATGATGATGATGAAGATCTTGATAAGGATGACAATGAAAATGATCATTATTGCATATCTGTTCTAAAATCTTTTTTAAAGGTGTGACCAGGGATAGTATTCATTTGGAATTAACTCTATTTCCTGGGTTTCCATAGATAAAGTGAAGCCCCATATCTAAACAATGTTGATTCTCAGTTACTCATAGGAACTGTGCTCTGCTGTCAAAGGAACAAACAGAGATCTGCAGTCATTATATGCCTCCCCTCTCAGAAGGAGTTGCTGCCCTGGGACTTTTGGCCTCTGATACTCAATCAGCCTCACAGTTTGAGCAGGCATTGGCAGTTCCTGCTAGCCTGACTGCCGGGTTCCAGTCCTGGCTCAATCCCAGTGCAAGAGGCACTCCAATCGTTCATAGCAACCGGGTAGTAGAATTTCCAGGACCAAGCTCTCAATCATACAGAGAAAGGCCCTCTACATGTCCAAAAATATATTGGTTCCAGGCAGTCATGCTCATCCCAGAGATTCCAAGGACAAATCATCTGCATTAGAAATACCAAGAATGTTTGCTAAAATGCAGATGCTAGGATGCCCCCCTGAGAGCCAGTGAAAGAAAACTGCAAATAAAAGTTTGAGAACCATCACTCTAGACCTGTTGTCTCTCAAATAGAGTACCCACATCCCAGGTGACACATAAGATGATGCCATTGGTCATGTGAGGAAAGTATAAGAACTTCTGTTTATATTAAAAAAGAAATAAATAAGAAATTACTCTGTACTACCATTCAATATTCAGCCTGTCACTCGATCCCTCATGTGGTAACGTCCCTTGCAGCTTTGGAGGCAACCTGAGAGTGGAGGCTCCAAACCACAAAACAGTGGAACAGCACTGGTGCGTCTGCTCTCAGCGCATTAGAATGGACTGCAGTTTACTCATGCAGTGGGTTTATGAATTGTGTCATTTAATTTCAAGTGTGCTAAGACTGAAAAAACGTACGTGTCTTAAGGCTTTCTGCAAAAAGCACACTGTATTTTCAAGATAATAAGCATCCATGAACAAGAAAATGAGAGTTGACATTTTTACTCTTAGCATGAGCTTTTTTTTCACCCATATTAGAAAGTAAAAATGATGATGATCCAATCCAACTTAAGAAAAGTCAGCCAAAAAAATCCCAAAACTTAAAAATTATCTAGAAGACTAACTGAAATTATGGACTTATACCTATCATCAATGCTGAACCTCACCTAAGTATAGAGTATGATGTCTTTTTTATTTATTTATTTTTTTAGACGGAGTCTCGCTCTGTCGCCCAGGCTGGAGTGCAGTGGCACAATCTCGGCTCACTGCAAGCTCTGCCTCCCGGGTTCACGCCATTCTCCTGCCTCAGCCTCCTGAGTAGCTGGGACTACAGGCGCCTGCCACCACGCCTGGCTAATTTTTTTTGTATTTTAATAGAGACGGGGTTTCACTGTGTTACCCAGGATGGTCTTGATCTCCTGACCTCGTGATCCGCCCGCCTTGGCCTCCCAAAATGCTGGGATTACAGGTGTGAGTCACCGCACCCAGCGGAGTATGATGTCTTGAGATATTAATTACAGCCAGTATAAAGCCATCATAATTAACAAGATTAAGCAACCAGAACATTATAGTTAATGAACACTGTTAGCAAGAACTAAAAGGTTTGTGCTATTCATACAATTTTAAAAATTTTTAAAAATACTTATTTTATCTTTATCTTACTAAAAATTTATATGTTGGTACATTTTATAATGTATTCACTATATATAATAAAAATATATAATTTATAAATAATTATACACATATTATGAATATATGCCCAAATCCTTTGACCAATGGCTATGTCAATAAAAGGCCAGGTCCTGCTTCTGTCCCAATTCAAAACTTAAGGAAAGTTAAGTCTCCTCTTTGACCCCCTGATCAAGATTGTGATTAAGCAGCCCACTCTTCAGTGAGTTGTGCCATTGGTAAATGAAAAACACCTTCCTACTTGGATATTCTAAGGACTTTGTTAAGGAACCTTAGAAGAAAAATGCAATGAATTGTCCCATCTCCTCCTTCTAGGCATGAGAACTTGAAGAAATTCTGGGCTCTGTAACCTGCTTTGGATATAATCTCCTAGCAGTCCATGCCAGACTCTGAAGCCAAGTCTATTCATGACAGCGTCTTGGGGCAAGTGCAGAACCAGGTATGATTGGGAGCAGAGAAAATGTCAGTCACGGGCCATAGTCTCCCATCTCTGGGATTCTCTTGTTTCTATATATTCCCATCTACTGAGTCACACGCTGTGACTTTCATTTTGACTCTCAGGACCTGCTTGTTTACTTTGAAGACCCAGTTTGGATTTTTCTCCAGTTTTTTCGTTTAACCTTGTCCCATCTCATTTCATTTCTGATGGCATGCCACTTTAGCCCTACACATTCACAGCTAGGACTGAGAGATGCTCATGCCACTCCTCCAGGTTTATAGGGCCCATACAAACTTGACAGGCTCCCCATCTTCCTGGTAAGAAGGCCAATGATTATACTACTGTACTGAATAGGAAAGATATGATCCAAGTACCACTTCTGGGAACTAACTCCGTGCCCCAGTCAATGTCTTCCTTCACTCTTCCAGACCTTAGTAAGGAGCAAAGGCACTCCTTGGCAAAAGAGAACTGTGTAAGAAAAGATTTCTGCCAGATACTTTCTGTTTTGTTCTCTGTAGCTGCAATTGCTACCTAGGTAGCTCTTTTCAGCTATCATAACCTGAAAATCTACAGTCCAGACTCCTGGTTCTCTGTCAAGATGAAAGGATAAAGAGGAAGACAGAGACAGTAGAACTTGAGTATTGGATTCTTTCATTAGAATTGGTGACAGCTCTTCTCCTGTTTGCTTTTCCCCACCCCTTCCATTCTGAGGCTTTCTTACTTGCTGCTTGTATGCTTGATCCTTTGATGACACACCTTCTCTATCTGCTATAGGCCTCTTGGCTGCCAACTATATAGGCACTGAACTTTGCCTTGGTAGGCTCTCTTGTATATATATATACATATGGTAGGGGAGGGAGAGAGAAAGGGAGAGAAGGAGGAGGGAGAGAGAGAGAGAGCGAGTGAGCTAACATAGCTGGATCATGAAGATAAATAGAGGAGTACAGTGGTATTTGGCCTCCTAGATGGCCCCCAATGATCCCCACCCCCTGGTATTCATGCCCTTGTATAATCCCTTCTCTTTGAATGTGGGCTAAACCTACTGGCTCACTTCTAACAACAGAACAGAGTAGATGTGATACCAGTTCTGAGATTAGGTTACAAAATGACTGTGGCTTCCATCTAGGGCACTCTTTTCCACTCTCTGGATCTCTTTTGGGTCACCAGCTGCCATGCTGTAGAAATACTCAGGCAGCTTAAGAGAGACCCACATAGTGAGGAACAAAGGCCTGCCAGTAACTATATGAGTGAGCTTGGAAGCAGATCTTTCCCTGTCCTTCCACCCATTGTCAAGTTTTCAGATGAGATTGCCCCAGTCAATACTTATATTGCAGCCTGTGAGAGACCCTGAGGCAGATGCACTTAGCTCACCTGTGCCCAGATTCCTGACCCATAAAAACTGTAAGTATTTGTTGTTCTAAACTACTACATGAGTGATTTCTTAAACAACAGATAACTAATACAAGTGCCTTGCAGGCAGTAGGGATGAAACTGTGTTGAATACAAAGATGACAGATGTTTATGTCTGCAAGGAGGTCCAGGTAACAATAGGAAGACCAGGAAAGGGCTGCCTCTACCAAAGGATGATGGATGCCTGTGGCACTGCCTTCATGTAGGGAAAGGGAGACAGGTCCAATGTACACCCAAAGCTCTGCTCCCTAGTACTGACTTGGCTATGTCTACAGCTTTCCTTGACTTGTGCACTGTTTATGAAACTTTACTTCACTGCCTAATATTTTTCATTTATGCTGGGTGCATATATAAAACACAAATAAGGGCTACAGGATTTTTAAGTTTAGTACAAAAGCTTAATCTACACTCATTCAAATTCAGGAGGCCTGTGTGTAAAAAGTCCAAAGATAAGGCAAGGTCACTTATTTTTAACTCAATTCTAATTTTAATAAATCATCTCTTAGGATGCACATAATAGATATTTCAAGCAAGTTTTATTTTTGTTTTGTTTACCCTGGATACCAAAATTATCTGTATAATCAAGCACATAAGACATTCTAAAAACCATAAAGTACCAGGTGATCTAAAAGTGTGAAAACTGATTTGCATTAAAATGTTTCCTTTAAAAGTTAAATTTTAGATACCTTTCACTATAAAATAACAACAACAAAGAGTAACAGCAAAGCCCAGGACATTGAAATAATTATTATGGTGTCAAGCATTAGAACTCAATAGAAATAATCTATAATCACTTCATTGAAGTCCAAATTCTACCATTAACTTATTTTTTTTTAATCTGCATAAACTTGAGGGGTACAAGTACAATTCTGTTCCATGTATCTACTGTTGATGGTGTAGTCTTGGTTTTAATGTATCCCTCACCTGAACAATGTTCACTGTACTTGATCTACCATTAACTTCTTATGCAAAATCTCTACTAGAATTAATAGAAAGGATGTTAAGAAAGCCAAGAAAATGTTGCCTATATTTTATAGTCATCTCACTTGAGTGAGAAAAGTTATTTCTCAATTTTATTTACTTTGGGCTCTAAATGGCTATTTTACTTACCATTTGGAAGCCTGGGGAGTATATAAGCTCTCATCATTAACAGAAGTCGTTAATACATTCTGGTTTACAACATTTAAATACTTCTCAATGTGAATCTGTTACAGAAATGTCAAAGTTTAGGCAATTATTGTGGACTTAAGATACTCAGCTAATTTACTTCATTAGGTTAATACTCTGAATCCTGTAATTAAGCCAAAACCACAACATGCTATGTATTATTACGTGCCTAAGGTATCATTAGGCATCTCAAGGCCAAATTACTTCAACCATCCCAGCATAATAAACTGAGACTCAAAGCTTGAGTGACCTGTGGTACACTCTTTTTTGTTTTTTTTTTAGTAGGGTCTTGCTCTGTTGCCCAGGCTGAAGGGCAGTGGAGTGATGTCTCACTGCAGCCTCAGCCTCCAAGGCTTAAGCAATCCTTCCACCTCAGCCTCCTGAGCAGCTGGGACCACAGGCACATGCCACCACACCTGGCTAATTTTTTTATTTTTTGTAAAAAGACAGGGTTTCCCTATATTGCCCAGCCTGTATGGCACTCTTTACAAATAAAATTGTGCACAATAGTCAATGCATTTTTAGCCAGGTAAATCTACTAGGCAATACAGACATTGAGTAATGTCTTTTTTTTACAGGGACTTCAAGCAAGCATCCAAAGAAAGCATTTGGTCTTTAGGAAACATTATTTAAATGAGCCAACCCAAAGACTCCAGCTGGGTCCATCCCTCTCACCATTAGGTAATATGACAATGATGTGCTACAAAATATACCACATTTCTCACAGCCTTGGGAGCTGAGAGATGAAGCAGATAACATAGTAGATTAAAAGTCTGAATCAAGAGCAGAGACACTGAAAATAAGAGGTATAGAAGGTGGAGATTGATGGAAGATGGACCCCATTAGCTTGTTTCATAAATGAATATTATCCTGGTCCAAAGACTGGATTCTCCCCGACCTTAGATCTCTTTGTAATGATGAAGTTCCTATTTACTTTATTTCTCTGGCCCAATATTGGTATATTTCTTTAGTTTTACCCATTTGATTATAACGTTACAAAAACGAATAGCTCAAAATATTTAGGCTATTAGGGGAAAGTCAACTCTTATTTTTTATATACTTTTTTTTTTTGAGACAGAGTCTCACTCTGTAGCCCAGGCTGAAATGCAGTGGGGAAATCAAGGCTTACTGCAGCCTCAACTTCCTGGGCTCAAGCAATCCTCCCACCTCAGCCTCCTGAGTAGCTGGGACTACAGGCGTGTGCCACCATGCCTGGCTAATTTTTTAAAAAATTTTTGTAGAGACAGGGTTTCGCCATGTTGCCCAGGCTGATCTCAAACTCCTGGGCTCAAGTGACCTGCCTGCCTTGGCCTCCCAAAGTGCTTGGATTACAGGCCTGCACTACTGTGCCCAGCCAACTCTTCTCTTTTAGAATCTCAGTAAATTCCAGAAAATCTGCAATATATTGGTCAGGCATATTGTTGGATTGACAGTAATTATTTTTCATCGCTTCTTGGCCTTTTGGCTAAGATCAAGTAATAGTAATTATTTTTCATACTCCAAGTTATTTTTATAAAACCACATTTTAGGAGTTGTCACTGCATAATCTTATATTTAACCTACTTAAATTCTTTGTGAAATATGACAGAATATAAATCAATCAGTTAATAATTATGAGAACAAATAACAAAACAAGAATGCTGACGACTGCCCTAAATTCAGCTTTGTTACAGAATTATGCAGGACTCTATGAGAACTGCAATTCCTTTCTTCTAGAGGATGCTTTGTCTCCTTCCAGTATTTTAATATCTAAAGCTCTACTTACTCTTAACCCCACTTCAGTCCTTTTGATTGCTGTTTCAAGACTCTGAATGTCTAGAGTCTCTCCTTTTTCCTCAGGTGAGAATTTTGTTAATTTCTCCTTTAACTGATAAAGGTCTTCATGGATCTATAGGTATAAAAAATGAAAAATATTGAAATAATCCACACATAGTCCACCTATAGCAGTTATTTATCTTAAAGGTTTGCAATGTACTTGAATTGGTAGAGACACAAAGCTGATTTTATGGTATTCATTGAAAAGGACCACTTTTACGGTTGTAAGGCATTCTTTTTTTTTTTTTTTTGAGATGGAATTTCACTCTTGCTCAGACTGGAATGCAATGGTGTGATCTAGGCTCACTGCAACCTCTGCCTCCCAGGTTCAAGCGATTCTCCTGCCTCAGCCTCCTGAGTAGCTGGGATTACAGGTGCCTGCCACCACACCCGGCTAATTTTTGTATTTTTAGTAGAGACGGGCTTTCACCATGTTGGTCAGGCTGGTCTCAAACTACTGTCCTCATGATCTTCCCACCTCGGCCTCCCAAAGTGCTGGGATTACAGGCATGAGCCACCATGCCTGGCCTGGTTCTAAGGCATTCTTTATTGAGAATGCTCTATTATTGTCTCTCAGATTGTGAAAAATTATTCTTTCATATTATTTGTTTTTCCTTCTCCCATGAGAAATAGATTTAAGATAACACTGCAACTCAAATAGTTTCTACTTTCTTAAGTGGTAAGAGTTCAGTCAGAGATGATAAGAGGTTTGTGCCAGACTCCAATTTCTACAGATTGGTTAAGAGGAAAGAAAACAAAAAACTTCCAGCAAAGAAGTTGTAGCAGAAGCAATGTCTTTGAAAAGACTATTGTAAATGTGTTGTCAGTGCCTGTTGGTTTTCCATTCCAGGCTGGGTCTTCCCCACTTACTGCTCTGAAGAAGGAGTTTGGTAGGTGTTTGACCTTGATTTTGTTTTATGTAGTGAGAAATGAAAATAATCCCTGAAGAAAAAGGAACATATATTATTACTTTAACATTTTTCCTTCAATTTGTATTTTCCTTGGAAATGATGGATTTCTCTCCAACATCAGGCACCCTCAGAATAAAATGGGCCCTATGAAATTTGAAAGCACAAGATTCTCTGCATTCATATTAGAAACCAAACTTCAGATAAATACAGATGGCACCAATTATTGTATGGGCTGCTGCCACAAGAAAAACATTTTGTTATGCAAATTTATGAACCCAACACCTGTTTCAGCAATAGTCACACCAATAACAATCTGCAAATTGGGTTGCTAAAGGCATTTTGAAGAAGTTACTTTTTCTCTGTTAGTATAACTGGACTGAACACTGATCCAGCCTGCATTACTGATTAATCTCAAATGTTCACATGGAGCCAATTATTCAAAAGATCAGAATTTACACCTTTTCACTGATGGGCATCACAGTCTGGCAGACACATCTGGTCATTTGTACTCTTCACAAATTGTCATGTAAGGCCTTCAGAGCTCACAGATTGAAATCTGAATACACCTACTGCTTGCTTGTAAGCACTAAAGATAAAGATATACTTCTTTCTATTGTTTTGTCCAAATTACTGCTGCAAGCTGATTTGCCATCTATTGTCTGAAGACATTTGGAAAGTACAGAGAGGCAGTTCAAGGGCAAGGCCCTCTCTAGGCCTGCATTTTTTGGTTCCTCCTTTGAATGTACTGACTTTCCCTCTTCTAGTATCTGTAGCTCCATGTATCTTTCTGTAATTATGTCTATCAACTACTGGAGGGAGTAAAAACTGTACCAAAGGTTTGTTTTCTTTTCACCTGCCTTGTGTGGACAATGATATTTCATCATAGTGTTGTGAGATAGTATGTAATAGGCTTGGTACATAGCAAGAACTCAATAAAAGGCAGCTGAATATAATGTCTAGCTCTATCACTTATTAGTCACACAATTTCCATATACATCTAAATTTTCTGAATTTCTAATTTCTTTGTCCAGGATAAAAAAGAATTACCCTACTTAAAACTGTTGAATGAAAATGAGGTAATATGTATGAAAATGAATCAATATAGGCTTTGGTGCTGACAGATATGAACTGGAATCCTTCTTCCTTCTTTACTAAACTGAACTTGGGAAAGTTATGTAGCCTCTTAGAGGCTTAGTGTTCTCATCTGTAAAATGGGAATAATAATAGCTATCTCAGAACAGTGGCAAGAATAAAATGAGTAAAAATATAAGTACTTTGTATAGTGTTAAGCACATAGGAGGGCACTGAACAAATGTTAATTCTCTTCTGAATTATAAAACCTAGTGAAACTCCTTACACTATAAGTAATACCCTGTAAATGTTAATTGAATTTACGTAAATGTTAATTGAATAACTTGCTCCCTAATCTTTCTCAAGAGTTTTTCCTTTTCTTGCTAGATATTTTCTCCTCCCCTCTTAACAACCACTCATCTGTTTGTATAATTGCAATAGAGACAAATACTATAGAAAAAGTTAACCAGACTTGGGTAGAAAAAGAGATTTGAGTTCTAAATCTCTTTCTTCAGATAGATCCAATCTACCATATTGAAATTTTACATATCATCCATCATCTCTGTGATCATCAAACACCTTGTTTTCCATAAATTTTCTACTTGGAGAAAGATTATTATTTTGACAATTTGGAGACAGAGCTACTTAATAAGAAGCCCTTGAAAGATTTAATGCAGCAAAGATTTGCTCTAGACTTTACAAGAGCCATGAAACCAGACTCTATATTGTCAAAAGCAATATAAAATTCCATTTTCTTCATCTCTGCTAGAGTTTGGCTGAGTCATTCTCATCACCTCAATTATCTTTAACTTCATTCTTTTTTTTTTTTTTGAGATGAAGTCTCACTCTTGTCCCCCAGGCTGGAGTGCAATGGCGCGATCTTGGCTCACTGCAACCTCCACCTCCCGGGTTCAAGTGATTCTCCTGCCTCAGTCTCCTGAGTAGCTGGGATTATAAGAGCATGCCACCACGCTCGGCTAATTTTTGTATTTTTAGTAGAGACGGGGTTTCACCAGGTTGTCCAGGCTGGTGTACGAACTTCTGACCTCAGGTGATTCTCCCGCCTCGGCCTCCTAAAGTGCTGGGATTACAGGCATGAGCCACCGCGCTTGGCCTTTTTTTTTTTTTGACACAGAGTCTCGCTGTGCTGCTTGCTGTGTTGGAGTGTACTGGTGCAATCTCGGCTCACTGCACCCTCCACCTCCCAGGTTCAAGTAATTCTCCTTGCCTCAGCCTCCCAAGTAGCTGGGATTACAGGTGCCTGCCACCACACCTAGCTAATTTTTGTATTTTTTAGTAGAGACGGGGTTTTGCCATGTTGGCCAGGCTGGTCTTGAATTCCTGACCTCAAGTGATTCATCCGCCTCAGCCTCCCAAAATGCTGGGATTACAGGCATGAGCCACCACGCCTGGCCAACTTCATTCATTTTTATATTGTATGCACCTGACAAATCAGACACAATCAGAAAGAATGAAAATAGCAAACTGTCAATTGAGCTCCCATATTTCCAAGATCATTGTTAACATACAATTGTTGGATTTTTGTGTTAACACACAATTGTTGGATTTTAATTAAAAAGCTAATTTTGAATCATAAGATCAGGTAATATTTGTTACACAAACATTTAATATTTGGGTCAAGCAAGTATTTATAAAGATATATTAAGAATATACCACATTTTAATGAAGCATAAAAACAAAGCTTCTAAGATTTACAAAGCATGATTGGAAACTTCCCAGAGTCACTATCACACTTCTTCAAGATTACTTCATGAACATGCCATAGCCTATTTAAGGATCAATACATACTGGATGTATTACAATGGGCAAGATGCTTTACTTCTTTGTACCTAAGTGTCTTCTGTAAACTGGAGCTAAAAAATAATACTTACAACACCTTTGAGAACCACTGGTCTAAAAAGCTGTTTAATATATCTGACTGATACACAGACGTAACTGACCATATTAGGGTGAAGCAAGTAGAAATTTAAAGTACCTCTGCTTTACAGTCTATTGCACACACACACTCACTCAGTCACTGACTTGCCAGAAACAATTTGATTGCCTAGGCTAACAACAAAGGAAGTCTACTTTTACAGTAAATGATGTAGCCTGGGGAAATTGGGACAATTTAAAGTCAGAAGTGAACCTAATCCAAACTATATGTCCTATGGAAGAGGAAAGTGAGGTCCAGAGAGATGAGTGCCTAACTCAAAGTCACTACTTGTGAGACTGTCAAAGTCATGGTCAGATCTCAGTATTCTGACTCCCTATCAAGTGCTTTCCACTAGACACACTAATTATTGGTAGCCTGTCTGAGGGAAATAAATCATAGCCCCAAATAGAAGTGGAATCCACGTTGGCACAGTTGGGTGGTGCTACATACTCACACATTCTCAGGATTCACTGAGAAAGTAGGGAAAGTCTTCCAAATTTCCTCACTATACATATTCTACATGTAGAGAATAGAATTTTATACTATACAGGAATCAGTCTTAATAATCTGGTTAACAGGTAGGCTCTCTTCCTCTACACAGCCCTTTACTTGATATGTCCACAGGAATCCTTTTAAATAAGTAGGGGTGCAGATCAACATGGATATGACTATTAGCTCTTCTGACCCATCTCACAAGTCAGTGTCAACAGTTATCTATTACTATAATGTTGTATCCTAGGTAAGAGTCTCCATTATTGTTCTAATTATTTGGAATCTATAAAAAGAGTGGGTATGTGCAGCAAAGAATTAACCTTACCCAAAGAGGGGTCCAGTCTTCGCTCCTGGCTACTGGGAGGTGATCTCTAGGCGCCTGGGATGTCCTGCCTGATAGAAGTGTCTTTGTCTGTGGGCTTTGGCCACCAGACAGTCTATCAACATGATTTATAATGGGTGTTTTGATCCACGCTGTATCAGCTCAGACCTCTGGAGCAGCGGGAAACTAAAAGTATTCAGGAGGGGCTGGAGATTAATGGTCAACCACAAGGGCAGTGTGAGATTGAGCCCCAGTAAAAACTCTGGACATCAAAGCCTCAGATAAGCTTCTCTAGTTGCAATATTCTATGCATATTGTCACATATCATGGCTGGGAGGAAGTAATGCAGGTAATGACGTCAATGACTCCACAGGGATAAGATGACCAAAAGCTCTATGTTTGTACCCCTCCTGGACTCTGTCCTATTCATCTCTTTCCTTGGCTGATTAATTTGTATGCCTTCACTATAATAAAATTGGAGATGTGAGCACAGCACTTCCCTGAGCTCTGCGAATAGTTCTAGTGAATCATTGAATGTGAGGGTGGTGATGGGGCCCCTAAGTTTGTACCCAGCTGGTCTGAAGTGAGGTGGTTCTGGGGACCCCTGAACTTGCAGGTAGTGAGTGTTGAAGTTAGGGCAGTTTTTTGTGGACCGTTCCCTCAGACTTCGCAGTTTGGCTAAACTCATTGCTGCGTGATGGTGAAAGTGAGGGTGAGAAAAGATCAGGTAAGATTAGGTATGATTCTTAATGGGGAAGTCTATGAAATTGGTGAGTTCAGGGGCTTGTATTTGGGAAAAGGTACATTTAGGGAAGTCTCTCCTAGATGGGAGGTAAGAGATCAAAATTCTGCCAGAAAAATTAGATCCCTTTGACGAGTAAGACCCACTTCAGACCAACTGAGTGACAGTCCTGACAGAGTGACCTTAGACAAATGACTTCAAGACTTAGTCAAATGCAGCTATTATATATGTGATAGTTAAAACCGATGATATATGTGGAAATATCTTAAAGTTACCTCACATAAATGTGAAAACAAAATGCCATGATCATTTCAGAAACATCTGAGTGCAACTATTACAAATTGAGCTGTATTGGACAAGACTTTCTTGACATTTCCCCTCTCAAATTAAAAAGGTCTTTCACTAAGTTTTTAAATGTCACATTTTTTCATTCCAAGTTATCTTGATTTTTCTGTGTGTTCTCCAATGAGGAACATTTAGATCTAAAAAACTGGGGTGTTTAAGAAAAGCAATTCACATATTTCAATTTGTCTCCAAATTTCTTATCACCTCCTAGAGTGTCCGATTTGTCTCTCCTCCACTCCCGACGTCATGGGTTCAAATTTTTCAGAATATAACATTTAAAAATGATGCCTCAGCGTGAGGTTAATTTTTCTGAAGTAAAGGTTCCGGGTGAACGGTTTTAGAGTTTTCCCAGAGGCAGAAAGTCCTGCTTCTGGGGCGTAACCTACAGGGTAAGTCACCGGGAGTGTGCTGGGCCGTGGGGGAAGGTCTGGGTGGGCATTTTTGGGAGCCTCTCGCGAGTTGGAGGGAGTCTAGGGGCGGCGCACCAAATGGGTGAGCGTCGGTGAATCGGCGCGCGGGACCTCGCTCGGAAGTGGCGCGGCTGGGCAGGGCAGGGCCGGGGGAAGCCCGTTTCCCACCTGGATTAAGATGGATCCGACAGGGTCGTGGTTTTCAGTGTTCTGTGCCATGGCTAGGTCAGGGAACGGCTACCTCCGCGGAGGCGCGGTTTCCAAGCACGGAAACCTTCAGCCGGAGCCGCTCGTCCCCATGGCAACACCGCGCGCGACCTGGCCTGTTCCACGCTGGGAGCGGAAGGGGGTCTAGGGGCGGGGTCAGGCCAGCCTGGTCATTCCGAGAACGCCCTCTCCGGCCTGTCTCCCCCTCGCGCCGGCGGCCGTGGTGCAGCCCAAGGCGGAAGCGGCTGCCTGACGGAACCGGCTCGCGAGCGCAGCTATGGCTGCTGGCGTACCCTGTGCGTTAGTCACCAGCTGCTCCTCCGTCTTCTCAGGAGACCAGCTGGTCCAACGTGAGTAGATAGGCGCCTGGGCCGACCTCCAAGGCCCCTGAGCCTCAGCGGGCGACGGACCCAGCACCACGGCCTCTCTGGGCCTTGTCCCCGCAGCGGGCCCTGCGTTCTTCCTCCAGTCAGTGGAGGCGCCCAGTCTCCCCAGGTGGCTGCCCCTATCTCTTAATCTCGTGCTTTTCTGCCCACTCGGCCTTCTTCGGCGTTCCTTTCGGCTTCCTGTGTAAAGTGAGACTGATTTCCCGCTCTGCTCAGCCCAGGCCACAGGTTTTTGCGAGGATCCGTTGAGATGAACCTGAAGGCTCTCCGGAAATTGCGCTAGGTTACAGGAGTGTAAGGTGCTGGAATTGTTGATATCGTGATGTTGTTATCCTTGCTGCTCCGGGAGAGAGTGTTTACTCTGAATTCTGAAGTTTATTCTGCGTATTTACTCTGAAGTTTATTCTGCTTCTTAATGTGTACATTATAAGACTTGTTAGCTTTGTCCGCTCCACTCTAGTTATTCACGCCTTTCATCTGAGGCATGGGCTCTCCGCCAACATGAGTTTTTGGGTATGATTGGGCTAGTGCTTTTGCTTGTAGACCCTCATAATGGCTGTCAGACTTACTAACTCTTAAAAGAGAGAACATGGGACTGGATAATAAGCCAACTCTACTAAAGGGCTCTGTGAAGTTGAATTATAGGTAACTCAAGACTTCTGTTTTAAGTGTATGGCTTAGAATCAGAGCAGTGACTTAGCTGTATGATCTCGAGCAAGTCACCTAACCTACCTACATTCCTTCCTTCTTTTCTTTTTTTTTTTTTAAAGAGACGGGAACTTGCTCTGTCGCCCGGGCTGGAGTGCAGTGATGCGATCATAGCTCACTTCAGCCTCGAACTCCTGGGCTCAAGCGATCCTCCTGCCTCAGTCTCCCGAGCAACTGGGACTGCAGGCTCACACCACGAACCCTGGCTAATTTTTTTATTTTTTGTAGAGCCAGAGTCTTGCTATGTTGCTCAGGCTGGTCTCCAACTCGTGGTTTCAAGTGATCCTCCTGTCTTGGCCGCCCTAAGTGCTGAGATTACAGGCGTGAGCCACTGTGCCTGGCTACCCTTCACTTTCTCTTTTCTCTCCTTTTTTTTATTTTTGTTTTGAGATAGGGTCTCACTCTGCTGCCCAGGCTGTAGTGCAGTGGCGTTATCTCGGCTCACTGCAACCTCTGCCTCCTGGGCTCAAGCCATCCCCCTACCTCAGCCTCCCAAGTATCTGGGACTACAGGTGTGTGCCACCACGCCCGGCTAATTGCCCCCCCCCCCCCCCGTCATACGGGGTTTGGCCATGTTGCCCAGGCTGGTCTGGAACTCCCGGGCTCAAGTGATCTGCCTGCCTTTGCCACCCAAAGTGCTGGGATTACAGGTGTGAGTCACCACCGCGCCCGGCCCCTTCACCTTCTATCTATAAAATAGGGATAATTTTCGCAAGATTGTGCTTATCCCCGAGTCTGGCACATAGTAAACATTTGATAAATCATAGACATTATTATTAAGGCACATTACTATCTCTGTAACCCTCAATTTCCTGATCCTTAAAATGGGGCATATGAGCCTATTTCAGGAGTATTTGAAGGACAGATGATGTGACATTTTGAACACACTTTGTAAACTGTAAAGCATTGTATAATTATAATTTCTTTGCTACACCTGTCAAATGACAGAATTAGGTAAGATGTCCCTTCAGTGCAGATATTATATGACTTAGTTATCATTTGTGATCACTTAGAAAGTTCCTTGCTAGGGTAAAAGCTTAATTATAGCATTTAACTAAGTGGTTACTAACTGGTCTAATTAGGCCATTTTCTTACCTTTAAGCAGTGCTCCTTCCTATTTTCTCCCTTCCCTCCTTTCTTCCTTCTTTTCTTCCTTCCTTCCTCTTTTTTCTTTAATTGTTTCATTGTAAAACTAGTGCATACTAAGTAAAATTTAGCATACAGAGAAAAGAAAATAGCCATAGTCTCATTACCCAACTACAAATACTGCTAACATTTCTTTCCAGTCTTTTTTTCCATTGCAGTTTCTTAAAAAGAAATAATTGTAATTACATTTAATACACAATTTTTTCTGTTTTTAAAAATTTTTTAAATACACAGTTCTTATCCTCAGATTTATCAAAAATTAGTTTCTCACATATATCCATCTAGTGAATAAACCAGAATTTGCTCAAGATTCTTAAAGATGTAACTAACTTTCCAAAAGACTTACATGCATTAGGAATCCTATTAGCGATACATGGAAGTCTTTTCAAGACAATCTCAGGAATATTAATTATTCTAAATGCTATGGTGCTCTGTTGTGTGCTTTAATGATCCCAATCGGCAAACATGGTCCCTGCCTTGAAGTAGCTGATTACCTGTAGTTAGCAAATAGTAACATTGTACTTCTGTAAAGTGTATTAGCATTATTGGGGGTAAAATTAATTCTGTAAAATAATCCATTTTATCTCTGTATATAAAATGCTCTTAGATAATTCCAGTTCGGGTTAAGATCAGATGACCTTTCCATTGCAACTCGTTACTGTCGTGTAGTAAAAAATAAAAGAAGAACAGCTAGTGAGCAGATTACTTGAATAAGGAAAAGTGAACCATAAAAGAGGGCTTATAATTTCTTCCAAGGTTGTGAATAGGGTAGCAGTGGATAGCGTTAAAATGAAGTATTTGCTGAGCATTCATTCTTTGACTATAATTAAAGCTGGGATTAAATTAATCACAGGTTGACTCTAATTTTGAGGTAAGAGATGGAGCCCGCATAATATTTTGTCAAGTGTTCGGTGATATTAGGCCGTGGAATAGTTTTGGATTGAATTGGATCTACCTTTTTGGGAAAGTTTGGTTCTACTTCATGTATCAGCGAGAGAAACCTTTAGGGTTCTCCAATTTCTCTTTCTTTGGACATCTGATCTATCTTAGTGCTTTTAACCACCAGTGGGAAATATAACCAAGTAACAGCTTATTAGAATTATTCTTAAAACAGTCCAAATGCAGTGGTGCATGCTTGGAATTCCAACACTGTGGGAGGCCAGGACGGGAGGATCACTTGAGCACAGGAGTTCAAGACCAGCCTGGGCAACATAGGGAGACCTAGTCTCTACAAAATAAAAATAAAAATGTTAACAAATTAGCCGGGCATAGTGGTATGTGCCTTTCGTCCTAGCTCCTTGGGAGGCTGAGGTGGGAGGATTGCTTGAGCCTGGGAGATCGAGGCTGTAGTGAGTTGTGATGGTGCTACTGCCCTCCAGCCTAGGTGACAGAGTGAGACCCTGTCTCAAATACACACACACACACACACACAGACACACACACACACACACACGCACTTAAAATAAGAATCAGTAGGCCTCTACTATGCATAAAGTGCATGCATGGACTTCATTAGAAACTTTTTCTTTTTGTCACTCAAAGGCCTTATTTGCAGTATTCTGGGTGGATGTCTGACATCGGATAAAAGGGGCATTACTGACGGGGTAGATTTTTTATTTTATTTTATTTTATTTTAATTATTGAGACGGAGTCTCACTCTGTTGCCTGGGCTGGAGTGCAGTGGCACGATCTCGGCTCACTGCAAGCTCCGCCTCCTGGGCTCGCGCCATTCTCCTGCCTCAGCCTCCTGAGTAGCTGGGACTACAGGCGCCCACCACCAAGCTCGGGTAATTTTTTGTATTTTTTAGTAGAGACGGGGTTTCACTGTGTTAGCCAGGATGGTCTCCATCTCTTGACCTCGTGATCTGCCCGCCTCAGCCTCCCAAAGTGCTGGGATTACAAGCATGAGCCACCGCACCCGGCGACAGGGTAGATTTTTTAAAGGGAAATGAAGCCTCAGGATGCTTGAGGGACTTGTAATACACGATATGAGAGCAAATATCTACTCCATGGCCAGAGCTCTTTCCACCTCACATATATTTTACAAAAGTTTTACTTTATTCTGGAAAAGTATATTCTGATGAATATTTATTAAACACAGAGACAGTCTCTGTTCCAGTTACTGCAGCTAAAATAATGCCTAAGATACTGTTCCTGCCCTTGAGAGGAATGTAGAAAGTGTATCCTCCATGTGCCAGGCATGGTGGCTCACGCCTGTAATCCCAGCACTTTGGGAGGTTAAGGCAGGCAAATCACTTGAGGTCAGGAGTTCAAAACCAGCCTGGCCAACATGGAGAAACCCCGTCTCTACTAAAAATTCAAAAATTAGCTGGGCACGGTGGTGCGTGCCTATAATCCTAGCTACTCAGGTGGCTGAGGCAGGAGGGTCACTTGAACCCAGCAGGCAGAGGTTGCAGTGAGCCGAGATCATGCCACTGCACACCACCCTGGGTGACAGTGGGACCCTGCCTCAAAGTCTCCAGTAAAGAAAAAAAAGAAAGAAAGAAAGTGTATGGTCCACCTGTGAAAATATTAAAATGAAGATATGTAAGTTTTAACATCTTACTCTACTTCCCTAGAAGGAACTTTAGATAGAAAAGTCCCTGGAAACTTGTTTGGTTTTAAAGTGTGTAATGCCAACTCAGCAACTGTAGTTCATTCAGTTTCTACATCTGAACAAAATTCTTCCTTTTAGTGAAATGTAGAAATTTAGAGCTCTTATAATCATAGCAAGCATTTATATGTATATCTGTACTCTTCCCAAACATGTTTTCACATTTAGTTTGGTCTTTGTATCCCTGTGAAGGTAGGTTGTGTCCATTTTGCAGATGAAGAAACTGTGCTTTGGAAATACTAAATGACTTGCCCAGGTGCTGGAGCATATGTTCAAATTCAGGATTTATATGCATAGGAATGTGTGAATGTAATGTGTTGAGATTCCTTAGCAGTCAGAACTATTTTAATTTAAGGTGGTGGCACTGGTGTAAGCAATGAGAGAGACGATTAACCCCTAAACGGTTTTAAAATATGCTCACATTGCCACTTCGGATGATTAAAGTCTTAATTCTGAATGGAGGGGAAAAAAATTGTTGCCATCGAAACCAATAAATGGAGCATTATTTAATATGTGTATTAAATTAAATACATATTAAAAAAGAGCATTATGCATACCTGATAGGTAGTCTAACAGTGTCTGGATTTTTATTTTCTCAATTGAGTGAACTCAGAGATGCTATGTATTGGTGATTCTTACCGTACAGGATTAACATTAAAAATAAAGGGTTATTTGAGATCATTTCTAACATCTCTTCTAGATGTAAAATTCTGTGTTATTGGCCAGGCATGGTGGCTCACGCCTGTAATCCCAGCACTTTGGGAGTCCGAGGGGGGCTGATCACCTGAGGTCAGGAGTTCGAGAGCAGCCTGGCCAACATAGTGAAACCCCATCTCTACTAAAAATGCAGAAATTAGCCGGGTGTGGTGGTGCACACCTGTAATCTGAGCTACTCGGGAGGCTGAGGCAGGAGGATTCCTTGAACCCGGGAGGTGGAGGTTCTAGTAAGCTCAGATCACGCCACTGCACTCCAGCATGGGTGACAGAGTGAGACCCGGTCTTAAAAAAAAAAATTTCTGGGTTATTATGTTACTTATTTTTATGCAAGATTTATATAATGCTTCTTAACTTGACTTAATGTTTTTTCTCTTTTAGTTTTTGAAAACTTAGGAATCAAGCCTTATTTTAAGGTTGCAGTAGATGGAGTAGAAAATTTAGTTATGGAGTAGAAAATTTAACCTTTTGTGTTTGAAATTCACATGCATTTACCCATAGAAATAACCCTCCGGTCCTCAGGTTTCTGAAACTGCAAAACCAGAAAGCACAATTATATAATGGGTAAACTAGGCCTTGGAGAGTTACACAGGAAAGCCAGCCATATTCATGACATTGCTTCTTTGGAAAACATGCATTCTTCTGCAAGATTGGGAATTTGTTTCTAGGTCTGTCAGACTCCTATACTTGCAAAAGTATCTTGAAGTAATTTACTAAAGAGAACATTGTTATTTCAAAGGTAGAGGCTATTGTGCTGCTTTGACACCATTGTCTAGCAACAGAATGGGGATAAAAGCTTGAGTCTTCAAATGTGTGTTTTTCTGTAGCTTCTTTAAGTATTTTGAGTGCACTCTTTGGTTTACTCTGGGAATAAGTAATTTTTACTTAAGCAAAGTTACTTATTTTGTTGTGGTAAGAGGATTCTGCCTTTGATTGGATTGTATATTTCCATGTCTTTATTTTCTTCAAAGAATGGAAGATTGGGCCAGCAAGATGTACCACAAGGGCCTAGAGTTGTCATCACAGAGTGATTCAGTAGATGGTCAGATGAGGGCAGTGATTTCAACTGATGACTGGGGTGAGGGAACTGATTGTTTTTAGCTATGATACTTAATATATTTACATTTTTTCAACCAACATTAAAAGAAGGATTGATTTTTATGTTTATTAAAAGAGGGAGGTTGTCATCAATCTAAAGAGGAGGAGAAGCATAAATGTTCATACTTTCTCCAGACCCAAAGGGACTTAAAAAAAACATGTCCACATTACATTCCAGTATGTGTGTATGTGAAGTTAAAGTTCAGTAAAGCTGTGGTTTCCCAAAGTTGTTCAGTTCCCAAAAGCTGGGGAGCTAAGATTCAATTCCAGTTCTATACATGTAAAATATGGTCAACTTAGCAACTAGACTGTGTGGATTCAGAGTGCAGGTAGCAAGCAGTAGGAGAAATTGCAGTAGGTGATTTTACTATTAAAATGAAAACTATGGCTCTCAAAATCAGTTTACAATTAGTTTATTTTTTGATGGTAGTTGAAGCCTTAGTAGATAAAGTGTGATAAGTTAAATAATAAATGAAAATGACTCTATTGGTATACAGTTTGTTTCCTTACTTGTAGAGTAGAGAATTTGACTTTTCGTGCGAAGTTTTAGACTAGTCTTTTAGATATTGTTGATGTGTGAAATGATTATAAGGTGTCCTTTCATTAAATGGCATACCGTAAATGAGGGGGTGGCGGAGAGTAGGAGGAGAAATACCAGTGGAAAAGTATTACACATCAGCCCATATTGTACAAAACCACTTATGATACAGAAAATATTTTATCATCCTGGAGGGTTCTGAGCATGTTTAGAATCAGACTTTTATTTCTGGACCATTTAACTGCTTTGTTTTTGTATGGCAAAAGGTAAAAATCTAGAAAGTATGCAGTGGTCATTTGGTTTAAACAACTTACTGCCTTTTCTCTTTAGGAATATGCCCCAGTAATTCCTCAACAAATAATGATACTCAACAAATAATGCAATCTGATATAAAATCATTTTTTGTAAGGTCAAGGTGTGTCTGGAATTGGTTCCTTCCAGTGGGTTCTTGGTCTCATTGACTTCAAGAATGAAGCCGTGAACCCTCGTTGTGAGTGTCCGGAGTTTCTTCCTTCTGGTGGGTTCGTGGTCTCGCTGACTTCAGGAGTGAAGCTGCAGACCTTCGCCGTGAGTGTTACAGCTCTTAAAGGTGGTGTGTCCGGAGTTGTTTGTTCCTCCCAGTGGGTTCTTGGTCTTGCTGACTTCAGGAATGAAGCTGCAGACCCTCACGGTGAGTGTTACAACTCATAAAGGTAGTACGGACCCAAAGAGTGAGCAGCAGCAAGATTTATTGTAAAGAGCAAAAGAACAAAGCTTCCACAGCGTGGAAGGGGACCCGAACGGGTTGCTGCTGCTGGCTTGGGTGGCCAGCTTTTATTCCCTTATTTGGCCCCGCCCACATCCTGCTGATTGGTCCATTTTACAGAATGCTGATTGGTGCATTTACAATCCTTTAGCTAGACACAGAGTGCTGATTGGTGCGTTTTTGCAGAGTGCTGATTGGTGCATTTACAATCCTTTAGCTAGACACAGAGTGCTGATTGGTGTGTTTTTACAGAGTGCTGATTGGTACATTTACAATCCTTTAGCTAGACACAGAGTGCTGATTGGTGTGTTTTTACAGAGTGCTGATTGGTGTGTTTACAATCCTTTAGCTAGTCCCCACTCGACCCAGGAAGTCTAGCAGGCTTCATCTCTCAAAGGTATGAAAATTGTTTTAAATTTGGACATAACATTGTATTTATGTTGGAGCCAGTACACACAGATACCACAAATACGTTTCTAATAATTCTTATTCAGGAGTCAATATTGATATAGATTAAGATGGACCAGGACAGTTGTGAAACTGTTTTTTCATTTTTTTTTTTTTTTTTGAGACAGGATCTTCCTCTGTCACGCAGGCTGGAGTGCAGTGGTGCAATCTCGGCTCACTGCAGCCTTCGCCTCCCGGGCTCAAGTGATTCTCCTGCCTCAGCCCCCCGACCCCACCGCAAGTAGCTGGGACTACAGGCTCATGCCACCACATCTGGCTAATATTTGTATTTTTTGTAGAGAAGGGGTTTTGCCGTGTTGCTCAGGCTGGTCTTGAACTCCTGAGCTCAGCTGATCCGCTCACCTTGGCCTCCCAAAGTGCTGGGGTTACAGGTGTGAGCCAGCGCACCTGGCCTGTTGTGAAACTATTAAAGAGGCTTTATGATATTTTAGGTTCAGTAACAAAAACCTATTTAGAGTTTAATTTTCCATACAGACCTGATGGCTGGTTTGACACAGAAGTGGAAAAAAGTGTCACTGTATTTGGATCAAACTCCAGCCTGCTGAGATCAGGAAAATGTTTGATCATTTGGTAATAAACAACACTGTGATCTTGATGTAACAGGGTGGCTGTTCTGTCTGAATTTTCCTGGGGTTGTATAGGATTTCTGTGGGGGAAAAAAAATCTGTGGATTGAGTACTGAATTCTATCCTTTTTTAAGCGATCTGACTTTAAACAAGTTAACTTCATTCCATGAATATTGACCAGATTTGTTCACATGTGCCATCCATTGTTCTAAGTACCTAAAATATTATGTGTCTCACTCACCTACCTTATTAGTAATGGGGTCAGTATCTCCCAGTTTCTGTGGTTTTTAGCAGCTTTTTGGAATATAAGTAGTATACAATCTGCCTGTTTTAATTGTATAATTCAGTGTTTTTTAATACATTTACGGATTTGTGCAACCATCATTACAATCTGATTGTAGAACATTTCCGTCATCCCAGAAGGAACTTTGTGACTATTTGCAGTCACTCCTCAGCTCCGTGAAACCACTAATGTACTTTTTGTCATTATAGATTTGCCTTTTCTACACATTTTATATAAATGGAATCATAATATGTGGTCTTTTGTGTCTGGCTTCTTTCACGTAGCATAATGTTTTTGAAGTTCATCTATATTGTAGCATGTACTTCATATTCCATTGTATGGATATACCACATTTTGTTTATCCATTCATCAGTTGATGGACATTTGGATTGTTTCCACTTTTTGGCTATTGTGAATAATGCTGTTATGAACATTCTTGTGCAAGTTTTCATGGGACATCTGTTTTCATTTCTCTTGGGTGGATGCCTGGGAGTGGAATTGCTGGGTCATATGGTAAATTTATATTTGGTATTTTAAGAAACTGCCAAACTGTTTTCTTCCAGAGTGGCTGCACCATTTTATATTCCCATAAGTGAGGATTCTAATTTCTCCGTATCTTTGGACAATAACAATACTTGTTATTGTCAGTATTTTTTGTTATAGCCATTCTAGTGGATGTGAAGTAGTATCTCATTGTGGTTTTGATTTGCATTTCCTTAATAACTCATGATGTTGAGTATCTTTTCATGTTCATATAGTCCATTTTAATATCTTCTTTGGTGAAATGTCTATTCAAATCTTTTTTGCCCACTTTTTTTTTTTAACTATTTTATTTTTTTAAGACGGAGTCTCACTCTCTTGCCCAGGCTGGAGTGCAGTGGTGTGATCTCGGCTCACTGCAGCCTCCGCCTCTGGGGTTCAAGCAATTCTTGTGCCTCAGCCTCCCAAGAAGCTGGCATTACAGGTGTGTGCCACCACACCCAGCTAATTTTTTGTATTTTTGGTAGAGACAGGGTTTCACCATGCTGGGCAGCCTTGTCTCACATTCCTGGATTCAAGCAATCTGCCCACTTTGGCCTCTCAAAGTGCTGGGATTACAGGTATGAGCCACCGTGCCTGGCTCTTTTTTGCCCGCTTTTAAATTGGTTTTCTGGTCTTCTTATTAATGAAAAAGTTCTTATATATTCTGGTTACAAGTCCCTTATTGATATATAATTTGCAAACATTTTCTCCTATTCTGTGGCTTGGGTTTTGTTTTTCTTGATGGTGTCTTGAAACACAATGTTTACTTTCAATAATGTCTTACTTATTAGTGTTTTTGTTTTCCATGATTCGTTGACCATCTGTTGCCCAATAATGATTTTACCCTCCTTTGGATGCTGGGACGTTGGATCTGTTAGCTTTCTGATATTTTCTAACAGATCAAGCTTATTTTCAATACTTGAGTACAGGGGCTACAGAATGAATGTTCTTCATTATTCATCAAACTTATTCTGTTTTGGGAAATTCATCTCAAACATGTTTGTCTTTTTTTAGAGTAAATTAGCATCTACTGCAGATGTTGTCATCCTGAGCATTGACATTTCTTGTAAGGTTTTATTACTTCATGCTAATTTGTTTATGAAAAATTACCATTTGAATATGAAAATTATTTTTATCTCGTAATTGTCCTGTTTAGGCTTATGAATTCTTCTAGAAATCTACCATTCATAGATTATTTTCAAAGTTTCTAAGGTTAATTGTCAATAATTTTTATGGTTAATAATCAAAGAAGACACTTGAGATAGACTTTATCAGAGATAGATTTTATTAGATATAAATGGAAGATATTTTTATCTGGGGTAGGAGGTTGTGATGCCTGACTGTAATGACTAGTTTCAGCTCTTCAAGAAAGAATAAAACCAATTTTGCATTCCAGAACTTTTATTTTGTTTCATGAATACAGCTAAGTAAATTCCATAAGGTTTCTTTGCTGTAGATCAGGGTATCTCAGCTTCGGCACTGTTGATCTTTTGGCCCAGACAATTCCTTGTCTTGTGGGGCTGTCTTGTGCGTTGTAGGATGGATGTTTAGCAGTATTTTTGACCTCTACTCACTAGATGCTAGTGGCATCCCCCTATTGTGATGACCAAAAATGTCTAAAGGTGTTGACCTTTGTCCCCTTGGCAGGATTGGGGAGAATCACATCCCCATAGAGAACCACTGCTTTAGGGGTATATTTAGAACTAGCAATGGAATTCAGAGAAGTGCCCTACCCCTCTAAAATATAGGTAGGAATTGTCCATCAGATGTGACACTAGGATTGACAAAGTGGTCTTTGCATGCAGCCCATAAAACTTAGAGGCTGATGTTTCCTGCTTAATCTTTATAAAACCCTTCTCCATATTCTCTCTCCCTTTCCTGATGGCTTCTTTATGTTCTTGTGTGTGTGTCTGACTGCATTGTAAGGTCTTCTAAAAGCAAGCAGAGACCCCCCCACAACCCCCCTGCCCACTGACTTTCCCCAATTATTTTAAGATGAAGCTGTGGTGACCAATTCCAGATGACTATTGGGAGAAAGTAAACTTGAGGAAAAAGAGGAAGACTGGGTTGGATTTCCTCTGCTTCAGCTTTAAAATGTTTCCACTGTGATATAAAAAGCTTACGAGCATGTGGAAATGCGAATTTAGAGTGTAACCAGAGAAAAGGGGTGTGTCAGGAAGAGGTAATTAAATGTTGTAAGCAACCCAGAATCTCTGTACTATTGTTAAAGCAGTATGTTGCTTTAAGTCAATCCAGTTACTCTTCCCTCAGCAAGTCTATGCTACTCCAGTGACTCTTACCTCAGCAAGTCCATACTACTCCAGTGATCGACCTGTCATATAAACTGCAACAAATACTGCATAAACTTGCACCAGAAGACTGGGGTATGATTACACAGGGAATCTCAGATATGAGTTTCCTGACATTTGTCTGTAAAGTCAACTCTAATGTTGCACAGTTTTAACCTTTAAATACTACCATGCTACAAAGTCCCTTTCCACTGGAGCAGTATAATCTACTTTCAGTATTTAGGGACTAACCTTTTCACAACTACTGCAAAATATTTGACAGAGCAGCACCCACCTTGTATGACATTCTCATGAAGTTGTGGGTAAGAAATTGTAATTGCTTGCAACAGTATGAATCCGATATGATTTTTTTTTTTTTTTTTTTTTTTTTTTTTTTTTTTTTGAGACGGAGTCTCGCTCTGTCGCCCAGGCCGGACTGCGGACTGCAGTGGCGCAATCTCGGCTCACTGCAAGCTCCACTTCCCGGGTTCACGCCATTCTCCTGCCTCAGCCTCCCGAGTAGCTGGGACTACAGGCGCCCGCCACCGCGCCCGGCTAATTTTTTGTATTTTTAGTAGAGACGGGGTTTCACCTTGTTAGCCAGGATGGTCTCGATCTCCTGACCTCATGATCCACCCGCCTCGGCCTCCCAAAGTGCTGGGATTACAGGCGTGAGCCACCGCGCCCGGCCCCGATATGATTTTTAAAAGTCTGTCTTTTCGCTTGCTGGTTAATGAAAACTCTAGGTTTTGAATTTTTCCTAAGTCATATTTTGCTCAGTTCTTTTCTTTCATAATAGCTACTTTTCCTTTCAGCTGACGTCAGACTCTGCTGCCTCCTATAATTTTCCTAATTGCCTTCTCTTCTGTCTCAGCATATGCCTTAGCAGTGGAAAAGAAAAATTTCAACTTTATTTTAGGGGGTGGTCTGGGGTGGAAGGGCAAGGCTAGAGCAGCTTAAAGGAGATGGTTATTTCCTGATTGTAATGTATCTTACTAACTCCTCAGTGCATCTGTAACCTACCTCTAGTCAGGAGTGCTGTCACAAATGTGAAAAAAAGTGAGATGGGAAGAAGGAAATGAATATTTACTGTGCCCAGTGCCTGCACTTTCTTAGACATAGTTTCATTGAATTCATTTAAGCCTTTTGAGGAGTGTTCTCATCCCCATTTGCAGGTAAGGAAATGAGACACCGAGAGGTTAATCTGCCCAAGGCTTTGCAGAGAGCCAGCATGCAAATGCAGGCCTGTCCGACCCCAGGTCTGTGCTGTCTATTTTCCATGCTCTTCTCCCTTCTCGTTAGTACTGGCTTCACAAAGGGAAGAAAGAAGAATGTTGGGTCTCCAGAAGAGTGGATCCCATGAAAGACACTCATATCTGGGGTGAGAGGTTATGATGCTTGGCTGTCAAGGCAGTTTCAGTTTATGAGAAAGAATAAAACCAACTTTGCATTCTGAGAAGAGTGCTGGTTTCCGGAAGGATCATCTTGATTTGAGGTGGCAGCTGTCACTTCCCTCAGGGCATAGAAAATATGATTTAACCACTGGACAACTTTGCTTCACAAAGAATGTCATGATTGGTTAAGTGCACTACTACTGATATTAAAAGTGTACTTAATTACCCTACTACTGAAGGAGACACAAAAAATCCATAACAGTATCAACATGCCTAGTTTAGAATGCATTTGTCTTTTTTGGCTGAGGTGGATAGGTGAGGACATAAGGTAAGGGTTGTGTGTGTGCATGTTTATATATAGATAAAATGTGTGTGTGTGTGTGTGTGTGTGTGTGTGTAGGAGAACAGATATTTGTGGTGTTTGGGGAATTCACCTTGAACTTCATGTTGCCTTCTAATTCATGCTAAAGAGAGTATCACCTGTTATTGATTCTGAACCATAGAAAGCCAGCTGCCTCTTTTCTTTCATTTGATTGGTTACCACATTTGTACTTTCTCTGAGGGAAGGATCATTATTAGGATATGCAGGGAACAGTAGAAAGCTGATTAAAAAGAGGAAGATGTTGGATTACTGAACTGAAATGTTGCCTTGGCACATGGCTTCCTTCAAAGCTCTTGAATCTTATTTCCTGTAACTTACCATATGAGATTATAGGGAAAAGAAGTTGACCAAGGATGTGAGAAAGTAAATGGGAGTTACTGGAGAATTGATGGCTTTGTAAAAAGTTTCTCAAATCGGGATAGAGGTTTATACTTGCACTTAATACTGAAGGAAAGGTTTATGTTTGCTACTAGAACTGGGTTGGCATCTAACTTCCTTTGTAAAAGCACTACAAATTAACTATTGTAAGCTGTGAAATGGAGTTTGTAGTAACAGACCTGGCAAGTAAACACCTAGTGTTTGTCTCTTAAAAAATGATGTATTACAGCTCCACCAGGTGGCTGCCAACAGTGTGAATGAGACAGGCTGGCATCGACCAGGAGGAGGGGAAAGCTGCTCTTGATTTTCTTTGTGCATATCGGAGTCTACAACATAATAATTTAGTGAAGGACAAAGAAGGGAGCCCACTGCAGGTTTTTCTAGGAAGTCTGGCAAAAAACAAAAAAACAACAACAAAAAAACCTCAAGATCACTGTGACTCATCTTTGACATATAAATACCTGAATGTCATAGACAGTTTTCTGATGGGTTAATTGTGCTGCAGATCCGTATATAATTGTGCCCCTATTCTGGCTATTATTTTTGGTGTTCCTAAAAGGGCAGAGGATCCTTTAGGTCTATAGACTAGTTTTGGCTTGTGATTATTAGAGACTCAAGTGTGATCCAGCTCAGGTGCTAAGTATTGTAACATCACGGTGTAGTAGGAAAGAATGTTGGCGAATTGAATCCAGTTTTAGGCTCTGCTCCTATTAGGCAAGTGGCTTCTTTTTTCCTGGGCCTCAGTTTCCTCATCTGTAAAATGAGTGAATTATATTAGCTGCTCTCCAGAAACCTTTAGCCATGTGCACAGTTTGAATAATTTCATTTTAATTTGGAAAAGAATAAACTTGTTAAGCATTTGAAAATCAAATAGAAAACATGAGGGAAGAAAGCTATATTTAGTGTAGACATTTACATTTTTTAAATTAAACTCTACATTATGATATTGGTAATAAGAATTAGAATGAGACAGTCTTTACTATTCTCTCCCTAGCTCTAATATGGCACAGATGTGATAATAAAGTCCATATGCAGCCTTGAAGAAAGTGTTTGATTAGACATAAAATGTTAAAAAAAAATCTGATAAGTAAATTGAGCTATCAACTTGTTTTAGGCAGCACAGAGAATAAAACAAAAACCAAAGCCCACTAGCTACTGAAACACTGAAATGTGAAATTCATTTTCCCAACTTATTGGTTCCATTCCTGTCTAGGTTTGGAGAAAAGAGAAAGAAACAGCTTCTTTCTCCATGTTAAGTAAATGTCTTAATCATTTGAAAATGAAAGTATAAAATTGAAATTGTAAGCACTCTGAGTAACAAACATTGTTTTGTTCTTTTGTGTTCTAAACATTAATAAAATTAGCCATCATTAATGGATCTAAATATTTTAAATTGCAGTTAGTAATTTTAAATTGCAGTTAGTAATGCCATTTTAAGTGATTTTATATTTCTCATGTCGAGGAGCAAAGAAAGCATAACCCCAATTTTTTGATATCAGTTTTTAACAATACAACCAATTTAGGAAATATCAAGAACTGATTATAGCAATGACAGGAATATTAGTCCCCCTGCCTTTGTACTTTGCCCCTTAGCAACAAGTGAATTCATTACTGTATTTTCTTATTTGTGCTTCTCTCCTTTAAAAAATACTCAGTTTGCTATTTTTAAAAATTACCCAAGAATGGGTGGGCATGGTGGCTCATGCCTGTAATCCCAGCACTTTGGAAGGCCGAGGCGGGCGGATCACGAGGTCAGGAGATCGAGACCATCCTGGCTAACATGGTGAAACCCTGTCTGTACTAAAAATACAGAACATTAGCTGGGCATGGTGGCGGGTGCCTGTAGTCCCAGCTACTGGGGAGGCTGAGGCAGGAGAATGGTGTGAACCCGGGAGGTGGAGGTTGCAGTCAGCCGAGATCACGCCACTGCACTCCAGCCTGCGCAACAGAGCGAGACTCCGTCTCAAAAAAAAAAAAAAATTAAGACTGATTTTATGTGGTGGCTCCTTTCACCATTAAAAAGTTAGTTTATACATTTTTTTGCTTTGCTCCTTGTTTTAGTTTCTTTCTTTTATATGTGTATTTATCAGCATATTGTGGTATGTGTGTTAGCTGTGCCAGTATTCAGCTCTTAGAAACACAGCCACGTGTTACTATGCCACCTTCTTGAAGTTTGGAGTGTAACAGTGTAGACTTTGATCTAGTTTTTGTTTTTCTGTGAGACATTTACATGAAAACAACATCTTTGATTTTAATAACTTACCTGTTTCTCCTGTTTATTTCCCCTGAAATTGTCTTAATGCTCCATAAGGGACATAGCAGCTGGTTGCGATGGAATTGACTGACACTAAGTAAAAGATTATGACTTCGGGTAGAAATTAAGTAGAAAGAACTGCTGATTTCTTAAAGAGATGGGATGCACTCAGATTGTCAAATATTGACATAGACCTTCTGTTAATTTAAGAGTAACAATTCTGGTTTTGGTGAAAAAATTTTAAAAGTTAATTTCATGATATGCTTTATATCAAAAATAAAACCTTAAATTTATTTTAAATTTAATTTTTTTGCTAAAAAAAGGGCCGACCTTTTATTCTTCAGAAGATTCGTTCCTCTTAACTGCATGATGAAACTTTACTAATAAAAAGAATTCATGCATGTATATATTCATACACACACACTTTATACATAATGCCTAGCAGTCTTTTGGACTAAATAATTTCCCCATAACTTTATGTTGAGCAAAAATGATGGCAACTTTTCAAATATATAATGTTAGCTCTGGGAGTTAAAATTTAATTTCTAGTTTTCAGTGTCTTGCTAATTATGAGTTTGAGGCACATTTCATTAATACGTGTTCATCTTAGTATGCATTGACGAGGAGTTTGTGACTGTTTTTCATTATATTCTTCTGATAAGTCAATTAATGGCATGTCATTTTACTTCTATAAGCTGATTTTCCACATTTGTATAAAGTGGAGGTTATGGGTATGGGTGTGAGAGACGGGAGTTTAGGTTGGAACAACTTCTAACTTCTCTTCCAGTTGTAAATACTGTATAACATAATGGAAGCAAAATGCTTCCATGGCTCCATAACCATGTCTATATTCATTTGTTCACCATTGACTTGTCTCTTACTGTGGGGATTTCCTGTTATATACATGCTGCACATAGATTTCCAAAAGATTCAGTTATAATCTAAAACATTTATAGTAATTTGCTTGGCTATTACACATTTAAAATTTATCGGAAGTGTCTTGATCAAACAAGAATTTAGGTTGGCTTTCAAAGAATGTGAACAAGGCTGAATATAAATAGGATTGGGGTCATTTATCAGTATCCATTCTTTTATTTCATTAGCTGAATTAATGTCTAAGCATTCAGTCCAAGAAATATATGTAGCTCTTCTATTTTATTAATGGTTTAGCCTTAATCCTATCTTCCTTTTAGTTTGCAATAAGTACAAAATAGTTACAAATTCTAGAAGATTGTTATTGTCTACCTCCTATGAAGTACTTAAGCAATACAATAAATAGAGCTGTCATTCTTTGTCTTCTACTTGCTCTTTTCTGGATATTTGGTTATATGACTGTTTTTTCCTTTACTACTGTCTAATCTAGTTCACAATGATTTTTGTGTTCTTAAAGAGAAAATGTCAATGACTTAAATTATATCACCATAACTTTTATAATCAGATGATCAGAGAATATAGGATTAAAGCTAATAAATGCAGGGTCCTTTGAAATCCTCACATAAAAGGAAACAGCAAAAGTACCAGCTTTATCTGGTATCTGACTGAGAAAATCAACCAATGTATATTGGTTTTGCACTTTACATGGTAATGTTGTCATTTATTTTTAGATATCCTTGGAACAGAAGATCTTATTGTGGAAGTGACTTCCAATGATGCTGTGAGATTTTATCCCTGGACCATTGATAATAAATACTATTCAGCAGACATCAATCTATGTGTGGTGCCAAACAAATTTCTTGTTACTGCAGAGATTGCAGAATCTGTCCAAGCATTTGTGGTTTACTTTGACAGCACACAAGTAAGACTTTGTTTTCTATGAAGGCTTGAATAAGAAATTATTGCATGCCTTCTTTTTTTCCCATTACATTTTGTCTGACTATCTCTTTTCTGTTTTTGTTTGTTTATATTTTTTGTTCCCTCTAGAAATCGGGCCTTGATAGTGTCTCCTCATGGCTTCCACTGGCAAAAGCATGGTTACCTGAGGTGATGATCTTGGTCTGCGATAGAGTGTCTGAAGATGGTAAGGCCTGTGGATGGGACAGTAGTTGGTACATGCATTTGCCATTCCTTGATAAACAGAGTACATCTGTTTCTTTAACTTAGGACATACATCCCATGTGACTTTATGGCTTTATGAAAATATTTTCAGCTATTTTTCTTTGGAATCTTGTAATACTTACTTTTTTTTTAAGAATGGATACTTCGGGGCTGAGAAGTCATTTTCTTTTTATTATTTTAGATGCCTTTAGAATAACATTGACATTAAGGGAAACACATTGAGATTTGTGAAGAATATTGCAGGAATAGTCATGTTTTATTTTCTTTTTACTTATGAAGATTCTTTTGCATATTATTTTAGGTATAAACCGACAAAAAGCTCAAGAATGGTGCATCAAACATGGCTTTGAATTGGTAGAACTTAGTCCAGAGGAGTTGCCTGAGGAGGATGGTAAGTGTTTATGTGTTAGGAGAAAATATGGCACTTAGATATGAGAGATTATTTTAATTCAGGGAAGAAGAATCACAGCAAAATTCAAGAAACTTTTTTCCCCAGCTGTTTCAAGGATTTAAGCAAAATCCATTGATGTAATCTTATAATCTTACACTTAGTGTAATAATTCATTTTTTTGGTTTTACCACCTGTTTTAGAACTTTTGAAAATGTGTGTTTTTCTTATGGATAAAGGTATAGGGCTGCTTTCTAAAATCTTTGTCATTTCCATAATCCTTTTTCCTTTCCCTACTGCTGAAGAAGGAGAGTTAGACCTTCGTAGTAGTTAAAGTTGATGTTTCTTATTTTGAATTCATAGTAACCTAAGGCTGAATTCCCAAGAATCGCAGGGGACATTTCAAATCCATTTGAATGTCTTTTGGACATTTGAAGCCAAAAGATAGACCCCAAATTTAATCCCCCACCTCCACCCCAGGTAGCTCTGCAATCGCTGTCCTCCGCTATTGCTGGACCTTCTATTTCTTCCCCTCTTCTACTCCCCTTCCCCATTTCTTTTCTCATCTTTTCTCCTTTGAAGTACACCTGTTTTGGTATCTACCAGGATAAGAGGGTTTTTGGTTCACCAAAACCTTATAATCTGGTACAAGAGATGAAACTTACAGATAATTGAATTACCAAGTGGAATGTCATAAGTATTATAGAAGAAATAGTAGTGCTGTGGTATTTTAGAGACCGGAGAGCTTATTTTTGTTTAAAAGTGCAGAGAACGTGTTGGCATTGTGACCTCTCACATGTCAGCTGCTCCATGGGGAAGAAGTTAGAAAAGGTCCTGGGCTTGTAGTGAGAGGACTGCTGGAGAGGTGGCATTGTGAATATGCCAGTTGTTCCAAAAGACATTCTGGGCAGGGGCAACCAACGTGAATTAAAGTACATAGATAAGACATAAGCAGTCATTTCAAGAAACTTGTATTTTTCTTCAAGGAATTAAGAAATATTTTTCTATATTCTGGTTTTATTTATAATTTTTCCAAAATGCTGTTACCTTTGAGAATAAAACCTGCTGGAGAAGAAGAGAACAAAACTGAAATAAAAACTCTGGTTTTTCTCCTTGCTCATTTTAAAGAGTGTTGAAAATTAGCATGTACATCTTTTTCTGTGTTTTTCTAGGTCCCTGAAACTTGTGCCCTGTTTTGTGTATGTGAGCCTGTGTGATTTCTGGCACTAGAATTTTCTCTTTCTCTTGTCCTTGGGAGTCAGTATTTGACTGTTATCATTTTGGAATCTCTGCTCCTTTATACTACTTTATTTCTCGTAGCCCTTTGTCTGAATAATGTTCTTGTATTCATTCAGCTTAATCTTAAAATGGGTTTTTTGATATGTCATCTTTAGGTAAGGTAATGAAAACCTTCCTAGACTTTTAAAATACAAATTATTCCTAAGCCATATTTCCTCATCTTTTACTTGCATGTATTATTCAAACATGAATATAGGACTTTATGCTAGTTTGTATTAATTTTCCTCTTACTGGTACTAGCTCTTCATTTCAGACCACATTTTTGGTTCCTGGTTATATCATCTAAAGTATTAGTTATTCTTTTGAGAATTAAGTCATTCACAATTAAGATAAACATGACTTTTAGGTCTTCATCCAGACATTGGTGGTGATAAACTTATCTTGGTAGAGTATTTTCTTTCTTTATTTTTATTTATTTATTTATTTATTTGAGACAGAGTCTCTCTCTGTTGCCCAGGCTGGAGTGCAGTGGCACGATCTCTGCTCACTGCAAGCTCCACCTCCTAGATTCACGCCATTCTCCTGCCTCAGCCTCCCAAGTAGCTGGGACTGCAGGCGCCCGCCACCACGCCTGGGTAATTTTTTTTTTTTTTTTTGTATTTTTAGTAGAGACGGTGTTTCACCATGTTAGCCAGGATGGTCTCAATCTCCTGACCTCGTGATCCACCTGCCTCGGCCTCCCAAAGTGCTGGGATTACAGGCATGAGCCACCGCGCCCAGCAGAGTATTTTCAATTTAATCACTATATTTCTGTTAGGTTGGCAGGTTGGTATTCTTTAAATGATTCATTGATCCATTAAACAGTTGCTGAGTGCCTGCTGTTTTTCAGGCACTGTGGTAGGCAATGGGCATATGAACTCAGTAAGACAAGATTCCTGCCGTCAAGGAGTTTTCAGTGTAGGGGGAAGGTTACATTAGTAAATCATCAATTGCAGTGCATCTTTCCTCTAGGAGAGATGTGCATAGAGTGGTATTGTTTCCACTTTCTGTGAGAATGGTGTAAGTGATTTGCCCTTGATCAAATAGCTAGTAAGTGGCAGAGCCTGGGTTCAAATTCAGATATTCTGACATGTAACTCTGTGCTCTTCTTGTTAAACCACCCAGGGCTAGGCTGGCCACTAGAGACAGGGTCTGTGTGGATTATGTTCTGTAAACTCGGGAAACTTTCCTTTTTTAACCACATGAAAACTATTTCTGTCATTATTTTCCAGACGCAGCCTTACAATCCTCAACATCTGCAGGATCCCCATTTCCTTTGTACACGATCATTCCTGTGTTGTAGTTAAGAATACCACCTTTTTTGGTACACTATGGGATTACAATCCCATTATTTTGAGTAGTATCAGTCAAATTCCAGAAGCAGGATAGTACTAATAATAAACTAAACTAAGTTGTCGTAATGACCCTTTGCCTGTCTCTTACACTTCTAGTCATTTCACTTCTCACTCAAACTATCTTTCTCTGATCAAGAAGTTCTTCTATAGGTATCGATCAAAAATAACACTTATTATTCTATGGTTTCCAGCACAGGATAGAGCATTTACATGATTTTATAACATACTGTTAATAAGAGGACTGTTCCTGCCTTCAGGAAACTCATTCTGTGTAGATTGGTATCTCTAGTACTGTGCCAGGAATGTGTGTAATAAGTGGAATCTAACATTTTCAGAATATAAATAGATTCCATTGGTGAGGATAACTTTATTATATAACTGCCTTATATTGTGTGTTTAATTGCTTTAGTTTCTAGAATATTCTTTTTTTTCCGCATGAAAGTTTTTAGTTTATTAATCTTCTCATGAAAAAGCCACAGTGGCCACTGATAACATCCTTGCAGCACCTTTGCTCCTTTGGCTTTTTGCCAGCACTAACACTGGCCTTTGCTGTCTGCCTACCTTCTTCATGCCGTTCTTACATTCCTTTCATTGCTTTCTCAAGGTCTTTTTCTTCTCACACAGGCCATGTCTTGTAAGTCTATGTTTGTGTTCATTTTTGTTTGCATAATCCAAGGAATCGTAAATTATGCCAAAGCCAGTAGTCTTGCCACCACCAAAATGAGTTCTGAACTCAAAGATGACATCTGGTGTGGTCTTGTACATTTTGGCTACTTTTTCCCGAATTTCTCTCTTAGGTAGTGTTGCCTTCCCGGGGTGAAGGACATCAATGACCATTTGTTTTCACTGAAGTAGTTGGTTGGTCATGAACTTTCCAGTTTGGATAGTTACCATGTCATTCATGATGGTGGTCAATCCTCAGACAGCCGAGGAAGAAAAGAGTTTCTCTAGAATATTCTTATTGAGAGCTCCAAGCTCTGTATTTGATTTTTTTCCTTGTATGATGTGAACTAACAACTAAATAAACAAGATAACAAAACCACAGTCATTTGAAAATATGGCTTGGAGGATATATACGTAACTTTTTTTTTTTTTTTTTGAGATGGAGTTTTGCTCCTGTTGCCCAGGCTGGAATGGTGCCATCTCGGCTCACCACAACCTCTACCTCCTGGGTTCAAGCAGTTCTCCTGCCTCAGCCTCCCGAGTAGCTGGAATTACATGCATGCGCCACCACGCCTGGCTAATTTTGTATTTTTTAGTAGAGATGGGGTTTCTCTATGTTGGTCAGGCTGGTCTTGAACTCCCGACCTCAGGTAATCTGCCCTCCTTGGCCTCCCAAAGTGCTGGGATTACAGGCATGAGCCACCGTGCCTGGCCACATTTTTGTGAATGTATATGTATATCTGTGTGAGTGTTGCATATAAATATATATATTTCCCCTCCCTGATTAGATGACTTCCCAGAATCTACAGGAGTAAAGCGAATTGTCCAAGCCCTGAATGCCAATGTGTGGTCCAATGTAGTGATGAAGAATGGTAAGTAACTTGGGACTCAAGTCATTTTTTTCCTCTTGTTCCTTGTAAGTTTTAAATTATTGAGATATATGTGGAACCATTAGTGCTATATGAAATCTGTAGATTTGTTCCAATTTCAGTTCGCTGATTGAAGGAAGCGCCAAAAGTAGCATTTCTAGGAATTTTTCATATACGTTTAATAGTTAATTCAGTAAGAATTTAGAGGTTGCTTGTAATACACCCAGCATTGTCTTTGGCTTTGAGAAGTACCTCCAAAATTATAAGACGTAGACCCTATTATTAAGGAGCTCCTAGTCCAGCTGTGAAATTCAAGCCTGTACTTTTCAAATGCCAGGGAACTATGCAAGGCAATCTGTGATGAGTACAGATGACTGATGCAGGCAGTAAAGTGCATAAAATCAGAAACATGGCTGTTGTGTTAGGCTTAAGTATAGAGAGAGAGCTTCAAGGAGAAAGTGTGTCCTGACAGTAGTTTTCACAGGAAGCTCAAGATTTGGACTAATGAAAGGGGAGAACGGCAAGTGGAGAAGGAAGCATGACATAGAGAATAACAGTTCTATGTTCTGACCAGCCTGGACAACATGGTAAGAGCCCATCTCCATAAAAATTAGCTGGGCATGGTGGTATGTGCCTGTGGTCCCTGCTACTTGGGAAACTGAGGAGGGAGAATTGCTTGAGCCCAAGAAGTCAAGGCTGCAGTGAGCTGTGGTCATGCCACTGCACACCAGCCTGGGCAACAGAGAAAGACCCTGTCTCAAAAAAAAAAGTTGTGTATTCTAGGGTCACTAAGAGAATATCACCTAGCATTTGGAGCTAGCTTAGAGAGAGGCCTGAATGCCAGTCAGGAGAGTTTTGGCTTTTTCCTGTAAAAATTGGTGAGTCACTGGAGATTTTTAAATAAGGGGTTGATGCAAAGAAGGTGGTGTGCAGGGAGGTTTGGCAATTGAAGAAAGTCAACATAGAGTCTGAAGTTAAGGGAGACCAGAGCTTTTGCAGCAGTTCAAGAGTGAGGTGCTGGGGCCCGGGGTAATGTAGTGGCAGTGGCCATGAGACAAAAGGCTGGATCTGGAGTGCAATCTGAAGAGGGTAGTGCACACTGGCCTCTTACTGTCTGTATTGGTTCCCTAGGGCTATGGTAACAAAGTACCACAAACCATATGACATAGAACAGCATGAATGCATTGTCTCATAGTTCTGAAAGCCAGAAGTCCAAAATCAGGGTGTTGGCAGGGCCATGGTCCCTCTGAAGGTGCCGGGGAAGGATCTGTTTCAGGCCTCTCTTCTAGCTTCTGGTAGTTCCTTAGCTTGTGGCAGCATAACTCCATCCTTCACATGAAGTTTTCCCTGGGTGCCTGTCTGTGTCCACATTTTCCCCTTTTTATAAGCACAACAGTCACATTGAAGTAGGGATCTACCTACTGCAGTATGACCTCATCTTAATATATCTGCAGTCAACCTGTCTCCAAATAGGGTCACATTCTAAGATACTGGAGGTTAGGACTTCAGCATACGAATTTGGTGGGGGATACAATTCAGTCCATTAACACAGTCTTTTAGGAATTGCTTCCTGTATAGGGTTTTTCTGTCTTACATCTCTTGGCTGCCTCAACAAGTATGCTGAGTGAGACACTACAGAAGGGAATGAGAAAAATCATATTTTACAGCCAGGTGAGGTGGCTCACACCTGTAATCCCAGCACTTTGGGAGCCTGAGGTGGGCAGATCACAAGGTCAGGAGATCAAGACCATCCTGGCCAACATTGTGCTACCCCGTCTCTGCTAAAAAAAAAAAATACAAAAATTAGCTGGGTGTGATGGCACGTGCCTGTAATCCCAGCTACTCAGGAGGCTGAGGCAGGAGAATCACTTGAACCAGGGAGTCAGAGGTTGCAGTGAGCCGAGATCGCGCCACTGCACTCCAGTCTGGCGACAGAGCAAGACTCCATTTCAAACAAACAAACAAAACCACACAAAATGAAAAATCATGTTTTACAGTGAGCTTACCCCATCTTCCGTGATAAAGGTCAAGTAGAAGACCGGTTTTATAAAAATAGAATATTTCACTTCAATTTTTGGTAGACCCTTGAGTGTTAAGTGAGATTGGCACCCTTTAGCTTTCCTGAGGTCTGATCTAACCCTTGTCGTCATTAGAGAAGCTCCTTCTGGCATAATAAGGTACTCCTTCCTCTCCTTTTCTTCCCCTCTCTCCATCCTCCTTCCTCCTTTTTTCTTTCTAGGAGGAATCTTATTGTGTCTGTTAAATTGAATTGCAAGGGTGCTAGATTCTATTTTATTGATGTAGCAATCTAGATAGATCTAGAAAGAACAAGGAGTTTTTTTGGGTTTTTTTTTTCCTTCTCCAACTCTTTTTTTTTTTTTTTTAAGACGGACTCTCGCTCTGTTGCCCAGGCTGGAGTGCAGTGGCACGATCTTGGCTCACTGCAACCTCTGCCTCCCGGGTTCAAGCAATTCTCCTGCCTCAGCCTCCTGAGTAGCCAGGATTACAGGCGCGCACCACCACTCCCAGCTAATTTTTGTATTTTTAGTAGAGACGGGGGTTTCACCATGTTGGCCAGGCTGGTCTTGAACTCTTGACCTCGTGATCTGCCCACCTTGGCCTCCCAAAGTGCTGGGATTACAGGCGTGAGCCACCCCGCCTGGCCCTCCAACCTTTATTTTAGGTTCAAGGAGCACACGTGCAGGTTTGTTACATGGGTAAATTGTGTGTTGCTGGGGTTTGGTGTGCAAATGATTTTGTCACCCAGCTCACAGGTAGTGAGCATAGTACCTGATAGGTAGTTTTTCAACCCTCACCCTCCTCCTACTGTCTCCCCTCAAGTAAGGCCCCAGTGTCTGTTGGGCCTCTTTTTATCTCCATGTGTATTCAGTGTTTAGCTCCCACTTATAAGTGGGAGCATGTGTTAATTTGTTTTTTGTTGTTGCTGCTTTTAATTCACTTAGGATTATGGCCTCCAGCTGTGTCCATGTTGCTGCAAAGGAGATGACTTTGTTCGTTTTTATGCCTATGTAGTATTCCGTGGTGTATGTGTACCACATTTTTTTAATCCAGTCCACTGTTGATGGGCATGTAGGTTGATTCTGTGTCTTTGCTATTGTGAATAGTGCTGTGATGAACATACACATTCATGTGTCTTTTTGGTGGAATGATTTACATTCCTTTGGGTGTATACTGAGTAATGGGATTGCTGGGTTGAATAGTAATTCTATTTTAAGTTCTTTGAGAAGTCTCCAAACTGCTTTCCACAGTGGCTGAACTAATTTACAGTCCCACCAGCAGTGTATAAGTACTTCCCTTTCCTCTGCAACCTCACCAACATCCGTTATTTTCTGACTTTTTAATCATAGCCACAATAAGGAGATTTTCATTTATGTGGTTATCTCTCTGTTACCAGAACAAATTCAAATTAAGGCTTGGTCCTTCTCATTCATCTATTTAGCAAATCCTTGTTGAGCATTTACCATAGGAAGGCTATAAAAATAAGATTTGGAACATAAACTGGATCAATTTAGAATAAAATTATATTCAATGGTGCTTGTTATATTTATGAGAACTATTTTCACAAAATTTTCTTTGGCTTTATTCACTTTTTGAAAAATCTGTGTCCCAAGTTCATATATTAAAGAACTATTGCCTTGTAATATACACTTATGGTTGTAAATTGAGAAGCTGGACTAAACATGCTTTATTACTTTGGAAGTGTGGTCAAATGTGTTTCCTGAAAAAATGCCATTTTACTTGTTTTAGACACTAAACAATATTCTTAAAAGAACTGCAAAGCAAGGAGGTACATTGTGGATTTTTTCATGGTTCTTTGCCCTGAGGTTTCCTCGCTTTCTTTTTTTTTCTTGACAGTACTGGTGCATTAGTTTGCTGTTAACCAAAAAACAAAATACTGCCATTAATTAGCTTAATTTCATGTTTAAGAGGATCCTGGTGTATGTGGTATGAAGATACAATGAATGACATTTTGATGCAACCCAGGTCTTAGGAAGTGTGAAGGATATCCTTTTAGAGCCCTGCATCTTATTTTAGAGACAAAGCTTTCTATGGATATATGGTGGGTCATACTACTCTTCCAGGGTAACCTACCTCCTATGCTGTTTTTAGAGCCTGCTTTGCTGGTGATCCGTCTGTGTGCCCAGTGAACTGTGCCTTCCTCAGCCTGCTTTTCTTGAATGTCCAAGTGTTGTCTGCCAGCAGGTGCTCAGACTGGTTTATTTGTTTTAGGGGTCTGTGTTTTTCCTACTCTTTTTTCTTTTTTATTTTCTCCCCTTTTCTCTTTTTAAAATTGTGGTTAAATATACATAAGATGTGGTTAAATATACATAAGATTTACCATTTAAAATATGCATTTCAGTGGCAGTAAGTGCATTCACATTGTTGTACAACTGTTGCCACTAATAAAAATTTTTAAACCAAAAAGTTTTTTTAATTAAAAAGTTGGTTGACAAAGTAAAAAAAAAAATAGAGGTATTGGTTACCTTTTTCAAGACATTAATAATGACCAATTTTTGTTGTTGTTTTGGTTCGAAAAATTACTGTAATCACAATTGATTCTTTGGGATTATTATATTGGGAAATTATATAATGCCAGTTGATTATTTGGGATTATGTATTGTCTAGTTAGTATTTATTGAGCAGTAATAGAACATTTACGTTATGTCATGCCACTAATTTTGTACAGTTGCAGAAAAATATTTGTTTGAAACTCTTTTAAAAATATTTAAATATGCTCAATTTGAAAAAACAATTCCAGCTCTTGTAAGGATTATGAACATCTAGCTGTTGCAACAAATGGCCCTGAAAACACACAAATCTAACTCAGGTTTTATTTCTTTGCAGTTTCTTGGACATTGATATTCAAAGGTCAAATATTTAATCTGAAAATCTAGGTAATTAAAAACGTAAGAGATGAATTGCATTCCTTCCTGCCCTCCACCCAGATAAATTGGATGTGTTATCTATATGGGAATTCATGATTTAATATGTGATTATTATAAGTCTGAACAACTTACTTGGTTATAGGATATCTTCATAACTTTTTTCCTTTAGTGTCTTCTTAAAAGTTAGTAATACACAAGCAACCAAAGGAAAAAAATAGATAAATTGGACTTCATCAAAATTAAAAATGTTCATACTTCAAAGGACACTGTCAGGAAAGTGAAGGATAAAAGATAACCCTCAAAATGAGGGAAAATATTTGTAAAACATGTATCTTATGAGGATCAGCAGAATATATCTAGAATATATAAAGAACTCTTACAACTTAATAATAAAAAGACAACTAATCCAGTATAAAAATGGTAAAGAATTTGGATAGGCAAGAAAATACACAAATGGCCAGTAAGAACATGAATAGATGCTTAACGTTGGCCAGGCATGGTGTCTCACGCCCGAAATCCCAGCACTTTGGGAGGTTGAGGCAGGAGGATTGTTTGAGGTCAGGCATTCAAAACCAACCTGGGCAACATAGTGAGAACTCTGTCTCTACAAAAAAATTCTAAAAATCAACCGGACCTGTAGTCCCAGCTATTGGGGAGGCTGAAGCAGGAAGGATCACTTGAGCCTAGAGTTCAGTGCTGTGATGATCTAAGATTGTGCCACTGTACTCCAGCCTGGGCAACAGAGTGAGACCCCAATTCGTATTAAAAAAAAAAAGAAAAGATGCTTGTCATCATTAGTCACCAGGAAAATGCAAATCACAACAATGAAATACCACTTCACACTTACTAGGATGGCTAGGGTCAGAAAGATAATAACAAATGTTGGTGAGGATATGGAGAAATTAGAAACCTTGTGCACTGATGGTGGGAATATAAAATGGTGCTGCAGCCACTTTAGAGAGTTTAGTAGTTGCTCAAAAAGTTAAACATAGAATTACCATATGACCCAGCAGTTCCACTCCTAGCTATATACCGAAGAGAACTGGAAACATGGGCACACAAAATAGTGTGTATAAGTGTTCATAGCAGTATTATTCATAAATGCCAAAAAGTGAGAAAAACTGCTGAAAACAAAATGTGGTATATCCATACAATGGACTGTTATTCAATCATAAAAATGAAGCATGAATATATGCTACAATGTGGATCAACTTCAAAAACATTATGCTAAGTGAAAAAAGCCCGACACGAGAGGCTACATATTATAGGATTTCATTCATATGAAATATCCAGAATAGTTAAATTCATAAAGATAGAAAGTAGATTAGTGGTTCCCAGGGTATGGGAGGAGAGGTTGCTCATGGGTATGGTATTTCTTTCTGGGGTGGTGAAAATGTTCTGGAATTAAATGGTGATGATGGTTGCACAACTTTGTGAATATACTAAAAACCACTGAATCATACATTTTTAAAAGGCTGGATTTTATGATATGTAAATTAAATCTCAATAAAAAGAAAGAAAAGAAGGAAATGATACCACCAATGATGATAATAATGGTAATAGTAGAAAAGGTGGTGGTGATGATAGAAAAGGGAGAAGTGGCAGTGATACTAATAGCAGCTGATAGTATACGTGCAAAATCTTATTTAATCCTCACAAAAGCCATATGAGTTAGGCTCAGTGGAGCCAAGTAATTTGCCCAAGGTCATATAGCTCATCAGTTCTCAAACGTGTTTGCACATTGGAATCACCTGGGAACTTTAGTCACCTGGGAAGCTTTTAAAACCTATGCTACCTGAGCCTCACCCAAGGGAGTGTCAGCTACAGTATTTTTTAAGTGCCTCCGGGATTCAAATATACAGCCATGGTTGACAACCACTGACATAAATGATAGTCTTCTAGTTCTAACTTGTAAGAGTCTGTGTTTAATCCATGGGAATAAATTCAGCATTTTGAAAGCCACATTAGCCCCTTGCCTGACCTTGCTTTCTCTAATTCCTAAATTATGTAGTATTGAAAAGTGACTTTTGGCCAGGTGCGGTGGCTCATGCCTGTAATCCCAGCACTTTCGGAGGCCAAGTTGGGCAGATCAGTAGAGGCCAGGAGTTTGAGACCAGTCTGGCCAACATGGTGAAACCTCATCTCTACAAAAAATACAAAAGTTAGCTAGGCGTGGTGGTGCATGACTGTAATCCCAGCTACTTGGGAGGCTGAGGCACAAGAATCACTTTAATTCAGAAGGCAGAGGCTGCAGTGAGCTGAGATCGCGCCACTGCACTCCAGCCTGGGCAACAGAGTGAGACTGCTCAAAAAAAAAAAAAAAAGAAAAGAAAAAGAAAAGTGACTTTTCAAGTCAGAGAAAGAAGACAGGAAGGACTATGTTTAATATGGAGTCATCTATAGGGAAAGGTGAAAATAGTGGACGTTCCTTCTCATAACTCCTCTGTACTTGTTTCTAGTATGGTCTAGTATCTCGCAAAGGTCAGCAGTGCTGTGACAGTCCTTCTTAAGATCTGAAAGAAATAATACAGCTTTTATAAGTACCTGATTATCTGGGAGCATAATTTAGGTGCTGAGTGTATCTGGGCCATTTGAGTTTTCTTCTGCTGGCCTCAGATCTCTCTAGTCCATAATTTAGGCTCCGGTTTCAAGTGTTGATTCATTCATACAAAAAATATTTCTTAAGTACTTGCTCTGTGCAAAGTATTGGTCTGTGTGTTTGGGATATATCAGTGAACAAATTAAACAAAAATGTCTGTCCTTAGGAGCTTTCATTCTGGTGGGAGACTATAGTCAATAAACAATACAAGCAATTAGTATGTTATATAGTGTATTAGGAGATGATAAGTGATTTGGGAAAATAATAAAGCAGAGTTAGGGACATTGAGATTGCTTTGTAGATTGCAATGTTAAATAAGGTGGTTCAAGGTAGGTCTTCTTGAGATTTGAGCAAGGAGATGAGGTGTTTCACCATGTGGATATCTGGGAGAAGAACATACCAGGGACAGGGAACAGCTATAGCAAAGGCCCTAAGGTGAGAGCACGCCTGGTGCATTTGAAGGATATCAGGACGCTTGCTGGCTGAGCAGGAGAGGTCAGAGAGGTAACGAAGGGCTAGATTATTTGGGGCTTTGAAGGCCATCATAATAACTTTGACATTTACTCAGAGTAAACTAGGGGACTGTTGCAGGTTGTTGAATGGGAAAGTGACATGATCTGACAAAGTCTAAAAAGATCACTCTGGCTGCTCTGTGGAGAGTAGATGATGAGGGTGAAGAGCAACCAAGATCTCTTAGGGGCCTATTACAATATTCCAAATGAAAGAGAGTGATGGCTCAGATTGGGGCTGGGGCAATGAAAGGGGTAAGAAAAGGTCGAATTCTAGGTATATTGTGAGGTAGAGCCAGCATGGTTTCCTGATAGTTTAGATATGAGATATGAGAAAAAGAGATCAGTCAAGGAAGACAACAGGATTTGGGCCTGAACACTTGAAAGATTAGTTGCCATCAACTGAAATGAGGCAGCTACAAGATGAAGCTAACAGGGTCACCTATCAGTAGTTCATTTTTGGACATGTTGAGTTTGACATGGCTACTGAGACCTCCAAGTGGCTGTTAGTCTTCCAAGTGGAGATAGCAGGTAGCCAGTTGGAGAGATTTTGGAGTTTGGGGAGAAAGGCATTTAAAACCTTGAGCCTTGATGAGATCACCAAGGGAGTGAATGCAGTACTTAAAGAAGACCAAGGACTCAGCCCAGGGACATTGCAACATCAAGAGACAGAGAGAAGAGAAGGAACCAGTAAAGGAGACTGAGGAAGAAAGGTCAATGAGGTAGGAAAACCAAGATAGTGGAGTCTTATTCGGGAAGCAAAAGTGAAGAGTGTTTCAAGGTGGAAGGAGTGGTCAGCTATGCCAATGCTGCTCATAGGTCAAGTAGGATGAGAACAGAGAGTTGACCCTTGGATTTAGCATTAGTGACCTTGAAGAGCAGTTTCAGTGAAATAGGTTGAAAGAGAAAAATTGAAGATAGTGATTATAAAACACTCTTGAAAATTTTGCAGGAAAGGGGAGCAAAGAAATAGGTGAGAGCTGGAGAGAAAAATGTGGTGGAGATTTTTATTGTTTGAGATGAGAACAAGAGCAGCGCGTTCATAAGCTGTTGGAAAAGTTCCAATAGAGGGTGAAAAATGGATGAAGTAGGAGAGAGAAGGGAAACTTGCCAGAGTGACTTCCTTGAGTAGGTAGAAGGGATGGGCTCCAGTGTACAAGTGGAGGGACTGGCTTTGCACAGGAGGAGGAAAATAAACCTAGAAAGACATGGGAAAGGGGGTTTGTGGATGCAAATGTGGCTCAGTGGGGAGATGTGTCATGAGAATCTGTGGAAGTTTCTTCTGATTGCATAAATTTTCTCAGTGAAGTAGGAGGCCAGGATGTCAGTTGAGAGGGCAGAAGGGAGGAGGTAGCGTTAGGATTTGAGGAGAGAGGAGAAAATGTGAAACAGTCATTTAGGGGAGAGAGAAAGAGTAAATGAACCTAGAGATGTGAAGTATGATTTGCCAGGCAGCATTAAGGGACCCAACTTGAAATTTGGTATTATAAAACTAAAGTCAGGCAGCATGGGTGGAGGGTGTGTGTGTGTGTGTGTGTGTGTGTGTGTGTGTGTGTGTGCGCGCGCGCGCGTGCGCGTGCATGCATGTAGTAATCAGTTCTGCTTTTGCTAAGCAAATGTATCACAGCAAGAGAGAGGCAAGGGATTCAGTAGTATATATAAGAGATTAATTATAATGATTGACCATGGAATTTAAGCTAAAAAGAGGAGAGTGGAAGTCAATTGGAGTGGGTCAGTAAAAAGATGGTAGTTTTGAGTCCTGGTGCAGTTGAAGGATAATTGGGTTAAGGTACTATAGGAACTGAGAGGGACTTGGAAAAATAGGTGATGCATGAAGTTGAGATGATGGAGGGGTTGTGGTTATTGGTAATAATAAGGTCTGGGTATGACCCTGGGAGTACATGGCTGCAGCAATGTAGAGGACAACATCCATAAAATGGAGGAATTCAATAAACTGAGACTCAGATTGCTGGAATGGTTGTCTATATATTGAACTTGCTAAAAATTAAGACACTTGCCTTCAAATAGTTTGTGTGAGAATATCAGTAGGCTCCTATATTCAGAGATTTTAGGAATGATTTAATCTAGTGATTCTCAACTGAGACCCAGGGGGGTATGGAAATACATATCACATGCTATACAAGCCCTCTGAAGACGTTGATTGCCTGGCTCCCATTGAGAATCACTTAACTATTAAGTGCTATTGCTAAGTGGTTGGTAGATGTGCCCTCAACTGCACTGGGTAGAAACTGTTAGGAACTTTTGAGCTAGTCTATTCATCCAGTACAGGAATGGCTTCTATAGCATCCTTGCCAGGATCATCCACCCTTTTTGGCGGAATGCTTTAAATAACAGCACCTTGTGAAGCAGTCCTAGAAGCAATTAATTGCATAGAGAAATCCAAGAACTGTTTTGTTCATTCTTAGCAGATAGAATATATTTTTATGCTGGTAGCTTAAGCACTTAAACAAGGAAAGGATATGTATTTTACTTTGTGTCATAATGCTGAGAACAGTGGTGAAAATTTTATCTGTCAATGATGTATTTTCCCTTGCTTCTACCTTGTTACTAGCTTTCATTTTGATGACTCTTTTTCCTAGTCTCCCTAGGAGGTGAAGAAAGTTCCAACAGAATTGGGAAAGGTTTACCTCAGGGAGACTGAAATGACCAAGGGGATGGGAAGAATGGGAATTGTCTAATATAATAAATAAGTGTGGACAAACCAGAGCTGAGAAGAGATTTAGCTGGAATCTGTATTACAGGGTATGTATAAGGCAGATATGGACCTGATTTCCCAAATTCCAGATTGCTATAACTCAGAGACATTCCCTAAATCTTAAAATGGTTTTACCATTTACAAATAAAATGAAGGCCTTACTGAACAGAGCAGGCAGTAATCTATGGAGTACTTTATATTAAGAGATGATCTAGGCAAAAAGTAGATATGATTCAAAAAGCCTACAGTGAATTCTCATTAATGACAGTTGTACCTAATTCAAGTTGAGAAGTACTTGGCCTAAACTTTTGAGTCTGTTATTTTGAAAAGCAATCATGTTTTTCTTCCCAGTATTTATCTATATAATATTTTTACTAGGTCCTCTACTAGTTAGGTTCACCCAGATTACATGTTCTTGTGTTTTATGAAACTTAATAAGGAGCATTATTTTGTTTGGCATGATAGTGTATGTGATTAGCCTGATGAAAGCATTTAGAACATAGAATCTCCATGCATGCATCTGGTTTGGCTTCTTCCTTTTACAGGTGGGGAAAAACAGGACCCAAAGAGGAAGAGTAACATGCTCATATTCACACAGTGAGTTTGTAGCCAACGTGAGACCACATGATAGGTCTCCTGATTAAGACTGTTATATGTTTTTCCATGACAGTGTGTTGGTTTATATTACTGGGCAGTTGGAGAAATGAGCACAGAGTGTTAATTTACCTAAGTTGCATGGGAAATCACTGGCCAAGCCAGATGAGTTCATTGGCTACAGAACTCCCTTAGCCTAGGTGCTCTCTGACGTGAGTAAGATTTTAATGAGACTGTGTGGAAATGATGATGATAGCTGAGATTTTGGGCTTTCTGGCTTATTTCTTTTAAATAGATCTTTTTAAATAATTTAGATCATCTGGAATGATGGAGATGCTTTATCCCACGGTCTTTGCACTTAACAAAGTACAGCTAAGGATAGATAGTTAATTTAAAACTCGTGCATTCCTTATAAATGAAAGATAATTTATATTTATTTTTAATTATTTTCCTTGGAGTCACAACAGGTTATTATTCTCTTCGGTTTGAATTTTAATTCTTATTTGTAAGAATAGTAGGTGCTGTTAATGTCTTTTTGTTACTTAATATCAGATTTAAGGCAAACAGGTTAAATTACAGTACTATAACTATAGTATAGGCAAATTATTATTCTAGAAAGAGATTTTTAAATTTTCCTGATAGATATAACTTCTATATTAACTTAGAACTTAGTTTTATATCCTTGGCTCCACCAGTGTCTTGTTTCATTAAGCCAAAGTGTGCATTTAAAAAAATTTTTATTTTTATTTTAGAATTGGGGGTACATGTACAGGAAGTCTAATTATTCCATTGCCCCATAGATCGTTTTTCAATCCTTGCCCCCCTCCCTCCCACTTTGAAGTCTCAGTGTCTACTGTTCCAATCTTTTTGTCCATGTGCACTCAGTGTTTAGCTCCCACTTGTGAGAACATATCGTGTTTGGTTTTCTGTTCCTGCCTTAATTCACTTAGGATAATGGCCTCCAGCTGCACCCATGCTGCTGTAAAGGACATGATTTTGTTCTTTTTTATGGCTGTGTAGTATTCCATGGTGTACATGTACCATGTTTTCTTTGTCTAATCCACCGTTGATAGGCACCTGGGTTGATTCCCCATCTTTGCTATTGTGAATGGTGCAAAGCATGCAGAAGAAACAGGGACATTATTGCTCCAAAGGGGTGAACATTAATTCTTGAGGGGCAAAAAATCTTTACTCTTTTTATCTATAAGGCACAAATAAATGTGCAATACATAAACACATATACAGTGTATCTGTAGTATTAATATTTCAGTGGGATGGTGTGTCAAAATTAGGGGGAAAATGTCTTAAAAGGTTCCTGGTGGGGCGGCTGTACTGAAAATGGTTGAGAAACACTGAGCTGAAGGATCTGGTTGCATGTGCTAAGCTCTACCCTAGAGGAAATTCCCAGATACCATTGGATTCATTGTGATGGTCAAACTTCTAGGGAAGTCACAGTTTCCGCTATGCATTAAAGGTACGACTTCTCATGGGCCAGGAAATGAAGTGGTTAGGACTGCCTTTACATTTGGGTGGCGCTTTTTAGATATCTCCAGTCATAGAAATTTTCCTTGTCTATACCGTCTTTTCTTAAATTTCCTTAACCTCAAAGTTTGGCTGTAGCTCAAGGAAAGGGATGTAGATAAAACCTCAGCTGCTTAGTTGAGTTACCCACAGTCCTATCAGAGTCTGGTTTGTGGCTGTGGAAATCATCCATTTGGATGTGTCATTTATAATTTGATAATGTCCCTTTATTGTCATCATGAAAGGAGAAACTGGGTCAATGCTTTTTGCCAAATGTGACAAATTTTGAAAGTTGATTGCTCCTGCCACACCTCCTCTTTGGTCTCCAGTGAGATTGTCTTCTCTTTCAATTTGTCTGGTACATCAAATAACCTAATTGCAAGCCTAGATGATCTAGGCATCATACTCAGGACTGTGCCTTAAATTGAGAGGCACTGGGTAAGTAAGAGTTGGTTTTAAGGGCAAGGAAAAGAAGATGGTAAGTAGAAGCCTGATGAGTTGTTTTTTGTTTGTTTGTTTGTTTGTTTGTTTCAGGCTAGGTTGTCACTGTTTCACATGAGAAGGTAGTATTATGTACAGTGACCTTGTTTAAAGTGTCAGTTTAATGTTACCACTAAGGCCCTGCCCCAGCTTTATCACCTGAGCACTAACAAGTGCTGTGTGGAGTTCAGTCCATGCTGGTAACTCTTGAGTATTCAGTGGGTCTTTTAACAATTACCACCGTGGAGGAGAGAGCAAGGAAGAGAAATGCTGTGATCTTTTACTGTTTTTAATTAGTGAAAGAGGGATTAGATTAAACAAATGTTACAGAGTTGTGACTTTGATCCCCCAGTGGTAAGCAATAATTGTAGAGACTGGATTTCAAAAGCCCTGAGAGTTTATTTTCAATCTATCTATTATAGTTCAATCCCCAGTAATGCAGATGGAGGAGGATTAGTGGAATCTTAATAGTAGAAACAATAATTCTTTCTGTTGTAGTTTTCTGTTTTCCCATTATAAATGTAAAGAATTGATCATTTATTAACATGTATCCCCCTTGTTACTTGTAACAGGATTCCATGGCAGAAATCTCAGATTCCAATTCAAGGAATCATTTGCACCTGCTGTACAGAGCAGTGGCTAAGAAATGTGTACCTGCTGGGTGTGGTGGCTCACACCTGTGATTCCAGCATGTTGGGAGGCCAAGGCGGGTGGATCACGAGGTCAGGAGTTCGAGACCAGCCTGGCCAACATGGTGAAACCCCATCTCTACTAAAAATACAAAAATTAGCTGGGCGTGGTGGTGGGCACCTGTAGTCCCAGCTACTCAGGAGGCTGAGGCAAGAGAATTGCTTGAACCCGGGAGGCGGAGGTTGCAGTGAGCCAAGATCACAGCACTGCACTCCAGCCTGGTGATAGAGCGAGACTCCATTTCAAAAAAATAAAAAAAGAAATGTGTACCTAAACACAAGGTCTATCTGTGATACTTGGGCTGCTCTCCTGAGAAAGCAGATGGCTAATGCCTTAAATAAAATTGTTTTTCTAAACTAAATGATGATTAAATACAAATTTGACTCTAATGTTACAGAAAATAAAACAATATCAAATTTGTTAGAGGAGAATCGTTAATGAAGACAGTTCTAATCAGGTCTGTCTTTACCCGTGTTCTCTTGGAAAATGGCTTCATGTTTCTGGACCCCAGTTTCCTAACCTCTAGGATGGGTAGAACTCTAGGATAATGTAGAATTATATTAACATTACTTTCTATGAAATTGAGTTCCTTGAGTCAGACTTACTTGCTTCTCTTTTTAACCCAGGACCTAATATTGTAGAGCCAAAAAAATGGATACTCTGACAGTTGTCTAAATGTGAATGTTGTGGTCAAAAATTAAATAAATATGTGTTGATCTCTATCTGTGTGTGTGGGTGTATGTGTGTATAGAAGGCATAATTTGATGGAGGAGATTGTCTTGTAAGAGAAAAAGGGGAAGAGGAAAAAAATAAGGAATAAGAGTATGAGAAAAATGATGAGACTTTGTTTTAAAAGTTCACCCTTAAAATTAACTGTAAGCAAATGAATCATGGGAAATCTCTTCAAATTAGTTACCCTGGAGGCACTGCTCTTCTGCCATCTTGCCATCTTGAAAAAACTTTTTTAGTACTTTCTTTGGAATTATTTTTAGACCTGGGTATGAACCACTTAAGTCATCTTTATTTTTTTTTTTCATGGTAAAGTCTTGTACTGGTTCTGAACGATTTTTGATTTGATTCTGAACATTCCTTTTAGGATTTTCAAGAGTGTGCTTAAGGTTCTGGAGATAGGACTTTACAATGGAACTATTATTGGAATTAGAATAAAGCTTTCCTTTACAACATTGGAGAGGATAGCACTCACTCTGATGTTTAGTTCAGTTTATTAAGAATTTGTGTGTATGTGTGCATAGGGAAAAAAAAAAACAACAACTAGGAAGACAAAATACCAGAGTATTGATTCGTATCTTTGGTGATTTAATTTTCTTCTTGTTTTTTTTTTTTTTTTTTTTTTTTTTCAAGAGTGAGTCTTGCTCTGTCACCCAGGCTGGAGTACAGTGGCATGATCTTGGCTCACTGCAACCTCCACCTCCCGGGTTCAAGCAGTTCTCCTGCGTCAGCCTCCCCAGTAGCTGGGACTACAGGCACACGCCACCACGCCCAGCTAATTTTTGTATTTTTAGTAGAGACGGGGTTTTACCACGTTGGCCACGCTGGTTTCGAGCTCTTGGCCTCGTGATCCTCCTGCCTCGGCCTCCCAAAGTGCTGGGATTACAGGTGTGAGCCACCGTGCCTGGCCTAATTTTCTTCTTTATACTTTTCTCTTTTTTCCAAATTTTCTACAATGAATATATTATTTATAATCAAGAAAAAGAGAAAAAATAGTATTATTATTTTCTGGTCATGTTCATTATATGTTCAAATATTAGTAGAAACCATTCTTGATATGTGAGCAGGTGTCCCAGGTGTCAAGGGAGAGCAGATTCACTTTCCTGAATCTAAAGCCAGGTGGTAGAACCAGGTACGGTGCTTAGGCCTGTTTCTTTAATAAGTACTATTTTTAATAATGGATTTCAAAGTTTGCCCTTTTCAAGCAGTTTAGTGAAAAAGAATAAATTGATTCTCGTAATTATTTTGTGATTTCAAAAAACATTTTATTTCAGTTTGCCAAGAAGTGGATTGTAATATCAAAGTGTAAGTTTATTTCTCTGATGCTAGTGAAATCATTTCTTTCTTAAAAGAATTTTTTATTCAAACAGTGTGGTTTGATTTAAGAATATCATTCAAAAATAGGTACAACTTCTCTATGCAAATTGAAGTATCTTAGTTTTAGTAAGTTTGGTCATGCTTATTACTCAGATGGAAAAGAACATGTTTATAATACAGGAAAAACATTTTGTGCAGGGAAGGGGATGTAAAGAAAACTTTAAATATGGAAAAAACTTCTTAAGATGATGCCAAATAATTGCTACATTAAGGAAATAAAAACTGAAATATGAACACAGAAAATATCTAGGAGGTCTGTTAGGCGTGTTGGGGGGTGTGGTCATGGAAATTCTTAATATTTGAGTCGTATATAAAAATGTAAAATAAAAACTTATTTACATAGCTAATGCTTGCAGCCTCTGCCTGACAGTTCTATTAGACATTCAGCGGATATTTCAGCATCTCTCCTGTATACTTAGCACTATGCTGGAGGCTGTGCGGTGTAGAAGAACCATTAGCGATTGTCCATGTCTGCAAGGAGTTTATAGTATAGTTGAGGATGGCATTTTGACTCGAGATGAGTATTAATACTAGCATGTTCTCTGAAGGGCCACTTGAATAGTAAGGACAACAAGGACAAATGGCACACAGGCAGAGGTAATTAGGGGCTGAAATCATCTAGAGAAGTTTCTCAGAATATGAGGGAGGATATTTTCACTGCCGACAAGAGAGAATGATTGAGTCTTTTTAATGCTTTTTTTCCTTTTTTTTTTCATTGAAAATCTTTGTTATAGTCCTTACTTAAAAGTAAGGACTGCCGGGTGCCGTGGCTCACACCTGTAATCCCAGCACTTTGGGAGGCCAAGGCGGGCAGATCACGAGGTCAGGAGATTGAGACCATCCTGGCTAACACGGTGAAACCCCATCTCCACTAAAAATACACAAAATTAGCCAGGCGCGGTGGCGGACGCCTGGAGTCCCAGCTACTCAGGAGGCTGAGGCAGGAGAACGGCCTGAACCCGGGAGGCGGAGCTTGCAGTGAGCCGAGATCGCGCCACTGCACTCCAGCCTGGGTGACAGAGCGAGACTCCGTCTCAAAAAAAAAAAAAGTAAGGACTTAAAAACCTGAGGATTTTAGCCAGAATTTTCCTGTTCTAATTAGACCTATGTCAGTGGTTCTCAATTGGAAGTGATTTTGCCCCCCAGGGGACATTTGGCAGTCTTATAGGCATCTGGTGGATAGAGGCAGGGGATGCACAGGACACCCCTCTTTCCCACCTACCCACACACCAAAGAATTCTCCAGCTGGAAATGTCAATAATACTGAGATTCAAAACCCCTGGTCTACATGTGCTTGAGGAACAGTGAAGAGATAATGGAGCCTAGCCACCTGTCTACCATTTGTTTTATGTGACCAATGCCTCAAGGAGTTATAGGGCTGGGCTGTGAACAGTTAGTAAGTGGCATATGATTAATTATTCAGTCCTGAGTTATTCAGCGTACTTCAGTGAAAATCACAGTCTAAACCAGGGACTTAATAAAGGATTACTGACAAAAGAGAACTATATATGAATGAAACATCATCTTTTTGTACTTGACCCAAGTTTGTGTCATATCCAGTAAGCCAGTAGTTGTGCATCAAAACATTGTCCATGTCTCAACTCTTTACATGTTATCAAGACCTCTGGCCTTAATGGAAAGAGTATAGACTTTAGAATCAGAGAGTCCTAGATTTCAAGTTCTGGTTCCAGCTATGTGACTTTGGATAAGTTACCTAATCTCTCTCAGTTATAGTTTGTTCTGTAAAAGAGAATAATAAAATAAATCTTCTGTAAAAGAGGATAATACAATAAAGAAGATATATGTTTATTTCTATTGTGTGTAGAAGGCATACTTTGATTGTTGTGAGGATTAAAGAAACATTGTAAGTACCTAAAATATTACCTTGCACATATTTAGCACTTAGTAAATGTTATCTATTACTAACCCTTAGGAAAATTTTGCAAGGTAAATATTGTTATACCTACTGCGTAAATGTAGAAACTGAGGTACAGAGAAGGCATAGCTTGTATAAAACCACACAGTAAATAGTAGAAGTAGGATTCATATCCATGCCTTATTTCCAAATTCATATGCTTGTCATATTGCCTGGTAAATAATGGAGAAGGGAAAAAATCAGAAAAAAGGAAAAAAATACTTTTTAAAAAGCAACTTTTCCCCTTCCCCCATACTGAAATTTCCCTCTTTGCCTAGGTTTTGAATTCTCTAAATGTTTCATGTAAGTCAAAATTGCTATGAGAGATGCATTTTATGCTTCTAAAGTTAAGTGTGCCCTCAGATTTGTAAAGAGGTGGCAAATAATTTCATATATTTCAAGTTTTTTTAACTTCTTATTGTTAAAAAAAATCATCCCAAGGCTTAAGAATTTCCAATTTAAAATCTTTATTCTAGAGGCTATAGTTTTGTTTCTGACACTTTCTGGAAGAATCTATGCTAATGACCAGCACCGCCAGATTTTTTCATGATATTTTCATTTTTATCCATGCATCCACTGGTGTCAACTTACTAGAGTACTAAAACTGAATCAGATGTTTTTAGGACCACAGTTTAACATACTAATTGTGCCTTCCAGAATAATTTATTTTACATCACTTAACAGCTGCCCCTTTCTGCATCCCTGAAGTTCCATAAGAATCAGCTGAGGAGGTGAATTTTATTTATTCTTTCCTAGTCTAGAGTTTTGTGGCATCAATAAAACCATAGATGCTAGAGCCAGTTTCAGCAACTACCTGCTAAAGGCATAAATCCTTCTTAATAGGGATGACATTTCCATGCCCTGAATCCTGGGGAGAAAAATCTAGCAAGCACGAAAAGATTTATGTAATTCTTTTCTATGAGAAGAATAGTTGTACAGTGAGTGCATGTGGATGGAATTTTAATAAACATTGAACCAGGCAGAACAGAATTTTTTTAAAAGCCATAGGTATATAAAATATCATCTAAGTTTTTTGAGCAATGTTAATATGCGAGCAGTCTACTTTGGGTAAACAAAAATGAATTGTTTTTCTCGTTGTGTCAATTTGTATGTTTCTAAGTTCCTTAAAATATAAGCAGCGGAACATAATGAACTCTCTTGTTAGTTGACTAAATTCTTCATTGTTTATAATATGAGCAAAAGTCCTTCTGGCTTATTATAATTAGCCTGAAACCTGATTGTAAACTCTTAGTCAATTGTGAACCTGATTAATTTGTCTAAGGTCATACAGGTAGGCAGAGCCAGGAATGAAAGACAAGTTTTCTGACCACTAGTTCAGTTTTCTTCCTACTATTTTGACTTTTTCATAATTTTATCCATTCTAATTGGGGCATTAATTTTTTTTTCAAAGTTTTAATTGCGATACACAGCATAAAATTATTAAATTTCAAAAAATCTCTTCGAATAGGTAAATAATACATGAACATGTAACAAAAATTAAAGGTTTACAGTATACAGTGATGAGTCTAGCTCCTACTCCTAACTCCCGTCCCTCCCAGTTCTCTTTGCAGGCAGCCACTGTAAAGAATTAAGCATTTCGGCCGGGTGCCGTAGCTCACGCCTATAATCCCAGCACTTTGGAAGGCCAAGGCGGGCGCATCACGAGGTCAGGAGATCGAGACCATCCTGGCTAACACGGTGAAACCCCGTCTCCAATAAAAATACAAAAAAAATTAGTCGGGCGTGGTGGCGGGCGCCTGTAGTCCCGGCTACTCGGGAGGCTGAGGCAGGAGAATGGTGTGAACCCAGGAGGCGGAGCTTGCAGTGAGCCGAGATCGCACCACTGCACTCCAGCCTGGGCGAAAGAGTGAGACTCTGTCTCAAAAAAAAAAAAGAATTAGGCATTTCAAATAGACTGCTTTGGTTTCATAACATGCATAAACTGACATTGTATTGCATTATTCTTTGAGTTGCACTCTGGCCTGCCAAGTTTAGGGGACGCCTAACAGAGGAAAAATATAAGCTGTGGAATTAGAATATGGAGAGATTTATGAACTGAATTTGAAAATTACCCAAGGTCCAAGTTATTTCCAGTAATAGAAGTGAGGGCTCTCTTGCAGAAGTAGTTTATTACTCAGATATTGCCTTTTGTACAAATAGCTTAAAGTATATTATAAGAGCACTCATGTATCTTAATGACAGGTAAAATCCGTGTCTGAGTATTACATAACTACATACAGCTACTTTAAAATCAATAACACATTGGCCAAAAGAAAGAACCATGCTGATGTTTGAATAAACATACTTAGCCTCTGAAACTGTCATCGTAGGACACTGCATGGATCTGCTTCTCTCGGGCCTCTGAGCCTCCATGTCCTACCCTGCTGAAACTTTGGTCCCCTGTCTTTGGATTGGGCACCTAGGCCTTTGGATGAGGAGATAAGGGGGGCTCCAGGAGTACACATGAACCTCTGACCATGCTGCCACTGTTGAGGTTGTACAGAATGAAAAGCAGTAGGGCAGCAGCAGCCTCTTAGTTTTGCCCAGACCAAGGTAGCCTTTAATGCAGAGGTACTGGGTTGATAGCTACATATGACTGCCTCCGTGGCGAGAGTCAGGCTCCAGAAATCTGCAGGCTACAGCCTAGCAGGCCACATTTGAGGCTTCATCCCAGTTTAAAAGGCAGATCTTCCCAAGTGAAAGGAAGAAGGAAGGACACTGCGAAGTTTCTCTCTTTTGATATCTCTGTATGACCAGGTATCTGGCAGGGGAAAGGGTATAGGGAATTTATAGGTAGTTTAGAGAAAGAGAGATGCGAGTAGGTCAGGGAAGAGATAGAGAGGAAAGGCAAGGTGGGAGAAAGTTGTCTTTTTGAGAGAGAAAGTCTTTGACTTCTGTACTGTTACTCTTGGGTTACAGTCTCATGTTCTACTCTAAGGCAGTGTTTTTCGAACTACTGTGTTCATAAGACCCTCCTGGAGCACTTGCTAAAAGTTGAGATTCCATGATCTCTGTCCTAAAGATGCTGACTCAGTGAATCTCAGATAGCGTCCTTGAATACTAGGATAGTTTTAATAAAGTGTTCCAGGTCATTCTGGGGAACACTGCTGGATCAAGGCTGGCCCTTATACTTTGAACAGTGCTAGATGTTTTGCTCCAGATTTGTCCTCCGTTGTAAATACAAACAGCATACTGGGAGTCTTAACTGTAGATGCTTCATTCATATCTGAATTAGAGTTTTTTTCTTTTCTTTTTTTTTTTTTTGAGACGGAGCCTCACACTGTTGCCTAGCCTGGAGTGCAGTGGTGCGATCTCAGATCACTGCAACCTCTGCCTCCTGGGTTCAAGCGATTCTCCTGCCTCAGCCTCCCGAGTAGCTGAGATTACAGGTGCCCACCACCATGCCTGGCTAATTTTTTGTAATTTTAGTAGAGACAAGGCTTCACCATGTTGATCAGGCTGGTCTTGAACTCCTGACCTTGTGATCCGCCGGCCTCGGCCTCCCAAAGTGCTGGGATTACAGGCGTGAGCCACCGCTCCCAGCCCTAGAACTTTTTTCAAAAAGCATTCATATTCCTTTTCACCTGAGTGCCTTCACCTGATATGAATGCCTTGGTGTTGATTTTTTAAATGTTTTTGATTATTTAAAACAATGGAATATTAGTTCATAGTGGCTATGAAAGCATTAGTGCTGTTAATCTTTGCAAATAGAACCACTGGCCTTTTGTTTGTCATAATGGCCCTGCTATTATTTTCCACCTGGACTAATAGTCTGTGATTTTTTTAAAAAATGTACTTAAAAAAAATGTATTCAGGGCCAGGGGTGTGGCTCAGGCCTGTAATCCTGGCAGTTTCGGGGGCTGATTCAGGAGATGGCTTGAGGCCAGGAGTTCAAGACCAGCCTGGGCAACATAGTGAGACCCTGTCTCTACAAAAAACAAGAAATAATTTTAAAAAAAAATAGCCAGGCACAGTGGCAGGCACCTGTATTCCCACCTACTCAGGAGGCTGAGGAAGGAGGATCACTTGAGCCCAGGACTTCAAGGTTGCACTGAGCTGTGATTGTGCCACTGCACTCTAGCCTGGGCTACAGAGTGAGACCCTGTCTCAAAAATATATATATATGTAGTTAGAACTTTGGTAACAAATAAGTAGCCTTTGTTTCATCATCATAGCCATTTGAACAGTTTAAAATGTAAATGACAAATTTCACTAAGTGTATTTTTCCTTTTCAGATAGGAACCAAGGCTTTAGCCTTCTCAACTCATTGACTGGAACAAACCATAGCATTGGGTCAGCAGATCCCTGTCACCCAGAGGTAAAGGTTTTTCTTGGATCTTTTTTCCCTCTTTGGCTTTAATTTCTCCTTGTCATTATGAATCTTGACACATTCACCATTGTTTTCCTTTCCATTTAAAAGGTGACAGAGAATGTTAAAAATAGATGAAAGGAAGGTCTAAAACAGCCCTTGCTAAAGCAGTAAGCCCTTTCAAGATGTTTACAGCTTTGGTTTTATTTTTACTAGGGTGCTTTCTAAAATATGCTAGGATTTCCCTGAGGCATTAATTTGCCTTCAGATCTTTAAATAGAAAATAAAATTCATGGTGCTTTTTTAGTACTTCCTGTGTAAAAGACCTTGGCAAATCTGAGGCAAGGTCCCTGTCCTCAATGAGCTTGTAGTCCAGTTTCAACCCTGCATCCTTAAGAACTTTGTTCCAGGTTTACCTTGGTCAGCAGCTGGAGCCAAGAGCAAATTATACAGTGCCACATTGTCTTTCCAGGGATCTTTTTCAACAGCCTCTGAGCTATTTGTGTTACGATTGTGTTACATTTTCACATTTTGAATATAACATGGATCTTAAATGAGACAAACAAAAAACATGTTTTAGTAGTCTAAAGCAAAATCAACGCTTTCTAGTTCTTCCTTGGGGGAAAGTACTTCTGGGTTAGTTAAGTTTTAGCCTTTTATTTTTTTAATGTGATCTTGCTCTTCTTTCTTTGCCTCCAGTTCCTATTACTCTTTTCTCAAGCCAACCAAGGACTGAAAGTGTGAGCTTTTTTGGATTTAGTTCTGAAATAGACTACGATTAAATTGTTGCTTATGTGTATTTTCCTCAACAGCAACCCCATTTGCCAGCAGCAGATAGTACTGAATCCCTCTCTGATCATCGGGGTGGTGCATCTAACACAACAGATGCCCAGGTTGATAGCATTGTGGGTAAGTTCCTCCTTTGGCTGCCAAGAGAGAGCTTTGTGCAACTTGGAATAGGTATCTGGGCAGAAATTGTTGAGGGGGAAATTGACTTTAAACACAGAGAAGGGAAAAAAATTGGTAGTATACCACACATGAATGTGAGCCTTGCCAGTGGCTATCAGAAAAAGGAAGAAGAATAAATATATAACAAATATGTGGGTACCATTTTCTCTTTAATTCTCCTAGCAGGATCTTGATTCAGATAATCTTAGCCAAGGCAGACCGAACCAGGTGGCGAAACAGCTAGCTCTGTATCACGTAGTTTTTTCATAATATTTAACAGAAGTCAGAATCGATGGTGACAAGAATAATACAACTTTATATTTATAAGCCCTTCCATATGCTTTTAAAGTTATTTTATATCCCCTTTCTCATTTGGTAATGAAGTTTTGCAGAGAAGTTTAATAACTTGTCCAAGGACATCTAGCAAGAAGGGCCTGGAGCTGAAGCTGGAATCCAGTATGCTGTCCAAAAGCCAGAAAACCAAGGAGCTTACTTGACAATAACTATAAATCTTCTTTCGCTGGGGAACTACTGATATTCCTACTTTATCTTTATGCTACAGACGGCTCATGTGCAGTAATAAATTTTTAAAACTCTTTTTTCTTATGAGATAATTCATGTAGAAAACTCAAGTGATTGGTTATAGAAACATATGAAGAAGAAGAAAAAATTATGTATAATTTTTTTTCTTTCCAGTTTATTCATCCTTAGCCTCTCAATTGAATCCTTCCCATTGGCTTTTAAACCTGCCAGAGTCTCTGCCATTAAAACAAACTAGTAATCACACTGAAGTGGGTGGGGACTTGAAGCACTAACCTAAGTAACTTTAGAAAACAGTAATTGGACTAGATACCGTAAGGCTAAAAACAAAAATAACTGAACACAGATACTGAACTCTACTTAGTAAATTTGTTTCTTATAGGAGCATGGCTCAGCAATTCTGAAATTTTATATATAGATATTTTATACACCACACATATACTGACATATAGAAAATAAAAAATATAGATAGTGAGAGTTAGGTTTCTCACTGCCAGAGGAAAAAGGTTACAAATAAGGAAAAGGGAAGGCCAAGATGTACCCTTTGGTACTGGATTGGAATCTAATGTATCAGTATGAACTCATGGCTTTAAAAATATACTTACAGTTAAGAAAATAAATACAGATGTGTGTGTATATGCGTGTATTAGTATACACACATATATTTCCTAGTTCTGTCCACTGAGAGGCCTAGAAGCAACAATACCACCATAGCAGTGGACACACTTAGCACTCAGATCTTGCTTTCTTTTTGTGTGTGTGTGTTGTTGTGTTTTTGTTTTTGTTTTTGTTTGAGATGGAGTTTCGCTCTTGTTGCCCAGGGTGGAGTGCAGTGGCACGATCTCGGCTCACCGCAATCTCGCTTCCTGGGTTCAAGCGATTCTCCTGCCTCAGCCTCCTGAGTGGCTGGGATTACAGGCATGTGCCACCACGCCCAGCTAATTTTGTTTTGTGTTGTTTTTTAGTAGAGACGGGGTTTCTGCGTGTTGGTCAGGCTGGTCTCAAACTCCCGACCTCAGGTGATCCACCTGCCTCGACCTCCCAAAGTGCTTGGATTACAGGCGTGAGCCACTGCGCCTGGCCAGATCTTGCTTTCTAAATACCATTCTCCAATAAAAGGAACTAGGGCTCCTTGGAGAAGTGGTTGATTCCAGGACTTGGGCAAGAAAAATACAGGATGACCCTGGAGCATCTCTTGGTACCAGAAATTAAGAAAATTCTCAAAAAAGAATGGGGACATGTTGAAAGGGCATAGGGACCAACCTGAAAGAGCTTCCAGTGGCTAAATCTGGAACAATTTGACCAGCAAAGTAGATTAATATAGTATTGGGTTATAACCCATAGAGTAAGCTAAGTATCCATGAGTTCATACTAATATAAATAAATAATTGAATAAACAAATGAGAAAGAAAGGACAGCATCTCCTTCCAGAAGAATCCCAAGTAATAAATATAGAAGGAATGAGGAAAATAGAAAGCCATCATTAGGCACAAAACACAGTAATAGTTCTTGGTAGCATAGGTGAAAGTTTGAGGAGAAGTAGTATATCTGCATAGTCTAAAAGTATCTCTCTCAAGATGTTTATTTATTACAAAGGGGAAAATAGTAACTTTACACTGGAGAAACTCATCAGATGCCAGCCACTTTAATTATGTAATGAAGGTTAACATCACTGGTAATAAGACATATTGACATAATAGCCCTCCTGATAGGATGCAGTGAGAAGGTAATCTCACCAAAAATGCATAACTGCAATCTAATAATAAGAAAACAATCTGACAAACCCAATTAAGGGACATTATACAAAATAACTGACATACAAGTGTTAAAGTCGTGAAAGACTGAGGAACTGTCACAAATTGGAGAAGACTAAGGAGATTTGACAACTAAATTCCATGTAGGATCTTGGAACAGAAAAAGGATATTAGTGGAAAAACCGATGAAGTCTATGGCATGGTTAATGGCATTATACCAATATTAACTTCTTGATTTTTATAATTGTACCATGGTCATAAACGATGTTAACACTAGGGGAAAGTGGGTGAAGAGCATATAGAAACTCTGTGTACTATTTTTGCAAGTTTTTTTTTAAGAGTAAATTAAGAAAAAGATTTAAGGCAAAACCAAATCAACAAAAACCAAACATTTCCACATCTTCCTCCTTATCTCTTTACTAAACTTGTTTCCATTCCTCACCTCCCATTTGCTCCTCACCTCACTCATGTCTGTCTTTTGCCCCTGGTATGCCACTACAACAGCTCTGTGCAAAGGCCAGCAATGACCTCCATGCCGCTAAATCGGGTAGATATTTTCCAGTCCTCATCTTGACCTCGTGGCAGCATTCAGTGTTACAGATCAATTCCTCTTTGAAACATTTTCTTCCCATGCCTCACCCAACACGGTGTCGCCTGGTTTTCTTCCTACTTCTCTGATTATTCCTTCTCTTTCTTTGGTAGATACCCTTCTTTACCCAGCCTTTAAATATTGTCATTCTTCATTGCTGCATTTAAACTCTTCCAAATCTATATTTAGGCATGGAGTGATTCTGTCTACATTAACAGCTCAATTACTATGTATACACAGATAAATCACAAACTTTTATCTTCAGCCCTATATACCAACTTCCTACATGACATGTCCATTGAACGAAAGCAAATATATTAACCAAGATGCGTTTTTAACACCAAATTGTCTATATGGCATTGTGATAGATGCAAATAATTATAAGTCATCATCCTATCTTCATGGAGCTTAGTCTAAAAATATAGAGATAGGACCTATAATGTAATGGTTAAGGTCATAGTCATTGGAGTCCTGTACAGCTGGGTTCAAATCATGGCTTTATCGCTAGTAATGGCCTTACCTTGAATAAATTAACCTCTGTTGGCATTAGTTTCCTCTTCTGTAAAATAACGGTGATAAATCTTTCCTCATAGGGCTGTTGCAAAGATGCAGTGGAACCATGTAAGTTAAAGCATTCAGTGGTGCAGATCCAAAGCAAATTCTCTCTTATGGTAGTAGTACTTATTAAAGTAGTGGTGGAGAAATGTTAGAATACAAGGTAATATATGCAAGTGCTAAGACAGTTCTGGAAACAATAAGTGTAGAAAGAATTCTAAGGAAGGAGACCTGTGAAAGTGGGATGGGCAGGGAAGACATTCTAAACATAGTGGGCCTGGAGTGGAGAAGGAGTTAAAATTCTGATTAAAAACAAACTTTAATAAAGAAGCAGTGTGCCAAGGTAGAAACAGTAAAAGATTTGTAGTAAGAAAATATGAATTTAAATCAGCTCTACCTCTGAATAGCTGTAATTTTAGATGAGTTCATTTTTAGATACAGGTTTTTTTTTCATATCATTTCTGTTATTCTCAGATAATGTTATCTGTTCTAATCACCTTTTATAGTGGTTGTCGGTAATAGATGTGAAAATATTTGTTGTACAGTAAAATATGGCATAAACTTTAGTCATTATTGGTGAATCAGTGTACCTTAGTGGAGTGAGTATGCTTTCCGAGTTGGAAACACCTGCGTCTGAATCAACTTACTAGCTGTCACCTCGGCAAGTCACTTCAACTCTGAGATGTGGTTTTCTCATCTTTAAAATGGAAATAGTACTCCTTACCTCATGACGATGTTGTGAGGATAAAATAGTTACTCTTCATTTGTGAGGGCCCACTAGCAGCCAAGCAGGGTGAGCCATGAGCTGTAAAGCTGGTATACACTGGGCCTTCGATCATTGGTGACTTCATCAAGGTTAGCATTTGCCTTAGGATTCTCTGAGTGTAGCACATATGCAAATAACGTGACAGATAATGTGACAAATCCCTATTTCAGATCCCATGTTAGATCTGGATATTCAAGAATTAGCCAGTCTTACCACTGGAGGAGGAGATGTGGAGAATTTTGAAAGACTCTTTTCAAAGTTAAAGGAAATGAAAGGTAATCAGATCCATTGTGTCTAATATGTTCCCATGTTGATGCTTGTCTGTTTTACGTAGTAGCATTTTATTTTGTTAACTGCTGGATTGGATTCCTTGTTCTGGTCTCAGCTGTCTTGAGAAACTTAGCTACTCCTGGGACTTGGTAAAAAAAAAAAATTCCCTGGGGAAAATTTTTCCATCTTCGTTCTCTTTCTTTTTACTTTTCCTGCTTTTGCCTTGTTTCTTTCAATGTGTTACATAAGGTGGAAACTGTAAGATCCCTACCAATTTACTCACATCATTCCCATCTGGAAAATTTGGAAGACTTAAAAACTTCCTAATACATGTAATGACTACATCATAAACATGTCTTTGAAACCCGTCTCCCATCTTCTAGTGTTATTCATATACTCCAGGTTATCCTGTGCTATTAGACAAATTTCTTAAGATATATTTTCCCCCTAGACAAGGCTGCGACGCTTCCTCATGAGCAAAGAAAAGTGCATGCAGAAAAGGTGAGACAATCAGCCAGGTATTTATTGAATACCTATAAAAGGTCCAGTGCTATTATTATAATTATATATCACACTTGTGTATTTCTGAAGGGTCTTAGTGTGAGCTTTTCATTGAATATTAACTTCTAACTAATTAAATATTTATACAGTAATAGTATAGTTGCTGCAGTCAAACCAAGATTTTTCACCTGGATGGTGAGTGATGTGGAACCTTTATTGAGACTCAGGATGTTTGCCTTTCTAACTATTGGGCCAGAAAACTCTTAGTTGTTTTGTTTTATTATTACCAACACAACACATGCTATTGGCAGGAAACTTGTATGGTTGATGGTGTTCCCTGATATGTGTCATAATTTATCCTGTTCCCTTTTGGACATTTAGGTCATGTGCATTTTTTGCTTCTATAAATAACAAAGCTGTGCATGTCTTTACACATCATCTTTGTATACAACTCTAAATATATCCTTGGTATAAATTTCTAGATGTGGCGATCATGGGTCAAATGGTATTCAAGGGTTCTGATATGTGTTGCCAGAGGACTGGAGGGCAAAGTGCAGAATTTTAGGTCTCAGTCAGTTTAAGGTATGACATATGAAACAAGCTGAAATGTAGCTGTTGCCTAAAATTTGTTGCATGCTTCTCTCCACAGGTGGCCAAAGCATTCTGGATGGCAATCGGGGGAGACAGAGATGAAATTGAAGGCCTTTCATCTGATGAAGAGCACTGAATTATTCATACTAGGGTTTGACCAACAAAGATGCTAGCTGTCTCTGAGATACCTCTCTACTCAGCCCAGTCATATTTTGCCAAAATTGCCCTTATCATGTTGGCTGCCTGACTTGTTTATAGGGTCCCCTTAATTTTAGTTTTTAGTAGGAGGTTAAGGAGAAATCTTTTTTTTCCTCAGTATATTGTAAGAGAGTGAGGAATACAGTGATAGTAATGAGTGAGGATTTCTTAAATATACTTTTTTTTTGTTCTAGGAATGAGGGTAGGATAAATCTCAGAGGTCTGTGTGATTTACTCAAGTTGAAGACAACCTCCAGGCCATTCCTGGTCAACCTTTTAAGTAGCATTTCCAGCATTCACACTTGATACTGCACATCAGGAGTTGTGTCACCTTTCCTGGGTGATTTGGGTTTTCTCCATTCAAGGAGCTTGTAGCTCTGAGCTATGATGCTTTTATTGGGAGGAAAGGAGGCAGCTGCAGAATTGATGTGAGCTATGTGGGGCCGAAGTCTCAGCCCGCAGCTAAGTCTCTACCTAAGAAAATGCCTCTGGGCATTCTTTTGAAGTATAGTGTCTGAGCTCATGCTAGAAAGAATCAAAAAGCCAGTGTGGATTTTTAGACTGTAATAAATGAGGCAAAGGATTTCTATTCCAGTGGGAAGAAAACCTCTCTACTGAGTTGTGGGGGATATGTTGTATGTTAGAGAGAACCTTAAGGAGTCCTTGTATGGGCCATGGAGACAGTATGTGATAACATACCGTGATTTTCATGAAGAAATTCTTCTGTCTTAGAGTTCTCCCCTGCTGCTTGAGATGCCAGAGCTGTGTTGTTGCACACCTGCAAAACAAGGCACATTTCCCCCTTTCTCTTTAAAGCCAAAGAGAGATCACTGCCAAAGTGGGAGCACTAAGGGGTGGGTGGGGAAGTGAAATGTTAGGCGATGAATTCCTGAGCACCTTGTTTTTCTTCCAAGGTTCGTAGCTCCTCTCTGCCCTTCCAAGCCTGTAACCTCGGAGGACTATCTTTTGTTCTTTATCCTTTGTCTTGTTTGAGTGGGTCAGCCCCAGAGGAACTGATAAGCAAATGGCAAGTTTTTAAAGGAAGAGTGGAAAGTACTGCAAATAAAAATCCTTATTTGTTTTTGTAGACTTTGTAATGCATATCATTAGCCCTCACTGTGATCATTACTGCTGTGGCTCTGAACTGGCACATAGTACAGTGGATGGAAGGTGCCCGCACACCAGCTGAGAACTGGTTCTGGCCTAGGTGGGCTCTAGAACCATTTACACAGCATGAAAGAAACAGGTTGGGTTAGGAGCAGAAAGAAATAAGGCTCACACCCCTCCAGACACTACCTTATAAGCACTGCAGAACCTGAAACAGATGGCAGAAGGAATGGAATGCTACAGGGGCCAGCAGGAGTGACCACAGGGAGGGGACAGCTCAGTGACTGGAGCATTCAGGAAGAGGCTTTCCAGGGAACACTGGACATTGCTTAGTGACCTTTTGTTCCTTTTTTTTTTTTTTTCTTTTACTGTTCTGAAAGACTTTGAGTCTGTGGTTCACCACCAGCCCATCAGTGTTTCTTTGAGGTGATTGCATTAGGGAAGTTGGCTCTGGGATTGCAAAAAAAAAAAAAAGGTGGAACATGTTTTCCTTAAAAGATGGAAGGTTTTAGAAAATATACTAGGCCATCTGGTTAGAAAAAACAGACCAGACTAGAAAAAGCTGTGAATTTGATTTTGTAGATTAAACAAAGCCAGATGATTAAAATGTGATTTATTTATAAACTGTGCTAATGTCTATTATTATGATTTTGTGGTTTTTTATTAGGGGGTATGAGTGAGGGAAGCCCTATATCCTTCATTGGATTAGACATATATAGTGAATAGTGGAAGAGTCTGTCAAGCTCACTATTTTAGAATTTACCCTGCATATGTAATGTCATGTTTTTAAGACCTCAGCTATGCAGGGATATTGGCCTCTTCTAGGGACATATGGGATGAAGGTCTCTAGTGAAATCTACTAAAAGCCCATGTTAGAATAGTGATCATGAGCTAACACTACAGTAATAGCTGCAGTCTATCTAAAGTGACCTATGTTCATGCTACCACAAGTTGTTACAGAATTGCCAGCTGGAATTTAAAATAAGAGACTTGGTTTTTGGTTGTTTTTTCCTTAAACATTTCTTGATTTGCATAACATAGTGTTTGGCACATAGTGTTTGGCACATAGTAGGCCCTTAGTTTTGGTTGTAAAGTATGGTTTGTGTTTGATGAATATGATCACAAAGTTTGAAGGTCCATACATAAGTGCTGGAAGGTAAGGGAAGACAAGAATAAACATTTTTCCCCTGAGAAAATCATGTGTTATGTAATAATTTTAGAGTGATGAAGACATAGATATTTTTATAATTTTAAAATATGCCATCTTGCCAGAGTATGAGAAGATTGACAGAACCAGTTTGCTTGCTCTCTATTTATAGAACTTGGCCACGTCTAATTCAGAGAAGCTAGAGATTCAGGGAAGCTAGACTTAGATGGTTGAGTAATATGGGATGTGGTTCAAGGACCATAGAGCATGTTAGGCCATTCCTGCAAACTACTTCTAACACGTGAAATGTGATATATGGCTAATTTCCTGGTCCCACTGTGGAGAGGTCGGGATCAACATTTTTGCCATGGCTTGTCAGATTCATTTAACCTTGGGCCAGTCTCTTAACAATGGGCGTTGAGAGAGCATGTGGAATGCCCCTTGCCTTGCCTTGGCCTGCCATGGAAAAGCAGTCTTAGAAGAATCACTGTCTAAGGGTAAGATGAGAGCTCTGTAAACTATTCTGAGCTTCAGCGTTTGCCGATACAAAGCTAAATTTAGCAAACGTGTCCAGTGTGGTCAGAGGTTCTGATTCATTAGGGGTTCTGATTCATTGAACGTTCTGATTGATGGAGACAAGAGTTTCAGTGAATGTTCTAATGCATTAGATTTGCTCTTCACTCTCTGCTGCCCCTGTTAATTTTACAATAGACAATTTAGCTACAGCATTATGTCATTAAGTACCAAATCTTATTAGAGGACTATAGGTGGAGTAAGTGTAAAAAAATCTGGTCATGTGTACTGAACCCAGTACTATGTTAGTACAAGGTTAGTTTGAAAACAACCCCGTTAACTTTCCCATAATTTGTATGTCTCATGAAAGTAGAATGCTGACTGTGCGGCATAATTCTAGTATTTTCGATTCCACTCAGGGTTTAGTGATCCATCCTGGCATCTTTGGCATGTAAGCTCTTACAGAAAACGTCTTAGAGATCCTGTAAAGTTCATACTTTGGCATTACATATGCCTGTTGTTAACATCACAAAGCTTGCTCTTAATGTAGGTATCCTTACTCAGAATTAGGTTCTAGCATAGGAAGTATCTTGCTCTATCCTAAGTTGTTCCTCTGGTTTGCAGAAGAATTAACAAAAAAGGTAACAGCAATAGCGTATTCCCACTCTTAGGGATTTACAGTTCTACTTTGTTTCCTTTTGAAAACATTGTGATTCAAAACCTGGCCCTAATGGTTATTACTGCATCTTTGGAACACAGGCCTGGGGGTGAAAAGAAAAAAAAAAACTTTTAAAACCCCTTTCTGTGTATCCATTGTTATGCCCAAACACTTCCTCCGCACAACTACAGATCTGGGAGGCATAACCAGGCACCCCAAGCTGCTTGCTTATGCCCAGTTTACTGACTAGGAAGCCTCTTGGGTTCTCTCTAATGAAGTGTCCAATCATTGCTCCTGCCCTTGCTATTATCAGCCAGGTGGCTTTAATGCTATTACACAAAAATGTGGACTAAGGCCTAGGGTAGGAACTTTATGGAAACAACAGCATAGTTTAGGAGAGAAAAGATTCTTTTAATCTGAATTCCAAGGACATGGCCTGCAACAATCATGCTTCCCCAGGAAATTCTCAGGAAGTCATTAATGGTGAAGTTAGACGGCCTTAAATTTGTTCCTTCTACCCTGGTGAGAGCAGAAACAAGAACCCAGGGTCCAGCCAACACTGACTGTGAACGTCGTTGGTGCCAGAATCTGAGCTAGGTGTGGCAGAGGACACAGACTTGAGTCAGGATGTAGTTTCTCCTTTCCATGAGCTCAGAGTCCAACTCAGGTGGGAGCAGGGGGCAAACCAGACAAGGTCACAAAAGACAATGCCAAGACAGCATGTGAAGAGTGCTGTGACCAGCCCTAATGGCTGTGGGAAGGAGAGAACACAGTGGGTTGGGGAGAACAGGAAGTGTATCTTAGAGCAATGGTTCTCAGAAGTGAGCTATGTCACAGTCACCTGGAGGGCCCCACTCCAGAGTTGCGGCTTCAGTAGGCCTGGCGTGGGGCCTGAGAATTTGCATCTTTAACATCTGTGTGATAACCGATGCTGCTGGTTCGGTCCTGGGACCCACTTTGAGAACCGCTGACTTAGGGGAAATAATGCTGCTTGGGTCGAGCTAGAAGGATAAAGGATTGGGACAGATAGGTGAGTGGAGGCAGCAAAGTTGTTGGAGTTATGGCTTGAACAAAGGTACGGAAAGAAGAGTGAGGGGATGTGCTGGGAAAATGCAAGGAGTCCACATAGAGAAATGGTGGCAGATGAGGATGGGGTGATGCTGGAGGGGACCTTGTAGAGTCTGTGCCTACTCTGGAGGTAAGTGAGGAGCCAAAGGTTTTGAGCAGAAAAGGCATCTAACCATAATTACATTCCAGGAAAACGTGGCAGCAGTATTAGCAGTTTTTCTGTCTAACCAATTAGCTGTGTTGAGAAAGAGTCTGAGGCTGAGGATGGACCCAACCCGGTGACGAGTGGTTTTTGCCATGGATAGAAATAGAGAAGAGGGGAATTTTGCCATATATTTGCTATCCCTGGACTGCAGAGACACAGATTAGAATTTTGGAATAGCTGTGATAGCAGGTAATCAGGAACTATATTCCTTCAGTCATATATAAGGACTTGCTGTAAGCACTGTGGAAATGTATATAAAATATACTGCTAAGATAGAATTTACTAGATATGGACACTGATTCATTTACTCGGCAAAAATATGTGGTGGCCAAAAAGAAGCCAGGGATAAGAGAATAAAATGTAAACTCTGCTCTCAAGGAACTCACAGCCTAGAGAGGGGACTGTGGCAACAGAGATAGATGTTTATGAGAGGCTTCCTGGAGGAGATGTCTGAATGGAGGCACAAAGCATTAGTAAAAGTTAGCCAGGCGAACTGGTGGTGTGCTGGGGAGCAGGGGCTGGGCCAGGGAGAAGTTGATGTTCTAAGCACAAGCAGCCATGAAGACAAGGATGATCCATGAGGACTGCAAGTTGCCGGATTGTAGAGGTTAAGGCAGGGAGCAGTGAATGCTAGGTAAGGGCAAAGGAGGGCCAAATGCTCCAGGGCAAAGACCTTAGAATGTGTGCAGTGGACTAGGGGAAGCATCTATGGTCAGATTGGTTACTGGGGGCAGTATGAAGGGTGCCTTTATAGGAAAGCCATCTGGAGGCTAGGAGACCTGTTATGATGCTGGTGCAGTTGTCCAGGCACTAGAAGACCTGCAGTTTAGGGCGGTGCAAGTGGGACTAGAGCAGAGAGATTGGAGAAGCGGGACTGTGTGGAGGTGGGGAGCAGAGGACTGGTGGACTGCTGTGGCTTCTGTGGATGTAGGTTGGGTCAATGGTCATGTCTAAAACAGGGCTGAAGGCCAGAGGATGGTTTTAAGAGAAACCATGAATTCTGTTTATTTGATTGTGAGTTTGAGGTACTTGTGGCCCCTCCGTGTGCCAGCAGCCAGCAGTCAGCTGGACATGAGTCTGAAGCTCGGGATTAAAGTCTGGGCTGTAAGTACTGATTTGGGAGTCATTAGCGTTTATGTGGCTTGAAATCATCAGGGTAGATGAGATCACTTAGGGAGGAGTCAGCAGAACAGTGGTCTGGGAATACCAACAAGGAAGCAGGCAGAAGAGGTGTAGGCCCAAGAAAAAGAGCAGATTGTACGAGAGGGCCAGGGAGAACCGGGAAGTTCAGGGAGTAGGACCTTTCCAAAAGGGAGATGGCAGCAGCAGAGAGGTGATGGAGGGCAAGGAAAAGAAATGCGTCAAGCTGCTCTGGGCTTGGAAAATGGGAGTGAAGAGGCTACTGATAAAATCTGGGGAAGCATAAAAGGGAGCTGGCTCAAGTGAGGTGGGAAGATGATTCAGTTTGGGGGCGCTGTGTTTTGGATCACGTCTAACAAATAGCTGGAATTTTAAAATCGTGCATCTCAAGGAACAGGTTGGGTTAAAAGGACGGGTTTGGGTCAGCTGTTGACCCAAACAGCTACATAAACCCTTGAGGAAAGCTGTTAAGGGGGTAGGAAGGTGGAAGAACCAACCAAATCATCATAAAGGCAGGAATTTGTTGCAGTTCTCAGAGGCCAAATCTATAGGCCCTTACGGTGCAACCTGCCTCCTCTTGGTAAGGGAGGTGTTTAGATGATGCTGGGGAGGTCCTTAGGAGGACTGCTGCAGATGTGGTCACACCAGATGATTACTCCAACCCATTTCATCCTTCTCCCCCGAACTCTGCTTATTCAGACTCTTAAAAACCAAAAGGCATTTTACTTCTTTTTTTTTTTTTTTTTTTTTTTTTTTTTGAGACAGACAGTGTCTCACTCTGTTGCCCAGGCTGGAGTGCAGTGGTATGAGCACTGCAACCTCCACCTCCTGGGTTCAAGCGATTCTCCCATCTCAGCCTCCCAAGTAGCTGGGACTACAGGCGTGCACCACCACACCCAGCTAATTTTTGTATTTTTTGGTAGAGACGGGGTTTCGCCATGTTGGCTAGGCTGGTCTCAAACTCCTGACCTCGAGTGATCTGCCTGTCTCTGCCTCCCAAAGTGCTGGAATTACAGGTGTTGAGCCACCACGCCTGGCCAACAGTTTACATTTTAATCAGCGTTTTTCTTTATCCATTCTTTATCCACATCTTCTGGGGTCAGTGTAAGATCTAGCCAAGGAAACAACTTTGAAGTCCCTTTCTCCTTGGGTGTTTTGAATTCAAAATGAATTTTCACAGGTGCTAACAGTCATCTGAGCTGGCAGATGTGGAAACCAAGTTAGTTACTTGTGAACCTCCATGCCTGTGGGAAGACAAATCTGGTGGCATTTAAGACACCCTGACAATATGGAGGAATCAGGCTAGGAGGGACTAGCAGAGGCAAGAGGTGGCAGGGCTTGAGGTTGGGTTGGTGTCATTCATTTGCCAAAGGCCTCGGGGTACAGAGGAAGTAAAATATAAAATGGCACTGCAGAGATAGCATCAGTGGGACACATGGTGTTTAGGTTTGCGGAATAGCGAGATACACCCATTGAGAAACTTTTGACCTTTGTGCAGATGGCCCAGGGGCTTCTGCTGGCACTGCATGTTGCCCTTGGTGAGTGAATGAGGGCAGCTGGGTATTACATGAGGACCACAGCAGAATGTGGCCTGGTACATCATTGGTCAAGGTATATCTGGGCTTACAGACATTTTCCTCTGGTCCTCCTGAGCCCTGAAGTCCCTGGGACCCCCGCCTCGGCTCCCTTTTAAATCTTCTCTCCACCCAGAGACAGCAGCAAGAATCAGACTGAGCTCCTGGCACAGGAGCTTTTCCATGAAAAGTTTATTAGAAGGGCACTTACAAGAGGAAGAGAGGGAATGAGAGGACACAAATCTTTAACAATAGGGGTACAATGCTTAAACAGGTGCTCTGCTTTTAAGATATAAAAGTTAGAAAAATCTAAAACACTATAAATACATACATGCTTTTTACAAAGTTATTAAAAGGTCAGGCTGGCCGAATAGTGAAGGTAATCAACACAGTCAATGTTCTATTCCCCATCCCTCCACACACATCAGAGTCCAGAACAGCCGAGTTGCAACAGCAGCAGTGAAGGTGAGTGAAGGCTTCTTGGATAGATGGCTCCATCTCTCTGTAATGCTTTCACCCCTAGCAAGGGAGTGGGGCTTGGTTCAGAGGACCCTTGTGGAAGGGCCCAGATTTGACTCAGAGCTGTCTGTTTTTACACGCGGCCACTTGTTTAGCCAGCCTGGTTTGGTGTTTCTGGATGCTGAGCCAAAAAGCCACTACACCCTCCACCAACATTCAGAACTGGCTGTGCCCCAACTCTTCCAGCCACTGTCCTTGGGAGGAGAGACCTTTCCAACTTTCTTAAAAAAAATTAAATAGTTATCTGTCTGAATGGTTTTAAGAAATTATTACATAAATATAAAAACACCAGAATACTAGAGTATACATTACTTCTGCATTAAAAAAAAATCCATTGCAGAATCACTGAGAATTTCTCAATCCAGTTTACATGAGGCAAGTTTCTTTTCTATGATAGCTGTGTTTTTGAAAAGTTGCCTGTTTAGCCCATCATCTCCCCACCATCACCTCCCCATGGGAGATGCTTCATCATCATTTTGGATCCATGTCCTCTTGCGTACGTTTTTCTGCTTTCCCTACCCACTTGAGAAGCGGCTGATGCTCCTTAAACTGTGATGAAAATACATTGTGAAGACGGTTACCTGAAAGGGGCCTACAAGGGAACATCTTTGCCACACAAAGACAGTACAGCTTCGCTGTGTTGAGGTTTGGTTCTGGTAAAATGGGGACACGTTTATTTTGGGGGAACTCCCAACTCTAGCCAAGTCACACAGTAAGAAACAGGGTCCAGGGCTAAACGGGTGCACTCTCTTGCTGCTGGTATCCCCCTTGGTGAACAGTCCTACAAGCAGCCTGCAGATTCTTCTCCCTACATCTCCTGTAAGGACGAAGGAGTGGTGTAACCTGAGCTCCGGCCCTGTGGAGACCCTCATGAGGCCTGAGGCTAAGAATGAAACAGATCTTTGCTTCTTCCCCAGATTACTTACATACGTGCATGCCATGCACACACTACTTCAAACCTTTCTGTAGTCTTGAGTAAAAGCATTTAGCCTGGAATATGTCCAAACTCTAGGAAGCCAAGGGGAGATGGAGAAAAATAAACAAACTAAGCACATGATATGTGCTATAGCTCACTTCAGTATATTAACGATGGTTTAAAAAAATAATCACCATGGTCAATAAAAAAAAAAAAATACAACACAGACAACATAAGGACAATGGAGACGTCTGCCAGCAGCCTTGCCCTCATGTGTGCTCTTCCTAAGAGTCAAAGTCCCTGCTCCTGACTCCTCTAGGCTTGTCTCAAAATGTCAGGTCTACAGCCTGCCAGGAAGGTGGCCAACTGAGATGATGTTCCAGCACAGGCCTGTAATCCAAACCGGCTGGGGTAGCTACCTACGTATGTGCTGGAAGCATCTAAGTTACTAAATTGGGAAGAAGCGAGGTGGGGAGGGGAGAGAGGAAAGGGAATAAAAGTTGGCTCCTTGGAAGGTGCTGAAGACAAGGATCTGTGTCCCAGTGCTAGCTGCACTTGGGTCAGTCTCAGCACAAGCTGCAAGGTGAAGATGTCATGGCGGGGAGCCCAGGGCAGGGGCAACACACGCGGTCGTGTTGACTAGGTGAACGCCACTTAAAACTGCTATCCAGTCACCAGCACTCCTCTAGAACTGCCCTGGTTTCCTCTTGCCCTTTTCAACTGTCCTTTAAAAAAGTGTTTTAATATACAAATGCCATTCATACAACAGGATTTTAAAACTAAGAAAACTAGCTTGTGGCTTCAAGGAAGGACACTAATGTTACATACGCCCAAAGCACCTATGTAGCACTCTAAGGTGGGAATGGCACCATTTCCTAACCTCTTAGGTATGATCAAATTTATTTTCAGTGATGCCACAGGTGGGTTTGCCTACAATCCCACACATCCTCCTCTGGTGGTCTAGTCAATAAAGAAAAAGGGCCAAGGAAGTATCCTTTGGAAAAACACAAAACTCAAACTTCATGCTCCTAGAAGTAGCCTTCAGGTCTGAGCAATGAGGGTTCTAAGACACCATCCAAATGCAGCCAAACGTGTCATTTCATCACATTCAAAGTTCATAACCTGCCAAAGTATAGGCTTTTTTTTTCCCCCTTCACCTGGAGTAAGACACGACTTCCATAGATCACTGGATCACCAGAATCAGGCTGTGCCTGAAGCTAGTTCCCAAGCACCCAGAGGGCTGTGTGCCACAGGAAGCCCTCATAGGATCGTGCAGCAGGTGGATCATGCAGGCCCTCGGAAACTGCTGCCCATGGCTTTTAGGAGAGGAACCATGACTGCTCTAGCAGAAGCCAAAATGGAATATTTGGTTCCTGGGTCTCAGAGCTGGCTGGGAACATGAACACATGTACAGGAGGTTCAGGGGGCTTCCTGTGTAAGAAACAGGCCATAGATCATTTCACACCAGGCACATACTTCAGACTCACAGCATTTGGCCCTCTCAGAGGAAGTGAGGGGTTTTGTATTGTCTCTGGGTTCTGAGTCAACCCTCCTTCGAGAAGACTCACACAAGTCTGTCAAGGTGCTCCTTCCGTCTCTTCCTGTGTCCTCAGGAGGCTTGGGGAGCAGCTGTCCTACCTGGAAACCTCATGGCTAGAACTTCAGAGGCACAGGACCCTGCAGATGAGGCATCAGGAAGCCTCTCCATCTCCCTCTAACATCAGAAATCTCATCACATTTGAGCTGTATGACTTGCCAAAAGTATATACACTTCCTTCCCTTCACCTGGAATAAAGCAGGACTTCCATAGGAAATCCCTTGATTTTTCCTGCTATAAATTCATGCAAAAACGTGGGATAGGTCATTTTATACAAAAACAGCAGCAAAGAATAAAGTACCAATTGAAGGTGGCAGTTCTGTCTACTGTGTTCTGCAAAAGGCTGGGAAAAGAAGAGGACTCTTTTTTCTTTTTTCCAGTTGAAATAATTTAGACTAGTTTTCTCCCTAATTGCTGCTGGGAGCAGTACTTGTTACACAATACAACTGCTATAGTTGTCACCGGTGATCCTCTACCGGGAGCTAGATCATCTTATATCCCAGGGGGAAGATGACAGACCTCTTTGTACCAAGCCTGCAATTTTCAAAGGTGTAAAAATATTTTAATAGCCCTTTTCATTTGCCTATGTTGGCCTGAGATGTTTCCCTTCTGGTGAATTTGCTTCTGTAAATTTCAGCTTGCAGAAGTGCTGGCAGGTATCTCTTCAACAAAACCTGGAAAAGCTTCACCTCAGGAGAGAGAAGGGAGAGAAGCAGTTGCTGGGTCTCACTCAGGTTTCCCAGTCAATGTGCCAGCCCAGGATTTTTAAAGAAAATATATAAACCAAACATTTAAAAGAGCATATGATAAAGTTGATTTAATGAATGCAACTGACTACATAAACCAATATAGCCGTATGCATCAGAATCTGGAGCAAGCTCTTACAGATGACTGGAGACGCACCCAGTGTGGTGCTGCCTGAGACCAAATGCCATCCCACGACAAGGGCCTCCTGCTTCATGAGAACACTTACCGTCATTCGAATCTCTTTGAGATTAATGTGATAATAGACACTATACATTGCATATGCACTGGGCCTCAGCAGATCCTTCCAACTTTTCAAAGTGAAAAAGGACAAACGTAAGTGAGTTTTTAAAGAGGTGGCGCTCATCGATTTTTCCCGCTGTCCTGTGTGCAGGTTCTGCTGAACACGCACCTCCCAATCAGTATGTTCTGAGAGGGGAGGGAGACAGACAAAACTCCCTCCCTCCCCATCCCAAGTCTATCCAGCTCACAAGGGGCAAGGTCTGCTGGAGTGGTGGGGCGGGGCGGGGCGGGGCTGGGCTGGGAATGTTCACTGGAAGAGGCACTGTCACAAGCGTCAGAGAGCTGGGCATGAGGTCTGCATGGCCCTGCGGGCTCTTCCTACCTAGAACGCCCTTCCAAGGTGAACTCCACACTGCAGTCCTAGACAGAGGGGTGTTTCTGGTTGGACTGTGACATCCCAGAAAGCTGTCACTCAAAAAAAGAGTCTGGGGGGAGGGGGCCGGTGGTGTAATACTACCTGTTCTGCTCACTTAAGCCACCAGAGCAGACGCCATTTCTTGCCCTTCAAAGTGGGGCCAAAGGGTAAATGTGTTTGGCAGACACAGCTGTTCATAACATCCACCTCTGGGTTTGCTCGTGTGTTTCAGAAAACAGGTGGGTGCACCCCTTCAGTTGAGGGAGAAAGATTTCTTCTTCCTTGACAACAATGGGTTGAGTAGAGTTCCAATTTTCTCCACCTCCTGCATGGCCATTTTCCCCAAGCCTGCCCTCCCCTACCATACTTGATGTCTCTAAGACACACTGGAACAGCGGATGCTTGGGGAGCCCATCTGGGTGAGGACCTTGTCAAGCCACTGCAAAGGCCCATTCAGGTGCAGCTCAATCCAGCAGGGGGTACTGGTCACAGTCTGTCTCCTGTAAGAAATAGGGAAAGGGGTGGGGTGGGGGACTTAAAAAATCTCCAGGGGGTTACACAAGTCAGAAAGCTTTTTCTGCTTTGGTGACAGTCATCTTCCCAAAGATGCTGTTAGACGCTGTCCTAGAAGCGGTACCAGTAACTTGCTGAAACTACCCGGCCAAACTCCTCTACCCAGGGAGGACTTTGAGTAAATTAAGTTCTCTTGAGGGGGAAGGAAGTCGACTTTAAAGAGTTAAACATGTAAAGTCAATGGCAAAGAGTTAAATATGTAAAGTCAATTGCAGGGTACCCCAGAGGCCCACCAGTTACTGTAACAGGCCCCCTAATAGAGGAGACCTCCATCCTGAGCAAAGGGCTTCCTGGCTCCCATCTGTACCAAACGGGCACGTGCCGCTCCCCTATCTCGAAATCTGGGCCCAGCCCCAGCAGGCGACGATGACGTGTGTCTGTCTGATTGAGGGGTGTTTTTTACAAAGCGCCAACAGTGTCCGCATGCCTTCGGTTCCCAATGTGCTGATATAATTCTCATCTACGGCCTTATTTTGGAAAATCTTACAAGCAGAACGAGCCATGGAACAATTACTGGAAAAAAACAAGGCACACCACACGTTTCTTTTCCCCAAAGCACTTTGTCTAAATTCAGGCTGGTTGATGACGCAGCTTGCAGGCAGGCTCCCAAAGGCCTCCACTGAGCAAAGGCTATCTGCTGAGGCTGGAGTCGCTGGTGCCAGCTGGAGGTGAGAGGTGTGGGCCCTGGGCCCTGCTTTCAGCCACCTCACAGAGAGAAGAGCTGAAACCTTACTCTCCTTGGCCCAAGAGGCAGGAGGACGACAAGGCTGTTCTGGGAAGGGGCCGCGCCCGCCCGTCAGGCTGCTGTGCAGTGCTGCCAGGCAGCGGTGACGCGGTGGGCCACAGAGGACTGGGTGTGCTGGCAGGACATCCCGCGTGGTGATAGTGTCCCCAGGGAAAGGCTCTGCCACCAAAGAGCCTCTTCCTAGCACTTGGAGCGGGAGAGCTGCAATGCCACACCAGGAACAGTGTTGCTGTCTTGAAGGCACCACCCTCCTTGCTTGGCCTCTACTTTGCTTGTGTAGCAGGGAGGTTGAGAAATGGGCCTGCAGACAGACCCTGGGGTGTCTGCACGAGCGAGGGTACCTGAGTGTGGCCCTCCAGACTACAGTCTGGTATAAGAAGAGCAAATGGACATCCCCTTACTCTTTTCCACTGCAGTCCATCTTTAAATATTTCCCTTCTTCACTAAAAAAAGATTAATTTTCTAACCTTTCACTCCTGTTCCCTAAATGAGCTAAGCCAGGGCTAAAAGATTGCTTAAAACATTTCTCTGGCTAGACCTTTGGGCCTGGGCTGATCTCTTCAGGCCATAACATAGTTGTAAGTTCTTTTGAGGTCTGACCACTTTGATTGCTCCACTGGTCACTCCTGGATTTCAGAGACACCCAAGAAACCAAGGGGCTGTGTTCCCTGACACCCTGGGGCAGACACAGAAGAACAGCAGCTAAAATACGGTAAGTGGAAGAGGAGGATTTTACAGGATGAAATCCTCTAATGAGAATCTGACTTTCCATAAGTCATGCTCATCTGGATTTCATTACAAACGGTGGCCCAAGGCCAATATTGAAATGGGTTTGGCCTGAGTGCAGCATGACTGCAAAACAAAATGGATTCCAAACATCTGGAAAAATGAAGAGAAAGGGAGAGTAGCTTGCAAGGCGCTGGCTCTAGCTGACATGTGGGCACCTCTGCATCTGCCGCAGGAGCTGGCGGCTGGCAGGGGGGAGTGTGGAGCAGAAGGCGGGGGCACACAGCCCTGCCTCTCCGCAAACTTTGGTCCGTGAGTGGAAAGAAAAGGGACTGGATTCTCTAAACCCAAAGCAGGATGGCCTGAGAGATTCAACCAAGCAGACCAGGTAGACCTGACTATATCAGGGCCATGTTTAAACCAGTATCTAGGGCCGGGCATGGTGGTTCACGCCTGTAATCCCAGCACTTTGGGAGGCTGAGGCAGGTGGGTCACCTGAGCTCAGGAGTTCGAGACCACCCTGGGCAACATGGTGAAACCCCCTCTCTACTAAAATACAAAAAATTAGCCAGGCGTGGTAGCACGCACCTGTAGTCCCAGCTACTTGGGAGGCTGAGGCACGTCCTGGAGGCAGAGATTGCAGTAAGCCAAGATGGTGCCACTCACTTCAGCTTGGATGACAGAGTGAGACTCCATCTCAAAAAAAAAAAAAAAAAAAAAGAAAAAGAAAAAGAAACCAGTATGTAGGACTCTAAAAAAGTCATTTCTCAGCGAGAAAATTTTGTTCCTTTATAACTACCCAAATCTCCTCCTCCCTTCCCGGACTCTCAGTTTTAATATCCTGGGCTCCTCAGCATCACCAGGGTCCCTGAGTCAGAAATGGAGCAACAGAGGAGGAGAGGAACAATGAGCTGAAGACCTAACTTCCTGAAGAGGGTCATCCTAAAGCCATCTGCCTAAAATGAGACTAAGGAAGAAGCCAAGAGGGCAGAGTTCTAGACACAGCTCTTCTACCAGTGTGACTGCAGGCAAGTCACTCTCCCTCCCTGGGCCTTAGTTCTCTCATCTGTACGGATGATGCTGGCATCCCCACCCAGGGCTGGGATGAGGATAAGATGGAGCGTGTGTTTACAGTGCCTACAGCTGTTCGGTGCCAGCAAACATCGTTCTGCAATTCCTCATCATCTGCTGTTGGCCCGGCCCCTCCTGCCTGCCAGGCCTTGGCCTCTCTCTGATCTTTGGTCTTTCTGCTCTTGACGCTAGGGCTGGCCTAGCTCATCTCTGAGGAGCCCTGCCTGCTCTGCTGTCCAGAGTCACCTGGAGTTGGGTCCCCTGATGTAGGCAGCACCCATAACTGACCTGTACTCCGCTCCCCAGCCTTTGACGAAGCTCATGCGGATGGTGCACATTCGGGTCAACTGGTAGACAGCCTCAAAGCCCTGGTTGACCGACTGGGCCAGGAGGGCAGCGAACTCCTGGTTGTTGAAGATCTTCAGGTTGCATCCTGCCAAAAACACAGAAACAGGGCTGTGGGGATGGAAGTGGCCAGGTCCGTTGCTCCCCTCCTGGATAAAGCAAGTCCTGGACCCCCTAGACCAGCCTCATTTATACAGCTCCAGGGACACATGGTGTGTGATGCATTTGCCACACACTCCACACTCAGTACCATGCAAAGGGAAGGCCAACCCAGTCCCTCCCCTTGAACCCATCTCCTCACTGGGAGGTGCCACTGACATACCTGCAAGGGGAGATGGAAGGCTGGCCCACAAGCTCCGACTCCCAGAGCAGGGAGAAGTCTGCAAAGAGGGCTTCCAAAAATAGGGAGATGGTGTGGAGAGGGGGGCCTTTCCTTGGGCAAAGGGACCAGGGGACAGAGAGATAAGGGACCTGGGCCAGGTTGCCCATGCTGTGTGGGGTCTGGTCACCCACCTAGGAACAGGAGCTCTGGCCGTTCCACAGCAGGCAGTGCCCCCAGAGACGGGCTGGCCGAAAGGCTACTGGGCCTGCCGTCCCCACAGGAAGCTTGGCAGAGGGCCCAGTGCACCCTCCACCTGGGCTCCTCTGATGAATACACCTGGTGCTGGGGCTAGGAGGTAAGGAGAGATCTGGGCCAAATTTTGGCCTCTGGGCACTGGGCTGGGTGGAGGTGACATTCACAGCTAAGTGAAGGTGTGCATCTGATTCTCCAGACAGTAAAACTAAAGACAGTCACAAATAAAGTTTAAAATAAATGTCGTTTGAAGTCTTACTGCCTGAGTGCCAGGAATGTGTCAACCAGAAAAATAAAGACAAAAGCACATGCTGGAAATAGCCAAAAGGTGAGCCGGGGTGACGCTTATGAATGAGCCAACAGCAGGCTCCTGTTCTTGCTGTGTGACTCTGAGCTGGTCGCTTTCTCTTGGGGACCCTGTGTCTCTGTATAATGAAGGGCTGGCCTCAGAGGTCCTTCCAGCTCTGACATTCTATGAGCTGACAAACAACACCACAGCCAACTCAGCCCTCACCCAAAAGATGGGGGTGGGGCCGGGGAATGGAAGAGGCAGAAGGCCAAGAGCGTCACTGAGCTTCCTCTTCTTCATTCTCTCCAAGGACAAGGGTGGTGGAACAGGGCTGAACCTGGGCCCTGACCCCCAGCAGAGCCAAGAAGCAGAAGAGCACCAAACTTGAGAGTCCATCAGCCCTAGGCCCCATCCCGGCTTGGCCACTTACTAGCTGTGTGCGCTTGGGCAGGTGGCTGAAACTCTCTGAACTTGTCTCTCAAAGCGTCTCCTTACTTATAGAGCCAGAGAATAACTGGTGAGGACTAAATGAGGTCAACGATCGGAATGTACTCTATAAATGCAACCACAAAATGCTCTGGAAACCTGGTGTGCTATTATCATTTCAGACTTTCTGCATTCTAAAGTTTCCCCTGCCTGTGGTCTACCACTTCTCCACTACCATCTGCTACTCAGTGGGCAGGAAGGGGCATGCCACACACGTGCCACAGGCAATGGCCTGGCCAGGTTACCTGCTCCACTAGTCTGTCACAGGCCATGTTCTGTGGGCTGCCTACACAGTGGCTGCACGTCCTGTGAAAAGTGGACTTTGGCTGGGGCTTTCTGCCTTGGTTTCCTGAGGAAAGAGGCCTTAGATGGGATCAGCCACCTGCCTGATCTTGCTGTCCAGGCGTGGCCCTGTCCAAACCACTCTCGGGGGTGCAGCCTGACACCTCTTCTTGGGGTACAGGTGGGATTTTTCAGGCTCACTCAGAAAACCCTCAGCAGTTCCCTAGAGTCAAACTCTCTGGTGTCCTTCCACGGCCTCATGCTGTTGTGCTTTTGAAACATTTCCCCTGACGGTCTCATACATGACCCTCCTCCAGCCAGAGAGCTACCCATCCATGTCCTGCCCTCCATTACCTCAGGCCCTTTGCCTGGGCTGCTCCCCCTGTCTAGAATGCCCTCCCTGTGCCTAGTGCCTACCTATCCTTCAGGATCCGGATGTTTCTCCTCCATGAAGACTTCCCTGATCCATCCCAACAGCTAAATGGGCCTTCTCTCTACCTGGGCTGCTGGCTTGGTGCTTGGCACCCGTCCCTTATATTGAACTCATCCGTGTCTTTGTCTTCTGTGCTCTGCAGGCCTGTAAGGTCTGCGGGGGCAGAGCAGGGCCGCATCTACCTCTTCATCCCCTACAGCACCTGGCACAGAGCCCTGCATGCTGTTTGTGCAATGAATGAGTGAAGAAAGGAAGCCATACTGCCTGAGCATCTACGCACAGGGCAACAGGCAGGTACCCACAGGTTAAAGGCAGACCTATCAGATGCTACATCTGCTCCCTGGAAGTTCAGGGAAAGCACAGTTAGATCTGTGGGCATAGAGAAAACCTAATCCAATCACCTCCAGATTGACAACGCAATCATGAGTGAGCAGAAAAGGTGAGAAAGGTGGACTCTCTCCAGCATCCTAGGCATGCACTCGGAGAGGGACCTCAAGGCAGGGGTGCCTGTGCGGCTCGTTTACCTGGTGGGATCTTGCAGACGGTGGCCGGGTGCCAGCCATAGCGCTGGTTACAGTTGGGAGACTGGACAAAAATAGCGCTGTCACTGAGGCACTCTGCGAAGACCTCCCCTCCGATGTAGTAGAGCCGCACGCCTCTTCCTACAGAGATTCAGGTTAGACTGGACAGGGTGCCTTTGCTCACACACAATGGCCCTGGGGCCACCTGAGGCTCGCAAAGGAGGCAGAACAGCAGAGCTGCTCCCAGTGACTGCCAGCTTCCCCAGGCAAACGGGCCCCAAAGCCCAAGCCTAAAGTAGGGGAAATGGGCACTGCCGGATTCCTAAAGCCAAGGGAGGCAGATGACAAGAGATGGGCACACAGGATAGGTCTCAGTGACAGCCTTTGCCACTGAGTAGGCATGGGCCTCAGTCAAGTTATTCACCCTCTGAGTCTTCGTTTGTCTCTACGATAGGGATGGGGGCCAGGCGCGGTGGCTCACACCAATAATCCCAGAGCTTTAGGAGGGCAAGGTGGGAGGATCACTTGAGGCCAGGAGTTCAAGGCCAGCCTGGGCAATGTAATGAGACTTCATCTCTACAAAAACATTTTTTTTTTAATTAACTGGGCATAGTGGCATATCCTTGTAGTCCTAGCTGCTTGGGAGGCTGAGGTGAGTGGATTGCTTGAGCCCAGGGGTTCAAGACTGCCGTGAGCTCCCATCACACCACTGCACTCCAGCCTGGGAGACAGAGTGAGACCCTAACTCCAAAAAAAAAAAAAAAAAGGGAATGATGATAACCTCTACCCTTGCAGGATTACTGTGAGACACACAGTAAGTGCCTGGTGTCAGCTTTTCTTGCTGCTACTGCTACTACTACCCCACTATTATTTGGTCTCTTCACACTCCAAGATTCAGAGATTCATTCAGTAAACCTGCAGGGCTCCTTCTGATGCAGCAGACACCCCAAGGAGCCCTTTATTGCAGGGATGGTTTAACGCTATGCCCTTATTTTTTTCTTCCCTCAATGCATTTTTCTAAAACATTCCAGAGGTTTATATCATTTACTTTTCTTTCATCTCTTAAATCCACTCCAGATGGACAGAAATTATTTTTAAATTGGCTCTGCAACTCAAACAGTTGCGTAAACTCTGACAATGAGCTCTTTGCTCGGCCAGGGGATGGTCCCTTCTCCTGCATGGCAAAGTCTCTGCTCCATTCCTGGGGAAGAAGCTCAGAGGTCAGAACACGGAGCCAGATATTACAGGCCCAGCATCCGGTAGGATGAACACGAGGTGACCGACCCATGCATCACTGGATGTCCCCTGTCCTGCCTCCTATTCCCACTACTGTCCCCTTCCTCCAACCACTCCCCATTTTTTCTGGCTTTAGTTCTGCAGGGTGCTGGTGGCTCAGAGTCCACAGGAGGGATGACTTCCTGGCTGTCCACAACTGTATCATGTCAGTAAGAGCAGAAGGCAGAGGTGGGGATGCGAAGACCCAGACCAAAAATGTTTGTTTCGTTTCAGTAACTTAAAAAAATAGGCCGGGCATGGTGGCTCACACCTGTAATCCCAGTACCTTGGGAGGCTGAGGCGGGCAGATCACCTGAGGTCAGGAGTTCGAGACTAGCCTGGCCAACGTGGTGAATCCCCATATCTACTAAAAATACAAAAAATTAGCCAGGTGTGGTGGCACATGCCTGTAATCCCAGCTACTCAGGAGGCTGAAGCAGGAGAATCACTTGAACCTGGGAGGTGGAGGTTGCAGTGAGCCAAGATTGTGCCATCGCACTCCAGCCTGGGAGACAAGAGCGAGACTTGGTCTCCCCGCTCCAAAAAAAAAAAAAAAAAAAATATATATATATATATATATATATATATATATTTTTTTTTTTTTTTAATAAAATATAGAAAAAAGCCAGTTGCAGTGGTATATGCCTATTGTCCCAGCTAATCAGGAGGCTGAGATGGGAGGATAGCTTGAGCCCAAGAGTTTGCGACTGGGCCTGGGCAACATAGCAAGACCCTATCTCTAAATCAATCAATCAATCAAACAGTGGTATGCCACCCAGAATAAGTATCTTTTTTGAAGTAAAAAACAAAAAGCGAAATGGGAACAACAGGTCTGGTAGTGGTGGCTGTCTGTCACTGACAATGAGGTCTCTGCAGAGCCGTTCCCTACCCTCCCCAACCCCCTAGACATCAGGTCCCTTTCCTAGAAAATGAGAGCACAGACCTAGGCCCATGGCCTCCAAACTTTTCTTCTCTTCACTACAGAATCAATCCTCTCTTCAAATGAAGTCTTCTGTGAGAGCCCGAGATATAAAGCAAGCGAGTGCAGAGGTGCCCTGGTTCACGTGGGACCAGGCTTCCCTTTGCTAACCTGCCCACCTCCTGAGTTTGCCGCAGGAACCCTTTGCCAACCCTTGGGGCTCCAGGACAAGGTCTGAGAAAACCTCACTCTGCCATCTCTCTACAGCCCTTCTAAGTTCTGACAGTTGTGATTCTGGATCGTAAAATCCTCTAAGCTTGATAACTTCATAAGCAAACCAAGTGATGCGTAACACAGCTTCATCTTCCTTAAACTCACAAAGTCATCTTTTACTTATGTTCTGGGGGCTAGAAGGCAGAAGGTTCACAGTAGTGGTGTTTGGATAGTGGACAATTCTTTTCTACCTTTTCTAAATTGTTTAGAATAATGATACATGAAAATAAGAGAAGATCACTCTTCCAACAATGACTGCCTACTTATCAACCTATCCATCTGTACTTTCAGAGTATTTTTATTTAGAGGATTTCAGCCAGGCACGGTGGCTCACGCCTGTAATCCCAGCACTTTGGGAGGCCAAGGCAGGTGGATCACCTGAGGTCAGGAGTTCGAGACCAGCCTGGCCAACATGGAGAAACCCCGTCTCTACTAAAAACACAAAAATTAGCTGGGCGTGGTGGTTGGGTGCCTGTAATCCCAGCTACTTGGGAAGCTGAGGCAGGAGAATCGCTTGAACCCAGGAGGCAGAGGTTGCAGTGAGGCAAGATTGTGCCATTGCACTCCAGCCTGGATAAAGCAAGACTCTGTCTCCAAAAAAAAAAAAAAAATAGATTTCATATGTTGCCTTTCTCATAGACGTTCCCTTCTTGATCCCTTAGATGAACTATTTTCCTCTGTGGCTTCCAGATTTTCTGAGATTATATCTTTGAGTGGGAATGATCAAGTGGCCTGAACACTACCTGTCTGGCCCCTAAACAGGGCAACAGAGAGTGTAGGGGACTTGCTGGGGCAGTGAGTCTTCCCCCATGCCCAGCAGGAGGCAGAGCACAGCTAAGGATGGACGCAAGGTTCCCTTCAGAGGCTGTGTGTTCAGGCCTGGGGCTGGGGGTGGGATAGAGTGGCAGGGGCAGGGTGGGGGGGCGGGGAATGGAGCCACCCCATACCGATGTGTCTCCGTGTCAGCTCCACTGCTGCATTCCTGTTGACATTGGAGAGCAGCCCTAGGCAGAAGCGCTCCGAATTGGAGGGGTCGGTGAAGCCATCCACAGTCATGGATGGCTGCGAGGCGTGGAATGTCTCCCCGACGCGCTGGTTCAGCTCGTAGTAGGAGATGGAGCACCAGAAGGCCGGCTCGCAGTAGGTAACTGGCTGCAGGTCTGTGGACACAGGGTGGGCTACTGGGTCATTGGGTGTCCCAAGCCCCATGCTCCCTCGATGGGGTCCCATGGACACTCTGGAAAACCATTTCCCCGCATTTCAGAGGGATTATAATCTCCCTACCCCATGCCTTTTATCGTATAAAACTGGCAAGAGCCACCAGAACAAGATGCTCAGGTGTCTGGAGGAGATTCCATCAGCCTTGTGTGTAAAGGGCCATTGATTTCTCTTTTTATTTATTTATTTATTTATTTATTTATTTATTTAGCTCATAAAGGCCCTGCCCCGCCTGCTTGGCCTTGACTGGATGGAAGGAGTCTTCAAGGAGGGGCTGGGCCAAACCTGAAGAGGACCAGGGGCCACCCAGTACCTGGATGAACCTGGGACAGCCACTGCGTGTACTCACTGTGGGGCAGGCCACACCTCCTGCACAGTCACCTCTCAGCCTCTGTTGCAAGGTCCCCAGAGTAACCCACATTAATCCCTGCCCCTAAAAGGGCTTTCAGATTTTGGCTCTGCACAGCCTTGGGGGCAAAAACTCCCAGCCTGTGGAGCAGCAGCTTCCAAGCCTGCAGCAGCCGAGTGGGTTCCCAACAGCGCCCCATGTTGGCGCAGTGGACACACCAGGCATCATCTGCAGACTGAGCCTGGGGCCATGCCTCCTATCACAGAAACTATTTTCCACACTTATCTAGATGCCGGCTGTTGGGGTGGCTCGGACACAAACCCTTCTGAAAGAAAATCTGTATTTGTCCCAGTTGTCTGTACAGTCTCCATTAGGGGCTCCTCAAAGCAAAACTGCCATTCTACAAGGGGCTGGTTCTCTTTCTCAGAAGAGTAAATGGCAGCTTCTCCTCACACTAGAAATGGATCCCAGCCTTCCATTTCCTGGGGCCTCCTCGCCCTCCTCTTGCCCCGGCCCAGTGGCCCTGGCACTGTGCCCTCCTACTGCACGCCTCTGCAGCATCTCCAGGCCCATTCTCTCAGCCCTTGGCCGGGCCCTCGGAATTCCCACTCACACCGATGCCACAGCCTCTGGACCAGGACTGCCCTGCGCCCTGGGCCAACCTCTTCCAACTGCTTCTCTGCACTGCACTGACTGCTGGGCGCGAGCCCTTAGCCTACGACACTCTGCTTGATGCCTACCTGAATTCCATCCATCTGCTGAAGAATTAGGGAGTCCCCTGCTCATTCTCGCTCTTCCATCTCAAAGCTTCAGCCTGCCTCTGAAGTCCCTCTGGCTCTTAAATATACCCGAAGCGACGCAGTTACTAAGGGTGTGCCTCTCTGTGAGCATCCTGACTGTCCAACTTGACCATGAGGTCCCAGGGCCCAGGCTGACATCTCTCCTCCCTCGCTTTAACCCTCAGCATGGGGCTGAGGGTTCCTCCTCAGGGAGGAACAGGAGACGCTCCCCATGCCCACGTCTCAGCCCTGGCCTGAGAACCCTGCTCACTGGATGCCAGGCAACGTCTAGGAGGGGGAACCCACTGGGAGGATCCCTGCTCATCAGACCTTCTGAAGGTGTGTAAAGCCCAAGAGAGAAAAGTCAGAAGCTGTTCTGCCCACTGGAAGGGGTCTGGTTGCCCCTGCAGGACAGAGTGTCCCAATCCCCTTTTGGAGTCTAGGTGCATGATCCTTTCTAAGAGCAAGGAGAACACTATCACGAATGGCGAAGGGGCAGGCCAGTAACACCCCTGCACTCCACACACACCCAGGAAGTGTCAGCTGGAGGATTAGGACACCCTAGGTCAGGTTTTTCAACTTCAGCACTACTGACATCTGGGGCCAGATAATTCTTTGTTGGGTGGGTGGATGGGTGGGAGGGAGGATCTGCAGATTGCAGGATGTTTAGCAGCATCCTGGCCCCTACCCACTAGGTGCTAGTAGTATACATCCATAACACCCTCTCAAGTTGTGGCAATAAAAAAAGGCTGCGGATATTGCCAGATGTCTTCTAGGGGGCAAAACGGCCTCCAGTTGAAAACCATTGCCCTAGATATTTAACTGGATCATGGGGCACAAGCTATAAAGCCATCCTCCAGACAGACTGGAGGTCAATCTTGGCTCAGGCACAGACTAGACATGCAACTGCGAGCAAACCAGCTACACTCTGTGGGCCTCATCCTCTTTACTCTCGGCGCTGTTTCTGGACAGACAGAGATAACTCATGTGAGGTGCAGGGCGCGCATCAAACACTCAGCACATGGTGTTAACAACAATGATAATAGCCCGATTCTGTGAACTTGAAAATAGCCTGGTCCTATCTTGATCACCATCAAGATGGAGAGGCAAAGCATTCTTGTCGTTTTCTCTCTTCCTGGGGTGGAGCAAAGGAAGATAAGGATGAAGGCATCAAAAGTACTTAATGGGGAAGGGAGGAATGACAGGGCCAGGAGCAGCTGCGGCTTGTGCCCTGGCCCCTGAGGTGAGGCTGAGCCACGTCAGCCACGTCTGGCTCTGGCTTTGCTTGATGCTTCAACATTCCAATGAGATAAGCTATATTCTAAACAATGTGGTCACTAAAATGTGAGCTATGTTGATTTGGAAACTTAAAAAAAAAAAATCCAAGTGCAACCCAAGCATTCAGAGTGGTCAAGCAATGTATCAGTGCTGCTGGCCACCACTGCCCAAGCGCAGGCTCTGCTGATCCTGCTGTGTGACCTTGGGGACATGACCTCCTTCTGTAACCTCAGTTTTGTAGTCCGTACAATCACTGTGGTACACTAGAAGACAATAAAGCTACAATAAAGCTGACCACCTAGATCATTCTCTGGCACGGGTCAGCTTGAACATATAGCTTTGACTGGCCCTGACTTACTCAGCAATGTGTAGAACAGAACAGGGTCCTCACCCCAAAATCATAAAGCCCTGCCCAGCATTCTCTGGGTTTAGTCCAGGCAGAAGAGAAAGAGCTAGGCTCCCAGGAACGGCAACCCAGCCCACCATTCAAAAAAAGAAAAAGCTGGCAGGCCACCCATTGTGTCGCATGGTGCTAGAACCATGCTCTGGGGAAGGGTGGGCTTCAAGGACCCTCAGAATCAAAGACAGGCCTGGGGTCATAGGCCGAGAGGCCCTCCCAAGCAGATCTGAGCCCTTATCCAAACAGCCCTGCAACTCACAGACACACACCGGACAGTGTTGTGGAAAACCCCGGACACTAGGAACCTGACACATCATTAAGAAGATGCTTGTTTGAGGGAGCAGTGAAATCAGGCCAGTGGCAAAGTCTGCAGGCTGCCATTTCAGAGAGTGCTGTTTGGACAAGCTGCCCTGTGTTCAGAAGCGGGACTGAGCCAGAGCAGCACCCCAGCCATGCGCTTTCTATTCTCTGCAAACAACTAAAAGCCAGCCGTGATTTCCCTCCTTTCTAGGTCCCTCCCGCCCACCATGCCTCAGCTGCTTCCTCCCAGAACTTGTGCAAGAGGAGTGGCAGACCAGAAAGTATGGTCACCACCTGTGGGTTCTGCCTTCAATGGCACATTTTTCCTTAACAAAAAAAAAAACAAAAAAACAGACCATATGCAGTGGTTCATACCTGTAATCCCAAGCACTTTGGGAGGCCAAGGCAGGCAGATCACTTGAGGTCAGGATTTCGAGACCAGCCTGGCCAACCTGGCGAAACCCCGTCTCTACTAAAAATACAAAAATTAGCTGGGTGTGGTGACGGGTGCCTGTAATCCCAGCTACTCTGGAGGCTGAGGCAGGAGAATCACTTGAACCCAGGAGGCAGAGGTTGCAGTGAGCCAAGATCACGCCACTGCACTCCAGCCTGGGGGATAGAGCAAGACTCTGCCACACACCAAAAAAAAAAAAACCCAAAACACTAAATATGCCCTCATTTCTTTCCCAAAGTACTTATCCTTACCCTGGTTAGTACCAGAGAAACAAAAAGGACTCTGGAAAGAAGGCGGCTATAAATGGGATAACCATGAGGTTATAGTTACTGCAAAAGCATCCAGTTTGGCTCTGAGCTTCCTAGTAGACAAGACAAAAAGGGAACATGACATGGTCTATGGCTCTGGTTGGTGGATGGGCAATGCTTACTAGTTCCTCAGGGAAAACAAAGTTTGTCCTGGCATTAAATCTTAAAAGAAATCTCTCAGGGGGAGGTGGCAACCCCTCCCCTGACCAATCAATCAACTGATCAAGCAAGCAAGCAAATTAAGATCTGGTTTCAAGGATTTACCAACAAATGCAGAAGCAGTTCTATAGAAGGCTCCTCTAGGAGAATGACTACGGGGGGTAAGGTGACACACCCCATTGAAGAGCAGTTTCACCTCTAGGCTGAGCATTTTGCACAGCTGGGGTGGTAGACGATGGCACGTGCCCACGGCCTTCCCTTCAAACAGCCCTGCTCCTGGCCAGATTTCTGAGTCTGTGCTAATCTCTCCTCCCAGTGCAGAGGTGTTGGAGACGCAGGAACCTCCAGCTCCAGCCTTTGTGGATCCCCCTCCCCCACCAGTGTGGTGTCGGCCAGACTTCTCAAGTGCCATAGGGCACTTAATCCATGGCTGGCCCCCTGCCAGCCTAACGCATTGGCTGGCCTCAGTTTTCAGTCCTGTTCCAAGCTGGCACAGACGTTCCATTATGTTTAAGAAAAAGAAAACAGAATAAAACCCAGAAGGCAACACTTGGATTAAGGGATGCCTATTAAAAACATGTGCAAGAGATTCAAATCCCGTAAAGGAAGAGGTGGGGAGGCAAGGGGGGAAATTAACTTTCTCCTATAAATCGAAAGCAAGGAACGGGCAAAGGCCAGGAGCACTGCTGCTGCAAGACGAAAGGTCAAAACAGAAATGGGCTGGTTTCTGCTGGGCCCACCTCACCTGCGGAAGGCAGCTCTTCCTCAATCTAGGAGATTCCACACTCCAGTTCCCATGTTCCTCATCCACCACTTCTCAGTCCTGCCTGGGTCCTCTGCCTGGACTGCCCATCCCCCTCCTCTGCAGGGACTCGATCTTTAAGGCCCAGCTCACACGGCTGTGAAACACTCCCTCACTGCCTCAGTGCAGAATTAACCTTGTGTCCCAGAAACTGTGTACCTGAGTCTCCTATGCTAGAGGATGAGGTCTCTGTGAGCCCACGCCAGCTGTGTCCCAGCACCCAGGGTACTAATTCCAACCTATGTATCTGCGGACTAAAATACCAAACCAAGCTGCACAGAGACCCCCATGCCCTTTTAGCTTATGACCAGCATACTGCAACCAGGAACAGTGGCAAAGTCTAAAAACCGGGCCCTCAGGAGTATGAAGACAGAGCCGACAGCTGACTTCCTGTCATTATGTTGCCTGCCTGTGATTTCACAAGTGTGGGGAAGACCCTGCCTGTGATTTCACAAGTGTGGGGAAGACCGGAGCCAGAGGCTGCATTGTAAAAGAGCCTTGGGCAGCAGCATGAAGATGCCTGGAACTGGGTTGGGCCTCTGCCCTGGGCCGCCGTCCACACTCAGGGCTGGTGGTCTTCGGGCCGCCCTGCCACCACACCTGTGCTCACACATGGGCACAGGGGCTCATGAAGCAGAGGGGAAGCCGGGCCTGTCAGCGTGGAGTCTCACCCAGAATCCTAACCCTGACTCACGGGGCAACTTGCCCCCGATTCACACCTTCCCAGCAGAGGTGCAACTAGGCCAGTGCAAAGTGGCACCCTGGGGGGAGGGTCCTCCCTTTGGAAGAAATAACCTAAGAATTCTCAACTCTCAGGCAAGGTGCCTGAGGAAGCGTCAGTAGGGAGGGAGAACTATGTCAACAGGAGATGCTGCCTTGGGTCCAAGCTCAAGAAACATCCCATCATCCTAGTCTACACAATCTAGAGGGCAATTCACAGCAAACGACCACCTTTCAGTCTGAAGCACTGCATCCGGCATCAGCCACCTCCAAGCTGCCCTATCCCTCTCACTCCAAGCTGCCCCATCCCTGCCTCTCACTCCTGCCACTGGCACTCTGGAAGCCATCACCTCCTTTAACTCCAGCTCAACTGCTCCCTCAGGGCTCTCCCTGGTACATTATTTTCCTCAGTCATGGCTCCGCCCTAATCATCTCACTTTAAAGCAGGGAACAACTTACTCACCAGGCAGAAGCCAGCTCACTACCTTTTTCCTCTCTCCACCTGCCTCCTCCTTCCCCTCCATTTACCCCAATCCTTCCGCCTTAAATGCCTAGGAAATTCCCGGTGACTCACCCAGCACGCTGTGTAATAACAGGAACATCACCTGCTCATATCTCCTGCCCTGCAAACAACGGTCCCAGGTCCCAGGGTCTCCGAGAGCCTGCCTGGGGCAGGATGCTGAGCCAGGTCTCAACCAGGAGTCCCTGCCCCTTACCAGAAGTGGCTTTGCTGGGGCAAGGAGGCTCAACCTTCCCCAGACCTGAGCCCTGGGGCTAACACCTGGAGTGGGGAGGAAATGAAAGGAGAAACCAGATGTCCTCTGCTTTCTTTCTTTTTGTACAGTAATTTCATAATAATCTCTTTAAAGGAAATAATCAGATGTCCTGAGATGTCCCCATTTTTTCCTAGGAAGAGCTCCCTGTGTGCTTGCCTCCATCCTAGGGTTTGGGACGCACTGACTGTGAGTCAGCACAAAGGCTGCGCTGCTGGGTGCCTCCACCTCCCCACCTGGTACTTGCCCTTCAGTGCACTGCTGACTGACTGCAGCCCCTCCCCTCCTACACACTGCTCCCTAAAAGCTCCCCCTTGAAACCCTGATGCCAAATCCAAGGCCTCTTCTTAAATCTCATTTTGCATCTCTGCAGGGCCCGCTTGTAGCCACTGTCCTTCAGGGCTTGCCTCCCCTCTGAGCTGCTGTGACCCCATCATCCCCCTGACCTCAGCCTTCTCCAAGGAACCCCCACCACCCGAGCGCATCTCTGGCTGTCTTTCCATCTTGAGCTGGGTCGGCCTCTCCACTAAATCCATCCACTGGCATGACTTCAGCCAAACTTCATCGGTGTTTCCAGAGTCAGATCTATGGATGGGTAATGGGGCGGTAAGACAGAAGTACAGGAACAGTGATCAGTGCATGGGAGGAAGGCTGGGTCAGACAGGCCTCCTTCTGCAGGCTCCTCAGAGCGTGGCCATGTGAGTCCCTCCTGAGTGGGGGCTGGAGGAGAGGCCACAATACAGGCTTTCCACACTCATTCAACCACCAAACCCCTTCTCTCAGGCCCCGCTATGGGAAAGGCTGCCACATGTGTTCATGGTTTCCAAATCTGCGCCTCCAGCGCCAGCCGCTTTCCTGACTTTCCAACTGCTTCCTGGACATAGTTAAGCACAGGCAACCCACCACCATCTTTCACCCCCAACCCATTCCACTTCCTGGGTGTCCAGCCTCGATGGGGGCATCACCATCATCCCACTTAACGCTGGTCAACAAACCCTGCTCATTCAGGCCCATGATTCCCTCTCAAATGCATTCTCCCAGCTCTGCTACCATTTCTCGAAAGCATTTATCTCAGCCTCCTCCAGAGGAAGAGCTGTCTAAGTGGGTTTTTGTTTTGTTTTGTTTTGTTTTGCCTCCAGTAATTTCCCCTAGAATTTAGATTCCACACAGTGGCCAGATTAATCTTTATGAAGCTGTCATCAGAAAACCTCCCCAATCAAAACCCACAAACAACTTTATTCTATAGGCAAGAGGGCGCTAAGCAGACACTCAGGGGTCTTTTCCCAGTGCCCCACCTGCCATTTCAGCCTCCTTTTCCCACCTTGTCCCTCTTGAGACAACAACCAACCACCATGCCAGCTGTCCTCAGACCACATAATGCCCTTGGACCTGCAATGTCCTTCCATCCTTCTCTGCCTCACAGGGTCCCATCTGTCCTTCAAGGGCCCGCTCACACATGGCACAACCTCTCCCATGTCTCCCCACTCCATCCACACTTTCCTCCTTGGCATATACTATTCCTCCCTCTTCTGGACTTTCTCCCTGGGCACCTGGCACAACGCATTACAGGTGGACATGGACACCTCCAGCTGCCCCCCTCCCCGCCCCCAGGCTGCAAATGTGTAGTGCTCTCCCAGCTCTGGCCCCCAGCATCAGTACATAGTGGGAACTCAGCCAATGTTGACTGAGCGCATGGATACAGAGGAGACGCCTGGCCAGCCTGGAATCCCATCGCTCCATCCCTCGAACCCTCAGAGTACTTCATCTGCACCTCCTTCTTGTTTTAGAATCATTTTTGGTCCTGCCTTATTGATCCCAACAAGGCCGTAGCCCCTCGATGGCTATGTCTGTGGTCCCTCTTCCAATCCCCCACCTGAACGGCAGGCAGACAAGAAGTATCTGGGAATGAGGGAGTGAGGAAGAGGCATACAAGCAGGCAGGGCTTCCCCCCGGGAGCCACAGCCACAGACTTTTACGTCTCCAACGTAAAAGTCAGCAAATGCCTTGTCTGAGCCTTGTTCCTCCAAGTGAGGAAGGTGGGGACAGGTGGTCTAAACGGCCCAGCAAGGCAGTGTCATGCCACAATGGGAGTGCACGCTCTGGAGTGAGAGGGCCTGAGTTCAAAGCCACCTTCTCCATTCACTAGCTGTGAATCTGGGACACATGAGTTCACCAATGTGTTCCCCGGTTTCCTAATCTGTAAAATGAAAAATCACAACGCTTCTGCCTTATAAAGTTATAAAGATCAGGTTAACATGCAGGAAGCACTCCGAATAACAGTAAACAGCAAACTCTCAAGAAATGTTTCCCATCATCATCACCATCTCACCCCCTTCCAGCTATGACACTGGGAGTCCAGGTGACCTTCTGGGTAGGGATGAAGTCAATGGTTTGAATGGGTGAAGGGGAGCACAGGGGCTCATGAAGCAGAGGGGAAGCCAGGCCTGTCAGCACGGTGTCTTACCCAGAAGCCTAACCCTGACTCACTGGGCGACTCGCCCCCGATTCACATCTTCCCAGCAGAGGTGCAACTAGGCCAGTGCAAAGTGGCACTCATTCTCTGCTGGCCAGGCTCGGGGAGGGTCCTCCCTTTGGAAGAAATAACCTAAGAATTCTCAACTTTCAGGCAAGCTGCCCGAGGAAGGGGCAGTAGGGAGGGAGAATTATGTCAACAGAGGATGCTGCCTTGGGTCAGAGCTCAAGAAACATCCCATCATCCTCATCCTAGTCTACACAATCTAGAGGGAAGTTCACAGCAAATGACCACCTTTCAGTCTGGAGCACCGTGTCCGGCATCAGCCACCTCCAACCTGCCCTGGGACTGCTATGGTTTCAAAGGCAAGTGTCTGCTTGGAAGGCTGTTGACTAAAAGTGCTACCTTGGCCCCAGGAGGGTTTTTAAATGCCATAGAAAATAAATCTAAAGCAGCCAATCTCAAAAGCTGAAAGCCCGGAGTCAAGTTCACCATCATGGCCTTTAATTTCTCAAGTGTTAACTTCGCTTCTAGCCTTCAGTTTGTTTTTAATAACTCAGTCCTTTCATATCAGGAATCTGACCTTCCCTCTGCAAAGCCCGGCACTCATGGTGATATTATTTTACAAAAATGTTAAAACAGATCTCCCAAAGTCACATCCCACACTGCCCAGGTCAGCCTGTTCTAAAGGGTTTCAAGCATCTCCTAATATTCCAAATGATGAGTTTCTTCATCTGACGCTGTCAGTCAAGGTCTGGAAGCAAATGGGCACAAAAACCAGTCCAATCCACTTTGATTCGCCAAGAAATATTAACTATTTCTTTTCCTGAGCCACAAATTAAGCCTCAGCAATAAAGTTCCAAACAAAATCCAACTTACATTTTCTAAAACTACCAGACCAGAATATAAAAATCTCCCCTCAATAAAAACTAAATGGATATTTCATTTGTTTGAAGCCCTTTGGCAGGTTCCATGCCAAAGCCTATCCCAAGCTGGAGAACTGAAGGACCCTACTGGGTTAGAAAATTGAGTCTTGGAAAAACTGACCCAGCAGTCTAACCATGGAGGGATGTTGCGGAAACAATGGACCCTCCACTCCAAAACATCATGAGATAACACACAACGATAAACAAGACACCTAAATACGGAAACGTGTTTACAAAATAACATAAGGAGAAAAGAGAATGAAAACACCAGATATGCACTATGATCTCAGTGGCAAGGCACAGAGATATATATGCCTGATGCACAAACATCAGGACTGTAATCACACATAGACAGTTATGTTAGGGTGGTGGGATTATGGGCACTTTGACTTTATTTTCAAATTCCGTATATGTTGCTATTTTAAGAAAAATTACACAATTATAAGATGAAACACTCAAATAAGTATATCTGAAACAGGTCTATAAATGTCAGGGGGCTGGAGTCTGCATGGCTGTCCGTGGCTTTGCACCAAACTGCACACGTATGCTTAGCTGACCACAGACCCTCGTTCTCCTGGGCATAAAGTTTGGGGGAATTTTCATTCACTCACGTCTACCCGCCCCCCAGGGGAAATACAAACCTGGCATATGGTTGTCTTTCCTGCCACCACTGTTCTCAAGTTTCCCCATTCCGTGGTGACCTCAACATCACCGTAACCAGAAACCTGATGGGCTGAGCTGGGCTGATGGTAGGGGTCGGGGGAGAGCCTTACCTTCAGGGCCCCCTCCCCACACTGGCGACTCGCCAGGGCTGCAGCTAGAGGGGGTTCCAGTTGTGTGCACAAGGAGATACTCACCCAAGTTATTATGTGCTGGGGACATCGGATTCGGGGATAGGTTTGGAGAACCTGCGAGGTGAGACAAGTTGTGAGACTTCACAAAAGATTCTTGGCCTGGAGAGCCAAGTTACTAAACACTTACATATCAAGGAGGGGTAGCCCAACACAGCAGAAAGAAAACCCTGGACTGAGGGGTCCCAGGAGAAGGCCTAGCCCATACCCTTGCCTCTACTTTCCCTCCCTGGGCCCCAATTTCTTGTCTGGAATGAATGCATTGAGTGGATGATCTCAGAGGTCTCTTATGATTATGATCTCAGAGGTCTCAGATAGTTTTATGATCCTAACCAAGACTCCCAGCTCAGGGCTGCTAAATTCTCAACTAGAATAAGTGACACATTTTTTCTTTAGCTTACACCACCTGCCCTATTAACTATGCCCTCAGGAAAATGAGAGGAGCAGGGAAGCCCTTCTCCCAAGCTGCAAAGACCCAGGAAGCAGGAGGCCAGCCCTCCCACACAGGCAGGGCTTGAGGCCTCCCCAGCATCACCAGCCACCGACCTTGGTCAGAGGCTGCAGCAGCTCAGGTGCTGGAAAGATCAATTTCAGGAAACTCACAAACCTGCCTCAGAAACCCTGCAACTCAGCAACCAGACAAACACTTTATGCAAAAGATGATGATGCACGTGGGAAAAAGTCTCAATCTACCCAATTCTTACTCTATTATGTTCTCTACACCTCTCACCTCCAGAAAAAAAGAACTCACATGGTATCAGCCTTCAAAAATAAAACAGTGGACACTTTTCCAGAGCAGCATCCTGCTCGTCCCCGCTCCTCTGTTCCTCTATCAAGAAGGCTGCGGAGGCCGGGTGCAATGGCTCACATCTGTAATCCCAGCACTTTGAGAGGCTGAGACTGGGGGATCACTTGAGCCCAGGAGTTTGAGACCAGCCTGGGTGATATAGGGAGACCCTGTCTCTACAGAAAAAAAAAAAAAAAAAAATAAGCCGTAAGTGGTGAAGGCTGAGGCTGGACAATTACTTGAGCCTAGGAGATGGAGGCTGCAGCGAGCTGTGTTTGCACCACTGCACACCAGCCTGGGCAGCAGTGAGACTGTTTCAAAAAATAAAAATAAAAAAGGAGACTATTTGTTAACCACCCTATGGGGTCTAATTCCACCCCATGAAATCTATCAGTCCTGAGACTGGGTCCAGCATCTGGCCTCAAGTGAATGCTGCCTTGCGCTGTTTGTGGGAATCTCTTCTTTTGCCCCAACTCAGCTGTAACCTCCTTGAGGGCAAGGGAAGAACCACGGATTTCTCCTTCTCCCCTGTAACCCCAAATGCAAAGGGGGATGTGGAATATTCACCGAGAGAACTAAGTTACAGAATCAGTCACAGGGTCTAGACAACCCCACGAATCAGCTACGTGAGTTTGGCTAAGCCGTTTAACTTCTATGAGCCTTAATTTTTTCCTCAGGTATAAAATGAGGATAATATCATCTACTGTGTGACATGTAAAAATTAAGTAAGACTGTGCATATAAAAATGCTTACACCATGACCGCTACATGGTAGGCACTGGATAAATGCTTGTCCCCTGTTTTGTGCTGGCCTGAACCACAAAGACCTAGGAAGTCCAAGGGGCCTTCTCACAAGTCTAAAAGGGCGCATATGTAGGTGAAGGGACATGGGGAACAACGTGACCCTCTGGCCCGAGACACTACCACACCCTGGGGGGCAGGGAAGCCAAGCCCGTGAGCAACTGGACTATCCAAGCAGGCAACTCTGAAGAACAGAGACTAAAACAGGAGAGCCCCCACCCACACACTGGCTGGGGTCCGCAAGTCTGGTCTGTCTCTACTGTAGATAAATCACTCATGTTCACAACAGGACCCTGCAGGCACACTTAATGAGAAGAAAGGAAGAAGGGAGAGGGGACAGAGTAAAGGGAGGCACAAGGAGGAAGAGGAGGGAGAAGAAACAAGAGCTGACAGGGTGAAATCTGGGCTGCTCTTTCCAATCTCCAGCCCCTCTGGTCCATGTTTGTTTGTAACAATAATCATTGTGCAAATATGGAGAGCAGCAGAAAGGGAAGAGGGAGCGCAGAGTGGGAAGAAACACAGCAGCTGGAGACATGCTGCTCCGCTGGCCTGCTTCCCACGCCTGCACTGAATAGCTGCAAGCTTGCAGCGGTCACTTGGCATCGGATACAGGAAGGTCTTCGATGCATTCCAGCTGGTTCGCGCTACTAGTCACTCCGCCGGGTGGGTGTGTTTCACCGGGTGTGCTCAACCCAAAAGTGCCACGATGTCCAGGCTGGATTTCAGCAACTACAATGTACATGCGAGTCTCTTTCGGTCTCTCAGGAATTGCACAACCTCAGCCAGGTGCGGTGTAATCCCAGCACTTTGGGAGGTCGAAGCGGGCAGATCACCTGAGGTCAGGAGTTTGAGACCAGCCTAGCCAACATGGCGAAACCCTGTCTCTACTAAAAATACACAAATGAGCCGGGCGTGGTGCTGCATTGCCTGTAATCCCAGCTACTTGGGAGGCTGAGGCAGGATAATAGCTTGAACCCAGGAGGCAGAGGTTGCAGTAAGCTGAGATCGCGCTACTACACGCCAGCCTGGGCAACAGAGGGAGACTCTGTCTGGGAAAGGTGGGGGAAGGAATTGCACAATCTCTTCTGGGCTGTGTGCGAGGGCAGGTGGCTCTGCTGTGTCTAGCGGCTCTGTGTGTACGAGGCATGCCCACCACCATCGGAATGGAACATCTGCGTGGTTCCCTCTCCCCTTCTCCTCCTCTCCCAACCACACACAACTCAGTACACATTCTATGTGGCAGCTGGGGTTCAATTCAAGAAGCTGCTGGTCTGGAGCCAATTTGGTCCTATAACAAATGATATGGGAAACATCTGGAGATGTAGCAGGAGAGAAATAAGCCCTGCCCCTCACGGCAGGAGCACACACATCACATGTGGTTGTCACACAAAAATACTGGCTTCAGGGGTCTCCACTGGTCATCAGAAGAGGCATTAGTTCCATTCAGCCTCTCCTTGCCTCCCATGTGACTGCTTGAGGTGATCAAGGCCACTCTCTACCCTGCTGCTGGTGACATCTCACTAAGGCACAGGCCCTGCTTACAGCCTGCAGCGGTTCCCATCAGCCCTGACTAAATGCCAAGTGGTCTGGCTAGCTTGAAGGTCCACCACACTGGGACCCCTGTGTGGCAGGCCCTCCCATCTTCTCCCCACTGGAGAGAGTGTATCCTCCAGCCACGCTGAGCTCCCTGGGCTAGACACTCTCTGGACTCCAGACACACTGAGCTCTTACTGTCCCCAGAATGCACCAGGCTGTCCTGCCCAACCCCCATGACTCTGCCTGGCACACCCCTTGCCCACTCTAACAGCTTGGCTAACACTTACACATCACCAAGACTCAACCTGGGGAAAAACCTGGACTGCAAGGTGCTGCTCCTCCCCAGACCGGGTGAAGTGGCCCTGCTGTGTGCCTGGTGCCATGCGGCATCTTCCATCAGGGCATACACGAGATGGCCCAGTGACTACTGACTGTCCTGTCAATCTCCCCCATCATCTGTGAGCAGCTCGGACCCTCTTCTATGCCCTGCCCCTTGCACATCGCGGTTGCTCTACAAATACTGGAGAGAGAGATAGAAGGGAGGGAGGGAGAGGGCGAAGAGGAAGGGATGGAAGGGATGAACCCACCAGCTGCTAATCAGTTAAGAATAAGAGCATGACCCTGCATGACTGACCTGCGTCCATGCTGTGGTTCATCTGGTGGTCACTGGTTTCTCCATCTTCACTCAGGTAGCCAGGGGGTGGGGTCTCTGGGAATCAGAAGGAAGGTGGTCTGTTAAAAGGCCTTCACAGCTTGGCTCTGAGACACCTTTTGCAAAGACATCACACATGCACACCATGATGCTAGCATCCGTGGCTGTAGGAGCTCCAGGTCTTGGAGTAGAGGTTCCAGCTCTTGGTTCTGTTGTCCTCGCCCCTGTCCACCTCTGACTCCCGCTTGGATCATAACTGCCTTTGCTCACGCAGGACCGGATCAACTCCCAAGTCTGAAATGTGTACTCCTAGAGCCTCTGCCAGGCTAACTTATCCTGGTCCTTCAAGGTGAGGGTTAAGCCCCACCCCCTCCAGGGAGGCGTCCAGACTTGCCTCCGCCTCACCCCTTTCTGTCCTCTGAAGATCTGCAGGCTCAGACCCACCCTTTGGTCCCTACTATCTTCTTCTGTGCAGACCAGGTGTTATTATTTGTTGTCTCTAAGGGACGTGTCCTCACTCAGCAGTTAGGTTGCAAGTTCAATGACGGCAAAGACAGTGTGATCTATTTCTCTGAAACCTCCCCCAGACCCTGACTGAAGCCCTCCAAGATTTGCTCTTTGAACAGGGAGTAGTTGACTTACCCGCGGGACGCCAGGGCTACCCGCAAAGGATCTGAGAAGGTTGGACAGTGGGTCTCCTCCTTAACACTCTGACCCAAGCACACAGGCCTGTAGCCAATCTCAGCCCAGTAAACTAACCCAGGATGAACGTCACGTCCAAATTAGAATGCTCTAAGAGGAACGCAGCAGGATTACTGCCCCAGCAAGCAAAAGTGACTAGCCCAAGTGCTGCCAAGCACAGCTTTCCTGGAGTCTGAAAGTGCTGGTGATTCACACGTTATTTGCATGTAAATGAGGGGCTTCTAAAAACATTTGCAGTCTTTGACGGCAAAGCCCATTTCTCCCTGCAGAGTGAAAACTCAAAGTCACTTCAATTCCCACCCAGGTTGGAGCCCCTCACCGAGGCCTGATGCCCAGGCGAATTTACAGAGCCAGCTCTCCGCACTTGCTGCCTGGCCCTCAGCTCACTCCCCGCCTCTGCAGACCCCCAGTCTATTGGGACTGAACACCAGTCCGGGCCTCAAGGGCGGTGAGAGAAACAGTGTTGCTATTTCCGCTTCCAAAATAAATGACTGCACCAAGGCCGGGCGGAAGGGTCACGCTGCTCCTCTATGCCAAGAAAAGCATCACTAGTGAGGGGGGAGCTGAGGTCATGGGTCCTCTCCCAACAGGGATGCGGTTCTGAGTCAGGGGCCCTCAGGCCAGAGCTGTGCGCAAAGAGGGGGTGAGCGGGGGACGGCCAGGGGGCAGAGATTGGGGCCACAGGACTGATGTCGGGGCTGACCGCTGCCCCTGCCTCCCAGGCCAGCCTGTGCCGCCCACGTGCCTACCTGGAATATTGCTCTGGGGCTCGATGCCTGCGGGGAAGTTAGTGTTTTCGGGGATGGAATGGCTGTAGTCGTCCAGTGGGGGGAACTCGGCCGGGATCTCTGTGTGGCGTGGCACCAACACAGGAGGTAGAACTGTCCGGGGGAGACAGAGCAGAGGTGGCTCAGTGTCGATGCCAGACCAGCACCAAAGTCCCCGCACCCCCAAGTGCACCGCAGACCCTCGGGGGGATGGGGAGCCGGGGAGAGGTGATGACCCCTGGCACCTGCTGTCCCCACAGGCAGGCCAGGCAGCATACCTGGTGTCTCTACTCTCTGGTAGTGGTAGGGATTCACGCAGACCTCGTCCTTCTTCATATTGAAGGCGAACTCACACAGCTCCATGGCCCGTAGCTCGTGGTGGCTGTGCAGGTCTGGCCATCGCCACAGGCGGCAGTAGATGACATGAGGGAGCCCCTTCCGATGGGACACCTGCAACCGGCCATCCAGGGACCTGCCAGGACGGGGAGGGGCAGAAAGAGAGGGAAATGTGGATTGTGCTTGCTTTCTGCAGAGTCCGGCCTCCTACTTTCAGACACTTGGAAAGCTCTCTCTCCCCTCATTTCTCCCAGATCCAGAGGTCCAGGAGATCAGAGCACTGCTAGCTGAGAGTGCTGGGAGGGATCTCAGGAGAAGACAACAAAGGCCCCGTGAGGACTCCCAGCTGGCAGAGCGGGCCTCACCCACCAGTCCCCGGTGGGTTCCCCAACTTTGTACTGCTCTTCAGGGAGTGGCATTCCATGGGAAGGGCCCGCACTTCAGTCACTTCAGTTGTGCTTGGAAAAGGTCCAGGAGCCACTCATCGGCTTCCTACTCAGCCCAGAGGTGTGGAGAGGGGACAGGGCTGGGGAAGACAATGAGAGTTCTTTAGGCACAGATATGAGGACTACAGTGATCCAAAGAAGAGTGACAAAGTACAAAGGCTGTCTCCCCTCATTCACTCAGGTCTTCCCTTGCACATTAGAAAGTCAGGGGAAAAAAAGAAAACTTGCCTTTCCTCCTCTTTTTTTTTTTTTTTTTTTTTTTTTTTTTCTGAGACGGAGTCTCGCTCTGTTGCCCAGGCTGGAGTGTAGTGGCGCCATCTCGGCTCACTGCAAGCTCTGCCTCCCGGGTTCATGCCATTCTCCCGCCTCAGCCTCCTGAGTAGCTGGGACCACAGGCACCCGCCACTACGCCCAGCTAATTTTGTTTTTGTATTTTTAGTAGAGACGTGGTTTCACTGTGTGAGCCAGGATGGTCTCGATCTCCTAACCTCGTGATCTGCCCGCCTCAGCCTCCCAAAGTGCTGGGATTTCAGGCGTGAACCACCGTGCCTGGCCCCTCCTTTCTTTTTTAGTTATTTGTGGTGAGCAGGGAGTGAAAGACGGAAATTAAAGGGATTTTTTTTTTTTTTTTTTTTTTTTTACTTTTGATACAGGGTGTTGCTCTGTCACTCAGGCTGGAGTGCAGTGGCATGATCTCGGCTCACTGCAACCTCCGCCTCCCAGGCTCAAGTGATCCTCCCAGCTCAGCTTCCCAAGTAGCTGGGACTGCAGGGGCACACTACTGTGCCTACTTACAATTGGCCAGTGCCATGACCCTGTGTGAACCATGTCTTCTATGGTGATTTGGCCAAGCAGCTATGACCCGGTGCCCTTACCTCTCAAGCCAGGCCAAAGTGTGGTCCCTGACCAGCAGCAGAGGTTCAGGGAAGTTTGTTAAAAATGTACATTCTCAGCGCCTACCCCAACCTACTAAATCAGAATCTTTCCCTTTGTGAAATCCCCAGGTGATCTGGATGATGAGAGTCTGGGTGGCTTACAGGAAAGGACTGGGGAGCTTGGGGCGGCAAAAGCATTGTCAGCTACAGGCAAGGCTGGGAGGCAGAAGGCTTCTGGAGGGACGTAAAACTTCAGATAGTGTCTGGTATTAGACAGGTGAGGAGGTGCCACTAAAATGGAGTCCCTTATTTAACACATATTTAATGAGCACCTATTATGTGTGACACTAAGGATACAGTGGTAAGGAAAGAGACTTCACTATGAGAAAAGGCCAGCAAAGTGGTCCCTGTCTGCAGGGACCCTCCATTCCACTGGGCAAGACCGGCATTAATCAAATAATCACCAAAACCACTTTGGGAGGCCGAGGCGGGTGGATCGCTTGAGGCCAGGAGTTCAAAACCAGCCTGGCCAACATGGTGAAACCCTGTCTCTACTAAAAGTACAAAAATCAGCCAGGCATGGTGGCGGGCGCCTGTAATCCCAGCTACTCAGGAGGCTGAGGCAGGAGAATCACTTGAACCTGGGAGGGGGAGGTTGCAGTGAGCCAAGATTGTGCCACTGCACTCCAGCCTGGGCGACAGAGCAAGACTCCGTTTCAAATCATCATCATCATCATCATCATCATCATCATCATCATCATCACAGAAACCTACAATTACACACAATGAAAGTGTCCTGAACGAAAATAACAAGGAACCCCAAGAGTGTATGACCATGGCACCCCACTTTGCTGAAGGACTGGACAGGGCATCTCAGAGGAGGTGATGGTTGACCTGAAGGCCTAAAGGGTAAGTAAGAACTAACCAGGCAAAGGGGTGCGGGAGAAGGGCAGTACAAGCAGAGGGAAAGGCACACACAAAGGCCCTGTGGAAAGTGGAAAACATGGTGAGGTCGGAAGAACAGAATGAAGGCCAGAAGGACTGGAGAGGGGATCATGAGAGAGAGCTGGCTTGAGACGAGGCCGGGGAGGCAGGCAGGGGTACTCTGCAGGGCCCCAAAGGCCATGATAAAGGCTTCTCCTGTTTTCTAAAAGCAGTATGTAGCCTCTGAGATGTGTAAGTGGGCTGTGCATACGTGTGAAAGAGACAGGCCCTGTGGAACTCTGGCTACGTGTGACCAACAGATTGCGGGTAGCAGGGATAGAAGTGGGGAGCAGATGAGATGGATGCTCATGAGTCACAGGTACCCTATTAAGAGGCAGGACTGCTTTTTCTTCAAGGAGGCCCATCCTAGGACCCTGCCAGTCAGTGCCATAATTTTTCTAATAGCTGGCAGGGCTGGCAGTGAGACATTTGCAAGCTTTCCCTCTGTGCCTTCTTATGACCGAGGGCACCCATTTGCCTGAATACAGAGAATTCATGGGCACTCTGTGAAGGAAGGGCTGGCCAGATGCCACCAACAGCACCAACCAAAGAGAGAAACAGAGGGATCCAATCACACTCTCCAAGCCACTGGCCTGGGAAGGGGAAAGGACAGACAAAGGTCATAGCTGGGCTTGGTCACAGGAACTGACCTGGAGCTGCTGACTAAGGGCATCTTGAAGGATGTAATTACCTTCCTCCCTTGGGGCCCCAGAACAAGGAAGCCCTACAGCTGAAAAACAGTAATTACCAGGCAGATCGAGAAGACAGCCTGGGACTCGTCCCTGAGGTATAAAAGGAGGACTGGCGGATGTGGAGCCATAAGACCTGGGGTAAAGGAGGGTTCTACTCTCCTAGCTGGGAGACACTGGGCAGCTCATGAGCTTCCTAGGACACTCAGTTTTCTCATCTATAAAATGGGGTATTCTGCCCCCCGACCTCCTGAAGCTTGGTTTCCATTTGAAAGTGCTTCATAAACACCCACAAATTAGCGTTATTATTCTCTATCACAGCAGATACTCCCCAAACCCAGCCCTGGATAAGTAGGGTGAGCTGGAGGTTGAACAGGAGTAAAAGGGAGAGTGGGAAGTGGTGAGTGGGAATAGAGAATTATTCAGCTGTTCTCCTTCTCCTGCAAAGCCACTGGGTGCCCACAGATTAGGGAAGTGGCCGTATTTGCTCTTCGGTGTTTGACAAAACTCCCAAAAAAGGGCCAGCTGGACATCATAGCCTCCTCTGCAAGAGAAGGCCTTGGAGAAAAGCTCATGCCAGCAGCGGGGGAGAATGGGGCTGTGGAGGTAAGCTCCATCTAGGTGATAGAAGTGGGTGGCCCTCTTGCCTTAGTAGTAATATTAATCATACATGAATCACTTGGATATTAATTAAACTTTTAAAAACAAGGGAGCTACAATAATCAAGGCAGTATGGTAATGGCACAAGGACTGACAAACGGATCAATGGAACCTAACAGAGTCCAGAAATAGTTACATATATATGGACGACTGGCTTCAACAAAGGTCCAAAGACAATTTAGTGGAGCAAGGACAGTCTTCAACAAATGGTGATGTAACAACTGGATATGTAAAAAAGATAATCTTCAAACTACACATTGTAACCCTATACAAAAACAAACTGAAGTGAAACTTAAACTCTAAAATGTCTAGAAGAAAACAGGAGAAAATCTTTGTGACTTTTTGGGATAGACAATGATTTCTCAGATACCACACCAAAAAGCACTTAATAATAATAAAAAAAAAATCAGACCGCATCAAGATTTAAGCCTCTGGTCTTTGAAAGACACTGTTAAAGGAATAAAAAGGCAAGCACTAACTAAGAGAAAATATTTGCAAAGCGTATATTTGATAATAGACCTGTTTCTAGAACTCTGAAAACTCAATATTAACAATTCAATCTTCTTTTTTTTTTTTTTTTTTTTTTTTTTTTTTTTTTTTTTTTTTGAGATGGAGTCTCGCTCTGTCGCCCAGGCTGGAGTGCAGTGGCACAACCTTGGCTTACTGCAAGCTCCACCTCCTGGGGTCACGCCATTCTCCTGCCTCAGCCTCCCGAGCAACTGGGACTACAGGCGCCTGGCACCGCGCCCGGCTAATTTTTCGTATTTTTAGTAGAGACGGGGTTTCATGTGTTAACCAGGATGGTCTCGAACTCCTGACCTCGTGATCCGCCTGCCTCGGCCTCCCAAAGTACTGGGATTACAGGCGTGAGCCACTGCGCCCAGCCAACAATTCAATCTTTTAAAAAAGAGATACATGATTTGAACAGACACTACCCAGAAAGATATGAAGACAACAAGCATATGAAAAGATGCTTGACAATGTTGATCATTAGAGAAGCACAAATTAAAACTACAATGAGATAGGACTACATACTTATTAGAATGGCTACAATTAAAAAGCCTGATCATGCCATGTATTGGCAAGGATGTGGAACAACTGGAACTCCCTTCCACTGCTGGTGCAAATGTAAAATGGTACAACTATTTTGGAAAACAGCTTGGAAGTTCCTTTCTAAAATATTTTATTTTGGGGGATACACAGTAGCTATACATATTTATAGGGTACTTGCGATATTTTGATACAAGCATACAATGTGTAATGATCAAATCTGGGTAATTGGGATATTCATCCCTCAAACATTTGGAAGTTTCTTAAAAAGCTAAAAAACCATAAGCCTACCATATGATCCACCATTCCACTTCAAAGTATTTACCCAAGAGAAATAAAAGCCTATGTCCAAAGACTTGTGCATGAATGTAATAGCCCCAAATTGAAAACTACTCCACATGTATTAACAGATGAATGAGCCATAACATATCCATACAAAGAAATACAACTCAGTAACAAAAAAGGATCAACTACTGATACATGCAACGCTATGAATGAATCTAAATTAATGATGCTGCGTGAAAGAAGCCAGGCATGATTCTGTTCGTGTAAAATTATAAGGTAATTTAAACTAAAGTAAAAGGCACACTAATCTTAATCTAGTGACAGAAAGCAGGGATCAGTCATTGCCTGGGGACAGAGGGAGTTACAGGGAGGGAGTAGGGATTGGAGGGAGCAATTACCAAGGTGCACTTGGAAACTTTTTTGGGGGTAAAGGTTATGTATATTCTCTTACTGCTATGGTGGTTTCATAGGTATATACATATATCATCATTTGTCATACTGCACACTTTAAATATGCAAGGCTTATTATTTATAAATTATACCACCATTCCAAAAAAAGGCAATGGACTTAATAAGCCTCAGTTTAAATAATGGTTCAGTACTTGCTAACTGTACAAAGTTGAAAAAAATCACTTAGTGTCTTGGTCTTAATATTTTTCATCTAAAACACTGACTGGACGTGGTGGCTCACACTTGTAATCCCAGCATTTTGAGAAGCCAAGGCAGGTGGATCACTTGATCCCAGGAATTCAAGACCAGCCTGGCCAACATGGTGAAACCCCATCTCTACAAAAAATATAAAAATTAGCTGGGCGTGGTGACCCATGCCTATAGTCCCAGCAACTCGGGAGGCTGAGATGGGAGGATTGCTTGAACCCAGCAGGTTGAGGCTGCAGTGAGCTGTGATTGCACCAGAGCACTCCAGCCTGGGTGACAGAGTGAGAATCTGTCTCAAAAAAAAAAAAATTCTTTTCCCCCAGAGGGATTAAAAAAATTTTTTTAATGAAATATTAGTAAGAACACTCAGTATTAACAATCCAATTTTTTTAAAAAAAGAGATATATGATTTGAACAGACACTACCCAGAAAGATATTCCAGAAAGTGGCAGGAATCTATTGTCAGTATTGTCATGTAACTATTACTGCCTGCTTACTATGATAGTGGCCGGCAAAGTAAGGAACACGGTAGGTCCTCAACAACACATCTCTTTCCCTGCCTTGGCCATCTGGGTGCACAGTCAGGAGGGTCACAGTGAGTCCTCATGTCTGTCTGGTGCTTTGAATGTTCACAAGGCTTCTGTGTTCCTTATCTCAGATCATTCTCACCACAATGCCGTGTGGATAATAAGGCACATCTTACAATGGTCCCACCTCACCATACACCCATACCTTGGAGAGGCAAAGTGCATGTCGCAGGATCACACAGCAGTCTGTATCAGGGCCATGCCAAGTGGCCAGGACTCCTGGCTGTCAGGCTGGGTTCTGATAGCAAGGAGACAGGCACCTCTCACTCTCCAGCTTGTGAGCACACGACCGCCAGTCTGGCTTGGCAGTATTTTCTAAAAGTCATCTGGACCATGCCCCTGCTTCTCTGTGCCATGCAATTCCCAAACTCACGACAGGGAAGACATCTCATTCACTTCTTACGCATCAGCAACAACACCTCTTGGTTCGGAGTCTGGGCTGCCCAGAGCCCTGGCATTGTTCTTTCTTTCTCCCTCTGCCCCACTCAAAATATGTAGCAATCCTTACCAAAGTAATAAGAGTGAATTGGGAGTTTCAGCTGCTGGATTTAATATAGCTGATGTGTCCAGAACACACTCTCCCAGGCCTTATAGGGCACTGGGCCCATTAAGTAAATCCAATAAATAAGTCTTAATTCTGAGCTGATGTTACCATAAATATACTTGGTTGCAGAAAATGGTCTATTTATGACCCACTCTTCTCCCTGGCCCAGCCCTTCCTCCCAGCCCAAGACCAGCTGCTAGCATTAGGAGTACAGTCTCAGGAACCTGCCGTTGGGCCTCCTCCCCATTTATGACTGAGATCTCTCCCACACCCACTGGCTTCCTGATGAGAGACCCCCAAAGGTCTTTCTCTAGCAACTCCCTCAAGTTCCTCTGACAGAAGGTTTTAATCCTTAAATATATTCTTCCCTAGCAGAACAATTTCCTGTGGCAGGAAATTAGGTTTCCTCCCATTGGCTTCAAGCGGGACCCGTAAAGTGTCCCAAAATGGTGGTGAGAGCCACAGCCAAGGATGTGGCCATGGCAGAGCCCAAAGCCGATGGTGAAGGTGAAGCCTGCCAGAGTGTACCCCAAGGAGAGAGGGTGGGGCTGGGGCCCACCTCATGCCAAGTGCTACTCACGTCTGCACTTCCACCGATCAGCCACTCACAGCCATCTGTGGGACAACACAGAGGCTGGGGAGAAGGTGAGGAGCACAGCACATAAGTTCCAGAAACATGCCAAGATCCATTCAGCATGAACTACGTGCCAGGCACACGACTGCTATGTGAGCACGCAGAAACGGCAACACCCCCAGGACCCTCGCCCAGCTCAGAGAACTCAGGAGGCTTGCCCAAGGTCATATAACTTGTAAATGGCAGAGCCAGGATTCAAACCCAGACCAGGGCTGATACATGGGAGATAGGGGCAGGTTGGATGAACAGCGCTTTTTCTGTCATCCCATGCTGCATCACCATTATTAAAAGTGACCATTCATCAATCACAGCATAGTTATTGAATACCTACCATATCCCAAGAACTGTGCCAGTTAACTGGGCCATAGAAGTGAACAAAGAGTAAATTTGTTAACATTATCACACTTCAGTTGAAACCTATTTTATTGAATACACACACATGCTCTTAATACCGAACTTTCTAGTCACTTTCAGACAAACTTTCTTTTTCAACTTGCCCATTGAGTAGTAATAGTAACAACAGAGGTGGAAGTGACTGCTGCTATGTGCCAGGTACTGTGTTGGCCACTTGATGACTGTGACAGAGTGAATTAGTCACCCCTCTCTGCAGCCACACTTTTTGCTCTGTGGCTCTGCCACTCCTCCTACCATGAGTGGCATGTATTTTCTTGTCCCGTGACTTTGGGGTAGACTATTGACTTGCATTGGCCAGTGGAATGTGAGCAGAAGGGACAGACTGCCATTGTATGTCTCTGCCTGTCCTCTCGTACCTCTGCCATCATCATGGGACTTCCCTCTCCCACCCGCCCACCCCCAGGCAGCTACTGCCCCATAGGCTGGGCCCAGAAATGAAAACATGTGGAGCAGACCTAAACCAAATCTGTAGCAAGGAACCAAGCCCAGGTAAGCCACCACAGAAGCATGAGTGAGCATAAACAATGGATTTAAGCTGCTGGGTTTTTAGAGTGCTTTGTTACGCAACACTAGCTGACTGATGCACTGACTCCACCACCAGTTTTCCCAATTAACTTGCAGGTATCATTATCTCCATACATGGATTGAGAAACAGAGCACCTGAGAGGTTACCCAACTTTCCTAACTTTTCCCAGAGTTAATATAAAGTGAAGCTAGGCTGCATGACTCAGATTCTTTTCCCTAATTCTAAATGGGGCATACCCCTATGCCCAGATCTTGAAGCTGGATAAGACTTAACCATTTCAGAAGGACAACCTACCTAGAGGCCTTAGAGTCAATTTGCATAAAATGTGAACTTACCCCCAAATACTCCTCTAATATTCATTTTTTGAAGTAGCCCCAAGTAGCACATTAATAACTCAAAAACCAAACCTACGGCATACATTTCACCTCCATTTATTCTGTATCTTTACATTTCCCATCTGCTATGTTTAATGGACAAAAAGGAGCTGTTTTAGATCTTGGGGTTGCCAATGAATGCCCTGAACCCACACTGGTACATACACACATGTTCCCAGAACATACATGCTGCAGCAGATATATGCCCATCTGCCCTCAGAGTTTCATATCCTCCCCATCTCTTTCCCTTTGAACAGCAATCAAGCTACCCTACTATCCCCGTGTTCACTCACCTGCAATTACATTTTTTTTTTTTTTTGAGATGGAGTTTCGCTCTTGTCACCCAAGCTGGAGTGCAATGGCACGATCTTGGCTCACTGCAACCTCTGCCCCCGGGTTCAAGCGATTCTCCTGCCTCAGCCTCCTGAGTAGCTGGGATTATAGGTGCGCACCACCACACCCGGCTAAATTTTTGTATTTTTAGTAGAGATGGGGTTTCACCGTGTTGGCCAGGCTGGTCTTGAACTCCTGACCTGTGATCAACCCAACTCAGCCTCCCAAAGTGCTGGGATTACAGGCGTGAGCCACCGCGACTGGCCCAAAAATCTTTACTTAAATTTTGCATTCTACGTGGGTTTTCCTTTTCTTTTTTTCTGGTTCAAAATAAAAGCAAGACTTGAGTGACTTCAAGTTTGGGTGAAGTGCTCATTCCATCGGACCTTCTGGGAAGGCAGAAAAAAATTCTGCTTGTGGCTTGAAAGTCTCCTTGCATCGGTTCCATTTGGCCTTTGAACTATAAGCTCACCCTGAGAGCTCTCTTTCTGCTGCTCTTTAATACGCAAGTATTAGAACATGCCTTTATTTCTTCCATGCAATGGACCGCCCCAGGACAACTGCTTAATAAAGGAACAAATAAGAAAGCCCTGAAAACACCATCTGCCAAGAGGGATGTTTGATTTGGGGGTTCACTTATTCCCTTTGGTACACACAGTCAAATCCAAAGCATCCTTTGTTCTGGGCAGAGGTTCTTCAGGGAGTTATGAGCCCAGTCCCCTGGGTGTATGTGACAAACCACAGAGGCCCAATGTTCAGAAAACAAAATGTCCTGGTGAGGCGACACTGGCTAACTCTATGTCTGCCTGAAAACTCACTTTGGAGAACTGTGACAGCTGACCCTTGAGGAACCTTGAGGGCATCTGGTCCAATCCCTTCATTTTGGGGTTGAGGAAACAGACTCTGATGCATTAAGATCCTTGTTCAAGGTCACTCAGCAAATTACTGCAGTGTGAGAAGGAGTCCTCACAATTGCCTCTTTCCTTGCAACCAAGCTGGTATTGCCAGCCTTCTTCCAATGACGTGTGTAAAACACATGTGCGTCTACTTGCCTGCTTTGGTAGGTTAAGAACAGCAAGACAATTTTTTCTTTGTTGTATTGAATCTTAAGTTGTCTGAAGGTCTTTAAGATGACAAGTGTTTTTAATTTTTTTTTAAAAAAAGGGACTGAGCAGTTGTTGACTCTGGTTGAAAGACATATAATTTGATTATATTACGATTAGTAGTAGTATAAAAAATTAGCCTATAATTGTAATTTTCTGAAGCTTGGAATCAAAGAGTTACAAACAGAACTCAGGATGTACACTGAATATACTACACCCTGGCATTTTCAAAGATTTTTAAAACTGTTGTTGTTTATTTAAACTCCATTTCCAACATTAGCCTGTTCTTTTCATTTGGTGCCACAAAGACATCTAGTGAGGTCAAGTATGTGGTTGGCCAGGTTCTAGATAATTGAGGTCTCACTGCAAGTTCTACCACAGTGACCATGTGCTCTGCCTGTAGCTGAGTTTCCTGAGTGTTCCCAACAAGTTCTGTAAGTGTGCTAAGCATGTTTTTGAATGTTCCAGTTTAGATTGGACATGAAGAGCTGAAAACAGGATTTCATAACCCTTGATACCAGTCACTAAAACATTTCCACCAAGAACAACTCAATTTTCATCTGAACTTATAAATGGACAATATCTAGTGCTTTGGGCATGAATGCTGCCAGTCTAGGGGGAAACCAAATAAAATGCCAGGCTGCAGCCCCCTATGCCATCCTCCAGACCAGCAGCTGGCCTCTTCTTCACTTCTTCCCATTATATTTAGTCCTCTCTTTCCCTCTGCTAGTTCTCCAGAGCAGCCGGCTCAGGTCCATGACAAGTGCCCCAGGCAGATGGGGCAACCTGGGCAGGAGCCACAGAGGTTGCAGAAGGCTCCTGGGCAGATCCTTGGAGGGGGAAGCCAAGAAACACCTTGCCTTATCCTTGGGAGGGCTGGACTCCACTGGAAACACACAAAGATCGCCTAGACCTTGGGCTATCCCACCTCCCAAGGGCCATGGGTGGGCACAGAATTTGTACTTTCTGGAAAAGAAGAAGGTTGGTTACTGGAGAAAGTTCAGCCTGATGATAATTATCTGTAAAGCACGCAGACACCAAGAACTTTTCAACATCAGGCTATGGATTTGGCGAGGCCCAGAGTTTCTCAACGTTGGCACTACTGATGTTTTGGGCTAATCTTTGTTGGGGCTAGGGGGCTGTCCTGTGTAGAGACAGATATAGAATGCTTAACAGCATGTCTGGCTCCCTCACACTGGATGCCGGTAGCTGTGACCCACCTGCAGCTGTGACAACTGAAAAAAAATACCTCTAAACATTGCCAAATGTCCCCTGGGGGGCAAATCTGCTCTCTTCCCTCCCCTTGAGATCCCCCTGGGCTAAGGAAATGCTCTGAGATGAGCAAGATGCGGGAAAACAGAAGGAATCCCCCCCGCCCGCCCCCCAAGACGGAGTTTTGCTCTTGTTGCCCAGGCTGGAGTACAGCGGAGTGATCTTGGCTCACTGCAACCTCCAGTTCAGGTGATTCTCCTGCCTCAGCCTTCTGCGTAGCTGGGATTACAGGCATGCACCACCACGCCTGGCTAATTTTTGCATGTTTAGTAGAGACGGGGTTTCACAATATTGGCCAGGCTGGTCTCAAACGCCTGACCTCAGGTGATCCACCTGCCCCAGCCTCCCAAAGTGCTTGGATTACAGGCGTGAGCCACTGCACCTGGCCAAACAGAAGCAATTTACACCTCAGAGCAAGCGTTTACCCAGCACTTCTCACTCAGTAACTCACTGGATAAAGGGATCCTGCAGGCTGAGTATCTCATCACTCCCATTTTACAGATGAAAAATTTTTGATGCTGAGTGACTTGCCCAAAGTCACCCAGCAAGGAACAGTGCCTGGGCTTGAACCTAGATGTTACACTCCAAACTCAGTTCTCTATGACTACAAAGCACACTGGGTTTAAATCAGCAGAGATTCTCTTTTGGCTGTGGTGAGAGCCCCTCCCTTCCCCCATGCAAAGAAGACGGTTAAATATTGAAGGAGGAGGAGGAGGAGAGTGTTTAGGGCTTTTCTATTTAATAGCTTTGGTCTTCACAAACTTTTTTCTCCAAGCACCAAGTTGATGGGGATTGCTTTTTCTTGAGTGTCAGCAGGATCATAGAACTTTCAAGTCACAAATAAAAGATGCTACAAAGATCTGGGTTGGTCTGTGACTACTGGAAGAAAGGGAAAAGTTGCCAGGCTTCACAGAATCTTCTGGGTGGCCATTTCACTCTGCTGAAAATTAGGCCTGACAATGGTTTATGTTTTTTTAAGAGATCACTCATGGACCCATTCAGCATACTCACAGCCCTTGGCAACGTTCTGATGGGCTTAAGGCAACAGTGGACTTCACCTCAGCTTTCATTAAAATCCCTCACCCCCAAAAGCTGACCTCCAACAATACAGGAAGCTTGAAATGGAGTAAGTCACAAAGCCAGGTGTGTTTAGACCCATCTTCTCATTCTGGGTGATCTGGGCCTCTCGCTCGGCAGCAGGCCTGTTCATGTAGCCAACACTTAGAGTCTTCTCTGTTTCCAAACTACTTTGGGGAATCAAATTAATTTGCATTGTCAGTTTGAGGGAGAAGAAAATAACCCATAGGACAGAAAGGATTCCTTCATTCTACGACAACATGATGTTCCATTTGGTGGAAACAAAAATGAGTATTTAGGTAAAAACATTTATCAGCCCCAAAACTCTAACTTTGTAAAAACAGAATAGAAGATACTAGAGGCTGAAAAGTGTAAAGGGAACAGAGGGATGGGGAGAAATTTGTTAAAGGTCTCAAAATTACAGCTAAAGAGGAAAAATCAGTTCTAGTGTCCTAAACCACTGTAAGATGATTATACTTAACAATAATATATTATATAGCTTCAAATATCTAGCAATCATATATTACAATATTATTATTACATAGTTTACAATTATTATGTAATATATGATTGTTACTATGTATAATCATATATTACATAGTTTCAAATAGGAGAATATTGAATGCTTATATAGTAACATACATAGTAACATTCATATATTACATAGTTTCAAATAGAAGGAGGATATTGAATGCTTCCAACCCAAAGAAATGATAAATGCTTGACAGGATGGAGATGCTAATTAACCTGATGTGATCACCATAATGACATTAATATGTATCAAAACATCACTATGTATCCCATGAATATGGACAATTATTTGTCAATTTAAAAAAATCAAATATTTTTCAAAAACTCTAACTTTAGAGGGAAAGGAAAAAGGGAAAATAGCCTGGGTGCAATGGCTCATGCTTGTAATCCCAGCACTTTGCGAGGCTGAGGTGGGTGGATTACAAGGTCAGGAGTTCGAGACCAGCCTGGCCAACATAGTGAAACCCTGTCTCTACTAAAAATACAAAAATTAGCCGGGCATGGTGGCGCAAGCCTGTAGTCCCAGCTACTCAGGAGGCTGAGGCAGGAGAATCGCTTGAACCCAGGAGGTGGAGGTTGCAGTGAGCCGAGATTGTGCCACTGCACTCCAGCCTGGGCAACAGAGAGAGACTCCGTCTCAAAATAAATAAATAAATAAATAAATAAAAGGGAAAATGGGGAGAAAGAGCTATTGGAGACTGTGAGATAATGGTCTCATCTTAGACCCTCTTCTCCAAAGAAAAGAAAACAGGCTTAGAGGTGGCAAGGTAGAACTGAAACACAAATCTGGGCCTTCCACTAATATATGAATGTCTTAAGACTGAGATATAAGGCCTGGCGTGGTGGCTCACGTCTGTAATCCCAGCACTCTGGGTAGCCAAGGTGGGCAGATCACCTGAGGTCAGGAGTTCCAAGACCAACCTGGCCAACATGGTGAAACCCCGTCTCTACTAAAAATACAAAAAAATTAGCCAGGCATGGTGGTGGGCACCTGTAATCCCAGCTACTGGGGAGGCTGAGGCAAGAGAATCACTTGAACCTGGGAGGTGGAGGTTGCAGTGAGCCGAGATTGTGCCACTGCACTCTAGCCTGGGCGACAGAGAGAGACTCCATCTCAAAAAAAAAAAAAAAAAAAAAAAAAAGACTGAGAAATAGCTTTGCTCTCTTAATAAAAAAAAAAAAAAAAAAAAAGCAGGACATGGAAAAGTCCCCTCCCCTGACAACTGCAATTTCTCAAGTCTTATCTGCCGGCAAACCTCACTATTAGTTCAACTTCACAAAACAAACAATTCTTATTACAGGACTCTTAGTCATTCTGTTTTTCACTTTCTTCCACAGAGCAGAAGCCATTAGGTCTGGGTATCCTCTCTCTGCCCTCTTTTCCCAGACCTGGTTCCCAGCCTCCCGCCTCCTGCAGTCAGGTCTGCCCGAATCGGAGCACCATGAATCACTTCCTGTGGGCAGACTGCACGCTTGGGGGTGGGATTTACTTTCTTTCTTTCTTTCTTTTTTTTCCTGGAAAAGATTCTCACAGACTTTTGGGGTAAAACAAGTGGAACCAGGCGATGATAACTGGCGGCCTTGTTCTATCAAAACAAATCTTAAAGTTTCCAAAGACTTAGAGAAAATGTCAGGCGGGCATTCCTGACTGGGGGCGGGGGTTGGGGAGAGGTGAAGAGGGCAAATGAGGAGGTTTTGTGTTAATTGCACAGTTTTGACTTCCTTAATTATGAGTCACCGGCTAGAGAGATAAAACAATGTCACAAGTGCTGCATAACATGCAACGGGTCAACCGGGCGACTCAGTGACATTCACGCGGAGAGGCAGTGCCTCAGGACAAGCGCTCACTCCAGTGATTTTACAACAATTCCTAGCAAATGTCACACAGTATGGTTGGGACATTTACAACCATCTCAGTCTTATGACATTTACAACTCAGTCTCTTCTTTTTAAAAGAAGCCCCAAAGCCTTCAGGATTTGCAAACCTTTCAGTTAGCCACTGTTGGGTATGAATGGGGAGCTGGAAGTAAAGGAAGGGTGGGAAATGACCATGTTTCTTGAAAAAGTTAGTTTAAGGACCATGGAGGTAAAGAGGTACCTTTACATGCAAAAAATGCAGCATTTGCATGACAGCAATTGCTAACGTTCCATACACATTCTCTTGCTTTCTGAACCAAAGCTTTACAAGCTTATATAAGCAGTTTCCATCCCAAATGGTAACAAAGAATGGGTGCCCTGTATATTCTGGCATCTGTACCCTGAGGACAGTTAAGTGGCCAATTAGCATTCCTTTCTGTCTAAGGGTACAGACCTCCTATTGTACCTAAAAAAAAAAAGGTTCTGGTTCATTGGGGCAATTCACCTAAGACAGCAAAGAACCCCTATGGGCAGGAAAACAGGAATTCCACACAAGCAAGAAAGGAGGACTTCAGAGAAGCCAGGCCCACACTTAACAATGTCAGGGTGGCAACAGCCCTCCTCGATTAAGCCGGCCTCATCAACTAAGTGGCCCTTGTCTGAAAGCTGCATCCCTAAAACAGCTACAATCAGGAACAAGCAAAGGGTTCCAGGTGAGGCGTCCTCCCGCTGGGTCCTAGATACTTACAACTCTCCCCGGTATCAGCCCACCCAGTCCCAGCTGAGATTCAGAGCACCTGCCCACCCACCACCTCACCCCCACTTCCTAGACAGGCCTAATTTACAGGCATAGAAACTCAAAATGCTGAACAGGCCCAAGTAGTGGAGGTAAAATGTTGCAGCCACAGTATCTGAATGTGAGGCTCCTGCACTCTTGGCCACCAGCATAGTGCGCTGAGGTGCAGGTGGGGACAGAGCCCTTGGAGGTCCAATTATCTTCCAGCTCAAACAGTAACCCACTCTGTGGCTCTCTGCTAAGAATGACCTCTCTCCATCCTCCCCTCCTCGAACTCTTACAGTCCACCATCCCCACTGTCCCACACTCTTCAAATTCATCATCATTTAGCACCAAAGGCCTGGTATGATGAAGTGACTTCTGTGTGTTTCTGACTTCCCTTCCCAACTGTGCCAGGAGCTCCTTGAGGGAAAGGAAACCTAGCTTAACTTTGCCTGCATCCTGGATGGAGCGAGGGGCTTGCAGGTCACATTTGCTCAGAAAATAGTAATGGTAATGGAATTATTAGCTGATAGCGTGCATCAGCAACTGGTAAGCTTCATAGTACCTTTCAGAAGACGTAGGAAATAAGCAAAGATCTCAGGCTGCCCACCAGCCTTGTGAACCCGATCAAGAAGTCAAGCCTCATAGCAAAGGGATCCACAGACGCACATTACTGCCATGGGCCCAATACCAGAAATGTTCTTTAAGCAATCAGCTGGTCTTGAGAGGTGCAATTAAAAACAGCAGGGGAATGACAGCCACAGGTGCCAGTTAGGCGAAAGCAACCAGCGGGGAAGTGCAGGAAGCTAAAATGTTTTTGAATGAGGAAGCTCTGCCCACTTGCCATACCAGGGAGAGAGAGTCATCTGTGGCTAAGGTTGTAGGCAGACATTAAATACAGCGATTTGCAATAAACTTGCTCAACAAATATTTGTTAACTGGAGATTTTTATCAAGTGTTGGATTTAATAGAGGAGAAAGCACACAGATATATGGCCCACACTGGGGATGGACTGGAGCCCTGGCTGCTCATTAGATGACAGGGGTGTGTGTGGCCCTCCCTCTGGCTGTGCTACCGACTCATGGAGGAGTCTTTAGGTATGGATTATCTCATTTAAAAAATGATGGGTTCAACGGATCTCTAGTGTCTTCTCACCTTCTAGTACCTTCTAGCATTCCAAATACCTGTGAAATACACTAATTTGCAGGGGGAAGTGGCTTAAAGGTGTTCTGTGTCTACACTTCTCATTCCTTCAATGCTTTTAGGCACCTAGGGCCTTGGAGAAAACCTGAATCATAATATAGCAGCAGAGCAAATAAGTAATCAAAAATGTGGACTACCAACAAAAATTCCTCTTCCCTACTGTACATGGAGCAACAAACAGAAAGGATGAGAGAGAAAACTTCAGAACTTTGACTCTTTCTGCAGGTTAGAAGCAAACACAAAAGCCAAGTAAGCCCCAAACCCGACGCCAACATCAACTAAACAGTGGCAGTCGTAGCTGTCATGTGGGATATAAAGGAATTAAATTGATTTCAAACAACTTCCTGAGAGAGGAGGTTGCTTTAAACCAGAAAGGTGAGGGAGGCTGCAGAATTACTGACCTCAAAAATCAGAGGTCATGGAATGAATGAGACAGGTAGACAGGTTCCAGACATGCTCACATCTGTGGCTGGTAGAACTGGACCTGGACACGACACTGGGGCGGGGGCAGTGGAAGGGTGGTGTGCAAATGTCCTTTTGCAGAATATTCCAGCCTCAGAACCACAGGACTTTGGAGCTGGTGGGGGGCATTTCACCACCACCTTCTTTTCCCCCTGAACACGTGAGGAAACTGGGGCCCAGGAAAGGATGGCATTTACCCAGGGATCCTTCTGAGTGAGCTCCTATGTTGTTTTTTTTCTACTCCAGGAATCATGACCCCAAAACTATGGCCCCAAATAGAAAACTCAGCTGTCGGTGTAACTGAACAAAGAAGCTAACACCACAATAAAGGGCAGGAGCTTCCATCAAGAGCAGAAAGAACAGAGTGGTTTCTGTGGAGGAGCGGCTGTGCCTGGCATTTCCCACCCTGCACACACCCAGCTGTTGGGGCCACAGTCCACTGCAGCCTGTCTTTCAAGTCGGCCCGGCTGTCAAGCCTGGGCCCATCTCCCGGGCTCTGTAAACAGTTCTGGCTCTCTCTCTCTCTTCCCTCCTCTACTCTCAGAACACCACACATCACTGGGGCCTGGATTGTTTGGTAACAATGGAGGGGAACGTTAAACAAGAGTTGACGACGGGAAGTGAATCACTGAATTCTCAAACAGGCTCCGTGGAAGGAGCAAAGAACTGTGGGAGGGGCCCCTGGCAGGGCCTGGCGGGGTGCAGGGGAATCTTTGGAGGCTGCTCTCTTCTCACCCCGCCAAAGGACACCCTTTCAACTCTGCCTGGCTGTAACCAGGTAGCAGCTTCATATGTCAGGCCCCATCTAGCTCCCAAATCAACCCCGCTACTTCCGAGTTTCCCTGGTGTTCTCTGCTCCTTGGATTAAGCAGGAGGGAGAAATGGAGAAAGAGCCTTTTTTCTACAAACACTGACCCAACTTTGTCCCCATACACCTTAAAGTCTGACCCTGAAGAGGCAGCTACAGGCTCTAACAGAAGGAAAAGGCTCATTCTTCTCTCCCCGCTCAGGCATCAGCTACTTAAATGGAGATGTCCTCAAAGGAAAATATAAAACACAGAGACAATGTCTCTGTATGACCTGAGATTCCATATAAGTGTCTGAGAGAAGTCCCTCCCCGCTCCCCATCCCCGAACACACATTCCCTCTCCTAAGTCTGCACTGACTCCCACTCAACCCTGGTGCCATGGAACAGCCCCCTCCAGCCTCCACACTACCCGCTCTAGGCCGCACCTCCACTGACAGCTGCTCTGGCCACGTGCCCTGGGTCTATAACCTTCAAAGTCTGGTCTCTGGCAGGCTGTCACATTTTATTCAAATGATGTGTAGGCATACTCTCTGCTCCTCCAAAGAGCAGTTGATCATCCAGTCTGTGTTTACTACAGGCCTACTATGTGCAAGGCACTTGGTATCTCTGTCTTAACTTCCTTTGCAAAAAATCGAAGATTAATGGCTCAATCTAGGAAACATTTAAGATTCTATGTGCAGGAAGAACAGGGCTGGGCACCCCTTGGTATATGTAAATGTGTCCTCAGTTTTGCTTTATAGGATCTCTTTCCACAACTAGTTTTACCATGTCTACTTCAGCCTCATTAAGGAGTTAACACTGACCAGTTGCTTCCTAGAAGCAAGTTTTATGGTAAGCACTCTATATTTAAATACTTTAATCCTGTAGGACAGGGCCTCATCTTCCAAAAGATGACAATGAAGCTCAGAGAGGTTAGGAGTATTCCACAAGGTCACCCAGCAGGCAGGGGAGCAGAGCTGAACTCTGAACTCTAAACATTAAAGCCCAGCTTCTTCCCACTGTGTCAAGCTGTTGTTCTGCGTGCCCCAGCCGCCTTGCAGGGAGACACGGTGGAAACAACAGGAGACTGGAAATTGGGACTTGCATTGGAAAGCTGGCTCCTCTCCTTACCACCTGGGCCACCTCAGGTCAAGTGCCTCATCTCCGGGGGCCCATTTCCTCATTGGTATAAAGGGGCCATGTGGGAAGTGGTTCCTGTAGAGATTGCACATGTAGGCCCTTCATAAACCGGTAAGCGCCACACTGACATACAGTGTCACCCATAACCTTTCATTCACGAACCAGAAAATCCTGCCCAATGATGTTGCCGAACATCCACTCCTGAATTTTAACGTTATTACTGGAACAAGCTTGTGCAAGGTCAGGACACTGTAAGATGTCAGAACATTCTAGAAACATCATCTGGGAGAATTATTTTGTCTTTCTTTTCTGTTTTTTGTTTTTGTTTTTTAAATGGCACAGCATCCTTGAGCACAGAATGAGAGATTAACAATCTCTTTCCCAGGTCTATCAAATTTTGCCAAGCCTTCTTCAAACTCCCCCCTTCGTGGATTGTGAAAATGAAGGTCTAAAGCAGTGCCTGGGTTTCCCAAGTCCCAGCTGTGCTATGAGTGCTTATTCCTGAGTCACTCCTGCTTGCTGAGCCTCAGCTTCCTCACCTATAAAATGGGCAGGCTGGACCAGATATTTCCAAGGTCCCTTTTCTGACAGTCTTTGACTATTTATCAGAGGCTTACTGATTTTTCTTACACACAGTAAGAAGACTTCTTTCAGGAGAACGTGACTGAACAATGGATATGGAAAAGAGGGTACATTTCCAACTCCCCAGCAACACACTCCACCCTGGCTCTCTGGCTGGGGAAGAAATTCCCATGGCAACCCCCTACCCCCAACCCCTCCCTGTGCGCCTGGCTTTGTGAGGATGAGGGAATCCACAAGGCTAACTTCCTGCCTGCACTCCAGCCCCCATCACGCAATCCTCTGAGCAGGAATCAGAGAACCACAGCAACCGCAGCTCTGAGATTCCAGCCCCATGCCTGGCTGTGAAAAACCAAGGGCGTGGAAGGCATATCTGCTGTGACATTGTGCAAAACTGGAAACGTGCATCAGGCCACAAGCCTGTGGAAAGCAAGACCTCAACATTTTTGCAAAGACAGCATAACAGCTGTCTTTGTGTCTAAGAACACGGCAGCTCTATCACATGTAGGATATGGTGCACTAGTGCACTACTGATAGGCCCTCCTGAACACATCAACCACTGGCTAGGACAGGAACCTCTTCTGTGCCCTACAAGCACCATCAAGCCTGGCACATAGCAAACATGGTAGCAAACTATATTTATATAGTTAAATCACTATTTAACTCATTAAATCATTAATTACGTGGATTTTAGGGCCAAATGAATTCTAAACAAATTTCTTTCAAAGCACATTTTCAAAAACAAAATACTACTTCAGGAGAAACTTTTAAAATGAAAATAAATAATCCCTGAAGATCAACAACCCTCCCTTTATATCCACAAAAAGAAATATCACCCAACCACAAAAAGTCACTACTAAAACATGCAAAAAGATGGATGAATCTGAAAATAATTATGCTGCATTAAAAAAAATCAGACAAAAGTCATACATATAGTATGATTCCATTTATATAAAATTTTAGGAAATGCAAACTAATGTATAATAACAGCAGATCAGTGGATGCCTAGGGATGGGGGCAGCAGGCAAACAAGATGGTGAAATTGCAAAGAGGCAGGAGGAAAGTTTTAGAGGAGTGATGGACATGTTCATTATCTTGACTGGTGATGGTTTCATGGGCATATACAAATATCAAACTCATCAAATTGTACACATTAAATATGTGCCTTTTATTGCATATTACACCTCAATACAAACATTAAAGAAAAAAAAAAAAGGCAGGGCACAGTGGCTCATACCAGTAATCCCAGCACTCTGGGAGGCCAAAGCAGGCTGTACTCCCAGCTACTCAGGAGGCTGAGGCAGGAGAATCATGTGAACCCAGGAGGCGGAGGTTGCAGATCACATTATGATCTGTGTGTGGCGGCAGGAGCCGAGATCACACTATGCACTCTAGCCCAGGCGACAGTGCGAGACTCCATCTCAAAAAACAAAAACAAAAAAACTCCCTAGGCTGGGCACAGTGGCTAATGCCTGTAATCCCACCACTTTGGGAGGTCGAGGTGGGTGGATCACTTGAGGCCAGGAGTTCAAGACCAGCCTGGTCAACATGGTGAAAATGGTTTCTACTAAAAAGACAAAAATGAGCCAGGCGTAGTGGTGTATGCCTGTAGTCCCAGCTACTTGGGAGGCTGAGGCATGAGAATCACTTGAACCTGGGAGGCGGAGGTTCCAGTGAGCTGAGATCAGGCCACTGTACTCCAGCCTGGGCTACAGGGTGAGACTCTGCCTCCAAACAAACAACTCTAAAATTCTGATGGAAATATGGATTTGAAAATGAAAAAAGCAAGCAAAAGCCTAGACATATTTTGCTCCAATAGACTGTGTCAAAGGTGTCTGCCTTTGCTCACTGTATGACAAACTCTAAATACTAAAACATTAATGAGCTGCCTTAATATGTTCTAATACAGTGTGACAAATATGTACACTAAAGATTTCACTGAAAAGGTACTTATGGCATATCTGCCACAATAGTATCTTAGCTATTTAGTTCTTTGTGCAAAAAATAATCATACAGATCCATTACTGAATGACTTGAAAAGTACCATTCTGGCTGACATGCTCATAACAACTATTCATCATTGAAAAACCTTGACAGGCAAAGCATCCCAAGGTGGGTCACCGAATTTCAAGCTGGCATTAGAGAATCACAGGGCTGGTGCACGGAGAGCTGGCTCTCCAGCAAGGACGTCTGGCCTGGCCGGGAATGATTCATTGAGCAAAAGGACATGCCAGAGAAAATGAGGAGGATGTTCCAACCCAGGAGTGAGCCGACGGGTATGCAGAGGCTGGAGCTGTCTCCTGCACATGGGATCATGTCCCTGTGTTCCAGCTCTACATGGGGTGCCCACCAGCTGCCCCACAGGGCCCTTATCACAAACATCACAAGCCTATTTCACAAGCTCTTTTCTCCTTGAAATGTTGAGATCAATATATCTCCACTGTTACTTAGCACAGTGGTTTTTGAATGTCTTAAGATGCCAGCAGCCTCTGCCGTTACCAGGCCTCTGGACGCCTCTAGTCTAGCCTGTCATTCCAAAACAAACCAGATGTCCATTCTCTGTCTATCCAGAAGCCTGAGAATTGGGGGTGGGGTACAGATCAGGGGACATCATTTGGAAACCTCTTATCTAGGACACTGAGCAGAAAAAAGCACTTAACACACTTAAGACTGACACTAGGGGAGAAACAAAGGTGGGAGCAGCATTAACAAGGTGAAAAATAGAGTTTCGCCATTCCTGAAGGAAATGCTTTCCAACCCATTGGTGATTTGTCCTCAAAAGTTCTGCAGAAAGACCTAGTTTATTGCCAACAAAGCCCCGGGGTTGAGTGTTTCTAGTACAATTCCACGCAAACCATGGAGGTACAGTAAATGTTCACACATGGTGATGAATTCCTACTTCTGGCCAAGTGTACGGGGGAAAAAAAAAACCTAGCTATTAAACATTTGAACACTGACAGTTCTAGAAACAATGGTGGGGGGGGTGTGGGGAGGAGACACACAAAAGAATGAATATACCAAAAGGAAATTAAAATCTAACAGTTTAGGAAAGGGGGTAAAAGAGCGGGGGATGACAGATGAGCTGGTCCAGGCCCCAGCTCTTCACTGCCTCGCTACGTGGCCTTGAGCAAGTGACTTAAGCTCTCTGTGCCTTTGTTGACTGAACAAGCCTGTGAGGTTTGTATGATTGACCCTAATTTAAATTCGGAGAGCAGGAGAATGGAAAACATGAATGACACCTCACAGCATTAGAGAAGCCTTTATTCCCCCATACCACCCCACCTCATCCCCAGGCAAACTGAGTTGGCCTCAACTTAGAGTTTGTATCGGCTTTTCTGGGGCACTCAACCCCAAGTTCAGCTGCAGGAGGTAAGCCATGAACCAGAGCAGATTTAAGACTCAGGAGTCTAATGGGTGTATGGGGGGTGGACTCAAGGTATCGGACTTTCCAGGTAATGAAAAACAGCTCACAGATCATCTAGTCCAACAACCACAAGGTACAGAGCTCTGTTAGAAAGTTCTGCCATGTATGGAGCTGAATGGAGGCTGTTCTGTGATTTTTGCCGCCTGGTCCTGGTACAGCCTTCAGGGACTGCCAGACAAGGGTCCCTGGCTGGACTCTCTCTGCTCTAGCTTCCAAATCCCCAGGGCTTTCCTCAGCTGAAGACTGTCTCATCCTGGGGACTACTGCTGGGTTAAGCTGAAATACAATGAACTTTACAGGGTCTGAGAATCGGACCCAGGTCTTTCCCCAACATTCCCCCACTGAAGTTCCTCCCACTGCATCCATCTTGGCCATAATCTCAGGGAGAAGCATGGAACCATCCCTGTGCAGGGCATAAAGAGTCCACCTGCATGAGGAAGACACAGCTCATCCCAAAATGTAGACTAGGAAACATGGCACAACACAGATAGTACGTTGAACATAACAGGTGCTCAATAAATATTTATTGTGCAAATGATCAATCGAAGCCAAGTCAAGCTCCCTTTCCACTTCCCCACCTCACTTGCGGTCAGCCCAGGCAACTTCCTTAAGAAACTTCCCGTTGCCGGAATTGGGAGACCCAGAAGACAGCCATCAATTGATCGGTCTGGGCTGGAGGTCAAAAACAGGCAGCTGCCCACTGCCCACAGATGTTGTGCTTGGCCTGCAGAGCGTTTTTAAAATTTTTAAATGGTTGCCAACTTTTACAAACTGGGAGATTTTGTGTGTAAATCTTGATTTTTGGCTTCTCTTGAAAAAAACTCAGAAGATCTGGCAACAAGTTGCTACTGTCTGATGCCGACTTGCCAATGCCCCCTTTAGACTATGAATGAACCCCAAGTTCTGCTCCGTTTCCTTACACCTGGCCCCATTTCCCACACTCTGTCTGTCCCTGTGAACACCTCAGCTTGCAACCCTAGCCTAAGCTTCCAAAGGGGAAGGCGTCACTCCTTCCAAATCAAAACAGAACTCGAAGAGACTGAAGCCTGGGTTTTGTAGCGCAACCACAAACCCCCGTTTGTTCAGGACAGTTGGGTTCGCATGTGTTGACCTGGTGTCATTATTAATAGCGTTCCCTTTCACTCTCACTGTCCTGTCAGGCTGCCTTGAGTCTCTGCCGGCTCTAGACCCACCTGTCATACCAAGGATTCTGTACCCAGAGCCCTCAGAAGGTCATTTGCTCTCTGCATAGTTTCTCAGCCTGGAGATTTCAAACTTCCTCCTAGCAGAGTTTATTCTGCAGCATGCTGCTAAGGTAGGCAGAAGTAAAGAGAGAACGGTGGAATAAAGAGAAGTTAGAAAAAAGAAGAGAGCTAAAGGAGTCTCTACTCAACTCTACCTCCTGGGTACCATTTCTCTTGCCTGAAACCAAAGTGAGAACTAAGCTATCACCACTCCATTTTCAGTGGGGACTAGGAAGGAAGAGAGAAAGGAGGTTTTTGCGGTGAGACAAGACACTCATCAATCTGTACTTAATGTCTCTTCCAGAATCCCCTGCCCTCTTGGATCAAACACATTCACTTAATCAAGCACAGCTTCCAGCAAACACATTCACTTTTCTTTCTCTTTTTTTTTTTGAGACAGAGTTTCACTCTTGTTGCCCAGGCTAGGATGCAATGGTGCCATCTCGGTTTACTGCAACCTCTGCCTCCCAGATTCAAGTGACTCTCCTGCCTCAGCCTCCCAAGTAGCTAGGATTACAGGCATGTGCCACCACACCTGGCTAATTCTGTATTTTTTTTTAGTAGAGACGGGGTTTCGTCATGTTGGTCAGGCTGGTCTTGAACTCCTGACCTCAAGTAATCCACCCACCTCGGCCTCCCAAAGTGCTGGGATTACAGGCATGAACCACCACACCTGGCCTAAACACATTCACTTTCCAAGCACAGCTTCCACCCATGCCTGTGCCATACCTGGTGACAGCAGATATGCTAATCTGACTGAAGTTGGTCAGGGTGAAATAATAATTCTACTTACCCAGCATTTTTGATCAGTTAACATTTCCCAGGGCCTTTTAACATAGCTGGAATCGTACCTGGCTTAGGAGGGGGAGCTTGGGGAAGGCACAGGCATGGGAAGAAAAGCAGGTGATGCAAGCTGCTTTCCATACCAAACCCTAGCACCCAGTCAGCCCAGGACCCACCAGGGCTGCTACAGCTTTAAGTACACCTTAATTCCAGCCACAGTCATTAAGGAAGTTTTCTATTTAACCCTAAAATCAAAGTATTCCCTTCCCAAACTTTAAAGGGTTAAAGGCTAGGGAAGAAATGATTTCATTGAGGGAGGAGGGGTAGAGAATGCTCCCCTCCCCCTAATAAAAATTCTGGCAAGAGCAGACACAGTGGGGAAAAGCAAGCCAGGAAACCTAATATTGCCGTCTTGACATTTTATAGGAAAACCTGACGCAACGAGATATCACGGGGCATCTGAGGTTTATTTTTTTTCCCCTAATGTGAGCAAAGAGAAGAAATCTGGTTCTTAAAATCCTCAAGATCCACGTAAACTTAAATCCCTCTAGCCCCCTTCTTTTCCACAGTGAGCACAGAACACAAGAATCGCTGCCGCCAGAATCTGTTTTTAAGTTTCCTTTGGTAGCTGCCTCAGATATGCCCAAGCCCATTTTATGGGGCAACGGAGAGCTAATATAAGGCACAATCTGTGTCTAAATGCATTTCCGACACTTCAGTCTCTCAAAGGTAATTTTGCAAATAGGCACAGTGAAGGGCTTTTGCTTTGAAGTGGGCTGGGAATCGGCTACAGTTCCTTAAACACTGATCAAATTCCACTAAAAGAGTAAAGAGAAAGCACATTCAAAGAAATTATATTTCATATCTTCCCTGATCAAGTCAACCAACTGCTTTGGAGGGTTAATGGGATGGTGTTTTCACATCTTCCAGGGAGGGGAGGAGGTGAGGGGTATTTATAAATTCTCAGCTGGACTTTTTGGTTAAAGCTGCTCTTATTGATCTAGACAAACACAAATTATGATGCCTGGCATGGCTTGTATATACAAATAGCCATGTGAAAACAGTCACAGGCCTAATTGAAGGAGACAGCAAGAAATCAAAGGAAGAAAGAAAGAAGGAACAAATGCCCAGACCCACAGAGCAGCATTCCAGCTGCCCAGAGAGGCTGAGCAGGGGCTTTTCCTTTAAGGGGAGATGGATGTTTACTTACACAGATGAATTCAGTTCCCCTGGGTTCAACTGTCCCAGGGAACCGCTCAGTACAGCGATGACTGGAAAGGAACAAATAGCTCCCCTCCCCAGCACGCTCTCCCCACACTCTGGAACCCTCTTCCGCAAATCCACTGCGATGGCAAGCAAGCTCCATCCTGGGGCCGGGGGAGGGGGGGTTCAGGGGAGGGGAGCAGGGTCCCAGAGCCCAGAACCAGGCAGAGGGCCCTGAGCGACGCCTCTGCTTCACCCACACAGGGGGTTTCCTACAGTTGCTTCCTGACATCCTAAGAGTCCACATCCCCACCCAGAGAAAGAGAAGCCCGGAGAAACTCTGACAGATCTCTGGCCAGCAACCCTGTGGACGGGTGGGGAGACGAGTTCAAGAAAGAGAAAAGACATGTCCCGGCACGGGGCTCCTACCTCCCCATCCACCATGCTTTCCGGTGTACCAGAGCTGCGCCTTTCCACGTTTGCCTAGGGTGCAGGCAAGACATGTTTGTGAAGTTGGGAGGTCACAGGGACGGGAGGGAGGGATTCTGATGATAAGGACAATACAGCCCTTCCTAGAAGTCCGAATTCTAGTACCTCCTATTTTCTCTGTCGCTAACAGAAGAGCCCTGGCAACACCCAGACAGAAGAAATCCAAAGGGAGGACAGTACTTTGCAAGCTTGTTTCAAACTCTTCAAGAAAGCACCAAGACATTTTGACCTGCCATTCTGACCCTATGGGCCTTCTGGCCAGATTACCAGAGAAAATTCGGCTTGAGAGAAATGATGCACCCCAAACAAAGCTGGTGATCAACAAAGGTAAAATTACCCACCAAAAACATTTGTTGAAAATAATAAGCAAACTGAAAAAGCACACTCCTTGCTACATTTAAAAACTGACCCTGAAAAAATCAAACCTCATAGAAAAAACTTCAACACAAAATAAAACTGAAAGCAACTAAAACTGCAGACCATGAAAGTCACTAACCAAAAACTGATGAAAGAATCCAACAACTCAGATATGCAAAATTTTACCCAGGACAATGGTGGAAAGAATGGCAGAAGCTAACATGAGTACTAACAGCAAGCAAGCCAACAGAATCAGAACCAAATTTTGTGGTAAAATGCACATGGGAAGGTAGTGATCCTAATGAAAATAATTTCAGTTTAAAAAAGCGAAAAGGAAGAACTTATGAAGGAACAGCTTCATATTGGTACACAGAAAATGGCTGTGGTACTAAATCAACTTGCAGTGCTGATATCACCTGGTTCAAGTGTTTATATCTGTGAACCAAATAGGAACATCTACTGGGAAAAAAAATGACAAAACAAAAAAACACCCTTGTCCTTTTTCAGAAAAGTGGTCAAAAGTCAAGCCTTGGCAAAAACCACAAACGCAGCCTGCTCCGTCTTACACTTCCCAGCTTCCTTGAAGGAACCAGGACTCCTCTGTTGAGCACTTGTCACCTTGCCTAGATCAGCACCAGACACCAGAAAGAGGTCAGACCCCAGCCTGATGAACTGGCATGGTGGGTAGACCACCAGGAGATGCCCAGCCCTGCCCATTGAGCTGACCTCAGGCAGGTGATGGCCTCTAACCACCTTGGGGACACATATCCTATGGTCAATGGGGCCTGTCTGCTACGAAACCTGAAGAGACCATGGTACCACTCCCCACCTGGAGAAGCCCAGGGATCTCCATCCTCTGCCCTTGGGGGGATGGGGAGAAAATATCTCTATAGGGTGGAGGTTGGGGTAATAGGGCAGTCAGCAATTTCACTCTTTACTTCTCCATGTGTTCTAAATTTTCCACAATAATTATATATTACAGTTATGTTAAAGTGGGGAGGGAAGCATTAAAGACAAAAGCCAAAACACCTGCTCTAAGAATAACTGACTCTGGGCCGGGTGCAGTGGCTCATGCCTATAATCCCAGTACTTTGGGAGGCTGAGGTGGGCAGATCACCTGAGGTCAGGAGTTCGAGACCAGCCTGGCCAACATGGCGAAACCCTGTCTCTACTAAAAAATACAAAAATTAGCCAGGTGTGGTGGTGCACGCCTGTAATACCAGCTACTCAGGAGGCTGAAGCAGAATTGCTTGAATCCGGAAGGCGGAGGTTGCAGTGAGCCGAGATTGCACCACTGCACTCCAGCCTGGGTGACAGAGCAAGACTCCAACTCGAAAAGAAAAAAAAAAAAAAAAGAATGACTGACTCTGGGATGTGTTTCCTCACATGAAAGGTTCAGATGACCCTGGGAGCTCAAGATGGCACAATCTTTAATGTATCTGCAATTATGCAGGGTTGAAAGTTCCAAGTTTTAAGTCAAAGGCAATGAATTTATAATTTTGAGATTTCAATTTGAGAGCAGTTAGGTTTGTTCTGTGATCTTGAATCACTGATCTGGCCTTGGATATTCAGCCTTCTTTTCCCAAAAGGTGATCATTTGCTTTGGTGGTTCAAACACATTGCAGTGGGGTTATTTGGCTTTACAAATAATACACTACAAAATTCTAGCTGGGAAGGACACACACCAATTTAAAAGAGAGTAAACACCTGTGAAACGGGAGCGAGAAGAAGGGGGAAGGGGTTGGAGTAACAGGAGGTCTTCAGCAGAAGGTTTTTATTTTTAGTAAAGAAAGAGATGTTACAAATACCTGATGTGAATATGGAAAATATTAACGTTTATTAAATCTGGTAGAATACCACTTGCCCGTAATTCAAATGTTTCACGTTTTTATAATACGATGAAAACACACACACATACCCCACCACCAACAGGCCAAGGCAGGGCAATGCTTCTGGCATCTTAGAGAGGGTGTCTGAACCAGCACAGAGGCAGAGGAGAAAATCAAAGTTCAAAGTACTGCTCTGGTATGTAAACACTGAGGAAATTCTTGGCCTGAGAGTATACACAGCAATGTATTAACTTGTCTTCTGAAATTTGTTATTACAGGGAAGAAAAGTTTTTTTTAAAAAAAAACAATTAAGTGGAAGGGAAAATGAAAACTATCATTTATTTATTTAGAGAGGGCCTACTTGGTACCAGGCACCCTGCAAGAAGTTTTGGCTCTCAAATTATCTAATCTTAACAATGAAAAAGGGTGTTTTGACCCCTTTCTGTCCCAGATGAGGAAACCAAGCTTCCAAGGGGCAAAGCCACTGGCCCACAGCCTCAAGCAGTCAGGGGACTGTGAAGGGGGCAGGCTGGGCCCGGGGGCTGCCCCTGGATTTTTGGTACAGGCTGGGACCCAGGGTGAGAAGAGCTCACTGGAGCTTATCTTTCTTACCCTCACTGGGGGTCACCCTCTCTCCCCTACAAACCCACGTTTTGCCCCTCTCAGTGCTAGAACCCAGATTGCTGACCCCTGGCACAGAAAGGAACCTTCCAAACACAGCTCTTCCCGGCCATCTTCTCTCCTGTGGCTCCAAAACCAGGCCAGCTCTGTCCCTAGCACCTGCCCAGCTCCCAGGACAAAGCCCCCAGTGACACCCCTGCTTCCACTCTCCCAGCACAGGACCCCCTGGGTACATCTCCCCAGCAGGACCCTGGGGGCTGAAGGGCAGCCAGCTTCGGTTCCAATCCCAGCCCCACCCCTCAGTGGCTCATCAAACATTGCCTCTTTAAACCTCAGATTCCTTGTCTGCAGAAATCTCTCAGCATTCTGTCTCACCTCTGCCGTGAGTGTGAGGGGCAACAGCACACATAAAGCTCCCAGAGCAGGACCTGGCACAGAGTTGCACGATAATAGGTTATCATTGGCAGAATGATCCTTGACAACTCCGTGTAAACACAGTTCTTCTCGATCCTGGACTTCAGAGTCTTTGAGAGCCAGAGTCGCGCCTTTAGTAATTTCCCAACACCCACAGTATGTGGTAGCAGAGGAGGAGGAAAGAAAGCCCAAGGGGCTGGGATGGGTCAAGTGTTTGCCAAGGAAAGGGAGCTGGAGAAGCTGGAGGTAGGGTCGCTGTAAGCCCTTTAAGGCACCCCGAGCGTAAGACAACACTGAAGCAAGGACTGTGAACTCTCAGCAGTGGCTTTTCTTAGTGCTGCTTGCTCTCTCACACACACCACTGGGGAAATGACATCACAGGGCCTCACCTCAAATAGGTCAGGGGAAACAGCATTTCAAAAGGCCTTTCCTGCATCTCTCCGATGGCTGGATGGCATCTTAAAGGCCCCGTTCATCTGAGCTTAGGGAATCGCAGAAGAGCTCCTGCTGCAAATACCAAACACTGACACACATTCACCACTCATTAACCCCAGGCCAATTTCATTCACAGAGCAGCAGATTCTCAATGTGCAGTGGTGGGTGACTGGCTTGGTGGGGCGTTGCAGGGGTTGAGCCTTGGAAATAACCAGGTTTCTTAAGGGAAGGGAGAAACCACCACTTTCTCCCTGTGGCACTCGGTAAGCACCAGCACATCTGAAACCTGGAGTGACTCTGTGGGTGACTCTGCCCACATCATCCCATTTTCCTCTAATGAGGAGTACTGCTAAACGTGAAGGTGCTAAACGTGAAAATATCTCAAGTGCTGAACATTAAAGGCACAAGCAGACAAGCACCCAGGAGAGAGGGGGGCAGTGGCAGCTGGAGCACTGGCCAGGGAGTCAGAAGCAGAGCTCTGGTCCTGGTTCTGACCTTCCTGGCTATGTGACTTTAGGCAAGTCGCTTACCCTTCCTGAATCTCTCAGTTGCCTCATTCAGAAAATGAAAAGGTTAAAACAGATCATTCCAAAGGTCCCTGCCACTTTTCAGACTGTTGAAAAAGTGCTCTCTTCTGGGGAATATTTGAGTCGGCACTACTCTCCCAAACCACGGCCTTGAGTGAAAACCAAGGCAATTCTTGGTTCCATTCCCCCATCTGCTTCTGCTACAGTTCTGTGTGTTGGTCCCTGAAACATCCTCCCAACCCTTTCCTAATTTGCAGTTAATTGCAAGGAACTACACCTACATTCATTTTGGGGGTCACAAATGGAAAATACTAATGACTTTGTAAATTAATTTCAGATTTGGCTCCATTTTTCTGGCGATAGGATCATACTTTGTTTGCCTTCTCATTGTTTTTAGAGGCAAACAGAAACGCAGCCCATCCCCCAAATGCATTTAAAATCCCAATTAAGTTTTTCTAGAAAAAAAAAAAGGGCATATAATATTGGCATTGGCAAAGTTATGTTACGGTGTAAAAGATTATGGCTATAGGCCTGATAGTGCTCAAACAGGACAAATGGGACATGGTTTTCCTCTGGCCAGGAGAGAGAGATAAGAGGTCCAGAAGGGCTTTTCCCGTGTTCACCAGCAGTTCAGCCAATGTCATTGAGTTCACCCTTCCATAAAGTTAGACTGTCACAGCCACTTGCCTGGAGAAGAGGCACAGACCCCACATCAGGGAGGCCATGGTCTCTGCTGCTTGGGCTGGGCTACTGCATCTGCCCTGGGCGTAATACAGGACGGGCCACAAACAGTTTGGACAAGTGTTTAAAGAGGAGTGACAAGCAAGGAAGTGCAAAACATGGGTCAGAGGAGGAAGCTGATGATGCTTTGCAGGGAGGAGAGAAATCCAAGTGAACAGGGCAGAATGTCCTGAAGGACATAAGGCTTCATGGTGGGCTGTTTTAAACTGTGGAGCAGAAGTTACGGGGAGTCTGATTTCTGTTCAACTCAAGGAGTTTATCAGAATGAAAGAAAATGCAATGGTCTGCCTTGGAGTGATGAGTGGGGAGTGCGGCAGCTTGCTAATGATAAAAAGCCTGTCATCCATTTAAGCAGGCTTCCCCAGTATTCAGTACAGTTAAGCAAGGCACCTCATTCAATTCATGCAACAGTTCTGGGAGGGCAACAACTCAAACCTATTGGTGAGTTCACTGTCCTAGTGAGGAAAATGGGGGCTCACAGGTGGCATTATGCCCAAGTCACATAGCTAATAACTGCAGGTGCATTTGACTGAGACCTTCTGCCCAGTGCTTTTCCTCCCACAATTCCTCCCATTCTACAGCCTTGGAGTCCCTGCCTCTTGGGTCAAAAGGCTGGGTTTAGGAATGCTGTCTCCCTGCCCTCATCTGTCCTCACCATTCCCGCAAGAAGCACAAGCTGCACATTCTGGTCTAGCTTCCATCTTGCCTATGGGAGGGGCATATAGATTCCCGGGGTGGAGATGGGGCAATGTTCCTTGATTTTCCATCTCAGAAATGGGCAAAACAGTGAGGTTGTCCTTCTCAAAGCCCCATTCACTTCCTAAAAAATACGGTGAGGGTCAGGGTGAGACGTTCGCAGCATGGGAACTTGCTGTTCAGATAAGGAGATGAGACACATCCTCAGGTCTCTACAACACAGAATCTATGTGGCTGATCGCTGAGGACTCAGTTTCCCCCTCTATAAAGTGAAAGACTTGCTAGTTATCCTCCAAGACACCTTCCTATCATGAAGTTCCATGTCTCAGATGACCATCAGTTTGGACAGGGTTCTCTGCAGGTCTGCTTGGGCATAGGAGATACCACTCAAGGGTCCTCCCAACAGAGACAGGACAACAACCTGAGCTTGCCCTGCATGATAAGACAGAAGGGGGAGATTGGAGGAACAGACAGAGATGTTTTCACAAGGTTCACACACACTGGATCTCTATCTCCTGTTAATGCAGTGTTCTTAGCCAGGTAGTGTCCTGAAGAAGCACCCATCTCCTGGACAGGGTGATTTCTGCAGAAGAGGATGGACTGGCTGCCCTGCCCCCAATTAACACGTGGTAAAACTGAAGACCAGGTAAGGCCTCAAAAGAAGGTTCTGGCAAATCGGGCTTCATTTGAGGACCAGGACTCAACCCTGGTCACAGAGAGGCAGTGAGGTATAGTGGCTAAGTTAGGGCTCTCGAGAGAGAGGCTGGGACTGAAATCCCTAGCTTCATGATGTTCAGAAAGGTCCAAGTCTCTGAGCATCAGTTTCCTCCTCTTTACAGCGGGACTGGGAGGAATCCCTGGAGCAAACTGTGACCAGCACCCTGCGCAGTGCTTGGCATGCAACAGACATCAGCCACCATTCAGCAACAGGAGCACTGTGATTGCTCCTAAAAGTAAAACAAAACAAACACACTCAAAATGAAAACAACAACAATGAAACCCGAGAACACAGCTCGATGCCTGGCAAATAGAAACAACTCAACGACTATCTCCTGGCTGATGGCAAAACAGACAGAAAGAGGGACAAATGAGTCAAAGCCTCTTGGTTCTGAGGTCCCATATCTTCCATTCAGTACTATGTGACCTGTGGCAAGGGACTGACACTCCCTGAGCCTCAGTCAGCTTCGGGAATCTGCCGAGTACTCTGGAGGGAGATTTACACATGCGAAGCCGCGGGTCCTCAGAGAACATGGCAATAGCATGTAGGACAAGATATTCCTGCCGAAATCATTCTGGCCCAAAGCACGTGAATATTTGTGGAGTGAGTGACTGCATGAATCCATGCATGCATTCAAGAGCTTGCTCAATTCCAGCCTCCCCAAATCCTTGGGGATTCCCCGAGCAGAAAGTCTCAGTTGCTTGAAGGCTTGAGAAGTACTTAGCATTCCCAGCGTGGCAGGTAGAACACAGCCAAGATCTCTGGCCTCTGCAATTGCTGCCCACCACCACCTCCTCACCCCCACCTCATACCCCCCACTAGCTATCACCAACCCTGTCCACCGAAGGGTTAAAAGTGTCTGCCTTTCAGGCAGAACCTGTGATTAGACAGAATGCTGCTTTTACACATACACCACCCCAACCAAAGCAGGCCTAGGCCTTCTGAACTGATACCCTGAAGCTGTTACTGAACAGGCCACCAGCCCATGGTGTCCTTCCTGTCCCCTGGCACTTTCCTTGAATACTTTGCCTAAGTTGCTACGTGCAAATTCTCTTTCTCTGTGTAGGGCAGTGGTCCCCAATCTTTTTGGCACCAGAGATGAGGGTTGGGGGGGATGTTTCAGGACGAAACTGTTCCACCTCAGATCATCAGGCATTAGATTCTGATATGGAGTGTGCAACCTAGATCCCTCCAATATGCAGTTCACAATAGGGTTCACGCTCCTATGAGAATCTAATGCAGCCGCTTATCTGACAGGAGGCGGAGCTCTGGCCGTAATGCTCACTTGCCCACCACTCACCTACTACTACGAGACCCGGTTCCTAACAGGCCGCACACGGGTATCAGTCCACGGCCCCGGGGTTGGGGACCCCTGGTGTAAGAGAAGGAGGTCAGGTGAGTGGAAGGCACCTAGTACCGGAGTCAGCAGGCCCTATTCCAAATTCTAACTCTACCTGGGACTACGTGGCCTTGGGTAAGTTGCTGGGCCTCTCTGAGTTTCTGTTGCCTCATCTGTAAAATGCACATGATATTCATCCACCATGCAAGGCTGCTGTGAGAACTAAATGGAATGACAAAGGTAGAGTATCTAGCACAGCACTTGGGACATAGTAGACATTCAGCAAATGCAAGTTTCCCTTCTTCCTTAATGGGAAGAAGACCAAGCTCTGGTCCCACCCGGCTCCTCACTAGCTGTGTAACTCAGCCAGTGAGCTCAATGACTCCACTCCAAAATGCAGGTGACATCAACTGACCTAACGAAGAAATCCTGTAGCTGTGGTGTCCAATATGGTGGCCACCAGCCACATGGCAGCACTTGAAATGTGGACAGTGCAAACTGAGATGTGCCACAAGTATAAAGGACACATCAACTTCAGACTCAGTATGATAAAGAAGAATGTAATATAGCTCGTTAACAATCTTTATATTTGAGTATATGCTAAAGTGATGATGGTTTGGGATACACTGTATTAAACAAGATATAGTATTTAAAATTAATTTCACCCTCTCTTTACATTTTAACATGGCCAGAAGATTTTAGATTTTAGAAGTAATTGCAATTATCCGAGGGGAATACGTTCCAAGACCACCAGTGGATGCCTGAAACCAGAGACAGTACCAAACTCTATAGACACTGTGTTTTTTCCTGTGCATGTACACCCAAGACAAAGTTTAATTTATAAATTAGGCACAGTAAGAGATTAACAACAATAACTAATAATGAAATTAACAATTATAACAATATACTATCATAAAAGTTATATAAATGTGGTCTCTTTCTCTCAACACATCTGACTGTACTATATTCACCTATTTCCAGACTGTAGCTGACTGAAACCTCATAAGGCAAAACCAAGAACAAGTGGGGGCTACCATACACTGTAGCTCACACTACAGTGATATCCGGCAACACTGCTCTAGAAGGCTAAACAAACCTGAGTTACTGCTTGGCTATTATTCTTTCCCCAAGTAGACTGAAATTCCTTCTTGAGAGAGGAGTCCTGTTAGTTCCTGCTTTATGTTTCCCATAGTGAGGTGCTAAGTGCACATCACTTCCCAGGGGTCCCAGGGGTTGGGGACGCCTGGTGTAGAGGTAGGGGGACAGGAGTGTGGAAGGCATCTAGGATTGGAGTCAGCAGGCTTTATTCCAAATTCCAACTCTACCTGGGACTATGTGGCCTCGGGTAAGTGGCTGGGCCTGAGTTTCTGTTGCCGCATCTGTAAAACGCAAATGACATCCATCCACCACGCACTCAACACTCTGTGCTCAAGGTGCACATCGCCTTTAAGACACAGTGCTAATGGTGCACACCAAAATACTTTTAGAAGGCTGAGCGTGGTGGCTCAGGCCTGTAATCCTGGCACTTTTGGAGGCAGAGGTGGGAGGATCGCTTGAGGCCAGGAGTTCCAGACCAGGCTTGGCAAAATGGCGAGGTTCACTCTACTAAAAAATATATTTAAAAACTAGCTGGGTGTGGTGGCGTGCACCTGCAGTCCCAGCTACTTAGGAGTCTGAGGTGGGACGATCTCTTGAGCCCAGAGGTTTGAGGCTGCAGTGAGCTATGATCATACCACTGCACTCCAGCCTGGGCGACAAAGCAAGACCCCAGCTCTTTGAAAAACAAACTCTTAGAAATCTTAAGTTGGCCTTGAAAAAAAAAATCTTATGAATAAAATCTTAAGGTTTTCGAAATTATAAGTCACTATACACCAGGAACTATGTTCCTGGGTTTTACACACACCAGCTCTTTTAATCCTTCAAGAACCCCATGTTTTACAGATAAGGAAGCTGAGGCAAAAAGGTTGAGGGACTCGGCCAAGGTTACTAAGTGGTCAGGAGTAAAAGCAGGGATCTGAACCTAGCTGTTCTTACTCCAAGTCCAGGCTGTTCTCCACTGACCATGAAGCCAAGCAGACAGCCCGCTCTCCCTGTTTGCAGTATGACAGCCTCTAAATCTTACACATCTTAGAAAAACTCCAGCCCCAGAGATGCTCTACTTCCCATCCCCACCCCCAACAAAGGATTTCCCAGCAAGTCAGAAATGACAAACCACAAAACGGAGTCCGTGCATAACCATATCCACGTCTGGCCAAGGCTTGGTTAGCTCAGAGTTAGTCACATTTTAAAAGGGGTGAGTGATAGGGAAGGTGGATTCTATTTTGTTGCCTATGAACTTCCTGGCCAAGGGTGCAGGCTGCAAGTTGGAAAGGGAGAACTGGTGGATATCTGAGGGCCTGATAAGATATTTTTTCAGAGGAACACATTAGCAAGGCTGAAAATTTATTCCCAAGTTTCAGAAGCTCAGCTCCCCCCAGCTTCATTGATAGTCTCCCTACCACTTTCAGCCTAAGCTGTCCTCTGGCCTCTAGCCATCCACTCTAGCCTTGGACATGAACGCACTTTGGGGAGAAAGGCCCTGAGCCCGACACAGAATAGACTGACCATAAGCGTGTACAGTAGGATGAGGGGTGGGGTGAATAAATGGATGTACAAACCAACCAATCAATTTCAAAAAGTCTGAAGGTGCAGCAGACACAGCCCTTCATCTTCAGGAACTCCAGAGACGGGCACAGAAGACACGGAACATGTAAGGTCAATATAAGAGTTGCATATGACTAATTGCCAGGTGAGTATTAATATGCACAAGGGTGAAGGAGAGAGGATGAGCAAACCTCTTCCCCTTTGCCTACATCCTGTATGGATTCACAGGTAGAGGGCCGTCTGCAGGGTGCGGCTCAGAGGAGGGAAAGGGCAGGATGGGCCAGTCATCTGGGAATGCTTCCTGGAGGAGGTGCCTGAGGAGGAACAGGACTCAGATGGGACTGGAGGACGTTCTGATGGCTAGCTGTGTCAAGCCTGTCACTTAACCTGTCAGCCTCTTGGTTTCCTTTTTTACAGGGGGAGGCACTGCAGAAACAGAGGGAGGAGACAGAAAAACAAAACACCTGGTAGACAGTTCACATTCGACCTCAGACAGGGTAAATATTTACTTATCCATTCATGAGCCTGGCCCTGGGGAGCGACCTCGGCTTGGGCCACCTGGGTTTATGCCGGTGTCTGGGCTTGATTTGAGGCTCGAGGTGGCCGGTATTTAGCCCACGGCACAGAGTCCAGCCCTATACCTTGTCTGTCTGAGAGCTAAATGGATCCCATTTGATGGCAGTGGAAAAACTGACCACCACGATGACCCTACTGCTCACGCCAAAACATACCAGGCAGTGGCCGTAAGAGCTGCCCTCTAATGAGTGCCCACCTCGTCCTGGAATATTCAAGAGTGTGCCTGTGTGGGTGGTGACTATCTTCTCCTCACCAGGAGGTCGTAGGGAGACACACTGCCCCCCACTCCACAATTCAGTGAGGCCCCACCATTCACACCATGTTACACCAAAGGGATGCTTGAACCAGACCTGCCAGACTCTACTGTCGGAGCTCTCCCAGCTAACCACAGAGCTGAGGAAGAGACATACTCATCCGACAAACATTTACCAAGGGCCTACTGTGTGCCAACCACCGTCCAGGGCCCTGGAACATGGTGTGGACAAGACAGGAAAGGGCTCTGTCCTTGGGGAGCTGGCATTTATGGGGTGAAGATGGGCCTTAAACGCAGAATAGAAAATCAAAACCATCTCAGTGGGTGGTACAGGTTTAATGTCTGAGGGGGAAGTTGGAGCAGGGTCAGCCCCTGGGCCACCTGAACATGAAGATCTGTAACAATCACTGCAAAGCATGTTTAAAATACCTATTTCCAGACTGTACCCCAAGAGTTCCATTAGAAATCTAGGGAGAGGCCAAGAAACAGACAGCTGTGGTAACGGGCTAGGAGACTGGCAGCAGGAGGTCCCGGACCCCTGGAAGTCTAGAGTCTGGGCACAGTGCCCCAGCATGGCCCCACCACTCAGGAGGCAATTGTGAGCAATCACAACTCATGCCTCAATCTCCTCATCTGTAAACAGAGCATCCTAACACCTGGCCTGACACCTCGCAAGATGGTGCCAAGACGCAAAGAAGGCTATGGAGGTAAACTGTAAAGGGCTGAACGAAGGTGAGCTGTGCACATTCTCAAACACGACTGCTGGTAAGATGAACCCAGAAAAGAAAAGAAAAAAACTACGCAATTCCCTAAGGACTCAGGGAGTGTGTGTCGAGCATACAGTTTCTGCTTCTCAGTGACAAATACCCCACACCTAACCCACCCTGCCAAATAAGATAACTCTTACTCAAACGTGGTTGCTCAACACAGGCCCGAGTGTGGGTTTCCATGCAGTTGTCCCATCCTGTGGGAATGTCGCATCCTGTGGGAACCCAGCGTGTGGGGTTCCTGGTGAAGCGAGCGGCGGCAATAAATTACCCCAGTGCCGCGGCTCTTGCCCACATGTTGCTCTTATGGTCAGTGCGCTTCAGCCCAGCAGTGACCTAACCCCAGCACCAGTGAACTCAGCAGCAGGCTCCTCTGTCATCCTCCTCCAGCAAGCACAAGCTCATATTTCAGGCCGTTTGCTCCCCTGGGCATGACTCAGAGGAGTCAGTTGTCTTAAAAAAATGCTTTTCATATTTCAAATCAAAAATAAACACCACGCACTCTGGATGCAAGCCATCACAGATGTCTCTGTTAAGCTATTAAAGTGAAAAGGCCCAATAACGCCTAAAAAGTGGTTAACTCCTATCATTCTGTTCCCACCGGCTTCATCCACCCACGGTGGGCTACAAGAGTGGTCCTGAGGCCAGGTCACAGGACTGACATCTGGCTCAGCCAGTAACAATGAGGACAGAGGTCCATGCATTCACTGGGACTGGAGAAGGTGGAAAGCAAATGTCCTATGGGGTGATCCCAGAGAGAAGATCGTGGATCTAGCCACAGAAAGGCAACAGCGCTTCAAAGAGGCTCTCCGTACACACACTGGAGCCGCTCTTAATCTCTATAAAGAAAGAAGCGGGTGGATCAGCAACCAGAGCTGCCAGGCCAGGAGGTTCAGCAGCAAACCCAGTCAGTGCCCAAGCAAGAACTGTCCAGAGGGGAAGGTCCGGCCCAGCAGTGGGTGGGCCTGGATGGCATACGGGGATGCACCCAGCCACCAGGGCCTGTAGCCATTCAACACAACTGCTTCCCATGACTCCCTCCCTCCCTTTCCCCGACCCACCCAGCTCTCTGACCATTTGGCTGGTCGGGTGGGGTGCCCATAAGCAGACAGAGCACCCTGGTTATAACCTCACAGTGGTTACGCTTGTCAATAAATATGCTTGATGTATGCTTTAGCTTTTTGCTAAGAGACAGGAGCCCTGACTCCAAGACTGATGAAATGAGGTTTCTGAATTGTTCAGGCCAGGCTCAGATGCCAGGTAAATTCACCAAGCTCAGGTCCATCTTCTGGCCACCAGCCTCTCCCCGGCTGCCCTGTGCCACATCTTCTCTTCCAAGCCCTCTAGATGCCCCTCATTCAGGCACAGAGCAGAGAGGTTTTTCAAGATGTTTCAACATCACAGGTAGAGGTGTACCTTTGAAAGCTAATTAAAAGCAGAAACTTCACTGTCAGCCCTGTTTAATTTCTATTCAAACACAGTCTCAGATGAGGCCTTGGTCAGCTGTGTGACGTGGTAATGAGGCATTCTGCTGATGAATATTCTCATTCACCAAAGGACAACCAAAATCTTTTTCTTTTTCTAATTCCCTTTGAAAATATTTCCAGAAAGTATTTGTCTACTCTTCTTCCTCAACAAGTCCATCTTCTCTAAAGATAATAGATTTTTTTTTTTCTAAAGACTGACAATCCTCCAGCCTCTTGGACCCAGGTTGTGAAGTTAATTCTCACTGTGGAGATCAACAAGCTGTGTAAACTGCAGAGGTGGATGGCTGGCCGGGTCATCTAGACACCTCAGGGCAATCATTAGCAATGCCTTCTTTCAAAGGAACAAAAAAGCTGGGTGTGGTGGCATATGCCTGTAATCTTACCACTTCAGGAAGCTGAGGCGGGAGGATCACTTGAGGCCAGGAGTTCAAGACCAGCCTGCCCATGATAGCAAGACCTCTTCTCAACAGAAAAATACAAAAATTAGCCAGACGTGGTGGCCTGCTTCTGTAGTCCCAGCTAATCAGGAGGTCAAGGCTAGAGGATCATTTGAGCCCAGGAGTTTGAGGCTGCAGTAAGCTATCATTGCACCACGGCACTCCAGCCTGGGTGACAGAGGGAGACTCTGTCTAAAAATAAGAGACGAAAATCCAAAGGAACAAAAGCTTCTAAATAAAATCGACAACAACCTATTTTCCAGTGATTTGTTTCAGTCTATTCTACAGCATATCCGAAAGTTGGAAAGCAGGACACACTATTTTCCCTTTGTTTCCAGGCTTTTTGGATACTCTGGGATGTTTTATTATAGCTTTTCAGGTTAGCAGTTGAACCCACTGCTTTAAATGTAGAGGTCCTTCACCTAAAAAGAAGGCAAAGGGTTGCAGAAAAACATTGAGTATATTCTTTGGAAATGTCAAAAAAAGACTATTTCAAAATAAGTTTGTCCGTCTCCCAATTTTGGGGCATCCCGTCTATCTGAGTGCCTCCTATGTACTGGATTCTATACTGTAAAATTAGAATGCTGGCTGAAGGTGATGATAAGCTCATAATATTAATGGCTACTATTTACTAACACTTGTAATATGCTAGGAATTGCAGTCAATCTCAAACATGTTAGAATTCTTTTTTCCTTTTTTTTGAGACGGAGTTTTGCTCTTGTTGCCCAAGCTGGAGTGCGATGGCACAATCTTGGCTCACTGCAAACTCCTCCTCCTGGGTTCAAGCGATTCTCCTGCCTTAGCCTCCCGAGTAGCTGGGATTACGGGCGTGTGCCACCACACCTGACTAATTTTTTGTATTTTCAGTAGAAACGGAATTTCACCATGTTTTAGCTAGGCTGGTCTCAAACTCCTGACCTCAGGTGATCCACCCGCCTCGGCCTCCCAAAGTGCTGGGATTACAGGTGTGAGCCACTGCGCCTGGCTGATTTTTTTTTTTTTTTTTTTTTTTGAGACAGGGTCTCACTCTGTTGCCCAGGCTAGAGTACAGTGGCGAGTTCACTGCAGACTTTAACTCCTGGCTCAAGCAACCTTACACTGCAGCCTCCCGAGTAGCTGAGACCACAGGCTCACACCACCATGCCCAGCTAATATTTTTAATTTTTTGTAGAGATGAGATCTTGTTATGTTCTTGTTATGCTGGCCAGTCTGGTCTCAAACTTCTGGCCTCAAGCGATCCTCCCACCTCAGCCTCCCAAAGTACTGGGATTACAGGCATGAGCCACCATGCCCGGACGCAAGTATTTAAAACAAATTCACTGAGATATTTTATCCCTGTTTTACAGATGAAGAAACTGAGGACTTAGAATGTTTAAGTCCTTGTCTGAAGTCCCATAACTTACAAGTGGTGGGGCCAGGATTTGAACCCTGGTCTGTAGGATCCCAAAGCCCTATTCCTTACCACCCTACATAGGGACCACAGGGAACATCATTGCTCTGTGAAAAAAACCTATCCTTGTCTATGGAGTGATTACTTTCCTAAGAAAGTCAGGTAAGTCCTGGCTTGAAAACAAGTTTAAGAGCCAGCTCAGCTCTTAGCTAGATGCAAGACCCTCAGCATCCCCTCACCTCTCTGGACCTCAGTATTTTGGGCAATGAAACTAGTATATCATTTCCTGTGACCTCTTTTGGCTCTAACAAATGGCCAAAAAACCCAAGAGATCACCAGCTCCATAAATCCCCCGATAGGAAATGGGCCAAAGGATTACCGTACGGAAAGCAGTCCTGACTTGCTCATTCCCAAACTCTGGTGAGGAAACCAAGAGAAACCAGCCACCACCCACAGCTGACAGGGTCTGGGGGGAACAGCAAAAGAGCTGACCCGCACAGTACCCCCAGGCTAACTGAAGAGTCCCTGAAGCCTACAGATCAATTTCTCTTTTCTAAGAAGGAAAGGGGAGTATAACCTTCAGTTTCCTCATGTGTAAAATGAAAAGGTTTCATCTGTTCATTCTTCTAAGTGGTCAACTTAACCTCTGTAGGACTCAGCTTCCTCATCTACAAAATGGGGACATATGTCCGGACCTTAGACCAGTGCTACCCAATAGAATTTTTGGTGGTGATGAAAACGTGCTGCTCTATATGAGCTGATCTGATGGCCACTAGCCTACCCGTGCACTTGAAATGCGGCTGGTGTGACTGAGGGACAGCATTTGTAATTGTATTTAATTTTAATGACCCAACATTTAAATAGCCACATGAGGGTGGTGGATAGGTATCGGACAATATAGCCTTAGACTGTAGTGGCAGGAATGAAATCAGATGGCATTTGTAAACTGCCTAGCACAGTGGTGGGACACAAAGTTCTGGAGGAAAAACATGCATGAATATGCAGAGGTCCTATCAGTAGAGATTTTTTTTTAAGCAAAATTTCCTCATATCAAGAAATGGAGGCACTAGAAGCTGACAAGCACATACATGGATGTGTTAGAAAGACCCAGAGAAATCAGGCATACTGTAGAAACCATTCTCTCGGTGTATAGACTAAATGGCTGAAGGTCTGTTTTGTTTTCTTCACAAATGTTCTTGTCAGAAGATAAAAGAGAGCCGTTTTCAGCAAATCTAGGTTTTTATAACCCTAAACGCCCAGTACAAACTGCCCCAAGAGCAAGCTCTCTCTTCAACAAAACCTCCCGTCCTCCCAGGCAGCCACCCCCCGCCCATCTGCAGCCCTCCCCGGGGCCTCTGGGAGCTGCCCACCCAGAACGGAGTGCAACTGACATGTGGGGCACACCCTGCCAGGCACAGTCACTCGTGGGGGGAGAGCCACCCACGATGCCCTCAGGACCCACAAGGCCGGCTGGCAGTGGCCTGTGTCAGGAGTGCCCACCGGCACCCGCTGGCAGCCAGCCTGCGTCACAGCCCAACAGGAAACGAGGAGAAGAGAACACTGGGGCCGCGTGGAAATCCCCACTGGGCTCCACGCCGGAGGGTGACTCAGCGGGGCTGGCCAGCAAGCTGCCTCCCACCCCTCAGCCAGGACAGGGCGGGGGCTGCAGGAAACAGGCCTCCCGCCTCTCTGCAAAGGCTAAGAAGTACACATTCTTACATATTATTATGTTACAGATACAATCATGCCCTGCCTGAAAACATGCAAGACAAAGTCCCAACATATGAGATGGGGATTCAAGGTCCTTTTATAACAGAAAACGCACTTTCTCTAAGCAGGGGTGTCCGGTGTTTTGGCTTCCCTGGGCCACGATGGAAGAGTCGTCATCTTGGGCCACACATAAAATACGCTAACTAACGATAGCTGATGAGCTAAAAAATAATCGCAAAAAAAAAATCTTACAATGTTTTCAGAAAGTTTATGAATTTGTGTTGGGCTGCATTCAAAGCTCTCCTGGGCTACATGCGGCCCACGGGCCAGAGGGTGGACAAGCTTGCTCTAAAGGAAAGTCTTAGTTCAAGTCCTGGAGCAGCCATGAAGCTTGAAAAATTCCCTTCCCAATTTCCCAGGCCCAATTTCTTACCTGGTAGGGCCAGGGTGAGATTCCCACACTCTCCACGGAGTGTTCCCAGGCAACACCATTGCACAGTGCCTCTGCCCTCCTCGCAGCTAGCCCATCTGCCCTTCTAGACCACCCCACAGCACTTAGCAGTCTTAGATTATGGCGTTCATCATCCTAAACACAGACATTTTACCAGGCCTCCCACTCAGATACTGTCACCAGGACAGAGGCCATGCCTTACATCTCCAAAGTGAGTTTGATACATACAGGGGGTTTTAAAAATTATCCATCTATTGATCCAAAGAAACAGCATGGCATGTGTATAAGACTTGTTATCCTTGATACCCCTCCCCAACTCCAGGTCATGGCAGGGCTGCCTGAGCTGCCACAGGCTCTTATCACCTCTGTTCCCCACATCACGTTAAGCAGCCCAGGGCAAAGTCTGTCCCACACTGTTCCTCTTTTTCCCATAAAGTACCCAGTGTACTCCAGGGACTTACGGCTAGCAAAAGAAACAACAAGCAAGAAAGTGGGGAGGTCCTAGAAATCCACTCCTAGTGAGTTGCAAGAGGCTTACTAAACCCAGAGTCTTGGCCAGGGACAGTGGCTCACGCCTTTAATCCCAGCACTTTGGGAGGCCAAGGTGGGCAGATCGCTTGAGCTCAGGAGTTTGAGACCAGCCTGGGCAACACGGTGAAACCCCACCTCCACAAAATATACAAAAAATAGCCAGGCGTGGTAGCGTGTGCCTATAATCCCAGCTACCTGAGGGGCTGAGGCAGGAGGATTGCTTGAGCCTGGGAGGTCAAGGCTGCAGTGAGCTGTGATCGCACCACTGCACTCCAGCTTGGGTGACAAAGCGAGACTCTGTCTCCAAAAAAAAAATTCAAAGTCTTTACCCCTTGAAGTTACTAGAAAAATCCAACCTATGTTATTTCACTTTAAAAATATCAACTTGCTATGACTTTTTCCTTTCAGAAGCTCTCTTGGGCAATTCTACCTTTGGACTATAAGCTTCTTACAAAATAATTCATTTTTCCCATTCCCGAGTGTGTGCGGGTCTGAATTTTATGAATGTCTTTGGCAAGTCTGAGATAATTCAGCCAGGGTTCCATCCATCTGCTTCATAGACAGTTCCACTCACTTGGCCTCTGAAAGCACTCCATGCGCTCCCCACCCACGGTCAGCCCTTACCCAGGTCCCTCTCTGGCTCCCACTCTGTGGCACCCCCACCCCCGCCATGGCCCCAGCACAGCTGTGTGGCAAGAATAACCCAGCTCTCTGTGTCTACTGCCCACCTCCCATTGACTATGGGCCTCCCTGCAATGGGCTTCAGCCCCAACACTCCATCATGACTGCCCTTGCTAAGGTCACCTAGTGGCCTCCAGGTTACAGAATCTAAAACACATGGTTTTCAGGCCTTACCATTCTGGGTTCTCTGCAACATCTAGCACTGCTGCTCCTTTCCTCTTGCTGCAGGGTCTCGTCACTCACCTTCAATGTCACTGTGCACCATCTTGCTTTTCCTCTGTCTCTCCCTGCATTCCCTAAATGGGGCTGTTCTTCAGGTGCAGGTCTGGACCTTCTCATTCTACGCTCATATCCTCCCCAGCCCGGCCTCATCCATACAATGATGACTCACAAATGTATATCTCAGCTCAGACCTCTCCCCCAAACTCCACGCTCATCTATCCAGCTCCTTGGCCTGTGCTCCTGCTAATAGGTGCTCCGTAAATGTTTGTTGGTACACACCAACAGTTAACAAGCACCTGCTTGTGCATGATTCTGTGCTAGGTACAACAGGGGATGCATGTCCCTGAGCTCAAGGGACACAAAGAGGAAAAGTTAGGCAACATCAGAGAAAAGGCAGACCTCACCTGGCTTGGGTTCCCAAGGAAGGCACCATGGCAAAGACAGCATTTGGGTTGTGTCTTGAAAGACAGCTCAGAAACCAGCATTTTATCCTGCACAATGGGATGTTCACGACTCAGGACACCCACATCACATTGAGAGACTGTGAAGCCTTACCTAGCTATTTTAAACTGGTGTTTTGTGTTCCCATGCTGGATGAAAACCTCCTAGAGAAAGGCATTTTTTCTAAGCAGAGCTCCTTCCAGCGCCTTCCGTGACAATAGTGATCTCTTTACATCTCCCCTCACCCGATTCTAGTCTGGTATAAAAATGACACACCTTTGGACCCAAGTCTGCTGGCCCCAGTCCTGATCTTACTCTACAATGAGTTATTATCTTTTTGGAAAATATCAAAGCCCACCAGAAATCAAACAAAACAAGAACTTCTACTTAGTAGCAGAAAATACATGAGATCTGCTTTATCTAACCCTGGTAATAAACACTCTGAAGAGGAAAGCGCTATCCATATCTTTACTTATGCCACCTAGCCTTCTCTCAGTCTCCTCTCAGCTGGGCTGGACAGGCCCTCACTGGGCTCCCCCACTGCAGGGACCACACCAGATGACTTGTTCCGTGCCTATCTTCCCCGACGCTGTGAGTTAGTGGGCACCAATTGCTGTGCCAGGCAGCACCCAACACAAGCATGTTGAAAGAATGAATTTCAGACTCTCTCTTTTTTATTTTTTGAGACATTGTCTCACTCTGTTGCCCAGGCTGGAATGCAACGGTGCGATCTCAGCCCACTGCAACCTCCACCTCCAAGGTTCAAGCAATTCTCCTGTCTTAGCCTCCTGAGTAGCTGGGATTACAGGCACCCGTCACCACGCCCGGCTAATTTTTGTATTTTGGGCAGAGACGGGGTTTTGCCACGTTGGCCAGGCTGGTCTTGAACTCCTGACCTCAGGTGATCCACCCGCCTCGGCCTCCCAAAGTGCTGGGATTACAGGCATGAGCCACTGCACCCGGCCAAATTTCAGACTCTTACTAGAGAGTTCTGTACATTCTCATTACATGTGCTTAGTACTATGTGCTTCTATGTTATCATTAAAACATTACACTTGATCATGTTTCCAGGCATTTTTAAGCTAACAACAGCTCTCTATAAAGAAAGTTTGAAAATCCATGCTCGACAAACCACATCTCTTTCACAAGAGCTTGGAGGACTTCCCAGCAGGAAAGGAAACATCCTCACACCCACCAGAGTCGCCCACCCGGCACATCTGCTGAACTCCACCAGGGACCTGGTGGCTTCCTCATGATCAAAAGGAGACAGCTGCTCTGTGCAGTGGGGTGGCACTGGGCTGGAACTTGGGGGGACCTGCTTTGGGGCACAGGTTTCCTCCTCTGTAAAATGAAGGAGTTGGACTTTCAAGATCTGAAGCCACTGCTGGTTCTGACAAACAGCTCTCTTCTACCGTCATATCCTAACAGAACAAAACCATGCCTGCTCATTCATCACAGGCAGAACCTGGGGTCATCATTTGAGTGAGGCCCACAAGGTGGGAAAATGCCTGGATTTGAGGTCAAAAGACCCAATTGTGTATCCTAATTACCATTTTCAGCCTGTGAGGCCTCTGTAAATGCTGTGCATTCAAAAAGGATTATTACTCTTTCTAGCTACTCCACGAAACACGCCAGCCGTGACCCCAGATCTCAAGGAGCCACATCCCTCCACAAGGGGAGGCAGAGACATATTTAGAAAAATGCCCTTTTCAGTGTGTGTTTCAGTGCTGGGAAGATGGAGGGCCCGGGAGCTATGAGAACTGGGTGAAGTAGTCCAGAATGGCTTCCTGGAGGAAGTAAGCTTGGGGATTTCCAAGTAGTTGACAACTTCTTTCAAGATAAACATTGCATTTATCTGCTTTCTCACCTCCTGACCTTTGCTCTTCAAACCTGGCATGCCATTGTCACTAATCATGGGATTTTACTACAACCATCAAGCAGAAAGCTGGTTAGCTGGTTTCCCAATGGCTGAGAAGTCATCTATCCTCCATGCAGAACAGATACCCCCATCACCAAGGGTCTTGCTCCCTTCCTGATGCTCAGTTTTCTTGCTTCCACCTAAGACTCTCCTTCACTGTGCCCATTTAGGTCCCACAGGCTTTGAGGAGCACTTCCACACCTGTAGCCTCTCCTTGTCTGAAGTCCTGCAGCACTTACTGTCAAGACTAATTGCAGAACCACTAGGAATGATACCCATAATAATCACAGCTGCTCCCCTTTACCACACGCTTCTCCAGCCAGGTACTTGCTCAGCACGTCAGTCATTATTGAGACAACGTCCACACACCCCGTGAGATGGGCGCCACCGTTATCCCTGTGCCCGAGATGGATCCAAGATTCAAAAGCTTAGATTCCTTACCGGAGGCCACATGATCAGTTTTAGGGAAGATTTCTACAAGCCTTGAAGGCCTGGTAGGAATCTGCATCCTAGGACAACGTGTCCAGTATATCCCTTTTGTCCACTGTGTGCTAGGCACTGCAAATGTGAAGATGTGGATGGCCAGGATGTGCTTGGAGGGCCTCACTCTCTACCTGGAGGCAGCCCATCAACCACAGTGCGCTGGTTTATCTGGGAGCTGCTCTCAGACAGTGTCAACCACTGCCATCTCCATAATCCATCACCCAAGGATGCACAAGGCAACTAACTGGTGCTCAGCAAAGGCCAGCTGAGATAAACTGAACAGGAGATGTTAGAGAGATGTAAAAAGTCCTTCGGGTGGATTTCTCTCTGTTGTTAAACATCTCTCTCATCTCTGGACTTCTGTACCCACTTCCAGAGGGTACAGTGGTTACAGAAGTCTCTCTACAGAAGTCCAGAGATGAGAGACATGCTCTTCTGATTACTCCTACCCACCCTTTGGTCTTGGCTCCTATGTCTTTTCCTTGGGGGAACCTTCCCAGACCACCACCCCTTGCTCAAATGGAATCAGGCTCCCTGGACTTCTCATGCATGACTCCTAGCATTTGCAGTGTTACCCTTGTGAGTGCTTCCTCTTTGCTCACTACTATATCCAGAGCCCAGCACAGCATAAGTTGCCAGTAAAATGTGCTGAATGAACAAATGAGTTAATGCCACTGAATCTGTATCAGCCTTGCCATGACTCCAGGAGGGTGGTTAACCAGACATTATCTTCCTTGCTTTACTGATGAGGGAATCACGGCCCAGAGGGCATGTCTCTCACCTGGGCTTGGGGCACTGCGAGAGGACCCAAGCGCCCCAAAGGGGGCCATGCCTTTTTCTTGTTGGATTCTTTGGCAACCAGCACGGCTCTGAGCACACAGCAGATGTGGATTCAAAGTAGATGGAAATAGCAACTAAATGACCTCAGAGATGGAGCCAAAACAACTTTTCTGTTTGCTTGGCATCACATTTCCATCAAAGCAGACTGTGGAGGGAGGCCATTCTGTTTGCATTTTGACTCTATTCTACCTGTTCTGTTCTGAGAACACAGCTCAGTGCTGAAGGGACACAACAAAATCTGCGGGTGTGGGTGAGATTCTGCTTCCGTGGGAAAAAAAAAAAGACTTTCCTACGTCTCATCATCTTTGTAATGAAGCACTAAGGTGCTCCTGGAAGTGCTCATGGCATGAGTTCCAGGAATTCAAAGATTGTCAGTGCAACTTGATACACATTTGCTCAAGGCCTAGGGCAGAGCACTGGACCAGAAGTCAGAATCCTGGCCTCTGGGCTTACTCCAGATCCCAACCAACAGGGTGACCCTAGATGATGTAGTGTCCATATGGGTAAGATAGGGTCAACAGCACCCACACTGCCTTCATCACAGGGCTGTAGCCAAAAAAGCTCCAATATTTGAGACAGGAGGTGTGAAAAGCCACAGGCAGTAACAACATGTGTGGCATATTACAAGGCTGCTCCTGGCCTAGGGGTGACTGTGCAGAGAGTGCTTTTGGAGGGGGAAGGGGGAACTGTTTGTTGATACTCTCCCACATGGAGGCAGAGGTAACTTCAAAGAAAACTGTGCTTACCTGTTTGAAGGTACCCAAAATAGAAAGAATGGCCTCTCAAGCCCCCTAAATTTAGATAAAGACTGGGTACTGGCAGGTGGAAGGAGGGGAGGATGAAGTCAAAGTCAAGATTCTCTGGGTTGGAGTCAGGTCTTCGCAACCCACTCACCATATGACTTAGAGCAGGCAGGTAACGCACCCTGAACCTCCATTTCCCCATCTGTCAACTGCGAAGTAATGACAACTACCCCTTTAAAGACTGGTATTCAAATCTATTTTTTGTTTCTCTTAAGAAAGGATGCTACTGAAAAATGGTAAAGCCCTTTATTGGGTGTGGGACGAAGAGGTCCACCCAATATGACATGTAATCAGTTGAAGGTGGCTTGTTCCTTGCCCCCGGTGAGGGAGCTATCTGGGTGGGCCTCTTTGCAGAGTGGCCATCTGTGCGCCACACATAACCGTAGGTGATGAGGGGCCCAATTCCATGAGAAGCTGTTCAGTTTTGGCCAGGACCTCCCTCATACATGCTGGATATTTCCATCGGGCAGGCAGTCTCAGAGGCATGTCAGAGGGAGTGGGCGAGAGAGAGGACCCTCCAGCGCTGAGGAGGTGGGAAGGCGGGTGGGTTCCACATGAGTGAAGCAATGCTGCTTACCTTCACTCCAAAGTGACGGCCATCTCTCAGGGCAAGGGCACACAACCCCACCTGCCCAATGTTTCCACTGCTTAGCCAGCACTCAGGAAGCATGATGCAAGAAAACACTTCTAAAATGCATCCAGGAGGGCAGCCCCTGCCACTTCTCCACCGCCAAATTGGTCCCAACTAACCTCAACCTGGTGGCAGAAATGCTGCCAAAGAATGTAATAAACATTCCCAATTTGAAAAAGAATTCAATCAAGATTTTGTAAGCATCTCCCATGCTTTGTCCTAAGCACTACAGGGAGATGTGAGGGAAATAAGACACAGTTACTGTCCTCAAAGAGCTATTCGTCTAAAGGGAAAGAACTAACACAAATGAAATGATCCTGTGCGTGAGAAGCTCAGGTTCCTAGGATCTATGGGAGAAATATGCTTATATTTCAGTCCCTGAAAATATTGGAGGTGGGGACATTTTTTTAAACAATCTTTCAGACATCTGTGTTAATCTTGTCATTAGTCACATTTCCATTTTACCCTTGGCTGCTAGAAAGCTCAAGGCCAAATGTGCAGGCTACTTCCAACAATCTCACAAACCTTACAACATATTAGTTGTTGTACTAACATTAACTCTTATGTCATCTTATTTTCCTATTTTCTTGTCTTCTCCCCTAATTTCCTTGTCTATCTTTACTTGTATTTACTATTGTAATTATTGGATTTCTGAGAGTTACCACAGATTCTTTTTTTGAACAATGTAGATTTTGAAAAATATATTTTAAGGCCGGGCGCAGTGGCTTATGCCTGTAATCCCAGCACTTTGGGAGGCCCACATGGGTGGATCACGAGGTCAAGAGATCGAGACCATCCTGGCTAACACGGTGAAACCTCGTCTCTACTAAAAATACAAAAAAAAAATTGGCCGGGCGTGGTGGCAGGCGCCTGTAGTCCCAGCTACTCGGGAGGCTGCTGAGGCAGGAGAATGACGTGAACCCGGGAGGCAGAGTTTGCAGTGAGCCAAGATCGCACTACTGCACTCCAGCCTGGGTGACAGAGCAAGACTCTGTCTCAAAAAAATATATATATATATATATACACATATATATATATTTTAAAAGTTGATTAATACTACAAAGCTATAGTAGTCAAGACTGTCATGAGGATAGATGTATGGATCAATAAAAGAGAATCTTAAGAGTCCAAAAAGAAACCTTTACATTTACAGTCAAATGATTTTCTACAAGGGTGCCAAGACAATTCACTGGGGAAAGCACATTCTTCTCAACAAACAGTGCATGGACATCTGGATATTCACATGCAAAAGAATGAAGTTGAACCCCTACCTCACATCTTATACAAAAATCAGGTCAAGATGGATCAAAGACCTAAATATAAGAGCTAAAATTATAAAACTCTTAGAAGAATGCAAGGGAGTAAATTTTTGTGACCCTGGATTAAGCAACAGTTTCTTAGATACAACACAAAAAGCAAAAGTGACGAAAGTAAAACAAATTTAGCTTCATCAGAATTAAAAACTTTTGTGCTTCAAAAAACACCATCAAGAGAGTGAAAAAACAACCCACAGAATTGAAAGAAATAAAATGGAAGAAAATATTTGCAAACCATGTATCTGATAAAGGAATTTATATCCAGAATATATAAGGAACTCTTATAATTCAACAGTAGAAAGACAACCCAATTAGAAATGGCTAGCCGGGTGTGGTGGCTCACGCCTATCATCCCAGCACTTTGGGAGGCCAAGGCGTGTGGATCACCTGAGGTCAGGAGTTCAAGACCAGCTTGACCAACACGGTGAAACCTCATCTCTACTAAAAAAAAAAAAAAATACAAAAAATTAGCCAGGAGTGGTGGCGGGCGCCTGTAATCCCAGCTACTTGGGAGGCTAAGGCAGGAGAATTGCTTGAACCTAGGTGGCGGAGGTTGCAGTGAGCTGAGATGGCGCCATTGCACTCCAGCCTGGGCAACAAGAGCAAAACTCTGTCTCAAAAAAAAAAAAGGAAAGAAAAAAAAAGAAATGGCTAAAGGATTTGTAGATGTTCCTCCAAACAAGATATACAAATGGAAGGCCAGGTGCGGTGGCTATGCCCGTAATCCCAACACTTTGGGAGGCTGAGGCAGGTGGATCATCTGAGGTCAGGAGTTCAAGACCAACCTGGCCATCATGGTGAAACCCTGTCTCTACTAAAAATACAAAAATTAGCCAGGTGTGGTGGCACACACCCGTAATCCCAGTGACTCAGGAGGCTGAGGCAGGAGAATCACTTGAACCCAGGAAGCAGAGGCTGCAGTGAGCCGAGATGGCACCATTGCACTCCAGCCTGGACATCCCAGCAAGACTCAATCTCAAAAACAAACAAACAAAAAACACAAATGCCAAAAAGCACAAGGAGAGATGATCAATATCATTAGCCAATAGGGAAATGCAAATCAAAACTATAATGAGATACCACCTCACATCCACTAGAATGGCTAAAATAAAACAGACAATAACAAGTGTTGACAAGGATGGGGAGAACTGGAACCCTCATACATTGGTGGTGAGACTGTAAAATGGTACAACCACACAACCACTTTGGAAAACAATTTGGCAGTTTCTCAAAAAGGTAAACAAAGCTACCAAATGACCCCATAATTCTACTTCTAGGTATCTACTCAAGATAAATGAAAACACATTTCCACAAAAAAAGCTTGTACACAAATATTCGTAGCAGCATTATTTACAATAGCCAAGAAGTGAAAACAACCCAAATGTCTATCAACTGAAGAAAGGACAAACAAAATGTGGTATATCCATACACTGGAATACTATTTGGCCATAAAAAGGAATGAAGTACTGACACATGCTACAAATGGATGAACCCTGAAAATATGTTAAGTGAAAGAAGTCAAACACAAAAGTCCACAAATTGTATGATTTCATCTACATGAAATGTCCAAAAGAGGCAAATCCAGAGAACCAGAAAGTAGACTAAGTTGCCAGGGCTAAGGGGGATGGGCAGGAAGTGACTGTTAATGGGTATGAGGTTTCTTTTTGTGGTGTTGAAAATGTTCTAAAATTAGATAGTGATGATGGTTGTACAACTCCATTAATACACTAAAAACCACTAAATCATATCCCTTAAAAGAGCAGATTTATGGTGTATGAATTATATGCCAATAAAGCTATTATTTTTCAAAAGGTTTACTGAATAAAGTCTGGACTTGTGTTACTAGTAATGTACCAATGTTGTTTCTGAGTTTTGACATGTGTACCATGGTAATACAAGATGTTAACATTACGGACATCTGGGTCAGGGGTACACTGGAACTTTCTGTATTATCTGTGTACAGTTTTTCTGTGTATCTACGATTATTCCAAAAGGAAGAATTTCTTTAAAGAAAAGATTGGTCATACAGAGCTAACTATTATGTAATGATTTAACTAGGCTTCCATGACTGTGGTGTACCTGCCCACTGGACCATAGCTGCTCAACGGCAGGAGGCCCACTTTGCAACCAGGGTAGCCCACACAGGGCTGGATGTCACAGACACAGAGAGGCAGAACAAGTAACAATGAGCATTTGCATCTGCACGGCAAGGAACGCTCCTCTTCCCTCTTGTATCTTCTTCAAGCCTCACAACAACACTATGAAGTCAATACTGTCACGTAGGGGGAGGGACTACCAAGGTGCTGTCAGCATCCTATCCCCCATCACTCCCAACTCTGTTTATATACATACACTTCTATTTTGTCAAACCCAAGTTCCTCTAAATCCAAATCTTCTGACATATCCCGCTACAGGCTGGGGTCATGGGAAAACTAGGTGGGCAGTTCCTGGCCTTTCCTCCACCAGCAGAGGTGGTGATTCTCCCTCGAATGTTCCAAGAGTCACTGCATCTATATGCCTTGATTTGAGCCACAGATGTCTGTGAGTTTGAGTCGTATCCCCCAAGCAGCACAGAACTCCAAGGGTACAGCCAGTATCCTAATTATTCCTAAACCCCCTGGGTCTTAGACACTCAAGCACAGAATGAATTATTTCATTCACTGACGACCTAGAGGTGTTCAGCAAGCACAGTCACCCTATCCCTAAAGGAAACCTGCTGGTTTCAGGCAGAGAACTCCTAAAAGGCAAACATTCTTCTTGGTCATCTCTTGCCTGCGTGGACATCACTAATGGGCTGGGGTTCTATTTTCTGAGAAGCACTGAGTTGGTTTCCCCCGCTGACGAGCCTGGGAGCTATGGCTTCATGTTATCTGGAGACCCGGGTGGGTGGGAAGTGGGCCGTGGAGGAGGAGCGGGCTGGCACGCTCCACCAGGCTGATGGCAGCCCCTGCTTCCTGTGGGGCCCATGGCCCACTGACATCACTGAGAGGCCGGCGGAGCGTAAGGGGCACGCGGGTGTCGCAACTGCAGGCAGCACGCGGGGTCATGTGAAGTTCAGCTCTGGGGTTTTCTCAGTCCATTGGGTTTTACTCATCCCTTGTCCATTAAGTGTGTTTCCCCCTCTCGCTTTTCCTTCTTTGTGTGCGTGTGTGTTTTAATTATTCCATGGCTCTTGGCTTGCTTTCATAACCTCACATTAACATTTCTCATTGCTACTGAGAAACAAGGCATTCCACCCACTAGAATGCAAAGACACCAGAGAGAATTCCAGCTCTGTGCAGGAACCCCTGGGGAGAGGGTCAGTATCCAATCACCAAAGAGGAGGATGTAAGACTTACATGCAGCATGGGGTACTAGCCTCTCAGGCCACGAGGTCCACTCTGACCTTCTACCCATTTTACAGATGAGGGCCACAAGTCCCAGAGGGTTAAAGTGACTTGCACAAGGTCACCCAGCTTCAATCAGGGCAAAATGACTCAATTTTTCAAAACTGCTATCACAAAGCATTTTTCAGTGCATGGCAAGCATTCCACACAAAAAGCATTTGCACACACAAAGAACTTACAATGAAAATTATGTCTTACAAGTTAACAAGCCATGAGAATGTTCTAATCATCAAGCATTAAAAATACCCAAATGCATATTCATCCCATGCATTCTTCGACAAGTATTTGTGAAGTGACCATGCTTTATCAGGCACCGTGCTAGGTGCTAGACTCCAGAGACACGAAGACGAATAATAACTGGTCTTCGTCAACAAGAACTCAATTGTGAGACAAAAGCCAACTTGAGGAAAATTAAGCCTATTTCAAACATGCCTTGATCTGTGTAACATTCATAATACATAATATCTTCTTTGATCTCCACAGTTTTCTCTCTACCTCCAGATCAGTGCAATCTCTGGTTTTCCACTTTTTTTTTTCTTTCCAAATGAAAATAGAGCACAACTGTCATTTTCAATCTACTAAGTCATAAACCACAAGGCAGGCTGCAAGGACCAAATGCTCCGTTTTAGAACGAGCCCAGTGCAGAGAACAGAGTCCACACCACAAGGCAGGGAGCTGTGGTCCAGATGAGTGACATGCCCTTAGTGACCTGGGTCCTGGCCTCCGACCCAGAGACCAGTCCCATGGAGCCCCTGTCCTTGAGGGCTCACTGCCTGGGACTGTGAGAAGAATAACCCAGAAACCAATGATTTCAACATATCGTGGTGTGTGTCAGACCTAGGCATGCTCAGCAGCTGGGGGGACACATTTGCAGTGGCCAGGAGGAGGGGGCATCTGAAGGCTGCTTCCTGGAGATCAAGATGGGACTACGTTTTGGAGGAAGTAAGTTGAATAGGCTTGGGACATTCCAGGCTGGTATGGGCAAAGCAAGGAGGCAAGAAATGGCTTGGCACAGGGTGGGGAGGCAAGCAGGCTTCTAGTATCATCAGAGTGGGGATTCTCAACCTTTTTGGGCAAAGCATGGTCATTTTCAATTCCAGTGATTTTCACAGACCTCTCCCATGGTGGCAGTTGTACTTGAAATCAGTCACTCCACAAATGCGTAATCCCTGCCCATTTACAGCAATAATACAACCGCACAGAGTCTGCAGCTGCCAGGTTGGAAAGCTTCTTACCGGAGCCCCCGAGGGCAAGGCCAAGTGAGAGGAGATGGAGGACGCTGTGCAGACCCCAAGGGACAAGGCGAGTTATCCCCGAAGCACTAGGAACCACTGGACGGAAGGGTTCTAACCAGGGAGGTGCTGAAGCAAGATCTGTCCTTTAGAAAGATCACCCTGGGCACAGCGCGGGAGGTGGTGGGGGGGTGGGGGGGAGAGGAGAGCAGATCCAGGGAGGCTGCTCGGGGAGATGACCTGGAGGCCCAGTCACCTAGGTGAGGGAGGATGACTTTCCACACCAGATGTCAGTATCACAGAAGCCTCAAGCCTCAGATAATCCTCCCTTCCAAAACCTAAAACAAACCCAAAATTCCCCACTCAATTTCAACAATAGTCAAAATCAAATGGCTCCTCCTCTATCAGGCCATATCCCTATGGAAGGGAAGGGTGAGGCTTTGGGGTGGGTGAGGGCAACAGTATGGGGCAGGGAAGGGAAGTGGAGGGACAGAGGGAGGCCCTGTCCATGCAATAACCACAGCGACAGGCAGTGACTTAGGCTGGGCAAACCAAGTGACCGTGGCAAGGCTCAGAGAGGCGGGAAGGGCCGGGGGAAGCCCCTCTCCCATCAGAAATTACTCGCAGCCGAATGACGGACTTCATCTGTCTCTGCCTGCAGGTGACCACAGACTGCATCAGGAGGGCAGGAGGGCAGGAGGGCATGGCAACAAGGCTCTCCCCTTGTCTGGCACCCCAGAAAGCAGAGCTGAGAAATCTCACCCTGGGAAGAAGGGTGGGGTGCTTATGTGGTGGGAGTGGCGCAGCAGGTGGGAAGATTTCGAGGCTCTGAAAGGCCCACTCCCCTCCACCCAGATAAAGCTACTTCTCTCTTGGTTTCCTTGGGGCTATCACAGTCACTGTGCCTGAAATTCCCACCATTTGTCATTCCTTTGGCATCCAAGGCCCAATGACTGACTACACTAAAATCTTCAGTTAAAGCATGACTCATTAAAATCTTTTTTTTTTTTTTAATGCACTCAGTAAACATTTATTGAGGGCTTGACTGTTCCAGGTACTGTGCTGAGCCCTGGGTGGGAGAGAGGGTGATGACTAAGGCTTGGGAAGTCAGGGCTAGGGAAGCCGACAGAAGCCAAGTCGTGCAGACGGGGCCCTGTGAACTCAGCTAAGGAGACTGGACTCCACTTGGACTCCCTGGAAAGCTACCAGAGTTTTAAACCACTGGGGAATGATATGTTTTGATACCACCGTTCTGGGTCCCCTGGGGTAATAAATACTATGCCATTACCACCATTAACACCTTCGTGTGAATTAGGTAATCAGATAAGTGTCACCTTGCAAAAGACTGAGATGTAGGACTGATAAGTTTTGATGCCAGAGAGTGAAGCCAGGAAGAGCCAGTGCTCAGTGGCTACCACGCGGGTAACGGAGAGCAGGGGACAGACCCCAAAGGAAGCTGTGTGTGGGGCCATCACAGCATAAGTGTCCTCCACATATGATGTACGCCTGTAAATAGTTACTGAGCTCCTTTGATCTGGGTCCTGAGCATAGCAGAGAACAAAAGAAATGGCCCCTGACCTCAAGAGGAAGACAGACAGTGCATAATCACAGATTTAGAACTACAAGCTGGAGTAGGGTCTCAGAAGGAAAAGAACAGTCTCTGTGAGAGAGTGTATTGGGGATAGAGTTAAGATGAAGGGGAGGAATTAGAAAGGGCTCTCTTAGATGACATTTAAGGGGAGACCTGACTCACATTCGCCAGCTGAAAACTATGGGGACAAGCATTCCAGGAAGAAGGAACAGCATGTGCACAGGCCCTGAGGAAAGATACGTAAGGTCAGGGTAGGCCTGAGAGGTTGAGATTTGAACCCTTGTTTGGGATTCAGACCCTCATTCTCAAGGCAGCAGGAAGCCCTGAACAATTTTCAGCAGATATGACAGATGACAGATGTACATTTCTTAGAGATCATGCTGGCTGCCGGTGGAGAATGGGCCCAGTGGAGAGGAGGGTACAGGCAGGGAGACCAGGTAGGAGGGAGACGGGGCCAGAAACATCCTGATTTGGGTGAGGAAGCAGCAGTGGAAATGGGGCATTGGATGAACTTAGATATTCTGGGGGCAGAACTGACAGGGCTCAGTGATGTCCTGGATGGTGAGGGAGAAGGAGAAGAGGCTAAAATGATTGCTTCCTGAGGTCTGGATGGTGGTGCTTTTCACTGGGAAGGGGAGGCCTGGAGGAGGCTGTGCAGACGGCAGGGAGGGCCGGGGAATGAATGCAGATGAAGCCTTCCATTCAGGACATGCTCAAGCAAGACCTTCAGAGGCAGCACAGCACAGATGTCAACAATGGGCCCTGGCCTGACCTAGGGCAACAGGAGGCATTAGCAGGCCCTGCGTTGCTTCAGGCAGGTTGAAAACCCCACGGGATCTCCAGCCAGGGCATCAGGGTAAGAGACACATTCCTGTTTCTCCCTCCTGTGCCCTGTCAGAGAGAAAGGCTTTCCCTTTTCTGGAAGTGCCAAAAATGCAGCACAGGAAACTCATTCTGCTGCCAGAGTGACTAATATTTATCACTGGTATATACAGTAGCCATTCTTCAAGGCCATGAATTTCTGCCCACAGCTAGAGCCACAATTCTCTCAGCCACCCTGCCCAAGCTCAGCCCTGCCTCAGCATTCCACAGGGCTGAATAATACTCTTTGCTTCCCGTAGGGGCTCTGCTTACCCAACAGCCCGGCATCTTCTCAGCATCCTGGACTCACCGCATACAGCTCAAGGTTCAAGGTTTCCACTGTGGCCGTGGAGGTGCGCCATGATCTTGTTCCCCTACCCCTCCCTACCCATCCTGCCTGAGTCCCCACCACCAAACAGAGGCAGCTACTCCCTCCCTGTAGAACGCAGAGGAAGGACACAGAGGGCAAGAACTTTGGAGAGCGCCTCATCCAACCTTTTTGTTTACTAAGGAGTAAACTGAGGCTCAGAGAAGTCAACTGACTTGCCTAAGGTCACACAACAGAGCTGAGACAAAAACTCCAGGCCAGGGATCTTTCTTTGGAAAGAAAGGGCCAAAGGTGGCAAGGCCTCCTGACAAACAGTGCCTCCTGTTCAGGGAGGTGAGATGGAGCCACAGGTGGCTTTGATACTGAGAGACCCCCAGGAAGCAGACAAGGAAGAGCAGAGCCACTGGGAAGCCTGCAAGATCAAACTCTGAAAGAAGTCTGCACGCAGCTGCACGGTGTCTGTCCCCAGACAGCTTTCAGATGGGAAGCAGCTTTCAGTACTAAAAGGGGGAGAAGAACTGGATCCCAGGACATAGACCCCAGTTCTTAATGGAAACGGCTTCATTCCTGCAATGCAGTTTATACATTTATCTAGGCCCAGAGGTCTCTGTCAAGAGAAGAGGGTGGGCAAAGCCCACAGAGGAAGTACTTTCTTGTGTGGCAATGACCATCGGGGAAACAAGATAACACGGAGTATAGTGATCCAGTGTAAACTTGGCCATTTGTGCCAAGCCCTTTGCCAAAGTTATCCGTCTTCGGCCACCTGACGGAACAGAGGGCACTCATGGGAAAACAGCTGGAAAAAGGACACTGCCCCAAATTAGTACGAATATTTATCACTTACTGGGGGCCACGATAAAGGCCCTATGGGGCTGGAATCCTTTCCAATCTCAGGTGTTCCTGGACTCAGGGATAATGAGGGGTGACTGCAAAATGCAGAATGCCGGGGAACACAGAGGACAGCCTGAGGGCAGGCCCTTCCTAGAAGCTCCATCTTCTTCTAGAATCAGATACATTGATTAGTGTCTCTTCCCCGATCAAACCTGCGGCTAACCATGACTTGATGTATACAGTGACACCCTATAGCTGTGATGAGAACTGGGAAGGCATTCATTCATTCAAACACTCAGTGAGCACCTTGTAATACCAAGCATTGTGCGAGACGCAGGGATTACAGAAGTTGAAATATACCCACTCCTGGTGGGGAAAAGTTCTTGGTTGTCAAAAGTTGGGGGCGGAGATGGGGGGCAGACGAAAATCCTGAAATCCGATCTTATCTGTCTTCCTGCCTTTGAGCGCTGCCACAACAAAACCAGCAGAGGCAGGCACTTTTAAAAATAGGGCCCGTTGTGCACTTTCTCGGCTACGCACCCCTTTCCTTCCTCCAGGCTTCCTGTCTCCCTTCTGTACAGTCACCACCAACTACCCTTGAACGTCAACACCTCTGGAAAAGGTGAAATAATTCTGCCACCTTCAATACGGCAAATAGCCTCTCTAATCAATCCAAGTAAGTGTTTATGGCAATCCAGCAACGAGTTTGGCACAAAGAAAGAGGTCCAGGGTGGTCACTCACGGTAATGTCAAAGCCGAAACGGTGGATCCAGAAGCACTGACAGTTGGAGGAAACCCTCCTCATTGTTGCAGCTCTGTTCCAGCTCCTTGTTGTGCTATGTGCTTAGGAAAACCGCACAGGGGTGGGGAGTCCACACACAGGCCCACACCCCACACACATTCAGCTCCACAACCAGCAGTCACAGCTGGAAAGGGTAGCTGGGCTGAGGAAACTGCAGCCCAGGGAGGGTGAGTGGGACTCAGGGATCCTGGACTCCAGGTCAGTAGCACACACCAGCACAGCGCCTACCCCAGAAGCCCTGGGCCAGACCCACCCAGCCTTAATGTCAGGGCACAGTTAGCCTGGACACAAAACCATGAATAACTCATGTTTGCATCGTGTTCTGCTGTTTTCCAAACTCTTTCTCATCCCTCACTCTCTCCTGATCATCATGCAGTCTTCAATACAGTCAAGGTGGGTCCTGCTATCCCCTTGTCGAGTGATGTGAAGTGAGTCCCAAGGAGGCCATGTGCCTTGTGTGAAACCACACGGAACAGGTTCAAGTGTGTAGCTTTTGCACGACCTTGACTACACTACCTTGACTATAACTCTTCCACTGGGGTGATGGGAGGCAGGGGCAAGGAGTTAAGAAAAACAACAAAAAGAACAGTACAGCTCCATACAAAGGAAGTTGACAATCAAATTTGGGCAGATGAATGACACACAGACAAGCTGCCTTCACAGAAAAGAGCCAAATTAATGCATTCAAAAATGTGTACTGAGCACGTACTACATACCAGAGCTGGGAAGTGAGGCAACAGACCATTCATAGACAGTTAAGACTAAGGAGATGGGACCTGTTTTGGGTTTGAAAGAAGAAAGGTACAGAGGAGTCTAGGAGAGCATCCCAGGAAACGTAATGGGGAGCTAAAACATGGCAGCAGTTGTGGACAAAGCACATTGAAGAGGAGCTATGATGAGCCTCACCTGGGAGGAGCAGAGGGGCTGCACAGAGGTAAATCCAGAAAGCGGTCACTTCCAAAGAACTTTAAATACCAAGCTAAGGGACCACGTATCATGCCTACAGAAACATGGTATATCCAGATCTTCCCAGTCCATTCAACGTCACTCCCTGCAACTGACCAGCCAGGACCACCAAGAGGTTCAGAATTCTACCTGTTTAACAGAATTCCCCATCATACATTGGATGGTCTTGCTCCCATCTCACCCAGGACAAGTCTATACACACAGGTCATCCCAGTATGGCCCTGAATTAGCACCTTGGACATACAATTCCCACAGATGAGGACAGATATGAACACTCACAAATCCACTCCACTGCTCAAAAGAATGTGGTGGAAGGCACACTTTCTAAAGGGCTGCATTTCACACATTTTAAGTGGTTTTCACACATTTCTGAGCAAGTGCATGACTGCTGTATGTGTATGAACATAACAAGTTTCAAAAGGGAAAAAACAGTGGTTAAATCTGACTCATCCTACTCTCCTGGCTTTTTTCTTTCTCTCAACACAAACTCATGCACGCGAGCATGCACACACACACCGCACACACACACACACACACACTTTCACAGCATTTCCCCCAAGACTGATCTGAATAACATGGTGGGCCTCGAGGCAGGAAGGATTCACTGGGTCAATTATCCTCATTCTGAACAAGCTCGCCTTCCAGGTGACCCATGAAAACACAATTTAACCATGAACTTCCGGAAGGCAGGACCTGGTTCTACTCACACAGCCTTAAACAGATCAGGTGCCTCATAATCCGATTTGATGGAAGAAATAAATATCAGCGCATTCCAAGCCCTGCTTCCCACAGCTAAGGCTCTCCTAAAGACAAAGGCAAATTCAGCTGTGTCAAGTACAACTCCCAACACAAACTAGTTTGCATTCATTCTTGTTTCTTTCAGTGGCACCCATCCTTGGGTTTCATTTCAGTAAGAGTCTCAACAGCTAACAAAGCACTTTAACGTCCATCATCTCATGCAGATGCTTACACCAACTCCATAAGATAGGAGAGGCCAGAAATATCATTCACATTCAAAGATGAGGACTCTGAATGTGAACAACCTTTAGGTCACTTTCCTAAGGTCATGTAGCTAATCAATCTCGATCTTGTCATTCCTTGCCTACGGATCTCACCTCAGTTACTGAGAGTATAACTGAACTTCCAAGATCCTCAAACCTTATTCAGCTTCTCCTAGGGATTACACAGATATTTAATTCAATTACAGCTCAGCCTGTTCCAGTGGCATCATCATCACTGTCATCATCATTGCTATACTGGCACCGACCAGGACAGGATACAAGAGCTCGACCTCAGAGAGCAGGCAGGCCTACCCAGTACATGCCAGAGGGTGGGAGAGTCAGGGGGCTTGCTAAATTTGAAACCTTTTTCTGACATCCAAGTATTTAAACAGCTCATTGACTCCCATACGTAAATATTACTATAAGCTACAGTTTCATTTACCCTGTGCTGGGGCCAACAGGGTTTGAAAGTAGAGTAAGCATAAATTAGGTACTGGAAAGTTTCTTATTTCCTGTAGTGTCAGGTGTTCATAGTCAAAAAGAGAAGAAAAGAAGAAGCAGTGTCACATGGCAAGTCTCCCAACAAACACCAAACGTATGTATTTGCACACAATTAGTCCCTTTCGCTAACTGCCCAAAGCGAGTAGCACAACAGGAATTGTTCTAGACACATCCACAAGGACACAACCCAGGACTTGGGATATTTCTATTTCTACTACAAAGCCCCAGAGCCTCCTGAGCCTCACCTCAGGGTGAGACAGACAGTTTCCTGAGCACCCATGGAAAGCACAAAATGCCAGGTGGAATAGAGCTGATCCTCAGTGACCCAGAACATACCCAAAGACATAAAGGAGCCAAAACCCCCTTTTCCACTGTGACTTCCCCAATAGAAAGTGAGGAGGCTAGAAGCCAAAGCTCAACTCTGGTACGCTGCTCTGTGCCCTTGAGCAAGTCACTAGCACTCTCTGGGTCTCTGGTTCCTCATAAAGGTAGAGCCTGGATTGGAAAGTCCCATTCTTTCTTCTGCCTCAGTGTACACGTAAATGTCCCATTCCTTTCTTTCCTACCCAATACAAACCTATCAGAAACTAAGTCAGTGACATGGACACCATTAGAGGAATACATTTGATTTTAATATATATTAAAATCAATTTATATGTTTATCACAATATATTGATATATTTATCACAATATATCACAGTATATCACAATATATTAATATTGTAATTAATACATTTATTAATACATTAATATATTAATACATGCAGCAAAAATCTACCATGTTAGCCATTTTAATGTGTATAATTTGGTGGCATTGAGTTCATTCACAATATTGTACAACCACCGCAACTATTTTGTTCCAGAACATCCCTCAAGGAAACCCTGTATCCATGAAGCAGTCACTCCCCATTCCCCTCTCCTCCATCCCTGGCAACTACTAATCTGCTTTCTGTCTCTGTGAATTTGCCTATGGGGATACTGCATGGGAATGGAATCATGTGATATGTGGCTTTTGATGTCTGAATTCTTCAACTCAGCACAATGTTTTCAAGATTCACCCATGTTGTGGCACATACTTCATTCCTTTTTTTTTTTTTTTTTTTTAGATGGAGTTTCGCTCTTGTTGCCCAGGCTGGAGTGCAAGGGTGCGATCTCGGCTCACTGCAACCTCTGCCTCCTGGGTTCAAGCAATTCTCCTGCCTCAGCCTCCCAAGTAGCTGGGATTACAGGCATGTGGCACCATGCCCGGCTAATTTTGTATTTTTAGTAGAGATGGGGTTTCACCATGTTGGTCAGGATGGTCTTGAACTCCTGACCTCAAATGACCCACCCACCTTGGTCTCCCAAAGTGCTGGGATTACAGGCGCAAGCCACTGCGCCCGGCCACGTACTTCATTTCTTGGCTCAAAAAATATTCCATTGTAGAGTGGAATATGCTTTTGAATTAATTGCTAAGTAAATCATTCACAGACTGTAGTACTATTATTAGCAACAATTAAATAAGATAATCTATGTAAGGTATGGGGCACGTGGTGTGCAATCAGTTAGCATTCACTTTTCATCATCAACAAAAATTCCTCATAGCACACCTCGCTGGTGGTGGTGTCATCACACCTTACTTGGGAATCAATAGGCTGGAGGTGTCATCCAGATCCCATCTTCTGAGTACATGAATCAAAACATTTCTGCACAAGTATTACATATTCCCCCAGTTCTCCAATGTATGCGGACCTCTGGCGAGTAAACCTTCCTTATGCAGTAACCATTATAAGCTAGCAAAACACTGGAACCCTTCTTCAAGTAATCTTGCCACATGAAATTTACCAAAACAGAAAATCCTTGGGGAGGTGGTGTAATTCTCCATTTTTCAAAATGACTTACAACAGGATTCCTTTAAATGGTTTTCCCAGTAGTCTTAAAACACAATTCAATTTGCATAATCAACATTTCAACAACACACCTTCTCTATAAAATACTATGCAGCTGTCTGAGCTGGGCTCCAACTTTGGAGGACAGTGATGCTTACAAGACATGAGGAATTGATGTCTGCTTTTCCCCATAATCAGCATGCTGAATCCAGAGACAGAAGTCCTTAGTCCTTATCCCACTTTCCAGCCCTGTGACTGTGAACAAGAGCGGCTACTTCTTCTCATGTCAGTGTATTCCCAGGAATGCAGAAGTCACAGCCACTTTCTCTAAGGCTGACACATGAATCAACAGGGCGGCAACCACAGAAAGGAGAATTATCATGGGTACTCACAGAGTTGATCCTCGCTCAGGACATACGCTCTGTCCACAGTTTGGGGCAAAAGTCCACATTTGTGAAGCATTTCAGAACACTGTCCCATCTCCATGGGCTGCCTGACCCTCCTCCACACTGGCCCCCTCAGGAACGGAGTCCACCCTCCCATCCATGTATGCCCTCCCACCGTCCCCAAATCCCCCAGCTGAGCAACAGTGGGCCCTCAGACCCCCGCTGGGGATGCGTAGGACCCTCCATGCCCACTTCCACCTGCCTTCCGGGGGCTGTGGAGGCCTCCACAACCAAAGCAAGCCTCCCCAAGTGTCCTGTGGACAGTTCTCTCCCAACTCCCGAAGCTTGTTTTCTTTAATTAGCTCACTGTGGCAGGAGAAAAACGCGGCCCCACCCTCGAAATAAGCAGATCTGGGCCTCAAATGTACTCTGTGGTTTGCCTCTGTGCTGCCAAGCTGTTCGCCAGGGAGTGACAGGCTACCGGGGCTGAGGAGGCAGGGGCAGTAAGAAACCCCTGCTATGTTGAGATAGGCCTTTTTCTTCCTAACATCTGACATTCATTTCTCAACCACAAGCTGGGCTGCACCCTTTCCTGAGTCCCTGAAACCTGCGATTGTGGTTCCAATTAGGGGACGATTCCAAATCCTGCTGGCTTGCTTGCTTGCTTGCTCGCTCGCTCTCTCCCTCCCTCCCTCCCTCCCTCCCTCCTTCCTTCTTTTTTAATCTGTCTTGGGTGGTGGGGTGGGGGGGCAGTTTAGGCACAAAGCCCAATCCTCTCATCTCACAGATGATGAACTGAGGCCCAAACAAAGTAACTGCTTCTTGGAGTCTCTCAGGACAGTAGTGAGCAGCACTTAAAGAAACACTGAAGACTCACCGTGTTAGCTCTTCCTAACACCAGTACTTAAGTTTATAAACGATTTCTCCATATGTCATCTCAGCTGGGTCTCATCCTCTAAGGCAGGCACACCCACGAATGCTCCATTTGACAGATGCGTAAACCAAGGCTTAGTAGGGAATGGACAGTCAAAGGTCATGTGACTAAGAGTGACAGTGTGAGAGGACCAGGATCCTTGAAGACCTTCAAACACTACAATTTTTCTTTCATTCCAGTAACTTCTAGAGCACAGCCTGAAGAACTACTTAGAAGTCTGAGGCAGAGGCTCCCTAGAATCGTACTCACAGAATCTTGGAAGTTAGACCTTGAAGGCCAGGATTCCTAGAGGATACTACTTTTGGTCCTAGCACCCACAGGAATTGTTTCTTCCTCCTCCCCTCATTCTTCACCATCATGACCATTGCTAGCATTGATTCAGTCCCATGGACCAGACACAATGATTACTCCTCCCCCTGCTCTCATTTCACGCTCATGACCATGCTATAAGATAATTACCATTATACCCATTTTATAGATGGGTAAACCAAGGCTCCAGGAGGCTTGAACAACCTGCCCAACATCAAACAACTAGTTAAGAGATGGAGATAAGGCCGGGCGCAGTGGCTCACACCTGTAATCCCGGCACTTTGGGAGGCTGAGGCAGGCAGATAGCCTGAGCTCACAAGTTTGAGACTAGCCTGGGGCAACATAGTGAAACTCTGTTTCTACAAAAAACAACAACAAAAAACAACAACAAAAAAAACATGAAAATTAGCCCAGCATAGAGATGTGTGCCTGTAGTCCCAAGCTACTCAGGAGGCTGAGGTGGGAAGATCGCTTGAGCTGGGAGGTCAAGGCTGCAGTGTGCCAATATCATACCACTGCCTTCCAGCCTGAGTGGTGGAGGAAGAACCTGTCCCCTACAAAAACAAAAAACAAACAAACAAAAAAAACCACAAAAAAAGGACAGAGAGATGGAGATAAGATTTGACCCAAGAATTCAGCCTCCAAGTACCCACATTTTTAACAACTACACTGCAACCAAAAGACTGAGGACTGCCTGATGAAGAAATGACTCACCCAAGGAGACCATGCCTGAGTTAAGAGTCAAACTAGGGCCTCTCTCTCAGCTTACTGCTGGATCACCTCTATACTAGGCTGCCCAAAAATTCACAAAAGTAAATGCTCAGGAGACCCCCAAAGCACCTTCAACAAGAGTATGTTTGTAGCCTCTGAAATTCCTCAACTTTTTATCTCTATCAACAGAGCCACCACCACCTGGAAGCTTGGAATCTTCAGAGCAAGCACACATGCTCACTTGCCTATATGATGCTTCTTAGCTCCGCAACCCAGGAGACAATGTGAGCAGACCAGGGATCTAGAGGCTGCACGTGCAAGACCAGCCTGAGACCTCCAGCCCCAGGATGCCAGTCAGGGTTGGCTGCATAATTTGTGGGGCCCAGTGCAAAATGAAAATATGGAACCCTTTGTGCAAAAGGCAAAAAAAAAAAAAGTATCAATCATGGTACTAAAATAGAAAGCTTTTTCTCTTTCCTCCACAGTCTCTCTCTTGATGTGTCATGGTATTTTTAATTTGCTATTTAATATTATTCTAAGTAAAGCAACATTAAAATTTTAAATTACATGAATTAGCATGAATTTTACCACTCCTATTTATATTGTGTGATGCCAGTTTTAACTGCAAATATAAAAAGCCTTTAACTAGTATGTGGAATCACCAACATTACATGAATTGTATTTTAGGACTTGGATGTGCATTTTGTGATGTACCAGAACCAGAGAAACATCCATAAAGCTAACTCAATCGTTTTTACTTCACTTCTCGCTATGTGTCCATTCTACCTCACTCTTTATGCTGCCTGAGGAGTAAGGAAGATCTGAAAGGAAAAGGCAATATGGGTGCCCTATCTTTCCTTTCCCTTCTTCCGTCATCATTTTCAATATAAGTGGTTGGTGTCAGGGAAGTGACGTGAGTAATAAAGGATATGATGGGGTTCTTTGGTCGTTGATGTTTCTTAGAATGTCATCGCCTTCTTTCTACAACCAAGACAAGTTCCAGTTAGATGGAAAGCATCAGGACTGTCAGGGCCCCTGCTACTCAGTCGCAGATGTGACATCTCACACTCACTTTGACTCTCACTCAACTCCCCCACATTGTAGGTCCGGCAGAAGTCTGTGCTCAAATGCTACATGTGAATGGGGCAGAAGGCTCAATGGGCACATGCTGCCCACATCTCCTCTATCCATGCTCATGCTCCAAAACACTAGGTCAAAGAGAAAATTATTAAGAATTTCAAGATGGGCCGGATGCAGTGGTTTACACCTGTAATCCCAGCACTTTGGGAGCCCAAGGCTGGATCACCTGAGGTCAGGAGTTCGAGACCAGCCTCGCCAACATGGTGAAACCCCACGTCTACTAAAAGAAATACAAAAATTAGCTGGGTGTGGTGGCAGGTGCCTGTAATCCCAGCTACTCGGGAGGCTGAAGCAGGAGAATCACTTGAACCCGCAGGCAGAGGTTACAGAGAGCCGATATTGAGCCATTGCACTCCAGCTTGGGCAACAATAACAAAAAAAAAAAGGATTTCAAGCTGGTGACAGCAGAGCATTAAACCAAGCATAGGGCCCTCCTGAGCATGAACTCTATGTGACTGTACTCGTCACGTGCCCATGAAGATGGCCTTGATGACAGCCACACCTGTGTAAGGACAGGCTCAAGACACACTTCCACAGCCATCCTTCCATTTGCTGGCCAGTTCACCCAAAGCCAAATTAGGTTAGGACCCCACACTCTGAGGCCCTGGGTCTCAGATATGACGGCCAAAGGATCCAATACTGAAACACAAAAAGGATCTGGGTTTAATGCTCACCCACCTCAGGACCAGATGAGCCAGAAGACTTCACTGGCCTTCTTTAACCTTTCTAAGGCTGCCACACTGTGTGACAGCTCCTTTGTCCACCCAGTAAAGCAGGGGAGGTGAGCACGCAGCCATCTTTTGATATGCTTAACACCAAGGGGAGAGGAAGGGACCAACCAACCATTTACCAGCTCACAGCAAGGTGGTAAACACTAAGCAATGCCTTGTACATATGTTGACTCAATCTTACAACCCTAACAGACAGGTAACATTTTACTGCTGGAGAAACTGAGGCTCAGGGAAGTGGCGTGACTTACCCAAGACCTGCCCAGTCAGCTCAGCTGACTTCTCTGGACTTATCCACATCCACGGAGACCCCCTCATGCAGCCCTGCCATCCGCCCAGAGACTGGGTTAAAACTCAAGTGCATTTAATGCAAGAAAAAAGAGTGCAACTCTTGACTCCAAACGCTCTGGAACATCAAGTCAGGAGCACCCTGGAAGGGTCTGATTAAAGGGTTAAAGCAAAGGCTCCTCTGAGACACGTTAAATGTATGTGGCCACATCTTTGCCTACATCAGTGCAGCCCCACGCATTTCCCTAAATGCCTGTAAAGCAGATCTCACATAATTATGATCTTCAGCTCGGCCCTGGCCACATTAGAAGTAATATATATTTATGGAGTGAAAAGCTCAGGTCCTGCCTCTAACACAGTTATTTACACTCATCAGGGCCTGCTCCAGCAGGCCCTGCGTTCCATGTTATCACACCCCGTCCTGCCTGGTCACAGCCCTCTCCTCAGGGTAGCAATTTTGAGCAGAGTTTGAATAAGATTGTCTCGTGCCAAGTCTGCTTTAGAAGGCAGCCAGGTAAATGCCCTCAGCCCTGCTCAGGAGGAGCCACGGGGTGGGATGGTGGGATGAGGGGCCCAGAGCATCAGCTATTCACCCAAAAGCAGGATGAACAGGAGCAGCTGGTTCTCTGGTCCCAGAAGCTTCGCCTCCCATCTTGATGCCACTTCTGGTCACAGCCCTAAGCGTAGGGGAACATCTGATGGTTGGTGGATGGCCACATCTTCTGACTCGCCGAGGTGCAGGCTGACTTCCTGGGTCCCTCACACCACAGGCCACCCCACGCAGGCCTCAGGTGGTCCCACTGCCTGCCCTGAGGACCCCTCCACAGGATTGGTGGTCAAGGGCCTGGAACACTGGAAGTGTGGGCCTGGGAAGCACCGTGGTCACACAAAGAGCCCTAAAACAGAAAATGCAATCCGGGTTCAGATTCCTTGCCTGTGTCCCCTCGGGTAAACCATGTGCCTTCTCAGAGCCTTGGCTTCCTCAGCCATCAACAGGGGGAGGCACCAAATGAGATCAACAAAGACGTCCGCACCACTTCACAGAACTCTGCAGGTGGGGGACAGTCCATCCTCTCATTGGCCCAAGAGGCTTCTTTTAGGTGCTGCCAGAGGCAAGAAGATAGGAACCACCAGCTGCCTTTGCTTCCTTCAGGTAACCGCCTCCCAACCAGTGCTACCTCGCATGCCAACACAGCGCTGCAAGTCAGCAGGCACCCCGACCCAGTTCCTCTTTCCCTTCTTAGCAGCAGCAGCTCTCTGGACTCTGAGGCAAAGTGGGCCTCTGTCTGTCCCCTTGGGATCCAGTTTGCTCACATCCTTCCTCTTAAATGATCTGCGCCTTGGCCACTTCTTGCTAGACTCCCCGCTTGACAGGGCTGCTGGGAAGACTGAGAGAGAGCAAAGTGCACAGACGACCCTAGCTTGCTACCAGTATCATCTGATGCCAGGAGCGTGACAGTCACAATCCAGCCACCCTTCCTACCTCCACTGGCAAATCCTGATTATGCACCCCTGCACTGGCAGTGGAATGAGAGGCTCACCGAGGTGGCGAGGCTGGTGTGGGCCCTGGCAGAGGTGTGGATCCTGAAGGCTTTATATTCACAGGCCCGCTAAGGTGTTCAAGGCAGTTTTTGCGTCCATCATCGCACCTGATTTGCATCAACATAGAGGTTTTACAGATAAGAAAAGTACATCTCAGAGAGGTTAAGGATATGCCCCGGAATACACAGCAAGCTCAGGGAGCCAGGAGTCCTGTCCTGACACCAGGGTTCCTTCCCCTCTAACAAGTGGCTAGACATGAGTGAAAAGATAGTAACTGTAGGGTTAGATGAGCACCATTTACAAAGACAGGGTGAGGAAGGGAAGTTAGACTATAGATTCCAAACTCTCAAGTCCAGTCTTCCTGTTGACTCAAAGCAGGCTACAAGCCTCCTAAGTGTTCATCATTGATTTTCAGACCACACAACTCAGGGATGGGCATGGGGGCCATTTTCCATGATGCAGAAGCTGGCTGTTATTGCCACACCTCCTTCCCCAAAGCTCCAGAAGACCCAACATATATGGAACATCGTGCCTGTTATTACATTTAACCGTCACAGCAACCCCATGATTTGATATTTTTAGCTGTTTAACAGAAGAAAGAAGAAACCCATTAAGAGGTTAAGAGCAAGGGCAGGCTTGGGCCTAAAGGGGCACAGCCCTACCAGTCCTGTGCCTTTTCCGCTACACCACATTCCCCTGGACAAACTCCCTCCACCACTCCTACCCCCAGCACCCTCCTCAGTATCCTGCCCCCAGCTTCCACACGGTGCATCATTGCCTATAATCATGATTGTCAAGCTCAAATGCACATCAGCAGCCCTCGGAGAGTGTACAAAATTCAGACTGCTGGGACCGCCCTCAGGGTTTCTGATCCAAGAGGCCTGGGGGCGGGGCCTGAGACTCTGCATTCCTAGTAAGTTCCCTGGTGATGCTGACGCTGCTGGCCCAGGGCCACACTTTGAGAACTGCTGATTTATAGTAATTTAAAGTGTTCACCTAACAGCTGGGGAATGGTTAAATGCGGTTCATCTACTTGATAAAATATGTGTAATTATGAAAGCCACATATAAGAAAATGCTGATAAAATATAAAATTAGAGCATCAGGCTTGCACCCTGTGCTGGTCCAAGTCCAGTTTGCCCTCTGATCCATCCCTCATCTTCCTGTGCTCTGCTGTGTCCTCCCTGGGGCTGAGCCCTGACTTTCCAGGCTCCAGATCAGGAGGCCTCCAGCAGGGTTTAAATAATAGGAGGCTCTCACAGCAAGTAGTGGGTAGGAGGGAGGGAGAGGCCACAGTGTTTCTCCCCTCTCTCCTTTTCTACCTTGGGTCGGCAATTTTAGAAGCAGCTGCAACTGCTCTAGACAGGCCCACTGGTGACCCCAACCCTGGGCTCTGGGAACACCACCTGTTCCCTTTGTCCCTCCAGCCTAAAGGCAGCGGCTTCCTCCAAGTTCTGGGTCACCTCACCTTCCCATTGTGGCTTCTCAGCTGCTTTATCACCTGTGTAACCAAGGTCCCGTATTAAATTCCCTTTGTGCTAAATACCTGATGTAGTTCCTCCTTCCCGTTTGACTGACACACTGATTACAGCAATAAGCATAAAAATGCTTATGCAAATGGACAATTCTAGAAGGCTATTACCTTCTAGAATTGAGAGCTTGGTAAACTTATGTTTTCTTTCCCCAAAAAACTTTAGAAGAGTGTCAGTTATTATTAATATATAAAACAGACACCAAATGTACAATTTAAGAGGAAACAGAGGTGAGTCTTTACGTGAAAAAGGTTGGGGAACTATGAATCCATGACAATGAATCTAAGGAAACCAATCCCTGTACTTTCATTTCTAAAAACACCTTATTTTGGAGAAACCATGGCCACAGCCACAATGATACAACGGTTTCCCCTGAAAGTACCGGGTGGTTATCTGGGGGTGAGTGACTCACTGGTTGAAGAGGTCACATCATGTATCACCGCAACACCGGATCCTTAGCCACTGCGGAAGGGCAGGCTACTGGCAACACCCCAAACCGCCTTCAGCCATTTGTTACCGTGGAGGCAGGTCCTATCTCTCCTGTCAGGCTCTGGCCTGGAAGCCATCTGGGAAATCCCTCCAGAGGAGACTGGGGCCTGGAGACGGCTGGGGGAGCAGGAATAATACGCAAAGATGTTCAAAGAATAAGGGGACTTGGTTCAGCCATGCCCACCATGCACCATAGCAATGTGTGTGCCAGGGCATGGGCAGGGCAGGGAGGAAGGTGGTATCTTCTTTTTCCACCATTTCGAGGATCTTTCTCTCCAGAGGGCACAATTAAAATCAAAAGAAACAGACTCCATGAAACCAGATGGTAACAATACAATAAATTCTCCTGGATTCCTGCACTGCACTCTAACAGCCCTGAAATAAACAGTTTCCTCCTCGGAGCTCAAGACGCAACCCTGCAGCAGGTAATCAAGTGTTCAAGTAGGGAGGGAGGGGCTTGGCCTTGGACCAAACACAGTTTGGTGGTCTGTTTATAATATTTTAGCTGAAACACTGCAAACAACAGATCGAGAGGCTTACTGCTGTCACGGGTTACTTTCAGACCCAAGTCAAAGCTGATTTAAATCCCCAGAAAACAGGGAGATGGGAGTGCTGGGGAGGGGAACTGCAGTAAGGAGAAGCATCTAGGGCTTTCAGTGAAATGTGAGTCTACCTTCCAAAATCCCAGGGGACAACAGCTCAGCCTCTAAACACTTGGAAAACCAGGATTCAGCCTATAGTGAGTGGTTCACATCAGAGCCCATAAGCAAGCATTGAGAAGTGTTTACCACCCTGCCCCATCGTCCCCAAGAAGTGGACATCATCATCATCCTGCCCCATTCTTCCCAACAAATGACTTGCGCAAGTCACTGCCCCGCTCAGGAGCTCAGTTTCCCCCAGCTGTCAATGATGGGGTTGGGCTAGATGATCAGTCAAGTCACTTCTGAACAGAGGAGTAACTTGTGGCAGGGGACTCTTTCACAGCCTCTGAAGGAAATCTGAGTACCCCCAAGTTGAAGTTCAGAGAGGTGAAATGCCTGTCTCATGAGCTACTCAGCAGGAAAGTTGGGATTTTTGGCAAAATCGGACTCGAGACTCCCTGCTCTTCCCACCACCCCAGGAGAGGCACCAAGATTCTAAGCACTGCATTCCTTCAGAGTCCACCTCTCAGTCCTGCAAAATGGGAAGCCCTGACCCTGAGTAAGGTGAACCCCGACTCCAGCCACTCCCAGTGCCACCTGTCACCACCCCCTTAGGGTGGTGTTCCACTCGGCCTGGGTGTGCCTCCCCCTCGTGCACACTTGTCCACACTCCCATGCGGGGGCAGCCCTCCAGGAGAGGGTGACCTCAGGAAGCAGGAGCCTGTGTGGCTTCAGAGGTGAGGGCAGCAAACCCCAACACTACTGCTGGCCACTGGTTAGACCACCGAATGCTCCATCCAGCTCATGCTTCCCCACCCCCAACATGCAGTGGTGCTACCCACTTACTGCCTGGCCGCTTCCTAGCTATATGCCCTGGGCCAAGTCCCTCAGCCTCTCCAAGTCTGCGCCTGCTCATCCAGACTAGCACCCACTTCCAGGGACTGTCAGGGAGATGAAACGAAATGACGTGTGGGAAAGTGCTTTGTAAACTGTAAAGTGCAGTACGCAGGAAAGTAGTGGTGTCCCCCTTTCCCAGTGACATCAGTTGGAAAAGAATTCATTCTTTTCTGAGGGACACGAGGAGAGCACACATGCCCACGCACACACACTCCCCATGGGCATTTTTTTCTGAGGCAACACAGTGTAGACAAAGAACTCTGTCAAAGAACTGAGGGCTGGCCTCAGTCCCTGTTCCTGCGCTAACTGTAAGTTGTGCCTGATCACCTGCAAAATAGGGATAGGACCACCTTGCCATGTCTCCACCCAGGGCAGTTGTAAAGATAAACCAATGGGAAGGTGCTCTGCACATGACCAAGTATACAGTGCACTTTCCCACTGGTGTGACTCATCACCCCACCGGGAGGCTGAGGACGAAGACTGGCATAGATTGAAGGAAATTTGGCTCATTTTTCTGCTATTCAAGATCACCAAGAGGCTCAAAGAAAAAACAGTAAAGTAGCAAGGGTCATCTGGCAGGCAGAGCAGATGGAGGAGGTATATCTGGGATTTCTGGGTGTCCCTCTGGGGTCTCCTAGCCTGGCCTCTTCAGAACTAAGCAGCCATACACCCCTTTTTTAAAGGCCCACTTTGCAAGAGAAGGCGGCTAGGTGTGCTCCACTCAGGACTGTTTGTGCAAATGCTTTATTTGGGGTCTCCCTGGAACTGTGTGGGCCAGGGTGCTGAGGGACCTTCCTTCTGAGCCTACTGGGCTCTCTGGAGAAAGGTCACCCTGACAAAGGTCTCTAGTCAGCCCTATCCACCCCACATGCTCTCCAGCACCCCCTTTTTTTTAAGACAGAGTCTGGCTCTGTTGCCCAGGCTCAAGTGCAGTGGCGTGATCTCAGCTCACTGCAACCTCTGCCTCCTGGGTTCAAGTGATTCTCCTGCCTCAGCCTCCTGAGTAGCTGGGACTACAGGCACCCGCCACCACACCTGGCTCATTTTTGTATTTTTAGTAGAGGCAGGGTTTCACCATATTGGTCGGGCTGGTCTCGAACTCCTGACCTCGTGATTCGCCCACCTCGGCTCCCAAAGTGCTGGGATTACAGGCGTGAGCCACCGCACCCGGCCTTAGCATCCCCTTCCCACCCTAGAGCAGCTGCCCCCTCCCACTCGGGAGCATTCTGAAATAGCCTTCCTAGCAGCGCTGAATTAAAAGTGGTGTGAAGCAGCAGCCAAACACCACTGTGTTTCCCTCGCTACCGCCCCACCGCTTGGGCCCTGGGCAGCTTTGCTGCATTTGTGAGGTTTTCTCCCACAGCTTTTCTCGCCTGCCTCCCCCGCTTCCACGTGTTTTCACACTGGCAGATGCTCTCACCTAGCCTGGGCTGGATTCTCTGTCCCAGTGTTTCTATAGTGGGCTTCCCTAGGCCCCTGCCCACCCACCTCACCTCCTCCAACCCAACAAGTAAAGCTAAGACAAGAACAGTGAGATCCCAAGTCTATCGGGAAAGCCGTTTAGCATCAAGTAACCCTACTGTGCACCCATCTTCTGGGCCACGGGCTCCAGGGAGAATTAGTCCCAGGTTTGGGACTACAGAAAACCAACCCCAGACCAGAATTACACACAGCAGCACTTTATCACTCCTCCTGCGATAAAGGTGAGAGTAGGGGATAAACTAACAAATGTGTGACCCCTCTCCGCTCCAGCTCAAGGTTTTTATTTTTATTCTTCTAGTTGAGACGGAGTGATCACATCTGAGCTGTCAATCAGCTGGGCCATGTCAGTACAAGAACTCTGATCTAAACCATGGCTTCCAAAGGGCTTGGCTTGCTCCACCCATTTCAGGCAGGGCTGGCATCACAGCAAAAACAATTTCAAAGCACAGAGACCATAAACACAAAATTAAAAGGTAAAGTAAAAAGGGAGGAGATGTTTACTGGAAACTTAAGTTCTGCTGCCCAGAAAATATAAGTCTTTTTTTAAACACATGCACAAACACACACGTCTATATAATGCCTCTGCCACCTCCCCCACCACCTTAAGAAATGCATACTTTGCTCTATACAGGGCTTTCTTATCTGCTCCTGATTACACTCAGCTAGTGACCATGAAATCTGGAATAATCACCCGCCGGGAAAGGAAAGCCTTGGCCACAACCAGGGCCTAACAAAGCCAGCTCTGCATTTACTGATGATCACACAACTTGCTCACATGACAATCTTGAGTTTTCTGATGCACAGATAATCACTCCCATCCATACCTGAAATGCAGCCACAGCTGAGAGGGTGCCAGGTGCCTACTGAAACCAAGAACAATCCTATTACACGGTATCTTAGGGTCCAAAGAGAAAAGAGTTTCCAACTGAAACTATGCAGGAAACTCAGGTGGGCAGATGGTAATCATCAAAGCAGGGATCTGGCAAAGAACACCCCCCCACTTGCAGACAAAGAAAAAACCTAGAGGAAAGTGTATTCCTGAAAGCAGAGAATTTTCATGGGAGCAAGAACATGAAGTCATTCTTGCTGCCAGTGAGGTGCCAACTAAGGCTGCTTCCCAGAGACACTGACATCACGTTAGAAAGGAGAAGAGGCTGGTGCTGTGGCTCATGCCTGTAACCCCAGCACTCTGGGAGGCTGAGGTGGGCAGATCACCTGAAGTCAGGAGTTCAAGACCAATCTGGCCAACATAGTGAAACCCCATCTCTACTAAAAATTAGCCAGGTGTGGTGGCAGGCGCCTGTAATACCAGCTACTTGGGAGTCTGAGGCACGAGAATCGCTTGAACCTGGGAGGTGGAGGTTGTAGTGAGCTGAGATCGCACCACTGCACTCCAGCCTGGGCAACAAGAGCGAAACTCCGTCTCAGAAAAAAAAAAAAAAAAGGAGAAGATATGCAATGTGATAGTGGGACCCGAGTGACTTGCTTTTGCTTGCTCAGGTCCACGTTCCTTGATCCATGTGTCCCATTCCACTCTCCATGCTCTGTCTTCTGATCCTCACTGTGTGGCCAGGACATAGAAGGTCTTCACTGCTATCACGTGACACTATAGTTCCTGAGGGCAGGAACTATATTTTCCATTTCTAAGAGTGCCTTGACAGATTCCTCATTGAGCTGAGAAAATAGCAACCTACATCTGGCATGTGTCTACAACTGCATCTCAAACCTTGTTATTTGTAAAGCTTCTCATACCATCCCCCTTCATCTGTGAAAGCCCTCAAGGGCTTTCAGCACTGATATAGTCTCCCCTCCTAGGGCGCATTTCACACCAATTAAGGATCCACAAGCCCATCCCTTTACCTGAATGAGATATTCCAACTTAGCTGCCCCTTCCCAGTTTGACCTTTTCTGTTAATATTTTAATGCAGAGAGATGTGTCCCATCAGATTTCTTAGGCTGTAGATACTGATTCCCTTCAAGGGCTGTTTAGATGCTACTGCTGATGAAGTGGCAGGACAGGATGCTCTCAGCCAAAGACAGGGACACTCTCTCACCAAAGCAGCAGGGAGTAACACACACCCCTACAGCCTTCACAGCCCCTAGAATCCACCGGGGCAATGCCAAAGAACTGACACTAAGGTATGCTGGAGTTGGCTAAGGCCTCTAACTTAGTTTCATGAAAAAAGTGTGGGCATTTGTAAGGGCCTGTTTAATCCATTCCAGCTCCACCCCCCTGCACCACCCCCCACTTTGTACTGTGAGTTTCTGAGCAGAAATAACCAACTACAGATGGTTTCACTACTTCAAAGATGTTGAGAAACCACTGACCCAGAGATAGGAGGGAACTGGAACTCCAAACCTCAGGGCAACTACTCACCACCAGCACTTGTGGTGACCAAATCAACACACTTCCAGAACCTAGAGCTGTTCTCTGTGTATGTGTGTGTGTGTGTGTGTGTGTGTGTGTGTGCACGCTTTTTTTTTGACCAACCACTATCACTTTCCACCCAGAACAGATGCCTGTAACACTGAACACAGCTTTACATAAGCATCTATGGCTGTGATTCTCAATCCCGGCCACATACCGGAATCACCTAGGAAAGTTAAAAAACATGGATTTCCCCAGGCCGGCCTGTAGAAATTTGAAATTCACTGGTCTCCAGGGGTGGTCTGAGCATCAAAATTTTTAAAAGCAGCCATGGTTGAGAACCTTCCATGGTAACACCAACAACCAATTGCAAATCATGAGGAATCAAGAATCCTAGCCCTCACAGCCCACCCTGAACCCCAAACCTCTTTCCATCCTGTCCTCAACTGCAGGCCCCCATTTCTAGTCCAGAGTTGACTATACAGTGATTCTGAAACTATTCAAATGAGTAATAGAGTCATTTCTTTGAATGCAAGTGCAGGAATCAGAGTTTTTAAGGTGGAAGAAACTTTAAAATCCTGCTAAGCCAACACCTTCAGTTTATAGAAGAGGAAGCCAGGGGCCAGGGCAGAAAAGTGACTCACCCAAGGTCCTGAAGCTGGTTCACAATGAGGCAGACCTAGAACCCAGGCCTGCTGCCTCTAATTCTCTCTCCTCCACACCAGAGGAGCCCCTATGGTGACAGCCGCTGGACAAAAACGGTGACAAAGGATGGGTCAGTTGTTTACTGAGCCGTATGCTTTCAGAGGCCATCCTCTAAATGCTTCACCTCTGAAATGCTCAGTCTCCTCACTGGCCTTAAAACAACTGAGGGCAAATATAGCCAAGATAGTGCTTCTCTTTAAAGATTCCCGAGCATCCTAGTCGATCATAATCCTCAAAGAATATACTTTCCGGCTGTCTGAGGTTCATGAAAAAAGCCATTAGCACAGAGTCTAACCCAGGTTTGAAAGGGCACTCTGTTGAGCAGCAGGTCTGAGGGACTGAAGCCAGCAGTAGATTCTAGTTTCTTACGGATAAGAGAGAGCTGATTGTTGGTTTCCACATCTCTAACCAACCTGTGAACACGTTTCCCTTCCTTCCTGTATTTTTATGGCACTACGGTTGGAATGCAGCCGGTGCCTAGAAGCACAGAAAACCTGTGCTTCAGGCTAAATTTGAATTCCTCTTTGCCTGCAGACTGATTTCCCCTACCCTGGGAGTCGGTTCTCAGGGGAGGTCTCATTTCACCCTGGGACGCTCCATGAGGGCAGAGCTATGTGTGACCATCCTCATCAGCAACGCATTGCAGCTCCTGGACCACTGTGTCTGATGGCACCACCACCAACAAAAGAAGCTCAGTAAATATGTGATGAATTAAACAACAATGATAATACAATTAAATAGGTCATTAAGGAATGGTTCCCCTCTGAAGGCAGAGCATCAGATGAAAACTTAGATTTGTCCCCCAGGAAAATATATGCATTGAGAAAACAGCCAAAGGCAAGAAGCCAAGGAGAGTTCAGAGGGCTATCATGAAAATCTGAGACTGGCCAGGCACGGTGGCTCATGCCTGTAATCCCAGCACTTTGGGAGGCCGAGGCAGGCAGATCACGAGGTCAGGAGATGGAGACCATCCTGGCTAACACAAAGAAACCCCGTCTCTACTAAAAATACAAAAAAAAAAAATTAGCCAGGTGTGGTGGCAGACGCCTGTAGTGCCAGCTACTCGGGAGGCTGAGGCAGGAGAATAGCATGAACCCCGGAGGCAGAGCTTGCAGTGAGCCGAGATCGCATCACTGCACTCCAGCCTGGGCGACAGAGCGAGACTCCATCTCAAAAAAAAAAAAAAAAAAAAAAAGAAAAAAAAAGAAAATCTGAGAACGGATACACAGATTCTTTCAGATTCTCCCTTCAAGCTTGTCATTTTGTAGAAGAGAAGACCAACACCCAGGAAGTCAAGTTGACTTCCCCAAAGTCATAAAGCCCATCTCCACCAGCAAGAGAGGCCAAGGACCCTCAACCTCACCCAGAAAACAGGATGCTAAGATCACAGTTTCTTTGGGTCTCATTTTATTTGTTCACTTGCTAATTCAACACTTTTTAGAACCTGGGGGCTCCAGTAATCATGAACATCAGAGTAGGTTGTGTGAGGAGAAAGAAGAAGAAATGGCAAACATTCAATTTCAGATATTGTAGGGATGTTCAGGTATTGTCCAGAGAGCAGCTGGAGCTGAGGGGTCCCTAGCTCTGGAGAACTGCAGATCTGGAAGATATCCCCACATTGAAAGCACACGAAACCCAGGGAGAGCAGAAGTAGTTTGAACTGCAATTCTGACTCAGCCCAGCTGGGCAGAATGATGTCCAGCATATGGTTTGATTTTCTCATCGTTGAAGTTAAAGCAGATAGCAAAAAATAAAAATAAAAAAACACAGTGGCCAAAAGATGACATTTAAAAAGATCCCTGGATCAAAGCCTTTTTGTGAGTACTGTTATTTCATCCTCCTCCTAACGGTAACCACTTCCCACATGAACCCCAGTAAGGCAACCGTGCAGCCCACAAGAGAGATAGAAATATGACCACACTTCCCTCTTATAAACAGGCGATGGTAAACATCTGAGACCACTGGTCCACAGCCGTGGTTAAACAAAGGGTTGGGGGCACCCTGGCATGGCCGTCAGGGCCTCCGTCTCCCCAACAGGCTGACGCTCTATGAGTGGTGAACTTGGACCATTAACTTCAGAACTGAGGCAAACAGAACCAGCCTCGCACTGCGGCAACTTCGTCTGGTTTCATGCCCCGGCTCACCTGGCCACTGCTTCTGGAAACTGAAGAATTTTCCAGGAAAGTAGCTGTTGGTTCCAGGCCCATGCTCAAAGGCACCTCTCTCTGCTCCACCAGGACAAGACGGCAGGAAGACAACTTACGTATTTACTGGAGTGCCCACCCCATGCCAACCCTCACCTCTTGGATCAGTAGCAGTGATAGATTCTTTTTTTAAACAATCAGAGCAAAAACTGTAACTCTTTTAATCAAGCAAGAAAAACAAGAAGACCTCAAAAAACTAATTAACTCTGAGATGTTCCCTGGGGTTCCAAGTTATCCCAGCTCCTAGATCAATAGGAAAACAAAACACGAGGCCTTGGGACAGGCTCTGTTTTCTCTGAATTGGAATGAAAGGGCACTTGCACACTTGAAGTTAGTGATTAGCTCTTTGCGACTGAAGACTCAAGGGTATTCCCTATCTGCAGAAAGTTCCGTCCGACGACGGCAAAACTTTATATAATTTGGACAGGACTTTGTTTTTAACCACTAAACATTTATAGAATTTTTATGTCTTCCTATATATATGCTTTCAGAGAAAGTTTCCAGCAGATTCAAAACAAGAGAGATGCACAAAGATACTAAACATGCAATTAAACTGCATATGGTTTTGAAGCTAGAACACAGTGAGAAACTTTAGAAAATTTCCCCTGAGGGAGGAGGCTCTCAGCGCTGTGCCCTGCCCCCACTTCAAACCCTAGGGCAAGTTGTTATCATTTTGTCAACAGGAAAATAAGACTGGTGGAGGGGTGGAGACAGAAATCGCAACTGCTTGAAACCTGAAACAACCTGGCTTGCATCACAAAATGTGTGGCCCTGGGCATGGCATTCAGAGGCCCAGACAGTCCCCCTGCTCTGTTTCTCAGGTCCTTTTGTCTCCTTGGGCCTCAATTTAACACCTCTTCCAAAGCTACCAGACTGCCACAATCTACTCAGGAGATACTCCAAACACAATTATAGCACTATCTCTCCACCTGACTGCAAGCTCCATGAGGGCAGACTTACCATCATGTCCTCAGAAGTCAGCAAGACATCATCAGTAAGTGTTCAGGAGTCTCACTTAGCGAAGGAAACCAGCAACCAACAAACATTAATCAGTAAGTTGGTGCCTAAGTAATGGCAGTTTTTGCCATTATTTTCAATGGCAAAAACTGCCATTACTTTTGCACTAACCCAAATAAAATTTACTAAGCACCTACCTCCATACTAATCACCCTGATGAGTCAAAGGAATAGCCTGGGCCCTTGACCTCGAGAGGCTTCTGAGGGTCCATTATTTCTGTCATTGACTGCATGTGATACAATACTGACCAACAAGATACCAGGAGGCTCCCGGGGAAGGTTTTCTTCCTAAAGAGACCCCCAAGGAATAGGAGCCCTTTTCTGCCCTTGGATGCAACGTTTATAGACGGTAATATCTGCAACAGTTGTGGCCACCCTTGGACCAACAGGAGACAAGCTTGAAGAGAATATGGCCAGGAGGAAAGATGTAAGGCTCCTGAGACCTTCTGATGCCTGACTTTCCTGCTTCTAGCCTTCTTAGTGGAAGTAATAAGCCCTCTTATGATTGAAGCTATTTGTTGGGTTTCAAGTCACTTTTGGCCAAAAGCATCCTGATACAGCAATGCTGGGCTCCGATACAGAATGTGGGATGGACTCACGACGGAAGGGGCCAACTGGCTTACTGCGGCACACAGGCATGAAGGACTGAGGGCCTCAGCTGGGGAAGGGAGGCTGGCAAGGGTAAGAAGAGCTGTAACTCAGGAGACTCAAAAGCCGCTTCCAGCCTTACCCACAAGATGGCCTAGTCATCCCCATGACACCAGGGCTCAGTTCCCACGATGACTATCTGATGCACTGGAGCATAAGTAATGAATACTCTCTGTCCATGCCACCCCCACACATGCCTCCGCGTGTCTGTGGGGTAGCAAAAGGGGAAATGCATCGTGTTCTATTTATAAGACCCAGCTGAGCCACAAAGGCTAACGACAGGGGCACTGTAGTATCAGCTGAAGCTCTCCAAACAGGTGCCAAGTTTGGTTTGAATTTATATTTCACATTTCTCAGGCTGAAACCGTTCCTCTCTGTCATTCCAACTGCTCTCCTTGGAGCTCACCCGACATGGCCTCGCCCACAGCAACAGTCTGGTTGGAGAGTTGAGAGAACTCAAGTCCCTCTCCAGACTTCCAATAAATTATCTGGGGCAAGAGAAGGAGGATGAGGTTTGGATGATCGCGGAAACAAACCCTGAGAGCCCAAAGCAGGAGTGAAACAGCACAGCCCTTACATGTTCTCTGCAGAATTCCGTTGGCAGGGAGGGGTTATTCGGGGCCACGTGCTTGCTCCGCAGCGGCCCTGGCACATTCCATGCACTGACCACAATCAAAGAGAAAGAAAAGGCATGCTTACTGTTATTTTTAATTCCTTCCTCAAGGCCTTCCAAAATTCTTCAGCAGGATTATCCACTAAACTTTCACCACTCCCAGCCAATAGTCCCTTTGAAGCCCAGAGCTAAAGTAAAGTGGAGAGCAGGAAAAGTCAGGTCCCAGAAGTCTCTGCTCTTGGCCATTAAATATCATCCAAGTTGCACTGGGCCTAGTGGCATCTCCCGGACTTCAAAGGGACAGGGCCTGATGATGGTGCCGACATAGTAGAGCCACGTGAATGCCCTGCCACTGCCACCCCCACCTGCTCCATACACACCTGACCTTGACCTCCACCTCCTTTCCCTTCAGTAGTAGACATCAGCATAGCCAAATGTTCCCTAACTCATACTCCAGTTAATTAAGCTCTAGTGCTAACTTTACCATGTTTTCAACATCTCGTCCAGTTTTAAAATATTACATTGCCAACTTGTTGCATGACCTTGGGCAAGTCCTTTCACTTAGAATAGCAGGACATAATTTGCACATTCCCTTCCACTTAAGCAACAGCACATGAGCTGGCGGATCCAATTCTCCATTACCTTGGTCAGGTATCAAGACCAGAGGCAGGGTGACTATTACCCAGGTTTGCCTGGACGGTCCTGATTTATGGCCAAGGACCGTAATTAATAGTGGCCATAATTAATAATGCTGCCCCTTTTCACTCTTGGAAACATCCTGGTTTGTTTGATAAATTATGTAGTCACCCTAGATTCTAGAAGGTGTAGAGCTTCAGTGGCAAATCCAGCTCCAGCCCTTAGCCTGAGACTTAAAGCAACTTACCTAAGTAATCTGAACCTTGTTTCTGTCATTTACCAAATGAGAATAATGATAGCAGTGTCATAGCTTTTTGTATGAGGACAACAATGGCCATCCTTTCTTGAGGGGCTATGGGGTAGAGCTCAGAGAACTAGGAACCAGAGACCAGAGTTAAGATTCCTGTTCTGCCACTGACCCCTCAATGCTTCAGCCTCCTCCTCTGTAAACATAAATACATAAGTACCCAGAGTACTGTAGGTAAGTAAATAAGATCAAGGAGATCACCCCCTCTGGCATACACTCAGCATGCAGTTGACACTCAGTCCATGCAACACGTACCAGGATCACCCCATGTGAGTGGGCTTAGGTGATTTGCTAACAGTCAACACTGCTGACTCGACCATCTTCTGAGTCAAATGCTTGGACATGGCCAAGAGTAACAGCTCACCTAAGCTTCTAGTACAAGGCACCAGAGCCTATGTGCCCCGAGCTCATATTCCAATATAATTTTGTGCAATATTTATGATTGTCTCTAAGGTCTCTGTGGAAATCTGGGTGTGAACTTAGAAGCCTTAACTCCCATCTCTGTCAGAAAGGGTTTTTAGCAGTATTAGTGAGTTCTACACCATAAAGAAATAATATGCGGGGGGCGAGGTGCGGTGGCTTACACCTGCAATCCCAGCAATTTGGGAGGCTGACGCGGGCAGATCACCTGAGGTCGGGAGTTCGAGACCAGCCTGACCAACATAGAAAAACCCCGTCTTTACTAAAAATACAAAATTAGCCAGGCATGGTGGTGCATGCCTGTAATCCCAGCTACTCGGGAGGCTGAGGCAGGAGAATAGCCTGAATCCGGGAAGCAGAGGTTGCCGTGAGCCAAGATCACGCCTTTGCACTCCAGCCTGGGCAACAAGAGCGAAACTCCGTCTCAAAAAAAAAAAATAATAATATGTGACATTGCAAAACATTTCACAGCTTGCAAGAAGCTTTTAATCTAAAATAAATCTAATCTGATTTAAGTAAATAACTTCAATAACATCCCTCCTTGAGGGAGGTCATTGTTTTTCCCATTTTACTGATGAGGAAAAGGAAGCTCAAATAAGTTAAACAACATGTCCACAGTCACCACCGCAGTAAGTTGGGGAGCAGGGATTTGAACCCAGGGCACTCCGCAGCAATAGGCTGCCCCTGGTCTTGCCTTCAGTTAAGAGGTTTCTAGCAATGTTTTCAAAAACAGCCCATGAAGTAGAATCAGTCCTTGGACATGAAACTCAATCTTTTAAAAACCCAGCAACTTAAACCACCACCACCACCACCAAGCTGACCCTCTAAAGGCGAGGTAAATAATAACCAATCTCTCAATGATAAAAGGAATGAAGAATACTGATTTAAACATGCTGTTTTAGTCTCTCATTAAGGAATATAATCTGTTTTCAATAAACATACATCCTGCTATGGGTCTGCAGTACTGAATTTAGGTAGTTTCCACTGATTGCAGTGTGGTCTGGAATTGGAAAGCCTGGCCTTGATTGATGATCATCAACAAAGAAATTGAAAACACTGACCAGAGACGGTCCATATGAAGGCACTGTGTCAGGCACAGGGAAGACCCAGCAGAGGCCGAGATCTAATTTGGGGGCCTGTGCTTGGGTAGACCAGGCATCTGCATGGAGGCCAGCAACACCCCACTTAGTTTCCCAAGGTATCCATATCAAAAGCCTGACATGACTCACTGGCTAATTACCTGAACGCCTGGGGTCCCTGAGCCCTCCTGGCTGAACAACATGTCTTCTCTCCTGACAGTGAACAAAACACTATCTTCAACCTGCTCCAGACATAGCCTAAAGCTGTCCACATGGTACTGTAAGGGATTATGACTCTGACCTGGATAACTCGGGCAGAAAACCTGCTGTTAACAGCCACTGGGTAAGAGGAGGAAATGAAACAAGAAACGATAGAGTGGTGGCTTTCACCGTGCCACTCCCCTGCTTTAAAATCTCCTGGACACTTACAGAGCAAGGTCCAAACACAAAGTACGAAGTTTGGCAAGCCAAAGCCCTTGACAACATCCTTCTCCAACTCCTCTCTGGCCACTCCCTCATCCACACTCTGGCCACCCTAAACTGTCTTGCCTTCCCTAGATGTCAGGCCCTTCCGCAGTCTGGTCTGTGCTCTGTGCTGCCTCCCACTCCACTCCTACACTCCTATCCATCCTTCAAGGCCCCAATTGAGTATTGCCTCCTCTGTGAAGCCTTCTGATACCTCCAGAAATAGACCTGTTCTTCCTCTAGGCTCCCAAATATTTTGTTTGACCTTCACTATAGTGTCTCTTCCACAGGCCCACCATAACTGTGGTTACTGGTGTCCCTTTTTTGCCTCTGAGCAGTTCAGAGACACAACTTCATCTCTATATCTCTGGTACTTAATAAAGATTTCCAGCAAACAAAGGCACATTCAGTGGTCCAGCTCTCTGCTCCACTTTTTGAATGAGCAGCTATAATATGTAGCACCTTCTCCCTCATCTGCATTAAATTCACTCTGGCCTGGGTTGAGGGTGAGGGAAATCAATTCCTGTGAACATCTCCAAAATGCTACCCATATAATGGTGCCACCTGGACTGGGATTCAGTTGTGGCCACGCAACTGAGCGGATGCTACAAAAATAAATACATACATACATACATACGTACATACATACATACATACAGAAATGCCTGCCCTAAGAGCAAAAATACAGAGGAAGGCCTACACACCATATGTAGTATTTAAAGACAAATCAAGGTAACAAACGGTTACACAGAATGCGTTCTATCATCCTGCCTTGACCAATACTTTAATAAGTCCAGGTTTGAGTTTAGGATTCCCTGACCTCTTGGTTTCACAATGGAATGTGGAAGCTCAGAGAGACCCAGCCCAAGATCTCAGCCCACCCCTAGCACCACCCATAACTTTCAGAGGCCTTGTGCACACCCAAGTAGAGTCCCCAGGCCACAAGTCCAAGCTCTAGCCAATTCCTTCATGCCCCTGCACCCCTTGCCCAGCCATTGGTCCCACAGGTACACATGCTGTCCATGGCCAACACAGTCTGCCCTCAAGTAAAACAGACCTGGGGAAGAGGCCCACGCAGGACTTGGAAACAGGCTCAAGACACTGATGCAGGGAACTGGAAGGGTCAGGCCTCTGAGCATGATCTGGAAAAAGGAAGTGCTTGCTCTAGATGGGCCTGTCCCTTGGCCCTACAGTCTCCTTGCCCCAGTAAGAGGAGCACAGCCAGGTGGAGGGCCAAAGCATGACTCTTGAAGCGTGAGCTCCCTCTTGCACGTATCTGAGGGCAGTCAAGGGTATAGCCACCACGTCTGGGTCATTTCAGAGCCATGAGTTTCTGGACCTGACCATTCTCACTCAACAGCCCACCTAACCAGTAAGCTAGTACTTGAGGGGGAGCCGGAAGTGCATTCCAACTTGGGCCTCAAAAAAACACCAGCAACAATAAACATCATGCACTTCCATGCACTTACGGGCAGCTATCAGTGACAGGCGCGTGAGTCACTGCGTTTCTGCTTCAGGATCTTACCCATCCCCCGCCCCAGGAGACCTGATTCATCGAAGTTTGTTTTTAGTACTATTATTTTTAGTCGACCAAACAAATTTTTAAGAATAATGATAGAGAAGGTGATGGGGGAGGGCAGAACCGCCTAAGAATATGAATTGTTTCTCTTTCAATAGCCTGCCAAGCCTTACATCAACAAGTGGCATGTCTGTATGTTCTCTGTGTGTGTTGAAGTAGATCCTTTTCCTATATCAACTGAGACTCTCCAAAGGAGAATGCTCTGTGAGCAAGTGTGTCGGGATGGGAAGGGGATCACCTATTGGAGTCGACGGACATCATCTGCCAAATTTCCCCTTGGAAAGGAAAAATGAGCGTTTACTAAGCATCTACTATGTATTATGATCGATACTGGCAAAGTACTTGATACATCTTATCTCACTTGCGTTGATTTTTTTTTTTTTTGAGACAGAGTCTCACTCTGTTGCCCAGGCTGGAGTACAATGGTGCGATCTTGGCTCACGGCAAGCTCTGGCTCCCAGGTTCAAGCAATTCTCCTGTCTCAGCCTCCTGAGTAGCTGAAATTACAGGCGCCCGCTACCATGCCCGGCTAATTTTTATATTTTTAGTAGAGCCGAGGTTTCACCATATTGGTCAGGCTGGTCTCAAACTCTTGACCTCAGGTGATCCATCCACCTTGGCCTCCCAAAGTGCTGGGATTATAGGCATGAGCCACCGTGCCCGGCCACTTGGGTTGATTTCTATGAAGTAGGTAGTTTCATCCTCATTTTACAGATGCAGAAACTGGGGCTCAATAAGTTGAAGCAAAGTACCCAAGGTCACCACATAGCTAATAACTGTCAGACTCAAACCCAAACCCATCAGACTTGAGAGGCTTTGCTCTTTCTGCCCAACTGTGCTCTTCCTGTCCTCCCCCTCTCCTGCTCCCCAGGTAATATGTGAAGAACCTGTCTGGGTAGAGACAAACAGCCACACACAAAATGTAAAGGGTTGGCACAACAAGCAGTAATTCACTCTGCCTTCCCATGGGCTGGGAGAAATTAGACCCACCTTGAGTCTGACTTCAATAAGGGTAAGAAAAAGTTTACAACCAGGAAGATTTGAAGCAAAAGGAAAAACCCAATTTCCATCACCAGTGCCTGCTTTCAGCCACTTGTAACTACTCAAAAAGTCCTTTCTGGATTCATTACTCCACATTTGGGCTTAGCCCAGAGGTGATTTTTTAAGGAAAAAATGCCTTTTGGCATTTTTGAGCAGTGACAGCGTAAAAACAGACCTTTAAAAAACACACACCCAAAAAGCATTACTATTTTCAAATGTCCAGTTGAAAAGAAAAAAAAAATGGTGACACCTCAGAGTTACAACTTGGCTTGGCAGTTTGTGATGCAACACTTAGCAGCAAAAGGGACCAGATTCATAACTCTGTAGGTTTCAAAGGCAAAGCCATACACAGTGTTTCTTAATACTGGAGTCCTACCCCATCTCTACTAAAAATACAAAAATTAGCTGGGCATGGTGGCGGGCGCCTGTAGTCCCAGCTACATGGGAGGCTGAGGCAGGAGAACTGCTTGAACCTGGGAGGCGGAGGTTGCAGTGAGCTGAGATCACGCCACTGCACTCCAGCCTGGGCGACACAGCAAGACTCCGTCTCAAAAAACAAAAAAAGAGAGAGACAGAGATAAAGAAACAAACAAACAATACAATACAATACTGGAGTCCTAAACTACCGGCAAAGCACTCAAGAGAAAAACTTGCCAGATGTAAGCTGGGAGAGCCATGTGATACTGAAAAAGAACTATTTAGGAGGAAACTCACTTTTCATTTCCTAGTTGGGGTTTAAACTTGCAACATCCACGCTGCCTAACAAAAGGCTCATGCTTACGCAATCAAGTGCAGCCTTTCTTTATATAGATGCTTGGAAATAAATAAAGGAAGCTTCCTGGGTAAACTTTGACATATGAGCAAACATTTTCCACAGGTATCCTCTATAATGCCTACCTCTTACATTTAACCATTTTTAGGCATCTGTGGTCATTAGTTTAAGTAAACTTCCTGTTCTTAGAATAGTCAAAAATAGCAACAAAAGAAGAAAAACTGTTCACTGCATCTCAAGAGGCACAGCCTCCACATCTTCATCCTAGCATTATTTTCATATTCCTTTGTAGTTAAATTTCACTGATTTAGACTCACAGAGTAAGGAAGAGGCAAGGAAGAGGGAGGGAAATCACCAAAATTAAAGGCTGAATTACAATTTTATTATTTTTACTTATGTAAATTAATTGACACCAGGCTGATAGAGTCTTGGAACATCAATAATTAAGAAAGATCTGTCATTCACTGATCAACTAGATGCGTGCAACTGGGAGCTTTTAAAATGTTTGTATGTGGCCGGGCGCGGTGGCTCAGGCCTGGAATCCCAGCACTTTGGGAGGCCGAGGCGGGCAGATCACTTGAGGCCAGGAGTTGGAGACCAGCCTGGCCAACATGGCGAAACTGGTCTCTGATAAAAATACAAAATTAGCCGGGTGTGGTGGCACATGCCTGTAATCCCAGCTACTCAGAAGGCTGAGGCAGGACAATCACTTGAACCTGGGAAGCGGAGGTTGCAGTGAGGCAAGACCGCGCCATTGCACTTTAGCCTGGGCAACAAGAGCGAAACTCCATCTCAAAAAATAAAATAAAATAAAATAAAATGCTTGTATGAATACCAATTCCAAGTTAGAAAGGCCCTCCAATAGAGTTTATCTAGCCTATTTTCCAGTTGAGAACATTCGAGGCCCAAAGAAGGTGACTTGTCCCAGGTCACACAGCTAATCAGAAACAGAGCCACGTCTAGAACCTACCAAGGTCTGCTGACTCCTACCTCCAAAATAATCCCCAAACTCTTGTTTATTAATTTTTCTTTGACAGCATTTATGGGGCAAAAAGGCCTGCTAAACAAACTTTTGCCTAGTCCAGAATTAGCCAAACTTCTTAATTAATAGGCTTCTACTGTGTTTTCATTTTAAACTGAGTCTCTGCCAAAACATTCTACAGCAGTTGCCACTGTGGCAGGCTGCTGTTTATAGGAAGGGTCTTAGATAACCAACAGTGGATAGTATGCTATAGATTTGTTTATTTCTCAAACTGTTAAGTCGAAACAAAGGATTATGTTATACAGAGAGAAAGAGAAAGAGAGAGAGAGATCCTTGTCAAGTCAATAAACTGCAGAGCTTGGGGGATGTGGTTTGGCACCAAAAAAACAGTATTTACAAATTAGCTAAAGAGTGAACACATACAGCATTCTTACAACTCCAAAGAACCTGTGTTTCACAGCCAGTGGACTAGAAGCTACAGAAGGCACCAGGGACAGTATCTGCCTTATTCACTATTTTGTCCGCATTATCTGGCACAGAAATTAGCACCTGGTACGGCATTAAAGGAAGGCATAAAAATGAACTGGACAAGTTCTCTTGGAATTGTCTCGGTTCTAAAGCTTAGAACACAGTAAAATTAGAAACCAAACTTCTGTAGGGTGGGCTTAGGATGGCAACTTCCCACTGTTTCCAGGAACCATTGTGCTTGAAGATGGGAAGACTGAAGGCTCCATGGCTCAGGGACTTGTCAGAGGCCAACAGAAGGTCATACCCCTCCTTAGGGAGGAGTTAGTCCCATCCAACACTGCACCAGCCATTCACGTCTGCACATGGCTGGTGAACTTCCACCCCCTGCACATTCAGCAGGCTGCCATCATGAGCAGCCTTCTTGGGCAGTTCTCTTGCCAGCCAACCAACACTATGAGATGGGGATTTGGGGGAGGGAATGGAGTCTTTAAGTTTTGCTTTTGTTTTAATCAGTCAATATGGCAAAGGAGAAAAGGGCAAAAGTCAATTAGGACTATTGATGAGACTTGCTGATTAAGAAAACTGCATTCCAATCTTAGAGAACTTAATTGCAATTACAGGAAGCTGAAGGAGAGGTGAATAAAGGTGGGAGAATAAGGTTAACAGGAATGAAAGCTGATTCCAATTTGAAGCAAGCCCTGCTTGGTCTTATTTATTTCATTAAGGAGCTCACGCAGAATAATGGCTGTACTGTGCATCAAATGGCATTAAAATCTCCTAATAAATTAACAAGTAAAAATTAATGGTCGCTCAGTTCATTAAATCGTGTTAATTTTATTCCATTATAATAATACAGCAATCACATGTTTACATTATTAAACCAATATTTATTTTTTAACTCATTTAGTTGGATTCCTGATGTGATAAGCTTGAAACAAATTCTTTCAATTTCATCAACTTCTTGCATTTCTCATCAGAATTAAATGCGACTGTATTCATATTTTTCTGTTATTAAAATTGTCATTTAAAACTTCACCCTTGCAAAGACTTTTTAAAAAATATACCACTAAAAGCACCTATGTTCATTCAGAAACTCAGGCGTCTAGGATTTATTCTCAGCAAGTGTTAACTAGAGAAATGAGAAGCTAGGTCACACCGAAGCTTTGAATTTCAAAACAACCATCTGCAAGTTGTCCACTTTTCATTTATTTATTTATTTATTTTGAGACAGAGTCTCGCTCTGTCGCCCAGGCTGGAGTGCAGTGGCGCGATCTCGGCTCACTGCAAGCTCCGCCTCCTGGGTTCACGCCATTCTCTTGCCTCAGCCTCCCGAGTAGCTGGGACTACAGGCGCCTGCCACCAAGCTCGGCTAATTTTTTTGTATTTTTAGTAGAGACAGGGTTTCACCGTGTTAGCCAGAATGGTTGTGATCTCCTGACCTCGTGATCCGCCTGCCTCGGCCTCCCAAAGTGCTTGGGATTACAGGTGTGAGCCACCGTGCCCAGCCAAGTTGTCCACTTTTTATTAACACTCCCTGTCATATTCTGAGCTGATACATCTAAAGTCCCTGTTCCCACCAAGGAAACCTGAATTTCAGTTTGCAGTACTAACTTACTTTTTACTTCAAAGAGAAAATGCTTTACAGTGGAGTAAAATATAGCACCCAAGTCACTAGCTGTTCAGTGCCAGTTACAAGGTAACATATTTATAGCAGCACTCAGTTTAGTAAAAGAGGATAAAGACGTCCTCATTCTTATAGGGAACTATCCCCATGTACCAAAAAGTTCCCAACATCATACTGCAGTCCAAAAAGCTTCCTTTGGATAACCCTTGTCCCCTTCTTAGTTTTCCACCTCTCATGGGTTCTCCTCCTCTCTACACCTCCTCCCACAGAATTAACTGTGTTTCCACATTGCTGGGCACTTAGCACATTCCTCAGCTGCAGCTCATGCCTCATACCTTTGGGCAAGTCTGTCTCCCGCTCTAGACAGGGAGCTCTTTGAGTACAGGGACCCTGCTGTGGTCATTGTAGTATGTTCTCAACGAAGGACTGAATAATTCAATAATGAATGAATGATGCAGAATGAAGTATAAACGTAACATACCTGTCAAATTCTCTGGTTCACAAAACACTTCCACAGAACTTATCTCATCCTGACTTGACAGGTGCAGATATAAAAGCTGTGAAACTTAAATGGATTCCCAAATCCTTGCAGGTGGTAAAATGGCAGGTACAGGACCTGAATTTTGTGTTTTTTTCAGAAAAAAACAGATGCCTGTCATTATTTTATTTCCTAACATAGTGAATTCTACAATATTTAAAAGGCACATCAACGCCCGCCCCCATCAAAAATCATCCATACTAGATCTCATATTTCTACTGGTAGCTGGGAATGAGAAAGAGATAGCAGTTAGATACTCAAATAATGCCCTATTCATGTTTCCCTTACTGATGTGTAAGCTTCTCACAGGCTGGGAGCTTCTCAAACGTGTCTCTGCATCCTCCTCTGGTACCTAAAAAATTGACTCAGACATGGGAGGGTCCAATAAATATCAATAAATCAACAAAATCCAGCCCTGTAACAACAGAGGGGCTGTCTGCAAACATTCCACTCCCAGGTGCAAGCAGCATGTTCCAAGGTTCTAAATGTTCCCAGGGAACGTCAAGTGGCGCCTAGGTTCAGCTGCAGCTGAGTCAGATCCCTCATCAGCTACCTATTGTCCTGCAGGCACCTCCTCTTCTCAGGCCCTACGTGGAACTCCCCTAATCAAACTTAACAAGAGCAAAGAGATAATGGACCACCTCCCTAGCAGCTGGAAGGGGGCTTGCTTCCAATGGGCCACACGGGCATGGTGCTCTGAAGTGCAGCCAAGAGAAAAGGGAGGCCTCTACAGCCTTAGTAATAGGTCTATCCCCAGAAATCTGGAAAAGGCATGTTAAAGACTAGGATCTTTTTCCTTTCTCAAAGTGAGAGTACCCTGGCAAAAGTCAAGGAGATAATAAGAGGAGGCTACAGTAAAAGATCAGATTCGGTGAGGCGCGGTGGCTCACGCCTGTAATCCCAGCACTTTGGCAGGCCAAGGCGGGCAGATCACAAGGTCAGGAGTTCAACACCAGCCTGACCAACATGGTGAAACCCCGTCTCTACTAAAAATACAAAAATTAGCTGGGCGTGGTGGCGGGCGCCTGTAATCCCAGCTACTCGGGAGGCTGAGGCACAAGAATCGCTTGAACCGGGAGGCAGAGGTTGCAGTGAGCTAAGATCATGCCACTGCGCTCCAGCCTGGGCAACAAGGCAAGACTCTGTCTCCAAAAAAAAAACATCAGATTCACAGGGAGGGAGTAGATGCTGTGTGTCAGACCTAGTGTTTGCTTCAATTCTCCAATTTTCCACTGGACTGGGTGCTCTGACACAAGAAAGCCCAAATTCCCTTCCAAACAAGCAATGCTTTAAGCTTGGTCTAGCTCCCAACAACGAGGCCAAGGCATGGATTCCCTGGTGGAAGTACAAGCTACCAGTGTCTACCAGAAAACTAAGTTTTAAGTGTGCCGAGCTCCTTATTCCTCATATAACGCTCACACACCAACTCTCATTCAGCGGCAAATGCTTTGATTCCATTCTTATAAACTGGCAAGGAAGATACCTGCAGCTTTACTCAGGTACTCAAGCAGGTGAGGCATGAGAGGCTGTTATAAAACTTGTGTAAATTCTGCCAATCCTGCCAGACCTCAGAGTATCCTGACAGCCCCTTTGTTGGTGTATCTAAATGAAGCTCTTACCACTTCCTTGGCACCAATCTCTTTCACCTTCTTTATGTCGATAAGTGTGTATCACGCCAGCTCCCCTGATAATTGAAACAAGTCAGAGCTGGTGTCACAGAGAAGCAAGCCTGTGGTCTGGAAGTCCCTAGTATACAGCTCTAATTGCCAAATGTTGCTGTTGCTGCTCATGATTATATATTAGCCAAAACACACTTGGCTTAATCTCCTTAGACTGAGGGCTCCTTAAACCCCGGAGTCCAGATCTTGCAGAGTGTTTTTAAGCACCCAGTGACCAACCCCCCACACACAGGGGGAATGACTAAGTTAAACATTTTCCTTTCTCTACTTTCCAAACTAAAAGGCAGTTGTGGTGAAAGCAGACAATTTGACAAGCAACACTGCAATCTATGGGGCTTAGCAGACACATTGATATCACCAGCACAGGGCCAAACCAGCCACCTCCCCAAGACGTGGCCTTTAGTTTTCTGCCCACGACCAAAACAGCAGCAGCTGTTGCCAAGGGACACAAGGTGACCCAGAGGCGTGGGCACAAAATCCAAGGATGAAAATCCATTTTGTCTGGATCCACCCAAGCAACTGGGTTTCCCTAACTGAAAAAAAAGATGAAAAAAAAAATCTACTTTTGTATTCAGTCCTATCCAGGCAGGCAGAAGATGCCTCAGTCCTAACAAAGTCACGAGAAGGCCACAGGGCAGGTTGGCTTGAACTCTCAGAATCATCCAAAGCGTTCACACGTCTTAGGCTTCCAAAGTCTCAGCAGGACTTTGGAAGAGGAAAAGGCAGGCCAAAGGTATGGCCCCACAGAGGACAAACTCCTACCAAGGCAAGGGAAAGCAAGGCCTCTCTGCCAAGCTATCACCAGCCCAAAGATTAAAGAAGCAACCGCACATACAAAGATCCACAGGGCCCTCCCCAAGCTAACACAGCTTTAGCATTCAGCAAAGAATGTATTCAGGATCTTCAAAGTATAAAGCAGCATGGGGCAGCAGAAAGAGCACATTCAGGCAGAACCCCATGTCTATGACTCAAGCCTTTTCACCTCTCTCTTTTAAGGTTTCCTCTGCTTTAAAAATGTGATAATCTTAAGCCTAACAACCTTATCTACTTTCCATGGCTGGTTGCTTGCTTGCTTTCTGTCTTTTTTTGAGGACCTCAGAAAACCATGTGAAAGTGCTTTGTAAACTGTGAAACACTTTTCACAGCTGCCTGTTTTACAATTGATACCACTTTTTTTCTTCTGTTTCAATACATAAAGCACTTGTCTTCAATGCACCCAGGCAGATAAGGAGAAGGTAGGTTTGGCAGACCCCTCCCCAGAAAGAGAAGTAGCATACTCACCCACTCTACCCTAGCCACCCCCACGGAAGGAATACAGAAGAATTAACAACCAGAGCTGGAACCAAATCCCAGGTCTCTCTGACCATCACATCACACCACCTCCTCTGAAGTCAATTCTGGCTCCCGATCACACGCCCAGAGACTTCCCCAGACAGCACACCGCCTTCCCTCCCCCTTTATTGACTGGATCCACCCAGTTAAAAAAAATTTAAGTCCGCACTCCCACCATATGTGGCATTTATTTCCAGGGGAGGCCTGCCCTCGGTTCCCGTGGACAGATGTTGCTTTGTGCCTGCCTGACTCGCCTGGCAGCCCCTGTACAACTGCCCCAAGCAGGTGGCCAAGGATGGAGTCCACCCTGGCCCAGGAGCAGGGATGACAATCCCTTTGCGGCTGACAGTCCCTGGTGCTTTCTACTCATTCCTCGGCAGCCTGGGACCCCCAAAAGAGCCAGCCCCCAACACACACGCTCTCTCCCTTGGTTCAGCATCAAAGGAGGCTGAGAGGTAGAGACAGGAAGCCAAGGTACCCGCACCCCCAGTTCCCAGCCAGGCACATCTAAGCTAAGGAAGGCCCTGGGGGAGTGAAGTCACTGACCCCTTCTATCAGCCATCTGTGGGCTCCCGCCCGACCTAGCTAGCGCGCAACGGGAAGGATAAAGGAGATCCAGACAGATGGCAGCGCGCTTTGGGAAGGAAGGCTCTACAGGAATGCGAGGGCCGATGCGAGGCCCACTTTGGGGTGTGTTTTGTTATCTGCCCGGCTGCAGCCTGCCCCTCTCCCTCGTTCTGCACGGTTTCAAAATCTCTTGGACCAAAAGAAGGGCAAAAGAGTCGGGATGGGGGGGTGGGAGGTGGGAGAAGACCCTATTTTCCGCCACTTGTCTCTCCCATTTGGAAGTCAGAGCATTGCACTGCAACCAAAGTGCGTGCATGCTCAGGGGGCGGGAGACTGGCACAACCGAGTCTAAAAATACTCGATAAAAATGCTAATCCCGAAGGCAAAGAAAGAACGAAGAAGGAATCTGTCAATCACTAGGCTCCCGCTCCTCACCCACAGCCCCAGCTGTACGGACCGCATTCCTGTAGAGGAAAGTGGGGAGACCCGACTGAAGAAAAGAAACGCAAAGACACCACCACCTCCACGAGCGCGGGCCGCGGGGGCGGGAGGCGGCGGCGGAGGAGGGGCTCCGGCCCGCGGAGCCGAACAAAGCGGGCCTCAACTTCCAGCCCCAGCTCCCCGGAGTGGGGGCGGCCGAGTCCCGCAGCAACCCGCTCTCCCCTCCCGGAGGTGGAAAGGGAATGTGAGGTGTGGAAGCCAGAGTGCCGCGTGGAAGCCTCGGGCTCTGATCTTTGCAAATCAGAGATGGTTTTGTTTGGGGTCCCCCCACCCCCTTCCTGCCCGCGCTCTCCCACTCTCACACACACGCACCCACACAGTCTCACTCCCTCCCTCTCTCTCCCTCTTCCCATCTCCAGCCCCACTGGGTCGGCCCCGCAGTGCCAGGGGGCTGGGCCGGCGTGACCCCGGGTCCCCCCCGGGCGGGCCCCCACCTGGGGATGGTGATGCACTTGGTGTTGACGTTCTGCGTGGTGATGGCCTTCTCCAGCTCGTCCAGCTGCCCCGTCTTCTTGAGTTTCTTGACCAGGCTCTTGACCGCCTTCTCGCACCATTTCTCCTCCTGCCCGTTCTGCTCGCCCTTCTTCCAGCCCAGCAGGCGCTTCACGATCGGGGGAGTGAAAGGCAGGATGGACGACATGGCTGGGGAGGGCGCGCGGGCGGCGAGGAGCGCCCCCGGCGGGGCTGGGCTCGACGGGACGCCGGGGGCGCAGAGGGGAGCTCGGCCGGGGCCTGCCGCGGTCGCCCAAACTTCGCCTCAACTCTCGGCGAAGTTGCCGGGGCGCCGGGCCGGGCCGCGGCGCTGCAGCCTGCGGGGCTCGGCGCGCGGCCCTGCGCCCGGAGCGGCTCCCACGGCGAAGAGAAGAGCGGCCGGGCGGGCGGACGGCAGCAGTGCAGGGTCGGGAAGGCCCCGAACGCGGGGCGGAGGCGGCGGCCGCGAGACTCCAAGTGGCAGCAGAAGTTTGGGTTTCCGCACGGGGTAGCTGTTTGGGTGCCGCCTCCGGGAAGGAAAGTCCAACCCCCGGCCAAACTTCGCTCGCCTCGCTAGCTTTGATGCGCAGATCCCTCCGCCTCTGCGGCCTCACCGCCCCGCCACCCTCCTCCTCCCGGCTCGCCGCTCGCTCGCTCGCTGGCTGGGCCGGCCCGGGGCGTGCGCCGCGCTCCCGCTCCCGCCCGCTCCCAGTCTGTGTTTCATGCAAATCCGCGTGCAGCCTCCTTTCCAAGTGCTGTCACCGCCCCCTCGCCGCCGGGGCTCCCCGCCTCCTCCCCCGCGCCCCGCCACCTCCTCCCGCGGGCGCCCTGCCCGCCCCCTGCTCCGGGGAGGGCGCCCGGCCGGCCACCACCCCGCGCCCAGCACGCCCACGTGGGCGACCCGGGCGGCGGCAGTCCTGGCTGGAGCGCGCGGGACCCTGCGCGGCCCCGACCTGAAGTCGGGCGGGCGCGGGGAGGAAGTCCTGGGAAACACGGCGAGAGGGGCCTCGGGCGGGAGGGCTGAGCGCGGCCCGTGGCGTCCGCTCTCGGAGTCCACACTCGGGCGGCTCGGTTGGAGTTGCGGGCCGGAGAGGGTTGGACTCGCAGCAAGTAAGCGTCGTCCGGACGCGAGTGCACCCTGGAGAGGACCCGAGCCCGAGAGGGGGCGCGCGGAAGGCCCGGGCCCAGGAAGTTGGGGCCCGCACTTGGCCTCGCGCTTGCTGATCCCCGTCAAGGCCCTTGGCCGGCGCCGGCGCCCCTGGGCTGTTTTTATTCTCTAGTCGGTGAGATCACACCGGCCGAGAGCCTCGGGAACGTGTGCGGAGGAGGAGGGGGTGAGAAGTGGGTCCTCAGAAGTGGAGAGCTGGGGACACCAGTGACAACCTGGACAATGGCTGGAGCCAGGGGTCTCTTGAGCCTTGTGAACCGAGTGCCCGGCAGAAAATGAGCCTCAAGGACATCTGTTGAGTTCTTGAAGGAATGAATGGAGGGGCTTTCGAATTTATCTTTGAAAGAAATTTACATAACAGGGTGTTTGTTGCTGGATCTCCTGATAGAGAAGGATCGGAAATTTGATAATTGCCAATAAATGGAAGAGAGTTTTGTTTCCAAAGCAATGAACTCACAAAAAAGTGGGGCAAGACAGGAGTTTTCGGAGAGTTTGTGTATTCAAAAAAAGCAAAACAACAACAAACCAATTGGCACATTGGGGAGCTCCGCGGCTTTTCTCCCCACCAAAAGAATTCAGGGGCGTCTGCCCGCAGGGCCCTCGGCGGTTTTCAGGAGCTACTCCAGGCCCCTCGGCCTTTCTCTTGCTGCCTCCCGCAGCCGACTAGCCGGTGTCTAAGCCCTTTGTTTGTTTTTAACAGCAGGAATCTCCCACCCCCACCCCTGCTTTGTTAAAAAAAAAAAGTTATCTGGAACCCTCAAGTGGGTGGGGAGTTACAAAGCCCTGTGAGGTGTGGCGGAATCCACAGTCAGCCCAGAAGCGGCAGGGGCCCTTGCCTTGCTCCGGAGAACCGCCTCCCACAAGCCAATCCGCAGCTGCTGCTGCAGAAGTGCGCTGTGCTCCTCACCCTCCTCTCTTCCTAAATACCCGCCTGAAAAGGAGAATACGTGAAAGCCAACTGAGGCTTGACAACCTGGCTTCCGTTCCTTGCTGGTCCTCCTGTTAACGCGCTGCCGCTGTGGTCTTAGGTTTCACTCTCCTCTTCCCGTCCGTCAAGAGAGACAAGGATGACACAATCCACATTTATTGATTGCTTTCTTCATTCCGGGTAGTCCGCCTGCTGCCCTTTGATTCAGTCTTAACAGTGGTTGGTGAGGTAGATGTTCCTGTGCCTCACGTTTACGGAGGCACAGAGAGATTACATTACTTACTCAGGGTTCCAAGTGGCAGAGCTGGAATTTGAACCCAATACTTTGTTGAAGCCTCAGTCTCCGATCTTGAGACTGCACCCAGCTGCCTGGGTCACGGAAGGCAAAGATGACATCATTGATCGAGCTCTTTGCAAAACAGTTCTCTACACGGGCACACTGTTGTAACACTGCAAGGATTATTTGCTCACCTGTAAAATGGGGCTAGAGGTAGCTTCCCTCGCGATCTCCTAGGGTGGCTGTGGGAAGCTCATGTGAAAAGGTTTGCATTGCTAATGCCATGAAAAGTGGTGGAGGGAGGTCAAATAAGTTTAACACACATTGACGGAGCAGCTCTGAGTTGCAGCCCTCCTATTCAGTTCCTGAACTTCCAAAATAAAAGACTAAGGTTTTCAAGGCGTTCACAGCCTAGAGAAGCATCAAAGGGTGGGGATGAGGATGATGTGACTGAGTGGGCAAAGATGGGCAGGGGCCTTGCAGTCATCATCGTCCAGTAAAGTGTTAATCTTAACCTGAACAAGTCCAACCATTGAGAGGTAGCCAAAGAAAGTAAGAGGGGCTCAGGATCCATCAGTGACTGGCCTGGCTTCCAATCCCGGCTCTTTCTCTTCTTCCCCTTGGGCAGCGTCCGTTCTCTCCGCTGTAAGAATGGAGCAAGCGGTTCTCACTGTGCAGAGTGGTGGATCCAGAAAGAGCATTGTAACTGTCCTCCTGTAGTTCAAGTCCTTTATGTTACAGAGAGAGCAATGTCTGCTGAAGGAGAGTGATTTGCACTGTAGAGGAAGAGCGTCAGAGAGATTTGAGGATTACATGTAGTAGAAGGACCTGACAGGTACTTCACCCTGTAAAATCATGGTATGGGAAGGGGCCCTCATTCAGCCCTCTCATTTTCCTGAGGGGAGGAAATAACTAGGCAGCCAGCTAGTTAGTGTGGCAGAACCATGCTTCCCTGCTGGCATCCGTGTGACAAGAACAGCTGTGCATGCAGAAAAATAGTGCTGGACCCACCTACAAGTCTAATAAGTGCCATTTCTGGGCTAGTTCTTTCTCCTCAGGCCTGTTTCTCCAAGAGAAGTCCCTCCACTGGGGGACTAAGTCCAGTTTCAGAAAGCTCTGAGGAGGGCTGAGGAACTGATTCTTCCAGTGCTGAGAAGACCCTGCATGTTCTCTTGATCTTGACTTTGGGCAGTGAATGGGTGGGCTGCTCTGGATGGGTACAACTCTGTTCTGGCACCTGGTCTTTTGGGGCCCAGCCATACCTGCTTTTGCAGAGGTTGTCCTTGGGAGGGAAACATTAGCCCAGTTAATTTTTCACCATGGTAAGTGCAAAGTTCAGGAGAGGTGGGATGGAAGTGGAGACAGCAACTGTTTCCCTGGGAATAGTCCATCCTATGAACAGTTCACCTCGTGAATAGACACATCAGAGGGTTTTCGTGTATTTGGAGTGGCTCCCAGGTAGGCCAGCCACTCCAAATACACGAAAGAAACAAACACCTGACTTCAATTCTGATTATTTTCCCATTAGCTTAAGGGTATTTAATCAACAAGTAGTGAATCTAGAAAAAGCATTAAAATCATCTTCATCTTACACAGACAGAAAGTGATGTCTGTAAGGGAAGGTGATTTGCACTGTGAAGATAAGTAGCCAAATCAGGACTAGAACTTTTATCAGAGTGCCCTCACCTAAGAGAGAGCCTCTGTCTACAGTCAGATCTCTACCTATAGCTCTTTGTAACACCTTACACGTGTGAGCTCTTCTGTGGCACCAGAATGACCTGGGTTAAACTTCTACCTCTTCCACTTCCGGCTGTGTGACTCTGGGCACGTTCCTTAACTCTGTGTGTGTCAGTTTTCTCATCCATAAAATGTGATAATTACAACACCTTCTTAGGATTGCTGTATGGAATCAGATTAAATCATATAGAAAGCTTGGTACAAGCACATAGTAGGTTCTCAATATACATGGATGTGATTCATGCATACTATAAAGTGCTATGCAAAAGTGAGAAGCAATGAATTCCATGTACATAAAACAAATGTATAGATTTTAAACACAGTTCCAACAGAAAATAGTAAGACACAGAGGGAAAGGAATAGCATAATGCTACTATGTAAAACAAATTACATATACACAAAATAATTATATACATTTTGAAAGAAGTTATACAAATAAAAAGATATACATTGAACCACTTCACATCCATTAGGATGGCTATTATCTTTTTTTCTTTGTTTTTGAGATGGAGTTTCGCTCTTGTTGCCCAGGCTGGAGTGCAATGGTGCCATCTTGGCTCACTGCAACCTCCGCCTCCCGGGTTCAAGCAATTCTCCTGCCTCAACCGCCTGAGTAGCTGAGATTACAGGCATGTGCCACCCACGCCTGGCTAATTTTGTATTTTTAGTAGAGACGGGATTTATCCATGTTGGTCAGGCTGGTCTCAAACTCCTGATCTCAGCTGATTCCTCCCACCTTGGCATCCCAAAGTGCTGGGATTACAGGCGTGAGCCACCGCGCCTGGCCAGCTATTCGCTTTTAAAAAACAGAAAATAACATGTTGGAAAGGATGTGAAGAAATTAGAATCCTTGCACATTGCTGGTGAAGATGTGAAGTAGTGCTGCCTCTGAGGAAAATGCTGTGGTGTATGTATGGCAGTTCCTCAAAAAACTGAGCAGAATTACCATATGATCCGGTCATTCTGTTTCTGGGGATATACCCAAAAGAATTGAAAGCAGGGACTACGAGTATTTCCACACCCATGTCCGTAGCAGCCTTATTCACAACAGTCAAAAGGTAGAAGTAACTCAAGTGTCCATCAATGGATGGGTGGAAAAACAAGATGTATTGTAGTCACACAATGGAATTTTTAAATTTTATTTATTTATTTATTTAGAGACAGAGTTTCGCTCTTATTGCCCTGGCTGGAGTGCAGTGGCGCGATCTTGGCTCACTGCAACCTCCACCTCCCAGGTTCAAGTGATTCTCCTGCCTCATCCTCCCTCGTAGCTGGGATTACAGGTATGTGCCACCACACCCAGCTAATTTTGTATTTTTAGTAGAGATGGGGTTTCACCATGTTGGCCAGGGTGGTCTTGAACTCCTGACCTCAGGTGATCTGCCCGCCTCGGCCTCCCAAAGTGCTGGGATTACAGGCATGAGCCGCTGTTCCTGGCCCATACAATGGAATATTATTTAGCTTTAAAAGGAAGGAAATGCTGACACATGATACATTGTGGATGAACCTTGAGAATATTATGCTAAGTGAAATAAACCAGCCACAGAGGAACAAAAATTGTGTGATTCCACTTACAGAAGTACCTAGCATAGTTAAATTCTTAGAGACAGGAAGGAGATAGTGGTTGCCAAGGGCCAAAGGGAGAGGGAATGGAGAATTATTGTTTACTGGATATGGAGTTTCAGGTGAAGAAGATGAAAAAACTCTGGAGATGGATGGTGGAGTTGGTTGTACAACAATGTGAATGCAGTCAGTGCCATGGAACTGTACACTTAAAATGGTTAAAATAGTCAATTTTGTTATGTACATTTTACCATAATAAAAGAGTAGGAATAGGCCAGGTGCGGTAGCTCATGCCTGTAATCCTAGCACTTTGGGAGGCCAAGGCGGGTAGATCACCTGAGGTCAGAAGTTCGAAACCATCCTGGCCAACATGGTGAAACCTTGTCTCTACTAAAAATACAAAAATTAGCCAGGCACGATGGCAGGAGCCTGTAATACCAGCTACTTGGGAGTCTGAGGCAGGAGGGTCACTTGAACCCAGGAGGCAGAGGTTGCAGTGAGCAGAGATCACGCCGCTGCACTCCAACCTGGTGACAGAGCGAGACTCCATCTCTAAATAAATAAATAAAGTGGGAATAAAATGGTAAATATTGAACAGAGTAGAATAGATGTTTGAGTGTGGGTGTATGGGAGAATAGAGGATAAGGCTAAAGAGGGAAAATAAATAAGTGCATTCAGGTGTGTATGACTGATGTGTGTAACTGAGGAGTGTGGCTAACTTTACCCTACTGCTCTAACGTAGTGTTCAACATACATTAGTCAATAGACCAATTGCTCTCTAGTTTGTTCGAAAGATAGAACCTTTGGCTTCCAGCACTGTTCAGTTCGGTGGTCATGATATCTTACATGTGGAGAACTTAGTCAAAATTATTAAAAATTCCTGTCTCACAGCAACCCCTAAAACATGCAGGCTTAGGCGTTGCCCTATCTGACAGCTTAGGGAACAGAGGGCAGGAGATTAACACCATTTGTGGGGCTGCCCTATGCCAGGACTGGGCTTGGGACTTCAAGGATGTGGTCATGTTTAAAGTTCTCAGTGTCTACAAGATGATTGTTGCATTGCTGCTTTATGGAGGAGGGACCAGAGAGGCAGGCAGTTCAGCTGTTGTTGGCCCAAGCTTGACTGGCCGTGGAATACCAGCCCCTTACTGCTAGCCCAGCGTGGGTCCCTATGTCCCCAAAGCCCACAGCAGAATTTCTGGCGTGGATTACAGAGTGTCCTTGGGAGAATGACTATGACAGAAGGAGCTGGATACAGGTACTGTCCAAGGAAAGTATTGAGAGAGAGCAGGTCTGACTCAGAAAGATTTGGGGCAGGGGGTTGGACTTGGGGCTGTGTGCAGACCGAGGCATGGGGCCAAGGCTGAGCTGGGAGCATGGGACAGGGCTGTGGGCGGGCACTTGGAGCCCAGGGCAGGGTTCACAGAGCTATTTTCAGTTCTCTTGCAGGATCTCCTTCCCAGCCTTCAGAAATTGCCGGTCTGGGAGTTGGGGGCAAGGAGAAGATCCTGGTAAGTGTGAGGTTGTGTGTGTATGAGTTTATTTTTTACCATTTATGTGTGTCCTGGTGTGTTGCACTCTCTATGCATACAGGGGTGTTGTGGAGATTCACATGTGTGTGCATGTAAGATGTCTCTGCCTGTGCCTCTGAGGTCTTGTTCACATCTCATTCTTTCAAAGTCCAGCCCCAGTTATTTAAGTGAAACGGGTACATGTTGTGTGAGTTTCCTCTCTGAATTCATATGTTTTTGTCCTTGCGTACATCTTGTATGTACGTATATATGTTTATAGAGGTCACTGTGTTTTCCGTTTCCTATTTTCCAAGATAATAAAGTCACAAATCAGTCTTGGCTCAGGCCCATGGTCTATGGTTCTGTTAGCAATGTGGACATAAAAAAGAGTAGTTGGAAAATTGTTGGTCCATTATAGTAGCATTTACTTTTAAAAATACCTGCATATGAACAGCCACCAGAGAGGATGCATTGAAATGAAAATAGAGTTCTACAAATGCAGTGAGAGTGTATGACCTTAAATTATTTTTATTTTTTTACATTAAAAATAATAGAGGCATGTTATTTTTACATTAAAAACAACAGAGGTATAGAGGTCCGGCACAGTGGCTTACTCCTGTAATTCCAGCACTTTGGGAGGCCAAGGCAGGTGGATCACCTGATGTCAGGAGTTTGAGACCAGCCTGACCAACATGGTGAAACCCCTGCCTCTACTAAAAATACAAAATTAGCCGGGCGTGGTGGTGCATGTCTGTAATACCAGCTACTCAGGAGGCTGAGGCAGGAGAATTGCTTGAACCCGGGAGGCAGAGGTTTCAGTAAGCTGAGATAGCACCACTGTACTCCAGCCTGGGCAACAAGAACGAAACTCCATCTCAAAAAATTAAATAAATAAAATCAACAGAGGCATATACCCAAAGGAACTAAAAGCAGGGGCTTAAACAGATATTTGTATGCCCCTGTTCATAGCAGCATTATTCATAGTAGCCACAAGGCGGGAGCAACCCAAGCATCTGTCAACAGATGGAGAAGCAAAATATGATATAGACATACAATAGAGGATTGTTCAGCCTTCAAAAGGGTTGAAATTCTTTTTTTTTTTTTTGTGACGGAGTCTTGCTGTGTCGCCCAGGCTGGAGTGCAGTGGCGCAATCTCGGCTCACTGCAAGCGCCGCCTCCCGGGTTCACGCCATTCTCCTGCCTCAGCCCACGGAGTAGCTGGGACTACAGGCACCCGCCACTGCGCCCGGCTAATTTTTTATATTTTTAGTAGAGACGGGGTTTCACCGTGGTCTCGATCTCCTGACCTCGTGATCCACCCGCCTCGGCCTCCCAAAATGCTGGGATTACAGGCGTGAGCCACCGCGCCCAGCAAAAGGGTTGAAATTCTTACACATACTACAGTGTGAATGAACTTTGAGACCATGTTAAGTGAAATAAATCAGTCACAAAAGAGCAAATGTTCTATGAATCCACTTATATGAGATATGTAGAGTAGTCAAATACAGGCTAGGCGTGCTGGCTCATGCCTATAATCCCTTTGGATTATAGCACTTTGGGAGGCCAAGGCGGGAGGATCACCTGAGGTTGGGAGTTTGAGATCAACCTGGCCAACATGGAGAAACCCCGTCTCTATTAACAATACAAAAATTAGCCGGGTGTAGTAGTGCATGCCTGTAATCCCAGCTACTACTCGGAAGGATAGCTTGAACCCTGGAGGTGGAGGCTGCAGTGAGTGGAGATCACACCACTGCACTCCAGCCTGGGAGACAGAGCGAGACTCCATCTCAAAATAAATGAATAAATAAACAAATTCATAGAGACAAAAAGTAGAATGGTGGTTTCCAGAGGGTTGGGTAAGAGGCGATGAGAGTTAGTATTTAATGCGTACAGAACTTCTGCAAGACGAAAAGAGTTCCAGAGGTGGATGGTGTGATGAGAGCAGAACAAGGATGAATATACATAATGTCACTGTACTGTATACTTCATAATGGTTAACATGGTAAATTTTATTATGTATATTGGGCCACACTTTAAAAAAAATAAATTTTAAAAGGAAATAGGGTATACTGTATAAAAGTTATAACTCAGTGAAAAAACAGATTTTAAAAAGAGAAGGAGGTCAGGCACGATGGCTCACACCTGTAATCCCAGCACTTTGGGAGGCTGAGGCAGGCAGATCACAAAGTCAGGAGATCGAGACCACCCTGGCCAACATGGTGAAACCCTGTCTCTACTAAAAATACAAAAATTTGCTGGGTGTGGTGGTGGGTGCCTGTAGTCCCAGCTACTTGGGAGGCTGAGGCAGGAGAATCCCTTGAACCCGGGAGGCAGAGGTTGCATTGAGATGAGATCACACCACTGCACTCCAGCCTGGTGACAGAGCAAGACTTCATCTGAAAAAAAAAAAAAAAGAGAGAGAAGAAAAAAATGTGTAGGGCAAAAGCAGTGTCAGGTGTCTCCAGTGTGTGAAACATGGGTTGTAGAGTGGCACAGAAGGAGACAATGGTGATTTGCACTTTCGGGTCAGGCGTGAACGTGTTACTGGCCTTCAGAGAGGGCCTGTTAGTGCTTCAGTGTAGTCAGGCCCTGGGTGTGTGACAGGAGAAAGAGTGGAATCCTGACCTCGTAAAATAACATCGCATCTGGAATAGTCTGCACCTTACTTACAGCCCAGCATCTGCAGCCCATGAGAACTTCCTGCCACTGATTGACATGGTTGAAGTGCATGGTATGTAAATTATATCTCACTAATGACATTTTAAAAAATAATGAAGGTTAGCACCTATTGAAGTCTTACAAGTGCTAGGCCCTATTTTCAACACTTCTATGGATTAGATTCACTTGTTTGGTTTTCACGACTGCTTGTGGTTCTTGTTATTATCATGCCCTTTTCAGAAGAGGGCACTGAGCATGGTAAGGTCAGACCAGGGAGTGGCTGTGCCCAGTCAATCCAGGCAGCCTGCTACACCTAAGTCCTTGCTCTTAACCACAATGAAGACAAAAAACAGCCACTAACTAGAAATAATCATATTGCACTCACCTGCATTTTCTTTTAACATATTGTGAATATCTTTCTATGTCAATACATACGTATTTCCTACATTGTTTTGAAAGTCTGTAGAGCTTTTTGTCACATGGATCTCCCATAATTTTTTTTTTTTTTTTGAGACAGAGTCTCACTCCTGTTGCCCAGGCTGAAGTGCAGTAGTGCAATCTCAGCTCACTGCAGCCTTGAATTCCCTGGGCTCAGGTGATCCTCCCATTTCAGCCTCCCAAGTAACTGGGACTACAGGCATGCACCACCACACCCAGCTAATCTTTTATATTTTTAACTTATGACAGGGTTTTGCCCTGTTGCCCAGTCTGGTCTCCAACTCCTGGGCTCAAGCAATCTGCCTACCTTGGCCTCCCAAAGTGCTAAGATTAGAGGCATGAGCCACTGCATCCAGCCTACCATAACTTATTAAATCAGTTTCCCACACTTGGACAGTGAGGTTTTTTCCAATTTTATTTGGTATTATTAAAAGTGCTGTTTTAAACATTCTTGTGTATACACGTTTGTGTACATCCCTGATTACTTTTTTAAGAATAATTCCCTAGAAGGAGAATTCTACTTTTTATGCCATTACCAAATGGCCCTCTGAAAAGTGATTGCCCCAGCTTAGTCTTGCCACATCAGCTTTAAAAAGTGACATTGCACCTGGGGCAGATTATTTTCTCACTGCCTCACTTCATCATCAATAGCTGCATTCAAGGGGACCGGAAAGCTTCAGCTTTAGCTGTGACTTTTTTGTCGTTTTTCTGAAATCAACAAATGAAAACCAGGCTCCACTGAAGGACCTCCCAGCACGAAGCAGAGAGTTACCTGCCCTAAGGTGAGGGATCATAGGATGTCATTGTTGTCAGGAAGTAGAAGGCTCTATTTTTCAGACCTCTTCACCTGCCCTCCTGTAGGTATTGGTGTTCCTCAGAGCCAAGTACTTGCCTCTTTTCTTTTCTGTCCTCTCCCTGAGTGATCTCACTCATCCTTGAGTCTCACCTAACCTTATAAACTGACTCCCATATCCAAGTATCCGGCCCAGACTCCTCTCAAGAGCCACAGGCTCAGACATCAGACCAAATCACCTGGACCTCCCGTTTGGTGGCCCACAGTCAACTCAAAGTTGGTTCGGAACTGAGTTTGTCATCTTTCTCCATGAACCTCCTCCTCCACCTTCCCTCCTCTAGGGACTCCACCATAATTTACAGTCACAGAAGCCAGCAGCCTGGGGACTCCACCTTTCTCACACCTCAAGCACCATGGAATCCACCGCCCCAACACCCAGCCTTCATCTTAATTCAGGCCCCCATCACTGCTTGCTACCAATTGTTACAATAATTTTCTAATTGTCTCCATTCTCTACTTGCTGCCAGAGTGAGCATTCTAAAGCACAAGTCGAATTTGCATCTCTCTTGCTTTAAAATAAAGTATGCTTTTAGCGATTTGCCATTATTTACAGCAGTGCTGTCTAATAGAAATATAATAGGGGTGATGTATGTAATTTAAAAATTTTTTGAGACCACATTTAAAAAAGAAAAAACAAGGTGAAGTTAATTTTAATTACATGTATATATATATATATATATATATATATATATATATATATATATATATATTTTTTTTTTTTTTTTTTTGAGACGAAGTCTTGCTCTGTTGCCCAGGCTACAGTGCAGTGGCGTGATCTCGGCTCAAGGCAACCTCCACCTCCCGGGTTCAAGCAGTTCTCCTGCCTCAGCCTCCAGAGTAGCTGGGATTACAGGCGCCTGCCACTGCGCCTGGCTAATTTTTGTATTTTTAGTAGAGACGGGGTTTCACCATCTTGGTCAGGCTGGTCTCAAACTCCTGACCTCATGATCCACCCACCTCAGCCTCCCAAAGTGCTGGGATTACAGGCGTGAGACACTGTGCCCGGCAATAATATATTTATTTAACTCAGTTTATCTAGTACGTTATCATTTCCACATGTAATCAATATAAAATTATCTCTGTTTTATATTATTTTTCATATGAAGTCTTTGCAATCCATTGTGTATTTCACGTGTACATCTCAAACTGGCCTGACCACGTTTTAGGTGCTCTGTAGCCACATGTGGCTAATGGCTACCTTGGTGGACAGCACAGATTCAGAGACTAGAGCCCTAGTCCTTCATATGGAATAGAAGGCACTGGGTGATGCGACCTGCCCTACCTCTGGCCTCATCCCTCTTGTTATGCCCCACATCACATCTTCTCTCCAGGCAAATCACAAATACTCCCGAGTCTTTCATCCATTGTACCTTTGCTTAGGCCCCTCCTATCTTGCCTTCTGGGGTCTGTCCATCCCTTCAGTCCTCACATCCCACCTCTTCAGCCAGATGAACACTTCCTCCTCTGCTCAAGACTAGTTTGAGCATCACCCACTTCCTGAAGCCTTTTCCTCTCTGACTCCCAGGGAGGGACTGAGCCCCACTCTGCCCTGTTCAGACTTCTATTCCAACTAATACCTATACCCGTCAGTGCATTTATTTGTTTACTGAACTGATCCATCACACTAGATTTTAAGCCCCTTAAGGTCAAGGACCTTGTCTTGCCTTTTTTTTCCCCTCAGCGCCTGTACCTAAGTACATCAAAGATGATGAACCAATGTTTGGCAGATGAATTGACTAATCATCAAGAAACTGAGGGCCAGGCATGGTGGCTCACACCTGTAATCCCAGGACTTTGGGAGGCCCAGGAGGGCAGATCGCTTGAGGTCAGGAGTTCAAGACCAGCCTGGCCAACATGGTGAAACTCTGTCTTTAGTAAAAATACAAAAATTAGCCGAGTGTGGTGGTGGGCACCTGTAATCCCAGCTACTGAGGATGAGGCAGCAGAATCACTTGAACCCGGGAGGTGGGCTGAGATCATGCCACTGCACTCCAGCCTGAGCAACAGAGCCAGACTCCAAAAAAGAAAGAAAGAAAGACGGCTGGGCGTGGTGGCTCATGCCTGTAATCCCAGCACTTTGGGAGGCCGAAGCGGGCGGATCACGAGGTCAGGAGATCGAGACCATCCTGGCTAACATGGTGAAACCCCATCTCCACTAAAAATACAAAAAATTAGCCAGGCTTGGTGGCGGGCGCCTGTAGTCCCAGCTACTGGGGAGGCTGAGGCAGGAGAATGGCGTGAACCCGGGAGGCAGAGCTTGCAGTGAGCCGAGATTGTGCCACTGCACTCCAGCCTGGGAGACAGAGAGACTCCGTCTCAAAAAAAAAAAAAAAGAAAGAAAAAGAGAAAGAAACAAAGAAAGAAAGAAAGAAAGAAAGAGAAAAAGAAACTGAGGCCTAGAAAGATGAAGTGACTTGCCCAAAGGTCTCATAACTGACACACAGCCTCTGGACTTACATTGCAGACTCTCAGTCCCGTGTTCATCCTGCCACTAGGTTAGGTGATGTCCTAGGTCTAATCTGTAGTGTACACATGGAAAGATATAAGTGAAGATTGGTTTGAGGTGCCAACTGCTAAAATTTAGGTGACTTGGATCACAATCCTGCTGTTTCTTGTATGGTTTCTTTTCAGTTTTAGTTGCACTATATTTCACTGCCTTCAAATAATTACTAGGAAATGACAGGGACCAGAAGAAACATAGGCACATAGTACAGGATGATACACAGCCCTTTATCAGAGCTGACTTCACTTACAGATGAAGAGGATGGCTGCAACCTGGGGAAAGAGTCTCTTTGCCTGAAAACTATCTGAAGTTCTTTTTTAGTGCAATCTTAGCGCACTGCAACCACCACCTCCCAGGTTCAAGCAATTCGCCTGCCTTAGCCTCCCGAGTAGCTGGGACTACAGGCACGCACCACCATGCCCAGCTAATTTTTTTGTGTTTTTAGTAGAGACGGGGTTTCATCATGCCGGCCAGGCTGGTCTCAAACTCCCGACCTTGTGATCCACCCGCCTCAGCCTTTCAAAGTGCTGGGATTGCAGGTGTGAGCCACCGAGCCTGGCCAATTTTTTTATTTTTAGTAGAGATGGGGTTTCACCATGTTGGCCAGGCTGGTCTCGAGCTCCTGACCTCAGGTGATCCACCTGCCTCGGCTTCCCAAAGTGCTGGGATTACAGGCGTGAGCCACTGCACCTGGCCCTATCTGAAGTTCTTGAAGCCTAGTTAAGGACCTGATTAATGGACCAACTGGAGTGCCCAGGGGTCTGGAGGGCCTGGTCCTAGCAATGGACCTGCTCCCAGCTTGCAAGCTGTTTACACTCCTAGTTTTGGCTTCCTCATCTGTAAGATGAAGGGAGCCGACTGGCATTGCAAGCTGCAAATACATGACTCAGTGCCCTCCTTTCATTACCCACTGCAGACACTGCTACTTAGTTCTTCTCTGGGTTCTTCTCTGCCTTGGAATTCTTCTTTCCACCCTGCCATGGAGCTGTCATTCTTCTAGCTGAAAGCTTTTTGCCTTTGAGACTCTCCTAGCTCTGACCTAATTCCCATAACTAGATGCAAATGACCATGAGAGAGTAACACCTCAAGTTCTTGCCAGCTTTAATCAACTGCTAAACTCTCAGGGCCTTATTCTGCCAAGGCCACCCAGGAGGCCTAGGAGATAAGAGCAGGAGAGGAGGTGATAGAAGAAAAGGAAGTCTAGTGCCTACCAGGGCATCAGGGCACACATTGGGCCTATTGCCTGAGCATCCATTGTGGGCACACACTTCAGGGTGCTTTGTAGAAGAAATGCCACAAGAGAAGAGCCTGGCCTGCTGCCCTTGAGTAGCATGCAGTTAGTTTAATACAAGAGCCAGAAAATATCATTTCTGTTCCCAATGACGTGAGTAGCCAGAGTGGGAACTTGTATATCTAATTAATGGCTCTGTTGTCAAGTGTCCAGGACAGTGCCTGGCACAAAGTAGTCTCTCAGTAAATATTTGAATGAATGAATGAAAAACAAATGTACACACACACTGACAAAGGAACACTCTCCACCCTTGACGCTTCACTGGGTACCGTAGAGTTGAACTCCCAGCCAGCATGGAACTCACATTTTCATGGTGCTTTCCTTCCTCCCCTCAGATTTTTCCAAATGAGGCCATGTTACCTTAATTTAATGTCTAAAATACACACAATTATGCACTCCCCCTCAAACTCAAACCCCACTTTCTGTGGTTTTTGTGGTTTGTTACACATTCATTAAGTGTATTTTTACCGTTGTTGTTATTTTTTTAAGCAGATCTAAGCCCGTTTTAGGTAGAAATGCATTCCTCTTCTTGGGGCTGCAACAGGAAATTCTAAAAACCCTTTGTGGAGGTGCATCTTCCGTGAAGTTAAAGGTTCCAGGCCCAGCCTTCCAGCCACGTGGTTCAGGGTTAGTAGCTGATACTTCTGTGGAAACCTTGTCCATAAAGGGTCAGTTAGCACCAGGGGAGGGGCCTGGCAAGAGGTGAAACTCCAAGCACATCTATTAATTATGAGAGAGAACAACATGTTTTTATTTTGCTGTTCATTTAAACTGGAACTGAGAAAGGTTGCTGGGTCCCCACACATTATCTTCCTCCTCCCTCCTCCCCCCTCCCCCCGCTCCCCTTCCCCTCTGTGTACCTGCATGGGCTTGTGTTTGTGTGTGCACGGGTGCACATGGGTGTGTGTGTGTGTGTTTGCTGGCTCAGACTCTGTGCCCATACTTTGACACATTATTGCTTGGATTTATTCCTCTTCTGGGAAACAGGCACACGTCATTCAATTTAGAAGACGTGGGCTGACATCTACCACGTACAAGACCCCCTTGGCAATCTGGGTGACTCAGGAAGCAGAGCAAGTAGGTGCTTAGACCAATGGCAAAACCCCTCCCTTCCTTGCCCCACTCCTAGGCCAAGGAAAAAAGTTCAGCTTTATTGCATTCATCCAGGATTTTGCAATCAAAATCTCTAGAAGGAAGCTATTTTGAGCTCAGCCCACATGGATGGGTGGCATTTTTTTCAGATTTAGAATTGTTTTTCTTTGAATTTCATATGAGGGAGGACTGATCTTTCAGGATATCTAAGGGTCTTAACCCAGCCCTGTCTTAGTGACAGTCCCTGTGGGAACACGAAGATGAATCACACAAGGTCTCCAGGACAAGACCCACGCAGCACAGTAACCACAGCCTCTCCAAGCTCGAGTCCCTTGGTCTGAAGCTGGTAAAGAGGAGCAAGGAATCCCTGTGACCACAGGGGCCAGGCAGCACAGTTCCAGAGCCCTGGGGCAGAAGCCATGTGCAGGGCTGTCATTCCTTGGGACCAATATGAGTCATATCCAGAGAGCTGGGCATCCTAGAAACATTTTCTGGAAGCAAAATCTGCTGATCTAGGGGTCAGGGGGCTAAGGCTCTTTTTCTAGCTCTGTCAAGAATTCCTTTGAGATCCTGTGTCCAAGAGCCCTTTGCAAACACAAAACCCACATTCCATGGTTTATGACTGACATCCCGTGGGTACCTCCAGCACATCATAGAACTTCTCTGAGAGGCCCTCACCTAAATGATGAGGTAATAAACATGCCTGAGAGAGTGGGTGTGTAAGCCTTTGGGAAGGTATGTGATGGTGGGCCAAGATAAACAGCTTTTAGCATCATCTCTCTTTCCCATCACACACACAAACAACTGCCCCTCAACCGTAATGAAAGCAGCCGGTCCCTGCCAGGCACTGAGCTAAGTTACACGTCTTCATTTATATAGCAGCTCCTTAAGCCCCTCCCCTGATCTCAAGGCCTTCTGGTGAAAGATCCAAGTCCAAAAGTTGAAGGAATCTAATTACATGTGGGGAGAAGGACCAGGTATGGATTCCAGCACTCATTTTGCAAAATGCTTAGAGGATAAAGCAGAGATCTCCTGCTCTGCGGGTGTGTCTCTGTCTTTCCTCAAGATGGCCTGTGGGAAGAGAGGCTGGCCTTGGAAGCGAGAGCCCACCCCTTGGAGCTCCCTCATGTCCTTCCCTAGGCACAGGTGGGTTCTGTCTTCCCTCCAGTGGGGTCCACAGAGCATGTGACCAGGGGCAGAAGTTTTCCCTGGGCTTGAGATGGGGTGTGGGTTTGAGTTTTGCTGCCCTGGGCCTAGAACTCCATTTCCCCATTTGTTTTTTGACCAGGTTGAGACATAGTTCCAGTGTGAACTGATTTCCCCATCTCTGGGCTATGCTATCGCAAATAACTCACACATGAGTAATGTGCCCATGTTTGTGTAGAGTTTATTTAGATAAGAAAAACAACTCGAGGCCTCATGGGAGGGGCTGCTCAGCACCACTGAGCCAGGCGTTTCCTGGGCCTGCCCAGGAGAGCCAGGCCTTCAGGCTGCTGGAGGGTGGCTGAAAAGCCCACATGCTCAGACATCTCCAGGGCCTGCCCATGGGAAGAAAAGTGAGGGATGGAACAGAGGATGGGGAACAGAGGACAGGGAAGCTGGAAGCTGGGTATTGAGTGTAGCTCTGTAGCCATAGTTGTGTGCCCTTGGGTAAGACACTTCAACCCTCTGAGCACTAGTTTCCCCTCTTTGCAAAGGGACAGGTTGGGGGAAAATAATAACAACATCCAGCCACCAAAGGATTGTGGAGATTAAAAGAAATGACCTAAGGGAGAGACTTTGTAAACTGCAGAGGCCAACACACAAGTTAGTTATTAATTAACGGCTGGATTAAGGCCGTGTTTTCAGGCCACACTCAACAGTGGAGTTGGCACAATGCCGGGATTCAAAGGCCTGGGTCCAAGTTCCAATCTGCCAGCACCCAGTCACAAGACCTCAAGCCTCCTCATCTCCCCGAGACCTAGGATCACCTCTGTGAAGTGAGGATAGTGATTCTTCCACCACATAATCCTTGAGGCTCTGTGTTGGCAGTTTTGAAGCAAAGGATAGCTATGAACCTGTTTTGTGAACTGTACAATGTACAAATATGAGATGATGCTGCCAAGTTATTCAAAGGGTCATTCATCAGTGAATCAACGTATCAACAAGCCTATTAGCTGGACAGTTGAGGATACACCAATAAGCCGTCTAGCTGGGGATGAGAAGAGGGAGGGCTGCACGTGAAGGGTTAATTCACAATGTAGAGTGATAGTGGTGAGCAGACTTTTAGGCTGAAGGCTGAAGGGCTCATCCTTTTTAAATTTTGAAACAAGGTCCTGCATTGTCACCCAGTCACCCAGGCTGAGTACAGTGGCACAATCATGGCTCATTGTAGTCTCCACCTCCCAGGCTCAAGCAATCCTCCCATCTCAGCCTCCCAAGTAACTGGGACTACAGGTGCGCACCACCATGCCCAGCTAATTTTTTGTATTTTTTGTAGAGGTGGGGTTTCGTCATGTTGACCAAGCTGGTCTTGAACTCCTGAGCTCAAGCAATCTGCCTGCCTCGGCCTCCCAAAGTGCTGGGATTACAGGTATGAGCCACCAAACCTAGACTCCTTTTTTTTTTTTTTTTTAACCTATAACCCTTTGGGAACAATGTCTTAACACAGTCACTTGTTTAAAAGAAATCTATTTTTTTTAAAGCAGAACTGATTTTTCAAACAAAGAGTTAAACAGAACCCCAGGTTATAAAGCATGAAAGCAAATCTGCTCTGGATGAAACAGGGGTCTGGGCCCAGAGCCAGGACTATGTAGCACCCCCACTCCACCCACTCACTGGTCTATCTCACCAGTCCTACTCCTCAACAGCCCCAGAGGCACCCCCTCCAAGTGCAGAGTTTCTACAGCTTCCAAATCACAGCCTCCTGGTCTGTGAAGCATGTATCCCAGAGACACTCTCACACCAGGAGGCACGTGCATGCATGTTCATAGAAGCATTACTTATGGTGATGATCATTGGAAACAACCTAAATGTCCATCAGCAAGAAAAAGGGTAAATACATCATGATCTATGTACACAGTGTAATTAACTTTGCTACAGTGAAAGTGAATGAATGTGAGCTACATGTATCAACAAAGATTAAGCTCTCAAATACACTACTGAGTGCAAAGAATAAGTTGCAGAATATGTGCTACATTGTATCGAATCTAAAACTAAAAAAATTATATATACTTAGTGATACATATACACATAGTTAGAGTATGAAGATGTGCATGGGAAATAAAGCTTCTAGAAGAAAACATAGGAGAATATCTTTATGACTTTGGGATAGGCAAAGATTTCTTAAATAGGGCACAAAGCATTAACCATAAAGAACTGATACATTCGATTTTCATTAAAATTAAGAACTGTGGCCGGGTGCAGTGGCTCACGCCTGTAATCCCAGCACTTTGGGGGGCCAAGGCGGGGGGGATCACCTGAGGTCAGGAGTTTGAGACTAGCCTGACCAGTATGGTGAAACTCAGTCTCTAGTCTCTACTAAAAATACAAAAATTAGCTGGCCGTGGTGGGGTGCACCTGTAGGCCCAGCAACTCAGAAGGCTGAGACAGGAGAATCGCTTGAACCCAGGAGGTGGAGGTTGCAATGAGCCGAGATTGCGCCACTGCACTCCAGCCTGGGAGGCAGTGAGACTCTGTCTCAAAAAAAAAAAAAAAAAAAAAAATTAAGAACTGTTCATGAAAAGAGACATTGAAGAAATACTGAAAAGGAATACAAAAAATAGGAAACGAGATTTGCAATATATATTGAAGGAACTCCTCCAAGTTACACAATGAACTGTAGATCAATATGAAAAGGAAAGGAGGTCAATTTTTTAAAAATGAAACTTGAACAGCTCTTTATAAAAGAGAATATTCAAAGGCTGCTAAGCATATAAAAGGGTGTTCATCCTTACTAATTACCTGGAAAATGCAAATTAAAACATAATGCCATACACCACATACCCATTAGGATGGCTAAAATTTAAAAGATTAACAACACCAGTACTGTCAAGGATGCGGATTAATCAGAGCTCTCATCCATTGCTGGTGGGAAAGTAAATTGGTGCAACCACTTTGGACAACGGTTTGACAGCATTCACTATTGAACACATGTAAACATCCTCCCAAATTCTACTCCTAGTTACATACCCAGGAGAAATAAGCCATTAAGTCCATCAAAAGACATGTATAAGAATGCTTATATATTCATAATAACCTTAAACTGGAAATAACACAAATGTCCATCATTAGTAGGATGGATAAATTATGGTATAGTCACACAAGAATTCTACACAGCAGTAACAACAAATGAACTACTGCTGTGCAAAACAACAGGGTGACTCTTACAGGTGAAATAAGCCAGACACAAAAGAGAATCATGTGTATGATTTCACACTTAGGAAGGCCAAAAGCTGGCGAAACTCATCCGTGTGGTAGAGGTCAGACCAGTGGTACACTGAACTGGTACTTCCTGAGGAAGCTTTCTGGAGTTCTGGACATGTTTCCTAGCTTGATCCAAGTGGTGGTTGCACAGACAGACATATTCATTGGTAAAATCCATCAAGTTGTACATTTAAGATTTGTGCACCTAATGCAAGTGATACTTTGATTAAAAACTTACAAAATGAAAAGATATGTATGGGAATGAAAATTACAAAGTTCAGGGCAAACACTACATTCAGCACCGTTCCTTATGTGGGGAGGGAGAAATCACCTTGGAGTTGTGAGTTGTGATATAAAACAACCCAGATGTTCCCGTTTACCAAAGTGAGACTGTGCCTGGTGCCATGGCCCGCACCTGTAATCCCAATACTTTGGGAGGCTGAGGCAGGTGGATCACTTAAGTTCAAGACCAGCCTGGGCAACATGGTGAGACTTTGTCTCTATAAAAAATACAAAAAATTGGCCGGGCGTGGTGGCTCATGCCTGTAATCCCAGCACTTTGGGAGGCCGAGGCAGGTGGATCATGAGGTCAAGAGATCGAGACTATCTTGGCCAATGTGGTGAAACCCTGTCTCTACTAAAAATACAAAAATTAGCTGGGCATGGTGGTGCGTGCCTGTAGTCCCAGCTACTCGGAAGGCTGAGGCAGGAGAATCGCTTGAACTCGGGAGGTGGAGGTTGTAGTGAGCTGAGGTCATGCCACTGCACTCCAGCCTGGTGACAGAATGAGACTCTGTCTCATAAATAAATAAATAAATAAATAAATAAATAGTCAGGCATGGTGGCATGCACCTGTAGTGGGAGGCTGACATCAGGGGATCACTTGAGCTTAGAAGGTGGAGGCTGCAGTGAGCTCTGACTGCACCACTGCACTCCAGCCTGGGGAACAGAGTGAGACCCTGTCTCAAAAACAAAAAAAACAAAAAACAAAAACAAGGTTAAGACTGTCTTGGAAACTGAAGGGGCCCAGAAAACCTACAAGACCTGCCTGAGATTTTATTTAGGGATAAGAAGAAAGCAAGCAAGCTGAAAAGGACAGAAAAAGAAAATAATGTTGACTTCAGTTTGCAGGTTAAATCCCATTGACCATATAAGGGTTACATCCATGTAAAGTGCCTGGCTCATAGTAGTGCACCCATCATTTCCCCTTCACCATAGGAGAAGCTGCATCCCAGGCGATCCAAGCCCAACGAATTCCTCCCACTCCCAGGAAGGGCTTGCTTGAGGCCAGAGGCTGGCAGGGAAAAAAAACTCCTCTGCAAAATGTTGCCTCAGCCTCTGGAATTTACACTTACCCCACTGCCGTCTGCTCAACATTCCTGCCTGAAATTCCAGCCGAACCATAGGAAACAACTGCTCTGTGAAGGTCCAGGAACTGGCAGGGGCTGGCAGGCCTCTCCCAACTCCCAAATTGCTGTCACAGGCTATGACCTCACTTCCTTAGCCCGCTCCAGGGTGAGCCTCCTCTCCAGTCCTGAATGTTCGGTGGGCAGGAGGGCAACAGCGTGGGCCTGGACCAGATCATGGCAGGCCACTGAGCAGGGCTTGGCCAGGTTACTGCCGTGGATCATTTCCCATTTTGGAGAGTCAAACCCCAATACCCTTGCTCAAAGTTAAATGCGCAGAGGAAATTCCCTGTTCTGGGAGGCTTGGGGGAAGTGGATGCTCCCTCGGCTCAGCTTTCTTGATGAGTCGAAGGGAGGAAAGGAGTTGTGTTTCTTGAGTGCTTACTCTATACCAGGCCCTGTGCTAGGCTTACACTCTTCAGAATGACTGTGTGAGGCCAGATGCAGTGACTCACGCCTGTAATCCCAGCTCTTTGGGAGGCTGAGGTGGGCAGATCACCTGAGGTTGGGAGTTCGAGACCAGCCTGACCAACATGGAGAAACCCCATCTCTACTAAAAATACAAAAATTAGCCGGGTGTGGTGGTGCATGCCTGTAATCCCAGCTACTCAGGAGGGTGAGGAAGGAGAATCCCTTGAACCTGGGAGGTGGAGGTTGTGGTGAGCAGAGATCGCGCCATTGCTCTCCAGCCTGGGCAACAAGAGCGAAACTCTGTCTTAAAAAAAAAAAAAAAAAAAAAAAAGAATGACTATGTGAGATGGATATTATTTTTCCCATTTTACACATGAGAAGGATAATGTCTGAGAAGTTAGAAAACTAGCAGATACTGGGGCTGCTCTTCCCACACATTGTCTCCACAGCATTCTAGTACTCTGGATATGGTAACAATTTCATGTTAACATGCTTCATAGCAGTTGACCATTCAGCAAGTTTCAATTTTTTTTTTCTGGCATATATTGAATGAAGTACTGTAGTGTTAAGAGACAGTAGCTGGGCAGGGCGTGGCGCCTCACACCTGTAATCCCAGCACTTTGGGAGCCTCAGGTGGATGGATCACTTGAGCTCAGAGATTTGGGACTAGCCTGGGCTACATGGTGAAACCCCATCGCCACAAAAAATACAAAAATTAGCTGGGCATGGTGGTATGCACCTGTAGTCCCAGCTACTTGAGAGGCTGAAGTGGGAGGATCACTTGAGCCTGGGAGATAGAGGCTGCAATGAGCTGAGGTCACACCACTGCACTCCAGCCTGAGTGACAGAGCGAGACCCTGACTTAAAGGAAAAAGAGAGAGAGAGAGAGAGAGAGAGACAAGGGCTGGGGCCAGCCTGCCTGAATTCTAACACTCATGAGCTGTATTCCCATAGTAGAGTTTTTCAACTCTCTGAACCTCAGCTTCCTTATCTGTAAGGAAGGATAATAATAACTCCTTCTCGATCACACTGTGAAGATAGCATGTGATCGTGCACGGCAGGAAGCATTTGATTCAGACCTTGACATACTGTGATTATTACTTGTGGTTACTGTTGTCATAACCTAGTGAGGGGATGGGACAGAGCCTATGGTTATCCCACATTGATACATGATTAAGACTCTGAAGTTCAAAGGTTAGTTGATATTCGAAGTCACACATTATCACTGAGATGGTTCTAATAACCCATGGCCTGGCTCTCTGCAGGGGGCCAGCTCCCTCAAGGGGTCCCTGCCAACTTCTAGAGGTCTCCCATGGGTTTCTGAGCATTTGCCAGCACACTCTCCCCTCATAGCAGGCAAAGCGGGAGGCACTGAGCTGCGTGCAAAGATGAGGAAGGATGTGTAGGTGGCTGGTGCTGCAGGCTACCCGAGAACACTGGTTCTATGTACTTTGTACTCTGGGGAGCAGTTTGCAGTGGTGGGAAGAGGTGGCTGCTTGGAATAGACAAAAAGTACAGAAGCCTCTGTAGGCAAAAAGCTCTCCCCCACATGGTCTTCCATTCCTCTGTTCCAAACCATATAAGACTTTCTCTGCCCTCAGAATAAAATCCTTAACATAGTTTCATGTCATGTTGAATTTTTTCCTAGCTCCTTCCCAGTTTGATCCCTTGAAGCATGACATTGAGCTTCTCTATCCTTCTTCCCCCATCAACCCCTACACACACACACACACACACACACACACACACACACGCACACACAAGCACTCATACCTTCACACATTCACACTGCAAGCTCAGTTCTCCCCAGGCTAGGTTGAGGACCCCCCTCCCCCTCCTCAGGTAGAAATCAGCCACATCTGGCCATCTGGACAATTGCCGGCCTGGACTCGAAGAGCAAGAGCAAATCTGCAAGCCAGCAGAGGAACCCAGCTCATTCTGAGTAAAAATAACCTGTCAAATCAATTACAGCGGCAGAACCAATTAGGGTGACCGCAGGGGAATAAATATGCAGTGTTTAACTTAATCATCTTTCTGTTCGAACAGCACTCCGGCAGGGCTGCATGACTAAGGCAAATGACTATTACATAACTGGTATTTTTATTCCTTGCCCCTTCTCTTTAGAAAGAGAAGCCAGTAAATTTCATTTTCCTTTAAAGTGGAAAAAAAGACAAAGGAAAAGAAAGAAGATTGTTTCTGAACTTGCACAAATGATCAAAAAAAAAAAAAAAAAGGACAGCCTGGGGCCCTCTGTTAGCAACAAATTAATGTAGAACTACTCACTAGCTATGTGACCTTAGGTGAGTCATTTTCTTCTGTGATTCCGCATCTATGAAGGGAGGCACTTAGAGCTGATGATCCCCAAGAGCCATTCTTGCAAATCCTGACTTTCTATTACCTAGGACAACTTTGACTCTGAAATTCTTTATGGCCATGGTGGGATCTTACTTACCTTTGAGTTACCCCATTGCTCCTTGTACAGTGTCTGTATACTCAGGTGCTCAATAAATACTTGCCAAACTGTTCTTTATTTCAACATTTCCTGTCTCTAGGATACTTGCTAGGGACTGGGAGATAGGCACCCAAGTAGTATAAAGAAGTTGTCTCCCATTTGAGGGAGGCCAGGCATGCCTCTGAGAAATGACAGAGTCTAGTGTGCATAGGCTGGATGCGTGCTGGAGGCAATAGATACTCAGAGAAGAAGGATCTTTCTTTCTTCCCTTCTTTCCTTCTTCCCTTCTTTCCCTTCCTTCTCTACCTTCCCTTCCCTTTTCCTTCCTTCTCTACCTTCCCTTCCCTTTTCCTTCCTTCTCTACCTTCCCTTCCCTTTTCCTTCCTTCTCTACCTTCCCTTCCCTTTTCCTTCCTTCTCTACCTTCCCTTCCCTTTTCCTTCCTTCCTTCTCTACCTTCTCTCCCCTTTTCCTTCCTTCCTTCCTTCTCCCTTTTTCTTTCTTTCTTTCTTTCTTTTTGTTTTGTTTTTGTTTTTTTCTGAGACAGGATCTCTCTCTGTTGCCCATGCTGGAGTGCAGTGGCATGATCTTGGCTTACCGCAGCCGTGGTCTCAAGTGATCCTCTCTGTTCAGCCTTCTGAGTAGCTGGGACTACTGGTTGGAATTAAAGATAGTCAGATGTTGAGCATAAACGCTTTCTTAATTGGTGGCTGCTTTTAGGCAGATTTTTAAATTTTTTGTAGAGACATGGGGGTCTCACTATGTTGCCCAGGCTGGTTTTGAACTCCTGGACTCAAGTGATCCTCCCATCTCAGCCTCCCAAAATGCTGGGATTACAGGAGTGAGCCGCTGTGCTTGGCCAAGAGGGATATTTCTAACCCGAGAACGGTCATGAAGCACTTCCTGGAGAAGGTGAAATAGCACTGGTCCTTGAAAGACATTTAGAATTCTGACCAGTCAATAAGATGAAAGATACTGTAGGGGTATCTGTAGGAATGGCCTACGTAGAAGTGAGGAGAGAGAAAACCTAACAGTGGTGGGTGGTTTGTGTTGGGAAGCAAAAAACGAAAAAAAAAAAAAAAAGAAAAGATATCTTGGAATCAGACTGAGAAATGCTTTGGAAGCCAGGCTGGGGAGGGTGGGGCATATCCTGGAAGCAATGGGAAAGGAAGGTGGGATGGAGTCTCTATAGTTTCATCATCTTCTCTGGCCAGTGGGTAAATTCACCATTCTAAATAGTTAGAGATGAACTTTATTTCTGTTCTGTTCTCCCTGGGAACAGCCTAGAGGTCTAGAACCATGGGGAAGGAAGTAGGGGACTGTCATTGATTGCACAGAATACAGTTCTTTTGCCCTGCCTATCATACCAAAGCCCTAGGTTTGCTTACTTTGCCCAAGTGCAAATTCACAGCTTTTCAGGGCTGTAAAGGTCAATTATTAGAGCGGATGCTGTCGGTGCCCTGACCCATCTCCTCAGCACTCACCTCCACACTGAATTCAGGTCGCTCACATCTAATACCCATGAGCACTGTGGCCAGCGTGGGGCAAAGCCCAAAGTGCCCAAGAATTGATATCCCTGGCGAACAGCCCTCTATGAATGAGGGACGAGCATTTGGTGGATAAATCCCCAGTTTCCTTACCCCTTGGGCAGATGAACTCTGAGGTGTGTTTTCCAACTCTGTCTCCCAGAGTGTTTCCAACACCAGTTGCCTGTGGTGACAACCTGCTCAGCAGCATGCCTCACACTGGCTTCCTTCCGTTCTCTGTCTCACTTCCACACCCTTCACCTGAGTTTCTAGGGATCACCTTCTAAATGACCTATTACTCACACTTGAATCCTTGACTCAAGCTTCTGGGGAAACTGAAACCAAAATAATTCATAAATGTCCCTCATTATATGGCTGGGGAAACTGAGGCCCAGAGAGGAGAAGATGATTTGCTTAAGGTCACCAAACAGCTGGCTTAGGCGAGAGCCTGGGCCTCCAGGCCCCCAGCCCAGGGCCCTCCCGCTAGACCAGACAAGTCTTAGATTAGTGCTCCCTCCCCTCTGCTCCCCCGCTGAGGCGCCACAAAGTCACAAGTCAGCAGCAGAAACTATTCTTCCTCCACTCCTATTTGAGCAGAAAGCAAGGGGCCTCAGCAAGGGGGAAGGGGCGAGGCCTGAGGCTCCCAGATGTGGCCCTCATTCTCCTGGAAAGTGGGCTTTTGTCTCTGCGGTAACCAGGGCAGCCGCCCCATTTATCTGGTTTTAGCAAAGCAGCCGCATCCTTTGGTTTCAACTGCTGGGGTTGAAATGGTATGTTTGCAAAATGGAGTTATTAGCCCTTAAAAAGGAGGAGGAGGGTTTTTTTCTCAGGAAAAGGAAGATGAAGCTTGGGGTCTTTCCATATCAATGTCGAAGAAGTGCAATATACACAGAAATGACTTTAGGGGACCAGAGAAATCCTAAGTAAAGATGGAAACCAGCAAGTGGAGTTTAGATAGATAGAGTGATATCCTTTTTAAAGCAAGCAAATACATCTTATAACAAGGTAGCTGTTTGCTGTCAGTGAAAGGAATCCAAGGGGAATATTGCTGAGAAACAAAGGCATTTTCTGTCTCTTTAAATAACTCAAGGCAGCCTGACATCTTAGTTAACAGAGGAAACAAAGATGTTGTATGCTCAGGGAAAGGAAACTATTTTTCTCTTGAAAAGAAAGCAGATGTTATCATCTAGCTCTAGAAAAGTTTGAGGTACCCAAGCACAAAGTGACACTTTGCCAGGTTTAATAAACATTGCTTTGATGTGCCAACAACCCCTAACTAAACTGGTCACTTAAATGAACTAACCTTTAGGCTACTAATGGATTATTATCATAGTTCACCTCTCTGTGTATGAAGTTCCCTTGAGCAAATCCCTAGACTGAAGATCCCTTGAGCAAATCATTCTATCCTTGCCTTGCCATGAAGTATTTGTGAAGGGCTAATTGCAAATTCATTTGTTCCGTCATTCAGAAGTTCGGTATTTTTACTGTGTGGTTGGACAAATACAATACATGCAGATAATGGACTAAATTGGTCACACTTGTAATTGTGTAAGGTCAAAAACAGGACCCAGAGCATCCATGCTGAAGGCAGGGCAGGGAAGCAAAGCTGAAAAAAGCTTGGGAAGTCAGGCTGGGGAGGGTGGGGCATATCCTGGAAGCAATGGGAGAGGAAGGTCAGAAAGTCTGTAGTCTATCCTGGGGAAGGAAAGGGAAGATTTCATTGAGATTATCTTTTTTCTCTGGCCCTCACATTTTTTGGGAAGAATCCGAATGAATAGGTAAGAAAGACTTAGTAGCTTGGCTGGGGCAGATGGCATATGATGTAGAATTGTTAGATTAAGTTGGAAAGATAATGTGAGTTTCAGTTTGGAGGACTTGAGATGCATGCAAAGAAGCCTAGGCTTTATCCTAAAGGTAGCAGGGAGCCATTGGATGTTCAGGATCATATTGGGGGAGGAAAATTGAGCTCAAGATGGTTGCCTACTTACCCTCAAAGGGCAGTCTTTAGCATCCCTGATATGATATTGATATGATGAATCACTTATGAAGTCCATTCACCCAACTGGCTAATTTTCTGTCTTTGGGGTTGGGGGAGGAAGAAAGGAGGTAAGTTATTGGATTTCAAAGTACAAAGTGGAAGAGGAATTTCTCAATTGGATCAATCAGTAGGGACACACTCTCCCTGCTGGGAGCCAAGAGCCAGCTGTTGCCCAGGTCAGGTGCAAACTATGGAATTATAGCAGCACCCATTTGAGCAGCTGGTTAGAATGCTTCTGGGTTTTCCCTTAGACACTTAACCTTTTTATAGCTCAGCCACAAAACTTTTGCTTCAGGCCAGACCTCAGCCTGTTACTTGCTTAATTAATTGTTTTTCTTTCCAGCATCCCTCCAAAATCTATCAGAGAATAATACTTCAGCTAGGTCTCTTGCATTTCTGCAAGAGGTCTCTTCATTTCTGAATTATTTGGGTTTTTCCCCTTCCACTCCTCTGAGACCAGACTTTGGAAATGTATGTTTCAATCAATACTCTATTAAGCAGAAAGCTCAGGGAGGAGAGGATGCAAGGTAATAACATTTTCTGTCTAATGGAGGATTCTTTTAATAAAACTCAATTTGTTTCAGTCCTCTTTGTAGCTGCTGGTTATTAAAAAAATGCCCGAGTCCACTTTTTCTGCCCTCTGGTTGTGATTAAGTGAATCCTTGCTGAAGAGGGTTCTTGTAGGCCACAGAGGAGCGGTGTGGTCATCAATAACCACAGGCCAGGGTTGGAAAATAGGATGGAAAAGGAGAAGGGTAGGGGTTAGCCACCACTGACTGTGTGGCTGCAGGGCACCATGGGAACCCCGGCTGGCTGCCACCACACCCTTCACTCACCCTTCACCAGCCCCCTCCCCTCACCTAACCCAGAACAGGAAGGCAGGGCCAAAGTCAAGACACAATCTTTTTTCTTCCCTAATCTTCACCCAACTTTCATGAAGAAAAGGCAGACATTGGGGAAAATGCTGTTAAGGGGACTTGTTTTTTGTTTTGTTTTGTTTTGTTTTTGAGACAGTGTCTTGCTCTGTTGCCCAGGCTGGAGTGCTATGGCGTGATCTTAGCTCATTGCAACCTCAACCTCCTGGGCTCAAGCGATCCTCCCACCTCAGCCCTGCCAAGTAGCTGGGACCACAGGCATGCACCACCATGCCCAGCTTAAATTTGTTTATTTTTCTTTTAGAGATGGGGGCTTCCTATGTTGCCCAGACTGCTCTTGACTCCTAGGCTCAAGTGATCCTCCCGACTCGGTCTCTCCAAGTGTTGGGATTACAGACATGAGCCACCATGCCCAGTCGAGGGGATTTTTTTTTTTTTTTTTGAAATAGTCTTGCTCTGTTGCCCAGGCTGGAATGTAGTGGCACAGTCTCGGCTCACTGCAACCTCCACCTCCCAGGTTCAAGCACTTCTCCTGCCTCAGCCACCTGAGTAGCTGGGATTACAGGCGCGCCCGGCTAATTTTTATATTTTTAGTAGAGACAAGGTTTCACCATATTGGCCAGGCTGGTCTCGAATTCCTGGCCTCAAGCAATCCACTTGTCTTGGCCTCCCAAAGTGCTGGGATTACAGGCATGAGCCACTGCGCCCAGCCTAAGCAACTTCCCAGGGAAATCCCGGGAGTCTGGACGTCCTGGGTGAGTGCATTAGCAAGAACATCGGCCTGTCAGCCAAGAGAGTTCATTTCTTGTCCTGACTCTGCCATGCATTACCTGTGTGGCCTTGGACAAGTAGCCTCTCCTCTCTGGGCCACATTAATGTGTCTATAAAGGGAGGGGGCTGGGCTGGGGTCTGCAAGTTCCCTTCCATGGAGCTGTAAAATTGGGATAATAACAACGCCTTCTCTGCTCACCTCAAAGAGGTGTGGGAAGATAAAAATTAAAAATGATTGGAAATACTTGGTAAGTTGTAAAGCCCTATGTAATCGGGAAGAGTAAGTCTCTATGGGAGGCTTCCTTCAGCAGTCAGGAACTTCTTAATGCAAACCAGGTGTTGGTGCAATCAGACTTGAGGTCTCCCAGCCTGGGGAGACTGTGGCTGGGGGAGGGCGAGGAGAAGGGAAGTGAGGTGGGCAGCCTGGCTTCCCAGAGTCTCCCTTCATACATGGCTCCTCATTCTTCCTTGGTGCCCGTACACAGCAGGATGACACCCCCACCCACACCCCTACTCGCTGCCCAGGGTGACACCTCCACTCCCACCCTGTGCCCAGGATGAAACCCCCACTCCAAGCCCAGGATGACACCTCCACCCCATCCCATGCCCAAGATGGCACCCCCACCCCCACCCTGTGCCCAGGATAACAGCCCCACCCCCACCCCGTGGCCAGGATGACACCTCCACCCCATTCGGTGCCCAGGATGACAGCCCCACCCCCACCCCATGCCCAGGATGACACCCCACCACCACCCTGTGCCCAGGATGATACCCCTCACCACCTCACACCCAGGAGGACACCCCACCCCCACCCCGTGCCATGATGACACCCCCATCCCCACCCCATGCCCATGATGACACTCACCCCCACCCCATGCCCAGGATGACACCCCCACCCACACCCCATGCCTAGGATGACACCCCACCACAATCCGGTGCTTGGGATGATACCCCTCCCCACCCCACACCCAGGAGGACACCCCACCCCCACCCCATGCCCAGGATGACACCCCCACCCACACCCCATGCCTAGGATGACAGCCCCAACCCTGTGCCCTGCTCATGCTCTGCTATGCTGTGAGCACCTCCCCTGTTTCTGTGATTTCTCTCCCTAGGTCCTTCATCATCCCCCGCCCAGGTGAGAAACTGAGCCACCTCCAGAGGGAGGTCAGGTGATGGGCCCAAAGTCCCCCACGAGTCAGAGCCTAACTAGACCCTGGTCTGTAGTATTATGGGAAAATCACGAGCTCTGACAACAGAAGGTTCTAATCCCTGCTGGCCAATGCCTTACTCCCCAGCGGTGTGACCTTGGGCAGGCGATTTAAATTCTCTGAACCCCAGTTTCATACTTGTCAGGGAGGACTTCTGTACGCTTCTCAGGAGGTTCCAGCTGAGGTGAGCCCCCTTTTGCCCACAGTAATGACCTCAACATTACACCCTTATTTTGGACGATGCTGGCACTGGAGAGGTGCTTACAAAAGTGCCAGGTATGGCTGCAGTTGTAAGGTATAATTTTCTAGATGGCTTCCATCTGAAGCTCTAAAAACCTGTCCCCTCCTGAGTACCTGCCACTGAGCAGACCCGGTCTTTCCAACTGGGGCCTCACTTTAGGTTCACCCTGATTCCCACACAGCTTGCTCTCCACTCCCCCAGGCTTCCACCTTGAGGCTCATCTGTTCTCAGGAGGGGGTTGGGACAGAGCCACAACTCTGGGACATCATCCCTCTTCAAAGGTGCAGGGGAGTTTTCGGGAAACAGAAAACTTTGGCCAGGTGGGTTGTGGTTTGGTCCCTTGAGCTCGGGGTTTAACTGAACCTTAAGATGAATTTGGCATGTGTGTGAAATCTCTGCTCTGTGTCCCCAGCTGCAGGACAATGGGGGCCATTTAGGACTTTGCACATGGGATGAAAACATCTGGTTCAAATAACACACACACACACACACACACACACACACACACACACACACACACACATCCCAACAGGAATACATTACAATAGGAACAATCATTCTTAAACCGAATGTACTCTCCCACTTTTCAATACGGGGATCATGAGAAAAAATAGGACCCAATCCCTGTCCTGGAGGAACGGGAGAGACCATCTTATCTACACTGCTGGCTTTAAAGTTAGGGAATCTGAGCCGGGAGTCACTGGTCTAAGGTCTTACAGCAAGCGAGAGACAGCAGTGAGACAGGAAGCCGGGTGACCCAACTTCCAGACTTCAGCCTTTCCCCAGCTCCACATGCACGGAGGAGGAGGTAGAGGGCAAAGAAACCAGGCCCTTTAGATTCTCGTGGACAGAGAATCCCGTTTCGCCAAGAGATCAGAGGGCTCAGGGTCCCCAGCCTGCCGATGGCTTTTTTTCATGTGCAGCAAGGCCATCTGTGCAGCCAGTCTTGACGCTGCAGCCAAGAGCGAGACCCCAGAGTCTTGGAGTCTGCTGGGGACTCCTGGGAGATGCGTTCCACGACCAGCCAGGGTGTGCACAGGTGGGTGGGTGAGCGGCGGCGCACGGGGTGGGCGGGCGGCGCGCGTGCAAGGGGAGAGCGCGGCCGCGGCGGGGGACGGTGGGCGCGTGGGCCAGCGTCGCCGACGGAGGCCGAGTCTCCTGGAAGCCCATGCAGAGGAAGTGGCGAGGACGAGAGCTGGGAAACTGGGTCGCCTCCGCCGCGGAGCGACGGCGCCTCCAGCAGCGTCCCGGGCACGCTTGCGCCCTGCAATGTGCGCGTCCTTCGCGAAGAACGTCCCGGGAGGCCCCACCGTGCCGTCTCGCTCTTTCTTCTGAATTTCTGTGGTCCTGCCTCCTGCCAGGGTCCCTTCATTAGGGTTCTGCTGCCCAAGGTCCCCGCGTGGATTTTCTCCGGGGAGGTAATTCGGCGAAGGTCTGGCGCCTCCTTCCCACCTGGCCTTTCTCCTTCGGAGAGTCCGTGCTTTCTGCTGCCCTGAGGGGACAGAAGTGTCCCTCCGTATGTACCCCCATCCTGTCTTCCCTGAAGACTGCCCCTGCGCCCACACGACCCCATGGCCAGTGCTGTTAAAACCAAGCACACCCCGCAGCGAGTAGAGGAAGGGCTGGGAAAAGCCACACTGTGTTCTTGTCCTTACCTACCCACCCCCCAGCCCCGCGGCTCTTCCCCTAAGTATAGGACTGAATTGCTGAGGGACCTCAGATTTCCCCAGCCCGCCCCGTCATCAACAGGAAGAACCGCACAGTGGTTGGGCTTGAAGCCCTCAAGCAGGTTGTGTCTGGATTCAAATCTCTGCCCTATGCTTTCTAGACATGTGACCTTGTCACGTTGTTTTATTCATATTCGTATGAAAAGCCTACTGAGAACTTACCAGACAGCTTTCTTGGCATCGCAGACAAAGCAGTGAACAAAAGGTCCAGGTGGTGACGGAACTTCCATTGTAGGTGGGGAGGCAGACAATACATAAATATCTTCATTAGATGGTGATAAGTGTTAAAATGAAGACTGTAGCAGAGTGAAGGGACAAAGTGTGGCAGAGGCGTGCTATTTTAGTGAGAGTAATCAGGGAAGGCCTCTCTCACAAGCTGACATTGGGCAGAGACCCAAAGCAAGTGATGGAGCTGTAGTGCTCCAAGTGAGAGCTTTCCAGGCAGAGGGAACAGCAAGTGCAAAGGCCCTGAGGCAGGAGTTCAAAGAACTGGAGGGTGCAGAGTGAAGGGGACAGTGGTAGGGGATGAGGTCAGAGAGGAAGTGAAGGGTGCATATTTCGTGGGGCCGTGTAGGTCAGGGTAAGGGTTTTGAATTTTGTTCTGATGAGAAAGAAAGTCATTGGGGAGTCCTAACATGACCTAGCTGATATTCTAAAAAGCAGCATTAAGGGTAGACCATGAGGGGAATAAGGAGATGGTTTCACTAATCCAGGTAAACAATAATGTTGGCTGGAACCTGGTGGTAGTGATGGAGGTAGATTCTGGATATATTTCAGGTTGGATTGAATAGGGAGTATAAGAGCTATAGAGGAACTGAGAATATTGTGTACTTTGTTGTTGTTGTTGTTGTTGTTGTTGTTGAGACAGAGTCTCGCTCTGTCACCCAGGCTGGAGTGCAGTGGCACAATCTCGGCTCACTGCAAGCTCTGCCACCTGGGTTCACGCCATTCTCCTGCCTCAGCCTCCCAAGTAGCTGGGACTACAGGCGTCTGCCACTATGCCCGGCTAATTTTTTTTGTATTTTTTAGTAGAGACAGGGTTACACCGTTTTAGCCAGGGTAGTCTCGATCTCCTGACCTCGTGATCCACCCCCATCGGCCTCCCAAAGTGCTGGGATTACAGGCATGAGCCACCGCTCCTGGCTGATGTGTACATTTTTTACCTGAACAACTGGAAGGATAGAGTTGCCATGAGCTGACATAGGGAAAGGTGAGGGTGACGCAGGTTAGGGTAGTAGAGCGGGAAGATCAGGAGTTCCATTTTGGACATGTTTTGTTGGTGGTGCCTATTGGACATCCAAGTGGATGTGCCTCGAAGGCAGTGGGATGTGTGATTTGGAGTTTGGAAGAGAGGTATGATTGGAGAGAGAAATTTGAGATCTCTTGGTATAGATGATGTTCGAAGCCTTGGGACTGGGTGAGATGACCTAGGGTTTCAAATGTTGTGTATACCGAGGGCTCCTAAATGCTTCTCTCCCACTAGACCTCTGTCTTGAACTCTAAACTCTTACATCCAACTGCCTTCTTCAGTTCTATAGTATACTCTAGAGGAATCAAAAAACCAGAAAGAGATCTGGTATCCTCATTGTTTCCCCTGGAGAGGTCATAGTTTTTTGTCTTAGAATATAAGAGCTGGAAATGATCCAAGTGGCCATCTGGTCAACCTCTTCAGTTTTTACAAATAAGGAAACTGAGTTCCAAGAGAGGAAGTGACTTGCTTAAGGTCCAATTTGGAATTAAACATCAGGGCTCCAGGTGCTGTCCACAATGTCACAGCTGCCTTTCTGAAAGTAAAAAGAGCAGTGCTCAACTCAAACAGGGGTCTGAACTCATTGTTCTCCTGTCTGAAATCCTTCAGTGCCTCCCTGTCATCTCCTTGTGATGAAGTCCAAGTTCCTTAGGAGGATAGGTACGTACTTGCTACCTTCACCAACTGCATTTCTGCTACTCCCAGGGATCCGCCCATACCAAATGACCAGTGAGTTTCCTGAAGAAGCCCTGGTATTCCACGCCTCCAGACCTTCGCACAGACTCTCATCTCTGCCTAAATACCTTTCCACTATCCCTGTCTGTTCCTACTCACCCTTCAAGTTTCAGCTTAGATGTTTCATCCTTCAAGAAATAGTCCCTAAAAGCCTCCCCTCAATCTGGACCAAGTACTGCTCCTCAGAGTCTCTGTTGATACCCTGTTACCATGTTTTGTCTATTTTTTTTAGCTTTTGTACATCTCCAGGGCTGGGTAGAGGGTAGAGTTAATGGTTCAAAGGGGATGATGAAGTAAACCACACGTGGTAGTGTTTCAGGATGAAACCAGAAAAGATGAAGCTCCCACCTCAGCGCACCCCCAGAGAGGACTTTTTGACTAATTGTCTTGGAATCAGGCAGGCCTGGGCTCAAGTTCCAGCTCAGCTAGTTCTTAGCTGTGTGACCCACGATTCTGTACCTGTAAAAAGAGTTAATAAAAAGATCTACTTTGAGGGATCATTGTGAGAATTTGTTGAGAGCAATCTTGGATCAGGGTAAAGCTTAAAGGATGATAGATGTATTGCTGTTATTCGTGCTCAGCCCTCTTTCCTTTGGAAACACACACACGCACAGACACACACACACACACACACACATCACGTGCACATTGTAGAGTGGACATAATGGGGGAACCCAGCAGGTGATCACCAGAAAAGAAAGGGGTCAGCAGGTGGGAAGGCCAGGCTTTGTCTGCAGAAGGCCTGAGTTAACTAGCATTTCCTCCAAAGGGCAGCAATGTTACTTTCAAGCACACAGCCTGAACACAACTAGCAAAGCTTTGACAAGCAGAGCTTGGAGAACTGGCTTTAGGAAGAGGTGACCTTGATTTCCCAGGAAGGCCTCAACTGTAAATAAACAGCTGCTTCCAAAGTGCCCTTTCCCTCCCACTTTCTGTGCTCTGCCTGTCTCCTCCCCTCTATCTCCACCTTTCACTCTTCCACATCACACCCTGCGCATGTCTTATCCTTTGGCTCCCTGGAATGCTTCCTGTTATCTTGCCCTGTTGGAGGCCTGAGTTGTCATTAAGGCTGACAGAGGGGCACCCATGGCGGGGAGGGCTTTGGCTTCCAGGAGAGAAGCCTGTAACTGTGGAAAGGAGGCCCCATGAGAGGCCCATTTGGAGTCTTCCCACACTCTCCCCTTCCCACACCCAGCCATCTGCTCAGACACCTGCTGAGTGCACCTGTGAACTCTAGTGTTCTCCCTGCTCTAATTGGGCATCTCCCGAATTGAGCTCATCTTTAACACTGGTCATCTCTAGCGGGGCTTTGGCTTCCAGTGGTATCTCCTGGGCAATAGCCCTGGCCCAGATCCCACTTCTGTCTCATTAATCTTAACTGAGAACTGACAGCTTCTGAGGAGTCCCACCTTCACTGCCAGCCCCAGGTAGGATGGGTCTGCCACCGCCAGTCTGCAGGGCTCAGTGCAGCCTCTTCTGTGAAGGCTTCTCCATACTTTTGAGTCCTTGCTGAATCCCTGTCTTTGAACTCTAAAGCCTTGCCCTTCTCTGTCATAAGAACGATCTGTAGTCATCAATTGAGTCCTCAGTTACAGACTTGAGAAATCAAACCGTTTTTGCATAGTGTAGTGAATAAGAAGGCATTCTTTATAGTCACCAAATTCTGATTCTGCTGAGGAATTTAGGGCAAATGACTTCACCTCTCTGGGCCTCAGTTTCTGCATCTGTAAAATGGGCTACGGGGCAGGGCGCGGTGGCTCATGCCTGTAATCCCAGCACTTTGGGAGGCTGAGGCGGGTGGATCACAAGTTCAGGAGTTCAAGACCAGCCTGGCCAGGATGGTGAAACTATGTCTCTACTAAAAATACAAAAAAATTAGCCCGGCATGGTGGTGGATGCCTGTAATCCCAGCTACTCAGGAGGCTGAGGCAGGAGAATCACTTGAACCTGGGAGGAGAAGGTTGCAGTGAGCCAAGATCGCGCCACTACACTCCAGCCTAGGCGACAGAGCGAGACTCCATCTCAAAAAAAAAAAAAAAAAAAACAAAAAAAGAAAGGCTACGAATAACCATTTTTATGGGGCTACTTATGAGGATTAAATAGGTTATTGCACCACATACCTTGCTGACAGCCTGCCACATAATAAGTGATCAATAAATGGCAGCGTTGTTATTATTTAGAGGGGCACAGATTAAACATGTGCATTCTAGGAACAGATAACTTGCTTTAAAAGTGTTTCATTACTTACCCTCTTTGGGATCTTGGGCAAACTTAACCTTTGTAAGCCTTGGTGTCCTTATCTGTGAAATAAAACTAATAATGTCTATTTTTTCCTTTCCAACTTTTAGGTTCAAGGGATATATGTGCAGGTTTGTTACATAGGTAAATTGCATGTCATAGGGGTTTGGTGTAATTTTATCACCCAAGTAATCAGCATGGTACCTGATAGGTAGTTTTTCAGTCCTCACCCTCCTCCCACCCTTTACTCTCAAGTAGGCCCTGGTGTCTATCATTCTCTTCTTTGTGTCCCTGTGTACTCAATGTTTAGCTCCTACTTATAAGTGAGAATATGTGGTATTTGGTTTACTGTTCCTGCATTAATTCACTTAGGATAATCGACATGATTTCATTCTTTTTTATGGCTGCATAGTATTCCATGGTGTGTATGTACCACATTTTCTTTATTCAGTCCACCACTGATGGGCCTCTAGGTTGATTCCATGTCTTTGCTGTTGTGAATACTGCCGAGATAAACATATGTGTGCATGTGTCTTTATAATAGAACGATTTATATTCCTTTGGGAATATACCTAGAAATGGGATTGCTGGGTCAAATGGTAGTTCTATTTTTAGTTATTTGAGAAATCTCCAGACTGCTTTCCACTGAAAGCAGCTAAACTAATTTACATTCCCACTTTCAGTGCATAAGAGTTCACTTTTCTCTGCAATCTTGCCAGCATCTGCTATTTTTTGATGTTGTAGTAATAGCCATTCTGAAAATGTCTATTTTTAAAGTTGAAGAAACTGAGGCACGGATAGATTAAGTGACTTGCCCCAGCTATGCTAGGACACAAATGGTAGGTATCAAATACAGGAAATGAAGGCTCTAGGGGCTGCTCACTTGACCACTATTGCAGAATGATATGAGTGACACATAATGACACACTCCCCAAAACAGGAGAGTGGAGAGAGATGAGCCATCATTTCTGCTGGGGGTGTGGGAGGAGACAGAGAAAGTTTTAAACAGAAGGTGAAAACTACCCTAGTCCTGGAAAGATAGTGAATGCGGCTAAGCTTGAAATGAGGTTAGAACGTCATCCTAGATGGTTGCATAACAATGCACATGTAGTTAATGTCATAAAACTGCATACTTAAAAAGGGTCAAAATGGTAAAAGTCATTATTTATTTATTTATTTATTTATTTTGAGATGGAGTTTCGCTCTGTCGCCCAGGCTGGAGTGCAGTGGTGCAATCTCAGCTCACTGCAAGCTCCACCTCCCGGGTTCACACCATTCTCCTGCCTCAGCCTCCTGAGTGACTGGGACTACAGGCACCCACCACCATGCCCGGCTAATTTTCATATTTGTAGTAGATACAGGGTTTCACCATGTTAGCCAGGATGGTCTCAATCTCCTGACCTCGTGATCTGCCCGCCTCAGCCTCCCAAAGTGCTCCTGCGCCTGGTTGGGTAATAAGTCATTTTTAAAAAAATTGTTTAATGAAAAAAAAATTAACTTACATTTTTCTTAAAAGTAACAATTTAATGATATGTATTTTCTGTGAACATTCAAGAAATAGAAATCACCAAGAAAAAAATAAATAAAATAATTTGTTATTCTGCCATTCAGATCTAAACAATGTTATTTTGGTGCTTAAATCTTCAGAGGTTTTTTCATATATTCACTTCAAATATTATTTACCAACAATGGAAGTTTATTTATTTATTTATGTTTGTTTGTTTTTTTTGAGACATAGTCTCACTCTGTGGCCCAGGCTGGAGTGCAATGGCGTGATCTCTGCTCACTGCAACCTCTGCCTCCCAGGTTCAAGCAATTTTCCTGCCTTAGTCTCTCGAGTAGCTGGGATTACAGGTGCCTACCATCATGCCCAGCTAATTTTTATATTTTTAGTAGAGACAGGGTTTCGCCGTGTTGGCCAGGCTGGTCTCGAACTCCTGGCCGCAAGCAATCTGCCTGCCTCGGCCTCCCAAACTGCTGGGATTACAGACGTGAGCCACTGTGCCCAGCCTGTATTTGTATATATGCAGTTTTGTAACTTACTTCTTCCACTTACAAAATGATAAATTTTCCATGTCATTAAGTTTAAAAAAAGAAAAAAAAAAGGGCAAGTCATATCAGGTAGGAGGACTGGCATGAGCAAAGGCATAGAGGTACGATAATGCAAAGGAATTCTGGAAAAAGTGAGGCGCCCAGAGCAGCTGGAGCACAAATTGCAAGGAAGAATGTAGTGGGAAGTGTCAACCCTGACAGTGGCCAAAACAAAAAGGGAAACACAGAAAGGACAAGAGTTCTGTTTATTACAAAGGAGTTAAGAAAGAGCACATGTTGGCCAGGCGCGGTGGATCACACATTAATCCCAACACTTTGGGAGGCTGAGGTGGGCAGATCACCTGAGGTCAGGAGTTCAAGACCAGCCTTGCCAACATGGGGAAACACCACCTCTACCAAAATATACAAAAATTAGCTGGGCGTGGTGACGTGTGCCTGTAGTCCCAGCTACTGGGGAGGCTGAGGGGGAGGATTGTTTGAACCCGAGAGGTGGAGATTACAGTGAGCTGAGATTGTGCCACTACACTCCAGCCTGGGCAACAGAGTAAGACCCTGTCTCAAAAAAAAAAAAAAAATACATGCTCTAAAGCCTGACTCCCAGAACGTGAGCCCTTGCTCTGCCAGTTACTAGCTATGTTGCTTTGGCAAATGAGTTAACCTCTTTATCATTCAGTTCCTCTATTTGTAAAACAGGAACAATCATAGTGCCTACTTCATAGGGTTGTTGTGAGAATTAAATGAGCTAATAATGTAAAGCACTTAGAGACTGGCATGTTGTAAACTCTGAATGAAAGTTATAAATTATTTTTATCAATGTTTTTTCCTGGCTGAATTCTAAGTTGAATTTATCTTGAGCATCTGTATGCAAAGAGCTCTGAGTAACATAAGGGATAGTTTTCTCAATAAATGTGATAGTAACCGTGGCTGCATTCTCAGTAAGGCTGTGTCTTAACGTCTCCTGGAAGGAAGCCAAGGTCAGAAAGGGGCTCTGTGAGAGAGCTAGTGCTCATGTCCAGGCCCAGGGCTTCCTAACTGCCTGGCATGTGCCAGGAGGGTGTGTGCAAAAGGCCAGGAAAGGAAGGACTTTCACTCCCTTCCCGCTTGCCCTCTCTCTCCCTGGTCAGGCCATCCTTTCAGCCTGGCTGTCGGCCTGAGCCATTTCCTGTTTCCTGAACATTTATCTTCTGCACATTCATGCTTTTTTCTCATATTGTCCCCCGGCCTGGAATACCTCTTTCTTCCAGAATCCTACTGGCAAACTTCTCCTTGTCTTTCAAAACTCACTTCAAGAATAACCATTCCTTCCTCTGGCATTCCCAGACTCTCCAAGTTCTCCTCTGCTTGGAGGACTCTGTACCTCCCTCTCTTCTGTGATGTGTGATGGTGATAATGGTGATGAAGATAATGGTGATGGTAGCAATGAAAATAGTGGCAGCTTACCCTGACAGACCACTTACCAGGCACTAGGGTAAGTGCTTTGCAAGCACTGTTCCAATTAATTTTTACAGCAATCCTATAAGGAATTGCTATTTGTATACTAATTTTATAGAAAAGGAAACAGGAGCATAGAATGAGTGGTTAAAGAACTTGCTCAAGCCACACAGCTGAGAGTAAAAGAACTAGGATTTGTACACAGAGAGTCTGTTTTCAGAACTAGCACCCACAACCGTTATGCCTAGCTGCTTCCCTGTGTTATTTTTACTGTTTCTACTGTTAGGATTATTACTGCTTGATGATGGGTTTCTCTCCTTTGTCCTTACATTCTCAGGACCTGGCACCAGGCCTGACACCCAGCAGGCACAGAAGAAATACTTGCCACTATTCAGTCTGGCAGTTCGGTTCAGTTAAAACGAGTCAAGGCTCATTTCAAAGACCTCTTCTTCCATGCTGGCCCTCCTGATCACCCTGAGCAGATTTGAGGACTCCTTTCATGAGCCCCTGTGGCTTTGCTCTTCTCATTTAACTCTCACCCAATTTCATGAGGTGGGCATTGTTCCCACTTTATAGACAGAAAAACTGAGGTTCAGACCTGGTAAGGGTTCGTGGTGGGGTTTGACTCCATTCATTCTTCCCTTCACACTTTCCTTTTAGTGTCTCCCCTATCCTTGTATTTGCCACTCCCAAATCCTTAGCACAGAGCCTGGAGCACAGTAGGCCTGCATTAAATGTCTGCTAAATTGAAATGAACTGAATTAGGGTGTGGGTGGCCCAAGAAAAATGTGCCACGACTCAGGCATTTCAAGCAAAATGCATAGTTTCAAAACCCAAGCATGGAGGAGCCTGCTATTTTTGGATGGCCTTGCACAAATGTTGTGTGGGCTTCCTTTTTGCTACTAAATGTCATTGCATTACTTTCCTAGTTTCATTCTCCTGCCTGGGCTGGGGAGGATTATGCAAGCGGAGCCTGGGAATGAGTCATCTTTCCCTCAGCTGCCAAACTGTCCACGATTGCCATGATATGGTACAATCTTTTTTCTGCCTCAAGCTATTTGTGGGTGGTTTTGTTTAACTTTTACAGTCTTTCTTTCTTTCCTTCTAATTTTGCTTATCCTTGTCTTTTTCTTTGAGATGGGCCATAGGGTACTGACGGCCTTTAAAACTCTGGCCCCTCTGTGTCTGCAAGCACAAATCCATCTACCTGCTATGTAATCCACGTGGGGAAGAAAGCCCTTCTGGTGATGACATTGTGAGGTGCTGACCCATAAGGAAAGTGGGACAATCTTTCTAGGGTGGATGGAGGTTCCCTTCCACTGGGCCAGCTGCCACCACCCCTCCCCCAAGCCTGCTGGGAAATTCTGGGAAGCCCAGAATTGGGCTTCCACACCCCACACTACAGCCATGCCCTTCACACTCCTACCTGGGTCTGTTTCCTGGATTTGTTGAGGCTGGTCTCTTCACTTCCAGTATGACCCTGTGGCCTTAGCCAGGGCAGCTCTGGGGCCAGCCCCCCGCCCCCACAGGAGGAGCCAGGCTGACCCAGCTGAGGGCTACACAGGAGGGAAAGGCCCAGTGCCCAAGGGGATGACAGGTGTGTGACAACGTGTGTGCTGCAGGCATAGTGCTGGGTGCCAGTAGAAAGAGTGACTTGCTCTCCAGCTGTGTAAGTGCTTCTAGCCTCAGGCTGATCGATCAGTGAACCAGGCCAAGGTTGGAGCTGTAGGTGAAACCAGTGGATCCACATGTGAGGGCTGCGGGAGGTGGAAACAGGGGCCGGTGCTGGGACCTTCCTAGATGAATAGCAGCTACAAGCAATGGCCAACCCATTGCTCAAATGGAGGCCTGTTGGGCACTCGGGACCTGAGTTCAGCAGGAATCATTGAGAGCATCTTGATAGTCTCTCATAACACTCACCATGTGTGCCATACTTGATAAATTTCCAGAGCACTTTCCATACATGCCCTCAAATGATGCTGGACAACAGGTGCCCAGCAATCCAGGTTCGAGAAGAGTCAGCCCTGCCTGCTCCTTTCCCAGCTCCAAGGCTCTGGTCTCCCCTTCGCAAGCAGGAGAAGAGTTGAGAACATTTGGAAACCACATGCAGGAGCACCGAGAGTCCTGGATTAGAAGGGAGAGGAGTTGGCCAGGCGTGGTGGCTCACCCCTGTAATCCCAGCACTTTCGGAGTCCGAGGCGGGCGGATCATGAGATCAAGAGATCGAGACTATCCTGGCCAACATGGTGAAACCCCGTCTCTACTAAAAATGCAAATATTAGCCAGGCGTGGTGGCGCACGCCTGTAGTCCCAGCTACTCAGAAGGCTGAGGCAGGAGAATCGCTTGAACCCGGGAAGCGGAGGTTGCAGTAAGCCGAGATCACGCCACTGCACTCTGCAGAGCGAGGCTCCATCTCAAAATAAATAAATAAGTAAAGGAGAGAAGTTCTGGCAGCTCATGCTGTGTGCCTATGGGAAACTCTCCTAACCCTTCTGAACCTCAGTTTCCCTGCCTTTAAAATGGTGGTAATAATATAATTGAGAAATGAGCTAACAGTGATTCATAAAACATTTGGTGTCACTCTTCCACATAAAACCCTCCAGTGACTTTCCATTTCAGTTGGAGAAAAACCCAAAGGGCTTGCAGCAGCCTGTGAAGTCCTGCATGATCTACCTCTACCCCCACTTCTCCTCTGATCTGATGTCATCCCTGGTCTTCCAAATACACCAGCATCATGCCCACCTCAGGGCCTTTGCACTGACTGTTTGCTTTGCCTTGGGCACTCTTTTCCCAGGTGTCAGTACAGCACCTCTCACCTCCCAGGTCTTCACTGAAACATCAGCTTTGAGTGAGGCTTTCCAAGAACTCTCTGAAATGGCAACACCTCTTCCCCACACACCCTGCCCCCTCCACTACTTAATTTTTCTCTATGGCTCTTAACACCCTCACAGAGTATATATCTTACTTACTTTATTTATTATCTGTCTCACTCCACTAAAATATTAGCTCCATGAGGGCAGGACTTTTTCTGTTTTGTTCTCTACTGTAACTCCAGTGCCTAGAATAGTGCCTGGAAACACATAGTAGATGCTCAATAAATATTCTCTGAATGAATGAAGTAGTAAATGAACAAAGGGGTCTTCAGTACTATTATTCTAGAGTGGAAGTAGCCAGCCCCCGTCCCAGCAACCTAACCCCATTAAGGCCAAGGTCCTGGGGTCTTCTGTGTGCCACAAGCTCCCAGGGAAACTTGCAACCTCTTCCATCTCACAGCTATTCTTTTTATTTTATTTATTTATTTATTTAGAGATGGAGTCTCTCTCTGTCGCCCAGGCTGCAGTGCAGTGGCGCGATCTCGGCTCACTGCATGCAACCTTTGCCTCCCACGTTCAAGTGGTTCTCCTGCCTTAGCCTCCCAAGTAGCTGGGATTACAGGCGCCTGCCACCAGGCCTGGCTAATTTTTGTACAGACAGGGTTTCACCATGTTGGCCAGGCTGGGACTCGAACTCCTGACCTCAGGTGATCCACCCACCTCGGCCTCCCAAAGTGCTGGGATTACAGGCATGAGCCACCGCACCTGGCCCTTCACAGCTATTCTTAAGCCCCAGTTTGATCAAACAGAGCGTCAGTACATCATGTGGTAGATGATTGTTCCTTGAACATCATGCTAATGGCTTGCTACTGACAAAATGGGCACAGAAGAATCAACTGGGATGGGAGAAGCTTCTTCAAGTGCCCAGTTTCCTAAAGGGAGGAACCATCAGTTTGGAAGAAATGGATCAATCTTTTATGACTGGCTGAGTTGGCAAGCTGTGTCACTCCTCTTCCTGTCTGTCTGTAGAATGGAAGAGCAGGTTTGGAGCAGGAATTTGCCTCACTCTGCTCCTTCAACTTCACTGTCAGGCACTTCAGAGCCTGCTGTGCTGCCACTAGGAGAATGCAGCCTGACCCCTCAGACTGCAAGAGTCCTAGGAGGGAGTTGCTGGGGAGGCTTGGTCAAGCTGATTGTTCCCTAAGTGATAGTGCATTTCAATCTCTGCCTTTGGGAGACTGACTTTTCCTTAAAATAAAAGGTTAGCTATTTTTTTTTTCATTACTTAACCCATGAAAGTGTTGGTTCTCCTTTTATACAAATTCTAGGATTTTTAATATTCTCCTTCTCTCTCCCTCTGCCTCCCCTCCCAACTCTACTACCTAAATAATTAAAGCATGTTTGGCAGCGGGCGGGGTGTGTTTTGGAAACCAATACACTTAGCCACAATGCTTTTTTATATACAGTACATGTGAAAAGTAAGGTAGGTATATTTGTAATTCAAAAATGTTTTAAAATGCTTTTCACCTCTTTTTTCCTTCTTACAAACTTTCCACTACTGTTATCTTTTTTTCTTTTGTTGAGTGTTTTAAAGAATTCCAAGTGGACTGTAAATTAGTTCAACCATTGTGGAAGTCAGTGTGGCGATTCTTCAAGGATCTAGAACTAGAAATACCATTTGACCCAGCCATCCCATTACTGGGTATATACATACCCAAAGGATTATAAATCATGCTGCTATAAAGACACATGTACACGTATGTTTATTGCAGCACTATTCACAATAGCAAAGACTTGGAACCAACCCAAATGTCCAACAATGATAGACTGGATTAAGGAAATGTGGCACATATACACCATGGAATACTATGCAGCCATAAAAAATGATGAGTTCATGTCCTTTGTAGGGACATGGATGAAGCTGGAAACCATCATTCTCAGCAAACTATTGCAAGGACAAAACACCAAACACCGCATGTTCTCACTCATAGGTGGGAATTGAACAATGAGAACACATGGACACAGGAAGGGGAACATCACACACTGGGACCTGTTGTGGGGTGGGGGGAGGGGGGAGGGACAGCATTAGGAGATATACCTAATGTTAAATGACGAGTTAATGGGTGCAGCACAGCAACATGGCACATGTATACATATGTAACAAACCTGCACGTTGTGCACATGTACCCTAGAACTTAAAGTATAATAATAAAAAAAAAAGAATTCCAAGTACAGATCAGGTATAACTAAAAGCTAGAAAAACAGAAATGTACCACTCTCCAGTGTTTGTTAGTGCCCTAGCTGGATGGGAAGCCAGCTGAGGCCACTCAGGCGGTCAGCATCAATAATGGGGTGAGCTGAGGCCACAGCACCAGCCAGAGGGTGGTCAGGGAGCCCAAACGTGGTCAAGAACAGCTGAGTTGGAGCAGCTTGGGACTCAGCTGCTGGTGGGGAAGAGCCCAGCCATGGAGTCTGGGGTTGAGTCTGGGTCAGAGTCTGCAGAGACTGACAAGGAAGCAAGCCCAGGGAGCGAGGAGGGGAGCTGCTAACTCCATCCAGGTGGAGGCTTGTGTGCCTTGTCCCTGTGGGTCTCAGAGGCACAGCTCAATCTAGAGTGAAGTGAAGCCTCCACAGTGAGATGGGGACTTCCTGATTCTGCCAAATGTGATGACAAGATGGAAATCTTCATGTATATCTGAATGCATTGGCAGTGAAGATCCGTGTCTTCGCTGTGCTGCAGTTAGCAGCAAAAAGGATACTTTCTTGAGTGCTTTATTGTATAACAAGAATGTTTCCAAGTACCTTTCACAAGTTATCTCATTTTTTTCTTTACAACAACCCTATGGGTAGATATAAATATCCAGCCCTTTAAAAGTGGAGAAAACCAAAGCCAGTGGAAAGTAGGTGAGTTGCTCCAGGTGGATCTGGGGTATGAAGCCAAGCTGTCTGACTTCATAGTAGGGTTTCTTAACCTTGGCGCTGATCACCTGTTGGGACAGGTCATCCTTTGTTGAGGACTCTCCTGTGCATTGTAGGATGTTTAGCAGCAGTCCTGGCCTCTACCCACTAGATGCCAGTGGCACCTCTCCCTGACTCAAGATGTGACAGCCATAGGTGTCTTCAGAAGTTGCCAAATATGCCCCTGTGGAGAACCACTGTTGAGAACCACCATGGTTGTTCACCGCTAAGCCCTGCCAAGCAGAGCTGGACTTGATGGCCTCAGACAGGATATTTTCAAGACATCTGGAAGGGAGACTCGAGAGTGCTGCTCATACCAGCTCTCCCAAGGAGATCTTCATTAGGGTCCTTGGCCTTTAGATTTAAAAATCCTATGTATCAGTCATCTAGAATCAATCTGGCCTGGGCAAACAAATTCATCCCAGCTCAGCTTGCCGGCCAGTTCCTTAAATCCAATTCTTGCTTATGTGTTACAGAGGAGAGGTGGAGATAGGTTTATTGACCGGCTGACCACACAGGACATTCATGGGCAGGTGACCAAAATCTATTGCAGTGGGAGAGCTTGGATGAGGAGCGAGATTTCTTTGCTATGTCTAGTCCTGAGTCCTGGGCTGGTTCCTGGTTTTTATTCATGAGATCTGTCAGGGGCTTGCCTTGTTCCTGCCTTGCTCTGTGTGCTGTTGTGCCCGTCTCATGGGCTCAGGGACCCTGTGTCAGCTGTCTTTTTTTTTTTTTTTTTGAGACAGAGTCTTACTCTGTCGCCCAGGCTAGAGTGCAGTGGCATGATCTCAGCTCGCTGCAACTTCCACCTCCCAGGTTCAAGCTATTCTCCTGCCTCAGCCTCCCGTGTAGCTGGGATTACAGGCTCGTGCCACCACACCTGGCTAATTTTTTGTATTTTTAGTAGAGACAGGGTTTCACCATGTTACCCAGGCTGGTCTTGAACTCCTGAGGTCAGGCAATCCGCCCGCCTCGGCCTCCCAAAGTGTTAGGATTACAGGCGTGAGCCACCGTGCCCGGCTAAAGGGAACTCAGCTGTCTTGAAATCAGCACCTAGAGATGCACCTAGGCCTGACCGAGGCAGGCACTGCAGGAAAGAGAACGAGCATTGCTAAGTGGCAGCTGCGGGATTTGGAGCAGCTGGAGGGAGCCCAAATGTGGTCAAGAACAGCTGAAACATGAAAATTAAGAATGCTAAGAGGTGCAATTCACAGAATGAGACTGAAGCTAACCAATTAATCTATAGACAAAACGAGAGGAGGGCAAAGGGGAGGGAGGCACCATGGGTAGCTCTGCAGTTGGTTTCAGTGCCTGGGAACACAGATGGAAGAAGGATGGGGTCCAGGGGAAGGCCTTGACGCCCCTTGATCCTTGCTGAGTTTGAAAGGACTGTGGGATGTCCAGGGGAAAGTCAGGTGGCCAGGCTGGAAGGTCCAGCAGAGCTCTAGGCCTGGGATGGACACTGGGGACCATCACTGTAAAGAGACAGGTTGATCTGGGAGAGCAGGTGAGGATGTGCAGAAGGAAGAGCTGCCAGGGGAAGGAGAAGCTTCTGTGTGGCTGAGAAGGAGCAGCTGGAGAGTAAGGAGGAAATCCAAGGGCAGGCAGTAACTGTTAAGCCAGAGAGTCTGCCAGAGGGCCAGTGAGATGAGGACTGAAGAGGACTCACTGTCATTAGCAGCAAGGAGGTGGGTGCTCAGGACATTATGGAGATCAAGTTTAAGTGGGTGCTGGGGGACAGAAGCCAGAGTACAGCAAGTGGAGAAGGATACACATCACCTTCAAGAAGCTTGGCTGTGAAGGAGAGAAGAGAGGGCTGGAGCTTGAGAGAAAGGTGGGCTCTGACTTTCTTTTATCTTTTTCTTTTCTTCTTTCTTTTTTTTTTTTGTTTTTTTTTTTAGACAGGGCCTCACTCTGTCACCCAGACTGGAGTGCAATGGTGTGATCTTAGCTCAGTGCAGCCTCGAATTCCTGGGCTCAAGTGATCCTCCTGCCTCAGCCTCCCAAAGTGCTGGGATTACAAGCATGCACAATCATGCCTGGCTAATTTTTAAATTTATTTTTATTTTCTATAGAGACAAGGTCCTTCTGTGTTTCCCAGGGGGGTCTTGAACTCTTGTGCTCAACCAATCCTCCCACCTTGGCCTCACAAAGTGCTGGGATTATAGGCATGAGCCACCACGCCCAGCCAGCTCTCACTTTCAAATTCCTATCATTTTGACCATCAGAGGAACTGGAAGATTGGGGAAGCCCCGAGACATTTCCCCACAAAACTGCCAAAGCCTGCTTCCTCCAGTGGTTGATTCCACTTCCTCTGCTTCCACGCCCACCATCTGTGCACCTCTTCTCCCAGCTGCATCTTTTCTTTTTTCTTTTTTTTGGAGATGGAGTTTTGCTATTGTTGCCCAGGCTGGAGTGCAATGGCACAGTCTTGGCTCACCGCAGCTTCTGCCTCCGGGGTTCAAGCAATTCTCCTGCCTCAGCCTCCCAAGTAGCTGGGATTACAGGTGCACACCACCATGCCCGGCTAATTTTTGTATTTATTATTATCATTATTATTATTTGAGATGGAGTCTCACACTGTTGCCCAGGCTGAAGTACAATGGCAGGATCTCAGCTCACTGCAACCTCCGCCTCCTGGGTTCAAGCGATTCTCCTGCCTCAGCCTCCCGAGTAGCTGGGTTTACAGGCGCCCACCACCATGGCTGGCTAATTTTTTGTATTTTTAGTAGAGACAGGGTTTCACTATGTTGGCCAGGCTGGTCTCGAACTCCTGACCTCAGGTGATCCGCCCACCTTGTCCTCCCAAAGTGCAGCTGCATCTTTTCTGATTGGTGCAGACCTCCCAATTGGCCTGGCTGTTGCATGCATAGTGAAAATGTGGCTGAACAAAGGGAGGCGATTGTCAGTGTCAGAAGTGAGTTCAGGTCCAAGCTTTCTGGTTTCTGAACTGGAATGTCTTTGCCATTATCTAGTCCAAAGCATTTCAGATTTTTCCAATGAAGAGCCCCTACTGGCACACAGGAAACAGCTCAGACACCAGGGATCAGGGTTATGAAATGAAGTATGCGGCAGCCACTAAAAGCCTAGTGTATCTCTAATTTCTCTAAAACCTCATGTTTTAGCATAAAAGCGCATGCAGTGTTGCATCCTACTCTGACATACTTGGGTGCTTTGGGGTTTTAAAATTATATTTGGAATTGCTTACCTTCATATGAAATTGACACTCAAAGAAGGTGCACCAGCTTTGTCCCATGACCCTCCCGTTAGAGCAGCAGTCAGAAGTCAGATCGTCTCCCTCCACCTTTCTTTCTTTCCTTCCCTCGCTCCCTCCCTCTCTCTCTCTTTCTTTCTTTTCTTTTCTTTCTTTCTTTTTTTTTTTTTTTGAAGGAGTCTTGCTGTGTTGCTTAGGCTGGAGTGCAGTGGTGCAATCTCAGCTCACTGCAACTTCCACCTCCCAGGTTCAAGCAATTCTCCTGCCTCAGCCTCCTGAGTAGCTGGGACTACAGAGGTGCGCCACCATGCCTGGCTAATTTTAGTATTTTTAGTGGAAATGGGGTTTCAAAATATTGGCCAGGCTGGTCTCAAACTCCTGACCTCGTGATCTGCCTGCCTTGGCCTCCCAAAATGCTCAGATTACAGGCGTGAGCCACCACACCCGGCCCATCCCTCCACCTTTCTTACACCTGTGCATACACACATACACAATCACACAAACTACAATTGAGACTGAGGTCCAGAGAGGTGGTCACATGGCCAAGATCACACAGCAAGCGCGTGGGTCTAGCTCCATTAACTCCCTATCCATTGCTCCTTCTTTGCAACTCCATTGCCAAGGAATTGAGGATGGCATAGTTTTTACTGGGGAATCTCAGATTTCCTGTTTGATATTGGCAGATGAAATTAGGAATGGGGAACAGAGGTTTAGAGTGGAAAACAAGTAATTTAATTATTTGGGTCCCATAACTAGGTTCTGATGCTTTGAAAACATGACACTATTGTATTTATGTAAATAGCCATGCTCGAGGGAGGATTTGACAGGCCTCAAGGAGGCCTTTCTCCTCCAAATTATCTTCTCTATTCTGGTGTTAAGACTTGAAATCCACCTTCAAGTTAAGCATTGTCCTTTCCCCCAGGTCATTGCTATGGGTTGAGTTAGTCCCTCTGAAATTCATATGTTGAAGTCTTAACCCTCAGTATGTCACATCATTTGGAGACAGGGCCTTCACAGAGGTAACCAAATCAAAATGAGGTCATTTGGGTGGGCCCTAATCCAAAAACACTGGTGTCCTTATAAGAAGTGGAGGCCGGGCGCGGTGGCTTACACCTGTAATCCCAGCATTTTGGGAGGCCAAGGCAGGCAGATCACCTGAGGTCAGGAGTTCCAGACCAACCTGACCAACATGGAGAAACCCAGTCTCTACTAAAAATACAAAATTAGCTGGGCATGGTGGCACATGCCTGTAATCCCAGCTACTCGGGAGGCTGAGGCAGGAGAATCGCTTGAACCCGGGAGGCGGAGGTTGTGGTGAGCTGAGATCACGCCATTGCACTCCAGCCTGGGCAACAAGAGCTAAACTCCATCTCAAAAAAAAAAAAAAAAAGTGGAGATTTGGGCCGGGCACAGCGGCTCACATCTGTAATCCTAGCACTTTGGGAGGTGGGAGGATTGGTTGAGCCCAGGAATTTGAGACCAGCCTGGGCAACATAGTAAGACCCCATCTCTACAAATAAAAAAAAAAAAATTAGCCAGGTGTGGTGGCATGTGCTTGTGGTCCCAGCTACTCAGGAGTCTGAGACAGGAGGATCACCTGAGCCCTGGAGTTTGAGGTTGCAGTGAGCCATTATCGCACCTCTGCACTCCAGCCTGGGTGATGAAGCGAGACCCTGCCCTTCCCCACTGGCCTCCCGCAAAAAAAAAAAGAAGAGGAGATTTGGACACAGAGATACACATAGAAGGAAGAAAGATGGTGTGAGGGAAAAGACGGCCATCTACAAGCCAAAAAGAGAGACCTGGACAGATCCTTCCCTCACAACCCTCGAAAGGAACTAACCCTGCTGGATAACTTAATTTCACACTTTTAGCCTCCAGAACTATGAAAGGATGCATTTCTGTTATTTAAACTACTCAGTTTGTGGTACTTTGTTATGGCAGTCTTAACAAACAAACAGAGTCATCTTTGTGAAGCCTTGTGCTTCTGGGAAGGAAAGCACAGCCAGATTCCTACAGCAGAAAAGCATGATCTTCCCTTAGTAAAGGGATTATTTCTGCCTCTGTCTTTGAGCTGGACCCTCTGTAGGTAACTCACACACAACATCTAATTTCCTCTTCACCAGAGGGATACATAATAAGGACAAAAATTAATGCTCATATTCACTGAGCATTTACTATGTACCAGGCAGTTTTTAATGATTTACATTTGATACCCACTACTAGGAGGTATGAGGGACTATTATTCCTATTTTACAGATGAGGAAACTGAGTCCCACTGAGGTTACGTGTCCCAGTGAGGTTACGTGTCCAGCCCAAGTCACTCAGCTAACAGTAAGTGACTGGACCAAAATTAGAAAACACGTTCCACCCACCTTTCTAACCCCTCTCAGAATGAATGAGCTTCCTGCAACTTTCCTTCGGAGCCAATGGACAGGGAGCTGACCCCAGGCCATGGTGGGCTAATGCAGGAAGAAGAGGAAGGTGGAGACAGCCATCGGTGCCTGAAACCTGCACCTTCTGTCCTGCAAGGCAGCCCTCCCTCAGCCCCACTGCAGGTTCAATGGGCTTGGGCCTAAGTTGGGGCTGACGTCAGCTGAGGGAAATTCGACTTGGAGAACAAAAGCTTCCACCACAGGAAAAAACTTCCTGTTCAAGTCCTGGCAAGAGAGCTCGGGTTTCAACCACACAGCTGGTAAAGTCATCGGCTGGTCGTGGGCTGGCGACGCAGGGGCTCCCAAGGGCACGGAGCAGCTGGGCGGAAGGCCTGGAGATCTCTTCCCGCCAGGCTGCAGGGGTCTGATCAGAGAGACCCAAGATTCCCCTGTGGATGGTGGTGGGGAAGGGCTGAGGCCAGGCCTTGTCAAAGTCCTTTCCCACCTCTGACTTTGGCCAATCCTCCCAAACGCGTAGAGCCAAGCAGCCATCATCAGTGCGCCCATATCCATTTGCCAGTAAAGAAACCAAGTCCAGAGAGGGGTGGTCAGTATCTCAATGATAGTCATCAAATTAGATGGGGGGTGGGGGGAGTGGGAGGACTTGAACCCAGTCCTTGATCTCTTCCTGAGTTCTCGGTTCTTTGGTTACTAAACAAAGGAGGAAAAAGATCTAACAAAGATCTAGGTGAAAAGGAGACAAATTCCAAAGACCCCATTTTTCCAGCCACCCATCCTGCCTCAGCAGAGCACTGAGGGCTGGGTGGAAGAACATTCACTCATTCATCCATTCAGCACATCAGGCACCCACCATGTGGATGCCATCCAGCCTGGGAGCCACATGTGCCCAACTAACTTGTTTTAAGTCCATTCAGCAAGGTGGGGCTCGAGATCCAGGCAACAGAGGAAGTAACGAATGGAATGGACATAAAGTTGGTGGATACATGAAAGGTATCATTGTTAATAATATTGTTCCCCTGTTCAGCACATGTTTTAGTCAAGCACCAATTATTAGCAAGGCACAGAGGCACAGTGCTCCAGCTATGTCTGCCAGGCTATGTGCCAGTCACTTTACATGGAATTTCATTTCATCTTTACATCCACCCTATGAGGTGGTGAAGTGGACACCAGGATCTACAAGCTCCCTTTTTTGGGAATTTGGACCCCTCCCCCATCACATGGGTGAGTCCCTGAGGCCACGTTTGTACCTAGTGGTCCCGCCTTATGGTCATAGGTGATTAGATTAGGAGTGGGCATGTGGCTCAAGCTGGGCCAATCAGGTTCTCTTTGTGGAGAATTTATTTATTTATGGAGATGGAATCTCACTCTGTCACCCAGGCTGGAGTGCAGTGGCGTGATCTCGGCTCACTGCAACCCCTGCCTCCCGGGTTCAAGCAATTCTTCGGCCTCAGCCTCCCTAGTAGCTGGGCCTACAGGAGTGCCTCACCACGCCCTGCTAATTTTTATATTTTTAGTAGAGACAGGGTTTTGCCATGTTGGCCAGACCAGTCTTGAACTCCTGACCTCAAGTGATCCACCCGCCTTGGTTTCCCAAAGTGCTGGGATTCTTTTTTTTTTTTTTTTTTTTTTTTGAGATGAAGTCTCAGTCTGTCACCCAGGCTGGAGTGCAGTGGTGCGATCTGGGCTCACTGCAACCTCTGCCTCCTGGGTTCAAGAGATTCCCGGGAGGCAGAGTGTGTGTGTGGAGGATCTCGGGTGCGGAGTAGCCACCACACTCAGCTACTTTTTGTATTTTTAGTAGAGATGGGGTTTTGCCATGTCGGTCAGGCTCGTCTCAAACTCCTGACTTCGGGTGATCCACCCACCTCAGCCTCCCAAAGTGCTGGGCTTACAGACATGAGCCACTGCGCCCAGCCAAGTGCTGGGATTCTTTGTGGAGAGTTTAGAATTGAGATGTCATATTAACTGAGGCTTATCAGAACTGAGGGGTTGAGGGGGAGAAGAGAGTAATGCAGCAGGTAGCTGAGGGTGGTAGAGAGGCTGGTGGCCTTCCTGTCCAGGTTCTAAGCAAAGTCTGGTTGCTTTCCCTCCTGGGCCCCTCCAGGCTTGCTACATTCTTATGATGCATTCTGGTTTTGCCTAAGCTAGCTTGAGCCAGTTTCTGTCACTTGCATCCAAAGAGTCCTCGGTAGAACAGCGAGTTCCATGATGGCAAGGGACTGGGTCTTGTTCACTAAAGTGTCCTTAGGACCTGGTACATAAAAAGGGCTCCATAAATGTTAGTTGAATTAATAAAAAGTGGAGGTTCCGAGAAGTTAATTGATTTGGACCCGAGCCTCACAGTAAGTAACAGCTGGACTTTGAACTGGGTCTACCGGCTTCAGAGCATGTGCCTTTTCTGCCATACCAGGCTGGCTTTTATAAATTGTTCTCCTTATTATTATATTAAAATCACAGGTAGTCAGAACTAGAGTGAACCTGAAGACTAGTAAGTTTTATTGTTTTGTAGACGAGAAATTGGGGCCTAGGGAGGGGAAATGGCAGAAGTTTCTTGATTCTCATGCAGCTACCTAACCCGAGCTGACGTTTAATTATCATGTGTGTGACACTGCTGTGCTTGCTGTTTGAGTACTGAAATGTTTTCATACCAGTTGATGACTAGCAGCTGCCTCAAGCCCTTAGTGTCCCCTCCTCTGTAGCCCCAGCCTTCAGAACCCCCGGGCTTCCATTATCCACAAGCAAAGGGGTTGTGCTGAGTCCAGCACGGCTCTCCAGGTCTATTCTGATTGGTCAGTATCTGTGCCACTCGACCTGTTAAATATCAGCCTTGAATTTACCTAGTGTGATTTGAAGAGTTCTGGTTACTTTGTCTCTCCATTAAAGAGAAGTGGGGATTTTAAAATATAGCAAAAATAGCATTGCTATCCTTCCCCTCTGCCTCCCATGGCAGCTCAAATTCTACTGTTCAGAAACATTTCATGTATCCACTCACCCCTTCATTCCACAAATATTTACTGGGTGCCGATTCTGTGACAGGCTTTTGGCCCCCAGGAGCTCTTGTTCCCCACCACCTAAAATGTAAATTCCCCTGGGGAGGGAGGAATCTGAAGTTGGTATGGCCTGCATGCCATGGGGGTGATTTGGTAGTGGCAGGGATGACCCACTGGGCTGGCTTAGCCACCTGCAAAAGGTCAGCAACAAACAGGCAGACCAAAAGAAGTAATCGAGAGGGAGAAAGATAATACAGAAATAAACAACTGTATTTCAGCACATGTGTAAGTTGCATGGCACATCAAAACACCAACATTTAGGCCAGGCACGGTGGTTTACACCTATAATCCCAGCACTTTGGGAGGCCAAGGCAGGCGCGGATCACTTGAGGTCAGGTGTTCGAGACCAGTCTAGCCAACATGGTGAAACCCTGTCTCTACTAAAAATACAAAAAGTTAGCCAGGTGTGGTGGCAGCCGCCTATAATCCCAACTACTGGGGAGGCTGAGACAGGAGAATTGCTTGAGCCTAGGAGGAAGAGGTTGCAGTGCGCCGAGATTGCACCACTGCACTCTAGCCTGGGTGATGGAGTGAGACTCTGTCTCAAAAACAAACAAACAAACGACAACAAGAAAAAGCACCAACATTTATTTTATGAATTGGTGATGTTATTCTTTTGATTTACATATGTTGGAGGTAGATGGCATAATGGGCCTTCAGGGGTTGGGGCTCTAAAGATCTTAGCTGGGTTGAGCTGGCAGGCAGTGGAGGGCAAATTGCATGATCACAGATCTGGGCTGGACACCTGGGCTGAGCTGACGTTCTAGGAGGAGGAGTGAAGAATCCAATATGTGTTAAGGATGTCTACGTGCCTGTCCCATCCTAGGAATTTATATGTAGTATCTCATTACACTTCAAACAGCACTAGGTAGTAGATTTTATGATTCCATTTTACTGATGGAGGAAACTGAGATTCAGGATTTCTAAGCAGTTTTCACAAGGCGACATTACTAGTAATTAATGGAATTGGGATTTGCACCTGGATCTGGCATTTGGTAAATATTTGTTGAAAGAATGATCTTTCTGGCTCCAAAGTCCATGCCCTGTTACTACAGTTGAGAGAAAACCACCACCCCACACAAATATTAATAATAGCTGGCACTTATAGAGTACTGACTAAATGCTAAGCACTGTTCCAAGCACTTTATATATGTCAACTCATTTACACCTCATTTGACAGGTGAGGAAGCCAAGGCATAGAGAGATAAGTCGCCCAAGGTCTCAGAAGTGGCACACGGTGTAGCCCATGTTTAATCCAGCTGTCTGGCTGCAGGTCAGCCCTGAGCCTCTCTATACCATCCTGCCTGTTTCCCACAGCCCCACCCATTCAGGGTTTGATGATTTCATTTTCTTTTCACTAGTTTGGTAAGCATGCACTGATACCCAGAGCTTGTGTGTTTGCATTCCTCTTGTTTCTGGTAGAACTATGTACTTTTTCATGTTTTGATTTACCATCTGTGCTTCCTGTGTAAACTGTCTGTTCACCTCCTTTGTTGCTTACGGAGTGGAATCTGGGCACTGATTTTAGCTTTTTGTAAAAAAGCAAAAATTAATAAATTTTAGATGTATCGCTGGTTGGTTATTTCTTCCAGGCTGTTATTTTCCTCTTGTGACTGTCCTATATTTTATTCAATAAAAGTTTCCTATTTTTTAATTGATTTTTTTTGTCTCTGATTATGGATTTTCTTCCAATACGATCAATGTGGGATTGCATGTTCAAGTCTTTTTTATGGTTTGTTTTTCAGACAGGAACATAATCTCATGCAATTTATTGCAGAAAATGGTACAAAGTGTGAGTAACTCTTCTCCACATTACAATTCTCTCCAAATCATTTATTATATGATAATTATTTTCTTCACTGGATTGTTGAACTATTTTTAGTTTTACTATATATTGGATTAATTTGGGATAGTTTAATCTTTTCCATTGATCATTTTTTCCCCATTGTTACCATATAGTTTGGATAATTGTCACTTTGTAATATGTTATGAAATCTGGTAGGCTAAATATACTATCATACCCTTTCAAGAGAAGCTTTAGTCTTTTTAACCATTTAATCTGGTAACGACATCACTATTCATTTAATCAAGGTCTTATAAAGTATCCTTTAGGGGCTTTGATAGGTAGTACATTAAATCTGGCTGGGAGCAGTGGCTCATGTCTGTAATCCCAGCACTTCGGGGGGCTGAGGTGGGCAGATCACCTGAGGTCAGGAGTTCGAGACCAGAGTGACCAACATGATGAAACCCTGTCTCTACTAAAAATACATAATTAGCCAGGTGTGGTGGCGCATGCCTGTAATCCTAGCTACTTGGGAGGCTGAGGCAGGAGAATCACTTGAACTGGGGAGGCAGAGGTTGCAGTGAGCTGAAATTGTGCCATTGCACTCCAGCCTGGGCAACAAGAATGAAACTCCGTTTCCAAAAACAATACTAACAAGATTAATGAATAAATGAATAAATAAATAAATAAATCTATACAGAAACTTAAGGTAAATTGTTGCCTTTGCTATTTCTAGTCTTCTATGCTGGAATGGGCATACCTTCCTCTTATTTTCATCTTCATTTATTTCTCCCAAGAGAGTTCTATGAACTTCTTTGAAGAAATCTTATGACATGAAGTAAACTAATGTTCAAGTGTTGAATGTTTGACATTAACTAAAGGGAATACTTTTTCCTGTGTGACTTCTATCTGCATGACACTAGTATACACATCAGAATGGAAGCTCTTGGCTCATGGGAAGTTTGGAAGACTTGGAAACTGGTTACTACCCTTGGAGAGTGGCCAGTACCTGGGTAGCTGCAGGCAGGGGGAGGATGGGGCCAGGGGTATGCAGATTTGGGGGCCTGAGGGAGTTCTGCAAGAGGGAAGCCCCCACTGGGGAGTGAGCCCACATGATTGGGCACGGCCTGGCACAGAGGGCATGTGCCAGGCATGTGGGTGGGGAGCAGGAGTACTATTTGGCCCAGGCCTCAAATGTAGACTACTGACATCTCCAGATGAGATTATTGACAGTCAGTGGGTCCCTCGGAGAGGCCATTGGCTATAGGGGTATGGCATCCTCAGAATCTCTGTTCTGCTCTTTACCAGAATATGCTGTGAGTATTTCACAACTGCGTTCAGCAGGAGGCAGGAGTCTGTAAGTTCTGTTTTTTGTTTTTGTTTTTGTTTTTTTTTGAGATGGAGTTTTGCTCTTGTTGCCAAGGCTGGAGTGCAATGGCATGATCTCAGCTCACCTCAACCTCTGCCTCCTGGATTCAAGCTATTCTCCTGCCTTAGCCTCCCGAGTAGCTGGGATTACAGGGATGCACCAGCACACCCAGCTAATTTTGTATTTTTAGTAGAGATGGGGTTTCTCCATGTTGGTCAGGCTGATCTCAAACTCCCAACCTAAGGTGATCTGCCCGCCTCGGCCTCCCAAAGTGCTAGAATCACAGGGTGAGCCACTGTGCCTGGCCCTGTAAGTTCTGTTAAATGCCTACTACACACACCAAATCCTCTGCTTGGAACTCTACCATTGCTACCTTTTTAAATCCTCACTACAGCCTGACGAGGTACATATCATTACACCCGTTTTGAGATGTGGAAACTAAGGCTGCAAGAGGTTAAGGTCAAAGCCCAAAGACCAATTGCTAGTACATTTCAGAGCCCACCATTGAACTTGGCATTGTGTTCAGAGCCCATATCCTTATTCTTTCCATTCACCACTCTGCCTTATCTGAGAGCAGGGTCTCAGTGAGTGCTTGTCACTTGGGGAAGAATGAAACATGAGCAAGTCCCAAGTCTTGACCAGGTCATTCATTCACTCGCTGTCGGTCACATGCTCCACTTCTCCCAGGGCGACATCACCCACTCCATGGTTTCGTCCACCCACATCTGTCACATCTGTCCTTCCAACCCTGACTTCTTTCCTAAAGTTGGCACTTGAACAGCCTACTTTCTGATGGTAAATGTAGTAGAATGTCTCATATCTCATGCCAGAAGGGAACGCCCATGTCTCCTTCATCTCCCAAATCTGCTCTTCTCCTGTCCTTTTTCTCTGTGAACGATGCCACCATCGATCTATTATTCACCAAGGCTTCCTGATTTCTTCCTAGACAGGTCTAAATCTGTGTCTTCTTCTCTGACTCTGCAACCACCCCCCTGGGCTGAATCCTGTCCATTTAGCATGTGTCTGACCCTTGGCTGCCTCTCCCCACAAGCCCAGTGCTCTGGTATCCCTTGTGTGTCTCGGGTGGATCTTCCTGAGCCACGACTCTGACCTTCCTGGGCTGAGAAATACCAATACAGTGTTGGCATGAAACCTTAGAACCGGACTTTTGTACCAGCCATGTCAATCATAGCACTTGCCTTTTACATCCCTTCTGAGGGGAGCTGGCCTGCTGCCACTACCTGCTGCAAAAGGGAACCCTGTTTAGGGCCATATAACCCTGCCAGCTTATTGGACCCATCGTGGCCACCTGGCCCCAAGGCAGGTGGTTGATTGGCTGGCCGACAACATATAACGTGGTCTGGTGTTAAAGAGGCATGCTAGGGCTGGGTGTGGTGGCTCACACCTGTAACCCCAGCACTTTGGGAGGCCTAGCTGGGAGGATTGCTTGAGGTGAGGAGTTTGAGACCAGCCTGGGCAACATAGCAAGATCCTAACTCTACAAAATTTGAAAAAATTTTAAAAAGAGGCACATAGGCCAGTCAGATTCTCTCAAGAGAATATGAGCAAAGCAATATGTAGAGACTGAGGCTGTGAGCAATGGAAATTGAGACTGACAAGTCAAGAAGTATAGTTAGGGCTGGCGACGGCCCTTGTGCAATGCAGAGGGTATGTGTCAGAGGAGGAAACTGCTAAGTACAGAGAGGGGAATGGAGCTGACACAGAGTGCAGGGGCCACTGTGAGAAGGAAGCTGTGCATCATGAATAGGACTCTTTAAATGGAATACATTTTGTTTTAGGAAAACCTCTCCACATTGTCATTATTTGCTTGTTTTGCTATAGACCAGTGCAGATTGCAGGGGGATGTTTGGGGTCCCCAAGTTTGTCTGACATCAAACAATCCCTCTTTCAGGCTGGGGCCTTGGGAGAGGCAGCAGAAGTCTCACAAGACCAGAGAAACAGCCTCAGATCTTCCCTCTGGGGAATCCAGACAATAGCAACTGCCGGCTTTTTTCCACTGGAATATTACCACACGTGGCGAGGCACGGATGCTCCACTTCAATATTTAGACTTTGGTGCTATGGAAGTCAGCAGTGTTTGTTATTCTGGTGGCTTGTGTTTGGAGAAATGCATTGTCTCCACCGCAACGCATGATGTGCACGAGTCGTTCCATTGTCTTGCAGCCCAGCCAGCAAGAGATCACAGGGCTGATCTAGCACCAGTTCTTTCTGATAAGGCTCCAGGAGGGTTAGGGCTGGTCTAACTCCCTGAGGAAAGCTGGTTACCAGGCTTTGAGGGCTGGGGTAGGGGACAGGTGTCAGGGCCAGCCCCTTAAGACTGTGGGCAGAGCCACCTTAGTGTATAAAGAAGGGGTTTGCAAGTATAGGCTCTACAGTCAGACCTCCTGGATTGGTAAACTATCTCCACTACTTACCAGCTGTGTGACCTTGGGTAAGACACTTAACCTCTCTGTGCCTCAGTCTCTCCATCTGTAAAATGGAGATAATTATAGTATATACCACATAGAGTTTTATCAGGATTAAATGAAGTAAAATATTAGGTTGACCTATATGAAATTGTCTTTTTTTTTTTTTTTGAGATAGAGTCTCACTTTGTCGTCCAGTCTAGAGTGCAATGGCGCCATCTTGGCTCACTGCAACCTCCACCTCCTGGGTTCAAGCGATTCTCCTGCCTCAGCCTCCCAAGTAGCTGGGATTATAGGCGCCCGCCACCACGCCCAGCTAATTTTTGTATTTTTAGTAGAGACGGGGTTTCACCATATTGGCCAGGCTGGTCTCGAACTCCTGACTTTGTGATCCTCCCACCTCAGCCTCCCAAAGTGCTGGGATTACAGGCATGAGCCACCACGCCCGGTGAAACTGTCATTTTTATAGGCCCCAAATGGTTTATTCTAATACGATTGTGACTAGTACATAGTAAGTGCTTAACAAATGCAAGCTAAAGGCATAGAAAATTATATTAGCATTTGTTATTGTCTCAGCTCTTCTCTGACAGTAAGTACCAGCCATTTTTGAGCAGGCCTTGCCAAGGCTGGTTATCACAGAGGAAAGGGGGTGCTGATGTCCGCTTCAGTGCTGCAGGCACCAGGAGACCATGGACTCCTCAGCGCCAGGCCCAGCTACGCCACCACTAGCAGAGTCACTTCCCCTCTAAGCTCCTTTCTCTGACAGAAATGATCATATTGGACATGCTTATATAAAAACCCCTCCCGGGCTAGGCACGGTGGCTCAAGCCTGTAATCCCAGCACTTTAGGAGGCTGAGGTGGGTGAATCAACTGAGGTCAGGAGTTCGAGATCAGCCTGGTCAACATGGTGAAACCCCTGTCTCCACTAAAAGCACAAAAATTAGTCGGGAGTGGTCGTGGGTGCCCGTAATCCCAGCTACTCAGGAGGCTAAGGCAGGAGAATGGCTTGAACCCAGGAGGCAGATGTTGCAGTGAGCTGAGATCACTCCACTGCACTCCAGCCTGGGTGACAGAGCAAGACTCCAACTCCGAAACAAACAAACAAAGAAAAAACCCCTTCCAGCTCTAGTTGACTCTAAGTATTCTCAGACCACAGCAATTTCTCCTTTTCACTTCCCAGCTCTTTGTGTCACTCAATTGCCAGATGCAAATTAAACCTCTGGGACCTGGTCTCACATTTGTCCCTTGGTTGACTGCTCTATTTTGATAGCTTCTGAGAGCCTCCATAGCCTGTGACAACACATGAGACCATAATTCCTTTTGTTGCTCGAATTCTAACAGCTGGGCCACATCCAGCTTCGCTATAAGAAATATAGGTTTTTTTCACTTCACCTTCCTAAATAATGATGACAACTATTACTTCTTTACCATAACCTAGATGTCAGGCATTGTTCTGGGTGCTTATGTATATTAAGCCATTTAACCTTCACAACAACTCTAGAAAGTATGTAATTTAATGCCCATTTTACTGCTAAGGAAACCTTCTGTCTTACCCAAGATCACGTAGCCAATAAGCGGCAGAACTGGGATTCGAACCTGAGCCATGTTCATGGCCACAACCTCTACTCTCTTAGCAGTTCCTGGAAAGGATTACCTGTTCCACATATCCCTCTCGGTGTCCTCTTGCTCATCCAGTTATTTGGCTCTGGAATCTTGTCCCAGTTAGCGATTCACTTCTAGTGAGTCACGCCGTGAAATCTTCAGAATTGCAGTGTGACTGAATGGTACTGTGAAACACTGCCTTTTGAATCTTCCTTAGGTTTTAACAAAGGACTTCACAGTCACACTCTTCCCTCAGCTTCATCCTAAGAACACAATTTCCTGAGAGGCCCCTGGGTTTAATATTTGCCCCAGAAGCTATTTCTTAATGTTAGCATTGCTTGCTATCTAGAGAGGTGGGAATCTTCATAAATAGCAAGCCCTGTCTCCTTTTTTTTTTTTTTGAGACAAGGTCTTGCTCTGTCACTCAGGTTGGAGTGCAGTGGCGTGAACATGGCTCACTGCAACCTCGATCTCCTGGGCTCAAGCGATCCTCCCACCTAAGCCTCCTGAGTAGTTGGGACTACAGACATGCAACACTACACCTAGCTAAATTTTGAATTTTTTGTAGAGATGAGGTTTTGCCACATTGCCCAGGCTGGTCTCAAACTCCTGGGCCCTAGTGATCTGTTCACCTCAGCCTCCCAAAATGCTGGGATTACAGGTGTGAGGCACTGTGCCCGGCTCCTTTTTAAAAACAAACAAACAAACAAACAATCTTTCCTCTAGCATTTTACTATAAGCAGCAAGCTATGAGGCAGTACCCTCAACAGTCTTGGCTAACAGTCCTTAGCCCAATTACCTAGTTCACTAGTGACATTCTCTAGTTTCCACAAAACCACAGCTGACAGTGTTGCTAACTACATAATAAGAATATATAATAAGAATTACATAGTAACTACATAGTAAGAATCTTCCTTCCTCCAGTTTCCAATAACATGCTCCTCATTTACTTTTAAGTCCTCACCAGCAGTCTCTTCAATGTCCTTCCAGCTCCTACCAATTGCTCAGTTCCAAAACCATTCCTAAATTTTAAGTTTTTATTATGGCAGCCTCCCACTTCTAAATACCGAAGTCTTTATTAGTTATCTATTGCTTTATAAAGAATTACCCAACGCTTAGCAGCTTAAACTTTTTTTTTTTTCCTCCGTGCAGTTTCTGAGGGCCAGGAACCTGGGTGGTTCTGGCTTAGGGCCTTCCATAGGTTGTAGCCAAGTTGCTGGCCAGGGCTGCAGTTATGATTTGACTGGGGATGGAGGATTCACCTCTAACATGGCATCTTTCATGTGGCTGTTGGCTAGAGGCTCAGTTCCTCACTGACTATTGTCAGGAGGCCACAGTTCCTTGTCACAAGAGACTCCAGAAGGCTACTTGGCATAACAGCTGGCTTCCCTCAAAAGAAACTATTCTAAAGAGAGTGACCAAGAGGGAAGTAACAATGCCTTTTATGATCTAGTCTCTGTATTCACACATGATCACTTCTTCTTTATTCTATTGGTCATACAAACCAATCCAGACACACAGGGACTAACAAGGATATGAACACCAGCAGATGAAGATCATCAGTACCATCTTGGAGGCTGGCTACCACAACAGTAAGACACTGAATGCTTTCACCTAACACCTAGAATAAGACAGTGATGTGTACTCTCACCACTTTAACCCAACATTCTAGTGGGAGTTCTAGCCAGTGCAATAAAGCAAAAAATAAAATGCATTCAAATTAGAAAGGAAGAAATAAAACTCTTAATTTGCAGATGACACAATTGTCTAGGTAGAAAATTATAAGGAGTCTACAAAAAAGCCGCTAGAACTAATAAGTGAATTTAAGAAATTTATGGGATACAGGCCGGGCGTGGTGGCCACACCTGTAATCCAGCCTGACAAACGTGGTGAAACCCAGTCTCTACTAAAATATAAAAATTAGCCAGGCATGGCTAATCTCAGTTACTTGGGAGCTTGAGGCAGGAGAATCACTTGAACCCAAGAGGTGGAGGTTGCAGTGAGCCTAGATCACGCCACTGCACTCCAGCCTGAGCAACAGAGTGAGACTCCCTCTCAAAAAAAAAAAAAAAAAAAAAAAGAAAAGAAATGTATAGGATACAGATCAATTTTTTTTGGATGATCAATTGTATTCTTATACACAAGCAACAAAGAATTGGAAATTAAAATTTTAAAAAACCAAAAATATTTTTAAAGGAAAAGTTGCACATGTTCACAACTGAGCAGCTTTCTCAGTCTGCTCCCTGCCAGTAGAATTTGAGGGGTTCAAAGAGCCTCTGTTCATTTTGTACTGTCTCTGTCCCTTTCAGTCTAATCTAGCAGTATTTCTGCCAATATATTTCTTTTAAAACTCTGTGGGTCATCAAAAATATGAAATCCTTAGGGACAAATGTGGCAAAAGATGTGTAAGACCCATGCACTGAAAATATTGCTGAGAGAAATCAAAGATGACCTAAATAAGTGAAGAGATATATATCCTCATGGATCAGATGACTCAGTAATATTAAGCTGTTAATTCTGTTAAAGTTGATCTACAGACTCAGTACTATCCCAATAAAAAACCCAGCATGCTGTTTTTCGTAAAAATAACAAATTGATTCTAAAAACAACGTATGACAGCCCAAACAATTTTGTAAAAGAAGAAGAAAGTTGTTGAAATTGCACAAATTTCCACATCTAAAAAGCTCCAATGATCAAGATAGCGTGGTATTGGTGTCAAGATAGACAAATCGGAGCAGGGTGAAGAACAAGAGGCGAGAACGACCCCTGGACAGACCAACACCTGCGTGCCGCGCTGCATCCCGCACCCAGCGCCTATGTCCCCCCGCCGTTGCCGCCACCACAGTGCCCAAGAGAAAGGCTGAAGGTGATGCTAAAGCAGATAGAGCCAAGATGAAGGACAAACCACAGAGAAGATCCACGAGGTTTTCTACTAAACCTGCTCCTCCAAAGCCGGAGCCCAAACCTAAAAAGGCCCCTGCAAAGAAGGGAGAGAAGGTACCAAAAGGGAAAAGGGAAAAGCTGAGGCTGGCCAGGAGGGGAATAACCCTGCAGAAAATGGAGATGCCCAAACAGACCAGACACAGAAAGCTGAAGGTGCTGCAGATGCCAAGTGAAGTGTGTGCATTTTTGATAACTGTGTACTTCTGGTGACTGTACAGTTAGAAATGCTATTTTTTATCAAGTTTTATAAAAATGCAGAATTTTGTTTTACCTTTTTTTTAAGCTATGTTGTTAGCACACAGAACACTTCATTGTGTTTTTTTGGGGAAGGGGCATATGTCACTAACAGAATGTCTCCGAAGCTAGGTTGACGTGGTGAAAACCCCTTTCCCTTCTAGTTTTGAGAGACTTGCTCTTGGCTCCCAGGAGGAGGGATTCCCTGACTTTGACACACAAGGTCCCTTGGCACAAAAGCCTCGTGGGACGGAAAAACAAATTCGTTTTTATGTCCTCTTCTCCCTTTCCACCTTTCAGCATAGACTTAACTCCCTTAAGCCCAGACACCTGTTGGAGAATGACCCTCAATTATTGGTTACTGGTGTGTCAGGCACTCTGGACTTTCCAGTGATGCCACTGAAATGGAACCCCTCAAAAAAGCAGTGGTTCCATTTCTAGATTGTGGATCTTCAGATAAATTCTGCCATTTTTATTTCACTTCCTGAAAGTCAGGGTCAGCTTGTGAAAAGCTGTTAAACAACATGCTAAATGTGAAATGTCAACATTCCCTCTGAACTTTCCCTGTTCAGAGCATCAGATGAAGACTTCTTGGGTTTTATAGTGGCTTTCTGATTTTTGGTAGTCCATTGAAGAAGGGAATTTGAAAGTTGTCATGCACTGTTAACAATTGTCTGCCCATGTCCTGCCTGAAATACCATGATTGTTTATGGAAAATATCTTTCATAAAGCTGGATACAGTTTGGCTTGGGGAAAAAAAAAGATAGACAAATCACTCAATGGAACAGAATAGAATCCAGAAATAGATCCACACATATATGATCAATTGGTTTTTTAACAATCTTATTGATAGATAATTTACATCACATAATTCACCCATTTAAGTCACAACTCAATGGTTTTAATATATTCACAGTGTTGTGCAATCATCAACAAATCTAATTATAGAATATTTTCATCTACTCTAAGAACAAAACCCATATTCATTAGCTGTCATTCCCCATTTTCCTCCACCAACTCTCAACCCTTAGCCCTAAGCAATCACTAGTCTACTTTCTGTCTCATATATTTGCCCATTCTGCCTCATATTTTTGATATAAATGGACATTTAAAAAAATAGAATCATACAATATGTAGACTTCTTTCACTTAGCATAATGTATTAAGGATCAACCATATTGTATACATATCCATATTTTATTCCATTTTATTGATAAATAATGTCCCATTGCATGAATATATCACATCATGTTTATTCATTCATCATTGATGGGCATTTGGGTTGTTTCCCCTTTTTGGCTATTATGAATAATACATCTGTGACTATTCATGTACAGATTTTTGTGTGGACATATGTTTTTATTTCTCTCGGGTAGATAGGAGTAGAATTGCTGAGTCATATGGTAACTGTATATTTAACTTTTGAAGAACTACCCAACTGTTTCCCAAAGCAGCTGCACCATTTTACAGTCCCACCAGCAATGGATGAGAGTTCCACTCTCTCCACATCCTCACCAACACTTGTTATTATCCTTTTTTTTTTTTTTATTGTAGTCATCTTACTGAGTGTGGAGTGGTACCTAATTGTGGCTTTGGTTTGCATTTCCCTAATGAGTAATGATGCTGAGCACTTTTTCATGTTATTCATGGCTATTTGTAGACCTTCTTTGGAGAAATGTCTACAAAGCCTTTGCCTATTTTTAAATTGGGTTATTTGTCTGTTTATTATTAGGTTGTAAGAGATTGGTTTTTAAAAAAATGTATTCTGGACACGAGTTCCTTATCAGATATGTGATCAAATGTTTCCTCTCATTCTGTGGATAGTCTTTTCACTTTTTAAAAAATATAATTTTTACTATTTTAAAAATATTTTAAACTTTTATTTTAGGTTCAGGGGTACATGTGTAGGTTTGTTATATAGGTAAATTCGTGTCATGGGGGTTTGTTTTACAGATTATTTCATCACCCAGGTACTAGGCCTAGTATCCAATAGTTATTTTTTCTGATCTTTTCCCTTCTTCCACCCTCCACCCTCAAATAGGCTCCAGTGTCCATTGTTCTCCTCTTTGTGTCTATGTGTTCTCATCATTTAACTCCACTTATAAGTCAGAATGTGCAAAATTTGATTTTCTGTTCCCAGGTTAGTTTGCTAAGGGGAATGGACTTCATCTCTATCCATGTTCTATGTGTTCTCATCATTTAGCTCCACTTATAAGTGAGAATGTGCAGAATTTGATTTTCTGTTCCTAGGTTAGTTTGCTAAGGGGAATGGACTTCATCTCTATCCATGTTCCTGCAAAGGACATGATCTCATTCTTTTTTATGGCTGCATAGTATTTCACGGTGTATATGTACCACATTTTCTTTATCCAATCTGCCATTGATGAACATTTAGGTTGATTCCATGTCTTTGCTATTGCTTTTCACTTTTTTGATGCTATTATTAATATTTGCAAAACAATTAAATTTTGATGTGTTTCAACTTATCTACTTTTCCTTTTGTTGCTTGCACTTTAATTTTTATATTTAAGAAACTATGGTCTAGCTCAAGGTAATAATTTACTGCTATGTTGTCTTCTAAGAGTTTTATAGTTTTAGCACTTACTTAGAGGTTTCTGATCCATTTTGAGTTTATTATTGTACATGGTATGAGGTAGGGTTTAAACTTCATTCTTTGGCACCTGGATATCTAGTTGTTCCAGCATCATTTGTTGAAAAAAGTATTCTTTCCCCAGGTTAATTGATTTTTGACAAAGATGTTAAGGCAGTTCAATGAGGAAAGGTTAATATTTCCACCAAATAGTGTTGGAACAATTGGATATCCATATGCAAAAATGTGAGCCTTGATGCTTACTTCACACCAAGTACAAAACCTGGCTCTAAATGGGCCCCCAACCTAAATGTAAGACCTAAAACTATAAAGTTTCTGTAAACAGAAGGAAAAAAATCTAGTGATCATGGGCTAAGCACAGGCTATAAAAGTAAAAGTTGCTGAGTTATGCTTCATAAATATTTTGAAATTTTCTCTCCGAAAGACCAGGTTATGTTAAGAAAGTGAAAAGGCAAACTATAGACTGGAGAAAATATTTGCAAAATATATCTAATAAAGAACTTGTATTTGGAATATATAAATATATCTTATAACTCAACAGTTAAAAGAAAAATAACTCAATTTAAAAATGGGCAAAAGATTTGAATGAATACTTCCCCAAACATTAGATACAGATATCAAATAAGAATATAAAATATTTTTGACATTATGAATCATTAGAAAAATACAAATCCAAACCACAATACACACCCACTAGACTGGCTAAAATTAAAAAGGCCGACCATCATACCACATGTTGGTAAGAATGTGGAACATTTGCATTCCACTAGCATTCATGCACTGCTAGTAGGGTTGTAAAATGGCACAATCACTTTGGAAAACCGTTTGATAGTTATTTAAAAAGTTAAACACATACCTACCATATAGTTCACCCATTCTATTCTTAGGTATTTACCCGAGGGAAACAAAAACATATGTCCACACAAAGACATGTACATGAATGTTCATAAAACATTATAAACATAGGGTTTATATATATGTATATATATATATGGTTATGAGATCTATTTTAAAAGTGGCTAATAAGGTTGTTCGCAAATAACATTATTTATTAGGCATTTGTGACTCCGCTGAGCAGTGAATCAATTGTAATTAGCTATGTTTTGATGGCTTCTTAGTTTAACATTGCTGTTTTATTCAACCTATTGCTAGATAAAATGTATAGATTACACTAAAGTACTATTTATATAAAAACAATATTATAACTACACAAAGAGAAATCAAAATGAAATGGAAAATTCAACCATAATGTACTCTTTGGACAATTCAACTCATTTATTTTTCCTTGTTCCCATCTGGTACTTGTCTGCATGCATAAAACATTGTTACGTAGTTGTAGAAATCCAATTTTGCATTCAGCTTTTGAAAAACAATTGTAATATTGTAATCTGTTTTTCACATTGCTACTTAGTCTTCACAATTATTTTTAATGACCACGTTATTTATTCTGTGGATTTACCACACTTCAACATATCCACGTGTTTTTTAAAATGTTGCTATTAGAAAAAGTTCGTACTTAATATTTCCATATATATAAATATATTTAATATTTTCTTTCTTTTGGATTACTTCCTTGGGATAAATTTCTAGGAGTTGTATTATTGAATCAAAACATAACTATAGCTGTAATTTCTATAACTCTCAAAATATATTGTCAAAGGGATTTCCATTCATTCATTCACCAAATATTTATTGAACACTTTCTTCTTGCCAGACACTGAATAAGTGTTAGGGTTACAATGGTGAGGAAAAACATACAGCCCATTCTCATAGATCCCGCTGTCTAGTTGCAGAGAGAGACTCCATCAGGTCATCGCACAGATGGATGCAATTATAACCATGCTAAGTATTAGTAAGGAGAGAGGCATGGAGCTGTAAGAGTATTTGATGGTGGAACTCTCCTTTGCCTGTTGGTTAATGGAAGGATTTCCTAAGGAAAAAGTGATTGTGCTTGGGGCTTAAGGATGACTAGGAGCTAACTAGACCAAAGGTGGAAAGGAACAAAATTCTAGACACAGGGAGTAGCATGTGCATATGCCTTTTGGTAAAGCACATGGAACCGGAAGAAGACCGCAATAGCTGGAGCCAAATGGGTGGGGGAGCATGGGGCAAGACCATGCATGGGCTGTGGGCCATGTGAAGAGCTTTGGTCTTTATCCTGGGAGCAACGGGATCCTACTGAACAGGACGTGTGCTTCAAAACACTCTGGCTGTTGTGTAGTGGGAGGGAGCTTGAGAAAGGATGGGGGTACCAATGGAGAGCTTTGCAGTTGTCCAGATGAAGGATGCTAGTTGCTTAGACGATGAGCATGGGGATAGAGATGGGGATAAGGGGATGCATTTAGGAAGTACTGAGGAGGTAAAATTGGCAAAACTTGGTAGTGGCTTTGACTTAAGATGTAGTGGGAAGGAGAGGAGAGAAGGGAATCTGAAGGATGATTCCTGGTGTAAGAAAGAGGAATGATAGCACCATCCGCAGACATAAGGATCAATGGAAGAGGACGCGATTGGGGTAGTTTTGTACATAAGGAATTCAAGTGTCTTTGAAATAGACAGGATGAACCAGCAAGTGGGCAACTGGACTGTGTGTCTGAAACTCAGAGCAGAGTTTAGGTAAGAGCCGTGAACTTATGAGTCGTCAGTATACAGACAGCTGGCCAAAGAGCCTGCAGGAGATGTGGGAGGAAAATCAGGAGGACATGATGTCACAGAAGCCAAGAGAAGAGTGTGACAGGAAGGAGAGAGTGGTTGCTAGTGTCAAATGCTGCTGAGAGGCCTCAGCAAATGGAAGTCAATCCATGGTGACCTTGGCAAGACATAATGATGAACAAACAGGGTGGGAAAATGAATGAGAAATAGGGGGATGGGAGTAGTGTGTTTATGCAACCTTTCCAGAATGTGACTGAGACGGCAGAGTGGGAGGATAGAAGGCAGAGTGAGGGCTTGAGGAAGGAGTTTTGGTTTCATATATTTTTTCAGAAAGGAGGACTTGTGTGTATGTTGAATGCTGATGGGAAAATCTGAGTCGAGAGCAGCAGGGTAAATGTAAAGGGAGAAGTGACAGTTGATGATAAAGTCTCCACAGAGGTGGGAGAGGATGACATCTTCTTTCAGGCGAAGAGACCACTTTGTTAGGGGAAGGGATGCCTTTCCCATAACAGGCTTGCACTCATTTATAGGACTTCCAGTGAGGACTTAGAAGAGCATTTGGTTTAATTCTATGTTGTTGCCATCTTGAATTTTCTTTTCTTTTCTTTTTCTTTCTTTCTTTTTTTTTTTTTTTTTTTTTTTTTTTGATACAGGGCTCTATTGCCTAGGCTGGAGTGCAATAGCACGATCACGGCTCACTGCAGCTTCAACCTCCCTGGGCTGAAATGATCCTCCTGCCTCAGCCTCCTGAGTAGCTGGGACTCCAGGCACATGTATGCCACCACACCCAGCTAATTTTTGTATTTTTTGTAGAGATGGGGTTTTGCCATGTTGCCCAGGCCGGTCTTGAACTCCTGAGCTCAAGCGATCTGCCCGCCTTGGCCTCCCAAAGTGCTGGGACTACAGGCATGAGCCACTGAGCCTGGCCGTTTGAAATTCTTAATGATTTTTGAAAAAGAGGCGCTACATTTTCAGTTTGCACTGGACTCTGCAGATCACGGGGCTGGTCCTACCTCCAACAACGTCAGAGCTACTGCTTTCCCCCAGACCTCACCAGAATGGAATATAATCATCTCAACCTTTTTGTTATGGCTGTTAATTTAATAGGTGGAAATGTGCGCCTCAGTTGTTTTAATTTGCATTTCTTTGATTACTGGCCAGGTTGACTGTGTTTCCTCACAGTCTGTTTACTAACCATGCTTCCTTTTATGTGAGCCGCCTGTGTCCTTTGCCCATTTATGTTTTCAAATGCCAAAATAAGTTTCCTCTCTGTGGGAATGAATCATCAATTTTTTAAATGTATGGAGAGAATGTTTTCTGCAGAAACAGCCTGGGGTTTCAGGAAGGCAGGCCCAGTTCAGGGGTGCCTTGGGAGCAAAGGTCCTGTCATTCCAACACTAAGGTAAGAATAGTCCCGTTGGTGTACGGCAGTCTTTGAATGGAATACTTTTCCATCTAGGTTCTTCTTGAATCCTCAGCTGTCTGAAAGCTATGTCTGCCCCTCTGTGCCATGCCTAGGCTTTTCCTCCTGCCTGGCCTGCCTGCCATCTCCCCATGGACTGCCCCATGACCAGACTCACGGCACCCTAGTTATGCTGTTATTTAAATATTCAAATGTTTCTGTATATGTTTCTACATATGTGTATTTATATATACATCAATATAAATATAGATGTATATATAAGTAAACATATCAACATATATCTATATTGATATATATAAGTAAACATATATCAACATATATCTATATTGATATATAGATATAAATACACACATATATAACATTTTACAGTAATTATTGATTTTACATCTGTTTTCTTTTCTGGGCCACGAGCTCCCTCATGCTTTAGGCTCTTCCTTTCTTTCTTTTCCTTTTTAAAATTGTTATTTTATTTTATTTTTCTAATAGAGACAGGGTCTCTCTGTCACCCAGGCTGGAGTGCAGTGGTGCAATCATAGCTCACTGCAGCTTCAGACTCCTGGGCTCAAGCGATCCTCCCGCCTCAGCCTCCCAAAGTGCTGCTGGAATTACACGGGATTACAGGCATGAGCCACCACACTGGGCCCCCTTCCTCCCTCCCTTTCTTCCCTTCCCCTTCCTTCCTTCTTTCCTTCCTTCCTTCTTTCCTTCCTTCCTTCCTTCCCTCCTTCCTTCCTCCCTCCTTCCCTCCCTTCTCTTTCTCTCTCTTTCCCTTCCTCTCTCTGTTCTTCACTCATTTGTTCACTCTCCCTCTTTCTCTCTTCATCCTCATTGCCTCACATGGTGTCTGCACATAACAGGCACTCAACTTGATGTCAACAAGTGGATGAAATCAAGTGATGAGTAACTTGTATGTGAAGCTCTCAGGGCTGCTTTCTTCTCCATCCCCATAGTTCTTTTATCCCTGGCTACGTTCTGTTTTTCTGAGCACATCTGAGCAGCATGCTCTATCTGGGGCACAAACTTAAGGGACTAGAGTCTCTGGAATGCTCAGTCTGGAGAGGAAGGGAGCTGGGACCCTGCCATCCGATATTTGAAAGCTGTTGATTCCTCATCGTGATGAAGGGGTAAGAGGGTTGGCTTTGGATCTAGTCTGATGTGTGTTCAAATCCAGCTCTGCCACTAGTTGTGTATTCTGGGGATGAGTGGCTTAACTCCCAAGTTTGTGTTTCCATAAAAAGGGGCTTGCTTAATTCAAAGGTGTTGGGAAGATTAAATAAGGTGGACAATGTTAAAGCAGATAGCCTAGGACCTTGTGCCTAGTAGGTGATTATTCATCTGGAGTTGGTTTAGAAACTGCCCTATAGAGAGATCCCTCTTGTTAGCATTGGAACCAATGAGTGGAAGATACAAGAAAAGAAGATTTCAACTAGATGTCCAACAGCCAGGGACAACCAAAGATGGAATGAGCTTTTTGGAAGGAACATCCCTGATAGTAGAGAGATGAACATAAAGGCTGAGATATTATAAACTTGAACTATAACTATATAGATATTATAAATTTGAACTATATTGTAGTTCAAATTGTCATTCATATGGCAGTTTGAACTAATCCTCTAGTGATCTTTAGGGCCCCATCTAACCTTGGGGAACTTGGATTCTGTGACTGATACTGGGAAGTCCACCGTAGTATATATATGTTGGGCACTTTCAAACATCCATTGTCTTTCCTCTTTCTTCTTACCAAGCCAATCAGTTTATCTTTTCAAAAAACCAACTTTTCGGCTGGGTGCAGTGGCTCACACCTGTAATCCCGGCACTTTGGGAGGCTGAGGTGGGCAGATCACAAGGTCAAGAGATCGAGACCATCCTGGCCAACATGGTGAAATCCCGTCTCTATTAAAAATACAAAAATTAGCTGGGCGTGGTGGCACGTGCCTGTAATCCCAGCTACTTTGGAGGCTGATGCAGGATAATCGCTTGAACCTGGGAGGCGGAGGTTGCAGTGAGCAGAGATCACGCCACTGTATTCCAACCTGGCGACAGAGTGAGATTCTGTCACAAAACAAACAAACAAACAAACAAAAAACCCAACTTTTCGTTTTAATAATCTTTTTTATTGTTTTCTTCATTTCAATTTCATTTATTTCTGTTCTGATCTTCATGATTTCTTTTTTTTTCTACTAATTTTGGGTTTGGTTTGCTCTTATTTTTCTAGTTCTTTAAGATGCATAGTTAGGTTGCTTATTTGAAGTTTTTCTGCTTTTTTGATGTAGATGCTCATAGCTACAAATGTTCCTCTTAGTACTGTCTTCGCTGTATCCCATAGGTTTTGGTATGTTGTGTTTCCATTATCTTTTGTTTCAAGAAATTTTTCAATATCTTCTTAATTTCTTTATTGGCCCACTGGTTATTCAGGAGCATACTGTTTAATTTCCATGTGTTTGTATAGTTTCCAAATTTCCTCTTGTTATTGATTTCTAGTTTTATTCCTTTGTGGTTAGAGAAGATACTCAATACAATTTCAATTTTTTTGAATTTTTAAAGACTTGTTTTGTGGCCTAACATATGGTCTATTCTTGAGAATGATCCACATGCTGAGGAGAATAATATGTCTTTTTTTTTTTTTTTTTTTTTTTGAGATGGAATCTTGCTCTGTCGCCCATGCTGGAGTGCAGTGGCGTGATCTCAGCTCACTGCAAGCTCTGCCTCCCGGGTTCACGCCATTCTCCTGCCTCAGCCTCCTGAGTATCTGGGACTACAGGTGCCCGCCACCATGCCTAACCAATTTTTTTGTATTTTTAGTAGAGTCGGGGTTTCACCGTGTTAGCCAGGATGGTCTCGATCTCCTGACCTCGTGATCCGCCAGCCTCGGCCTCCCAAAGTGGTGGGATTATAGGCTTGAGCCACTGTGCCCGGACAAGAATAATATGTATTCTGCAGCCATTGGATGAAATGTTCTGTAAATAACCATTATGTCCATTTGGTCCATAGTCCAGATCAAGTCTAATGTTTCTTTGTTGATTTTCTGTCTGGATGATCTGCCCAATGCTGAAAGTGAGGTGTTAAAGTCTTCAGCTCTTTTTGTATTGGCGTCTGCCTCTCTCTTTAGTTCTAATATTTGCTTTAAATATCTGTGTGCTCCAGTGTTGGGTGCATATATATTTACAATTGTTATATCCTCTTGCTGAATTAATCCCTTTATCATTATATAATGACTTTCTTTGTCTATTTTTATAGTTTTCATCTTGAAATCTATTTTGTCTCATATGAATATAGCTACCCCTGATCTCTTTTGGTTTCCATTTGCATGGGCTGTCTTTTTCCATCCCTTTATTTTCAGTCTATGTGTGTTTTTATAGATGAAATGTGTTTTTTATAGGTAACAGGTCACTGGGTCCTGTTCTTGTTTCCATTCAGCCACTCTATGTCTTTTGATTGGAGAGTTTCTCCATTTACACTCAATGTTATTATTAAGAAGTAAGAACTGACTCCTGCATTTTGTTGCTTTCTGGTTGTTTTGTGGTCTTTTCTTCCTTCTTTCCCTCCTTCCTGTCTTCCTTTTAGTAAGGGTTATTTTCTCTGGTGGTATGTTTTAATTTTTGTGTTTTATTTTTTGTGTATCTGTTGTATGTTTTTTGATTTCAGGTTACCATTAGGCTTGCAAATAATATTTTATAATCTATTATTTTAAATAGATGACAAGTTAACACTGACTGCATAGACAAACTCACAAACAAGCAAAGGGAAAACTAATAAAAACTCTATACTTTAACTTCATCCCTCTGCTTTTTAACTTTTTGTCGTTTCTATTTATATTAATATCTTATTGTACTGTCCATGTCTTGAAAAGTTACTGTAGTTATTATTTTTTATCAGTTTCACCTTTTAGGCTTTCTACTCAAGATATGAGAGATTTCCACACCAATTACAGTGTTATATTCTGTGTTTTTCAGTGTACATACAATTACCAGTGAATTTTGTACCTTCATATGATTTCTTACTGCTCATTAACATCCTTTTCTTTCAGGTTAAAGAACTCCCTTTAGCATTTCTCGTAGGACAGGTCTGGTGTTAATGAAATCCCTCAGCTTTTGTTTGTCTGGAAAAGTGTGTCTCCTTCATGTTTAAAGGATATTTTAGCTGGATATACTACTCTAAGGTAAAAGGTTTTTTTTTTTCCCTTCAGCACATTAAATATGTAATGACATTCTCTCCTAGCCTATAAAGTTTCCACCTAGAAATCTGCTGCTGGACACATTGGAGCTCTGTTGTATGTTATTTGTTTTTTTTCTCTTGCTGCTTTCAGGGTCATTTCTTCATCCTTGACCTTTGGGAGTTTGATTATTACATGTCTTGAGGTCATCTTATTTGGGTTAAATCTGCTTGATGTTCTTCTATAACCTTCTTGTACTTGAATGTTGATATCCTTCTCTAGGTTTGGGAAGTTCTCTGTTACTATCCCTTTGAATAAACTTTCTACCCCTATCTCCCTCTCTGCCTCCTCTTTAAGGCCAATAACTCTTATATTTGTTCCTTTGAGGCTATTTTCTAGATCTTGTAGGCATGCTTCATTCTTTTTTCTCTGGTCTCCTCTGATTGTATATTTTCAAATAGCCTGTTTTCAGGCTCACTAATTCTTTCTTCTGCTTGATCAATTCTGCTGTTAAGAGACTCTGATACATTCTTCAGTTTGCCAGTTGTACTTTTCAGCTCCGGAATTTCTGCTTGAGTCTTTTTAATTATTTCAATTTCTTTGTTAAATTTATCTGATAGGATTCTGAATTCCTCCTCTGCGTTATCTTGAATTTAATTTTCCTCAAAATAGCTATTTTGAATTTTCTGTCTGAAAGGTCACTTATCTCTATCTCTCCAGGATTGGTCACTGATGTCTTATGTAGTTTGTTTGGGGAGCTCATGTTTTCCTGGATGGTCTTGATGCTTGCGGATGTTCATTGAGGTCTGGATATTGAAGAGTTAGGTATTTATTGTAGTCTTCAAAGTCTGGCAATCTGGGCTTGTTTGTACTCATCCTTCTTGGGAAGGATTTCCAAGTATTCAAAAGGGCTTGGGTGCTGTGATCTAAGTTTTTGGTCACTGCAGCTATATCTGCATTAGGGATACTCCAAACCCAGTAATGCTGTGGCTCTTGCAGACTCATAGAGGTACTGCCTTGGTGGTCATGGATAAGATCCAGAAGCATTATATAGATTACCAGGCAGAGCTCTTGTTCTTTTTCCTTATTTTCTCCCAAACAGAGTCTCTCTGTGTTGAGCTTCCTAGAGCTGCAGGAGGGGTAACACAAGCATCTCTTTGACCACCACCACTAGGACTGCACTGGGTCAGACATGAAGCCAGCACAGCACTATGTCTTATCCAAGGCCTGCCATAACCACTGCCTGGCTACCACCTACGTTCACTCAAGTCTCTAGGGCTTTACAATCGGCAGGTGGCAAAGCCAGCCAGACTTGGATCCTTCTTTTCAGGGTGGTGAGTTTCCCCTGGTTCTGATGGGTCCAGAGATGCCATCCAGGAGCCAGGGCCTAGAGTCGGAAACCTTAGGAAACCACCTGGTACTTTATTTCTACTACAGCTGAATTGGCACCCAGGCAAGACAAAGTCCTTTCTACTCTTCCCTTCTTCTTCTACAAGCAGAGGAGCCTTTCCCCATGTCCATCACCACCCTAGGCCTCAGCAAGTACTGCCTGGTTACTGCTAATGCTCATTCAAGGCCCAAGGGCTCTTCAGCCAGCTTGTGGTGAATGCTGCCAAACCTGGGACTCTCCCTTCAAGGCAGTGGGCTCCCCTCTGGCCCAGGGCAGGTCCAGAAATGCCATCCAAGAGCTGAGGCCTGGAATTTGGGACCCCAACAGCATAGTTGGTGCTCTACCCCACTGTGACCAAGCTAGTACCTACGCTGATTTTTGGTTCTTAAGAAGGTGTTTTTGTGTGGATAGTAGTTGTTCAATTTGGTGTTCCTGCAAGGAGGATGATCAGTGGAGGCTTCTATTTGGCCATTTCAGTCTGTCTCCTTTCCTTAATCCAATCAGTTTATCTTATTCTCCAGCTATAGACACTTGTTCAGAAATAGCCATTTCAGTCCAAGAAGATACAAGGAGGTGTCTGCTTGAGGTTTTGAAAGAGAACTGTCTTCTCTCATCTCCAACCAGAAGGAACTATGAGAGAGAGAGAGAAAGAGAGAGAGAGAGAAAGAGAGAGAGAGAGAATATGTGCTCATCTTAGGATAAGACTGTCAGATAAAATACTAGACACTCTATGAAACTTGAATTTCATATAAATAGCAAGTAATTTTTTAGTATAATTATGTCCCAAATACTGCATGGGACATACTCATACTAAAAAAAATTGTCTATATGAAAGTGAAATTTAAATAGACATCCTGTATTTTTTTCTTCCTTTTTCTAGCAACCCAGTGATTCCATGGAAAGCAGAAAGAAGGACATAAAGAAACGGATACTTGGTGACATCTTTGACTCACTGGATCAAACCTTGCCTGAAGCTCACATTTCTGAAATTTCCAGATACAAGAACAAATACTTCCTCTTTATTGTTTTACTAGATTTGAGACAAGCTTTAAGTTTCTCAGACTCTTCCTCTTCCTAACAGATTTATCAGAAGCTGAAAGCTCTGATCTTGTTGGGATGCGGATCGTGTCAGGAGAAGGCTTACTTTGCACGCTTTTCTTAGTCTGGTTGCCTAACTCAAGAACCTCGGCATGGCTCTGTTACTTCTCTACTCAGACAAGCATCCCTGCAGACACTCACTAGGCTAACTCTGTCTTTATTTTTAGAATTAGACCTTTACGAGAAGCACAGTTTTGTCTTCAGTTTCCTCTCCCCCCACCCGGAATGGCCTGAGCCGAAGCCAGCTCCCTCCGAGAAGTCATTACCGCCTGGTGGGTACTGCAGCCTCAGCCCTCTACACAGACTGGCCAGTGTCTGCTTGGCTCCAGGGCAGTGAGGAGCTGCCTTGGGACTAACAGAAAATTGGCCAGCTTGTTTTTCTTTGGGACCAGAAGAAACCAGCTCTTTTAAATCTCAATGGCCAGGCTTGGAAACCTAGCTTGCCAGAAGAATGGGAGGGAGGAGAGAAGCGGTCCTTTTGGGGAGGCTCTGGCCAGGGCATTAAAAAGGCAGGATTTTGCTGGAAACAGTGTGCCCTGGCCAAGACCAGGTGGAAAGATCAATTTGGGCTTTATGAATTAGCCCCTTCATTTATTCTGGGTCTGCTTTTCCTCATCTGTAAAATAGTGTTGGACCATCAGACAAAATATCAGCTATCAATCTTGTCCCAGGGCCCAGGGGAGGGTCACGGGGTCCTAGTTACCAGGCCCTAGGGTTTCAGGCAACAGATTGAGTACAGAAGGTAAAAGCTGAGATGTGGGACAGGCCCAACAACAAGAGTATTGACCTCAACCTTCAAATCTGCTTAACCCAGGAGAACAAGCTGGGCACAACAGCGCTGCTTTCAACAGCCACCTGTAACCCATCTCCTTGTATTTCTGACCTTGCCTTGCCTAGACGCTAACCCTCAACTCCATTTATACTCCCAACAGACTTGCGTTTGATATTTAGACACCTTGGTCACAACATCTTGCATTCTCTCGGGATGCTGATTTCTAACTGCTCTTTGGCCTTTCCTGCATTGGTCCTCCTCAGGCAGGGGATCCCTGCTCTTCTATATTAGTGAGTATTGCTGTTGTAACAAACAGACCCAAACATAATGCAAGTTTATGTCATGCCTCATTTAACACTGCAGGGCTGTTCTAGTTTGGGGTCAGACATGGTGAGCGTGAGGGCATCCTTCTCCATGCAGTGGTTCAGAGATTTTGGCTGATGGCAGGCATGCCAACTTTAAATTGGCCTCCAAAGTCATGCTGGAGAGCACCGTTAACCAGAAGGAGTTAACCAGAAGGAGAAGGAGTGTGGAAGGGTTTTATCCATCAGGCCTGAGAAGAGCACACGTCTATCACTTTTCATTGATCAGAATTAGGTTGCTTGGCCACACTCAGCTGCAAGAATGCAGTCTAGCCGTGTGCTCAGGATGAACTGGAAATGGGTTGGGTGGACAGCTGGCCAGTGTCTGCCCTGCCCCACTTTAGCCCACTGGCATCTCTGGCAGCCTGGGCTGATGGCCCACCCGGGCTCAGATGCTGGACCCACCCAAGTGTTCCTGAAAGTCCTCCGACTGGATGGGAGTGGTTTGAGAGTTTGAGAAGTGTTATTTCTATCTCAGATGGATTAAGTAGAAGGATGTGGAGCAGTGAACCAGGCACGAGGCGGCACAACTGTCATCAACCATTGTCACCCGTCACTAAGCACATGCCCTCCAGGCCTAAAAAGTCTACCTTGCCACTGCTAGGGGACGAAATGAGTGAGGACGAGATGCTAGGGAGCTCACCAGAATCTCAAGAGATGTTTCTCAGTCCCATGGCTCTGACATTTCTCAGGAAATCTTAGTGTGTGAGTGTGTGTGTGTGTGTGTGTGTGTGTGTGTATGATGATGATGACATAAAATAATCATAACAATGCAGAGAAGTTTTATTACTATTATTATTCACATTTTACAGGTGAGAAAACCAAGGCTCAGAGAAACTGTGGATTTTCTAAGGGTAAATTTTAAGCTAGGTCATCCGATTCCATATCCCAAACCTCTCCCATTGCCACACTCTCTCTTCCTGTGTGTCCTACAGTCTACTCAAATGCCACATGCCATGAAGCCTGTGGCTCCCACCTCTGAATCTCCATCCCCTTCACCTGTGTGTCTTTTAGGTTTGACTTGTGATTGGATTTTTGTGTGTGTCTTGTTCCCCTATAAGTTTCTTGAGGGCAGAGAGCATGTTGCAGTCACCTCTGAACCTCCTTCTGCTGAAAGCAACCTACACGTAAATATCCATTCTATGAATGAAAACTTTCGTCAGAGGATTCTTGAATTCGGTTAAATGGAAAATCGAAGCCACCCATGAAAAAAAGATCAAAGGACAATTTATAGTAAAACACACCCTTGCTCCTGTATTTTGCTTCACACTGTGTTCCCTTTTCTCATGTCCTTGGTTTTCCCAGGCGGGCTTCCACAGGGCTTGGCTCATTCACTCTGGCTAGAGAATTTCCTAACATTTTGTTTATTAATACTACTAGTAGTTCCATTACTATGAATAGCTGCAATTTACAGAGCCTCTAACTGGTATCCTCCTTGAGTGCAGGTCCTGTGTGGCCCCTAGACCCCAGCTCAGGTCCAGCCCATGGATGCTTTCAATATGTGTTTTTAGCATAAATGAAGAGATCTATTTAGTGCCAGGCATTGGGTCTGACTGTCAATATACATTACCTTTAATTTTCAAAATCACCTAGTGAGGAAAGTCTTATAATTACTATTTTATAGATGAGGAAACTGAGGCTTAGTGAGGTTAAGTTATTGGCCCAATGTCACGCAGCTAGAATGTGGTTGATCTCAGATGCCAATCAAGGACGCTCAGAGCTCAGCTGGTTAAATCAGCTGCCTCCTGGTGTCCTTTGCCTTACTGTAGCCTACTCTCTCTCTTTTGTTTATACTATGGTTTGGATGTGGTTTGTCCCCCACCAAAACTCATGTTGAAATTTGATCCCCCATGTAGCAGTGTTGGGAGGTGGGGTTGGGTGGGAGGTGTTTGTGTCATCGGGGCAGATCCCTCATGAATAGATTAATGCCATCTTGTGAGGGTGAGCATGTTCTCAGTCTTACAGGAATGGATTAGTTACCCTGAGAACAGGTTGTTACAAAGAGTTTGGCTTCCTCGGTTGCTTTCTCTGTTTCTCTCTCATCATGTGATCTCTTTGCAGATGCTGGCTCCCCGTCCCCTGTCCACCATGAGTCAAAGCAATGTGAGTCCCTCACCAGATGCAACTGCCCAGTCTTGGACTTTCCAGTGACCAGAATCATGAGCCAAATAAACCTCTTTTCTTTATGAATTACCCAGCCTCAAGTATTCTGTTATAGCAAAACAAAACAGACAAAGACAGTTTACCTACTTACTTACTAACTCAGGAAATATTTTTGAGCATCTATTATGTGGATTACACCACAAAAGGATGAACAATGCAGACATCATCTTTGCTGTAAAAGAGCTCATGGGCCAGCAGTCAAGATAGATATTGAACAAGTGAAAGTCTGGTTAGATGCACAACTTAATGTCTGGTAAGTGCCACAGGGGAAAGAGGAGAACACCGTGAGGAATTTTCTTGTCTTGAATGGTCAGAGAAAGCCTTTCTGAAGCTTGAACTTATAGGATAAAGTGTAACAAAGAGCCAGCCTGGGGATGGAGGCTGTTCCAGGCAGTGGTAACAGTACTGGAGTAAGAACAGTACTAGAGCAAGAACATGGTGGGCATATAGAAAGGCAGAGAGAAAGCCATTGTGGCTGGGGCTGGTGGGAAGAGAACCATGAATGGAGGTGAGCTGCAAGCAATGAACAGATGGTAGGGCCACTGGATGAGGATCCTGCATCATATTCTCAGGGCAATGGCAGACCAGGGAAGAGTTTAAGCAGGGGAACTGCTTGTGCAGCAAAGGGATTTGATGTGTACCAGAGTGGAAGCAGGCAGGAGGTTATGGCAATAACTCAGGCAAAGAGATAAAGGTGGCTTGAACCAGAGGAGAGGCAATGAAGGTAGAGAGTAAGGGACAGATTGGCGATGGTGTTTCATAGTGGAATCAACAGGGCTCAGTGATGAAGTCTGCAAAGGAGTCAGGATTTCTACACATTGCCAGGGGTTGGGCTAAATCCAGTCCGTATAAACATGGAGGACTCTGTACTAGGTTTTCCAAGAAGTTCTGATGAAGAGGTTCAAGTTTATCCCATCACATGAGAGCACTTAAGTCTTCCATTTGAGCATCTTTGATGGAAGGATACTTGAGTGAATACTAGTTCTGCCTGTGAGAATGTGATTATTACAGAGTTAAGGTTTGACACAAAGATGGGAAAGCCAACATGTCTCACCAAAGGGAAGACAGGTCAGTGGGTCTGGCCCCAAGGGCTTTCAGCTGTCTCAGGATGAGACACCAGGATGAAGCATTGGAAGGAGGTGTTTTGGCCCTGGCTCTGGGAAGGGCTCCAGGGCCCATGTGTCAGGAAGCAGAATGTGCCAGTGATATGGAGCTAGCCAATGAGTTATGGGAAAAAAAGCCCAGTTGAGGGGTCACTGGCTAAACTGGGCTAAGATGGTGCTCAAAGGAACCCAAGAAATTGGGAAAGTTTTCATGATCCCTTGTGAGACTTGAGAAGGGTTGGGGTCATTATCCCCTCTCCTTTCTTTCCCAGAAATTCTCCAATGGATCTCCTGAATGTGTTCTATTTCGTAAAGGACTTGTTAGGAATGCCTTCATTTAACCTCTGGGCTTAGCCGCATCCACTGGATTTGTCCATCTGTTGGGTGAGATTGACTTTCTGTGGCTTGGTAATCCTTGGGTTCCAGCTCAATGCAAATAATAGGAGTTCTTCAATTAATGTCTGCCTTCCACCTCCCTCTCTACTCCTGACCCCATACGCACCCTGCCTCTGGCTGCACCACAACCCTACCTCTGGGTAAGATAACCTCTCCCACGTCCCAGCCTTCTGCTGGGGATAGGGCTTGGACCCCCAGGCCACAAGTGGCAGTGGCAGCCACCACACCACTCTGAGTCATCCGATCTCAAGAGGCAGGTCTCGCACTCTTGCTCCTGAAGAAACCAGGCCATTTGAGCAAACCTGCAATGGGCCACATATTTCCCCCTTTTTTAAAAAAATAAGCACTCTTTGTGGCTCAGGTTGGCCCTCACCCTGGCTGGGTGAATTCTCTTCCAAAACCCTATGTCAGAGCATCCTTTGTAACACTTGGGGAAGAGAGGAGGCGGAAAAAAAGGGCTTCTGTTTATCCGGATGTTTGACATCCAGAGAAGGAATATTATTGTTTCTCCAGTCAAATACTGGGGCTTCATTGAAAAATATTTTCAATCTGCCGGACTGAAGGCCAGCGTCTTTGTGAACCTCAGCCAATACACACAGGCCCGGGGTGTTGGGTCAGGGCCTGTTTCTCCCAGGCAGCCACATTCCTGTCAGATGCCCTGAATATGGCATGTCTGGTCTCGGGTATGGAGGCAGCTGCTGGGACATTCTCCCATCCCGTGAGTGAGCAGAGCCAGGGAATTCTCTCCCTGCCATTACAGACCCAGCATCCTGGGGACAGCTGGAATAGGGATGGGATCATGCCAAGGAGGGGCTGTGAACTGAAAGTCACAGAATTAATGTAGTTAAATCCCCTTTCTGGCCAGCCAGCCTCCTCCCAGATGCAGGAGAATGCATCCTGCCTGGGATCAGGTATGCAGAGTTCACCTGTTCCCCTCTCTATCTGCCTGAATTTAAAACATTGGTTTGCCTAGACTGGGTAACTTCAGTAAAGTTTCAAGATACAAAATCAATGTACAAAACTTGGTAGCATTTCTATATACCAATAATGTTCAAGCTGAGAGCTGAATCAAGAATTCAATCTCATTTACGATAGCCATACCAAAAAATACCAAGGAATACATTTATTCAAGGAGGTGAAAGATCAATAAAAGGAGAACTGCAAGACACTGCTGAAAGAAATCATAGATGACACAAACAAATGGAAAAACATTTTATGCTCATAGATTGGAATAATCAATATTGTTTAAATGGCCATACTGCCAAAAGCAATCTATAAATTCAATGCCATTATTATCAAACTACCAATGTCATTTTTTGGAGAATTAGAGAAAACTATTATAAAATTCATATGGAACCAAAACAATGCCTGAATAGCCAAAGCAATCCTAAGCAAAAAGAACAAAGCTGGAGACACATTACCCAACTTCAAACTGTCCTACAAGGTTATAGTAATCACAACAGCATGGTACAAAAACAGACATATAGTCCAATGGAACAGAACAGAGAACCAAGAAATCAAGCTGCACACCTACAGCCATCTGATCTTTGACAAAGTTAACAAAAATAAGCAATAGGGAAAGGACTCACTATTCAATAAACAGCACTGGGTTAACTTGTTAACCATATGCAGAAGATTGAAGCTGGACCCATACCTATCACCATATTCAAAAATTAACTCAAGATGGATTAAATATTTTAATGAAATACCTAAAACTAAAAAATCCTAGATGAGACCTAGGAAATACTCTTCTGACACTGGCCTTGGCAAAGAATTTATGACTACGTCCTCAAAAGCAATTGCAACAAAACCAAAAATTGACAAGTAAGAGCTAATTAAACCAAAGAGCTTCTGCTCAGTAAAAGAAACTGTCAACAGAGTAAACAGACAACCTACAGAATGGGAGAAAATATTCACAAACTATGCATCTGACAAAGGTCTAATATATAGAACCTATAAGGAACTTAAATCAACAAGCAAAAAACAATGCCATTAAAAAGTGGGCAAAGGATATGAACAGATACCTCATAAAAGGAGACATACAAGTGATCAACAAACATGTGGAAAAAGGCTCAACACCGCTAATCATCAGAAAAATGCAAATCAAAACCACAACGAGATACCATCTCACACCAGACAGGATGGCTACTATTAAACAGTCAAAAAATAAATGTTGACGAGGCTGTGGAGAAAAGAAAATGTTTATACACTGTTGGTGGGAGTGTAAATTAGTTCAGCCACTGTGGAAAGCAGTTTGGAGATTTCTCAAAGAACTAAAAATAGAATTACCATTCAACCCAGCAATCCCATTACCGGGTATATAGCCAAAGGAAAATAAATTATTCTACCAAAAAGATACATGCACTTGTATGTTTATCACAGCACTATTCACAATAGCAAAGACATAGAATCAACCTAGGTGTCCATCAACAGTGGATTGGATAAAGAAAATATGGTGCATATACACCGTGGAATACTATTCTTGAACCCAAGAGGCGGAGGTTGCAGTGAGCTGAGATCATGCCATTGTACTCCAGCCTGGGTGACAGAGCGAGACTCTGTCTCGGGGGAAAAAAAAAAAAGAATGAATGAAATCATGTCTTTTGCTACAACATGGGTATAGCTGGAGGCCATTATCCTAAGGAAATTAACGCAGAAACAGAAAACCCAATACTGCATGTTCTCACTTGTAAGTGGGAGCTAAACATTAGGTACACATGGACATAAAGATGGGAGCAATAGGCTGGGCACAGTGGCTCACGTCTGTAATCCCAGCACTTTGGGAGGCCGAGGCGGGTGGATCACGAGATCAGGAGTTCGAGACCAGCCTGGCCAATATGTTGAAACCCCATCTCTACTAAAAATACAAAAATTAGCCGGACGTGGTTGCGCGTGCCTGTACTTGGGAGGCTGAGGCAGGAGAATCACTGGAACCCGGGAGGCAGAGGTTGCAGTGAGCTGAGACTGTGCCACTGCACTCCAGCCTGGGCAACACAGTGAGACTCCATCTCAAAAAAAAAAAAAAATGGGAGCAATAGACACTGGGGGCTATGAGAAAGGGGAGGGAGGAAGGGGAAGGCTGGGTGATGGTTTGGTCATACCCCAAATCTCAGCACCATGCAATATATGCTTGTAACAATCCTGCACATGTACCCACTGAATCTAAAATAAACGTTGACATCTTTAAACCCACACTGGTTTGAGGGGGGAGTTTTTTTTTTTAACATTACAAATGCAATACGTAGTTATTTCCAAAATAAATGTGGAGAATATGGAGTAGTCGAAGGAGAAAATGAAAATCATCTAATTTCCTGTCTCTCAAACAGAATAATAACTATGTCCACTATATTTTACATCATGCAAGCATTAGTTTTATGCATAACATATAACTTTTAAAAAACATTAAAATGACATTATATAGTATATATTTTAAAACTTGCTTTTTCATCTAATAGTGTATTGTTAATATCTTTCCATTTCATTTCATTAAATACTCCTATAAATATTTTTAATCAATATATAGGTTTTTTTTTTTTTTTCCTTGAGACAGAATCTCGCTCTGTCACCCAGGCTGGAGTACAATGGCATGATCTCAGCTCACTGCAACCTCCGCCTCCTGGGTTCAAGCAATTCTCCTGCCTCAACCTCCCAAGTAGGTGGGATTACAGGTGCCTGCCACCACACCTGGCTAATGTTTCGTATTTTTAGTGGAGATGCGGTTTCGCCATGTTGGCCAGGCTGGTCTCGAACTCCTGACCTCAGATGATCCACCCGCCTCGGCCTCCCAAAGTGCTGGGATTACAAGCATGAGCCACTGCACCTGGCTGATATATAGTATTTTATTCAACCAATGCATTGTAATTTTTTAGGTGATCTTCAATTAATGAATATTTAGGTGGCTTCCAATTTTTTTTATTTTTTTTTGAGACAGAGTCTTGCTCTGTCACCCAGGCTAGAAAGCAGTGGTATGATTTCAGCTCACTGCAGCCTTCGCCTCTTAGGTTCAAGTGATTCTCATGCCTCAGCCTCCTAAGTAGCTGGGACTACAGGGACTGATTTTTGTAGTAGCCTGGTTAATTTTTGTATTTTTAGTAAAGACAGGGTTTCACTATATTGGCCAGGCTGGTCTCAAACACCTGACCTCAAGTGATCTACCTGCCTTAGCTTCCCAAAGTGCTGAGATTACAGGCGTGAGCCACCATGCCCAGCTGGTTTCCAAGTTTTTACTATTAAAAACAATACTATGATGAACATCCATGTGGCTAATTCTTTGGGAACACCGATAATTTTTTGCTAAAGGTGATGATAATAGCTACCATATATTTGGTGTGTATTCTACTTTATCTGGAAGAGATCCAGCTTACCCAATGAACACAGCTGTATTTGTCAGAGACAGAACTCATACCCAGGTTGGTCTGGTTCCAAAAACTGGGCTTTAAACCAGACTGGAGCCACTAAACTAAATTCCCAAAGGTAGAATCACTTGATCAAAGAGATGCACATTTTAAGACCTTTGGAATATATTTTTCTCTAGAAAGAGCATACAAGAAAATCTGTTTATCCTCACCAATATCAACATTAGATATTACCATTTATCATTACGAATGTAAGAGGTAAAGTGATATTTATTGTTTTAACTTGCATTTATTTGATTACTTGTGAGTTGATCATTTTTGCACATGTGTCTTACCCATTTGTATTTCTCTTTCTGTAAATTCCATGAGAACTAAGACCTCCAAACCAGAGAATCCCAAAGTTGCAGGGGCAGGAAAAAAATGTGGGTCATTAGGAATAGCAGTGAGGGGAGCCACTGCCATTTCTACCTCTTGAAGTCTGTCTGCACCCTCTGAGTTTTGACCACAGAGGAAACTGCACCATATACTGAGATTCAGTAAACGTATTGCACCTCAAAAGACATTACCCAAGTCCTGCAAAAAGCTCCCCGCAACTGGCACCATAACGAAGTCTTCAAATGGCCGTTCCTCTGTTCTATTAGGTGGATGCTTAAGGCCAGTGACTTACATGAGCACAAGCCCATGGATGCACCTCATTAGCTGTGAAATGAGTTCCCTGGTCAGAAGCAATGCTGTGTGGAATACCATGACAGTAAATAAGATATTCTGTCCATGGATGGTGATGGGGGCAGGGGCATTGTGGGCAGGGAAGGCAAACTCACATCCATAAAACATATCTAGTCCAGTGATAAAAAGGGCTACTGCCTCCACTAGAAGTGGTCCAACCTAGTCAACCTGCCACCAGGTGTTGGCTGGTCCCTTTAGAGAGTAGTGCTATGTTGGGGGCTCCATGTTGGTCTCTGCTATTCGTAGGTAGGTTGGGTATTCGGCAGTGATTGTAACCAGATTGCTTTTGATAAATGGAAGTCCATGTTGCTGGGCCCATGCAAAACCTCATTCCATGCTGGATATGAGCTGTAGGCACAATAGCATGAATTGAGGTTTTGAATGCTGTTTATGAGTCCACCGACATTTACAGAATGGGTCATCTTGCCCACTTGATTATTAAGATCATGCTTGCTGAGATTGCTCTTTGCTAAGCATTCACTTGGAATACAAATATCTTCACCTTTGAGTCCATTTGGAGAGGTCCGTCTAAATATCTCCTTTCCATACCTCCCTGTCATCAAATTTCCAGTTGCATTTCCTCCAAGTCCCTGACCAAACAATTATTAGCCTCTGTCCATAAATCAACATAGACCTAATCCAATCCTTTAGTTATCTTTTCTTCCAGGCAAGATAAACACCAGGTGCCCTGCTCAAAGTTCTGTCCCTGGGAGGGTTTCCCTTCACCCCCTGCCCTTCAGGGGGCATCCTGAGTGGAACTACAGTGCTGAAGAGCTGCCTCCAGCAATAGTGTTGACATGCCTACCTGTCAGCACAACTCACATCCCTTGTCCACAGGTCTCTCTCCACATGCACTTATAGTGGGATTCCTAGTGAGCTCCCTAAGAGCAGTTATACTGCTGCAGAACTCTGTTAAAAGAAAATGTCGGGCTACCCTCTTTGGGTCCCCTCCCTTTGTATGGGAGCTCTGTTTTCAATCTATTAAATCTTGCAACTGCACACTCTTCTGGTCCATGTTTGTTACTGCTCAAGCTGAGCTTTTCTCACCATCCACCACTGCTGTTTGCCACTGTTGCAGACCCACCACTGACTTCCACCCCTCCGGATCCAGCAGGGCGTCCGCTGTGCTCCTGATCCAGCAAGGCGCCCATTGCCGCTCCTGATTGGGCTAAAAGCTTGCCATTGTTCCTGCACGGCTAAGTACCTGGGTTCATCCTAATCGAGCCGAACACTAGTCGCTGGGTTCCACGGTTCTCTTCCATGACCCACGGCTTCTAATAGAGCTATAACACTCACTGCATGGCCCAAGGTTCCATTCCTTGGAATCCATGAGGCCAAGAACCCCGGGTCAGGGAACAAGAGGCTTGCCGCCATCTTGGAAGCGGCCCGCCACCATCTTGGGACCTCTGGGAGCAAGGACCTCCCCGTAACATTTTGGCAACCACGAAGGGATCTCCAAAGCACTGAGTAATATTGGACCACTTTTGCTTGCTATTCTGTCTTATCCTTCCTTAGAATTGGAGGAAAATACTGGGCACCTGTTGGCCGGTTAAAAATGATTAGCGTGGCCGCCAGAATTAAGACTCAGGTGTGAGGCTGTCTGGGAAAGGGCTTTCTAACAACCCCCCAACCCTTCTGGGTTGGGTATGTTGGTCTGCCTTGAAGCAGCTTCCGCTTTCAATTCTCCCGGGGAAGCAGAGGGCCGACTAGAGGTAAAAAGCTGTCGTCCCAAACTCCCGATGTTAGCTGGTTGAGATCATGGTGCAGCCAGAAGTCTCTACTCAACAGTCGCCCATGCGTTCACCCCTACCTTTCCTTCTGACCCATAATTCCTGGATCCGACCATGACGTTCTTGAAAGTGTAGCCCCAAAATTCTCCTTACCTCTGAATCTACTTCCTCCGATCCCTGCCTCCTGGGTACTAATGGTTCAGACTTTCATTTCCTCTAGCAAGTTGTATCTCCAAAGGGATCTAAGGAAGCTCTACGCTGAGTCCTTAGGCCCCTAGGCTATGGACCCAGAGAATCTTGTCTCTGGTGTCTCTCCCAATTTAGGCATACAGCTCTCGACATGGGCAGTTATGTGGGACCCATTCCCTTCTACCCTTGCCAGGGCCCCAAGTTTGTAAAGGGCTAGGAGAAAAGACAGAGAAACAGAGAGAGACAGAGGGGAGAGACAGAGGGGAGAGAAAGAGAGAGAGAGACAAAGAGGGAGTCAAAGAGAGAAAGAGAAAGATAGAAGTAGTAAAGAAAAAACAGTGTGCCCTAATCCTTTAAAAGCCAGGGTAAATTTAAAACCTATAATTGATAATTGAAGGTCTTCTCCGTGACCCTATAATACTCCAATACTACCTTGTTGTCAGTGTAAACAAGGGTGTAGCCTGAAAACACTGAGACCACTGACCACCTGTAGCCTTCCTATCAAAAATCCTTAACTCAGTAACCAATGGATGGCCCAAATGCGTTCAATCTGTAGCAGCAACTGCTTTGCTAACAGAAGAAAGTAGAAAAATAACCTTTAGAGGAAACCTCATTGTGAGCACACCTCACCAGTTCAGAATTATCCTAAGTCAAAAAAGCAAAAAGGTAGCTTACTAACTAAAAGCTTAAAGTATCGGGCTCTTCTGTTAGAAAAAGTTGATTTAACGTTAACCACTGAAAATTCCCTTAACCCAGCAAATTTCCTAACAGGGGATTTAAATCTTAATTACCATACAAAGATCCGACCAGACCTAGGAGGAACTCCCTTCAGGACAGGATGATAGATGGTTCCTCCCAGGTGATTGAAAAAAAACTCACAATGGGTATTCAGTAACTGATAGGGAGACTCTTGTGGAAGCAGAGTTAGGAGAATTGCCTAATAATTTTTCTGCTCAAACGTGAGAGTTGTTTGGACTCAGCCAAGCCTTAAAGTACTTACAGAATCAAAAAACTCTATCTCAATCCTGACTCAAAAGGTTACCTACACCCTCTCTGAAGTGAATTTGCATAACAACTGTTGTTTATGGGAATGCATCTTGATGGGGCAACTGGGTTGCTATGAAATATTCAAGAACCCAGCCCAGCTCTAGAACTCACCTCTGAGCACAAAGGCAATGTCGGGTATGCTGGTAAAGGACCACTAGAATCCAGCAGCCCGCACCCCTTTCTTTGTGGTCAAGAAAGGCGGGAAAACAGGTGCAGGACTGCTACATCGGTGAGCGTAACTAATCCGACAAGCAGAAGTCCACGGGTGGTTACGCACCCTGGAAAGGAATAAACATTAGGACCACAGAGGACGCTCTAGGACTAATGCTCATCAGAAAATGACTAGGGCTGCTGGCATTCCTATGTTCTTTTTTCAGATGGGAAACATTCCCCCTAAGGCAAAAACGCCCCTAAGATGTATTCTGGAGAATTGGGACCAATTTGACCCTCAGATGCTAAGAAACGACTTATATTCTTCTGCAGTACCGCCTGGTCAGATATCCGCTTCAAGGGGGGAAGCCTGGCCTCCTGAGGGAAGTATAAATTACAACACCATCTTACAGCTAGACCTGTTTTGTAGAAAAGAAGGCAAATGGAGTGAAGTGCTGTATGTACAAACTTTCTTTTCATTAAGAGACAACTCGCAATTATGTAAAAAGTGTGATTTATGCCCTACAGGAAGCCCTCAGAGTCTACCTCCCTACCCCAGTGGCCCCCCACCCCGACTCCTTTCCCAACTAATAAGAATCCCCCTTCAACCCAAACGGTCCAAAAGGAGATAGACAAAGGGGTAAACAACAAACCAAAGAGTACCAATATTCCCCAATTATGCCCCCTCCAAGCAGTGGAAGGAGGAGAATTCAGCCCAGCCAGAATGCATGTACCTTTTTCCTTCTCAGACTTGAAGCAAATTAAAATAGACCTAGGTAAATTCTCTGATAACCCTGATGGCTATATTGATATTTTACGAGGGTTAAGACAGTCCTTTGATCTGACATGGAGAGATATAATGTTACTGCTAAATCAGACACTAGCTCCAAATGAGAGAAGTGCCGCCATAACTGCAGCCTGAGAGTTTGGCGATCTCTGGTATCTCAGCCAGGTCAATGATAGGATGACAACAGAAGAAAGAGAAAAATTCCCCACAGGCCAGCAGGCAGTTCTCAGTGTAGACCCTCACTGGGATGCAAAATCAGAACATGGAGATTGGTGCCTCAGACATTTGCTAACTTGCGTGCTAGAAGGACTAAGGAAAACTAGGAAGAAGCCTATGAATTATTCAATGATGTCCATTATAACACAGAGAAAGGAAGAAAATCCTACTGCCTTTCTGGAGAGACTAAGGGAGGCACTGAGGAAGCATACCTCTCTGTCACCTGACTCTACTGAAGGCCAACTAATCCTAAAGGATAAGTGTATCACTCAGTCAGCTACAGACATTAGAAAAAAACTTCAAAAGTCCGCCTTAGGCCCGGAGCAAAACTTAGAAACCCTATTGCACTTGGCAACCTTGGTTTTTTATAATAGAGATCAGGAGGAGCAGGCGGAATGGGACAAACAGGATTAAAACAAAAGGCCACCACTTTAGTCATGACCCTCAGGCAAGCGGACTTTGGAGGCTCTGGGAAAGGGAAAAGCTGGGCAAATCAAATGCCTAATAGGGCTTGCTTCCAGTGTGGTCTACAAGGACACTTTAAAAAAGATTGTCCGAATAGAAATAATCTGCCCCCTCGTCCATGCCCCTTATGTCAAGGGAATCACTGGAAGGCCCACTGTCCCAGGGGACGAAGGTCCTCTGAGTCAGAAGCCACTAACCAGATGATCCAGCAGCAGGACAGAGGGTGCCCGGGGCAAGCACCAGCCCATGCCATCACCCTCACAGAGCCCTGGGTATGCTTGATCATTGAGGGCCAGGAGGTTAACTGTCTCCTGGACACTGAACCGGCCTTCTCAGTCTTACTCTCCTGTCCCGGACAACTGTCCTCCAGATCTGTCACTATCCAAGGGGTCCTAGGACAGCCAGTCACTAGATACTTCTCCCAGCCACTAAGTTGTGACTGGGGAAACTTTATTCTTTTCACATGCTTTTCTAATTATGCCTGAAAGCCCCACTCCCTTGTTAGGGAGAGACATTCTAGCAAAAGCAGGGGCCATTATACACCTGAATATAGGAGAAGGAACACCCATTTGTTGTCCCCTGCTTGAGGAAGGAATTAATCCTGAAGTCTGGGCAACAGAAGGGCAATGTGGATGAGCAAAGAATGCCCATCCTGTTCAAGTTAAATAATTCCACCTCCTTTCCCTACCAAAGGCAGTACCCCCTTAGACCCGAGGCCCAACAAGGACTCCAAAAGATTGTTAAGGACCTAAAAGCCCAAGGCCTAGTAAAACCATGGAATACCTCCTGCAATACTCCAGTTTTAGGAGTACAGAAACCCAATGGACAGTGGAGGTTAGTGCAAGATCTCAGGATTATCAATGAGGCCATTGTCCCTCTATACCCAGTTGTACCTAACCCTTATACTCTGCTTTCCTAAATACCAGAGGAAGCAGAGTGGTTTACAGTCCTGGACCTTAAGGATACCTTTTTCTGCATCCCTGTACATCCTGACTCTCAATTCTTGTTTGCCTTTGAAGATCCTTCGAACCTAATGTCTCAACTCACCTGGACTGTTTTACCCCAAGGGTTCAGGGATAGCCCCCATCTATTTGGCCAGGCACTAGCCCAAGACTTGAGCCAGTTCTCATACCTGGACACTCTTGTCCTTCGGTACATGGATGATTTATTTTTAGCTGCCCGTTCAAAAACCTTGTGCCATCAAGCCACCCAAGCGCTCTTAAATTTCCTCGCTACCTGTGGCCACAAGGTTTCCAAACCAAAGGCTCAGCTCTGCTCACAGCAGGTTAAATACTTAGGGCTAAAATTATCCAAAGGCACCAGGGCCCTCAGTGAGGAACGTTTCCAGCCTATACTGGCTTATCCTCATCCCAAAACCCTAAAGCAACTAAGAGGGTTCCTTGGCATAACAGGCTTCTGCCGAATATGGATTCCCAGGCACAGTGAAATAGCCAGGCCATTATATACACTAATTATGGAAACTCAGACAACCTATACCCATTTAGTAAGATGGACACCTGAAGCAGAAGCGGCTTTCCAGGCCCTAACCCAAGCCCTAGCATTAAGCTTGCCAATGGGGCAAGACTTTTCTTTATATGTCACAGAAAAAACAGGAATAGCTCTAGGAGTCCTTACACAGGTCCGAGGGACCAGCTTGCAACCCATGGCACACCTGAGTAAGGAAATTGATGGAGTGGCAAAGAGTTGGCCTCACTGTTTTTGGGTAGTGGCAGCAGTAGCAATCTTAGTATCCGAAGCAGTTAAAATAATACAGGGAAGAGATCTTACTGTGTGGACATCGCATGATGTAAATGATATACTCACTGCTAAAGGAGACTTGTGGCTGTCAGACAACCATTTGCTTAAATATCAGGCTCTATTACTTGAAGGGCCAGTGCTGCGACTGTGCACTTGTGCAACTCTTTTTTTTTTTTTTTTGAGACAGAATCTAGCTCTGTCACCCAGGCTGGAGCGCAGTGACACGATCTTGGCTCACTGCAAGCTCCGCCTCCCAGGTTCACGCCATTCTCCTGCCTCAGCCTCCCAAGTAGCCGGGACTACACGCGCCCGCCACCATGCCTGGCTAATTTTTCGTATTTTTAGTAGAGACGGGATTTCACCGTGTTAGCCAGGATGGTCTAGATCTCCTGACCTTGTGATCTGCCTGCCTTTGCCTCCCAAAGTGCTGGGATTACAGGCATAAGCGACTGTGCGTGGCCTGCACTTGTGCAACTCTTAACCCAGGAACATTTCTTCCAGACAATGAAGAAAAGATAGAACATAACTGTCAACAGGTGATTGCTCAAACCTACACCACTCGAGGGGAACTTCTAGAGGTTCCCTTGACTGATCCTGACCTCAACTTGTATACTGATGGGAGTTCCTTTGTAGAAAAAGGACTTGGAAAAGTGGGGTATGCAGTGGTCAGTAATAATGGAATACTTGAAAGTAATCCTCTCACTCCAGGAACTAGCGCTCAGCTGGCAGAACTAATAGCCCTCACTCGGGCACTAGAATTAGAAGGAAAAAAGGTAAGTATATATACAGACTCTGAGTATGCTTACCTAGTCCTCCACGTCCACGCAGCAATATGGAGAGAAAGGGAACTCCTAACTTCCGAGGGAACACCTATCAAACATCAGGAAGCCATTAGGAGGTTATTATTATTGGCTGTATAGAAACCTAAAGAGGAGGCAGTCTTACACTGCTGGGGTCATCAGAAAGGAAAGGAAAGGGAAATAGAAGGGAACTGCCAAAAGAGCCACAAAGTGGGACCCTCCATTAGAAATGTTTATAGAAGGACCCCTAGTATGGGGTAATCCCCTCTGGGAAACCAAGCCCCAGTACTCAGCAGAATAAATAGAATGGGGAACCTCATGAGGACGTAGTTTCCTCCCCTCAGGATGGCTAGCCACCGAAGAAGGAAAAATACTTTTGCCTGCAGCTAACCAATGGAACCTTACTTAAAACCCTTCACCAAACCTTTCACTTAGGCATTGATAGCACCCATCAGATGGCCAAATCATTATTTACTGGACTAGGTCTTTTCAAAACTGTCAAGCAGATAGTCAGGGCCTGTGAAGTGTGCCAAAGAAATAATCCCCTACACTGCAGGCCATACATTTCAATGCCTGTATCTTTAACCTCCTTGTTAAGTTTGCTTCTTCCAGAATCAAAGCTGTAAAACTACAAATGGTTCTTCAATTGGAGCCCCAGAAGCAGTCCATGACTAAGATCTACTGCGGACCCCTGGACCAGCCTGGAGCCCATGCTCTGGTGTTAATGACATCAAAGGCATCCCTCCCGAGGAAATCTCAACTGCATAACCCCTACTATGCCCCAATTCAGCAGGAAGCAGTTAGAGTGGATATCGGCCAACCTCCCCAACAGCACTTGGGTTTTCCTGTTGAGAGGGGGGACTGACAGACAGGACTAGCTGGATTTCCTAGGCTGACTAAGTATCCCTAAGCCTAGCTGGGAAGGTGACCGTATCCACCTTTAAACATGGGGCTTGTAACTTAGCTCACATCCAACCAATCAGGTAGTAAAGAGAGCTCACTAAAATGCTAATTAGGCAAAAACAGGAGGTTAAGAAATAGCCAATCATCTATCGTCTGAGGGCATGGGGGAGGGACAATGATCGGGATATAAACCCAGGCATTCAAGCCGGCAACGGCTACCCTCTTTGGGTCCCCTCCCTTTGTATGGGAGATCTGTTTTCACTCTCTTAAATCTTGTAACGGCAAAAAAAAAAAAAAAAAAAAAGAAAGAAAAAGAATGTCCAGATCTCTTAACTTTGTGTCTGGGAATAGCCACTCAATAACCCAGACACTGGACCACTTTCTCAGGCTCGTCCTGGTGGGTCACCATGGCTACTGACACCTTTTATCTAAGAGTGAGTTCTTCTCCCTCTGCCCAGGGCCACCCCCAAAGTGTAGCAGAGACAAATCTATCTAATTGTCCTGGTAATAGAGTTTCCACCACCCAGAGCCTTGGGCCAAGGCCCAAGTTTTTCTTCACATGTCCTTTTCCCTAGGGCATGTATGCAAATCAAACCGTATGACTAGGAAGGGCCACAACCAAAAGTCTGCTAGATTGTCCCCACCCCTCATAATAAATTTACTATATCGACGGGGTATCTTTCAGTCAAGTCAGTTCTTGGCATTGAGGTATCAGGGACGATGATAGTCAACGTCACAGGAATGGGTGGAATTACCCAAGGAGAAGATGTGGAGTCAGAGGAGAATGAGGAAATCAAAATAAAATTTAAAATTACTATTGTTGGCTGGGCATGGTGGCTCACGCCTTAATCCCAGCACTTTGAGAGGCTGAGGCGGGTGGATCACGAGATCAGGAGTTTGATACCAGCCTGCCCAACATGGTAAAACACTGTCTCTACTAAAAATACAAAAATTAGCTGGGCTGGTGGTGGGTGCCTGTAATCCTAGCTACGAGGGAGGCTGAGGCAGGAGAATCATTTGAACCCTGGGGGCGGAGGTTGCAGTGAGCTGAGATCGTGCCATTGCACTCCAGCCTGGGTGACAGGTGTGACTCTGTCTCAAAAAAAAGTTATTAGTGTTATTATCCTATCAGTTAACAATTATTGGTGCTTAATTGTGTGCTAGACAGTGGCCTAAGGGCTTTGTATATATTAAGTACTTTAATTCTGATTATAATCTTATGAGCTAGGCATTGATATTATCAGCAGCATCTCCATTTTACAGATGAGGAAACCGAGGAAAGCTGTCCAGAGCATACATTTAATAAGTGGTAGAGGTGGGACCTCAATTCAGGCAGTTCTGGCTCCACCATCCTCACTCTAAACCTCCATGCTATACCTGTTTCAGGAGCAAGCACTTAGGCAGACATCTGCCAGGTGGAGTATGAAAAGCACCAGACTGGGCATCCAGGATTTACCCGTCATATTTTTTGTCACAAGAAATAGATCTTTTCTTTTCTCTTATTTTCTCTTCTCTCTTCTCTCCTCTCCTCCTCTCTCCTCTCCTCTCCTCTCCTCTCTTGTCTTCTCTTCTCTTCTTTTCCTTTGCTTTGGAGTCTCACTCTGTCGCCCAGGCTGGAGTGCAGTGGTGCAATCTAGGCTCACTGCAACCTTCACCTCCCAGGTTCCAGCAATTCTCCTACCTCAGCCTCCCAAGTGGCTGGGGTTACAGGCATGCGCCACCATGCCTGGCCAATTTTTGTATTATTAGTAGAGACGAGATTTCACCATGTTGGCCAGGCTGGTCTCAAACTCCTGACCTCAAGTGATCCGCCCACCTCAGCCTCCCAAAGTGCTGGGATTACAGGCATGAGCCACGCCTGGCCGACTTCTTACTTTAAGAAGGAAAGGAATTTATTAAGAGGCCATGAGTCTAGGCATCAATTATCAGCAGCTGCTAAATCCATGAGGAGAAATGTTGATAAGTCTCAACCCCTGATCAATCGTAGCAACACGAAAAGAGGGACATCTGACATTGAATGCATCACTACGATAGATTCTTACCAGAATAATGAACCTGAATTTGATCATGCCTCTGACATAACTACCAGTTTCCAGGAAATACAGAGGATAGAGGAGATGTTAAATAAAACCATAATACAGCAACCAGCCAAGACCAGAATGTTTGAAGTTCTCTAGGAGAAATGACTCTAATCAAAATGAAAACCCTGACATGAAACAACCAACCATAGAAATACATGTTGGAGACAATTAGGGAAAACTGAACATGGATAGTAAATGATATTAAAGAATTATTGCTGATGGTGTTGGGTGAATATACTAACATAGTTGTGTGTGTGGGTTAAGTCTGTATCTGTTACAGATATATACCGAAGTATTTATGAATGAAATGATGGGTTGTCTGGAAGTTGCTTTAAAATAAATTATGACCAGGTTTGGTGGCTCACACCTGTAATCCCAGCACTTTGGGAGGCCAAGATGGGCGGATCGCTTGAGCCCAGGAGTTCGAAAGCAACCTGGGCAACGTGGTGAAACCCCATCTCTACAAAAAATATAAAAATTAGCTGGGCATGGTGGTGTATTCCTGTAATCCCAGCTACTTGAGAGGCTGAGGGAGGAGACTTGCTTGAGCCTGGGAGGCGGAGGTTGCAGTGAGCTGAGATCATGCCACTGCACTCTAGCCTGGGCAACAGAGTGAGAACTTGTCTCAAAATAAAATAAAATAAAATAAAAATGTAGATATTCCACTCTTAAAGGAGGGGAGCACAACTCCCCACTCTTTAGGTGTGTGCTATGCATAGTGACGTCCTTCCAAAGAGTCGTATGGGAAAGCAGGGAAAAAAGAGAAACTTTACAGTGAAGAAAGCTAACAAGCACTACTTCATCCAGGGGATCAAGGTCAACATCAACAGCAATTAATCATGATTGATAGTATGTACCTTGAATACGATGTGATGAAAATAGCACTTTACCTCTGTGATCTTCCTTCCAAAAACTCATCACCCCAGTTTAATCTTGAGGAAAAATAATGTCCAGTAGAGGGCATCCCACAATATACCTGAGCAATACACCTCAAAACTGTCAAGGTCATTAAAAACAAGGGAAGTCTGTGAAACTGTCACAGCCAAGAGGAGCCTATGGTGACATAGAGGCTAAGCGCAATATGGGATCCTGGATGGAATCTTGGAAGAGCAAAGGGACATTAAATAAAAGCTAAGGAAATCTGAATAAAGCATAGACTTTTGTTGATAATAATTAATAATAACAATAAATGCATTGCTATTGGTTCATCACCTGTAACACATGTACCCTACCGATGCAAGATGTTAATGATAGGGGCAATTATGTGTGGGGTGGGAGATATGGTATATGGGAAGTTTTGGTTCAGTCTGCTCCATTTTTTGTAAAACTGCTCTGAAAAAATGAAGTCTATTAACTAAAATTATTTTGAGAAAAAATTGTGTGTAGAGAGGCATAGACGGAAAATGAACAATAATGGCGGATGATGATTGTTGAAGCTCTGTGGTGGCTACCTGAGGGTAACCGTCTTTGTACTATTCTATCTTGGTGCATGTTTGATAGTTTCCAGACCAAAAGGTAAAGTTCTTAAAGATATCGGAGCCTCATGTGTCCTCTAGGTGGTCTGGGGCATCATTATCCTAGAGCTACACAGCAGGAACATCATCCATGTCAAGCTCCACGACTGGTCACCTCCAGAATGGTGCTGAACCCAGGACACTGTGGTCTGCACCACCAATGCCATCTGCATTGCCTCCGTCCCTGGGCCCTCGACCTCACCATAACTGCCCCTTGGCCACAGAGAACACCCTTGCCCTCTCTTTCCTCATGTCATCAGCTCCTGAGTCTAAACTGGGACAGGTACTTCTAGTTGGATGAACCTTGGTCACATACCTCAGGAAGGCTGGGATGGTGAGTTTCTGGCCGTGACAACTTCTATAGTGGGAGATGGGCTTGGCCTTCAACCAGGAGTCATTGTGAGGTGAGTTCCCGAAATGCAGAGGGGAAAAGATCTGCTTCTGGGATCCACACTCTGCCTTCACAGCCTCACCACCCTGCACCGTCATAGCCCAAGTGCTTATTGACCTCCACCGCGGAGCTGCAGGCTGTGAGGGCAGCCACTGGGCCTGCCATGTCCTCACCATATCCTCCCAGCCTGACACCATGCCTGGCTCCTGGGAGGCCACCAAAAATGAGTGAAGGAGAGGATCCAGCCGTGGAAATGATCTTGCCTCTTAGGGAGAAGGTGATGAAATCCTGGAGCTCTAGAAGCCAGTGTTCTAACCCTGACTCTGCACCTTACTGGCTGTGTGTCTTGAGGCAAGTCACTCTCCCTCTCTATGCCTCCCTTCCCTCCTCTGCAATGAGGGAGGTAGACAAGCGATCCTTTAGCTTGCCCATTCCTCTGCCTCAGCAAGATCACTGCCCCGTGGAGAGTCTAGTCTAGTGGTTCTGCTGCCTGGAAGGTCGGCTCGTGGCTGGCCTCAACTCCCAGTGCAGACCCTGTCCTCTGCCGCAGAGAGAGGAGGCACGTGCCAGACATAGACTGGCTCTGTGACCTTCAGAAGTGTCCCAAGGGACCCGAGGCCTCTCTCCAACCCTCGGTTTCCTCGCTTGTAGATTGGGGTTTGGTTACCCATCTCTGAGGTTGTTCCTTGCTCTGGGATTCTCTTGGTCATTACTGAGCCACTTGAGAAGGCCTCAGTCACAGATGTCCTGGCTCAAGGATGTCACCTGGAGAGAAAGCCTGGGAGGGAGGTCATGGTGCTATTTGCTCAGGACCTGGGGTCTGTCTGCTCTGTGGGAGCACAGGGGAACTAGGGTGGGTGACACATGCTGTCTCTCCAGAAGGAGGGAACCTCTGAGAGAGGAAGAAATCCCAGAACATAAATCAAATGAGGTGTAAAATTGTGCTGAGCCATGCTTCGTAAAACTGCTGCAACATGTCATTAATAGCGGCCCAGAGCTGGGGACACACGGGTAGGCACCTGGCAGGCGAGCAGGTGGCAATTAGCTCAGGAGTGATGGTGGGAAGGCCCACAGTTCACTGAGGGGTGCTGTTGAACCATCCTGGCCCTCATGACCCCTTCCAGGTGTGGAGGACCTGTGTGAAGGGGGCAGAGGGGCAGGTGCCTAAGGCCTGCTTAGTGTCACAGCACACCACCTTATGCAGAGCACTGAGTCTCCCCGCAGACATCTTGGAGTTGGAAGGGCACTGAGGTCTCCCTGCCTACAGTCCAAGCTATGAACAGGGTGAGGCCCCAAGAAGGGCAGTTGCAAACCATTGGCTGCCCCAGAAATGTCCATGGCTAAAGAGCCCTGCTCTCCACCTCAGCACCGTGAGGAGCCTCGTCCAGGTGATTCGGAACTATTCGGTGCATCCCAGACCTGGATTTCTAAGACACAGTGCTCCTTTTCTTCATTCTTTTGCCAAATGAGGACCTTAAAAACAAAACAAAATGAAACTCCCTGCAATCTATAATCAGCATTACACAGTTCTCTTAACAGCAAAAAATTATGATGAGTATAGTTAATTCCCTGAAATTCATGACATCATCACAACTTCCCTCATTTCATGGTGAATTGGCAAACTCTATTTCCACCCACAGAGGTCAGTGGTTTGACCAGTGGCCTTGGTAGACCAATGAGTATCAGGTCATTGCTGTGCAAAAAACACTCACTGCTGAGGGTCCCTCTGTAGGGGCTTCTAGTAAGAGGGGTGCGTTAAGACTGCAGCTCTCCTCACCTTCCACTCTGCCTTTGAGCTTTCCCTGCAACTCTAACAAAACTCACTTGGAGAGTCTCCATCTAAACTGTCTAAGCGCTGGCAAACTGTATTTCCAGATTTGTAGGATTCTGAGCCAGGTGTTAAAGAGCCCATTTTAGAGGAGGGGCGTTCAGGCCCTGGGGCTGCCTTCTCTGTGTGGTAAGCATAGCTGTGTCAGCAAGAGGCAGCCTTTTTATTATATAGCTTTTGCAGATTGGGTTCCCCCAAAGCAGACACTGAGGTGACATTTGGGGTGGAAGATGTATATGAGGGATGAACACACAGGAGTTCATTACACATGAGGAAGGGTGGGGGAGGATGGGCACAGGGACAAGCTGAACCTCAAGGCAGGCCTGGCAAAGCCTCAGCGAGTGCCCATCAGAATGTCCCATGGAGGACCCAAATGGCTGAGTCTTTATCCTCGGCCTTGCTCAATCCCCAGCTGTAGGCTGCCCCAGGAAAGGCATGACCTCAGGCAAGGTGGGTCTCTGCAGCTCAGGCAGACCCTGAAAGGTCTGACAGCTGGGGCCGTCTGTGCCCACCGATCACACTGCCGGCAGCATCCTGGAGGGGGGTGGGCAGTCATTCTCTGTGTCCAGCAGAACAGACTGTGTATTTGACACTCTTCAGCTTTCAAAGTCCATTCACATCTCTGGATTCTCATAGCTACTTTGGCAGTCAGAGCAGAAGGACTTACCCCCACTTTCAAGATGGGGAAACTGAGGGTACACAGCGAGTGAGATAGTGCCTGAGCAGGGACTCTAACACAAGTCTTCAGAGTCCTCATCTAGTGCCTCCATGACCAAGGGCAAAGGCTCAATGATAGTTATAATTATTATCATAAATGCTAACAATACATATTATTGATTCCACCATTAGGTGAACATGCAATATCATCAACTGTGCATATGAGTTCATTTAAACTTCTCAACCATGCCATGAGCTGACTTCTAGTATGATCCCATTTTGTGGCCAAGTAAGCTAAGACTCAGAGAGGCAAAGACTCTTGTCCAAGGTCACACAGCTAGTAAAGCAGGGTCATAGACTCAGGTCTGTCTGGCTCCAGAGCCTGTAGGCCCCGTGTGCTTCAATGTCATGGTGATCTGAGCTCACAAGGTCTCCAAGGGACTCTGAGAAGTGTCAGCCTAGTCCTGCAGGTGCAGGCAGGGTGGATGAAACAGCCCAAAAGACAGACATCACTTCCTCAGGGAGGCAGCCCTCTGGACTGGGGGTTGGAGCAGCTTCTCGTCTGGGTCGTGTAGCCTGGCAAGTCCCTCCCACTCAGGGACTCTGGGAAAAATGAGGGTCTGACCTATGTGCATTTCAAAGGATCTTCTCTAGAATTTCTAACTGTCTGGATTTCTAACTGGACTCACATCTGGAGCCACCATGGCATTGTAGAGCAGCTACTGCAGGAAGCCCCTTGGGTGTCCTGGCCCCGCTCCACTCCTCGGGTCCCTGCCCTCAGTAGGTTGGCTTGGACTATCTGGATTCTATCTTGTCCAGGATAGCAAGTTGGTCTCTGCCCTGTGCCATTCCTCCCTCCTTCCTCGCACCTGTTGTCTACAAAGCACCATCAGTCCTTGTTCTCCTAAGCGGAAGGTGGCAGCAAGCACCGCCTCCCCCAGCCCTTCCTCCAAGCCCTGGTGAGCCCTTTGGCCTGGAGAGGTGCGGCAGAGGCTCCTGGAGAGACAAAGCCGGGCAGGAGGAGGAGTGGGCAAGGAGAAAGTGGGGAGTGGGATCTGTGAGGGGGGAGGGGATGGAGAACAGGGACTGTCGGGGCTCCACGTTCCTCAGGGAACCGCCTCCAAGAAACTTCATGCTCCAGCAAGAACTCATAAAATCAAAGATGTGCTTCCATATGCAATAACTTACCCAGAACAAGTGATGAAAGCTTCCTTCCCATTAATCACTGGGTGAGAGTTGAATTGATTTACAGCATGTGGCCCGTGCAGCACCCCACAGGGTTATGTATGGCTTGAATATGGACGTGACATCATATGCACTTCAGCTCGGCATTCAAGGCCCTCCCCAGGCAGAGCCAAGCTTGGCTGTAACTCCCTAACCTTCCACAGCCGCTTCCCTCTTCCTACTCACATCTCATCCCACTGCAACCCAGCTTTGAATAAATACATTACTGAAGCATGCTGGTGTAAAACCAGAGCCAGTGGCTGCTTCTAGCCAGTCACAAAAGCAGCTCAATCTGCTTCTAACGAGTCCAAGCCAGTTCCAACATCAATCATCTCAGGATGTAAACTGGTTCTAACATGATATGACTGGATCACACCAATTTGGACCTTTTAAAACAAATTCTGACTGGTTCTAAGGGGTTCTGGCTAAATCTAACTGGATCAAACCAGTTCTGTTCAGATCAAAGCAATGCTGACTGGTTTTAATAAGTCCAGCCCGGTTCCAACTCAGCCCACTCCTTTCTTGGCCTCCTTTGACCTTGCTGACTGTTCATGAAGGAAAAGGTGGGTTATGTGTTTGGTTTGGGGGAGCCCTCTAGAGAGGGATCCCGTTATTTTTTTGTTGTTATTTATTTATTTTTGAGACAGAGTCTTGCTCTGTCACCCAGGCTGGAGTGCAGTGGCATGATCTTGGCTTACTGCAACCTCCGCATCCCAGGTTCAAGTGATTTTCCCGCTTCAGCCTCCCAAATAGTTGGGATTACAGGCATGTGCCACCATGCCTGGCTACTTTTTGTAATTTTAGTAGGGGGGTTCACCATATTGGTCAGGCTGGTCTCGAACTCCTGACCTCGTGATCCACCTGCCTTGGCCTCCCAAAGTGCTGGGATTACAGGCATGAGCCACCACGCCTGTCCAGGAACCCGTTATTTTATTCCGAACTCACACTCACAGTTTACTAAGTACCATTGTACACACTGGTTCATTTGACCCCCACAGGTGTCTGAGGCAGGGGATTGTCTCCTTTATCCACTGTACCTGGGGGGCTGTGAGGTGGGCTCTGGAATCTCACGCTCCATGTGCCAGCTATGTAGCTTGGGTTTCCCTCCTCTGAGCCTCAGTTTCCTCCTCTGTAAAATGGGAGTAATAATAGTGTCTATTTCATTCATCATGGTAAAGATTGAGGGAGCTAACTGAGGCCAAAGCACTAAGAACACTGTTGCAACCCACAGCAAGTACACAATATGTGTTAGGTTTGTTTTTTTGTTTTTTTGTTTTTTTGTTTTTTTTTGTGAAACATATGCCCAGGAAAGTACTTATATTCAGAATTTACAATGAACTCTTACAACTCAGTAACAAGAAGACAAACCAGCTAATCAAAAAGTGGGTGAAAGATATAAACTTTCTTATTGTCGGTGTTACTGTACAATCATTGCGATGATTGTCACCATGCCAGTGGGAAACTGTAGGGGCCAGTCTCATTTGAACCCTAACCTCACCTAAACCATACCCTCCTGGCTTCTGACTGGGAACTGGGGGGTGTTCACAGAAAGTTAAATAGAGAATTGATTACCACTGTACTCTCCACTGTCACCTGCCAGGGGCTGTCCTGGGGTGGGTTTCCAATACTACTCCTGGGAATTTGTCACTTCTGAATTGCTTTCTGACAACGAGCAGAGGTTTCCTCTTGACTGAGAGCTTTCTATGATTGAGTAAATTCCCCTGGGACAAAGAAAATGGAGCGAGCTTTCCATTTACATCTGGCAGGCCAGCAGAGCCAAAGACCCTCTGTGGTGAATGGGCAGGGAGGGGGCTCTTCTTGGGCTGAGAAGAGGGAAGGAGGACTGTGCAGGGAAGGAGGACTGTTGAAGTGGGGACTTCTTTAGGGGCTCACAGAAGTTCTGGGGATCTGGGTCTCTGGGCTTCTTATCCTGCTCCGAAGAAGGGAGGGGACAGTGGTGGTGGCTGAGCTGTGGGGAGGGCAGTTTGGAAGACATCTTGCCCCAAGAGGGATGCCAGCTTCCTGAGGTGAGGACTGGGCTCTTCTCTCTGACTCTGTCTGTCAAAAACAAATCACACACACACACACACACACACACACACACACATCACTCAACACTCAAAAACTAACAATCGACATCCATCACCATTTGTTGAGGGTCTGCTGTTCTCTGAGCGCTTTCTGCATTGTGTCGTCTATTGTCACAGCCCTATGGAAGAGGTGCTATGATCAGGTCCCTTTCCAGAGGAAGAGACCAGCTCAGAGACTAGAGGGCTGGATGGAGCCCATGCCTGTCTGCCCTGTGGTTTTAGCCATTCTTTTCACCTTGCTCCTCCTGTCCCTGCTCTGTCCCCAACCCAGGACCTAGGAGGTGCCACCTGTCTTGATTGCTTCTGCCCCTGTTCCTTCCCTCGCTCACCTCCACCTGACCATAGGCTCCTGGAGGCTGGTTGTAGTCCCTACAGCCTGCCTGGCCCAGGGAGGTGTGTTGTGAGTTCTCCCGGACGTGGTCTGGTTGGCAGAGGACAGAATGACCAGGACACCCTAGTGCAGCCACTGAAGATGGTGGCGGGGTAGGGCAAGACAGGTCGAGCTGAGAAACTGTCTGAACTCTCAGGTGAGAAGGGAGCTCAGAGCCCACATCCACCACCGCGTGTAGTTGCCTGGCCTCTACCACTCGCACACTGCCTCTGTCGGGGAGCTCACTACTTCCACTGCGAGCAGCTGGGCCACTGCCACTGCCTTGTGACACACGCTGCAGCCTCAGCCACAGGGACCCTGGCCTCCCCTCCCGAGAGAAGGGACTGGGAGGCAGGGAACAGGACTTATTAAGTGTCCTTTCCATTCCAGACACTGGACCCAGTGATGGTGGGATCTGCTCATTGATTCCCACCACAACCCCATGAGGTAAAGATAAGCGCTCTCACTGGCTCCTCTTTTTAAAAGATTTTTGAAAATGTTTAATTGGGATAAAATACATGTAACCAAGAATTTATCTTCATAACCATTTCTTTTCTTTTTTTTTTTTTTTTTTGAGACAAAGTCTCGCTCTTTCGCCCAGCCTGGAGTGCAATGGCGCAATTTCAGCTCATTGCAACCTCCACCTCTGCGGTTCAAGCGATTCTCCTGCCTCAGCCTCCTGAGTAGCTGGGATTATAGGTGCATGCCACCACGCCCGGCTAATTCTTTGTATTTTTAGTAGAGACGGGGTTTCACTGTGTTGGCCAGGAAGGTCTCGATCTCCTGAACTCGTGATCCGCCCACCTCAGCCTCCGAAGTGCTGGGGATTACATGCATGAGCCACCGCGCCCAGCCCCTCATAACCATTTCTAAGCGTACAGTTCAGTAGAAAGAGCATTCACATTGCCATACAACCATCACCACCCTCCATCTGCAGAACTTTCCATCATCGCAAAAACTGAAACTCAGGGCCCACTAAACACCAACTCCCCATCCTCTCTTCCGCCAGCTCCTAGTAACTATCCTATTTTCTGTCTCTATGAATTTATTACTCTTGGAACCTCACGTGGGTAGAATCCTACAGTGTTTGTCTTCTTGTGATTATTAGCTCCATTTTAAAAGAAGGAGGCTGGGCATGGTGGCTCATGCCTGTAGTCCCAGCACTTTGGGAGGCCGAAGCAGGCAGATCATGAGGTCAGGAGTTCAAGATCAGCCTGGCCAACATGGTGAAACCCCGTCTCTACTAAAACTACAAGAAATTAGCCAGGCGTGGTGGCAGGTGCCTGTAATTCCAGCTACTCAGGAGGCTGAGGCAGGAAAATCACTTGAACCTGGGAGGGCGGAAGTTGCAGTGAGCAGAGACGGCGCCACTGCACTCCAGCCTGGGTGACAGTGTAAGACTGTCTCAAAAATAAAATAAATAAATAAATAATAAAAATATAAAGGAAGGAAGGAAGGAAATGGGGCCTGGCGCGGTGGCTCATGCCTGTAATCCCAGCACTTTGGGAGGCTGAAGTGGGTGGATCGTTTCAGCTCAGGATTTCAAGACCAGCCTAGACAACATAGTGAGACCCCATATCTACAAAAAATACAACATTTAGACAGGTGTGCTGGTGCACACCTGTAGTCCCAGCTACTTGGGAGGCTGAGGTGGGAGGATTGCTTGAGCCCAGCAGGTGGAGGCTGCAATGAGCCGTGACTGTGCCACTGCACTCCAGCCTGGGTGACAGAGCCAAACCCTGTCTCAAAAAATGAAAGTAAAAAATAAAGGAAGGAAATGGAGGCTCAGAAAGACTAAGCCCCTTGCCCACAGTCACCAGCTGGTTAGTGACAGCTAGGATTTAACCCAGGGCTGCCACACAGCTGGCATCTTCTTGGGTCCCTCCCTACTCCAGGTGAAATAGCCTGAGGCCCACTGGTGTCACAGGTGTGAGAGCAGGTATGAAGGGAAGCCCAGACACCTGGATTTGGCCTAGAAATAAGTCAAGGAGGCTCCAGTTTTTATGATCACTCCCTTGGATTCAGCATGAAGGTATTCAGCCAGGAGGGGCAGCGGAGGATGCCAAAATCTTTTTCTCCTGCTCTCTGAGGCCCAGCTGGCTTTTCCAGGCCATTTCCCCTGGAAGGTAGGGCAAGGGTTAGGCAAATTCCCAGAAAGGACACCGTGAGACATCCTCCAGAGCCTCTGCCTCACGCCTGGTGCTCACTGTTCATTCTGCACGGCAGACTTTTCTGGGTGCCCAATGTGTCAGCATGTCTAGGCCCAGGGGAGTCAGGGAGGCTCAGAAACAGACCTTAGCCTCAAAGGCCTTATGGAACTAGGTGATGGCAGTGTCACTTGAACATAAGTGACGACAGGGAGGTGGGACTGGCTGAATACTCTACCAGAGGCTTAGTGAAAGGGCTAAGGAAGTGCACGCGCACAGGCCATTTCCAGGTGGGGTGGTCAGGGAAGCCTTCCTGGAGGAGGTGGCACTGAGCTGGGAGGACCTAGAAGGGGTTGAGGAGAGGGAGTGGAAGTACAGCCCTGATAGTAGGAATAGCCTGAGCACGGGCACTAAGGCCTGTGAGTGTCTGTCACTTTTGTTCCTATGGTTAAGGCAGGGTCTGGGTCCTCACTCTCTCCAGCAAGTTCTCTGTAAGAGTGCATGGTTAGTGACGGCTCCTGGAGAGGAGGAAGACGTGGGCTTTCTAGAGAGAAGAAAGGAGCTGTGTTCCCTCATTGGCCTCAGTCTTTCTCTTCCCTCTCCTCATACCCCTCAGAAGTGCAGACATTGCAAAGCCCATCTCCCTTCAGAACTAAAGCCACCCCTCTGATAGCTGCATCCCTCCTAGGGAGAAAGAACTCCAGTGGCTGCCAAGAGCCCCTGCCAGATGCTCCTCCCCACCACCCTGGCATCTTGTGCATAGTAGATCTCGGGAAATGCCTCCATCATGACTGCTATTGGAAAGGAAGGCCAATCTCCTGTTTGTTGCCCAGAGTGCTGGCTGTGAGTCACCTGGAGTTTCCTAGGTGAGTAAGTCAGAAGGTTGAGGGAGGGGCAGGAACAGGCATGTGGAAAGAGAAAAAAAATGCACTAATATTTTAGAGGAGGGAGTGGGTACCCCCTGTTGTGGAAAATTCATTGAAGTTGTCAAGCAGGTGGTAGCATTGGCTAAGACAGCCTTTAAGATGGAGGAGGCTTTGAGAAGCAGACATGAGGAATGGTGGTGAGGGCAGGCCCCCCCAGGCACAGGGAACAGCATGGGCAAAGGCCCGGGGGTGGGATGGGGATAGTGTGGGCCACACACAGGAACAAATGGATGTGCCCTTTGGCTGAAAGCTGAGATGGGTAAAGAGGAGTCTTGGTATTGAGTTGCCAAGTTGGCATCTCCTTGGAGATGAGGAGAAGGGCCAGAGCATGGCCACTCTGCAGTGGGACTCTCTTGGGAAGGGCATGGAGAGCCTTTGGAAGTTCTTTTTTATTATTATTATTTTACTTTAAATTCTGGGATACGTGTGCAGAACTTGCAGGTTTGTTATATAGGCATGCATGTGCCGTGGTGGTTTGCTGCACCCATCAACCCGTCATCTAGGTTTTAAGCCCCTCATGCATTAGGTATTTGTCCTAATGCTTTACCTCCCCTTACCCCCCACCCCCTGAGAGGCCCCGGCATGTGATGTTCCCCTCCCTGTGGAAGTTCTTGAGCAGACAATGTTAAGAAGGGTAAACGGGCAACAGTTTCCACAATGCACTAGAGCCCAGAAAGGAGGCCACCAAGGGATTCCATGCAAGAGGTAGCAAGATACTGAGCTACCACTGTGTGGAAAGAAGCAAAGAAGGATGAAACAGGACTTATCAACAGGCCATTCCACAGAAACACAGGACTTCTAGTCCATCTTCCTGTTTTTCCATTGGGAAGACCAGTAAGAATTGCCCAAGGTCACCCAGCTGATCACGTAGTTGACATCTACTACACCTAGGATAGCAATCCTTAATCGATTGGTAGTGGCTGCCTGAAGGGTTGTATTGAGTCGTTCTGAGGCCTCATCCCAGATGAACTGGAAAGAATGGCATGATTGATTAATGATGTCTGCCACTAGCAAAGGAATTGAGGAATGGCTTGAGCTCCACCTGTTTGTTGTCTCTGCCCCCATAAGCCTCTCTGTGCCCCAGGGTGAATATTTCTGTCTTCCCCACCTTATAAAATACTTGCAGAGATCAACAAGATCATGTGTGCAAAAATGTTTGAAGACTATCAAGGCTGCCTAAGTAGGAGGGGTTGTTCCCATGATTATGCATGCCTGCGTTAGTCACCTTGATCCTGATGCCAGAAAAAGCACACAGCCCCCCAACATCTTCAACAGCTTTTACCCACCAAATGTCCCCAGTATATTGACTTGCTTTTTGACTAAGGAAGGTGTAGTCACAGGTGGCTGCACAGAGGCTGAGACTGGGAAGCAGATGGAGGTCTGACATGTTTAACAACTGTAGATTGAGGGCTCCGTGAGTCGCCCAGCTCCTCGGCATCTGGAATTGAGGGCAAGGCCACTTTCATGATCAGAAAGAGCCTGACACTGTGAGAAGGTGCAGCCAGTGAGCTGTTTCTGCTCCATATTGTTCAACTCCAGCCTCGGGCCATGATGGGCTTCACTCTGTCCCCTGAACACCATGGCGTCAGGTTAGCCACAGGCAGGACTCCTATCTGTACCTGTGGGTCGTGTCTCCTCACCTGCTTCCAGAAGAATGGATCCTGAGGTCTGGGGAAGTCGTTTCCAGTGGGCTCAGATCCACAGAGATTTTCTTTCCATGGGGGTTTTTGTAGGGAGATGACTTGGGGAAGCAGAGACTAGATTCAGACTCACAGGACCCAGATCGTGACCCCAGCTCTGCCACCCACCGGTTGTGGGACCTTGAGCAAGTCACTTAACCTCTGTGCCTCTGTTTCCTTGTCTCTGAAATGGGGATAAAATGATCTGCTCTGCTCAGCTCCGTGGGAAGGGTAAGATTTAACTCTCTGAGATAAACTTGCATTCTCAAAGAACTGCCATGTTTTAAAAGGCCTGTCATACCCATTTTCATATTTGAGTCTCACAGGGCTCCTGTGGGGTATACAGGGCAAGCGTGTATATGATCCTCATTTTACAGATGAGAAAATTGAGGCCCAGGGTCAAACTGCCAGTTAACGGTGATGATGGGGCTAATTTCAGGTGCCTGTGCTCAGCCTGTTGGGTGAGGGAGTGGTGGGGACACCCCATCTGAGAGCTCCAGTCAGGTGTTAAAAAGCCAGAAAGGGCACTGCCACTCACCCAGGTCTCCGCCACTGCCCTTCTGCTGTGGGGATGGGGCAAGCCTGCAATCCCCATAGTCTCCCCTGTGCCATCACGTGCCCTCTCTTCCCATCACACGCCTTTCCCCTGCCCATCAATCAACTCAGTGAGAGTCTCCCTTCCTCGGAGAGGCGGTTGCACAGTACCCATTGGTTAAGCCCAGCCCAGAGTTGGGAGCAGAATAAGTGTGTATTTATTTGTCCCTGAGGAGCCACTGTCGATCCCCTCAGTGACCTTTGACTCTTGTGTCTGGATGTGGAACATCTGCCTGAGTCACACAGTCTCTGCCTCTCAGGTCTCCTGGAGCCACCAACAAGATAACATTTCTTGAATACCTGCGTAGTGCCAGGCAGAGCCCTGTGCGGGTTCACGTAGGTCACCACTGACTCCTTACAGCTCCACCAGGTGTGTCAGTGAAGGAAGCTAAGTTATGCTCCAGCAACCTCTCATTTCCATGGCCTCTACCAGGTTTGTCTCTCACTTATGACTTTTGAAGGCTGGCGGGGACTTCTGTTCCATGTCCTCTTTGTTCTTACTCTGCAACCCAGACTGGCAGAGCAGCTGCCATCAGAGACACGGCTGGTCCCCATGGCAGAGAAAAGGCTTGGAGGGCCTTGCATCAGTGATTACATGAGCCAGCCCAGAAATGACATACATCATTTTTGCTCAGAAGCCATTGGCCAGAATGAGTCACGTGACCCCCGTGCAATCACTCAGGTGCTGAGAAACACTTGGAAACAGGAGCAGGGGAAGAACAGCACTTATTATTCCCATCTTACATTTGTGGGCATGGCAGTTGGAAGCCTGCCCATGGGCACACAAGGGAGTAGTCACGCTGGGAGCTAATGCAGTCATGGTTGCCCCAAAGCTCAGCCCATTCTTTGGCAACATCATGACCCTGAAGAAGGCTGCCCGGGGCTCAGAAGCAGCCTGGGGATGGTTATAGGGTCTCCAGGGACAGGATGACGTCAGCAGGCCTTTGGGATGGATGTCCTGGCTAGGGCCACTTTAATTTGTGGCATGTTAAAGGAATGATTAAATGACAAAGTGTTTCCAGGTGGTGTGGTCAGGGAAGCCTTCCTGGAGGAGGTGGCACTGAGCTGGGAGGACCCTTCCTGGCCAAATCCTTTGTGGAAAGGACACTTCTGTTCAACAAACAGGTACCAAGTTTCTCCCAGATGTCTAGCCAAAGCCTTACAGTCCAGCTGAGGAGCTGGGATGAACACAAATGGCAATCAAAAAGTCAGTCTGAAAGGCACAAAGAACACACATTGGGGAAAGAACACCCTCTTCAATAAATGGTGCTGGGAAAACTGGATAGCCACATGTAAGGGAAGGAAACTAGACTCCTATCTCACCATATACAAAAATCAAATCAAAATGGATTAAAGACTTATATGTAAGACCCACAACTACAAAACTACTAGAATAAAACATAGAAGAAATGCTTTAGGACATTGGTCCAGGCAAAGATTTTATGAGTAAGATTTCAAAAGCACAGGCAACCAAAACAAAAATTGACAAGAGGGAATATATCAGACAAAAAAGCTTCTGTATAGCAAAGGAAATAATCCACAGTGAAGAGACAACCTGTAGAATGGGAGAAAACATTTGCAAACTATTCATCCAGTAAGGGACTCATATACCAAATATACAAGGCACTCAAACAACACAACAGCAAAAAAAAATCTGATTTTAAAATGATCAGAGAACCTGCATAGATATTTCTCAAAAGAAGATACGCAAATGGCCAAGAAGTATATGAAAATATGCTCAGCATCACTAATCCTCAGGGAAATGCAAATCAAAACCACAATGAGATATTACTTCACCAAGTTAGAATGGCTATCATGCTAACAAAAGACAAAAAATAATGAATACTGGCAAGGATGTGGAGAAAAGGGAACTCTTACACACTGTTCGTGGGAATATAAATTAGTAAAGCCACAATGGAGAACAGTATGGAGCTTCCTCAAAAACCTACAAATAGAACTACCATATGATCCAGCAATCTCACTAGTGGGCATTTATCCAAAGGAAAATAAATCACTATATTGAAGAGATATCTGCACCCTCATGTTTACTGGATTGAAGCACTTTTCGCAATAGCAAAGATATGGGATCAACCTAAATGTCCATGGACAGATAAATGGATAAATGTGGCACACACAATGGAATATATTGAACTACGAAAGAATAGAATCCTTTCTGTTGCAGCAACATGGATTAACCTGGAGGACATTACATTACGTGAAATAAGTCATGCATGGAAAAATAAATACTGCAAGTTCTCATTCATATGTGGGAGTTTAAAAATGAGCTGGTAGAAGTCGAGAGTAGAACTGTGGTTACTAGAGGCTGGGAAGAGTAGAGGAGAGGTTGGTTAATGGATACAAAGTTACAACTACTAGAGAGGAATACCTTCTAAGGTTCTGTAGCACTGTAGGGTGAACACAGTTAACAATAATTTAGTGTATATTTTCAAAAAACTAGAAGAGAGGATTTTGAATGTTCACAACACAAAGAAAGACTAAATGTTTAAAGTGATGCATATGCTAATTACTCTGATTTGATCATTACACATTGTATGTATGTATTGAAATATCATTCTGTGTCCCATAGATACGTGCAGTTATTATGTGTCAAGTAAAAATAAAAGGAAAAAAATTTTTTTAAAGAGTCAGTCTGTCCTTAGGACTAGAAAAGTAGATGACTGAACAACCACATCTACTTTTGCTGCCTCTCAGAACTCACTAGAAAAACAGTAAATAGTGGCTTAAAATATATCTATATATCTGTAAAGATTGGGAAGCAGAAGAAACAACAGCAACAAAATATTGGAAGATGGAAAGCAGATGGGCCACTGTAAATGAAACCCAAGAAAATTGAATACTTACCCAGTAGTGGGAAAAGCAAGAGTCAACCAGGCTTACATTCAGAATTTTTAGAAGGCTCAGAAACTGGAGGCTCCAGATGCCTCTGGAAGTGGAAATGAAGAGGGGCTAAATAAGGGAACTGACTGAAAGTCTGTTTAAGAAAAAGACAGATCTCAGATTCTCTACCTCTAAATAAATTGATGTCTACAGCTAGATCTCTCACTCCCCTCAAAGATTGGAGGGTTATTTTCTTGAAGGGGTAATATAGGAGGGTCTCTTGACAGATGGGTACCAGCAAAAGTTGAGGGCAGAGGTCCCATATCACCTGCTGGAGAATTGAGTGAGTGTATCGTGTTGGTGCTGACACCACCTCCCTCCTAGCCCTCCACCCCTATTCTCCACCCAAGCCCTGGCAGCCAGGCTTCTCCTTTCAGGCAGGAGACTGGAATAGTCCTTCCTGAAGAATTTGAGCACCTCAAAAAGAAAGGGATGCTGACTTAGGAGCTCCCCAACTAGGTGACCCGGCAGACCTCCTTACAGGGGCACCGGCAGTTGACAACCCACTTCCAGCTAGCTGGCTCGTTCCTCATCGTCACACATGAGCCCACAGCCAGAGATTCACAGGCAGCTGAAGACAGCCTCTAACATGAAAGATCTCTATGTAGACACATAGAGCAATTTGGAGGAATAAGGCTCTGCAAGGGAAGAAATTACAAAATAAACAAGGAAAACTTGTTATTACTCCAGAAATAGATGAGATGTGCTATGAGAAAAACCTTCAACAAATTAAACTTAACAGAGTTCAATCAAGCAAGGAACAATTCATGAATCAGGCAGCCCTGGAACCAGAATAGGTTTAGAGAGGCTCCAGCATCATCTTTTGGTCAAAGAAGATTTATGGACAGAAAAAGGAAAGAGATGTACAGAAAATGGAAGTGAGGTACAGAAACAGCTGGATTGGTTACAGCTTGGCATTTGCCTTATATAAACATGGTTTGAACAGTTGGCCATCTTTAATTGGCCAAAACTTGGTGATTGGCACAAGAGTAGGTTACAGTCTGTTTACACATCCAATTAGGCTGCAGTTTACTATGTACAGAGAAACCTGTAGGTCAAACTTAAAATATGTAAGAAGATGCCTTTAGGATACACTTAATTTAACAGATGAGATTATAATCATGAAATAAGAACAGGATCCTATGAAAAAATTATAAAAATAGCTCTTTCTTTTCACTTCCTTTCTTCCTCTCAATGGTTCAAAAGCCATTAGGTGGAGCAGCATAACGTAGGTAGGTGTGTTCTTAGAGCTGGGGGTCTGGGGTGGTCCAGTGTCTGAGTCTATGTTTTGTTGCTTTAACAGAATACCTGAGACTGGGCAATTTATAATGAATAAAAATTTATTGGCCGGGCGCGGTGGCTCACGCCTGTAATCCCACCACTTTGGGAGGCCGAGGCGGGCAGATCACAAGGTCAGGAGATAGAGACCATCCTGGCTAACACGGTGAAACCCCATCTCTACTAAAAAATACAAAAAAAAATTTAGCCGGGCGTGGTGGCGGGCGCTTGTAGTCCCAGCTACTCTGGAGTGTGAGGCAGAAGAATGGCATGAACCTGGGAGGCGGAACTTGCAGTGAGCCGAGATTGCGCCACTGCACTCCAGCCTGGGTGACAGAGCAAGACTCCGTCCCCAAAAAAGAAAAAAAGGCTCATGGTTCTGGAAGCTGGGAGATCTAAAATCAAGGGTATGCATCTAGTAAGGGGCTTCTTGCCTTGATATAACATGGTGGGAGGCAGCACACGGGTGAGAGAGCGCTTGAGAAAGAGAAGGAAGGGGGCTGAGCTGATTTTTTAATAAGGATACCACTCCTACGATAATAAACCCAATCCCATGATAACAACATTAATCCATTCATGACAACAGAGCCCTCACAGCCTAATCACCTCTTAAAGGTCTCACCTCTTAACACTGTTGCACTGAGGATTAACTTTCCAACACGTGAAATTTGGGAGACACATTCAAACCACGGAATTCTGCCCCTGGCTTCCAAAATTCATGTCCTCACATACAAATTTCATTCCATCACAATAGCCCCAAAAGTCCAGAGTCTCATCTAAATCAGATATGGGTAAAACTAAAGGCATGATGAATTCTGAAACAAGTTCTTCTCCAGCTGTGAGCCTATGAGATTAGACAAGTTATGTGCTTCGAAAATACAATGGTAGGACAGACATAGGGTAGACATTGCCATTCCAAGAGGGAGAAATAGGCAAGAAAAGAGAGGTAACTGGTCCCAGGTAAGTCCACTACCCAACAAGGGGCATGTTAAATCTTAAAGTGGAAAATAATCTTTGACTCCATGTCCCAACTTCTGAGCATACTGGAGTAGGGTTGGGCCCCCAAGGCCTTGGGCAGCCCCACTCTTATGCTTTGCTGGGCTCAGCCTACAATGCGGCTCTATGGATTGGAGTTTTGTGCCTGCAGCCCTCCTGGGAATGTGATGCACACTGGTAGCTCTGTCATTCTGGGTCTCAGGAGTGGCTCCACCCTCATGGCTCCAGTAGGCATTGCACTAGTGGGACTTTCTGTGGTGGCTGTGGCAGCTCTGCCCCTGTGGCAGGTTTCTATCTAGGCCCTCAGGCTATCACATGACATCTTCTGAAATCTAGATGGAGGCCTCCAGGGCCCCACAGCTCATGCACTCCATGCATCTGCAGAGTCAGCATGATGTGGTTGCTTCCAAGGGTTACTGTGCCTTTCAGAGCTGCAGCACGAGCTGCCACTGGGCCTGGTTGAGTCATTGCTGGGACAGCCAAGGGGCACTGCACCAGAATACAAGGAGCGGAGTCCTGAGGCAGCCCTGGGCAGCAAGTGCAGAGGTCCCACAGGCGCCTCTCTGGATACTTCGGCGTCTAGGTCTGAGCTTCCCTTGAAGATCTCTGAAATGCCTTGTAGACCAGGACTCCCTGGAGAAACGACTGATTCAGAACTGGGGCAGAGAAAGTGCAAGATGAGTTTGGAGCATCTTGTGGGGCCAGAAAGCAAGGAAGTGCTCACAGAATGATGGGGACATGTCAAAAGGGCACAGGCACCACCCCAAAGGGGCTCCCATTGGTAGCACCAAAATATGTAATGTCGGTAACAGGTTTTAATCCATTGAGTAAAATAAGAAACCATGAGTCCATATTCGCATGAATAAATAAAGGAATAAATTGAACAGGATAGTTACATAGTATCAAAGGGCCTCCCACGAAAATACATACCAATTACAAAGAGCGAAAGAATAAGTCTCAGGGAGAAGTCTGGCAGATGCCACCCTCATCGAGTGATCGGGATGGACATCAACAGGAATGGAACACATGGAAACCCTGCCCCGCCTGTGGGTTGCAGCAAAGAGACAGCATCACAGAACAGCCCTGCGGAATTCCCGCCAGAGATGCAGGACCTGAATCTAGTCATGAGAAACATCAGACAACCCCAGACTGAGGGACATCCCACAATAGCGCGGTGGTGGGAACGTCAAGGAAATGCCAAGGAGCTGTTGTAAACAGAAGCCGACTGGGGACTTGACAACTACGAGAAGCATGATTCTGACCTGCATTCTTTGCTACAAAGAACATCATGGGGAAAATGGCAAAACAGTGCGGCACCTGGAGATTACGTGGCAGTGATGCTTCACTGTTTATTTGCTGATTTTGGTGGCTATAGAGAGGTTAGTTAGAAGATAACTTTATTTACAGGAAACAGGCACTAAAGAATTTGGTGGCCAGGCGTGGTGGCTCACGTCTGTAATCCCAGCACTTTGGGACACCGAGGCGGGTGGATCACCTGGGGTCAGGAGTTTGAGACCAGCCTGTCCAACATGGTGAAACCCTGTCTCTACTAAAAATACAAAAATTAGCAGGGCGTGGTGGTGGGCACCTGTAATCCCAGCTACTTGGGAGGCTGAGGCAGGAGAATTACTTGAACCTAGGAGGCAGAGGTTGCAGTGAGCCAAGATTGTGGCATTGCACTCTAGCCTGGGCGACAGAGCGAGACTCCATCTAAAAAAAAAAAGAATTTGGTGAACCTGGGGAGTGATTTCAGCAAGTTACTCTTAATGGTTCGGGGAGAGGGGGAGAATTACTTGTACTGTACTTACAACTTTTCTGCATGTATGACATTATTTCAAAATGAAAAATAATTAAAACTTAACAGGTAACAAAAAGTGAAAGGGCCTTCGCTCTAGCTTTGGGAGAACGTTTGAAGGCATGTTTCTTTGTTGGTGCGAGGGCGCCCTCGTGTGGTTATTCAGGCACAATGCAGCACGAAGGTCCAAGTGGGGTCTGACACCTGGTTCCTCTTCTACAGCTGTAGATGTCCTCAGAGGTCATCTCATCCAACCCCTTGTCTCTGGCCAGGGTTTCTCCTCACCTAGATCATAAAGATACCTGTGTCTTCAGCCTCCAGAGTTCCAGAATCCCTTTCTGGCCCTGCCGCTGGGAACTGCCCTGAGGGGTATACCCCTTGTAGGTTCTCTGGACATGAAGTAAGCTGTGAGCCACGGTGATGAGGGGCTGGGCCAGCCACAAGGGCTGCAGAGGACGGAGCCCAGCGGGAAGGGCCCTAACCTCTGCCCAGCCTTGGGCACATCACCTCCCTGCTTGTAACTTCCGTTTCTTCATTTCTGCATTGGAAACCATGAGACTTGCCCAGACTTTCACGGGAGCTAATGAGAGGAAAAAAATGGGTCCCAGTTTCCAATTAATGGGTGACCACATGTCCGAGGCACCTGGGGAAAGCCTGATTTACACCTGCTGCCCGGCGTAATTACTAATGACCCCTCGTTCTTGCTCACAACTGTCTCTGTTCAGAAAATACATCATCCGGTCACCCTACCAAGTATAGACGATATCCCGGGTGAATGAGAAATCACACAGTCACTCTGCCACCTGTGGGCTCACTTCCTAATGGATTTTTGAATCGTTTATTCCCACCCATTCCACTTTGGACATGACCCTTGTCAGAGCAATGAATGCAAACTCATGTTAGTGTCACCGTTAACAAATCACAGAGAGTGAGTCCGATCTGAGAGGGGAGCTAAGTCCACCTTTGGGGGCTGGGCACTTGGTGGCCAGCTAGCAGGGCAGCAGCTCTTTCTCTGAAACTCCAGGATCTTGGGCAGGCAGCTGGGCCCCAGGGGCCTGAGCGTGTAGGTTACAAAGTGAATTGTTGAAAAAGATATTTAAGATCATAGTTTAGTTTTGTGATGGAGGAAAATGAAAGCAGCATCTCAGTCCCTCTTTTTGGAAAGGGAAATCCAAGCCTTTGAGTGCTAGGGTGGGGCAGAGGTGGGTGAGGGGTGAGCAAGAGTGACAGCGTTTGTGTTTTGGGGGCTGCCACCAGATTTGGTCATCTTAGGGTGGATCTGGCTTTTCCTGGGGTGCGGGCAGGCCTGGGGGGATAGGGTGCCCTCAGGATCAGGGAGAGGGTGAAAAAGTACCTGGAAGAAGATGGTGGCTCTGGATGCTCTGCTGGGAGAGGAGATGAGGAGGTTGTGAGTTCCAGAGATGGGGTCCTGTGCCTGCTTCCCAGTGCTGGCAGGGCTTTGTTGGGCTGGTGGTGGGGGTCAGGGGACTGGACAGGGGTCTTTGGTGGCTCTGGGCATAGCCAGCAGACTGGAGCATATCAGTAGCTGGCTCCATGCTGCAGGGGCCAGAGGTCCTGTAGCAGACATTTGCAGAGGAAGGGGCAGCATCAACGTCAATGTCACAGCCTGGGCTATGGGCTCGGCCCTGCCCCATGTCCGGGGACACCATGTCCATGAGCAACTTCTTATAGGACTGAAGAAGGGGTGGGGATATAGAGTGCTGCAGAAATGCTCTAGAAATTGGCCCTTGTGGGCCGGGCGCGGTGGCTCACGCCTGTAACCCTAGCACTTTGGGAGGCTGAGGCGGGCAGATCACTTGAGGTCAGGAGTTCGAGATCAGCCTGGCCAACATGGTGAAACCCCGTCTCTACTAAAAACACAAAAATTAGCCAGGTATGGTGGTGGACGCCTGTAATCCCAGCTACTTGGGAGGCTGAGGCAGGAGAATCACTTGAAACTGGGAGGTGGAGGTTGCAGTGAGCCAAGATCATGCCACTGTACTCCAGCCTGGGCGACAGAGTGAGACTTGTCTCCAAAAAAAAAAAAAAAAAAAAAAAAACCAAGAAGAAGAAAGAAATTGGCCCTTGTAAAGAGGGTATGATGGAAGGCATGGGGATACAGGTGAGCTTGATTTAGAAAACTGAAGGACTGGGACATTTCTTAGACCCAAGTGTAAAGAAGGCTTCAGACCAACTGTAGGAACTCAATGAGTTCCTCTGAGAGGGAGCAGGCTTTCAGGAAGCTGGGCTTGGGGCGCAGCAGAGACTTGGAGTTCAAGTTTCATTTTTCTTCATTATTATTTTTTAAATGTACATTCATGTGCAAAGGGCATATGTTCTAGAAAACAGGAAATATGAGTGTTTCTATGACAGGAGGTCATTGTGAAGTGTGCCATTGAGTGGGGTACCTTCCATGGCCAGGTGCTTTGGGACAGGATCTCAGACCCTCACATCCACTCTGTAGACAGAGACTATTACCCGCATTTTTCAGATGGGGAAACTGAGGCTCCATGGGGAGCCGTGACCCCGCTGAGCTCTTACAGGCAGGTAAGTGACGGGGCTGGGATTTGTCTGTCTGTGTTGTGGCCACTACACCCCACGACCTGCCTGCGCCGTACTCCAGCTCGGCTGCTCATTCCCTGGGCCTCTTTGGGTTTCAGGCCCTGGCCTTTGGAGCTGTGGTGGGAGAGCTCGTGAGGAGTCCTGGAAGACCGCGACCCTGTGGAGGCACCTGGTGGTAGCCGGGGGGTTGTTGATGGGTGGTAGGGTCAGCAGTCAGAAACAGGAGCTGTTTGCTGCCGGGGCGGGGACAAGCCAGGGCCCCGGGACTGCTCTGTGCATGTCCCTGGCCTGGCCCCAAGCCCTGCACTTCACTTCCACCTTGCAGATCTTGCCAACTTGAACCCTACAGAGAGGGGGGTTCTGGGAAAAGCAGTTCTGAACCTCAGGGGAGAGCAAAGGTGCCAAGTGACACCCGGCCCAGCACAGTGCCTCTGGGGCCTGGCCTTGTTGCTCCGGGTGCAGAGTCCTCCTTTGCAAGGGAAAATCCTTCGCCAGCCCTGGCCTCCTTGGCAGACTCCACAAATGGGTGTGTGCAGGGAGCCTGGCAGCTGCTTTGTGCTTAACACACATCACTGAGTCCAAATAGAAGGTCTTACCTTAAAACATAACTTACAGAGAACACATGGTGACGCTGTGGGCTGGGAGAGCTTCGTATCAAGGTAGCAGCTGCATCTTCAGGCTCTTCAGTGTCCCGAGGGAACTGTCAGGTCTCTCAGGGCAGGTGCGGGCTCTGGGGGAAGCTGCAGTTGGGAAGACAGCTTGGCAGCTGCCCCTGCCCCTGCCCCTGCCCCTGACACACACTGGACATGGACACAAACCAGCCCCACCAGGCCCCCTGCCGCAGCCTGGAGCCAGGTAGCGTGGCTTAGCACTGTGACCCCGCAGGGGGCCCTGGGCTCCTACATTCTGAAGGGAAAGAAGAGGGAGGGAGGGAGGGAGACAGGACAGGGAGGTGGGGAGCCACTTCCATCCCTCTCTGGTTTCCTCTCCCCATCCTCCCCTCTCCTCTCTGACCATCCTAAGGGGCCCTCAATGCTGTACAGGTTACAGAGTCCCCCTTTCTCCCTATGGCCCCTGCTCTGGCATTAAGATGTGGGGATGAGAGAGGGAGAGCAGGGCCCTTTCCCTGCCCCCCAGAGCTGGCCCTGCTGGGGGTTCAGGCGCCTGTCTCTAGAGCAGGCTCTGGTAGCCTGGGCAGCTGCTTTCAGAGAGGGCTTTGTGCAAGTGACCTCATGCTTTCTCTTCCTGCGGGGGAAGCACCACCAGAAGGAAGCCTGGCCTGGGGGTCCCAGAATGAAGCCAAACTCCATCACCCCTCTCTCACGCCAATCCCTACCTGCCAAACACCCCTTCAACTTTCTCCACAGAATTAGCCAATTAGAAAAAGCTTCTCTTCCCAGGGCCTGTAGAGAGGCAGCCCCAAGTGGGATGGGCTGTGTTGGGACAAGGGACAAAGATGTGAGGCTGAGTCCGGCCCCTGCTGTGGGCTGGCTGTGAACCTTTGGGTGAGTTTCTTTCTAAGCTTTGGACCTGAGTTTCTGCCTGTGATGAGCAAGCTCGCGCCTGCCTCACCAGCCCATAAGCAGGATGGGTGGGAGGTGAGTTCAGCCCCCAGCACAGTGCCAGGCGCATGGTAGACACGCAATAAAGTACAATGTGGGATTTTTTTTTTTCCCAGAGATGGAGTCTTGCTCTGTTGCCCAGGCTGGAGTGCAGTGGCACAATCTCGGCTCACTGCAACCTCTACCTCCCGGGTTCAAGTGATTCTCCTCCCTCAGCCTCCCAAGTAGCTGGGATTACAGGCACGCACCACTGTGCCCAGCTTTTTGTATTTTTAGTAGAGACAGGGTTTCACCATGTTGTCCAGGCTGCTCTCGAACTCCTGACCGCATGATCCACCTGCCTGGGCCTCCCAAAGTGCTGGGATTACAGGCTTGCACCACCATGCCTGGACTTTTTTTTTTTTTTTTTTTTTTGAGACAGTATCACTCTGTTGCCCAGGCTGGAGTGCAGTGGCACGATTGCAACTCACTGCAACCTCCAACCCCTGGCTTCAAGCAATCCTCCCACCTCAGCCTCCCAAAGCTCTGGAATTACAGGTGTGAGCCACTGTGCCCGGCCTATATGTATTGTTTTTTGTTTGCTTGTTTGTTTGGGACGTGGTCTCGCTCTGTTACCCAGGCTGGAATGCAGTGGTGCGATCTTGGCTCACTGCAGCCTTGACCTCCCAGGCTCAAGCGATCCTCCTACCTCAGCCTCACCAAACAGCTGGGATTACAGGCTCACACCACCATGCCTGGCTAATTTTTTGTTGTTGTTGTTGTAGAGGTGGGATTTCGCCAGGTTGCCCATGCTGGTCTTGAACTCCTGGACTCAAGTGATCCACCTGCCCTGGCCTCCCAAAGTGCTGGGATTACAGGCTATATATTGCTAAAGAAAGAAAAAGCACCAATGGCTGAAGCTAGAGAGACCTTGCTGAGGAAAAGGGAACCAAAAATGGGAAATAGCGGCCTGGTAAAGAGGTGTGGCCAGAGGACAGCATGGAGCACAGCCAGGAGAAACTGTTCTGGGTGAAGAGGTGAGTCTGGGAGCTTTGGAGGGGGTGTACGGAGAGTGAGCTATTGACCTGTTTCCAACACTAAGTCCTCTTTGAGTGGTCCCACCTCTGATGACATCTCCATCCCCTTAGCTCTGCAGGCCAGAAACCCAGCGGGCAGCTTTCGTACTTCCCCTCATCCCATATCCAATTCATCTGCAAGCCTTGCTGAGTTTGCCTCCTAAAAAGCTCTTGCATGTGCTCACTTCTCATGCCCCGGCAAACCATGAGAACAGCAGAGGGATGGGCATGAAGGCTGGGCAGCCAGAGGGTTGGACAGCAGTGGTCCCAAGCCCTTGCTGCATTCGTGCAACACACCCTGGCGTGTGGCCCAGTACAGAACATAGCCCCACCTTGCTGCGCCGAGGACGTGGACATCTGATCTAAGCTTGGCCCCTTTGCTTCTTCCAAGCTGGAGGCGGATTATAAGTGAGTGATGAGAAGAAGTAAGGGCAGTTCTGTACTCATCCTCGCAGCAAGGCCCAGGGCCAGTGCTGGCAACCTCACCAGGTAATCCCTGCAGTGTGGATCCAGCTGGGGACGGAACGCCTGGCTTCCCTCACCCCTGTGCACTTCCTATGCCTGGGTCTCCCGCCTTCGCGTCAGCTCTGAGTGCTGCTCAAGAGCCTTCCGATGTGTTCCCTGTTTAATACATGGTTAGTTTCTGTTAGTGTCTGGCTACAAAATGAGCTGCAGTCGAATCCGGGAGTTCAGAGACAAGGGGGATGGATCAGGATTTGGGTGGAGGACTTCTGGAAGGAGGTGGGACTTGAACAGAAGTTTAAAGGAAGGGAGAGGGCTTTCCAGGGGAAGGAAAGTCTGCCCACAGTGAAAGGAAAGCTAGAACAGTGAGCAGCAATGAGGTGAGGGAGCGTTTCTGGGAATAGAAGGGAACTTTGGGGGCTCCCTAATTTATAGCCCCTTCCTGGTAGGACCAGCCCTGACTCTAAGTACATATCACTGTCATTTCACTAAAATGAAAACTGCCTCAAGATTCACGTATGCATATGGCTTTCATTAGGAGGTATGATTAACTCACTTCATTTGTTCATTCTTCAGATTTAATTGGGTGTCTGCTTAGTGGCAGGTGCTGTGTTGGTCACTGGGGACACTGAGATGAATACATATAATCCTTGACCAATCCACAAATTCAGTTCAGAGGGACAGACAGGTACCAGTCCCATGCAGCACGGCAAGGCTATGCTGGGGAATTACATGACATTTGGGGGCACAAAGGAGGCAGCAGGGACCTCTGCCTGTGATGAGTCAGAAAAGAACTTCAGAAAGTAGGTTTCAGTTCACACTAACATGTCAATGACTAACATGGCATGAGATCTGTTCCTGAGACAGAAGAGCAAGTTAATATCTGCCTCATTTGCCTGGAGTCAGGATTGATAGACAGGTTTTGACAGCCAGTAGGGAAGCAGGATAGTGCTGTAGTTAGAAGCATAAGCTTTAACACCAGAATACCTGGATTCGAGCCTCAGATCTGCTATATATATGCCATCTGACCCAAGCCAATGACTTAGCCTCTCCGAGCTTGTTTCCTTAACTGGAACATAGGAATAAACAGAAGATTTACCTCATAGAATTTGGGGGAAGATGAAATAAGATAATACAAACAGTGTACCCAGCACACAGTGAACACTCAGCACATGTCAAATAAAAAGTCAAGCTCACTCTGAAGAGGGGAGAGGATAACTAAGGAGAGTGAAAGGCCTCAAAAGTAAGGCTGATAAAATAAAATGTAAATAATAGTAACCAATGAATATTATATGTTATCATCAATGCACGTATAGATATGCTTTTTTTCCTCATTTAATCTTCCTCATAACTCTGTGAAGCAAGTCTCATCATCTTCATTTTCAATTCTATTTGTTGCAACCCCTTCTTTTTATAGAGGAGGAAACTGAGGCTCAGAGGGGAAGCCATTTCCCCAAGGCCTCGCACACAGCGTGAAGATGCAGTCTGGGTCTTCAGGCCACGCACCTGTGCTTTTGTTTGAGCCTCTTAATGTGGCTGCCTGGGAGGGCTGGAGGGGACCCTGGCCTGAGCCAAGGCTGGGAGGCTGCACTGGGCACTGCAGGTGTGACTGTTGAGGAGACAGAGCTGGCTGAAGTGGAGGCTCTGCACTGGGGAGCAACCAGGAGGGTTCAGTGGCGATCCCTGAGGGAAGATAGACAAGTGGGCAGGGAGGCGAGGCAGACGCCTTACAAATGAAAAGGCAGAAGCCAAATGTTGTAGCCTTTTTTGGGGCAGAGGGGTGGCCTGCAGGGACTGGAGGCAGGGTCTGGTGGCAGAGCTCTGGGCTCCTGCACTAGGGGAATGTCCTCCCAGGGCCAGGCTTTTCCACATATCTCCTCTTGCCCAAGTAGACATTATAATTCCTCCTCTGCCATTCAGAACACGGAGGTTCGGAGAAGTGCAGTCACTGGCCCAGGGTCACAGAGAAAGGAAGTGGCAAACCATCACTCAAACCAGGGTCTTCTGTCTCTGATGCTATCTTCCTTCCAAAACATGATCCTAGCAGCTAATAAGAATCGTTGACGACTGACTAGGAGCCACAGACAGTGCCGAGCACTTTACCTGGATTACCTGTAACCTGTAATGTCCCTCCCTCATTTTATGGAGTAGGAACCTCAGGCTCAGAGAGGTTATGTGAGATGCCTGAAGCCACACAGCATTATAACCCAGATCTTTCTTGACTCAGAAGCCCATACTCCTTTCTCTATAGCTTGTTTCCTGAAGTGTGTTCCATGTCATGCCCATTGGCATCCTGGCAGTGGAGGTGTTGGTGAACAAACATTTTGGGAAACATTGGGTTAGACAGTGATCTTCATGTTAAGGTTTCTCAGAACCTGTAATAATCTATTTCATGAATCTCTGGCAGTGGAAATTGGTATACACAAACTGATTTGGTCCTTAGAACTCTTTTATCATTAAACATTGCATTGGTTAGAAATGTGTTGAGTTGCAAATAAGAGAACCACCTCCCTCAGTAGTGGCCAGGAACCAGTACAGAAATAAGCAGTCCAGGGCTGATGTGGTGGCTCAGTCATGGTACTGGGAAACCAGACTCTTCCAGCTTCCTGCTCTGCCCTCCTTAACATGTAGCTTTCATCCTGATGGTTGCAAAACGACCACAGCCCTTTCAGGCACCACAGCTACATTCCAGGCAGGAAGAAGGAGAAGGCAAGGTGCAAAGGTGAGTTTGAACCTTTATATCCTGGAAGCATCCTCCAGCTGACTTCTGCTTACATCTCATTGGCCAGAAGTATGTCACTTGATCACTCTAGCTGCAAAGGAGCCTGGGAGAGTGAGTATTTCTAAGGAGTACATTATCAGTTGAATGGAATCTGAGGTCTATGCGTAAGAAAGAAGGGGAGGATGGATACCACAAAACCCCTTCTGGGATTAGTGTTCTGTGAACCTAATTTGGAATATGTTGCTCTATACTCAAGCACCACCCCCTCCCCTTTATTTTTCTGCCTGAAGTCAACTCACTTTCCAAGGCCTACAAATGGTCCCTCCTCTGCCAAGGCTCTCAGATTTCCCCTACCTCCTACTTCATACCCCTTCCTCCTTGGCAGTTGGTGCACTCCTTATCAGTACATTGTGGGTTGTGTAGGAGTGAGGAATACGGAAGTCCAGCTCCCCTATTTTGTTACCTATCTGCTGCTGGAGGGCAAGGACATATCTTACTTGCATTGGTATCTACTGCAGGGCAAGCCCTGGCACAAAAGCCAATTAATTGTATGAATGGAATGAATAGGCAGAAAGTGGTTCAGAAAGCCTTGCTTGGTTAATTGAAGCAAGCACCAACTTAAGCCAGTATAAACAGAAAAGCAGACTCTTTAAGAAGGATCCAGAGGGCTTTGGGGAACACAGGGCCAGAATGTAGGCAGGGCTCAGGACAGGATGGGGACAGTCTGAAAGGGCATTAGGATGCCAGGCAGCCTCTCTCCACATGGGTTATTTCATTCCTGTCTTAGAACCTTGGGGCTGCTATAACAAAATGCCATAAACTGGGTGGCTTATAAGCAACAGAGATCTATTTCTCATGGTTCTGGAGGCTGGGAAGTCCAAGACCAAGCTGCTGGCAGATTATGTATCTGGTGATGATGGCCTGCTTTCTGGTTCAGAGATGGCACCTTCTCACTGTATTTTCACATGATGAAAGGCGCAAGGGTCTTTCTGGGGTCTCTTTATAAGGGCACTAATCCCATTTATAAAGGCTCCACCCTCATGATCTAGCCACGGGCCCCACCTCCTGAAACCATCACTTTGCGGGTGAGGGTTTCAACACATGAATTTAGGGGACAGGCAAATATTCAGACCAAAGCAGTTTTGCACTGTCTACAGCCCATTTTTCTCTGCATCTCTGTCTAGGAGGCAGGAAGAAGATGGTGGTCCCTGGGTTCCCAGTGTAAATTAGCTCCAGACCCAACTGACCCACTTGGTCCAATTCCTTAGCCTGGGGAAAGACTCTGAGTAGCCCAACTTGGGTCAGGTATCACCACCTGTGTCTTCCCAGGGTGGGCCAATCAATTGAGTCCACGAGAGTGGGGTGGGGAGGAGGTAGTAGGGCTCATGCAGTGCAGCAGGTGAGGGACAGTTAAAGCAGATACACCAAGATGTGACTACCTCAACTTCAGATGTTGTCATATAGCAGGGGTCAGCAGATGATGACCCATGGGCTAAATCCAGCCTGCCACCATTTTGGCAAGTAAGGTTTTATTGGAACACAGCTATGCTCATCTGTTTATGTATTGTCCGTGGCTGCTTTCACACTGCAACAGTGGAGTTGAAGACGTGACAAAGACCATGTGGGCTGCCAAGCCAGATATTTTTTATCTGGCCCTTCCTAGAGCCTGTTTGCCAATGCCTGTATTATAGGGAAGAAGAATGTCTGTCGAGGAGACAGGGGGAAAGGATCTGTCGTTCAGATCTGTATCCCCAAAGGCCATGGCAGGGGCAGCCGGATGGATAGACGGACGGACAGATGGACAGATGGATGGATGGATGAATTAGAAAGGCAGAAGCTGGAGCCGCTGCGAGTTCTCAGACCACTTCCTTGGATTTTGAGCAGTGCAGAGGGACGCTGGGGAAGGGTGTTTTTTCCTCCTTGTTCGCTCAGCCCCACATCTGCTCTTAATTGAGGCGTAGTGGTACAAGCCTGATTGGGAATAGCAGGGGCTGGGATGTGGTGAACATTAGGGAATAGTCACTTGGCGGGCTCCGGAGCTGCCAAAAACGAAAGTGTGCCGCTCGGCCAGATGTCTGCTCATTACCATCCGCTCTTCCTCAAAAACGTTTTAAGAGAACATTTGTTTGTTGAGGAAACACAGCTGTTCCCAGGGAAATGGGTTTCCCTCCTATGGGCAGAGAAGTGGGGGAGGGGACTGTCGGGAGAGGGACACTGGGGACGCCGTGGGTGGGTGGCAGCGAAAGACTCTCTGTCCGGCCAAGGGCGGGGGTCTGCGTGGACTGCCCTTCCGGACGGACATCCGTCCATCCTTTAGAGACTGTCAAGTCCTGGTGCTCGCCTTGCAGGCTGACTTTCTCCACACTCGTGTGAAGGAAGGACTGCTAGCTGGGTTTCCCAGAGAAGGAAGCAGAGGCTGAAAGGTGAAGTGACTTGACCAAGGCCACAGGCTCATCAGTGGCTGAGCCCAGCCCTGCAGCTGGACTCTGGTCACTAAGACTCTGGCCGGTGCACAGGCCCCTCATGCTCTGGCTTAGTCTGGGGTGTGTCTCCTTTGGGTCTCAGCCTTAGAATCTCCACTTTCCAGCTTGCTTGCACTTCTGTCTCTGCATCTCACTTTTAATTTCCTGTATCTGTTTGTCTCTTCCTTCCCAACCCGGGTCTTCTGTGTTTTCCACTTGATTCTGCCTGCCTCCCACTCTGCCCTTCTCGGGGGACCATGCCAGCATCTGTGGGTGTGCAGCTGCGGCTGAGCGGGGCTCTTCCTCCATCTCTGTCTCACTGTTTCTCTGACTCACCCGCTGTGTCCCTCTCCACACCTGTCTTTCTTTGTGCCCAACCGGTGCCCCAAGACACCATCTTGGTGTCTGGGGCAGGATCCGTATGATTTTGCCTCCACTGGGGCAACTTACTTTTCTCTCTCCTTGGTGAATATTTCTTTTTTCTTTCTTTCTTTTTTTTTTTTTTTTTTCAGATAGTGCTTTTCCAGTTGTGTGTCATGACCACTGATGGATCATGAAATCAATCAATAAATGCTAGGTTGTGACCAGTAACTTAAAAAAGGAAAAAAAAAAAGGATAGAAAATATCCGAATGTGTTGTACACACTATTTTGTGAATTATTTGTTTCAGTTCTCTGTATGGATCTGGATTCCAATGTAAAATATTTTCACAATGAGATTTGATTTAAAAATGTTTGAAAACCATTGAGTAAAAGTGCTTTGGCCACAAGTAGCAGAAAAGTCTGACCCAAAAGGCCCCAAAAGAAGGAATTAATTATCACCACTATAAGAAGCCCAGGGGGCGGGGCTGGTGAATCAGGGGCTGGACAATATCATCAGGGAGTCAGGTTCTTTCCTGTTTTGCCCTTGGCCCTCCTCAGTGAGCCAGCTTTCTGCCCTCATGGTCACAAGGTGGGTGCTGTGGCTCCATCCACCCTGACAGGTCCAAGAGAGTAGGAACTGTCTCCTCCCTGACACCCCTTTGTAAAAACCAGGAAATCTTTCCTCTCACATTTTACTGGCCAGGACACATGCCCACCCCTTAACTTGTCACTGGCAAAGGAGGCAGGTTTACCATGAATGGCTTTCACTAACCAGAATGGAGCTCTTCCCACAGCAGATGGCTGTGCAGAGGAGAGTGGGCAACAGAGGCCGGGGGCTTCTCTTGCCAAGGAGAAGATGGAGAAGCCTGTGGGCCCCACTGCCACCATCTGCCCCAGCCTCTCATATCCCTTCTGCCTGGGTGCCTGCCTCAGTGTCCCTTTAGTCCCTCTTTCGGTCTGTCTTGAGGGGAGGCCATGGCCTGTGAGGGGTATCATTTAGGCTCTCTGTGTTCATTTCCTGTGGCTGCTGTAACAAATCGCCACAAACTGGGTGGCTGAAAGCAACAGAAATCAATTCCCTCACAGTTCCGGAGGCCAGAAGACCCAAATCAAGGCCAGCAGGGCTGGGATCCCTCTGAAGGCTCTAGGGGAGAATCCTTCCTTCACTCCGCCAGCTTCTGGTGGCCCCGGGCATCTTGGCTTTTGGCAGCATCACTCCTGTCTCTGCCTCTGTCTTCCCATGGTGTGAGCATGTGAGTCTGTGCGTGTGTGTGTGAGAGCATGTGTGAGCGTGTGCATGAGTGTGCATGTGAGAGTGTGTGAGCCTGTGCATGTGTGAGTGTGAGCATGTGCGAGCATGTACATGAGTGCATGTGTGTGTGTGAGCATGTCAGCCTGTGCATGTGTGCTAGTGTGAGTATGTGTGAGTGTGTGCATGATCCTCAACTTAATTACATCTGAAAAGACCTTTTGTTCCAAATAAACTCACATTCACAGGTTCCTGGATGTGGGAATATATTTGGGGGTCACCCTTCGACCAAGGCAGTAGGGCCTATGAGCTGTTAGAAAAACATCCCTGATCCCCCCTTGAGGGTTATAGGGCCCCATTGTTTCTATTCACTGTGAGCCTCTTAGACTACACTTAGTAGCTTCTGCTGATGAGGTGACTCAAGGTGGGCCCCTCCATCATTTACACTAACAAGATAATTCAGGATAAGGACTGTCTATGTCAGGAAAAGCAGTCATGGCATTAGAGAGCTGGGGCTTTGAGTCATAGTACATCAGCCTGACCTCTGGGGAGGGGAGGTGGGTTGGAGATTGAATTCCATCATGTGGGCAATAATTGCATCAATTATGGCTATATGAAACTCCAATAAAAACTCTGGACACTGAAGCTTGGGTGAGCTGCCCTGGTTGGCAGTCCTCTGAGTTGGCCACATTCAAAGCTGAGAGGGTGATGTGTCCCTGAGGGTAGTGGGGGCTTTGCATTTGAAATCCACCCATACCTTGCATACATGTCTCTCTCTCTCTGGTTGGCTCTGATTTGTAACCTTCTGCTATAATAAAACTATAATGGCCAAAAAGACAAATGCTGTAGGATTCCACTTATACAAGGCACCTAGGGGGTCAAATTTATGGACACTGAAACAGTTCCAGGGTGGTTGCCAGGAGCTGGAAGGAGGGATGGGGAATGGTTGTTTGATGGGTACAGAGTTTCGATTTTGGAAGGTGACAAGCATTCCCACGATTAGCTGCACAGCAATGCCAGTGTGCTTAGCACTGCTGAACTGGACACCGAAAAATGGCTAAGATGGTAAATTTTATGCTATGTGTATGTTACTACAGTTTAAAAAATTATAATCTTAAATATAGTGCCTTTCTGAGTCCTGTGAGTCTTTCTAGCAAATTATCAAACCTGAGGGTGATCATGGGAACTCCTAAATTTGTAGCCAACTGGTTAGAGGGCGGGTGGCCTGGGGAACCCGTGAGCTTGCAGCTGATGTCTGGAGTGAGGACAGTCTTGCAGAGGACTGTGCCCATTACCTGTGAAGTGTGGCCGCACTCCACGTAGATGAGAAAAGGGGAGGAAGAAAGTGAGAGCTGACTTTTGCACCAAGTGGCTTTTGGAATCCCACCCAGCCCTTTCTGTGATTCCTTTACAAAGACCCCCAGCTCCGGAGCACTGCCCCCTGCCCACCACCACCTATCGGTTCCACTTACCAGTGCTGGGCTCCTTCCCTTTGATTCCTTTTTTAGGATGTGTGTGTGTATGAGTGTGAGTGTGTGTGTGAGCATGAGTGTGTGTGAGTGAACATGTGAGTGTGTGAGAGAACATGAGTGTGTGTGAGTGGGAGCATGTGTGATCCTGTGCATGTGTGTGACTGTATGTGAGCGTGTGTGTGCCTGCATGAGTGTGTGTGACCATGTACATGAGTGTGCATGTGGGTGTGTGTGACCGTGTGTGTGAATGCATGTGGGTGTGTGTGACCATGTGTGTGAATGCATGTGTGTGAGCATGTGTGAGCATATGCATGTGTGTGAGCGTGTGTGAGCGTGTGCATGAGTGTGCATGTGTGAGTATGTGAGCATATGCATGTGTGAGCATGCGCATGAGTGTGCATGTGTATGTGAGCCTGTGCATGTGTGCAAGTGTGAGCATGTGTGAGCGAGTGCATGAGTGTGCATGTGAGTTTGTGAGCCTGTGCATGTGTGTGTGAGCATGTGCGAGCATGTGCATGAGTGCATGTGTGAGTGTGAGCATGTGAGCATGTGCATGAGTGTGTATGTGTGAGAGTGTGCGTGAGTGTGCATGTGTGAGTGCATTCTCTTCCCATCAGGACTGTGAGCTCCTCTAGGCCTAGAACTAGACTTTCTACCTTTCTGTTGCTTGCACCACCAAAGTGTTTCCTGATGAACGGATCCAGACTTCTCTCTCTTCCCAGCCTGAAGGGCTGCCTCTTTGGTGGGCACTCACTGCCGTGCTTCTATCCTAAGAGTTTGTTTCTTTGAGTTTGTGCTGGATTGCTCTTTGGAGTCCTTGTAGACAACAGGAAGGAAGAGAGCTGTTCAGCTACAATCCAGCACAGTGACTAACAAAACAAACAAAACACTGCCTGGCTGCACCCCGAGCTCGCCACCCCCACCTGTGGTCCTGACGCCAAGAGGAGGGATCAGACCCTCCTTCCCTAGGATGACCTCGCAGTCCTTGGGGATGCGGACTGTTTAATTAGAACACCTTCAGTCGGAAACGCTCATCCATTTATAGGGAAAACAGCAACAGGCTTTTAAGGACATGCCATAAGTTTTACAGTTATTGGATTTTTCAACTTGTTTACAAAAGCAATATTGTTAAATGGCCAACGGCCAGGCCCAGTTGTTTTTCCTCCTGTGCCTTCTGACGACAGGAAGGCATATTATCTCCCCCCAGCCAGCTCCCGGGAGGTGTGTGCAACTGCATTCCATTTTGCTATCTGTTTAATTATCCATTCAGCCCAGCTTACACTAAAGCTCTTTCTCGTTTATTCACAGCCAGATCTGCTCTGGAATGCAGCAAAGAGCTCCTTCCTGCTTTCTCAGCCCCTGCAGCAGCTCCTGCTTCACTCCAAGAAAATGCCAGCCCCCTAAGAACCTGTCCCTTTGGAACAGTGGATCCAAAAGCTGACCCAAGAGACCTTGAACTTAACACCTCTGTGTCATGGGCTCCTTAATGATAGAAAGAAGATTGCTTTAGAAGACTGGTTTGCAAACCAGTCTGCTGGGCACTAGAAGCCTTGGGAAGATTTGAAAAATAAATCTTATTGGCCTCACCATTTCACATTCTGACTTAGAGGGTGTGGGCTCTCTAATCTGATTGTGTTTTTTTCTGTTTTTGTTTTTGTTTTTGAGACAGAGTCTTACTCTTTTGCCCAGGCTGGAGTGCAGTGGCGCGATCTCGGCTCACTGCAACCTCCACCTCCCAGTTTCAAGCGATTCTCCTGCCTCAGCCTCCCGAGTAGCTGGAATTACAGGCATGCACCACCACACCTAACTAATTTTTGTATTTTTAGTAGAGACGGGGTTTCACCATGTTAGCCAGGCTGATCATGAACTCCTGACCTCAAGTGATCCGTCCACCTTGGCCTCTCAGAGAGCTGGGTTACAGACATGAGTCACCGTGCCTGACCTAATCTGAATTTTTGAAAGCTCCCGCAGGTAATTTTGATACCTAGCAGCTGGAGCTGGAGTCCTTTGGCCTTGATCACCTCTGCCTGTCTTTGCCCCTGAAGTTCTGTGATGCTGTCTCCTGATGGAGGGTGAGGGTGGGAGGCCAGGCCTCCTCCCACTGTTCTTACCAGCACTGGGTAGGAACTCCACACTTGCCCAGCTGGCTGGGCTTGAGTGAGCTCACACCTGGAAAAGTCATCTTAGGAAAATATCCAGGTGGACAGGGCTTGGAAATCATGCAGCTATGAGTAACTGGGAAGCACGGATGAGCTGATGTGAGGGTTTTGTGAATGGTCTTCTCATGGAACATCTGTACTGGCTTAGCAGTGTCTGCGGGACCTGCGAAAATGTATCCCTGGCCCAGGTTTCATTGGGAAAACACCTCCAGATGAAGGTGGACTTGACCACTGCGGCTGGCTTGGCTGAGGGCTGTGGAGAGAAGGGTGAGGGGCAGGGAGCTCAAGGTGGGAGCCCCTGTTCTTAGCAGCCCTGGTTTGTCCCCAGAGACGTAGGCCACAGGGAGAGGGTCCAGGTGCTCCTGCATTCAAACTTCCTCACCCCTCCCCTCTGCAGCAGTTGGAGCGAGGACATTAACAACAGTAAAAATCACACTAATGCTTAACCTCACTATTGCGCTCTACAGTCTATAATGCACTTGCACATCCATTATCTTGCTCCGTCCTTAAAATATCTCTGGGATATTGGCAGCATAACTGTCAGATGGGGTCCCTGTTTGACAGCAAAAGGAGACTGAGGGTCCAAGACAGGATTGAGTGATTTCATGAAGGTCACAGGGCTGCTAAGTGGTGGAGCCAGAATTTGGCCTCAGATCTTCTAATTCCAAGTCCACAGCCCCGTGGGCCTCCCTTATCATAATACACTTATTCATGCATGGGGTTTTCACTCTTCTCAAAATATGTCCATATACAGGACTCTACATGAATAACTGAGCTAAGCAGGGTTAAGCTTTGAGTCCTCAGTTGAAAACTGAGGAAACCAAGACTGTTTTAAATTCTCCTTTGAACTAGCTTTTAACACCTTACTGGTTCCTTCCCTAATTAGTGAGTTATGACCACACAGCCATAACTCTTGCAAATCAGAGGCTATAAGAAGGAAAGCTGTAAAGCTGGGTATGGGAGCAGATAGCAGAAAGAACAGGAGGTTTGGACTTAGTCTGTAGCTTTTACAAGCTATGACTCTGGGCAAGGTACTTAAATACTAAGGTTTTTTTTTTTTTTTTAAGGGAGTCTCGCTATGTTGTCCAGGTTGACCTCAAACTCTGGAGCTCAAGGAATCCTTTTGCCTCAGCTTCTTGAGTAGCTTGGAGTATAGGCATGAGCCACTGCACCTGGCTTAAATTTTAAGTTTTGACATCTATGTTAAAGGATAATTGTGTCTGCACCCAAACCCCATCTTGATTATAGTTCCCATAATCCCCACATGTTGTGGGAGGGACCACGTGGAGATAATTGAATCATGGGGGCGGTTTCTCCCATCCTCTTCTCATGATAATGAGTTAGTTCTCATGAGATCTGATGGTTTTATAAGGAACTTTTCTCCCCTTTGCTCAGCACTTCTCCTTGCTGCTGCCATGTGAAGAAAGATGTGCTTGCTTCCCCTTCCACCATGATTGTAAGTTTCCTGAGGCCTCCCCAGCCATGTAGAACTGTGAGTCAATCAAACTTCTTTCCTTTGTAAATTACCTTTATAGTTTCAGGCAGTCCTTTACAGCAGCGTGAGAATAGTCTAATATGGTAAAGAAGTCACTTTAATACAAAGATGAATAAGTGTTAAAAAGATTTTATTTAACTCACTAATTAATGCAGGAACCAGTAACATGTTAAAAACTAGTCCAAAGGAGAATTCAAAAGAGCACACATACACACATATAGGAAATTTGAAATGAATCCATAAATAATTGCAAAATTGGCCAGTATCCTTAGGATGATAATCAATTGCATTACAACAAACAACATTTATTTTCTTCTCTGTGGACAAGATCATTTGTATTATCATTAGTTTTCTACAATGTATAGAGTTGTAAAATGGCTCAAAGACAAAAAGGCACAGATAACCCAGAAAAGTCCTTTCCTTCCTTCCTTCCTTCCTTTCTTTCTCTCTTCTTTCTTTCTCTTTCTCTCTTCTTTCTTTCTCTTTCTCTCTTTTCTTTCTTTTTCTCTCTCTTCTTTCTTTCCTTCCTGCCTTTTCCTTCCTTCCTTCCTTCCTTCTTTCCTTCCTTCCTTCCCTCCCTCCCTCCCGCCCCTCTTCTTTCCTCTTTCTTTATTCTTTTCTTTCTTTCTTTCTTTTTCTTTCTTTCTTTCTCTCTCTCTCTCTTTCTTTCTTTCTCTCTTTCTTCTTTCCCATTTCAAAAACCTTCACATCTTTTCCTACAATTGTACCAATTGTACAATAGGGGCAATCCAAAGAGCCTGTGAGAAGGTTAAATGAGATAGCATATGCTTATTACCTGGCATGAAGTCATGGGACAGAAGGAAAGCTTCTTTCTGTCTTCTCTGATGTTTTGCTGAAATGACTGACAGTAGACAGATTAATAGGAGAAAAAGGCTTAAAAATTTATTTACGTATATGTAAACATGACAGTCCTGAAAATGTGAGATTCAAAGAAGGCCCAGATGCTTGAGGCTTCAATACCCTCTTGATAGGGTAGAAAGAAATGGGGGGAACATAGGAGATTGTGAGGGATGGTGAATGATTTTCAGAGGAAAATGGATGAGCCCAAAGGACAATGGCCTAAGGCAAAGTTCATCTGAGCTCTGAGGGAGGTGACAGGAAGGTGGGGGGCAGGTCTTCACTGTCAGCAAAGATTATCTTATCATGCAGATAAAGGCTCCCAGGTAGACTTTTGGAGGTGCCCTCAGAAGAATAGATAAAAATCCTGTTTGGGCATGGTGATGACTTTTAGTTTCTTCTCCAGTGGTTAACCTTTCCTGGTTATTTGATGAGATTCCTGAGGAGGGGGTCTTAAGACAATTGCATTTCTTTTGGAAATAAGTTTCCTTAGTCAGATAAGAAAATTTCAGAAACAGCCTCCCTCTGCACTGGGGTTGTGGGAAGAGAAACAAGAGAAGGTTAGAAAGTTAAGCAGCTATTAAGGCCTTCCAATTTTTCTTACTTCAAAGTGCTCAGCATGCCAAAAAGTCATGCGTTGTCGTATTGTTCTCTGTGCCCCAACAAAGTTTATATCCTGGAAAATTCCCTTCCCTTCCCTTCTCTAACTAGGCCAGAGTTCTTCCCTTCTGGATGAGCTTCCCTGATTTCCCAAGCCCAGGAGCTTTCTTGTCCCTGGAGAATGGTACAGAGGAAAGGGGTTGGGCCATGCTGTCACCCAGAGCCAGGGGCTTGTCTTGGCTCTGCCGCAACCTTGGGCAAGTCATTTTTCTGCTGTGGGCTTCAGTTTACTAACAGTAAAAATGAGTAGCTGGATTAGATGACTTTGAAATTATCTTTAGCTTGATAAATCTTAACCTCACATTGACTTATATCACACAATCACAAGTACAGATTTTCTGAGACCGATTGGTGGCATAGTTGAACAAACATGGATCTTGAAGCCAGACAGATGAATGTTCAAATCCCAGCTCAGTGCCTTACTATCTGTGTGACCTTGGGTAATTGCTTAATATCTCTGAGTCACTACTCCCTGTCTGTCAGATGAGATTATAAACAGAGGTCCCAAAAAGTTATCCTGAGGATGAAGTTGGATAATATATGTTATGTGCCTAATGTAAGTTTAATTCTCAGTAAGTGTTGGTTTCCATTCTCCACTTTGCTATACCCACTGGGTGCTCCCCTGGGTCACTGGGTCAGATACTCCCTGCCCCTGTTGCTTTGCTGTCCCTGGTCAGGCAATTGGTGAGTGAACAAACCCTTGCTGAGCTTGGCTCTGGCCATGCATTGAGAGGGTGATAGCACTCAATTGCACTCAAGTAGTTTTAGCCTTGCCATGGAGCTAAGTTGAGGACATGGCAAGGACAGGGGTCTGGCTGGCATCTGGAGGCCACAGATGCTGCTAAATATCCTCCAGTTTACAAGAAAGGGCCACAACAAAGGATTATCCAGCCCCTGGTGTCAATAGTGCCTGGGTTGAGAAACACAGGGGATATTCATGGGGCACTGATAACGTCTGCTACAAAAACCAGGACCCAAAGTGGGTGTATTAATGTTTTCACACTGCTGATAAAGACATACCTGAGACTGGGTAATTTATAAAGAAAAAGGGGTTTAATAGACTCACAGTTCCACGTGGCTGGGGAGGCCTCACAATCATAGTGGAAGGTAAAGGCATGTCTTACATGGCGGCAGATGAGAGAAGATGAGAGCAAAGTGAAAGGTGTTTCCCCTTATAAAGCCATCAGATCTCATGTGACTTATTCGCTACCACAAGAACAGTATGGGGGAAACTGTCCCCGTGATTCAATTATCTCCCACGGGGTCCCTCCCACAACATGTAGGAATTATGGGAGCTACAATTCAAGATGAGATTTGGGTGGGGACACAGCCAAACCATATCAGTGGGTGAAGTGACTCTGTCTGGGTCACACCAAGAGCTAGCAACAGCTGGAAAAGGGAAGCTGGATTTTTGGACTCATCAACTAGGGCTCTTTCTGCCACCATGCCCCTCATATCTCACCACCCATGTTGTCAAGTCTCAAAATTATCCTTGCCCATCTGCCTTGACATGGTTTAATAAGCAGAAGTGAACATGTCATGAAAATACCAAATGGTTCCAATCTTTTTTTTTTTTTTTTTTGCTGATAGAGTCTTGCTTTGTTATCCCAGGCTGGAGTGCTGTGGCATGATCATACTTCATTGCAGCCTCAAACTTCTGGGCTCAAGTGATCCTCCAGTCTCAGACTCCCAAAGCACTAGGATTACAGGTGTGAGCCACTGTGCCTGGCTCAGATCTACGAAACTTTGAGCCCTTTGCTGACAGACAGACTTAGCCCTTTCCTCGGACCTGAAATTATGGAAACATTCCCACCCAAGAATTAATGTAAGAAAAAAATTAGTGAGCTAGGAATAAAGAATTAGTGAGCTAGGAATAAAACACCTTTGGATGTTCATTACGCTGGATTCCCGGACAGCTAAAGTAGTTCATGCATTTCCCTTTGGCCTGTGGATCCATTTCAGTGGCAGTCGGGGACATCATGCATGCCCTGTTATACATTACAGCCTAAATACCTGGGTGAGGCCAGTGGAATCCTGCTCTCCAGGTAAGGACTTGATTCCTGGCCAGCAGAGCCGAGGAAGCCAACAGATGACTGTGTCCACCATTTGACCTGCTGGGGGCTCTCTCTCACACTCTCACACATGTATGCATATGTGGAGCCCCCAAAACAAGTGGTTCCATGCAAGTGAAAGGAATTTATTCAATTAATTCCTGTAACTATTTAATTAATTCTGTAATTAAGTATATTCTGTAATGGGTGAGTAGGTGGAAAATCATAGCATCCTCTCTGCATGGGGAGTTTCCTTTGAAAGATTGCAACCAGTTGGCATGGCCCAGGGAGAGAGTGGGCAGAGGGGGGAGTAGAATGGTTTGGGGCACTACCTGTGAGCAGCATTTGTGCAGCAGACATCTGAAGGGGATGCCTCCTCCTGTGTAGCCAGCAGCGAGCTCAGAGCTCGGGGAGCATCATGGAAACCCAGGCTGGGCGGCAATTCCATGGAATGAGATCAGCTCCACCCTCAGTTTCCCTGTCTGTGAAATGGGGGCTAACACCATCTTTCATGTATCTTTCTTCCTTCCATTAATAACGATTCCCTAAGGTCCTGATGTGTGCCAGACTCTGATGGAGGCCCTGGGACTGTAACTGAGGAAGAGAGAGAAGGAAGGATGTGGAAGAGGCCCTGGAAAGCAAGACATTGGAGAGGGTCTGCAGGTTGGGCAAGAGTTGGTTGGGAATATTGTTCCATTTTGACAAGCCCTGGGGCCAGGCTCCATCTGTGAATTCATGGCCTTCCCTACTGGCACGCAACACCCATGACCTGCCCTCCCCTTTCTTGGCCACATGTCCCCTTCTACCAGGCAGTGACCAAAGCTGGGCTTTCCCCCAAGGTTGCCATGGGATACCATGTCCTCCAGGATCTGAGGCATCCTTCACCCCTCCCACACGCCTCTTTTCCATTATCTGCTCAGTCCTTGTCTCCCTGTCATGGTTGTTGATATTTCAACTGCTTTATTATTGGTTCATTTTCCCATGGGTTTGCCTTGGCTCAAAAGCTAGGCTGTACCGCACATGCCCATTAAGATGGCTATTGTCAAAATAACGGAAGATAAATGTTGAGGATGTGGAGAAATTGGAACCCTTGTGAAATGCTGTGGCTGCTGTGGAGAACAGGATGTCGGTTCCTCAAGAAATTAAACATGGAATTTCCATACAATCCAGCAATTCCACTTCTTAGTATGTACACAAAAGAATGGATAGCAGGGACTCAAACAGGTATATGTACACCCATGTTCATAGCAGCGTTATTCACAACAGTCAAAAGGTGGAAGAAACCCTAGTGTCCACAGATGGATTAGTGAACGAGATGTGGCATATCCGTACAGTGGAATATTATTCAGCCTTAAAAAGGAGGAAATTCTGACACAGGCTGCAACATGGGTGAACCTTGAGGGCATTACGCTAAGTGAAACGAGCCAAACGCAAGAGGATAAATACAGTATGGTTCCATTCATATTAGGTCCATAAAGTAGTCAAACTCAGAGAGCAGGACGTAGGATGGTGGTTGTTGCCAGAGGATGGGGAAGAGGGGATGGGGAGTTTGTGCTTAATGGGTACTGAGTTTCAGTTTGGGATGATGAAAAAGTTTTGGAGATGTACGGTGGTGACGGTTGAACAATAACGTGAACATGCTTAATATCAATGAAATGAACACCTAAAAATGATTATGATGAAGTGTCATATGTATTTTTTACCATAATGAAAAAAAAAGAAGGGGAAAAAAGGCGTTAAGCTCCTTGTGGGCAGAGCCTATACTTCCTACATCTTTAGTTTCTGTTCGGTGATATCAACAAAGGCAATGCCTTTGTGAAGAGAAGGGGAGGGAAGGAGGAAGGAAGGGATAGGATCAGAGATGGGGGCTGTAGGGTCCTTATGTTCTCTGCCCCCAAGGTGCTCACCTCCCATAGGCCCTTCTTCCAGACCTGCTGCCCTGGCTCCATCCTCTACAGACCTGAAGCAGGCACTGTAGCCACCCACCGAGGCCTCCACATGCCCTACGGGGCCTTCCTTGTTCCATCCCTGCTGACCTGGAAGGCCACATCCCCTGTGTCCCACCGTGCTCAAATCACACTCAACCACTTTCTGTTCCCAGTTGTGTCACATTCTCACCACCTACCTGTGACTTCACACAGGCCTTATCTTTTATCTGGAAAGTCTTACTTCACCTGTTGCCTGAGAAAGTCCACCCAGGCTTGGAGTGTCAGTTCACACCCCACCTGCTCTGTGAGACCTCCCCTGATCTCCTGCAGAGATCACGCCCCATCCTCTGCGCCTAGCCCATCCTAGCACCTAACACCAGGATCTGTATGTGCCAACGTCTCCCACTAGAGGGCGGGATGGTGGAGCAGTCACAGCAGATAAGACCCGTCCCCATCCTCGATCTTTCTTCCTTTCTTGCAAAGCCTGACTTTTGTTCAGCTGGTCCCCTTCTGCCTGGCCATGGGAGTGACCACAGCCCCAGCCCCAGAGATGGATCCTGATTTGTCTAAGCTGATCACAGTTTCTCATTCCCCTTGCTAGGGATTGACTGAGGAGAGGGCATGAGATCTGACTCTGTCTGGTGAAATGAGAGGGGAAATTTGCTAGGAGAACTTGCAGGAGTGTTTCTTTTGTGCTTAAAAAGACATGGGGCAAGAGGAAAGAGGTAATTTTCTGCCTCTGGACCTGTTCAACATTTGTCCATTGGGATTGCTGCAGCCACCATGTGACCATGAGGTGTGATGTCACCAGCATATTGGGGAGGGCAGAACCAGGCAGGGGTCAGAAGCCATACCAGTTATGTTAACAAGGAGAATTTGTTATGAATCACGTCAACTGGGTAACTGGATGGGTGAAAAGGGAGGTAGCAACTGCAAGAAGCAGATGCTACTTGCAGGGCTGGGAGAAACAGGAAAGGGGTGGGAGTCACTAACACGTACTTAGAGAAGGAGACCTCTGAGAAGGAGGTGCAGCATGGTTGGTGTGGGTGTCCCTGAGCTTAGAGGATGAGCCCAGCAGGGCAGACCAGACTCTGAGGCAGTGTGCAATGAGGCTGTGTGTTGAAAAAGCAGCAAATTAGATTCAGCCTTCTATCAGGAGGAACTGCTTCTGCCGAGGTGAAGAAGCATTGCTAGAGCAATGCTGACAGGAAGAGTAAAGCCCTTGGGAAGGCACAGGAAGTCCCTCTCCCTCCTCCAGCCCAGCTGGAGGGATCCAGCTCCCCGTATTGCCAGGGTTTAACATGGAGCATTTGTCAAAGCAGAAATGTGGTTTGTGGAGTCCCAGTCCTTGTGTCACAAAGCAGGGTAGAAGGGTGAGTTTGGAACTGAGATAACAGCCCAGTAACCGACACAGACAGAGAGCGCCTGAATCATGGAAGTCATCACTAAGCATTGAACTAAAAACGCATGGAGCTGCCTGACTTTGGTTTCTTGGCATGGGAGAAAGTAGATATCTCCCTGTGTGAGCTGCTTGTTCCTGGTCTGCTTTTCTGCTATGAACCAGCCTCTGTACTGACACAGCCTTGTCTTATTCAGCTCTTGTCCTCCACAGTGCCTTGCACAGGGCTGCTACATTGGTCAACATTAATCAGATTGAACTGAAGCCCCCCTCACAGCTAGTGTGGTCTTGAGGGACTGGGACCGCGGCTCAGATTCCTGGGCGTAAGTATCTGCTCCCTCCCTCAGCATGCTAATTCAGGCCAGTTTTCACCTCTCCTATCCTCCGTTTCCTCATCTACAAAATGAGGGTATCAAAACCAGTTATCTGGGCCAGACATGGTGGCTCATGCCTGTAATCCCAGCACGTTGGGGGGCTGAGGCAGAAGGATAGCTTGAGTACAGGATTTCAAGATCATCCTGGGCAAAACAGGGAGACCTCGTCTCTATAAAAAATAAAAATAAAAAAATTAGTTGGGCATGGTGGCATGTGCCTGTATTTCCAGCTTCTCAGGAGGCCAAGTCAGGAGAATCCCTTGAGCTCAGGAGTTTGAGGCTGCAGTGAGCCAAGATCATGCCACTGCACTCCAGCCTGGGTGATAGAGTGAGATCCTGTCTTGACAAAAAAACAAACAAACAAAAACAAACAAAAACCAGTTGTCTCATTGGGTTGTGCTGATGCTAGGCCTGCTTCACACACAGTAAGCATTCTTTTAGCTACTGTTATTGGCCATCAACTTGCATGCTGCTTTTCTGACAAACAGGCTTTGAATGCTCCACCCAAAAAAACCCAGCTGTGCTCTGTGCCTCACAGAGAGAGCCAGGCTCTGCACCTTACCTCCCTGGGCTCAAGCCAACAGCTCGATAACCTGCTTAGTACCTACTCCCAGGCCCCACAGCTCCTCCCTGTTTCTCTGGGTTGGTCGTTCATGATGTCTTTGGATTGCCTGAATAATTTCCTGTTGCTACGGCTTTGTAGCCTCATGCTATGCCTGCTACGGGTGCCATGTCCTGCTGCCAGCTGGACTTCCTTTTCTTGCAGCTGGCTCGAGTTCTGCTTCTGCATTCTCTCCCTTTTCAACAGTCTTGTCCCTCTGCCTGCTCCTTGAGCCCTTCCATGGCCTTCATGAGATAGCCAAGGACGCTCATTTCTGTGGGGCTACTCTGCAGCAGACATTCTTTTCCTGTGGCTGCTGTAACTTGATGGCTTAAAACAATACAAATGTACTCTCTCACAGTTCTGGAGGCCAGAAGTCTGGCATCGAGGTGTCAGTAGGGCCATGCTCCCTCTGAAGGCTCTAGGGAAGAATGTTTCCTTGCCTGTGCCAGCGTCTGGCGGCCTCGGGAAATCTCCTTGGCTTGTGGCAGCATCACTTCAGTCTCTGCGTCCATCTTCCCTCTGCGTCTCTGGGTGTCTTTTCTATCTCTGATGAGGACGCTCTCATTGGACTTAGGGCCCACCCTCATCCAATATGATCACATCTCAATTCTTACCTGCATTGTACCTGCAAAGACCTTGTGTCCAAATAAGATCACATTCTGAGGTCCTCGGTGGACATACATTTTCAGCAAACACTGTTAACACATAACACGTGGCAAGCTGGAGAACAGGACCCTGCCTCTCAAGAGAGTCCTTGATGATCCATAAAGACAAGCTGAAGACAAAGCAGTGGCTGTCCCCATTCGGACTCAGGGGAGCCACTGTCACCTCTGAGGCAACCCCAACATTTCAGCCCCTGGTGGCCAGGGGTCCCTGTTGGGCCCCCTCAGGAGGTTACTGTGCCCCACCCCTTGCGTCTCAGCTACGTGTTGTTGGCAAGGGCCCTCTGTCAAAGCACACACTGTAAGAAAGCCATTGCAGTTTGGGGACTGGTGGTAGAGTGAAGGAAATAGGAAGAGAATTAAACAAACAAAGGCAAAATCTTCACCATCCACAGAACAATATGCAAAAACCAGGGCATTCCTCCAGACCATCAATAAATAATCCAGACCACAAAAATAATACATTAGACAGCTGGTGTAATGGTAGCATGTGAAAGACTGTGGAACTCTCTAAAATTAATTTTCTTCATTTTGGTTTATTAAAATTGCACTCATCTATCTCCCCTGTTAAATATTTTATTTTTTCATATTAATGGCTGCAATTTCAGCTTGTGCCTGTTTCTGTCATTAACACTGTACAAACTTAATATCATTAGTAGTTTTTCCCTTAATTATGTGACTAGAGAAGAAAAACATCAAAGTTTCCGTGAAATTGGAATAGTATATCTAAATTGCCTCATGTTTATTTTAACATTAACAGTAAATGAAGCTAATGGGCTTTTATATTATTAAAAGCACTCATTTGTGTCCTGCCTGTTCTAATATATAACAAAGCTTTAAAAGATGTTAAATAATTAGTTATTTAATAGGGATGGGTGGAATAGATCAAAAGAAAGGAACAGTTGAGAGTAACCAACGTGTGCCGTTGAGGGATCTGTCCCTTTTAGAGCTTGCAAACGGGATTCCCTCTCCCCATGTACCCTGACCCACTGTTAATGTGTTAGCTCTAATTTATAATGAACCTGGAGTGTTAAAGCAACAAAATCTATTGCTGTAGCCCCGCGGAGGACACACATGTATGGGGGGCAATAATGTTTGCAATTATTTCTGGGCAACATCCATTCATAATTCAATACCTGCTCACGGCCCGTGGTTGCTGGAGCAGCTCAGGCCCGTGCTGGGCTGGGGCTTCAGAGGTTTTCTGCGGGAGAGAGAGGCCGGTTTAGCCTTCCTCCCTACCTTCCTGACTGGCAGTCTCCTTGCCTCGTGGCTGGGATCTCTTGGGAGGATGCCAGTGAATAGAGGTGTTTGTCTGAGTTAGGAATGCAGTGAGAGCTGGGAAAGGACTGTGGCTGCTGGCTCTCGAAGAGGTACTAGATTGTGTTGTCACTCTCCTCCTGAAAAACCTGCAGTGACTCCTCGTGGCTTGCCCTGCCAAGGCCAAGCTCCTTACTGGGCATTTGAGGGCCTCCCTATTCAGTGTGAGCTGCTACTTTTCCTGACATTTGTGCTCTGTTCCATCCAGCTGGTTCCCTAGCTGCGTCCGGCACACGCCGAGTTGTCCTGCCTCCTTGCCCCTGCTCAGGCTGTTGCCTTTCCCTGAAATTGCCTTTGCTCTTTCTTCTGTCCATCCAACCAGGCATTCTTTATGAATCAAATTCCAGATCCTCCAGTAGGCCTCTCCTGGTCCCTCTGTGTCCTGAATTCCCAAAGTAGTGCTTCCCAAACTTGAACATGCATCAAGTCTCTGAGAGGGCATGTTATGACACAGTCCTAGAGTGGTAGATTCAGAGGTCTTGTGTGGGGGCTGAAAATTTGCATATCTCACCGGTTCCCAGGTGATGCTGATCTGAGGACCCCACTTTCAGAACCCCTAGAGCATATCCAGTCACCTCAGATCATTAGGCACTGTGCTTGTTACTTGTACTTGCTTGAAATGTTCTCTGATAGTGTCATGTAGCTTGTCTCCGCAAATAGACAGCAAGTTCCTCAAGGGCAGGGACTCTAGGCCATTTCTTTGTATCCTCCAAAACACCATTAGCTCAAGGACGGGCTCATGGTGTGTGAGCCAATGACTCTTGATGCACTGGTTGGCTAGTTGCCATGTTTCATTCAACTGGAGAAATCTCCATGTTATAGCTGAGAAAGCTGAGGCTTAAAGAGGAGTACATTGCTGGAGGTCACACAGATGTGAAGTGACAAACAAGATCTGAACCCAGGTTTATCCCTAGAGCCCTGGCCAATGCTTCTTAATTAAGTGATGCCAAACATGAGGGCTTGGGACGACAAGGCCTCTGTATTAGGAGAGTGGCTGCTTTTGTCACTGATAAGGTAAGGAGCTTGAGTTGACAGAAGAATTCTATCCAGTCAAGGAGGGAAACTGAGATGCTTTCCCCTGGGTTTCATGATCCTTCCTTCAGTCTGGGTAAAATACACATGGGAAGTAAGCTGCCAGGCTCCTGCTCCCCCGCTAATCAATTGCGGCACTATATAGCCCTGACTTTAGGTTCAGTCTAAGAACCCTTCTCACTGCACCAATGCATTTCTATGGTAAGGTGAAGCCCATTTGCCATTCATAATTTGTCCAACTTATCCACTATGCAGGTGAGAAAACTGAGACTCAGAGAGGAAATGCCAACATCTATAAAAGGCACTGTGACTTCCTCATTCTTTTCTCTTGATCTCTTGCTCTGAGGGAAGCCATGTCTTAGGACACTCAATTAGCCAATGGAGAGGCTCATGGGATGAGGAACTTAGGCCTCCAGCCAACAGCTAAGAGGGTGAATTTCCCTGGAAAAAGATCCTCCGCCCCCAGTTCAACAATCTGGAGTCTTTTAAACAGGAACATTTAATCCACTTACATTTAATGTAATTCCTGGTATATTTGCATTTATTTCTTCTACATTATTTTGTGCTTTCTACATGCCTCACCTTGCCTATGTTTCTTTTACTCTCCTTTCTTGCCTTTTTTATATTAATGAAATATTTTTGACAATTCAAAATGTCGTCCTCAATTTGAAAGATATATTTTCTATTTCTATTATTTTAATAGTTCACCTAGAAATTACAACACATGTATTCAAAACTTACCAATAGCTAATATAAATCCATACCCTTGTCTTTCTCCTAAACTATAAAAAGGACTTAGAACACTTTAAATCCATTTAACCCCTGACTTATGTGTTGATGTTTTCATACTTTAGATTCTGTCTTTTCTTTTAATTCCACATAACGTTATTAGTGCTTAAAGCAGTTAATGGTTACTTAGTCTTTTCTACATAGTTCCCAGTTCTGCTGTTTGTTTGCTTTTATACTTCAGCTCCTCATCCTGGAATCATTTTCCTTTTCCCCTTAGTCCAAACTTTGGCATTGCCTTTAGTGAGGCACTTCCAGTGGGAATTTTCTTCTTCCTTCTTATCTGAGAACCTTAATTTTACTTTGTTCTTGAGAGACACTATCACTGGCTACAGAATTCTAGGTCAGTGGTTATTTTTGCTCAACACATGCTAAAATTTTGTCTTCTGGCTCCCAACTGTTGCTTTTGAAAGTAACCTTCTAATCTAGCTTTTATCTTTTGAATATGTTGTAATCTAGTTTTTCCCCTTCACTGACAGCTTTAAAAATATTTGAATCTTCTTAGTCTTATATATTAAGAAAAAAATGTGAGTCCTATATACACTGTTATATATCCTGTAGAAACAAATCACTTTCTTGTAGAAAACAAAATTTCTGTTTGTGTTTGGTGTTCTCCAGTTTCACTCTGACAAATCTACCTGTGTATTTCATTTATTTAACCTTTATAGGATTTATTGATCTTAAAATTATAAATTGGTTTCTTTTTTCAGATCTGGAAATTCTTAGCCATTATTTTCTGAATTATTGGCTCTGTCCAGTTCTCTCACTCTTCTCCTTCTGGAGTTCTAATTTGATGTATTTTATATCTTTTCATTTTTATCTCCCATATCTCTTAACGTTTTTTCATATTCCCTATCTCCTTTTCTTTCTTTGTTGGATTCATCTAGTCCACTGACTCTCTCTTCAGCTATATCTAATACGCTGTTTTACTTATCCATTGAGTGTTTCCTTTGATTATTTATCATTTCTAGATGTGATGTTTCCTTCTTTTTAGAATCTGCTAAGTCTCTCTCTCTCTTTTAAAGGTTTTCCTGTTCCCTGTAGATATTATCAATCTTGCCTTTTTCCTCCTTCTGAATAGTAAGCATCATTGCTTTATATTCTGCACCTGATAATTCCAATATCTGAAATCTTGCAGATCTGTTTCTGCTATTCTCGCTTGGAGCCTTCTTTCCTTGTGTACTCAAGTTCTTGGTTATTTTTGGCCTGAGTTATTTGTTCATTTTCCTCAGGAAAATTATTTTTGGTACTTCTTTGAGGTTTGGGAGGAAAAGATCTGAGTAGCTTCTGCCAGGTACCCTAAAGACAGTTCAAGACTACTTTAAATTAAATTTATCATAATGGTTATTCTGACCATTGAGGTGATGTAAATTTGGGCTATAAATCTAATTTTCATGAATGGCTGTTTTCCTTCCTGCTCTTCTCATAACTTTTCTTGAAGCCCCTGGGTGTGGGAGGGGTGAGGTAGTCTTCCTTCTGGTTCACACTTACCTGAGGATGTACCTTTGCAAGTCTCACCTTTATGAAGGAGGATGTCCTATTAGATTCCTCATCTTTGCTGAGCACTGAGCTTCATCTTCTCTTCCCCAAAGCCCTCCATGGTATCAAAACTGAAGCTCAAGTTTGCTGGTTGAGCAAATGCCCACAGGGCACAAGTCCCTACTTTCACTTCAGTGCTCTCAGAGTCCCTACTTTCACTTAGCTTTTGGACTGGTAACTTCTTACTATCTTGTAGCCCCTGAATGCTTTTAAGAAGATATTTTAACTTTTATTTACCATGTCTGTTGTCTCTACCATGAAGGTTGGTCTAAGTAACCCAATTTGCCATATTACTGGAAATGGCAGTCTGCTGAATGCTTTTTCCATAACCCGAGGTTAGAGTGTTCCTCTGTTGGAGAAACTAAAACAGGAGGTGGTACAGTCCAGTCTCTTGGATACAGTGAGTAATGGAGAGGTGGTTGTTGGGCAAAACCTCCTGCTGAGGATGGTGGGGCCTTACCCAGTGCACATGAGCCTTGCCCATACACCTATGTAATTGGTCCGCGTTCTCCAGGGAGGATGGTCCTGACTGTCCTGACCTCCAGTTGTTTTGCCTGGCCTCACTCATCTTGGCTTAGTGGCCACTTGCCTCACTTTTCTCCATCCTCATTCCTCTTCCTGGCCCCTGTTCCTACCCTGTACTCTGATGTCAGCTTCCAGCACATGTCTGGCCTCAGGTCTCCATCTCTAGTTAGAGTTATTCTGCTGTGTGCATGGCCCTGAGCCCTTAGCACCTTGGGAGTCCTTAGCACCATGGAGCTGCCAGTTGGCAGCAGGGTGCTCCTCATCTCTTCTCCTTGTCCCTGGAGGCTATGGAGGAGGGTACATCTTTCCCTGGGACTGTGGGGCCCCTTGAAGGTGTGGCTTCAGTCTGATTCCTCTCTGGCCTTGCAGTGCCCAACTCTGGGCTTGGCTCTGAGCAGTCTCCTTGAGTGTTCATTGCATTTCCAATGCTCAGCTCAGTGCCAGGCACTCAGAGGGTCCTGAGAGGGACACAGCAGGAGACATCATGGGAGGAAACAGCATGAAGTTGGAGGGAGGAGCGGAGAAGGGCTTAAGGCCAAAGTCATTGGAGGCTTTAAGCAGGCAAATGAAATCAGATGGTACTCCAAAAAAAATGGCTCCGGCTGCTGAATGAAGAGAAATTGAAGACAGTGGACTTGGGTGGAAAAGTTCAGAAGCTGTTGCTCAGGTCAGCTGCGACACAAGCCTTCACAAGTGGCGTAGTCAGTGCTAGCATTGCAATGTCTCGGGGCTGGGGCCAAATCACCACTCCATCCTGAATCTCAGTCAAGGTGAACTTGAACTGGAAACTGGGAGGGGGAAAGAAGTGGGCAAATTGAATGACGTTAGGAAGTGACACCAACAAGCATCACCTTGTTGACATGGTCACTCCAGATCCATGAGCTTGATACAGTGAAGATTGCAGGTTTAAGAGGTCAGGTCTTCTTGAGGCTCAGTTGACATAAATGGCCGGGAGGTAACTCCAGTCCAATGGATCAGTCCTGTGGCCACACTGAGAACTGTGGCTTGGGAAGAGCTCACTGTGAGACTGCCTGGGCAAGGGATTTGAAGCCCCTTCCTTAAATGGGCATGCCAGATTGACAACTACAAATATAGGGGGCCAAGGTGCCCCATTATCCCGAGGTATGAATGGGGCCCTTCTTATGACTTCCTTTGCATCCTTTCATCCTTTTTCTTGTGGTAAATGCCCACTCCCAGGTGGAAAGAATCACAAAAAGGGAATAAGAGAAAGGGAAAATAAAGAACAGAGTCAGATGGCTGGGCATAGTGGCATGCACCTGTAGTCCCAGCTGTTCAGGAGGCTGAGGCACAGGAACATTTGAGCCCAGGGGTTCAAGGCTGCAGTGAGCCATGATTGTGCCAAGACCCTTCAGCCTGGGCAACACAGCAAGACAACATCTCTTAAAAAAAGAGAGCAGGGTCAGATGACAAAGGTAGGATAAGATAATTGTAAAAGGTCAAAATAAAGAATGAGAATAAGATGAAACATTGTTCAAAAAACACATTACAAAGAATTCAAGAGTAGAAAATAGTGAGTTTATAAATAATAAAATCAATTTAATCTAAAAAAAGAAACTGTGAAATAAAAATACACAGTTATTATTAGGTTTTACAAAATAACACCCTTATATATGATGCATATATTTTTATTCTTTTTTTTTTCTGAGACAGAGTCTCACTCTGTCACCCAGGCTGGAGTACAGTGGTGCGATCTCAGCTCACTGCAACCTCTGCCTCCCGGGTTTAAGTGATTCTCATGCCTCAGGCTCCCAAGTAGCTGGAATTAACAGGCGTGCACCAGCATGCCTGGCTAATTTTTGTATTTTTAGTAGAGATGGGGTTTCACCATGTTGCCCAGGCTGGTCTCGACCTCCTGGACTCAAGTGATCCACCTGCTTCAGCCTCCCAAAGTGCCAGGATTACAGGCGTGAGCCACTGTGCCCGGCCTATAATATTTTTATTCTGTTCTATTTCCTTTTTAAAAGAAATTATTCATGACCCACTAAATTGTAACCCATTTTTGAGACTCAATCTCTGTTTTGGAAAACACTGCCTGTTCACACCACCATGTGAGAAAGTCTCTGTGTGCCTTCTCATTTGACCATCCCACCTGCCCCAGAAGGTGGATAGTGCCATTGTACAGATGAGGAAGCCATTGTACAGATGAGGAATTGAAGTAGTGATTTGGCCTCAGCCCCCAAACATCCCCAAGCTAGTTTTACATAAAAATATGTAAAGTGAGAAGGAGTCACTTGAAGTAACTAAAAGGGTTTCTCCCATTCAAAATGTTAAAATGATAATAAAATAATTTTTTAAAGTATAAAAATGGGAGGATTGATTAAAAGGGATCCAAATAGGAATGTGAGATTAAAAAAAAATAGGTAGATAATAAAAACCTAAAAATAAGAGGAAGAGGCCAGGTACAGTGGCTCATGCCTGTAATCCCAGCACTTTGGGAGGCCAAGGTGGGTGGACCACGAGGTCAGGAGTTTGAGACCAGCCTGGCCAACATAGTGAAACCCCGTCCCTACTAAAAATACAAAAAATTAGCTGGGTGTGGTGGCACGTGCCTGTAACCCCAGCTACTTGGGAGGCTGAGGCAGGAGAATCACTTGAACCAGGGAGGCGGAGGTTGCAGTGGGCTGAGATCGTGCCACTGAACTCCAGCCCGGGGACAGTGCGAGACTCCATCTTAAAAAAAAAAAAAAAAGAGAGAGAGAGAGAGGAGGAGAGAAGGAGAGAGGTGATTTTAAGACAACATTAGGGAACAAAGAGGAAAAATGCAGTCAATATCAGGCCACAAAGAAGACTCCCAAGGGCTCCTGCAAGGACTGAGAGCCCCTGGTGAGGGCACTCCCACTCTCCGCCCTCTGGACCCCTCTGGGCTGCAGCAAGAAGAAGGGGACAACCTGAATTATCACATTTTATAGACAGGTAAACTAAGGCTCAGAGCACTGAAATAACTTGCCTAAGGTCACCCTGTCATGAAGAGCCGAGGCCAACATGGGGCTTCCCCTCATGGAGCTTATCGGGGCAGAGGGACAGCTGAGACCTGAGCATTCACAAGCTGCATGGTCAGTGCTGGCATGGGGATGTGCAGGGGCCAGGGCCAAATCGCTAATCCATCCAGAATCTCAGTTCCTCATCTGTACAATGGCACACCACTAACTGCCTTCTGGGGCCGGGGGGATGGTCAAATGAGAAGGCAGACAGAGACTTTCTCACATGGCAGTGGGTACAGACAGCGTTTTCCAAAACGGGAGTCTCAAAGCTCGGTTACAATGGAGTGGGTCATGAATAATTTCTTTGTAAAAGGAAATAGAACAGAATAAAAATATTATATGCATCATATGTAACAAGAGTATCATTTTGTGGAACCTACTAATAACTCGTGTGTGTGTGTGTGTGTGTGTGTGTGTGTATGATGCCAGGTCTTGTGGAAAAGTTGTTTTTTTTTTTACTGTGGGTTCAGTTCAAAGAATTTTGAAGGCTGCTGACGTTCCACGTGGTCAAGAGCAAGCATTTGAAGTCACGCATGTTTGGTTTGAATCCCAGCTCCACCACTTCCTACATCGTGCAACACTTCCTTCCCCTCACAGGCTGCTGTGAGGACTGATGAGACAGTGCTTGTGAACAAGATGCGCAGAACAGCACCTGAGACATCCTAGGACCTCTAAATATTGGTACCTGTTCATGTTATCGTTGTCCATATCACATGGCAAGACCTCAAATAAGAGCTGTCCCTGATTGAAAACATGACAGGTAAAAAGAAGGTCATATTATGGTTGTTCTTTTTATATCAATAACTATCGTTTTTAGGCATTTGTGTGTCAGGTACCAACCTCATTTAATCCTCACAGCAGCTATGTGATGTAAATTCTATCACTGTTTCCATTTTACAGCTGAGGAAACCGAGGTGAGGGAGGTTGAGACTTAAGAGTGAGTTTCTTAAGTCTCAACCAAACTCACACTCCTGCCCCGGCACCCAGCAGCACTCCCTGCCCAGCTCTGGGGACTTCTCTGGCCCCCAGGCCCCCAGCGGCTCCAGCTTCGAGCCTCCGGGGCCCTCACTCACTGCAGGTCTAGGGTCTCCTCTGCCTGGTCTGCAGGTTTTCCATCCTCACTGCTCTGCCTCGCTTTCCTCAGGGCACCAGCCCTTCCTCTTGCTAGTGCACTCCAGATGTTTCTTATTCAATATCCTCCCCATCCCCAGGCTTCCCAGAAGGTGCCTTAAGTGTTGGCAGCGGCCAGGGAGCCAAGTGGGTGGGGAGCTGGGGAGAACCTGTCTTTGAGGCTGGAGCCAGGCCTGGAGGCTGAGGCTCTGTCTACCTCTGCTCCAGCCTGTGTGGCCAGGAGGACGAAGCTCAGCTTCTGCCACAGTCCCCTGGACTGAGAAAGCACCAGAAAAGGGGTCCTTCCCCGGAGCTTCAACCTGGGAGATGACCCCAGGTCTGGAAATCGAGAGCCAGCGCAGAGGCCCACCGGGTGAGCCTGCGGTGCCATTGTCACTGGAGAGAGGCGCACAGGCAGCCTCCCAGCTCAGTGTCAGCCGCTGGCTCTCACCACATCGATCATCCAGTCCTTAAGACATATTAAAATGGATTTAAAAAGACATTTTGCATTTTCTCTCCTTAACACCCACATTATTGCCACACATTGGCTTTTGTTTTAATTAAAATTGGTTTTGAAATCCTCCATGAAACTTCAGTGGGATTGTTAAAGGCACCAATTTCCTTATCGGCAGTGCGTCCCCACAACATACTGTAATAGTTATTTTGCAACAAAGCACAAGTCTTATTAATTTAGCTCAATCAAATCAGCACCACGTTAATTTACGGGGCTGTAAAAATCTGGCAGTGCCGCTCTAGATCAAGGAACTTAGGGCAAGCAAGACACCAAGTGGGATGTTTATTTTGTACAATGGTCCCTAACTGCATTTCTGTGATTTAAAAGCTTTCCGAGGCGTGAGATGATAATATTACATGCATATAGAATTGTGTGTTTGCCATGCCTCATTACTCCCCACAGAGACCCAAAATCATTTGGTATTCAACTCCTACCTAAAATATTTCCTTTTACATACAAATATTTTTTCTGCTTTAAATGGCTTCTCTATGTTAACTTTTTTTTTTTCTTTCTGGGGCTGTGAAGCAAGATCGCTTCCTACATGGGATTCTATTTTGGTCCAGTATTGATCTTTAGTGGTAGTTGCTAAGTGGGTTGTTGGCTTTTTCACCCTTCTTTTCCTGTAGCCAATTCCTTCCCAATACAAAGCAGGTGCAGGTTTTCGTGGGGGTGATTTTGAATTTTCTGCTCATTCTTTCCCTTCCATTTCAGATTTCTGCTTCCTGGTTTATTTTTACTAATGTCTTCCTCAGCAACTAGGAATGTTTCTCTCTCGCTCATGTCTTAATAACAAAGCTTCATAATAATTATTATAACGCTTTGCCAGGAGAGGCAAGCTTAACAGCCAGTAGAGGATTTGGAAGGCAGTGTGGTTTGGGGAATTGCAACAGATGGGTGGAAATGAGGAGATGGAGGCTCAGAGAGGGCAAGCGACTTGCCTGAGGTCACACAGTGAGTTAGGAAGTACACTGGACTCCAGGACTCCTCTGAGATCCTCTGGGATTCTCTAAGCCCCAGTTTTCCTCCTCTGGGATCCTCTGAGACCCAATTTTCTCATCAGTAGAACAAGGACCTTAAGAGTTGCTGCTGGGAGTTTAGCACAGGGCTCGGTATACAGTGGCTGTTAAGCAATGTTGGATATGGCTTTCATTGTCTTGCCCTTCCTCAGCAAGGGCAGGCCTAGCTTTTCAAGTGCCCAACTCCGAATTGCAGAGCTGGAATATACTCAGGTGCAGGCTAAGAGCAACTGTCATCTTAAATCTGCAGACTCTCTCAGCATACAAACGTGTTTCCATCTGCTCCGGGGGGACATACACCTGCTCTGGGGATACAGGGTGGACTCTGGAATTCTATATATTTATTAACTCATGGACACATGACAACCTGTCTCAAGATGGGCAGGCATGGAAGCCCATTTCATGGATGAGAAAACTGAGAGTAGCATAGAGTTTCAATGACTGACCTAGAATCAGACAGATAGTCGATGGCAGAGGGGAGACTCCAACCCAGGGCTATGGACTCCAAGGTCAGTGTACTTTCCAGTGAACTGGTAGCATCTGGTGCCCTGGCCAGTCTGCAGGAGCCTGGGTGGACGGTGGTGAGGTTTGTGTGGGAAGCGTGTTTCCTGATGGTGGTATAAGCAGCTGCTGATGTGACAGCATTTGAAATGCTACACGGGTACCCCTGATCCCTCCGTGCCTATAGCCAGGCCTTAGAGAGGACTGTTCTCTAAGTTAAGTCTTGCCTTTTCCCCACGTATATACTTATCTATTTTAATTCTATGACCCGCATGCTCCACGAATGTTCCTTCTCTGTCCCATTAGTGAGAATGAGTTTCTGGTTCGCCTAGGCAGCAGGAGAGCCCTCAGTGCTCAGCAGGGGCCTTTGTGTTAGTTAGGGATGGAGAATCTTCTGTGTGACTCTCAGATGCTACCACATCCTTAGTGACAACAACATGGAACTCACTAACTCATTCCAGAGATGGAGTCCTCACCATTGATGGACAAAGCTCTTGTTTGAAATTCACCTTTCCCGGTGTGGAACCCAAGCCAGTATCTTCAATAAAGCATTATCACTTCATTATGAATGGCCAGACATCCTCCCTGATCTGCCCAAGGCCAGGATGTTCCAGAGCCCCCTGGTGATGGAGGCTGTGACAGTCATACCAAGCACCAACTCAAACCCACATAAGTTAGCTGAGGCCAAGAGAGCTGAGTCTGTGGGCCTGGGCAAGCAAGGTCCCATTTCCTAGGAGGATGGAGAAACAGATATGAAGTGTCAGAGATGAGAAGACAGGGAAGGGGCGTTCCAGGCCTTGGGCAGACACAGCACCTATTGCTGTGCATGTCTTTTAGGCATGGGCTGAGGAATGCAGCCAGAAAGCTCACAGCTAAAAGGATCAGTTCTAGGCAAATACAAATCCTTTGGCTGTGTACCAGGAAAGGATCACTAAAACGGGAAGATGTGAGCTGAGAGTGTCTACTCGATAAAGTTTCAGAGGAGGCTTCAAAGCTAGGCAGTGAAGGGAAGGCTGCAAACTTTGCTGACCACTTCATTCAACAATTACTTTGAGAAACGTGCTGTGTGCCCAGGACTGGGGTGGGCTCTGAAAAGAAGAGGAAGCAGAAACCACTCTCGAAACAGGCCCTGTCCTCCCAGAGCCTGCCAGCTGCTACAAGTCTGCAGGCTCCAGGCTGGCAACTGTGTCCTGGTGAGAGAGCTAGTTCCCGTTTCTGACTGCGTTTGGCTTCTCCTTACACGGTCTGTGCTGGCTTTGGGGGCTGGGTGCAGGAGGTAGTAGAAACGCCCACAGAGGAGGCTGCTCTTTGGACAGCCTAGCTCAGCCTCTGCAAGCAAATGCTAAGCCTGTGCAAAGCTAGGTCCCATTGTAGAATGACCACTCTGGGAGGTATCATTTGCCACAGAAAAGGGGGCAGAGACTTGTTTGCTTTCAAAATGGCTTCCCTCAAACAAGGCTCCAGCTAGGTCATAGAATGCCTTCTGTGTGCATTTGAAGGTGGCCCCTTGGGGCAGACATACGCCACAAGGACCTCAGATGGATGAACAGATCACAGGATAGACTTCAGCCTTCACAGTGCCCTGGGTTGGCTATGCTTGTGCAGTGAACAACCTGTACAACTGTAATTGGTGGCTTTGATGGCCAGCTGCATGGCCAAAGCTCCCAGACCCCTTTCAGCTGTCACCTGTGGGAGGATCCAGGCCTAGGCTCTCCCTTGACATAAAGATAACCCCAGATCTAAGTTGAGATTCCTTCCCAAAGGTGGAGGAAGCTGTGCTCTAACACCCCCACCCCACATACAACCAGCTCACTCAGAAACTCAGCTTCACATACCATGACCTCCTGACACCTTCGCTTCATGGAGGGATGGGTGGGCATGGCAGGGGCAGGAAAAGACCCCCGAGGCCCCTTCCAGAGTCAGTGCCAACTCTTCTCCTGTTCTTGCCGCTCTTTAAGAAGGCTTTCTAAAGAAGAGGAACCTTCCGTGGTGGCAGATGGCAGATAAGTAGGAATGGTAAATAGTTTTAATTACTGCATAATGTAAGTGAGACAATAAAGGAGAGACAGTGGAAGCAAGCTGCTGCCGCTGAGGCCCTGAAACTGTTGTGGGGCCCAATTTGTCTAGCATGTGCTGTTCTCAGTCTTGGGAGGGCTTTAAAGAGAACGCTGAAAATATTAATTGCCCGCCTCACTGGCCCATCCATCTTCACAACCGAGTAACACGCTTTTTTAATTTCAGGGGAATCGTTTTCAAATGGGAATCATGCAAATGAGTATTTTAGCTATTCATTTGTTTTACTGCGAGCGCTTTGTGAGCAAATGGCCTACAGCTTGCAATGAATTAAAAGACATGGGCACTGGAGACCGATTTTTAATACAAAGTCTTGACTCGGAGGCGACCCCGACCAGCAGCACAGAAAATGTTGGCATAGCAACTTTGGGCATTTTCATGCAAATTGGCTTCTATATAGATGATACGAATGCAATGTTTTCCTTCAACTAATCATCATAAAATTAGTTTCACTATATTTAAATGCCTCCACTTAATGCATTATATCCATATGCATGAAATTGCCTCCGCTAATGCAGTACATAAAATGCCAAAGATACAATGAATAGCCAAATTGCAAGCAGTTATGTTATCTCCCATAAAACGACTCCCCTCCCCACTTCTTTTTTTGTGAGTGTGGGTGTTATTGAATGTGTGGGCGCCAAAGGCATCTATCACAAGTTACTATTAACACACAGACTCTCTCTCTCACACACACAGCACGCACATCCCCAAGTCCTCTACAGTTAAGTAACAGTAAGGTTGTAACACAATCTAACAAAAGCCAGACAAGGGAGGGGCTGGCCTGGTCGTGGCTGGCAAAACCAAAACTCCCCTCACAGGGTCTGCACCCAGAAGAAAGAGTAGAGTAGAGAGCACTTGGCTTGCCTGGCCTTGGAATTGGCTCTGGGAGGGGTGGGGTGGTTTCAGCCCCCCATCCCCAGTCACACTTTGGATAGGGAGGAGTGAGAAGGATGAGTCTGAGCTATACATGGGGACCCAGAAACCGACATGAAATAATCAAAAGTGGAGCCACTGTTGCTAAGATCAGTGCCCAAGTCTGCACCTGGCAGCCTGGAGAGAAGAAAACTTGGAGAAGATGATCTAAGTCAATAACTGAGGAAGGATTGGAGAGGAAGGAAGAAAGGGAATGTCCATGGAATACCTATGTTCTCAGCACTGTGCTTGACGCTGTCCATCTGCTATGTCATGTCACCTTTCTTTACAACAAAGTGAAGAACTCGACATGATCATCACTGGCCTTGAGGACTATGAAATGGGTCTCGAAGTGGAGGAACACTTGAGATCACAGGACCAGTAAGTAGCAGAGGAAGGATTTAAACCCAGCTCTCTCTGATTCCAAAGCTGCACTTTCCTCTGTACCAGGCTGTCCCCTGCAGGTGGCATAAAGTAATGGCAGGACTGGGTTCCATTGTCCTTTTTGCTCTGAGAGGAGCTAGCTGTCCTGTCTGCAGTGAGGCAAGGCCAAATGTTTAGAAGGAGAGACTGGTTTTGTGTCTTTCCATTACCTCTTGGCTTGTATTCTCCTTCCATATCTGATCAGTCTTCAATTGGATCCCAGGTTCCTCCAGGGTCAAGAGGACTAGGCTTCCCGTGGACGGAGAACAGTGGCCCCCCAACTCACTATCTGGCCTCAGCCTCCTCCAATCCCACTAGGAAACGGAGGCTATTCACTCCAGCCTTGGAGTATTTAAAATTTGGCTTAAATATATGGGTTCTACTTGTGTTCAGGGTGGGGGCTATGAGGGGGAGAAGCAAAAGGTACAACTGGAAAATACAAGCCCTTCCTTTCCAGCTGGAGATGGAATTCCACCTCGGGAATGCTCTGCCTCTTATTCCTTGGAGGACTTTGTGTTTGGCTTAAGTGGGGGTGGCATTTCCTCACAAGGAGGCATAAGGTAGCCTTGGAAAACAGTGTGGCAGTTCCTCAAAAATTAAAAATAGAATTACCATGTGGTTCAACAATTCTACTCCTGGGTATATACCCAAAAGAGATGAAAGCTGGGTCTCAAAGAGATATTTGCACAGCAATGTTTGTAGCCGCCATACTCACAGGGGCCAAAAGGTAGAAGCAACCCACATGTCTACCAACAGATGAATGTGTAAACAGAATGTGGTCTAGCCATACAATGGAATATTATTCAGCCTGGAAAAGGAAGAAAATTCTGTCACATGCCACAACATGGATGAACTTTGAGGACAATACGCTAAGTGAAATAAGCCAGTCACAAAAAGATAAATACTCCAGCCTGAGCAACATAGCAAGACTCTGCCTCTACAAGAAAAAAAAAAAAAAAAAATCCAGGTGTGGTGGCCTGTGCCTGTAGTCCTATCTACTTGGGAGGCTGTGGTGAAAGGATCTCTTGAGCCCAGGAGTTCAAGGCTGCAGTGAGCCATGATCACGCCACTGTACTCTAGCCTGGGCGACAGAGTGAGACCATGTCTCTTAAAAAAAAATGACAAATGCTGTATGGTTCCAATTATACAATGTACCTGGGAGTCAAATTCATAGAGACAAAGTAGAATGGTCATTACTAGGGGCTGCAGAGAAAGGGGGTGTGGAGTTAAGGTTTAATGAGTTCAAAGTTTCTGTCTGGGAAGATGAAAAGTTCTGAAGGTGGATAGTGGTGCAGCTGTACAATAATGTAAATGTATTTAATGCTGCTGATCTGGGCCAGGTGCAGTGACTCATGCCTGTAATCCCAGCTTTTTAGGAGGCTGAAGCGGGTGGATCATGAGGTCAGGAGTTCGAGACCGTCCTGGCCAACATGGTGAAACCCCTTCTCTACTAAAAATACAAAAATTAGCCGGGCATGGTGGCACATGCCTGTAATCCCAGCTACTCAGAAGGCTGAGGCAGAGAATTGCTTGAACTCAAGAGGTGGAGGTTGCAGTGAGCCGAGATCATGCCACTGCACTCCAGCCTGGGTGACAGAGTGAGACTCTGTCTCAAAAAAACAAAAAACAAAAACAAAATACAAAAAACAAAACAGAAAAAAAACTACTATTGATCTGTACTCTTAAAAATGGCTAAAATGGTACCTTTTATGTTCTGTATATTTTACTACAATTAAAAATAATGTTTTTAAAATGCATGAGGTAGAAAGACATCTTTCCTACCCAAAGCATGTCACAGAAGTCAGGAGACAAACTCTCTGAGAGGCTTGATGAAGAACAGACTCTTGGATTGCTCAGGCCTGGCCACCTCTTGAGAAACACTTCTGTATTCAATACAAGCTTGTTGAACTAAATTAAGTGGCAAAGTGAGGGAGGCCCCTAGGAGTGACGGGATTAGCTGGGTCTGATGCATGGATCAGAAACTCCTCTAATCTCGTTAAGCTGACCCATTTTCTTTTCCTTCTAAATTTCTGCCTTTTGTCATCTGTCTTGTCTGAACAGCCCCTTCCATCTATCCCCAACACATAAATACTCCTATTTAATTTCTTTCCATTGGTATTTTTTCTTTGTTTCTCCTCCATAAGTGGTTTTCTCACCACTCAGAATTGTTATGGCTACTGTGAATTTACAAACATTAAATAAGTTGGCACACTCTTATGCAAATTGAATGATTTATCCTAAGCATTATCCTGTGCGTCATACTAACAGATGTGTCTCCTGTAAGCATCGGTCCTGTGGTTCCAATAGCAGCCACCAGGTGGCAAGTTTTGGAAAACTCTACCTATATCAAATATGGCAAATGCCGCCTCTGGTGGTCGTATTGAGATTTGCAGGCACGATGCCTAGGGGGCAATTAACCAGGATTTGACGGCACATATCTGTATTAAAAAGCCAGCCTTGGCCGGGCGTGGTGGCTCACGCCTGTAATCCCAGCACTTTGGGAGGCCAAGGCGGGTGGATCATGAGGTCAAGAGTTCAAGACCAGCTTGGCCAAGATGGTGAAACCCTGTCTCTACTAAAAATACAAAAATTAGCTGGGCATGGTGGTGGGCGCCTGTAACCTCAGCTACTCGGGAGGCTGAGGCAGAGAACTGCTTGAACCCAGGAGGTGCCTGGGTGACAGAGCAAGACTCCATCTCAAAAAAAGAAAAAAAAAAGAAAGCCAGCCTCTTTGCGTGATTGCAAGTCTAATGGCTCTGAAAATGACCACCCAGCTCCAGCTGCTGTCACACCCTTTGGTGCCTTTAGCTCCCAGTGCGCCCATGTCTTGTGTCTAACCTGCTTCTGGTCCAGGGCTTTTAGGCTTCAGCCATAGCTGTACTCAATGGACCATTCTCTTCCATGGCTTCAATCTTGAGGTGGGACCAAAGGTCCCAGCTCATTCTGTTTCTACCATCTTTCCCAGATTTGGGTTTTTAATTGTCCTCTCCCAGAATGTTATTGTGGCTTTGTTCCTGGCACACCCTCCCCGGTGCAGCCTTCTTTGCGAGTTTCTTCCAGATCTGCACCTCCTGCATCTGGAGGAAGCTGGGTCTCCAGCTGCAATGGAATCATGTCATCCTTGACCTGCAAAGGGGTTGCTGCCCTTTGGAGAAATTTCTTTTGCAATTGATAGTGTTCTCCTAGTTTACAAGTCGTTAGAAAAGAAATGGTGACTGCTAAAAGTCAGTGGGGATTCACTAAGAAAAGTTACCCCAAACTCACCTGGCTTCCCTTCTGATGAGACGCTTTAGGCCTAATGCATTTTTATTTTTGCCAAGCATTTTGTAAGTCTCTCTTGTTAGACTGGTGAACAAAGTGGAGAGGTGAGGCAAGAAGAGAGTTTAAACATGCAGATACACAGCTGGTTAATCAACCCTGCACACAGAATATGGAGCAATTGATTAGAGGGAGGTCTCTGGTGAAACTGTGTAGGCCCATCCTTATCTCTGTTCTATTCCGCTTTTTACTCCCTTTTATGAAGACTCTAAAGGCAGACTTTCTGCATCTCCAGGCATGGGGCAGAAGCACTTGAGTGACAAAATCTGGATTAGAAAAGTGTTTAATAGGCTACAAAAAATGGGCTGAATGCAATAAAGTGAAATCGAACGACAAAAAATGTGACATTTCCCATTTAGGTTCAAACAATCAATTGCCGGAGCATGAGCATGGGATGGCGGACACTTGATGTGATATAGCAGGTTCTTATATCATGAGGTCAGGAGATCGAGACCATCCTGGCTAACGTGGTGAAACCCTGTCCCTACTAAAAATACAAAAAATTAGCCAGTCGTGGTGGTGGGCGCCTGTAGTCCCAGCTACTCGGGAGGCTGAGGCAGGAGAATGGCATGAACCCAGGAGGCAGAGCTTGCAGTGAGCCAGGATGGCGCCACTGCACTCCAGCCTGGGTGACAGAGCGAGACTCCATCTCAAAAAAAAAAAAAAAAAAAAATCCCTAAGGTTTTAGTAATCCATAAATGAATTTCTAACTAAAGATGTGGTATATCTTGCAAGGAAGAGAACTAAAACAGAAATTTAAAAAATAAAGATGTCATATAGCTGTTAAGAGAATTAACGTCAGCTTGGATCGTATTGATGCAAGTGCGGGGTAAAGATGGTGTTGGTGCCAGACCCACTGTCATGGTGCCCATCAGACACATGGCACCTCTGGGGAAGCAGCCCTGCCACCCAGGGAAGCTGGGTTGCTGTGCTGAGCTGGTCAGGGATCCTGCAGTCATTTCATATGAATGACGCTTGAGCTGCAGAAGGAAGCAGGCACCTCTACACCCCCAATAGTCACTGTAGCTCCTGACGCAGAGAAGGTGCTGGCTGCGTTTGTGGGAAGAACAAACATATGAATAATTAGAGGGGTCAGGTGACTTTCTGTGAATATTTCAAAGAGGGAGCCAGGCCCAACAGTGGCAGTGGCCCAGAATATAATTGGCCCTCTGAACCCCCTTTCCTATGGGCCCACCTATGAGCCTTCCCTGAAAGCCTATTCCTAGGAATCCACTATGAGCAGTTTGTACATCTTAGAGTGGAAAGAGACATCTATTCCTGGTTCAAATTCCTTCTCTACCATTTCCTGTGTGAACAGGCAATGATGTCACTTCTCTGGGCCACTTCCCTTAACTGCCAAGTGAAAATACAACAACTGCCTCCTTAGAGGGTTGCTGTGAGGATTAAAATAAATGGCAGATGCAGGAACCCAGCACCTAATAAAGGATCAGAAAATGTGTAGAAGGAATGAGTTTCCTCTGACCCCTCTAATGCACCCTGATTCCCCACTCAGTATTACTGTTGACAAACATCCCTTGGCCCACCAAAATCTTTTCCTCCTTCAGGCACAGAGACTCCACTCTCCCATCAGGAAGCCTCCCTGGCCACACCCTGCCTCTTCTGGTTCCCCAGATCACTTACTATCCATTCTCACCCTGTTTCCCAGCTCACGTGAAGGAACAGAGGACATCTGCCAGGGCTGGCCATCCAGGTCTGGCCTCACTGCCTCCCAGGTCAACATCTCAGTGCTGTGAACTGGACTGGGGCAGTGTGGAGTGGGGAGCGGTACCCTTTTTGCGGACTCTGGAGACCTGGACTGTAGCCCTGGCTGCTCCGGAACTGGGCAATTCCAGTCCCCTCCCCGGGCCTCATGGTAGCTTCCCCAGACTACCGCTCGCACTCAGTAATTCTCTGAAGTACTGGGACTTGCGGCATTGTCAGTGATTACGAGGTAAAGACGGGGATCCCAAGCAGAAGGGGGCACCTATGTGGCAGCCATTTTTACCTTCCTAGGAAGACTCAGGTCCCTGGAGATGATGGCACGCTCTCCCTGCCAGGGTAATTGTCTCAGTGTTTCCTTGCCTGGTGAGAACACTGGGGTCTGTAGCCTTCTTCAGGATGCACCGATGTCTCATCTCAGAAGGACGCCCGTGGGCTCCTTGACCCTCTTGCTGGTTTTCTTACAAGTAGAAGCACCCTGGCTTGGAGTCTCTAATCCCTGGGAACCTTGAGCAGCTCCTTTTCCTCTCTGAGCCTCATTTTCTCCATGTATACAATGAAAGGATTGAGTTAAATGAGTTCTGAGGCCCCTATCAGCAATAATGTCAAAATTATTTATCTTAGGGGGCCCCACCCCCAATAATCGAGGTGGAAGTATCAAAACAGGACCTGGGGTTAGTAAACAAAGCTTATTAAATGGAACCCTCAAATAATTATTCTTCCAATCTCAATCAAGAAACCCAAATAATCTGGCTTCTCAATTTGCTCCAGCAACTTCCTTGAATTTCTGCTGTTGATTTGTTCGGGTAGCCAGTTAATGGAGGCTGGCACACCAAACCCATTCATTTTGTTTTCTTAGAGGCAGGCTCCATTTTGGAAATCAGAATGAGGAGGTAATGGCTTTTGAAGTATTGCCAACGAGGGAGGAGGAAAGTCCTCATGCAGTGTCATCACTGCCTGGGATCCCACAAGGATGATGACACTGAGGATAAGAATGAAGAAGGATGGGAAAGGATGCCCCTGGCGGAGGGTCCCCAGCCATAACTGGGGATAGAGATGGCTGGGTGTCTGGTGAGACAGAGCTGGTGGCGGCAGAGCCCGAGGGCAAACTGGCTGGGATCTGAGGTGTCCAGACGTCCCTTGCAGGGGAGCACAGGGGCCAACAATGGGAATTCACATTTAGGTACTGAGAGCTTGTGCCAGAGGAGGCAGAAATTCTAATTCCAGGGACAAAGTTAACCGGCCACCACAGAGAGCTGGCAGATGTCAGAGGCAGGAGTAAAGGTTCAGGCACCCAGTGGCTCAGAGTATGTCCATTCATTCAAGAAATATTTATTAAAGACCTACAATGTGCCAAGCACCATTCTAGACCCTGGGGATATGGCCTGAAACCAGACAGGAGAGCCCTGCCCACGTGGAGCTCATTCTTGTGGAGGAGGCAAGTACAATTAATTACGTAACATAATGGCAGGGAGGAATTGATAAGGGCCATAAAATATAAGGCAAGAAAAAGAAATGGAGGCCAGGCATGGTGGCTCACATCTGTAATCCCAGCACTTTGGGAGGCCAAGGCAGGTGGATGACCTGAAGTCAGGAGTTGGAGACCAGCCTGGGCAAGATGGCGAAACCCCATCTCTACTAAAAATACAAAAATTAGCTGGGTGTCGTGGCGGGTGCCTGTAATCCCAGCTACTTAGGAGGCTGAGGCAGGAGAATTGCTTGATCTGGGGGAGCGGAGGTTGCAGTGAGCTGAGATCACATCACTTCACTCCAGCTTGGGTGAAAGAGTAAGACTCCATCTCAAAAAGAAAAAAAAGAAAGAAAGAAAAAGAAAAAAGAAAAAGGGGTGGAGAGTGATGGAGTTGCTATTTCAGATAAGACGGTCAGGGAAGGTTTCTCTGAGGAGGTGACAGAGAGCAAAGACCTGAATGAAGCAGAGAGTAAACAAAGGGCCAGAGAGACATAAGCTGAGTCTGTCTCCATTAGCCACACTCAGCAACTTCTGCTTATGTCTTAATGGCCAGAGCTGGGTCACTTGGCAGCCTCTGCCCAGTCACTGGAAGGGAGAAGAGGGTTTCGCTGGGGGTAGGCAGGACAGCCAATCAACACTCTGTGCCCTGGGTCATCTTATTAGAGCCTTCCAGTATGCAGGGTGGCTCTGTGGGGACGCTCACCCTGGATCACCTGAAAGGCCTGCCCCTCCTCCCATGAGAAAGAGCCCTGTAGGGAAACAGGAAACTCCAGCTCCAGCTTGAGCTGTGCTGCAAACCCACTGTGTGACCTCAGGCCAGATGCCTCTGGTCTCTGGGCCATGCTGGAGCCATCATGAGACTGCTGTCTGCTTGAAGGGTCTCGAGTTCCAAGTGCCACCTCCCTTTCAGCCACCATGAAGTTTTAACATTTAGAGCCCTAAGAACCCAGCTGGGTCTTGGAGGGGCACACAGAATGAGCACTTTCCCGAAAAAGACACAAATACTGAGGGGCAGCCCAGTGGCAGGTGTGGGGCGGGGGTGGAGTGAGTGAGGCCTCACCCCCCAGAAACACAGCTAAGGCTCATTAATCAAGATACACTGTATTTTAATGCAGTCTTTTTTAAAATCAAAATTAATGCACAAAATCCATGATGAACAAAATATTAAAACTTTAAGTAACGACAAGATTAGTATTACTTACCAACTTTTCCTTTGGCCTGAGGCTCCAATACGGTTGTGATGTGTGGCAATGTTGCTGACCTTGTCTTTATTTAAAATTCTAAAATTTTGCTTATTATCATTAAAATACATATCAAATTAAAGTATTGTTTGATTACTGAGTATTTGGAGGCCTCCTTAAATTTTGCTCTCAATGCAGTCGTTTCACCCACCTTGCCCTAGTTCTGGCCTCCATCCCATTTGCTCTCAGTCGCCTCACCCACCTTGCACTAGTCCTGGCCTCCATCCCAGCTGCAGGCCTCCTGGGAAAGCCCCTTGCTGCACACTGGTCAACCTGCCCAGCCAGGCATTTGCCATGTCTGGGGATATCAGGGACACCCAGTGGACATGTGCAATTTTTAGCCCTTTGCCATGAAGTGTTCGGATGAAAGTCCCCGCTATTTCTTTAATAAGACAACATGCTGTAGCCATTAAAAATTTAGTCCCACAAATTAGTAGCGCCTCTCTAAAGTGCCATATTTATTTAATCATAGTAGATTTGGGCCAAACCCTCTCCTGGGGCTTCCAACACCTGCGTCTATATCCCTGAGGAGTTCAGCCCCCAGGACCACGCTATTCACACAAAGTACCTCTGCCTATGGTTCCTCTAGCCCGCTGGCTCACAGGGAGATAAAATACCTTAGCCTCATTACTCAGATGGCTAATTGCAAACTGATTTAATTAAAGTATACAGATATTTCCCTGAGTTAGTTACATTTCATATCACTCCATTAGGAGTAATTGGCTGGAATGGGGAACTGTGGAGAGGGAGGCTGGTCAGGTGGGCGGGGGCTGGAAGCTCCCTCAGTTGATGCCAGGCTTGTTGCCCAACTATTCGGGGCCGACTAAAGGCACTCCTGACACTACAGAGTCACTGAGAGAGACCCACCTCCACTCAGCAGCTTACTGGGGGTGTCCCTGGATCATTTTAATCACAAGCACTAACTGCTCACAGCCTGGGTCGGGAACCTGGGTTTGAAGTTTGCTTCTGCTCTTACCAGTTCTGTGACCTGCAGCAGTCACCTAATTTAGCTGAGCCTCAGTTGCTTCCTCTTTAAATGGGAATTGTATAATGCTCACCTTAAATGGTGTGATGAGATTAAATGAAAACAAGCTTCAAAAGCCTTTATCATAGTACCTGGTGCACAGTTAATGCTTAATAAAGAATAACTTTATTGCTTGGGGCCAGATGTGTGGCTACAGAGTGAAGAGGTATAGACAGTGGAAGAAGCACCAGTCTCAGAGGCAGCAATTTTGGAGTCTGGTCTCAGGTACGCCCTTGACTATCTGCAATCTTTGACAAATTGCTTCCTTCCCTGAGCCTGTTTATTCACCTGCAAATTATGGGAAGGAAGCAGAGACTGTGGTCTGTTCACCCCATATCTGTGATTTCCTTCTTCCTTACTCACACAGCCCTGATTGGGGGAGCCATGAACTAGCTACAAAATCTGCATTTCCCAACCTCCCTTATAGCTATGGCTGGCCGCATGACCAATTCTGATCAATGAGGCAAAAGCCAAAGTTGTTCCCTTCTTGGGTGGGGTTCCAAGAAGCCTCCTTCGAAAGGAAGCTGACTCCGCTGCCAGGCACCCTTCCCCCTCCTCCTTTCTCCTACCTAGAATGTGGCCCTGATGTTTGGAGAGCCAATGGCCACCTTGTGATTAGAAGGTGACCTTGAGGGTGAAAGCCACTAGCAGAGGCACTTGGCAGAGAAGAAAGCTAGGAGACGCTAGAGTCTTTGGCGGTACCTTGGAGTTGTGGCCCCAGTTCTGATCACCCCTGGATTTCACAGTGCAAGACAGAAAGATATGCCTCATCTTTTGTGTTTTGTTTTTGTTAAGTCTTAGCTTTTTGAGTCTTGGTTACCTGCTGCTGAATACTATCCATAACTGATAGTACTGGCTTGCCTGCTCTATCAGAGTATTAAAAACTTGATCTCTGAGCTGGTCAGAGCTACCTGCTCATCTCCTTTCTGCACCAGGAGGGATCCCTCAGCCTGCAGCAATGTTCTCCCACTCCTATCTGTCTCCGGCCCCGATCTACCCCCTCAGCTCAGGGTCTTCACTAAGATCCAAGACCCCATGTTCCTAGCCCCTTCTCACAGATATTAGGCCCTAGATCTGCCTGCTTCTCCAGTGTCTGCACAGCCAGTCCATTTTCTGATGCCCACAGCAGTGCCGACAGACTGGGGAGGAGATTTGTATATGAAAGCTCTGGTGTGTCGGAAACGCAAGAATGCGCTCCTGAAATATCTGTCCCTTCGTTTCATTGTGTGACTGTGGAACATTGTGGAAAATCTCCAGATCTCTCTGGGCCTTGGTTTCCTCACCTGTAGTGAGATACATTTGCAGTTAATTGCCTCTAAAGGCATCTGCCTGCCAGACACAGGCGACAAGGCCTTTATGGGTCCCTGAAGCAGTATCCCAGAAGGTCCACCCCCGTACCTTCTTATAAGATAGGCCTCAGGCTTAAAGCTGTCAGTGAAACCACTTTTGCAAAATTATGGCTGAGACAGTGAAAGAGATCTAACTGACTCCATCTTGCTTCTAACCTCCAAGCTGTCCTTGATCATTCCTGGGCATAGACAGAACTAACTTTGGGAGAAACTTAGTTTATAGTTTAAACAAAGATGGTAACAACCCTTTCCCAAAGCAGACCTCCTTCTTTCCTGGGGACTAGTTTGCCTTTATAGGACTAACATTAGCCACAAGATTAGAAATTATGGTTTAGGAGCCATGCAGCTGGTGGCTACAAGATTCTGACCCCCTCCCCGAACTGCTCTAAGATCAGTGCTTGGAATATTTTGCAGACCCTGCACTTGATGGATCAGCTGGCACCGCCCAGATCAATCAACTGGCTCCTTTAATCTTGTGGGCCCCACCCAGGAACTGACTCAGCACAAGAAGACAGCATCAACTCCCTATGATTTCATCCCTGACCAATCAACACTCCTGGCTCGCTGGCTTCCCCCCACCCACCAAGTTATCCTTAAAAACTCTGCTTCCCAAATGCTTGGGAAGACTGATTTGAGTAATAATAAAACTCCAGTCTCCTGCACAGCCAGCTCTGTGTGAATAACTCTTTCTCCATTGCAATTTCCCTGTCTTGATGAATTGGCTCTGTCTAGGCAGCTGGCAAGGTGAACCCCTTGGGCAGTTGCAAATTTTGGGGCTCTTCCAGGATTGCCCTTGTGGCTACCTGCCCCTGGTTCAGTGGCCCCTCTTCAGCAATGGATCCAGAAGCCAGCCCAAGTGGCCACCTAGTTCTCTTGGACTAGGGGCTGACTCTGATACTCGCTCTACTGGCAGGGCACTGCTGACCCAATGTTCATGGATTTAATTGCAGAGGAGGAATAGTCCTGGGGAGATGTCCCTTAACTGTAGCCCTATCACAGGATGTCTGTCTGTAGCCCCATGGTGGGGTGTCTGTCTGTAGCCCCATTATGGGATGTCTAGATTGGTGAGTATCCTAGGTGCTGCCAATGCCTCCTTTCTTCCCCAACTGGTTCTATAGCCCTGTGGTGTGGTGTCTGTAGCCCCATTGAGGGTTGTCTGTTTGTAGCTCCACCATGGGGTGTCTGTGTCTGTAGCCCCATTGTGGGGTATTTGTTTGACTCCTGGGGGTGTCTTGGTTGGTTCTAACTGGTAGAGTCTTGGTTTGGGAGACTTCTCAACAGGAAGATTTCAAGGCGCTTTCTCAGACGGAGAATAGGACGATAGTTTGGAAGGGATACTCTTGGAGTTCTTGGTTAGGGATCTGATTTGGAAGGCCTTCTGTCTGTCTCATCTTTGTGTGTGTTTGTGTATGTGGAAGGGATCTCAGAGGGGTTGCTGATGGAAGTCCAGCAGGTCTAACTCAGAGAACGCTCCTTATTTGTCTGCTCACATTCGATAAGCCCTAAAGGCCTGTCTCTTGGGGTGACTATCTGCTTTTCGCCTTGCCCAGAGACCCCATTGTGAATTACTTTTCAGAAGTCACCTCCCCCCACCTGGAGTAGATCAAAGACAACAGGGACCAAAGGGAAAAAATTTGAGCTTTCCCAGGCTGATATTGGGTGCTGAATGAGGTGACTAATGTTTGTTTTGTTATGTGTGTTTTGCTGGGATGGAAAATGTTAATTTGGTCCCCATGCAGCCCGTTGGGCAGCATCTTGCAAATTAAGAATCTTGCCTATGGTTCCATAAAATGGTAAAGGGTGATTTTCTCTTGTAAAGTGGCTTGAACCCCACAGCTATAGCACGAGCAAGCAGGGTCATCAGAAGCCACTCCGTTCTTCTAGAAGTTGCAGAGAAAGGGAACCCGGAAACCTAATATGCCACCAAAAAGGGTAAGAAATTCTTACCAGCCAAGTTTCTAGTCTCTCTATCTCTTTCTGTGTCTGGGTAAACAGTAAATGTCACTATTTGTCTCTCTGCAAGGATTTGATTAATAGAAAAAGGATTTGTGAGACTAGTCTTAGGCAGTAGCAAATCTGGTGTACTTTGTGCTAAGAATTTGTCTTTCTGGTACTGTAATGGAGAGAGGGGTATCACAGGATAGAATGTGGGTTTAGGACCCCTATAAGCCCACTTTTCAAGCCAGCCTGGCAGGCTGCTCAGTTACAAACTTTGCTGCAGGTCTCTGAAACCCATACCGGATGAAATTTCTTTGTCTTGTTTTGTGTCCTTAAGAGTTTAACCTTATGACCATGTGTGGATACTTTCTCTTGGTTTCCACCATCCAGAGGACAGGAATTTTGAGATTCATGTTAGCCCTAAAAATTATCTTGAGCAGTTAAAAGCCTTTGCAAGCTTGAAATTGGCTTCTCTAGGCTCCTTCTGAGAAGAGCAATAGAAACTGCTCAATGCTGTAACTCAGTAGCTGAGGCTTTGCTTTTTGACAATGGCAGCCTGAGTTCTATTCTTGGCTTCCGGAATAATTCCTTTCTGGTTTTTTATTTATATAACTTTGCCATTTATTGAGGTTCCCCCGCCCTCCGCCGCCCCACCATGGATAGCTTCTGATTTCCTGTCTTGAATTTTCCTTTCTCTAAACTACCTTGGGGGAGATTCTAAATCTTGTAAAAAAAAGAAACTGCTTACCATCTCCTTGAGACATCTATGTGTCCATGGTTAATTTATAACCTTAGTTAAAACTGATTAATTTCATGTGGGAAGTTACCTGTGGTAGAATTCAAAAGCCAAAAATTGATCGCTTAGTGTGGCTAAATTCTGGTAATAAAAAAATTGTAAAGGATATTTTTTAAGAGTGCTATGGTTAAAAATCAGCTGAATTTAAAGCGGATAAACAAGCTATAGGTATCTTTAAAAGGCCCTTATGTATTTCTCTTCTTGGAATTTGTTTTTCTGGAACAAGATTTTTCCTTCTCAGTCGACTGTATTATTTTTCTCTATTTTTTTTTGTCTTGCCTCTCTTAATGCACACATGAGAGGCCCTACGATAACTTCTGGTAGCCTGGGACTCCTTGGGAAAAACAGAGGAGGTGCCACAGACCCCATTTTGGAGGAAAAAACACCCTCTGTTTTCCTCACGAAACCCCAGGAATTAAAAGTGGATAGATACCTCTCAAAATCAAAGGCTCTGTTCTGTTTTGCATTGTGTTATCCGATGGTTTTGAGTTTTGGAGGTATCAGAAATTATTTCACATTATGATAACTAGGTAGGAAATATACCTTAGGGGGTGGCTAATAGTAGTTGTGGAGGGATACTTGACTCTGCACACCTGGATCAGAGACGCACGCTCTCGGCCACCTGGAAGATAAGGAGGCATCCCCACCCCCTACTGGGAGATGAGACTCCTGTGAGAGATGGGCCGTTTACAAAATGGGCTGATTGGCTTTGGGTTGCCTTGAATGGAATGCAGGGTAGAAGCACTGCACGGTCTTCTCCCGCAGTATTGCCCTCCTGCTGGGGATCCAGGATCCAGTATAAAATGGCACCCTTAATTTTGGAGATCTGTCTTTGCCTTCAACTGCTTATTTGCTGCTTATTTGGCTCTAGAAATGCATGCTTTCCCGGCCCTGTTCCTCCAAGGGCTCCACCCTAAAGCCAGTCACCCAATTAAGAAACTGGCAGAGGAAAAATCTTACAAGTGCTGAATCTTCTGTCTGTTTGTATTCATATGTGTTGTGTGTGTGTGTGTGTGTGTGTGTGTGTGTGTGTGAGATGTTTGTATAAAAGAGCTCTGGTTAATTGGCTTAGAAAAATAAGCACTTAAATATTTTGTCAGAAAAATAGAAACTAATGCCTTTTGGTTCATGTGACTTTAGTAATCTTTCAGAAATAAAGACAGTTTTAAAAATTACCAGTAAAATAAAATGTCTTGAAAACGTAGACATTTGGTCTAAATTAAGGTCAGATATCAGATTTGCTAAATGCTTTAAGGTCCAACTGTTTCTTTGACTTTTGAAAATTGTTTGATTTACTACTTTGGAGCATTAGGTGATAGATAAGGCCTGGGGACATATGGAGAGCCAGGCCCTCCAGCTATGCTAACAGCCAGACCTTATCTTCACTTCCGTCAGATGTCATAGGCTCCACCCCAGTACATAATTAAAATCACTTACCAGGTTTTTCACTAAAAATAAAAGTTGCTAAGATTTAACATTGTAACATGTAGTTGAGACCACTGGAGAAACAGTTTTACATACAAGGTTTGTGGGGAGTGTGTTTTTGGTAAAAGATGATAAGAAGGCATGGGAATATGGCTTTTGTTAAAGGGAATGTAATTTTGTGTAGTTTAGGGGGTTTTCAAGATTGTCTTAACCTAAAAGAGTAATGGAACAAAACTGAAGGTTTAAGCAAAGGGAAAAGGGTTTGTAAAGGGTTAATCTTATTAAAAAATTCTGTGAGTATACACAAGTTGGCTAAGATTTAAAAGAAATTATTTAGCTTTTTTCTGTAGGTTAAAACATTAAAATGATACTGTTGTGGGGCCAGAATCTGGGCCCATCTGTCCTAATGACAGGGTGTTCTTAGAAAACTGATCTGCTGTTTGATGGAAAATTGTAAAGGGTTCTAAAAAGTTTATGAACTTCTTGGTGGGGTGTGGTGGCTCACGCCTGTAATCCCAGCACTTCGGGAGGCCAAGGCGGGTAGATCATGAGGTCAGGAGATCAAGACCAACCTGGCTAACAAGGTGAAACCCCATCTCTACTAAAAATACAAAAAATTAGCCACGTGTGGTGGTGGGCACCCATAGTCCCAGCTACTCGGGAGGCTGAGGCAGGAGAATGGCGTGAACCCAGAAGGCGGAGGTTGCAGTGAGCCAAGATCGCACAACTGCACTCCAGCCTGGGCAACAGAGAGAGATTCCGTCTCAAAAAAAAAAATACTCGATAAAGATATAAAATTTTATTTAAAAAACTACCTTTAACATTAAAGATGTACTAATGCAAAAATGAAATTTGGTTTTATCTTTTGAAGATGATTTTTATGTAATGTTAAAAGATAATGAAAGGGCTTTGTTTTCTCCTTTGGGTAAATGGCAGGGAAAAAAGGGAGGAGAGAGAAGAGACAAATGCAGTTAGCCTCATGCTATCATTACTGGGTCTTGTTTGGAAAGCTAAGTCTCCTCTATCAGAGTAAAGGTTTTTTTTTTTTAATTTTTTTGGAGTTATCATTTTGGCCAGATGAATGACTTATGGAGACTTGGGATTCTATTTTGTGATATCCAGTGTTTTAAACCTTTGATATATGACAAACTTTCCCAAATCAAATTATAAATTTTGTCTCTTTCTAACCTAATATTTGAAATATTAGGTCCTCTAAAGTCCAAAAATGACATTTGGCTTATTTGGTACAAAAATCATGCAGGAAGCATTGTCAAGTATGAAAAGGTGTTTGGCTTTCTTTGGTCTATATTTGTGTAAATGTGTTATTGGTATATGTTCCAAAATTATGTGAAATTGCTATAATTCTAATATGACTTAGTATATGTTATCTGTAATAATTATAATTATTATGTTAAATGACTGTGTGCCACAGAGGTAAATTTCCTTGTCAATTGTGCCTTTAACTGTGGCTACCCTAAAATGTTTTTGTCATCCACAGACAATTGTTGTCTCACTTTGCTCCTCTTTAAAGGATCATTTTATAATCAGCTATAAAATTTAACAGGTGCTCTTTGAGATGGAGTTTCTCTCTTGTTGCCCAGGCTGGAGTGCAATGGCACGATCTCAGCTCACTGCAATCTCCACCTCTCAGGTTCAAGTGATTCTCCTTCCTCAGCCTCCCAAGTAACTGGGATTACAGGCATGCACCACCACATCTGGCTAATTTTGTAGTTTTAGTAGAGACAGGGTTTCACCATGTTGGCCAGGCTGGTTTCAAACTCCTAACCTCAGGTGATCTGCCTGCCTCGGCCTCCCAAAGTGCTGGGATTACAAGCATGAGCCACTGCACCTGGCCCAGGTGCTCTTAAATACGGGTTTCTGATAAATAACTCTGGGAGTTTGTGACATTAGGATAGAAAAAAAACTTTCAAATAGAAGAGTGAATGGTGTTTGGTTTTCTTGGACTGTATTTGTATAAATATGTTATTGGTATGTGGTCCACAACTATAGGAAACTTCTATAATGTTGATATAATTTAGTGTACATTATCAATAATTATAATTGTTATGTAAAATTGTTGTATTCCACAGAAGTAACCAAATTTCCTAGTCAATTGTAGCTTTAATAGTGCCTATAGACTTTTGTCACCCACAGACATTTTGCCTTGCTTTGGTCCTTTTCAAAAGGCAATTTATAATCAGATATAAGACTCTGAGTGCAGCTCTCAGATAACTTTAAAAATTGTGCTGTTGGAATAGAGGAAAAAAACCAAACTTCTAGGATTCTCATGGAGAGCTAATGTGTTAAACACTGCTAAACCTTTTGTTTTTGGAGTCAAGAGAACTTATTTCTTTAGAGCTATTTGCAACTTTTAACAAGTGAGTAAAATACACTCCTATGAACAAAATTTGAAGCATATTTGTTCCTCTCTACCTGATTTCTCCAGAATTTGGAAACTATTTGTGAGTATTCTCAATTTATGGCAGTATAGTTAATTGCATAAGTGCAATAAGAATCAGTTTTCTTTTGTAACAGGACACAATTGGAGAAATTGGTTGTTTTACCAAGGCTTTGACTGGAATGGCATGCTTCCTTTAAAGAATCAAAGTTGACTTATAGCACCAATTAAAGCCCATTGGGGCATCTGGCCTCATACCTTGTCCACACAGAGTACCTGTACAAGATTTCTGACCTGTGGTAAGTAAAGAATGTCACTTTCTAACAGGCCCAGAAATCCCAAGTTACCTTGGAACCTCAAAAGGAGAGGAATTTGCCAAACTCATAGGTATTTGAGGGTACAAACCCATGGCTAGGCTCAGCTTTTAAAAAGTCTTATCTGAGATTCTTCATGGAACAGAGTTCTATCAAAGCCAACTTAAAAAGCCTAAGTGAAAAATAATTATTCTTGCTGTACTTTATGCAAATAGTCAAGCCAAGTACAGTATTATTTTGTAAACAAATCAGTTCTATCATGATTTGTCTTTAATAAAAATGGAGACTGGAGAGAGAAAAATTATGCTTCAAAAGAAAACTATAGTGCATTGTCGTTAACTGTTCTTGAGGTTTTTTCTGCAGTATAGACTAAATTCTAAATTCTTTGTGGTTTAGAAGTCCCCAAACTAATGCTTTCAAATCTTTGCTTTTAAAATTGGGAATTGTACTTCTAATCCTAGGACTCATTATTACCTTATAGTAGGCTGTTCACTTAAACATTGTAGTAAAACTATAGATGAGAGCACTAATGTTTTTCCCACACAAGCCTTGGAAGCCCAGCCAGGCCTGCATGAGTACACTCAGACAGTTAGAAAGCGGTTCCACTTTTCTCACCTTGGCATTCACTCCCATTCCCACTACGTCCCCTATCAGCAGGAAGAAGCCAGAGTGATCGACGGCCTTTTCTCATCCTTATAGCCTACACCTTAAGATTAAGGTGTTATAAACCCCAAAGGGAAGGATTGAAACCACCTTTGCAAAATCGACTCCATCTTGCTTCTAACCTCCAAGCTGTCCTTGTTCATTCCTGGGCATAGACAGAACTAACTTTGGGAGAAACTTAGTTTATAGTTTAAACAAAAACAGTCACAACCCTTTCCCAAAGCAGATCTCCTTCTTGCCTGGGGACTAGATTGCCTTTGTAGGACTAACAGCCACAAGATTCGAAATTATGATTTAGGAGTCATGCAGCTGGAGGCCTCAAGATTCTGACCCTCCCTAAACTACTCCTAAGATCAGCGCTTGAGATATTTTGCAGACCCTGCACTTGATGGATCAGCTGGCACTGCCCAGATCAATAAACTGGCTCTTCTGATCTTGTGGCCTCCACCCAGGAACTGAGTCAGCACAAGAAGACAGCATCAACTCCCTATGATTTCATCCCTGACCAGTCACCACTCCTGGCTCACTGGCTCACCCCACCCACCAAGTTATCCTTGAAAACTCTGCTCCCCAAATGCTCAGGGAGACTGATTTGAGTAATAATAAAACTCCAGTCTCTCACACAGCAGGCTCTGCATGAATTACTCTTTCTCTATTGCAATTCCCCTGTCTTGATGAATCGGCTCTGTCTAGGCAGTGGCAAGGTGAACCCCTTGGGTGGTTACATCAGGTGGGCAGCAGGAGACTCGGGAGCCAGGCTTCTGGTTTGCCTCCACCTCCAAGACCTTGGCCAAATCCTTCTACTTCTCTGAACCTCAGTTTCCTCTTCTAAAATAAGAAAATGTTGGCTGGGCGCGGTGGCTCACACCTGTGATCCTGCACTTTGGGAGGCCAAGGCGGGTGGATCACGAGGTCAGGAGATGGAGACCATCCTGTGAACACGGTGAAACCCCGTCTCTACTAAAAATACAAAAAAATTAGCTGGGCGTGGTGGCACATGCCTGTAGTCCCAGCTACTCAGGAGGCTGAGGCAGGAGAATCTCTGGAATCCAGGAGGCAGAGATTGCAGTGAGCCGAGATTGTGCCACTGCACCCCAGCCTGGGCAACACAGCGAGATTCCATCTCAAAAAAAAATTTTTTTAAATAAAATAAAAAAAATAAATTAAACAAGAAAATGTTGAGTTAGTGAGTGTTTTCACCCCAGATCATGGTGCCTATAAGCAAATGGGGTGGGGAGAAAAGCTGGGTTTCACAGACACAGCAGATGGAAGGCTTAGGAGAGGAGCAGGCTCAGGTGGCAGCTTGGACTCTCAAGTGCTGTGATCCCTCACCTGAATCTTCATCGTCCTTGTCCACACGTCCTCCCTCCCCACCCTAGGTCTGTAGCCTGGACCAGGCTTCTCATTCCTGATCAAAGACACAGGTAGCCGAGGAGAATCCCCAGGAAAGGAGTTCACAACCCGGGTCCTCTCTCACCTCCCTCCTCCATCACCCAGAAGCCACCTCAACTCAACTGACATGTGGGGCGCTGGCCCTGGGCACTGCTCGGGGATGCTAGATCACACAGTCCCACCTTCATCCACCCCCAACCTCCTGCCCCTTCCAAGTCAGAGCAGAGCACCAGGAGGGCTAACCTGCTTAGCACTCAGCTCCCCAGCCCCCTTCCCAGCCCTTCTGCCCCCACTCACCTCGCTAGTGTGTTTACTTAAGGCTGAATTCTATATCTGGAAGTTCATTAATTTTTTGTGGGTGCCAAAATGCAGATCATTTGTGCTTATCCTCAACTAAATAAGTCAGGTCATAAGAGGTAATGCCATGGGTAGTGGAATGTAAACAAACACATTCTACCTCAATAAACATGCTAATTTCCAGCTATAATATTCACAAGTAAAAGATCCATCACGCCGACCCTATTTGGCAAAGGCAGTGGGCCTCATCCGTCAATGAGGGAGGCTCCCGCCAGTTCGCTGCGGGAGGGAAATAGTACAACTTAACTTGCTTGATGACGCCCTCGGGGAGAAACATGAGCCTCATAAATGAGTCTGGAAATGTGATAAAAGGATAATCTTGCATAAATGAGCCTATATCATCATTACCTGCACCAACCAAGGCCAGGCACTAGGTTTTGAGTGATGTAGTCACATTTCATATAAATGAAGGCTGTGGAGTCAGTACACCAGCGGGAGCCCTTTGTCCTGCTACATCCCACTGGCCACCCTAGCCTGAGGCTTCCATGCAGGATTCTGTGGGGCCAGGGGAGGCTTCAGCCCTGGCTGGGCTGAGGCTGGTGGTGTTGGCACAGAGGGCAAGGACAGCCCAGGCCCTACAAGAATATGAGTGCAGCCCTTGATGAATGGGGGACATCAGAGAGGGTCTTTCCCCATTCCATAGAAAAACTAAGGAATCTATTATTTTACTTCCTCAATAATATATATCGGACATCTATTGTAAGCCAAGGCACTGAGCTACAACTTCGAAACCACTCTACCAAAAAAAAAAATGAAGTTCTTGTTTTAATAGTTCCCAGTCAGCTCAGGGAGGCAGAGCACATCCTTGCAGCCAGGTGGGTCTGTGCCTTCCAAATGCAGAAGGCACTCAGAGGAGGGTGCTGTGGTGTGCACGTGTGTTCCCCAAATTTATATATTGAAATCCGAAGCTTCAAGGTGAAGGCATCAGGAGGTGATTAGGTCATGAAGATGGAGCCCTCATTAATGGGATTTAGTGCCTCATAAAACAGGCCCAAGGGAGACCCCTTGCCCCTTCCTTCATTTGAGGTTACAGTGAGAAGACAGCTGTCTACAAGGATGCGGGTCCTCACCAGACGCCAAATCTGCCAGTGCAGATTTGGACTTCCCAGCCTCCAGAACTGTGAGAAATGAACTTCTGCCATTTATTAGCTGCACTGCCTGTGGTATTTTGTTACCACAGCCTGAACCAACTAAGACAGAGGGAAAGATGTGCTGGGCCTGGGAGGGGCAGGGAGGTCAGTTTCACCCGGAGGGTAAATGACAGCAAGACACTCTAGGTGCTGAATGGGGAAGGGCCAGGCCCCCTCCATGCTGCCCCCTCAGACCTGCACCCATCTCCCTAAAGCCCACTCAGTCCATCTTCCCTGGACAGTGGCCCTGCCCCACCCACAGGTATGTGGCTTCTGCTATGTTCCTTGGTCCTTCTCAGTATGCTCAGCAAAAGACAGAAAGATGGGGACAAATTCACAGAACCTTGTATACAGCTTGGGAAAAAATTGGTGGAGTTCTTGATGCTCCTTCCTAATCTTTCCTTGCCCCCTTCCCGTAGTGGATGCTGTGAGTGCCCCACCCAGGCCCCCTATACATGACATGGCCAGGACACCCATCTCTCCACTGCTGCGAGTGTTGGTTGCTAAAGTTCACAGCCATGCTTTTCTGCAGAAAACTGCCTTTGGCCAAAGAGAAGCCACCTCACCTGGAAAGGTACCCCTCCCTGCCCTCTCTGACTCAGTGACACAGGGGTACAGAGGCCAGCCCCCTTGACTGAAGGGACCTGGGGTTCAAGCTCGGAGGGGTAGTTCCTGTCCCAGCATCCCGTGGGGTCAGGCTGAGCTGGACTCCAGCTGAGAGCACATCCTCACTCCCCATCTAGCTCCCCTCACTCCGTTACCCCGAGAAGCCATCCTCAGTAAACCACCTTCTTTGGAATCCCCCATAGCCCATCTTCTCTCTGCTGGGCCCTGCGTGCTCAAGGTGGATGAGGTGGGAAGAGTGTTCGAGGAAGAGGGAAAATCATGTCTTTTAATTTCCAAAGCGCTTTTATAGATCACTTCACAGCAAATAGAAACAAGGATGTCAAACAAAAAGGGCTTCCTTTAGAAGTCCCCAGACCCATCACCAGGGGTGAGGGGTGGCCATGTCCTCTTCCTGCAGTAAATGCTTACTTCGGAAATGAAGGAAAATGTGTAAGTGGGTGAGCAAAATAATTCTGAACATCTCTCCAGCTGACAACATTTTATCCATCCTCTTGTTTCTCTCACGGTGCCTGTTCCCTCATTAGACCAGAAAATCCTTTGCAACAGGGACTGTGGTCATCAGGGAGTCTGTGAGGCCTAGCTCTGCTCTCTGCCCAGAGTGATGCTCAGTGGCTATTCGATGCAGGCACTTGAACTGTCGACTTGAGAGAAGTAGGGGATCATCAAGAGCAGGGAGGATTTGGGTATGTAAAGACCTTCCTTCATTCATTCACCAAATAACGTTGTGATGAGAGAGTAGAATTTGTGACCAAGAAATAAGGAAGAGAGAAAACTAGCGTGCATCTACTGTAGGCAGAAATCATATTAGATGCGTTCATAGGGGGCCACTTAAACCGCCAAATAACCTGGAGGTGGGGATTACTATTGCCATTTGCAGATGAAGAAACTGAGTGGAGACAGAAGTGCAATTGACATCCAGGTGTACCTAGGTTCAGAGTCTCCAGTCTTTTCATCCTTTCTCCCTTCCTTCATCCCCTGGGAGGATATTTTTAAAACAGAGTTGCAGAGACCTGAAATGGGTTAACTAGATCTTTATGGAGGCAAAAGATGGATGGGAAGACCTCTGGATGTCTTTTTCAGCAGAGAATCCTCTGATTCAGGCCACATAGGCCCCTGATGGGTGCTCAGAGGAGCTCTGTTGGGCAAGCCAAGGCCAGCCCTCCTGAGGTGGGTCTGAAACCCTGCCTCCATCTCAACAAGGGAGCTGTGCTCCTAAGGAGTGTATGATTCAGAATCTGTTGTAGGGTTAATTTTCTGAAGGAAAAAAAAAGGTATAAACACTGTTGGAGGACTGGGCTGATGAGCTCATTGGAAACCTGAGCTGCAGAAGTCTTAGTCAAAAATGCTGGCTGAGAAATTGCTGGCCCCTGCCAAGCCGGGCGAATGGAAGTTTGCACATTCCCAGGCTGCGTGTTTCAAATACTTTCCGTGGTTTTGCCAGTGGCGGGCGAGGAGGGAAGAATTTGTCATTATCGACTTGAGTCTGCAAAACAGCTTGGCTGGCAGGGAGCTTTGAAATTGCAGGAGGTGGAAAACCTGACTCATGATCTTTGGGGACTTGGGAATGTGGGTTGTGGGGGAGATGGGAGGAGGGCGAGAGGCGACCAGCCAGGAAAGAGGTGGATCTTTTGACTCAGAATGCATTCTTGCTGCTAATCTCAGCGACTGCCCCCACTCCCTCTGGAGTGAAAGCCCTGTGCAGTTTCCCAAATGTTCTTCATAGGTGCAAACACTTGCTGAGCACCTACTAAGTGCCTTCCATGCGTCCTGCTGAATATCTGAGACAACAACCCAAAGAACTTGGCAGAGTGGACATTTGTACCCATTTTTCTTTTTCTTTTCTTTTCTTTTTTCTTTTTTTTTGAGACAGAGTCTGGCTCAGTCGCCCAGGCTGGAGTGCAGTGGTGCAATCTCAGCTCACTGCAACCTCCGCCTCCTGGGTTCAAGCGATTCTCCTGCCTCAGCCTCCCCAGTTGCTGGGATTACAGGCACATGTCACCACGCCCGGCTAATTTTTGTATTTTTGGTAGAGACGGGGTTTCGCCATGTTGGCCAGGCTGATCTCGAACTCCTGACTTCAAGTGATCTGCCTGCCTCGGCCTCTCAAACTGCTGGAATTACAGGTGTGAGCCACCGAGGCTGACCCTGCACCCATTTTTCAAATGAGGGAACGGTTAAGAAGGTGTAGGAATTGCCCCATGCCACACAGCAACTGGCCAAGATGTCAGTTCATCTGCGTGTTGAGGGCCTACCTTGTGCTGGGCACTGGGTCAAGGACTGGGGTGGAAACATGGAGATGACAAGGCCTTTTTCTGTGAAGAGCTGAAAGTTTCACAGATTTGAACCATTTGGTGTTTTTTTTTTATTCTCAAGACATTCGTATCTGCTGCCAAAGTGCTATTACTAAGCCATGTGAGGGAGGACAGGCAAGGAGGATGCAGAGCCTGGACTCTCCCAGGGGAAAGGAGACAAGAAGAGAAACATGGTGGCAGGAGGAGCCCTGGCTGATGAGTCAGGGGACCTGGCTTCTCAGTGTGGCCTGTTGCTAACTGGTAGTGCAACCCAGGAAATGCCACTGGTGCCCCTTCGGGTCTTAGTGTGTGGGGAATACACTCTCCATGCCAGGCCGGCCTCCCTTTGGAAGCGCTGTTTCCTATGCACAGCTGCCCTCATGCCAATGGCAAGCCCCTGCCACTCTGCCTGAGCACCTTTCCTGGCTGCAGGAGGAGGCTGCCCCCAAGGTGGGGCTGGCCAGAAATGCTGGAAAGTTCAAGCTCCCCAGAGCAACCCTCAACAAAAGACAGATAAGAATTGGGGGCTGAAGACCCCGGCCTCCTCTCCCTGGGACAGGATGACTCTGAAGACATGTGTTCCACGCGTCCCGGGGCTCCCTGGAGGCACGAGCCCCAGCTGCTCATGGTGGCACCTGCTCCTGGGGCACCCTGCATTCTCTCCTTGCCATCCCTCGCTCACATCCCTACTGGGGCTTCCTGGGACCCCTCCCAAATGAACTCCTTGCACTCAGATCCTTGTTTCAGGCTCTGCTTCTTGGGGAGCCACACTCATTTGGGGAGCCAAGTTATTTATTTGTCTGTAATGGGGAGTCCAGTCTGGAAGGGGCTTCAGCCATCTCCAGCTACCACCCCATTATTGTCTAGAAAGCACGACGGAGGCCCAGAAAGGAGAAACTGCTGACTCCCTTATTGTGACTCTCTCCACCCTGTCCCCAGGCCTCCAGGAGAGCAGCGCAGAGCCCCACTGCCCCCACCTCCAGCCAGGGGCAAGGCTCAGGGCAGGTGCCCAGGGGACAGGAAAGCATAGATTGTGGAGCACCAACATGGGGTGCTCTGGGCTCTGAATGCCCTGTTGACCCCTACCCAAAGCTTAACTGGCCTCTCAGATGCCCCAAGGTGAGGGGCTTTGGAGGGGAACCGCAGAGGAGAGCAGGAAGCCAGTGGGGCCTGAGGGCCAAAGAGCCTTCACTTGGCCTGGCTGCCACCCGCCTTCCCCTGCCCCACTCCTGCCATGCGCATCACATACTAGGGCTAAGCCATCAACTGCCTTCTGCTCTCCTGCTCATGCCATTCCCTCTAGCTGGGGTGTGCTCCCGCCCCTCCCCTCACAAACTCCTTCAAAAAGGAGCTCTGGCTTCTTCCGTTCTGCATGGCCTACCCCGACATCTCCCCTGCCGTCCCCATCAGGACCAACTCACCTCCTCCTGTCCCTTCCTGAGCTCCAGAAGACCCCCAGCACTGCCCCCAGGACATAGTCTATGGGGGACCATTGTCGAGGAGTCTGTCTCCCACAGGTGACCCAAAGCTCTCCGAGGGCAGTACTCAGCCTCATTTATCTTTTTATCCTCAGATCCTAGCTTATATAGCCCTGGAAATGTTTGTTCAATGAAGACGTGCAGGAAAATGACTCAACTCTTATTGAGACCCCAGCATCACTGTCATTCCCCACCCTTGTTGTCTCCTTTTCCTTCGCCAGTCTCCACAGAGACAATACAGTGAACAAGAGAAGGGCCCACCCAGCCAGGCCCAGTGGGAGAAGCAGCGGTCCCACCACCAGGGCAGGTGCCCAGCGGACAGGAGAGCACAGACTTAACCGGCAGGGAGTCTGCAGGGAGACCAAGGCCAGAAATATGGGACCCCAGTGCGGATGGGGTCTCTATTCTGCTGGGTTGTGTAGTCTCAGGGGCCTCCATTCATGAGTAGAGGCATGCGATGAAGTGGCCCCGTGACAGAGACCTTCTTGGGACAGCTTTGTAGGAGTACAGTCCTTTTAAAAGCTTTTCTAGCCAATGGGATGCAAATGAAATCCTTCTTAAAAGTTCGATATGGAAATATTGTCGTAGTTGATGTGAGGAACTATGGGGGAAAGCTTTCAGGCTTTCTCAACAACCCCTTATTCAAACCACACTGGGAGTCCCCTGGGGTTCCACGGAGCTGTTTAGAAACCCCTGGCCAAGTGGGGAGAAGCTGGATTCTGTCTGGGGATCCAGGTTCTAGTTTCCCTCTGCTACTTCCAGGCTGTGTAACCTTGGAAACCTCACTTGTCTGGGCCTCAGTTTCCTCATCCTCACAGTGGAGAAGACAGGCTCTCCCTCCCAGGCTCAAAGGTGATGACCAAGGTTGTACCTTTTTATGGTCAAACATAGATTTTATCATCAGGAGGCCCAGAAGGACATGAGACATTTTATGTCCTCTTGAACCAGGACTTCTTGGAGGCACCAGGCTCGGGGCTGCGGAACACATGCTGCTGCCTCTTGACTGTCTTTCTTCTCAGGGTTTCAGGCCCTGAGTGCTCATGAGGCACCTCCTTGCCCCAGACCTCATTACCCAGCCAGCTGGGCCCTCATACAGTCATTGTTCCTCTTCCCTGGGTGTGGAGCTGCCACATGCCAGCATGGAAAATTCCTTCTTTCCCTGCTTTGCAGTCAAACCCCAGCCAAACCCCAGTCCCATCCTGGGACGGTGGACCCCTAAAGGGAAATGGAGGCAGAGTATTCTGGCTCCAGGAATCAGCTAATGGAACCTTGTTAATTACTATGTAAATTATTTTAATAGCCTGGATCCCCCTCAGACAATTGTTTAGGGGCTTGAGGCCTGAGACTGGGGAGCCAGAGGGAGATGGGGGTCTCCGCTGAGGGAGGGGCGCAGCATTTCCTTGGCCCAAGAGATCCCTTTTATGGTTCCCCATGGGTGGGGGTGGAGGCACAGTGGCAACCTGAGGGAAGGATGAGTTCCAACCTGACCCTAGCCCATGGGGATCCTGGATGTGACACGGAGGTGCAGGCGTCAAGTCCATCCTTGAAGGCTGGAACTGAAAAGGACCTCAGATGATCTCTAGCCACTCCCACCCCTCACTGTGTCTAGGGAGAAACAGAAGCCCAGAGCAGGTGAGTGACTTGTCCAAAGTCACACAGCAGGGTAATGGCCAAGCAGGGGCTGGAACCCTAGTTTCCTATCTCCGGCCCAGGAGTTCTCAAACTGGGCACCCGTGGAACACATTGCCCCTGGGTGTCCTGCCTGGAGCATCATTTGGTGAGATTTCACCCAGTTTATAGAGAAAAAATTAAAGTGAAAGGGAAGCATTTTCTTGATTTCTGTGTGTAATTTTTAAATAAGATACCCCACAGATATGATATGTAGTCATATTTTCTTCCACAAATTTGTTCTTTTTTAAACTATGGTATTAATTTTGTAAAATGTCATAGCGTTCTATGAAGGATACTGTGACTTTGAGATTCTCTACCCTGGGAGAGACCCTCAGCCCTAAGCACTTATTTTTATCTCAATTTTCCAGATAGGGGAAGAGAAACAAATACTAACACACTTGCCCTGGGACTCTAACGGATCAGTGCTCTTTACTCCCTATCACTTGTTAGAAGTGTGTGTAAACCAAGAGTGAATAAGTTCTGAGAGAGAGAAAAGCAGGACTCAGAAGGGAGGTGGGGAAGAGTGAGGTTCATGACATACAGAGTTGTTGCAAGGATGGCACGCACATGAGTGAAGCCCTTGAGCTGTGCTGAGTGGGCCCCATGACGCCTCTCCTGGCTGCTCACAGGTGCAGCTGCAGGCAGTGGGTCAGCTGGCAAGACCTGCACTGGCCTAGAGTGGTTTACTGTAGCCTGGCAGCTCTGTAGTCACTTACTAGCTGTGTGACCTTGGGCAGCAGCACTATTCTCAGAGCCTTGATCTCTTATTCTTGTTGTGTTTGTGTGAGACAGGGTCTCACTCTGTCGCCCAGACTAGTCTCGAACTCCTGGGCTCAAGCAATCCACCTGCCTCGGCCTTCCAAAGTGCTGGAATTACAGGCTTGAGCCACCTTGCCTGGCTTTGATCTCCTCATCTGAAAAAGGAGAATAAGGATGCTTATCTCACAGGATGGCTGAAACAATGAAATTAGATGGTGCTACACACCTGCCTTGCAAAAAGTAATCACCCGCCTTCTGCTTTGTCTCTGCCTCTCTCTATATATAAATAGATCTAAATATAAATATTTTTAAATTAGGGTAAGGTGCACAGATGTGGGATAAATGCAGTCAGCCATCAAAGTTCCCCTAGCTCCCAGTGCCTTCCTTGCATCCCCAGTTTAATATATCCTCTCTGAGACCCAGAGTGCCCAGAAGGGCTCCACCCAGACCCCCTAGACTTTGCCTGGCCTGTGGGCAGTCCCTGCTGTCCTCTGCTTGGGTGCCCACGGCCTGCTCCCCCCTGTCAGCCCCCAGTCCTCCCCTCAGCACCCTCCCCTGGGAAGCATTTGCTGCTTCCAGAACGGGGGGTCCCTTTGGCCCTCATTGGCTCTGTGGAGGCCTCAGGCCCCTCCTTCTCCTCTTCTCTCTGTGGCCTCAGATGGATGTTCCAGCGCGACCTCAGCCTGGGGTTACTTCCTGGAATCTGCTGGAAGGAAAAGGTAGGGCTGTCTGAGCCTCAGCTTCCTCCCCTGGGAATGGAGGAATAATACTGTGTGCACCAAGACCATGTGAGGGGAAAGGCATGGGGGCTGTGAGCTCGTCCAGCAGCAGGGATCGTTAACGCTTGTGATGGGTGTAACATAATCAGTGCTGATGTGTAAATATGCCAGGCTCTTGGCTTGGTGGGGTCTGGCAGGCTGCTTCCCTGCCCTGGCTGCCATCTTCCTTCCCATCCCGTTTGACCTTGGAAAAAGCCCCTTTCCTTCCACCTGGGCTTGGGTCAGCCCCTGCTCTGTGCTCCATGCTGCCCACCCTCCCTGTCCCAGCACAGCTCGCAGGGGACTGCCATGGGCTGCCCACCTGCCTGTCCTGTGCTGGACTGGGCTCCAGGAAGGGAGGAGCTGTGCCTCATTCACCTGGCTCTGGATTGGTTTTGGCTGCAAGGAACACAAACCAACTAATACTCCTTAATCAAAAAGAGGAGTTTGCTGGAAGGCCATGAATGTGGTTTAAGAGGAGCCAAGAAGATGCAGCTGGCCTCAGGAAGGGCTGGAGCCAGAAAGGGGACGCACTCCACACTTCCCCTTCATCTCTCATCCCTGCTTCTTTCTCCTGTCTCTGCAGGATTTTAAAGTGGAAGTTTTTGCTGAGCCCCTAAAATGATAGATAGGCCATTAGCAAAGTGACAAGTGAACAGCCCACAGTGTACAACATATAAGCAAGCGGTCAGCATCGCTCGGATAGCCTTAAGGCCCCTACCCCTCAGGCGGTTACGAAGGTGTTGGGAGTTAGAGATGGAAGAATTGGTGGAGGAGGAGCCTCTGGAGCTGTGCTGTGTGATGTATGTCCTTTCTATGAATGATGAGAAACGGTGATACCCAACACTGAAGGAGGCTATGTGTGCCAGCCCTCGTGCCAGGCATTATGCATTGTGAACTCCCTCAACCCCCCAATACCATCCGGAGGAGGATCTCTTATCAACCCTCATTTTGCAGATGAGAAATCAGGGCTGGGAAGGTTAAGTAATTTACCTAGCAAGTTGCAGAGCTGGGATACAAACCCAGGTCGCCTGACTCCCACGCCCCTGCTCCTAGCCCCGGGTTGTGCCGTGTCATGTGTGTGCCTGTGAGTGTGGTGCACAGTGTACTGTGTGTGTTACGCACTGTGTCCACCTGATGGTGTTGATGTAGGTGTGCACATGCATGCATGTCTGTGGACACACGTGTGTCCCCAGGGGTGTTATGCGCGCATGCGTGTAGGCAGGGTAGCACACTGCTTGCTGTGGAAGACTGAGGGAGGTGCTGGCACACTTGCTTCTGGCTCGTTCATCTCCCACAAAAGCGCTGGTGAAACTACCTCGCCACTCTTTGGTGACCATTTTTCTTAATGAAAAATTTAACGAGAAGAGGAATGGTGGCTGAGCACTGGGGAGTCCTTTACATTGAGTAGCTTAGGCAGATGAAGCCCCAGGAAGAGGAGCAGCCCCCCAGCACTCTCTCGGGGTGAACCGCAGCCACCACACAGGGGGAAATATGAGGCTTCTCAAGACCCAGGAGACCTCGGGAGGCCTCCTTGGCTGGCTTCTCTCAGCCTTCCCCATCCCAGGGGCAGGGCCATAGGCTCCTCCCAACCCTATTTCTAGCCCCACCCCTCCTTGCTCCCGCCCAAGTTGCCTTCTGAAAGCCCACGCCATCCTGATCACAGTCCTGCCCCACAAACTTCCATGGTTCCCTTCTACCCTAAACACACAACCCAACTTCTGTGCCCAGCTATCCTCCACCACCTGGCCCCAATCTGCCGCCCAGACACCCTTCAAGGTAGGTGCCAGGGCAGAGACCAGGTTGTGGGGAGAGAAGCCTAGACTGCAAAGCTTCTGAAGGCCCTCACTCTCAGGGTCCAGCCTCGGTCTCCCCACCTCGGCATCCCCGCCTCCACTGGCAGAGGAGTGGGCATATCGTCCTGAGAATTGAACTTGAAGGTGCTGCAGGAAGTTTAACTCAGAATCAACAAAGGCTCTGAGTGCCAGCTTGATGCTGGGCCATTCTTCGCACAACCTGCCGCTTGGCCTCACAGAGTGGTTTTGAAAGCAGGTGCCTCAACGCCCCAAGTCTAATCGCCTGAAGTCAGAGAACCTGCAAGGAGGGAAACGACCACAGTAATGACCCACATGGAGTGAGGATCTGCTACGACCCACTGTGCTAAAGGGCTCTGGCTGTCACCGTCACCTGTGTGACAACCCGAGGGATGAGCCTACATTAGACCCTCATGATTCATGGACTCCCTATTTGTGAGTTCGCCTACTCACAAAAATTCACTTTCATCCTCCAATCAGTACTCACACTGCTTTCAGGGTGACTCGTGGACATATACAAAGTGGCAAAAATTTTGAGTCACCTGATATAACCTGATACCAGCTGAAGGAGAACAAGATGACACTCTGCCTTCTTGTCCCAGCTCTCATTTGGCAAACAGGTGTCCTTTGTGTGGTCTATTTAGTGTCCCGCTCTTCACATATTTGCGCACTTTGTTGGTGATTTCACTATTTCAAACTGCCCCCATGCGGAGTGCAAGGTGCTGTCTGGCATTCTTAAATACAAGAAGGCTGTAATATGCCTTACAGAGAAAATGGTGTGTTATGTCAGCTTCATTCAGCCATGAGTTACAGCGCTGTGGCTGCAGGTTCAGCGTTAATGAATCAACAGTATTAAATAAGGTGTCTTTAAACAGAAACACACATGAAACAAGGTGATGTACTGATCAGTTGATGAAAATGTGACCAGGGGTTCACAGAAATCTAACTCTGTATTTTTCCTCTAGGAGCAAAGGTTCAGTATTGCTAATTCAGCGTTCTTGGTGACTTTATAGAACATACTTACTGCAAATAAGAATCAATTGTAGACCATACTGACCAACATGGTGAAACCCCGTCTCTACTAAAAATACAAAAATTAGCCACGCATGGTGGCACGCGCCTGCAATCCCAGCTACTCAGGAGGCTGAGGCAGGAGAATCGCTTGAACCCAGGAGGCAGAGGTTGCAGTGAGCCGAGATCGCGCCACTGCACTCCAGCCTGAGCAACAGAGCGAGACTCCGTCTCAGAAAAAAAAAAAAAAGAGAGAGAGAGAGAGAGAGAATCGATTTTCCTCCTTTGCCACTGAAGAAACTATGGCACAGAGGGGTTAAGTCACCCACCTGGGCTTGCACAGCTAGTGAGTTGCAGGTTCTCTTAGGAAAGGAATCAACCCCCTCAACACACACACAGACACACACCTTCATGAGAAATGAGATAAATGCTGGTGGCCTGGGACACAAGTGTAGGGGACGAGGTACACAGACTTGGCATTGAATAGCATTATCTGAAGTTCTTTCTTTTTCATCTGTCTTTCAATCCTGGTGAGAGAATGCAAGTGAAACCCTGGGCTTGGTGCCCATAGGTCTTTAATGCCTCTCAAACTCCCCCTGCTAATTCCACTTTTAGTAAAGAAAGCTCAGCCCCCAGACTCAGAGCCTCCAGCAGGTTGGTGTGTCTAGCTGGGACCTAGTAACAGTTTAGTTTTCATTGTAGTATTTTTTTTTTTTTTTTTGAGACAGGGTCTCGCTCTGTCACCCAGCCTGGAGTACAGTGGCATGATCTTGGCTCACCGCAACCTCTGCCTCCCAGGCTCAAGCGATTCTCCTGCCTTAGCCTTCTGAGTAGCTGGGATTATAGGCGTGTGTCACTACCACCTGGCTAGTTTTTGTGTTTTTAGTAGAGATGGGATTTCACCATGTTGGCCAGGCTGGTCTTGAACTCCTGACCTCAAATGATCCTATATTGTAGGATATACCTACACACAGTATATCCTTCAATCCTCACGCTGGCCCCCAACGGGGGTATTATTGGATCTGAATTTTAGAATGAGGAGTCTGAAGCTCAGAGAGAGGTGAAGTGACTTGCCCACCGTCCTGTAGCAAGTGGATAGGAAGCCAGCATTTGAGTGCAGGCCTGTGTGGCTCCAGAAGCCTCCTACAGGTAACCCATACTGCTTCCCGGGTACATGCCTGGGAAGAGAATGCCTGGGTGACCATGACCAGAGATCCGTTCCTTTGCTTAGGCCTGTGCTCATGGGGAGTTTGCCTCTAAAGCTCTCCTTGCCCTGGGAAAGGAGGAAAGCAGAGAGAAAAGTGGCCTAGGTTTGCGGCTGTGCATCTTTCAGGTTCAGTATAAGTTTGTTGTTGTTTTGTTTTGTTTTGTTTTGTTTTGTTTTGTTTTGTTTTTAGAGACAGAGTCTTGCTGTGTCATCCAGACTGGAGTGCAGTGGCGCGATCCCGGCTCATTGCAAACTCCGCCTCCCTGCAACCTCCGCCTCCTGGGTTCAAGCGATTCTCCTGCCTCAGCCTGCCAAGTAGCTGGGACTACAGGCACCCACCACCACATCTGGCTCATTTTTGTATTTTTAGTAGAGACAGGGTTTCACCATGTTGGTCAGGCTGGTCTTGAGCTCCTGACCTCAGGTGATCTGCCTGCTTTGGCCTCCCAAAGTGCTGGAATTACAGGCATTAGTCACCGCCGTGCCCAGCTGACCCAGTCTCCTCTTAAAGATGCCATCTCCCAATACTGTCACATTGGGGATTAAGTTTCAACATAAGTTTTGGAGGGAACAAACATTCAAACCATGGCAGATTTCCTATATAGAATCAAGTCATCTGCAAATAGTGATAGTTGTAGTTCTTCCTTTCCAATGTCTATGCCTTTTATTGTCTTAACGCACTGACTAGAACTTTCAGCATAAGGTCCAATGGGAGTGGTGGGAATGAACATATTTATCTTGTTCCTAATCTTAGGGAGAAAGCGTTCAGTCTTTACAGTTAGGTACGATGTAGATGTTTTTTATGTCCCTTTATCAGATTAAGGGGAAGTCTCCTACTCTTGGTTTAGAAGAGTTTTCATAGATGCTCTGGGAGTGTTTTATTGATATTCATTATTGCATATTGAATTTAGTCAAATACTTTTTCTGCATGAAATGGTATGATTTTGTGGTTGTTATTCTTTAGTCTGTTAACAGAATGAACTACACTGATTGGTTTTTCAATGCCTTGAATTCCTGAGATAAGCTTCACTTATTATTTTTAATATATATTACTGGATTTAATTTGTTACTATTTTGTTGAATATTTTTGTATCTATATTCATGAAAAATGTTGATTTGCAGGGGTTTTTTTCCTTGTACTGTCTTGCCTGGTTTTGGTATCAGGATAAAATTGACTTCATAAAATAAATGGGAAAGTGTTTCCTTCTCTTATATTTTCTGGAAGAAATTATGCATGAAAAAAATTGGTCTAATCTATTATTTAAACATTTGGTAGAAATTGCCAGTGAAATTATCTAGCCTAGAAGTGTCTTTTTCAGAAGGTATTTAACCATAAATTTAATTTCTTTAACAAATACAGAACTGTTAAGGTTATCTATCTTGGGTGAGTTTTTAGTGGTTTGTGGCTTTAAAGGAATTGGTCCATTTATCTAAGTTGTCAACACATTTTGTGGAGTTGTTTATAGTAGTTCCTTATTAGCCTTTTAATGTGTGTGAGGTCTGATGTAGTAAGTCATCTCTCATTCCTGATTTTGGTAATTTGTGTCTTTGCTCTTTCCTTAGTCTTTTTAGAGGTTTATCACTTTAATTTATCTTTTCAAAGAACCAGCTTTTGTTTCATTGATTTTTCTTTATTGTTTTCTGTTTTCAATTTCATTGATTTTTGCTCTTGACTTTGTTATTTCTGCTTGCTTTGGGTTTATATTTCTCTCTCTCTCTCTCTCTTTTTTTTTTTTTTTAGTTTCTAAAAATGAGAGCTTAGATTGTTGATTTCAAGTCTTTCTTCTTTTCTAATATAAGCATTTAATGCTGTCGGTTTCCTGTAAGCATTGCTTGAGCTGCATCCCACAAATTTCGAAGTTTTTTCATTTTCATTCAGTTCAAAATATTTTCTAATTTCCCACGAACTTTCTTTTTGACCCATTATTTTAAATTGTGTTAAAAGTGTTTAGAGACTTTCCAGTTATTGCTCTGTTTTCAGTTTCTAGTTTGATTTCATTGTGATCAGATAACATACTTTGTGTGATTTCAGTTATTTTAAATTTGGAAGACTACTTTTATAACCCAAGATAGGGTCTTTCTTGGTGAAGATTCTTTTTTTTTTTTTTTGAGATGGAGTTTCACTCTTGTTGCCCAGGCTGGAGTGCAAAGGCGTAAGCTCGGCTCACTGCAACCTCTGCCTCCCGGGTTCTAGCAATTCTCCTGCCTCAGCCTCTGGAGTAGCTAGGACTACAAGCATGTGGCCACCATCCCTGGCTAATTTTTGCATTTTTAGTAGACATGGGGTTTCACCACGTTGGTCAGGCTGGCCTCGAACTCCTGACCTCAGGTGATCCACTTGCTTCGGCCTCCCAAAGTCTGGGATTACAGGCATGAGCCACTGTGCCTAGCCAAAGGTTCTTTTACACTGTGCAGAATTTATTTTCTGCTGTTGTTGGATGGAGTGTTCTATAAAATGTCAATTACATCCAGGTCAGTGATGGTTCATATCTTCCGTATCATCGCTGTTTTCTATCTACTTGTTCTATTAATTATTGAAAGAAGAATATTAAAGTTTACAACTGTAATTGAATTTTTCCATTTCTCCTTTCAGTTCAGTTTTTGCTTCATGCATTTTGAAGTCCTGTTATTAAATGTATACACAGTTAGGATTTTTATGTTGTCTTGGTGAACTGGTCCTGTTATCATTATGTAATGTCTCCTTTTATCCCTAGTAATTTTCTTTGGTTTAAATTTTACTTTATCTTATATTAACATAGCCACTCCAGCTTTCTTTTGATTGGTGTTTGAATGGTTTATCTTAGTCTTTTTTTAAATGATTTTATTGAGATATAATTCACATAGCATAAATTTGCCTATTTGAAGAGTGCTGTTCAGTGGTTTTTTGTGTATGTATCTTAGTCTTTTAATGTATCTATATCTTTATATCAATATAATTATAGGCAGCATATAGTTATATCTTGTTTTTTAAATCCATTCTGACAATTTTTGTCTTTTAATTGGTGTGTTTAGACCATTTATATTTAATGTAATTATTGCTATGTTTGTATTTAGGTCTGTCATTTTATTATTTCTGTTTGCTCCTTCTGGTTTTTGTTCCTCTGTTTCCCCTTTCCTGTTTTTATTTGGGTTATTTAAACATTTTTTAGTATTCTATTCTACTTTATAAATTGCATTTTTTACTATATTTTTTGTAAAAAAAATTTGGTGGATTTTCTAGGTATTACTATATGCATATTTAACTTTTCAGATTAAATAGAAATGTCTACTTAGAAGAAATACTTTACTACTTTAAATGGAATATAGAAACCTTCCCATCAAATAGGTTCCTTTACTCTCCTTCCTTTCCATTATGGCTATCTTATATATTATATATTAGGTCTACCTTGAAAACCTCATCAAACAATGTTATAATTTTTGCTTTCAACTATTAATCATATTTTAGATAACTCAAGAGAAGGGGAATAGACTATTTACCCAGAAATCTACCATTTCTGTTGTTCATCATTCATTCCTGTGTTTCCAAGTTTCACTATGGTATTATCTCCCTTCCATCTGAAAAACTTCCTTTAGCATTTACTTTAGAACAGGTATGTTAGCAACAAAGTCTCTTAGTTTTCCTTTATCTGAGGATATCTTTATTTCACCATCATTCCTAAAGGATATTTTCACTGGATATAGAACTCTGAGTTGATGTTTCTTTTCTTTTAGCACTTTGAAAATGTTTCATTTCCTTTTAGCCTCCATGGTTGCTCATGAGATACTGATAGTAATGCTATATTTTTCTCTAATTACTTTCAAGATTTCTTTCTCCTTAGTTTAAAGAAGTTCAACCACCATATCCCTGAGAGTGCATTTCTTTGAGTTTACCCTGTTTGAAGTTTGCTGAATTTCTTGAAGCTGTAATTCTGGGAAGTTTCCAGCTGTTATTTTTTTTCAATTATTATTTCCTGAACTGCACTGTTGCTCCATTCCTTCCAGGACTCTGATTACATGACCAGTTGACATTTTGGTATTGTCCCTCTCGTCCCTGAGACCCTGTTCAATTTTTTCAATCTTTTTTCTCTTTGTTGTTCAGATTGGATAATTTCTATTGATCTATATTCAAGTTCCCTGACTCTTTGTTCTCTCATCTCCATTCTGCTAGTTTTTCCAGTTATTGTTTTTTTATTTTAAAATTGCATTTTTCAGTTTTGTAATTTCAGTTTGGTTATTTTTTATATCTTCTATTTCTTTGTTGGGACTTGCTATTTTTCATTCATTCCAGAGTATTCACCCTTACTTCTTGGAGTAAGGTAATAATAGCTGCTTTAAAGTCTTTGATAATTTCAACATCTGTGTTGTCTCAGGGTTGGCATCTATTTGATTGTCTTTTTATTGTGAGTTGAGTTTTTTCTAGTTTTTCATATCCAAAGTAATTTTAGATTGTATCCTGGACATTTTGAATAGTATGTTATGAGACTCTGGATCTCGATTTTTATTTTTTTAACTCACAGAACCAGTGAGTGGTCTTGTTTAAATCCTAAAGAGAATGCTGATTTTTTTTTTTTTTTAATTTTAGCAGACAAGTGACCAGGCTAGGTCCAGGCTGCCAGTTCCACCTACCTTCTCTGGGTTCTGGTACCAATATCAATTCAGTTTTCAAAGCCATTTGCAGTACTCTTCAGATGGGTTTCATATGTAGACTAGTTCTCAAGGTCTTTGATGTTTTGTTTGGGATCAGATCCATGCTGCACAGTTTGGAGGTGATTCTGGGAGTTTATACACAAAAGTATGGGATCACTCTTTTATGCTCTCTCCTCTCTACAATCTCCCTCATCAGTTTTTGGCTCTTTGGGGCCTCCTTTTCCAGTCCCTCAGCCAGAAATCTAGGACTTTAATTTCCCAGCTCTGCTATGTACTTATAACTGCATCTGTGTCTGGGGCCAAGCAGCAGGAGAACAGAAGGCAGAGGGATTGGGGTGTGAGGGTGGAGACAGAAGTAACAGGAATTTCCCCATGCTCTTGGGCTCACGGCTTTTCTGGTAGGAGAAGTTTTTTCTGTCTAAGAATTTTAGGCATCTACTTGGCTAATGCTGCTATCACCATTGCCACTGCCTCCATTGCAATACTACCTGGCAGCTTGAGTGGGAGACGATGGAGAAAAAAACACATAAACAGGAAAACTTCCCACATCTGATCTTTAGGAGCCACCTTCCTGCTCCTCAAACCAGAAAAGGAGTTCTTTCTATTCTCTTGGAGCTCTATCTGCCCCTACCTGGTGCACTCTTCCAGGTTTTGGGCTACATGTGAGTCAAGGTCAGGCAAAACTGGGGGGAAAATAAATGGGAAACTCAACCCCAGTTCAATCATACTTCAAATTCTTGTTTCCTTCTCCAATATATTGGCTACTATGCAGTTTCCAAGTTCTCAGCTAGCTGGCCCATGCATCCTGTCCGTAGTTTAGAATCACAGTCAGTAGGTATAATGTAGAGTGTGTTTACTCCATCTTTTCCAGAATTGACCCTTCATGTGTTGGGCTTTCATTTCAATTTAAGTTTTAAATTTTAACTTATTTGTCATTTCTAGAAATTCTATTTGGTCTGCTTCAACTTCACCTGATCACTTTTGATAGTCTCTCATTCTTTTGTCATACATTTGATCACATCTTTAATTTCTTTATGCAAACCACACATAATTATTTTATGTTATACATACAACAGATCATTCCGATATCTTTGGTTGTTGTTGGTCTGATTCAGCAATGTTGTTTCTGCTGAATCTCATGTCATGTAGCTTATTTTCTCTTCTGTTTAATATACATATATGTGCATTAAAATATATATGTTTTAGTGTAACCTCCTGTTCCTGGAAGTTTATTTGTGAGAATACTTTGAAGCCTAGATTTAAAATGCGTTCCTCTAGGGAGTCTTCACAATTGCTTCATCAGGCATCTGGGGAACACTTGAAACTATATTTTCAGTTAGTTTTTTTCTGGCGTCAGAGAGGGAAGCAATATAGGCAGTGTGAATTCCGATGCCACATCCACTTGAAACTGAGCTTGTCGAGGCCGAGCGTGGTGGCTCATGCCTGTAATCCCAGCACTTTGGGAGGCCAAGGCAGGTGGATCACGAGGTCAGGAGTTCAAGACCAGCCTGGCCAACATAGTGAAACCCCATCTCTACTAAAAATACAAAAAAATTAGCCGGGTGTGGTGGCAGTCGCCTGTAATCCCAGCTACTCGGGAGGCTGACACAGGAGAATCGCTTGAACCTGGGAGGCAGAGGTTGCAGTGAGCCAAGATCACGCCATTGCACTCCAGCCTAGGCGACAGTGTGAGACTCCATCAAAAAAAAAAAAAAAGAAAGAAAAGAAAAGAAAGGAAGAAAGGAAAGAAAGAAAGAAAGAAAGAGAGAGAGAGAGAGAGAAAGAAAAGAAAGAAAAAGAAAGAAAGAAAGAAAGAAAGAAAGAAAGAAAGAAAGAAAGAAAGAAAAGAAAAAGAAAAGAAACGAAACTGGGCTTGTCCCAGAGATTCCAGGGAAAACCCATCTTTCCTGTGCTCCAACTGCAGTTGAGACAGAAGCAGACAAGTCTCTGTGGACATTTTTTCCCTACTTTATTGAGGATGCAGCCCTTTGGGATCCCAGCTTTATGCAGGGGTCTTCTAACCTACCTCCCACTTTGCTTGGACCCAGGAATTATTTCCCATAAAATGAGTATCTTCCAGGCGGGCGTGGTGGCTCACGCCTGTAATCCCAGCACTTTGGGAGGCTGAGGCGGGCAGATCACCTGAGGTGGGGAGTTCGAGACCAGCCTGGCCAACATGGCAGAGCCCCGTCTCTACTAAAAATACAAAAATTAGCCGGGTGTGGTGGTGCATGCCTGTAATCCCAGCTACTTGGGAGGCTGAGGCAGGAGAATCGCTTGAACCTGGGAGGTGAAGGTTGCAATAAGCAGAGATTGCGCCACTGCACTCCAGCCCGGGCGATAGAGCCAGACTCTGTCTCAAGAAAGAAAAATCAGCGAGTCAACAGAGTAAAGCAGAAGCAAGTTTATGAAGAAAGTAAAGGAATAAAACAACGGCTACTCTACAGGCAGAGCAGCACGAAGGGCTGCTGGTTGGCTACTTTTATGGTTATTTCTTGATCATATGCTAAACAAGGAGTGGTTTATTCATGAATTTTCCAGGAAAGGGGTGGGAATTTCCCAGAACTGAGAGTTCCTTTTCCTTTTAAGTCATATAGAGTAACTTCCAGATGTTGCTATGGCGTTTGTAAACTGTCATGGGGCTGGTGGGAGTGTCTTTCAGCATCCTAATGCATTATAATTAGCGTGTAATGAGCAGTGAGGATGACCAGAGGTTACTTTCATTGCCATTTTGGTTTGGGCGAGCTTCTTTACTGCAACCTGTTTTATCAGCAGGGTCTTTGTAACCAGTATCTTGTGCCCCTCTCCTATCTCATCCAGTGACTTAAGAATGCCTAACCTCCTGGGAATGCAACCTGGCAGGCCTCAGCGTCATTTTACCCAGCCCCCGTTCAGGATGGAGTCGCTCTTGTTTGAATGCCTCTGACACTCCTGTCCTCTGTGCCTTGTCTGGGCCACACTCTTGAGCACATCAGAAACATGCTTCTGAGTCCAATCCACCTGGGGCTGTGGGAAACCCTCTTGAGCACTCAGGTGCATCCTGGCAGCTCTGTGAGGCCAGTCACACCTACCGGCAGGACCACTTCTGCTTCTGCTTCCACTTCCGCTTCCACTCTGGCACACATCACAGCACAGGGAGGCCCAGGCTCCAGGCTCCAGGCTCCTCCCTGCTCTTCAACTCACTTCCGTCCTCTCGTCTCACTTCCCCTTGAGTCTCCTTCCCCAACTCATGAAATTTTTATTTAGTTTGCGGGGGAGGGCCACACAGGGAGTGGATGGCAAAGACCGGATTGAAATCCAGGTGTCCAGACATCTCAGCCAGGGTCCCCACAAGCCTGCAGAGAGTGTTGGCACAGCAGGATCCATCCCGTGCTGTGCTGATGTGACTGGCAATCCCTTGGGGAGGAACATTGGGGCCATCTTCCCAGGCATTCAGCACAGCACCTGCCATTCTGGAAGTGAATGAATGAGGTTGGGGCTACCTGGACAGGAGGTGCGCACTGCATTTTCACTCTCTGTGCATGGTTGAGTCTCCACTGTTGGCCAGACACTGACCACTGCTTGACCCATTAGCCAAGGAGATGTGAGGGGTGGGGCTGGGGAAGAGGTGAAGGAGGAGAGAGGAAGGAGTGTGTCTGTCCTGCATGCTGCAGAGCGTGCTGCCACATCGCAGTGACGCTCCAGATGCTGTGCTCAGAGCTGCCTGAGCGTTCCCTTATTGAATCCTCACATGTACATTTCTTGGAAAGAAGAAGAGATTCTTCTTCACTCCCATTTTGTAGATGGGAAATTGAGTCTTCAAGAGATTGAGTAACTTGCCTAAGGCCATATAGCAAATAACCAGGGAAATGGGATTCAAATCAGCTCAAAAAAAAAAAAGTTGAACCCAAACCCTCCATACCACAAGGCCTCTTCGCCATCAGTGTGATGATCTCTACTCAACAGATAAGGAAACTGAGCCCTGGGGATGTAAGGGACTTGCTCAGGTTAGTGAGAGAGCCAGACCCCAAACCAACACTAGAGCCTGGACTGCTTGCCATCAGTGGTTTGAACCTACCACAAGCCCCCTGACCAATGGGGAAGACAGATCCTGATGTTGCTGCCCTAGGGCTGATGGCCATTGAGTAGGCATGGGGTCTGTCCTGGCCAGCAGAAGTCCCTGACACTGTCAGTTCCAGGCAGTGTGCACGCCCTACACCCAGATAAACAAGAGACCAGCTCTTGGCCTCGTGGAGCCACTGTGTGCCAAGGTGCGAGGGTGGGTTCTGCAAGAGAGTGGCACCTACATCTCACATGACCTCATCTCCCCTGCCGGTGCCCATGCCCCAGGATTCTGGACATTTGCCTCAATGGCCAGCTCTGTGGGTGCCTTCACTTCAGAGGTCAGGCCCCAACCCTCAGCCAAAGGACAGCTGGGCAAATGGTTCCACCCACCAGAGCTGGACACCTGGCCTGGACTGGACTAGTGGACTTCTCTCCTGGGTTACAGAGGCCTGAAACTTCCTTCCCTCTAACTGTGGGTGCCAGTGGCAGTCCTCCAGGCCAGGCCAGTGAGGAGGCCCTGGGAGGCAGAAGGTCTGTGGTGGCTGTGAAAATGCCCCTCTCAGATCTCTGACTGTGAGGAGCATCATTGACCAATGGCTTCAGCAGCTGAGCAGTAAAATCTATCACCAAGGTGTGTGCCTGAGGTGGCTGCACTCCCTGCAGGCTCCTTGAGGTCCGCAACAGACCTGCATTGTGGTCAGATGGCCCTCCCAGCCTCCTCCAACCTAACTGGGACAGCGCATCAGGGTGTGACAGTCCCCACCATGCCCAGGACCCATTACTCCCTACCACCCAGATGATTCACATCAGAGAATTCACCCCTCCTGGGATGCAGGGTTCACCTCTCCCTTTGGCCCCCCGAGCCATCACCCTCTCAGACAAACCCAGTTCTGTCACTCTTCCCTCATGCAGAGGTCCGCGTGTGGGCCTGGGGCAATATGGAAGTCAAAGAGAAAGAGCTGGTTATATGTTGACTCATGTCTGCCTTTTATTATCCAGGAATTTATCAAAACCTGGATTTGTGCAAGGCACAGTGACAGCAGAATATTCCAGAAACTGCACAGGATTTGGAGACGGATGGAAAGTGGGGACTATGTTTGAACACTTGCACTCAGAGCTGTGTGATCTTGAACAAGTTACCTAGCCTCTCTGAGCTCTTGTTTCCCCATCTAAAAATGGGTTGTATGAGAAATTCATGTTATAGAGCATGGACCGACCAAGCGGACTTCTACAAATAGCCAGGGATGTTACTGTTAGGCCTGTAGTTCTTACTTCGGTCCTTGAAAGAAAGAGTCAGGCAGTGACCTGGGTCTGACCCTTCATTCTGGGCACCCAGAGACCAGGCTCCCACACACAGCTCAGCAGCTGGAGCCTTTGTGCTGGGTACCAGCTTGTCTGCTGAAGACGGGGCAGGTGGGGTGGGAATCCAGTAAGAGTCTGGCCCAAGGCTCATGTCTTCTTCCTCCACTGCCAGACCTCCTTGCATGACAGCAGCCCCTACTGAAGGAGGAGGCAGAGGGAAGGAGTGGGAATCAGGGCCTTGCAGAGGGATGCCTGGATGCCATGGGGAAGGCTCAGTATTTAGAAGGACCCAGATATAAAGCAGTCATGGAGCCAGTTTTTGAGTAGGGGGAACAAAACAGGACATCTTCGACCTAAATTACCTGGGTAAACTCTAAAACTGTCTACATCCCAGGAGACAGTTATAGACAAAGTTGCCAGGAGGTTCAGAGGAAAGAGAGCACAGATCCAAGTGGGAAAATTCAGGGAGTCTTCCTGGAGGAGGTGGCATTTTAGCCACATCTTGAAAGGTGCTATGGGGGACTAAAGGAGAGGGTAGGACACTCTGGGAAAAAAAATCCCAGCATAAGCTGAGGATAGGGGATGGGAAGGATGGAGTGGTTCACCTGGAGTGGTATAGGAAAGAAGAGTGAGAAGTGAGGCCACAGGTATTCTGGAGGGCCAGGAGTTTGATGTTTACTCTGTTCAGCAGAGGGGTGGCAGGATGAGATTCTGAGCAGAGGAGTGATGCTCTCAAAGTATATTAGCAAGATGGGTGGCCTAGGGCATTTTGGAACTCTAGGTGTCCCAGGCAAGGGCCCCAGGAAGCTTTTAGCAGGTTTTGCCCTTATTTTAAATGACCCCCACCTCCTTATCTGTGTTTTCATCAGGGTCTGAGAGTTAGCGAAGCTCTGCATTCTATGTGTCATGAGCCTGTCACGCACCCGCTGTGTAACCACTCCCAGTACACAGGCACGCTCACACGCACATGCACACACAAGCACACACCCTCAGAGGCCAAGCAAAAACCTGCGCCAAGTCCAAGGATGCATGGCCAATATTGACCACGAGAGGGCGCCTCTGACATCCCCGCAGAGGGAGAAGCAGAGACTGGGCTAAAGAACCAGCCCCAGGCAGAAGGGGCCTTTAAGACAAGCAAGTCCACCTGCCTCATTTTACATGTGGAGAAACTGAGACTCAGAGCAGGGGATGGCATGGTCCAGAAGAGGGAGGGGGTAGTGGCCACCTTAACAGTTGGACATGGGAAGATGGCTCTTAAACTGCAATTTGAAAGTCAACAGAATTGAGAACAAGGAAGAGGTGTCCCTGCACGCATGCCAGCGCACCCATGCAAGCGTTTTCACCACTGCTACCCCAAAAAGGATTCTTCTCATCACCTGCCACAATGTCCGCATTTCCACCAGTAGAGGCTAACTCTTTTCGATTAAAATCCATCCTGTCCAACCAATCTCTTTGTAACTATATATGTCACAATAAGGTTACAGATTACAGCCTCGGGCCCTGCCGTGGGAGGGTCTGCACTGAGCGCTAGGGATCCTGGTTAAGCCCGCAGGGAATCCACTGTAACCTGGGAACAGGAGAAATCAGCCTCCTTTTCCCATGAGTTTGCCCTTCCCTTTTCCCGGAACACCTTTCCCTATGTCTCCTGGTAAAGAAGCCCCATTCATCCTTCAACCTCCTGTGCTAACCCCCTTGGGAAATTTGCTGATGTCTGTCTCACCACCCTGTTCCCCACAGTTCTTCAGACCCACCCCTGTCTAAACTCCACCCACTCTGATTCAGATGAGTCCCTGTTCCCATACCCTTGTCAGCCTCTGGGAGCTCCTCTTGGGCAGGGACTGTGAGCTCTTCACTGCCACACTCCAGCTGGTGCTGACTGCCCCCTCACTGATCTTTGAATGGAGGGAAGCAACATGGTGCCTGAGAGTTGAGACTGAAATCAGGAGACCTGTGTTCTAGTCCTAGCTCTACCGTTAACTGGTGTAGGTAAGTCCCTTCCCCTCTCTGAGGTTTCTCTACATTTTTTTCTACTCCATGAGAAGAGTGGTCTAGAAGTATCTAGAATCTCTCCCCATTATACATTCTGAGCCTGAGGTTTAACTCATAATGGCCTTCAGAAATGTCAGGTCTTATTAGCAGATAATTCCCAAGCCCTAGAGTGCAGAGTTTTCACCATGTGGGACTGACATTTCTTATTTCTTGGACTACCCTCTGTAAACAGTAGGCAGCAAGAACTCCTCAGTACTGCATGTGGAAGAGGGTTACACAGAAGTGTTTGGACTAGTGCAGCAATGAGGCTGCTATTGCAATGTTCTCAAATTCAGACCATAAAGGATAGAGGCGCCCCAAGAAGTATTAATTTGCATTTTCTTTGGAACTTAGAAAGCTGTTGAGAAGCTACAGTTCTAATAACGGACTGAGAATGGTGACAGGTAGCAGGTAAGATTTTGGAGAACTTTCAGGAGTCCTCAAACTTTGCTTGTCGATGTCTATACCACAGGCCGGCCTGGCCTCTCAGGCCTCAAACCCCTGCTGCCCAAGCCCCCAGCTTTCTCTGGGCCTTCCGGGGCTCTTCCCTCTTGGCAGAAGCACTGATGCCAAGTTCACACTCCTTCTTTAAATAAACACAAGGCAAGCACTGCCTAATTATGCACTGTGGATGATGACTGGAAATGGGACCTGGCTTTCCAGCCTTTGTCTGCAAGGCTACTGGGTTGAAGGGATGGGAGGTGAGGGTGGAGCTCAGGAGACCTGCCAGCTGCCAGCCCAACGGTCTCTGTTTGGGAGACATCAGGGAAAAGACCCATGGAGACAAACAGGGCAAACTGGCCTCCAGCTCACAGGACCCGCTGGGTTGCTTTGCAGGACAGCTGAACCTTGATTGGGCAGGGGCACACAGGCATGCATGCTTCGAAAGCCCCAAATTCTTCCTCCTCCTCCTCTTCTTCATCTCCTTCTCCCAACAAACACAGATGTTTTTCAGGCATGTGGAGAGCCAGGAAGCTCAGACTTGGTGCCCATCCACGTCATCAGACAAGTCACCCCTTTCCTGGCCCTCAATTACCCATAGGTCAAATAGGGACAAGAACTGCCATCCCAGCAACCACATCAGAACTTCCCATGCTCTTCTAGAAGCTTCTGAGCTTTCACAGATGCCATTCCCTGCACCCCCACCCCTTTGCCCTCCTTCCCCAGGCTGCCAGTGCCAAGATCTGGTCTCCTAACTTTTAGCCACGGGGCCTCCCAGCACACCTCGCTCTCTCTGTCCCTGTTGTGCTTAATTTGGGGGGCGGGGGTGGGTGAAGCAAGCTCCCTGAGGTTCCCACACAACCCTCCCGAGCAGAGAGATTCATTACAGTGTCATTTGCAATAGAATAAAATTAGAATTTAAATGTTTGCAATTAAGGAATAATAGTTCTAATAATAATGAAAATGATACTTTCTGAGCGCTTCCCACATTCACACCATAATCACATTGAACCCTTACAAGCAACTTATAAAGTAGATACTATTATTATCCCCGTTTTACAGAGGAGAAAACTGAGGCACAGAGAGGTTAAGTGGTGGGGCTAGGATATGATACATTCATTTTGAGGCATTTTTCTGTGATCATTTACAATTGTGAAGTTGTGCAAAAGTTTAATGTCATGAGAGGAGGCGTGTATGCATATGTATGTCTATACTGTATAAAATAAAATGTGTAAAAATAAAATATGTCTTTCAAAGTTGAATAAAAATACACCAAAATGCCCACGGCCGTTTCCTCTGGGCAATGAGTTAATGGAGAATTTCTAATTCTTTTTTTGTACTGCTGTATTTTCCACATTTTCTACAATAAGCGAGTGTTCTTTTAAATCATGAAAAGAAGCAGGCATCATATATTGCCTGTGAGGCATTTGGGAGTAGAAACTCAGACCTGAGTTAGGTCTGAAGAGAATGCAAGGGGTGAAGAAACCTTGATCTCGAAAGTGCTCTTCCAAGCTCCTCTCTGACTTGGCTTCCTGGGCGGAGAGGCTGTTTTAGCCACACAGGATTCATTCATTCATTCATTCATTCATTCACTCATTCACTGATCAGTTGCCCTGCACGTCGTGGGGGGGATACAGAGACAAACAGGCTTGTTTCCAGTCCTCTGTGAGCTCAGACTGGGTGATGCTGAGGGCCCAGGCAGGGAAGGACAGGGGCAGGGTGGTCACTGGGCAGCAGGAGAGGGGTCAGAGGCAGAAAGGACAGCACAGGGAAGGGTTGGGACGAGGCGCATACAGGACCATCCAAGGTTCTGACTTGGGCTGTGCATGTCAGTGGAGCCCCTCAGGGTCACCCTGTTCATGGCTACATCCCCAGAATAAATGAATAAATAAGCGAACAAACAAACAGAGAAAGAAAGAAGACAAATGACAAACGGCAGAAAACACTTGCAACCTGTATCACAGGCAAAGCATGAATGTCTCTAGTGAATGGCTTCTAAAAGTAGAGAAGGGAAAAACGAACAACTTCCTAGACAAATGGGCTAAAAATATTAACAGACAATGGCCGGGCGCAGTGGCTCACGCCTGTAATCCCAGCACTTTGGGAGGCTGAGGCGGGTAGATCACGAGGTCAGGAGATTGAGACCATCCTGGCTAACACGGTGAAACCCCGTCTCTACTAAAAATACAAAAAAAAAAAAAAAAATTAGCTGGGCGTGGTGGCCTGCACCTCTAGTCCCAGCTGCTGGGGAGGCTGAGGCAGCAGAACAGCATGAACCTGGGAGGCAGAGCTTGCAGTGAGTCGAGATCGCACCACTGCACTCCAGCCTGGGTGACAGAGCAAGACTCAGTCTCAAAAACAAAACAAAAATATTAACACACAATTCACAGACAAAGAAATGCAAATGGCTCATAACCCTGTGAAAATATGATCAACATTGCTCAAACAAAAGAAATGCAAATTAAAACTACTCAGAGATACCATTTCCTACCTATCAGATTGTCAAAAATCCAAAAGTTTGGCAATGCATTCTGCTGGCACTCCTAGCCAGAGCTGACGGGAATGCAAAATGATGCAGGCCTTCTGCAGGGGAATTTGGCAATAGCTATAGCAAAATTGCATGTATGTTCAACCTTTGACTCAAGAATCCCATTGCTGGGAATCTACCGTAGAGAGACACTAGCAAAAATACCAAAAGGTGTAAGCACAGGCTTTTTATTGCAATTCAATTTGTAATCGCTAAAGAATGGGAGCAAGGAAAATGTCCATCAGCAGAGGCCTGTGGTTATCAGCACAATGGAGGACTCTGTGGCTGTAAAGGGGACTGAGGACAATCTTGACCAACTACTAGGGAGAGACAGCTGGAGTGGGATGGACAGTGAATACAGCAAGAGGCAGAGAAGTGTCATTGCATGCTAATCCTTACCTAAAAGGAAGGAAGAGCCAAACGTGGAGGCGTATACCTGTAGTCCCAGCTACTCGAGGTTGAGGCAGGAGGATTGCTTGAATTTAGGATTTCAAGTCCAGCCTGGGCAACATAGTGAGATCCTCATCTCAAACAAAAAAAAAAAAAAAGGAGGGAGGGATACGAATACATATGCATTATGTATGTGATACATATTAAATTAATGTAATAATAAAGAATAATGTTTAAAAATTAATAGTTATGGGGAAGGGAAAGGATTGAAAGGGGCATAAAAGCTAGACCTTTCTGGATATATTTGTATGATAGATTTTGGAACCAGAAATAAAATTTAAAATCTTTAAATAAATTTCTAAATAAAAAGCTTTAAAAATTCTAAAAACCTAAAGTAAAATAAAGCAAATAAATCTACACATTGAATTAATTATTTAACCACCATTCAAATTAAACTGAGGCCAGGCCCAGTGGCTCACCTCTGCCAGCACTTTAGGAGGCTGAGGCAGGAGGATCACTTGAGGCTGGGAGCTCTAGCCCAGCCTGGGGAACATAGCAAGACCCTGTTTCTAATATATATATTAGCCAGGTGTGCTGCTGTGCACCTGTAGTCCTGGCTTCTCAGGAGGCTGATGCAGGAGGATTGAGGAATTTGAGGCTGCAGTGAGCTAAGATCATGCTACTGCACTTCAGCCTGGGTAACAGATCTGGACCCTGTCTCTAAAAATAAGAAAAAAGTAAACTGAGGCACAATAAAATTTTAAAGAATTTATAGGAGCAAACAACAATTCATGAATTGGGCAGTTCCAAACCAGAAGTGAGGGAACACAAGGGATGGGTTTTTATACAAGGAACACAGAAGTAAAGCAAAGAAAATATTTGATTGGTTACAGTTATACAGTTGCCTTATTTAATCTATCCCATAGGAAAGTCCCTCATTATATAATTATAAGTTTGTTGGCTACTTCTGAGCCTAACTGGTTTTGTTTGCTCAGGGATTCTTTAGGCCTGGTCTTCATTTTAATTTACTTTAATACCACAAAGAGAAAAACTATTCCAAATGACTTTCAAACAAAGTAACTTAAAGACACATAAACCAATTGGAACACAGTGACCTTATTTGTATCCTGATTCAAACAAACAAGTTGAAAAAAGAGAAATGATGACATTCATGAGACACTGGGAAATGTGAGCACTGACTGGAGAGTTCATGATAGGAAGAGTGATAATGGCACACATTTTATATGTGATAAGGGTATTGTGGCTTTTTAAAAAAGGAATCCATGGCCGGGCATGGTGGATCACGCCTGTAATCCCAGCACTTTGGGAGGCCGAGGCAGGTGGATCACCTGAGGTCGGGAGTTCGAGACCAGCCTGACCAACATGGAGAAACCCTGTCTCTACTAAAAATACAAAATTACCCAGGTGTGGTGTCACATGCCTGTAATCCCAGCTACTCGGGAGACTGAGGCAGGAGAATGGCTTGAACCCGGGAGGTGGAGCTTGCGGTGAATCAAGATCGCACCATTGCACTCCAGCCTGGGCAACAAGAGTGAAACTCCATCTCAAAAGCAAAACAAACAAAGAAAAGGAATCCATGTCTTTTAGACATAATATTGAATAGGAATGAAATGATACGACATCTAGGATTCGCTTCAGAAGTAACTTGGTCATTGTGGGAGAGCAGGGGATGAAACAAGATAAGCCATGAAAAGCCAGGTGTGGTGGCACCTGTAGTCCCAGCTACTCCGGAGGCTGAGGCAGAAGGATCCTTTCAGCCTGGGAGGTTGAGGCCGCAGTGAGCTGATATCATGCCACTGCACTCCAGCCTGGGTGACAGAGTGAGGCCCTGTCAAAAAAAAAAAAAAAAAAAGTCTGGGTGCGGTGGCTCATGCTTGTAATCTCTTGTAATCTCAGCACTCAGCACTTTGGGAGGCTGAGGTGGGCAGATTACCTGAGGTCCAGAGTTAGACACCAGCCTGACCAACATGGAAAAACCCTGTCTCTACTAAAAATATAAAATTAGCCAGGCATGGTGGCGCATGCCTGTAATCCCAGCTACTCAGGAGGCTGAGGCAGAAGAATCGCTTGAATCCGGGAGGTGGAGGTTGCTGTGAGCCGGGATTGCACCATTGCACTCCAGCCAGGGCAACAAGAGTGAAACTCCACCTCAAAAAAAAAAAAAAAAAAAAAAAAAGATAAGCCATGAAAGGGTAATTGACGAAACTGGTGATGAGCACACGGAGACCCATTATATTAATACTATTCTTTCTACTTTTGCAGATATTACCAATTTTCATAATAAAACATTTTTAAAGACTAGCACCTGATAAAGATGTGGAAAAATCAAAATGCAAACATTACTAGAGGAATGCAAAAGCTCTAGTACTTTTGCATTCCTACTTTTGCATTTTTTTTTTGTTTGAGATGAGGCTCTCACTATGTTGCCTAGGCTGGACTTGAAATCCTAAATTCAAGCAATCCTCCTTTCACTTTGGAAAATGGTTTGGCAGTTTTTATAGAATATGCTTAATGTACAAGCCATCACTTCCACACCCAGCAGCTACCCTAGTGAAGGGAAAACTTTCATTTGCCCAAAACAGTGATGCTTCCAGTTAGGAATAAGATTCTTCCTGGTATTTTTCAAGACACTCAAATTAAAATTTAAACTTCAGAGGTTATTATGGCTTTGGAGATGGTACAGCCATTCTGAATAAGAATTTGGCATATTTCTTTTTCTTTTTTTCTTTCTTTCTTTCTTTTTTTTTTTTTTTCCTTTGGCAGAGTCTTACTCTGTCACCCAGGCTGGAGTGCAGTGGCGCAGTCTCGGCTCACTGCAACCTCCACCTCCAACCCCACTGTGTTCAAGAGACTCTCCTGCCTCAGCCTCCCAAGTAGCTGGGATTACAGGTGCGCGCCACTACCACCCAGCTAATTTTTTTATTTTTGGTAGACACAGGGTTTCACCATGTTGGCAATGCTGGTCTCGAACTCCTGACCTCAAGTGATCTGCCTGCCTCAGCCTCCCAAAGTGCTAGGATTACATGCGTGAGCCACCGCGCCCGGCCAGAATTTGGCAGATTTCTATCAAGTGAAACATACATTTACATAAGACCCCACAATTCCACTTCTAGGCGTCTATCCCAGAAAAATGAACATTTATGTTTGCACAAAAACCTACACATGAATGTTTACTGTAGCATTATTAATTGCCAAAAACTAGAAACAACTCAATGCTCATCATCTGGTGAATAGAAAAATATATTGTAGTATATACCTATACACTGCAGTCCATCTCACCAATGAAAAGGAACAACTATGAATACATGCAACCACATAGATGACTCTCAAAAGCATTGATGCCCAGCAAAAGAAGTCAGATTAAAAAGATTATGTGCTGTATGATTTCATGTACATGGCATTCTGGAAAAGGCAAAACTATAGAGACAGAAAACAGATCAGAGGTTGTCTGAGGCTGGAGGTGGGAGGAGGGGTTGACTACAAGGAGCAGGAAAGAATTTTCTGGGTTGATGGAAATATTCTATATCTTGATTGTGGCAGTGTTTACACATCTGTTAAAAATTTGTCAGATCCCATATAACTGTACGTTAAAAAAGGGTTAATTTTACAATATGTAAATTATACTTCAATAAACTCCCACCAAACAAACAAACAAAATACACCTGGCACTTGATAAATGATCAGCTAGGTGTTAGTCGAATGCCTGATGAATGAATGAACCAAGAGGAGTAACCCAGAAGGAGGGGGAGGTGTGGGCGGGAATGTTGGAGATGGGGGTTGAGGAACCTGCAGGACCTCAGGGTTGGGGTGACCAGTGGGCGGCAGGACATTCAGAGTGGAGACCTGGGTACCATGGGACCTTTGACATGGGCTGGCCTTTCCCGCTCTCCTCTCCTGGCCCCTCCCCCTTCCCCAGTGAATGCCGTCCCAGGCTCCTGCCTCCTGGAACGGCAGTCTTCCACTCAAATATGCCCCCCTCAGAAAGATTCACTCACACGGCTGCCCAGGTTCAAGTTCCTCTGGGCTCTGAGAAAGGCCTGTATGTGCAGAGAGAGCCCCAGGCTGCACCTGCCAGGTCTTTCTGGCTCTTTCTAATCTCCGCCCGAGCCTCAGGGAACACAGGACTCCCCTCCTCTGTTGCAGGCACAGGGTGTCACCCACCGCAAGGTGTAAGCAGAGGCCAGAAGACACCTCTTCCCCACTCACTGCCCCTGTCATTGCTCTGAAGAGCCTCATCGAGATGTGGGGGGCAGGGGAGCCTGAGGGAGACACAGTCCCTTTCCTGGGACAGCCTTGGTCTAGGACGATGGGGGAACACAGACCTCACCCCTTAAAGTTCCCAGGCTGGTGGCGATCCACACGCCTTGTGATTCTCAAGCCTGACGACCTCCCCAGTTGGTTAAGCCTTTATTATATCTTACTTTCCTGAAGACGAAGTTACAGAAAATAAACATGCTTTAACTATTGCTAAATATGTTGAGCAAGGAGGGACGAGGTGGGTCCAAACTTGTGAGGGGAAGCCGGGCATGGTGGCACGGGGCTGCAGTCCCAGCTACTTGGGAGGCTGGGACAAGAGGATCGCCTGAGCCCGGGAGGTTGAGCTGCAGCGAGCTATGATCGTGCCACTGCACTCCAGCCTGGAGACAGAGCAAGACCCTGTCTCTAAAAAAAAAAAAAAAAAAAGACTGGGCGCGGTGACTCACGCCTGTAATCCCAGCACTTTCGGAGGCCAAGGTGGGCGGATCACGAGGTCAAGATATAGAGACCACCCTGGCCAACATGGTGGAACCCCGTCTCTGCTAAAAATACAAAAATTAGCTGGGCGTGGTGGCGCGCGCCTGTAGTCCCAGCTACTCTGTAGGCTGAGGCGGAAGAATCGCTTGAACCCGAGAGGCGGAGGTTGCAGTGAGATGAGATGGCGCCACTGCACTCCAGACTGGCGACAGAGCGAGACTCCGTCTCAAAAATAAATAAATAAATAAATAAACCAAACTTGTAAGGGAAAAGCCCAGAGTCAGCAGCGAAGTATTGAGAAGAAAGAAAACTTTTCAAGCAAAAGTAACTGGTCCGGCAGGGTGATTTAATGCCATTGCAAGGCTGTAGGGGGCGCTGGAAGAACACAAGCGTCCATTGGCCGTTCCCGGGAGCGACGCGAGCCTGGGGACAATCTGGAAAGTTTAAGAACAAGGTCCCCGACCCTGGCTGGTCTCTTGTGGCACTTCGCCCATAAAAGTCGAACTATCATCAGACCTGCCTCGCGTGGGTTTTAGGAAGATCAAGTGTGAGCACGTGGGTGAAACACGATAAAGGAGTTATTTGTAAGAAAAAACAAGAAGGCCAGGCGCGGTGGCTCACGCCTGTAATCCCAGCACTTTGGGAGGCCAAGGCGGGCGGATCAAGAGGTCAGGAGATCGAGACCATCCTGGCTAACGCGGTGAAACCCGTCTCTACTAAAAATACAAAAATTAGCTGGGCGTAGTGGCGGGTGCCTGTAGTCCCGGAGCTACTCGAGAGGCTGAGGCAGGAGAATCGCTTGAACCCGGGAGGGGGAGGTTGCGGTGAGCCGAGATCGCGCCACTACACTCCAGCCTGGTCAACAGAGAGAGACTCAATCTAAAAAAAAAAAAAAAAAAAAAAAGGAAAAGAAAAGAAAAGAAAAGAAAAAACAAGAAATGCTGGCTGAAGCCAGGACGAGCACGCAGTCTCGGGTCCTCAGACTGGGTGACTGTTCTAAGCAGGTTCTTGCGACACAGTGGAAGGAGCACCTGCCGTCAAAGGACCCGGTCTCCATCCTGACTCCTATACTGCAGAGCTGTGTGGCCCTGGGCAGCTCCTGGAGCCTGTCGGAGTGTCCGTTTCCCCTTCTGTGAAATGGGGACGGTCCCTCACTGAGCTGCCGCGAGGATTGAATGAGAGAAAAGCGTGGTGTGTCTGGTGCCCACTGTGCCCAGCCCACAGAAGGGGGCCAGAGTAAAATGAAATGAGGAGGGAGGCGCTGGCCTCCCAGAGCTGCTGGGGGAGGCTGGGAGGTAGCGGGGTTGCGGGATTTGGACCGCGGAGCCGGATTCTGCCCAGAGATGTGGGCCCTTGAAAGCTGGCTGGCACCTGGGGCCCAGGGCTGAGGGTTTGGCTTTGCCCTCAAATCCTGGTTGTGCGCCCTGCACACTGGCGGACCCTTCAAGTCACTTTACCTCTCCCACCTCACCTTCCTCTCCTGTAAAGTGGGGTTACTATGCCTGTCGGAAGTTAGAGGCCTGGCAGTTTCTCTCCGAGTCCAGTTTGCCCCTCAGCTCCTCCCGTCCCAGGGACTTTACAGGTGCAGAATCTGAGAGGAGGGAGAGAAGGGAGAAGCTCTGTGTGAGGAACCGGTTCCTGTCTCAGGCCGGGAGAGGGCAAGTGACCTACTCAAAATCTCCCAGGGAGGCAGAGCCAGACGGCTTCCTGGAGGAGGTGGCCTTCTGGAGAGCAAAGAGCCTCCTCTGCACTTAGTAGTATCTTCACGTTTGAATCTGTGTCCCTGTCCCTCGTTCTGTGACTTCCTGTGAGCTCTCCTCTCATTCACCAGGGTGCCTGCCTGTCCTGAGTTCCCAGGACGGGTCATCTTTGAAGGCCTAGACATGAGGCAATCCTGTTTTCAAGGGACTACGAAGTGGAAAGGGCTGTGGGCGCTCTGAACTCGGGGAAGGAGGCTCTGGAGAGTCCAAGACCACAGCCCAAGGGGCATCCTTAAGGAGGGTGCACAGTCAGGAGCAGGGAGAGAAGAGGCTCAGGCCTAGGAAGACTTGTCCCAGGGAGAAAAAAACTAGAAAGCTTTAGGAGAGGTGGTCAGAAGAGCAGGGAACTAACTGCACAGTGTGGAGCTTCCTGGGGTGGGGGCCCCTCCCTCTTAATAGCTGCTTGAAGGCTCCGGGCAAATTCCTGGTGGCTCCAGCTTCAAAATACATCCAGGCCTTATCTTTTAGTGATATATACTGACATTTTTATGGATGAAATAATATGAAGTCTGGGATTTGCTTCAAAATAATCCCGTTGCTGGGAGGGGTGAGAGGTTTATATGAAACATAATTGGCCATGAGCTGATGATGGTTGACGCGGGTCATGAGGACATGGGCGTGCCTCGTCTCACTACATTTGTATACGTTTACCGTTCTCCATCATAAAAAGTTTAGATGTCTAGAGTCAGCCGTTTCTCTCCAGCTCCACGCTCCCTGCCCGGGGCCCAGCGCTCTGGGCTCCTCACGGGGTGGCCTCTTCCGCGGCGCCCTGCAGCCTGTTCTCCACACGGCCGCCAGAGGGAGCCTGCCACGGTGCGCGTCCCATTCACAACCCCGCCTGGCCCCGCTCACTCCCGGCACTTCAAGGCCACACTCCATCTTGTCCCTGTTGCCTCTCAGGCTCCTCTGCAGCCACACTGCCCGGCTGCTCAGCCTCCCGCATGGCCCCAGGGCCCTAACCCTACGTACTGGGGGGAGGTGTCCCTCATGACACTTCAGACATTGCAATAATGCATGGGACTTATACTAAAAGCATTACATATATAGTGTTTATAATATCCCATATTTTATATATGTATATTCGTTGTTTATCTGAAACCCAAATCCAACTGGGCATCCTGTATTACATCTGGCAACCCTCCCCCGAAAACCCTGTGAGCTCCTACCAAAAGAACCATGTTGTCATCCCCAGTGCCCGGTATGCAATGGCGCCCTCTCCTAGCAGAAAATTGCCAAAAAGCAGCCTCTGGGCTAAATCAGCCCCTTACTGCATTGCACAAATTTCAGATCCACTTATTTCAGCGACAAGGTGCCCTTTTGCAGTGCGTGACCTGCCCAACCATTCCTGGCAGCCCTGCAGACCAGAGAAGCAGGTGCTTCCTGAATGAGAGGAGCTGGCCTTCCCAGCTCCTGCTTCTCCCCAACAGAGGGCAAAGACTGGCAGAGAAGGACCATGCCCAGGACTTGGCTGGCTGCCCTCTCTGGGTGCTTTCTCATTCAGGCCCCATCTGGGGTGGGCCTGAATCCTTGCAGTGCCCCATGGGAGTGGGTACAGGGGCTCCGTGCCAGGCGCCAGCTGCCCCCGTGGCCTGAGGGTGCCCACTCAAATCATTCCAAGTAAACATTTGACCAGCCCTGCCCCAGCCCTCATCCCACGCCGACACTTGGCCCTTGTTCCTGGACAGGCCCCTCTGTGTCCCATCCTTTGTGGCTGACATTTCAGCAGGGCCCTGGAAGGACTGGAGTGACCCCATGCCCCATCCCCCTTCTGAAGATAGGCTCAAGGGAGGTGGTCCCAGTGACGGCGGGCTCTTGGCGGGGGAGTCCCAGCAGACGGGCTGTCGCCTGGCTGGGCCAGCCACCTCCTTGAACACCCAGCTTGGGGCACAGGCTGCCGAGCCCACGGGTCTGGCAGTAGAGCCATGGGACGCCAGCTGACTCGGCTGCTTTGTTCCCGGCCTGGAGTGGTCTGAGTGACTGTAGCTCCTTCTTTGCTGAGAAGCCGCAGATAACGCTGGCGACAGGGCCTGATAAAGCGTCTGTCAGAGGCCCCGCTATTCCCACAGGCCCCAAGGGCTCCTGCAGCGCAAGCCTGTCTGGAGATCAGTCCCACCCTGGGGGCTCACCCCTTCCCCACTGGAGGCTGAGGAGCAGGCTGGCACACCCGTCCCTGCCCAGATCTCCCAGCACCCAGGTTTCCACCCCGGTTTCCTGACTCAAAAGTCCCTAAAGCCTCCGGGCCTGAGTGCAGTAAATGAACCCTCTGAATTATTCCCAGGAAGAGAATGTCAAAGACATATCTCCCTCAGTGGAATTCCAGACTGTGGCTCCTGGGGAGCTGTCGGAGATGGGGATATGGAGGCCTGGAACTTCTTTCTGGATCCCCTCAGAGAACATCCCAAGTCACCTTCTATACATCCTCCTTGTTCATGTCACCAGAGCCCACTCTATGCCAGTCTCTGCAATAGGCACAGGGGATGCAGGAACAAATAAGATATGGTCCATGATCACAAGGACCTTCCAGGGAGAGGGGGCTGGAAGATCTGTCCCCCGCACCCCGACCTGACCCAGGCCAGGCCTCCACCCCCAGCCTGCGGAGAGGCCTGGCCTGGAGTAGGAGGTGCATGAGGATGTATCTTGCCAGCCTTGAGGGTGTTGGGGGATCCTGGAGTGAGATTCAGTGCCACAGGACTGGAGAGTTGAAGCTTGAGGGGCCTGTGAATAAGGAGTCTCCAGTCTGATGGAGGAGGCACAGGCCCTGCTCTGGGGAAGACCCAGTCTCATGGGGGTGTCAGAAGAGACCCTTGCAGACACCCAGAGAATAGGCTTTCCTGAAGCCAGCACTCTCAGCGCCCTGAACTCAGGTTCAGGTGTGGGGCCGTGGGCACTGCCAGGGAAGATGCCCCTGACAACGGCAGTCCCCCCTGGGCAGTGTGGGAATGCTGGGCTCCTGGCTGAACCACAGTGAGAACGTGGGACCTGCTGCTGGGGCCACCCTGTGGCAGCCAGCCTGAATAAGGACCTTGCACCTGGTGGAGGTGGAGCTGGAGGTCCTGGCCTAGAGTTAGTCCCAACTCTGCCTCTCCCTCTCTGTGTGACCCTCTCTAAGGGCTGGAGGGCTTCTCTGGGTCACACAGCCAGGGAGAGGGCTGGAGGCTCACAGGGAACTCCTAGAAATAGAAGCACCAAGGGAGAGCCCTAATGGGAGGGCCAGTGTGACTGATGGAAAAGGCCTGGGCCGCCTACCCTCCCCAGGGAGGAGAAGCGCCTCTCCCGGCTGGACTGGGAGTCCTATGGACAGCAGAGAGTAGGCACCCAGGCTGGGTCCTGTGGACCCAGGAACTGCCTTCCCCTACACAGGGCCCCTGGCCAGAGGTTTCAGCCGGGCCTCTCACCAAGATCAGGGACCTTCAGCTCATAGAGGAAGGGCCTGGCATCTCCAGGTGTCCAGGTTACACTCTCGCAGGGCCTCCAGCCCTCTCCTGTAAACCCCATCCCAGCCAGCTTTCCCTGAACCCTCTGCAACCATACAGGCTCAGCCCCAAACACCACGCACCCCAAAACTAACCCTTCCTTCCCTTCTCTGGCTGTGGCTCCCCTCAGTGTCTGCATCCCTTTCAGAGCGGTTCTTCAGCATCATGCCTTCATCCCTCATACAGCCATTGGACACCCAGTGGGGAATAAAATAGACACAGCTCCTGCCTCCAAGGAGTTTCCAGACTCAAGCAGGGGAGCAGACTCTAGCCCAAGAATCAGGCCAATGACTAGAAGACCACAGGGAGTGATCAAGGCGGTGAAGAAGGAAGGAGCCACAGGCTGGATCAGGCAGGGGTCGGAGGGGAGGCCAGCCAGGGGAGGTCTTCCTGAGGAGGTGACATTGAAAATGACACCTGAAGGCTGGCGAGAAGGGAGGGAAGATCAGTTCCTGGGCTGGGTCACGTTCACCTCTGGAATCTTTCCCTTGGGCCACCCGTCTCATGGGTCTGGGGTATTTCCATGGTAAGTGAGAAGGAGTGGCCAAAAGAAGAGTGGGGACCCCAGATTGTAACCCTGAGATAGGAGGGGCTTAGGCTTAGGCGGCAGGGTTTACCCTACATGGTACCTGGCAGACAGGGGTACAATGGATGCCCACCCGATGCTGAGCTGATGATAAAAGTACTCCTCTCGTTAATCTTATAACTGTACCACTTCTTCAGAGCTGAGAGAGGACACAGACCCCTAGCCTTTGCTCAGGAAGGGCCTCCCCACCTGGGCTCGAGGGGGAAGCTTGGCTGGTGCCAAGGTGGCCTAGGTGGCCCAGGCCTTCAGCCTCTCATCTCCCTGCCTCCCCTGGCCTAGCCTGGCTCTGCTGCAGACTTCCCATATTGCCTTGGGGACATCACTCCCCACTCTGGGCCTGGGGCAGTGACTTTGGGGCAGGGTGGAAGGGCATAAGTGGTGCAGCCAGTTGATCCTGGGGGCACTGGGGATGTGGGCCAAGGGAGGCTGGGGGTGGGGATTGCCACTCCATTGTTGGGTGAACCCAAGGCTCCCAAGCTCATCTCTGGTGGACCTTGCCCCTCTGTAAAGGGAGGGGATGGCTCCCCACTCCAGGGTCTCTGCTGCACACACCAGGCCTGGGGACCTGAACGCTAGCAAGCTGCGTCATTGAATGATGATAATCAGCAGCTGGGCATAGTGGCTCATGCCTGTAATCTCAGCATTTTGGGAGGCCAAGGCAGGTGGATCACCTGAGGTCAGGAGTTCGAGACCAGACTGGTCAACATGGCAAAACCCTGTCTCTACTAAAAATACACACACACACACACACACACACACACACACACACACACACAAATTAGCTGGGCATGGGTGGTGCGTGCCTGTAATCCCAGCTACTTGGGAGACTGAGACAGGAAGATTGCTTGAACCTGGGAGGCGGAGGTTGCAGTGAGCTGAGATTGCGCCACGGCACTCCAGCCTGGGTGACAGAGCGAGACTGTAGTCTCAAAAATAAATAAATAAAATTAATGATGATAAGCACAATAATTTTCTCATCACAAAGCAAAGCAACAGAAAAAATAAAGCAAAAACAAAAAAATACAAAACAAAACAAAACAAAACCCAACAGCACAGCACAATATCACCTGACCCTGGCTGGTGCTCTGTCACGGTGGTCACAGCAGTCGATGGCAGTTGATGTCAAAACAGTCTAGACAAAGCCTGGCTGCTGGAGGGCACCCCTTGTCCCTCAGAGTGGCACTAGGGAGGCAGGAACATTCACAAGGCCCTATTTTGAGGCAGGCATAGCTACATTCTCAATCCCATTTATCCTTCACCAGCTCGCTAGGCATTTTGAAACACCTTTTTATTGAAATATAACATACGTCTGGTACAACTTGCATGAATCTCAAATTATTTGATGAGCTCAAGCTTAATGAATTTTCACATAGGTATAAACCCATGTGATACCAACTAGAATCAAGATATAAACCACTTCCAGCCAGGCGTGGTGGCTCACACCTGTAATCCCAGAATTTTTGGTGGCTGAGGCAGGCAGATCACCTGAGATCAGGAGTTCGAGACCAGCCTCACCAATATGGTGAAACCCCATCTCTACTAAAAATACAAATATTATCTGGGCATGGTGCTGGGCGCCTGTAGTCCCAGCTACTCGGGAGGCTGAGACAGGAGAATTGCGTGAACCTGGGAGGCGGAGGTTGCAGTGAGCCGAGATGGTGTCACTGCCCTCCAGCCTGGGCAACAGAGCCAGACTCCATTTCAAAAAAAAAAAAAAAAAAAGGCTATAAACCACTTCCAACATGCCAGAAGCTTCCCTCAGTCCCCCTCCCAGTCAGCACCCCCAAGGGTAACCACTATCCTGACCTTTCTCACCACAGACTAGCCTCACCTGTTATTGAATTCGGCTTAATGGAATCACACAGCTCCTATTCTTGTGTGTCTGGCTTCTTTCACTCAACAAAATGTCAGATTCTTCCACGTTGCTGCATCTATCAGCAGTTTCATTATGTTGTTGCTATGAAATATTCCACTCTACAACTATCCCACACGGCTTCAGCCATTCTTCTGATGATGAGCCTCAGGGTTGACTCATTTGGGGCCATTGTGAACAACCCCCACGAACACCTTGTCCGTGCCTTTTGGACACGTGTGCTCATTTCTCTTGGGTCTGTAGCTAGGAGTGTACCTGCTGGGTCAGGGGGTGGTGGACCCTTAGCTTTCATAGCTATTTGTGCTGCCAGTATATTTAGCCAGATATGGAAACGGAAGTTCAGAGCGTTTAAGTAGCTCTTCCAAGTTCATGCAGTCACTCAGAGGTGAAGCCTAGAATTCAAAGATTTCTGAGTCCAGCATCTTCTCACAGGAGGCCAGCTTCCTCTCTCATCCTTTTCATCCTGCCTTTTAGGACAGGTGAAAGGGGTGTGAGGATGTGGCAGAAGCAGAGAAGCCCCTCAGACAGCCTGCTCTGTAATGAGCTCCTGATGTCCACGCTGCCTGGGACAGCACGGTGCCACCCAAGGCAGGGGCTGGACAGAGGCTGACACGGAATAAGTGGGGCAGCTCGGTGCCTTGAGGGTCCCCCATCCGCCCACCCCCCCACTGTGCGGCCCCTCCCTTCTCCAGTCTCATCCCTGCCCACGCGCTCATCTGTCCCCCTCACTCCAGCCACACTGCGTTCCTTGCTATCCCCCAAAACACCAGGCATGTTTCTCCCTCATGGCCTTGACACTTACAGGCCCCTCTTTCTAAATTTCTCCCCCAGACATCAGCAAGGAACCCCCGACCCGCTACCCCCACTTTTTCATGGCCGCTGCTCAACTACCTGGTCTAAAAGAACACCCCCATCATGCACCACCGCCTCACCTTGATACCTCCATCTGACCTTCTGTCTTGTGTATATTGATTTACTGCCTGTCTCCCCACCCCAGAAAGTGAGCTCCAGGAGGCAGGGCCCCACCATCTTGTTTGCTGCTCTACCTTCAATGTGTGGGGCAGTGCCTGGCACCTTGCAGGTTCTCTAGAGATATTGAATGCAAGAAAGAATGAATGAATGAGCTAATGAACAAATGAAACGCAACCCCTCAGAGCAGCTGGCAGCAAACATGCAGGTGAGGAGAGGCTTTTGATGCCAGGCCTGGCTGTTGATGTCCGAGTCTTGAGAAAAAGCTCCTACCTAGGCATTGGTCTAGAGCCCTGGAGCAGAGTGAGGCGGTGCCCACCCTGACCTTAGTGGCCTCCAGGTGCACAACCATCATAGCCAGCTCTCACGGGAGCCAGACAGACAAGGGCACCAATGTGGATCTGGGCCCCAGCTGGGCTGATCTGTCAGGATAGGGAGATTTAGGATTCCTGGGTGACAAAGGGGAGCTGATAGCTACAGATCTCTCCAGATGTCTTTTCCCTGGGCGGAGAGGGGAGGCAGAGATCATCTTCAAAGCAGGTGGGTCTACGAATAATTGGAGGGGTCCTGGAAGGATCCCATTCCCCCCAACCCCTGCCTAAAGTACATTCCTCATTCCTCATTGCTAATGTTGGCCTGGGAAGCCTTTGCTGGCTTATGTCACAGTTTTGGGCCCCAGTTTGTTCCATCTGTAAAATGGGCAGAACTAGGCTATGAAGTACCATAGAGAAACAGCCCTAGATCAAGGGTCTCTGACATGAATTCTCATCCTCAGGACTGCTGTGTAGCCTCTGGCAAAGCCCTGCCATCTCTGGGCTTCAGATTCCCCACATGTCAAATGAAGGAGTATCTCCAAAGACTGACATCCTCTCTTAGTCGCTGTAAAGCGACTGAGCTCCCGTCCTTTCTCAAGGAAGGGCAAGTTTAGCAAAGGAGGCAGGGAGGGGAAGCCTGGGGAAGAGGGTGAGAATGTGAAGTATGAACCTCACCAGTGTGACAGCTTGGCCCTGACCTGGGCTTGCTGGAGGCCTCCTCTCTGAACTCCACCAAATGCCTGAGACTCGGATAGTGTGGCTGGCTGGGTGGGGAGCTGTCCAATCAACTGCTCCTCTCTCCTCCTGTCAACGGGGCTCTGAGTTCCAAAGGGCGTCCAACAGGAAACCCCAGCTGGGACCCCTCTCCCAGAGTTTGTCCAAGCTGCGCACAGTTCTACCATGGGCCCCCTCGTTGCCACCAGGATGGGGAAAGGTAAATTCGCTTTTCACTCCGAGTCAGAGAGACCTAGTTTTCAGATGCAGAAGGTGAGGTCTTCTTAGGGAACCCAGAGATCATTTGTTTGAGCACATAAGGATGCCCAAGTCTGGGCTTGCAACATTTTGGTGTTACTTCATTGAATCCTCACACAAACCTGTAAAGAACAGAGCATTATTCTCCCCATGTGACAGACGCAGGAACTACCACTCAGAGAGGCTAAGTGATGTGTGCAAGGTCACACAGCTAGTGAGTACCAGGGCCAGAATGTAAAGCCAGGTCTGCCTGACTCCAGATCTGGGCTTCACGCTTCCTCTCTTGTCAGAGGAAGGGGTGCAATCTTGTGCTTTGGGGGCTCAGGAGCCTGAGAGATCATTCTACCAGCAAGGGCTGGGAACTTTGCACCTGCAGTCTGCTTTATCTAAAAAACCTTCCCTTAGAAAATTGCCTTGCTAAATCTCACGCTTTGCTCAGGTCTCAGCTTAAAGGGCACTGTCCCAGGAAGCCCTTCCTCTGGGGCCACTGAGTCTCAAATAGAACAGCTCCCCCGTCTCCCACAATGCCTTTTCCCCTTGCCTCAGGTGATGAGGAGTCTCCCTGACACCCATCACCATCTGCAGCACTATCTTGTCTGAGATGTGTATTCAAGTGTTTATTGCTTGTCTCCACCAAAAGAACATGAGGCTTTGCCTGTCTCATTCACCCCTCCATCCTCAAGGCCTAGCAGCATGTCTAGCGCATAGTAGGTGCTCAGTCAATATTTGTTGGCGGAAGGCATGAGTGACTGCCTTTTTCCTTAATAAGTTTAAGAAGAAGGAGTATCTATGATCTGCTAGGCCTGGAGGAAAGAGTTGACCCTTGAACCCTTGGACGTCTCATTCCAAGCGTCGCCGCTGTCAGTTGTCAGCCCAGCGCTTGCACGGGGAGCCGAGGCTCTCTCTGCAGCTTCCAGGGCGCAGGACATGAGTGGCAGATGAAGCAATTCACTAAGGGCTGGGGCGCTGGCCCCACGGCGCTCTGGCCCGGAGCCCAATGCTCTTTCTAAGAGCCGGGGCAGGGCCCCGCTACGGGAGAGGGGTGCCGAGAGCCCCGCGTCCTCGCCGCGCGTCCCCCGCGGAGCCCCGGGCCGCCCGACCTGGCCCCGCGCCCGGAGCCGCGCCCTCCCTCCCCGCCCGCGCCGGCGCCGCCGCCGCCCCCTGCCCTGCGCGCGGCCCCCGCGCTGCCAGCGGCTCCTTCCCCAGCGGGGGCCGTTCTCGAGCTCAGTACCGGCGCACTCGGACCCGGGCCGCCCGTGACCCCCCGGGATCCCCCGGACCCCGGCCCGCCCGCCCCGGGCCCCCAGACTCGGGGCGCCCGCAGGCCCCGCGGGGCACGGGAACCGGCAATTTCCCCGGCCGCCGCCCCGCCCGCCGCCCGCTCTGTACTTAGCTGATGACGGGTTCCGCGGCCCTCGGCGGGGCGGGTGGCGGGTTCAGGGCGGGCGAAGCCGGCCCAGCCGGTCCCGTGCTCGGCTCGCAGGCGGCCGCCGGGCCTGTGTCATCCACCAGGAATTTCTGTTTTCCCCTCCGCGGGGCTGGAAGAAAAAACAATAATTAGGTCACTGGGCAGGCGGCAGAGAGGGTGTGGGACAGGCCAGTGGCGCCCTGTTGGGCAGGGAAAGGGTTTGGGAGGACGGCGGGGAGGGGAGGGCCCCGCAGCGCTCTCCTTCCTGCCCTCCCCAGCCTCCCGCGGGTGCAAGCAGGGGCAGCCCTGACCGTCCCCACCGTTCACTCATTCCACAGGCGTTTGCTGTGCACCTCTTGTGCACCAAATTCGATGCTAGGCGCTGGGAATTCAGCAGTGAGCAAAAGAGAAGGAAGGACCTGGTGAAAAAGATAAAAAGACAGAGAGGCAGTCAGGCGGTGACCACACGGTGGGAGGCCACTGCACAGGCAGAGGCGTTTCAGGGTATATGGACGGGAGCCAGGTAGTTATGGAAGGCTTCCTGGAGGAAGTGGCACCTGCTCAGAGGCCTGAAAGAGGAATGGGCCTTGTTGTGGGGAGAGGCAGGTTGGGTACTCCAGGTAGAAGGAGCGGCAGGTGCAAAGGCTTGGCGGTGAGAAGACAGGGCACACGGCAAGGACTGAAAGCACAGCAGAGAAGCATCGCATGAACTTTCAATCCTCAGGGTGACTCTGACGATTAAAGACGCATATTTTTGATCCCATGAGGACCCTAAACGCAAGCCAGCGACTTTATCTGGTGCTCAACTGAAGATATAGCCACATTTTCCCACATTGGAGGAAGACTGTTTTGGACTTACTGAGAGGTACTAAGTCCGGGTACTGTACCTATGAGTGACTGAAGACATTTTCAAGGGGTCGTCTGGACTTAGCACATTTATCTCCTTCACTCCGACCTTAAGACAACCCCCACTGTGAAGGACAGGATGCCAGGACAGGGGCACCTGCCTGAGTCATTTGGAGGATGAGCCGTGAGACTGGGAAGGTGGACAGCATCGGGGTATAAAGGATCTTGCGGGTTATGGTACCGACTTCAGACTTAAGAGAACCAGGGAGCCATGGTTTACAGCAGGGAGGTGGGGGACAGGATCTGATTTCGGAAAACTTAATAGCTCACAATAGCCACGATTTATTTGGCTCCTATTACATGCTGGCACAGGACAGGTCTGATATTTTACATACATTTTAGTAAACTTGACAATAATCCTGTGAGTATGGTGCTAAGTCTCATTTCATAGAAGAGAAAACAGGCCAGGGAGGTCATTTGCCACACGTCTCTTGCCAATAAGGGGCACACCCAGATCTCCAATGTGCTGGGCCATGTTCTGGGAGCTCTGGTGAAACAGACAGGCTCTGCCCTTACCCTCAAGGAACCTGTTTTCTGCTGGGGGAGATGAATGTGAGGTGCCTTAGTCAGGGTCATGTCAGAGTGGAGTTGACTGCTCTCTGGTGTGGCCCTCCAGGGGTAGATTGTCCAAGACTGGGATGGCGATCCTACTCCAGGGTCATCCGGGAACCCAGGCTCCTTCCCTCTTGCCGTTCTGCCCTCTTGGGATATCCACTGTGGGCTCCCATCTACATTCTGGGCAGAGGAAAGGGATAGAGGGACATGTCCTCTCTCCTTAGATAACATCACTTCTACTTACAACCCACTGGCACAACTTAGTCCCATGTCACACTTAGGTGGTGCAAGGGAAGTTGGGCAATGCAGTCTTTAATAAGGCAGCCCAAGTGCCCAACAGAAACAAACAAACTTTTCACACTGTAGAACAGGGGTTGGTGAACATTTTCTTAAAGGGCCAGACAGTAAATATTTCAGGCTTTGCAAGCCATACATTCTCTGTGGCATTGCCTACCCTACTAGAAAAGAGTGAAAGCAGTCATAGATATAGAAACAAATCAGCCTGTCTGCACTTGCAATAATATTTTATTTATGGACAATTAAATCTAAATATGATATAGTTTCTATGATTCACAAAATATTTTATTTTCAGTCACTTAAAAATGTAAAAAAAGGCCAGGCCCAGTGGTTCAGACCTGTAATTCCGGCACTGTGGGAGGCTGAGGCAGGCAGATTGCTTGAGTCTAGGAGTTTGAGACCAGCCTGGGCAACATAGGAAGACCCTGTCTCTACAAAAAACTAAAATTAAAAAAATAATAATTAAAAAAAAGCCCAGCATGGTGACTTGCTCCTGTAGTCCCAGCTACTCTGGAGGCTGAGGAGGGAGGATTGCTTGAGCCCAGGAGGTCGAGGCTGCAGTGAGCCGAGACCGTGCAACTCCACTCAGCGTGAGTGACAAAGGGAGACTCTGTCTCAAAAAAAAAAAAAAAAAGTAAAAAAGAATACTTTTGTGCTTGCAGGCAGCACAAAAATAGGTGGCAGGCCAGATTTGGCCTACGAGTTATAACTTGCTGGCCCCTGCCATAGAAGAAGGGAAGGATGGAGATTAGCAGACCACCAGCAGCTTGTGCCGCAGTAATCAGGCATAAGACGAGGCTATATGGGCTCCCAGCACCCCAGAAATAAGTCCTGGGCTCTGAGAACTTGAAGAAAGAATGAGGCTGCGTGGAGGATGTGTAGGACTTTGATAACAGAGAAGTTGGAGAAAGGTGATCTGGGCTGAGGGCACAGTGATGAGAAAAGGCTGGGTGCACAGAAGTCAGGCATGGCTGGACCACCCCACAGTTTGAGGGATAGAGAGGGAGGGCCCAGCTGAATGATGATGAGCCTTATCCACATCTGCCAGGCTGCAGGCTTTTTGTTTCCTATGGGCACTGGGGAGGTGGGGAGTCATGTGATCACAGCTGTGCTCCATGAACTTAATTTTGAGTCATTTCATATGGCTCTGTTCCTCCAAGAAGCTGGCTCTGATCTCCTTAAAACCCATCTCTTTCTAGCCTGGGCCCTTTAGTGGCAATCCCCATGGGCCTTGGATCACGTAGCCTCTCCTTACTGTCTGTGTAGGAGGACATGAGTTCTTGGTGGGAAGACAGACAAAGCTGTGTCCCTCACAATAAGCAACATGAAGTCCTAGAGGAGGAATATACCATACAGGCCAGCATGTTAGACATGCTTTCACTTTTTCTCAAAACACACACACACACTATATCTCTATCTGTATCTGTATATGTATCTCTGTCTAGATCCTCATTTGTCTCTGCATCTGCAGCTGTATTTGTATCCAAGGCCACATCCATATATGAATCTATATCTACATCCATAGAGCCACCACTTACCCAGTATCCAAAACATCAGTTTAAGAATAGAAGCTTTAGTGCCGAAAAGGTAAAATAGAGTAGTCCCTCAGTATCCATGGGGGATTGGTTCCAGGACCCCCATGCATACGAAAATCCACAGATGCTCAGGTCCTTATATAAAATGGTATATTATTTGCATGTAACCTACACACATCCTCCCATATACTTTAAATTATCTCTAGATTACTTACAATACCTAATACAATGTAAATGTTATGTATATAGTTGTTATACTGTGTTATTTATGGAACAATGACAAGAAAATAGTTTTTACATGTGTAGTACAGACATAACCATTCTTTTTTTTTTTTTTTTTTTTTTCACATATTTTCAACCCATAGATAGGGAGAACTGATGGTAAAGTGAAGGCTGAAACCAGCCCCTAGTGGCAAAGCATGGAAACAGAAAACTTCACAGCAGAGACCATCCTTTCACTTCCCGTCGACATCCTACTGGAAGTTTCCTTAATAAAAATATTCCCACGTATAATACTTGATTTACCTGAACAACAACAACAAAATACTTTCAGTGTAGTTATGACAAAAAAATTAATTTTCCTAAATATGTTTTCTTATAAAATTGGGGTGTTTCATGTATATCTGTGGGTTTTATAGGTCAGCTAATAGGGGAGCTGCTTGGTCAATAGATGCAAAGATGAACAAGACAGGGTGCTGCCCTTCACGATTCTTCAACACATCCCACTCCCTCAAAGGAGTTTGTACCTAGACAGGCACTCAGGGACTCTGCAAATTGCCCTCGGTCTGTGCAGGCCAGAGGTCCCCAACCTCTGGGTTGTAAACTGATACTGGTCCACAGCCTGTTAGGAACTGGGCTCCACTGCAGGAGGTGAGCAGCGGCCCAGCAAGCATTACCGCCTGAGTGCTGCCTCCTGTCATATCAGCTGCCACATTCGACTCTTTTTTTAGGGGAGGAGATGAAGTCTGTCGACCAGGCTGGAGTGCGGTGGTGCAATCTTGGCTCACTGCAACCTCTGCCTCCTGGGTTCAAGCAATTCTCCTGCCTCAGTCTCCCTAGTAGCTGGGATTACAGGCACATGCCAACACGTCTGGCTAATTTTTGTATTTTTAGTACAGACGAGGTTTCGCCATGTTAGCCATGCTGGTCTGAAACTCCTGATCTCAGGTGATACACCAGCCTCAGCCTCTGAAAGTGCTGGGATTACAGACGTGAGCTACCACGCCCAGACAACACATTAGATTTTCATAGGAACGTGAACCCTCTTGTGAATTGCGTGTGCTAGGGATTTAGGTTTCGTGCTTTTTATGAGAATCTAACTAATACCTGATGATCTGAGGTGGAACAGTTTCATCTCAAACCATACTCCCTCTCCCCACCATGATATGTTGAAGAATTGCCTTCCACAAAACCAGTCCCTGGTGCCAAAAACGATGGGGACCGCTGCTTTAGGGAACCATCAGGAGAGTGATCTGGAAGACAGCATGCCCAGGGCGCTGGTTCTGCAAGTGTGTTCCTAGACTGGCAGCATCAGCACCACCTGGACCTTGTCAGAAATGCAGCTTCTCAGGCCCCACTCAGACCTACAGAATCAGAAACTCCAGGCACAGGGCCTAGCTCCCTGGGTTTTAACAAGCCCTTCAGTTGATGCCAGTGAAAGCCAAAGTTTGAGGACCGCTGACCTAGAGCCCTGGGCACTGGGCTGAGAGTCAGAAACCCTCATTCTCATACTGGACTTGGCACTCCAGGCTCTGTGATGTTGGGCAAATCTGGCCCTTTCCACTGGCCTGAGTCCTTAGGTGTAAACTGGTAAGTTCAGTCCTGACTGAGACTGAGGGTGGGCCATGGTCCCTAAGATCTTTCTCAGCTCAGACAGCCCATGATCTCTCCACCTGACTGTTGGGAGTAGGGCCTTGGCCTTGAAGCAAGGGATGCGCCCTCCTTTAGAGGGAGATTCTCTAATTCTGCAGCATTCTGGTGGCAGGACTGTAGAAATTTGGGTCCTGTCGGACTCCCTTGAGTGTCCCGGTCTAGGCGGAGGTCCTAGCAGATGCCGTGCCTCCTGCCTTTCCCTGGGCTCTCTGTAGTCTGAGAAGGACGGCGGAGTCTTGGTACAGACCTGGATTTGTTTGTGTTTGTGTCTGGTGAGTGCTCCAGGAGGTTGTTTATGTTGCCCACTTTTTGCTTGGGCCCAAGCCTCAAATATCTTTCAGTCCCAGGTCCCAAGTGGAGGCAGAGACTGCAGGGCACCAAATCTGCCCTGGCCCCCCATACAGGGGAAACCTTCTGCCCATCTTGTCCAGGCGGGGACTTACAGCTCTTCCACGTGGGATGTCTGAGAACAGTGAGGCTGTGTCCTGAGGATGAAGGACCTCGGAGCTGACCCTGAACAGCAGGAGCCAGGAGCTCCCTCCCTTGAGCACAAGACCGTTAGGCTCCTTTAGGGGCTGGGTTCAGGCTTAAGGTCTTAGACCTCAAAAAACAGGCCTTAGATGGCAAAGGGACACTCCTTAAGGACACATGCATAGTTCTGAGCCCCAAGGAAACCAGGCAGTAGACCTCAGAATCACCAATATCTGCCTTCTTCTGAGCCCTGTTCCACGGGATTCTGTGTGAGCCAGGCTGGGCAGGGGAGGCAGCCTGGTATGCAGTAAAGATCCTGAGCTCAGAACTCAGGACCCTGGGGTCAGGGCTCATGACTTTGCAGCTAACACTCTGTATGACTTTGAACAAATCCATCTCCCCTCTGGGCTTCAGTTTCCTCAACTGGCCAATGGAATCAGAATATATTCTTGACTATGAAGCTCAAGGAAATCAGACAGGTGAAAATGCCTTGTTAAAACTAAGGTAGGGCCGGGCTCATGCCTATAATCCTAGCACTTCAGGAGGCCGAGGTGGGTGAATCACTTGAGGTCAGGAGTTCGAGACCAGGCTGGCCAATATGGCGAAATCCCATTTCTACTAAAAATACAACAATTAGCCAGGTGTGGTGGCACATACCTATAATCTCAGCTACTTGGGAGGCTGAGGCAGGAGAATTGCTTGAACCCAGGAGGCAGAGATTTCAGAGAGCTGAGATCACACTACTGCACTTCAGCCTGGGCGACAGAGGGAGACTCTGTCTCAAAACAAAATGAAACAAAACAAAACTCAGGTAGGACATCTTGAGTTTTCCATGGGTGCTGAAATTAAAGAGCCTGGCCTTGGGCTTCCACACTTGCTTCACTTTCCATGGCTATCAAATGGGCTGACCTCCTAAGGGTGGCAGGGGAAAGAGTGATGGGAAGGGGGCTAGGCACACTGTAAGTGCTTGATTGATATGTGTTGTACTAGTTATCCATTGCTACATAACAATTGCCCCAAAAGTTAGCAACTTAAAACAACAGGTATTTATGATGTCACAGTTTCCTGGGTCAAGAATCTGGGCATAGGTTCCTAGCTGGGTCCTCTGCCTCATAGTCTCTCTCAGGCTGCAATCAAGCTGCAGTCAGGTCAACAGTCATCTGACGGCTCATGTGGGGATGGATCCTCTTTAAGCCTACTCATGTGGTTGTTGGCAAGATTCTGTTTCTGTGAGTTGTAGGCCTGTGAGTCTCAGTTCCTCTCTGGCCTGGCTGGCCTCACTGGCTGTTGGCTGGAGACTGTTCTCATATCCTTGCCACATGGCCCTCTCCACTGGGCAGCTCATGACAGCTGGCTTCACTCAGAGACAGCAAAAGAGTGCCCAAGAAAAAAGCCATGGTCTTTTTGTAACCTACTATCAGAGGGAATGTGCCATCACTTTTGCTGTATTCTCTTTGTCAGGAGCCACTCACTAGGCCCAGCCCACACTGAAGGAGAAGGCATTCCACAAAGGCATTAACACCAGGAGGTGGGGATCATTGGGGGCCACCTTAGAAAGCCCCTACGACACTCACCAAGCCTTGCTCTGAGCCAAGCTCAAGCTCTAAGATAGAGTGAGCGCTCAATGGAGGGAGATCGTGGGGAGAGGCCAGAGAAATGTGTTGCCTGGTGGGCTTCCCAAGACAGGGCCCCCAGGGCCTGCCCACCCTGATCTTTATCGCCATGGCAGGGCCTGTTTGATGGCAGGCGGGTTTGCAGCCAGCAGGAGCTGCATTCCAGGGCTGGGTACTTAACATTCCAGAGGAGCTCTCGCTAATTAGTACCCTGCCCATCCCAGGCCTGGACTACCCGGCTCCCCTGTGTTCCCATGGCTCGGCCAGAGGACTCCCTCGTGGCTTTGGGTGACACTGAGAGGCCCAGAGATGGACTGGACTTAAGCAGGGTCACACAGCAATAAGTCCACTAGCAAAGTCAGGGCTGGGGCTCAGGTCCTTTTACTTCTAGCTTGTGGGCAGGGGGCAGCTGTGGTCAGAACCTTGGGGCCGGGCCCCCTGGGGGTGAGATGGACTAAAGCAGACCTCAGGCAAATGACTGTTTCTCTGAGCCTCTATTTCCTCACCTGTAAAAGTGGAGGGGGCGTGGTTCTAAGATCACATAGCATGTGACAAAGACTGTCCTTGAGCAAACTTTAGACCAGCTCCTCTGAGCCCTCTTTTTGACTAGGCTTCATCCTTGGATCCTGTCTTCAGCCTGCCTAGCCCAGTTTTAGCAAGAATCCTGTTGCATTGATTTAGAAAGAATCCCCCTACCTTTGATGTCTCCTCTTAGTAACTTCCATCCACTGACAGCATGCTCCCACCCCTCATTCTGCTAGTTGGCTGTAAACTCTCAGCTGTCTGTGCTGTTATTTGGGGTTGAATGAGGTCTCCCCCTGTTGTGATAGTCTTGACACCTACCACAATAGTCCTAAATAAAGTCTTCCTTAAGGGAAAACCAGTGAGGGTCCTGGAGGGGATGTGCTGGCTCACACCTGGAATACCAGCATTTTAGGAGGCCAATGTGGGAAGACCACTTGAGGCCAGGAGTTCAAGACCAGCTGAGGCAACATAGCAACACCCTCATCTCCCTAAGAAAAAAAAATTTTGTAATTAGCCAGGCATGGTGGTGTGTGCCTGTAGTCCCAGCTACTTGGGAGGCTGAGGTAGGAGGATCACTTAAGCCCAGCATTTCAAGGCTGGAGCGAGCTGTGATCTTACCACTGCACTCCAGCTTAGGCAACAGAGCAAGACCCTGTCTCTTGTTTAAAGAAAAAAAAAAGTGAGAGAGAGAGAAAGGCCAGTGGGGCCAGAAGTCTCCGGATGCCCTTCTTGTCTTCTCTGGCTGTCATAGTTGCGCCTACTACTCAGCCTCTGTGGCCTTTGGAGCAAACACTCAGCAGCCCTTGATTCATCTGGCTACCCAACTGGTTTTTTGGAGACTTTTTTTTTTTTTCAGATGGAGTTTCACTCTTGTTGCCCAAGCTGGAGTTCAGTGGTGCTATCTTGGCTCACCGCAACCTCCACCTCCAGGGTTCAAGCGATTCTCCTGTCTCAGCCTCCCCCATAGGGAAGGGATTACAGGCACCTGCCACCACGCCCGGCTAATTTTGCATTTTTAGTAGAAACAGGGTTTCTCCATGTTGGTCAGTCTGGTCTCGAACTAGCGACCTCAGGTGATCCACCCGCCTCAGCTTCCCAAAGTGCTGGGATTACAGACGTGAGCCACCGCACCCGGCTAGAGACATTTTTATTTAAACCTTCACTACTATGCCCCAGGGCTAAGCCAGGTGCTTCTCATTCTGAGCTTGAGTGAGCCTCACAAGCAACAGGAAATGGCAACTCCCAGAGGAGAGACGACTTGCACCAGGCCACACCTCACCGTGACCCAGGTCTATGGGTCTTGCTGGGCCAGGCTCTAGGGCCATGCTCTGTGAGGAACAGAACCTGGTTGCTGTCCTTAAGGAGGATCTAAGGTCACTGGGAGGCCAGCAGAGTCATTTGGTATAGGGGTCACCCCCACAAAGAACCCTAACATAGACTTGTGGAGCAACCTTAAATGAAGTTATTCAGAACTTCACAGAGCTGCATTTAGGATCGGACAAAGGAGAAGACACAGATGAAACCCACACCCATCACAGGACTGCACTGCCTGTCAGGGCCGCAGCATGAATTCAGACATTTTTAAACCCTGTGATCGCCATGTGAATATCACAGTTATTTTCAGTTCTATTTTGGAGGATTAAGAGCATTAATTTGTTCAAGATAAACATTTAAAATCTATACAGAGATCAGGAAACAATATCACTCTAAAAGATTTTATTATTGGGACAGTTGGCCAAATTTGAATATGAACCATCAGGAGTTGGCAAGCTACAGCCCTCAGGACAAATCTGGCCTGAACTGCTGCCTGTTTTCATAAATAAAGTTTTATTGGAACACATCCATGCCTGGTCCGTTTCACCTTATCTATGGCTGCTTTTGCACAGTGGGGCGGAGTTGAGTAGTTGCAATTGAGACCATATGGCCCACAAAACTGAAAATATCCGGCTCTTTATAGAAAATGTTTGCTGACTCCTTGATGAGATAATAGCAATGTATCATTGTGAAATTTCCTGATTCTGGTAACTATACTGTTGTTATGTAAAAAAAAAAAATCCTACTGTTAGGAAATGCCCGCTGAAGCATTTAGGGTTAAAGGGACATGTCATCTTCAACTTACTGTACTCTTGTGCAGAAAGAAATGTGGATGTAGTATGCATGCAAAGATGTATTATGAAGAGAGAGAGGTAGGGAATATGATAAAATGTGGGGTAAGAAACTATTTGAGTGAAGGCTATACAGGAGCTCTCTACGATCGTGGTACATTTTCTATAGGTTTGAAATGATTCTAAAATGAAAAATTTTTAAATACGTATATTGATATTTTGCATATTGTTTTGACATTTCTTCCTTGTTTTAAATATAGGAAATCTAAAAAGAAAAAATAGTTCCCTGGGGCCCTTGTTGACCCCCTGAGCCCTGCCTCTCACCACACACACACACACACACACACACACACAAAATACCTTAACACACACACTCCCTGTACACACCCACACGCTCACACTATACATTAACACACACACACCCTGTACCCACCCACACACTCACACACATACATACCCCATTCACACACACATCCCACCTGGCCTCACACACACACACAGACACGCACACACACACACACACACACACACTCAGGCATGTCAGTGTCCCAGCAGGCAGGTGTATGGCCCTCTGCCGCAGGGCAGAAGAGGGGAGGACCGCAGGCCGAGGGAGCGAGATGGCAGAAGGGAGGCCTCTGACGGGGGCCAGGGGTACTCCAGGGAAGAGGCAGGAATTGTGTCAGGACTTGAAAACTAAACCAGAGCTGGTGGAAATAAAAAGGCAGGGCACTTCGCTGAAGGCACAAGCCCGGCAAAGGTGGGGCAGCAGGTGGCATGAGGCATGGCAGGACCCAGAGGCTGGGACATTGACTAGGTGGGAGATGCCCACGGCGCTGAGGATTCTGGGGGGATGCTGCACCCTTCCGCTGCCAGCGGCTGTGTCGGGGTCCTCCAGGAAGAGCCACACGGGCAATCCAGGCTTCTCCTCCACTCAGGCCTGATGCCTGCTTGCTTCTGCTCACATTCCTCAGCACCCAACTCTTGAGGTAATTTGCTAAGTTCACATACACATGGCACATACTCAAACTCAAAACCCCTCCTTTCTTCCGCATTCCTCCAGATCCCCAGTTCCCCTCTCTCAAGGTAACCTTTGCTAGTGCAAGTATGTATGGTTTTTTTCTTTACACAAATAATAGCTTGCTGCATTTACAGGCATGTACCTTGCTTCTTTCACGTATTATCAGATCTTGGATTACTCCATACCAATCCATGCCATTCTTGACAGCTGCATAGTATTCTATTGGATGAGTGTCCCAACATGTGCTTAACTAGTCCCCAAAATGGCAGCAGATTCATACTGGCAGCTAAAATGTCGACAGTAAACAGGGGTAGAGTGTCTACTATGGCTTAGGCACTTGGGAGATCCCCAAGATACAGAAGGGATTGCAACCTGGTCCGTGGGAATTGGAGCTCCCAGGCTCATGGAGGCAACAGAGTGACTAGTAGATGGCAGAGTGGGCTAACAGCACAACAGTCATGCCAGGAAAGGGTCCTTGGTTTGGGAGAAAGGTAAGGAAAAGGGAAGGATGGCATTCCAGCCCAAGGGAGCCATGTGAGCAAATTGGAGTGGTGGAAAGCCAATGGCAAGTTCAGGTACTATGTGAGGATCCAGGTCGGGGAGGGATGGGGAGGAGAATGTGTGGAGCTGAGTCTAGGGAGGCTTTGAATTCCAAGGAGATGGGTGTGGCCTGATTCCTCCTCTTCACCCAGAGGTCTTCCCTTCCAAGATGAGGAAAGGGGCTCAGCAAAAGGAGTTGGAAGGAAAAGGGGCCCTCTAGGAAGGAGGCGGGGCAGAGGAGGCTCCAGGCAGATGGAGGAGTAACTCGTGGTTACTGAGACCCATCCCATGCTGGGCATTCTATCTAATTTAATTTTTGCTACATTTAGTTTTTCTCTGAACCATTGGAGAGTTGGTTGCAGATATCATGGCTGCAGGCGGATAGAGAGTCACAAACACCAGTGCCAGCTCCCTGCAGCCTCTATCTCTCCGCAGCCACACAACCCCAGGCACTTTGACCTGGTGGTTTCCTCTCATTTGGGACTCTGTCCTGTTACCCAAGGTCACAACTCGATTAACTCTCCTCGGGCTTTCAGCACCTCCTGGGTGTCATGAGAGCAAAAACCAGGCTAAGCTGTTGCCTGGCGAGGTGGGTAAGGCTCTGCCAAGGCAGGGAAGAAATGTTGAATGAGTCAGGTTCCTGTCTTCCTCATTCATTCCCTCCACAGTCAGGCCGTGGCAGGGCACTGGGGATTCAAATAACCCAGTGACTAAAATCCAGGGGAAAGTGCAGAGCTGGAGTCAGGGGAGGGTGCAGGGTGTATGGGTCTGAAGTCTATACCATTGGAAGGCTATTTGTACAGAAAAGGATACCAAATTGTGAATGCAGAATTGGTTACAGGGTCTTGGAAAGGGGTGGGTGCAAATGAGAGACTCTGAGGCTTAAATGTCTTTAGCTTCAGGGTAAATTTACCTCTGGCAGGAGGGACCCCCATAGAGCAGGGGAATTTTCCCCACAGACCACTGGGTGCCAGCTCCTCCCATGACGCCACTGTGTCCTTGGGCCCCACTCACCTTCACTCTACCTGGGCGTTGAGTTGGGACAACATGAAATAATAATAGTGGTGCTGGACCCTGGAGCCTTGTCTGCCTCCAGACTTTAATGAGAATATGGTTAGTATATCTCCCCCCTGTTTGCTGTTGGGTATTAGTAAATACTTCTGACCATGTTTGGGATTCCTTTCTACTGCTTTATCAGGCAGGGTTGCCAGTCTGCACATAAATCTTCTTACTATCTATTGAGAGAATGGCATGGTTTCCCTCCACCATCTGTCAATTTAATGGGCTCTGTTGGCAGAGTTCCTGATATTGACCATCCTCACATTCCTAAAATAAACTCCTATTGGGTTGTGAGGTAATATTCTTTTAATTTAGTGCAGTGGTAGATTTCTTTTGTTAATATTTTTCTTAGTATTCTTGCGTCTGGATTCAAAATGAAACCTGTCCTGAGTTTTCTTTGGGCTGTCCATTTTATGGACTATTAGGCAACTATGAACAAGAATGACATAGATCTCTGTGCGTTCATTTTGTTGCCGGAAAGTGGTCCCAATCCAGCCTCCAAGAGAGGATTCTTGGATTTTGCACAAGAAAGAATTTGAGGCAAATCCATAAAGCGAAAGCAAGTTTATTAGGTAAGTAAAGGAATAAAAGAATGGCTACTCCATAGGCAGAGCAGCGGCTTGGGCTGCTAGGCTAAGAATATTTAATAGTTATTTCTTGATTATATGCTAAACAAGGGGTGGATTATTCATGAGTTTTCCAGGAAAGGGGTGGGTAATTATTGGAACTGAGGGTTCCTCCCCCTTTTAGACCATATAGGGTAACTTCCTGACATTGCCATGGCATTTGTGAACTGTCATGGCGCTGCTGGGTGTCTTTTAGCATGCCAATGCATTATAATTAGTATATAATGAACAGTGAGGATGACCAAAGGTCACTTTCGTCACCATCTTGGTTTGGGTGGGTTTTGGCCGGCTTCTTTTCCACACTCTGTTTTATCAGCAAGGTCTTTGTGACCCGTCCCTTGTGCCAATCTCCTATCTCATCCTGTGACTTAGAATGCCTAACCTCCTGGGAATGCAGCCCAGTAGGTCTCAGCCTTATTTTACCCAGTCCCTATTCAAGATGGAGTCGCTCTGGTTTGAACACCTCTGACAGTTTGGAAGGAGGTCCATAATCTAATTCATGGAAAAAATAATGTATGCACTGTATGTGCATACATATATAATTTTTTTCGAGGGAGGGGGTACAGAGTCTTGCTTTGTTGCCAGGCTGGAGTGCAGTGGCGCAATCTCTGCTCAACGCAAACTCCGACTCCCTGGTTCAAGCAATTCTCCTGCCTCAGCCTCCCGAGTAGCTGGGATTACAGGCATGTGCCACCACACCCAGCAAATTTTTGTATTTTTAGTAGACACAAAGTTTCACCATGTTGGCCAGGATGGTCTCGATCTCTTGACCTTGTGATCTGCCTGCCTCGGCCTCCCAAAGTGCTAGGATTACAGGTGTGAGCCACCGCGCCTGGCCTATAATTTATACTTATGTATAAGTATACATAAATTATATATATATGTCATATAGCATGGTCCCTGAGGACCTAAAAGGAAGAAGGTAGGCACAATAGATATAAATAGAGAGTTTATCTGGAATAAGCTTGAGGTTGCAACCTCAGGAGCATAGATTTAAGTTGCCCAGAATATACACTCCAATTAGCAGCAGTTACAAGTGGATTTTTAAAGGCAAAAAAGGGGGGACAGGTAGTTGCCTGATACAAAGTTGTTTGTCAGGAATTCGTGTTGGTTTACAGAAATAACATTGATTAGTGATTGGTATACATTGTTAACCTGTAGGGTATGGGTGATAGTGTCCTGTGCCACATTGTTACGTTAATTTATAACCACTTGCGGCAATTGCAGCAGTTTCAAGAGTTGAAGACATGGCTCAAGGGGGAACTAGGATGTGATTGCTGTCTCATTTTAATGTCTCTCTGGGCCTGATAAAGGGCTCACATTCCTCACATAAAAGGTCTTTTCTTTTCTCATTCCATTTCTTTTGAAACTATATGTTCATAGAATTCAAATGAGCAAATGTTAAATCTTTTAAAGAACAGGAGTGGGCTGGCCTCTGTCTCTGGAGAAGTCACCTGTCTGTACATGGCTGTGGCTCTGAGCATCTTCCCTGAGCTACTGGGTCCCCTGCTATTTCCTCTGGGGTCCCGTGGCTTCCCATGGCCCAGCCAGTATTGCGTCTTCTCTCCATCTGCCCTTCCAAGGACAATCGTCCGCGCCTGAAGGGGACGAGGGCCAAGCCTCCTTTGGTCTCAGTCTTGTCTTGCATGGCTCTTCAGCAGAACTCAGCCAAGGGTTCCAGAGCCCTGAGAGGTGACCATGGCAAAATGGGTGTCAAGGAGAACAGAGGAAAGAAGGTCACAGCCACCTGGGCCCTGAAATGCTTCCTTGAGTGGGTGGCTTAGGCTCAGGGTCAGGGAGAGGGCCATATCTGTCCCAGGCCCATCTGAGCCCACGACTCACTAGCAGGTCTCATTGCTGTGGCAGGACATGATGTCGGCCTCCTTGGCCAACCGGCCTGGTCTGGGGTCTTGGCCAGACCTTGGCTGGGTTCCCCAAGGGGGCCACCTCCAGCTCAGCACTGAAAACTTAAAGGCCAGCCAGCTTGGCTCCTTCTCGACATGTACAAATTTATTTAGTAGAACACAGTCAAATACTCCAGAGAATCACAGGCTCCACAGGAGGCCCAACAGATCCCTCAGCCTTTCAAATGCAAACCTCTCCACAAGGCCAGGTAAGTGCATAAGAAGAGTGCACCACACGGCGACTAGAAGCAGCCAGCCCAGACTCAAGTTCCTTTCAGCTGTGTGACTCTTCTCAAGCTGTTTAACCTCTCTGGGCCTAAATTTTCTCATCTGTCAAATGGAGACAGTAACAATCCCTACCTTATGAAGTCATCAAAAGAATCTAATGAAATAATGTGAACAAAGCAGCTGGTTCAAAGAGAGGTAGCCATATGAGGCGAGATCTCACCATGCTTTTCTTTATCTCACGTGGGATTGTTTTATTTGTATGCAACAAAAACTCACCTAAACTTGCTATAGCAAGAAAAAGAAAAATGTTAGGGGGAGGGATATGGAAATTACAGAAAGGAGCCAGGGGTAACTCCTGGAATACCTGACCAAAGGCCCAGCTGGGATCCCTCTCCTTCTTTCACCTGGCTTCTCCCTGCTGTCTCTGCCCTCTCCTCTCCCAGCCCCTGGCTCTGCCCTCTCCTCTGGTCAGCAGGAGTAAGCATGGCTGTCAACAGCACTTGGGTTGATGTGGCCTCCAGACATGAGGCAACTGAGGTCCTCTGCTTCCAATTCCGAATTCTCTGCAGAAGGCACTGATTGGCTCAGCCTGAGTCAGGTGCTTGCCACCTGGGGAGGAGGGTCACTTTGAACAAACGTGGCAAATCCTGCTGGAAACTGGTGGCTGATGACAGTGCGGAGCAGTTCTTGCAAAGGGCAATGCTGGGCAGACAAAATAAGAGCAGTGAACACAAGAGCTGAATCTTGAATGAGAAGGAAGAAGGCATCCCAGCCAGATGAGACAGACACAGGCCCTGATCCCTGGTTCCCGTGGTTCCCAGTCAATAGGCAAGAGCTTGCCTTCTGTTTTGTTCTCTCCAGCAAAGGCCTGTGCTCTTGCGCACAGTAGGTTCTCCACCCAATTAGACCCTGAACCCCCACCCCACCCTCCTTCACAGAAGCAGAGCAGACGACAGGTACTTCTCTTCCCTTCCAGGTTGGCTGATTTTATCTGTTTGTAAAAAAAAAAAAAAGAAAAGAAACGAAAAACACATCTTTTCCCCCACCCCATGACACCCCAAAAACATACAGAGCAGACATTTGTGACTGGGAAACGAAGATGCCTCTGTCCTGTAGTTCTGCTCTTTGTTCCGGTGCTTTGAGTGCACTGTATTAAAACACTCTGTTGGAATGGGGGGATACACACTTTCTAGTCTGGCACAGGCTGCCCACCCTGGGAGGTTCCATTCCCTGGGCCACATCATGCATTGATTCCCTGTGTGGTCCCCGTGGGAGCTGCCTGAGTGAGTATTCATGGTGGCACTTGGGCTTGCTAACCATGCAGGTCCCCTCAGCCCGTTTCCAGGCTCATGGCGTGCTGGCCTGGTAGCAGGGGCAGTGTCAGATCTGCCTGCAAGGTGGGCCCCGGCAGGCCCAGCCCTCCTGCTGGCTAGAGTTGGCTCTGGGAGTGCTGGGCCTACTGGGGCCACCTTCCAGAGTAGGGGATATCAAAGGCTGGGAGGTGTAGGAGGGAAAGCACGGGTGTCGAGGATGGCTCCCTGAGAAGCTGAGCCCCAGCTGGGCCTCGTAGGCTAGGCAAGAGCACCTTTGTTGAGAGCCCAGGCCCATGAGGAGCTGAAGAGATGTTGGCCTGTTCCACTGCTCTCTTTCAGAGAAGTCTCTGCAGTAACAGACATGTGTGCAGCACCTGAGCTCTTACAAAGGCCTTTCCCATTGAGATCTTGAAACCTCACTATGTCCTGAAGAAGCAGATTGCCACTTTACAGATGGGAAAACTGGAGCTTCAAGTCACCCAGCATGTTGGAAGCAGAGCTGGAGTTCTGTGCCAAGGCCTTGCACCAGGTGCCTCTCCTACTCTTCTGCCTCCAAGCCCAGAGTGGGGTCTGAGAGAGGGGGCTGTGCTTTCCATTACCCACTCTAAGATCCCCTGAGGCCTGAGCATTAACCTCATTTTACTGATGAGGAAACTGAAGAACAGAGAGCTTAAGTAACTGGCCCAAGGTCACACAGCTAGAAATGGGCAGAGCTGGGGCTGAAATCCCAGTAGTGCGAGCCCAGAGTCCAAGCTTGTCATTCTCGTCATAGGAACTCCGTTAACAAGTCATAGGAGTTCCACCAAATGGGATGTGGAGGAAGCACACAGCTACCCAGGGCTTTGCTGGAAAGAACAAAATAGAAGGCAAGCTCTTGCAAATTGACTGGGAACCATGGGAACCAGGGATCAGGGCCTATGTCTGTCTCATCTGGCTGGGATGCCTTCTTCCTTCTTGTTCAAGATTCAGCTCTTGTGTTCATTGCGCTATGATGCGTTCCCTGACCTCTGGGTTCAGAATTAATTGTTCCTCCCCTGCTCCATGCAGGTGACCGGCAGAGCCCCTATCATCTGCAATCTGTAGTTAAATTGGTTACATGCATGTCTGTACCTGTCCTCAATCACCATAATAATGCTGCGTAACAACCCAAAATTGCAGATTTGAACATTTATTTAGCACAGAGTTTGTGGGGTTTGGCTGATCTGGGTTGGGGTCTCTCACATGTAGGTCAGCTTGTTGATCTGTGATGGCTCAGCTGGGATGACAGAGGGGACTTGGCTTGAGGCCGCATCTGGTCCTTCAGCAAGCTAGCCCAGCATGGTCTCATGACAATGGCAGAAGAGAAGAGGCAAAAGGGGAAATGTGCGGGTGCTTTGTCAGGCCTCTGCTGTGCCAAGTCAGCTACCATCCTATCAGTCCAAGCAAAGTGCAGAGGTGAGCCCAGAGCCCAGGTTTGGCAGAACTTTTTACCCAGGGCAGGAGGGTATTGCAGAGTTACTTGGCAAAGGACGTGGTTACAGGCAGTGGGGAAGAATTGCAGGGCCCTGCATGCAACTGATCTGCCACAATGTCCATCTTCTCCACTAGACAAGGCAGTTGTTCCTGAAGGGCTGACTGATCTTCAGTGGACTAAAACTTCTGCTCAGGTTGGTTGGATTTGGGTGTGGGGATAAAAGGCAGGGAACTCGCCATGTCAATCTCTGTGACCTTAAGCAAAAACATCTGACTTTTGCTCCAAGTCTTGGTTTCCTCATTTGTAAAAAAAAAGAAAGATGGAAGCCTGCCCTCCAATGTCACAGGATGACAGGGAATGACGGAGATCTGGGATCAGCCCTGGCCCTGGGAAGTGTGTTTTTGCATCAAGTTAGCGATTCATCATGGTTCCAGGCTCCCACCCCAAATCAGCCTTCCATTCGCTCAGGATGTGGCAGATACCCCATGGCCCTCAAGGCCCTGAATGCCCCATTCCTCCATTCTCCTTCTCTCTCTTCATTCATCCCCTCTTGCTTGCCTTTCTTTCCTGCCCATAGGACACAGGCCTAAGCTGTTCCTAGAAGTCCTCCTTCCTATTCTTTCTCAAGCCAACTCGGCTCACCTGTCCCATCTCAGCAGAAGGCCGGTCCTGGAGCAGCCGCTCTTGGTCTCCCACTTCCTGGGGTAGTGCAGCTTCTGGGCCAGAGCCGGGCCACACCACGGCTCCACTCTCCTAGTCGTGGATCTTGAACAAGACTTTCCACCTATTGAGACTCAGTTTTCTTACCTGGAAAATGGCGAGAGCAGCAGCACCCACCCTGCAGGAACATGGTGAGGATCCAGTTATCAAATATCGAGTGTTTCGGATGCTGCAGCCTCACAGTAAGCCCTGGCCTTTAGGAAGAGTCAGCTCTCATTATCCACTCTTGTAACATCTCATTCTTTTCCTTCCACTCACTTGCTAAATTTTGTAATTTTGGTCAGGCATGGTGGCTCATGCCTGGAATCCCAACACTTTGGGAAGCTGAGGTGGGAGGACTGCTTGAGGCCAGGAGTTCAAGACCAGCCAGGGCAACATAGTGAGACCCCTGTCTCTACAAAAATAAAAATAAAAAACTTAGCTAGGTGTGGTGGTGCATGCATGACTGTAGTCCTCCTAGCTACCTGGGAGGCTGCCCAAGTAGGAGCCTCCCAAGTTGGGCCGGAGAATTGCTTGAGCCCAGGATTTCAAGGTTATAGTGAGCTATGATCGCACCACTGCATTCCAGCCTGGAAGACAGAACAAGACCCCACCTTTTAAAAAAATTGTAATTTTGTATTTATTTGTATTGATGTGTGTCGCCATTTGTTTAAGGCCTTTCTCCCCCGTGTGGCCTGTAAGCCCTAGGAGGGCAAGACTCACCCTCATCTGCAGCTGTATCCCCGGTGCTGGGAACAGAGAAGGGGCTTGAAAAGTGTTTGTGGAATGAGTGATGGCATGAATGAATGGTGGATGAGAGGAAGGATGGACTGTGGCCAGGGAGGGCACAGACAGAGACCCAGTCAGGGGTCTGGCAGGAGTAGAAAAGCCTTCATTATCTTTGGCCAGCATGGCCTGACTATTACAAGGTTCATCACTAAGTCTAATCTCTTTCTATCCACAAATCTTAAATTTTACAGGAACCTGCCCCACCCACTCCCAGACCCTGTACAGGGGATGGACCCTTCTCCTAGGAGTTGATCACCCTGGCTGCAACCCCAGTCTTTGGTGCCCTAAAGCCTGAGGTCTCTCCCTACCGCGTGGGGAGGATCACACAATCGGGCTTACTGTCCACTCTCCCTAACCCTCACAACAACCTGCCAGGGGGCTAAAACGGCTACTGCTTCCATTTCATACAGGAGGAAACTGAGGTTCCTAAGTTACCAAACAAGTCTGTCCCACACTTCACAGAAATATCCAAGAAACTAGCCCAGAGCACCCCAGGTGAATGGATGTTGGGCAGTACCAAGCTTGGGGATCCATTGCCTGCCTGAGCCTTCACCCCTGAGAGTGTTTGGGAGAAAGAATCTAAGGCTGGAAGCGTCAGCAGAGATGGGTTCAGCCCTGATTCCTGCCCTTAAGGGTATACGTGATGGAGACTCATTTTCTGCAGCTTTCAAAGTCCTCCACCCCCACCATCACTCAGGCCTATACGCTCACCGAGCAGGCTGACTGCCTCAGCCTGGACCACAGCCACCCCTGGGGATGTCTTGGTTATTTTTGCCAACCACAAGTGCTGCTGGGAACTTATGAGGGTCTTGGATCCCTAGGAATGGGAATGAGTGTTTCATCCCTGTTATTCGGGAGTGCGCTGACTTGTCGTTACTGAGGCTCGGCTAGGCTCCTTCCTGCACACCTTAGAGCACTGTCAGGTGAGGCTCAGTATTTCCATTAGGCAAATGGGAAATCTGAGGCTGGAGATATTGAATTATTGGCCCAAAGTTACCCAACTAGGCAGTGATGGAAGTTGGGGTGTCTTAACTGTCAGTGGCTTTGGAACCATCTTCCACTTATTTGGGCAAATGTAGTTGCTTGGGTTGCCATAGGGGAGGGGAGGGAGTCATTCCCCTTTAATGGAATTTTTCTTCCTCAAGGACTTGTCTGGCAAATGTAAAGCTTTCAAAATATGAGATGGCATTGGGGGTGAAGTGAAATGGTTCCTTGGTGGATGTCCAGCCTTTATACCAGGCTCAAGTCTCCCCTGTAAAAGCCCCTGGCCTTTGCTCCTATTCTCTGGTCATAGAGAGCCCACCCCTTCAGGGGTCAGGCCCTCCGTTCTGGCAGAGCACGTAGGACCTGCCCTCCTTGAGGTTCCCAGACACTGGCATACTCAGAGATGAAAACATGTTCTCCATAGACCCAGTGGCCTCGAACTTGTCTCTCATTTTCTGAGGCCAGCCCATTCCTTTCCTCCCAGGGAGATCATGTGTGCTCACATAATGGAGCTGTGGTTTCCACTCCAGCCTCTGAAGCCAAACTCCGAGGAGTTTCAAATATCCCCAAGGCCTCCGAGGAGGAAGGCCCCTGAGCATGTCTGGGGAAAGGGCTGCATCTGGTCTGCGTTATCCAGTAGCTGCTGCTGCCTTGAACCCTGTCAGGGAATGGAGGCCCAGATCAAGTGGGGACCTGGAGGGAGGACCTGGAAGGAGAGGTCTCAGCTCCCTGCTAGCCTTCCTCCAGCTGTCCCAGCCCTTTCCATGGGACCACAAAGCTGAGGAGGCCCTTTGTGCATATTTCGACCAGATGCCCCATTTCCCAGGGTGGAAGCTGAAGTCTGAGGTGGCAGAAGCAGCTTTGTGGCAGGACCATGAGGCACTCAGGGCTTCTGATGCTAATCAAGAGTTCTTTCCACTGCCCCATGCCAGATGCTTAAAACATGGCAAGTGCAGGGCAGGGCCTTCTCTCTGGAGGGGGACACTGCCCTGCAGCCTCCTCACCAGTCACGCTGCCTCAAGATGGCACAGGCAGGCGGCTGCTGGCAACCAGCCTGTGCGGAAGCAGAAATTGGCATTAGAGGTTTACATGACTTCAAGATGAAGTGGGGAAAAAAACACCCCCATGCTGCAGGAAGAAGAAATGATTCACAGAAGACATGTGCTTCCCAAGCTAGGAACAGAAAGAGTTTCTTAAAAACTCATGCTTTTTGACCTGCAGAAGCTCCTCCTTACCCCAAGCCCATCTTCACAGATGGGGCTCAACCCACACTTCCTGAGCTCCTGCCCCAAGCCTGGTCTTCCCTCCCGCCAGTCCCATGGGTCATCCTGGTGGGTTTTCACAACAGCTCCATTTCACAGATGAGAGAACTGAGGCCGCCTCTCTCTGAGCAGGGACCCTGTGCTGGGCTGGGGAGCCAGCATCACTGGCCTGGGCTGTGAGGATCTAGCCACTTATTTCAGTTTCTTCCCTGCACTTCTGAGCCTGAGCCAAGGCATGCAAAAGTCCCCTCCTGGGGTTTTCTGGCCTTGCTTCCTGGTGCCCCCCAGACCTTTGTCCTGGGGCTCCACCCAGGGCCCAGTGGGGAGAGGAGCAGACAGCAGAATGGTTATGACCTGATTTTGTTTGTGTGCTTGCTCTCCAGTCCTGCGAAGCCTTCAGGACAACATTTTATATAAACAAGAAAGAAAGAGGGTATATTTTTGGAGATGAGTTTTCTACCTCCCTATCCACACCCAACAACCTAATGATTTAACCTTTTTAAGTACAAAAACTTTAAGCAGTGCTGGAAAAATTTAATCAGTGCTCATTCATTATCCTCAATGTCTGGCAAAGAAATAGAGAGAAAGAAAGGAAGAAAGAAAAAAGAAAGAGAGAGAGGAAGAAAAAGGAAGAAAGGAAATAAAAACCAAATGAAAACCTCCCAAAACTCATGGGAGCACAGAATACAGAATAAGAACATCAGGCAATGCTGATATTGCCCTGTTCAGATTGCGTCTTGGGAGTGCAGAATTATTTGGGCCCCCTGCTCTACTATAGGATCCTTTAAAAATGTCACATCCTGGCCAGGCGCGGTGGCTCATGCCTGTAATCCCAGCACTTTGGGAGGCCAAGGCGGGCGGATCATGAGGTCAGGAGATCGAGACCATCCTGGCTAATACGGTGAAACCCCGTCTCTACTAAAAATACAAAAAATTAGCTGGACATGGTGGCGGGCGCCTGTGGTCCCAGCTACTCTGGAGGCTGAGGCAGGAGAATGGCGTGAACCCAGGAGGCGGAGCTTGCAGTGAACCAAGATCGTGCCACTGCACTCCAGCCCGGGGACAGAGCGAGACTCCGTCTCTTAAGGAAAAAAAAAATGACATCCTCAGGGCACATGGCTCAGCCCGACATTAATTCTCTAAACCTTTGGCTATATGATTTTTTATTTTTCCCCATTATACTTCTGAAACAAAATTGGAAATACTGAGAACATTGGAAATGTAAATTGCCAATATTCCTACCATTATTGCAATCAAACACACATACACACACATATACATTTAGTATATTTCTTTTTTCACTTAGCGACAGACCAACAGACTTCTGTTTAAACCCCAACTTCAGGCAAGTTGCTTTGTGCCTCTGTGCCTGTTTCCTCATCTATAAAATGGGGATAACAATCATGCCATAAAGAGCATGTGAGATAATGTGTGGGAAGTGCCTGGCCCGTAGTGAGGAAGTGGTTCATTAATGATTGCAGTTATTAATGCTGTCATCCTAGACGCTGCCTCTCTAGTACCACTTGTGAGCCCCAGGGGACTAAGATGACCTCTACACTCATTCATTCCATAGCCACTCAGAGGGTGTGTGCTCTGGGCCAAGCCCTGCACTGGGTGGCAAGGGCACAGAGATGAGCATGACCAGGCCTTGCCCTCAGTGCAGGAAATAAGGCAGTTACATAAACAAATAAGTGACAATCTGACAATCTTGGGTGACAAGAGTGATGGTGGTCACATAGGTGGGTATTGTGGGACTCCTTAGTTAGGAATCCACGCAGACTCTGCAGAGAAGGTGATGGAGCAACCAGCTCAGAAAAGAGGAGGAGGAGGAGATGTGTAAAACAACTACATGGAAGGATACTTTGAATAGATGGAAGAGCAAATGGCAATGCCCAGAGACCCAGAGGCCCTTCCTGGGAAGAGCAAGTCCTCGACTCTGGCTACAGCAAACGATGTTGAGAAGAAACAGGGCTGCAGGGTTTAGGCTTGAATGATATGTGGCTTTGGGGTTCATCTTCACACCAACAAGAATGCTTTCAGCTGCAAGGAACAGAAAACTCTGATACAACTGGCATAGCAAGTAAGTGATACAAGATCTCATATGTCAAGATGAGAGGAGGCATCCAGAATTGGTTAATTCAGCAGGTTAATTCAAAATTCAACCACATCTTCAAGGACTCAGTTAATTCCCTGCCTCCACCCCACCATCTTCAGTGTGTCAGACTATGCTCAGACTTGTCCCCTCATGGACCTAAGGTGGCTGTCACAGCTCTGACATCACATGCAGACACATGCAATGTCCAGTGATGGAGGAAGGGCTATAGCCTGTTCCTGGGGGCTTTCCCTTCCTCCTCCAGCTCTCTTTTACAATTAAAAAAACTATTTCCAGGCTGGGCGTGGTGGCACACACCTGTAATCCCAGCACTTTGGGAGGCCGAGGCGGGCGGATCATGAGGTCAGGAGATCGAGACCATCCTGGCTAACACAGTGAAACCCCATCTCTACTAAAAACACAAAAAATGAACTGGGCATGGTGGCAGGTGCCTGTAGTCCCAGCTACTCAGGAGGCTGAGGCAGGAGAATGGCATGAACCTGGGAGGTGGAGCTGGCAGTGAGCCAAGATTGCACCACTGCACTCTAGCATGGGTGACAGAGCCAGGCTCTGTCTCAAAAAAAAAACTACTTCCAGCCAGGCATAGTGGCACACACCTGTAATCCCAGCATTTTGGGAGGCCCAGGTAGGCGGATCACCTGAGCTCAGGAGTTCAAGACCAGCCTGGGCAACATGGCAAAACCCCATCTCTACTAAAAATACAAAAATTAACCAGGTGTTGTGGCATGCACTTATAGTCCCAGCTACTCAGGAGGCTCAGGAGGCTCACTCAAGCCTAGGAGGTAGGGGCTGGAATGAGTCAAGATAGGCCACTGCACTCCAGCCTGGGTGACAGAGCGAGACCCTACCTCAAAAACAAACAAACAAACCAACCTACTTCCATAATTCTCCCAGCTTCTTTTTTTTTTTTTTTTTGAGATGGAGTCTCGCTCTGTCGCCCAGGCTGGAGTGCATTGGCGCGATCTCTGCTCACTGCAAGCTCCGCCTCCTGGGTTCACGCTATTCTCCTGCCTCAGCCTCTCCGAGTAGCTGGGACTTCAGGCAGCCACCACCACGCCCGGCTAATTTTTTTGTATTTTCAGTAGAGACGAGGTTTCACCGTGGTCTCGATCTCCTGACCTCGTGATCCGCTCGCCTTGGCCTCCCAATTCCCTCCACTTCTAACAGGCCAGGAAAACCTGTACTTGAACCAATCTCTGGCAAGAAGAGTGAACTGACATGATTGATTGAAACCAACAAAGCATCTACCCTGGAGCTGGCCCCTCCTAAAGCTCCAGTTGTGGGATAAGGGGGATAAAGGAACAATACTACTGCTCTGCCAGTAAGGCAGAAATTTGGGAGTGCATGAGGAAGGGGCAGTGAGCAGTGTCTGCTAATATCCTGAAAGCAATGGGGAGTCATTACTTAACTTCTCTGTGCCTCCATTTCCCCATCTACAAAATGGGAATAAATAGTACCCACCTCAGAGGGTTATGTTGTGGATAAAATAACTTTTGTAAAGCCCCGAGAATAGTGCTTAGCACATATTAATCCATTATTAAATATGTTATCATCATTATCACCATCATTACACTACCCTTCTCCCTTATCAAAACTCTCATTCTCTAAGTTCATTAAGTCCGAAGATGAAAACAAATGTAGCAATGTGACAATTAGGAGGTCTTTTCCCCTCCCTCTGCCTGTCAGTTTCCTCATCTCTAAAGTGAGATAGTTGGGCCAGGTGACCTCTCCATCCTGCCCTTTCCAGTCCTGATTCTCTCTAGGGTCCATGATGTGCACCAAACTGCTTGCCAGTCCTGGAATACACCATGCTTTAGCCATCCTCCAAGGCTTGCTCAGGCCATCTGAGCAAGTTGCTCAGTTGTCACCTTGGAATAAGCCTCATCTTTTGGGGCTTATCTCAAACATCCCATCTCAGAGTCTCTTCCCAGCCTTACCCCTCAGCTAAGCCTGCTTCACATTGCACTCCTCCTGCAGGGAGTCAGTTGTTTCTGCCCTAGGAGGTTGGTAAGTGTAAGTCTCATAGACAGTGAGCCCTGGGGGGGACCAGTGTTTGAACTTCTGAGTCTCCAGTGACCAGCAGGAAGTGATATACTGCAAGAGCTCAGTATTGTGTTCATTTTTTCTTACTAATAATGTGAGTAGGTAATATTTATTGAGGCCTTACCTAGCCAGGGAGTATTTGAAGCACTTTCCATAGAATGTCTTATTTCATCTTTGTAACACCCTACCCACAAAATAGTTACGATTATTGTCCCTACTTTACAGATGAGAGACCTAGACTTGAGGCTCAGAGAGGTTACGTGACTGAACCAAGGTCACACAGCAGGTGAGTGATAGAGTCAGGATTATATCCCATGTCTGTCAGGCTCCAGAGGCCCTGTTCCCTAAACAATGACTTGATCTCTGTCACATACTAAAGCCTCCAGATGTTGCCTGGATGCCAAGTACACGTAGCCAGTGGTCACTGTCTAAGGCCATGGAACTCTGAAGAGCTGCCTTGCTGTGTTTTTTTTTAATTAATAGGTTTTATTCTTTAGTAACAATTTTAGAGAATAATTAAGCAGAGAATACAAAGTTCCAATATTAAAATATTGCATGCGTGTGGTACATTTTTTGCAACTAATGAACCAATATTGATACATATTAACTGAAGTCCATAGTTTACATTAGGGTTCCCTTTGTGTGTGGTTCAGTTCTATGGAATATTGTTAGAAACAGAATAGTTTCACTGCCCCCAAAATCCTTTTGCTTCACCTATTCATCCCTACCCCTAAACCTCTGGACATCATTAAATTTTTTAGCCTATAGTTTTGTCTTTTCTGGAACAATTGGAAACATACAGTATGTAGCCTTTTCAGACTGGCTTCTTTCACTTAGTAACAGGCATGTGAACGGCTTCTTGGCCTCTGGCTGAGATGAAGTGCAATAACATGCATTTGTGCTTCCCCCATGTCTGTTCATGGCTTAATACTTCATTTCTGTTTACCGCTGAATAACGTTCCATTGCAGAGGTGTACCACAGTTTATCCACTCCCTTATTGAAGGACATCTTGATTGCTTCCACTTTTTGGTAATTATGGACAAAGCTGCTCTATAAACACTCATGTGTGAAGGTTTTTATGTGGACATACGTTTTCAACTCAACCAGATAAGTACCCAGGAGTGTGATTGCTGGATTGTGTAGTAAGAGCATGTTTAGCTTTGTGAGACACTGCCAAATTGACTTCCAGAGTGGCTGAATCATTTTGCATTACCACCAGCAATGAAGAGAGTTCCTGTTGCTCCACATCCTGGCTAGCATGTGGTATTTTCAGTTTGGATTTTGGCCATTCTAATAAATCTGCAGTGGTATCTCATTGTTATTTCAATTAGCAATTCCTTACTGATAACTTAGGTTGATCATCTTTTTATATGTATGTTTGTCATCTGTATATCTTCTTTGGCGAGGTGCCTATTCAGATCTTCTGCCATTTAAAAATTGGACTGTCTGCTTATTGTTACATTTTAAGAGTTCTTCATATATATATTTTGAGACAGGGTCTCACTCTGTCACCCGGGCTGGAGTGCAGTGGCAGTGATCACAGCTCAATGCAGCCTCCACCTCCTGGGCTCAAGCAATCCTCCTGCCTTAGCCTTCTAGAGTAGCTGAGACTACAGGCATGCACCACCATGCCCAGCTAATTTTTGTATTTTTTTGTAGAGACGGGGTTTCACCATGCTGCCGAGGTTAGCTTCATATATTTTGAATACAAGTCTTTTATCAGCTATGTGTCTTGCAAATATTTTCTCCCAGTCTGTGGCTTGTCTTTTCATTCTCTTAACAGTGTCTTTTGCATAACAAAAGTTTTTAATTTTAATGAAGTCCGATTTAAATATTTTTTCTTTCATGGTTCATGGTTTTGGCATTTTTTCCTGAAAACTCATTGCCAACCCAGAGTTACCTAGATTTTCTCTTATCTTACGGAAATTTTATAGTTTTATGTTTTACGTTTAGTTCTATGATCTATTTTGAGTTAACTTTTATGAAAGGTTTAAAGGTCTGTGTCTAAACTCTTTTTGTTTGTTTGTTTGTTTGTTTGTTTGTTTTGCATATGGATGCCCAGTTGTTCTAGCACCATTTGTTGAAAAGACTATCTTTTCTCCATTGAATTACCTTTGGTCCCTTGTCAAAGATCAGTTGACTATATTTACATGGCTCTATTTCTGGGCCCTCTATTCTGTTCCATTGACCTGTTTGTCTATTCTTTCGTGAATATCACACTGTCTTCATTACTATAGGTTTATAGTAAGCTTTGAAGCCAAGTAGTGTCAGTCATCTGACTTCTTTTTCAGTAATTATGTTGACTGTTCTGTTAATATCAAAAAATAATTCACTGAGATTTTAATTGGGGTTGCATTGAATCTATAGAACAAGTTGGGAAGAGTCATCTTAATGATAGTGAATTTTCCTATCCATGAGCATGGGATAACTCTCCACTTTCTTTCTTTTTTTTTTTTTTAAATGGAAGCTTCTGACTTATTTCAGACAAAGTATTAGACTTGCCATTAAGAATCACCTCAAGGGGCATTCCAAGATGGCCAAATAAGAACAGCTCTGGTCTGCAGCTCCCAGCGTGATTGACACAGAAGACGGGTGATTTCTGCATTTCTAACTGAGGTATCTGGTTCATCTCATTGGGACTGGTCGGAAAGTGGGTGCAGCCCACAGAGGGCAAGCTGAAGCAGGGCGGGGCATTGCCTCACCCGGGAAGCGCAAGGGGTTGGGGGATTTCCCTTTCCTACCCAAGGGAAGCCATGACAGACTGTACTGGGAAAACTGGGACACTGCCACCTAAACACGGCACTTTTCTAACACTCTTAGCAAACGGCACACCAGGAGATTATATGCTGCGCCTGGCTCAGTGGGTCCCATGCCCACAGAGCTTTGCTTACTGCTAGTCCAAGATCGAACTGCGAGGCAGCAACCCTGGCTGGGGGAGGGGCGTCCACCATTGCTGAGGCTTGAGTAGGTAAACAAAGTGGCCCGGAAGCTCCAACTGGGTGGAGCCCACCACAGCTCAACGAGGCCCACCTGCCTCTGTAGACTCCATCTCTGGGGGTAGGGCATAGCTGAGCAAAAGGCAGCAGAAACTTCTGCAGACTTAAACGTCCCTGTCTGACAGCTCTGAAGAGAGCAGTGGTTCTCCCAGCACAGTGTTTGAGCTCTGAGAACAGACAGACTGCCTCCTCAAGTGGGTCCCTGACCCCCATGTAGCCTAACTTGGAGACACCTCCCAGTAGGGGCCGACTGACACCTCATACAGCCAGATGCCGCTCTGGGACAAAGCTTCCAGAGGAAGGATCAGGCAGCAATATTTGCTGTTCTGCAATATTTGCTGTTCTACAGCCTCCTCTGGTGATACCCAGGCAAACAGGGTCTGGAGTGGACCTCCAGCAAACTCCAACAGACCTGCAGCTGAGGGACCTGTTAGAAGCAAAACTAACAAACAGGAAGGAATAGCACCAACATCAACAAAAAGGACATCCACACCAAAACCCCATCTGTAGGTCACCATCATCCAAGACCAAAGGTAGATAAAACCACAATGGGGAGAAACCAGAGCAGAAAAGCTGAACATTATAAAAACTAGAGCACCCCTTCTCCTCCAAAGGATCGCAGCTCCTTGCCAGCAATGGAACAAAGCAGGATGGAGAATGACTTTGACGAGTTGACAGAAGTAGGCTTCAGAAAGTCGGTAATAACAAACTTCTCCAAGCTGAAGGAGGATGTTCGAACCCATCGCAAGGAAGCTAAAAACCTTGAAAAAAGATTAGACAAACGGCTAACTAGAAAAAACAGTGTAAAGAAGACCTTAAATGACCTGATGGAGCTGAAAACCATGGCACAAGAACTACATGACTCATGCACAAGCTTCAGTAGCCAACTCGATCAAGTGGAAGAAAGGGTATCAGTGATTGAAGATCAAATAAATGAAATGAAGAGAGAAGAGAAGTTTAGAGAAAAAAAAGTAAAAAGAAACGAACAAAGCCTCCAAGAAATATAGGACTATGTGAAAAGACCAAATCTACATTTGGTTGGTGTACCTGAAAGTGACAGGGAGAATGGAATCAAGCTGGAAAACACTCTTCAGGATATTATCCAGGAGAACTTCCCCAACCTAGCAAAGCAGGCCAACATTCAAATTCAGGAAATACAGAGAACACCACAAAGATACTCCTCGAGAAGAGCAACCCCAAGACACATAATTGTCAGATTCACCAAGGTTGAAATGAAGGAAAAAGTGCTAAGGGCAGCCAGAGAGAAAGGTCAGGTTACCCACAAAGGGAAGCCCATCAGACTAACAGCGGATCTCTCAGTAGAAACTCTACAAGCCAGAAGAGAGTGGGGGCCAATATTCAACATTCTTAAAGAAAAGAATTTTCAACCCAGAATTTCATATCCAGCCAAACTAAGCTTCATAAGTGAAGGAGAAATAAAATCCTTTACAGACAGGCAAATGCTGAGAGATTTTGTCACCACCAGGCCTGCCTTATAAGAGCTCCTGAAGGAAGCACTAAACATGGAAAGGAACAACTGGTCCCAGCCACTGCAAAAACATGCCAAATTGTAAAGACCATCAATGCTAGGAAGAAACTGCATCAACTAACGGGCAAAATAACCAGCTAACATCATAATGACATGATCAAATTCACACATAACAATATTAACCTTAAATGTAAACGGGCTAAATGTCCCAGTTAAAAGACACAGACTGGCAAATTGGATAGAGTCAAGACCCATCAGTGTGCTGTATTCAGGAGACCCATCTCACATGCAGAGACACAGATAGGCTCAAAATAAAGGGATGGAGGAAGATCTACCAAGCAGATGGAAAGCAAAAAAAAAGCAGGCATTGCAATCCTAGTCTCTGATAAAACAAACTTTAAACCAACAAAGATCAAAAGAGACAAAGAAGGCCATTACATAATGGTAAAGGGATCAATTCAACAAGAAGAGCTAACTATCCTAAATATATATGCACCTAATACAGGAGCACCCAGATTCATAAAGCAAGTCCTGAGAGACCTAAAAAAGAGACTTAGACTCCCATATAATAATAATGGGAGACTTTAACACCCCACTGTCAACATTAGACAGATCAACGAGACAGAAAGTTAACAAGGATATCCAGGACTTGAACTCAGCACCAAGCAGACCTAATGGACATCTACAGAACTCTCCACCCCAAATCAACAGAATATACATTCTTCTCAGCTTCTCATCACATTTATTCCAAAATTGACCACATAGTTGGAAGTAAAGCATTAAAAAGTCAGGAAACAAAAGGTGCTGGAGAGGATGTGGAGAAATAGGAACACTTTTATGCTGTTGGTGGGAGTGTAAACTAGTTCAACCATTGTGGAAGACAGTGTGGCGATTCCTCAAGGATCTAGAACTAGAAATACCATTTGACCCAGCAATCCCATTACTGGGTATATATCCAAAGGATTATAAATCATGCTACTATAAAGACACATGCACACGTATGTTTATTGTGGCACTATTCACAATAGCAAAGACTTGGAACCAACCCAAATGTCCATAAGTGATAGACTGGATTAAGAAAATGTGGCACATATACACCATGGAATACTATGCAGCCATAAAAAGGATGGGTTCGTGTCCTTTGTAGCAACATGGATGAAGCTGGAAACCATCATTCTGAGCAAACTATTGCAAGGACAGAAAACCAAACACTGCATGTTCTCACTTACAGGTGGGAATTGAACAATGAGAACACTTGGACATAGGGCAGGGAACATCACACACCAGGGCCCGTCATGGGGTGGGGGGATGGGGGAGGGATAGTATTAGGAGAAATACTTAATGTAAATGACAAGTTAATGGGTGCAGCAAACCAACACGGCACATGTATACATATGTAACAAACCTGCATGTTGTGCACATGTACCCTAGAACTTACAGTATAATAATAAAAAAATAAAATAAAATAAAATTTATTTCTTCTAGTACTGAAAAAAAAAAAAAAAAGAATCACCTCAAAGCGATTATTATTATGGTCATTACCACAACAGCTAGTGAAGCAGGATGGAGGCAGACACCTGTCGGGCCACCAACATGCCTGAGAGCCAAAACCAGCCCTAATTCTTCACTTCTGCAGCCTCCTCCTCAGCCTTTCCCTTAGCCTTCTTCTTCTCCTCCACCTCTCCTCCTTCTCCAGCATTGCTACAATCTCAGCCACCTGACTGGTAGAGACGTGAACATCTTTGTCCACAAGCTCAATCACCTTAATGAGCTTGTCAATGTTGACCTTGCCATTCTTACTTTTATCCAGTGTTGAGGCCAAGCTGATCAGCTTGTTTTCTGGAATGTTCTTGATTTGCTTCATGGTACTGATGAGCTCAGTGATACCGATGACTTTCTCTCCCGCTCCCCCTGAGTCCTCTGCCTGGCCCAGCTTGCCAGGCCTCTGATCCATCTCCAGCTGTGCGATCAAGCTGTCTATCCACCAGATCATCTGCTGAACTCTCTTTGTCAGTGTCTTGCTGGCTTTAGATTTTTCCACATATTTTTCTTTGCTGGTCTTTGAAACTTCCTTCTTGATCTCTTGCAAGTCATCACTATCGTCCTGGACATCCTCCTTCAGCAGCTCCAGCTCCTCCTTCTCCTTGGTTAGGGACTTATTTTGCTCCTTCAGTTTAGAACACGCATCGCTAAGTACACCCATTTCTTCTTTAGTTATTTTCTCCTCCTTCAAGATCTCCAGCACAGGGGCAGTGTCCTTCAGGGCCTCTGAGGGCAGGATAACATCAGGCACTTCTGGCTGCTGGTCAGCCACTGGCCTCTCAGGGGTGGCTTCTTCCACTTCGTTTCTTGGGATAGCTTCTGCAGCTCATTATCCCTGTGCTCCAGCTGGATGGCCGTCTCCTCCTGTAATATGGCCTCCAATTTTACTTTGTTGTCCACCTGCTCACCCTTAACCTTGTCCACTTTCACCTGGGCTCCCTTCACCACTGTCTCTGGAAGAGTCTGCAAGGTGGATTTGAGCTGGTCAGTAGGAGAGAGGGTGTCTGGGAGGTACATAGCTCAGGACAATAAGAGCAGTGATATGGGGATCTCTTGATGCAAATGCAGGTCCAGCCACCGCTTCAGCAGGCTCCTCACATGGTTTTCTGGGACCCCGAGGGCCCACATCCCTCGAGTTCTACATGTCGACAGCAATTCCTTGATATTCAGGCTGTCCACCCCTTCCTCAGCAATCAACTCATTGTTGGCCTTTATGGACCTCAACCTCATGGTGAGCTGGAAGCATAGGAAGTTGTTGGTGCCTATGGCCTGGAGACCCAGCAGCTCACACAAATGCCACCAGCTGCTGGCAGGTGAGGTTATCCAAGGTCAGCTCATCCTCAAATAATTTGGGAAAGCGCATGATTTCTTCATTGTTAGGTCTTTCCTGTCTCTCGGATCTTCTGGAAAAACATGGAGAAGGCTTTGGCAGTCCTCCCCTTGGTTTCTTTTCTCCTCGATGGTGTCCTGGAGAAATGTAGCCAGTTCCAGCTCCCCCATAGCTGCTTCTTCGGTCTCTCCTCCTTGATGGACTGGGTCTCAAATGTGGACAGCAACATGTTGGGAAAGATTTTCACTATGATGGGCAACAGCAACTCCATGAAAAGCACCACTGCAAAGATGAGGAGCGGGACCAGGCAAAAGAGGTCAGCACGGACACGGACAAACTGCCTGTGCTCCCGGTGGTTCAGCATATGGCCACTGAGAATCCCCCAGAGCGAGTGTGTGGCTGTCCTGGTGTCCATCCAGAGAAGGCTGAAGCTGTGGTAACAGTGCTTCAGCCCGTCCAGGACCCTCCGCCCCACAGACTTCACTGGCGCCTCTTCAGGGGGGTTGTACCCGGGGCTGCCTTCCTCCAGCTTCTTGTTCTTGTCGTTGTGGGACTTGACTATGGAGTAGTCGCCAAGGTGGGGAGATGAGTGCCAGCAGCGTGCAGGAAGGTCCTGAGGTCCCATGACCACCAAACATGGTGCCACCGTAGCCACTGTGTGCCAGCGCTCCGGCCTCACAGGCCAACCGCTGAGGTGATGGCATCTGAAGGAAGGTACACCGGGTAGGCGGGGGTGCAGCAGCTAAATGGAACATTCACGTGGCTTGTCAGCCCTGCAATGTTTGTCCAATGGAGATCAGCACGATCCCCCAGGTCACCCCTCAGGGCAGCGACGTGGGATGGTGGGAGGCGGGAGGCCATCCAGCCCTGACAGCTCCTCAGTAAGATGGATGACATGGGCCTCCTGCAGCAGCTTCCTCCTCCTCCTCTTCCTCCTCTGAGGCTCCTGGGCCTATGTTGCGCCTCAACCTGGCCCGCAAGGACAACTGACAAAGGCTGTGGACCAAAAAACAGGTCCAGGACCCAGCATCAAAGGCGGCCAAGCCACTCACAGACTTCCGGGGACCAGGTGAGCAGAGCAGGGACAGGGAGGGGAGGCGGGGTTGCCTTCACCAATGGGCACTTCCGCTCCTGCACACTCCGTTTCTTTAGATGGTTGATCTCTTTCATTAGTTTTATCATTTCCTTGTGTAGATCCTGTACACAATTTTGTTATGTTTATACCTAAATAATTCTTTTCTTTTTTTCCTTTTTTTTGCTAAGTGTTACTGCATTTTAAATGTCAAATTGTAGTTGTTCGTTGCTGGTATCTATGAAAGCAATGGACTTCTGTATATTAACTTTTTTTTTTTTTGAGACAGAGTCTTGCTCTGTTGCCCAGGCTGGAGTGCAGTGGCTCAATCTTGGTTCACTGCAACCTCTGCCAAAAGGGTTCAAGCAATTATCCTGTCTCAGCCTCCTGAGTAGCTGGGTCTACAGGCATCCGCCATCACGCCTGGCTAATTTTTGTATTTTTAGTAGATATGGGGTTTCACCATATTGGTCAGGCTGGTCTTAAACTCCTGGCCTCAGGTGATTCACCCACCTCAGCCTCCCAAAGTGCTGGGATTACTGGCATGAGCCACCACGCCCAGCCCTGTACATTAACTTTGCATCTTGCAACTTTGCTATTTGTTCTAGTCATTTTTTTGAAGTTATTTGGGATTTTCTCCATAAACTATCATGTTATCTGTGAACAAAGACAGCTTTATTTCTTCCTTCCTAATCTATAGACCTTTTCTTTCCTTTTCTTACCTTATTGCATTAGCTAGAAATTTCAGTACGATGTTGAATAGGACTGGTGAGAGGGGACATCTTTGGCTTGTTTCTGACCTTTGCTGGAAAGTATCTAATTTCTCACTATTAAGCGTGATGTTAGCTCTAAGGTTTTGCAAATATTCTTTACCAAATTGAGGAAATTCTCCTTTGTTCCTACTTTCTTGGGAGTTTTGTCATGAAAAAGTGTTAGATTTTGTCTCTTTACTTTTCACCTTTATAGTTAAAGTGGCTTCTTGTAGACAACAGAGAGCTTTTTTTATTCCTCTGACAGCCTATTTTTAATTGGTACATTTAAAGCATTCGTATTTAAAGTGATTATTGATATAGTTGGATTATTATGTATCGTGTTTATAATTGTTTTCTATTCACTGCACTTGTTTCTTATTTGTTTATTTATTTTGAGATGGAGTTTCACTCTTGTTGCCTAGGCTGGTGTGCCATGGTGCAATCTCGGCTCACTGCAAACTCCGTCTCCCAGGTTCAAGCAATTCTTCTGCCTCAGCCTCCCAAGTAGCTGGGATTACAGGCACGCACCATGCCCAGCTAATTCTGTTTTTTTTTTTTTTTTTTTTTTTTGTGTGTGTGTGTGTGTGTGTGTGTGTGTGTTGGTGTTTTTTGTTTGTTCGTTTTTTGGTTTTTGGTTTTTTTTTAGACAGAGTCTCACTCTTGTCACCTAGGCTGGAGTGCAGGGGTGCAATCTCATCTCACTGCAACCTCTGCCTCCTGGGTTCCAGTGATCCTCCTGCCTCAGCCTCCTGGATAGCTGGGATTACAGGCACCCACCACTATAGCTGGCTAATTTTTGTATTTTTAGTAGAGATGAGGTTTTGCTGTGTTGGCCAGGCTGGTCTCGAACTCCTGACCTCAAGTGATTCGCCCACCTAGGCCTCCCAAAGTGCGGGATTACAGGCATGAGCCACCATGTTTAGCCTGAGTTTTTATTTTAATCTTACTAGAGCTGAGCTGTGTTTAAGGTTTGCTATAGTTATAGGTGCCAAAGGCTTTGGTTTCCTCTAATTTCCTTGGTTTGTTTTTTCTCCGTGGTTAACTTTGGGTTTCCCTAAGAACTCCTTCTTAAAGAGTCTGTGTCTTACAGCTGTTACATTTGTAATTCATTGTTATTATACTGAAGACCTGTTGTGGTGGTGGAAATAAAATGTTGGGGAGAGGAGGCACTCTATACTTTTATTATTAAATCTTAGTTTTTTCAGTTGGCCTGAGCCCCTGGGCTGTGACCCTCAGAAGCATTTTTTGGCCCCATTATTTTTTTCCCTTCTCCTTAAGTAAGAGAGACAGGAAGGATGGAGGGGGTTGAGTTGTCTAATTGCTCAAGTCAGACGAGGCTCTGATAAAGTAGTTTCTCGGGAGGGTTGGTCTTTGTTACTGAGAAAGCTCTAGGGGTATTTCAAATGGTTATTTTTCCACTCTTTTTGTCTGGAACAAGGGTTTTTTTTCTCTGATCTTCCCAATGTCAGTCTGGAGGGGTTCCTGGAGGTAAAACCCACTTACGTATTGAAGGGAGACCTACAACTAGGCCCCCAGAAGTTTTTAATTTTCAAGCAAGTTCATTCTTAATTTCCAGAAATTCATCAAAATTACTATTCAAGTGTTCCCAACAGTTCCTGACTCCAGTGGTTTCTGCTTCAAGTAAGCTGATCTTGGCTGTATTCACTCATCTCCCCAGATTTCAGAGTGGCAGTTTGCCCTGTGACCTTAATTCTCTGAAGAGAATTAAGAAACATTGTTGACTTTCAGTTTGTTCAACTTATTTCATGGTGTGAGGATGGGTGTGACAACTTCCAAACTCTTTATACATCAGAGCTGAAACCAGAAGTACCCCATGCTGGCGTTTTAACATATCTGCCAAAGGCCTGCCTCCCAGTCATGGGACAGGGGGACAGAAAACTGTGCAGGGGAAGCAAAGCCAGGAGAAGCCAAACCCATGATAGGTCCATTCAGTAGACCTGTCCCGCTGTCCTGCAAAAAGGAGGCCCAACCAGGGGAAACCGAGGACCTAGGGAAGGAGCCACAAGCTTCATGCCCAAGAGCTCTCAGACTCCCTGTTCCTCTGCCAGCCCTGGCCTTCTGGATCCCCCTCTAGGGCTTGAGTTGGGTTGCAGTGGAGGAGGAAGCATGGGGCACATGAGGGTGGCTGAGGTTAAGCTGGCCAGGCAGACCCATCAAGCACTAGCTCCACCCCTCACTAACTGCAATACCTTGGCCTGGTCACTGCCCTTCTGGGACTTCAGTCCCCATCTGTAGGATTATAAAATAACAGCACTATTCTGGTGTAACTGTGGAAGGGAAGAAAGTGCCTGGCACTGAGCCTGGCATACCCCAGTGTCATACAAACACATTTCCTTCTTCCCCCTACAGGAGTCACCTCCAGTCCAGTATCCCTGCCTTTGCACTGCTTTCCTTGACTCCTCACAGGTAAGCACCACCTTCCCTTCATCCCACCCCAGCCCAAGGGCCACCCAGAAGAGGGAAAGATGGAAGGCTCATAGCAAGTGACGAATGTTAATGGCGGTGTGTGCCAACCACTCTTCTAAGCATGATGTATATATTTGCTTAGATATATGCACCAAAAAAAGCTATGATCTAGAAAATGTGTCACCTCTATATTACAGAAAAGGAAAACCAAGGTGCAGAGAAGTTTAGCAACTTCCAGGATCACAGTCAGTAAGTGGCGGAGCCTGGGTTAGAACGCAGAGCCCACATTCTAGGAAAAGAAACAAAGGAAGTGAAGATCCTCCACCTTGGGAAGTGGCGACTCAGCAGGGTGAGAGCATCTCACTCATTGTACTAGTTTGGCTGTGGGGTTTTAAGGACTGGAGGCCTCCTCCAGTGACCTCAAGTTCCAGGGTTAACTGAGGGGATGCTTGTGCCAATGAGAGAGCCAGAGCCCCCACAGAGCTGGACTGAGCATGGTGCAGATCCCAGATCCCCATTATCCTGTAGTGGGAAGGGGTCAGGGATCTACCCGTGTGCCTCATCCAGGACTTCTTGAACTTGAATGTGCTCACAAATCCCTGGGGATCTTATTAACATGCAGATTCAGATTCAGTAAGTCTTGAGTAGGGTCCACGATTCTGCATTTCTAATAGGCTCCCAGGCATTGTTGATGCTGCTGGTCCAGGCACCACATTTGGAGAAACAGTTCTTTATGGGACCCTGCATCCCTCTCAGGCCTCACTTCCTTCAGGCCTCTTCTTGCTTCTCTCACTCCACTTGCCTGATTCTCTAGTTCTGGAGTGAGGGTTCTCCCCACTGCTCCACCTTTTAGGTGGCAGGACAGCTTCTGAAGGGCATTTTAAGAAAATTACCCAGGGAATGTCCAGCCAGCTACCATACTAGTTAGCCAGCATGGGCCAATCTCTGAGTTGGGCCTAGGATCATCCATCACTTCTGAGATCCCAGAACTGTGGCTTCTGGTGAAAACAGCATTTATATCACCTGTAAAATGGAGAAATGATCATAGAACCTGACCTCAATGGGTTGGCTTGAGGATTAAATGAGTTAGCATACACAAAGCAGTCAGCTGAGTACCTGGCACACAGTGAGCACTACTTAAGCCTTAGATCTCACTTTGTTGAATGACTCTTTATAGAAGATATGGGTTTGATATTGGCCCACAGATTATTGCATGCAGTGGTCCTCAAACTTGAGCATGCATCAGAATTGCCTGGAGGGCTTGTTAAACACAGATCACTGGGCTGCACCCCAAGGTTTCCGACGTAGTAGATCTGTAGTGGGGAGCCAAGGATCTGCACTTCTCTCAAGTTCCCAGGTGCTGCTGATGCTGCTGGTTCAGGGACCAACTTTGTGAACCTCTGATCTAGGAGCAACTCCTGTCCCTGCCCCACAAGGAGCCTGAAGGCCAGAGCTGGCAGCGCTAGGCCAGGTCATACCCAGAGTTAGAAGCCTTACCAGCCAGGTATCCTGGGCTCCAAGGACACCAGAGAGGGGCTTGTCTGAGGCCCGAAGCCCCTCCACAGGCCTCTCCTGCAGGCTTCTGCCTCCTTCCTGGCCCAGTGCCCTGGCCCTCTCAAGGCCCCTCCGCCCAGCTTTGTTTGCATTCCTGGAGGCTGCGTCAGCCTGGGCAGCGGGCGTGTCCATGCGGGCTGGCCTGGTGCAGCTCTGATCGCTGGCCCCGCACTCCAGGCCTCCTGGGCTGGGGCCGCAGTGGCCACTCAGGGCTCACTTAGCAGGCCGGTGACTCATGCTTCCTCCCAGATTCCGGGAAATGCCTTCCTGCTGCTGCTGCTTTTTTCTTGTTTAATGAGAAGTTCTCTGCAGACTTCCATGGCAAACTCAGGATGGGGAGGCAGGGGGAGGAGGGGGCCAAATCTATTCCCAAGAGGGGCCCCAAGAATTCCCATCTCTCTCACACACGCACACACACCCCCACCCTATTGCCAGCCCCGGCCTGAGCCCCCAACCCACCATGGTGCTTTGGTCCAGGAGGGCCAGCCCCAGAAATGCTTGCTTTTATTAAAAAGGAATGGCCTCACAAAGGCACAACTGTAGGAAAGGTTGTAATTTGCCCAAATAAAACTTAATTTGATCCATGAAATAGCTGTGGTTTATTGTGTAATAGATGTGCTATGTGTTTCAATTTAATAGAAGCCAATATAATAGGGGGCCAGTGGGGGCCTCCAGAGGCCCACCTCTTCCCCTACTCACAGTAGGGCCACACAGCCCGCTCCAATGTTGGGACCCTCCACTAGGAGAGGACGGAGAAGGGCTGGCCATAGACCTCTGGCCCAGACCACAGAGGCTCGTGGGAGAGACAGCTCAGGGACAGAACAAGTAAGAGTGCTTGAAGGGGAAAAAAAGGAAAGAAATGAAAACCACCCTTTTTCCAAAGCAAGGCTGCGGGTGTGTGAGTCTGAGGAGGGGGCCGTGGGGGCTGAGTCACTTTCCTGTCCACTGCTGGAATGGGAGGGCCTCTGCTAGGGGCTGTGGGAGAAAGAAGGCTGAATCTGTCACTTAGAGTATGTTGAGGGGATCCCTTTGAAGAAGGCTTCAGGGACAGTTCCTGGGGCAGTGGGCAGCTGCTTCAGCCCCCAGAGCCTGTGTGTGCCGCCCGTGCTCGGACTCAGAGCAAAGGTAATAGAAGCCAGGGGTAGGAGAAAGTCAGGAATGGGGCTTAGTTGGGTCTGGTGAGGCTCCCAGAGATGGTCCCATCCAGCATCCCCCTGCCCCCCGCCACACTGGTGGTCCAGACTGAGGCCCAGAGAGGATAAGTGAGTTGCACAAGCTCCGCTGGTCCTCATTCCATAGATTCTTAGTACACACTGGTGCTAGATCAGGATGGGGGTAGGGTGGGATGCCAGGCTGGTTTTACGGGACCCACCCCCGAGAGTGCTGAGCAACTGACAGAGAGCAGCAGGGCAAGGGAAAGCAGGTATTGCTCTAAGCATGTCGTGTGCATCATCTCATTAATCCTCATGACAACCCAGTATGGTAGGTATTGGTGGCCCCATTTTTCTGCTGAGGAAATTGAGGCCAGGGCGGTGGCTTGTCCAAAAATCAGTTACCCCTCAACCCTCTGCTGCCTCTTGTGAGTGGAGACAGTATCTACCCCATCCTCCCATCCTTCTGAGTTCTGGAACTCTGATCCCTACATCCAAGTTATTCCTCATTCATTCTTCCTGTTGGGTGCTTTTCTTTAAAAGGCCGTTATTTGGCTCTGTGTAACCTTGGACAAACTTCTGAGCCTCGGTTTTCTGATTTGTAAAATGAGAACTGCATGCATCTCACAAGGGCTATTCTAAAGATTAAATGAGATGCCACATGAAAAGCACCTTAGCCAGGGCTTGGCATTCAGTAGGTACTCACAGGTACTCATTAAATCCATCTATTTCTAACAACCCCCATTGAGAATACCATATGCTAGGTTAAGTTCTGGACATTAATTTGGGAGGGAGAATAACCGGGATTTGAATTCCAACTCTGCCATATACTCACATAGTATTGGAACAGGTTCTCATCTTACCTTTCTGAGTCTCAGTTTCATCATCTGTAAAATGGGCATAACATTACCCAACACAGGGATGATGGCACAATTAAATGAGATAATGGATGTCACATAAAAGGTGTTCAATAAACAATAGTTGTTATTTCATCATTATTATTGCTTCCTAAATGCTTTTCGGTGGGCTGGCCTCCAGTGTATATGACCAACACGTCTAGTGTGATGCTTCCCCCTTAATCTTGGTCGTGTTGGCTCCTTTAGCGAGAATTTTTCAGTCTGTCTGTGAGCTGGGGTTTCTGCCCTGAGGCTGAGAGAACGCTCTGTGTCCTCTCTCCCCCGGAAACAAATCACACATGAATTCAATGACTGAAGGAACCGAAGGCAGCTACCCTGGAAGCATTTGCAGGACACAGTCTTCTCTTTTGTTCTTCCAAGGAAATGCTGCCGCACTGCCAAACCCACTGTTGGGCTGAGAAGGGCGTGTTTGTGGGGCAAGAGAGGGGGAGAAATTAGTCAGGGACAGCAGCAGGAAGCCTTCTCTGAAAGCCAAATGAGAGAGGAGATGCCCCCCATCCCCTCACAAGGACCCTGGGGTGCTCCTCTCCCCCCCTGCTGCCTTGCCAAATCCCACCAGTGCCCACTGGACCACAGGGAGGCCAGGAGGCCCAGTTAGAAAGCTGTGCAACGGCTTGTTCATCAAAAGCTGCACCATGGGGCTTGTATGAGACTGAAGCCCTTGAAGACCGTGATTCACGCAAGGCCACAGCACGTGTGTGTGTGTGTGTGTGTGTGTGTGTGTGTCTGCTATTTCCATATGTCGTGTGATCTCCCTTCATCTCAGTACCTCACAGGGGTGCTACAGAGATCAAGGGAGGCGGTCATGTGTGGAAGTCCACTATTAAATGATACAAATGTGAGGATTTATTTACTTATTTATTTATTTATTTTTTAGACGGAGTCTCGCTCTGTCGCCCAGGCTGGAGTGCAGTGATGCAGTCTCGGCTCGCTGCAAGCTCCGCCTTCCGGGTTCAAGCGATTCTCCTGCCTCAGCCTCCCAAGTAGCTGGGACTACAGGCACCTGCCACCACGCCCGGCTAATTTTTTGTATTTTTAGTAGAGACAGGGCTTCACCGCGTTAGCCAGGATGGTCTAGATCTCCTGACCTCGTGATCTGCCTGCCTCTGCCTCCCAAAGTGCTGGGATTACAGGCATGAGTCACCTCACCTGGCCTGAGGATTTATTTATTGTCTTTTAATAGAGTCAAACTTCAATTAAGCAGAGCACTGGCAGCCAGAGAAGTTTAATTGAGATTTAATGGCAAATTATTTCTGTTCAACATTTATTGTGGAGAAACTTTTTATAATTATAATTCATAATGAAGTTTAATAGGATGAAAATGATATATGATCTGTGTAGGAAATTTCAAAAATGTGGGAAACTATAAAAGAAAAAGGAAACCAAAATCATTCCTAACTCCAGAACCCAGATATAGTCACTGGTTATTATTTTATATTCATATATGCATGCATTTATATCATTAATATCATTATTGTAAATTTGTATGCATATATATACCATTTTATTCTGCTGGGGACTGAATTCATTGCTTACTACATTATCTATGTATATATGTATAAATGAAGTATCACATTATATATATGTATGTTTATCACCTGCTTTTTTTCCATTCAGCATTATTTAATGATAATTTTTCTATATAATAAAAAATATTCTAAAACATGATACTTTTCTTTAGAACAATAATACATGTGTATGGGTGTATGGTAAGGTAACTAGTCCAGAAAAACAGAAAGTAGAAAGAAAAAAAGCCAGTTGTATCTGCGTCTCCCCCCTACCATTCCCCAAATGCAAGTGCCATTAACAATTAAGCATAATTTTTAAAAGCCGTATAATATTTTGACACATAGATGTGCCATCATTTCTGTAATTTCCTATTATGGGACATTTAGACTGCTTCAGAATTTTTTCTGTTGTAGAAAAATGAATATTTCTCAGCAAAGATCCCCCGAGGCAGCATTGCTGGAACAAAGGGCACAAACATTTTTAAGGCTTTTGATCCAGATTGAGAAACTGATTTCCTGAAAGCAGCTGCCATTATAGCCTCATCCGCATGGAAGGAGACCATGCCTTTTGCCCATCTCATTTTATCTCAGTCCCACTGAGCGTGACTTTAAAAAAAAAAATACTTTGGCCAAAGTGATCAGTGAAAAACAACATCTCCCTATTTTAATGGAATCTTGTTTTCTACTGAGATTAAGCATTTTTCCAAATACTTAGCCACTGAAATTTTCCCTTTTGATTTTGTTTTTATATCCATTGCCCATTTTTTCTCATTCTGGGTTTTAGACATTTTTTCTTTTTGATTTGTAAGTGCTCTTTACATATTTCTTTTTATTTTAATTCTATTTATGGTGTGTTTTGATGTACAGAAGTTTCCAATTTTAAGTATTCAAATATACGCATCTTTTCCTTTATAATTCCTTCCATTACTGCTGTGCTTAGAGAAGCCCTTCCCATCCAGAGATCAAAATCACGAACATTTTATGTTAGTTATTTTATGATTTCATTGTTTTCACATTTTGCAGTCTCATCCATCTGGAATTTATTCTGCTCTGTAGTGTGAGGTGAACATGGAGCTATTTGCTCCCCTCCCCACCTCCCTCCACCATCTCCTGGGTTTCCCCAGCTCCACTTCTTAAGCAAAGCTCCCTTTCCAGGGGAGTTCTGTGCAATGCAGCAGCTCCAGGCACTGTGCCGTCACCATCTGAAGACCCCTCAGTCCTCCAGCATCACCTACATTTGCCCACCATGTGCCACGGCCCTCGCCTCCTCCTGGGGACACAGACCCCAACACAACACAGTTGCCACTCTCAGGCAGCTCCTAGGCTAGGGAGACAGTAGGCCTGTAAACAGACAGTCACAATAGCATGTGCCAAAGTCTGGAATAACGATGGGTGTCTGGGGGCTGTGCGAGCTCTCGGAGAGGACTCAGGGTTTACCTGTGCCAAGTGCAGGGAGAGCCGTAAGGGGATGCGTCCCTGAGGAAGGGACAGGTAAGCAAGAGCATTGAGAAGCCAAAATAGTAAAAGACTCCAAGGCACACAACCAACAGGCAGCTCCAGGGGATCACAGTGGCTGGACTTGGGTGGGAGGAGACAATTGTCACTATATGCCATTTGGTCCACATGCATGTATCTCCTAATAAAAACATTAAATGTTCACAAGAATCACCATTTTAAATGAACAGAAAAGAATTTCTGTTCCGCAATTCAGCAGTGGAGTTGGTGAAGGGCCTTCTAGGAAGAGCATAAGCAAGGGCTTGGAGTCACCAGCCAGGAAGGCATGACAGCTCAGCCTAGGGAGGGTGAGAAGCTGCAGACTAGGAAGGGCCTTCTATTCCCCGGGAAGAGCTCGGGCTTGGACGGGCAGCCATGGAAGGCTTTGCACGAGCATTGACTTGGCCAAGGCTGCATTTTAGAAAGATCCATCTGGCTGCATCACAGAAAGAAGAACAAAAGCCACTCCTGGGATAAGCGGAGGGACGCAGGATGAGACAGCTATGGTGATGTCACAGAGAGATGATCATGTACTCAGAGCCATGGTGGTCTGGGGCTGCCTCTTCCAGCCTGGAAGAAGGTGAACATGTGGACACCTGGCATTTAGTCACTTTGGGATCCTACCATGGGGGAGGATTCTGGGTCTGCTCTGCCCCGGCCCCAGCCTCAGTGTGCTTGGCTTCTCTCGGGGTGAGAGTTAGGGGGCTAGAAAAGCTGAGGAGCCCCAAAACAACTAGTCTCTGTAGCAAGAAAGATCTCAGTCCAAACCCTGACTCTGTCTCTTATTTCTCATGAGAACTTAAATTACTGAGATCCTGCCATCCTCATTTTTCTATATCTGCACAATAGGACAAAGGGGTTAGTGTGAGTACCCAGTGGTAAGTATCCCATTAGAGAATGTATATAAGGTTCCATGTGCATGGGCTCCTGTTATGTTATATGTAAAGTATAATACCACTGTTCTAAAGAGGGGGAGTACTTTAAAAGGGGAGTCTAGGCCAGGCGTGGTGGCTTATGCCTGTGATCCCAGCACTTTGGGAGGCCAAGGTGGGTGGATCACCTTTGGTCAGGAGTTTGAGACTAGCTTGGCCAACGTGGCGAAACCCTGTCTCTACTAAAAATACAAAAAAATTAGCTGGTTGTGGTGACACACGCCTGTAATCCCAGCTACTCGGGAGGCTGAGGCACGAGAATGGCTTGAGCCCGGGAGGCGGAGGTTGCAGTAAGCCAAGGTCGCATCACTGCACTCCAGCCTGGAAAACAAGAGGGAAACGTCGTCTTAAAAAAAAAAAAAAGCTGGGCGCGGTGGCTCACGCCTGTAATCCCAGCACTTTGGGAGGCTGAGGCAGGTGGATCACGAGGTCAGGAGATCGAGACCATCCTGGCTAACACGGTGAAACCCTGTCTCTACTAAAAGCACAAAAAAAAAATTAGCCAGGCGTGGTGGTGGGCACCTGTAGTCCCAGCTACTCGGGAGGCTGAGGCAGGAGAATGGTGTGAACCCGGCAGGCGGAGCTTGCAGTGAGCCAAGATCGCGCCACTGCACTCCAGCCTGGGCGACAGAGCGAGACTCCATCTCAAAAAAAAAAAAAAAAAAAAAAGGAGAATCTAGAAGACGCACTGCTTAACTCAAAGCCATATCTGGGATTTCAGGCACAAGAAGGCAGCTCATGAGAAAACCCCAGCCCATACTCTGATTAGCCCTTTCCACTCTGCTCTGTCCATCCCAGGCCCTCTGGCAAGCCTTTCATTCTCTCCTGGGCCATGTCTCAGACCACATCACTGTCCACATCGGTACCTCCCATTTTCCAAAGCACTTTCCTGCTCCTGAGCTCATTTTGTCCTCACCACAAGACCTAACCATGTCTTAGACCCATTTCACAGATGAGGCAATGGAGATTCCCCTGTGAGTAGGGGGCACTAGGGAGCCCACTGGCTGCTCCATGCCCCCAGCCTTCTAAGCCTCTCAGGGCTTAGATCTGGTGGTATCAAGAACCAAGAGACATGAAATGCCACAGGCCAGGGTCTGTGGGGCACATGAAAGAATCCCAGCCCTTTGTATGAGGGAAAAAACTGCTGAGGCTGAATTTAGGGAGCACTGGAACTGAAGTCAGGCAGACCTGGTCACAACCCAGTGCCAACATTTGGCCGTGTGACCTTAAGCAATGGCTTGACTTCTCTGATCTTTCGCTTCTCCCCTGCAAAGCAGGCACTATCCCACAGAAACTGAAGCATTACTGTGAGCATAAAACAAGAGGCCTGATGGTGCAAGAGTTATCTCTTACCTGTGTAACAAATTATGTGTCTTTGAAGAGACTGCCTAAGGGCAGTCGGTCCAATCTGTCCTGTTTGTCTACACCACCAGTTGGGTACCATTCAGCACTCCACGGAATGATGCATGCCCCACCCCGCCCCGCCTTCTAAGGCGTCCAACGAACAATGCGTGTGGGGCGGGCAGACATCCGTAAGTGCTGACAGGTGTTTTGCATGGGAGGTGCAGGAGCTGGGCTATCTCATGCTATGTCCTAAAACTTCTTAGTTTTTCAGTAAGGTTAAGGGAAATGGCAATCAGATAATGGTTAGAGCCGTCTGGTGGAGGATGATCAACCCAGCAGTCTATTAAATTTAAGGCCCTTGCAACAGTTTGGGAGAGCTGCACCAGGGCATCTTCCATTGTGAGAAAGGCTCCTGAGATCTAAAGTGTCCACCCCTTCCCAGGTGCTGGGGTGTTGCTTTCCTGCCACTAACCCAAAAGCAGTGTGTTCCATTGCAGTAGCTGTAACTTCACCTTTTTTCCAATTGTGCCTTACTTGTATCCAGATTTTTCTTCCAGAAGGGTCAGGTACAAGAGCAACAGGATATTTTATAAAATTTAACCAGAATTCAGTTTGAATCCCCAAGAGACCAGCATGGGCAACATGGCAAAACCCCATCTCTACAAAAATACAAAAATTAACTGTGTGTAGTGGTATGTGTGTGTGGTCCCAGCTACTCAGGAGGGTGGAGGCAGGAGGATCGCTTGAGCCTGGGAGGTCAAGGCTGCAGTGAACCTCTTGGCCAAACTATCAACTGTAGGTTGTACCAACTAGGCTGGCCATTCAGGAGAAGTAAGAAGTACAAGGCCCAGGAATTGTTAGAGCAGAATCTCAAATTTTCAAAATTGATTTTTTTTTCTTTTTTTTTTTTGAAGCCAAGGTCCTCACCTTGGTGCCCAGGCTAGAATGCAGTGGTGCAATCTTAGCTCACTGCAGCCTCAACCTCCCAGGCTCTCCCGAGTAGCAGGGAACATAGGCAAGTACCATCGCGCCTGGCTAATTCTTGTATTTTTGTAGAGATGGAGTTTTGCTATGTTGCCCAGGCTGGTCTTGAACTCCTGTGCTCAAGCGATCCACCCACCTTGGCCTCCCAAAATGCTGGGATTGCAGGCATGAGCCACCATGCCCAGTCTCAAAATTGGTCTTTATAAACCCCCCACCTCTTTCATCCTGGTCATTACCCAGAAAGTGGCCAAGAGTAAATGATCCCTTTCTGGACAGCCAGAATCAATGACCAAACTGCCTTACTCAGGTGTGTAGGCTAGGAGATGGTGAGACAGAGTTGGAAACCTCGACCCGAGTTTTGAGGAGGTTGTCCCATCACTCAGCAGTATCGGATGCCAGTGGATGGCAGGAAGCACGGAAGGCCATCAAATACCTTGGTGGTCTGCCCATTGTTGGGTGCTTTCCGCAATCAAACATACACTTTTTTTTTTTTGAGATGGACACAGGGATGTAAAGCTGAGATACTACTGGGGCCAGGTGAACTATGTTGTTGAGTCTACCATTCCCATTGGATGAATAGAACTTGTTGGGCCCTTCCCACCTTGTTAGTCATTGAATCTGAGTTGACCCACCCCAACTGGGAATATCAGACCATGCAGTCACAAGGCTCCTGTTTGGTTAGGTGTTCAATTTCGCTAAGCCCAGTAGCAAGCTAACAGACAATTTATAAAGGAGTATAAATCATACAAAGCTTCTCCCTTTAGCCGGAAGCTTCAATCAGCAAAATCACCTGTCACTCTTTGCTCTTATAGCTCAAAGGGGTCGTTAGGATTGTGGGGCCCAGAAGGTATCAGCACTTCTCTGTGTATGAACTTTCCCCATTGAGATAATCTCAATGGCCCTTATGGGACAGGGAAGCACAAGCATCGAATCACCAATTCCTGCCAGCCATTTAGATGTAGAAGCCACAGTAGCAGTATATTGACATGGCCCAAAGTATCATGTTAGTTTCCCTTTCCCTCAATGAACCCTACTCAAGTACATTAGCTGAACCCAGGCTACCCTCCCGCCATGGGTAGGATGTTGATTTGGCTGCCTGTCTCCCGCAAACCCATAAAGGTTTGAGTTCTTCTCCTCTCTAAAGTTCCTTGGTGTGCTTGAATGAGAGCAACTTTAGCCCCCTTGGGAACAAGAAGACTTTAGCCCCACCCCAATCTTTTTTTTTTTTTTTGAGACGGAGTCTCGCTCTGTTGCCAGGCTGGAGTGCAGTGGTGTGATCTCGGCTCACTGCAACCTCCACCTCCCAGGTTCAAGCAATTCTCCTGCCTCAGCCTCCTGAGTAGCTGGGACTACAGGCACACACCACCACACCCAGCTAATTTTTGTATTTTTAGTAGAGACAGGGTTTCACCATGTTGGCCAGGATGGTCTTGATCTCTTGGCCTCGTGATCTGCCTGCCTCAGCCTCCCAAAGTGCTAGGATTAGATGTGAGCCACCACGCCCGGCCCCACCCCAATCATCTTACTCCTTAGATCAGTTGAGGTTGGGGTAGCAGAGGAGGGAGCAATCAGAGGTATGAAGGGAGAGAGTGCTTCAGTGCCAGGAAGCAAGGTGCATTCACTTTTGGCTTCAACCAGCATGGTGGTTGCTTATGGCCCAGCTAAACAGTCCACTCAAAGCCCTATATTGGGACATTCTAATGTTAATATGTTAGGACATTCTTGCATTGCTTTAAAGAAATACCTGAATATGTAAGACCAGGTAATTTATGAGAAAAGATGTTTAACTGGCTCATGGTTCTGCGGGCTGGACAGCAAAACATGGGGCCTGCATCTGCCTCTGGGGAGTCCTCAGGAAGCTTCTACTCATGGCAGAAGGCAAAGGGGGAGCAAGCCTGTCACATGGTGAAAGCAGGAGGAAAGAGTAAGAGAGAGGTGCCACACACTTTTAAACAACTAGGTCTCACCCACTCTCACAAAGACAGCACCAAGCCATGAGGGATCCGCCGCCACAATCCAAACGCCTCCCACCAGGCTGCATCTCCAGGACTGGAGATTACAATTCAACATGAGATTTGGGCGGGGGCAAATATCCAAACTATATTATACAGTCATCATTGTTGACACCTCTAGCTTAATTTTAGTGATACCTTGACTCAGCAGCTGCAGCCACATTATTTTCTGGCTGGGGCCATGGGATTTATGCCCAAAGACTAAGTTGGGCCTGACCTGCACCTGCAGACAGTGCAGCAACCTGTTAAAGGAGATCGCCTGAACCCAGGGCCTCTGCCGCCCCGAATATAAGATCTTTCAACTTCTTATGTGGTTTCAAAATAAGGACTAGGGGAGTTTTCCAGGGTGGTAGGGTTGAGAGCAAAAATTTATCTAGATTTATTTAGGTCAATTTCTCGTTCTCTAGTGGGTCACCATTGGTATTGCAAACCCAACATGAAGGATTAAGAGCCCTAATACCAGTCAGGCACAATGGCTCATGCCCGTAATCTTAGCATTTTGGGAGGCTGAGGTGGGCAGATCATCTGAGGTCAGGAGTTTGAGACCAGCCTGGCCAACATGGTGAAACCTCGTCTCTACTAAAAATTCAGAAATTAGCTGGATGCGGTGGCACATGCCTGTAATTCCAGCTACTCAGGAGGCTGAGGAATTGCTTGAACCCAGGAGGCAGAGGTTGCAGTGAGCCGAGATCGCGCCACTGCCCTCCAGCCTAGGCAACAGAGCGAGACTCTGTCAAAAAAAAAAAAAAAAAAAACAAAACTAATACCAACCAATTCTTCATCTGTGGTTTCCTCCAGGTGTTTGTCTATCTCAGAGAAATCCCCCCAAGCAGACCAAAACTCCCATATATTCCCTTAGAGCAGCCAGGGTCCATTGTAAAAACAACAACAACAAATAAACAGCAAAAAAGCTGAGACCTATTGCTCTCATCTCCAAATGGATGGCATCTCCAGTTGGCATGGTAGAGGGCAGGAGGGGCTGAGTGTTGTCCTTCTTCCTTCACAAGCATCATGTGCCCACTCCCTTATCTCTCGAGTGAACCTGCCTAAGTTGTAACAACCCTTCTGGTCTCTGCCCACAGCAAGAGTGAGTTTCCCTCCCTTCACTCTGTGCATGTGGCCATGTCTGTAATTGCTATCTGAAAGGCAGTGCCACCTCCTGCCCACCTAGAACAAAGCTTAGTGCTTCTTTGTTTCAGTGGGGAGGGATTGAGGCTGGCCATTAGATTGGTGAGGAAGCCCAGAGAAGAGTTAACAACCACCAAGGCACTGTTTTGGCAGCTGTCTTTGAATCTACTTCCCAGTACTCAGCCTGCAACCACCTCTCCAATCCTTCTCATTAACAAGCATTAAAATAAAATAGAAGGCCACTTATTGCCCATGTGACCATACAATTTGATCAATATGTTTGGTGCTGATTTCCACTGCATTCTAGCCTGGGCACCAAGGTGAGGACCTTGGCTTCAAAAAAAAAAGAAAAAAAAATCAATTTTGAAAATTTGAGATTCTGCTCTAACAATTCCTGGGCCTTGTACTTCTTACTTCTCCTGAATGGCCAGCCTAGTTGGTACAACCTACAGTTGATAGTTTGGCCAAGAGGTTCACTGCAGCCTTGACCTCCCAGGCTCAAGCGATCCTCCTGCCTCCACCCTCCTGAGTAGCTGGGACCACACACACATACCACTACACACAGTTAATTTTTGTATTTTTGTAGAGATGGGGTTTCCCTCAAATTGCATGAATTGGCTTGTGAGGCCCTCATCTTTCCTCTTCAAGAAAGCTATTTCTCTGTCAGCACCCCATCCTGATCACCAAAACTGTCAAGAACTGTGAATAATCTGAGATTTTATCCATTTTTTCAATAAGGTAAGAAGTTAGCTTGTCACTGTTTCATGAAAGACATGAGAAGACACAAGACTCCTGGGTCAGAGACAAAGGACTTCTTTCTGTTCATCATGACACAGAATGAGCATCATCATAGCTTCCCTTGTGATGCCAAGAGAGACAGGTGATACCTGCACACTCAGTGGAGGTGCCTTACAGGAGATGAACCCTGGACTTAGGGAACCCAAATCTTTTATAATGAGCAGTAAACATGCCTGCCCGTGCACCAAAGGGAGATACTGTATTTTCTAATGCTTGTAGCTATCATATATCCTTGAAAATATAGTCCAGAACAAAGGCCATCAGTGCTTCTGCTTGCAATATTTTCAGAGAGACCTATGGAGAATTGTCTCTGAATGTGATATGCTTTCTCATTTGATTCCTACATGGTAGAGGACATCATCCCCATTTTACTTATGAGAAAACCAAGGCTCAGGGGAAACATGAAATGCCTAAATTCACACAAACTGGAAAATGATGGAGCCGGGATTCAAACCTGTGTCCGCTTTCACTTCTCTCTGAAGCTGGCCCCTCCATCATCATCAGTAGCTCAGGCATAAGGCTTGATGAAGAAGGTAGAGAAATCTCTCTGTTCAAGGATGGTTTTCATTGGCTTTTTGGACTTCAGGTACCTAGTGCCTCCTCTTTCCCCAACCATGGAAAATTCAAGAACAAACTTACTTCAGAGGTCTTTGGTTTCTCCTGGTCATTTGGGAGTCCACCCCCAAGGCTTAGAAACTGTCACAGAAGATGTTTGATGACATCTCCTGCTTCCTCTAGGCCCGGGCCAGCCCTCACCTAGCAGAGCACTCAGGCTCAGACTCAGACAGAACAAAGCTTCCTAGACATATGGACTGACAATTTCTCAATTTAAAAATCTGCGTAGCTCAAGTCTGGTTCTTTTCTGCAAGCTGTGACAAGGACACCTCTCATCATGGCCAGGGCAGAGCAGGGATCCTAGGTGTGGGCTCAGATGGTGCCAAGGGGTCCTAGGAGCTAGACCTCAGAGCCCCTGGGCCCTAGAGTGAAGAGGGTTCAGGAGCCACCAGGACAGACCCAGTGCCACTCAGCTTTCTGGGGACCTGATGTGGCTTTTGACATTCATTGATGTTATATTTGGGGCAGCACAAAGCAGAGAATTTTTAAAGGGTCAAAATAGCTGTCATCAGGGCCAGGAATGGCAAACATCTTTGCCCCATTGGTAGAGAAGGAAAGGAAATAAGGGGCCAGTGGGGAGTCACCACTTTCAAAAGATCAGCTTCTAATACACACACTGTACTTGGAAAACACCAAAATGCTGCCCATTTTAGGCAACTTAAGGAACTTGGCCAACACTGAATGGCCTATTTTGGAAGATATTTTTTTTTTCTGCTCTACAAAGACTCATGAATAGTTGTGTTTCTGTTAAAATGTTAACGAAAATGCATTTTGGACTGAACGCATATATGCAGTGGTGTTTATGTGCATGTTTTCCTAGGCATTCCAAAAACTCCATTTTGTTCATTGCTCAATGATGAGAAATAGAAAGCAAAACTATTTTAAAAATAAACATTTCCAATTTGCTGGTTCAAGCAGAACTGACCCAAAAAACTGGCAACAGACATAATATTTTATGTATTTAATTTTTAATTTTTTTAAATTATAGAGACATAGTCTCACTATGTGTCCCAGGCTGGACTCAAACTCCTAGGCCCAAGTGATCCTCCCACCTCAGCCTGCTAAGTAGCTGGGACTACAGGCGCACATCATCATGCCTGGCTCAAACATGATTATTTAAAAAAATTCAACAAATACTAAATGTCACTCACGATGGGCCAGGCCCTGCTTAACTACTTCACAAATATTAACTCATTTAATGTAATTTCCCTAACTACTAACTATGCCCATTTTAACAGGTGAGAAAACTGAGGCTCAGAGACTACAAGTAACATCTCTTAGCTCGAGGAAAAGCTGGGCCTGCAGCCCCAGAAGTTGGCTGCAAAGCCTGTGTGCTCAGCAGCTGTGGAAAGTCAAGTTCAGAAGTGCTGCCACCAGCAGGGGTGTGGGGGTAGGAACACCAGCTCTGGAAAGAGAGATCTGAGTGTGAGACCCAGCTCTGATACTTACCAGCTGTGTGACCTTGGCAAACTTGTTTAACTTCTCTGAGACTCATCTATAAAATGGGATAAGGATTACATGACATAATATAAACATAACAAGTACATAACAAGCCCCTCAGTAAATGATAACTGCTATTATTATCACTAAGCAAAGTAAGAGTTCTGTTACTAGCAATGGTCCCAGCTCCTCTCGGCAGTTTCAACGTGAAAGTCCACCTTATCTGCCTCTCTTGGAACATAAGACTTTTGGGTGAGGGCGGGGGTTCTCTTGAGCCCCTGAATTCCCCCAGAAGCCATCTGGCTCAGACTTTTCATTTGAAGGGCAATTGAGGCCTGGGAAGAGGGGGAACTCTCCCAGCATCACTTACCCAGGTCTCACATAGTACCCCAGAGAGTCCAAGGAGGTCAAGTTGAAAACCATCTCTCCTTTGCTCAGATCATGGACTTCCAGTCTCAGGCTCAGAAATCCTGGGCACTTTATCTACACTCCACTAGCCCGATTGATAGTTGTTTTAAAAATGGTTAGAGAGGGCTGGGCGCGATGGTTCATGCATGTAAACCCAGCACTTTGGGAGGCCAAGGCAGGCAGATCGCCTGAGATCAGGAGTTCGAGACCAGCTTGACCAACATGGAGAAACCCCGTCTCTACTAAAAATACAAAATTAGCTGGGCATGGTGATGCATGCCTGTAGTCCCAGCTACTCGGGAGGCTGAGGCAGGAGAATCGCTTGAACCCGGGAGGCAGAGGTTGCGGTGAGCCGAGATCATGCCATTGCACTCCAGCCTGGGCAACAAGAGTGAAACTCCATCTCAAAATAAATAAATAAATAGGTTAGAGAGGCTACAAGGCTGTTTCAGTCTATGTCGCTAGTGGTGATCAGCCTAGCCTGAACACCCCCTCCCCAACCCCCCAACAGCCTCCTCCAAACCTCCAAATGGGCCAGAGTGACATGCACCCTCCTCTAGGTTCTCAGGGCTGCTGGAAGTCCTCAAGGGCTCAAAATCCCAGGGTAAAGGATTTAAAAACCTTGTCTTCATTTGCCCTTCATTAAAAAGCATAGGGAATGCAACAATGAGAATATGCTTCATGCCACAGGACTGTGCACTTAAAAATGGTTAAAACGGCAAATTTTATGGTATATATATTTTACCACAGTAAAATGTAAAAAACATGGGGAAGATAGAAAAAGTTCTGGAGATGGATGGAGGTGATGACTCCACAACAGTATGAATGTATTTAATGCTGCTGAACTGTTCACTTAAAAATGGTTAAAATGGGAAATTTTATGATATATATATATCTATCTCTATTTCACCACAATTAAAACAAAATGAAACACATGATCTGCACCCCAACTCTTCTTGCCTCTCAACTGCTTTGCTCAGGCCAATGCTGGCTTCCCAGAAGCCTTTGCTGCATTGCTGAGGCTGGCTCTGGAAGGAGCTTCAAGTCATGTATTGGCCTCCCTTTGCTACTGCCTTGCTGTGTGACCCTAGTTAGCACCCTGCCCTCTCTGGGCCTCAGTTCAGGGATAGCCATGGCACTAGACACACTCTGAGGCCTTTCCCAGTTCAGATGTTCCCTGAGTCTGTGGTTCTAATTCATCCAATGGACTGTCCCCCCACCCCGCCCACCTCCCACCACAAACCAGGAATTCTTTTTTTTCTCCTGTACTTTAACAGATGCAAACAGCAATTCTTGCCACCACACTCTCAAGAGGGTAGAATAAGGCTGCAGGCCATGAGCCCCCAGAGCCTGGGCCTGAAGGTGGGGGAGGGGTGAGTGATCTTAGGGGCCTGTAGGGAGAAGCCAGCTGGGGGTTGTCGTGGAGACACATGATGCTAATAAACATAACCCCCTCTACATGCATGTTTGGTCCTTTAGAGTTTATATAACTCGCCCACATCCACTACCTCCATGGTCTTTTCATTCCACAAACATCCAGGGAGTCCATCCTTTGTATCTGCCACTGGGCTGGCCCATGGCCACGGGGGCCAGTGGGATATGAGATATCTCTGGCTCTCAGGAGTCTCCAGGGGAAGAAAGAGTAGACAGCAGTGTGGTCAGAGCCTGGATGGGGTAGGCTGGGAGATGATTGAGAGGAGGGGACAACGTGGGCAAAGGCCTGGAAGACACAGACAGACAGAGAGAGAAGTCTGGAGTGCGGTGTTTGAAGGGGGTTGTCTGGGTTTGAGATGGGGCAGAACCACATTCCATCAGGGCCTCACAGGCCACTCTCAGAGGCAGGTGTACATCCTGAGGGTACAGGGAGTCATCCTGGCACTTGGAGGAGAAGCGGGTCAGATTTGGGTGCAGATCATCCCTGCAGGTGGAGGATGGATTGGAGGTGGCAGGAGAGGGGCAGCAGCTGTTAGGGGAGGGACGTGACCATGGATCATTGATTCTACTCCCCAGCTGAGGAAACGGGTTCACACAGGTCAGGTGACTGCCTAAGGCCACCAGTAAGTTCAGGGATCTGGATCTGAGTCCTCACACTTGAGGAGTCCCCACACCAAACCTTTACTTACCTCCCTGAGCTGCCTTCCAGGCCCCCAAGTCATACCTGTGAACACCTGATGAGTGCTTAATACAGGCCAGGTCTGAGTGCCTGACAGGCACGAGTTCATCTAATCCTCCCAACAACCCTAGGAGGTAGATACTCTTATATTATTATTCCTCACTTTTACGGATGAGGAAACTGAGACAGAGAACTCAAGTAACTTGCCCAAGGTCACACAGCTGCTAAGTGGCAGGGTCGGGATTAGAACAAGGCAGCTGCAGCCATAGGCAGTTAGGGCTTTTATGCCTCTTGCAATGTGTGGGATGGGAGTTTGCCGGAGGGGACAGATGGGCAGGAAGTGGACTATGGAAGTTTGGAGCACCAGGAAGTCCCCAGAGATGAATAATGTGTGTGCATGCTGTGTGACCTTGGGCCACTCACAACCCCTCTCAAGGCCTCAGGTTTTCTCATCTGAGACAAGAACCCAAAATCTCCAGGTTCCCTTCTCTCTTCCCATCTGTTCCTCTCATTCCTTAGGTCAACCCTTCCATTCCTACCCTCAACATACACACCCAGAGACTAAGGCAGGGGAGGTGCTGGAGATCGGAGTGGGGTATGGAATAGAGGGGAGAGGAGAACGTGGGGACTAACCCTTCCCCAAAAACCTAGTCAATTGCAGAAATCCCCCTGGGGCATCCCTTGGATTTGGGGGGCAGTAAGTCCTACCAATCTTGCCTCCCAGGGCCTGCTGGGACCAGGCTCCCCTCAGCAGTCTGCAGAGACCCAGGACTTGTTTAGAAAGTGTCTCCATTGGAGCCTGAGTCACCAGATCCCTGGGTGGTCTAGGGGAAACCACAAAGTTACTGCGAAGCAACAAGACTAGGAGAGGAGGCAGGACGGCAGGTCCTGCCACCGCTGAACTCAGCAGCTAGGCCAACTCCCAGAACTTGGTTTCCCCATTTGTAAATTGAGGAGTTGGAACTGGACTCTCAGACCCCCGAGAAGGCAGCCACAGGGCCTCTCCCTGACACTTGAGGCCACCCGAGGACCTCAGGAAAGTCCTCAGCTTCGGAACAGGAGATAGTTTCAAGGTTGAGATCCCTGGGTCCCCAGAATTCAGTCTTTCAGGCATGCATATTGTCCCCCAAGGGACAAGCCCACTCCAGCAAAGCCCATCACAACCAGGGCATGGGGAGAGCTCCAGACTGGCATTTGAGACGGGGGCTTGTTCCTTCCTCCAGAGAGGTTGGACAAATGACCATTAATGTAAGCATCGGCTTCTTTACCTGTAAGGACTCACAGGCAGTGAGTTAGTGTCACTAGTCATTGCTCCAAGCACATCCTCACAGAGCAGCCTGCTATGAGCCTGCAGAGTTCAGACAGAAGGGCCAAGGCCTGAGCAGTGCAGGGCAACAGACTGGGTAGGGAGGCATGGGGACTCCCACGCTCAGTTCGGGCCTGGGGGTTGCAATGGGAAGGGGTGTAGGAGTTTGGGTTGGCAGCAGAACTAGGAGAGTTTTCCTTGAAGGCCAGGGTGGGGCCAGTGAGGCTTAGCTCTAAGAAGCAAATGTCGGCCAGGCACAGTGGCTCATGCCTGTAATCCCAGCACTTTGGGAGGCCGAGGTGGGCGGATCACCTGAGGTCAGGAGTTCGAGACCAGCCTGGATAACATGGTGAAACCCTGTCTCTACTAAAAATACAAAAATTAGCCAGGTGTGGTGGTGAGCACCTGTAATCCCAGCTACTCGGTAGTCTGAGGCGGGAGAATTCTTGAACCTGGGAGGCAGAGGTTGCAGAGAGCTGAGATCATACCATTGCACTCCAGCCTGGGCGACAGAGCGTGACTCCGTCTCAAAAAATAAATAAATAAATAGCAATGTCATCTGCCTGGCTGGTCGCCCTCTGAGAATCTGGGAGACAGGGAGAAGATGTCAACTTTCAATCTGCATGCAATAGTCTCTAGGGTAGGAGGCAGGAAACCTGGGTCACACTCCAGCATTCCTTGACTACAGGCTTGAGATGAGCACCTCTCTGCTCCGGGCCTGTTTCCTCACCAATAAAATGGGGCTGTGAACCCATGATGATGGCAGATTATAATGATCACTTCCACATCCAGGCATTGCAGGGTGACTGGCTGCTTCCTCTAATGGCAAGAAGCCCCTCTTAGGAGACTGGCATTGGTAGGTACCAGGCTCAAGGGGAGCCAGGATGGGTTCAGGGCTCAGGGGACCCAGCAATGATCCTTAAGCTGCCCAGGTCTGCTTGTCTCCCTGGCCCACTGAGAAGCAGCCCACCTTCCCCACTGCCCCCTGAAGATCACCCCAGCTCCTCAACTTGGTGTTTGAGGGCTGCCCAGCCCTTTCCAGCTCTGGCCCTGTGTGAATAATGGCAGCTGTGTCCTGGTGACAGACCAGGTAGTGCGTGGCGTGCTTCACTCTCCCGATTCGTACCTACTTCTGAGGTGGGGACAATCTTATTCCCATCTTACAGATGGGAACACCAAAGCACGTAAAGAAGTTATTAAGTCACTGAAGTCACTCTGAGTGGCAGAACTGGGATTTGAACTCGGGTAGCCTGGCTCCAGAGCACGAGTGTCTGGAAACTCCCCTCCTGCTTCATGGTCTCTGCCACCCCCAAACTCTTTGCTCCTGCACCCTCTGCCACCCTTAGCCTGCCAGCTTCCCGCTCATTTGTCCTGTGAGGACCGGAGGTCAAGGCACTGAGCCTCCTAGGAGGCCTCCCGATTACTCCTCCTCGGCACTCCCATGGAGTGGTTGCTTATTCCTTTTGGCTGTGCACCCACAAACTGCCTGTGAGCCTGAGGTGCCTCCCGTCCTGCCCCTACAACAAGAGCTCTCTGACTATTCCAGTGAGACAGCCATCTCTGCTGAGTGTCTTCAGGCCAGGGTCTCAGTGCACAGCACCCTGGCATGGCCAGCTGTGGTCAGCCCAGAAGCACCGGCGTGCCTCGGTATGAGGACAGAATTACAGGAGTGGGGACAGTCTATTCATAAATAACTTTGGGAAACAAAGTTAAATGGTTTTTCTTCTTGGAGGATGTGGTGGCCATGAATCCTGTCTCCTGGTATTCATGTCCTTGTGTAGTCTCTCCCACTTTGTAACAGAGATGGTTTGTATGACCAATAAGTATGGCAGAAGCGATGGTATGTCACTACTGAGATCTAGTTACAGAAGACAGCAGCTTAGGTTGGGCATGGTGGCTCATGTCTATAATCACAACACTTTGTGGGGCCGAAGTGGGAGGATCATTTGAGCTCAGGATTTCAAGACCAGCCTAGGCAACATGGTGAAATCCCATCTCTACCAAAAATACAAAACTTAGCCAGACATGATGGTGTGCACCTGTAGTCCCAGCTACTCAGGGGCTGATGCAGGAGGATCACCTGAGCCCAGGGAGTTTGAGGCTGCAGTGAGTCATGATGGGGCCACTGCATTCCAGCCTGGGTGACACAGTAAGACCCCGTCTCAAAAAAAAAAAAGAAAGAAAGAAAGAAAGAAAAAAACCCCAGCAACTTCACCCTTGCTCTTTTGGATCATTTGTTCTGGGGAAGCCATGTTATAAGTAGTCCAGTGGAGATGCCCACATGGCAGGGAACTGAGGGCTCCTGCCAGCAGCTACATGAGCGAGCTTGGAGCAGGTCCCCCAGACCCAGTCAAGACTCAGATGACTGCAGCCCTGGCCGACAGCTTGATGGCAACCTCACCAGAGACCCCGAGCCAGAACCACTTGGCTAAGCTGCTCCCAGATTCCTGACCTGCAGAAACTGTGGGAGATAATAAATGTTAGTTATTTTAAGCTGCTAAGTTTGGGGATAATTTATTATGCAGCAAGAGATAATACACAGGACTTCTCAGAGCACTTAATATGTTAATATAAATCTCCAAGAAAAAAGATATACAATGAAACATTCCTCTTAGTTATCTGGCCAAGGAGACTTTCTTTTTTTGAGAATATTCTTCAGAAAGCTGATCTAATGATATGGCTCTGGTCCTACAATTCCATGTAACTTCTAACCTTGATTTTGTCTCATGAGCAAATCATTTAACCTTCCAGAACCTCAACTTTTCCCTTTCACAAAGTAGAAATAAACCATCTGCCTTTACATAAATCATTAATACAGCCCTGGATGGGCAGATTCTGAGCTATTTTTGGCTGGGGGGTGGGAAATAGCCTGTGGAGGTCCTAAAAAGATCTACGGGGCTCGAGATGGTTCTCTGCAAGGTAGCAGGTGGGCTCAAGGCCCATTTCAGTCTTTGTTCCCCAGGCCATTTCCACAAAATGGTGAGAAATAGTGTCTTCTTTTAGCTTGCTCATAACTCAAAGATGGGGGGCATGGACCTGGGCCTTTCTAGGCTAGGGCATGAACCTCCTCCATCAGACTGGAAGAGCTTGTCCAGGATAAATGGCCAGTGTATTCTTTTCCCCACCGCCATCCCTATCCACTGGACACCCCATAGCCATGGGCAGGAAGGAACAACAGAACTTTCTCTGGTTTACTTAAGAGTAAATGTGACTTTCCTCCCTTTTCAATTTGTTCTGTCTTTATCCAATAAAAGTAAAACTTGAAAACTGAGGTCAAGTTTCAAGGTACATGATGGGTCAGAAATCCGCTGAAGCCCTACCTGCCCCTCTTTGTAAAAAGAAGACAGTTTAAAAAAAACTATAATGCGAATACTTTATTATCGAGTGACTGGTATTAGCTTTTTGTCTGGGCATTAATATCTCAAAAACCATACACCAAACCCAGGCTTTTCCACCTAGCTCTGCTGTATCATTTTCTTTATATATATATATAAAAAGTAAGGAAGAGGAAGGAGGAAGAGAAAGAAAATATATCTGTATTGAAAGAATTATAAGCCAAAGTGCGTCTTTCTTGTTTTGTCCATATACACACATTGCACCATACATAAATAATTACATTGTAAAAATGACTCCATAATTACAAGTATAATATATATTTCCATATAATATATAAAACTTTATATTAAATCTAGGTAGATGATATCTGGGGGGTTTTGTCCGTGGGGGCTGTGTCTCTGGGCATCGGCCCCTCTCGAGGCCGGCAGGTGGCGGTGGCCGCGGCCTCCCACCCGCCCCTCCCGCCGGGGCCGCCACTATCTGGGGTTGTTGAGGAGGATCTCCAGCCAGCAGGGGCAGGAGGTGATGAACTGCCGGGAGTAGCAGGGCCCCCAGCCCTTGGCGAAGCTGATGCGGACGCTGTTGGGGTCGTAGGGGCCGTCGGCGGCGTCGGGCTCGGGCGCGTGCTGCAGGCCCGAGCGCTCGAAGTCGAACACCTTGATGGAGTAGCCGGGGGGCACCTTGCGCACGACCAGGGCGCGGCCGCCGGGCGCGTCCAGCGTCGGGGAGTTGACGAAGATGGGGTGCTCGCCGCGGTTGTAGGCCCACACGCCGTCGGGCTCCTTGCTGAGCAGGATGCCGAAGCCGATCTTGCTGCGCGTTCGCCGCACCGACTCGCTGCGCTGCTCCAGGTTGAGCTGGCCCAGGCAGAAGCCGCTGCCCTGAGGTAGGTCGTAGAAGATGCTGACGGCCTGGTCGTACACCGCATAGAGGCGGCCCACGCGCGTCCGGTGCTCCCAGTACGCCACGCTGCACCAGTGGCTCGGCTTGGTGGCGTCCGGAGACATGCTGGCGTCTGCGGGACAAGCACAGGGACCGCCGCGTTATTCTGGGTGGGGAGGTGGGAGGCACCGAGGAGCGGAGGTGGGCACTGCTGTCTGCACAGTGGGAGCTGGGTAAGGTTTCCAGCATTCAGCAGTCATGTGGGCACCGTGTGCCAGGTTGTCCTCAGGAAATATGGCGCACAACGGGACATCTCTTTCACACACACAAGCTCACACAAAGGAGAAAACAAAGGTTATGAGCCACAGAGTGCAAGCCAGAGAGCACCTGTTGTGTGCTAGATGCTGCGGACGCAGACATGAACCATGCACACCCTGCCCCTGCCTCTTCATGCTAGCAGGAGAGACAGACAACTGCCTGCACGCCCCCAAAGGAGGGGCTGACTGTGGAGCAACCATCACGGACCCGGCGTGGAGCACTGTACTTCTTACTCTTCACAGCACACAGGACTCACTTGGTCCTCACGATCACTCTGCAAGGACGCCACCTTCTCCTCGTTCTACAGAGGAGGGCACCCCGCCAGAATTTGAACCCACTAGTCCAAGTCTCAACCTGACAGAGTAGGGTTAGGCTATTGGGGGATGGCGGGGGAGGTTGAAATCACATTAGAGGACTCAAGCACAGGGAGGCGGGCTGGGGGTGGGAGGAGTTGCCCCCAGGATCCCTTCCGGCCTGGAGCAGTGGGATTCCTGTGGTGGCCTTGTTATAAATATGACTGCTTGACTGCTCCCTGACTCAGCCTTAGCCTCCTGGTACCGCCCACCTGAGTTGGCTTTCTTGGCAGGAAATGCAGGTTTGTACCAGAACTGCAGCTACTTCTGCATGGCAGAGGAGCTGAGGGTCCCTAAATGACAAAGAAAATGGCTCCTTAAGGGCTCTGGAGCTGCCCAGCAATTGAAGGTGTGTGCTGCTCCTCTCTGGGCCTCAGTTTCCCCACTGTATAGCAAAGGGGTAGCTAAGATGTTACTGAAATCCCTTGTCACTGACTCGGGCCGTCTGTGTGTCTGGAGGAGTTTAACAATTTTCTGAGACCAAAGTTCAGACCAACACAGGCCAGGGTGCTCCCTGCTCTCATGTGGCCAGCTTCTCAGATTCTGACATCTGGCCTTTCCTTTGAGCTCACAGCTCTGAGAAGCAGGCAGGCACCTATAACTGCCCAGTGAGGTGACATGATTTGCCTGCCATGCCTGCTTCCACACAGGTCTCTGGCCTGGGCCTGTGCAGAGGGAGGCGTTCTGCTGGAGGCTTGACAGAGCAAAGCAAAGCAATTCATGGCTCTTTTTCTGAGGAAAACTGATCAAAGTCCAACCAAATCCCAGAGGACAACACTTCTAACAGCTTCACCTGGGAGCCTGAGTGAGGCCAGCTCTGGACGCCTTTGCCTTGGTCTTGCCCCTGCCTAGAAGCCCCAGAAGAACAGGGTGGCAGGGCCCCTGACATCCCCTTACACACTGGGAGGCCCGCCCAGCCACCCAGCAGGAGGCTGTCTGCCTCAGGGGCCTCCTGGAGGCTGACTGCTCTGCTGTGGCTTTGGGCTGGATACAGGTTTCATGAGTGTGCCCCTTGTCCTGGGCCTGGCACTGAGGTCCCAGACACAGGTCCCCAAGTCTGCTGGGGGGTAATCCAAGTCCTCACACCAGCCCGCAGCTTGGATCATTTTGCCTCAGAGTCTCCAGTGAGGCCTCTGATGCTTCCAGCTGATGGTCAGGAGAGGAGGAAGAGGTCCTGCATCCTGCCCTCGACAGAACTGCCCCTTAGCCAGTGGGCAATAGTGACAGAGACAGCTCAAGCCCTTGGGAGGTCACTAGGCTGCAAGCATCAGGCCAGTCCCAGCAGGTGGGCAGCTGGGAACAGCCAGACTCTGAGCTCCAGCCACCCCACTCCAGTGCCCCTCTCCCCAGCCACCCCACTCCAGTGCCCCTCTCCCCAGCCATCTACCTGGCACAGGTCTGGGAGTCCCCAAGGGCCAGAAAAGCAGCACCATGCCAGCCTAGCCACGAAACTGCAGCACCCACACTGCCCACCAACCAACAAGAATTCCACGAGTGTGTCAGGCACAGCAAGGTGGGGATGCAAAGAAGCGATGCCTGGAGTATGCTGGGAGACAGGACGGGCAACGGCATCCATGAGTGCCTTCTACGAGCTGGGCCCGTTCTTCACAACAGCCTCATCTCACCTCTACTAGCAGCCCATTCCACAGGTGAGGAAACTGAGGCCCAGGGTATACACCAGTGAATGCTGGGGCCGCCTTGGTGCTAGGCCACACTCTAGAGGGGAGCTCTTCTCCACACTCCAGATAGAGTTCTGTCCTGGCTCCTTCCTAAAACCTGCACACTGAGCAAGTCCCTCTACCTCCCTAAGCCTCAGTTTCCCTATATGTAAGCATGACTGCTCTCATGGTCCATGAGCCCTAGAGGTTACTATTTACAAGCTGAGGTGTCACTATCCCCACTCTTGGAGGACTCACTTTACTGTCTCACTAAGGGAGGGGTCACTGCTGCACCTCTTCACAGACAAGGCTCTGAGACAGCTGCCCAGCCACAGAGTGACAGCTCTGCCCCACCCATGGAAAAAGGGAGAGTCTAGCTGGGGAAGGACAGGGGCACAGGGGGCAGGGGAAGCGACTTTCTCTTTCCCAGCTTCCAAAAGGTTTCTGGCTGGGAACTCTGGGAGGCTGAGGCAGGAGGCTCATTTGAGCTCAGGAGTTTAAGCCCAGCATGGGCAACAAAGCAAGACCTCATCTCTAAAAAAACTTTTAAAAATTAGGTGGGTATGATGGTGTACATCTGTAGTCCCAGCTACTTGGGAAGCTGAGACAGGAGGATTGCTTGAGCCCAAGTTTGAAGCTACCGGGAACAGTCATTGTGCTACTGCATTCCAATCTGGATGACAGAGTGAGACCTTGTCTCAAAAAAAAAAAAAAAGGAAAAGAAAAGAAAGTTTTTCAATTCAAGGACAGGTGGGACTTCCTATCCCCCTCCTCTCAGTTCCCTCCACCCCAGCCAGGCCAAACTCCTTCCATCCCCCCAATCAAAACCCATGTCCCCAGCCTAGCCCCAGCACACCTTATGGTACCCTATGACTGGGGATGAACCCATAGAGCCGCCTTCAGGCCTTGCCTGCCCCAGCCATCCAGCTAAGGGACACCCTGGGCTTGAGCCAGGCCCCATCCCCTGCGGCTTCCTTGGTTGAACAGACTGGGTTACACATCATCAGGCCTGCGCTCCTGGCCATGTCTCCCAAATTCAGGGAGACAGACTGCCACTCTGGGAAGCCCTCTCTGACCTCTCCTTCCTGGGGCACCTGAACTGCAGCCCCTCCCTTGGCCTTAACAGGTGTCTGCGCTCCTGGTCAGTGCCCCCCAGTTGGTCTACACTCTCTGACTGGTAAGGGGAGGGGTGGGTCTCCATCTATCCCAGGGCTGCATATATTCCTTGAGCTCAAGCAATCCTCCTGTCTTAGCTTCCTGAATAGCTGGGACTGCGATGTACATCATCATGCCCAGCTAATTTTCAAAAGCTTTTTTGTAGAGATGAGGTCTTGCTTTGTTGCCCAGGCTGGGCTTAAACTCCTGGGCTCAAGTGACCCTCCTGCCTCAATTACTTTTGCACCAACCTAATAAAAGGGAAGGGGACAGGAAATAAAATATGTCCCAGTGCCTAGACATTGCCCCCACCCCACACCCCACGGGGAATCCTGCCCAGCAGGTAGGCTGCTGGGCTCAGGCCCTAGGGCACTGAAGCGTGGTGGGCAAAAACTGGGGTCTCTTGTCTGATCCAGAGGGTAAGCCACCCACTCAGCCTCCCTGTCCCCACTCAACTCTCAGTCCCAGGGCGTCAGAGCTCGAGTATCCGCTGACATTATCTTATCCAGTGAGACCCAACACTTCAGGCTTCCACAAACCAACACATGTTTTTAACAGGGGAGTTGGGAATGACACAGGGCGACCACTGCTTCGTTTTTGTTTTTGTTTGAGCAATGGTCTCACTCTGTCACTCAGGCAGAAGTACTGTGGTGCAGTCATGGCTCACTGCGGCCTCGACCTCCCAGGCTCAAGCGATTCTCCCTCCTCAGCTTCCCAAGTAGTTGGCATTAGAGGCACACACCACCGGGTTTTGCCATGTTACCCAGGGTGGTCTCAAACTCCTGGGCTCAAGCAATCTGCCTGTCTTGGTTTCCCAAAGTGTTGGAATTACAGGCATGAGCCACTGCTCACCCAGACTACCACCGCTTTATTTTGCCATGTACAGACTTATTTTCTAACTTATTTTTATTTCTGTCACCATGGACCAATGAAAACTTGGTCCTGAGACTGGCCTGTTGGGACCACTAATGGAGTCTAATAATCTGGTGCCCCAAAGATAGCATCCTGGGGGGCGTCAAGGGACTTGCCCAAGTACACACAGCAGCAGGTGGCAGACCTAGGGCCAGAACTTGAGAGCCCAGAATTCTACTCTAATCCATGCCACATGGTCCAAAAGGTTTCACAGTGAGAATGACCTAAGGCTGCCACCACTGACTGGATATGTGGCCATCGATAAACTGCTAAACGTCTCCAAGCCTCAGTCTCTGTATTTGTAAAAGGACTGATTCAATAATTAAGTACCCCACTCACCACAGTCCATCTCTGAATTTTCTGGAAACTCTGGCAAAATCAAGTGGGTGCAGAAGGAAGGAGGTGCCTTGTTTACGGGCTCCAGTGTTGGCCTTACCCTTCAGAGGCCAGGGATCTTTAGTGGGGTTGGGGGTCATGGCCCAGGGTCACTGCCATGGAAGGTCTCAATAGGACTGTGGATGACAAGGCCCTTTGCAAACCGCAAAGCACTTTACAAATGTTAGGGGTTAGCCCCTAGCCTGGCACCTGCGGTGAAAGAGGTGCCCAGTGAGTGAAGGAATGGAAGAATGAAGCAACAAATGTCTGAATGTCTAGAATGAGCCCTGCTTTAGCTCCATTCTCTCACACACATACGTGCATTCAGATTTCATGCGGTGTGTCCAACACAAGCTGACGTGCTCTGCAACACTATGAGTGAGAAGGTGGGCACCCCCTAACCCATGGTCCCCACTCTGTACTTCCCACAGCTGCACAGCCCCCTCCCCCTGTGCCTCTCAGTCACAAGCCTGGGCTGCCACTCAGGTGAGGGGACAGTCTCTTACAGAAGGATCTTTTTCTCCTCGTGGTTCCTAGGCTGTGGTACTGCCATCTCCCACGGCCATCAGCCTAATTAGGAACCAGCTCTTTAATTGCAAATAAATACCAAGGAGTCAGACACGAGTGAACAACATCAAAGATGACCGAGCTCTGACCGAAACTCCCGCTCACTACCCCCTGCTCAGGGCCTGGCCTAGTTCCCAGCCAGACTCTGGGTCCTGCTGGGAGGGTTCCAGGGGGAGGAGGAGAGGAGCTGTGTCTGGGGTGGATCTGGCAGAGTGGCACTAGCCTGGGAGGAGTCCTGCCTCCTGGCCCTGATCCAGCAGGTCATCTCCCTCCTCTGGCCTCAGTCTTCCCATCCGAACAATGAGATCATTACTCTCCCCAGCTCTAAATTTCCGTGATTTAGTTAATGTTGCTAGGACTAGTAGCTCTAGTCCTAACCACCCAAACCCAGAAACCAGCTCAGATATCTATCAACAGAAAACCAATAAACAAAAACTAGGCACATCCAGCCAATGGAACACTACTCACCAAGAAAAAGGAACAAGCTACCGAAACCTGCAACAAGGTGCATGAATCTGAAGGGCATCCCATTGAGCACGAGAGGCCAGACACAGGGTTCGCGGTGTGTTTCCACCAAGACAAAACTCTTGAAAAGGCAAACTAATCTACGGCGACGTAAATCAGAACAGTGGCCAGGCATGGTGGCTCATGCCTGTAATCTCAGCACTTTGGGAGGCTGAGGTGGGTGGATCACCTGAGGTCAGGAGTTCGAGACCAGCCTGGCCAACATGGCAGAACCCCATCTCTATTAAAAATACAAAAAAATCACCCGGGTGTGGTGGCGGGCGCCTTAATCCCAACTATTCGGGAGGCTGAGGCAGAGAATCGCTAGAACCCGGGAGGCGGACGCTGCAGTGAGCCAAGATTGCACCACTGCACTCCAGCCTGGGCAACAAGAGCGAAACTCCGTCTCAAAAAATAAAATAAAATAAAATAAAATAAAATAAAATAAAATAAATCAGAATAGTGGTTACCCCTGGGGAGAGGGAGACAGCTGGGAAGAGGCACAAGAGAACTTTCCAGCATGATGGAAATATCTTATTTCTTGACTGGAACCATGGGAACTTGGGCATCTGTGCTGTAAAAAGCCACACCCTGGATACTTAAAGAACGGTGGATTTCATTTTAGGTATGATACCTTGAAAAAATTAAAAAGAAGAAAGTGGCAATGTCCTGTGGCTGTCCTAGAGCGGCCCCAGCAGGGCTCCACAGTGGCCCAGGGGACAAGCCCTGTTCCCTCCCGGTGGCACCCACATTCCTGCCACCAGAGGGTGGTGGCTGTCTGCGCCGAGGAGGAGGTGGTGACTGGTCCCAACAATAGGCCTTCTCCCCTGCACAGAAATCGGCCCCTCTGATGGCTGGCATTCTTTTCTCTACGCCTCTCTGCCCAGGGAGGGTGCTGCGAGCCCAACATGTAATTTTGTGGGGGTGCAGGGACACCAAGGGAGCTGACTGCAGTCTGAGGGAGGCGGGGAGTGCTGAAATCCCAAGAAAAGCCTTTTCGCTTCTTCGAATCAGCAGTTCTCTGTCAAAACAAAGGGCAGGAACGTTCCTGTGTGCTCCCCCGTGGGCTGCATGCTCCAAGAGCCTGAGCATAAACTGCAGCCTGCTTTCCTCCGGCTCCCCGCTTTCCTTTTGGCCAGACTGCCTTGGACTCAGCCACCCCTGAAGGAACCAGCGTTGTGCCCAGCTTAGACTCAAAGGTTCAGGGCATTCGTGGGAGGCTCAGCCCGAGTCCTCTGGGTCTTCAGGGGTCTAGGTCAGCAGGGGAGCAGGCGGTCCCTACTCCTTCACCTTCCAAGTCTTTGCTGCTGCTTCACACCCACCTGGGCCATAGCAACCTCCCTGGCTCTCCCAGGGCTGGACCAAAAGGGCCTGCTCAGCCCCTCATTGATGGGCCTGAAACAAGGGCAGACAGGCCCAGACCCTACCAAGAGCGAAGAAGAGATATTCAAAGTCTCAGAAGCCCAGAGAAGTTAAGTGACTTGCCCAGGGTCACCCAGCAAGTTGGTGGCAGAGCTGAAAAGGGGCCCAGGGCTGGCTTTTCCAATCCCCTTTGCACAGGGCTGCACTGAGGCCTCCTGCCCTCCTGGAAAACTCCTTTCTTCTGTCCCGTGTCATGCCTGTGGCTTCAAGTTCCAGTCCAACCGGCAGCTTTTCATCTGTGGCTCCCAGGCCTGGGAGTAATTACGTGGCCCTGCATCTGGTTAACCTAACACCCCTTTTAAAGCCTTGTTTGCCCATTAGATAAGTAGTTTTTGTTATCAAACTTAGAGGGAAAAAGGAGTTTCCACTTAACTCTCCTTTGTCATTTTAAGCTGCAGAAATGGCTTCAGGTTTTGCAGCAAGTCTAGAGATGCAGCATTAATTAGAGGCTCTTTTTCTTTTCTTTGTGAAGGGAGGGGAAGACCAGTTCTTTATCCACCGGGCTCCGGCAGTAAAAGCAGAGAAGGAATGTGTACAGGGCCATGTTAATGGTCAACAGCTTAGAACGAGCCTCTCTGCTGAACTCTTTCCAAACGCTGGGCCCAGCTGACAGGAGTTTCCTCTTACTCGCTCCCACCCACCCCTCCCCACCCCCCACCTCAGCTCCAGCACCTTTGGCTCCTAGAGGAAGCCGGGCTTCCAAGGGGAAGTTCCTAATCGGTCATTACATCACGGGCGGTCTGGCCACCACCGCAGCCTGCCTGCACAGGGCCCACCTCAGGGGCTCTTTTGGCGGCTGGTCTCTACACTGGCCACCACCCTCCAGGCAGCTGCTCAGCTAGTCGGCTGGGGGTGGAGGGATGCCCCTAAGACAGGGAGTGTGATGGGAACAGGAGGGCAGCATGACAGAACCAGGAGGAGGGAGACTGAGGAACATGCCGTCCACATGGCCAAGGCGCAAAAACAGGCTCAAAGAGGTGAAGTGACTTGCCAAGATCACAGTGGAAATGAGCGACACAGCTGGGACCAGGATGTCTCCTGCACAGGGTTAAAAGAATGGACTAGGGAGCAAAGGTGCCTGCATGTGAATCCCAGCTCTGCCACTCAGCAGCTGTGAAATCTTGGACGAGTGACTTCACCCTTTTAGGCCTCAGTTTCCTAACCTGTAACACAGGGATGCAATCAGTGGTTACTTCATCAGAGTGCTGGGATTAATTTCAAGTGTGTCAAATAATGCCTGGCTCAAAATAGGCACTGCATAAGTTAACAGCTATTATGATTACTAATATTATTACTATCATGCAGCCTTATCTACATGTGTATATAAATTATATGATAGATTGACTCAGCCTGTATAGTTCATAAGGGTATTCATATTCAGTAGTAACACCTGCAAACATAATATGTGCCAGTGGAGTTGAGAATCAAGGGGAAATAATAATAGTCACGATAATAATATAATAAACTAGCTCACATTTAAGAAACCTTTACCAAATACCAGGCAGTGTCTGAAACCCTTTAAATGCACTACCTGAACATATGTTAATTCTCCCATCTTAAGATGAGGGAGCTGAGGCCTGAAAGTCCGGAAACATACCCCAACCTCTCAGCCAGGAAGCTGCAGAATTGGGATTTGAGCTTCCATCTATCTAGGCTTAGAGATGTGGACTCTTTGCATTACTCCTGTGGCTGCAACCTGTGGGCTGCAAAATCCCAGAAGACTTCAGGGCAATGGCACAGAGACCATGCTATAAGAAGCTAGCCACATCCACTCCAAGCCACGTGGGGGTTCTGCAAACACTGGACGTGAAGAGGGATCCTCGAAGGTGACAGTGCTAACGACACTGCCCCACGACATGCTGCCCATCTTCCTAGGAGGGCGGTGGGCTTTTCAAATATCACACCTTAACAGCTGTTTCTGGTACCCTATGCAGCCCTGGAAACACACTTTTTGGCTTTTGAGTGTAGTTTCTCCCCCACACTCAAGCATTCTACCCTTCTAAAATACAAAAATGAGTATTTTGTAGATGGGCTACAATCATAATAATTGATCTTGGGAAAGGGCTGCTAGCCCCGGCTAGTCCCAGGGAAGTGGGAGGCGCTCTACACGCTTCATTCATGATCCTTTTTGAACTGTGCAAGTCCAGGAGGCAGAATCATCCCCATCCTCAGGACAGACCCAAAGTCAGAGTGCAGCGCAGGAATCCCGACCCTGAGCCCACCTTGGTGCTGCCTCATATGCTCCCTTAGCTCTCTTGGGTGGTCCTCAGAGTCCCCCAGTCGCAGGAGGGGTTTAGGAGTGATCTGGGGTATCCTGTCGGTGGCCACCTAGCTGGGCTGTACCCAGCCCTCTGGAGGCCAAGGGTTTTCTGCCGGCTTTTCTCTGCAGAAAGGCCTTTCTTTCAGCCTCAGCGCCCTGACTGCAGCCTGCTTGGCCCCACCTCTCTGGCAGAACAAAGTGGCGGCCTGGGCTGTGATGGGTAAGGTTTCCATTCTTTTATCTCTTGCAGTATTCAAACAAATCCTGAACAGATGAACTCATCTTGCAACCCTGACACAAAACAAGCTTTTTATTCACCCAGGTCCTCCTACTACACAGGCCTGCTCAGTGTCTCCTCCATAGACCGTTTCCCCAGGAGATATTAGGCCTTACCACTCCAACGGGCAAGGGGACCCACCAGAGGATGAAACCGGAGGCCCCACTCCCATCAGCACGCCTCTACCTGCCCTCCACCTGCAGCTCACCGGTCTGGCCATGCCAAAGAGATCGTCTCCCACCCGCTAAGACTGTTCCAGGTTCCCTGGGCCCAGACAGCATGGCTTTTCTCTCCAGGTCCCGGGGCTCTGTGGTACAAGCTCCCTTCACTACACTCTCCGCAGGCAGCTATAGCTTCGAAGAGCCACGCGGAGGCTGGTGGTAGAGCTATCTCCTCCATCAGAGGACTCATCCATCAGACTCTGTGCCAGAAACAGTGGTGCTGCCCTCTTAAAAGAAACTGCAACTACTTAAGCCTGAAAAGGAGAAGACCACCTGGCAAGCAAGGCAGGGAACCCCCTCAGGCCCTTGGGGAGGAAAGGAGCCCAGGTGAGGGAACTCTGGTTCCCTGTGTCCTAGAGGGAAGGAGGGTGGAAAGGGAGAGCCAGGGCAAGATAAGCAGATTATAAAATCAGCCCACGTTTTGAGAAGGAACCAGTTTCTGTAACAAAGCCTCTGAACTTTGCTCCCATTCCAAGTCCTCTTTTGTTTTATCATAAAGTCGGACTCTGGAGTGTGTTTGTTTGTTTTCTTACTCAGAGACCACCTGGGGTGGGAAAGCCTTGCTTTCATTATTGCCCCTGGAAAGGTTCTAAAATAACAGTGTGCAAGACAATGAAGCTGGGTACCTCGGTCCCCAGGTGGCAGTTGTGAAATGGGAAGGGGCCCCCAAATCCTCCCAGCTCCATGGGTCTGCACTGCTTATGGCCAAACTGCTGGGATCACATATAAACCAGTGCCCGCACCGGCCTTACATCAGGCCGCGCCGGTTCTTACATCAGGCTGGGCCTGAGTTCTCATCTCAGGCATTAAATGCCCAAGTTCACCAACTGAACCCAACCCTGAAGTCCCTGGTTAATCTGAGACCACAGAGACAAAATTGGCCCTTTGGGGGTTCAGATAGGGACAGCCTGGGTGTGCATCAGAGGTGCAGGGATGCTAGTTTGTAGCAGATGATGGTAGGCTTCAAGAAAGCCCTTCTCGGCCGGGCGCAGTGGCTCACGGCTGCAATCCCGGCACTTTGGGAGGCCAAGGCAGGTGGATTGCCTGAGGTCAGGAGTTCGAAACCAGCCTGGCCAACATGGTGAAACCCTGTCTCTACTAAAAATACAAAAATCAGCTGGGCGTGGTGGCGGATGCCTGTAATCCCAGCTACTTGGGAGGCTGAGGCAGGAGAACCGCTTGAACCCGGGAGGTAGAGGTTGTAGTGAGCCAAGATTGCGCCACTGCACACTGGGCAACAGAGCAAGACTCCATCTCAAAAAAAGAAAAAAAGCCCTTCTTTGGGCACATACTTCATCTTGCAGGTTCCCAGAGCTGAGAGAACTTGAGGCACCTCTAATTGTCTTTTATTTCCCAAATACAATGTGTTTTATTGGCAAACCTCCTGCCTTAAACTTCTTCTTGGACCTAATATAAAGCCATAAAAGCAAAGTACCTAAAAATTGCCCTCAATTAGCCTGTCTCAGCTCTCAGGAACAGGCACCCACACTGGTGTAGAAATGTCCCAGGGGGTAACCAGGTAAGGTACCCACAGCCCAGCTCCCTCAAATCCTTGGCCTCACCATCTCCTGCCACCAGGCCGCTTAGCTCCCTGGGCTTTGAACACCCCACCCAGTGTGAATTTCATCCATCCACTCTCTTGATCTGGAATGCTTCCTGAGACTACAGATGATGGAGAGGTGAACTGGTGCAAATCTTCACAGCTATGTTACCGTGGGCAGGTGACCACATCTCTGAGAACCAGGACCAGCTACCTACTTTTGAGGGCCCAGTGAAAAATGAAAACGCAGGGCCCCTTGTCCCAAAATTAGGAAGATTTTCAAGATGGTGAAAGCACAGCATTACGTTAAGCAGAGACCTCTGTGAGCAGCAGCCCTCAGTTACCCCACACATCCAACACCCGCGGAGTCGGCCCTGCCAGGGGCTGGTTTCCTCTAGGTGATTACCTAACTCACAGGTTAAGGGGTTTTCGAGAAGGGCTTGACAACAGTACCCGGCACTCGATGACCAGGAGTTTCTTTCCCCATTCCCTAATACTTGTCAGAAACTTGCTTAACCATCCAGACACCACTGTCACTTCCTTTGGAAAGCCTTCCTCAGCCCCTGGGTCTGAATCACACACCCCTCTTCTGTGACACTCAAATTTATGCTGTCAACAGAAGGGTACGTGTCTCCATCCAATTCATCCACCAGCAGGCTGGCCTGGGATTCAGCTGGCTTGCTCTCCCCTCTCCTCCCCAAGGACCTGGTACTATGTCGCCTAACAGAGGTGCTCTCGGCAATGCAGAGCTGAATATGAAAACTCAAAGGCTGGAAGGGCTTTTGAAAAGTCATCTGCCTCCTTTCAAACCCAGCCCCAGGTTTGAAAAAGGCACTGTGGCAATTATTGTTGCCATTTAACAGAGAGTACTACTGATGCTCAGAGGTCAGGATGTTAGGTAGGTGAGGAGAACCATTGTCCCCATTTGCTGATCCTCCTGATGCAGCCTGGTTAACAGAATGGCAAATGAGCTTACTATGTGTGAGCCTTGTTTCAGTGGCTCGAAATAAAATGAAATAAAATAAAATCACCTAAAGTCTACAAGTCATCTTACCTGGCCATGGGGGTGGATTTAATTTCTCTGGCTTGCTAAGTCTATGAAAGTAAATGGAACAGGGAACATAGCTTTGAATGGAAGAGCCAAAGAATGGGTGGAGAAGCTGGTTTTCTTATTTGCAAAGCTCTCAAACGTAAGCTTCATATCTAACACCAGTTGGTTGTTAATTTACCAACTAGACAGAATCAGGTGACCTTTGCAAATCAAATATACCTGCCTCGATTTACACTAAAGATGTAGGCTGGATATGGTGGCTCATGCCTATAATCCCAGCACTCTGGGAGGCCAAGGTGAGAGGTTCACTTGCGCCCAGGAGTTCAAGATGTGCCCTGGCAACATAGCAAGTCCCCATCTCTACAAAAAAATAAAAAATTATCCAGACATGATGGCATGCACCTGTAGTCCCCCAGCTACTCTAGAGGTTGAGGTGGGAGGATTGCTTGAGCCTCGGAAGCCGAGGCTGCAGTGAACCGTGGTGGCACCACTGCACTCCAGCCTGGCCAACAGAACAAGACCCTGTCTCCAAAAAAAAAAAAAAAAAAAAAAAAAAAGATGCAGCTTGGGATAATCACTCCAAAATTAAAAGTACAAAGGTGGGACATTAGATAATAATTCCTGCATTAAATCCTTTCCTTTAAAATAGCCTTTTGTTATACAAAAATACATGATCCACACCTCTCTGGTGAATGCAGAGGCCTATATACTGAATTTTCTTAAAGTGAGGATTGCCTCGATCATTCTTGTGTGTTTCTGGAACAAACCGGAATGCTTTATAATTAACAAAAAGCTAATATTGACTAGAGAGATTATTAATCCACAATTAAATACTAATATTTGCTGCACAGAATGCAGTAACATGAGACTTAAGCGTTCCCAACAAAAATGTTGCAAAATGCCCTACTGGCTTGGCAGAAGTACATGGCTCTGCCATGGCCACCCGTCTATTCTCTGTGACTGTGCTACTGTGCAGGCAAGTTGAAGCTGCTTGACGCATCCATGCCCAAGCTCCCAAGCTGCCAGGAAAGAGCTGGCTTGTTACAATGATCAGGGGTGAAGGGTGCAAAGGAGGGAGGGAGCTAACCAGTATATCCATCCCACCAGGCTAATAGGCAGACACAGCCCCACAGAGACCCCAGGACCCACACCTCTATCCCAAGTCCAAGACTGGTTTCCAAGGCAGAAGGAGGCCAAGCTTGGTTCCCACAGCCCATGCCAAGAAGGCAGTTCTATCCTCATTGATGGTGATGGTGGGATGTTCTTTTGAACTGTGGAAGGTTTCCCAATTCTACAAGCCCATTCATAAATGACCTTGTTTTAGCTTATGGAATATAAAGCTCACAGAGGTTTGGTGACTACCCCATGGCCCACAAGGTTAATGACAAAGCAGGATCAGATGCTCCTTCCAATGCCACTGCCTCCCGCCCAGCATCTTGAAGAAGTTGAATCATTATCTCAGTAAGAGTTTCATATTTCTCAGAGTAATTCTTTAGCCTGTGTCTGGATAAGAGCACACACTGTGTGACTAACACCAACACAGCAATAACATGAGGGCAGTGATCACAACTGTCAGCCGGCTTCTATTTGGTCTTTTATTGCCAAGGTTAACTTTTCAGTGAAGATGGGCATGCTATGTTTTCCATGATCCAGTTCATAATTCTGGATTTCTTCTAGAAAAGACAAGAGTCCCAGGGAGACATCTGGGCTGAACTCGATGATGGCAATGCCCAAGTGCCTTCTAGAACTGTTTCCCCCTCCGGAGGGCTGTTTGCAGCTACAGGGACCTGTGTGATAGGTGAGAGGAGGGGGTGCCTTTCCTGAATCACACAGAAGCCTTGCTGGGGTCTACCCAGCAGGCAACTTACATGCATGGGCCCAGCAAACATTGGCAGAGATTCACTAATAGGGACCCTGTTTAGGTTGCTTCAGACACCCTCTGTTCTCACTGGGTCTCCTGTGGGAATCCAGTGGCTACTGAGCATCTATGTCCACGTATCCCATCTCATTTAATGCTGAGAACAATCCTAGGAAGCAGGTATCATTTTACAGAGGAGGAAATGAAGGCTCAGGGAGGTTAAACCCCCAGCCTAAGTCACACAGCTGACAAGCCCCAATCCAAACCCAGGGCAGCCAGACCCTCAGACATTCTTCCTGCCATTTTTCTTCACAGAGTGCGTCCTGGACGGTGCTCAACTTCTAGCCTGTACCTAGTTCCAACAGGCAGTCAGCACAGTCCCTCTCCCTGACATCTCCCACGGTTGTGACTTGCACCTCCTCTACGAGGCTGGCGCCTGCCCCCTGCCCCCCATCCCTTCCACCTCCCTTCCCTATGGGCACAAATGGCCCTGCAGGCTGCCAGCGTCTGCATTCCTAGAGCACATGCCCACTAAGGAGGATCCTGAGTAATTCAGCCCATAAATCATGGCCATTGTGAATTTCCCTTTTAGCCACAGGCAAAGTCAAACTTTTCCTTCCCCCACTGTAGTTAACCACTCTTTGTTCACTGTATCTCTCTCAGCTCCGTCTGGCTGGGGGCCAGCTCTCAATTATTAATTAATCTGGGAGGCGCAGGTTGCATTCCTGGCCACCTAACCACTTCCTCCTCAGTGGGGAACTTGCAGGCCGGGACTTTTGAGTTACATCAAGTGTCGCACAACATCCCAGCCCTGTGTTGTGGCTACTGCTGCAAGAAAGGACGTCTAACACCAGAGTTAAAAATAACAGCAGAAAACCCGAATACCCAGAAGTCGCTTTTCCCAACTCTATCCCATAGCACCAACCCAACCTGCATGCCCCCATCATCATAAAGCCACAATGTGACTCGGTTTCTCTTGTCTGTGAAATGGGGAGATCTTCCCCCATCAAGTAAGGCAGTGGTCTGTGTGTTTGTGTAGGAAGGGAGTAATCAGTGAAATCAATGAGCTCTCCCCTCTGGTAATTCTTACTAGCTGGAAAGGGATACACCAAGACTTAAAGTTAAGAAGCAATCCTGGCCAGGCATGGTGGCTCACGCCTGTAATGCCAACATTTTGGGAGGCCAAGGCAGGCAGATCACGAGGTCAGGAGATAGAGACCATCCTGGCTAACATGGTGAAACCCCGTCTCTATTAAAAATACAAAAAAGTAGCCGGGCATGGTGGCGGGCACCTGTAGTCCCAGCTGCTCGGGAGGCTGAGGCAGGAGAATCACTTGAACCCAGGAGGCAGAGGTTGCAGTGAGCCAGATTGCGCCACTGCACTCCAGCCTGGGCGACAGAGCCAGACTCTGTCTCAAAAAAAAAAGAAGTCCTGAGCCTGAGCCACAGCAGGTGCTGCTTCTCACCTCATCCACTCGCTTTCTCCTCGCTGGCTGAAGGAAAGTGCCAGGTGACTGGGGTAGTGGGGATAACAGGGGTGAGGGCTGCAACTCAGCCTTATTAAAGTCATTCAAGCATCTTCAGGGGTGGTGAGGGAGAGGATGGGAGTGTGATCCCTCTTTGCTGGGTCAAGTTTTCAGGAGGCCTTTGCATGGACAAACACCCCGAGAAACAAGGGGACCAGCCTTGGCGTGAAATGGAGCCCTATGGCGGTGAAACCCAGGGGTGGAATCTGAGCAGTGTCTTTAATTCCTAAAAGTAATAAAGGTCTTTCCCTCCTTTTAAGTTACAAGTTAGAATGGGTACTTGATGTCAGCAACAATGCTGAACCTTTGCTGCTAGCTGGATGGAAGACAAAATGAAGCCGTGAGATCAAAGAAGGACAAAAATGATGGCAGCAACCTATCATAGCAAGGACGAACACTTACGTGGTAAATGCCATCGAGTATCCTAGTATCCTTTTGGTCATTTCCCTCCTCTGGGCCCATACACAGCTTACAGTATGTCAACCTTACCCACAGTATCCACCGAGCTGTCAACTGTGAGTTCCAAGGACTCAGCACCTTAGGATATATAGTCTAGGAAAGATCTTTAAATCTCATGCTTTCTGCATTCCATGTTATATCTGCTTTTGATGTGACAAGACAGATGACTTGGCCCCATATCTTCATATACTCTAGGGAGGAAGGGACGCTTTTGTCTCTTGGCTTCTCTTCCCTAAATACTGAGGCTTTCGGATAAAGCACGCATCCCACCAAGATAAATTATTGTGCACATACAATAAAGTACCATTAATTAGGACTCATAAATCCAGAGTTTGTAATAATTCCGAAAGCAGCTGGGTCGAAGTAAAAAAAAAAAAGTTTTGATAAACAAATGCAAAATATAAATAAGGTTCAGGAGAACTGTTTATCCTATTAGCACTATATAAACAACTGGCATACCAATTACAAATCGCTCTTATCTGCTCTCGAAAGCAGATCTCTGCATGACCTCTAACGGGAAATATTATCCAGTTAGTATCACAGTCTACAGTATTTGGAAATCACAAAACCTGGTTTCTTAGACAGTATCCTTTCCAATCACCCACCACTCACTCAGCCTGAACTGGTGAGGAGCCCCTGAGCTGTCAGCGTTCTTTCTCTGTGTATCTGGAAGGGAAGTCCCGTGGATGGCCGAGGCGCCTCAGCCCTGCTCTGGTAGTCAGTGGCTGCCCAGGAAGGAGTGGCAGCCCTTGGCTCTGGCATGCCAACATGCCACCCAGTTATCTCCATGCCCATCTTCAAGAAGCAGCGTTGCCTAGGGCGTTTGGCCAGGGGGCTCTGCCAACTCGGGCTTTTCCAAATGGGCAGGGTGGGGCCCCACCCCTGTGTGGAACCCCTCAGGCGTTAACTGCAGTAGGTAAACCAAGGACAGCCTGTTTGTGGCTTCCTTGGTGATTTACATGTTAGCTGGGCCCCAGGTTCTCTCCCTGGGAGGAAGCAGCATTTTCAACCCTGGAGAGGACAGAGGTGAGGGGCCCCAGATAAGCTGGGGAGTGTGGAGTGGCAGGAAGAGGCCCTGGGCGAGGCTGTGAAGCCATCGCGTGGAGAGGGTGCGTCGGTCCTGGCCCGAGAGGGACAGACTGCAAGGCCCCAGAGAGGTGGGCAGGGGGCCAAGCTGGAAATACCGAGGGCTGCTCCAGCTCAAGGAGACGGCCCTGCCAAGTCGGGGAGGCGGCACTGACGAGAGAATGGCAGGTTCCGGCTGGGCCAGTCCCCAAGGGCACCAAGTCAGGAGCAACTGCCTGTGTCTCTGGGCACGTGGGGGCTGGAGCCATGCCAGGGAGACCCAGAGCCGCCAGTCTCCCCAGGGTGCCCCTGTCCTGGCGCTACCCTGCAGCCCACCAGCCTGAGGAACCCTGAGGAGTGCAGAGCACCTCCAAGTGGCATGCTGACCTTGGGCAGGGAGTCAGGCCTGGCCACCAGACTGGAAGATTGCTCTTTTCCCCTCCACCTTCCATCTCCTAGTTCTGGAGGTGCTCAGCAGATCTCACTGAGCCCACTGTGCAAGGGGTCCCTGCTGCTGCTTGCCTTGAGGGCACTTTGGACATCTTCTGGTTCAGCAAGACCCTGACTGTACCCACTGCGTGAAGGAAGCAGCCTCAGAAGGGGATCCCAAGACTGGCAGGGACCTCTCTGCTGTGTCCTTTGGGGACAACTCCTCCTTTGGGACAGGGAAGCCAGGTATATTGGTGAACTCCTTTTTCTCTCTCCCTCTACCAACTCCTCTGCATCTTCCCCTTGGGCTTCAAAAATTGCTATTGTAAGACCAACAAAAACACCACAGTTGGGGCTTGGCACTGTGCAAGCATCCTACCACCAGATGGACATTCTTCCACAGACACCATGGGTTCTGAAGCTGACCCTTAATCAACGGTACAGTTGATGGAAGGGATTCTTTATCTATATCTCTGGAATCTGAGCATCCACTGAGTTCAGCCCTCTTTCCTCTCATGGCGTTTACTCTAAAACAGGCAGACCAACTCACTTATTTGTGAAGACCCACCAAGAACCACTTCCAGCAGGTCCTTCTTGCTGGAGTCTGACCACCTCTGCCTCCCCCAAAGTGCCCCCTCCCGACAGTGCTCCCACCCCACCACGGAGGGCTGCCCAGGCCTTGAACACAGGGAGCTCCACCCAGAAACCCTGGAAGCAAATTCCCTGAGGGGAAAGAGTGGGTAGGATGTTTTCAAGAACCACTCATTGTGGGTTTGGGTTTCAGCCAGCAGAAGTGCCACTGAGATGCCAGAGAGGCGTTTCCTTGAGACAGGGCCCCTCTCACCCGCTTGCTAAGCGCCTACTGTGTGCAAGGATGCACCCACGCAGGCATACTGGAGGAATGATTGATGGTGCGGCAAGGGAGGCACTGGAGGTGGAAGTGAGGAGAAAATAACGGGGGAGTCCAAGGAAATCAGGGAGACTCTTGTTTTTGTAAACATCATTCCTTCCTTCTGGTCAGTTCCAAGTTCTTTAGTGGGCTATACACGCATTATTTTTTTCTCTCACATCAAAATAGCCCTCCCTCAGACTGGAAGAAGAACACAAACATTCTTTGCTGCTGGCCTGCAGGAGGTGAGCAGTCGCCTAGGGCTAAGCTGACTGCAAGCCTGAAGACGCCGCAGCCTGGGAGTTCTGAGCGTCACTTCCTTGCTCCCAATTCAAAATGGACTCTGGTGTCTGGGGAATCCACACACCACCCCAGTGGGCCATGTGAATGTCATGGGGTGAGGTGGGCATGCCATTCTTGGGTTGGTAAAAGCTCTGAAAAGTACAGGGTGCCGTGGAATGTACCGTCTAGCAGCAAGGGCGTGTGTATTTCAAAGAAACGTGGAGGAAGCCAGGGGAATCTAAAGGATTCCTTGGGAATGTCTGGGCTAGAGATTATTCAGCCTGACCTCCTCCCTTTACAGAAGAGGGAACTAAGGCCCAGAGAGCAGAGATCACTCATCCAAGGTCATCCAGGAGGGTAGGGCCTTATAGCTAGGGCTGCTGCCTCGGAGGAAGGGCCCCCCGTCCTAGATACCACCAGGCCCAAGGAACGGAGACAAATAATCCTGGTGAGTCCAGCCAACATGAATTATTTTTGCAAAATGGTCTGTTTATTTGTTCTTGTGGGTAGAAGGGAGAGAGTCCTTCCTCACATCGCTGTCGGAACAACTCCCTGCCTGTGCCTGCAAAGTGACCCGCCCTGGCTGGCCAGCACCACCACCAACTCTCAGGCAAAGGATGTGCGTTGCAAAAATGGGGCAAAGTTTCCTATTCTGAAGATAACATTGTAAGACACAGGAAGTCTGAGAGCAGAGCTTGGTTTCCAGAAAGTCTCTGCACACCCGTTCGCAACCCCTTCCATTGTACGGGGCTGCTAGAGATTCTGAGGCTGGGGGTGGGGCAGGAGGGACAGGGACAGTGCTAGGAAGTGACAGAAGCCACAGACCAGGTAAGAGTCCAGAGAGGGGTTTTCCCGGCTCTCAGGCTCACTGGACCTCGTGGCAATCCAGACGCCCCATCTGAGTTCCAGCTTCCTCAACTGAAAAATAAAAGGGTTAAAGAGGCAGTGTTTCTCCTGCCCTCGTGTCCAGATTCCCAGGCCCCGCCCCTGGAGGTTCTCATTCATGGGTCCTGGGTGGAGCCCGGGAATCTATGTTTTTAACAAGATTTAGGAGGCCCCTTTTCTGACTCTGATATGTCATGATCCCTCGAGAGGAGGGTTCAACAGCCTGGCATGGTGGGGAGGGAGTTAGCTTCCTCCAGGGAGGGATGACAAGGGCAGGAAGGAGACCAAACCAAGTCAACTTCCTAGCATGAGACGGACGTGGTTGGTCCCAGCGCCAGGCCTGGGAGACTGGCTGGGAAGGCGACACTCTGGAGCCGTCACGGATGGCCCTGACTAGTGTGTCTGGGTGTGTTTGAGGACAGGCCCTTGGGACAGTGTGCACCTCCCTGTGGGATTTGGAATCAAGGACCTCAGTTCAAATCCTAGCTCTGCCACTTCCTAGCTGTGTGTCTGGGATGAATGCCTCAGCCTCTCTGGGCCTCAGGTTCCCCAACTGTGACATGAGATCAGGAGCAGCCATGAGGATGAATCACTGGAAAGGGACTAAAGTACTAATCACTGACGAGTCCTTCGAGCCCGCCATGTGCCAGGCACACCTAGTTCTCACAACAACCCTACAACATAGATGTTCTTAATTTTCAAAGTCACCGGCGGTACAGGTTTCTGACTGTTCTGCTCTGGCACGCAGGGAGTCTTCCCCCCATGCTGCCTTCCTTCCCTTCTCTGGATTCCACAGGCACTGCCTAGCACCCATGATGGGCACTGCTCTGCATGGGGCACCAGGAGACCGAGACACATCTCTGCCTGCAAAGCTCCAAGTCCAACAGGAAGAAAGGGTGTGATCGCAAAAGAGCATTATAAATGAGGGGCAGTGAGGCAAGGAACACAGAGACATCACAACCATCTAGAAAAGGAAGGTTAACAATCAAGGATTTGAAGGCTGAGTGCAGTGGCGGGGAGGGTGGGAGGGATGGGGAGGAAAAGCGGCATTCCAGGTTTGGGGAACGGCATGGGCAGAGGCACACGGGCAGGAGACAAGGCCAGAAAGGTCTCGTTTGACCAGATTGCAGAAGGGCTAGTGAAAAGTCTGCAGAGGCCGCCTGGGGACCAGACCATGCCGGGCCTTGACTATCTGGTCAGGAGTAAGCACCTGTGTTGGGCAAGGAGAGCCAGAACCCAAACAGTTCCCAATCTCAGGTATGCACACCCCAACAGAGGGCAGGGACCCTGCTCACACTACCTCTGGATCTCAGGATCCAACCTGGTGCCGACAAGTGAATGTGAATAATACTAGAAGACAAGTGGATTCTACAAGTGCAAACTCTAGGACTGTACAAAGCAGTGAAGATTCAGAGCTTTTGTTCCTGGTCTTTATTTGTGAAGCCTATTTAGAGGTAGGACAGATCACTCTAGTTTAAAAAATAAAAGGAGTAAACGAAGATCCAACAAAGCACGGTGGGATGAGCATCTATAAAGATATACATATGTAGATCATCAAGTTTACTGTGCTGCAATCCATAGTCACAAAGATATGGAACTGACCTAAGTGCCCATACATACTGGGTACAGTGTACACTGCTCAGGTGACAGGTGTACTAAAATCTCAGAATTCATCGCTATAGAATTCATCCATGTAACCAAAAGCTACTTGTACCCCAAAAGCTGTTGAAACAAAAAAAGTTTGCTGTGTTGTTCATGAATATTTCTCTCTCTCTCTCTCTCTCTCTTCCTCTCTGTCCAGTAGGTCTGTGCACTTCTGAAAGCATGATTATAAAGCCCCACTTTTCTGGGGATTTATCAAATTCTCTTATTTCTGTCCATTTTTGATTTAGGTATTTCAAAGACATGTTGTCAGGTGTACAAAGATTATTGATTATTATACCTTACAGATCATTTTGGCTTTGATATAAATAAGGAATCAGCAAAAGAGAAATTTGGCCTGCCAGCTGTTTTTACCGAGTTTTGTTGGAACGTAGGCTTACTCATTGTTTTATGTATTATCTATAGATGTCCTCGGGCTACAGTGGCAGAGTTGAATTGTTGCAACAGAGACTGTGTGCCCTGCAAAGCCTAAAGTGTTTACTATCCATTTTACAGAAAAAGTTTGCTCTGAACCTCTTGGTTCCTGCTTTTTTGCCTGAAATATTATTACTTCATATTAATATTGCTCCTCTTGCTTTCTTTTTCTTTAGCATTGACTTCTATGTCTTTTCCCATTCCCTTTAGATTCAACCTTTCTCCATAATTTTGTTAAGGTGTGTCTCTTCTAGATTAGCATGTAGCTGGATGCATAAAGACAAAATCTGAGAGCATTTATCTTTTTTTTTTTTCTTCTGGAGACAGAGTCTCACTCTGTCACCCAGGCTGGAATGCAACGGCACGATCTCAGCTCACTACAAACTCTGCCTCCCAGGTTCAAGTGATTTTCCTGCCTCAGCCTCCCGAGTACCTGGGACTATACATGCCTGCAACCGTGCCAGGCTAATTTTTGTATTTTTAGCAGAGACGGGGTTTCACCATGTTGGTCAGGCTTGTCTCAAACTCCTGACCTCAGATGATCCGTCCACCTCGGCCTCCCAAAGTGCTGGGATTACGGGCATAAGCCACCACACCTGGCCCTGAGAGTGTTTATCTTTTAATAGATTATTTTAACACATTCGTATTTACTGTTATGAGTATTTGGACCTGCCATGCTGTTCTGTTTTTTGAAATTTATCATGTTTTGTTGTTGTTTCCATCCTGCCAAGCTTTGGAATTCCCTCTCAAGAGAAGACTGGGATGGGGAAGAAAGAGAGGATTCTGCTTTAGCAGTGTTTAAATTCTATATAGAGAGAATGTCACTATATTTCTTGCTTAATCATGTATTACTTCATATTAATAATAAAAAAGAGTTTTCAAGAACCAAGAGTTGTGAATATACAGGGATCTCTGTGGTTAATTCTCAGGTCAGCAAAAGTTCCAGTCACACTTTCCTGCCACTGCGTCCACCCGCAGACACACAATGACAACAACTTTCTATCCATGGAGTAAATGTGGAATTCGCTTGAAGGAGGGTCCCACGCCCACTCCATCAGACTAACAAGAAGCTGGCCCCTCTGGGCTCTGCTGGTGGCCACGGGAAAGTGCTGTCTGAGGTAGGCACACGTGCCTGAGAGCTGTCCCTACTGCCCCTAGTCAGGCCACCACCACCACGTCTGCAGAGCCTACCCCGGTGCCCAGGATGCCCAGCGCATTCCATGCCACTCTGTTGTCCTGCCAGCACTTCCTTCGCGGCTCGGTGGACATTCTGGCATCCAGGCTGTGTGAGCAGAATGCGGCGCTCAGGGCAGCCCTGGCCAGACCCCCTCCAGGCACTGAACTACTGCCCTCATGCCTCTGCCAGGGGGCCCCACCTTCAGAATTCTCTTCATCCCTCCCCAGAGTGTCAGAGCTAAGCAGGACCTCCAAGAGACTGTGGGACAAGGGCCAGAAGGGGCCGGCATCAAGGCAGACCAGCCCCCGGCCTGGGAGACCCAGCCTGAGGGTCCTGCTGGACACCCCTCAGGAGTGAGCCTGGGTTCAGCTCTGCCTCCAGCCAGCCCCACACCATCTCTGGGCCTCTGCTCACTCCCCTGGGCTAAATAATGTGTCCGCTGTCTCCTGAGTCCACATGAACCTCTGTCATTGTGGGGGACTCCTCCTTAAGGAAAGGGTGGCTGGAGGGGATCCCCAAGCTGAAAGGAAAGCGGCATTTCTTGCTATGTCTGACACCCCCTAGACACCAGGTTCACTCCTTCAGAGGGAGACGTCGGGGCTGCACACCACGCCTCCTCCCGTACCCTGCGTATTGGAGTTGGCAGTTGGTGAGGAAGTTTTGTTCCCTGGACGTCTGCTGTGTTTTGCGTGTCTCACACCAGCCCGCTCTATTAGATCCTTATGGCATGAACGGGAGACGAGGACTATCACGTACACTACAGATGGGGAAACTGAGGCTCAGGGAGATTAAGCCATGTCCTCAGGACACCAGAGCTAGTCAGCAGCAGAAGCCCCCCATCGCTAACCCAAAGTCTAAGGACTCCCAGTCAGGGTTTTTTCCACTACACCACAACCGTCTCAGGTAGACATGAGGCAGAACTTCCCTCCCAACATATGAGTATCGGGCCCAAAGCTCCCTGTAGGGGAGGAGGAAGGAATCTTCCCAGGGAGAAGAAACAGCCAAAACAGACACAAGGGGAGCATCTCCCTCCCATCCTCCACCCTCACCTCTGTCCAGAGGACACAGCTCATGCTGCAAACCACTCTGCCCGAATTCACTTTGTGATTTTAGGCAAGTTAAGCCCTGGGCTTTGGTTTCCTCAAACCTAAGAGGATGGACTATCGGAAACTCTGGTGTCCCTTCTGGCCCCAATCTCCACTGGCAGATTCTGCCATGTGTATGGGACCCTCCCCTTTGTGGGTATGTGGGATGGAGGGGAGGGCAGACAGAACGATGGAAAACAAATATTTTCAAGGGATGGGAGTAAACACCACTGTTGGCATGGCAGCGCCAGTGGAGCTGCTGAACTAGAATCCTGAAACCGTTAAAAATAGGAAAAGAAACGGTACAGTTCACATATTTTGCAAAGCTAAGTTAAATCAACATCTGCAAAAAATATCCCTGTTAAACGGAATAGCAGGATTTCATTAAGTAAATTGCAAGTTGGCAAAAATTCTGAAAGAAAGGGGAAAAGCCACGGGCTGGCCTGTAATTTAAACCTTATTTTAACTGTGACAGCATGACTGCAAAGGGCTCCGTTTCCAAACGAAAGGAAAAAAATAAAATAAAACCTAAAAAAAAAAAATTTTTTTAAAGGGCCTCCTGCACTCCCAGGCACCCCCCACTCCTAGCTTCCACGTACCCACAATATTTTCAGTAATTATAATGTTACCTAGTTTTCCCATGGATACAACAAATGAGGGACAGGGAGAAGGGGGAGGTGTGGGGAAGAAGGAGGAAAAAGTGAACACACAGACAAAGTCACCATTGTCACCTCTAATTAGTTTTTTTTTTTTTTAACCAAAATGACTTGAAGCATAGAACTCTGGGAATCTTTTCCTTCCTCCAGGAGGCCTTTCTGTTTAACCCCACTGTGGGTTCCCCCGGCATGAAGCCCCATACAGTGGTGGGGGCCAAACCCAGCTCAGCCCAGAGAAGAGGAGATTGCCCCTTCACTTGCTGGGATGACCCTGCTGCTCACCTCGGGCAGGCTCCTCGCTCCCTGAGCCTCAGGTCCTCAGCCCTGGAATAAGGTGACAACAGCAGCCACTGCCCAGACCCTGGAGTACCAGCAGAGCAGTGGAGAGGAGGACAGGAAAGCCCTTTGTAAAACCCAGAGAACCTGAAACTCCTGGGACAAGCTAGGGGCTCTTCCACCTGGAGCCCAGGTAAGCAGATAGCTGCAGTGGCGATTTCATGAACCCGTAAGCAATTGCAGACACAGCCTTCAACACTGAAGATCCTGACCCTGAGCACCGCAACCTCTCCCTTCATAGCTAAAATCCAGGGTTCCCTCCATCAGTCCCTGTGGTGTCATTCAAGGATGGTTCAATACCTGGAATGTGCCTCTCATAAAAGAAACTTGAGCAGAAGGAATCATCTACTTGGCTGTTAAAAAATCTGTTTTCTTATTTGGCAATGGTGCACACACTCACTTCTCTCTTCCCATAAAGAATCTTACTGTTAACCCCCACATCTAAAAAAGATCAATGTAAAGCCAGCCTACCACGCTGGCTGGGCCTGTGAGTCCATGAGAACCTGCCTGGCACCGTCCTGTGAACAAACAGAAATTTCTGCTGGATCCTCAAACTGGTGGTGATTCTTCAACACGGCAGTGGCCCTTCGTAGTGGGCCATGACTCCTCCCCATCACCCCCATACCCTTAGGAAGGCTTTGAAGGGTAAAGACAGCACTGGAACCAATAAACAGCTTTTTTTCTGCACACAACTGATCTGCTGCTAGTTTCTAGAAAAAAAACAAATATGGACCGTATGAGAGTGTGCAGTAATTTACAGGCCCAGAGAAGGTAAGGTGTTTGCCTAAGGTCACACAGCAAATAAGCAGTAGAGGAGGGGATTACAGATAAGAATAAAGCAGCCTATCCCTCAGCCCCTACTGGAATCTTATCTGCTTGGTGAGCTGAGACACATTAGCACCCCCAGCCCACACAGCCTCCCCTTACCTAGCACCCCTCTGCTACCTCTGCTAGGAGCCACAAAGCCTCATTCTGTCCTTTTCACTGTTGCCTTAAATGGACTTTTAGCTCCCACCCTGTTGGGGTAACTTTCCTCTGAGCTGCAGTGAATCCATCTGTAAAATGGGGATTATAATTAATCATATCCCATCCTCAGGATGGTTATAAGGATTCTGGGAGACACTCTACGTAAAATGCCCAACTCTGTGCTGAACAGCTAGTAGGCATTCATTCTGCATAACCCTACAAAGCCCAGCATAGAAGGCACTCAGAGAAATCACTAAATGGTATGAAAATGAGAATAAATGAATCCTATCCACCGCATAGTATCAATGCTGAGGGACAGAAAATAAAATGGGCACACGCATTCACTGAGCTCCTGCCCGGTACCACTGGCTGTAATTCACACAAGGGACCTGGGTGAACAGTGTATGTCCACGTGCAAGTGGAAGGTGGTCGGAGGAGGCTGTTTAGAAGATGCAAGTATGAACCCCTGAATACCGCAAAGCTCGGTCCAGTCTTCTGCAGCACAGGAAGAGCCTGCCCATTCCCCAGGCAGTGACACCCAGAGCCAGGCAAAGGTCTGACCTTTCTGCAAGGATAAGTTTCAGCTTGACCCCTGGCTTTAATTTGAGAGCACAAGCAAGAGGTTGGCCCACTTACTGAGAGTGGCAGAGGTTGAAGGAGTCCAGAGAATACAACAGAGTCAGGTGGAGAGACCGGAGGAATGAGAAATATGCCCCTGTTTTTGAAGACCAGGCAGCCATAGCACCCATTCATGGAGCACTTACTATGTATATTCTTAACTCAATCCTGAGATGGGATTTTTACTTTTACAAAGCAGGGCAGATGAGCCCATGACCACCCACCTACATGTCACTCCTGTAGAGGTGACATCTGAACTTGAGCTCCCAGGCACCCTGCACACTGCCCCTTGGGGCCTCCGAGGGCAGGCAATGCCAGGAAGCTGGCAAGGAAATGAAACCCGAGTCATCCAGCTGGGGCACCCCTGAGCCAGGACCGAGGAGTCCTGGCTCCCTGTCTGGGGCTGTTTCCCTCAGACCTAAATCTCCAAAAGAGTGATGAAGTCCGGCAAGAAGAGGAAGAAAAAAAAATGTAAATTTCCTCTTCAAGTTCAATGAGGATCTTTGAGGAAGGGAGGCCTGAGGTGCGCAAGGTGGGGAGCAAGTATTAGATCCCGTTGGCCCTCCTACCATGGCAGAAGGCTAGAGGAGCCACAAGGCTCACTCCTAGTTCTGCTTAGTTCCTAGTATGGTACGTACGACTTTGAGTAAGTCGCTTCCCTTCTCAAAGCCTTGGTTTCTCCATCTATGGAATGGACTCAGGCCCAGAAATAAGACCCTTACAAAAGGCCACCCAAGGGAGCCGAGGCAGGAGGGAACAGAACAGATGGTGCCTAGAGCAGCAGTGCTGAGCGTTACAGGAACAAGGAGGTGCCACTGGGGCTCCTTGGAGATGGCCCAACGCACAAGGACCCACATCTGCCCAGATCCCTGCGACTGGGGTGACAGGAGGGCAGGCTGGGATGGGCACTGGGATGTCCCCACCCCTCCCTGGGCACACCCTCTTACAGGACCCATCACCTTTCCCACATCCCAGATCCTAAAAGTACTGGGAGGGTCTCATCAGGCCTCAGGGACCTTTGTGGGAAATGCATGGGAGGCTGTGGAGAAGAGGAAGGAAGACAAGGGACTTTAAAACCTGGGCTGCAAGACCCCAAACAAGCCTCCTCCCCTCTCTGGGGCCCTTCAACTTCACCTGCAAAATGGCAATAATGAAACAACCTTCCAAGAGCTGTATGTCATGAGAATTCAGTAAGACAGCACACTGAAAGCATGCAGCACATGTATGCCTTTAGCAAATGTTACCCTTGTCCCCCTGTACCTTCTCCATGGATGCCCCTTGCTGTCTCCTGTGCCAAACATCACCTCCTCAGCGAAGCCTTCCCACACTTACCTAGGCAATTCTGCTGAGTTCCCACAGCAAAATATTCAGATTTTTATAAAAGCTTTCTGTATTTTTTTATTATTATTTTTTTAAAGAGATGGGGACTCACTCTGCTGCCCAGGCTGGAGCGAATGATGCAGTCATAGCTCACTGTAGCCTCAAACTCCTGGGCTCAAGCAATCCTCCCACCTCAGCCTCCTAAGTAGCTGGGACTACAGGCATGTGCCACCACGCCCAGCTAATTTTTAATTATTATTTTTTTTTTGTAGAGACAGGGCCTCACTATGTTGCCCAGTCTGGTCTCGAACTCCCAGCCTCAGTAATCCTCCTGCCTCAGCCTCCCAAAGTGCTGGGATTAAAGGTACAAGCCACTGCACCCAGCCCTATGTATGTATTTTTAAATTGTGAGTCTGCTTCCATTCAACTGTGAGCATTTTGAAAACAGAGGCAAGAGCTGGTAGAGTGACACAAGACCATCTATCCTAGTGGAAGAACTCAAAACACCCCCCAAAGTTACACAGAGAGCCAACACAAGACCTGGCCTTGAACCTGAATCTTCTGAGCATGAGCCCGGGGCTCTCCCCTGAGGATCTCCTCCTGTATCTGTGGTCTGTCAGAAAGTGGGGAGGGCCCCCCACAGAGGCAAAGCTGCCAGCACTGGCCTCAGCCGTCCTGACCTATGAGAGTCCCAGAGTCCTGGGAATCCTGAGACCCAGAAAAGCTTCCTAGGCCTCAATGACTTCAGCTTGAAAGTGGGCAATTCTCATTCCACCTCCCTCAATGGTTTCCCTGAGGAGCAACTGAAAAGCTGGATTATTAACTGCCTGAAAAAAAAAAAAAAAAAAAGGTGCCATTAAATGAAGGGGGTTTTATTATGTTTATAAGCAACTATAATAAAACATACCTTACATAGCAGCTTCCTACGGAAGGAGTAGGAGGAAAGGCAGGCTGGCCCTCCAAGGCCCGACTCCAATTCTGGCTGTCACTAAGTCACCGTGTGACTCGGAGAAGTCACTGGTGTCTCTGAGACTGTTTCCTCTTCTCAACAAAACAAAGGTTTGGTCTGGCTGATCGCCAAAGTCCCTCCAGCTCTGACATCCTGCTCTGTGCCTGGCACCATGCAGGTGTGGGGGGTAGAATGGACAACTCAGACATCCAAGCTCTGGTGAGTCAAACATCTGGCACAATGACCCACTGAAGACGGGGTGAGGGCCACAGCCAGAGCATGGCCAGTCACCTCCTCCCCACCACTGGCTTCACACTTTGCATTGACCTTGACACAGGCCTGCCACGTCAGGAAAGCAGTGTAGACTAGGGGCTCAGGAGGCCAGGGCTTTGGGTCTTAGTTCCTGTGGGCCTCAGTTTCCCATTGTGGAAGAGGCAGCAATAGACCCACCCAGCGTGCCACCTCACAGCCTGATGGGAGGTCCATGGGAGGGCATGCACTATCAGCCTGGAAGGGAAGGGAGTGGGAATGAATAGTCCTGAACATCCACTATGCACTAAGCACTAGGCACTGTTCATGGACTACCATTCAAGGCTCACAATTGGTGGGCGAGTAGGTTCAGCAGCTTCACCAGAGCCACGGGCTACCAAGAGGCCGAGCTGGGACTGGCCCCACCTTCGGATTCTGGAGTAGGAGGTAAAGCCTGCAGGTCTGAGCCCTCTCTGCAGAGCAAAGATGATCACCACCACCACCACCCTCTGACTTCCTGCAGAATAAGGCTCAACATTTTGCAAAGTGCTTTTACTCAGAGAATCTCAGGCACGGGGCGTTCTCAGTATTTGTTCTCCAAAAGGCAGGGGCTTGCTGGGCTCTCCTTTCCTTAGAACAAACTACTGCTCTAGGAGACCAGTGCAGGGGGTGGGGGTGTCTCTGGGTTACTCATGGCCTAGCACGTGGAGGCCCAGCAAACACCTCTGCCGGCGCTCTGCTCACATCCCCTCAGCCCCCAATTCCATGCAAATGCCAACACCTGCTTTTGTCCTAGGACTCGCCCTGCCTGCTAGGGGCTTGCTCTGCCTGAGTGCTGGGAAGTGCCAGGAACAGATGCACCAGGAGTGGGGGATTAATATCCCAGCTCCCTCACCCCATAAGGAGGATAGCAGGGGTGAGTTCTGTATTGCTTCCCTAAGTTCCCAGCGGGATTCGGCTCCGACTGCCCACAGAAGTAGCTGGCTTGATAATGCCACCTACACTGGCCCCTTCTCTTCCCTTCCCAGCACTCTCCTAACTGCTGTTTCCTGGTCAACCCCCCGCCTCAATAAACCGGGCACTTGAATTTTTGGTGCGAGGTCTGCTCCTGGGAAAACTGCCCCTTGGCACCAAATAAATCATACCATAGCCAAGTCCAAGTCCCTCAAAAGATGGGAAGCACTGTGAGAACAAGGCTTGGGTCTGCTTTGTACCCCACACCAGGTACAGGGCTGGGCTCAGAGGATGTTCCCTTAAATGGAGCAAAATGAAATTCGGATGAGTCATTCAATGAGCATTCACTGGCCACATGGAATGTCCCAATCTTCTGAGCATACAGAAGGACACTTGTCCTTGTCCTCAAGGCACCCCCAGTCTAACTCGGAGCTAAGATATGCAACAGTTTATGAAGATACCCACAAAGAAAGAGGGGTTTGGTACCAAGGGGGTTTTCTTAGGTGTCTAGATTTGATGTCTCTGTCTTACTCAGTGGTGACTGGCCCAAGGTCACATTGCTCTGCTATCTATCTGTAAAAAGAGACTTCAAACCATTCCAGGGCAGGGTTGCAAAGAAGGCCCCCTGCGTCCCCCACAGCAGCCCACAAGGTAAGCTGGCAATCGATACAGGGCCACTGGTTAATCTCTGAGGAAAGAACACGTGTGTGAGGGCTGTGTGTGCTTCCCATGTGTACACATTAATCTGGAAGGACAAAACCTCGCCAGGGCTGGAAAACGTGCTGAGGACACATGATTTTCCCTTTCTCTCTTCAGAGCCAAATCCAATCTGCAGCAGGCTCCACTGTCCCAGCAACTCTGAACAACTGTCCATGCCCAAAGACTCGATTCTGGCACACAAAAGGGGGTGCCACCTGGGGTCAGTCCTCCTTGGGTAGGTATCAGCCGAGATTAGAATCACAGAGTCCCTGGACCCAGGAGGATTCAACCAGGCACCTTCCACCATGCATTGAGCTCACTGGACACAGGAAGTGCCCAATGATCGCTGTGTCTCTGCCCCCTAGTTTCCTAGACCTGCAAGGGCCCTCTGGAGCTTCCACTCCATTAAATTTTTTTGTTTTTTTGAGGTAGGATCTCTGTTACCCAGGCTGGAGTACAGTGGAGCTATCATGTCTCACTGCAGCCTCCAACCTTCCGGGCTCAACTTTGCTCCCATCTCAGCCTCCTGGGTAGGTGCATGCCACGACGCCTGCCTAATTTTTGTTTGTTTGTTTCTTTTGAGATGGAGTTTTGCTCTTGTTGTCCAGGCTGGAGTGCAATGGCGTGATCTCAGCTCACTGCAACCTCTGCCAGCAAGGTTCAATCGATTCTCTTGCCTTACCCTCCCAAGTAGCTAGGATTACAGGCACCCACCACCATGCCTGGCTAATTTTTGTATTTTTAGTAGAGACAGAGTTTCACCATGTTGGCCAGGCTGGTCTCAAACTCCTGACCTCATGATCCGCCTGCCTTGGTCTCCAAAAGTGCTAGGATTACAGGCCTGAGCCACTGCACCTGGCCAGTTTTTGTATTTTTTGTAGAGACGGGGTTTTGCCATGTTGCCCAGGCTAGTCTTGAACTCCTGTGCTCAAGCAATCTGCCCATCTCAGTCTCCCCAAAGTGCTGAGATTACAGGCATGAACCACCACACCCAGCCCACTCTGGTAATTTTGAACCAAGAAGGCACAACAGAAGCACCTGGGGAACCAATTGAATTAGACTGGGCACCGGGCATGTGTATTATGACAAAGTTCTCTAATCTGAATTCCTGATTTAACTGAGGAGAAACTGAGTCCCCAGGGGTGGTGATTGATCCAGGAATCTACAGCTCATATCAAGTCCTGGCAAATAAAATATTTGGAAGAGCACATCTCATCCAAGTCTCTCCCTATAGCTTTAAAAGGAAACTCCCGTCGAGTCTCCTTTTCCTGATAGTCTTGGGCAAAAGCAAGTTAGGGAACAGCAGGGAAGGGGAAAAGCCTGGGGAAGGGCAGGAGAGTAGGAACTCCCTCCCCTGAAAGGGCCTTGCAATCTAATGAAGTGAAGAGAGGGAGATTCAGGTGGCAGTTCAAACGCTAACGTTTTAAAGATGAAAGTATGCAATTCAATTAAATGTTTAAATAGTGTTTTCTCATACTAAATCACTGAAACGTTTGTGCATTCCTTGAATTTCTCAGGGCACTGTTCATTTTTATTTATTGTTGTAACCCAATGCCCTTAGCTGCGTGAATGGTGCTATTTGAAGGAAACTTGTTTTGCAAAGGGGAAAGTTGTCCCAGGTCTCTTAAAAGGTTCATTATGTGCGTGGTAACTAGGCTCTATTAATAATCCCGGACTATACAGGCACGGCTTACTTTCCATTTAGCATTATATTTTCCACAATTCTGTAAACAGCTCCTCCACACAAACTCTTCTGATATTTAATTCCTCCCTATTTTTTTGCCTAACCACTCTTCTCTCTGGGGCTACTCCTTATTTAAAAAAAAAAAAAAATGGGAAGAAATCACCAAGCACACATATTTTTTCAATTAAGCCATGCTTGGTGCCAAAATATATGGATCCCACTAATAGCCATAAGTAATCTTAAGGTCTTTTCCCCAAATATTTTGATTATTTTACAAATCCCCCAAGGAATGTGCTCTTAGGATGATTTATGGAGCCCAGGGAGGCTCATGATTGGAAGGAGTGGTCTGGCTACAATGGGGCAAGTTAGGGCGTGGGGGTGGCTGTGTGCGCCCCCAGCCACTGCCTCATGCCGGAGAAAGAGAAGTGGGGTGCAAAGGGCTCTCAGGGAAGACTTTAGGCCATCTCTGCAGGGGTGAGAATGGGAAGGATTAAGGGTTCCTACGAGGGACAGATGGCTGCTGTCAGTCCTGACGAAATGGTGGCCAGAGCATAAGTAACCACCACAGACAATCCCTGATGTCCAGTGATCCCCAAGTCATTTGCATTGGCCCTGCATTCTAAGGCAGGTGTTTCGTTCAACCTCTATCAAATTTACACTCCTCATTTTCCAATTATCCTAGGTAGGTATGACTAAGGGGGAAACCGTGGAGTCAGTGTCCGAGGAAGGCTAACCTAGTCTTAAAAACTACCTGGGAATTAGCTTCAGGTGAGAAGCAGCAATGCCAGTAGGCAGATGGGGTGGTGCCAATGCCAGGCGGGCTCTGCAATCAGCATCTCCCAGCCTCCTGACCATGAAGCCCCTGAACGCCCTGAGGGAACACCCAGAAGAGAAGGGGGCCAGGGCCCACAAAGACCAGCCGGGAGGAGCAGGCTTAGTTCCCCACGGGGAAGCAGAGTCTGGCCAGAGCCTCCTGCTGACGGAGGCAGTCCAAATCAAAGCCAGGCTCCTTAGCACCGGCAGGTAAGGCGCTCATGGGGAAGGGCAGGTGTGGTGGGAAGGCCAGGCCTTGGCAGCCAGAGGCCCATGGCCCATCCATATCCCGCTGGCCTGGCCATGCAAACACAGCAAACCACGCAACCTCTGGCCAAGCCTCATTTTCCCCACTTGCCATGTGGAGATAAGAATTTCTGTCCTCCTGGCTGGATCCTCTCAGGGAAGATCAACTGGATCAATTAGATTAGTTGGATTATTTTTGTAAAATGAAAATCAAGCCAGAAGAAATTTATGTATTAGTGCTATTCTAGCAAGAACTGACATACTAAATGTCCAAAAGCACAATATCCCAGAAAGTCACTCAAACATACTCTTCCCTTATTAATACTTCAAAACAAGATTAACCCTTTGGAGCCCTGGATCATGCCCCCAACTCTGGGGGATTCAATTATTCCCCCATGGTCAACTCTGATTTGAAGGGTCTGTGAATCACATGAAGCTGGGAGACTTGCTGGATTCACTTGTGGGTCACTGTAACTTCAAGTCCAGAAGCGAGCCCTCTGCACTACCTCTGCCAGCTGCTGTCAAATCAAACCTCACCCTACCTGGTCACCTGAGCAGTTTGATTATCGTGCCCACCAGGGACACAAAATCAGCCACAGCCAAAAGTGTCCAGGCCTCAGCTTGACAAAACTCAGGATACAAAAACCTCAGCAGTCACTGTCTCAGCCTCCCACATGCAAGAGGGTGTCTCAAAACAGCATTTTTCTCTGAATGAGTGAGTGACTTTTAATAAGCAGGTATGCACAAATCCCCAGCCTCCACGGCCAACACCAGGACCCCCCACCCCCCTAGAGCAAATCCAGAGAGGAACTTGGAGCCTCTGTGTCAGCAGGGGGAACAATAGGCTGAAGTCAGGGTCCTTGAGGATGTGGAACAAAGAGCTGGCTCGCCAGGGAGGGAGACCTTTAACTTCCAGACCTTTAAACCACACGTCCCAGCCCACACGTCCCACATGCCCCACAGGAGGGAGGAGGAGAGCCTATGGGTCATGCAGCCTTTTGAGGGTTCCAGCTTTGCTGGGGCCAGAAAACTCCCGCTTCACAAAGGATTAATAGGACAGGAGTCACCGAAGTTGCACAGCTGCCATGTCCCTTTCAGCAAGTCTAGCATTTATCACGAAACCTTCCCTCACCTGTATCGGAGGGCTTGGGGAAGCTCCAGAAGGGGTGGGCAGAGGCTGGTGAGCCCAGTGCCAGCCTGCTCCATCTCCCCCAACCCCAGCACCCTCTGGCTGATGCTTGGGGAGCCTCGGCCTCTTATCCGGGCCCACCAGCGAGGCACTAGTACACATCCCTAATGGCCACACCTGCCTGCAACAGGCCTTTGTCTCTGGCTCTGAACTGGCTGTGGGAAGTGGGGACAAGGGAGGGAGGGGGTACCACAGGACTTCAGGGGAAAACAGAGGAATTGAAAGGTCCTCCTCACTTCACACCATGTGGTTCTTATCTAGAAAGAGAAACAGAGGTGGAAAGAACTCAAAGAGCATCTACCACCCACCCATTCACTCTGTGGGTGAGCAAGCTGAGGCCCGGAGAGGGAAAGGGACTTGTCCAAGGTCACACAGCAAGCCGGAGGCAGAGCTTGGGGGGGAGCCTGACTCTGGGTCTTATGCCAGGCCACTGCTGTGCCACGTACCCTGCACAAGCAGCATCACTTTTCTAACACTTGGTGTCCTCATCAACAAAATAGATTCAGTAGTCTGATCACCAAAATACAAAGAACATCTAAGATGGGTGTTTGTGCCAATGTAAAAGTGTCCTCCTGGAGTAGGAAGCCCTTTTCCCCTTGACCCGTGGGGAAGGGGAGTTTAGGGAAAGGAGTAGAAGAGAACAGGAGCGAGAAGACCACTGAGAGCTGTTTAAAAGTGGGGCCCAGGAAGCCAGGTCGGGGTGAGGAGAGTCCTCTCTTGGGGGAGGGGCATCTGGAGCTGCCAGGCAGAAGACATGCCAGCTGGGGTGGGGGTGCTGTGAAAGAGGGACCTGGGGTAGGAGTGCGGGTAGGGGGCTCAGGGCCTAGAGGGCTCAGCTAGAACTCCGGATTTTAAAAGCAGGATGTGTGGCTGGGGCCTCTCTTCTTTCAAATAAACAATCCACAACCTTATTCAAAACAGAGGGGCAGCCAGGGAAGAGTTGGATCACCTTATTTCCATACCCCCTGGGGGTGCCACCAGCCACCTTGGAGGGTCCTGCTAAGAGGTTTTGGGGAGGGCAGGGTCCTGGGCTGGAAAGCAGCCACCCTCTGGCCAGAGGTCACCTGGTGGGGGGCAGGCTTGTTGGACCCATAGGGCTAAATTCTTGGCAATTGACCCTCTCCCAGTCCCCATCTTGACCACAGGCACCCAGATTCTTGGCAAGAACCAGAAAGGAGCCCCCAAGAACAAAGTCTAGTCCCTTAAGAAAACTGAGGCTCAGTCAGGCAATTGCCCAGGTCCCATAGGAGCTGGGGACAGGAAATCAGCCCAGACTCCCCACCCAGTTCTTCCTAGCACCCACTAGAGGGACTGGCGATGAGGGCTGTGGGCAGCACACTGGCTTATCCCACTTTCCTGCTGGGATCTAGACCACTCTACCAACGTTCTTGGATTCATTGGTCCCACAGAGCCTTTGTTCATTTGGCCAAGTATTTATGACAACACGGCTCTAGGCTTAGGGGGTGTAGCCAGCCATGAACAAGACTCAAACCTTACTTTAAGGAGTTCACAATCAGCTTCTGTGGGTAACACACTGCTTTTTGTTGTTCAACAAATATTCACTGCACGTCTAGTCCACGTGGCCCTGAGCAGGTGCCAGAGACGGAGGTGGATGGAGTGGAAGTGGTGGCCATGGCCCCACCCTCAGCCTGGACTTGGGATCCGGTGGCCTTCCAGGTGTTTGCCAGGTGTCCTGACACGTGTTATCTTCCCCCTTGAGGCACATGGAAGCCGCCTGAGGACACAGACCTGGTCTCTACTCTTTAGTGCATTCCCAGATGGCCTGGCCCGAGGCAGGCCACACAGCATTCACTCAAAAACTGGGAGTGGACTATTTACCAAATGCCTCCCTTCCTCTGGCAGGAAGTCGCTCCCAGAGCCGCGGTTTTTGTTTTTTCGACTCTTTCTGGGCTCGTGGTTTGGAAATAGCAAAGGGTTGTGAGTTACAGGATCCCGGCCCTCTCCTCCAGGGCAGCTGAGAGAGAAAACGGATACAGCCTTTCCGGAGGGCACTCTGACCTTAAATGTGTGTGGCCTTTGACCTGGCAATCCCACTTCTAGGAACATATCCTAAGGAAGTCACCAATGATGTGCACAAAGACATAAGATGCTCACCAAGCGGCAATGTTTTATGATAGTTTCTTTTAAAAAAAAAAAGTCACTGCAACAACCTAAATATCCAGCCCTGGGGGATTGGTTAAGTAAATATGGCATGGAATACTAAGCAGCCATCAAAAATCACAGACTATGTGTTGAATTGAAGACAATGTTTTCAGTATTGCTAAGAGAAAAGAGCTACAAAACAGCTATATGAACTTTTTCATTTGGCTGCATAGAGACCATTTCTACTTCCCATATTTTGCAAAGAAAAAGGATGACAGGAAAAATAACATCCAAATAATTTTAAGAAGAATAATATAATTATTTTCTTTTAGGGTGGTAGCATTAAGGGTAATTTGTTTTTCCTTTGTGCTTTTCTTGTTTTCTAAATGATCCACATGAATCACGTACTGCTTTTTAAAAAAAAAAAGGAAAGAGGAAATGCTATTGAGGTAGGGCTTGGGCCCAGCTCCTTCACTAACTGGCTGGATGAACAAGCCATTTAATATCTCTGAGAGCCTCTTTTCTATATAATGAGGGCATCAGTGACGAGGTATGGGCATACGTGATCTCATTTTACACTCACAAAAGCTTTTTCAGGTATGTACCCATTTTACAGATGCAGAAACCGACTCCATGCCAGCCCAGAGGGCCCTCCTCACCATTCAAGCTCAGCTACTCCAAGAGAATGCAGTCCGAGTCAGCCTTGTGAGACTGGCTTATTGGGGGGTGCCCTGGGAGATAACTACCCAGCCCAGAGCCACCCTTCTTCTTAGAAAGAAAACTCAGCTGCCACTCTCACTGCAAACTGCAGGGAGCTCTCAGGATCCCACGAGGAAAAAGGTACCGGAGGGGTCTCTGGCTGGTGGGAGCATCCATCCATTCACTACACCTTCCCTGGGCAGCTGCCACATCAAGGGCAGGGTGACACATGGCAGGGCGGGGCTATAAAGGACCTGTTATTTGACAGAGGGGGAAACTGAGGCCCACAGAGGGAACGGTCACACGGTCAGGGCACGGACCACCACCACATGCTAACTGTGGAAGGGCAGCTGTTCTGGAATGCTGGACTCCAGGTGGGGGACTCTAGGGAGAAGATTTTGGGGCTGAAGATTAAGGGAAGAACCCAGTAAGAGCACCCAAGCCCAGAAACAAAGCCAGGCCTCAGGCCAGGGAGCGCAGCGGGCAGTCTAAGCAAAGGCAACGTCCACCAACCTCCCTGGCTTCCTTAAGGACAGCTCGGGGCCTGGGAATGGGTGCTGATTGTGGACAGGGTCAGAAATGCTGGTGGTGACCCTGAGAGCCATGAGCTTCATTATGAGGGAGTACGTAGCCAATCAGCTACTCCTTCCCAAAAATGGGGTCAATTGTGGCTGAATCCCATTTTCAGAGCGACCAATTACGGTCCAGAGGGGCTGGCTAGACCTCATGGGGCCTCAAGACCACAAACATTGAGGCTGCAGAGGATCTTGTACAGGGTCTCACTGCCAGGGAGACCCAAGGGTGAGTGTCCTGGCCAAGACCACCAGACACACCCTCAGCCAGGGCAGGCGCACTGGGAAGAAGCCCATCCCTTTCATTGACAAGGTGGAATGAAAGTAACTTGTTCCCGCGCCCTAAGACTGTGACCCTCACAGAGGCCTGTCTGTTAGGGGTGAAGCTTCCAGGTACCCCAAGTTGCTCTGAGGGAAACCAGACATTGGTGGGATTATAAGGACCAGAGGGCACGCGCTCAGGGCGGTGAGGGGATGCTGACTCCCATGAGAAGTAGGCTGAGAAAGGGGAGAGGGGCTTCTCCAGGGTGCGGAGCCACCACTGTACCTGTGTCGTGGCTGTAAGATGCTCAAATTGCCACAAGAATTCCATATGCTGAGGCTTAAAAGGTCACTAGCTCTGAGTAAGTGACTACCCGCCTGCTCACAGTGTGTGGGGCACTGGGGACAGGGAAAGGCAGCAAGACCTCCGCTGCCCTGGAAAGTTGCAGGGAAACAGGGCAATCTCTCCCCCAGTCTGGCTTCCTCCTCTCAGAAAGTTCTCATCTTCACTCATAAAGGGCCTGAAAACCTGATGCTGTCAGCAGGGAACCCCAACCAGGAGAGCGGCCTTGCAGCCTCAGTAGCCTCTGTACATAAGGGTCCAAGTCAATGCCTCAGGACATGCACCTGTAGGGCTGCCCGGAGGGACCGGCAGCAATTGGAATCTCTCGGGGCATTTGAGTGAGGGAGTGGTGACAGCTGCAGAATGTTGCAAATATACTAAAAACCACTGAACTGTGTACTTCAAAATGGAGTTCTGTGCATTTAATCTCCCTTTTCTAAATTGCCCCAAAAATGTACACTCAGAGGCCCTACCCTAGAGATTCTCTGATTAGTGAGCCTGAGCCCAGGAACCTGCATTTAACACATGCTGCAGGGATGATGGTTCCCAGTCAGGGTTAAAAACTCTCAATCCCAGGACCCTAGTTTCCATATAACATTGGGTCTACAAGTTATATGTCCTCCCACCCACCTCCTCCTCATTTTACAGATGGAGAAACTGAGGCCAGGAGCAGGAAAAGGACCCAAAGTTCCTGTAGGAGCCTAATGAAACACAAACCTTCCCCACCTAAGAGCAGGGTCTGCTACAGAGGCGAAGCCCCTCGGCAATCCACCTCAAACGTGATGGATTTGAGGGTGGGGTTTGAGGCAAACCACCTCAAATGGGGTATAGTAGCCCAATCTTCTGGCAGATGAGGGAGGGTTGGGGAGGGCCAGGGATGGCCTTTCTTGTCTGGTTGCCCTGAACAGAGAGCTGCTTACAGGGCAAAGGCATCCACCATCTCCCCACCTGGGCCCAAAGAAACCAGAAGGCCAGAGAAGATGGAGATTTTTTTTTTATTATTGTTATTTTTTAAACACGAATTATTTCCAGCCGGAAGGCAGAGGGATGAGGGCCATTGGAGGCCTCCGGCCGCCGGCACCCAGCCAGCCTCGTAAATGTCTGGCAGCTGGAGGGAGACTCAGCTCATTGCTATCGAAATGAGCTCGTTCCTGCTAATTTCCCTGGCTCACCAACTGATGTATCCAGTGTGTTCCCAAATCTCCAAAGACATTTCCTAAGCCACCCTCCAGGGATCTCAGAAAGTCATGAGGTGTAGGTGGGAACTTCAGGGTGGCCTCAGTTTCCCCAACCAAAGTGTGGGAGGAAGAAAAGCAAGCAAAGATCATTCACTCAACTGTAGTTGAGTCAACTATAGTTCTGGCCAACCTTTACCCACTGGGCTGCTCATTCCTGTGGGTGAAAGGGGAGATGGCAGGATAAAACAGTCCCACCGCTGACACTCAGAATAACCCCCATCCCTTATCAAGCACCCAACATGTCCCTAGCACAGTACTCAGCACCTGGCATATAATCTCTTGGTTTTCACAAGAACCAGGCAAACGGTCCACTATTTTACAACCCTTATTTTACAGAAGAAACACCAAGACTCAGAGAGGTTGAAGAATTTGCCCAAGGTCACACAGCTAGTGAATGGCAAAGTGTTACTCTAAAGCCAGGCTCTGCAAAGAAATCAAGAAAAAGAGGCCAAACATGGCAGGATCGATCCCACCATGCCATCTCGCCAGCATGTACTAAGGATCAGATGTGTCTCCTTCTCGGGAGTTCAGAGAGGATGGCAAATACCCACTGGCCACACCAAGCTGGGTGACTAGAGAAGGCTTCCTGAAAGAGCCTTCAATTCATGCCCAGGGCTGCAGAAGCTCAAAGAGGGGAATGGATAATGCTGGATGTCCACAGGACTGGGCAGGATGTAGCATAGCCAGGAATGCACAGGGGAGGACTGCCAGGGTGAGTGCCACGGCCTGCCATGTGGGCAGACCCCACCTCCCAGCTGGGGCTCTTTCTCCCACCTGGGAGACCAGGTGTCCAACTCACAAGCTAAGAACTCAGCCCTAGTAGATCCATAGACCAGAATAGAACGCAGCCATCAAAAACAATGTTTATGAAGAATGTTAATGACACAGGAAAATATTTACGTAATGCTGAGGAGAAAAGGCAGGACGCAAAACTGTATTTTTTAACATAACAGCCAGGTGCAGTGGTGCGTTCCTGTGGTCCCAGCTACTCGGAAGGCTGAGGTGGGAGGAGCGCTGGAGCCTCATAGTTCGAGGCTACCCTGGGCAACAAAGCGAGGCCCATCTCTTAAAAAAACTAATTAAAATTTTTCTTTTAATTTAAACAGAATACAGCAAAATGTTAACAGTGGTTATCTCTGGACAGTCAGATTATGGGATTTCCCTCCCCGCATCTCTTTGCACTTTTCTCAGCTTTCCAAGTTTTCCCTAATATGCCACATGCTTCTTTGCAAAACAAGAGCAAATAGGTACAAGTTTTCCCTAATATGCCACATGCTTCTTTGCAAAACAAGAGCAAATAGGTATATTTAAAGCAAACCACAAAGATGCCACTGCCAGCCCCGTGCCCCCTCCCCTCCGCCAACACCTTCTGCACCCCTCACCAAGGGCTCTTAACAATGCACACCTGCAGTCCCTGAGTGGCTCTTGACGGCCTGCCTGCCCACCCGTGCTCCATGTGGGACAGAAGGGGCTCTGTGTTGGCAGTTAGAAGGCCTGGGTAAGGCCAGGCACGGTGGCTCACATCTGTAATCCCAGCACTTTGGGAGGCCAAGGTGGGCAGATCACGAGGTCAGGAGTTCTAGATCAGCCTGGCCAACATGGTAAAACCCCGTCTCTACTAAAAATACAAAAATTAGCCAGGCGTGATGGCAGGTGCCTGTAATCCTAGCTACTTGGGAGGCTGAGGCAGGAGAATCACTTGAACCTGGGAGGCGGAGGTTGCAGTGAGCCGAGACTGCACTATTGCACTCCAGCCTGGGTGACAGGGCAAGACTCCGTCTCAATAAAAAAAAAAAAAAAAGAAGAAGAAAAAGAAGGCCTGGGTAAGGTTCCTCTCTTAGAGCCCTGGGAAGATGGACACATAATGCTAAACATTCACTGGTCACCTCTAGTGTCCAAAAGGCTGCAGGACAGCACGATCCACACCCGGGTCCCATTTGCAGCCAGATGAGGGCCTTAGCTACTCTCAGGTGATACAGGACCCAGAGAAGGACGCCTGTGAATGCACTGCAGTGACTCAAAGATACCACCTACACAGTCTCGGCCTCCACCATCCATGACCTTGCTCCAGATAGATGCCCTCAAACTGCCAAAGCATCCCTCCTCCATTTCAGCCCACCCATCAGAACCCGCTCTCTGGCCCCCGACACAGCCACTCCCACACCCACCCTGTCGCTTGGAGGGGAATTCATGGCAGACACGCTCCCTGGACAAAGCAGGGTTATTCGTAGACATTTGGAAGCCTGGGTGCAACATGGAAAAGTGTTTAATGTGACGTAAGGTGAGGAGGGCAGAGAGGAAAATGTTATCTTCTCTGCCACTGGGCTGTGATCAAGTGGAAATATGTGCATGAGACAAGAAATTGAAGGACAGAAAGGAAACTGGGCATGGCGGTTGTGGAACAGGCAATATTTTTCTATTTTCCAAACTTCCTGGAGGATCGTTGACACTCCTCTCACAACCCCCTGCCATGTCCACAGTGACACGAACAGATTCGTGTATGAGAGTGGCACGTGTGCACAGCCCCAGTGTCCTGTTCGGAGCTAAGCCTGGAGTATGCACCCGCTGCACACCTCCAGCTGTGCTTCACCATCCTCCCTCGAGCAGCCTTCCCTGGCTCCATGGGCCTGTCTGTCCTGGGATTGCCTGGCCCACAAGCGTAGGAGCTTCCCACGGGCAGGGGGCTGTTTTCTTCATCTGTGTCCCCAGCTATTGGTATAAAAATAGCCTCTCAGTGTACATTTTCCACAGGATAAAATATGAGGCTTTACAAAGCCATTCTCCCTTTGCAAGATTCAAAGAGTTCTGTGGATAGATGGTGGTGATGGTAGCATAGCAATGTAAATGTCCTTGACGCCACTGAACTGAACACTCAAAAATAGTCCAGAGAGTCAATTGTATCAGCCTTTTTATTATTACCATAGAGCAGGTACCCCAGGGTTCCCTCTCCTAACCAGGGTCCTCACCCTTCTCCTCCTCCCAACCCTATTTCAGAAGGGAGGAGGCGGCACTCCTCACTTCCATGTTTATCCAGAGTGAAGTTCTGGGAAGTGGAGGCTCAGCTCCGCGTCACTGGGGCTTGGGTCCCAGGCTCTGGGTTTGCCACACGGGCCTTTTTCCACCTCCCCAGGCCTGAAGCTGGAATTGCATGACTTCCTGGCTCACTTGCTTTTTTTTTTTTCCTTTTTCTCTAAAGTCGTTATAAACCTGTTTACCTTTGGGCTGCAAAGGGCCTAGGCTCCAGGCAAACAGAACTTATATGCCAAGGAGGAAGTGGTGGGAAAGGGGGATCTCTCCAGGGCCAATGGGGTGAGGAGGAAAGACGGGACCCCACTCACCCAACAAAACCCTTCCTCCTTCCTCCAATTCAACACCCATGTGCCAAGTGCCTACACCATGCCAGGCACTACCGTCGGAGGTGGAGAAGTACTGAGCTAGCAGCAAAGTGGGTGAGCCGACCCGCGCTCACTTCTGCTAGCAGAGTGCTACTCCTGAAGCCTGTGCCATGAGTCAATGAAGGATGGGGTGGCCAGCTCTGCTGTGGGGTCAGGCTCCAGAGAGAGGTGATATGTGTGGGACCTTCAGAAGGAACAGGAGGAGCCAGCCAGATGGGTAAAACCAGCCTGGCAGGGCATTCCAAGTAGAGGGACTGGCAAAGGCTGTGAAGAAGCCTAGCATGCAGGCAGTTTGGGGCAGAGCCTGTGTGCCAGGCTGACCCTGGGCCTGCTGGAGGCAGGGACCCGGGGAGGATGCTGAAAAGAGAAGTGATGCCAGCTCCTCCGGAGACCTGTGCTCTCTGCCTTCCCCCTTGGTTTATTCCTTCCCAAATTCATGAACAATGAGAGCTGGAGGCCCAGGCCGATGATCCTTGGCCCTGGGTGCATGTTAGATTCACCTGCAGAGCTTTAAAAAGGAACTGAGGGAGCCAGGTGCAGCGGCTCATGCCTGTAATCCCAGCACTTTGGGAGGCCGAGGTGGGTGGATCATGAGGTCGAGAGATTGAGACCATCCTGGCCAACATGGTGAAACCCCGTCTCTACTAAAAATACAAAAATTAGCTGGGCGTGGTGGCGGATGCCTGTAATCCCAACTACTCAGGAGGCTGAGGCAGGAGAATCACTTGAACCCAGGGTGGGGCAGAGGTTGCAGTGAGCCAAGATCACACCACTACACTCCGCTCTGGTGCCAGAGCGAGATTCCATCTCAAAAAAAAAAAAGAGAAGGAACTGAGGGGGAAGGGGAGAGTGTCTAACAGGGACTCTGATGTAACTGGTCTGGGGTGGAGCCCAGGCATCAATATTTTTTCAAAGCTGTCCGAATGATCCTAATAGGCTCTGCTGTCAGGCAGCACCCTCATGAGGCCCTGGTGAGAGAATGCCTCCAAAAACCTTTTGTTAGTGCTGTACCCATCAGGGGTGAAAAACATAAGCTTCGGGGTCAGCCCCACCTCACTACGAATCTTAGCTCCACCATTTACAAGATGTGTAACCTAGGTAGTGTTATCAGACAAAATATAGGACGCCCAGTTAAAATCTGAGTTTCTGATAAACAGCAAATCACTTTTTAGTATGCGTATGTCCCCAGTATTGGATGGGACACATCACGCTACAACTCATGTGAAACTTTTTTCATTGTATTCTGAAATTCAAATATAAATGGGCATCCTGTTTTTTGTTTGTTTTTGCTAAATCTGGCAACCCTACACCTAGAGCTGGTCCTTTAACTTTCCTGAGTTTAATTTCCCCATTGGTATCGGTGAAATCACCGAGATGGAAGAAGGCAGCAAGATGCTTGGCATACGGCCAGCACTCCGTGGGTGGCTTTGCTTCCATCCTCCTCAGAACTTTGTTCTAGTAGAGGTTTTTTATTTTTTAGGAAAAATTTCAAGCATCACCAAAAGTGAAAGAATAGTAACAATAAACCCCCATACACCCATGTCGCGGATACCGTGACACACCCTGTCCAGGTCCTCTTCGCCTCTAGCTACTGGGAGTTTTGGGGCAATGGCTCACAGATGTCCCTTTATCGGGAGAATTGTCCTGGGTCAGGCAATGATGCCTCCCTCCAATGTGGGGTGTGTGTATGTGTGTGTGCATGCACACGTGCCTGCTTGTCTGCCTACAGCCAATGACCAACTGACATGGAACAAAGGGCTGGGCCCCACACCTCAAAGTGTGACCATTCAGAGGAGCAGTTCCCTCTCCACGTCCCCAGGGATCAGGCTGAGCTGGACTCCAGTGGAGACCACATTCTTGCTGCCCCATCATGCTCCCCTCATTCCTTTCTTCTGAGAACACGCCCCCCAATAAACTTTGTGCATCTGAATCCCATCTCAGGCTGTGCTTCTAAGAACCCAACCTAAACTACCTCTCACCCAGATTCAACAGTTATCAAGATTTTTGCCACACTTGCTTCATCTAGCCCCTTTTATTTGGTGTTTGGCTTGTTTGTTTTGGCTGAAGGACCTCACATCATTTCCCCCTACATCCTTCATGATGCATCTCTAAAAAAATACAGGCAGTTAAGTTTTGACTTCCTTCCCTGATTGCCCTCCCAAAGGAGAAGGCTCTTGTTGGGGAAAGAGTCATAACTCCCAACAGTGCCAAGGGACAGAGACCAGAGGCCAAATAGGCAGGCACCCGGCCATCCACTCTGGCTCCCACCCAGCCCTGGACTATGGTGTGGCTTTGGTGGCCAGCAGGCCATGGTCACCTCAGGTCCCACCTCTTTTGTGTGGACCAAGAGCTCTGGGATGGTGTCCTGGCATCCTCATCATGACGCTGCCAGGGCCTGAGTTTCTCTGTATCCTAAAAGCAGGGGATGGCATGAAAAGGCCGAGCTGGCCGTGGCTATTCTGCTGGCCACAGCCCCCGCACACCCTTCTGCTGGGACCCTGGGCGGTCCTACCTGCTGGGAGACACAGCCATGAGGGTCCACACTCTACCATGCCATGGAACCTGCTACGGCAGGAGGCAGCATGGAAGGCACAACAGCTTTTATTTAAAAATATGGTAAAATACACATAACATAAAACTTACCAACTTAACATACATAGTTTTAATGTGCATAGTTCAGTGGCATTAAGTACATTCACAATGTTGTACAACCACCACCCTATCTAGTTCCAGAGCTTTTTCATCATCCTAAATGGAAGCCGTCTACCTAATAAACAGTCACTTCCCATCACACCAGCTTTTGAGTTTGGGGAAAAATTGGGTTCTCATCGCAGCTCTTTCACTTGCTATCTGTGTGACTCTGGTAAGTAAGTGAAACCTCTCTGAGCCTCAGTTTCTTTATCTGTAAAATGAAATAACTTATAGGGTGTCATAAAAGTCAAAGCTAAAGGGTAGTGCCAAGTACTTAGAGCAGCTCCTGGCACTGTTAAATAAATGCCAGGCTAGGGCCTCTCCGACTAAAAAGGCTCTTCCCCTCCCTCGACCTCCGCTCCCTGCTCTGTTCCCCCTTCAGTTTCCCGAGCTGTCTGCAGTGACCAAGGGAGAGGAGGTTGCTTCCCTCTCCCAGAGGCAGGGCGAATGGAATGAGCATTAATGCGTTCCAGTGTTTTCCCCTTGCCATGCCCAGAACCCAGTTCCAAACCAAAGAGTTACAAAGGCCTTTAAACTCCACACTCAGTACCGCGGGGTGAGGTCAGCCAAAACCCGAATTTCCAAGCACAGTGCTTTTCTACTCTGAAAACAGCCAAATGTGAACTGGCCACTCCTGAGGGTCAGAGCTCCCGGAAGAGCCTTGGGCCTCCTGGCTGCAAGCACTGATGGCCGCCTCTCCGGCCTCTCCCTCCCTCCCGGCTGTGGAGTCGCCTCCCAGTCACCATGCTGGGTTGCCTTTCCCAGTCCAAATCAGGGTGCAGGACCCCAGCTCGGGCACAGGAGACCTGTCCTTTCATCAGCCTCTGTGCAACTGCAGGCCAAGTGCCCTGCCCTGTCAGTTCTGTAAAATGAGGAAAGGATTCCCCATGACAAGGACTCGGCTCTCCTCCAAATCTCCCATCCTGCAGTTTATGTGAACATCAGTGCCCAAGCGGGATGGGACCTCACCAGGTCTTTGAATCCAGTTTTCTCCATTGCCTTCCATTTTACAGACAAGAAACTCACACCCAAAGGCTGAGGCAACTTGCCCAAAGTGTCACATTTGTTTCTGGGAATCCAGAAGAAATAAATAAATTCTTCACTTTACAACTCTTCCCCTGAAAAAACACACTCAACACCAAGCATCCAAGCCATGAAAGTCCTATGCATATATGGTCAGTATATAAAAATCAATTATATTTCTATACACTAGCAATAAATAACTGGAGAATGTTTAAAAGTAACATTTACAATAACACCAAGAAACATGAATTACCTAAGTACAAGTTTAACAATAATGTGCAAGATCTGTGTGTTGAAAACTACAAATCATTGATGAGAAAAATCAAAGACCTAAATATATGGAGAGATATATTATGTTCATTGACTATAAGAACCAATATTGTCAAAATGACAATGATGCTCAAATTCATCAACAGATTCAATGCAATCCCAATCAAAACCCTAGCAGGCCTTTTTTGTAGAAATCAACAGCTAATTCTAAAATTTATATACATATGCAAATGCCTAGACTAGCCAAAACAACTTTGAAAAAGACAAAAGACTCACATGACCTGATTTCAAAACTTACTATAATAAGCTACAGCAACCAAGACAGTGCAGTATTGGTAAAAGGATAGACACGTAGACCATGGGACAAAGTTAAGAATCCAGAAAGAGAACCACACATATATATCAACTATTTTAGACAAAGTTAATTCAAAAAGAAAAGAGTAGTCGTTTCAACAAATGATACAATAATAGAACAACCTCTATATGAAAAAAAAGAACCTAGACTCATATTTATACCTTATAAAAAATTAACTCAACATGGATTATAAACCTAAATGTAAAACCTAAAACTATAAAACTTCTAGAAGAAAACATAAAAAAAAAATTTCTGTCCTTGGGTTTGGCAGAATTATTCATATAACTGACATAAAAAGCATGAAAAGAAACAACTGATAAATTGAATTTCAGCAAAATTAAAACCTTCAAAAGACTTCATTTAAAAAAAGACAAGACACAGACTGAGAGGAAATACTTGCAAAACACATATATTTTAAATGGCTGCTAACTAGAATATGTAAAGAACCCTCAAAATTCAATAATAAGAAAACAAACAACCCAATATTTAAAAATTGGCCAGGTGAGATGGCTCACACCTGCAATCCCAGCACCATGGGAGGCCAAGACAGGAGGATCATCTGAGGCCAGGAGTTCGAGACCAGCCTCGGCAACATAGCAAGACTCTGTCTCTAGAAAAATATATAAAATAAAATAAAACTTGGCCAGATACAGTGGGACACAGCTGTAGTCACATCTACTTGGGAGGCTGAGACATGAGGATCACTTGAGCCAGGAGTTCAGGGTTACAGTGAGCCATGGCTGTACCACTGTACTCCAGCCTGGGTGACAGAGTGAGACGCTGTTTCTTTGGGGGAGGAGGGGAAGTGCAAAGATTTGAACAGACACTTCACCAAAGAAGATATACAGATGGCAAGTTAGCACATGAAAACATGTCCAACATCATTCATCATTAGGAAGGTGATTTAAAACCACAAGGCCAGGCATGGTGGCTCATGTCTGTAATCCCAGCACTTTGGCTGAGGTGGGCAGATCGCTTGAAACCAAGAGTTCAAGACCAGCCTGGCCAACATGGTAAAACCCCACCTCTACAAAAAATACAAAAAATTAGCTGGGTGTGGTGGCGCATGCCTGCAGTCCCAGCTACTCGAGAGGCTGAGACACAAGAATCACTTGAACCCGGGAGGCAGAGGTTACAGTGAGCCAAGATCACACCACTGCACTCTAGCCTGGGTGATGGCACGAGACTCTGTCTCAAAAAAAAAAAAAAAAAAGTCACAATGAGATACTACCGCTTATGATTAGAATAACTCAAATAAAAACAAACTGATCATATCAAGTGCTGGGGAGGATATGGAGTAACTAGAATTCTCATATACTGCTGTTGGGATTGCAAAATGGTACAACCACTTCGGAAAGCAGTGCCTGTTGTAAAGTTATATGTACTTTCAACCATATACCCAGCAATCCTACTCCTAGGCGTTTACTCAAGTGAACTGAAATCCATGTTCACACAAAAATCTGAACACAAACCTTTGTAGCCAAAAAAACTGGAAATAACCCAAATGTCCATCCAAGAAACAACATGGATGAATCTCAAAGCAGTATACTAGTTTTAAAAAAGGTACAAAGGGCTATTTGCTATATAATTACATTTGGAAGATGGTCTGGAAAAAGCAAAACTATAGAGACAGAAATCAGATGGCTGAATGCCAGCAGCTCAGGGTTGGGGTTGGGCTGACTACAAAGACTCACCAAGGAACTTTTTTTTTTTTTTTTTGAGACGGAGTCTCGCTCTGTTGCCCAGGCTGGAGTGCAGTGGCGGGATCTCGGCTCACTGCAAGCTCCGCCTCCCGGGTTCACGCCATTCTCCTGCCTCAGCCTCCCAAGTAGCTGGGACTACAGGCGCCCGCCACTACGCCCGGCTAATTTTTTGTATTTTTAGTAGAGACGGGGTTTCACCGTTTTAGCCGGGGTGGTCTCGATCTCCTGACCTCGTGATCCGCCCGCCTCGGCCTCCCAAAGTGCTGGGATAACAGGCATGAGCCACCGCGCCCGGCCTCACCAAGGAACTTTTAAGGGTAATAGAAATGTTCTCTATCTTGATTGTGCAATAATGGTTACATAATTATAAAAATTCATATAATAATACACTTCCACAAAATTTTACTGTATGTTGATTTTATCTTAATAAACCAAAACAAAAACAACAAGCTCTACACAGCCTCATGAGGGCTTCTCATTTCTCCACCCAGTCTCTGAGCTCACTGATAGAATGTGACAACCATTCTGGCCCAGAAAATAAAGTGACTCATCCAAGGACACAAGCTCTGGAGGCAGGCAGGCCTGGGTTCAAACCCCAGCTCTGTATTTACCAGCTTGGTGCCACTGGGCAAATTACCTCTCCCCTCTGAGCCTCAGTTTTTTCATCTATCAAGTGGAGATAAGTTACAATAGAACTCGTCTTGTTGGTAGGACTAAATAAGCTTAAGGAACAAGAAACAGCACAGTGTCTGCCATCTGTTTTGTACTCATCTTTTAGCCACTGTTATTACTACTCCTACTGCTGTTGTCATTATTACTATGAAAAAGCCAGGACTGACTCATGGGTAATGACTCCACACCATGTCCTCCTGCATGAGGTGGGCCATGCTAGGCGCCAGGGCCACCAGTTTCCTGGTTACAACCTCAAGACACAAATGCAGACCAAGGTCCTGCCCAAAAGTCACTCACAGTCTGACTGGGCCAGCAGATAAACTCAATGCAAATTCAATGCACTACAAGGGAGCAGTATAGAGATGAAAGCCACTGAAGGTTCAGAAGAGAGAGGCCACTGTGGGCTGTGCAATCCCTGAAGGCTTCCTGGAGAAGGAAGGCTTTTCATGAACCTTACCGACAAATCAGATGTAACAAAATCAAAGAAAAGAAGCTGTCAGAAAGAGAGGAACCAGCAAATCCCTCTACCCCAACTTCTCCCCAATGACCCAGCCTATCCCTCCATCCATCCCTGTCAAAAGACAGTGGGCAATCCGCATCCTTGGCATTTCCTTCCAAGGAACAGCCCTGCACCAAGGAGAGGTGCAGGAGTGAAAACAGAGAATCCGCACACCATGCATCAGCGGGGCACCCACATGTGTCCCCGCATCTGGGCAAGAGGGTCTGACGGAGGGCTGGTCTGGGATCTCGGGCTTTAACTCCCTCCCCACCTTCTTTTTCCATGGACCTGAATTTGAGTTTGTCTGGCGAGTGTTTTCTTAAGCCCAAGTGTTTTTCCTGCAGCCCAGGCCCACCCCCTCCCCGCCCCTTCTGCGGGCCCAGGCCCTCGTCTGGAGCAGAGGGCTCAGCGAAATGCTGACTGGCCCGGCCGCGGTGCCGCCTTTGATGCACACCACTCTCCAGACTTCAATGTCGCTGTGTGCACGGCCCCTTTAATAAGTTATTTCCGTGGAAAACCCTGGTAACTCGGTCGTGAATCAAGCCTATAAACACCTCAAACCCATCAAAGCACCCAAGAAAGGGAGGGGGCGGGCCAGGGAAGAAAATCCCTTACGGTAACTCACACAGTGCTCCCTCAGAAGGGCCTGGGAGTCCACGCTGTCAGAGGGGCCCGGCGCCCCCTCGCCTGGGGCCCAGCCAACCGGCTGAAAACACCACGCTGTCACCCTGAAATCCAAGGATCCAAAGCCCCAAAGGACACTGCCCGTCTGTGTGTCCTGGGGACAATCTTGACCCAACTCCCAGCAAGATTTACAGCCCAGAGAGGCAGACCCGGCCGGCTGCTCCCGGGGTACAGGAATGTAATGTTTTGGCTACCGGTGAAAGGCCCAGTTTATTGGAAACACACTTCTTTTCCAATGTTTAGTTTCCTTTCACTCTTTTCTCCTTTTTGTTTTTCCCAGAGTGCACTGCCCAGGGCCTTAGGAAAGGACATTATGGAGCTTAAAATCCGGCCTCAGGGGTGCCGGGGGATGCAGGGAGATGCAGGGAGACGCAGGGGGACAGGACTCAGTTTTGTCTGAGTAGCAGGATGGCCACCACCTCCGTGTGGGCAGAGGTCCTGGACGCAGAGAGGGGAGATCCTGCTCTAGGCCGAGCTCTGCCACTTGGGAACTGGGGACCAAGCACAGGCACTGCCCCTCTCAGGGCCCCATCTGTAAGAGGGTAAATGAACCAAATCCCCTCTAGAGGGGCTTCTGACTAAAACGCTGTGGTCTTGGAAAACAGTCTGGCACAGTATCTAATAAGGCTGACCACACATATAATGTAGAGCTCAGCAATTCCACTCCCAGGTATGTACCCAAGAGAAGTATGACCTTGTGTCCTCAAAAAGGCTGGTATAAGGTATTGATTGTAACATCATGGGTAGAAACCAAAAGCTGGGCACTATCAATAACTGGAAACCATCAGTAATAGAATGGATATGTTAGACTAGTAGAATCACAGTCCATTCCCACAGAATATTATCTGGCAGTGAGAATGAGCAATCGGCAATACACAACAACAATATGGATGAGGCCAGGTGTAGTGGCTCACACCTGTAATCCCAGCGCTTTGCGAGGCCGAGGCGGGCAGATCACGAGGTCAGGAGTTCGAGACCAGCCTGACCAACATGGGGAAACCCCATCTCTACTAAAAATACAAAAATTAGCTGGGTGTGGTGGCATGCTCCTGTAATCTCAGCTACTCAGGAGGCTGAGGCAGGAGAATCGCTTGAACCTGGGAGGCAGAGGTTGCAGTGAGCCGAGATCACATCACTGCATTCCAGCCTGGGCGACAGAACCAGACTCCACCTCAAAAAACAAAAAACAAAAAAAAAACAAAAGGATGAATCCCACGAATATTCTGTTGAGTTAAAGAAGCTATATTCCAAAAAGCCAACAAGGTATGCCTCTGTGTGCATCGGGTTCAAAAACCAGAAAACTACACGATGGGGTTAGAAGTCAGGATAGAGCTGAGGTACACTTGGGGAGTGAGGAGTGGCTGAAAGGGGACATGAGAGGGGGCTTTTGAGGTCATGGTCTGTTGCTTCATCTGGGCTATAGTGACACAAGAAAGCTCACTTTGGCCAGGCGTGGTGTGGCTCACGCCAGTAATCCCAGCACTTTGGGAGGCCAAGGCAGGTGGATCACCTGAGTTCGGGAGTTTAAGACCAGCCTGACCAACATGGAGAAACCCCATCTCTACTAAAAATACAAAATTAGCTGGGCGTGGTGGTGCATGCCTGTAATCCCAGCTACTTGGGGAGGCTGAGGCAGGAGAATTGCTTGAACCCAGGAGGCGGAGGTTACCGCGAGCGGAGATCGCGCCATTGCACTCCAGCCTGGGCAACAAGAGCAACACTCTATCTCTAAAAAAAAAAAAGAATGCTCACTTTGTGAAAATTGTTCACATGTGACATCTGCACTTTTCTGCATGTATTATGTATTGGTAAAAAGTTTACATTAAACAAACAAAAAAACTCTACACTTTGGGGCCATATAAATCCATTCGCTAAGCCCACAGTCATCCGTGTATCAATTAAAAGGATTTCTGGGATGCCCATCCCTAACCTACCAGATAGAAGTCCAGCCCTCCCTGAAGTGGCATTCAAGGCCCTCTCCCTGTGGGGCTCATTCCTTACTGCCCTGCCAGAATCACTCCCCATTCCCAGAACAAGTGTCCTCACATCTTCCTGCCTTTGCCCAACAGTTTCCTAAGCTGGGATGCCCTTTCCCTGCTTAAGCCTGGTGAAACCTTGCACCTTCAAACCCAGCTCTGACCCCAGCCTCCCTGGCAGCCGCCCTGGCACACTACTTATTGGAGAAACAGCATTTATGGCTGGGCACAGTGGCTCACACCTGTAATCTCAGCATTTTGGGAGGCCAAGCCAGGCGGATCACTTGAGGCCAGGAGTTCGAGACCAGCCTGGCCAACATGGTGAAACCCCATCTCTACTAAAAATACAAAAGTTAGCCGGGCATGGTGGCGCACGCTTGTAGTCCCAGCTACTCGGGAGGCTGAGAGAGGAGAATCACTTGAACCTGGCAGGCAGAGGTTGCAGTGAGCCGAGATCATGCCACTGCACTCCAGCCTGGGTGACATGGTGAGTGAGACTCTGTCTCAAAAAAAAAAAAAAGAAGAAGAAGAAAAAAGAGCCAGCACAGTTCACAAAAGAACAGGCTGTTTATCCCATGTATGCTTATGCCCAGAAGTAATCAGGCACCGGCCAGGGGCTCTGATACAGAAAGGACTCCTGCCTTGAGTGGGAGACAGTCTGGGGGCTCTGCGATCCTTCCAGGTCCATCTAGATTTGGGTTCTTAGCCCAGGCTGCGCATTAGAGTCACCTGGGGAATTTAAAAAAAAAAAAATCCCAATGCCCAGTCTAGCCCCAACCATTTTTGGAATGGGGTCTAAGCTTTTCCAAAACTCTTCACAGGATTGATGTGCAAAGAGGGTGGAGAACCAATGATTTGGACCAACTGACCCATTTATACATGAACAAGCCCAAGTGGAAGTAGTTTGAGGCCACCAAGAAACAGGGAACAGAGTCAGGACTAGGAGCTGGGCCTCCTGGCCCCCAGGTAGGGGTGGTGCTACCTTTAGACTCAGAGGAAACCTCTGAGCTCTCTCTGGCCTTCGCCCTGTGAGGGAGAATGCAGCTAAGACAGCTGGGCAGCCAGGTAGCAGGAGACAGGGTCTGCCTACTTAAGAGCCTGGGCCCTCTCTCCACCCTCCTCGGCTTCCCTCTCAGTCAAACAGCACAGGAAGCCCCAGAGATTTCATCACCTAGCCCCCCAACCCCAGTCAGAGTCTCCCTGGGCCTGAGACAGACAATCCCAGCTGAGAGAGTCTGGTGGTGTGGAGATGCCTTGGCCTCTCTGTGCAGTCTGTCCTGTTTTATTTTGAACCCTCAGAGGGAAGGGGCAGTGGACCCCTCTGTGAATCACAAACATAACCCCAACGCCTACTACACACCAGACTCTGCCCTCAGAGCCAAGTCCCCCAAGCCTCATTCCCAACATCTGCCCTCAGGGAGCAGCCTAGAGTCCTCACTTTGGAAACAGTGTCTCCTCCTCCCCAGTGATCCCAGGGTGGGGGGCAGGTGCAGAGAAGGGGCCTGGGAGTGACCCTGCACATCCCTCGGGCCCAGTAGCCTCCTCAGGGGCCAAACCTGAGGTCCAGAGTGGATGTGTGGTTTGCAGACCACACAGCCACTGGGTGGCAGGGCCAGGGACATTTCCCCTGAATGTCATACATAAGGCAGTGGGCAGGAGGACTGAGGAAGGTAAGTGAAGGGGTGGCAGGTGGGGGAGAACCAGTCCTGGGACACTCGGAGGACACAGGCCCTGAGGGGCTAGCATGGCCACCTGTTCTGCAGCGGTGCCTGCTGGGTGCCCCATTTCACCTCATTTCTCCAAGGAAGCTGGAGTCAGACAGCTGTACCCACTCCAACCCCTCTCCCAATGCTCCCCACTGATGACATCTGCCCAGCAAAGCCCCTCACCTTAGCTGTCTCCCATGGCTGCTGAGGAGCCAAATGGTGCCCTGCCCCTCCCAATTTCAGCCCATGTGACAGAGCTGGCCTCCCCTCCTTCTTCCCCACCTGGCATGGAAGGCCTCCCAGCCCAGCTTCTCCCTGCTCTGTCCAGCACTGGCACTACCCTGGACAACTCAAAGAGATCAAAATGACTTCCAGATCCCTATCTGTGAGCTCCCATCTCTCCTTTTAAAGATCAATTAAAGTCTTGGCAATGATTCACCTTGCAGTCTGGATGGTGGCTTTGATGTCCGCTCCAGACATGAGACCTCTGTTTTTCCAAATCTAGAAACTGCTACCAAATGGTGAGGGTAGGGTCCCTCCCTGGGGCCAGAGCAGCTCCTGCTTTGCAGAGATGCCAGCCCCGAGGTCTTACCCTTTCTGGCAGGGGGTGCCAGGTCCTGACTGGGGGGCATGGGGAAACGGGCCATGAATATCAGGAATTCCTTCCACAAAGGACAACTGGGAAAGCAATGCATCTCTGCTTCCCTTGGCAGCCAAGGGCCATGGAGGAAAAATGTTTAATATAAAAACATCTGACAAAGTGCCTTCAGGATATATTTTCTGCATCAAAGAAGTAGCTCTTGGCAACAGCCACTCTACCCTGACAAGGAAACTTTCGAGCGCAGTTCCCGATTGTTACAGACGCCCAGGGAAAGCATGCCAGTGGGGATAGGAGGAGGGGGACCCTAGAGCCCGGCAGGCAGATGGTTGTGATTAGGCTGGACGCAACCAAGTACATTTTCTGGAATTTAAGGTCTCCTCAGACAACCTGCCGGTTCCCCTGATGATGCAGGCCGCCAATGTATAGTGAGGGGTAGGGGCCATCTGCAGCCAGCCCTGGACAGGCACCCGACACCCTGCCTCGCCAGCAGCCTCCCCTCAGAAACCCACCCACCTGCCATCTCACTCGTCATTCATTTATCCACTCAGCAACCACCCAATGAGCAGAGCCACTGGGGGGCTTGGGGTGATCATTGTTCATGCTGAGTCTCAGGTACCCAGGGACACAGAAGCCCCAGAAGCTCAAGAATCATGTTTGTGTCCTGAATCTTCCAGGGCCAGCAAGGGTGCCTTATCAGACACTGAGGAACCCAACAGACTGCCTGGGTTCCAATCTCAGCTCTATTGCTTTCTTGCTGGGTGACCTTGGGCAAGTTACTTAACCTCTCTGAGCCTGTTACTTCTTCCTTTAATATGGCTAATAAAAGTGGCTACCTCAGAGTGGTTGGGAGTAGCCCATGAATAAATATATTTATGGCACTTAGAGAGTACCTGGCACAGGTACTCTGTGTTAGCTGTGATCATTAAATATGTGTGATGATCTTTCTGTCTTTAAGGGCTCTCTCTGGATCTCTTTACCCCAGGCAAAAATTCATTCATTCATTTTCATTCATTCATTCATTCATTCATTCCACAATGACTCCCTGGCTGTGAGCTAGGCCCAGTATTAGAAGCCAGATGAGGTCCTTCAGGACCAAGTATATCCCAGGGTTCCCTGGTATCCATGACCATGATCAGCTGTTTCAGCTCATTCCTCTAGTGTTCAGGACAGCCTCTCTGGATTCATCTTTCCCCATTCCTCCATCTCTCGCTTATTTACTTTCTAGCCACAAACTCTTAGAACATATGGTATTAACTGCATGCCTCCTTGCTTTTGCACAAGCTGTTCCTCCTACTTGAAAGGTTATCTATAGCCTGTTGTCCTCTTGGTGAACTCTTAGTCATCCTACAAAACCCAACTCAGAATCACCTTCTCTGTGAAGGTGAATGCCCCCTGAATACTCCATCCCCACCCCAACAGAGTTCCCTGCTTTGAGCACATCTCTAGGGCAGCACTCAGCATGATCAGTCACCACTGTCTGTTTGCTGTCTGCCTCTCCTCTAGACCAGCAGCTCCTAGAGGGGAAGGTCCAGTCTTTCTCCATTTTCTATCATCTGCCACTGGCATGTAGTAGATTCTTTTTTCCCCCTTTTTATAATAAATTCTTCTTTGTTTTTAATTTTTATGTTTCTTACTTTTTTAGAGACAGGGTCTTGTTCTGTTGCTCAGGTTGGATCAGAGTGCAGTGGTGCGATCACAGCTCACTATAGCCTCCAACTCCTGAGCTCAAGTGATCCTCCTACCTCAGTGGCTGGGACTACAGGTGTGTGCCACCATGGCCAGCCAATTTTTAAATTTTTTTAAGAGGTAGGGGTCTTGCTATGTTGCCCCCGGCTGGTCTCAAACTCCCAGGTTCAAGCAATCCTCCTGCCTCAGCCTGGGATTACAGGCACAAGCCACCACACCCAGCTGCAGTAAGTTCTGAATAATAAATGTTCAGTACATTGACTTGTCATTCAAAAGCCCACACTCAGGAAACACAATAGCCCTGAAGTCCTTTGTCTGAGGCCATGGGGAGTCTAAAAGCTCTGTTACCTCTGATGAGTCAGTTGCCCTCTCTGGACTTTGCAAGTATATCCCCACTGCAGCCCCCAAGCTTTAGTGCCTTGGGATGGAGGGGTGGAGGTCCAAGACACCCATCCCCTCCCTCCTCATGACTTTGTTCCATGCCACAGTTTTGCTTTTGGCCAACGACGGGAGAAGCTAAGATGCCCCAGGAGAGAAGCCCTAGCTCTTTGACTACTCCCCACCCCAAGGCCTGGGAGCTGGTACTTACAGCCTGGAACACATTAGCACCAAGGAGCCCCTGAGATCAGTGACCCAGTGGACCCAATATACAGCTGAGCAAACTGAGACTAGAGAGGTGAGGAATTTGCCTGTGGTCACATGGCAGGAAAAGGGCACAGCTGAGCCTAGAAACCACTCTGGCACACTGCCCACCATCCCGCATTGCTTCTTGGCAGACACAGGTTGGCTGGGCCCTCCTTCAGCTGTCTGTTCCCCCAGGACTGCTCTAGTCACCCCCATCACTCCTGCCGACCCCCCCTCACACCTCTACCCAGCCCAGGAAGAATGGGTCCTTCTGTAAGATACTCAGGAGGTGTTAGGAAAGGAAGGCATTTCTTTTCCCTTTGGTTGGTCAAAGCTAAAAAGACACATGGCGAGGGATTGATGTGAGTAGTAAATACCATCCGTTTGGAACTGGAGCTGAATGCTCCTTCTCCCCCACCCATTTCTGAGTTGGAAATGGCAGGGTGGTGCTGGCCACAATTGGTATCAGTCTGGCAACCTGTCCACTGCCTCTAGGCTGGAGCCTGACCCCTGGGGATAGGCAGAGTGGGCATGGGTCATGCCTGAGGGCCACCTCTTAAACCCAAAGGGACCGGGCTAGGTTCAAGTCTGATTGTTTCAGAGCACCATTCACCCAGATGAAATGCCCTTCCTGCTCTCCAAAACTCAATGAAATGTTCTTTTCAGCTAAAACATATCCCCTGCCCTCCTGCTTTCCCTTTGAAACCACTCTGCATACAGCACCCCAGACCCACAGGCAATGAGCACTCTCACGTGACAGGCTTGAGCATCGTCATGTGATAGCAACTTTCCGCAGGCCCTGCTATTGGTCAGGTGTGATCAGTCTGTGAAAATTCACGGAGCTGGCACTTATATGTCCACTCGGCATGTTTGGATAGAAGTTTTTTAAAAAAATCTTTCCCAGGTCCTGGTCTCTGCCCATCTTTTCTCCCACCAACATCTGGAGCTTTGCTTCCCAGTCCCTCGAAACTCCTTTGGTTTCTCAACATCAAGTTCTTTTCACACCTCCAGGTCTTTGCATCTGCTATACCTGGAATGCTCCAAATCCTGTCTTTCTGACTTCCATTCATTTTTTAAAAGACATCGCCTCTTCCAGGAAGCCTTCCCCAGCTACCTCCCTACCACGCCAAGAGTTGAGAGTTGATCACTAATCCCTTCTTCCTCTGGACCGCCTCTTGTTATTGTTTGTGTCTTTACCTATCTGTGAATACCTTGAGGGCAGAAACAATGTAACTTTTATCTCTGTGCCCCTAGCCCTATGCACAGTGCCTGGAACACTGTGATGGCCACACCCACCACATGCAGTGTGACAGGCCTTGGCTGACTCACAGGCATCATCTCATTTAACCCTCACCACTAGGGATATGTTGTTATTATCAACCCCATTTTACAAGTGAGAAAACTGAGGGACAAAGCAGCTGAGTGGCTCTCCCAAGGTCACACAACTAATAGATGGCCGACTCAGGGCTTGATTGCAGGGCCCACTGGTGCAGAGCCCATGCTCTTCAGCCCACCACAGCTACAGGGACTCAGAACACACTGAATGGACTGAACCACACACCCTGGAACACGGAACTCTCAGAGTCTGTTAGATGAGGGTGTTGTTGGACGAGAACACACTTGGTCCCTGTAATCAAGAAAACAGCAGGAAATGACACCACACACACACACTCCTCTCCCAGCTTCAGTAGGCACTGACGATAACACCAGACAGCACCAACCCCAACGGACCCCGGAAATGGGCAAACGGCAGGCACAGGTGCTACCGAGTGGCAGGTGGGTAAGCAGTGTGGATCCACCTTGGGTTGCAACCCTAGGTGGGTCCACGCTGCTCTGCTTGCTGTATGGCTCTGAGCCAGTCTCCCAACCTCCCTGAGCCTCTGTTCCCAAACTCTGCCAACTTACACAATGCAACAATCTACAAAATGATCTGCGCCCTCAAGGAGCTTACAGTCTGGTTGGTGGAGGAAAGATACCCACATCCAGCTCAGCCCCCAACTCTCCATGTAGCCTACTGTTGCTCCCTTCCTTCCCCTGGCATCCTCCTTTCTAAACTGAAGGGCCTGCTCTCACTAACACAGCTCTAAAGAAACCCACATGCTGTGAGGACTGAGATACCAGGCACAGAGGGCCAAGGTTCCAGCAAGGACTGCGCGATCCCAGTGATGGGCAGCTTAGACCATGCCTTACACATAGCTGGACAGTGACTGCCCAGCTCCCACCCTGAGGGCCCTGCCCAGTGTTCCATAACAAGCGTCCCCATCCCCTTCCCCGTGCTAGACCCTGGCAGGGGTAAAGTATCTCATTTAACCCTCACCATTAAGGATATGTTTGTTGTTATTATCATCCTCATTTTACAAGTGAGAAAATGGAGGGACAGGATGCTTAATAAAGCACTTGAATGGTTATCTTACAGGCACTAGAATAAGACAGCAGAGGGGAGCTACTGGTCCTAAAGAAGCTTGCCCAGTGTGCCGCCTCCAGCCCCACAGCATGGAGTCAGGCAGGCCCGGGTGCTTAAGCAGCCCTGCCACTTCAGGCTCCCGCTAAGTGACTCAGAGCTCACCCAGCCCGGCCTGGCCAGGGCTCCTTCCCTCACCCAGGGCTTAAAGCTCCTTATGACATGTTCATTGTTTTTCTAGGCTGGAGTCAGAGATGCTGAGAGAACCCTGCCCTCTGCCACCAGCCTTTCTCGGAACTGCCATTTCTTCATCCTGCAATTCTGAGAATTATGGCATGTTCTACTTTAAAGTTGAAAAAAAAAAAAAAGTTTGCCTACCAGCCACTCACACCTTAGTATGAATTTATTTAACTAGCTTCTCTTCCTTTCCTCCCCAAACTAAACTGAAATCAAGCAAATGGAAGAGGAAAGGAAATACAGCAGAGAAGAGGACAGCCTGACAGGGGCCTTGGACAGTCAGGTGACAGCACCCCACGCCCTGAATTAGGCGAGGAAACCAGAGTGCCAAAGTTCTGAAGGTACCCCAAAAGTTCTAGGCTTTCCATTCTTCCCAAATCCCATCAAAGACTCCAGGTGTAAGGTCTCCAGATCTGCTTAAAGCTCTGCATTCTAGCCTCCCTCCACCACCCCCCTCCCCAGTGACCTTGGTGAAGCCACTTGCCCCCTCTACACTGTTTAGTGGGAATCACGTATCCAAATTGGGAGCTGATGTAGAGATCAAATGAAGGTTTTCCAACAACTACTCGGCAGAGAGCTGAAGCAACTGCGTCTCCTTTCCTGCGGCCCCTCGCCCTGCCCACTCATGCCTCCTTGCCTGCCTGGGCCTGGGACTAAGCCTCAAGAGGCCCATCCTTCCCCCAAGTGGCCTCAACAACAGGACAGGGAAGTAAAGCAGAGACCATGGAGCTGGATAAAACAGATAAGAGTCCCAGGCCCAGCGCTGGGATTGTCATTGTGCGAGACAAACTAGGGCAGTCTCCATCCTGGGGCTGCAGACACCCTGTTTGGGGATGACGTACATCCCAGGACACTGAGGGTAACAAGGCTCTCGGGATCGGCAGACCCCCAGAACTCCGGGAGATGGAAGGCCAGGCCAGCGAGTGGTGTGATCTCTGGGTGGTCCCCAAGGTTTGTCCAGTAGTGGCCTGGAAGGGCACGGAGCCGCCCTGCACCCTCGCTAGCCCCTCATCCCCTTCCCCGGTACTTAAATCAGGACAGGTGCCCACCAGGCTCCTTTGGATCATTTTACTTTGCTCCTGCCAGGGTCTGGCTTGGGGAAGGGAACAGGGATACTTGTTGTAGAACACTGGGCAGGGCCCTCAGGGTGTGAGCTAGGCAGTCACACTGTCCAGGCTCATGTTCCAAGCCTTCCACTTACATTATGGGCAGTTGGCCCAGCAATGAGCCTCAGTTTCCTCCTCTATGAAATGGGGAGAATCACACCTGTCTCACAGGGTTGTGGTAAGGAGTCAATGAAATGGAGAATGCTGGCGCTTAGCAAAGTGCCTGACATGTAGTGAGTGTCGATAAATGTCAACTGCTGTCATCATCAGCACCATCATCATTATTTGTCCTTAGACATCAAATGCCCCGGCCTGGCCCAACACATTGTGCCCACCTCTGCCCCTCACCTTTCTGACTTCACCTCCAGTCCTGCCCTCCCACACAACCTTGCATTCCATCTTGCAGAATGACTCGTGCCTTCACCATCCACCAAGACCTGTCACCCCCTAGGCCATTTCCCTCCCTGAATATGTCCTCCAGTGTGACAGCCAGCACAGCCCCATGTCTTTGGGCTCCCAGTAGGCAGGCGGGCAGCTTAACCCACAGGACCTCAGATCCCTACAGCACAGAGCAAGCTGGAAAAGCTAACAGTGGGCCCTCAGCGGGGAACATTCCACGCATGGCATCCCTGGAAGGGACCAGGATGACACAAAGGGAAACACTCCATTCACCTACTGAGGCCACCCAGAACTCACACCAAAGTCCTTCAAGACCTCACTCAATGTCCTTGGCATAGGAAATCCCCAATTTCCTCCCCAAATCCTTCCGCTCCTTAGAATTCTAAAGCATTGGACACATTTTCCAACACAGTCCTTTTGCACAGTCATGAGTAGCAGGGACCTTCTCACCACCCAGTACCAAAGACTGCTCTGGGATATCCGGTCGGAAATCTCAGACACAGGCCCAGTGAGGCCCAAAGGCAACAAAACTAATGGCCTTGGGATCTCCTGAGACTTCCCAGCCTCTGGATTGAGGGAGAGGCCTCCTGACAGTGCTTGGGGGTCTGGTCCTTTCAGCCTGAGCCACACCAGGCCCCCTCTGGAATGGCTGGGATCAAATGAGATTACATCTGCAAACACCTTAAAACTGTAAGGTATGCACATGCACAGACACACACACACACACACACACACACACACACACACACACGGACTTTCCATCATTAACAATAGGGAGAAAGAGGATGCCAAAAAATTACCCATCTGTCCAGACAACCAACGCCAATGGAATCCATCTGAGGGCTGGCAGTGACACAAAATCGCAAATTCAGAAATACTTTTAAGCCCCTTGCTTCAAAATTATATGTGGCTTTCACTCATGTAGGTGCAGAGGAAAAAAGAAAGGATTGAAATTTTAACTTGCGTTCATCTGGTTGGGCCTTTGAGGGAAATAAATTATTAGAGAAGGAAGTACCCTAACGAAGGGAGCCACCAAAGACCAGAAGGCACTCAGGAATAGGACCCAGAAGACCTGGACCCCAGGACCACCGCAGCCCAGGACCAGGTTGCCCATTGTGGGACCCTGTATGGCAAGTCACATTCCTGCTTCCGCTTCTAGCCTCCCCATCTCTGCAACAGTCATACTCTTGTAAGCTCCCATGCCTTGGTGAGAAGGGAATGGATAGGCAAAGGCTCTGGGCTGGGGAAATGGCCAGGCAGCCATGAGCAGCCAGTGCTGCATTATCCTTAGAGTTGCAGAGAGACTACATCAAGAACGACAGGACTTTAGGGGAAATACATTTATTGAAGGTACATTTGGCCCTTGCAGAAAAGTGGGGGACAAAACAGTGATGAAGAGCACAAACCCTGGAGACAAACAGCCCATGGCTGTCCCAAGAGAATGCATATAAAGCGGCCAAGTGGAGTGCCGGCCATAGCATACACTCAATAAATGGCTATGATTTTGGCGACTGCTACCATGGCATGGATGTGGGGTGAGGGAAGAATGTCTCAGATGGAGACACACAGCCATCCAGACATGCCCACAAGGTATGCAGCCCCAGCCTGAGGGGCTGTCAGTCCCAGCCAGCATGCCACCAGGCCACCATGCCACCAGCCATGCTCCCAAAGGGCCCCACAGACCTTGGTCCTGGCCCTCGATGTCCCCAGTCCAACACCAACCTCTCATTTCTCAAGGAAAGTTTGATTCAGGTATTCCTCCGGATGTAGGGGTCCCTATGACCAGCTTCTAACTGCAGGGGACAGAGGACTCCAAACCACGGTTCCCTCGGCTTCCTATCCCAGCATCTGCTGCTCAGGGAGAGACACAGAAACCACTGGCTTTGCCAAACTCCTCACTTGCCAGATCCTCCCTGCAAGCTCATTCAACCGGCTCCAATTCCCCCAATCTTCTGACCCTTCACATTGGTCCCTCCCCTGGAGTGAGGACAGGAGGAAGACAAATGTATACCACATCCACTTTGCTGCCTCTCGCAGCTGGGGGAAGAGGATCTCTTTCTAAACACGAAAGGGAGAGCTGTGCTGAGCTTTTATCATTTCCAAGTGAGACAAGAGAGAGACAACTGGTTAAAACGTGGTAGACAGGTGCTTTAAAAGTTATCTTCAGGTTTCACTCATACAGACTGTTCTTAACCCCAAAAACACCAGGGACTGAAACATTGGCAACCTTCCCATCCAAGGATTGGAGGAAAAGGGAAACAAAAAGAAGAGGGGAAGTCAAAAAGTCTTCCACCAAGCCCCCTCCGCAGCTGTCCCCTTCGATAAATTTCAACACAACAGCAATGCACAAGAAAAAATGCTGACCTGAGAATTCACCCGGAGCAGTGATGAGGGAGTTGGTAGCCTCCGTTTCAGTGTAAGACAATGTGGAATCGGACAGATCTGTGGGAGGAAAGAAAAAGAGAACTTAGTTGGCCGTGGGGCAGCGCTCTCTTTTTTCTTCTTTCTCATGCATCTCTGTACATGTGCACGTGTGTGGATGTGTGTGCTTGCAAAGGGCAGCATGTCCCTCCCAACTTTCTGATGTCACCCTGTAACCCCATCTCAGGATCACCCCAGACCAGACCAGCCAGCCCAGGAACTCTTCTGGAAAGTGCTGACTGTGGTGAAGCTGGTACCTGAAAACGCTGCCATTGCCCTGACCACAGAAATAACCCAAGTTCAGGGGACCGAGCAAGTAGCAACTTGGAGCCTCCGTGGGTAAGGTTAAATTAAGCCCCTAAACAATTCATAGTTGCTGTACTTAATTACAACCATTAAAATTCTTGAAGTTGTTCCTTCTTGCTTCCTTCCTTCCTTTCTTCCTTCCTTCCTTCCTCCCTCCCGCTAGGGCTGGGGAAACTGTTTTAACAAGTCACCAGCCGTCCTCACTCTGTCCCGCTTACACCCCTCTAATTAAGGGCTCAAGCATTTGCTCCCAGATTAACTTTGTTTTTTCTCTCCCCTCCCCCACTCCCTAACATCCAAACCTGCTCACAAGAGCAACTTTTAATGCCTGGACTGTTTTTTTTTAAGGCGTTCTTTTTTTTTTTTTTTTTAAGTAGTTTTAAGTACTTCATATGTACATTATTGGTTTTCTTCTGTCTGCCGAGCAGTTAGATGAGAAAGAGAAATTCTTTTGCACATTTTCTATAGAACACTGAGCTGCTAGTTTGACAAGCCGATGCCTTTTGGGACAGGCCGACTTGGAAAATTTTTCCTGGGCCTGTGCCTCTGCTACCAGCAATGGGTGTTGTCCCCGTTAAGGGACAGGCCTGTCCAGGAGTTGGAAGGCCTGCAGCACACACATCTTCTCACCTGGCACAATCCAGGACTGGCTCGGGTGGCTCCACCTGGCCCCAGCCGGCCCAGCACAGCTACTCCAGGCAAAGGATTCCTGGGATAAAACCGTTTGCCCAGGCCCTCACTAGCTAGAATTCCATTTGATCCTGCAGGAACTTTTTATCCTTTTACCACATGGCTTGGGGAGCAGGAAGATAAAACATTAACCAATTTGGCCTTTTTTTTTTTTTTCCTCTCTCGTTTTCCACTTGCCAGATGCTGACTGAGTGTTCTAGGTTTTATTTTGTTTTTTGGTCTCATGTGATCACAGAGGCTTAGAAGTGAACTGGCTTTTTGTTTATGAAAAAGCAACAATGCAAGGAAGAGAAAATAATACCAAAAAATAACGCGGGACTATTTATCAGGGAATGAAAAAGTTATCTGCTGGAAAAATATGTTAGGAGAAAAATAAGTACACACAGAAAAATCTTTAAAAAAAAAAAAAAAAAAAGCTCAGTGCTCAAGTGGGAAGTTCTTAAAAGGGTTTTGCTTTTAATACCTAATGTTCCCAAAGTGCTCAGTGCCCAGAGCCCTGCTGCCACTTCTCATCTGAAGTAGCAACATCACAAGCCGAGTCCTATTTCTTAGTGAACTGCCTTACAGCCAACACAGACAGCATTGTGAGGTTTCCAGAAGAGTGGAAACGACAAGCGGTTTCCACCTTTCACAGCTAGTAAGTCCCTATCACGCCCTTGCCAAACCCTCACATCTAGTGTTTCTAGTGAGGCCCTGGACAGTGTCTCAATGGCTGCTGTGCAAAAGAATGTTCCCAGCCTCCATCACTGCTCAAGCCTCAAGGAGGAAGAACTCCATCTGCAAGTTGGAGCTCCAGGTTCAGGTCCCGCCTCCACTATGAGTCAAGCAACATCAGGGCTCACCAGCTTTTTCTATAAAGGGCCAGAGGTTAATATTTTCAGCTTTGTGAACTATACGGCCTCTGCTGCAACTACTCAACTCTGCCTCAGCCATGGACAAAATGGAAATGGACAAGCCTGGCTGTGTTCCAAGTAAAACTCCACTTCCGGACACCAAAATCTGAATTTCACGTAATTTTCAGGTGTCACAAAATATTATGCTTCTTTGGATTTTTTTTTTAACCACTTCAAAAATAAAGGCCATTCGTAGCTTGCAAACCATATAAAAACAGGTGGTGGGCTGAGCTATTTGACCACCGGCAAGTGTCACTTCCTCTTTCTGGGCCTCAGTCATCTCATTTGTAAAACCATGGGGACAACTGTTGGTTTCCACATGGTCACTCTGCAGGGCTGGGCAGTGTCCTGATTTTTGCTGCTTTATCACAGGCTAACTGACAAAACCTCAGGGCGATGATCCTTGACATTCAAACTGAGGTGCTAAGAACTTTCACTAAGAACTTTTGAGGGTTTTTTTCTCTAATGGAACTAGGGGTCCTACAAGCAACTAGTGCAATTATGCTGACTTAGGAAATGCTGAGACAGGCCTCCGAGGGAAGGACAGTGAGCCACCCACCTGAGTGGGGGCTGCTCTGAGTTTGTACCTCAACCCTGCAGCTCATTAGCTGGGAAGCTCCTCGCCCTCACTCAGTTTGATTCTTCATCTCTTAAGTGACAAGCTTCCACCACATGATCTCTCCAGTTTCCGAGAGAACTAAGGCTCCCCCATTCATGGGACAATCCTACTTCTGGAACAACAATAGGGTGGCCACCATGGTTTGGTGGCTGACTCCCACACCCTCGTGGAACAGCCTCTGCCCACCCAGCCTGAGAAGGTCACACTCCTGAAGGGACCTGGTGGGCACTTCTGACTTCACAGCAGGAGAGGGGTCTGGAAAGAAAACTGGGGTGGATATGCCTGAGTGTCTACGACACTAAGAAGTGACTTGCCCAGCCAGGCGCAGTGGCTCACGCCTGTAATCCCAGCACTTTGGGAGGCCAAGGAGGGCAGATCACAAGGTCAGGAGATCGAGACCAGCCTGGCCAATATGGTAAAACTCCATCTCTACTAAAAATACAAAAATTAGCCAGGCGTGGTGGCGCGTGCCTGCAGTCCCAGCTACTTGGGAGGCTGAGGCAGAAGAATCGCTTGAACCCGGGATGCGGAGGTTGCAGTGGGCCGAATTCACGCCACTGCACTCCAGCCTGGGTGACAGAGCGAGACTCCATCTCAAACAAAGAAAAAAAGAAGTGACCTCCCAGATGATGCTGACACACACTACTGGGAGGAGGCCTTTACCAAAAACCAAACAAAACCCACTTTTTGTGGTCACTTGGTGGAATGTTGCAGCATCGTTGCCACGCCATCTGACTTTTAAAGCTTGAGTCCCACGGGAACTGCTTGGGTCACAAAGTTGCTCTCCTGGTACTGTCAGGGCCAAACTAACTTGTGCCACAATCAGGATCCCACAGATTCCATCACTTCTCTGCCTTAGAACCCATGCTCTGAAACCCCACTAGAGGAAACAGAGATCCAAGCAATCTCCACTTTTATTTTGTTTTAGAGATGGGGTCTTGTTCTGTCCCCCAGACTGGAGTGTAGTGGCACAATCATACCTCACTGCAGCCTCTAACTCCTGGGCTTAAGGGATCCTCCCACCTCAGCCTCCTAAGTAGCTAGGATTACAGGCCTGAGCCACCACACCCAGCTAATTTTCATATTTTTTATAGAGATGGGGTCTTGCTATGTTGCCCAGGCTGGTCTGGAACTTCTGGCTTCAAGCAATCCTCCCACCTTAGCCTCCTAAAATGCTGGGATTATAGGCATGAGCCATCGTTCCCAACCACAACCTCTACTCTTTTTTTTTTTTTTTTTTTTTTTGAGACAGAATTTCACTCACTCTGTCGCCCAGGCTGGAGTGCAGTGGCGTGACCTCAGCTCACTGCAACCTCCCAGGTTCAAGCAATTCTCCTGCCTCAGCCTCCTGAGTAGCTGGAATTATAGCTACTCGGGAGCATGTGTACCACAACACCCGGCTAATTTTTGTATTTTTAGTAGAGACAGGGTTTCACCATGTTGGCTAGGCTGATCTCAACCTCCTAACCTCAAGTGATCTGTCCTCCTTGGCCTCCCAAAGTGCTGGGATTACAGGCGTGAGCCAACAATCTCTACTTTTGAAACCACTTACATCTACCCCAGAATATGGGCTGATCATCTAGGCTCAAGGTTTTACAGAAAACATGTTCTGCCTCTGAATGGGAGTTGTCTAAAATTACCAACTCCACTAAGCTCACCTAGGGGACAGTCCATGCCAGGGGCTTTGTGTACCAATATACATTCCTTTTTAACACTCCAATTGTTGTTTCTGCTCAAGTGAACATCTTGGCTTAAAAAGGGGGAAAATGTACAGCTCCTCTCAACAAAGACTTCATGCCCAACCTATTTGTCATACTACTAATTAATACACTCTAAAGGAGAATAACCCAAGGCTGGGGGGCCCAAGAGAGAGGAAAGAGACACAGAAATGCCAACCCACCTCCGGTGAGATGCATAAGTCAAAACCCATTCATCTTCGACAGGCCCATGTTTAAAAAGGTCACAGAGAGGTTAATGATGAGCCGCGGAATTTCGAGATGTAAATAGCCTGCTGCAGAAGCTGGGTCTGCTTTGGCCCAACTGTGGGAGTGTTTGTACAACTTCACCCCATTTCACAGCAACCAGTCCGGCTTTCACCCCTCCCCTCCAGCCCTCCAGCCCTCCAGCCCTGAGGCTGGACAGACACTGGGCTGAAGAGGACCCAGTTCGGGACACACCTCTGCAAGGGTAGGAAGGAGGGCACACTTACCCAGTGGCTTGTACTCGTCGCGAGGAGACAGCCGAGAGTAGGGAGGTGGCGGAGATTCTGGAAGACAGGAGACAGCATGTCACTGCCAGGGTTGGGGAGCTCACACCTCAGGTTCTACATGCTTTTAATTACTGGTTTCCCAAATAATAAACTCAGCCTCCAGGAAGCCCTCCCTTTGTCCCACCTCCTCTGCTGCCCAAATCCCCTCAACAGTTAAAGCCGCAGGCTTGGGGCACAGACAGATATGGGCTCAATCCCAGCTCTGCCACCTTTGGCTGTGTGACCTCAAGCAACTTACTTCACCTCTCTGAGCCTGTTTCCTCAGCTCTAAAATGAGGATAATAATCATCTAGACCTCCCAGGTTTGCTGGGATAATGTATGTAAAATGCTTAGTGCAGCTCTTGGCCCTGTCCAAAAACACCTCCATAAACAGTAACTGTTACTACTTTAACAAGAGAAACGTGAGTGCAGGGAAAGTCAGAGCCAGGGTTGCTGGATAAAATACCGGATGCTCAGTTACATTTGAGTTTTGGATAAACATGGCATCATTTTGTAGTATAAGTGTGTCCCTTTCAATATTGGGGGTGTACTTATACTAAAATATGGTGTGTTGTTTATCTGATACTCGAATTTAACTGGGCATCCTGCATTTTATTTGCTAAATTTGGCAAGCCTAGTGTGAGTGCAAAGGCCCAGACACAGAAACTCGTGTCCAAACAAGCTGCATTAGAGCTAGCATTCCTAGGTGCAGGGGAGGACAGTAGAAAGGGTTAGGACCCAAAAGGCCAAACCCAGCTATCTCAATAGGCCTTAAGCCAGTCACTTCCAGCTGTTGGCCTCAGTCTCCCCTTTTGTAAAGGACAGGGGTGGAACACAAGCTCTCTACAGCTCAGATGCTATGATTCCTTATTGTCTATGATATTTTTCTTTGGGTTTCATTTGCCTAAAATACTTCTCCTTAAAAACATATACTTTGCTTTCAGAAGAATTCCTTAGCTTCTTGCTTTATGGGAAGTAACAATTTGCTAAACTAAGTAACAATTTGCATGAATGAAATGACCCTTCATTTTCGGTAAATGAAACTAAACACAATCAAATCGCAAACTAAAACAAACTCTCAGTGGTAATAACTATTATTAAGCGGGTATCAGTAATGACACAAGGGGTAATAAGTGTTTTTCACAATTGTAATAAGCCACAATTAGTTACAGGAGCATTTGTTTTGCTCCATACACCCAATGAGGCCTCACCTCTTCCCCACCCCGGCTTTTCCAGCTCAAAGTTACTTCCAACAAAGTCAAAGCTCTGAGGTTTAGAAACAGAGACTTTCTGTGGACAGAAATTAGGGAGAAGGAAAAGTGAATCACAGAGTAGCCACTGAGAGAGACGCGAACATTTGCTCGGTGTCTACGTTGTGTCTCACTCCATGCCAATCACTTTCAATTTTACTATTTTAGACCTCAGGTACAGAGTAGTTAATTATGCTCATCAGGCACCTATTTTTATTTAATCCTTTCTCAAAATACAAAAATTAAATGAGATGACATTATTATCCCCATTTTACAGATGAGAAAACTGACTTGCGCATGTTCCCCGAGCCAGTCATGGTGGAGCTGGGATTCCAGTCCAGGCCTGACTCTGCTCTGCCACCCAATAAGGTGGAATCAAGAGATGCCCTGTCTTACACCCCTTCATCCCCGCTGGGTCTGGGACACCACCTGCACAGAACGCGCTCACTAAATGTGGACACAGACAACTGGGATGAGGATAATGGTAAAGTTGAATGCATCTGTGGCCAAAGATGTGCAGAAAGAGGATCTAGGGGGCTCTCAGGCCTAGAGGCCAGCCTTGAGTGAGGACCAGCCTCTCAGGATAAGAGGCAGGGCATAGGAAGGGCTGGAGTTCCACAGGAAAAGAGAATTGAGGCCAGTGTTTCCACTGTACAGAGAAGGAGACTGTGGCCTGGTGAGTGGAAGTGACTCCCTCAGGAGCTAGGTATCGAGCCAGAACCAAAGCCAGGTCTCTGACCTCCATGCCCTTTCCACCACCCCCATGAACTTATCAGAAAGCCTGCAATTCCTTAGGGTTACTTTTGCAAAAATCTGACTGGCTGAGGTCTAGGCCACACATGGCATGGAGCTCTGAACATCTGCCCCCAAGATTTGTCCCCAAAGGTGAATCTTGACAACTATGGGCAGTAGTGGCTGGAGTCAAGCCTCTGTAACCAATGCCAGCATCTCTTCCAGGGGCTGCTTACCTGGGACTCAAAAGGTGGAAGGCAGGAAAGGCTCATGAAGTCCCACCTGGAAGAGCTACCTGGGCCTTGAGTTGTGACACCTGCTACCCATGGCCATAGCTGAGTTGGGAGTTCCAATGTTGTGAGATAGAAAGAAAATCTATGAACCTGAACCATGAGACATGCCAGCTAGTGGAGCACTACAAACCGTTCAGGAGGGACCTCACCAGGCTCCCATTAGCTCTGGCAAAATAGTATGCACACAACTGTTTAACAACTGCAGGGACTGAAAGCTAATCACTAAATTCCATTGTAGGCAACTAAAAAAGTATGAAGGCTTTAGACTCCACCCCACAACACAAGGATTTAGAGTGTCAAAGACAGAAGAGGCCTTGGGGTTCACCCAACTCAATTCCTTCTTTTCACTGATATGAAACTAAGGTCCCACTTGCTGAAGGACCTGCCCAAGGCCACACATGAAGGTAGCTGCAGGTGTTACAGGGGAGGCCAGTTACAGACCAATATCAGGTGACCCTTTCCAAAAATTGAGATATAATTCACATACCCTAAGATTCATCCTTTTTAAAAATATACCATTCAGTGGTTTTTGAGTATATTCACAGTGTTGTGCAACCATCAACCACCATCTAAACACAAGACATTTTTTTTATCGCAAAAAGAAACACCATCCCCATTGGCAGTCACTTTCTAGACCCCAACCCCAAAACCCTGGGCAACCACTAACTTACTTTGTGTCTCTATGGGTTTGCCCATTCTGGACATTTCATTTCATACAATATATGGCCTTTTGTGGCTGGCTTCTTCTTTCATGTGGCACAAAGTCATCGAAGTTCATCCATGTTGTAGCACGTTTTGGTGCTGGACTTCGTTCTTTTTCATGGGTGAATGATATTCCATTCTTCGGACGTACCATATTTCATTTATCCATTTATCAGCTAATGGACATTTGGGTTGCTTCCTCTCTTTGGCTGTTATGAATAATGTGCTATCAACACTACTGGGTAACAATCAGCCGCCACTCCCACATGGCTGCGCCCTGTGGATCTGGACTGGTGGAGCCCCAGGGCATTACCTCAGGTGGGCAAGGTGGGCACTCAGGTGGGACACTTGGTGGGTGAGACCAAAGGTCAGAAAAGAAACTGTGAGCTGCCACCAGGCCCTCTGTCCACTCCCCTCTTAGAAGTTGTCTTAGTACTTTTAAAAGTTTTATTGATTTTAAAATAATAACCAATTTGCTCTAAACTTTAACAGGAGAACTTTTAGAGCACCGCAGGCCCCTCTGAAAGAAGTGGACCTGGTAGGGAGAGAAAGAAAAGAGAGGGAGACAGAAAGACATCAGAAACTCCAACCCCCTTGGACATCCAGCCTGAGGAATCAACTTCAGGAATCTCCTCCAACTTCCTGCAGAAGAGCAGTCAGCCAGGGGCCAGTGCACCAGAAGGTTCAGCTCAGCCCAGGCATGCCTCTGGTTAGCCCCCAGGGGGTACTTAGCCTTTTGGGATCTAGACCTAAATTCTAAAGCCAGAAAAGAGTTCACAGCCTCTCCCAGTGCCTGGCAAAGTTTCAGTTTGGGACATTACCTTACACCCCCATCTTTCCAGCTCAGCATCTTGCTTAGGAAAAGATCCACATGCCTCCCGGGTTGCCAAGTTTCCCCCCTCCCAAAGAGGGGCTGTGGATGGGGAGGGGGCCTCCTGAGTGCCCGTCCTTCCTGCCCCCAGAACCTGAAGACTCAACCCTAAGCCCCATGATGGGAGACGCAGAAAAGGAGCTCCTGGCACTTTAAGGCCGCCTGAGCCTAATTGCCCAGATTCCCCTGGCAGCCAGATAAACAGCGCGGCCGGCTGGCGCCAGCAAGAGGCAAACTGCACATTATCACCCCTTCCTCACCTCCAGGAGGAGCTAGGAGGAGCAGACAAGCAGGGCTAGGGGCCGCTGAGCCGGGCAGGGCGGGGGCTTGGAAGCCCAACTTGAAATTGATCTCATTTCAAAGGGATAATGCCAGGCCAAATAAAAGGAAAACTTTCTAGCCCATTCTAATTCCTATAGTCCTGGCCTGGGAACCCTGTGTTTTCCTAGGCGGCCTCCTCCAGTCGTTTAGAAGTTCTCTCTCTCTCGCTCTGTCTCTCTTCCCCGGGCGCAATTTGGATAATAGTAATTTACTGAATATAATTACAGAAAAAAAAAAAGTGGGGAAGCAAAGAGCAGGAGATTTATTCCGAAGTTAATGGATACTTTCAGGAGAAAGGAGCTCTATAAACACAGGTTAGAGCTGTGATTAAAGTATTTCTCCACATTTCCGTCCACATAGGCACCCACCGAGCTCAGCGAACTGGCTTTTCCTGGGACAGAAAGACACCCAAGGGGGAGGCAGAGTTGGGCCTGACTCCCACGGGCTGGGAGGCCAGGAGGCCCCTAGCCCATGCCCAGAAGAGGTGGGTCCCCTCCTGAGGACCCCAGTTTCCGAGACAAGCCTGGGGCAGAGTGGGGGAGGGGACGGAGGCCTGTGTGGCCTGGAATCTGCACATCAGCCCTCAGATTGTGCAGATTCCCTCCAACCCTTTACTTTAGATATAGGAAAAGAAGCCCAAAGAGGAAACTAGCCCCAAGGCCACAACTCAAGTTGATGGAGAGTGGGCTCTGAACAGCAGGGGTCCACACTGCCCAGGAAGGGGTCTTCTGTCACCGGGGCTCCCTGCAGTGGTCGGTGAAGGTGCGGAGGTGACTGCTGCCAGGTGGGAGTCCCTCAGTGCCGGTGTTCCAGTGTACTTTGCTCGCTAGCGGTGTGCCTGCGCTATGTGTGTGCGCGCATCTGTCTGCCCGGTGCCCCGGCCCTCTTCCCAGAGCCCTGGAAGGCGCAGTCTCCTTATCAGGACGCGCACCGCTGAGCCCCAGCTATGCGCCCGCCCAGTTACGGGAGCCAAGCTGGCGGCCAAGCGGTGGAGGCGGGTGGGCAGCCCAGGGCTCCCCCAGCTCTCAGGCCAGGGGCAAGAGGATCAACCTGGCACATACTGGAAACTCTTCCCGGACCATCGGTCCTCCCAGCTGTCCCCAGGGTGGCTGAATGGGGGCCCCACAGGCTAGCAGCTAGCAAAGAAAAGGGAGGAGACTTGGGGTGCTGCAGCCCTGGCAACAGCGCCTCCTTCTGGGAGAAGGAGGGGAATCAAGTCCCAAGGCTTAGTCCAGATTTAGATGGGGAGAATATTCCTAGAGCCACCCCCACTGACCAGCACGGTGGCTGAGAAGGGAGGTAACTCATCCAAAGTCAAGCTGCACGTTACTAGCTGGGCAGAGCCTGGGACCAGGTCCATGGTCAAGAACTGTTCTACTGCAGCTTGCCAGGTATCTCTTGACCTGTACCTCTCCAAACCTACCAAATGCAAACCAACACCCAAGCCAACTCCTAGTCCCAGGAGTAGTAGCAGGAGTGGTCCTGTCCATCGTCTCCAACTTTTTCACTCCTCCCCTCCCTGCCCAACCACCTGAACGTGCCTGGCACCTTGACTCTGAGCTGGCTGGCTCCCTCTCCTCTGACCCGGCTGGCTCCCTCTCCTCTGACCCATCCTCCAAGGTCCGGCTCCAGGTTGGAGCTGTGGAGCTCCTGCATGCCATCCTATTACATACACACCCACAGCCTTCTGGTAGTTCACACCCAATGACCTGGCCCTGCACACTTCCCTTCTTCCCCCATCTCTCCCCCATAAATCCCTGGTGGGATTATGTTTCTTGAGGGCATAGATCCTACTCATATTTCCACTCTGTTAGCCACAGCACCCAGCACAGTGCCTGGCCCAAAGTAATTGCTCAACAAACATCTGCTGCACACTGAAGTGGCGAAAGAGAATACACCTGCCAGGGGCTTCTACGAGAGTGGAAGGGACCTACTTTAAAAAAAAAAAAATCACCAGGAACAAGACAACCATAAATACTGGTCTCCTTCCCCAGAGGCAGTGGGGAGTCAGTTGGCAGAGGGGAGAAAGTCACTTCCAGGGAAAGCTGTCAGTAAGGGGAAAAGAGTACATAGAAAGCCTGGCATGAGCCACAGATCAGGGGCTGCTCATAGCTCCTAAATTGGGACTGGAGTGACCATGAGGGGAGTAGGGTGCCTCATCAACACTTCCCCTCCCCACCTGCCCCCATCAATGCCCTCTATGCAGGAATCATCACTGAGGGGAAACTTCCTTTCCTCTCCAGACACTACTCCACACTCAAACAAAACACCTAGGACAAATGCACCATCCTAGACCCACTTTCCCCTTCCACACAGAGTCAGGAGACCTACAACCTGACCCTCTCTGTGCTCCCAGCCTGGGTGCTGACTCTCCCCAGGGAAGCCAGAATGGAGGGATTCAGAGCCCTCCCAGGCTCAAGAGCCTGTGACTCCCTGCCAGTCCCACCCCTGCAAAACCCCAGTGCCAGCTAATGGATTCCCATACATCCCTCAGAGGCTAGCTACAGGCTAAAGTGTGTGTTCCCCACAAGACAGAGGTCAGAGCAAGGCAGCTGCAAGCTCCTGGCCTGCTGGAGCCTCCTGACCTGCTGGGGCCTCTGCCTGTCTGCACCTGAGCACCAGGGCCTGGCCAGGTAAGCAAGGCTGAGGGTGGGGCGTGTGCAGGAAATCCCAAGAGGAGAACAAAGAAGGGGGGCAGTTCTCAGAGGTAATCCAGTATCTGGCTTCTTCATCTACTCACGGATGCCTCCAAGACCCTAAACTCTATACAAAAGCTGAACACAAAACTTGAGAAGGACTATGGAAGACCCTGGCACTTGACACCCAAGGGATGTGGGGAATGATATTATGTGGGGAATAAAGAGGGTGCTCTTTACTCCAGAGAGGGGTTACCCTGCAAAGCTTTGTCGAAAGTATGCAAAGGCACAAATTGGACATTTGACGAACACTTTTGATTCTAGCTATGATTTGTGTACACCCAATTTCACAACTTACAGCTACTTGGACATAGAAAAGCACAGTGTGGGTAAGGGCACGTGCATACAAATGCTAGAAGCCTGGGCACAGACTGGGGTAGATTCCGGAATTGAGGTAGGAGGAAATAGCACCTACTTCTTTGGTCTCTCCTTGGCCTGCCCTCCCCTTTCACTGCCTATGAAGTTGGAGCCTACATCATGTCCCTGAAACTGCACAGAGAAAACTACGACATGTACCCTTTTAAGTTTACCGGAGCCTTGAGATAAAGTTGCCACTTGATGTGTGTGCTGGGACACCCACTCCCCTCGGCCGGTCTGAGGCGCCTCCCCTGGTGGCTCCCACGCTCCAAGGGCACCCGGGGGAGCACCCGCAGCTGCGCCGACCCGCAGTGTCACAGAGAGAAGGGCACGGAAGGGGATGGGGACGGGGACCCGGGGCCCCCCCGGCCGGCGCAGCGCGCTCACCGGGCCCGCAGAGCCGGCTGAAGTGGTAGGGGTTGCAGCACACGGTAGGGCCGTCGGCGGCGGCGGCGAAGCTGTGGCAGCCGCACAGGGGCTTCAGCTCCACGGCGTGCTGCAGGTCGGGCCAGCGAAAGAGGCGGCCGAGCAGCAGCTGCGGCGGCGCGGGCTGGCCGCCCAGGCGGAGGTCGGCGCGCGGCACCAGCACGCAGCCGCCCGGCACGCCGCCGCGGGACTCCACCGCCTCCAGCAGCGTGTCCAGCGAGCGCTCCTTGAGCCGCTTCAGCAGCGAGTACGTGACGGTTTTGAGTTCCTGCTCCAGCAGCAGCAGCCGCGAGCGCGCTTCGCGACTCCGCCCGCCGCCCGCCGGCTCCAGGGCCGCCCCGGCCAGGGGGTCGCTGGCGTCCCGGGGCGCGCCGGCGGCGTCCCGCTCCGAAAAGAGACAGCAGGTCACCGTCTCGCAGTCACTCTCGGGCAGCCAGCCCGGGCCTCCCGGCTCCGCCACGTCCAGCAGGGAGCTCCCAGCGCCGGCCCCTGGCTCCGACATGGGCCTCGGGGGGCCCCCTGCGCGCCGGCGCCTCCCCGCGCCCTGGGCGCCTCGCTGTCCCACTGCGTCCCGGGGCCGCCGCGGGGCTACCGGGCGGACTTCGGAGCGGCCGCAGCCTCCGCCCTCTCTTGCCCGCGGGGCCGGCTCAGCTCGGCTGCCCAAGCTCCCATCCTCGTCGCCGCCACCGCCGCCGCCGCTGCCGCCTTCCTCCCGGTCGGGGACCACACGACTTCGCCAAAGTCGCCGCACCAGCCCCGAGCGTTTGGACCTGAACATACGATATCCTTTGGCGCCAGGGGTGGGGGGGAGGCGGTCTCCGGTTACCGGGGGTCCGTTCCCTCAGCGAGGCGCCGGCTGCGCGGGTCGCAGCCCCACATGAAGCTCCGCCGCGGAGCGCCGTGCAGACCGCGCACAGCCTGTCGTCGAAGGGGCGCCGCAGGGCGACAACATGAGGGAGCTCGCCGAGGCGGGACGGCCGGGAACACGCGCACGCCGAGCCGCAGTCCGCGCGCGGCCAGCGGCTACATGGACCACAGCGGCGGGGCTGCTCAACAACTCCAGCCCCCGCGCTTTAGGGGGGCTGCAGGCGGCGCGCCGCCAGAAAGACCCCACATGGGCCGGCGAGCCTTCAAAAGTTGTGCGGCTGGTCCATGAGCACAAAGCGCTCGCGCGAACCCCTAAATGTGTCTGGAAAGCCCTGCCTTTACCTTGCCTTTTTTTTAAACCAAAGCGCTTAACTACATGGGCTTTTCCCGCAGGATCCGAAAGGCAGGCTTGTTGATACCCCCAGCTCCCTTCTTACTCCCTGCAAAAAGAAAAAAAAAAGGAAAGAAAGAAAAGGAAATCCCAAACAAAACCTAAATCCCTGGATTTGCATGCACGAAAGGCCAACGCCGTCTCAGGTCCCAGGCGCTAGATGCACTTGGAGCGAGTTTCTCCTGGACGCGGGTGTCAACACATGAGTGGAAGCTGTAAAAATCCCAAAGAGCTGCTGGGAATCCTTAATTAAAAATGCAGTCCACCGATGCAGAGGTCGCAGCCCGCCCCACGCTGCCCTCGGACGCTTCGTGCGCCGAGGCTGCCGAGGTCGCCCCCCCTCCCCCCTCCACAAAAGTGCCTCCCGGTGGCCCCGGGGTCCCAGCGAGGTCTGGCGAGGCAGCGCCCGGCGGCTCTTTCTCTCGGCTCAGCTCCCTCGATCGCTCCCCCGCTCGGCTCTCTCTCTCTTTTTTGTTCTCCTCAAACGCACACTGAGGGCCCCCGGAGGAGCGCCGCGGAGTCATTGGCTGCCTCCCATCATATGCCAGTCTAGACACTTTGGCGGCTCCGCGGCGCTGATTGTTGCGCAAACAAGGTTTCAAGTTTCTTAACTCTTAAAGGAGAACACGTCCCATTGCAGGGCCGGAGGCTCCAAGGGGCCGGCTCCCGGGGCGGGCCGAGCTCGGGCCCCCGCCCCACACCACCCCGGCACCCCCGCCCAGGGCCTGACAGCGCCCGCGGCCCGCTTTCTGCCTCGCGTTGCGCCCAGAGCACGGATGCGAGCGAGCACACACGCGCGCGCGGACACACACACACACACACACAGGGTTACACGAGCCACGAGCAGGCGCGCAAGGCTCGGCGGACCCACTGAGACTCGGACGCAAACGGGGCGCTTTGCCTCTCCCTGGCTTGTGCACAAACTTACAAACACACTTTGCACTTTAAAGTTGTTCCAAACCCCCATCCTAGGGTAGGCTAATAAAAATGGGTGTGCATGTGTGCCTTCCAGGGTTGAGCCTCTGAGGAGCAGGGGGCGGCGGATATGTTGGGGTAGCGGATCTTCCGTGACTGCACTAGGGGCTCTACGCTCCTTGCACAAAGTCGGGGGTCGCTCTGCCGGGCCAAACAGGGAGCTCAGGACGCTTTGCGTACGGTGGCTCCAGGCTCGCCCGGAGTGGGGAGATGGAGAGGGTGGGGTAGAGGCGGGGAGTGTCTACTCGCTGGCTCCTCTCGGTCGCCACGGCCCTCCCTTGGAGCGAGGCGGGCCGCCGGCCGGCCGGGCCCCCTCCAGGCCGGGTGCTTCCTCTCCCTTCTCAAGTTTACTCTCCGCACCTCGGAGAGGGCTGTAGGTGAGGGATCACGCTTTCCCTAGAGAGGTTTCCACGCGAAAATGGGGGTGGGTTGGGGGCGGGATCGGGGGCGCGGCGGCAGCAGCCTGACGCCCGGCGCGGGAAGGGTTAAGGCCGCTCCTGCCCCTGGAGCCGGCGCGGCGGGGTACCTCCTCGGGCGCGCTCGCTAGTCCGAGGGTGGCAAAAGTTCAAGCTTGTAAAGTCGGGATTGGTCCCGCGCGGAGGGGAAAAAAGGCCTGGGCCCCCCTCCCCCCCCGGGCGCGGCGCCGATTGGCCAGGCAGAGGGGCCGGCCCCGCCCTCTCCCCCCGCGCGCGGCGGCCCCACCCCCGGCGCGGCGCCCCGCCCCTTTCCGGGCAGGAGCCTGGCCCCGCGCTGAATGAAAGAAATTCCGCTACTCTCATTGGCCCGGGGCTGGGCGCCATTCCCCCGCGGTGACCGCGGGGCGCCGGCGGGCGGGTCTCCCTGGAGAGTGACCACGCGTGGAGCTAGCCTGGGGAGTGCGCGGCGGTGCGAACCCCCGGCCGTGCCCAGAGTCTGTGTGCGCTGGGGGAAGGGTGGCATTTGCAAGGAGGATTCAGAACCCTTTGCTGAGCTTTACCTGGAACCAGGTACTGTTCGCGCTGCGCTCTCTGAGAGTGGCCGTTGCTCCCCGAAAGAAAGATCGGACTGAGACACTTCCTCACACCCATCCCCTACTACTTTGGCCAAATTAAAGTAGCGGTCCTAGCCTCAGTTTCTTGTTTGAAACCGCGGATGAGGATGCTTGCCCTTCGTGCTTCACAGAACCACGAAGGTCCCTGGAGATAGTGCACGTTAAATGCACAAATCGCAAGCGAACAGCAGGATGAATTTTCACACGTGAACAAACACACATGATGTCACCAGCACCCAAAAAGCAACCTGACCTGCACCCCAGAAGCCTGTCTTGTGGCCCCTTTCAGTCACTTTTCGCCCATGGGGAAATTAATACATCTTAAAATACAAACAGAAACTCAGTGTATTTTCTTTTATCCCCGTGTATGCTCTTTGTGGATTATCTTTGACTGTGTATTACAATAATAATAGTTCGTGCGTATTGAGTCGTTACTATGGGCAAGGCAATGTTCCAGGACTTAGTTAACGCTCACAACACTTAACATAGGTACTATTATTATTAATATATAAGGACTTAACATAGTTACTATTATTATCTCCAGTTACAGATGAGGAAAACTGAGGCACAGGAGCTCACTCATGTAACTTGCCACTAAAACGAGGATGACATTGACAATGCTAACATGCTAAAACCAGAGAGGCATGAACCAGCACGCCTGCTCATCCTCTGGCTGGAAGTGGTGTGTAGGTCTGTGATGCCAGACTATACTCTTTAGGCAGGGATTTCCAAAATGTGGTTCAAAGGTCCACCTGCTGAATCAAAGTGTCAGGGGTTGAGGCCCCAGAATACAACGTTTTGGGGATAGCTGTGGTTGTTAACACCATTTTATTTTTATTTTTTATTTAATGTATTTATTTTTTTGAGACAGAGCCTTGCTCTGTCCCCAGACTGGAGTGCAGTGGTGGGATCTCAGCTCTGCACTCAAGTGATTCTCGTGCCTCAGCCTCCCAAATAGCTGGAACTATAGGCATGCACCACTATGCCCGGCTAATTTTTGTATTTTTAGTAGAGACGTGGTTTCACCATGTTGGCCAGGCTGGTCTCGAACTCCTGACCTGCCTGAAGTGATCCGCCTGCCTCGGCCTCCCAAAGTGTTGGGATTATAAGCGTGAGCCACCACGCCCGGCCTGTTACCACCATTTTTTGCTTATTTTTTGAGACGGAGTCTCACTCTATCCCCAGCCTGGAGTGCAGTGGTGCGATCTTGGCTCACTGCAACCTCCACCTCCCGGGTTCAAGTGATTCTCCTGCCTCAGCCCCGCCAAGTAGCTGGAACTACAGGCATGCGCCACCATGCCCAGCAAATTTTTGTATTTTTAGTAGAGACGGGGCTTTACCATGTTGACCAGGCTGGTCTCGAACTCCTGACCTGCCTGAAGAGATCTGCCGGCCCTAGCCTCCCAAAGTGTTGGGATTATAGGTGTGAGCCACCACGTCCGGCCTATTATCACCATTTTATAGATAAAGACACTGAGGCACAAAGGCTTGCCAAAAGTAACTTGCACAAGCTTATAATTAGTAGCCGATGCCGGATTAAAACCCAGCCAGTTTGGCTGAAGAAGGGGTATGCTTGTGTAATGGGAAGCAAAGGAAATGGGCCGGGCAGGAAGGATTACCAGCAGGTAACCTGCAGGACCTCCTGAGGGCAGGGATGTGTGTGCTTCTACAGATGCTCAGCACGTACCCCTAGGGGCTCCCTTCTTCCCACTTCCACCCCCATGCCTCTCTGAGGTACCATGGCATCCCAATCTGCAGAGTTCCTGGGGAAGTGCCCTGAGAGATGCCCCAACAGCCTCAGACCAAGGAGAGATTGAAGCAGTGACCTTTCTGGGGGGATCTGCCTTCTTTGCTGGGCAGTAATGGCAAAATCTGGCATCATCTCTTGCTCACTGGGAGATGTGGCATCGTTCCTGATGTGCTCAGGAACGATGCCACCTGAAGCTCACTGAAACCAGAGTCCAGTGGGCCTAAATTCAGTACTGACCCTACTTACCTCCCTCAACTTTATGAGCCTTGGGATTCTCATCTGTGCAGTGGAAATAAGAATCATGCTGGAGGTGGCTGACAAAATTAAGTGACAAGAGGACCTAGAAGCAGCCCTCCTTACAGGGCCACTGCATCTGAGTGGAGATAATGTCAGGATGGGAAGAGCAGTGACAGTCCTGCTGTCCTTGGATTCCTAGGGCCCATCCAGCCTAGTGCCTGGCATGCGCTGTGGCCACTAGAGGGTGTGTATGGCGGGGCCCAGCAGGGCAGGGCTATGCTATGACCTAAGTACACCCTCCCTCGAGGCTGCCAGACTGGAGAGCAAGCTCCAAATCCCTAGGGATGTAGAGAAAAGAGAGGAAAGGAAGAAGGTGGGGTCCCTGATGCTTATCCACAGGTCTCTGCACCCGAGTTACTCACAAAGTAACTCACAAGTAACTCTGACCCCCTCAGATTCAAATGTGTCCCCACTCTCTTATTCCAGTATTTTCCCCAAAGCACTCTATGCTTCCTCTTTACTGGGCTTGTCCCAATTCAAAACCGTACAATCTTTTATCTGTTCCCCTCTACCTTTGGGATGTAAGCTCCACAAGGGATGAGATGGTGAAAGTAGCAGGCCCAGGCCACCCACAGCAGCGTGGAGGCAGTGGAGTCAGAAACAGGCCATTTGATGCCATTCTGCCTGTGCCATTGAAAAGCTAAATCACATAAGACAGCACTTGCCCCATTTCTTCTTCCTGGTCCCTAATTCAATGCCTGTCACATAGTGGGCACTCAATAAATATTTGTAGAGTGGTTGAAATAAAATCCCCCACTTAACTGAACTCCATACTTATCCCTGTGCCAAGCACATCAGTATTTCATCATATCCCCCCAACAACACAGTGAAGAAGGTTTTATTCTTCCTAGACCCATATTTTTAGAGGAGGAAACAGAGAGGTTAAGTAATTTGTTACAGATCACACACCAAGTAGGTAGCAGAGTTGAGAGTTGAACCCAGAGCTGCGTGAGATGTGTGTGCATCTTCTTAACACCTAGTCCTAGAAAAGAAAACCAGTCCCTTGCCCCTGGGAAATGTCTCACACTACTGGGAAGGCACAAGGCATGAAACAGTAGAAATCATGCAAGGGAAAGGTTGCTTCTGGGTGGTGGAAAAGGAGCAGTATTTACGGGCTACCGCTTATGAACAGAGACATCACAGAGGGGATCTGGGCCACCTCTCGCTATAGGCAGGTGGATTGGCAGGGAGACTGAGTCATCATGACCCACTTCATAAGAGACTGATGGATAAACCAGGGTCCCACTTATTAACTCTTATGGCCCAAATTTTTTAGACTATCTGTAGGCCCAAGTGGCTAAGTGGTATTGTCTCCCCCTTTGGAGGGTAAATCTGCTTGGTCAACATTGCCCCAAATGGGAGAGTTGGGCACCCTTGGGCAGTGGTAAACAACCCTTTTGAAGCTCTGATGAATGCTCTAGACCCTCTCTACCTTGGAAAATGCATATGTGAATGAATGGAACTTTGTGTTCATTCATTTAACACAAATTACGGAGCTCCTACTGGGTGCCAGGCCCTCCTATAGGTGCTAGGCCCTCCTATAGATGCTGGCCATCCTGCAGTAAGCAAAACACAAAAATTCCTAGCTCAAGGAGTCTAAGGGGGAAATCATAGCAAAATAACCTGGTAGCCAGTGTATTGAAGGTAAAGGTGCCAAGGTCAAAAATAAAGCAGAGAAGAAGAGAAAGGAATGTTGGGAGACGGCAGGTTGTGGTTTAAAGGAAGTGATCAGGGAAGGCTTCCCTGAGAAGGTGACATTTGAGCTAGGTCTTGCTGGTGGGGATAGAGTGGGGAGGAAATTAGCTATGATGCTATCTAGGGGAAGAATGTCACAGCCACAGAGAACAGCAAGTGCAAGGGCCCTGAAATAGGAGCAGACCTGGCACGTTCCAGGACCATCAAAAAAGTGATGAGATCGGAGTAATATTGGGGGCAGATTGTAAGTTCGTATAGGCTATTGTTGGGTCTTTGGCTAGTCATCTGAGTGACTTGGGAGCCCCTGGAGGTTCTGAGCAGAAAAGGAACAGGATCTCCCTTCTGTTTCAAGAGGCTCCCTTGAACTGCCTTGTGAACTGACTGCAATGGTGGGGTGGGAGCAGGACCTGGTAGGAGGCTGTGGCAGTGGTCCAGGCCAGAGGCCATGGTGGCTTGGACCAGGGTGAGAGCAGTGGACGTGGGGGAGCAGAAGTTGGATCCTGGACATTTTATATATCCTAAAGATAGAGCCAGCATGATTTGCTGTCACATCTTTGAAAGTATAAAAGAACATCTGAACAGTATACTCATGTCATTGATGCTTAATCTTTTGCTGGTAATAGTAATAATAATATTAGGAGGTTGTTTTGAAGATCAAAATGCTTAGCGCAGTGTCTGGCATCTAGTAAGGGCTCAATCAAAAGTAGTTTTTATTAGTGAAATGAGCATGGAGTCAGTCATTTTCAAGTTAAGCCACTGAACTAACAGCAACCCTGCAAACTATTTAACCTCTGTGACCCTCACTTCCCTCGCCTGTAAAGTGGACCAACTGGACCAAGGTGGGAGTTAAATGAATAAAGTTCTGGCACACTATAGGACTCAGCAGCTCAATAATCTGATTAATAAAGTTACTAAGCTTCGGTACCTATCTCATATGGTCATTGTGAGAGTTGACTGAGATAATACGTGCAAAGCATTTAGAGCTGCCACTGTTATTCTGCTCCTTGTGTACCCATAGGGGAGGGCAATGCCCTGGACATTATCAGCCTTCAAAAATATTGCATGGATGAATGAATGAATGAATGAATGGAAACATGAGTGAGCAAAGTGCAGTGAGTTTCATGGTTGTTAAAAGGGATGGAGGCAGTTGTACAGAGGCCAGGGTGAGGACTGTGAGCCTGCATTACCTAAATCCATCCTCCTCAAACTGGGCTAATGTGGGGACTTTTGGAATCAAGGGATTTTTCTGCAGAGCTTATTTCATTCACAGATGTTGGGGGAATTTATTTATTTATTTTATTTTGTTTTGTTTTATTTTATTTTTGAGACGGAGTTTTGCTCTTGTCGCCCAGGCTGGAGTGCAATGGCATGATCTCAGCTCACTGCAGCATCCACCTCCTGGGTTCAAGTGATTCTCCCACCTCAGCCTCTTGAGTAGCTGGGATTACAGGTGCCCCCACCATGCCCAGCTAATTTTTTGTATTTTTACTAGAGACGGGGTTTTACCATGTTGGCCAGGCTGGTCTCGAACTCCTGATGTCAGGTGAACCACTGGCCTTGGCCTTCCAAAGTGCTGGGATTACAGGCGTGAGCCACCACGCCCCGCCTGAAAATTTATTTTTGTATTACATTTGTAGTATATTTGATCTTTAATATTCAAGCTAACCCAGATATATCAGGGAATAGAATGCACAATTCTCATGAGTTCTGAACAGAGATGGAAGACTTCTAAAGCGTGTCACGGTCACTGTAAGCAGCATCAGACCCTGACCCCAGACTGATCACAGACCTGACCTCGGCCCTCCTGGAGGAGGTTCACTCTTCTAACCTTTAGGGGATTGTAGAAGCCCTCAGTTGAGAAATGATAACCAGAGATGTGTCACATTTTGGTGCCTGGCTAAAATTCAACAGAGCATTTCTACTGGGCACTTACTATGGGCCAAAGGCATTTAGTGCAGGGAGCCCTGCCCTTCAGGTACTAGGAGTTTATTTAAAGAAATGTCTGTATTCAATCACTCTTTTATAACATGGCCAGAGAGAGCCTTCTAGCAGTCCTCTCTGACTATCAGATTTCCTGATTGAGAACACTTTAGTGGATCCCCGTGGCTAACAAGCTAAAGAGTAACCTCCCAGCCCTGTTAGGAGCAGGTCCCACTTCATCTCCCCACCGCTCCACTACATGAATCCTGAACAAGAGAGGGCTGCTCTCTGGAACACCCCAAAGTGCCCCACCTGCTTTCTAATATCCCAAATTTTGCACTTGCTGGTCCATCTGCCTGGAATGTCCTTACTCCTTTTCCTCTGGGCAAATTTTTTCCCCCTTTCTCCCCAAGGCTATCTTCCTTGCACTGCCCTGGCATTTTACATTCCTACTTCCTAGGGCTGGAGATGATTTGTCCACATTGGAGAGACCCTCAAGAGCAAAGCCTGAGCCCTCCTCATCTCTGCACCCCTAACCCAGCACCCAGGAGGTGCTCTCTTTTAGGGAGAGGAGACAGATCTTAACTTTTGATAGATATAGCCAAACTGGGTACCCCAGAGAAATTGTGCCAATTTCCCCTCCCTGCAGCAATGCCCATACGTTGACCCTGCAATTCCAGTTTATACATACACCATACAGATGTACTTGCATATGAGTGAAACGACACATGTATATGGTCGTGTATTGTATAACTGAAAGGGGGGAGTTAGGCTCCATAAGGTTACTTTATAGCAAAAAGAAAGAGATTGGAAACAACCTTAACTTTATCGATACAAGATAAAGAAATTAGCAGTAGTTAAAGAAATTAAGGTATATCATCCAGCTGTTGAAGATGAAGGAGGGGGCCTCCTGTATAAAAAGTTCAACACAGGCCGGGCGTGGTAGCTCACGCCTGTAATCCCAGCACTGTGGGAGGCTGAGGTGGGCAGATCACCTGAGGTCAGGAGTTCAAGACCAGCCTGGCCAACATGGTGAAACCCCATCTCTACCAAAAATACAAAAATTAGCTGGGCATGGTGGCGCATGCCTGTAATCCCAGCTACTCGGGAGGCTGGGGCAGGAGAATCGCTTGAACCCAGGAGGCGGAGGTTGCAGTGAGCCAAGATCACACCATTGTACTCCATCCTGGGTGACAAGAGTGAAACTCCATCTCAAAAAAAAAAAAAAAAAAAATCAAGGCATTAGCTAACAACAATGTGTACAGTGTGCTACAATTTGCATGAAATTTTTAAAAGCCTATATGCTTGTAGACACGTAAATGTTGGAAAGATACATGATAAGCTGGTATAAATGGTTGCTTCTGGGGAAGGAAACCAGAAGGCTAGAAAGCTGGGTGAATAAACTCTTCAACCCATACCCATCTGGTTTTTTGTTTGCTTGGTTATTTTTATTCTAATAAATAGGTAATACTTGAGCTTGGTACAAAATATAAGCAGTACCAAAGATTCAGTACAAAAGAGGCCTCTCTCTCTCTCTCCTGCCCTCAGCCTTCTTTGTGTATATCCTACAGTACCTCCTGAATTTTTGCACCATGAGCTGAATTATCCATTCAAAAACTATTATATCAGGGCCAGGTACAGTGGTAATCCCTGCTACTCGGGAGGCTGAGGCATGAGGATTGCTTAAAGCCAGGAGTTTGAGGCCAAAATGTGCTCTGATCATGCCTGTGAATAACCACTGCACTCCAGCCTGGCAACATAGTGAGATCCTGTCTCACACACACACACGCACACACACTCAAGTATTTTAAAATAATAAATATATTATTAAAATAGTAAATATTTGTTGAAGGAAGGAAGAAATCAACAAAAGAATTGTTGATTAAATCATTAAGTACATGAAACAGTTCAGTAACCTGCAAAGCAGAACACTGACTAAATGACAAATGAAACGACAAAAACAAGAAGAGATCTAAGTAAGAACTGCCGACAGTCAGAGCGTGCATCCTGTCTTGTCTTGCTTTTAGTTTCCTGTGTGTACATCTCCTCTTCCTAGGCAGACCAGGACAGGCTTTATGCTCTTATTTACTTCCCAGAGTGAGGCGTACAGAAAGTGTGTAATAAACATTCCTTGCTTAATTCCTACTAGCCTGAGCCATGCTCTGGAAGGGGCTGAAGGACACAGTCACCAGTGCCCTCCAGGGTATTATGACTTTCATGGGCCTTAGACACTGCCTTCACAGGCCCCTTCTCCCATACCATTTTTTAAAAGTATATTTTACAAGTGTATTGGCATCAAGACAAATGAAATCCAGGCTGGATTTGTTGTTATATATTTATTATTACAATTATTATTATTGCTTTAAAGAAAATTGAAATTGAAACATTTTGTAGGCCCCCTGAAATATCATGGGCCCTAGGCCCTGGACTTGCTGTACCTAATGGATAAGTCAGCCCTGGGCCTGTACCTCGGGCATGACTGCTATTCAGTAAACAGGCACTGCTTCTAGGAGCAACCTGGCTCAGGGAAAGACACATTGGCTTTGGAGCCGTGAAGACCTGGATTTGATCCCAGCTCCAGCACTTACCCACTAGACCACTGTAAAGCAATCACTAAGGCTTCTTGAGCTCAGTGTCCTCCCTGCTAAAACACAGGGCTGCCCTGAGGATTGGAAATAATGTATGATGCTTAATAAACGCCCATTACTACTGGTTGATTTGTCCCCAAAATGGAAGGGGTGCACTGGAGGTGGGCCAGGTACATGGTTGGCATTGAGAACACTGACCACAGCCAGGAGTCCCAGCCCCTTCAGAGGGAGAGGCGGAAGGTAGTGGTGGGAGGTGCATTCGCTTGACATTCTCTTAGTGTAAGTCTGGAGCAGATAAGGAAAGATTAAAATCCAGAATCAAGTCTCTGCTCAGCGGGTCTCAGCTTTGGCTGTGTATTAGAGTCACCTGGGAGTTTTAAAAAACCGCTAAAGCCCAATCCCCACCCCAAACCAATTTAATCAGAATATTTGGTGTGGGGCCCAAGTGTGTTGGTTATTTTTGCTTTTTTAGCTCCCTGAGGTGATTCTAGTATGGGGCAGGGCCCAAGATCTCCATGGCTATACCTGTGGATGGAAGGGGTCAGCTGGGGAGTGATCTGTCTTGTCTAGCAAACAACTTCTCACCTCAACAACTTCTAAGACTGTGAATTCTTGCTGGCTGCCTGGGTGGATTGAAAGTGGGAAAACATCAGTTGTAGGAGGCCCTTACAGGACCCTGTACCCAACAAAGTGTTCTTTTCTCAAAGACAGCTTCCCAAATTGTAGCTTCAGGCTGCATCCAGCCTGGATCCACCCCTGCAGGTGCTGCTTTCAACCCAAAACCTTTCTGGGCCCCCAGATAAAAGGGACCAGAGCATGCCCCACCCCCCCACCAACAGGGGAGTAACTAAGAAGACACAGGACTTATCCCAGGAAGCACTGGGTGGTTTCTGCAAGGGTGGACCGCAGGCCCCTCTACCTGAAGGCCTGGGTGTAGCTAACCTGTAGACTCCTAGGCCATCCCAGGCCCACCGAATCAGCATCTCTGGGTTAGGCCAGAGGCTGCATTTTTTACCCTCTCCTGAAGGGATTCTTACACACAGTAACATTTTTTTTTTTCTATTTGCTTACTTGGGCCTTTATTATGTATTTTCTTAAACTTTTTTTTGTTGTTGTTTATACTTTAAGTTCTAGGGTACATGTGCACAACATGCAGGTTTGTTACATATGTATACATGTGCCATGTTGGTGTGCTGCACCCATTAACTCATCATTTACGTTAGGTATATCTCCTAATGCTATCCCTCCTCCTCCCCTGACCCCACGACAGGCCCCGGTGTGTGATGTTCCCTTTCCTGTGTCCAAGTGTTCTCATTGTTCAATTCCCACCTAGGAGAACATGCAGTGTTTGGTTTTTTGTCCTGCGATAGTTTGCTGCTGAGAATGATGGTTTCCAGCTTCACCCATGTCCCTACAAAAGACATGAACTCATCCTTTTTTATGGCTGTATAGTATTCCATGGTGTATTTGTGCCACATTTTCTTAATCCAGTCTATCACTGATGGACACTTGGGTTGGTTCCAAGTCTTTGCTATTGTGAATAGTGCCGCAGTAAACATACGTGTGCATGTGTCTTTATAGCAGCGTGATTTATAATCCTTTGGGTATATACCCAGTAATGGGATGGCTGGGTCAAATGGTATTTCTAGTTCTGGATCCTTGAGGAATCGCCACACTGTCTTCCACGGTGGTTGAACTAGTTTACAGTCCCACCAACAGTGTAAAAGTATTCCTATTTCTCCACATCCTCTACACACAGTAACATTTTTGAGTTAGGAAAGGATGTACATTTCGATCTGGAAAAAGGTTAAATGGTATATACATACGTAAAAAATCATCAAGGTTTACACTTAAGATGTATGCTTTACACACCTGACTCAAAAGACAAAAGAGAATCTACCTACCATGAGTCTGCAGCTTTGGGAAGGAGAATCAGGGGAGGCTGCCTGGAAGAGGGGCTCTTTGAGCTGGGCCTAGATGGGCAGAAAAGCAGGCAGCAGAACAGAGGGAGTTGGGAGGTCCAAGAAGAAGAGACTCTTGTAGCAATAGCAGTGGAGAAAGGGGGTGGAAATGGAGGGAGAGTTGGTTCTAAGGCCTTGTCAGGCAGCTGCCTCATCCCTACCCAGGAGCAGGGTGTCCTCAGAGGACCAGGGCCTGTGTGGTCAGCAAAGGTAGCCTATGTAAACTCCCAACTTGCCTGCAAGTGCATCCAGGTCATTCTCCCCAACAAGACAGCATTGTTTGGGGTTCCAATGCAGGGCAAGAGAAACAGAGAGCCCAATTGTCCCTGTCATCATGGGTATATAATTTATAATAATGTCAGCTATTAAAGGATTTTTAGTAATTAACTGACAGTGGTGTGCTATTTCACTGCATTTTTGCCTGCCATAATGATCTTGAACTTTGCAAGGCAGTTTTGAACTTGCTCAAAATAAGCCCTGAATACAAAGAAGGGTGAGATAATTCCAAATGAGGGGTAAGAGGGGTTAGACAAAACAGGGCTGTCCTCCTCCCAGGAAGAGGGATGCACTGTGCAGAGCCAGGGAGGCTGAGGCCCCCTGTCTTTCCAGGGAGCTACCCACCCAGTAAAGTGCCTGCCAGGCCAGAGTGGTCAGTAAAGCAAGTCAGCCGTTTCATGATAATGTGATAAGTTGCATATTTTCAATGCACCTTGTTTGTATGTTACACAGCTAGGAATATTTTTCCCTTCCCCAAAGAAATAGGCTTCCTTTTTTGCTTTTCCTGAAATATATGACTCTCTTGGTATATCTTTTGCTCTTTTGATTTTTAACAGAGACATAAGAATAGGAAATAATTCTTTCTCCTTAGTTTCACTTAAAAAAAAAAAAAAGCCAACATAAGCCCAAAGATGAATCGTAACTGACACTGAGTACTAGAAATGTATTAAGCCAGCTGGGCGCAGTGGCTCACGCCTGTAATCCCAGCACTTTGGGAGACTGAGGTGGGCGGATCACGAGGTCAGGAGATCGAGACCATCCTGGCTAGCATGGTGAAACACCGTCACTACTAAAAAAAATACAAAAAATTAGCAGGGCGCGGTGGCAGGCGCCTGTAGTCCCAGTTACTCAGGAGGCTGAGGCAGAAGAATGGCGTGAACCTGGGAGGCGGAGCTTGCAGTGAGCCGAGATCGCGCCACTGCACTTCGGCCTGGCCGACACAGCGAGACTCTGTCTCAAAGAAAAAAAAAAAAAGAAAAAGAAAGGTATTAAACCATGGTGGGGTCTGTGGCAACTTGGTGAGCTCAGACCCAGTGTTAGTGAAGCATCTGCTTCTCCACAATCAGAACTTCAGGCCCAAAGCAGAGACAACCTCAATTGACAACCTCAATTCTCCCCTTTCTTCTTAATAGCAGAATGATTATTCTTATTTAAATTATTTTTAACTGGGCAAATTTTGTCCTGGAAAAAAAAGACTACCCTGGCCTGAGCACAGTCACATGACTACCCCTACTCCCTCCCTTGCACTCAGTGTAGCCATGTGACTATTTCTGGCCAATAAGATGTAAATAGAAGCATCGTGTGAGACTTCTGGAAAGACTGCATAAAGGCTGCTGAGTCAGCCGAGAAGCACCTTTTTTTTGACTTCAACCTTTCCTTCTTTGGCCTAGGTTATAGATGTGATGGCTGGAGCCCTGGAAGTCATCATGGAACATGAAGCAACCTTTGCAGAGAAAAGTCATACACTGGACCAGGCACGGTGGCTCACGCCTGTAATCCCAGCACTTTGGGAGGCCAAGGCGGGTGGATTACCTGAGATCAGGAGTTCGAGACCATCCTAGGCAACATGGCGAAACCCCATCTCGACTAAAAATGCAAAAATTAGCTGGGTGTGGTGGCACATGCCTGTAATCCCAGCTACTCAGGAGGCTGAGACAGGAGAATTGCTTGAACCCGGGAGGTGGAGGTTGCAGTGAGCCGAGATCATGCCTGGGTGACACAGTGAGACTCCATCTCAAAAAAAAAAAAAAAAAAGGAAGCCATACGCTGAGGATGGAAGAACAGAAAGAGAGAGGAGCATAAGTCCCTGATGGCTTTTTGAGTCTCCCATGCCAGGCCTGAGCTGTCTATTAATCTTCTGAAATCTTCTGACTTCTTTTATATGAGAAAGAAGCATCCATCTCATTTAAGCTATTGCTATTTTGAGTTTTTCTGTTATAATTGGCCCAACTTAATCCATGTCAAAGTAACTGGGCTCACTGCAATGGACTGAATGTTTGTGTCCCTGCAAAACTCACATGCTGAAACCTAATCACCAATGTGATGATATTAGGAGGTGGGGCATTGGGAGGTGATTAGGACACGAGGGTAGAGCCCTCTTGAATGGGATTAGTGACCTTATAAAGGAAGCTCCAGAGACCTCCCTCCACCTTCTGTCAAGTAAGGACACAGCAAAAAGACAGCCATCTGTGAACCAGGAAGGACCTCACCAGACACTGAATCTGCTAGTGCCTTGATCTTGGACTTCCCAGATCTGTGAGAAATAAATTTCTGCTGTTTATAAACCACCTCGTCTATGGTATTTTATTATAGCAACCTGAATGGACTAAGATACTCACTGTCACCTAATAGTCCAAATTTCAAACCTAGTCAGGTATACAGATTTGAATGTGACATACTATGATGTCATAAATGTTAGAAACCACATAAAAATATTTAAAATACTGACCAGGCCAAACAAACCATGTCTGTGAGCTGCATTCAGCCCAAGTGGCCCTCTGGCCTATACCACGAATGGTGGTGATTAGGCCTGTTATAAACAGCCAGCCCTGGGTCTGGCGTGGTGGCTCACACCTGTAATCCCAGCACTTTGGGAGGCCGAGGCAGGTGGATCACGAGGTCAGGAGATCAAGACCACCCTTGAAAGCCCGTCTCTACTAATAATACAAAAATTAGCCAGGCGTGGTGGCAGGCGCCTGTAGTCCCAGCTACTCAGGAGGCAGAGGCAGGAGAATGGCGTGAACCCGGGAGGCGGAGCTTCCAGTGAGCAGAGACCGCACCACTGCGCTCCAGCCTGGGCGACAGAGCGAGAGTCCATCTGAAACAAACAAACAAACAAAACACAAAAAGCAAACAAACAAACAAAAAACAGCCAGTCCTTCCCCGGGCGCGGTGGCTCACGCCTGTAATCCCAGCACTTTGGGAGGCCAAGGTGGGCAGATCACGAGTCAAGACATTGAGACCATCCTGGCCAACATGGTGAAACCCTGTCTCTACTAAAAATACAAAAACTAGCTGGGCATGGTGGTGCACACCTGTACTCCCAGCTACTCGGGAGGCCGAGGCAGGAGAATCACTTGAACTCGGGAGGTGGAGGTTGTAGTGAGCCGAGATCGCACCACCGTACTCCAGCCTGGCAACAGAGTGAGACTCCATCTCAAAAAATAATAATAATAATAAAGAAAACAGCCAGTCCTGTCATTTCTGTAAGGACTGTACTTCTCCATCCACTTGAACTTTTCTCCATCCACTTGAAGTGTGACCATATAACTTGTTTTGACCAATGAAATATGAGCAGAAAGGATGAGCAGAAGGGATGTAAGACATTTCTGGGCAGAAATTTCAGAACCAGTGTGGGGTTTGTCACATCCTCTTTTTTCTGCCGCTGCCATTATAAAAGTATGTCAACGTGGAGCTTCCTTCAGCTGGATCTTCGAGTAACTTGGAAGAACAGAACACCCTGGTAACCTGCCTTATAGTGCATAAACAAGAAATAAACATGTTTGTTGGAAATCCGCTGGGACTGGAGTTTGTTACCACAGCATTACCTAGCTTATCCTGACTGACCTGTCATCTTGCATCCTGGGTATTGATCACTGGAATTGTACAAAACCCTCCTTCGGGTTTTTTTCTGTGGGTGAAATTTCCCTCTCTTTCTAGCCCTCCTACTCATTCTTTTTTCCATGTATTATTTCACTCTTTCACACATTCATATGTCAGAGGCATGCGAGGAGCCTTCTAGATGGCAAGTCAAGCCCCTGCTCTCAGGGAGCTCACATGCCTCCTCTGATTGGATGGTCTTCCCTTATGGATCCTTGTGGACCCTTCCCAGCCCCCCTCAACCACCCAGCCATGAATGGGGGAAGAGGGGGTGGAGTGGAGTCCTTTGAGGACAGCCTCTTAGGACCAGGATTTGTGTCAGGGTTGGGTTTTTTTGTTTTTTAATTTAATTCAAACCTTACCACTTCTAGTGAGTAAACCAATGCTCAGAGAGGTTAACTAACTTGCCCAATGTTACACAGTTAGGAAGAAGTAGCCCTGGACTTGAAGCCAGTTCTGACAACTTGCCAGGCCTTTGCCCCCTGACTACCCTATACTACCTGCCTCTACAGAAGCCTCTCGACTGGGGTCGGTACCATCCTCAAACACCATTGGTAGCTCTGAGGCAGCACAGCGGGTAAATGCACAGGCTCTGGAGCCAGACTGCCTGGGGTCAAAGCCCAGCTCTGCCCTCTCATACCTGTATTACTGTAGGCAAATTAACCTCGGTTTCCTCATCTGTAAAATGGAGATAATACTTGAGTCTCTTTGAGCCAATATAAATAAGGTGCTTAGAATGGTACCTGGCACACAGTATACGTCCACTGAATTTTAGCTATTAACACTATTATTATCTTTATGCCTCATAAATGGATGATTTTGTCAGATTTCCTGCCCCGCTGACCTCTAGTGGAGAGAAGGATATTGAAAGAATGGGACGCTATATGGTTATGCTTTGAAAATATTAGTCATTATCTCATGTGAAACTCACAATAAATTTGTTCAGGTAATTAGTGTAAGAGCCTCCTTTACAGGTTAAAAAAAAAAAAAAAGAATCTCAGAGGCTAGTTTCCTGCCCCACATCTAAGAAGGGATAGTAGAGAGACTCAGAGCCAGATCTGTCTGTCTGCAGCTCTGGAGGGGTTTCCATGACATGACTTAGATGGAGAAGAGTCCAGCGGTGTAGGGAGCATGCTAGGCCAGGGAAGCCCACAGAAGAGGGTGAAGCACAGAAGACTATGGGTGCAGTCATTTGATGATGGCCACCTTTTGGGACTCCATTGTGGGCAAGGCAGGCATGGTAAATCCATCATACCAGCTGCTGATGCCAAGCGACTTTCTCTGGTGAGCCAAGTGTGACCCCTGTGACAGCAGCTTCCTCTCCTATTTCCATCTGGCTCTCTCTGAAGACCCCAAATCATGGCCAACCTTCCCTGGGCTCACTCTGACGCCTGGATATAGGCAAGTCCTGCAAAACCTGGATGGGGGAAGATACAACAGTACTGAAGCTGGGGAGTCCATGCTGAAAAATAGGGGCCTACTCACCTGACCCACGTGGGGAGTCTGTGTTAATGATGCATGTCCAGATTGGGTGGGGCCCACTTTACCCTTTAGCTGATGGACAGGGAAATGAAGGCTCAGAACCTGGGTCTCTGTGAATGCACCACACCTCTCAGGGAGGTGGGTAATGGGAACCAGTCTCTTACCTTTGCTCTCTCTCCTGACCATCCCAGAGACTCAGATTAATGCCCCCACTATCTCCACTGCCTTTAGCTGGATTTCTCCTCAGTTTCTCCTAAGTTAAGGGAAGAACACCCCCATGACCTATTTCTGTCTGTTTATTTTCTCATAGATTGAAAAAGGATTTGAAATTCTCACTGAATCTGATGCAGTTAGTGCAAATCTGTGGTCAGCAGAAGAAACAGGAAGGCTTGACCTGCACTCAGTGGAAGCTAAGAGAGCTTGCACAGGGGCTTGAACATGGTAGATGGCAGCTGTGTCCATTAGAATGTTTTGGTGCCTTTGGGTAAAAAATTTAAAAAGAAGGCTTTGGGCTGCAAGTAACTGGAAATCCAACTGAAAGTGGTTCAAACAACAAGAATCTTTATTATTTCATTAAAAAAAAAACCTGGATGTAGGACAGGCTCTTAGAGAAGCTCCATGAAGTTATCAAGAACCTAATTCTTTCTGTCTATTTGTATTTCCATCCACAGTAGGTCAGTTTTGACTCCACTGGCTTCCCTCACAGTTGCAAAATGGCTGCTGCAGTTCCAGGCATCACATCAGACACCCTGAAGAACATCTCTCCTGCTGTCTTCTTCCTAAGAGTAAAAAACTTTTACCCAGAAACTCCCTACCAGCTTTCTCCTCAAATCTCATTTCCCAGAATAGGGTCATCAGCTGACACAGGCTAAAGGAATTTCATGTGTTAGGTGGCTAGGTATCTTCTGTGTGGCCCTCCCCTTCTCCACCCATTCTGACCTGCAAGGCTGATGTGTGGGCCACATCTACAGGCAACCTTGCTGTCTGTCTTCAGGGTGGACTTAGCTAATGAGGAATACCAAAGAAGTCCTTAAAGAATGGGAAGAGGGAGAGGTCAAAGTGTTTGTTCTCCTGGTGCCCTCCTTGCTGGGTTGCCATAAGTCTGCTGTATCTTTGACCAAAGGCCACAGCTTCCATCAGGCAGCACTCTCCATACTCTTACCTCCTCTGGTTCTGGTTCCTGCTCCCTCCCTTGCCTTCTCGGGCCTAGAAGAAGAAGCAAGCTCCCCATCATTGCCAGCCCCAGGATACTTCAACATCCCTTAATGCAATTCTCAAACCCTTCCCACACTCTTGCAAATAATCCTTTGCCCAGCTCCCTCAGTTACCCAGCCAGAAGGTGCTATCCTCTATCCTTCCTCAAACCTGATCAATACACGGGGCTGGGACAGAGCTCCCTTTGGAGTCTTGAATCACTGTTTCTTGGGCCTCTTCCCAGAAGGTCTCTTTGGCACTTAACCCTCAGTCCACCAAATAGCATGCATCTCCCTATCCCCCATCTTGACTTCCCCATCTCTGTCAATAGCACCTCCAACCACTCAGTATCCCAGGGTCAAAACCTGGGTGTCAACTTCCACTCTCCCACTGCCCTGTCCCCCATTCCACACAGAATAGGATCTATAGGTTCCACTTCTAACTCTCTCCACACTTCAACCCTCTACTCAATTTCAGGCCTCCAACACTGCTCATCTGCCTCATGACAGCAGCCTTCTAAATGATTCCCCTGCCTGCGATTCATGCCACTCCCTGCTGCTCAAGAAACTTCCTTAACCACAGCTCTGATCCTGATGTTATTCTCCTGCTCAAAAACCTGCCCCCATTCCAAATGCCTTAATCCATCATCAAAGCCCTCCATGTTTAGCCCCCTACCCAGTTTCCTGGTTTCAGTTCCTGCTACACGCATAACCCTCTGGCTATAAAGGTCAGCTATTTCTGGGTAAAATAATCACCCCCAAAACTCAGTGGCTTAAAACAACAACTTCTGTTATTGCCCAGTTCTGCTGATCAGGGCCAGGCTTGGCTCACTTACATGTCTGCAAGCAGCTGACAGCAGACTGGTCTAGGATGTCTCACTCACTTGCCTGGTGGTTGTCTGGGTGTTGGCTGGGTGAAAGGAAGTGAGTAGGCCATATGTCACTCATCATCCAGCAGACTAGCCTAGAGATGTATTCGTTATCTGTTGCTGTGTAACAAATTGGACAGCTAAAAACAATACACATTTATTTTCTCACAGTTTCTGTGGGTCAGGAATTCAAGTGCTGCTGAGTTGCATACTATGGCTTAGCCTCTCTCACAAGGCTACAGTCAAGGTATCAGATGGGGAGGGTCTGTTTCCAAGTTCACTTATGTGCCTTTGGTTGCTCTCAGGTCCTCACTGGCTGTTGGGGACAGACATCATTTCCTTGCCATTTGGGCTTCTCCATAGGGCAGCTCACAACATGGCAGTGGACCCCCTTGGCAAGGGAACAGTGACCCCCCTCAGCAAGGGAACAAAAAAGGGACCACAAGATGGATGTCACACAGCCTTTTAAAACCCAATATCAGAAGAGCCAACCCATCGCTTTAGCAATATTCTGTTGGTGAGAAGCGAGTCACTAGGTGCAGCCCATACTCAATGGGAGAGGATCACACAGGGCGTTCATGCCAGGAGCCATTTTCAAGGCTGCTGGTCACACTGGGCTTGATCTTAGGTGGTGGCAATGTTCCACCTAAGAACAGCAAGAGTGAATGCAAAAGTGTACAGTCTCCTGAGGCCCAAGCTTGGAATTTGCATATAGTTAGCCAAGGCAAGTCATAGGGCCAAACCCAGATTCAAGATGTGGAGAAATAGACTCTATCTCTTGATGGGAACAGTTACCAAGTTACATTGCAAAATAGGTACTGGCAGGCATGGAGAATTATGTCCATTTTTGCAAAGAACCACATGAGCTTTCCCAAGTGTTCCCCTGAAATGCCTGTGCTTTCAAGCCCACAGGCCTTTTTTTTTTTTCTTTTGAGACTGAGTCTCACACTGTCACCCAGGCTAGAGTGCAATGGCGTGATCTCGGCTCACTGCAACCTCCACCTCCTGGGTTCAAGAGATTCTCCTGCCTCAGCCTCCTGAGTAGCTGGGATTACAGGCACCCGCCACCATGCCCAACTAATTTTTGTATTTTTAGTAGAGATGGGGTTTCACCATGTTGCCCAGGCTGGTCTCGAACTCCTGACCTCAGGTGATCCACCCGCCTTGGCCTCCCAAAATGCTGGGATTACAGGCATAAGCCTCTGCAACCGGCCATCCACAGGCCTTTGAAGGCTCAGTTTCCTCCTCCTGTGCTGTCCTGCCCCACCTTGGCCTGTGACCATTCTGCCAGTCTTCAAGGACCAATTCACACTCTGTATCACTTTTCTTTTTCTCCTGTAACAAATTACTATGAACTTAGTGGTTTCAAACAACACATATTTATTATCTTTCCTACAGTTCTGGGAGTCTGAAGTCCAAAATGGGTGTCATCAGGTTAAAATCAGAGCATTGGCAGGGCTTCATGCCTTTCAGGAGGCTCTAGGAGAGAATCCGTTTTCTTGCCTTGACCAGCTTCCATGGGCAGCCTGCATTCCTTGGCTTGTGGCCCCTTCCTCCAATTCAAAGATATGAATGGCTGGTAGAGCCTTTCTTGAAAACTCATATCACTCTGACACTGCCTCTTCTGCCTCTCTTTGCCACTTGTAAGGACTCTTGCAATTAGGCAGGGTCCCATCAGATAACCCAAGACAATTTCCCCCATCTCAAAGTCAGCTCATTAGCAACCTTAATTCCGCCTGCAACCTTAATTCCCCTTTGCCATGTAACCTAACACATCCACAGGTTCCAGGGATTAGGGCATGACATCTCTAGGGGGCCGTTACTCTGCCCACCACCCTACCTCACTCCCACCCCCTTACCCCCCTGTAAACAATAATGGCAGAAGCATTTATTGAGCACTTACTAGGTGCCTGCCATTGTGCCCAGAGCTTCTTCCCAGAAGGTCTCTTTGACCTTTGAATGATCTCATCCATTCCTCACAACCCTATGGAGAGGGTTTTTTTTAGCGTTCTCATTTTATGTATTCAAAGAAGTAACTCCCCAAGGTCACACAGTGAGTAAGGGCTGGATATAGGAATTTGAACTCGAGTCTGCCCAACTCTGAAGGCCAGAGTCCCAACCACTTGCTCATGCTGCCTGCTTTGAGGACACCCTGATCCCTTCTATTAGAAGTCACCCCTCCTCTGTGCTCCCATAACTGAGTAACTGGGCCTCTCTTTTAAGAGATACTCTTCTGAAGCTTCCATTTTTGACAGGCCACCTCCCCAGTGCCTCTGTCAAAGTAGTCATAGTACTTCTTTAATGAAAATCTCTTATGTACCAGATCTTTCACATACAACATCTCACACTCTCTGCTAAGGCAGGTGCTGTTTTCACTTTCCAGGTGAGAAAACTGAGACTCACAGAGTTCTGATTCTGCCACAGCAGCATTCATTAGTGTCAGTGCTGGGAGTAGCACACAGGTCTAATTCCAAAGCCAGCTAGGCCACCTCCTGCAGCTGCAAATGCCCACAGCCTTTGCACACAGAATAGAAATACATCACAAGCTTGCTTCAAGATGGTTGTGTAGCACATTGGTTACAGTGGGGATTCTGGAGCCATGCTGCTGGGGTTCAAATCCCAGCACTCCCATTTTCTGTTTGTGTGACTTTAGGCAAGCTACTTAGCCTATGTCTGACTCAATTTCCTCGTCTGGAAAATGAATGTAATGATAGCACCTACCTCATAAGGGCTGTTGCAAAGATTAAATGAGTTAATATACCTTAAGTGCCTCTGCAGTCATGCCACATGGTAAGTACTCAAAAGTGTTAGCTATGAATATGAGTTGGCCTGGTCAGCTGTGGGTCACTCAGGTCCCCTGCCCCAGTCTTGCTGGGCATTTCCCTTCTGGGAAACATTACCCCAGACTATGTGAATGGAAGGCTATCTGGAAGACCCACAAAGGTAAATGTTGAGAAAATACTTTGTAGAGTACTGCACCCATGTTGGCTATTAATGATCTAAAGTACTTGGTAATCAGGCTGGGAAACCTGAATCCCCCTGGAGGACCCAGTTCAGGCCTCCTCAGCATTGGCCCCAGGGAAACAGAGGACCGCAGCTGTCATATCGCCTCCTCCCCACCAATCTCCGCCACTCCCTCCCCCAATCCATCCTGGGGTGGCCAAGGCTGCAGGAATGTGATGGTATCTCCGCAAACAGACAGTCTGTTCCCAGAGGAGACAGGGCCGCCCCTGGGAGGCCCAACTCTCCCCAGACTCGGCTCCAGTAAACACCAGGCTCTGTCCTCTTTATCAGCTTTGCTCTGCAGCAGCGGAGCCAGTCTGCCTGCTGGGGAGTCGCTGCAGAGCGATAAGCCACTAGGCCCCTTGTTGGCCGCCCTCCTGGGGCCACAGCCCAGCTGCCTGGGAATAGGAATCTTCAGGCTGGCCTGGCTTGAGGCCTGAACAACCTCCAGGGGCTAGGGGGCTGAGAGTGAGGGGCTGGCTGCCTGTACCCCGAGGATGAAGGAAGCAAAGGCCCAGAGTTGTGTCAAGGGGCCAGGGGACACAGTCTTCATGGCCCCCAATTGCTCCTAAAAACTTGTGAATCTGTTAATTACATTGCTTTGCAAGATACCTTTATCATCATCATTATCTTTACATATTGATGATGCTTTTACTGCCAATGTTTTCAAGTCCTCGTTTTACTGGATAAATTAATGTATGTAAAGCACTTCCCACTGGGCCTGGCCAGGGCTCAGTTTAAGTTAGCTTGCAGTAGGAGCAGTGTCCTAGTGTCCTCGTCATCATCCTAGTGGTATGGCCAACCCCCAGTTTCTTATAAATAATAGTAGCTAATGTTTATGTGGGTCATGTCCATTACGGCTTCAGTTTCTCAACTCCCTGGAGGTGGGGAGTACTGGAGTGAGCATTGTCCCTATTTGACAGAGCAGGAAACTGAAGGGCCCAGAGAGATGAAGTGCTTTGCCCAAGGCTGTACAGCCAGGACATGGGACCAGCTGGGATCAGCCCCAAGTCCTCAAACTCAAAGTCTGATGCTTTCTTTCTTTCCTTTTTTTTTTTTTTTTTTTTCTCCTATTCTGGGTACTGTCTACTGTTGACCAACCAGTGAGGAGCCTGGAGTAAGTCACTGGTCCCTGTCTTGGGCCCTCTCTGGAGTCAGGGAGGGGACAGACAAGATCCTTCGTGTTAGAAATCTGCTGACAGCTTCTCCACAGCACCTTGGAAAACAACCAGTGACTTCTGTGAACCCACAGGATGAGCACTTGGCCGGGAGTCCAACAGCTCTGGGTTCTAGTCCCAACTCGGCTGCTCAGTCTGGTGACCTGGGGCTGAACAGTTACCCTGTCTGGGCTTGGTCCCAAGATCCTTATTTCCTCATGTTGTAAAATAAGTCACTTCCTCTGCCTTCGCCATCTCCGAGTTTGCTAGGTGAATTAAATGAAGCGATATATGGTAAAACCTCCTGGTGAAGAGCTCTGGAGTATAACCATCCTCTCCTCCTGAACAACTGACTTTCAAACGCTGACCATCATGGAGGGCCCAGCTCAGATGCTTCCCCTTCCAGGAAGCCCTCTCTGGTCTTCCAGCTGGGCACAACCACAGCCTCCTCAGAGCTGGCACACCTCTTCTGGGGCACCCTCTGCCTTGCATGGGGTCAAAATTCAGGGCTAATTTCTGGTGGCATCCCCCGATTCCAGAATAGAATCCAGCACACATTACGTGCTTAATAAAGCGAATGAGTGACAGAGCGAATGAATGAACTGCCAAAGGGAAAGAGCCTCTCTATCCCCCTTCTCTGTCTATAAGAAGGCTTAGAGAGCATGTCTCCTCCTCCTCTTTGGGCAGCTGGCATTGGGAAAGACCCCTGAGTGGCAGTTCTTCCTGAATACAACTTCCTTTCATTGCCACCTCCTACGCTTGGCTCCAGATCGTCAGGGGCTCCTGGGGGCCCCTGGGATTCTATCCTGACTCCCTGGCCTGGCCTTTGAAGCCCTTTCCAGCCAGGCCTCTTCTGTGGCCCCTGGTCCAGTGAGCACTCTCTGGTCCTGGGCCTTGCTCACATTCTCCAACGCTCAGAGAAACATGTCTGTTCTCACCAACCCTACAATCCAGCCACCACTGCAGGCTTTCCTTTGCCTCCTCCCTTCTAAATGCCCTCTACCCAGCCAGGTACTTTCCCCTAGCCAAGACACCCTCAAGTGGCCTTCGGTTCTCACAAATGGGTCCACCAGCACCTCCCCCAACCTCCAAATGTGTCCCCTGACTATTCCCTCCCTGGTATCAATAGGCTCTGGCAGAGGGAGGAGATGGGCACTGAGTTAGAATTTGGGGCATGCAGAATGGCCTCCAAAATGTCTCAGGTTTTCTCAGGCCACATCTTCTTCCCTGTGCCTGTTGGACTCTTTCTGCCTCCACCACTTCATCTGCATCAGATTCCACAGCAGACCCACATCACAGGTGCCCCTTCAGTCCACGGCTGCCACCTCAGACCTCCAGCCACCCCTCCAGAATAGAGAGGTATGTCTGTGGCCTTGCTACCATCTACCCCAAACACCCACCCTATTATCACCATAGCCACAAATACCTCCTGCATGCCTACTATGTGCCAGGTACTGTTGCAGGCACTAGAGACACAGCTGTGAACAAAGCAAACATTGTAGCATCCCTCATGGAGTTTTCATTCTAATGTAGGAAATGAGGAAAACAGATAATAAAACAAAATAAGTGAGTAAAACATATAGCATTTTAAGTTAGTTGAGTATAGGTAACTTTGCTCTCTTTGAAAATAAATGCAGTGGGGTATAGTGGCTCACATTTGTAATCCTAATTGCTTGAGTTCAGGAGTTTGAGACCAGCCTGGGCAACACAGCGAGACCTCTTCACTACAAAAAAAATTAAAAATTTAGCTGGGCATGGTGGCATGTGCCTGTGGTCCCAGTTACTAGGAAGGCTGAGGTGGAAGGATCACTTGAGCCTGGGAGGTCAAGACTACAGTGAGCCATGATCATGCCACTGCAGTCCAGCCTGAACAACAGAGCAAGACACTGTCAAAAAAAAAAAAAAAAAAAAAAAAAAAAAGGAAAAGAAATGCATTGACTATAATTGGCTATAAATATATAAATAAAGCAGGAGTGGGCTCAGGGAGTGCAGGATGAAGTTGCTATTTATTTATTCATTTAGAGACAGGGTCTCACTCTGTTGCCCAGGCTGGAGTAGAGTGGCACGATCACTGCTCACTGCAGCCTTGACCTCCTTGGGCTCCAGTGATCCTCCCACCTCAGCCTCCCAAGTAGCTGGGACCACAGGCACGCACCACCATGCCCAGCTGCTTTTTATATTTTTTGTAGAGATGGGGCTTCACCATGTTGCCCAGGCTGGTCTCAAACTCCTGGGCTCAAGTGATTCTCCTGCCTCGTCCTCCCAAAGTGCTGGGATTACAGCATGAGCCACAGCACCCAGCCTGAAAGTTGCTATTTAAATGAGGTGACCAAGTAGGCCTTGTGAGAAGGTGCCATTTGCTCAAAGAGTTAGAGGAGGCAAGAGTAGGCATTGAGGGTCCTGGGGGAAGAGCATTTCAAGCAGAGGGAAGAGCCGGTGCAAAGGCCCCTGTTTGAGTTGGTGTGTTCCCTTCTCTGTGCATTCACATTTGTCAGCCCTTTATTTGGCACTTGTCAGAGTTCAAGAGGGTTGAAGGAAGTTTTTCACTTGGCCTCCTATCCTGCTTCACCAGGAGCTCCTTGGGGCAGAGACCCTGTAATGGTCAACTTCATAGCCAACACACACCCCACCCAAACATGTCTAGACACACACAGAGACACACACACATCCTGGACTCACACACTCATGTCCAGACATACACACCCAGACTCGCACAAAGAGACCCTCACACTGTGGCCAATAGTGAAGGCCTCAGCTATTGTCTCCTGAGAGGGACTGAATGAAGAGTAAATAATAATTAAGTGTGCCCAGCTCCATCTAGTTTACAGAGGTCCCTCTTGTGTCTACTCTTGGAGCCTAAGAACTGGGTGGTGATTAAAGTGAGTCTCTGAGAGACCAAGGTGAACAGGCTGGTCATTGGTATGTGCAAAACTGGAAATTGGCTTTTCTGATTATGCTCCAATTTGTGTTCATTTTTTAAAAATAGGTCAGATGTGAACACAGAACAAATTTCAAAATGTCCTTAGAGGCAAGTGTCCCTCCCCACTCCACCCCAGCACCCGGCTCCCACCAGAGGGTCTGAGTGCACTCACCAATTTATTTCTCCTTTACCTAAATGAAGACCTAGGCTCTCTTCTCTCTTCAAAGAGATTCTGCTTTGCAAATACATTTGACAGAATGAAAACAGGCCAGGAGCCTCTGGTCTGGAAGCACATCCTCTTTGCTCCTAGTACCCAGGCTGTCTGGGGCCAGGCTTGGCATCCATTTGGTTTCTCCAAAACCACAAGCCTTTTGGATCCAGGACATGGCTGCTGCATGTCCCATGTAGAAGTCCCTGGGGAAGATCCACTGATCATGAGGAACCCACTGTCCTCAGAGGGAGGAGATAGGGACCAAGGAAGAAGGGGGAAGAAGCAGGAAGTGGTTTCAGAGGGGGAAACCGGGCACTTTAGAGGAAATCACACTTTCTGGAGTTTCTTTAAAATGAGGACCCTATTGAATTACTTCTATTTTCTTTTTTCTTTTTTTTCTTTTTTTTTTTTTTTGACACAGAGTCTGCTCTGTCGCCCAGGCTGGAGTGCAGTGGCATGATCTCGGCTCACTGCAACCCCCGCCTCCCAGGTTCAAGCAATTCTCCTGCCTCAGCCTCCCGAGTAGCTGGGATTACAGGCACCCACCACCACACCTGGCTAATTTTTGTATTTTTAGTAGAGACGGGGTTTCACCATGTTGGTCAGGCTAGTCTCGAACTCCTGACCTCATGATCCACCTGCCTCTGCCTCCCAAAGTGCTGGGATTACAGGTGTGAGCCACCACACCCAGCCTACTCTTATTTTCTTCCTCGGCACTTTTACAGCTGACAGACTGCAAGTTCCCCATGAAAAGAATGGGGCATTAATTGGCAGATGACCACCCCCTCCACATCCCAGAACAGTACCCCAAACACACTCAGCTACAACTGTGTGGTGTAATGAGTGCCTTCCCTGCCCCAGGAGCAGATCAAGAGTTGCCATGGGCCTGCTGCCAGGTGCTTACGGTCTAGGGGAGGGGCACGCAAACACAATAAATTCCCCGTGGGCAGGCTAGGGAGCCTTGGGGGACCAAAGAATGGGTGCTCCCCTCAAGTGAGTAAAAGAGAGAGAAGAAAGGATATACAAGACCCCAGGCAGAGGGGTCAACATATGCAAAGAGCTGGGGATGCTTAAGAAATGTTAAGGGGGACTTTAGTCTTGGGTGGCAGAGACCAAACAGAAGGTTCAGCACAGGTCAGGTGTGAAGGGCCTGGATGTCAAGGGATATGTCTGACTTTATCTTATAGGTGGGGATTTTCAAGCAGGGTTGTGGCAGGATTCTACTTATATTTTCTCTGGATCTCTCACAGCTGGTGAGCAGTGCAGGGGATGGGTTGGAGGCAGAAGATTCTGACTAAAGTTGAGTAGAGATAAAGCATTTATTTATTTATTTATTCATTCATTCATTCATTCTGTCGCCTAAGCTGGAGTGCAGTGGTACCATCTCAGCTCACTACATCCTCCACCTCTTGGGTTCAAGCAATTCTCCTGCCTCAGACACCCGAGTAGCTGGGATTACAGGCACACACCATCATGCCGGGCTATTTTTTGTATTTTTAGTAGAAGTGGGGTTTCACTATGTTGGCCAGGCTGGTCTCGAACTCCTGACTTCAAGTGATTCGCCTGCCTAGGCCTCCCAAAGTGCTGGGATTATAGACGTGAGCCACTGCGCCAGGTCGAGAAAACATTTATATGCTTTCGTTCTTGAACTGGGTGATGGGGACACAGTTTTTATATTTTTTATGTTCTTTTTTAATGTCTGAAATAGATCATAATTTAAAAATTAATAAAATAAATTTAAAAATTTAATAATAAAATTAATAGCACTGTTACTAAGTGAATCAAAGCTCCAACAGGGCAAAGATAACAATTACCACTAATGATGAAGCTTATGCACTTAGTAACAGTGCTTAATAGGCAGTATTCCTAGGACTTTACAAATATACACTCTTTTAATCCTCATGACAACCCTATGAGATAGGCGGTTCCCAAATTACTGATGAAGAGAATGAAGTACAGAGAAGTTGAGTATCTGGCCCAAGGTCACCCAGTCAGTAGGATGGAGAGCTGGGATTCAGGCACTGCACTCTTAACCGGGAAGGCGGGGCTGGCGCAGGGGGCGTGGCTATATTGGGCTGAGTCTGAGATGGGGCGGGCTTGGGGCAGGGTTGGGTCAGGGTTGGGGCTGGGTTGGGGGGGTGGGGTGGGGCCTCTGTAGGTGAAGACAGTTAAATCCGGGGCCCGACCGGAAAGCGCCGCCCTCCTGCTCTTCTGCTGGGCCTCGTTTTCCTTCCCACGTTCTGGGAGTCTTAGCTGTTTGCTACCCGTTTCCCAAGCAAAAACCGCAGTGCCCTTGCAAGAGCATGGGCCGGATGGACCCCAGAGCGGGTGCCTGAGGAGCCTTTCTTTTCCAGGCTCCTGGTGCCATGGCAACCTAGACCCAAGAATCTAGGCTCAAGGCCTGGAAGCGACCCCAACTGTGGACGTCGCCTTCCGAGCTTCAGTTCGCTGTCTAAAATATGGGAGTGAGGGGCCTTTCCACTGCTAGTGCCTCAGAGGCCTCAGAGAGGAACCATACCTCTCACCTCCCACCCCTGCTCCTGCCTTCCAGCAAAACTTCCGGTGATTTTCACATTACACAGAGCAGCAGCAACAGCAGCCCCTGAGAACTTGTTAGAAATGAAAACTCTCAGCCTTACCTCAGACCCACTGAGTCAGGAACTCTGGAAATAAGGTCCTGCCGTCTGATTTAGCCAGCCACCCCCAGGATTCCAACGCATGCTCAAGCTGGAGAACCACTGCTCTAACATGTCATTTCCGTAATTCTGGCCTAAAGCAAGACTCTTATATTTCTTGTGCTCAAATACCATCAATGGCTCCCTAGTGCCATGGAATCAAGCCCAAGTTGTCCTGACATCCAAGGCCTTTCACAACTTAACGCCCATTCTACTCCACCCCCAGAAGAATTAGCCCCAGTGACTCCTCTAGACAACTACATCATTGTGTTCCCCAAAGCACACCCTGCATGTGTTTCTAGACGCTTGTTAATGCTGTTCCCTTGGCCTGGAATGTCCTTCCTTCTAATCCCCTTTTGACCAAAGCTTCAAGTTTCTCTCTTCCAGGAAATATTCCCAGAATGTTTCTACCCTTGAGGGTGCCTCCCTGCTAGGAGTCCTGAGTCTTTGCACTCCTGCCCAGGGATAAGCATTGATAGATTGGTGTTTGATTTCATTATGGGCTGAATTATACCCTCCCAAAATTCATACGTTGAAGCCCCAACCCCCAGTACCTCAGAGTGTGACTATATTTGGAGGTAGAGCTTTTAAGGGGTTCAAATGAGTTAAAGTGAGGCCATTAGCCAATCTGGCTAGTGTCCCTCATAAGAAGGGGAAATTTGAATTCACAGAAAACACCAGGGCTGTGCACCCACAAAGGGGTGACCCTGTGAAGAGGCAGCAAGAGAGTGGCCATCTGTGAGCCAGGGAGAAACGCATCGGAGGAAACCACCCCTGCTGGTGCCTTGATCTTGGACTTCCAGCCTCCAGCACTGTGAGGAAATTACCTCTGGTTAAGCCCCCAGTCTGTGGTTTTGTTATGGCAGCCCTGGCAAACGAATACAGATTTTTTCTTTTTTCTTTTTTTTTTTTTTTTTTGAGACGGAGTCTTGCTCTGTCGCCCAGGCTGGAGTACAGTGGCGTGATCCTGGCTCACTGCAACCTCCGCCTCCTGGATTCAAGCGATTCTCCCACGTCAGCCTCCCAAATAGCTGGAATTACAGGCACCCACCATCATGTCCGGCTAAATTTTTTTGTATTTTTATAAAGACGGGGGTCTCACCATGTTGGCTAAGCTGGTCTCGAACCCCTGACCTCAGGTGATCCACCTGCTTTGGCCTCCCAAAGTGCTGGGATTACAGGCGTAAGCCACCATGCTTGGCCAGATACAGATTTCCTAGAAGTTCATCATGTTTCTCCTGAGTTCTCTGCCTCCCCTTTCTCAGTCTCACTCCTCCTGGGGCCGCGGAGGCAGGCTGTGCCATCACTCCCTTGTGTGACCCTGGGGCCTGCATGACATGCCTTTAGTGGATGGGGATCCCCGGCTCTCCCAGGGTAGGAATGGAGGGACACAGCAAAGGCGAATGGACAGCACCTACTCGCTCTGTGTCCCAGCCTCACACACCGTTTCTCTCTGAGGAACAGTGTGCTTAGCATTAAAAAGGCTCGGACACCAATGTGCTCACAGAAGTGATTTCTAGTTGGTGGATTGTGCCTTCCTCGTTCCCTGCCTCTTCCCGCCTTCCTCAACTCAAGTTACATTTGTGATACAGCAACATCGGTGGAAGTGTCTGACCTAGGAAACTAGAAGCCATGGTGCACAGAGTCCTGAAAATCCGGGCTCCAGTCTTGGCCTCTGAACCGCTGTGTGGCCCTGGTTTAGTCACAACCCTCTCTGGGCTCCAGGCTCCCTTGTGAAAGGAAGGGTCTGGATGAGCAGACGCCAAGCAATTCTGGGGGAAGATGGAAGGCTCCGGCTGATCACAGCAGGCGGTGCGGTGGGAGGCGGGCACCTCAGGCTGGAGAACAGAGGAGGAGCAGCTGCACAGTGGACATCCTGGAAAACCAAGCCAGGAGGCGGGAGTGGCTGGGGCAGGTAGCGGGAAGCTGTGGGAGGAGCAGAGCAGAGGAGAGGGGCGGGGCAGAGGAAGGGCGGGGTAGAGGAGGGGTGGGATAGAGGAGGGGCGGGGCAGAGAGGGGCGGGGTAGAGGAGGGGTGGGGCAGAGGGGGGCGGGGCAGAGGAGGGGCAGACACACCTGAGTCAGGAAAAGGACTCAGGGGAGGGGAAGCCACAACCTGCCCAGGCCCTGCCTCCCTAACTTCGGCCCTCGCCACACTCCCCTTGTGTCGTCCTAACCTTCTTCCCATTCCTGGAACGTGTTTCCCACCTCAGGGCCTTTGCCCTTGCTATTCCCTCTGCTAAAAATGTAGACCTAGAAGGAGCAAACACGTCCAGCACTTACTAATGTGCCAGGCACTGTCTCAGCGCTTCACATACACTCACGCATTTCACAACCCTGCAGGTAGAAACAATCACTATGCCTACTGTGCAGATGAGCAAACGGAGGCACAGAGAGAAGCAATTTGCACAAGACCTCATGGTAGTGGCAGAGCTGGGATATGAAACTCTGGAATTCCACTTTTCCCTCATTCCAGTGGCAGTGCAAAATGAGATCACACGTGTAAAATGCTTAGAACAGTGCCTGAGACTTAATGAATGCCTAAAAAGTGTAAGTTGTGACTGGGTCTGTATTAAGATGACCATGTCATGTAAAATGTATGCAATGCTCTCCCGCCTGCCTCCCACCACCCCTTACCCTCTGCAGTTTGTGGCCCTCTGACATTTTGCACGTCTTTGTTGGTCACTGTTATCCGGATTGTTCTTCAGATTGTGAGCTCCATAAAGGCAGGACTGTCTTGTTCATAGCTGTATCCCTTAGGTTCCAGCACAGCACCTGGCACATAGTAGGGACTCGGTGAAGGTTTGTTGAGCGACTGACTAAAGGAATAGGAATGTGGGCGTGAGATGGGGAGGCTGGCTTCATAGCCAGACGTGGTGGGGAGGGTGTGGGGCTGGAAGCTGGGAAGAAGATCAGATGATTTCAGCTTAGAGAGGTTTTGACAGAACCAAATATGGCCTCCATTGCTACGGCAAGAGGAAGGCCAGGCAATCAGCCGGCCACTGGCTACCAGGAGCCACTCAGAGCCCTCCCTGCCCCTCCTCTCCCACATTCAGGGAGCCACCAAGGCCGACTGAGACTGCTTCCTAAGTAGCCTTGAGTCTGTCCCATTCCCCATCCCCAATCCCCAGACCCAGGGCCCATCCTCCAATCCCAGGGCACAGCCTTGGCCTTCTCACGGACACGCTTGCCTCCAGCCTGCACATTCTCTCCAACCCACCGCCCACTCCATATTCAGAGGGGACTTTCAGAGGGTCCCACTACTGCCATGATAAAGTCCACACTCCTCAGTGGGCCTACTAGCCGCGTGATGAGCCGGCTCCAGCCCTTCTTCTCACTTTTCTCCTGCAAGCCTCTGCATCCCCCCTACACACCGCAACTTCCAGCAATACCGTGCTGCCAGCAGACCAGGCGATTTCTCACCTGCCCTGAGCTTAGTCCAAGATGCATTCTCTGCCAGGAGTGCTCCTACACCACCCCCAACACCACCCCGCAACCTGTCCAGCAGAGATGTGCTCACCTCCCAAGGCTCAGCTTAAGCCTCACTGGATCTATAGCCTTTCCTGAATCCCCAACTTCAAGAGGAATGATCCTTGTCTCCCACGGTATGCTCCCCGTCCCGCCTCTGCACTTATTTCCCCACACAACTATGACTCCCGGCTAGATGGTTCACCACCTAAAGACAGCAACTATGATGTGGTCATCTTAATACAGATAATACCAGTTACAATGTACACTTTTTAGGCATTCACTAAGTCTCACCAGCCTGACCAACCTGGTGAAACCCCTCTTTACCAAAAATACAAAAAAAAATTAGCCAGGCATAGTGGTGCACGCCTATAGTCCCAGCTACTCGGGAGGCTGAGGCGGGAGAATCGCCTGAACCCAGGAGGCAGAGGTTGCAGTGAGCCGAGATCACGCCATTGCACTCCAGCCTGAGCAACAGACCAAGACTCCGTCTCAAAAAAAAAAAAAAAAAAAAAAAGTCTCAGGCCCTGTTCTGAACATTTTACATGTATGAACTCATTTACTCTTTCTAACAACTTTGTGAGGTGAGTACCATTATCCCCATTTTGCAGCCAAGGACACTGAGGCACAGAGAAGTTACGTAACTCACCCTTGGTCACACACGTGGTAGAGGGCAAATCCAAAACTTAGATTCAGGCCCTTGAGACTCCAAAGCCAGTGTTCTTTCCTCCATGCAGCCACTGGCAGGTCTGCTCCCAAATGGGCCCATGGGTGGAATTGAGGCCTGGAACAAGTCTGGCCTCCTGATGGGCTGGCCAGCAACTCTTTCTGATCACACACAGTCCTGCAGGGCCTCACAGCCAGCATGCCCAGATGGAGCATCAGTGGACCTGAAGCCTGACAACTGGATGAAAGCCTATGGAACCCAAGCCCATGAAATCCCCAAATCTTCTGGGGCTTCCAGCACAGGGAGAGAGCTGGCAGGGCGGTAACTTCTGGAATATGTTAGTTTGCTATCGCTGCCCTACCAAATTGCCCCAAACTTAGTGGCTTAAAATAACGCAAGTATCATCTTACAGTTCTATAGGTCAGAAGTCTGGCTGGGGGCTGTGGTTTACGCCTGTAATCCCAACACTTTGGGAGGCCAAGGCAGGTGGATCATCTGAGGTCAGGAGTTCAAGGCCAGCCTGGTCAACATGGTGAAACCCCATCTCTACTAAAAATACAAAAACTAGCCAGGTGTGGTGGTACATACCTATAATCCCAGCTGCTTGGGAGACTGAGGCAGAAGAATTGCTTGAACCTGGGAGGCGGAGCTTGCAGTAAGCCAAGATCATACCTGTACTCCAGACTGGGCAACAGAGCGAGACTGTCTCAAAAAAAAAAAAAAAAAAAAAAAAAAAAAAAAAAAAAAAGAAGAAGTCTGACATGATTCTCTAACACCAAGGTGTCAGTAAGCTTCTATATCTTCTGGGCGCTGTAGGGGAGAATCCATTTCCTTGTCTTTTCCAGCTGCTAGAGACTGCCTGCTTTCCTTGGCTCGTGGGCCCTTCCTCCATCTTCAAAGTCAGTGATAGGGAACCAAGCCCTCTCACGTGGCATTCACCCAGACTCTGCTTCCCTTATCCTATCCCTTTCTCTGACTCTTCTTCTGCCCCCCTCTTCCATTTTTCAGGATCTGTGTGATTACATTGGGTCCACCCAGATAATTCAGAATAATCTTTCCAATCTAAGGTCTACTGATTAGCAACCTTAATTCCATCCACAACCTTAATTCTCTATTTCCATGTAACTGAATGGTTCCATAGGTTCCAGGGATTAGGATGTGGACCAGTTGCAGGGGCATTATTCTGACCACCCCACAAGTGTTACTTAAACCTCCGCATCCCTAAATGTCTGTGAAATCACTGGAACAGCCTCAAACTTGCACAGTGGGACAGCCTGGGCCTCAGTTTCCTCAAAGTCTCCAGTGTTGGGGCAGATAGGAGGAACATGCCTCCGTCAGAGAAGTCCCTCTCAGCCCTCCAGGAGGACAGCACATGGGGCCGGCCAAGGACTTGCAGTTGACCATTTGGCAAGAAGAAAGTGACCCCTCAGAGCATTTTCACCCATTACCAACATCCCACTCATCCTGAGCGCAAGGTCATGGAGAGGTTCTCACCCCCACTTTAAAATGCAGGAAAGTGAGTTTTGGATGGGTGGGGTTGCTTGCCCAATGTCTCACATGTAGCCTACATACACATGCTCTGAATTATACACTCATTCTCCTGCCACCCTGCTTCTCACAGTGAGGTATTTGCACCACCCAGCTGGGCAGGGTCCTGGACGTCAGATAAATGACCCAGCTTCCTCACTGTAACTTTTCCTCAAGCATAGGTTATCCGTCATTTATTCAGTATATTTTTAATCTCAGATATTGTAGTTTTCATCTCTAGAAGTTTCCTTTGAATTTTTTAATGTTTTCTATATCTCCACTTTAACATGTTCAGTCGTTCCTTTAGCTTCCTGAATTTATGGGATCCAGTTATAAAAGCTGTTTTAATGCCTTTTATTTATTATGTATTAATGACCCTCTTTTCATTGTGTGCCTTATTTTCCTTCTCCTTTGAATGCCTGATAATTTTGATTAGATTCCAGGCATTATGGATATTACCTTGTTAAGTGAAATTATTTTATTTTCTAAATTTTTATTTTATTTTATTTTTTGAGACGGAGTCTTGCTTGTCACCCAGGCTGGAGTATAGTGGCACGATCTCAGCTCACTGCAACCTCTGCCTCCTGGGTTCAAGCCAGTCTCTTGCCTCAGCCTCCCAAGTAGCTGGGATTACAGGTGCATGCCACCACGCTCAGCTAATTTTTGTATTTTTAGCAGAGACGAGGTTTCACCATGTTGGCCAGGCTGCTCTCAAACTCCTGACCACGTGATCCACCTGCCTCGGCCTCCCAAAGTGCTGGGATTACAGACATGAGCCACCACACCCGGCCTAAAATTATTTTAAGATTAATTATGAGATGTGGTTAAGTCACTTGGAAAGAGTTTGATCCTTTTAGGTCTTGATTTTAAGCTTTATTAGGCAGGACAAGAGTAGCATTTAGTCTAGGGTTGTTTCCCTACTACTGAGATGAGACCTTTTGTGGGGCTGTAACTGATGTCCCATGAGTTATGCTATTTTACATTCTGGCTGTTGGGAACAGGCACTATTCTGAGTCTTATGAGAGCTCCAAGCACTGCTCCTTCTAATCTTTTAGAGTTCTTTCCTGGCCTCAAGTAGTTTTCTCACATGCATTTGCTGGTCATTACTCAGCTGAATACTAGAAGAGACTGTGACTTTCCCTTCCTATATAGTGCTCTCCGTCTCTTCTCTCCAGGACCCTTCTCTGTGAATCCTAGCTACCTTGACTTCCTTGGACTTTCAGTTCCATCTCCTCAACTCAAAGCAACCGCTGGGCTCTGCCTGGGTTCACCGTCCCTTTGCTGTGGCCTGCAAATGCTCTCCCGGCAGTAAGCTGGGGTAATGGTAGCTCATCTCATCTTTTTTCTATCATTCAGGTATCATATCCTCCATTGCCTGACATACAGTGTTTTTAGAATCCTTGTTTCTTTTATTTTGTCAGGTGTTTTTTTTTTTTTTTTTTTTGAGGCAGAGTCTCACTCTATTGCCCAGGCTGGAGTGCAGTGGTGCAATCTCAGCTCACTGCAACCTCCGCCTCTCAGGTTCAAGCAATTCTCCTGCCTCAGCCTCCTGAGTAGCTGGGATTACAGGCACCCACCACCACACCTGGCTAATTTTTGTATTTTTAGTAGAGATGGTGTTTCACCATGGTGGTCAGGCTAGTCTCGAACTCCTGACCTCATGATCCGCCCGCCTTGGCCTCCCAAAGTTCTGGGATTACAGGTGTGAGCCACCACACCCAGCCCTTGTCTGTTTTTTCAGTTGTTTCAGGTGACAGGGTAAATCCAGTTCCTGTTACCCGAAACTGTCAATAATCAGAAATCTAAATGTATAACAAAAACAGTACTATTTACAATAGCATTTAAAATGTTAAAAACAGATAAATCTGACAAAAGGTGTGCAAGGCCTATATAGTGAAATCTAAAAAACTCTGTGAATAGAAAATTAAAGCATATATAATCATAAATAAATAAATGGAGAGATATACCGTCTTCATGTATCAGAAGACTCAATATTACTAAAATGCCAATTATTTTCAAATTGACACATAGATTCAATGCAATCCCAATCAAAATCTCAGCAGGCATTTTTTTCTTGAAATTGACAAGCTAATTATATAATCCATATGGAAATGCATAGTCTAAAATAGCCAAAACAAGTCTGACTTATTATAAAGCTATAATAATCAAAACAGTGCGGCATTGCCCTCAAGATAGACAAGTAGACCAATGAAGCAGAGCACAGAGTCCAGAAATTGATCTACACATAAATGGCCAATTGATTTTTAACAAAGTTTCCAAGATAATTCAATGGGGAAAGGATAGTCTTTTCAATAAATAGTGCTGGCCAGGCATGGTGGTTCACACCTGTAATTCCAGGACTTTGGGAGGCCAAGGCAAGAGGATCACTTGAACCCAAGTTTGAGACCAGCCTGGGCAACATAGTCAGACTCCCTCTTAATGAAAAAAATGAAGAAGAAGGAGAAGAAGGAGAAAATTATCCAGGTACGGTAGTGTGCACCTGTAGTCCCAGCTATTCAGAAGGCAGAGGTGGAAGGAACACTTGAGCCCAGGAGTTGGAAGCTGCAATGAGCTATGATAGCACCACCGCACTCCAGCCTGGGCAGTAGAGCAAAACCCTGTCCCACAAAAAAATGGGGGTGGTGGGGTACTGAATAATTGGATATCCATATGCAAAAAAAAAAACAAAACACCACCTGAAGTACCTTGCACCATATATAAAATTTAACTCAAAATAGATAATACACCCAAATGTAAAACCTAATACCATAAAATTTAGAAGAAAAAATAAGAGAAAATCTTTGTAACTTCAGATTAGGCAAAGATTTCTCAGATACACAACACAAGCACAGTCAATACAAGACAACAAATGATAAGTTGGATTTTAGCAATGTGGAACTTCTGCTCTTTGAAAGACATAGTTAAGAAAATAAAAAGACAAGCCACAGACTAGGAGAAAATGCTGGCAAATCAGATATTTGATAACTTATACCCAGAACATATAAAGAACTCTTAAAACACAATAATAATAAAACAAATAAGGCCGGGCACAGTGGCTCATACCTGTAATCTCAGCACTTTGGGAGACTGAGATGGGAGCATTGCTTGAGCCCAGGAGTTGGAGTTCAGCCTGGGCAACATAGGGAGACCCCACCTGTACAAAAAATAAAAATAAGATAAAAATTAAAAAATAATTTTTTTTTTGAGACAGAGTCTCGCTCTGTCACACAGGCTAGAGTGCAGTGGCACAGTATCGGCTCACTGCAACCTCTGCCTCCATTCAAGCAATTCTCCTGCCTCAGCCTCCCAAGTAGCTGAGATTACAAGCACCTGCCACCGCACCCGGCTGATTTTTGTATTTTTAGTAGCAACAGGGTTTCACCAAGTTGGCCAGGCTGGCCTTGAACTCCTGACCTTAGGTGATCCACCCGCCTCGGCCTCCCAAAGTGCTGGGATTACAGGTGTGAGCCACCGTGCCTGGCCCCGGTTATTTTTAAAGGCAAAAAATTTGAACAGACACTTCACCAAAGAAGTACGAGGTAAGCAAATACAAAGATGCTCAATATCATTAATCATTAGGGAAATGTAAATTAAAACCACAATGAGATATCACTACATACCTATTAGAATGCCTAAAACCAAAAGAACTGATCATACTAAGTGCTGGTGAGGCTATGGAGCAACTGGGATTCTATCACACTGCTGGTTGGAATGAAAATGGTACAACAAAATTGTCAAACAGCTTAGCAGTTTCTTTGGAAAGTTAAAGCATATCAACTCTATGATCCAGCCATCAGTTCCTAGGTATTTACCCAGGAGAAATGAAAGCTGCTTATGTTCATATAAAGACTCATACACAGGCCAGGTGCAATGGCTCATGCCTGTAATCCCAACATTTTGAGAGGCCGAGGCAGGTAGATCACTTGATCCCAGGAGTTTGGGACCAGGCTGGGCAACATGGTGAAACACTGTCTACACACACACACACACACACACACACACACACACACACACACACACACACACAAAATCACCAGCAGCTTCAGCTACTTGGGAGGCTGATGTGGGAGGACTGCTTGAGCCTAGGAGGTGAAAGCTGCAGTGAGCCATGATTGTTCCACTGCACTCCAGCCTGGACACAGAAGACCCTGTCTCAAAAAAATAATTTTTAAAAAACCAGCGAATGTATAGTAATGTAACGCAGATCAGTGGTCACCTGGAGACTGGGTTGGAGTGGGGATGAGTTTGCAGAAAGGGAGGCAAGGATTATAAAGTGGCACAAGGAGACTTTTGGCAGCAATGGGCATGATCATTTTCTTGATTATAACGATGGTTTCATGAGTGTAAACATGTGTCAGAACTTATCACATTGCGCACTTTAAGTATGTGGAGTTTACTGTATGCCAACCACACCTCAACAGAGCTGGTTTTTGTTTTTGTTTTTGTTTTTAATGAAAAAAAGAAATACAGAGATAGACCTGACCTGGACTCTGCTGCCAGCACTCTGGTGGGGTCGGGGTGCGGAGGTGGGGGTGGTGGGAAGGCCGTGCACTCAATCAAAGCCTGAGGCTGGAAAAGTGAAGCTGGAAAGGCAAAGTGTAGGCAGAGAATGGTGGCGGGGACAGAGCTGAAGGCCTGGGGCCTCCTGAGTTTCAGAAGTCACCCTCCCATGTGAGAGGTGGGCTCTGCTTTCTTTCTAACGGCCTTCTCTCTCCAACATTCTTTCATCCTGAGAAGCTTCCAGCCAAAAAGGACTTCCTGAAATTGGGCAGGGCCGCCTGAGGAGGCAAGAACAATAGCTGAGCTCTGACTATGGGGCCTGGCTCCCTGCACACATTATTGTATTTAACCCTCCCATTAACCCAGTATTAGCTAACTATGGTCCCATTTGACTAATAAAGAAACTGAGGCTCTGAGAAGTGACTTGATTGGATAATAGCTGGTGGAGCCTCCCAGTCCTAGCACACTACTGCTGGTGTTAACGCTCAGGCTGCAGGGCCAGGCCTGGCCAGGGCTGTTGGGAGTCTCTCCTCCACCCTGGCGCTCTTAGTTTTGAGATCCCCACTCCATATCAGGCATATTAAACCCACAGATCCCATCGTGAATGTGATTTAACTGTGATGATTAATTTAACTTGCAGTTTTCTTGTTATATTTGGGAGCTAAGAGGTGTTCTTTTCCCCAGTTTCAAACATTTTCTTAAACTCTAAATTCTAATGGCAAAATGGTCCTGTTCGTTGGGGGTCTTTGGTGGGGTATGATGGGGGCTCTGGCTTTGCAAGCAAGGATGTGAAGACCCAGTAAGAGGCTTTGGGCTCAAATACAGGAGTGTCTAGTTTTGGGGGACCACAAGGGTCAGGGTTGAGTGCCAGGAAGCCTAGCTGGGTACACATGCCCTGGAATGAGACTGGCCTGCTGTGTATCCTGGCACCATTGCACATTCCTGTGTGATCTTGGAATGGTGAATGTCATCTCACTTCTCTGACCCTCAGTCCCCTCTTTAGTGAGGTCAGGATCATCATCCCTACCTGAGAGAGCCAGGGACTGTAACGTGGTTGGTTGGATATTGTTTAAGGTTCTTTGCTGCAGGGAGACCTATGGGGACTCAAGAACTCAGGTCCGCACAGGCGCCAGAAACCCCGTCCTGTCCACCATTTCGGCGCCCTCCCTGGACTCCGGCTGTTTTCCTTCAGAGTCATCGTACCTTATCAAGTCACAAGTCCCTGAGTCACCCCCAGCCCCACGCCAGCTCTCCGGCTGTCCCTAACACACTTCCTGTGGCCCTCCTCCGCCCGCCCCATATTGTTCCCTGCCCCACCGCATTCAGGGACGTTTTGTCTCCCTGGGCCTGGCGACTGTGAGCCGCTGGGAACAGGAACTGCATAGAGGCCTCTGGTCATTCCCAGGAAGTCCGCATGGAATGGACGGGGACGTGTCAAACGGCAGGCCTGCCTCCCCAGCCTGGACTCCGGCTCCCAGCCGCTGTCCCCCACCCCATGTGAGAAGGCAGTCACAAGATCACAGCAAGGGACACCAGCCCGGCCTTGGGCTCCTGGTCTAGGCCTTCATCCACCATCATAGCAGGGTCCTGGATGCCCCTGTTGTGCCTTTATGATTTCTGGATGTGGGGAGGGCTGGGGCCTGGGGAAGGAGCCAGGCAGCCACGGCACTGGAGGAGGGAGCACTGGATCAGATATTCACACACGTAGGTTTGTGCATCTCCACAGAAGGGGCTGCCCTTGCTTTTACCTAAATAAATGGCATATAGGTTCAAATCCCTGCCTCCCCTTTCATAGCTGGGTGCTCTTTGGTATACTTGTATACCCCCTCGTGCCTCAGTTTCCTCCTCTGACAAATGGGGATAACAACACACCTAACGCATCTGTTGGAATGTTTGGGTAAAGTGTCTTCCCCTCCTGTTCCACGAACTCTTAGAGTGAGCCACAACCTGCCACAGGCCCAGACTGAGAGGTAGCTTTCGCTTTCTAGTTGGAGGGGAATGGTCTCCCAAGAGGGACCTTAACCACCTCTCCTGAAGCATGCCCTGCTTGCTCTGCTCAGTGCAAGGCCTAGTCCCCTTGAGAACTCCCAGGCCTTCAACTGTGCCATTGGTGGCTGTGCCACACGTGAGAAGGTCACTGTCACATAATGGGAACAGCTACATTTACAGCGGGCTTCGGGAGTCACACAGATGATCTCAATTAGTCTCCACAGCCACCCTGTGACATTGACAACGGAACCCTCCATTTTACAGGCGGAAAGGAGGCTCCCAGAGTCCACTGCATGAGCTCTGTGTAAACGACTAAGGGGTGGGTGCTTAGGGAGCTGCCCACACGTGCATTCTGATGTGAAGGAAAGCCCAAAGTAAATGGAATGGCTGGGCGTGGTGGCTCACGCCTGTAATCCCAACACTTTGGGAGGCCGAGGCAGGCAGATTACTTGGGCCCAGGAGTTCAAGAACAGCCTGGCCAACATGGCGAAATCCCATCTCCACAAAAAATACAAAAATTGGCCGGGCGCGGTGGCTCACGCCTGTAATCCCAGCACTTTGGGAGGCAGAGGTGGGCAGATCACGAGGTCAGGAGATCGAGACCATCCTGGCTGACACGGTGAAACCTCGTCTCTACTAAAAAATACAAAAAATTAGCTGGGTGCGGTGGTGGGCACCTGTAGTCCCAGCTACTTGGGAGACTGAGACTGGAGAATGGCCTGCACCTGGGAGGCAGAGCTTGCAGTGAGCTGAGATCGCGCCACTGCACTCCAGCCTGGGTGACAGAGCAAGACTCTGTCTCAAAATATATATATAAATACATATATATATATATAAATTAGCCAGGCATGATGGTGCACACCTGTAGTCCCAGCTTCTCCAGGGGCTGAGGTGGGAGGATCGCCTGAGCCAGGGAGTTTGAAGCTGCAGTGAGCCATGATCATGCTACTGCACTTCAGCCTGGGCAACAGAGTGAGACCCTGTCTGAAAAAAGAAAGAGAGAGAGCGGGGTGGGGAAGAAAGGAAAGGGAAGGGGAGGGAAGGGAAGGGGAGGGGAGGGGAGGGGAGGGGAGGGGAGAAAAGGAAGGAAGGAAGGAAGAGAGAGAGAGAAAAGAAAGAAAATGGAATGACTCACTAATGGTCAGATTTCATAGCAGCTGGAGGTGAAGAAGAGGAAATTGAGGGATGGACAGAGGGCTTTCCCCAGGCTTTTGAAACCTGGTCCCCCAGGTGATCGTTGCCCTTCTATCTATAGTTAGACCTGAAAAAGCAAATGTTGCACCCTTGCTGACCTACTCTAGGAAGGGCAGAGGGACAGGACTCAGTCCAGGGTCTGTACTAGACTGGTTTTCCACCTCTTTTGCTTTTATAAGTTCAGGCAAGAGAAGAGGCGGGGAGAAAAATCTGCTACTAATAAGGAAATCAATTACTTGGTGTGAGTGTCACAAAATGTTTCAATAAAGATTTGTCTTTTGGGTTTCTTTTTTTTCTCCTCCTTTAATTTTTTTTCCCCCAAAGAGACCTGGCTGGGGCCTGAACACGTTTCCAGCATCTTCCAGGCTCCCTGTCAGGGAGAGGCCATGCTGCCATGTCTGGAGCTAATTACCAGGGGGAACACACTCCGCTGGCCTGCTGGCATCCTGGGTACCCACAGGGTCCCCTGCTCTGCCCCAGCCCAGACATACCCATCAGTAGGTCAAGGAAGAGGGTTCGGTCCCCATCCAGGTCCTGAATCAGGTCCAGGCTGAGATGAAGCTTCATTGCCCTCCAACACACACAACACACACGGACACAGTCACTCCAAATCACCCATGCAGTCACACACACACACTCACATGTGCACACAATTATACACAATAACATACTCCTAGACAGTCCGAATTGCACACAGATCCACATACCACAATCACCCACACATGTACATACACTCATGCTCACCCCCAATACACACATATAGACATTCAGTCACCCTTCCCATACACATATATAGTCACACAATCACACCTACATTCCCAACCATCCACACCTAGTCTGTCATCCACATATAATGCACACACACACACACACCCTAACACATACAATTACACCCACTTACACACCATTCCCCACATACAGTCACACACTTCTAATTACAGTTGCTCAGTAATCACACATACACACCCCTAATCCTCTATAATTTCACACGCAATCACACACATTCACACACATACACTTGATGTGAAAATTCAAGAATGTCTGAGCTAGGATGGGTCTTCAAAGTCTTCTATTCCAACCTTCCTTATATTACCAGTGGGGAAACTGAGGCCCAGAGAGAAGTCGTGACTTGCAAAAATGGCAGCTCTCGGCCGGGCGTGGTGGCTCACGCCTATAATCCCAGCACTTTGAGGTCAGGAGTTCAAGACCATCCTGGGCAACGTAGTGAAACCCTGTCTCTATTAAAAATACAAAAATTAGCTGAGTGTGGTGGTGGGTGTCTGTAATCCCAGCTACTCGGGAGGCTGAGGCAGGAGAATTGCTTGAACCTGGGAGGCAGAGGTTACAGCGAGCTGAGATCACGCCATTGCACTCCAGCCTGGGCGACAAGAGCCAAACTCAGTCTCCAAAAAAAAAAAAAAAAAAAAAAAGAGGCAGCTCTCTAACCTTACCCATCTGGTTCAAGATGTCTTGGGATGGGAAATACTGGCCAGGGAATCTGGGGCTGAGAGATGGGGAGAGGCCGCGGGAGAGAGGAACTCATCTGGAGCCCGGCCCCCAAAGAACTTCAGCCAAAATCTCCTAATGAGGAAATGTAAAAATAATAGGCAGGAAGGAATCCGCAGAGCCCCGTAATTCCCCCAACCCCTGCCCAGCCTTGGGAACAGCAGGGGCCACTGGAAAGACTGTGGCCTTGGTGGAGAGACAAACCCAACTTTCTAAAACTTGGCTCTGCCATTCACTTGTTGGGTGGCCCAGGGCAAGGCACTTCACCTCTCTGAGCCTTGGTTTTCTCAACAATAAAATGAGAATAAAAACTGACCTAACAGGGTTATGGGGAGGGATAACAAGTTCTGTTTCCAGAACATTCAGCACGGTGCCTGGCAGGCAGTAGGTGCTCAACCGATCCTCCCTTCTGTTTCCTGGAGTCCCTTGGTCACGCCACAGTTTTGCTGTGTGACCTGGGTGAGTCCCTTCCCTCTCTGGGCTCTAGTATCCCCATCCAAACAAATCTCTAAGGCCAAATAGCACCAGGCCTCTCTGCTGAGAGACAGTGAGCGGAGTGGGCCTCAGGGGTAACTAAGGTGATGGCCTGGAACTTGTTCCTGAGATCCCAGGACTCTAGGTTGGAGGGGAACAGGGCTATTGTCCTGCAGAGAGAAGAGTTTGCGGGGACTCAGCCTTTGTCAGCCCCAGCTGACAGTGAGGCTGGCAAGGCTGGTATTTGAAATATTCCTCTGAACGGGGGAGAGACGCTGGGAGGTCTCAGGGCAAGCTAGGAGGAGGGATGTGGTTGCCTAGGAAACCATGTGTTTTCACTTTTCTGAGAGAGGGGGAGCCTGAAGAGGAAGGGCCTGGGGTGCACAGAAGTGGAGGGGAATGGGGGGAATGTGTGCCCTTGGGGAGTAAGCTGAGGGGGAAGGGAGGAAGCCAGCGGAGATGGGGCTCAGTGAGAGGCTGGAGGGAAAAGTTTATGGGCCCCAAATGCCTGAGGGCAAGCAGCTGACACAGAACCACCAAGAAGCTTGCCAAAAATACAGATTCCCAGGCCCCACCCAGGACCCACTAAATGGGAGAGCAGGAGGCTGCACGGAGGGGAGGGAAATCTGTGTTATTAACCAGCTCCTGGCCTGGGAACCCTGGGAGGATGTCAGATGGTGTCACATTAGGAAGAAGGACAGTGGGGCTAAGCCTGGCTCCTCTCAGGCCCTCTGTGTCCTCATCCACAAAAACAGAGTGGAGGAGGTTGGAGTAAATTAACCCAAAGGCCTCTCCCCAGGCCACTCCCCAGAGGCGGTAGCAGGGAGGCAGCAGCCTGGGCCCTTGTGACAGGATGATCTGGGCTCAAATTCCAATTCTCCTAGTTACTGACATAGTCTTGGCCAAGTCATTTCCCTGGGCCATAGTTTGCTTGACTATAAAATGGGCATAACACCTATGATTTACCATTTCATGAATGTGGGAGTCAGTTGAGTAATGTGAGACAGGTTCCTCTGTCGTTGCCTTGGGGTTAAGAGTCTCCCCGGCCAGGCACGGTGGCTCATGCCTATAATCCCGGCACTTGGGGAGGCAGAGGCGGGTGGATCACGAGGTCACGAGTTCAAAACCAGCCTGGCCAAGATGGTGAAACCCCGTCTCTACTAAAACCCACAAAGATTATCTGGGCGTGGTGGCACACACCTGTAATCCCAGCTACTCAGGAGGCTGAGGCAGGAGAATCGCTTGGGCCCAGGCAGCAGAGGTTGCAGTGAGCCGAGATCGCACCCCTGCACTCCAGCCGGGGCGACAGAGTGAGACTCCGTCTCAACAACAACAACAACAACAACAACGACAAAGAGTCTCCCCAGTGGGCCCCAGCTTACCCTGACATCTCCACCGACACCAGCCATCCCTCCATCTTTCTAAAGCCCTGCCCCCAAATTCCTCTCGTGGGCCCCCAGACCTTTGCCTGTGCCAGAATCTACCTTCCTGTTCCTACCTTCTTCTTTTTAACCACTCCAGAGCAGCTGAAAGTTTCCCTCCTGGATGGTCCCTGACTTCCCTCCTCCCCCAGGACTCCACAATGCCTGCTCCAATCTTACCCTCCCTGCTCAGCAGCCCCACCCTCTGACACACAGCCACTGGATACCACTGTGGGGACTGCTGAGTGGCTGCATGAAATCTGGGCTCAGATTCACCTTTGGGTATGGGCCCTGCAGGGCTGACCACACCCTTAGATCCTGGATGTCAGGTTACACCACCTCCTCCCATCTCAGGTGTCTTCACCTGAAACCTCCTGGGCTGCTTCAGGAGGCGGAGAGGTGTCTTCTGCCATCTCAGCTCCCCACTTCACGAAGGGAACCCCAAGCTTCAGAACCCTCACTCGATTGTCCTCTGGTGGTATTTGCTCTTTTTCATAGGTGAGGTTCTAGTCCTCCATCCTCTAGGGGCTGAATGAAGGTAGTCTCGGGTGGTGCCCTGGAGAGACAGGATTTCTGTAAGCCGAGATGAAGAGAGCATTCTAGGCTGAGGGACCAGCCAGAGCGAAAGGAGGCCAGTGTGGCTGGGAGCAGAGAGAGGAACCCAATCATTTTTCACTGTGTTGGGGCCTGGGCCCCCACAGGCCTCACTGGAGGTTAGCATGTTCCGGGGCTCAGCAGACCTCGCCTCTTTGCCACGGGCAACGGGCCCCGGGAGAGGAAAGCCGTTCCAGGCCGGGGCTGGGGAGGATCTTGATGGCGCCTGGGGGTGGCTTTAGCCGGTTGGTGTCCTTTTTTGAGCTCTGGGTATTCTTCCATAAAATGGGGATGGGGGCCAGTCGCGGTGGTTCCCACCTGTAATCCCAACACTTTGGAAGGCAGACAGGAGGATCGCTTGAGCTCAGGAGTTTGAAAACAGCCTCAGCAACATAGTAAGACCAGTCTCTCAAAAAAACAAAAAAACAAAACAAAACAAAAAAGGGATGGGGCAATCTCCAAAAAAAAAAAAAAAAAAAAAAAGCCCTCCAGTTCCTCCCACTCCCCACATCCACTGCCAAGGGAGTGGTTAGGGCCTCCTGCCCTCGGGGCGTCTTCGTGACACCAGTCCTACCCTACCACCCACTCCCCAGGCCCCAGGCGCTGCGGGCGGGCTCGGCCCCGCTCTGCAGGACCCCACCACCCCCAGCTTTGCCCTCCAGGAGCCCAGAGGGACCGGCCCGCCAGCGCGGAGCCGGGCCGGGAGCCGGGTGGGGGGAGAGGCCGCCAGCCTGGGAGGCCGGGGCAGCGGGAGACAGCGCGGGGACAGCCCGATAAGGCGGCGGCTCCCGGGCGGCCCCTCCCAGCTCCGCTCGATCACAAAAACCAAACTCAAACATCCGGCGGCGCGGGAGGGGCGGGCCGCGGGAGGGGGTGGGGGCGACCCTGATGCGCCCCACTCAGAGCCGGGATGCCCTCCCCGGGTTCACCCTGGTAGGGCCCTGCCCCGCCCCAGAGAGAGGCTGGGGGCAGTAGTCGACCTACTCAGACAGGCCAGGGATGCCGGGCGCCCCCTCCTTTGTCCCGCGCCTGGTGCTCCAGTTTGGGGAGGGCAGGGGTCCCTGGGAACTTGGGAATGGAGTGGCCTGACGCCAAGGTCCTACGACCCCGCAGCACCGTGGGCTCTCCTGGACTGTGGGAGAGCCCAGCCCTGAGCTGGTCCTGCTGGGGGTCGGGGAGATTCACCGTCCTGACAGGATGGTGGATGAGACCGCACCCTCAGCCCAGCCTGAACTGCGCTGTAAGACCTCGGAAGCAGGTGCGAGGCTGTTTACCAGCATCTACTGACCACACACTGTGTGCCCAACGATTATGATCGTTACCTTTTTAATATAGACAGGAAGCCTGACGGAGGCTGGCACCAGGTGGTTAAACCCCCTGCCCCCTCCAAGAATCACACTGTCCTTTTCCAGCTTCTCATGCAAGTGTCTCAGTGACAACATTTGTCCTATATACTCTCTTTAATCCCTTTGTATCCTTGTCCTCATTCATTAGCACTAATTCATTCCCATGTACTGGGCACCCACTCCATGCCAGGTGCCATGCCTGGTTGCAGTTTATGGAGGACACAGCAGAACTGGCCCCGGTCCCTCTCAATAGTTCACGTTCGAATGAGAAAGGCAGATAAGGCACGTGATTAAAAACTTAGGTAGGCCTGTGAGGAGTGTTTTGTATGTGGCACAGCACGTATAAAACTAGAGAACCTGAACTATGTGGGCGCAGGGAGCGGGTGTTCGGGGAGGCTTCCCTTGGGAGACACTGATTGCTCAGATCTGAGGGCGGGTTGACCCAGGTGAAGGGTGAGAGTGTGGGCCGTGAGGGTCTTCTGGGTGGAGGTGCTGAAGCCAGAGGAGACCCCCACAGATCTGAGAGCGAAAAACAGGCCCCTTGTTCAGAGCAGGGGCCCAAGACGTGAAAGGAGAGGGCAGAAGCCAGAAGGCATGGGCCTCAGTGGTCCACGTCAGGGGTGGTGGCGAGGAGGTAGAGAGAGGGTCGGAGGCGGGGAGTGCCATGACCCGGGTGTGTTTTTCAGAGTCCTCTGGCCATTGTGTGGTGAATGGACTGGAGGGTGAGGACAGAAGCAGGGACACCAACTGGGAGGCTGTGGCAGGGCCCCCCGAGAGAGATGCCAGGGCCTCGGGCTCAGTGGGTCCATCTGGCCTCTGCTTCACCCTCCACTGACCTGCCCTCGACAGGCCCATCAGTGGCCTCCCTGTGGCCAAATCCACACAACCTTGTGTGCAGTTGGGCCCTGCGGGATGCTCCCTCTCTGAACTGCCTTTGTCTGTGTGTCCTAGGGCTCGTGATCGCCAGGTCCCCCTCCCCCTCTGATCACCCTGCCTCTAACACTGGGACACCCCAGCTTCAGGCTCCCTCTTCCCACTGTCTCAAGATTCACCCTTGCTCACAGATTCAACTACCACCTGGACACAACTGACTCAAAAACATCAAATGCCTTCATCTAGCTGCACACTGGACACTCCGCCTGGCTCTCCCTGGCCTCCTTGAAAGCAACCTGCCCTAAAAGGACATGTTGAGATTCCCCTGCCCCTTCCCCCAGGCAGAAACTTAGGAGCATCCCTGACCCCTCCCACTGCCTCTCTCACCCACACCCGATCCCACCAGTCTGCCTTCATATCTCAAGTTCGTGAGTTCCTCCCCCTCCCCACAGACACTGCTTTTCTGAAACACAAATCTGTCTTCCGTCCTCCTCTCTGGCCTGGTTCTCTGGTTCCCCATCATCCTCAGAACCAAGTCCTGGTCTCCTGTTTCTTTTGTCTAGTCAGAGACCACCTCCTCCAGGAAGCCTCCCCAGACTCCTGGCTCCACTTGCTCCCTGTCTTTCTCCAACTTGGTGTTGGTGGTGGATGGGAGAGCCAAGATTGTGCCCTTTCTATATGGTCAGGGCCACTGTGGAGGAAAACGTCTGGCCTAACAGACCTGTTTCCAGGGAGTCATAGCCACAGAAACAGGACATCAGGGACAAACAGAGAGTAGCACAGTGCCAGGCTGGAACAGCAGGATGATCACAGGGGGAGCTTGCTTATAGATGAGGACATCCCCATTGGCCCAGATTCTTCATGCCAACCAGACTGGTCCACATGGAAGTGCTTTGGGAGGCCTCAGGAAAACACTACTCTTTGCCCATCCTTTATCCTGGAAGTACCCCCTCAGACCTCCACTCCTTTCTCATAAGCATTGTCCTCCCCAGAGTCCTGATAAACTACAGATCCTCCAAGAAGAGATGCACATGCTGAACAGTGACTTCTTGCCTGCCTCCTTAAAGGTCAACCCCCAAGATACAGCATCCAAACCCAATCACCTGGTGGGCAGCCAGGGCTATAGCGTGGGAGGGTATCTGTGTTTCCACACTATTTACACAAAGCAAGACCTCGATGAACTCTGTTCACAAACACACATTGGCAGGATTGCCTACAGGGCTGTTCCCCAGAGTGGCTGGCCTGCCAGTTACTTGGTGGGGGGAAAGTTATTTGAAATTCCTACTGCCATAGAGATGTGAGATAACCTGAGGTGCCTTTATCTTACCTTGAGGTTTACAGAACACTCTGCAAACAGGACCACGAGGTCAGGAGGGGTCCTCAGAGCTCTCCTGGTCTAACTCATTGACAGATGGGGAAACTGAGGCCCAGAGAGGGGCAGTGACTTTCTCAGAGCTCCAGAGCAGGCAACAGGCCAGACCGCAGATCACAGGTTCCCAGGCCAATGTTTTCCCTGCTGCCTCAGCACCTGGGCGCAGAAACATTCTGACCATGCTGGGTCTGTGTTTGCAAAAGGTACTGGTGACCTTGCAGTCAGTTAAGTTGTGGGGAAGGCTGAGGGGTCTCTCTTTGATAATTTTTGAAGGGGGTTGGTTTTGAAGACAGCTGGTTTGGGAGAGGGTATAAAGAGATGCCTAGAGATACTTAGGGCTGCATAAATGTATCACTACTGGAAAAAATCGCTAAAACACATGCATACAAACTCATACACAACTGCTATTTTCATTTAGCTGATTTTTTTTTTTTTTTTGAGACCAGGTCTCACTCTGGAGTGCAGTGGCATGATCATGGCTCACTGCAACCTCGATTTCCCAGGCTCAAGCAATCCTCCTGCCTCAGCCTCCCAAGTAGCTGGGACCATAGGCAAGTACTACCACGCCCAGCTAATTTTTGTATTTTTTGTAGAGATGGGGTCTCGCCATATTGCCAAGGCTGTAGCTGATTTTATTTTACAAGTATTCCATAGTTATTGAAGAAAAATTAGAAAATGCAGAAATTTTGATAAAAAATCAAAGAATATAATTTATCCACAAGTCCACATCTGGCAACAAAGAGGCAGTATTGCCAAGCAGTCAGAAGTATAAGCACAAACGTCAGCCTAGCACAGAGTTCAGTCCTAGTTATACCACTTAGCAGCTGTGTGATCTTTAACACGTTGCTTAACTTCTCTGAAACAGTTTCCTCATTTATAAAATGAACACTAATCTAGAGTGGAGTGCTTAGCCTCATGTCTGACATGCAACAACCACAAGACAAAAGGCAGTCATGGTGACACTCACTTGGTGTGTGGCACCCCCATTTTTCAAGATAAATGTAGAGGCCAGGCGTGGTGGCTCATGCCTGTAATCCTAGCATTTTGGGAGGCCAAGGCAGGCAGATCACTTGAGGGCAGGAGTTTGAGACCAGCCTGGCCAACATAGTGAAACCCCATTTCTACTAAAAATACAAAACTTAGCCGGGTGTGGCAGTGCGCACCTGTAGTCCCAGCTACTGGGGAGGCTGAGGCAGGAGAATCACTTGAACCCGAGAGGCGGAGGTTTCAGTGAGCCGAGATCATGCCACTGCACTCCAGCCTGGGGGCAGAGTGAGACTCCGTCTCAAAAAAAAAAAAAAAAAGATAAATATAGAATTAGACCAGAGTAACCTTTGAGTTCCCACCCCACTCAGCTTTTATGATTCCACACATCGATGATGAGTCCTGGGGCAGGGGCTTTCTTTCTCCAGGCCTCAGTTTCCCTGTCTGTATTCTAGGTCCAGGGCTGGAGCAGTGGCTCTCAGGAGTCATTTCTGTCTGCTGGCCAGGCCTGGTGACCTCTGGCACTGGCTGGGTCATCTCTGTGCCCTGGCCGCCGGAGATGAGTCAGACGGCCAGGAGGCTGGCCCAGATGGCTGGTGACCCAGGCAGCCAGAATCTTCAGACCATTGTGGGCCCTCCCTGTCCCACTTCCCCATGGCTCCCATGAGCTTCCCCAGACTAAGGCTGTATTGTACAAGGCAACAGACCAGCCAAACCAAATAAATGGGTACATGCACTTCACCCAGCCCTCCCAGCTGAGCCGCATCAAATACCAACTACCGGCCAGTTTTACCAAGATGCTGAGACATGGTTAGTGGGGGAGGCCTCCCAAGCCACTGACCTTTAGGGTCATCCAGCCATTGACTCCCTCATTAATTTACTCATTCATTCCACAAATTCACAGAGCACCCTCTAAATGTCAGGCATTGTGCTAGTGCTGGGATTCAGTGTTGAGCAAAACAGCCCCTGATTTCAGGTTGCTCCTGGGTGGGCCAGGACATACTTCTCAGTGCACTGCCAAGATACGAGCACTATGAGGTAAGATTCCAGAATAAGGCATGAACTCTTCTAGTTGAAAAGATTGGGGAAGATTTCCCAGAAGCAGTGGCCTTTGAAGCAGGTCTTGAAAGGTGAGGAGGAGTGGGCCAGGCAGAAACAAGAGGCAGGGTATCCCTGGCAGAGGGCACTGCAGGAGCCAAAGCAAGGAGGTATGACAGTGTAATCATTGAAACTACAGGGTGAGCACTGGAAAAGGCTAAAGAGATCAACTTGTCCAGTCCCCTCATGTAACAGATGGGGAGACTGAGGCCTGGGCAGAGCCCAGGTGTGGCTGGCATTGCTCTTGCAGAAGGAGAAGTCTGACAGTTTCCTCACAGATAATGTAAGTCATCAGGTTTACTCTGTCTAAAGCCTTCAGATTCAAGGGCAACTGAAGACAGGTGTCCCAAGCAAAGCCTAGCTCTGCCCAACAGGCCTGCAAGGAATTGTTGGTGTGTTTGTTTTATTTGATTGGTTAGTTATCTAATAAACATGCAGGAACCCAGAGTTCTTTGCTACCCACTGCTTGCAGGTAGCACAGAAAGCAAGAAATAATATGCTTCTTCAGCAAGAGAGCGTTAGGGTACATGTGACTAAGAACCTCCTGAAAGTGAACCAGGTCAGGCACAGGAGCTAAGGCCAGAGAAAAAGCCCCTTCAGGACCCAGCTTCCTCCCAGCTCGGAGCTCCCTCGTCTGCCCCACCGTCGGGGCAGAGCTGTCTCCTGTGAGCAGAGTTGTGAGCAGCCCGGAAAGCAAGGGCCAGCTCATCAGAGACAGGAGGAGGAGACACAAAGCACAGAAACCTCTGCAAAAACTCCCTCCAACGTGGAAGACTGGGGCTTCTGTTTGTTTCTTAAGGCTTCCCAACCTTCCTACAAAGAACACACATGACTTGGATATCAAAGGACATTTGATCGGGGCAGTGGCTCATGCTGGTAATTCCAGCAATTTAGGAGGCTGAGGCGGGTGGATGACTTGAGGTCAGGAGCTTGAGACCAGCCTGGCCAACATGGTGAAACCCTGTCTCTACTAAAAATACAAAAATTAACGGGGCATGGTGGTGCGCATCTGTAGTCCTAGCGACTTGGGAGGCTAAGGCAGGAGAATTGCTTGCACCTGGGAGGCGGAGGCCGGAGGCTGCAGTGAGCTGAGATTGCACCACTGGACTTTGTCTATAAAAAAAAAAAATGACATTACAGGGGAGAAATTGGACCAAAGAGAAATGATGAACAAGGCTACCCAGTGAAGTCACTCCCTAGGTGTGATGGTCTCCTGTTCACCCACTCCTTGCCAGAGCTCCAATCCCACATCAGGCCTCAGGCATACCTGTGTATCTTTGCTCAGGTTATGCCCCTAACCTGGCACTTCCTTCTGCCTTATTCTGAGAACTCCTACCCATCCATCAAAGCCCCCCTCATATGTCCCTTTTTCTCTGATGAGCCTGCCATCCCACCTAGCCTGCCCACCCGGCTTTGGTCGCACCTCTAGTACAGGTGTATTACATTTCCTGGCTGTTTGTCCTGGTTATTCATTGAGAGCTGGGATCAGGGCCATCACTGCCCAACTTGCGCACTATTCTGAAAGGTAGCTTTGTGACTTTGGGCAATGTCAAATGAATGAATGAACAAATGAGTGAGCTTTTCTGATGTCAAAACGTGGGTGATCCCACCACCCCCTCTCAGGAGTTTTTGAGAAGACGGGCATAACCTGATTCCTGACCTTACTGCACAGCCTGTGCTGGGTGGGGGCAGCCAGGGAAGAGAGGAAAGGGGTATGTAGAGGGATGAAGTAACTGAGCTCTAACGCTAGAGTGATGTTTCTCACCTTTTTGTTCATAAGGACTCCTACCCCCCAAAGAATCTTTATAAGTTTTTTTCTAATCGTTCCCCACTACAAAATTCTAACAGTACAGAGATACTGAATATCTGCTCTGCACTCTATGTATATTCATAATTGAAGACTTTTTCTAACCCCCTTCCTGAACCAAGTTTTGCTCCCTTGAGGGCAATATCACTCCCATTGAGAATGCCCATCCTGGGGTGGGCAGTCATCTACACTGGCTCCTCTAACCTTCAGAACAGCCAGTGAGGCAGGCATCATTATCTTCATTGTATAGATTTGTAAACTGAAGAATAGATGTTTGTTAACTTGCCCAGCTAGTGAGTGATGGGGTCACGATACATAGCTGGAATTTTCAGACCACAGACCCCTGGACTTGCCCGCTGTGTTGCGGAAGAGAAGAGGAAGCTGCAGCTGGTTGAGAAGGAGCCCTGAGCCAGGGTCCGGCTCCTCCAGGCACTGCCTGTCTGTAGACCTCGGTTTCCTCCCTCCTAAAGTGAGGAGGGGGGTGGGTCTCAATGTATCCAAAGGACTCCTCAGGCTTCCACCCTATGAAAGAGAAGTTCTCAGGTCTCAGGACACTGGGGACCCCCACCACCTCCATGCTAGGATTGGGCCTGGGTCCCTGGGCCCTGGCCGCCAGGCTGGAACTGCTGGGATCAGGTGGAGGGAGGGGACTGCTGAGCTGCCGGCCCGGAGACTGAGATGGGGATGTCTGCTCCCGGCTGGCGGCCTCCCAAGGGTGCTCGGCTGGGAGCCTGGCTGGCCCAGGCTTTCCCCAGGACCTGATAAACCAGAAAAAAGAAAGCACGCTGTGAAGGGAAGGAAGCACCAGCAGACAAAGAAGGGAAGGGCACGCTGATTCCATCGGCTCCAGGCCCTCAGCCACTCTGGCGGGCCGGGCAGGGCTGGGCAGGGCTTGCAGACGGGCAGCCTGGGGAGCTGGCGGCAGGATGCTGGGAGCCAGCTACGTGGGGATCACTGTGCCCGCCTGTCCTTGTGCCGAGGCTGGCTGGGGTGGGGACTGAGAACAGGCCAGCAGGGACAAGCCCCAGCATACCAGCCCTACCCCTCACTGGAGCCTCCTCACAATGTACCCACGTACAGGTGGTGTCTTCGGCACTGTGCAGGGGGCCAAAGTTCCACAGCCAGTTAGCAGCAAAGCCAGGCTGGGACCTGGTTCTCTGGTTCCAAACTTTAGGTGCTCTTCCATCCCATACCTCACCCAAGTCTGCCAGAACCTGATTCTGCTGCCTGAGGAGGCAGGAAACCACTCAGAACAAGAAATAAAATAGAGCCAGCTCACCATGGGTCATCTTCTGTGTTATCTGAACCAATCTTCACAAGGGCCCTATAAGGTCAGCTATGTTATTGGGCCCACTTTACAGATGTGGAAACTAAGGCTCCTAACAGCTGGACCTTTGCAAGGTGCTCTAGGGCAGCCAGCTTTCCCTGTCTGGGGGAGGCTACAGGGCCCTGGGGTGGGTGCAGGAAGCCCCTCAGACCTTTGCCCCTGAGCTACAGGGCCTTCCCTGAGGGTTCAAAGGGGAAGAGTTGAGAGATGGCAAAAAACAGCTAGACTTTTTCCAAAATTAGTAAACAGAAAAGATATTCCAAAACCTGCAAATGAAAGGAGAAAGGAGTGGAGCAGAACTCGGCTCCGGCCCTTCCTCAGGGAGCCAGCGGGATGAATGAGGCCTGGGTGGACTAGCAATCTGCAGGGGGGCTTCCATATCCAGCTCTGCTACTTTCATCTGCAGCTCCGCCCACAAGATGGGACAATGAGCCCCCCCACCTCTGCGCCGCTGAGCAGAGCAGAGAGAATCTGGGCAAAGGCCTTGCATAGGGCTGTGCCCCATCACCAGGCTCCTGCCCCACCCAGCTGGCTTCAGCCTGAGGTTTCCAGGCATGCCGGCTGCAGCCCACGCACTGACCACTATCCCAGGGGACCTTCCTCAAAGTCTCGGGACTCTCCCAGATGCCCTCCAGAGTCAGCAATGAGGACCTGGGATGAGTGAAACAGGCAAGGAATAAAAGCCAGCCTGTGGGGCGTTAGCGAGCTAGCACTGCTGTGGGGTCCTGGGGTCCCATAATTTTGGGGACCCTCTGAGGAATGGGTAGGATGTGGCTCAGAATTGGTCCCCTGCAATTTGGAAGGAAAACATCACCCACTGGTTCTTGTCACCTGGGGCAGGAAGCAAGCACTAAGCTGGGCTGCAAGGCCAGGTGCTATCAGTTGACACCTGCACAGAGCTAGCTGCCCTAGCAAGAGCTGGAGTACAAAGGTAAGCAGTGGATGTGAGGGAGGGTCAAGGGATGCCTGACACCACATCTCACTGAGGCAGCTCCCTTTTCAGTCAATGGTCCCTGGGCTAGGGGCACCCAAGGATAGGTGTGACCAGACACCTGCTCTCTAGGAGCTCACAGCCAGGGAGAAGCCCTCACATACATTCTCCTACTGGGAGATAATGACCATCAGGCCCACCATTCTGTGCTAGGCCCCACACCATCTCCAGTCTTCCCAACAGGCCTGCAAGATAGATATTATTTCCATTTGACGAAGAAACACACTGAGGCTCAGAGAGGTTAAAAATCAACGTCAGGTGCGGTGGCTCACGCCTGTAATCCCAGCACTTTGGGAGGCCAAGGCAGATCACATGAGGTTCAGGAGTTTGAGACCACCCTGGTCAACATAGCAAAATCCCATCTCTACTAAAAATATAAAAATTAGCCAAGTGTGGTGGCAGGTGCCTGTAATCCCAGCTACTTGGGAGGCTGAGGCAGGAGAATTGCTTGAACCTGGGAGGCGGAGATTGCGGTGAGCCGAGATTGCGCCACTGCACTCCAGAGTGGGCGACAGAGTAAGACTCTGTCTTAAAAAAAAAAAAAAAAAAAAAAATCTTCCCAACATTTCATTCCAAGCCTAAGGCCTTCCCAGTGTTCCTGGTGAGGGTGGAATCCTGGCTCAGAGGATGGCCCAGGAGGCCAGAGAAGGCTGCCTGGAGGAGGTGGGGCTGGGTCTGCACTGCAAAGCTGAGCACACTTCCACACTTCACCCCGTGCTTGTGCTCTATCCCCTGGGTCTCCCCACAGTTACCCCACCCGGAGTCCTCAAGAGCATCTCACGATGACCTGAACTCACAGCTTATCAGGTTGGGAGGACCTCAGGGGTGGCTGGCCCAACTCCCAGCCACCCTTCTGTGGCAAAACTGAGGTCCAGAGAGGGACATGACATGCCCAAGCTCACACAGCACAGAGTGCACAGCCAAGATGGGAGCCCAGGTCTCCTCACTCCCAGTTCCGTGCCCTCTCCCCTTAGGCAGCAATGCCAGCTATTTTAAGGTCTTGTCTCCACTATCAAAAATGCAGCCCATCGGGGTGACTCACAGTTGAGCTTTTTTCTTCTTCTATGGCTGAATCTCCTTCCTGGGGTGTGCTGGGCTCAAAACAGAGTGCTGCAGGGAGCCTGGAGCCCCTCAGCGTGGGATGGGACTGGAAGGGGAGCCGTGGGGTGAACAGGGGGCAGCGGAACAGGGCTGGTGGAGCCTGGATGTGACAGCCAGAGAAAGAGCGGCAGAATCCTCCCTCTTCCCCTGCCAGGGAATTGGGCAGAGAGGACCCCCTACTCAGTCACTGGGGTATTCAAAACGGGTTTAGTGCTAAGCCTGGGTGACCTAAAGGGCCAGAGACAGGGGCTGGAGGAGAATCCAAAACACAAAACAAACATATAACCGCCCCCAAAGGAAAAGTCCAGAGTCTGAATTTTAAACAGGAAGAACAAGGCGTCAGGCTCAGAGGAAGATAACAGGGCCCGGCTGACCAAAGAAACAACAGAAAAAGAGCTGAGGAAAGCTGGGGGTGGGGGGTCGGCGGGGGGGTACATTCCTGCTTTGGAGCCTGGGCCCTTCCTGGCTCTCCCTTGCCTCTGGGGTACAGGGTGCCAGGGTCTACACCGCCACACAGTGACAGGGGCACAGGCCAGCCAGGACAATGTGGGAGGCCTTTTTGGAGGGGCACGGGGTATGCAGGAAAGAGCATGTGTCTGGGGTCAGGCAGAAAACAGCTGGAATCCTTGGGCAGGTGGCTCTCTAAGCCACTGTTTCCCCCTCCGAAAAATGTCGTTAAGAATATCTTCCCTGAAGTGTTGGGAGGACTAAGGGAGACAAAGAACGCGCAGGGCTGGCACACAGTGGGGCTAGAATGATCCACCATTCTCTACATGCTCAGCCCTGGTTTCTGTCATCCCAGAGACCCCAGGGGCCACAGACCCAATGCTGAAGGACTCTCAGAAGCACCAGGAACACACATCCTTGCCCTCAACAGATCCTGGCAACCTGGTGAATCCAAAGCCGTCCTTATGGAACCAGATGAACAACCTATACCCCACTGTATCCGTCTGCTTGGGCTGCCATAACAAGGCACACAGACTGAGTGGCTTAAACGACAGCAAGTTATTTTTTTCATAGTTCTGGAGGTTAGAAGCCTGAGATCAAGGTGTCAGCAGGGATGGCTGGGCGCGGTGGCTCACGCCTGTCATCCCAGCACTTTGGGAGGCCAAGGCAGGCAGATCACCTGAGGTCAGGAGTTCAAGACCAGCCTGGCCAACATGGTGAAACCCCATCTCTACTAAAAATACAAAAATTAGCTGGGAGTGGTGGCACGGGCCTGTAATCCCAGCTACTCGGGAGGCTGAGGCAGGAGAATTGCCTGAACCTGGGAGGCAGAGGTTGCAGTGAGCCGAGGTCGCACCATTTCACTCCCAGCCTAGGCGACAGAGCGAGACTCCATCTCCAAAAAAATAAAAATAAAAAAATAAAAAAGGCAGGGTTGATTTCTTCTGAGACCCCTCTCCTTAGCTTACTGATGGCCATCTTCTTCCTGTGTCTCTACAAGGTCTCCCTCTGTACAGGCCTCCCTCGGTATCCATGGAGAACTGGTACCAGGACCCCACCTCGGATACTGAAATCCACAGATGCTCAAGTCCCTTATATAAAATAGCACAGTATTTGCATATAAACTATGCACATCCTCCACTATACTTTAAATCATCTCCAGATTATTTATAATACCTAATACAATGCAAATGCTATGTAAATCATTGTTATACTGTATTGTTTCAGGAATCATGATGAGAAAAAAAGTTCATACATATTCAGTACAGATACAAACATCCTTTTTTTTCTTCAAATATTTTCAATCCAGAGTTGGTTGAATCCATGGATGAGGAGCCCACAGACAGGGAGGGCCAACTCTACATGTCTTCGTGCAGATTTCCTTTTCTGATAAGGACACTAGGCAGATTTGGATTAGGGCCCACCCTGATGGCTTCATTTTACCTTATTCATCTCTTTACTTCAAAAGCCCTGTCACCAAATACCATAACATCTTGAGGCACTGGGGGTTAGGACTTCAACATATGAATTCTTGGGGGACACAGTTCAGCCCATAACACCTGCTAAGTCCCCAACTGTCAAGTCCCCCCCATTCCAGGCTGCATCCCAAACCTGCTTTGGCACTGGAAGGAGCTATAACCGTCCTGAAGTCCAACCCTTGTTTCCAAGAGAGGGGAAGTAATTTATCCCACGTGATGCAGCAAATAAAAATATCCAGAAAGTCCAGGCTCCTGTTAGCACATCCAGGGAAAACACAGTCCAAAGAGGACAAACTTGAGTCCCTCAGCTGAGCATATCTGAAAGGTGATGTCCTCATGTTCTGTGTGTTCTGCCAGCTCAGCAAGTTTTGGGATTGCAGATTCGGTGAGGGAAGGGCAGGGGCACAAGTTGGCCTTCACTTTTTCTGGACAGCTGGAGAGAAAACTCCAACCAGTAACATTTAGGAGTGCCTACTGTGTGCTAAGCACTGTTCAAAGCACTTTACAAGAATTAACTTGTTTAAGCTCCACAACAACCCTATGAAATACATATGTGACAATTCTTATAACCATTTTGGAGAGGGGGAAACTGAGGCACCAAGAAGTGAAGCAACTTGGCCATTGTCATACATCTGACAATGAGTGTATGTAGCAGCACCAGGATTCTGGCTGTAGGGACAGTGTCCTCAGTGGCAATGCTTTCCCATACAGTGAGGTGTCACAGAAGGAGCCCTAGGCGGGTCACCAGGCCTGACACTTCTACCACTTGCTGTGGGACCTTGGGCAAAAGTCCTCCCATGTCTGGGCTTCAGTGTTCCCACCTGTCATATGACAGGTAAGATCAGATGACCCTTGAGCCCAAGACGAACCACCGCCTTCCCTCTTCCTTGCTCCTCAAGGCCTTCCCCAAGTCTAGAAGAGCAGCCTTTGGCCTCAATGTCATGGAACAAAGTCCCCTCCTCAGGGCTTAGGGCCTGGAGGGCTGAGCAGGGAACAAGGCAAACTCCAGGCCACATTGTCTCTGGATGTCCTCCACCACTGGTTTGCCCACACCAGGGTGGCCCTGGCCAGAGGTCAGCAGAGGAGAAAAGCCATCCCAAGCCCTGCAGGAGGCCCTGAGAACAAGTGGAGGAGGGCTTGGGTGCAGACAGATCTGTGCCTGCCCATGGGGAGCTGGTCTTTCTCCCTCTTCCAAGCCACCCCACTTGAGTCCCACCCCAGCCTAAGTTGTCAGACAGTGGGCCTCATGTCCCAAAGGCCTCCTAAGCCCCCACTCCACTCCCAGCCTCATCCCCTGGGGCAGAAACTGAAGACAGAAACTGACACAGAAACTGAAGACAGTTTCTGTGTCACTTAAACAGCTTGGATCTATAGTGGCTGGTGCACCAAACCACCGTAGGCCCTCCACAGAACGCTCCCCACCATGAATAAAGAATACCATCAAAGAACATGTGTTGACAGAGTGAAATGTTGTTGAAATATTGCCAATGGAAAAAAGAAAACTTCACAAAACAATCAATAAAATATTATTCTATGGTATTCAATACATATATACATACTGCTATTTTGATACAAATGCATGGAAAAAGGCCTGGAAGGAACTCCACCAAAACGTTCACAGTGGTTCCCCTGGCGGGGTCCAAGGTGGGGTCCTGGGAGTTGGGACTATGGATTTTCTTTCTTTCCTTCTTTCTCTCTCTCTCTGCTTCTCTGTATTTCCTTACCCTTGTATTAAAGTTAATTTCAGGGACAATAAAAAGACAAATTAATTATATAAGAAAACATGAAAAATGGAGTAATAATGAAAACACAATGTCCACACAGAGTATGCATACCTCCCATAGTAGCCTCTTCCCCCAACAGCTGTGCCTGCTATCTGAGCTCTCTTTACTTCACACACTTGCTCTTCACTTTATATTTTCTTTCTTTCCTTTTTTTGAGACAGGGCCATGCTCTGTCACCCAGGCTGGAATGCATGGCTCATTGCAGCCTCAACCTCCTGGGCTCAGGTGATCCTCCTACCTCAGCCTCCTGAGTAGCTGGGACCACAAGCATGCACCACCATGCCCAGCTAATTTTTTTTTTTTTTTTTCCTAGAGACAGGGTTTCGCCCTGTTGCCCAGGCTGGTCTCCTGGGCTCAAGCAGTCTGCCCTCCTGGGCCTACCAAAATGCTAGGATAATAGGTATGAGCCACCATGCCCAGCCCATTTTATAATTTTCAAAGAAAAGTCACATCCATTTGTGACTGTATCTGTCCTCAGGGGATGAGTGAGGCCAGGAATTACCATCAACGTATTATACATATGAGGAAACTGAGGCAAGAGAAGAGCTACGACTTGTCCCAAAGTCATCCAGCAAGTGAGAGGCTGAGTGGGCCTTACCCTCTGCCTCTAGATCCCTTCAGTCTGAGGGTACCCTCAAGGGCTGGGGATATCTGGGCCAGAGCTTTGGAAGTTGGAGAGCTGAGAGCAGAAGGCACTGACATGGCCTCTTTTGGCCCTAAATGAATCATTATGTTGCTCTGAAGCTTTCTGCCTCAGTTTCCCTAACTGCAGGATAGAACAAGCCTGGCCTCCTCCCTCTCCAACCTTCATGAAAGGATGGATCTAAGATGGATAAAGAAACCCCCTCATGGAAATATAGTCTTGGGCCGAGCCACATGCCATTCTGTCCTACGCCTCAGGCCTGGCCCCAAGAGCCAGGATTCCACCTTCTCCCGCCATCTTCTTGGTGCCAACAGCACTCCCCACAGTGGCTCTGTTCCTTCGTGGAGGGCTCAGCAAGTGCACTAAATAGAAAGGCGGGGAGAGGAGTGGGCACAGCACTGGCCCAGACACCAGGAACCTTGGGCTCTAGCTCCCTGTCCTGGTCACCGTGTGACTCAGAGCAGCCAGTCCTCCTCTCTGAGCCTCTGTTTCTTCCTGTGTACAAGAGGGTGAAAGATGTGCTTCTGTGGTTCTTCCAGAACAGCATTAATTGAGCATGGAGCTACGCTGAAAGACTCAAGCAAAACATCAGCAGCACCACAGCTCTCAGAGCCTGCAGCGTGGACACAGAGCCAGGTCACTGCCCAGGGTCTGGAAAGGAGCTCCTAATTTGCACTTGGAAGCCCAGCAGAGCCACTTCACGGTGGGTGACAATACTTCACTTCCCTGGGCCTAGGGTTTCCTCTATATAAAATGGGAGATCAATTCAGAAGTCCTGAAAGGCCAGTTTTTAAAAAACAACCACCACAATAACAACTGTTTCTCTGGCTCTTCTGATCTGGGGGATGGAAGATCAGAAGTAGCTAAGAATATCAGGGGGCTTATATAAGCCAGGGCTTTACAAATTACACCCTGTGTTCCCAGATATCCAATGTGATTGCTGCCTCCCCAAACCTTGATAAAAGGTGGGTGCTATTGGTGAGCAAGATCCAGAGACAGAGAGTTTCAGGGAGGGAGAGGCAGGGCCATCTGGAAGCCCAGAGCAGCCGACTCCAGACCCGTTTGGCCCCCGATCCTCTGGAGCTGTCCTGCTGGTTCCATAGCGTGAGCAATGTGGCCATAGAATAACAATAATAACATTAATAACAACGAACACTTATGAATCACTCACCTTGTGCCAGAAATGGTAAGTGCTTTATTTGAATTCACTCATTTAAACTTCAGGGAACCCTATGACAGAGGTTCTATTATTGACCCCCAACTTTCAAATGAGGAAATTGAGGCATGAGGAAATCAAGAAACATGCCCCAGGTCAGGCAGCTAGCAAGTGGCAGAGCTTGGCTTTGAATCCAGGCAGCCAGGCACCCCATGTTCACTGTCTTAAGCCACAGTGTCATACTGGCTTCCTGGAAAATGGTGCAGGATAGATGAGAGACCCTTGGAGGGCCCTGTCCTAGGTGGCATTGGCATGCCTTCTTTTTTTTTTTTTTTTTTTTTTTTGAGACAGAGTCTTACTCTGTCACTCAGGCTGGGGTGCAGTAGCCTGATCTCAGCTCACTGCAACCTTTGCCTCCTGGATTCAAGCTATTCTTCTGCCTCAGGCTCCTGAGTAGCTGGGACTACAGGTGTGCACCACCATGCCCAACTAATTATTTTTAGTAGAGACAGGATTTCATCATGTTGGCCAGGCTGTTCTCAAACTCTTGACCTCAAGTGATCCGCCCACCTCAGCCTCCCAAAGTGCTGAGACTACAGGCGTACGTCACCACACCTGGCCTGGCATGCTTTCTTATAGCTCCTTCTCTCCCTGCACACACAGGGCTTTTCACCACCCCTGACTGGGACACACATTATGAATACAGGCAACACATTATAAATATGAACTCTATCTCATAAAGGACCAGCATCCCATTGTTACCCCCACCACGCCCCGGCCTTGATGCTCCACCTTGCTCACCTCTGTGAGGCTTCGAGAGCTAAATTAGGCGAGTGCCAAGACACACTGTGCACACCCCTCTCTGCATAGAGACATGACTAGAAGGATGCTTCATAACCTCCGGTGGTAGGGTTTGTGGTTTCCTCTTTACACTTTCTTAAAACAATCACATGCATCATTTCTACCAAAATAATAAAACTGACAAAGCATCTGAAGGTCCGAGTCAGCTTGGAACCCAGGCCTATGTGGCTCCAAAACTTGAATTATTTGCCCTTTTCTGTAGCATTTCATGGAAAAACCTGCTGGTCTGGGAGATGGCTGGGCAGGACCCTCTTTCACAGGGAGGCTGGTGTTCTCCAGGAGTGGAACCAGCTTCCAATGTAACCAAATCAAAGGCCTGCCACCTCCATGAGGCCCTCACCCTCACTTGGCTGCTTAAACATTGGCGAAATGAGGGTCAGTCAAAGCAGAATAATTTCAGGGACTCTGAGAATATTTAGGCCATCAGACATTTCTCACGCCTTACATCCCACCAGTAACACTTAATAAACAATGGCCAGATGCTGTGGCTCATGCTGGTAATCCCAGCACTTTGGGAGGCCAAAGTGGGAGATCACTTGAGCCCCAGGGGGTTCAAGATCAGACTGGACAACATGGCAAAACCCTATCTCATCAAGTATAAAAATTAGCCAGGTGTGGTGCTGCGTGCCTGTAATCCCAGCTACTTGGGAGGCTGAGGCAGGAGGATTGCTTGAACCTGGGAGGCGGAGGTTGCAGTGAGCCAAGATCACACCACAGCACTCTAGCCTGGGCGACAGATGACTCTGTCTCAAATAAATAAATAATCATAAATAATAATTGGCAAAGGGACTATCTATGGCTTTTTAAAATCTCTGTAGGCTAATATTTTGTCAATGACCATATATTGCTTTACAGTAAGAAAAATAATTTTTCAAAATTATAAAATTCATGGAAATCCAAGATTTGACTCTTACCCTGGGGAAATAAAGTTTTTCTTTCTTTACACCTCTATGTAAAGGCTCTATGCTCAGCACGTTATACACATTATCTATAGTCTTCATAATATCCTGGCAACAAAGCAACTATTATGTCCATTTTAGAGAAACAGAAGCTGAGGCTCTGAGGCTGTGAGGCTGAGCAACTTGCCCAGGGCTGCCCAGCCAGGAAGTCACCAGCCTGGATTCCATCTCAGGCCGGTCTGACTGCCACATCAGGGCACCCTCTCTCTCCCAAGGCTGCTCCCTCCCACCTCTCCTGTCTCCTCCACCCATCACCCATCACACCTGACTCTTCTGGAGACAGCCTTGCCCTCCTCCCTGCCCTTCCCTCAAATCTGGCCTCAGCATCTCTGAGTCCATCCCCCAACCCCTGTGGGAGGAATTGGTTAATGTTCGTCCCACTTGGATCCTATAAAACACTCAGGTCAGCTGGGAGCGGTGGCTCACACCTGTAATCCCAGCACTTTGGAAGGCCGAAGCGGGCGGATCACCTGAGGTCAGGAGTTTGAGACCAGCCTGACCAACATGGCGAAACCCTATCTCTACTGAAATACAAAAATTAGCCAGGCGTGGTGGCGGACACCTGTAATCCCAGCTACTCGGGAGGCTGAGGCAGGAGAATCACTTGAACCTGGGAGATAGAGATTGCAGTGAGCTGAGATGGCGCCACTGCACTCTAGCCTGGATGACAGAGTAAGACTCCATCTCAAATAAATAAATAAATAAAATATAACACTCGGGTCCAGCCGGCTACATCCACGCTGTAATTAAAAGTGCATTTCCATGGCTCGGTGGCGCCCATGTCAGACTGAAGGCTAGTGTCCCACTCCTATGCTCCTGCCAGGAATACCCACCATGTCATTTCTGCCCTGTTGGCAAAAGACATTCTTTGTCCTTCCCAAACCACACAGAAACCCTCTTTGGGGGGCAGGGCCCAAATTGCTTGTCTTGATTCGTACCCTGAGCAAAGGTTTGGGAGCTGGACTGAGCCAGGCAATTCAGGGGTAGGCGGAGGCTGGGTAGGAAGGGCTGAGCAGACCCAGAAGGGAGGAGATACGGGATGGGCAGGGAGAGGACAGGACCAGGGAGACATTTCTAGAATTAAATTTTTTCATCCCAGAGTTTCAAACCCACAGGCCCCTGAGTTCCGGGCCAACGTCTAAGACCTACATGTGGGAGGAATGGGCCCATGGGAAGGAGCAGACCTCAGCAGCCTCAGGCTGCACTCAGAACCTAGACCAGAGGGGACAGAGCTAGTCAGGGCCAGACAGTCCTCCCCTGGAAGCCAGGAGGGGACAGAGGCCCATGTACTCTTCAGGGAGCCAGGCGGGCCGCCCAGCTCTTCCCCAGCCCAGTCCTCAAACAAGTGCCTCAGCAAACAGAGCCCCTGCCCCTGTATTATTTTCTGTGTAAACTTACTGTTGAGAGCTGTCAGGAGTTTGGGGTATCTTACATTCGGAGAACACACTCTGCTGTGAGTCCAAGCAGTACCCTTCCTCAGTAATTCTCAAATAGGCCTCTGAAGTGGGCAGGGCAGACAGGGTGATCCCATTTTACAGAGGAGGAAACAGAGGCCAAAAGAGGTGCTGAGGCTCCCCCAAGCTCCCACAGCTGGGCAGTGGCAGCACAGCTGGCTCTTGCAGCCAAGTGATTGGACTCCAAGTCCAGTGCTCTTTCTGCTGTACCCTAGCTGCCTGGAAGGACCTCAAGGTCAGGACTTAACCGCCCAGGAGAAGGCAGGGTCAAGAAGGGCAGGGGCTGTGAAGGGCTTGGTCTGCCACTGTCAACTCCGGGTTATCTTCGGCAATTTACTTTGTGTCTCAAAGCCTCAGATTCATTATCTATAAAATGGGGATAATAGGGTTATTCTGTGGTTTTTAGAATTGTGCCTGAGTGTTCAGTATGTTATTTATCATTATCAGTGAGCTGCGGGAGGGAGAGGCTTCTCATATGGCAGTCAGGAATGCTCCCTGGAGGAGGCAGGAGGTTTGATGGATGGAGAGGAATCAGACAGACAGAGGGCAAGCAGTTATAGGTTACAGGGAAGAGCACCGGACTGGGAGTCAGAAGGCTTGAGCCTTTGTCCCAGCAGTGCCACCACATCGCTCTGTGTCCCCCCTTTCCCACCAAGTAAAACAAAGCGGTCAGCTCAGATGAGCTCTTGGCCTGGCCAGTAGCTTGTCTTGATTCGTATCCTGAGCAAAGGTTTGGGGGCTGGACTGAGCCAGGCAATTCAGGGGTAGGCGGAGGCTGGGTAGGAAGGGCTGAGCAGACCCAGAAGGGAGGAGATACGGGATGGGCAGGGAGACGACAGGACCAGGGAGACATTTCTAGAATTAAATTTTTTCATCCTAGAGTTTCAAACCCACAGAGATTGGGGTTTCCTTACAGCCCGAGGGCTGAACCTAGAATTCTTTTCCAAAGCCTCATCCAAAAAGAATTCTAGGTTCAGCCCTTGGAGTGTAAGGAAACCCCAATATAATGTTCGTGATGGCTTTGTCCCCAGCAAGGGGAATGCCAGTGGCTTTTTTTCCCTTGGCTTATCTCTATGTGTTAACATTTTGACAATGGTCTGACTATACATTGTTATATAGTAAAATAACAATAATAGTAAGTTTCCAAAATTATAAAACGAACAGAAGTACTAGCTTTGATTCTTGTCCCAGGGCCTAACAGCTTTCTTCCTTTAATAAACAGCCTCCCTGTGACATGGTGAGACCCCTCCCTGGCCAGCACAGCAACACCTCCTCAGTGAGGCCCTACCTGATGACCCTGTGGGGATGAGTGCCCATAGAGGAGAAGGGAGGCCATACCACCAGCATTTGCACACCAGCAGCGGCAGAAGAGTCTGTGCCGGTGTGCACCCTACCGGGTAGGGAATTCAAGCAGCTCTCCTCCTCCTCCTGCTCCTCAACTCCTCCCGGGGCAGCCACACTCACCCCGATTCCTGTCCTCAGCCTTTTGTATCTTGGTGATAGTGACTAGCACCACCTGTGCTTCTGTGTTCTGGGCAACCTGCAACCTAACCACTGCACAGGGGCCATCCTGTTTAATCCACACAAAGCCCCTGCAAGGTGTCCAGCCTCCCCTAACATTGGCAGGACCCAGGGCCCACCTACTGCATGTCTAAATATTTAAAAGCTGTAAACCAAACCATCTTCCTGCCTTGACAAATGTAGCTAATGTGCTTTCAGAATGACTGGGAAGGTCAGGCTCAAATTTAAATTTCTTGAAGACCTCAGAGTTCCTCACCAGGATGGGTGGCATGGGCAAAACTGGACCCTCCCAGCCTCCCCGCTTCCCTTTCTACCTCCAGCTCTGCCCACACCGCCTACAAATGGGTGGCCCTGGGCTATTCAGGGCCATGGGGAGGGAATTGTGGGGTGCCTGGGGCTGGAGTGTGGTTGGGAGCCAGGGGGGTATAGGCTGTGGGTGGCATGTCCCCTTGGCCCAGCAGGCTACCTGCTCCATGAGGGGCTTGTCCAGATGAAGCATTTGTCAGATCTGAGGCACTACTAGAGGGGGATTCGATCATTATCTCCATTTCACAGGAGGGAAAACTGAGGCTCGGAGAGGCTAAGTCAGTTGTTCAAGGCCTTATAGCCAGGAGGCGGGAGGCTGGCTTCAAAGACCTGAGCCTGAGCCTGCCTGTCTGTGAGGCATGGCAAATCCCCATGCACCAATCTACAGAAAAAGCACCTCCAGTGACAGGACTGAGACTCAGGAAGCTCCATTCCAGGCTCACAGGGACATCAGCCCAGAATAAATAACTCCAGCAGACGGCAGAGGAAGCTTAGTGCTGGCCAACAAGGGGATCTGGGGAGGGACCCCTAGGAGGCTGCATTTCAGCCAGGCCTGAGGGAGGGGCAGGCTTTGGACCAAGGAAAAGACTGGGGAGAAGCTATAGGCAGCATTTACAGCGAAGGCAAAGGCTCTGGGGTGAGAACAAGAGGGCACACAGGGAGCAGCAGGCTGTTTTCTGTTTGTTGGTGTTGGCGGGAGCCTGGGCTGTGGAGAGGAGAGCCTGGGGAGGCATAGGGCGGCCGAGGAGTGGGGACTTCCTGCTGGGGGGGTACGAGCCAGGGAGGGACGCCGTGGGAGTATTGGGGAACATCTTCGGGAAGATGATGATGCCGCAGGGACCGGCTGTGTGGGCTGGGGTGCCCCCACTAAGAGGAAGTTCTGCCAGGCTGGACCTGCCTTGAGAGATGCTCTGGGCTGGGGTCGGCCAAGGCCACTCCAGGAGGGTGTCTGCCACCAGAATGGAATGCCTCAGGCCCACATCATGCAGGGGCTCCCGAAGGGGGAACCCTGATGTCCCTGACGTCCCTGCACTCAGCACCAGGCTCATCCTATTCTTATTACCCATTTGACAAACTCTTACTGAGTTCCTGGCCATTTCCCAAGGAGATGAAAGGCCCAGCCCTGCCCTCAAGGAATACTCAGTCCCAAGAAGGAGACAGACAGGCACTCATCTGTCGGAACCCTTCCCACACTGCCTTGCGATGTATGCACCCGCGTGTGGACCCCCTTCTAAGCCATGTAGGAGCGGTGTTGGGGGAAGGAGGGTAGTGCCTGGGGAAGGAGTCAAGAGTGGGTGGCAAAGAGGGCCTTCTAGGGAGGAGACAGCCAGGGCAGAGCGAAGGTCTGGGGCTAGCAAAGACACCCTGAGTTACAGCATAGGGAGGCTTTTCCCGGGGTGGGGCAGGGAGCGGCAAGGGGGCAGAGCTGACAAAATAGATGGGGGTGTTGGGGGAGGGTTCCTCACAGGCCATGCTAGGAGCTCAGACACTCCCTCTAGCAGTGCAGCGCTATTAAATGGTTTAAACCAGGGTGAGAGGGTGTCCGATTGTATGTTGGAGCTAGAACTTAGGGGATTCTGGGGAGAAGTGCACATTTGCATGTGTGTGTGTGTGTGTGTGTGTGTGTGTGTGTGTGTGTGTGTGTGTGTAGGGGGTGGTGAAGAAGAAACTGGGGGCAGAAGAGGCCTGTTGGGGAACAGTGGTCAGGGTCCTGATAAGAGGAGGAGAGGCCCGAACTCCTCAGGGGATGGAGAGCTGGCCCAGGCTGGGGCCATACTGGGGAAACAGGAGAATCAGGACTTGGTGACTGGTTGTCCCCGGGAAGGGAGGGGACTGCAGGACACCCAGATTTCTAGGTGGATGGTGTACTCCCAAGAGCTGGGGCAGGTCTGGAGAAAGGCAGTGAGTTTGATGTCAGACCAGCTGAGTGGGGGTGCCTGTGGGACCCCTCACAGTCGTGGGTCCACCCTCTGCCTTCACTCTGTCCCTCAGCCCCCAGTCTCCCACCCCCAGCCTCCAGCAGTCTCTGCCCAAACTGTCTCACAGCTATGGGGGCTTTGAAGTTCCCTCCTCCTTCTCTCCTTCCCCCTTCCCATGCCGCTCTCCACCCTCAGAGCTCTGGTTTGGCCCAGCCAGGCGCAGTCTGGTCTCCCTGGGCAGGAAGCCAGGGGGCAGCTGAGGGAGGCCAGGCCTGCTGTTTCTGGGGACTAAACCCCTGGGGGTTGACAGGCCTTGTATGACAAATGCGGTAGTTAGGGGCAATCCCCCACCCCCACTGGGGCTCCTGGGATCCAAGGAAGAGAGGTAAACACACAAGGAGTGCCCCATCCCTTCCTTCCTCTGCACAGAGACACACAGTCCCTGGCCCATCCTCACAACTTCCCCGAACAGGGAGCAGGGCCAGAATGTCTGACCCATTGCTCAGAGGAGGACACTGAGGACCAGGGAGGCCAGAGGATGCCTGCCCAGTCACATTCCCCCTCTGACCTCCGTGCCCCCACCTCTCAATGAGGAGGTACTGGGGGCCCCTGGAAGAGGATGGGAAGGTGGCGTGAAACCAGCTCTGCCACATCCCTGCCCTGGGGCCTGGGGAACAAACCTTCGCTGGGCTGAGCCTTGGTTTGCTCATCTGTAAAATAAGTATGACAGTGCCCACCTCCTGGAGCCCTGAGGACTGAATGAGGACATGTACATGACACAGTACAGCAGACCCAGCACCCCACAGGCCTGTTTCCAGAGGAAGAATTCACAACTCGCACGCTAAAGAATAGCCTGATTTTTTTTAAAAGATAATGAATTATTGAATTATTTTAAAATAATTCCAAATTATTTAAAATAATACCAAAAATTAATCCTTTAAAACTCCACAGCAAATCTGGGGCCCAGAGCATCCCCTGGGCCCCAGTCCCCCTGCCCCCTGACCACTGCCGCTACACACCTACCAGACACCCCCACCCACCCCAGACTGACCCTGGGAAAACACCTCCACAGGTTCCCCACCCTGGGCCAATACTATCCCTGGCAAAAAGCTGGGGGCCACCTTCCTGGCGGCCGGAGCCCAGCTCAGCCGGGTGGGACACAGTGGCGACAGCTGATAAGCCAGCCTGTTTAGTTCTGTCTGCCGCAGGCCTGGGGGAGGCCGGAGCTCGGCTGGGGCGGCAGACAGTGTGGCTGTGGCCTCTTCCCCTTCCTAGGCCAGCTTGGTGCCCCTGAGGCTGGGCCAGCCCCTGCTAGGGGCCCCTCCAGCCACTGTCTCCAGGCCCCGTTGCCGGAATGAGCTAGGCGTGGGAGTGAGCCCAGGCATGCGAGGCTGTGGCTTTAGATTATTTTATCTTTTGGAGTAGGTATTACATTCTCACGACTTAACAATGCTCCACAGGGCTTCTGTCCCACCTCTCCAGCACCCCCTCCCCAGTACTCCTCCGCAGAGGCAACCACTGTCGTGAGAGGCGATCTGCGGCTATACCAGCATGTACATATCCATGTGTATATATCTCCCTGCCACACTGCCCCTTGCATCCTCCTCTCAGCACTTGTACAAGCATGTCTCGGTGCACGGGCCCGGGTCTCTGGGCACACCTGAGTTCACATGTGCCACCTTCTCACTGGCCTCCAGCTCTGCCCACATGCCATCCCTCTGCCCAGGACACTCTCCTCCACGCCCCTTTCTCTCACCCACCTTCCTCCTTTGCTCAACCCCCTTTTTATCCTTAGGTCTCAGTTCAAATGCTTCTTCCCTGGGAGCCCTCCCCGGTGCCCAGGCTTCAGTCTTGCCCTGTCCAATGCTTCCATGACAGCCCGAACTTCTTTACTGTGTCTTCTTGGGAAGACCTGTCCAATTATCTGTGCCCCTACTAGATGTAGGGAAGCCAATTTGTCCTTTTGCCAATGACTTTCCCAGTTTGGGCAGTGATTGGCCCATGTCCCAGGAAAGCCATCAGGCCCAGGTAAACCAGGATAGTTGGTCATCCGACTAGACACAGAGATCCTAGAGGGCAGGGAAGAGGCCTGCCTCATCCATCCCAGTGTCCCCAGCACCTAGCATGGTGCCTGGCACCTAGAGGCTTCATAAGTATTTACTGAAGCATAAACACAACAGTCCTGCTTATGTAGCAATTACTCCAGGCCAGGCACCATTCTGAGCACCCTAAACAGATCAATTCATTTAATCTTCACAACAACCCAATGAAGCAGACAAAGGCTCTGGGGAGGTAAGGCACTTGCCCAAGGTCACACAGTCAGCAGGGGTGCAGCCAGGATTCCAGCTGCTTTGCCCAGGACCCTCAGGGGGCACAGCTGTTCCAGGGCCTTCCATGCTGACCTGAACTGGCTCCTGCAGAGGGAGAGCTGTGCAGGAAGAAGCCCTGAGGCTCCCACATCCCTCTGGGCTGACTGGAGCCTGAGGAAACACCTAGCTTTAGCACTGAGCCTCTGGAGTGTCCCCCACCCCGGAGCAGCTCCACCACCCCCATGCCCCGGTGCTTTGCTGCACAGTTGAGAATACTCTCTGCTGTCAGCACAGGGGACCAGCTCTGAAAGGGAAATTAGGGGAGCAAAAATCATTGTCCTCATTTCACAGGCACAGCTTAGAGAGGATTAGTGACCTAGCTCCTGAAGGCCTAGAGCTCTGGGTAGCTGCCCCTTCACCAAAGAACCCCCTCCTGCTAAAAACAAAGCAAAACTCGCCTGCACACACAGCCTTCTCTCCAACTTGGAGTCATGAACGTCATTCCTGACTCAGCCCCTCCTCATTCTAGCTGTGTATCCTTGGATAGGTTATCTAACTTCTCTGAGTCTCACTTTCCTCATCTGTAAAGTGGGAATAATAATAATAATAGTACCTATCTCATAGACGTGTTGCTGGATTAAATGAATTTATATATATAGTCGTGTGTGTGTGCGCACACACACACACACTATAAACTGCTTAGAACAATCCTGACACACAGCAAATGCTAATTGTTGGCTGTTCCATCTTTCCAGGATGCCCTTCCTCACAACATGGTGAAATCCAACACTCTTTGAGGCTTTCCTGCCCCTCAGACTCACAGAGAGTTGTCACACTCCTCCGGAGGGCTGGGTGGGCCGACAGTGTCATTCATGCAGTCTGTGCTACTGGAGCTTCCCAAGGTGGGGCTCCCTCCTCCTTCCCCTGGGTCTGCTTATCCTGCCATGCAGAGACACCAGTTCAGAATTTACCTGATGGCAATCTACCACATTCAAATACTGGGGAGCTGTCCGCTATCCTAACCCAATCTCCATTCTTGTCCACATCCCCCTCTCCTTGCAATCACAATACACAAACAGCACCTTATACTTCAAGGGAAAAAATACTCTATTGTTTTGTTATTACAAAAGTAAAAATGTCCATTGTAAAAAATCCAAACAATAGAGGTGTGTAAAAGTTAAAATCCCCTTCAGCAAACCCCACTGCTCAGAAGTGACCTCCCGTAGTTGGCTGTGTCCTCTCCCAGCCCTTCTGCATATTTATAAACACAGGCTGTTCTTTTTCACAAAATCTGAAACCCAGGGTACATATTGCCTTGCAACTTCTTCTTTTCCATTCTTGTATTCAAATTTATTTAACTGCATTTTTTTCTCTCAATCTACCATAACAATACATGCTATTGCAACAAGCCAGATGTCACAGGGTAATGGGGACCAAAAAAGGCCATGCCTGTCTTTCCTACCTCCTGGAGATCCACGGAACCATCAAGAAGAGGCTGGCAGGAATCTTTCCTCAGGCAGGGAAGGATGTATATCCCTCATATGCAGTACTCTTTTTTTATTTGTTTGTTTGTTTGTTTGAGACGGACTCTCCCTCTGTTGCCCGGACTGAAGTGCAGAGGCATGATCTCAGCTTACTGCAACCTACATCTCGTAGGTTTCAGCAATTCTCCTGCTTCAGCCTCCTGAGTAGCCGGGATTACAGGCACTCGCCACCATGCCTGGCTAATTTTTGTATTCTTTGTAGCGATGGGGTTTCACCACGTTGGCCAGGCTGGTCTCAAACTCCTGGCCTCAAGTGATCCACCTGCCTCAGCTTCCCAAAGTGCTGGGATTACAGGTGTGAGCCACCACGCCTAGCCAGGTCCAGAACTCTTACAAATTACATAGAAAAAGTCAAATAATTAAAAGATGAGCAAAAACACTTGCTGCTTTCTTTCATTATATATATGCACCTACCTTTCTTTAGGCTCATACAAACATAACCAACATACAGTCATGTGTCATTTAATGACAAGGATATGTTCTGAGAAATGTGTCATTAGACAGTTTTGTCATTGTGCAAACTTCAGAGTGTACTTACACGAACCTAGACAGTAGAGTCTACTACACACCTAGGCTGTGTGGTCTGGCCTACTGCTCCCAGGCTACAAACATGTACAGCATGGTACTGTGCCGAATGCTGTAGGCAACTGTAACACAATGCTAAGTATGTGTGTATCTCAACATAGAAAAGATACAGTAAAAATATGGTATAAAAGATTTAAAGGCCGAGCTCAGTGGCCCATGCCTGTAATTCCAGCACTTTGGGAGGCCAAGGCAGGAGGATCACCTGAGGTCGAGAGTTCGAGACCAGCCTGACCAACATGGAGAAACCCTGTCTCTACTAAAAACACAAAATTAACTGGGCGTGGTGGTGCATGCCTGTAATCCCAGCTACTTGGGAGGCTGAGGCAGGAGAATTGCTTGAACCCAGGAGGCGGAGGTTGCAGTGAGCCGGGATCTAAAATAATATACCTGTACAGGGCCCTTACCACAAATGGAGCTTTCAGGACTGGAAGTTGCTCTGGGTGAGCCAGTGAGTAAGTGGTGAGTGAACGTGAAGACCTAGGACATTACTATACACTGTAGGCTCACTAAGTACTATACCCATAGGCTACATTTATAAAATGTAATTTATGAAAACATATTTTTCTTTCTTCAATAAATTAACCTTAGCTTACTGTATTATCGTAACTCTTACTTCACAAACTTTTTAATTTTTTTAACTTTCTGACTTTTGTAAAACACAAACAACATTGTACAACTGTAAAAAAGTTTTATTTCTTTATATCCTTATACTATAAGCTTTTTTCCGTTTTTAACTTTTTTCCTTTTGAAATTTTTTTGTTAAAAACTAAGACACAGATACACACATTAGCCTAGGCCTACACAGGGTCAGTATCATCAGCATCACTGTCTTCCACCTCCACGTCTTGTCCCACTGGAAGGTCTTCAGGAGTAATAACAGGCATAGAGCTGTCCTCTCCTATGATAACAGTGTCTTTTTCTTTTTTTCTTTTCCTGAGATGGAGTCTTGCTCTGTCGCCAGGCTGGAGTGCAGTGGCGTGATCTCTGCTTACTGCAACCTCCGCCTCCCGGGCTCAAGCAGTTCTCCTGCCTCAATCTTCCCAGTAGCTGGGATTACAGGCGCCTACCACCATGCCCTGCTAATTTTTGTGTTTTTAGTAGAGACGGGGTTTCTGACCTCAAATGATCCACCCGCCTCGGCCTCCCAAAGTGCTGGGATTACAGGCGTGAGCCGTCACGCCCAGCCACAGAGTCTTTTACTAGAACACCTCCTGAAGGACCTGTCTGAGACTGTTTCATTAAAAAACAAATTTAAAAAAAAACCCTTTTTTTATAAGTAGAAAGAGTAACACTAAAATATTGATGTATTAATTATAGTACAATAAATACATAAACCAGTAACATAGTCATTTATTATTATCAAATATTATGTATTATAAGTAATTGTATGTAATATACTTTAAAAAAATTTTTGTTTTTGTGACAGAATCTCACTCGGTTGCCCAGACTAGTGTGCAATGGTGTGATTACGGCTCACTGCAGCCTCGACCTCCTGCCTGAAGTGATCCTCCCACCTCAGCCTCCTGAGTAGCTGGGACAATAGACACACGCCACTACACCCAAATTATTGTATTTTTTATTTTTAATTTGTAGAGACGGGGTCTCCCTGTGTTACCCAGACTGGTCTTGAATTCTTGGGCTCAAGCAATCCTCCAGCCTCAGCCTCCCAAAGTGCTGTGAAACACTTTTATATGACTGGCAGCACAGTAGGTTTGTTTACACCAGTCTGCCATAAATACGTGAGTAATGCATTGCACTACCTTACTATGGCTATGATGTCACTGGGCGATAGGAATTTTTCAGCTCCATTATAATCTTATAGAACCACTCTGTATAAGCAATTTGTCATTGACCAAAATGTCATGGCATAACACATGATTGTATTTACCCTGGTGAAGCCTTGCCTCCCACGTCTTACACACACACACTTTGTTAAAGCACAAAAAGGGATCATACGTTACACACACCTTACCTCACCTGCATAGCTGCCTTTTCTTAACCTAATAGAATATCGCAGACAACCCCACAAGTCACTGCATATAAATTCAATGAGCTCATTCTCAGTAGTTCCAACATATTCCCTCCCTGGAATGGATACAACCAAATTTATCCCCTCATACTGTTAGAGGTAGACACTGAGATTGTCACTATGGACACTGCGGTTAAAAAAAAAGCAGAGGGGGGGCTAGATTTTATGAACAGAGTCTCCAATGTGGGCTTGCTGGGGCAAAGAACATGTCCATTTCTATTTGAATAGTTAGTATTTGGAGAACAATGGCATTTTGCTTATATTTTTAATTTGCATTTCTCCAACAACTGGGGAAGTTGAATGCCTTTCTCATGTTTATGCTTGTATTTGCATTTCCTCTTCTTTGACATGGTTTTGCTTGTTTTTCTATTGTTTAACTTTTCCCAATTATTTTGTAGGGGTTTTGTATATAAAAGATATGAATGCTTTATCTATCTCTATAACAAATATTTTTTTCCCATCTACTATTGTGTCTGGACTTGTTTATGGAGTCTTTCTATTTTTTTTTTTTTTTTTTTTTTGAGACAGATTTTCGCTCTCGTTGCCCAGGCTGAAGTGCAATGGCACGATCTAGGCTCACCGCAATCTCCGCCTCCTGGGTTTAAGTGATTCTCCTGCCTCAGCCTCCCCAACTAGCTGGGATTACAGGCACGTGCCACCATGCCTAGCAAATTTTGTATTTTTAGTAGAGACAAGGTTTCTCCATGTTGGTCAGGCTGGTCTCGAACCCCCAACCTCAGGTGATCCGCCCACCTCGGCCTCCCAAAGTGTTGGGATTACAGGCGTGACCCACCGTGCCCAGCCTCATGGAATCTCTTAACATGTAGGTAAGCCCAGGCTGTTGTGTCTCATGCCTGTAATCCCAACACTTTGGGAGGCTGAGGCAGGCAGATTGCTTGAGCCCAGAAGTTCAAGACCAACCTGGGCAACATGGCGAAACCCATCTCTACAAAAAAAATATATATATATATATATATGCAAAAAATTAGCCAGGCATGGTCGTGCATGCCAGAAGATCAAGGCTGCAGTGAGCCATTATCGCGCCACTGCTCTCCAGGCTGGGCGACAAAGTGAGACCTTGTTTCAAAAACAAAAAACAAACAAAAAAAACCCATGTAGGTAGACATTTAAACATTTTATAATCTATCCATCTTTCCCTATATGGTCCTGCGTTCCTGGTTTGTTTGAGGAGATCCTTCCTACATCCAAGACTATACACTGATACAAGAATTTTACTGAATATTTTTCTTATACTTTTACTGTCTAATTTTATATATTTAGGTCATTTTGCTACTGGAAAGCGGTCCCCATACAGACCCCAAGAGAGGGTTCTTGGATCTTGCACAAGTAAGAATTCGAAGGAAATCCATAGAGTAAAAGTGAAAGCAAGTTTACTAAGAAAGTAAAGGAATAAAAAAATGGCTACTCCGTAGGCAGAGCAGCCCCAAGGGCTGCTGGTTGCCCTTTTTTATGGTTATTTCTTGATGATATGCTAAACAAGGGATGGATTATTCATGAGTGTTCTGGAAAAGGGATGAGCAATTCCCAGAACTGAGGGATCCTCCCCTTTTTAGACAACATAGGGTCACTTCTCGGTGTTGCCATGGTATTTGTAAACTGCCATGGAGGTAGTGGGAGTGTCTTCTAGCACACTAATGTATTATAATTAGTGTATAAGAAGCCATGAGGACGACCAGAGGTCACTCCCATCACCATCTTGGTTTTGGTGGGTTGTGGCCAGCTTCTTTACTGCAAACTGTTTCATCAGTAAAGTCTTTATGACCTGTATCTTACGCTGACCTTCTATCTTACCCCGTGACTTAGAATGCCTAACCTCCTGGGAATGCAGCCCAGTAGGTCTCAGCCTTATTTTACACAGCCCCATATTCAAGATGGAGTCACTCTGGTTCAAACGCCTCTGAAAATTTGTCCAGATGGATGCAACTTGCTTCTTAACTCTTCATGTACTTCCTTCCTCATTAGCTTATATGGATTGTCCCATTCTTTTTCAATATTGCATCATATTCCACTGAAAGTTACCTATTTAACTTGGAGTATTTTGGGATATTGAAGTTGTTTGTAGTTTTTGTTTTGTTTTGTTTTGTTTTTTAGACAAAGTCTCACTCTGTTGCCCAGGCCGGAGTGCAGTGGCGCAATCTCAGCTCACCACAACCTCTGCCTCCCGGGTTCAAGGGATTCTCCTGCCTCAGCCTCCCAAGTAGCTGGGACTACAGGCACGTGTCACCATGCCCGGCTAATTTTTTGTATTTTTAGTAGAGACGAGGTTTCACTATGTTGGCCAGGCTGGTGTAGTTTTAAATACTATTTAATAACACCAACAGATTATTGAGTGTCTCTTACCTACCAGGCACGGACCTAAACACGTTGCACATATCAGCTCATTTAACCCTCACAATACTACCAAGCAGGTTCTATTATCCTTTTTTGTAAGTGAGGAAGTACACCTTGTCAAGATCACACATATGGTGCAGCTAGGATTCTGACCCAGTCCAAGGTGCAAGGACTCAAAAATTCCGAGCTCTTGACCACCATGTATACTTTCTCTGATATTTACAAATGTAACTTGAAATATTCCATACTTTCATTTCTGTAAGGATGGAGACCAGGCAAATAAACATTTGCTAGGCTCCTCTTCTATCCCAGACCCTGTACTAGCTGCCTTTCTGGGTTGTCTCCTGGCATTCTCACCAATGTCCTCTGAGTGCTGGAGCCAGCTACTTTCCAGATAGGGAAACAGAAAATCAGCCATGTTAAGCCCCTCTCCCAGGGTCCATAGGTGGCTGTGCTGGTTTCAAACCCAGTCCCATGCCACTCATGTATTCTAGTTTTTCACTGAAAGATATGCTCACCAACTTTACAAATAACACATTGATGAACCCATACTTTTTTATTTCTTTTGCTGCTGCTGAACTATTTCCTTGGGATGCATTCCCGGAGTGAGATTACTGAGTCAAAGGGCATGAATATTTTATGGCTTTCCATCTATATTGCCAAATTGTTATGACAAAGGGCTGCACCCATGTTCTCTGCCACCAGCACCACGGGGAGTATCATGCCCTACAGATTCAGACACTAAGGTGGGGAAACCGAAGTTCCAAGGCCTGCCACATCTAACACATTAAGTCCCAGCAGGAGCATTTTAGAAAGAGCTGGTGAATAAAGGGCTCTGGCTTCCCTGACAGCCTTGATGCCTGGTGGGTTTCTGGGTTGGGTGCTTTTGTTTTTTGTGTTATTTTGCAGAAGTTTGCCTTTCTTGTGAAATCGTTTAAAATGTGGCTGAAATGGAACGAAGCATAGCTAGGCTTGTCTTTTAAAGAAAGAACAAATCTGAGGAAAACCCTTTTCTGATGTGGCGCCCCTTGGCCAGGGAGGGGGCCGCCCTGGCGCGGGGGCATCTAGGGGGCGTGGGCAGCCCAGGGAGGGGGCATCTTAGGGCGGGGGGCTGCCGGGGGAGGGGGCACCTGGGAGGGGCAGCCCGGGGAGGGCCAGGCGGGGTCGGCCGCGGGCTCGCAGGGGCGGCCGATAAGGCGGGAGCGGCCCGTCGCCACGGCGGCCCTGGCCCGGCGGGAAGGCGGGAAGGCGGGAAGGCGGGAAGGGGCCCGGCCGGGCTAGCGCAGATAACGCCCAGGGCTCGGGCGGCCGAGACTCGGAGACGCCGCGGCCGCGGGAGATAGAGGCGCCCTGGCCCAGCCGGCAGCCCGGGGGCGGCGAGGGCTGAGGGAAGCCCACGGCCGGGAGGGCGCAGGGACCACGCGGGGCTGCCCCGGCGACCCCCGCAGCAGCCGTCTCTTTGGCTGCAGTCCCCTCCTCTGTGAAACGAGGGCCTGGAAGAATCGTCAGTGACCTCCTTCCTCGCACACGGCCTGCGCCCGGACCTCTCGGTCACCCGGTTCCTCTCAGCCAGGCCTCGAGGGGCGCGATGGGGACAAAGCTGCCCTTTCCGCAGACGGGGAGTTGACGCCCTGGGGGGCGAAGGGACTGTCCCTGGCCACCTGGCCGCCAGCATCGGTGGGGACCCGAGTGCAGAACTCCACACTCCACTTCTCTCTCCACTGCCCCACAAAGAGGGGCTTTTCCCCTTCAGCGGCTGACAAGGAAATCTCTAAGACTGGCATTTGCATTCTGCCTTTTCAAATTCTTCAAATTCCCCACATAAAATTCAGTTGGCTGCCAGACAGGGAGGGAGGCGGAGGACTGGGGGAGAGGCCTGACAGGGGCAGCCAGGAGCCGTCCACCGGCCCCAGCTCTCCTCGGAGAAACAGCTCTGGGGTGGGGTTCCGGAAATCCAGGCACACACGGAGGGAGCCCCCTGTGATCACCCCACTGCCAAGACCAGGCATCTCCAACAGGGCGCGGGGCCTGACCTCTCCAGCTCGCATTCAAAGCCTGTCCTGGCACTGTTCTCCTCCTGCACCTGCACGGGGATGAGGGGGCCAGCCCCTCTTCCACTGCACACAGCTTGCCCGCCTCAAGGCCTCATTCACTTTTTGACCTTCTGGACAATTCTAAAGCCGTACTCTTTCTCCCATAGACGCCTTCCCTTCACCCCACCCGTCCCCAAGGACTTCACTCTTTATGGCTCCTTCCAGAAAGGATTTTCCAGGAAGTTTTTCTTTTCATTAAGCTGCTTTGAGAACCGTGTTCTATGTAAGATTTGACTCCTCTGTGATTCAGCTCCCACTGCTTGCATGCCTGCTGTGTGCCAGACCCTTCCTGTCAGCAACCTCAGGAGACAGCCACTATCACACCCATTGTACAGATGAGGCAAACCGAGCTCAGTAACTTGTTCAGGGTCACAAAGCCAGAAATCAGGTAGGCCTAGCTCCAGATTCAGGCAGAATGTGAGTACAAAGCAACTCATCAAGAGACCTTAGTTCCAGGAATCCCGGCGCTGCCTCAGTGTGGCTGCTCTTGGGTAAGTTGCTCCCTCTCTCAGGGCCTCCGTCTACGGGGAGAGAAATGGGGATGAAGACAGTGTCTCCTTCCCAGGGCAGCTGTGGGGTCTGCAGAGAGATGGATGTGGAGCTAGGCCCACAGGCCAGCCCATCCCCCTGGGGGAAATTCTGGGTTATAAGAATGCCCCCTTCTTCTCCAGGTTACCAGCACTGACTCATGGAAACTGAGTTTTCTGTGCCCCCTACACCCCAGGCCTCTCCTAGAAACAATAGCAACCCCCCCATTTCCTTCTGGCACATGGGCAATACCCTCAGCCTCTGGGGTCCTCAGCTTCCCCTCTCTGTGCACATACCCCCTCCCCAGGCTCTCAGGGATCTGCTCCCTCCTTCTCCCCCATTCAGATGTACTCTTAGAAAAGCCACTCCATTCCAGTCGAATATGAATATGAATACATTCAAGTTGCCAGCATGATCTTCTCAAAATATGCATGTTATCAGCCGGAGATTCTGGGCAGTTACTGGTTTGGGGTTATATGCCCCTCCTCCTCCCCAGGCAGAAAGGCTGGTCATGCTCAGCGTATCTGGAATTCAAAATTTTTATATTTTTGTTGGTTTATTCCCCCTGCCCCCACATCCTGAACTGAGGGAGAGGGTTTATATGAGCCCACTAATTAACAGAACAGAAGCCTTTTTATTTCGTAAATAAAAGCATAGATACACTGTATGAACAGAAATGCAGCATGTTCCCTGGAGAGTGTTTAAACTTTTAAAAATATTCCCCCCAGGGTCTGGGCAGGTGAGCCCCGAGGGGCTTTTCCAGGGGGAGACCTTGGTTGGGGGAACTGGTTGTCCCTCAGGGAGGAAGGTTCCTTAGGCTCCGAGCTGGGCCCCCCTGCAGTGTGGCGGTCCAGCTCGCAGTGGCCCCTCTGTGCCCATTCCGGCCCCAGCTGCATAGCCCTTCCCGACATGGGCTTCTTTGCTGGGCCTCCCTGCAGAAGTTAGAGGAAAGCTAATGACAACTGTCCTCAGAGTGAATGCCTCTGGGTTCTGGTGTAGTCAGACGGGGCTGTGAGACCTTGGGCAAGTCCCTGGTCCTGTCTGGACCTCACTTTCCTCCATGTGAGGAATGGAAGGTGCAGGTGGAATCCGCTCTGCCGTCTCCTCCCACCCTGAGGTCCTAGGCTGCTGTTCAGAGGCTGTTCTGGAAGCAGAAGGTGACTCTGTAGGTGGCCAGACTTTGGCCTGCAGGCTTCATGCCTCAAATCACATTTGGATGTTGGCTGCTTTTCATCCTCACAACATCACCAGTCAGCCCCTACCTTTATACCAGTTTCACAGATGGGGAAACTGAGGCCCCGTGTTTGACGTGACACCCAGACCCCATGAAGAAAGCCAGGCAGAAGTGATTCTCCTCTTTCTGTAAATGTGGAAACTCAGGTCCTAAGGATTCTGGCAACTCTGTGACTGGCCCCAGAGGCGAGGCCAGAATCTCACCAGGGACCTTGCTCGACCAGGGTAACAACCCCTGGGAAGCGCAAAGTGCGGGCCTCGAAACGGGTGCAGGTTGCTGCGCCTCCGGGGCTGGGTTTCCCTGGCTGTGACCCGAGGCTAAAGGGATGGTGGTGTGGATACACTCAGAGGTGAGCCACAGCCCTGAAAAACTGTGACTCTGCTTCCTTGAGTCCAGTGGCCGGCGTGGGGCCATCTGGTGGCCGAGCCCCATCACTACAGGAGCTCCCAAGGCCAGGAGGCCCAGAGTTTTCTGGTCAGATTTCCTGGAGTTTCCAGAAACAATCTGCAAGTTTTGAACCCGGATCCTGTGGCAGCCAGAATAATTCATAAGAAGCTGGGTTTGGCTGCTGGAGCAACTTCTACTCCAGCGCTGATGCAAGAAGAGCTCCTTTCTGTCCAGTCTCTAGGGGTCTCAAGTGCTGAGCTGCTGTGAAGGCAGCTCGCGTCCCACCCCAGAGATCCCTCTGCCCACACAGTGATGGGGAGACTGAGGCCTTAGGAAGGCCAGCCCTCAACAGAGATCACACAACAAACAGGGAAGAGGACAGGCCCCAGGTGTGTGCAGCAAAGCCTGGCATCTCAGCTCACCTGCTGTGGGACCCTGTGCAAATTACACACCGTCTCTGAGCCTCAGTTTCTTTATTAGAAAAGGAGGACCGTTGTGAAGATCAAATAACAATGTGTGCATGTTGCCTTGGACATGATAATGAGCTGTACTTATCATTAGGATTACAGCAAATGCTTTTCATTGTTACTTCTCTCATGCTCACCATGGTGAGGGACCTTCTTAGTACCATTTCACAGACGGGACACGCAGAGGACTTAGCTTGAATAGCATGCCCTGGAATACATTCAGTAAATGGTCACTCAGAAATGCAAACACTAGCTGTTTCAGGAGGTGCACACTGAAGGGCCATAGAGGTCCGATGCCGGAGGCCCACTTTCAGATGGTTCAGAGAAAATAACAAGGAGGCCAGGCGCAGTGGCTCATGCCTATAATCCCAGCACTATGGGAGGCCGAGGCAGGTGAATCACCTGAGGTCAGGAGTTCAAGACCAGCCTGGGCAACATGGTGAAACCCCATCTCTACTAAAAATACAAAAAATTAGCCAGGCAGGGTGGCGCGTGCCTGTAATCCCAGGTACTTGGGAGGCTGAGGCAGGAGAATCGCTTGAACCTGGGAGGCAGAGGTTGCAGTGAGCCGAGATTGTGCCACTGCACTCCAGCCTGGGCGACAAGAGTGAAAATCCATCTCAAAAATAAATAAATAAATAAAATAAAAATAAAGAGGAGAGAAAATGAAGCGTAATTGAACAAAACGTCAACAATGGATGATTCTGGCTACAGGGTATATGCAAAGTCTCTATTCTATTATTTTGAAATTATATCAAAAGTGTTTTAAAGCCCAGCCATTTCCAAATTCTACCTAGTTTCCTCTACCACACTCCTGGTGAGCCAGTGGAAATCCAGGCCTCTGAGAGTTCTTTGCTCTAGACTGGTGGCCCAGCCCCCGTGACAGTTGGCAACCGCCCTGCAATCCCCCATGGAAAGCCAGAGGTGCTCCTGCCCTGCAGCCAGCGTCACCTGGGTCCCCCATGGCTCCTCAGGGCCTCTCCTCAGTCTTCCCATTTCCTAGTCCCCTACCACACCCCTGCCCAGGTCCCGGCCAGGCTGTGGTGAGAGGCTGAGGTGGGGTTTATTTATAAGTTCCCGCTGACTATGAATCACTGGAGGAACTGCTCACAGACTGGAGACAAAAGTCTGGGGCCGCCTGGCCAGGAGGAAACACTCTTTAGATTCGACTTTCCCCTTGGCACAAGCCTCCCCACGCCTGGCCTAGCTGGGCTTTGCCAGCCCCTTCTGTTCTCAGAGGCAGAAGCTCATTTGCCGCCAAGTTCTGTCGGCCTGTCCGCCTTGCTGTGTAAACAGGACCTGGGGCTGGCGGCCCAGGCCCCACACTGGAAATGAGCCTGCCTTCCGCAGCCCGGCCACTTCCTCTTCACATCCGGAGACTCCTCAAAGTTTGAATGAGGGCTGGGTGGGCAGGAGGGGAGAAGCTAGGGCCTTGCCCTGCTGTGGCCTTCATCAATCCTGGTGGAGGATTAGTGGACAAATGGAAGGAGCAGAGGACTCCTAAGCAGCCATCAAAGCCCAGTATAAATGACCCCTCCTCTGGGACACCATCCCACTGCTCTGGGTCTGCTCCCTACTGTAGTTCATAGTTTGGTTACATTCAGTAAACATGTACTGAGCACCCACTGCATACCAGGCTCTGTGCAAAGTGACTGTGAAGCAGGGGGGCATGAAGGTAGATATCTTATTCATATTACCTAATTAATTTTTTTCATTCAACTATGAGCTTCTTAAGGGCAGAATTAATGTCTGATTCCAGATCTACCTGATCATACAAAGTGCCTAGTATGGTGACTGCATGTAGCAGAAGCTCAAAAAGTTTATGTTGCATTGACCTGGTTACACTAGGGCAGCCCAGCTTCCAATCCATTTCCCTTTCTGGGGCTCTGTGGCCAATCTAATTTGGCACCCTGTGGCCTAAGTCATGTCCTCTCTTGAAACAACATGGTTTCCCTCTATGAATATCTCAACCCAGGTTTCCATCTGAGTAACTAACAATGTAGGTAATTCGATTTTAGGAACTACTAGAACCCCTCCCCCAACTTCACCCTGCAACATCTTCCCCACTGCTCCGAGATGTCTCCAGCATTGAGGCATTCCTCTGGCCACACATTGCCCTCTCCACAGAATCATCCATCTGATCACGAAATCTCCTTTCTGGTGGGAAGTAACCCAGCTGAACGAAGGGAGTTCAGTCTGAGGGGATGGCATTATACGCCCATTTTACAAATGAGAAAACTGGCTCAAAGAAGTGACTCACAGGCCAGGCGCGGTGGCTCACACCTGTAATCCCAGCACTTTGGGAGGCCGAGGCATGTGGATCACAAGATCAGGAGTTCAAGACCAGCCTGGCCAACATGGTGAAACCCTGTCTCTACTAAAAATACAAAAATTAGCCCGGCATGGTGGCAGGCACCTGTAGTCCTAGTTACTCAGGAAGCAGAGATTTGCTTGAATCTGGGAGGTGGAGGTTGCAGTGAGCCGAGATCGTGCCACTGCACTCCAGCCTGGGCAACAGAGCGAGACTCTGTCTCAGAAAGAATAAAAAAAAGAAGTGGCTCACTTGATCAGGACCACACAGTTGGCACAAGGGAGAGTCCAGTTTGGAGCTCAGCTCTCTGTAGTTGATGTCCAGGATTTTCACATGTAGCAAAATTGCCTCCCCTTATCTGATGCCATCTTTAAGCAGAAGGAAAAGAGAGAAAGCTATGCTTCCTGGGGGAAGGCAGAATGGAAGTCAAACCCAGAAGCTTGTAGTACCAGCTGTTCCAGGCCATGCTCAGTGTAATTTTCCCATCACTTTGTTGTTGTTATTCCCATTTAACAGAAGCCAAGACTGAGGCCTCGAGAGATTGCAATGCCTCACAGAGCTGGTGATGGCAGCCAAGACCCTCACCAGGCCCCCAGCTGTATCTGGACAGTCTTGGATTTGGGGTCCCTAGGTTTGATGCAGGAGTTCCATGGAAAAGCCAGACTGATAGCCAGGGACACCTGGGCAGAATGGTAGAAGCCCCAAGACTGTCATCCCAGGCTCAGCCAGGCAGAATGCCTGTGTGAGTGTTCACACGTACACGTGCTCACATGCATACATGTACACACCAGAAATGCAGTGGAGCTGCCCTTGGGGAACAAATGCCTTGCTTTCAACAGAGTGTCTTCAGAGAAGTTTTAAAATCCCAGTCTCCGAAAGAGAATCACTCTCTGGATAAATAACTACCTGTCGGACAGAAATGAGCAGAACCCATGGGGCTGGAAGACTCCGGCTCCAGCATCTGGGAGAGCTGTTTGGCTGCTCTCAGGGGAGGCTATGGAGGCCTTCCATCATCTGCCTGTCCATCCAGGGGGTGCCACTGTGCCGACCATCGAGGGCTGGACAGGGGAGAGGCATGGCATCTGCAGCCAGAAAGACAGATGTGATGCAGGAGTCTCTTGTAAAGGAGGGGCAGGAGAGGGACAAACATCTGAAGGGCTTTTTTAATCCAGTAGTTTATATTTTATCTGCCTCAAGCCTTTTGCAAAAGCTCTGTACAGCTGAAAAGTCCTTCTCGTTTTCTCTAATAGGAACCTGCCCCCTCCTCTGCCTGGCTCCGGAAGCCTCCCCTAGAGGAACTGGGGTTACCAACAGAGGCTTAACTCTCACCCATTTACTAGCCTGGGGGCCTTAGGTAAATCTGTCCAATAATCAGTGTCCTTATCTGCTCCTCTATAAAATGGGGATAATATTAGCAATTGACAGAGCTGTGTCGGGGGTGAAATAAGACATGAGCTATCTTAATAAGGGGAAGTGTAAGTAAAGAGATGATCATTGTGGTGGCCTACACTGGTCTCATTGCTTCACACAGGATGGCTCTTCTTTATCCCCAATATTCTAAAGTATTGAGAGAGGAGAGGAAGGGTGAGAGGGGATGCTACTTCCTGTTATTCATCTGTACCTTCCTCCCCTCTCATTCCTCCCCATCTGTCCCTGCTCATTAAGCCTAGTAAAATGGTGTGCAGTCTATCAGTTCTTGCAATAACCTAAAGTGATTAGGCGTAGGGGCAGGGGAGGGGACTCAGTGACTCCTCCAGGTCCTCTCTAGCCAGAGAATTCTGGAGATAAAATTCCCTGAAAGAGTTCTCCTGAAGCTTCTTGCTTCAGCCAGTGGGCAGGGACTTTTACATCACTGTCCCACTTAACCTTCATAGCCCTCCTCTGAACTATCTCCATGTGCCCCATTTTACAGATGAGAAAAATGAGGCTCAGAGGAGCTAGGTAACCCTCCCCAAACCACTAGACTAGGACGCGGTTTTAAGCCAAGGATTCAAATCAAGATCAGAGGCTCACTTGTACTAGCTTCAAGTTCTGAGTTGTACAAGTTCTGAAGTCTTGGTGTCCAGGAAAGACCTGGGTCTGAATCCTGGCGCAGACTCTTATGAACTGTGTGACGTGGCACCAGCTCCCCTGAGACTCATGTGTACATCTCTGTAAGTGAGGAGGAGACACTCCACTGGTTGTTGGGAAACTTCATGAGACAACAGATGGAGACCCCCAATGTAGCACTTGTCATGAGTGGGCCCAAATCAATGTTTGTAGGCCATCCCCACCCCTGGGGTGTTCCCATTCTAGGGACTGTTCTTCGTCAGTGATGACCTCAGTGTCCCAACCAAAGCAGCAGGCAAGGAGATTTGCACCAGCTCCAGGTGCAGGGAGCTGGCTGGAAAATGTAGACCCATTAGCCACTGAGCCCCAAAGTTTGTCCCTGAATGCTAGTGCCTGGTGCAGTACCCACACAAAGTGGGTGCTTGGTAAACATTGTTGAATGAATGGATGTTGGTTGGATGCAAAGAGGTTGCTGTTCTAGGGGACAATGGGATGGTCTACATGGAATGAGGGGCTATCCTGGAATGGCTGAGGGGTGAGTTCACTGGGCCTGTATGCACCGCCTACCGGAAGCACACTAGCTCAAGTGCTTCCGGCAGACATTTCCTGGCTGACAACAGTTTTCTGCCTCCTCTTCTCCCTCCTCCTCCTCCACTCAGACCCCCAGGCCCAGAACCCTGGGCTGGCTTCTCTCCCTGCCTCAGGTCCCACCCTGGGATTAGAGTGCCTGTGGATCAGCCTGGGAATTCTCACCTCCCCAGGACCCAGGACCATCTTGTCCACAGCACAGTCAGAGGAGACAAAGCTGCTGTTCTCTCCAAAGTCTACCTCCTCTCTTAAGGGTCCCTGGAACCCCACCGGGGCTCTCCACAATTTGACCCCTTTCCCATCAGTCTGGCTCGGCCTAAGCCTGGCCCCGAGGTCAGACCAACCCCACTTGGAAAAGGATGAAGTCTCATTCCTCAGTGGACCATGCTCTGGCACGTCAAGGGCTGCCAGAACACCATCACGGACCCTTGGTCACCCATAAGACATGGGGATCACATTGTACAAAAGATACACACCTGCTCCAGAGACAGAGCACTCCCAGCAGCCCCTGTGTGACCAATGGGGATTGCGGGGGACTGAGGTTCAGAGTGGTTAAAGCATTTTTCCCTCCCAGAAGTCTAGACTGTGGCTCCTGTTTTAGCCACAGTCTTTAGGCAAAACCCTCTCTGGGTCTCTTTCTCTCTCAAACATGAACAGCAAAGGCTAGACCAGCCTTCTGCCCCTTCCAGCCTTCTGTCTAGAGGTACATCTTCCTCCCCCAACAAACCCACCCCATACACCTACTTGTGCAACTGCCTGCAGCCCCCCAACCCTTCTCTCCTGTGCTTTTTCTGCTTTGGTGACAGATACTTGAGTTTTAGCTCAGGAGTATTAATAATCTCTCACATTAACCAGGACTGCATTAAAAACCACACACAATATTTCTTATTTCATTCCCTACAACTATTTTAGAGATGAGGAAAGTGATGCCCAGAGTGGATACTTGCCTTGCCCCCATAGCTAGCCAGTGGCAGAGCTGGGATTTGAACCCATGCCTTGGCAGGACTGTGTCTGACTCCCTTTTCCCTGCTTCCTTGGCATGGGCACAGGGGCAGGCACAAATCAGATGCCCAATAAGCCTTTGTGGGCATGAGTTAGCCCTTCTGAGGTCTGATGAGGCCTTTTTTAATTATTTTTTGTTTGTTTGTTTGAGATGAAGTCTCGCTCTGTGGCCCAAGCTGGAGTGCAGTGGTGCGATCTCAGCTCACTGCAACCTCCACCTCCCAGGTTCAAGCAATTCTCCTGCCTCAGTCTCTCAAGTAGCTGAGACTACAGGCATGCGCCACCATGCCCAGCTAACTTTTTTGTATTTTTAGTAGACACAGGGTTTCACCATATTGGCCAGATTGGTCTCAAACTCCTGACCTCCTGATCCGCCTGCCTCAGCCTCCCAAAGTGCTGGGATTACAGGCCTGAGCCACTGCGCCTAGCCTTTTTTTTGATTTGAGATGGAGTTTTTGCTCTGTTGCCCAGGCTGGAGTGTGATGGCACAATCTCAGCTCACTGCAACCTCCACCTCCTGGGTTCAAGCAATTCTCCTGCCGCAGCCTCCCAAGTAGCTGGGATTACAGACACCCCCACCACATCCAGCTAATTTTTGTATTTTTAGTAGAGACGGGGTTTCACCATCTTGGCCAGGCTGGTCTCAAACTCCTGACTTCAGGTGATCCACCTGCCTCAGTCTCCCAAAGTGCTGGGATTACAGGCATGAGCCACCACACTTGGCCTGATGAGGCCATTTAAATGGAGGTCTTCTGAGCCCGGGCATAGTGGCTCACCCCTGTAATCCCAGCACTTTGGGAGGCCAAGGCAGGTGGATCATTTGAGGTCAGGAGTTCCAGACCAGCCTGGCCAACATGGTAAAACCCCATCTCTACTAAAAATACAAAATTAGCTGGGCATGGTGGTGGGTGCCTGTAATCCTAGCTACTCAGGAGGCTGAGGCAGGAGAATTGCTTGAACCCGGGAGGCAAAGGCTGCAGTGAGCCAAGATCGCACCACTGCATTCCAGCCTGGGCAACAGAGCAAGTCCCTGTGAAATGAATGAATGAATGAATGAATGAATGAATGACTTCTGGAGACAAAGCCTTTCCCAGGGAATGGGTTGGACCTTCAGACCCACAGCAGGACCAAATCAGAAAGGGCCTCTGCCTTCCTGTACACTCTGGTGGTCACCAGAGTTGGGGACCTCAGTTTCCCCAACTATAAAATGAGAATAACAATCACACCCATGCCTTAGGGATGGCCTGAGCCCCACTGAGGCCAAGGTGCTCTCCCTCCACTGGCCCAAAGCAGCAGGGCCCTGCCAGGCTCTGGAAGCTAAGAGTAGGCGCTGCCCTGAGCCACTGAGACAGGCTGGGAGCCCCCACCCCCACCTGCGTAGCTTCAGCACACATGGGGACTCGTGCTCACGTCACAGCCACACCTCTCGCTCTGCCTGCCAACCCAAACCTGGCTGGCTGAAGGGGCTGCAGCCAAGAAAAAAGCTGGCCTGTGGGGATATTTGCTCTCCAGGGCTCAGCGATTGTGGAGTAATGACTACAGTGGCCGGCAGAGTCAAAGGGGACTCTGTTCTCTGAAGCCAGGTCTCCCACAGCTGGCTACCCACAGCCTGAACTCAGGCCGACAGAGCCGCGGCTCTGGGCCTGGCACCAGCCACCAAGCCTCACACTCTCGACCTCATTTAATCCTTATGACAACTCTGCCAAGGTGGTTCTACCATGTGATTCAACAGACAAGTAAACTGAGGTGCAGGGAGACAAGATGACTAATCTAAGGTCCTGCAACTAGTGAGGGGCAGGCCAGGTCTGTCTGACGCCACTAACCATGGCACCAAGACCTGACCATAACCCATTTCATGGGAAGCCCCCAACAAGGCTGCATTGGATAGATTTGAGCACCTACTATGTGCCAGGCTAGCTACTTTGCTTGAATATTGTTTAACCTTAAACTGAAAAACCTGGCCGGGCACAGTGGTTCTCTCTTGTAATCCCAGCACTCTGGGAGGCCGAGGCAGGCGGATCACTTGAGGTCAGGAGTTTGAGACCAGCCTGGCCAACATGGTGAAACCCCGTTTCTATTAAAAATACAAAAAAATTACCTGGGCATGGTGGTGCCCGCCTGTAATACCAGCTGCTTGGGAGGCGGAGGCAGGAGAATCACTTGAACCCGGGAGGCAGAGGTTGCAGTGAGCCAAGATCGCACCACTGCACTCCAGCCTGGGCAACAGAGTGAGACTCCATCTTAAAAAAAAAAAAAGAAAGAAAAGAAAAACCTAGAGAAAGAGGCATCACTAGCCACCTCATACAGATGAGAAAACTGAGGTTCACTCAAGATCCATTTCAATTGTCAACAGACCCAGGTACTGTTTAATAGCTGACACAGACCCCTTCACCCCTTCCTTCCTTCCATGTTAGAAAGAAAGCAGACGCCTACTACCCTTTTGACTCGCAAATATTATCCCTGTGTGTCTAACCTGTCCTGCAAAGTACAGCTGAGTCAGGGCTACTCAACCTTTTTGGAGTTTGGGATGGGATAACCTGGTCCTGTCCCTTTTTCGTTGGCAAGATCATAAGTATTCAGCTCAATGAATTCTCAAAAAGTGAATACAACGGTGTAACCTCTGCTTCAAAGGTGCTGCTTTTGAAAATGAATGTGTTCCCCTGAGCAGCACAGAGGCACTTGGGGAAGCCAGACTGGGGGATCAGGCTGGGCTGCTCTGCCTGGGAAAGAGGTCCCTGGGCATCACTGTCCTGCCAGATTTGGGCACCCGAATGAGTCTTGTCAACAAGATTGATTCACAGGGCTCTTGCTGAACTGCTGACATGTAGGTCGAGGAGGACTGGGGTGGGGCCTGAGGGTCTGCATATCTAAGGAGCTCCCAGTGATGCCGATGTGGCCACCCTGGCTTCTCAGAGTGTGGTCCCGAGCATGCAGCATCAGCCTCACCTGCAGCTTGCTGGAAATGCAGAATCTCAGGCTGCACTCCGGACATAGCAAGCATCAGAATAGCTGGGAGCATTAAAAGTGATTGAGGCCTCATCCCCAGAGCTCCTAATTTAATTGTCCCAGAGTATGGCCGGAGCATCAGCATTCTTGACTGCTCCTTGACCTCCGATGCACAGCGAAGGTTGGGAAGTTCTGCTATGGCATCGCGAGTCTGCAGTGCTGGAAAGGACTGACTTTTCACTATTTTACCTCCTCCTTTTATAGAGGAAGAGAAATAGGTCTGAGGTCACATCATGTAGGAATAAACTCATCAAACTTTTTTTTAAGGAATATATAAAATTTATTTTCTTGCACATTCATAAAATACATTTACAAAGCTACACAAGAATCTAATAACACAGGTAGCCTGTGGGGAAGTGAACTGGGTGGCTGAGTGAGTGACAGGGTGGCATAGAGTATTTTCACAATTTTTATTGTAAACTATGAGAGGGAATTATTATTTATTTTTATTATTGTTACCTTTAAAAAATAGAGACAGGAATCTCACTATATTGCCCAGGCTGGTCTCAAACTCCTGGGCTCAAGTGATCTCCCTGCCTTGGCCTCCCAAAATGTTGTGATTACAGGCATGAGCGTCTGTGCCTGGCCAAGAGTGAATTATTTATTTTAAAAAATTATACCAAAAAAAGCATTTTTAGGAATTATTCTGAATAAAATGGGTGTTATTAATTTAAATCACCCATCACATATGGCAGAAATAGTACAAGAAACTGACACAAACTTCTATAGCCACCTGCGGGCTGGTGCCACAGGCCAGGTGATGGGGTAGAAAACTCCAAACACAGCTCTCTCTTTGGTTCCCAGGCCTCTCCACCCATCACAAACCAGCTGTGTATCTTTTGATAAGCCATTTAACTGCTGTGGGCCTAGTATCATTCATTTGTTCAATGAATGGGAGGGGTTTTTTTCTTTTTTTTTCTTTTGAGATACAGTCTCGCTCTGTTGCCCAGGCTAGAGTACAGTAGTGTGATCTTGGCTCACTGCAACCTCCACCTCCTGGGTTCAAATGATTCTCCTGTCTCAGCCTCCCAAGTAGCTGGGACTACAGGCGTGTATCACCACACCCAGCTAATTTTTATATTTTTAGTAGAGATGGGGTTTCACCATCTTGGACAGGCTGGTCTCAAACTCCTGACCTCAGGTGATCCACCTGCCTCGCCTCCCGAAGTGCTGGGATTACAGGCGTGAGCCACCTCAGCTGGCCTGGGAGTTTTATTTAATTATGTTTTCAACTTTTATTTTAGATTCCAGGGTACACGTGCAGGTTTGTTACCTGGCTATATTGCATGCTGCTGAGGTTTGGATTACCAATGATCCCATCCCACAGGTACTGAGCATAGTACCCAATAGTTAGTTTTTAACCCTTGCCTTCCCTCCTCCCTCCCCACTCTAGTAGTCTCCAGTTTCTTTTGTTCCCATCTTTATGTCCATGAGTATCCAATGTTTAACTCCCATTTATAAGTGAGAACATGCGGTATTTGGTTTTCTGTTCCTGCATTAATTCGCTTAGGATAATGGCCTCCAGCTGCATTCATGTTGCTGCAAAGGACATGATTTTTTTTTTTTATGGCTGCATCAGCAAATGTTAAAACAGGATGTCACTTTGGCGTTACTTCAGTTGATTCAATCATATTTTGCATTTAGAGAAACTGGAGTCAAGGGGAGATAGGACAGCTACCAGGGGCACTAAAATCTAAGACTTCTCTCCAGCTTACCTTCCCTCTCTCAGTTGTACCTTTTCTCCCTGCAGGGATCAGATTCTAGACCTGGCAAAGGACAGGCCCTCTGTATCTCTTGCTCTTCAGCTGCAGTTGGCAAAAAAAACCTTTCTCCCTTGAATCTCAATATGTGGACTAAGGACCTTCATAGTTGCCAGGGCTGTAGTATTAAAAATGCAGCTAGGCAAGGAACCAGGACTCCATAAAGGGAATAGTAATCATTGTTACCATGTGGATTTTAAAAATGAAAAAAAAAAAAATAGCTGGGCATGGTGGCTCACACCTATAGTGCCAGCACTTTGAGAGGCCGCGGCGGGAGGATCACTTGAGGCCAGGAGTTCAAGACCAGCCTTGGCAAAACAGTGAGACCTCATCTCTACAAAAAATTAAAAAATAAGCTGAGCATGGTGGTGCACACCTGTAGTCCCAACTACTCAGTACAGGGGGCTGAGGTGGGAGGATAGCTTGAGCCAAGGAGTTTGAGGCTGCAGTGAGCTGCGATCTCACCATTGCACTCCGACCTGGGTGACAGGGAGAGATCCTGTCTCAAAAAAAAAAAAAAAAGAAAAGAAACGAAACAGACAACTAAAGAGTAGGAAAAAATATAAAAGGTTCATAAATACAAGAGGTGTTCAACTTCACTTACATTTGAAGAAATGTAATACAACCCTCACCTACAGGATAAAGATTTTTTAAATGGTCAGGTAATGGTATGGGGAAATAAGCAAATTGCAGTTGGTGAACATGTAAATGTACAAAAATTTGAGCTTGGTAGTTTGATGATATCTATAAACGTTTTAAATATGTATATGCTTTGATTCAGTAATGCCACTTCTAGAAAGTTACCTTGCAGATAAACTCACACAACTGCACAAAAATTAGGTACAAAAGGCCATATCAACAATCTTTGCAATAATAGAAAACTGGAAATAAATCAAATGTGCATTAATGTGGTCAAAGAGTGACCACAGTGCTGACTTGGAAGAATATATATACTGCAGTATAGTATGTAGATTCTGATCTTATTTGTAGAAAAAAGCATATAAATGTTTGTGTGTGCAGAGTCCATATATGCATAGAAATGTCTGGAATGATGCACCAAAATATTCATATTAGACAATGAGATGGAGGGGAAGTGAGAGTTTTCACTTAAAAAAATCTTGGCTGGGCGCAGTGGCTCACACCTGTAATCCCAGCACTTTGGGAGGCCAAGGCAGGTGAATCACCTGAGATCAGGAGTTCGAGACCAGCTGGGTCAACATGGTGAAACCCCGTCTCTAGTAAAAATACAAAAAATTAGCTGGGCATGGTGGCAGGCGCCTGTAATCCCAGCTACTCGGGAAGCTGAGGCAGGAGAATCGCTTGAACCCAGGAGGCAGAAGTTGCAGTGAGCTGAGATCACACCATTGCACTCTAGCCTGGGCAACAAGAGCAAAACTCTGTCTCAAAAAAAAAAAAAAAAAAAAACCTCATATAATTCTGCAATGTTCACACAAAAGCACATTCTACTTTTGTTGTAAGTCATTTTTAATCCAATTGGGTTTTAGTTAGTATGGTTTCACTGGTTGCTGGAGACAGTGCTAGGTTTTTTTGTGGGTGGTGGGCAACATGCTAGAACTTTCTCAGAAGAACACATAAGAGTCTCATTTATTTTATTTTATTTATTTATCTTACTCTATTGCTCAGGCTGGAGTGCAGTGGCACAAACAAGGCTCACTGCAGCCTCGACCTCCCTGGGCTCAGGTGATTCTCCCACCTCAATCTCCTGAGTAGCTAGGACTACAGGCCCACGCCACCACACCCAGCTAATTTTTTGTAGAGATGAGTTTTTGCCACATTGCCCAGGCTGGTCTTAAACTCCTGGGCTCAAGCCATGTACCTGCCTCAGCCTCCCAAAGTGTTACAGGTGTGGGCCACCATGCCTGGATTTTTTTTTTTTTTTTTGAGACAGGGTCTCACTCTGTCTCCCAGGCTAGAAGTGCAGTTCTGCAATCACCACTTACTGCAGCCCTGACCTCCCCAGCTCAAGTGATCCTCCCACCTCAGCCTGCCAAGTAGCTGGGACCACAGATAGCATCATCACACCTGGCTAAATTTTTTTTTCTAATTTTCAGTAGAGACACAGTCTCACTATATTACCCAGGCTAGTCTCGAACTCCTGGGTTCAAGTGATTCTCCCGCCTTGGCCTCCCAAAGTGCTGGGATTACAAGCATGAGCCACTGTGTCTGGCCAATATGTCTTTATATCAGGCTATAGAATGAAAGTAATTGTCAGCTTACTCTCAGAAGAAAATTAGGACAAGAGACCAAAGAAAGGGCAGTGGTGTTAAGTTTAGTATTTAATGGCTTATAATATCATGGAGCTACATGAAAGCCCCACCATGTCACCTCGCTATCACCCCGAGGTTCAGGGGGCTGTGAAGGTTTCAACCCAGGTCCAAGGGGTGCAGCAGAGCCTCAACTAGAGATGGAATGTCTTTTCCCCAAAGCTTCAACCAGCGGTTCTGCTTGGACCCAGATGACATTGTATCCTAGAAGTCTTATCATTTGCTCAGTTTGCAAACTGAGAAGGAGCACACACCTGCAGCGCCTCCTTCTACAGGTGAAGGCAGAAGGGCTGGGGATGGGAGGAGAGATGCTTGTTCCTGTGGGTGGCAGCAGAAAGTTGCCGCAGTCACCAGCTGCCAGAGGATGGGTCTGGGTCTCACTATAGGATGAGTGCCCACCTGCCATGCTCCCATGCCACGGCAGCTCCTCTTGGTCCCTGTCAGACCTCTTGGGCTTCTCGTGTCCCTCCCTCCTCCCCCATCAGACACTCTTCTCTAGACAGTGTGGGGCATGCTTCCCATGGAGGCACAGGGCGTCGGAGCCGGGCTGAGACAAAGACCTCCTCAGCCAATCCTCTCATTTTATAGTTGGGAAAACAGGCCCAGAGAGGAGAAGGAACTCACCCAAGGTCATCCAGAGAGTTTATGGCAGAACTAAAACCGGGTCTTTGGGAAAATGTCACACAGCCCCTCCCCACCCATTCCCTACACCTTACTAGATATGTCTGGCTGCGCCTCCCCTTCCCCAGTGCCCCATTTGTTATCCAACAGATATTTTTGTTCTTTTTTTGTTGCTGTTGTTTTTGAGACAGAGTCTCACTCCATCTCCCAGGCTAGAGTGCAGTGGTGCGATCTCGGCTCACTGCAACATCTGCCTCCCAGGTTCAAATAATTATCGTGCCTCAGCCTCCCAAGTAGCTGGGATTACAGGTGTGCACCACCACGCCCAGCTAATTTTTGTAATTTGTAGAGACAGGATTTCGCCATATTGGCCAGGGCTGTCCTGGCCTCAAGTGATCCACTTGCCTTGGCCTCCCAAAGTGCTGGGATTAAAGGCATAAGCCACCATGCCCGGCCTCGACAGATATTTCTTGAGCACCTACTACATGCCAGGTTCTGTTCTAGGCCCTGATGATACAGGAATGAACAAAACAGACACAACTCCTACTCTTGTGGAACTCACATTCTAACTTAATTACATGACCTACCTGTTACCTTTCTAAAGGAGACACGCTGTCCCGCTGCAGCCAGGAAGCCCTGGTCAGCACATGGACACTGCCCATGTCTCTGCCCTGCAGGAGAGAGGGCCTCGACCCTGGAGGAGGGGCATCAGCCAAGAATAGGCAGCAAGGGCTCCCTGTGCCCAGCTCTATGGGAATTACAGACCCCTGCCCATGAGGATCATCTCCTTTGATTCTCAGAACCACCCTACACACCAGGTACTCACATCCCCACTTTACAAGCAAGGAAATGAAGGCCCAGCAACATTGGGCAAGTAAGTAGCAGGACTAGGCCTTCTGCTTCCTCAGACAGGGGGTCCTGGGCCCTGCTCAGGCAGAGCAGAGCTCGGGGGCAAGAGGAAATAGGGGGCATTTTCTGTCTCCTTTTGGAGAAGAGAATGGCGGTCTCTGTTGGCTTTTTCTCAGGGTGTTCAGAGAAGTTTGACCTGCCCACCTTGCCTGGGGGCTGCCAGAATGACCAGTCAGCCATGGTGCACGAGCTATTTCCCGTCTGGGGATTCTGGTACCCAGAGCAGGGTCCCTAACTGTGAAGCGGGTACCAACCCTTTTTGTGATGCTTAATTAAAACCATGAGCCCTTTCCCTAGAAATATTCTACATGTCTCCCTCACACCACTTTGCATACAAATTCCCTGAAGCCCATCCTTGCCCCACTCTGGGCAGGACTAGACCTTCTGGGGGACCGTCTCCTAATGGGAGGAGGAATCACACTGTGGAGTTGAAAGGTCAGCACACCAATCCCCACCGCCACCCTGCCCTGAGAGTCTCTCCTGCCCCTCCTGGGAACCACTCATTGAGGGGTCTGCAGACTGCATCCCAGGAGGCATCGCTGGCAACATGGTGCTGCCCAGACGGGCTGTGAGCGCCCCCTGGGGGCGGCTTGTCCACATGTCCCAGGAAACACTATACCCAACCCATCCCCACCCCACCCCCAGAGTTAAACTCGAGGCCAACATTTGGACAAGAAAAGATGTCATTTAAAATATTAAGTTAAAATGGCCACAGATGGCTGTTACAATGCAAACTCTGGCCCAAACGTTAGGAGAAACCCTGGAGGTGGGAACAGTGTGGAGGGTTGAAGCTGGTCTCATGGAGGAGTCTCATCCCCCAAAACCAACTCCCAAGGCCTGGTCTGCCTAGCACCCTGTCCCAAGCACAAAGACGAAGGGCCGTTGACCCTGTCCTCCCCTTACAGGCCAGCCATACCAGGCTGGGGGAGGGAGAGAGAGAAGGAAGGAGAGAGGTAAGAAAACCAGCGAATCCCAGTTCACCCAGGATGTCCCAGTTTTATTTTTTTTGTTTTATTTTATTTTATTTTATGTTGAGACAGGGTCTTGCTTGTCACTGAGGCTGCAGTGCAGTGGCATGATCTCGGCTCCCTGCAGCCTTGACCTCCCTGGCTTAAGCAAACCTCCCACCTCAGCCTTCCAAGTAGCTGGGACCAAAGATGCATGCCACCAAGCCTGGCTAATTTTTGTATTTTTTACAGAGATGGGTTTTTTCATGTTGCCCAGGCTGATCTTGATCTCCTGGGCTCAAGCAATCTTCTGCCTTGGCCTCCCAGAGTGCTGGGATTATAGAGGTGAGCCCCCTTGCCCGGGCTATGTCTGTTTTAGGACTGAAAGTTCATCTTCCCAGGAACCACCCCACTCCAGTCCTGGGCAAACCAGCCTGCCCCTTCTCCCTGCGTTGACTGGTGAAAGTGTCATGAGCGGCATAAGCTCAGACATAACCAGGTCCACACACATTGTCTTTCCACAAGGTCAGACTTTTACTGATGTTGTTTCAATCATAAAAGCCACGAGCACCATGGAGTTCCCAAGGAGGCAATTCTTAGCACTCTCGGTTCACTTGGTAGAGCCATGTGCACACAGGCTCAAGCCATTCAACAAGTCAGTCCATACTGAAAACTATACACTGTAGTATATTTCACATATAAATGTTATAGATTAAAATTTCACACCGAACAGTAACATTGAACATCAAAAGAAAAGGGGAGAGGCTAGGCACGGTAGCTTACACCTGTAATCCCAGCACTTTGGGAGGCCAAGGCAGGCAGATCATGAGGTCAGGAGTTTGAGACCACCCTGACCAACACGGTGAAACCCTGTCTTTGCTAAAAATACAAAAATTAGCCTAGTGTGGTGGCGGTTGCCTGTAATCCCAGCTACTTGGGAGGCTGGGGCACGAGAATCGTTTGAACCTGGGAGGTAGATGCTGCAGTGAGCCAACATCATGTCTCTGCACTCCAGCCTGGGCGACAGAGCGAGACTCTATCTCAAAAAAAAAAAAAAAAAGATGTCGGGCGTGGTGTCTCACACCTGTAATCCCAGCACTTTGGGAGGCTGAGGCGGGCAGATGATCTGAGGTCAGGATTTCGAGACCAGCCTAGCCAACATGGCGAAACACCGTCTCTACTAAAAAAGCAAAAATTAGCTGGGCGTGGTGGGTGCGCCTGTAATCCCAGCTACTTGGGAAGTTGAGGCACAAGAATTGCTTGAACCCAAGAGGCAGAGGTTGCAGTGAGCCGAGATGGTACCACTGCACTCCAGCCTGGGTGACAGAGCAAGACTTCATCTCAAAAAAAAAAAAAAAAAAAAAAGAAAAAAAGAAAAAAAAGAAAAGAAAAGGAGAGAGGAAAAAGGGTTAATGAATCAGTCCTGGTCTAATCCGGATAGTCATTAACATCTTGCAAGGAAGAGTCTTTGATTTGGGCAGAGCCTTCAGCGGCAGATGCTGGGTGCTGATCCCAAGTGACAGCAAGACAGGGTCTGTCAAGACGGCAGGGTCTAGGTGATGAAATCTTGCTCATTTTATGGTCCTTGAGTCCTCTGTTGAGGATTGATAGTAAAGGGTGATGCCCTTATCTGTTTGGGTGTTATCTCTACTGATTAGGCAAATATCTGGACCCTGTTGGTTTGATGCCTTTTGAAATGTAAGGTGGAGTCCTTTTCTAAGATGGAGTCACTTATGCCAAGGTGCTCTATACAAAAAGTGAAGGCTTCCAGAGCCTGGTGGGGCACAGACCCCCATGGCCCTGGGAGATTGAGGCTGACTAATGATGTCAGAGCAATATGTGAACTGTCCACAAGAAAGAGAATGGAAACCACCTGCATGCTAAGAGACCCTCAGAACAGTGCCCCCACCCCCACCCCATCAGCAGAGCAGCCAGGGACCAGAGTGGGTGCTCTTCCCATGCCAGTGGTCTGTCCCTAGAAGTCCAGAGGAAAACCTCCCCACTTTCCTTGCTGACCCATCATCCCTCAGGCTGCAGGGAGGGGAGATCATGGAAACCATCAATATGAAATCTGAGATGTCCTGGGAAGCTGCTGAACCCAAGGGTCCAGGAACCAAGGAGAGCTGCACCCAAAGTGAACCCCCTAGGACAGCAGGAGATCTTGAGGGAGAATTGGTGGGGATGGGGTTGGGTGGGCACATGTCTAGACAGGGCTATGAACACTTCACAGAAGTGTCTGGGTGCCACCAATGCCCAAGCAGCAGAATGACTCTGGGGTCCCTAGAAATGGCACTATATATAGTCAGGAGAGAGCCACCTGGTTTAACTGAGACCACTTCTTGGGGCAAAGGGGAGTAATTCAAACCACCTGAGATTGAGTTTGTGCCATTTCCCTCTTCTGCTTCCCATCCTCCAAGAGGGCTTGAACTGACACTAAGTAAAATGATAGAAAAATAAAGTTCTAGTTCTCACTCACCTAAGTCAGTGGGCTGATGCTCCTGCTACTTTGCCAGGCTCACTCCCTGAAATTCTCCCTCCCTGTTCCCAAACTCTGAGATACAAGGTTCTGGAGGAAGGGGAGAGACACTGAAGGAAAGATGAGCTCCCATCAGGAGGTGCAGGTGCATCACTGTCATGGGGTTGGAACATGGCTCTTCCACTTGCCAGCCACAAGTGTCTACCAAGCTCACAACGCCTCTGAACCTGGCTCTTCCCATCTGTAAAATAGGAAGAACGAGCCCCACCTCGGAGAGCTGTGAATGGGCTGGTTCAGATACAGTGTGGCGCACTCCCTCACCCTGAGTCCGTCTTCAGTTTCTCCCTCCACCAGTGGCCTCCATTTGCCCATCTGTACCATGGGAGGCTGCACCAGCTGGTCACCGAGGTCACCTTCTAGCTGTATGGTTAGTTGGCCAGGCCAGGCTGCCCTTCTGTTACCAACACAGTGTTCCAGTCTGAAACAGTGACTTCTGCCAAGAGCACAGCTCGAGCTCAGGAGGGAGGGCTGCACCTCAGCCCTGACTACATCCTGCTGAAAGCTCCAGCTGGCCATGACCAGGCCAGTACCCACTGCACACCTGTCACAATGAATGACCCTTTATACCAGGCCTTTCCTAGAGACCCCAGCCATCAGCCCAGTGCCCCAGACAGCCCCCTGCACCTCCCTCAGTCTGGGATCCCCTTCCCACACCCACACACATTTTATAAGTGACTGAGGGGAGGGTGCTAGTGTCTGAAGCCACAGGTTAACCGGGTTGCCTGCCCAGTCGCAATGTGCAAGTGTATGAGGGGCTCCCTGCCTGGAAGTCAGGCCTCCAAGTGGATGGAATCCGGCCTCTGCAGCCCCTTCTCCCAGGACTCTCCTCAGAGCCACTCAGAGCCCGGGCATTCCAAGGAGAAGCAGGTAGATATGGGCCTTTGCACCTGCGGCGCTCACCTTGTTCTGGGGCAAGGAGAGAAAGGGGGCATGAAAAAGGGAGGGATGGAAGGAGGTGCTGAAAGGAAAAGATAGGACTCCCAGGTCCCCCTCCTAGAAACTTTCCTGCTGCCCATAACGGGAAGGGGCCGCCCCTAGCCAGGACTCCACAGGGTTCCAGAGCATAGCTTTCCTGTTCCAAGCTGTGCTGACAAGAGCCCACTCCCCTGTCCTCCAGGGTAATGAGCTGCCTGCAACGCACGTGCATGCACGCACACACACACACACACACACATGCCTGATGCAGACACCTGGTTCTCTTCTAAGGACCCATGTCAAAACCTCTCCTTTTATAACCCTTGTACACAAAGAGCTGCCCATTCCCCGGTTCCTGGACAAGACTTCGTTGAGTCCTGTATGCCCAGGACTGTGAGCATACACCAAGCTTCTAACAGGTATAATCTCCCTTCACGTCTACCCTGGGAAAGCAAAAAGAAAAGAAAACCCTCGCAAGTTTAATCCCCACAGGACCTTCTATTACACCTACCTTTTTGGGGGTGAAGGGTTGGGGGTTAGGGTTAGGCAGGGCCTGAGCTGTTGCAGTACAGGGGCCACCTGCCATGTGTGGCTTCTGGGAACCTGAGGTTGGCTCCCGCAAATGGCAATGTGCTGTGAGCATAAACCACACACCAGATCTCAAAGACTTGGTAGAAAAAAGCATGAAATATCTCATTAATGATGTTATATCAATTACATGTTGAAATAACATTTGAAATATAATGGGTTCCACGATGTATATTATTAAAATTAATCCTATTTTTACTTTTTAAATGTGGCAGGCCAGGCGCAGTGGCTCACGCCTGTAATCCCAGCACTCTGGGAGGCCTAGGTGGGCAGATCCACTTGAGGTCAGGAGTTCAAGACCAGCCTGGCCAACATGGTGAAACCCCATCTCTACTAAAAATAAAAAATTAGCCAGGCATGGTGGTGGGCACCTGTAGTCCCAGCTACTCAGGAGGCTGAGGCAGGAGAATCACTCAAACCTGGGAGGAGGAGGTTGCAGTGAGCCGAGATCATGCCATTGCACCCCAGCCTGGGTGACAGAGTGAGACTCTGTCTCAAAAAAAAATAAATAAATATGGCTACTAAAAATTCCACATGTGGCTCGCATTATATTTCTATTGGCCAGCCCTAGGTTACACTATTCCCTCCCCTCCCAGCACTCTGAGGGCAGTAAGCGGCAGTTGGATGGGAAGGCAGCCAGAGACAGACCATGAGAGGCCTTGAATGCCAGGCTGAGGGGTCTGGAGGTGCCCTCCGGGCGATTGGGGGCCACAGAACTGGGGTGTGGTTCTCATCAGGCCAGCTCCATGTGCTCATCATCTGGAAGACAGCTCCCAGGCCGGCCCACTGGAGCGAAGAGATGGGATCAGAAAGATGGTAACTTCCGGTGGGAAAGGGAGACAGGAATGGCAGGCAGAGAGAGCTATCTGAGCAAAAGTTCAGAGGCAGCAGAGTGGGCGTGCTGGGGGACTAGAGAGGAAGGAAACAGAGACAGGTTCAGAGAGTGGAGGAAGAAAAGAGGGTAGGGAAGAGGAGATCAGCCAAAACTAAAGAACAGAGAGGAGATCAGAGACGCTATCTTGGAAGGAAGTGGTCAGCACAGTCTACCTCATCGGAGCCTTCCACCCTCAGGCTTTCAAGAAAATCTCCCAACCCCATTCCTACCACAGGAAGGCAGGCCCAGGTATATGTCAGCCTCCTCATCCCTCTCTGAGCCCAGCGCCCCTGACGCCACCTCAGCTGCCTGTGTCAGAGGCTGGCCCAGAGGCAGGCTTGAAACGCGTGGAGGACAGAGAGGAAGAGCGGCAGCCTTGGGGCAAAACTTTGCCCCTCTTCCTACCCCAAGATGACCCCAGTTCCTGGCCCAACTTAGGAGGGTCAGGCTCTTGAGAAGACCTGCTTCTAATTTAGAAGGAGCCGGATCTTCAAAGGTCTTGGACTTATCAGGGAACAGAGCCCAGGGGTCCACCCCTTCCTCCTTTATTCTGGAAATAGGCACCCAGGCAGTGGGGACAGGTGTTAGCATCATGGCCACTGGCCTGCGGGAGGCAAAGATCCAGACAGATGAAGTCATTTGTGCGAGAGGTGCCTTTTCTGCCTATCAGAGAATTTGAGGGGATAGGGGACTTGTCCACAAACTATGGATCGAAGGCCACAAGGCCACACTGCCTATTTTTGTACAACTAAGAACAAATGTGAGCTAAGAACAGTTTCACTTTTTTTTTTCCCCCTGTGACAGAGCGAGACTCTGTCTGGAGTGCAGTGACCTGATCTCGGCTCACTGCAACCTCCATCTCCCGGGTTCAAGTGATTCTCCTGTCTCAGCCTCCTGAGTAGCTGGGATTACAGGCATGCAGCACCATGCCCGGCTAATTTTTGTATTTTTAGTAGAGACAGGGTTTTACCATGTTGGCCAGGCTGGTTTCAAGCTCCTGGCCCTGATTACATCCTGCTGAAAGCTCCGGCTGGCCACAACCAGAAAACGGGGTTTCACCATGTTAGCCAGGCTGGTCTCGAACTCCTGACCTCAGGTGATCCACCTGCCTTGGCCTCCCAAAGTGCTGGGATCATAGGTGTGAGCCACCGCGCCTGGCCACTTCATGCTTTTTCACATAGTATTCCATTGCATAAATACAGATGACTCTTGAACAACCTGGGGGTTGGGGTGCTGATCCCCTGCACAGTCAAAAATCCATGTATAACTTTTGACTACCCCAAAACTTAACTACTAATAATCTACTAGAAACCTAGCAATAACATAGCCAATTGACACATATTTAGTATATGTATTATATACTGTCTTCTCACAATAAAGTAACCTAAAGAAAATAAAATATTATTAAGAAAATCCTGGCCGAGCGTGGTGGCTCACACCTGTTATGCCAGCACTTTGAGAGGCTGAGGTGGGCAGATCACCTGAGGTCAGGAGTTCAAGACCAGCCTGACCAACATGGAGAAACCCTGAGCCGGGCCTGGTGGCAGACGCCTTTAATTCCAGCTACTTAGGAGGCTGAGGCAGGAGAATCACTTGAACCCGGGAGGCAGAGGTTGTGGTGAGCCGAGACTGCACCATTGCACTCCAGCCTGGGCAAGAAGAGTGAAATTCCATCTGAAAAAAAAAAAAAAAGAAAAAGAAAAGAAAAAAGAAAATCCTAAGGAGGCCAGGTGCAGTGGCTCATACCCGTAATCCCAGCACTTTGGGAAGCCAAGACGGGTGGATCATTTGAAGCCAGGAGTTCGAGACCAGCCTGGCCAACGTGACAAGACCCCCTCTCTACTAAAAATACAAAAATTAGCTGGATGTGGTGGTGCACGCCTGTAGTCCCAGCTACTTGGGAGGTTGAGGCGGAAGGATCACTTGAGCCTGGGAGGCAGAGGCTGCAGTGAGCCAAGATCGTGCCATAGCACTCCAGCCTGGGCAACAGAATGAGACACTGTCTAAAAAAAAAGAAAAAAAAACAAAAAAAAAAACGAAAGAAAAGAGAAAATGCATTGACAGTACTGAACTGTATTTATCAATATGAATACCATAAGTTTGCGATGTCTGTTTACAAGATGAATCATCTATTTGAATCATGGCAGCAACTGCAGCTGCAGACCTCAATCTGCAGTACATATCAAGCAATTCAGCTTTTCCTTGTAATGTCATGACTTTTCTCTGCTTCTTGGGAGCACCTCCAGCATCACTAGTGGCACTTCATGTGGGTCCCATTATGTGATTCAAGGTTTATGGTATTGCACTAAACGCAATTGAAAACACACCAGAGCTGTGAGAGATCGCTTTGTCTGCCACATGCAATTTACTGGAGACACAACTGCTCATGCAGAGATGATTAGCGTCATTCAGTGATCTAAGCAGATACGTGCAATAGTTGAGCTCCCTGCAATAGCAACAGGAGGTCGCTATGAAATTATTACAGTAGTAGTGTGCATACCAGAGTTAATTTTATGCAGTTATGATTTAATACTGCATCTTTACATCTGTTTACATTTCTCTTAACTGTGAATGGTGCCATATATGATCTTAAGTATATGTGTAAGTTTTGATAAATTTTAACTTCTCATAATGGATATGTGTACATTTTATGGTAGTAAATGATAAAATACACTAGTATCTACATATATTTTAGGCATTCATGACATACCTTTTTCTTAATTTTTTTTCAATATTTCTAGGCTACACATACAATTCATCTGTGAGTTTTTTCAAATTGTGGCAAAACTCCAATAAAAGTTTCAATATATTCATTGAAAAGAATCCATGTATAGGTGGACTTCACAGTTCAAACTCATGTTACCCAAGGATCAACTGTATATCCTATTTACCTAGTCCCCTACTGGTGGACATTTGGGCTGTTTCCAATCTTTTGCATTTACAAAATTAATGCTGCAGTGAATAGCCTTGTGTATTTGTTGCTTCACACATAAGTGAGTATATCTGTAGAATAAATTCCTACAGAGGTATGTGTGTTTGTAGTTTTGATTAATAATGCCAAATAGTCTACCATAGAGGCTGATCCAATTTACAATTTCACCAGCAATGCATGAGAACAGAGCCAGGATTTGAATTAAGAACCATCTGGTTGCAAAGCCAGATCTCCTGCTGCTGCACCATGGCCATCACTGCCGGCACCAGAAAGGTTTTTCTGATAACTTAGGCCACCTTCAAGTCTTGAGTCCTCCTGCTTACCTGCCTGCCTTCTTCCCTAGGAGTGTGCAGCCCTACCAAATGGTCCCTATGTTTGAGACAATCTCTGCTTCCCCTGGAATCCTGTCCACCCACAGTCAGTCCTAACTGATTTCCAACCATCTAGCAGCTCTCCCCATGTTTCCTGGGCTTACACTTTCCCCTCCAATGCCCTCGAGGACAGAGATGGTGCCACATGTCTGCAGTAGGACTGGGGCCTGGTGCCTGCTAAGTGGGATGGACTTGATAAATGTGTGCTAAATAAGTGTGCCAAACGTTCATGCCAGATACACAGATGTTGTCCCTGATTCCGCCTTCTCCTTCGTCCTCAGTATTTAATACCAAATCCTGTGGATCCTACCTTCTCCGTATTTCCAGAATCTTCCCAGTTGTTTCATCTGGCTGCCACCTCCTAGTCTGGACCACCATAATCTCTCACCTGGAATATCGCAGTGGCCTCTTGCCTGGTGTCCCGGCCTCCACATTCACTCTCTCTCACTTTGTGGACAAAACTGCTAACTGTCCTCCAATACCCATTTTCTCCTTCCGTTAGCCACAGAACCCTGTGTTTTGGCTGGGTCCATGGCCACTAGCTAAAGCTCACCTTTTCCAGCCTGCTTCACAGCTAGGTGGCACCATGTGACTGAGCTCCATCATCGTGGGCAGGAGCACTTGGGACAGAGGCAACTTCCGGGCTGTGCCCTAAAAGGGGATGCGCACACCTCCGCTCCTGCTTCTACCCTTCCCACGGGCCGGGACCTGACAAACAGCCACCTCAGACCTCAAGACGGAGGCGGGGCGTTGACAATGGCAGAGCAGCAAAGTAGGAGCTTAGGGGGCCTCTGGGCAAAGGGGCAGGGCTGGGGGGATGGGGTGCCTGGCAGGGACCCTCCAAACAGGACCCCTGGCTGTGAGCACCAGTGACCTTGCCTCAGTACCTGAAATCCAGCCAGCCAGCCGGCCTGCTAGTCATTTCTGAGGATACGAGGGATACAGCAGGAGGCAAGACAAAATGTCTTTTGATTTAGAAATTTCTTGGAAGTTGACTTGGTGCTCAGCCATTGAAATGTCAGTCTCCTGGGTTCCTGCTTCACACATATGTGCAAAAGCAAGCACACACACATGTACATTCACACATGCGTGTGTTCATGCCTGGTTACTCTGTGCTAAGATAGAATGCGGCCTTTTCCCCTTCTTCCATCCTCACTCTGCTTTCAGACGGCCTGAATTCCTCTTCCCTGAGGTCTGCAGCCTCCTGCTCTCAGTAGACAGGCACCAGGTTCTCCATGATCCTTTCTACCAGGTCAGCTCTCTACTACCTGGGCTGAAGGAATGGCAGCCAAGATGGTCCCCAGAGGGAGGATCAGCACGCATGCGTGGCACGCCTGTGCAGATATCCCCTTTAATCTGCAACCATGAGTGTCTACTATGGGGTAGCTGCTTAGGTGGACCTTACAGGACCCACAAACAGGCAGAAGCAGCAGCCCCTACTCTCAGGAGGGAAGGAGGCATTGGTTAGTGGCACTGGTGACACTGTGTCATTCAGAGCTTCGATGTGTGTATGAACCATCATGTTTCCCAGGCTGTGGTCCCTTCCTGCCAAGGCCACCTGGCCAGTCCTCTGCCAAGTTTCCCTAAGTATGTCTGGAGATTCCCAAAGCGTATCTCATAAAGACTCTTATGTAACAGGAAAGAACAGCTCATAAACATGAATTTATTCCACTGTTAAAAAATGTTCTTCTCCCTTGGCTGGAATCAAGTCCCCTCTCCCTTGACAACCAAGGCTCCCTGTTGTGCCCAGGTGACCCCTCCCCTCTGAGAGCCAACTTTGTCCTGGGCCACCTCCTGGGCCTGCCTCTCTTCCTGAGAGTGACTCCTATCCAGAGCCTTTTCTGACCCACAGACAGATGGCCTCCCCATGTCCTCCTCTATAGCTCTCTGCACTCCAACCAGGCTGCATCATACTAGGGCCCCCACGACAATGAGGTAACCATCCCAATTTAACCCATAGGGAGCCTGGGCTCTGAGTGACTATAGGTCTCCCCCTCAGTCACACAGCGAGGCACGGCAGAGGCCGGGATCCCAGCGCGCCTCTTCCCACCATGCTCACCTGCCAGCATCATCTATTCACTCATCAGGCATCTGTAGGGCAGGGTGGAAGGACGGTTTCTTAACACTGGGGAACTGGAGAGGATATGTGAGTTGGGGTGGCAGTAGGCAGTGGAATAGGACTGGAATTAAAGATGTGGATAAAGGAGTCATTTGGAGTAGCAGGAAGAGAAAGGGAAGAGGTTAGAGCCTTAGAATGGCAACTGCAAAACAGAAGACTCTATTTTGGCCTCGATTTTCTCAAGTGTGAAGAGTTGCAGGGGTCAAAGCTGGAATTTGCAAGACTTCAATCAATTGCTTCCTCAGGCAACTTACCCTAGCAGCCCTCCCAGCCAGGGAGCAGGAATGGAGATAAGATAAGGACTCCCAGTGGGGTGGGGCGCAAAGTGCTACAGGAGACAAGGCAGGCCAGACTGGCTGCTCAGACGGATCATGCCCTGCTGTGGGCAGTCTGGGAAGGCTACCTGGAGGAATTGGACACAGCACATTGCTGAACATCAATAAATATTTGTCTTAATTGCTTTGAGACACAGTCTGCTGTGTCACTCAGGCTGGAGTTCAGTGGCGCGATCACGGCTCATTGCTTCCTTGGACTCCTGGGCTCCCATGATCCTCCTACCTCAGCCTCCCAAGTAGCTGGGATGACAGGATCACACTTTTTTTTTTTTTTTTTTTTTTTTTTTGAGACACAGTCTTTCTCTGTCGCCCAGGCTGGAGTGCAGTGGCGCGATCTCGGCTCACTGCAACCTCCACCTCCCGGGTTCAAGCAATTCTCCTGCCTCAGCCTCCTGAGTAGATGAGATTACAGGTGCCTGCCACCACGCCCAGCTAATTTTTTTGTATTTTTAGTAGAGACGGGGTTTCACCATGTTGGTCAGGCTGGTCTCCAACCCCTGACCTTGTGATCCACCCGCCTCAGCCTCCCAAAGTGCTGGGATTATAGGCGTGAGCCACCGCGCCCAGCTCACACCTATCTAACTTTTTAACTTTTTGTAGAGACAGGGTTTGCCATGTTGGCCAGGCTGGTCTTGAATTCCTGGGCTCAAGAGATCCTCCTGTTTCAGCCTCCCAAAGTGCTGGGATTACAGGTATGATCCACCTCATCCCTTAATTGCTTTAAATGTCCCAGGAGACATCTAAGGACAAATTCCCTGAATACTTGGATGGAGCTGATGGCGAAGACACCGATGCTGCCATCACTTTGCCCACCTGAGCTCAGGGGAGGCAGCAGTATCCTCCCAGTGAGAAAGGGGAGATGTCTGCTCTTGGGCATGGGGGAAGGTGCAGGAGGCTGCCTGCGCCAGGCAGCAGCAGGAAGAGGGATGGCGAAAGCACAGAGACTTAGAGGAAGAAACAGGGCCTCAGCATGAGGGCCTTAAATGTCTGTCTAAAGCCAGTGACTCTGACTACCTCCCAAGCACAGGCTATATGCCTGATGTTCCGCTAGGACCCTGCAAGCACATGTCATCTTTGCTGTTATCTTTGCTGCGATATCCCCAGGGCCCAGAACTGTGGCTGGCATGGAGTAGGTGCCTGACAAATATTTGTTGAGTATATTAATTCATACTTAATTCTCACAATATCCTTTTGTAATATGATTATGCCTACTTTGCAGAAAAGAAAATTAGTATCAAAAGGCTAATGCCCCTGACAGTGAGGAGCAGAACCTACCATGGGTCCTTGACCTAAGTGGCCCAGTTCCAGCCAGGTACCAGACCTCTCAGAGAGCAACCAGGAAGGGATGGGAGCCAGAAGCATCTGTGTCCAATGGCTAGTGATAGGACAGACAGGACTCAAACCTAGGTCTTTGGAGTCCCAATCCAGTGCTGCCCTACCCCTTCATCATTCAACAGCTGCTTCCTGAGTTCTCCTCCCCTTTGGGGAAAGGGGGTACCCAGATATGCTGACCTCCTTGCCCTGGGAAAGTGCCCAAATCTTTTACTACGGCCACCTTGAGGAAGGTTACCAAACTCCTGCCACATGCCATATCCTGTGATTCATTTATTCGATATCCATCCCTTTATTCATTCGAGAAACGTGTTGAATGCCTACTATGTGTTAGGCAGCAATCTAGTTGCTGGGTGCAGTATTAAACAAAACACAAGATTTCTGCTCTTGCAGAGTTTATATTCCAGGAAACAGAGACAGAAAAGAAGTAAATAAACATGAACTTCAGGTACCGAGAGCTGGAGAAGTCAGAGATTCGAAGCATCTGAAGAACTCAATGCACCATTGCTGGCCTTGAAGATGGAGGGGCCACACATAATACAGAGTGGCTGCCAGTTGCTGAGAGCAAGCCCTAGCTGACCCAGCAAGAAAACAGAGACTTCAGTCCTACAATTGAAGGAGCTAAATTCTGCCAACAACCTGAAGGAGATTGGAAGCAGATAACCTTCAGATAAGAGCCCAGCCCAGCCAACATCTTGATTTCAGCCCTCTGAAACCCTAAGCAGAGAATCCAGTCATTCTCACCTGGACTCTGACCCACAGAACTGTGAGCTAATCAATGGATGTTATTTTAGGCTGCTAAATATGTGGTAATTTGTTATGCTGGAAAAGAAAACTGAGGGGGACGGGCCAAACAATAAAAAAGAAAAAGACAAAGAAGGAACAGAAAACTGTCAACCTAAAAGGAAGAAGCTGAGGCGGAATTAATGTAAGTAGACAGTTTATTTGGACCAAATTTGAGAGTGGCTACCTGGAAGCATAGATTCAAGTTGACCTGAATATACACTCCAATTAGCAGTGGTTACAAGTGGGTATTTTGTTTTGTTTTGAAACGGGGTCTCACTCCGTCACCCAGGCTGGAGTGCAATGGCGCGATCGAAGCTCACTGCAGCCTCAACCTCCCAGGCTCAAGCCATCCTCCCACCTCAGCCTCTTGAGTAGCTGGGACTACAGGTGCTGCACCACCACACCCAGCTAATCTTTGTATTTTTTGTAGAGGTGGGGTTTTGCCATGTTGCCCACCCTGGCCTCAAACTGCTAAGCTCAAGCAATCCTCCCACTTCAGCTTCCCAATGTGCTGGGATTACAGGCATGCATCACCCTGCCTGGTCAAAACAAGTGGGTTTTAAAGGAAAAAAGAAGAGGTAGTTCCTGAATTGTTTACCAGTAATTTACATAAAATGACATAAGCTATTGATTGTCTATACCTTGTTCTTTTTTTCTTTTTTGAGACAGAGTTTCACTCTTGTTGTCCAGGCTGAAGTGCAATGGTGCGATCTTGGCTCACTGCAACCTCTGCCTCCCAGGTTCAAGCGATTCTCCTCCCTCAGCCTCCCAAGTAGCTGGGATTACAGGCAGGCACCACCATGCCCGGCTAATTTTGTATTTTTAGTAGAGACCAGGTTTCTCCATGTTGGTCAGGCTGGTCTCAAGCTCCTGACCTCAGGTGATCCGCCCACCTCGGCCTCCCAAAGTGCTGGGATGACAGGCTCGAGCCACCGTGCCCAGCCACATTGTTCTTTGTATGACAAATTCTAGGAAAATGAAGATAATGGGTGAGGCAGCTCTCAGGAACAAAATGCCTTTAAACAGTTGTCCCCAGGCATGGGTACAGGGAGGAGGCCATGACTGAAGTCCCACACTCATGGCTGTTTGGGCCTGCAAGCCTCACAGAACTCAGACTCCTTTGAGCCAGTTTTCTTTTCTTGAAACGAAAGGGTTGTGTATAATACAGAGCATACAAGTGCCACATCACATATGAAGGTACATGCATGGCTCACGCTCCACACGCGCTACAGCCCCTTGTCTATTGCGGGCAGATCTCAGCCTCAAGGCACCTCCAGGTCCCCTCAACACTTCCAGGTGTCCACCTGTTTATGGAAGCCCGCCGGGGACTAAGGGCATTTCCTGCTGGCTGGCACCAGCTGTGGTAGAGACGGCTACCTGTCTACCAAACACTGTGCTCCCTTCGCGGGTGTGGCACTGTCATTGGGATGGGCCGCCTGACCAAGGACCACATTTCCCAGGCTGCCTTGCATCTGGGTGTGGCCCCATGACTGGTTCTCAGCAATGGGATGTGAGAAGTAATGGGTGTTACTTCCTGGTCAAGGCAGGTAAGAAGGGAATGTGTCCCTCTTTCCCCATCTATCCATGGAACGTGCAGAACACCAAGGCCTTTAGAGGCTCACAGAACTACAGGCTAGAAGGAGCCCAGAACCCTGAATCACCATGAAGAGAGCTGCCGGCCAGCCAGGAACACCTGCATGGGACCGTTTCAGGAGTGAAAATCAGACTGTTAATGGATTAAGCCATTGAAATGGGTGTGTGTGCTGGGGGGAGTTCCGTGTTACCTTAGCTACTGTTACCCTAATATATCAGCCCTTCCTCTCAGGGCCCCTCTCCTCAGACAGACCGCTGAGAGAGGCTGGAATCCCCAGGCCTGATGTGCCCCACAGGCTGACCTGCGCCCCCAAGCGGACCCTGGACAAAACTACCTCCTCACTCAAGGAAGGAGGAAAACCATGGCCCCTGCAGCCACCCATGCCTGCTCAGTGGCTACCCTCTGCATGCTTGGATCTGGGCTGGGGCTGGCTTGGGACCATCTCTGGCCCTTCCCTGTGTCCCACTCCCATACCCAACCATCACCTTGTTCAGCGCCTTCCACTCCTGAATCTCTCACATCTGCATTCCCATGGTCCCCGCTCTGGACAGGCCTCATGGTATCTCACCCAGAAGTCAGCAATGGTACAAACTCTCTTAATACAGCATGGATTTGTACCAGAGACTTTTCTGAAAATGCCTACCTGTCATATCTCTTCCCACTGACTCTCCATTGCCCTGTAAATAAAGTGCATTTTACCCCAGTCTAGCCTCCTCTTCCATCACAGCCCCAGGACCTCACCATTCCCCAGGACTCACCATTCCCTGGCCCCTGTGAAATGTGTGAATAAAGTGCTACTGCAAAGCCACATCCTTACAGTGACAACGATAATGGCCAGCTACAATGACCTTCTCCTCCTGTCTCAGACTGTTAAAGCCCTACCTATCCTTCAAGTCAGCCCCATTCCTCCCAAATGCCCCCAGCAGGAATGAGCTCCCCTTCCCAGGACTTCAGTCACATGAGTAACCTATGCTGTCCAATGCCATGTGTCACGGACGGAGTTCTCTGGAAAGCAGGCTCTGCCATGCAGTTTAGGCTGTAGGGCTTTCTTAAAAAGAGCCCTTGGGATCAACTCCTGTGAAGGGAAGGGAGCCAAGTTTGAATGGGCAGAGGAAGAGGTGGAGCTGCGCTGCCGGGAATGTAACTACTATGTAAATGTCGTTTACATGTTTATACTTTGTTTAGTGTAGAATTTTATCAAGAAATATTCCTCTCTCAGAAAACCATCTCAGGTAGTTGACTTACCAGAATAACACCTTGTATTCACCTGCATATCACTTGTCACCTTCTCAGTGCCTCTGTTTATAGCTAAAAGCTGGGAGTAATTAAACATTACAAAGTTTTCCTAATGCAGTGATGCTCAAAATATTTACAGACTGAAATACATTTCATTTTATTCATTATCAATTGCTTTCTTTTTATTTCTCCTTCATATGACAATTATGAAAATATATATTTAATTACGTCTGTGGGTTGGTTATACTGAAATGAATGGTTATACCATTCATTTCAGAATGGTAAAGAGGCACCGACAATACTTCATATAAGAAGGGAAGCAGGTGGCCAGGCACAGTGGCTCACACCTGCAATCCCAGCACTTTGGAATGCCAAAGTGGGCAGATCACTTGAGCTCAGAAGGTCAAGGCTACAGTGCACACCTCTGCACTCCAGCCTGGGTGACAGAACAAGACCCTGTCTAAAAAAAAAAAAAGAAGAGAGAGAAGAGAAGGAGGAGGAGGGGGAGGAAGAGAAGGAGGGGGAGGAAGATAAGGAGGAAGAGAAGGAGGAGGAGAAGGAAGAGGAGAAGAGGAAGAAAGAGAAGGAGAAGCAGGAGGAGGAGGGGAAGAAGAAGAGGAAGAAAGAGGAGGAGGAGAAGGAGGAGGAGGAAGAGGAGGGGGAGGAGGAAGGGGAGAAGGAAGAGGAAGGGGAGAAGGAGGAAGAGGAAGGGGAGAAGGAGGAGGAGGAAGAGGAGGGGGAGAATGGGGAGGGGGAGAAGGGGGGAAGGGGAGGGGGAGAAGGGGGAAGGGAAGTGGGGAGGGGGAGGAGGAGGAGGAGAAGGAGGAAGAGTGGGGGAGAAGGAGGAGTGGGGGAGAAGGAGAAAGGAGGAGGAGGAGAAGAAAGAAGAGGAAGAAAAAAGGAAAGTGGGGATTGGGAAGGAGATTTCCTTGAAGGTGAGTGGGCTCAGCCGCACAGTGGCTGCACTGGCTGGAGCCCAGCTGACCTGCTGAGGTCAGCTTCCTGGACATAGCCTGCTCTCCCTGCACTCCTCTGCCTCCCTATGGGGAGGAAGGTTCTAGTGTGAATGATATTGTTCAGATGAAGAAACTGAGGTCACTAGACATGGTTGAGGCTGGACCCCAGCCTGCCTGAGTCCACGCTGACCGACAGACCAGGCTCCGATGTGATCCCCACCAGCCCCACCTGGGGTCTCTCTGCCGCCCCACCAAGGGCCCTCAGGCATGGCAACCATTCGTTCTGTGTTTTCCAGGCTGGCCATGCCATGTTTTAAACAGTCTGTTGTTCTGTCCGCACAAATATCCCAGGACTTGTCAGTCTGTGTGTTCCAAGCCCCTTCCTGACCTCCCACTCCGTCCCACCGTCTCCCCTCGGTGCTGGAGGCGTACTCTGCACAGCTGTCTGTCACTGCTTTTACTGCAGCACAGCATGGCTGCCATCTGTGGCTCTCCCTGCGTGGGAGCTCTGTGAGGGTGGAGACTCAGTCTCATTCACCGCCATGGCCCTCGACATGGTGTTACAGGAGCTGTTTGAAGAATGAATGAGGGGGACAGTCACGGTGGCTCACACCTGTAATCCCAGCGCTTTGGGAGACCGAGGCAGGTGGATCACTTGAGGTCAGAAGTTTAAGACCAGCCTGGGCAACATGGTGAAACTCCATCTCTATAAAAATAAGCCAGGCAAGGTGGCACATGCCTGTAATCCCAGCTACTTTGGAGGCTGTGGTCTCCCGCACAGCCAGCTCTGCATGCATTACTCTTTCTCTATTGCAATTCCCCATCTTGATAAATCAGCTCTGTCTAGGTAGTGGGCAAGTTGAACCCCTTGAGCTGCTACAGGTGGGCTACTTGGCTGTGACACTCATATTTTGGTGTTAAGAGGGTGTTAGGTAATCTGTGTGTGTTTGGTAGTCTGTAATAGTTGTATAAGACAATTGGTCTTTTCAAGTTATAACCTTATCACTAAAAACCAAAAGTAAATGGAATAAGCTGAGGGTTTTAAGTTGAAATCTTACTAAGTTTATGCGCAATATTAGAAGACTTAAGAGAACTTTAAATTCATCTTATTTTAATTTTCCATATTTAGATTTTTACTTTTTATAAATTTAACTTATAAAAATTTCATAGAGATTATTCAATACTCAGGAAGGAAAGTTTTGTTAGTCAAGTTAAAAACTGGAATACTCAAATATGTCTAACTTTTAAATACAGTTTAAAATATTGTAAGATGTTTGATTATCTAAATTTATAAACCGAACCAAAGATATTTGAAGACCTCTTAAAGGAGACTTAAAATTTGCTATACGGACAGGCGCGGTGGCTCACGCTTATAATCCCAGCACTTTGGGAGGCTGAGGCGGGTGGATCATGAGGTCAGGAGTTCAAGACCAGCCTGGCCAATATGCTGAACCCTCGTCTCTACTAAAAATACAAAAAAAATTAGCTGGGCTTGGTGGCACATGCCTGTAATCCCAGCTATTCTGGAGGCTGAGGCAGAGAATTTCTTAAACCCGGGAGATAGAGGTTGCAGTGAGCTGAGACAGCGCCACTGCACCCCAGCCTGGGCAACAGAGTGAGACTCCGTCTAAAAAAAAAAATTGCCATACATAAATAGAATAATAAGATTTGCAAGCTGAATTTGAAAATCTAGAAGCTAACCCTTACTTTTTTTTTTTTGAGACAGTATCTCACTCTGTCACCCAGGCTGGAGTGCAGTCTTGGCTCACTGCAACCTCCACCTCCAGGGTTCAGGCAATTCTCCTGCCTCAGCCTCCCATGTGGCTGGGACTACATGCGTGCACCCACCACACCCAGCTAATTTTTGTATTTTTAGTAGAGACAGGGTTTCACCATGTTGGTGAGGCTGGTCTCGGACTCCTGACCTCAGGTGATCTGCCCGCCTTGGCCTCCCAAAGTGCTGGGATTACAGGTGTGAGCCAACGTGCCTGGCCAACCCTTACTTTTATTTGCTCTGGTAGCTTGAGCCTAGAGGGGAAGGGTCTTGCCCTGGGGTATCCACAGCAGCCTGAGGAAAGACCACAGTAAGATCCCAAGGAACTGCATAGACCCGGGACAGATAACATCAGGATTGATGCTGGGTGGATACCGCTTGCTGTGTTTTTTCTTGCTCATATTGGTATATGTCTTAGTCTGCTGTGTGTTGCTATAACAGAATATCTGAGAATAGGTAATTTATAACAAATGAATTTATTTCACATGGTTCTGGAGGCTGGCAAGTCCTAGATCAAGGGGCTGGCATCTAGTGAGACCTTGACTTAGCCCTCTGTGCTGCCTCATCACATAGGGGAAGGCGGAAGAGTGAAAGACCATGTGTGCACACAACAGAAAGCAAGCACACGCACAAGAGAGAACAAGAAGCAGCTGAATTCACTTTTATAACAAACCTACTCTTGAAATAACATCATCAATCCACTCATGAGGGCACGGTCTTCATGACCTGATTAACTTTTAAAGGTCTCCCCTCTCCACGTTGCTGTATTGGGGATTAAGTTTCCAACACACAAACTTTGGGGGACACATTCAAACCATAGCAGTGTTATTTGGAAACTTTGCTTTCATACTGTTAGAAAAAGCAAATATGTGTATTTTGTTAGATAGCAATATTTTCAGTTTTAAAAAAAGATGTACAATTATAGGATCAAAAAAATAAGTAGGAACACTGTAATGTTAGAACTAAGTTCAATGTTAGGGCCAGGTGCAGTGGCTCGTGCCTGTGATGTCAGCACTTTGGGAGGCCAAGGCGGGTGGATCACTTGAGGCCAGGGATTCGAGACTAGCCTGGCCAATGTGGTGAAGCCCTGTCTCTACTTAAAAATACAAAAATGAGCCAGGTGTGGTGGTGGGCTCCTGTAGTCCCAGGACTTAGGAGGCTGAGGCAGGAGAATTGCTTGAACCTGGGAGGCACAGGTTGCAGTGAGCTGAGATTGTGCCACTGCACTGCAGCCTGGGCAGCAGAGTGAGACTCCACCTCAAGGAAAAAAAAAAAAAAAAAAAAACCTAAGTTTAATGTTAGAACTAAGTTGGAGAGAAACTCCATTTTCAGTAGAAGCAGGTTTAGGTTATTCAGACCAATCTTCCTACAGAAAGCAACTTTTAAAACTTGCCAAAATATTTAAAATCATCTTAAAAGCATCAAAGATCTAAGAAGATATGAAGAAATTGCCTGGCCAGTGAGCCCAGCATTGGAAGCCACTTTGGCCATGGTAGAGTTTGCCAACCTTGAGAAGCTGAGCAGAGCCTATGAGAGTCTTGGGGGCATGAAGGAACAGAACTTGCAGTGGGGAAATTACCCCACACTTGGGGCTGGGAAACCCAAAGGACTTAAATTTTAAGAGTAAGGGTGGGCCGGGCGCGGTGGCTCACACCTGTAATCCCAGCACTTTGGGAGGCTGAGGTGGGCGGATCACGAGGTCAGGAGATCGAGACCATCCTGGCTAACACGGTGAAATCCCATCTCTGCTAAAAATACAAAAACTTAGCCGGGTGTGGTGGCAGGCACCTGTAGTCCCAGTTACTCGGGAGGCTGAGGCAGGAGAATGGCGTGAACCTGGGAGGCAGAGCTTGCAGTGAGCCGAGATTGTGCCACTGCACTCCAGCCTGGGGGACAGAGCAAGACTCTGTCTCAAAAAAAAAAAAAAAAAAAATAGTAAGGGTGACCAGAAGCAAACTGGCCCTTGCAAGTACTATGCTCTGGCTTTGAATTACCAGGGTAGGTCAGAAAGTCTTAATCCTTGAAAACTGATTAAGGTGACCTTGGATTACTAGTGCCGCCACATACCTGGCAGAAGCTAACTAAAGTCCTAAATGAAGGAACGTGACATCATTTAGGCCTAAAGTAATTTCTAAGATAATGTCTGAAACAAATGTCCATCCTACATCAATATAACCAGGCCAGGTGTGGCACCTTATGCCTGTAATTCCAGCACTTAGGGAGGGCAAGGCAGGCAGATCACCTGAGCTCAGGAGTTCAAGACCAGCCTGGGCAACATGGTGAAACCCCATCTTTACAAAAAATACAAAAATTAGCCAGGCATGTTCCCATGTGCCTGTAGTCCCAGCTATTCAGAAAGCTGAGGTGGAAGGATTGCTTGAGCCCTAGAGGTCGAGGCTGCAGTGAGCCATAATCATGCCACTGTACTCCAGCCTGGGAAACAGAGTGAGATCCTATCTCAGGAAAAAAAAAAAAAAAAAAAAAAAAAGATAACTAGGCACACAAGGTGACAAGACAATATAACGAAGGGCCAGCTGACACAATAGATATAAAAAACAGACCCATGAGAAACTCATATTACACTATAAAACAAACATGCTTGTTATTTTTCATAAATGGAATCATACAGTATGTGCTGTTATGTTTACTCAAGGGAAAGGCACTGGAAGAGAGTGCTGGCCCCTGGACGTTGGCCTCTTGCCTGACCCCTCTCCTCCATTCACAGCTCACACTCTATGAGTCTGTTTTCATGCTGCTGATAAAGGCATACCCGAGACTGAGAAGAAAAGGAGGCTTAATTGGACTTACAGTTCCACATGGCTGGGGAGGTTTCATAATCATGGCAGAGGGTGAAACGCACTTCTTACATGGCGGCAGCAAGACAGAATGAGGAAGCAGCAAAAGCGGAAACCCCTGATAAACCCATCAGATATTGTGAGACTTATTCACTATCCCGAGAATAGCACGGGAAAGACCAGCTCCCATAATTCAATTACCTCCTCCTGGGTCCCTCCCACAACACGTGGGAATTCTGGGAGATACAATTCAAGTTGAGATTTGAATGGGGACACAGCCAAACCATATCATTCCCCCCTGGCCCCTCCAAATCTATGTCTTCACATTTCAAAACCAATCATGCCTTCCCAACAGTCCCCCAAAGTCTGAATTCATTTCAGCATTAACCCAGAAGTCCACAATTCAAAGTCTCATCTGAGACAAGGCAAGTCCCTTCCATCTATGAGCCTGTAAAATCGAAAGCAAGCTAGTTACTTCCTAGATATGGAGGCGGGACAGGCATTGGGTAAATACAGCCATTCCAAATGGGTGAAATTGGCCAAAACAAAGCGGTTACAGGGCCCAGGCAAGTCTGAGATCCAGCAGGGCAGTCAAATTTTAAAGCTCCAAAATTATCTCCTTTGACTCAAAGTCTCACATTCAGGTCACAGTGATGCAAGAGGTGGGTTCCCATGGTCTTGGGCAGCTCCGCCCAAGGGGGCTGAGCCTGGGGTGATCTGCTGTTCTCACCTTGAATTTCCCGCTCAGTGCGGGGCACTTTGGAGGATGGCCACAGTGGGGGCAGTATACAGGCTTGCTCATGCCCATCAGCACGCTGCTCAATGTCTGCCGCTGGCATCTTGACCTGGGCTCTACTGGCTGAGGAAAGCCTGAGGGTACCCCACTTCTGCTCAAGCCCTCCCATGGGTGGACATAAGATTTATTACATTACCATTTACATGTTTCGATGTGCCTGAACACACCAGGATCTCCATTGTTTCCAGCAACTGTGGAAAGTAGGCATCATTAGCCCCCTTTGGCAGGGAGAGACTTGGACTTAGGGAGAACGACCAGCCCAGTCGTTCTCAAGCTTGGCTGCAGTTTGAAATCACCTGGGGAAGCTTTAAACATTTAATTTGAAGCACCGTGCGTGGAACCCAGGTGTCAGTAGTTTTTAAAGCACCCCCAGGTGATGTTAATTTACAGCCAAAATCAAGACCCACCAGTCAATCCCAGGCCCACAGCCAGTGGGGAGCAGAGTCTACTCGAGAATTCCAAATCTTAAGGCAGTGTGAAGAATGGGGGAGAGGTTCTTGGATCACTGAGTGTCTGGAGTCCCACATTGTGGGAAGACAGAGCCCCACAGGACAGTCCTGGCTTCTGCGGAGCCAACCTCTTCTCTCCTTGTCCTTCCCTGACTCCAGAACTTGAGCCCAGGCAGCCAAAGCCCAGGGGGACAATGGGTGACTCAGATGCTTCCTGTTTTCTTGGCCACAGTGGCAGGGTGATGGAAACAGCCCAGGCTGGGGTTCATGGCCTAACAGAGGGGCCTGGAGAGAGGCAGGAGGAATGAACGGGGTAGAGCCACAGATGGCAGTTTTCTGGCCTCAAAGAATGGAGACAAGTGTGGTTTGTTTGGTGGCCAGGTCAACAACAAAGGGAAAAAGAGAGGAAGAATTTGAAGCTAGCTTTCTTTCTTTTCTTTTTCTCTTTTTGAGACAGCGTCTCTTTCACTCACCCAGGCTGGAGTACAGTGGTGACATCTCGGCTCACGGCAACCTCAAACTCCCAGGCTCAGGTGATCCTCCTGCCTCAGCCTCCCAAGTAGCTGGGACCACAGGTGCTCGCCAACACACCTGGCTAATTTTTTGTAGAGACAGAGTTTTGCCATGTTACTCAGGCTGGTCTTGAACTCCTGAGCTCGAGTGATCTTCCTGCCTCAGCCTCCCAAAGTGCTGAGATTACAGGTGTGAGCAACCGCATCCAGCTGAGATTTCTTGACATATAACACATGATTTTCTGAGTCCTCAGGGGTTGAAGAAGAGGCCTGAGGTTCTGCTTTGGTTCAGGCAAAGCAGATAAGCTGGGAGGCTGTGTGGGTCAAGGGGAAGAACTCTAGCCCAGGTCCTTTGCCTCCCTGAGTATTTTGTGCCTGCCCTACCATGAATGACTCTCTTACCCTGGGTAAGCCCCTGGCATCTCTTAGCCTCTGCTTTCTGTCCTATGAAATGGGAAGGGGCTGGCATAGGCTGAGCTCTGAGACTGTGAGAAAACCCTTAACCCCTCCCAGTCCTACAGAGCACTGTGAGGCCTCCAAGAGACTTCATTTACATAGTTCTGATTCCGGGTCTGACAATAACACTGAGAGGTGAGCAGGAAAAGCACTATCATTACCTGATTGCTATGGGAAACATCAATGAACAGAGAGCCTAAGAAAGGTGCTGGCCAGGCCAGGCACAGTGGCTCACGCCTGTAATCCCAGCACTTTGGGAGGCTGAGGTGGGCGGATCACCTGAGGTGAGGAGTTTGAGACCAGCCTGGCCAACATGGTGAAACCCCGTCTCTACTAAAAATACAAAAAATTTACTAGGCGTGGTGGTGCACGCCTGTAATCCCAGCTAGTCGGGAGGCCGAGGCAGGAGAATCGCTTGAACCCGGGAGGCAGAGGTTGCAGTGAGCTCAGATCACCCCATTGCACCTCTAGCTTGGGCAACAAGAGTGAGACTCCATCTCAAAAAAAAAAAAAAAGAAAAAGAAAGAAAAGAAAGGTGCTGGCCAATAGTGCCCAGAAATGGGGACCCATATGCTTCTGGTGGCCCACCTTGGTCAAGTTCCCTTCCTTGGAGGACAGCAATTTGGAGATATTTATTAAAAATCATACATGTTAGAGTGTTGGCTTCAATCTTCTCCCTGCTGAAGTCACCCTTGGATAATAATCCTAAATTCAGAAAAAGCTTTTTAGACAAAGAAGATGTACTCTAAAGTGAATTTTGAACTGGGTGTGGTGGCTCATGCCTGTAATCCCAACACTTTGGGAGGCTGAGGCTGGAGGACTGCTTGAGTTCAGGAGTTTAAGACCAGCCTGGGCAACATGGTAAGACCTGTAGTCCCATCAACTCTAGAGGCTGAGGTGGGAGGATGGCTTGAGCCTGGGAGGTTGAGGCTGTGGTGAGCCATGATCACACCACTGCACTCCAGCCTGGGAGACAAGAGTGAGACCCTGTCTCAAAATAAAAAAATTTTTTAAAAAGTTGAATTTTGTAATAATGGAAAGGTAAACAGCCCTGATGTCCAGCCATAGGAAAAGGTACCCATGGAATGTGTATTAGCTACCTGCTGCTGAGTAACAAGTTACCCTCAAACTTACTGCCTTAAATAGCAAACACCTACTATCTCATAGTTCCCATAGGGCAGGAACACCAGCATGCCTTAACTGGGTGCCTCTGGCTCAGGGCCTGTCACAAGGCTGCAATCCAGGTCTCTACTGGGGCTGTGACCATCTCAAAGCTTGACTAGAAGAAGGTCCACTTCCAAGCTCACTCACAAGTCTGTGGCCCAGGTCCTTGGCTCTGGGCTGGAGACATCAGTTCCTCAGTATGTGGGCCCCTCCACGGGGCAGCTCACAACGTGGCAGCTGGTTTTCTTCAGGACGAGCAAGACAGCAAGAGGGAGCAAGCAACGTGGAAGGCACCCAGTCCTTTGTAACCGGATCTTGGAAGTGACAACCCTTCATTTTTGCTCACTTCTGTTCCTCGGAAGTGAGTCACTAGGTCTAGCCACATTCAAAGGGAGAGGATTACACAGGGCATGAATACCAGGAAGTGGGGGCTTTCTTAGAGGCTAACTACCATGTGATGTATGTGACCTTTTTTTTTTTTTTTTTTGAGACAGGATCTAGAGTGCGATGGTGTGATTACAGCTCACTATAGCCTCGACTACCGGGGCTCAAGCGATCCTCCTACCTCAGTCTCCCAAGTAGCTAGGACCACAGATGCATGCCACCACAGCCGGCTAATTTTTTTAATCATTATTTTTTGTAGAGACCAGGTCTCCCTATGCTGCCCAGGCTGGTCTCGAACTCCTGGACTCAAGCAATCCTCCTACCTCAGCCTCCCAGAGTGCTGGGATGACAGGCATGAGCCACCATGTCTGGCCTATGACCTTAAGTTAAATGAAGACAACAGGATGCAAAACTGCTAACACAGGGTGATCACATCTGACTTAACAATACAATAGGGGAAAAGATGGGAAGAAATTTGTTAGAAACACCTGTGTGGAGTGGGGGAGCAGCGGCAGGGAAAGCATCAGGAAAAATAGCTAACGCGTGCTGGGCTGAATTCTTAGGTGACGGGTTGATAGCTGCAGCAAATCACCATAGCATACATTTACCTATGGAACAAACCTGCACATCCTGCACATATACCCTGGAACTTAAAATAAACAAATACTAAAATACCTGAAGAGGAAAAACCAAAACAGAACACCTATCCACATCTAAAAAGCAAACAGGAGGCTGGGTGTGATGGCTCATGCCTATAATCCTAGCACTTTGGGAGGCCGAGGCAGGCAGATCATGAGGTCAATAGATCGAGACCATCCTGGTCAAGATGGTGAAACCCCGTCTCTACTAAAAATACAAAAATTAGCTGGGCATGGTGGCGCACGCCTGTAGTCCCAGCTACTTGGGAGGCTGAGGCAGGAGAAACATTTGAACCCAGGAGGCGGAGGTTACAGTGAGCCAAGATCGTGCCACTGCACTCCAGCCTGGGCGACAGAGCAAGACTCTGTCTCAGAAAAAACAAACAAACAAACAAACAAAAAAACAAGCAAACAAAAAAACGCTAACAGGGTCTGGATGATAAAGCATCTTTGTAAATTAGGTTTCTTGCTTTTCTATATAGAGCCAAGGGGCTGGGTAGGAAGGAATCCAGCCCCTGCTTTCCGTGCTGGAGCCTGTCTAAGCAGTAAGAACCTGTAAGTTCCCATGTTGAGACAGCCTCAGAGGATGCATGGGAGACACATCCTAACCACCTCTGACCTTATTGCATATTCCTGGGTTTGTTGGAGCTGAGTGGGTGGCTCCAATAGAGTTGGATCCTCAGAATCACTGTTGATTTGGTGTAGACGAGGTGGCCCAGGAAAGGGAAAGTAGCTGGCATGGTGGAAAGCACCTCAAAGTTGCAGTCTCAGACCTTGGGCCTGCCAGTTACATGAACGTGGGCCTCATTCAGACCTCAGTTTCCTTATCCACAGAATGGGATAAAGATAAGTAATATTGCCAGGTGTGGTGGCTCACACCTGTGATCTCAGCACTTTGGGAGGCTGAGGTGGGCAGATCACTTGAGGTCAGGAGTTCGAGACCAGCCTGGCCAACATGTGAAACCCCATCTCTACTAAAAATACAAAATTAGCCAGGCGTGGTGGCGCACACTGTAGGCCTAGCTACTCAGGAGGCTGAGGCAGGAGAATCACTTGAACCTGTGAGGTGGAGGTTACAGTGAGCCAAGACTGTACCACTGCACTCCAGCCTGGGCAACAAGAGCGAGATTCTGTCTCAAAAAAAAAAAAAAAGATAAGTAATATCACATGGGGTTAAATGGGATTGATTGTGCACAGAAGTAGAAATATACTCAGTACGCTGTAAAGCTCTGGACCGGTGATGTTTTCTTCAGGAGTTAACCGGAGCAAATATACCTCAGTATTGCCTCTGAGCTCTCAGCAGGAGTCAGCCCTCCCCCAGCCACTGGGCAGCAGGCCTTGCTGGCTCCCACGTCCTGAACCATAGTTCCATGCTCACCTCTAACTAGGTACGTTGGTTAAATGTTTAAGTTGAACATGCTTTGGTTCAAAAGGATGAGGTTACCTCTAATGAAAGACAACGTGGCAACATCCACCAAAATCACAATTTCAGCCAGGCACGGTGGCTCATGCCTGGAATCTCAGCACTTTGGGAGCCCAAGGCAGGCAGATCGCTTGAGGCCAAGAGTTTGAGACAAGCCTGGCCAACAAGGTGAAACTTCATCTCTACTAAAAACACAAAGATTAGCTGGGTGTGGCAGTGCACACCTGTAATCCCAGCTACTCGGTAGGCTGAGGCAGGAGAATCATTTGAACCCAGGAGGCAGAGATGCAGTGAACTGAGATCATGCCACTGCACTCCAGCCTGGGCAACAGAGTGAGACTCTGTCTCAAAAATAAAATAAAACAAAAATCACAAATTCACTTTTAGGAATAAATACACACTCACAGGTGTACATAAGGACACAGGGATATACAGGGAGAACAAAACATTGTCAAGAAAAAAGTGTCCATCCACAGGGGGCTGGCTAGATCAGTCATGGAACATCCAGGCCAGGGAGTGCTGTGAAGCCCTTAAAAAGAGCGAGGTGGCCGGGCGCAATGGCTCACGCCTGGAATCCCAGTACTTTGGGAGGCCGAGGCGGGAGGATGGCTTGAGCCCAGGAGTCCAAGACCAGCCTAGACAATATACATGAGACTTCATCACTACAAAAAGTAAAAAATAAAATTTAAAAAAAGCTGAGCATGGTGGAGGGTGCTTGTGGAGCTACTTGAGAGGCTGAGGTCGGGGGATTGCTCGAGCCCGGGAGTTTGAGGCTGCAGTGAGCTATGATCCTGCCACTGCACTCCAGCCTGGGCAGTGGAGCAAGACCCTGTCTCCAAAAATAAGTAAAGAAGTAATACCACTTTACCTTGAGAAATGGATTCTAGTTCTGACTGCCTGTGACCCTTGCCCTTTCTGGACCTCAGTTTCCCCACTGGGTACACGGACTGCTCTAGCTGTCCTCTCCCAGGCGGATGAGTGACAGCTCCACCCTCTGGGTTCTCCTTCTGTCTCTCCCTCCACCCGCACCAACCCCAGGCCAGGCTCGGCTCTGATGTGAGTGGCAGTTTCCTCAGGACTCATCTTCCCCTCCTGCCCCAAACACAAGCTCATAGGTCAACTCTGTTACAAGGCCTTACTGCTCATCACTCAACAGAACCAGCTTCAGAGACAACCATAGCAAACACAAGGAGCTCTACGAGCCTTAGAAGCATTCATTGTCTCTAAAATGTTGGGTCCCCGGTTAGTATTTCGGAACACTTCTATGGTCATCGCTGGGCCCTCGTGGGCACTTCTTCCTTAGGAAGGAGCCACCCCCATCATCCCTCTCTGAAGAAGGACCCAGGCTCCCTCCTTCCAAGATGGCGCCTCTTCCCAGAGGAGGTGCACTGAAGCCCTCACTCCAAAACCCAGCCTGCTTCTGCCCAGGGGTGATCCTTTGAGCTTGTTCTCACGGCCTCTGCAGGGATGAAGGGAAAAACTCTTCATTCATTCATTCATCCTTAAGCAAACAGCAGTACCATAGGCAAAACCATGGGATTCAATGGAGAATAAAAACAGACAAGGTTAGAAGCTATGAGGAGATGGACTCTTACCAAACAGCCTCCTAAATAAAAGTGAAACGAGGCCTGTGATGGATGCTCTAGAAGACAGGCTCCAGAGAATGTCCTGAGGGAGACAAGCTGAGGCGCTTCTTCCCATCTTCACAGAGACTCTCCTCTCTCCCTACCCCACAGCCTCCTCCTTTCACCCTTCAGAAACTGGAAGCAGAGGACTTGGCTGGCATCTTCAGCAGCCAGCCATGGGGTTCCCCACAGGTGGAAATGGGGGGAGAAAAATGCAAGGCACGATCCTGAAAATTTCTAGGAGATGAGCTCAGGCCAAAGAGCCCTGGTGGGAGGTGCTGGCTGGGCCAGTTCCAGACCTGTCACCATCATTATCATCGCTTGTTCCCAGCACCAGCCTCCAGCCCTCCAAGGCCCATATCCAAATCTCTGTCCCTCCCCACACCTCCGCCCTGCAGGGGTCCCAGGCAGCAAGGCCACTGCCATGTGAGATCTTTCAGTTTGGAATTGATGTTTTACTGCCAATGCCAGTGTCTGCACCAAGACAGGAATTCGTGTGCACGTGTGTGTGTGTGTGTGTGTGTGTGTACACATGCGTGTTATACACGTAAGTCCATACTCTGTGGATAGGATGTCAATTCATTCCAGATTTACTGGAACAAACTCAATTCCACATAGTTGGACACCACAAACCATGAAAATGTCCAGAAAATTCCAATATGATTATTTCTTTGTGCAGTACTCCTTCAGTTTTGTTCCAAAAAAAAGAAGGATTTGAGAACCAGCTTGCAGAAGTGTATGCATACCTCAGACAGGTCTTAGAATAATAGACAAAAGGAGCAGCTGGGAGGGAGAGTAAGACGTCACACACAAATGCATAATCCAAGTCCTGTGTGCATGCTGGAGACTGGCCACAAATGCATCTCAGAATTTCCAAGTATCCAGAGCTAAGAGGGAAATAAGATGATACAGATTTCAGTTCTTGAGAACTTTGGGAATTTCCCCCAAAAGTCCTCAGAAAGGAGAGGTGGCGCAATGCAAGTTTAGAGGGGAACAGATTCACTTTCCATATCTTAACAGTGGTTTGGTGACATGAGTGACTGCGTTTGAAAAAACTCACAGAATAGCACACTTAAGACTTGTGCCTTTCACTGTAAGCAAATGTTACCTCAAAAAGAAAAGAACCATAAACAAATACAGTTCATGATGCTGCTACTGAAGTGTTTAGGGCTGAAGTGACCTGATAAGGGACATGTGGCATGTTATGAAGCAAATACAGTAACAGGTAGAATCTCGGCCAGGTGCGGTGGCTCATGCCTGTAACCCCAGCACTCTGGGAGGCGAGGCGGGTGGATCACCTGAGGTCAGGAGTTTGACAACAGCCTGGGCAACATGGTGAAACCCTGTCTCTACTAAAAATACAGAAAATTAGCTGAGCGTGGTGGCACTCGTCTCTAATCCCAGCTACTTGGGAGGCTGAGGCAGAATTGCTTGAACCCGGGGGGCAGAGGTTACAGTGAGCCAAGATCATGCCAACGCACTGCAGCCTGGGCGACCAGAGCAAAACTCCATCTCAAAAATAAAAAAAAAAGAGCTGATGTCATCTCTGAAAAATGTCCCCTTCCCATGGAGCCAGGGCCAGTGTCTGTGTGATTTTTTTTTGTTTTTGTTTTTGTTTTTGTTGTGTGTGTGTGTGTGTGACGGAGTCTCACTCTGTTGCCCAGGCTGGAGTGCAGTGGTGATCTCGGTTCACTGCGAGCTCCGCCTCCCAGGTTCACGCCATTCTCCTGCCTCAGCCTCCCAAGTAGCTGGGACTACAGGCACCTGCTACCAGGCCCGGCTAATTTTTTGTATTTTTAGTAGAGACAGGGTTTCACTGTGTTAGCCAGGATGGTCTTGATCTCCTGACCTTGTGATCTGCCTGCCTCGGCCTCCCAAAGTGCTGGGATTATAGGCGTGAGCCACCACACCCAGCCTCTTTTTTTTTACTTTTTTTTTTTTTTTTTTTTTGAGACAGGGTCTCACTTTGTCATCCAGGCTGGAGTGCAGTGGCATGATCTCAGCTCACTGCAACCTCTGCCTCCCTGGTTCAAGCAATCCTCCATCCTTGGCCTTCCAAGTAGCTGGAACTACAGGTGCGTGCCACCACCCCCGGCTAATTTTTGTATTTTTTAAGTAGAGACAGGGTTTCACCATGTTGGCCAGGCTGGTCTCGAACTCCTGACCTCAGGTGATCCACCCACCTCAGCCTCCCAAAGTGCTAGGATTACAAGCATGAGCCACCGCATCCAGCCACAATTCTTTCAATGTTTCTGTATGTTTGGATATTTCATAATAAAAAGTTGAGGGCTCTGAGAAATTAAGTGGGCTTTGGGAGTTATCATCCACACCCAGAAGACTAAAAGTTGTGAGTTTTGTCCACAGAGTCAGAGCTGGCAGCAGGCCTCAAAACTGGCTGAACCCCAGCATGTTTCCCACAGGCAGTGATGGGCTCAGAGGTGCAGAGCTGTGGCTTTAGCAGAGCAGAAGCAGAGAGGCCTGGCTCCCCACAGAGCCACAGCCTCCCAGGGTTTTGGTGTCGCCCAGTCAAAGCTCTCAGACCATAGAAGTCCTGTGCCAGGCCATCAGGGAGCGTCTGCCCTTGAGGCTCTGCGCCCCAGACATAACGCCCTTGCAAGTGGCAGCACTAGACTTCAGCCTGGACAGTGTGATGGTGTGGATGAGGGATCCTTTATGGGGGCTTTCCTCTGTGCCAGGCACTCTGTATTACATCTGTCATGTCATTTAACATTCAAATGACCCTGTGTAGGAGATACTATCATCATCCTCTTTTATACATTAAAAACAGGGCCCAAAGAAGGGCAGTAACTTGTTTGTAACCACTCAACTGGCAAATGCTGAGCTGGGATTCAGTGTCTTATTTGGCTCGAGTCCTTGACCCTAACCACTGCTCTCTTCCACTCCACCTGCTGCCCTCTCTTGTTCCTTCCCCTTTCCTCCTCACCACCCTCACCTTCAGAGGCCTGTCCAGACAATTCGTCTCTGCTCCACCCTCAGAAGAAAGCTCAGTAGAAATTCTAAGCTTAAGCCCTGTATTAGCTCATTCTCACACTGCTATAAAGAACTGCCCAAGACTAGGCCGGGCGCAGTGGCTCATGCCTGTAATCCCAGCACTTTGGGAAGCCGAGGCGGGCAGATCACAAGGTCAGGAGATCGAGACCATCCTGGCTAACATGGTGAAACCCCGTCTCTACTAAAAATACAAAAAATTAGCCGGGCGTAGTGGTGGGCGCCTGTAGTCCCAGCTACTCGGGAGGCTGAGGCAGGAGAATGGCGTGAACCCGGGAGGCGGAGCTTGCAGTGAGCCAGTGAGCCGAGACTGCGCCACTACACTCCAGCCTGGGCGACAGAGCCAGACTCCATTTCAAAAAAAAAAAAAAAAAAAAGAACTGCCCAAGACTTGGTAATTTATAAAGAAAAGAGGTTTATTGGACTCACAATTCCACATGGCTGGAGAGTCCCCAGGAAACTTACAATCATAGTGGAAGGGGAAGCAAGGTAAGTCTTACATGGGCAGCAGCAAGAGGAACAGTCAGACATGTATAAAACCATCAGATCTTGTGGGAACTCCCTCACTATCATGAGAACAGCATGGGAGACACTGCCCCGATGATCCAATCACCTCCCACCAGGTCTCTTGCTCGACACATGGGGATTATGGGGATTACAATTCACAATGAGATTTGGGTGGGGACACAAAGCATAACCATATCAGGCCCAAAGTACTCCTAGAAACCCCTAATCCCCTCGACTCACCCAACTCTAGGCTCTTCAAGACAGCTCTGCACCCTGGGGGCGGGGGTCCTTTCCCCAACACTCCCTGGACCCACACACATGCACACACAGGTACACATGTAGTCAAGCATGCATGCACACACACCATGACCTCCTGTTGGGTCAAGCCAGCCCCACTCTCATCCCTGCAAACCCGCTTCATCCATCCCAGCATTTTCAGGGCTGCCCCTACCAGATTCCCTGCCTACCACAAAATCAAAACCCTGAAAAAAGCCTATCACCTCTTTACTAGAATCCCAGAGCTAAGAAAGACTTCAGACATCTGTAGCCAGCCTCCTCTTCATTACTGAGGAGGAAATGAAGACCCAGCATGGGACAATGGCAGGTCCAATGTCACCCAGCAGGCAGAACTGAACCTTGTCTCCTGCCCCTTATTCTGACCCTGGGGCTTGCTCCCTTAGCTCAGGGCTGGGCAGGGCTGAATTGGGCTGCAGGGCTGGTGGTGTGAAGACTGGGGAGGTTGGGGGTGGGGGACCGAGAGACCCCCTGGAGAAGGACCAGCTCCTAGGGCCAGAGGAGAGAATTGCTGAAGCTGGGCCCAACAGTGTCTACTGGGATGATCCCGAAAGACAGGCTCTCACTTTATCGATGGGAGCCTCAGGCCCATAGAGAGGAAGTGCCTGGCACTGATCCCACAGCCAGTTCCTGGCAAGATGGAGGTGGGACTCAGTTTTTCTGACTCTCCAGTGTCCTCTCACTACCACCCCTCAATTTGCTCCTAATGATCCTGAGGCACAGAGCAGGCTGGGACCTTCTGCAGCATTCACCCTCTCTGTGCTCCCAGAACTGAGGACCAGACCCTTTGCCTTTACAAAGCCTGTCTCTAAAAGTCACAGGGCTCTGGCTATGGCCTGGGCCCCCACCTCTGCAGCCCCTTGCAGGGAGGGAAGAAAAGGAAGTTACAGAGGCCCAAGAGCCACTTAAGGCCTGGCCTCAGGGACTTCAGCCCCACTGCTGAGGGAAAGGTCTCACCCTGGCCAAGCACTGGGAGCCCAGGCCTCAGACAGGGCCTAGGCAGCTTCTGCAGAGCATGTATGGAGGAGGGGAAGGCGGGGATGGCTTAGTCTACTTGTGCTGCTATAACAAAATATCTCAGACTGGGTCATTTACAAACCAACAGAAACGTAATTCTCACAGTTCCAGAGTCTGGAAGTCCAAGATGAGGACACCAGCAGGTTTGCGTCTGGTAGGGTCTGCTCTCTGCTTCCAAGGTGGTGCCCTGTGGCTGAGCCCTCCGAGTGGACGAACACTGTGTCCTCACATGGGGGAAGGGACAGAAGGATGAAAGGGGCCCGGCAGGTTCCCTCCAGCCCTTTTATGAGGTCACTAATCCTGTCCATGAAGGCCCCAACTCTTAATACTATCACATCGGTGATTAAGTTTCAACATATGAAATTCGGGGACACATTCAGAGCAGCGCAGGGGCTTATCCATCCTCATTCCAGCCAGAGCCAGGCTTGGAGTCCATGGGAGGAAAACAGGGCCTCAATGATGGAGGCTGTGTCTGCAGCCAGACCCCAGGCCAGTTGAGCAGCCCCTCCAACACAAACACTGGCCCTGGCTCCACCGGAAGGGGCATTTTTCAGAGATGACATCAGCTTTGCTCTTCTTTTCCTTTCTTTTATTTTCCTTTTCTTTCTTTCTTTTTTTTTTTTTTTAGACGGAGTCTCGCTCTGTCACCCAGGCTGGAGTGCAGTGGCACGATCTCAGCTCACTGCAAGCTCCACCTCCCGGGTTCAGGCCATTCTCCTCCCTCAGCCTCCCAAGTAGCTGGAACTACAGGTGCCCGCCACCACATCCAGCTAATTTTTTTGTATTTTTTTAGTAGAGACGGGGTTTCACCTTGTTAGCCAGGATGGTCTCGATCTCCTGACCTTGTGATCCACCCAACTCGGCCTCCCAAAGTGCTGGGATTACAGGCATGAGCCACCGCACCTGGCTCTTTTCTTTTCTTTGAGATGGAGTCTCACTCTTTCACCCAGGCTGGAGTGCATTGGCACGATCTTGGCTCACTGCAACCTCTGCCTCCCGGGTTCTAGCCTCCCAAGTAGCTGGGATTACAGGCATGCGCCACCATGCCTGGCTAATTTTTATATATATATATATATATATATATATATATATATATATATATATATATATATGTGTGTGTGTGTGTGTGTGTGTGTGTGTGTGTGTGTGTGTGTGTGTGTGTGTGCGTGTATATATATATATATTTTTTTGAGACGGAGTTTCGCTCTTTTTGCCCAGGCTGGAATGCACTAGCGTGATCTCGGCTCACCACAACCTCCACTTCCCGGTTTCAAGTGATTCTCCTGCCTCAGCCTCCCGAGTAGCTGGGATTACAAGCATGCACCACCACACCCGGCTAATTTTGTATTTTTAGTAGAGATGGGGTTTCTCCATGTTGATCGGGCTGGTCTCGAACTCCCGACTTCAAGTGATCTGCCCACCTTGGCCTCCAAAAGTGCTGGGATTACAGGTGTCAGCCACCGCGCCTGGCCATTAATTTTTATATTTTTAGTAGAGATGGGATTTCACCATGTTGGCCAGGCTGGTCTCAAACTCCTGACAGTGATCTGCTCACCTTGGCCTCCCAAAGTGCTGGGATTACAGACATGAGCCACTGCGCCAGGCGGACATCAGCTCTTAAAGTCGTATGTTTCCTGCCTACCTCAGCCCAGGGAACAGAGTCCCCAGAGCCCACTCGCCTGTTCAGCGGCCTGCTTACCCCTGAGGACACAGCCTTGCCTGGGCACTGCAGGGCAGGTGCAAGCAGAGAGAAGATACCAACCTCCCAGGTCCAGAAATACATCTCAGGGCCTTTACTCATGCTATCCTTCCACCTGTTCCAATGCCTTCCCCACTCTGTGCCTCCACGAACGCCTGGCAAATGTCTCTGCATCCTTCGTGTCCCTTCGAAGACAGCCCCACACCCCTAGTCTCTCAGCGTTCCATCCCTCCATCCATTACAGCCCGGCCACTCTGCACCACATCCAGAACCTCCCCCCTTCCCCTCCCTGCTCGCCTCCTGTCCTCATGAGACCCCCAGTTCCAGAGGCCCACAGGCCAAGTCCTATTTTACTCTGGCCAGGGCCTCTTGGGGACTCAGGAAATGTTTCTTGAGGAAAGGCTAGAGGGCAGACAGGTAGGAAATCTGGTGGGGGAAATATCCTTATTGACACACCCCCATCCAATCACTACATTTTTGTAAGGGACCCAGCCCTGGCTTCTACTTTGAGAATCACTCCTGTCCCCATGAATGCACCTGGGGAACGTCAGAATTTGGGAATAAAGATCTTAGTGCCTTCACCACAGGCATCACCAGGGAAACCCCAAGGGACCTGGCCCCGTTCACCAGCTGGGCCCCCCAGTAAAGCAGCCTCCCCCCAGCCTACCCCCCAGGTGGGTGGGTCTAGACCCCCACCCCACCCACCCCCTGGCCTCCCTCAGCAAACCTCCGCACAATTGCTAGGTAGCGAGGCCTGAAGGAGCTCTCTAGTTTCCTCAACCTCTAACGGTTCCAGTAATAGCACCACCCTCAGAGCAGGGCCACCACGAGGCCAGGGTCAGTCCAGACGGGGCCGGCTTTTGTCCACACAGCCGTACAAGCCTGCCCTTGCTGGAGCCTGGAACCTCCCGCCCCACTGCAGCCGAAGCTGCATCTATTGCCTTGTCTCAGGGGTTGATGAATGAATACATGAAAGCCCCTGGACCTTAGGAAGCACCCAGTCAACGTTAGCCACGGTTAGGTTCATTATTGTACTATTTCGATTTTACTCACATTATTAAGCGTCCACTAGGTGGCAGCACTAGAGGACTGGATGCTGATGAACCAGGCTGGCCGCCTCCCGCCTCCCAGGAACCTACAAAGGGGCAGGGGACAGATACATAAACAGCTGATGTGGAAGTGCAGGGTGGGAGGGGTAAACGCAGGCTGTAGGAAAACCCAGGAACAGCCTAGACAACATAGCAAGACCCCATCTCTACAAAAAATTAGGCATGCGTGGTGGTGGGTGCCTATAGCCCCAGCTACTTGGGGTGCTGAGGTGGATCACTTGAGCCCAGGAGGTCCAGGCTGCAGTGAGCCGTGACCATGTCACTGTTTAAAAGAAAAAGAAAGAAGGAAGGAAGGAAGGAAGGAGAAAGAGAGAGAGAGAGAAAGAAAAAGAAAGAAAAGAAAGAAGAAGAAAGAAAGAAAAGAAAGAAGAAGAAAGAAAGAAAGAAAGAAAGAAAGAAAGAAAGAAAGAAAGAAAGAAAGAAAGAAAGAAAGAAAGAAAACAAAAAAAGAAAGAAAAGAAAACAAAATCCAGAGAACCTAGTCTGGCCTGAGGGTGCATGAATCCAGAAAGGCTTCCTGGAGGAGGTGCTACCCATTGAAGACCCAAAGGAAGAGTACAAAGAAATTAACCAACAACAAAGCCATAAGGCCCAGTTGAGAGAGCTGTGGTGAGGGCTCAGCTGAAGGCAGGGAGGCTGGAAATTGAGCTATGTGAAGGAGGCCTTTCTGATGGGGAGGGCACTGCAGGGAAGGGAGCCACAGCAGATGAGGGCAAGAGGTGCTGAGACTACAGGGTGGGCTGTTCTAGCAGGTGGTGCTGGTTGAATGAATGAGTGAGGAAAGAAATGAATGAGGGATACAAAGAGAGAAGGCCAAGGTGGAAAAACCAACTCTATCTTTTATGGTGGGTTTTTTGGTTGTTTTTTTTTTGGCAGCTGGGACAAGTAGACAGAGACACATGGCAACATACACTGGTCCTGCGCCACCCCCAGCTTGGGACTCGAAGGACTGGGGTGTGCTGAAGGTGGCATGTCAAGCCCAGAAGGGTCCAGGAGGACCAGGTCTCCCCCCTCCTTGGCTGCCCTTCTGTCCCAGGATGGGGAGTTGATTGATAGCTCCCCTGCCCCCCCGCCCCCCACCCAGCGCCAAGCTCCCCCAGCTGCTGACTCAGGCCCTGCCGGCCAGCTCAGCATTCCTGCCCGGCCCCCACTGAATGGAGCTATTGAAAGTTTCTGTAGCCACAGACCACACCCCCAACCAGAGCCTTCGGCTGTGCTGTGGCTCCTCTCTCAGGGGACAGCGTAGGCCCTGGGGGTCAGTTGGAGAGGGCTCTGACTACCAGCGACTGCTCTGGGGGTGTCTGCGATCAAGGACGATCCTGGGTAAGCTGGCTGGGCTGGCACCAAAGAGGGGATTCCAGAGCGAGGGGTCTCCCTCGTGTGCAGGACAGAGGCACTGGGATGGGCAACCCCGGCTTGGGGGAGGGGTCTGCGTGTCGTTGGGAGAGCCAAAGGGCCCTGTGGGTTTTCCCACCTGCCCCCTCAGACTGGAGCTTCCCTGAGGTAGACGTGGTTTCCCCCTTAGATAGAGGCCACTCAGGGGTATGGGCTGGGTCTCCCCCATCAGACAGGAGCCAAGGTAGGGAGAAGGGATAGTTTGGAGTCTTGCCCATCAGTCTCAGAGCTCCCCAGGCACGGAAACAGCATCAGACATCCAGCCTCAGCCTCTGCTGCTGGGTGCAGATCAAGCGCCTTCCTTTCCCTTCCTCTCCCCACTTGGCCTTTGCCCTAAGCCAAGACCTGGCCATCAGCCTGGCTGCAGGGGCCTGCAGAGCCAGCTGCACTTTTTCAGGTATGGGGGAGGGCCAGGCACCATGAAGCCAGTGTGGGTCGCCACCCTTCTGTGGATGCTACTGCTGGTGCCCAGGCTGGGGGCCGCCCGGAAGGGGTCCCCAGAAGAGGCCTCCTTCTACTATGGAACCTTCCCTCTTGGTACGGCCACGCCTCTGTTCGTCTGTCTGCCTGTCTGTCGTCCACCTGCCCACTTTGGCTGACTTGACAAGGAGTTTGGTGTTCTTGCTTCCTGATTGGCAGGATGAGAAACCTACCTTTGTGTGGTTGTTCTAAAAGCTCCTAACAGATATTTTTTTTTTGAAGTTACTAAAAATTACACAGATAATGTATGCTAATCAGAGCTAAAATTGTGCAAAAAATGTTTTTAATATATCTTCCCCTACCGTGCCTCATGTGCTCACACTCCTAGGAAGACAAGTCCCCAGTGGGACAGGGGCAGCGTGGTAGGGAGGGGCAGTCCCTGAGGCCTGGGAGGCACAGCCCAGAGTCCTGGCTCTGGGTGACACATGGGAGCACCTGGGACCCAGCACGGGTCTCCCCCTGCAGGCTTCTCCTGGGGCGTGGGCAGTTCTGCCTACCAGACGGAGGGCGCCTGGGACCAGGACGGGAAAGGGCCTAGCATCTGGGACGTCTTCACACACAGTGGGAAGGGGAAAGTGCTTGGGAATGAGACGGCAGATGTAGCCTGTGACGGCTACTACAAGGTCCAGGTGAGTGCGGGGTGTGAGTGTGTGTGTGTGCGCGCGCGTGCACACACATGTGAGTACATGCCTAGCTGGGAGGCAGGGAGTGACGTTTGGGGGAGCTCTGATGACAATGTCATCCCCATGCTCTGCCAAACACCCTCTACCCCAGTGCAGCCAGAGGGGGCAGGGCCAGTGGGGGTGAAGGTTTGGGAGGGGCCAGGATGTGAGGTGGATGTAGGAGGAAAGGAAAGTGGGGCCTCACCTGAGCCAGTGCCTCAGGCCAAGTGAAGGGGGAGCTGAAGGGCTGATCCCACAGCCTCAGGGCCTACAGCCACAGTGGCCTGAACCCCTGGTCCCTGCTTGTCAGTTGCACCCTGTGGAGGGAGTGGGACCCGCTCATCCTCAGCACCCACTTTCCTCTCTGGATGGCTTCTTGAGGAACTCATCACCCAGGTTTACTAGGGGCACCCTGATGGACTTCTCTCAGTGCCTCCCTGTCCTGCGTTTTCTTTGACTCTTGGCATATCCCCTGCATGAAGTGGGCAGGTGGCATCACCTCTGTTGTACAGGTGAGGAAGCAGGTTCTTCCTTGCCCACTAACAGCTACAGACAAGAGTGAGCCTCGGCCCTAGAGCCCGATGGACCCCTACCTCCCATACCCAGGGCCCAGGTGACCTGTCTCCCCACCCCTGTCTGCACAGGAGGACATCATTCTGCTGAGGGAACTGCACGTCAACCACTACCGATTCTCCCTGTCTTGGCCCCGGCTCCTGCCCACAGGCATCCGAGGTGAGCTAGGGAAGCCCCTCTTGAACCCAAGTGAGGCCCCTTCCGGCAATGTTGGCTTTGCAGGGGCACCACAGAGTCCTGGGGAGGGAGATCAGCCCATGAACGTAGTTGCTGACGGTAGCAGCTCTCACAGGTTCTGCAGGTAACTGGGCTCCCAGAATGCTGGTGGGCTGAGGGTGCCTCAGGCCTTCAAAAAGCAACAGGGCCCAGGAATGCTGCACTCCAGAAGGCCAAGGCCAAGGCCGAGGTCCTTTCTGGTAGCATCTTCTTTTATTTCACCTGCAGCCGAGCAGGTGAACAAGAAGGGAATCGAATTCTACAGTGATCTTATCGATGCCCTTCTGAGCAGCAACATCACTCCCATCGTGACCTTGCACCACTGGGATCTGCCACAGGTGAGGACCTGAGCAGGCTCACAGGCCCAAAGGGGACTCAACTAAGCAGGAGGGAGCCCAGTTTGAGGACTTGGGTTGCCAAGGTGGAGCAGAGACTAGGGTCTGGATTCTGGCGCAGGACTATAAGATGCGAGTGAGTGAAAAAATCTCTCTGACTCACTGTCTTAATCCACTTTTGCTGTTGCAATGGAATGCCTGAGTCTGGGTAACTTGTAAAGAACGGGAATGTATCTTCCCACAGTTCTGGAGGCTGGGAAGTCCAAGATCAAGACACTGGCAGGTGCAGACTCTGGTGAGGCCCCAGTCTCTGCTTCCAAGATGATGCCTTGAATGCCGTGTCCCTCTTTTTATAAGGGCACCTAATCCCATTCAAGAGAGAAGAGCCCTCATGACTCAATCACCTGCCAAAGACTACACTTCCCCATACTGTTACACAGGGGATACAGTTTCAACATGAATTCCAGGGGACAGAAACATTCAAACCAAAGCACTCATGTATGGCAGGGAGGTCACACTGCTTTAATTGATGTGTGTAGTAAGTGAAAAGAGTGAATCCTTTTGTTTTCTAAAAAACTTGGCATAAAAACAAATTTTAAAAACTATAAAGATATGTCTTTTAACTAAGATCTGGCAGCCAGGCACAGTGGCTCACGCCTGTAATCCTAGCACTTTGGGGGGCCGAGGTGGGTGGATCACCTGAAGTCAGGACTTCGAGACCAGCCTGGCCAACCTGGTGAAACACAGTCTCTACGAAAAATACAAAACTTAGCCAGACGTGGTGGCAGGCGCCTATAATCCCAGCTACTTGGGAGGCTAGGCAGGACAATCGCTTGAACCCGGGAAGCAAAGATTGCAGTGAGCCGAGATTATGCCATTGCACTCCAGCCTGGGCAATGAGAATGAAATTCCGTCTAAAAAAAAAAAAAAGATCTGGCGACATAGCATAATGAACAAGTTTAGCCTTTTTTCTACAATTTGTTTGAGCCAGTATCACAAGCACTCATATATGACCCCTGCCCCAGCAATGTCCATGAAATCACAACATGCTTCAGAACGTCACTATGTCACTGTGATTCAAGCAATATTTTCTTTCTTTTGTTTTTTTTTTTTTTTGAGATGGAGTCCTGCTTCGTCGTCCAGGCTGGAGTGCAGTGGCATGATCTCGGCTCACTACAGCCTCCGCCTCCTGGGTTCGAGTGATTCTCCTGTCTCAGCCTCCTGAGTAGCTGGGATTACAGGCATGTGCCACCACGCCCGGCTAATTTTTGTATTTTTAGTAAAGACAGGGTTTCGCCATGTTGGCCAGGCTGGTCTCGAACTCCTGTCTTCAGGTGATCCAGCTGCCTCGGCCTCCCAAAGTGCTAGGATTACAGGCGTGAGCCACTGCGCCTGGCCTCAGGCAATATTTTCATTCACTGGGGAGAAGGTGGTCCCATCGGTGCCCTGGAAGGTTTGGGCAGGAGGTGGGAGGAAAGGGTGTTCTGATTGGAGGGCGCATGGCAAAGAGGGGGAAGCTGGGCAAGCAGTTCGGTTCAGTTAGAATTTGGGGAGCAGGTAGGAGAGGGAAGGGTTAGAGGCTGGAGAAGTGGCTTGGGGAAGACCTCGAAGGCCTCGAGTGCTGAGCTAAGATGACTGGGAACTGGGTTTATTCTGTGGGAATGGGAGCTACCAGAGTCCTCTAACTGGGCAGGAGGGCAGAGCAGGCTTTAGGGAGATGAACCTTCCAGCTTCTTCCCTGGTTGCTTTCATGAGCCTGCCCCATTAACATCCCCTCAAACCCACCAAGGAGAGCTGGACAGGTAGTCTCGATACAGTGACAAGTCTTGGGAGAATTCTGCCGTCATGGGCAGATGTCTTTGGTTGGGAAAGCCCTCTGCCGAAGAAGGCAGACTCTGTCCCAAGGCTTCTAGGAGCTTTCTGACATCTGTGTGGCCCTCAAAATCCTCATCAGAGTGTTCATCCTAGCATCAGATCTCATTTCTCCAGAACTTAGATCTAAGATGCTTCCCCATTATTAGGCCCCTTTCCCCTGGCAATTTTTCTTAAATATTCAATCCATCCAGTTCTTTCTAGGCATGAGAGTCCCAGTCTCCCTGTGCGGCCTCCCTCCTGTTTGTCTGAGGACTGTCACACAGCTTATCTCCACATTTAAACCGCTTTGCGGTTCATTCATGGGGCATCTGCTTCTCTGTGTTCACAGCTGCTCCAGGTCAAATACGGTGGGTGGCAGAATGTGAGCATGGCCAACTACTTCAGAGACTACGCCAACCTGTGCTTTGAGGCCTTTGGGGACCGTGTGAAGCACTGGATCACGTTCAGTGATCCTCGGGTAAGCAGGGCCCCTCCAGGTGGGAGAATGTGACACTCCCTGCCACTTCTTATGGATCCTGTGGTCCTGCTTGCTGTCCCTATAGGCAATGGCAGAAAAAGGCTATGAGACGGGCCACCATGCGCCGGGCCTGAAGCTCCGCGGCACCGGCCTGTACAAGGCAGCACACCACATCATTAAGGTGAGGTGGGTCCTTCTGGTGGAGGAACAGCCTCAGGGTCAGCTCAGCCTGCCCCAGGGGCTCTAGCCTGAGCTTGGTCCTCTGCCGCTCCACCTCCGAGTCAGCATACTCCATAGCACCTTCCCTTCTGTGACGATTTATGGAGGGCGTGTTCTGTCATTCAGGGCGCTGGGGGACACTATGGCTGAGCTGTTATAGCGACTCCCAAGAGCTTACAGCCTAGCCAAGGGGACATCCATGTGGAAATGCGTCAACTACAGGTCCAAGCTGTGACAGGAGGAAGAAGGGGTGTGACAGCGAGCCAGGGGTTAAAATCTTCAATGAATCAGTAGAAGTAACTGGGGTTGATCAAGGACAGCAGTAAGAGGAGTTAGAAGTGGTCATCAGAGTGTGGACTTCAAAGAACCTGGGAATTTTGAAGGAGGAAGGAAAACTAGTTTGGAAGCAGCGATAATGAGCAGGCAGACTCCACCTTACTCCCAGCTCAGAGGTATGTGGAGTGTGATGGAACAAATGGCCTCTGCTTGAAGGAGCTGCAGCGGAGGTGCTCTTAGGGCCAGCAGGCATCAGTCACACAAGAGAGTAAAGGGGCCATTCGGAGAAGATGCTGCAGGAAGGAAGGGCTACTGGAAAGCCTTGTCGCTGGGGAAGGAATTGGGTCACATTACAGGACATGTATGAGGGTATACATGATGGTAACTGGAGAACAGGGATACGAGGCATGCGGGATTGGCCCCAAAGGACACTTAGCGGAAGGTGGACAATCTGTCTAAGCTGGAAGGCAAGGAACCACTGGGTGACATTCCAGATCCCCAAACTCATATCAGGGAGAACATTTTCTCATTTTTTCTACATTTGGCTTATGATTTCTTAAACTGTGAATATTTAAAGGGCAGAGCTCTCAAGATTTTTTTTTTTTGAGACTGAGTCTTGCTCTGTCACCCAGGATGCAGTGAAGCGGCGTGATCTCGGCTCACTGCAACCTCCGCCTCCCGGGTTCAAGCCATTCTCCTGCCTCATTCTCCCAAGTAGCTGGGACTACAGGCGTGCACCACCACACCCAGCTAATTTTTGCATTTTTGATAGAGACAGGGTTTCACCATGTTGGCCAGGCTGGTCCTGAACTCCTGACTTCAGGTGATTCCCTTACCTCGGCATCCCAAAGTGCTGAGATTGTAGGCATGCGCCATAGCGCCCCGCCTCAAGATATTTTTAATATTAAACATGGAAGTCATTTTCTGGGCCTTCTTATCCATCAAAAGTAGTGAGCTGAAGAGACGCGATTATTTATTTATTTAGAGACAGATTCTCGCTCTGTCGCCCAGGCTGGAGTGCAGTGGCACGATCTCGGCTCACTGCAACCTCTGCCTCCTGGGTTCAAATGATTCTCCTGCCTCAGCTTCCTGAGTAGCTGGGATTACAGGCATACGCCACCACACCCGGCTAATTTTTTTGAATTTTTAGTAGAGACAGGGTTTCACCATGTTGGCCAGGCTGGTCTCCAACTCCTGACCTCGTGATCTACCCACCTTGCCCTCCCAAAGTTTTGGGATTACAGGTGTGAGCCACCGCACCCGGCCTGAAGAGATGTGATTCTGATATTGTTTTGACATGTTCCACTTCATCAGACAATACCATGATTCACTTGGTTATTGCTGGTTGGCAAAAGGAATTATAAGGAAAGAAGTCTGATAAATACAGGTTCTCTGTGAGTAACAAACAAAACAACCCCGAATTCTATAGCCTTCAGATATTCAGGTCTTCTAAATTGGTACTTCTCAAATTTTAACACACATCAAAATAATTTAATAAATGATTACTGAGCCAGGTGTGGTGGCACATGCCTGTTGTCCCAGCTATTTGAGAGGCTTGAGTAGGAGGGATGATCACTTGAGCAGGAGGATCACTTGAGCCTAGGAGTTTAATTCCAGCCTAGACAACAAGCAAGACCCCATCTCAAGAAAAAAAAAACAAAAAACAAAAAACAAGCTTATTAAAGCACAGATTGCTGGCCAGGCACAGTGGCTCATGCCTGCAATTCCAGCACTTTGGGAGGCTGAGGTGGGCAGATTGCTTGAGGTCTGGAGTTCGAGATCAGCCTGACCAACATGGAGAAACCCTATCTCTACTAAAAGTACAAAAATTAGCCAGGTGTGGTGGTGGGTGCCTGTAGTCCCAGCTACTCAGGAGGCTGAAGCAGGAGAATGGCTTGAACCTGGGAGGCAGAGGTTACAGTGAGCCAAGATTGTACCACTGCACTCCAGCCTGGGCCACAGAGCGAGACTCCATCTCAAGATAAAAAAAAAAAAAAAAAAAAACACACACACACACACACAAAAACCACAGATTCTTGGGCCCCGCTTTGAGTTTCTGATTCAGTAGGTCTGGCAAGGGCCCATGGATTTGCATGTCTATTAAGTTCCCAGTGGATCCTGATGACCTTGGTCTGGAGATCACACACCGATAATCACTGTTCTAGATTACTTTCCATCTCTCTTAGGTGTTGACCTACCCAAGCGCGGTGGCTAGCTGAAATAGCCTCAGGCAGGCCAGCGGGTCACTGGTAGAATATGAAGAGAAGGCAGGTTGGCGTGTTTTAGATTCCATTTCTCAAGACTATTTCAGACACTTGGTATTTTCCTAAATTACTGAGCTCCTCTGAGGAAAAGTACTGCCTAGTTGCTACTGAGGACTAAGAGGAACAAAACAGGAAACTTTAGCAAAAATCTTAAAAACGATAAATAACAACAAAAAGTTGTTTGAGCCAGACTTACATCAAGTTTCATTTACAATATAAAGAAAATAAGTGCCTCAAGAAGTTAGAGGAAAGAAGACTGGATCGGGATAAACAAGGCTGGATTGATGAAAATAATAGCTCTAAAGTTAGGAAGCAAAGAAAGGCCACTCAGATTGAAAGGGAGGAAATGGATGGGCCAGGTACCTACGATGAATTTCTGCTCCCCTTTCAGGCCCACGCCAAAGCCTGGCATTCTTATAACACCACGTGGCGCAGCAAGCAGCAAGGTGAGCTGTGGCCCCACACATGTACCCAGGACAGCCAAGTGCCCGGAGCAGCAATGGCATGCCCACTCCCCACTCCCTTTTCTTTCTTTTCTTTTAAGGTCTGGTGGGAATTTCATTGAACTGTGACTGGGGGGAACCTGTGGACATTAGTAACCCCAAGGACCTAGAGGCTGCCGAGAGATACCTACAGTTCTGTCTGGGCTGGTTTGCCAACCCCATTTATGCCGGTGACTACCCCCAAGTCATGAAGGACTACATTGGTGAGCCCAGTCTCATTTTAAACTGCAGATACTAGGGCAAGTTATTGAGCCCATGTGAAACAAGCAAAAGGCAGGGGGATGAAGAGCTCACTGGGCCTGGGTGAGGTACTCAAGGGATAATCCAGACTCAAAAGAATTGAGAACCAGACATTTGAATTGGCAGGGAGGAACCCTAGACCTCTCAATTTCCCTAGACTTGGAAATTGAGAATTTTCAGAACTCAGGGAAGAAAGTGGTGGTCTTTGGGCTGGTCTCTCTTATGTTCTGCTTCCCTGCCCTTCCTCCACCCCACTTTAACTGCAGTCAAGCAGGAGAGAGGTCAGACACAGTCATGGGCCTGTGTCACTTCTATTGTCGGTTCTTTCTGTCAATGGAGAAATACTTTCCAAGCTCCAGTTTCCACAGTGTTGGAGAAGAGAATAAACACAAGTAAGGCTTACAGGGATATATCAATTTGGATGTTTTTAACTGCCACGTAACAGAAAATTCTACCTAAAAATGACTTGAAGTAGGGAATTTATCATCTCACCTGAGCCCAGGGAAGGGTGATGCAGGGCTAGGTAATCTAGCCTTCAGGGGTGCCCTTGAGGACCCAGGCTCATTCCATCTTTCCACTCTGGCACCTTCAGTTAGCCCATCAACCAATCCCCATGGCCACAAGATGACTGCAGCAACCCCAGGCATCGCATCTTTACACGTCAACACCCAAAGACAGAAAAAGGGAATCACTCTGTCATAATAAGTTTTGGGGTGGGCTTTCTTGGCCATTTTTTTCCCCAATTTTTTTTTATTGTGGCAAAATACACATAAAATGTACCTGTGTTGCCATTTTTAAGTGTACAGTTCAGTGGTATAAAATACTTTCATAATGTGCAACCATCACCACCATCCATCTCCAGAACGCTTCATCTTGCAAAACTGAAACTTTGCCGAGTCCCTGGCAACCACGATTCCACAGTCTCTGATTTTGACTAAGTAGCTCATATAAGTGGAATCATACAGTATTTGTCTTTGTGTGACTGGCTTATTTTACTTAGCATAATGTCCTCAAGATTCATCCATTTTGTAATATGTCAGAATTTCCTTCCTTTTTAAGGCTGAATAATATTCCATTGTCAGCCGGGCACGGTGGCTCAAGCCTGTAATCCCAGCACTTTGGGAGGCCAAGGTGGGCAGATCACCTGAGGTCAGGAGTTTGAGACCAGCCTGACCAACATAGTGAAACCCCGTCTCTACTAAAAGTACAAAAGTTAGCTGGGCATGGTGGTAGGCCACTGTAATCCCAACTACTTGGGAGGCTGAGGCAGGAGAATCACTTGAACCTGGGAGGTGGAGGTTGCAGTGGGCCGAGATCTCGCCACTGCACTCCAGCCTGGGTGATAGAGTGAGACTCCATCTCGAAAAAGAAAAAAAAATTTCCATTGTCTGTATATATCATATTATGCTTATTCATTCATCCATCAATAGACACTTAGGTTGCTTCCATGTTTAGCTATTGTGAATAATGCTAAAAACACGGGTGTACAAATATCTCAAGATCCAGCTTTCAGTTATTTGGGGAATATACCCAGAAGTAGAATTGCTGGGTCATATGAAAAATTCCATTTTTAATTTTTTTTTAAGGAAGCATCGTACTGTTTTCAACAGTGGGTGTACCATTTTACATTCCCAGCAACAATACACAAGGGTTCCAATTACTCCACATCCTTGCCAACACTTGTTATTTTGCTTAATAATGGCTATCCCAATGGGTGTGAGGTTGTATCTCACTGCAGTTTTGATTTGTGTTTCCCTAATGATTAGTAAGAGCATCTTTTCATGTGCTTATACATCTGTAGATCTTCTTTAGAAAAAATGCCAATTCAAGTTCTTTGCCCATTTTTGAATTGGGTTGTTTTTGTTGTTGAGTTTTGGGAATTCTCTACATATCTTTTTATCACATATATGATATGCAAATATTTCCTCCCATTCTATGTGGGTTTTTTATTCTGTTGCTAGTGTCTTGATTCCCAAATTTTTAAAAATTTCATGAAGTCCAATTTGTCTATTTATGTTTGCTTCTTTTGCCTATTTTTGTTGCCTGTGATTTTGGCGTCAGAGTCAAGATATAACTGCCTAATTAATTGTCACGGTGCTTTTGCTCTATGTTTTCTTTTTCTTTCTTTCTTTTTTTTTATTTTTGAGACAGAGTCTCGCTCTGTTGCCCAGACTGGAGTGCAGTGGTGCGATCTCGGCTCACTGCAACCTCTGCCTCCCAGGTTCAAGTGATTCTCCTGCCTCAGCCTCCCAAGTACCTGGGATTACAGGCACCTGCCATCATGCTCAGCTAATTTTTGTATTTTTGTAGAGATGGGGTTTCACCATGTTCGAAACTTTGGGAGAGTGAGATGGAGCAAGACTCCATCTCAAAAAAAAAAAAATTTAAAATTAAAATTAAAAATTCAATCCTTCGGTCACTATATTTTAATAGCCATATGCAGCTAGTGGCTATTGTATCAGTGCAAGGACAATGACGATAGCTGGTGGCTTTTCTTAAGTCACTAAATGTAACTGAAATAATGTGCCAATATTTTATTTGCTTTATGCTAATATCTTAAGGGTATTTAATAACACAAACTTTGTATTCATTTTATCTAAACTATTATCCTCTTTGGAACTATTCTTATGGTTATATTTTAGATCAATTCAGGGAAAATGTTGTTTTTCTTGATTTATATATTAAAAGTCTTTTTTGTATAGATTACACCTGGACATGTTTCCAATTTTTTAAAGTACAAAAAATATGAAGTAAAAAGTCAGGCCTCTCTCTCTCCCTCCCCAGAAGCAAGTATACTTCCAGAGATGGATTGTGCATGTGGTCAGTGTATGTGCTTATGATTACACGCAACATTCTGAAGCTTTTTTTTTCACTGAAACCTATATCCTGGCAAGCTTTCCACATCGCTATAGAAAGTGCCACCTCATTTGTTCTAAAGGCTGCATAGTGTTGTACTGATGGATGTTTCATTTACATAACCAGACCCTACTGACAGACATTTAGGTTGTTTCCAATCTTTTGCCACTCAATCTATAATGAAGATCCTTGTACAAACATCCCTTTACATGTGTGAGTAAAGTGTAAACAGATTTGGAATTGGTCAATGAAAGGACATATGCTTTTACAACTTTGAAAGATGGGACAAAGATAGGACATACCATCACTGGCCTTCCAGTTCCCTTCCCAAAGGCAGCTAAAATTACACATTTTTATTTTTTATTTTTTGAGATGGAGTTTTGCTCTTGTTGCCCAGGCTGGAGTACAATGGCATGATCTTGGCTCACTGCGACCTCTGCCTCCTGGGTTCAAGTGATTCTCCTGCCTCAGCTTCCCGAGTAGCTGGGATTACAGATGCCCACCACCAAGCCAGCTACTTTTTTTTTTTTTTTTTTTTTTGAGACAGTCTTGCTCTGTCGCCCAGGCTGGAGTGCAGTGGCGTGATCTCGGCTCACTGCAACCTCCACCTCCCGGCTTCAAGCGACTCTCCTGCCTCAGCCTCCCAAGTAGCTGGGATTACAGGCACGCACCACCACCCCTGGCTAATTTTTGTATTTTTAGTAGAGATGGGGTTTCACCATGTTGGTCAGGCTGATCTCAAGCTCCTAAACATCGTGATCTGCCCCCCTCGGCCTCCCAAAGTGCTGGAATTACAGGTTTGAGCCACCGCTCCTGGCCAATTTTTTGTATTTTTAGTAGAGACAGGGTTTCACCATGTTAGCCAGGCTGGTCGCGAACTCCTGATCTCAAGTGATCCACCTGCCTCAGCCTCCCAAAACGCTGGAATTACAGGCGTGAGCCATTGCACCCGGCCAAATTACCCATTTTTAATGTAAGGAACAATATAGGAGCCCAACTCTACTTTTTCTCCAGATGGCTACACACCACTTACTGAGTAATCTGTGAAAATACAACTTTTTTTTTTTTTTTTTTGAGATGGAGTCTCGCTCTGTCACCCAGGCTGGAGTGCAGTGGCACGATCTTGGCTCACTGCAAGCTCCACCTCCTGGATTCACGCCATTCTCCTGCCTCAGCCTCCCAAGTAGCTGGGACTACAGGCGGCTGCCACCACGCCCGGCTAATTTTTTGTATTTTTAGTAGAGATGGGGTTTCACTGTGCTAGCCAGGATGGTCTCGATCTCCTGACCTTGTGATCCGCCCGCCTCAGCCTCCCAAAGTGCTGGGATTATAGGCGTGAGCCACCACGCCCGGCCTGAAAATGCTATTTTTAAGCAATATAAACTTATAAATATTTTGGACAGTATTGAAATTTCAAAAATTCCACTTTGGATGGCTAAGGTTATACTTCCCATGCAAATGAATCCTAAAGCCCACCGTTTATGTCAAGATGTCACTATCGTCATGATACATAACACAGTGATTGGGAGAAAATAAGGCTTTGTTAAATTCTACTTTTCTCTCTCAAAAGGAAGAAAGAGTGCAGAGCAAGGCCTGGAGATGTCGAGGTTACCGGTGTTCTCACTCCAGGAGAAGAGCTACATTAAAGGCACATCCGATTTCTTGGGATTAGGTCATTTTACTACTCGGTACATCACGGAAAGGAACTACCCCTCCCGCCAGGGGCCCAGCTACCAGAACGATCGTGACTTGATAGAGCTGGTTGACCCAAACTGGCCAGATCTGGGGTCTAAATGGCTATATTCTGTGCCATGGGGATTTAGGAGGCTCCTTAACTTTGCTCAGGTGATTATCACATTCAGCTATTCAAAGGACATTTAGACTTGAATTCATGTTCTCACAGCTTAAGCTCAGGTGCCTACATTAGAAAGTTAATAAAACAAAATAAACCTAGTTACTCATACTTCAGAGGCTACTAAATGTAGGCCTTACAGACTCACGTCTACCATGCATAACCATTTGCATGTATATAACTTTAGCTAAAAAATTCATATCCCACATTTATTTTGCTGTCCTTCACACCTAAACTGGAATATGTGGCAAAGAACAAGACCAAAGTACATGTCCCCTCCAACAATGTTTTTTTTTTTTTTTTTTTTTTGAGACAGTCTCACTCTGTCACCCAGGCTGGAGTGCAGTGGCATGATCTCGGCTCACTGCCACCTCTGCCTTCCAGGTTCAAGTGATTTCCTGCCTCAGCCTCTTAAGTGGCTGGGATTACAGGCGTATGCCACCACGCCTGGCTAATTTTTGTATTTTTAGTAGAGACAGGTTTTCACCATGTTGGCCAGGCTGGTCTCAAACTCCTGACCTTAGGTGATCTGCCCACCTTGGCCTCCCAAAGTGCTGGGATTACAGGCGTGAGCCACCGCGCCTGGCAACAATGTTCATTTATTGAGAAATACATTCTTTATAAGAACCTGTCTCCTGCCTACATTAGTCTCTAAATAAACATGTTATCTGACATCTACTAAATGCCAAAATACACTTGATTAGAATGTGGCAGGCTTGAATATGTGTTCCTATATGAGCCTCTGACTCAGAAACCTACCTGTAGGTCAGAATTTTTAAGATATTTGTTGCTATGACTCACTTTCAGACTCAATACGGTGATCCTCCCATATATGTGATGGAAAATGGAGCATCTCAAAAATTCCACTGTACTCAATTATGTGATGAGTGGAGAATTCAATACCTTAAAGGATACATAAATGAAATGCTAAAAGGTGAGACACAAACCAAGATTGTCTGCAGTTTTCCCGTTTAACTGAGACAAAATGTGATTAACACACAATCAACTGAAACTTGCTTCTAAATCTCATAAATGAAAACATTTTAACATTATCTTCAGTTTTATTTTTCTAAGTAAATGAAATATATTTAAAATGGAATAAAATGTCTTTGCAGCTATAAAAGATGGTGCTAATATAAAGGGGTATACTTCCTGGTCTCTGTTGGATAAGTTTGAATGGGAGAAAGGATACTCAGATAGATATGGATTCTACTATGTTGAATTTAACGACAGAAATAAGCCTCGCTATCCAAAGGCTTCAGTTCAATATTACAAGAAGATTATCATTGCCAATGGGTTTCCCAATCCAAGAGAGGTAGGCCTCATTATCAATGTTATCTGTTCTGAACTTTAGGAAGAGCTAGATAGCTGGAACACACAAAGAACTTGGCAAGTTTCTCTTCTCTTTCCTCCATGAAAGAGGACGGGGCATGCGGCATGGCCCTTTATTTCACCTTTACTCATTTGCTTAGAATGGAGCAAGCATGATGTAAACTTCAATCTAAGGGCACTACCAGAGGTTATGAAGGAGTTCCGTTTGCTTTAAGTTATGATAGGGCAAAAACAATAGAGACTTATAGTTAAATGTTATTCTAAATCTCGTGTCTTTTTTTTTTTTTTTTTTTTTTTTTGAGACAGAATCTCACTCTGTCGCCAGGTTGGAGTGCAGTAGTGCGATCTCGGCTCACTGCAACCTCCGCTTCTTGGGTTCCAGCGATTTTCCTGCCTCAGCCTCCTGAGTAGCTGGGATTACAGGGGCATGCCACCACGCCCAGCTAATTTTTGTATTTTTAGTAGAGATGGGGTTTCACCATATTGCCCAGAATGGTCTCTAACTCTTGACCTCGTGATCTGCCCACCTCAGCCTCCTAAAGTGCTGGGATTACAGGCGTGAGCCACCGCGCCTGGCCCAAATCTTGTGTCTTAATGCAAACAAATACTACCTATTCTTCAACATATATTTAAAAAGTTAAGTAAATCAAATGTATAATTATCATATCATTTTCATCTATTTTCCAGCCAAGCAGCAGAGCCATACACACACACTGGCTTCAAAATGAGATCTAAAGTAATCAAACTTAGTAATCCTTTAGCATCTACCAAACATTTTCAATAACCTGAAAACTTTTCTAGCAGCTCTCTATTCTCTGTTGCTGCACCTATTGGTAGGGAATATAAACTGTAATCTCGAGTGTCTTGGCCAGGTACGGTGGCTCATGCCTGTAACCCCAGCACCTTGGGAGGCTGGAGTGGGAGGACTGCTTGGGGCCAAGTGTTCAAGACCAGCCTGGGCAACATAGCAAGATATCATTTCTACAAAAATTTAAAAATCAGCTGGATGTGGTGATGCGCCTGTAGTCCCAGCTGACTACAGAGACTGAGGTGTGAGGATCACTTGAGCCCAAGAATTTGAGGCTGCAGTGAGCTATGATTGCTCCACTGCACTCCAGCCTGGGCAACAGAGCAAGACTCTGTTTCTAAAAAATGAAATAAAATAGAGTGTCTTAATAAAAATAATTTTAAAAAGTAAATTTCACTTGTTTACCAAAACTATTTTAAGGTGAGCCCCGTAGGACTATTAAATGGAAGCAGTGACTAAAAACCATAAGGCATTTGCTACTTTTACATTATTAGAAAAGCACTAGAGTGTACACTCCTCATGAATAAAGACTGTTCTTTGACTCCCTCACTATGATGTACATGGATGTACAGTAAATATTAACTAATTTAAACTACAAAATGATTTAAAAACATAAACTACAGATAGATTTTAAAAAATATTTACTTTTACCCCACATTTATTTCAAAAATGATTTGAAACAGCAAAAAATTAGTCTAAGACAACATTACTTATCAAGTGGGTTTTTATTAGGTGGAAAGTTGGTACCTCAAAGCTTTGGAAACTTGCTCTATCAACAATCAGATGCTTGCTGCAGGTGAGTCAGTATATTTCAATGTTTTCCTTTAATAATTAAACTAAATAATTATACATATCATTTTCAAAATCTCAAAATGTGGCTCTACTTGAAGTCAATCTTCCAAAACTACTTATGATTAAAATCAGGTTTCTTTGAAGCAATGTCAAATTTCTATTTATAAGCATTTTAAAGCATTTAATCTACCATGAAAGATAAACATTTTATCCATTTTATCCATTCAAGTTTTATTCTTTCAGAATCATACCTATAAATTTATATACCTACTATTTTTGTTATAGTGGGCTTGGGCAAGGAGAGGAAAAGCCAACCACTATACCAACTGGGATGAAGGAAAAAAGAATACTTGAGATCTTATATTTGTTCATTCGGCAAGCAATTATTAAGCACTCACTATTTGCCAGGGAATGTTTAAGTCATGAGATATAGCCAGGAACAAAACAAGGTCCCTGTCTTCATAGAAGACATCATTTCCTATGTAATGGGGTCTAAAAGGATCAGAGATGTCGAATAACAAAGATGCAACTATGCATCAAGAAATGCCAACACATATTATTTGTTTCTTTGAATTTTATCTTTATTTCTCCATAAGGGCAATCAGAGAAATATGCTTTCCTTTTTAACAAGCTCATCTTTAATGTGGTAGCAAAGATGGAAGGTGCGAGACCAAATCTTACCAAACTAGCTATTTTTACAGGCCAATAAAGCAACATGCAATCCCCCTCAACAAATTTAAATAATCAGGCAATACTAAGAATGTATATTCCATTAAACTAAAATAAACAAGGTTGAAATGTGGTACAGAATTCACTGATGAGCCTGTGAACTCCACGTGAGGATGTCCAGTGCCTTATTTATCTCAGTAACCAGAGTACCCAGCACACAAGATAAAAGTGGGTATTACCTAAGTGGCCACTATTTTATTAATAATGCACATAACATATGCTTATCATTAACTCTTAAAAAGATTATTATTTAACTATACAAGAACTACCATACAACATTTCAACATACAAGTTCCTATACTTCTTAAGATACACAATAATATTTTGAAAGATTGGAAATGTTTCCCAAGGACTTTCCTATCACAAATCCCCCCCAGTAAAAATTATAGGAACTGTGGAATATGGCTGCTAATATTCTGAGATGAATTTAGAAAGTATAAGTATTGAGAGATGGACTTTATTATAGCACCTGTAGAAGAACCAAATTCAGGCATTTATCCCATATTTTCTGAAATATTTACAAAGCTCTTATAACATTTTCAAATAACATTTAATTTACTAAGTTCTATTTCATGGCAAATAAGAATCAGAAAATTTGAGGATGCTATTTTTTAAGTTTTCCCAATACAGTTAAAGCTTTTGGGATAAAGCTGTATTTACTAAAATGATCCTGTTCTCATTTGTGGTGCTCGTTCTCTTTGTCATTTCAGAGCCCTTGCTAAGTCACATGCAAATGGTTACGGAGATCGTGGTACCCACTGTCTGCTCCCTCTGTGTCCTCATCACTGCTGTTCTACTAATGCTCCTCCTGAGGAGGCAGAGCTGAGACAGGATTATCAATTTTGGAGCTTCATAAGAGAATCTTCAGGATCTTCCTCCCTTTTCTGCTTTGAGGGTTTCCATACATTGCTGTTTTCAGGTTCTACAATAATTACCTTTTTTTCTCTTTCTCTTTTTGGCTTGTGCTGGGATTTAAGAATTAGAAAATAAAAATAAGCAGAAATTAAAAAAAAAAACACTTGTAATCTCACCCCTCCTAAAGTTAATGTTAAGATTTTGCTGTATATAATGAATGTATATTATGAATTATTTACAAAAATGGCATCATAGTATACAAACTGTTGTGACTTGATTGTTTATCACTCTAAAATCTGTCCAGAAATATTACTTTAATGTTCAAATGATTGCCATCTCAGCACTGTCCCATACCTGATAGATAAAATCAATCTGGCTGGGCACAGTGGCTCACACCTGTAATCCCAGCACTTTGGGAGGCTGAGGCTGGTGAATCACTTGAGGCCAGAAGTTTGAGACCAGCCTGGCCAACATGGTTAAACCCTGTCTCTACTAAAAATATAGAAACTAGCTGGGCATGGTGGCGGGCACCTGTAATCCCATTTACTTGGGAGGCTGAGGCAGGAGAATCGCTTGAACCTGGGAGGTGAAGGTTGCAGTGAGCTGAGATCACACCACTGCACTCCAGCCTGTGCAACAGAGAAAGACTCCGTTTCAAAAGAGAAAAGAAAAGAAATCTATAGATAACAATCCTTCCAGGTTGTAAATATTATTAGCCAACCACAGAAAAGCATGAAGTGGGTACCAAGTAAATGAGCACGTACACTCTTCTGACACTTTAGTCTGAATTTAGTCTGACAACTCTGACTAAATTCAACTTACTTTAGTCAATGAAATACCTCAAAGAAATATTACATGTTTATTTTTTATTTATCTTCTAGGTAACTCAATATCGTCTTTTTTATAATAAAGATTCATTTTACTCTTAACTATGTTAAAATGCTAAAATTAATTAATTTCCATTTATTTGGGGATAAAACATGGCTTAAGAACAATCTCATGCATTTTTCTCATTATCTGATTTTACTTAATACTGTTTCTGAAACCAAAAAAGAATAAGACAGTAGAAAATGTCTCTACTAAAAATACAAAAAATTAGCCAAGCGTGGTGGCAGGCGCCTGTAGTCCCAGCTACTTGGGAGGCTGAGGCAGGAGAATGGCATTGAATCTGGGAGGCGGAGCTTGCAGTGAGCCGAGATAGCGCCACTGCACTCCAGCCTGGGTGACAGAGCGGGACTGTGTCTCAAAAAAAAAAAAAAAAAAAAAAAAAGAAAATGTCATTCCATTAATTCTTTTGGTTAATATGATCTCAAATCAAAACATTTTAAGAAGAGTATTTACATCTGGGGCTTGTCCTATAGTTGGGCTGGAATAAAATTATTTATAACAAAACTTCGCTTTCAACGGCAAATCAGTATGCCTGTTCAGGGTTTTTCTCTTGCATCAATGTTTTCAAAATCAAACTCACTTTCTACTACATATACAGATTTTAAATGCAAAGACATTACCACTCAAGAATTTTTTTTTATTTCTCTGGTTTTAGGATTAAATTGACCTATTAAAAGTTGACCACAAAAGGTAGAAAGAAAATTAAAGAGTTGCACTGCTCAATAACAACTGGTAAGCCTTTTATGTGATTACTAATAATCCCTATTCCTAATGTAGCAAATCGACATTGATAATGTAGAAAGAACTAAACGTAAGGTACTTATTACAAAGTATTTGACAAAGAGACTAAAATGTGAACATAAATACCTTATAGAGGACTTCATCAGCACACTTCACTTGAAATGCACCTGGCTGCAGGTAACCATGTTAGTAAAGAATATCCTTTCTTCCAGGCTACCGTTTAGTGTTAATTCCGAAAAATCTGTAATCAAAAAGAGAGTGAGATCAGAATTGCTTAACACCCTGCTTTTCTACCATGTATAATGCTGAATTTTACACCAATACAATAACTAAGAGGTGGTCTAAATGGCAATGTGTCTTCTACTTTAAGAGAATTCATTGGGAAAAATTCAGTAAGGACACTTGCTTTAAATATGAAACTCTTGATGCATTTAAAACATGATTAAATAAACTAAAAATGAAGCAGGTTATTTTTTAATTATATCTTTTTAATTTGGAAACTTACTGCTTTATTTTTTGTGCCATATTAACTAGGGTTACACAACTGTCTTTTCTCCAATCCTAACATAAATTTCAGAAAAGAATTTCTATTTAAGATTTGTAGTCTTAGGGCTAGACACATATCCATTTTTCTCCCAAAGACTATTTTATTTCAAAAATAAATGGTCCAATCAACATTTTGATGGGATAATGTCCACTTCCTTGTGGGTCAACATTTTGGTTTCCATATTTTCATCATTATCAACAATCATTTACTGAGCACCCACTGGGTGAGCAGCACTCCACTGGTCACGTTTTCTCCTCCATTAACTCCAAATCATTACCCTCTCTCTTTCCATGGTGGCTAAAAGTACACATTTCTCTCTTAAGTCTCCCTGCCTTTGATGTCAACTATTTTACTCAAAAGCATCATACCATTAAATTTCTTGAAAAGCTAGTATTGGACTTAAGTGCTCAGTCCAAAGAAATAAGAAGTCTAACTCCTTAAAAGCATACGATCTTCGAAAGAAAATTAAACATTTTAGGCCATATTTACAATTAAGACTTTGTTTGAATAGCCCATGACTTTTACAAATGAGATACCCCCTTCGAAAATGGGTCTTGCTTTGGGGATAAAAGACACTGAATAATTTCTAGACAAACATATCAAGAATATATGATGGCTACAAGAGGTTATAAAGTTCAAGCCAAAATGGAGTTTGAGTGTGTTCCTAAGCACATAAATATATGATTTTATAAGAATTCCTTATTTTCATAAAAGGAGTCACTGGACCAATGCACTAGAAAATTGCTTTAACTCCAACATTCAAAATAACTTTCACTCTTTTTTGTTGCAATCCATGTCAAAAAGACATTAAATGATGTGTTCAGTATACTTGCTTATTCAGCATTATTAGGAAAAGATGTTTCATCTTGTATGAATTTCCTCAAAACAGAACTCTAATCTCTACAAAATAAAATTTACTTTATTTTTTTGGAGACAGAATTTTGCTATTGCTGCCCAGGCTGGAGTGCAATGGCGTGATCTTGTCTCACTGCAACCTCTGCCTCCAGGGTTCAAGCAATTCTCCTGTCTCAGCCTCCTGAGTAGCTGGGATTACAGGCACCCGCCACCATGCCTGGCTAATTTTTTGTATTTTTAGTAGAGACAGGGTTTCAACATGTTGGCCAGGCTGGTCACGAACTCCTGACCTCAGGTGATCCACCCACCTCAGCCTTCCAAAGTGCTGGGATTACAGGTGTGAGCCACCACAACTGGCCAAAATTTACTTTAAAATGGCATTTTTTTCAGCTGGGCACAGTGGCTCACGCCTGTAATCCCAGCACTTTGGGAGGCCAAGGCAGGCGGATCATGAGGTCAGGAGTTTGAGACCAGCCTGACCAACATGGTGAAACCCCATCTCTACTAAAAATACAAAAATTAGCCAGGCGTGGTGGCACGCGCCTGTAATCCCAGCTAGTTGGGAGGCTGAGGCAGGAGAATAGCTTGAACCCGGGAGGCGGAGGTTGCAGTGAGCCGAGATCGCGCCACTGCACTCTAGCCTGGGTGACAGAGCAAGGCTCCATCTCAAACACACACACACACACACACACACACACACACACAAAAACCAAAAAAACAACAAAAAAACAAGGCATTTTTTTCACAAATGTTTCACATATATTTATGTCTTTAAAATTGTCCTTTTGGCCGGGGGCAGTAGTAGTTCGCACCTGTAATCCTAGGGCTTTGGGAGGCTGAGCCAGGGGGAATATTTCAGCTCAGGAGTTTGAGAACTCCTGGCCAACATAACAAGACCTCGCCTCTATGAAAAATTTAAAAAGGAAAAAATTAGGCAGGCATGATGGCGCCCACCCATAGTCCCAAGCTACTTGGGACGCTGAAGTAGGAGGATTGCTTGAGCCTGGAAGATTGAGTCTGCAGTGAGGCAAGATCATGCCACTGCACTCCAGCTGGGGTGACAGAGCAAGACCCTGTCTCAAAAATAAATAAATAACATTTTCTTTTTAACCATAAAATACGTTTCTTCTTTAAAAAACAAAATATATGTTTTCTTTTTTCTTTTTTTTTTTGAGATGGAGTTTCGCTCTTGTTGCCCAGGCTGGAGTGCAATGGCGTGATATCGGCTCACTGAAACCTCTGCTTCCCAGGTTCAAGCAATTCTCCTGCCTCAGCCTCCTGAGTAGCTGGGATTACAGGCATGCGCCACCATGCCCGGCTAATTTTTTATATTTTTAGTACAGGTGGGGTTTCACCATGTTGGCTGGGTCTGGAACTCCTGACCTCAGGTGATCCACCCGCCTTGGCCTCCCAAAGTGCTGGGATTACAGGCGTGAGCCATATGTTTTCTTCTTTAAAAGACATGTTTCTTCTTTAAAATCTTTAAAGAATATATGTTTCTTCTTTAAAAAACAATAGATGTAGACAGAATGTTTACTTTAGGTTGGTGATTCTCAGCCACAGTTGCACAGTGGAATCACCTGAAGAACTCTACAAATTACTGATGTCCCAGCTGTACTCCCAGAGATTCTGATTTACTTGGCATGAGCAACAGAACTTTTTTTTTTTTTTCTGAGACAGGGTCTTGCTCTGCTACCCAGGCTGGAGTGCAATGGCACAACCTCAGCTCACTGCAGCCTCAATCTCCTGGGCTCAACTAATCCTCCCACCTCAGCCTCCCAAGTAGCTAGAACTACAGGCATATGCCACCACACGCAGCTAATTTTTGTATTTTTTGTACAGATCGGGTCCCACTGTGTTACCCAGGCTGGTCTTGAACTCTTAGGCTCAAAGTGATCCTCCCAGGCCTTAGCCTCCCGAAGTGCTAGGATTACAAAATCGTGAGCCAATGCACCTAGCTTAGGCAATAGAACCTTAAAAGCTTTGCAGATGATTCTAATGTTCAGCCCAAACTGGTAATCATCTCTGCAATCACCATTCCACATCTCATGGCTAAAGTTGGATTGTATCCTTCTAGGTCTTTATCTAAGTCCCCGTCTCCATGTTTTTGCTACCATAAGCAATACCACAACTAATAGTCTTGTTCATAGGTCTGATTTTATGTGTGTAATAAATTCCTACTTATGAAACTGCTAGGCCAAAGAATGTATTTATTTATTTATTTATTTTTTGAGATGGAGTCTTGCTCCGCCACCCAGGCTGAAGTGCAAGAGCACGATCTTGGCTCATTGCAGCCCCCCACTCCCAAAGTCTAGCAATTCTCCTGACTCAGCATCCCAAGTAGCTGGGATTATAGGCACATGTCACCATGCCCAGCTATTCTTTTACAATTTTGATGGGTACTACCTCCCACAGAAGCTGTACAACTTTACATTCCAACCAGAAATGTGTGAGAATGATTGCCCGTTCTCCCATACCCACGCCAGCACAGACACCAAACTTTTTGATCTTTGCTAATATGGAAAAGGTATCTATATAATATAAATTTGCATTTCTCTTATTATAGGTGAGGTTGAGCATGGTTTATTCTTTTACATTTTTTAGAGATGGAATCTCGCTATGTTGCCCAGGCTAGCCTTGAACTCTTGAGCTCAAGCAATCTTTCCCACCTCAGCCTCCCAAGTAGCTGGGAGTACAAGCAAGCATATCTTATTTTTAAAACCACATTTGAATTTCCTTTTGGTACACTGTTTACCTTACTATCAATTTTTCTATTGAGCTATTAATATTTTTCTTACTGAAATATATCCCCTTTTCTGAACATGGGTTGCGAATTTCTTTTTTTGAGACGAAATCTTGCTCTGTCACCCAGGCTGGAATGCAGTGGCGCGATCTTGGCTCACAGCAACCTCCGCCTCCCAGGTTCAAGTGATTCTCCTGCCTCCGCCTCCCGAAGAGCTGGGACTACAGGCACATGCCACCACACCTGGCTAAGTTTTTGTATTTTCAGTAGAGACGGAGTTTCACTGTGTTAGCCAGGATGGTCATGATCTCCTGACCTCGTGATCCACTTGCCTGGACCTCCCAAAGTGCTGGGATTACAGGTGTGAGCCCCCGCGCCCGGCCTTTTTTTGTATTTTTTTAGTAGAGATGGTGTTTCACCGTGCTGGCCAGGCTAGTCTCAAATTCCTGACCTTGTGATCCGCCCACCTCGGCCTCCCAAAGTGCTGGGATTACAGGTGTGAGCCACCGTGCCCGGCCTGGGCTACAAATTTCTTTTCCTAGTTTATAATTTGTCTGTTTTGCCATGCAGAAATTTTTCTACTTTTACAGCTGATTCTCAGTCTTTTATCACTTCCAGGTTTTGTATAACACTTAGAAAAAAACAGCACAATTTTAACTGATGGCTCTCAGAAAAATTCAGTTTGGTTATGACTTTTATAGTTCAACTATATGAACAGAGCCTCTAACTGACAGAAATTTCCATTATACCTAAATCAGAATATACTTGGGAGGGCAGGAGCACAAACATTTTCTGGAAAAATTTTTTGCAAGTTATTAATCAGTAAAATAAAACTATTTGTATTCCCAGCAGTATAGGCCTTTGAAATCTAATTAATAGATTCAGTCTGAAAACTATCAGATTTGTTTTCAAATAATCTTTACATATTTAAATGAAGGCATTTAAGACCCATATGAATAAGAGACAACAGCACCGTACAACCCACGTGCATGAAGATATGAGTTTGAGGGTACTTCCTGAAGGAGGAAGACTTGGTAGGCTAGCTAATTACACAAAGGGCTAAAAGACATTCTTTGCCTAATATGGACCATCTGTGATAGAATACTAGCAATCTCAACCCTTATTTCAACCATGGAGAAGACACTATGACAGAAATATCATCATCGTTTTAACCAGTGCCCAAAAGTGTCAAGTATGAATCAGCATTTCCATCTTACAACCTATTTTTACTCCTATGTCCCTATTGCTTGATCTCTTTTAGTAAAAGTTCCTCTATACAAGATAAGGAGAAAAAGCATTCTTTTCTGATTATTATACACTAAATTTTTCTGGGTATTACAGTTGCATAAAAATAATGATAGTTTTGTGTGTGCGTGTGCGTGTGTGTGTGTGGTGTGTTTCTGAGACAGGGTTACACTCTGTTGCCCAAGCTAGACTGCAGTAGTGCGACCAGCTCACTGTAACCTCCACTTCCTGGGTTAAGTGATTCTCCCGCCTCAGCCTCCTGAGTAGCTGGAACTACAGCAACAAGCCACCAACACCCGGCTAATTTTTGTATTTTTTTTTTTTTTGTAGAGATGGGGTTTCTCCATGTTGCCCAGGCTGGTCTCTAACTCCTGAGTTCAAAGTGATCCACCTGCCTCAGCCTCCCAAAGTGCTGGGATTACAGGCTCGAACCACCGGGCCCAGCAGTTTTCTTTTTTAAAGAATAAATATGTTTTACACTTAGAGTTCGGGAAAATTACTTAAAACTGGGCACAGGCCAGGAGTGGTGGCTCACACCTGTAATCCTAGCACTTTGGGAGGCTGAGGCAGGTGGATCATGAGGTCAGGAGTTTGAGACCAGCCTGGCCAACATGGTAAAACCCATCTTTACTAAAGATACAAAAAATTAGCTGGGTGTGGTAGCACGTACCTGTAATCCCAGCTACTCAGGAGGCTGAGGCAGGAGAATCACTTGAACCCAGGAGGCGGAGGCTGCAGTGAGCTGAGATGGTGCCACTGCACTCCAGCCTGGGCGACAGGGGGAGACTCCATCTCAAAAAAAAAAAAGAAAGAAAATACTGGGCACACAAGAGCTATAATAATAATCCATTCCAGTAAGATTTAGTTTATTTTCTTTTTTCTTTTTTTGGAGGCAGAGTCTCACTCTGTTGCCCAGGCTGGAGTGCAGTGGCACGATCTCAGCTCACTGCAACCTCCACCTCAAGGGTTCAAGCAATTCTTGTGCCTTAGCCACGTGAGTAGTTGGGACTACAGGCACATGCAACCATGCCCGGCTAATTTTTTGTATTTTTAGTAGAGATGGGGTTTCACCATGTTGGCCAGGCTGGTCTCAAACTCCTGAGCTCACACAATCTGCCCACCCCGGCCTCCCAAAGTGCTGGGATTACAGGCGTGAGCCGCTGTGCCCAGCCAGACTTAGTTTATTTTCTGTTGGAATTATTTATCTGAACAGATTATAAACCATCTTTACCAGGTTTGTGAAAATTCAGATGGTCTATGGGTGAGCTGTCACTCAGTTGCCAAACTGTCTTAATCTTCTTTTGACCACTATATATTTCCACTCTCCATTTCTGTGGCTTCTCACTAAGGAAAGAATAAAACGACAAAAGAAAAATTTTCAAAAACAGCCATTTACTTCCTTCCCTCTACAGCCATTTAGTGAAGTCTTCATGTGATAAGCACTGAGGACAAAGAGGTAAACGGGTCACAATTCCCGCCCTTGAGGTGTATAGTCAAGAGAGCAAGAAAAATAAGAATAAAAATAACAATTTGGAAAAAAAAATGCTACAACAGAGAAATACTAGATGTGTTAGGGGAAAACTGAAGAGAGGAATGTAACTCGGATTGGGGATAGCAGAGTTGGAAAGAATCCTCAGAGGCTGTGATGTGTGAGCTGAGTATGAAATAACCAGGAGTTAGTTAGGCAGATAAACTCCAGGATGAAGGAATGAAATGTTGAGTATGCACCGAGGGTTAAGAGTGTGGAATGTCTGAAGAAATGCAGTAACACAGCATCCCTGTGATAGGAGACATTTAAACAGGAGGAAGTCCTGGTGGGATTTGAATTTTTAGGAAGATCATTTTGGCAATGACATAGAAAAGAAAGATAACAGAGGCAGAGCGCAGTTAGGAAAAAGGATTTTACCACAGTCCAGGTATGAAATGATGCAGATGTGAAACAAAGTAATGATGATGTGAAGATGTAGAGAAGGGGACAAATTCTAGAGTTACCAAGGTCTAGTCTAGACTCAGTAATCTTTTTTTTTTTTTTTTTTTTTTGACAGGGTCTTGCTCTGTCACCCAGGCTGGAGTGCAGTGGCGTGATCACAGTTCACTACAGCTTCGACCTCCAGGCCTTAGGAAATTCCTCCTACCTCAGCCTCCCTAGTAGCTGGGACTACAGGTGCATGCCACCATGCCTGGCTAATTTTTATATTTTTTGTAGAGACAGGGTTTCACCGTGTTGCCCAGGCTATCGGTAACCATTTAAAGGAGTGAGGGATGAGCGGAGGATAAGCACTACGTTTTTGTTTTGGCCATTAGATAGAGATTAATGATGGTGATTTGAGAGACAAAGTATGGGAGGAGGAAAAAGCATTGAGAAGGGGATGAGGTGTTAGGCTTTAGAGTTTGAACTGCTACTTCAATAAGCTGGGGATTCACAGCTAATAGGCATTTAGAAAGATGGGTCTGAAGCTCAGAGAAGCTGGAGATGTGAGTTATGAATTATCGTTAGCCTAGACAAGTTGAAGCCTTGAGAATAAATGCAATCACCAAGGGAAGATAGGAAGTAAGAAGAAAAGAAAGCAGAGGGTAGAGTTCTGGTGAAAAGTGGCAGAAGAAGAAGTACTTGAAAAGAGAACTGTTCTCAGCCTTTCAGATGGGCCAGAGAGGTAGAATTCAAATTAAGACAGATGCTACGTCACAGAAAATAAGGAGATAGGTTCAAGACAGCAATAGTGCTAAATGCCAAACAGCCTTATACGTGCTTACTGAAGTAGACCGAGCATGGTGGCTCACACCTGTAATCCCAGTACTTTGGGAGGCTCAGGTGGTCGGATCACCAGGTCAGAAGTTTGAGACCAGCCTGGCCAACATGGTGAAACACTGTCTCTACTAAAAATACAAAAATTAGCCGGGTGTGGTGGTGGGCGCCTGTAATCCCAGCTACTCCGGAGGCTGAGGCAGGAGAATTGCTTGAAACCAGAAGGCTGTGGTTGCAGTGAGCTGAGATTGCGCCACTGCACTCCAGCCTGGGAAATAAGAGCGAAACTCTGTCTAAAAAAAAAAAAAAGTGCTTACTGAAGTAGGAAGACTGGGTGGGCCAACCAATTACACAATGAGCTAGATAGAAAACAATCTTTTACTGAAAAGCATCCACTGGATTTGACAATTAGAAGGTCATTGGTGACCTTTGCCAGAGCAATTTCAGGGGGAGTGATGAGAGTTTGGCTAAGAAAGAACTAAATACAGGGAGGACATAAATAGAGTGGCTATAGTATGAGAGAAATTTCAAGTATATCATATGCTGAGAGAAGAGTCAAGGAGACCCTCATTGGAGGCAACCTCAGTGTCCATGTGGATGAACAATCTATCATCTCAGCCTCACAGTTCCCTACTTCCTCTAATCCCAAACCCTTCTCTCACTCCCACAGTCATACCCTAGACCCTGTTATCACTATCCTGGTCATTTTTCTCCTAATCCATCATTTCCTTTCTGGCTATACTTTCCACTCTTCTCTGAAGGAATAACAAATACAGAGAAAAATGAAAGACTAGAGGCCCAACAGTCTAGAGAGAGGTCTGAGAGAAGGAAGAGGGAGAACTCTCTCAGACTATGGTCACAGATGATTAAGGTTTCAGAGGTGACGAAGCTCTGGGTCATGAGGTCCCTACTGAATATGAACACTGAAATTGCCTAGGATCATGGGTGGACTTAAGATAATAAATTAAAATGCTTATTTATTATCATTATTATTATTATTTTTTGAGACGGAGTTTCACTCTTGTTGCCCAGGCTGGAGTGCAATGGCATGATCTCGGCTCACTGCAACCTCTGCCTCCCAGGTTTAAGCGATTCTCCTGCCTCAGCCTCCCGAGTAGCTGGGATTATAGGTGCATGCCACCATGCCCAGCTAATTTTTGTATTTTTAGTAGAGATGGGGTTTCACCATTTTGGCCAGGCTGGTCTCGAACTCCTGACCTCTGGGGATCCACCCGCCTCGGCCTCCCAAAGTGCTAGGATTACAGGTGTGAGCCACCACGCCCAGCTATTATTATTTTTTAATAGAGACAGGGTCTCATTATGTTGCCCAGGCTGGTCTCGAACTCCTGAGCTCAAGTTATCCTCCCACCTCAGCCTCCCATAGTGCTAGGATTACAGGCATGAGCCACCATGCCTAGCAAAAATTGCTTACCTTTGATATAAGTTCTTTACAGCAGTTGGTCTGACTGGCAGCTGAAAAATGTGTTGCTCATCAAGAGGATTTTGTTTGTAATACTTTATGCAGATCCTGAAAAAACAAAATGGAACCTCTTTTGGAAAAAAGAGCCATTTGACATAACGTTTTTCTGGTAGTCTAAAGCTCGTAAGGGAAACATTTTATTGAGTACTACTAACTAAAACATCAGCGAACACTTTTAGAGCCACAAAAGTAAACAAACAAACACAACAACCCTACAAACAAAACTTAGGTTATGTTTTTTTCTTTGAAAACAAATCTCATTCACTTTTAAAAAATTAATAGACATATTTCTCATAAATATAAAATAAATTTGAGGCCAAAGAAAGGCTTCGTGGGGAGAAAGAGGTTACAGAAAGAGAGAAACAATACAAAAAAAAGAGGCAGAAGAGAAACAAAAGTACAGCTTCCATGGTTTTCAGAGTCCAAGGAATTACAGTTAACTCATTCATTCCACTGATCTATAATGGGGAAAAAAAAAACAAAACTTGGAGATTCTATAAACAATAACAATTTCAAACTTTCCCCTCTACAACTGAGGCAAATTGTAATTTTGGAAAATGTAATGGTACATTTCCTTCCAGAGGGAAAAGAAACCCAGTCCTTCCACTGGACAGTTCACTTCCTAGTTTGAGGCCTCAAATACACATAAGATACCAGCAGTCCGTGTCTGAGAATTTTTCCAAATAACCTCTAGTCAAACTAATTGGAATCTCAAATTACAGCAGTCTCTACAATTACAGCAATGCTACTGACAGAGGTCTAGTAGTACTATTTGATTCCATTGTTATCATTTAGATGGCTGGCAAGGCTATTTTGACCCAAATTGACAGGGATATAAAGAAGAGAAGGAACTAGTATTTACGAATACATGAGGTTATTAGATCCTTTTTACAGATGAGGAAACAGGATTCAGTGATGGAAACTTCCTAAGGAAGTTAGGAAGTGATGCAGCCAATGTCAAATCTGATTCCTTTTGAATCCAAAGCCTTTCCTGCCTATGGCACTGACTTAGACTCATGCATGCTACTGTAAAGACAGGATGAAGAGGTTCTATCCTAACTGGTAATAAAAACTGTACATATTTAGGCTGTAACTATTTCAAAAGAAATACATTTCTATATAAGTGAAGAATACAGATGTACTTACTGTGTTAAAGAAAAGAGGAGTTCATGTTGAGATTTAATGAAAGGCATGCAACTGACTAATATTTCTAGAATATGGTGGAGTTTTTGGACACGATAAACCTGTTCTTGTATATCTACTGATGGAGCAATGAAGTATTCCTGGAATGAAAAAATATAAGCAAAATAGAGATTTAAAGCACCTGTGTAACCTTTGTAAAGAATATAGGTATGCCTTCTACACCTACATTTGGATGCTTGATAACAGGCATTAAAAAAAAAAAAGACCAGAAGAAGCTAGATAGAATTTCTCACCTTTCAATACTATTATTCAAACTAAATTATAGTCATGCACCATACAACAGTGTTTGAGTCAACAATGGATCACACATATTACAGTGGTCTTTTTTTTTTTTTTTGAGACAGGGTCTCACTCTGCCACACAGGCTGGAGTGCCGTGGCGTGATCTTGGCTCACTGCAACCTCCACCTCCTGGATTCAAGTGATTCTCCCGCCTTAGCCTCCTGAGTAGCTGGGATTACAGGCATGCACCACCACACCCAGCTAATTTTCATATTTTTATTAGAGACAGGAATTCACCACGTTGCCCAGGCTGGTCTCAAACTCCTGACCTCAAGTGATCTGTCTGCCTCAGCCTCCCCAAGTGCTGGGATTACAGGCGTAAACCACCGCGCCCGGCCTACAGTGGTCTTATAAGATCACAATAGAACTGAAAAATCCCTCTCGCCAGTAGTGACTTTGTAGCTGTAATGTAGTGCAATGCATTATTCCCTTGTTAGCTGTGATATTGGTATGAACAAAACTATTCCTCAAAAAGAGCCTCAGGCAGGACCTTCAGGAGGTATTCCAGAAGGCACCTATGTTATCTCATAGGTGATAACAGTTCCATGTGTGTTCTTGCCCCTGGAGAGCTTCCAGTGCGACAAGATGTGGAGGCGGAAGACAGTGATACTGATGATCCCAACCTAGGCGAATGTGTGTGTCTACGTCTTAGTTTTTAACAAACAAATTTAAAACAAACAAAAAAAAAAGTTAAAAATAGAAAAAAGCTCATAGAATAAGAATACAAAGAGAAAATATTTTTGTATAGCTGTACAATGTGTTTGTATTTTAAGTGTTATTACAAAAAAACCAAAAAGTTTAGAAAAATTTAAAAGTTTATAATGTAAAAAAGTTATAGTAAGTTATGGTTAAATTTTTATTGAAGAAACAAATTTTTAAATAAATTTGGTGTAGCCTAAGTATACAGTGTTTATAGTCTACAATAGTGTACAGTAATGTTCTACACCTTCACATTCACTCACCACTCACTCACTGACCCACCCAGAGCAACTTCCAGTCCTGCAAGCTCCATTCATGGTAAGTGCCCTGTACAGGTATCCACGTTTTTATCTTTTGTACGTTATTTTTACTGTACCCCTTCTATGTTTAGATACACAAATACCATTATGTTACAATTACCTACAGTATTCAGTACAAAAATATACTGTAAAGGTTTATAGCCTAGGTGTGCAGTAGGTTATACCATCTAAGTTTGTTTACGCCACTCCCTGAAATTTGAACAATAAGGAAATCACCTAATCACACATTTAAAAAAATAATGACACATTTCTCAGAATGTATCCCCATCATTAAGTGAAGTATGACTGTATATACAGATACAGTTGTCCGTTGGTATCCATGGAGGATTGGTACCATGATCCCCTTTGTATACCAAAATCCATGGATGCTCAAGTCCTTTATATAAAATAGTATAGTATTTGCATATAACCTATGCACACCCTCCTGTATGCTTTAAATCACCTCTAGATTACTTGTAATGCCTAATACAATGTAAATGCTACATAAATAGTTGTTACACTTACTGTTTAGAGAATGACAAGAAAAAAAAGAGAATAATGACAAGAAGAAATCCACACATATTCAGTACAGACATAATCATCCCTTTTTTTTGAAACAGGGTCTTGCTCTGTCACCAAGGCTGGAGTGCAGATAGACAAAAAAGTAGCCCACGATCACAGCTCACTGCAGCTTCAACTTCCCCGGCTCAAGTGAGCTTCCTACCTCAGCCTCCCAAGTAGCTGGGACCACAGGCACAGACAACCATGCCTGGCTAATTTTTTTATTTTTGTAGAGATGGAGTCTCCCTATGTTGCCCAGGCTGATCTCACACTCCTGGGCTCAAGTGATCCTCCCAAAGTGTTGGGATTACAGGAGGGAGCCACTGTGCCCAGCGTATTTTTTTTAAACATTTTCAATCTGCAGTTGGTTGAATCCATGGATGCAGAACCCACAGACATAGAGGACCAACTGTGTGTATGTATGTTTGTGTGTGTGTGTGTGCGCGTGTGTGTGTGTGTAGTTTTTGCTAGAACATGTGTCCACTAAAAATATATGCCCTTAATAAAATGTTTAAAATTTGAATAGTAAAAATTAAACCTCAGAAGAATCCAGTTGAGTCTATTTTGCACAACAGATATAGTTTTTCTATCTTGTATTTTCATAAGAGAGAAATGATAAACAAATTGATACTATAAATTCATTTTCAAAAGGATCTTTCAATGAACGTCAAAGATCAGTACAGACACTATTCAACTTTCTGAAGTTTCTGAATGGGCTAGGAAAATACAACAAAGTTCATAACGATGACCCTGAAACCCAAAAGTATACATTAAAGATTATAAATTATTTGGAAAATAAACTTTCAAGTGTAATATAAATGAATAAAGAGAAAATAAAACAAACATTGCTTTACAGAACCTATCAAAGAAAGGCATTCCCTAAGCATTCTGGATAGATGAGATGTGTGATAGTACACTGGCTTCAGTAGGATATAACTATATATAAGTATCACAAATTTATAGAGAGTGAGAAATGACATTGAATGGGCTACTTTTTTGTCTATCTTACTAGGCAGTAATAACTACGGGCACTGACTGTCTTATTTATCCATTTCCCAGGACCTAAGACAGTGGCTAGCATATTATTGGCAGTTAATAACTGCACACAGAATGACTGAATAAAAGAAAAACCAATTTTAGAATAAAAAAATAAACTCACCAAATGATTCAAAGATGCAAGTTCCTGACCTATTAAGAAAAAACACATACATGCAAAAACACTTCAGGTATTTTCTATTACATATTAATAGAAATTAATTTAAATTTCTATTTAAATTCTTAAATTCTTAAATTACATATTAAGGAATCTATATAAATTTTTTATAGTTCCTATATGAAAGAGATTGTCAAGCTAAGTAGTTCCTCACAAAAGGCCAAGTTTCCTGGCATATTATACCATAAATATATACTAATATTTATTCTAAAAATGATCACAGCTTCTCTCTCATTAAAAACAACCAAGTGTAGGGTATTAAAACAGCATCTCATAAAAGGATTTTTTTATTTAAAATACTAACTTTATAGAACCGCAAATGTTTGAACTAAAAACAAATAAATTATCAAGAACTATGGATATAATGCATTTGATATCTTTATTGGGGGGAAACTAAGGCCCAGAGAAGGGAAATGCTCATCTCATAGTGAACCAGGTACAAAGCCAGGAAGGACTACAGACGATGAGGGACAAGCAGAAACAGAAAATCCGAGAATATCTGTGACTGATAACTGTGATGTGTTTTTTAATTTTTTGAGCCAGGAAAGATACTTACCTATGAAAAAACTGATATAATCTTTCTTTAGTTTGTCCAAACCAATTTCCAAAAGCATTTGAACTGGAATAGTCCCACTGAGAGAAACTGTGTCCATGGTTCCATGATAAGACTGATGAATGAGCTTACTTAGTAAACTGTTACTTCCACTATGGAGCTAGAAATCAGGAAAATTTTATAAAACCATGAATAAATATATAAATAAACCCAACAAGTAAAAGAGAAGCAAATTACAGTAGCTACAAACTAAAAATTATAAGCTTGCATTCCTAGTCTCCTAACACTATAAATTGTTTGAACAAAACCCCCCAAGTTATTAACATCAGTTTTTTGTTTTGAGACAGAGTCTTGCTCTGTCACCCAGGCTGGAGTGCAGTGGCACGATCTCGGCTCACAGCAACCTCTACCTCCCAGGTTCAAGCAATTCTCCTGCCTTAGCCTCCTGAGTAGCTGGGTCTAAAGGAGCATGCCACTGCACCTGGCTAATTTTTATATTTTTAGTAGAGATGGGGTTTCACCATGTTGGCCAGGCTGCTCTCAAAGTCCTGATCTCGTGATCCGCCCGCGTCGGACTCCCAAAGTGCTGGGATTACAGGCAGGAGCCATGGCACTCGGCCAGAACGTCAGTTTTTCAAATGCCATTTCTGGAACTGGGTGCAGTGGTTTACACCTGTAATTCCAGCACTTGGGAGGCTGACGAGGGTAGATCACTTGAGGTCAGGAGTTTGAGACCAGCCTGGACAACATGGTGAAACCCCGTCTCTACTAAAAATACAAAATAAACTGGCCGTGGTAGCAAGCGCCTGTAGTCCCAGCTCGGGAGGCTGAGGAAAGAGAACAGCTTGAGCCTGGGAGGCAGAGGCTGCAGTGAGCCGAGATCACAGCACTGCACTCCAGCCTGGGCAATAGAGCAAGACTCTGACTCAAAAAAATAAAATAAAATAAAATAAAATTTAAAAAGCCATTCCTATCTCATGTGTTTAAGTCCAAAGCAACTAAGAAGGGTTTAAACTTATCATCCCCAGATACGATTCCACCAAAGAGAAGCCAGAGCTGTTCCTTTGAAACTTTACAACTAGGAATTCTCCTCTCCTAGCTGAGAGGAGAATCTTTTCCACAATTGAACATCTTCTTCTACACCAAAAATCTGCTGCTGCAGTTAAACAAGCTCCCTCAATGGTCCATGCATGTTCATAAGGAACTCCTCATTGGCTACAATATCCAACATACGAACTTGATAATTTGTAAATTAAAAAGAGCTGTGAGTTTACAATTTAATTTGTGTTCCAAATGTTAAATGATTCATTTTAGGTACTCATAAAATGTCATTTCCCCACTACTTTCTATTTCTCTACTTTAACTTTCATCATAATCTTTGCAAGGTCTTTTTACAATATACACATAGTTTCACTTTGTTTGCACTAATAGTACATGGTAAGGTTAGTAAGGTTATACTTGTAAACATCTCATGAACACAGAAACTCTCAAGAGAAAAATTCAACGGCTAAAACTAAAATGCCTAGAATCACTAATGCCCAATTAAGCAGAGCTTGCATGCCTTTACTCTGGAATGTACCTTGTTCACACCCATAAAAGTTTATAACTTTTATAATGATGAATTGGTAGTCATATTACCTAAAATAATTCCTATTAAAAATCTTTTTAACTTTTTACTTAGCTTTTTCTTGACTATAAAAGTGGCACAAGTTCACTGTGGAAAATTCATAAAGTAGAAATATAACACAGTTGGAAAAACTTGTTTTTTATGAGACGGAGTCTTACTCTGTTGCCCAGGCTGGAGTGGAGTGGTGCAATCTCAGCTCACTGCCACCTCTGCCTCCTGGGTTCAAGCAATTCTCCTGCCTCAGCCTCCTGAGTATCTCAGATTACAGGTGCCTGCCACCATGCCTGGCTAATTTTTTTGATTTTCAGTAGAGGCAGGGTTTTACCATATTGGCCAGGCTGGTCTCGAGCTCCTGACCTCAAGTGATCTGCCAGCCTCAGCCTCCCAAAGAGTTGGAATTACAGGCCTGAGTCACCACGCCTGACTGGAAAAAGTCATTTGTAACCCTTCCACCAGAGGTGACTGCTATTAAGATTTTTAGCATATTTGTTTCCAGATTTTTCTCTCCAAAAGTTAACTTCATATACAATTGTGTATATTCCTTTTTATCAAATATTGTAAGCATTTCTCCATATCATTTATCAGCATCATTTTTTCAGCAACTATTACATGTGCCATATGTAGCTATATCATTATTTACTTAGCCATTCCATTAGCAAGAGAAATTTAGGTCCTTTAAATTTTTATGCCAATATAAATGAGGCTGAGATGACTATTCTGATACATAAAGTCTTGATACATATTTATGTGTATGAGCTTAGGGTACATCTTAACAAAAGAATTATTGGTTCAAAGGCCATGACACATTGTGAGGATCTCAATACATTACCAAAATTGCTTTTTAGAGAATATCTCAACTTGCATTCTCATCAGTAGTATATGAGAATACTCATTCACAGCAACACTTAACAATGACAATATTAGTAGTTTACACACACTGGGCCCTTAAGTATGAGCCAGGCACTAGGTGCATTACATGGATAACATTAATCAATCCTGGAACACTACGAGGTAGATACTATTCTTACCTTTACTTTACAGATGAGGATGTTGGGGCACAAGAAAAGTAAAGGAACCTGCCGAACTTTACACAGCTAGAAAGTAGCAGAGCTGAAATTCAGACTCAGGCAGTTGGCTTCAGAGCCTGTGTCTTTACATCATGCTATGCTGCTGAGAAAATGATCTGACACACACTACTAAACCTACCCATGGCTGTATATCACCACGTTGTAGACTCTGGATGATCAATGTGAAACACTTCACCAAGTCTTGGTATGAAATCACACCTTGGAAAACAAGTCAGTGTAACATTATTTTCAGGGTATTTCTACAGATCAAATATATCATTAATCTTAAGGATACACAAATGAAGTAGAAAGCAAGAATTTGTACTTTGCAAGCAGGGGAAAGGGAAAGAAATTAAAGTGGCAAAAAAAAAAAAGATTTAATGAATTTCTAAAGAAAGAAACCAAATTCAGATTGCCAAAAAATAATATGCTTAGTAAAATACTAAAGAATATCTTTTCCTTTTTCAATAATTATAATTTCAGTAAGGTATATGTTTTGGTTCATATAAATAGATCATGAAAATTACCTAAGTCTTATATTTAAAAAGGCAGGAGAAAAGGATAATTCTACAAATTACTTTGTCTTAGTACAATTCTTAAGCAGAATGCACCAATGTGTCATTAGAAATGAATTAGATAAAGTTAAGAACCAGACTTCCCCACAAAACTAGTGGTACACACTGTATTATTTCCAAAAGACTTAAAAATAAACCTAAGAAATAAGAGGAAAAATTTAAATCATGATGGACACCTACTACTGCTCATTTTGCACCACAGTTGCTCAGCAAAATCAAGATCACTCCGAACTTTGAAAAGACGCTTGACGGAACGATCGACTGCAGCAGTGTCATGCTTCAAGGTCTGAAAAAGAAGCAACCTTCAGAGAATACTCAGTTTTTTTTTTAAGTGAAATAATTTAAGCCTTCAAATGCTGCTCTGAGAAATTATGGATTCATGAACACACACAAAGATATGAACGAATTTTCTACAACTTCATTCACTAATGAGGAGATACAAATCAACAGTGAAAAACAAGACCCTTAATATTGTTTTAAAATTATAGTGCCTAAAAGTGAGCATTCAGCTTTCCCTCCATGTAAAAAAAAAATTAAATTACCTTGGTCTCCGTTTTCCTATTTGTCAGATGAGAATATATCTAGTTTAATTTAACAGTACCATCTTAGAGTATATTAATATATGATAGTAGAGCCATTTTATAGTAATATTAACATATTCATTTCTACTTCTCTGCAATTGAGCAACTAATAATACATATATACCAGTTCTCTTCAAAAATATTTATCAGTTCTGACCAAGCACAGTGGCTATGCCTGTAATCCCAGCACTTTGGGAGGCCAATGCAGGTGGATTGCTTGAGCCCACGAGTTCAAGACCAGCCTAGGCAATATAGTGAGAACCCATCTCTACAAAATATTTAAAAATTAGCCAGACATGGTGGTGCACACCAGTAGTCCCAGCTACTCGGGGACCTGAGGTGGGAGGATCGCTTGAGCCCTGGAGGTCAAAGCTGCAGTGAGCCATGGTGGAGCCACTGCATTCCAGCCTGGGTGACAGAGCAAGACCTTGTCTCAAAAAAATAATAATAATTAAATAAAAATATTTATCATTTCTTAAGGAAAACAATAACCAGTGCTGACAATAAAGATCAACAAAAATTCCCCTTAAATGCTGCCTTGATATCCCAAATCCATTTGCGATGGTACAACATGAAAGATGTCAGCATAACCGAATTTTAAAAGCTATTTCTGTGTATATTTCTAACTGATAATAATCACTTACCTCAACCTCAGTGTCTTTTTTTGTAGAATCACCAAATCCATCCAGCTTATTTAAGTCTAGAAAGTGGCAAAAGTTTATTAGCTCTTGATTTTTCTGCTTTCCAAATTATTTCCATCCTAATCCTATTTTCAAATGGTAAATGGGGACAGTAGAAGTCTAACTAAGGATTTTAGCAAATCACTGAACTCTGGTGGAGATTATAATAGATATCCATCAGGTGGGGGTGTGAGGATGAACGGAGGTAACAGAAAAGCCCCTGACACATGGCATCAGGCACATGGTAGGTATTCAAAGGCTACTGATTCATCTCTTTTTTCCTTCAATCTCAAATATAAATTAAATCTTATTAATTCTTAGGATTACTTAGATCTCTACCATTAGCAATTCAGAACAAAAGCTGTCCCTCTGACCATAACAGATCTCATAGCTTTGTATATATTCCAATCAAAAAAGAGTATCAAGCTTAAAGAGAAACTTATATTTAAACATAGCAAGTATAAATTCTCAATTAATAAAACAAGTAATACACCATTCAGAAATTCCTGAACAAGTTCAACAGCAGATTTTGCTTCCAGGGGCTCGAGCCATTCAGTGACACCAGTCCTCAAACCATCAGCCAAAACCTACAGGAGATTTAAAAACCCCAAAAACTTGTTAGCAGAAAACACTGTTTAATCAATAAGGATGTATGTAATAATAATATTAATTGCAGTAACATTTCTTGAGTGTTTATCACATCCCAGGTACTGCTGTGGTGCTTTATGTATAGTACATGTTATTTAATCCTAACAAAACTCTATGGTAGATATTACTATTATTCTCATCTTATTGAGGCTAAGAGAGGTTCAGTAACTTGCTCATGGTCACACAATTAGTAACTGATAGTCTCAGGATATATACCCAGTGGTCTGATCCCAAAGATGGTACTCTGAACAATGATGCCACGTGCATAGGTGCTACAGAGGACTTAAGACTGAGGATACTGGGTTTGCCCTGGAGATGCTTGCAACTTTGGCAAAGATAGACGGATAAGACAAATGAAGTAGTCTGGGGATGAATAAATGTAAAAAGTGGAAGTTTATATTAAAATAATATAAATATGTATGCACATACATACAATATCTCAATGGACTTAAGAAAAAGCAGTCAAGTGCCGGGCGCCGTGGCTCACACCTGTAATCCCAGCACTTTGGGAGGCCGAGATGGGTGGATCATGAGGTCAGGAGATCGAGACCATCCTGGCTAACACGGTGAAACCCCGTCTCTACTATAAAAATACAAAAAAATCAGCTGGGCATGGTGGCGGGTGCCTTTAGTCCCAGCTACTCGGGAGGCTGAGGCAGGAGAATGGCGTGAACCCAGGAGGTGGAGCTTGCAGTGAGCCAAGATGGTGCCACTGCATTGCAGCCTGGGCGACAGAGCAAGACTCAAAAAAAAAAGAAAGAAAAAGCAGTCAAGTTAGGCCGCAAAAGCCAGTGAAACAACTTGTAACTTCAGTTGCAACTCAAATGTGGGAACCATAGGCTGGCAGGAAAACGGCATGAAATAAGATGAAGAGGGTGGTGTGATCCCAACCAGGGTAGAAAAAGCGACTATGAAGCAGCGGGAAATAGGATTAGAAGAAATAGTAGCTAAACCATCAAGGGATCTTCAAAAGTTTTTTAACTTCATATGGCAGAAAACAGCCAATGTTGATTTTTTTGGCAGGAAAATGACATGATCTAGTTAAGAATTTCTCTATCAGAAGTATCAAGGATGGATTCCTAGGAAAGAGAAAATACAACATTTCCCAGTTGAAATGCTATCATCTCCCACTCCCGGGGGGAGGTCTTTAGAAAAATGTGAAGATGGTTGGGCATGGTGGCTCATGCCTGTAATCCCAGCACTTTGGGTGGCCGAGACAGGTGGATCACTTGAGGTCAGGAGTTCAAGACCAGCCTGGCCAACGTGGCGAAACCCCTCTTGAACTAAAAACACAAAAAAATTAGCAGGGCATGGTGGTGGGCACCTGTAATCCCAGCTACTGGGGAGGCTGAGGCAGGTAAATCACTTGAATCTAGGAGGAGGAGGCTGTAGTGAGCCAAGACTACACCACTGCACTCCAGGCTGGGTGACAGAGTGAGACTCCGTCTCAAAAAAAAAAAAAAAAAAAAAAAGAAAAATGTGAATATAATTTTTGTTGTCATAAATGATTAGGAGCATAGGCGAACTTGGGGCATGGAGTTTGGTGGGGGCCAGGGATGTTAAACATCTTGGTGTGTGTACCATGGTCCCAAATCACAAACAATGTTCCTGCCCAAATGCCAATAGTGCCCCTGTTGAGAAACAATGAATCATCATTAGCATGGTCCCAGAAGAAGATGGTAAAGATTTTAACTAAGATGAGCACAGTGAAAGAGACTTCAAAGGAGGAAAAGAATTGTATATGTATGGGGGGAAGGGTAGCAAGGTATATGTGGAATAAAAGAAAAAATCCTATCCATTTATAAAATATAGGGGGTTGAACACAGACAGACTATGGCCACATGTATATCTAAGATTCTGTGACTTTTTAAGGGAGACTTGAATTAGACAAACACACATTTAAATGAACTTGTGCCAGCTCTTCCATTTACCAGTTTGTTGTCACCTTCAGGCAAAATAACTGAACCAGCCAGCACCATGGGTGGCACACAGCAGAGTGGCAGCTTCTAGCTATAGTAGTACGTAGTGGTGATAGAAATAACAGTTCTTACTAAAGTGAAATATGAGATTTCTAGCGTAGGAAATTGAAGGAACGATGGGACCACAGACAGAAATGGGGGGTTTTCAAAGAGGATGTAGTCTGGAGAAGATAGTTTCATTTTGACATACTGACTCTTGAAGCAATAGCACTCTACCCAAGTGGGAAATAATTTGGTGGAAGTTGGAAAGATGGGAAGTGCTATCAGCTTAAAGATGAGGGTTTGGAGCTTGCTCACAAAGGTGTCAGTCAAATCACTGAATAGATCAGCTCTGCAGGGGTGCAGAGAGAGAAGGGCAGAGATGTGAGGGCAAAAGTATGATGGAGGCCCGCAGTAAGGGTCCTAAAAGAGGGGCTTTCAAGAAAGAAGAAAGGTGAGAAAGGTAGGAAAACTATCAGTTTTATACAAACAGAGAAATAATACTTACTCATAGGAAGTAAAAGTATCAAAAATAGTTGGTACTATGCTAGATGGTAAGGGCACAATAGGGAACCAGGCACTCAAATCTAGTAGAGGAGACAGATAAGTAAACAAATTACTGTGTTTTATAAACACACTGACAAGAGGTATGTGTGGAGTTCTACAGCAACACAAGCCATTCTGTGAGATCAATGCAACCATCACAGAGAGCTCACCTAGCAAAGAGGTGGGAGAAGTGCATACCAGGTAGATCAAGATGCACACACCAGAAGATGATAGAGTATGACAGGATCCGAGCTACAAGCAAGGAGCTTGGTATGATGAGGGTTGGGGGTTCAGTGGGAATGGAAGTAAAGTGTGAGATTAAGCTAAAGAAATAAGCAGGAGCCAATAAGCACATGAAATCAAAACTACAAAGAGATACCACTTCACTACCACTAGGATAGCTATAATTAAAAAACAGACAATATCAAGTGTTCACAAAGATGTAAAGAAATCAGAACCCTCATATACTACTGAAAGAAATATAAAATAACATAACTACTTTGGACAACAGTTATATTTTGGCAGTTCCTCAAAAGGTAAATATACAGTTACCATATGATCTAGTAACTCCACCCAAGACATGTGAAAACATGTCTACACAAAAACTTGCATGTAAATGTTCATGGAGGCATTATTCATAATAGCCACAAAGTAGAAACAACTAAGATGTCAATCGACTGATGAATGAACAAAATGTGGTATATCCACACACAATGGAAAAATAAATAAATTAATTAAAAAAATAAAACAACACAAAGGGTGAGAGAAATCTAGCTATTAACGACCTAATGCTCCCGTTAATTGTAAGGACAACTACCACAGAAGTAAAATTTAACTGCCCAAACTGTCAGAGCTTCTAATGGATACATAACATCTGAAGAAGTTTTGAGTAACACAAACCTAAGTAAAAACAACAATAGCACACATGTTTATAAAAACATAGATTTAAGGAAAGGAATTCTAGAAGGATACTCACAAGAAGAAATTTCAGTTCTCTGTAGAGATGATTCAAAGGACCTCTGGGCTCTCCTGATTCCACTTTAATATTCTAAAAAGTTTCCAAAGTCTGTCAGTTTTCTAGTGCTAATCCTACCTTCTCTACATAAGTGTTATACTTGCATTTCAAACTATCTTTCACACATTAAAAAATATATTTCATAAAGGACCAATGAATTGAAAAATGAGGTCAACACATCATTTAGAACATCTTACTCAGAGATTTTGCCATCTTGACCCAATAATCTAAATTAAAACCACTTATCCTCTTTCTATGACATAAACAATTGTACCTATGTGGAACAACTGCCCTCCTCACACACTCCCCTGCCTTTTCCCAAGGAATTTCCAGGAGGACAAGGTAGGAGAAATTTACATAAATATATCTCAAGATTCGGTGATAACTTAGCATTATCACAAACCAAAATGAAGTCTCCCAATAAATCTGTTTATTAGACTCCTTCTAACTAAACTAACAGTGTGCTGTCCTAGCCAGAGGTCAATGTCTTACAAACCTTAGATTGCAAACATAAAAAAAGAAAAACGTATATGCCAATGTATGTAAATTCCCATTACAGGAAAAGTATAAAGAATATAATTATCCATGTCTGGGCGCAGTAGCTCACACCTGTAATCCCAGCACTCTGGGAGGCCGAGGTGAGTGAATCAGTTGAGGTCAGAAGTTCAAGACCAGCCTGGCCAACTGGGCGAAACCCCGTCCCTACTAAACTTACAAAAATTAGCCAGGTTTAGTGGCATGCCCCTGTAATCCCAGCTATTCAGGAGGCTGAGGCAGGAGAATAGCTTGAACCTGGGAGGCAGAGGTTGCCGTCAGCTGAGATTATGCCACTGCACTCCAGCCTGGGTGACAGTAAGACTCTGTCTCAAAAAAAGAATATAATTATCCATAATCTTGCCACTCTGAAGGAACCACTATTAACACTATCCAGGCTTCTGTATATACATTTTTTAAACAATATAGTTGAGATCGCACTACATAAATAATTTATACTTTTTCTTTTTTCTTTTTGCTTAATAAGCACATCCTATTATTAATATTCAAGATTTTAAAACAGGCTTTTAGAGACTGTATATAATATTTCATCATGAAATCTATTTTAGGCCAGGTGTGGTGGCTCATGCCTGTAATCCCAGCACTTTGGGATTTCGAGACCAGCCTGGCCAACATGGTGAAAACCCGTCTCTACTAAAAATACAAACAAATTAGCTGGGCATGGTGGCATGCACCTGTAGTCCCAGCTACTTGGGAGGCTGAGGCAGGAGAACTGCTTGAACCCGGGAGGGAGGCAGAGACTGCAGTAAGCCGAGATGACGCCACTGCACTCCAGCCTGGCAGACAGAGCGAGGCTCCGCCCCAGAAAAAAAAAAAAAAAAAAGAAAGAAATCTATTTCAACTATTCCCTACTGAACATTCCAGTTTTGTTTATAGTATTTTGGAAACACAGTTATATCGCTGCACTGAATATCTTACACATGAATTTTTGTTAGCAATTTTGACTTCTTTTTTTTTGAGACAGAGTCTCACTCTGTCACCCAGGCTGGAGCGCAGTGGCACAATCTTGGCTCACTAAAACCTCTGCCTCCCGGGTTCAAGCGATTCTTCTGCCTCAGCCTCCCGAGTAGTTGGGACTACAGGCACACAACACCACACCCAGCTAATTTTTGTATTTTTAGTAGAGACAGGGTTTCACCATATTCGTCAGGCTGGTCTTGAACTCCTGACCCCGTGATCCATCCTCCTCAGCCTCCCAAAGTGCTGGGATTATAGGCATGAGCCACTGCGCCCAGCCAATTTTGACTGATTTCTTAAGACAGATTCCTAGAAATGTAAATACAGAGTGAAAGGGCTTAATATTATAATGATTCTTGATGTGTTACCAATAACTCCACCCTTTTAAGAATAAGAGGGCCAGGCACAGTGGCTCACGCCTATAATCCCGGCGTGAGCCACTTTGGGAGGTGGAGGTGGGAGGATCACTTGAGCCCAGGGGTTTGAGACCAGCTTGGGAAACATAGGGAGACTCTGTCCCTACAAAAAAAGTTAAAAAATTAGGTGTGGTGGCGTTTGCCTGTAGTCCTAGCTACTCAGGAGGCTGAGGCGGGAGGACTGCTTGAGCACAGGAGTTCGAGGCTGCAGTGAGCAGTGATCGTGCCACTTTACTCCAGCCTGGGTGACAGAGTAAGACTCTGTCTCAAAACAAAACAAACAAACAAACAAAAACACGGATTCACTTGAGCCACCACTCAAAAACTTTATTCATCACTAGAAAATTCTTAAGTTATATTATTATAGGGCTGAGGGCAACTGATAGATCAGATCACCTGACAAAACCTTCACTGGCTGCCCTGGTGAGACGTTAGTGGCAAGGTGGGCCTTTCAGAGTTGTCCAAGCTCACACTCAGCAAGTGCCAAGGCTAGAGGCATGGAGCACCAGCAACAACCAAGTAAGCCAACATTTAGGAGTCTCATGAACCCGAAAAGGAAATAGGGCCCACTCTTACCAGAGTTGCAGTTGAAGAGAGTGGAGGGATTTGAAGAATCTCATCCACAGGACTCCAGGAAATATCCAAAGCGATCGCAGTTTGTGATGCTGTGATTGTATCATCCAAGGCAGAGGACTTAAAGAGCTCATACTGGGCAAAGCCTTTGGATGTTACCTGAAAAGAGTGTACCCAGCAGATCATTTAGCTGTGCTTCCACATGGCCAAGAGTCCATTACCCAAATTATTTTGATCCTTGTCCCAAAAGAAAAAAGAGCACACACGCCATACTTTTGGGATATATACTTTCCATATATTTTTGGGATATATACTTTCCATATATCCCAAATAGAAAAGTAAGACAATTCTTTGAAACCACAAAGATTGGCTAAAAGGCATGAAGGCATTTTAATTTTGGTCATTAGCTGATATGAAAATAAACATAAACATTTTCATACTACAGAAAAATATCTAGTCATCTTAGGAGTGAAAAAAAACCTGTAAACTAGGAAGGCAGGTTGACAACAATTTGAAGAAAATAATATGAGTAGAAGCAAAACACTTACAGTAGACAAGTGATGTCTTTTCTTGTGTAAATTTTTTAGGTTTTCAAGATTTACAGAATAATTTTTATCAGCTATAGGAAATGAAAGAAAGAAATGTAAAGGCACAACTCAAAATTACATTGTCAGAGCTACAAAACTGTAATCCCTCACATTCTCAATGTACCACAACTCAACAAAATAACTGTTAAAATTAAATTTTAAATCACAGATAAGTGAAATGTTTATAAGAGAATGAAAGTGGGCTGGGTATGGTGGCTCACACATATAATCCCAGCACTTTAGGAGGCCAAGGAGGGAGGATCGTTTGAACCCAGGAGTTCGAGACCAGCCTGGGCAACATAGCAAGACCCTGTCTCTATAGAAAATTAAAAAAACAGCCAGGTGTGGTGGCATGTGCCTGTAGTCCCAGCTATTTGGGAGGCTGCGGTGAGAGGATTGCCTGAGCCCAGGAGGTCGAGGCTGCAGTGAGCCATGATTGCGCCACTGCACTCCAGCCTGGGTGACAGAGTAAGATCCTACCTCAAAAAACTAAAAATAAGAATTTAAGTGTAACAGCCAGGCGCAGCAGCACTTGCCTGTAATGCCAGCTACTCAGGAGGCTGAGGTGGGAGGACTGCTTCAGGCTGAGTTTGAGACCAGCCTGGGCAATACAGTGGGACCCTGTCTCTTAAAAACAAATTAAAAATAAAAATAAAATTAGCTGGCCATGGTTGTGCTCTCCTGTAGTCCCAGCTATTCAGGAGGTTATGGTGGGAGGATCACTTGAGCCCAGGAGTTTGAGGTTGCAGTGGCCTATGAATGCACTACGGTACCCTAACCTGGGCTACAGAGTGAGGCTCTGTCTCTAAAAAAATAAGTAAATAAAAAATAAAGTGGAAGTTGGGCACGGTGGCTCATGCCTGTAATCCCAGCACTTCGGGAGGCCGAGGGGGGTGGATCTTGAGATCAGGAGCCTGACCAATATGGTGAACCCCCGTCTCTACTAAAGACCAGCCTGACCAATATGGTGTAACCCCGTCTCTATTAAAAATACAAAAAAATTAGCCGGGCGTGGTGGCAGGTGCCTGTAATCCCAGCTACTCCGGAAGCTGAGGCAGAGAACTGCTTGAACCCAGGAGGCGGAGGTTGCAGTGAGCCGAGATCGCGCCACTGCACTCCCACCTGGGCGACAGAGCAAGACTCCGTCTCAAAATAAATAAGTAAATAAACACAAATAAAAAATAAAGTGGAATGAAGGTCAATACTACTACCAAAAATACAATTAAATGTCTACGATTGGAAACATATTGTCAGTTTGTATCTTCCAATGAAATTTTTCAATAATATACACATAGAAATAAAATGAAACCCAAATCAAAGAAGTGTAAACCTCCTGTCCAGACTTTTGGAGATCTGTTTCTGGTGTTTCTGGAATACCTCCCACATGCTGCAAGTTACACACCAGAGTAGATTTATGGTGATTAATGCAAGTTCTACCTTGTGCACTTTCATCATAACAATATCAATTTTCGTAAAAAAACATGAAACAATAACTATACAAATGAATAAATACACACACACACTCTCTAGAGAGAGCACTCACCTTTACAACTGACCACATATAAGACAATTCCTGTAATGCTGTTGTTTGTTGTGATAAGCTCAGCTCCTAGCCAACAAGTACCTTCAGGATCTGAACTGTCACATCTTACCCAAAGGGGAGGAAGGGCAGTAACTGGCAGATTAATCTTCAAATGGGTCATATTAGGATTGTGAGCCATGGTGTAAAGTCCAATTAACTGCCTTTAAAACAAGAGTAAGGACAAATTATAGATAGAGATTTCCAATTCAAGAATTTCTTTAATTTCTGAGAGACAGGGTCTCACTCTGTTGCCCAGGCTGGAATGCAGTGGTGCGATCATAGCTCACTACAGCCTTGGCCTCCTTGGCTCAAGTGATCCTCCTGTCTCAGCCTCCCAAATAGCTGGGACTACAGATACAAGCCACTGCATCAGGCTTATTTTTATGTTTTGTAGAGACAGAGTCTTGCAGTGTTGCTCAGGCTGGTCTCAAACTACTTGCCTCAAGCAATTCTTCTGCCTTAGCCTTCCAAAGTGTTGGGATTATAGGCATGAGCCACCACGTCCAGCCAGAATTTTCTTTTAAAAAGATATGAGGGGTCTTCCATCCTGGCTAACACGGTGAAACCCCATCTCTACTAAAAATACAAAAAATTAGCCTGGTGTAGTGGCGGGCTCCTGTAGTCCCAGTTACTGGGAGGATGAGAATGGTGTGAACCCGGGAGGCAGAGCTTGCAGTGAGCCCAGATCGCACCACTGCACTCTAGCTTGGGCAACAGGGTGAGACTCTGTCTCAAAAAAAAAAAAAAAAAAGACACGAGAGGTCTCACAGAAACAACAACCTAAAACTTAAATAGCAACATGTATGTATATGTATACTTTATCCATTAATAGATTCACCAGGCAGATCAAAATGCACGCACCAGAAAGTGACAGAGTATGACAGGATTGGAGCTACTATGAGCAGGGAGCTTCAATATGGCAAGGATTGGGGGTTCAGCAGGAGTGGAAGTTCAGTAGAAGTTGAAGAGGTAGGATGTGAGATTAATCTAAAGAAATAAGTAGGAGCCAGGCCGGGCGCGGTGGCTCAAGCTTGTAATCCCAGCACTTTGGGAGGCCGAGGTGGGCAGATCACGAGGTCAGGAGTTCGAGACCAGCCTGACCAACATGGTGAAACCCCGTCTCTACTAAAAATACAAAAATTAGCCGGGTGTGGTGACTTGTGCTTGTAATCCCAGCTACTCAGGAGGCTGAGGCAGGAGAATCGCTTGAACCCAGGAGGCAAAGGTTGCTGTGAGCCGAGATCACGCCATTGCACTCCAGCCTGGGCGACAGAGTGACTCTGTCTCAAAAAAAAAAAAAAAAAAAAAAAAAAGGAAAGAAAAGAAAGAAGTAGGACCCAATAAACACAAAATGATGCTGTCATTAGTGAGACAGTTAACAAAATTTGAATATGGGCTCTGATTAGGTAATGGTATTGTAATAATGTTAGATTTCCAGATTCTCATCATTGTTCCATGGTTATGTAAGAGAATGTATATGTTCATAGAGAATACACAGTGGAGCATTTAGGGGTAAAAGAGTGCCAGATCTTCACTACATTGTCAATACTTCATTTTTAAAATGGTGTATGTGTGTACATTACTATATATATATATATATATATATATACACACACACACACGCACACACAAACACAAAATCTATAGGTATAACAATAGTTATAAACATATTGTTATGATATATAGTTGTAACAATATACATATATAACTATATATGAATACATACATAGCAATACACTGCTTTGCATATATCTATCTAGAAAGAGACACAAGAGAGAGAAAAAGGAAAAGGGGAAGAAGGAGAAGAAAAAGAAGCAAATGCTGTAAAATCTAAGCAATTGGTGAATCTGGATTAAGGATATACAGAAGTTCATGCACTATTCTTGTAACTTTCCCATAAATTTGAAAGTGTATCAAAATTGAAAGTCACCAAAAAATGTGGCTTATGTTTTTATTTTTCAAAGACATGAAAACTAAATTGATTACCAACAGATGTCCAGGAAAAAAATTTCTAGGGGATTTTACTTCCAAAAAGAGGTAAAATAACCCCAGAAGGAAAATGCAAGAAGAAATGGAGAGCAAAGAAATAAGCGCATGAATCAACCCACACAAACACTGGCTGGAGAAAATAATACAAATATTTAACATTTAAGTCGTAGGGAGAAAACAGGCCAAATATGACTAAAATCAAGTACCTATGAAGGAAGAGGCTGATTAAACTTTTAAAACTTCTAGGCTGGGCGCAGTGGCTCATGCCTGTAATCCCAGCACATTGGGAGGCTAAGGCAGGTGGATCACCTGAGGTGAGAGTTCAAGACCAGCCTGGCTAACATGGTGAAACCCCGTTTCTACTAAAAATACAAAAAGTTAGCCGGACATGGTGGTGTGTGTCTGTAATCCCAGCTACTCGGGAGGCTGAGGCAGGAGAATCACTTGAACCCAGGAGGCAGAGGATGCAGTGAACTGAGATCGCACCATTGCACTCCAGCTTGGGCAACAAGAGCAAAATGCCATATCAAAGAAAAAAAAAAGAAAAAAAAAACTTCTATAGAGCAAGTAAAAACCAGCATGAAGATATAATTTTGTGAACGTTATTACAGTAGTTATCATTCTCATACCATTCTGTTAGTATTTGCATGACTATATTCGCCAGGACACCCTGAAGACAAGGACTTTTTGGTTTTGGAGGCAGGAGGAGGCTGGACAGAGGGAACTGTACATAGCTACACAGTGGGGAGGCAGGAAGTGAAGCTGGAGAGGTAGCCAGAGGCTCTCAAGTTTCTAACAGGGGCACTACTGGCACCTGGGGTGAGATAACTGCTCATTGTGCAGGAGAGTCCCATGCATTGCAGGATGTTTACCATCCACGGCGCAGGTGCACTAAATGCCAGTAGCTCCTCTCAGTCACTGTGACAAACCAAAATACTCCCCTATATTTCCAATTCCCTCTGGGTATGGTACCACCCCTGGTGGAGGACCAGTGGGGCTAGACAATGAAAGTTCCTGTGTGTCATTCTTAAGGAATTTGGGTTTTATCATGAAGCCAATGAAGAACCTCTAAAGGATTTTAAGCAGGAAAGAAGCTTGGTCAGGCTTTCATTTGAGGAAGAAAGACTGGAGGGGAACCAGATTACACATAAGGAAAACAATTGAGAAACAACAATAAATTGGTATAGAGGTGTAGAGAAAGGGAAGATAAGTGCAGTATTCTTGGTCACATTTGGGATACCTATCAAATATTCAAGTAGAACTATCCTTAGTTGGGTATACTTATCAGGGGGTGGGGGAGATGAAGGAAGATATAAGGGCTAGAGGCCTATTTTTCCCAACGTTTATAAGAATGTTTCAATTTAAATCCTAGTTGCCACCCCTACTCAGCATAAGAGAAAACCTACCTTGCCTTCCCAACTGGTAAAGCAAGTGGTCCAACATTTTCGCCAGTAGAGAAATCAGATATGGCAGTTTCTTCAGATTGAAGTTCTTCAATATGACTTGTTTCTTCCTTTTCTAAAGGCTTTAAAAATGTTCTTAATTATTTAACCAGACAAAAGAGCATATAGGATAGCAGCTGACTCTTTACTATGCTACAGAATAATGACAAGTAGAACATAATGTACTTATTTTTATACCCTTAAGCACAAATGATTGGGTTTTGGCAAGAATAGCCACAAACTAGCTTGGTACCAAAAAATCTTGCCATCAGGAGCATTTCAACTGTCCTATAAAAAGATATTGACCTTAGTTGCTAATAGCAAAGGAAGCAACTGATGCTTTTAGAAAAGGAAGTGCTCGGCAGGACATGGTGTCGCATGCCTGTAATCCCAGCATTCTGGGAGACTGAGGAGGAGAATCACTTAAGCCCAAGAGGTCGAGACAAACCAAGGCAACACAGGGAGACCTGTGACTACCAAAAAAAGAAAAGAAAAAAAAAATCAGCCAGGGTGGTGGCATGCACCTGTGGTCCCAGTTAATCAGGAGGCTGAGGTGGAAGGATTGCTTGAGCTTGGGAGGTGGAGGCTGCAGTGAGCCATGACAGTACCACCACACTCCAGCCTGGGCAAAAGAGCAAGACTACCTTAAAAGCAGAAAAGGAAGTGCTCCAACTTGCACAAAATGATTAGGTAAAGGTAAAATACCAAGGAAACCCAGACGTTCTTGGATTTTTCACTCTCAAAACAGGAAGACCTTCTTTCTGGACTATAACCTTAGGCCCACAGTCTTTTTCTCTAGGGCAATAACCTCTGATTGGTGTTAGTGGGTACTATTATCCATGTGTTTACAAAATAGTTAAATAGCTCAGCCTTGCCAATAATAACAACAAGGGAGTTTTTCAGTGAGATAAAACTGTTATATATCCTGATTGTGGTGGTGACTGCAAGAATCTACATACGTGTTAAAATTCATGGAACTGAACAACAAAAGAAGTAAGTCAGCAGGGCGTGGTGGCTCACCCCTGTAATCCCAGCACTTTGGGAGGCCGAGGTGAGTGGATCACGATGTCAGAAGATTGAGACCATCCTGGCTAATATGGTGAAACCCTTTCTCTACTAAAAATACACACAAAAAATTAGCCAGGCGTGGTGGCAGGCGCCTGTAATCCCAGCTACTCGGGAGGCTGAGGCAGGGGAATCGCTTGAACTTGGGAGGTGAAGGTTGCAGTGAGCTGAGATCGTGCCACTGCACTCCAGCCTGAGTGACGGAGCGAGACTCCATCTCAAAAAAAAAAAAAGAAATAAGTGAATTTTATCGATTATTTCTTAATGAGGCTACAAGAAAATGTTAAATTGCATATGTGGTTCATATTTATTTGTACTGGACAGCACTACACTTACTCCTAAAAGAATGAGAACTCATTTTCACCGATGCTGATTTTAAAACGTGTACGTTAGATTATTCCCAAGAAACCAAATTTGGTTATGGAGAATTAAACAACCACAAAGTCAAACCAGTACTTACCACTTTTTCCACTATGAATACTATGTCATTTTCATTTAGAATATTTTTCAAAGGGTTTGGTTGGCCTTTGCTGATCAACTGCACTTGGACATCAGCCTGTTAAAACAGGTATCGAGCAACATTATACATACACTTATATATTTCTACTATCTAAACACATAAAGACCAGTTCTATGCAAGTCAATGGAAAATTTCCTTAAGAGACAGAGTCTCGGCCGGGCACGGTGGCTCACGCCTGTAATCCCAGCACTTCGGGAGGCCCAGGCAGGTGGATCACGAGGTCAGGAGATTGAGACCATCCTGGCTAACACGGTGAAACTCCATCTCTACTAAAAATACAAAAAATTAGCCAGGCGTGGTGGCGGGCGCCTGTAGTCCCAGCTGCTCAGGAGGCTGAGGCAGGAGAATGGTGTGAACCCGGGAGGCGGGGCTTGCAGTGAGCCGAGATCGTGCCACTGCACTCCAGCCTGGGGGACAGAGTGAGACTCTGTTTCAAAAAAAAAAAAAGAGACAGAGTCTCACTATGTTGCCCAGGCTGGAGTGCAATGGCTATTCATAGGCATATGCATAGTGCATTACAGCCTCAAACTCCTGGGCTCAAGCAATCCTCCCATCTCAGCCTCCCCAGTAGCTGGAACTTCAGGTGTGTGCCACCGCACCTGGCTAATTATTTTATTTTTCATACAGATGGGGTCTCGCTATATTGCCCAGGCTGGTCTCAAAATTCTGGCCTCAAGCAGTCCTCCCACCTCTGTCTCCCAAAGTGCTGGGAATACAGGCATGAGCCACTGTCCTGGCCAAAACTTCATACATTCTCATTCCAACTGGAAGTTTATTTAAAAGTTTGAAAACAGGCTGGGTACAGTAGCTCACGCCTGTAATCCCAGCACTTTGGGAGGCCGAGGCGGATACATCACTTGAGGTCAGGAGCTTGAAACCAGCCTGGCCAACATGGGGAAACTCTATCTCTACTAAAAATACAAAAATTAGGCTGGGCACAGTGGCTCATGCCTGTAATCCCAGCACATTGGGAGGCTGAGGCGGGTGGACTGCTTGAGGTTAGGAGTTCAAGACCAGTCTGCTCAAACTGGTGAAACCACATCTCTACTAAGACTACAAAATATCAGGCAGGCATGGTGGCGGGGGCCTGTAATCCCAGCTACTCAGGAGGCTGGGGCAGAAATTGCTTGAACCTGGGAGGTGGAGCTTGCAGTGGGCCAAGATTGTGCCACTGCACTCCAGCCAGGGCAACAGAGCAAGACTCCATCTTAAAAAGTAAAAAATAAATACACAAATAAAAATGCAAAAATTAGCTGGGCATGGTGCTGGGTGCCTATAATTCCAGCTACTCGGGAGGCTAAGCCAGGAGAATTGCCTGAATCCAGAAGATGGAGGTTGCAGTGAGCCGATATCATGCCACTGCACTCCAGCCTGGGCAACAGAGTGAGATTCTGCACAGGATAATCATTACCGTTATTAGCCTGGTTGGTACACGTTCCTTTTCCAAGCATATAACTCTGTTTAAATATAAATATATGCTGGACACATTGGCACCTGTAATCCCGGCTAATCGGGAGGCTGAGATGGGAGGATGGTTTGAGGCCAGGAATTTGAGACTAGTTACAACACAGCAAGACCATGTCTCTTAAAAAAAAAAAAAATAGCCAGGTATGGTGGTGCACTGGTAGTCCCAGTTACTTGGGAGGCTGAGGTGTGAGGATCACTTGAGCCCAGGAGTTTGAGGCCGCAGTGAACTTTGATCATACTACTGAACTTCAGCCTGGGCAACAGAGTAAGACCCCATCTCTTTAAAAAATGATAATAAAAATAGAAATGTATCTATTTAGATATCTAATAGGATTTTGCCTAATAAAAACAGGATTCTAATAGTTTTATATCATGAATGTCTGTGTCATTCAATGTTCTTTGGCAGTCTAGTACCACAGCTCTTTTGTCACATAACTAATTCCATATTATATGATATTTTAGTAGTTTCCAGTTTTTTGCTATTATAAACAATTGATGACATCAATTCAAATGAACACTTTTGAATTATTTTCTTAAGATTAATACCTAAAATCACACTGATACTATTAGACTGCCTTTCAAAATGTTGCACCTACACATTTATACTTCCATCACTTATATCAACATATTAAGCATTTTCACGGCTGGGTGCAGTGGCTCACGAATGTAATCCCAGCACTTTGGGAGGCCGAGGCAGACGGATCACCTGAGGTCAGGAGTTTGAGACCAGCCTGGCTAAGATGGTGAAACCCCGTCTCCACTAAAAATACAAAATTAACAGGGCGTGGTGGTGGGTGCCTATAATCCCAGCTACTTGGGAGGCTGAAGCAGAAGAATCACTTGAACCTGGGAGGCAGAGGTACAGTGAACCAGGATCGCGCCACTGCACTCCAGCCTGGATGACAGAGTGACTCCATCTCAAATAAAAAAAAGAAAGAAAAAAAGCATTTTCATTGTTTATTTTTACCATCTCACAGTGAAACATAAGATCTTACTGTTTTGTCATTTGTTTGATCAATAATGATGGTGAACAGTTTCTTTTTATCTTTTTTTTTTTTTTTTGGAAGACAGGCTCTCGCTCTGTCACCCAGACTGGAGTGCAGTGGCACAATCTTGGCTCACTGTAGCCTTAACCTCCCAGACTCAAGCAATCCTCCAGCTGAGGCCTCCCAGTAGTAGTAGCTGGGACTATAGGTGCGTGACACCACACCCAGCTAATTTTTTTTTGCTTTTTGTAGAGACAAGGTCTCACCATATTGCTCAGGCTGGTTTCAAACTCCTCAGATCAAGCAATCCTCCCACCCCAGCCTCCCAATGTGCTAGGATTACAGGTGTGAGCCACCACACTCGGCCAAGGTAAACAGCAGTTTCTAATATGCTTATTAATCATAAATATTCTTATTATTTGAATCCATTTGGTTTCTTAGTTTGGATATTAAAGCATGAAGAAACCAAGCACAGAGAGCCAAGGATACTGTGTTATTCTAATCTACTAGGTTCTTGAGGAGTTTCAGGTACTGTTGTGGGTTGAAGTGTATCCCCAAAAATGGTATCTTGAAGGTCTAACCTCCAGTTCCTATAAATGTGACTTTACTTGGAAATAAAATCTTGGCAAATGTAATCAAGATGAGGATTAATTTGGATTAGGGCAAGCCCTAAATCCAATGACTGGTATACTTAAAAGGAAAGAGAGAGGCATAGACACGCAGGGGGAATACCACGTGTCTACAGAAGCAGAGATTTGAGTGATGTGTTTACAAGCCAAGCAATACCAAAGATTGCTGGAAACCATCAGAAGGTAGAAAGAGGCAAGGAAAGATTCTTTCTTAGAGAATTCAGGAAGAGCATGCACTTGCTGACACCTTAATTTCAGAATTTTAGTCTCCAGAACTGGGAGAGAATAAATTTTTGTGTTTGAAGCTGCCTAATTTGCAGTATTTTGCTATAGCAGCTCTAGGAAACTAATACAGATATCAAGCAGCAAGAATTCAGGCAGGAAGGGATAAATGAGTTTACCCAGATATATCTGATTCTTGAGTTTGGCTAGTGAGAATTCAGACAGTGAAAGGTAACTCTATTTGCATGTTTCTTTCTTGATTACTTACTCGTGTCCTTTGCCTATTCTTCTTTTATACTTTTTTGTCTTTCTCATTGATATTTTTTTTTTTTTTTGAGATAGTCTCGCTCTGTCGCCCAGGCTGGAGTGCAGTGGTGCGATCTCTGCTCACTGCAACCTCTGCCTCCCAGGTTCAAGTGATTCTCCTGCCTCAGCCTCTCTAGTAGCTGGGACTATAGGCACAAGCTACTGCACCTGGCATTTTATTTTATTTTATATTTTATTTTATTTTATTTATTTTATTTTATTATTTTATTTTATTAGAGACGGAGTTTCACTCTGTCGCCCAGGCTGGAGTACAATGGCTTAATTTTGGCTCACTGCAACCTCTGCCTCCCAGGTTCAAGTGATTCTCCTGCCTCAGCCTCCTGAGTAGCTGGGACTACAGGCACACGCCACCATGCCCAGCTAATTTTTGTATTTTTTAGTAGAGCTGGGGTTTCACCATGTTGGCCAGGCTGGTATCGAACTCCTGACCTCAGGTGATCCATCCACCTCAGCCTCCCAAAGTGCTGCGATTACAGGCATGAGCCATCGTGCCCAGCCATCTTCCTCATTGATTTTTAAGAGATATATATATATATATATATATATATATATATATATATATATATATATGTAGCCACACACACACATAATTATAGATATTACAGCTTCTCATTCATGAGTATTCCCCCCACCCCCAGCTTGTCTGTTAATGTATACTTTATTTTAGTTTGCTAATTATTTCATGGACATAGGTTTTATCTCCCCAAGTATGGAGAGTTTACTTATGAAACAAGTCAGCACATATTAGACACTAAATAAATATATGAATGTTTATAGCAGCTCTCATAATCATCAAAAACTGGAAAAAACCCAATGTCCTTCAACTGGTGAATGGATAACCAAACTATGGTACATCCATACAATGGAATACTACTCAGAAATAGAATGAATTGTTGATACTCACAACAACATAGATGAATCTTAAATGCATTATACTAATTGAAAGAAGCCAGAACCAAAAGGCTGTATGATTTTATTTATAGGATATTCTGGAAAAGGTAAAACTACAGAGACAAAAAATAGATTAATGTTTGCCAGGAACTAAGGGAGGGCAAAGGGCTCACTGTAAAGGGACATAAGAACATTTTTGGAGAGGATAGAAATATTCTATATCTTGATTATAGGTGGTGACTAAATAATTTATCAGAAGTTCGGCCGGGCGCGGTGGTTCAAGCCTGTAATCCCAGCACTTTGGGAGGCCGAGGCGGGCGGATCATGAGGTCAGGAGATCGAGACCATCCTGGCTAACATGGTGAAACCCTGTCTCTACTAAAAATACAAATAAATTAGTCAGGCGTGGTGGCAGGCACCTGTAGTTCCAGCTACTCGGGAGGCTGAGGCAGGAGAATGGCGTGAACCCGGGAGCCGGAGCTTGCAGTGAGCCGAGATCGCGCCACTGCACTCCAGCCTGGGTAACAGAGCATGACTCCGTCTCAAAATAAAAATAAAAACAGACAATTTTAGGATTAGAGTTGTGTTTAAAAACCAAATTGTTCATACCTCATAGAGAAATGGGTCTTTACGGATTCCTTTCTTTTCTTCATTAAATTTCCTGAAACGCAGAACCACATGTGAAAAACAGAACTACATTATCTCTCCCGTTATTCACACTCAGGAGTCAGTCATCACTTTATCTCTGCAGGACACCTATAGGAAAGGCAAAAAGCAAGTACTTACAGCAGCCCTAAGATGTAGTTGCAGAGAGAGAAAAAAAGCAGAAAAGAAGCATTAGGTTAAGAAGAAAAGAGAACCAAAAAAGAAAACTGTGACAGAGATTAATAGACTGTTGCCCTCAATTGGGTACAACTGATTCTCAGAGGCAGCAGGAAATTGGGTTGCCTGCTTCTACTGTGTGTCTTTTCAAACACATCACCAGTTAAAATTAAAATGTAACTTGCCACATGACCTTTCAAAGTAAAAATGATTGGATTCTGATCTGTTACTGAATCAGTGGGTAACCACAGAGAAGTTACTTAAGGGTCCTAGGCCTTAGATTTCTATGGCTAAAATGGAAGCATCTGTCCTCCATTTTTATAACTTGTTACTCAAAGTCAGTAAATTTGATTATGTTGACCATTTCCTTTTCAAAATGTAAGCATGAAACTCCAGGATATCATTTAATTATTATCCTTTAATTCAAGAAAGTTTTAAAATAGTGAATCTAAAGCACTTAAACTGTAATCCATTAACATACCAAAATACACACCAGCCTGATCTACACTGAAAAGAAATCTTTAGTCATTGAAGGAACCCAACAGAACTGTTTCAAGAAACCATTTATATCTATATTTGATCTAATACTATATGACTTCCTGAAATAGAAACAGAAGAGCTAGGCCTATGACTGATTCACTTTTGCCATATTGTGAAAGATCGTGATTTATTCTTACAGATGTTTATGTCTTACGTATAACTCAGGGATGTTATTTAATCAGTCTTTTTTTTTTTTTTTTTGAGATGCAGTCTCGCTCTGTGGCCCAGGCTGGAGTTGGAGTACAGTGGCGTGATCTCCGCTCACTGCAAGCTCTGCCTCCCGGGTTCACGCCATTCTCCTGCCTCAGCCTCCAGAGTAGCTAGGACTACAGGAGCCTGCCACCACGCCGGGTTAATTTTCTTTTTGTATTTTTAGTAGAGATGGGGTTTCACCATGCACTTAATCAGTCTTGCAATAATGTCTCCAGCATGTTTAATAGAGGCCAGTCACTCCTGCTAGATGCTGAGAATATCAAACAAAAGCATAGTCCCTGGTTCACAGTCCTGACTGGATTCCAACAAGTAAACCACAGTTCCATGGTGGTAAGTGCTCAGAGAGAGGCAAGTATAGGAAGCTATAGTAGAAATTTAGCTATAGGGCTTAAACTTTAACCTGAAAGCCAAGAGGAACTCACTAAATGACTTTAAATGGGAAAGATCTGACAGTAATGTGGAGGGTAATAACTTGGAGTCCAGGAAAATAGCTGTGAATAACTTGTAGCACTTCAGAGAACTGATAATGGCCTGAATGAAAAGAGCATGGATGGAGGAAGAATAAGAGGATCGACTAGATAAGGCAGGGGTGGGGGTTTTGGAATTAGAACGCTTCAGAGACAGAATTCAGAAGTAGAATGTCCAGTTGGAGGAAAAGATTAATTCAGCTTTGCAGGTATTGATCTGAGGTCCCGTGTGAAAATTCCCAGTAGTGGGGGAAAAAACAGTGTTATACTTTCTATGTGAAGTATAAAGGGTTTAAATGGGCCGGGCACGATGGCTCACGCCTGTAATCCCAGCACTTTAGGAGGCCAAAGTGGGTGGATCACGAGGTCAAGAGATTGAGACCATCCTGGCCAACATGGTGAAACCTCTTCTCTACTAAAAATAAAAATACAAAAATCAGCTAGGCGTGGTGGCATGCGCCTGTAGTCCCAGCTACTCGGGAGGCTGAGGCAGGAGAATCGCTTGAGCCCGGGAGGCAGAGGTTGCAGTGAGCCAAAATCGCACCACTGCACTCCAGCCTGGCAACACAGCGAGACTCCATCTCAAAAAAAAAAAAAAGGGTCTAAATAAAGTTGTATCAATAGAGGACTTATTTATTTATTTATTTTTAGAGACGGGTTCTCACTACGCTGCCCAGGCTGGCCTCCAACTCCTGGGCTCAAGCAGTCCTATTGCCTCAGCCTCCAGAGTAGCTAGGATTACAGGTATGCACCACCATGCCTAGTTAATAGGAGATTTTTATTTTTATTTATTTATTTATTTTAGAGACAGAGCCTTGCTCTGTTGCCCAGGCTGGAGTGCACTGGCACGATCTCGGCTCACTGCAACCTCTGCCTCCCGAGTTCAAGCAATTCTCCCAAGTAGCTGGGATTACAGGTGCCCGCCACCATGCCCGGCTAATTTTTGTATTTTTAGTAGAGACGGGGTCTTGCCATGTTGGCCAGGCTGGTCTAGAACTCCTGACCTCAAGTGATCCGCCCGCCTCGGCCTCCCAAAGTGCTGGGATTACAGGCGTGAACCATCGCGCCCGGCCTTATCTTAAATAAAGATGAAACAGCCATAGAGTGAAATACTATATAGCAGCTAAAAACAATGAGATAGATCTATAAGGAGTCACAATGAAAGATGTCCAAGACATGCCAGTTTTTTTTAAAAGCTAGTGCTCTTTCTATTCAAAACGTTTACAAGCGTCACTACTTTTGTAAGCAGGAAAAAAAGCAATGAAGATAAACAATGAAAAATTATAACATTTAGGAAATCATGGGCTAGATTACACAGCGGTTCTCAAAGTGTGATGCCCAACCAGCCGTATCCGTTACACCTAGCATTTATCAGGAGGGCAAATTAATTGGCCCCATCTCAGACCTACTAAATCAGAAACCCTGGAAGTGGGGCCCAGCAATCTGTGTTTTGACAATCCCCCGGTGATTCTGATGCATGCTAAATTTGAGAACTATGGATTAGATTTTTACATAGGATGCAGAACTTGATGGAATCCCCTTGGTAGTAGTACTTCACCATAAGAATAAAATGAAGTCTTGGAGCACAGTGAAAAAATAAAGGTGTTTTCAAAATGCAACACACCAATCTGCTATCATTACAATTGTAGCTGATGTGGCAACTACCTCGAATAATAGAGATTAACAGACTAACACCACATTTCATTCTTAGGAGTCAACAAGGCTTTAAACAGGGGAAGGATGCCAACACCTAGTTTTCCGTATCCCGGGTGGTGCCTCTACTTATGGCAAGTGTGTCCATCAGCAGAAAGAATAAATCGCCTCTTGGAACACTTGCCACCTTCCATCTCGTTTGATGACGTACACGTTTTCTCCTGAGACAAGCAAGCTCCCACACGGTCAACCCCACACCGGAGCCGAGAACCGGCCTCTCCCCAACTCCTGGACCCCAGGAAAGCTGGCAAAGCGCTGATCCCCAGAGTGGCAAGAGGCTTAGGGCGGGGATCCAGACACCCAGGGAAAGAAGTGCTGTCCCAGGACCCCAGCCAAAAGAAGAGACTAGACTCACTGAAGGAGACGAGAATAAAAGTCCTCTGCTGCGCAGTTCAGCCGCTCCCACATCCCGCCCCAATGTGAGAGCGGTACCGGAACCGCCAAACTGAACTGCGCGCCGGACCGGCGACGTCAGGGGTCATGGCCCCGCCCCGCCGGGACTATTTTGACCACCCCCTACAATAAGTCCTGTTTGTCCGCAAAGTTAAACTTTCGTTTCAAGCCACCCAGAGCTATTTACTATGTCAATAGTCTTCAACTTCCGTCTGCAATAATTAAAATAAGAGCAGTGGTTGGGGAGAAGATACCTCGACTCGCGAGAGTTGGCCTCGCCCCCTATGGATTATTCCGCAAAAAGGAGTCCCTATTTTCTAAGAATTATTATTACGTTTGGAAGAAAATAGATACCGTAATTTCCCACAAATAAAGAAATAACACTCTCGTTTTTACTTTTGTAGTGTGGTAGAGAGATATTTTTTGTATCCGTGTTGGTTCTTAGGCGGGGCAAGGTGGGGCGGTCAAGGGGAAGGTGACATATACAGCGGGAGTGGTAAGCACTTCCTTTTCCTGTGGCAGCAGCCGGGCTGAGAGGAGCGTGGCTGTCTCCTCTCTCCGCCATGGTGAGTGGAAGTTCTCTTGGCTGGCCTTACCCCGTATCTCGGGGCCAGTAAGGAAGGATTTGGGGTTCGGAGCATAGAATCTGTAGGAGATAGAGCGAGGAGAGGGAGATGAGGACCAAAGGCGTCTTTTTCTGGTGTGGAACTGGGATGTGCGGCGATACGGCAGCCATCTTAGAGGCAACGTGGGGTTCCCAGCACAGGACGCGCCGGGAAGCAGTAGTGGAAAGCACTGGGTCGTTCTCAGGAGCAGTGGGACCTTCTGTTAGAATATTTGCTTATTTAGCCTTTTTCTGGATGCTTGTCTCTGCCTAGCTTGGGAATCATTTCTATTAAAAGCTTTCTGGTTCTCTTCGCCTAAAAATTGTTCGGTGTTATCAAAATCTTTGAATCCTTAGCCAACTCGTAATAAGACCAGTGTTATATGTGTACTGCTTTTCCACAAATAGTGTTCGTATATACTATGTAGTGTTGTGTGCCGGGGGAGTTAAGCGAACAAAACAGACACTGTCCTGACTGGGATGGTAGTTGCGTTGGACTAAATACGTAGTAATATTCTATGGTAGTAAGAGATGAAAACATAGGGAATAGGAGTGGTTTGGCTTTAAACAGTGATCAGAGAAAGCTTAAAGTGGCCTGAAGGATGTGAGAAAGCTGGCAAAGAGGAGCTTTAGAGTGAACACTTGGAAAGTCTGAGGCAAGTGCTGGGTGGTCCTGAGACCGAAAAATATCTGGAAGAGTGTATGGGAGTTGAGATCAGAAGTAGAGAAGATGGTGTAGGTCAGCCTCAGGATTTTCAGTTTACTCACAGTTGGGAAGACTTGGAGGTTTAAACAAAAAGTAATATCACCAGTCTTTCCACTGGTGAGCTTTGGAAACACGTGTTTAGTAGAGGGTGAGGGTGAGTGGGACAGGGATGGAAGTTGGGATGAGTAGAGCCCGGGTAGACAGGATTTGCTGATTAATTGGCATTAAACAGCATCTCCAAACCTTACAATATGGTTTTGATTTAGCTATTGTGCTTTATAAGGCTTGCTTTGAAAGTTTTATGATAAACAATTCTTTTTGAAAATAAAATTGTGCAGTAGAGGTTGAGATTCTAAGGGTTCTAGTCATTTACTGCTATTTTGGTTTAAGGGTTGTTTGCCTCACCATACCAGTCTCTTCTGCAATTGAGTATTTAATGGTATTGTTGGCGTATGAGAAGAGTTTGCTTCAAACATTACTTGTCAATAAAAATAATCCTTGTCTTTTTCTTTAGGCGTGTGCTCGCCCACTGATATCGGTGTACTCCGAAAAGGGGGAGTCATCTGGCAAAAATGTCACTTTGCCTGCTGTATTCAAGGCTCCTATTCGACCAGATATTGTGAACTTTGTTCACACCAACTTGCGCAAAAACAACAGACAGCCCTATGCTGTCAGTGAATTAGCAGGTATGGATTTATATCTTCTGCAGATATTTTAGGGACTGCTTTACAGTAGTGATGAAATTCCACTTCATTGGTCCGTGTTTCTGAACCACATGATTTTCTCGGATGTTCTGATGCTGTTTGCTACCATGCATAATAGTCATGGGTTGGTATGTATGATGAAGCAGCTACAACTTTTATCTCTTCTCAATTTTAGGTCATCAGACTAGTGCTGAGTCTTGGGGTACTGGCAGAGCTGTGGCTCGAATTCCCAGAGTTCGAGGTGGTGGGACTCACCGCTCTGGCCAGGGTGCTTTTGGAAACGTATCCTTTGTTTCACTACCTAAGACTGGTCATCTCTGATGGAATTTAGCGGCCTGGGTCTGGTTTATTGATGATAATACGGTGTAAAAATATTACTTTTTTTTGTCTTGAAGAGAAGGGGCTTCATTTATATGGGGTTATTTTGCTTGCAATGATGTCGTAATTTGCGTCTTACTCTGTTCTCAGCGACAGTTGCCTGCTGTCAGTAAGCTGGTACAGAAGGTTGACGAAAATTCTTACTGAGCAAGAAATAACCTTGTTGTAATTACTAAAATTTGAGAAATGTGATTCTTGACTGGAAAAATAGATGTGTCGTGGAGGCCGAATGTTTGCACCAACCAAAACCTGGCGCCGTTGGCATCGTAGAGTGAACACAACCCAAAAACGATACGCCATCTGTTCTGCCCTGGCTGCCTCAGCCCTACCAGCACTGGTCATGTCTAAAGGTTTGTAATACTTTATATAAGAGAGTTTGATAGAAGAAATAAGACACCTACTATTTGATCATTAGGGTGATTTTTATTCACAGTAACCCATTTCAAGATGGCTAGAAGAGAATAATTTGAATGTTTTTAGCATAAAATATTTTAGTTCATGGATATTCCAGTTACACTGATTTGATCTTGACAAATGAGTGCATTCAGTTATCAAATGTACTCCAGAAATACATGTTACATACCGGTTTAAAAATTTTTTAATCAAAAATATTTCGTATCAGTGATACAAAATGCCCCACTTTTTCTTTCACGTGAACCTTTGTTAAAATTGCACATTCTTTTCATTCTGAAGTGTCTGATTAAATTTTAATCCTTTACTAAATACTAGGTCTGACTACTTAAATCTGACAAATCAATCAGGGAATACTAGCGTAACTGGGGAACTATTCAAGTAGTAGTTTAGTATATCCTTAGAAAACTTCCAACTTAAACTTGCCTGTTGCGTACCCATCGCATTTTTATTTAACTGTCAAAATGATGAGATTCCACTTAATTGGTCCGTGTTTCTGAAACACATGATATTTGTGGAAATTCTGACTTGGCAAACGGAATACCATTTTGCTTTTATTGGTTGTATAAAATGTTTGATTTTTTTTTTTTCTCCAAAAGTTTCAGGATAACCAAGTAAGTGTCATTGGTTTTTGTTAGGTCATCGTATTGAGGAAGTTCCTGAACTTCCTTTGGTAGTTGAAGATAAAGTTGAAGGCTACAAGAAGACCAAGGAAGCTGTTTTGCTCCTTAAGAAACTTAAAGCCTGGAATGATATCAAAAAGGTCCGTTCAATGAGCACATTTACAGTTTGGTACTCCTTGTTCACAGTTTGTCACTTTGAATTTCAGAAGATAAGGGCAGTATAGCTAATCCTTAATGTGTGAGAGAACAAGAACCTCAGAGCCCGATTACTTGGGTTTGAATCCTAACTGCTGTTTATGGCTCTGTGTAACCTTGGCAAGTTATTGTGCCCAGTTTAATCATCTGTAAAAAGGAATTAAAACTCTGAAGATCTATTGCAGAGATTCTATCTTAATCAGAATACTAAAACTGCTCACTTTGTAGGTCTATGCCTCTCAGCGAATGAGAGCTGGCAAAGGCAAAATGAGAAACCGTCGCCGTATCCAGCGCAGGGGCCCGTGCATCATCTATAATGAGGATAATGGTATCATCAAGGCCTTCAGAAACATCCCTGGTAATTAAACTGCTTACATATATTGACTAGGTATACTCTGCAAGTCTACTCAGCTTTTGTTATGATGAGATTCCACTTAAGGTCCGTGTTTCTGAAACAAATGATTTTGTGGAAGTTCTGATTTATGGCTGAAAGAGTTGCACCATTGATGGTTGAAACTTCATAATTAATAAGTTCTCAGGTACCTTTTATAGCTCTTAAGCCATAAAGATGATTTGTGTTTCTTTTGTTGGAATACAGGCTCCCTAATTTTTCTTTCCCTTTAAAAGGAATTACTCTGCTTAATGTAAGCAAGCTGAACATTTTGAAGCTTGCTCCTGGTGGGCATGTGGGACGTTTCTGCATTTGGACTGAAAGTGCTTTCCGGAAGTTAGATGAATTGTACGGCACTTGGCGTAAAGCCGCTTCCCTCAAGAGTAACTACAAGTAAGTATCTTTCATATACTAAGCACAGATGTTTATATTGTGGATATTAACATTCAGAATTGGCTTACATGTTTTCTAAATTTATTCCCATTTCCCCTTATGTGCAGCAACAGTATGCCAAAATGAGACTCACCTGGTCTATATTTTTGGTTTTTTGTTTTGTTTTTGAGACAGAGTTGTTCTGTCTCACCCACGCTGGAGTGTAGTGGTGTGATCGTGGCTTACTGCAGCCTCCGCCTCCCGGGTTCAAGCAGTTCTCCTGTCTCAGCCTCCCAAGTACCTGGGACTACAGGCTTGTGCCACCACACCCGGCTAATTGTAGAGTTGGGGTTTTACCATGTTGGCCAGGCTGGTCTGGAACTCCTGACCTTAGGTGATCCACCCGCCTCGGCCTCCCCAAGTGCTGGGATTATAGGGGTGAGCCACCACACCCGGCCTGGTCCATGTTTATGAGAAGTGATAGTGTAGTAGATATTTTGGAGAGCATAGTGGCTAAAAATAAAGCTTCAGTTGAGCTTCCTGTTCTTTGGTTGATTACTTTTACATGTACATGTCAATCTTTTCCCTTTCAGTCTTCCCATGCACAAGATGATTAATACAGATCTTAGCAGAATCTTGAAAAGCCCAGAGATCCAAAGAGCCCTTCGAGCACCACGGTAAAGTGATACTTAGAGTGTAATTCTCGCCCCAACCCTATACTATTGGTTGTTTCAAAAATTTGTATGTGTATAATGTTAAGTAAAATGTTGATACAGTATCTGCTTTTTTATAGCAAGAAGATCCATCGCAGAGTCCTAAAGAAGAACCCACTGAAAAACTTGAGAATCATGTTGAAGCTAAACCCATATGCAAAGACCATGCGCCGGAACACCATTCTTCGCCAGGCCAGGAATGTGAGTGGAGTTTTTGTTTGTTTGTTTGTTTTTGAGTCGGAATCTCGCTCTGTCACCCAGGCTGGAGTGCAATGGCGTGATCTCAGCTCACTGCAACCTCCACCTACCAAGTTCAAGCAGTTCTTCTGTCTCAGCCTCCCAAGTAGCTGGCACTACAGGCGCACGCCACCATGTCCGGCTAATTTTTGTATTTTCAGTAGAGACGGGGTGTCACTATATTGTTAGGCTGGTCTCAAACTCCTGACCTCAGGTGATTCACCTGCCTCGGCCTCCCAAAGTGCTGGGATTACAGGCGTGAGCCACCGTGCCCGGCTGGTTTGTTTTGTTTTTGTTTTTCTCTTCCTGATACATTAAGTTCTTACAGGGATTTGATTCTTACTGTTTTCTGCCTAATTTGTTGCAGCACAAGCTCCGGGTGGATAAGGCAGCTGCTGCAGCAGCGGCACTACAAGCCAAATCAGATGAGAAGGCGGCGGTTGCAGGCAAGAAGCCTGTGGTAGGTAAGAAAGGAAAGAAGGCTGCTGTTGGTGTTAAGAAGCAGAAGAAGCCTCTGGTGGGAAAAAAGGCAGCAGCTACCAAGAAACCAGCCCCTGAAAAGAAGCCTGCAGAGAAGAAACCTACTACAGAGGAGAAGAAGCCTGCTGCATAAACTCTTAAATTTGATTATTCCATAAAGGTCAAATCATTTTGGACAGCTTCTTTTGAATAAAGACCTGATTATACAGGCAGTGAGAAACATGACTTGGTGTGCTCTGTAAAGCTTGGTTAGAATTTTTTTAAAGTGACATTTTGTTGGCCATAATTTAGACTGTTACATTTTATATAGTGTGGTATAAAATGGGGCATGGATTTATACTAAGTCCATGGAGTTCAGTGGAAGGGGAATGATTTAAAAAAAGTTGTGGTTTTCTAAATAATGTGGCTTGAAAAATAGGTGTAACAGGACTTGGTCAGAAACGCAGAGGCTGTTCAAGTTTAGCTCCCCACCAGATGGAAAATAGGTTAAATTCTGTAAAGATTTAACTTTAACCACAAGAGGGCACAACTGGAGAGCACAATTTTTTTGGTACTGCAGTAAAATTGATTACCTCTTGAGAAGTGTTCTTTTTAACCAGCTATAACAATAGAGTTGAGTATTTTCACCCATGGTTTGAAAAAGTGCCAGAAGGCCACACTGGCCCACATCTGTAATCCCAACACTTTGGGACCCTAAGGTGGGCAGAGCACTTGAGCCAATGAGTTCAAGACCAGCCTGGTCAACATGATGAAATCTCGTCTCTACTGAAAATATAAAAAATAGCCAGTCATGGTGCATGCCTGTAACCCCAGCTACTTGGAGGCTGAGGCAAGAGAATCACTTGAACCTGGGAGGTGGAGGTTGCAATGAGCCAAGATTGTACCATTGCCCTCCAGCCTGGGCGTCAGAGCAAGACTCTCTGAAAAGTACCAGAAGCATTTTTCAGGACTGCCTGTGTGTCTTGGTGATTATGTTAACCAACTGTGTTCAAAAGAAGTACCCATGAAATGCCTCCAGATATAAGGGTGTTTTTTTTTACCCATAAAGCTAAACTGCAAATATTACCCTAGAATTAACCTCTTGTCCTGTGTCAAAAGTCTTGTTTTGCATCTGGATTGTTAAACTGTCAGCTTCTCTCTGACAGTCTCGAACTGTCAAGACAGTCTCAGTTCACAGCCAAGGTGATCTGTTAACCCTCCCCATTTCCAGGGCCAAATCTCAGTTCTTAAGCACGTCGTTTCTTAGCACGGCTTTATTTTCATGCTCTTTATTTCTCTATTTTGTGCAGCCTTACCCCTTTAAAGTCCACTGTGAGTCCTACCCTGCAGGGCCTCTTAACACAGTAGAGTTCATGTGCTACTGATTTGGTGCCTGCCTTCAAACACATGTGCAAGTTTTGTGGGGTTAAAGATAGCCACTTGGTGGCACACCACATTGGAAGTGCTGTTCACCCGGTCATTTGAAACGGTGTTTGACCACTTGGTGCGCAAATGGCCTATCGGATTAAAGGATAGCCAAACCCAAGATTTCTTCAGGTTCTTTACAGCTCCATGGATCTAATTTCAAAATCCTGATCATTACTCATGAATCAAGGTGTTTTGACACAGGCTGTACCCCTTCCTGCAGCTCGTCCCCCGCGGAGTGGCCAGGCTACGGCGGGCGCCGGAAGGGGGCGCACTCCTCGCCTTTCCTCAATGTGTCGGGCAGCCCCGCCTCCCCGCTCGGTTTCCGGGAGTCGGCGGCGATGGCGTCATCACCGAGTGCCGGGCCGACAGCAGCCCGGAGGTTGGCTATGTGACCAGGCAACATGCTGAGCCGGCTTCAGGAACTGCGCAAGGAGGAGGAGACGCTGCTGCGGTTGAAGGCAGCCCTGCACGACCAGCTGAACCGCCTCAAGGTGACCCCGCGGCCCTCTCCTGCCCCTCCTCCATTCCTCCCGAGCGACCATTTCCCCCCAACCTGGGCCTCTGTGGTGACCACCTGCTGCGGCCAGTTCTCCGCTACTCACTAGCTGTGGTGGCGCCAATTTAGAGGTTTACAAACAAACAGGTATCTGAATCACCTGGGGAGTTTGCTGTGCGCTTCTTAGGCCCTATCTTTCAGAATCGTGACCTCGCAAGTCTAGGGTGAGGCTCAGGGATCTGTGTTTGGCAAGTGCAGTCCTACCTGCTGCTTCCTGTAAATGTTCATCGCCCTCAGACAGCACGCTGAGGAAGTGCTCCCTCCCGAAGGCTCGCCTAGACCCCTCTGGCCACCGACCCCTTCCTCCTGAGCTGCTGTTTTCTAGTTTGTTTTGGCGCTTGAAATGCTCTAGTTTTGCCAAGCCAGAAGGAACTCCTAGATCCTCCCATGCTACCAAGGAAGAAACTGAGGCCCTGGGAGAAGAGACTTGTCCTAACGTCTGGAGCTTCCGGTGGCTCTTGTTACTGACGCCATGGCCTTGAGGAGGAGTCGGGATTTAGGCCCACGTGGGCCACTTCCCAAACCTGTGCTTAATGCAGCCCCTCAGCCCGGGCAATATAGTGAGACCTCGTCTCTACAAAAAATTGAGACAGGGCCTCACTGTATCGCCCAGGCTGGAGTGCAGTGACATGATCTCGGCTCACTGCAACCTCCGCCTTCTGGGTTCAAGCGATTCTCGTGCTTCACCTTCCCAAGTAGCTGGGATTACAGGTGTGCACCACCACGCCCGGCTAATTTTTGTATTTTTAGTAGAGACGGGGTTTCACCATGTTGCCCAGGCTGGTTTCGAACTCCTGAGCTCAAGCGATCAGCCCGCCTCGGCCTTCCAAAGTGCTGAGATTACAGGCGTGAGCCACTGCGGCCGGCCTTACAAAAAAAAATTAAAATTAGCTGAGCGTGGTGGTGCGTGCCTGTAGTCCAGCTACTTGGGAAACTGAGGTGGGAGGATGGCCAAAGTCCAGGTGGTCAAAGCTGTAGAGAGCCCAGATTGTGCCACTGCACTCCAGCATGCAACTATATGGGGAGACCCTGCCTTAAAAAAAAAAAAAAAAGTCCCAGGGAGGTTATTATGCTAATCCCTGCTCAGCATTCTTTTCAGAATCTTTTTTTTGAGACAGAGTTTCGCTCTTGTTGCTCAGCCTAGAGTGCGGTGGCGCAATCTTGGCTCACTGCAACCTCCGCCTCCCGGGTTCAAGGGATTCTCCTGTCTCAGCCTCCCAAGTAGCTGGGATTACAGGCATGTGCCACCACGCCGGGCTAATTTTTTGTATTTAGTAGAGACGGGGTTTCACCATGTTGGCCAAGGTGTTCTCGAACTCCTGACCTCAGGTGATCCACCTGCCTCTTCCTCCCTAAGTGCTGGGATTACAGGCGTGAGCCACTGGGCTCGGCCCTTTTTCAGAAACTTTAAGTCCATATGAGGTGAGGATTACCAAAGCCCTTTGTAAAAGGAAAAGTATTGTACACCTGTGACATATCAAAATCATAAGCATTTTTCCTTAGGGAAGTTATACTTTTAGTAGAGACGGGGTTTCACAGTGTTAGCCAGGATGTTCTCGATCTCCTGACCTCATGATCCGCCCGCCTCAGCCTCCCAAAGTGCTGGGATTACAGGCGTGAGCCACCGCGCCCGGCCTCCTTAGGGAAGTCATAATGCCCTCCACTTATTTGTGTTTCTATATTGCCACGGTACCCTTACAAGTACTTAATGAGTGTATTGATGACCACCTCCAAAGCCCAGATTTCCTTATGCTTCAGCAAACACCTCTGTTTTCTATTCTTCTTTCCTTCACGTTCTCATTACTGAGTAACAGCCTCAGGTCCAGGGAATCTCTCTCTCTGAGGAATCAGATGACACCTGGCTGTTTTAATGACACACTTGTACTTTGAGTTGCTAGGTCTGTAGAAGTGGAAGCCATGACTCAGCCAGAACACCTGTTCAGCCCAGGGGAGAAGGGCTAGAGTCTTTCTTTACTCATCTCCTTAAAAGAGAGAAAACCTAAGAGCCTACCCCCTCAACTTTCCCTCTAGAGCAACACAGAGATAGTTTTCATTCCCTCTCTTGATGCAAATGTTTCATAGTGTGCCCAGCAGTTTACCCACATCAGTAGTCCAGTGAAATAGTAAGGAAAAGTGTCCTCAACTCTTCTTTTCTAGGTTGAAGAATTAGCCCTCCAATCAATGATCAGTTCTAGAAGAGGGGATGAGATGCTGTCTTCTCACACTGTACCTGAACAGTCACATGATGTAAGCTTAATCAAGTGCAGGCCTAGGAGAGAATGCAAAGTCTGCTCTGCTCCCATGCTGCTTGGGTGGTGAAGAACTGTTGTAAATCACATTACCTAGCCCAAAGGGCTCTGAGAAGTGCTGATAACAGTTTTCTGGTTTAATAAGGTGGCAACTCTCCATTAACCACCTTCCTACCAGCTAGTTATACACTAATTAATTAAGTAGTTACTAATGTTTTACCTCCATCCTCCTCGTCATCCATTCTGTCTAGTTACTCAGATGAACCCGGGGGAGAGTGGAGATTTTTGTAGGACGATGTCAAAACTCTTGATTTTTTGTGAATAAGTAACCTTGAGATTCAAGAGTGTGGCTTCAAGTACAAGGCACAGTGCTAAAAGATGAGCTCCAGTTCTCATCATACTCATCTCTTACCAAATGCCCTCAAGTAAGTCAGCAAAATCTAAGTACACAATATTTGAGCAGTTCTCCCAGATTTTGTGTGTTAAGACATTTAAAACCATGATACAGCAGCACATGTAAGTTGGCACAAATCTTATGGAGCTTTGTGTAATAATGTTTGTAAATGAGGTAACATTCTACTGAATCTGGGGCATTTACTGTTGCCCCATTTTGGTAATGGAGGTGGGGGTATAAAAGGAAAGTGGCCATACCTCTTAGTCATAAGTACTGGGGATAGATATGCAATTGAGATCTGATTTTAAGTCATTTTTAAGAATTTGCTGTTTTGAGGCCAGCATCTTTCCTGCTAATCTGTGATGCCCTTGGCCAATACAGATGTTGGTGCATGTAGACAATGAAGCATCAATCAACCAAACAACCCTGGAGCTGAGCACAAAGAGTCATGTGACGGAAGAGGAGGAGGAGGAAGAGGAAGAAGAATCAGATTCCTAAAGGAGGGGGAAAGCCAGGCTGGTCAGTTATACAAATTGCATTTCTAAGGCTCAGGCTACTTCTCCTCAAGGAAATCATCTTGCCCTGGGCCCTGTGATCTGCTTGAAAGGAAAGCAAGAACTATAAGGAGGATGTGTAGTTGCAAAAATGGCTCCATCGGTAACTCAAGCTTCAGAATGTTATGACATACAGAAAATCAAAGATGCTGTGTCTTAGCATTGAGTAATATGGGTGGTGCTGTCTGTAATCTGGTCAGATTCAGTTAACTGTTCAGAACAAAATTTCCTCTGAAATACTGTTGAGAAAGTCTGTCATTTGCAAAAAGAGCAGAGTTTAAATACAAGCCAGTCTTTCCAGTCAACAATGCCTCTTTGAAGAAAACCAATTAAAGACTGTTTGCATGCCGCTGAACCCTTGTGAGCAGTTAGGACACAGTCTAGGACAGAAAGATGACAAGGGGAAGGACTGAGGGCCGTCTGAGAGCACAAGCTGTTTCTACCTCTCAGAGGCATTGAAATATTGCATGCTATAAACTGCTTTGTGTATCTGTTACCACCTCTCACTTGAGACATCACTCACTGGTAAAATGTTTTATAAATAAATTTATAAGTAGCCATCATGGAGCCTGCTGGTTTCTAGATAGCGACAGAGAGAAGCAGCAGTTCCTTCTCTGAGGAAAAGATACAACAGGATGGTTTGAAATCCATTTCTGGTCCTTAAGAGAGATGTGCCATGCTTGGAAGACTGGATTTTTTGTTTTGTTTTTTGTTTTGTTTTGTTTGAGACGGAGTTTCACTCTTATTGCCCAGGCTGGAGTGCAATGGCGCGATTTTGGCTCACTGCAACCTCCCCTTCTCGGGTTCAAGTGATTCTTCTGCCTCAGCCTCCAGAGTAGCTAGGATTACAGGCATGCACCACCACACCCGGCTAATTTTGTATTTTTAGTAAAGATGGGATTTTTCCATGTTGGTCAGGCTGCTCTCGAACTCCCAACCTCAGGTTTTCCTCCCGCCTCGACCTCCCAAAGTGCTGGGATTACACACGTGAGCCACTACACCAGGCCGGAAGACTGGATTTTTGTTAACAGATGACAGTTACAGAATAAGAGTTTTTACTTAGTATCTGAAGTTGAGGTTCATTTCTGCATACTGTCCCTTTTCCACTGACTACCATGAAATAAGTAGTTGCTTAATTTTATAAAATTAATTTCCCCTGCCCAAGCAACAGTAAAAGCCAAACAAAACACAAAGAATCATGTCAAGCAGAACTTATGTAACAGTTCCCAAAGAAAACAAAGAATACTTTTTTTGTTAATCCACATTTCATTGAAGTTATTTTGAGCTGCTTTTAGAGGAAACAGCCAGAAGTTTAAATGAGCATGTTCCTTAGAACACACAATGGGAAGACAGTTTGGGAACAAAAAGCATCAAGGTACATAAATTTTGGGGGTCTAATTTAAAATATGAGCATGAGTTTTAAAAGCTGGAAAACTTGACTATGAATTCCAGCTCTACCACAAACTGGTCACTTGTCTTCTCACCTCTTTGCAACTCACGTTCCCATCTGTAAGGTGAAGATACTCACATCTGCTCTAGCAGTTTCACAGGTTGCTATGAGGTGCTAATGAGATCATTTAAAAATCCAACTATCATTGGTATCTCAGTAAGAATCTGGCATTGGGAGCTCAAAACACTGCAAGATTCATGCGGGGATCATAATTCTTGGCTAAAAATTAAAAAAAAAAAATCTAAACACCCCTCAAAAGACACTGAGCATGAAAGTGGTCAGATCTAGGTTTTAGATACCAGGTTATAACATTTCTTCTAAGGATGTAGTATTCTCATTTTAATGAAACATTCTCAGTAGTGGTGGTATCCTGTCATTTGTAAAAGACACACAGTGTAAATGTTAAAACCCAGCCTAAATGTTTATATGTTGAAAATGTATAAGTTAAACTGTTGACTTAGAAAAGCTATACTTCACAGTGAGAGAAAAAAAAGTTGACTAGCTTAGGCAGCAGTATATACAACACTGATCATTTTTTTAAAATCCTGGCAATATCCCAAGCTCTGGTACCTCTAGATTGGACTACCTACTTAGAAGATTATTTACCCAAGTTTTGTTTTTAATCTAAAAAGGAATGGGCCTTTTATTTATAAATATATATGTTGGCTTTAGTTTCTGTAACCTGCCCTTTCAAAGAAAATAATGAGCGGAGAGGTATTGACCAGCAGCCTCAAATGTACCTAAAAGAAGTTCCCAATGGCTTTGTGACATCACTGCCACCTCACAGGCATGACAAAGCCAGCGCCAGGCACATTCCTCCTTTCCAGGAAGGTGTGGTTAAGTGTAAGTGGTGAAAGAAGGGAAACCATTGCTTAATGTCGCAAAGGAGACAGACTGTCCTATGTTGTGCAGAAAGCTCCCACACCAGGTAGGCAAGCTGGCCACCAGCAAGGCCCTCCTATGAGCATGACAGCCTAAAAGTGCAGGCAGGCCCTCAGCTCAACTATTGGTATATGGAAAATGAGAAATGTTCTGTGAGATAAGAAATGTTTTGTCATTTTTCTCAGATTTGCTCCCAGTCCCCCATCAGCTGCTTTTCCCTTGTATAAAAGAGATCAAAGGAATATACAGGATCTATTCACAGGTCCCACAAGGAAGGTGGTTGGAAGAGTCACAGATAAGGGTGTTGGGTGAGAAGAGCTGGACTGAGTCCAGAGATTGAAATTACAGGAAGCCCCATTAGTCCAAAGCACTGAACTCGGTGTCCTGTTTCTGCCTTCCAGCCTCCTCCTCATCTTCACCTTTCCCCCTCACCAGTGTTGCTTGGCTAAACCAGTATTTCTTGTGTACTAAAGAAACTGAAAAGCTTACCACAAAAGCAAAAGTAGCTTTCATCCTTTTTTTTTTATTTCATAGTATATTTATTAGAATAAGAGATTAGATTTGTTAAACATCTAGGTTAAAATGGTTAAAAGGATTTTCATACAATTTTAGGCACTATACACGTTGTTTACAACAGCATTGGTACTTGGATATGGGGAAAGATAAATCCGACATTTTAATATCTTGATCAATTTGTGACATTCAAAATAATTCCATTTAAGAAACATTAATCAAAACTTAAAGAGACATACCACTAAGTATCCCACACAGTATACTGAAAATAAATATAGAAATACAACCAGAAGTCTACAGATCACCACAGTAGACAGACTGGTGAAGCCCCAGCTATCATGGCAGTGAAGGGCTCTGGCTAGATTTGGATGTCAACTGCTGAGTTCTACATGAAAAGCAAATAATAATAATAAAATAACATGATGTACACTCTCTGATGCTCATTTTCATAGCAGCAAAGCATGCTTCACATGCACTGCCTGTGAAGGATCTCACAAGGCTCCCTCCTAGAGAGAAAGTATGCCCAGCAAGAATAAAGTACCACCAAATGTCAAAGAATCCCGAAAATACAGGCAGACAGCCAGTCATGGAGCAGGAACAGCAGTGCAATTGTAAGAATGACTACCCACATTCACCAAAATTTCACTGTAATTCAGCCTGGCACAGGTTTTGATCATCAGCATACACACAAATAGCCCCAAGCACAAAGCCAATCCACTTAGGGGAACAATAATAGTAATAAGAATAAAGACAGTAATATTAAAAATGACAAGAGTAGAATCTTGGCACATGCTGTGTTCTTCATCCTTTGTCACAGGTGAAATGCACATCTGAACAGAGACAGGCATGGGAAGGAGGCCCAAAAGCGACATGGCAAACCACCGGGCAGGGGACTCGCTCTTTGTTGCTTCCCAAACACTTAGACGCCAGCAGCATGGGTTGGTGTGCTGGGCTGGTTAAGGCCGATGGTGGAGCAGAGCCAACCTGCAAAATCCACTTCCTCAGCATCAGATCTCTTGATAAAAGCATGAACCTGCATGTAAGGAAACGAGAGGACGTGGTGTTAAAAAGAAACAAAAAAACAAAACCCACCAGGAAGGAAAATCCAAGAGTTTCAGGTCTAGAGCTTGTGCTGCACTTGGAAAGAGCACCTGGCACCTGCCCCTGAGCAACAGTGGGGCCAGCTGCAGGCCCAAAGACCTGCTCCACCAGTCACAGCAGCTGTGAGGCCTTGGGCAAGTCACCTCTTGGAGCCTACTCGTGCAGTATGGAGACAGTAACTCTGCCTTAAATGCCTCACAGGCTTGTTAGAAGGGACAAAGAAAATGATGGACTTAGTGCATATTATATACTATATACACCGTCTATGGCTGTCCAGATATTTACAGTATTACTTAGCTATTTCCACTGCCACCAAACGAGACAGCAGGCGGAGAGTGACTCTGGAAGGAGGCTGAATGTAAGATGAGGCAGTCAGTATTAGGGAAAGGCCGCATCCCCATGAAGGGGGTGGGCTGGCCTTTTCTTTCCCATGGCCCCCTCAGGCATTTCCTCTGGCATATGCTTACTCAGGCTGCGGGGGTCACCCCAGCTTTCCCTTAAACTGATGGGAGAGCAAAGGAGACTGGTGTTTGGTATTCTGCAGCCCCAGGCTCAGCTGGACCACAGTGGGCAGGGAATGAATGGGCTCTGGAAGTACTGCACAGATGACTGACAGAGAAGAACAAATGAATAAACAGGTACTGTAAGAATCCGGAATAAATAGACTCACCATGAGTTGCTTCAAATCTGCTCTCTCTGCGGGGTTTTTTATTAAGCTTAAAGGAAGAAAGACAAGGTAAGAGCTGTTGCCTGGCACTGGTTCTAGCTCAAATAACATGTTTGCATGCCTGTCTTCTCTGCACACTAGAGGCCGAGGATTGCCTGGGCTTGATTCATCCTCCTGTTCTAAGCACAGTATCATGCCCACAGTAAGTTAATACATTCTTGCTGAGTTAAACTAAGGTCAAAAAGCAACGTGCCAATCCCTGGAGAGCAAGTACCAAAAGGAGCAGCTACTACATCCATGATGTAGTTAGACATGCCACATAAGTCTTGGCACTCTAAAAAAGGGCTTATGGCAGCAGCCAAGAATCATCAGACGGGAGGGTAAAGGGCAAAACTCTGCCTGCAGAAGCAATGCTGGTGCTTCCAGAAATGGGGTGGGGAGCCTGACAAATCCAGAGTATACGCTTCCAGAGAACAAGGAGCCAACTTACCATTTATTCACAAAATCTTGAAATTCCAGACTGAACACTCCACTGGGCAGTTTTGGAGGAGGCTGCAAACACATGTTGAGATAAGAAAAATGCCTGGCTCCTTGCTCCAGCCATCTCCTCTCCCCATCCCACCCCTCCCACCAGCCAGTGCTACTTTTTTTTAAAGTCTTCTCTGCAGTCCAAAGGCAGTACTACTCTCATCCAGTCAAGGAAAGGCACAGGTAGAAGGCCAGTGCTGCCTGTTGGGTAACCATGTTGGAACCACTGATCTCAAATAGCACATTTAGAATTGGGACCAAGTCAAGTCCACTCACTTGTCGGGTGATTTTGAACTAATCACTATTCCTCTATGAGCCTCAGTTTACTCTTCTATGACATGAAGAGGTTGGGCCTAATGATCTCAGGGACCCTTTCAAGCTCTGACACTCTACAATGGTAAATCTTGGAGTGCGGCATGGGAACGTAACCAGCAATTTACTGGCAGCAACAGCTAGGGGCACGTGCAAACCACCAGGCATAGCCCAGGTCTGACAGCACCTGCAGAAGCAAACCGGTTTTTAAAAATCCCTTTTCTGAGCCCTAGAGAAGCAGTGAAAAGTTAATAAAACATTAACTGACAGAGGGCTGGATCTGGAAGAATGTTACCTGTACATTCCAGAAATGAGGCTGTTTTCAGATTTTCCCATGGTGATCATGCAGCACTATACAGTACAAGGCTCTGGAGCACTGGGCTCATGGCGTTCCATGCAGTCCAGGAAATGTGGGCCCACTTATGTACCTGGGCTGGGAGCTGTGTGTACCCATGCTGACCCACAGACATAATGTCCATGATGTCACTGCTCTGATGTACAGCCCAAAATCTCGTTTTTAATTTGGGACTAAAAATGAGACACTGATCCCCACCACAAAGCCCAACCTAGTGCTCTTCCTTTGAGGGCCATGTCAGTCTGATCTTAGGTGAGGACTAGAACTCAGCTCTTAGAACAGTGACCCAGAGCAAGCCCCATTCTGCAGACTGTCCCCACTGCTGAGGGAATCAAGGGACCATTCAAGGAAGAGAGGAGACCAGCAGCTTGGCCTCCAGAGGCAGCATCCATTCCTTCTGAACAGGAAAGAGCTAGGCAGCAGAGGGGCTGTGTGCCAGCAGAGGCTGCAGTAGAACAACTGCCATGCAGCCAAGCCTCCTAGGAGGTAAGAATGGGAGGTGGGAGGTGGCAAGGAAGAAAGAGCACTGGGTGGGAAGGACCTGGGCTACTTTTCATCTCGGAGGCTCAATTTCCTCACCTGTTTGAAGAGGAACCAATTTGGCCTACCTCAGCAATGCTTGGGAGAATTGCATGGGAAATTAATGTGAAAATTTGGAAGAAAGCAGTGCACACTAGGAGACGCAATGGCGTATCTAACCTCAGATATCCCTTCCCTTAATATGACTACCACCCAGAACCACCTAGCCTAGGTCCCCAGCAGTAGAGGATGGATGGCTTTTTTTCTGACTCCTACAAATGCAACATGCTCTGCCTCCCTCAAATCCTTAAGCAGCGACGAACTAATCCTGAAACTGCTTTTCTACAGCCCATGGTGCTTAGTATAAAGCTGTGCATACAGTAAAGAGAGGTTAAATTAAACTCCCTAGTAGACTGAACCTGTGACAGCGATGTGTTTTTTTGTTTTTTTGTTTTGTTTTGTTTTTCCCAGAGTCAACCTCCGCCTCCCAGGTTCAAGCAATTCTCATGCCTCAGCCTCCCGAGTAGCTGGGACTACAGACGTGCACCACCATGCCCAGCTAATTTTTGTATTTTTAGTAGAGATGGGGTTTTGCCTTGTTGGCCAGGCTGGTCTCGAACTCCTCACCTCGTGTGATCCACCCGCCTCAGCCTCCCAAACTGCTGGGATTACAGGCGTGAACCACTGCACCCGGCCACCTGGGTGTTTTCTTAAGATGAGCAAGTAAATTCCAAGGTGAAGGAAACCAGGCAGTACTTACCTCGTTGACTATGTAATCCAACAACTCAAAAATTGCCATGGGAGGTCGGCTGTCCATTCCGTATGCTACAAATTTTATAAAAAGAAAAAATACTTCTCAGAAACAGATTACTTGTTAATATGAGGCAAGGGGTTGGGCATGGATCCCTGGGACCAGAACAGGGTCATGGACAATAAACATTAAACAGCCACAGATAAGGCTTGAACACAGAGGGGACCAGCAAAGGCCAGGGTACAAGTCTGGGCTCTGCCACATCTTAAGTTCGTAACCTTTGGCAAATCAGTTCACTGCTGAGCCAAACAAAGTTCTGAGTTTTGTAAAGCAGAGACATAATAATTATGTCTGTCCTTTCCCCCTTCCTTCTATTGAGAGAGGCACAAATGAGATAGCAACTAAATAACTAAAGGACTTAGTTTTAATTCTCCATGAAGTTGCGTTTCTTCCTTTTGTCTCCTAGAGTCACTGGCGAGCCTCAGAGGCCACAGCCACCAGCCCCTCCAATGACCTGCCATCAGCTACCTCTAGCCCCCTCTGCTTTCCCCTTTATACAAGCTCTCTCTCATGTGGACCTCATGGAGGTACAGGGCAGGTATCCCTGGCCAGACAGGAGCTACATAAAAAACAGTTGGCTAGGTCAGGCTATTCCCTGAGTACCAGGTTTACTTCCCAGTATTCACATTCAGAGAGGCAGGTGGTACTGCACAGTGTTTATCATCTTGGGAGTCAGACTTGGCTACTTGCAAGCCTATGTGGCCTTGACAAGTGCACTGTGCCTCAGTTTCCTCATCTTTAAAATTCAGATTATAGTCGTGATCACAAATGAAATGCTATTAAAATTATATAATGCTAGGCAAATCCGTGGACACAGAAAGTAGATTAGTGGTTGTCAGTGGATCAGGCAGGGGGGAGTGGGGGATGGGGTTTCTTGCTGGGGTAATGAAAATGTTCCAGAATAAGACAGTGGTGATGGCTGCACAACATGGAACAATACACTAAAAACCACTGAACTACATGCTTTAAAATGTGAATTTTGTCTTATGTGAATTCTATATCTCAATAAAAAATAAATCTACCAAAAGTCATGATTAAAAAATTAGAATGCAGTGGCTCATGCCTATAATCCCACCACTTTGGGAGGCCAAGGCAGGAGGATCACTTGAGCCCAGGAGTTCCAGACCAGCCTAGTCAACATAGTGAGACCTCATCTATACAAAAAAATTAAAAAAATTAGTCAGGCATGGTGGCGCATGCCTGTGGTCTCAGCTACTCAGGAGGCTGAGGCAGGAGGATCACTTGAGCCCAAGAGGTCAAGGCTGCAGTAAGCCATGATGGCGCCACTGTACTCCACCCTGGGTGACAGAGCAAGACCCAGTATCAAAAACAAAACAAAACAAAAAAAACCCACAAATTAGAAGCCAGTCATGGTGGATCATGCCTGTAATCTCAGCATTTTGGGAGGCTGAGGCGGGAGGATTGCTTGAGCCCAAAAGTTCAAGACTAACCTGAGCAACATAAGGAGACTATATCTCTACAAAATAAACAACAACCTAGCTGAGCATGGTGGCATGTGACTGTGGTCCCAGCTACTCAGGACGCTGAGGTAGGAAGATCACTTGGGCCTGGGAGGTTGAGGCTGCAGTGAGCTGTGATCATGCCATTGCACTCCAGCCTGGGTGACAGAGTGAGCCCCTTCCCTCCCAACCCCCGCAAATAAATTATAACCTGTAGTCCCAGCTACTCTGGAGGCTGAGGGAGGAAGACTGCTTGAGCCCAGGAGTTGAAGACTGTGACTAGCCACTGCACTGGGCGACATAGCAAGACCCTTAATAATAAAAATAATAAATACAAAAGGTTAGATAATGTATAAAGTCCTAAGTGCAGTACCTAGAACATAGTACGTACTCAACAAATGGTAGGAAGTTGTTGGTAGTAACAACACCCACCTGGAGACCCTTGCTGCTTCCCCTGGCCCTAGCCTGGCATCCAGGGACAGAGAATCAGTCTTGGCAGAATGTACAGAGAATCAGCCCTCCAGAAACCCCTGAAAGTAAGGGACCCTCCCCTCCAACAGTCCAAGATGGGGACACACCAGGCTACTCACAGCTAAGGGGCCTCCCGGGGGTCCTTGGCCTGGGTGGGGTCTCAGCCGCATCTCCTTCCACCTGGCACCCAAACATCAGCTCCAGCTCCTTGGCATCTGGAGGAGGGATGGGATACCTCCCAACCGCCATCTCTACCAGAGACAGTCCCATGCTCCAGATGTCTGACTGCACAGAGTAATGAGTCCCCTGGAGTCTTTCTGGCTGCAGGAGAGACAGACAGTGATAATCACCTAACCTAACTTGGACCCCTGGGTCTGCTAATGCATTTTCTCTTCTGTCCCTTCTCAATAGTTCATATCCTGTTTCAAGAGCTCCACTAACCTCTTGAATTTGGCCTCCTGCCTACCCCCAACACTGTGTTTACCAAATCCTAGCTGGCTTCTGTGGCTTTAACCCCTCATCCCTGCTCTATTTCTCCTATAATCTGGCCTAAATTGACAGACCACATGTAATCAGCTGTGCCCTGGCTGCCACTACAGCCTGTGGTTCCAGCTTTACCCAGCTTGGCCACAGTCTTGCACACGCAGGGCAGCCTGTCCGAAGCCCAGCATGAGAGGCTCATCTTGTCACTGAATCTGAAACATGAAGCTTGTGGAATGCGGGTTGGGAGTGAGGTGGTGCCGTGGATACATAGAACAAAAGATCTGGGGTCAGTGGGCCTGAGACTTAAATCCCAATTCCGGGACTTACAAGCTAAAAGATCCTGAATATCAGCCTCATCTATAAAATGGGGCTGCTGCTGGGCCGGGACGCAGTGGCTCACACCTGTAATCCCAGCACTTTGGGAGGCTGAGGCAGGCGGATCACATGAGATCAGGAGTTCGAGACCAGCCTGGCCAACATAGTGAAACCCCATCTCTACTAAAAATACAAAAATTAGCTGGACATGGTGGTGCATGCCTGTAATCCCAGCTACTTGGGAGGCTGAGGCAGGAGAATCACTTGAACCCGGGAGGCAGAGGTTGCAGTGAGCCAAGATCGCACCACTGCACTCCAGCCTGGGCAAGAAGAGCGAAAACTCCATGTCGGAAGAAAAAAAGGTGGGGGGGGGTGGTGGCTGATGATGATGAAAATGACAGTAACAATGATATAAGAAAACTCTACTTAGGATTACTAAGAAGATCAAATCAAATGAAAATGTACAGCCAGGCGCGGTGGCTCATGCCTGTAACCCCAGCACTTTGGGAGGCCGAGGTGGGTGGATCACAAGGTCAGGAGATCGAGACCATCCTGGCTAACACGGTGAAACCCCGTCTCTACTAAAAATACAAAAAAATTAGCCGGGCGTGGTGGCACACGCCTGTAGTTCCAGCTACTCGGGAGGATGAGGCAGGAGAATGGAGTGAACCTGGGAGGCAGGGCTTGCAGTAAGCCGAGATTGCACCACTGCACTCCAGCCTGGGTGACACAGTGAGACTCCGTCTCAAAAAAAAAAAAAAAAAGAAAATGTATGTCAAATGTTGTAAAATGCAATACAAATATTGGTTGATATTGGTGGGAAAAGCCAAAGAGAAAAAAAGTATACAGTGCTATACAAAAGCATTATTTTTAATGAGCATTATTTGAAATAGCACATGTATTTCAAGAACCCTACCGAAAAAATCTTTATTCTGCCCATAGTATATTCACGTAGACATTAACTTCTCCAGTAGCATTTTTCACTAACTCCAACACTGGACTATTTCGTAACTGACCATATAACCACAAAAACCCCAACCATTAAACCCTTGATTAGTAACTCCCAGGGCCTGTTAATGGATTTTGAACTTGAGAGTTGGCAGTCAAATGGCCCAGGATGCCAGCTGCTCAGTTATTAGACATTTAGGGAAGAAGCAATGAGGAGATGACAGAGAAAGAGAGTTCCACTGTGGGTCACTGGAGGGGAGGGGTGGGGATGTGGGTCAGTGCCAGGTGAGTGATGTTGACAGTGGCTGGAGTCACAGTGGGGGGTAGGTGCCAGCAAGAAGGAATGAGGATGTGTTCACACTGGGATCTGGGCACAGGTGCCAAATCCTCCCCAAGAGGCAAATGAGGGTGTGCTGTGCAAAGGGCGTCTGCCTGGCAAGGGGGCAGCTAGCTTTCAATCCTGGCTCAGCAAGGTTAAGTAGGCAGGTTGCTTAACCTCCCTGAATCTAGACTTCCTCACCTCTAAAATGGGAACAATAATCTTTATTTCCTGGGACAACCACATGGATCAAATGAGACCTTCCAGGGACATGACATGTGCTTTGACAGAGAACACATAAAATGCTTTGTACAAGTTAAGATCTGAGCCTCTGCGCCTGTCCCCCTCTCCACGCGGGCCTGCACTCCCCGCCACTTCTGTAAAGACTGCCTACTCACTCCAACGCTCCTCCACTTTGCCGCACTTCAGCACTGGCCCAGACTCACGTTTCCACCTTTCCAAATCATTCTCAGAAATGTTTTATCCATGTACCCTCCCACTCAGCCAACTAAACATCTACCCACTTGCCAAGCATTCCCTGAACACCTACCACATGCCAGGCCCCATGCCAGGCACTAGGGACAAGAGAGACACCTTGTCCCTGTCCCCAAGGAACCGGTGGTATGGAGGAGGGAAGAAAACACGCTGGTGCTGCCATAGTGTGAGGATGGCCCCACACAATGCTCTGGTGACAGTGTGAGCCAGCAGAGCCAGGAGCAGGAGGAAATACCCTCAACACAGGGTGTTGGCTGAAGTGGAGCAGAGACTCTGGCGAGGGGTCCAGGTATGCTGCAGTTAGAAGGAGGGGTACATGTCTGACAGACATAGTGAGGAGGGAGAAAAGAGGCTGGACAATTCTGAACAGACTCTCAGGAGTTGGGAGCTACAAGATACTGAAAGGACGGGCTGCTGAGAAGGCAGGTTAAGAGCCAATGCTCAGGTTTCTACCTTGGGAAACCAGGGAGATGATGCTGTCTATTTACTGCTAAGAGAAAAGGAGAAGGTGAGGTAGTTTGGGGTGGATTATATCTGAGCATCCTGGGTTTGTGGATCTGAAGACTATCATGTAGAGATGCCCAGAGGGGAGCTGGAGCTCACAATCCTTCAGAAAGAAAGCCACACTCTGGAGCTGGACAGTCCTTTCAGTGAGTCAAGGCCCCAATATCCCAGTTATGCTCCAAGGCCTAAGAAAGACCAAGACCATCTTCCCATTCAACTTCATCTCCTCAGGGCAGAGCACTGTGCCTCCTCCCTCACTTCTTGTCCCCTACCCAGCACAAGACTCTGGCTCCACAGGAAAGGCACCCACTGGGCTCCTCTCCCTGACCGTACAAGAAGCTCAAGCAATGGAAACTTCTGTTCATACCGACATGTAGGACCTTGTGCCCACGAAGGAGTTGGCCATGGAGTCGATGAGCTGCCCGCTGACCCCAAAGTCACAGAGCTTGATCTCCCCACGGGAGTTGACTAGGATGTTGGAGGGCTTGACATCTGCAGGGAAGAGAAAATAGAAAAGGAGGGAACTGACACAGGTAGATTGGGGAAGAGAAGGATCAGCATTCCACACAGACCAGCCCTGACCACGAGTCCCAGGACCACACCCCCGTCCGCCATCAGAGGCAGCCCTTGGCTTGCAAACACTGTACACCAAGGCCCTTTGTTCTGAGTTCAAGAAGCAACTGTCAGGAGATGAAATGAGCAGCTGCTGTAGAAGTAGAACAGAAAGACAGTCGATTTCCACTCTCTAAGAATGCAGACTTGGCCAGATGATCCACAGGAAGGAGTCCGTTATCATGAACAGTCAGGATTTCAAAGTCTGTTGCTTCAACCACCCCTACTGGTAAGATATAGTATCTATGGCTGGATCATGAAGGAGGCAGAAAAAAACAAGTAATAAGACCTATCTGCTTGCTGAGGCTACACAGGCTAGAAGGGGACAGGGTTTGGCGGGAATTCCCATTCTAGACTTCTGCACCAGGCATGGAGCATGTGGGTCTTTTTCTTACAAATATGTGTGGCAGGGTGGGAGCTGAGTCATGATTCCATTCCATTCCACTGGAGTCACTCACCTAACAGCCTACACAGGTACATCTACCCTGCCAGTCAAGGGGAACCCCTTGCTACCTGGAGCTGGAATGTGAGAGGCCTTAAAGCTGCTCCTCAGAGTCAAAACGATGCCCCCATCCCCCTTCCTTGCACTCTTATTATCACCCCATCCCACCCATCCGGTCACTGTCACAAATACCAGTACATTGGCCCTTAGTTTGCAGAGACCTAAATTTCCAAACATTTTTTCTTCCGCTGTATCCTCTGATTCATACAACTGTCCTGTAATGTGCATAGACCAGGGTCAATTATCCTCATTTATAGGTGAGCAAACCAAGGCTGGGACTTGGTGAAGGCCCCTGGAGCAGGGCTTTGTGGAGCAGACATCAGCAAACAATGACACTCACTTTGAGGGCAGACCATATCTAGGAAACATGCTAAACCATGACATCCCAAACCTATATGGTGTCTATATTAATAGTCATAATATAGACACCATATAGGACATCTAGAAAATCACAGAAAAAACCCAAACCTCCTATAATACAACCCAGCAGAGCCACTAATAACGTTTCATTATTTTTCTCTTCGATACTGTTATATGAATGCATTTATTATTATTTTTTTTTAGACACAGAGTCTCACTACATTGCCCAGGCTGAGTTGAACTCCTGGGCTGAAGCAACACACCTGCTTCAGCCTCCCAAGTAGCTGGGACTATAGGCGTGAGTCACCATGGCTGGCTATTTATTCTTAAACAGATTCAAACAGGTCTATTTAAGTATCTTTCCAAGGACAAATTGAAAAACAAAAGCCGGGCGATGCCTCACACCTATAATCCCAGCACTTTGGGAGGCCAAGGCAGGAAGATCACCTGAGGTCAGGAGTTTGAGACCAGCCTGACCAACATGGCGTAACTCCCATCTCTACTAAAAATACAAAAATTAGCCAGGAGTGGTGGTGGGCGCCTGTAATCCCATCTACTTGGGAGGCTGAGGCAGGGGAATCACTTGAACCTGGGAGGAGGAGGTTGTGGTGAGCCGACATCATGCCATTGCACTCCAGCCTGGGTGACAGAGCCAGACTCCATCTCAAAAAATATATTTATTAAATAAATAAATAAAAATAAAAAATTAGCGTGGTGGCGCATGCTTGTAATCCCAGCTACTCAGGAGGCTGAGGCAGGAGAATCACTTGAACCTGGGAGGCAGAGGTTGCAGTGAGCTGAGACCACGCCATTGCACTCCAGTCTGGGCAACAAGAGTGAAACTCTGCCTCAAAAAAATAAATAAAAATAAAAATAATAAAAAAAAATCATGACCCTCTAATATCCCAGTGCCCCAACTCCACTTGGCCCCTCTTCATCTTCAGCCTGGGGGTAATCACCATTCCAGGCCAGCTCTAGCCTCTCTCTGCCCCAATCAGCTGCAGGAGGGCAGGACGTTGGCTGTCTGCCTCACCACTCTAAGCCCTGAGCCCAAACTGTATCTGACAGAGGGCAGGTGCTCCAAAAGCCCTTGTTGAATGAATGGTTCTAAATGCACCATGGATACATGCATGCACACACTGCATCACTGGTGTAGTCCTCCTAAGACCCAGCCCTCATCATGTCACTCCCCTACCCCACAGTGTGCAGACCCAAGTCAGGCTCTTCAGTAAAGGAACACAGGATACAAATCTTTGCAAACCCCTCTGCGACCCTCGTCTCCTACACATAGACTTTCAGAAGAGAGGTGCCAAAAGCAGCCTTAGAGGGCACCTAGTTCCTCCCCTTCATGATGAAAACAAAAAGTCTAAGGCCCAGCAGGATATGGTGGCTCACGCCTGTAATCCCAGCACTTTGGGAGGCCTAGGTGGGCAGATCACCAGAGGTCAGGAGTTCAAGACCAGCCTGGCCAACATGGTGAAACCTTCTCTGTAGTGAAGATACAAAAATTAGCCAGGTGTGGTGGCACACGCCTGTAATCCCCAGCTACTCAGAAGGCTGAGGCAGGAGAATCGTTTGAACCCGGGAAGCAGAGGTTGCAGTGAGCCAAGATCACACCACTGCACCCCAGCCTGGGTGACAGAGTGAGACTCCTCTGTCTCCAAAAAAAAAAAAAGAAGGCTAAGGCCCAAGAGATCCAGCAACTTGTTCAAAGTCACACAGCAAAAACTGGGTAAAGCTGAAAGCAGATCCCAGGCCCTCTGACACTTACACCTGTCCTCTTCTACCCACCCTGCTGCCATGCTCTAACGGTCATCACCTACTGTCCACTGAACACCTGCTACCTTACCTGTGGGCTCTGTGTGGGCAGTCAAGAAACTGACCAAGTCCCCCACTGTCATGAAGCTTAAATTTTATTGTGAGGAGACAGACAAATCAATGAACAAATATGTAACATTAGGTGGTCTTAAGTGGCACAAAGAAAAATATAAAACCCAGCCAGGCGCAGTGGCTCACGTCTGTAACCCCAGCACTTTGGGAGGCTGAGGTAGGCAGATCATTTGAGGTCAGCATGGTGAAACCCTGTCTTTACTAAAAATACAAAAATTGGCTGGGCATGGTAGCACATCACCTGTAATCCCAGCTACTAGGGAGGCTGAGGCAGGAGAATTGCTTGAACCCGGGAGGTAGAAGTTGCAATGAGCCGAGATCGTGCCACTGCACTCCAGCCTGGGCAAAGAGTGACACTCTTGTCTCAAAAAAAAAATATATATATATATACCTCTATATATACACCTGTATATATATATATATACCTGTATATATATATACCTGTGTGTATATATATATACCTGTGTGTATATATATATATACACACACATATCTGTGTATATATATTTAACATATATGTGTGTATATATATTTAACATATATGTGTGTATATATAACATATATATATACTATATATATACAGGTATATATAGTATATATATATATGTTAAATATATATACACAGATTTTTATATATATATATAATAAAACCCTGTGAGGACAGAGAGAGTAAGGGGGTACTGTTGTGACAGGGTGGCAAGGAACGGCCCTGTGAGGAGAGGACATTTGAGCAACGATGTGAACAGAGAGAGGGAGCGAGCCATGCAGCCTCTCAGAGAACCATGGGGAGATTCTGAACTTCGGGAGGAGAGGGGCGAGCTCTGTTCTTTCCCTGGGCCTAGTGTTAGGACAGAGCCCACAAACACTTCAGCCGAGGCATGAGTCCAGCAGTTGCTTGTTGGAGGTGTACCTCCTCATCCCACCATGCCCATGGCCCCTCAGAGGACCGGTGTTGGGTACCTGGCCCCTGGAGGTCAGGTGTTCAGGATTTGGAAAATGATGCTGAAAATGGAACGAGACTGAGAAGGGTAAGGGGTGTGACAGCGCCTGCTGGGGCGGCACACCAAGGGGCTCCAACACAAGCCCTCTTCCACTCCTCCCACCCAGTGCCATTGCCTCTCATCCATGCCAGGCCACACGGCACCAGGCTCCCTCACCCGGCCCACACTCTCCCCATGGGCTGTTTAGGCATGATCTGTTAAGCCTGTTTTAGAGTAAAAGAGCAGCACTGGCTAGTGAGACAGAAGCCCTGTGTCAAATCCTGACCCTGCCACTTACTCTACATGCAGCCGTGAGCAAGTCACTTGACTTTTCTGGGCCATGGTTTGCCATGATTGAAACAGTCACAATGGCGGCTCTCATACCATCACAAGTTACAGACCAGGATTGATGTAATAAGGCATGGCATATAAGCAGCACACCATGTTATAGGAATAGACAATGATTGCTTCACAGGCTGCCCTCCAAGATCGGCAGTTCACAGAACCAGACACCTCTCCTTCCCCACAAGAACAGTCTCCTCCACCCAGTCCAGCAGCTTCTTCCTCTGCTGGCTCAGACACCTCTCTTCAGACTACAGCTGCTGCTCAGGCATGGCTGTGCTGCCTCTAGCTGTCCTTGTATCTGATCTCTATTCACATGGCAAGCAAGCCTCCTTTTTTCAAACTTACATAACACAGCTTGCCACCATCCCTGGCTGTCAGCTCCAGCTTCTCCCACCCGCTCCAGGGAAAAACACTGCCTAGGAGGCAGCAGAGATGGAAGGGGTTGGAGAGGAGGAGAAGGGAAATTCTGAGGGGCTTTTCACTGCTAGACCACATTGGTCCTGGGAGCCAGATCCCGGAGGGCCTCACAAGAAGCCACCTGGAAACCTGGGCACATGAGATCACTGAACCCCAGAGCATGCTGCTGGAGCCGCCAGGCTAGGACATCCCTCTTGCCCCTGCTCCTGCCACACCCAAGTCTAGCTCTTCTCTGGGGACAGAAAAGAGGTACATGATGGCAGACAAGTCCAGAGAGAATTCATTTCTTGATCTTCCTCAGCACCCCACACTTGCTTCCCACAATAGCCAGGCCCTTCACACACTGTTCCTGTCTCCAGCATCTTCTCCCTCCCCCCGCCTACACAGAAACCAGCACTCCTCCAGCGGGACAGCCCCTGCACAGAGCCTGCCATGGCTGCCCTCTGCCTCAGAGCACAGTCCCCAGCCCCTCTGCCTGCCTTTCCATGCCCTCCACTGTTTCTTCCTTTCCTCTCCAACTTCACACCACAACACGTCTCCACATCCACTTCTTCCTGGTTGGGGCTGGCCTGCCTCTCTAACTGCCCCTGTGTAAGAGTCTCGCCTTCTCTTGTGCTGGTCCTTGCATCTAAAAAGTCTTCCTTTCAAATCACCCTGTCACCTCTACTCCTAGATGCCTAGTTCTTCTGAATCCCCTTCCCAACTTGGGATAATGCCCTGCTCCTGGAGTCCTGGGAGGATTAACTGGGCTTCCTCTCACATTCTCCTAGCAGAGCCCTCAAACATTCAAATCACAGGCCCAGTCCTTCTCTACTTCCTGAGGCCACCTCTGGGCCTTGCGTTCTCTTTCTGATCCTTTGATAACTGAAAGGTGATGCTGAGAGGGTCCCCAGCAGCTGGCTGGCCAGGCTACATTCTGGAGGAAGCATCAACCACCCAGTAGGCTCCCAGGCTCATAAGCTTCCCTAGGAATCCCACAGGAGGCTGAGATCTAATAACCCCAATTCTGCTCAGCTTCTGTGACAATGAGTATGGGTAACCCCTCCTTCCTCAAAAATGAACAAGGAGGTTTTATGAAAAACTCAGAAAGTATGTTCTTCTCCGATATTTTCTGTCCCAGGAATAACACTATTCAAAGCCTCCTGATTTTTCCCTCAAGAGCACACATTTTGAAGTTTAACTATTAAGTATTTTCTACCCCTCTAAAATAAGGTGTTTGGATAAAACAATTTAGGGAGTCATTTATTTATTCTAGAAACACAGAGTATCTGCACTGAGCTAAGAGTAAAAAGGACACAGGGATTGTCACCATCAGGGGAGACAGAATCCAACAAATGACAAGAACATGTGCACGTGTAAGGGCAAAGATGAAGATGTGGTCAAGGCCCCGTGGACTCGTTCTAAATTCTTCCAACCAGGTGGGATGGGTGCCACCCATCAGATGATAGCCTGAGTAGCTGACAAGGCCCCCGGCAGGTAGATGAACCAAGGTGAATCTCGGCCTTCTATGTGTTTCCACTATATCCTAATACCTTCATTTTGTTTGGTTTAGGCTAATATTAAAAGCAGCTGAATTCCCTAAGGCAAGATGGAAGACGGTGGGGCTTGGGGGAAGAGAAAGGCAGTGGAGGGGTGAAGTGGGGAGCCCAAAAGAAAGAGAAGAGGTGGAAGGAAGGAGCAAGGGGCTGCTGAGAAGCAAGCAGAGTGACACAGGGAAGCTGGATTCTTGCTCATCTGTGACAAAGGCTGAATCCAAAAGTAGATAAGCAACAGTTAAAGGATTTTAAAAAAAGGCAAATGAAGATTTTTTAAAATGGCGACTTTAGGCTTCAAACAACCTCTTCTTAGTATCCTTGGCAAAGCCTTAATAACTCTCCCCACTAAAGATGAAGAAACAGAGAGAAAGGGAGCTGACCTGGATGAGTCAAATCGCACCCTCTACAGAGCCACCTCCAGCTATCCATGGCCTCAAGGAGCTAATTAAGTAGCAGAGATAATTAAAATTCTGAGAAAATCCCCAACTCTTCAATTAGCCATTACCTGTAAGCTCTTTTCCCCCACCCAAATTTCCTTCCCCAAGAGCATTGGGAAAAAAAAGCCAGGATGCAGCTGAGAGACTAGGTGGGAGAATGAGAGGTGCAGGCGAGCCTAGCAGACCTAAGAAGATCCTACAACAGCTCTGATTTATGGAACACCTGCTATGTCAGGCCTTTTAAATATACTTTTTTTTTTTTTTTTGAGACAAGTCTTACTCTGTCACCCAGGCTAGCGTGCAGTGGCATGATCTCAGCTCACTGCAACCTCCGCCTCCCCAGTTCAAATATACTATCTTCTTTAATCCTTACAGTAACACTGTGAGGTAAGCATTATAAACCATTGCACACAGATGAGAAACACTGAGGCCTAGAATAGGAAGGCGTCACCTGTTAGGGTGGCACAGGGAGTTAACGATAGGGCCAAGGGTTAGAACTCAGACCCCTGAGGGAGCGTTCTCTCCAGGATCTAAAAAATCAGGGCCCAGACAACAGGACTAAAGGCAACCCATAATAAGTTGTACTCCAAAGTTTCACAAGAGCCCTTATTGAGCTGTGGCCGGGGAAGGAATCATTCACATTACAGATGTAATGAGCTTTATTTCTGGGAACAAGGATTTGACTTGGGGCAGGCTGAAATCCCTGAAATTCAGTAAGGAGAGAATAGTTCTCCACTCCAGTTTAGCGAGTGAGCACGATGCTTCTTTCTCAGCTCCAGCCCATTATCCTTCTTGACAAGGCCAACTGCAAGAAAGGTGCTAACAGCAGGAACCAGAGGTTGTTTCCCACCTCCTGATTAGCAACTGAATTCAAACAGGGAGCCTCCAGAGCATGCCTGCCAGGTCCTAACAAGCAACTATTTTTATCTCCCTCACTTTCAAGATTTTTACAACCAAGCCCAGAAACTGCATTTTAAGTTTCTTTTCTTCCTTCCCTTCCAAGCCTCATTAGTTTTGAAATGCTCTCCTTCTCTACCCTCCCTACACCCCTCTCTGCCAATTCACTGCTCATCCCCTGACCCAGAGGGCCCACAAACCCTGACAATTAAACATGAGATGATGTTGCAGGAGCTTAGGATTTGCTTTTCATTGGCACACAACATTCCAATAAATTATCTAAATTTTTAGGCCGGGCATGGTGGCTCAGGCCTGTAATCCCAGCACATCAGGAGGCTAGGGCGGGTGAATTGCTAGAGGCCAGGAGTTCAAGATCAGCCTGGGCAATGTGGCAAAACTCTGTCTCTACTAAAAATACCAAAAAAAATTATCCAGGCATGGTGGTGTGCACCGGTAGTCCCAGCTACTCAGGAGGCTGAGGCATGAGAACTCATTGAACCCGGGAAGCAGAGGTTGCAGTGAGCTGAGATTGCACCACTGCACTCCAGCCTGGGTGACAGAGCGAGACTTTGTCTCAAAAAAGAAAAATAACATAAATTATCTAAAATTTTAATACAGGATGTAACAAAAGCCAGAGCAAAAGGTATAGGGGGTACAGAGAGAAGAGAGGTATAATAAAAGAAAGGAAAGAAGAGCAGTCAAGGGAAATGCTTATGAATCCCAGATTCCCTGACAGCACTCTTTTTTTTGGCTGGAGTGCAGTAATATGATCATGGCTCACTGCAGCCTCGACCTCCTAGGCTCAAGCGATCCTCCCACTTCAGCACACGCCACCATGCCCAAGTAACTTTTTCTTTTTTTGGTAGACAGGGTCTCCCAGCTTTGCCCAGGCTGGTCTCAAACCCTTGGGCTCAAGCAAGCCTACTGCCTCAGCCTCCCAAAGTGCTGGGATTACAATCGTGAGCCACTACGCCCAGCCTGATCTCTCATTTTTCATGACCCTTCGTAATATTTGGCAGAATAGTCCTAGTTTACAGATATGGAAGTTGAGGCTGGAGGATAAAATCTCTTGCCAAAGGTCACAAAATAACATTAAAACAGCATATTTCCCCCACCAGATTATTTGGGCTACCTCAGAGGAGCAGATATGCAATGTATCACAGTATCACAAACCCAATCAACCACCTACAGGCAGGAGAACAAACCTGGCTAACTTGAGTTCTTATCATATGCTATTCAAGAAACGGAAGTTAGCTAAAAATCTGTTTTGACCTGCTGAAGGCTAATTTTGTTTAGCAGGAGAGGTGGGAGGTAGTGAGGTGGGTGTTAAACAATGACAAAAGAAGATAGGCCAGAGTTCTGTTCATTATTAAACAATGAGTAAGTAGGAAAGAATTTCTAGTAAGGTCACCATATTTATGTGACCCAGGCTCCACCAAAGTATGGCCTCCCCATTTGTGCCTGGGTCACAGCTTAACATAATTCACCAAAAAAGGTCTGGAAAAAAGGTCAAGAAACTACTCACCAGTTATTCCTAGCTTGGGATAACCCGTAATGGAAAGACTTAGAAGAATGTGTTTGACAATTTAAAGACAGATGTCAGGCATTCCTTGTCTCCTCATCACACATACTTCTTTGGGGCAAATGCAGCTTAAGGTGGAGACTGACACAATGAGAACCTTGTCCCTGGCTACAGGGCAGCCCCCTGACCCAGGCTGGGCCACTTACAGCTCCCTGTCACCTGGCCACGGTGATCTCATAGGTCTGGGCACACGACCCCTAACAGTCCAATCAGGAGTCCTCACTCAGAACTTTCTAATTGAAGTGAGAAAAACTCTTCTGATAACAAAACTGTAAAGCAGGAAACCATGGTTCCATCTGGTAGACAGCTGGCCCGAGAGAAGAAAGCCAACATCGAAAGGGAAACAAGTGAGAGGGAGAGATCTAACAGCATTTTTTTTTTTTTTTGAGACGAAGTCTCACACTGTCGCCCAGGCTGGAGTGCAGTAGCACGATCTCAGCTCACTACAACTCTGCCTCCCAGATTCAAGCAATTCTCCCTGCCTCAGCTTCCCAAATAGCTGGGACTACAGGCACCCACCACCACATCCAGGTAATTTTTGTATTTTTTAGTAGAGATGGGGTTTCGCCATGTTGGCCAGGCTAGCTAACAGCATCTTTTTTTTTTTTTTTTTTGAGATGGAGTCTTGCTCTGTTGCCAGGCTGGAGTGCAATGGCGCGATCTCAGCTCACTGCAACCTCCGCCTCCCCGGTTCAACCGATTCTCCTGCCTCAGCCTCCTGAGTGGCTGGGACTACAGGCACCTGCCACCACGCCTAGCTAATTTTTGTATTTTTAGTAGAGACGGGGTTTCACCATGTTGGCCAGGCTGGTCTCAATCTCTTGACCTCACGAACTGCCCGCCTTGGCCTCCCAAAGTGCTGGGATTATAGGGTGAGCCACCATGCCCGGCCACTAACAGCATCTTTTTAAAGTATATTTTAATCAAAGTATAAGAGCTAATGGCATTTGAGTCCCTGGATACAATTATCCATCAGGCCAGCTGTATTTCTATCCTTCCTGGGGTTTGGTTAGCTGATACAAAAAAAAAAATCATCTTTATTGTTTGAGCTAATTCAAGTTCATTAGCAACCAAGAATCTTAACACCCAGTGATTCTTATCATCAGCTGGCATCATAAATTTCATTATTAAGTAGGCCATTTAGGGTGGTGTGGAAACAGCACCACTAACCTTGATCTGAAGTTAGGCAGATCTGGGTTTGAATCCTAGCTCTATCATCTACTAGCTCTGTGGCCCCAGCCCAGTTACAGAACCTCTCTGAGCCTTTCCTTGACTGTCAGGTGGGAATAGTAACTCCTACCTGCTAATGTCTGGCAGGTACTAAGTACTCAAATCAGGAGGCTTTAAATGTGAGAAGCACAGAAGTCAGAGTTCAATGGCTCTTGCAGCTTGGAGGGAAAATAAAAGCTAACATTTATTTCAGAAAAAAATATAACCAATATAAGGAATCAGATTCCTTCTCAGCCTGGCTTCTACATAACATGGCCCCTGTGAAAGGAAAATAAATCTTGGGGCCCCAGAAATCACTAAGCTAAAGGGAAAAGTCAAGCTGGGAACTGCTTAGGGCAAACCTGCCTCTCATTCTGTTCAAAGCCATCCCTCCGCTCACTGAGATAAATGCGTATCTGATTGCCTCCTTTGGAAAGGCTAATCAGAAACTCAAAAGAATCCAAGTGTTTGTCTCTCACCTACCTGGGACCTCGAAGCCCCCTCCCTGCTTCAAGTTGTCCTGCCGTTCCCAACAGAACCAAGGAACATCTTACATATACTGATGTCTCATGTCTCCCTAAAATGTATAAAACCAACCTGTGCTTGGACCACCTTGGGCACATATCATCAGGACCTCCTGAGGCTGTGTCACAGGGTCCTCAACCTTGGCAAAATAAACCTTCTAAATTAACTGAGACCTGTCTCAGTTATTCAGGGTTCACATTTTGGTAACCACCAAGGGATTCTGAGTGGAGGTGCCCCTGACCTTTGACAAATCTCCTATTGGTGGCTGGTACCAGCTTGAGCTATCTTTGTGCCTCAAACCAATCAGACAATTTGCTGACGCCTGGAAGCACCTCCTCCAGAGAATCCCCGATCTCCCAAAATTTGGAGGTGATCTAAAGTTTATTTTGCTGTACAACTCCTTTTTTGTTTCTGAGTTTTACTTGCTTCCGACACAAGGAAGGCAAGTTTTCCTGCTTCCGTGACAATGGAAGGCAAGTAACTCCTTTACGGAGTTTTGAGCTTGCTTCCAACAGGGAGGACAGGTTTGAGTCTTTTCCTGCTTCTAGGATGGTAGAGGGCAGTCTTCAGCATGAAACCCATCCCTAAGTAACTGAATTAGGGTTTGTCTTGGCTACAGTTATGATTAACAACCAGCTGGTCTTAATTTCTCCTTACCATTAGAGCTCTCAGTACTTGTATAGGTTGTGTGATCATTTGTTTTGCTTTACTGTTTCTTTTTGTTGTTGTTTCGGTCTTTTTCCCCTTGGGTTTGACCAACTCTATGCAACTTGATCAAATTTGAAGGAAAGTTCCAAATTATGGGGAACGAGGCCTCTGAAGTGGCTAAATTCCCACAAAAAAAAAAAAAAAAAAAAAAAACAAGAAAAAAAAGTGGCATGGTGGAGGGAGAAAAACGGCCAGCAAAAGAAAAAAAGGAAAGATTTTTTATTTGACTCCTTAAGGGGCTTTATTCACAAAACAATGCCACGTTTTTGCTAGCCAGGCCAAACTGAAGGAGCAATAGCTATCACCTCAGGCTGCAGTTCCATACATAAGGTTCTGCCTTCTTTTTTTCATGACAGCCTAGGTTTGGTTCCTAAATCAAGCCCTTTCTGAAAGGTTTGATATTTGGTACTTCTGAAACAGCAGCAATTTGTCCAAGCAGAAATACGGCAATGAGATTTAAACAGATTTTTTTAAAGGAGCTCAATGGTTAAAAGTCAGCTTAATTAAAAGCTAACATCCGATATGTGTGTGTGTGTGTGTGTGTGTGTGTGTGTCTTTAAAAGGATTTTATGTTTTGGGTTTGTTTTTTCTCTGTCTAGGACCCTGTCTTTTTTTGAGACAAATTTTTCTTCTTCTCAGTTGACAGAATTCTGTTTTCTTCATTTACTTCTGCTCTCTCTCCTTTCTCTTGCACCCTCTGCTGCATGAGAAACCTAAAATAGTTTATAATAGCCTGGAGTTCCTCAACAAAAAAAAAAAAAAAAAAAAAAAAAAAGGAGGCACCAGACTCCCTTTGGGGGAGAAACCTGTTTTTCCTTATGGGTCTCCCCAAGAGTATAAACAAGTTCCTCTCAGCTATTAAACTGCTTTTGTATTGTGTTACCTGATTTTCTGACTAAAATAGTTATTGCAACAGAGGCTACTCTTGGGTTTTTAATGAAGAGTGTAGTTTAGACACTTAGAAATGTCTTTGTTTAAAAAACTTTTATTTTGAGACGGAGTCTTGCTCTGTCGCCCAGGCTGGAGTGCAATGGCACGGTCTCGGCTCACTGCAACCTCCACCTCCTGGGTTCAAGCGATTCTCCTGCCTCAGCCTCCGGAGTAGCTGGGGTTACAGGCGCCTGCCACCATGCCTTGCTAATTTTTGTATTTTTAGTAGAGACGGGGTTTCACCATGTTGGCCAGGCTGGTCTGGAACTGCTGACCTCATGATCCACCCGCCTCGGCCTCCCAAAGTGCTGAGGTTACAGGCATGAGCCACTGTGCTCAGCCAAAAAAAAAAATTTTTTTTTTTGAGACGGAGTCTTGCTCTGTTGCCAGGCTGGAGTGCAGTGGCACAGACTCAGCTCACTGCAGTGGCACAGACTCAGCTCACTGCAACCTCCGCCTCCTGGGTTCAAGCGATTCTCCTGCCTAAGCCTCCCAAGTAGTTGGGATTACAGGCACGCACCACCACGTCCAGCTAATTTTTGTATTTTTAGTAGAGATGGGGTTTCACCATGTTGGCCAGGCTGGTCTTGAACTCCTGACCTCGTGATCCGCCCACCTCGGCCTCCCAAAGTGTTGGGATTACAGGTGTGAGCCACCGCGCCCAGCCAAAAAAAAATTTTTTTTAAAAGCATCATGTGGTCTAGCCTCCTTTTTGGAGACCCAGAATTCAGTGTGGGCTCTACTCAGAACTCAGAGATCCAGTTAAGATAGGTAGTACCTATCTAAATAAATTGGTCTCCTTATACAATCCTATGATAGATTTCTATAATTGTATGTTTGATTTGGCATCCACCTTTAATCTTCCTCTAGCACCACCAGACTTTTCCTCTCTGTACTTTATGATGTAAATTTTGCTATCTGATTTTTCACCAAAGAGTTGTGTCCTTCAATACGCAGATTTAGGAGCTATTTAGCTGACAACTGCCAAGCATAATGAAACAGGTTATCAAGAGTTTGCAAGTCTTAGACAGAAGGGGGGAAAAAAAAAGGAGGTCTGTCTTACCTTTAAGATGTACTTCTATCAGTATGTCTAATATGTCCACGTATTTATGTGTTGTGTACACAATGATTTACTACTAAAAAATATAAAACAGCTCTAATTAATTGGCTTAAGGAAAAATAAAAGCACAAATCAAATACCTTATCAGAAAATGAAAGACTAGTCAAATGTTTTCTCAAGTTTACGTAAAATCTTTGATAGATAAGCTACCTTTAAAATTGTTGGTAAAGTACTATTAGAAATGCCTTAAGAATAGCCAGGGTACATTTTTGTTTGCATTTTTTGATCAAGAAATTTCATATGTATCCCTGCCAAATATTATAAGGTGTCAAAATTTGGCATAGGGATTACAAAACTATAAACCCAGCCCAAAACAGGATGATCTTTGCTTGTGAGCCACCGGGCGCGGTGGCGCATGCCTGTAATCCCAGCACTTTGGGAGGCCAAGGCAGGCAGATCACTTGAGGTCAGAAGTTCAAGACCAGCCTGACCAACATGGTAAAACCCCATCTCTACTAAAAATACAAAAATTAGTTGGGCGTGGTGGCAGGCACCTGTAATCCCAGTTACTGAGAAAGCTGAGGCAGGAGAATTACTGGAACCTAGGAGGCGCAGGTTGCAGTGAGCTGAGATCATGTCACTGCACTCTAGCCTGGGTGACAGAGCCAGACTTTGTTTAAAAAAAAAAGATCTTTGCTTCTGTAAATATTGAAAGAGACTGACATTGGTTTAGTGAAAATAGCTAAGTCTTGAATTATTTAGTAAAATAACCATAACTTCTAATCATGTGGCTTTAGGCAGCCTAGTCCCCAGGCAGGAAGGGGGTTTGGGGAAAAGGCTGTTATCGTCTTTGTTTCAAAGCTCAACTATAAACTAAGTTCCTCCCAAAGTTAGTTCTGTCTATGCCCAGGAATGAACAAGGACAGCTTGGAGATTAGAAGCAACATGGAGTCAGTTCGGTCAGATCTTTTTCACTGTCTCAGTTATAATTTTGCAATGATGGTTTCTCTTTTTTTTCTTTTTGAGACGGAGTTTCGCTCTTGTTGACCAGGCTGGAATGCAATGACACAATCTTGGCTCACTGCAGCCTCCGCCTCCTGGGTTCAAGTGATTCTCCTACCTCAGCCTCTCGAGTAACTGGGATTACAGGTGCTCATCACCACCCAGACTAATTTCTTGTATTTTTGTAGAGACAGGCTTTCACAACGTTGGCCAGGCTGGTCTCAAACTCCTCACCTCAGGTGATCCACCATGCCCAGCCCTGCAGTTTCTCTTTAAAAGGTGGTTTTATAATCAACTATAAAACTCTAACAGGTGCTCCTGAATACAGGCTTCTGATAACTTTAAAGACTGTGACATCAAAACAGAGGAAAAACTTTCATGACTCATGGAGAGCTGAAATGTTCATGAATATCAAGCAGAACAGGAATTAACTGCATGAACTGAACTTACAGGAGACTGAAGTAATCTTTTTTATTTTTTTGCTTAAATGCTGCTGATTCTTTGTGTTGTTTTTCAGAGTCACGGAAACTTTTCTTTTGAGCTATTGACAGGTTTTAACAATTTGTTTGTTTTTTTGAGATGCAGTCTCGCTCTGTTGCCCAGGCTGGAGTGCAGTGGCATGATCTCAGCTCATTGCAACCTCCACCTCCAGGGTTCAAGTGATTCTTGGGTCTCAGACTCCTGAGTAGCTGGGACTACAGGCACACACCACCACGCCCAGCTAATTTTTTGTATTTTTAGTAGAGATGGGGTTTCACCATGTTGGCCAGGCTGGTCTTGAACTCCTGACCTCAAGTGATCCACCCGCCTCAGCCTCCGAAAGTGCTGTGATTACAGGCGTGAGCCACCACGCCCAGCCAGGTTTTAACAATAAAGTATACATACGCCTATGAAAAAAATTGAAGCATATTTGTTTCTCTCTACCTGATTACTCCAGAATTTGGAAACTATGTGGGAGTATTCTTAACTTACGGCAATATAGTTATCTGCATATGTGCAATAAAAATCTGTTTTCATTTGTAACAGGACACAATTGGAGAAACTGGTTGTTTTACCAAGGCTTTGACTAGAATGGTGTGCTTTCCTTTAAGGAATCCAACTTGATTTATAAAGCCAATAAAAGCCCCTTGGGAAAACTGGCCTCATACCTTGTCTACACAGTCCCTGTACAGGGATCTTGGCCTGTGGTAAGTAAAGAATGTCACTTTCTGATAGGCCCAGGAGCCCCAAGTTATCTTGGGACATCAAGAGGAGAGGAATTCACCCAACTTGTATGTATTTGATGGTACAAATCCATGGCTGGGCTCAGCTTTAAAAAAGTCTTATCTTTAAAAAAAGTCTTATCTGAGATTCCTTCTACAGAGCAAAGTTCCATCAAGGCCAATTTTAAAAGCCTATGTGAAAAATAATTATTCTTACTGTACTTCATAGAAATAATCTGTCCAAGTATAATAAAGCAAATTGGTCCTACCATGATTTGTCTTTAGTAAAAACAGGAAAGTGGAGAGAGAAAAAATACGTTTCAAAAACTATAGTACACCCGTTTTTTTGTTGTTGTTGTTGTTTTTGAGATGGAGTTTCGCTCTTGTTGCCCAGGCTGGAGTGTGGTGGTGAGGGAAGAGACCACCTCATATTGTCTTATGCCCAATTTCTGCCTCCAAAGAAAGAAGAAGTAAAAACTAAAAGGCGGAAATGAAATCTACAAGCAGACAGCCTGGTGCCACACCCTGGGCCTGGTAGTTAAAGACTGACCCCTGACCTAATCGGTTATGTTATCTATAGATTACAGACACTGTATAGAAAAGCACTGTGAAAATCCCTGTCCTGTTCTGTTCCAACCTGATTACCAGTGCATGCAGCCCCCAGTCGTGTACCCCACTTGCTCAATCGATCACAACCCTCTCACGTGGACCCCCTTAGAGTTGTGAGCCCTTAAAAGGGACAGGAATTGCTCATTTGGGGAGCTTGGTTGTTGGAGATGTGAGTCTTGCTGAAGCTCCCAGCCGAATAAAGCCATTCCTTCTTTAACTCGGTGTCTGAGGGGTTTTGTCTGCGACTTGTCCTGCTACAGTGGCACAATCTCAGTTCACTGCAACCTCCGCCTCCCAGTTTCAAGGATTCTCCTGCCCCAGCCTCCCAAGTAGCTGGGATTACAGGCATGCGCCACCATGCCCGGCTAATTTTTTTGTATTTTTGGTAGAGATGGGGTTTCACCATGTTGGCCAGGCTGGTCTTGAACTCCTGACCTCAGGTAATCCACCCGCCTCTACCTCCCAAAGTGCTGGGATTACAGGTGTGAGCCACTGTGCCTGGCTATAGTACACCTGTTAGATTCTAGTCTTACCTAGTTTTTCAATTTTTATCATTTTTTACAGTTTGGACTTAATTCTAATTTTTCCTGGCTACAGGTCTCTAAAACAATGTTTTCAGCCAGGCACGGTGGCTCACACCTATAATCCCAGCACTTTGGGAGGCCGAGGCAGGTGGATTCACCTGAGGTTGGGAGTTCGAGACCACAGCGTGACCAACATGGAGAAACCCTGTCTCTACTAAAAATACAAAATTAGCCGGTCATGGTGGCGCATGCCTGTAATCCCAGCTACTCAGGATGGCTGAGGCAGGAGAATTGCTTGAACCCGGAAGGCAGAGGTTGCAGTGAGCCAAGATCACGCCACTGCACTCTAGCCTGGGCAACAAGAGCAAAACTCCGTCTCAAAACAAAAACAAAAAAAACAATGTTTTCAATTTCTTTTCCTTTTTCCCATCTTTCCTAATTTGAAATTACTGAAAACTAAGCTGTGCTTTCTTAAAGCCCTGTGAACCGAAGCTAGACAACTTCAAAAGAAAATAACAGCATACATAAGCCACCTTCATACCTGCCTACTGATGTATGGACTTCAGAATAATGTGGCCTATATCACTTTTCCAGAATTATTCTTTTGTTTATTGTAGTTTTTCTCCCTTTCTCCCCCTATTTTCTCATCATAGGACATGAGACCACAACCTGCTAAAAATGAGCTTTCCTAGTAACTTGGGACCTACCTACCTGTCTAGGAATAAACTGTCCTAGCCGCGAGAGATCCGATGAAACCTGAGACGAAAGATTCATTTTCTTCTAAAATGCTTTCTCAAAAGTTTTTAAAAAGAAAAGGGGGGAAATGTGAAAGAAAATAAATCTTGGGGCCCCCAAAAATCACTAAGCTAAAGGGAAAAGTCAAGCTGAGAACTGTTTAGGGCAAACCTGCCTCTCATTCTATTCAAAGTCACTGAGATAAATGCATATCTGACTGCCTCCTCTGGAGAGGCTAATCAGAAACTCAAAAGAAAACAACCATTTGTCTCTCACCTACCTGTGACCTGAAAGCCTCCTCCCTGCTTTGAGCTGGCCTGCCTTTCCAGACAGAACCAGTGTACATCTTACGTATATTAATTGATGTCTCACGACTCCCTAAAATGTATAAAACCAACCTCTGGCCAGGCGTGGTGGCTCACGCCTGTAATCCCAGCACTTTGGGAGGCCAAGGCAGGTGGATCACCAGAGGTCAGGAGTTTGAAGCCAGCCTGGCTAACATGGTGAAACCCCATTTCTACTAAAAATACAAAAAATTAGCCGGGCGTAGTGGCAGGCGCCTGTAATCCCGGCTACTCGGGAGGCTGACGCAGGAGAATCGCTTGAACCCAGGAGGTGGAGGTTGAAGTGAGCCGAGATCGCACCATTGCACTCCAGCTTGGGCAACAAGAGGTGAGACTCCGTTTCAAAAATTAATGAAAAAACCCCTGCCCTGACCACCGTGGGCACATGTTGTCAGGACCTCCTGAGGCTGTGTCATGGGCATGCATCCTCAACCTAGGCAAAATAAACTTTCTAAATTAACTGAGAGTAGTCTCAGATATTTGGGGTTCACACCCCCTCAGTGCCAGGAGGATCTATACTGTTCCATATATGTTCCCTTCGTGTTTGACTCTGAAGCACTTACTGTTCAATCGAGATATCTTCTCTCTTCACGTATATCCTACTGTCCTTCCAGTCTGATTCAGACAAATGAAGAAGGGAGAAAGGAGGGCTTCCTAATTCAGATGTATCCCCCTAATTACCTCCCTTCACTCACCCGAAGGAGCCCCACCCACAATGTACACTATATAAGTGTTGGTGGATTACTCAGAGACTTGGGAATTGTGCTAAGAGGGTCAGGTTGAATCTGGGCTGTGTCTGGGATGGACTTGATACACACTGGTTGCTGAGAGGTGGTGTCTTCCTCCTGCCCTCTGGACAGAGAAGCAAAGAAACAAGTGCAAAGCACGCAGAATAAGCAGGAAGGCCGCCTAGAATTCCAGTGGCTTTCTGGTCCCTGTCTTGTCCCATCCCTTCCCGAGCACTGACTACATCTGGTCCTCACGTTCCCTAAGGGCCCCCTGGATCCCTATAAGGAAGTCCCCTGTTGTGTTTACACTGGCTCAAGTTGGTTTCTGTTATGTGTAACCAAGAATCCTCACTGAAACAAAGCCCAGCTCCCAGCTCCTCTGTGAAGCCTCCCCTGACAGCTGTCCACCCACAAGAGTCCCTCTCCTTGGAACCCTTGAGGTTTTTTATCATGTATGTCACTTGTTATGTCAGTACATATGCTATTTTCTTTTAGCCAATTTTTTTTTTTCAGAAAAATCTAAATATTCACAAAAGTAGAGACAGTAACCATGTACCCATCACCCAGCTTCAACAATAATCCATTTTTTTACCAATCTTTTTTTTTTTTTTTTTTTTGAGACAGAGTCTTGCTCTGTCGCCCAGGGTGGAGTGCACTGGTGCGATCTCGGCTCACTGCAACCTCCGCCTCCCGGGTTCAAGCAATTCTGTCTCAGCCTCCCGAGTAGCTAGGACTACAGGCATGTGCCACTACGCCCAGCTAATTTTTGTATTTTTAGTAGAGATGGGGTTTCACCATGTTGGCCAGGCTACTCTCAACTCCTGACCTCAGGTGATCCACCCACCTCAGCTCCTAAAGTGCTGGGATTACAGGTGTGAGTCACTGTGCCCCGCCCCAATCTTATTTCATTATAACCCCCAGCTTTTTCTTTGCAGGGTGGGAGGGAGTGGAATGTCTTAAGGCAAATCCCAGACCTCATGTGTTAATTCACCCATAAACCTTTCATCTGACTTGTAAAGTACAGTCTTGCTTTTCCAACTAGGACTCACAGCTCTAAGAGGATAGGAACTATCTCTTCTGCCTCTTTGGAGCCCAGCATTGTATACGCAATGTGCTTTTAAATGCCATAACTTTAATGCTATTACACAACACTTGGTCAGAGTTTCATCTGATCCTGAGGACAGTTCCAGGAGATGGAAAAGGAATTGAGATTACCTCTAAAAGAAGGTGAGATTCAGAAATAATAAACAACTCTGCCAGGATCACCCAGGAAGCCAACAGCCAGGCTAGAAGGAAACTTCCATAAGGTTCTATGCATAGCCAGAAAGGTAAAGGGAGAGGACACAGTGGCTCGGAGGTCACTTGGTGGGTAGCAGCTTCTTGGGGATTTGGTGCCTGTTACCACCACCTAATGACAGCCCTGCACGCACTTCACAGGGTGGTAAGCACTTACCTCCAACAATAAACTTTGAAATGTTTTTTCAAATGAAAAAAGAAAATTCCATCGTGTTTGTTTCTAATTAGTTTGGTCTTATCAAGCCTTATGCTGGTTCCCATCCTCAAGCTGAGCTATATCACTAGACTCTATTATTATTTTATTATTTATTTATTTATTTATTTATTTATTTATTTATTTAGAGACAGAGTCTCACTCTGTCACTCAGGCTGGAGTGCAGTGGCGCAATCTTGACTCACTGCAACCTCCATCTCCCAGGTTCAAACAAGTCTCGTGCCTAAGCCTGCTGGAATTACAGGTGCCCACCACCACACCCGGCTAATTTTTGTATTTTCAGTTGGGGTTTCGCCATGTTGGCCAGGATGGTTTCAAACTCCTGCCCTCCCATGATCCACCTGCCTCAGCCTCGCAAAGTGCTGGGATTACAGACGTGAGCCACTGCGCCCAGCCCACTCTTGTTCCTCTATGGTGTTGGGCATCATGAGCTAAGTTCCATCTTGCTTTGGGTAGTGGTTAATAAAATTCACTCTGAGTTTCATTCCTATGTGTCCAGATTTTCAAATCAAACCAGCTCTCTTAGGGCTGGGATCCTCCTCAGGAAATAATCTGTAACTTAGGAAAGGGCAGCCCCAGCCTCAGGTTTCCATTAGAAATGAGGCTTTGTGATCTGAGGAGGAGGAGAACACAGCTCTCCACGTACAGCCCTGGAGCACGGCCATGGGCCTCAGGCTCCTTCCCACCACAACCACCCCAGGAAGGGCCAAGGCCAAGTCTCCCTGCTACTCCCCTACCCATCTTCCCACACCAGTCCCTGCCCTTTGCACCATCTCTCTCCCATCTGTCCCCATCCTGTCCCTTCACTCTGCCACTATCCTAACTCAGACCCCCCCTTATCTCTCACTGGCCCATAGCAACGGCCTCCTAATTGACCTCTCCCCTCTCCAGCTCACCTTAGCCGTAACAGTAGAGTCCTCTTCCTTAAACCACAGCACATCTCACTTCTCTGTGCAGGATCATTCCACTGCTTCCTGTTGCCCATGATAAAATCCACTTCCTGAACATGGCAGTGAAGACCCTCCTCACTGCTTCAACTATTTCTTACTTTAATTCTCACCCCTTGCCATCAGGAACCCTTTGTTGTAGACAACTTGAACCACTTGCTATTTCCTGTAAAAACATGTCTGTGTTTTCCTGCCTCTATGCCATGATTCATGCTTCCCTCTACCTGGAATTCCTTTCCCTGACCCTGCCACATATATAACTTCTACCTATGCTTCAAAGCTCAGCTCAAATACCATCTCCTCCATGCTTCCCTAAAGAGATCTAAGCCTCTCTTAAGGAGCTAAGAGACAAACTCACCTGGAGCTATAATCATCACTGTGAATCTAGCAGATGAAATAATTCTAGATAAAACGAGACTCACATTTCTAACCAAGAGACCAGCATACTGAATTTTCCACTACTAATGAGCCACTCTGTCTCCCTCCATCTTTAAGGCAGGGCAGTCTGACACAGTCAAAAGGAATCCCTTCCTGTGTAAGCCACACAGCTATGGGATGGCTGTGATGGGAGAGAGATGTAGCCAGGAGCACCTTGTGTATATACCATGGGCAACCTTCTGTGTTTCAAGGATCAGACAACAGTCCTTAGTCACACACAGATAGGAACCATGCTCAGAACAGAATCCTGTGTGTAGCCTCAGGCTGGTGGAGGCAGGGGCCACTCTGACTTCTGCTCAGCGATGCCTGGCAGAGGCAGCATAGTTCCTTGCAAAAATTGCAGAAGAAACCACTCAAATCATTACGTGTGAGTCTGCTACAAACAGCTTATAAAACAACAAAACAAAACCAAACAAGCCACTTCAGATCTTGCTATCAGTGCCAACAAGTCTGAATGGAGAGGAAGAATTTAGAGGTTGTAATCCTGACCATTGCTGAAGACCCCATTTGCTGGAGGCTGTCACTGGGACACCGTGAGACACTTTGGAGACTCCCAGCTCTCCCCAGGAAAAGGATACAAAAAAAATTTTTTTTTTTTTTTGAGATGGTGTCTTGCTCTGTCATCCAGACTGGAGTGCAGTGGTGTGATCTTGGCTCACTGCAACCCCCACCTCCCATGTTCAAGTGATTCTCCTGCCTCAGCCTCCTGAGTAACTGGGATTACAGGTACCCGCCACCATGCCAGGCTAATTTTTTTGTATTTTAGTAGAGACGGGGTTTCACCATGTTGGTCAAGCTGTTTTCGAACTCCTGACCTCAAGTGATCCACCCATCTTGGCCTCCCAAAGTGCTGGGATTATAGGCATGAGCCACTGTGCCCAGCCCAAAAACATTTTTTTTTTTTTTTTTGAGACAGAGTCTTGTTCTGTTGCCAAGCTGGAGTGCAGTGGCGATTTTGGCTCACTGCAACCTCAGACTCCCGGGTTCAAGCAATTCTCCTGCCTCAGCCTCCCAAGTAGCTGGGATTACAGGCGTGTGCCACCACACCCAGCTAATTTTTATATTTTTAGTAGAGACGGGGTTTCACCGTGTTGGCCAGCATGGTCTTGATCTCCTGACCTCATGATCCGCCCTCCTCAACCTCCCAAAGTGCTGGGCTTACAGGCATGAGCCACTGTGCCCGGCCCAAAAACACTTTCATATAGGCTCTGCAGAAGCCTTAAATCTCATTCTGACCTGAGAGCCCCGTTTTTACATAACTCTCTAACCTAGGGAATAAAGGAACACTTTTGAGGCACACTCCAAGCAGGATGGCCCCAAGGTATAATAAGCTACTATGGCTCTGAAGAGAGGTATCCAATTACAGTGGGCTATGTACCCCTCAAAAATCTAAGCTGGCAGCTAAGCACAGTGGATCACACCAGTAGTCCCACACTTAGGGAGACCCAGACAAGTGGATTACTTGAGTCCAGGAGTTCAAGACCAACCTGGGCAACAGAGAGAGACCGCATCTCTAGAAAAGAAAATTTTTAAAATTAGTCAGGCATGATAGCACATATTTGTAGTCCTAGCTACTCAGAAGGCTGAGGTGAGAGGATCGCTTGAGCTGGGGAGGTTGAGGATGCAGTGAGCCATGATCGCACCACCACATTCCAGCCTGGGCGACAGAGTGAGCGAGACCTGTCATTCGTTCATTTATACATACACACATACATGTCACACATAAATACGTAAAATTTAAAAATCTAGGTTACACATGGTTTCATTAGATAGAAGGAAAAGAAAAACAAGTTGAGTTATAATTTAAAACTGTTGTTAACATTTATTGATCTTTATCAGCTAACAACTCCAAGGCAGAAATAATTTACGGCTAAGTTGGATGAACTGCGTATTGATCTAAATCATGCAACGCTTTTTCAGGGTCTTAGTCAAAATAAGGCCTTGATAATTAGAGCAGGTTAAGAACGGCAGGGTGGCAATGCAAATTATTGCTTTAAATAGAATGAAAGAGAGCAGTATCCTAGCGCCCTCTTCACCTCCAACCCTTTTTAACTCACAGCACAACTACCTACTTGGTTCAGCTTCAGATGAAAAGACTCGACATAAATTTTGGCAGCTAATTCTTTTCAGAGCTCCAGGATCAGGAAAAATAATCCTGTCTCCTACCCACGTCACTTATCATGTTTTCCTTGAGAACTTAAAGCTGACACATTTAAAAGTTTAGTTTTGTGTTTAAATTCTTTTTTTTTTTTTTTCTGAGACAGTCTTGCTCTTGTTACCCAGGCTGGAGTGCAGTGACACGATCTCGGCTCACTGAAACCTCTGCCTCCTGGGTTCAAGTGATTCTCCTGCCTCAGGCTCCTGAGTAGCTGGGATTACAGGCGTCTGCTACCATGCCTGGCTAATTTTTTGTATTTTTAGTAGAGACGGGGTTTCACCACATTGGCCAGGCTGGTCTCGAACCCCTGACCTGAGGTGATCCACCCGCCTTGATCTCCCAAAGTGCTGGGATTACAGGCTACAGCCACCATAGTTTTGTGCTTAAAAGCCCAGTTTTGTGCTTAAATTCTAAAGCTTCTGTCAAGGGATTCTCCTTCCCCTTTTGGTTAGGAAGATTTTTCTATAAAAAAAGGACCAGAGAGTAAATATTTTTGGCTTTGAGGGCCACACAGTCATCTCTTTCACAAGTAACTACTCAAATTTACCATTATAGCACAAAAGCAGGCACAGACAACATTTACACAAGCATGGCTGTGATCCAATAAAACTTTATTTATGGACACAATAATCTGAATTTCCAGCAGGGCACAGTGGCTCATGCCTGTAATCCCAGCACTTTGGGAAGCCAAGGCAGGTGGATCACTTGAGCCCAGGAGTTTGAGATCAGGCTGGGCAACATAGGGAAACCCCGTCTCTACTAGAAATACAAAAAAATTAGCAGGCGTAGTGGCACATGCCTGTGATCCCCGCTACCTGGGAGGCTGAGGCACGAGAATCTCTTGAACCTGAGAGGCAGAGGTTGCAGTGAGCCGAGATTACGCCACTGCACTCCAGCCTGGGTGACAGAGCGAGACTCGGTCTCAAAAAATAAAAATAATAATAAATTGAATTTTGTATAATTGTTACATGTCACAAAATTTTGAAAACTATTCTTAGCTTGCAGGCCATACAAAAACAGGCAGCAGGCCAAATTTAGCCCATGGACCAGTTTGCTCACACCTGTGTTAACTGCTTGTTGTTTTCATCCTATGTTAGTGTTTTGTCTTTCTGACCCAATGCTTAACAGAATTTGTAAGCGGAAAACTTTTTAAAAATTTGCTTGCTTTCAGCACCCATTCATTCTCCCCATCTCCTGGTAACAAAGCCCCTCCTTTTCATTTGGGATACACTCCTCCCCAGCATCAACTGTTTCTGCTAGGGTGTTCATCAAGAGGCGCCATCTGTTGTACCACAGGGGTGAGTGTATAACCCAGGGTGGCCCACCAGGCAACACTAGTCCCCTGGACACAGTGAATGGTCCAGCCATGGGCAAGCACTCCAAGCAGAGGCAGTCTGCCAATCAGTGGTTCAAACACTGATCTGGATGCTGGGGAGAGTGGGTGGAGTACTTTCTCTGGGATAGGGAGCACTAAGGACTAGATGTGTCTGGGGCTAGTGAGGTCCATCCTGCCTCCAGTGAAGAGAATCTGACTGAAAAGGAAGCCCACACAAGAATGAGCAAAGCTGAGAGGTGACCTGAGGCCATCATTTCAACCTCATATTCATCCCTGCCTTCCGACCTCCTGGTGACCCAAACCATACATTCTCTTTTCTGATTAAGTAATCTTGAGGTGGGTTTCTGCCACACCAAAGAATTCTGACTAATAATCTATGTCACTATGTCACATCGGATTCTATCTGAAAGTTGGCAGGGTAGTGATTCACGCACAAAAAAATGATATTGGCTATGTTCCACAATATACAAGAGTCATTTACAGATATGTCCCTTTCCCATTAGACTCTAAGCTCCTGGAGGACACAATTCATTTATGAGCCAACTTTATGCCTAACGAGTAATTCACCTAATACCTTGCACTTGGCAGGTATTCTATAAATATTTTACAAAATGAATTACTTCTCTTTGATGGGGGAAAAGACTGAGGAGGTAGGCGAATAGACACGGAGGAGCATATACCTGTACCTACCCATGACTGTCAGAATGTCACCCAGAGATTTTAGAGAAACTTAACACTCCCCAAAGGGGTGACAGATCTATACCCACCCCCTGATCAACAGCTCACAAATCACATACATCAGGCTAAACCACACAGATTGTTTCTCCCTTTGAACACCCAGGGGAAATAGAATACAATGTTCTGTATAATAACAGAACAAATCACAGTGGACCAGTTGAGCTAGCCAGAGCTTCGGCACTGGGACTGTCAGTTGAACTTATTCTGCCCAAGAAGTCCTGCTCCATTATGGCAGAGACAAATCACTTCAGGAATGAGGGTGAGAACATGCTTGCCTTTGGGTTCCCACCTGGTGCAGACACATTAGAAATGTAGGAAAACTACCATGTGTACAACCAAGGCAATGTACCAAACTAGGACCAGGACATACTCACCCAGCTGAAGAAAGATAACTGAAAAATGTTCAAGAGGCTACCACCTAGGTGGAAAAACAGTAACTAAATGGTACCTGAAAACAGCTAATCTTCCTCAAAATACCACGAGGCACTTCTTCTCATTTAAAAATTCCTAAGTGCAGGAATACCTACCTTTAAATCACTGACATATTCCTAAGAAGAAATGTATGAATCAAATTGATGTAATTTGCTTGCCTTTTTCAAGATTCTATGAAAACTTCTATTTGAAGAATCCTACCTAGAGTGAATGCTTTGAAAGAGCAAAACATTGCACCCAGAGCACCTTGTGTTATAAACTATTTTTGTACGTTACTTTTTATTAGAGCAGGGCACACTCAGAAATCACTTTCAACCTGGACTAGGCAATGGACTATCAACTAGCCCCCAACACTGAGCAGGAGAGGATGCTGTCCCCTTGATATCTGCATGACTGTGGTGAGAGTGGATTCTTCAGAGGCACTGACTCTGGACCCCTCTGGGAGATCACTGAGCCCATGCCTACCCCCTAAATAAGGCTAGGAGAGGACAGTTGGCCCAGCAGCAATAGCACTGTTAGAGTTGTACGCCAGGGAGCTATTTCTCTGCCTGACTGAGCCAACCTCCCAACTAGAGTAGCCTTGGTTCCCACCCTACCGTGGTTTGTAGGATCAGCTTGTCAAAGGACTCTCTGAACTTCCCTTGGATCCTTCTTTTTTTGTTTTTTTTTTTCGAGACAGAGTCTCACTCTGTCACCTAGGCTGGAGTGCAGTGGCACGATCTCGGCTCATTGCAACCTCCGCCTCCTGGGTTCAAGCAATTCTTTCACCTCAGCCTCCCGAGCAGCTGGGATTACAGGCGCACGGCACCACGCCGAGCTAATTTTGTATTTTTAGTAGAGATGGGGTTTCACCATGTTGGCCAGGCTGGTCTCAAAACTGCTGACCTTGTGATCTGCCCACCTCAGCCTCCCAAAGTGCTGGGATTACAGGTATGAGCCACCGCTCCCAGCCAGATCCTTCTAATGAATAAATTTTTAGAAGCTTAAACCAAGTCAGGCTGGTTTCTGTTGCTGGTAATCATAAAAACCTCTACCAATTTATCTAAGCAACAGGTAAAATGTATTAAGTGCCTACTACATGTTAAGTACTATTCTAAGTGCTTTGTATGTATTAATTAATCTGCATACAACCCTTTAGGTAGGTTCTGTTTTCTCCATTTTCCTGAGGTTTGGAGAAGTTAAATGACTCATCCAAGGTTACACAACAAGTAGCACAGTCACAATTTGAACCTTCAACTTTATCACTGTGATACAGTGGAAAAAAACGGGCCACCATATTTCATAGCTCCTCCCAACAAGAGATGGAGACTTCACTCTACTTTTTAAATCTTGGCTTGAAACACATGACCCGCTTTAGCCAAATGGACATGAACAAACTTGACATAAGCAGAGGCTTAAAGGGTACTTAAGTAGTAGGGTTTACCCCCTCTTGCTACTGGAAGAAACCAGGGCTTTAGCCTCACAGAGGATGGGGAAAGAGGACCTGCCAACCCACAGAAAAAGTAATAAACTGTGTAAGGTAATAAATTATTATTTTAAACTACTAAGTTTTGGAGCCTCGTTACATAGCAAATGGTAATTGAAATAATCAACCCAAGCCTAGCAGCTCATGCCTGTAGTCTCAGCACTTCAGGAGGCTGAGGCAGGAGAATCGCTTTAGCCTAGGAGGCCAAGGCTATAGTGAGCCATGACTGCACCACTGTACTCCAAGCCTGGGCACCAGAGCAAGACCCTGTCTCAAAAAGAAAGAGAAAAAAACCACTAAGCTATCTCCAGCAAATAAGTATCAACAAATAAGAACAAATAAAAATTTGAGGCAGAGAAAAGACCTCTTTACTCTTCCCCACTTTTCCTCAAGGACAGAAGAATAAATGAAGTTGAAATTTCATCAGTGAAGAATATATTTAGAACAGAGGTAGAACTGGCCATGAGGAAGCCCATAGGCAGGGACAAGGAGACTGCTCTCTCTCATTTTCACCTGAACTCAGGTTTCCAGGAATCACCTACTCACTGTGCTGCTTGCTCAGGAATTGCTGGTGCACAGGTACCATTCCATAGTCCAGGCCTTACAGTTCATTCTTCCAGGGCTTCTGGAGAAGACTTGTAAACAACAGGAGTCTGAAATGCTGAGCAGCCAGGCCAGCCCACACAGAAGTCCTTCTAGTGACTTCCCTTTCTTGGCTGTGCAAGTGGTAAACTCTCCATCAAAGACATCTGTTCAGAGACCCATCTGGCTCACAAAGCATCTCTTCATGCCAAAGAGCAACAATTGGTGAAGCCAAAAAAGAAAGCCCTAAGCAGGTGGGGGCAGCACTAGGCGGAAGGGAAAAGAAAGCTGGTTGTTCCAGGAGTGTGCTGAAACCTCCCTCTCCTTGGAATGGAAATAAAGTTAGAGGTCTTCATTGCAAAACACAGGGCATGATCCATAGTAGGTACATAGTACAGAAAAACACAGGACTAGAAAGAAACACTGTGTTAAGAGTAAGAGACATGGGTCCTTGGCCCAGTTTCACTGTTGACTCCTGTGTGTTCTGGCACAAGTTAATCATCCATCCATCCATGTAACAAACCTTCAAAGAAGAACTGTTTTCTACTATCATCTTCAGGACTGAAGATATATACACAGCAATTAGACATGTTCCCAGATTTGAAGAAACTTACAGGTTAATGAGAGACAAACATAAGAACTATATTTTACACATATAGAAACCAAAGCTAAGGTTTTAATCGCTGGTTTTTAGTTTCCTTATAAATTATATAAAGAAACGGGGAAGGCAATTAGCATATTAGAGCTTTCTATAAGCAAAACACTTTGCCAGTTGCTTTCCATATGTAATTTCTTAATCCTCACAGCAACCTCTGAGTAGGCAGGCGGACTCCACTTCACAGATGATGGGATGCCTTTACTCCACCAGATGTTCCTACAACACTGACCTCATTCGTCCTTGCATAGTGGTAGACTGCATATGTCAATCGCAGCCTAGAACATAACTCCATGCTTAAGAATGTTCACTCCTCCTCTCCTTTCAGCTACTCCTATTTCCTAGAAACTAATACATTAAAATATTCTAACATGGAACTCAGAGGTCTTAAGAAGCCACAGATTAAGGACTAAACTGGTAGAAAAACTGTTTCCCCCTCAAACCAATCACTACCTCTTATTGATACTTTCTTGTCAGTAGAAAGAAGACAAGATGGCAGCCAGTACAATTAGAAAGCAGGTGGCTTTCTATATTTAGCTTTTTTTTTTCTTTTTTTTTTTTTTTTATTATACTCTAAGTTTTAGGGTGCATGTGCACATTGTGCAGGTTAGTTACATATGTATACATGTGCCATGCTGGTGCGCTGCACCCACTAACGTGTCATCTAGCATTGGGTATATCTCCCAATGCTATCCCTCCCCCCTCCCCCGACCCCACCACAGTCCCCAGAGTGTGATATTCCCCTTCCTGTGTCCAAGTGATCTCATTGTTCAATTCCCACCTATGAGTGAGAATATGCGGTGTTTGGTTTTTTGTTCTTGCGATAGTTTACTGAGAATGATGGTTTCCAATTTCATCCATGTCCCTACAAAGGACATGAACTCATCATTTTTTATGGCTGCATAGTATTCCATGGTGTATATGTGCCACATTTTCTTAATCCAGTCTATCATTGTTGGACATTTGGGTTGGTTCCAAGTCTTTGCTATTGTGAATAGTGCCGCAATAAACATACGTGTGCATGTGTCTTTATAGCAGCATGATTTATAGTCCTTTGGGTATATACCCAGTAATGGGATGGCTGGGTCAAATGGTATTTCTAGTTCTAGATCCCTGAGGAATCGCCACACTGACTTCCACAATGGTTGAACTAGTTTACAGTCCCACCAACAGTGTAAAAGTGTTCCTATTTCTCCACATCCTCTCCAGCACCTGTTGTTTCCTGACTTTTTAATTATTGCCATTCTAACTGGTGTGAGATGATATCTCATAGTGGTTTTGATTTGCATTTCTCTGATGGCCAGTGATGATGAGCATTTCTTCATGTGTTTTTTGGCTGCATAAATGTCTTCTTTTGAGAAGTGTCTGTTCATGTCCTTCACCCACTTTTTGATGGGGTTGTTTTTTTCTTGTAAATTTGTTTGAGTTCATTGTAGATTCTGGATATTAGCCCTTTGTCAGATGAGTAGGTTGCGAAAATTTTCTCCCATGTTGTAGGTTGCCTGTTCACTCTGATGGTAGTTTCTTTTGCTGTGCAGAAGCTCTTGAGTTTAATTAGATCCCATTTGTCAATTTTGGCTTTTGTTGCCATTGCTTTTGGTGTTTTGGACATGAAGTCCTTGCCCACGCCTATGTCCTGAATGGTAATGCCTAGGTTTTCTTCTAGGGTTTTTATGGTTTTAGGTCTAACGTTTAAATCTTTAATCCATCTTGAATTGATTTTTGTATAAGGTGTAAGGAAGGGATCCAGTTTCAGCTTTCTACATATGGCTAGCCAGTTTTCCCAGCACCATTTATTAAATAGGGAATCCTTTCCCCATTGCTTGTTTTTCTCAGGTTTGTCAAAGATCAGATAGTTGTAGATATGTGGCATTATTTCTGAGGGCTCTGTTCTGTTCCATTGATCTATATCTCTGTTTTGGTACCAGTACCATGCTGTTTTGGTTACTGTAGCCTTGTAGTATAGTTTGAAGTCAGGTAGTGTGATGCCTCCAGCTTTGTTCTTTTGGCTTAGGATTGACTTGGCGATGCGGGCTCTTTTTTGGTTCCATATGAACTTTAAAGTAGTTTTTTCCAATTCTGTGAAGAAAGTCATTGGTAGCTTGATGGGGATGGCATTGAATCTGTAAATTACCTTGGGCAGTATGGCCATTTTCACGATATTGATTCTTCCTACCCATGAGCATGGAATGTTCTTCCATTTGTTTGTGTCCTCTTTTATTTCCTTGAGCAGTGGTTTGTAGTTCTCCTTGAAGAGGTCCTTCACATCCCTTGTAAGTTGGATTCCTAGGTATTTTATTCTCTTTGAAGCAATTGTGAATGGGAGTTCACTCATGATTTGGCTCTCTGTTTGTCTGTTGTTGGTGTATAAGAATGCTTGTGATTTTTGTACATTGATTTTGTATCCTGAGACTTTGCTGAAGTTGCTTATCAGCTTAAGGAGATTTTGGGCTGAGACGATGGGGTTTTCTAGATAAACAATCATGTCGTCTGCAAACAGGGACAATTTGACTTCCTCTTTTCCTAATTGAATACCCTTTATTTCCTTCTCCTGCCTGATTGCCCTGGCCAGAACTTCCAACACTATGTTGAATAGGAGTGGTGAGAGAGGGCATCCCTGTCTTGTGCCAGTTTTCAAAGGGAATGCTTCCAGTTTTTGCCCATTCGGTATGATATTGGCTGTGGGTATGTCATAGATAGCTCTTATTATTTTGAAATACGTCCCATCAATACCTAATTTATTGAGAGTTTTTAGCATGAAGGGTTGTTGAATTTTGTCAAAGGCTTTTTCTGCATCTATTGAGATAATCATGTGGTTTTTGTCTTTGGCTCTGTTTATATGCTGGATTACATTTATTGATTTGCGTATATTGAACCAGCCTTGCATCCCAGGGATGAAGCCCACTTGATCATGGTGGATAAGCTTTTTGATGTGCTGCTGGATTCGGTTTGCCAGTATTTTATTGAGGATTTTTGACAGTTTTGCTCTTGTTGTCCAGGCTGGAGTGCAATGGCATGATCTTGGCTCACTGCAACCTCTGCCTCCCAGGTTCAAGCCATTCTCCTGCCTCAGCCTCCCAAGTAGCTGGGATTATAGGCGCCCACCACCACACCCGGCTTAATTTTTGTATTTTTAGTAGACGGGGGTTTCACCATGTTGGCCAGGCTGGTCTCAAACTCATGACCTCAGGTGATCCACCCACCTCGGCCTCCTGAAGTGCTGGGATTACAGGCGTGAGCCACCGCACCCAGCCTACAGTTACCATTTTAAGTGTATACTTTCATGCATTTTCAAAAATGTTCACACCTGTGAACCTATTACCACAAACAAGATTTAGTGTTTCTATTACTCCAAAAAAGTTCCCTTATGCACTTTGATGTTAAACTATCCCTACCTCTAAACCCTCAGGCAGCCACTCATCTGCTATATGTTACTGTGGATTGTCTGTTCTAAAATTTCGTATTAGCAGGCTCTCACAGTATGTACTCTTTTGTACAGGGCTTCTTCCACTTAGCATGTTTTTGAGATTCATCGAAGTTATATGTATCAATAGTTTTATTCCTGAGTTGTACTCCATTGTTTGAATACACTAAAATGTACCCACTCATCTGATAATAATATTTTTGTTGCTTCTAATTTTGGGCAATTATAAATAAAGCTGCTATGAATATTTGTGTAACAAGTCCTTGCATGAGCAAATGTTTTCATTTATCTTAGGTAAATGCCAAGGAGTGCAGTTCATGGTGGTATAATTTAACAAGAAATTTTAATACCTGTTTTCCAAAATGGTTGTCCTCTCTCTGAATGTTTTTGGTTGTTGTTGTTTTTTTTTTTTTTTTTTTTTTTTTGAGACAGTGTCTCACACTGTTGCCTGGGCTAGAGTGCAGTGGCGCAATCTCAGCTCACTGCAACTTCTGCCTCCCAGGTTCAAGCAATTCTCTTGCCTCAGCCTCCCTAGTAGCTGGGATTATAGGCATCCGCCACCACGCCCAGCTAATTTTTTATATTTTTAGTAGAGACGGGGGTTTCACCATGTTGGCCAGGCTGGTCTTGAACTCCTGACCTTGTGATTCACCCACCTCGGCCTCCCCAAGTGTTGGGATTACAGGCGTGAGCCACTGTGCCCAGCCAATAGTCTCTAGTTCTTAACAATGCAGTTTGGTGGCCCAGGTTGAAATTAATAGATGCACAAAACTGAACCATATGTACAAGCTATAAGCTGGTCATGCAAATTCCAACTACAAGTCTGCCATGGACAGAAATCTTTCAATATTTTGAGAAATTTTCCCTGGAAATGAGAGGGAACACTTGCACAATATTCTTCTTTGTGCTTCATTTTCTATTTCTTTTCTCCCGACAAATCCCACTAGGACAAGCTGCCATTACTCCTCTTTCTACACAGCCCACCTAGCTACTCACTCTACCCCCAATGCAGTGTTTCCCAAAATGTGGCTATGGACCACAGCATTAGAACCAGCACTTACTTAAGAACCAGTGTCTAGCACATCATACAACATGGATGAACCTTGAAGACATTATTCTAACTAAAACAAGCCAGTCCCTAAAGGACAAATACTGTGTAATTCCACTCATATGAGGTACCTAGAGTAGTCAAACTCATAGAGACAGAAGGTAGATTGGTGGTTTCCAGTGGATGGGGAAAGGGGGAAATAGTGGGTTTTTTTTTTTTTTTTTTTTTGAGATGGAGTCTTGCTCTGCTGCCCAGGCTGGAGTGCAGTGGCACAATCTCAGCTCACTGCAACCTCCGTCTCCCAGGTTCAAGTGATTCTCATGCCTCGGCCTCCCAAGTACCTGGGATTACAGGCGTGTGCCACCACGCCTGGCTAATTTTTGTATTTTTAGTAGAGATAGGGGGTTTCACCATGTTGGCCAGTCTGGTCTCGAACTCCTGACCTCAGGTGATCTGCCCACCTCATCCTCCCAAAGTGCTGGGATTATAGGTGTGAGCCACCACGCCCGGTGAGAGTTGTTACATGGACACAGCTTGAGGTCTGTAAGATGAAAAAAGTTCTGGAGATGGATGGTGGTGATGGCTGCACAAGAATGTGAATGTACTTAATGCCTCTGAACTATACACTGAAAACTTGAGAAAATGGTAAATTTTATGTATATATTTTTTACAATTAAACTTTTTTTTTTTTTTTGAGACAGAGTCTCTGTCGCCCAGGCTAGAGTGCAATGGCATGATCTCAGCTTACTGCAACCTCCGCCCCCCAGGTTCAAACAATTCTCTTGCCTAAGCCTCCTGAGTAGCCAGGATTACAGGCACACGCCACCACACGCAGCTAATTTTTGTGTTTTTAGTGGAGACGGGGTTTCACCATGTTGGCCAGTCTGGTTTCAAACTCCTGACCTCAAGTGATCCGCCCGCCTCGGCCTCCCAAAGTGCTGGGATTACTATGCATGAGCCACTACGCCCAGCTAATTGCCTATTTCTAAATTTTCAGGTCCCTGTGCCCTACCCCAGACCTACTGAATCAGAACCACCCTCCAACACTTGCAAACACTGTCATAATTAAGTGACCTCTAACTGAAGACCTGAAAGATCAGTATCTGGAAGAAGTTAGACTAACAAAAAGAACACTAGGGGAGAGAAGGGGGACGTCAAAAAAAAAAAAAATGCATCCAGGAGTCAGCCATGTCAAAGGTGGCTCCACTCAGTGCTCAGCTTGCTCACCAGTGATGTATCACCTAATCTACGGGGCTTGTAAGCTGTCCAGTCAGTTCCAACAGCCCACCCTAGTCCACTCATCTCCGCTTCAGCTCTCCTCTCAACACCAGTCAGTGTTGGCAGTGCTGTGGCTGAAGGGACATGGCCGACAGCACTATGTTTACCAATTTCCTGTCCTCTGGCTTCATCTTCTTTAAAAGCAACTATACTGAGGTATAATTTACATACTATAAAATGCAGTCACATTAGTGGACAGCTGACTTTCAACGAATGTATATAGCCATGTATCCATCACCATTGTCAAGATATAACATTTGCACTTCCCGCCATCTTGGATGCCATGGAGGCCTGCTGGGAACAGGACTTCTAAAAGGAAATATGTGGAAGGCTGTGGTGCAAGGCCATTTTTGCCGGCTATAAGCAGGGTATCCGGAACCAATGGGAGCAGGCAGTTCTTCCTAAAATTGAAAGTGTTTATGCCCGAGATGAAACAGAATTCTATTTGGGCAAGAGATGTGCTTATGTATACAAAGCAAAGAACAACACAGTGACTCCTGGTGGTAAACCAAACAACACTGGAGTAATCTGGAGAAAGGTAACTCGGGCCCACAGAACCAGTGGCATAGTTTGTGCCAAATTCTGAAGCACTCTTCCTACTATGGCTATTGGAAACAGAATCCAAGTGATGCTGTACCCCTCAAGGATTTTTTTTTTTTTTTGAGACGGAGTCTCACTCTGTCGCCCAGGCTGGAGTGCAGTGGTGCGCAGTCTCTGCTCGCTGCAAGCTCCGCCTCCTGGGTTGACACCATTCTCCTGCCTTAGCCTCCTGAGTAGCTGGGACTACAGGCACTCACCACTACGCCCAGCTATTTTTTATATTTTTAGTAGAGATAGGGTTTCATCGTGTTAGCCAGAATGTTTTTTGTTTGTTTGTTTGTTTTGAGACGGAGTCTTGCTCGTCACCCAGGCTGGAGTGCAGTGGCGCAATCTTGGCTCACTGCGACCTCTGCCTCCCGGGTTCAAGCTTCTCCCTCAGCTTCCTGATTAGCTGGGATTACAAGCACCCGCCACCACGCCCGGCTAATTTTCGGTACTTTTAGCAGAGACAAGGTTTCACCATGTTGGCCAGGGTGGTCTCAAACTCCTGACCTCAGGTGATCTGCCCGCCTCGACCTCCCAAAATGCTGGGATTACAGGCATGAGCCACCGTGCCCAGCCCCCTTCAAGGATTTAAACTAATGAGAAGTCAATACATAGAAGTGGATGTGTGCTCTTGAAAAAAAAAAAAAGATGTAACATTTGTGTCACCCCAAAAAGTTCCTTCATGCTCCTTTAATCTCTCCCTAGACCCCTCAAGGCAACCACTGATCTACTTTCTGCCACTATGGATTTGTTGTTATTCTCTAATTTCACATAAATGGAAACAGCTTGGGCTGTTTTGTATCTGCCTTCTTTCACTCAGCATAAATGTTCCTGAAATTCAAAGTTAGGTGTTATCAGTAGTCTTTTCATTTTTATTGTTGAAGAGTATTCTGTTGTATAGATATACTACAATTTGTTTCTCTCTTTGCCTGTTGAAGGACATTTCAGTTGTTTCTACAAGAAATACAGCTTCTTTAAACATTTGTGTGGATGCATGTTATATTTTATCTTGGACAAATGCCTAAGATGGTATGGTCACATGGTTAAGTGTATGTGTACCTTTATTAAAATAAATCAGTTTCTTTCTTTTTTTAATGTGTTTTGTTCTTCTTGTTGTTGTTGTTTTGAGACTGTGTCTCGCTGTGCCACCCAGGCTGGAGTGCAGCAGTGCAATCTCGGCTCACCACAGCCTCCGCCTCCCAGGTTCAAGCAATTCTCCTGCCTCAGCCTCCCAAGTAGCTGGGATTACAGGTGCTCGCCACCATGGCTGGCGGCTAATTTTTGTATTTTTAGTAGAGGGGGGTTTCACCATGTTGGGTCAGGCTGGTTTCGAACTCCTGACCTCATGATCCACCCCCCCACCTCCCCCCGCTGCCCCTCGGCCTCCCAAAGTGCTGGGATTATAGGCATGAGCCACTGTACCCAGCAATAAATCAGTTTCTTTTATAGTAAAACTCATATGCAGCTGGCCAGTCCTGGCTTTAGGCATATGCACATGCACTGTTCACTGTTCCAGTGAATAGTGACACCGGAGACTGGGTAACTAAGTGCTGGTTGAGGCTCTTAGCTGGGCTTCCAGGGTGACTATGACTATTGTCCATCACAGCTATAGGCAATAGGTGTAGCAAGACCAAAAAGAGGGTAGGAGTTGCTGCCTCAGCCACCAAACTAAACAAAGACTTTTAATAAAAGATTTAACATGTTATTAAAAGGCTTTTACACGAAAACAAAACATAGAAAAAAGAGGAAGCAACAGCCTTTGGATTATATCTAAAATTCAAAGCAAAATAACTAGCAAATAACTTCTTACCTCTGTGCATGATCTTGTGCTTCTCCCTCAGATATGTCAGGCCTTTTATTACCTAGAGGAAAGGGAATGTAAAAGAAAAGAAAATACTGGTGATAAGAAAAATACTCAATCTATTTTAAAATACTCTAGGAAAATACTTCATTTATCATCATCACAAATTTGCCTTCCTCCTTTGAGACGCAGTTTCACTCTTGTTGCCCAGGCTGGAATGCAATGGCGCGATCTCGGCTCACCACAACCTCCACCTCCCGGGTTCAAGTGATTCTCCTGCCTCAGCCCCCTGAGTAGCTGGGATTACGGGCATGCGCTACCACCCCCGGCTAATTTTGTATTTTTAGTAGAGATGGGGTTTCTCCATGTTTGTCGGGCTAGTCTCGAACTCCTGACCTCAGGTGATCCACCCACCTTGGCCTCCCAAAGTGCTGGGATTACAGGTGTAAGCCACCGTGCCTGGGCTTTTTTTTTTTCTGAGACAGAGTTTTGCTCTTGTTGCCCAGGCTGGAGTGCAGTGCCGTGATCTCAGCTCACCACAACCACCCCCTCCCGGGTTCAAGCGATTCTCTTGCCTCAGCCTCCCGAGTAGCTGGGATTACAGGCATGCACCAACACCCCCGGCTAATTTTGTATTTTTAATAGAGATGGGGGTTTCTCCATGTTGGTCAGGCTGGTCTCGAACTCCCGACCTCAGGTGATCTGCCCGCCTCCGCCTCCCAAAGTGCTGGGATGACAAGCATGAGCCACCGCGCCCAGCCCCTTATTTTTTACTCTTTTGTTTCATTTTCTTAACCTGCCTTATCAAGCAACCATCTTTTTACATGGTATAAAGAGTTGTTTTGTTTTGAGACAGGGTCTCACTCTGTCGCCCAGACTAAAGTGCAATGGCACAATCATGGATTATGGCTTACTGCAGCCTCTCAAGTGATCTTCCCACCTCAGCTTCCCAAGTAGCTGGGACTACACGTGTGCACCACCACGCCCAGCTATTTATTTTTATTTTTTTGTAGAAGCGAGGTCTCATCATGTTGCCCAGGCTGGAGTTGAACTCCTGGGCTCAAGCAGTCCTCCTGCCTTGGCCTCGCAAAGTGCTGGGATTACAGGTGCGAGCCACTGTGCCTGGCCCGTTTTTCAAGACACACAGATTTTAATATAAAGAAAGTCACTTTTCTCATTCTAATGTGAGAGAGAATAGTGTATATAGACTCCAGACAGGGAAGAGTCTAGTGAGAAAATACCACTTTTCTTATAAACTTTCCCCTCATTGACTTCCCATCTTCCTCTCTTGTCCATTTCTTACCGACTCATTAACTTATCAATGAGGAACTTAGAAGAAAAACTTCATAACATACTCACAGCAATGCTAACTTTTCCTAAAATTTGTTCAGGAATTCTTCCAGCTTTCTTCAGGACTTGATCCAGAGAACCTCCATCCTAAGATCGAGAATACCAGACCAGTTAGTGACAATGTTCTAACTATTCTTTCAAGTGATAACTTTCGGCTGTGGCTGAGGCAGGAGAATGGCATGAACCTGGGAGGCGGAGCTTGCAGTGAGCCGAGATCACACCACTGCACTCAGCCTGGGCGACACAGCGAGACTCTGTCTCAAAAAAAAAAAAAAAAAAAAAAATACACACACAAAAAAACCCCAGAAGGCTGCGTTCAGAGAACTTCAGGACAGCTGAACACATGGAGGTTCCTGGAGGGTGGTGCGCCCAGGGAAGGCATGGAAGCTTCGTACCCCACTCCCATACCTTGTCCTATGTGTCTCTTCATCTGTATCCTTTGCAATGTCCTTTATAATAAACCAGTAAAATTAAGTGTTTCCCTGAGTTCTGTGTGCCAATCCAGCAAATTAATCGAACTCAAAGATAGGATCATGGGAGTCCCAACTTAAAGCCAGTCAGTCAGACATTTTGGAGGCCCAGACTGGCAACTGGTGGTGGTGCAGTCTTGGGGACTGAGCCCTGAACCCATGGGATCTGACATGATCATCTGGTAGTGTCAGAATTAAACAGGAGGACACCCAGCTGGTGTCCACTGCTTAGAGTGTAGAGAAAATCCCTCCACACTTTTGGTCACATAAGTCTTCTGTGTTGATTGTTGTGGTGTGACAGTAAAGGAAAAACACGGTCTGGGAGTTTTTCCCAACATTACAATGAAACCATAACTGCCTAAGAAAGTGATACAGACATGCAGAAGAAGGGAGAAGTAATTCTGACTTCACTTAAAAGATGGCATTTGAGCTGAATATTACTCAAAGGATGAACATGATTTCTATACCTGGAAAAGGGGAGGAGAAAAGGGAGAGAAGAACAGAGCACTGCAATAAGATCAAAGCAGGGACGCATCACGTTGCTGAGTACTCCTGGGATGATGTGGTCATTTCACTGTTGGTGCATGAAGAGGTGCAAGCTAGAAATGGCCGGCTGTGACCAGAACCCCACCAAGGAACCGGGACTTGACTTTATGGAGTCAGAAGTAAAAGAATCCAACCTGAGTGTTTAAAGATGAGAATCACAGCAGCTGAGGGAGACAAACAAGACTCTGGAGGCAGAGAGACTGGTAAGGAGATGAGATGACATGAATGGGGTGCCGGACAGAGGCAGTGGAAAGAGAGCACAAGAGAGGATGCAAGTATGGTGTGAAGCCAGGCTCTGCAGGGCTCACATACCAGGGGCTCCCGTTAAGGGGTTCTACATTTTAACCTGCGATCTTGAAGAAATGCCTCACTAAGGGGATCCTGATGTATCAAGGCAGAAATAGGTTAAGTTCCCCTATGGCTTCAGGTGTAGCCAGTTACCACTTGCAACTTAAAATTACTCTCAGATGTAGACCTAATTCCTGAAAACTCAAAACAAATTTTCTAAAGTATCCTGTCTATATTGAGCAGTTATCATCATCTTCTATCATTTATCAAATGCCTCTGTATATGTAAGAACTAGGTTTTTTTTTTTTTTGTCTTTTTTTAAACCTTTAAGATAAAGATAGAACACACTCTCTCCTTAGGGAGACAGAATATATTCATAAGAGGTAAGGCATTTTAAATCCTCCTCTGAAACAAGGCAGGGAACAAACAGTTGAATGAAGAGAACAGACAATGCTACTGATGCTCAGAGGAGGAAGTGATCCTCCTGCCTCAGCCTTCCGTGTAGTTGGGACCACAGGTACGTGCCACCCCACCCAGCTATTTTTGATTTTTTTTGTAGATGGGGAGTCTCACTTTGTTGCCCAGGCTGGTCTCGAACTCATGGGCTCAAGCAATTCTCCTGCCTCAGCCTCCCAAAGTGCTGGGATTACAAGTGTGAGTCACTGTGCTCAGCCAGCACTACCTCTCAACTGACCCTAAATGCAGCCTAGGACAGGGGGCAGCCCAGATAACTGTCTTGGTTTACACTTCCCCTGGGGGTTGGTAAGAGAAATATCTCTATTAAAAAGGAAAAAACAAACCAGGTGCAGTGGCTCATGCCTGTAATCCCAAATCTTTGGGAGGCCAAGGCAGGAGGATTGCTTGAGGCCAGGAGTTCAAGACCAGCCTGGGCCACGTAGTAGTGAGACTCCATCTCTACAAAAAATAAAAATTAGCTGGACATGGTGATGCACATCTGTTGTCCTCCTGCTACTTGGGAGGCTAAGGCGGGAGGACTGCTTGAGCCCAGAAGCTCAAAGTTATAGTGACCTATGATCATGCCACCACACTCCAGCCTGGGCAACAGAGCAAGACCGTATCTGTAAAATTAATCAGTTAATTTTAAAACAAAAAGGAAACATTGGCTCTCTTCCCTTTAACCTCCACAGAGCTTCAAGCAGAGTATAGTGTGAACGATGGAATTACAAAATGTAAGGGGCATACACCAGTCAGGATTCCCCAGGGTTGCCTGCAACTAACCATACAACTTTCTAATTCTAATTCACTGTTGCCAAGTCCTTGCCTTAAGCTGCTGAAATTGTGCTTATTTTTAGAAGCCAATTATTAACTAAGTCAATGGTGCTTTTGTGAAGGTTTTCTATGGAAGAGACAAATGCTTTATGAAAATAACAGTTCAAAAGCTTTTATTCCTGCACAAGAACCATTAACTCTGGGTCCCTAGTTCTCCGGTTGGCTCAGCTACCAACCTGAGCAGCAATCTACTTCCCCAAAGATAAAAGCATTCCTGTTCTGATCAGAGAGCATCAATTTCCCTCCTTGGGTCTCAAAATTCAGACTGGGCAGTGCACACAGAGCTTATTTCTAGGAAAGATCAGCCCCTGGCTGAGTGCTTTAGAAGACAGGGCTCAACCAATGCTGATGACACAAATTTACTTTAAAACACATTCCCAGGGCCAGGCGTGGTGGCTCACACCTCTAATCCCAGCACTTTGAGAGGCCGAGACAGGCAGATTGCTTGAGCCCAAGAGTTCAAGACCAGCACAGGCAACATAGTGAAACCCCATTTCTTCTAAAAACACAAAAATGAGCCAGGCATAGTGGCATGTGCCTGTAGTCCCAGCTACTCAGGAGGCTGAGGTGGGAAGATCACTTGGGCCCAGGAGGCAGAGGTTGCAGTGAGCTGAGATTGCACCACTGTACTCTAGCATGGGCAACAGTGCAAGACCCTGTCTCAAAAACAAACAAACAAAAACAGAACCCCACGCGCCCCCCAAAATTGATCGGAGAAATGGATATATGGTAAACCAAATATCTCAAAACATAAGTTGTAGAATCTAGGTGGTGGGTGTACGAGTGTACACTTCCTTCAGGTTTTCCTGCATGCTAGAATTTTTTTTTTTTTTTTTTGAGATGGAGTTTTGCTCTTGTCACCCAGGCAGGAGTGCAATGGCGTGGTCTCAGCTCACTGCAACCTCTGCCTCCTGGTTTCAAGTGATTCTCCTGCCTCAGCTTCCTGAGTAGCTGGGATTATAGGCACCTGCCTCCACGCCAGCTAATTTTTGTAATTTTTTTTTTTGAGACTGAGTTTTGCCTTTGTTGTCCAGGCTGGAGTGCAATGACACAATCTCAGCTCACCACAACCTCCACCTTCTGGGTTGAAGTGATTCTCCTGCCTCAGCCTCCCAAGTAGCTGGGATTACAGGCATGTGCCACCACGCCTGGCTAATTTTGCATTTTTAGTAGAGATGGTGTTTCTCCATGCTGGTCAAGCTGGTCTCGAACTCCTGACCTCAGGTGATCTGCCCGCCTTAGCCTCCCAAAGTGCTGGAATCACAGGTGTGAGCTACCGTGTCTGGCCATTTTCGTAATTTTTAATAGAGATGGGTTTTCACCATGTTGGCCAGGCTGGTCTTGAACTCCTGAACTCAGGTGATTCGCTCACTTCAGCCTCCCAAAGTGCTGGAATTACAGGTGTAAGCCACCATGCCCAGCCTGTGAAAATTTTCATAATAAAGTGTTGGGAAAATAATATTCATGACACAAAACTCATGCAAAGACTGTGACAGAGAGAGGACCAAAGACCTTCAGAAGCTGGGATGTGGCTATCGAACAGAGGTCTCTCTACCTGACAACACCTTTGAAAAACTGAAGCTGAGGCAAAGCAGAAGGTCCAAGGGAAGCAGCAGCCCATAGTCAGAATTTTCCATCCAGAGGAAGCCAGGGCAGGGCCTTTCCTGCAACAGGACCTGCTCAGGAATAAGGAAGGGCTGAGAGTGCCCAGAGCTGAAGCAGAAAGCCACTCTGGCTCTCATGGCTGCCTGGTCTTCAGGCCACAGCTGCTTCCTACATGGTCCCATCTAGACGCTCCGGCAGCACCTGAGCCTCTTCACTACCACTGACTGACTATTCTAGCTGCCCTCTGGGTCTATGTACACCCAGGGCCAAAAGGTCCTATGGCAGGCTCCAAGGCCTAACCCTCCCCCATCGAGTCCCAAGCCTGACCAGGTCTTCCCCATCCTGGCCACTCTCATTCAGTCACTCAACACATACCACCTAACAGGTGCCAGACACTGTGCTTGGCCCTTGAAACATTTTCCCCTCCCAGTCTCATGCTCTCCACGATAACTCCAGAGACTTGTGCAGGAACATCTCACTATTTCCAGAGAGCCAAATCCATGGGGGGAAAAACTGACCTGCAGTCACTGGAAATGGGCTAAGAGAATGGGAAACCAACTCCAGTCATTTCCAGTGTCATTTTCTCCTGAAGGAGGAGGAAGGCTTGAAGGAAGGGGAGGACATGGCAAGGGCACAAGAGATGTGATCAACATCTGTAAGTTCAAAGTGAATAAAGAATTCCAGAATAAGGATGCCACCTAGCATCTCAAAAAAGGTCAATGTAAATGAAGAAGCCTCCTAGTATCTCAAAAGAGGTCAATGTAAGAAAAATAAAAAGATTGGTTGGGCACGGTGGCTCATGCCTGTAATCCCAGCACTTTGGGAGGCCGAGGCGGGCAGATCATGAGGTCAGGAGTTCGAGACCAGCCTGGCCAACATGGTGAAACCCCATCTCTAGTAATGATAGAAAAAAATTAGCGGGGCGTGGTGGTGCGCACCTGTAATCCCAGCTACTCTGGAAGCTGAGGCAGGGGAATCACTTGAACCTGGGAGGTGGAGGTTGCAGTGAGCCGACATCGCGCCACTGCACTCCAGCCTGGGTGACAGGGCGAGACTCTGTCTAAAAAAACAAAAAGAAAAAAAAAGAAAGGGGAAAAAAACCCTTCATCACCCTAAAAAATAAAAATAAATTAAAAAAAAAAAAAAAAGAACACAAGAGACCCAAGGGATAAGAAACAGCTCCCTGAGGGGAAGCCAAGACCCAAGCAGAAAATAATCAGCACCCCAGGCCAAGCACTAGGACCAAGCCAGAAATGTTCATATGCTTCCCACAGAGAATGCTCTGCTCTCATTGAGGAAAGAAGGAACAAGCACTTTCTCTAACCTTTAGATGTGCAGAAGACGTTTTTAGGATTTAGGTTCCATATGGCACCCACAAATGTCAGCAGATGCCTATAACAGTGGATGCAGCACTTCGTGATCATTACAATGAAGAGAGGTTCAAAATAATGGAGGCACAAGTAGAGAATCCTCCCAGGAGGGTTCTTCTAAAGTTCATTAAGGCTGCACACCAGGATCCCTATTCTAAAGGTCAGGGCAGGTCTCAAGTATCAGGAATAAAATGGGGTAGGAGCTGAGAGACACAATACTGGACTGAAAGCACAACAGCCACCAAGTGTGCAGACTCACGTCAGCCCTCATCTCTAAGCCATCAGCCCAGGGAGAATAAAGCAAAGACTAATACTTGCAGAATTCCCTAAGTTGCACAGTGTGTTGGAAGACTTATATCTGAAGAAAAGGAGGGACTCCAAGAACATAGTGGTAAAATGATTGGCAGCTAACATGCATATGATTAATTAGCCCATGAATGCCCTCTCTCTCCATTGCCCTCTCCTTCCACTAACGTGCATCATACAGAAACCCAGAGAAACCCTTCAGGCTGCCCTTACAGTAGATTATGTCATCTTTTTAACTCCAGAGCCTTGCACCTAGCATACAGCATTGTACACAAGAAATGGATTTAAACTGTATTTACCAGATTTTACTTACATCACATCTTAGGGTAATCAGAATCAAAAAAACTATGAGAGGTGCTCTAGGTACACCCACCAGGAATACTGCCCACTTCCTTCAAGAGAGGCAAGGACCTAGAAAGGAGGCCTGCCATCTTGTGAATATCCCAAGCTCTACAGTTAGACTTCCCAGATGCCCCAGATAGTGATGTGGATCCCAGGAGCAGCAGGGAGGTAGCTGGTCACCTCCCAGACCAAAGATTAGGCCAGAGCCACCCAACTCTTAAGGCCATTGCTCCAGAGGCTGAGAGGGTGTCACATACCATGTGCTCCATGCAGATACTGATCTCGCCATCGCTGTAGAACGCACCATAGAAGCCCACGATGTACGGAGAGTTGCACTCATGCAGAACCTGCAGCTCCCTTATGATCTGGTTCCGGATTGCGGGTTTGATCTCCAGATGAATTAGCTGGAGAAAGGTGGAAGAAAGAGAGGTTTTATGAAAGAAAGAGGGAGGAAGGGATGAAAGATATAGTCTTGTTAAATGTTTAAGCTCTTTAAGGTAGAGGGAGGAGAAACAGGTTAAGTTGTTACAAACAAGTTTCTGCTCAACCAAGAAATGAGTGTCATTGTACTAAGGCAGGCATTGGCACTGGAGGCTGTTCCAGCTGTGCCTCGGCTCCTGGGAGCCTAGACAGGAACAAAGTTAAGGGAGGGCTTACTCCAAGAGAGGCTTTGGAGCTCAGATATGAAAAGAAATTGACCTTGAGGACTTGGTTCACACTCAAGAGTTGTGAAAGTAGAAGGGTATGAGGAACTCAGGTATGCTAACCTAGGCTGCCCAAAAGATTCTTCCTTGAGCTCAGGAGCCTGATGTGGTTGAGACTAAGCCAAAGTCTAAGGTGCTACCTTATGTCATCCTAACATTTTCCCTTGTTCCAGCTGGGGAGACAAGTGACAGTCACATTAAATAGTTACGTAGTAAGGTTGAACTTCTAAAAAAATCCCACAGACAGCGAGTGTCAGAGAACATGGATGCAGTGGTTACCAGTGTGGGCTGGGGCACCTGGTAAAAGCTAGACAAGAGGTGGACCTAGAAAATGGGCACTGTTTGAAAAGACAGAAGCAACAGCACACAAAAAAATTATGGGCACAGGAGTGAACACCATGTGCAAAAAAACATTGAAGAGCCCAACCTCTCTGGAGCAAGGGGCTGTATTCCAAAAGAGGACCAAGGGTAGATAGGAAAGGGAAGTCCAGCTCTACAAGTACATGCTATGATAGGAGTTCAGATGCTATAATGCAGGAAGATAAAGGGGATTCACTGGCAGGGCTGGAGCACAAGAGGGAAACAACTTGAAATCCTTGTTTTGTGCATCGCTGGGGCTGGGTGAATGAAAGCAGCTTCTCCAGCACTTGATAAGTAATAAACAGGTATCCTGGCATTCCTTCCACAGCACACAGAAGGCTAAAAAAGAGTCACTTATTATTTTCCAGATGGGATGGGGATTAATACACTAACACAGTCATTAGTGTGTTTATCCATAATCTAATATAGATAACAAGCATTCAAAATTCAAACAGCACGGCTGGGCACAGTGGCTCACACCTGTAATCCCAGCACTTTGTGGGGCTGAGGCGGGCGTATCACCTGAGGTCAGGAGTTCGAGATCAGCTTGACCAACATGGAGAAACCCTGTCTCTACTAAAAATACAAAAAAATTAGCCATGCATGGTGGCGCATGCCTGTAATCCCAGCTACTCAGGAGGCTGAGGCAGGAGAATCGTTTGAACCCAGGAGATGGAGGTTGCACACCAGCCTGGGCAACAAGAATGAAACTCCGTCTTAAAAAAAAAAAAAAATTCAAACAGCACAAAAAGGTATTGAGTAAAATCAGTCTTCCTTCTACCCTGGTCCCCAGGCTTCTAAGTACCCTGAGAAATAATCCAATTACCTGTTAATCAAGGCAAACTCACCTTTCTGGCCATGACCAGGCCAGAAGGCTTGTGGGAGACCTTGAACACCACACCGCCATTGCCAGCCCCCAGCTCACTGATCTTCTCAAAGTCGTCATCCTTCAGTTCTCCCACCTTCTGCTTCTGGGTAAGAAAGGCCTCAAGGCGCTTTCGCTGCTGCTCATCAAGCTCTAGCTCCTCCAGCTTCTTCTGCAAGGCCTCCAAGTTGGTCCTGTTCCAAAGTGGGGAGCACAAGTCAATACTGTCACCAGAGAAGTCAACCCAAAGAAGTACTCCTATCATGGAAAGAAAGCTCCAGGTCTGGGGCCAGACAGATAATCAAAGTGGGAGGCTAGAGAGGAGGCCCCCTCCCACTGTGGCTCTGCCCACTTCACTCCAGCCACCCGGGATGACTATCACCAACATGCTTTACCTCTCAGGGCTTCAATTTCCTCATTTATAAAGTGAAAAAATTAGGTCTTTCTCACTCAGTATGCTGCAAGTCAATGAGAGGAACAAAAGAACCTACTAAAATCCAGAATGAGCCACCTTAATTTGCTTTAAAACCCCAGTTTAAAAAGCCCCACTACTGTTGGTTTTATTGTTTTTACCATACGCAAAATAAAATACCCTAAATTCACTAAAATGAAATCAAACCAACTTTAAACTGAATCACAACAGTAGAAATCCTCATTTTCAATGTAATCAGGTCCAGGAACCAGGTTAATCAAAAAAGTCACAGCAAAAAATCATAAAAATTACATATCTAAAATTCTTATTTTTACTCAATGTATATAAATCTGCATTCATTCGCCCATTCTTTAACATAGGGCAAGACTCTTTGAATAAGGGTCCAAAGAGGACCCACTGGTTAAGAGGTCCACATCATCCTTCGCACATGGACCAGAACATAATACATTGTCGACAATTTCCTATTCCTGATTTGTTAAAGCTGGTTAAAGTTATATTGTGATTACTTGCAGAGTAATCACAATATAAAATTCTAGAGTTTTATGATTTCCCCCAATCTTAATGTTCATCTAGTTTGACAGTAATGTGTTTTAGTGACTTGGACTTATAAGTCTTTCCACAGCTTTTAACTAGTGTTCATAGGGGAAAAAAATCACTTCATTTGCAGCTACATTTCATCAGTTTATCTGATACCTAAATACATTACTTAACTACAATACCAGCTACAGCTGAACAAATGGGTTTGGGAACAAGCTGGCTCTTGGTAAGCACATAATTCAGCCAGTGGGTGCTGAAGCGAGTGGGTATGGCAGAGAGCAGCCTGCCTGCAGTGCATTCAGCATGCTGTGGGCATTGCTCAAGAGTGTTTCATCCAGGGAACTGAAAAGTGTTCATCACTCCTGTGAGTTGGTTAACAGGAAGGTGGTAAGAGTTTCCACTGTGTTTCACTGGATTTCATTGGGTTTCAAATTGAAGTCCCGGGAGGTGAAGCATGTCAGTGACAATTGTGTGGGGTGGCTGAAGTGACACAGGTGACAAGATAGGCCTTCATTATACATCATCATGTTGGTGTTCCTGCCAACACACACACCCCAGTTCTGAGCTTAAAAGATAGAGTAAGCATAATCTGCTCTTCCTTCACACCCTCTATCCCAAACCTCTAGAAGACAGGGAAATGAAGACTTAATGCCTCTCCATGTATGAGGAGATCTGACACTGCCTTACAAATAACATCATGCATGGGACCAAAGAAGATGCAAGGCCGAGGTTACTGATTTTCCTCACTGATTTTCCCCCCACCCCACCTGCTGCACACATCAAAGAAAGGCCATGCAAGCACACAGTAGGAAGGCAGCTATCTGCAAGCCAGGAAGAGGGCTCTTGCCAAAACCCAACCATGCTGGCACCCTGCTCTTAGACTTTCAGCCTCCAGAACAGTGGGAAAATAAACTATTGTTGTCTAAGCTACTTAGTCTATGATATGTTATCATAGCAGTCCAAGCAAACTGAGGCAGCTACTCAATATTTTCATCCAAGGTTCGGCTATGTCTTGCAGTGTCCCCAGTCCCTAAGGTGTGGGAACCCAGAACATGTGTGGCTGGGGGTGCACAGTGCACACTCTCTGGTTTCCTTTCTCCAAGGTCTCCCCACAAAGGAGCTTACTGAGGACCACATTTAGAAACACATGTCAAATGTAGATGGACCCCACAGCTAAAACCTGAGTGAGGTTACAGCTGCCTGACAGGCTCAGCAGGCCAGCTAGAAATGCAGATTCGAAAAGCTGTCAACACACACACACACACACACACACACACACACACACACACACTGTGCATGATGGGGGAATGGAAGGAGGGCTGCATGGAAGAAAAACTGCTTTCCTCACAACACTGTGTAACTCTCCTCAGTGCTTTACATTTATTAAGTCATTTAATCCACAACCCCTAATTAGAACAGATGAGCAAACTCAAGCACAGACAGGTGAACTAAGATGTCAAAGGTCAAAGAGCTGGTAAGTGGCACAGCCACGTTTCAAATTCAGGCAGAGAGAACGAATGTCTTACCTTAACCATGATGCTATATTATCTTCAAAAAGCTCAATACTTTCAAGGGAGGCAACTGACAAACATGGGTAAGATCCCAGTGTGAGGCATTTAACACACCAGGCCTCAATCATACATAAAGATGGTGTGCCCTACACAAAAAGGCCTTTGCACCAGAGACAATCCTGTCTCCCCTGCACATCAATCTGATGATGGATCTGCTGGAGCAGATTAACACTGCCTTGCAGCTAATACTCGCCATAGAAATTCAATCAATTTGCAAAGGAAAAGGGAATGCTGACTCTGTTCACTTTTCTGACTCTTTGAAATAAGTAATTCTTACACCTTCTGGAGGAAAAACTAAGCCTGAGCTTTGTGCTTCCTTTCTCCCTCCTCTACCTCCTATGCCTTGCCGTTTAACCACCCACCCTACCAGCTAATGAACTGGCTTCTGACCTGTACTTTCAGAAGCTGGCCAGTGAGAGAAATGACAAAGACTATAGGCTGGGGTGGTAAAGACTTTCCTAATGGCAGGTGTGTATGGATGAGGACTGGAGATGGAATCGTGTTGACAAATCACTAGTATTCAAGAGTCCTGGATTCTTATCACAAATTGTTCATCAACCAGCTGTGTGACCATGGACAAGTCACTTAACCTTGCCACATTTCAGATTTCTCCTCTATATATCATGGAATACTATGCAGACATAAAAAGGAACGAGATCACGTCCTTTGCGGGAACATGGGTGGAGCTGGAGGTCATTATTCTCAGCAAACTAACGCAGGTATACAAAACCAAATACCGCATGTTCTCACTAGTAAGTGGGAACTGAATGGTGAGAACACAGGGGCACAGGGGCGGGAACAACACACACTGGGGCCTGTCAGTGGGGGAGGAGAGAGAGCATCAGGAAGAATAGCTAATAGATGCTGGCCTTAAAACCTAGGTGATGGGATGATCTGTGCAGAAAACTACCATGGCACAGGTCCACCTATGTTAACAAATCTGCACATCCTGCACATGTGCCCCTGAACTTAAAAATAAAAACAACAAAAAAATAAGAATTTCTCTTCTGTAAAATAGAAGTAACAATTCTATGCTTATTTCATTCACTGGGGTGGGTCAAAATAGAAACTAATGGAAGAAGCAAGAAATTTTTGACACATTTCTACACTAATATAGAGGGAGAGGAGTGGAAGTGGAGAAAAGGCAGGAGAGGCCAAGGCAGCAACGGCAGGATCCAGAAACTACTGCCTTTCCTTTAATTATTCTTAAAATACTCAATTTTTTTTTTCAGAGAATGAAAGATGAAACATTTTATCTGAAGGTGAAACAAAGATCCTGTAGTGGCTTTCAGTACTCATTAAAAAGATATCAATAATGAAACAGTATTCAGTATTTCTTCCTCTTGCAGAGGGAGTTGAAGTTCAACAAGGCTAATTTCTGCCTTTCCAAGGTGAAATGTTTTAAGCAAAGGATATAAGACAGAGGGCCCTCACCCAACGACTATATCACCAATCTCTAAAACTCAGAGGGCATGAACCTGTCTCTGTCTCCCTTCACAATCTTTAGTTTTAACTGAAATCAGCAAAACTGACACTGGGGATTTAAAAACTAAACCAAAACAAAACTGGAGCTGCAGCACAATAAATCTGACACACACAGCCCTCTCTCCAGGGACCAGCTGTGATCGGCTCCAACCTCCATCACATTCACCATGGCAGAGTTAGAACCACACACTGTAATGTGAATTCTGCATCATGGCTGTCTAACGGTAAATACAAGTTCATCAAGATAAAAGAAGATTAAAGGTTTGAATGGGAATGCAGAGAAAAACAAGGGTTGTCATTTGCTTTTTGGAAACACCAGTGAGGTGCAAGGAAATGGGTGGGAAAGGATAATCCTATGGGCAAGAACATGTCCTTCCTTTCATCTCACCCATCTGCTAAGCCTAATTACACTGTTGCAACTGGAACCTTTCATTTGTGGCTCAGTGGTTTAAATCAAGCAGCAGCATAAAATGTATCTCAGGGAGGGACCTTGAAGACCAACTTATCCAATTCTCATTTTACAGATGAGAAAACTGAGGCCCAAAGGGACAAGTTCACACAGTTCACTGCTGGCAGGTCTCCTAACTCCTAGGAGAGAGCTCCTTTCTAGGCCCCACACTGCCCTTTTCAACCCTGATGGTCACTGAATTTAGAGGCTGGCCTAAGGAATGACAGGAGGAGGTAGGGGGGTGATATCCAGAAAAAGAAATGGGATCTCCAAACTGCCACACAGCAAACAGAAATAGGCCACAACTGCATGCCACCCAATCTGAGCCTTGCTCTAGCCTCGATGGCAGCCTTGCCTCTGCCAGGAGGGTACACTGCAGGAAGGGAAGAGGATGACAACCAATCACTGTAGGAAGGAGAGGAAGGGTCCCCGTGCAGGTGGGTGTTCTTACCAGAGAGCCCAGGGAGTTGTAAAGTTCTCCTTCCCCTGTGGCATCTGGCAAGCAGGAATGCTACCAGGGTAGGAAACAAGTCAAGTAGCAGGGAAAGAGGAAAGGAGAGGCAAAAGAGACAGACCCAAGGTAAGAGAGACCAGCACCTAGAGATAAAGGCTGCATACAATCCCTTGATCCACACCTTCTACCCCTATTTACCCATCTGTGAGATCTTGGGTAAGTTACCTTCCTTTCTGGTCCTCAGTTCCATATCCATAAGAAAAGTATATGGGAAGGAGGAGAGGAGGGAAGGGAAAAGTTGTCTATCTCTGAGGTTCAAGTCCGTCAATGTGACAGTAATCTGAGGAGGTACAGAATAAGAACGGGGGCGTGTTCAAGTTGAGGGGCTGAGGAGCTTCAATGGACAGGGGGCAATATGAGAACAAAAAGAACTGGCACCATGGGTCTCTGAACAGTCAAACCATGGATGGCTGAGGATTGAGAGTTAGGCGTATAAGGAGTAGTAAGACAGGAAAGGAGAATGGACCTGAAAGAGGAAGGCAGAGAGTGCCAAAAGCACAGCTTACCAACTTCCAGATTCCACCCCAGGCTAGCCCATCTGTGTTGGGGGGGACGGGGGGGGGGGGGGCGCCGCAGTGCAGACCCAGTGGCAAGGGACAGCCCCAGTCAACATCTTGGGGAAGGCGTTCTATACCTTCCCATACCTCAATCCTTCAGGTTACTCTAGGAGAGGCTGTTCAACTACCTATAGGAAATCAAATTCTAGGAATGTGTATATGTGCTCTGTGAAAGAAGCCAGGCACGAAAAGAGTATGTACTATATGATATGGTTTGGCTCTGCGTTCCCACCCAAATCTCATCTTAAATTGTAATCCCCATGTGTTGAGAGAGGGAGGTGATTGAGTCATGGGGGCAGTTTTCCCCACATTGTTCCTGTGACAGTGAGTGAATTCTCATGAGAGCTGATGGTTTTATAAGTGTCTGGCATTTCCCCTACTGGCACTTCTCTCTCTTGCCACCATGTGAAGAAGGTCCTTGCTTCCCCTTTGCCTTATGCCGTGAGTGTATGTTTACTGAGGCCTCCCCAGCCATAAAGAACCGTAATTCAATTAAACCTCTTTACTTTATAAATTACCCAGTCTTGTGCAGTTCTTTATAAACCAGTGTGAAAACAGACTAATACACTATGTCATTCCATCTGTCAAAAATTCAAGGCCAGGCATGCTGGCTCACACCTGTAATCCTAGTACTCTGGGAGGCCGAGGCGGGAGGATCACTTAAGCCCAGTTGTTTGAGACCAGCCTGGCCAACATAGTGAAACCCCATCTCTACAAAAAATAGAAAAATTAGCCAGGCGTGGTGGCGTGTGCTTGTAATCACAGCTACTCAGGAGGCTGAGGTGAGAGAATTACCAGAGCCTGGGAGGCGGAGGTCGCAGTAAGCCAAGATCGCGTCACTGCACTCTAGCCTGGGTGACAATGAGACCCTGTCTCAAAAAAAAAAAAAAAAAAAAAAAAAAGGAAAGAAAATTCAAAAAAGGGCAACACTAATCTTTGCAATTATAAATTAGGAAAGTGATTACCCTTCAGGGGGAAGTAACTAAGAGGGGGTGTGTGATGGTTAATTTTACGTGTCAACTTGGCTGGGCCATGGTGTTTCTGTGAAAATGTTTTTGGTTTTTGTGGGGGTTTTTTGGATGAGATTAACATTTAAATTGGTAAACTTAAAGTGAATTACTCTCCATAATGTGAATGGGCCTCAGCCAATCAGTTGAAAACCTTAAGAGAACAAAGACTGACCTGCCCAAAAGAAGGAATTCTGCTGGTAGCCTGCCTCTGGACTTGAACCGCATGCAACCCTACCCTGGGTCTTCAGCTTGCTGGCTTATCCCTGCAGATTTTAGGCTTACCAGACCTCCATAATCACATGAGCCAATTCCCTAAAATAAACATCAATAACCCTCTCATACACACACACACACACACACACACACACACACACACACACACACACACACACACGCACAACTGCTGTTGGTTCTGTTTCTCTGGTGAACCCTAATATAGGGAAGGAGGGGAATTCCTGGGTGCTAGTAATGCCCTGTTCTTGATCTGAGGGCTGGTTATATGGTGTGTTCGGTTTCTGAGAATTCATCAACTATGCTTTTATGATACATAAAAATGTACCCTGACCCGAACCTGGGAGTCAGGCTATCTGGGTATGAAGCCCTATTTGGCCACTGAATAGCCACGTCAAGTTGGAGAGGTTTCTTTTTTTTGGAGACAGAGTCTTGCCCTGTTGCCTAGGCTGGAATGCAATGGCGCAATCTCGGTTTACTGCAACCTTCACCTCCTGGGTTCAAACGATTCTCCTGCCTCAGCTTTCCAAGTAGCTGGGTTTATGGGTGCCTGCCACCACGCCCGGCTAATTTTTGTATTTTTAGTAGAGACAGGGTTTCACCATGTTGGCCAGGCTGGTCTCTAACTCCTGACTTTGGGATCCGCCAGGCTCAGCGTCCCAAAGTGCTGGGATTACAGGGGTGAGCCACCATGCCTGGCCAGAGAGGTTTCTTAAAAGCCTTAAGCTTCAGGTTTTTCATCAGTAAAATGGGGCTAACAGTAGTAAACACATCTTGGGGTTGTCAGGAGACTAAAGGAGCTCACCCACACTCATCTAGCTCACAGTAGGTGCTCAATAAATACTATCAAATGTTATTATTATTATTTTTTTTTTTGGAGATGGAGTCTTGCTCTGTCACCCAGGCTGGAGTGCAGTGGTGCATCTTGGCTCACTGCAAGCTCCGCCTCCTGGGTTCACACAATTCTCCTGCCTCAGCCTCCTGAGCAACTGGGACTACAGGCGCCCGCCACCACACCCGGCTAATTTTTTGTATTTTTAGTAAAGACGGGGTTTCACTGTGTTGGCCAGGATGGTCTCGATCTCCTGACCTCGTGATCTGCCCGCCTCGGCCTCCTAAAGTGCTGGGATTACAGGCATGAGCCACCACCCCCAGCCCAAATGTTATTCTTTTTAACTAATTAGATTACAGTAGCAAAACAATATTAAATATGCATTTAGCATTTAGATGATTCCAACTTTTAAAAAAATATTTCACTCTCATTTAATTTCTACAACCACTTTTTACTTATTATCACATTTTGACTTAAATTGCCCTTAGCTGTATATACTCCTTTAGTTACTTTACTGAGGGCCTTCTAGTGCCGGAACTTACGCATTCTCAAAGACCTGGGAAGACAAAACAATCAATTTATTCTCAAAGGAAAAACAAAATGAGATCATCGTCAATGGGGTTTATATGCAGGCAAGAAGTAACAACTAGGGCTTCAAACCATATAACACGAGAAGCTAACCACTATGCTTGCAGAAAAGCACAGCCTTGGTATTTACCTGGAGAGTTCTATCCTTGTAACACTACAGAAGGATATGTTAGGATTAGAGAATTTTAGCACTGGACAAAACTTTAAAGTTTTAACTGTAAGAAAAACTACAGAGAAGTGACTTGCACAAGTTCACAGAGTAAGTGACTATTAGAGTTGAACCCAGGTCTTCTGACTCCTAAAGGCTTCACACCTATTTCGCAGGCACAGAGTAGCCACAAGCATGTTTTTCTTCTTTCTAGTAGTTTCACCACAATGTGAAAGACCAGCTCTGCCCTGAGAGTGCCAATGTCCTTTCCCACACTTCTTAGATGCCTTCCTCTTCCTGAACCCCAGAAGAAGAGGGCACCTGAGCAGGAAATCTCAGGTGACTTAGTTTGCCAGTGCCTACTCTACTGAAGAACTAGGTTTTCATTCTTGAGAAGAAACTCATGGAAGGATGTGTTTCCTATCACAGGTATACATGCTAATTTTTTTGTTGAATTTTCTTGTTGCGACTTATGCCAAGTAATTATAAAGGTTTTTTTTTTTTTTGTCTTCTTGATGAATATTTCATGAAGGCTATGAAGTTGGAACAGGCAAGTCCTGGGTGTGAAAATTTTATCTACCTCATTTATTTTTTATTTTTTGTAGCCATAGTGTCTATTTTCCTATTTTAAGATTACTGGGCTGCTCTCTGCCTATGGAGCAGCCATTCTTTTATCCCTTTGCTTTCGTAATAAACTTGCTTTCACTTAAAAAAAAAAAAAAAAGAAAAAACACTTACGTATTCCCAGGCCCCGTCTAAAACCTAAGAGTTGTGATGTATTGGCAGGAAGAGCTGAACGTTCAAGATGGTTTTGTGATGCATTTTCTTCTAATCTCCTTTTGTACATGTAATATTGAGCAAACAAAACACTGCTCTCAGTTTAACAAGAAAGGAGGAAGAAAGATTCTAACTTCTGAGAGAAAAGTCTTTCCCCTCTATGTGGAAGGCCCTGACTGAAATGTGGATCCAAGATTGTTAGCCAAAGTGTTGTCTCTTAATTGTTGCACCTTACTTTAGGATTCCCCTTTTCTTCCCCCCTGCAAGGTGTGCCCTTCCTTCCGGAATTGTAAGTGAACAAAATAGTACCTGTTTACACTATGAAGTGGGATATTGTTACAGAAAACCCACGAGTGGCTTTCTCACTGTTGAACTAATAATGCCTTGTGAATGTATGATCTATGTAGATACCCTTGTAGTTGTACCTGCTGATGCTATCTGTCTGTTGGAAAATAAATTTTGAATGTCCCCTGCCCCACTGCCCGCCATCCCCCACTAAAAAAAAGACCAGCTCTGTCCTGGCCCAGAAGCAGCTGATTTCCTGCATATGTCACTGGCCCTAGAAGTGGGTCTGGAAGCTTCTTTCAGGAACAATGACTATGAGACTTTTCTCACCTACACATCTGTCAGCAAGTGAAGAAGAGTAGGCGGCCAAGATGTGATTTGCACAAGCAGCTAGCGTCAAGGAAGAGGTTAAAAAAAAAAATTCTGCTAAATTGAGTGAAGCACATTAGGAACCATGCAAACGAATAACTGTATTGAAGCACAGCTTCTCCTAGTTGATGAAGAATCTAAGCCTAAAGCTGTGCTCAACACCAACAGAAAGCAAAAGTCTACTAACTGCTGAAGGAGGTATACAAAACTTTCTCCTGCCCAAGACCTGCCGCAGATACAAGGCAAAGTCTGGCTGCCATACACAGGAAGGGAAAGAATGCTGGGAAAACCCCAAACCCAAGGTCTATACTCACAGGGTCTGCTAAAGATGGAGACGGGAGGCTGGGCACAGTGGCTCATGCCTGTAATCCCAGCACTTTAGGAGGCCGAGGCGGGCAGATCACCTAAGGTTGGGAGTTTGAGAACAGCCTGACGAACATGGAGAAACCCTGTCTCTACTAAAAATACAAAATTAGCCGGGCTTGGTGGCACATCCTGTAATCCCAGCTACTCGGGAGGCTGAGGCGGGAGAATCGCTTGAACCCAGGAGGCAGAGGTTGTAGTGAGCCGAGATTGCACCACTGCACTCCAGCCTCAGCAACAAGAGTGAAATTCCATCGCAAAAAAAAAAAAAAAAAAAAAAAGATTGAGATTGGATCAAGACAATGAGAACCTCCCTACCTCTACTTCAAGCCAAGAACCACTAAAAAGCAACTGCAGCTTACCCCTAGGAAAGGGGCAAGAGTGTAGAGAAAGAGTCCCTTTGTGGCAAAGGATTAAGGGACAGTTCAGAGCTGAAGAAGCAGTAGAAAGACTGAGAAAAAAAATAAATGTATGCAACTCAGGCTCCCCGCTAAGTGCAAGATAAAAACCCATTACTGGAGAAATTTGAAGCATGTGATGCATTTAAGTTAATATTAAAAAGAAAGCCCAAACCCAGCTCAAATCTGGCTAACAGCCTAACACAAACTAACAGCATGACAGAAAAGCATGCCCATTTCTGAGGATAAAGACAATTTACCTAATTCTCTGTTCTACCACATAATATCCAAAATTCAATCAAAAATTACAAGACACGGGCTGGACACGGTGGCTCATGCCTGTAATCCCAGCACTTTGGGAGGCCGAGGCAGGCAGATCACTTGAGGTCAGGAGTTCGACATCAGCCTGGCCAACATGGCGAAACCCCACCTCTACTGAAAATATAAAAATTAGCTGGGCATGGTGGCATATGCCTGTAATCTCAGCTACTCAGGAGGCTGAGACAGGAGAGTCATTTGAACCCAGGAGGCAGAGGCTGCAGTGAGCCAAGACAGTACCATTGCACTCCAGCATGGGCAACAAAAGAAAAACTCCACCTCAAAAAAAAAATGCACAAGACATGGCTGGGTGCGGTGGCTCACATCCATAATCTCAGCACTTTGGGAGGCCAAGGCAGGTGGATCACCTGAGGTCAGGAGTTCCAGACCAGCCTGGCTAACATGGTGAAACCCCATCTCTGCTAAAAATAAAACAATCAGCCAGGCATGGGTGGGGCACAGTGGCTCACACCTGTAATCCCAGCACTTTGGGAGGTCAAGGTGGGCAGATCACCTGAGGTTGGGAGTTTGAGACCAGCCTGACCAACATGGTGAAACCCCATCTCTACTAAAAATACAAAATTAGCCGGGCATGGTGGTGCATGCCTGTAATCCCAGCTACTCGGGAGGCTGAGGCAGAAGAAACACTTGAACCTGGGAGGCAGAGGTTGCCGTGAGCCGAGATTGCGCCATTGCACTCCAGCCTGGTCAACAAGAGTGAAACTCCATCTCAAAAAAAAAAAAAAAAAAAATTAGCCTGGCATGGTGGCAGGCACCTGTAATCCCAGCTACTCAGGAGGCTAAGGCAGAAGAATTGCTTAATACCGGGAGGGAGGTTGCAGTGAACCAAGATTGCACCACTGTACTCTAGCCTGGGTGAAAAGAGTGAGACTCTGTTTCAAAAAAAAAAAAAAGGAAAGAAAAACACAAAAATCAAGAAGGGTTGGGAAGTGGGATGGGGGGGAACAACCTTATCAAGAGATAAGCTATAAACAGAACCAGACTCAGATGACCCAGATGTTGGAACTATCAGACAGAGGCCTTAAAATAACTATGATTAATATGTTAAAGGTGACAACATGTATGAACAAATGAGGAATTTCAGCAAAGGTGAAAACTAAAAATAGAATCAAATTAAAATGCTAGAAATTTTAAAAACGTGGCATCAGAGGTCAACAGGCTCATTAGCCGATTACATGGAGCTGAGGGAACAATCAGTGACCCTGAAGATAGGTCGACAGAACTTTTTAAATGGAGGCTGGGCACGGTGGCTCATGCTTGTAATACCAATATTTTGGGAGGCCAAGGCAGGAGGACCACTTGAGGCCCAGAGTTTGAGACCAGCTTGACCACTTGAGGCCCAGACTTTGGGACCAGCTTGTCTCAAAAAAACAAAAAAACAAAAAAGAAATTAACCAAACTAAAGCAAAAAAAAAGAATAAAAGAAATCAGAACAGAGCATCCAAGAGTTGTAGGACAAGATCCAATCGTCTAACATATATGTAGTTGGGGTCTTGGATGAACAAGAGGGAACAGGACAGAAGAAATACTTGAAGAGATAAAGGCCAAGAATTTCCCAAAATTAACAAAAAACAACAAACATCCAGATCGAAAAAACACAGGGCACCCTAAGCAATACTTAAAAAAAGAAAAATCCCACACCTAGACACATCATAGTCAAACTGCTAAAAACCAGAGATAAAAAGTCAACCTTAAAGTCATTTATCTATGTTTCCTTCCAGTGCTTGTTCATATACGTTCATTTTTTTCCCGTCATAGGTACTACAATATAATTCATTTTCACCTAAGAGTGTTTTCTTTGGCTACCTCAGTTTCAGTTTCCCAATCCGTAAAAAAGGAATATCATATTCCACTCAATCCCATGTAGTTATGGTAAAGAATAACAATACAAATGTTCAAGCAACTGTGAAATACTCCACAACAGAAGATATTTTCATGATTATTGCCTTACAGGACATGTAGTCTAAACCCCTGGTTTAGACGGAGAAACTGGGTCTCAGGAGAAGTGACTTATCCAAAGTCACACACACTTATAGGTATCAGAAATTTTGACAAACACTCTCAGGTGCAAATGAATTATATTGTATTACCTATGGGGGAAAAATGAATGTATACGAACAAGCACTGCAAAGAAACATAGATAAATGAAATCAGTTGCTGTGGCAGGGTAGAAGGTGATTTAATCCCCACGTTTTCATGTTGTTCATGCAATAAATAATCTGGGGAAAATGCACAATGTAGTTAATTACCTTTATTGCTTTTATGGTTTCACCACCAACTTCAAAAGTGATTCTGGGGCAATGACTGTACCACAGTTCGCCTAATTCTCACAAAGGGCCTAGAACACAGGCAGCTGTGTAGTTGAGGATATGCTAGAGTAAGTTTTGTGGGGATATGAGGCTCAAACTGGTCTAGAATGATATAAAATAATGAGATAGCAAAAAAAAAAAAAGAGAAAGAGGGCATTCTAGTAGGGGCTAATCTGTGAACAATGGTATAGAATTGGTTTGTTGCTGTTTTTTGTTGGTTTTTTTTTTTTGAGATGGAGTCACTCTGTCACCCAAGCTGAAGTGCAGTGATACGATCTCAGCTCACTGCAACCTCCACCTCCTGGTTCAAGTGTTCCTCCCACCTCAGCCTCCCAAGTAGCTGGGATTACAGGCCCCACTATGCCAGGCTAATTTTTGTATTTTTTTTAGTAGAGACAGGATTTCACCATGTTGGCTAGGCTCGTCCCCAATTCCTGACCTCAAGTGATCTGCCCACCTCGGCCTCCCAAAGTGCTGAGATTACAGGCGTGAACCACTGCACCCAGCGACAATGGTATAGAATTAGGATTAGGAATATTATAAACCATTAACTCGCAGTTAGCACTTAAGGAAAAAAAAAAAAGATTATAAGCCAGGCCAGGCAAGGTGGCTCAAACCTGTAATCCTGGCACTTTGGAAGGCCAAAGCGGATCGCTTGAGCTCAGGAGTTTGAGACCAGCCTGGGCAACATGGCAAAACCCTATCTCTACAAAAAATACAAAAATGCACCAGGTGTAGTGGCATGCACCTGTAGTCTCAACTACTTGGGGGGCCAAGGCAGAAGGATCGCTTGAACCCGGGAGGTCAAGGTTGCAGTGAGCCAAGACCACACTACTGCACTCCAGTCTAGGTGATAAAGTGAGACCCTGTTTCAGAAAAAAAAATTTATATATATATATATGTGTGTGTGTGTGTGTGTGTGTGTGTGTGTGTATGTGTGTGTATGTGTATATATGTGTGTGTGTATGTGTGTACATATATATAAAATTGTACATATAAAAATTATAAGTATATATATGCACGTGTATATATGTATGTATGTGTGTGTATGTATGTGTGTGTATATATGTATGTGTATGTATATATGTATGTGTGTATATATATGTATGTATGTGTGTGTATGTATGTATGTGTATATATACACATATATATACACACATATATATACACACATATATATACACACATATATATACACATATATATATACACATATATATACACATATATATACACACATATATATACACATATATATACACACATACACACACACACACACACACACACACACACACACACACATATATATATATATATGCCAAGAGTAAGTATTAGGGGAATAAAGCTTAAAATAAAAAAATAAGAAAATGAAAGGACAGGTAAATTTATTTTGAAAAATAAATAAGGTAAATTTATTTACCTTTTCAATCGGCTTCCCCAGGTTGAAAGACATTTATTTTATTTTATTTTTGAGACAGGGTGTTACTCTGTCACCCAGGCTGGAGTGCAGCAGTGCAGTCACAGCTCATTGCAGCCTTGATCTCCCAGGCTCAGGTGATCCTCCCACCTCAGCGTTTGGGGTAGCTGGGCCACCATGCCTGGTTAATTTTTGTACTTTTTGTAGAGACTGGGTTTCGCCATGTTGCCCAGGCTGGTCTCAAACTCCTGGGCTCAAGTGGTCCACCCACCTTGGCCTCCCAAAGTGCTGGGATTACAGGTGTGAGCCACTGTGCACGGCTGAAAGGCATTCATTCATTCATTCATTCGTTCATTCATTTATTTGACAGAGTCTTGCTCTGTCACCCAGGCTGAAGTGCAGTGGTGTGATCTCGGTTCACCACAACCTCCGCCTCCCCGGTTCAAGTGATTCTCATTCCTCAGCCTCCCGAGTAGCTGGGACTACAGGTGCCCACCACCATGCCCAGCTAATTTTTGTATTTTTAGTAGAGACAGGATTTCACCACATTGGCCAGGGTGGTCTCGAACTCCTGACCTCAGGTGATCCACCCACCTCACCTCCCAAAGTGCTGGGACTACAGGTGTGAGCCACCACACCTGGCCAAGGCATTTATTTTTAATTTCACTGTAAATCAGGTAGTTTCCAAGCCAACAGACTTTTTTTTTGTTTATGTCATAAAAACAGGTTTGATTAAAAAGAATCCCAGGTAGAATAAGAATCACATATTCCTATCCTTTAAAAAGAAACAAACAAACAAAAACACCCCCTGGGAATCAAACAGTCTTCTGAAATCACATAAATTACCTTCCCACAACATGTTTCTGCAGTCATGTTGAAAAACACACACATACACACACACAGAGGAGCCTCTGGAGTCATGAGGACCACCCACTCACAAAGACTTTCCTCAAATATTGAATAACATCCTGAATCAGACAGGGGGTGTCATATTGTTGCTTAAAACAAGTGACAGCCTATGGTTCCTTCTGTCCCAGTATATAAAATGTGTTTCATATTAGCCGCATATGAAATTTTTTTTTTTTTGAGATGGAGTCTCGCTCCCGTCACACAGGCTGGAGTGCAGTGGCACAATCTCAGCTCACTGCAACCTCCACCTCCCAGGTTCAAGCAATTCTCCTTCCTCAGCCTCCCCAGTAGCTGGGATTACAGGCATGCACCACCACGCCCGACTAATTTTTGTATTTTTAGTAGAGACGGGGTTTTGCCATGTTGGCCAGGCTGGTCTTGAATCCCTGACCTCAGGTGATCCATCCGCCTCGGCCTCCCAAAGTGCTAGAATTACAGGTGTGAGCCACCGCGCCCAGCCAGATAATTTTTAAAGGATCAGGCTTCTGTAGAAGTACAAAAGGAAAAGTGATGGAGTTTGGAGGGAGAGGGGGGAAAAAAAAACAGAAGTTATAAGACAAAAAAGAAGCCAGGCATGGTGGTGCACGCCTGTAATCCCAGCTACTTGGGAGGATGAGGCAGGAGAATCGCTTGAACCCAGGAGGCAGAGGTTGCAGTGAGCCAAGATTGCGCCATTGCACTCCAGCCTGGGCAACAAAGTGAAACTCTGTCTCAAAAAAAAGAAAAAAGGAAAAAAAAAAAAAAAAAAAAAAGGCCGGGCACAGTGGATCACACCTCTAATCCCAGCACTTTGAGAGGCTGAGGTGGGCGGATCACAAGGTCAGGAGATCGAGACCATCCTGGCTAACACATTGAAACCCTCTCTCTACTAAAAACACAAAAAATTAGCCAGGCGTGGTGGCGGGTGCTCGGGAGGCTGAGGCAGGAGAATGGCGTGAACCCGGGAGGCGGAGCTTGCAGTGAGCTGAGATCCCGCCACTGCACTCCAGCCTGGGCGACAGAGCGAGACTCCGTCTCAAAAAAAAAAAAAATGTGGTCAGCATCAGAAAAACAAAGGGAGCCCTGGGTCTGGTGGTGACCACTAAACAGTGGGGCTGGCTGTTACTGAAAAGACAAGCTGGCTATGGCCTTAGAAAGATGACGTACTGGACATTACCCATTCCCTGTTCTTGAGAAGCTGATATAGAAAAATATCTTTTATCCTTCCAGTCATAATGAGGAAAAAATAGTTTAAATAAATTTAAAAAAAGAAAAAGAGCTTTTTAGAAAATCCCTGTATAATAATGGCCCATGCTGGTCTATCAATCAGGAATGCAGTTTGCTCTTCAATGAGGGAGAAGGTACAGGATCCAATGTGACCCAATCAGTTAAACCTCATAACTCAGAACTGAGGCAGGAAAATTGGGTCTGGAGGTAGGGAACATAAGGCCAATTCACTCTTCAGCTATAACAGGAAATATCCTCTCCATAGGTCATAGGCCGCAAATGACTTTGTAACTTTACTTCAACCTCTCCATTTACATACAGCGTACCCAAAATAACAAATGGAATCCTCTAGGGGGTATTTAAATTCCCCAAAACTCTGCAACGGGGCCTTTTGAGCTCCTATGCTTGGGACCGCTCCCACATTGTGGAGGGTACTTTCATTTTCAATAAATCCCTTCGTCCCTTCCTTGCTTTGTGCATTTTGTCCAATTCTTTGTTGAAGATGCCAAGAACCTGGACACCCTCCAACTTTAACAGAACCATAAGTACGGTCGGGTCCCCAAGGCAAAAGGTCAGTAGCCAGTGCCCAGAAGCACACCCAAGGGCAGGAAGATACAGTCAGATGAAACACAGCACTCAAAATATGTCTCCAATTCTAGTCCACAGGAGAAATTGTCAATTCTCCAGACTTGCTTCCCCCTTATATACAAGAACAGCTGTTTGTTACAGCTGGACCCTTCTCCCTGCCCAAATACACACAGGAGGGTCAGCAAATCTCATCCCTGAGCACGTATCACCTCTGGGAAAAAACCCTACCCCCAGATCACTTTCCAACAACCTTCAGGGAATCCTGATTTCAGGATCAGGACTGGAAGTCAATGCAGGTGCTCACTTAAGCATAGGTTTTTTGTTTTTTTGAGACAGGGTCTCATTTTGTTGCGCAGACTGGGGTGTAGTGGTGCAATCATGGCTCACTGCAGCCTCAATCTCCTGGGCTCAGGCGATCCTCCCTCCCACCTCAGTTTCTCAAGTAACTGGACTACAGGCACGTGCCACCATGCCTGGCTAATTTTTGTAATTTTCTGTAGAGACAGGGTTTCACTATGTTGCCCAGATTGGTCTCAAACTTCTAGGGCTCAGGTGATCCACCCACCTAAGCCTCCCAAAGTGCGGGGATTACAGGCGTAAGACACTGCACCTGGTCAACATTCAACATGTTAAACTAGGGGTAGAAAATTACTAGTTAGACCATCAAATTAACAGCAATTGGTCTAGTAAAGTCAAAACCTACCTAGAAGAAGTAATATCACAGAAAGAAACTTAATTAAAACCAAAACTGATAGTGCTTGCTTCTGTCTTCTGAAAAAAGATGTGGGGTGGGGAAATAAGTCTTTGGGCTAACAATACCTGTTCACAGTGGGATCTGGTCCTACTAGAGAACCAGAAAGCTTGCCCATAGTTTAGAAGGGCCTGCTCCTCAGCCTTGGGGTGGGCAGAAGCAGCCCTGAACAGCATGTAGAGGTGCAGCTGGAGAGCTGAATTACGTTGCAAAATAAAATGAGAAAAGCTTGTTTGGGGACTCGTTAAGAGCAGCAAGAGCAGAAGGAAAGGAGGTACCATGGCAGGGTAGCAAAGGTCATTTAAGACCAAAGACACCTAACACCATTAGATTTTAAGTTACCTGTATTGCTGTAATATAATATACCCTCCCCACCCCAAACCTTCCAAGTCCAATCTGCTGTGCACACAAATAGCTTTGTGTATACTTTGTTCTCACTGTTGTTATAGTGGAAACCAAGGAAAAGGAGCCAAATTCCAAGCTAGTTCAAGAACAGAGCAAAAAGAGAAAAAACATAGAAAGGGAAATGTGAGTCCCACAGCAGAACTGATGATGAGAATCTAAACCTCGGGGAGTGCTCCAATCTAGAAAAGGGCATGGGATAGGTAACTTGAGTGAATCTCTGGGTTACATCCATTTATGCCTACAGCTGTGAAAATACAATGCAGATTTACTATGAAGCGTCTACTCCATGACAAGCACTATGTATACTAGAGGCTAGGCTATGAAGACAACAAGATCCCTGTCCTCACAAGGCAGTCTGAAAGGTGGGTGTGTGGGTGGGTGTGTGTGTTTGGGGGGGATTGTAGGGGGGTGTGTATCACAATGTAAGCCAAACATAGGAAAGGATACTAAGAAGAAGTACAGCAACAACTATACAAGTGTAACAACAATCTACAGGGTAGGGTAGGTCAAAATGCTAAAAGCAAGGTAGGCATTGGGAGCTATGGGAACATACAGAAAAACTCCCTAATTCCATCTAAGATAAGGGAGGGAAAGTGAAGGTCAGAAAATGTAATCCCCAAGTTTAATCCTGAGAATATCCTGAGAGTGGATGCATCCAGGTGAGTGATGAGATGGGGCTGCAGGTAAACTGAGCTAGACCATGAAGGGCACAGCACACCATGCTAAAGAATTAGGTTTAGAAGGCGAGTGGGGAGCTAGGGTGACTTCTGTAATTTGACTTCTGTAATATTACCAGGCCTAAAAAAACTAATGTGTGCTCAGTATGAAAAAATCCAACTAGTCTAGAAATATATAGTCTAAAGTAAAACTCTATGTTCCACCTTCCCTCAGATAACTACTCTTAACACTGTAGAATATATACACTTCTAGATTTCTTTGAAATACATTTCCAGTGAATATATATAGTATGTTTTGTTTAACGAAAATGGAATTATAATACACACATTGTTCTGCAACAGCAAATTCTAAAGAAAGTGACAAGATCAGTTTTATATTTTGGAACCAAGAGTCTGGCAACTTAGAAATGGGAGAGCCAAGCCAGGAAAGTCAGCTTGAAGGCAACAAGGAAAACAAGACAAGATGAGAATTTGAACACCACAGCAGCCAGGCAATAAAGAGCTGGGACAGAAACTGAAGGCAGAGTTGGCAAGACTGGGTGATGATCTGGATATGGGGGGAGGGAGGGAGGAGTTGAGGGTGATGCCAGGTTTCTGGCTGGGCATCCAGAGGGATCTGACTTACCACATCACAAAGATGAGGACTAGACAGCTTTGGGGGTTAGGAGGATGTTGTATAATAAAGAATTTGGCTGGCCTTTGTCCCTGGTTTCTGGAGGTAACCTCTAAATCTTTGGAATTTCTCAAGTAATAGGAGTGTCTTTGTTATTCACAGTGGGCCCTGATAGTTTACGCCAATAAGGTGATTCAATGTGGGCCCACAGTTTGCTTAAAAAGATGACACAGGGACAGTGGACACCAGGACTCCAAGATGGCATCAGTCATACCAGTGAAGAACAAGAAACTTCTGGAGGTCAAACTAGGGGAGCTGCCAAGCTGGAGCTTGATGCAGGACTTCAGCAATAGTGGCACTACCGGAGCATTTTGAAGAGGTTATTACTGGTACTACAAGCAGTGCATTGACATGAAGAAGGGGAGCATCTCAGGGGTTACCATGGTGCTGGCAAGCTACGTGCTCTTCAGCTACTGCCTTTCCTACAAGGAGCTCAAGCACAAGTGGCTATGCAAGTACCACTGAAGAAGAGGGCATGCTCTGCACTCCCCGCCATGACCTTCTTGGCCCGAGCCCCTCCATAAGGAACACAGTCTCGATCGTTGCTGAATCCTTTCATATCCTAATGGGAATTAACCTCCAAATAAAAGATGACTGGGGGAAAAAAAAAAAAAAAGACACAGGATGGGGGCTGGCCATACCAGAAAGACCAATCATGTGATTACAAGGTTGGGGCTCTGAGCCATGTAATACAGCCTAACCTGCAGTGAGTAAAAGGGCTAGAGATTCAGTTCAATCACATGGCCAATGATTCAATTAATCATGCCTATGTAATGGGGCCCCAGTAAAAACTCTGGACACTGAAGCTCAGGGGAGCTTCCCTGGTTAATAATACTCTGTGCATATTGTTACACATCAATGTACTAGGAGAGTGACTGTGCCCTGATTCCAAGAGGTGAAGACACCAGAAGCTTTACATCTGGGACCCTCCCAGGCCTTACCCTATATGCCTCTTCTTTTGGCTGCTCCTGATTTGTACCCTTTTTGCTATAATAAAATTGTAATCAGAAGTACAGTGCATTCCTGAGTTCTGTGAATTGCTCTAGCAAACTATGGAACCTGAGAGGATAGTGAAAACCCCAATTTGTAGCTAGTTCAACAGAAGTGTGTGTGGTCAGGAAACCCCTTAGATTGTAACAGTCTTATGAAGGGCAGTCTTACAGAGGACTGTGTGTTTAACCTATGAGGTCTGCCTGACTCTGGGTAGTTAGCATGAGAGGTCATCACAGGCGACAAGAGGATTATAAATCTATTTTTTGGAAAAGGTGAGTTGGAGATAACCTGCAGGCTCTACGTGTGGAGCTACTCAGTATATGGCTGACCAGATAGGCCAGAAACTCCTAACAGAGACCTGAGGCAGGTTCACAAGTCTAAGATGATGATAAGAGCCACGAATGCAGAGGATATCAAAAGGGCAAGTGTAAACAATTAAAAAAAAAAAAGTCCCTTCACCATAAATAAGGTTACAGGAAAAAAAAAAAAAAAAGAAGAAGAAGAAAAAAATAAGAACAAAACAGAAGACCCAAAAACCCCAAGACAGGCCCAGATCCCTGCTTTGGGGATACAGTCCTTCACTCCTCAAGACAGCGTTAGTCACTCACCCTTTGAGTTCCCATAGCCTGTGCTGTATCACACACCAGAGTTAGAGCATGTGTCACAATGCCTTGCAATTACATGCTCATACCCTCAATTAAGCTGGAAGTATCCCCCAAACTTGAGTCTAACCCAGTGTGAGGTATACAATAAACACTAAAACCAAAAGAAAAAAAAAAATGCCTACAATACAGAAATGGATGAGAATTTGCAGTGAGAAATATTTTTGTGGTTGCTGAATTCTTGTAATTATTTTAGCTGTGTGAAATCTGCCATAATCTTTTTTCTTATTACTTAAGTTCATAATTTGTTTTAGTATTATGAACAGGTAGACACAGGGAGGTCAGAGAACTTTAAACGTCAACAAATTTTTCATTCTGGCTAGAGCAGGTTAGTTGCCCTAAGTCTCATTTACAACTTTTTGTTTTGCTTTAATGCTTGTTCCAATCCCACTGAGGAAAATGCAGTGCTGAAGCACCAAGAGGAGAAGAGTCAAGCTTATTCCCTTAGGATCAAGATGGTCCTAGACACCAGCCCAGAATGCTTCAGGATATTTAGGGTTCAGTAAAGAGCAGCCTGACATCCTAGCTTCTAAAAATTGACACAAGGGGCCAAGCGTGGTGGCTCATGCCTGTAATCCCAGCACTTTGGGAGGCCGAGGCAGGTGGATCACCTGAGGTCAGGAGTTCGAGGCCAGCCTGGCCAACATGGTGAAACCCTGTCTCTACTAAAAATACAAAAATTAGCTGGGCGTGGTGGCGAGCACCTGTAGTCCCAGCTACTTTAGAGGCTGAGGCACGAGAATTGCTTGAACCTGGGAGGTGGAGGTTGCAGTGAGCCGAGATCACGCCACTGTACTCCAGCCAGGGCGACAGAGAGAGACTGTGTCAAAAAATAATAATAATAATAAAATAATAAAATAAATAAATAAATAAAATTTCCACAAGGGCCAGGCACAGTGGCATGCGCCTGTAGTCCCAGCTACTCAGGAGGCTGAGATGTAAGGATGGCTTGAAGCCAGGAGTTTCAGGCTGCAGTGCACTATGACTGCACCTGTGAATAGCCACTGCCCTCCAGCCTGGGCAATACGGCAAGACCCCATCTCAAAACAAACAAAAATTGCCATAAGAATATTTGTTTTAATATTTAAATATCTAAAATGCATGTAAGATATCAGTGTGACCAGGATGCAATCTAAGTATGCAGTCTTTGGGCCAAATTACCAATTATGTGCTCAGGCAGAGTAGATTATCTGGGTAAGTGTAAAAATTATCATTTGAAACCTTCAAAGAAATGGAGTCAAGAGCTACACAAATGCAGGAGATACTGGCTTCCTTGACTAGAAGAGCTGTCCTGTCCAGAAAACTGAAGTCTAAAAATTGCTGAGTTCAGCTTTCCAGATCCTTGGAAGCCTCCTAAAGACTTCGTTTTTAGATGCTTAACGTTTTCATTACCTGGTCAAAGAACCAGCTCAAAGAAGCCTTTCACAGTACAGCCAGGTCCAGCCCATTCTGTCTACCAGCCCACAGCAAACGCAGAGGTGTTTCCACATATCAAACCACAGTCCTGGAGCTGATTCCTAAACACAACACTGATTTACATTATTAGCTATGCAGTAAGTTTACAAAGGATAGTTGCTTTTACAGCGACACTAAAGCTCACCAAATTCAGTTCACCTATTTCATTTCACATACACATTACTGGATTTTTGAGGGTTATTTTTATTTGCAAAATTGCAGCCTCCATCAATAATTTGTCTCCAATGTATAAACTATATTCTTAACAAAAAGGACCAAAATTGTGGAAACAACCCTGAACTTGAAGTCAGAGGGTCTGGAGCCCTCTATTAACTCTGCTGGTAACTGGTCATCTAACCATGGGCAAGATCTCTCTCCTGCCTTAAATGGAAGCACACTCTTGTCCTGTATCACAAGGGACTGTTATGAGCACCTGGACAGAGAATGGGTGGGAATGTGTTTTAAAATGGATAAATAGGTAAACACATTAAAGAGACACTTTTCTAATATACATATATATATCTTTTCTTCTGACTTATCCTTGGTTAGAAAAGAATGTGATTTTGGATGACACCACATTCACTGTGAATCTTGAAAGCGCACTGAAGAATACACCAATGATCAAAATTAGAAAACAAAATCTATTGAAACAACACTCTAGTGGATCTTAAACTTGAGTTATTAGCTGCAGGGAAAAGACAATAGCAAAACCAATATTATTGGCATTCTTAGGACTTTGGTCACTTTGGATCAAAAATCTGCAGGGTCTGTCTGGCACTTAAAAAAGAAGCAGATAAAAAGATTTGTCTACCAAGCTCTTCCTCTTCACTTCTCCCCACCTACTTCCTTTTCTTCCAAAGGAGAAGGGCTCTCATTTACCCACTGGTTTGCCACATCCTGCCTAAGAAGCTACTTCCTGGGAACTGCCTGGGCTATTCTGAGAGGAGCTTTAACTCTTTCAGACCCTGAGACCCTAGTATATTCATGACATCTGTACCTACCATAGTCATTTACAACCTAATAACTAAACTCCAGTTGACCAGATAATACTCCCAACTTCCTTCATGCCAGGCCCCATATTAAGCACTCTACCTACAACAATCCAGGCAGGATTCGCATTTCTTGGTCCCATCTGGGGTCTCCAACCAGTCCAGCCTTGCTTAATCAGTCAAAAAGGACCAAAAAAAAAAAGAAACCTCAAGAACAGTTATCAAGAAACTCAACGCACATAACATTGCATTTGATATTGATGGAAACTCAACTGAACAAAGCTTCTGTCCCACAGAAGCTCTGTAAACTAACACTGGCTTTCATTCATTCCACTTTTACTGATCAACTAGTACATGGCAGGCCTGGGCGGGAGATGGGACATCAAGGCTGAACTCTTCATCTGCAGAAGCTTACAATGTAGCTAGTAAAGCAGAACAAATATGTACAAAGATCGCCACATCCCTGCCAAGTGATCTGTCTCCTGAGTAGTTCATGTACAGTTTCACTGTACTGTATGTGTGTCCCTCCCAAAAGTTTCCCCTTAAGACCTACCCCAGACTAGAGAGGACCGCAAACCTGTCGATGGCATCCCAGTTGCTGAGCTTCCAAGGCTCCCCAAATTCATTAGCAAGAGAATGTAGAATACTGGAACTTCTTTGACAAATGAGAAGTTTTTTCAAGTTCTAGACTTGGACCTATTGTTACATTTTAATAAGCCTTCAGCAGTCTGGATACCTGCCTTTGGATTATATATCAAAAATATGGTGATTTTAGAGCCAAAAGGCACAATTGTGTTATCATTTCAGATTAACTGTTAAGAGAAAAATTAACTATTTTTTCTCTCTCTCCAAATACACTTATCAACCTTCTCTCTTTTTTCCCCTTTTTCCTAAAAGTTAAATCCTATCGCTCAAACCCACACAGTTAACCCCTAGGACTGCATGTCACTGTACAGAAATGTGTTAAGCCTTTAATGGTCCTCACCAAAGATATGTCAAGAGAAAATGTAAGGGTTAACAGGAAATTAGTTCTGTGTTGGGGTCCTTTAACAATGAACAAGTATTCACTTTTATTCATTTCAAACTGAACATGCCATAGACTCTCCCCTAGTTGTAAGACAGAAGACAAGGTTAAGCAGTAGGGCAGGGCAAAAAACAAGGGCCCTGCACAGGAGAGAAGTCAACGGATCCGGATGCAGGTCTTCACCAGCCATCTGACAACTGAGTAGGCTGCCCAGTCTCTCTGGGCCTCAACCTCTTCATATATACATACAGGAGGCTGAACTATCAAGATCTTTTCCACCTCTGTCATTTTAAGGACAAGTGGTTATACTCTGGGGAGAAGGAATTAAAGGTGCTGATGGGGAAACGGATGATTAACATAATGTAATTCTTCTTTCAAAGGGTCTGTGAATAGAAAAATATACAGAAAAAAATTCTTTAAAAACCACAATGTAATTCTATCCTGGGCCCAGAAATAGCCTGCTTAGCACAGCATTCACCTTATCAGCCTAGATATATTAGCGGGGGTGTGAAGACTGGTGGGTGGGAATCACAGCCACCTACAGTGAAATTAAACTCTGTTCCCAAGTGAGTTCTGCTGAAGTGTGATTTATCCAGAGAGTGTTATAGAATTTACCAGCAGCATGAAACCATGTTACCAAAATTGTGTTATTGCACAAACTTAACTTTTTCCCAAATGTGATTTGCAGAGCTGAGAATCCTGTCTGTGGCCATCTGTCCTATCCTAGTCCCCAGAGGCGTGGCGGAGGAGTGTGAGAAGCCACCAGGTGCCATGTAAATTCAGCCACCCATGTCACATATCCATCAAGGAGACCAGCATTTGCTAGGGATAAGTATGCAGCTTGGCATGCAAAAGAGGCTCCCAGATCCATCCGGCCCAAACATTCCCAGAGCCTTCCTCTGTGCCAGGCATAAGGCTAAGAGAACGCCACAGAATAGGGAAGATGTTCTCACCAGTATATGCTCCCCAAATGTTTCCTCCTTTGGGCTGGGATGGGACTGTTGGCTGAAAAGGCAATACAAAGGACTATAGGCACTCTTAGCTGCCTGTATGACAGGCACAAGTCCTTTAACCAGAATCAGTTTCCTCATGTATCAAGCAGAGATAACATACATCCCACATGCCTCATGTGGCTGAGTGAAGAAATAAATGGATGTATGAACAATGAAGAGCATACAGAGCCTCCCAGGACAGATGCTACGGTTACCAACAACACTGTGACCCTCCTGTGCCAAGAAATTATAAACTGAAAAGAATCACCCCTCATAAACTCAAAGCCAGGCTTCACAGCGGTTAGCAGAACCTTGCCCTTTGGAGAGGAGTATCTTCTGCTGACTAGACAATTACATAAGTAACTGAAGTGTGATGGAATATGTACAGAGTGCTCCGGAGGGTGGAGCAGATGACCGCTGCCCAGATGGGGTGGAGGAGAGGTCTGTGATGGATTTACATAAGACATGACCTCCAAGTTGAGCTTTGACGTAAGATGAAGATTTCAACATACGTATATTGGAGGTGGAGACGGGAATCCCCAGTAGAAGACATAGTATGAGCAGAGGCCAGGACCCACTGAGGAAGATGTCTGGATGAACCATGCGCTGATCCCCACAGGGATCAGGATTCAGCCACAGGGAGTGTTACCTTCCAGTTATGCCACCAAAAGCCAGTGACTACCCATCCCAAATTAACACCCCTCTTGACCCCCGCCCAACACAACCCCATACCACCCCCACACACACGCACACATACATCAGGAAATCTTCCTTAAACTCTTGGGAGAAGAAAGCTGGGCTTATCTGGGTGGGGCCTGTCAGGCAGATGGCTGCCCTAGAGAAGCTGGGAGGAGTCTATATTGGGATGTACTGTGTGGCAGTTGTTTCCTAAGGCACCTTTTGCAGACTCCTGTTTCACTGAAAATAATTCTTTTGCTTCCTGCACATCCTAAAAAATTGCAAGTATGCCCGGTGTTGTCTCTATTCTAAGTCTGTTGGATAAAGAGCAGCTGAAGAGCCCCGTCACTGTAAGTTCTTTGGGAAATAAGAATTTTCTCTCCTTCTCACCTGATAGAAAGTAAGGCAACCTGCACTGGGGATCTAATCTTGGCTGTTATCATTAGTCTTGTTAATCACAAAAAGCAGTTTACACACAGAGTGTATGAATCCTTTCTGTTGGATAAATGTTGTTATGCCCATTTTACAGATGTGGGAACAGACCCAAGGATGTAAAAGCACTTGCACAAGACCACAGACATAGTAAGGCAGGGTCAGAATTCAAACTCAAAGTCTGCTGGCTACAAAGCCTTTCCACTGTGCCACACGGCCTTTAGGTTATGTTACTCAAAAGTCACAAAATTCCAAATAGAACATACTGTGTGACATAGCCAACTTCTCTTAACCTTACTTTGGTTTTTCTTTTCTTTTGTTTTGTTTTTAACAGACGAAGTCTTGCTCTGTTGGCCAGGCTGGGGTGTAGTGGCACTACCACAGCTCGCTGCAGCCTCAACCTTCTGGGCTCAAGTAATCCTCCCGCCTCAGCCTTCTAAGTAGCTGGAAATACAGGCATGAGCCATATCTAGCTTTAACCCTTCTTTGTAGCCCTGGATTCAAGGTAAGATTACAACAGAAGACAACCAAGATTTCTTTCAACAATAAAATGTAATCTCTACTTGCGTGAAAGCATGCTGAGTGGTAACCCATGAAACTATGTGCAGCTCATATACAAACCCTGAAAGGTAGGAAGCCATTACCATCACTCCCACTTTGCAGAGAAAAAACCTGAGGCACAGAGTTGGTCATGCAGTGACTTCACAGGTTGACCAGGAAAAGAGCTCAGATCTCACACTTTTCTACACAAGGGACTGTTATTCCAAAGCACTATGGCCTAAAAATTCTGAAGCCTGAAGACTTCTAGACCCTCTGGAAGAGTGGTTAGTCTCTGGAGTCAAATGAAACGCTTGTGGGGGCAGAAATATTCAAAATAGGATTGGGAAATTGGGCTTTTCACTGCACTGCTGGCCCCCAAAACCAGCACCACTCTGAGAGGAATAGCCATCTTCTTTTGATCATTCTGCATTCAGGCCTGTTGACTCCAAAACTCTCAGAAGCCTATTCCCAACTTTCTAGAAGTTAGACCCTATACTACAAAACAATACACGGAGCCCTCTGGATGCTCTGCTCCCCAACCCCGTGATGTTGGGCAGTTGGAAAACCCTGTGTCAGAGCTCCTGGGGACCCCTTCCAGCTGTTGCCACAATCTTTTTTTTTGTTTTGTTTTGTTTTGAGACAGAGTTTCACTCTTGTTGCCTAGGCTGGACTGCAATGGCACAATTGATTCTCCTGCCTCAGCCTCCCAAGTAGCTGGGATTATAGGCATGCACCACCACGCCCGGCTAATTTTTTGTATTTTTAGCAGAGATGGGGTTTCTCCATGTTGGTCAGGCTGGTCTCAAACTGCGGAGCTCAGGTGATCCGCCCGCCTCAGCCTCCCAAAGTGCTGGGATTACAGGTGTGAGCCACCGCACCCAGCCTGTTGCCACCATCTTTAAAGTCCTTTCTGCTCCTGCCCTTGGACTCTCAGAGAAGACAGGTACTTTCCTGGATACCTTGCCACCATTCCAATTTCTCTCCATTTTTAATCTCTCTGAGCATACTCATGCACATGACTTGAACATTTCTTTAAGAAGAAACCAAAACCTCAATTTCTCAGTTTTTGATAGACAACTTTTCTAAACCATGAGTCTGTTAGTTATACCGAAATCAAACATTACATTTAGGCTTCCTAAAAATATCAATCGCCCCAGCACAATGCCTCCTTTTGCTCCCACTTGCCCATCCTCCAAACACACATACACTTCAGACTGTCATTTAGACACTGGAGTGTATAATTTAAATGCCTTTTAATAGCATCTACTAAAAGGACATTTGCACATGACTCCTCACTTTACTTCAGAGCTATGAAGTATGATCCACACTGAGGCTTTTACTGAATTTCAAGGCTAAACAGGAAGGTACATGGATGGCAAATACCAGCAATATAATTCAGACAGGAATTTAAAATGCATTCAACTTGTCCATAATAAGACATCTTTTTCCATTTCAGCAAAAGTCCTTTTAGTTCATGTTGCAACCCAGTGCCTGGTATGTATGAGTTAAACACTAAACATCAGTTCAATGACTGTTAATACATCTTACTCTTAACATACAAGTTAGAAATCTATTGTTGTAATTTTGGCCATAATCTAAATCTATTTGACTCTAACATAAATGCCATTTGAATCAATGGCAAATAATAGGCAGCTGCTTGCATTCAAAGTATACATCCCTCTGTCATTTGAACTGTTTGAAGTTGGTCTCCTTTGGAAGACAAATGGTTAGCAGCTGCAAGTTCAATTACAAAGCGCTTGGTAGGAAGTCAGAGAAAGAACCAGAGGGAATCCAAGTGCTATTTCATACATTAAGAATGGAATTCCTTTCCAACAAATATATTTCATTTCCTTTGGGGAAACTAATCCGGACATGCCCTTTGAACTTGGTAAAATGCAGGATTCTTTGGGAGAAAGAATCTAGTTTAAAGGCCAGGCAAAGCTGGGAGAGTAGCGGAGTCACTCCATTTCTCACATTTCCATTCTGTTCATTTTTTTAAGGGAAGAATGTGGGGCATGGGAAAATCTAACAGGCAACCAGTCCAAAAAACTGGATTAATTAGCTGTCTGATGCTGAACGTTACTTCCTTTCTTTGTCCCTCATTTTCTCCTTTGTGGAATAAAAGGGGGAAAAAATTAAATAAAGGGGCAAAACTGAATGACCTCTAGACCAGCACTAATAGAACTTTCTGCAATGAAGAAAGCATTCTAATCCGTGCTGGTCCAGTATAGTAGCCACTAGCCACACATGGACACTGAGCCCTTGAAATGTGGGCAGTGCAACCTAGGAACTGATTTTTCAACTTTAATTTTAATTAATTTAAATTTAGCAGTTTTGGGAAGTGAAGATCCAGAAAGCCCTCTGGCATTTTACACAGTACTGAGAGGGCCGTGTGGAAAAAGCATGCCTATCAGAGTAGGACAGACCTGAGTCTAAACTTAGCTCTACCACCTACTAGTTGTGCAACCTTATGAAATAACTTCCCTGAGCTTAATTTTCCTTATTTGTAAAATAGAATACTATGACCTTTCTTGCAGAATTTTAGTGCAAATTCAAGATAATGAATGCAAAGAGATGAGGTAGGCCTTCATAAATGGTAGCTATTTTTCCAGTTGCGATGTCCTCTAGGGATACAAGTTCCATGTCTTCTGACTTATCCTACTCTCTTTCTTGCAGTAGGATCAATTCTTATTGCCCCACAGATTAACAGCAGTGGTCCTACAGATGCATCCTTGTCTATCAAAAAAGCAACTTGCTCAGGAATTGTTCCCAGGTCCTCAGCTGAGGGCAAGCCTCCGGTAACCCAAGTCCTCTGTGCCTCAGGAACCACTGATTTCCGCTCACCATTTCCGCTCACCGTGTCCCCTCCAGCTCTCACCCTCCTTCAGGAATTTACAAACTCTTCCCAGGGACTGCATATCAAGCTGATTCTTTGTTCAACGTAACCGAAACACCTGTTGGTGGTTTCTGGTACTTTCCTCACTACCTCTCCCCTTGACTTCCCCTAATAAATGTTACGCCTTCCTTTTTAACTGGAAATGCTTTAGAACTACTTTTTTAAAAAATTATTCAGTGATTTAGAACACAAGAAATAGAAATGCAGCAAGCTACCTTTATGGCTAACCCAGCATTCACTTAGTTACCAAAATAAAACAAGGCAAAAGAGACCGTTTTATAGGAGTATTCCAGTAAATATTGAAGTGTTGCAATCTCTAAATATAATGTGTTAAGAGCTTAGCCCAATATTCCACTGTTTTTGTTTGTTTTGTTTTTTTCTGAGACAGAGTCTCACTCACTCTGTTACCCAGGCTGGAGTGCAGTGGCGCGATCTCCGCTCACTGCAACCACCACCTCCCTGGTTCAAGTGATTCTCCTGCCTCAGCCCCCGAGTGGCTGGGACTACAGACACACGCCACCATGCCTGACTATCTACTGGTCTTTCCTTTAGTGAACGGTACCTTTCCTTGGCTCCAATGACCTAGTTTTATCAGTGGACGCAAATGAGTGCCTGATTAGCAGGATACATTTTCTATTATTAATAATTATTGGAATGTTAAACAGCTTTCTTCTGCCTGTTTTCCCACCATCCTAAAGACTCCAAGAAAGAGGAGCTGAAATACAGGCTGGCATTTTGGTAGAATTTCTATCTGGATTTGAGTAAACCATTAAACAAAAGGTTTACAGTGAGCTTGGAATTCTTGCTAACTTCTGAGGTCTGCCCTCCCCGACATAAGGACATTCTTGAGGACTGTTTACTAAAGGGTGGTATGAAAGCAGCAAAGGGGGCAAATAATTCTGACTCTGAGTCTACTCTCAAATGGACTGAGGGTCTGATCTAATTTGTAAAACTAACCTGGATATACAAATTATAATTCAATAAAGAAGGAAATATAATTAACCTGGATTCGGACAAACCTGTAAAACAACGATTGACTCATTTCATGTCTTCTCTCCACAACTCCCCAAATTTCTAAATTTAACCTGAATCTGGAACCCACGTGGATTATGCACTCAATTTCCACTTTGTCTGAAAAGTAAATGCATTTAAGAGCATTCGAGATTCTGAACCCTTCTGGTAACAGCTAAACTCAAAATAGGTCAATTCCAGAAAGGCATCCATTTCAAGGGGACTTTCGTCTGCGGTTATTTTGAAAACCACTGCTTTTAAAACTGACATTATGAAGCTTAAAAATAGGCCCTCCTACTAAGGATCAAGGACTAAAATACCCTTTCCTCCCTGTCCCAGCCCCAACCCCACAACTTTTCTTTATTCTCTTTTCCCTCAACCACCTAGGAGAGTGAGGATATAGAGGGGTAACCTTTTCTAGAGCTTCAGATAATTACTTGAAAATAATTTTTTTAAGGATATTGCATAGTTACCAAAATTTAATGTTGGGTAAACTTGGAAAACTGTCAAACCAAGTAACTTTCCCAAATGAAAACATGTACTGTATGTAATATGTACCATAAAAAAATAAGAGTAAAAGCTCAACCACCTCCTTCCACTGCAGCAGTGTGAACTCTGGCAAATTCACACCTCTCTAGGTCTGGTTTCCTCATCTCTCAAATGAAGGCCCAGGTCTAGAGAACCTGTTAGGTCCCATCCAGCCCTAATAAGCTCTGCTTCTATAAATCTGGGCAGCTGCTTCCTTTTTTCACAGCTCCTTGGAAAGAACAGAAAAGTCCCTGGCCCAGGAGGTCCTTGAGAAACCTCGTTACACTTAATAGTGTTCCCTGAGACACCAGAACTGCTACTGAGAGCAACGCAAGATGAGACAGCTATAAAATATCTATCACATTGAAAAGAAAAAGTTGTTTTGCAGATGACACTAGTAAATCTACAAATGCATATATATTCAATCAAAAAACGTTACTAGATAGATTAAGTGGATTTAACAAAGCTGCTGGATATAACCAGTTCATACAAAACAAACCATAGTCGAGATGGAAAATACAAACTTAAAAATGTTCAATAACAACAGCATCAAAATGTTACGTATTTGAAATATTAACTCAGGACGCAAGAGAATTATTAAGAAACTATAATACCCTAAAATGAGAAAGAGGAACACATGAACAAATGGAAAGATACCCCACGAAAATTGCTGAAGTTTTCCTTAACCCCACCAAATTAAAAAATATATATGACTCTCAAAACTACGTAAGAGTGGGTTAAAAGTTTTAGTAGATAAAAATATCATAAAGACCAAGGTAAACCTGAAAATACAACAGATGGATAAATGCATCATGTTTAGTAAACTCCAGTAAGACACTAGACTTCACTGTGGAGAAAAATTAACTTAGACATACACCTCATACCGAGCATATTAATTCCACATGGGAAAAAGAGTTAATCACAAAAGGGGGAAAAAGGTTAGAAGAAAATGAAGCCACATATTCCTGCTAGTTGTGTAGAGATGACAGATGTTAAACCGCTAATGAAAAGTATGCTATACATAATGCCCAGTCAAAAAACACGCTTTTGAATATTTAAAAATGAAATATTTTTTCTTAATACATTACACACAATGGAACAATGTAGTAACCACATCATTTATAAAACTTCAAAATACAAAGCATATAAAAACTACTCAGAAATACTTTAAAATGATCAGAAAGGAAGAAAAATTTGCATGTGATTTTTCAAAATGTTCAGCCTGGAACCACAAAACCACCTCAGCCTACCTCTCCAGCTTCATTTCCTTCGACCCGAACCGATGCACCCGTCACACTCAACTACTTGCTGGCTTCTCTGCACATCCCAGGCTTTCCCACTTGTGTGAAGTTGCTCATCCCGTGCTCTCTTCCTGCCACGCCCCTCCATTCCCATGGAATCCTAGCCATCCTTCAAGACCCAGTTCAACTGTCATCTCCTCCATGAAGGCTCTCTTCATCTCCCCTCCTGGATGCGCACACTCCCTCCTCAGGCCAAGCTCCAACAGTGCTTGCTTTGTAGCTTTTCTGTGGCACTTTTCTTACTCTGCAGCCATTGTTTCCTCCTTCTTGTGCTCCTAAAATCTCCCCCTACACTCTCATATTAGATTTTAAGATCCTTGAAGGCTGAGATAATGTTACTCATCTTGAGTCACCTACCTGCAGCTCCCAGAATAGTGATTTACATTCAGTAAGCATTCAATAAATATGAGTTTAAACTGAATTGATGCAATTCAAAAATACAACAATTAAAGGGAAGCAAGCTGACCTTTAAAGGAGCCCTTAAACTGCCTATTAAACTATCAAAAACCACTAAACTGAAAAAAAAAGTTCTGAGGCTTGAGGAAACAGTTGAAATATACATTGTAAATTGGTTCAATCTTTTTTTGGAACATATTCTGTTAATATGTAACAACAGCAGTAGCACGGTCCATTGCCTCTGATTTGGTAGATGAATTCATCTAGAAGCAAAACAAAATAAATGGACTCAAAAACATTTACAAGCCTATCATTAAATAATAAGAATCTGGAAGCCACCTAATAATCAACAAAGTGTCATTTGCTTAGCCAGATCCTATCAAACTCTACTCTTCAGCCAATAAAAATGACAAGGATGAGGATTATGTCCATGTGTAAAAATCAGGAAAAAATCAACTGATCTCGACTATCCAAAAACATATACAATGGAATAAACACAGTTAAACTGGAGAATGTAATGTCTATAGGTTTTTTCTTTAGAAGGTATTCATACATTCAAAAATTTTAAAGCATTGTCCTTAAGCAGGCAACTATTCAAAGGGAGGGGCTCAAGGTCTTTCTACCTTGTCCATTTTCTCTTCAACCTCCAGGTGACCTCTTCTTAACCTGACTCCCTTCCTGACATCAGAGCAGGATGCCCCTGGGAGTTATGCAGCGAAATCAGAGTCAGGATCAGCACTTTTAGCTTTTGGCCCTTCATGGGATTCAGAAAACACCTGCTATTTCAAAACAAAACACTATTCATCTTGGGAGGAGAAGACGAAAACTTAGCAAACATGTAACTGAGCCTCTAAACAGCTCTCTTGGGATTCTGAGCAACAAGGGCACAGGACATGAAGTAAAAACACAATCAAGTTGCAGCAAGAGACCAGGACGATTTTTCGAAATTGGCAGTTTCTGGAAGTGAACAACAGAAACAAAGCTGGAACCCTAAGCTTTTTTCTCAGGTTTGCCTCATTTTGTTCCTAGTCTCTGTGTTCTCTGGATTTGCTTTCTCAATGTGTCAGAAAGATTCACCACTGCTTGACTCATACTTCAGGGGGATGTGGTGGAATATCCACACAGAGAAATGCTAGCAAAAAGTTCCAAAGAGGGAGTTAAGAAAAAAAGAGAAAGTGTCTGGGCACAGTGGCTGACACCTGTAATCCCAGCACTTTGGGAGGTTGAGCCAGGTGGATCGCTTGAGCCAAAGAGTTTGAGACCAGCCTGGGCAACAGAGTGAGAACCTGTCTTAAATGAAAAGAAAAGAAAAGCCAGCAGAAAAGGTTTTTTTTTGCTAGTTTGTTTGTTTAAATGTATTTTGGTGTTCTCAAATCTACCAATAATGATATATCGAATCAGCAATGCTGTACATTCAATTGTACACTGTACACAAAAAAAGTATGTTTCCTAATAAGAAAAAGATTCATAAAGTAGATTTAGTGAATAAAAATTATATAGTAATATAATAAAGTACTTATGCAAGAAGCCAAAACCTCAGCATCATGCTCAAACCTGCACATATACCCCCTGAATCTAAAATTAAATACAAAAACAGCTGGGCGATAGCCAGGCATGGTGGCTCACACCTGTAATCCCAGCACTTTGGGAGGCTGAGGTGGGCGGATCACGAGGTCAAGAGTTCCAGACCAGCCTGGCCAACAAGGTGAAACCCCATCTCTACTAAAAATACAAAAATTACCCAGGCATGGTGGCACATGCCTGTAGTCCCAGCTTCTCAGAAGGCTGAGGCAGGAGGATCACTTGAACCCGGGAGGTGGAGGCTGCAGTGACATGAGATCGTGCCACTGCACTCCAGCCTGGGCGAGAGTGAAAAAAAATAGCTGGGTGTATTGGCACGTGCCTATAGTCCCGGGTACTGGGAAGTGGAGGCTCTGGGGAGGGATCACTTGAGCCCAGACGGTGAGGCTGCAGTGAGCCACGATCCACACCACTGCGCTGCAGCCTGGGCAACACAGCAAGCGAGATCCTATCTCAAAAAAAAAGAGGGGGTGGGAGGGGAGAGATTGCATTTAATGTGATGTTTATCATACAATGTAGACAAGCAGCACAAAGGAATCTAGGGATGGGAAAGAGCAAATATTAGTTGACATTAAAGTACATAAGACTTGGAATGAGTTTTGCTTTTGGGGTACTTTTTAAATGTATTACAAATTTTTTTCAAACATACAGAAAAATTGAAAGAATAAAAGTAAAACTCTAACTAAACAAAACAACTGTGAACATTCCGTTCCATTTGCTTTATCCACTGTTTGTGTATGTTTGAGTTTTTTTCCTGAACCTCAGAGTAAGTTTTGTGCATTATGTATGAATATGAATTCTCCTATATAATATCTGTACCATCATTACATTAAAAATTTAGCAATACAGCCAGGCACGGTGGCTCACGCCTGTAATCCCAGCACTTTGGGAGGCCGCGGCAGGCGGATCACTTCAGGTCAGGAGTTTGAGACCAGCCTGGCCAACATGGTGAAACACCGTCTCTTCTAAAAATACAAAAATTAGCTGGGCATGGTAGCACGTGCCTGTAATCCCAGCCACTTCGAGGCTGAGCCACAAGAATCACTTGAACCCGGGAGACGGAGGTTGCAGTGAGCCGAGATCGCACCACTGCACTCTAGCCTGGACGACAAGAGTGAGACTGTCTCAAAAAAAAAAAGAAAAAAAAAAAATTAGCAATACTCTACTCACATTTCCCCAACTGTCTCAACAATGCATTTTATAACTATTTTTTGATCCGGTACACAATTGGGATTCATGCAGTACATTTTTTTTTCTGTTTTGTTTTTGAGACAGGGTCTCACTCTGTCACCCAGGCTGGTGTGCAGTGGTACAATCATAGCTAACTGCAGCTTGGACCTCCCAAGCTCAAATGATCCTCCTGCCCCAGCCTCCCAAAGGGCTGAGATTACAGGTGTGAGCCACCATGCCCAACCCATGCAGTACATTTGATCTGTATGTCTCCTTAGTCTCCTATCCTAGAACAGCACCACTCTCCTTTTTTTCCCTTGATATCACCTTTTCTTTGGAGACAGGGTCCCACTCTCACCCAGGCTAGAGTGCAGTGGCACGATTACCGCTCACTGCAATCTCGCCACCTGGGCTCAAGCAATCCTCCCGCCTCAGCCTCCCAAATAGCAGGGACTACACGCACGCACCACCACATCTGGCTAATTTTTGTATTTTTGTAGAGACAAGGTCTCACCATGTTGCCCAGGCTGGTCTCTAGCTCTTGGGCTCAAGCAATCCTCCTGACTTGGCAGGTCTCCCCAAGTGCCCAAGTGCTGGGATTACAGGTGTGTGCCACCATGCCCACCCTTATACTGACTTTTTTTTTTTTAGATGGAATCTCACTCTGTCACCCAGGCTGGAGTGCAATGGCATGCTCTTGGCTCACTGCAACCTCCGCCTCCTGGATTTAAGCAATTCTCCCACCTCAGCCTCCCAAGTAGCTAGGACCACAGGCACGTGCCACCACACCTGGCTAATTTTTGTATTTTTAGTAGAGATGGGGTTTCACTATGTTGGCCAGGCTGGTCTCGAACTCCTGAGCTCGTGATCTGCACGCCTCGGCCTCCCGAAGTGCTGGGATTACAGGCGTGAGCCACCGCAAATGGCCTATACTGACTTTTTAAGAGACTAGGTCAGTTGTCTTAGAGAATGTTCCACATCCTAGGTTTGTCTGATTGTTTCCTCTTGGTGCCATTAACTCATTCCTCTATCCCCGTATTTGCTATAAACAGGAAGTTAGGTCTAAAGGCTTGATTAGATGTAGGTTTGGGCTAGATTTGAAGGACAAGCAGCGTATGAAATATCTAAATCAACATGATTTATCAACATTTACAATTTGCTATTAAGAACAAAAGGAACCATTCAGCCTTCTAAGAAGGAAGAAATCAAAAGCCGGCATCATTAACACATCCATTTGCATAGCATTCCAGTGATCATAAAGTGCTTTTTTCTTTTCCCACTCTTGCCTCCCCATAAAGTGCTTCCGTGTATGTTATTTTGGATGATGCTCTCCCACCCTACTTCCCTCATGGGTTTCTTATTACCAGCCTTACTCTACTAATGAGGAAAACTAGGCTCAGTGAGGTTAAGTGATATGACCGAGGTCACACCATTAAGAAGTGTTACAGGCCGGGCGCCGTGGCTCACGCCTGTAATCCCAGCACTTTGGGAGGCCGAGGCAGGCGGATCACGAGGTCAGGAGATCGAGACCATCCTGGCTACACGGTGAAACCTTGTCTCTACTAAAAATACAAAAAATTAGCCGGGCGTGGTGGCAGGCGCCTGTAGTCCCAGCTACTCGGGAAGCTGAGGCAGGAGAATGGCGTGAACCCAGGAGGCGGAGCTTGCAGTGAGCCGAGATTGTGCCACTGCACTCCAGCCTGGGCGACAGAGCAAGACTCCATCTCAAAAAAAAAAAAAAAAAAAAAAAAAAAGAAGCGTTACAGGCCAGGCATGGTAGCTCATGCCTGTAATCCCAGCACTTTGGGAGGCCGAGGTGGGCAGATCAACTGAGGTCAGGAGTTCAAGACCAGCCTGGCCAACATGGTGAAACCCTGCCTCTACTAAAAATACAAAAATTAGCTGGGAGTGGTGGTGTGCGCCTATAATCATAGCTACTTGGGAGGCTGAGGCAGGAGAATCGCTTGAACCCAGGAGGCAGAGGTTGCAGTGAGCCGAGATCACGCCATTGCACTCCAGCTTGGGCAACAAGAGCAAAACTCTGTCTCAAAAAAAGAAAAAAGAACTATTATAACTAAGTAGGGAGTGATGTAACTGAGCATGGCATGGAGTTGCTCAGAAAAGACTACACACATTGGAGATAAGCTTTATGTAAGATCTTGAAAGATCGGTACCATCCGGGGCAGATACGGTGTCTCACGCCTGTAATCCCAGCACCTTGTGGGGCTGAGGCAGGCATATCACCTGAGGTCAGGAGTTCGAGACCAGCCTGACCAACATGGTGAAATCCTGTCTCTACTAAAAATAAAAAAATTAGCCGGCCATGGTGGTGTGTGCCTGTTATCATAGCTACTTGGGAGGCCGAGGCAGGAAAATGTGGGAGGCGGAGGTGGCCGTGAGCCAAGATCATGCCACTGCACTCCAGCCTGGATGAGAAGAGTGAAACTCCATCTCAAAAAAACAAAAGGGCCGGGCACGGTGACTCACACCTGTAATCCCAGCACTTTGGGAGGCCGAGGAGGGCGGATCACGACATCGAGGCCATCATTTTTAAATTTTGTACTAAAAATACAAAAATTAGCCAGATGTGGTGGCGCATACCTGTAGCCCAGCTACTTGGGAGGCTGAGGCAGGAGAATCGCTTGAACCCGGGAGGCATAGGTTGCACTGAGGCGAGATCGCGCCACTGCACTCCAGTCTGGGGACAGAGTGAGACTCATCTCCAAAAACAAAACAAAACAAAAAAGATGGGTACCATTTATTTTATTCTAGGCCCCACAGCAGACGGTGGAGAAATACCAGTACACAAGACAATCACAGTCCCTGTTTTCACAGAAGTTAAAGTGTAGTGGCAAGTATAAAACAAAAATAAAAACATGCAAGAGGGCCAGGCGCCTGTAATCCCAGCAGTTTGGGAGGCTGAGGCAGTGGATCACCTGAGGTCAGGGGTTCGAGACCAGGCTGGGCAACATGGTGAGACGCCGTCTCTACTAAAAATAACAAGAATTAGCCCGGCGTGGTGGTGTGCGCCTGTAATCCCAGCTACTCGGGAGGCTGAGGCACGATACTCACTTGAGCCCAGTGGGCAGAGGTTGCAGTGAGCCAAGATCATGTGACTGCACACTCTAGCCTGGGTGACAGAGTGAGACTCCGTCTCAAAAAAAAAAAAAAAAAAATCATGCAAGAAAGTGGAGGAGGGCATTTCAGACAAAAAAAAAAACCATGTCAGCAAGACCAGACAGATGTAAGAAGGTAAGCAACAGTATGCTGGTGGCACAGTGAGGAGAGTAAAGAAAGTGGTAAGTGGACCACAGCAGGTGAACGGAAAAACAGAGGAAAATTAAGCTAGATAGGCAAGGCAGGGCCAACAGCTACAGGAGTACCCACTTAAATGTAGTTTTGCTTTGACAATTCCAGTTACCCACAGTGAGTACAGTAACCACATTCATGTAACTGTCATTACAATATATTGTTATAATTCTTTTTTATTGGTTATTATTGTTAATCTCTTACTATGCCTAATTTATAAATTAAACTTCATCATAGGCATATACTGCATAGGAAAAAACACAGTATATGCAGGGTTTGGTACTATTGATATCTGTGGTTTCAGGCATCCACTAGGGGTCTTGGAACATATGCCACTCAGATAAGGGAGGACTACTGTACTCTACCACAGTATCTTCTTCCTTTCTTTGAAAGGTGCATAAATAAGTGAAACTGGAATTCTGTGAGTGTTTATATTCAAACAAGAGTCCCATATATTTCCTTGCCATGGGCTAAATCATCTTTAAGACTTTCTTTGCTATTACTGTATCTGCTGTAACAGCGGCAGAGATGTTCTTCCCAAAGACACAGGCTTAAGCAGGCCTTTTTCACATGAAGCTGTTCTGAAAGACAGCACCAGTATTAGTTACTGCATCAACTACCCAAAAGAAGCATCCAAGTTCAAAACTACAAAATCAGTGTGAAACCACTTCAAAAGCTCCTACTTATCAGGCCAGACATGGTGGCTCATGCCTGTAAACCCAGCACTTTTGGGAGGCCAAGGAGGGAGGATTGCATGAGGCAAGGAGTTTGAGCCCAGCCTGGGCAATACAGCAAGACCCTATCTCTAAATTTTAAAATTAGCCAGGCATGGTGGTACATGCCGGTAGTACTAGCTACTTAGGAGGCTGAAGCAGGAGGATTCCCTGAACCCAGGAGTTCAAGGTTATAGTGAGCACCAATGCACTCCAGCCTGAGTGTCTGAGCAAGACCCTGTCTCTCAAAAAAAAAAAAAAAAAAAAAGTTCCTGGTTATCATCATGGTACACATCTCAGAAAGAGCCATAAGAGACAAAAAAAAGCACATCAACCTGTCTCAACCTTTCTTCCTCCAGGGCCTTCACACTCTAACAGATGTGTGTTCCTTACAAACCTGGCAGAACTGCTGATGCTATGAACTACACCCTGAATGCAATAAGTAAGTCTGAGTGTTTCAGGGTTACATAGAAACAATTCAAAATCCAAAATCATGAACGCTACTAAGGCCAAGCAGTGAACCCTCCTAAGGTTATTCGGCACCTTATAGCCTTCAAAGAAATTTTATACATCTTCAAAGGTATTCCTCTGAGGTAGGATCTAGTCAATCATTTAATCAACAGGTATCTACTGAGTATTTTCTATGTGCCAGAATCTGTTCTACACACTGAGCAATGAACAAGGCAAAGCCCCAACCATCATGAAGCTTACACTTGGGGTGGCAGAAGAAGATAAATACTTATACACGATGTAACATCAGTTAGTGATCAGCGCTACAAAGAAAAATAAGGCAAAATCAAAGGGTAGAAAATGACAGGGAGTTCTGTATTACAGTGATCAAAGATGGCCTCTGTGAAGAGACATTTCAACAGAGGGGTGAAGGAAGTGAGGAAGCAAGTCATACGGTATTTGAGAGACAAGCTTTCCAGGCAGCAGGAATGGCAAATGCAAAGATTCTAAGATAAGAATGTGCCCAACCTACAACCCAACAGCACAAAGGACAGTGTGGCTAGAGTGCATGAGTGAAGAGAACACTGGAAGAAAACTAAGGACCTGGTCAGGTAGGGCCTTGTAGGCCACCATGGTAAAGATTTTGTAAACAATTATCACCTCCACTTTACAGATTAAGGAAACCAAGAGTCAGAAAGTAGAAAGGACTTGCCCAAGGTCAAAGAAAAAGTGAGATCTTGAGAGGTACCCTGCCTCACTACTGCAACTGGATTAACGGTATTGTTTTAAAGAAAGAGATTAATAGCCGGTGCGGTGGTTCACACCTGTAATCCCAGCACTTTGGGAGGCCAAGGAGGGCAGATCACAAGGTCAGGACTTGGAGACCAGCCTGAGCAATATAATGAAACCCTGTCTCTACTAAAAATATAAAAATTAGCTGGGCATGGTGTCAGGCACCTGTAATCCCAGCTACTCAGGAGGCTAAGGCAGGAGAATTGCTTGAACCTTGTGGGGAGGGGTTGCAGTGAGCCAGGATTGCAACACTGCACTCCAGCCTGGGCAACAGAGTGAGACTCGGTCTCAAAAAAAAAAAAAGAGAGAGAGAAAGAGATAACATGCCTTATCCTGGAAGGAGAGACAATGTACCCTAAGACCCAGCAATTCCACTTCTGAGTACATTCCACAGGAAACTCTCTCACAACATCCAAAGGAGACAAGGATGTGCAAGGATGGGCATGGTCATGACTGTTTGAGGCAGCAAGGGGTTGGGAAACAACAAAGATGTCTAATTCTAGAGAAATAAATAAGTAAAATGTGGCAGGCAAACATGACTGCTCTACAACCAAGAGAAATAATGAACTAGACACATATTGTATAGCATCATGAATAGAGCTCAAAACAAAATTGGTTAAAAAAAGAAACTAAGGCCAGGCATGGTGGCTCACGCCTGTAAGCCCAACACTTTGGGAGGCTGAGGCAGGCGGATCATCTGAGGTCAGGAGTTCGAGACCAGCCTGACCAACATGGTGAAACCCTGTCTCTACTAAAAATACAAAATTAGCCAGGCACGGTGGCACATGCCTGTAATCCCAGCTACTCAGGAGGCTGAGGCAGGAGAATAGCTTGAACCTGGGGGGCGGAGGTTGCGGTGAGCCGAGATCATGCCATTGCACTCCAGCCTGGGCAACAAGAGCAAAACTCCATCTCAAAAAAAAAAAAAAAAGAAAAGAAAAGAAAACAAAGAAGAAACTGATATAAAATTTAGGGATGGTCATTGCTTCTGTTCAAATACTCCTGGTGCACCAGCACAGTGGCTCATACCTATAATTTCAGCACTTTGGGAAGATGAGGTGGGCAGATCGCTTGAGCCCAAGAGTTCAAGACCAGCCTGAGCAACATGGTGAAACCCCATCTCTACAAAACAATCAAAACTTAGCAGGGCGTGGTGGCACGCACCATTATACTCCAGCCTGGGCAGTGGGAGCGAAACCCTTTCTTAAAAAAAAAAAAAAAAAAAAAAAACCCAAAAAAAACACACAAATATTCGTGGTTCTCCCCCTTCCAAAAAGGTCACTGCCCTCCTTGAAGGTCAACATGGCCACATGATTTGCTCTGGCCAAAGAAATGGCAGCAAAAATGACAAGGCTCACCTCTAGGCAAAACTTTAAGAGCCTGAATGTAGCTCTTCACAAGATTCCCTCCTCATGTAGGTATACTTGAGAGACGATGCCTCGATCAGCCTGGATCCCTAAAGGACTCCAATCTACAGAGCCTCCCACTGACCTGAAAGTGTGTTAAATTACTGAGATTTTGTGGTTGTTACCTCAACATAACCTATTCTATCCTGTCTATGAAATGCAGATTTGTAGCACAATAACATTTTAGAATCCTAAGCAGATACATACAAAACCATCCTTCTACTTCCCAAGGGTATACACATAACCAGACTAACAGGTGGAATTATAAAACCATATAAATATCTTAGAATGGTTGAGTGGGTGACTAAAACAAAAGAAAATGGGGAAAAAAGGAATGAGCATAAAGGGGAAAAGAAAAGGAAAAGACATAAAAAGGTTTATTAAACCCGTTGTGCAAATATTAGAAATTTCATTCACTCACTGACTCAACAAACATCTATGGACCTATTATGTGCCAGAACTATTTTGGGTGTACTTACAGAGTGGTGAGTCAAAAAAAGGCAGTGCAGGCTGGGCACAGTGGCTCACGCCTGTAATCCCAGCACTTTGGGATCACGAGATCAGGAGATCGAGACCATCCTGGCTAACATGGTGAAACCCCATCTCTACTAAAAATACAAAAAATTAGCTGGACGCAGTGGTGGGCGCCTGTAGTCCCAGCTACTTGGGAGGCTGAGGCAGGAGAATGGCATGAACCTGGGAGGCGGAGCTTGCAGTGAGCCGAGGTAGTGCCACTGCATTCCAGCCTGGGCGATAGAGCGAGACTCCGTCTCAAAAAACAAAAAGGCAGTGCTGTGCTTAAAGTTTATAGTGTACAGGAGAGATAAATATTAAGAACACCCCAATGAAAAATTACAATGATTAAGTCTTATTAAAAGCTCAGGTGAGCGCCAGGCACAGTAGTACCCACCTATAGTCCCAGCTACTCAAGAGGCTGAGGTGGTAGAATCACTGGAGTCCAGGAGTTCAAGAACCAGCCTGGGCAACATACCAAGACCCCCATACCAAAAAAAAAAAAAAAAGCAGCAGCTCAGGTGACATGACAAAGAGGGACCACATTCCTCTGAGATGCTTATAAACATCTCAGAGGAAGTGACATTTAGGCAAATAGGTGAAGACTGCTTCCTGCCTACCTAGGGAAGGAGGAGTGATTCATTCCAGGCAAAGGGAACAGCATGTACAGAGGCCTGCAGTGCGTATAGACCATCCCATAGAGGAAGTGAAAGAGGACTAGTGTGGTGGAAGAAAGGAGTGGCAGGAAATGTGGTTAAAGAGATTGGTGGGAGGGGGTGGTGGGGACAACAGGCAGATCACTCAGTCTCATAGTCCAATATAAGGAGTTTGGATTTTGTGTAACTGCAATAGAACCAGAAGAACATTTTAAACAGAGGAACAATATTATCTCATTATCTCATTCTAACACTTAAGACCCTAGTAATATGCTCACATGTTTCTGCAAAATACACAAAAGAAAGCTATTTTTGCATGATTTTTCTTTGAGGACCCCTACAACTTGCATCAACTTCAGGTCCCGTATTACCCAACTCCATCTCTGAACTGGGTAAGGGCTATGTTAGAGGTAAGCACAGGTGCCAAGGGAAAAGCAACCTTGCCAATTTGGTACCAAGAGTTCTTTACTGTCAAAATGGATTTTCTTCCTCTTTAGTTCACATTGTCTGATAACGTTCAAAATTGTGCCCTGGTCTAATCACAGAAATCATGAAAGCAACAGAATTCTTTCTGCTGGTAGCCCAAGATAGGGAACATTTTGCTTGAGGAACACTCTCAGAAGTGAAAGATGAAGATGTGTACAGCTTTCCCTCTCATTAGTGCTATGAAACACAGGGAAACAGTCCCTGTTTGTCTTGGGCAGCCTACACAAAGATGCCTCCTATTGTAACACAGCAATGAGTCATAGAGGTAGATGCAGATGGTACAAAAAACCAAACTAGGGAGAGTTGATTGTCCAGAAGCAAAGGCACCTTAACACATAATCTACCACCATGAATGAAAATCACCTTCCAGTTTCCTTTGGTCCAACACTTAGGCAGTAACAAAGGCACCAGCAGCCAACAGCTTTGGAAGTTTACTATGTACTACCTCATTTAATCTTCACAACTATGCTAAGTAGGTTCTATCATTAGCCCCATTTTTGCAGATGAAAAAAACTAAACCTAAGCCTTAGACTAAAAGACTTGAACCAGGTCACAAAACCACAACAGAGGCCGGGCTGTAATCCCAGCACTTTAGGAGGCTGAGGTGGGAGGATCACGAGGTCAGGAGTTTGAGACCAGCCTGACCAACAGGGTAAAACCCTGTCTCTATTAAAATACAAAAATTAGCCAGGCACGGTTGCACGTGCCTGTAGTCTCAGCTAGTTAGGAGGCTGAGGCAGGAGAATCGCTTGAAGCCGGGAGGTGGAGGTTGTGGTGAGCCGAGATCGCACCACTGCACTCTGGCCTGGGCAACAGAGCGAGACTGTCAAAAAAAAAAAAAAAAAAAAAAAACCACAACAGAGCTAGGCTTCAAACTTAGCCTGACTCCAGAGCCCTTACCTTTTAACCACTGTTTAGACTCTCCCAGTACCATCCAAATTTTTCTGCCACCAAATCTGGGGTAGTTTCTTCTCATCCTGCTTTTACTGTTTTAATGAAATTCCTCCTCCTTGAGAGAATACAGTTGTGGTATCACGATTACAACAGAATGATAACAGGTACTTCTACTCAGTATCCACTTCCAAATCAAATAGGAAAGGATAATGAGGCCATAACACTCAGCCAGAATCCACTGTGGTCAAAACTTGTCCTAACAACAGTCATGACTTTCAGTCTATTTTAAGAGGGTGAAACACTGTATACTAAAACTGAACAAATGGGCTGGGCACGGTGGCTCATGCCTGTAATCCCAGCATTTTCGGAGGCCGAGGCAGGTGGATCACCTGAGGACGGGAGTTTGCCACCAGCCTGAACAACTTGGAGAAACCCCATCTCTACTAAAAATACAAAATTAGCCGGGCATGGTGGCGCATGCCTGTAATCCCAGCTACTCGGGAGGCTGAGGCAGGAGAGTCGCTTGAACCCGGGAGGCAGAGGCTGCAGTTAGCCAAGATCGCACCATTGCACTCCAGCCTGGGCAACAAGAGTGAAACTCCGACTCAAAAAAAAAAAAAAAAAAAGAACAAATGTTTGCAATGCAATAATGCAATCCAACTACCTATACAAGTCAGTATTATGCAAAATAGACCCCACAGGATTGAGAGGGGACTAAAGAAGAGAGTCTGTTGGGAGCAGGTCTGAAAAACACAGCTGAACACACACCACAGGTCCACCATCGACCTTGTGATCATTACAGGGATGGAACAAGTCATCAAGCCAACAGGTCCCCGGGTTATTAAAATCTAGAGAAAGTTGGCTGGGCATAGTGGCTCATGCCTGTAATCCCAGCACTTTGGGAGGATCGCTAGAGTCCAGGAGTTCAAGACCAGCCTAAGCAATATAGCAAGACCCCATCTGTATAAAAGTTTAAAAAATAAAATTTTCTAAAAATCTAGAGAAAGGAAGGGAGGTTACAGAAATCACCAAAGAGCATAAGGTCCAAGCCTATTCTGATTTCATCAATTAGCTTCCTAAAGTCTGCAGTGTGCAGGTAAAAGATTAAGAACCCAATCCTTATTGAAGGTTGGGCAAACAACAACCAAAAAAAGGCAAAAAAATAATAATAACCTAATCTTTTCTGGCTATTTCTCTAGCTAGCTAAGCAGCTTTCCCTCACATAGTCTTGTCCCTTACCTAGAACCCAAGAGAGTTGTGGGAGCTCAGAAACCCCCAGGAAACAGACTCATGATTATTTAATGAAATAAAGTGCTCGTTTGTAAGCAACGCTGGAAGCTGCAGAGATGGAGCACCTAGCATGTGGTTTCTAGGTCATGGTGTTCATGCCTCAGGTCAGGAGTTTAGGGGCTCCTGGTGAAGTACGGAAAGCTAGGAAATCATTAGTGAGAAAATGGTTTGTTCAATGAATGAATGAAGAGTAGGATGAAGAAGAAAGCCGCTTTCTTGAGCAATTTCCCAGGAAGGCCAAGTACCAGGAACCTCCAAAGTCAGCAAGGAAAAGCCACGAAGTCCACACGGACTTCCAGCACGCCCCCGCTGGCCAGGCAGTTGGCCTGCAACAAGGCACTCAGGCCCCACAGGTGTCAGGCATGAAGGTGAGGATGATGCTCCACACTTAATACCCTGAGCTGGTCTCAAAAGCACAGATGCGATCTTAATTCTTTCCAAAACATTAGCCTCCTCTCCCCGTTACAGGCCAGACTCCCAGATGATCACATTTAGAACAGAACTGGGAGGAGGCAGGGGAGACGTGCTAGCTTTTATTTTCTTGGGAGAAGACTGTACAGTGGCCAGGAACCACTAAAACGGTCGGGAAAAGGGGTACAGAGAGGAATGGAGACCCGCGGGATCCGCTAACTGGTCTGAGTCAGGAACACAATCAGTGCTTAGTCACCGATACCTCGGCGGCCGGGAGTTTCTCGCCCCCTGCCAGCCCCAGACGTACGTGACAAACCAGATCGGAGCCTGGCGCGCGCTCCTGCTCCCCGGCTCGGGCCTCCCCAGCCGGGCCCCGAGGTTCACCGCCCGCCCCATACTTACTCCGCAGAGCTGGTCCCGTTAACTGCAGAGCCGTCGGGGGCCGGGTTCAGCTGGATGGGCGTCGGCTTCTTCTTGGGCATTTTGGACCCGGGTAACGCGCTTCCAACTCCGGGGGGAGGGCAGCACCTCTCGCTTCCTCCCGCTGCGCTGCCCCGCGCCCGCTGCGCAGGACCAAGTCCGGGCCGCGGGCCCCGGGGCTGCCTTCAGCGGGTGCGCCCCGCGCGGTCCCGTCAGCGCCGAGGGGCCGGTAGCGGTCTCAGTGGACCCCCGCCCCACCCGCCCGGGACTCGGCTTCGCGCGCAGAGAGCCGAAAGGCTGCCCTGCAGGAGCGGAGCGGGCTGAACGTGCGGTTCGGCAGCCCGGGATTCCCTTCCTCTCTCTCTCTCAACCAACCAGTCCCTCCGGCTCGGGCGGCACAGCCGCGCGCGCACCAGAGCCCAGCTCCAGCTCCTGCCGGGGAAAGTGCCGCCGCCGCCGTGCTCCTAGCCGCTCTGCGAAGCGGCCCTGGGAGGGACTGGAGGCCGGGGGAGGGGCGGGGAAGGGGAAGCCTCGCCTCCCACCCGGGATGCGGCGCTTTCCACACTCCCACTCGGCTCCGCCCCTATTGCCTCGCAGACAACCAATGGGGGCAAGCCTCGGCGGCAGATGACGCGGAAATACGTCACGGGAGCGCGGCGCACTGCCTGGGGGCGGGGTCCGTCGCGGACGCCGTGGCGCCCTCTGTCGCCCCGAGGCAAGCAGGTGGACCCAGCTGAGAAGAAGTCTGTGTCGCTGTGTGGTGAGCTCTCCAGGCCAGGTGCCGCGCGGCCTCCACCTCTGCGGTAACCGGCCTGCCCCCGACCCCTGTCCCCAAGCCGAGCCGTGTTGACGAAAATGAAATAACAAAATAAATAAGGAAAAGGACCCCTTCCTGTGTCCAGAGGAGAGGCAGCGTGGGGAATAGGAAACTTGTCGAGAGGCTCCTTTGAGCCCAACAAACTGACGCATATAAATTTTGTTTGTTTAATGGTAATACTACTGAGAAGGGTGCAAGGAAATGGATACTCAGTGCTGATGAGATTGTAAATTGTTGCGACAGTTTTTGAGAGCAGATTGATGATTTTTTTTTTTTTAGACTTGGGAACTTTTTTTTTTTTAAGACGGTGTCTCCCTCAGTTGCCCAGCCTGGAGTGTAGTGGCGCGATCTCCGCTAACTACCACCTCTGCCTCCCACGTTCAAGCGATTCTCCTGCCTCAGTCTCCTGAGTAGCTGGGATTACAGGCACTCGCCGTCATGCCCGGATCCTTTTTGTATTTTTGTAGAAACGGGTTTTCACCATGTTGGCAATATTTTTTTAAAGCCTTAAAAACACTCTTTCGGGCCAGGAGCGGTGGCTCACGCCTGTAATCCCAATTTTGGGAGGCCCAGGCAAGAGGATCACTTGAGCCCAGGAGTTCGAGACTAGCCTGGGCAACATAGTGAGTCCCCCGTCTCTATTAGCTGGGCATGGTTGTGTGCAGCTGTCGTCCAAGCTACTGAGGAGGCTGAGGCTGGAGGATCACTTGAGCCCAGGAGTTTGAGGCTGCAGTGAGCTATGATCACACCACTGCACACCAGCCAGGGCTACAGAGCAAGACTCCCTTTAAAAAAACTTTCATCCAGGCCAGGCGCGGTGGCTCACGCCTGTAATTCCAGAACTTTGGGAGGCCGAGACGGGTGGATCACGAGGTCAGGAGTTCAAGACCAGCCTGGCCAAGATGGTGAAACCCATCTCTACTAAAAATACAAAAAATTAGCTGGGCGTGGTGGCGGGTGCCTGTAATCCCAACTACTTGGGGGGCTGAGGCAGAGAATTGCTTGAACTCGGGAGGCGGAGGTTGCAGTGATCCAAGATCACACCACTGCACTCCAGCCTGGGCGACAGAGTGAGACCCCGTCTCAAAAAAAAAAAGAACTTTAATCCAAAAATTCCAATTCTGTGAATTACTAAAGAAATAAGATGTGAATAAAGAGCTTAATAAGAGGCACAATACCCATTTAAAAGTGCACATTCAGTGTTCCTCTTCCCCTTTCCCATCCTAAAATACTAAGTGTCAAAGACATTAGGTGTACAGAACAAAGGAAACGTGTACAGAACAAAGGAAACATCTACACCTGGTTATCCACAGCCAGGTGTTGGTGACCTAGCAGGTAAGGAGGCTGAGGAACCTGAGAAAATGAAGAGGGCTTGAACACCTGGGAGGCAGTCCTACACAAAGTCTTAGCCGTAGGGCCCAAGAGGGGAGAACAAGGCATCCAAGTGGGGAAGGCCTAGAAGCTTAGATGGGAGGTTAGTTGCATTCAGGATGGTTGATTAAGTCACTAAATATATTAAGCATGACAGAGCCAGCTTTCTCACTGTGGTAGAATGACGTTAGAAGTATGGGAAGGGAGAATACCTTACGCTATTGTATTGGAATTGGAGGTATCAGTGTGAACTCATTGTTTTGTTTTGTTTTTTGGGGGGGTGTTTTTGTTTTGTTTTGTTTTTGTTTTTGAGTGGCGTTTTGCTCTTTTTGCCCAGGCTTGAGTGCAATGGCGCAACCTTGGCTCATTGCAACCTCCACCTCCCAAGCTCAAGTGATTCTCCTGCCTCAGCCTCCCAAGTAGCTGGGATTACAGGCATGCACCACCATGCCTGGCTAATTTTGTATTTTTAGTAGAGACAGGATTTCACCATGTTGGCCAGGCTGGTCTCAAACTCCTGACCTCAGGTGATCCGCCCACCTCGGCCTCCCAAAGTGCTGGGTTTACAGGCGTGAGCCACTGCGCCCGGCCTGAACTCATAGTTTTTTAAAAAATAAATTATTCTGGGTGGATGCAGTGGCGGCTACCACCTGTAATCCCAGCACTTTGTGAGGCCAAAGCTGGAAGATCACTTGAGGTCAGGACTTCAAGATCAGCCTGGCCAACATGGTGAAACCCCGTCTCTACTAAATTACAAAAATTAGCCAGGCATGGTGGTGGGCACCTGTAATCCCAGCTACTCAGGAGGCTGAGGCAGGATAATTGCCTGAACCAGGGAGGCAGAGTTTGCAGTGAGCCGAGATTGCACCACTGCACTCCAGCCTGGGCAACAGAGCAAGACTCTGTCTCAAAAATAAATAAAATAGGCCGGGCGCGGTGGCTCATGCCTGTAATCCCAGCACTTTGGGAGGCTGAGGTGGGCAGATCACGAGGTCAGGAAATCGAGACCATCCTGGCTAACACGGTGAAACCCCATCTCTACTAAAAAATACAAAAAATTAGCCGGGCGTGGTGGTGGGTGCCTGTAGTCCCAGCTACTCAGGAGGCTGAGGCAGGAGAATGGTGTGAACCCGGGAGGTGGAGCTTGCAGTGAGCCGAGATCGCGCCACTGCACTCCAGCCTGGGCGACAGAACAAGACTCCGTCTCAAAAATAAATAAATAAATTAAATAAATAAAAATAAATTTTATTGTGTATATTTGAGGTTTGTAACATGATGTTATGGGATATATATAGATAGTAAAATGGTTACTATAGTGAAGTGAATTAACATATCTATACCGTCACATAAAGGCTTGTGTAAAGTATGACGAGCAGCTAAAATCTACTTATTTAACAAAAAACGCAAATAAAATACAATGTTATTAACTATGGTCTTCATGTTGTACATTAGATCTCTAGACTTCTTCATCCTACATATCTGCTGCTTTATATTCTTTGACCTACATCTCCCCATTTCTTTCCCCCATACTTTTTAATATAGAGGCATAGATGTAAATGTATGCATGTGTGTGTAGAAGTGTGTCCTTATTCATGTTAAACATGCATAATTTTTAGTATCAGAGTAAAATAATAAACATTAAAAAGTGAATTGAAGGCCAGGTGTGGTGGTGGCTCACACCTTTAATCCCAGCACTTTGGGAGGCTGAGGTGGGAGGATCACCTGAGGTCAGGAGTTCAAGACCAAGCCTGGCCAACATGGTGAAACCCTGTCTTTACTAAAAATACAAAAATTATCTGAATGTGGTGGCGGGTGCCTGTAGTCCCAGCTACTTGGGAGGCTGAAGCTGGAGAATCACTTGAACCCAGGAGGTGGAGGTTACAGTGAGCCAAGATCACTCCACTGTACTCCAGCCTGTGCAACACAGTGAGACTATCTCAAAAAAAAAAAAAAAATTGAAACTTTTCAAAGTAATCTATTATCAAGGCAGTCTATCTGAATTCTGGTATAATTTTATATTTACTAGTTCAAATAAAAACTATTAGGACTTTGAGCAATTAATTGAAATTTTCAAGGCCTCACTTCCACTCTGTGTAAAATGCAGCATTCTTTTTAATATTGAAATATTATGATTCTATGCATGCTGGGTTGGCCTCCACTGAGTAAACCCTAAGCCCTTATCATGATCCAAGAAGCCCAGATAAACAATTACCCCAATGGTTAAAGTTTGCAGAATAGTTCAAGGTAGGAGAATTTGTTTTCCTCATTTCCTTTTCAGACCGGCAGTGATCCATCGGTTCTGTCAACTTTTCCTGAGGGCCTAACATAAGTGCTGACCATACAGACAAGAATAAGACTGAACTATATGTGTATGAATCAGTGATGTATAATAATAAACACTGTAACATATATATTTGGTTGAACCATATCAGGTTGCTCTATTTGTAGGTCAAAAATGTTTGAATATTGGCAAATACTGGTTCATCCCATTTGTACACAGTGTAGCTAGATCACAAATGTGAAGATCCAAGAAATACAGGCCAGGTGTGGTGGCTCACTCCTGTCACTCCCGTAATCCCAGCACTTTGGAAGGCTGAGGCAGGTGGATGACTTGAGCCCAGGAGTTCAACACTAGCCTGGGCAATATGACGAAACCCCATCTCTACAAAAAATACAAATATTAGACAGGCATAGTGGCACATGCCTGCAGTCCCAGCTACTCTGGAGGCTGAGGTGGGATGATCGCTTGAGCCGAAGTCAAGGCTGCAGTGAGCCATGATCTTGCACACCAGCCTGGAAAACAGAAGAAATACAAGGACAACCAGTGATGAAAACATATCAAGAATTGAGGAGTACATTTAACTCAGACCTCTATATCTTAGGTTCAAAATCAAACAAAACAAAAAAGCATCAACTTGAGAGAGAAAGACCTGAGATTAATTCCAGTTCTGCCCTTGGCTGATTACTTACCCTCTCTGAGCATCAGTTAATTTACCTATAAAATGAGAATTATACTGTCTACTACTGCACTAAATAGTTATGAGCATTAAATGAAACTTTGAAAGAATAGTGCCTAACATACAGGAGCTAAATAAATGGTGATGGTGATAGGTTTTCATCATGTAAACATAATCTGCTAGAAGAATAATTTTTTTTTTTGAGACAGAGTTTCACTCATCGCCCAGGTGGAGTGCAGTGGTGCAATCTCGGCTCACTGCCACCTCTGCCTTCCAGGTTCAAGCGGTTCTCCTGCCTCAGCCTCCCAAGTAGCTGGGATTACAGGCACCCGCCACCATGCTCAGCTAATTTTTTGTATTTTTAGTAGAGACAGGGTTTCGCCATGTTGGGCAGGCTGGTCTTGAACTCCTGACCTGAGGTGATCCACCCACCTCGGCCTCCCAAAGTGGTGGGATTACAGGTGTGAGCCACCGTGCCCGGCCAAAGGAGAATAATTTATAGAGGCTTTCCTGGAGACAATTTCTTCTTCAGAAATATTCACACACTTTGATTCAGTAATTCTACTTCCATGATTCTCTTGTAAAGAAATTATGAAAGCTATACAGAAGAATGATCAACATAGTATTATTTAAATAGCTAAAATCTGAAATTACCTAAATATTCAACAGAAGAGAAATGATTACATCATTTATGACACACCCATATGATGAAATACTGGACAAGAAAAGACTTTCATTTCTAGAAATTTCAAACAGTAGGAATTAATATTTTTTAACAGTACTTCTAGAAAAACCTAGGATCTCTATTCTTTTTTTTTAATTTTTTCCAGATGGAGACTTGCTCTGTCACCTGGGCTGGAGTGCCGTGGCGCAATTGGGGCTCACTGCAACCTACGCCTCCCAGGTTCAAGCAATTTGCCTGCCTCAGCCTCCTGAGTAGCTGATATTACAGGCGCCCGCCACCACGCTCGGCTAATTTTTTTGTATTTTTAGTAGAGACAGGGTTTCGCCATGTTGGGCAGGCTGGTCTTGAACTCCTGACCTCAGGTGATCCACCCACCTCAGCCTCCCAAAGTGCCGGGATTACAGGTGTGAGCCACCGTGCCCGGCCGAAGGAGAATAATTTATAGAGGCTTTCCTGGAGACAATTTCTTCTTCAGAAATATTCACACACTTTGATTCAGTAATTCCACTTCCATGACTCTCTTGTAAAGAAATTATGAAAGCTATACAGAAGAATGATCAACATAGTATTATTTAAATAGGTAAAATCTGAAATTACCTAAATATTCAACAGAAGAGAAATGATTACATCATTTATGACACACCCGTATGATTAAATACTGGACAAGAAAAGACTTTCATTTCTAGAAATTTCAAACAGTAGGGATTAATATTTTTTAACAGTACTTCTAGAAAAACCTAGGATCTCTATTTTTTTAATTTTTTCCAGATGGAGTCTTGCTCTGTCGCCTGGGCTGGAGTGCAGTGGTGCAATTGGGGCTCACTGCAACCTACGCCTCCCAGGTTCAAGCAATTTGCCTGCCTCAGCCTCCTGAGTAGCTGGCATTACAGGCACCCGCCACCACGCCCAGCTAATGTTTGTATTTTTAGTACAGATGGGGTTTCACCATGTTGGTCAGGCTGGTCTCTAACTCCTGACCTCAGGTGATTCACCCACCTCGGCCTCCCAAAGTGCTGGGATTACAGGCATGAGCCACCGCGCCTGGCCCAGATCTCTATTGTTTTGTCATAAACAGAAAAAACGTAACGTCTATATCAACACCCAAAGGCAAATGAAAGTAGAGTGAGATAGCACTGGACACAACTATTTTTGGTAAAAACCAATAGAACATAATAGGTATCTGGGAAATGGCCAGGACTTTCAATGTCATGGAGTATTTAGTTAAGGAAACAGGGACAACTACCTGGCCATTTGAAAAAGAAATGAAGGTGTAGGGGCCGGGCGCAGTGGCTCACGCCTGTAATCCCAGCACTTTGGGAGGCCGAGGTGGGGTGGATCACGAGGTCAGGAGATCGAAACCATCCTGGCTAACACGGTGAAACACCACCGTCTCTACTAAAAATACAAAAAATTAGCCGGGCGCAGTGGTGGGCGCCTGTAGTCCCAGCTACTCAGGAGGCTGAGGTAGGAGAATGGCGTGAGCCTGAGAGGCGGAGGTTGCAGTGAGCCCAGATAGCGCCACTGCACTCCAGCCTGGGTGACAGAGCGAGACTCCGTCTCAAAAAAAAAAAAAAAAAGAAAGAAAGAAAGAAAAGAAATGAAGGTGTATCCCTACTTTTTATCCTATAATAAATTCCAGGTCCTTTGCCGTGTGTACTGCGAGAGTGAAGACCATTCTCATTAATCAGACTGTCGACATTCCAGAAAATGTCAACATTACTCTGAAGGGACACACAGTTATCGTGAATGGCCCCAGAGGAACCCTGCGGAGGGACTTCAATCACATCAATGTAGAACTCAGTCTTCTTGGAAAGAAAAAAAAAGAGGCTCTGGTTGACAAATGGTGGGGTAACAGAAAAGAACTGGCTACCGTTCGGACTATTTGTAGTCATGTACAGAACATGATCAAGGGTGTTACACTGGGCTTCCGTTACAAGATGAGGTCTGTGTATGCTTACTTCCCCATCATCGTCGTTATCCCGGAGAATGGGTCTGTTGTTGAAATCCGAAATTTCTTGGGTGAAAAATACATCCGCAGGGTGCGGATGAGACCAGGTGTTGCTTGTTCAGTATCTCAAGCCCAGAAAGATGAATTAATCTTTGAAGGAAATGACATTGAGCTTGTTTCAAATTCAGCGGCTTTGATTCAGCAAGCCACAACAGTTTAAAACAAGGATATCAGGAAATTTTTGAATGGTATCTATGTCTCTGAAAAAGGAACTGTTCAGCAGGATGATGAATAAGATCTAAGAGTTATCCAGCTACAGAAAGAAGACGCCAGATGACTCCTAAGACCTACTTGTGATATTTAAATGATGTAATAAAAGACCTGTTGATTTGGAGAAAAGTAAATAGCTAAATAAATTCCAGGTGCATCAAAGATGCAATCAAGGCCAGGCACAGTGGCTCATGCCTGTGATTCCAGCATTTTGGGAGGCAGAGGCGGGACAATTGCTTAACGCCAGGAGTTTGAGACCAGCCTGAGCAATATGGGAAGACTCCATCTCTACAAAAAAAAAAACTTTGTGCACGGCGGCTCATGCCTGTAACCTAACACTTTGGGAGACCAAGACGAGAGAATTGCCTGAGGCCAGGAGTTTAAGACCAGCCTAGTCAACATAGTGAGACCCCCATTTCTTAAGAAAATATTTTTAATAAAATTAACAAAAGATAAACTTAGCCAGGCATGGTGGTACATCCCTGTAGTCCCAGCTACTTGAGAGGCTGAGGTGGGAAGATTACTTAGGCCCCGGAGGTCCAGGTTAGAGTGAGTCATGATCAAACTACTGCACTCTAGCCTGGACAATAGAGTGAGACCCTGTCTCAAAAAAAAAAATATGGAAGAAAAGAATAAAGAAAGAAAGGTGAAATCATACAAGTACTGCTAGAGAAGCTAGATAAGATCATGGGAAATTTTTTTTTTTATTTTGGAATGAGAAAAACATTTGAAGAAAGACACAAACTGTCAAAACCATAAAGGCAAAGATTAATAAAATTAACCTCACAAAGATTTAACATTTCTCCATGGAGAAAAAACACCTTGTACAGAGATATAAGTACACAAATGGTAAGCTGAGAAAATAAACATTTACAATATCTGCAATATAATAAAAGTCTAATTTCTTTAATATAATTAAGAGCAATCGGCTGGGCGCGGTGGCTCACACCTGTAATCCCAGCACTTTGGGAGGCCAAGGAAGGCAGATCACGAGGTCAGGAGATGGAGACAAGCCTGGCCAACATGGTGAAACCCCGTCTCTACTAAAAATACAAAAATTTGGCCGGGTGCGGTGGCTCACGCCTATAATCCCAGCACTTTGGGAAGCCTAGGTGGGCGGATCACGAGGTCAGGAGTTCAAGACCACCCTGGCCAACACAGTGAAACCCTGTCTCTACTAAAAATACAAAAATTAGCCGGACATGGTTGCATACACCTGTAATCCCAGCTACTCAGGAGGCTGAGGCAGGAGAATTACTTGAACCTGGGAGGCAGAGGTTGTGGTGAGCTATCACACCACTGCACTCCAGCCTGGGTGACTGAGTGAGACTTTGTTTAAAAAAAAAAAATTAGCTGGGCATGGTGGTGTGCACCTGTAATCCCAGCTACTTGGGAGACTGAGGCAAGAGAATTGCTTGAACCCAGGAGACAGAGGTTGCAGTGAGCCAAATCGTGCAATTGCACTCCTGCTGGGGCAACAGAGCGAGACTCCGTCTCAAGAAAAAAAAAAAGAAAAAATTAGTCGGGTGTAATGACATGTGCCTGTAGTCCCTGCTACTCGGGAGTCTGAGGCAGGAGAACTGGTTGAGCCCAGGAGGGAGAGGTTGCAGTGAGCCGAGATTGCGCCACTGCAATCCAGCACTCCAGCCTGGGCAACAGAGCGAGACTCCAAGTTAAAAAACAAAACAAACAAAAAAAAACCCAGGCGCTGTGGCTCACGCCTGTAATCCCAACACTTTGGGAGGCCAAGATGGGTGGATCACAAGGTCAGGAGTTCGAGACCAGCCTGGCCAATATGGTGAAACCCCATCTCTACTAAAAATACAAAAATTAGTTGGGCGTGGTGGCACGCGCCTGTAGTCCCAGCTGCTCAGGAGGCTGAGGCAGGAGAATCACTTGAACCCAAGAGGCGGAGGTTGCAGTGAGCCAAGATGGCGCCACTGCACTCCAGCCTAGGTGACAGAGCAAGAATGTCTCAAAAAATAAAAATAAAAGAAAAAGAGCAATTACAAATTAAAAGAAGATCATCATTCATCCAATAGAAACATAAGGAAAGTATTAATACATCAATATAGGTAGTTCACAGATAAAGTCATACAAATGGCTTTCAAAATTCTACTCGCTTAGAGAAATGCAAATTATGAGAGATCACCTTTCACTTATCAATATTATTGAACATATGGGAGAAAAGGCATTCTCATACACTATTGCTGGGAGTATAATTGCTGCACTCTCTTTTTTTTTTTTTTTTTTTGAGAGGGAGTCTTGCTCTGTTGCCCAGGCTGGAGTGCAGTAGCCTGGTCTCGGCTCACTGCAACCTCCACCTCACGGGTTCAAGCGATTCTCCTGCCTCAGCCTTCTGAGTAACTGGTATTACAGGTGCCCACCACCATGCCTGGCTAATTTTTGTATGTTAGTAGAGATGGGGTTTCACCATTTTGGCCAGGTTGGTCTCAAACTCCTGACCTCAAGTGATCCACCAGTCTTGGCCTCCCAAAGTGTTGGGATTACAGGCGTAAGCCACCGTGCCCAGCTGCTGCAATCTCTTTAAAGGGCATTTTGGCAATAACTGTTTAAAGTCCCAATACTGACCCAGCATTGCATAATTTTTCCTTAGAAATTATCAGACCTGGGGCTGGGCACGGTGGCTCATGCCTGTAATCCCAGCACTTTGGGAGGCCAGAGTGGGGGGGTCACTTGAGGTCAGGAGTTCAAGACAGCCTGGCCAACATGATGAAACCTCATCTCTACTAAAAATACAAAAAATTAGCCAGGCTTGGTGGTAGACGCCTGTAATCCCATCTACTCAGGAGGCTGAGGCAGGAGAATCGCTTGAACCTGGGAGGCAGAGGTTGCGGTGAGCCGAGACCACATCATGGCACTCCAGCCTGGGAAACGAGCAAAACCCCGTCTCAAAAACAAAAACAAAAAAAAAGAAAAAAATTATTAGACATATATACCAAAAAACCTTTTTCTACATACATGATTACTGCAGCATTATTTAAAACAGAAAAAAAGAAACTGGAATCTGTCTGTCAAAAGGAGAGTAAATTATGACATACAAATAAATCATGACACATTTATACAAAGAAGTACTATACAGTACGGTCATTCCAAAGAATGAGGCAGACATATTTATGCTGGTATAGAAAGATCTTCAAAATGTATGATGTGAAACAAAATAAATGGAGCAGAACATTGTGTAGTAACTATTTGTTAGAAAAACAAAAAAAAGGATATATTTGGTTTTGTGGGTTTTGGTTTTGTTTTGGGACAAGGCCTCACTCCATTTCCAGTGCAAAGGCTGGATCATAGATCACTTTAACCTTGAACTCCTGGGATCAGTGATCCTCTTGCCTTAGCCTCCCCAATAGCTAGGACTACAGGCGTGCGCCGCCGTGACTGGCTAATTTTTTTATTTTTTGTAAAGACAGTGTATCCGTATGTTGCCTAGGTTGATCTTGAACTCCTTGCCTCAAGTGATCTCCCACTTAAACCTCCCAAAGTGCTGGGACTACAGGCATGAACACCTGGACAAGAATATATTTGTATATGTGCTTTTATATGAAAGAAAATTTCCGTAAGCACAAAAGAGCAATTGTTAATAGTGTTTGTCTCCGGGGAGGAACTCTGAGAAGCCTGGAGGCAGATTAAGTTTCCTTTTCATTTTGCAGCCTTTGGTACTAGTAGAGACGGGGTTTCACCATTTTGGCCAGGTTGGTCTCAAACTCCTGACCTCAAGTGATCCACCAGTCTTGGCCTCCCAAAGTGTTGGGATTACAGGTATAAGCCACCGCGCCCAGCTGCTGCAATCTCTTTAAAGGGCTTTTGAAATATATATATATATATATATATATATATAACTTTTCCAATTAAAAACAACATTAGGCTGGGCGTCGTGGCTCATGCCTGTAATCTCAGCACTTTGGGAGGCCGAGGTGGGCAGATCGCTTGAGCTCAGGAGTTCAAGACCCACCTGGGCCACATAGCAAGACCCTTGTCTCTAAATAAATAAATAAACAAAAACAGAGTGAAAAAGAAAGAAGACATTTGCAATGAATATATTTTTTAAGAGGAGGGGTCTTACTGTGTTACCCAGGCTAAAGTGTAGTAGCTATTCACAAGCACAATCATAGTGCACTGCCACCTGAAACTCCTGGCCTCAAGCGATCTTCTCACCTCAGCCTCCTGAGTAGCTGGGATTATGGACATGCACCACTGCACCTGGCTCATATAATGCATATATCCAAAAACACCCACAAACCTCATATCCAGAATATATGAAGAACCCCTACGCATTAACACAAAAAGAGATAGACAATCCAATTAAAAAACCAAAAAAAATGGGCAAAGCCAGACACAGTGGCTCAGGCCTGTAATCCCAGCACTTGGTGGAGGCCCAGAAGGGCAGATCACTTGAGGTCAGGAGTTCGAGACCATCCTGGCCAACATGGTGAAACCCTGTCTCTACAAAAAAGTTGGCCAGGCGCAGTGGCTCACACCTGTAATCCCAGCACTTTGGGAGGACAAGGCAGGCGGATCACCTGAGGTCAGGAGTTGGAAACCAGCCTGGGCAATATGGTGAAACCCCGTCTCTACTAAAAATACAAAAAAATTAGCTGGGCGTGGTGGCAGGCACCTGTAATCCCAGCTACTTGGAAGGGTGAGGCAGGAAAATCGCTTGAACCTGGGAGGTAGAGGTTGCGGTGATCCGAGACGGCACCATTGCACTCCAGCCTGGGCAACAAGAACGAAACTCCATCTCAAAACAAAAACAAAAACAAACAAACAAAAAAAATTAGCCGAGGATGGTGGCATGCACTACTTGGGAGGCTGAGGCAGGAGAATCACTTGAACCTGGGAAGCAGAGGTTGCAGTGAGCGAAGATCAAGCCACTGCCTCCAGCCTGGGTGACAGAGTGAGACCCTGTCTCAAAATAAATAAATACACTTTTAAAAATGGGCAAAACACTTGAACAGGAACTTCACAAGGGAAGATATCCAAATAGTCGATAAATATATGAAAAGATGCTGAAATTCCTTAGTTATGGGGAAATGCAAATTAAAACCGCAGTGTAAGTACCTAATGCTACTGAATTGTAAACTTAAAAATGATTTAAGCTGGGCACAGTGTGAGGGGATCATACTTCTGTAGTCCCAGCTACTCTGGAGGCTAAGATAGGAGGATTCCTGGTACCCAGAAGTTCAAGGCTAGCCTGGGCAACATAGCAAGATCCTGTCTCTTAAAAAAAATTAAAACAATCTAAATAGTAAATGTTTTATTATGTATATTTTACCACAATTTAAGAACACACAGTGTGATACTACGTCCACTATTCTGGCTAAATTGAAAAAAGACAAGCTGGGCATGGCAGCTCATGCCTGTAAACTCAGCACTTTGGGAAGGCGAGTCAAAAGGGTCGCTTGAGCCCAGGAGTTCAAGACCAGCCTGGACAACATAGGGCGACCCTGTCTCTACAAAAGATTTAAAAATTAGCCAGGTGTAATGGTACATGCCTGTGGTCCCAGCTACTCAGGAGGCTGAGGTAAGAGGATCAGTTGCACCCAGTAGTTGGAGGCTGCAGTGAGCCATGATCCTACTATTGCACTCCACTCTACCCTGAGTGACAGAGCAAGACTCTGTCTCAAAAAACCAAATTAATTAATTAATAAAAAAAGAAAAAGACAATATCAAATGTTGATAATGATGTGGAACTATTATGACTTCCTTACACTGATGGTGAGAGTATATTTGTGTAACCAGTTTGGAAAACTGGCGATATCTTCTAAGATTTAACATCTTCCCTGTGACCCAAAATATACATGACTGTATATTTTATTTCTTTTTCTTTTCCTTTTTTTTTTTTTTTGAGACGGAGTCTCGCTCTGTCGCCCAGGCTGGAGTGCAGTGGTGCGATCTCAGCTCACTGCAAGCTCCGCCTCCCGGGTTCATGCCATTCTGCTGCCTCGGCCTCCCGAGTAGCTGGGACTACAGGCGCCCGCCACCACACCTGGCTAATTTTTTGTATTTTTAGTAGAGACGGTGTTTCACCGTGTTAGCCAGGATGGTCTCAATCTCCTGACCTCGTGATCCTCCCGCCTCAGCCTCCCAAAGTGCTGGGATTACAGGCGTGAGCCACTGCGCCCGGCCATGACTGTGTATTTTATTTCGATATACAGTCATGTATTGCATAATGATGGGAATATGTTCTGAGAAATGTGTCATTAGGCGATTTCATCATTGAGCAAACAACATAGAGTATACTTACACAAACCTAGATAGTGTAACCTACTACACACCTAGGCTACATGATACAGCCTATTGCTCCTAGGCTACAAACCTATATGTTACATTACTGTACTGAATAGTGTAGGCAGTTGCAGCACAATGATATTTCTGTATCTAAACATAGAAAAGCTACATTAAAATTTGGTATTACAATCTTTTTTTTTTTTCCCCAAGACGGGGTCTTGCTCTGTCACCCAGGCTGGAATGCAGTGGCATGATCTCAGCTCACTGCAACCTCCGCCTCTCAGGTTCAAGCAATTCTCCTGCCTCAGCCTCCCAAGTAGCTGGGATTACAGGCCCCCGCCCCCACACCTGGCTAATTTTTGTATTCTTAGTAGAGACAGAGTTCACCATGTTGGCCGGGCTGGTCTCAAACTCTTGACCTCGTGATCCGCCTGCCTTGGCATCCCAAAGTGCTGGGATTACAGGCGTGAGCCACAGGTCCCGGCCCTATTATTGTACTCTTATGGGACCATCATCATATATGTGGGCTGTGGTTGACCAAAACGTTTTTATGTGATGTGTGGCTATATATGTTCACCAAAAATCATTTACAAGAAAGTTTATGGCAGCATTATTTGTAATAGTTATTGGGGAAACAACCCAAGTTTCAGTAAATGGATAAATTGTGATAAATTCACACAATGGAATACTCCATAGCATTGTAAAAATGGACTACTACTTGCAACAATATGCGTAAATCTCACAAACATCCTGTTGAGTAGAAGCTAGACACAAGAAAGTAATATTATTTTTTTCTTTCATATAAAGTTCAAAACCTGGCAAACCTAGTCTATGGTGGTAGAAGTTGGGATAGTGGTTATCCTTGAGGAAGAGAGTGAGGAAGGTGAGATGAAGGGGGCTTTCTGGGTGCTGGCAACCTCTGCTTTCTTGATCTGGGTGCTGGTTACACAGTGTGTTCCATTCATGACTTGTGTACTTTTCTGTCTGTATGTTACCCTTCAGTAAAACAATTACCAACTAGGCACAGTGGCTTATGCCTGTAATCCCAACACTTTGGGAGGCAAAGGTGGGTGGATCGCTTGAGCTCGGGAGTTCAAAACCAGCCTGGGCAATATAGTGAGAACCTCTCTCTATAAAAAATACAAAAATTAGCTAGGCATGATGGCAAGTGCCTGTAGTCCCACCTACTCAGGAGCCTGAGGTGAGAGAATTGCTTGAGCTGGGGAGATTGAGGTTGCAGTGAGCTATGAGCATGCCATGGCACCCCAGCCTGGGCAAAAGAAACAATTACCAGGCCAGGCACGGTGGCTCACGCCTGTAATCCCAGCACTTTGGGAGGCTGAGGCGGGCGGATCACGAAGTCAGGAGATCGAGACCATTCTGGCCAACACGGTGAAACCCCGTCTCCACTAAAAAATTCAAAAAAAAATTAGCCAGGCATGGTGGCGGGTGCCTGTAGTCCCAGCTACTCAGGAGGCTGAGGCAGGAGAATGGCCTGAACCTGGGAGGCAGAGCTTGCAGTGAGCCGAGATCGCGCCACTGCACTCCAGCCTGGGCAACAGAGTGAGACTCCATCTCCAAAAAAAAAAAAGAAACAATTACCAGAGAAAAGAAAAATAAATAAACTCATGGAAAAACTTTTTTTTTCCCAGAAAATAAAGCAGACTGACCCAAATATATTTTTATTTGTCCTCTTTTGCTTTTTAGGTTGAAAAAAATGATATAGGCCTTTCTCACATTAAAACACTTACGTCTTCTGAGAATTTTGTGGGTTTTGCTCCAAATTTTTCTGTTTTTTAAATTATATAACAAATACTACCTTATTAGTTGAGGGGAGGGAGACCAGAAAAGTATACAACAGGTAGTAGAAAGCTTGATACACTTACACTTTTTTTTTTTTTTTGAGAGTTTCCCTCTGTTGCCCAGCCTGCAGTGCAATGGCGAGATCTCAGCTCACTGCAACCTCTGCCTCCTGGGCTCAAGTGATTCTCATGCCTCAGCCTTCCGAGTAGCTGGTATTACCAGCATGTGCCACCACACCTGGCTAATTTTTGTATTTTTAGTAGAGACGAGGTTTCACCATGTTGGCCAGGCTGGTCTCGAACTCCTGGCCTCAAGTGATCCATATGCCTTGGCCTCCCAAAGTGCTGGGATTACACGTGTGAGCCACCGCGCCTGGCCTTGCTTGATACACTTTCATCCATATTCACGTGCAGTTGATATTATAGGATCAGTGAGGTTTATGATATTATCAGTTGAACAGTTTTATTTTAGTGGCAAGTCCATATTTGCTTCCTTACAAATTAAGATCTTTTATTCTTTTATTATGAAAAGTTCAGTTGGAAAATTCAAAATAAAAAAAACTTGCTCATTGCACACGGAAGTTATTTCACATGAAGAAATTCCACCTTACTTTTTTTCTTATTTTAATACCACATTTTTCTATACTTTAATCCTGAGAGAACTCTGGCTCTATATCAATTGCTTTTAAATCCATTGTCTGGATTTTTAAGCTCCTGTGAGTTTGGCAGCTGTTCCTATTGAGTAACTGAGTAAAGAGTTACAGTGCAAAGAGTGATATTACTATCCCCTCTGCACCCCGCCCCATGCCCCTGCTGGCCCTCCTCCCCTCCAGCCCCCCACCAAGGACATCCGCTTCCTTGGTTCTTCACGTCCGACATTCTGAATGCAATGAAACCACTAGGTTATTTTGAGAGCCACTTTTAATGGTCTCTTGCCCTTTAATTAAAGGAAAAGATGCCTCAACAAGGTGAAAGATGATGCAATTTCAATTGCTCTCTAAGGATGTGGCTTAAACCATACAGGATGTCAGATCCAGCACCTGTTTTTTGGTGGGAGTCAGGGTAGGGACCTCGTTCTGGCTTGGCAGACGTGGTACTGTGGTATTTTGCTTTTTACCCTTGGATAGCGCAGTGAAAGAAGATATACTCAGGACATACCAGCTTCCTCGAGGGCAGCTGTGGAGAAGGAAGTCGTGACTTCCTTTGAAATCACAGTCCAGAATCCCGGATATTCTTATTTTCAAGTCTGGTTTGAGAGTAAACAAATCTCAAATCTCTTTCCCAGGACATTCATTCAAATACATGTCATAATTGGGGTTTTTTGTTGTTGTTTGTTTTTCCCTCATGCTTTCTTCCACTCAATGGAAAACCCCTGCATCATCCGTTTCCTGCCAAGTGCTTTGCAAAGATTACAAGCAGGAAATTTAAAATGAGAATGACCATTTGAGCTACAGTGATCAGGCAACTATGATAATAAGAGGATGTGGGACCTATACAGCAGAGCCATTATAAAGTTTATCGGTGTTTTTATAATTCCCTCTTGCTCAGGGGCAGGTCAAATTATAGAGAGCTGAGAATTTGCATGAAAAGGTTTCATCTCCAACAATGAACTATGCATGGCATATAGTCATGAGTTCGTGTATATTTTAAGATATTGTAAGGCCGGGCGTGGTGGCTCACGCCTGTAATCCCAGCACTTTGGGAGGCTGAGGCGGGTGGATCACGAGATGTGGAGATCGAGACCATCCTGGCTAACATGGTGAAACCCCGTCTCTACTAAAAATACAAAAAATTAGCCGGGCATGGTGGCAGGCGCCTGTAGTCCCAGCTACTCGGGAGGCTGAGGCAGGAGAATGGCGTGAACCCGGGAGGCGGAGCTTGCAGTGAGCCAAGATGGCACCATCCAGCCTGGGCGACAGAGCGAGACTCTGTCTCAAAAAAAAAAAAAAAAAAAGATATTGTGAACTATTATTATTGGTACATTCATGCATTTTGTACTTTATTTATATACTCCCAGGGAGCAAGGAATCTCTTCTGTGCAATGTGCCAGATTGCTTTAATTGTACAGCCTCATAAAATATAAACTTGTTATTATAATGATAACATTGTTGTGTCATTATGATTACCGCTGAACCATGCAGCTATTTATCCTTGCTCCCCTCTATGCTTTCTCTAAATAGATAGACCTTTGTAACTGGATCCTAGACTGGCACCTGAGATGCGGCTTTTGCATTTAAAGAGTGGGAGACTGAATTCATCTTAGAATTTTAGAGCCGAATTTTAGAGGTCCTGGTGTTCAGGCAGCCCACTTTATAAATAGGAAAACTCAGCTTCAGAGAGTTCAGTGATGTCCTCCAAGGTCGCACAGCTAGTTAGGGTTAGAACAGGGACATCATCTGATTGCCAGACCCATGATCTTTTAAAAAGTCTCTGGTATCTTGCCAAAGAGTAGATAGGTAAAATTAGTTTTATCGATTGTTAGTAGGTTTGTTTGGCTAGGACATTTTCAAATATCTCTAATTAAACGTCTTGATTATGCCAAAAAACAATAATATGATTATTTTTCCTTTGTCTATCATACCTTTCTCCAGTTTTGATACTCACCTTCAATTTCAAGTTATAGCAAGCCATATTTTGCATAAATTCAATATATTTGGATATATCATAATCCATACTTCTTTTGAGTTCTATGGATTTGGGGCCTAACACAGAAACTGGCAAATCTAGGTGCCATTCAAACTTAGTTTATAGACTATATTTTTATTTTGTTTATTTATTTGAGACAGGGTCTTACTCTGTCACCCAGGCTGAAGAACAGTAGCACGATCATGGCTCACTACAGCCTGTAACTCCCAGGCTCAAGTCTCAGCCTGGAACTCCTTTTGTCTCAGCCTCCCAAGCAGCTGGGACTACAGGTGTGTGATACCATACCCAGCGCTTTTTTTTTTTTTGTAAAGATGAGGTCTTGCTATGTTGCCTAGGCTCGTCTCAAACTCCTGAACTCAAGTGATCCTCCCTCCTTGGCCTCCCAAAGTGCTGGGATTATAGGCATGAGCCACTGTGCCCAGTCTATAGACTATTTTTTTAAAAAGCAATTTCCTATAATGCCCATGATGTATATAGTCCAAATTTAGAAATTTATTTTAGGGAAATAATCCAAGATGTACAAAGATTTAGGCTGGGCGTAGGGTCTCACGCCTGCAATCTCAGCACTTTGGGAAGCCGAGGCAGGCAGATCACAAGGTCAGGGGTTCGAGACCAGCCTGGCCAACATAGTGAAACCTCATCTCTACTAAAAATACAAAAATTAGTCAGCCATGGTGGCGCGCACCTGTAGTCCCAGCTACTCAGGAGGCTGAGGCAGGAGAATTGCTTGAACCCGGGAGACAGAGGTTGTGTGAGCCGAGATCACGCCACTGCACTGCAGCCTAGGCAGCAGAGCAAGACTTTGAATCAAAAAAAAAAAAACAAAAACAAAGATTTATGTATAACAGGGACATTTGGTTCAGCATTACTCATAATAACAAAATAGCAACACAAAGTAATGTCCTTTTTTTTTCTTGGAAAAAAAACATAAAAAATTGTTTACAGTGATTATATTTAGAAAGACTTGCTAGCCAAGTGTGGTGGCTCATGTCTGTAATCCCAGCACTTTGGGAGGCCGAGGCAGGCAGATCACGAGGTCAAGATTTCAAGACAAGCCTGGACAACATAGTGAAATCCCATCTCTACTAAAAATACAAAAGTTAGCCAAGTGTGGTGGTGGGTGCCTGTAGTTCCAGCTACTTCGGAGGCTGAGGCAGGAGAAACGCTTGAACCCAGGAGTCAGAGGTTGCAGTGAGCCGAGATCATGCCACTGCACTCCAGCCTGGGTGACACAGCGAGACTCCATCTCAAAAAAAAAAAGACAGACTTGCTCAATGGGAAGAAAATCTTTCCTTTTGCTTTTTGTGTCTGTTGTTTGTATCATTTGATTTTTCTGTCCACATAGATGTACTAATTTATTTTCTTCAAAAACATCAACAGATATATATCTATAGATATAGATATAGATATATAGATAGATATAGATATAGATACAGATATAGATATAGATATAGATATAGATATAGATATAGATTTTTTTTTGAGACAGAGTCTTGCTCTGTTGCCCAGGCTGGAGTGCAGTGGCGCGATCTTGGTTCATTGCAACCTCTGCATCCCCATTTTGAGCGATTCTCCTGCCTCAGCCTCCTAAGTAGCTGGAATTACAGGTGCTCACCAGCACGTATGTCTAATTTTGTATTTTTAGTAGAGACGGTGTTTCGTCATGTTGACCAGGCTGGTCTCAAACTCCTGACCTCGAGTGATCACCTGCCTTGGCCTCCCAAAGTGGTGGGATTACAGGTATGAGCCACCATGCCCAGCCAATGGGCTTCCAATTTTATTACTGTTGCCCTGGATTTCTCTCCCTGCATTTTGGACACACATAGTCCACTGCTTCCTTGGAATTTCTTTTCTTTTTCTTTTTTTCTTTCTTTCTTTCTTTTTTTTTTTTTTTTGAGATGGAGTCTTACTTTGTTGCCCAGGCTAGAGTGCAATGGTGCATTCTCAGCTGACTGCAACCTCCGCCTCCTGGGTTCAAGCAATTCTCCTGCCCCGGCCTCCCAAGGAGCTGGGACTACAGGCGCAAGCCACCACACCTGGCTAATTTTTTTTTTTTTTTTTTTTGTATATTTAGTAGAGACAAGGTTTCACTGTGTTAGCCAGGATAATCTCGATCTCCTGACCTCGTGATCCTCCTGACTCGGCCTCCCAAAGTGCTGGAATTACAGGCATGAGCCACTGCACCCAGCTTAATGTGCTTTATTTTTTGAGACAGAATTTCACTCTGTTGCCCAGGCTAGAGTACAGTGGCACAATCTCGTCTCACTGCAACCTCTGCCTCCCAGATTCAAGCAATCCTCTTGTCTCAGCCTCCCGAGTAGCTGGGACTACAGGCGCCCGCCACCATGCCCAGCTAATTTTTGCATTTTTAGTAGAGACAGGGTTTCACCATGTTGGCCAGGCTGGTCTCGAACTCTTGACTTCATGATCTGCCCGCCTCGGCCTCCCAAAGTGCTAGGATTACAGGTGTGAGCCACTGCGCCCGGCCAACCCCCAGTTTTTTTTTTTGGGAGGGACTCTAACTCTCCTAAATTGGGTCTCTAACTCAATTCTGCCTTTTACCTGGGATAAAATATACTCCACCACTTAACAAGAGGTGGGCAATTCATGCTGCAGTATATTTCTTTTGGGTAGGGTGATTCTCCAATATTGTCCCTTTGTGGTCGCCAGGAAGAGATTACTGGAACATAGTCTTAATTTAGACCCCAAGAGAGGGTTTTTGGATCTTGTGCAAGAAGGAATTTGGGGCAAGTCCACAGAGTAAAGTGAAAGCAAGTTTATTAAGAAAGTAAAAAAAGTAAACTAATATGCAGAGCAGGCTGGGCGCGGTGGCTCACACCTGTAATCCCAGCACTTTGGGAGGCTGAGGCGGGCAGATCACGAGGTCAGGAGTTCGAGACCAGCCTGACCAACAGGGTGAAACCCCGTCTTTACTAAAAATACAAAAATTAGCCGGGCATGGTGCCACGCACCTGTAATCCCAGCTACTCAGGAGGCTGAGGCAAGAGAATTGCTTGAACCCAGGAGGCAGAGGTTGCAGTGAGCCGAGATCGTGCCACTGCACTCCAACCTGGGCGACAGAGCTAAACTCCGTCTCAACAGAAAAAACAAAAAAAACAATATGCAGAGCAGCAGCTTGGGCTGCTTAACTGAGTATATTTATGGTTATTTATTGATTATATACTAAACGGGTGGATTAAACATGAGGTTCCTGGGAAAGGGGCAGGCAATTCCCAGAATGGAGGGTTCCTCCCCTTTTTAGACTATATAGGGTAACTTCCAGACATTTTCATGGCATTTGTAAACTGTCCTGGCACTGGTGGGAGTGTCTTTTAGCATGTTAATGTATTAGAATGTATTATGTATTATGTATTATGTATAATGTATTATGAGCAGTGAGGACAACCAGAGGTCACTTTCGCCACCATCTTGATTTTGGTGGGTTTTGGCTGGCTTTTGTTACCATATCCTGTTTTACCAGCAGGTCTTTGTGACCTGTCTCTTGCAATACCAGTCCTGTTGACCTCTTATCTCATTTTGAGACAAAGAATGCCTAACCTCCTGGGAATGCAGCCCAACGGGTCTCATCCTCATTTTACTTCAGCTCTTATTCAAGACACAGTTGCTCTGGTTCAAATGCCTTTTTCTCCAATTATATTTCTTTCTTTTCTTTCTTTTTCTTTTTCTTTTTTTTTGAGATGGAGTTTCACTCTTGTCACCCAGGCTGGAATGCAGTGACGTGATCTCAGCTCACTGCAACTTCTCCCTCTCGGGTTCAAGCAATTCTCCTGCCTCAGCCTCCTAAGTAGCTGGGATTACAGGCGCCTGCCACCACACCCAGCTAATTTTTGTATTTTAGTAGAGACGAGGTTTCACCATGTTAGTCAGGCTAGTCTCGAACTCCTGGCCTCAGGTGATCTGCCTGCCTCGGCCTCCCAAAGTGCTGGGATTAGAAGTGTGAGCCTCCAATTACATTTCTACATGCCTCTCCATACTTTGTTGAACCCAAGCATAAAAATATTTTGCCCTGTATTTTTGAGTCTTCATTCGGAATGCCCCAGTGTATACATGTTGAATACATTTGTAATCCTTTTCTCTTATTAATCTGCCTTTTGCAAGTTGATTTTTTAGTGGAACTTTAGAGGGTCCTTGTCCTTTATGGTTGCTTGTCTTTACTCTTTCCTTCATGAAAGACTTCTTGGCTGGGCATGGGCTTATGCCTGTAATGCCAGAACACTGGGAAGCCGAGGCGGGCAGATCACGAGGTCAGGAGTTCAAGACCAGCCTGGCCAACGTGGTGAAACCCCGTCTCTAGTAAAAATACAAAAATTAGCTGGGCATGGCGGCGCCCATCTGTAATCCCAGCTCCTTGGGAGGCTGAGACAGGAGAATTGCTTGAACTCGGGAGGCAGAGGTTGCAGTGAGTCGAGATCGCATTGCTGCACTACAGCCTGGGCAACAAGAGCAAGACTCTGTCTCAAAAAAAAAAAAAAAAAAAAAAAAGAAAAGAAAGATTTCTCTATAGCATGTTGATATGGTTTGGATATTTGTCCCTGCCGAGATCTCATGTTGAATTGTAATCCCTAGTGCTGGATGGGGGCCTGGTGGGAAGTGTTTGGGTCATGGGGGTGGATCCCTCATGGCTTGGTGCTCTTTGTTTTTGTTTTTTGTTTTTTTTTGAGAAAGAGTCTCGCTCTGTTGCCCAGGCTGGAGTGCAGTGGTGCAGTCTCAGCTCACTGCAAGCTCTGCCTCCCAGGTTCACACCATTCTCCTGCCTCAGCCTCTCCGAGTAGCTGGGACTACAGGCGCCTGCCACCACCTCCCGCTAATTTTTTGTATTTTTAACAGAGATGTGGTTTCACCATGTTAGCCAGGATGGTCTCGATCTCCTGACCTCGTGATCCACCCACCTTGGCCTCCCAAAGTGCTGGGATTATGGGCGTGAGCCACCGCACCCAGCGGTGCTCTTTTCAAGATAGTGAGGTCATCAAGAAAGCAGAGGTTGCCAGCATGCTTTTAAATGACCAGATCTCGCTCTGTTGCCCAGGCTGGTGTGCAGTGGCGCGATCTCGGCTCACTGCAATCTCCGCCTCCCAGGTTCACGCCATTCTCCTGCCTCAGCCTCCTGAGTAGCTGGGACTACAGGTGCCGGCCACCACGCCCAGCTAATTTTTTACATTTTAGTAGAGACGGGGTTTCACCATGTTAGCCAGGATGGTCTCGATCTCCTGACCTCGTGATCCGCCCGCCTCGGCCTCCCAAAGTGCTGGGATCATAGATGTGAGCCACCGTGCCCGGCCTAATTTTTGTATTTTTAGTAGAGACGGCGTTTCACCATGTTGGCCAGGCTGGTCTCGAACTCCTGACCTCAGGCAATCCGCCCGCCTCGGCCTCCCAAAGTCTGGGATTACAGGCGTGAGCCACCACACCTGGCCTATTTTTACTTTTCAGAGACAAGGTCTCACTATGTTGCCCAGGCTGGTCTTGAACTCCTGGCCTCAGGAGACCCTTTTGCTTCAGATTCCCAAAGTGCTGGGATTACAGATGTGAACCACCGCACCCAGTCTCTATTTAGTTTTTGGGATCTTCCCCCCATCATTTGCAGCTGAACTGATCTTAACTCTCTGGCCTGCCCAACTGAATTGTTAATGCTGCTGCAGCTCTGAATGGGTGCTAGTTTGGGCATGCCAGTTTGGGCATGTGGTGTACAGGTGGGGGCAAGTATATGTCAGAATCCTGAGATGGAGTCCCTCAAATACACAGCAGACCACTATCACTGGCAACCCAGCACTTACACAAGTGATAAATCCAAAAAACACTAGCCAATAAAGAAGACTCAGGGATTTTGCTTTTTTAATGTGGGATTGAGATAGTTCATGGTCTTTTGGTTTTAAGAGACTCCATTTCTTTTCTTTTTATTTTTATTTACTTATTTATTTTTTGAGATGTAGTCTTTTCTGTCGCCTAGGTTGGAGTGCAGTGACCTGATCTTGGTTCACTGCAACGTCTGCCTCCCGTGTTAATGCCAGTCTCCTGCCTCAGCCTCCCGAGCAGCTGAGACTACTGGCATGTGCCACCAGACCTGGCTAATTTTTGTATTTTTAGTCGAGATGGGGTTTCCCCATGTTGGCCAGGCTGGTCTCGAACTCCAGACCTCAAGTGATCTGCCAGCCTCGGCCTCCCAAAGTGCTGTGATTACAGGCGTGAAACCGTGCCCAGCCTCCATTTCTCTTCTTTCAAACCTGATCTCTGAGAGCCTATATAGATTTGTGGTGGACTGGGTTCCCTGCTAGAAAAAGTCTGACACTATATTCAATTTTTGGTCTTTCAAAAGTCTTCTTCTTCTTTTTTTTTTTTTAGATGGAGTTTCGCTCTTTGTTGCCCAGGCTCGAATGCAGTGACGCAATCTCGGCTCACTGCAACTTCTGCCTCCTGGGTTCAAGCGATTCTCCTGCCTCAGCCTCCTGAGTAGCTGGAATTACAGGCATGTGCCACCATGCCCAGCTAATTTTTGTATTTTAGTAGAGACAGGGTTTCACCATGTTGGCCAGGCTGGTCTTGAACTCCTGACCTCAGGTGATCCGCCTGCCTTGGCCTCCCCAAGTGCTAGGATTACAGGCATGAGCCACTGTGCCCGGCAGAGCCACCGCGCCCAGCCTCAATTTCTTTCTATTTCCTTTTTTGAGACGGGGTCTGGCTCTGTTGCCCAGGCTGGAGTGCAGTGGCACAATCTCGGCTCACTGCATCCCCCCACTTCCACATTGGAGTGATTCTCCTACAGGCATGCACCACCACACCCAGCTAACTTGTATTTTCAGTAGAGAAGGGGTTTCTCCGTGTTGGTCAGGCTGGTCTCAAACTCCTGGCCTCAGGTGATCTGCCCGCCTCAGCCTCCCAAAGTGCTGGGGTTACAGGCATGAGCCACCGTGTCTGGCCTAAAACGTTAAACTCTTTTAAAAGAGTTTTAATGACACGGTCTGTAGGAAAACTATATTTTATATCTCCGGTGAAATGGCTAAGAAAAACATATTCTTATATTCCTCATGTATGAAAAGAAGACAATAGGTTCTTGCTTTTTGCTGTTTTTTTTTTTTTTTTTAAATTACAGGTGGGGCACAGTGGCACACACCTGTAATCTCAGCACTTTGGGAGGCCCAGGTGGGCAGATCACAAGGTCAGGAGATTGAGACCATCCTGGCTAACACGGTGAAACCCCGTCTCTACTAAAAATACAAAAAATTAGCCGGGCGTGGTGGCGGGCGCCTGTAGTCCCAGCTACTCAGGAGACTGAGGCAGGAGAATGGTGTGAACCCGGGAAGCGGAGCTTGCAGTGAGCAGAGATCGTGCCACTGTACTCTAGCCTGGGTGACAGAGCAAGACTCCATCTCAAAAAAAAAAAAAAATTACAATAGAAAGGTTATGAAAAATGAAAAGAGAATAAGGAATACTTGGTAATGATCCTAAACTTCTAGTTTTGGATAAATCTGAACAAGGTACTAAAATGTTCAGTTTAATTTTTTTTTTTTTTTGAGACAAAGTCTCGCTCTGTTGCCCGGGCTGAAATGCAGTGGCACAATCTTTGCTCACTGCAACCTCCCGCCTCCCAGATTCAAGTGATCCTCATTCGTCAGCCTTCCGAGTAGATAGGATTACAGGTGTGTGCCACTATGCCCAGCTAATTCTTATTTATTTATTTGAGATGGTGTCTCCTTCTGTAGCCCAGGCTGGAGTACAGTGGTGCGATCTTGGCTTACTGCAACCTCCGCCTCCTGGGTTCAAGCGATTCTCCAGCCTTAGCCTCCCCAGTAGCTGGGATTACAGGCATCCACCACCACGATGGGCTAATTTTGTATTTTTAGTAGAGATGAGTTTTCACCATGTTGGCCAGGCTGGTCTTGAACTCTTGATCTCAGGTGATCTGCCTACCTTGGGCTCCCAAAGTGCTGGGATTACAGGCCTGAGCCACCTGCATCAGGCCTAATTTTTGTTTTTTCAGTAGAGACGGTGTTTCACTATTTTGGCCAGACTGGTCTTGAACTCCTGGCCTCAAGTGATCCACCTGCCTTGGCCTCCCAAAGTGCTGGGATTACAGACGGGAGCCACTGCATCCGGTGGACAATTAGTTATTGACAATATCAATGACTGACAACTGTGGTTGTAACTCAGATAAAACAACAAACAGTTAACAAAATCTTTACATTTTCTTTTCCTGCTTTTTTGTAGCGATGGGGTTTTACCATGTTGCCCAGGCTGGTCCGGGACTCCTGGACTCAAGCAATCCTACTGTCTCAGCCTCCCAAAGTGGTGGGATTACAGGTGTGAGCCACTATGCCCGGCCAAAATCTTTACATTTTCTGAAAGGGTGAAACATTCCAAAAATCATATGGATAGTTATATAAAATGTATTAATGTCTTTTACTTTTATTTTTATTTTTTAGGGATAGGATGTCCCTATGTTGCTCAGGCTGGCCTTGACCTCCTGGGCTCAAGTAATCCTCCTGCCTCAGACTCTGAAGTACCTGCGATACTACAGTAACATACCATTAAATATGGTTTTTTACTCCTCTTTACAACCCTATGAGGAAACTGGGTTAGACGGGGTGACTCATGTCTATAATCCCAGGACTTTGGGAGGCCTAGTTAGGAAGATCACCTGAGATCAGAAGTTCACGGTTACAGTGAGCTATGATTGTGTCACTGCACTCCAACTCAGGTGATCAAAAATAAAAAAAGGAAACTGAATCAGAGTTAAAAGTCACCAACCAGTAAATGACGGAACTGAGATTTAAACCTTCAAGAGTATCAGTATCTGCTCTGTTCGTTTTTGGCAGGCTGGGGGCGGCGTGGGGAAGGTGTATAACTTTTTTTAACTTCTCAGAGTGCTTTTACATTTACTTTATTAGTCAAAAAGTATAGTATATAAACTTACCTGGATAATTAAAAGAATGCCTCTTGTCTCAACAATTCAGACTACTGAAATGGACATTTCTCATTCAAATTCATGTAACTTTTAGGCCTGGTGAGGTGACTCACGCCTGTAATCCCAGCACTTTGGTAGGCTGAGGTGGATGGATCACTTGAGGTCAGTTTGAGACCAGCCCGACCAACATGGTGAAACCCCATCTCTACTAAATACAAAAAACACAAAAATTAGCCGGGAATGGTGGTGCCTGCCTGTAATCCCAGATATTCGAGTGGCTGAGGCAGAGAATCTCTTGAACCCAGGAGATTGAGGCTGCAGTGAGCCAAGATTGCACCACTGCACTCCACCCTGGGTGACAGAATAAGAATCTGTCTCAAAAACAAAAAAAACTAAATTTATGTTAATTTTATTAATTGCTTAATATTAATATATATTATCTCACAAGTATAGAAATAAAATCATAAAATAAAGGAAATGTGACACATAGATACATGTGCACACATAATTTTAGACAGAATTGGTAATTTACTTTCTATCTTTGTGTGTGTGTGTGTGTGTGTGTGTCTGTGTGTGTGTGTGTGTGTTTTGAGACAGGGTCTCACTCTGTTACCCAGGCTGGAGTGCAGTGGCATGATCATGGCTCACTGCAGCCTCGACATCCGGGACCCAGTGTTTTTTAAATTTTTTTTTTTTTTTGAGACAGAGTCTAGTTATATCACCCAGGCTGGAGTGCCGTGGTGTGATCTTGCTCACTGCAATCTCTGCCTCCTGGGTTCAAGCGATTCTCTCGCCTCAGCCTCCCGAGTAGCTAGGATTACAGGCAGGCACCCACCACACCTGGCTAATTATTGTATTTTTATTGAGACGGGGTTTCACCATGTTGGCCAGGCTGGTCTCGAATTCCTGACCTCAGGTGATCCACCCACCTTGGCCTCCCAAAGTGCTGGGATTACAGGTGTGAGCCACTGCACCTGGCTTCACTTTTTAAATTTTTAATAAAATGTTTCAAGCTACAGAAAAGTAGCTGGGTGCGGTGGCTCACGCCTGTAATCCCAACACCTTGGGAGGCTGAGGAGGGGAGGATCGCTGGAGACCAGGCGTTGGAGACCAGCCTGGGCAACATGGCGAAACTCCCATCTCTACAAAAAATTTAAAAAATTAGCTGGGTGTGGTGGTGCGAGCCTGTAGTGCCAGTTACCTGGGAGGCTGGGGAGGGAGGATCACCTGATTCTAGCTGTGATCGCACCACTGCATTCCAGCCTCAGCAACAAAGTGAGACCATCTCAAAGAAGAAAAAAAAAAAAAGACAGAGAGAAAGAAAGAAAAGTGGAGAGAATAATGCTGCCAGTATTCCCTAATTATCTTCTAGGTTTGGCAAATCTTAATGATGCTATATTTGCTTCAGATAACATTTTTAAATTTAGTTTTTTGAATAGTTAATACATTTGTATGTTCAAAAAAAATTATAGTTAAGTTCCCATCCCACTCTATCCCATATGCCACTTTCATTGCATAGGTTCTAGTTATATATTTTTCTGAGGTTGTGTGTGTATGTTTGTGTGTATACAAACAAATACAAATATATTTGGACTTACTATTTAAAAATGGAAAAGTTAACTTTTTAAAAAATGTTTTTTCTTTTTAATAGAGACAGGGTCTCAGTATGTTGCCCAGGCTGGTTTTGAATTCCTGGGCTCAAACAATCCTCCTGCGTCAGCCTCTCAAAGTGCTAAGATTACAGGCATGAGCCACCAAGTCTGACCAAATAACTTTTTTTTTTTTTGAGACAGAGTCTTGCTCCGTCGCCCAGGCCGGAGTGCAATGGCATGATCTCAGCTCACTGCAACCTCTGCCTCCCAGGTTCAAGTGATACTCCTGCCTCAGCCTCCTAAGTAGCTGGAATTACAGGTGCGCGCCACCACGCCCGGCTAATTTTTGTATTTTTAGTAGAGATGGGGTTTCACCACGTTGGCTAGGCTGGTCTCGAATTCCTGACCTCGTGATCTGCCCGCCTCGGCCTCCCAAAGTGCTGGGATTACAGGCGTGAGCCACTGCACCCGGCCCCAAGTAACATATTTTTGACATTTTTTTTTGTTTACATTCACACTCTCTCGCTTTTTTTTTTTTTTTTTTTTTTTTTTTTGCGACAAGATCTCACTGTCACCCAGACTGGATCTCCAGCTGGATCGCCAGCAGTGCGATCCTAGTCACTGCCGCCTTCAACTTCTGGGCTCAAGCCATTCGCCTGCCTGGGCCTCCCAAAGTGCTGGGATTACAGGCGAGCCACACCGCACCTGGCCAGTGTCTATGTTCAGCCCTATTTTTCCTCTCTTTACCACCTCTTTTCTCAGCTTATTATTCAATAAACAATTCATAAAACTCTGAGTTCGAAGCATTCTGCTATGAACTCTGAAGAAGCGGTAATTTCTTATTCACTATTGCTTGCCTCTGTCCTTTTTCCTCCTCCCACAACTCAGTTTTCCAAAAACCGAGACCTATTTCCAAGGTTTAAAGTGCCGGGCACAGTGGCTCACGCCTGTAATCCCAGCACTTTGGGAAGCTGAGGTGGGAAGATCGCTTGAGCTAAGGAGTTCGACACCAGCCTGGGCAACTAATCCCCGTCTTTGCAAAACAAACAAACAAACAAACAAAAACCCATTAAAACAAAAATTCGGTGTGGTGGTGTTAGTCGGGGAAGGGAGGCTGAGGTGGGAGGATCGTTTCAGCCCGGGAGGTAGAGACTGTAGTCAGCCGAGATCGAATCACTGCTCTCCAGCCTGAGTGATAGAGCGAGACTTAGTCTCAAGAAAAAAAAAAAAGAAAAACCCCAGAATAACAAGTATTAACTTTATGCAAATAAGGAGGCTTAACTGAGTTCCTCTGAAGAATTCAGTAGGGCGGAAATTGTGGGACCGAAGGCGGGACCGGCGTGCTGGGCGGAACCTGAGAGGCGGGTTTTGCAGGCTCCGCCCAGCCCCCCGCACGGATTTGGCGCCAAACGCTGCGGGCCCTTCTCGCCCCAGGAGTTCCCGAGTATCGCGAGAAGCGCGCTTAGTCTGCACGCCGAGGTCCGCGCTGTGTCCCGTGTTTTCTGCGTGAGGTGAGAGCTGGCTGGCGGGCCAATGAAGTTCTTGCGGGGAGAGGGGAGTCGGACTAGCCAGGGAGCCAGATGGAAGAGCCAGGGAGCCAGACAGACTAGCGGGAAAGCCTAATTGTCGCAGGAAGGGGGTCAGGAGGTTGGGGGGTCGACCTGACCCGGCCTGGAGAGGCGGGGAGGTGGGCGCGTGTCCCGGTTGCTTAGGTTTTGGGATGCCTCTTACTCTGCCAAGCCGCTTAGCGGGAGGGAACGTGTTCCTGATCATCTTTACCCCAGGCTTCTGTCCGGGGCGTGTCAATGTAGAAATCCCCCAGCGAATGTTGGATGAATGAATGAAGTTGAAGAGAGGGTAGGCGGGGAACGAGGATGAGGGGGACGGCTGGAGAAGAGGTATGGGAGGTTCGATGTTTCAGGGATGGCACCCAAGGGGGACATCGAGGCAGCACGGTAGCACTTCCTTTGCGATGAGGGGCGTCTCTTTGGACTTCTTGGAAAAGAGGTGGGCATTGGAAACCAGGGTCTGGGAACAAACCGTGGTTTGGACATAACATTTGTTACCTTCACTCTTCTGGGAGTTGGAGAAGTAGAGGAGGAAGTTCAGACAATTTCATAAGTGTCTAAAAAGAGACAGTTATGCGACCATTGACGAGGAGTAAAAGTCGTCTATTGAGCATCTTATTCACTACAAATAGAAGAAAGAAATACCAGTTTCCTGACAAGCCCCACCCCATGCTTGGCCAGTTCCTGAGTACACTTAATATATTTTAGGTACTGTCATCAAACTCAAAGCTCGCTGTCAGCCTCAAAGGTCTGAACCCTAGTATAGATTCTTGTAGCTTGCTTGAAGTTACAGTGGGTCATGATCAGGAATTGATGCTTTGTTTTTGTTTTGAAACGGAGTCTCGCTCTTTCGCTCAGGCTGGAGTGCAGTGGCGCGGTCTCGGCTCACTGCAAGCTCCGCCTCCTGGGTTCAAATGATTCTCCTGCCTCAGCCTCCCGAGTAGCTGGGACTACAGGCGTGTGCCACCACGCCCCGCTAATTTTTTTTGTATTTTTAGTAGAGATGGGGTTTCACTGTGTTGGCCAGGCTGGTCTCGAACTCCTGACCTCATGATCCGTCCGCCTCTGCCTCCCATAGTGCTGGGATTACCGGCGTGAGCCACCGCGCCCAGCCGATGCTTTGCTTTTATATTTATGGTAACCGAAATTTAGAATTAGTGAGATTTTAAAGATCGTCTAACTCCAATTTGGGGAAACTGGAATTTTTTTTTGCATTCCATCATTCATCAAATATATATTGAGCACCTGGGGCCGGGCGCGATGGCTCACGCCTGTAATCCCAGCATTTTAGGAGGCCGAGGCGGGCGGATCACGAGGTCAGGAGATCGAGACCATCCTGGCTAACACGGTGAAACACCGTCTCTATGAAAAATACAAAAAATTAGCCGGGCGTGGTGGCAGGCGCCTGTAGTCCCAGCTATTCGGGAGGCTGAGGCAGGAGAATGGCGAGAACCCGGGAGGCGGAGCTTGCAGTGAGCAGAGATCGCGCCACTGCACTCCAGCCTGGGTGACAGAGCCCGAGACTCCTTCTCAAAAAAAAAAAAAAAAAAAAAAGATATATATTGAGCACTTGCTGTGTAACAGCATTGGGGTTCCAGCTGTGTAACACAGAGAGACTTAACCTCGTTGCCCTTTTTGAGCTACAGTCTAGTTTGGGAGACGAACAATAAATAACTGTATAAATAAAACCTGATATTGAAACTGGATAAGTGCCATGACACTTGTACTTGACACTATGAATGCTTACTAAAGAAGGATTTAGAGAAATTGAGGTAAACTTTTGAAAAGGTGATAGTTGAGATCTGGAAGATATTAGGAGTCAAGGAATAGCTTTTTCAAGACAGGAAATAGTATTTGTAAAGAGCCAGTGGCCTGAGGGATATAGCTCTTTCAAGGAAAGAAAAAGCATAGAGTAGTGTGAAGTGAGACTGGTGAGGTAGTAAGAGGCTGGATCACACAGGGCCTTGAAGTTTTGTCTTTATCTTAAGAGCAATCAGAAACCATTGAAATACTTAATCCAAGTGAGGTGATCAGCTTTATATTTTCAGATTCAGTCTAGATGTAATAGGGACAATTGAAGGAGACGAGTGGATGAGAGTAGTGGAGTAATGCAAGCAAGAAATGTTGGGAAGTGGTTATAGAGATAAGGAGAAATAGACAGATTCAAGGGATATTTAGGAAATAAGATGGGCAGGATCTGTGGGATAGGGGAAGGAATTGCTAAAGATGACTTGTAGGTTTCTGAATTGCATAGCTGGATAGATGTCATTTAATGAGTTAGGAAAATTTAGAAGTTTGGTTTTGTACCTGCTGAGTTACAGGTGCCTTTCAGGCGTTTAGGAAGTGTAAAATGGGAAGTAGTGATCTGGATCGCAGAGTCAAGGCCTAGGGTAGAGATAAAAATCAGGGAGTCATCTATAAATCAGTACTTATTAAAGCTCTGTGCATAAATGAATGAAGAAGCCCTAGGATGGAGTCTTGGATACTTAATGGCCGGGGTAGAAGATAAACCTGCAAAGAAAATCCAGGAGGAGTGCCCAGAAAGGGAGGAAAGCCTCAGCCTCCTGAGTAGCTGGGACTACAGGTGCGTGCCACAACACCTGGCTAAATTTTTTTTATATTTTTAGTAGAGACGGGGTTTCACTGTGTTGGCCAGGCTGGTCTCGAACTCCTGACCTCATGGTCCGTCTGCCTCTGCCTCCTGCTGGGATTACCGGCATGTCTTAGAAGTTAAGGTAAACATTTTTCCCAGAAAAAAACTGACCAAAAGTGTCAGTTGTTATTGAGAAGTTAAGTAAGGCAGTACTGAAAAACATTCTTTCGAGTTATCAACCTGAGGATAATTTCCCATTCAGGAAACCTTACCTAGAAGACCAATATGTAAACACATTTAAAAATTTTTTTTTATTTTTAATTTTTGTGGGCACGTAGTAGGTGTATATAAACAGATTTTTTTTTTTTTTTTTGAGACAGAGTGTTGGTCTGTCGCCCAGGCTGGAGTGCAGTGGCGGCATCTTGGCTTACTGCAAGCTCCGCCTCCTGGATTCACGCCATTCTCCTGCCCCAGCCTGCCGAGTGGATGGGACTACAAGCGCCCGCCACCACGCCTGGATAATTTTTTGTATTTTTAGTAGAGACGGGGTTTCACCGTGTAGCCAGGATGGTCTCGATCTCCTGACCTCGTGATCCGCCCGCCTCGGCCTCCCAAAGTGCTGGGATTACAGGCGTGAGCCACCGCGCCCAGCCCAGATTTTTTTTTTTTAAGCAGCTCTAATTGAAGTGGGGGTGAAGTACCTATATCCTGCGTATTTCATACCCTATTGGATCACAGTTTGAAACCCTCTGAAAAGTCAAATTCATCTTTTTATGGTAGGGGAAACTCAATAGTTGAGGTAAAAGGATTTGTTCAAAATGATATAGTTATTTAGTGTTAGGGTCTACATTGGAACTTAGATTTCTAGGCTAGTCTTTTTTTTCATAATTAGTATCTTCTCTACTTTTCATGATGTGTGAGTTTGAAATGTGGTCTAACTGATTGAAACACATGAAATGGCTGCAGGTAGAACTTGTCTATATAGTGGAGACTATTTTGGATGAATACAAATAACTTTAATTTTTTCCCCTAGAGGAAAAGATGCTAGAACCACAGGAGAATGGCGTGATTGACCTACCAGATTATGAGCATGTAGAAGATGAAACTTTTCCTCCTTTCCCACCTCCAGCCTCTCCAGAGAGACAAGATGGTGAAGGAACTGAGCCTGATGAAGGTATGTATAGAGAGTTTTAAAAAGGAGGCTGTGAGGCCAGGCACGGTGGCTCATGCCTGTAATTCCAGCACTTTGGGATGCTGAGGCGGGCGGATCACAAGGTCAGGAATTTGAGACCAGCCTGGCCAACATGGTGAAATCCCGTCTCTACTAAAAATACAAAAATTAGCCGGGGTGTGGTGGCTGTGGTAAAAGGTATTTGAGGAGAAAAAAGAAAAAAAAGGAGGCTGGGCACAGTGGGTCCTGCCTGTAATCCCAGCACTTTGGGAGGCCGAGGCAGGAGGATGGCTTGAGCCCAGGAGTTCAAGACCAGCCTGGCGAGACCTCAACTCTACTAAAGATTTAAAAATTAGCCGGGTGTGGTAGGCAGCACCTGTACTTCCAGGTACTCGGGATACTGAGGCAGAAGAATCTCTTGAGCCTAGGAGTTTGAGGCTGCAGTGAGCCAAGATCGCACCACTGCACTCCAGCATGGGCAACAGAGTGAGACCCTGTTTCAAAAAAAGGTGTCCCATGTTTAGTTATCTTATCAGCTTGGAAATGATACATAATAAATAATACAAATCATTTAAGTACAGTAATACTGAATCGTGGTTTGTTTCACCAGAGTCAGGAAATGGAGCACCTGTTCGTGTACCTCCAAAGAGAACAGTTAAAAGAAATATACCCAAGCTGGATGCTCAGAGGTACATTTACTATATTCTTATACATTTATACTTTTTATTTTTAATATCCATTGTTTTTCTTCTAATGTTATAAACTTTTGGTTGGTATGATGTGGAGCTCTTATATTTCTAAAAACTTTTTTTTAGTTCAGCAGAACATATTTTTTCTTATGGTCTTGCTTTGGACCAAACTCTAGAAAACTTGAAATTAGGCTGGGCGTGGTAGCTCACGCCTATAATCCCAGCTCTTTGGGAGGCCTACGTGGGCGGATCACGAGGTCAGGAGATTGAGACCATCCTGGCTAATACGGTGAAACCCCGTCTCTACTAAAAATACAAAAAATTAGCTGGGTGCAGTGGTGGGTGCCTGTAGTCCCAGCTACTTGGGAGGCTGAGGCAGGAGAATGACGTGAACCTGGGGGAGGCCGAGCTTGCAGTGACCCGAGATCGCGCCACCGCATCCCAGCCTGGGCGACAGAGTGAGACTCCGTCTCAAAAAAAAAAAAAAGAAAATAAAACTTGAAATTAAAAACATACTTTTATTCACAGATTAATTTCAGAGAGAGGACTTCCAGCCTTAAGGCATGTATTTGATAAGGCAAAATTCAAAGGTAAAGGTCATGAGGTAAGAACTGATTTTTATGTTAGACCTTTGTTTTTTAAAATAGCAATAAAAATGTGGACCCATTATGATCTTGGAAATCTCAGAATGCTTTAAGATACTATCCTTAGTCGTCGTATGTCTTGAGAAACAGTTGTGATGTACTAGAAAGGGAACTGTTTGAAGAATTAGAAAGCATGTCTTGTGCAGTCTCATTTTTTGCTGCTTAAACCTTGGCTATAGGAAAATCACACCTGTGTCTGTAAAGTCTCAGTTTTTATTTTATAATTTACAGGAATAAAATTTACTTTGTCTACCTCAAAGTTTTAAATTTCATGAGGGCAAGGACTCTGCCTGTATCAGTCACTTATGTGTCCCCAAGATGTGGCACAGTGCCTGGTTCATAATAAATGTCAGTAAAGTGTGGTTAAAAAATGAATACATTTAGTAACTGAATCACTTTACAAATGCACATTTTGAAATCTATTTTTGAATTATGTAGGAGTGTAGGTATAATTTTTTGCAGATGATAGTATATTTTTAGAGAGTTTTGTAGTTTTTCAAGTGTTTCTAATATCTAATATATTCTTTTTTTTTTTTTTTTTTTTTTAAGACGGAGTCTTGCTTGCTCTGTTGCCCAGGCTGGAGTGCAGTGGCGCAATCTAGGCTCACTGCCAGCTCCACCTCCCAGGTTTACGCCATTCTCCTGCCTTAGCCTCCCGAGTAGCTGGGACTACAGGCGCCCGCCAACAGGCCTGGCTAATTTTTTTTTTTTGTATTTTTAGTAGAGACGGGGTTTCACCGTGTTAGCCAGGATGGTCTTGATCTCCTGACCTCGTGATCCGCCCGCCTTGGCCTCCCAAAGTGCTGGGATTACAGGCGTGAGCCACTGCCCGGCCTACTATCTTTTAACTTTATTAAGTGTTTTTTTTTTTGTTTTTTTGAGATGAAGTTTTGCCCTTGTCACCCAGGCTGGAGTGCAATGGCTCGACCTTGGCTCACTGCAACCTCCGCCGCTTGGGTTCAAGCGATTCTACTGCTTCAGCCTCCCAAGTAGCTGGGATTGCAAGTGCCCACCACCACGCCCAACTAATTTTTGTATTTTTGGTAGAGATGGGGTATCACCATGTTGGCCAAGCTGGTCTGGAACTCCTGACTCAGGTCATCCACCCGCCTCGGCCTCCCACAGTGCTGGGATTACAGGCGTGAGACACTGCGCCTGGCCAACTTTATTAAGTTTTTGTACTGGGATTTTTTTTCATCTAATTTTTATGAATCTGTATCCAGGCGGGGTGCTATGGCTCATGCTGTAATCCCAGCACTTTGGGAGGCCAGGGTGGGCGGATCACTTGAGGCCAGGAGTTCAAGACCAGCCTGGCCAACATGGCAAAACCTCCTCTCTACTAAAAAATACAAAATTTAGGCCAGGTGTGGTGGCGCACACCTCTAATCCCAGCTACTTGGGAGGCTGAGGCATGAGAATTGCTTAAACCCGGGAGGCTGAGGTTGTAGTGAGCCAAGATTGCGCCCTTGCACTTCAGCTTGGGTAAGAAAGCGAGAATCTCTCTGAAAAAAACCAAAAAAACCAAAAAAACAAAAAAAACCCCTGTATCCAGTGCTCTTTTAGACTGCAGTCCTCTAAGTTCTTAATAATTTTCTCTCTTTTTTTTGGATATAGGATCTCGCTGTCACCCAGTCTGGAGTGCAGTGGTGTGAACTTGGCTCACTGCAACCTCTGCCCCCCAGGCTCAGGGAGTCCTTTCACCTCAGCCACCTGAGTAGCTGGGTCCACAGGTGTACACCACCATGCCTGGCTATTGTTTTGTATTTTTAGTAGATATGGGGTCTCACCATGTTTCCCAGGCTGGTCTTAAACTCCTTAGCTCAAGTGATCCGTCCCCCTAGGCCTCCCATAGTGCTAGAATTACAGGTGTGAACCACTGTGTCTGGCCAATATTTTTCTTATTAAAGTTCCTTTTATAAGTTTTTCAACCTTATAAATATAAAATGACCCCAGTGATTTTGGCATAGCTTTTCAGTTCTGAAAGTTGCTGACGGGGTCAGCTGTGAGAATGAGACTCCTGTTTAGCATTTTTATTTTTATGTGGCAGGCTGAAGACTTGAAGATGCTAATCAGACACATGGAGCACTGGGCACATAGGCTATTCCCTAAACTGCAGTTTGAGGATTTTATTGACAGAGTTGAATACCTGGGAAGTAAAAAGGAAGTTCAGGTAAGTGTTGAGATGATTATAAATATCATTCACATGCTAAATGGTAGGGTAGATTTAGTTGAGGCTAAATTGCTGTTTAAAGTGTTCATTTTGAAATCTCTTTTGGTAGAGAGGGAAAAGTAATAGCAAATTATCTCCCCCCAACATGATTGGTAAAGAGGTAAAAATAAATAATCTCTTTTCATTTTCAGACCTGTTTAAAACGAATTCGACTTGATCTCCCTATTTTACATGAAGATTTTGTTAGCAATAATGGTAAGAATATAGGTTTATCTACTTTATAACAATTTTGCTTTTAGAAATAGATCTAGGCAGGGTGTGGTGGCTCAACCCTGTAATCCCAGCGCTTTGCTTTTTTGTTTCATGTTTAGGGACAGAATCTTGCTCTGTCACCCAGTCTGGAGTGCAGTAGCACAATCATAGCTTACTGCAGCCTTCAACTCCTGGGCTTAAGGGATCCTCCCGCCTCAGCCTCCCGAGTAGCTGGGACTGCAGGTGCATGCCATTGTGCCTGGCTAATTTTAAAATTTTTGTAGAGATGGGGATCTCCCTGCGTTGCCTTGGCTGCTCTCACACTCCTGGCCTCAAGCCATACTGTGCCTGGCCAACTTTTTTTTTTTTGAGCTGGAGTCTCACTCTGTAGCCCAGGCTGGAGTGCAGTGGCATGATCTCGGCTCACTACAACCTCCATCTCCTGGGTCCCAGTTCAAGCAATTCTCCTGCCTCAGCCTCCTGAGTAGCTGGGATCACAGGCATGCGCCACCATGCCCAGTTAATTTTTGTATTTTTTTTTTTTTTTTTTTTTTTAGTAGAGATGGGGTTTCACCATGTTGGCCAGGCTGTTTTTGAACTCCTGACCTCGTGATCCGCCCACCTTGGCCTCCCAAAGTGCTGGGATTATAGGCGTGAGCCACTGCGCCTGGCTTGTTATTTTTTTTTTGAAGACTAGCCACATGCAATAGTGAAAAGGGAGGAAAGAGTAGAACAAGGAGTTTGATCTGTGACTGTGAATTGATAACTCATTACCTTTGGAGCAACCCCAGTTCTTTGGGAGGCCATGGAGGTAGGATTACTTGAATCCTAGAGTTGGAGATCAGCCCGGGCAACCGAGTGAGACCCCATCTACAAAAATTTTTAAAAAGTTAATCAGGTGTGGTGGCACATGCCTGTTGTAGCTACTCAGGGGGTTGAGGCGGGAGGATCACTTGAGCCCAGGAGTTCAAGGCTGCAGTGAACCAGGATCACACCACTATACTCTGGGCAATAAATAGGGTGAGAGACCTTGTCTGGAAAAAAAAAAAAAAAAGAAAGAAAGAATAGAAGTAGTTAGAGGAGGCAGTATTATAGGACCAGATCCTTAGTCCATATTGTGTATATAATTAGAGTATGGTAAAGTACAATAAATAGATAAGTTAAAATGCCTTGGTAGTGGGCTGGGCGTGGTGGCTCATGCCTATAATCCCAGCACTTTGGGAGGCTGAGGTGGGCAGTTCACTTGAGGTCAGGAGTTTGGGAACAGCCTGACCAACATGGGGAAACCCCATCTGTACTGAAAATACAAAAATTAGCTGAGTGGGGTGGTGCACGCCTGTAATCCCAGCTACTCAGGAGGCTGAGGCAGGAGAATTAACTTGAATCCAGGAGGTGGAGGTTGCAGTGAGCCGAGATTGCGTCGTTGCAATCCAGCCTGGGTGACAGAGTGAGACTCTTGTCTCAAAAAAAACAAAGCCTTGGTACATCTAGAATGTTGTATATCAAATTTGTTGTAGAATATGAACTTTTGAAAACTCTGGTGACCCACTGATCCTATATAGCACTTGTTAATAAAAATATATATCAAGATAAAAGTGTTCATATACATATACACCATTGGATAAAGTGGTACTGGGAAATTAGGCAAAATAATTTATGATGAAAGTTTGCATTTCACTTGGAGCGCAGCTCTCGGATATAGGACTTTAGTGAGACCTTTGTGACTGTTCCTGGTATTGATTGCATTTGTTAGTTGTACAGTGCAACCATAGACAGTCACACACATTAAAACAGATGGTTCCTGCCGACAGGGTCTGTATAGTTATCAGATTTTCTGTGCGATGGCTCCATACATGTTTGTTTTTGTTTTTTAACTTTTAACAGATGTGGAAGAAAATACAGGTTCCATGTAGAATACCCTAAAGTTATTTATAAACTACTTTCAAACATGTAAAGGAATGTGATTTAGGCCGGGCGCGGTGGCTCACGCCTGTAATCCCAGCACTTTGAGAGGCCGAGGCGGGTGGATCACAAGGTCAGGAGATCGAGACCATCCTGGCTAACATGGTGAAACCCCGTCTCTACTAAAAAATAATAAAAAAAATTAGCCGGGTGTGGTGGCGGGCACCTGTAGTCCCAGCTATTCGGGAGGCTGAGGCAGGAGAATGGTGTGAACCTAGGAGGTGGAGCTTGCAGTGAGCCGAGATCACGCCACTGCACTCCAGCCTGGGCGACAGCAAGACTCCGTCTCAAAAAAAAAAAGGAATGTGATTTAAATAATCCGTGATTTAAATTTCTTGGTAAAATATGGTATGTATGGATGGCATAGGATTGGGTATATGTAAAGGAATGAGTTATTACAGTTCTAAATTCCACAGCATATACTACTGGGTTACTTTTTGAGGTGCCCGGTATGTGATAAAGGTTCAGGGCTAAAAAAATGACTACGATCAGGCCCCTTTGTGGGCAAATACAGTAGTGAATGAATCAGACATACAACATTGCCAGTAGTGTGGTAGGTGTTGTAATTAGAGGTATGAGTAGGTCGCAGGGTGGGATGCAAAGGAGAGCATAGTTACATGTCCCTGGGGGTAGAGGGAGAACTTCACAAAGGAGGATTCAGAAGAATTTTGATTTGGGGGTGAGAGGAAGAAAAAAGAAATTAAAAAGAAAAAAAGTATTTTGAATGAACAGTAGAGGTCAGGCAGAGGTGATTTTGAATGGGGGAGCCATCTATGCAGAGGTGTAAATTAACTTGGATTTCAGGCTCTATATTCTATGGCAGTAAAAAAAAAAAAAAAAAAAGATAAATTAAGGCCAGGCGCAGTGGCTCACGCTTGTAATCCTAGCACTTTGGGAGGCCAAGACGGGCGGATCACTTGAGGCCAGGAGTTCGAGACCAGCCTGGCCAACATGGTGAAACCCCATCTCTACTAAAAATACAAAAAATTAGCCTGGCGTAGTGGCACATGCCTGTAATCCTAGTTACTCGGGAGGCTAAGGCAGTAGAATTGCTTGAACCCGGAAGGCGGAGGTTGCAGTGATCCGAGATTGCGCCATTACACTCCAGCCTGGGCAAAAAGAGTGAAACTCTGTCTCAAAAAAAAAAAAAGGAGATAAATTAACATGGACCATTCAGAGAATTACAAGCATGCTGAAATATAGGGTACAAATAAGAGAACTGAATCTGAGATTTTTGTTTGTTGTGTCATATATTTAATTTGTATCTTAATAGTCTCCAAATTTTTTTGATCAGGTGCCACAGAAGTAAAAATGTTTTGACCATTTTATTTGTTGATTAAATACATTTACTTCTATACGGATGTGATTTGTAATGTACTTTTTTTTTTTTGAGACGGAGTCTCACTCTGTTGCCTAGGCTGGAGTGCAGTGGTGCGATCTCGGCTCACTGCAACCTCCACCTCAGTTCAAGTGATTCTCCTGCCTCAGCCTCCCAGTAGCTGGGATTACAGGTGTGCACCACCACACCTGGCTAATTTTTGTATTTTTAGTAGAGACAGGGTTTCATCACGTTGGCCAGGCTTGTCTCAAACTCCTGATTTCAGTTGATCCACCTGCCTTGGCCTCCCAAAGTGCTAGAGTTACAGGCGTGAGCCAGTGAGCCACTGTGCCCGGCCTAAATTTAGTTTTTGTAGTGACAGGATCTCACTATGTTGCCCAAGCTGGTCTGTATCTCCTGGCCTCAAACAGTCTGCCTTGGCCTCCCAACGTGCCGGGATTACAGGTGTGAGCCACTGTGCTTGGCCTCCAGCTGTTCCTTGGACATTTCAGGCACATTTTTATTCTAAGGCTTTTGTATTGCCGTACTCTGCCTGGAACACTCTTCCCTTGTACCCCTCAAGTCCGCATGACTGTCTTACACTCCTCAAACTGTGCTCAAATGACAACTTGGTGAAGCCTCCCCATTACACTGTTATAGTTGCATCCCCACTCCCATCATTTCTGACTCCCCTATGCTGTTTCCTTTTGCATTGCCCTTGTTTCCCTTTAATTTTTATATAGTTTACTTATGTTTTAGTTTGTCTTTACTACAATGACGGCATCCTGTAACACACTGAATATTTCTAGCTTTAGCTTCTTTGCCATAATCACTTGCCAATGAATGTTGCAGTAAATGAATTTCATGCGTACTTCTAATTTTTTAAAATTTCATTTTTATTTACTTATTTCTTTTCGAGGCAGGGCCTCACTCTGTTGCCCAGGGTGGAGCACAGTGGCATGATCATAGCTCTGCAGCCTCGACCTCCAGGGCTTAAGCAATCCTGCCACCTCAGTCTCCTGAGTAGTTTGGATTACAGGCATGCACCACCTGCCTGCCCAAGTTTTTCTTTTTTTTTTTTTTCTTTTTTTTTTTGTAGAGAAAGGGTCTCCCTATGTTTTGCAGGCTGGTCTCAAACTCCTGGGTCCATGTGATCCTCCCACCTTGGGTTCCCAAAGTGCTGGGATTATAGGCGTGAGCTGCTGCACCCAGCTTTAAATCTCATTTTAATCCTACTCAAAGGAACCAGCTGCTGCTTACAAAATATATTGTTTATATAAATAGGTCATTTACTACTGAAGATACCTTTGTTTTCTTGGTTCATAAAAAGTAGTTTTTTGCTTTTTTTTTTACTTTTTTTTGTAATAGAGACGAGGTCTTGCTATGTTGGTGATGTTGGTCTTGAACTCTTGTTCTCAAGCAATCCTTCTGCCTCAATCTCCCAAAGGGCCATGATTACAGGCGTGAGCCACCTTGTCCAGTCAAAATTAGTTCTTTGAGTTCATTTGAAGCCAGGAGTTAGGGACCAGAGTGGTCAACACCTATAGTCCCAGCTATTTAGAAGGCTGAGGCAGGAGGATCCTTTGAGTCCAAGGAGTTTGAGGCTGGAGTGAGCTATGATCATACCACTGTACTCTAGCCTGGGTGACAGAGTGAGTCCCCATCTCTTGAAAAAAACAAAAAAAAAGTAGTTATTTATGTATTTTCTTATTGATTTAGAATCCTGCAACCCTGTAAGATGAAGCACATTAAAAACCCCATGTTTCATAAGTGGTTCTTTTTTTGAGACGGAGTTTCACTCTTGTTGCCCAGGCTGGAGTGCAGTGGTGTGATCTCGGCTCACTGCAACCTCTGCCTCCCGGGTTCAAGTGATTCTCCTGCCTCAGCCTCCTGAGTAGGTGGGATTACAGTCATGTGCCACCATGCCCGACTAATTTTGTATTTTTAGTAGAGACGGGGTTTCACCATGTTGGTCCGACTGGTCTTGAACTCCTCACCTCAGGTGATCTGCCTGCCTCGGCCCCCAAAAGTGCTGGGATTACAGGTGTGGGCCACTGCGCCTGGCTCATAAGTGGCTCTAATGCTTGTTTCTTAACTGCTTCAGCAATGTTTCATACATATACTCTTATCAGTATTTCCTGACAATGGAGGCCATTTTAGTTTCTTCCTACATTTTTGTTTTCCATGTCAGGAAGGAAAAGTGGCTTTTCGTTTTTCACTATTAAGGAAGAAACCTTAAAAGGGAGTTTGATTGTAAAGGGCTGAATTAAGTATCATGATTTTTAAATCTCACTGAAATAATTGTAAAGGTCTGTCTTTATGTTTTAAATGTTTTTTTAATTGTGATAGTTTTTCTATAATTAGCTAATATTTCAAGGCATAATATATACATAGAACAAGGATAATGTATATAAATATTTCAAATGGTGACTTGAATTTTTTGACCAACTTGTCAGATGTGATGGGGTTTATCTTTCTTTTAATTTCATAATATGGATGATGTAGATAGAAGGTAAAGTGTCAGCTCTGCTGTTTTTTTTATTTTTTGCTTGTGCTTCTATTCTACCTACAGGCATTTTGTTATTTTGTAGAATCTTTTTAACCTAACACTTGTACATTTTGTTGGGGTTGTTTGGTTAAATTAGTAAGATGAAATCCATCAGTTTATTTGACTGGGCAATCAGAAACAGCTGTATATCTGACATTGTAAAGTCAGTGGGGGCCCCATTCTCCACCCTTTTACAATATGGATCTTGCCTATAGAGTGGCTCACAGATCAGACAGTAACTCTGTCATAAGGACAAGGGACAGTTAACCACTGCCAGTCTTATTTTAAATATGTTAGTAAAACATAGTTTTTCTTAATTCTTAAATGAAATATAAATGGAAGATCTATTATTTACTTTAATACCACTGTGGATCATGTTGGGGACATCCTACCTTGAGTTAACTGGTTTACAGGGCTTTAATAATGTATTACTTATAATGTAGAGCACACTGAATTTAAAAAGAAATTAATTTGGAAATATGTCCATAAAGTTTTAAATTTCTTTTCTTTTTTCATTTGTCTGTGTTTAACTCTACAAAAGATAATGTCCTACATAAAATTACCTTTTACTGGCCGGGTGCATTGGCTCACGCTTGTAATCTCAGCACTTTGGGAGGCTGAGGCATGTGGATCACCTCAGGTCAGGAATTTGAGACCAGCCTGGCCAATACGGTGAAACCCTGTCTCTACTAAAAATACAAAAATTAGCTGGGCATGGTGGCGGGTGCCTGTAATCCCAGCTTCTCGGGAGGCTGATGGAGGAGAATCACATGAATCTGGGAGGCGGAGGTTGCAATGAGCCAAGATCGAACCATTGCACTCCAGCCTGGGTGACAAGAGTGAAACTCCGTCTCAAAAAATAAAATAAAATGTATTAAAATTACCTTTTCCCATATTGACACTGGGAAACTATTGAAATGTGTTGGTTTAATGTAGAACAAGAATATGGTTTGGATTCCTTAAGCTCTTTGATTAGGCCAAGCATAAAATATTTCTAATTACAATCAAGAACTTTTTGTTTCTTTCTTTTTTTTTTTTTTTTTTTTTTGAGACAGTCTTGCTCTGTAGCCCAGGCTGGAGTGCAGTGGCGCAATCTTGCTCACTGCTGCCTCCGCCTCCCGGGTCCCGGTTCAAGCAATTCTCCTGCCTCAGCCTCCTGAGTAGCTGGGATTATAGGCATGCGCCACCATGCCCAGCTAATTTTTGTATTTTTAGTAGAGATGGGGTTTCACCATGTTGGCCAGACTGGTCTTGAACTCCTGACCTCATGATCCACCCGCCTCGGCTTCCCAAAGTGTTGGGATTACAGGCGTGAGCCACCGCGCCCGGCCTTCATGCATATTTTAAATTGTATTTTTATTTGACTTAGCATTCCTCTTTAAACTGATTTATAAATATTTCTTATTTAATTGAATCAAGCATGTATTCACAACATTCTTTTTTTTTTTTTTTTTTTTTTTTTTTTTTGAGACGGAGTCTCGCTCTGTCGCCCAGGCTGGAGTGCAGTGGCGGGATCTCGGCTCACTGCAAGCTCCGCCTCCCGGGTTCACGCCATTCTCCTGCCTCAGCCTCCCAAGTAGCTGGGACTACAGGCGCCCGCCACTACGCCCGGCTAATTTTTTGTATTTTTAGTAGAGACGGGGTTTCACCGTGTTAGCCGGGATGGTCTCGATCTCCTGACCTCGTGATCCGCCCGCCTCGGCCTCCCAAAGTGCTGGGATTACAGGCGTGAGCCACCGCGCCCGGCCCACAACATTCTTATACTTCACAAATTGTTTTTTCAGGTCTGTCACCTTGCCACTTTAAATTCTTTTTCAATGAGAAGCCCTTCTCTAACTAGTCTAACACCACAGATGTACTATTTCTTTTCTATTGCAGATGAAGTTGCGGAGAATAATGAACATGATGTCACTTCTACTGAATTAGATCCCTTTCTGACAAACTTATCTGAAAGTGAGATGTTTGCTTCTGAGTTAAGTAGAAGCCTAACAGAAGAGCAACAACAAAGAATTGAGAGAAATAAACAACTGGCCTTGGAAAGAAGGCAGGCAAAGCTGCTGAGTAATAGTCAGACCCTAGGAAATGGTAAATTTTATGCCAAATTTTATATGCTACCATTAATATATCAAGGACATGTTAGAAATTTTAACTTCTCTGCTAGCCCCCAAAATAAAATACTTCTAGGAGTGGAAAAGTGTGATATTAAGTTTATGTATATTTTAGAGACAGTGTGTGTGAGAGAGGAGAGAGAGAATGGCTGTGTTCCTTAAAGAATAAATGAATCCAAGATGGTTTTCTGGATAGCTGAGTACCTCTTAAAAAATTATTTTAATCACCTGGCCAGGCGTGGTGGCTCATGCCTGTAATCTCAGCACTTTGGGAGGCCAAGGTAGGTGGATCGCTTGAGGTCAGGAGTTCAAGACCAGCCTGGCCAACATGATGAAACCCCATCTCTACTAAAATTACAAAAATTAGCCAGGTGTGGTGGTGCACACCAGTAATCCCAACTACTTGGGAGGCTGAGGTACGAGAATCACCTGAATCAAGAAGGTGGAGATTGCAGTGAGCCAAGATCGTGCCACTGCACTCCAGCCTGGGTGACTTGAGTGAGACGCTCTCAAAAAAAAAAGAATTTATTTTAATCACTTGAAATTGATTTTAAATTCTTAATAAACATTCTTCCCTGACTCCTTAAAGCATGTGCCATATACTATTACCTTTAGGACAATAATTATAACAATAAATAAAGAAAAAAATAGGCCAGGTGCAGTGGCTCATGCCTGTAATCCCAGCACTTTAGGAGGCCAAAGTGGGCCATCACCCGAGGTCAGCAGTTCAAGACCAGCCTGGCCAACATGGTGAAACCCCACCTCTACTAAAAATACAAAAATTAACTGTGCATGGTGGTGTGCACCTGTAATCCCAGCCACTTGGGAGGCTGAGGCAGGAGAATTGCTTGAACCCAGGAGGCAGAGGTTGCAGTGAGCTGAGATCAACCCATTGCACTCCAGCCTGGGCAACAAGAGCAAAACTCCATCTCAAAAAAAAAAAAAAAAAAAAAAAGGCCAGGCGCAGTGGCTCACGCCTGTAATCCCAGTACTTTGGGAGGCTGAAGTGGGTGGATCACAAGGTCAGGAGATCGAGACCATCCTGGCCAACATGGTGAAAACCCGTCTCTACTAAAAATACAAAAATTTGCCGGGCATGGTGGTGTGTACCTGCCTGTAAACCCAGCTGCTTGGGAGGCTGAGGCAGGAGAATCGCTTGAACCTGGGAGGTGGAGGTTGCAGTGAGCTGAGATCGGGCCACTGCACTCCAGCCTGGGTGACAGAGCAAGACTCCGTCTCAAAAAAAAAAAAATGCTTTTTCTTGTGTTTTGTCACTTGGTTGTGAGCTGTACTTTTGAAAGTAGCTGTTTAATTTGCTTATCTTTAGCATTCCCTTTTCACTTCTAAAACTGCCTGAAGATTTGCTTTATTAAAAAATATATTATTAGTATTTTTAGAAACGTTGTCAATCTGTCACCCAGGCTAGAGTGCAGTGGTGTGATCTTGACTCACTGCAGCCTTGAACTTCTAGTCTCAAGCAATCCTCCAGCATTGGGCTTCCAAAGTGCTGGGATTGCAGGTATGAGCCAGTGTACCTGGCCTAAATTTGCTGTTTTTAACACACATTGTGGGTTTGGAAACTATATAACCAAATTTGTTAAAACTATATTTAGAAAGAATTGCAAGTTGGTTTTGAATGAAGTAAGCAGGATTGCGTATATCTTTCTTAATTTCCCATTCAGTTTTTCCTTTCAAAATGGAAAAATAAGAATTATAGGCCCAGCACAGTGTCTCTTGCCTGTAATCCCAGCACTTTGGGAGGCTGAGGTGGGCAGATCACTTGAGCCTGGGAGTTCAAGACCAGCCTGGGCAACATAGTGAGTCCCCGTCTCTACAAAAAAAAAAAGAATTATAATAACTAGATACCATGTTGTAAACGAAGTTTCACCCAATATATTAACATTTTTAAGTGAAAATTATTTTGGCTACTTTTTTTTTCAGTTAAGATGAATTTACTTTTTCTTTTTGCTTTTTTTTTTTTTTTTTTTTTTTTTTGAGATGGAGTCTTGCTCTGTAGCTCAGGCTGGAGTGCAGTGGCGTGATCTTGGCTCACTGCAACCTCTGCCTCCCGGGTTCAAGCAGTTCCCCTGCTTCAGCCTCCTCAAGTAGCTAGGACTACAAGTGCGTGCCCCCATGCCTGGCTAATTTTTGTATTTTTAGTAGAGAAGGGATTTCACTGTGTTGGCCAGGGTGGTCTTGAACTCCTGACCTAGTGATCTGCCTGCCTCAGCCTCCCAAAGTCCTGGGATTACAGGTGTGAGCCACCATGCCCAGCTGAATTTACTTTTTCCTTTTTTTTTTTTTTTTTTTTTTGAGACGGAGTCTTGCTCTGTCACCCAGGCTGGAGTGCAATGGCGTGATCTCGGCTCACTGCAAGCCCCGCCTCCCGTGTCCATGCCATTCTCGTGCCTCAGCCTCCCGAGTAGCTGGGACTACAGGTGCCTGCCACCACGCCTGGCTAATTTTTTGTATTTTTAGTAGAGACAGGGTTTCACCGTATCAGCCAGGATGGTCTCGATCCCCTAACCTCGTGATCCACCCACCTCGGTCTCCTAAAGTGCTGGGATTACAGGTGTGAGCCACCGCACCTGGCCAATTTACTTTTTCTTTATAAATGGATGTTTTATTAGTACCATGTGAAACATTACATGAAGATAGCATTATTCTTGATGGCAGTGGCTTCTTTGCTGTCAATATCAAGTATACCTGGCAGTTGGTATTTAAAGCTCACCTCTGTTTATCATATACAACTTAAAATTTGTCCAAATGGAAATAAGTACTTTAAAGTTTCTTATGGATCACTCTGACATAAAACCTAAACGCACTTGGTTTTTATTAGACCTCTTTCTAGTAGTTTTCAGTTTTGTTTTTTTAGATGGGGCCTCACTGTATTGCCCAGGCTGGAGTGCAGTTGCTGATCTCGGCCCACTGCAACCTCCGCCTCCTAGGTTCAAGCGATTCTCCTGTCCCAGCCTCCCGAGTAGCTGGGATTACAGGCGTGCTCCACCATGTCCGGCTAATTTTTGTATTTTTTGTAGAGGCAGGGTTTCACCATATTGGCCAGACTGGTTTCAAACTCCTGACCTTGAGTGATCTGCCTGCCTCAGCCTCCCAAAGTGCTGAGATTACAGGCATGATCCACTGTGCCTGGCCAATAGTAGTTTGATTTTGAATAAGAACAGTTACATTTGACTATGATCCAAGAGTGTGAGTTGAATAACATTCAAAACCATTTTGCTTTTTTTTTGTTTTTTTTTGGTTATAGGATCTCACTTTGTCACCCAGGCTGGAGTGCAGTGGCACGATCATGGTTCGCCACCATAGCCAGCTAATTATTTTTTTTTTTATTTTATTTTTTTTGATGTTTTGTTGACATGGGGTCTCACTATGTGGCCCAGGCTGGTCCTGAACTCCTGAGCTCCAATGATCCTCCCACATTGTTGGGATCGGGCCTGGCCTCTCTTGCATTTAAAATGGATCTTAATTGTATAAAAATGGGCTTATTGGCTAGGCGTGGTAGCTCACGCCTGTAATCCCAGGACTTTGGGAGCCTGAGGCGGGTGGATCACCTGAGGTCAGGAGTTCGAGACCAGCCTGGCCAACATAGTGAAACCCTGTCTCTTCTAAAAATACCAAAATTAGCCGGGTGTAGTGGCGGGTACCTGTAATCCCAGCTACTCGGGAGGCTGAGGCAGGAGAATCACTTGAACCCGGTGGAGGTTGCAGTGAGCCCAGATCGTGCGATTGCACTCCAGCCAAAGTGATGGAGCGAGACTCCATCTCAAAAAAAAAAAAAAAGATATATTTAGAAGAAAGTGATCATAATTAACATTAAGTGATCTTAGACTTCATTTTACTAAACTGAGCTTTTGAAGAGGTTTGTACTCATGCGGTAAGATTGGATCAGGTACTTATAATGAATAATAATGGTATGATTTCTTTCAGATATGTTAATGAATACACCCAGGGCACACACGGTTGAAGAGGTTAATACTGATGAGGATCAAAAGGAGGAGTCAAATGGATTAAACGAAGACATTCTGGACAATCCATGTAATGATGCTATTGCCAATACTTTAAATGAAGAGGAAACACTGCTGGACCAGTCTTTTAAAAATGTGCAACAGCAACTTGATGCTACATCCAGAAATATTACTGAAGCTAGATAAGTTTCCATTAAGAGAAAATGTATCTGTTAAGTCATCGTCCTGCAAGCTTGGCGTTACTATGTATTTTTTCTTCTTGGAGTGAAAATCCTTAGATAGTAAAACTGTTATAGATTATTGTTTAAAATCTGATAATCTGGTATTTATTTATAATTATGCTTGTCACTTTAGTTAAATCTATTTGTTCTCTTTAGTGTTTGTTTTTATATAGGTATTTCTTCATAAAATGATTAGGAGGTAATAAGCAGTTTCTGCTGCTGGTCTGTCATTGAATGCCTTGTTTTCACTAAGTTGGGAGGTTTTGTTTCTGTTTTTTACTGCTCCTTGCAAAGCAGGGCTAATCCATGGACAGTGTGCCCAGAGTAGTCTAGTTGAAGTTTTTTGTTTTGTTTTGTTTTGTTTTTTTTGACACAGAGTCTCACTCTGTTGGCCAGGCTGGAGTGCAGTGGCACAGTCTTGGCTCACTGCAACCTCTGCCTCCTGGGCTCAAGCAATTCTCCTGCCTTAGCCTCCCGAGTAGCTGGGACTACAGGCGTGTGCCACCACGCTTGGCTAATTTTTGTACTTTTAGTAGAGATGAGGTTTCACCATGTTGGCCAGGCTGGTCTCAAACTCCTAACCTCAGGTAATCCGCCCCCCTCGGCCTCCCAAAGTGCTGGGATTACAGGTGTGAGCCACCGCGCCCAGCCTGGGTGAAGTTTTGAGATGTACATATATACTGAATATTAATGTCAATTTTTTAAAAGAAGTAAAAATTATCTTAAAAACTATCTACAGGCTTTATGGGAGGTTTTCATTGCTATATAGTTCTGCAGTTTACACTTTTGGTAAATACAAGATTTTTACATGTTTTCTAAGGAGTTACTTTAATAGTTAAAAGGTCACATGAAAGGCCGATACATTGCCTGGCCCTCATAGGTGCTAGGGTAGTTCAAAGAATGCTTTTTGGGAACTTACTGACTAGTTGGAGTGAAACTTGCAAAGTATCGTGGGGAACATAGCATCTCGGGAGGATTTACAGGAAAGACTTTGCTTTTGGTGGAGGAGATTCCAAGTATTGGGAAGCACATGTACAATAATGATACAGAAATAAGATTAAGGGGATAAGGCAGATTTTAGGAATGCTGATTTTGAGGTTAGATGTGTTAGGGCCAAATCGTGAGAACACCTGATTGGAGTTCTTCCTGCCAGGTAGAGGGGGTAGTTACAAATAAGAAAGGTTAGTGTTAGGAAAGGCTCTCCCACCCCACCCCCTCACCCCTACCCACAGTCCCCCGCCACTATTGTGTGTGTGTGTGTGTGTGTGTTGGTCTCACTGTCACTCAGGCTGGAATACAGTGGCCCAATCCTAACTCACTGCAGTCTCAAACTCCTGGGGTTCAAGCAATCCTCTTGCCTTAGCTTCCCAAGTAGCTGCGACTGCAGACATGTACCACCATGCCTGGCTACTTTTTTAATTTTTGTAGAGATGGTGTCTCACTATGTTTACCAGGCTGGTCCTGGACTCCTGGCCTCAAGTGATCTTCCATGGCACTTGGCCTCTCACTCTCTTTTTCCTTGGGGAAAGGGCAGAGTGATGGTGCTATAGTGGCTTCCATCTGCAAAGCCAGGACAGGCAGGCATCTTCTCTTCAGGCTTTCTGACTTCAGGTGGGGACAGGAAGTGACAAAGATGGTTTGATTGAAAAGCCAGGAAGTTAGCTCAGGTGTGGTGGCTCACGCCTGTAATCCCAGCACTTTGGGAGGCTGAGGTGGGTGGATCACGAGGTCAGGAGATCGAGAACATCCTGGCTAACACAGTGAAACCCCGTCTCTACTAAAAATACACACACAAAAAATTAGCTGGGCATGGTGGCAGGCACCTGTAGTCCCAGCTACTCGGGAGGCTGAGGCAGGAGAATGGCGTGAACCTGGGAGGTGGAGCTTGCAGTGAGCCGAGATCGTGCCACTGCACTCCTGCCTGGGTGACAGAGCGACACTCCATCTCAAAAAAAAAAAAAAAAAATTTAAGAAAAGCCAGGAAGTTGAGCACAAGAACATCAAGGAGAACATCTGGGATGGGGGTGGGGGAGGGGTTTGTGGGCCTGCTGGGAACTGCCACAGGGATGGGCCAAGAAGCATGTGCATTAGGAGGATTGTGGCTAACTGCAGCCAATAGGGGATCAGCTAGAAGATGGAGAGCAGTTTCAAGATGCCAATGCCTATAGAAACTGCTTCCTCAGGAGGGCAGGTTCAGGCTTCTGTCTACCCTCACAAACTACATTAGATAACTGAGAAAGAAGAGTTAATTTTTCTTTTTTGAGATGGAGACTCGCTCTGTTGCCCAGGCTGGAGAGCTGTGGCGCAATCTCAGCTCACTGCAACCTCTGCCTCCTGGGTTCAAGCAGTTCTCTGCCTCAGCCTCCCAAGTAGCTGGGATTACAGGCACCTGCCACCACACAAGGCTAATTTTTGTATTGTTAGTAGAGATGGGGTTTCACCATGTTGGCCAGGATGGTCTTGATCTCTTGACTTTGTGATCCACCCCCCTCAGCCTCCCAAAGTGCTGGGATTACAGGCATGAGCTACTGTCCCTGGCCAATTTTTGTATTTTTAGTAGAGATGGGGTTTAATCATCTTGGCCAGGCTGGTCTTGAACTCCTGACCTTGTGATCCACCCGCCTCGGACTCCCAAAGTGCTGGGATTATAGGCGTGAGCCACTGCGCTCGGCCTAGAGTTAATTTTTCTAGTGGGGTGTTTGCTGGCAAAGTAACAAGTTTCCAACAAGGGGAAGGCCAATGCACCTCATCAAAATGGGAGAGTGGGAAGGAAGGCCTGTGACAGAACTTTACCTGTGCATCCTACCACCCGCCCTGTGTCCTAATCCCAGCTAGTACTGGAGACAGCAGGTAAGGGTTGAGTCAAATATGAAATAGGAATTTTTAAGTGGAGAAGTGGACTCAGGACTAAGTCTTATTATCTGAAAGTGACTGAAAATTACCTGACAAATGTCAGAGGGGCCTATGACCCAAACGTAATTACTGGAAAAATAAAACATTTGAAAGAACTGATTGGAGACGAGATAACCAGTAATTTCGGGTTTATTAAACTTATTAGAAAGGGGCCATCTGCAGAGCCACCACTTACTGTCCACTCATTACTGAAAACTCTGTTTCCATAGTGACCTAATTATACTTTATTTAATGCAACTTTAATGAATGAGAGAACTTTTTTTTTTTTTTTTTTTTTTTTTGAGATGGAGTCTCGCTCTGTTGCCCAGGCTGGAATGCAGTGGTGCGATCTCGGCTCACTGCAACCTCCTCTTCCTGGGTTCAGGCAATTCTCCTGCTTCAGCCTCCCAAGTAGCTGGGACTACAGGCGCATGCCACCACGCCGGGCTAATTTTTGTATTTTTAGTAGAGACTGGGTTTCACCGTGTTAGCCAGGATGGTCTCAATCTCCTGACCTCGTGATCCGCCCGCCTCAGCCTCCCAAAGTGCTGGGGTTACAGGCGTGAGCCACCGTGCCCGGCTGAGAACATTTTACATATATGCGAAATAGCTACCCAGTCCTGATCGACTAGAGCACTGAGTGACACACATTAAATGTTAAGTTTGAAAAGACTGTAAAACATTCACATATGACAGCTCTTAGTGAAGTAAGAGCCTCTCATATTCCATAATTGTTTGAAACATCCAGGAGAGCTAGGTCCCGTATCTCCTCTAGAAGTGTGTATAGGCTCCTTCCCTTTGTTTGGCGATATTCTTGATATTCCTCCTGAATGATGTTTACTTTGACTTCTTGGGCAAGCTGAGCTTCTTCCACAGATTTAGTTACTTCTTTCACTAACTCACTCTTCAGCAAGGGGGAACTCTGATGAATAAGTTCTGTATTTGGTATCTTGTATGGTTTGTTACTAATTATTTCAAGTCTGATTGTATCAGAATGGCAACGTGAGGCCTGTATGGATATTCTTACCTAGCATAGAGAAGAAAATACATATTACTAAATCACATTATTTATTCCTTACATTTAAAATATTAATAATACTTAATAGAAACACAGACTTACGGTTACATGGTCAAACAAATGGAACGTAACAGATTCCCCATCTGTTGTAGTAGAGGTAATTTTGTTTTGAAATCGTTGAAGGGATCCTGGTTTCCATTCAGAACAGCTATCTGGGCCACATGAGATGACTAAACCATCTTTATTTTTTAGATAAGCAGCACCTTTAATCCCAAACCTATATTATGACCAGAATATAAATCCAGAGACAATGTATTCTTAGTACACAGATCTTGTATGCTTATCTAGAATACTAGTTTTTCTCCTAGATTAAAAACAAATCACTTTTCCTGTGGTTTACCTCCACGTATTTATTTCACCTTAGCAGATGGAAACAAAGTATTTTGCTGGATAAGAAAGACCCTAAAATGGATATAGAAGTGTGTGTGTATATATATACACACACACACACACACACACACACACACTCCAGTCTTCACTTTTTTTTTTTTTTTTTGAGACAGAGTCTTGCTCTGTCGCCCAGGCTGGAGTGCAGTGGCACGATCTTGGCTCACTGCAACCTCTGCTTCCCGGGTTCAAGTGATTCTCCTGCCTCAGCCTCCCAGGTAGCTGGGATTTCAGGCATGCGTCACCATGCCCGGCTAATTTTTGTACTTTTAGTAGAGACGGGGTTTCACCATGTTGGCCAGGCTGGTCTCGAACTCCTGACCTCAGGTGATCCGCCCACCTTGGCCTCCCAAAGTGCTGGGATTATAGGCGTGAGCCACCCCTGGCCTCCAATCTTCACATTTATATACTGAATTATACATTACATTATGTACATATGATAACTAGTTGCTTAAATATTTTAATAAATTATATCTAATGTACAGTTTGTGTTCTACACTTTTAACTATGATTTCTTATGCACCATTGCATTAGATGTAACATACCTTGGTATAAATAGAAGCACACCATTTGTTCTAATTGAATAAATAACTCCGTCAGATATGCAACGCTCCTCGGTGGCAGGGTCTTTGTCTTTGAAGTACATGCACTGGAAGAGCTCAGTAGACTGCTTCTGAGAATGCTGTGCTGCCTGTAAGAAGCACAACTCCAAAGCATTTTAACACTCCCCTGGCATTCCCCAAAGAAACGAAATTCATATTCATTCAAATGTGAGATTCTGTAAAACTATTAATATAAAAATTGTTCTCTACTATGAAATTAAATTACTTTTTGTGGGAACTTAACCATCTAGTATTATCTCCTCAAAAATGTCTTAGAAAATGAATTATTTTATAAAATGAAACCCATTTATAGTTCATGAAATTAGAGATCAGCAAATTTGGGTCATGTTCACCTTGGGTACAGGAAAAGTATTACACATGTCTTACTTGCATTTCTTTTTTTTTTTGAGATATGGAGTCTCACTCTGTCACCCAGGCTGGAGTACAGTGGTGCAATCTCGGCTCACTGCAAGCTCTACCTCCTGGGTTCACGTCATTCTCCTGCCTCAGCCTCTGGAGTAGCTGGGACTACAGGCGCCTGCCATCACGCCCGGGTAATTTTTTGTATTTTTAGTAGAAATGGGGTTTCACTGTGTTAGCCAGGATGGTCTTGATCTCCTGACCTCGTGATCCGCCTGCCTCGGCCTCCCAAAGTGCTGGGATTACAGGCATGAGCCACCGCGCCCGGCCAGCCTTTCTTTCTTTTCAAGCCTGTCCAATGAAAACCCTATTGGTGGAAGTCTAAATTAGCACTACTGATAAGGAAGACAATTTAGTAATATGTATTAAAGTTTCTTTGTCTTCTTTTTGAGATGGAGTCTCACTCTATCGCCTAGGCTGGAGTGCAATGGCGCGATCTTGGCTCCCTGCAACCTCTGCCTCCCGGGTTCAAGTGATTCTCCTGCCTCAGCCGCCCGATTAGCTGGGATTACAGGCATGCACCACCATGCCTGGCTAATTTTTGTATTTTTAGTAGTAACGGGGTTTCACCATGTTGGCCAGGCTGCTCTGGAACTCCTGAACTCAGGTGATCCACCGGCCTCGACCTCGAAAAGTGCTAGGATTACAGTCGTGAGCCACTGCACCTGACCTATCAGTTTCATTTGTGCATGCACACCTTTTGGCTCAGCAATTCCATTTCTAGGAATTTTTCCAGGAAATCATCTGAAATGTCTGTATAAGTGTATCCATAAGGATGGTTATAAATTTGATTGCTTAGAACAGTGCTGCCCAACAGAACTTTCTGCAATGATAGAAATGCTCTCTATCTGTGTTGCCTAATATGTAGCCACTAACCACAAGTGGCCACTGAGCTATACAATGTGGCCAGTGTGACTGAGACACTGGCCAAATTTCTACTGAGACAAATTTCTACTTCTAATTTTAATTAAATTTAGGTAGTCCACATGGCTAGTGCTACAACATTGCACAGCAGACAACTATACCATTGGATATAGAAAATTACATTAAACATTTAGGTAGTTTCCAATTTCCTGCGTTACCCAATAGTCTAGTTCTATGCTGTGCAATCTTGTAGCAACTAGTAATATGAAATAGAATAGAAAGCAGCTTCAAAACAATGATATAACATGGTGTGCTATCAATAACAGTTGGGTTACATGAAAAAAGCAGATTCAAACAGCAGGCACGGTGTGATTTTTTTTTTTTAGACGGAGTTTCGCTCTGTCACCCAGGCCAGAGTGCAGTGGTGCAATCTCAGCTCACTGCAAGCTCCGCCTCCCGGGTTCACACCATTCTCCTGCCTCAGCCTCCTGAGTAGCTGGGACTACAGGCGCCTGCCACCATGCTAATTTTTTGTATTTTTAGTAGAGATGGGGTTTCACTGTGTTAGCCCGGATGGTCTCGATCTCCTGACCTCGTGATCCACCTGCCTCAGCCTCCCAAAGTACTGGGAATACAGGTGCAAGCCACCGCATCTGGCCGATATTTTTATAAATAAAAATGTTAGCAGTGTCTAGAATCATTAATTGTTAGCTCTGGGTGGTAAGATAACAGGTGATGTTTCTGTCTTCATATCTTTTTTTTTTTTTGAGACACAGTCTCAATTTTGTCACCCAGGCTAGAGTGCAGTGGTGTGATCTCGGCCCACTGCAATCTCCACCTCCTGGGTTCAAGAGATTCTCCTGCCTCAGCCTCCCAAGTAACTGGGACTACAGGCGCGTGCCATCACACCCGGCTAATTTTTGTATTTTTTGTAGAGATGGGGTTTCACCATATTGGCCAGGCTGGTCTCAAATTCCTGACCTCAAGTGATCCGCCCTCAAGTGAGCCACCACGTCTGGCCTCTGTCATCATATCTTTATGCGTTGCTTGAATCTTTACATTTCCACCTTTCGGAAAAAAAAAAATCTGATAATCTACCGTCAAATCTCCCAAATCCACAAGTTACCTGAGAACATCTACAAATGTTCTGAAAGCACTGGTTAGAATAATTCTAGAATTTAATTTGCTAGAATATATGATACTTCACGGTACTACACAATAAAGCTGATATTTTCTTAGCAAGAGATGACAGGTAAGAGAATTTTGAAATTCCCTCTTACTTGGTTTCTGTTGTTGATATGTCTGCATAATTCCTCAAGATCTTTGTTGCTGAACAGATTTCCCTTAATTTCCATTTTCTTATCTTTTGAAATGGCTGCCATTAACAAGCGGTGTACTACAATATCTGAATATCTTCTTATTGGAGAAGTAAAGTGGGTATATTTATCTAATGCAAGACCTTCAAAAAGAAAGCAAAAGATCAAAATAAACAAAAACTATTTTAAAATAACTAGCGCAAAGTTACAGCCACACATAGGAATATGGTATGATTCACCGTAATGATGGAACTCCTCCTCCGCACAGGATCCGGTGGAGAAGTACAGAGCATTCGACATGGCCTGCGTGGCCATGGAGCGCAGTAGCCTGTTCACAATGGGATCGTGGGGGTCGTTCGCATTATCCAGAGAATCAGCCAGTGTTTTATTGGACCTGACAAAGAACAGAAAAACCGTTAGCTAGTCCCAGACAGTAATTTACAAGACAACACTTTGAGGGGAACCCTTCACTCATCCGTCTGAATACCTTCATCTGCCAGTAAATTTGTTTTGGACACGTTTCAGAAGCACCTCTTTTCAACTACAGAAATCTAGTTTGCTTTACGGCTTAAACAAAACAAGAGTGTCAGAATTTAAATACATTTCTTAAGTAGAAATGAATCATGTACTGATTTTAATACTAGGTTAAGTTAGTGCTTGGCTATAATAGGTGGTCAAATACTCGTTGAATTGAATTCTTTACATCCTTAACCTTAAACATTCTATATATAGGTAAAATAATGGACTTGGTGTACAAGTAAAAGAAACCTAAATTAGTTTTTCTTTTTTAAAGAGGTAGTAAGCATTCTATTTATTTATTCTCAAAATAATTTTTTTGTAGAGACAGGGTCTCACTTTGTTGCCCAGGCTAGTCTTGAACTCCTGGCCTTCAGTGATCCTCCTGCCTCGGCCTCCCAAAGTGCTGGGGTTACAGGTGTGAGCCACTGCATACAGCCTCAAAATAATAATTTCAAAGCCCCAGGAAATATAGAGGTATATTAAAAATAAAACTAATAACATATAATTCAGTCCTATATTGTGGCTGGCTAAGGGAAAAGGGGGAAAGGAGAAATAGAGCATGATGATGAACAGAGAGGCAAGGTGTTAAGTGGTCACTATGTGAGCTTGCAAGTTTAACAGACTTGGATTCAAATCTTGGCTCTGCCCTGACTGTTAAATTACAGGCAAATTACTTAATCTCTTCAGACTTAATTGACTTATCTGTAAATATGAATGATGCTGCCATCACCTCAGCATTAAGAATTAACCAAGAGGATGTCTGAAAGCCCTTGTCCCATGTGCCTGGCATGCAGACAGCTCATACAGTGACCATACAGAGGCTGGAGTGTAGTGGCACAATCTTGGCTCACTGCAACTTCTGCCTCCCAGGTTCAAGCGATTCTCGCACCTCAGCCTCTGAGTAGCTGGGATTACAAGAGTGCGCCATGCCTGGCTCGTTGTATTTTTAGCAGAGAGAGTTTCATCATGTTGGCAAGGCTGGTCTTGAACTCCTGACCTCAGTGATGTGCCTGCCTCAGCCTCCCAAAGTGCTAGGATTACAGGTGTGAGCCACTGTACCCAGCCTATACTTAGTTTTTATTTATTTATTTATTTATTTTTGAGACAGAGTCTCGCTCTGTCACCCAGGCTGGAGTGCAGTGGTGCGATTTTGGGTCACTGCAACCTCCGCCTCCCGGGTTCATGCCATTCTCCTGCCTCAACCTCCCAAGTAGCTGGGATTACAGCACCTGGCTAATTTTTTGTATTTTTAGTGGAGATGGGGTTTCACCGTGTTAGCCAGAATGGTCTCGATCTCCTGACCTCGTGATCTGCCCGCCTCGGCCTCCCAAAGTACTGGGATTACAGGCATGAGCCACTGTGCCCAGCCTGCCTATACTTGGTTTTTAATGAAAGAAGTATTTTATCCTAGAGATAGGGAGTAAAAATGTCTCACTCAATTGAGGGTGGTATAAATTCACTGTTGGTGTAGTATCTTATGATATTGTCACAAAGATGCTGCATTTTAAAAGTACTGAAATAAATAGGATTATTTCTTTGTAACTTAAGGGGTACATGAAATTAAATCAAGGGTAACTAACAGGTTCCCTACTTCTGTATTACAAATTATGGTGGGTCAGCCACACACAGTGGCTCATGCCTATAATCCCAGCACTTTGGGAGACCGAGACGGGCGAATCATGAGGTCAGGAGTTTGAGACCAACCTGACCAACATGGTGAAACCCTGTCTCTACTAAAAATACAAAAATTAGCCAGGCGTGGTGGCACATGCTTGTAATCCCATATACTCAGGAGGCTGAGTCAAGAGAATCGCTTGAACCTGGGAGGCGGAGGTTGCAGTGAGCCAAGATTGTGCCACTGCACTCCAGCCTGGATGACAGAGCGAGACTCTATCTCAAAGAAAAAAAAAAAACCAACCGAACAAAAAAACCCAAATTGTAGTGGGTCAAAATTATGCCTAAATGTCCAGTGTGGTGGCTCATGCCTATAATCCCAGCAGTTTGGGAGGCCGAGGCAGGTGGATCACTTGAGGTCAGGAGTTCAAGACCAGCCTAGCCAACATGGCGAAACCCTGTCTCTACTAAAAATACAAAAAAATTAGCCAGGCATGGTGGCGTGTGCCTGTAGTCCCAGCTACTCAGGAACCTGAGGCAGGAGAGTCACTTGAACCTGGGAGGTGGTGGTTGCAGTGAGCCGAGATCATACCACTGTACTCCAACCTGGGTGACAGAGCAAGACTCTATCTAAAAAAAAATTGAAACAAAAAACCAAGGAACAAAATTATGCCTAAATAAACTTGTTTTAAGTCTCTATACATAACAATGAAGAGGGAAAAATGTGTCTTCAAAAATGAGGAGAGCCAAGAATCTGTTTTCTCTTTTTGGTCAAAGATCTGGCTGTCACATTTTAAGAACAACTGTAAGATAACTAAATATACAGCATGCCACTCCATTCCTCTGCCCCCTCAAAAGAGGAATACCGTGTATCTATGAAGAAGCCTTTGGCTTTAGCACATTCCCGGAGTTCTGAAAAGAACTCCTGGTGTGGAGGAGGGTGCTGGCGCAGCAAGGCCTGATGAGGGAAGCTCTCCCAGATCTTTTTGGCGACCCAGTGGTTGGCCAGGATCATGCATTCAGCCACTGTCTCGTGGACTTCCAGGGGCTGCTTGGGGATGAGGTCGTGAATGTTCTTTTTGTCATCTAGCTGTACGCAAACCTCTACCCCTTCCAGTTCCAGGGCACCACATCCGTCTCGTTTAGCTCTGACATGGCGAGCTATGTCGGTCAGCTTTCCAATTGCCCACACCAACTCCTCCAGCTTGGCTTGTCTGCTCTTCTCATCCAAGTCTTTGAATTCTGGAATATCATCAACAACGCTTAAGTTTCCATCCAGTAGTTCTTGGGCTGCTTCATAGAACAGTTTGTATGCTGATCGAATAATGGTTCTGCCATACCACACTTTCTTAATTTCATAAGAGGCTTTATCCAGTTCCCACATGATGCTTACAGCATACCTACAAAAACAGTAACATTGACAACATCACTATTCAAATTCATCTGGCTTTTTTTGTTTTTTGTTTTTTTGAGACAGGATCTTGCTCTGTCACCCAGGCTGGAGTGCAATGGCATGATCACTGCTCACTGCTGCCTCAATCTCCTGGACTTGAGCAATTCTCCTGCCCAAAGTGCTGCGATTACAGGTGTAAGCCACCATGCCCCACCTAAGTCTTCTATTTTTGAAGCAAGTGGAATTTGACCTAACTGTAACTTAAAAGAAATTACAAAGCTACAGGTTTCTGGTTTGTCAATCCAACCACCTTACAACTAAATCAAAAAATATTTTAAATTAAAACAACAAAGTTAGACTGGGGACTGTTGAGCTCTGAACAAATTTGAAATGAGTTCATATGTGACATTACAAACCTTACTTTATGTCCTCCATTTTTTTCTTGAGATGGAGTCTTGCTCTGTTGCCTAGGTGGGAGTGCAGTGGTGCGATCTCGGCTCACTGCAACCTACCTCTTCCTGGTTCAAGTGATTCTCCTGCCTCAGCCACCTGAGTAGCTGGGACTATAGGCGTGCACCACCATGCCTGGCTAATTTTTTCTATTTTAGTAGAGACGGGGTTTCACTGTGTTGCCCAGGCTGGCCTCAAACTCCTGAGCTCTGGCAATCCACCTGCCTTGGCCTCCCGAAGTGCTAGGATTATAGGCGTGAGCCACCGTGCCCGGCCATGTCCTCTATTTTGATTAGAAAAGCATGACACTGATAGAGTCAAGTCTTTTTAGCTCAGTAAATTAGAGCAAAGTCTTGCAAATCCTACAGGATGGCACTGAACTGTGATATCAATCTTGATGACAGATAAATTAGCAAAAATTTCATTTAGTAAAAAAACTCTTTGCCACCAAGTCATTTTATTTAAAAAAAAGGTATACATTTGGAACTCATAAAAAACATAGGGCTAATTTTCCTAATATGTAAAGAGCTTTTACAAATTAATCAGTAATTGATCTTGAATCCAAAAGAAAAATGGGCGAAGAATATAGTTAACAGAAAGGGATACATAAGTGACAAACATACGAAAAAATGGTTAGCTTTATTTGTAATGCAAATTAAAACCAATCTAAGATACCATTTTTCATCTATCAAATTGGCAAAGATAAAAAAATACAACATATTGTGTTGGCAAGGCTATAGGAAAATATGCACTCTCATACATTGGTGACAGGAATATAACTGGTGTAACATTTAAGAAGGGCAATTTGATTATATTGATCTAAACACAAATGCACATACTCTTGACACAGAAATCCCATAATCAAATATGGGAATTTCTCTTTCACATATACTGTATTTTAAAAAATGTGAAATGGTCTGGGCATGGTGGCTTACATCTGTAATCCCAGCTTTTTGGGTGGCCAAGGCGGAAGGATCACTTGAGCACAGGAGTTCAAGACCAGCCTGGGCAACATGTGAAACTCTGTCTCAAAAAATAAAAATAAAAATGAAAATGTGAAATGACTTATGTTCAAAGTTAACTCAGTACAGCTTTGTTTGTAATACCAAAAGATTGGAAACTATCCAAATTTCCATAGATAGTGCAACTGTTATTAATACGGAATGATCTCCAAGATACCATTAAGTTCTTTTTTAAAAGGAAGGTGCTAAACAGTATATATATATAAAATGCAACCATTTGTGTAAAAAAGATCACATATGCATATTCATGTATGTATTATATCTAGAAAAACTAATACGGAACTGGTAAGTGAGGGAAAGTGATAGGGAGGAACCTTTCATTAAATACCTCTTGGGACATATGAGTTCGGGCCTATATGATTCTATTAGCTATTCAAAGAGAAACAAAGTTTAAACTCAACAAATGAACAAACAAAAAACTCCCCGAGTTCATGATCCTCATGCCAAACAACTTCCGCCAGGGAATGCATAAGCACAAAGCTACATACATTTGTTCTCAGATTTTAGCTGACTTTAAAAAGCCAGCAACAGAGGGAGACGCAGAGCCCCACTGCTAGCAGACAGAAGAGAGGAGGGAAAGGGCAGGGAAGGCTAGAGAAATAAAGCTGCCTAAAGATAAGTGGTGTGGGGTTGGGGTCGGGGGTGAGGTTGAGAGGTCAGAGGGGAGACACAGGGCTGGGGTGGGGCATAGCAGAGAAGAAACATGAGGCCAGAAGCAGGCAGCATCAGGAGCCACAGAAGGGCCAGGACAAGCTTTGAAGACAAAAGCCATAAACTCACCTATCAACGCCTCCCAGAAGGGAACACAAATCTGCACTGAGGACGGAAGGCAGCATGTCATAGCGACGATCTGCTAGATAATAAGTGGTGGCCCTGTGAATGACACACACGCGGCAACGCGACCTTTAGCAGGGAGAAGCAGAACTGCTGACTGTGTGGGCCGCAGGGAGGTAAATGGCCAAAATCTCACTACAGATTCCCCAAGGCTGTTGCTGTTTCATAAAGTGCAGCAGACTGGGTAATAAAACTATTCCCATGGTCCCACTTTTCTAAGTGACACTGCTTTGGGCTGAATATTCTTCCACTGATAAGAGAAAGAAAGAGCAAGTGACATGAATCTTTGTCGTATAAGAAAAACTGGAGTGTAATGATCCAGTATTTTTAAAAAATAGTATATTACTACATGAAAATTTAACCCATTTCGATTTAGTAGGAAACAATGTGTGAAAAGGTTATGTTAAAAAGCAAAGGTAAATTGATCAAGGTACTGTTTTTCTAAAGGAAAATGGAGAGTGGACCTCAACTTTTTTTTTCTGGAAGGGACCTTCAAAATTGCACAAACATGAGATCTTTGAACACCTGAAACTAGTACAGACACAAAATATCCAGTCACATACACACAACCATAGAGCTGATTTCAAATAGCATTACCTTGTTCTAGCTTCAATATCAATGTAAGAATTTGGTGCCACAAAGTGTGTTACATCTGCGATGTGGACCCCAAGTTCCAGGTTGCCATTATTTAAGGTTCTGACTGAGAGTGTGTCATCCACATCTTCACAACCTTTGGGGTCAATGCTGAATACGAGATGGCTTTTCCTCAAGTCTTTACGTTTTTGTTCCTCTTCAGGACTCACCTTCCAGGGACTTTCTGGTGTGTTTACTGGCATCTCACACATCTGTATGAGAAACCAAATATTCAGCAATTCATGCACCACAAATTTCTGTAAAAATCCACTCACTAATATTCTCAGTATGACCACATAGAAATTCATTCATTCTCAATTACCTTCTTCATCAACCTATGTTGGCTTCCTTTGATCAATAATTGTTTACTAGGTGCCTCAGATATCCCAGGTACTGTGCTGGGCTCTGGAAAGTCAGGAGTCAACAAGAAAGACAAAGTCCTACACCCCTGAGGACCCTTACAGTTGGACAGAAAATGTCCCACAACTTCTACCAGCCTCTTTAGTTACAGGGGCTTGGAACAAGAGTACAACATGTAGCCCATTTTCAAATGATCCATTTGTTTAAATGTAGTCAAGCTTTAAATTTAAGCCTTGAAAAAAATAATCAACATGTTCCAAATATTAAAAGCTTACCCCTTAAAGATAATTTTATACAGGACCTATCTAGGGCATTTTCTCTCCATTATTATCTGTTTAAGCCATCAATTTGCAGTTAAGTAGGCTAAAAGGGAAGAGAAAATTCTAGTCCTATGATGTATAGCCCACACTTTATTTTATTGTAACATTTTCACTAAGAGCTGCCAAACAAGTCAACAAATAATTTCCAGAAACTAATGTTAAATATAAAAATTTAATGATGTAAAATATTCTAAAATAGTTTACTATGATAGCTCCCGTTCTGTGAAAAACTTTAATGAAAATAAGAACACCCAGACACTCCTTATGGTAATGCAAATGGGTCCAATTTTTCTGGAGAACAATCTGCTTGTACATATTAGAAGCTATTTAAATCTTTTATACCCTTTGACTTGGTAATCTCACTTTAAGGATTACATTCCAAGAGAATGATCAAAAAGAAATTAAAAAGCGGTGTTTATAAAAATGTTCAAAGTAACATTTTTTTTTTTTTTTTTGAGACAGTCTCGCTCTGTCACCCAGGCTGGAGTGCAGCGGTGCGATCTCGGCTCACTGCAACCTCCGCCTCCCTGGTTCAAGCAATTCTCCTGCCTCAGCCTCCCGAGTAGCTGGGATTATAGGCGCCCACCACTAGGCCTAGATACTTTTTTTGTGTGTTTTTAGTAGAGACGGGGTTTCATCATGTTGGCCAGGCTGGTCTCAAACTCCTGACCTGGTGATTCACCTGCCTTGGCCTCCCAAAGTGCTGGGATTACAGGCATGAGCCACCACGCCTGGCCTACATTTTTTTATAACACTGAAAAGTTAGACAGCTGAATGCCCAAAAATCAAGAAATGCTTAAGCAAACTAGGGTACGTCAATATACCGTAATTTACCATAACCATTAAAATAAGTAGGCTATGTCAATATATAAAAATAATTTTAAGTGAAAGAAGCAGAACAGAAATTAGTGTGTGCACACAATGAATATAGTCATTCAAGAATAATACACAAGATTTATGAGGGTTTTAAAAGATCATAAAGTGATGGAAATAGCTGATGTTTTATGTTTATGAGATTTTTGTTTTCTGTAAAGGTCACAAAAACTGTTTCATAATGAGCATAATTTTTGACCCATGGGTTGGAGATGTATGGATCCCAGGAATCCACCCCCTGCAGCTTTATGCAGCCTCTGGTTGAATGATTTGGACAGAGAGTGTGGAGCTCAGTTGGGTCTGTAACTAGGTGTCCTTGTAGTTGCTGGGGATGGATGTATACTGACTATGAGACACTGACATATCATTTTTAAGCCCAGTTGGAAAATATAAAAATTTGAGAGCTATGAGGCTATAGAAAACTAATTCTACACTTGAAGCTGACTTCAGTTTGGTCCAAATATAGAATAAAGAGGATTGAGATTTTTCCATTATCTGTGCCTTCACACAGTGGGTTGTTCCACAGCACAAAGACTTTTCTTTCTTAATGATGAAACAACAACAAAAGCAAAAAGAAAATGTCACTAGATCAAAGCCTTCTGGAAAATCTGACCTGAGCTTCTGAGAAAGGAATAACTGAAATACTGTTTTCCACCAGGATGGTTGCAATTTCCCCTTCCAGATCTCCGATTCTTCCTAAAACACGCACAAAATGTCCATTTGGATACACAGATGTTGACTCCCAGGAATCGATGCGCACGACCACCCTGAAGTCCTGCACAAAAGGAAAAAATAAAACACAGCTGAGCACCAGGAGTTAAGTGGGTCAATTAGAGGCATCAAACAAACAAGAGGCAAACAATACTGGGTTCCAAGGAGAGTGGCCAGGTGCAAATAGTGGTGTATGGTAGGGTTTTTTTTTTGTTTTTCATTCTTCCTATTACTAAATTGCCAGATGGTATGAAATGCTTGACCCAATGCTTTGAAGGGAGGCATTACCTCTCTACATCAATGAAGAGGGCTGGAAATTTTAGTCTGCTGAAGAGAGCCGTAATATATTCTAGTTAACTGTAATATATTCTAGTTAACGCTTGCAACACTAGGGGAAAACTCAATTATGCATGCTCCAAATTAAGTTTTAAAACAACAATCTTAATGTTTTGTGTGTGGGAGGTAGTTCCTAATTTCTTTGAAGTCTATTTTATTTTATTTTATTTTTTTCGAGATGGAGTCTTGCTCTATCAACCAGGCTGGAATGCAGTGGTGCTATCTTGGCTCACTGCAGCCTATGCCTCCCGGGTTCAAGTGATCCTCCTGCCTCAGCCTCTCACATAGCTAGGATTACAAGCGTGTACCACCATGCCCACCTAATTTTTTTTTTTTTTTTTTTTTTAGTAGAAATGGGGTTTCACCATGTTGGCCAGGCTGGTCTTGAACTCCTAGCCTCAAGTGATCCACCTGCCTCGGCCTCCCAAAGTGTTGGGATTACAGGCATGAGCCACTGCGCCTGGTCTCTTTGAAGACCTCTTAAGATGGTCTTTGGTGGAGAAGAAGGTGTCGTGTAAACTGAATCCCCACTACCCCAAAATTCCAGCAAACCATGGGAATGGAAAATGTATTAGGTGCAACTGGCCTGGAGAGCCTGCATAAGGCTTCAAGATGTAAAAGCACAATGGCTAGGTTACTGGCTGGGGACATCCTGCTTTAGTGTCTCATTTACAAACTGTAAAATATCAGGGGGAATTAAATTGGGCAATGCCCATACTTTTTGACACAAGTAAAGGTTAATTTCTAACCTTCTTGTTTATGTCTTCTCTCCAGTGCTATATTCCTTTATGGATAATCAATTCTGTGAAGTACCACTACATCATCCCTACAGGGCAGAGTGATCGTATTTCTATATTGCTTGCTGGAGGAAAGCTTGTTAGTGTTGGCAAAGTGTATCTATAGAAAGTTTCTATGTTGGACAGCTGGATAATGTATGTTCTCTCTGGTTGTCCTACACAGCTCTTTCTAGGACAATTTCTCTCTGGCCTGAATTTATTAACCACAGACTACTTAATGGATGGTTTTCATATATTTAGAATTTTTAAAAAACAGAATCTTGGGGCTGGGCACAGTGGCTCATGCCTGTGATTCCAGCACTTTGGGGAGCCAAGGCAGGAGGACTGCTTGAGGTCAGGAGTTCAAGACCAGCGTGTGCAACAAAGTGAGACCCCATCTCTACAAAAAAAGAATTAAAAAACATAAAAACACGGCTGGGCATGGTAGCTCACACCTGTAATTCCAACACTTTGGGAGGTGGAGGTGGTGGATCATGAGGTCAGGAGTTTGAGACCAGCCTGGCCAACACAGTGAAACCCCATCTCTACTAAAAATACAAAAATTAGCCGGGCGTGGTGGCGGGAGCCTGTAATCCCAGCTACTCGGGAGGCTGAGGCAGGGGAACTGCTTGAACCCGGGAGGTGGAGGTTGCAATGAGCTGAGATCACGCCACTACACTCCAGCCTGGGTGACAGAGTGAGACTCTGTCTTGGAAAAACAAAAGAACAACAACAAAAAAACCCCAAAAAACACATCCCAGTATCTTGGAATGCCAGATGCCATCAATAATTTATTTCTTTATATGCAAAGGAATTAACAATGCTTTCTGGTACTGCTAAAAAGCTGGTAAAGACAGAAGGAGAAAGCGTAGAGATCCCATAGTAGAGGTAGAATGCCAACTACCTGGAGGGTTTCTGCTTGCTGAGTGCTAATTCGAATTTTGGGAATTCTGTAATCCCAAGGTGTAACCAGGATTTTCTGAGCATTTTTGCCCTGAGATTGGACCTCTTCTTTGGACGGAAATGTCACCACATAATCCCGCCAGTTCTTCTGAAGTATGCCCACCACTCGACCTTTGGCAAAACAAAACAAAACAAGGCATTAACTGGTTAGGTGCCATCTATCTGGACTCTGACCACCTCAAGCAGTAAGGAAAAGAACAAGAAATACAGTGTCCTATTTTTTTTCAAGCACATCCACCCAACTCAAGAATGTTTTTGAAAGGAAGCTTTTATTAACAACAATAACGGCCAGGCATGGTGGCTCATGCCTGTAATCCCAGCACTTTGGGAGGCTGGGGCAGGAGGATCACTTGAGGCCAGGAGTTCAAGACCAGCCTGGCTAACATGGTGAAACCCCACCTCTACTAAAAATACAAAAATTAGCTGGGCATGGTGGCGTGCGCCTGTGATCACAGCTGTTTAGGAGGCTAAGGCAGGAGAATCGCCTGAACCTGGGAGGCGGAACTTGCAGTGAGCCGAGATGCACCACTACACTCCAGCCTGGGCAACAGAGTGAGATGCCGTCTCAATAACAAACACATAAACAAAAACCAAAACACACACATAACAACAACAAGAAAAGGTATGTTTGAAGATTTGCCTTCTTGGTATTTTATTTTAAAGATGGATAATTTAAAAACACTTTTTGTTTTTGTTCGTTTCTTTTTTTTTTTTTTTTAAGAAACAGGATCTCACTATGCTGCCCAGGCTAGAGTGCACTGGCTATTCACAGATACTATCATAATATGTTACAGTCTCAAACTCCTGGGCTCAATCCATCCTCCTGGGTAGCTGGGTCTATAGGCACGTGCCATCATACCCAGCAAAGATGGGTAACTTTTAAAATAACATTGTCAGTATGCTCTCTCTTCCTGAGATAACATTTAGAATCCACTTGTCCCATTTTCTCTCTTTTGCCATTATCTTATCAATCTCATTTTGGTATATTGGGAAAAGTCAATGATTTTCACTCTTGTTTTAAACCGTGCCCTCAACTGCGCGTTTTCAGTCTTTCTTGCCTTCTCTCACCAGCTAACCTTATTTGGTCCATTATACACAGAAAAGTGTACAGATCATAAGACTGATACACAACACTTTCAATCATCACTGACTGAAGCCGAGACCAAACTTTAATAATTAAAAATGTTCTCTTTTTTCTTTTTTTTTTTTTTTTTCCCACAAATATTTACTGAGCTCCAACCAGGTATGAGGCTTTGTTCTAGGTACAGGGAATATAGCAGCACCATAACAGGCAAAGTCCTTGATTTCAAGGGGTTTATATAAAATCAGTTTGGGTGTCTGTGGGGGTGGAAAATAGACCAAAAAAAAAAAATGTGAAGTTGTGACAGTTGCTAAGAAAGACACAAGGTAGGGTAAGGTGATCAAGAGTGACAGAGGGTCAGAAGTGGCAGCTATTTTAAATAAAGTGACATTTGAACAGTGACTTGAGGGAAGTGAGGAAAACAGATGTGAGGATATTTGGGGAAAGCTTCATCCAGGTGGTGGAAAGAACAAGTTGTCACTGCGGCTGGAGCAAAGCATGAAGAGGAAAATGGCAGAAGGTGGCCTCAGCTGGTGGGACCATGCAGGCCATGGTAAGGACTTTGGATTTTATTCTGAGTGAAACAGGAACCAGCCATTGAGGAGTTTTGAGCAGAGAAATGACAGGAGCCAACTCTTGCTTTCTTTTTCTTTTTTCTTTTTTTGAGACAATGTCTTGCTCTCTTGCCCAGGCTGGAGTGTAGTAGCATGATCTTGGCTCACTGCAACCTCCGCCTCCTAGGTTCAAGCGATTCTCGTGCCTCAGCTTCCCAGTAGCTGGGACTACAGGTGTGCACCACCTCGCCCGGCTAAGTTTTGTATTTTTAGTAGAGACAGGGTTTCACCATGTTGGCCAGGCTGGTCTCGAACTCCTGACCTCAAGTGACCCACCCACCTCAGCTTCCCAAAGTGCTGGGATTACAGGCATGAGCCACAGCACCCAGCTCAACTCACTTTCTGAAGGATCATTGTGTCTTTGAGTGGAGAAAAGACTACATGGGGAGGGGCAAGGGTGGGAGCAGGAAGAGCAGTGAGGAGGCTGCTTTGACAATCCTGAGGTGCCAGTGGACTGAAGCAGGAGAGCTGTGGGGGAAGTATGGCAGGTGGCTGAATTCAGGCCATGCATTAGAGTTGGAGTTGCCAGCATTTACTGATGAGTAAAAAAAAAAAAAGTCAAGGATAACCCCAAGGTGTCTTGGGTTGACCAAGAATGAATTTGCCCTTTACTGAGACTGGGGAACACGTGGGGAAGAGCAGGTCTAGGGGTGAAATCAGGAGTCTGTGTGGGACACGTTAAGTCTGAGATGCCCATTAGACGTCCAGGGGAAGATGCCAAATAGACAACTGAGTAAACAAAACTGGAAGCCAAGGAAGGGCCAGAGATTAAAATTAAAATTAAAATTAAAGGACTGCAGGAGATCCCTGAGGGAGAGAGCGCAGAGAACAGAAGATCCAGCATGGGGCCCTTGCACATACAAGAGGACAATGAGATGGAGAGCCAGGAGGAGAACTGAGAAGAGCAGCCAGCAGGGTGGGAGAACTGGGAGGAGACCCAGGGAAGGCAGAGGGCCCCTGCCAAATGCTGCTGACAGCTTCCAGACGATGGAGGCTGACCAGTGCTCAGGCAATGGGGTCACTGGTGACCTTGGCAAGAACAATTTTAGAGGAGTAGGGCTTGGGAGGTGTCAGAATGGCAGGCATGAGAGACCAGCAGAGAGGAAGAGAGAACGTGGAGTTAACTATACTCTGACTTTAATGATAAGGGGCAGCAGCTGAAAGGGACATGGGACTCAGGGAGGATTTTTGGTTTGATTTTAAGATGGAAGCCATTACAGCATATTTGGGTGCTGATAAGAGTAAAATAAACCTGCAGAGTGGGAAAATTGATAATGGAGAGGAAGAGACTATATCTCGTGTTAGGAACTATTATTGTACAACCTGTGACTATAGTTAATAACAATGTACTGTATTCTTGAAAATTGCTAAGAGAGTAGATCTTAAGTGTTTTCATCACATAGTGAGGTTAATGCATAGGTTAATTAGCTCAGTCTAGCATTCTCCAATGCATTATATCAAAACATCATATTATATTATACACAGTAAATACACAAAAATCATCATATTATACACAATAAATACAGTTTTTGTCAATTTAAATAAAATAAATAAATAAAATAAGGGCAGTATTTCTGGATTGCTAAAGAGGAGACAAATATAATTCCACAAGAAAAATGGACATCGGAGTGGCTCTGCAGCTGGCTCACCTGTAGGCATGGGCTCACTTGGGGACTCGCCCGAAGCCTTGTCGTCACAGTCATTCTCACACAGGGCTACGGTTCTTCCTTTCCATTCATTTTTAGGAAGCAGCTCCACAACTACCACATCTCCATGAATTGAGCGGTTTCGAGCCTTCATCCCGTGGATTAGGATGTCACTGACTAAATCTGTGTTTGGGGCAGCACAGAAAAAACCCATAAAGCCAAGGGAATGGCACACCAGTGAGGCATTCCGCGCATGATATACTCGAAGTCTAATCAGTACTCCTGCAAGTAAAGCTTTTTCTTTTCAAAGGTAGAGTCAAACTTTTGTTCTGCAGGTTAGGAATGAAGAATTGCTGGCACCATGTCATACTGTATATTGAGATTTCATAAGTGCCACCCTCAATCATCTTTCAAAAAAATATCCCCATCCCCTTCACCACCTTTTAAAAAGGTATTAGTTCCCTGCATGCAACTATGTGAGCCTATGCTGGACTTCTGTCAAATACCTTTAGGATCCTACACAGCCAAGGGATTGGTCAGTGGGCTGAGGAACTATAGATAGGGCAGAACCGACAGGGGGAATGCTGACGAGCAAGGGCCCGAAGAAAGCCAGTTTCTCATTCTCTCTCCACCCAGCCATGCTCCTTTGACTAGCAGGGTTTCTTTTTCACCCTGTCATTACAGAACTAAGAACTACACCTGATTATGATACAACTTATTTACACATTTTTTCATTTTTATTACTTAAAAAAAATTTACTCCAATAAAGCAATATAGCACATTGAGGCAGCACAGACTAATATGTTAAAATCACAGCCAAACTGCCTTGGCTACAAATTCAACTCCACCACTTACCAGGTGTGTGACCTTGGGCAAGTTACTTTGCTTCTCTGTGTTGTAGTTTAAATTTATTGCAATAAAATCAGAAATTATAGACAAAAAGCTAGGGGAACCACCCCCCGCCACAATCTCACATACCCAATGTATGTAGGCATACATAACAGGGCACATATGACATGACAATTTCAACTTTGCTTTCTTCATTGTATAACGTCAGAATAAAAAAGGAGTATGGAAATTTATGTAAGGTTTATACTGAACCTGAATCTTTACTGCTGGCTCCTTGAAGTCGAACAAAAGCTTCTATTTGGGCTCTGTGTTTGTTGACATTCAGAATTCCCTAAAATCATAATTTAAAAAATCAATATGAAAAATGTTCTTTTCCGCCTGGTTTATCTCCAAAAGGTCCAGTTTTTAAAATTATGTGAAAACATCCCCATAATATTCTTTTAAGGTTTGTGATCCCTTTAGGAACTATATATATATATATACACACACATATATATATATATACACACATATATATACGCACACACATATACACTTTTTTCTTTTTTTCGAGATGTACACACACACACATATATATATACACACACACATATATATATACACACACACACACATATACACTTTTTTTTCTCTTTTTGTCGAGATGGAGTTCTGCTCTGTCACCCAGGCAGGAGTGCGGTGTCACAATCTCAGCTCACTGCAACCTCTGCCTCCCAGGTTGAAGCAATTCTCCTGCCTCAGCCTCCCAAGTAGCTGGGATTACAGGTGTCCACCACCACGCTCAGCTAATTTTTTGCATTTTTAGTAGAGACAGGGTTTCTCCATGTTGGTCAGGCTGGTCTTGAACTCATGACCTTGTGATCCACCTCGGCCTCCCAAAGTGCTGGGATTACAGGCATGAGAAACCATGCGTGGGTAGGAATAATATTAATCACTAAGGTTTATTTTCTTTGGAGAAAAATACCATCATTTTGAACTACTCTTAGCTATACAAAGTGCTGAAAGTACCAGGCTCTATCTTATGTAACTGATGAGTAGTCTTTTAAAAATCTTCTATCTCAAAATATCCTCCCAGGGGCTAGGCACGGTGGCTCACGCCTGTAATCCCAGCATTTTGGGAGGCTGAGGTGGGTGGATCACGAGGTCAAGAGATCGAGACCATTCTGGCCAACATGGTGAAACCCCGTCTCTACTAAAAATACAAAAATTAGCTGGGCATGGTGGCGTGTGCCTGTAATCCCAGCTACTCAGGAGGCTGAGGCAGAAGAATCACTTGAACCTGGGAGGCAGAGGTTGCAGTGAGCCGAGATTGCACCACTGCACTCCATCCTGGTGATAGAACGAGACTGGGTCTCAAAAAAATAAAAATAAAAAAATAAATTAAATTAAATTAAAATTAAAAAAAGTCCTCCCAGGAATGCCATAAACTTTACTACTAAGTTGGAAACATTAGCCTCTCTAGACATACTCATTTAAAATCCCCACACTTTTAGGGAGTGGCTTTGGAGTGATGCTCTTAGATTGTGGTTGACAATCTACTGAGTTGCTCATTAGAAATGCAAAATCCACGATAGAACAATTCTGTATCTTGATTGTGGTGGTGGACACACAAATCTATGCATGTGATAAAACTGCATAGAGCTACACACACATACACACATAAATGAGTGCATATAAAACTGTTGAAATCTGAATAAAAATTGTATCTGATTCCTTCCCAAGACCCTGACAGCATCTGAGTTCTAGGGTCCTGGGAGGATCACAAAGAGGCCCTTGAAAGGGGCAGAGAAAAAAATGGCAAAGGAGGAAAGAAGCTAAATTTCACCAATTTTACAACATCACCAAACCTCCAGACCTTGATTCAAAGAGGTATGTTTTTTTCTAGTGACAGGAGGCATTTACCAGGCGACTTCCACAGTCTGCTTGTATGATGTTCAATATGTAACAGAATTAAGGACATCATCGCAGAGTAGCTTCAAGCTGGGCAATCAGTGTCTGGAAAGAATGACTCCCAAGCCACCTGAAACACTGACAACCCTGACTTACTCATGCCCATCTTGTTTGCAGCCTGTGAAATCAGAGGCCTGTGACAGGATGCAGTAAAAAGAGGAGAAAACATACTGGCTGGTCCTGACAGATTCTTTTTTTTTTTTTTTTTTTAATTGAGACAGGTTCTCACTGTCACCCAGGCTGGAGTGCAGTGGTGCAATCATGGCTCACTGCAGCCTCAACCATCCAGGCTGAAGTGATCCTCCTGCCTCAACCTCCCAAGTAATCTGGGAGTACAGGTGCACACTACCACGCCTGGCTAATTTTTAAATTTTTTCTAGAGACAGGGTTTCACTATGTTGCCCAGTCTGGTCTCCAGCTCCTGGGCTAAAGCAATCTATCAGCCTTAGCCAAAGTGCTGGGATTACAGGCATGAGCCACTGTGCCCAGCCCTGACACATTCTAAATTACCACCCTCACCTGGATATAGCGTCCAGATTTAATCCCAGCTTCTAACACTTCCAGGGGAAGATGTTCTGGGTACTCCTTCCCATGGCTCTCCTGACTCTCATTCTCTCTCTCCCGTCGAGACTGAAGGATAGAATCACAAAGCTCGTGGGCAGCTTTTAAATCAGGCCAGAAATTGTCCAGGTAATTCTGTATTTAATAAAGGCACAGAGAAACACGGTCAGAAGGTACTGATTCTTCACCATGGTACTATGACAGAAACTCCTGACTAGGAATTGCTGGCCTGCCATCTTGAGGGGGTGCTCAGTGAGCAGGACTTCCTGAGCCTCACTCCACCATTCATTCTCTACTACCACATTAACCCCTGAGCCTGCCAAATGAGCCCCAGGAAGCCACTCCACCGTGGAACACTTCCACCTCCTAGGCTACTTTGTGCTTTCAAGTCTCTTTCTCTCCACACACACCACATACACACCTGCGCACGTCCAGGCAGCCTGTCTTTATGTGTATCTAATTGCTGCAGACAATGGCCTATATGTACTTTTTTTTGAGACAAGACCTCATTCTATAGCCCAAGCTGGATGCAGTGGCATAATCTTGGCTCACTGCAGCCTTGACCTCCCCCTGCCTTAAGCAATCCTCCCACCTCAGCCCCCCAAGTGGCTGGGACTAGAGGCGCATGCCACCACACATGGCTAATTTTTTTATTTTTTGTAGAGATGAGGTCTCACTATGTTGCCCAGGCTGGTCTCAAACTCCTGGGCTCAGTGATCCTCCTGCCCTGGCCACCCACAGTGCTGGGATTACACTGTGCCCAGCAGTATGTGTACATTCTTGTCTTTTTTTTTTTTTTTTTTTTTTTAAGGGACAGGGTCTTGCTCTGTTGCCCATGCTGGAGTACAAGTGGCGTGATCTTGGCTCACTGGTCTTGCTCTGTTGCCCATGCTGGAGTACAAGTGGCATGATCTTGGCTCACTGTAGCCTTGACCTCCTGGGCTCAAGTGATCCTCCTGCTTCAGCCTTCCAAAGTGCTGGATTACAGGCGTGGGCCACTGTGCCAGGCCATTCTTGTCTTTTTTATGTATTTTAACTCAACTTTAAGTCTGAGGGGTAGAGTCTAGCACATTCTCTCTTCTCAAATTGAAAAGAAAACAGGTTATACTTTCTGTCAACTCCAGCATTTCTCCCACTAATTTCAGAGTCCTGTTCAAACTGCTTCCTTTCTTTCCCTACTCCTTCCAGAAATTCTGTCTGTGCTAATGTCAGTGCCCCAATTCTATGGTCACTTATCACTTATCAACACTACACTTTGTCATTATGAACTACGTCTTCAAGAGGGATTTATCATCTTGGCTCTTCTCCATCTAACTTCAAGTCCCCACAGAGAATTCTAGGCTTCCCTTTCATCTGAACTTCACAATATCTCTTTTTTCTACTATCATTCACCTCTATGGAGCCCTTGGTCACACAGTTTTCTTGAGAAACACTATAGAAAATAAAACTGTACTATACCACTGGACTACAAAGAAAAGTAATTTTCAAAAAAGTAGAAAAATGTAATTTTAGTCAACTGTCCTCTGCAGGAACAAGACATGATGTATTGCAACAGAAAAAACAAGTGACACTGCCATTAATATCCAGCGCCCCTGGAATTCTCTGGCATGCCAGAGCACTTTCTTATAGCAGGGCCAAGAAAATTCTATTGGCAAATCTTTAGCAATATATGCACCTGGGAACCCTTACAGAATCTGCAATTCAAAACCCAACTAGACTTTCTATAAACTGACAGGGGTAATACAGGGCCTTATTCTAGTTTCTGCACCAAAAAGTGATATCAACAAGTGAAACCTAATTGACCAGCTGGGCAGACAGAAGCGACCAGCGATCTGTTGAGAGATTAACAGTCATCCTACTCTCACAAAAGGTACCTAAGAGATAGGAAGAACTGCGTTGCTGAGACAGCCCAAAGAAACAGTCACTGATAATGCCACTCCTGTCTGAGATCTGTACTAAGCAGATCTGACAGCATTCACATAAATAATATCACATCTCAACCCTTTCATTTATCCCTATTAACCCCTATGAACATTCACAAGTGGGGAAGAGTGAAGAACAGTTGGAAAAAAAGACTGGCCTTTAAGACAGTTTGTTTCGTGTGCATTTTCAGAAAAATAACTTGGAAGGCAGTATAGCATGGTGGCTAAGAGCTTTGGGGTCCGATTGCCTGGATTTTAACCATAGCCCTACCATTTTCTACTGTGTGACTTTTAACAAGTTACTTAGCCTTTCTGTGTTTCCATTTCCTTACCAATAAGATTAAATTATAATACCTACCTCATAGGGTTGTTGCAAGAATTAAATGAAATAATACACACAGAAAAGTGGCTGGCATAGATGTGTTGGTTATTACCATTAGGTAGAACCATGTCAAACTGCCATTTTATAGGTCAACAATAAGAATATTGGCAATTTTATTCAACCTATTATCATCATCATCACCATTACTATTACTGTTATAGTTATAAATGTTAGTTTACTGTCAGTAGGAGTTTACTGGGCTGGTATTAGATGCTGTGGGCCTTATAGTCAAAGTTGGTCTGAATTTGTGAAAGTCAACATTAAATAGTTGGGGCATAATGAAGAAGTAGAACTTCATTTGTTGAGACAGGGTCTTACTCTGTCACTCAGGCATTAGTACAGTGGTGTGTTCACGGCTCACTGCAGCTTCCATCTCCCAGGCTCCAGTGATTCTTCCATCTCAGCCTCTTGAGTAGCTGGGACTACAGGTGCGTGCCACCATGCTTGGAGATATATATATTTTTTTTTTTTTTCTGTAGAGACAAGGTCTCACTAGATTGCCCAGCTGATCTTGAACTCCTAAGCTCAAGTGATCTTCCCATCTCAGCCTCCCAAGTGCTGGGATTACAGGCATGAGCCACCACGCCTGGCCAAAATGGAACTTAATGTCTATTCCTCTTTTCTCTTTTCTGTGTTACCAAAGGGATCTAGAGCCTTATGGGTACTACTTAGAAAATGAGCACTCATACATATACAATATCTGGAAATACCTTGAAAGTAATCACGAATACTCCTTCTGTTTCACTTCCATACTGCTGAATTGCCTCTTCATCTTCTGTCACCATAACAATTGGCATCCTGTCCTGGCAGTGATGATAGTACCAAACAGCTGCGTTGTATATGCTCCTGGAAAAGCAAAGGGCACATGAGCTCTCCCCAGGCAGACAAACACAAGCTCTTGTTCAGAATTTCACATCTGGCTTTTGCTATCCTTTGGACTATATAGATAACCATTCATTCGTTCAACAAATACTTCTGGAGTATCCATTATAAAGAAGCCCTGGGCTGGGTGCTCTGGGGGATACAAATATGAACCAGAAAGAACCTGACTTCTCTTCCCTAAGACATCCAACCACCACTGCAACCACTTTCATTTCTTGATATGGCCTAGAAACCATGAGGCTCTGCCATCTTTTACACCATTTAACTGGGGCAGCACACAAGATGACAAGCTATATTATGTGAGGCTTAAAAGATGAAGAAGCAAGTCTTTGGCTAAGAGAAAAACTAAGGTGCAAGTAGCTGAAGATCATAATCCAATAGGGTCTGATATGGAACCATATGGAATGCCTGGAAATCTTCCAAAAAAGAACCGGAACTGGGAAACAGAGAACTGGGAAACAGGTCTGGAGAACTGTGTGCAGGACTGGATTGACTGACTGATTGAGACAGGGTCTTACTCTGTCGCCCAGGCTGGAATGCAGTGGTGAACAATGGCTCACTGCAACCTCAATTCCCAGGCTCAAGTGATCCTCCTGCCTCAGCCTCCTGAGTAGCTGGGACTACAGGTGCACATCACCATCCCTGGCTAATTTTTAACTTTTTGTACAGATGGGGTCTCATTATGTTATCCAGGCCGGTCTCGAACTCCTGATCCTCTTGCCTCAGCCTCCCAAAGTGTTGGGATTATAAGCATGAGCCACCATGCCCAGCTTTCAAGGTAACTTCTGAGGCACATTCCGTGTGGCTCCTCAGCAGCACTGATGGAGTCTTCGTTTCCTACAGCAGCAGCACATCCTTCACCACCTTCCCTCCATCTCCATCTCCATCTCACTCTCCCCGCTTCTTCACTCCTGCTTCTGGGAATTGCTTTCCACATAAACACTCCACACTCAAGGACTCACTTTAGGCTCTGCTTTCAGCAGACTTAAATCAGGACACTGTGTTTCCTGAAGCAGCTTTTTCAGAATTAAATGACCAGTTTCAGTTTAATAAGACTGGGAGTAGGAGCCTGGCCGGGCACAGTGGCTGACATCTATAATCCCAGCACTTTGGGAGGCCAAGACAAGTGGATTGCTTGAACTCAGGAACTGAAGACCAGCCTGGGCAACATAATGGGACCCCGTTTCTACAAAATATACAAAAATTAGCTAAGTGTGGTGGCAGCTACTTGGCCTATGTTCCCAGCTACTTGGGAGGCTGAGGTGGGAGGATAACTCGAGCTCAGGAGGTCGAGGCTGCAGTGAGTTGTGATCATACCACTGCACTCCAGCCTGGGTGACAGAGCAAAAAACCCTGTCTCAAAAAAAAATTAAAAAAAATAAAAAAACAAAAAAGGAGCTCTTCTGCCTTCTCCATACATACACGCATTAAAGTTATGACTTCTAGTTCACTGGAATGATCCTGACAGCTGCTAGGGTCTGGGGCAAACATATTCTGGGTACCTATATCTTCCTAACTGCAATTTTTAAAAAATGTATCAGTTATATATTCAAATGATATATCTAAAATATTGACATGGTAAGCATTTCGGTGTTAATCATGGTTCCAGAATAATTGTTGGTTTGTTCTAGCAGACTATTTAGATCAACTCCCAAACAGCCAATGATGAGGAAATGAAAGAAGACGACAGTGTGAAAACAGCAGCAAGTCAGGGCCATACCTGGTCTGCCACTTCTCCATGGACTCTCCTCTTTCCCGTGGCAGATAGCAGCATTGCTGGAATTCATTAGCAAAGAGAATGCAATCATGACGCGCATCCTTCAGCAGGTTTCGCAGTTTGTTATACTGTCTGTGACACGGAGGAGAAAAATAACTCTAACAAAGCAGGTACTCATCCACTGCTATCTCTTGCTAAGGATCAAAAAAGGATGGGGTATTTTAGAGCAAAAGATTGATTACTTTAAACCTGAAGAACATGTATTTATATTGGTCTCAGTGTGCTCAGTCCTATCGGGCTGCTATTGTTTCTCGATTTTGCCTGCTAGAAGGTGCTTGGGCAGGGCCTAGTTAATTAGTTTGCAGATCAATTAAACTCCTTCCCTCTCCTTTCCCCTTCAGAGACTTCCAGCCATTTTATTATGTAATTATACCACCTTGCCCTGCCTAGCCCCTTCTTCAAAGCCTGAGTGCACGGAGGCAAGCAGAGAGTTTAGCACTTTATTTTTGGACCTCACTTTGTTCTATAAATGTCATTAAGCATTAATACATTTGACTTTTTGCTGGCAGCCCTAGACAAGAACATGTAAGGTAAATAAGTTTGGGGATTTATCTGTGAATTTTATTTATGCAGCCACCCTGATTTACATAAATGAGAGCTAGCCTCATCTGTCAGACAACTAACAGAAAGTTTTAAGGTTTTGTCCATCAAGAGATCCTTCCCATGGCCGAGGAAGGAGAATGGTTTGAGGCCAGGAGTTCAACACCAGCATGGGCAACATAAGGAGACCCTGTCTCTACCAAAAAATACAAAAATTAGCGTGGTAGCGTGCACCTGTAGTCCCAGCTACTTGGGAGGCTGAGGTGGGAAGATTGCTTGAGCTTGGGAAGTCAAGGCTGCACTGGGCCACTACATTCCAGCCTAGGTTACACAGTGAGACCTTGTCTCAAAAAACAACAACAAAAAAGATCCTTCCCACAATGCTGGCCGAAGCCATAAATCAAACATCAAGTCTCCTATGGGCCAGTTTCTAAGAAGGTGCTTTTCAATAGTCTAGATACTATAAAATTACAGAAAACACTCAGTTATGTTAAAGGGAGTCAACTGCTTATTTAAAGATGAATTTGCTGGGTGTGGTGGCTCATGCCTGTAATCTCAGCACTTTGGGAGGCTGAGGAAGGAGGATTGCTTGAGCCCAGGAGTTGCAGACCAGCTTGTGCCAAGTAGCAAGACCCCATCTTTACACAAATTAAAAATACAAAAATTAGCTGGGCATGGTGGTACGTGCCTGTAGTTCCAGCTCCTCGGGAGGCTGAGGCAGGAGGGTCCTTTAAGCCCAGGAGTCTGAGGCTGCAGTGAGCTATGATTGTGCCACTGAACTCCAGCCTGAGGAACAGAATGAGACCCTGTCTCTAACAAAATAAATATAAAATAAAAATGGATTCATATTAAATCAGATTTAACATGTGTTTTAATATAATAACATTTGTACCCTTCCTTCCACACCTCCAGCCTGCCACCATAGGTTTTAAAAATTGAGTCTTTTCGTTGAAGCAAAGGCCGAACTCCCCAACGAATCTTGTTAAATGCATAAACACTGATCACCAATCTGTGTGGTCTTACACTTTATTAGAAAACAAGAAATAGATTTCACTAGGGCTGGGTGCGGTGGCTCACACATGTAATCCCAGCACTTTGGGAGGCGAGGCAGGAGGATCACGAGGTCAGGAGATCGAGACCATCCTGGCTAACACAGTGAAACCCCGTCTCTACTAAAAATACAAAAAATTAGCCGGGCGTGGTGGTGGGTGCCTGTAGTCCCAGCTACTCAGGAAGTTGAGGCAGGAGATGGGCGTGAACCCTGGAGGCGGAGCTTGCAGTGAGCCGAGATCAGGCCACTGCACTCCAGCCTGGTGACAGAGCAAGACCTCCGGCTCAAAAAAAAAAAAAAAAAAAAGAAATCGATTTTATTTTCTTAGTAATTCTAATTTTGAGTCACTGTGAAAAGAATCATAAATAGCAACTTATAAAATATCCTTTTTTTTTTTTTTTTTTGAGACGGAGTCTTACTCTGTTGCCTAGGTTGGAGTGCAGTGGCACGATCTCGGCTCACTGCAACCTCTGCCTCCCACGTTCAAGTGATTCTCCTGCCCCAGCCTCCCGAGCAGCTGGGATTACAGGAGCCCGCCACCATGCCTGGCTAATTTTGGTATTTTTAGTAGAGACGGGGTTTCACCATGTTTGCCAGGCTGGTCTCAAACTCCTGACCTCAGGTGATCCACCCGCCTCGGCCTCCCAGAGTGCTGGGATTATAGGCATAAGCCGTCACGCCCGGCCATAAAATATCTTAATAAACAAAGGGATTCAGTTTCATTTCTATGAAGGGCAGCTTTTCTTAACAGAATTCCACTTGTACAAACAAAAGCTGTTCCCTCACCTCTCAAGATGCGTAGAACATATTATATCAGTAATTTTCCCACTTTCACAAAGACACTATATTTTTGAGACAGGGTCTCACTCTGTCACCCAGGCTGGAATGCAGTGGCACGATCATGGCTCACTGCAGCCTCAAACTCCTGGGCTCAGATGATCCTCCCACCTCAGCCTCCTGAGTAGCTGGGACTACAGGCACACCCCACTATGCTCGGCTAATTTTTGTATTTTTTTTGTAGAGACGGGGTCTTGTCATGTTGCCCAGGCTGATCTCAAACTCCTGGGCTCAATCGATCCTCCTGCCTTGGCCTCCCAAAGTGTTGGGATTACAAGTGTGAGCCACCATGCCTGGATAAAGACACATTTAAAACTTATTTTAAAAGCCTCTTAGAAGAGTCTATGCCATATTGTTTTTTTTTTTTTTTTTTTTTTTGAAACAGAGTCTCACTCTGTTGCCCAGGCTGGAGTGCAGTGGCACAATCTCGGCTCACTGCAAGCTCCACCTCCCGGGTTCACGCCATTCTCCTGCCTCAGCCTCCCGAGTAGCTGGGACTGCAGATGCCCACCAAGACACCTGGCTAATTTTTTGTATTTTTAGTAGCGACGGGGTTCACCGTGTTAGCCAGGATGGTCTCGATCTCCTGACCTCATGATCCACCCGCCTCGGCCTCCCAAAGTGCTGGGATTACAGGCATGAGCCACCGCGCCCGGCCTACACACTGTTAACAGTTTGGGCAGGCTTTCACTTTCTGCCTTACACAGTTCGGTAATGCTTAGAATTTTAAGAATGAGCACTTATTTGTTAAGTAATAGGAACAATTTTTGGAGTGATTTCATAAGCATCTGCAATTTGTTATTTCAGAGAAAACATTGAAAAAATATTGCCTGTGCTTCCTTTGTCCCCTAGAAGTTTTTATTCCCTTTACCTACCATCATATTTTGTGCACCATTACAAAGTATCTGAACTTACTGTAGTTATTTGTTTACAAATGATCTCTCTTGCTAAGCATCCTTCATTTAGAAAATCTTTGCTTCTATGTGCCAGGTCTGCTGGGGGAGGTGAGGGGTGCTGCACTGAATGCCCTGGGGAATACCAACTAGACATCCCACTGCATCTGAATAGTGTCCTACGGCATAGATAGGGCAGTGCCCCATGTCTGCAGCAAAGAAAGGAAAAATAGACATACCATACGATCCAGTAATCCCACTTCTGGGTATATACCCAAATTGAAAGCAAGGACTCAAACAGACATTTGTATACCTATGTTCACAGCAACACTACTCACAGTACACAGGCAAAAGGTGGAAGCAATCTATCAATGGATGAATGGATAAACAAAATGTGGAATATATTATTCACATTTAAAAAGGAAGACAGTTCCAACACATGCCATAACATGGGTGAACCCTGACACATTATGCAGAGTGAAATAAGCCACTCACAAAAGGACAAACACTGTGTCATTCCAGTTACATGAGGTACTGAGAGTAGTCAAATTCACAGAGATGGAAAGTAGAATAGCAGAATAGGGGCCAAGGAGGGGAGACAGTGTTTAAGGGGTATAGAGTTTCAGTTAGGACAGATGAAAAGTCCTGGAGACAGATGTTGGTGATGGCTGACAACAAGGCATATGTATTTAATGCCTCTGAACTGTGCACTTAAAAATAGTTAAAATGACAACTTTATGTATGTACATTTTACCACAATTTAAAATAAAGCTATGCTACTTGGCAAAAACAAACCAAACATAAGACAGAACCACCCATTTCGGTGGGATAAGTGCTTGAAAGGAGAAGATGGGAGGGATGGGAAGGCTTCCTGGAGTAGGTGACCCATGAGCTCTGAAGGATGAATAAGAGTGAGTGGAGACAAAGAGCCCAAGAGACGAGAGCAGGGCGGAATGTGCGAGACAGCAGACAGTAAGGCTTTACTTCAGTGCTTTACCCCCAGGTGCTGAATCAATGCTTTCCAAATGAACAAATGAATGCACAGCCCTACATGATAACAGTGATCCAAGTGCAGGGTAATAACGCCCCTGAATAAACTGACATTTCCAGAGCCCCGTTGCCTTTTGCTAAGCTTCATAGACATCACTGCATTTGTTTTCACACCTTCACTTCAGACCCAGGGTTTTTGTTTTTGCTTTTGTTTTTTTGAGACAGGAACTCGCTCTGTTGCTCAGGCTGCAGAGCAGCAGCGCGATCATGGCTCCCTGCAGCCTCAAACTCTCAGGCTCAAGTGGTCTCCCACCTCAGCCTCACAAGCAGCTAGGACTACAGACGCAGGCCACCATGCTCAGCTAATTTTTTTGGTTTTTTTTGTATTGAGACAGGGTCTCACTATGTTAGCCAGGCTGATCTCAAATTCCTGAGCTCAAGCTATCTTCTTGCCTTGGCCTCCCAACGTGCTGGGCGTGAGCCACCGTGCAGACCCAGGGATTCTTGAATTCTGTTCTCTGCAAATACTGATGTGTCTGCCACAAGCCAGACCCAGGGGTTACCACCAGATTAGAGTAATGACAATCCTTCCTAATATTTAGAAAAATATATCACTTAACAAAAAATGTTCTCAATTTTAAGTTTCACTCCCATATATATTTTCTTAGACTTTTAGTGCAAGCTTCCATTTGTCAGCTACCTATCAGCCAGATAAAACAAATGAACAAACGGCAAAAGAATATTAATGCAGAAAGCAGGAAACAAACAGCGAATCACTCTGAGTGTGACAGTCAGGTTTGCTTGTAGACATGTGGGCTTACAGTTATAATTTAATAGCGCATACATATGATATAGTCATATTTTTTGCTAGTCAGGATTTTGTAGTGCATATGATGGGACCAGATAGATGAACATCCTGCACGGAGTCAGCAAACAGCACCATGTGCCTTAAGCGAATTCGACCAGAATGACAGGAGAACAATGGTTTCAGACAGTCAAGTACAGGTCAGGTGTGGTGGCTCATGCTTGTAATCCTAGCACTTTGGGAGACCGAGGCGGGAGGATCACTTGAGGTCAGGAGTTTGAGACCAGCCTGGTCAACTTGGCAAAACCCTGTCTTTACTAAAAATACAAAAATTAGCGAGGCATGATGGTGGGTGCCTGTATTCCCAGCTATCTAGGAGGCTGAGGCAGGAGAACCGCTTAAACCCAGGAGGCAGAGGTTGCAGTGAGCTGAGATGGCACCACTGCACTCCAGCCTGGGTGACAGAGCGAGACTCCTTCTCATAAATAAATAAATAAATAAATAAATATAAATTCAACTCTTGCAGAAAAACCTTAGTTCCTTGGACTGGCTTGGATGTTTTCTAAAACTCCATCATCTTAATGTTTTAAGCAATTTCTCAGAGGGGCAGTTAAACCTACCTTCTTTAGGTTGATTTTTTTTACTATTTTTATTCAGTGGTGACCTTACCTACAGATGCAACATCCCTTTCCGCTGCTGACTGTTCTCTCTAAGGATTAGAAGTGGGAGTCCCACACCAGTGGAAAGACCTACAAAGTGAATTCTGTACTAAATGTGTTTCATCACCTGGATTTTGCAGAACCCAGGTAGGGTCTCACAGACTTACCTTCAGACACCACTGAGTTTTCCACAAGTTTATATTGCCATTTATATTAGACAATACTCACAAAACATTTTTATGGAGTACATTTGGGGCCATCTGAACGACTGCCTTCTAACTGCACTGCCATTTGGCGTCAGTGCGGCCCTCTCAGATGCCCCAGAGACACTTCAAACTCTCGACCTTGACTCCCCTGCCCCCAGGCTTCCTCTAGTGTTCCCTCTCTCCATCCAGTCATGTAGGCCAGAAACCTCAGTGATACTCTTGACCCTACCTTCCCCGCCATCTCACATACCTAAATCTATCACTAGTTCTAGAGATTTTAAAAAAGAGCAGCTTTATTGTACCTAAATCTATCACTAGTTCTAGAGATTTTAAAAAAGAGCAGCTTTATTGAGATATAATTCACATACCATAAAATTTGCCCTTAAAACACACACAGTTCAGTGGGTTTTAGTATAGTCACAGTTATGCAACCATCACCGTCGATCTAATTACAGAACATTTTAATCACTCGGAAAAGAAATCTGTATCCATCCATTAAGCAGTCATTGCCTGTTCCCCTTGACCCCAGCCCCCGGCAACCACTAATCTACTTTCTGTTGCTATTGATATACCTGTTCTGGACATTTTACATAAATGGAATTATACAACATATGATGTTTTTATGTGTGCTCTGGCTTCTTCCACTTAGCATGTTTTTGTGGTTTATCCACACTGTAGCATCTATCAGTACGTCATTCCATCTTATGGCTGAATAATATTCCCCTGTATGGATAGTCCACATTTTGCTTAACCATAATCAATTAACGGACATTTGGGATGTTTCCATGTTTTGGCTATGATGAAGAAAGCTGCCATGAACATTTGTGTATGATGTTTTCATTTTTATTTATTTATTTATTTTTGGAGATGGAGTCTTGCTCTGTCACCCAGGCTGGAGTGCAGTGGAGCGATCCTGGCTCACTGCAACCTCCGCCTCCCAGGTTCAAGCAATTCTCATGTCTCAGTCTCCCGAGTAGCTAGGACTACAGGCGTGCATCACACACAGCTGGCTAATTTTTTGTATTTTAGTAGAGATGGGTTTCACCGTGTTGCCCAGTCTGGAACTCCTGAGGTCAGGCAATCTGCCCAACTTGGCCTGTCAAAATGCTAGGATTACAGGCGTGAGCCACCGCGCCCGGCTGTGTATGATGTTTTTAGTTTCAATGTTGACATGTTTTCAATTCTCTTAGTTATACACTTAGGAAGTTTTATATATTTTTACCTATTAAATACTCCTTGGAAACATCTATTTCTCTCTATCTCTAAGCTACCAACATTCCCTCATCTGGACTAAAGCAAAAGCCTCCTCCCTTCTTTTTTCCAGGCCTCTTCTCTACCTGGCCCAGTAATCCCTTTTTTTTTTTTTTTTGAGATGGAGTTTTGCTCTTTTGCCCAGACGGGAGTGCAACGGCGTGATCGTGGCTCACTGCAACCTCCGCCTCCCAAGTTCAAGCAATTCTCCCACCTCAGCCTCCTGAGTAGCTGGGATTATTACAGGCACCCACCATCACGCCCAGATAATTTTTGGATTTTTGTAGTGATGGGGCTTCACCATGTTGGCCTGGCTGGTCTTCAACTCCTGACCTCAAGTGATCCACCCACCTCCACCTCCCAAAGTGCTGGGATTACAAGTGTGAACCACCGCTGAGTAATCCTTTCAGGACAGGAATCTGATCATGTTATCCCATTTTGCTTAAAAGTTTTCCCTGACATCCCTGAGGCCATGAGGCCTTCCATCCCACCCAGGCATTCTTTCTGCTCCTGGGGTGTGCCACAGGCCCCTCCCCATGGGCCCCAGGCATTTTCCTCTGCCTTGAAAGCTTTCCTCCACTCTGCCTGGTTTATGCCAACCCTTGGACCTCCACCTAGGCGTCCCCCTCAGAAAAGCCCTTCCTTGCCTCCCTGGGTGGTCTGGGCTCTCCTGGCGCCCCATCCCTGTGCTTCAGTGCATTTGTCACAGTTGCAGTTCTGCATCTGTTTGTGTAATTGCCCGATTACTGCCTGTCACCCTGCCAGGACTCCATCTGCTTTGGTTCGCCACTGTACCCTCAGTGCTAGCAGTTTCTGGCACATATAGTCTCTTGGTGAACATTTGTTGAATAAACCAACACACATGTGAACACATGAACATGGTGGACAAAACAGCCTTACAGAGTTGTCAGGGGGACTCCTCATTAAATAAGCATTTATTTGAAGATTATTAGATGGCAGAACATGTGATTATCCTGAACGACTTAAGACCTGACATTAGTCATACTGTTCTGTGCAATACACTTATGAGAACAAGCATTCTCTGCATTGATATTATTGAAGTCAAAATAGGAAATCTTATTACAAATATAACCAGATTAAAGGCTGTGTCTTTCCATTGTTAAACCTAACTCTGGTGATTTTGTTTCAGCAAAACAATGTTATCTGTCACGTTGAATAATGTTCATTTGCGGTTTTCTGATTTTGTTACTTTGATTATTTAGCTTACACTAGGGTTGTATTAAAGTACTTAAACATGAGGACTTATACCGAGATTTATGTTTAAACACATTTAAATAACAATAGAAGAAAATAACACTGGGTATCCAGGAGGATTTTTTTCTTTTAGAAACAAGATGGATATATCACTCATGTTGAGAACACTGAGGTACTGGATGGGGAGTTAGATCATGTGACCTTTCAGATCTCTCCAACCATAATATTCTACAATTTCAATCTTTTTTTTTTTTTTTTTTTTTTTTTTTGAGACGGAGTCTTGCTTTTGTTGCCCAGGCTGGAGTGCTGTAGCATGATCTCGGCTCACCACAACCTCCGCCTCCCGGGTTCAAGCGATTTTCCTGCCTCCGTCTCCTGAGTAGCTGGGATTACTGGCATGCGCCACGTCATCTCGCGCATTTTGTATCTTTAGTAGTGACAGGATTTCGCCATGTTGGCCAGGCTGGTATCAAACTCTTGACCTCAAGTGATCTACCTGCCTTAGCCTCCCAAAGTGCTGAGATTATGGGCATGAGCTACTCAGCCTGGCCTGATTCCCATCTTATATACCATCAAGAAACTGAGGCATGAAATATGGAGACTCTCTGAAGCTATACAGAAGGAATTCAGGAGGGAGTCAAAAGGAACAAGCAAAGCATCCTACACCAGACACCAGACAGGACCAGGGATTATTAACTGACAAAACTTTCCTAACCAAGAATGTTCCTAAAAGCATATTGGATAAAATGAATTATTTACTTGCATCTCAAAAATGTCCAAGGAAGAAATGAAAAACAAAACAAAATGTTCCCCAACATTAAATGAACAAAACACTAGAGAGCTTCTGCTAGGCCAAGTTCAGTTAAATATAAAAAGTTAATTATCACCAAAAAAATGTTAAGTATGTAAAGTAATGCATATGCTAATTAGCTTGATTTGGCCTTTCCACAATGTATACATATTTTAAAACATCATGTTGTATACCATAAATATATATGATTTTTAAAAATAAGTTTTTTAATAGAGACAGGGGTCTCACTATGTTGCACAGATTGGTCTTGAACTGGGCTCAAGTTATCCTCCTGTCTTGGCCTCCCAAAGTGCTGGGATTATAAGTATGAGCCACCAGGCCTGGCCAAATACATACAATTTTAATCTGTCAATTAAAAAAAGTCAAATAACTTACACTTAACACTTAGGAAGGCTGAATTAATCAAGCACATCTCTCAGATCTTATGTATTCAATGCCTATTATTAATTTGAAAGTTAGCCTTTAAGAAATGACACTTTCTAGTGCTCAGACAATTTGGGTCATTTAGCTATGTCAACCTGAAGGCACCTGCTGGTTGCTTAACAGGTAAACAAAGTGCCAAGTCCCAAATTTGCTGATTTCTTCCTCTTCTTCAATCATACTCGTAATACGCCTTAAAGACCAGTCTCAAATCCATTTCCCCCAAAGGATTTTTTGGCCTAATTGCTCCACTCCACGTTTACTTCTGCACTTTGCATAGTCCACGTTAAATTATCCTTCGTGTGTCTAAGGCGCTTCATAATAACTGTCTTGTTTCTTCTATCTAACCCCAGCAAGACAATAGGTTTGTTGTTAGAGGGACTAAGACTGATTTTGGGCCGGGCACAGTGGCTCATGCCTGTAATCCCAGCACTTTGGGAGGCTGAGGCAGGCGGATCATGAGGTAAGGAGTTCAACACAAGTCTGACCAACATGGTGAAACCCCATCTCTACTAAAAATACAAAAATTAGCCGGGCGTGGTGGCGTGCACCTGTAATCCCAGCTACTCAGGAGGCTGAGGCAGGAGAATCACTTGAACCCGGGAGGTGGAGGTTGCAGTGACCTGTGAGCCGAAATCACGCCACTGTACTCTAGCCTGGGCGACAGAGCCAGACTCCATCTCAAGGAAAAAAAAAAAAAAAAAAGACTTCTTTTTTATTCCCCAAGGCCTGGAACTAAGAGCTTAAAAAGTGCTTACCCAACGAACAAAATCAGGGTGTTATCATATGGCCCTATTTCATAACTCCTCATCTTTTGTTTTCACATTTAGTATATTCAAAGACATGGTAAGGCAGTGGAAAACCAATAGTTTTTCATCAAGTTAACTACTCTTGAAATGTTCAGGAGAAAAAAACGTTTAAATTCCAACTCTTTGTCTTTGAATGTCCCAGGAACTGGTTTCTAAAACAATCCTTAACATTAAAAATATTTCAGAAAACAGAAGTTGAAAAGGCTCGCAGTGTGTTAGCAATCTGAATGATAACAACAAATTGATTTTAGTAGCAGAAACTGAAATATGACACCTGGAGCAGCATTTAAATTTGGATGTGTATAAACATCTATATCTTGGTGTCTGAACAAAATCAACTTGAAGATCATTTAAAAATATTCTATCTGAAAAAACCTGCACACAATCTGGTTAATGTATGTTTTTTGAACTGAGCATATAATAAGAGGACAATTTTTTGCCATTTTCATATACAAATAAAAACACTTCATCTTTTATCACTAAGGCCTGAAGAAACCACAACATTTTAAAAAAGAATAAATGCATAGTTGGTGCTTATTAAATAACTTAGAGTGTTAAAAGGTTGGACGTATAATTCTAATATGCTATTTCCATACAGTTTTAAGTTCAAGTCATAAACCTTTCCCAACATTAAAGGAAGCAAAATCGTTTTTCAAAGTATTTGTTTAAAAGGTAGACAGCTATTCTTCATTTAAGTACTAGGCAAGAATTTTAGACTTGTTCAATTAGAAAGCCTTTGTTTAGCAAATACAATGACTATGGCTGGTAGTTACACTAGTAATCTAAAAATAAAACAAGCTATTTCTGGTTTCATTGAATAAATCATTACAAGTACAATTTGCATCCCCAATAAAAGAGTCTAAAATTTAAAAATAAAGTACTCTTTTCCCCAAGAAAAGAACGTATGCTTCTGAAACAATGTATCTATAAATAAGATTAAATAATACACATTATCAACAAGAAATAAGCAATAACCCTGCCACTATAAAAATGCAAGCCAAAAGACAATTCACACTAGAATCTTAAATACCCACATACTGGGGACACTGCAGTTTACTAATCTACAGTCAGATCTCTTGGCCAGGTGTTGAAGCAGAAATATAAAATAATGTTACTGCATTCCTCACTATCAAAGAGAATACGAAATTAGTTTTAAAAGTCCCTTCTGACAAAATAATGAATTCCTCCCATCCCCCTCCGACAAGGGACCTTTTCTAAGGTGGGGGGAACCTATGCCATATAGAAATAAAGAATGCAAAACGTATACCTCCTGCCTCTTTGATGCTGCACAGCTTGACAAGCTGTCTGCATGAAAATAATTCCCTTCAACTCAGGAAACTCAAGGATCTCAAGATAATCTTGAACAACTTTCCAGTCTGGGATCACGTAATGAGTCACATCACTAGACAAGAGTTTCCCATCTGAAACATAATTCAAAATGTAAGAGATTAGACAATGTTTTCAAACCTGGTTTATTTAAATGTCACGGTGCTCTGGCATGCAAAATAACTTCCAGTCTTAACTCCATGGTGGGAGTTTTTAAAAGACAAATCTACTTTGGTAGAGGCCCAAAGTTCAGGTATATTGAGCACCCTCATTTTTTTGGAAGCTGTGATAAATACAAGCTCAACGTGGTTTATGGTGTTGCCAGAGGTGCCGGAGAGGATGGCTGATTTAACAACGAACAAGCACATTTTCAGCATAACCTGAATATTTCAGTGTTAACTCATCATTGACAAACACATTCAAATGAAGCACCCCCACATTTATACCACTTGTGTATGATGCCCAGCAATTTAAAGTTGGCTCTGTGTCAAGCTTCTGCACGTGCTCAGCAGCCTCCAAGGGCCAGAAAGATTGAACAGAGAAAATGCTCCGTGCAAGCAACGTGCAGAGGTGAGGTTTCCCACCAGACCTGCATCTGAGAGCTGGTTAGCCAAGCTCTAACTGAAATGTTCACCTTAATCACAATGTTTGGAGGATTCCACACATTCGCTGACAAGGACCCCCAGCCCATTCTCATCCTCCCATGGGGGAAGAGAGCCAGTAACGTGCATCGTTCTATCGGCCACCCTTGTGGCCTAGAAACCAAGGACTGGGGCCCAGGAGTCCCCAGTCCAACTTCCCCGTGACCTTCCGCTCCAGTGCGGGCCCAGAGAGTTCACAAATCTACGGTGAAGTGGCTCTCCACTGGGGGAAAAGTCTGGGGCAACAGTGCGGGCAGGTCAGGAAACCTGTGGCTGCAAAGCAGGCGATGTCAGCTTCGCAGCGGCAGCAGCTGGCCTGTAGCTCCCGGGGGCTCCCAGCTCGGGACCTCCCCATTTCTCCACGGCGCGAGGTTGCGGCGGGAGGAGGCCTCGGCTTCCGCGCCCTCAGGCCCCTCTGAGGAGCCAAACCACCCGGCCTCCGGCATGGGGTGCGGGTCTGTCGGGCCCTCCCATTGGACAGGGCGGAGCAGTAAGGGAGTCCCGGGCGCCCCAGAAGCCGCGGACCCGGGCCGCTGGGTCCCCACCGGCAGAGAGCCGGGGGGTGAGGCCGGCGAGCGGGCGCAGGCCGCGGGGCCTACGCCTCCGTGTCCCCGCCGCTGGCGCTCCGCCTCCCGGCCGCGCTCAGCCCCTCACTGCGGCCGCCCGCTCCCGCCGGCCCCGTCCCCGCCCCCGCCCCGGCCCTGACCGTGGCTGCAGGCGGCGGGCTGCGGGCAGAGCGGGCTGTGGCAGGGCACGCAGGGCCGCAGGTAGTGCTCGCGCACGATCCGCAGCGTGCGGCCCTGGAAGGTCCTCAGCAGCAGCACCTTCTCCCGCTTCTGCAGCATGGCGGCGTGTCTCCCGGCGGCCGCGGAGTGGCGGGCGCGGCGGAGGCAAGGCCGCGGCCTCGGACCCGCCCCTCGGCCCTAGGCGCCGCGGCTCCGGAACCGCCGTAACTGCCGCGCCCGGGGGAGGCCCGGAGCTACACGCTCCAGGCTGGGGCCCGGCCCTCCCGGCCTTAGTTTCTTCCCTTCCCTCAGTGGCCTGGACCAGGGCGGAGGGGTGGAAACGACCTACCCCAGAGACGGAGGGAAGACTAGGATGATACCTGGACGGCAGGTGAAGAAGGGCTGGGCGCAGCTGTCCAAGATTAGGAGACTTTGTTTGTCCCCCCCAGGTCCATGTGGGAATGGAGCCGCCGTATTAATACTAATACCGGGTAATTAATGTTTTCTCTTCGTTGCTCTCGCTATCTCCAAACGAGGTAAAAGACTCAGCACATAAGCCGGCAACCCTGCCAGCCGAACATTTCTAAAAAGTTATATTCATTTAAAATTACATGTACTTTTTTTAAAGTTTTTTTCTTTTTTTGTAGAGATGGGAGGGTGAGGGGGGCAGGTCTTGCTCTGTTGGCCCGGCTGGTCTCAGGCGATCCACCTGCTTCGGCCTCCCAAAGTGTTGGGATTATAGGTGTGAGCTGCTGCGCCTGGCCTTTCATGTTCTTTTTAAAATTTATTTATTTGTTTTGGTATCCCTATTGAAGTTATCATGTACTTATATAATCAAACAATGCAGATAAAATGAAAACCAATCTCTTCCCTTGAAGCACTGTTCCACTCCAACTTTTATAGCTTTTGCAGCCTCTGGCAAAGGATTTCTCCTTTAAACTGCCACTGTGACACAATCACAAACGTACATGTTTGTATTAATTTTTTTTTTTTTTTTGGACAGGGTCTTGCTGTGTCACTCATGCTGGAGTATAGTGCATGATCATGGCTCACTGCAGCCCCCGAACTTCTGGGCACAAACGATCTTCTCCACCACGCCTAGCGTTTTTTTCTTTTCTTTTCTTTTCTTTTTTTTTGTAGAGATGGGAGTGTCTCACTATGTTACCCAGGCTGGTCTCAAACTCCTGGGCTCAAGTGATTCTCCCACCTCAGCCTCCCAAAGTGCTGGGATTACAGGCGTAAGCCACCACGCCCAGCCTGTAGCTCTTGATAAAGAGATGCACACAGTCTCTTCTGAGATCACACACCCTTGATGGGATAGAATCCACTCTTCTTCCAAGCACTCAACTAAGACTTTTGAGCTGCACTAGCAGCTTTGTATACGTGTCCCATTTAATTTCCACAACAAGTCAAAGGAGTGGGGCATTATCATTCCTATCTTATAGACTATAAAACAGGGTTAGGGAAGTTAAGTGGCCAAGGTTACCCAGTTATTAAGTGGTGGGATCAATATTCAAGCCAGAATCTGACTGAATTCCAAGGAGGCTCAGAAGTAATTACCGTGCTATTCAGAGATGAGTAAAATACAGGTCCTGCATTTAGAGACTTTATAGTCTGCTTGGTGAGCTCCAGTTAAGGCAGCTCAACCAGCTGGCTGGAAACATCAGACTTCCTGTGATGCTGAAGCAGGCAGAACTGAGGATGCTCTGTTGGATGGCTCTTGTCACTCTACAGGAATGCATGAAAGAGAGCCACGATCTCCCACTCATTGTACTTCCATGTCAAGTTACCCTGCAGTGTGAGCTGATGTGAATGAGATCTGAGGTGGAATTGCACGAATTAGGAAAACAGCACAGAGCTGGCCTGTAAGGCAACCAGCAGTGCAGGAGGCTGTCCCTAATTCAGGAGGTCAGTTCTGGACAGCCCAGAGGACAGTCAAGTTGCCAGATTTGTCCCCTACATAAATATGTTCCAGGCAGCTGACCACAGTTCCCTTCAAAGCTCCCTCACGTTCATTTTTCTTTTATTTCTGATTATACCAGGTTATGGGGGGGGGGGGGTGTTGATTAGATACTAATATGCCCATGACATCGCTTTTTAGCACTTGGTAGCTTTAAACTTTCTTCAAATTGGGTCAAATGATCTTTTAAGGAAGAGAGTGTGTCTGGAGTTCTATTGAAAGTTGGCTTTATTAGTATTTTAAATAATTCAAGGTCCATTAAGCACTTCTTTTGCTTGCATTTTGGCGATAATGTATAAATTATGTTTTAAAAAGCATGATTCCTTAATTCTTGGAACTAATGAGCTAAAATGGACAAGAGTGCCTTTTTGTTGGTTGGTTGGTTGGTTGGTTGGTTGGTTTGCCTCACAGGCCATCTGATGCCTCTTGCCTGAAAAAAAGTGTCTATACTTGTAAGAATAAGCCAGTTTATGCTGTGGTAATATGCAACTTTAAAAATCTCAGTGACTTGGCCAGGTGCGGTGGCTCACGCCTGTAATCCCAGCACTTTGGGAGGCCTAGGAGGGCAGATCACCTGAGGTCAGGAGTTCGAGACCAGCCTGACCAACATGGAGAAACCTTGTCTCTACTAAAAATACAAAAATTAGCCGGGCATGGTGGCACATGCCTGTAATCCCAGCTACTCGGGAGGCTGAGGCAGGAGAATCTCTTGAACTTGGGAGGTGGAGGTTGCAGTGAGCCAAGATCGTGCCATTGCACTCCAGCCTGGGCAACAAGAGCAAAACTCCGTCTCAAAAAAACAAACAAAAAAATCTCAGTGACTTAAAATGACAAGATGTTGCCTAGGCACCAAGAGGCTCTGCTCTGTGCCCTTTTCCAGGACCCAGGCTGATAGAGCAGGCCCTCTCTGGAACACAGACTGTGGTCATTGGCAAAGGAAAAAAGTCCCCCAGAGAGTCTCATCCCAGCAATTAAAAGCTCAGTCCAGAAGTGACACATTTCAATTCTGCCTATTGACCACACAATAGGGGTGGGTGGGGCAGGAAGTGTGTGCCACCTCATGACCTGAAGGGCAGAGCACTGAAGCCCTTTGGTGAACAGCATCAGTGACTACCTGAGTGACCTAGCTCAAATCCCTTATCCCTAAATGAATCAGTCTGCTCTGCCAGCACCTTAACCTTTGTTGCTTGTGACTACTTCAGCTCAGCCCACTATCTGGTCTCTGCTTGGGCATTCTACTGCTCTCCTCTTTTCATATTTGATGTGTCTTTCCCAAACTCCATGACCCCGTAGGCCAAGGATATATCACCACATTATCTCTAATCTTTATCACAACTCTTCAGTGTAAATATGTGATTTCTTGTGGCAGAGACTGGTTCTGGCTCTCTGTTTGCCAAATCCATGCCCTCTTTTTCTCTGGGCACAGAGATAAATGACATTTCCCAGCTTGCCTTGCAGATACACAGGTGTGGCCATGTGACTGAGTTCTAGTTGGCGGAATATAATGGCACCATTTCCAAGCCTGGCCCATAAAAACCTCCCATGCATGCTCCTTTTCCTGTTCTACCAGCGGGAGACCAATGCCCAGGGGATTTTGAGAGCCAGCATTAGAGATGGCAGGCCCCTCATCAACTTGGGTCCCTGAAGGACTGTTCACAGCAGAGTGCTGCTGCCTTTGACCCAGGAGCATCCACAGTGGATTCTCTCTCTTTTTTTTTTGAGACGGAGTGGCCCAAGCTGGAGTGCAGTGGTGCAATCTTGGCTCACAGCAACCTCTGCCTCCTGGGTTCAAGCGACTGTCTTGCCTCAGCCTCCCGAGTTGCTGGGACTACAGGCGCAAGCCACCATGCCCAGCTAATTTTTGTGTTTTTAGTAGAGATGAAGTTTCACCATGTTGGCCGGGCTGGTCTCGAACTCCTGACCTCAGATGATCCCGCCTGCCTCGGCTTCCCAAAGTGTTGGGATTACAGGCGTGACCCACCGCGCCTGGCCCACAGTGGACTCTTGTAAGGGAGAAATAAACTTGTTACCGCACCTATCATCACCCTAACTAATTACTCTCTTTATAAAGGAGATTAAGGAACTTGTCCAAGAGTTGTGTAGGGCTATTTGTTCCAAAATCCTTCACTAGATATTAAATGTCCTCATGAAGCTGCTACAGTTTTCTTTTTTCTTTTGTTTTTTTTTTTCTTTTTTTTTTTTTGAGACAGAGCCTCACTTTGTCACCCAGGCTGGAGGGCAGTGGCAAGATCTCCATTCACTGCAACCCTCACCTCCTAGGTTCAAGCGATTCTCCTGCCTCAGCCTCTTGAGTAGCTGGGATTACAGGTGTGTGCCACCACACCCGGCTAGAAGCTGCTCGAGATTTCTAGGGCAGTTCTGAATTGCACAGTTCTCTAGGAGGTGGGAGAGCATCAGTGGCCTGCATGTTCTGGTTTGGTCTGGGCTACAGTGTAACACTGGGAAGGATGCCTGGGGGTTGCTTCTCCTCTCAGTTTTCCCTTTCCTTGTCAATCCAAGTGCAGATGGACAGCCTGACATCCATACAGAAGAATGCTGTGACAGCTTTCAGTACTCTGTTGCCGACTGAAATCTGTGACTGTGGCTTGTTTTCTTTGGTGCATGACTTCACTCTTCAGGCTGAGCACCAGTGTGCTTACACTGCAGAGGAGTTTGTAGCATTGACATGACTTCTGGCAGATGTGCTCTTGGAGTGCAGCCATCAGCAACTACTGGATTGTAATCAAAAGGTCTCATCAAAAAATTAGCCTGGGGTGGAGTGGGACATCTTTGCAAAGGGCTAAGAGGACGGGGGTTAAATGTGTGCAAGAAATTCCAGCAAGTGAACTCCAAGGGCCAGAGTGGATTACTGAAGCAAGCTTTGAAATATTCTGTATTTATTTATTTAAAATTACAATAGTGCAACATACATGTTGTAACACATTCAAACAGTACTGAAGTATGCCAAGTATAAACGTTGAAGCTCTCTTTCCATCCAAAGTCTACTCCTCCCAAGTAATTCACCATTGTTGATAGCTGGAATGCATCCTGAGTTTAAATAGAACCCAAAGTTTGCGATACGTTGGAGAATTTGTCAATCTATGCAATATCAGCTAATTACAACTAAGGTTTCTCAAATTTTGACTAGGTGCCAGGCATTTCTCCAAACGCTTTCTGTATTTTCTCATTTAATCCTCAACACAATGTCTTGCTACTTCTTCTACTGAGGTAGAGAAGGACCGAAGTGATTACCCAGGCCACACACTCAGTGTAAAGCAAAGCCAGGGTTTTTTTGTTTGTTTATTTTTTGTTTTGTTTTGTTTTGTTTTGTTTTTAAGTTTTAAGTTTTTTTTGTAGAGACAGGGTTTTGCTATGTTGTCCAGGCTGAGCTCAAACTCCTGGCCTCAGGCATCCTCCCACCTTGTCCTCCTAAAGTGCTGGGATTACAGGAAACCCAGACTTTGAACCCAAGCAGTTGGGCTACAGAGTTCACACAGTAGTGACTCAGCCATATACCTTTTAGCTAGTAGACAAGGAGAGTTCTAGGATGGAGTACATTCTATGTGGTGGACCATGGATGGACCCAGTTACAGGGTTACAGAACTGGAAACAGTGACATCCAAGTATTGACTCTACCACTTCCCTCATTTCCCTGAGCCTTAGTGATTGCAACTGTAAAGTATGGCTGGCAGGTCTTATGTTGCTGAGTATTGATATTAATGAATCAATGATGCTAAAGGGTCATGTAAATACTGTACCTAAAATTACCCCATATATCTACAAAATCAGCTTACTTTCATTTGTACTTCATCTCAGTGAAAGAGTCATTGGAGGACAAATGGCTGTTGAGATTACTCTGCTACTTGTATTAGGGATAATTTAATTTCCTACATGTTAAAGGCTGTTAATCCTCGATTTTCACTTTCCCCAGCAGATGCAATGACTCCCTTTCGGCTTTCTAAACGCCCTGCGAATCCCCATAATCCACTTTGCAATGATTACTCTAAAATGTTTTACTTAACTCTTTCTAATTTTTTAAAGGGAAAATTATTTTGCGCTTACAAATTGTTATACCTCAGCAAGATCTTTACTGTACTGATAATTTTGTCCTTCTACCACTAAGGGGCGCTGCTTCATTGAATTTTTTTTTTTTTTTTTTTTTTTTTTTTGAGTGCCTTTCCTAAAGTCTTCTCTGTGTCTTGGAAACTTGGCATTAAAATGCATCCAATTAATTGAGTCAGACAAACAAACAAAACCTTAGAATTTTAACAATATCTTTATTCAAGGAGCTGAAAGGCTCTGATGCTCCAAAATTAATTAGAAACTAATCTTCAATGATTAATACAGGAAAGAAAAAGAAAATTCTTTGTCTTGAAGCAGATTAGGAGAAAATTCAGTGATGTAAATAGCAATTTATAATTTCAAAACAGAAACATTACTATTATTTCATTTTTTTGTATTAATTGATGAAATTAAGTTTTCATCCATCTTGTAGGATTTCTATTACCAGTCATGGAATATAGTTATTTCATGGGATAAATGCACTACATAAAGTCTTTTGGCTTATTTTGCTATTTTTTTTTTTGAGACGGAGTCTCCCTCTTCACCCAGGCTGCAGTGCAGTGGCGCGATCTCAGCTCACTTGCAAGCTCCGCCTCCCGGGTTCACGCCATTCTCCTGCCTCAGCCTCCCCAGTAGCTGGGACTACAGGTGCCCGCCACAATGCCCGGCTAATTTTTTGTATTTTTAGTAGAGATGGGGTTTCACCGTGTTAGCCAGGATGGTCTCGATCTCCTGATCTCGTGATCCGCCCGCCTCAGCCTCCCAAAGTGCTGGGATTACAGGCGTGAGCCACCGCGCCCGGCTCTTTTGCTATTTTGTTACTGTATATGTTTGAACTTGGGAAAGTGAATCCCATTTTACATCTTATGTTGATAAACTGAATTCTAAAACCTTATAATTACAATAGGAAGGTTATGAAAAATGAAAGAGAATAAGGAGTACTTAGTAATGATCCTAAAGTTCTAGGTTTTGGATACATCTGAATGAGGTATTAAAATGTAGTGCAGGTGTGATCTTGGTTCACTGCAGCTTCCACCTCCTGCATTCAAGTGACTCTCATGCCTCAGCCTCTTGAGTAGCTGGGACTACAGGTGCACGCTACCACACCTGGCAAATTTTTGTATTTTTAGTAGAAATAGGGTTTTGCCATGTTGGCCAGGCTAGTCTTGAACTCCTGCCCTCAAGCAATTCACCAGCCTCAGCCTCCCAAAGTGTTGGGATTACAGGCATGAGCCACTGCACCTGACCCAATTTAAATTTTATTATTTAATAAAGGAAAAGACATTCTATTCTTTTGTACCTGCTTCTAAAGGAAGAAGAATGAGGTATAAAATTTAAAATTGCATTTGTACTTAACTTTCTTTACATTTTAGGCCAGAGCAAATATGCTGTATCTGATTATACTAGATTTCTATTATTGCATGACTACCACAAATTTAGCAGCTTAAAAACAGTAATTTATTATCTCACAGTTTCTTTCCTTTTTTCTTTTTTTTTTTTTTGACAGGGTCTGGCTCTCTTACCCAGGCTGGAGTGCCCTGGCACAATCTCAGCTCACTGCATCCTCCGCCTCCTCGGCTCAAGCCATCTCCCACCTCCGCCTCCCAAGTACCAGGGACCACAGGCACACACCAGCATGCCTGGCTAATGTTCATAATTTTTTTTTTTTTTTTTTGTAGAGATAGGGTTTTGTCATGTTGCCCAGGCTGGTCTTGAACTCCTGGGCTCAAGTGATCTATCAGCCTCAGCCTTCTGAAGTGCTGAGATTATAGGCATGAGCCACCATGCCTGGCCTATTTCAGTTTCTATAGTTCAGAAGTCTGAGCATGGCTGAGTTAGATTCTCTGCTCAGGGTTTCACAAGGCCAAAATCAAGGTGTTGATTGGGCTGCAATCACTTCTGGAGCTTGGGGTCTTCTATCAAGTTCACGTGGTTTTTGGCAGAATTTAGTTCTTTGTGGTTGTAGGGCCGGGCCTGCAGTTCTCTTGCTGGCTGTTAGCCAGCAGTGCTCAAAGCTCCTGGAGGCCCCTGCGGTTCCTTGCCATGCCCTTGCACACTTCCAAGCTCTTTCATCAGAGGAAGCCAGGCACTTTATGGCCTCACCTTATCAGATCAGGCCCACTGAGGATAATCTCCTATGTTCAGGTCAGCTGATTTGGGACATTTTTTTTAAATCTAAAAAATTTCAATTTCGTCTATAAAATCTCTTCAGAGTGGCACCTACATTAGCCTTTGACTGAATAACTAGGAAAAATGTGTATGCCAGGGTTCAAGAATCTTTGGGAGCCATCTCAGAATTCTGCCTACCATGATGCATAATAATCATTTGAACTCAATAAATTATATTTAAAACTATGGTATTTGTTAAATATTTGAGAGCAGCATAAATAATGTTCTTAAAAAAGGAATGGAGGCTGGGTGTGGTGGCTCATGTCTGTAATCCCAGCATTTTGAGAGGCTGACGTGGGCGGCTCACTTGAGGCCAGGAGTTCAAAAGTAGCCTGGCCAACATGGCGAAACCTCATCTCTCTAAAAATACAAAAATTAGCTGGGTGTGGTGGCATACACCTATAATTCCAGCTACTCAGGAGGCTGAGCCATGAGAATCACTTGAATCCAGGGAGCGGAGGTTGCAGTGAGCTGTGATCATGCCACTGTACTCCAGCCTGGGTGACAGAGTAAGACTGTCTCAAAAAAGGAAAAAAAAAAAAAAAGGAATAGGAGAACCAGGCTGGTAATCCAGAGGCTAGACAAAAGTAAATACATGATGGTGAATGCCGCCTCGGTTAGTTCAAGCTGAGGGGCAGAGAACTCTGCCAATATATATTAACCCACAGGCTGTTCATCTTCAGTAGCACTGATTTACACCGGGCCCAGAATTCACTCAGGAATCCTTGTACAGTGCCCAGCCGCTTTTGCTATCACAAGATCAACTTGGGGAGAGGGCAGTGAACTGAAGTCACTTTGATCCCCTTCCATTTCTACAAACAAGACCCACTTGGAGAGGGCAGTGAGGCTGGGAGGTGTTGTGGGTGAGAATAGTCTTCTTCGTTCCACTCCTTTTCCTACCTGTGAGGAATGAGGCTGTATCCTCCAGCTTAGGATCCTCTCTTAAAGACTTCATACCAGGTGATGGGAAGCCTGGCGTTTTGTGAAGATTTGAATTTTAAATAGAATGTCATCATCATCAGAGGCCTCCTTCATTGTGCGTCTGGCTGCTGTGATCAAGCCCAGGAGAGTGGGAGGCTGTGGGTATTTGCTGCTCATCTTCCATGTGGAATTGTGACAGAGTCAGAGCTGTGATTCAGGAACCTCCTCTGATTGCAGTGTTTGCATGGGGGATGCAGAGGGCTTTCCTTTTCACTTTTTTTTTCTATTAAATGTGACATTTTTAAGAGATATCATTAAAAAATATTCTTCCTCCCTGAAGAGAAAGGGCTTGGATCTTAGATATCTTTCACTGAAACCATAAGGCTCTTGTCATGTTTACCATTTAAGCCTTCAGGGCCTTATCTTTTCTGTCCTGGAGAACGGAAAGCATTTTGATCCCCTTCCAGTTCTACAGACAATGTTCTTTAATCAGCTGGAGGCATCACTGTTGATCAGACAACAGTACTTCCCCCTCCGTGAAGCTAAAAGCACCTGCCAATCTGAGCAAGAGAGAAGGGGTGTTCTTTGAGCGCACAGAGCATTGTTATTTCAAATATACATGAAACTATAGAAAACAACCTGAAACCCATTGTTTTTTAATAGACGCCGAGGGTAGTGGCATTTACTAGACTTGAAAACAATGCCATGAATTTGCATATTCACCAAATGCATTTATTGATTTATGGCTAGTGTGATATTTGTGATATTGAAAATGTAGTGTTTCATTTCCTTTGTCACTAAGTTCATCGTCTTAATGAAAATGTAAAAAGGAAAAATGACTAAATAGGAAGTAAAATTGTATTGTTAGTAATATTGTTGATACCGGGTGTGGTGGCTCACACCTGTAATCCCAGCACTCTGGGAGGCCGAGGTGGGTGGATTACTTGAGTCCAGGAGTTCCAGACCAGCCTGGGCAACATGGGAAAACCCCCATCTCTACTAAAAAAATACAAAAATTAGCCGGGCATGGTGGCGGGCACCTGTAATTCCAGCTACTTGGGAGGCTGAGGCAGGAGAATCACTTGAACTTGGGAAACGGATGTTGCAGTGAACTGAGACTGCACCATTGCACTCCAGCCTGGGCAACAAGAGTGAAACTCCGTCTCAAATAAAGAAAAAAAAAAAAAGAAACGCTATCTCTACAAAATACAAAAAAATTAGCTAGGTATGGTCGTGCATGCCTGTAGTCTCAGCTACTCGGGAGGCTGAGATGGGAGGATTGCTTGATCCTGAGGAGGCCAAGGCTGCAGTGAGCAGTGACTGTACCACTGCACTCTAGCCTGGGTGACAGAGTGAGACCCTGTCTCAAAAACAAACAAACAAAACCAAAACAAAAAACAAAGTAATATTGTTGATTAATACTGAGCAGGCTGTAATAAACCACACTTTTCTCTGTCAAAATACTTGTATTAAGCTTTCTTTAGTTTTATATATATATATATATATTCTATATATAAAAATACATATGATATCAGTTATATATACTCAGTTGTGATTGGTTGGGTTATACTGCAGTAGCAAAAAGCCCTGTCTCTGTGGTTTTAAACAACAAAGGTTTATTCCTCACTCATGCAATATGTCCCTCTGCTCTGTTGAGCTCACCAGGAGACCTAGGCTGATGGTGAGCACCCTCTCAGTGCTTCTGCAGTTGCTTGGCAGGGGAAAAAGAATGAGGCAAACTAAGCACAAGCTTCCCATAGGAAATGACACAAGTGACCTGCTCACAGTACTAGCCAAAGCAAGTTACTTGGGCACACCCAATTCCAATGGTAGCAGGTGGAGAGCCAGAAATCCTTGGTGAACACATAGATATGTATTATAATGTGTAGATTGAAAAGGGGAGAAATAGCTTCAACTGTAGCCAAGCAAGTCAACTTTGATTTATTATTGTAATATTGTTACATTCATAAGTTTAGAATTAATGAAAACAATGACATAGGCAATGTTCATAGAATATACTGCAGTTAATGAGGAGGATAAGGCAGATCTTTATGTTCAGACATGCAAATATCCCCAAGAAATACTGAATTTTAAAAAGAGCAAGTAGCAGAATACTATGATCTCATTTATTTAAAAAGCACATAAAATATATATAAACATTTGTGTGTCTGTGTGAAGTCCATAGTAAAAGGCCTAGAAACACTTACTATTCATGGCAGAATAGAATGGGATTTGTGTAGCATGTAGGGGACTTGCTCCCATTTTACTTGGTGTAATCCTGTATTGTTTGAATTAATTACATTCTACATTTATCATGTATTACTTGTTGTATTGGTTTCCTGGGCTGCTGTAACAAATTACCACAACTTGAGAAGGCAGGAATTTAATGCTTTGACAATTCTGGGGGCCGGAAGTCCAAAATCTGGCAGGACTGTGCCCCTCCAAAGGCTCTGAATGAGAACCTGCTCCTTGCCTCTCCCAGCTGCAGGGCTGTCAGCACTCCTAGACTTGCGGCCACATCACTCAAACCTCTACCTCCCTGGTAACATTGCTTCTTCCTCTTCTGTGTGTCTGTGTGTCTCCCTTTTATAAAGGCACTCACCCACCCAGAGAATCCAGTGACCTTCTCATCTCAACATCGTCAACTTTGTTGTATCGCAAAGACCTTTCTCCAAATAAAGTCTTATTCACAGATTCTGGAGATTAGGATGTGGACACAAGTATTTGAAGTAGGGGCATCATTCAACCCACAATACTTGTGTAATGTGAGAAAATTTTTAAAAGGAAAGATAGAAAAAATAAATCATCAACAGTGATTACTTTCACAGCTGGGTGCGGTGGCTCATGCCTGTAATCCTGGCACTTTGGGAGGCCGAGGTGGGTGGATTGCCTGAGCTCAGGAGTTCGAGACCACCCTGGGTCACATGGTGAAACCCGACTCTACTAAAATACAAAAAATCAGCTGGGGTTAGTGGTGCACACCTGTAGTCCCAGCTACTCGGGAGGCTGAGGCAGGAGAATCGCTTGAGCCTGGGAGGTAAAGGTTGCAGTGAGCTGAGATCGCACTACTGCACTCCAGCCTGGGGACAGAGCAAGACTCTGTCTCTAAAAACAACAACAACAACAGTAACAAAAACCAGTGATTACTTTTAGGAGAGAAAAATCTCCAAATTTGCTCTTAGTGAACCTATGTAACATTTATAATCAGAAGAAAACAGAGACAAAAACAGCGGAGCAATAATAAATCCCCACGACCACCACAAAAGCAGAACATAGGCAGGTCCTAATTTGCACACACCCTGTGAACCAATGACCTAGACACACCAGGAAGGAGTGGAGAGGTCACGTCCTCAAACTCAGCGAGGGGCCTTGAGTTCTTAGAACCACAGAGACATTAGCCTTCTCTCACACAAGGTAGTGCCTTACCTTGGGGATAGTGCCCAGGAAGAGTCAGAAGAGGGGAAAATGCTTTTCTGGTGTTGAGTTGTAGAAATTAAAATGCATTTTCTCCACAGAAGCAACATTATTGAGCAGAGTTTGCAAGACTGGCCCAATTTCAGCTTACTGATAGATCTTGTTTCATTTGCACTGTGTTGAAACTTTTTTCTAATTAATTGCCAACTATTTCACATAAAAATTCGGGTTTTGGCTTCTCCCAATGTGCCGCATTGGGTCCGCATTCTCCCAGGGCAACCATCCGATGCTGGAGCCTGGGGTGGCTGGTGGCCCCTTTTAGAAGCAGCCTGGAGTGGCTGGTGGCCCCTTTTAGATGCAATGTCCATCATGCCCTATGTTCCTGGTCTGACTCTCCTTGCTTATGTATTGTCCACCTGGCCACTTCAGGCATTCACATTTGCAAACCCCTCCTGAATAGAATAAAAATCACTTTGTGGTATTATAATGCAGTACATTAAGGGTTAAATGGGTTTGTGTAGGTTGGCTGGAAAACCCAGGCACTCTTGCTTTCAGGGAAAAACACTTCTAAGTTCCAAATAGCCAACCCATGAACTTGAAGCCTGCGACCTGTTCATCAATTGGTGACTCCTCAGTAGTGATGTTTTATAGTCTGCCTAAACAAGTAATAGAAAATGCACATCCGTGTATGCACTCAGATATCAGAAATTCAGTTCCATGGGCTATTTGGGAACGAAGTTTCAAAATTGTGCCATGGATGATTATATTGCCTTGGCCTGTGTCTGTGCACAGTGGGGCATGTGTGTACCCGGGGGGAGGGGGGTAAGGATGTGCTTTTGCAATATGAGGGCAGGGCCTGTCTTCCTAACCCCAATTGTGGAGATTAATGAGTCACGAGCCAAAATTAGCCTCCACCTTATTGGGTTAAAACCTGGGACCTTCATGAAATCTTGCTGGAAGCTACCTTGACTTGTGGCAGGCATTTCTAGAAAAGCTCTTGAATTTTTCACTGGAGCTGAGCCGTAGGTCAGAGGAGGTGGGATGCTTGCCCTGGGTCATGGAGAGTGTTGCCTCAATGGGGGCTAAAGCCTTTTGGAAGTCAGTGAAGAATGTTCGTAAGGTTCCCGTCTCCTAAATTAATAAATATTTAGTGAGCACTTACTCTGTTCAGGGTACTAGGCTAGGGTACATAAAAAATTAAAACCTGGATGGTGCTTGCAGACCAAAAAAATTCCAACCCGACGGGGATGTGGGGAAAGAGACAAAACGTTAAGTAATAGCACAATGTTATGTATAACAGATGAGATGTCACAGGTAGTGAGTGACAAATTGCCAGAAGAATGGTAGAGACTCTGTATTGTGCATTCAGGGAAGAGAAATATTTCAGGCAGGGTGAGACCAAGCAGTGGAGATGGTGACTAAACCGTGTCTAGGCAGAGCAGAAATTGTAACAGCAGCAGATATGTGGCAATGGGAAAATGGAAGGTGGCTTTGGCTGTGACAGAGGGTTAGGTTAGAAAGTTTCAGGCAGGAGGACTGGGGAGAGTCTCAAATGGCAGGATGTGTCCTGTAGGCACTGGGGAACCCTGGAAAGCTTTTGAGCCGAGGAATGGTATGATCCAAGTAGTGTATTAGAAGATCAATCTGGAGGTGATGCCAGGGTGATCTGGAAGGATGAAGGGAATGAGAGAATAAGGGGAAGCTTCTGCAGAGGAGAAATGACTTAAGCATGAGAAGGCCAGAAGGGCTTGAAAAGAAAGGATGGAGGGGAGAGAAGTCCTAAGGACTTGGCGGAAGACAGATTGCAATGAGTGGAGGGGGCGCAATAGCAGCAGCAGCAGCAGCAGCAACAGCATATGAGGCATGGATGACTCTAGGTTTGGAGCCAGAAACTAGGACAATGGTGGTGCCACTAGCTTAAGGAGCCAAGTGTGGAGAGAGGTCCTTTGGGAGAGGGCAAGAAGAGCAGACTGTTTTGAGTCCTGCTTAGAGGCCCTGATGGGGCATCCAGATGATCCAGTGGCGCCATCTTGGTCACTGCAGCCTTCATTTCCCAGGCTCAGATGATACTCCTGCCTCAGCCTCCAGAGTAGCTGGGACTACAGGCATGCACCACCATGCCCGGCTAAATTTTGTATTTTTTCTAGAGACAGCAGTGATCCAGTTCCAGTCCCACTTCCTCAACTGCCGGCTGGTGGTTTCCACCTGCATGTGCTCATCTCTTTACTCATGCCCTAAGGACTCAACACCAGTGCCTGATAGGATCTACTGAGGATGCTGAAACTCACTTGATAGATGTTCAAGCTCCCCACGCCTTCTCCAGCTGGTGGTCAGTATTCTTAGGTCCAGCATACCACCCACCAAGCATCCTTGCCCGACTGACTAAGTGTTTTGTACCTGGACAATTCAAAAGGGAATGCGGAGGTTGCTCTAGCCTGTATCTCCTCCTCTGGGCAGACCCATATCTCTGGGATTCCACCAGCTCTTCTGACTATGCCTCCTGTGTTCCCCACTCCCCGCTGTCAGGAAGCCCTTCCTTTTGCCCACTTTACATCACTCACATTGACGTTTGACCTCCACATGGAATTCCAATGTGCCCCCGTTTTGTGACCAGGACTAGGCCCCCTTGACATCTACGAGCTCATGTGTACATGGGGTAACTCTGATAAAGCCAGCATTATTATGCTTCTGCTGAATACTCATTTATTATTGCAGTGCCTCCACCAGAACAGAGGAAAGCAAAGAAATTTGCACCCTGACCATCTGGGTTTGTTGCTAAACGCAAAGACAAAATCAGGAAGTGAAGCCCATGCTTAGGTACAATTGAGGCTGTATAGTTTAGCAGGATTCCCAGTAAGCCAGTCCTTATTGCCTTTCATTCTTCCTATTCCTTTGTCCTCTTCAATTTCTCCCCTTTGAGCATCAAGTCCCTTTTCTCTGCCCTTTGTGCTCTCTCCACTTCGATCCGCGTCTTCCTTCTTTGTCCCACAGCCAGTCTGCATTGATATTCATGCCAAAAGAATGACCCAGTCCGTTCTGTGGTAGCAATCCGAGACTGGTGACTGGTGCAACTGCTGGAATATATAAACATGACTCTTTTTCAGGTAGCATCTGGGATGCCAGTCTTAGCAGCCTCATTTAAAAAATTATTTATATTCACAAAAGTCTATAATAGCATTTTTATTGTGTACACCTGTGATTTGGGTGCATTTTTTTCCCCATGCCAGCTTCTTATTATTGTTCAACACTGACTACAGCCTTAAATGATAATGAAAACAGAAGCACTCTTTCTAAAAGGAATGACTGCTTTCCCCGTCCTTTAGTATATATGTGCTCCCTGCCTGAAGGGGATGGTTTAGTGTTTAGACGGCCGCTCCCGACTGCCTCCAAAACCAAGTTCACATCCTTGCAGCATTGACTCGGTCTTTTATTCTTCTACAGAGAATAAATTGAATACTAGGCTATTTTGTGTGTGGGTGTCTTTCAGATGAGACCTTAAAACCCAAAAGCTGTCTGTGGCTACTGGAGATGCTGAAGTTCTTGTCCTGCTGTCCTTGCCCTGGGTTCCAGAACCTGGCCTGGCCACACATGTCACACACTCACTTTACATTTTTTTATGTTTTGTTTTGAGACAGGGTCTCACTCTATTGCCCAGGCTGGAGTACAGTGGCGCTACCTTGGTCACTGCAGCCTCGACCTCCCAGGCTCAAATGATACTTCTGCCTTAGCCTCCAGAGTAGCTGGGACTACAGGCGTGCACCACCATGCCCGGCTAAATTTTGTGTTTTCTGTTTTTCTTTTTTTTGAGATGAAGTCTAGCTCTGTCGCCCAGGCTGGAGTGCGGTGGCACGATCTCGGCTCACTGCAACCTCCACCTCCTGGGTTTAAGCGATTCTCCTGCCTCAGCCTCCTGAGTAGCTGGGATTACAGGCGTGCACCACCATGCCCAGCTGATTTTTGTATTTTTAGTAGAGATGGGGTTTTACTGTGTTGGCCAGGCTGGTCTCAAACTCCTGACCTCGTGATCTGCCGGCCTCAGCCTCCCAAAGTGCTGGGATTACAAGCGTGAGCCACTGCGCCCGGCTAATTTTGTGTTTTTTCTAGAGACAGGGTTTCACCATGTTACCCAGGCTGGTCTCAAACTCGTGGGCTCAAGCAATCCACCCGCCTCAGCCTCCCAAAGTGCTGGGATTACAGGTGTGCACCACTGTGCCTAGCCCACACACTCACTTTTGAAGAGAGCTGTTTATTTGGGCCTTTATTCCCTCAGTTCCTGTGGTTTCTTTGCTTCTGTGACATGACCTGCTACTTTCACCCCTTGGTTTTCCAGTGCATTAAAAAATCAAGCAACAAAACAATTTCCCTTAGAGTCAAAGTGCTACAAATATAAGCTTGTTATCTGTATTCCATTATGATGAATAACTCACCAACCCTCATGCCATGTGTATGATTGACTTGCAATTATGTGTTGTATTTTACAGCACCTCCGAATGGTATTCTCCCTTGGCTGTTCCTCAAGCCAAGCCTGGAACCCCTGGGTCAAATGAGAATGGGTGGATTTTATAGACTCCAAGGATTTTATTTTCCCCGAGCCTAGATATTAGGTCTGTAATTAGCGATGCAATAATAATACCTTTTACTTGCCATTTTATGCCTTTTCAAAAATGTGTTTCATGTTTTTGTGATTAATTTTCACAAAAATTTCTTTGGCATAGGCAGGACAGATATAATGGGCTGTCTGATTTTACAGCTAAGGGACAGTCAAGGCAAGGTTCAATGACTTGCCCAAGTTCCTTCAGCAAATCTAAGACAGACCTGGGACTGGAACCGGATTTTGTAATTTCAAGGTGGTGGTTTTTCTGTGGCCACTGCGTGTGTAACAAACTCAAGACAATTGTAGTTACATTCAAGTTTTCATCTGATCCTGTGATGACCTTACAGGACAGGGTGAGCAGGTATTATCATCCTCATCTTTCAGATCAGGAAGGAGAACTCCAGAGAGATGGGGTTACTAGGGCAATATGGTAATTAAACAAAAGAGGAAGGACTTAATTCCAAGGCTCCAAGTCTGCAGCTTTTGGTGATGCTTTGCTGCCTGATTAATGCCTGAGACCACCACTCATTCAGTGGCTTTGGCCCAAAACTTAGACTCATCCTTGACTCCTTTTTTCCTCTTACTTCATATCTGACCCATCAGCAAATCTCACAGATTCTATCTTTAAAATATATTTCAAATCAACCATTTCTTATCACCTTCGCTGCTATTAGCCTGCTCTAATCCTTCATTCTTTGTCACCTGGATTGCTGCAGTGGTCTCCTGTATGGCTGGACTACAAAGATGGTCCTCAATGAAGCAGTCCTCAAGGACTGCTTGTACAACATGGACATCTCAGCTCACCTGTGACTCATTTTAGCCCGTAGAATGTGGAGGATGTGATGCTGTGTGTTTCTGACCTAAGTATTGAGAAGGATTTTATACTTCTGAGACCCCTGAGCTACCTGTATGAAGTCTAGGTACTAGTATCTCTGCCAGAGATTCTAAGTGAAGAGACCACATGAAGAGGAAGAGGCCTCAGACTGCATGGAGTGAGAGAGTCCCAGCTGAGCCCAACTTTTTACTGCCCCCATAACTTTTTACTGTCCCCTGGTGGAGCAGAAGAACCACCTAGCTGAGCCCTACTGACCTGTAGAATAATAAGAGATAATAAAATGGTGGTTGTTTTAAGACACTTAGTTTTGGGTTAGTTTTTTACATAGCAATAGATAACTAAAACATCTAAGGGGTCTCCCTAATTCCACACTTGTCACCAATCTATTTTCCAGAAGATTTAAAAAAATTGTGGTAAAATACTCATAACATAAAATTCACCATCTTAACCTTTTTTCTTTTCTTTTCTTAGAGACAGGGACTTACTGTGTTGTCTAGGCTGGAGCGCAGTGGCTCTCTACAAGTGCAATTACAGCACACTATAGCCTCAAACTCCTGGGCTCAAGTGATGCTCCTGCCTCAACCTCCCAAGTAGCTGGGACTAAAGGTGTGCACCACTGTGCCTGGCTTCACCTTAACCTTTTTTTTGGTTTTGTTTTTTATTTTTTTTGAAATGGAGTCTTGCTCTGTGGTCCAGCCTGGAGTGCAGTGGCATAATCTTGGCTCACTGCAACCTCACCCTCCCAAAGCTGTAAGCTGGATTATAGGCATGTGGCACCACGCCTGGCTAATTTTTGTATTTTTAGTAGAGACAGGGTTTTGCCACGTCTGCCAGGCTGGTCTCGACCTCCTGACCTCAGGTGATCTGCCCACCTCGGCCTCCCAAAATGTTGGGATTACAGACATGAGCCACTGCACCCAGCCACCTTAACCATTTTTAAGTATAGTTCAGTATTGTTAAGTATATTCACATTATTGTGCAACCAATCTCCAGAACACTTTTCATCTTGCAAATCTGAAACTCTGTATCTGTTAAACAATAACTCCCCATTTTCCCCTCTCTCCAGGCCCAGCAACCACCATTCTACTTTCTTTTTCTATGAACTTAACTCTTAAATTCCTCACTTAAGTGGAATTATACAGTATTTGTCTTTTTGTGACTGGCTTATTTCATTTAGCATAATGTCCTCAAGGTTCACCCATGTGTCAGAATTTTCTTCCTTTTTGTTTTTCGTTTTTGAGACAGAGTCTCACTCTATTGCCCAGGCTGGAGTACAGTGGCACGATCTTGGCTCACTGCAACCTCCGCCTCCCGGGTTCAAGTGATTCTCATGCCTCAGCCTCCCAAGTACCTAGGACTACAGGTGCGCACCACTAAGCCGGGCTAATATTTTGTTATTTTTAGTAGAGATGGGGTTTTGCCATGTTGGCCAGGCTGGTCTTGAACTCCTGACCTCAAGTGATCCGCCTGCCTCTGCCTCCCAAAGTGCTGGGATTACAGGTGTGAGCCACCACGCCCAGCAGTTTTCTTCCTCTTTAAGACAAATAATATTCCAGGCCGGCTGTGGTGGCTCACGCCAGTAATCCCAGGACTTCGGGAGGCCGAGGCGGGTGGATCATGAGGTCAGGAGATCGAGACCATCCTGGCTAACATGGTGAACCCCATCTCTACTAAAAATGCAAAAAATTAGCCAGGCATGGTGGCTAGTCCCAGCTACTTGGGAGGCTGAGGCAGGAGAATGGCGTGAGCCCGGGAGGCGGAGCTTGCAGTGAGCCGAGATCACGCCATTGCACTCCAGCCTGGGCAACGGGGCGAGACTTCGTCTCAAAAAAAAAAAAAAATAAGTAAATAAAAATAAATAAATAATATTCTATTGTATGGATAGAGCACATTTTGTTTATTCATGCGTCTGTCGATTGACACTTTGGGTGGTTTCCACCTTTTGGCTATTGTGAGTAATGCTGTTGAGAACATGGGTATACACATATCTCTTCAAGACTCAGCTTTCCATTTTCTTAGGTATATACCCAGAAGTAAAATTGCTGGATTATATTGTAATTCTATTTTCAATTTTTTAAGGAACCACCATATGCAGAAGACTTTAAAACATACATTTTGTCACTCCCTTGCTCAGAACACTCCACTGACTTTTCATTCCTCTTAGAACAACATCCAAGACCCCTTCTTATGGCCTGCGAGGCCTCATATAACCAGGCCCATAGCTACCTCATCAATTTCATTTCCTGCCATTCTTCCCCCTCCCTCTGCTTGAGCCATTTTTAGCATCTTGCTGTTCCTTGTCACCCCAAGCATGACCCTGCCTCAACGATTTTGCACTTGTTATTCCCTTTGCCAAAAATGCTTTTCTCTGGTTATTAACATGACTTGTGCCCTCACTTCATTCAGGCCTCTGCTCAAATGTCGTCTCCTTCAGAGAGGCCTTCGCTAACCACTCAATCTAAATAGCACCCCCTATCATCTCTATGTCCTTCTTTTATTTTTATTTTTATTTTTTTGAGACAGAGTCTTGCTCTGTCGCCCAGGCTGGAGTACAGTGGCGCTATCTCGGCTCACTGCAACTTGTGCCTCCCAGGTTCAAGAGATTCTCCTGCCTCAGCCTCCTGAGTAGCTGGGACTACAGGGGTGCACCACCACGCCTGGCTAATTTTTGTATTTTTATTAGAGACGGGGTTTCCCCATATTGGCCAGGCTGGTCTCAAACTCCTGACCTTGTGATCTGCCCACCTTGGCCTCCCAAAGTGCTGGGATTACAGGCGTGAGCCACCACACCTGGCCCCTCTATGTCCCTCTGTTTTTAAATTTATTTTAATTTTTTTGGATACAGGGTCTTGTGCTGTTGCCCTAGGCTGGAGTGCAGTGGCACAATCATGGAGTGCAGCCTCGACCTCCCGGCCTCAAGAAATCCTCCCACCCCAGCCTCCCAAGTAGTGCCACACCTGGTTAGGTTTTTTTTTTTTTGGTAGAGATGGGGTCTTCCTATGTTGTGCAGGCTGGTCTCGAGTCCCTGGACTCAAACGATCCTCCCACCTCAGCCTCCCAAAGTCCTGGGATAATAAGCGTGAGCCACTGTGCCAGGCCCCTTTATTTTTAATTCATTCCCTTATCTCTACCTGATAAGTGGAGAATTTATATTAATCACACACACACATAATAGTACTAACTATGTGCCTGCTTTGGTTCTAAACACTTTACATATATTGACATAATTATCTTTTTTTTTTCTTTTTTATTTGAGATGGAGTCTTGCTCTGTCGCCCACGCTGGAGTGCAATGGCGCGATCTCAGCTCACTGCAACCTCCACCTTCCAGGTTCAAGTGATTCTCCTGCCTCAGCCTTTCAAGTAGCTGGGATTACAGGTGTGTGCCACCACGCCCAGCTAAATTTTGTAGTTTTAGTAGGGATGGGACTTCACCATGTTGGCCAGGCTGATTTCGAACTCCTGTCCTCAAGTGATCCCACCCGCCTCAGCCTGCCAAAGTGCTGGGATTACAGGCATGAGCCACCACGCCTGACCTGACATAACTATCTTAACAGCAGCTCTGTGGATTAGGTATTATTATTATTATCCCCATTTTACAGATAAGAAAAATAGACATCAAACGTTAAATAAGTTCTCTAAAGTTCAACAGCTAGTAATTGACAAAGGTGGGGTTTGAACCGAGGCAGTTGGGATCCAGAATTATATTATATTATATTATTATTATATTATATTATATTATATTATATTATTATTATGCGCTTCTCATTATAAATGTATATTATGTGTAAGATATGCATATGTTATGTATGCGTTTGTTTATTGTCTGTCTCCCACATTGGGTGTAAGATCCATGAGGGCAGGAACTTTATTCTGTTTACTTTCCCCCAAGGGCTTGGAACAATGCCTGGCACATACTGTATTAGGTTTTCAATAAACACATGTTGAATGAATGAATGGGTTAGATTCTTTGTATATTGGGGGGGGAAAGGCTCTCAGTTGTTTTTCCCCATGAATTTGCTTGTGTCTGAAAAGAACGGTTAGCTGAGTAGAGAGTAGATGCTCAGTAATTATTTATTCAGTGAATCGTATTTGAACTCCTTGAAGATCAAGCCCTGTGTCTGTGTTCTTTCTGTGTTTCCCTTGCCCTCTGCTGACTCTCAAAGCTTTGTTGTTACTGTGGAAGAGAACAAAGAATATATTTGTTGAGAAAATTTAGCCTACTGTGTTGTGACAGTGAGTAGGTGCGCTTGTTTTTGCAGAAGTAGCTACAGGAAAACCAAATGTGCAAATTCCAGACCAAAGGCTGTGTGGAGGAGAAACCACTTTCAGAATCTTTTATTTTTATCTTTTTAAATCCTGCACATCAAAAGCATCATTTTTCATGAGATTTAGTGTCAACTTGTGCAGTGTTTCAGAAAACACCTATGAATTTCCTCATCATTCGTCTCCTCTTAAAGAACTCCCATAATGTAAAGCATGTTGACCCCTCTCAAACTTTTGGAAGAACTGAGACTTCAGAGGTCCACACAGTGCCTCACATGGAGAAATCACTCCATAAACTAAGCTAATGCTGAATTTTCTTCTTCCTCTTCTTCTTCCTCTTCTTCTTCTTCTTCCTCTTCCTCTTCTTCTTCTTCTTCCTCTTCCTCTTCCTCCTTCTCGTCCTCCTCCTCTTCTTCTTCTTCTTCCTATTATTTTTTGAGACAGACTCTCGCTGTCACCCTTGCTGGAGTGCAGTGGGGTGATCTCAGATCATTTCAACCTCCGCCTCCCCGGTTCAAGCAATTCTCCTGCCTCAGCCTCCAAAGTAGCGGTAACTACAGGCATGCGCCACCATGCCCAACTAATTTTTGTATTTTTAGTGGAGACGGGGTTTCACCATGTTGGCCAGGCTGGTCTTGAACTCCTGACCTCAAGTGATCTGCCCAACTAGGCCTCCCAAAGTGCTGGGATTACAGGTGTGAGCCACCGTGCCCAGCCGATCTTATTATTTTTTAAATCACAATTAACAGGTGAGGGATGAATGAATGATTTTGTTATGCATTCTCTTAAGAAATAGCTGCCAGGAACTCAATCCCATGATTGGTTAGCTTTCTAACTGGGATCCAGCTGTGGGTCACCATATTACTTTTTTTTCTCTAATTTTATTTTATTTTGATTTTTTTTGAGACAGGGTCTCGCTGTGTCGCCCAGGCTGGAGTGCAGTGGTGTGATCTCAGCTCACTGCAACCTCTGCTTCCCGGGTTCAATCAGTTCTCCTGTCTCAGCCTCCTGAGTAGCTGGGATTACAGGTGTGCTCCACTGCACCCAGCTAATTTTTGTATTTTTAGTCGAGATGAAGTTTCACCATGTTGGCCAGCTGGTCTGGCTTCAAGTGATCTGCCTGCTTCCGCCTCCCAAAGTGCTGGGATTACAGGTGTGAGCCACCGCGTCCAGCCTTTAATTTTAAATATGCTTAGGAGAATCTTCCCAGCTACTTTTTTCACCAGACTGTCATCAAAATGCATGTCAAAAGAAGACCAGTGTCTATTGAAGAATGGCAGCAATGCATTAAAAGCTACCCTGGTGGCCTTAAAGACTTAACGCAGCTTTTAAAAATGACTAATTTATTCACTGGGCTTCTCCAAATCACCTTGCACAGTGGATCACATTATACAGAAAAGTAGATGGAAGCCACATATAATAGGCGATGGCTGGGCTGCGTTATGACCTTATTTTCACTGATAAAGACAAATCTCATAACTCACTGGTAGCAATGTCAGTCCTTTATCTTGCCTTGGACTCATGAGGATACAAGTCACATCCACCGAGCCTGCTCCAAGTGTGACAAGGAAACTCAGGCAGCCAATCGTCACAGAGGTGATTCATTCATTTGCATCCAGAAATCCTGTTGGTTAGAAAGCAATAAAAGCGTTTGGGCTTCTTTTTTCTCCCCCACTCTATAAAAAGTGGCTCACTCTGGTGAAATATACGCCTTCACTCATCTTGCAGAGCTGCTGTAAAAAATAACATTTGGCAGTGGGAAGTGGGACTTTTGCTTGAGGAACTGATGTGTATATATAATATTTGTACATTTCTTAGATGGCCATGGACACTTGTCAATGCTTTCGTGTTCCAAAGACTTGTACAGATAAAATTTACTATGGTGTGGGTCTTGAGTTTTAAAGTGTATGAGAGGATTCGTAAAGTGTGAGGTTGCATGATGAGGTGATAAGAAAAACAAGGCGACTGGAGCAGTAGAGTGGTGACATTAAGTGAAGCATTTAGTTTGACTCACACGTGAGTCGTGAGAAAGCACGGTGCTTTCTTTCGCCATGCACCCTGCCTGCTCTAGCTCTGTCTCAGAGTCCTGGTTGTTCATGTCTGTTTCTGCTCTCTGCCTGGTTCTTTGAACCCTGACTTTGGCCACAGAGGGTCATGCAACCCAGCCAGGGCCTTGGAACGCTGAACAGATTCCAGAAGACCTGACGTAGTAGCCCAAGGAAAATGGAGACATAGTGTTGGAGATGGAGGTGGAGGTGGGGCTGTGGAGTGTCCCTGAGTGGCTAAAGGCTGGTTCCTCTGCTGGGGCACAAATCTGTGGGGGAGCCTAGATGTTTATTTTCAAAGCAGATGCTGGATCTTCCTTTACACTTTGTGCTGTGCTAAGTAAAATGTTGGTACTGGATAAATGTTAATAATAGCAGCCATAACGATGATAATAGAAATGTAGTAGCTTCACCCCCTGTATGCCAAGAGAGCTTCAGAGACTTAAGCATTTCTTATGATTGACATTAACATGCCCAGGGGCAGGGTCCTTGTCCAGCAGACTCTGCCCCTCGGTGTTTTTCCTACTCTCCCGGTTGCTTAGAAAGGCTGTGGGAGGTAGGCAAGAGGTCCTAGAGGCCAGGGCTTCCTGCATATTCATCTTCAGAACAGTCACTCTGAGAACCTCATGTGACTTGTCTGTCAATCAGACCCCTCTGTCCAACGAGATCCTTTAAAGAAACAATAATGATACCTTCATTTTAATTATTCTTTCTCTCTTTTCTTCTTCTTTTTTTTTTTTTGTCTCACTTCAGGATTGCACCTTTTAAATAAACTATACCAGAGTTTCTTCCGTCTCCTCTTGCTCATAATTAATGACAGTGGGGGGTATACTTGGTCTTATTTTCTTATTTAATTACACTGATTTTGGCTTAAAACAGGACCCATTTAAGTACTGAAAAGATGTATTTTCTGATTCAGTGAGGGTTTTTCCCTCCCATACTTTGGAAGATAACATAGCTCTGAGATGGCCCAGGTCTGGGCACCAAACCTAACTAAGCTTGCCTTGCTCTGGATGAAGGATAATAAGCCTCAGTGAGGACTCCAGCTCCTGCAGGAGAGAGCCCTGTGTCCTCTAGAGGACTGGTGTTTTGCCAAAAGTAGCAGCCATCATGGTTGGAAGTCAAAGTTGGGATGGCAGCTCCAGGAAATGTCCCAAGGGAATGCAGTAGTGGCTGTCTCCAAAGGTGAATGGTCTACTGGTTGCTCTTTCTTGCCCACCATAGCACCTGGCCTGACAGTCATTATATGCCATTTCCCTTCCTCCTCCTTTTCCTTTTAGATTCTGGTCCAGCATTGTGTTCTTGGGGTACTGCCACTTCTTCCTAGAGTCCATGTGATTCAATGGTAAAAAATATGAGCATTGGAGGCCAAGACCTTGGTTTGAGTCCCAGCTTGGCCAATTGCTGGTGAAGCAGTCTTGGGCAAATGACATACCCTTTGAACTCTGGGGTCCTCTTCTATAAAAGAGGGACATGATGTCTACTTGGCAGGGTGGTGGTTGGGAAGGGTGCATATGGTAATGGATCTAAGTGCAAAATGCCTCCTGGCATGAGGCAGGTTCTCCATTAATGTTTGTTGACCCTTTCTTTTGTAGGATATGTGTGAGTGAGTACCTGAAAGGGTGGGCAGATATTTGAAGGCTGAATGATAAAGATAATAATTCCTGACAACACACACACACACACACACACACACACACACACACACACACACACGTCTGTCCTATCCTCACTGTCCCCACCCATCCTTCTCTCATGATCCTTTTCCATTACCTCCAACTCCATAAGGTTTACCTTGATTATTTGGAGCCTACACTGATCCTTTCCAATTCTTTTGTACTCACTGCCTCCACCACATATCTAAACATTTCATTATGAGTCGTCATGGTTGGTATATGAAGATCTTTTCTCTCCAATAAGGTAAGCTCCTTGGGAAGCGACTGAGCATGATTCTTTTCCTTGTGTCCTTTGCAGCATCCAGCACAGTGCCAGGCGTGCAGTAAATGTTTCATAATTGATTGTTAAGTGCAGTGCCATTATCAGGCCTGCCTGATGGCAGAGAATGTATTTTATTTGTTTTTGTGTGTGTGTCTCCATAGGAGTTCACCCAGTTCACCAAGCACATAGGCACTCATAGGTACTCAATAAACATTTGTCAGATTAAAATTACCTTTTGCTGTGAGCCATTGACACAAAAAGTATACGAGAGACCTTGGTAGTAAAAGCTGAGTCTACAGAAGGTTCTGAAATGTCTGGGATTTGGGGAAGGCATATCTTCCTTTCTAGCAGTTTGTAAATCATGTCATGGTAGGGCAGAAGGAGCGCTGCAGAAGGAGCATTGCAGAGGGAGCTTGGGGACTTGGCTTTTGGTCTGAACTGAGCGCCTTATCTGTTATTGCCTCCTAGACTAGGTCTGGAACCAGGTGGCCCTGTGGCTTTTGGTAGAAATCACATCTCCTCTTGTCTCAGGAGCCCTTTGGAAATTTTTCACCTGTCAGTGACTCTATTGACAGCTCCTGTTTTGTTTTTTTTTTTCTGATAGATTTGAACTTAGCCCATTTGAATAGACAAAACTTCCAAGGAAATAGATTTCCGTTGGACTGGAAGTCAGTTATGCTGCCCCAAGAATATGAAATTAGGCTTCAGGGGAGGTGGTTAATTTTCTTTTTTTCTTTTTTTGAGATGAAGTCTCACTCTTGTCCCCCAGGCTGGAGTGCAATGGTGCGATCTCGGCTTACTGCAACCTCCGCCTCCCAGGTTCAAGCGATTCTCATGCCTCAGCCTCCCGAGTGGTTGGTATTACAGGCGCCTGCCACCACACCCGGCTAATTTTTTTGTATTTTTTAGTAGAGACGGGGTTTCACCATGTTGACCAGGCTGGTCTCAAACTCCTGACATCAGATGATCCGCCCGCCTCGGCCTCCCAAAGTGCTGGGATTACAGGCGTGAGCCACCACGCCCGGCCTAATTTTCAATTATCCATAGGTTGGAGGCAGCAGGGGGCCGCTTATCATGGAGTCACCCTGAGAAGGGTGACCAGGAAACTCAGCTAGATCCCCCCTCAGGGAAGCTTCTGCCCACTCCCCCCACCTGCTCTGAGGCTCTTTGTCCTTCTGCATGTGTGCACAGCTCTGGCTTCATGCCCTTCTGGGCCTCCAGCTGAGGGAACCCCCGTGGCTGGTGGTCAACATGTTCTCTGAACTTGAGAACTCAGTTCTGCAGGTCTGTGTGCCTGTGTCCCATTAACACAGTGAGTAGTACTACAGGAGCCATGAGATGTAGCCTTGTAGGCTGGGTTTAAGAAAAACAAAAGGCCAGTCACCGTGGCTCAAACTTGTAATCCTCACTCTTTGGGAGGCTGAGATGGGAGGATTGCTTGAGGCCAGGAGTTCAATACCAGCCCGGGCAACAAAAAATAAAAAAAATTAGGCTGGTATGGTGACACACACCTGTAGTCCCAGCTTCTTGCAAGGCTGAGTGAGGCCAGAGGATTGCTTGAGCCCAGGAGTTTGAGCTTACAGTGAACCAAGATTTCCCCACTGCACTCCAGCCTGGGTGACAGAGCAAGACTCTGTCTCAAAAAACAAAACAAAACAAAAACAAAAACAAAAAACCAGCAAAGGCATAACCCAAAGCTCTGACCCTGAGCTAGCTTCTTGCAGTTCAGGGGGCAACATACATGGGTGGTCCTAACATACGGAACCAGGGGTCAGGGGAAGTCCTACTCTGCTGTTATTCCACACAGCCTGATTTTTTTTTCTTTTTTTTTGAGACGGGATCTGGCTCTGTCACCCAGGGTGGAGTGCAGTGGTGTGATCACCGCACACTGCAGTCTTCACCTTCCAGGCTCAGGTGATCCTCCCACCTCAGCCTCCCAAGTAGGTGGGGCCACAGGCACTGCAGCATAACGCTGGGCTAATTTTTGTATTTTTAGTAGAGAAGGGGTTTCACTGTGTTGCCCAGGCTGGTCCTCAAGCGATTTTCCTGCATAGGCCTCCCAAAGAGTTAGGATTACAGGAGTGAGCCACGGCGCCAGGCCACAGGGCCTAATTTGTTTCAGCCTCTGGTTGCACTGTCCTCATGGTGAAGGGCAAAGATCCCTCCCTGTCAAGCTCATGAGAATTCTAGGGCAGCGATGCAGCTGTCTGGGAGGGGGCTTTCTGTGTGTACAGTCTGTGTGCTTTCATTAATTCACAAAGCGCTGTCCGTGAGGGAGCCAGGCAAGCGGCATTATTATTTCCATCAATCACCCAATACTGAAGAAACTGAGGCAGCTCAAGGCGAGGAAGGCTGCTGAGCTGGCTCATCCAATGGGAGGAGGAGGCGGAGGCTGGGAAGGCCCAGGCAGCCCAGGCCTGGCTCCCTCTGCCCGGGGATTGGAGGTGAAGAGTCGAAGCAGACAGTGTGTGGCTTGGCCTGCACCAGCCGCATTTCGAGTCAGGCACCCCACCGCCGCCGTTTTCTTGCTGGGTTCCCACATCAAATCCATTTTGATTCAATTTTGATGTTCTGTAGTAGTGGAAGGGAACGAGGTTTGAAAGAGGTCAGCTCCATTACTCAGCGTTATTAATGATGCTGTCGGCCGTTAAAATCCCAAAAAACTAGGAAACCAATAAATTTTACATATTGAAAAATCACAGGTGGATCAGGCAAATGGATAAATTCTTAAAAGTATTTAATAGCTGTTAAGAGGACAGAATGATAAATTCAATATTGAAAACCAATATCAGATTCACAATTACAGGTCATTTATCATAACCAACTGCATGGACAGCATCTTATTGCAGGGAGCACAGTGTGATTCACACGCAGAGACCCAGAACAAGTCCATATGAAACGAGAAATAAATCTGCTTTACACATTGGAAGCTTATTTCCACTTCCTATCTTTATTGCCAACAATAATGTTAGCTTTCAAGAACAAATTGTTACGCATTAAACCTATGCATAATGAGCCCAATTGAGTCAAAAACTTCCCTAAAAAGAGCTTTAAATTATTCCAAATTGGGTTATTAGCCTAACTCTAATTCCTCGGAGAAAGCCCCACAGTCTGACAGTGAGTTTCAGCACTTAACCACACAGTCGGTGTCCCAGGTTGGGCCCCAAAGTTCTGGATTTGTTCTTTGTTTTCCATCCCTCCACCTCCCCTGAATAATTAACAGTCATGCTAAGAACAAACATAATATTTAACAAATGTGTTAATTTAACAAATTGCAAGAAAATTGCAATGTATATTTCTGATTTTAAAATGAAGTTCTGCAACTTTTCAGTATAAAGAAAATAAAGTAAGATGAATTATTTTGCTTTCTTTGAATACATGAGCGACTATGAATAAGTGAAATGATTTGAGTTTGGACCCTTGGGTGTCACTGACAGGGTGCCAGCTTGGTCAATATTTTGATCTCCAGACATCGTAGGATCAAGGGCCAGGGAGGTGATTTTGCTGTTACGTTTCTCATCCTGCTGACAATCCAGGCTGACCCAGCTGACATGACTGTAATCAAGACACAGAATGGATTTTTTTTAACTGTATCTTTTCCTGATTTCAAGAATGAGGTGTTCAAGCGTAGACAATTTGGAATGCATAGGAGAAAAAAATCACCTCTAACTTCTCCCAGAGGCCACTGCTAATTACATTGTGAAATGTTTCTTTTTCATTTTTTTTACTGTGCATTTTTTCTTTACAGATTGAGATTATATAATTCTATCCCATGCAATCAAAATTTTAATGATTAAATAATACACCATTTTATAAGGGACCCTTTCCTAATGTTGGGTACTTAGGTTGCTTTCAACTTTTCTCTGTTATAAATAGCATTGCAATAATCATCTTTATACATGAATCTTTGGGTGAATTTCCGATTATTTCTGTAAGATTTGTTCTCAGAATTGTCATTACTGGGTTTAAGAGTGTAAACATTTTAAGGCTTTTGATATGTCCTGAGGCTAAAAATAATTTTATGTAAACCTCTAATTCGTGAATCTGTTTATTGTTTGTACAAGCTGCTGCCGTAGCCTAAAAGTTAAGATCACGGACTTTGGAGTCAGACACATTTCAAGTTCCAGGTCCACTACAGAGTAGCTAAGAGATTTAACTACTCTTAGCCTCCATTACCTCATCTGTAAAATGGGCATCATGACACATCTCAGGGTTTTCGTGAAGATAAAATGCAAGAATTCCTATCTTAGCAAGGCACCTGCCTGGTACAGAGTAGATATTTCATTTCATAAAAGACAAATAGTGTATTAGTCTGGTTTCATGCTGCTGATAAAGACATACCCAAGACTGGGCAATTTACAAAAGAAAGGGGTTTAATTGGACTTACAGATCCACATGGCTGGGGAGGCCTCACAATCATGGCAGAAGTCAAGGAGTAGCAAGTCATGTCTTACATGGATGGCAGCAGGCAAAGAGAGAGAGCTTGTGCAGGGAAGCTCTGCTTTATAAAGCCATTAGATCTCATGAGACTTATTCACTATCAGGAGAACAGCATCGGAAAGACCTGCCCCCATGATTCAGTTACCTCCCACTGGGTCCCTCCCACAACATGTGAGAATTCAAGATGAGATTTGGGCAGGGACACAGCCAAACCATATCAGATAGTATTGGTGTTTATTCATTTTTGTGTGTGTGACAGAGTATTATAATGTATGTCTTTTTATATAATAGATGCATAAAGGCATCATATAATTTAAAAACTTTTTCTTTTTTTTTTTTGTGATGGAGTCTCGTTCTGTTGCCAGGCTGGAGTGCAGTGGCGCGATCTCGGCTCACTGCAACCTCTGCCTCCTAGGTTCAAGCGATTCTCCTGCCTCAGCCTCCTGAGTAGCTGGGACTACAGGTGCCCACCACCATGCCTGGCTAATTTTTTGTATTTTTAGTAGAGACGGGATTTCACCATGTTGGCCAGGATGGTCTCGATCTCTTGACCTCATGATCCACCTGCCTTGGCCCCTCAAAGTGCTGGGATTACAGGTGTGAGCCGCAGTGCCCGGCCAATTTAAAAACTTTTAAGCTTTAATAATATTCTCCATTATCTCCAGAATAAAATTCTGCCTTGTTATCAATCAATATCTTCCTCCATCAGAGCCCAGCTCACCTTTCCAACCTTTTCCTCTCTCTTTCCTGGCAGTTACATTTTGCTCTAGCTGCCCATGGCACGTATCCCTCGAGTGTGCCATGTGCCTCCTATCACTGTGCCATGTCACTCCCCTCTCTCTAGTACTTTCTTTTCACTGTGCCAAATTCTACTCATTTATTTAGGCTTGGCTCAGGTGTCACCACTTTTATCAAACATTCCCTGATACCTTTGCAGACAAAATGAATGTGTTGGTCTTCTATGCTGTCATAGCATCTTGTGTATACCTGGGTTGCAACATCTCTCAATCTCACATGTTACAGTAGGTCAGCTGTGTTTCAGGCTCCCCCAACAAACTTGGCGCTGTTTAAAGGTCAAGATCACATTTTATTAATCTTTGTTTTCTTTAGTGCCTACTACAATGCATGATACAATAAAAGGGCTCAATAAAAGTTTCTTAAATGTAACATAGGTCATGGGTATGATCAAATAAATCAATACATGGCTTTTAAAGGCACATTGAATTTCAACTGAATCGAAAGCTGATTGGACTTTATTTATCATGAGATAAATACATGGACTTTATCATGAGATCTTAAATACAAAGGCATTTTGTGCAATAGTGTTTTCTAAGCCTTGAAATACTTAATGCAATTTGTAAAGTGTTTCTAGGCAAATTGTTAAGATTTAAAAATGTGCAAGGAATTTCAGAGGATCCTGTATAAACATATGTCAAAATATCTCATGGGAGACTACAGTATATGTGCATCATGTAGGTGTGGACACTGAAGCCCAGGAAAGAGAGAGCATTGAGTTATTGGAACCCTGAATTTCCTGTCTAGGCTTAAATAATATTATAGCAAAAGCTGAAGTTTAAAACAGTCTTCATATTGACTCAACACACCAATTAACTAGCCTGGTAAAATACCTGGGTTGTACCTAATTGACAAGCACTCACTTTATCATTATTTTTGTGTATTTGGCTTAGCGTTGGCTAAGAATAGTGCTTGGCACATCATAGGCACTCAATCAATATTTGCCAAATGACCACATGAATCAGCAGTCACATTTGGTGTGACCCAATCTGCATCCGCTTGGGGTTGTTCAGTACAGCTTGACAAATCTTTATAGAGTTCTCTCTGTGTTCCAGATACCTTGCCAAGGAGCTGAGGGTATGACGATGAATAGCATATGGTTCCTGTCTTCATGATGCTCAAAGTCTGGAATGGGGAGCAGACACATAACAGATAAATGCAGTACATTGTGGTTAGTGCAAAGAGAGGCCTGTGCACATGGTGCCAGGAAACCCAGAGGAAGGGTGTATGGTCCAACCCGGGGGCTTCAGGGAGGATTATCTAGGAGAGAATATGCCTGACTTAGTCTTGCTGGATGAGTAAGAGTTAGTGTGAAGAAACAGGTCGTCCCAAGCACAGAAGACATCACTAGCAAAGACAAAAATATGACATATCATTCATTAACTTATCCAATACTCACTGATGGCCTATTATATCCAGGTGTAGTTCTAGATGCTGGATGTATAATGGCAAACAAAGCAAAGTCCCTTCCTCATGGAGCTTGTGTTCTAGTGGGCACAGGGCCCACAAGCCTCTTTCAGCATTGCTGGAGGACAAATGTAGAGAAGGGAGTGGTAGCAGAGGAAGCTGAAGAAGAGGAGGACATTTTGCTTAATGTGTGAGAATTGTGTTGATACCCTACCTACTTCCACAAAGGATTTGAGGTGCTTATATAAAGCTAAGAATTTGCCAAGTCAAGCTGCCACTCAGCCAGAGTTCCAGACCCCCTCTCGAGGAGGAGATTCTTCTGCTTCCCCCAAAGTCTGTTGGTTTCTGCGAGGAAACTGCCAACAGTGCTGGAGAGAAGTTGTTCCTGGATGCTGCCTGCTACTAGAAATCCACCTGGGTTGATTTAGTGATTTGGGTTGTGAGTCAAGGCAGTGAGCAGGGAGCCTGGCACATAGTAAGAACTTCATAAATGTTTGTTGAATGAAAACATGTGTTATTGGGAAACCATGAGGGGGATGACTTTCTCTGTAAAACAAAGGCATAGCTAATCCCTTTGAGCTTTGACTTGAGTCTAAGAATGAATGGCATTATGAGCTTCCTGGAAAATAAGATGGCTCCTACTCCAACACCCTGCTCAACCCAAGTCAAAGGATAAAGAGCCGCAAGTATAATAAAACCCGTATGTTTTTATTTCCAAGTCCGTCCATCCACCCATCATCCATTCATTCATCCATGCATCCGCCCAGGATTAGACCAGGCACTATGCAAGACACTGGAGATATTGAAATGACTATGGTATTCACCATACAATGTGAGCAGGTAGACCTGTAAACATATAATCAAACTACAGTGAGAAAAGTGCCAATCAGGGTAGGTAAACAGGTAGGGTAAAGGCACCAAGGAAGGCCTTAGTGATGAGCAGAATTTTAAAGGGTAAGACGAGTTTGCCAAGCTTAAAAGAGGATGGGAAAGTCATTAAGGCTCTGAGAACAGCATAAATAAGATCATGAAGCACGGCTAGGCGCGGTGGCTCATGCCTGTAATCCCAGCATTTTGGGAGGCCAGGGCGGGTGGATCACCTGAGGTCAGGAGTTTGAGACCAGCTTGATTAACATGGAGAAACCTTGTCTCTACTAAAAATACGAAATTAGCCGGGCGTGGTGGTGCATGCCTGTAATTCCAGCTACTTGGGAGGCTGAGGCAGGAGAATGTCTTGAACTCAGGAGGCAGATGTTGCGGTGAGCTGAGATCGTGCCATTGCACTCCAGCCAGGGCAACAGAGCGAACTCTGTCTCAAAAAAAAAAAAAAAAAAAAAAAATCAGGAAGCCCAGGACACTATGGGGGATTCAGAATGGGCAAATAAACTGGTGTGGTATCAGGTAGAATTTAATTTAAAAGTTGGTCGAGTATTGAAGGTGAGGAGAATAAAGAAAAGTGTTTAGAGGTGCAAATTTTTCTAATCATTTGTTGCAAATAAAATGAAAACAGTGGCTGAGCACAGTGGCTCAGGCCTTTAATCCTAGCACTTTGGGAGGCTGAGGTGGGAGAATTGCTTGAGGCCAGAAGTTTGAGACCAGCCTGGGCAACATTGTGAGACCCTGTCTCTACCAAAAAAAACAAAAAAAAAACAAAAAAAAATTAGCCAGGCATGGTAGCCACACCTGTGGTTTCAGCTACTGAGGAGGCTGAGGCAGAGGCATTACTTGAGCCCAGGAGTTTGAGGCTGCATTGAGCCATGATTACACCACTGCATTCCAGCCTTGGCAACAGAGTGAGACCCTGTATATATATATGTATACACACACGCACACACACACACACACACACACATACCCTGTGTGTATAAATATATATAAATATATATATTTACATATATATAAAACAGTATCCAAGAAGTATGATTACATTGATTTCAGTCAGAAGGCTACTCTCCACCTAATGGTGGTGTTATAATTATTCTTCTTTTGGTAGCATTTATTTACATTTGCTTTGGACCCAAAATCAGAGCAAATCAGAATATGACAAAGGTATGTCAGTGATGAGAGTTATTTGATGGAGAATGCATTTGGTCTCTCTTGTGAGTAAGCAGTTTATATCCTGCCAGGCAACAGCCTGCTGTGGCACAAGGGCTATTTCCAATGATTTCTCTTTGACCCCTAACAAACTACATTTTGTAATTACTTATTAGCCAGAGAACATCATTAATATATAACTGTACCTTGTGTAAAATCCACACTTATGGATAGTTAAATTTATTCATTGAGTTCCTGAATCTCAAATCTTCCAAGGACTTTCACGAATCCCCATGATGCCTCTGAAAATTGCATTATGCATCCGATTCTCATATTTCTGTAAAAGAAGTTTCAGAAATTCATGTTGCTTGTCTTCAGTCCACAAAGTAGAGTTTCTTCTTTTGGACAAATTAGTCTTGGACAAAGTATAACCCAGAAATTGCTTCCAGATCATCTTGTACCTGTGGGAGGATTGAGGGCTTAAGACAGCATGCATTTCACAGTGTCATATTTGGCCCCTTTTCCTAGTAAACATGGAGGAAGGAGACCAAGAGACCCCAATCCAGGTTTTACTGGATGCAAGGAAATTCAGTATCTAAATGCCACATTTTCTGGGACAGCCTAATAATGTTATAATAGTGGAGCATCATAATAAGTAATGGTGTAATAATGTCATGATGATAACCTGTAATTTAAATAAATCCATGAAAATGTAGAATGGAGAGCTCTCCAGTACCAGCTACTGAGAATGAGTCACAGACTCAATTCTCAATTCAAAGCAATTGGCACTTCTGACGTTTATACACAAATAGATCTCCACCAATCTCATTAAATATTCAATCCATATTCAAAGTTATTAAATATTGAACATGATTTAATAAATACAACCAAGTTAATCAAGACTTCGATTGGTGGTTGTGGGTTCATAAAAAGCTTGTGAAAAGAGTCATGCCACTGCGTCTTATTCTGATCCTCTGCCTCCCGCCCGTTTTTAAGAGTGCAGGAATTGTGTTATATTTGTGTGTGCAGGGGATGTTTGGGGTGTGTTGGTGTGTGTGTAGGTGTGTTGGGTTGTCATCTCCCAGTAATTTGTGTATCGGGCAGGATTGTTGTGTGTGGGTATATTTGCAGATGGGTCTGGCATATATTGTATCAGTGTATGTTCTATCAGTGGATGTAATGCAGTTGAGCAATGGTTTCTTCTCTGCACCTCACTGATGGCTAGGACCACATGGATCCCAAAATTCTCTATAATTCTTTGGGGGCATTTTTCGAAGGTTACTTTCAGGTTTGTGTATGTGCATTCAGCTCCTGAGAGTGAATGCCTCCCTAGGTTGCCTTACCCAAGTCCCAGTCCCATAGTGCAAGACACTACAGCATCGAGAAAAGAGCTTAGAACAAGCTTGAGTTCAAATTCAGGTTCTGTCATTTACTGGCTATGTGGCCTAGGGCAAATTACTTTTTTTTGGCCCTCAGTCTTTCCTCTGTAGAAGGGAAATAATAATGCCTACTATACAGAATTGTCACGAAGTTTAAATGATAACATGTGTGTATCTTATTAATAAATTGTAGATATTTTACTTATTCTTTTTCCAAGGCAAGGCCCTATGCTGGGCTTTGTATCAGATATGAAGGTAAATAAGACATGGTATTGACCCCAATTATGTTAGAGTCTGGTGGGGAGGGAGACATTCCGCCCTCCCAAGCACTCTGACATATTGTGTTCCACTTGCAGTTTTAAAAGACCCCACAAGTTCTGAAATCGTTCATTCATTCAACAAATTCCAGTCATCCCTGGGTTTGCTTTGTGGGTATTCCTGCTTGGGGCTTTGAGTCAGAGTTCTGCAGGAAGATAGAGAGGGAAAGGCGATCTCCCCTCAAGGAATGGAGGGAGAGAGAAGGAAAACAAAGAGAATTCCCTGCCTGCACACTTGACTGAAGGAAAGACCACTGTGGTCTGAGCCTTGGATCCTCTCTCCAGTGTCCTAGCCTTCAGATAATTTATTTCTAAGAGGAGGAGATCCTCTCACCTTAGGTGCCGGAGTTTTGGCTTCCTTACTTTTCACCCCTGTCCAGGCCAAAGTGTGCAGAGGGTGCAATTGCACTTGCTTGTGGTCATATAGCTAACATGTGACAGAGCCAAGGATTTGAAGTCAGGCTTCCTCTTCCAGGTTCCCTACTCTGCTTCTGCTCCTTTTCTTTTTCTTTTTTTTTTTTTTTCCACTGTCTTCCGACTCCAGAGTATAAGCTTGCTTTTTTTTTTTTTTCTGGCAGCATCAACCAGGTATGCAAACTTTTTGATAGCAGGGTTTATAGCACAGAATAGTGGATTTTTATCTCAAATATGCCCTTCAGTGAGTAGCCTGGCTTTAGATGGCATAGCTTCCAAAATGACCTTGTTGCAGCTAGTTGAAGGTGGATATGGCAGTGGGCTGTGCAGAGTGGCGCCTCCTGTAAGTAGGCACTCAGAGACTGACAAATGAATGATGGACCATGGGCTCTAATGTGACCCCCAGCCAACCTCAGAGATGCTTGCTAAAAGTGTTTCTGGCTCTGTTGGGACATGTGTCCTTGGAGCCTTGCCATCTGGGTATGGAAGGTGCAGCTCTATAGATTGGTATGGCTTTTTAGAGTGTAGCAGAAAACCAGGCAATCCCCAGCCCAGCGTGGAGGGGGCCAGCAATCCTCAGACACACAATTCAAGCCTGGCAGGTGTGAGTGTATAAGAGGAGGGAGCGGGAGTTTCTTCCTATTTATTGGTCATCGAGATGGGATGAGATGGGAAGACCTGTCTACCTTCCCAAACCTATCAGAACTGAAGTCTGAGACTTATAAGTGGATGGCTACCACATAGAGGGAGGGTTGTGGGACATGGTGGGGATTACAACTCATAATGAAAATGGGAATGTGAAGATGAAGGAAAGATATGCCAAACCCTACCTTGTGCAGTATTAATTGCTCACAGTAGTCAAGTGCTACTCTGTGTCAGGAATTGTGCTTCGGTGCATTATGTGGTTTAATCCTCACACAGCTCACAGTACTATCATCGTTCCCATTTTACTGATAGGGAAACAGGTTAAGTGACTGCCCAGTGTCACAGTTAGTAAGTGGTGGAGCAGGCATACAAATTTGGCATCTATGATACCCACAAACTGTGGCACCTCAGAGCTGGAGAAAATCTTAGAGAACATCGAATTCAGCCTCTTCATGGTCAGGTGGGGAAATAATGCCAGCATGGGGGCGGCCATGGACCAAGGCCAGACAGCTGGTGAACAGCAGCCCTCAGATTTGCCTGCAGTCGGGACTAGGGTGAGGCAGGGAGGCTCTGAGGGGAGAATTTAAGGAGGCGCTCACCCTCAGTTGCAGACTCTGAGGGTGAGCACTCCACGTGCCCCACCCAAGTCTCAGCCTTGAGCAGATGCTTCTTCTGGCTTTGTGGTGTGAACCACAGAGGCCCAGGCCGGGCTTTATTGACTTAATTTGATATCCCAAAGCGAGGAATGAATAGAATATTTGTGCAGAGTTTTGCTAGCACCCCAAAGTAGATTTTTACCCAGGGGCTGAGCAGAGGTTCTGCTTCTGGTTGTACTTCTGTTTCTGCTTCTGGTTGTGTACCACAGAAATTTCTGGCCCCAGAAATTAGGGGTGGAACTATGAGAATCCTGGTGGTGTCGGGCCGCAGCGTGGACTCCATGGGAACGGAGACCCCACGTCTCTCCTCCCGCCCGACTCCACTGGGCTGAAACGAGGAAGTGCCAGGAAAAGCTTCTAGGGGAGGGACTTGCTCCATCAGACCCAGAATGGCCCGGGTGGGCTAGGTGCTCAGACACACGGACGGACACACAGCTCCCAGTCTCAGGCATTAGGCCTACTTTATTCGCAAAAATTCATCTCCCCAGGTGTGTATAACCACCTTTCCAACCCTGGGCCTTTCCGCTCCAGTTTTAGTTCAAGGACAAAAGAGGGCAAACCCCACGAGCAAAGTACCCTGCCGCCACTCCTATCCCGTGTAAGCAGGAGTCAGCCCACATTTCCTGGGAAGGGGTAGGAGGTGGAGGAAAGGGGGTTCCCTGCACCACTCTTAAGAGCCAGGTCTTTACCCCTGTCTGGCTTGGCCTCACTAGGAGTGTCGTGGGGCAGCCAGGCGGCCCCAGGTGCTGTAGCAGAGGAGGAAGGCTTCCTCCCCATGGCCCCCGGGACTTGGGCGCAGAGGCAGGCAAAGGGACGGGAACGAGCTGACGGGCCTCAGGCGCCCTCGCACTTCCCGCATCAGCGCAGGAGCCCAGTCCTAGGCTGCGAGGAGCGGTGGGGGTCTCGACCTTGCCTGGAGTAGACCTCGGCAAGACAAGTTCATTGCCCTCTTCTCTTTGGGTCTCAGTTTCCTCATCTCACCAGGCACGGCTCAGCCCGACTTGGGTCTTAACATTTTGAGTTCTTTGCTTTTCTTGCCCTTTTCCTTGCCGGGACGTTTCTCGAGCCCCTGTCTTGAGTCCCTGTCTCCGGCCCTACCCCTCCCTCTCGACCTTCGGCCTGTTAGGAGCACGGCCTGGGGGTGCCCCTGGCTCCATTTAACCCCCAGACCCCCACTCCCATCCCCGGGATCTCCCATCGAGAGCATAGAGGAGGAGGCGCGCAGGCCGCTCCACTCCCCCAGGAGGGAAAGGGGGAGTAGGGAAGAGAAAGGGGAGTAGACGCGCGAGAAGGTTAGCAGGAGGAGAAAATAGAAAATAGAGAAAAGAGGGAGCAAGAAAAATGACCAAAAGAACGAAAGTGGGGAGGAGGGAGGTGAGATGCTGGAAAAGGATGAATGGGAGAAAAAGGAGAATCCAAAGGCAAGCTGAAGAGAGAGACTGAAGACAGGAAAAAGAACGAACGAGCGCGCGCGTAACAGCAGGATCTGAAAGGACCAAACAGAGAGAAAGAGGAAAAAAATGAGGGGGGTGTGCGGGAGAGCGGAGGGAGGGAGCTGCGAGCCGGGAGGAGGAAGGCTGGGAGGGAAGGAGAGGGAGGGGCCGAGGGACGAAGCGGGTGGGGGCTGGCTCGGCAGCAGCCGCCGCGGCTCCAGCCGCCCGCTCGCTCGCTCGCTCAGTCGCTCCCGGTGCCCGCTGCCCGCCGCCCGGCTCCCGGCTGCTCGCGGCCCCCTGCTCCTGCCTGGCGCTCTGGCCAGGCTCGGGCTCCGGAGGACAGGACCGCGCGACTGGCCGGCCGATCCCTGGGCCGGCCGCGGGAGCAGGTAGGTGGCTGAGTGGGGACCGCGAGGACGCGGAGTCTCGGACGCCGGGGGCACCAGGGGACGCGGGGGTGGGGGTTCCGGCCCTGGGGAGGGGACTTTGAGGCCCCGCGACTAACTTTCCACCAGCTCCGCGGACCCCGGCCGCCCTGCCCGGGTCCCGGCTGCCGAAGCCGAGTTTGGCTCCGGGAGTAGGTGGATGCCGGGGCTTGCAGGAGCGCCAGGGGGTCCGGCAGGATGTAGGGCGCCTCAATGTGGGCAGCCGCAGCCCTCCGGCCGCAGTCGGGATGCAGCGTCCGCGGCGCCTCCACGTGCGGGGGAAGACCCGAGAGCAGTGGCGCGGCGCGGGTGTCCCGGGGAGGGCGCCCGTCCGCCCCCTTGAGTCTGGGGACTCCGCTCTCAAGCCGCCCCGGGTGCGCCGGCTGCACTCACTGCACCGGCGCCTTCCCCGCCGGGGTCGGGAGGCAGAGCCTGCGGGGACGCAGCAGGTTTTCGGCGGCGGCCGGCGATGCGCCCCGCGGCCGCTAAGCCCCAGCAAGTGCCATGCACGCTTTTGCTTTTGGGAGAAGGGAGGCGGAACGTGTATCCCCCTATTTCTTTCCCATCCCATAGCCGTTACTCTATTCCGGGAAGTCCAGGACCTGGACGGCCTTGTTGGTTGGCTCCCAGGACGATCCTCCTGCCCTAGACTGCGACCCTGGCTCCCAAAGTTAAAGGAGAAGCAAGTGACTCTCTGCGCGCGCCTGGAGCGTGGTCCCGAAGTTCCCAACTTCTCGCCCAGCCGTGGGCGGTAGTGTTGGAGGTGGGGAAATGGGTGGTGGTTGTGGCTCCTTGGAGCTGCCGAGCGCAGCCGCCTTCCTCCTGGACTTGGTTTATTTTCCTAATTTGTTAGAAAAAATACTACTTAAAAATAGGCAGAATCGTTCCTCGAGGGCGTCAAGGTCCCTGAGTGGGATGCAGCCGTCACCTGTCCTGAGCCCGGGAGCGCCGAGCCTCGGCGTGGCGGTGCCCAGAGCCCCCGAGCCCGGGCGGCTTCTCCCGGACCTGGACTCGCGGGCTCCATCCAGCGGCAGCCGCGTCTCGGGATCGGTGCCCCGCAGCCCGCGCTGCGAGGCCAGTGTGACTGTCTCCCGAGTGGTCATGTTCTCCGGAAAAATATTTCAAAGTGGCTCCGCTTCAGGATCGCCCACTCTCCATCCCTCCAAGAGCCGAGAGAACAGGGCCTGCGGCGGGTTGGAGGAGGCCTTTGGGATGGTTTGGGCTCCTGGCCATCTCGGCTCCCTTGGGCAGGGGTCCTCGCGCCCCGGCACCAGCGCCCCTCCGGCGCTCTGCCAGGGAAACAAGGGTTAAAACCCCGGCCGGTGGGGGGTGGGGGGTGGGGGGCGGGGGGTGCGGCTCGCGGCGGCCGGCTGGGGCAATCGGAGCCTGCCGGGGGCTCAGTCCCACTCGTTCCCGGAGTCGGAGGGGCCGGATTCGCCGACCTCTGCGGCTTCTCGGAGCCAGCGGAGCCCCGGCCCAGCAGCTCTCTTTGTTGGAGTGCTGTCGGGAGATTATCTTGAGAGGTTTAGGGGGTTTAGAGGTACCAAAAGCTCGAGGCTTTCCGGAGAGGGTCCCTCTGCCGTCACTCCCTGCAGACTGGGCGGGGTGCCCCGAGGGCGTTGAGCAGACGTTGAGCATCCTCTGCTCCTCCGGCGGATTTTCCTGGTGCACACCATGCACCAGCTCTCTCCGTTGCTCACATTTTGTTTAAGCCGCTAGAAATTCGAGGTCTAGGACTGCAATCTCGCCACTTCCTCCCACTCACAGATCAGCAAACTGAGGTCCAGAGAAGTGAAAGGACTTGCTTAGAGCTGCTATACGGGAGGAAGAGTAGATAAACCAAGTCTCCTGACTTCTGGGTCAGGGCCTTTTCTAGTATTCCACTCTAACTTTACTGCTTTCTTCGCACAGGGCAAGTGTTCCCAGTTAGGCCACTGCACATCCTTGACAGGCTCGAGGGCTGGGTGTGTGTGAGGTTAGAGGCAGAGGACCTGTCTCTGGATTTTCGGGTTAGGTGCTGTGCTGGGAGCATCTCCCAGGATAAATCACTCATGTGACAGTTTGTTGCATACCTGTTCTGTCCCTGCACCGAGCTCTGGGGGTAAATGGAGCCCGCACACAGGGCTCAGCCCCATCAGGTGCAACCCATAGGGAAAGAGGAGCCATTGTTTTGTAGTCAAGGAAGTGAGTGCATGTAGGCATTCTCAGGTGAAATCACTTCGGGAGGGGCTGGATTAGGGATAGTCCGTGGAGAAGGCAAGATTAGGAGCTGATCCTCGGGTAGGTTTCCATTTGGGGAAGGAGGGTTGTCAGGATACAGGGCTTGAGTCCTAAGAAGGAGGCAGGAAAGCTGGTTAAGCGGCTGGTCAAAGCACAGCACTGTCAGGGCCAATGAGCACTGGGCCTTTGTGTGAGAATCACTAGGGAAGCTAGAAGAGCCAGTTGCTCAGAGCTCAAGCTCAGAACCTGGCCCCAGGGGTCTTCTAGGCCTAGACTTAGGGTGAGCAATCGGCCGGCAAGTCAGTTCCCCATGAGCCAAGTGTGGTGGGGTCAGATGGGCAGTATTCTGGCGTTTGCTTCTTTTCTCCTTTCTCATCATTCCCAGGGGTTTCAATCATTCTCATTATTTTGCCCCTTCTCTCTTTTTTTTTCATTCTTTTTTTTTTGAGACGGAGTCTCACTTTCTCAGGCTGGAGTACAGTGGCATGATCTTGGCTCACGGCAACCTCCGCCTTCTGGGTTCAAGTGATTCTCCTGCCTCAGCCTCCCAAGTAGCTGGGACTACAGGTGTGGGCCACCATGCCAGGCTAATTTTTGTATTTTTAGTAGAGATGGGGATTTGCCATGTTGGCCAGGCTGGTCTCAGACTCCTGACCTCAAGTGATCTGCCTGCCTTGGCCTCCCAAAGTGCTGGGATTACAGGCTGAGCCACCGCACCCAGCCCTTTTGCCTCTTCCCAACCATAACTTCTAGCTGCTTCAGTGTTCCGAACTTATGAAAGGCAGGAACACGTAGTCAGCAAATAGTTACTGAGCTCCTTCTTTGTGCCAGGCACTGGACTAGGCCCTTGGGATACAGCAATGAATCAGACAGGAGGAGTCCCATACCTTGTGATGCTGACATTCTAGGCTCTCTCCTCCATAGGCTTAAAGTTTAGTCGTAGAACAGAGGCAAATACACAACAATGTCTGAAGAAGTCCTGAAATGGGACAATATAATAGGGAATTCTGAACCTCCCCTCTAGTGGTTCAAGGCTCCAAGGTGAAAGATTTGACGCTGTTGGCTGTGAGATTTGGAGATTCTGTGGGCTTGCATGACCCCAGCTCCTGGTTGCCAGGGGTAACCCAAAGGCAGCTGCAGTGGTGACCTTAGAGGCAGCATTGGAGAACTGCTGTGCAGATCTTCTGCCAGGAAGGGAGCTGGTGAGTGCTGGCAACTATGATCTTGCTAGGTATCCATAGAGACTGGTGCCAGGTAACCATGTCCCTCTTAAATTCCAGCATCCACAGCTGTTTGGTGTGCTCTGGAGCCCCATTGTACAGATGAGTAAATGGAGCCCTGAATCTGTAGATTGGGACAGCTGTGCAGTAAGAGGGGCCCAGCCCGTATAGAATCCAGGTGTTCCCTGATACAGGATTCAATTTAAAATGCTGCTCTTTTCTTCCTAGTAAAGCATTTCTTCCTTGCAGACTAGTGATTCTCAGATTTCAGTGTGGAGGGCTTGTGAAAACACAGGTTACTGGGCCACACTCCCAAGTTTCTGATTCAATGGGTCTGGAGTAGGTCCAGCAATTTGCATTTCTAAACAAGTTCCTTGGTGATGCTGATTCTCTAGTTCTGGAGACCACACTTGGACACTTTGAGAATCAATGTGGTAGAACAAGGGAAAGTGAATGATTTTTTGAGATTATAAGATGGGGAAGCCTGGAACGAAGGCTGTGATTTAGCTCTAGGAACTCATAAGACTTGCTATGTACATCCCCTCCCCCTCCCCATCCAAGAGGCCATAGAATTAAAAGAATATTTTATCTTCATCAGCACATACACAGAGAGAATATATTGCAATATAATTAGGGAATAAATAGGTGTCGTGTATTGGATGTAGACTCCATGCCCGGTGGCTCTGTGGGGGTTTATTATAGCAGTGTTATAATTGAAAAGGTGTCATCCACTCCGAGAGCCCCTCATGAAACTTCCATGGCCTGGGTGGTCATTGTCCAAAAAAACATGCCTTCTTCATTAAAAGACTGAAAGAGAGATTGCTTCTCCTGCTAATGGGACTGTGTTTCATTTGACAGTAACTATGCAGTGTGTTCTTAAGGAATTGGGAGGGGTGGGGGAAACAACTGAACAGCCAGTGTGAACAGAGAGGTGCTGAAGGAAGTCCACACCACAGGTTCACAGGTCTGTTTGTTGAGCATCTCAAAATGTTTTGAAACTCTGTCTGTCTGTCTTCCTGTATTTCTGATATGAAGCTGTATCTCAGCAGGAAGAGGAGAGTTTGTGTTTCAACTTGGCTGGCCTGGTAAATGTAACAGCACACTTTATCCCCAATGTGTTAATTAGACCCAAAAGAAAAGAACCATAAAAGAGTTGTTCTCCTAAACGCCAGCATTTTTCATCTGGATTCTATTTATCGATTATTTTATAGTTGAGAGGGAGCAAAAATCCATGTTTTTATAGCAAATAAAGCTGGCTGCAGTAATTATGCAGGCTTAACATGTCTGTTCTGGAGCAGGAAGTTGGAATTCAGCCTGACTCTCAAACATTTGGGTGAGATCTAATTGAAAAAGACATTTCAAAGAACAAATATTTAGGAATGAGGAGTTTCGCTGATGGTCTCTCTGGGCCAAGTGTGAGTACCTTGCTTTTAGTTTGATCCTCAGAGGTGGGAGGAGACTATGGAGAAGGACCTGGTCAGTAATGTTGAGACCACAGTCAAAATGTGAGGCTGAAACTTAAAGATAATCAGTGAGGCTTAGTAAAGGGAAGAAAGATGCCTTCAGGGAATATATCCCCTGTACCTGGTGAGCAAGGGGAAGATCAATTAATCAAATATAGATTGAATACTTATTGAATGCCAAACCTTGGGATAGGCACAATGAGGGCAGGGGCCAGGACTTTACTAGTTATATATCTTTTATAATGGTTAGCTCAGGTATCCATTGTGACAAAAGCCCTTGATTGGAGTGGGAATGAAGGCTGCAAGTGACAGAGAAGCTGAATTCAACTGGCTGAAACAATAAGGAATTTAGTATCTCCCATAACAAGAGGTCTGGGTTATGTCTGCCCTATAGTTGGTTCTTTCAGTTTGTTCAACAGCATCATGAAAGATCCGGATGCTTTTCATCTTTCCTGTTCCCAAGATCACAAGATGGTGGCAACATTTCCAGGTGTTATATCCTCACAATCATGAGCAGAGGCAGAAAAGGCAGGAGGGAGTCTTACCCAGAAGCCCCTCAGCAGACTTTCCCTTTTGTCTTATTGGCTAGAATTGTGAATCATGTGTCACGCCTAAGTCAACCACCACAGGCAAGAGAAGGAAGTCATTGTAATTGACCTAGAACAATTTTTTTTTTTTTTTTGGAGACGGAGTTTCACTTTTGTTGCCCAGGCTGGTGCCATCTCGCCCCAGCCTCCCGAGTGGCTGGATTACAGGCACGCGCCACCATGCCTGGCTAATTTTGTATTTTTAGTAGAGATGGGGTTTCTCCATGTTGGTCAAGCTGGTCTCAAACTCCCAACCTCAGGTGATCTGCCAGCCTCGGCCTCCCAAAATGCTGGGATTACAGGTGTGAGCCACTGCGCCCGGCTGAACCATCTTTTTTTTAAAGGGCTCTCCTTCTGTTGCCCAGGCTGGAGTGCAGTGCTGCTATCATAGCTCACTGCAGCCTCAAACTCTTGGGCTCAAGTGATCCTCCTGTTTCAGCCTCCTGAGTAGATGGGACCACAGATGTGCACCACAGCACCTGGCTTGGCCTAGAACAACCTTGATTTGTGTATTGGGCCTCAGAGAGGATCAAAATTAGGATTCTTTTGGAAGGGTGAAAGGAGTAACTAACAGTGGTTGCCATAGAGCTCAAGACATGGGTTTGAATTATCTTTCTACTCGTTTTAAGCCCTGTTTTTCACCTCCTGTGCCTCAGTTTACTGAACCTAGGATGGGGATCTATTGGGAAGATAAATCTGAATTAGCACCATAATTATACTTGATTAGTACAAGAGAGTAGAAGATTATTTGTAAATTGATCTCTGAATCAAAGAATTTATAATCATCTAATGCAGGGGACATGTGAGGACTAGACCATCAAGAATATCAAATGGAGAACAGAACTAGAGAATAAATAATCATGACTTGCAGACCCACCATTATAGGAGGAGCATAACATCAATGGGAGCCATAGTAGCTAGGGAAGGCTTCCTGGAGGAGGTGGTTCATGGCTCATACTGAAACTCCAGCACTTAAGTATGGATAGGTTATAAAATCTTTCTGCCCAACTTGCTTCCTCTTGCTTTTTTCTCAGTGGTAAAATGGGACCATTTGGCCAAGATAAAAATCTTATCTCTACAATCACAGTGGCTTTGATAGTCAATCCAAATACGATCAGTACTGACTAGCATGATTCTGGGAGGGAGGCCGCAGTGACTCCCTCGCCAGCCCTGGATTCCTGGTTTCCAGTCCTGGATCACGCATCAATCTCCATGTCTCAAGCCACGTTTCATCTCCTGATTAGATATTATTATTATTATTAGTTTTGAGATAGAATCGTACTCCTGTTGCCCAGGCTGGAGTGCAGTGGTGCAATCTTAGCTCACTGCAGCCTTGACCTGCTTGGGTCAAACGATTCTCCCACCTAAGCCTCCCAAGTAGCTGGGACTACAGGTGTTGCCACCATGCCCAGCTAATTATTTTTATTTTTTTTTTTGGTGGAGATGGGGTTTTGCCATATTGCCCAGGCTAGTGTCCTGAACTCCTGGGCTCAAGCAATGCACCCACCTCAGCCTCCCACAGTGCTGAGATTACAGGCGTGAGCCACTGCACTGGGCAGATATTATTATTATTAAAAGCAGTATTTGGATGCCTGGCCGCCATCATGAAACCTATATGCCTAAACTGAAATCTAATGTTTCCTCACCTCTCAAGTCATCTCCCCTTCTGGTTTCTTCACTTTTGTTGCTGGCGAAACCACCTTCCCAGATGTTTGGGCTCAAAACCTGAGCAGGTACCCCTGCCCCCATTCCATACACTCTGCTTGCAATACTCAAGCATCGACTTGCTTTTTTTAAAAAAAAAATTAATTAATTATTTTTGAGATGGAGGCTTGCTCTTGTCACTCAGGCTGGAGAGCAATGGCGTGATCTCTGCTCATTGCAAACTCTCCCTCTCGGGTTCAAGCAATTCTTGTGCCTCAGCCTTCTGAGTAGCTGGGATTACAGGCTTGCACCACCATGCCTGGCTCATTTTTGTATTTTTAGTAGAGAAAGGGTCTCACTGTGTTGGCCTGGTCTCGAACTCCTGACTTCAGGTGATCCACCCCACTCGGCCTCCCAAAGTGCTGGGATTACAGGAGTGAGCCACCATGCCTGGCTGCCTTTTGTTTTTAGGATGTTTCTTGTATATGTTCTCTCCCTTCTGACATGAGAAATCTTCTTTGCTCAGGTCCTCTCTAACTCATGCCGGGTGATGGCACTGCATCCTACTCTGCCATCCTCAGAGCATAGTGCATAGGTGTATGGGGGGACATGTGTCTTTGGGAGTAGTCTATGGGGGCTCTGTAAATGGGATAGTTTTTATAAATTCTACTGAGGGGTAGAGTCTCTGCAATGAGTCCGGAATCCATGGCTGCAAATCCAATATGTTGCTCTGGGAGCCATTTTCCAGCCTCTCATCTCTTTCCCCTTCATATCACACTGAAGCATTGGTTTTGGTTTGTTTTTGGAGACAGGGTCACACTGTTGCCCAGGCTGGTGTGCAGTAGTGCAATCATAGCTCACTTCCATCTTGAACACCTGGGCTCAAGCTATCTTCCCGCCTCAGCCTCCAGGGTAGCTGGGACCACAGGTGTATGCCACCATGCCTGGCTAATTTTTTTTTTTCTTTTTTTACAGAGATGGGTCTTGCTATATTACCCAGGCAGGTCTCAAACTCCTGGCTTCAAGCAGTCCTCCCACCTTGCCCTCCCAAAGTGCTGGGATTACAGGAGTGCGCCACTGTGCCTGGCCTAAAACATTGTTTTAACCAACTCATTATCTTACATTTTTTTTCCATAGCACCTACCAGATGAAGCCCAAGTTCCTCAAATAGACAGTTGAAAGTCTCAACAATCTGCCTGCATCCTGCCTCCCCAGTCCCTACCTGTTCACTGCTAGGACTCACCATTATGGCTGACTCAGCTTCAAGTTCTGTCTTTCCCTGTGTTTAATCCAAATCACCCTTTCCTTTAAGACCAGTGTTAGTCCTGCATCCTCAGGTGACCTCCCCTCACTACTGGAGCCCACAGTGATATCCAAGCATTGATCTTTCCTTCCCATGAACTTCTGTAGCAATTATTGCCCGCACCACAAATTTGGCACTTAATATGCTGCTGTTGTCATTGATAACATTTTATTGGTGTGTTTATTGTCTTCCCAGTTGGATATAAGACCCCTGGGACCCAAGGCAGTGGGGGTGGGTGTATCTGTCTTTATACCCAGGGTCGTGGCCAGCAAGCACACAGCACTTCAGTATTTGTTGAATTAATAAATCATAGGAATAGATTATTTACCTGAGAAATCAGTTAATCTTCACCCTTTTTTCTTCACCTCAACTGGGGAAAGGGACTAAATTTAATGAATTCCTGCTCTGTGCTGGGTACTACTTCAGGTGATTTTTAGGAAAGATTTTAACTGAGCCTGGTAACCACCCTGTGAAGTCGGGATTCTTGGTGTTATCCTGCAGATGAGGAAAGCGTGGCTCTGGGAGAGTCGGGTGGCTTCCTGTGCTCACTCAGCCAGCAGGAGAGGAGTGAGGAACAGGGTCATCTTCTTTCCTCTATGTTTTCTATTGCATACATCTTCCTGAAGTTCTCCCGACCTTTGGGTGCCTGTTCTCCCAGTCTCTTTTTCCTTGTGTCCCACTGTGCCCCACTGCTTTGCTGCATCCCCAGGACTTTGGAATAATTCAGGAACCTCTAGATTCTAGCAGCGGACTCTGAGCTTTCTGGTGGAACAGATAAGATGTGTTACTTGGTGCAGAAAAGAGGGGTAGAGCCAGTAACGAGCAGGAGAGGACTTACTAATGGGCCTCAGGTCTTCAGAAGGCCTTGGATGACAGTGGGCAGGACATAGAGCCTTCTTTGGGGGTGTCTGGGAGGAGTGGGCGATGTTTACTGCGGGAGAGATGAGGTGTGAGACCATAGCAAGGACCACCATTGTTAGGGCCTCGCGGTTGAGCAGGCACTTCTCAGGCGCATGTATTTTCTAGACTGTGTCTTACAACAACTTTGTAGAGCAGGTTATTGTCCTCAGAACAGGATGTTAAAGAGTTCAAGTGGCTTGGCCCAAGTCACACCCCGACTTGATGCCTACCTCCCAATGGTTAGTAACCCTGAGTGACAACAACAGGCTTGGTTTTCCAGAGGCCATGTGGACCACGTGAGGTGGCCATGCTTCCTGAGGTAGGAGCTTCATAGTATGATGTTGGAAGGACTGTTCTGGAATTGATTCTGCAGGTCGGTAGAGGTGACTTACCCCTGTGTATCTAGGGCCTATCTTTTCTCAGACCAAAAATTATTTAAAACCCACTCCTGTCCTTGGAACCTGTCCTTCCCCTGCCTGACTTGCCTGGTTTATCATCCAAGCTTAAAATAAATACAATAAATAAAAACACCCCAAAACTCTTTCTCCTCCTGCAGAGGATGAGCAACAATCTACATATGCAAATAAATGGCATGCCAGTCTCCATGAATATTAATTTGGAAAGGGAGTCTGAGGCCCTAAAATACACTCAAAACCAACAATTTGGCATCTCACAACTCTTCCAGCTCACTTCCAGTGATCGTGGCCTTGTTATATTTTAAGATTGCCCCGCTCCCAGCTGGCCGCCCTTCTGCACCCCTGGAAGTTCAAGTTACCAAATGGATGGAGAGTGTCTCAGGTTGGCAGGTTGGAGGTCCAGGGATGACGGGTGAGTCCTCACCCTGGGGCTGGGCTGACCTTGTCCTGCCTCCCCGGTCAGGGCCCAGGCCTTAGCCCCTCTCTGATCCCAGCATTAGCAGGGAGTCCTCAACGCCAGGGGACATTTCTGGGAAACACCATGGGCAACCGTCAACCTGGGACCCTTGTACTGTCAGGGAACATGCAGGGTGGGGCAGGGCAGCAGCCTCAGGAATCAGCTTCTCCGGCCTCTCAGGGGCAAATGGGGAAACCGAGATCCGGAGGTTAGGTGCCTTGCCCAGAGTGCCACGGTGAGTTAATGGCAGGAAGTGAGAACACTTGTTCATTCTTTGCTCTGAGAAGCACATTTCTTTTTGAGTGTGTGTGTGTATGTAGAAGAGGGTAGGCAGGGTAGTGCTTAAAGTTTGTATACTTTGGGGGAAAGAGTCATTCTTCTCTTATGATCATTTACCCAGAGACAAGTGGCAACAGAAAATTCAGCCTTGTGTCCCATTTCCATTGAAATAAATGATTTCCTTCCTCTCTCAGTAGATTTCCAAATTAGATTATGCATAGGCCAGAATTAATGTGAGGTTGTCTTGCAGAGTACCCTCTGGCTGAAGGCGTGATAGGGCAGGAGAGAGAAGGGCTGAAGTATCTCCAAGGAAGCCAGGTGGGAGAGGACCTCGAGGTGGAAGAGGAAGGAGTTGACAGTAACTTCTGTGTCCCACTTGTATGGGGAGGAGGGCAGAGGGGAATGGTGCAGCATTGTGGTATCATCAAGAGTTGGGTCTCTTGCTTGCCCTTTCCTACTGCTTATTGGATAGGCATGAGCATATCAGCTCATCTTTGGACCTCCTTTTCCTTGTCAGTAAATATTGGGGTAATACTGAGATAACCAACCACTTCTCCCTCCCTCCCTCCCTTCCCTCCCTCCCTCCCTATCTCCCTCCCTCCCTCTCTCTTTCTTTCCATCTGTCCTTCTTTCTTCTTCTTTTTCTTTCTTTCTTTCTTTCTTTTTTTTTTTAGACAGAGTCTCACTCTGCTGCTTAGGCTGGAGTGCAGTGGCACAATTATGGCTCACTGCAACCTCGACATCCCAGGCTCAAGCAATCCTTTGGCCTCAACCTCCCAAGTAGCTGGGAACATAGGTGTGCACTGGCATGCCAGGATAATTTTTTATTTTTTTTTGTAGAGATGGGGTCTCCCTGTGTTGCCCAGGCTGGTCTCAAACTCCTGGGCTCAAGTGATCCTCCTGCTTTGGCCTCCCAAAGTGTTGAGATTATAGATGTGAGTCACTATGTCCGGCTTGCCCCTACTTGTTAGTGCTGCTTTGTGAAGACTAAATGAAGATTTAATGTTCTGCACCATGCCTCACACAAAGGCATTCAGGACATCTAAATTTCTTTCTTTTCCAGATAGATTTATTTGACTGGCTGCAGTTGTCAGTATGGCTATGTTTGTATTTGTGTTTGTGTTTCCACTTGTGTCTAGATTGGTGTGTTTCTCTTTGTTGTCTGTGTATGTGCTGCTGTTATCCACGTGTGTATTTCTGAGTGTGGTGGTGTAGATAGGGATGTGAGGACGTCTGTATATGTCTTTGTGCTTGTGTCTTTGCGTGTTGGGTTGAGTAGCGTGCTTTGTGCCTGTGAGCAGCTGTGTCTCTGTGTGTCAGTGTTTCCATGATGGCATGACTGCTCTATGTGTGTGTGTATTGCAGGGCTGGTATGCCCAGAGATCTCCAGGGATTCAGGAAGCTTCACAGTGCACAGGAGCCCTGGACCTGGGTCCCCTCTAAGGTCCCTATGGTGTCCTCCTCCCCGCAAAAAAGCCTCCTGCAGTTCCTGGAGACCTTCCTAATTGCCCTCTGTCTGTTTTCCTCTGCCTCCCACTGGAGGCACATGGGGCCTAAGAATGCTTCCGAGGTGGCAGGGCCCCTGGTCCATTTGCATTCGTGTTTGCATATCATTTGCATTGTCTATACAGACTGTGCTTTCAGTTCTGCAGTTTTCAAGGTAAAATGTAGTTGCTCTTCTTGAAGGTCATTATATTAAGAATTTTTCTCTGTTTTATTCTTTCTGGTCCAGACCACTCTCCCAGAACCGGGAGGGTAGGGCAGGATAGAAGCCCCAGAAGCCTCTGCTGTTCCGTCAGCCCCTCCTCCTGGTCCACTGCCCCTCCCTGGGCCTCCAGCTTGGGGGACACTGTGACAGTCTTCCACTCAGCGGGCCTGGTTCAGTGGGTAGAGACCCTGGGCCCTGGGAGGAGGAGCAGCTGCGGGGGAGATTTTCTTACCCAGAGGTAGTTGATTCGGCCCAGATCCCAAGAGGGCAGGGAATAACACAGTCCAACTTGTGCCTATTGCCTGCTTGCCCAGTCCCCATGACTTACTCCTGTTAGGGAAGGACCACCATGGATGTTTCAACGTCTGTATACCCATCTTTGGCTGGGGAGGGGCCACGGGGCTGGGCTGGCCTTATAGGAAACAAAGGAGTCAAAGATGTCTTTTCCTTTCAAACATCTAATACATACTTAATAATATTTCTGATGCCACGGAAGACACAAATCCAAAAAGCTTCCCCAGGAGGGCTGTACCCAAAAAGCTTCCCCAGGACAGCTGTACCCAAAAAGTATCTTCCTTATGGGTCACCCCATGCAAGACATCTCCTCTTTCAATGTGGATTTGAGTCCTGGCTCTGCCATGCACTAGCTGCATGGTTTCTGACCAGCTACCTAACCTGTCTGAGCACCCTGCTTCTCATCTGTAAGAGGAGAGTGATAACAGTACTTAAGATTAATAATACATAGGGTTGTGAAACTCAAATGAACAAGGCAGGTAAAAGGCTTAGCTTAGTGTCTGGAATGTAGCAAAGACAAAGACTCAGTGAATGTCTGACTTGCCAGTCCCCATGGGCGTATTAGAAAACAGAGGTTCCAGGGTGTGGTCTTTATCGCTTCGTATAAATTGTTCACCGGAAGCACCTCAGACGCGTGACAGGCAACAGGCCTGCGTCCCTTCGTGGCCTTTCTGTAAGTCCAGCTCTAGGGGACCTTGGCTGCTTTTGCCTTCCCACAAGGGGAAGTGTTGCAAAGGCAGCTGGGGAAGCAGGAGCACCCTTGTCTGTGTCTCCGAAAATTCAGCCCCCACTCTCCCCTGGTTCCAGGGTTGGCAAGATCTCATCTTCTCAAAGTCAAGTCATTCATCTTCTCTCATGTGTCTTTCCTCTGAGCAAGGCCCTGCTGGACACCCAGGCCCTTCCACAGCAGAGCAGATTTTGGGTTCCCCAGAAAACAGAGCTTGAGCGAAGTCTTTGTGCTGGTGCTTTATTGGGGGGCTGGGGTGGAGCTCAGGGCAGGGAGAGGGAGAGGAAAAAGGAAAGTGAGGCAAGGAGGGAGGAAAAGCGAATGCCAGCCGCCACTTCGGGAGAAAAGAAAGCTGGTTGCTTAGTCATGAGGGATGGCTCCTGTTAGGCTGAGTGGAGCCACTGTGACTCAGAACAGTTTGTTGCAGGTACAAGTGATAGAGTTTATCTGCTAGCTCTTTGGTGTTTCATTGGTTCAGGTTTTCCTCATGGAGCATTAACTCCCTTGCACCTCCGGGTCATATCACCTGACCCTGTTGGGAAGCCTCTGGAGAAGCCCAATCCCATGCCCTGTGGCATGGTGCCTCACCTGGGCCCAGAAGTCATGACAGCATCCAGTGCTCCACATGACCGGTGGGTGGACCCTGGTACGGAAGCTGCTCTGGCTTCTGAGGAGTGTGCAGTGCAGGCTGTGCCAGAGCCTGGCCCTCACCCTGGGGGAGGCTGGGGCAGCCAGTGATGTTAGATGAGACCACTGGTAGTGGTGGCCTAGCTCTCCACCCAGAAAGTAGGTGATGGTCTGGGAGGCAGGTGGGGCCAAGCAAATCTGGGAAAGCGCATATGTAGGGTCTGATTCAGCCATCATTAATCAATGAATCAATTCACGACTGGGGCCAGGTGCTGGAGTCTGGGCCTTCCCCTGTAGGCAGGGGGGAGTCATCAGTGGTTCTTGAGCAGGTGAGAGACTGCTCAGTGTTCAGTAATGACATGAGTTATTTGGAGAGGGTCCTTGCTCAGGCCTACATGTCTTTGTCCACAAAGATTCAGATGGGGGTTGATACCAGAAGACCTGGCATTCCTAACTCAGTTCAGGGAACAGAAAATGCTCCTAGCTCATCATTGCCTATGGAGTTTCACTCAGCAGTGAGGAGGCTGAGTCCCCCATGACAGCTGTAGAGGTCTTAATCAGAGAGGAGAATGTCCTTCCCGAGTAAGGTGAGATCATTCTGAAGTGGGTCAGAGACCAGAGTGCCTGGGTTCGAACCCCAGCTCTGCCATTTAAAAGCAGGTGACCTTGGGCAAGTGACTCAACTTCTACTCATTCAGTCAATGTTTAGTGAGCACCTGCTCTGTGGCAGACTGTTCTTGCTGTTGGGCGTACAGCAGTGAGCAATGCAAGACAAACAGACACAAATCCTTTCCTTGTGGAGCTTCCATTCTCGTGGAGGAAGCCGGACTCTAAGCAAGTAAGTTAGTAGATGGTTTATTTGAAGGTGACAAGCGATGTGGCGGAAAGCAGGACAGGTGAAGAGGCAGTGATGGGTGGGGGTGGGGTTGCAGTTTAAAAAAGAGTGTTAGGGAAGGTCTGCAATAAAAAGGTGGCCTTTAAGTTATACCTGGAGGAGGGGAGGGTGTGAGACATGCTGATATCTAGGGGAGACACCCTTGCCTCAGTTTTCTCACCTGTACAGTCAGGGTTATGATAGAACCTATCTCAGGGGCTGCTGTGAGGGTTAAATGAGTTAATCCACGCAGTGGGTTTAAACCTGGCCTGGCACACAGTGAAACACTATTGTCACCACTGCTGAGGTAGGAGTCCATCTCTACTGCCTCCAGGCGGTGCTCCTGGGCTCTAGACTACAGGGATTTTGGTGGCCTTCATCTCCCCAAGAGTGCGTGTGGGGATCTCCTCCAACCTTCCCTGTCTCCTCATTGAAAGGGGCACACAACCTGCAGTCTGAGAAGCAACACATGCATTTTCTTTTTACTCGAGCATCTGAGTCCCTGAGGGAATCGCAGAAAAGCCTTTAGCAAACTCCAGGTTTAGGAAGCAGCTTCCAGCCTTTCTCTGGGGCATCTGTGGACTGGGGTGGGCAGGCGTTTCTGGCCTAGATCAGCTCAGGGTGGGTTGGGGAGGGGGTTTCCCACCCAGAAAACTGGGCTCCTAGCAGTGGGGATGCAGGGCTGGCCCTATTCACACCCTCCTGGCTGGGTGGCAGCCCAGTTCTCATCAGCAGGCGCTGAGAGTCCCTCCAGCAATTCGGATACTATTATTTACTATTGCAGAGATTTTTGTGGCTGTGATTTACCACCACTGCGAAGCCCCAGGACCTGAATCCCAGTAGCTTCAGTATAGATATTGCATCGAATCAATCCTCTATTACCGTGCAAATACATCCTATAGGATATTGCTGTATTTTCCCTTCAAACACTTAATACATAATTAATGATATTAAAATACATCTAATGCCACAGAAGATACCAGCCTCAAAAGCTTCCTGTTATAATTTATTCCCACCTAGATAAAAGATTGATTTATTGGTTCACTTATCATTCAGGAGTGGTCCTCTCCTGGCCATCCATGGGAAGGGGCGGTGGAGGCAGGAAGTGCCTGCTGTGTGGCAGACTGCCCTCCAGACAGCATTGAGCCCGGCGGGAGATAGCCACGTGCCAGTGTCTTCAAGGATTACTCATTCAATTCTCCCAAACTACTCCAGGAAGGAGGTCCTGTTGTTATTCCACTCTATAGATGGAGAAACAGAGGCCAGAGAGGCAGCCCCACTTGCCCAAAGTCATAATCTTAGGCTTCCCCACAGGACGGTGGACCTGGAAGGTGGGCTTGGCATTTCTTACCCCTTAAAACGGCAGCCATTGTCACTACTCTGCAGGAGTATTTGAGAATTAGAGATAACAGCAGATGTTAGGCACTAAAACATGCTGCTGACGTCCTTATTTGGAGGTGAAATGGTGAGACCATCAATTTTAAGGGTATTGTTTTGGCAGCTAGGTGGTCTTTTGTTGGGGGGAGTGAGTTGGAAGGAGACAGGGTGTGGGACCCCACTGTCATCAGGCACACACCTTCTCTGGCCGATAAGACACCATGAGAAGAAACCACACTCCAGAGTCCATCTGGGAGTTTCTTCATCCAGGCTTCACCCAGGCCCTCCTGTGAATCACGAGAGCGCTGGACTTGGGAATGAAGATAACGTGGTCCCTGGATGAGGCACTGTGTCTGGTGGAAATGGACAGACACATAACTAGTGTGACGAGGTGTGATGGGTGTTAGCATGCAGGCACCAGGATTCCAACAGCCCGGGGTGCCTGGATGGTGCTGCCAGTGGACAAGGGAAGGAGGTGCTGGGTGAGGGAGTGGCATGTGACCCATGCCGGGCACACGGAGGGTCCTGAGAATGATTGAGGTGAATATCAAGATTGAGATGGCGGGGACAGCAGTCTTGTTCTTCCCGGGGTGTTACAGCGGGCCGCCCATCTTGGCTCAGCTCCTCTGCCCCTTTGTTCTGATGTGGAGGAAATGAACTGGGTTGTGTTCTCCCCAAACCAGGACCGGCAGAGGAGCTGGATGCTGAGCAGGGGCAGGAGGTGGGGACAGGAAGCTGCCTGCAAACAACCACCACAGCCAGGAGGCACGGAGGCTCACTGGGGACCCTTCCTGGGCCAGAGGACTAGGGTTCGAGCTGCTGTTCTTCCCTCCAGCACAGCCATTTCCACACCCCCATGGAATTCTCAGGACGCCCTCTCATTCTTCCTTGTCCCATCCAGACTTTATCCATGGCATTGGTGGTATTGAATGGTATTGAGGGCAGACCCAGCCTGTGCCCCCAGACTGAAGAGCTGCTTCTTGCTCAGGAGTCCTTTGCCTTGGCTTGGGACTTCTCTCCCTTTTGCCTGTGATGTCTTTTCCCTCCCCAGTCCACATTCCCTGTGGCAGGCAGAAGGATCTTTCTAAAGTGCAAACTGGACCATGTCCCTGCCTGTCGGAAACCCTTTAACAGTTTCCCATTGCCCTCGGGATGAAGTCAAAACTCATTAGCACAGAGTCAAGGCCCAGCAGCCTCACCCCATCCTCTATAATCCACCTTGCACTTGATGCTTGGGTAGCACCAAGCCGCTTCTGGTCCTCCCTCCTCCAGAACACACAGTGCTGTGTCACACCTCTGTGTCTTTGCATATGTTGTTTTCTGACTGCAAAGCCCTTCCTACCTTCCTTATGTGGCTGACTCTTACTCATCCTCCACAATTCAACCCAGACACCATCTCCTCCAGGAAGCCTTCCCTGAACTCCCCTCCCTCTGGTGGGCTGAGTGACTTGTCTTTCTGTTCTGACTCTCTGTGCTTATTATAGTCAAATACACTCAACACTGTAGTGAGAGCCTCAGGAGGAGGGACTTGGTCAAACAGGGAGCCAGTACCCAGTGCTGTCCCTGGCATGTAGTAGGGTTAAAGATTTGTTGTCACACTGAACCGGGATAGTCCTTGTCCTTGATATGGAGACTTGATGCTTGCCTGTGGCTCTCCTTGACCTGTGGGGAAGAGGTGGGATTTGGCAGGCAATTTTGGGGTGGACTGTGAGATGTGGGAGCCCGGGCAGTCTTGGGACGCTTCCAGGATCCTGTAGGAGGACCCAGGCTCTTCTGGAGTTTAGAGAACATCACTGCTCTGAGTGCCTGGAGGGTTTTGGCAGGTATTGGGGTGTAGTGCTGTTGCTCAGAGGCTTGAGAAACGAGGATGATCCTGGGTAGTTGAGACCCCTGGGTAGGTAGTCAGTTTCTATTCTCCCTCTTGGCCATGTCTCTGGATTTGTTACAGATTTTGACCTTTTTTTTTTCTTTGAGACAGAGTCTTATTTTGTTGCCCAGGCTGGAGTGTAGTGATACCATCATGGCTCACTGCAGCCTCAACCTCCCAGGCTCAAGCAGTCCCCTCATCTCAGCCTCCCAAGTAGCCGGGAATAAAGGTGCATGCCACCATACCCAGCTAATTTTAAAATTTTTTATAGAGATGAGGTCTCCCTACATTGCCCAGGCTGGTCTCAAACTTCTGGACTCAAGCAATCCTCCTCCTCAGCCTCCCAAATTGCTGGGATTACAGGCATAAGCCACCTTGCCCTGCTATATTTTGACCTTTGAATTGCTTTAATCGGCTCCCTAATTTTTGTCCCTAACTTGATTCTCTGCACCTTCCCCGCCCTCCGCCATGTGTAACACAAGGGATTTAAGCAGAGGAAGATCTTCAAAAAATAGGAGACTCTGAAATGGGTTTTCAGGGAAAGCGTGGCGCCCCCTCTCCTGCTTTGTGCAGAGTAGGCGTGGAGGGTGTGGAAGCATAGGAAAGAGCCCCTTACTTCCTGTGGGATGAGGACAGTGAAATGACATCACCAGACCCTGAGTTCCGAAGGTGGGAAGGGCAGAGAGGACCTGGTTCAGGGCCAGGGATTGCTCTGGGACTCCCCCACTGGAGGCTCGGTGTCCTTCTGGGTAATTTTCATCTTTAATTTCTCAGCGTTTTATGAACAGGGAGTAAATCAGGATCCTGAACCGACTGCTTCATGTAAAGGATTAATAAACTGGAGATTTATGGGGCAGCAGCAGAGGAAGGCAGTGGAAATGGAGAATGAAATGAGACTTGGGCAGAGGCTGGCTCCAGAATCTTCCCTCCATTGTAGGACATCTGCATTCCATTGTAGGGACCCGATTGGGATCCTTGTCCTTCAGGGATCATATTCAGGGTTGGGTGGTGGGCCTGGGCCTGGGCCCTGGCCTGTGTCTTCCATGTAGGAGTAAACCAGGTGGTCCCAAGGTCAAGGGGGCAGAACCATGCCTGGGTCTGTCTAGTTTGACAGCCTGATACCCACTCTTCAGCGTTGCGTATAGATACATGCTGTGGGCTTGGACTCAAATGGTCTAGTTTTGAGTCTATAGCCAGAGGACTGAAGTTGACATTCTCTTTGGCTATATCAGTTAAGCTGCAAGTAACAGAAAAGCATGATATCAGAGGCTTAAATAATAAGAATCTAGGTCCTTTCCGCCTCTCTGGCTGTTCCTCTCGGCGTGTTAGCACATCCTCGCAATAGCGCCTCATGGTGGTGACATGGCTGCAGTAGTTCCAGTCTTACATTCAGAAATGACAATGTCTGGCCGGGTGCAGTGGCTCGTGCCTGTAATCCCAGCACTTTGGGAGGCCAAGGTGGATGGATCACTTGAGGTCAGGAGTTTGAGACCAGCCTGGCCAGCACAGCGAAACCCCGTCCCTACTAAAAATACAGAAATCAGCCGGAGGCTGAGGCAGGAGAATCGCTTGAACCCGGGAGGTGGAGGTTGCAGTGAGCTGAGATCCAGCCTGGGTGACAGAGCAAAACACCATCTCAAAAAAAAAAAAAAAAGAAAAAGAAAAAAAAAAAGAAATGACAATGTCCAGTGGAACAAAGGACTGCCTGTCTCTCTTAATGGACATCTCTTTTTAAGAGCAAGGACACTCTCCCCAGAAGACCTTTGGCAGGCGTTCCTCATATCTTACTGGCCAGAACTGGGTCACATGCTCCTTCCTAAACCAGTCACTAGCATGATGAAAGGGACTACCATGATTGGGTCAGAGTAAGGAAGATTCACTGGGTCATGCTTCCCTGAGTCATGTTGGAGAGAAGTGGGCACCTAGACAGAAGTGGGGCACTCAGGGAATGGGGAAAGGGCGTGGCTGCTGGACAGGCATTTGCTGTGGTGACTTTGGGTAGTTTGTTTTAGCTTGCTAAGCCTTAGTTTCCCCATCTGTAAAGTGAGAATAATCATAATAGTACTTTCTGGCCAGGTGCAGTAGCTCATGCCTGTCATCCCAGCACTAGGGGACACTGAGGTGGGCGGATCACTTGAGGTCAGGAGTTCGAGACCAGCCTGACCAACATAGTGAAATCCTGTCTCTACTAAAAATACAAAAATTAGCCTGGTGTGGTGGTGGGCACCTGTAATCCCAGCTACTTAGGAGGCTGAGGCTGGAGAATCGTTTGAACCTGGGAGGCGGAGGTTGCAGTGAGCTGAGATCATGCTCTTGCACTCCAGCCTGGGCGACAAAGCTACACTCTGTTTCAAACAAACAAAATAATAATAATAGGATTTTCTTGTAGCGTTGTGAGAATGAAATGTGACATGTATGCTAAGTGCTTAGCAGGATGCCTGGCACATAGTATGCTCTATGCTAGGTGCTGGTATTATGAACAGCCCAGTGATATGAGCACGCTGCTTAACCTGTTTGGGTAACAGTGCTGTGTAAAATGGACACGGTGTTATCTCTCTAGGGTCACACCTGCCTTTTGTTAACACTAGGAGACTGAGGTGGTGTTGTTATTGTCATAGCCCTATGGCATCCTCGTTCGTAACCTGGGCTTTCATATCAGACTAGGGTCCTCCACTCACCTAGTAGTGTGACATTGGTGAAACTAGTTAACCTCTCTGAGCCTCTGTTTCCTCATCTGTAAAATGGTGATACTTTTACTCATCTTATAGTGTTGTTGGGTGAGTTAAGTAAATAAGGCAGGTAAGTATGGCACTTGGCTGGCACAGGGCCTGGCACACGGTAGGCCTCGATAAAACTCCTTGCCTTTCCTTTTCCCTCATAGGCACTCATTTCATTTGGCGCATGACCCTAATCAGAGACTGGAGGTATAAGGAGCAGGGTCTGTTCTCCTGGGGGTGGTATGATGAAGCAGAAAATGAAGGCCAGGGTTCAGACCCTAAGGTTCTGGAGTGCCAGCTGGGAAATGAGGCAGGAGAGAGCTAGGATTTTAGAGGAGAGAGCTAGGATTTTAGAGCTAGGATTTAAGGGAGCTAGGATTTTAGAAGAAGCCAACAGGCCAGGGGCAAAGAGAAGGGTGGAGCTCAGATGGCACAAGGCTGTCCAGAGCTCCCCGGGGACTTGGAATGCTGAGTCTCTCGCAGCACAGCTGATTCCAGATCCTACTGTCTGCCTTGACTGGGGCCGGTCCAGCTGTAGGTAAAAGCCTCCTAAGGGCTGGTGGCCAGGACTGGGAGTGGGGAGAGAAGATAATGGGAAATGGTTAAGCTATGGGTCTGGGAAGTTGCTAGGGTTGCCAGAGAAGGTCTCTACAGCCTGTAGGTCTTGGTGCATTCAGGCTGGCTGCCCCAGGGCCACCTTTGACTCTTGAGACCTGCCTCTGGAGGATGTTCAGCTCTGCAGGCTCCTGGCCTAGGCTGCCTGCCGAGGGCAGCTTGGTGGAGGGGTTCTGAGCAGCACCTGTGGACTCCTCCTGCCTGGGTTCAAGGCTCAGCTCTACCACCATCATCTCAGTAATGTGGGGCAAATCCTTTAGCTTCTGTGTACCTCAGTTTGACCATCTGTAAAATGGGCTTGAAATAGAACCTAACTTGTAGGGTTGTTGGGGGGATTGGAAGTGGGTGAACACTCAGCACAAGGCCTAGCACACGGTAAGGGCTTGGTGAGGGTTAGTTGTTATTTGAGGATGATAAACACATGTATTCCGAGCTTCCACAAAGCAAATTGTATTTTTCTCTTACTTGCTCTTCCATGACCCAAGTCGTCACTACTGAGGGGGAGAAGGGTGGAGAGAAAGCTGGAAAAACCTATGCTTCATTAGTGATTAAGCATCACTATAGCTGCCCAAAGGGCCTGTGAAGCTGCCAGAGAAGCTGGTGTGAGCACAAAAGGGTCCAGGGATGAGGATTAGCAAGCAAGGGAGGGGCGGGAGTTTGAATCAGCAGCTCAGTTCATGACTCAGGAGACGGTTGGAGCATCTGTTTCTGTAGAGTGCTCAGGGGCAGCCTGTGTAGGAAAAACAGCTCCTCTCCCTTCTTCAGAATGAAACTCTGTGGAGCCCTGATGTAATTTGGGAGCCTGGAGGGCAGGGCCCAGGAAGGGCCTCATGTGCCTTCTTGGCATCTTTGACAACTTCCGTTCTGACCCCGCCATTATCTAGAGGCCGTATCACACCCTATAACCGTCCCCTCTCCCTGGGCAGATTATGTGTCCTACTTCTGTCAGCCCTCAGGGGGGTTCATCTGCAGCACACTCCTTCATGCAGACTTCACTTGGCCAGGGTTCCGGTTTCTGGAAAGTCCTGCCTTGGGGGATGGTGGGGGTTGGGGTGTGAAGTAGGGCTCCTCTTTACCTGCAGGTCTGTTGCAGCCTGCATTTCCCAGCCTGTGTTCTGTGGAACACCAGTTCTGCAGAATGTTCTATAAAGGTTCCAAAAAGTCTGCAGGAAATGGACATGATTGCTTTCTTTAACCTAGTATTTTCTAAAATTATTTAACCATGGGACCTTATTCTCTATAGAACGCTTTTAACATCCTAAGGAAGTGGTGTTGTGGGACCCACTTTGGGCAAGGCTGCTGTAGGAAGGAGCCCACTTGGCCAGGAATGGGAACGCTGCCTCTCTGGTTCTGTGGGTCCACACAGACTGAGTGATTTGGACGAGCCAAGTCCCCTCTCTGGGTTTCCATTTCTTCTGCTTTAGAACATATGGGTGAGAATAATGCCTCTTCCATCACTTACATACTAGAGTGGGTTTTTAAAAACTCTTTACAATGAAAAATTTTGGAGACCCCAGGTAGAGAGAACAGTATAGTGCACTCCCACGTCCGCATCACCTGCTTCAGCAATTACTTGCATTTTGCCTATCTTGTTTCATCTCCCCCCTTTTATAAGAATGGTTTTGAAGATGAGGTGAAATTAAGTCTATGAAAGTGCCTTGCAAACTTCAAAGTGCTATAGAAATGTAAGACATCTATCATTATTATTATTAACTTTATTATTCTTATTCCTAAAGTTCAAAGTGCTGCACAGATGTAAGGCATCTGTCATCATTATTAGTATGCTTATAATTTCTTATTACTGTCTCTAGTCACATCACCAAAAATGCCCAGTAATGTGGATATTATAGACCTCCATTTGTAAGAAGCTGGGCTGAGCCCTGAGGGGAAATACGTTTATAACCCAGCCCTGCTGCCAGAGGGCTTACAATCTAGTGGGGGAGGTAAGACAGAAGGTTTGAAAAACAGCCTCACAGTTCCTGGTGGAACCGTGGGCAGCTGCCAGACAAGGGAGCAGGCAATTCTAGAGTAATTCAGGGAAGGAGAGAAGCAGGAGGCAGGGAGTATGTAGCCAGAGGCTTTCCTTCACTGGAGAGAGTCCCCTCTACCCAGCTAGTTTGTGAGCTTGCCTGGGCTCGGAGGCAGCTGGAGGGATGAGATGCCCTTTCCGGGACACAGCCGCCTAAACCCTAGTGATGCAGTGGTTCTAAGGAGGACAGATTCTGGACCTTTGTGAATGACATGAATCTCCCTCTCTTGTAGGAGGTAAAGTTGCTGCCAGCACTTCCCAACAGGACAGGAAGTTCGCACCACTGCCACTTTCAGACAGAATTTGTTGCAGCCTCAAAACAAACAGAGCTTGAGACCAAACAAATAGATCCAGAGTAACCCCAACCTTTCTGAGGCCAGCCCCATTGCCCAATGGGGTCCCCTCATTTTAATCACCTAAATTCCAGTTTCCCATCTTGGCCAGCTCTGTGTCCTTGTCCTGGGGCCTCCACCCAGCTGCTCCCCGCTACCCAGCTCTCTCTGTTGTCTGGGCTTTGCCAAGGGCCCTTCCTCCCTGTGGGAGCCTTGCCATTCCTCTTCCTTCCCCAGAGCAGAGAGAGACTCAGAGATTCAGAGTATGCAGCCTCGGAAGGGCCACCAAAGCTGTCATCCTACTGAATTGTCTATGTAGGAGATGGAATTTCAGTCCCAGATTGTAACTTGTAGGGGAACAAACAGCTCTCTCTTGGCTACCGATAAGTTTGGCTTGAATTTTGCTTTGAAAACATGTAAGCCAAGAGAAGATTTTACATTAAAAAATGTATTTCCAGTTTCCTGGAGAAGATCTGCAACTCCAGGCCCACATTTCTGCCTGGCAACAGTCGAGGGAGCTGAGTGGTGGCCTCCCCATTCGGCTGGGACACGTGCATATCCAGGTCGCCATGGCCCACCGGGAGCCTGGGGCTTGTGGACAGTCCTGCTCTGGCCCTGGTGCGCATTGGGGCTGGGGAAGCATACCACAGAGAGCTTGGTTGTGCTCAGAAGCTGCAAGGCTAGTTAACCCAAAATTTGTTTCTGCTTGACTTTGTTGTTTCTGGTCATGATGGGTTTGTCATCATTATTTGACTAAGAACATTTTTTCTTGAGTGATATATCAGGATCCTGGCAGGTGACAAGTGGTGAACACAAGCCGGGCAATTTGATGAGTGCTTAATAAAGGGACTGTTTACAAAGGGGAGGGCAGAGTGCAGGAAAATCAGCAAAGGGTAGTGCAGCACCCTGACGCTAGCACCAGTGGGGAGCAGTTACCACCGCCAGGTCTGCAGGGACTTGGAGAGGGCGCTGTGTAGAGAGGACTGCCTGTGACAGGAGTGGGGCCTCCTGGGATGGAGGCAGCCAAATCACAGTGACCCAGCTCAGTCTCCTCCAGCTCTGGGACATCCTGTGGCGTGCCCCACTACCCAACCCAACTGGAAGCCAGAGATCAAGGGGGCCTCCTCTCATAAAGCCCATGCTTGTCAGCCTCCTGGGCCTGGAGCAGAGGGAAGCATGGAGAGAAGCTCTGGAGAAACACGTGGAAACCATCCAGCACTGGCAACAGTGTGATAAGGTGATGAGTCCCAACCCCTCTGCTGGCTTGCGGTAGGAGATGGTTCTGTCGTGTGGGGATGCTGGTCTGATAATGGGGAGCCATCTTCTCTCTGGGGTAGGGGCTGTTATTTCTGGGGCCCAAGAGCTCGTGCCCTGCAGGCCTCTTGGCCTGGTTTTCCGTCCTGCTGTGTGTGGCTCCTCTGTGTCTGTGTGCATGTGTGAGTGCATGGGCACCCCCTCTCCCCAGCTGCCTCTTTCTCTGGGGCTCCATAGCCTGTCACAAGTAGAAGCCTTCCTTCTAAAAGGAAACCTGGTGGAGGAGGAAGAGCAGGTCTGGCTGTCTGTGGAGGGCTGGCTCCGTAGTCTTGGTGGTGGGGACAAGGCTTCGTAAGCCCCTGGGCAGGGCTCCGTCACTTTATTGACTCTCCTACTTGAATGCTTTCTGTGTGTGGTGTTTTCTGAAGAGCCTTCCTGCTGTGATATGATTTGCTAAGCTCCCCTGGTCTCGAAGGATCTTCCCCAGTAGCCTGCCTTGGATTTTGAGATTCTCTGCAGCTTTCCAGCCCCAGAGAAGGTTAAAACTTAAAGGACCTTTCCACCCCCTCATTTGGCAGAGAGCACACCGAGGCCCAGGGAGAGGAAGTGACCTGCCCATAGTCACAAGGTGACTTAGGGCCCAGGGCAGGAATAGGAACCTGGACTAGCTCTTGGGCTTGGGGGGTTCTGTGGCCTCACCCCAGATGCCCTGGCATGTGTCATTGGAGTGGGGAGGTGGTGGAGTCTGACGGGAAGGCTGGAGCACCCAGAGGCTGGCTGGGCCCAGCTAGTCTTAGAAGATGGTATCTGAAGCATAAAAGAATCTACTGTCTAAGTGGGCTGGGGTGGCCCTTCCCTGGGGACCACTGGTGGAATGGGGACCAAGAAATATAAGATAACAGCCATTTCAGGGCATGTCCCAAACAGCAGAAGCCCGGCGCTTCCATGGCTTGAACTGGGGAAGAAAGGTGCTGTCTTCTCCTTCTCCTCTCCTCTCCCTTCCTGCCCTCTCTGCAGGAGATGCTGAGAAGCTGGGTGAAGCTCAATGGGGGTCCTGCCCCAGGAGAAGCAGGTATGCGGGTGGGTGGTGGGCATAGAGAAGTGGAAAGAATTCCTGGCGTTAGAAGGAAGGCCCGAGTTCAGTTCTCCCACTTGGCCGTGTGATCTTGTATACAAATCATTTAAAGTGCTGGACTTCTGTTTTCATTTGTGTGAAATGGGGAAAATAATACCTCAGAGGATTGCTATGGGATTTATTACTATTAATATCCAATATTAATAATAATGCTGAGGATAAAAGGTCTAATTTACTGGGGCTTACTACGTGGCAGGCACTGGGCTCAGCAATTCCCACGCGTTATCCTGTTTAATCCTCACAGCAGCTCCAGGAGGAAACTGAGGCTCAGGATGATCCCGTCAGTAAGCAGCACAGCAGGGACTCAGTGAGGTAATGGAGGAAGGCATCCTCCACGAACCGCAGAACCCCAGCTTATTTTCTATTGACCTAATAAAAGATGTTCCCATGCTGTCAGTGTTACTACCTAGTCCTCCCCATGGGCTGTAGAAATCCTCAGAGATGTCTTTCAGAACAAGGCTTTTCAGAGGCCTCCGTGGACCTGTTTCCACGCCTCACACCACCTCCCTGGGAATCCTGCCTGGGTTGTGATTTTCCGAAGGAGGAAAAGAGCCTGGCAAACGAGAAGACCATCTTGTGACTTGACTGCTGGCTTCTGGCAACCTGTCCTCCCAGCAGAGCCTGAAGCCCCAGCGGGCTGCAGGGCTGCCTCTGGGTATGTGTGTGAGTGTGCATGCGCTAGAGGATGTGTGTGAACACACGTGTGTTTGTGTGCCCATGTGAGGGTGTGAGTATACAGCAGTCACCCCTTATTCTCGGAGGACATGTTCCAAGCCCCCCCAGTGGATGCTGTGGACAGTACCGACCCCTATATAGACTATGTTTTTTCCTGTACGTACATACCTATAATAAAGTTTAATTTGTAAATTAGGTATAGTAAGAGATTAACAATAACTGATAATAAAATAGACCAATTATAACAATATAGCAGCATCACTACTGTTGCGCTTTGGGGCCATTATTAAGTAAATTAAGGGGCTGGGTGCAGTGGCTCATGCCTGTAATCCCAGCACTTTGGGAGGCCGAGGTGGGTGAATCCCTTGAGGTCAGGAGTTCAAGACCAGACTGGCCAACATGGTGAAACCTTGTTTCTACTAAAAATACAAAAATTAGCCAGGCGTGGTGGCACACGCCTGTAATTCCAGCTACTTGGGAGGCTGAGGCAGGAGAATCACTTGAAATGGGGAGGTGGAGGTTGCAGTGAGCTGAGATCATGTCACTGCACTCCACCCCTGGGTGACAGAGTGAGACTGTCTCAAAAAAAAAAAAAGTAAAATAAGGGTCACTTGAACACAAGCACTGAGATACCACCGACAGTCGATCTGATAGCCAAGATGGCCACTAAGTGACCAATGGGCAGGGGGCGTCTACAGCGTGGCTACACTGGACGAAGGCATGATTCATGTCCCGGGCTGGAGGGAGTAAGAGGGCACGACATTTCATCACACTACTCAGAATTGCATGCAAGTCAAAACTCATGAACTGTTTATTTCTTGAATTTGCCATTTAACATTTTTGGACTGTGGTTGGTAACTGAAACTGCAGAAAGCAAAACTGTGGATAAGGGGCTGCTGTATGTATGTGTGTTCATGTGAGTGTGAGTGTGGGTGTGGACATGACAGTGGGTGGGAGTGAATGTGTGCATATGAGCATGTTTGCATGTGCCTGTATATGTATGTAAGCTGTTACGTGCTGTGTGCATGCCTCAGTGTGTGATCTTATGCGAGTGTGTGCTTGTAAACATATGCCTTCATGTGAGCATATATGTATTCATGTAAGTGTGTGTATGATAGTGTGCGTGTGTGTGTGAGTGCATGGGGTTGTGTGCATGTGTCTATGATTGTATATGTATGTAAGCTGTTTATATGTGCATGTGTGTGCTCAAGTGTGCAGGACCATATGTGAATGTGTGCTTGTAAACATAACGCTGGTGTGTGAGTGTGTCTGCCAGATGTGACCAGATGGGTTAAGCCCACTAGGTTCCTGCCTCCAAAGGGCATCATTAGGAAGCATTTGAATTTTCCAGACCCAGTTAAGGAGCCTGGTAAGGTAGAGGGTGGCACCACCCACTGAGCGCTGGTCTCCCCGCTCCTCACTAGGGCTCTTGAAGGCCATATTACCTACGGAGAACAGCATCCTCAGCCATTGCCTTTCTGGGCAGAGAGCTGGTTTTTATTGCCACTCTTAGGCAAAATGGAGTGTGGGTGGTGGGCAAGCATGCTGAAGAGGCCTCTTTTTCAGGCAGGGCTGCTGCCTCTTCCCCAGGATGGGAAATGGCTCCTGCAGGTTTGAGCCTTGGCTCTGCTCCCTAATGGGCACTTGGTAGAGGTGCTGGGCCGTGACCAAGTGTGAATCCATGCCAGGCCACTCACCTTGGCTGGGAGAGCAGATGGCAGGGCCGGGCCCTTCTGGCTGGCTGCTCTGCCCAGCCTGGGCCTTGCTGCACACTGCCTCCTTGTCTCAGGGTCTCGGGAATGGCCAGACCACACACGCCGTGTTCTTTCCTGTGCCTGTATTCTCCAGCAAGACCCTTCCTCCCAGGAGGAGAGGGGCTGGCGTGCTTGGGCTAAGGGGAGAGAAGGTTGGGGAAAGAACTGTGCAGCTCAAGGAGAAATGAGTGCTTGGGGGTGCTGATTGAGATGAATATGCATTTTGTAAGCCTTGCCCGTCACTAAACCAATTAATGAGATTCACTCCCCCATCTGGGGAAATATTACAGCTAATCCTTGGATAGCACTTATGCTATGACAGGTACTTTATTTATATATATAAATATATATATATGAGATATACATATATGATATATATAAAATGTATATATAAAATATATATACTTTATATATTATATATAAATATATACTTTATATATAAATATATAATATAATAAGTAATAATATATAATATATATTAAATATATATAATAAATATATATATATTTTTGAGACAGAGTCTCACTCTGTTGCTCAGGCTGGAGTACAGTGGCGCCATCTTGGCTCACTGCAAACTCCGCCTCCCGGGTTCAAGTGATTCTCTTGCCTCAGCCTCCCAAGTAGTTGGGATTACAGGCATGCGCCACCATGCCCGGCTAGTTTTTTTGTTTCTTTGTTTTTTAGTAGAGTTGGGGTTTTGCCATGTTGGCCAGGCTGGTCTCGAACTCCCGGCCTCAAGTGATCCACCTGCCTTGGCCTCCCAAAGTGCTGGGATTACAGACATGAGCCACTGTGCTCGGCCAGATACTTTATATGCATTAATTCCTTTTATCCACACACACATCAGCCCTATGAGGTAGATAATGTTATTATCCTCTCAGTTTACAGACGAGAAAACCAAGGCTCAGAGAGGTGAAGGAACTTGTCCAAGGTCACAGAGCTGGTAATAGGCGGAGCTGGGATTAATGCTAAGTGGTCTGGTTCTGGAGACTGCAGTTAACCACTACATTATATTATGTCTTGAAGTAGCAAAGTGTCCTGTTGTTGATTAAATTTCCCCCATCATGACTGATTGAAAAAAGAGGCCCGTCACCTGTACTGTCCTTCCTGGGCCAAGCAGGGGGCTGACCTCTTGAGGGAGGTTGTAGTAGTGGAAGAATACCCAACACTCAGCCACCCCAAGGAGGGGGACGTACAGGAGTTCGGGCCACTGGGGCTCAGTCCTTCATGAACCCACACCCTCCACACATAATGAGTGCCTAAATGACTAAAACAAGAGAAAGATTTGTAGCAGCTTTATTGAAATATAATCCACATACCATAAATCCACCATTTTATTTTTTATTTTGTTTCATTTTTATTTTATTTTTTTGAGACTGAGCCTTGCTCTGTTGCCCAGGCTGGAGCGCAATGGCACCATCTCAGCTCACTGCAGCCTCTGCCTCCCAGGTTCAAGCGATTCTCCTGCCTCAGCCTCCCGAGTAGCTGGGATTACAGGCATGTGCCACCACGCCTGGCTAATTTTGGTATTTTTAGGAGAGGTGGGGTTTTACCATGTTGGCCAGGCTGGTCTCAAACTCCTGGCCTCAAGTGATCCACCCATCTCGCAATTCACTATTTTAAAGTGTACAATTCAATGGTTTTTGGTGTATGCACAGAGTTATGCAACCATCACCACAGTCAATTTTGTAGTATAATCCCACAATTACCCCAAAAAAGTAACCCTATATCCCTTATCAGTCACTCCCCATTTCCCCTCCCCCAGCCCCTGGCAAGCACTTATCTACTTTTGTCTCTGTGGACTTGCCGGTTTTGGACAATTCATATAAATGGAATCATACAATATGTGGTCTTTTGTGACTGATTTCTTTCACTTAGCATGTTTTCAAGGTCCATCCGTGTTGTAGCATGAACTAGTTAGTACTTCATTCCTTTTTATTGCCAAATAATATTTCACTTTGTGAATATAGCACGTTTTATTTATCCATTCATTGGTTGTTAGAGATTTGGTTTGTTTCTGCTTCCTGGCTATTATGAATAATGCTGCTATGAAATTCATGTACAGGTTTTTGCAGGGACACGTATTTTCTTTTATGTTGGGTACATGCCTAGGAGTGGAATTGCTGGGTTATATGGTAACTCTATGTTTAACATTTGAGAAACTGCACGACTGTTTTTCAAAGTGGCTACACCATTTTACATTCCCACCAGCAGTGTATGAGGGTTTTCATTTCTCCACATCCTCATCAGCATTTGTTATTATCTGAGTTTTTGATTGTAACCATCCTAGTGGGTTTGAAGAAGTTATCTCAAAGTGGTTTTTATTTGCATTTCCCTGAGGATTAGCGGTGTTGAGCTCTTTTCATGTGCATATTGGTCACTTATATACCTTCTTTGGAGAAGTGTCTATTCAGATCCTTTGCTCATTTTAAACTTAGGTCCTAAGAAGATGAATGAATGAGCGAATGAGCCAGCCTACTACAAACCAGGCACTGGGGAAGCCAGGATGAATGAGACCCGGTCCTTGCCCTTGGGAAGCTTATAGCTCCTTAATTGTGCGGGAGACGAACACAAGACAAACACAATTGTGTAGGAGGCAAACACAAGGAGTCAGAGAGATATAGTAAATGCTTGAACAGCAATAGGTGCAAGAGGCTGTGGGTGGCTGCTGCTGATTGCATCTGACCAGGCGTCAAGGAAGGAAGATTGGGGGAGAGTAGGTTTGAGGAAAGGCCTTTTGAGTGGAAGAATTTGCTCTGGAGAAGGCCCACAGTATAGTTGGGGAGCAGCTGGGAAATCAGGAGCAGGATGAATGGCGAGGCAGGGCATCTGGAGGTTGGTACTGGGTCCAAGGAGAAAGAGCCAGGAGATATACCTGTGTGCTGAGGGTCACAGAGTTGGGGACGCTGAACTTGGGTTTAGATTTGCCATCAAAACCCTGCCTGTCCTCAAGGCCTCCTAACAGAATTGCTGAAGCTGCTGCTGTGGTACCGGGTGGGTCCTTTTATGTTTTAGTAATTACCCTGTCACCCACCAAAAATAATTTCATCTTGGGAAGAAGGGAGGTTTGGTGGTATCGAAAACTGCTGCCACGTAAGTGCAAGCGGCCTAATTGGGATTCATAAATCCACTTTTTAACAAGCACAATTAGGAATACTTATTGCCGGCCAGCTTGAGGAAATCAGGAAAGTGCTGTTAGCAGGGGCAGCTTTTATGTGGCTTTATGTAATGGGATTGAAGACTTGGTTTGATCCTGGCATCTCAGTTAGTCACAAAGGGAGCAAGTCTCAACTTAAAAGTGGAATTTTACCCCAAAGTTTAATTCTCAGGGGGTTGTTAGGCAAAATTATAGTAGGAAGAGAGAGATTGTTCTTTAGGGAAAAATGTTAAATCCCATCAAGTTTGGAAAAAGATAAGGGAGTACCCCAGAAATCAGACAAAATATGGACAGAATTTGGAGAGACATATACTCAAATAAAGAGAGGTCTGTCCCCGCTCCCTCCCCACTTCTCTCTGCCTTCTAAGTGCTCAGCTGTGCCAGGGCTGTGGGGAGGGTGGTATGGTCTGAGTCCTTAGGAGCCGGTGGTCTGACTGGAAAGGGTGAACGAGGTCCTCTGACAGTTGTGAAATTATGTGAGGTCTGTAGATACCAAAGGCAATGGAGGGTAGAAGCAGCTGTCAGTGGAAGGAGGGATGCTTGCAGGCTAGAATAATCTGGAAAGCTTTCAAGGGAGAAGAAGCAGGACTGAGCTGGGGCCGGAAGCATGGGCAGGATTCAGGAGTGTGGGAGGGAGGCAGGCGTGCTGGAGCGGCTGCGAGCCCGTGACCCAGGCAGCCCTCTCCCAAGGAGAGTCGCAGAGAGGAAGACAGAAGTACTGAATGCAGTTGGGAGGCCTGGGGGATGGTCCCTGCAGGCTGTTACCCTGCCGTGGGACTCAGGCCAGCACCATCCCTGTGGATTAAAAAAAAAATTTTTTTTTAAATTTGAAATCATTTTAGACTCACATAGAAGTTGCAAAAATAGTAGAGAGTTCTTGGGTACCCTTCACCCAGCTTTCACCCTGATGATGACCAAAACCAGGAAATTGACATTAATACCACTTACTAAACTACAGCCCTTACTTCCATTTCCCCAGTTTTTACATGCACTCACTTTTTGGGGGAAGTGTATATTCCTCTGAATTTTGTCATATGCATTAATTTATGTAACCACGACCACAATCAGAACTGCTGATTTAAAACTCTTGGCGACTCCTGTGGCTGGGCATGGTAGCACATGCCTGTAACCCTAGCAGTTTGGGAGGCCGAAGCAGGAGGATCACTTGAGCCCAGAAGTTTGAGACCATCCTGGGCAACACAGTGAGACCCTGTCTCTATAAAAATTAAAAAATTAGCCAGGCACGGTGGCACACACCTGTAGTCCCAGCTACTCTGGAGGCTGAGGTGAAAGGATTGCGTGATCCTGGGAGGTCAAGGCTGCAGTGAGCCGAGATCACGCCACTGCACTCCAGCCTGTGTGACAGAGTGAGACCCTGTCTCAAAACAAAGCAAAAAAAAAAAAAAAAAAACCCAACGAAACCTCCTTGTGCTCCTCCTTTATGATCATACCCTTCCTCTCCTCCTCCCCTGGCAACCACAGATTTGTTCTCCATCACTCTAATTTTGTCATTTTGAGAATGTCATATAAATGGGATCATACAGTAATCTCTCGAGACTGGCTTTTTTTCACTCAGTGTAATTCCCTAGATTATTGTGCCATCAATTCATTAATTTTTATTGCTAAGTAGTATTCCACGGTGTATTCGTTTTCTAGGGCTGCCGTAACAAAGTACCACATGGCGGGGGGTGGGGGGTTCTTAAAACGACAGAAATTTGTTTTCCCACAGTTCTAGAGGTTAGAAGTGTGAAATCAAGGTACTGGAGGTTCTAGGGAAAAAATCCCTCCTTGCTTCTCCCCAGGCCTTTGTGCTGCTTGTAGATGCACTGCTCCAGTCTCTACCTCTGTTGGCACATGGTCTTCACGTGGCCTTCTCATAAGGACACCAGTCATTGGATTTAGGGCCCACCCTAATCCAGTATGACCTTATTTTAACTAATGATATCTGCAAAGACCCTATTTCCAAATAAAGTCACATTCTGAGGTTCCGGGTGAACATGAATTTTTGGGGAACACTATTCAACTTAATATATACGGTATGGATGTACCACAGCTTGTTTAACCATTCACCCATTGGAGGACATCTGGGCTATTTACAGGTTTGGGCTATTATAAATAAGGCTGCTATAAACTTTCTCATATAGATTTTTATGTGAACATAAGATTATCTCTGGGATAAATGCTCAAGAGTGCAATTGCTGGGTTGTATGGTAGATACGTTTTTTTTTGTTTTGTTTTTGAACACCAGTGCCACTTGCCAAGCACATTTAATTTTTTAAGAAACTGCCAAAATGTTTTCCAGAGTGGCTATACCATTTCAAATTCCCATCAGCAATGTATGAGTGATCCAGTTTCTCCACAACCTTGCCAGCATTGGGTGTGGTGGCGTTTGTACTTTAGCTATGCTGATATGAGATTCTGCATGAGATCTCATTGAGGTTTTAATTTGCATTTCCCTAATGGCTGATGATGTTGAGCATTTTTTTCATGTGCTTATTTGCCATCTGTATGTCCTCTTTGGTGAAGTGTCAGTTCAAGTGTTTCACTCATTTTTAAAATTGACTTTTTGACTTCTTCCTGTAGAGTTTAGAGAGTTCTTTCTGCAGCTGGATATAAGTCCTTTGTTGGCTATGTGATGTGCAGATATTTTCTCCCGCTCTGTAGAGTGTCTTTTCATTCTCTTCACAGTGTCTTTTGCAGAGCACTTAATTTTCATGAGCTCTGATTTATTGATTCTTTCTTTTATGGATTGCACTTTTGGTGTCATGTCTAAGAACTCTTTGCCCTAAGAGATATTCTTCTATGTTTTCTTCTAGAAGGTTTTACATGTTACATTTAAGACCGTCCATTTTGAATTTAAATATATAAACATTACATCTCTCCCTATAGACATGTCTATGTCTCTATCTCTATCTATATGTAGATAAGGTTTAGGTTAAGGTTTTTTTTTTTTTTTTTGCCTGTGGATATCCAGTTGTTCTGATACCATTTATTGGAAAGGCTATCTTTTCTCTTCCAACATTTTTAAGCTTCAGTGTGGTGTGGTAAACAGGCACTTCAGACTGATTTTACTGCTAAGGAAGCTGAAACCCAGGGAAGCTGAGGGACTGGTTTGAAGTCACACTGCAAGCCATCAACAGATGGGGGCTAACATCCGGGTTTTCATGGTCCAAGTACATTCTATTTTAAAGATGAGAAAACTGAGGCTACTTAGTGCCAAAACAGGCCCTGGCTTCCCACTAGGGGCCACCTTTTTTGTTTTGTTTTGTTTTAATCAGTTCCCAGGGGGCCACCTTTTGTGAAGCAAGTGGACAGGCAAGCAAACAATCAAAAACGAAAGTTCCACATTTTGGCAGTAAAACCTTCATCCCCGCTCCAGTGCCTCCATCTCCACATGAAACTCCTTGGAGCAGGGAGGGTTTGATTGGCTAGGTGCCACAGGGATCAAGCCTGGATCCGAGGAGTGGGTCCTAAATGGGAAAATCGAGTTTGGGGACAGATTGCAGGGGTCTCTTCCTTAGCTTTTAGAGCATGATGACTCTTGTTGGGGAGCCCTGGTTGCAGGCCCCATGAGCCCTGCCCTGGCATGCGGGTGTGTTGGCAGCGTTTGGGGATCATCACTGTGGCCCTGGGAACAGGCTTTTAGCTTAATTCAACCAAGTGTCTTAAAATGGCAACTCATCAGTTAGCTTTCATTTTGTTCCTTTCTTTAATGTATCTCCCTCTAGGGATGAACCACATTGATGTAAATGCTGGGTGATTTTTCCCCCATTTTTAAATTTTGGGGACATATAGGTGATTGTCGACTGTAACAACCCAGCCAAAACCAATAAAAGTATCTCTTTCCTTCATTGAAAGAAAGAGGCTCCCAATAAATCCTGTAAAATGGCAGTGCTTGTGCCCTTTTCTGAGAAGGATGCTGGGGACATGTGCCAAGAGCTGCCGAGAGATCACCCAGCAAGTTATTGGCTTCAGGACACCGAATTTCCCACAAAATAACAGAGAAGCTGTGGGGTGAATAGGGACAGGGACCTGACCCTTCTCCATTACTCAGCTGAGGCCCAAGCCTCTCTCTGGGGAGGGATGCTTGGGGCCTCAGCTTTCTGGATGGTTCCTGGGAAAGTTGGAGTCAGGAGGCCCGAGTTCTAGAAGCAGCTCTGCCAGGGACTGGCTGTGTGGACAGAGGCAAATCTCTTCCCTTCTTTGGGTCCCCTTGGGTCTGACATGAAGGATTAGATGAAACAAGGGGCCTAATGTCACTCCAAATTCTGTGGTACCCACAACATCAGGCTTGTCTCCATCTTGGCCATGAAAATTCCCTTTCCTGTGCCTTAATCCCCTGGCCAGGTACTTCTGCCCTGGAAGATGTGAACACATATTTGCATGTTGGCCACCTCTACAAAGAAAGTCCCACACTTTAGTGGGGATACAGAGGGTCTTTTTAACATCAAACAACAAGTTCTGTACCTGGGAGGAGTGGGTAGTCAGTTCTTATCACAAGCCTCAGCTGCATAGCTGTCCTTTTGTGAAGTAGATGTTGGTCAAACACCACATCCAAAGGGGCCCATCTCCACACTCATCTTCCTGCTAAGCCTAGTCTGTGTGAGAGGGAGCTGGAGGCTGTCCCTGCGCAGGTGAACCCTCTCTCTTAGCCATTTTCCCTCTCTGGGCCTCAGGCTCCTTATCTGTGAAAGGAGAGAGTCGGACCAGCTGGTCTCTGAGGTGCCTTCTGTGGATAGCTCATGATTGTCTGTCTTGTTCTAGACATGCCCCCTGACTTAGGTGGGGTTTCCTGAGAAATAGACTCTGAGGTGGAGATCTCATGCAGCAAGATTTTTAGGGAGTGCCCTTGGTGTCAACACGTGGAGGAAGTGAAGGAAGCAAAAGGAGCAGAAAGAGAAGTTGGGCTGCAATGTGGTGGCAACCAAGGCCTCGGCCAGTCCCATGGGGTGCTCTGGAGAAGGCCCTGCAGAATTGCCCTGCCTTGAGGCAAGAGGGCCAAGCCTTTGAAAGCACCTTCTCTTTAGCCAACTAACCAGGCATTGGAGGTTTGGGGTGTATCCTTGAGCCAAGTGGCTCTCTGTAGCTGAGGATAATTCTAGAGAGTGACTTGGGAATGAGTGCCTCAGTCCTGAAGGGGGTTCTGGGCAGCATACTGTAGCCTTCAACATATCCCTCCTCCTCCTTTCTCCCTAAATACTCCAGCCTGAGATACGTCCATTTCTGGGTTAGAAAATCTAGCCCAGATTTCTGTACTTCTGACTGTCAGCTGCTTCCAGGTTGGACCAGGGTCTGGGCAGCACTAGGACTTGCCTCTCTGCTGCCTCCCTTCTTTGGTTTGCCTGGGACCTGTGCTATGCCAGAGAAGGTGGAGGTTGGGGTGGGTTGCTCAGCAGGGCCCTGGAAGGCAGGAAGCATCTTGTCTTCCACAAACATGGCTGAGTACCAGCTGTGTGCAGGGTACTGGGCACAGTGCTGCTGTGAGAGTCCCAGGGCCCAGATTAGGAAGATCTCTGGCTGAAGGGAGTTCGTATGTGACCTGACCCTTCTGCGGTTCTGTGCCTCAATGTCTCCTTAGGGCAATGATAGGGCATCCTTAAGAACCACAGCCACTTCCCTGGGATGTGGATCCCCCTACATGATGGCTGCAGTCCCCCAAGATTGGACAGTGCATAATTTCAAGAAGGATCTGGAATCCTTCCCCCAAAGACTCCTCCAGGCCAACAGCTGCCATTGAGCTATCACCTTTGCCTCAGCATCAATGGGAATTTCAATTTACAGCCTGTGGCTTTGGAGAGACTTTGTGACAGAAGCCATCAATCTCTGCCTTTCAAATTTATTTTATTTTATTTTATTTTTCCAGCCTGAGCGCCTGTTCTGCTATGAACTCTGTCTAATCACCTCGCAGGCAGTTGAAGGAGAGTGGGTGTCCCCTTGATCTGTGGGGTTTATGTGCATAATTCCCTTTAATTCATCTCAGACGGGTTGGAGAGCCTCGGTTGAGAATGATTTTCAAAGTCTCTCACTGAAGTTCAAAGATGCATTTCTCCAGCCAGACCAGTAAATTATAGGAGCAATTTGCCATGAATTTCCAATGTGGAGCCATTCCTAGTTCCTCTCAGGGTGCAGTCCTCTGTCCCTCATTCCCTCCTGCCAGTGGAGGTGGAGACTGTGGCCTGGTGTCTGGAGAGCATCTCCTCCCAACATTCACTGAACTGTTTATCCCAACCCACTGGTCTTCCTGGCCCCCAACTCTGTTGACCCTCCTGTTCCCCATTTCAATCTTGTCTCGAACCTGTGCTGATGCCTCATTTTTGAGGGTGGGGAGGTCCAGGTCAATTGTACACTCTGGTACAGATAAAACCTTGATCCTGAGTGTATGTCTTCACACTTTATTTGTCTGTATGATAAATGCAATTTCTGCATCAAGACTATCAGTCATTTTCTGATGTGATCTATGCAGCTCTGCTTGAATTGAATCAGCTCCTGTATTATTGTGACAGTTTATTTGGTAAGAAAATGAAATAAGATGTGTAAATTAAAGTGGAGGTGTGCTCTGTGCAATGTGGAGGTTCCCAGGGCTCAGGTGGTCCCTCTGGGGGCATTTCCATTCTCTGTTCTTTCTCCTCTTTTTTCCACTCCTTGCACTGGGCTCACAGCTCTACTGCCTTCTAAGCTCAGGTCTAAGAGACCAATGCGAAGATACAAAGCGATGGCTGAGGGAAGGTAAAGATGCTGGGATAGTGTCAAGAGCCCAGCAGATAAAAAGTGAAAACGCACTGAGACTAGAACTCAGATTAAGCTTTGTGGTCTTAATACAGAGGGCTGCAGAGAGCGCGTATGAGTGTGTGGGAGGAGGCGTTAGAGCTCCAGATGAGAGGTTAATGGTAAAGAGAACATCAAGACTCTTTACCTGTGCATTCCATGTGCTTCTGCCTCCCTCCTGCTCCTCAGCCCTTGCCATGCAGGACCATTGCTGACCTAGGGTAGCAATCCTTTTCTTTTTCCTTCTCTGCACCCCTCCCCTCCCCTATTCTTCCCTCCTCTCCTCTTACCCCCATCTTCTTTCCACACACACTCATTTCTCTCCAGCTCTGAGCTGGGCCTTGAGTGCAGTGTTAGTGCAGGAGGAAGGGGCAGCCTGTACCCTGTGCGTGGCAAGGGTGCCCACAGTGTCCTGAGTTCCTTTGAGGAGAGGCCGGTCTTGGGGTGAGATGGCAAATAAACACACACAAGATGATGCAGTGAGAAGGAGGGTGTGTGGGAGCTCCCAGGAGAGAGGAGGTGTCTCTGCCTGAACAGTCCTTGGCAGCAATGGATCCTACCTGGCTGGCTTTACCTATAAGTAATCTCAATTAATCAAACCACCACTTCTCTCCTCCCAGAGGCCTGCCCCTTCTTCTTCTGCTGTGTCATTCCAGCTGCTGCTGCACAGGCCTCAGCCAGGAAAGCAAGGGCTTCCCCCTGCCCGAGACCTCCCAGATCACATCGTGAGAGTCATTTCCCCTGCAGCATGAGGACCAGAACTGGGAGGGGTCAGGCTGGGAGCAAGAAACCACCTACAGCAAGGACAGGGACGAATTTTGTCCTCAGAAGTGGCCTGCTCTGGCCAGGCACAGTGTAATCCCTGTAATCCCAGTACTTTGGGAGGCTGAGGCGCAGACCACCTGAGGTCAGGAGTTTGAGACCAGCCTGGCCAACATGGTGAAACCCTGTCTCTACTAAAAGCACAAAATTAGCCGGGTGTGGTGGTGGGCACCTGTAATCCCAGCTACTCGGGAGGCTGAGGCAAGAGAATCACTTGAACCCGGGAGGCAGAGGTTGCAGTGAGCCAAGATTGTGCCACTGCACTCCAGCCTGGGCAACAAGAGTGAGACTCCATCTCAAAAAAAAAAAAAAAAAAAAAAGTGGCCGGCTCATTTTGGGCATATCTAACTGCTTCTGAGGTCTCAGGGAGAGGAGAAGGGTTGGCGGCCATATCCTTACCAAGGGGTAGGTTTCTCTGGTTTGGGAGCCATCTTGGGGCCTCTGAAAGTTCCAGGGGATAGTCATTGGCAGTGTTGCCCTGGGTGGAGGCACTTCTCAGCTTAGCTCCTGGCAGGGTGGAGAGAGCTTGCTGAGCTGAATCCTCTGAAATGGCACTGTCTAATGTTGTAGCTACTAGTCACATGTGGTTATTTAAATTAAAATTAATTAAAAATAAATAAAATAAACAATTTAAGGCTGGGTGTGGTGGCTTGCACCTGTAATCTCAGTGCTTTGGGATGCTGAGGCAGGAGGATTGTTTGAAGCCAGGAGTTCAAGACCAGCCTGGGCGACATGGCGAGACCCCCTTCTCTACAAAAAAAAAAAAAAAGTTTCTGGATGGAAAAGGAGATATATCATGCAAACACTAATCAGCACAAAGCAGGAGTGCCTATATCACTATCAGACAAAAAGTTCTGTTGGGCTGAGTTGGAGATTGCCAACTCCACGAGGGCAGAAATTTTGTCTGTGTTGTTCACTGCTGTGTCCTTACCGTCTGGAAGAATCCCTGGCACATAGTAGGCGCTCAGTATTTGGACACTTGAGGAGTGCTAGCCTTGATGCTGCCACCATCTTTCTGTGTGAACGGGGACACACTGCTTCCCCTCTCTGGGTCTCTTCATCCATAAATTGAAGGGTTGGCCTCATCTCTGGCATCCTTTTCAGCTTTAATGAGCTATGATCTGAAGTATCTAGTTGGCTGATTTCATTTATTTTATTCACGAGGAGGGGCCAGAGAGAGCAGGAGAGGATGAGGTGGCAGATTTGATTTTTGATTTCAGGTCTCAGTTAGCTGTGGCTCACCAGCACTTCCCCAGTGCAGGGATTTGCAGGCCTCATCTCCTGCGGCCTCTCCTTTCTGCCCGTCCTTTGTCCACAATTTCCCGATATCACCAAACAGCTTCTTGGCCCTCCCTCGCAGATCTACAGGACTGGAAGCCTGGGCGGGGCATGAGGGGCTCACCCCATTCACATAGCTTGGTCCTCCCTGCCTCCACTGTCTGGAACCTGCAGCTGTTTCTCCCTTTGGATACCTTCTGTGTTCCGTGGTTTAAGGTAAACTGCTGGAGCCTTCAACTTGAGTCCCAACTGCTGGTGCTCCTGTATGGCTGGGGGGGAGTCCCTGGCAGGAAGTCCCTGGCAGTGGGGACTCTGTGCTGGCTGCCACCTCAGGACATCTGCCAGCAAGCCTCTGGGGGATGGGCCCTGACATGGGGATGCCGCGTGTGCGGATGCAGGCCAGGCAAAGACTTGGCAGTGGGGGTGGAAGGAAGCGCATTCTTGTGTTACTGGGGGGCTCTGTGCCAAGAGGAGAAAAATAAATGTAATTACCTTCACTACTGGGATCCTGGCAGAGTGAGGGGCCAGCCCAGCCTGGCTCTAGGGCTCTGCAGGCTGAGGGTTTGGTCATGCTAGGAGGAGAAGCCTCCTTTATCTTCTCTCTTTCTTAGAGGCCTAGGGTAGGGCCAGGGAGGGCACCCTAGCTTCCCTTTTGCAGCCAGTCCCCCCACGATGCACCCAGCTTGTGCTGATGGGGATGGGAGAATACAATCCAGAGGGCGGAGAGATGATAGGTGGGTGCCAAGTCCCACCTCTGTGTGCTGGGCCTGGGGTTCGGCCGTGGTGTGTAAGTGGCTGTGTGTGAGAGGGGTCCGCCATCCCTTTGGGTCTCTCTGATTGCCACTTGCTCCCTGACACCCGTCCCTTGTTGCCCTTCCTTGCCCTGCCCTCTGCCCTGGAGAGGCTTGCTCTTGTGTGGGCTCCCTTGCTTTCTGTCTTTGGGTTGGGTTTGGCCAATGGGAGGCCCTGCGGGAGACTGGCGGGCGGGAGGAGAGGGAGGTTGGGCTGTCTCCCCCTGCCTGGGCCCTGGCAGTGGCTGCATCCTCACAGTCCCCCTTGCTCTCAGCTAAATGCTTTTGAGAGAAATTCTGGTGGTCTCTTTGAGTCTTGAGAGTTTTGATTTTGTTTCATTAGGTCTGTGCTGTGGTCTGTATGAGTGATTTGGGTCCTTAGGGTAGTGAGTCAGTATATTCTTCTGTGACTTCTCTGACAGGGGTAGTTATGTAGAGAAGGGAACATGAAATGAGCCTTAGCGTAGCATTTTGAATATACCCAGGAGAGGGTGAGGGCTACCACTTTCATGAGACTTCCTTGTGTACCATGTGGGTCAGGAGAGTGTCTTACTCAGGGTCATAGTCAAAATATTTGACAATTAGCACATCATAGCACCGACCAATCAGAATGAGGCATTGAGCTGTGTGACTGGGCTGGCTTCCCACCTCTGCCTGGGAGCACCCCTCCTGGGGAGGGAACGGTGACTGGCTGAGAGACCCTCGGCTTCCTTGAGTGCAGCTCACATTGGATGATTTTCTTTTTTTTTTTTTTTTTTGAGACTGAGTCTCACTCTGTCACCCAGGCTGGAGTGCAGTGGTGCCATCTTGGCTCACTGCAAGCTCCCCCTCCCGGGTTCACGCCATTTTCCTGCCTCAGCCTCCTGAGTAGCTGGGACTACAGGTGCCTGCCACCATGCTCGGCTAATTTTTTTGTATTTTTAGTAGAGACGGGGTTTCACCGTGTTAGCCAAGATGGTCTCGATCTCCTGACTTCGTGATCCGCCCACCTTGGCCTCCCAAAGTGCTGAGATTACAGGCGTGAGCCACCAAGCCCGGCTGGATGATTTTCTTTCTTATGGCCAATGGCAGAGGCTTGTCTTAGAGGGAAAAAATGCAAAGAAAACAAGTTAATATGTATGTGATACCTCCAGGGGAATGGAGGTGGCAGTGGGAGAGGAGGTGCCTGGAGGTTTCTGGTGAGGTGCACCTTGGAGTGGTCTTTGGGAGGGCCAAAGCCCCTCTCTTCTTACCTCTGGAGTGTAGGCAGCTGGTTGCCTAGGAGGGCAGCTGGTCCAGAGCAGGCTAGAAGTAGGAATGTGTGGCAGGGCTGACACCGTACTCTAAATTCATCCTTGACTACTAGTTTTTTCTTGCCATCTGTGACTTGCTTCTTCCCCTTGTCCTGAGGGCTCAAGTCCAGCTCTTCCTGGAACCAGTGGCCCTGGCGATATTCATTGCTGGGAATTACCTAGAAGGCAGAGATGTTGCCATGTTTGCCTTTCATTCTAATGTGCTTCCTGCTCCTGAGAGGAGGACATACTGCGGTAAGAATTCCAGGGAGGAATCTAGCCTTGGGAGGGTAGCCCCTCTTCCTGGGCCTCGGTTTCCCCAGATGATCTTGAAAGTCCCTCTCCCCTTTAAAATCCTGTCTCTGCAGAATGCAGTCGATTTTCCTTTGAGTGCAGGGGATCATTCCACCCATGCTTCCTTACCCAGAATCCTTCATACAGCCGAGCTTTCACTTTGCAAGATACTTGGCCTGGGGTGGTTGGGAGGTGGTTGGTGGTGGAGCATCGAGATGATTCCCACCCCTGCTCCCCTTAGCGATCAAACTTTGTTCCTCTGGTTCTAGAATCCTGATAAGTGGGCCTAAGAAGCTGTCATTCCCAGGCAAGGCTGGGACTAGAGTGAGACAGGCAGGGCACTTAGGGTCAACACTTAAGGAAGCACTCACTCTCAGGTGCTGACCCTGCCACTGGACACCCTGAGAGTGAGCGCCTCTTTACATTTGTTTGAGTTAAGGTCCTGTTTCGAGATATTTGTAGATTCACATGCAGTTGAAGAAATTATACCCTTTACTCAGTTTCCTCCAATGGTCACATCTTGCAAAACCATAGTACAGTGTCATAACCAGGATATTGACATGAATGTAGTCAAAATATAGAACATTTCCAGGCCTGGTGCAGTAGCTCACACCTGTAACCCCAACACTTTCGGAGGCTGAGGCAGAAGGATCGCTTGAACTCAGAAGTTTGAGACCAGCCTGGGCAACATAGAGAGACCTCATCTCTACTAAAAATTAAAAGTAAAAAATTAGCCAGGTGTGGTGGTACACATCTGTAATCCTAGCTACTTGGAAGGCTGAGGTGGGAGGATCACTTGAGCCCAGGAGATGGGGGCTGCAATTATGTTTGCACCATGCATTCCAGCCTGAGTGACAGCAATGAGAAGAGAGGAAAAAAAAAAAAACATTTCTGTCACCACAAGGATCTCTCCTGTTGTTCTTTTATAGCTTCACTCACTTCCCTCCCACCCTTACCCCTTCCTAAACCCCAGGCAACCACTAATCTTATTTCCTTTTCTATTATATTCTCATTTCAAGAATGTTATATAAATGGAGTCCTATAGTATGTAACCTTTATGAATGGCATTTTTCACTTAGCATAATTCTCTGGAGATTTATCCAGGTTGTTGATTTATCCATGGTTTGTTCCTTTTATTGTTGAATAGTATTTTATGGTATGATTGTACCATAGTTTGTTTAACTATTCACTCTTTGAAGGGCATCCAGGTTATTTCTAGTTTTTGGCTGTTACAAATAAAGCTACTATCAACATTCTTGTATAGGCTTTTGTGTGAACACAAGTCTTCATTTCTCTGGGATGAATGCTGAGGAGCGTAATTGCTCATATGGTACTTGCGTGTTTAGTTTTTTTTGTTTTTTTTTTTTAAGATGGAGTCTTGCTCCGTCGCCCAGGCTGGAGTGCAGTGGCGCGATCTTGGCTCACTGCAAGCTCTGCCTCCTGGGTTCACGCCATTCTCTTGCCTGAGCCTCCCAAGTGGCTGGGACTGCAGGCGCCCGCCACCACGCCCGGCTAATTTTTTGTATTTTTAGTAGCGATGGGGTTTCACCGTGTTAGCCAGGATGGTCTCGATCTCCTGACCTTGTGGTCCACCCGCCTCAGCCTCCCAAAGTGCTGGGATTACAGGCGTGAACACCGTGCCCGGCCTGCATGTTTAGTTTTTAAAGAAACTGCCAAACTATTTTCCAGAGTAGCTGTAGCCTTTTATATTCCGAGCAGCAATGTATGAGTGATATAGTTTCTTTATGTCCTTGTCAGCATTTGGTCATTGTTTTGTTTTGTTTTTTAGCTACTCTAGCTGGGACATGTTTTTATTTATTTTTTATTTTTTACTTTTTTGAGATGGAGTTTCACTCTTGTTGCCCAGGCTGGAGCGCAATGGCATGATATTGGTTCACTGCACACCTCCCAGGTTCAAGCGATTCTCCTGCCTCAGCCTCCTGAGTAGCTGGGATTACAGGTGTCCACCACCACGCCTGGCTAATTTTTGTATTTTTAGTAGAGACGGGGTTTCGCCATGTTGGCCAGGCTGGTCTCAAACTCCTGACCTCAGGTGATCTGCCCACCTTGACCTCCCAAAGTGCTGAGATTACAGGCATGAGCTGCCACTCCCAGCTGGGACATGTTTTTAAATCCACTTTGCCAATCTCATCCTCTCCTGTCCCTCAACTCTGATTTATTTTTCAATTTCTCTTTTAATTAGTGTATTTAGAACATTTACATTTGATGTAATTATTGATACATTTTTCATTTATCATTTTATTTTTGTTTTCTGTTTTTCTTTTCCCTCTTTTTCTGGTCTTCTTGGGGATTATTTAATATTTTAAAATTCCATCTTGATTTATCTATAGTGTTTTTGAGTATATCTTTGCATAGCCTTTTAAATGGTTGCTCTAGGTATTTCATTATATACACAAAACATCAGTTTTCTCATGTTGTCATTTTACCAATTTGAATGAAGTATAGAAACTTTATCTCTCTTTATATCCCTTTAGACTTCCCCATGTATAATATAATTGTGTTAAATATTTCCTCTAGATAGATTTAATACAGCTTAACTTCAATAGTATACAAAAACTTTGTTCCTATATAGTTCCAGTCTCTGCTTCTTCTTCTTTTTTTTTTTTTTTCTGAGGCACAGTCTCACTCTGTTGCCTGGGCTGGAGGGCAATGGTGTGATCTCAGCTCACTGCAACCTCCACCTCCCAGGTTCAAGCAATTCTTCTGCCTCAGCCTCCCCAGTAGCTGGGACTACAGTGTATACTACCACACCTGGCTAATTTTTGTATTTTTTTTAGTAGAGACAGGGTTTTGCCATGTTGCCCAGGCTGGTCTTGAACTCCTGACCTCAGATGATCCACCCGCCTTGGCCTCCCAAAGTGCTGGGACTACAGGCGTGAGCCACCATTCCCGGCCTCTCCTTCTCCTTTATGCCAGTAATTGTCATACGAATTACATCATACATTCTGTGCCCATCAACAGTATTTGTAATTATTGCTTTTGGCATTGTCTTTTAGATCATATAGGTAAAAAAAGTTACAACAAAAATAGGTTTATACAGTCTTTTATAATTACCTATGTAGTTACATTTAGTGACGTTCTTTATTTTTTACGTGGATTCAAGTTACTTATCTAGTGTTCTTTTATTTCAGCCTGAAAGACTTCCTTTAGTAGTTCTTGTAGGGAAGATTTGCTAGTAATGAGTTCTGTCAGTTTTTGTTTATCCAGAATGTCTTAGTTTATTCATTTTTGTATAGTAGTTTTGCTGGTTATAGAATTCTAGGTTGACTATCTTCTACTTTCAACATTTTGAAGACATACATCTTACTGCCTTCTGGCTTCTATGGATTTGATGAGAAAACAGCTGATAATCTCATTGAGTTTCATTGTACAGGACGAATTGCTTCTCTTTTGCTGCTTTCAAGAGTCTGTGTTGGTCTTTATCTTTTAACAGTTTGATTATGATGTGTCTAGGTGTGGATCTCTTTGTGATTATCCTACTTGGAATTTGTTGAGCTTCTTGGATGTGTAAATTAATGTTTTGCATTAAATTTGGGAAGTTTTCAGCTATTATTTCTCTCTATATTTTTTCTGCCTTTCCTCTACTCTCCTTTTGGGACTCCCATTATGTGTGTATTGACATGCTTCATGGCGTATTATGGCTTTCTGAGGCTCTGTCATTTTTCTTCATTCTTTTCCATTCCGACTAGATAATTTCACTTGAGCTATCTTCAGGTTTACTGATTCTTTCTTCTGGCTGCTCAAAGCTGCTGCTGAGCTCTTCTAGTGAGTTTTAAATTTTTTGAATTTTTTAATTTTTAAGTCTCTCTCTGTTGCCCAAGCTGGAGTGCAGTGACACGATCTCAGCTCACTGCAACCTCCACTTCCCGGATTCAAGCGATTCTCCTGCCTCAGCCTCCTGAGTAGCTGGGACTACAGGCGTGCGCTACCATGCCTGGCTAATTTTTTTTTGTACTTTTAGTAGAGACGGGGTTTCACTATGTTGCCCAGGCTTGTCTCGAACTCCTGACCTCGTGATCCACCCACCTTGGCCTCCAAAGTGCTGGGATTACAGGTGTGAGCCACCACGCCTGGCCTCTAGTGAGTTTTTTATTCTGGTTATTGTACTTTTTGAACTCCAGAATATCTGTTTAGTTCTTTTTAAAAAAATAACTTCTGGCTGCTTTCAATTGTTTTTCTTCATCTTTAATTTTCAGAAGTGTAATAATCATGCATCTTAGAATGGATTTCCTTGAGTTTATCTTGTTAGGGGTTTGCTTCTGAATCTGTAGGTGAGTGTCTCTTGCCAAATTGATGGAGTTTTCTCTCATTATTTCTTTAAGCACTCTTTCAGCCCTGCTTTCTTTTTCTTCTTCTTTTTCCTCTTGCTCTTCTCCTTCTGATGACACAGATGTTATATATTTTGTTATAGTCCCATAAGCCCCCGAAGCTGCATTTTTTTCAAGTCTGTTTTCTCCCTGTTATTCAGAATGGGCAATTTCTGTTGTTTTGTTTTCCAGTTCACTGCTGCTTTTCTCTGCCCCTCTATTCAGCTGCTGAGTCCACCCACTGAGATTTTTATTTCAGTTATGTTTTTCCATTTTGTCCTTTATGCCTTGCATTTCTTTGCTGAGATTTTTTGTTTCGTTCATTTGTTTCAAGCATGTTCATAAGTGCTCAAAGAAACATTTTTGTAATGGTTGCTTTGAAATCTTTGTCAGATAATTTTTAACATCTCTGTCATTTTGGAGTTGACATTTATTGATTGTTCTTTTTCATCCAATTTGATATTCTCCTGGTTTTTGGTATGGTGAGTGATTTTGTATTGAAACCTGGACATTTTCATGTTATAATATGAGACTCTATATCTTAATTAAACCTCTGTGTCAATTGACTTTGTCTGACAACTCTGGCAGGGGAAGGAGGTGGGGCTGCTTTGTTACTGACAGGTAGATGTAGAAATCTAGATTCCCCGCTTGTCCTCTGTTGACACCAAAGAGTGAGGGCACCTACTTGTGCCAGCTGAGCACGGGTAGGAGTTCCACCTCACCACATGGTCTCCACTGACACTGCAGGGGGCAGTTTGTTACTAGCTGGAGAAGGTGAAAGTTTCAGCTCCTTTCTTGGTCTTCTCTGATACCACCAGCGAGTGTGTTGAGGTGCCTTGTACAACCTTGAGAAGACAGAAGTCTGGGCTTCCCTCTTGGCCTTTGCTTGTGGGCCCACAGTTGGTGTTTGGCTGGAGTTGAATGGCTGTTATCCCCACCACCCCCAAGACAGGATCTCGTTCTGTCTCCCAGGCTGAATTGCAGTGGTGCAATTATAGCTCATTGTAACCTCAAATTCCTGGGCTTGTGTGATCCTCCCACCTCAGCCTTCCAAGTATCTTGGACTATCCAGGTACGTGCTACCATGCCCGGCTAAGTTTTTAAATTTTTTATAGAGACAGGGTCTTGCTATATTGCCCAGGCTGATCGCAAACTCCTAGCCTCAAGTGATCCTCCTGCCTCAGTCTCCCAAAGAGCTGGAACTCCAGGCATGAGCCACTGTGTCTGACTGAGTGGCTATTATCTAAAAGTTTCTTGTCTTGCTAAGCTGCCCCTTTCTTAGTCCTCTGGCAAGAGAGAGCAGGATTTTGTTGGTGTTTTTTGTGTATGCTCCTATTGGCATTTCTGGGTTCCTAGTGTCTTTAGCTCCAAATCAGGGATATATGGAGCAAAAAAAAAAAAAAAAAAAATTCAACCCAAGGAACACACCACCATGTTGTTCCTTGGGGCTTAAAGTTCCTAGTTGCTTTGGCCTCTTCCCTCTACCTTTCACAGTCTTCTTATGTTTGTTTTACATGTAATGTCCAGGGGTTTTAGTTGTGCTTAGCAGAAGGAATAGGGAAAAATATGCTTACTTTATCTCTCTGGAAGTGGAAATCCTTCCTTAAATTTTGAGTCTCATTGTCTCTTGCTAGACCGGTGGTCTTCCCAAGTAGGGAAATGCAGAAGAGGACAAGAATGAATGTTGATGGAGGCCCCTGGGTGCTGTGTGCTTCTGCATGTGCAAGTTTATTGAGTTCTCATGACTTGGTAAGGATGGTTTCATTATTCCCTCTTTACAGGTACGAATAACCTGAGGCTCAGAGAGAGTAGGTTCAGGCAGGTAGGCGGGCCTGTACTGGCCTTGAACCCAGTGCACATGCCTTTTCTACCACAGGTCACTCAGCAGCTAAAATCTAGGTTTGCTACTGGTATCACAAGGCCTGGAAACGTGGTTTATAACTGCTTCTTCTTTTTTTTCTTTTTCTTTTTCTTTTTTATTTTTGAGACAGGGTCTTGTTCTGTCATCCAGGTCGGAGTACAGTGGCACAATCTCGGCCCACTGAAACCTCTGTCCCACCCTGGGCTCAAGTGATCCTTTCACCTCAGTCTTCTGAGTAGCTGGGACTACAGGTGTGTGCCCCAACATGTGGCTAATTTTTGTGCTTTTTGTAGAGACGGGGTTTCACCATGTTGCCCAGGTTGGTTTCAAACTCCTGGGCTCAAGCGATCTGCCTGTCTCAGCCTCCCAAAGTGCTGTAATTACAGGTGTGAGCCACAGCATCTGACTATTATCTTTTTTGTAGAACCTTTTTTTTTTTCCCCCTTTAATAGAGATGAGATCTTACTGTCTTGCCCAGGCTAGTCTCAAACACCTGGGCTCAAGTGATCCTCCCATCTTGGCCTCTCAAAGTGCTGGGATTACAGGCGTGAACCACCACACCTGGCCCACAGAAACATTTTAAAATAAATTATATCAAGATATTCACTCCTATGTCAACATACATCTCCAAAAATCCCCACATTTTCCTACATAATCACAATAATCACAAGAACATTATTGCAACTGACAAAATTAATAATTTTCTAATATCTTCTAGTATCTAATCCATATTAAAATTTTCTCTATTGTCACCCAAATGTCTCTTATAGCTATTCATTATTGCATTGGTTGTTTGGTCCCTTTGTCTTGTTTAACCTGGGTTGGTTTCTGACCTTTGAAGAGTTTTGTTTTGGCTGATTTTGGTGGAGAGGGTAGAAAGGAGCAAAGGTGCTTAGGGGGTCAAAGCTGGGACTCTCTGACTCAGTTTCTCTCTGGGGACCTCTGGTCAGAGTTCTCCTTGGGATCCTGTCTTTCTTGTAAGCAGGTAAGCTGTGGTGCAGGAGAGGGCCTGAGAGTTCACCCTCACATACTCAGAGTTTAGATTTAGGACAACTTAGACTTTGTACACCAGCTCCTGCCCTGGGACCCCAGAGTCTGACTAGAAGGCCTCAGTTGCCAGTTCCAAATGAAAGAACAAAAATTGACTCATGCTGTTTCTTGAGAAGCCAGAGTGGTGGGTGCAATTCAAAGTGACTTTTCCCTTCCACTGCAAAGAATTTATCATGCCCGTAAAAACCACACGGTAGCCTGCATGTGAGGCGGGCCCTCGGAATCAGTGGCCCGATGCTCTCCGACCTCCATGAAGGTCTCAGCTCCTACCCCACTTGGGGGTGGCTGAGTGCGCAGGCTCAGGCAGCTGGGATGGCAGAGGTGCTTTGGGATTGCTGGGGTGGGCACAGGGGCAGGGGGTTGAGGTATGTGAGTACTGGGGCTGACTTTTGTGAGTCCAGGATCTGGAAACTCCTCTCCTCGGACGGTGAACTGAGGATGAGGTAGCTGTTCTGTGTAGAGCTTTCTGTAGCTAAGAGAGTGTAGGCTGGGGGTGGGAGAATAGCACCCGTCTTACAGCCAGATGCCTCTAGCCAGTTCCTTCAGGCCCTGGAGGGTGGAAAGACCAGGTCAGCACGGCTGAAATAAGTGGCGTCTTTTCCTGACATGGTTCATACCTGCTTTCTACATGCTGCCTCGGTGCCAAATGGGCCAGACCATCGCCCTCTGAGAGGCTACTTACCTGCCTGTGGGCGCCAGAGCTTCTGGAGAGGGGAGCAGAGTCCTGACTGGCAGTCCTGAAAGAAACTGACCAGTCCTGAAGGAAATCCAGCCAGAGGCCCGAAGGAAGTTTCCAGAAAGGGAAGGACTTCCTCGACATTCTGTATTGGTTGGACAGTTGGGGATCAGGGAGCTGTTGCTCAGAGATACTGAGGGAAAGGAGGGTGAGCAGGATGTTGGGGAGGCCAGAGGCAGGTGTGCTGGGGCCAGGGCCACCCCTAGGGGTCACGGAGACTGAAGAGCAGACTGCCAGGCCAGCTGCAGCATGCTCCTTCCCTCCAGAGGGGCTGGAGTGCTGCCCACTCCTCATTCTGCCTGAGTGGCTGTTACCAAGGAGAACGGAGCCCAACCTTAGCATGGAGGGCCGTCATGCCCGCTCACCACGGGTGTGATTGCTCTCTACTGCCATTAAATATTTCATTGTGAAAACACAGGGGTTCAAATGGGCTGCCAAGCAGGCACTGGGCATTGATTACTCTAATGGCTGGTGGCTGCCTGTGTGGTGTGTGTACGCATTTGGGGTTGTATATGCACATATTGTCTACATATATGGTGGGTGTGCACAGGTAAGGTATTGGTGCATGCATGTGTGATGAGTATGTGTGTGTGTATCACTTGTGTGTGTGTGTGCATGCACGCGTGAATGTACATTGGGGGTCTCAGCACTTACCATGGCTTCAGCCCCCCATCTGCCATTCCTCTTTCCTAGAATTCTGCTCTCCTGGGACACTGGAGAAAGCCACCCCACCCCACCGGGATCAAGAGCTAGGTCTGGAGGCAGGTTTTTTTTTTTTTTTTTTTTTTTTTTTTTGAGATGGAGTCTTGCTCTGTCGCCCAGACTGGAGTGCAGTGGCACAATCTTGGCTAACTACAGCCTCCGCCTCCTGGGTTCAAGTGATTCTTCTGCCTCAACCTCCCGAGTAGCTGGGACTACAGGCTCGCACCAACATGCCTGGTTAATTTTTTTTTTTTTTTTTTTGGGATTTTTAGTAAACAGGGTTTCACCATATTGGCCAGGCTGGTCTCAACCTCCTGACTTTGTGATCCACCTGCCTCGGCCTCCCAAAGTGCTGGTATTACAGGCATGAGCCACCGTACCCGGCCTGGAGGCAGGTTTTTAATGGCAGGCCACATGTCAGGGTGTCGGCAGGGAGAGGTGCCATCATTGCAGAGCGGCAGTGGTTCTTTTGTTACACTTTCCTTTCTAGCTGTGGTTTCACAGCTCCTCCATCACCCCTTTATCCCTTGAGCATCACCCCTGTCCAGTGCTGCTTGGCCTCAGCACCCCTGGGTGCCGTGTGCCTCATCCTACCCTTTCTTCCCCCTGGTGTCTCCTACCCTGTGTCAATCCCTCCCTACCCCAACAATCTTCTGAGAGCAACTGTGGGTGGGGGCTTCCTCTGCAGCCTCGAAACAGCCTCTCCAGCCCCACATTCTGCAGGAGGAGGAAGGACCAGGGAAAGATAACAGTGGAGGAGGGGCTGTGCTCCTGAGGCTGAGGCCTGGAGGAAGAACAGGGCGAGAGGGATAGGTGAGCTGGACTTGTGGTGGGATGAGGGAGAAGCGAGGACCTCAGTGGGGTCTGCGGAATTACGGGACCTAATTACCCAAGCAGTGAGGGCTTCTGGTCTTGGTCTGTCATCACACACCAGGGCTGGTCCTTTGGAGACCCTTTCCTTATGATCCTGAGTCACATGGAGGCCATGTGGTCCTGACTCTACTCGCCACCCTACCTTCTGAATGGGGTGTACATGCAGGGGCAGCCCAGCCATCTGGCCTTGGGCTCGTGTCTGAATACTTCTGTTTGGCAGTGGGGAGGGCTGAGGGGTACTTTGGATCTCAGTGGCAATAATCTCTAGGGACAACCTGACCTCACCCAAGACTCCATGATGCATGCTGGGCTTTAGGGCTGGAAGGAACCTCAGAGGCGATTCACCAACCCCTACCTCAGAGTGAGCTTGCTCATACCCGGCCCACTTCTGCACCCCGCTGGAGTCAGGAATCACCTCAGTTTGTGGTTTAACAGCCATGCTAATAATAGGAAGGTTCTGCCTTAAGTTTAACTTCACTCCTTCATGTAGAAGTATAATCTCTTTTGACTCTTCCAGTGGAGATGGAGGTGGCTGCTGTTGTCACAGCCTCCTTGTTGGGTAGCCTAGGCTCTGTCATTCCTGTCACCTCCCTGGAACTAAGGCGGGGGGAGGGATGAGGATAACTGATCATGAGGTAAGACCCCTGAATTACTAGAGAAAATAACTACCTAGGAAAAGTATAATCATTTCTCTCGAAGAAACCATACCTGATTATCCCCTAGAGAGTCTTACAAGGAGTGAAAAAATGTAAGCAAGCAGGAATCAATACATACAATTCAGATTTCAAAACAGTCTTTGGGTTTACAGTACAAGCTCTCATAAGAAAACCACTGTTTGTTTCTGTTTTATTTGTGTAAATGTAAAAGTAAAACTTGTTCTTTACAAAAAACTACAAAAACCCAGAAACGTATAAAGTAGAAAACCAAAATCAGCTGTGATTCCGTAAAGCAGGGCCTAGCTCAGTGCCACACACATAAGGAGCCTCACTGGAGAATTGTTGAACCATTGAAGGAGGCAAAGGCAAACAAAGCTTCTGGCAACATTTTGGTATGTTTCCTTCTAGGCTTGTTTTCTGTGAATATTGACGTATTCATAGTTGAGGTTATACCGTATACAGATTTGTATATAGATCTGCTTTTGCATTTCATCTTATAACTTGAGAATTTCCTAATGTTATTATAAGGTTGTAATTGGCTGCTGATAGATCATCTTGTAGATATACCATATTTTATTTTATTTTATTTTATTTTATTTTTGCCAAACCCCTACTGGTAGATATTTAGATTGTTTCTAGTTTGGACTATATTATGTAATATTTCAAGGGACTTTTTTTACATTGTTAGCATATCTTTTTTTGTTTGTTTGTTTTTTGTTTTTAAGATAGGGTCTGATTCTGTTGCCCAGGCTGAAGTGCAGTGGTGCAATCATGGCTCACTGCAGCCTCCATCTCCTGGGCCAAACCAATCCTCCTGCCTCAGCCTCCCGAGTAGCTGGGACCACAGGAACACATCACTATGCCCAGAGAATTTTTAAATTTTTTTGTTAGTGTTGGTGTGCCTTAACTACACAATTACTCACATAAATAGAGATCTGGGGCTTTGGTCTTGGCTGTGGGCCCAGGAACTGGTTCTGGCAGTGGGAGCCTCTGGGCTGGCTTGGGGAGCAGGGTCCTGGCCCAGTTGATGGCCAGTCAGTTTACTGGAGTCTCTGAAACATCAAGGCAGGAGAGCAAGCCAGAGATTGACAGCAAATAGCAGCGGAGTGGAGACTTGACGGACGTGGAGGCTAGAAAAACACCCAGGGCACTAGGACTGGGAGGAGAGGAGGGTGGGGAATGGGGAGATTTTCAGCTATGGCATCTACATTTTTTGGATTATCCACTGCTCTTTATAAAAGAAGTTTTGAACTCTAATATACGTCAATTTATGAATGAAGTATATATGTACTACTTATCAATGAACACTAAATAATTAATAAAATTATTTTTCTCCATTTAGAGAAAATAATTCAGACAGGAGATATGTTTTTTTTCCCTTGCATGCCACAGACCCCTTTGCCCCTTTGGAGAACACCTGCTATCAAGAGTTGAGGGGCTGAGCCAGGCCAGGAAGAGGTTGTAGGGCCCCAGTGCAATTAGGAGGACCTCCAGAGGGAGAGAAAGGGCCTCTGGGTGAATTCAGAGTCACACCCAGTGGCTTACTCCAGAGATGATTATTTAACTTTTTTACAAGTGATTTGAAAGTCAGCATTCAGCCTGGGCATGGTGGCTCATGCCTGTAATCCCAGCACTTTGGAAGGCCATGGCAGGCGGATGGCTTGAGCCCAGGAGTTTGAGAGCAGCCTGGGCCACATAGTGAGACACAGTCTCTAGAAACAAAAGGAGGCTGGGCTCGGTGGCTCACACCAGTAATCCAGCACTTTCGGAGGCGAGGTGAGTGGATCATTTGAGGTCAGGAGTTTGAGACCAGCCTGGGCAACATGATGAAACCCCGTCTCTATCAAAAACAAAAAAATTAGCCAGGTGTGGTGGTGCATGCCTGTAGTCCCAGCTACTAGGGAGGCTGAGGCAGGAGAATCACTTGAACCCAGGAGACAGAGGTTACAGTGAGCTGAGATTGCGCCACTGCACTCCAGCCTGGGCGACAGAGTGAGACTCCGTCTCAAAAACGAAAAACAAAAAACAAAAAAGAAAGTGACTTCGATGAATGAGCTTCAGGCTTGCTGATGACGTTGAGATCACATGGGTGGTGAAGTACCAAGGTAGGAAACAAACCAGCTATGGGGGAAACTGAAGAGGTTTGTGCGCGATCAGAGAAATGGTAGATGAGGGACAAAGTGTCTGAGTATAAAGAAATAGATTCATAGCAGTGGTTTCCAACCCAGGGTCCCTTTAAGAAGTATACCCAGAATTTCCAAAAGAATCTCCCCGCCTCTGTTGAACGTTTGTCTATGTTAAGGGACCATTTTTCTCTGCTTTTATTTGAGACTGTCAAGTTCACATGGTAGGTAGTCTTCACGCTGATCAGAGCTCTTGACTGGTAGTTATGAATGCCTTTGATTAAAATTGGAAAAACTGTTTCAATTATTTGTTTATGTATTTATTTATTGAGATGGGGTCTCACTGTAGTGCCCAGGCTGGTCTTGAACTCCTGAGCTCTAGCGATCCTCCCACTGCGGCCTTCCAAGTAGCTGGGATTACAGGCATGCACCAGCGTGCCCAGCTTTCAATTATTTCTTGATAAATATAACTTGTTCTGTGGGCAAAATTTCTTGAAACCTGGAGGCCTTGTTAAGGCGGGGGGTGGCTCAGGAGAATTCGTTAAAGAGGTCCTTATTGGAAGAAATGTTGAACTCCTGCTGGGATGTAAGCTACCTGTTAGGACACAATGAAGGACAAAGACATTTTGGAGGCGGTATAGATGTAGTTGGAACCTAAAAACATCTGGCTAGGTGCAGTGGCTCACGCCTGTAATCCCAGCACTTTGGGAGGTTGAGGCGGGCGGATCACGAGGTCAGGAGATTGAGACCATCCTGGCCAACATGGTGAAACCCCGTATCTACTAAAAATACAAAAAATTAGCCGGGCATGGTGGCATGTGCCTGTAGTCCCAGCTATTCAGGAGACTGAGGCAGGAGAATGGCTTGAACCCGGGAGGCGGAGGTTGTAGTGAGTTGAGATCGCACCACTGCACTCCAGCCTGGGCGATAGAGCGAGACTCGTCTCAAAAAAACAAAAAACAAAAACAACAAAAAACATCAGCTCCATGAGAGCAGTGGCCCCAAAGGCAGGGAAAATGTGCATGGAATGAACCTGGAGATGAGAGTGAACATACTGTCCTACCGAGACATCTCAGAGCCTGGGATTATCGCATCAGACTCTGATGAATCAGAGATCTTGCCCAGTATTAAGATTTACTAATAATTTCAAGGACATAAGTAATCAGGAAGCACAAATGAGACAGACAAAGGTCTGGGACCACTACACATCTCACCAAGCCTTTTTTCCTCACATCAGAACTTACTCTGCCCAGATTTACATATGAAGTGTCTAAGAACTGTATGTGGCTCCATTACTTACACAGAAGAGAGCTATTTTAGTTTTGAAAAATCTCCAGCATATACTCAGATAGTTACATAGTTTATGTGACAAAAGGGATCCATGCTCTGTAAATGTGTAGATTTCCATATTTATTTACCATAAGCAATCCTAGACACTCATATAAACGAGGTACATCTGCCTTAAAGAATTCTACAGATAAGGACTTACTGTTAGCAAACACCATTGGTTTATTTTTAGAGGTCTGTCATCTGTCTTTAGCATGTTTACTAGGGGATTTGACCAGTCATGTTTCTTTCCCAGGATTCCCCCACATTCCCCCTTAACCATTTCCTTTCAGAAGGGAAACCACTTTGAGCCATGATACACCTACAGTTGCCACAGGCAATAGTTTCTGGTCTTAGTCACCTTAATTCCTGGTTGAAAGTAGATGGAGTGAATGCCACACTTCAGAGAAGTCACAAAAGAGCCGTTCTTCCCACTCTAAACCTGTCTGCACCTAAATAGGTAGAGTGACCTTTCTAAACAGAAATCTGCTACAGGTCTCTTCCTACCCCTGCTTAAAACTTTCAGTAGCTCTCGTCACACTTAGGATAATATCCCAAATCCCACCTCACCACCACCAACTTTTTTTTTCTGAGACAGAGTCTCACTCTGTTGCCAGGCTAGAGTGCAGTGGCATAATCTCAGCTCGCTGCAACCTCTACCTCCTGGGTTCAAGTGATTCTCCTGCCTCAGCCTCTCGAGTAGCTGGGATTACAGGCGCCCGACACCATGCCCGGCTAATTTTTGTATTTTTAGTAAAGACGGGGTTTTTGCATGTTGGCCAGGCTGGACTCAAACTCCTGACCTCAGGTGATTCACTCGCCTCAGCCTCCTGAAGTGCTGGGATTATAGGCATGAGCCACCACGCCTGACCCCAAATCCTGAATATGGGCCTGCACCATGTACCACCTGCCTGCTTTCCCAGCCTCATCTCCCAGCACTGGTTCTCCCCCGGTTCCAGCCATACTGGCCTTCATTTAGTGCTCTGAGTGCTCTGTGTGCCCTCCTGCCTCAGGGCCTTTGCACATACTGTTTCCTCAGCTTGGAAAGCTCTTCCTGCCACTTACCCCGCTCTGGTTAACTCCTACTCGTCCTGCAGTTCACAGCTTGTACAGACACCGCTTGAGCCTCACTTCACATCCTCTCCCCACCACGTCTTACTCCAGCCCCTGCTGTGGTGACCAGTTCCACACAGGCTTTGACTAGCTTTGCACAGATGCAACCTGATAGGGCCCCACCGCGGCTCATTCCACATACCTCTTGCTTCCTGTCCTGGGGCTTTTCTGACACAGGTGAGAGACCTCTGAGGGAACCTACATGCTAGTGTAGAAGTTCAGGGGTTAACACCAGCAGTGTGGCTGTCCCTAGCCAGTGGGGACAGCAGTGATGGATAAATGCTTCCCCGTCTCATTTCCCGGATGGACCTTTTGGAACCCTCCTTAGGAGTCCAAGTAAGATGGAGCCCAGTTGCCTGCAGCGCTGGCCTATAGCTGTATTTGCTCTCCCTTCTTCTCGGTTCCTCTCCTCCTGAACCTCTCTCTTGCCCTGTGGGATCACTTCCCAAATAAACAACCTGCACACATACCTTTGTCTTAGGTTTGCTTGTGGGGGAACCCAGGCTAGGACACAACCCCGATGTGACTTCCTTAGGGAGACCTTCAGTGACCCCCCAGAGTCCCTGTTATCTGCTCTTACTGTTATATATCCCTGAACTTTTATGTCTTAGAATGTTGTTGTGGACTGATGGTGTCCCTCAAAACTTCAGATGTTGAAGTCCTAATCCCCAATACCTCAGAATGTGATTATATTTGGAGAGAAGGCCTTAAAAAGGTAAGTAGTATAAGATTAGTTCATATGGGTGGGCCCTAAATCCAATATGACTGGCATCATCATGAGAAGAGATTAAGACACAGACATAGAGAGGAGATGGGATCTACAAGCCAAGGAGAGAGGCCTCAGAATGAAACCAGTCCCATAGGCACCCTGATCTTGGACTTCTAGCCTCCAGAACTGTGAGGACATACATTTCTTTCTTTTGTTTTTTTTTTCAAGGACAATGGACATAACTAGACCACGTGCCACTTACGATCTAGCAGGCTAACCCAGGCTTAGCCTGGTTGGCAAGAGCAGCAAGTGACGACAAGCCCAAATGCACAAACGGGGTTCAAAACTTGTCTTTGCATTATGTTTGTTATTTTTTTTAGAAACTACATTAATTTTTAATTTTTATGTTAGTTATTTTTAATTTCATAGGTTTTTGGGGGAACAAGTCATGTTTGGTTACATGGATAAGTTCTTTAGTGGTGATTTCTGAGATTTGGGTGCACCCGTCACCCAAGCAGTGTACACTGTACCCAATATGTTGTCTTTTATCCCTCCCCCTCCCCCTCCCCCTTCTTCCCTGAGTCCCCAAAGTCCATTGTATCATTCTTTTTGTTTGTTTGTTTGTTTTTTGAGACGGAGTCTTGCTCTGTCTCACCCAGGCTGGAGTGCAGTGGTGCCATCTTGGCTCATGGCAGCCTCTGCCTCCTGGGTTCAAGCGATTCTCCTGTCTCAGCCTCTTGACTATCTGGGACTAGAGGTGTGTGCCACCACACCCGGATAATTTCATATTTTTAGTAGAGATGGGGTTTTACCATGTTGGCCAGGCTGGTCTTGAACTCCTGACCTCAGGTGATCCACCCACCTCAGCCTCCCAAAGTGCTGGGATTACAGGCAGGAGCCACCATGCCCGGCTCATTCTATCATTCTTATGCCTTTGTGTCCTCACAGCTTAGCTCCCATTTATGAGTAAGAACATATGATGTTGGGTTTTCCATTCCTGAGTTGCTTCCCTTAGAATAAAGGTCTCCAGTTCCATCCAGGTTGCTGCAAATGCCATTATTTCATTCATTTTTGTGGCTGAGTAGTCCATGGTATGTATACCACATTTTCTTTATCCACTCATTGATTGATGGGCATTTGAGCTGGTTCCATATTTTTGCAATTGCGAATTGTACTGCTGTAAACATGCATGTGCAAGTATCTTTTTTTGTATAATGACTTCTTTTCCTCTGGATAGATACGTAGTAATGGGATTGCTGGATCAAATGGTAGATCTACTTTTAGTTCTTTAAAGACTCTTCACACTGAGGAAATAAATTTCTGTTTGAGCTACTTGTTCTGTGGTATTTATTACATTAAGCAAAGTAGGTGCAGACCCTAAACTCATGGAGCTTACAGTCCTCCAGGAAAGCAATATATTTATAACAGAATAATATAATATAATATATGGCTGTATATTAGTTTGCTCGGCAGCCTGAGCAAACTAATATACAGCCTTCCCTTGGTATATGTGGGACATATACTGTTCCAGACTCCCTCGTATACCAAATTCCACACAAACTCAAGTTCTGTAATTGAACCTGCAGAACCCACGTATACAAAGTCAGCCCTCCATGTCCTTGGTTTCACATACCACAAATACTGTATTTTTGATCTATGTTTGGTGGGAAAAAAATCTGTGGGTAAGTGGACCCTTGAAGTTCATGAGTTAACTGTAAATGTATTATAGTTAGTACTTATATACTTATCTAATTATTCTATTATATTGCTCTCCTAGAGGACTGTAAGCTCCATGAGTTTAGGGTCTGCACCTACTTTACTTAACCTTGTACCTCTTGTGCTTAACACAGCGTCTGGCACTTAGTAGGTGCTGAACAGATTTCTGTTGCATGAATCAATGAATGAAGTCGAAAGCTTTTGAAAGGGTCCAGGCAGTCACTGAGCAGCTATATGAACACAAAGGAGTCAGCTTCAGTCTGAGCCCAGACATCTAGAGGGAGGATGTGAGCACAACATGTAGACTCATAATGGGTTTGGAGTCAAAGAACAGGATTTTTTTCCATAACTAGAAGTACCTAGGAGTCTTCACAAAATGTTAAAATGGTATATTCGGCATGGGTTCTGCCTTTGTATACTGACAGTTTGTTAACACATGGTACTAATCTGAAAACAGAAATGGATTTAAGGATTTATATCGATCCAGGGATTGTTTGGTTCATTCCAGTGAATATTTCCCAATTTAGGGAAGATTGGGATGTTTGGGAATGTCCTTGGTGCTGCCTTGGTGCTGACCTATTCCTCTCCATCACACCACTGCCACTGCCATGTTGCCAATGAATAGCTAGTACCAAATTATAGAATCATTTGATGTTGGTGACATCACAGACGGAGGCAAAATGATATAGTGCAAAGGGCGCCACGCCAGGAATCAGAAGATCCTACCTATTAGCTGATGATTTTAGGTGAATCAGATTCACAGTAATGCTGGCTCCTCATCTCCAATAATGTTGCTCTTCCTGCCTTTATGGGAAGGCTGAGAAGCCTGCCTAGTATTGTATATAGTGGTGGTTAAGGGGCAAATCCTGGCTCTGTTACCTTCTAGTTCTGTGACCTTGGGCAAATTATGTAGCCTTTCTGAACCTCAGTTTTTCTCATTGGTAAATTGGGGTAATTATAAAACCTATATCCTAGGCTCATTATGATGATTTTATTTTATTTTATTTTATTTTATTTTATTTTATTTTATTTTATTTTATTTTATTTTATTTTTGAGATGGAGTCTTGCTCTGTCACCCAGGCTGGAGTGCAGTGGCATGATCTTGGCTCACTGCAACCTCCATCTCCTCAGTTCAAACGAGTCTCGTGCCTCAGCCTCCCAAATAGCTGGGATTATAGGTGCACAACATCACACCTGGCTAATTTTTTTGTATTTTTGGTAGAGACAGGGTTTCACCATGTTGGCCAGACTGGTCTCCAATTCCTGGCCTCAAGTGATCTCCCCGCCTCGGCCTCTCAAAGTGCTGAGATTACAGGTGTGAGCCACTGTGCCTGGCCATTATGACGATTTCAGCATAATGCCTTGTTCAGAGTAAGCCCTCGATATTTGTTGAACTACCATTTATTTAGTAGGTCTTTTTATTTTTCATTTATTTATTTATTTTTGAGACGGAGTCTTGCTGTGTCGCTCAGGTTGGAGTGCAGTGGCGTGATCTCGGCTCACTGCAGACTCCGCCTCCTGGGTTCAAGCAATTCTCCTGTCTCAGCCTCCTGAGTAGCTGGGATTACAGGCGCGTGCCACCATGCCCAGCTAATTTTTTTTTGTATTTTTAGTAGATACGGGGTTTCACCATGTTGGCCAGGATGGTCTCGATCTCTTGACCTTGTGATCCACCCACCTCGGCCTCCCAAAGTGCTGGGATTACAGGCGTGAGCCACCGGGCCCCGCCTAGTAGGTCTTTTTATTAAGATTATAACCCAGGCATCCACTGGGGTCCCCCAGGCCTTTGAAATCAAGATAAGACAGTGTCATTCCCATGCCCTCCTCAAGGGGGCATCTGAACCGGGTTGATGGCTTGCTCTGAGGCCGCTGTGATACCAGGTACTCTCAACTGGTCACCCCTCATCGCTCCTGTGCCCCACCACATCTTGCCTTCCTCTCCCCTCGGGGGAAAGCAGATGAGTGCCCTGCATTGGCACTGCCTCAGTGCTGCTCCGTCTGCGGTTGCCAGACTTAACACCCCCGCAACCCCGACCCTCAGGGTCCAGGTCCCCCAGACAATATATCAAAGATTTTCTTCCCCCAGAGGCATCCTGGTGCCAGCTGTTAAGATAATGGATTTTTCCACCCAACTATGTGATGCAGAGCATCCATTGAAACCCCTGTATAGAAGCTTAGTCAGGAGGGACCTTAAAAGCCGAATCCTTTGTGCTTTGGCCTTGAGAATGTGTCGATAATCAATTAAATGGCCAGCCCGGAGAGCGGCCCTCCCTCCAGCCCGAGCTCAGACTTCACCGTGGTCCCCATTGCAGGATGGGATAGCAAAGTAGGATTTTTGCTGTTTATTTCTTTTGGCGGGGGGAGGGATATAGTTAAAATAGTGAATCTACTGTGTTCCTTCTTCAGAGGCAGCCTTCCATCTTAAGTCTGGCCTGATATCGGGGGAGAAACTTGCTTTTCTTCCATCCCTGGAAGTCCAGCCGGGCTGTGTCCTCACCTCCAGCAGTTTCTCTCCAGGCTGCGGTGTTGTAATAGTCTCCCCTGTGAACACTCCGTGAAGCCTGATGTTAGGTTGGAATACAATTGCAGCAGGAGGGACGATAAATAAGCTAATTTATTTTATCTCACCTGCTTGGAGTTGGGGTCTTTTTTGAACTGAAACAAGCAAATTTATGCAAATGACATGCAAATTAGGCCCTTCCTGGACTAATAAAAAGGAAATTGAAGCCCTGGGTAGTGCCCAGGGCCTGACACAGCATAGAGTGTATTGTGAATCTTAGTGTGCTGTGGGGGGTGAATGGAGGCGCCAGGGAGGGCATGTGTGTCCCGAGATTCAGTGGGGTGAAGGCTGTCAGGTCACCTCTGGAGGTCTCAGGTGGGCAAGGATCTCAGACAGGTCAGGCATTTTGAGGGGTGCTATCTCTTGGCCACCTACAAACCCTCTTCCTCCACTCCTTTCCCTTTCTACCTACCAGGGACCTTGCTTGGTTTAGCCTCAAGTGTGTCTGAGGAGGACCTCTGGAAGGCCCCTGCCCCCTCCTCCTGTTTCCTTCCTTGGTCACAAAGGGCTCAGTTCTGCTCTTACCAATCCCCATAGACACTCTACATCTTTCCTTGGACCTGGCTTCTAGAAAAGCTCACACCTGCGGTCCTAGTGACTCAGGAGGCTGAGGTGGGAGGATCGCTTGAGGCCAGGAGTTTGAGACCAGCCCGGGCAACATAGCAAGACCCCCACCTCTACAAAGCAATTTACAGAAAAGAAAAGCCCCATTTAGTGTCTACCCTAAATCCTTCCAACTGCAGAATAATCCATGCTATTGTGTTGTATCCTAATGGAGACAGATTAGCGCAGAAGTCCTTAACTGTGGCTGCACAACTGGAATCACCCAGAGAGCTTAGACATGCCGAGATTCGGATTTGATTGCTCTGGGGGCCCATATGAGCTTCAGGAGTTCTGAAAGCGTCCTGATGATTCCAGTATGCAGCCCATTTGAGAACTACTGGCTTGACAGGTCACTGGGCTTTATACAATTTATTTTTTGGAGACAAGGTCTAGCTCCATCACCCAGGCTGGAGTGCAGTGGTACAATCATAGCTCACTACAGCCTTGACTCCTGGGCTCAAGTGATCCTGTCATTTCAGCCTCCTGAGAAGAATACGATTGCTTTCGAGTGGGATTTAATGCCCCTCATCTTTCCCCTGTTGCTCATTGGAACTCTAAGGCCCCATTATTTGAGCAACTACTAAGTGCCAGGGGCTTTAGATATCTTGTCCCCCGCAAGCCTCTCAACAGCCCTGTGGGAAGTAGCATCTCCATCTTTTCCATGAGGAAACTGAGGCTCAGAGAGGTGAGGTTTCTTTCCCAAGATCACTCAGCAGGGAAGCAGCAGAGGCAGGATGAGACTCCAGTGGTGCCCTCTCCTGCGCCCCCTCTCATTGTCCTTCCTGGGGATTAGCCCAGCAGAGCTGAGAGGGCTCCTGCAGGCCCCAGGGTTGCAGGGCTCCAGGCCTGGGTTTACTGCTTATCACCTGTGTGACCTTGGGCCTCAACCTCAGCTTCCCCATGTGCGCAATGGGGATAACAACGCAGGCCCCTCCGGCAGTCATGAGGATTAAAGAAAATGAGCAGGTGCTCTGTAAAGCATGAAGTGTGATACCCACATTCGTTATGTTTATTACATGTCCCCTTCCCGCTGGCATCTGTCCCCCTCCCCTCAGCCTCCACCCCACCCCAGCATGCTGAGGGGTTTTGAAGCTTGGATTCCTTGGCCTCCCCTCCCTAGTGCCAGAGGATTCTGCTTAATCCTCCGTGCTCCGCAGAACACAAGTGACTGTCTCCCTGGGAGAACGGGGCGGTAATTAGGTTAAATAATTTAAAGTAACTTTTAATTTTTAAATAATTCTAATTTGCATTTGTGCAATTTACTTTCCTTCTCTCCCCATCCCTCCTCCCCCATGGCTTTCCTTGTATTATTTGTTTGTTTAAAGTTTTTTCTTTTGCTTTTTCCTGGATAACCAATTTGCTTCAAATGGCAACTAGCCAGCTCCACTCAGAATCATCACAGATTGTAAGGCGAAGGTAGGAGGCAAAATCTGCTGACTGGGAAGCATCTGAAAGGCAACTTTGCCCAGCCCTGCAACCCCCTTTAGGAAAACAGGATAAAGAAAAAAAATTGCACATGTGGTTAACTTTCGATTTTCTTTCTGCAAGGGTGTCCACTCAGTGCTTGGTACCTGGTGCTCTGTGGGGTGCTTGATGGAGGCTAGGGAAAACACCAGATGGCTGTCTAGGCTCACTGGGTAGACAAGGGCCAGTAGGTGGAGGGGAGGAGAAGGCCAGGAGTCTGCATACTGGGTTCAGGTACTGGTATCTACTGGTGCTCCCAGCTGCAGGGCCTCAGGCAAGGTGGACCCTCCCTCTGGGCCCTGGGGTCCCCATCTGCAGAGAGGGGAAACCAGAACCAAGCCAGTATGGGGCTTCCATGAGCGTGTGTGCGGGAAGGTCTAGCAGGGTCTGACCGGTGGTTAAATGCCTTCCACTGTGGGATCCCTGATCTGTGAGCAAAGGGAGTCAGGGCCTTGGGGCAGACATAGAGAGGGCTGTAACCTGGCAAGGTTTTTTTTTTTCTTCCTTTCTTTCTTTTCATGTTATAAGTGTTCATAAAATTTTATTTTTTTTGAACAATTTTTATTTGGAAATCATTTCAGACTTACAGGAAAGTTACAGGAAAGATAAAAACAGTACCAAGAATTTATATTCTTTACCCTTCTCTCTCTCATATATATATAGATCCCCAGTGGTTCTCAACAAGAAGCAATTTTTGTCCCCCAGGAGACATTTGACAATCTCTGGACAATTGTGTTGTTTCAAATGCCTGGGGTAAGGATGGGGCATGGGGGGGTGTTACTACATTAGTGCATAGAGGCCAGGGATGCTGCTCGATGTCCTACAGTGCACAGGACAGTCCTCCGGCTCCCCCCAGCACAGAATTATCCAGCCCAAAACGTCAGTAGTGCTAAGGTTGGAAGTGTGTGCATGCGTGTATACTTGAACTGCTTGATAGTTGCAGACGAGATACCCCTTTATCCCTCAACATTTCAATGTGTATTTCCTAAAAGCAAGGGCATTCTCTTCCATAACCACCGTTCAGTTATCAAAATCATGGAGTTCACATTGATACAGGGAAGCCATAGGTATGATGCCGGCTGGCGGATCCTCAGGAAGCACGTGGGACTCTTCGTTAAGGATGCTGGAATCGTACATGGAAATGGACTGAAGCTTGAGCTCTGGGCTGTTGAGATCAAGCCCCACGACCCTGGCCAATTTTGGCATTTTTCTCTCTGTTCCATTGCTCCTCCCCTCCGAGGGTTGTGGATGAGGGGAAATGAGTCCCAGGTAGGAGAGACCGTGCTTTGCGTGTGAGTACACAAGACTGCCGTAATGCCACCAACTCCACCCAGAGCCTTCCTGCTGGAATGAGAGGTGGGGGTGTGAGGGGCAGCCTCTCTCCTGGTGGTTCCTGGTTGCGACACTCCAGCTGTGGCCAGTCTCAGGGTTGTCGACAGGACTTCCACCCTCAGAGGCAGGCCTGGGCTCAGCCACTGAGCCACAGAGAGCAGGTGGGTGCCCCAGTGGACAGGGAGCTGGGCTCCCCTGTGTGTGGAAGAACATGACAGGTATCTGGGAAGGCCTGCTCTTTCTGTCCTTTCACAGAGAGAGGGATGGGGGAACAAAGGAGCTGGCATCAGTGAAGACAGAGAAGTGCTTGGCCAGGCGTGTTCCTAGATTCCAATCTCTTGAGAAATGCTTCCCTTTCCCCAGGAAAGTCCTTTGTAACCTCCACATTGGAATTATCCCAAAACAATATGTTTTAAGATTTGGAATTGGAAAGAAGGAACAAACATTAACTGCTTTCCATGTACCATCACTCTCATATATTTCATCTTAGTTCATCCTTCCTTGCATTTTGAGAGATAGATCATAATTAACACATTTGTTAAGAGAGGAAGCTGGGGTTCAGAGAGGTTAAATAATGCACCTGAGGCCACACACAGCTGGTAGGCAGCAGAGCTAAGACAAAATTGTAGATAGGATTCACTTCAAAGCCAGTGCTGCCTCTAGTTTAAGGCCTGGCTCAGCCATCAGTAGCTCTGTGACCCTGGGCAAGTTTCTTGACTTTTCTGAATCCTAGTTTCCCCTTTTGTAAATGAGGATCATCATGTCTGTTTTCATGGCCAAACAGGACAGAGAGAAAACCTGTCTAGACCATCTCTCAGTTAGATTTTGTCGTTAACACAAATGGTATTTGCCTCTGCATTTGATTCCCTGTCCATGGGGTGAGTGGGTGGAGGCTCAGCAGGGGTGATTGACTTAGCTGGATCAGGACCACTCGGTGATGGACACAGCCCGGGGCTCGAGAGATGGAGACAGGGAGTGCTCCCATAGCTAGACATCTGTCAGGTGCCTTTGCTTGAGGATGATCTCCTAATATATGTAGCTGGCCTGTTTCCTGTCCTACAGTCTCCTTTCTGGAAACTGTCTTGGGTGAGCTCTAAGCCCTCAGAGAATGATGCCAGCTCCTTCCCCACAGGGCAAATTCCAATGGCTTGGGGGCAGAGAAGGGATTCCTCTAAGGCTTGAGGTCCTGGCACCCCAGAGAGGGCCCAGGGGCTGCTGGCCAGTCCCGGGGCAGACAGACCACTGCTGGCTGCCCAGCTCCAAAAACTGCTCTTCTTCCAAAAACTCTAGCCTCCTGGGCCACACTCCAGACCCCAGGGGAAGCTCACCATGAGTCACCCTCTCTGCTTCCCGGAGGGTCTATGCTGTTAAATTCCTCCTCTTTTCCAGTGACATCTAAAGTGATAGAGAAGCCTGAAAATTATGGGGAGTGGTCAACCTGGGTCTGGGGCTCATGGGCATCCATTCCTTTCCATGTCCTCATCTGTCTAGGCGAAGCTGAACCCTATGAAGGAAGGTCCTGGGGCTGCCCCCACCTCTCCCCAGTAGCTGCTGAAGTGGTCCCGATGCCTCAGTAGGATTCAGGCAGGGAAATGATGAGCAAATGCTATGGCACAGAGAAGGGCAGGAGTGAAGGCAACTAGCAGCTTGGAGCTCCAGACCCTCTGAACTGTGTGCCTGGCTGTGTGCTTGACTTTTTAAGCCCCTGCCTGGCCCTGCCTCTTTAATTCCTAGGACTGCCCAGGGCTCTGAAGTTCTGACAAAGACCAAGCCTGCTCCCTGGCTCTGCTTCTGGTGTTCTGGTCTACCTGGTGCCTGGCTGCTGGGTGGGCATCTGACCCACTGCCCCCTGACCTTTGCCATCCTGATGTCGCTGCTGCCTGACACCTCCCCTACCACCTCCCCACACTTTGGGGTGACCTCCTCCATCTCCTGAGTCTTTGACAGGGTCTGGGGAGCAAGTCCAGAGGTTTGGTGGACTCACATGCTCAGGCCAGTGCGTGTGCCCTACTGGAGGGGATTTTTGTCTAAATCCAGATTGTCCTCTGACACTTATCTTCCTACCCTTAAGGCACTGCCAGAGTTTGGGATCCAAGCCCAAAAAGGAAATGATTATATCCAAACACAGCAGTGTTGAAATTGTGGAAAGAAAAAAAAGAAAAAAAACCCCACAAAAGCAAATGTGCTATTTACTTTATGCAAAGTGGCTTTGAGAGGAATGGTAAGGATTAGGGTAGACGTGAGGGAGGCAGGAGTTCCTGCTGGAACAGGGGCGGGTTGTGGGTCTTCTCTGCAGAACTTGAGGCAGCAGGGGCTGGCGGGGCAGTGCAGGGTGGGAGGAGGGTGCAGGGAGCAGGGGTTGTAAATGAGCTGCCGTCCCCACATTCTAGAGATGTCATTGCTAAGGGATGACCATGGCCCCTTTGGAGGATTTGCTAAGCATTCTTTCAAGAAACGAGTATGTATGGGGTACATCCTGGGTGCCAGGCACTGTGTTGGCTGCAGAACAGACCCGGTGGCCTTCCTGGGGAGTACTATGCAGTGTGAGAGACAAGCAGGAATGAAACACTTGTGTAGGGGGCTGCATGGGACAGATGCATGCAGATGGAGTGAGTGCTTGGAAGGAAAGGAATATGGCTCTAGGAACACGTAAAGCAAAGGAGCCTGCCTTGGTTTGGGTGAACTGGGAAGCAGGCGGGGAGAGTCCTGAGGGAAGGAGAGCTGAGCTGGGATGGAGGATGTGTAGGAGTTCACCAGACAAGAGAAGGGGGTTGGGGGTGGGAGTTACAGAGAGAGATCCTGAGCAGACGGAAACACGGTGCTTTGGGAGAACTCCTAGAAAGTCAGCGAGGCAGGGGTGGAGAGTGAGAGGAGAGGGGTGGAAAGAGGGGTTGAGGGGGAGTAGGTGGGAGGCACCCAGGGCAGGGTGCACATTTTGGTCTTTATACCCTTCCATCTTGAAGGATTTTAAGGTAGGGGGTGGGCAGGTAGCGATGGCGGGGGTGGTTTGGGGTTGTGGGGAGAGTGAGGAGGTGTGAGGTAGCAGTGATGTGGTCAGATCTGTAATTTAAAGAGATCACTCCGACTGCTTTGTGGAGAATGGATGGGGAATGGAGGGTGAAGATGAAATCGGGGCACGGATTCTTAGGGCGGCCCAGGTGAGATGGTGGGAGCTGTGGAAGAGGGAGGGGGATGGGTTCCAGCCCTGGAGACCACAGGCTAGCTGAAAAGCTGCTCAGCTCAGGTTGAAGTGGAAACAGGCATCTTCAGTGTGGGATGCGTGGGGAGGAAGGCCACCTAGATTCTTTTTTTGTTTTCAGTTTTGTGGAGGTATAATTGATGCATATTAAACTGCACATATTTGAAGCATTACAATTTGATGAGTTTTGACATATGTATACACCCAGGAAACCATCGCCATAATAAAGATAGTGAATATATCCATCACCCCCAAGAGTTTTCTTTGTTAATTCATCTGTCCCCCAGCCTGATGTCCAGGCACCCACTGATCTGCCTTTCATTTTTATATATTAGTATGCATTTTCTAGAAGTTTATATAAATGGAAGCATAGTTTATGAATATGTACTCTTTTTTTGCCTGTCTTCTTTCATGCAGCATAATTATTTTGAGATTCATCCACACTGCATATAGAATCTTATTTGGACTTTGCTGCTCAATTTATATCTTGATTAAGTCTCCTGAGACCTTGCAGCGCAAGGTGAGGTCCATGGGACTGCGGCATCTGCATCAGCTGGGAGCTTGTTGGAAGGGCACACCCTCAGCCCCATCCCCACTGCCCAGCCCTCCTGACTCAGAATCTGCATTTTCACAGGATCCCCGATCCCCAGGTGTCTGAGAAGCCCTGTCCTAAGCTCTCTGGACCTCACATTCTTTCCTTGTCTGTGGACTTCAGGTGGAGGGAGTTGAGTCAGTTACACTTAGTTAATAACTCATTGTCATGAACAGCTTTTGTTTGGCCTTTCTTTTGCTTCGTGGCATCCGTTTTCTTTTTTTTTTTTTTCTTTTTGGCAGGGGGGTGTGGGTGGCACGGGGTGTTGGTGGCAGGATGGAATCTTGCTCTGTTGCCCAGGCTGGAGTGCAGTGGCGCAATCTCGGCTCACTGCAACCTCCACCTCCTGGATTCAAGCGATTCTTTTGCCTCAGCCTCCCGAATAGCTGGGACTACAGCCGTGAGCCACCATTCTTGGCTAATTTTTGTATTTTTACTGGAGACAGTGTTTCACCATGTTGGCCAGGTTGGTCTCGAACTCCTGACCATGGGCGATCCTCCCATCTCAGCCTCCCAAAGTGCTGGGATTACAGGCGTGAGCCCCCACGCCCAGCCACCGTGTGTATCTTCTCCTTCCCCTCTCCTCACTCCCGCAGACACCCACTCTGAAGTGTTTGGAATATGTTCTAAAATATGCAAGTAGTGTATCATTGTAAAATATGTAGTGTCATTCTGTGTGTGTGTTTTAAATTAACATACATTTTATTGTGCTACAAATCTTCCATTTCAGCTTTTCTCACTCAACATCGCGTTATTGTGACCACCCATATTGCTCTGCATACATCCGATATGCGGCTCTTTACTGATGGTGAGTTCTCCATAGTGTGTTTCCACTGCCTGCTACTCGTCATGGGTGAGGGACACCTAAAGATGTTTCCAGCTTCTCTCCACCATAAACGGCTTCATCCCCGTGGGTGGAACCTGAGTCTGTGTCTTAGTAAAAGAAGTGTCTTAGACTAAATGACCCATGTTGCCTGCAGCCCTAACTCCCATCGCTTATTTTGCAAGTGGAAAGACCATGGAGACTTGCAGGCCTGCAAACTGTCAGGCAGAAGATCTGAATAGTTATGTTTTCCTTTGAGTTAAGTTTGTAGCTGACACCAGGGATGGTCTGAAATCCTTTGATAGTCAGAGTCCCTGAGACCTTCTCTTGTCCCCTTGAGCTCCTGAAGTGCTTTAACTTCTGATTTTTTTTTCTCCCTGCGAATAATACACCAGCTGCTCCAGGGAGCTCAGTGTTGCACCAGTTTGCAGGTCTGTTTAAAATCCCGATTCTGCAAACTCCTCAGAAGGAAGTGACAGTTCTTACTCCTGTGTGATCATTTATAGATCAGGTAATGATTTCCCTGTTGGCTTGACAGTTCTATTCTTGGGACAGCTGGTCAGCTTGTCAAATACTGCTGATGTTCCCTCTGGTGTGGGCCCCGAGGATCAAACACCCACACACCGTGGTTCTATCTGCCATTCCTGCTTACCTGTGGCACCTACAAGTGGCAGGAAAAGTTACTTCCTTCAGAGGAATCTCAGGGCTTGTGAGAGGATGGGGAGCAGGCCCGTGGAGGGGTATGAGGACTGGCAGACTCTATTTGCCGTTGGTCCCGAGATCATCAAAAGGCATGTCTATCTCCTTCCCTATTCCACCTGCTGTTGTCCTTAGAGGGGGTGCCTTGCAGAGGAGGAGGCTGGGAAATATGGGAGGAGTTCCACTGTGAGGGAGGGGGCCGCCCAATGACTTTTCAGAGGGATTCAGCAACTGTTAATGAGACTCTACCAAATGCCAGGCTCTGTGCTGGTTTGGTGGGGCTTGGGCAGAAGGTCTGGCTGGTTGCCCAAGGGGACATTCCTCTAGGAGAACTTCAGTGGAGCCCTTCCTCATTTAGGAGCAAACAGATTAGTATTCATGGAACTCACAGGATGGGAGGTCAGTTCCTCTGGACTACTGTGAAAAGAACTTTGCTCTCAATTACCAGGGCTGATAAGCGGCAGAGACACAGCGCCCCTCCCCCAGCATTGGCACTAAATAAAAATTTAATTAAGAAAAATTAGTCTATGCCTGTGGTTCCCAAGGGTGGTCTGTAGACCTGTGCTAGACTGCAGCTAACTTTCCACAGATGAGATTAGGAAAATGAGAACAGAGAAAGTGAGTTCTTCATGAAGCTAAACATATTCACTATTAAGGACTATTCTTTCTAAGATTGGCATCCTACATCCCTGGTATTCAGGAAATTGGGATGATAGTAGAAGTTATAGTAGAAGAGAATAGAAGATGACCGCAAAGTCCTTATGTGGCTAAATAAAAAGCTGGCAAATTTCTGCCAGGCTCACTAAAGTGTGAATGTGTGTGCATGCGTGTGTGCATTCAAGTGTGCATAAATCTTACTGTTCTGTGAACCTCCAAATTCTGAAAAAAAACAAAAACAAAAACCTGAGCCTGGGAGGTTGAGGCTGCAGTGAGCCGTGTGAGCCGTGATTGTGCCACTGCACTCCAGATCCTGGGCGACAGAGTGAGACCCTGTCTCAACAACAACACAAATTCTGTGAATCTTCAAAGTCTGATAACAACAGGCAACACCAATCAGACATTGATTCTTAGCTTCTTCCCCAAATGGATAACACATTGTATCTAATTTTTGCCTAGGTAATATGTTACTTTGTTTCTAATAATAACAGATTTTTGTTAAGATAAAAATCTTCCCTTTGGAAAAGGAGCAAATGCTTAAAATTAGGTTACTTTAGCAAACATTTACATTTTAATGAATATATTCTGTTAAAAATCGCATAAGATGTAAATGAGCGCAGCCGGAGGAGCTGGTGAGTGGTCAGCTGAGGGCAATTGAGATGCAAAAGGCTCTTCTGTTGTGGGCACAGGGTCACAGCCAGGGCCGATTAGGGGCCTGGACCAGGCAGCCCAGTTCCTTTGCTGTATTTAAATGGAGAGGCAGAGTGAGAATGTAATTAAATTGTGGCCGTAGAGCTAGACAACTTAACTAGAGCCCCCTCATGCTACATGCTCCAGAATTTAATTTTCCAAATAAACTCAGTGTGGCTTTGATGCCCGGGGAGGATCAATAGAATGGAAATTGCTTGCAGTTTCCCCTAAAGTGTTACAATGGATTACCGCTCTCACATTTCTCCTTCATGCTCCTTTTTTTCTGCCAGAGAGAGCCTGGTATTCATTCTAGGCACATACTGTTTAAGGAAACAGAAAAATAAATGAATAAAAAAGGAAACTACAAGCCACTGTCAGGAGGGGGATGAGACTGTGTCCTTCCGCCTGTGAGGCGAGGGCTCCTGGGTCTCTGTGAAGGAAAACAGCATCACCATTTGGCTCTATGGGGCTGGCTCAGGATGGGGTATGGGGAGGGGTTGTGTGTGGCATTGAGGTTCCCTGAGAAGGGACGTGGAGGGTCTTTGGTTCATCCGGTCACCTTCTCAAGAAAGGCACCCAGGAAGGTGACCAAACCTCAGGTCCTAGGGGTGCAGCTGCCTGGAACCTCACTGCTTGCCCATCTGCTCTGGAGTCCTGGGGAATGTTCTAGCTCCTTCACATTCTCTCTGAAGAGTGGGGTCAGGGCACGGCCCTGGCTACCAGTGGCTTGCTTGTTCCTCTGGGGCTCAGAGTGCAGAAGATGACTGTCAGTCACAGGCTATTTGGAGTTGTAATTTGAATTTTTCAACTGTGGAGAACTTTACAGAGTCAGAACTCTCTCCTTTTTTGTTCCTTTGGGAGATACCAATGAGCTTATAGAGTTGGCAGGAAGAAGGGACTCTTGGGAGCAAGGTTTCTGGATCATAGGTCTCCCAGCTATCGAGGGCTTGGTAAACCCTTGCCTGGTTCTGATGGTGAGGACAGGCCAGGACCAGGAGAGTAGGAGACAGAGCAATCCAGCAGTCCTCTGTTAGGCACCGTTTGTGTGTCGGAGGGTGTTAGGCACTGTGTGTTGGTGGGGGTGGGGGGGTGGTGGCAGGGGCAGGCTTGCAGAGATAAGACAATCCTTGTCTTCAAGGAGTTCATAGATTAGATAAGTATCCACGTGGCTTTAATTCTGGGTGGGGTAACATGGGTTTGGGAACCTGAAACCCGGTTGAGTACAATCTCCTTATTTTGCATTTGGGGAAACTGAGACAGGGAGGTAGGTTTTTCCTGGTTGCACTCTCTACATTCTCGCATGCTGTTCCTCTTGGCCTGAGCAGGCTCAGGGACGTGGTGCACTGCAGGGTGAATGGAGATTCAGAGCTTCACAGGCGGAGAGCCTGTTCCTGAAGGTCTGCGAGTTGCTTTGGGCTCTTCTGCTCCCCTCCTCCCACGTGTGGTAGAAGTTCCAGAATCACCAACCTCCAGCTGGGCGGAATGGCTCATGCCTATAATCCCAGCACTTTGGGAGGCTGAGGCAGGTGGATCACCTGAAGTCAGGAGTTCAAGGCCAGCCTGGCCAACATGGTGAAACCCCATCTCTACTAAAAATACAAAAATTAGCTGGGTGTGGGGGCGTGTACCAGTAGTCCCAGCTGCTCAGGAGGCTGAGAAGGGAGACTCTCTAGAACCTGGGAGGCAGAGGTTGCGGTGAGCTGAGATCATATCACTGCACTCCAGCCTGGATGACAGAGAGAGACTTCATCTCAAAAACAAACCAAAACAAAACAGAGTCACCAACCTCCTAGAGCTGGGGCTGTGATGCTTCCCGGGCTGACAGATTGACCCTGTTTTGAGATATCCGGAGAGTGAAAGTACTGGAAAATTAATTAGCAGCAGTAGACACTGGCTACCCGGAGGCTACAGGAATTTATGGGGTTTTTGTTTCTTTTTTGTCATGGAATAAGTTTTCAGCATGTGTGTTGATTGATTTCCTGCTAAGTTCCTCTCTGTCTTAAAAAAAATAAAACAACTCTCAGAGTTTGGAGTCCGTTGAAGCATGTTAATGACCTTTTTTCCGAATCACTTCTTCTTGGTATTGTGTCTATCCCCCACCCCCACTCTCCTTCTCTCTCTTTTGCTTCTGACTTTCAGACAGGCAAGGGGTTGGTCCCTCTGAAGGGCTGGGACCCAGGACCCGGGTGAGGCAAGCTGAATACCTGGGGCTGAAACATTTAAGGAGGCACTCACTCTCAGGGTCTGCAAATGCAGGGTCAGCATCTGAGAGTGCGGGCTTCCTTAAATGCTGCCCTAGGCACCTGCTTGTCTTACCTAGGTCCTGGATTTGCTCTCCTGACTGCTGTGCATGCCACATTCAGGGGAAGAACCAAACAATATCTGGGGAATTCAGGTGCTAAAACCTCATGGACAGCAACAAACAGAGCTGGCCGTGAGCTAAACAGACCAGGGTACACCACTGCAAACAGGTATTAATAGGAAGAGCAAGTTTTCATTTAGAGGCCTCATGTCCTGTGTTAACTGGGATGGAGCTGGACAACTGCCCAGCGCTCCCTTCTCTGGCCTGTTTGGTTCCTGAGGCAGACCAGAGAAAAGCCCTCAAAAGGGTAGTGAAGAGCCAGGTGCAGTGGCTCACGCTTGTAATCATAGCACTTTGGGAAGCCGAGGAAGGCAGATCGCTTGAGCCCAGGAGTTCAAGACCAGCCAGGGAAACATCGTGAGATTCCCTCGTCTACAAAAAATTAAAAATTAGCAGCGCATGGTTAGCCTGTAGTCCCAGCTATTTGGGAGACTGAGGTAGGATTGCTTGAGCAAAGTGGCGGTGGGGCTGTAGAGGCTGCAGTGAGATGTGATAGTGCCACTGCACTCTAGCCTGGGCAATAGAGTGAGACCCTGAATCAATCAGTGAAAAAGAAGGGCAGGGCATGGTGGCTCACACCTGTAATCCCAGCACTTTGGGAGGCCAAGGCAGGCAGATCGCTTAAGCTCAGGTGTTCCAGACCAGCCTGGGCAACATGGCGAAACCCCGTCTCTACTAAAAGTACAAAAATTATCTGGGCCTGGTGTCATGCATCTGTAGTCCCAGCTACACTAGGGGCTGAGGAAGGAAGATCGTTTGAACCCAGGAGGTTGAGGCTGCAGTGAGCTGTGATTCCGCCACTGCACTTCAGTCTGGGTGACAAAGTGAGACCCTGTCTCAAAGAAAAAAAAAAAAAAAGAAGAAAAAGGCAATGGAATTGGGGAAGGGGGCAGACAGGGTGCTGTGCTCTGAGTTGCTTTTTGGAGCTCACGATACTTACAGTGCTTTGGTGGAGGTAAAGTTAAAAAAAAACAAAAACAGCCGTTACTAATTTAAAATGTGCCGTTCCCCTCATCCCACCCCCTGGAACCAGAGGAGAGGAATTATTGAATATGTGACATCGGAGGAGAAAGATTACTGTGCATATTAAGCAAGGAGAAGAGTGATTGCTGAATACATGATGTAAAAGGAGATAGTCACCACAAATTAAACACAAAAAATTCAGTGGAAAATAATTATTGTCTATACATTATAGGCTTGACTTATGGTAAGTTTTCTACTTTTTAAAGCCTCTTGTAATTTCTCGATAACCCATTTAGCTGTCTGGTTCCCACTACCCCACCCCATCCCTGCCATGCATCTACGCTATCAGAGCAAAGTTATTTTCTTGGCTTTTAACTCCTTGTGGGGATTTTCCCAGCCATATATATGAATAATTTGGGGGAAGATAAGGACCCCAAAAGGACCTCTGGGGTTTTCTGAGCTCCCTTTGGTCATGTCTGCAGAAATCTCCCAAATCCTGGAGTCCCTAAAATGTTCTCTGACTCTTTCTCCTCTACGCCCACCCAAGGTGTAGTATCCTTGAAAGGTGGGAGTTACCAGGGGTTAGATCAAATGGTAAGGGAGGGAGTGGGCTGGCCTAGGCATGGCCTGTGAACTTTGTCATTGCTTGAAGCTTAAGATCTGTGGGGAACTTCTCTCAGGTGCCAGATGATTGTTAGCTTGACTGTTCCTGTCAGGATCTGGTAGGTGGCTGAAACACCCAAGGCCATCTCTCAGGCAGACAGAACCCCTATCCTGTGGTCATCTGGCCCAGCTTCATCCTAAAACCATCTGGGAACCTCCCCAGAGCAGAGGACTGGAGTAAACGGGCTGGCTCAGCAGCAAGAAAAAATCAGCAATGCAAGATGAAGCGCTTTCCAAAAACAAAGTTTAGCTTCTAGACCAGAACTGTCCAAAGGGTCCTCTGCAGTGATGGAAATGTTTTCTGTCAACACTGGCCATTGCAGTAGCCACTAGCCGTGTGTGCCCATTGAGTTCTTGAGATGTGGCTGAGTCACTGGTGTGACTGAGGCTCTGAGTTTTAAATTTTATTTATTTTGATTAATTTAGATCTAAATAGCTACATAAGGCTACTGTATGAAAGAGGGTATGCCTGGCAGACATCTCCTTTATCCCCCCTCCACCCCAGCCTCCCTACCCTCCATATCTTGGCTATTGTGAACAGTGCTGCAATAGACATGGGAGTGCAGGTATTTCTTCAACATACTGATTTCCTTTCCTTTGGATAAATACCCAGCAGTGGGACTGGTGGATCCTATGGTAGTGCTATTTTTAGTTTTTTGAGAAACCTCCATACTGTTTTCCGTAATGGCTGTCATCATTTACATTCCCACCCACAGCTTGTAAGAGTTCCTTTTTCTCTGCATCCTCATCAGCATTTGTTATTTTTTTATAATAACCATTTTAACTGGGGTGAGATGACATCTCATTGTGGTTTTGATTTGCAAATCCCTGGTGATTAGTGATGTTGAACATTTTTATATATGTTTATTGGTCATTTGTGTATCTTCTTTAGAGAAATGTCTGTTCAGATCGTTTGCCCAGTTTTTAATGGGATTATGTGTTTTTGTTGTTGTTGTTGTTGAGTGCCTTATATATTCTGGATATTAGTCCCTTGTCCCATGAATATTTTGCAAATGTTTTCTTCAATTTTATAGATTGTGTCTTCACTCTGTTGATTCCATTGTTGTGTAGAACTTTTTAGTTTGATATAGTCCCATTCGTCTATTTTTGTTTTTGTTGTCTGTGCTTTTGAAGTCTTCCCCATAAAATCTTCACCTAGATCAATATGCTGCAGTATTTCCCCTATGTTTTCTTCTAGTAGTTTTATAGTAATGGGTCTTACATGTAAGTCTTTAATAGATTTTGAGTTGATTTTTCTGTATGATGAGAGATAGGGCTCTAGTTTCATTCTTCTGCAAATGGATATCTAGTTTCCCTAGTACCATTTATTGAAGACAATGTCCTTTCCCCATTGTATGTTCTTGGCCCCTTTGTTGAAAATCAGTTGGCTGCAAATACATGGATTTATTTCTGGGTTCTCTAACCTGTTTTATTGGCTTATATGTCTGTTTTTATACCAATATCATGCTTTTTTGGTTACTATAGCTTTGCAGTCCATTTTGAAGTCAGGTAGTGTGGTGCCCCCAGCTTTGTCTTTTTGCTCAGGATTGTTTTGGCTCTTCAGGGTCTTTTGTGGCTCCATACGCATTTTCGGGTTGTTTTTTCTATTTCTGTGAAGACTGTCATTGGTATTTTGATAGAGATTGCATTGGATCTGTAGATTGCTTTCACCATTCTTATTTAACATAGTACTAGAAATCCTAGCTAGAGATAGGCAAGAGAAAGAAATAAAAGGCATCCAAATTGGAAAACAGGAAGTAAAATTGTCACTCTTTGTAGACAATGTGATCTTATATATAGAAGAACCTAAAGACTTCACCAAAAATCTCTTAGACCTGATAAAAAAATTCAGTAAATTGGCAGGATACAAAATCAACACACAAAACTCAGTAGCATTTCTATACACCAATTACAAACTAGCTGAAAAAGAAATCAAGAAAGCAATCTCATTTACAATTGCTACAAAAAAATACTTAGGAGCAAATTTAATAAGGAAATGAAAGTTCTCTACAATGAAGACTATAAAACACTGATGAAAGAAATTGAAGAGGACACATACAAAAAAGAAAGACATCTCATGCTCATGGGTTGGAAGAATTAATATTGTTGAAATGACCATACCACCCAAAGGTATCTACAAATTAAAGGGACTGGGGGTTTTGACTCCTTTTGGAATGATCTATGTCAGTTCCTCAGAGCAGCTTCTTCCAACAGCTGAGATAGCCCCACAGGTGGGGCTGGGCTGGGCTTCTTCCCTGTGGCTCTATTTCAGGAAGGGCATTATGGGGTTGGGATCATCTAGAATGCAGTACCAGGATTAAAGGCCACTGCTTCTCCTTCTCCCTGGAAAAATGCAGAGTTATATCACTTACAGCACTAAAGCTCATCTGATCCAACCAACCCCACATGTTACAGGAGAGGCCAGGAGGCAAGAAGGGCTAAGCGGCAGGGTTGAGAGAGGATCCAGGTCTCCTGATCCCCAGCCCAGAGGTTTCCCCTACACCATGCCTCAATTCACCGGGGTGAGTTTCTCTTGATTAAGTCTCGGGCACATGCTTAATTCCCCTCTTGGGAGGGATGGAGATAGGGCTGTTACCAGAGGTTTATAATAGAACAGCCCCACCTCCATCTCTCTGCAGCCCCTTTCTGATCTCTGGCCTTATCCTTCCCTTTGGGGAGGCTTTCTGGGTGATAGCCTATTCCATCTCAAGATGACCATGGAAATAGGATTTGCTGATGACTTTTAGGCTTGGGCCAGGTATATATGGACTTGGCAGTTTTCGTGGGTTCTCAATCCCTGTGAAATAATTGAGACCAGGCCAGAATGAAGTGTCAAGTGTGGACCACAAAGTGGTGAGCAGACAACCCATCACCAGGTGCCTTGAAACACAGGGAGAGGATTCTGCCTCAGGAGACAGAGGACATATGGGAGCATGTCTCAGGCTATAGAGGAAGGCAGGGTCGGCCCCTCTGAGGACTGTTCTGGAGCAGAGGCACTTGACCATCCAAGAGAATATTGACTTGAGCTGCCAGGATGGGCTGTTGATTTGTGGCAAACTGTCCAAGGGTGGTCTCTGCAGGAAGCAGGTGGTCAGGGCCTTTTCCCTGCAGTGAATGACTCCTGTGATGGTAGAGGGTGAGTTGGACCCTTCGTGAACAGCTCGCAGGGCTCGGAGTTGTCCCTGTCGACCTCACTGGTCTCCTTCCTGGGGAGGGGAGGGGTAATGGTGGAGGGAGGCAGTTCACAGCTATAGGAGAAACTCCAGTAGAAGTTTATTGACTAAATAATCACCTTCTGTTGGCTGGGTGTGGTGGTTCACACCTGTAATGCCACACTTTGGGAGATTAAGGCAAGTGGATCACCTGAGGTCAGGAGTTTGAGACCAGCCTGGCCAACATGGTGAAACCCCATCTCTACTAAAAATACAGAAAATTAGTAGGGCATGGTGGCGGGCACCTGTAATCCCAGCTATTCAGGAGGCTGAGGCAGGAGAATCGCTTGAAACCGGGAGGAGGAAGTTGCAGCGAGCCAAGGTCGCACCACTGTACTCCAGCCTGGGCCACAAGAGCGAGACTCCATCTCAAAATAAATAAAAATTAAAAAAAAATTGCCTTCTGTCATGAAGGACTTATGTAAAAAAGAGAGGCTTTGGGTGGAAACTTGGACCCCAGATCTATTGGTTTGGTTGGGGTTTGCTTGTGGTAGAGATGGTCTAGGGTTTGGCATTTTCAATAGGTGCACTGTTGCCTGAGGGGACAAATACAAAGACCATAAGAAAGGGTGCTCCAGGCTACAGAGCCACTGAAAGACGGATGTCCCCGACATCTGGAACGTGCTGTGGAGGAGGGCGTTTGAGGTGCATCAACACTGCTGTCTCTGGGCAGGCACAGGTTCTTTGAGCCCTGATAGCACCTTGAACACTCCCCTCCCAGGGTAGCCCATATACAAAGAGATGCATACTGCGGTCAGGAGGGACAGAAAAGGGACGCGGAAAAGTCAGGCTGGTGAAGTCTCATTAGACAGAGTCAAAAGACTGGAGTTTTGGAGCCAGCCCTGCTGTGACTGCGTGTGACCTAGGGCAAGCTGCAGTCCTGTCTGAGCCTGTTTCCTCATTGGTAAAATGAGAGGTATTGGTCAGGGTTCCCGTAGGGTTCCAGTAGGAGACAGATGGCACAGTAAAGCTGGGTAATTTGATGGGAGCTGAATAAAGGGACTTTTACAAAGGTGTGGCAGAGTATGGGGGAAACACAGGGTGGTGCAGCCCCTGGAGTGGGTGACAGTGGGACTGCTGGGGCCTCAGACCTGAAGGGGTGAGGGAAGGGAGCATTAGGAGAGAGGGGGGATCACCTGATGGGAGCTGTGATCTTCATGACACAGGCAGCCTGTGGTAGCCCTGCGGGGAAAGCCCAGTCCAGTAAACACCCAGCCTCACGCCCCTCCCTCCGATCTGCTGCTGCTCCTCATTGGCTGAATGCAAGTAGAAGCAGAGGGCAAGGCTGCCGGTTGATGCTGTCCACACAGCTCTGCCCACCAGGCCACGGAGCAGGCAGGGCCGTGAATGTGAGGGGTGAGTGGACAATACCCAGCCCACGAGGCAATGGACTAGGTAGCCTTCCAGCTCCTGGAGGGAGGCAGGGTGAGAGGAGACATTTTTTGATTCCTGCTGATGTCTTGGGTCTCCACTCTTGCAAGACAGTGCCTCCCCTGCCTGCCCTGTTAAAGGTGGTGGTCATTCTCCTGCCGAGCAAACTTCCGACTCCAGCCTAGTCCTGGAGGAGGCGGAGGACCATCTCCCTCACTGAGCCATCCACCGCCACCATCCGTCACTCTGCCAGCCGTGTGAAGTAATGATAGATTAGTGCACATTAGGCCTCCCATCCTGCAGGCCTAAAAGCCGGGGCTTTACCAATCAGTGTGGGGTGAAGCGGTGTGAGGTGAGCCAGGCTCTGCGCAGGGAGCTGGAGGCGCCGGGAATTAATAAGCACTTGGAGACGGCGGGGATATTGAACTCATTCCTTAAATCAATCCTTAACCAAGAAAGATGAGGGAATGAAATTTTGGACAATTAGTGGGTAATGATGACCTTGTGAAAAGAGCTGTTGACAAAGGGTGAAGCGGGGAGAGGGTGAGCGCTGGGGGTGGGGGGAACTGGAGGAAAATGCGCATGGTAGTGAGTCTGCAGGGCTGGGGGGACCCTCTCAGACAGGAGGGAGCGTTGCGTGGGGGTTCTTGCAGATCGGCTTTGGGGGAGCAGACAGGTGGGAGGAGTCCCCATGTGGTTTTAGAAAAAGAGACAAGGTCAGAAAAAGAGACAAGCTAGAGAGAGCCTCTGGAGACGTGCACAGGGTGACCCAGAATGCAGGTGTCCCTCCTCCTCCCACCTCTCCATTCCCTTCTTCAGGGACCCCCACCCATGTCCCCAGCCCCATGTAGGGTGAGGGACCAGCAGTCCTCTCTGTCCTTGGAATCTTAGAGTACTTGGAGCAAGGGGCGTTTTCATCATCCTCCGTCTGCTCCAGCATTCACAGGAGCAGGACCAGAATCTTAGAGGCAAGGGCCTTGCCCTGGCACCACTGGTGGGACCCTAGCTCTCCTCCCAGTCCCAGCTTCCCCGATTCTCTGTCTTTTTGACCGCCCCCGTGGTTGAGCAGATACCTGCCCCGGCCTGCAGGTCTGGCAGAAACATTGGTGTTCTCCTTCCCCTGGCAGGACATGGCATCCTGCATTGGTGCTGTGGTCACCGTGACTCCAACAAGAGCCACAGCAGCAACAGCGGCCTTCACCATGCAGGAGTCCTCTTCAGCAGCTTCTTCAAGCAGAGCTTGAGACAAGGCTCCAGGACCTGTGACTTCCTGGGGTGCTTTTCAGAAAGAAACCTGAAAGGGAGGGAGGGAGGCAGGGTGGGAAGAGGAAGGAGCTGAGCGAGGACATGGCGTCACATCCATCAAGTCCACCTTTGGTGGTCCCCCGGGGCAGGGCTTTGGAGCCTGAGCTGGACCTCCGAGTGGTGCCCTGGTGGGGAGTGAGCCAGCCTCTGGCATTAGGCAGTTACTGCCTGTGAGCTGTCAGGAAGGGGAATTGACCACCTCCTGGACAGGGGCTGCAGTCAGCTGAGGGCCGTGCTTGTGGGGAGGGAGGTGGGGATGGGGAGTGGGGGTCTTCAGCAGCCCACCTCACAGCAAATGGGGGAAGGGGCATCACAGTGTCCACTTCAAAGGCCCCCCTCCCATTCTATGAGGGATGACGACAATAATAAGAACCTCTTACACCTGTATAGAACATCACAAACTACTGGTTCCTTTCAAAAAATTATCTTACTCAACTCACTTGGCAAGAAGGATTTGATCTCCATTTTACAGACAGGACGCTGAAGCCCAGAGAGGTCACATGGCATGCCCTGATAGGCCAGGAAGCTGGGCCTGAACCCATCGCAGCTACTGAGTGGATTCAGCTCAGATTGTCCACCCTGTAGACTTCCCTGTAAGAGACTCTGCTGTCTTCATGGGAGAAAGAAATGGCCCCAAATAGAGCATGCTATGAGTGTCTTGCACACAGTTCCCCCACCCTACCCACCACCTGCTTAGCCAATCTCTTCTGCAAAACGCAAAATATCCAGAAGAGCTCTCCTCTCTGGAAACGCCCCTGGCAGGCTGAGCGGTGTCAGGAAGGAGGCACAGCTCACCACCCTGGCCTCCACAGGTGCTCTCCATCTGCCCCATCTCTCCTAACACGCACCCAGGTTCTGACTCAGGCCTTCCTCCTGTTGCTATTATTATTGTGATTATAGAGAAGAGGTTATTCTGTCTTTAGTGCAGTCTTTTTGGTAGAAAGATGAACAAAAGGAGCTACACTTAATTTAAAATGACAAGTTAGGTTTCATTCTGGAATTTTTTTTTTTTTCGGCAGACGGTCTCTTAGTAAATTACATCTGACACCCCAAAATAAATTGTGCAGAAGGACACTTTATGCAGTTTCTGTGGACTCATGGGGCCCAGTTCCTGGGATGGCAGGGTGAAGGGAGCTTGGAGAAGGACTGGCCAGTTGTACAAACTGTGTGTATGTGACCTGCCGGGATGGTCCGGCTGCCGCGGTGCTCCTGCTCCGCCTGCGGGTAGGAAGGAACCCAGCAGCGCTGGCCGTCTCACCCAACCACCCGGGGTCAAGAAGGAGCTATCCTGGTCTACGATGCCTTCTTCACAAGGATTAGCTGCAAAAAAGAAAATGAAACAAAATGGGGCAGGGAAGCTTTAGATAAGGAACCAAGGACGTGGCATCTTTGAAAGTTTTCCCAAAGGAGATGTCAGTGCTCGCTGAGACAGCCAGAATTTACTTTAGCTATTACTATGGATGAATAATTATGGGCAAGCCAGCAAGTATGCGGGTTCACCGCAGGTTAATTGGGAATAATGGGTTTCATTCCAAACCATGAGAAATGATATTTCAGAGAGAGAGAGAGAGAAACTGACTCTGTTCTCCCTCACTGAGTGTCAGGACCATCCCTTCCCTGCACATTTGGCTCTGCTGGTCCCGGCCAAGTCTCTCGAGTCTAGACATCTGGGCCTGGGCTTTTGTTGGGCAGACGGTGGAGGGTCGGAGGCTGGGGGCTGAAGCCAGGGAGATCAGGTGGCTCAATTGCATCATTTTCCCTTCTGAAATCAGACTGGGCAGCCTGGCGTTTAATCCTTCAGCGAATGTGTATTGAGTGGCTGCGTCAGGCAGGACGCTGCGGTCTGTGCACCTCCGTGAAACCACATGGTGCTGAACAGAAGCTGCCTGGGGTGATGGAGGCAGCATCGACCAGATAGTGCAGTCTAACAGAAATAAAATGCTAGCCCCACATGCGAGCACATGTGGGATTTTAAATCTTCCAGCAGCCACTTTAAAAAAGTAAAAAGAAACAGGTGACTTTTATTTTATTTTATTTTTTGAGTTGGAGTCTCACTCTGTCACCCAGGCTGGAGTGCAATGGCACGATCCTGGCTCACTGCAACCTCCACCTCCCGGGTTCAAGCAATTCTCCTGCCTCAGCCTCCCAAGTAGCTGGGATTACAGGCATGCGCCACCACGCCCGGCTAAATTTTGTATTTTTAGTAGAGATGAGATTTCACTATGTAGGCCAGGCTGATCTCAGGTCACCATGTTGAACTCCTGACCTCAGGTGATCCACCCACCTGGGCCTCCCAAAGTGCTGGGATTGCAGGCATAAGCCACCGAACCCAGCCTTATTTTAATAATGTATCTTCTTTAACCTGTTATATCCAAAATGGTATCAGATTATTCCTTCAACATGTGGCCTATATATGAAATTAATGAGATATTTGAAACAGCACATCTCAGTTTGGACTGGTGGCTTCCCTCCCCAGGTATTCTCCCTCTGCCCCATCTGTAAGTCACTGAGCTGTAAGTGCTCAGTAACTTACATCAAGTGCTCAGTAACCATATATGGCCAGTGGCCATCATGCTGGATGGTGCAGGAGCAGATCATCACTGATCTCACAACCACACACAACTGTGGGTGTTCTGCAGAGGAGAGGGTCACACAGTGTCCAGTGGGCAGGCCTGATAGTTGGGCAGGAGCTGGAGGGCATCAGAGGAATTACCATTTGATGCAGTCTGAAGGAGAGGCAGCAGTTACCAAGACAAGGGAGTTAAGGCAAAAACATTCCAGGCAGAGGGAAGTGCATGTGCAAAGGCCACATGGGGAGTTGAAGGCTGAGAAGGCCACGGTGGCTGGAATGTGGTGAGCAAGGAGAAGACGAGCTGGAGGTGAGGTTGCTCCATCAGGTAGGAGCTGGCGGGACTGGAATGCACCGTGAGCATTTTGGTTTGATAGGAGGAATCGCGTATAAGCAAGGGTTGATAGGATCAGATGTGGGTTTTCTGAAGCTCCCTCTGGCTGCTGGGAGGAGCCTGGCCTAGGAGAATGCAGGAGGCCCATCTTGGAGGCTGCTGCAGAATGCTGCCTGCCCAGCAGGGGTTCAGGGGGGAAAGGCTACATCCCCTGAGGCCAGGCCAGTGATGGCCTCTTCAGAGCTGCTGCCCCTTCCCCCCGGCCTCACAAAGTCTGAGAGGCACCAGCGTGGTTAAAACTTACCCATGTTTTGAGCAGATCAGTGCAGTTTGACCTGCCTGGAAGTTAGGGCTGTAGATGGAGATTTCAGCTCCAGTTCCTAGCTATGTAACCTCAGACAGATTTCACATTTCTTCTCTCTATCCATGGGCCTTCTTTTTTGTTTGTTTGTTTGTTTGTTTGTTTTGTTTGTTTGTTTGAGACGGAATTTCGCTCTCATTGCCCAGGCTGGAGTGCAATGGCGCAATCTCGGCTCACTGCAATCTCTGCCTCCCGGGTTCAAGCGATTCTCCTGCCTCAGCCTCCCCAGTAGCTGGGATTACAGGCCGGCGCCACCATGCCTGGCTAATTGTTTTTGTATTTTTAGTAGAGACGGAGTTTCTCCATGTTGGTCAGGCTGGTCTCAAACTCCCAACCTCAGGTGATCCGCCCGCCTCGGCCTCCCAAAGTGCTGGGATTACAGGTGTGAGCCACCGTGCCCAGCCATCCATGGGCCTTCTTTAGCTGTATAAAAATGAAGCAGCAGAAGGGCATGTGGACCAAGGGTTTCTGAAACGTCATGAGAGTAGGATGGAGTCTCCCTCTGGGTTGTCTTGGGGCACAACCTCTTCTGCCCCGGCTGGCCCTGGGCTTGGGCACTTTCTTTCTTTACCCCCAGGGTGGGAGCCATGGTCCATCACCCTGGGGCTGTTTGCCTTTATCAAGATGCCCAGCTCCATGGTGGCTCTGCCCACTGGAGCCATGTGTCTATGAAAGGCAGGGCTGTAAGTCAGCGTTCAGGTGAGGAGAGAGGATGCCCCTTGGAACTCTGCATCAACTATGACCTCAAGGGCCATGACCAAGCTGAGTGTGTCCAGGGGAGGAAGGATAGGAGCAGGGAACCTGAAAGGCACATCCTGAGGGGCAGTTTGGCCTGACTCTGCTGTGTTCTCCACCCTGTAGCTGTAAGAATCGAAACCTTTATTCACTTGTACTTTTATTTAGAAGATATTTATTTATCCAGGATTGCTGTGTGCCAGGTGGCGTGCCAGGGCCTGGGATGCCAAAGTGAGTGTAGACAGGGTCAGAGAGAGCATTTCAGAGACGATGACTTGAATGACAAGGCGGAGCCAGCCAGAGGCGGATCTGGGAAGAGAGCTTTCCAAGCAGAAAGGAAGTACATCAGAGGCCATGAGCTGGGAACGAGCTTGCTGGAGGAACAGACAGGAGGACCATCAGGCTGGAGCAAAGGGAACAAGGAGATGCAGCCAGGGAGGACACGAACCAGATCATGAAGGGCCTTTGGGCCTAGTGAGGAGTTTGGGTTTATCCCGGTTGTGAATGGAAGACACTGGGAGGTATTAAGCAGTGGAGCAGTGTGATCTGATTTATATCTTTAAAGCTCTCCCTGGCTGCTGAGTAGAGGGTAGACTGGAAGAGGGGAAGCAGGAGGCCAGTGGGGGTGCTCCTGGGGTGACAGATGCTGGTGCATGGATCAGAGTCTGAGCAGTGATGGGATTCTGGACGCATGTTGGAGGCAGAGCCAGCAGGATTTGCTGATGGACTAGATGTGGGGATGTGGGAAAGAGAGAGGAATCAGTGTGACTCCAGTAGCAGTATGAATGGTGGTGAGCTCCCCATGGCGGCAAACCCTGGGCGGGGAGAGCAAGGGGGCACAGAGTTCTATTTTGTTCCTGTTTAGTTTGAGAAGCTACCAGCCGTCCCAGGGAAGATGTCAAGTAGGCAGCTGGCGATATGGATCTGGAGCTCAGGGGTGAGGGCCCTGCTGATGTAACTATGGGCACCGTCTGATGACATTTAAAGCCCAGAGATGGATGAGATCACCCAGGGAGTGGGGGATATGTGTATAGCTGGAGGGGCTTTGTGACTTCCTCCTCCTGCTTTTCAGAGCTCAGCCACCCTGCCTGGCAGGGCTACCTGGCACCTGGAGCAGTTTTGCTGTGGGCACGGTCTGTCCTGGGTGCAGGAGTCCACCTCCATTCCTGAGTAGAGCTGAGCCTGGGCAAGGTGTCTCTGGCCTGGCAGGACTGGGACAGGGGACGGAGGGAGACCCTGCCTTTGGTCTTCACTTCCTTTCTTGTCATGGGGGCCTCTGAAGGGAGCTTGGAGCCATTCTTCCTGCCTTTTCCTTATAAGTCCCCCACCTGCCTGGGAGACAGGAGAAATGAGGGAGAGGAAAAAAGGTAGGAAATAGAGGAGAGAAGAAGAGACTGAGAGGGCAGAGGGAGGCGAGGCCCAAAAGGGGCTCCCCAGGGATCAGGAGGGGCCAGAAGACTTGGGGCGAGAGCTGGGGCAGGGCAGAGGTAATGAGAGAGGAAGGGGGAAAGAGAAGGACCGAGAGAGTTTTTAAAAAAGATGTTCCTTTCTCTCTTCTGTGCTGGTGGTGGTGACTAGTTCCCCAGAGCCCCTACTCTCCTGAGTAAAATGGTCTGAAGCTGTTTGACAAGGTCAGCTGCCCTGTGGACACCTGCTGTATATCAGGGACTTCATGTGTACTCTCTCCACTCTGCACCAACCCTGTGAGTCCGTGGCTTCACCTCCATTTCCCAGATGACAGACCTGATGCTTGGGGAGGTTTATAGTTTGCCCAGGGTCATGGGATTTTGGGGTGGTGGAAGCAGGATTCAAACCCGTGCCTGCCAGATGCCAAGTCCAGGCCCCTGTGCCATCCCACCTCACTTCTGGTTTATTTCCCTCAGCAGCTAAGCCCAGATTCCTGAAAAATTGTGAACTTTTGGAAAATACTGTTTCTAACGTGCTGTGAGGGGTTGGTCATAGGGGTTGCCCTAGTTTGAGAGATGAGCCCGGCTGTGCTCAGACAGGGAAATCTGCTGTCCGGGAGTCTCCCAGCCAGCTGCCGGCAGTCCTGCCACTGAAGTTTGCCTGTGCTCAGTTGTACCTCCTGCCCCTGAGCCCCCTCCCTGGTGGGGACAGCTGTTAGTAGCTGCAGTCACCTGCCTGGAACTGGCAAACAGATGGACCTGGGTTTCTGGGACAGTTCCAATTTCAAATGTTCTCTGGTTGTCAGACAAATGTACTGCTTTTTAGTTCAGAAATTATGGGGCACCTTATGCATGGCTATAAATCCTGTCAGCTCTAGTAGGTTCTGTCCCAGAAGGGAGTGGCCTCCAGAAAGGTAGCATGGTAATTTTTAAAGGCTGGCCAAGAATTGGGATTGGGGTCTGAGTGGATCCTGGAGGGGTCATATGTAGAAGAAGCTGTCCTCTGTCCAAAACTCCACGAGGCCCACAGGAGACATGCCAGACCTGGTGAGAAAGGTCCAGTGGGACAGGATTATTGTCCCCATTTTACAGGTGAGGAAAATAAAGCTCAGAGAAGTAATGCACTTGCCCAGGGTCCATGGCAAGTCAGGGATGAAGCTAGAACTTGGGCCCAGGTCTCCTAACTCTTGGTTTAATATTCTCTCCACTACCCTATTCTCAAGAAGAAAGACCTGTGATGTAGATCCAGCAGGCCCCTCACGTGCAGCGATCCAGGTTGTGTACTGCACAACTCCATTGGCACAGTGATGAGGTGAAAAGCACTCCAAGCTGTGCAGTGCAACAATTCTGAGTCCAGGGCAGCCTGGCCCTTCTCTGTCCATCCATTGAACTTCTGCCATCAGACCTCTCTGCCACTAATAGAAGATGGAGGAAAGGGGTGCACTTCCAGCCTCCAGAAACATGTGTGGTGGCTCCACCTCTGGTTTAGCTTCGTTCAGGCCACAATGGACCTCCACCCCACCCCACCCCTGCAAATCCAACAACCCTGCCCCCAGGTAGACAACCTTCTCTCATCTGCCCACTCAACACCATTTGCTTAGGGATGGGACTGGAAGGAGGGAGGTTTGGCGGCTTGGGTGAGAGGTGAGTTCAGAGGACAGCTACATTTAGGCCTGCTTCTTCCTCATTCTCTCTTGCCCTCCACCCACATCACTGGAATTAAAACGGTGGCACAAGCTCTTCTCGAATATGACGCATCTGTGCCTCGTGTGCATGCGGGGAGGATTTATAGGTGAGGCCCAGAGGACTGATCTTCACTCTGCTCCAGTGGCCAGGCTGCCACTGATTGATGCCCCGTGCACTGCACAGCCAGGACGGATCTTTTTATAGGCTCCGCCCGCCTTCCCATAACTCAGGAGGGAGGCTGTAAATCCTCAGGGGTGGCAGAACAATCCTCTATTAGGACAGCCACCTGGAGTTTCTGGCAGGTTCCTCTAGCCAGCTCCACATCTCATTGTCAAGGCAGCTGTGAGCTGAGGGGACATGCCCAGGATGGGGAGCCAGGACAGCTGGCCAGCTCAGAACTTCCAGGCGGGAAAGGGCCTATAAAGGTCACCTGGTGTGACAGATTTTCAGCCTGTGCCTTCCCTCTGCTGATGGAGAACTCACTATCTACCTGCCCAGTCCATCACTGGAGCGCTCCTCCACTTCAGTTCACAAGCCCTTTCTTCTCCCAAGCTGAAATCGGCCTTCCTAGGGTTTCCATCTTGTTTAGTCTCCTTGGAGCCAAATAGAAGGAGCCTAAAGATAGAGTAATGGTTATGTGCAACTTCTCTGCTAGCTTCAGAACCCAGCTCATTTAATTCTCACAAATCAGTTCTATAGAACAAAACATACTGTGGTGGCTGAATATTAAAGCAGGATGGAGCGAGCCCAGATGGGTGGACAGGAGCTCCAGATTCCCCCTCTGCCCTCTGTTTCCCAACATGGGTGTGGCGGTAACCGTAGACGTTGGGGGTTGCAGGCCTCAGCATCTGGGTCTCCACGTTCTCTTTGTTCTAGGCTTTGGTTGAATCTTGTGGCTTTCAAACTTCAGGGTATATGAGCAGTATGTTGCAGGATCGAATATACCTACATATACAAATCTCTGTGGGTGATTTAGGAGATTTGCCAGGGTGATTTTGACTATATGCAATGTTACCCTTTCGAGATGACTTTTGAACTTAACCTCCACCTGAGAAGTAATTCAATTAGATTTCTTTTTTTTCTCTCTCATTTCTTTTCCTCGAAAAAATTTTTTCTTACTTTTCCTTTCCTGTTGAGGTACAACTGATAAGCAGTAAAGTGCACAAGTGTTAAGTGTCCAGCTGGAGGAATCTTTACAGATAGATACACCTGTGTGGCCCCACCCAGACCAAGATACAGGACATTTTTATCATCCTAGAAGGCTACTTCGTGCCTTTGGCATCAATGCCCTCTCCCCTCCCAGAGGTAACTATTGTTTTTTTTGTTTTGTTTTGTTTTGTTTTTCTATCACCACAGATTACTTTTGCCTGTTCTTGAACTTCTCCCAATGGAATCATACAGTAAGCACTATTTTGTCTCTAGCATCTTGTGCTTGGCATAACGTCATTTTTGTTGTGGGAAGTTTCTTATTTTACAGTGCTGCATAATATTCCTAAAGCAACACAACACTACCCTATTTAAAGGCATTTAAATTGTGGGCCATTCTCTCTCTTTCTACAAGTCAAACTAATGTTTATATTGTGGTAAAATATACATCACATAAAATTTAACATTGGAGCCATTTTTAAGTGTGCAGTTTGGTGGCAGTAAGCACATTCACGTTGTTTCACGACCATCACTGCCATCGGGCCACTCTCTTTTTAAAAATTGCCTGATTGTCCCCAAGCTCCTCTTCTGGGCTCAGCCTGAACCTTACTTCTCAGGGTGGTTGGCCCTGATCCCATCTTTGCTCCCCAGCACTTGTTTGTCCCATATGGTGGCACTTATCACGCATGGTTCACTGTTTTTCATGTTGCTGGCAGCAAGTGTGTCATAGGATCAATTCCGTGGGCCTCAAATCATCTCAGAAAAATAGAAAATATTAGATTGGCTCCTCTGTAGTAGAGGTAAATATTGCTTTGTGGAGCTTTTGTTTCAGTTCCGCGTGTATATGCACACATGTATTTGTGGGTAGTGGGTCATGATGCAAAGCATACTTTTTATTGTGGGTTGTTTTCAAAGACTTGAAAGCCACTGGTGGTGTAACTGCTGGCTTGCTGCTCCGTGAGGGCACTTCTGTTTTCCCAGAACCATGGTTGGCACATAGTAGGTGCTCACTGAGTGCCTAGAAGCACAAGAATCAGTGTTTGTCCCTCTGAGTGCTCATCCTCACTTAAATCATATTCATTAAGAAGTTGGTGGTGGGTGGGTGCAGTGGCTCATGACTGTAATCCCCCAGCACTTTGGGAGGCCAAGGAGGGCAGATTGCCTGAGCTCAGGAGTTTGAGACCAGCCTGGACAACATGGTGAAACCCTGTCTCCACAAAAAACAAACAAACAAAAATTTAGCCAGGCATGGTGGTACACGCCTGTAGTCCCAGCCACTTAAGGGGCTGAGGTGGGAGGATCTCTTGAACCTGGGAGGTTGAGGCTGCAGTGAGCTGAGATCACACCACTGCACTCCAGCCTGGGTGATAGAGCAAGATCCTGTCTAAAAAAAAAGTGGAGATTATGTGACCAGCTTCTCAAGTGAACACATCCTTCTGCTGGTTTCCTGCCACAGGGTACTCCTGAGCTTCTTTCTTCACCCGTGTGGCTGCCTGTCTTTGCTGTGCTGTTGATCCCTTGGATGAGAAGCATAGCCCCTTACATTCATCGCTATTATGTTTCACCTCCTCCCACTCAGTACATTGCTCCGGCCTGTCAAGATTTTCTGAGATCCTCATCTGATCCCATCTGACTTCACGTATTCAAGGATCTTGTGAGCTTCTACTTTAGGTGTTTGTCCCAGTCTTTGAGAAAAAGTTGAAGAACCTAGGGCTGAGGGCTAAGGCTGTGACCTCATGTCACGAGCCACGGGCCTGCCTCCAGGGTGGCTTTGCTGTCCTCGTGGGCACACCTAGACTTCTCTTCCCTGCACCTGGGCACTCCTCCCCTGATCCCTGCATGGCTTCTCCCTCACCTACTTAGGCTCAGATTTCAGCTTCTCAGCAAGGTCCTCCAGGCCACTCTGTTTAAGCTGCCATCCTGCTTCTAGCTCTGGCATACTGGATTCCCTTCCCAGCTTTATTTTTCACCTTAGCACTTATCACCACATAACAGATACATCATTTACTTATTTATGTTCTTAATCACCTCTTCCTCCCTAGTAGAATAGAGCAGAAGGGCAGGAATAAATTCCTAGGGCAAGGGTGTGTGTGTGTGTGTGTGTGTGTGTGTGTGTGTGTGTGTGTCCCCTTAGGGCCTAGAGCAGTGCCTGGCATATAGTAGGCACTCAATAAATGCTTATTGAATGCATGAATGAATGACATTAGAAATTATATTCTACCTTACCCTCATGGATGTGATATCAGCACAGAGTTCAGCTGCAAGTCAGGAAAAGTAAAACCCACCAACTAGAGTATTTTAAACCAATGGGAGTATTTATTTCTCACATGGCAAGATATCTGGAGGTTGAGTGTCTGATGCTGGTGAAGTGGTTCCACGGTGTCACTGGGGAACTAGGCCTTTTATCTCCTTTGACTCTCCTGTTCTTTGCCTGTTGGCTTGTTACCTCATGATCACAAGGTGGCTGCTGCACCCTTAGGTATCACATCCACGTTCTAGGCAGAAAGCAGTGAGAGAGAGAGAGAGAGAGAGAGAGAGAGAGAGAGAGGGCTTTTCCTTGGGAGGCTTTGTCCTTTTGTTTAGGAAACAAAGCCCTTTCTAGCCTACTTCTCCCTCCCAGAATAGGAACATGTGCCCATCCTTACACCATGGCTACCCAAGGAGGATGAGCTTTCCAATCTTAACTCAGCCTTTGGGGCTGGTGCTGGCTCCTGGGGTGAAAGGGTCTCCATCTATCACATGGACAAATTGGAGTTCCATTAGCAAAGAAAAATGGGGAGAGGGAGCGACCACATCATAAGAGATATCAAAACCTTTCAGAAGATCTCTTATGCTGTTTCCTGCCTTTTCCTGATCTAGAAGAATCATGGTTACTCCAACTCACCTTGTCCACAGAGAGCTCATGTGGGTTGTGGTGACCGCTGCACCCTCTTCTAGGGCCTCACTGGTCTCCCTCAATTAACCCTTCGAGAATCCAGCCCAGGTGTGAGGTCCTGGCCATCCTTCCCACCAGGGCTCTCTCCCAGCTCCTCAGCATCCCCCTTCCCCAAAAGGTCCCCAGAAGGTACCACTGCACCAAGATCATGTCTCCAGGCCCCAGGTCTATCCTCATGGTCTGAAGTAAGTGCCATCGTGGCCCCTCTAGCACCAATGCTCATGACTGAATCTTGCCTTTCCCATCCTCCCACACGCTGTAGGTCACTGAGTGTCCTTCTGTGGCTGGGAATGGTGGTCTGGGTTATGCAGAGGGTGTGCCTAGAGTGACCACTATTGTGGGCCAAGTCAGGGTGCTGAAAAGCCTCAAAGGATTTCCTCTCCAATGTATAAAACGTTGGATTCCAAGCATCTTAAACAGCCCTAGACCCCAGGACTAGGAATGGGTCATTCATTTCTGGAGGTTCTTGGTCTTTCCCTGACCTCTGTGGCTCCTGGGTACAGGTCTGCAGTAGAGGAGGGGAAGGAAAATATTTCAAGATGGGCACAGTGGGTGCCACCACAGCCAGACGCTGGCCATCAAGTGGAAGACAAGGCCCTCTGGGCATTGTGTGAGTTCTACTACATGGACTTCAAGCAAATTTCTTAAACTCCCTGAGCCTCAGTTTTCTCATCTAGAAAGTGGAGGCAGCAATAACTGTGAGACAATTGTTTGAAATCAAATGAGATCATGGTCGTGAAAACATCCTGTGAACCTGACAGACTTAGAATCATTATTACTCAAGCTAAGTTCAGGAACGTGGAAGGTCTAGAGGAAGATCAACTCTCAAAGCAAAAATTAGAACCTCATTGAGACATAGGTGTAAACAACAGCTTAAAATGTTGTCCCTTTAAGAGTAAGGACATTTTAAAAGAGGTGCAATTTCAGCTCGTCTAAAGACACAGAGTTTAGAAGCTACTGCATGGAGGACTTTGAGATATTAAGCGGAGACTGGATGCTGGTTGTCTGGCCTGTTTTAAAATGTGGGTTCATGTGGATGCTATGGAAACAGGCCTTGGAAGGGGGAGGCTTCAGGTACCCAAAGGTGAAGGAGATATTTGAGAGCCGGTGATTTTTCTGCTGTTTACCATGCTGGGACTGTTGAAGCCTATGCTTCCCTAGCCTGGCTACTCATTAGGATTCTGGAGAAGCTTTCAAAAATCCTGCTTCCCAGGCCCCACGCTTGGAGATTCCCATCAGTGGGGCTGAGTGGGGGCCCAGGAACCCTGGATCCTCCATGCAACCCCAGATGATTCTGATGTGCAGCCAGGTTTGGGGCCCCGGAGGGGTGCACAGGGCTGTCTGTGCCTAAGGCAAGCAGGCATTTCTGGGACCTGGCACCACCAGCTCTGTTCCCAGCCCAAGGGGCAGAGCAGGCAGCCTCTGAGGAAGTTGGGCTGAGGCTGAGTCCACACGGTTCCATCTGATGGGAAGAGGGGGTTGTGAGCTGGTGAAGCCTTCCTTTTGAATAGGAGAATTTTTAAATGGTTGACTACTGTTAAACCAAATTGCATTAGCTTTCCACACGAAGCTCCTGACTGTCCACTCTGCACACAGGAAGAGGAATTCCTGTGGGTGATGCCAGCTCAGGATTTGCAGGTGTCCTCAGCAGTGCTTCTGGCTAGAGGGGTGAAAATGATTTTAAACATTTAGTCCCTTTTCCAGCAATTTTTTTTTATTATCTAAAATGAATCTGGGAATCTGCAGCCACATACATTTTCAGCCCATTTGCAAGTCATTCACGCAAGTGAACATTTCATCCGACAAATGGGAAAAGCTATGTCTCACCCGGAGAACAAAACATTTCAAGGGGCAACAGCGGGAGGTACATTCATGGATTAATTTAAAATAAAATCCTGTGCCTGTGTTCCTATTACCACCTCAGAGGTTGGCACGTATATTCAACCTTACACCCCTCTTTCATTTAAAATTAAAAAAAATACTTTGCAACAAAACTTTAACCTTCCCTTTAGAAATCAGCCCAAAAGGTCAGAGCTGTGCTCCTGTAGATTTCCTGGGCTCAGCTGGGAACTGATTAAAGCTGCTGGCTTTGGCTTGTCAGCTTTGTCATAGACAACTATATACACTCTTTGTTATTCCCTTTGCTTCATATTATAAATATATTTATCTTCCTCTGTCAGGCGTCTGCAGGACAGGTGCTAGGGGGCTGGGAGTCCTGCTTAAATGCTTCTAACAATGTCCCCTCTTAATGACATTAGTGCAGGAGAAAGGGACGAAGATGGCAGGAGATTCTGGACCCAGGGCTGCTGTGGGGCTAAAGAGAATACCTGGCACAAAGCCTTGTACATAGTAGGTGCCCTTCTCTCCACCCCCAGATTTGATTCCTGTGTGATCAGCAATGGGATTGTTGTGATCCAGGGGTGGGATCTTGTAGCTGCCGTGACATGGGGTGTGTGGGATGATGGCAGGTCAGGACCTTGCACTCCCTTGCTCACTTTGACTAATTAGAACAGAGCTGATTTGTTTTCTTATCAAAGGATGAATAGCACCCTGCTAGCTGTGATCAGGAAAGCAGAGCATGGGTGGAATGGCTCCCTTGGGAGTGAGGAGGGAGGCTGGCTACGTTTGCCCGTGGAGATGTCACTAGACATGGCCTAGGTACTGTTGTCCGTGTGGGGTTGTCAATACCACATATGTTCTGATCCAGGAGCTGTTAGCTGCTGGCACGTCTCTGGTCCCATTTATTCTCTAAAACCTGTAAGGCGTTGGTCCCATTTCCACAGCTGGAGAGTCATAAGCCTCAAGGGTTTAGGAGGAGTGGTGGTCTGGTTGAGTCCGGGCTTCCCCACAAAGCATGGTCAGTGAAGAAGAGAGAGCTTTGGTGGGTGGCTGCTCATATTGGAGGCACCTGACTCAGGGTTCCAAGGCCGGTGGGAAGGGACAGGTTGGGGTTTAGGGGGTTCTGCCTGGCTCTGTGACCTGGGGAAGTTCATTTCCTCTTGCGTTGCTCTGTTCTCTCAGTACAGAGGAAATTGGACTGTGATGATAAAGTCCTCTCATCTTAGACACCACCCAGAGGTGGTATAGGTCCACCCAGAGATGGTGCAGCTGTGAGTTCACCAGACTAGGGAGGACTTGAATTGCCTGCTTTAGTGTCTAGCCCTGGTTAACGAAGGCAGAAGGAACTGGAAGGGGGCACGGACAGGGTGCACAGCCACAGAGGAAAGAAGGCTCCAAACCAAGGGGCTGGCAGGAGTCTTGACTCAGGGAGCAGCATCTTCTCCCTCCTCTCGGGGGCCGGGCTCTGCCGTGTCCTGACACAGGGAGTGGTGGCCGAGCACAGGGCCACCACTGGATCCCCAGCTGTGGCTGTCTTTAAGAACAGGCCTGGGACGTGCAAGGTGAGGCTGCCTGGAGTGGTCAAGTGGGACCGATGACCCACCAGGTGCTGGTGGCTTGAATTTTGAAATTTGGACCTCTCTGTGGAGGCCATGCTGGTGAGAAGGGGGACTGATGTTTAATCATGAACATTCCATGGAGTACAGTAGAACCAAGGTGTGGAAAGGTGGTGGGAGCTATCAGAACCAGCCAGGGGTAGGGGAGATCCCAGCAGTGCAGGTGTCTGGGCCATGCCTGGACATTCACTTCCAGGCTGCTGTGAGAGGACCCATGTGCTGGGCAGGAAGTTGGTTCGGGGGCCTCTGACCCTCCTTCCAACCTGGAGACTTTGGGACTCCAGGCCACATTGGCTGAGGGGATCAGATGTGTCCCCAAGTGCAGGTGTGGCCATCGAGACCCTTTGATTCATCCATACTTCCTTCCCTGAAGACCAACTCAGCAGCTTCCCCACAGGGTCCCAGATGGGAAGCAGCAAATCCCAGGCTGATGGGTCGGTGGGTCTGTGCCACTTGAGGACCATCACCCGCTCCCACCACATGCCTGGAAAAGGGGTAAGGGTGGAAACAAGACCCATGAGTAAGTGATTACTCTAATCCAGGTGATAGCTGGCGTGGCCAGGAGCGGGCTGCAGCAGTGGAGTGGGGAAGAAGAACACAGACTTGGGCTCCACCTTCAAGGTTGAGCTGACAGAATTTCCTGAGGGTTGGGATGAGGGAGGTGAGATAAAGAGAAAAATCAAGGCTAAGTTTCTTGGCCCAAGTCACTGAAATTGGAGAGGTTGAAAGAGGGACAGGCTTATGGGGGAGATCAGGTTTGGGTCATGTTAAATCGAGGTTTCTATTAGACTTCCACATGGAGAGATTGAGTAGGACGCTGGAAACATGAGTCTGGAGCTCTGGACAAAGCCCAACCTGAATGATAAGTTTGGGAGTGGTCCCTGTATAATAGAAGCTATTTAAGGCCGGGAGACTGGAGGAAGTCAGCAAGGGAGTGCCTACCTGAGCCCTTCACCTCTGTGTGCACCCCATCCTAAATTTGGGGTGTGTTTTCTTCCCAGGCTCAGAGAACCCGGTCTCTTAGGGTTCACCCGGCCTCTTTCCTGCCCCACTCTCCCCGCCCTCACTCTGAGGCAAATTCTACAGCCGAGGGCTCTCCCTCCTGTCTTGCCTCTGAGCCCTTACCCCATAGCGGGGGGTGGGGGGCATCACCATGTGTGTCTCCCAACCCACCTGATTACTGCACAGGGGGTGACCTTGCAACACTGAGGCACAGAGCCAGGACAGCCAGAACTGACCAGGAAGTCAGGGGCCAGGGTCTCATTCAGGACCTGCTCATAAATCACACAGTGACCTTGAGCAGCCTCAGTTTCCACATTTGTCAACTGAAGACTTGGCCAACAGCATCTGAATATGATCCCTTCCAACTCTGACATCCTGACTCTGTGATTCTAATTTGGCCTTCAGTTTCCCCTGAAGGGAATCTTGTTGGCTCTCAGAGAGCTTGATGGTTCCTTGGGGAAAACCTGCTAGAGAAACCAGGGTAGGAAGGCGCATGTGTGAAGGTTGTGCAAATATTGAAACACTTGAATATTGGTTGGAACATAGCTGCCTCCCTGCCACCTGGGCCCTTCCCTTCCCCCACTGAGACCCCACCAAGGTTCATCAACTGAAAAGGTTACCTCCTGGCCCAACAGGGGTGGCTGGTTGGTTCCTTTGCCCCCCTAGTTGTTAAAGATTTTGACTACCACCCAGGTGTGTGCGTCTTTCTCTGGCAGGTCTCCAACAGACAGACGGCATTTTAGAAGTGTCTCTGTCTTGCACGTCCCTCCAGCACTTTGCCTTTCATTCTAGGAAAATAAATACAATCCCAGTAAATAAAAGTTAATAACTGCATCTTTATGATGGTGTGTTGAAGGCATCTAATGTTGGAATCACTGTTAAATCCCTGGATTATTTATAACCCAGATGTTGACAGATGCTGGATTGGGTATTTGAGCCCCCGGGTTTTTCCTTCCCTCTCTGCTCCGAAGAGCCCATGTGCTGATTAATTTCGCAGCCCCTTGGCTCTTGCGGGGCAAGTACTCTTTGCTGCAGATCCCAGAAGAGATGGCTGAGAGCTGGGCCGACTTCAGTACAGCAGAATGGAGTGTGGGCGAGCGCGAGGTTGGGGAGGGAGAATGGAGTGAAGCAACAGTTCAGGTGTTAAACTACTGATGTGGAAAATTGCTCTGACAGTTATGATGTTGTTGTTTCGGGTAGCAAGGGTTACACTATCATTTACTCCAGCCACACCTGCTGGCACTGCTGGGCTGCCTGTCTCACGCAAAGCTGCTCATTGGTGGGTGTCAGAGAAGGGTTTTTTTTGTTTGTTTTTGCCTGTCTTTGGAGAAGCAGACCACTGAGGGGCTAGTGGCAGCCCAGCTGCAAGGGTGGCCATGCTCGGGGAGCTGTGCAGTGCCCCCCTGCAGCTGTTGATACCCGTCACCAGGGCCCAGATTGGAACCCAGAGCCAGCCAGTGGGGGGATGAGGGGAGCTGCATTTGGGGAGGGCCCACTGTTGCCCAGGTGCTTAATATGCACGAGCCCGTGTGACCCTGTCTGCCTCCCTGCCAGGTAAGATGACTGAGGCTCAGAGAAGCAGCAGAGTGCCCGGGGAGTAGAGTGGGAAGACAGACCCAAAGCTGGACCCAGGTTCCTGATTCTAAAGCCACAGACCCTATCACTTGCCATGCTCTGGGTGCCTCCTGCTAAGAAGTGACTTCTCTGTGTCTGGGCGCACCTGGGTGTCAGGTATGAGGGCCAAAGGGAGCAGGAAGTGCTTCTTTGGATCACATCATGAGTCAGATCTGCTTTCTTTCTTTTCTTTCTTTTTCTTTTTCTTTTTTGAGATGGAGTCTCGCTCTGTTGCCCAGGTTGGAGTGCAGTGGCATGATCTCGGCTCACTGCAACCTCTGCCTCCCTGGTTCAAGCGATTCTCCTCTCTCAGCCTCCCGAGTAGCTGGGACTATAGGTGCCCACCACCATGCCCGGCTAATTTTTGTATTTTTAGTAGAGACGAGACTTCACCATGTTGGCCAGGATGGTCTTGATCTCCTGACCTCGTGATCCTCTCACCTCGGCCTCCCAAAGTGCTGGGATTACAGGTGTGAGCCACCGCGCCTGGCCCAGAACTGCTTTCTTTCATGGGCGTTGGGTAAGCCATGGAGAGCTTGCCTTGAGATGGGACCAGCCCATCCACTAAAGAGCTTTTGTTGATCACCTGTTTGGCTCCAAGTGAGCTCTGTTAGTGCTGTGGGGAGTGTGGGAGCCACAGAAACCAGGGCCCTTTGTGAGAAGTTTAGAGACTGGGTGGGAAGCAAAAAGGACTGAGTGTGGAAGGATGGTGTGTCCATTAAAGGCTCTCCATTGGGGGACAGAAGGTGGGGCTGGAGGTGTTGGAGCAGGGTCCTGGAGGAGAAGGGAAGGAGCGGAGAGCAGGGGAGAGGGCTGTCAAGGCGGGACCGGCATGGCAGTACACACAAGGCCCAGGAGGGCTGCATGTGAGCAAGCGGTGGCTTCGGCGGGGAGGGGCAGCCTCCTTCAGCCTGGATACCCTCCCATGCCCGGTCCTGGGGCCATGTCCTGGGCTCTGGGTCACCACTGCCAATTGGGCAGGCTGGCCTCAGGAAGCGTGCTGGCCACCCACTGCCATCCGGCCATGTGCATCCACAGGCCACAGTGGGAGGACAGCAGGGGGAGAGTCTCATGTGCCCCTCGCTCTGCATTCTCCTGTCAAGGAAGGGGAGGTTTCAGACCAGTGCTTCTCTCCACAGAGATCTTATCCACATAATGGTCCAGAGAGAAGCATGGTCACATCCCCCACTGGGCCAAGGGATGAAGGTTTCAGGGGACAAACCCTGTCCTACCCACAGGACCCCTGGCAAGGCCTTTCAGATATCAGGGGTCAGATATCAAGGGTCAGCCTATGCTTCTGGATAAGCGAGTTGCAGAATAATTTCTGTTTATCTGCCTAGAAGGTGATGCTGAGAGGTGACTTACACCGCAAAGTCCCGAATCAGTGAGAGGAAGGGTGAGGAGGAGGGGGGAGTCTGGGATCCATGCCCAGTTCCTTCATGAGCTGCTCATACCCTTTATCTTTGTCTCTGAAAACCAGGGACCCTCTTTCTTGCCCTTCCTACCCTCTGAGGGCACTAGGGATGCATTGAGGGAAAGGTGAGACTTGAGACCAAGGTGGGTTCATATTCATAAGTGGGGACACCGAGACACTACCTCTCCATCCCTGGTGACAGGCCCATGTTTCCTGGAGAAGCTGGCAGTGCCCATGAGGGGCTGAGAGCTGGAAGAGCAGGTGGGCAAGGTGGTGCTAGAGCTCCTGGAATGAAAACCCAGGAAGTAGGAGGAGAGGCGCCGAGGCTGGGGCCTTGGAACCTGGAGCTGGGCAGGTGGGAGGGGTGAAGGGCGGTGCTGCTGCATCTGCCTGCACACCCTGCCCCCCGCCCCATGGCAGGCCATTGTGCCACTCAATGCCTATGATTGCTTTCAGGCTGGGAGCCAGGCACTGATGAAGAGCATCTGGGCAGCAGCCGGGTGGGGAGGGAGCCAGCCCTGCTCCCCTTCTTATCCTACCCTCCCAGGGTCAGCGGTCTGTCTTGCTGCGAACGGAGCTGGGAGCTTGTTTCTGGCTCCCAGGAAGAAGGGGGAAGTGGGTCTGGGGCTCCCTGGGGATGACCCTCCCACAGCTACTGGGAGCTCTTGTCTGCTGGAAACAAGAGTCAACCAGAGCTAATGACCTGTTCTTCCTGGGAGAAGTCTTTGCTCTAGGAAGCAGGAAGGGAAACTGAGGACTCCTTAGAAGATCAGGAGACTGGGATTTCTCCTATCATTTCAGAATCTAGGGATATCAGCCTGGAAGGAGATGTAGGGATTGTCTGGTGTGGTGAGCTTCCTTGACAGATTAAGAAACCCAGGCCCAGAGATGGGGAGGGATCTGTCCGTGACTGGTGGCAGAGTGGAACTTGGAGCCAGTGTCCCAACCCCACACTCAGGGTTCTCTCCCTCATCCCCACCTTCCCTTGGGTGCACTGTCTAAATTCCCCCCGAGGTGGCTCAGCCCCACGTGGCTCAGGGAGAAGGCAGGGATCGTTTGTGTGTGCCGAGGAAGAAGGTTGTGTTGGTCCTCTCTTTGCTCTGTCCTCCCTTCTGGTCTAGGGAGGAGTCTGAGGGGCAGGAGACATTTCTGGGGACTTTGGTCAGGGCTTTGTGGCTTTCCGCATGCAGCCTGTGTTTTAGGGTTAGGGTTAGGGGGTGTCTCAGCTGGTCAGGACACTCCTCTCCTACTCAGGGAATTCCAAGTAGTTCAAAGGTGGGAGGTGGGACACTCCTGAAATATTCTGAATGCATTTAGAGGCAAAAAGGGGACCTCCCCAGCCCTTGTCCCTTGACATTCCTTCCTTGCCCCTTGAATCCTTCTCACCTTCTAGAGAGCTCAGCAGGGTGATCCTGGTGGCAAGGGGATGGGATGATTGTCTGAGACCTGAGTTTTCACCCTTAGTCACTGACAAGGGGTGTGGCCTTGGAAAATTCTTTCCTCTCTCTCTCTCTCTCTCTCTCTCTCTCTCTCTCTCTCTCTCTCTCGACAGGGCATTGCTCTATTGCCCAGGCTGGAGTGCAGTGGTGTGATCTTTCCTCTCTTTAGACCTCAATTTCCCCATTTGAAAAAAGAGGTGGTTGGACTAGATAATGATTCAAAGACTGTTCTTGCCCTCATATGCTAAAATTCTAACAGATTCCCAGGTGAACCCCTTCCTTTCTTCCTTCCTTCCTTCCTTCCTTCCTTCCTTCCACTAATAAGTCTTTCTAACATGCCTACTATGTGTAAGTCACCCTTTCCTTAAGGGATAGGCCTGCTTGCCCATGGACAGGGAGGGTGGGCTTACTGCAGTTAATGTCATCACAATTGGGGGAAAAAGCCCCACTCCCAGGCTCTGCGACTCCTCAAAGAATATTAATTACTCTCCAAGGAAGTCTTCATTCTGAGTAGTTCCCTTTCTCCGGTAATTAATATTACATGTCATTAACAGTCAGGGAACATTGTATGATCAAAGACAGCATAATTCCTAGCAAGATTCTGAGGAATAGCACAATATTTGTTAATTGTGTTATTGATTCTTATGGTCTGGAATGCCCTAATTATTCCTGATCCCAACTGGACCCCACCATGCCCGCCAGGCTGGCTTTGAACTGCCGTTCTCCCCTGGGTGGCCTGGCTCCCTGCTCGGGGGCTGGAGGGACCACAGCTTTCAAAGGGATCAGAGAAGCTTTGTCTCCCCAGAGCCACATGAAAGGGGGAGCCGGCTGGGATGTGGGGGCTGCTTCTCCCAGGCTCCCGCCACAGCTCTGACTCAGTCAAAGAGTGAAATGTAGCATCTCGCTTTAATTAGCCAGATGCTGTTAACGGACAGCTCGAGGGGTCCAGCAGGCACTGCTTCCAGGGAGCAATGGGATGGGCGTTCTTCTAGGCCCAAGGCCACTTGCTGCTTCTGAAGAGCCCAGTGCTGAGTGATGCTCCAGTGAGGTCTGGTGGGGCTGGGAAGCCCTGGTGTGGCCATCATCAGGAGTGTCTCAGGTGAACCTCCCCACTGGGCTCTAAAACTGCTAAGTGGATGGTGTATTTCTATCAGTGGCATAATTATTAAATGATGCTTGTTTCTTAATCGGCTGTATTTATGAGTGGGCCAGGCTCCCTCCCTCTTTTTGTTGAATCCTGCAATTAACCTTTGTAACTGCATGACAGTCAGCTTCTCACTCAGTACATTTTGTCTGAACCCCAGTGGGTTGTATTCTGCGTGATGCTGATGGAGATGGGGGAAGAGTGAGGTCTGTCCAGCTCAGAGCTCAGGAAGGTAACTGCTGGGGAGGTGGAGGGGGGTGTGACAGTGGAAAGATAGGCTGAAGAGATCCATGGACACCACCACCAATAATAGTTAGAAATACCTCTTCCCCAGGCTAGGCTGATTACCTATATTGATTCATTCAGTTCTCATAAGAACCCCTTGAAGTAGGTTCTGTTAACATTCCCACTTTGCAGGTGGAAACCAAGGGTTGGAGAGATCAAGTGACGGTCAAGGCCACAAGGAAGGCAGAATCAGAAACCAAGCCCATCTAGACTGTCTGGGGTTATGACTCGCCATGCCACAGAGGACTTTTCCTCTATGTGGCTTTTGGAACGCATCTGGAGAGTTTATGATTCTTCCAGTAGAGGCTCCCTGTCACTAGATCTCCAGGGCGCCTGGGCCTGTGGCCGTGGTTGTGCAGGAAAGGAAGATGAGGGGCCAGAAAGGATCATTGAGTGGGAGCCAGGGGCAAAGGGCGAGCAGGAGGCTGGAGGTGCTCCTGCCGGGCGCAGACCCTTGACTCCATCCCGTCCTGGGTGTCTGCCCTGCCTCCTCTTGTCTGGTCTTTTCAGCATCTCCTTACAGCTCTGGAGACTGAGGCCCCAAATGGTGAGGTGGTTGGCTTGTTAAAAGTCCTCTTACTATTCAATGGCAGAGCCATGTCCAGGAATCAGCCATTTGGGGGACCCTAGGGGAGTGAAGTGGTGGGACAGACGGTTCCTGCCTTAAGCAGCCTCTGCTCTAACAGGAACATCAGACCTCAGAACTCCAGTGGGAAGGGAAGACGACCAGGGACCCCGCACCAGACCTACCCACTCCCTCTCCACCCTCAACCCTGTGCTTGTCAACAGCTGGGCCAGGACAGATGTGGAGAGACTGCCCAGGCTGATAGAGAGGGGGCACTGGCTGGGCAGGCAAGAGGTGGGCAAGAACACAGTGACCAAAGAGCCTGTGCAACCCAATTGCTACTCAGCCTCTGAGGTGGATGTGGGGTTGGCTGGAGTGTCAGGTCATTTGACCACAGAGGGACCTGGGGCCCCAGGCCCACTGTGGCAACCTCCTGTCGTTCTTCCTGCCCCAGCCCCATCCTGTCTGATCCCTCTTTCCTCATCTCAGCCAGTGGGAGAGTGCTGACTTTTCTTTCTCCTAACTGCTTTTGATATTCTGGGGCCATTGCCAAAGGAGCCTGGGAAGGGGCACTGGCCAGAGAACAGGGCAGATAAGACCTGAAGGTCTCTGCGTAAATAATCTCACCTAAGTGGGATTGTCTCAAGCTCATTTTTCAGTTCAATCTTTTAAATGTTTTTTTTTCCTAGTTTGCCTCTCTCCTTTCTTTTCCCTACATCACATCATTACCCCCTGCCCACTCAGGGAGTCCCTGCCAACATTTTGCCATGTATCCTTTGTATCATATAACTAAGAGCCATATACAGACACACACATGCACGCGTGTACACATTTATAGGCAATTATTGGCTTCGTAAATACAGGACTGTACTAGATGGCTTCGGCCTTTTCCCCCTCTCCGGTACCTCCTGGCAGTCCCTCCAAGTCAGCCAATATTGCTCCCATGCATTCTTCCTATGCATGGCTCCCATGCATGGCTCCAAATCGTCCATGGTGTGAATGTCCATCATTAAAACATCATTCCCCTATTAATGAGCATTCACTTTTTTCCACTTAAAAATTATTTTTAATCAGAAAAGGACCTTTTGAAAACACAACTCTGGCCAGATTGGTCCCTTGCTTAAAACCTTTGAATGGCTGCCCATTTATCTCAGAACAGTCCTGGCTCACAAGGTGTGTTGTGTTCTGGGGCTGAGCCCCCCTCCAGCTCAGAAGGCACCACCTGCTTCCTCAAACTCTGTTCCTAGAGTTCCTAGGTGAGAAAGAGCCACTTCTGCTGCCTCGGTGCACCTGCTCTTTCTCACCTCCAGGCCTTGGCACCCACTCTGCCCGGAGCACTGTTGCCCTACCTGGTTAGCACATCTGCCTCCTTCAGGTCTCAGCATGTGTGCCCCTTCCTCTGGCCAGTGTTCCCTCCCAGCAACCGTGGCAATGGCCTTGAAGTCTAGGTCTCCAAAGGGAGGAGACCAAACCACAGGGTCTGTGGTTTTCTGGTAATGTTATTCTCTTTCCCGTTAGAATATGACTTGACGTGTTACATGTGCAGGGCCTTGCCTGACGCCTGGCACTTAGTAGGTACTTCTGTCTTGAGTGAATGACTGGATGAAGGGCATGGCTTTACTCCCTGGGAGGAGGCTGGCAAGGGCCCTGGGCTGCGCAACCATGTAAGGTGCCATTTGGGGAGGGGTCATGAGTCAGAATTTAGGAGGAGGGACTAGGGTGGGAGCCAGATTGATATGGACTGGGCTTCTGTGGGAGGTGGTGGTTTAGGGACAACAACAGTTAGACTGGGGCTTTGGAGCATGTGACATGCCTGAGGCTCACTTTTGGGTGTCAGTGGCAGCAGAAGAGACTCAGGAGACAATCCAGGGACCTAGCGGCTACAATTGGGCTACCGTTTATCCCCAATTCCCAGTGAGGAATGGTGTCCACATTATGCCTGCCTTGGAGAGAATGGCTTCAGGAGTGGTACTGAGTGAGCAAGTGGGGGCATTATGGGAACCTGTAGGAAGCAGTAAGATAAAACAAAGGCAGAGGAGATGGGCAAAGAGCAGGTACAAGGGTGAGGCAATAAGACACCCCCCTGAGAAGGTGCCTACCTTCACCAACAATGCAGACAATGCAGGACCCAGGCCGAGGACCCCGTTTTGTCCCTCTGCCCCCACTGCCTTCCAGCTACTCGGCGTGTGCCTCCGTGGACTGATGCCAGCGCACAGGCCGCTGTCCACAGTGAGATCGGGACAGAATTGAGAGAGAGTCCTTAGACACTTCATGACAACTTGACACGGATCCAACATCCAAGCCTGTGCTCAGCGGGGTCCCCACACTGATCAGGATAGAGGCCTCTGTGGGAGGTGTCGGCGTGCGTGGTGAGTCACACGTGGCAGAGCCACGGGAAGGCATGCACCAATCCGTGTCTTATTGGGAATGAAAAACAACTCGTTCCAGATGATGAGGCCATCCCATCCAAACGGTGGCCTTTGGTTTATCTCCATCTCTCCTGGGAACTTCAGTTAGACATCTGTAGGAATTAAAAGTTGTAGTCTGCTGACACTGTTGTCTAGAAGAAATGTAGACTCTTCCTGTGAGGTCTCGGGAGAGAGAGTCCCTTGCAGCCGGGAGAGGGGAGGCAAACCATGGCATCTAGAACAGCCTTCCCGCTGGAGGTGAATGAGGATAATTCCCTGAACATGTATCATTTAGTATACATTTCAAAGCACTTTCGCTTGCGTTATCTTTTTGATCTTTACAACCACCCTAGAGGTAGATCAGAGCAGGAATTATCATCCTCACTTTGTAGAACGGGCAGTGAAGGATCAGAGAAGTTAAGTCAATTTCCCAAAATCACCCAGCAAATTAAAAACCCAAAAAGGATATGACACAACACCCAGGGGCTTTTCTGGGTGGCTGTGAAGAGAGGTTTAAGGAAACTGAAGGAAGCAGCAGTGTAAACAGTAGCTTCTGTTTACTGTGCGCCCAACGGTAATAGCAGCTACCTTTGGTGAGTTTTTACAATGTTCCAGATACCGTGTGTAATTATCTCATTTAATTTTCACAATGGATACAATTGCTATCTCCATTTGCAGGTGAGGAAACAGATCCCCCGCAAGATTAAGTCATTTGTCCGGAGTCACTCAGCTAGTAATTAGCAGAGCTGGTTTGTGGTTCAGACCAGCTCTGACTCCAGAGCACATTTCCTTAACCACAACATGGAGCCAGATGCCTCCCTCACAGGGTCCTGCCAAGGACCCAGCAAAGTGTGTGTGCTCATCCCCATCTCCGTTATTTGAGCCTTGCCTTTCTGGCACATATTGTAGCCTCTCACAGCCACAAGCTTCGGCCCAGCCCCCTACCCTTCCAGATATGCAGGTGTGAGGCTGGGGATGGCACCCAGGTCCTAGTCTATGCACCTTCCCTCTCTCTCCCTGTAGTAAGAACTCCAAAGCCAAATGCATCCAGTTCAGCACCTGGCTATAGCTAATTATTAATGTCCGAGCTGCTGGCAGCTCCTCGTTATGTCATGTCTCACAGAAGATTTATGGCCACTTTGTAAGTGGCTTTGAAATGAGACAAAACCCAATATTGAATTTTTTTTTTTTACCTCCTTTTCCCTTTGGGTTTTAGGGCATATGATATCAGCTTCCTCCCCATTAGCATATTTCTAATGAGTGCTTATTAAGGTGAATTTCATTGCAGCTCACAGAGTTATCATTAGAAGAGGGAGAGGGAGGGAGAACAGACACCATCAGATGTGGAGACCTCGAGGCTCTGGGGCTTGGGCCTGCTCTCAGCTCAGGCCTCTGCTAAGTGAGTTCTGCTCTCCTATCCTTGCAGGAGGGTCTGGCTGCTTTTCACTGTGGGACTGGAGAGAAGGACTTGGGCAGGTATTCTACAGCAGGGCTGTCCGGGAATTCTGGATCGGCGCCTGCTCTGCCATCACTCCTCTTTGAGCCTCATTCCCCTAATCTGTATAATGGGGCTTACAGTGGATAAGCTCTATGGGGAGAAACAGTGTCTACTTCATTCACTGTTGTATCTTCAGTGCCTGGCATATCAGAGGCACTCAGTACATAATGGCTGAGGAGATAGATAGGGAGAGAGAAGGATGAACAGGTTTGTCTCTACAGATAGGATCTGCCATGGATGCTACGGCACCTGCCTGCAGAGGTGCAGGTAAAGGTTTGTTCATTGACAGTCTATGGTTGGGCTCAGGTGGTGGTGGTTGGTGCCCAGGGCACTTGTACCAGCCCCGGGGTGGCTGGGGGAGCTATGAACCTCTCTGCCCTGTGCCTGTTGCTGTATAGCTGCTAAGGGGAGGGGTCAGTGGGCATTCCTGTTAGAGTGATGTCGCCTTTCCCTTTCACCTGGGCCTAGCTGGCCTTTTGGATGTAACAGGCAACTTCACTAATGGCTTAGAGGGCCCATATTTCTGCCACCCACTGACACTTTGATGGGTTGGGGGACACTTGTGATTCCAGGGAAGAACTAGGATATTGGCAGGAAGGGGGTACCCATGCTGGGTACCTGTGCTGTGGGGTGGGAAGGGAGAAAGAGACGAAGAAAGAACAAGGTCATCCCCTTGGTGGGCTTTCCTGTTGATGCCCTTGCTCTCAGGGAGCTCCTGGTGGGTGGTTCTCCATCTTGGCTGCTCATTGGAATCACCTGGGGGAGCTTTTGGACAACACCGATGCCCAGCTCCACCCACACCTAGTTGACCCCTCCCACCTCGTTGGCTGGGAATGAGGTCACAGCATTGAGAGTTGAAAAATGTTCGTCAGGCCATTCTAATGCGCAGCCAGGGTGGGCATAGTGGCTTAGTGTCCGTGTGTGCTGGGAGCAGGAACGAGATGTTCCCTCCAGAAGGAGTGTCTCCCCCTCCCTATATCCCCACCTGGAGCCTCTGCCCTGAGCTCTCTGATGGGGGAGCTTTGATTTCTGCCTTTGTAGCTCCTCCTGGACAGAGGAGGACCCGGAGGAAAGGCTGAGGTGCCTCTTGCCCCCTCTGTCCCCTCCTGGTCCCCACTCTGCCACTGAAACTTCCTACCCTCCTGAGTCCCACCTCGGGGTCCTCATCTGTAACAGGCTCTTCTGGGATCAAAGGACACGGTGAATGAGGGTGAGCTTTGTTAAAAGCTCACTAGGAGGTAAGGAATGGTCTCTGCCAAAGTCCCCTGAGTCCTGGGGAGACAGGGCTGGTGAAAACAGTTTCTGAGGGCCCAGGAAAGCAGGTAGAGAGAATAGAATAGGATCAGGCTGTGACTTCCCAGCAGAGGTCCCTGGAGAGAAGAAAGTCAACTTCCGGAAGCTTTCCTGAGGCATCTCGCTCTGCCTCTGTCATTAGTTGCCTCCTCTGTGCACATCTTTGTAGGAGGAAAGTAAATACCTGTAAGAAAGCCTGAAGGAGGTGCCAGGGAGAGAGCCTGGCCAGCTGCTGGGCAGCCAGCCCTTCTGTCTGCACCCGAGAAGCACCCCATGGGACAGGGGCTTGGTGAATGGGCTGGACAGGGAGTAGACTGAGGGGCTGGTGGATTCCGGGGCCTAATCCAGCATGCTCCAAAGGGAATCTCATCCCCTGTCCGCAGGCTGCCTCGGCCTGGCCTAGCCCCCACCGGAGGTGCTGCTCAGGGCCTCCTTTCCCTTTCTTGGGAGCATGGTGGAGTGGGATGAGTGCTGGATTTGGGGTTAGCTCTGCTATGATCAGCTGTGTGACCTTCGGCAAGTCTCTTCCCACCACCACCGTCTTCAGTTCCCTCTCGCAAATGCAGGAACTTGTTCACTGATTCATTGATCCAATCATAGATTAGTTATCGAATGTTTATTGATATCCGCACTGTGGCAGGTGCTGAGAGCACTAGGACGCACCCCTCCCTGCTCATGTCTGCTCTTGCTTGGAATCACTGTAGAACTTTCCAGAGCTGCAAGAGACCTGAACTAGGATCCTGATTTGGCTTTCAAACTGCAGGACTGTCAGTCAACCTCCTTTTACAAATGGGGAAGCTAAGGCCTAGAGAAGCTGTTAAGGTTCTTCTGTTAGTCCCATGGCTGGTGGATGCTGCTGGAAAACTCAAACTCAGGCCTTCAGGCCCATGTCCTCTTCTCAAGCGAGACCACCTGCTTGAGAAGTGATTCTAGCTCCTTCTCATCAAAGAACAGCCCAGAGAGGTGCAGTGACTCATTTGGGGTCACACAGCTGATTACTGGCACACCTGGGGCAAGAGACCCACTTCTGTGCTTTTTTGTCCCCGGCCTGTTTCTCCTGGCACTTGGCTGGGGGCTCAGCTCAGGCCGTCCTCAGACTCAGTCTCATCAGCAGATGCTGTCCCCTCACAGGGCCTCCCTGTGGCAGCTGCGCCAGGCTGGCGGTCGTGCCGGCTCACTCACTCTTCCCACGCTTACTCACTGAGACATATATATGCACAGCTCTACCATTTGGCTTTAGTGATTGCTCCACAGTGGGTGAAATTGGCTTGAAATAAATATCTCCTCTGCCTTCCTCCCTCGGGGTGATTTTATCCTCATCTCCACTTTGTGGAATGGTCCAGAGTCTGGCGGGCGCCTGTTCTGTCTAGATATGTCCTTTTTGATGCAAAGATGTTGCCACGGCTACTGCTGTTTCTTGAGAGCCGTGCAGAAGTGGTAGCAGAATTCCACAACTTGCTGTCCCTTCCCAGTTCCCATCGCGGGGGCTCCATGAGCAAAGCCTAAAATTAAGGAGGTCTAGGAGTGCTCTCACTTTTTAAGCTGTTAGAGTATTTTCTGGATGGAGCCCAGAATAGGATGGGGCATTGCTTATACCTGGGGTACAAACCACTGTTCTGCCTTGCTGGGGAACTGGCCTGTTGTGTAATAAAATAAACTCCACATCCTCTAAGGTAGGGGAGGCGCAGGGGGATCATGTGCTTAATTCTTGATCCCCAAGCTCACCTTTCCTATTCAGATCTCTTGCCAGTTATTGCCGCCGATCCCCCCACCGACCCAACACACACAATGCTTGCCCTAAGGGTGGGGAGTGAGGAGTAGGGCTTATCCCCTTTTGAGGCCTATCCCCAGTCTCTCCCTAGATTCCTCAAAGCACAGCTGAGGCACAATCGGCTCATTTAAAGATGATGTTAGGCCAAGGGATGACAGGAGGGAAATACACACAGGATATTGTGACCTAACATGGTTCAGGAGGTCTGGCATCCTCATCTGCAGCCCATCTCCTGAGGTCAGAGCCAAAGGGACCTTCGGGGCCACCTAGTTCCTTCTCAGCCAGGTTCAGGAGAGAATCCTGCCCTCAGGCCCTAATGTGACCACTGCATGTAGCAGATTGACTTTTCTCTTGTGCATCTAGGATGTACCATCCTTGGGAGAACTGAGAAAATTGTCCATTAATCCTCTTCTGGGTGCTGTGGTTCAGGTGGGAGAAACCCTGGCTGACAGAGGCTTCCTCTCAGCTAACAGAGGACAATGAAGCACCAAGCAGGCAGCCTCCTACCCAAGGTCACACAGCCAGCCCAAGCTTGTCTTCTGAGTTCCAAGCCAGTCGTCTTCTCTTTTCTCACAATAGCATTAACATCCTCCCCTCCGCTGCTCCAATCTCGTGAGCATGGAGGAAGCTCTGATCCAAAGAGATGAGCCTATCCCTGTCTCTCTCTCTCTCTCTCTCACACACACACACACACACACACACACACACACACACACACACACACACACACACACCCCTGAGTCTGCAGGACAGAGACATCCCAGAAGCTTGGCATTGGACAAGCCGGTAGTCCTGAATTTGTGTCTAGGTCATCCACGTGAGCCTGCATTTCGCCACCTGCAAGAGGAGATCATAATGCCTACTTGATGGAGTTACTGGAAGGACTGAAACTGGCCATGTACCAAGGCTGGCACCTGGCACAGTACAAGGTCTTGGGAACCATCCATTTTTCTTTTGCCCTGGTGCTCAGTAAGGTGCACAGTGGCTGATGAGTGAACAGCACACTCAATGTTCAACCGAGTCTACATCTAGGTTCTAATCCAACAGGGAATATTCACAGAGTATTCTTAGTAAGGGCTCGCAAGTCCCCGAATATGGCATTAGTACCCAATACCCGGCTGAGCTCAGACTTCCAGGCCCGCTTCCTGCCAGCTGTGCACACCCAGGCCCACAGATGCCTGCTCTCCCAAGCCTGCCAGGCTGGCCTCCCACCGGCCTCACTCCCCACCCCTATTCCTTTTTCTTTCTCCTCTTTCCCTCTTCGCACAGCCAAACATACCTGTGTCAGAGGCCTCCCATGGCTTAGCAAGCTTCTGGCTTGCCTCCCGTTCTTCCTACCCTATTGAGTCCCTGTATGTATTACGGCAAATTTAGAAATTTGTGGGCACGCCACAGAATTAGAACACTGGGGAAGCATGGTTTGGACTTGGTGCAAGCGTCCTGCCTTCTACATAGGGTGATTCAGTGTATTGAGGGTTAGTACCTCATGGGCCCAGGCCTGCCTGAGGAGGGAACAGAAAGCAACTGAGAGAAGCTGGAGTCAGGCGGGAAACCTGCCCCTGCCTCCATTTTGCCTCCAGGAATAAGGAATGGGTGGTTCACATTTCTGAATTTCCTACTGAGTTGGAAGGTATGCAGAAAAAACCTTTCTGTAGTTTCAACACCTGTTACCAAAACGCTTTTGCAATTGTGCCCTTTTCCTTTCCTGCCCAGGGAAGTGGAGTATGATGAATAGGATCAAATTTCTCTGGATTTATCAGGATTTTGTGTGACTTCAGGATCATTGTTCCTAAAGGCCTGTCCTTGTTCAGGAGTGGGTATGAAGGGAGGGAAATTAAGCTGAATAAGTTATCAGAAGCTAGCCCTAAAAGCTGCTTTTCAGGAGAGGGGAAGAAAAAACCGCACTGGCTTTGGTTGAAATGCGCCGGTGAGGACTGAGCCTGACTGGCACCGGGGAGTGTGATCGGCTGTTTTGGCCACCTTTCAATTAACTGAAGGCTCCAGTTAATTGGGGTTTGGCTACATTTTCTCTTGACACTGGTGCTCAGGGTGGCCTGTGCCCTGCTGGGCCTGACTTAGTGACATGGCTCAAGTCCCCCTGACTTCCTCCTCATAACCTGCCTTGCCTCTCTGAAGCCTAAATGCCTTGGTCGGCATTCTTCCACGGAACCCTCAGAAGAAACTACGCTGACATGTTAAGCTTTTTAATTTAGCACACACAGTGCGTACATGCCCCCAGACAAAACAGAATTGATTGATAATTCTCTTAATGGAAGCACAGGCTTCAGTTGCTCCAGAAATAGATCGTTACCTCGGCCACCTTTTGTAATTTTCTCCCTCCCATTTTTTTTTTTTTTTATCCTACTGTGGTCTAAAAATATGATGTTTCATTTCATCCTTCTTTCATAATCCACTAAATGCCAGGGCATTTCTTTTCAGACCTTTAATTTATAGCATGTTTGTTCAGTTTCACTTCATTAATTAATGCTCTTCCCAGGCTCCCATGACAGAGTCTTTGTGTAATGCTCTCTTACAGTAAGCAGGTGCTTTTATCCTTAATGAACAATTTCCTGGAAAACACTGAAATACACAACGACTAATCAGGCCAGGCACACAGTGACTCTGGGACTTATGTACCATTTTCCAAATTAAACCTGGGGAGATGAGGGACAGATTTTGATCGGCCACAGTACTGTTTTTTAGTGGGTCTTTCCTTTGGGAGGGCATATAGGGTGCTCAAGTTCTGGAAGGTGGGTGAGCTTCTTGCTCCTCCAGGAAATTAGAGTTCAGAGGAATTGTTTGATTGCAAATGCATGTGGCTGTGAGATGGTTGTCAGACACAGCCTAGGCCAGAAATGCAGCCAAATTGGCCTCTGGTCCAGACTTGGAATCATCACTAGCTTAGACTGCAAGTCAGCAGGGCCTGGGCTGGGCCAAATTGCAAACTTACTGAAATTCACCTTCAGTTCCTTTCTTCCCTTCTGGCAGACTTGCCCCACCCCCGGGAGGCAGTCCTTATCAGGCCCAGGACCCTAATATACTCATTCCCCCTGTGCACCCCCAGTAGTATCTGTACTGCATCCCATACGCCCCATCAGAGAGGACAATGCCAAACCCAGCCATGCTGATATTTTCCCTGGGGCTATGCTGTTCACAGGCCCTTCTCATAACCTGTGTCTCTTTGGCATCTCAACCTTGGGAGTCAGGTTTATTACTAACCCCATTTTGCAGAAGAGGAAGCTGGGAGCCCGGGAGGTTAAATGACCATCCTTAGGCCATGCAGTTGGTAAGAGGCAGAGCTGGGATTAGGACTCAGAAACCTCCTGAGATTCCAGGGCTCCCTGTGCTTGCTGTTCCAGGGAGGAGCAGAGCCAGTGTGAGAGCAGAGGAGGGAGGTGAAGTGCCGGCCGTGACCCGACCGGGCTGCAAGCCAGAAGTTATCAGTGTCATGGACAAAGAGCCTCAATAAATTGCTTTAAAAATCTGAATACCTGACTCATTTATTATTCTGAATACAGCTGACAAAATCGTGCTTTATCCATCTATTTTTCTGTGTCGTGAGATCATTTTGGGTCTTTGAAACGGCATAATGTTTTTCATCATAGCATGAGTATACCATCACAGCGTGGACACATGCCACACCATTGTGATAGCAGTCTCACCGCAGCCAGATGGCTTCAAGGGCTGGCTGGGAGGCTCCCCTAAGTGGCCTGTGTCCCTAGGGGTAGCAGGTTTAGGGCTCAAGTCCTCTGTGAACCCCTGCTCTTTGGGAAAATGTGCCCTAAGGAGCAGAGGGGGAGAATCTGGGCCTGGAGGAGGGTAAGCTGTGGAGGAGTTGCCTGTAGGGCCCTCCCTTTTTTGTTTTCAAAATGAAGGTGGCTTTATTGTGGTTAAAAAAATTTTTTAAGATGGGATCTTGCCATCTCACGCAGGTTGGATCTCACCCAGTGGCACAATCATAGCTCACTGTAGCCTCAAACTCCGAGGCTTAAAACATCCTCTTGCCTCAGCCTCTTGAGTAGCTGGGACTGCAGGCATGCATCACTGTGCCTGGCTGGTTTTTGAAATCTGAAAATTGAGACCTGCTCATACTGAAAATATATAGAGAAGAAAGTAAGTTGGTTAGGCAGAGTGGCTCATGCCTGTAATCCCAGCACTTTGGGAGGCTGAGGCTGGAGGATCACTTGAGTCCAGGAGTTCCAGACCAGTCTGGGCAACAGTGAGACCTCGTCTCTAAGAGAAAAAAAAAAGCCAGGTGTCGTAGTGTGAACCTGTGGTCCCAGCTACTAGGAAGGCTGAGGTGGGAGGCTCTCTTAAGCCCAGGGAGGTCAAAGCTGCAGTGAGCTGTGACCGTGCCACCGCACTCCAGCCTGGATGACAGAGATGCTGTCTCAAAAAAAAAAAAAAAGAAAGAAAGTCACCCAAAATATCATCATCCAGACATCTTTGTTAATGTTTTTAACATACTCCGAGCATCTTCCTGTCCTTCCTCCCTCACTGTTGGCACACGCACACCGTATGCCCGTGCACACACAGTTTATATAAATGTGATCATAATGTTCATGCTGCTTTGTAACCTGCGTTTTTCACATAATAAGACTTTAGGGTCATCTTCCCACGTCGGTGAATTTACACATAATAATCTTAAAATATCTTTGCTTTTCTGACTATAGTGATGATAATGCTCTTTGTAAGAAATACTAATGTAACAAAAATGTTTGACTTAGAAAGCACAAATCTTCCATCCCTTCCCCAAAAGATGACCAATATTATTAATGCTCTGGTGTATGGGCTTCCATACTTTTCCACATCAATATTTTTAATGATTGCATAATAGTTTGTTATATAGACATGGTGGAATTTATTTAGCAAAGGCCCCATTCATGGGCATTTAGGTTGCTTCAGTGCTGTGGCAAGCATCTCTCTTTCTCTCTTTTTTTTTGGAGACAGAGTCTGGCTGTCACCCAGGCTGGAGAGGATGCTCACGTCTCACTGCAGCCTCAGCCTCCTGGGCTCAAGTGATCCTCCCACCTCAACCTCCCTAGTAGTTAGGACTACATGCATAGACCACCATGCCTGGCTATTTTTTTTCCCGTATTGTTTGTAGAGATGGGATCTCATTATGTTGCACAGGCTGGTCTCGAACTCCTAACCTCAAGTGATCTGCCTGCCTTGGCCTCCCAAAGTGCTGGGATTACAGGCCTGAGCCACTGTGCCTGGCTCAAATATTTCTTTATCAAGAGAGAATGCAACAAACGTTCTTGAACCTGTCTTTGGACCCGGCCAGTTTTTAAACATGAAATTGCAGAAATGGAATGCTGGGTTAAAGATATATGTTAAAACATGTTTATCTATATTGACAACCTTTTTTTAGAACATGTGTAGGGCACTTCAAACTTTGAAACAATTGGTTTCTGGCTTCAGAATCCCCTGGCCTAGGTCGGTCGGGAAGGTTCTCTAAGGAAACCTGGAGAGGCTACCCTTGTCTGATGCCCATGTCTGTGGGCTGACAGCCAGGCTCTTCTGTTTATCTCCAGACTCAGGGGGTCTATTGACTGGGGAGACGTGGTCCCTGAGGTGTGGCGGGAGAGACCCTGTCCTAGTGTGGGCTCTTGGCTGGAATGGAGCACACAAAAGAGGCCCATCTTCAAAGGGTGCCGAAGATTGGACAGAGAGGTGGGCAGCAACTAAGGATCCCGACCACGACAGCAATACTGATCTCCGCGTTTCACCACTGGGCTGCAGTTTGCAGGGCACCACCTGCATTACCTGTTTAATCCTCACAAGAAACTGTTGTTCTCTCACCCTTCCTATTTGTAAAAGAGGAAAAGGAGGCTCAGGGCAGTTAAATGAGTTTTCCAGGATCAAAGACTAGAATCCAATTCTGCTGCCTCCTCTGCATTATCTCCCTGCAGCTGGGAGATGGCGCAAACCTGAAGTGCAAGGGTGAAGAGGGAGGAGAAGATGAGGAGGGGAAGGGCAGGGAAGGGTGATACTTCATAGGTAAGCTTACAGAGTTGGAAGGGCCCAAGAGATGATGTAGTCTGACTCCAGCCCTGTGCACCAGCAGAGTGAAACTCAGAGAGGTTAAGCAACCTTTCCTGGGTCACACAGCAAGGTAGTGACTTAGGAGGCAGAGGGGAACTGGTACTGACTTTGAATTCAATAGGAAAGACCCAAGGGCAGGGGAAGTATGGCTCTCTGAGCCCCTACAGGATGGAGTTGGGAGACTGGATGAGCTTGTGAAAGGTTCTCTCCCTTCAGAGGCAGCCCTGATCAAGAGTGGATCCAGAGGCATCTAGAATGGAGATGGGCCAGACTCAACACACAGGGGATCTCCTGGGACATTAGCATCAATACCTGCAAAGGCCTCTGATTTCCCATCACACTGGCCCGAGGCTTCCTGCAGGGAGAGGCCTCTTCCTGCAGGGAGGGGCCTCGGTGCTTTGAATTAAGCCACATCCTGGGTCTACTACCCTCTCCTAGCCATTCCCACCTCCCCTCGAGCAAGTGTTCAGGGGCTTGGGGCAGGGCCCCGCCTGAGTCTTCTCTGTGTCACAGTGACTGATGAGCATTCAATAATGTTTGCTGAGGGGATGGATGAAAGATGAGATCTGCCTTGATAATTGTACAGTTAAGACTGATCCAGGGGTCTCCCAAAACATACAGCCATGCCTAGATTCTCCAGCAGAGTATTTTTCTGTCATTGTCTTTTTTTTTCTTCCAGTTCCTTAGAAATTCTAAAAGTACAGAGTTAGAAGAGTCTTTGAGGTGAAGGATGTGGCTGGGAAGGAAACTAATAGTTCATTGGGTACCATCTATGTGCCAGACCTTGGGCCAACCACGTTACCTGCGTTCTCATTTACTATCTTAACAGCCCTTGAAGTTGGTCTTCCTTAATGTGCAAGACGTGAAACACTCAGCCCTGGAGCAGGTAAATGACTCTACTGGGTTATACAGCCAGGAAGGCAAGGGTAGGATTCGAACCCAAGTCAGGTGGACTCCACCATTCCCTTCACATGAAGACTGCAACCAAGTTTTCGTGTGTCTTTGAGCAAGTCACCTCCCTTTCAGGGAACAGTTTCCCCTCCTAGAGGATGAGGTGTTGGACTCTTTCTGCTCCCAGGTTTTTCTCGGCACCAGTTCTGACACCATGTGGCTTGCTGTCCAGCCCATCATCCTCACAGCTCAGCTCCCGTGAGAGGCTTGGCCTTCCAGGGATTCTCGAGGGCTCCCTCCCTCAGCGCCCTTCTCCCCGCTGGGCCCCTGTAGCTGCACCTTGTTGTTTAAGGAATGTTTTCTTTAAGGGGGCAGGAATGGGGACAAATCCCCATGGAGCTGAAGGGCCCTGGGAGGCTGACTTGTCTTCAGAGGTTTTGTGGATGTCACCATGATTTAATGCAGGGCATGAGGGACACCTACAGTTATGAGAACTCCATAGCCCTGGGAGGAGGTGGGAGAGGGTGGCTGAGAAGGCCAGGAGTGGGCAGATTGCGGGTGGGGAGGGGCCAGGCAGGTGTCCGGGTTGGTCAGGCCAGCTGAATGTGTCCTGATTTGCAAAGAAATGGAAAGATGGAGATAATTGCTTTGTGAGAAATGGAATGGCCTAAGAACATAGATAAGTTTTCTCCCTTCATCTTCGAGGGGCTGGAGGCTGGGGGTGCAGATGCTGCCTGCTTGGGAGTTGGGGCGAGCAGGAGGCGGTTTGAGGGCCCAGAATTCAGAGGCTGTGCCTGTTGTGGGAGGGAGGCTGGCGCTTTATTAGTTTGGCGGTTTCTACTGCTCTGCTCCAGGGTAGGCTGTGATTTTTCTCTGGGCCTGACTGATGTCAGGGCCACTTGCTCTCTGCTGGGCTTGAGAGTGCAGGGGACAGGACAGTCTCTTGACCCTGATTAATGGTGGCTGCAACCCTCATGGTACCATTTTCAGGATTTGCAGCCCGAGGCTTCCCAGGCAAGGAGAAAGCAGAATTTATCAGGGTGGTGGAGCAGGGACTTGGAGGGGGACATTTAACTTGTCTCAGGAGGTGACTCCAATCCCCGCTGATTTATCCCGGGGGCCAGGCACCTGGCAGAGACTCCACATTGGCGCTGAGAATTTTTGCTGTGCTCCTGCAGTCAGGGAATCACTCTTTAGGAGATTAAGAGCTGTGGATTTATTTTTAAAACTTTTTTTCTTTTTTTTTAAGTACAGGAAGATTAGAAAGCATTCAACATAAACCCAACCCCTGGTGGGATTGCTGCAGGGCAGGAGGCTTCATCAAGGCAAAGGACGAAGCTTCTTAATTACGAGGGCTGATCCAACTCCTCTTTTCATCTCGCACTAATCAGGCCCTAGCAAGGCCAGTAAATAGAGAGGGCTGGGGACTGGGAGCCAGCTGAGAGAGCCAGGGCAGAGGAAGGGGAAGGCCACTAGACGGGGCGATAACCTTGGCATTTGCCCCATTGTGTGCAAACTTGGCTTTTTGTTTTATTCAGAAAAAAGTAGAGAAGTGTGTGTGTATCTTCTATAATTAGAAGATAGAAAGCTCTTTCTCCACCCACATGCCGGGAGAAATGTGAGGCGTTTGCTTTATCAGCTCCAGTTTGGGGTTTGCTTCTGCTGCTTCCCAGACCTGAAAGCGCCTTTTCATGAGGCGTCTGGAACACCCAGTCCCCAACTGCAGCTTGAGCTACTGCCTGTGCTTCAATGCCTGCCTTGTGCTGGTGTGGGGAGCAGACATGCGCTGGTGCTGATGGGGTGGTCCAGGCAGGAGTCTTTGAATTGCTCTCAGGATGTCCTGGGTGCCCACTGTACAGTATCTGATGCCACCAGATTGGTGTCTCTGCAAATGCAATGTTAACACAACATGGAATGCCTTGTGCAGTGTGACCTGCTGTTGGGATGGGTCTTTGGTGTCCTCTCTCGGGCCAGACACAAGCAATGTGGCTGATCCTGAGGCTTGGGATGGTTGAGAGGTTGGGGTGGAGGTTGGCTGCAGAGTCAGTAATCAGTTGACAAAGATGTCTTGAGCTGCTGTATGTGCAGGCAATGCTCTTGGGGCTGGGGACATAGCGGTGAACACAAGAGATGGAAACCCCTGCCCTCATGAAGTATATGTTCTAGTGGCATGGTACAAGGGGAAGGAAATAATCCTTAGGTCCTAGGGTCCAGAAGGAAGAGCCAAGGCCATATCTAAGTGGTAAATATAGGAGGGGAGAAATTTCCAAAGTGGTAACACCTGTTCAGCAATATAGGCACGGTACATGGCACCTGTGTTGTCCCTCCCCAGAGTTTAAGACAGACATTACTAATCAATCCTGGCAAGCTTTCCCACTCAGCCCCCCTTCCTCAGCACAGCATTCTAAACAGCCACTATAATAGATCCCCATTGTTGTGGGAGTGGGAACTTCCCTGGGCCCACAAAATAGTGTCTGACTGCTGCCACTCCTGCCGCCAGTGCAAATATGTTGAGAAGCAAAGGATCACGGGAAGATGGACTGGGATTGACAGAGAGCAGGCTGCAGGCACGTTGGCCAGGCTCCAGGCTCCAGCGTCCAAGATTTAGGCACAGTCAGGAGGATGAAGCCAGTGGTGGAAGTGAAGCAGGTGGGGTAGGATTTTTGCTTAGATGGATCTTAAGGCTGTAACAGCTGATCCCAGGGCAGAGGCCATCTGTCTGTCTGCCTTCTGCCCCAATTTATGCATCTTGGATAATGTGAGCAACTAATGTCTGGACAGGTGTGTGCTGCCACCAGAGAGAGAGACTGGCCTCCACAGGTGCTGGTGCTAATGATGGCAGGGTCCTAGGCAGAGGCAGGGGCCTCCAGAGGATGCTGCCATCTCTAAGATCTGCTCAGCCAGCAAAGCCGATCCAGGCCGGAGCAGAAGCCCTGGACAGGAGGAGGGATCGTTTGCTATGATGCCAGTGTCCCTTAAGCAACCTGGCGGCATTTTCCTTTAACACCAGGTGCCAGGCATAAGAGGCCCTTGAGTGTTAGAATAGACAAGTGCATGCAGACTCTCAGGACACAGCTTGACATGCACCAGGCCTTTCTTCAGACTTGGTGTTGAGGGAGGGGAGCAGAGTTTCCTAAGCCGCTATCATCAGGAACACCGCTCTTAGAGCTGTGTCACTGGGAAGAGTTCCATGGGAAATATTGGGTGAAATAAAAAGTCAAATGGTCTCTTTATTTTGGGTCTTCTCAGAGTCTAAGCTATGCTAAAATGCTTAGACTGAATATTTAGGATGAGGACATAGCGAGCAGCATTTCCTGAGCTTATTCACCCTTGGAGATCTTTGTCTGAGAGATTTCTATCAATGTCTCATGGGACTAGTGTTCCACAGAACCCAGCTGTAGAGAATGCCCTCCAGAGGTGCCCATGCTGCCCACCACTGTACTGCAGTGCAAGCTCTCCGCTGTCTGGTTCCTCCAAAGTTCCTGCACATTCCTGCCTCCACACACTGCTTGGGCTGGACCTGACCCAGAAATGCCCTTTCTCTAGCCTCCACCTTTGCATACACCATCCAGTCCAAGTCCCACCCACTCCACAAAGGCTTTCACAGCTCTGCCAGTGGGACTTAATCACTTGCTGCTTTGAGAGTCCTCAAGTGCACTGCAGCTGATGGCATCTTATTTCTTTGTGTCCTCCACAGCACGGCCCAGGCCCGGGCAGGTGGTGCACCAAGAGTGCTCAGTTTGGGCCATGGCCCATGGGTGGCCATGTGGGCTGACAACACCCTGTCTGCAGGTGTGAGAGGTACGCCTCCTGGGCACTTTCTCTTCCCTTTATCCGCCCTGCCCAGTCCATCAGGGTTTGTAAAGCAGCCATGGTGCCCGATAAGGAAAGAAAATTTTCCACCTCTGCAACTTCCTCTGCTCCCTAATATGTAGAGAGCTGGACCAGAGGGAAGAGAACCAGCAGATCTATTTACATGGACTCTTCCCCTGAAGTGAAACCAGGGGCATTTTCTTATTTAATTATTAATGCCCTAAATCAGATGGTGCCCAATATGTTAACCTCTGTCACTCCAAATGGAGTTGGCCTAATAATCACTGCAGCACGATTGATTTTCCCTCAGTCATCTCATAAGCATATGTCTTTGGGATCTGTCCTCAGAGAGATCCTGGAAAAGTCCCATTAAAGTTAATGGGGATGAGTTGCCCCCATGTGGTGATGGCTTCTTTCTTCACTGCGCCTGAGTGAAGTATCGGAGACAAGGAGAATTTCCTTCCTTCCTTCCTTCCTTCCTTCCTCCCTCCCTCTTTCTTTTTCTTTCCTTCTTCCCCTCTCCCTTCCTTTCCTTTCCTTTTCCTTCCTTCCTTTCTCTTTATTTCTTTCCTTTTTTTCCTTTTCTTCTTTCTTTCCTTTCCTTTCCCTCTCTCTCTTTCTTTTCATGAGGATTTTAAAATCTCACAAATTACAGCAATGATCCAAGTTACCTCTCTCTCCCATCACATGGGTCAAAAGGGACCAGAGGAACAATCTTCTCCTGTCCAGGTGGCCTCATCTTTTGATACTCTTGGTGTAATAAGTTTGAAGATGCTGTCAGGAGGTTCTCTCGGGAGAATGCTGGAGATTATAGGAGTGGCCCAAGTAATGAGTCAGGGCCACAGAGAGAATCAAGACAAGGCAAGGCATCCCCTACAGCTGGCATTCAGACTCCATGCCTTCTGGAACTCTGTGTCCCATTGTTTATTTCTTTATTTGATGCCTGATTAGCCCAAACCCCACTTGGAAGAAGATGCTTGTTCCACTTTTGACTCTCCGCATAGCTCAATGCCATGTCCCGGGCAGGCTCTTTCTCTGCTCTAGGTTGAATCTCCCAGAGGAGAATGGATTGAAATGATCGCTGAGCTCCTCTGCAGCCCTGGCATTGCACAGACTCCAGTTTGTGTGGAGCCTTCTGAGGTGCTCATTGGGTCTCTGGGGATGGAGGAGTGGGCTAGGGGGATTGGGTGGGGAGCTCTGAGCAGCTGTGCTTTGCATACTCCTGGACTCTGCACATTGAGCAGAAACACCAGAATCGCTCCCCTCTTTCTGATTTTCAGAATGCATTCATTTGAAATCTGGCTAAATCTGCATTTCAGTCAGATGATTTCCAGATCTCAAACAGGAACACCTCATTAATCATTAATTTAGACCCCCACGGTTATACAGAATTGGTGACAATTTGTTTATCTTTGAAGGAGCTGCTGAGAAAGAGTTTAACAAGGAAATCATTGTGGAGCGAAGGAGAGTGTTTGACCTTTCAGAAGAATGGCACTCCATTTAGCTTCCCTGAGGGTACAAATGGGGGTGTGTGCAAAATACATGCCGGCTTGTATCTGTTCTCCTAAGTAGGTTGAGCGCTTCCTCATCTGCGAACCCAGGGCCAGCGGGATAGATCCCCAACCATTTCAAGCCTGTGACCCCTTTCCAATGTCAAAATATTTTCTATGACACCCCCACCCCCAGTTATTAGAAGTTGTAATTTTTAGTGTTGCTGATTAAGAAGAAAAGCTACTCTGAATTCAGTAAAGCTTTTAAATAAATCACGATAGCATCTATGTACACATGAAAAATAGTTCTGTCTTTCTGAGTCGCAGCGTTCATTCAGCCTACAGATGATGTTTGGGTGCGTGTGATTTCCAGCTCCTCTGCACCCCTCAAGGTCAGCGACCCACCAGGTCGCAACCCTTGGACTGGAAGTTCTCTGAGGCAGGAGGACCACAGAGTCCTGGAGTGCCAGGACAGGAAGGAACCTCAGGAGGCACTTCAGCCACTCCCACTGGAAAGGTTGTCTGCCCTCTGTGAGGACCCCCTTGTTGGGGACCCCAATTTAGTGAAGCAAGGGAGTTGGCATCCCACGTAGGCACATACCTGCCATAGGCTGTCACTTCAGGGGCCTGGATCAAAGCCTGCAAACTGATTCCTTACGGTCCCTTACCAGGTGGTCTAGGCCTGGCATCCCTCAGTGGGAATGGCATGTGATGACTGCATCACTCTGGGCAGAAGTAGCTGATACCCCATAGGAGACAGAAGAAGCAAGATCCAGTCTTCCATGGCTTGTGGGCCCAGAGCTCAGGGTTTTCTTGGCTCATTTCCCCCCAGGTCCACACCAGACATCTTTTTTCTCTTTCTCCTTGGCAGGAGGGAGTAGGGAAAGGAAGTAGATGGGCAAAGAATGTCAATGATGAGGGATAAGGGAATGGGGAGGGCATTCCCTTTAAAGCAGTCCAGATCTGGGGTCCCTGGGTCCAAGGATGGGCCCGGGGGCCTGAGGACACCCTGCAATTATAGCCGATTTTGCACTTGTGGGCATTTTCCTGGAGAGAACATCTATACCTTTCACTGGATTCTCAGAGCAGTCCCTGAGTCAAAAAACATTCAGAACCCCTGGCCTAGAATTTGGACTTTTTCCTGACTCAGGCTTCCCACTCTCCTGTTACTCAGAACCAGTGAACTGTTACAGTGTTAGTCAAAGCCTGCAATGTGAAATATCAAATGCTCATTACCCACGACGATGGGAAACTAAGTAGTTGCCAGGAACATGGTCTGATCACAGACGCAGCCTCCTTTGTTCTCCTGTGCAGGGCCCGGGATGGTGCTCTCCCTGACGGGGCTCATTGCCTTCTCCTTCCTGCAAGCCACCCTTGCCCTGAACCCCGAGGACCCCAACGTGTGCAGCCACTGGGAGAGGTAAGGTGTGGGCCTCAGATGGCCAGGCACTCTCTGGGGGATCGCCCTGGGCATGGCAGTAGGGGACAGAGGCAGTCAGGAGATCCAGGAGCTGCCCTCTAAGGGTCTGCAGCCTGGCTGGGGAGATGGCCCACATGCTGAGAGACAGGACAGAGATGTGTAGATTCTGTCTGGAAGGTCAGGGTGGAGGCAACTCACATTAACTTCAGTTACGATGCACTGTCCTACCCCTCCCTGCACTAGCACTTCCCAGCCATTGCACAGATGAGAAAGTAGAGACACAGAGGGGCTCAGTCCCTGTCCACAGCCAGATGGGGTGCAGTAAGTGGGGGGATGCGGACTTTGGTCCCAGGTGGCATGCTCTCTGATGCTGTGATGCCTTTCCTGGTCTCCCAGGACTGGCAGCCCCGTGGCAGCTTGGATGTGTGGCCCCAGCAGCCTGCCCTGAGGAGGACGGGTGAGGGGGTCCCACTACTTCCAGTCTGGTGGGGGCAGGGTGTTGCTGGGGAAGGGTGGCCAAAGCTGCAGCGGAAGAGCGGGCTGCATTCCAGCTGCGGCGCTAGGTCCTGGGGGAATGGGCCGGGTCCCTGCAGACGGCCTGACTTTGAAGCACAAGGTTAAAGTATTGACTTTGGTGAGCAGAAAGACAGTGACCAGAGACCCAATCAGGAAAAAACCGAATTAAACCCCGGAATTGATTGGCCATGCTGACCAGGATGACTCTGCCACTTACATGTTAATAAATCAAATGAATAAAATTAAGATGAGGGCCCTATGGGAGAAGTGAATGGTAGAAGAAGAAAGGCGGGGGACTCGGAGCGGGGGTCCGTGCTTCATGCCCATGAGGGTGGATAGCCCAGCCCTAGGGCAGGGAAAGGCACCTCAGCCAGGCAGGACCTGGCTCTGGGGTAGCCTGGACACTTGTGGGTCAGGAAGGATCAGCTGGGAGGCAGAGGGACAGTGCCTGCACTTGTGTGATCCCTGGAGACCAGATCCTGTGTGTGGTGTCCCAACAAAGTTGAGGATGGAGCAAAAGGCAGTACTGTGGTGTGTCCCTTTTTGGTGAAGTGGGAAGAAAACAAGATCCGTGATGAGAAGACCTCAGTTCATTCCAATCTGGATTTTTCCACCTCTAAGCTGTGTGACTCTGGGGAAGTCTCTGAACGGCTCTGAGCCTACTTCCACCTCTGTAAAGTGGGGAGAATCATTATCCTTGCCTCACAGGCTCATTGGAGGATCAAGGGCAGCCGTTTCACAAAAGTGCTTTGAGGGCCATAAGCGTCAGTTACTGTCTTTTCTTGTTGACAACTGTGGCTTTGCAGGAACTGGTTATCATGGACCTTAGTGCACATCAGACTCACGGGAGGTGCATTCGAAAAAGTCTCCTGGGGCCTATCCCGGAGATGCTGATTCAATATTGCATTTTTCATAAGCTTTCTACGTGATTCTGAGGTTACTCAGGCCCCTTGCCCGTTCTGGCTTTGGTGAATTTAAACCTTTATTTCCCAGTGGGTCAGAGAGGTATCGGGAAGAGCCCCACGTTATTCTGTGGGTTTTGGACTCCAGCCTCAGAGGACCCCTTTCATCCCTCTGGTCCTGTTAAGACACACCTGCTTCCTGCTACTGTCTCTGCTGCCTCACAGCCCCTCGAGTGCCTCCTTTGCAGCTGCTCACCTCTGCCTGCCCTAGTGGCTCTATCCAGAGTCCCTCTCTTCCAGGGAGCGTCCCCCACAGGGAGGGCCCCCTCTGACTTCTCTCTCTGTCTGAGCCCCATTTGTACTCACTAATTTTGTACACCTGCCCAACATGAATACATTTGGAATGTGAAAATATTCTGAACTGAGCTGAACTGAGCTGGCATTTCAGGCTTCTTAGGCTATCAGCCAGGGTTACAGCCTGGATGGGAAGACAAGGAGTGAAACCTAACAGCTGGAATGAGGTCTGGGGACTCTCTGGGCTTCTCCGGCCCCAAGGGGGAAGGCTTGTGGGCGATGCCTGGTGACACCAGGTGCTTTCTTCTTCTCAGTCTTTCCAGCTGAGCTCCATTGTAAGTTATATGTGGAGGGATCTAGCCTGTGTTGTTCCAGAAACACACCCCGGTCCCTGGAGACCACTTAGGGAGAATTTCTCAGCTGGATTAGTGCTTCTGGCGGCTCCTCATTAATTATGCCCCTCCACCATAAAACCCAGTGTAAAGACCTCTCCCGGCTAGTAAAGCCTGGCCGTCCAAGATTAATCTGGCCCCTCATTAGCATGTTAGCAAATGAGCAGTGTTAAGCCACCCAGCCATGAAACCAGGGGTACACACTTCGGGTCAGAGAACTTGGAGTTGGTACGAGGCCTGGTTGCCAGACTCGTTCGGCCCAGGGCATCTTGCAAAGCCTGGTCCCTGCCCTGTGACTGCCCCCTCCAGCCCTCTGCTGGGCTTCTCTCTGGGCATCCAAGGTCTATGTTAGGGCTGAAAAGGGAGGCTGGACCCCAAAGTGCTTAACAAAGGTGGGGAATCCATTCTGTGTGTTGGTCTTGCTCCCTCTCTCCCCACCTTGGTCAGGGAGGAAAGATCCTTCAGTGCCTAGCACGGGAAGTGAATCATTGCCTGTCAACATCTATTAAACACTTACTGTTTAAGCATGTTACGTGTATAGTGTATCTCGTTTTATTTTCCCACTGCCCTGAGAGATAGAGAATATTACTGCCCTCCTTTAATCCTCACAGTAACCACACAACCTGGTTAGACTTACAGGTGAGGAGACAGAGGCTTATATGAGTCAAACAACACATCTAAGAGCATGCTGCTAACAGGCAACAGGCTTCAAACTCGCCCTCCTACTGCCTCCGCGTTTGGATTCCAGGGCCCGTGCACGCTCCCCATTCATCCTCTTGCTCTAAGTGAGGCATTCAGGAGATGTGCTGGAGCAAAGATTCATGCGATCCCAGAGCTGGAAGAGGACTCTGGGTGGCTGGAGTGAGGCTCGAGTTGCCTCAGTTTCCCCAAGCCTGGAGCTAAAACAGGGTTTGGGCTGTTTTTTTCCTAGATGTGTGCCTCTGAGGCATATCTCAGGTGTGCCAGCTGGTGGGGGCACACCGAGAGCCCTCCTTACATCCCCAGTGCTTCAGAGAAACAGAATTTCCCACCACCCAGGCCTCTGAGCATTGTTGACTGCTTTTGGCCTCCTCCTTCTGGATGCCAGACCTTTGACCTTTCAGGCATCAGAGAGCCTACCGTGGACCCACTTGGGGAGCTGGCCTGCCCAGCCCCCTTGCAAGGTAACCAATGCAGTTTCCTCAGGCAAGGCAGACGTGCTTTACAGCCTGGACCCGGCCATCTGGCCCAGGTCAGTGAGCCTTCTGGGAAAAACACTGAATAATACCAGCCTACATAGAAATTAATTCCTTAGATCTCAGCTGAGGTCCTCTCTCCAGCCTGCTTAGGAAACATGAGTCCTCACTTCAGCATCCTGGCTTGAATGACACTTCATGCAACCCCTGCCAGGGGCCAGCAGGTAGAAAGGCTTATTTTGGTTAAGCTGAGATCTGCTTCCCTGTGGCTTCCACCTGCTGGTCCAGGTTTACAGCTAACAGGCAGGATGACAAAAACCAATTCTATCAGGGACATATCCTCAATGTACCCCCAGCTATACTAGAGGCAGAATAGAGTAAAAGGTAACTGGGGGAGCTTGTGGAAGCCACTTATGCCCCCTGATGCTCAGTTTCCTGGTCTGTAAAGTGAGAACAATTCCACCTGCCTAAGATTGTGAGGAATGAAACGTATTGAAACACTTGACACAGGGTGCTCGATAAATGTTAGCACCTATTGATACTGCAGTGTGAGCTGGGCAAGTCACTTTTCTCTGAACCTTAGTTTCTTCCTCTATAAAATGGGGCCACTTACTTCACAGAGTTGCTGCAAAGACCAGCTTCCAAGCATGTTCTTTGAAAACCATAAAGATATGAACAATCACATATTTTTAAACTTGTTGGCTCTGCCTTCCAGAGCCACACAGAATAAAACTACCCCCCGCTTCTTTATTCATTCTCTGTTAAATGAACAAATGAACTCGAATTTTAGAAAATGATCTGGGCCAAAGGTCAGTAAATATGTCCTGGGGCCAACCTGGGGTCGGGGAGGCTGGAATATGAGGGCATTCAGGGCAGGGGGAGGATAGTTGGGAGGGGGGAGGTCAGAGCCTCCGGACACTTGGCTGTGGAGCTTGGCCTCAGGGCTGTGGGCTCAGATGCCCTGCGGAATATCAGCTCAGCTTCCCAAGTGCTAATCATGGCTCCTATCTCCCATCTGGTTCTCAGCTATGCTGTGACTGTCCAGGAATCGTATGCACACCCCTTCGATCAGATCTATTACACACGATGCACAGACATCCTCAACTGGTTCAAGTGCACCAGGCACCGGTGAGTACCTCTCTCAGATGATGGGGCAGGGAAAAGGCACTGGGCTCTCAGGGCTTGCCTCTGTGCAAGTTAGAAAAAGGCCGCTGGAGCAGATGTTGTCACGCGCCTCCACTCTGAACACCCAAGATGCTCTGCTGATGGCTTCTTTCTGGCCAAAAGAGCTTGCGGGTAGTACAGGCCAGCAGTGCTGGAGAGTTAATGCTCTTGAGGGCATCCCTCAACCAGGGATGGGGAGATGGGGAGGTGGTGGATAACTACCCCAACTTCCTCACACTTGGGATGGCAGGAACATCTCTTAGCCATGTTCTACATGTATCCTAGAAGTCTCCAGTGATGGAACCCCAGTTGCCGTAGAAGTAACCTGCTCAATAATATACCATAGATTGGCTGCCTTTACTTCCCTGTCTCACTTTTCCATCCTCCTACCGGTACTTCCTAGGATTGCCTCCAAAATAAACTACTTGTTCTTGAATCCTTTTCTTAGGGTCTGCCTTTGGGGGAAAACCCAACCTAAGACAGCCCCCTGCCCTGAGCAGATGTAGCCCCATATCAGGGCATCTGGCTTGAAGAACAGAGTGCAGGCTAGAATTCAGCAACCTCTCGGCACCTTGACCAGGCTTTCCTTAGCAGTGCTCAACATGAACAACTGCACATGGCAGTCTTGTACCCTTGTCTGCAGCCCTCCTGCAGATTATATGTTATCATGTCACTCAGGGAAAGGCAAGAGGAAGGAAGAAACAACATGCTTTAAGGGATGACCCTGGGAAAGACACTTTATTTTGGGATTCCCAGTGTACTCATCAAACTTAATAATCTGGCCAGGCACGGTGGCTCACGCCTGAAATCCCAGCACTTTGGGAGGCCGAGGTGGGCGTATCACAAGGTCAGGAGAACGAGATCATCCTGGCTAACACAGTGAAACCCCGTCTCTACTAAAAATACAAAAAATTAGCCGGGCGTGGTGGTGGGCGCCTGTAGTCCCAGCTACTAGGGAGGCTGAGGCAAGAGAATGGCATGAACTCCGCCATTCAGGTGGAGCTTGCAGTGAGCCGAGATCATGCCACTGCACTCCAGCCTGGGCGACAGAGCGAGACTCTCTCTCAAAAAAACAAAACAAAACAAAACAAAAAAGCCTTAATAAACCTTGTTCTACCTACCCTGCAGTGTCCACGGAGGTCAGGAGTGTGAAAATTACTTTGAAAAATACAGGGGAAAATGGAGGAAAGTGTGAGATATTAGCCACATGTGAAGCGACACTATTTGAAGGGTGAGAGACTAGCTGTTGAAGGGTAAATAAGGTAGTAAGGGAGAGACCCCAGGGTGGGCCCTTTTCCTAGTTGCTGAATATCTGTTGATTCCAGATTTCTCCTTTGCTTTCTCCTATGAGCCCAGTTCCTCTTTGAGGATAATTCAGGAATCATGCTGGGCGGCAACATAGATGAGAAAACTCGTTCTGTGCTGAGAAGCCGAAGTCCTGGTTTTCTTTGAGGTTTTGCTACTAACTGGCTGTGAGACATTGAGCAGAGCTATGCTTGCTGCTTTAAAATCCTTGCCTGCTAATTCCAACATCTGGGTCATCTCAGGGTTGGTCTTCACTGATTGCTTTTTTTTTTCTGCATAGGTAGTTTTTTTTTTTTGACAGAATCGCACTCTGTTGCCCAGGCTGGAGTGCAGTGGCGCGATCTCAGTTCACTGCAATCGCTGGCTTCCTGGTTCAAGCAATTCTCCTGCCTCAGCCTCCTGAGTAAGCTGGGATTACAGGCACCCACCACCACACCCTTCTAATTTTTGTATTTTTAGTAGAGATGGGGTTTCGCCATATTGGCCAGGCTGGTCTCGAACTCCTGACCTCGTGATCTGCTCGCCTCAGCTTCCCAAAGTGCTGGGATTACAGGTGTGAGCCACCACGCCTGGCCAGTGTGTTTCTTTATATGCCTAGTAATCTTGGATTATATTGTGAGCATTATGAATGACATGGGGAGACCGGATTCTATTATGTTCCTCCAGAGAATATTAATTTGTTGTTGTTTGTTTATTTCTTTAGCGGCCTGGTTACTTGGCTAAACACAAATTCCAAACTCTGAAAGTTTAATATTTTTAGCATTAGCTAGGCTGCTTGGAATATGTCCTCCATAAGGATAAATCAGTGGCCAGACGCTTGGGCAGGGATTTTACAAAGATGTTGGGGCTCCCTTTTTGTGACTCTCACCTTTTAAGGTTTCCCCTTTCACCTGCTACCTGCTGGGTCCACCCTGGCCTTGTCCTGTGGTTCTTCAAACGAGCAAGGTTGTGTGTTTTCTATCTGAATTTTAGTTGCCCGGAGTATTGTTGTGCTAACTTGCCCAGGACCATTCCCTTCTCTTAAATGTCCACTTGCCTCCAGTATCAGCCTGCTTTTGTCCTCCCTCAAGTGCCTTCAGGTAGTTGTTTTGTATATTTCCCCCTAGATTTTATAGTTGCTATTTGCAGAAAGGTGGTCCAATAGGAGCAACTCAGCTATTACTGCATCCCCTTCCTCTAGCATTTGACTGTGGAATGAGGAGGTGGGACTAAATGCTCTCTTTCACCCCACCAATTTTGCCAGAGTTGGCTGCTTGCGGCCCTGGTCAAAGACAGAGGCAGAAATAGTAGTGCTGCTCCTCCCAAAGCCCTGGCAGACCCAGTGGGAGAGCCAAGTTTGCTCAGGGGTATGGCCCTTTTGGGTACTTGGAGGCTAGGGCTGCCATCCATCACCACTGAGGTGGTGGCTGCTTATTAAAATAGGCTGTATTCCTAGAACATGAATTATTTTGCTAAATTATTAAGTTGCCTTGCAGCTTTCCTGATGACCTAGAGTGTGCATGCTAACAGCTTGCACCCTCCGTCAGCTTTGGTTTGGAATGGCATGTTTTAACCCAGCATCCTTCCCCTGAGAGCAGCCTGGCACCTGGCCTTGCTTCCCTCTCTTGCTTTCCAAACTGCACAGGGACAAACAAAGATGGGTGAGCTAGAAACAATTGGGTGGCAACTCTTTCCTGAGGGGCGTTAATGATGCCCAGACCACCCCCCATTGCGGGGCTTGGGGATAATCCTGTTTGCTGGGGAGAACAGGCTGGATGACCTCTGAGTCGATTCTGAGTTATTCTTTACCTGAGAGGCTTATACAACCCCTGAAACTGTCGGGAGCTGCCTTCTGTGCTAGGGAAGTAGCTTTACTTTGAGGCCAGCTTTCCTTCCATTATGGGTTTTTGACAAAGTTGAATGACCTTAGCTTACGACATTCCCAAATATCACAGATTTCCCCAGAGTTCTGCACTGTCATTTGTTATGAAGTGAGGGCTTTAAGGTGTGGGAGGGTTGTCCCAGCCTGTATTACAGGACTCTCTTCCCAAGCTGGCCTGGCCCTCCATGGAACGCAGCCTATAGGCGTCTCTGATGACCAGACCCTGCTGCTGTGCTGCTGAGGAAGAGTCCACAGGGCAAGCTCCCCTTGGGTGCTGATGGAAAAGTGGAAAGAGGTCTGGCTTCAAGGCCCAAGGACTTGGGGTTGGGTCCAAGTTCCACTCCATGACCTTGGGCAGGTCACTTCCTCTCTCTAGTCTCTAGTAGCCACTTCAAATCTCTTCCACTTTGACTGTCCGTGTGAAGAAGGGGCTTTGCCTATGAATACCCCATTTTGATTTCCTTCTAAGGACTCAGTATTTCTTTTTACTTACTCCTTCACTGTGGCCGTCTGTAAGGCCAGAATCTACCCTGTGAAACCTGGTAGAGGGCAGTAGGTTAAGCCTAGCAGCTTTGAAATTGGAGTGAGCTAGGTTTGAATCCTGGCTCTGACCCTGATTAGCTGTGCTGGTCACTAACTTCACTAATTTTAGTTTTCTTATTCATAAAACAAAGGGTGGGGAGTTGAGGGGAACATAAAAAAATAGAATAAAAGCTCTAAAAGAGAAAGAAATAAAATAAAGGGGGATAGTAATGGTGCCTGCCCCAGGGAATGGAATGAGATGTTGATCATAGTCCCTCTGGCATGGGGCTAAGCCTTAACACTTGTGTCAGCGTAAGGTCTGGAACCCACATGTCTGACTCCCAGTGCTGCAGCTCCATGGGCCTCAGCTTCTTCCTTTGCAGGGTGAAGGGTCAGTTCAGGGCCTTCCCAGGGATGGCATGCGAGGCTCCTCTCCCGGAGGTGTTATTTTTGGTGTGGGGGAGATTAATCTACTCTCCGGGACTGAGTTGGACTCAAAGGGTCCTTTTGCTGACTCTGCCTCAGTTCTTCAAGTGGGGGGACCAATACTCAGGGGGCTGTGAGCAGTCTGGCTTGTTAGAGGGGTGGGACAGGGCGGGCACAGAAACCCTCAGGGCCTGACTCCTATCCAGGTCACCCCGTGGGCTCTTCAAGCCCAGAATCTGGGTGTTTTAAGGAACTAAGGAGAAGTTCATGGTTGCCCTCCACAATGTCACTCCAGAAAGTATCTTCTGCAGCCCTTCTATTTAGAAGTGACTGGGGAAAAGTCAGCAGGTTTAGTAAGTGCCATGTTAGTAATACATTCTGCATCACAACAGCCCAAATCCCACTATTGATTTTTTTATTGTGTTCCTTCATATTTGAAGTCGCCATGCATTTTAAAGTAATTATTGAATGGCATCCTCAATATAGCTTAACACAAATATCATTCTAAATGGGAGTGATTGATTTTCAATACTTTCAAGTGGCTTTCTCCCTTGTGCCTTAGGATCAGTTATAAGACGGCGTATCGGAGAGGCCTCCGGACCATGTACCGGCGGAGGTCCCAGTGCTGCCCTGGCTACTATGAGAGCGGAGACTTCTGCATACGTATGTAGGGGCTGCTGCTGTTCTGCCCTCAGTGGGGAAGGGAGGAGAGGCAAAAGGAGGGGAGGGGAGGGGAGGTGGGGCTGATATCCACGGCCCCTAGGCAGCAGTCCTCAGCCAGATGGCTCCAGAAGTCCCTGCCTGCTGCCAGTGCTCAGAAGGAATAATGAGTTTGGTGCAAATACAGTAGCAAGGGTTGGGCCATCAGATCAACCTCCTTACAGGGTGGATGGAAGTGCGTGAGTTCAAGGCCTTGATGGGGGATAGGGGAGAAGTGGCTCCTTCTGGAGTGGGCACTCTGAGAAGCAAGGGAGAAGAAGTGCTGGGTGCCTGGCACAGGGTTAAGATGTGCAGGTGCTCAAGACAGCTTTGCTGGATGGAAGGAGAGATGGATGGGTATGTAGATGGACAGTTGGATGGGTGGAAATGGGAAAGGGAGGAAGGAAGGCTGAGTTGTTGGATGTCAAAACCACAGTAAGAAAAGGATGGGGGCAAAGATGAGATGGACCATGAGGAAGTGGTTCCGGGAGCTGGGAGGATTTCCAAAAAGGATTTGGGGGACATTGGAGAAGAGGTGGGTGCATGAAAGACAAACATTGCCTCTTTTCCTATTTGCTTAGAGCAGCTCAGAAAATGCAGGCCTTAGTGTCCCCTAAGAAAGACAAGAGCTGAGTTGCTGGCAGCTGCAGGCCCTCTGGGAGAAGAGCAGTGTGGTGCAGTGGAGGCACCCCGGAGCAGGAGCCTGTAGATCTGGGCTTCCTAGCTATGGGGCTTTCGGCAAGACACTTAATCTCTCTGGGAGGATGATCGTAGGGTCCCTGTTGGGTTCTAAGGGACTCTTTCCCCACTCACCTCTGACCCAGTGACATGGGGCCAGTGGACTTTCCAGTGGGCCTTAGAAGGTTCCCTCTACTGTAGGAGAGTGTCAGAGGAGCTGGGAGGCCCTCGTTTAATGACTGAGAAGAGATTCCACCCCCAAAGCTTCTGCCTCTTCATTTGGAGAGCAATTTTCCTTGTTAGTATTCTCTTTGCCATTCGAGTGGGTAGAGAGAGTTCGCACCAGAGGGAAAATTTGGGCAGAGTGGGTGTGTTGATGTTGGGAATAAAATGACAATTTTCTCCTACTGTTGTTACATCTCCCCCAATGCTGGAGAAACTCAATTCTAATTGCATTACAAGAATGAATGAAAAATGTACCCTCCAATGGGTTCGGTAGTGATGGTTTTGTAGGAAAGATACAAAGCAGTTCACCTAAAAGGCCGTTCCTCAGGGGCAGGGCAGAGGACTGAGCTAGGATGAGGCCTTGGTCAGTACCTCACCTGGGATGGGGTAACTGAGACCCAGGTGTAGATGTGAGATCAGTACTAAGGCTTTCCTGCTGCTGCTCTGTCTGTATGGAGTAGTGCGAAATGAGACCAGGGGTAGGACACGGGACTCACAAAGCCTCAGGGACAGATGTAAGCGGCCCGCGCAAGCTCAGGGCCCAGTGATGGACTCAGGGAAATTATGAAGGGAGTTTGGACGTCAGCGCAGAGATCCAGGAATGGACGAGCACATTTCCTTTCTAATTTCCATTAGTGAACGGTGGCAAAGCTCTTGGAAAATGAAGAGCAGGGCAGAAGTGCTAAGCGTCCTGATTGCACAGGAGGCCCAGTCTTGCTGACTGGCAAGGGCAGTTTATACCTTCCGACTTACTCCTTATGTAACCACTGGGTACTACCTTCTGGCCAGGTGACCCTAGGACGGTCCACCAGGAAATCAAGCTCAAAAAGCCACTTTCAGGATGAAAGACTTCTAGGAGGGGACAGGAGAGTTCTGGCAGGGAGATGGGATGTGTGGCACCCTAGGTGCTGGTAGTAATGACACAGAATCACAGGGGTCTGGGTTTGATCCTTGCTCTGCCACTGCCAGCTTCTTCCTCTTTATCTTCATCATCTTCCCAGCACCTGCCACATGCCAGGCACCATTCTGATCACTTTACATACGCTGATCCATCTACTGCTCCCAACAGCCCTATGAGGAAGGTATCCTTATTTCTCTCATTTGACAGATGGGGAAACTGAGTCATAGAGCTTCTGTAATTTGCCCAAGATCACACATCTGGAAAGTGGCAGAACTTGGATTTGAATCCAGGCTGTCTGGCTCCAGAGTCTCTGCACTTGGATGGCTTGGGCAGGCTGCTTGTCTCTTCACGAACCTAGGCAAGGCTTTACCTCTCTGAACCTCAGTTTTCATTCATGTAAAATGGCAGTAGTAACACCTGCACTCACCAGGCACAGAGTGGGGGTTGAGTAAATGTCAGTTCCCTCCTCCATGGCATTGGTGCTCCACATTGTTTGAGTCCTGGCTTTTAGTTGCTCAAAGAGGCCCATGGACACTGTCCCTGGGAAAATGCATAGTACCTATATAAACATACCAACACACAAAGTCCTTTGCATTGAGTTCATGGGTTCATTGGGTTCATGGATCCCCTGAAACCCTTACAGGGTCCTTGTTGCATGGTAACGTTACCACATGTTCATGTTACCCATGCAGCATGTATTTGTTACTTCTTGCTACGCAAGATGCAGGGGCATAGATACAGATGATGGATAGTTGCTGCCTTCAAGGAGTTTCCAGCCTAGTCAAAGGAGGGGACTTAGAGTATGCTACAGGGTGTACTAGAAAGGTGTTTCAAGCCAGTATTTATTAAGCACCTACTATGGCCCACCCACAGTGCTGTGCTACGAGATAGAAGAGAAGAGTTAGAAATACAAATAGCCCCTGCCCTTGTGGAATCTACTTTCATGACGGGAAGGCGGGACTAACACTCAGTAAAATCATTCCATAACAGCCCAGAGACTGGATGTGAAAAAGGCTAGACAGAGACAGTCAAGCGCGGCAGGAGAGAATGCTGCCACCTGCTTCACGGGGCCTTGAGCTCCACCTTGAGGGTTGCAATGACGCCGTCAGGGGTGGGTGGGAGAGGGAACCCCATCAGCAAAGGCATGGAGGTGGGCGGTGAGGAGGCTGGCCAGACCCCAGAGGGCAGACCTGGGCTGCAGCGGGAGGTGCAGGTGGCTGGGTTGGGTGTGTCAATTGTCTAGGGTGGCTATTACAAAGTACCACAGGCTGGGCGGCTTCACCGGCAGCGGTTTATCGTCTCACAGTTCTGGGGCTCAGAAGTCTGAGATCCAGGTGTTGGCAGGGCTGCTTCCTTCCGGGGCTGGGCGAAGGGTCTGTTCCAGCCTCTCTCCTTGCTTCTGGTAGTTTCCTGGCTGCAACGGCAGGACTCTGATCGTCACATGGTGTTCTTCCCGTGGCTTCACATTTCCTTGTTATGAGCACACACGTCATAGTGGATTAGAGCTCACTCTAATGACCTCATTTTAACTTGATTACCTTTTAAGACCCTATCTCCAAATAAGGGCGTGTCTCAGGTGCTGCGGCTTGAGACTTTAACATAGGAAATCTGAAGAGGCTGGTGTCAGCTGTTTAAGACCCTTGATTGCCTTTTAAGACCCTATCTCCAAATAAGGGCGTGTCTCAGGTGCTGCAGCTTGAGACTTTAACATAGGAAATCTGAAGAGGCTGGTGTCAGCTGTTACCAGCATCCTCCTGTTCTTGTTTATTGTGATGGGAGGAAAGGGAGGGGGCACCAACTGGCCCCACATGGGCTTTGGCACTTGCCCATGAGAGAATGGAGACCCCAGGGTGAGGGAGCTTGTGAGAGGGAGAAATGGTAGTGAGAGGGTGAAGAATGATGCCAGGGCACTGGGGGACAGATGGGAGACTTGTGAGCCTGGGAGCATTCAGGGGCTGGTGCCTGCAGCCCTGCCCTGCGACTTGTCTCTCCAGATCGCTCAGAGGCCAGAGAACCTCCAACTTCACCAGAACCTGGTGAGAACCCATCGGATGCCAAGAGTTCTCTGGATCCTGCACAAGAACATCACCTGTGCCCTGGGCAGGGCGGGAGGATGTCATCTTCCCTTCAGAGTCACCTTCTGGGAGCCTTGTTTCTTGCAGGCTGACAAGGAGCAGGCCCGGGCGTGAAAGCCTTGGCTGACTCAGCCACCAACTTGCTCTGCAATCTTGGGCCAGTCCTTTGCCTCTGTGGAGCAGCGGTGACATAGGACGGACCATCCCTGTGTGTGGAAGGAGGAAGAGATGGAACAGGGACCCAGAGTGTCCTGGAAAACACAGAGCTCAATACAGATGCAGGGGGGCACTGTTTTTCTCCTCTCTGTACAATTTCGTCTGCCTTTGAACTGCCATTCTCATCTGGGAGCCCTCCTGAAACCATCCGTACCAGAGGTTCCCACCCACCCCTGCCCAACTCATACCTCTTTCCGCTTCCATTATCTACAGCTACAGCGGAGTCCTGGCCCACTTTGGTCACCAGGTATGAAATATTTCCTAGAGATCACTGGGCAGAAGTGCCTGCCTGCCTTCCTCCCTCCCTCCAAGCTTCCCTTTCTTCCTTCTTTCAGGACAGAGGCATTTTTGCCTCTGCAGATGGAGCTAGTTTTATGTCTTGCAGAAGCAGACTTTCACATATGTAGTAGAGTTTGAGGCATTTTGGGAAGCTCTGTTCTTTGAAAATATTAGTCTTGTATCAAACCAGATGATACAGGACTGAGTTATGAGCATACTGAGTTTTGCTGCGGTAACAGACAACGTCCAAATCCCAGTGGCTTGAAACAGTGAAGTTTAATTTCTTCTTCATATTAGGTGTCCGCCGTGGGCTAGCTAAGGCCTGCTCCTTGTCAGCCTCACCCCAGGTCCTAGGCTGATGGAGCAGCAACTCTCTGGAATGTTGCTAGTTGCTGTGGCAGAGAGAAGAGGGCTCTAATTAGTCTTGAAGGCAGAGAGGATCAGAAACATTTAGTGAGCAGTATTAGTTGCTATCACAAGTCCCACACAGATGGCCACGGTGCTCACAAACCACAACTCATTCGAATGTATCTTTGGTAAGCACTTAATAACAATATGAGACAGGTTCTGTGTGCTTGACTCCAGCGGTTCTCAAACGTGAGCTGCCGAACCAGAATCACCTGGGGGACTTGTTATACCACAGACTGCTGGGCCCCAGTCCCAGAGTCTCTGATTCAGAAGATTTGAGGTGGGGCCCAAGAATTTGCATTTCTAACAAGTTCCCAGGTGATCCTGATGGATGGGAACTACACTTGAGAACCACTAGGCAACGGTTTCTTTTTCTTTTTTTTTTTTGAGACAGAGTTTCGCTCTGTCGCCCAGGCTGGAGTGCAGTGGTGCAATCTCGGCTCACTGCAAGCTCCGCCTCCCGGGTTCACACCATTCTCCTGCCTCAACCTCCAGAATAGCTGGGACTACAGGCGCCCGACACCGCACCTGGCTAATTTTTTGTATTTTTAGTAGAGACGGGGTTTCACTGTGGTCTCGATCTCCTGACCTCGTGATCCACCCGCCTCGGCCTCCCAAAGTGCTGGGATTACAGGCGTGAGCCAAGGGTTTCTTTACTGACTCAGTTTGCGAATCTGTTACAAAGAGGCCCAGCAGGTGCATCCCCTAAGTACTCAGGGCTTCTGCTGCGGGCGGCAGCAGGGAGAAAGCATGCCTCACTGCAGCGGGCAAGGAGGGGGAGTCTATCTGCCCAATTCCCCGTCTCCTGTTTCCTTTTGGTCGACATAGTTTCCCCCCGGCAAATGAACTCCCTCAAGCTTCCAGGTGAAATCTTCTGGCCCTTTCAGTGGTGGCTTGGAATGCCAGAGGCCACCCTCTGCAGTATGGTTTTCAGGAAATCCAGAAGTGGAGGGATCCACCAGAAACTCCAGGCACGTATGCAGCTGATGGGCCCGGCTGGCTTGGGGAGCATAGGTTGTCCCCAGGGAAAGGGACTGTGCCAACCCTAGGAGGTGGTCTGCACATGGTGTCCGAGGGAGCCAGCAGCTGAGGGTCTGGGAGACTGGCCTCACGGGTGGACTCTGGTTGAGGGGAGAGGATTCTGGTGGGGGGTTGGGCAGGGGGTCAGGCAGTGTAAGATTTAATTCAGTAAATTCGACACGTCAACTCTATGCCAAATTATGTACTCCTGTTTCATTATTGCTGTTGCTTTGCACAATTATTGTTTAAATTTAAATCGAATTCCTATGTTTCCTAATTCCTTTGCTCATCATCTCTTGCATCACTCTCCTAGGTTCAGCCTCATTCTTCTTGAAAGTTCTTTAGTTCTTTCAGGGAAGGTCTATGAGTTACCAATGCTCCTATGCTTTATTTGTCTTATGCTTTGATTTTGCCTTTGCTCTTGAATGATAGTTAAGCTGCCTGTGACATTCTAGGCTTTCAGTCATTTTCTTCCAACAGTTTGAGAAGTGGTGTTCCATTGTGTTCTGGACTTTGTCTTGCACTGCCTGCCCTGCAGTTTCCCTAGGATGTGTCTGGGTGTGGAGTTTCTGGGGGTTTTTATTTGTTTGTTTTATACTCTTTGCTTCTCAGAGGTATATATCATCTTTGAGCTAAGGATTCATGTCCTTCATCAATTCTGGAAAATTGCCAACCACACCTCTTCAAAAATCTCCTTTCTTCCATTCTCTTAATTTCTCCTGTTGGAGCTCCAATATGTTGGATCCTCGTATTCCATCTTCTGTCTCTCCTAAGTTCTCATTTTCAGTCTCTTTATCTCTCCATGCTGCACCTTGGACATTTTCCTTAGATCCATTTATTAGATGCTGTGGTTCTGCTAATTAACCTGTCTGGTGTGGTCTTAATTTCAGTTTCTTTTTTCATTTCTAGGAGTGCCATTGGTTCTTTTTCGGATATGTTGTGCTTTTTCTGTCGTGTCCTATTCTTTCATTATGAATTCCATTCCTTCTTTTATTGCTTTAATTATTTTAAACATATTTCTTTTATAGTCTCTTTCAGATAGTTTTATCTCGAGCGATTAGTTCTATTAGCTCAAGTTCCTAGAGTATCAATTCTCCTGTTCATGGAGCCTGCTGATTCTCCATTATGGCAGATTGTTTCCTTGTACAGGTTGTACTTTTTTTTTTTTTTTTAACTATTAGCCCTTTCTTCCCTCCCTTATGCCCCAAATTGTTCAGCGGCCCTACACATTAGTTTTACATTTTCTTGTCGGGCACTCTAATGGTTTCCCCCGGTTCAAGATCACCCTTTACTTTGGTAGCCTGATTTGGGATTTTATGCTGTGTTTGGTAAAGGCTTGGGGTGTTTTTTCTCTTAATTGATGTGAATTTCACATACCATAAAATCATTTTAAAGTGTGCAATTCAGTGGCATTTAGTATATTCACGATGTGCAAATATCACCTCTATCTAATCACCCCTAAAGGAGACCCCATACCCATTCAGCAGTCACTGCCTGTTCCCCTATCCTGGCTTTTTGTTTCTTGTGGGAGACTTTTTTTCTCCATCCAGAATACCTTGTTTATCTCTAGGTTGGTGGGTAGCATGTTCAAATCCCCCCTACATGGAGCTGGCGACTTCCAAGGCCAAGTCTGCCCTTGAGTGGGTATGAAGTCCCTGGCTCCCAGCCTGCGCTGGGGGTGGGGGGTGGTGGCTGTAGCCAGGTCTAATGTTCCCTGAGCTACCTTGGCTTCAGCATCTCACATTCTGCTCTCCTATAAACTCCCCCTTTCCCCAACACTTAGAAATTTACCGTGCTCTCCTTAGAGCTCAGCTATGCATTTAAACATATTTTTACTGTATTTTGGGAGCACTTTTGTAGCATGAGGAGCTGCATTAGCACTTTCTCCATATCACTGGAACTGACTCTGTTTTACAGAGAGAAGTGGAATGGGGGCTTTATAACCAACCCCTGTGACATTTAATTCAATGCCTTCTTGGAGTGATTGCTAACTTTCGACCATAATAATGACAATTGTGTAATGTCTGGTGGTTTAGCCGGCGCTTTCACCTGCAGTATATCATCTGCTCAGTAGACTGGAGAAGTGAGCATTATTGTTACTGCCCTTTTACAGGACAGAAAACTGAAGCTCAGAGAGGCTAAGTGACTTGTCCACATGGATAAGTGGCAGGCCCAGATTTCAGATGAGTGCGACTTTAAATCCTGTACTTTCCCCTCCTACAGTGGGTTTTCTCTGAGTAGGAGAAACCTGTGGCCAGAAGAGAGAAGTGGGGTCAGTCAAGAGGGCAGGGGAGGAGGTTTGGAGGGGGAGGAGGGGACTGAAGCTATACTGGTTTGAGCTCAAATTTTTGCTAAGGTGTGGGTCCTAACAGGTGCCAGGATCAAGGTGCCAAGAGGGCATGGGGGGTGGAGGAAAGGGCATATGTGTAAGCAGCATGGTGGGGCCTGTCTGAAACTCAGCCTCTCCCTAGCTGCTAGGTAAAAACTCCCTGCTAAACCTCTAAGAGGCTCCCCAAGGAGTCTTGCCTGCTGCCATCACCAGAAACAGTGTTGACACCACTCTCTTGGGTCACCAACACCTGGTGCTGAGCTTTGCTGCCTAGAAGAACAACATCCATCCATCACCATTTATTATTATTAGATATCTATGCCTTGCAGGTACTACTAGGTCCTGGGGATGCAGAGATGAATAAGAAGCACATGGTCTAGCGGGAGAGATGCCATCACAGAAGGATAAGCACAGTTTAAATAGGGAGGCAAGGAAGGCATAGCTGCCCGTCCACCCCCGACAGAGCCCCACTGAGAGGTCAAAGTTAATGCAGCCACCGTGGTCTGGTCCCCAGTCCGTGGGCTTAGAACATTGATTTAGAATGTTCAGAGTAGCTGAGACCCAGGTGATGATTCACACTGACCAAACTCATAAATACGGATGCTTAACCCTGATACCAATTAATTCATTTGCAATGAGAAATGTAACTACCAAAGAGTTGTCCTTGTCCACTTGTTAGTGCTTGTCAGGCCCTCAATAAATAATTGTTGAAAGAGTGAATTCATGGTCTGGGCACCCACAATGCCTGGTGGTCTGTCTGGATTCCCCCTTCTGTTAATGCCTATGTTGGATTCCTCCTGTTCCACCCTGGAACTCCGCCTGTTTGGGAGCCACACGGTGGTTGGTACAAGTACTCTGTACCCACCATCCTGTCTCTCCCTTGGCCCTGCCACCCCGGGGCCCCTCTGCACCCTTGTCCTGCTGGTTGTGAAGCTGCTGTGCCTGTCCATCTCTCTCACTCAGAAGTGAGTTCCTGAGGCAGAGGGATCAAGTCTCTGCGAGGCTTTCCCCAGGGCCAGGCACGGTGTCCAGCCCTGAGTACTGATAAACCACTGAATTTAGTGAGTGAGTGAAATAGACTCATACCACAAATACTGAGAGACCTCTTAGGGAGAGGCAACTAGCTTTATCTAGGGATGGAAGGAATGGGGGTCAAGAAAGACCCCTTCAGGGAGGTGAGTTTTGAGCTGAGTCTGAAAGATGAGTAGGAATTCACCAGGAGAACAAGAGATGGGCAGTGGGTAAGATGGAGCTTCAGACCTCAGCCGGCCGGAGAGTGACTCCACTCACTTCCTCTGCTAGCTGTGTGCCCCCGAGCACGTTGTTTTGCCTCTCCATACCTCGGCTTTCTCATCTGTAAAACAGAGTCCCATTGGGTAACTACCTCTTCGGGCTGTTGTGAAGATTCAATGAGTTGCTACAAATAAAGCATTTAGTAGAGGGCCTGGCATGTGAAGAGCTCAGTAAAACTTAGCTATTGTTCTTGGTTTACTTTTGTGAGGGAGGGCCTCGTCTGGCAGAGGGGCAGCATGAGCAAAGGCGAGACGTGGGAGACAGCAGAGGGGTCAGGACACTGCCCGGACAATCTCATGAGGTCAACAAGGGGTTTAAGTAGCAAGCGATGCCGTGAGGTGGTATCAGGGAGTGGTTGCTCTGGGGGCAGCAGCATGGACCACCAGTGAAGGTGGTGAAAGGCAAGTTATGGGGGGTGTGCAGGGATGGGTGAGCCATGGATGGCTGTGTTCAAGGACTTGGTCAAGGGGATGAAGACCTGGGGTCTGGCGGCTGGGTTTTGCTGGCCAAGCTCTAGCTTTCTCTGGCAGGACTTTCCTCCACCCTCAGTGAGTGCCAGCAGGGCCCCTCGTGCTGATACAGCCGTGGGAGGATTGAGGCATCGCTTCTTAATCACCAGCTGTGGATGTAATTAAGCCTCTGCCATCTGCACCGGGCGGCCTCTGAAGGGAAGCCTTTGGTTGTGTCAGAAGCAGTCAGGCATTTATGTAAGCTCTCTTCCTGGGTTTTCCTGGGCCAGCTGAAGCCCATGAAGTGGCTACCCTGTGCCCAGTCTAAGCGCCAGTTTCTCTACGGGAACTTGCCAATGGCCCCCTTTTGATCTTCTGAATTCATACCTTGGATGTCTGGTCCTTGTTGGGCGTTAGCTGCTTGATGCTGCAAGCCCCACATAGCCTGGCCCCAGCTGACTCTGTGCCTCCCACGCTGGCCTCCTGGCTCCTCCTGTACACAGGAAGCCTTGGCAGTTCCTGTTCCCTCTGCCCGGAATGCTCTTCCCCAGATAGCCACACGGCACCAGATGGCCCGTCCCTCATTTCACTCAAATACTGTGTTTCAGAGAGGCTTCCCTGACCGCCCCGTCTGCAATGGCGGCCTCCTCCCTGACATCTTTCTATACCCTCTTAGCCTGTTTTGTTTTGTTTTGTTTTTTTCTTTGCACTATCACTACCTGGCATAGAATATACATTTTTAAAATTTCTGTCTCCTCAATGGAACTATACACTCAACACAGATCACTGTAGAGTCTACAGTGGGTCATGATGTGCCAGGCACATAGTAGGGGCTCAGAAAATAGCCTTGGAAAATTGGAGGCACCTTCAATCCACTCTATTCCTGCCTTGCCCCACTGCTGTGGTTTCTGGCATTTTCTTCCTCTCCGTCCAGGGCTGCCCACTCCAGGTGCGTTCCGCAGGGTCCTTCACATGACACTCGTGATTCTCTGTCTTGCTCCTCAACGTCCCGTTACCTCACTGCTGAGCCTCTGCATCCCACCCAGCTGCCTGAGTTCTCCACATTCTCTCATTCCCTGGGGCTTCGTGCAGGCTGCCCTCGCCTCCTTGAACCCCCATCCTGCTCTTGCAGTTTTTGCATACTGGTCCTTGAAAACTCAGTGTGGAGCCTAACATTCTCTGGGAGCCCCACTCGACACCTCCCTACCCAGCCCCGGCCCTGTCTTGATTGCAGCCCCTTTCACTCCAGGTCCCATTGTCAATGTGTTTATTGTTTCTCTCACTGGCCATGAGCTCCTGAGGGCCCAGAATGTGGGACCCCTCTGTATCTGTAGGGCCCAGTGCTGGAACGTGCAGGCTGGTTGATGACAAGGATGAGTGGGCTGGCTTTTCCAGGGTACACTCAAGGGATACCCAAAGGAGTAGTCTCTGGGCAGGGCCTGAGAGTCCAGAGTGGAGGGTGGCCTGCTTCAGACAGGTCCCTGGTCTGAGGGCTGCTCCTCTCCTCTTTTATCCTCCCCTCCAGGACCTCAGGTTCCCAAAGCTTCTCCCAGAATTCTGGTATCTGTACCCATGTCCCATGTGTGTGAAGAGTCTGGGAACCCTGCTCTGGGGCTCTGTGGGGACTGAGCTTACTGTCGCAGAACCCAGGAGGCCACCTCTGAGTTAGAAGCTGAGCTTCCAGGACGTAGGGCAGCAGTGACTGGAGGGACGTGGGAGGGACGGAGCTCCTCATGCAGTGCCTCCTGGTTTGCTGAGCGCCTTCCTCCCTCCTGGCCACTAATGGGCTTTTGTGGACAATGGGCATGCCGGTCCCCAAATCTCCTCTAATGCTTGCTCTTCAGTGAGGGCTGCTGAGTGGCCCCAGTGAGGGTGACAATGCAAGCTCAGAGCCTCCCACTGCCTCCCAGTAGCTACTTCAATGTCTTTGGAGACCTGTCTTTCAAGAGCCTTGCTCAGCTGTCCATCAAGTAGGCGGGGTGGGGACTGGCTGGGGAGCTGGACACTCCTTACGCTGTGCTGACCTGACAGTGGCCAAGCCCAGTGGAGAGCCTAGGAGCAGGGTCCCTCGTTGCAGGCACACATCCCACCATCCCCTCCCTGTCTATACCTGGTGGGGGGGTAGGAATATAAACATTGAACTACAGGCTTGGCACCCCTATCACGAAGTTAGAATGGAATAGGTCCTGGAGGTCCCCTGTGTGGCTAGCTGTTAACCCTGTAGTTGCTGGATGATAGGAAGGTGGGGGTCTTGGAAGGGTAAGCAACCATTTACCAATGAGAAGAGGAATATTTTAATATTTTACCATTCAGTGTCTTTTACCCTAGTCTTAGTTGAACTGGAATCCCTCATTTGACGCTGCAGATGTGATATGTCTGGACCTCTGAGGAAGGGGCATATCTGCTCTGATGTCTGGCTGTGTGTCCACGTGGTGCATATGGGATTGTGAGTCTGCATGTGTGGAGGCTGCTCCCAATCCACGTGAGGGATGTCTGTGCAGGCGTGTTATACCAGCTGATATCAAGGTTAACAGCATAGACCCTAGAGCCAGACTGCTGCCTACTGCCTGTGTGACTCTGGGCAAATTACTTAGCTTCTCTGTGCCTCAGTTTACTCACCTGTAAACAAGGGTAGAAATAGTACCTTCCTTGTGGCCTCATTGGGAAGATTAAGTAAGTGACGGTATGTAAAGAGCTCAGAATGGTGCCAGGCATGTGGAGGGTGCTATGGAAGTGATGGCGTTTATTATTGCATACACACATGTATATTGAGAGCTGGGTTTTGCTGTGTGTAAAATGCTCCCCCTACACATGTGTGCACCCGTATGTTCTGCATGTATTACTTGCTGTATGTGTATATTACATGTCTGTCCATGAAAAAGCCCCCAGTAACCTATGTACCAAGTGCATAACTGCACGCTGGCATGTTCGAAGAGGCTGTGCCTTCACTTCTCCCTAGACTCTCCTGAGAGTCACCTTCCCCATCATTGTTTCCCATCTCCTTTCTCCTTTCCCTTTTTAAGCAGCAGTGGTGCTGAATTGTCACCAAGGGAGCCAGAATCGCTTCTTTGCTCCTGATGGGGTGGGGAAGGGGAGCCAAATGACACCATCAATCTCATTCCCACAATGGACGCAGACCTGGAACCAAGGGCAGAAGCCAGGGAGGCCTCCTCCCTCCCCTGGCCAGAGAACTGCCCCTCTGGTTGCCTTTATCCTGCATTGGCTGGAAAGAGAGGAAAACTCCCAAATCTGGGAGCCAGAGTGGCGGCAACTGAAAGGCAGCCCCTAGCCCTTTGGTGTGGCCAGGTGCAGGGACTATAGCCTTGGCCTCTGTTGATCCACAGGGCTTCATCCACCAAACAAACTGCGGAGGCCTGATAGGAAATCAACAGCAAGTGTGATTTAGAGGACTCTGTTTGCTCAGCTAAACTTTTGGCAAGGTAAATGCATAAGCTGCAGAAATTCTCTCTGAAACAGCCGCAGGGCTCAAACATCCTTCAGTCCTCCATAAAGGATTCTCAAAATTATATGGACTAGATTAGTATCTCTATTACATAAAACCATTTCAGTGCCTGCTCAGGGCTTTGAGAATAAAGTCACCAGACAGACCTTTTGTTGCCCTGCCCCGCCAGCACATAGTAATTGAAGATTTCCCTTTAAAAGTGTGTCAGGTAGAAAGAGCTCCTAATTTACTAAGTGGAGGGGCCTTTGTTAGGGAGACCAATGCTTTGTTCTGCCTGTCCCTTTTAATCTTCTTGCACAATGGACTTATATAAAGCACTACTAGAGGATTAATGCTGGGGAGGGGACCATGGCAGGGCCCGGCCTTGCAGAAGGGAGGCCAGGCAGGGCCTCCTTCTCCCTTTTCTGTCTCTCTCTTCCTCCTCCTCTTGCTTTTTCCTTTCCTTTATTTGGGCCTCCTCCTTCTATCTGGACCCTAGAATCAAGGAGCAGGTGCAAGCACTAGGACGAGCCCTGTGGCTTTGTAGGAGTGGCCGCCCTTGTTTTTCCTAATCAGAGCACATGCTTCTCCTTTGCTCCCCGTTTTTTAATTGCATCTCTGCATGGAAACTCCTGAGGCAAGATCCAGGTTTGGGGCTACATTCTCTGTGGGTTGCCAGATTTGAATCTAGTTGAGGTCTTCAGCCCCAAAGTCAAATGCCATCTGGTCCCTGATGGGACAGTTTTGGTTGGAGGGGTTTCTGCAGTACCCGGGCACTAAGCAGCATTTGTTGTCTGAGATGCCTCCCCAACTCTGGCTTCTGGCTCCAAGGAAGAGGAGGAGGAGGAGGCCACTGAACCCAAGTTGAGAGGACTCGCGTTTTGCCTCTAGCAGGGAGCCACCCGCTTCAGGCTTGAAACCCCCATGATGCTGTTAGATGTGCGCCCTGACCTGGCTTTCAGAGATGGAATTCACCTGCTCGGCCATCATCTTGCTGTGTGAATGGATGCAGGATTCCACCTCCCTTGGGTCTTAGCTTCTTATCTGTAATGTAAGAAGACCTATCAGCTCTGAATTTCTATGAAATGAGTTCAAATTGTGGTGACTGTAGAGCAGAGGTTTTTCTCATTTTGAAGCCAATGGGCAAAGTTAATGAGACCCAAGACCAAAGGAAAAGTTTAAAATGGAAAAATGCAATTACCATTCTTAATGAATTAGAGAAAGAACTTAAGAGAGGCAAAGTGATTAGAAAAGAATCATGAAACATCCTTGGAAATGCCATTTGGCTTGTTTCTAGATGGTGTACGTACATAGTTTCATGGTAACTATGGTAAGAGGGTAAGAGGTTCCTAAGCTTTCCCAGGGCAGGGCCATTTCTTCCTAGACTGCATCCCCAAACAGGCTGTCACAGGCCTTCACAGTTTCTTCTAAAGACTTAACTGCTTGGCTGGGGTGGGCAGAGGGGAAAGGTGAGCTAACAGTGACCAGACTGTGAAAGCTGTAACTCCAGACAAGATAACGAAGCTTGTTGGGACCCATCAGCCCCATGTGGAGCACATTCTAGATGAAGACCTTCCTGGAGGACATTTGCCTTCACAAAGGGAGGGAGGGACAAAGGAGGGGCTCCCATTTTTGGTGTCAGGCCTTCACACATGTTATCTAATTTTATCCTTACAGTGACTTTGCAGTAATGCATTTCACTCTCTACATGTGTACAGCTGAGACTCAGAGGAGTGAAATCACCTGCCGAAGGACCCACAGCTAGGAAGCAGTGGAGCTGGGTTTCCAGGGCACTGATGCAGAAAAAGCTGCGGCTGTGAAATCCACCAGGACCTTAAGTTTAAAAGAATGGGCCCCTACGTCTGGCTGGGGGTCTGTGCTGTAAAGTGTCTAAGCTCTAGCTTAGGCTTAAGGACCATGGGTTGCAGCCCTGCCTTGCACTTTAACTAGCTAAAGACTACGATGTGCTGTTCTACTTTCTGAGTTTCCCTTTCCTCATCTACAAAATAGGAGTAGCAGCCCCTGTGCCACAAGAGAATATGATGGGGCTTTGTCCTCACCAGCCCCTGACCACCCCCACCTTGACCGGCTGGCAGTAGAAATAACAATATTCTACTCCTCTTCCTCATGTTCCTCCTTTGCCTTCTCCTCTCCCATCCTCCTCTTACTCTTTCCCTCTTCCTCCTCCTCCACTGTCATCAACATAGCTAACACTTACATAGCACAAACTATACGCTAGGCCTCATTACTAACTCATTTAATCCTCACAATCCTATGAAGTAGGTACTATTAACATTCTCAGACAATTCTCTGTGTCTCAGAAAATGGAGACACAGAGAGGTTATGTAACTTGCCCAAGGTCACACAGGAATGAAGCACTAGAACTGGGGAGTCAAACCCAGGCATCTGGTGTCATTTTCACGCTCATAATAACCATTCCGTTATAGCCAGTAGCCTGCAGACTTAGCTGCTCCAAGGCTGCACTGGAAGCTTCTGTGTCTGGCATCTCTGGAGGTTGAGGAGGGACAGATTTTAGCTGATGGGATATGGCTGCAGCTGCCGGTCTGACCCCCACTGTGTGCGGTCACCTCATCCCCTATCCAGCCATCTGTCCCACTCAGTTCCTATTCTAGTTCTCATTTGCTGCTGGGATGGAACTTGGTCTGGGGAACCCTATTGTTAATTCCCTCTGTGCCTCAGTTTCCTCATTTGTGTAAAGGGGATAATAACAGTGCTTTCCACTTGTGAAAAGGCTTGGGAAGATTAGGTGAATAAATTCATGTAAGGTGCTTGGAACAGTGTGTGGCACACAGTAAGTGCTGAGTGTCAGCTCTTATTATCCAGTACAGCATGATAACGCAGAGAAAGCTGTACCGCTAGGCCAAGGGCCAAAGGAAACAAGTTTTCAGTTCTGGGAAGGAACCCTGGGTGTATAAGCATAGAGTTGGGAGGTGGACAAGACCCCTCCCTGTCTACCTAAAGAAAATGTTTAGGCTGGGTGTGCTGGCTCATGCCTGTAATTCTAGCATTTTGGAAGGCTGAGGTAGGAGGATCGCTTGAGGCCAGGAGTTTGAGGCCAGCTTAGGCAACTTGGGATCTGATATGAGAAAGACCCTGTTTCTACAAAAAAAACTTTTTTAATTAGCTAATTGTGGTGGTGCATGCCTATAGTTCCAGCTATTTGGGAGGCTGAGGCAGGAGGATTGCTTGAGCCCAGGAGTTGGAGGTTACAGTGAGCTGTGATGGCTGCTCCAGCCTGGGCGACAGAGTGAGACCCTGTCTCAAAAAAAAAAAAAAAAAAGAAAATGTTTAAAATGGTTAGAGAGAACAGCAAATAAATATTGCCAAGCTCCTAGTCTTCATCATGGAAATGAGGTGCAGGAACTCAGCTTGATGAATGGAGAAGCCTAGTCATGGCTCTGCTTGCTCTAGGACATGCACAGATCGTACCACTTCCACCTAGACAGCAAAGATGTTGCTCCTTGCAGGGATACAGCATTGGTGGTTCGAACAGCTCGGCCGAGAAAATCCTTTGCAAAGCAAGGAAGGCTGGGGTACCAGGAGCCGGCCACGAGCAGATCTGGGGCCCGAAGCATCGATTAAGGGAATTGACTGCAATGCTGGAGCTTTTATCAGGCCCAGTGGCTGGATGTGATTGCTTTATGTGGAAACCCAATGGGAATGTTCTGACAAGTTGACAATTTTAATTGATAAACAATTATTAACAGTTAAGCCATGTTGAGGTGAGGCAGGCTAATACCCTGGGGCGATTAGTAGCGTTGCAAGGGAGGTCCTCAGGGGATTTTGTAATCTGACACTGGCATTTGATGACAGAGGGCCCCCAGGGCTTCAGACTGGGGAGGCCAGAGCCTAGGCTTTGATGCAGAGTCACTGGAATTTTTCTAAAGAGCATTTTGCCATCTAGGGATTTGGGGCTCAGCATTGCCCTGGTCTTATAGCTTAATTATGTATTCACCTTCAGCCAGATGGGCATGGCTCAAGTTAGTACAATTAGAGCCCTGATGAGAGGAGAGGGAGCCTCTGCAGATTCAGATACTCATTTGTTCAGGATGTATTAATATTTATTGAACACCTGCCATGTGCCGGGCATCATGCTAGGTGCTGGGACATAGCCCATTCTTTGCCTTCATGGAGGTATGGAAGACAGACAAGTAGTAGAGAGAAGTCAGTGCTGTGGCCTATGGGGCAAACCAGATACTGTGGGAGCAGTGAGAGGACCTCATCCAGCCTGTGGGGAGTGGGTGGGCAGTGCAGTCAGGGGAAGCTTCCTGGAGGAAGTGACATCCAAGTTTATGTGAAATGTACACAAGTAAGTGGTGGGAGAGCTGGAGATGCAGGTTGTAGATGGAGTTCCAGGCTGTTTGAAGGCCCAGTGTGGGGAGGGCAGGGGCTCATTCACAACCTGAAGTTCCAGTGCCAAAGATGAGAGGGCAGCCGTCCGGAGCGGCAGGCTGGAGAAGTGAGGGCCTGATGAAGGAGGCTGAAGGAGTCACACAGACAAGTGTCACTTTCTCTGTGAAGCTCTTCCTATGTCTTCCCCTGTCCCTGACATGTGGAAGAAGTGTCTACTCTCTCAGGGCCCATCCTGCACTCTGAACTGGCTATGATTTCAGCACCAGTAATGTTCCAGTGCCCTTGCTCGCTGGATCACCCACTCACTGGCTCACTCACCCGCCTGCTCACCCGCTCACCCACCCACCCACGTGCCCATCCACCCACCACCCACTCACTGGCTCACTCACCCGCCTGTTCACCCACTCACTCACTGGCTCACACGCTTGCTCACCTACCTACCCACTCACTCACCCACCCACCCACACGCTCGCTCACTCACCCACTCACCCACCCACCCACCCACCCATCCAGTGGCTCACTCACTCATTCAGGTGCCGTCTCCCTTTCCTGCCATCAGGTTGTTGGTACCACGAAAGAAGGAACTGTGACTTATTTGCTTATGGTATTCCCAGCACAGCATCTGGCACATAGTAGGTGCTTAATAAATGCTTTGGGAGTGAGTGACTGCTCAGAGGAATGAATGACTTTGAAAAACATAGTGAGGTTCCCATGTGCCAGGCATTGTTCTCAGCAGTTTACAAGTGTTAATGATTTAGTCTTGCAATGAATGTGTGAGGTAAGGGACCATTGTCCATGTTTCACAGGTGAAAAAAACTGAGGGAGGTTAAATAACTTGCCTGAGTAACCCACGGCTTGCAACCGGGAAGTAGCAGAATCCAAGCCTGAGTCCCGACAGCCTGGCTCCCGGTCTGTTCTCTGACCTTACACCCTGGCCTGTGGGAATTGAAGTGCGGCCCTTGTCCCTCTTTGGACAGCTCTCTATGGGGTGCCGGAGAGAGAGAATTCTCCCTGCGGCACTCCAGGCCCCTGCTCTTTAGGGGAAGGGTCAGGAGCAGGTAGGGGGAGGATTCACCGCCCAGAAGACCAGGAGGCAGGGCAAGGCCTGGCCCTCTCTGTATTTTGGACTCCTCTATCTAACCCCTGCCCACAGAGCCCAGCCCACAGGAGGTGCCCGGTAAACACTGGTAGAGTGAATGCACATGTACATGGTACTGCATGAATGGGCAGAGCGTGCACGGGGGCAGGGGGACCTTGGGGTACAAGCTCACATTTCCCCCCCAAAGCGCAACCACTGGGGCTTCATGAGACAAAGCGCCTGAAGGTGGGACTGGGGCCTCCTTTCATTCCACGCTCCTCTTCTCTGAGGACCAGACACGGAAAGGGCTATGCCCAGTGCTGCCCTGGTAGATGATCATTCACCAGTGAGTTGACTCTGGACTGTGTCTCCTTCCCCACTCCCAGTCCCAGCCCTTCTAGTTTTACCAGGGCTCCTTCCTCCCCACCCGCTCCCTGCCTAACGCAGGCCATTCTATCATCCTCTGAGCTGGAAATGAGCCTGAGCATGCTCAGGGGCCATGGTACCCCAGCTCCCCAGCCCAGTCCTGGGAAGAGGAATATTAATAACAACAGCAACATTTTAAAAAGAAAGCAACAGTTATAACTAACCCCTGGTACTTGGTGCTTTGCATGAGTTAACTCATTTACTCTGTGCAATAACCAAGTCAACAGCCATTCTACAGAAGGGGAAACAGGACCAGAGAGGTTGCTCAAGGACATGCAGCTAATGAGTGGCAGAGCAGGGACCTTGGCTTTTAATGCATTGCTGCCTTGGAATACAAATCAGCAAGGGCACCACCAAATTAAAGGAGAGTGGCAGGATGGGCGGTGGCTCACACCTATAATCCCGGCACTTTGGGAGGCTGAGGTGGGCAGATCGCTTGAGGTCAGGAGTTCGAGACCAGCCTGGCCAACATGGTGAAACCCCGTCTCTACTAAAAATACAAAAAGATTAGCCGGGCTTGGTGGCGCGTGCCTGTAATCCCAGCTACTCGGGAGGCTGAGGCAGGAGAATCACTTGAACCTGGGAGGCAGAGGTTGCAGTGAGCCGAGATTGCACCAGAGCAAGACTCCATATCAAAAAAAAAAAAAAAAAAGAAAAAGGAGGGGTGGGAGGGATGGGGAGTGGCTCTTGGCCAGGTTGGGTGGGAGTCACACCCTGCAGGCCCCAGTCCTGCAACCCAGGAGAGTGTTTGGCCGTTAATGTCCTTCTACCTTATCAGCCTTGCTGGGGAAGTGCTGCTTGTTAAAACAATAATTGTCTCTTCATATATGGAAGCCCAATGTGGCCACAGCAATTAAAAGCCAACTCTAGGTGGGCTGAGGAAAGGACCAGCCATTTTTATTCTTCCTGGCTATGGAGGGGACTGAGGGCTGGGAACTGTAAAGAATGAGTGGTACACATCTGATGAAGTGTTTTAGAATTCCCCTTGGTGACTCCCTGAGCCCCACTACAGACACAGACACACACTAATACGTACACACATGCCGTGTGACCTTGGGCATGGCAGAATCACTCATGCTAAGCATGTCACCTCAGAATTGGCACTTGGGTCCACGTGGATGTAGGTCATTTTATTTCCAAGCTGAATCCAATGACAGCCTGATCTGAGACCTCTTGCCAAGAATGCTAATGGCAGACTGATCAATGTGCCTTGGAGCACTGGGGAGACTGGGTTCGGGGGTGGCTCTGGAGATGATATGCTGGAGGATTCTGGGAGGCTACCACCCTTTCCCTGACCTCCCAGCCTTCTTGGATCTTAGCTGAATGTCAGGCTAGTTGGCCAGGGGGCGTGGAAGTTGTCTTTATTTATCCTGACCCTTTCATGTAAGTAATTTTTATAGTTCCATTAACTAGTAAGACCATTTGCAAACTTCCAGGCAAAATATATGACCACAGGCACCTCAGGGACTTGTGGGTCATCTTGGGTGGAGGCCCAATAGAAGGGAGAATTGATTCAGAGGGCTTCCATGAGCTGGGGACAGCAGATGGGGCCACCTTTGGTTAGGGAAGGGCCAGTGTTATCTGAGCAGCTTGATTGCAGAGGAGACCCCAAGTCTGACGCACACACACCTTTGCTTGGTGCCAAGATCGCTGTCCTGGGTCCCGGCCTGCTTATGCAAGCTCACCTGCTGCCCCAGAACTGATGCCCTGGCCTTCCATCTGTACCTCTGAACACGTTTGTTCCCGGGCCAAGCTCTATCCTGCATTTGTGGAACAAATTCCTCTCAAACTTAGCTTGAATCAGTCAGCCAAAGAAGTTGGCAGTTGCTATCATGGAGGCTTTTACTCCCAGAGCTGGAGGGAACATTTAGATCCTGTCATCCAACCCTTTCATTTCACAGACAGACAAACAGACCCTGAGGAGGGAGGGAGATGAGCTAAGTTCTCACAGCAAGTCAGTGACAGATCTGCTGCTGGATCTTACTCATCTTACCCTGTGCGAGCAGGCTTTTGGCATCACACGTGTGGGTGCAAACCTCGGCTTGGCTCCTGGACCAGTTAGAGTCCCAACCAAGAAACAGATGGCATTTTTTTTTTTTTTTTTGTAGTTTTTTGAGATGGAGTCTCGCTAGAAGGCTTCTAGCACACTGGGAGGTCAGAAGCAGGACTGAAGCAGGGTGGTGAGAGTGCAGTTCATATTTCTTGGTGGGGCCAGGAGAGGGTGAGTGGCTGGCCCCATCACACGGCTGGTGCTGTCAGAGCCCAACCAGCTGCCCTGTCCACGACAGCAGATGGATGTGCAGCAGTGTGAAGAGGGACTTGACAAAACACTCTGTTTAGAGTTGTAAGTTTCCAAGAAGGAGGCCAGGGTGGCAGCACCCTAACCCAACCCCTCCCAGGCAGTCACTGGCATGGGGGTCTGTGGTCTGAAAGAGCTTAGGGCACCCACACGCTCTAGGAGCAGCAGCTGAGTAACCCCAGGCCTCTGGAGATGGGCTGCCAGCTGCTGGCATAGGAGTCAGCCGCCCCAGCGCCAGGGATGGCCACCTCCATCCTCCCTAGGAGACTCTCCCCGCAGCACCCCCAGCCCCTCCCCACCAGGTGTCCAAACACGCGGTGGCCCAATTGCCAAATACGGCAGCCTGAGCCTCGGGTATTTGCTATCAATATTTCATGCTTCAAACAACACTTACGAAATATGAATGGATTGAGGTTTTGACAAGCAAATAGTGCAGGCAAAATACCAGGACGATGAGGAAAGGAGGGAGATGCACCTGCATCCCTGGGGTCAAGCTAAGGGACTGTGGGATGACCGTCCTCCATGAGTAGCACAGAAACTGACCCCGAAGCTGCTGCCTTAGCAGAGTCCTTACCAGGGTCTAGGGGCTGGATACAGGACTGAGCTGAGGTCTGTGTCTGCAGTGTGGGGGGCGGTGTTCTGCAGACTGTCCTGCTGGTCTCTGGGGCTTTGGGAAGTGACCAAGGGAAAAGGCAGTGCAGTGTGGAGCTTGCTCAGAGCACCGGAAGGCTGTTCCCCCCCAGCTTGGAGAAGGCACAGGTGGTAGGCAGATGGGCTGGGTCTCTAGGATCGGGAGCAGGGGGCAGGCTGGTCATTGGGTGGTCTTCCTTCTCAAATTACCTGCCCTCCACCCTATCCCTAACCTGTGTGGTGCTGAGCATGTTGAAGCAGCTCCTCCACCCTCTGTCTCTGGTCACCACTGACCTTCTTGTGGGCCTGTCACAGCACCCCTCTGCTGTTCCCTCTGGAACGGCCCCACCGCCAGCCCCTGAGCCATGTGGGCGGGGGAGGCTGGATACAGCCTGGGCAAAATGTGAAGTCCCCACAGCCTTGGGCTCTCTCCACCTTCAGAGGCCTCTAGCTCCAGGAGCCACCCCAAGCTCCTTCCTCCCTGTCTGAGAGGCCACACACTGCCCAAGGGGCCATGAACGCTCAGGCCTCAGCTTCTCCAGGTATAAAACAATGGGCCAGGACATGATTTTCTCTTAAGTCTCTTCGAGTCCTGACACTCGGCAGGTTGCAAGTCACTGCTTGATTTCACCGCCCTCGGCAGAGACCCCAGGGATCAAGGTCCTGCTCTCTGCAGTCAGAAAACAGTTGGCGGTGTTAGTGAGCTAATGTGACAAGCTGTAACACGGATGAGCCCAGCTGTGGAGCATGCAGGGACCTCAGCCTGTGGGGGTGGGGATGAGGGACAGGGAGCAGCTGAGGCCAGGGCTGGGAGCTGGCTGGGCTGAGGGGCTGGCATCCCATGGGGAGCCAGAGGATGGACACTGGTGTGTCCTGGGGGCACTGACCCATTTGAGCTTGTTTGGAAAGTCCAGTGAGAACAGGGGGAGCCCGGGCAGCAGGACTGACAGTCTTGCTAGCTGCCGCGTGAGCAGCACATTGTGGTTCTAAGTGGAGCTGTTCCCCGGGGTCAAGGCCCACTGGGTTCTCCAGCACTGGGTTAGCCGCTTCTCAGGGCTGCAAGCGAGCGGGGCTCCAGCACTGGGGAAGCACCACAACCCTCCCCGAAGGCTACCTGTGGCAATCAGAAGGACCCAGGTACTAGGGATCTCCAGACACACCACAACCCAGGCTTGCAGTGGACAGGCTGACTCCAGACCACTGACCAGTGGGGCATGTGAAATGGCTCTTCTGGGGTCTACCTTGCCTGGGGCCTGGGCAAAGCTAAGGCAGCAGCTTCGGGGTCAGTTTCTGTGCTTAGGAGGGGCCAGAGGACCACATCAGCCATAAAATGAGCCTTGTTGTTTAACCCAACAGCATCTTCCCAGTGGGCATTTAGGCCAGGCAGTGGGTGGGAGGCCATCAAAGGGGACCATCTGCTCCCCTAGCCCAGGCCAGTACTGGGCAGAGAGAAGTCTCTTGCTTTCGGGAAAAACAAAACAAAACAAAAAACCATCTAGATCTGGTCTAAGGAATTGACAGGGTTGATGGTAACTGCTGATTCCCTGAGCTTTCAGACTTGGTGGAGGTGGCACATGGGGGCTTTCTGTAATCCTTCACTGATGGCTTAGATGGTGGGGCAGATCTTTCAGGAGCAAAAGATGACCTTGAGGAAATGTGGATTCTGTCAAAGAAAGAGAAAAATAATTTCCCTTCCTCAAACTGCTGTCAATAAGCCTCAGCACCAGAGTGGTTGAGGCAAACTGCCTGCCGCTGTAACCTCCCACCTCAGGAGGCTGCAGCATTCAACTGCGTGATAAGAAATTGCCAGGCACTTTCTAATTACAATTATCATCATCGTGGATGTCTCTCTTAATTACTTTCTTATAATTAGCTGTTGCTTTTTTCCTCTGCATGTGTGTACTTTGCAGATTTGCTGACATTTGAGAGCCCCAAAATAGGGACATTTGGGGAGGAGGGCAGAAAGGTGGGGGGAAAAGTGAGAAGGGACCTTCTTTTCAGGCAGGCTGATACATTTTGGGGCCTTTTCAGAAGGATACTAGGGAAAGCAGAAGATACAAGGGACAGATCATTTCCTAAGCAGATGGGGAAAGAGAGCAGGGGTGTGGATTTAGGAGCTGAGGTTTGCGGCGGTCTCTGTTGTTAAACGTTGCAGGAAATGTTCTCAAAAAGCCAACGGAGTTACCGCTTCTCCAGCTTGGGTTTCATTTTAAGAAATGAGCTGGGATGAAATGTACTCTTGTAGGATCCATTCTGGAGTTAATTAAATAACTCAGGTCAGGTGTAGCTTGATTTTCCCCCCCAAGCCAGTCATGCGTTCTAAGCATCCCTGGGCACCAGGGAGTTGTGACAAAATGGATTATGCTCCTTGACCAGATGGTTGGTTTTCACTGTTTGTTCTGGTTCTTCCTCCCTCTCCCCATGTCCCCTCAGCCCTGTGTACGGAGGAGTGTGTGCACGGCCGCTGCGTTTCCCCGGACACCTGCCACTGCGAGCCTGGCTGGGGAGGGCCCGACTGCTCCAGCGGTGAGTCTGGGGTTTGGGGGTCAGGAGGCACCCTGGCTCTGACTTGGTAGGGGAGTGGGTTGTGGTGTGTGCATGCTACATTTTTGTGTTGTGCTGGGGCGACTTGGGGTGGGCTACCTGGGCCTGTGTGAACATCAGGGAGGAGGTATACCTACAGTTAAAACATGGTGGCACTTGAGGGATGGTGATTTATGGGGGCCTGTGAGGGCATTGTGTGTTGTATGTGTAGGGAATTGTGGGATCATCTGGACAACTCTGACTTTTGATGGAACACCTCTAGATATGGTCTTTGATGGTTGATGTGAAATTGACACAGTGCCCAGGAGTACACACTGAGGAGGTCGCCGTCGTCTAGCCCTGGTCCCCAGGTTCACTGGTCCAAAAGCTCAGTTTTGTGGGTGCCCACAGAGGCTCAGAGGAAGTGATTTGTGAGACTGGTGGACATTTGGGATGTCTCTGTGTCCCCAAAATTAGAACAGGACACTCGCAGGGGCAGGTCCTTGTGTTCCTACATTTTTGTGGGTGGATGGTTCACCTTCTCCAGGGAAGCCTTCCTACTGAGCCTGGGGTGAGGTGGATGCTCTCCAGGCTGGCCCAGTGACCCACAGTGGCATGGTGCATTGTCTCTACTGTGGGGCTGGCCACCAAGAGGGTAAGGCATACCTGGCAGCAGTTCAGGGAATTCTCTGCCAAGAACCCAGATGAAGATGAATCCTCCTTCCCCTCTGGTTTATTGCCCCCAAATATTTGCAGATGACTTGGCACATTATGCAGTCAAGGGTTGGTTAATATCATGGTCTTGTTTGATTTTCAAAGAGGACTTGACTAAGGTTGAAGCCCAAATTTCCTCCTGCTTTGAGTTGGAGTAGAGTCTCTTTATGGTGACCTGAGTGGATAACATAGCCAAGCGGCTCCACTAGGGATCTAAGCCCGATTATTCGCCCATCTTGGGGAGCCACCTCCATGTTCCCCATCCCATACCTGACTACCATAGTCATGAAAACTTAGGAGAATGTTGGGTCCATGTTGGCCCAGTGTAGTGCTATTGTCCTTTTCCCCTCTCTCTGCTGCAGTGGAAATATCTAGTTATGTTTTTTTGTTTGTTTTCCCAAAGGCCTTGACTGGAGCCTCTCTGTCTATGCAGTGCATGAGAACATTCTGGCCAAAGCCAGTATGTGGCTTTGTTTTGAGCCTGGGTGATTATCTTAGCTCAGGGAGTCCATGATCTGTTTGAGGTATCCAAGAAACCCCCTAATGTGTTAGGACCTCCAGTGACCACAGTGGCCTCCTCCTTCCACTTGTCCTACTGCTTTGAGTGAGCCATGACTGGGAAACAGGGCCAGACAATGAAAGGTAAACTGAGGCACAGGTGAGCTAAATAAAGGAAGATGTCCAACCAGTCTTTCTGTGGACTTGAGCTGCAAAACACACTGGGTAAAATGTCTGGGCTTCCCCCGCCCTTATCTGTGTTTTGTTTTGCGTAACTTGGCTTACAAGGAATCTTTGAGGAAGGAATATCTGACTTGGATTAGGTCAGCCCTGCTGGGATGGGTCTGCCTGCTGCTGCTGGATTATAATGCTGAAGGCAGCCTATTGGAGGTTGAAATACAGCCTGGGTCCCCCGGGGCCCTGAGTATATAGAAACCACCAGTGAGTGCAACTGTGTTTAGTGCTCGCTCTATGCTCGGGACTGTGCTGGGCCGTGGGGAGGGCCCTGGAGGGTTTTTTAGACATGGTCTGTGTCTTTTCAGGGTTTCTGGCCTAATGAAAGAGATGGAACAAAGGTGGCATTTGATGAACAGGACTAGGCAGTTTAGAGTATGACTTGCCCCCCAGAGTGAATTTACCAAGCAAGCAGGGAAACAGACTTGTTACTTTATAGCACAGAACTAGGCTGTCTGATTTAACTCCTCCCATTCAGTCACCAGACTTGGTGCTAAGCAACCCAAAAGCTCTTTGCTCTCAATTAAATCCACCCTCATTGGTTGAAGAGCCATGACTTTTGGATCTACTCAAAGGCATGTGCTATTGAACCCATGGGAAGTTCTAAAAGGGGTTCCAACCCTGTTTGAGGGACAGCAGCATTGAATTAAAGCAATTCATAGATTCTCACCTTCAGTGTCATTCAGAGCACTGAATGTTTAGATGCTCTGCTAAGAGCTTTCCAACCTTTGCTTGAATACCTCCACTGACAAGGAGCTCACTACCTCTTTCGGAAGCCCATTCTCATTGTTGGAAAGTTTTCCCTTCTCTGCAGTGGAAATCTACCTTTTAGCTTCTACTGATTGGTTCTTGCTCATAATAAAGTCCAGGGCAGGGTGATGGATGACCATGATGCTCCTTGTCCCTGGAATTTCTTCCAAGGACCTCATTGGATAAGACCACAGTCTGTGTGTATAGAAATGATCATCTCAGAGCAGTTGATAATAGCCATTGAGGCTGCACAGAAGAAACCAGAGACCCTCCAATGGGTCAGGTATTAGAAGATAGTGATCATTTTCCTCCCCAAGTGTTTCTTCTCCAAGCTCCCTTGCTTCTCACCTGATGTCATCGGGACTACCTTTCCCATCTGGTTTCTCTCCGTTGGCCGTGGCCTTTATTCCTCTTAAATGCTCACTCCTAGATCTGGCCACACAACTGCGAGCTTGGTGTGACCAGTATGGAAAAATGATAGTGGAGATAGCTACTATATATTGAATTTTACTATGCACTGAGTGCTTTATTTACTTATCCACTTGTTTAATTTTCACAACAAACTTATAGTATGGGAATTGTTATTTATCCCCATTTTACAAAGGAGCAAGTTGAAGCAGAGAGAGGTTAAAGAACTTCCAGCAGACACAGTTAGTTGATGGTAAGTCTGGGACTATCACCCAAGCAAAAACCTATGTCCTGAACCTGAACTCTTAATTATTTATACAATTGTAACTTATAACTCTACCTCCTTCTGGATGCTCAACCTCTGTTAATATAGTCCAAGGTTGAAATTGATCTGTCATGAGAAAACATGGTTGTTCATAGGGAAAAGTGAGCTCTGCTTAAAAGATGTGGCCCTGAGATATTGCTGTGGAGATAGAGGAGTCGGCCATGGGACGCAAATTGTTACCAGCTTTCCTCAAGTAATTTGAGCCTGCTTGCTACATGCTATTTGGGGGTCTATCTGCCAGTGTGCTCTCTGCAGTGCCTTAGGGTCTTTGTGGGCCCAAATCTGTGGAGACAAGTATCTTGGTCCCTCTTCAGTGTGGTCTCTGGAGATCACTGAGTGGGGTCTATATGTGTGACACCCTTTCAGAGAAGCTTTGGTTTTGTTTAATTGAAAGCATCATTCTTGTTTGTTTTTTTCTCTCTGGTTCTTAAGTTATACCTGTTCATGTTAAAAAGAAAAATCAAACTGTAGCAAAAGTTAGACAAAAAAGGTTAACTCTCCACCCCAGAGATAACCACTGCTGGCATTTGGGTGCTTATCCTTCCTGCCATTCCTCTATACATTTGCACATTGGGCTAGATCTGGATATAACTTTTATTATTTAGATCAAATATATGAGCTAGTCTATAACTTGCTGTTTAAATTTAACTTTATGTCATGCACTCATTTTCTTGTTAATAAACGTGAATCTCCTCTAGATTTGTAATGGCCTTACAGAATTTCATTCTATGGATTACCACATGCATTTAACTAGTCCCTTGTTGATGGACATTGAGGTTGTTTCTGATTCTTCACTGTCATAGGCCCACCGTCCTTTTTCCAAGATTCGTGGGGCCTGCTGGCTTCAGAATTTAGAATTTTTCAGAGTTTAGAAAGCATGTGGTGAGTATGTTGTGTGTGACATATGCCCCCATGGGGGTCTGGGCAGCACCCTGGGTGAAACAGTGATATTTCTGAAGTGACATATGACTGATCACATCTAGTGACATAAAGGCAATATATAACCTCAAATCGGTTTCATGCAGATTTTGCCTCTAAATGGATTTTGGTGCTGAATTTTTTAAAACATGTTTTGGACTTTTTAGGGATTTTTGGATTGTGGCCCTGTGTAAAAATGCTGTAGTGATTCTTCTTATGCATATGTCTTTGCCCACTTGTCCCAATTTCTTCTTAGGATAAATTCCTGGAAGTGGCAGGGAGGGTTTTGAAGATCCATCATCCAACTCCCTGCCCCTACCCTGCCCTGCCCTGCCCTTTGTGGCTGCCAATGGATTTATGACTTTGACAGCAGTGAAGGGGATAAATGTAGTACCGGGGTTGGGTGGGGACTTCTCATTCTTTTACTGACTTATAAGCCCCTAGCTGAAATTTTTTAAGGCCTGGACTAATTTCTTTCTGCTCCATAAAGGAAGAGAGATGATGCTGATTTGCCTGGTGGGCTGACACACCAACTATCAGATAATTCTGGGCTGTTAGATGGACCACTATGGGGAAATGGAGTGGCTGCATGCCTGGTCATAAACCTCCATCCCATATAACAATGAAGAGTAAAAGAATGAAATGTCAATTTATACTGAATAAAGACGACAGAGTGACTCTTATTAAATTGCACTAATCTCACAAGTGGAGATAAAAAGGAAGAAAGTTTTCCTATATTGAATATCTAGCTTTTTAAAGTAATTAGGAATATTAAAGCACTGACAATGATTGAGATAGAAACATTATTCATAACTTTTATTTCCGCACTGGGAAATGATCCAGTATACTTCATTTATGAGATTTCAGCTGTACGGAGAAGGACGTGAGCCAATTCCTAAATTAAATATGCCCTGTTAACTTTTATAAACGATGCCCAAGAATTAACTTGGAAATTTAAGCTTTCATTGTATGATTTAATTATTGTATTTCCTGGGTCCCATTTCTCTGCCTCCCATCCCAGGGTGCTTTGCATTTTGGGTTCCAGGCTACAGAATGGCATTTTGGTTTTGGGCCTGAGCCTGCCCTCCAGAAGGCCTGGGGTAGAGATGAGGGAGAAGGCTGCTCTTCCGTTTCCCATTATTTTCCACGTTATCATGTATTCCACCAAACTGGTGTTATCCACGCACTTAGGACAAAGTGCAGGATAAGTCAAAGCCCGGTACACACTGTCCTGCTCTTTTGCAGAATTGCTCCCCTACTCCCCAGACACTGGGCACAAGGCAGGACTACAGAGAGGCCTGAGTGATGAAGGCAGCTGGAACCAAGCTGGCCCATCACCAGCTGTAGCTTCTGCCAAGTCCAGCGTGTTCTTATCTTGAATGGTGTGTGGGACCCCAGGCCGACTTGGCTTTAAGCTATCTGCAGATTAAAATAGAATGTTAACCAGCTCAGAAATATGCCTATGCTCCTAAACTAGCTCGGGACCCTTAAGGTCAGTGCTTCTCAAACTAAGTGTTGGCTACAAATTCTTTCTTTAAAAAGTCCTGGTAAAAGATACATAACATAAAATTACTCATTTTAACATTTTTAAATGTGCAATTTGGTAACATTGGTACATTCACATTGTTGTGCAAACATCACCATCATCCATCTTCAGAACTTTTTCATCTTCCCCAACTGAAACTCTGTCCTCACTGAACACTAACTCCCCGTTGCCCCCTTCCCTGGCCCTTGGCAACCAACAATCTGCTTTCTGTCTCTATGAATTTGACTACTCTGTGCTTCATATAATTGGAATCATACAGTATTTGTCCCTTTCTGACTGGCTGATTTCACTTAGCATAATGTCCTCAAGGTTCATCTGTGCCATAGCATGTGTCGGAATTTCCTTTTTTTTTTTTTGAGAATGAAGTCTTGCTCTGTCGCCCAGGCTGGGGTGCAGTGGTGCAATCTCGGTTCACTGCACCCTCCGCCTCCCAGGTTCAAGTGATTCTCCTGCTTCAGCCTTCTGAGTAGTAGCTGGGATTGCAGGTGCATGCCACCACGCCCAGCTACTTTTTCTATTTTTAGTAGAGACGGGGTTTCACCATGTTGGCCAAGCTGACCTTGAACTCCTGACCTGAAGGGATCCACTCAGCCTCCCAAAGTGCTGGGATTACAGGCGTGAGCCATTGCGCCCAGCCCCCTCATTTGGTTATGTCCTTTCCTGGTTTTGGTATTAGGGTGATGCTGGCTTTAGAATGAATTAGGAAGAGTTCCTTCTTTATCTTGTGGAACAGTGTCAAAAGGATTGGTACCAATTCTTCTTTGAGTGTCTAGTAGAATTCAGCTGTGACTCTGTCTGCTCCTGGACTTTTTTTTGTTGGTAATTTTTAAATTATCATTTCAATGTCACTGCTTGTTATTTGTCTGTTCAGGGTATCTAATTCTTCCTGATTTAAACTGGAAGGGTTGTAATTTTCCAGGAATTTATCCGTCGCTTCTAGGTTTTGTAGTTTATGTGCATAAAGGTGGGTTCATAGTAGCCTTCAATGTTCTTTTGTATTTCTGTGGCGTCAGTTGTAATATCTCCTGTTGCGTTTCTTTGTGAGGTTATTTGGATTTTCTCTCTTCTTTTCTTGGTTAATCTGGCTAATGGTCTGTCAGTTTTATTTATCTTTTCAAAGAACCAGCTTTTTCTTTCATTTATTGTTGGTATTGTTGTTGTTGTTGTCTCAATTTCATTTAGTTATGCTCTGATCTTGGCTATTTCCTTTCTTCTGCTGGTTTTGGATTTGGTTTGTTCTTATTTCTCTAGTTCCTTGAGGTGTGACCTTAGGTTATCTATTTGTGTTCTTTCAGACTTTTTGATGAAGGCGTTTAGGGCTATGAACTTTCCTCTTAGCACTGCCTTTGCTGTATCCCAGAGGTTTTGATAGGTTGTGTCATTATTGTCATTCGAAGAATTTTTTAATTTCCATCTTGATTTCATTTTTGACCCAATGCTCATTCAGGAGCAGGTTATTTAATGTCCATGTATTTACATGGTTTTGAAGGTTCCTTTTGGAGTTGATTTCCAGTTTTATTCCACTGTGGTCTGAGAGAGTGCTTGATGTAATTTCAATTTTCTTAAATTAATTGAGGCTCATTTTATGGCCTATCATATGGTCTCTCTTGGAGAAAGTTCCATGTGCTGTTGAATAGAATGTGTATTCTGTGGTCGTTGGATGAAATGTTCTGTATATACCTGTTAAGTCCATTTGTTCTGGGAAGTAGTTTAAATCCATGGTTTTTTTGTTGACTTTCTGTCTTGATGACCTGTCTAGTGCTGTCAGTGGAGTATTGAAGTCCCCCACTATTATTGTGTTGCCGTCTATCTCATTTCTTATGTCTATTAGTAATTGTTTTATAAATTTGGGAGCTCCAGTGTTAGGTGCATATATGTTTAGGATTGTGATATTTTCCTGTTGGACAAGGCCTTTTACCATTGTATAATATCCCTCTTTGTCTCTCTTAACTGCTGTTGTTTTAAAGTTTGTTTTGTGTAATATAAGAATGGCTACCCCTGCTCGCTTTTGGTGTCCAGTTGCATGAAATGCCTTTTCCCACCCCTTTAAGTTTATGTGAGTCCTTAGGTGTTAGATGAGTCTCCTGAAGGCAACAGATGGTTGGTGAGTTCTTATCCATTCTGCAGTTCTGTATTTTTTAAGTGGAGCATTTAGGCCAATTACATTCAATGTTAGTATTGAAATGTGAGGTACCGTTGCATTCATCCTGTTCTTTATTGCCTGTGTACTTTGATTTTGTTTTTGTTTTTGCTTTTTAACTTGTATTTTTGTTTTATAGGTCCTGTGTGATTTATACTTTAAAGAGATTCTGTTTTGATGTGTTTCCAGGATTTGTTTTAAGATTTAGAGCTCCTTTTAGCAGTTCTTGTAGTGGTGGCTTGGTAATGGCGAATTCTCTCAGCATTTGTTTGTCTGAAAACGACCGTATCTTTCCTTCACATATGATGCTTAGTTTTGCTGGATACAAAATTCTTGACTGATAATTGTTTTGTCTGAGGAGGCTGAAGATGGGTCCCCAATCCCTTCTAGCTTATAGGGTTTCTGCTGAGAAATCTGCCATTAATCTGATAGGTTTTCCTTTATAGGTTACCTGGTGCTTCTGTCTCACAGCCCTTAAGATTCTTTCCTTAGTCTTAACTTTGGAAAACCTGATGACAATTTGCCCAGGTGAAGATCTTTTTGCGATGAATTTCCCAGGTGTTCTTTGTGCTTCTTGTACTTGGATGTCTAGGTCTCTCACAAGGCCAGGGAAGTTTTTGTTGATAATTCCCCCAAATATATTTTCCAGGCTTTTAGAATTCTCTTCTTCCTCAGGAACACTGATTATTCTTAGGTTTGATCTTTTAATATAATCCCAGACTTCTTGGAGGCTTTGTTCATATTTTCTTTTTTTTTCTTTGTCTTTGTTGGATTGGGTTAATTCAAAGACCTTGTCTTCGAGCTCTGAATTTCTTTCTTCTACTTTTCCAATTCTGCTGAGACTTTCCAGAGCATTTTGCATTTCTAAAAGTGTGCTCAAAGTTTCCTGAATTTTTTATTGTGTTTTCTTTATTTATTTCCTTGACTATTTCTCCCTTCACTTCTTGTATCATTTTTTGGATTTCCTTGCATTGGGCTTCACCTTTCTCTGGTCCCTCCCTGATTAGCTTAATAACCTCCTGAATTCTTTTTCATGTAAATCAGGGATTTCTTGGTTTGGATCCATTGCTGGTGAACTAGTGTGATTTTTTAGGGGTGTTGAAGAGCCTTGTTTTGTCATATTACCAGGGTTGGTTTTCTGGTTCCTTCTCATTTGGGTAGGCTCTGTCAGAGGGAAGGTCTAGGACTGAAGGCTGTTGTTCAGATTCTTTTGTCCCATGGGGTATTCCCTTGATGTAGTACTCTCCCCCTTTTCCTATGGATGTGGCTTCCTGTAAGCCAAATTGCAGTGACTGTTGTCTCTCATCTGGGTCTAGCTACCTGGTAAGTCTACCCAGCTCCGGGTTGGTACTGGGGGTTGTCTGCACAGAGTCCTGTGATGTAAACTGTCTATGGTCTCTCAGCCGTGGATACCAGTGCCTGTTCTGGTGGAGGTGGCAGAGGGTGCAATGGACTCCATGAGGGTCCTTAGCTTTGGTGGTTTAATGCTCTTTTTTTGTGCTGGTTGGCCTCTTGCCAGGAGGTGGCGCTTTCCAGAAAGCATCAGCTATAGTAATGTGGAGAGGGACCGGTAGTGGGTGGGGCTGTAGAACTCCCAAAATTATATGCCCTTTGTCTTCTGCTACCAGGATGGATAGGGAAGGACCATCAGCTGGGGGTGGGCATAGGCATGTCTGAGCTCAGACTCTTCTTGGGCAGATCTCGCTGCGGCTACTGTGGGGGATGGGAGCGAGGTTCCCAGGTTAATGGAGTTGTGTACCTAGGAGGATTATGGCTGCCTCTGCTGAGTCGTGCAGGTTGTCAGGGAAGTGGGGGAAAGCCAGCAGTCAGAGGCCTCACCCAGCTCCCATGCAAATCAAAGGGCCAGCCTCACTCCCACCGTGCTGCACCCCGTCCCCCCTTCCCCCGCCACCTTCGCGCAACAGCCCGGAGTCTGTTTCCAGGTGTAGGGCAAAATGGGCTTGAAAACTTGCCCAAGGCTATCTGCCTTCCAGCTGCAAAAGAAATGGGCTTTAGTTCTTCCCTTGCTTGTGAGGTCTCCACAGCAGATTCGTGCCCTCCCCCAAGTTATGGCCAGGAGGCTTCTCGCCCCGTTCAAGTTGTTACAAATTTCTGCTAGAGAATTCCTTCTCTCTGTGGAGTTTTACCTCCTGCTCCTCTGGCCACCCTCCTGATGGATCCCTGTGGTGCCAGGCAGGAATGGGCTGCCTGGGGACCACTAAGCCTTTCTGCTGCTTCCTCTACCCCTGTATTTTACTCGGCTCTCTAACTTGATTCAGCTCCTGGTAAAGTCAGAAACTTCTCCCACAAACAGACTTCAGCCTCTCCAGTGGGGGGGTGTGTTCGGGAGAGGAGGGTCTCCCTTTCCCACTTCCACACTTGGGGCACTCACAGTATTTGGGGTGTCTCCTGGGTCCTGCAGGAGCAGTCTGCTTCCTTCAGAGGGTCTGTGGTTCCTCTCGGGATTGCTGGCTTGTTCTTGCAGTTGATCTGGAGCTAAAATTCACACTGCAAGCCGCCGCATTGTCCGGGGCTGCAATCTAGTCCTGCCTCCCATCTGCCATGATCCCCTAACCCTTTGCCCATTTTTTTAATCAGATTGTTTTGTGTTGAGTTATAGGCATTCTTTATATATTCTGGATATTAACCACTTATTAGATACCGTCATGCACCACATAATGATGTTTGTGTCGGTGACTGACCGCATATACGATGGTAGTCAAACCTAGATGGTGTAGCCTAGGTGTGTGGTAGGCTATACCATCTAGGTTTGTGCAAGTACACTCTATGATGTTTGCACAACAACAAAGTCACCTACCAATGCATTTCTCAGAGCATATCCCTATGGTTAAGCAACACATGACCATATGTGATTTGCAGATATTTTCTCCTGTTCTCTGAGTTCCCTTTTTACTCTGTTGATAGTGTCATTTTTAAAAATTATTTTAATTTTTTAGAGATAAGAACTCACTTTGTCACCCGACTGGAGGGCAGTGGCACAATCATAGCTCACTTCAGCCTTGATCTCCCAGGCTCAAGCAATCCTGTGGCTTCAGGCTCCTGAGTAGCTGGGACTACAGGCATGTGTCGCCATGCTGGGCTAATTTTTTAAATTTTTTTCGTAAATACAGGATCTCACTATGTTGCCCAGGCTGTTCTCAAACTCCTGGCCTCAAGCAATGCCCCCACCTCAGCCTATTGATCATGTCTTTTGATATATAAAAGTTTTTTTTTTTTATGAAGTCCAATTTAACTATTTTTTCTTTCATTGCCCGTGCTTTTAGTGTAATATGCAAGAAATCATTGCCAAATTCAATGTCATGACGCTTTACCCCTGTGGTTTCTTCTGAGTTTTATAGGTATGCTCCTACATTTAGGTCTTTGATCCATTTTGAGTGAATTTTTTATAAAGATTCCATTTCATTTTTTTGCATGTGCATATCCAGTTTCCCCAATACTATTTATTGAAAAGACTTTTGCTAGAGACTCTCGAAGCTACAAAGTTTAAAGTTTTTACCATGTAAATGGCACATTAGTTACCTGATAATTTAAACATTTCCTTAAGTTAAAACAAATACAGATTTATAATAGAATGAAATGTACAATTGGCATTTATTGAAAAACCAAAAAGATGATCTCTACCTTCATACCAGAAATGATTGTGCTCCTGGGGAGGCCTGGTGGTATAGCCCCAAAACCTATGACTACAGGTCAGGCCAGCACTGGGATTGGGGATTTCCAGGGATGTCAACCCAACCAACTGCCTGATTTGGAAAGTACATCAGGGAGTGTCTCTGTCTCAGGCGCCCCTGGACACACTCTCATGAAAATGGCAACACCACAGCCTGGTAGCCCAGGACATAGGGGGCAAAGCAGAGGTATAGGATGGGGGCCTGGGTCCCTGCCCCTGGCCTGGGACAGGTGAGGGGTCCCAAAAGGAGATAGGCAGGGCCAGATGGGGGTGTGTGTGGCCCACCACATGTGTCAGCTAGGAAGGGCCACTGCCAAAACTTTAGGGCTCCTCCCAGCAAGGGAGTAAGGAGAATGAATGAATGAGAGGTGGAGGGAGGCGGGAAGAAAGAAGCATGATGAGGGGCCACGATTTGGAGGAGGAAGGTGATGGTGATTTGTGCTCCCGCTGTGTGCAAATGCTTCACGTAAACAGTCCCTCCGCACCGCCCTTTTTTTTTTTTTTTTTTGAGACAGAGTCTTGCTCCATCTTGCTGGAATACAGAATACAGTGGCACGATCTTGGCTCACTGCAACCTCTGCCTCCTGGGTTCAAGCAATTCTTCTTCAGCTTCCCCAGTAGCTGGGACTACAGGTACACACCACCACACCTGGCTAATTTATTTATAGATAGATAGATAGATAGATAGATAGATAGATAGATAGATAGATAGATTTTTTTTTTTTTTTTTTTTTTTTTTTTTTTTTTTTTTTTTTAGTAGAGATGGGGTTTTACCATGTTGGCCAGGCTGGTCTCAAACTCCTCACCTCGGGTGATCTGCCCCTGCTAGGCCTCCCAAGTGTTGCAATTACAGGCATGAGCCACCACGCCTGGCCAACTATCCCATTTCATCTGCCCAGCAGCCTGGGGAGGACATATGTGTTATTCTATTCCACAAATGAAGAAATCAAAGCTCAGGGAGGTGGAGTCACTTCTGATATTCACCCAACTATCAAGCAGCAGATCTGGGATCAGAACCCAGAACTTGTGTTCTTCCCTAAGTTCCATGCTGCCCCTGAAGGGGTGGAAGTTGCCTTAGCTAGTTCAGGCTGCTGTAACAAGACTTGGTGGCTTCCACGGAAAAGTGTTTCTCACAGTTCTGGAGGCTCGGAGGTCCAAGACCAAGGTTCTGGCTGACTCTATTTCTGGCGAGGGCCTGCCTTCTCACGGTGTCTTCCAGAGTGGAGAAGGGGGTCGTGTCCCTCATGTCTCTTCTTTAGATCAGTGCCCTCTAAGGGGACTGATTACCTCCCACAGACTCGACACAGGTCCCACCTCCACACAGCACTACATTGGGGATTAGGGTTTCAATATGAATTTAGGGGGGACTTGAACATTCAGTTCATAGCAGAAGTCCTGTGCCTTAACATACAGGAAAGCTGGCTTTGTTCCAGGTCTTCCCTGGGGGACCCTGGTCCTTTCCTTTCTGTGGGCCTCAGTTTTCTCATCTTTAAAGTGGGAAGGGCCAGGCGCAGTCGCTCATACCTGTAATCCCAGCACTTTGGAAGGCTGAGGCAGGTGGATCACTTGAGGTCAGGAGTTCGAGACCAGCCTGGCCAACATGGTGAAACCCCGTCTCTACTAAAAATACAGAAATTAGCTGGGCATGGTGGAGGGCGCCTGTAATCCCAGCTACTTGGAAGGCTAAGGCAGGAGAATAGCTTGAACCCGGGAGGCGGAGGTTGCAGTGAGCCGAGATCGTGCCATTGCACTCCAGCCTGGATGACAGAGTGAGACTCTATCTCAAGAAAGAAAAAAGAAAGTGGGAAGGTAAACAGGGCTATTTCCACTGTGACAGCTCATGATGTTTTATTTCTAAGGAGTCAAAGTCCAGGACTGGCTCACCTAATCCGAGGCCCTGGTGACCTCCCTGCTGCCCCCTGATGGAGGATGTCTCCCCTTCCTGCCACCCCGCTCATGGCCACCCTGATTCTCTCTTCATTCCCAGACCTGGAGAGGATGGGGAGGTAGGGAGGCAGGGCATGAGGGGGATGGGGCGGCCTTGTGATCACATCCTCGCCCCCTCCAGGTGGGAGCTCCTGCTGAGCCCTATGCTGTCCAGGTATAGCTCATGCGTGCAGTGGGTGTGCAGAGGGTGCTGTGCCAGCCGGGAGGCCTCAGCTCTCTCTCGAGTTGTTTTTTCACTGCATCGAGCCGGCTGTCAAGGTTAAAGCAACTTCAGATGAATCACCGCAAAGCAATTACACTCACTGTTCCTCGCGTGCAGCTCTGCCAAGCCCGCGGCCCTTCGCAGACCCGCCTGGGCCGCCTTCTGCCGGCATCTGGTGTGCCTGTGGGCCTCCCCGGGACGGTGGGCTCTGTGTCAGCCCCACACACTGGGGCACAGTCACCGTGACGGGGACAGAAGGGAGCTGTGTACGTAGCAGCAAATGCTTTTTCAAGGTTTATGAGTAAGAGGAGCTGCTATTCACCCTGGAATTCTAATTTTGAACAAAAAGGAATTCAATAGCCAGGACCACTGGCCTCATCGACTCAGTATTCTCCATCCTTGACTTCCTCTTAGTGCACATTTACTGAGCGCTTCTCAAAGGCCAACAGTGCCCAGGGTTCAGGACCAAATGGGGGGTTCAGAGATGAGGAGAGCATAGCCTCCATCTTCCAAGAACTTTGAGCAGAAGCCAGAACCACCAGCACAGAGAGGAGGGAGGAGGAGGAGGCAGGAGAGGAAAGGCTCTGCTTTTATGGGAGGGGGACCTGGATGGCGAGGCCATCATGGGAGGGCAGTGGAAGGCAGGAGCCAGGTGTGTGCTGCGGTCCCCCTTTTAGAAAGAGAATCTGAGGCACAGAGAGGTTACATAATGGCCTGAGGTCCCGCATCTGGTGACTGTCAGGGCTGGGTCTGTCTGAGGCTTTCCACGAGGTCATGGGGTCAGAAGTGCGAGGACAGACTCAATTGTGAGGAGCCTGTGCTCAAGCCTGAAAGAGACCATGAGACAGGTAAGAGACTGCCCAGCCCCTGAGTCCTGGGGGGCTGTGGGCCGCAGGGGAGGAACAGCAAGAACCTGGGTCTGCCGGCCTTGATGTCCATCTCTCCGCCCTTGGCTGTCACATCCCCCAGCCTCTGTCTCCTTCTCTTTGAGATGTTCCAGCCTTGGTGACACTCTGGAAGCCAGCGGAGATATGAGTCTCCTCTCTCCCATGCTCCGTTTCTTCCACAGTGCCTCCCAGGAGAAACGGGAAAGGGGAGGAAGCAGGTGCTGGGGAGCCCCGCCCTTGTGGGAGCCCAGACCTTTGTCAGGATGAGGATCAGGCTGGGAAGGGGCAGCCCATGGAGACCCCAGAACACCAGCTCAAAGGCAGCTGGTCCTTCCCACCCCATCTCTACCCTCCACCCACTCATGTTCCTGTGATGCTGCTGCCAGGTAAACGCACCTGAGAGCGATCACCTAAGTGCACCCCAAGAATGACCCTGTATGGCAAACGCACCTGAATGTGTGTTCTGAGCTAGGGAATCTGAGAGTGGCCAACCTGGAGATTCGTTCCTTGTCTATGAGGAATATCTGAGCCGTCGGCCTGTCTGGTGGAACACTGGCTGTACAGGGGATTAAGCCCTGAGTTTTGGCGGGGGTGCTGGGGGGGGGGGTGTGAATGAAGGTTCCCAGGTGGAGGTTGTTAGGGTGCTGAGTGGAAATGCTATAGCAACTGCATGCCTTTTACAAGCAGTTGTGGTTCTTCTGCCCAGCCCGCCACTGCTGGGCTCTCCTCTGCATATAAGCCCCCAGTAAAACCCCATGTCTCTTTTGCTGTTTCTGGGTCTCTTCTTTGGCCTCTTGAACCTGGTGCCATCCCCACTAGAGTTGTTAGGGGTTCAGCACAACAGATGCCCACCAGGAAAGGAGGGGAGACCTTCTGAGGGTCCTCATCTGTCCCCCCAAGAAAATCCCAGACAAATCCTCATCTGTCCCCCCAAGAAAATTCACAGGCAGGAAGGCAGGCAGGCCATGGGGCAGGAGGCGGTGTGGGGCCACTGCTCTCCCCATTCTTGAGAAAGGGCAGTCTCCCAGAGTCTCACCCCTTCCCCACTGCCCACTGCCCCTCAGACCAGGGAAGATTTGGGGCCAGTCACATCTGAGCAGGAGGTGGGGGTGAGGCAGGGCCCTGGCACGTGTGGCTCCTCCTGAATTTTTGGACCTGAGAAAGCCAGAAACGGGATAGCCTGGGGTCTGCGAGTGAACTGTGTACTCGGGAGTGTTGTAAGTGGGGAGGGAGGTACATTCTGCCCAACTCAGTTCCTGCCATCTGCTCCCTGAGAACAAAATGAATAAATAAATGACACACAGGGAGTCTCGAGAACTGGCAAGAGGCGGGCAGTGGAGATCCCACCTTGAATGTGACAAAAGCAGAATAGAGTGGCGGGAGCCCAGCTGGCGTTGTCGCACGTGCTGGCAACCGGGCGGATACCCCTCCCCAGCCCCACACAGGTGTGAAAAGGACCTGCACTTCCAGGGGCAGCCTGCAGGCAGGGTCTCCAGGAGGGGACTCACGAACTGCACCCACCTGCTCCCACCAGCCTGCAGGATGTCCCTAGAACTCTGAGGGGAAGGAGAGGGAGAAGGTGCATCTCATCCTGGGCAGAGAGGGGCCTGGTGATGGGGGAGCCCTGCCCCCAAGAATGTCAGCGCCAGCCAGCCCCTGCCCACCTGTGGGCCACCGCAGACCTCCTTTCCTCCTGACGCAGCCCCATAAGGTGGGGTTAGAGAGCCGAGGCCCGGGAAGTCCAGTCATCCTCCAAGGTCACTCGGCTACGGCAAGTGTGAGCTCTCCACTCAGGCGTGTTTCCGCCACGATGCAGGGCTGTGGAGGAGGTGGCACTTGAGGCTGACAGGGAAGGAGGCTGGGCTTTGCTCTTGCTTCAGCATCTCTCCTAACTCATCCAGTACTTCCTCTACACACCGTCCTAGAGAAAGTAGTTTATTATTCTCATCCCCATCTCTCAGAGGAGGAAATGGGCTCTGAGAGGTTCAGTACCTGGCCCAAGGGTACTCATAAGCAGCAGCAGCATGATTTGAACTCAGGCAGTCTGTCCCTGGAGACCACCCTTGAAACTCTGGTTGATGCCCTCTGCCTTCCCTCCCCAACCCCTCCCACACTTGGGAGGTGGGGAGGCTACTGAAACGCCAATTGGGCCACACCTGTGTCCCTGCTCTCTATTGCCTGCCGGGAAGTGCTCATCTCCTTGGCCCGGCCTTCCTGGCCCCTCTGGATGTGGCACCTGCCTGGCTTTCAACCTCATCTCCCTCCCATCATTCCCACCCTTGCCCTCTTTCATCCACTGACCCATTGCTCTTTTGCTGTCAAAGCCCAGCACAGATGCCCCCCTGCTGTGAAGGTTCCCTGATTCCCAGGGGCCTCGACTCTGTACATGGCCAGGCGGTCCTTGCCACCCTGGGCAGTTTTGGTTTGATTGTGTTTGTCTCCCTCTCACCCGTATCCCCTGAGGCCTCTTCATGCAGGACCCACGTCTTTCTTGTCTCTATGACCTGGAGCACCTCATGCTGCCTGGCACATGGAAGGTACTAAGCAGTGTTACATGGAATCTGGTAGACTTGCTCTCCTGTCTTATCACGTCTTTCGTTCCTTCTGGAGGTGGAGGTGGGACTAGGGAAGATTATGGGGCTCTGGGTTGGATGCTTGAGAGAATGCAAAGCCATATCACGTGATCTTCCAATGCTTCTCACCTATGGGGAGTAGGGGGCCAGACACGTGCCCCAAGAATTGCAATATGAGGCCAGGAGTCAAATTGGTCCTTCAGAGGAAGCAGAGATCATATCCTGTGGAGAGATCGGAAAGATGCTAAAAATATGGTAGAAGCAGAGCTCAAAGAAGGATGAGATGTGAGGTTTCAGTCATCAGATATGGAAAGAGAGGGTGCTCCAGGCAGGCCCACCCACATAGCAAAGGTGCCAGTGCTGAGCAGGTCAGTGTGGTTGAAGCGGAGGCACCCAGAGGAGTGGGAGCCAGGCTGGACTGGTGGGCCAGGGCAGGTGGCATGGTGTTCTCACACCAACAGCCCAAGGGGCTCTGGCATTATTCTGTGGGCATGGGGAGCCCCTGAAGGCTTATTTTTCATCTACTCACTCTGCAGCGTTTCCTGGTGGGCAACCTTTTAACTCTTTCTTCTCCTAAGTAGCATGTGACCAGCTCTGGGCCTAGGTATGGGAAGAGAGAGGATGCTGAAGGCTTTGATCTGCCCTTGGAGCCCCAGCCAGTCCCTCTGGGTAGCTGGGCAATGCTCTACTTCCTCCATCCCTGACTGGAGGCTACTGAAGAACATATGGCGGGCTACCTTGGCGTTGGAAGGAAACAGATTGGATGGGGGGAGATTGCTGTGATTAAGAGTTGGTGAATGGATCTGGGCAGAAGATGACCCACAGAGGCCAGGTTGGACATGTCCTGGCCTGACCTCCCTCTGCCTTTCCTGGTGCAGCCAGGGAGATATCCTGGTACAGCCTTACTGTCTCCTGACATCTCTGACTCCCAGCCTGCCTCTCAGGAGCAGCCATGCCCTCCACATCCAGTCCTCAGACCCTGGTGCTGCCCCAAAGCAGGCAGTCACTGTTCAATAGTGCCACAGCAACAGAGGCAGTGGCAGAACTGGAGACTCTGTCACCCTCTAATAAGGAAAACCCATTCTGGCAGGCTGGGTAAATGGCCTCAAATTGAATAATTAATAAAGTTATAAAAATATGTCTACTATATGGCCAGAATAATTCAGCCCAATTAGAAGCAGTTATTTCTCATAGTTATGCCACTTGGTATTTTTTTTTTTTTTTACAAAGATCTTTAGTAACATGACAGAGTTATCAAGTTTGGCTGCCTGCTTGAGAAGTTCTTTTGAGACCAATCCCTCTTCCAGATGAGGAACATGCATCCATCCATCCATCCATCCATCCATCCATCCATCCATCCATCCATCCTGTCTGTCAGTCCAACCATTCATCCCCTTGTCCAACTATGTATCAGTCCATCCATCTGTCCATCACTCTGTCCATTCATCCATCTATCTCTTTATTCTTCCATCCATCTGTCCATCTATGCATACATCCATCTGTTTATTCATTCATCCACTCATTCAGCAGACATTTCTTAAGCCCTTTCCATGTGCCAGACACTGTGCTAGGTTCCGGGCATATGGAGATGAATAAGATCCTTCCCTTGTCCCTGCCCTAAGGACCTTTCAGCCCAGGCAAGTGACCTTTGAGTCACAGAAGCTCTTGTTCCTCTTCCTCTTCAGAGGTCCTGCCAAATATCATTTTTGCCCTTCATCTCATTCCCTTTATTTCATGGATACATACGCAGCTATTTGGACTTAAACATAGTCTTGAGCTAGGTAATGGGCTCCTTCCCAAGGTGGCTTAGCTCATTCTCCTATATCTGAGAGCTCAGGGATCTGCTTGCTTCAAAACACCCACTGTTCTGGGTCCCGACCTTTTCTCCGAGCCATCAGTGGCTGTGAGATCTGGCTTCACTCTGTCCCCTGTCTTCAATGTGATCTGGGGCAAGACATTTACTTTTTCTTGGCCCATCTTTAAAATATGAAGGATCACTGTGCTGCTGTAAGCTCACAGGAATGGTGAGAGTCGAGAGGCTTGGGGCCACCTGTTGGAGATCCCAGTCTGCTGTCTGGAACACTGGACATGAGTTGAATTCTGAGTTACATCAACTCATACTTTACAGGCATCCTTCAGGAAATCCTTCCATAAAGCCAGTGCTCTTTTTGCAATGAAAATATCCTGCTTCTGATTTCTCTGCTGGACATTGGAACTTTTCTCATAGCATAGCAAAACCATGTCATTAAGTCTCCATAGAGCCCTTGCTGTAAGCCCAGATCTGTGCTGGCCTAATCTGATAGAATTCTCTAGTGAGTATGTTACAGTCACCAAACATTTATTAGGGGCCTGATATATTCAGGGGATGCAGAAAGACCTTGCTCTAGAGGGCCTCTCTAACATGGGTTCCCTTTTGCTTCATTGTGAATCAGGATGTCAGAGCTAGCAAAGGCCTTTTGACACCCTAAACAAAGTAAAATGGCAAGCTGTAGTTTGGGAGAAGATATTTGCAATACCTGCAATCTATAAGGATTAATATCCAGAATATATTTTTAATCCTACAAATCAATAAGATGAAACCCAATTCAAACACTAGTGAAGAACATAAACATGTACTTAGCATGCATATTTTGACGGGTAATAAGTGTATGGAAAGATGCTGACCTCACTAGGAATCAAAGATATGCAAATTAAAACTAAGATGCCACCCTATGACCCCCAACAGATTGAGGAAAATCAATTCCTGATAATAGCAAGTGTTAATAAGGACACAGGGAGATGGATACTCTCATATGATACTGATGAGAGAGTGAATTGCCAGTACCACGTTAGGGAGCAGTTTGGTAACTTTAAATAAAGCTGGAGATAATACCAACCTCAGAATGCCATGCATCTCAAATCTTTTTTCTACCACAACCTAGATTCATAAATTCATTTCATGTCATGTCCCAGCACATACATTTTCACACACCGATATTTTAAAATCTCTTCTATTTAACTTTTAAAAATGGTGATCATGGCCCATTATATTGATTTCATGACTCTCCTCTGGGTTACAACTGCAGTTTGAAAAACTCGGCTCCAGAGAGCCTCTCCAACAGGCGCAAGCCTGCATTATTGTTCATAATGGTGAAAAGCTACAGGTCCCTCAAGAGGGAAGTGGATACATTGTAATATACTCATACAATGGAGTCTCCACAGCAGTTAAAATGAATGAACTAGCGCTATACCTGTCTACTTGGATGAATCTCAAATATATCATATTGAGTGAAAAAAGCAAGTTGCAGAGGGCTTCATACAAACCATATGGTATCATTTATAGAAGTGTAAAAGCATGCAAAATAATGAATATGTTATTTATCGGTCCATTCATATGTAATAAAAATACAAATACAGGCATAGAAAGGATCCACATCAAACCAGTCAGGCTCAGGTTACCCCTGGGGAAGGAGAAGATGGGCTAGGGAGGGATACCCAAGGAATTTCAACCGGGTAATGTTTTTCATCTAAAATGAAAACATCTGTAGCAAGACTGGAGGATGTTAAGATCTGTTTGATGGATACACTATGGTTGTTTTAATTTTATTTAAACTTTACAGAATACATGAAACAGTCCATATGCAAAAGAAAAAGGCCTTTGACACCTCTTTGTCCACCTGTCCAGCACCCAAGCTCATGTGGGGGAAAACATGTTGGCTTGTCCTAAACTCAGGTGTTCACTTAATGTAGTTCAACAAATATTTATTGAGCACCCACTATGGGTCTGACAATACCAGGTGTGAGGTGTGGGTTGGGCAGCAAGGAAGGGGAAGATATTACCAGTGAAAATTTGGAGCTCAGCAAGGGAATAGGCTGCCCACCCAACTCTGCCATAAAAAGCAGGTAAACATTCATGCCACAAAGAGGAGCCCAAGTTCACCCTGTGTCTCCCTGGGGAACCAGGAAAGGCTCCTTGGAGGAGGTGAGGACCATGATGGGCATTGAAAAACGGAGAGAGTGATCTGTTAGATCCTGGAAAGGAGATGGGAAAGAAGAGACGATGAAGCAGCTCAGGACTGTACGCTGAAGCACTGCAGCTAAGATGGTGAAATGCTCCCTGGATGGCAGTGCCCAGGAGGAGATAAGATAAATGGAGTGAAGAGGTGGGTCTAATTCATCACAGGAGCTTAGGAGTGCTGGGTTCCCGGAAGCTGTGGGAGATGGGAGACAGCCTGCCCACAAGGAAGGGCACAGCCTCTCAGGGACAGCCACTTCCACCGCCCATCCTCAGCAAGGGCTCAGCGGGGAAGAAGGGGGGCGTGATTCTGCTCAGATCCCAGACTTCCGATTTATTTGACCAGCTCCCAGTAAATTCCTCACACCAGAGGCCTCGCCACCTCACACCAGAGGCCTCGCCATTCATCTCAGGCTGGCGAGGCGGAGGTGGGGGTGCACTGCACAGGAAGTGTCTGTCTTAGATTGCTTGGGGACATGGCCACATGTCTTGCTAGGAGGCCAGCCCCTAAATCCTCCTCTGACTCATTCCCTTCCTAGTAAATCTGAATAGTTTAAAATAACTTCTTCTGACCTTGAGGCTGGTGCCAACTATCTGCCATCCATCAGCCCTGGCCGATTTCTTATTAAGGTTCTGCTGTTCCCTTGCAAAAGTTGCCACCTTAAATCAGAGGGCCCATAGGGCAAGGCAGAGACCGGGGCCTTGCAGACAGTGGGGCAACAGCAAGTCAGGAAGATGAGGTTCTAGTGCCACTGCTGGAGCGAGCCAGGCAACCTTCCTGGGCCTTGACCCTACAGCTTGCATGAGGGCCTATGGATGATAGTTGTCCAAGCTCTGTAAAGCTAGAAAAAGCTGCCTAGGGAGGAGCTCAGAGGAGACCAGCTTCCCAAGGTTTTCCAAAAGCCAGCAGGGAGAAGGCTCAGGTAAAGTGGACTTGTAGCACTGATTACATTCATTCATTCGCTCACTCAGGAATACATGTCACTTATTTAATAAATCTGTATCAGAGGCCTACTGCGTACCTGTTTTAGATGCTGGGGATTCAGCAGTAAACAGGACAGAGAAGGTGCATGCTTTCATGGATATTACCCTTCAGTAACAGAAACACAATTAACAAGAATATAAATAAACACGGTAATTTCAATTGGTGATAAATGCTAAGAAGAAAATAAAAGGGCGTGATGGGTTAAAGTGTGTGAGGTGGGGTGGTCAGGGAAGGCCCTCATGGGAGCTCATGGGAAGATTTGAGCCAAGACTTGAATGCAAGGAGGAGCCACCAGGCCAAAAACTAGGGGAGCTTTGTGTTCGTCAGCCCTCATTCTTGGTCTGTTTTTGACTCAGCAGAAGAAAATTTGTTTTACACTCAGGGGACAATTGCCAGGCTCTGCAGAGGATTTACAAATGGATGAGCATGTTCCTGCTCACACAATGCCTTCTATCTAGTGGGTGTGATCATGCACCATGCAAGGAACTATAGGGCAGGGCGGCTGGGGACGCGAAGGCATCTTGCTGAAAGCTCAGAGAAGGCACAGGCCCCTTCCTGCCTGGATGAGCAGGGAAGAGCTCCTGGAGAGCAGAGCGCCGGAAGGGAGTCCTCTGGCAGGAGCTGTGGGCTCTGTGAGCAGTGCCTGGGTCCCAGTGGTGCTCATTTATTCCGTCAGATGCTGATGCTGGGTGGGCACGTGTGTCCTATTAATTACCGGAGTGAACGGAGTTGTTTCTTGGAGAAATGCAGATGACACATATTGCCCCATCAGCAAAAGAACTATGGGCAGGGAGGAATGCGGAGTTGGAACCAGCTTTCTTTTAATAATTGGCAGCAGATGAGTGGCATGGATTTTTTTCCTTATTGTTGCTGCTGCCAAAGGAAATCACTGAGGTTTCCCCTCTTTTGTGCACTGCATGTCTCCTGGCTCCAGGTCACAGCCCCAACTGGGAACCCGAGCCCTGGATGGTACAGATCATGAGAAATGACAGATCCCCGATGCAGCTGCAGGGCCTTTCTGGGGAGAGCACACGCCACACAGGCCGGTCTGCCGTTGAAATGAGCGATTCTCTTTCATAATTCAATACAATTTGCTTAGCAAATAAAGATTAGCAGGGCCACCTTCTCCACATTTGCTCTCAGCTCTAAACTTCTCTTGACATGGGTCACAGCCAAGGGTTGCAGAGAACAACCAAGAAATACAGTGGCTTCCCATGCACCTTGGAAGCTGATTGGCTGATGACCTCAGAGGCTGGCACGGCACCCCACGGTGGAGACTCTTGGAGGGCAGACTCCAGGCTAGGCAATGCAGAGACAATGTCAGCTCTTCCCCTCAAGGAACGTAGAGTCTAGGAGAGAGAGACAGGCATAGTCATCAGGGCCTGAACAGGTAGGTGTTATCCTATACCTGTGTACGGGGCAGGAGGTGAGGGCGGGGAGGGAGAGGACAGTTCTATAAGGTGGACCTTGGGTGGAGCTTTTATCTCCTTCTTTATGCCCATACAATGCTTGGCACAGAACAGGCGTGGAATAGAATGAAGAATATGGGACAACGCAGTCTCTAAGTGCCACCAAGATACACCACAGCTGAAATGAATCAGAGCCATCTTCTAGTTCTTGAGGGGTGGGGAGATTAATACATAGTTTTCTCCTCGATTCCATGTTTTTCCCTTTAATATGTTCCTATAAACTTTGGTTTCTACAACTGCTTGACTACACTAAAGTCTAGGGAAAGATATGAATACTATGAAGCACTTACTATGTGGTGGACTCTGGGCTGGGTGTTCACAGACATTGGCCTCACTTAATCCCCCCACTTCCTCGACAGCCTTGCAAGTTATTCCCATTCCACAGATGAGGAGACTGAGAGGTGATATAGTCAAGGCCTCCCCGCTGCTGCGGGGTGGGGAGGGAGATTAATTTGAAAGAGTATACCTGCGTAAGATGACGTTCACCTTAGCCCAGCATTACCTATCTAGCTCTGCAGATTTGGTAAATGGGTTTTACAAAGATACCCCCCACCACCACCAGAGCCAGCCTCTTGTAGAATACAGGGTTACAGACCCTTCAACCAGCAATTGTTGAACATCATTTTTGCTTGCTCATTGGTGATCCCGTAAGGCTTAATGCTTAATCCTTTCCTGCCAAACTGGTCCTGGTTGTCACATGGACACCTGCCACCTAGCCAGGACAGGCTTGGGCAGTTGGCCTTTGGTTGGAGATGTGTTAAAGTGGGGCAGGTAATGCCCAGGTCAGGTGTGCCTTGGAAATTTCCAGAGCCCACCTCTCTGGCTGCTCACTTCAAGCTCTGATTGAAGGGGCAGCTGAGCCTGACACAGTTTTCTCAGCTCCCAGACTGTTTCTAAAACCGACATCTCCGAAGATTAAAGCTGGGCTTCCCCAGTCCTCATTGCCTGTGGGGCAACCTCAGGGCCAACCCTCTGGGTGAGCAGACTACCACCCCAGAGCCCAGACAGAGTGACTTTCACTCCAGTCTTTTCCTGATTGTCCTCCCCAGACTGCTGAGGTCATTTCCTTTGGGCTGGAGAAAAGGGAAAGAGGAGCCTAGGCCACGCCCTAATTAAACCAGTTTTCTTAGAGCGGTGGTCAGCAAGCTATGGTCCATGGGCCAAATCTATTCCATTGCCTGCTTTTATAAATAAAGTTTTATTGGAACACAGCCATCCCTATTCATTTCTGGATTGCCTGTGACTGCTTTCTCACTGTAACAGCAGAGTTGAGTAGTGGTGACAGGGACTGTCTTGCTCAAAAGACAGAAAATATTTATTATCTGGCCCTTTATAGAAAAACTTTGCCAATTTCTACTTTAGAACAGTAGCATTTTTCATCCCAGTGTTTTTCTATGGAAAATATTCAATGCCTTAAAGACAGGATGGCCAAACCTTTCCATCACCTAGGATGATACTATAATAATAGAAGCAGTAGCAGTCTGGGCTAAATGCTGACTCTGTGGCAGTTAAGAGCACAGGTTCTGGAGGCAGGATGGTCCTATCCCAGCATCACCATGGTCCCGACTGTGGGACCTTGGGCCAAGTAATATGACCTTCTTTACCTCAATCTCTCCTTTTATAAAATGGAGCTAACAGTACCTTCTTTACAGGGGTTCTGTCTGGGTTAGATAAGGTGTTACATGTAAAGCACTTAGACGGTGCCTTGACAAAGTATTCAGTCCATGCTGGTTTACTCATTTAATCCTCATGGCAAATTCCTATTCCTTGCTTCATGGCAGGTACGGGCACCTGCCCATCCAAACCCTTGGTAATTCAAATTCAGAAAGAGAAAAGCATCACATATAAAGTTTCGGATTAATCATTCACTGTGACGACTTCCTTCCTTCTTTCTGAGCTCAGGACCAAACAGACTTGGACGGTAAGGGATATTTGCCCTTGTGGTCTCTAAGTACTTTTTTGCAATTACTTTTAATGGCAAAACTGCAATTACTTTTGCACCATCCTACTGGATACCATTATCATTCCCATTTTGCAGATGCAGAAGCTGAGGCTGAGAGAGGGTAAGGAGCCATGAGATGCAGGACTCAGTCCAGACTGTCTGACCCAGGAGCACCCAGTGACCAAGCACACTGCCACTCCCTGGTGTCTCACCGCTGTGTCCCTGGCTTGTAGTAGGGGCCCATGTTTGATGAGTGAATTTGTGAGTGAGGGGCACCCAAGAGCAGGCAGACACTGTTTTTCACCCATACATTGTGCCTCATTACCACAGAGTTTGTTGTGCCTCATGCATTGTCACTAGGGTAGGGGACTTTGCACAGCTGGCTACCCACTCTCCCCCATGACCAGCACCCTCATTTCAGTATGACCTCCCCTGATTCAGTCACCTGAAGAACAGAGCAGCAGCAACCAGCCTCTTCCATTCTGGAACCCATGACAATGGCCTGATGGAAGAGGCTTGGACAGTGGGCCATGAAAGACAAGGGCCAGGTGGAAAGAGCACTGGCTTAGAATTGGGACCCCTGGGGTTGAATCCCAGCTCTGCCACTAACTTGCTTTGTGATTTCAGGCAAGTCACTTACTTTCTCTGGGCCTCAACTTTCTCATTTTTCAAATTAGGTACTAGATTTCACTAGATCAATGGTTTTTAATGCCAGGGGACATTTGGCAATGTCTGGAGATATTTTTGGTTGTCACAGTTGTGGAGAAAGAGCACGATTGGTATGTGGTGGGTCGTAGCCAGGGTTGCTGCTAGACATCCTACAGCGTGCAGGACAGCCCACACAAGGGTTATCCCACTTCAAATGTCAGTAGTGCCACTACAGAGAAACCCTGTATCTATATCCAGCTCCAAATTCCCATTCTTCATTTGCTCATAAAACATTTATATATCAGGTACCTACTATGCACCAGGCAGTGCACAGGACAGGATCCCTGCCCTATTGGGGCTCACAGCTTATAAGGAATAATGATAATAAGAGTTAATATGGGCTGACTGCTAACTATATATTAATACCAGGGGTTTTTATTTTTCCATGAACTAGCTTACTTGATCCTCAACAACCCTTAAAAACTATTATTACTCCCATTTTACTGATGAGAAAACTGAGGCTCAGCAAAGTGAAGCATTTGGCTTCAGGCCACACAGCTAGTAAGTGGTGGCATCGTCATTTTTACTCCAGAACCCATGCTCCTAACTGCCCTGAAGCGAGGCGTTAAGTCCTTGCCAGCAACACCAGAGGAAAGGAGCTTGGAATGCTTAGCCCTGCTGTCTCTTTATCATGCAAACCATTTAGCGAACTGGAAAAGGGCCTCATGACTATAAACCAGCCAGTAATGACCTGACAGGCAAAGGGGGCTGGAGAAGTGTTAGGGCCACAGAGACATTAATCTGCTTCCAGCCACTGCTGCTAGCAAGACATTTGTTAGCGTGCTTATGGGAGCCATAAAAGGCTATTTGATGTCATTCCTCCCTACAGTGGGAGCCTCAGTGAGCAGAAAAGGAGCTTCCCAGGGCTCAGGTGTTGTAGGTCTGGTTGGCCAAAGGCAAAGGGTCCCACCTGCCACAGGTAGGATGCTGCCGGGAAAGAACGTGGGGCTGCAGCAGGAGAGCTGGATTCTGGTCCATTTTATGATCCAAAAACAGCTTTAAGGCCTCCAGCAAGTCCTGTAATTGCTGTGGGCCTCATTTTCTCCATCTGTAAAGTGGAAACAGTAATGTTGATTTTTCAGGGCTGTCCTGAGGCTCTAATAAGGTGACAGATGTAGACAGTGGATAGGAATGCATTTTACTGAGGTACTAGGCATCATTACTGTTGGTGACCACCGTGTGGGTAATAATAACTGCAGTAGTAACGTACAGGGATTTAGTCAAACATTAGGCCCGAGACTGGATCTGAGGTGTCATCAAACATTAGACCTGGGCAAAGCTTCATAAATCCATCTAGTTCATTGTGTAAGTAATAGCTTTCATTCATCCTGCACTTGTGATGCACCAGACACCGTTCTAAGCACTTTATCTGTATTAACTCATTGAATCCTCATATCAAACCTATGAGTTAGGGATGAATATGATCCCCATTTTACAGATGAGAAAACCGAAGCCCAGAGAGATAGCAAGGTGGTGCAGCTGGGCGCAGGCAGATTAGCTCCCCCTGTGACCACGCTCCACCCTCACACGGAGGAGAACTGGAATCAATTGTGGGTGACAGGCAGATGGTGCCTCTCCTTTCTGGGGGTCTCTCTCTCTCCTGATTGCTGGGGCCACAGAGCATCATCTGACCCCACCCTCCCTGCAGCAAAATGGAAACACAATGGTTTGTTTTTGTGGGGCTTGATTTTTGGGATGACTCCAAGCCTCAGCCCGGTGGGCTGATCAGGGAGGTGCATTAAGGAGGCAGGCTCAGCCCTCTGGCTGGCATCCAGAGACCTCCCAGCCCCCCTAGGGGTGTGGCAAGGAGATGGCAGGGACTCGCAGCCGTGGAGCTTGGTGTGACCACAGTGCAGCAGGTGCATTTCAGACAGACCTGTAGTGAGCAGGGTCTCCACTTGGACGCAGGCCACTTGGACCCAGGGCGGGCAGCCAGGGAGGACAGCTTGGTGCTCGGTTATAATGTGGTCTTCCAGGTTTTGCACAACATGCTGATGTTTGTTGTTTTTAAAATTATCATTGAAATAGCCACATAAAAATTTTAAATTCCTATAGATTCCCCCTGGGCTTCCAGCAATTCTAGAGAAACACTGCCTTAGATGGATCCCAGCATGCCAACAGTGGGGAGGTGGTGGGGAGGGAGGTCAGCAACCAACTGGGGGGCTCTGGTGTTTGTGCTGGGACCCTAAGAGCCATGCTCCCCTGACCCTGAGCCCCTGGCGTCTCTCGGCCTCCTCTTGCCTACCCTGCTGCTGCCCTCAGGGAAATGTCCTGGCACCCTGCTCATGATCTTGTTCCTGAGCTGGCAGAAGCTTCACGTGTCAGGCTTCCTCTTCCGGCATTTGGGAAGTTCTTAGGGAGGCCAAACCCACAGAGCTATCCAATGCCTTTCCTTCAAATTTGCTGTCCATTTGGGTCCCTGTTCAGAGCCATATGAACTGGGAGATGGATGAAATGGCTTTTTCAGGTCTCAAATCCTGTTAACTTGGGGTGCCTCTGCAAGAACACAAGGACAAACTGTCCTCCCACCACCAAGGCACAGCCCTCACCCCAGGCCCCAGCCCCTCTGTGCCAGGAGACCTGGGTGGACACTGTCCAAGTTCCCTGGAAGGTGAGGGAAACCCCACTGCTCCCCCACTTCGCCGGGCCCTCCTTAAATACCCTCCACAGTGGAAAGTCAGGGGAGATCTTGATGTTTGCCAAGTGGAAAAGACAGGAAAATCAATAGGGGGAAAAAATCTCATTTTCAAGCCTCTAAGCAGGTATTGCAATCAATAATGCAAAGAGCCGCAGGAGGCCATTAAGCCACACTCGGCAGTGTCCTCTTGGACGCAGGAAATGTTTGCTGAGCAATGGGACTTCAAGGGCACCTCAGTACCCACCCCCACCTGCCCAAGGACCACGGCTGTGGGCTGTGTCTTTTAAGGGAGCTGGTCTGAGTCTCCACAAGGGAAACGCTACTTGGAAGTGAGTTAGCCCATCCCCCAACCAGTGCGGACCCCAGTGCAGTGGACCCTCAGATCCAGACATGCAGAGCAAAGGACACAAAAGTGCAGGGGGTGGCATCCCATCTAACTTGGCCACAGGAGGTTTACCAGGAGTTGACACTTGCCATTTTCCCCTTTGTTTTTTATTTGCTCCTGGAGATAAACTGGATCTTTTTTTTTTTTTTCACCATCATAGAATAAATAGACTCCTGGTTTATGTTCCATCATTTCCTAGCTTATTGTGTATGCTGCAAAGTTTCATTTTTCCATCCTATTTCTGATAACTGCCAAAGAATATTAGGTGCTCTGGTGGGATGTTAGGGACGTGTGCTCTGACAATGGGTGCATCCCCCTCCTGCCCCACCCGTGGCAGCATTTGCTTCCCCTCTTGCCTCTGAGCTGTGACTGTGCTTTTAAAACCTGCTGGGTCTCTATGGACACAAGGGCCAGTGAATCAGGGCTTATTGGCATGGCACTGCATGGACCAGGAGGAAGAGGGCTTAGAAGGAGACCTGGTGCCTTCCAGACACTCCCAGGTTGGGGTGGGAGCTCCAGGCTCTGACTCACAGTGCTCCCAGCCTGATGGAGGAATCTAGACCCTGTCTATAAGATGATGGAACAATAGCACTTAAAAAACCATATAAAAATCATCTCACAAGGCCGGGAGTGGTGGCTCATGCCTGTAATCCCAGCACTTTGAGAGGCCAAGGCTGGTGGATCACCTGAGGTTGGGAGGTCAAGACCAGCCTGACCAACATGGAGAAACCCAGTCTCTACTAAAAAAAAAGAAAAAAAATACAAAATTAGCCGGGATGGTGGTACATGCCTGTAATCCTAGCTACTTGGGAGGCTGAGGCAGGAAAATCGCTTGAATCCGGGAGTTGGCGGCTGCAGTGAGCTGAGATCACACCATTGCACTCCAGCCTGGGCAACAAGAGTGAAACTCCATCTCAAAAAGAGAAGAAAAAATCATCTCACAAACCCCTACCCTTCCAAGAGATGGCCCTAATTCATTAATTGTCCTGAAATTCTGTTGTAGTGAGTATTACCTGGGGAAAATGTGTTATTTAATGGGATTTGAAGTTGTTTGATACAGCGTTTTCTTTCCTTCTTTTTTTCAAACAGAGTCTTGCTCTGTTGCCCAGGCTGGAGTGCAGTGGTGCAATCTCGGCTCACTGTAACCTCCACCTCCTGGGTTCAAGTGATTCTCCTGCCTCAGCCTACAGAGTAACTGGGATTACACACGTGCGCCACCACACCCAGCTCATTTTCTGTGTTTTTAGTAGAGATGGGGTTTTGCCATGTTGGCCAATCTGATCTCGAACTCCTGACCTCAAGTGATCTGCCTTCCTTAGCCTCCAAGTGCTGGGATTACAGGTGTGAGCCACTGCGCCCAGCCAGTATTTTGTTTTGTTGCTATGGCGTTTCATCAACGTGCTAGGTGGCAGGTGTGGTGATAGGTTCTGAACATGGGCTTTGGAGTTAGACAGACTGGGTTCACATCCCACCTGCAGAGTTGACAGTTTCTGTGCAACCTTGAACCTATAATGTGACTTTTCTGAGATTGTTTCCTCATTAGAAAAAAGTAAGGATAGTCATACCCAATCACAAGCTTCACTTAAGAAGTACATGCTCCCAGCAATGTCTGACAAAGAGTGGGTTCTTAACAAATATTTGTTTTCTTCCCTTTATCCCTTTCCTCCACAGATTTTAATCTGACTGATGCAAATTTAATGGAGAACTCCCAAGTGTAGAGAGCTTGCAGGCTAAGAAATACTCCAAATTTCGGGGGTTAATCAAGAAAGGCTCCCTGAAAATAGTTTGGGGTCTGTCTCTCCTAAGCCCCACTTGGGGCCCTTGTACCCAGGCAGAAAGACTTACAATGAAGACTTGTGGGGAGAGGCCGTGCACACACTCAGTAGGTGCTCCTGCAGCATGGTTTGGGGCTGGAACTATGGCCTGGAATTTCTGCTGCCCAAGAATGAAGGCCAGGCTGTATCACTTCCCCAGGCTTTCCAGGCCACCCCAGGGGCCCATCAGAAATGGAGCTAGGGCTGATTAGTTGGGAGGGACCCCTGGCAAGTTCTCTCATTGCTCACCAAGACTAGTGTAACTGCCTCTCATCTGGGCTCCCTGCATCTGACCTTGCCCCATCCATCTCATTCTCTACCCAGCAACCAGTGTGAACTCTAAAACATGAGTCAGATCACATCCCTCTTCTGCTCAAAAGCCTCCAGGGGCCACTTAGAAATGATATTTAAAGCTTCAAGCCTGTCCTGGAGTGTTTTCAAATAAAAGTATCAATTTGTCTAGGTGCAAAGCCATTTGTTTGAAATTATGTAACTTGTTAGCATTTGAATAAAAGAGAAATTTCACAGCAGTGAAAATATGCCTTTTTAACACTCTATGGTTCAGTGACATCTTAGCTCCTCAGAATACACATACCTGACCTAGATGTTTTTGTAGATCGTATTTTTAAAACTCACATCTGAAAACACTCTTTTCCATAATTTAAAGGGATGGTTTAACAAAAATGTCTATCACTTTCACAAATAAAAACAATCTTCCATGTCACTCAATCATGCCACTCAACCTCATCTCCTATAATTGCTCCCTTGCACACCTGCTCCAGCTATGCTGACCTCCATAGGGTTCCTTTCCTGCCTTAGGGCCTTTGGCACTGGCTGTGTCTTCTACCTGCAATTATTGTCTTCCCCCAAATATCTACAAAGCTCACTATGTCACCTTATTAGCTTTCTATTGCTGTAGAAAGAACTCCCACATATTTAGTAGCATAAAATACCCACATTTATTATCTCATAATTTCTGTGGGTCAGGAGTTTGGGCACAGCTTAACTGGCTCCTCTGCTCAGTGTCTCACAAGGTTACAACCAAGGTGTCGGTGGGCTGCAGTCTCATCAGAGGATTGACTGGGGAAGATCTGTTTCCAAGGTCCCTCTGGTTGTTGGCAGAATTTATCTCACTGTAGCCATAAGACTGGGGCCCCATCCTCCTGCAGGCTGTCAGTCAGGAGCTACACTCAACTCCTAGAGGCTGCCCACAGTTCTCTGCCATGTGGCCATCTCCACTGGCCTTTTACAACGTGGCAACTTCTAGCTAGTAAGGGACAAAAGTCTTTCTAGTGCATGCTAGCAAAATAAAGCTTTCCTCATATCCTAACATGGGACAGCCCATCATCTTTGCCATATTCTATTAGTTAGAAACAAGTTATAAGTTCAGCCCATACTCAAGATGGGAGGGGACAAACATGGGGGCCACCCTAGCCTGTGGGCCTTTGCTTGCTGCTCTCTGTGCCTGGAAAGAGCTTCCTCCTGCTCTTTGCAGAGGTGACATTTGATTGCTCATATATCAGATGTCACCTTCCCAGAGAGGCCTTCCCAGATCACCTGACCAAAAAGAGGCTGCAAGCCAGCTCAGTGGCTCACACCTGTAATCCCAGCACTTTTGGGAGGCCAAGGCAGGAGCATCACTTGAGCCTAGAAGTTCAAGACCAGCCTGGGCAAGACTGTCTCTACAAAAAAATTTTAAATTAGCCAAGTGTGGTGGTGTGCACCTATAGTACCAGCTACTTAAGCTGAAGCAGGAGGATCACTTGAGCCCAGGAGTTTGATTATCAACCTGGGCCACATAGGGAGACCCTGTTTCTACAAAACAATTAAAAAATTAGCTGGGTGTGCTGGTGCATGCCCATAGTCCCAGTTACTTGGGAGGCCAAAGCGGGAGGATTTTTTGAGCCCAGAAATTTGAGGCCACAGTGAGCTATGATTGTACCACTGCACCCCAGCCTGGGTGACAGAGCAAGACCCTGCCTCAAAAAAAAAAAAGGCTCAAAAAAAGAGGTTCTAGCACCCCCTACCCTAGGCACTGTGCCCCTAATCACCAGCCAGACGTTGATGACAATCTGTGATCATCTTATTGAGTAGGTCATGAGTTTGCCTTCTGTCTCTGCTGTAGCTGTCAGCCAGCTGTGGGGCCTCCTCTTGCCTCCTCCAGCATCTCCCCATGCCTGGAGCCATGCCCCACACTCAAGAGAAATGGAAGTGAACAAGTAAAGGAGGCTAAGTCTGACGTGTGGGGGTCAAGCCTTTCCAGCCCCATGTTAGGAGAAGGGGACAGTGAGGTGGGAAAACTGCCCTGGCCAGAATGCCTGGGACGGCCTGCAGTAACTCCCTGGACTGCCTGCACTCCCTGGGCCTCAGCCCCTGCTCTGTGAAGTCAGGGTGGGGCAGCTCCACTCTCCCTGGTCCTCTGATCAGAGTCGGGACTTACCCCTTGGCCCTGATCCAAAAGGTCCCCAGGTTTTGAGGTGACAGCCTTCAGTCACCACGTTTCAGTGAGGCGCCTGGGAGTCACATTGTTTTAATCCTTCCTGAGGCCCAGGTCTCTGTAACCAGCTCCTCCTCCTAACTGGGCTCCCCATCTTCACTGCTACCCTGGCCCTAGCTGGGGAATCCCTGCCCCTCCAGTCCCCATTCCAGCCCTAGGCGTCCTCAGGAGGGCTAGGAGCCAACGCCATGGGTCCTGGGCACAGCAGGTGGGTTTGCCCAGACTGCTTCAAGCCACAGAGGCTAGGCCTCATGAGGGTCTCTGTTTCCGTCCCTTTAGACTGTCATATCCTCACATCTGTTGTCAGTTTTCCTCTCATATTCCTAGATCTCTGTCCACAATCAGTTCAACTGCACAGATCTTTCCTGCTCACTTAGTGCTGTAGGTGCTGCGAGGACACGGGATGAACAGATGTGGTCTCTCCTCAGGAGCTCACAGTCTAGAGAGAGGGACAGACACACCAGGTTAACCAACATCCAAGGCTGAAGCCATGGCGGGGGGGCCAAGTGCCTTGGGGGGTCCCAGAGGACAGAGGGTCATTTGCCTGGAGGGTACACTTCACAGAGGATGTGGCCTTTGACATGGATGAAGGAGGAAGACAGTTCCAACAGGTACTGCAGAGAGGAGAAGGCTACATCCCTCGGAGGCTTCTGCGCAAAGGCGTGGAGGCTGGATGGAGCGTGCAGTGTCATTCAATGGTGGGCAGCAGCTTAGAGCAGCAGTAGCTGGGTACTGAGCTAGTTCTGCAAGGGGAGAGACTGTGTTTGGCTTGGGGGTCTCAAGGGCATGGAAAGGAGTTTGGGATTTTATTGGATTTGGATTTTCTGACCTGAGGCTTTGGTGCTTGCTCCATCTCTTCCTTCTGCCACCACTTCTGGGGCAGCTTTTGCCGTGTCTCTGTCTCTCTGTCCTCCACCTCCCTGCCTTCTCTTTCCCCCTCCATCCCCATCCCTCTGACTCCTTAGCCGTCAACCCCACTCCCCTTTCACAGTATCTCCGGTCCCGGGCCCCATCTCCTAGTCACTCATCTCTTTGTTGCCCCATCCTTCATCCCTCTGCTGTCCATCCCTCTGTCTCTCTTGTCCCTTGGTTCCCCGCCTGCCCCCATCCCACAATCCTAATGCTCCCCCACCCACTGCCTGACCTGTCCCTTCCCAGGTTCCCCCTCAGACACTTCCCTGTCCTTCTGTGCTGCCCAACCTTCCCAGGAACCCTGGCCAAGGAGGTGTGGTTGTTTTTCGAGCAAGATAGCAGATTTGCCTTAGTTTCCAGCTTGTTTGTTTTACTATAATTAGGTAAATAAATCAGCATGTTAGCTCCCTGCCTGGGAGCCGGGCTTCTTCTAGAAGGAGCAGTTCTACCGTAGGTAGAGTGGGCAGGGGAGTCCCTGGGGTTCTGGGACGTTCTGGTCCTCTTCTGGCCCTGACAAATGGGGATCACTGGATCTCTCCCTCTGCTCACCCTCTCCACTCCTCAGCCAGCACAGTTCATATTTCTCTGAATTTAAGAACCTGGGGCAACTGGTTGGCTAGCGCTGTGGGGGGTCTCTGGGACTGGGCAGGGGCGGGAGGGCTGGGAGTTTTGCTGAGTCAAAAGCACATGGGTAATGAGGGCTGCAGGTGTTGCTCATTAAGCCACACACCCCACTTTTCCTGACATCCCCACTTGGACTGTGGGGCAAATATGGCAGCCGATGAGCCCCTGTTCCTCTGCCTAGGACCATTAAAACCCAATTAGCCGAATGAGGACCTGCTGAGCAGGGCGCCTTTCCTCTTCTGCAGGAATGCTATGGGCTGGGAGAAGGGGTAGCGGGGCTCTAATGAGCCTGGCAGGACTGAGCCAGAGAAAGTGCAACAAAGACTTAGGTTAGAGCTAGTGGAGAACTTCCTCGTGGTGAGGATGGCGCGGGGGAGGGAACAGCTCTGGGCTGGGTTCTCCCCGGCTGTGCCACTAAGCCACACCCTCCCATTGGTCCTCCATGTGAGTTAAGGTTAGAGCAATGGTTTCTAAATGGAGCCAAATCTGGAGCAGGCTCCTCCAGGGTAACTAGGGGGGATGTTCCAAATATTCAACAGTCACTGGGGTTTGATGACGGGGCCCTGACCTACTCACCCCCAGACTCCTAGCAGGGGAAGGATCAACCCTTTAATTGCCGAGTGGTTGGGAGTCCTGGATGGGGAGGTCCCAGTGAAGGGGCTGAGGTGGTCTGGGGTAATGGGGAGACTCAGGGCACTACAGGGCTTGGGGAAATGGTTCTTTATCAGCTAATATGGAGATATTTCAGGATTTTCATGACTGGGACAGACATCTCAAAGTGTATCAGCTAAATAACAGCATTGCATGTCATCAAAGGAGGCATCACCACCTCCTCCTCCTCCTTCCTGGTAGGGAGCAGGATGCACTGGAATAGGGCCACCCCGAAGAGGGAGGATAGCATGAAGTGACCCCTGATGCCTCCCTACAGAGAGAGAATGACTGAGGCACCCAGAGGCAACTTTATCCCTTCCTCAGAGCCTCTAGACCTGTGGAGGGGGAATCTGGGGGAAGTACATAACTGGGATGCCTCAGCCCTGAAACCTGTTCCCCAGATCTGTCTCTGCCTGACTGTATTGGGGTGCTCCGGGGCCCAGCCCAAAGCTGTCTCTCAACCCCTTGGAGAGATGTTATTAACAGCTCCTGAAACTGCCTCCTCAGCTCCTGGCTTGTCTTAGCCTAAGTAGGCCTTTTGGATTTATTAGTTCTGGGGGTGGAAAGAAAACAGCTTCTTGAAGAAGTGTGTTAGTGCCGCATTTCAAACTTCCAGGCTTGATGGAAATGGTAGTTAAAACATTTTAAGGCTCTTAGGTAAAGTTGCATTTGCCTTCCGCACAGCCTGTATTCTGATATTATCCATTTACTGCCGTTGCCCTGTTATATGGCTGAGAGGTGGTGCTTTATCAAGAGCTGTCAGCCCATCTTGCAGGGATATGGCCCCGGCTTCCATCTGTGAGCCCATCTCATTGAAACCACCAAGAATAAAAAACATCAGAGAACAATTGTGCATTTTAATTAAGCCTCAGTGTGCACCCTATTGTGGAGATGCTAATATTAAAGAATTCTTTTCACTTTGCAGGAAGCTGGAATATTTGTTCCCCATGTCATTTCTAAATTCTTTTTGTGTGGCAATTAATAGTTAACTCCTGGGAAATAAAGCTACTGCTTGATTTCATCTTTATGGCCTGGCATTAAAATAACTGTTCCTGATAAACTATTACAATAAAGTATTGAGAAGACCCTGCTGAAAGGGGGTTTTCGTTCAGGTATTAATTCTACTTAAGAGCTGGGCCCTGAACAGATCTTTTGAATCCTAGTTTGTTTCCTTTTTTATGATGAAATGTCAGTGAGCCTAAACATAATCATAATAATAGGAGAATAAGTGTGTATTTAAAGGGTAGGGGACCTGGTCCACCTTTCCACCCCTCCTATAAAGGTATTTCCAGTTAGTATGATGACCCTAATTAGGTGCCTATAACAGCCTTCATCTGCTTGCATCACTTTTAGCCAGAACATGTCCTTGACGTAATAGAAAAGGTGAAATCAGCACATTTGTAGTCATTGTAGCAGCCCAGCTCTACCTGATATCAACAATATTTAACTGGGAGACCTAATTTGAGTTTACAAGTGATTACAAGGTATCCTACGGGATGCTGCTTACCAATGCATTCTCAAGGAAGTTGCAAAACAGTGACGAATTAACTTGTTACACTGTCAAAATCAATTACTACAAAAGACAGCTTAACTTCTTCAGCCCTGATCTTAGGGTCTCTGAGCCAGCACCACTGCCCTCTGCCCTTCAAGCGCTGCTCAGGGGAATCTTCCCAGCCCAAGCTGCCTGCCACCAGCCAACCTCCCCGACGCCCTACCCTCGTTTTGCTTCACCGAAAGCCTCCAGTTTGAATTTTGGAATGTGAATTCTCAGGAGCAGGGAGTTGGGGGAATGGGAAGGGAGAGTCAGCCTGACACATCCTCCCCACCACCCCCTGAAATGATGTTCTCTCCCATGAAGGCTGGGGGAGATTGATTCCTGCTGTGGTTTTAAGTAAGATAAACATCTGAAGGGCCCAAAATCTTTATTTTGCAGCATTGAATGGAAGGGGCAATTTATAAATGCTCCTTTAATATTTCTGAAACAGATTGGCCAGTAATTTATAGACTGCAACATTGAGGACTGAATTAATTTTCCCAGTGAGAAAAGTCCACATGCAGCTTGGCGAAAGCTGCTCCTGGCATCCCTAAGCAAAATCAGAGAATGACAGGGTGAAGGGGGACCTTGGAGGTGATGAATCCGACGCTGTCAGTTTCCCAGTGGGGGAAACTGAGGCCCAAGGTCACACAGCAAGTTCCTGGCTGAGTCAAGTCTTGAGCTCCAGCCTCCTAAGGGCTAGACCAGTTCTTCACTCTATCCCCTTCTGGGTAGGTGAGGTCTCATTGTTGAGCTTACCTTTCTATGTTATTGGTGCTTATAGCCTCATACCACTGAGAGGGCCCTGCATTCTTCTCTGGCTTTTGTTTCCTTTCTTCTCAAAAGACGAAGATGTCCTTGCCTGAATTACGAGTTGTAGGCCCAATGCTGAAGATCGGGGGCAGGCTAAGGTTCTTGCTTGCATGACTGTCCACATGTCGGGCTCATGTGGGTAGGGAATCAATAGCTATTAAGTACCTACTATATCAGGTGCAGGGCTGAGCACTATATCTACATTATCTTGTTTATAATCCTCACAACAATGCTGACTGGGGCTCCTATTTTGATCTCCTGTTTTACAAGGGTAAAATGAGGCTCAGAAGGTTAAGTCCTGCTCCTTTTTACCACCCCACACCCTGCCCCCTCTACAGCCCCTCCCTCTTCTCTCCAGGCCCAGAACAGCAAGAAATCAAATGGGTCAGATGCTTCCAGTGATTGGAAGGATTGGGTAAGGCATTAACTAGACCAGCACTTCTCCCACTGGAATGCACCCATCAGTCACCTGGGAGCCTCGTTAAAGTACAGATTCCCAATAGTAGCTGGGGAAGGGGGTGAAATGTGGAGCCTGACACTCTGCATTTCTAACACGCTCACATATGGTGCTGCTGCTGCTGGTTTAGGACCATATTTCAATTACTAAGGGCCTGGATCACCCTACCAGAGCCATTTGCCTCCATGCTTTCCCGAAGCCTTCCATCCAGTGTCATACTAATGGTCAGAAAGCCCATTCTCCTGACTCTGGAATTCGGGGCTTCTTTTTTATCCTGGCCAGTCTCTACGAGAGAGATGGAAACCACCACCACCCCTCAACTGCAGAGCCTCCCGAATCATGTTGAGGTTGTTCTGTATGTAAAACCTAAGCAGTGCGGCCGCGTGAGGCTTCCCACCATTGTGATTTAATAACTAGTAACTGAACAACAAGTTGGTCCCTTCCATTTACTTGGTTCTTGAATCACAGAGCTTGTGTCACAGGCAAGATCTTTACGTGAAAACTGTGTTGAGTCCCGAATGTTACCAAACATTATAAATAGCAGCTGGTTTGTTTTCCAAATGCTCTATGCTCTGAAATGAGAAAAGAAATACATAGAACCAAAGAGGCTGTTTCTGTCCCCCCGATTCTGACACACCAGCACAAACACACGCTACCGAACGAGGCACCCTCGTGCAATTATGTTGTGGATCACGTCTGAATATCTCCTTGTACATGACATTTACGAAGAAAAACACTTGCAAATTAAATGTTTGATTAAATTACATCTTTTACAGTGTAAAATGGGTGAGCATAATTGAAAGCTGCATTAGCTAAAGAACACGAACTTTATATGAGCTTTATCCTGGGCCTACGAATCTCGATAGTTTTACTGAATCCTTAGTGCCAATGGCCCAGAGTATTTATGCATTACATCTCGTAAAATAATCTAAAGGTTCAGTAGTGTGCAGCCTTATCAGAGCTAAACCGGTACAGTTTGACCACGAATCTTGTCTAAGGGCAGTGAGCACTTGCCGGTGGAATTGTGGGTGTATTTTATCAAGAGCTAACTTGGTTAGTCTTTCTTGTGTGGTTCAATACAGGAGGGATGGCTACCCAGTCACCCAGATTCTAAGTCTGTACTCACTTTTCCAGATTCCATGTCTACACCAATAATAGCATCTAATTTACTGCCGGCTTCTAGAGAATAGCCTCTTTTATAATCTTGAGATGTAGACATATACTTTCTGGACTATTCCCTTCTTCCCTTTTGTATTTCATCCTTTTCTCTTCTCTTTACTATCCCTCCCTCTCTTTCCTTCGTTTCCACCTTTAATCTTCCCTTTACCACCCTCATAACCCTGCCTTTTCCTCAAGTTTGAGGACTGCATCAAATTTCCCAAGGTAGTTCCCTATTTAAGAGCACCTCTCAATGACTGTGTGTTTAAAATGAAGACTTTATATAGTAGAGTAAGGCCCTAATTCCATTATCTGGCCTTTCTTGTGATACTTTTAAAAGAATACCTCTGCAGCCCAAGTGTTCAACATGTGTGCTCACTCCATTTTCCAGGCCGCTCACTCTGCCCAGGCCAATGGAGGAAATCTTCATCCAGACACCCCTGGAGGTGATTTTTAAAGACCGAGTTAGAGTTTGCCAAGTGAAGAAGCCAGAGTGGGGAAGGGACATTCTAGGCAGTGGGAGCAGCACATTCAAAGGCCAGGAGTTGGGAAAGGGCCCAGGTAGTCTGGGAATGTTGGAGAGTCTGTGGGGGCAGGTGGAGATGAGGGGCTGGAGTTGACTCTGGAGGGACCTGTTAGGATCAGGCTGTGAGAGGCCCTCATGGAGGAGCCTGCAGAGAATTTTAAACCAAGAGGGGACCTGATCGCTTTTGTGTTTCACATGGTTGGCTAGAGTACAGGGTGGACTGCCAGCCAGTGGAGAGCAGCTGGCTAGGAGCTGCTGCATCAACGCAACCAGGCAGGCACTTAGGAGACAGGGGCTGGGCCAGGCAGCCCTGCCAGGAAGGCTTCAGGGAACTGAGCAGAGCTGGGAACTGGGGACCCAAGAGGGCAAGGATGCCAGCCAGGAGGGGAGAACTGGCAAAAGAAAGGCTAAGGCCTCCAGTGGAGATCAAAGGGGTCAGGGAGGCCGGGCATGGTGGCTCAAATCTATAATCCCAGCACTTTGGGAGGCTGAGCTGGGCAGATTGCTTGAGCTCAGGAGTTCAAGACCAACAGCCTGGGCAACATGGCAAAACCCTGACTCTACAAAAATTAGCCAGGCATGGTGGTGCATGCCTGTAGTCCCAGCTATTTGGGAGGCTAAGGTAGGAGGATCACCTGAGCCCAGGGAGGTTGAGGCTGCAGTGAACCATGATCACACCACTGCACTCCAGCCTGAGCAACAGAGTGAGACCTTGTCTCAAAAAAAAAAAAAAAAAAAAAAAAAAAAAATTGGTGCCAGGGGAGGGGGAGCTGAGTCCTGGCCCTGGCTGGGAATGGAGAGGATTAGTGTTAGGTTTCAAGGGTTCCCAGAGTGTCTGGGCCATGTCTCCATGAGCAGGGGTCTGGGCCCTGAGGGTGGCAACTAAAACATCACAGAAGGCAGGATGGCTGCTGATTACCAGCAATGTAAGGGAGATTGGGAAAACTGCTGTTGGGTTGGGGAACTAAATAATGATAATGATAATAATGATAACCCCATTCCCCTATGTATACTACATTTCAAAATTATCTGAGCCACTTGACCCTGCCATGTTGTTACTAACAGCATGAGAAATCTAAAGCAGGTTAATTGAACTAAAGTCACAATCAATGAAGATGTAATATTTAAGTCCCCATCTCCTCGTCTAGTGTTTTTAACAGGCAAGGATGTTAGTACTCCTTCGCATACTTATATCTGGCTCTATGCTAAGCATTGTGGAAAACACAAAGGATATGAAAAATCATTGCCTTAAGGAAGCTCAATGAGAAGGCAAAGTTAATCCAGTGAAAGTAGTGAACAATTACAAGGAAGTATCCATTTATTATCCATACATTCACTGGCCCACCCACCCATTCACCCACCAACCTACCCATCCACCCTGCCACTCATGCATCCATCCATCTATCCATCCATGTACCTGTCCACTTGTCCATTCATCTGCCCATCAACCCATGCATCCATCCATTTGGCATTTACCATAGTCATTATAAACTGGGTCATCAAGATCCTAAGTTGATTCTTCCCACTCTGGCTGCATATTAGAAGCACCTGGGCATTAAAAATACTGATGCCCAATTCGCCAGAGATTCTAATTTCTTTGGTCAAGGGTGGGGCTAAGCTTTGGTATTTTTTAAAAGCTCCCTGGGAATTTCAATACGTAGCCAGAGTTGAGAACCTTCTAACATGGTTTAGTTGTTCAAAGATGGGAGGGCCTCAGAAGGTTCCTAGAAGCCCCCTAGTGCAGCCTCACAGCCACTGAGGGGAGGCCTGGATGATGGTAGTTTCGGGAGTTGGCCCATTATCATCTTTCTCTCGGCTTAGAGTAGCTTCTCCTAGCCCTCTCTGCTAGCAGTTGGGGAAAGCATCGAGAAGGAGGCATGATTTGATCTGGGCTTTGAAGAACAGGCAGGCCTGGAATAGACAGGGGAAAAGTCGTTTCAAGTTGAAATGGAGTCACAGCGCAGCCCAGGATGTGGATCAGGATTGAGGCTGGTGAATTTGGAGACAAGAACCTCTATGTGCTTTTGAGAGCTCTTTCAAGTCATAAAACAAACAGACCTCTTCCCAAACACCCAGGCATCCCTTCTGTGGAGCTCCTTGACTGTGGCCCATACCAGAGTAACAGGGGAAGTAACAAGGACGGCTGGGCCATCATCTCACCATCATCATTTACCATCCATCCTGCTGTTCTCTGAAAGCAAACACCTTGCCCCCCACCCCCAGCACAGCCCCACCTGGAGAGCAATGAGGAGTGATGAGCCCGTTGCAGGGAGGAAGTTTAAACAATTACTTTGCTCTGATTAAGAAGGCTAATGCCTCTCTTTGAGGAGCAGCGTTAATGGGAAAGTGGGGATGATGGATGCTCACCCCTACCCACATAAATCTCACCTGTGCGCCTCTGTTGCCTCCTCATGATGCATGTATGAGATAAATTCTCCAAATCTATTTTTGTGCCGTTGCCAGCAGCCTGCTGATGGAGTAAATAAGAGTTATGGCCGCCATAATGGCATCACTTAGGAGGGGCTGAAAAAACAGCAAACATGTCTACACTGTTCTTATAAATCTATTATAAATGTGGGCTCAAGTTCCCAAGGAAGTTCCACGAAACTGCACAGCACTCGCTTTCTCTGGAGTCTAAATGAGCACCTGAACGAACAGGTGCCAGAGATGCCGAAATCGACCAGTGAGCCCTTCCCAGTCATTTCCTCCCTCCCTCCCCTCTGAGTTCTAAGCCCTGGTCAGCTGTGAGAGCAGAAGCTACACAGAGCCAAGGAGCCACCGAGCATGCCCCAAGGCTCCAGCCCCTGCAGATGGGATGGCTGCCACCAGCACCTTCATTTAACAACTCTGGGGCATGGCAAATCTGAAGTGGCTGGGCGGAATGCTCTCATCTGGTGGAATGGGCAGGGGGAAGCCTTTGAGAGAGAGCTGACTTGGGATAAGCCAACTCTTGTCTTCCCTCTGTGCTTTTTCTTCCCTGGATGGAGTTGAGACAGACTTCTCTGTTGGAAAAGGGGGTGTTTGACCTGGTAGGTCTGGGGTGGACCAGGTCTCAGAGTCTACTTCCTGAAAGTCTTGGCTTTTTTCCTGCTTCCCATCCCAGCCTCTTTAGTCTGAATGGGCTTGTCTGGCATGGAAAATGGAAGCAATGAGACCCAGGACTCTCCAGGGTCCACCCTTCTTCCCGCCAACACTCATCTCCCAGTCTTGACTCCCTGTACTTCCTCTCTGCTCCCCCAGCTGAGGCCTCAGTTTCTTCATCTGCAAAAAGGGAATAATACTAACAATAATAAAATAATAATACCTAACTTGTGGGGTTGTTGTGAGACTCCCATGAAATAATGGAGGTGAAAGCACTTTGTATGGTCAAGTGCTATGAGGCATAGTGTTCGTTGTAATGATTGTCCTTTGGGGCTCATATCTGTCACAGAAAAATGCCTAAGCCATGCTCCTCTGAACTGGATGCCCTCAGTCATTCCCTTGGGAAGAGCTCTCTGTAAATGCTGCCAGGTAAGGCTAATTATCTTTTAACTCAGGCATCTTCTTGCCCCAAGATAGGCTTTAAACCCCCAGAGGGCAGTGCCAGCCTCTGAAATGGCCCGGCAATCCCAGGGTGAGTGCTTGGCTGATCCCTGGCACATATGGGATTATGTGTGACCCTTCTGATGGTCAGGGTGGGCCCTGGCTGGGAAGATGTGTGGACTCCCCTGGAGCTGCAATGACCTTCTTCCTGGATTACAGCCAGAGTCTCCTAACTGCTCTCCATCTATTCTCTAATCCCAATAGCTACTCTCCATGCAGCTGTCAGAGTGGGCCTTTTAAAACATTGGTCAGGTCATGCCAGGCCTCCGATGGCTCCCATCACACTCAGGGTAAGAGCCGAAGCCCCATGTGGGTGTCTAAGGCCCCGTGTGATCCTTACCCACCTCTCTCACTCATTGCTAGCCTCCCTGACCTCCCTCCTGCCCCTTGCACATGGCAGGTCTCTCAGGAACCTCAGGGCCTTTGCACTGGCTGTTTCCTCTGCCTCCACATGGCTCACTGCTCGCTTCAGGTCTTTGCTCAAATGTGTCCTTGCTGAGGCTTTTCCTGACACTGTGTTAAAAGTGTAGGTCTCTACCCCAGCCCCCTCTTCCCCTTTCCCTACATATTGCTCTCCCACATTGGACAGTCTATTCCACGTATTGCATTTAGTTCTTTTGTTTATCCTCTGTCTTTTCCACCAGAATGTAGGGGCTCTAGTCAGGTGTGCTGATGTGCACCTGTAGTTCCAGCTACTCGGGAGGCTGAGACAGGAGGATTGCTTGAGCCCTGGAGTTGAAGGCTGCAGTGAGCTATGATCACACCACTGTAGTTTAGCCTGGGCAACACAGTGAGACCCTGTCTCAATTATATTTTTAAAAATTTTTAACACGGAATGTAGGTTCCATGAGAGCAGAGACTAGATTTGTCTAATTCTTGACTGTATCCTCAGTACCTAGAATAGTGCCCAGCCCATAAGAAGCCCTTGATAAATATTAGTTGCTTGAATGAATAAATGAATAAATGAGTGGATGAATAGATTACAGAGACAGAGAGGCCCTGGCTGGGCTAGACGCCGTGACTATTGGAAGTCGCCATCAGCTCTGGGAGAAGGGTGGGTTCTTGGCCAGAAGGCAGGTGGGGAAAAGGACCCTTTTACCTGCTTAGATCCTGAGGGAGTGAAGCTCTGGGCCCCATCCCAGTTGCCACTCTTTCTGCCTCTTCTTCCAGAGCAGAGAGAGGGTGTAAGGATGCAACAACAGATGCATCTGGAAACCACATATGTAATAATTCCCATAATCACTGGCACTCACTTTTCCAGAAAGCCAGCAAACCCGTTAACATGCAGCTCGACCTATACCCTGTAAAGTATGCAAATGGCATGGGGTGGGGAAAACGCTTCCACAGGCGCAAGTCCCCATTAAAAAAACATTGCTTCCCTCACTGCGGCACTTGGCCTGCAGATAGATTCTAAATGTCAATAGTTCCCCCAGTGAAGGCAGGCAGAAGGTTGAAAGGTCAGCCGTTTTAGGAAGCTAATTGCTATCAGTAAATTAGAACTATGAACACACCAGCCTTTCTCCTTTGTCACCTCTCCCCCTACCCCAACCCTTTTCCTGACCCAGGAGCCCCAGGTACGATGCAATTTAAAACCCAGAGTTGGAACCTAGAATACAGGCTTTCTGTGATGAGGAAGATAATAGGGACTAGATCCTACCCTCCTGAGAATAAGTGGATCCTCGCCTGGTTTGCAGTCAGTCCAGGAAATAATAGCCCATCTGGGAGCCAATACTTAACCAGTTCCAAAGGCAGGGGTGACTCCAGCTTATGCTGTGACTTTGCGGGGCTGAGGGATGCAATTTGGGCACTGTGGCTGCCTCCCCCAGAATGCCCACTCTGGCCCCAGCTCTCTTCTGCAGCCCTTCCTCTCATTATAGGACAAACCCCTGGTGGTCTCTTCTGAGAGGAGAGAGAGCTGGGCTGAAGGTCATTTAACCTCAGTTTCCCCAACTGTAAAATGAGAATGTAGAAAGCGTGCCCTTCCCAAGGCTGCCTTGAGGTCTGGAGGGGGTAATGCCTGTGGAGTGCTGAGCAGAGGGCCCCAGAAATTTCTACAAGGGGATAGCGTTAGGATTTTATCTGTCAATTCTGCTGCCTAGAACTTAACAATGTCACTTGTGGGGCAAGTTAGGCCCCTGTGGACTCACTTGCCCATCTGGGACCCTTAGAGGGCCAGGCCTTTCCCTCCCTTTTTGCCACCCACCAGCGTGGCAAGGTGGGCAGGAGGTTCAGTCTACCAGCCAGCATAGGCCAGGCACTTGGCGTCTGCAGACCAGCCCACAAGATGTCTCTGTGTGTGTTGCTTCCCTTGGTCATCAGTGAGCTGTCGGGGAGGTGTTTTGTGGGCAGGGAGTCAGGGTGGCTGGGTTCAGAAGCAGACTTGCTCACATGGCTGCTAAGCCCACAGAGCCCCTGGGCTGCAGAGAGAAGCCGTCTGTCCCTTGTTGAAATCCATGCCAATGGCTGTTTCTGCTTTCCTTTGAACCTCCCAGAGAAGGGTGCCTGCGGGGTCACCCCCTTGGTGACATAGTGCAGGATTGGGTGGCTTAGAGAGACACAGAGCTCTTCCTTGGGTCCTCTAACCCCTGCTCCTGTGAGCCTTCTCCATGAGCAGTTAGTAAAACAAACCCTCCTCCTGGCTGGGCGCGGTGCCTCATGCCTGTAATCCCAGCACTTTGGGAGGCCAAGGCGGGCAGATCACTTGGGGTCAGGAATTCAAGAGCAGCCTGGCCAACATGGTGAAACCCTGCCTCTACTAAAAATACAAAAATTAGCTGGGCGTGGTGGTACATGCCTGTAGTCCCAGCTTCTAGGGAGGCTGAGGCAGGAGAATCACTTGAACCCAGGAGGCAGAGGTTGCAGTGAGCTGAGATCACACCATTGCCCTCCAGCCTGGGTAGAGGCTCTGTCAAAAAAGAAAAAAAAAAAACACTCCTCCCAGGGCCCATGGAGATAACAATGTCCCCTCAGGCCTCCCCTCCACCCGAGGCCCAGTGTGACACCTTCTACTTCAGACCACGCTTCTGCCCCACGGGAGGGCATGTAGGCCAAGAAGCCATCTCTCAGCCCCAGTCCTGGGGGACGTCCCTGTAGAGCAGGCAGCCTGGCTGGCATGTTGCAAGAGCCGCTCGGCCCAGACTCCCCCAGGCCCACTGGGCCTCCTGCCTGCTGTCAACCCCTTTTGTTCTCACCTTTTCAAGCAGCTTCACTGGTGGTTTGGATGGAGTTTGTGGGCCAGGGAAAAAGGGATTAAAAACAGTAAGGACATAAAAGGACCTGAAGAAGGTGTCTATTCTAGACACCAGGTGTTATTCTTTATGGGATGGAACAGGTTATTCATGGCCATCATAAAGACTGGGGAGTTCGTGTTTATTATTCCCAGTGCTGTAGGTGTGTGCTCATATTTCATTTGATCCTTAATACAAGCTCATGAGGAGGGTAGAGTCAGTCCCATCTTGTAGATGAGGAAACCATGGCTCAGAGAAGACATGTAACTCGCCTAGCTAGGAAGTGGTAGAAGAAATCGAGGCTTAGAGATGTTCAGTAACTGGCCCCAGGTCACACAGCTAGGAAACGCCAAAGCTGGGATTGAATCCCACTTCTGTTTGTTGAACAACATACAACAACAAAAAAAGCTCTTTTCACTATGCCATGCTATTGACAACTGCCCAGCAGCTTTTTAAATGCCTGTTCTACACAGCAGGCATTTGGAGAGGACCTCACTGAATCCCTCATCTGTGGGGAGGGTGTTTGCCTCCTAAGTCCTCCTTTAAAAGGCAGAGGTCAGCACAACACCTGATGTGGCTCCCTTTCGACCCAGCTTTTCAGAATCTGCTGAGAGGTGAACTTCATGGGATGTGCTGAAATCTGTGTGTATTGATTTTGTACATTCACTGACAATATCACTTCCTGAAAGAGCAGTGTGTCACCTGCAGGGGGAACCTGGGGACCTCCCTGTCCTTGTTGTCCCCATTCCTCACAGTGATGCTGGGGATTGGAGTGAGGAGGGGAACTGGCAGATTGTACACAGGTGAGCCTTGGGCAGAGGGGAGGGAAAAATATGATAAGGGACAGCCTAGGCAAAGATACAGAGGCCAGCAAAGCCTACTGTGTGTGTTAGCAAAGTCAGGCTTGGCTGGGTATTGAGGCTCAGGGGCTGCATCTCTCCTCATCACTGCTCTGGGCTCTCTCTTTAGAAGTGGGCACGGTGTCTGCTACAAATGGGCAAATCCTTTAAGAACAAAGCAAACAAGGAAGCCCCCTTGGCCCCGGCACTCAGCCTAAGCCTGCGTGAGAAGTCTTAGCCAAGAGCTGAGGCCCTCAGCCTGCAGCAGCTGCAGAGAACCTGCAGGATGCTCGGCAGTGCCTGTCCCCAAAGTCTGACCATCCACCCAGCTCTGCCGTCCCTTCGGCTTCAGCTGAGCTCTAAAGAAAGCCTGACCACCACGTCCCGTGAGGTGCCTACACTGCATGCAGCCTGGGTACCTACACTTCTGGAGTCTGGGGTGTGCTTCCTCCATTAGGTTAAGAACTCTCAAAGGCTATGTGGGATATTTGGGAAGTTTGGATAGTCCAGATGGCGATTTGGGATCCTGGGTGTACGTTAAGGGCTGCAGGGGGAGGTAGTAAGCTAGGGGAAGAGAAAGAAGAAAATAAGGCAAGGAAGCGTGAGGAGTCAGCTTCCTGCTACTTAGTTGCCATGTGAACTGGAGCAGGTCCCTTCACCTTTCTGAGCCTCAGTTGCCACAGCTGCAAAATGAAGATACAGTAATCTTTTTTTGAGACAGAGTCTCACTCTGTTGCCCAGGCTGGAATGCAGTGGTGGGATCTCGGCTCACTGCAACCTCCGCCTCCCAGGTTCAAGCAATTCGCCTGCCTCAGCCTCCCGAGTAGCTGGGATTACAGGTGCATACCACCACACCATGCTAATTTTTGTATTTTTAGTAGAGACAGGATTTCACCATGTTGGCCAGGCTGGTCTTGAACTCCTGACCTCAAGTGATCCACCCACCTCGACCTCCCAAAGTGCTGGGATTACAGTCGTGAGCCACCGTGCCTAGCCAGGATACAGTCATCTTTATTGCACAGGGTTGTAGGGAGGCTCAAATGAGATAAGGGTGAAGAAAGTGCCCTGCCAACTGTAAACCACTCTGCAAACTGTAAAGCGCCCTGCCCACATAAAGCACTGCAGTTGTTAGAGACTGAGGGAGTTAGGGTATATGTCAGAATCACACCCACTCTTCTGTGTTTCATTTGGAGGTGACACATGTCACTCCATTCACAGCCTGCTGGCCCGGACTAGTCTTCCAGACCTGCCTGGCTACAAGGGGAAATGGAGTAGAGCCCATGGGCTGTTGGGTGGGCATTGATATCAAGCTGAGATGCTGAGCCAAGGGGTCCTGAATCAGAGCAACCACTGCCCAGGGCAATTCAGGGCTTGGGATGGGCAGGCGAGCCCTCAGAAAGTGCCTTAAGTGGACAGGCAGGCAGGCAGCAGCAGACTCCCCATCCCTCCCCTCTCTCCTGCCAAGCCTATGGCTCAGGACCCTTGGACAAAAGCCCTCCTGGGTTCTACAGCCACAGGGCTCTAGGCATCCACAGGAGAGCAGTGAGGTATGAGAGGCTCTGTCCTGCCATGGCAAACTGGAAGCCTCAGGTAGAGATAGTAGAGCTACAAAACAGAAATGCCTGGATTGCTGAATCTCTCATGAAGGCCAACCGCCCTGGGAAGCTGCCTGGACCCACAATAGATTTTGTATGAGCGATATATACATTTTTGTTATTTTAAGGCTTTTAGATTTGGGGGATGTTTATTATAGCAGCAGGACCCAGACTATCCTGACTTAATATACTTTTTCATCTTGCACTGTTTGAGCTTCATAATCCAGTCTGTCCTGCTGCAGGGCACTGCTAAGACTTTCTCCCAGCTCCTCGTTCTGTGGACACAAGCCTTATGGTTAAGACATCACCTCTCCATTCTCCTCACATTCCAGTTCAATTTCTTTTTTTTTTTTTTTTTTTTTTTTTTTTTTGAGATAAGGTCTCACTGTCATCCAGGCTGCAGTGCAGTGATGTGATCATAGCTCACTGCAGCCTCCAACTCCTGGGCTCAAGCAATTCTCCCGCCTCAGCCTCTCAGGTAACTGGGACTACAGGCACCTGCCACCACACCTGGCTATTTATTATTATTATTATTATTATTTTTAGTGATACGAGGTCTTGCTACCTTGCCCAGGCTGGTCTCAAACTTCTGGACTCAAGCAATTCTCAGTCTCCCAAAATACTGAGATTACAAGCATGAGCCAGCACACCAGTTCAATTTTTAAGAAAAGTGACCCCCTAATGCAGAAGTAAGAGGACATCTCATCACCTGTTTACTCTTGAGAATTATGGGCACCTCCTGGGGTGCTGGCCCTGTGTGTGGCATCAGAGATAGAAAGATGTACATTCTCCCTTTCTGCCTTGAAGAAGTTCACAATGTGGACTGGAGCACAGAGAGAACACAGTGTGGTAATGAGCAGGTGATGGATGGATTAATGAGTGGAGGGTTGGATGAAATGATCACAATTCAGTGTCTACTCCATTGCCCCTTCTCTCCTATTACCTTCCTTAGTACCAACAACTACTCTATAAGGTATGTATTATTTTCCCTAATTTATGGATGGGATTCGAACCCAGGTCTGGGTGATGCTAGCAACTATATTCCTTCCACATCACCTTGCCATAGTGGAGATGTTCATTGCTTTGTACAAGCTCCCCAAGGGTCGAGGTTTCCTCTCCTTTCTCAGATTAGACCCAGATCACTGCCTCCTGTGGGAAGCATTCTCAAAACTTTCCTCCATACACCACCCACTACACCAAGCACCCCTTGCATCTTTTCAGTTTTTGTTTCTTAAAAGCCTTATTGAGGAATATTTCAAATATATATAAAAGCAAAAGAATAATATAATGACTCCCATGTCATGATTACCCCACTCCCTTTCCCCCTTGCCCAGGCATCGTGCTGGTTGATCTGTAAATACTTCAGCATTTATGTGGTCGCTTACTTCTGTTCATCCTTCCCGCTCTGGGGCTGGTATTGGGTCTTTTTCATCTTCAATTCCCCAGTGCTCAGTTCACTAGAAACTGGGTGTGTCTGTTGAGTGAATAAATGACAGAGTCCCATGTGGGGACATGAGTAGGTTCCTGGTGCCTGTCACTGCCCCATTACAGCTTCTAAAGAGTCTGGCTTCTCAGCAGGGCCAGTTCTTCTGGGTAGGACGTTCCTTAGATTGCAGTGTGTGAAAACCTTTCTGTTGTGGTCATCTGGGACTCTGGATGCTGATAAAGCCTTCTCAAATATGGCTTCTTTTGTGTCAACATCACGCGGGCATAATTACATTCGCTGTGCAAACACACAGGCGAAGGGCCTCTGGGCCACGCAGTGTGGTATTATCGTGGCTTCTGCCCAGACATCCCTCAGAAGTCCTGCCAGGAGAGCAGATGGGGCCAGTTCAGTCCCCCAGGACGCCCCCAGCATCCCAGCTGGCCTGGCAAGGCCCTGTTCTTTGATCTGATTTCAGCCCAAGAGGACCCACAGAGCTGGTCAGCCCTGTGGCCCTGCTACATTTCTGACAGTGGCACTGAGAGACACTTAGACATGACCATTGGGTTGCCAACCACTGTTGAATACCTACTATGTGCTTGCACCTGCTGGAGTCAGAGGGAATAAGACTCAGACCCAGCCTCGAAGAGCTCTCAATATGTGAAGACAAGGAAAGCTCTAGAAGATAATATTTACCATAAGAAACAGCCATGGCCCCAGCCCGCCTTGTTTGCCTGAAGGACTCTCTTCTATCTCTGGCTGGGTCCCTGATTCGGAAGGATTGAGACAGCCCCTCAGAGTTTTGAGACATTCCCTGTTACAGGCTGAATTATGTCCCCTCTAAAAAAGCATATTGAAGTCCTAACCCCCAGTGCCTGAATGTGACCGACCTTATTTGGAAGTAGGGTCATTGCAGATGTCATCAGTTAAATTAAGATGAGGTCATACTGGAGGAGGCTGGGCACCTGATCCAGTATGCCCTGCAGTCCTAGGCCGTGTAAAGACATGCAAATGGGGGATCCCATGAGGTGGCCAAAGCGGAGCCTGCAGTTATGCAGCGGCCAGCAAGGAAGGCCAAGGATGCCAGCAAACCAGAAGCTGGGAGGGGCGAGGAGGGACTGCCCTAACAGGTTTCAGGGGGAGTGTGTCCCTGCCAGGACTTGGGATTTCAGAACTTCTACCTCTGGAACTGTGAGTTGATAAATGTCTGTGTTTTAAGCCACCCAGTTTGTGGTGGATTTTTACAGCAGTGCTGGGAAACTGATATGTTCCCCCCCAGTGCTCTGAGCTCCCTGGAAAAATATCTGTTCCCCAGAAGTTTATCTGAACCTTTCTTGGCCTCCATTCACAGCTCTGACGTCCCCTGGGTAATGAAATCTGTGCATTCTTGGCCGGGTGTGGTGGCTCATGCCTGTAATCCCAGCACTTTGGGAGGCCGAAGTGGGCAGATCACTTGAGGCCAGGAGTTCGAGACTAGCCTGGCCAACGTGGTGAAACCCCGTCTCTACTAAAAATACAAAAATTAGCCAGGTGTGGTGGTGCGCGTCAATAATCCCAGCTACTTGGGAGGCTGAGACATGAAAATCGCTGAACCTGGGAGGCAAAGTTTGCAGTGAGCTGAGATCACACCACTGCACTCCAGCCTGGGTGATGGAGTGAGGCTCTGTCTCAGGAAAAAAAAAAAAAAAAAAGGGAAAGAAATCTGTGCATTCTGTCTCTGCTACATGACCAAATACCTCCCTCTAATTGGCTCTAAGTTGTTGAGCTAGAGCCCTCCTTGTCCTGGGGGTCGAGGATCTTGTACATGAACCCTTATGATCAGAAAAGCTGCTTAAGGGTCAAGAGAGGCAGGATGATTTGGTTTTTAAGAGCATGGACTCAGGCTGACCCTGGTTTAGATCCCAGCTCTGCCACTTCCTTGCTGTATGACCTTGAGCACGTAACTTAGCTACTCTGTGTCTCATCTGTTTTCTCATCTGTAAAATGGGAGTGATGATATTATGAGCCCTAAACTCAGAGGGTAGTTAGAAGGCTTAAATGAGTTAATACAGGGATTGGCAAACTTTTTCTGTAAAGGACCAGATAGTAAATATTTTAGGTTTTGCAAACCACATACAAGGTTTCTGTCGCAACGATTCCACTCTGCTATTGGAGAGCAAAAGCAGACACAGGTAGCATACAAAGAAATGGCCTGCTGTGATTCATAAAGCCTTATTTACAAAAACAAATGGCAGGCAGGGTTTGACCCAGAGGCCACAGTTTGCCAACCTTTGAACAGTACATCGGAGGCACCTAGTGCAATGTGCAGCGCAAGGCGACCCTCCGTGCATGGGGGCAGTTGTTGTGGAGCACAGAGCCCTTTCTCATGCACAGTTCCATTCACTGTCATGGAAACCCTCTGAGGAAGGGGTTGTGGGTACCCCCACTCTGCAGACAGGAAATCTGAGGTCCAGAGAAGTTCTTCATCTTGTTCTGTAGTGAGCCTAAGGCAGAGAGCTTGCATTTTCTGCCCAGCAGTCTGTGAGCCTTAATAAACACAGTTTATCTCTTGCCCAGTCGATCAACTTACCAAAGACCTGTTCCGTGCCCAGAGCTGTATCCAGCTTAGACAGGAAGAACTGTTCCTGCCCCAATTTTCAAAAGTCAGCTTCTTATTTACCAATTGGGAAAAACAAACCTGCCCATCTCAAAGAGTTCTTTTTGCCATGCAGTCATTCATGGATTCTTGCTTATGTTCATTCATTTATTTATTTTCATTCAGGTATTTATGCACCAAACATGTACTGAGAGAGATATAGCCAGGACCAAACAGGCATGGTCTCGGGCAGGGCTATTGTCAGCCTAAGTGGCCTCTTTGTGAAAACCGGGGGGGAAAAAAAAAAAAAGTCCCTTCCTCTGAGTGGATACGAATCTATAGTAGGGCAGTTGAGGACTAGATTTCAGCCCCATTTTCCCCTTGGCCAGGTACCTTGAGCAGTGCACAACATACATAACCATGCATGGTGTTCCTGTTCCCTGGAGCTTCAGTCTACTAGAGGTTTCAACCATGGAAGTGAGTGATGACAGTCGTGATGTGAGTGCTCCGACAGCCAGATGAGGGACAGGCCCTGGAATGCCCTCCACTCCTCTCCTCATCCACTGGCTTCACCCTCCCCATTTAGCACTGCCACCTCTGTGCCCACATAATCAGCCCTTGGCATGAACCTTCCTCCCACCACCACTGTAGACAGCTTCCTCACCTTGTAGGACTTGGAGGGGGCCCTACCTGAAGGACAGAGAACGTATCGCTGTGAAATATACTTCCCGGTGTACCCAATCTGCATTAGTGTGTGTCATTAAAAGATGATTGTTATGTGAGAAAGAGGCCGGGATTGCATTAGTGAAACATCTGGAATTGTTTTAGTGTGCTGACGAAGAGCCAGTCCGAAGTGCCTCACTTTCTGCAGCCACCACCACCACAGGTGCTGAATCTGAGGGCCAAAGATCGAACCTGTAACCTGCCACCTCACCCAGGAAGCCCTCCTGAGCTGCTCCAGGTCACACTCAGCTCTCTTTCCCCTCTCTGAATTGTTAAACCACTCACTTTGGTGTCTAGCCACTTACTGTCTGCCATTGGCAACTGTTTCGACTGGGTTACATTTGTCTTCCTTGTTGGACAGTAAGCCCTCTGATACCACGTGAGGCATTTTCATCTCTTAAACCCCAGCGAACATCATTGAAAGACCAGCAGTTCGGACACTGTAACTGACACTTGCTACGAGGTAGGGATGAGAGAAGGCTGACCGTCACCCCACCGCCGCCTGACCCGGCTCAGGACCGTCACCCCACCGCCGCCTGACCCGGCTCAGGACCGTCACCCCACCGCCGCCTGACCCGGCTCAGGACCGTCACCCCACCGCCGCCTGACCCGGCTCAGGACCGTCACCCCACCGCCGCCTGACCCGGCTCAGGACCGTCACCCCACCGCCGCCTGACCCGGCTCAGGACCGTCACCCCACCGCCGCCTGACCCGGCTCAGGACCGTCACCCCACCGCCGCCTGACCCGGCTCAGAACCCTCAGCCAAATGGCTCACCTCTGCTCTGTCTGGAGGTGCCGGGCTTTGAGACAGTCCAGGCTTCCTAGAGGATGTAGTCCGGTGGAGAAAGCAGGGGTGGGAGGGGTGAAATCGAGACCTAGGTTGAAACTTAAACCCTGGTGCAGCCACTTAACGTAACCTGAGTTACGTTGGGCAGTCTACTCAACTCACTGTGTCTGTTTCTCTGTCTGTAAAGTAGGGAGAATGCCTATCTGTGAGAACCAAATGAAATGATAACAGTAAAAGGTCTAACTCAGTGCTCAGCACATTAGAGAGCAAATGCACATATCCACTCTCTTCCCTCTTCCCGTAGGCAGGAGACGTGGTCCCCAGGCTGAAGTTAGGCTGAGATCAAGAATCACTGAACTCCCCTCCTCCTCAGCTGTCAGGACCTGCTCTGAGCAAAGCCTCTCCCGCCACCTCTGGGAGTGGGTGGGGTCACCGCAGTTCCATTCCTGGGAGCATTTATCCTTGCTGACCTCTTCGCTGTGGAATGGAAGTTCCTCTGTCTTTTCATGTCTGCTCAAGGGCGATGTTTTTCGGTGGAGTGATGCATCCCATCGCTGCCATCCCTCAAATTCTATCGCATAGGTAGTCACCTCATTACCCTGTAGAAAATGGACCCATTTATCATTCATTTCTCCTTTGGTAGGGCTGAGGTGGAGCCCGAGACTGCATTTCCAGCAAGTTCACAGGAGACAGTCCTGCTGGTGCTGCTGGCCTGGGGACTGTAATTTGAGAACCATTCCCTAGACTGCACTGGCAGGAGTATGTGCCCTGAGTGAACTGTTAAGCCCTACAGGTGCCCAAGGGTTAAACTAAGCCTTCCCTGGAATGCCCACTTCTTTTTTCCCCTCCTGCTTTGGATCCAGGTGCTGCTCGGCACAGATGCCAGTGAGACCCAGGTGATTGGATTTGTGAACTTGGCTCAATTTCTCATCATCTGCCCTAGGAAACTGCATTATAAGGTGGGAAGAACACAGGACTCAGAGGCAGAACCGGGGTTCAGCCTGGTATCTGTTTCATAATAGGTGTGACCTTGGGCTGCTAGTAGTTGTAACTGAAGCAATGGGGACTTAGCTTGCCTGGGCCTCAGTTTTTTCATCTGTAAAATGGGGACATTACTGTTCTCCTGGCACACCGCCCATGTTTTTATGGGATGTGCTTGAACAGCCTCGTTAAATTAAAGTGCCGCAAAAAGACTATAATCTTATTATCCCTGGTGTGAAAGGAGAGGAAATAGTGAAAAACAGATTCTAACATCACAAAGATGCAAAGCCTTAGCCACTGAGGGGACTTTAGGGCATCGCTCCCTTAACCATCCCTCGATTTTATAAAGGAGAAAATGGAGGCTCAGAGGCAGGCAGGGAAGTGACATGCCCATGGTCAAATAGCAAAACCAGGAGAAGAATCCAGCTCTCCCCTGAGCCCTGCTCTTTCCTCCATACCAAAGTATCAACATCTCCCCAAACCTGGGCTCAGAAATTCTGCTTTTTCCGTCACCCCGTCTTTGAAGAGAAGCCAGGTATGCACCTCAATTTATCATTCCTGGTGCTCCTAGGAAGTTTCCATTATTCATCTTGTTAATTACTCTTCTCTTTGCTCTCCCTGGTTCTGGGCTTGTCTCCTTTTCTGCCTCTCTAAGCCAAGCCTGAAACAATAAAGAAATTTTATTACATATAAAACCGCTTTGGTAAGTGCTACCATTAGCTGATAATAAAAAGAATTTTTTGAGTGTTTCAAGCAGTTGTTTTTACATTTCCTGTTAATTATTCAAACCTCCAGGTATCATGTGGCCATGGGGATGTCAGGGTTGAGGGTGCCTCCTGTGCTTGTCCCGATCACCTCCTCTTCCAGAGAAGAAGTGGCAGTGGGGAACCCCGGGCTAGACACAGTGGGCAGCAGCCAGACTGGCGAGGACATTGTTCCTACTGCTGGAGAGCCTCTAATCTGAGGAGGAAGATGACTTTCCTAGGGAAAATCTAGTCTAATAAGGGAAATAAACTCCTGCCTGCCGAGGGCTGCCAGGATGGTGGGAGAGACCTGTTCTGATGGAAGAGAGCTGCCCCAATTGAGTTTCAGAGCTTCTTGCATTTCTCCACCCACTTGCCCTCACCCCACCCTATGATGGGACCAGGAGAATTTCCACGTTATAAGAGCTCACCCTCAAAGAGCACTTACTACGTGCCAGGTGCTTCTCTATGGACCTACACATGATTACTGCTTTTGCCCTCATGGCAACCCTATGAAGCAGGGACCATTCTTATCTACAGCTAAGGAAACTGAGGCATAGAAAGATTAAGTCACCTGCCTGAAGCCATCCACTAAGAAAGCAGTAGAGCTCAGATACGAAAACTGACAGGCTCATTTTGGCAGATAGTGGGTTTAGTTATCCCAACTGTAGTAGATGTTTAGTAAATGCTTATTGGTTCATTGACTCATGGTAAGTATGAGACGGAAATGCTAAATCCTACAGGATTTGGTGCCTGGGAGAGTCAGGGATGCCTTCCCAGAGCAGGTGGGGTGTAATGGGAGGGCTGGATGCTGCGAGGACTGTTTCCCCATCACCCTCCCAGCATCACTGAGGCCTGACCGGCAACAAGCACTCGGAGCTGCCACTTGCAGGCCATCTGCATGCAGGGTAACAGGCCATGAAATGTCATTATCAGCATGTTGTTCTAAGAGACAGCGTAGGTTATTGCTGGCAAGGATAGCAGCCCAGCCAGGGACAGGGCCTTTGCCTCTGCACTTCCCTTTCTGCAAGAGTCCCTGAGGCCTGGGAGGATCCCCAGGGAAGCAGGGAAGAAAGAAAAAATGCAAGGAGGAATTAGAGAGGGGAAGGGGAAGTTGATAGACGCTTGTTATCCCAGTTAATGTGCCCGGCGCATAAATACTTCCTACATGAATGAATGAGTGGTCCTTTGGGAGTGGATGGTGATGCCAAGCTGGGTACCAATCTGAATTCAGCTTATGTTTAAGGCTCCCAGCTCCCTGCTCAATTTATTTGGTGAATTAATTTGCCTCCCCGCCCCTTTCCTTCCTCTACTTTCCAGGGCTTGCCTTTAGTTAGGAAGACATGGACTCCAAAGATGAAATGACGGTCAAGGCAGGTGTGACTCGGTGTCAAAAAGCCAATAGGAAACACTGAGGCTGTCAGAAAACCTGGATGGGAATGCTCAGTGCAGCACTGTGTGTGATAGCAAAACATTGGAGGCAACACAAATGTCCATCACCTGGAAAGGGGATATATATTCAGTTCTGTGGAATGCTGTGTGGCCGTGAAAATGAATGAATAGAGTAATATGGAGCAACGTGGATAATTCTGCAAAGCAATGCAGAGAGCAAAAGCAATACTGCCTTAGCTTGGGTTCCCAAAGGCAGAACCAGTGTGCAGGGAGCTTCTTTGGGAGGGAGAATGAGGGAGCAGGGAGAAAGGATAGAGAAGAGGAAAGCCAGTAAAGGGTGCATGACTGAGTAGGTCACTGCTGTGGGCAGCTGGAGTCCCTCCGAAGAATCATGCAGCGTGGACTTGAGAAATGGCCTCTGAAGGACAGACCTGGGGTGGTTATCACTGATCCCTGTTCCCGTTGGTTGAAGGTTGTCCCCAGGGATGCCAGCTCCTGGCCCCTCTGGCTGTGCCTGCACAGGCTGATCAGCCTCCTGGAACTCGGGAGAAAGCCCAAGGCAGGAAAGCAGAAAGGACACTGGACTGAAGTGGGGCCACTGGCGGGGTGCTCTGAGCTGTCACCACAGCTGTGCTGAAAGCAGGTGGGCTGAGGGGCTGTGGCTCAGAGGACACAAGCCATCAGCCACAGATTCACCCGTAGATGTGAAGCTTAAAAACATGCAAAACTATAATATATATTGATAGTGGATATATATGTGTGTTAAAAACAGAAAGATACTCATGGCAGTGATGAACATCACATCCAGGATGCTGGTTACCTCTAAGAAGAAAAAGAGAAGCACATTCAGGAAGTGAACACAGGAGACTTCGGTTGTACTGACAATTTGTCTTCTCCTTTTTAATCTAAGTAGTGGGTACATGGGTGTTTGTTTCATTACTTTTTGTGTCTTTAAAACATTTCATCGTCATCATAAACACCATAGAAATGCATAAGGAAGGACCTCAATACTTGCCTTTGGAGGGTGTGGTTCATGGTGGAAGCTGGATAAAAGCTTTGGCTTTGAAGGAGGAGTAGAATTTGGCTAGGTAAAGGGGGAAGAAGGGCCTCCCAGGCCAGGGACCTCATGAGCAAAGGCACGGAGATGGGAATGTGTGTGGGGTATCAGCCCATGTCAAGCAAAATCACTTTGGGGAAATAAAGGTTGAATGTACAAGGTGAGGCCACATTGTGCAGTTATTGCAACACTGAGGAGTTTAAGCACAACAGGACCATTAGAGTGGCAGCACCAGCGGCAGCAGCAGCAGTAGTAGTAGTCATGGTGATTGTAGTAGCAGTAATATTAGAAGAAATAATATACTACTAATAAAACAACTACTGTAATACTACTTATGAAGTTCTTACTCTGTGTCCGGTACTTTGCTGCATACTCTGGGTACCTCAGCTCATTTAAACTACACAACAACCCCCTGAGGTATTGTCTTAGTCCATTTTCTGTTGCTATAACAGAATGCCACAGACCGGGTAATTAATAAAGAAAAGGATTTTTTTTTAGCTCATGGTTCTGAAGGCTGGGAAGTACGAGAGCGTGACACTGGCATCTGGTGAGGGCCTTCTTGCTGTGTCATAACATGGCAGAGGGCATCACATGACAAGAGGGCAAGAGAGCCAGAGAGAGCTCACTTTTACAACAAAGCCACTCCTGCGATAATGAACCCACTCCTGTAACAGTGACATGAATTCATGCATGAGGGCAGAGCCCTCATTAATCCATTAATTCATCATGAGGGCAGAACACTCATTAATCCATTCATGAGGGCAGAGGGATTGTTTCCAACACATAAACTTTTGGGGAACACATTCAAACCATAGCATTTGCCTAGACACAGTGGCTCACGCCTGTATTCCGAGCACTTTGGGAGGCTGAGGTGCAAGGATCGCTTGAGTTCAGGAGTTCGAGACCATCCTGGGCAACATGGTAAGACCCCATCTCTACAAAAAATACAAAAATTAGCCAGGCATGGTGGCATGTCCCTGTAGTCCCAGCTACTCAGGAGGCTGAGCGGGGAGGATCAATTGAGCCTGGGAGATGGAGTTTGCACTGAGCCAAGATCACACCACTGTACTCCAGCCTGGGTGACAGAGTGAGATCCTGTCTCAAAAAGAAAAACCAAAAAACAAAAACAAAAAAAAAAAAACCAGCATTCCACCCCAACCCCCAAAATTCATGTCTTCTGACATGTAAAATATATTCATTCCATCCCAATAGCCACAAAGTCTTAACTGTTCCAACACCAACTCAGAAGTCCAAAGTCCAGAGTCTCATCTGAATCAGATATGGGTGAGACTCAAGGCACATTTCATCTTGAGGTAAATTCCCTCCAGCTGTGAGATTGTGAATTCAAGTTATCTACTTCCAAAATGCAATGGTGGGACAGGTATAGGACAGACACTTCCGTTCCAAAAGGGAGGAATTAGCAAGAAGAAAGGAATAACAAGTAAATCCAGGCTGGGCATGGTGGCCCATGCCTGTAATCCCAGCACTTTGGGAGGCCGAGGCAGGTGGATCACAAGGTCAGGAGTTCAAGACCAGCCTGGCCAAAATGGTAAAACCCTGTCTCTACTAAAAATACAAAAAATTAGCTGGGTGTGGTGGTGGGCGCCTGTAATCCCAGCTACTGGGGAGGCTGAGGCAAAGAATTGCTTGAACCCAGGAGGCAGAAGTTGCAGTAAGCCAAGATCATGGCGCTGCACTCTAGTCTGGGCAACAGGGCGAGACTCCGTCTCACAAAAAATAAAAATAAAAAATAAAAATAAATAAATCCAAAACCAACAGGGAAAATTATATTTGGTCTTAAAGCTGGAGAATAATTTCCTTTGACTCCGTGTCTTGCAGTCTGGACACACTGGTGTGGGGGTTGGGCCCCCAAGGCCTCAGACAGCCCCATCCCCATAGCCTTGCTGGGATCAGCCTATGCCTGGGTACCCAGACCATCTGCTACATCCTTTGAAATCTAGATGGAGGCCACCATGACCCCACAGTGCACACACTCTGCATACCTGCAGAGTCAGTACCACATGGACGCCACCAAGGCTTACTGCCTGTTCCCTCCAGAGTGATGGCCAAAGCTGCACCTGGGCCTGCTTGAGCTGTGACTGGGTCAGCCAAGGAGCACTATGCTGTGCTGGAATTCAGGGAGCAGAGACCCTAGTTGGCTCTGGGCATGGAGCCTGTGGAGGGCACCCTGGGGCCCTTCCCCCAAAACCATTCTGCCCTCCTAGAGCTCGGGGCCTGTTATGGGAGGGGCAGCCTCAGAGATCTCTGAAATGTTCTTCAGGGTCTTTCTCCCTATTGTCTTGGTGTCTTCTGTGTATGGTAATCTCTTCAGCAAACAATCTCTTGGCCACACCTAGGTGCCATTTCCAAAACCTACCTTTTCCCTCTTTGCATGACTAGGCTGCAAATTTTCCAGATATTTCTTCTCTGCTTCTTTTTTTTTTTTTTTTTTTTTTTTTTTGATGGAGTCTCACTCTGTCACCCAGGCTGGAGTGCAGTGGTGCCATCTCAGCTCACTGCAAGCTCTGCCTCCCAGGTTCACGCCATTCTCCTGCCTCAGCCTCCCGAGTAGCTGGCACTATAGGCACCTGCCACCACACCTGGCTAATTTTTTGTATTTTTAGTAGAGATGGGGTTTCACCGTGTTAGCCAGGATGGTCTCGACCTCCTGACCTCATGATCTGCCCACCTCGGCTTCCTTTTTAATCATAAATTCTGTCTTTAAATCCTGTCTTTCCTATCTTACTTTACTGTAATCAGTTAAAAGCAGGCATGCAGCAGGCTGCGTGCTTTGCAGCTTAGATATTTCTCCCACCAGATATCCTGGCTCATCACTCTTAAATTCTGCCTTCCGTAATCTTCTCAAGCACAAGCATAGTTCAGCCAAGTTCTTTGCTACTTTATAACAAGGATGGCCTTTGCTCCAGTTTCCAATACCTTGTTTCTTAGTTCCATCTATGACTTTGTCAGAGTGGCCTTTGCTATGCATATTTCTATCAACATTCTGGTCACAACCATTTAATCTCTAAAAAGTTCCAGACTTTCTCCAGTCTTCTCTTCTTGTGAGCTTTCACCAGGATCACCCTTAATGCTCTGTTCACAATGCAGACTTTTTCCAGCATTCACTTCAGAACTGTTCCTGCTTCTACCCATTACCCAGTCCTCAAACCCTTCCACATTTTCAGGTATCTGCTGTAACAACAATCCCATTTTTCAGTATCAATTTTCTGTCACAGTCTGTTTTCTATTGCTATAACTGAATACCACAGACTGGGTAATTTATTTAAAATAGAGGTTTATTTAGCTCATGGTTATGGAGGCTGGGAAGTTCAAGAGCATGGCACAGACATGTGGTAAAGCAGCAATCCCCAGCCTTTTTTGCTCCAGGGACCAGTTTCATGGAGGACAATTTTTCCATGAAGGGGATGGTTTCAGGATGGAACTGTTCTATGCCAGATCATCAGGCATTAGATTGTCATAAGGAGCTTGCAACCTAGATCCCTCGCAGGCACAGTTCACAATAGGGTGTGTGCTCCCATGAGAATCTAATGCCACCACTGATCTGACAGGAGGCAGAGCTCAGGCAGTAATGCTCGCTCACCTGCTGCTCACCTCCTGCCATGTGGCCTGGTTCCTAACAGGCTACAGACCAGTACTTTCATAACGAAGCCACTCCCAAGATAATGAACCCATTCCTGTAATAACAACATTAATCCATTCACGAGGGCAGAGGGATTAAGTTTCCAACACACGAACTTTTGGGAGACACATTCAGACCAGAGCAGGGAGTACTGTCATAATCTCATTTTACACATTTGGAAGCAGAGGCCCAGAGAAGATAAGTAGTTGCTCAAGATCACACACTGAATTGGTGGCAGAATGTGGATTTAAGTTCAGATCAGCTTTCTGCCCAAGCTCAGCCTCTCCACCACTCTTCCTCACTGCCTTATGGATGTCTTCACCCCTCCATCCCCCCACGTAAATTCCTGAATGTGAGGACAGTACTTCACTTGGAGTGGGAAATGGTTATCCTGTGCTCCACCTCTGATCTGGTGCTGGATTGAGGTAGAACCCCAGCCCGGCCTCCATGGGAGAGAGTGTAGTGATCTCAAAGTGACATTTGCCAGGAAGACCTCAACTTTGCTAACCCTTCACCCAGGCCCTCCCCTCCCAAGACAACATCCTTGCATATTCTATGCCCTATCTCACAAAGGGAAACCAGACTGGGTATAGAAGGTCCTGACTGTGTGCCAATGAGCAAATCTACCCAACATCGAGGAACACGCACTGGGGCATATCAGATGTTAATTAGCGGGTACCTAGGATGGGCTGTGCTTCATGGAAAAAGTGAAGGGACCTTTACTTGGGTAGAAGACAGACCCCATCAAAAGAGGCTTCTAAGACATCCTAACTTTGAGAATTTGGTCCTGATGCTTCAGAAAGGTGGTCAGAAAGGAAACCCCACTTCCCTCTGCTTGGACAAGGTATTTGCTTTATCCTATCAGGCTGATAATCCCAGTGGTTTGGGTTTGGGTACAGAATGGGCAAGTGCAGGCAGGACCTAAATCCTACTAAACAGCTTATGAGCCCTCTTACATTTCCCTTTTATTTTCCCTGAATGGAAATCAGGCCCCAGGTTGAATCCTCAGACCAAGCCTGGGAATTAATTAGGCATGTAATGCTCGTTAGCAGTAATGGATGTTCCTTGCTGAAGTCCTTGTGCAGCTTGGCACGGGGGACGTGGCCTCTGTGGTAGGAATTGAGCATTTTTTCCTGAGGAGGATCTTGACACTGCAGGGGCTCCAAAGCCTGTATGTAAAGTTGAGGGGTGGCAGGGCACAGTGGCTCACACCTGTAATCTCAGCACTTTGGGAGGCCGAGGCAGGCAGATCACCTGAGGTCAGGAGTTCGAGACCAGCCTGGCCAACATGGTGAAACCCCATCTCTACTAAAAATACAAAAATTAGCTGGGCGTGGTGGTGAATGCCTGTGGTCCCAGCTACTCCGGAGGCTGAGGCAGGAGAATCACTTGAACTCGAGAGGTGGAGATTGCAGTGAGCCAAGATCATGCCACTGCACTGCAACCTGGCAACAGAGCAAGACTCCATATCAAAAAAGAATAAAAAGGTTGAGGACTGTGTGTGTGAGTGAGGTAATGGATGTGTGGTCTGAGGCCTGTATACAACATGTATGGGATATGTCATGTGTATTGACATAGCATGGGTCCATGAAGGGTAGATATTACATGTGAGGTTTCTGATATATATGCACTGGGTGTGATGTGGAAATGTGGTATGGGCTGGATATGTCATGTGAATACCTGCCATTTTGCATGCGGCAGGTACATAGCATATGAGTTGCAGACGTGTGGCCTGTGTGCACGAGAAGTCATGTCTGAATCTCTGTGTGTGCTCAGGTGTTTGAGCCTGAAGGACATTGTCACTGTCAGAAGCAAGATTGCTGAGAATTCCCATGACATTGGGCAGAATTATGATCCCGCTTAGCGCTGAGATAACATTGGTTGGAGAAAGTATGGATGAAAAATGTCCCCAGGAATAGAAAAAGGAGTTACACTGGCTTAGCAGAGGATGAGCTGGTGCTGGGGAGACAGGGAGGAATACTTGATTAAAACTGAAAATATCTGTTACCAGGAGGGAGAGGTCCAGAGGAGGGAAAGGGACAGCTCAGCCTAGAGGAGCGCAGGAGGGAAGAGTCATAGGCAGTGGAAGCCGGAAGCCCCAGGAGGGGCGTTGATGTTGGTGGAGAAATGTGCAAAGAGGAAGGCCTGGGAGGGAGAGAGGAAGGCACAGAGGTCCCCACTCAGCTCCCAGGACAGAGGTAACTCATGGAAGTCTTGAGTAGGGGGCAGGTGGCCCAGGGCCCACCTAGAACAATTCTTGACATCTCTGGGTCTGCGCCCCTCAGGGGAAAGACCCCACCATCACACCACCGTTCATCAGTCACAGAGCAGCTTTCCTCTCCTCTTTTCCTGCTGTAAAGAGGTTTCAGTAATGTGGCCATGTCCCAAATGGGACACTTTTGAGACTGAAGAGTGCTATTAATAATTATGCCAGGCCAGCAGGTGAAAACTGGGACTGTCTCAGGCACACAGGATGTATAGTTTCCAAAGCCTTAGAGGTCAGGAAAGGTGAGTGTAAAGAGGAAGACTTCTCATTCCTCACCCAGGCTCAGCCTACCTCCTGTGGGCAAGGCTCCAGCAGAGAAGACCTCGAATGCCACCAGGCCCTTGAACTTGAACATTCTCTGCACCCCTCCCTGGCTCAACCCCCATCAGAACACCACAGGGTAGCATGGGCTTCTGAGAAAATCTAACCTCTCCCCAAAAGTACCCAGAATCATTTGAGGGCACCCAAAAAAAAAAACAAGGCAATTCTGTTTGCCTGGCCACACTTCTCTAAGGCTAAGCTCCATCCAGAATCCAACTGTTCATTTGAGCATCTCTCTCAAGATACTCTGGGATACAGACAGGGATGGATTCGGAGACCCCCAAACATCACCCTTCTCCCCTCCTCTCTCTCCTTGTAGTCATTTGACAAACATTTATTATTTGGCTATCTAACTTTTGCATTGTGAAAATGGCATTACAACAAAATTACAGGAAATGTTTAAAAACAAAAATAAATCACCTCTAGTCCTTCCACCTTAACACAGTAATTAATTTCGTTTTGCATAGTCCCTTCTGATCCTTGTCAGCATTTTGATTATGTAGTTATACACACATATAATTTTACATTCTAACTTTTTTATTTCACATTTTACCATAAGCATTTTTTCCACATAACATAGTTTTCATAAATATTTTAAATGGCTACATAATAGTGCGTTGGGTTTATATACCATAATTTACTTAACAATTCCCCTATTGTTTGACCATTTAGGTTGTTTTCCATTTGGGGCCATTGTAATGTTGCAATGAATATCTTCATGCATATAAATAATTGTTATTCTTTTGAATGATTTCCATTGGATACAGTATTACAAGTGGGATTACTGGGTCAAAGTGAATGAGCATTTTATGACCCTTGATATATATTGCCATATTGCTTTCCAAAATGATCATTTGATCATTCCTATTTTCAACATTATCAGTAATGTGTGTACCAGTTTCTGTATAACATTGTCAGCAGTGCATGTTATTTGTTTCCCTAAATTGCTAATCTAGGAAGTGTAAAATAGGACCTCCCTGTTGTGTTAATTTGCATTTACTGGCTTTCTAACAAGGACAGACATTTTCTGTGTTATGAAAGACCTTTATTGGATACTTACTATGTGGCAGGGTCTGTGCTGGGTGCTGCAGGGGCTGCAGAGATAAGACAAGGTCCCAGTCCTCAAGCTTGCAGTCCAGAACAGACAGGGATACAACTGATCACCAGGAAGAGGAGACTGGGTACAGTAAGACTGGGTACAGAGACATCTTACTGCACCCAGTAAAAGGGAGCTGAGACAGGGGACTCTGGGAGGAAGCTGGTGGGTGTGCTGACATCACAGTTGTCAGAGCACCTTGCATCTGTGTGCTACGTCCCTCTTTTCAGAGGGTTTCCCTCTTGATCTTTTTTGACCCTGAATATTCCTCCAAGACAATTGTCTTCACTGTCCCCATTTTGCAGATGAGGAAGCTGAGGCCCAAGTCTGTTAAATAACTCACATTTGGTCACAGCTTAAGGTGCAGAGCTTAAGAACGCTAGCCTGGGGTTTCTGATCCTAAGCCCAATGCTCTCCAGGGGACATCAGGCCAACAGGAGAGGAGGGCATAGAGGGCAGTGACTCTCAGCCCTGATCATGCATCAGAACCACTGGGAGCTGAAAAAGAAAAGGTAGATTCTTGCCACCCCCACCCAAGATTTGTGCAATCTGAATCATCAAGGGAGGGGCCCAGGATCTGAAGCTCCAGACTCTCGGGGTAGTTCTGAGGCACTGCCTGGCTCGTAGCCCAGAGATAGGGGGTGATGGAACAGGAAGTGGACCTGCAGTGGGGCAGAGGGGAAAGCTGGGGCTTGGCCATTGTGAACGGGAAGAATGCATGGGGCACCCATTATCTCAGCAAATGTTACGGTGCACAGTGATGGAGCAGAATGAGTTTCAGGTGGCCCTGCCTTATCATAGGCCCCTGTCTGTGAGGGATGGTGACTGCCAGTGGGTTCAGCTTGACGTGGTCACTGGTACTCAGGCATAACAGCCCAGTGCTGCCTCAGAAGAGGGTGATAAGTTGTTTACAAGAGCTACTGGGAACCCTAGTGTGGACTCAGCCTGTGGCTGGAAGGGGTAAAGTCGGGATTTGAACCTGTGTCTTCTGAGTCTTTGTGTGCTGATCAATCTGGAAGTGTGCTGATCAGTCTGGAAGTGTGCTTGTTTCTGAGTGAGCTTGCTGGCCTGGCCAGGGCCCTGGAGCTTGCTGGGAGGCCCAGAAGGGTCTCCACAGCTAGCGTGTCCAGTGCCCACTGGATTTCAGGACTGGGAGTGCTGGTGCATGAGGGCTACCAGAGATAATCAGGCGGATCACAGGCACCAAGACATCACTGCAGGTGGGATATGTGTCCTTCCAGGTAAAAGAAGAAAAAAGGGATATTTTCAATTTACATTTCATATAAATGACACCATTTTATTCTCCCACTGATCCTATAAGGCTCCTGGGGCAGTAAGAGCATACCTGTTTTACAGATGCAGATGTGAGGCCACAGTTGATAAGTACCTTGCCTAAATCCACATAGCCAGAGCAATAATGCTAGGCTTCGGCCAGGTGTGGTGGCTTATGCCTGTAATCCCAGCATTTTAAGAGGCCGAGGTGGGTGGATCATGAGGTCAGGAGATCGAGACCATCCTGGCCAACATGGTGAAACCCCGTCTCTACTAAAAATACAAAAAAAAAAAATAGCTGGGTGTGGTGGCATGCGCCTGTAATCCCAGCTACTTGGGAGGCTGAGGCAGGAGAATCCCTTGAAGCAGGGAGGCCGAGGTTGCAGTGAGCCAAGATCGCGCCACTGCACTCCAGCCTGGTGACAAAGCAAGACTCCGTCTCAAAAAATAATAATAATGCTAGGCTTCAAATACAGGTCATCAGGCTCCACATCCTGCACTGCCTCAATTAGGGGTGCATCCATTCCACAAGCGTTTCCTGAGAAGCCGGAGGGCTGGCAATGAACAAAGATGATAAAGCCGTGGTCCCTTCATCAAGCAGTGCTACTCAAAGTGTGGTCCCCGGTCCTGCAGCATCAGCACCACCTTGAGCTTGTTAGCAACACAGAATCTCAGGCTCCTCGCCACACCTCCTGAATCAGAATTTGCATTTTAACAAGACCTCCCAGGTGATTCTCATGCACATTAAAGTTGAAAAAGCCTTGTCTCTAGATAGCTTCTGCATGCTGGCTGCACATTAGAATCACCTGGGGAGCTTTGGGGAGTGGGGGAAATCCCCTGTCAGGGCTCCATCCCCGGAGATCTGAATCACAATCTGGAGCGGGGCCTTGGCATTGACATTTTTAAAGTTCCCCAGGTGATTCTAATGTGGGGCTAAGGTGAGGAGCCACTAGTCCGGGATGTTCTAACCGATGCTGGTCAGGCCTTTCTCTCCTGACTGCCCTGCCCTTTTCTCCTTTTAAGTTTTCTGTGCTGTGCAGTTGGGAGGCATTGTTAATTATCATCTTCAGGAAATAGGTGGGCCAGGAATTCCCCCATCATTGTGGGGTTGAGATGCTGGACCCCAGAGCTTGGGAAGCAGGTCCTGGGGTCTGGATTAGAAGTTCACAGAAGTGTAAGTCTGCAAGCCCAGACTCAGCCTCGGCGGGGGGCTGAACAAATTAAGAGACAGGGGAATGTCCCGAGAGGCCTGAAGGCAAAAGGAGGTATGGTCCGTTCCTAAGGACTCACAAAGCATTAACAGGAGTGGATCTGGGTGGCAGGTTTCATCATCATTCCCATATTATAGGTTAAGAAATTGAGGCTTGGAGATTTTAGGTTTTAGCTCAAGGTCACTTAGGCTTTTAAGACCTAGGACTTGAGCAAAAGTCCGACTCCACCGTGCTACCCTTGTCCTCAGGGTAAAGATCTAGAAGAGGTAGTGGACCTCCTCGCCTCAAGTCCCTCCCTTTGGAGCTTTCTCCAGCCCAGCCCCTCTCCCTCCTCCCTCCTCCCTGCCTCAGGCTGACTGAGGGGCCCAGCATGAGTTTCAATAAGCCAAGCAGGAGTGGACCACGAGGAGCCCCCCCACTCAGGAATCAGCCTGGGACCAGCCCCTCCCTTGGGTGGCTGCCAGCAGCAGGGGACTTCAAGGAGGGGGCAAGGAGAGGAGAATGCGGGTGTGTTTTCCCCTTCTCTTGGGCACTGGCCCAGGTTTTGCATAGACTTGCTGGAAGAGAGAGTTCAATTTGGCTCTGATACAAACTCCACAGTCACTGTACTGTCATCTTCATTTAGTTAACGTTCTTTCTGGGCAGACCTGGCCGGAATTCATCTTCATTATCCAGTGAGGGGCTCACTCCAGGCCAGCTTTGATCTCCTGCAGATGATTTCCCCTGACGGCCATTAACAGGGGTGGGGGAGGCTCAAAGCCAGGGAGGGGCGGGTCACACTCCCCCAACCAACACACACCACAGCTCCCACTCCACCCAAATAGGTGCCCAGTCCACTTTCAGCAGGACCCAGTTCGCCTCTGGCCTCTCTTAGCTGAGCTGGGAGGGGCTGAGATCCTGCTTCTTCCTCTCCCTGCCCCTACAGTGCCCCCGTCCCGGCCCCATCCCTGAAAATTACCACCCACAAAGCCCTTTATAGAGCCCCTTCTCCTTTGGTTTTCACAAGCTCTGAAGCCAGAGCTACCAGGGATTCAGTCCTGGCTTGGTCACTTATATAGTGACCTTGGGTGATTTACTTCACCTCTCTGAGCCAGTTTTCACATCTGCAAGATGGGGCAACACCACCAGCCTGACAGCATTTTGGAAATGATGCCACAACATAATGCATGTAAAGGGCCTAACACAGTGCCTGACACACAGTCAATGTGTTATTACTACTTCTTTGAGGCAGATATTAGCACACCTGTTTCCCAGATGAGGAGGCTCATGGAAGTGCCTCTGGCCAGCTGTGTGACTTTGGGAAAGTCATTTCTTTCCAAGCCTCAGTGTCCTCCACTGTGAGATCCCAAAGGTAACATCCCCACCTCCCAGACTTGTGTGAAGGTCAGCTGAGAGAATGTGTGGGCGCAGCCCCGGGCGCCCCAGGGCTGACTGCAGGTTCAGAATTCTGGAGCTGGTGGCGCTGCCCCCATGGAGGGACTTGTTCTGGGCAGCCATGTTCCCCAAAGTACCTGAACTCTAAATGGAGGCCTTTGTGGCTTTTAAAATTCTTCCAGCTTTTGGTTTGGGTACCAGGAGTACAGAGACTGCTGGGTCAGCAAGATCCAGAGTCTGGTTCCTCACTCTGCTCTGGGTTCCCCAGGAACGAACCAGCCCCACCCTGAGCCTGCAGTTCTTTCCCACTGCTCAGCCCACCCACCTGGTTTCTGCTGGTGACCTCCATCCCCTCTGTCCCAACTTCTCCTGCCCTGGTCCCAGCCCTAGCTGTCCCCATCCTCAGCCCACCACTGGCAACCCTGTATGCTCCCCTCCCCCTGCAGCCTTCAGACCGACCCTCACCATCCCCAACCCCATCCTTGGCTGCCAGTCTAGCCTCAAGTCTTTCTCGGCAGGGCTGTGCCCCAGCTGGTTTTAATCCCCTGTGATTGGCACTCTCTGACAGTGCAGGGTAAGGACATTTGGTCTGAGCAACTGGTGCTTCACTGCAATTATCTGCCCAGGGCAGCAGGGTCTGTAATCCAGCCCATTGATTCAGTGGCTTTTCTTCTGCACACACTCATGGGCACGCCGACCCCACTTGGGTCTGTGCAGACTCTGCAACGAGCAGAGACAGAGGAGCCTTTTTGCAACTGGGGCTGTGAGTCTTTGAGAAGAGTCTCCATTCAAAAAGGCCAGCTAAGAGGGATTCATAAAGTGCCTTATAAAGCCACACAGATGCCTTGTGTTCCCTGGCAGGGAGCCTTGGCTGACGTCCTCACACCTGACCACCCATTCATCTGCCTTTTCACTGGGTCTGCATGTGGCCTGGGCACATGGTTACAGTCTCTAGCCCCAGCTGGGCCTCCTGCAGACTGGGTTACCCTGCAGGGCCATGTTTAGAGGCTCTCATGGATATAGCTGTGCTTCTTCCAGGCAGGCTCCAGCCCCAGGCCCTGAGCTGATGGGCAGTTTGCTGCACCCTGGAATTCAGAGCAAGAAGCAGCTGCTACTGGCCTCTCTCCAGAGGACGGTGAAAGAGTGGAATCTCCATCTGGGCTTTTCTCTGAGCCCAAGGGACCTAGAGCTTCAAACAAGTTTGTTTTTTTTTTTTTTTGAGATGGAGTCTCACTTTGTTGCCCAGGCTGGAATGCAGTGGGATAATCTCAGCTCACTGCAATCTCTGCCTTCCAGGTTCAAGCAATTCTCCCTCAGCCTGTGGGATTACAGGTATCCACCACCATACCCGGCTAATTTTTGTATTTTTAGTAGAGATGGGGTTTCACCATGTTGGTCAGGCTGGTCTCGAACTCCTGACCTCAAGCAATCCACCCCACCCGTCAGCCTCCCAAAGTGCTAGGATTACAGTCATGAGCCACTACCCCCAACCAATTTTTTTTTTTTTTTTTTGAGACAGGGTCTTGCTCTGTTGCCCAGGCTAGAGTGCAGTGGTGCAAACACAATTCACTACAAGCTTGACCCCCACCCTCCACCCCCAACCCCAGGCTCAAGTGATGCTCCCACCTCAGCCTCCTGAGTAGCTAGAAGTACAGGCATGCGCCACCACGCCTCAGCTAATTTTTTAAAAAATTTTTTGTGGAGATAGGATCTCACTATACTTCCCAGGCTGGTCCCAAACTACTGGCCTCAAGTGACTCATCTGCCTCAGCATCCCAAACTACTGGGATTATAGGTGTAAGCCACTGTGCTGGGCCCAAACAGAAATGCTTAACCTGGAGTGCATGCACTGGGCCACAGTATGACCATGAACTCCTTGAAATTATGTACAAAGTCATACGTGTGTGTGCCTGCATGCATGCACATTTTGGTAGAAACAGTCCACATTTTCATCAGATTCTTAAAAACGTCTGTCACCTAACAGTGTGGTCAAAGCACAGCTGCCTGAGGCCATTGGGCATGACCATCAGCACTGCAGGTAGGCCCAGAGGCCACACTGGGCACTTTTTTGCAGGAAATGTATTGCATTACCTTACATGGAGCTGAGAGAGTACATCTGATGGAATCGCCAGCAGACCTGAGGGCCCACACCTGTCCTGGCTACCACCACATGCAGGCTCTGTCTGCAGGAAGGAGCCCTGAGCTCAGCCATCCATGACCCAGGGCCAGGGTGGCCCTCTGTTCTCGCTGCATGGGTCTTTATATCCTTATTCCTGGACCTTGTGGAGCCTCCAGACCCACCACCTGCCTGGCTAGACAGAGCCTCCTCATCACCCCCATGCCCTTAATCCCGCCTGACCCAAGAGGCATCACATGGCTTGTTCCTCCCTGTGCCCGCCCTTCCCTGGACTGCCCTGTCCCCCAGCTCTAGCCGCAAGTCATCCTCAGACTCTGGAGAGACATTTTGCTGTCTTGCCAGAAACCACTTTGAAATTTGCAAACTCTTGCAAATGGAATAGTGAACAGAGAGCAGGAGGAAATCCCCACAAGTGCCAGTGTTCCCCCTGCTCTCTCGGCTCCCCTCCCCATCCTGAGATGTCCAACTCACACCAGCCTAACTGGGTCTTAGTTCCACACTTTGCCAAACCAGCATGGAAGGGCAGGGGTATCTGGGAAACTCTGCCAGTCCCAGAGCCTCCTGTAGAAAAGCATTTGGGCTTGAGCCCCGGGCACTGGCTGCTGAATTTCCGTCTCCCTGGGACACAGCCTTTTTCCTTCTCACAGATTTTCAGAGCCAGAAAGGAGCTTGCAGACCACCCTGGCCAATTCTCCTCTATTTCAGACTTCACCTTCAGGACAGCATTATTGACTTTTTTGGTTTGTTTTATTTTGTTTATATATGTATGGCTTCTATTCCCAAAGAGATTGTAGGGTTAAGAGATTTCTTTTTATTCCAAGTGTCTACAACAGAATAAAGACTCATACATATAAAAGATACTAGGGCTGGGTTTGAATTCACATTGTCCAACCCTCTCATCTTGCTGACAGGGAAACGGAGGCTGAGAGGAACATTTGGCCTGCCCATGGCTTCCTGACCCTGAGCCCAACCTTCCTCTACTTTTTGTTGATTGATTGACTGACTTATGACAATATCAAGGAGCAGGAGCACCAGACAAGGTAGGGGTGGGCTCCCCAAGCGTTGTCCCTGCAGGCCCCTGCATCACCTCCCCAAGAGAGGTTGGGAATTTCTCAGGACCAGTGTCCTCCTGGACGGTGTGGAGACCCAACATCACTACTTCTGATGCCACTGGAATTCTTTTTTTTTTTTTTTTTTTTTTTTTTTTTTTTTTTTTTTTTTTTTTTTTTTTGAGATGGAGTTTCGCTCTGTCGCCCAGGCTGGAGTGCAATGGCGCGATCTCGGCTCACTGCAAGCTCCGCCTCCTGGGTTCACGCCATTCTCCTGCCTCAGCCTCCTGAGTAGCTGGGACTACAGGCGCCTACCACCTCACCTGGCTAACTTTTTGTATTTTTAGCAGAGACGGGGTTTCACTGTGTTAGCCAAGATGGTCTCGCTCTCCTGACCTCGTGATCCGCCTACCTCGGCCTCCCAAAGTGCTGGGATTACAGGCGTGAGCCACTGCGCCCGGCCGGCACTGTAATTCTTAAAGATATCTCCAGGAGTGAGGGAATTGGGACCAGCCAGCAGGAAGTCTCACCATTTCTTTCAACCTAATGCCAGTCTTTCCCCCAGACATTTCCCTGGGAAGGAAGAAAGCTTTCATTAGTGAATTGGAAAGACAGGCTTCAGATACCATTAAACAATACTTTTTATTGCAAAAGACAGAAACCCAACCTAAGGTTTAGGCAGAAATGGGGATTTGTTGCCTCTTGTAACTGGAAAGAACAGAGGTGGATGTTGCTTCAGGCCCAGCCACACCAGGGGCTCAGATGATGTTGTCAGCAATCTGTCTGCACCTTGCCTCGGTTTTCCTTTGTGTTGGCTTTGTTCTGAAGTCTTCTCTTCCCAAGTAATAGCAGAGATACACACCAACAGCTCCAGGACCACAGTCTCCCAGCCTAACAGCCCAAATGGAAGAGAACACCTACTTACCCAATGTTCCTGTTGGAGTCCCAGGATTGAATCCCATTGGCCAGATTGGGTCACATGCACATTCCAGAACCAATCGCTGCGACCAGGAAATTGAATGATCTAATCCTAGGGGCCTGGGCCCTGTGCTGTACAAGGGTAGAATCAACCTCCTACAGGACCACCTACAGGACCCGAGCTGGGGAGGGGCGGTGGCTTTATGCTGACAAAACAACAGCTGCCCGTTATCCCCTCCCCGGTTTAGCTCCATCACAACCCCACCTCCGTGTGCTTACCGGAGTGGCCATGGGCTGTCTTGGAATGGGCAGGTGAAGGATTGAAGGAAATGGGTAGCGGTGGAAATAGCTTACAAGCCCAGAGCCAGAAGCTGGTAGGCTTGCTGGAGGGATAAAAGCTCCTAGGTAACCCACACCCTGGCTCTAAGTCCGTGGGAAGGATGGCATAAGTGATGCATGTGAGGTTTTTCATATTGTCTTTATTGATCCTCATAAGAATGTCGTAAGATGAGGAGAAGAAACAGAGGCTCAGCGAGTGAGGTCGCATACCCGAGGTCACCCAGCAAGCAGTATTCCAACCCAATTCTCCATCCGAAGCTCTCAGCAGCATTCCGGAAACAGCGCCAGGCCCCCTGGAGGAGCCGGTCTGCTGCTGGCTGCGGGGCTGGAAGGGGCTTGCGGTTCCCTAGCCTCCCTCAGAGCTGCTGGGTTCCTGGAGGAGAGGCTTGTGCTGCCCCCAGGGGAGGGAGGGCAAAATTGGCCTAAGACCAAGGCAGCCGCAGGAGGGGCCAGCCTCTTGCAAATGAAATATTCATGGGGGTTATTGAATCAAGTTTTATTGGAATAAAAATACACTTGCTGAATACATTTATTTCCCCTGGTTCCTTTCAACCCCATTCCCTCCCTGAGTGATTTGATTTGGGGGCCACAGAAGGTTTTTTTCCCCAAGTAAATTAGACTTCGTTCAGCAGCAGAAGGATGCCATGTCAGGATTGGTGCTTGGCAAGGGGAGTGCTGTCTGCGGCCTCTGGGAGGACTGAGGGCCCAGAAGGGAAGGGTCAGGAGGTCAAGCTCCTGGTTCCCACGCACAGGCCCTGTCACCAAAATCATCCACACTCGCTGCACCCTCCCCTCTTTCTTGGCCTCCCTGCCCCTTGCCACTTATGAGGGACCAAGCCTGACGTGTGGAGACAGGGAGAGTCCCACAGGCCTGGAGTCGTGGTGATGGGCCTCACTGTCAGATGGACCTTCCGAAGCCATCTAAGAGGTCCCCATCTGGGGGGCAGAGCAGATGACTCTGCCCTCTCTGCCAAATCTCTCTTCTTTCTGCGTTTCTCCTCCTCACCTTAGCGTTCTTGGTTTCTTTCTCTTCTCTCCTGCTCTACACATCTCATTCTGGCTTCCCGGCCTCTGGCCTCTCTCCAGGGTCAGTCTCTCTCCAAATGTTTCTTTTGGTCTCAGTATCTCTTTGGCTGTGTCTGTGAAGGTCTCTTTTTCTTCCTAACCTCACACTCAGCACCATTCCACAACCCCACACACACTCACACAGAGTCTCATGCACAGGTGCACACTTGCACACGCAGACACCCTCACCCACGCATAGGCAGGCACCCGCTCGCACACACTCACACATGCGCTCACCAGCTTGCACACGCACACCCTCTCCCACACAGTCATTCACGGTCGTGGGCTGCTGGCTGACTCAGCAGATACAGCCAGGGTCTTCTGTCCCCACTCCCTGCCCTAGAGTGGGCATCTGGGGTTCACCTTACTCTTCATGCACTGCACAGAAACCACAGCGGGGCTGAGTCCAGGCCACCCTGTGCTGCCTGTAGCCCCACTCTCTTATTTCACAGGGAGGAGTCGGAGGGGAGAGCCTAGAGGAAGGAGCCCAGCCACAGGTGTCACTTCTCCTGAAGAGCACAGCTGGGCAAGGCGGAAGGACTCTCCCAAATGGGCAGGGCCACTGGCTGGCTGGTCTGTGCCCTGCTTAGTGACTGGAATGAGATGGGAGGGGCAGACTCTGAACTGTGCTGGGGGCTCCATGGACCCCGAGACAGTCAGGCACCCAAGGGAGACTCCCCGGCTCTGTGGCCCAGCCAGCCTCATCCTGTGGACTGCCCTTCCTTTTCCTGAGGCTGGAGGGACCCTGCTGGGGTGGGCACTGCCCCATCACACACATGTTGGTGCCCCAGTGCCCTTCCTCCCCGCTCCCTCTCACATTCACCACTTGACTGTTTCTGGCTTCAAGCCCACCCGGCTCCTTCCCTGAAGTGTGACAATCAGGCTCTTTGCCTGCCCTGCGAGCGGCTCCTTCCCTGAAACCCTCTCTTGTCCTTGAGGGCCTGCCTCTCATCTCTCTGTCTTCCTGGCAGCCGCTAGATCAGCACCCCAGTCCTTCTGTGCTCTACAGGCTGCCTGACAAATCAGGTTCTCCCAGCACTCCTGCTCACTCACTCTTAGGCCACAGTGCTCCCTTTGGGAAACCTCTCTCTGGACCCAAGACCAATGGTCATTCTGCGCCTGGAGCAAAGACATCAGCAAATAGCCTCTGGGCTTCGGCTTCTCAGACCCCTCTAGCAAGTGGAGCCGAGCCTGTGGGTACTGAGGAGAAGGGTGTGACCCTCAGACACCAGGGAGCAAGCAAGGACCTCCTGGGGGAGGCATCCTGGGAGGGGAGGAAGGACGGGTCAGACCAGCAGGGCCGGAGGATTCCGGGTGCTGATGGTAAGAAAAACCAGCTGTGGGAGGGAACATGGTGGCTAGACAGACCTGGCCCCATCCAGGTTCTTCACTTCACAACCTGTATAAGCTTGAGTAAGTCATCTGGCGCTCAGTCAGTTTTTCCTTCTGAAAAGTGGGCACCGTCGTATCTGTTTAGATGCTAAAGGATGAAATGTGCTTGGCCCACAGAAGGTGCTCAGTTAACTGCAGTCCCTATTGTCACCATCATTAGCAGTATCCTGAGGACCCAGGGGCACCAGCAGTTCCCTGAGGTGGCTCCCAGGCTGCCTGTCATCCTGACCATCTCTGCCAGGCCTGATAGGCTGCCGTCTGTCTGCAGATGACAGCTCCATTACAGTAATCATGGGCCTGGTCTGTGTGGCTTCCCCCTCCTCCGTCCCCTACTGCTTATGATAATTTAATCGATCGCACTCACCCGGGCTGTGCTTCTCCAGCAGCTCTTCATGACTTAACTTGGGAAGGACAGGAACAAAAAATAACCCCTGTCCAACATCCCTGAAATTAGGAGCTTTGGCTCTGCTCTGAGTCAGACGACCATGGGTGAACCAGAGAGAGCTTCGGAATCTCCCCTCATGGAGGTATCAGAGGAGAAGGGAAATCAGTCCCTGCCCAAGTTAGGCCACCTTTGGGAAAACTTCCTGTCTCTATAGGCATCCCTTTCCCCATTCACAGGGAGCAGACAAGTACACCAGCATAAAGAAGATTCATTCATTGCTAATTCCCACGGCATTTGAATGAATTTATATTTATAATAAATTAAGTGAATAAAAGTAAACCTCAAATACTTGTATAGCACTTACTATGTGCTAGACACTCTTATAAGGCCTTTACAAATAATAACTCACTTAAACTTGTCGTTTTGAAGGTGATATTCAGCTGTCAGCTTGGATTTGTAGCTGGAAGCTTTGTAAAAGAAGGCAGTTTGGATTGAAGACACTTTGTCGGTGTTGCAGGTTGTCAAGGGCGTTGCTAAGAGGAGACACTGTGTTTAAATTTTAACTCCTTGCTTCCAAAAAAAAAAAAAAAAAAAACTGAATGGATGGAAAGCAGAGTCTTTGTTTTTCTTTTAGAATAGAATGACAAATTGTTTTGCGGTCGTTAGAAAACTCGGGGTTGTGATTCTGATCTCACATAAAATTCATTGAACCATGTAAATGAGGCAGGCTGCTGCTCTCTGATGGCAGTGTACAAATATTGCAGGAAAAGTACTCAAGAGGAGGGTTATTTTGCAAACCTGGCAGCAAATAACTGATCCTCTTCTATAAATGATCCTAATTGATCATTGAAAGAAAATAAACCACAGGATGGAGGAGGGAAGCGGGAGCATGATATAGTTGAAACAAGATTGGCCATATAGTGATGATTACTGAAGCCGAGTGGGTTTTTTTTAAATTAGTTAAATAGAAGGAAAAGATAATTCTATAAATAGCTAATTCTTTGCCCTCTCCCATTCTATGATTTGATACCTAGGAATGTGGAAGGGTCTCTCTCCTCTCACCAAGACATCCATCCCAATGCCTACCCACCCACCCCAAGTAGGTGGGCTCTGATGAATCTACCAGAGCCCCCCCACCAACTCCCACTACCCCACTGAACCCCACCCAACCCCACCCACACAGTAGCACAGGGAAAAGAAGATCATCAGTGGATGAGCAGAGATTCAGGGCTGGGAAAGGTGGAATCTTCTCATCGTCCTCTCAGGCTGTGGCCCGGTGGCCACCTTGCAGTTCCCAGCACTCCTTCCCAGGGCAGGTGTACGCTGTCTATTGGATGAATAAATTAATCTAATTACTCACCACAGGTCTGCTTTTCTAGATTCCCAGGAACATTTGCTGAGCCCCTACTCTGTTCTAGATACTGTGTTGGGAGCTTGCTATGTGTGTTCTCATTCAGTTTTCTGGGAGTAGACTCCTTACCCCCTTTTTCATGATGAGGAAACTACACCTACCCCCATGATACTATAACTTTTATGACTTTCTTCACCAGATTATGAGTTTCTTGACCCAGGGACTGTTTTATCTTTCATCTTTATTTCCCCATAACCCTATCACAGTGAATGGTCAAAAACTGTTGAATGAACGATTAAATGAATGATTAACATTCAACAAGAGGTTAGATGGTGTATCTGGGTTATGCAGTTAGTAAGTGGCAGAATCTGGATTCAGATCTAGCCGAGAGCAACTTTTGCATCATCAGAGCTGCCCAGATGACCCTCACCCTCCTACAGTGGGCTCTGAAACCTCTAAGCTCATTCCAGTTGGCTGATGACCACTGCAGAGGTGACTAATCCAAAAGAGCAATTGCTGGTGAGGGGAGAGGGGACTTGGGTATGTAGACCCCTCCGTGTGGCTCCCTGGTCCACAGATAACTGTGTGCCGTGCTGTTGTGGTGCTGTCTTGCACTAGCTCATGAGAGTCAAGTGTGCACATCTCTTTGCAACTTCATGTTTTGTTACGTCATGTTGATAAGCTTGAAAGCAATCATGGTGGGACGATTTACACCATGGAAATTGGCAAATGCTACAAATCAGGACTTTTTTTTTTTCCTCTAGAGCTGGTTGTTGAGCGCGTACAAGCACATCCCTGACTAGGTTACAGCTGGCAACAGGAAGCTTCCAAGGGAAGTGCAACTGTGAAGCGTACATCTCTATGTGGTTATTTTCTCTGGGGAGGGCTGTCTGACCTCATAATTCATCCCTTGTCACTGGCTACAAGTTGCTACAGGTGCAGTGCTGGTAACAGGAAGCCCATGATGATGAAAGCGGAGAGTTCTCAGCAGTTTAATTTTCTTGCCTCTCACAGAAAGTGGCATCTCCATGTTGGGGAATGGTGGGGTGGGGTGGGAGTAGGGTGCTCTTTGTCCCTGGAGTTGCCTCCCCAGGACCTTTGTTGAATGATGAGCACTCTCCTCCTGGGGTACCCTGGGAATCTCAAAGCGGTTTTTCGTGCCTATCACTCTGCCTCCCAGATTTGTTTTTACAAGTGGTCTTTCTGAGGCTTTCTGGCTGGAAATTCTGGAGCAAACCCAGTGCCTGGAAGAGGAACAATGGAAGCCAGGTCATTGTTTGACATAACCAAATCTTGTTTAGCCCTAGGAAGGAGCCACCCTAAGGGGCAGATATATTATTCTCCTGTATACTGGATCGAATAGTGTCTCTGAAAATGAATGTCCATCTGGAGCCTGTGAATGTGACCTTATTTGGAAATACGGTATTTGCAGATGTAATCAAGTTAAAATTAGATCATACTGGATTAGTGTGGGCCCTAATCCAGTGACAGACATGGCAAAGTCTAGGAGTCCCCACAGTTACTCTCTTGCAGGTGCTATCAGTGCTACTCAACTTTTTATGTTTCTCTCTTCACGATCCCCATCACTACTGCCTTTGTTCCAGGTCTCCTTGGCTTGTGCCTGGACCATCGCCTAACTTCTAACGGCCTCTGTGTTTCCTCTGGCCTCTCCTCACTCAAACCCATTGTAATCAGATCACAGTCCCAGAACCACCACCCCAACCATGGCCCTCCTCTGCTCAAAGCCTGCAGTCACTTTCCTGGCCCCAGAAAGGAAGTTCAGATTCTCCTGTTGAAATTGATAAGACCTCTATGATCTGGCCCCTAACTGCTCCTCCAGCCTCAGTCTCTCTTTGCCTTCACTTGCCTAAGTCAGCCTGTATCCAACTGGAACTACTCTTATTCATTCCCTATACTTTCCCACCTTTGCCAGGTGCAAAGTCTCACTCTTCTCTTTACTGATGTGGTGTCCCCTCTGCATTGTCATGAGACTATATGCTTCCTATACAGTCCCCACTATTATACGGCCCTTGGGTGTCCTTCTTTTCTTTCTCCTTCAAAAGAATCATGATGGGTGTTGGAGTAAGACAGCCCAGCTTCAGATCTTTGGCCTCAATTCACTGTGGGGATATGGCAAGTTAATTGATCTCTCTGAGCCTCAGATTCCTCCTACATCTGTTCCTCAGTGAGTTGTGGAGATTAGATTAGAATGTGCATGTCAGGTGCCCAGCACAGAGAAGTCACTCAGGAAATGGGGGCTCCTTCTGTATCCCCAAGGACTCAGGATTGCAGGTGTGCAACATAAGTTGCCATGTTAATATCAAGAGCAGTTGTGGGGCCTGGAGACCTGGGGTGGGGGTGGGAGGCCTGAATTCTCAAGGCCCAGACAGAGGATAATGGCAAAGCAAGCACAGAGCCTGAGTGGGAGGGTGAGGCTAAGAGCAGACAGGGCTGGCTCACCAAGGCCACTTGGGTACTGACATGCTTCCCTGACTGACGATGGAGGCCAGAGAACAAGATGAACTCTGCCGCTGCCCTCTAGTCTCCTCCAGCTCAGCTTCCATGTGGATGGGAAAGGGCATGGAGGACAAAGACTTGAGTTCCAGCCCCACCTGGGCAATGACTCATGAGCTATCTTGGTCAAGACCCACTCCTCTGTGGGCCTTGCTTTCCTTATCTGTAAAATGACAAGGCGAAAGAGGAGAATCTCCAAGGTTCTTACTACAAAAAGGACAATGAGATGGAAGTTAATCTCCACCCACTGATACAGCAGCAGAGTTCCAAACTAAGCCCGGTCCAGCTGGCTGGCCCTTACTGCAGAACCCCTGTGCGGGGGCTGGCCCATCATCATCACTGGCCCTGCTTCCTAGAGAAAGCTGGCAAAGTCTGGGATGGCCTCCCCAGGGCTCCTAGGGGAAGCGCTGCTGCCTGGTGGCCTTGATGGCTGTGGCTTTTGGCAGGCAGGGAGCAGAGGGCAGGTGCTTCAGGGCCCAGTTTAGGGCTTGTGGGCATCACAGAGATGACAGCTGCATCTGCCCTCCTTGTGTTTTCTTATTTGTTCCCAACAGGAAATCGATAATGTCAGAAACTGTGGGATAACTCTACAGGCCCAATCAATGGAACCTAATTAATTCAGTCGTGGCCGTTGGGTAAATTTGCTGCATCATAATTAGAATTATTAATTAAAAATAGGAAATCGATTGACACAAATTAAGCAAAGGAGGAGTCAGTTGGGCTGCTTTGACATTGCATGGGCAGGCGCTTGAAGACATCCCATTGGCTCTAGCTTTGGGGTCTGTCATCCCACATGAGTCCCAGACTCCCCCACACCACAAGAGCCTAGCTCCAGCACCTGCCACTAACTAGGGAGCGGAGAGCCCTGGGCCTCCAAATGCCCAAGCTGGAGGCCCTCAAGAAGCATTTCACCCAATACTTACATTTTTTAATGAAAAACAGTAAGGATTTTAGGAGAAAATATATTTCTGCTCATTATTTTGCTTTCTTCTTTTTGTGTTTATAATGTTTTTGGTAGAGATCAGGTTTCACAATGTTGCCCAGGTTGGTCTCAAATTCCTGGGTTCAAGCAATCCTCCTTAGCCTCCCAAGTAGCTGGGACTACAGGTATGTGCCACCACGCCTGGCTAATTTTTTTTTTTTTAAGAGATGGGGTCTCACTATGTTGCCCAGGCTGGTTTCAAACTTCTGGGCTCAAGTGATCCACCTTGGCCTCCCACAGCATTGGGATTACAGCCACCTCATCCAGCCCTATTTTGCGTTCTTTATGCACATGCATACATCATCTTACCATAATACATACATAATTTATGTGCTATTGTGTTCTTTTTTCTCTCAACATCATGGCATAACTGTTCCTTTATTTGCACAAAATTATCTTTTTGAATGGCTGCATAGTATTCTCTGGATATACCATAATCTGCCTAACCAGTTCCCCATTGTTGGCCATTTAAGTTGTTTAATAATAATAATAATAATAATAATAATAGCTAAATTCCCTGGGGGTCCATTCTCACTGCTTGCACTGTGGGCGCTACATGCATCGTTTTTTCTGATCCTCATGACAACCCTCCGAAGCAGGTGCTATTAGGATCCACTTCAGATGGGGAAGGGAACACTCAGAGGAGTTACGCGACTTGCCCGAGTGACTTGTCTGGGGTCACTGGAGGCTTGCTGAAGTTGGGGTGTGGGAAGATGAGGGCTCTCAAGTCCGAGGTTGTTCTGCCTCTGACTTCTCGATGTTCACAAGTGGGTGGCCACACACAGCTTTCCGCATCTCGCTTTTTCTTGTCCCAGTGTCGTTTTTATAGATGAAGACACTGAGGTCTGAAGGGAGGAAGTGATTTAGTCCAAGTCCCATAGCTGGGCAATGGCTTACCCAGGAAGGGAGCCAGGCCTCCTGGTTCCCTGGCCAGAACTCTTTTGACCTGCCTCCCACTCCCATACCACCTTCCTTCTCAGTCCCCTCCCTCCTCACTGCTCCCTCAGGATCCTCTGAAATCTTACGGTGGCCACAAGTGGGCACAACAATCCCTGAGAACATCTGTCCTCAACTGAGTGCCGAGACTAAAGCCCTTGGAGGGTCAGAGCAGCTCCTGCCCCACCTGGCATTTCTATACCAGCTCTGGGATGGTCACCACCTGTGACTGCTCCTGCCAGACCCCCTTTACACACACCCTGTATTGTACCAATGAGTGTGGCTGCCACATAGAGAGTCTCCATTGTCCCCAGTGCTCTAGCTGGGCAATTCCCTCCCAGCACCTGTGCCCCTCTCCCCACTGCCACACCCAATGGCTTCCCACTTGTCAAGAGTGGACTTTCTGACCATGCTTGAAAGTGGTTTTCTCAATCCTCATTCCACATGCTGCCCACATGGACTGGAGCCCAGTTAAGTTGGCTGTGGGTTATAGGCATTTCAGTGGCTCCTAGTGGTGGAACCCCATGTTTTCTTTCCCATTTAAGAAAACATCTAGACATGCAAGTGATAGAGAGGGAAGTTATCATGCACGTCCAACATTGACACTCTGTTATTTAGTATGAGAAATAAATTATTCGCCAGCTTGGAACTACGTTAGTAGCAAATCACTTGTGACAAACCCTGCACTCTATTCAATAGAGCTGTCCAACCTGCAGTCCATGGGCCGCATGCAGCCCAGGATGGCTTTGAATGTGACCCAACACAAATTCATATACCTTCTTAAAACATTATGAGATTTTGCTGGGTGCGGTGAGTCATGCCTGTAATCCCAGCACTTTGGCAGGCCAAGGCAGGTAGATCACTTGAGGCCAGGAGTTCGAGACCAGCCTGGCCAACATGGTGAAACCCCATCTTTACTAAAAATACAAAAATTAGCATGGCATGGTGGTGCACATCTGTAATCCCAGCTACTCAGGAGGCTGAGGCATGAGAATTGCTTGAATCCAGGAGGCGGAGGTTGCAGTGAGCCGAGATCATGCTACTGCATTCCAGCCTGGGTAATAGAGTGAGACTGTCTCAAAAAAAAAAAAGAAATTATGAGTTTTTTTGCACTTTTTTTTTTTTTTTTTAGCTAATCAGCTGTTATTAGTGTGTTTTATGTGTGGCCCAAGACAATTCTTCCAATGTGGCCCTGGGAAGCCAAAACACTGGACACCCATTCTCTATTGGATTATGCTGGTTTGTCATATACAACACCACACTAAGAGCACCTCATCCAAAATATGAAGATTATTCTGCACTGGTACTAAAAAATATTTTCTGAAATACCTACAGCTTTGGACAAAGTCATTCAAGCCTTCTTCCCCCTACCCACCTTTTCTTTAGAAACCATATGTGGGCCGGGCACGGTGGCTCACGCCTGTAATCCCAGCACTTTGGGAGGCCGATGTGGGTGGATCACGAAGTGAGGAGATCGAGACCATCCTGGCTAACACGATGAAACCCCGCCTCTACTAAAAATTCAAAAAAAATTAGCCAGGCACGTTGGCATGTGTCTGTAGTCCCAGCTACTCGGGAGGCTGAGGCAGGAGAATGGCGTGAACCCGGGAGGTGGAGCTTGCAGTGAACCGAGCTCACGCCACTGCACTCCAGCCTGGGCAACAGAGCGAGACTCTGTCTCAAAAAAAAAAAAAAAAACCATATGTGACCCAGAATTTTCACTTTCTAGATTCTGCTCAGTGGCCCCAGCCTCTGCTTTTGAAATACCCACCCCTACAACTCACCCTAAGACACCTATCCTCCCAGGAAGGGGTCAATGGGTCTTGGGGAAAATAAAGTCTTGAGTCATAGATGTGAGTCAGCCTAACAGAGCCTCCCAGCCACTAGGAAGCATCCCCAAGGACACTTCCTCTTCCCAGAATGACATGCATTCCCCTGCACCCTCCCCACCCCCATGACTCCCAAGAAGTACTGTTAAGGGACTGGTCTTTCCTCTACTGGTAATTTATAGCACTCATGTGCTATTTAAAAAAAAAAAAAAAAAAAAAAACTTAGGTTAACGTGTTCTCTAACCAACTTAATTACCACAAGCCTCCTTCTGAAGATCGTTCCAGCTAGTTGAATATTAATCTGCAATTCAAAGAGTCCCCAGGCACAGATTGCAAGATCTTGTACATGCAAGTAATTAAGACCATAAGTAGACAGACTCCAACGAACCAGGGATTTCCTCCTAGAATGTAAGAGTGAAAAGCCTTTATGAAGTTCTGGTTACATTGCTGTCCTTTTCAGCAGCCTCCAGCTCACCTGGCAGGCAGGCTGGAACAGAAATTTAGGTTTTGCTATTTTGTGGGTCCTAGAAGAGGAGCTGTTGTAAGATAGAGGCAGAATGGTATAGAAGAAGGAGCCCTGGCCTGGTATTCCAGGCAACTAGTTTATAGCCCCTTTAACTATTTTTTTTTTTTTTCTAAGAGACAGAGTCTTGTTCTGTTGTCCAAGCTGGAGCGCAGGGGCACAATCATGGTTCACTTCAATCTTGAACTCCTGGGCTCAGACAGTCCTCCCACCTCAGCCTCCTGAGTAGCCAGGACCACAGGCACATGCCACCATGCCTGGCTAGTTTTAAAAATTTTTGTAGAGATAGGGCCTCACTATATTGCCAAGGCTGGTCTGGAACTCTTGGGCTCAAGCAATCCTCCCACTTTTGCCTCCCAAAGTACTGGGATTATAGGCATGAACCACCATGCCCTATAACTCTTTTACGGTGGGCAAGTCACTGTCCCTCCTGAGGGGCAGAAGCATCCTCATCTTTAAAAGAAGGGAGTTAGACTAGGCTGTAATTTTGTGTGTGTGTGTGTGTGTGTGTGTGTGTGTGTGTGTGTGCGCGCGCGCGTGTGCATGTGTGTTTCATCGTGAATGACTTAGTACTTAGCACAGTGCTCAAGTGACGCTGGGAAAATTGATGGTTTTCCCCTAGTGCTTAGAAAAAGGGTTGAAGGAAGGGCCAAGAGGGTAGGACTCAGGGACCCCTTCCTGACTCCTATCTCTGCTTCAACTACAACATCTCTACTTTTGTATATCTTGTATTTGTGGTTCTTTCTATGGTTTCACTAGAAGACAGGGTTCCCTGATTTTAAAAAACATTGTTGAAAACCACAGGCCACAGTGAAGTGTGTGGTTCCTGTTACCTCAACAGCCTCTGAGTTGATGACCCTGTGTTTCCCCTGGGCTCTTGGTCTGCATAGTGGACACTTCACTGTCCCATACATCCTCCTTGGAAGAGGCAGGAGGAGGTGCTGCAGAGAGGGCCTGAAACCCTGACAACCATGCCACAGCTCCATGCAGCCAGGGACTGTGCTTGATCTGTGTTTATATTGATGCTTCTTTCCAATACCCAACCCTTGCCCACCACTGCCCCCTAGCAGCACAGTGCCTAAATAAGTGCTAGGCACTTAGTAGATGCTCAGTAAATAGTCACTGACTGGGTGAAGGGGTAATGAGAATGTGCCCTCTGTGCCTTCTTTTCTTTTCTTTTCTTTTCTTGAGACAGGGTCCACCTCTGTTGCCCAGGCTGGAGTGCAGTGGCACAATCTCAGCTCACTGCAGCTTCTGCCTCCAGACTCAAGCCATCCTTTCTCCTCAGCTTCTGGAGTAGTAGCTGGGACCACGAGCACGTACCACCATGCTTGGCTAATTTTTGTATTTTTTGTAAAGATAAGGTTTTTCCATGTTTCCTAGGCTGGTCTTGAACTCCTAGTCTCAAGTGATCCACCCACCTCAGCCTCCCAGGGTACTAGGATTACAGGCGTGAGCCACCACACCCAGCCTGGGCCATCATTTCTTTTGTTTGATGTTTACCCTAGCATGCACACAGGGAAATTATTCAACTTTTCCCTGACAAGGAGAACCTAGCAGGGAATCAAAATATTTGAATTGAGGGGGAGCCATTTCACTTGCCTCTGGAATATGCTATGTGGTATAAATGTGTGACTTTATTTTCCTGAGTTTGTCCCAAGTATGGGCTTGGCTGTTGCTTAAGGCTAAACATTGCATAAGCCTCATGCTGCTAGTGATGCATGTAAACGCTGCCGTCAACATAAGGTAGTAGCCAGGGCTAGCCAAAGTGCCTGGTGACTCACGTGTGCTGACCTATGAGTCTTCCTAAGTTAGCACACTCAGTGCTGGCACGGTGGACCCTCAGCCCCAGGCAGGTCAACAGCGTGCAGCCGCTGAATCCGAACCTGAATTAGCCTTGCTGTTAGCCACTGAGCCAAGAGGGGAAGAATTCAAACCAGGCTAATAGAAAGAATGTGGTGAGGTAAACCCCTGGGTGAGGGAGAGGGAGGGGGCTTGTGTTTGTTTGCAATATTGGATCAGTGGGCTCAATTTCCTCTGCTTCCAAGGGAAAGCATGAAGGTCTCCCTCCCATTATGTGTCCACATGTGCACGCTTCCCTTTCTTGGAGACTGGAGGGGCTGCCAGCAGGGAGCTGCCCTTGGCTGTCTCCCAGCCATAAAGCCCACCTCTCCATGTTCACTGCTCTGCTCTTTAGAAAGGGCTTTTATATACAGGTTATTTAATGTCATTCGGATCTCTTATTCCTGGGATATAGACTGGAACAAAAAGCAGAATGACAGCAGCAATTAATTTTCCTGTCGAGGATGCCAGCAGCAGAGAGAGAGCCAGGCCAGAGCAGGGAGCTCAACACAACAGCAGGATTTGGAATTCACAGCCCTAGGAGTCTCTGTCTGGAATCCCTGGGCCCACCATGTATAAGTCATGCCCTTAGAGCTCAGCCACATGTGGAGAATGGGGGAAGGAGAAAGTTTGTTTACTCTCCAGACCTTGATGCTTGGCCCTGCCAAGCAGAGATTAAATGAAAATGGAATGGTTTGGCTTCTCCTCATCCCCCTCAGAGGGCTCTAGGCCAGCACTGCTTTAGCTCTGCAGGCTCAGGGAACTCAGGGAGAAGCCTGGTGCCTAGGTGCATAAAACATTAGAGCTGGCAGGGACTGAGTCCCATTCTTCATTCTAGAGACCCTGTGTTAGAACAGCAGCCAGAGCCCCGGGCTCCTGATTCCCATCTCTCCCCAGTCCCAGCCTGCCTCTCCTCTTCCTTCACAGCAACAACAAATAGGGTGTATGTGTGACTCATCTTATCTTTATCCCATTTATCTCTCTATGAGGTCAGGTCTTATTGTCTCCATTTTGCAGATGATGAATACTGAGGCTTAGAAAGATTAAATACCAAACATCGTACAGCGCCTCTGGTTAACAAGCCCTTTGTCATCTGATTCAGTTTTACTCTTACAGCCATTTCGGTGGATCGATTTTAGTAAACTCACTTCCCCCTAGAGAAAACTGAGGGTTGGAGAAGTGAAATGACTTTCCACAGCTAGTCAGTGGGTAAGTTGCACTTGAGCCCGGCTACTCTTCACTGCGTGTACATGTTAGTGGCTGAGCCAGGGCTAGAGTGTGGGTTCTGACACTCAGCCTGCTAGCACTTTATACCATCCCTGGTGGACCCCATTTCCTGGACACGATGACACTGTCCCTCAGCTCAATGAGTATGAACGCTGTGACATCATCCTTCCCACCTAAGATATGTCACTGCCCACCTCCACTCTGAAAGTCCGTGATGCTTGCAAATGTCACCAGCCACCATCTGAAAAGGTTTTTGTTTACCCACAGGGAAGCCAACTGGACCATTTTTCTTAAAACTTTCTCAAGGATTCTTCCAGCTTAACTCAAGCCTCCACACTCCTGCCTTTTTTGCTTCCCACCTTGAGAGATCGTTCCACTGCATACTTACTGGAGCACGAATCATAAGAGTATTGCCAATTTCTAATTATAGTATTGCACTTAAGTGTTTTCACAAGCATGTTTTCAAGCATTCTATCACCTGGTAAAATGATCTCCACTTGGCAGATGAAGAATCAGAGACTCACTGTTGTAAGGGATTTGCTCTGGGTCACAAAGGCTATCAGTGACTGAACCTGAACTCAATTCTGAGCTTCTGGCTCCCAGTTCTGTATTTTTCAGTTTAAGGCTGTGAAAGAACAAGCACCGACTAGCAGAAAGTGGAGGTGGGAGAAGAAGTTTCAGGAGAACAAATGCCAGAATCCCCTCCTGTCATTTCGATCACCAGGATATCCTGGAAATTAAACCATTAATTTGTATCTGTTTTTCTTTTTTAAGAGATGGAGTCTCCCTATGTTGCCCCAGATGGAGAGCAGAGGCCATTCACAGGCATGATCATAGCACACTGCAACCTCGAACTCCTGGGCTCAAGCGATCCACCTGCTTCAGCCTCCCAAGTAGCTGGGGCTACAGGCATGTGCCACCATGCCTGGCTTAATTTGTGTCTTATAGTAACAAGATTATTATTCTAGTTTCCAAGGTCTGTGTTCAAAATTTCATTGGGGTGGAATTCAGCACCAAGGACAGCACACCGGGTCCCATTGCCTGCAGAAATACGCTAGCCCTGGGTGTTGTGAGGCTTGAGAATTGGAAAGGTCCTCTCAGGTCACAGAGTCCAACCTTCACCCACTGTAGAATTCACTCCCACAATATTGAGTGCCTATCTGGCCTCTGCTTGAATACCTTTTGCAGTGGGGCTCTTACCACCCCCAAATTCAGTCCTTTCTGTTGATCCATAGTTTGCACTTAGAGACAGCATCTCCGTAAGTGCAGGAAGTCAGGGAATGGTGGCTGTTGAGAAGAGGTTCACCAAATTCTTTTTAAAATTATTAAATATTTGTGACATACAGGAAAATAGAGAAAATAACATGAAAAACACCCACCACTCAGACTGAACAAATATTAATATTCACTATATTTGCCCCAGATTCTTTTTAAGAAAAGAAAATATTACAAAAATACTTGAAGCCCCCCCTCTGTGCCCCTCCCTGGTTGAATTATCCTCCCTCTCTTTCTCCCCAGGGGTCATGTGTATGGTTGTTAAGACCCTTCATCCAGAAAGTTATGTCAGAGACAGAAGAGTTCCTAGAGACCTCCTTTTTCAATCCCTTCATGTAACAAATGAGGAAAACAAGGTCTAGGGGGAGGACTTAAGAGCTCAGGGGTGATCCTAAGCACTTTTACGGCTATTATCTTTACTTTCATTCCAGCTTTCAATGTGGGGCAGGACATGGATTGGTATGTCCGTTTTACAGGTGTTTGGGTTGTTTCTCTGACTTTTTAGCTCTCTCCCTCAGCTCCAAGATATTGAGTCACCCTTTTGCAAGTGGAAATATCAGAGAAATCACCACTGGAAAAGTTCCTCAGCCTACCCCCTTTTCCATATGAGAAATTTGAGTCATGGCCAAGATAACTGAATAATAAGGGAAATCAAATGGACTTGCCTTGTCGGAGGTCTAGCATGGGACAGAGTGGAGCAGGACTGTGGGTGCAGGAGCAGGAGGAGTAGCTTTGGTGAAGTTTAAGGCACAGGAAAGCAGGGGCTTCCAGGAACCTGGGCATGAAGGGGTGAATGGAGGGACTGGGCAGTGGGAAGGCTGGGCCTGAGCACTGAGGGCTTTGAATGCCAGGCCGTCATGCACCTGGACTTGAACCTTGATTTACAAAGAAGCCATGGAGAGGCTCTTGGCAGGGCAGTGACCTCACCAGATTAGTCATTTGGAAAGACCATTCTGGGGTGGGCAGAGGTGGGGTGAGGGAGGGGACTCGAAGTGGGGTGCTGGTTTGGGAGCCTGTTACAACAGTCTGTGGCCACCACGGCTGCTCTTTCTCCTGGTGCTGTTGGGTTGCTTGGCAGATAAGGCAACTCTCAGGCTTCACTGGCTTATCCTAGGCCATCTCCTCCCCACCCTCCATTCAGCCACCCCTAAGGATAGAAAATTTGCTTTCATGAGACCTAAGAAAAACATGACAAATAAGGAAAACCTCCATAACTCACTGGCACATGGCAGGGAAAAGACAAGCACATGGGGATGTCTAGGACTGTGGTTCAGCTCAGATGCTCTGATAGAAACAGCCCTGGGCCAGGCGTGGTGACTCACGACTGTAATCCCAGCACTTTGGGAGGCCAAGGCAGGCAGATCACTTGACATCAGGAGTTTGAGACCAGCCTGGCCAATATGGTGAAACCCTGTCTCCACTAAAAATACAAAAATTAGCCAGCCGTGGTGGTGCGCACCTGTAATCCCAGCAACTCAGAAGGCTGAGGCAGGAGAATCGCTTGAACCCAGGAGGCAGAGATTGCAGTGAATTGAGACTGCACCACTGCATGACTCCAGCCTGGGTGACAGAGCTAGACTCTATCTCAAAAAAAAAAAAGAAAAAAGAAAGAAAAGAAAGAAACAGCCCTAGACTTAAGAGAACTATTCTAGGCTCAGCCCTGGTTCATCCTGTGACCTTGAAAAAATCATTTTCCCTTTCTAAACCTCTGCTTCTTCACCCCAAAAAGGGAGAACTGGACTAGCTGATTGCTCAGGTTCTGCAGTTCTAATACTTTATACTGACATCCTCCTCCTCAACCTCTCTGAGTCACCTATGGGACTCTTGACTCTGAGGTCTGCGAACAGCCTGCTCAGCCCTGGTCCTTCATAATCATAATTGCTACAATTTATTGTGCATTTATCATGTGCTTGCACTGTGTAAAAACATTCAATTACTGCAACTACCCTACCATGTCAATGCTATTATCATTTGCATTCTACAGATGGGAGAAACTGAGGCACAGAAAGTTTTAGTAACTTGCCCAAGGTCACCTGCAGAAGCAGGACTTGACCCAGGTCCATTGGTGTCCACAGCTCATGCTCTGAATTCCTATACCTTAATGCCCAGACCCAAGCTCAGGCCCAGGCCAGGCCCCCACAGTAGTGATTTCCAAGTTCTCCTTGGTCCACTTTAAACCATGAGGCAAAAACTTGTCTGGGGCTCTCCTGGGCTTTGTGAGTGACCAGACTCCACCCCCGTCCTCACCCCTAGAGAGCTCTACTGAGGAGCCTACCTCCTGTTTGCTCATTTTAATAAGATTGTTCTCTCTCTCGAGCCTGAGTGATGACAGGTAGCCAGCTAGAACTAACTACAGTGTTAACTTTGCCTTGAAATCCTCTGCGAGCTCTGCAGCTGGAGACAGCTTGCGCCATGAGCTCATTAAGCAACAGAAGCCTGTCTCCCCACCACCAAGATGCAGGCAAGAAAACCTGTAACAGATCCACTTTTACACTGAGTCGAAAAGATCTGTGCTCACCCAATCCCCAACAACTTCCTTGGGGTTGTGGTGTGAGGGGAGGGGATTCCATTTCCCACCCCCAGTATTCAATTAGCTGCCAATTAGGCACTGAAAGGTCCCCCATCCCCCTGCCAGCCCTGACCCAGAAGAGGAGAGGACCGCAGAGCTCTCAGCCAGGCTCAAAGGCCTTTTGATTGTGCACCTGAGTTTATTCTGCTCCTTTCACTCAGGGCCTGGCTTCCTTTGAAAGTGAAATGTTTTAAAAGGAAAAGAAAAGAAAACCCCACACTTCGGGGAGGCCCACTGGGACCCCCTTTGGTTCAAACATCCAGTTCAAACGGCCTCCCAGCTACCCCCCTACATCTCCCAGCATGTCAGTCTGGGACAGCCTCACCTAGTCCTCCCACCTCCACCTCTTCAGGACCCAGCCATTGAGAGGGGAGATGAGAGAGAAAGAAAGGTGGGGCAGAGTAAAGGAGGTGAAAATGAGAGTGAGGCCACCGAGATGGAAATAGAGACAGAGAGAGAGGAGAGACACCAGGGAAGCTGCTTCTCAGCCTCCTGTCCTCTCAGGGTGGGGCTGAGCAGCAGAGTGACGACCACCATTTTAGTATTTCAGCTTCCAGGGAACCCGATGCTTGGCTGTGACAGCATCCTCTACCCGGCTCTGGAGTACAGAGGCTGGAGACCTGAGGGGCTCCCAATCCTTCCAGCCTGGGGAAGTGTCTATTTTTCCTCAGTTTCTAAGTGCCTCTTATTCCTCTCTCCTCCCTTCCTCATACCAGCCAGACAGAGCCACGAGGTACAGATGTTCAGGTTGTGCACTGCATAGAATAGACACAGAGAAACTTTCGTGGGGGCGTGTGGATGTGTGGGGGGACTCCAGCCTTCCCAGCAGCATCTGAGAGCAGCAGGGAGCCTCTCCAACATGCACTTACTGGCACACACTGCTGGCGGCTGCTCCCAATCCTAACTCTAGACATCCTCTGAGGCCAAATTTCTGTCCCCACATGTCAACTCTGAACCAGACAGGTTAGAGAACCTAGAGACTCTCCAACCAGAGTATCCTGCCCAAGTGTTTCCCAACACACCTGTGATGCCATTTCTGCCTCCAGCCTTTTGCCCATGCTGTTCTCCCAAGCTCCACCCCATCCTTTAAGCCCACTCTCCCTCCAGGCCCCACCAAGTCTCATCTCCTCCTAAAGCTTTCCCAGCCCTGAGGCTATCCTCCTCTTCCTACCTCAAGTGCCTTCACCTCTTCCTGGGGCCTTTCGCTTCTCCACTTTTAGTGTGATTTAGCCATTGTCTTTTTTCTTGTGGAATAGTGTCTCCGTCTCTCCACTCTAGGTTGTGAAGACCTGAGGACCATGTCATTTTGTTATCCCTAGCTTCTCTAACCATTTCCTGTATGGAGTTTGCTGATGAATTATTCACTGAATCAACAAATATTAATATCAACCCCTGATACACATCAGACAGCATGTTATGTCAGGGATTGTGTATACAGTGGGGAACAAAACAGACTTGGGCCCTGAAGCTGGTGCTTTTGCTTTTTTTTTTTCAAAGAGACAGTTCTCTCTCTGTCACCCAGGCTGGACTGCAGTGGTGCAGTTATAGCTCACTGCAGCCTGGAATTCCTGGACTGAAGCAATCCTTTCACATCGGCCTCCCAAGTAACTGGCACTAGAGGTGTGTACCACCATGTCCAGCTAATATTTAAAAATTTTTTTGTAGAGACAGGGTCTCACTATGTTGCCCAAGCCGGCCTTGAACTCTTGGCCTCAAGCCATCCTCCTGTCTCAGCCTCCCAAAGTGGTGTGGGCCACCATGTCCAGCTGCAGATGCTCTTGATTCCCTAGACCCCTCAGTGCTCACCTTTACACACCAGAGGCTGCCCCCAGCAAGCACCTGTCACTCCACCACAGAAGGACACACAGAGCTAGTGGGGAGCACCCAACACCTAAGCTGCCCTTCACCAAGGACAGGATAGAGAGGCTGATGGATAAATGCCCTGGCTTCCGTGCCCTTGACTGGGATAACTGAGGCAGTGGCCTTCATAGTCTCCCAGAGGTCCGGTGGGTTAAGCAGCACTTGTACTTCATCTCCCTTCCCTTCCCTGTGCACTGCCCCTTTCCCTTACCTGGCTTCCTGGAGCCACCTCAGGGTCTGCTTCTGGGGAAGCCCAAACCAAGTGCCTCCCCTGAAGGAGTTTACAGCCAGTGGATGATGATAATGACCTACCGTCAATCCTGACAGTAATTCTGCTACCTAATTAATTTACTTGCACATAGCATGATGCCTTGATCATTGACTTTATTCATTCATTTATCTCCACATTTTCTTGAATGTTTTGTTGAAATGTAGTACCGAGCACCTCCTTCTTGCCAGGCATTGAATAAGGTACTTTTGTATCATATCCTGATGGCAACCCTATCAGGCACACAAGAGCCCCATTTTATAGGAGAGATGAAGAAACTGAGACCCGAGGAGTGAATGCTTCCTCAGGTCATATGGGTGGTAAGAGGCAGAGGTGGGATTTGAACCCAGGTCTGTGTGATTCCAAAGCTCAGGGGCCTGATGGGTCAGTATCCACCTTAACCCAATGCAAAAAGCAGTGGGCACATGAGGTGGAGGAAGCAGGAAGGTTCTTGAAGCTTCTCTAAGGAGGAAGCATTAATCTGAGCCTAATTAAGGATAAGGGGGCTTTTAGAGGATGGAGAAGCCCCCCTCATGTAGGGTCTTCAGGGTCTTTAAGGAAGTGATACCGGGCAGGTGCAGTGGCTTACCCCTGTAATCCCAGCACTTTGGGAGGCCATGGCCAGATAATGGCTTGAGCTCAGGAGTTTGAGACCAGCCTGGGCAACGTAGGGAGACCCCATCTCTACAATTAAAAAAAAATAGCCGGTCATGGTGGTATGTGCCTGTAGTCCCAGCTACTCAGGAGGATCACATGAGCCCAGGAGGCCTAGGCTACAGTGAGCTGTGTCTGTGCCACTGTGTGCCAGCCTAGGCAACAGAACGAGACCCTGTCTTAAAAAAAAAAAAAAAGAAGTGACACCCACATGGAGGACAAGCGTTGTCCTTTGGAAGAGGCTGGGCCCCGCTAGACAGAATGAGGGGGTGCTGAGGCCTGGGCCACTTCTACCAAGTGAAGGTCATTAGATTCCCTCCAAAGTCCCAAACCCCTAAGAGCTCCCAGGATGTTCCAGCAGCAGAAAATGTAGATGTCCTGCTTAATGAAGCCTCCTGCTGCTGTGGGCCACGCCTGAGGTCATGAGAAATCCTAAGGGTCATTAACCTCACACCATTTGCTCAAGTGCTGGCTGTGTTCCTTGCTGGGTGACTGACGAGGCCATCAGCTCCCAGAATGGCTTTGGTCCTCCCCACACCCCCGAACCTCCTGCCATAACTCTCAGCTGCATGTGGGGACCCACCACCACCGTGACCTGCCCTCTTACGTCTCCAACTTCTGGCAAATGCAGCACCCGCTTTTAGTGACGGGTAAGAAAGATTTCAGGAATCATTGCTTGGCACCCAGAGACATAAATAACAATGAGGGGAACTATATTTAGTGAGGCCTCCGCTGCTCCTAAAGAGGGGCGCTGTAATTTAAGAAGTCTCGGTTTGTGTACAGCTGTCAGCACATTTTCTGAATCTCCTGGATGCACTGAGCTGCCCCAACTGCTCCTCCTGCCCTCACCTGGCTCCTCCCTGGCTGTGTCTTTCTTACCTGGCAGGGGAGTGCATCTCACCGGCACTGGGCAGTGTCATGAACAAATCTGAGGAGTGGAAAGACTCATTCTCTCTTTCTCTCTCTCATTCTAAGCGAGCAGGCACTGGCCTACCAGGGATGATGATGAGCTGCAGAGAGGGACTGTCTCCCTCTTAGACCAGGGTTGCAAGTCCTGCCACAGGGAAGTCCTGCTTTACTGCTTTCATGAATTCATGATGGAGCACTTAAAGTGCTTCCCATTGCTCTTAAAATCCCAGCTCCCTGCTGTGGCCACACATCACCTGCCTTCTCTACCTCACCTAGAGCCACCTTTCCCTCACAGTGCCCCCCACCCCTGCCCGTGCCTTGACTCTACCAAGCCTTTCCCCACCCCGGGACATCTGCCCGGGCCCTTTCTTCTTCCTAGAAAGCACTTCTTACCTCCCGCTCTTCCCATGGCCATCTCCTTCTCATTCTTCGGTTCTCAGTGTCCGGGTCACCTTCTCAGAGCGACCTCTCTGGCCTCCCAATTGAAAGGAAGTCCCTCTCATTGTTTTCTATCAAGCTCTTGTTTACACCTCCATACCCTTACTGCAACTTATAATTATATACTTACTTGTTAATTTATTCACTCATTCAGCAAATATTTATTGAGCATCTACTATATGCCAGACACTGTTCGAGGCGCTGGGGATATAACAGTGAATAAAACAGAGCCCCTGCCCTCATGGAGCTGACATTCTAGTAAGAATCCCAGACAGTAAACAAAAGGATGAAAGTAGGCAATATAGTGGTTACATCGTATTAGATAGAATAAGCGCTTTAAAGAAAAAAATAAAGCCAGAGGATGGGGGAGAGAGCTTGGAAAGGGTAATCCAAGAAGACTCTAAGGATGTAGTGTTTGAGCAGAGGAATAAAGGCCTTGCTTTGCTTACTGTCTCACTTTGCTGCTAGGCTGTGAGTTCCAGGACAGGACCATGGTGCTTTTATTCCCCACTCAATCCCCAGTGACTGGCACATAGCAATCAAGTCTTGTTGAGTGAATGAACAAATGACCCACCAAGCTGACCTCCTACTGCTGCAGCAGAAGTGTCGTTCCTTGGCTTCATCCTGGCAGATCCCAGGAGCATCCAGTCCCATCCTTTGATAATAACTCTCAATAGACAGGAATACCATTTGTCACTCACTCTCAGGCCTCCTCTCTCCAGGGAAACCAGGGGTCATTGTCCAGCAGTGATGGATAGAGTGTCCTCTGACTGGCAGACCCAGCTGGGAGCTCCTCTCAAAGTCCCTCCCCTGCCTGGGGACAAATGGACCATGACACAAATAACATAAATAGCAAGACAGAGTTGAGGAAGTCCCCAATCCCAAAGCGACGTGCTTCCCACCGATAGGTGGGGCCCATGTGAAGTGACTCCACTGGGGAAGTGGCGCCATGGAGAATGCTGGGTGGACCTGGGGTCTCAACTCTCCAACTCACCAGACCAATGGCCTTGGGCAAGCTGCTTTACTTCTCTGGGCCCCAGGCTATCCATCTGACCAGTGGGAATGCCAGTGTTTGCTCTGGTCAGCATAGAGGTGCTGTGGAAGCTCAAAAGTATGCTAGATGGTGCCTCACGCCTGTAATCCCAGCACTCTGGGAGGCTGAGGTGGGCAGATCACTGGAGGTTAGGAGTTTGAGACCAGCCTGGTCAGCATGATGAAACCCTGTCTCTACGAAAAATACAAAAATTAGCTGGGTGTGATGGCTCACGCCTGTAATCCCAGCTACTTAGGAGGCTGAAGCAGGAGAATCACTTGAACCCGGGAGGCAGAGGTTGCAATGAGTCAAGATCGCACCACTGCACTCCAGCCTGGGCGACAGAGTGAGACTCCATCTGAGATTAAAAAAAAAAAAAAAAGTGTGCTAGAGATAAACAGGGCTATTTCAAATAGCAAGTTTCCCACAGTATTTAAAGGGCAAGTTCATTGCACAAGAACTTGGAAGAAGGGCTACATAAAGTGAGGCAAATGCTCATTTGCTGTATTGGTTTGGAAATTCTATTTCTGCCTATCATTCAATGGCAGCTGTGAGCAGAGGTGCCCAACACTCATTTGCACCCCACAATTTGCTTTCCCCCTTTGGACGTGCTCTTCTCATCCCTGCCCTACGGATTTCCCCAGGTGACTCTGAGAGATGGAAGGCATGTCAAGGAGCATCCAGTGCTAGTGTCTTTATTTTACAATGGAAAAACTAAACGCCAAAGAGGGGATGTGTCTTCCCTGAGGCCACCCCGAAAGTCAGCAGAGGGACCTGGACTAGGACCCCAGTGTCCACAGCTCCCAGATGGGGTGAGAGGCAGGGAGGGTGGAGGCTTCCCCAGGACTCTGGTGACATCTGGATGCTCTCCTTAGGCAGGTCCCTTACCTCTCTGTGCCTCAGTTTGCTCATCTATAAATGGAGATGATGGAAGGGTACAGTAAGATACTACTTGTAAAGCACTCAGACAGTGCTTCACATATAGTAGGGCGCATTGTGTGTTTGCTGCCACTGCCCTGGACGTCCTGAATACAGCCAGCAGGCGCCAACCCACCAGGCAGCTGGTGGGCACCCTGCTCTGCCAGTAAGGAAGTCATTTGAATATCATCCTTGGTTATATTTATCATCCCCAAGTGCCTCATCCCTTAAGTAGCACAGCAGCCTCTGGGAATCTGCAGGACTTCCTGAAGGACACAGAAAGGACAGGAATCTTGCCTAGCTGGAGTAAAACCACCTGCAAACCTGTCTTGATGGGCTCTTCAGCTCTCCTCTGACCTGCGCCTAGCCCAGTGCTCTTCAGAGTGTGCTCTCTAGACATGCAGTCTAGGGGCTGTTACTGGCCAATGATGAAATAAGTAAGAAATTGAGAGTAAACGTTTAGCAACCTTTATGGTAATTTTGACATTGCTGTCACAGCCACGCACATGGTTGGAGGGTTCCTCTCATTGAGCAGAGTATAGACAAACTTGGGTGTTGTCAGATGTTCATGATGAGTCCCAGGTGGTATGAACATCACAGGAGTCATGCTCAGTGAGGACCATATGATGGATTAGAAAACAAACAAAACAAGACACTTGGTCTTTCCCCATGGAGAGTTTGGGAAGTAGTGGTCTAGCCTTTCCAGGCCCTCTGCAGCCTACCCAGGCTGTGTACCCGCCTTTCCAGGCTGCCCTGCCAGCCCTGCACGCCCCCTCCCTGTGCTCTTACCGGCCCCTCCACTCAGACTGTCTTCCCTTGTGTTCCCACCCATCAGAATCCCGTTCCTCCTTCAAGATCCCAGATCAAATCCCACTCATTACACAAGGCCATCCTAGGTAGATTAACCCCTTCCCCACCACACCCAAGCTCCCAATGCACTTTGACCTCTAGCAAGCCCAGCCTTCAGCATCTCATGTGACCTCTAGCTGCTGCACTTAAGCCCCACCCAGTCTGGACCCTACATCCAATCAGTTCTTAGTAGACCTAGGCCAAAGCAACTCCAAGCACCAGGAGCACCAGTTGGCTCCAGATGTTGCCTTTGCCAAAATGAAAGGTGGCACAACTGTGAATTCCTTTGGCTGAAACAGTGGTGGTGTGAATGCTGCTGGACGATCAGCAGAGCCAGTGAACCTGCTGGTGGGAACAGCCTCCTGCCAGGCCTTTGGGGTGCAGCATCAACTCCCAGGATGAACAGCCCAGAGGGCAGATCCCAGGTCCCTCCTGCCCCTGGCCCACGGCCCCCTTCTGGCTGACTCTCGGCTGCCCAGGTCCAAATCACCCTAACTTGCTTCACCTCTCCCTGGTGCCTGTGAACCCACAGATAAGCTGCTGGAGTCGCTTCAACACAACTCCTCTCTCACTCCTCTTTCCCACCCGGTGAAAAAGGCCCCCAGCTCCAGCATGAATAGGGCAACAGGTGAGGCAGGCCTTCATTCCAAAATGCTCCGTGGGCCCACCAGGGAGCCGGGCCTCTGCACAGCCTCCACTTCCACTGCTCCTGTCTCTGCTTCCTGCTTATTCTTAGTGGGGGTGTGGCCCACAGTACCAGGCAGAAAGTCCCTTAGGAACAGTACCAGTCTGACTGCCTCCCCACAAGCATCCTTCTCAGTGCCAGGCCCTGAAGTGGCTGCTCAGTGAGTGGGTGATGGAAAAGAAAGAACTTCCAGTGAGAACTTCCTCAGTGAGACCTAGGGAAGAACTTTCTGAGTGTGAGAGGAATTAAACACAGACGTTTAAAGGCAGAAATTAGGTTTTTGCACACCCTCCCCGCTTTTAGCTGCTTAGTGCTTTGTCCCTGTGTGAGGATCCAGGTCGAAAACACAGCAGCTCTGGAGCCCTGGAAATGGGAGGTCCGGGGCCCCTGTCACAGCCCAACCCCGCTCCAGGCAGAGAACTCCTCTGAACTCCATGGGCACAGCTTGGCACACAGTCATCTGGCCTGATCCTGTTTTTTGCCAAGGGGGACACTGACGTCTGGAAGGGTGGTGCCTTGCCCACAGCCCGTGAGAGAGATAGAGAGAGGCTCCCTCCTCCAGACCAGACCTCATGGTGGGAAGGGGAATGATGGGGAAATGGTCATGTCTGGAGTTCACTCCTCAGAGGAAATGGGCTTGGACCCCACAACTTCCAGTGCCGTTGCCCACTCCGACTGTGAATTCATTTCCCTCAGAGCCTACATGGCTGGGAAAGCATCACCAAATTCCCCTTGATCCCTACCCTCTCCCTCCCCTACCCGCCCCCACACAGCCTGAGACTTGCTCAGGGACCCCAAAAGGCAAGTGAGGGGGCCACGTCGGGGAGGGTGCAGGACCAACAAGGCTAGCCCGGTGTCTCTGCCAGCTGCCTTTGAAAGGCTCTTCCAAAGAGGTAATTCCTTTGTGCACAGACATGATTTATGAGGCTTTCCAGGCAAATTGTGGAGATAAATGGTCTTTGGGGCTGGGAAGCTTCAAAGGCAGTGATGCAAACAGATCAGAAGCTGCTGGGCCGCTGGGAGCTGGGCCTTCATTAAAAGCCTGTGGGTGGAGGGGAGGGCTTTGAGCAGAGCTAAGGACAGATAGCTTTCTGGGTCCCTGGGTCCCTGTGGGACAGCCCACTGCAGTTTGCCTCTCACCCCGAGCCTCATAGACCTCATTGCTGTATGGTATAAGGTGAAAGTGCTGGGGTCACTGAGGTACCTTTATCTGCTGGGATAAATGCCACAGGACAGAGGTTGGGGGTGGTGCATGAGTGCTGACTTGGACTCTAGAACAGCAGGGAGGACAGTGCGGGGTGCTCCTGCCGGGAGCGCAGGTAGGTGGCATCAGCCTCCGTGATCAGCACCGTCTGGAGACCTGGCAGGAGTTCCGGGAGTCTTGCTCCTCTCCTGCCTCTCATGGGTGATCTGGCTCTCTGGGTGTCAATACCTTCTTCTGAACAAAGTATAAAAGAACTCCAATGTTCCAGCTCTGCGGTGCCTCCTGGGTCCTCAATGTCCTCATCTCAGAAACAGGCCAGAGATCACCCTCGCTGTGAAGTTGTGGGCAAGCCACCTGGCCACACCTGCCCTTGGTTCCTTCCTCTGTGAAGGGGGATAACTATAGCTATCCTGAGCAGTTGTGGCTTAAATTGAACAAGATCATACCTGCAAAGTCTCTCACACTTACTGTTCCTTCCCATTATCTGTCCACACAATACTGTGGCATTCTACATCCAGAGCAGATGCTGATTTAAAAAAAAAAAAAAAGTCCCCGATAAAGTCCCTGATAAAGTCCCCGAAGTTGATAAATTTGACTTTCCCATCTTCCCACCTCCTCTCTCCTAAAGCAGGTCAATAAACATACACATACCCTGCTGAATCTGGCTTCCAGATCTGCTAATTGCCACTTGGATATTAAGAGATAACTGAGATATTAATGGCTGATAGTGCCTCAGGATGTGACTAACCCCCCCCCCCACACACACACACAGAGGCACAAACGGGGTTGTTTGCATTTTAATAGGGATTCCTGCAGCCCTTGAGGAACGGGGTCCTAATGGTGCAGTGCCAAGCAGGTGCAGTGATATTTCAAGCAGGGGCTCAGTGTTGGTTTCAATTCAGCCATCTGCAGAGAGATGCCCGGCTCTGATAAAACTGCTCCTGAATCTCCCCACTCACTCCTGAAATGTTGATGGTGATACTCCTGGTTGAAATGGACCTGGCTGCCTGGAGCTGTGGTGGAAGCTACGGCAATAGAGATGAGGAAGGTAATGAGCTGGAGCAACTGCCTTTGCTCAGGGCATTGAATGTACCCATGGCCTTTGTTCCCCCTCCTGCCCTGCTGCCCGAGACACTGCCCGCTCCCGGGCCTCCTTGTCTCTAGCCTGACAGTGGAGCACCCTCCCCAGTTTTAGCAGACAGCTTGCCCAGAGCTCCTCTCATCACCCCGTGTTCTGACAGTTTCCCATTTGCTTGTCTGTTTCTCAAACTGACTGCAGGCTTCTGAGCCCCTAACATGATAGGTGCTTGATAATTGTTTGACATTGAGCCTCTCATCTCGTAATAGCTGGTGTGATGGGAGGCAAAGAGCCCTAGATGGATACAGTCAGCTAGTTTCAAATGCAGCTCTCCAGTTTGTTAGCTGTGTGGTCACGGGCAAGTCATTCAGCTTCTCTGGCCCAGTTTCCTGACCTGTAAAATGTGGAGTGTACACAAGATGACTTCTAAAGCCTAGCAGTAAAGAAAGCCAATATATGACTCTCAACTTCACCTTTCACAATCAGGTGATGTTACCCACTGCCAGGGGATGTTTGTCAATATCTGGAGGCACTTTTGATTGCCACAATTGTGTGTATGTGTGTCGGGGAGGTACTACTGGCATCTCGTGGGTAGAGGCCAGGGATGCCACTAAATGCCCTGCAATGCACAGGATGGTTCCCCATAGCAAAGAATTTTCTGGCCCAAAATGTGCTGAGGTTGAGAAGCCCTGATTTAGTTATTTAATGCCTCTGAACCTCAGTTTTCTCATTGGAAAATGGAATCATAATCACATCTCACATGGTTTACCTCAGATCCTCTTTGGAATGAGGCAGGGTATGAATAACTGGCACAGGATTAGTAAGAAAATTAGAGGAAACAACCCATGGGAGAATGCAGCTGGTCCCTGGTAAGCTCTCGGGGTTAGGGTTTTCCCCACGTGCGTGTGCTCACTCCTCCATCCCTGCTACCCTAGGAGATGGGTGGGATATGCAGCCGCAGCCTCTGTGAATCCCAGCCTCCCCTTGGAGGTTTAAGGGAGGTATAGACGGTGTGGTTAAGTAACACCGAGTAACAAGTGTAATAAATAGATCACTAAGAGCTAATGATACATCATTATAATCCTGTGCTGTCAGCATCTTCTAGGCTTAGGGACTGTGTCAAGAGATTTGGGTTTTAATCTACCTTGGTCTATTAATATTTAATTCCAACAATCTAAGTGGCAGAAAGATAGGAAACTGAGTGATAGCTCAGCTCAGAGCTCGGGTAACCACCTCCAATTTTTCTTTTTCATACAAACACACCTCCTATCCCTGTGTCCTCTGGCCTGTTTCTCAAGTGGGGACATTTGGCAACAGGGCAGAGAATCACACAGCATTGGGACTTGAAGAGTCTCCAGCATTTACCTACCAGTGTTTGTTTGTTTCTTTCTTTTTCTTTCTTTCTTTCTTTCTTTCTTCCTTCCTTTCTTTCTTTCTCTTCCTTTCTTCCTTTCTTCCCTTTCTTCCCTTCCCTTCCTTCTTTTTTCTTTTCCTTTCTCTTTTTTTCTTTTCTTTTTTTTCTTTTCTTTTCTTTTCTTTCTTTCTTTCCTTTCTTCCCTTGCTTGCTTGTTTGCTTGCTTTTGGACAGGGTCTCACCATGTTACCAAGGTTGGAGTACAGTGGCGCCATCACAGCTCACTGCAGCCCGACCTCTCAGGCCCAAGCAATTCTCCCACCTCAGCCTCCTGAGTAGTTGGGACTACAGGCACATGCCGCCACACCAAGCTAATTTTTATAATTTTTGTAGAGATGGGGTTTTGCCACGTTGCCCAGGCTGGTCTTGAACTCCTGGACTCAAGCTACCCTTCTGCCTCAGCCTTTCAAAGTGTTGGGATTACAGGTGTGAGCCACCGCATCTGGCCCAGTATTTCTGAATGGGGACATCTTTGGCATTTTTTATTTGTATTTTATTTATCTTATTTTTAGAGACAGAGTCTCTGTTGCACAGCTGGAGAGCAGTGGTACAGTCATAGCTCACTGCAGCCTCGACCTCCTGGGCTCAAGTGATCCTCTTACCTCAGCCTCCCAAGTAGCTGGGACTACAGGTGTGCACCACCACAGCTGGATAATTTTAGCTTTTGGTAGATAATTTTAGCTTTTGGTAGAGACAGGGTCTCACTGTGTTGTCCAGGCTGGTCTCAAGTGTCTAATCTCAGTGATCCTCCTTCCTCGGCCTCCCAAAGTTTTGGGATTACAGGTACGAGCCATTGCACACAGCCAGGATACAGTTCTAAATTGTGTACAATTGTCCCTGGGATTATTTGTGACAACCTAAATTCCCCCCTCCCATTTCCAGATGCTGTCTTGGGGAGGGTGACCTACTCCAGGCAAGAACCACTGATCCAAACCTGTTTTACAGATGTAAAAACAGAGGCCCAAAGAGGGAAGGAGGCTGCCCAGGAGTACCCAGCATTGGCTCTGACCCATCCTTCAGTGCTCCCTCAGAATTGCAGCTTAGGCCTGGAAAGAGCAAGGGGCTCAGCCTCGGAGAACTTGACTTTGCTTTTACTGGGGCAAGTCAGTTGACAAATGGCCTCACTCACTGGGAAGTCACTTTATTTATCAGCTGGAATGGTTTCCGGCGGCTGCTGCTCCATCTCTGCCTCCCTGCCTACTGCTTTGTAAACTCAGGAGCAATCCCGTGACCTGTCAGCTCTCGCTGCTGCTTCTGTGGGTGGGGTGGAAGATTGGGGGCCACAGACCTTTCTGGGAGGGGCTGTGACTGCATCAGGCCTTCCCATTGCTGGAGAGGAGAAGGGAGGTGGGGGCCTTGGCCCAGTCCTTAGTACAAGCTGGGGTAGCTCAGGGGCAGTGGCTTCCAGGTTCATTTCCATCCCTTGACCTTCAATTCAGAGGCCAACTCCTCCTGCTTGCTGGGTCTCAGGATTCCTGTCTATGGAATGGGAAGGACTAACCTTCTCTCCCACCCCACCTCCAGCCCAGCATCCTCCTGCACATCTCCCTGAGAGGACCAGTGAGAACAGAGATCATGGGAAAAAAGAGTTCTCACCTGGGGAGCTTTTCAAGGGACCTATGCTTGGGCCCTACCACCCTAGACCAATTCATTTGGAATGGCCATGGGTAGATCTCAAGCAAGAGTGTTTCTTAAAACTGCCCCAGTGATGCTGATCTGCAGCCAGGCCAAGAACCACTGTCTGAAGAAGTGAATCCTACAAGCAGCTGGGAGGGGGTTCTTTGGTAGCTGGGAGAAGGGCTGGCCAGTCACCTTCAACAGCACTGCTGACAGCTCTTCTTGTGCCCCGCTGAGCTGGCTGCAGGGTGGGACCAGATGGTGGATGTGGGGAAAGTAAAGGGCAATCACAAACTAAGGACACACCTTAGCTCCTGTCTTCCTCCAGCCCAGAGAGACTCCAGGGCTAATGCAGCAGACTGGGCACAGGCACCTAAACCTTCCTATACAGTAGTGAAGGCAGAAAAGTAATGGTCGGCCGCATTATTTATTATTCCTAGTACAGTCCATAACGGCATCAAAACATATTTAGTTGTGTCCCTTTAATGAATTGTCTTCAGGGACTCTAAAAGATACTTATATCCCAGTGTTCACTGTTGTCTTCTAGACAATAACCAAAAGGTGGAACAACTCAGTGTCATCAACAGACGAATGGATAAACAAAATGTAGTCTGTCCATACAATTGAATAGTATTCTGTCATAAAAAGGAATGAAGTCCTGATACAGGCTACAACATGGATGAACCTTGAAAATGTTATGCAAAGTGAAATAAGCCAGATACAAAAGACTGATATTGTATGATTCCATTTAGAATCTAGAAATATCTAAACAGGCAAATTCATAAAGACAGAGGGCAGGTGCAGTGGCTCATGTCTGTAATCCCAGCACTTTGGGAGGCCGAGGCAGGTAGATCGATGAGCCCAGGAGTTCAAGACCAGCCTGGCCAACATGGTGAAATCCCATCCCTACAAAAAAATAGGAAAATTAGCTGAGTGTAATGATGCACGCCTGTAGTCCCAGCTACTCAGGTGGCTGAGGCAGAAGAATCACTTGAACCTGGGACACAGAAGTTGCAGTGAGCAGATATCGCACCACTGCACTCCAGCCTGGGGGACAGAGCGAGACTCCATCAAAAAAAAAAAAAAAAAAAGACCGGGTACTGTGGCTCATGCCTGTAATCCCAACACTTTGGGAGGCCAAGGTGGGCAGATCACGAGGTCAGGAGATCGAAACCATCCTGGCTAACACAGTGAAACCCCATCTGTACTAAAAATACAAAAATTAGCCAGGCATGGTGGCGCATGCCTATAATCCCAGCTACTCAGGAGGCTGAGGCAGGAGAATCCTTTGAACCCAGGAGGTGGAGGTTGCAGTGAGCCAAGATCGCACCACTGCACTCCAGCCTGGGTGACAGAGTAAGACTCTGTCAAAAAAATAAAAATAATAAAATAGAAAGAAAGAAGCTTAAAGGTTACCAGTGTGGTAGGGGAGGAACTAGGGAGTTACTGCTTAATGGCTACAGAGTTTTTATATTTGGGGTGATGGAAAAGTTTGGAAATAGTGCTGATAGTTGGTGCAACACTGTGAATGTAATTAATGCCACTGAATTACACACTTAAAAATGATTAAAATGGAAATTTGTATGCTATATATCTTTTACCACAATAGAAAAAAAATCTGAGTAAACAATAGATAATCTTAAGAGAATAAAATTTTGGGAAATAGGGCCAGTCGTGGAAAACCTAGGACCTACGCCCACCATTCACACATAAACCAGTCCCTGAATAAGGCACTTGTGGAAAATCAGTCTCTGCTCTCACCTCTTTATGGATTTTCAAGGGTGGCTGTTTAAGCCCAGGCTGGCTGCCAGCATACCGTGTCCATCTGCAGCAAGTGCTATTATTATAGGTTGTTGTGAGAATTAAATGAGAAAATTCACTTTGCACCTTTATCTCATGACTTGGCATTAGTAACTGCCTGATCAACTGTAGTTACAAATTTAAAAGCCTGTCGGTGAAGAAGACGGTGGTGAAGCCATTTGCCCTCTTGGGGACCCAGGGGCACACTAAGCCTGGACCCCAAAGTCTGAAGCAGTCAGCAGGGGAAGGGGGTGAGTTGCCCAGCCTCGAGGAACAGAACAAGCCGGGCCACACACTTCCAGGTGCCCTTCAGCCCCCAGTAGCTGCCCAGAGACAATCTAGCCACTTAAAAAATCAGCCAGTAATCCCAGCTACTCAGGAGGCTGAAGCACAAGAATTGTTTGAACCCAGGAGACAGAGGTTGCAGTGAGCCGAGTTTGCACCACTGCACTCCAGCCTAGGCAACAGAGTTGAGACTCTGTCTCAAAAAAAAAAAAAAAAAAAAAGGAAAAATCAGCCAAAGCCCAATATAATTAGGAAGGAAAGCCTGGGACAGAAAAAAAGAAATGTGTGAGGGGTGACATTCCAAGGCCAAATTGGTAAGAGTTTGCGATTCTCTGTGAAAGAATGCAAAGTCTTCTTGTAATTATAATGATGGTAGTTTTTAGTCACCTTCAGCAGAGTTGATAATTGACTCGCTGCAGCTCTGCCTCATTTCTCTGTCATTGCTGGAGAATGAGGTGTTTTAAGTGAATTTTCTAGATAACTGAAGCTTATCCCTGTGAACCCTAACATTGTTTTTTTTTGTTTAATCACTCTGGTGGGAAATTTCTCTGGAATGAATTACACACTTCTCTGCTTCCTTAATCAGAATATTCTAAATTGAATGTCACTTCTTCCTGTCAATTTGGATATGAGAGGCTATTTGCCCCTATATTAATGGCTGCAAGTTGCTTTGCTTTTTTTCATCTATAAATGTTTCCTATTTCCATAGTTTCTTACTATGACACAGAGCTCTTGCTCACATACTTTTTAGGAGCCCCATAAAACATGCAGACATTGTCCTGAGCCACAATCTCAGCACTTTGGGAGGCTGAGGCAGGTAGATTACCTGAGATCAGGAGTTCGAGACCAGCCTGGCCAACATGATGAAACCCTGTCTCTACTAAAAGTACGAAAAATTAGCTGGGCATGGTGGTGGGTGCCTGTGATCCCAGCTACTCGGGAGGCTGAGGCAGGAGAATCGCTTGAACCCGGGAAGTGGAGGTTGCAGTGAGCTGAGATCGTGCCACTGCACTCCAGCCTGGGCAACAAGAACAAAACTCTGTCTCAAAAAAAAAAAAAAATGCAGACACAAACATACACATGTGCATATACACACACACTCACATGCCAGTCTGTGTTGTGAGAAAGCAGAGTGCCAGGCTTAATAGAATTGTGTTTACATGTCCTTCTATAATCCCCTGAGCTGCCCTTATTAGAGCACTTTCGTAGGGTACCATGAATGCTGCTCCAGCATTTCTGCCCCTACTAGACTGTGCACCCCAATAGGGCAGGGTGCTTTCTGGCAGTAGCAGGTCCTTGGTAAATGTTTTTGAATGGACAAGCAGAAGAATGAAAACACCCAAGTGTTACCATGTGGACTTTATGACAATATTCTGGCTTCCTTATCAGGCGGCTAGTTTTGCTTCCTACTGGGTTTTGGCTGTGCCAGAAAGAACAGAGGTTGTTTGATAAGCAAAGCATAACTGTATGCCCTGCGATGCACCGAGAACAAACTGCCTTTTGGCTCCAACAGTTTCATACAGAACCAAGGTCTCAGGGCAGTAACTGCAGCCCCAACAAACGAAGGAAATTCCTTGTGCTGGATCCTGTGGTGGTTCACAGTGACGAACAGAGAAGAAGTGGCTAGTCTCTGTGGTATCCCTGATCTGTGCTTCGTGGCTGCCACCTTGTCCCCAAGGCCACCTCTAAACTTCACTCCTTGGACTCATCCTCCAGAAAGTGTCCCAAAGACCTGCAGTGGGGAGAGCTAGAACCAGGAGAGCTGGGCTTGCTCTTGCTGTAACCTCAGGTAATCACTTAACTTCTCTGACCGTGTATTCTCCGTCAAATGGGAAAATAAGAAAACCTAACTTACATGGTTGTTGTGAGGATTAAATTTTAGTCATGTATGTAGCACTTCTAGGATGGTGCCTGGCACACAGGCAGCTTTTAAAATGTGGCTGTCTGGCCGGGCGTGGTGGCTCACACTTGTAATCCCAGCACTTTGGGAGACTGAGGCAGGTGGATCACCTGAGGTCAAGAGTTTGAGACCAACCCGGCCAACATGGTGAAACCCCATCTCTACTAAAAATACAAAAATTAGCCAGGCGTGGTGGCAGGCGCCTGTAATCCCAGCTACTCGGGAGGCTGAGGCAGGAGAATTGCTTGAACCCGGGAGACAGAGGTTGCAGTGAGCCGAGATCACACCACTGTACTCCATCCTGCCTAATAGAGCGAGACTCTGTCTCAAAATAAATAAATAAATAAATAAATAAGTAAAATGTGGTTGTCATTATCATAATAGTCACAACATATGGACAATAAGCTATGTGAATTCAACTACGTGTGCTTGGCAACTAAAAGAGAAATGGTACCATAGATAATTCTGCTAGTCCTTCTGCTCACTGAGTGTGTGTCCCAAAGAGAGGATGAGGTAGGAGGTGCTGGACTGCTGGATACTCAGTCACTCTCTGTCCTGTGAGCCTTTTTTTTTTTTTTTTTTTTTTTTTGACACGGAGTCTTGCTCTATCGCCCAGGCTAGAGTGCAGTGGTGCAATCTCAGCTCACTGCAACCTCTGCCTCCCGGGTTCAAGCAATTCTCTTGACTCAGCCTCCCAAGTAGCTGGGACTACAGGCGCATGCTGCCACGCCAGTCTAATTTTTTGTATTTTAGTAGAGATGAGGTTTCACCGTGTTGCCCAGGCTGTTCTTGAACTCTTGAGCTCAAGCAATCCACCCACCTTGGCCTCCCAAAGTGCTAGGATTACAGGTATGAGCCACGGTGTCCAGCCTTCTGTGAGCCTTTTTCAATGTGAGTGGAGGCTGTAGCATAAATGGATTTAATTTTTGCTTTACTCACTGTAATAGCAGGTGGAAAATATAGGGTGAGACTCACTCATAACTTGGCAGTTCAGTTTGTGTGTGTGTGAATACTTGGGGCACAGATGAAGAAGGGATGAACCAAGATAGGGTAATGGGAGTTCCAGGCCTTGGTGATTCTGTCTGCTACAGGATGATAGGCAGGCTCCATGACATTGACCGCTTGACCTTGGTCAGCAGGTAGGAGGGACATGTCGGGGACTGGTGGGGCTGATCCTTCCACCAACCTTCAGCCCCCAAAGATCACATGCACTTACTGGCCACACTGGAACCTTGTACCCTTGTACACGCCCAACACTTGAACGCCACTGTATCTTTGCTTATATTGAGTCTACCCCAGTGACACCTTCCCAGTCCCACTCACCTGCCCCCTTTCCTCTCTGAGTGTCTAAACCCTAGAAACCTGGAGCACAAACAGCAACAGATAATCTCGGTGACCGGCCACTCCAGTTTGCCCAGGACTGAGGGATTTCCCAGAATGTGGAACTTTCAGTGCTGAAAGCAAGATGGTTGCTCACCCTATTAGCCAGACAAGTGAGACATCCTTTACAGCCCACTTGAGATGGCTTCTGTTTTAAGAAGCCTTGCCTGGTCTCCTTAGCTGGGAGCAATCATTCTTTCCATCCAACTTCTCCCAGAACATTATGTGTGCCTGTCCATGCCTGAACTCCACACCCTACTTTCACCCCAGAATTTGAGCGAATGAGGCTATAACTGAGGACATCTTGTTATTGTGTGTCCCATATGCATCGGGGAGGGTCAGAGTGGGAGGTGGCAGCAGGCTTGGTGACCTCTCTGGGGCTCTGCTACTCAGCCCCTTTCCATAGCCGTAGAGTGTGAATTTCTGCAACACTGGCTCAGCTATCTCTCTTTGAAACATTTAATTACATGTAAAGATCTTGAAGGCTGCCTGTTACTTCCCAGGGAAGCCTTTCTTTTTCCTGCTCCTTCTGAAGCTGGCTGCTTGGAAAGTAATGAAACTGAACTGAAGCTGAAGCAACCAGGGGGCGTAGGCATTACTGAAAGGAAGAAGCATGAGGAAGAGATGAAAAGGGTGACAGGGAGATGGAGCCAGGGGAGGGGCAGGGAGTTAGAGGAAATATTCCCAGAGAGTGAGTGAAATGCAAATGGTGAGAAAACCAATGCGTGTGGGGAAGAGGGAGAAGCGGGCAGGAAAGATAGAGAAATGGGAGCTGGAATGGGCTGGGTCCCGCAGGTCCCAAGAAGAGAGGGGTAGGGTCACAGAGGAGAGGGGTGGCAGATGGGAAAAGAAAGGGCCCGGCAGAAAGGAACAGAAACAGGCAGCCAACCAAGAGCTTAGCAAAGAGGGATGTAAACAGCTTGTGGCTCCGGAATTTCAATACAGGAGAGGGGGGCTTAGGGCAGCCATTTGGTTGGAAGAGAATGGCCGGACCAGGAGGTAGGTTCTGAAGCTGCCTTGAGGAAACAAACGCTCTGCCCTTCTTAGCCTGTGCGACTATTTGCATGGCTTGGTGGAAGAACTGATGCAGGTTATGAGGCACCAAAGCTTCCAGGCACCCCTTGCTGCCACCTGTCCGGGGAGCAGCGCTGCAAAGATGGGAAGGCCGCATGGGCATCGGTTCCTGGCCCCTGCCCCAAGGAGAGCCTTCGGGGCTCCTGATCCCTGACTGTCCCGTCTCTTGCAGGCTGCGACAGCGACCACTGGGGGCCCCACTGCAGCAACCGGTGCCAGTGCCAGAACGGCGCCCTGTGTAACCCCATCACAGGCGCCTGCGTGTGCGCCGCCGGCTTCCGTGGATGGCGCTGCGAGGAGCTCTGCGCACCTGGCACCCACGGCAAGGGATGCCAGCTGCCGTGCCAGTGCCGACACGGTGCCAGCTGCGACCCCCGCGCCGGCGAGTGCCTCTGCGCACCTGGCTACACCGGCGTCTAGTGAGTCATGCGGCAGGACCTGGAGGGGCGGGACCTGGAGGGGCGGGACCTGGAGGGTGCCTGGGTGGGGAGGGTAGAGGAGGTGGAGGGGCTGGGGCGGGGCCTGGAGTGGCTGCCCTCACCGCAGCTGCACGCCCAGCCCTGGGCTCCTTGTGGGTGGGCTGGGTGGTGGGACCAGGAGGGATAGTCTTGGCTGTGAAATCTCCTGTGAGTCTAAATGCCCAGGCCTCACCCACGCAGGTCTCAGATTCCTTCCTTCCAGGACCGCGTTGACTGGTCCTTCCTGAGACTGCCCGAGTGGGCACTCCCTAAAACCCTCCCAGGAGGCCCTTCCTGGCAGAGACAGCCCTTATCTTGAAAGTCTCTTCTGACCTTACCCAAATGATGCTGCTCACCTGGGGCCTTCCCTTCTAGGGCATTTGGGACAGAGAGAGGTGAGGGTCCTAGGCAGATACCATGTACAGATTTGGGAGGATTACTCTGCCTGTTCCTCTCCCCTACTTTCTCTCCCCAGACACCAAACAGCCCCTCATTCCAGTTCCCCAGAGAGTAGTATTGACAGGAGACCTACAAGACTGCTTAGCTGAGACCCCCTCAGAGGCAAGATTGAAGTTCTCCTCCCAACCCTGTAGCAGACTCTGTGGCCTCTCCAACAGCCTAGATCCTGAGGGGTGGCCAAGGACTCTGACCACAGAGACGTTGTTGATTGAGGGTGTTCCCTACCCCGATGTCTGGCCAGCTCCCAAGTCCTAGTGAGCTAGAGGCCAGGGCCATTGGATGAAGGCCCAAGACCAAGACCCCATGCAAATCCTGCCCCACCCTTCAACAGCACCCAGTCCCTGCAAATGAGCCTGTCATGGGAGCTGGGAGCCTTCCTGAGCCTGGAAGGAACGTGCTCCAGATTCTTCCCCTCTCTGAATCTAGGTGGATTCTTAAAGATGGGATCCATGAGCACTTCTCAGTGCCTTCATTAATGCAATGACTTTGGCCTGGCATGCCCTTCCTTCCATTCTCCTGGTTAAATTAACTTCACCTTTAAGGCCCAAGTAAAATGCCTTCCTCCTTGGGAAGCCTTCCTCAGCCTCCTCCCCAGAATACTCTTCTGTACACTAAGAACACTTAAGTCATCCCACAAGTATTGGCCCAAGCACCCTACATTCCAATGTATTCAGTCTGAGCCTTGCTTCCCCCTCCTGGCAGGGAGCAGGACTGCAGTTCAGCGGATGCTGTGCCTAATACAGATCCATTAACTGCGGAGGAATTCCTAGGGAACCCTGGAGCACTGGGGCCCTGCCACCTGATCTGAATGCTGCTGTGTCTAACACCTCTGCTTCTCCATGCAGCTGCGAGGAGCTGTGCCCTCCTGGGAGCCATGGAGCTCACTGTGAGCTGCGCTGCCCCTGTCAGAATGGGGGCACCTGCCACCACATCACTGGCGAGTGTGCCTGCCCCCCAGGCTGGACGGTAAGTGGGCCCAAAGGATCTGGGTGGGGCACTGGAGGGCTGAGCCTTCATCACTCACACATACCTTAAAAGGCTAAACTAGCCGGGCATGGTACTCGTGACTGTAATCCCAGCACTTTGGGAGGCCGAGGCCCGCAGATCACTTGAGGTCAGGAGTTTGAGACCAGCCTGGCCAACATGGCGAAACCCCATCTCTACTAAAAATACAAAAATTAGCCAGGCGTTGTGTCATACGTCTGTAATCTCAGCTACTCGGGAGGCTGAGGCACAAGAATAACTTGAACCAGGGGGCAGAGGTCACAGCCAAGATCAATTTGCTGCACTCCAGCCTGGGCAACAGAGTGAGACTCTGTCTCACAAAAAAAAAAAAAAAAAAAAAAAAGCTGAATTCTTCTCCCACTCTGAATACCCTCCCTCCTATTTATCGCCATAGGGCATCACTAAACGCTGCCAGTGGTGCCATGGACACAGCTTTGAATCCCAGGTCTGCCATCTCTAAGTGCTGTGTGGTCTGAAGCAAGTTACTCACCTCTCTGAGCCTGTGGTCTCTCGTGTGCAAAGAAATTGAATTCTTCTTGTAAGATTAGCTTTGTCTTTGGGTGTGAGCACCCACATGAGCTGCCACAGGCCCTGGGCCAGAGGTGGCAGAAAAGGCTGGGAAAGGAGGAGAAACAGCAGGTATGGATGACCTGAATTTATCTAACTTCGCCCCCTGCACTTGCACACACACACACATTCTGATTCTGTGGGCCCCAGAATCTGTATTTTAACAGGTACTATAGGTGATTCTGATGTAGCCTGAAGCAGCCCAGGTCTCATGTCTGGGAAAAACCACTGTGGGAAAGGAGGGTAAGATTTGTAACCTCATGGGCCTAAATTCAGGTCTCAAAGCCAATGTTGACCCTGAAAAAAGCCTCAATTACTCCCCTTCCCCCAAGTACAAAACTGATATAACAACAGTGAGCCCTGCCCTGCCCAGCTGCCATGGTTGGAGGCTGGCTCATGTGAGGCTGTGCATGTCCAAAGTCTTTTGCAAACTCTGAAGCCCTCTATGATAGCTTGATTTCTATCCCTGGGTGCCACAGACCCTCCACAAGCCTCCTTTTAGCCAACATACCCTGCCTGTCAGTGCCTGCCTCGCAGACCAAGCCCTTACAGGCAGTGAGTCAGCTGAAGCTGACCTTCCTGGGCTGCGTCCCTGCCTCTGACTCTCCAGTAACACGCTCCGTTTCAGGGGAAGCTCAGCGACACAGTCCACCACCTCCCCTGGGGCCTGAGGCTTTGCAAAGCCAGAGAGGAAAGGGCTGCTGAGCAGAAGCAGGATATTTTAGGAGGCTGCGAATGCAGAGGTCACAGGGACAGATGGGAGGACACCTGCAGGGCCCATCGATGCAGGCACAGTCTTGACAGAATTTTTTTAGGGCAGGAAAGGACCTTGGGGACCACTTGGTCCCACAGTATCCAAACCTGACTGCACCCCAGAGCTGACAAGGGGGTGGTGGGGGGTTAAAATACAGATTCCCAGGCTGCATCTGTGACCTCCTGGGACTGGGGGATCTCTATTTTTAATAAGCTCCCCAGATGGTTCTGAGGCAGCCAGTCCTGTCTGCAGGTCTTCATTTGGAAAGAACTGATCCAGACCATAGGACTTCCTTCTGTGTTTCACAGAACCCTAGGGTTTCTTGACGGAGAGTGGGGGCAGGAGCCTAATCGTTAGGACTCTGGTGCCCACCCCACCCCCACCTCTCCATTTTAATCTAGTTTCTATATTGAGGTGCTCTAGGTAAGATTTCACATAAAAACAGGGTTTCCCAGCTTTAAGAGATTTGAATCCCACTGGTCTGTCAATACCTTCCTTTCTCAGATGAAGAAGCTGAGGCTCAGAGAGGGTAAGGGACCTGTTCAAGTCCACACTGGTGGTTAGGAGTGAGGTGGAGCTAGAATCCAAGTCTTCTGACTCCCAGCCCTTGGTGTCTGTCTGTCCATCTGTCTGTCTCCTCTGAGGAAGAAAAAGGGACCGCCACCACCTTTTCTTCCACCCTGAACCAGTCTCTGGAAAGACCCTCTCATCTCCAACCAGCTTTCAGAAATCCACCCAGCAGGCTGGGTCCTCAGAGGCCCAGCTGCAGCAGAAAGGTTGGATCAGGATGTGGTGGGGAGAACAAGCACACAGCATCCCTTTGCCTGTAAAGGCCTCTCTGGAGACACTGCTGAGGCTCGGGTGGTTGAACAGGGGGAAGGTGAGAAGCAAACACATGGAGGGATTGTATTTCTCCCCAGCACAGCAAGAGGTTTGTTTTTCCAGATGACAGGAAACTGTCGATAGAAGCCTTTGGATTTGAGGACTTTATGTTTTTAATTTTATTGTAGACAATTGAATTTCTATTTTTGACATAGCATTTAACTTGCAGATTTGTATGAATCATTAATACCCCTTGTGCATGCAGAGTCACTGTATAATGAAGTTGCATTCATGCCTGAGGCTCCTCCCAGGGAGAGCTGGGACCAAGGAATGGATACTGGGGAGAAGGCTTCCCACTTTAGCATCTTCTGTTGCCTGACTTCCCAATGGCCCTATGTGACTTCAACCACACATTTTCCAACTCAGAGATATAGAGATTGCTTATTCACACCATGCACCTCCCCAAAGACCCAGGCCATTGTGTGGAACTGGAGAGAGGAGCTGCTAGGAACTCTGGCCCTCCAGGCCCCTCCTCAGAGATTCCTGGCCACCAGGCCCTAAGCATGCCCACAGGATATTCCGCTAGCCCAACATGAAGCCTGTTTCAGGAGGGGTCTTTGCAAAGAGCCTGGGGAATTGTTTCTCCTCTTTTTCTGGGCTCTGAGACCTTTCAAAGCAGAGAAACCAAGTCTGAGTAGTTTCATGTGAGTGGGCACTAGAGACAGAGAGGCAGGAGGAAATAGGATTGACATCCCCCACCCTTAGGAGTTCACAGTCTTACGTTGGGGACTGGATGCAGTGTGTGTGTGCCTACATGCATACACACACACACACAAAGAAAAGACTGGAAGAGAGGAGGCTGAGGAGCTGGGAAATAGGACCAGTTATCCTAGAGGGCCAAAGAGAGGTTTTGCATGGTGAAACCCTATCTCCACTAAAAATACAAAAAATCAGCCAGACATGGTCGTGGGCACCTGTAATCCCAGCTATTCGGAGGCTGAGGCAGGAGAATTGCTTGAAACCAGGAGGTAGAGGTTGCAGTGAGCCAAGATTGCGCCATTGCACTCCAACCTGGGTGACAGAGCAAGACTCCATCTCAAAAAAAAAAAAAAAAAAAAGAGGGAGAGAGTTTTTGGGGCCGAGGCCTAGCATCACAGATGCTCAGGTTTGAGAAGGAAGATTCATGGAGCCCCACTTCCCGGCCTGTGGCCTGGATCACCTTCACAGCACCCATACCAACCACAGCTCACTGTCCATTGAGGGTGTCCATGCCACCCTGGAGCATCACTGATCATTAGAAATGCCTTCAGATGCTTGATGAGGCTGAGTTGCCTCCCCTCCAGGAGAGCTGGCATGGCCTTAAGTCCTTTCACCATCTTGGCCCCTTCTCTTTTTATGTTCCACTTAGCCAAGATCCTCTTTTTTTTTTGAGACGGAGTCTCAATCTTGCCCAGGCTGGAGTGCAGTGGCACGATCTCGGCTCACTGCAAGCTCCGCCTCCCAGGTTCATGCCATTCTCCTGCCTCAGCCTCCCAAGTAGCTGGGACTACAGGCACCCGCCATCACGCCCGGCTAACTTTTTGTATTTTCAGTAGAGACGGGGTTTCACCGTGTTAGACAGGACGGTCTCGATCTCCTGACCTTGTGATCTGCCCTCCCAAAGTACTGGGATTACGGGCCTCCCAAATTGCTGGGAGTATAGGCATGAGCGACTGGACCTGGCCGCCAAGATCCTCTTAAAGTGCGACTGTTGTCCAGATTTTGACAAAGCCATTTGGTCTAACCAGTTCTGAGAGGAACAGAAAATATCACCTTACCCCATGTACAACCTTCTAGATGCCACAGCAGTCCAAGATCCCACTACAATTGGAGATACACACTTAACTGACCACAGGGCAAGTACATGAATCTGTTGAGGCTGCCATAACAAAGTGCCACAGACTAGGCGGCTTGAACAACAGAAACTGATTCTCACAGTTCTGAAGGCTGAAAGTCCAAGATCAAGGTGTCGGCAGCGTTGGTTCCTTCTGAGCCTCTTTCCTTGGCTTGTAGATGGCCATCTTCTCCCTGTGTCTCTATGTCGTCTTTTTTCTGGGTCTGTCTTAGTCTCCTCTTCTTGTAAGGACATGAGTCATGTTGGATGAGAGCCCCCCCATATGACCTCATCTTAACTTGATTACCTATGTAAAGGTCCTGTTTCCAAATACAGTCACATTCTGAGGTACTGGAGGTTAAAACTTCAGCATAGGAATGTTGGCCGGGCGTGGTGGCTCATGCCTGTAATCCCAGTACTTTGGGAGGCCGAGGCGGGTGGATCACCTGAGGTCAGGAGTTCAAGACCAGCCTGGCCAACATGATGAAACCCAGTCTCTACTAAAAACAAAAATTAGCTGGGTGTGGTGGCACATGCTTGTAATCCCAGCTATTCAGGAGGCTGAGGCAGGAGAATTGCTTGAACCTGGGAGGTGGAGGTTGCAGTGAGCTGAGATCACATCATTGCACTCCAGCCTGGGCAACAGAGCGAGACTCCATCTCAAAAAAAAAAAAAAAAAAAAGGAATGTTGAAGGGGTACACTTCAGCTCATTGCAGCAGGAGAGAAACCACAGGCCATAGCCCTCTCCTAAGCTGACTTCTCTGGCTGCTCTCTCCCCCTGCCTCTCCCCAAAAGGCTGTTCTTCCAGCCAGCAGTGGGTGATGACTCCTACAGTTCTCTTCTACTCTTCTCAGTCTCAGGATATATGGGGCTCCCACCATGTGCCACCTCATCAGGTGTCAACTTGGTTCAATTACTATTAATTAAGTGCCCCCTGTTTAAGGCACTGTACTAGGTTCCTTCACATCTCTAATCTCACTTCGTCTTTATAACCACCTGGAAGACTAGGAGTTACTACTCCCATTTTATAGATGAGAAAATTAAGGCTCAGAATGATCACCTGACTTATCCTAGCTCACCTATCTGGGAGGAGGCAGAGCTGGGATCTGAGCCCAAATCATGACTTTGAACCCAGTGCTCTTCCCACCAGACCAGGCAACAGGACCTCCAAGATATCAAATTCTCTCAGGCCCCATGAGCTCAAACCAGGGAAGAGGACTAGAGATTCGGCGGGCTTGGATGCCTGCAGTTTGGGAATCCTGAGCAGGGGCTGAAAGAGGTGCTCACCCACTTCACTAAAAAGTCTCAAGGATGCTTGATTTCCCTAGGGAATGCCGGAAGGATGCATTCTACGTACCAGACTTCTCTATTGACCTCAGAGAGCACTGGTTGTGTCTGAGAAGTACTAAAAAGGACAGGAACCTGGCCAGATGTGGTGGCATGAGCCTGCAGTCCCAGCTCCTCAGAAGGCTGAGGCGGGAGGATCACTTGAGCCCAGAGGTTCAAGGTTACAGTGAGCTGGGATGGCACCACTGCACTTCAGCCTGGATGACAGAGTGAGACCCCATCTCTTTTGGCTGGGCATAGTGGTTCATGCCTGTAATCTCAGCACTTTGGGAGGCTGAGGCAGGCAGACCACCTGAGGTCAGGAGTTCAAGACCAGCCTGGCCAACATGGTGAAACCCCATCTCTACTAAAAATACCAAAAATTAGCTGGGCGTGGTGGCGGGCACCTGTAATTCCAGCTACTCAGGAGGCTGAGATGGGATAATCGCTTGAACTCAGGAGGTGGAGGTTGCCATGAGCCGAGATCACATCATTGCACTCCAGCCCGGGCAACAAGAGCGAAACTCCATCTCAAAAAAAAAGAAAGTTTTTCCAAGAGTGTCCTTATCCAGCCCAGGACTGTAGAAGACTGAGTCAGATAGAAGCCAGAAAGACTTCTCCTCCCTTTTGAATACCTAGAACTTATAATGTGCACTGAGAGAGGCCCCCGCCATGCCTGGAGTACCCCCACACCTCCAGGAGGAAGAAGGACCCCTACTCTGACTTTTCTTTTTTTCTTTTGAGATGGAGTCTCACTGTGTTGCCCAGGCTGGAGTGCAGTGGCACAATCTTGGCTCACTGCAACCTCCGCCTCCCAGGTTCAAGTGATTGTCCTGCCTCAGCCTCCCGAGTAGCTGGGATTACAGGCACCTGCCATCACGCCTGATTTTTGTATTTTTTACTAGAGATGGAGTTTCACCTCGCTGGCCAGGCTGGTCTTGAACTCCTGACCTCAAATGATTCACCTGCCTTGATGTCCCAAAGTGCTGAGATTGCAGGCATGAGCCACCGCACCTGGCCTGAGTGACTCTTCTCTCCCCTTTTCTCACACACACGCATTCTCTCACTGTCCTCGGCTGCTTCTGCCCTTCACTCCTCCCTCCCCTCCCCGCCTCAGCCCCTCCTCTTAGCCCCCCTACTTCTGACTTGTGTGTGGAGGAGAGTCTAAGCTGAATGGCCTCCTGTTTAACTCATTACAAGTAAACTGGATGATCTTGAAAGATGACTCTGGTCTGGCACAATTTTCCTGAATAAACTAGCTTCTGCAGGGTTGGTGATTATTGGTGCTTAATAATTGTGTGTTGAACTAATTGATTAATTAATTGGAGGAACATCCTTGATCTCCATAAGAGAAATGACTGTCGGGTATGCGCAGGGCTGGAAGGGCAGCAGGAGACAAGAGCAGGCTCAGATCTGTTAAAAACCTAAGACTCATGCATGTAATTTTAAGTTATATAATACCACAAGGCTAATACTGGGGGGCAGGGGAGTCCCCTGCTCCATTTACAAATCCTGCTCCCTAAAGGCAACACTTTCAAATCTTTTAGGTATTTCTTCTGGCATTTCCCTCCATTTTTCTACATAACATGCTTTATAGCCGTTTCTTGACTTTTCCATCTTAGACAGTCATTGAATCCATTGACTTTCTGCCACAGAATAAGATTCAGCTCTGTCATACACACCCATACAAACACGCAACCCCTCTCCCACCCTCCCAGTGGAGTTATATTACAATTTGTGGTTAAATCATTTAAAAAAGTTTTAAGACACGGGATTTGGCTGTGTCGCCCAGGCTGGAGGGCAGTGGCTATTCACAGGCACAATCATAGCTCACTGCAGCCTTGAACTCCTGGGCTCAAGTGATCCTCCTGCCTCAGCCTCCTGAGTAGCAGGGACTACAGACAGGTGCCACCATGTCCAGTTTGGTTAAATTATTTTTTAATATTTATGTTAATATACATGTGTATTGTTACTAATTTATCCTTAAAACTCTCTAACAGAGCTCTCAAACTCCTCTCAATAAGGTCAGACCCATTAGAAGTCTCTCCAGTTTTTGCTTTTGTTTTGTTTTTGAGGCAAGTTTCTTAGAAGCCTGTCTCTTCTGTTCCAGTCTGAACTCTTTAACTCTTTGCTCTCCAGGCCTGCAGCATAGCTGTCATCTGGGGCTTCCTTTCACTGCTATCCTGGGATTCCTTTTACCTCTGTCTTCTGTTGCAGTCCCTAGTTCCTGGAATTCATGCCTTTCTTTTTCTTGGGTAATTCTTTTTTTTTTTTTTTTGAGACAGAGTTTTGCTCTTGTTGCCCAGGCTGGAGTGCAGTTGTGTGATCTTGGCTCACTGCAACCTCCACCTCCCAGGTTCAAGCGATTCTCCTGCCTCAGCCTCCCCAGTAGCTGGGATTACAGGCATGTGCCACCACGCCCGGTTAATTTTGTATTTTTATTAGAGACGGGGTTTCTCTATGTTGGTCAGGCTGGTCTGGAACCTCAGGTGATCCACCCACCTCAGCCTCCCAAAATGCTGGGATTACAGGCGTGAGCCACCGTGCCCAGCTTTCTTGAGTAATTCTTTTTGATGGAAAACAAATCCTACAATAGCTTTCTGAGAAAGTGTTTATGGAAGGTTAACTTTTTGAGGCTGTTCAAATCTGAAAATGTCTTTACTGAGTCCCCTACTTGAGTGTTAGTTTAGTTGGGTGTAGAATTCTAAGTTGGAAATTATTTTTTTCCTCTGGATTTTTAAGGCATTGCTCCATTGTCTTCTGGCTTCCAGTTAAGAAGTCTAAACCCTCTTAATTCCTGATTTTTGTATGTTTGTTTTCCTCTTTGTATTTTCATTTTTATTTGTTTTTGTAGAGATGAGATCTTGCTTTGTTGCCTAGGCTGGTCTCCAACTCCTGGGCTCAAGAGATCCTCCCGCCTCAGCCTCCCAAAGTGCTAGAATTATAGGCATGAGCCACCATACCTAGCCTGTTTTCCTCTTTCTAAAATCTGTTAACATCATTTCTTTATCCACAGAGATATAAAAGTTTACGATAACATGCCTTGATGTGGGTCTTGTTTTATATTTTTGCTAAAGACTTTGTAGGCCTTTTCAGTTCAGAAACCCAGGTTCTCCATCCTTCCATTCTGGGAAATTTTATTATATTTTCCATCAATTTACTCACCTCTATTTTCTCTGTTCTACTGTCTGGAACTCCTGTTAATTAGATGTCAGACCACCTGAATTGGTCCTCTATATTTTCTCTATTATTTTTAATCTCATCTCTCTATCTTTGTCTCTCTCTCTCTGGTATACTTTATAAATTTCCTCAACTTTATGTTTTGGCTCTTCTATTGCAACATTTTAATTTCCACCATTTTATTTTTAATTTTCAAGACCTCTTTCCTATTCTCTGGATATCCTATTTTATAGCACTCTGTTCTTTCATAGGTGCAATGTTTTCTTATAGCTACATGAGCATGTTCATTTTAATTATGACAGAGGCTTTTTTCCTTCTCTTTTTTTAGGTTTTCCTTGCTCCAGGCATGGTTCCTATTTCCTCTGTGTTCCTGTTGCCTATTTGTTTATTTCAGTGTTTCTCTTTCATGTGAGGGCCTATTTCAAATATCTGGTGATCCTTGGCCATCTGTTCATGTTTTACAGTGAGCCCCAGAAAAGCCAATTGGACACCTGGGGGTGGAGGGAGATGTCAGGCGTGTTGACTGATGGGACCCTCAACTATCAATATCTTTAGGTCATTTCTCTTGAGCTCCTCAGTGTCCCTAGAAAGGAACCCTCCAACCTCCTGCCACAGGGAGTTCAGTCCGGCAGTCAGCCTTTAGGAGCGCAGCAGGGAAGAGAGCAGCAGGAGAGTTCCACCCCCACCTTCATCTGTGCCTGTGTCCCTTGTCCACAGCCTGTGACACCAACCTCTCTGAAAGACTTGGACAATTCACCTGGCTGCTATTCAAGGTGGGGGCAGAGATTGGGGGTCTAATTCCCTATTTTATAAACTTTCAAACAGTCCTGTTTTGATCATACCTGCACCTTCACCTTCGGAGGGTCCCAGTGTCTCTGATTCCTGAGCTTTTTGAGGTTACAAAGGATTTCATCATCCAGCATTGTGACGCTCCCTTTGCAGGCACTTAACATTGCCCAGGAAGCAGAAACCAAAGCAGTTATCACTCCTCCACCTGCTTTTCCATCTTCCAGTGTGTGACATCCTTTGTCTCCTATTCCTCTTTTCTTTGTGGGTTTATACCTGTACCCCTTTGACTCTCATGTCAGCTGGGTTTGAGAAAGAAGCTGAGCAAAGTGCACGTCTCCATACCAGCATGTTTACTCAGCCTCCTTCCTTATGTCTTCTCAGCACTTTACTGTGTACCCATGTGAGAGTACTTACTGCCTTGTACTTAGCGGTTTTTTTGGCTCTTTCTGTGGTAGACTAGGAGGACAGGAATCAAATCGAATCACCCCTAGTGTCTCACACAGCACCTCGTATACAATAGGCAGTTCCTAAATTGTGCTGAATAACTGGATGAGCAAGTTGGCCTCAGTCTCCCATCTCCCATCTCTAAGAGGAGGGCTTTGGAGCCCTGGTGTCCAGCTGTCTGAACTTCTTCTGGGAAGTTGGGTGGTCCCTGGAGCCACAGCAGGTGTGCCATTCCCAGGAAAGTTTGGCATTTCTGGAGCACCGCCATGCATGTCTTCCCACCTTTCTTTTAGGGAGCAGTGTGTGCCCAGCCCTGCCCACCAGGGACATTTGGCCAGAACTGCAGCCAGGATTGTCCTTGCCACCATGGAGGGCAGTGTGACCACGTGACTGGACAGTGCCACTGTACAGCTGGATACATGGGGGACAGGTAAGGATAGTGTTAACTGTTATCTTTGCTGTCCATTTTACTCATATTCATAGGAGACTTGCAGAGAACAGCTCATAGCCCTCTCTCTGCCAGCCTTCCAGTTCCTTTCTCAGAAAGCACTCTGAGCTCTCCTGCCAGGGAGGGTTGGCACCTGATCCCTCCTCACCCTCGGCCTGCAGAGACACCCTCTTCTCTAGCCTAGTGGCCCAAGCCCTGAATTTAAATGGGCTCACCTGGGGGAAGGAGGTGAGCACCTGCCCCCACTCTCTACTCTCTGCACTCATAGAGGGAGGCAATGGCACAGATAATCCAAGGAAGCTGAGAGTACAAAATCACTTCATTCATATGTTTTGCACGATTTCTTCTGGAAGGGCATTTTTAGTCCTAATTTGGGTTCCACCAAAAGGATACTGGCATCAGTTTGCATCCTCTGAAGGCTTGTGGCTTAAGAGCAGACTGAAGGACGGTGCCAATGTCCTGGAATGAAACCAGCCTTGCAGAGTGGATAATCAAAAAAACACAGAACTGGGGAATTGCCATGTGTGCACATGTGCCACAGCGGGAAGAAGGAGGCCATGATGACAGGGCAGGTGCAGAGGAAAAGGGAGAAACAGCAACCGGTGTGTGTGATGGTGAGTAGATTGGAAGCTGGAAAAAGATATTTGAAACCCACAGAACCCAGGCCAAGTCTCCTCCCTCTCACTCTTGACCACATGGATCTCTTCAAGCAGAGAAGGGCCGTACAGAGGCAGCCCCCACACCCCATGCCTGGTTCTGTGGGGATCCATGTTTCATTTCTGGCTCTTGGACTTTATACTCTTCTCAGACAAAATGAGGAAACATTTTTCATCATTCCATGCCTGGGTGACATCAGAAAGCCGGGATGTAGGCTGAGTTAACCAATGAATCCCTCCATTTCTAATAGACATAATCGGGGCTCCTCCAGCTCCCACTAGAATCAGCCCCAAATCCTTAGTGATGTCCAGAAAAGAGATTGTCCATTAGCCTTGGGCTTATTTACCTCCAGCTGGAAGTCTTTTAAGCCAGATCTGATCTCTTTGTGAGCCAGTGTTCATCAACACTGTTCCCCAGCATAGAACGTGGGGTGTGGCATCTGGGGATCCATCCCTCCCTGACCCATGGGAGAGAGGGCTGAAACATTGAGTGCATGTTCCCATCCTCACCATCTCCCCAAATAAGGAAATGCTCAGGATGAGCCAGTACGGACTGGAATCAGGAAGATCCTCAAGCCAGCACAGGACTCCTTTTTCAGTCCACTTTCTCATGAGAGTGCAAACCGCCCGCTTGTTGTTGGAAATGAGCAGGCCCAGGGCTCTAGCCGGCTGGACTCCATACCAGTAGACCCTAGCTCATTGGTGCTGTCGATTTTCCCTGTCGAGATGTGCCAAATAGAGAAAGAATCCAAAATCTCTCTGCTTGTTGGAGCCTGGTCCATGATCCTGGGCAGAGAGGAACCCCTAAAGCCAAGGGGCCCTCCAGCAAGCTTTGCCAATCAACCACAGGAGGGTTCAATAGGAGGCCAGGCAGCATTTGGGCTTCTCACCTAAACGGGCTGCCTGGTGTTTAATATTTTGTAAAATTGCCTCCATTAATTTCGTAGGTGACAGCTGCATTAACCCACCCCAAATCATCATGAGCATATTAAAGTTGAGTGGGTGTAATAATGCAGGCCTCCCCGGATAGGCAGAAACCAGTGCAAATTAAACACGAAATGTAACGAGGGCTTTGCAGCTCATTTTGTAATTTAATTGAGCAATGTATCTGGTTGTTAATGGCAATATTGGACACATTAGATTGATATGGTGCAAAGGAAGGATGTTTAAGTAGAAAACTAATTCCTGCTGTGATTATCCTTCTGTTCCGCAGGCCCCATTATTAGCATGCTTTGTGTAAAATTCATTAGCCATCGTTGCTTGATCTCTAAATAAATAAGTTGTTTAAATTGTGAGTAGGGAAAAAAAAAAGAGGCTGATTAAGTAAATGAATTAGGTTGTCAATATTTCATTTCCAGATTGTTTTTCTGGGGCTGTAGATCCAGGCACCCCAAAAATATAGTGGGCTAGGGAATTGCCCTTCAGAGGAGTTTAGGGTTCAGGGCTCTGTCCAGTCCTGCTAAGCAGGAGGGAGCAGGAATGTTTGAAAAGGAACAGGTATCAGGAGGTATCTGGTTTGAGTTTTTCACCCGACATTTGAGACATTCGAGGCCAGCAAAGCACAGTGACTTCTGGAGAAATCCATTTGCAGGCTGAACAGGGGCTGGCAACTCAGATAGTGATTATTTGGGTCTTCAGCTGCTCTTTTTCCTCCCCTTCTGCCTCAGTTTCCCTCCTTCCCTTCCCCCATTCTACTTCTCCTCCTTCTGTCTTCTACTTTCCATTCCTTCTCCAGACATCACCTTCTTTCTTGCCTCCTCTTCCCTCTCTTTTCTGCTCTCTTTCCCTTCATGAGGCCTCAGATTGGCTGAAATATGACAAGATTTGCAGAAAGACAATCTGGGGTCATCTTAGCCACATGCAGGCTGCGTGAGCTTGGAGCAGTTGCCTCACTTGTCTCATGGCAGCCTCCTTAACTCTAAAGTGAGGGTGATGAGAATATGTGCTGCTCCAGGGGCTGGGGACAGGCTCTGGGGCCTGAGCAGCTGGAAGCCCCTCAGTATACGGTGCCCGGGGGTGTTGTCATCATGATCCCTGCTGCCCCACTATTCTGCCAGATCACTCCTTTGCTACAGTGGCTCTGAGAGGGGAGAGCTAGTGGCATCTTCTTGGGAAGGAAGCACTCAAGGCCAGACCCCAGTCACCGTCCTCTTCTCCTTGTCACTGTGGGCACAGAGCAGCAAAGGCACAGAACAGAGACAAGGACACCCCAGTCTCAAGTTGCCAAGGCTGGTGCCCCACACACTGGCTGCTCTCATCCCCCACACACTTGCTAGCTGGCCCTGCCACATCCACGAGGGTCTGACCACTCACCCTCACCATAGACAACTGAGTCATCCAGACACAGAATCTCCCTGCCCTGTCTGTAGAAGAATACTTCCACCCCCACGATCCTCCAAAATACATAATAAAGAAGTTAGAGCTGTATTTTTTTTTAAATTGCTTTTCCCCTCTGATTACTGTAGAAGATATACAGAAAGCCTGGAAAATGGAAACATATGATAATTAAAACACTAACTCCTTAAATCCACTCTACTATTAACATTTTAGAATTTTTCCCTTTGGGCTTTTTCATGCCTGAATTTAAGGCCAGAAGGTCAGATGGGCTCTGTTATAAGAACTGTTGAAAACAATATTAACATGAGTACTAGTGAAAATAACTAACTTTTCTAATTGAGCCCCAATTATGGTCTGGGCGCCTTTCTAAATGTTTACACGCATTATCCCATTTAATTCTTACAGAACCCGATGAGGTTTAGTGAGTATCGTCCCATTTTATGAAAAAGAAGAGGATGTCAGAGCTTTAGGTTAGTTCTCCATTATCCGCACTGTTGAATCAGTGCTGGAACAAAGATATCCCAGAACCCCAGAGGCTAGAGGCCATTTCCATTTGTCTTTGGGATGCCAGAAGTCATCCCCCTCTTTTACCCCTATTCCTCCAGGTTTAACCCTTGACTTATCCGGATCTAGTTGCTGTGACAATAAGTCTGCATCCTCTGGGAAAGAGCCCAGGGTGGGGGTAAGGGGTGTTGAGGCACATTCAGGAAACCAGGTGGTCAGCAGTGGGGGGTCACACTCGCCCACGGAGGAGCCACACCCATGGCTGTGGGTTAAATGAAGTTGAATAATTATCCTTATGTTGGGATCTCCAAGTACTAGCCCAGACACACACAGGACACAAAGGTGGTCCCAGGCTTCCTCCTTAGGGGCTCACAGGCTGATGGGAGAGACTCAGACCCTACCTTGAGGGGACCTTCTTCCAAGGAAGGGAAAATAGCCTTGTCACAGGGCATTCTATAGTCCAATGCAGGAAGACGCTTCCTCTACTCGAGGGAAAATCCGCAGTCAGGGAGGAGATATGTCTCCCAGTAGGACAAGAGAGACTGTACATCTGGCCCAAAGGCTCAAAAACCAGAGATACTGTATAGAAACAAAATCACCCCATTTCATCAAACCTAAGGTGCCACTGATCGTAAGATGCATCACTGTTTCATATGCTGCAAAGAATGAAAAACACTGGCAATTAAACTATGACATGTCACCAATTACAAGACTTATCTAATTTCAGAGATATAAAAATATCTTTTAAAAACAAGGTGGCTCATGCCTGTAATCCCAGCACTTTGGGAGACCGAGGCAGGCGGATCATGAGGTCAAGAGATTGAGACCATCCTGGACAACATGGTGAAACCCCGTCTCTAGTAAAAATACAAAAATTAGTTGGGCGTGGCAGTGCACCCCTGTAGTCCCAGCTACTCGGGAGGCTGAGGCAGGAGAATAGCTTGAACCTGGGAGGCGGAGGTTGCAGCAAGATCATGCCATTCCAGCCTGGGCAACAGAGTGAGACTCCATCTCAAACAAACAAAAAAAGCAAGGTGTTTTTAAACCTACCTAAACAGTTTTTTGTTTAATGGGTGCAGAGTTTCAGTTTGGGAAGACGGAAACATTCTGGAGATGGGTGGTGGTGATGTGGCACAACAGTGCGAATGTGCTTAATGCCACTGAACTGTACGTGGTTAAAACAGTCAATTCTATGGGGTGTACTGTCTTAGTCTGCTCATGCTGCTATAACAAAATACCCAAGACTGAGTAATTTATAAACAATGGACATTGATTCTCACAGTTCTGGAGGCTGAGAAGTTCAAGATCAAGGGGCCGACAGGTTTGGTGTCTGATGAGGGCCCCAATCTCTGCTTCCAAAATGGTGCCTTGAAGCCTGCATCCTCAGAGGGCGAAAAGAATAGAAGAGCCAAAAAAAAAAAAAAGAAAAAAAAAAAAGAAAGAAAGAAAGAAAGAAAGAAAGAAAGGGACCTCACTGGCTCCCTCCAGCCCCTTTTATGAAAGCACTAATCCATTCATACCCTAATCACCTCCCAAAGGCCACACCTCCTAATACCATTGCATTGGGTGTTAAGTTTCAATGAGAATTTTGAGAGAAACATTTAAACCATAACCTGTATATTTCACCACAACTTTAATTTTTAAAAATTATTAGGCTTGGAATCAATAAAATATGGTGGTACAAACTCATTGCTGGGGGGACTGAGCCGACCTGGCATGAAAGGCAGAAATGACTGGGGCGAACTAAACCATGGACTACTTCCTGGAGGAGGAGAGAGAAAAGGGGAGGAGGCTGTGAGCAGCGTGGAGCACACCAGGCCTGGGCCAGATGGCCAGGAGGACCACATCCTGGAGGATCTTGAAGCACAGGTGAGGGATCCTGGCCCACAGCCTCAGCCCCACTCTGCTCTCCCACAGGTGCCAAGAGGAGTGCCCCTTCGGGTCCTTCGGCTTCCAGTGCTCACAGCACTGTGACTGCCACAATGGGGGGCAGTGTTCACCCACCACGGGTGCCTGCGAGTGTGAGCCTGGCTACAAGGGCCCACGCTGCCAGGAGCGACTGTGCCCGGAGGGCCTGCATGGCCCAGGCTGCACCCTGCCCTGCCCCTGTGACGCTGACAACACCATCAGGTATGAGCTGGGAATGGGCGAGCCCGGGACAAGGGCGGGGGGTGCTCAGGTAGAGAGGAGGCTTGCTAGGATGTGGCCCCCCACCTCTAGCATGGACATCCAGGCAGGTGGGGGAAAGGGCTAGGACCTCAGCACTGAGCCCTGAGAACCACTTTGATGAAAAGAAGGGGAAGCCAAGGCCACATAGCCACAGTCAGGACTAGAGCCAGATCACTCACCTCTGTCCACCCCACCTGGCTACCTGCATTTCCAAATGTGCCTGTCTGAGACTCCACACATGGGAGCAAGGAGAGAACAAGGAGGTGGGGTGGAGCACAGCTGCATGACCCTGGGGGCTAGGATGGCAGGGCTCGGGTGCCACAAGCTCTGAGCACATTGTCCTGGAGAATATTTCCCTCCACTTGCGTGGCATCCAACCAGAGACACGGGCACCAGGGCAGAAGTAGAGGCTTGAGCTGCAGAAGGTCAGGACTCGAAGGGACCTTAAAAATCACGAGGGCCATCCAGGGCCTAAGGAGGGTTGTCCCAGCAGACCCTGGCAAGGCTAGAGGAGCAGGAACAACAGGGGCAGCCCTTTATCAGGGCCTGAACTTGGGGCCAGCCCCTCCCCCAGCACTCTGTGTCGTTTGTGGCTTGGGGACATCCGGGCAGAAGTTGTCCCTCCACCCCCCACTTCCAAAGGAGCCTGAACCTGTGAAGGCAGAGCTGTTCTGGGCTACTGCTCCCAGCTCCCCTCCCTGCCCGCTTCACGCACCAGCTGGCACTGCCCCAGGTAACAATTGAGACTGTCAGCCCTGGATGAACGCCCCCACAGCCCTTTATCGTGGCTGCCTCTTATCTGGGTGATGAAGGTCAGGGGAGCATCCCTTCTCCCTCAGGCCTACGGACAGCCCAGGGAAGACCGGCCACCCTGGGCATGGGTGCTGCTGCTGTTGGCAGGGCAGACAGAGAATCCCTCTGCTTTGCAGCCCTGTCGCTGGGACGGCCAGGACTTAGCCTGGGCCCCTCTTCATTTCCAGGCTTTGATCTTTCACAAATCACTCTGGAGCCTCGTTCACTGCAAGCAGAGGCATGTCGGCAAGTGTTAACGAGTTAAACTAAAAGGTCCTCCCTCCCTGGAGTGGAGCAGCTGGGGTGGTGTGAGGCAGAGGTGGAAGGCCCGGGAAAGAGACTGTCCAGAGAGGGTGCTAGAGCCAGTGGAGCTGGCCTGTCCATGACCTGAGCATTCATTCACTCGGTCATTCATTCAACAAACACTGAGCGCCCACAGGGCTGGGCTATGAGGAGGAAACCCCGAGCACCTTCTACCGTATTTCTTCAAATACAAGACAATACCAGTAGTGAGGCATAGCTTTATTTGGGTTACTACTAGGAAAATTCTATCAACTGAACCATGACATACCATTGATTGTATAGCCAATATCAGAGATATGAATTACCCAATATCAGAGATGTGAAAATGTAGAGGAGAAGTACATCTTAGAACTGATGAAATATATGTGGCTGGCCCTGCTGGGTCCCAACATGTGCCCAAGTAACTGTGACCCAGGACTATGTGATGCTGGTCAGGGAAGGCTTCCTAGAAGAGGTGGCATCTGGGCTGGGTTTGGAGAGCAGAGTGAGAGCTCCAAGGCGCTAATTACAGAAATCTCATATGGCTGGTCAGGGGACTGGGCAGCTGGCTCAGACTGTTGCATGTGTCTAAATATTAAGATTCCAGAATCTGTCGCTCCTGCTGGGAAGCTGAGGGAGGACCCTCTCCAAGACAGGAAGCAAGGCTGATGCCGGGGTCCAATGCAGGGAGCTCCTGCCACAGAAATCTAACCAAGCCCCAAATTAAAGGGTTACTGTTTTCCTCCTGTGCCTGGGCAACCATGCCCTGTATAATTCATCCTTCCTCTGAAGGAGTCCTCGATGCATTATTAATCTGAAAGGACTCCCCCTCTTCTCTCCCGCTAATCTCAGCCCATCCAATATTGATGATTATTTGCTTTACTGTCTTTAAAACGTATCATGTTTCAGGGACTGGGAGGGAGTAGCAGTTCTTCAGAGTGGGGGCTCTGAGCGTGCCCACCAGTCTACTCCCCAGCCTGGTCTCCTCTGAGTCTGCATCACCACCTCCTTGAGGGCACCAGCAGCCTGGCTTGTCCATCCCTGTGGCCTCTAGCCTCAGCATTGCACGGTGCCTGCACAGAGTAGGCCTTCAGTAAGAGGAGTCCCTGAACTCATCTTAAACAGCCCATCCCTCTAGGAGGTTCTACCCATTAGCTGACGTCAACCCTATTTTTTAAAAAAACATATTTCTCCCTTTCTCTTGGTACACTGGCCCAGTGACTGAGCCCCTGGCACAAAGTTTTTGTTCAGTTGAAGTTAGGGTTTCTCAACCTTGCCACCATGAACATTTTGGGCTGGGTAATTCTTTGTTGTAGAGGGCTGTCCTGTGCTTTGTAGAATGTTGAGCAGCATCCCTGGCCTCTACCCACTAGATGCCAGTAGCACCCTTCTTCCACTGCCCAAGTTCTGACAATCAGAAATGTTTCCAGACATTGCCGGATGTCCCAGGGTGGGGTGGGGCAGGAAAAATTCCCAGAGGTTGAGAGCCTCTGGGCTAAATGAACTCTCTCGTGCTGCGCTTGATTGTTCTTATGGACACCAGAAAACAGCTCTCTTCCTCTATGTGGATGGAGGGCAGCCCCTCTCTTCCCATGAGCCTTTTTTGGCCCATTATAGAGTCTTCTCTTGAGATTCAAGAAAAGCAAAGGAATGACTCTGTGACTTCTAATCTTAAGACAGTTAAAGTTCAGGTACTGAGTGGGGATTGGGACTTCTGAGTCCTGCCCTCAAACCTATCTCTGTCTAAGCAAGTATCCGTAATAAGGGCACTTGATATATGCACATAAGATATACGTCCTTCTTCTCCTCTCTATGCATACGTTTCCCAATCTGTCCATCACCTTTCATCAACCCAGTGGGGGAAATGTTTTCCTGTGGTCTTTGAACGTGAAGCTTCCACCCAACTCCCTGAGATAAGGAACGTGGGATCCCTAGAAGCCTAGCCTCAAAGCTCCCTGCCTTCTGCAGAACTTACAACAAAGCCCCCACCACAACAGTGTGCAAGGTCTTGAGCATCTTTCCTAGGCAGAAAAAGTAATCCCAGCCCCCAGCCAAAGAAAGCCCTAGCCACCCAGCTCCAGCCTCTCTCTGGTCTGTGCCCTTCCGGCAAGGCTGCTGCACAGAGATTGAATCCATGCCCTGGGAAGGAAGAAGTGGCTGGTGAGATTCTCCAACTCTTCATTCCCTTTATCAATTATTTGCAGCACACACAAAGAAACCATCCTCCTTTATACAGGAATAACCTTGAGAGAGAAAGCACCTGTGTGTCAGGGATCTTAAATGTCCCCTCCACAATTGGGTTGTCATAGACTAATTCCAGCAGCCATGATCGTGTATTACCTTTGAAAGATTTGATTTAGCCAACAGATGCAGCATTGATAGAAATCTCATAGCAGCTGAAAGAAAGGCAGAAAAATCCACTCTGGAAGGATTCCTGTATTGTTCAGCTTTTGGTTCCTATTAACTTGTGATTAATCTATGTCTGGGGGAAATGGGAGAAAAGAAAAAACCAGAGAGAACGGAACCAGGCTAAACACAAGTGACTGTAACTTCTGCCTGAGCCAAAAACAGCAGTCCCTGGCCTGCCATGTGACTCAAGAGAATGGGGACCACCACCAGGAAGAAGGGATGCCTGGGAGAGGGGCTGTGCAAGTCACTCTGCTGAGGGACAAAGGTTCCAAGCATGGCAATCACAGCTCTCCATCATGATCAGTCAGCTGTCACTCTCCATCCTCTTTTCAAAGGGACTTTTGGAGTTTCTATAAGATAAGTAGAGTAATCAAATTAAGAAAGTAGATATCCCATTTCTAGAAGAATTGTAGGGATATGAAAAAAAAAAAGGAATGATTTTAGATTTGGTTTTGAGCCTTCTGGTTCTCAGAGTAAAGAGTAAAATTAGTGCCTAACATATCCCTGAGCAGCCAAAGTGATGGCAGCAGAGATCAAAAGCAGGAAATGCAAAGAGTACTTAGGTCAGCATTTGCTAGCTCGTTGTGTGTGGAGTGTGCTTTTCACCAGGTGGTGCCCTCACCAAAATAAGAGCGTGTAATGGATGAGCTCCAGCGTGACCATTTGCTAGGCAGAGACAGCAGAAGCATCTATTGATGGAAGAGACAGAAAGGTGCCTGAGACCTTTTAGAATCTCCAGTGCTCAGCAGAGCTGATGGCTGCAGCCAAGACCTGCCAGGTCATTCCTAGGTTCAAGCATGTCAGTCTCCACAACCGTGACTGAGCCAGTCTCTCTACGCTAACCCTAAACCTCAAAGGAAGCTCTTGGAAAGATGCAACCTAAAGAGAAGAGTGCTCCAAAACCATCTAGCAGAGCGTCAGGGCCACCAAGGGGCACGCCTTCCCCACGATACCCACGCAGGTCGCTGTCTCCCCTTCCAGTGCCTTGGGGCTCAGAGAGGAATTTTTCTCAAACTGTAAAGGTCAGAAAGTCTTTGAACACTCATCCTTTACACCCATTCTTCTTCGTTAGATATTTACAATTTTTATTGCTTTACATCTGTTTATAAATAAAATAGATGCTCAGTTTTGGTAAGTTAGGGAATACATTTAAAGAAAAAACTTAGCATCACTCAGTTTCTCAATCCAGAGATAGCACAAAAGCCATTTTGGGGTAAATCTGTCGATGTCTATATCGTTTTCATATTTTAGATTTGATATATTTTCATATTTGAAAGATTTGATTTAGCCAACAGATGCAGCATTGATTGATAGAAATGGCTTTGTATACAAAGTGCTTATTTCACTTGACCTTATATCATTAAACATTTTGAGAAACAACTGAATACATCTCTTAGCATTCCTTCATATGGATGTCATAATTCATTTAACCAATGCCCTGTGGTGAGAGGTGGCATGAGGCAGTGGACAAAATGTGGCCAGACAGACCTGGGTTTGAATCACAGCTTTGCCACTCACTGTCTTAGCTATGTGACCTTGGGCAAGTCACATAACCTCTAAATGCCATCTGTGAAATACAGGCTCAAATACCTAATTCACAGGCTTATTTGACGATTAGAAATATATATATAACGTGCCTGGTGCCTCAATAGCCTAGTCACATATTATTTATTATCATTTAAATTGCTTCCATTTTCCACTGTTATAAATAATGCTTCAGGGAACATCTCTGTGCATAAATCTTTCTCCACAGCTATGATTATTTCCTTAGGATAGAGTCTTAGAAATGGAATTATGAGACCAGAGTCTGAATAAAAGTATTAAAGTATTAAAGACTTAAAAGTAAGTCTCCTGATATGTAGCCTCAGATTGTTTTGAAACCTTTACCAGCATTTTAAAGCATCTTCACTGTTTTGATGGAGGAAAAGTGGTGTCCAATTGTTGTTTAGACTTGATTAATGAGACTAAACACTTTTCTGAAATGATTACTAGCTACTTGCAAGTATTATTCAGGAATTGCCTGTTCCTGTCCACCCCCTCATTTTCTGTGAGAAAACCAGGGTCCCTAGAAGAGAAACAGCTTGGCTAGGCTTCACACAATTAGTTTGCTCATTAATTAATTTTCTAAATATATATTAAGCACCTCCAGTGTGCCAGGGACTCTGTTGGGCCCTGAGAAGGGAACAAGACAAACGGCTCTCCCCCACGGAGCTGCAACCTAGTGGAGAAGACAGATGATAAATCAGTAGAAAAGAATAAAGAATCAATGGAAGATAATTATATTTAGAGGAAGCTGTATTCATTTCCCAAATATTCACCAGGGCAGTGAATATGAGCCAGGTGTTGGGGATCCACCAATGGTCCAGCGGGGCAAGGTGCCAAGGCCCCATGGAAGTTAGCAGAACCAAGACTTGCCCCAGGTTCTCCCTGCCAGCCCAGGGCATGCTTCTCTTGACCTTATCCCCAGAGCTGGGCTCCAGAGCAGGCAGGCCAGTGCCACAAGGAATCTAAAAGGCTTGTCTCTACCACCCAGCACTTCTTTGGTGTGTTAGTTTGAGCTGCTCCAGAAGCAGATACCAAGAGCAAGAGGTTTACTAGGGGAAGCATCTGTGAGGGAAAGTGGGGAGGAAGCTGAGGAGGCTGGGACAGCTGACAGATCACATGTAAGGAAGGAAGGAAAGTTGGGAGAAAGAGTCTTAACCCACAGCACGGTTCTAAGAAAGTTTGCCAGGATGGGGTATCTTAAAGCCAAGGTAACCATCAGAGGAGTCCCAGATCTCCCAAGAGTGTGCCCACCTTAGTATCCCTGCTGTGTTCCAGCTGGAAGTGGCGCAGGGGAAATGTGGCCTCTGGATTTCAAACTCAGCACTGGGGCCATAGGTCAATTATGCTCCCGCAGAAGTTCTGAACAGCACATGGTTACAACTGGCATCCCGCTGATCATGAATAGACATTGGCTATTGGATCAGATGGCTGCCAGCTAGAGGTTGCCCTACTCTCTGGAGGTCATGCCAGGGATCCCCTGCCTCTAGCCGAATGGTCCTTTCTCTAGCCTAAACAGGAGATGGAGAAGAGCTTGCTCACTGTTAAAGAGCCTGGCAAAGCGTAGGTTGGGGTTGCTCTCTCCAGGGCAGACATTGCCAGAGAGAGGAGGCCACATCTGGCCCAAAGTCTTGTTTTCACTCAGCCCAACATTCATTGAACACCTACAATGTGGAGAGCCACTGGGGTATCATTGCTACCTTCTTGTCCTGTTCCCACACTAGGCATTCACCTTAGGTGAGGGATGGATGAAGCCTTGGACTGCATAGTCTATAAGCCAAGGGACTAAAAGGCCACTCTCCATTTTGGTTTCCATGTGTCTGAATTATAAAGAAGGCTTGTGTGGGAGTCAGAAGACCTGTGTTCTAATCCCGCTCTTGACTTCTCCTTGCTGTTGACTTCAGGGTAGTTATATAATCACCCTGAGCCTCAGCTTCTGGGTGCTAATGAGACCATGTGGCCTTGGCATCTTCTGATAAACAGAAAAGGCATTGAGCAATTTAATCCCAGAGGTCCTTTGATCCTGCTACCCTAGGCAAGCCAGGCTTGGGGTAGACAGAGGGCGGGGACATGGCTGCTTCCCAGAACAAGCTGTCTTCTCACCCTTCTCTCATCTGTGCAGCTGCCACCCAGTAACTGGAGCTTGTACCTGCCAGCCAGGCTGGTCTGGTCACCACTGCAATGAATCCTGCCCTGTTGGCTACTATGGCGATGGCTGCCAGCTGCCTTGCACCTGTCAGAATGGCGCCGACTGCCACAGCATCACTGGGGGCTGCACTTGTGCTCCGGGCTTCATGGTAAGATGGGAGGGGCCTCCCGTGGCCTTCCTGACCTCCACCGGGCCAGTTCCCCTCACCTCCTGGTGCAATCAGGACTGTGGCCCTGCACCCAGCTGCCTCCTTGTGTCCGCCTCAGAGACAGACTTCATGAGGGGAGAGCCCCTGAAGCTGTTCTCAAAGGGCCAGGGTTTGTAATACTAAAAATAATAGGAGGAGGGGGTCTTTCCATCACCCCCAACTCTGAAGGTTGCCTTCCTTTGTGCCCAGCTCCTGCCTGTCCATATCCTTATGCACACAATATTTTTACATCAGAAAAACCACAATGTACAGAGACAGTTTTGCATTCTGCTTTCTTTCACCCACATTGCTATGTTGCTGCTTAGGCTTCTTAATTATCATTTTAAATGGCTTCATAACACTGCAGGAGCAGATGTACCCCCAGTTTATTCAGCCATTCTCTTACTGCTGAATATTGTTTCCAGTGTTAACAGTGAATGTTGCAGTGAGCATCTTCATACAAATAGCATTCCCTCACCGCACCCTTGAATTATTTCCTTAGGGTGAATTCCCAGGGTCAGTGGGCATAATATATTTACGGCTCTTGATGGATGTTGCCATATTACTTTCCTCAAGTGTTCTATAAATCTACACCGCCACCAATTGTGTATGAATGTACCTATTTCAGAATAACTTTGCTAAGGTTTTCTTAATTTTTGCTAATTATGTAGGTAGAAAATGGTTCCTCAATGTTGTTCTAATTTGCATTTCTCTGATTACGAGGGAGAGTGAACATCTTCCCTATGTTTGTTTACAATTTGTATTTTCTCATGAATTATGCTGGTCTTTATGAGGTTTGTTTCTGGGGAACTTGACATTGGAAGTGGAATCCTGTTCAAAGGCAGGGCATGCCCAGCAGGCTCAAGGAGCCAAACACTCAGGGGTTCTCTATGGCCATGTTTAATTGTGCTGTAGGAAGTGGTACAATTGTGCAGTTGAAAGAGTGTGGCCTTTGGAACCAGACCTAGGTTGCACCCTGGCTATCCTACTCACCAATTGTGTGACCTTGGACCAGTGATTCAACCTCTCTTCACTTCTGTTTCCTCACCCGTGAAATAGAACACCTGCCTCGCAAGGTTGCTATCAGGTGTCAAGATGGGATATATAGAGTGCATTCTAGCAGGCTTCTCAGGCAGTAGTAAATTTTCTAAGCACCTGTGGTCCTTGTTCACTTGCAGGTTCTGATTCAGTCAGTCTGGGATGGGGCCTGAGGTTCTGCATTTCTAACAAGCTCCCAAGTGATACCAATAATGCTGGTCAGTGGTCCTCACTTTGAGTAGGACGCTGATATGTAGCCATGGGTCTCAACTTGGGCTGCACAGTGAAATCACTAGGAAAGCTTTATAAACATCAATGCCTGGGCCCCACTCCCAGAGATTCTGATGTATTTGGTCTAGGCATGGTCTGGCTGAGGCCAGTGTGCTGCTAAGATGGAGATCCACTGATCCACAGGGAATTCTTGTAGATCAAGCGAGGGTTTGCTTGGTGACAATGTCTTTTAAAGCCAGGTTGCCCCTGGTCTGCAGAGCAAGGCCCAGAACAAAACATTGTTCAAACTGAAATGTGGCTAGTTCTGAATTGAGATGTGAAGTGGAAAATACACATTGGATTTCCAAGACTTAGTATGAAAAGGTGAATATAAAATACCTCAATCATTTTGTTATATTGATTACATGTTATATATTTAAAGTATTGTGTGTGTGTGTGTGTGTGTATATATATATATATATATATATATATATATATTTTTTTTTTTTTTTTTTTTTTTAAGAGTCTCACTTTGTTGCCCAGACTGGAGTACAGTGGCACAATCTCGGCTCATTGCAACCTCCGCCTCCTGGGTTCAAGCAATTCTCGTGCCTCAGCCTCCTAAGTAGCTGGGATTACAGGCATGTGCCACCACGCCTAGCTAATTTTTGTATTTTTAGTAGAGACAGGGTTTTGCCATGTTGGCCATGCTGATCTTGAACTCCTGGCCTCAAGTGATCCACCTACCTTGGCCTCCCAAAGTGCTGAGATTACAGGCATGAGCCACCACTTCTGGCCTAAATATATTTGTTTAAGTAAAAACACATTACTAAGATTATACTAAGATTAAAAAAAAAAAAACAGTTACAATCCCCCTTCTTCCTCCCCAGTGCAGATAAAACTGGGTAAAAATGAACTCTTTGGCATCTTTGAAAGAGAAGGAAGTCTGGTTTTCTCTTAATTTACCTTTGTTAGTGTACATTTTTTGTTGTAATTTCCACAGTAAAATGGAGGTGCCCTGGGTTTTGAATTTGGGTAGGAGAGAATAATTGTTTGGGATTAAAAAATCTCACGTAGCCAAGTGGTCAGGTGACTGCACCACACTGCTCATGGGTGACCCCTGTCCCAGCTTGGCTTCTAGCATAGCTGTAGGACTTTGGGCATCTGTGGATGGGGTGTATACAGGGAGAGAGAAGAACCTATTAACTTCTAAGATGGTCCACTGTATGGACTCCATGGATCAAGTCAGGAAACACTGTTCTGGGGGAAAAGGGGAAAAGTAGGAGCAAGAAGGTATGTGTATACATAGGAGTGGGAAGCTCATTGAGGGTTTTACGGTCTGGTCATATACATTGTCTGTGTGTCTGCTGGGGGTCTTTCCTCCCTGTTCCCCCTTCTTTATCCCCAGTTGCCTGCCTACTCATTTCTCCTCAGAACAAGGGAAAACTGGGGCCCCAGAAAGGCCTGGGAGACTAGCATCTGTTTGCTCACTGTCCCCAGTGCTCCAACAGTCTGGAGGCCAGGCCACTGCCTCTCTTCCTTGCACCTGAGATGCAAATGACTTCCTGTCCTTGAACTTTGGGGCACAGGTGCATGCCAGAGTCATCTCACTGTGGAATGCCCCCTGCCTGGGGCTCAGGGCTAATACAGATTGTGAGTCAAGCTGCCCTGGTGAGACCCAGCGAATTCCCATCCATCTCCTCCCACCCAGCCTCGTTATTCCTGGAAAGGCTCCTCTGGGGCTCTGTTGGATGTTGGGCAGGGGCTGCAGGAGGTGATTACAGAACAGTTCATTGTTCTCAACCAGCATGACTCACTCCTGTATGCATCAAGCCCTGAGGGGGAAGCCATTACTCTTGTCCTCACTCCAGCTTCTGAGTGAATGCAACTTCCCACAATCAGCCAGTTCTGGTCAAAGTAGGAGCAATCAGCAGAGCAGACTCAGCAGAGACTCGCCTCAAGATGTCCCGCAGTCAGTAATAATTAGCAATGCCTTTGTTGGTTGCTTGGTTTGTGAATGTATGTACGCGCCTTTATCCTTGAATGATTTTAGGATAGGTAGTCAGTTAAGGACTAATTAAAGGAGCCCTTTTCTGAGTGTTTGGAGACCTTCATTCTAGGCTCAGTAATCTTGGACATGTCGCTTTACCTTGCTGGGCCTCCATTTCCCTATCTGAACGATGGGAGGAGTAAATCAGTTTTGCCTGCTATTGGATGTGAGTATCCCCCATGACAGTGGATGTGAAACCGCATCCTCAGCTGTCCCCTCCCACCCCAGCTCTCCCTGCCCGGGGTCTTTAGGGAGGATATTGGGACAGCTTTATGAAAGTAGACTCTAGGGGCTGAGAATGGTCTCGGGCTCAACATAAACGTGAGGAGTGCTGATGAAGTAGTGCAGAACCACACCTGTGAGCTCAGTGGCATGCCTGCCCTAGTCACGTGGTCTCCACCCCCGAGAGCACAGGGACACGGGGCAGAAGCAGGTCCTGCTTGGGGCTCTGGATTGGCCTTCACACACTTCCACTTCCTTCCCAGGACATTGGAAGTGGAATCCTGTTCACTGAAATGTGAAATACTGGATGTTTCCTCTGCTAGGACTTAGGGGGCAGGTGGGGATGTGGAAAGACTAATCAGACCCCCATCCAGGAACCTGTGTTCTAGTAATAAGCACATTCACACTAGCAGTGAACACTCACTGAATCCTGGCTGCATGCTTCGTCTGACTTATGCCTCACAAGGGCCCATGGAGATGCACTTTCACTTTCCTCAATTTGCAGATGAGGAGCTGGAGTTCAAACAGGATTAGCGACTTGCCTGGGATCACAAAGCCAGCGGTGGTGGGAGACACTGAACTCTCATATTAGTTGATGAGCTTTGATTGAAGGGTGACCATGGAACCAGACAAATCTAAGTTCAAATCCTAGCTCTCCAATCCCCACACTGACTACTGGCAAGCCACTTATCCTGCCTGACATGGAACTTCCTCATCTGCTAAAACAAGACTTTGCTTATGAGAATTAGGAACATTATATGAGAAGTTCAAAGCCAGTGCCTGAAATACAACAGACACTTGGTGAAATGGCAGCAATTACCGGTAAGCTATGAGAGTAGTGGGGGAACGTTGCTTCCCCCATGCCCGTGATACCAGTAGGAGGGTGTTGGGATGAGCTGTACCCACGGATACCTGATGGATCAGAGCCATGAACGTGCACAACTGCTGTTCTAGGCAGGTCCACCCAAGCACCTGTGGGTCACCCTGAATGGTCGGTCTCAGGGGGCACTGTACGAGTGGACAAGCCTCTCAACATTTGGGGAAATGGAGATAGAGATGGGGGTGGGAAGAGAGCCTGGGCATTTTACATGTTTGTTTGGCAGCAGTGATAGAATCACTTGGGGTATGCATTGGTAAATTGCACTGTGGCTGCCCAGTGGGGGCAAAGAGCCCTGGACCAGAAAACAAGAAATGAGTTTGTAGCTTTAGCTCTGCTAACTTTCTGGGTTTCTATTTCTCATCTATAAAATGGGAATGAAATTCCCTGCCCATCGGAAACAGTGGTGTGGGAGCTAGTCATTCCAGTGGGAGTGCTTACAAGTGGAAACGGCATCGTTTCAGCACCTTGGACAGCCTCATGAGCCAGGGATTCAAGGCTACTCTGTGCCTTCTTAGAATCCAGGGTCCTCGCCCAGACAGAACACCAGGGTGAACAGGGATGGGAGAAGGCAGAGTGAGGGGTCATATGACACAGTGGTCAGGCCAGCAGAGTCCTGAAATACCTGTCTTTGTGAGGATGATCCTATCCAGGAGGTGAGGACCTTTCTTCACACCCCGCTGAGCTAGGGAATTAGCTGAATTGTGGATGAGGGGACTAAGTGGAGCTGTCCATCCACTTGCAGGTTGGCATCACATCACCCCTCTCTGTGGCTCCCCACTGCCCACCAAATAAACCTCAAATCCCAGGCCTTTGTAATATGCCCTCGAACCTAGTCTACCCTAATCTCATCTCCCACTAAGTCCTGCCACAATCTGTAGCACACATAACTCATTTCCTCCCCACACACAGTACAGTAGTCCCCATTATCCATGAGGGATACATTCTAAGACCTCCAGTGCCTGAAATTGTGGGCAGTACTGAATTCTGTATGTACTACACAATAAGAGATTAACAGTAATAACTAATAATAGAACAATTATAATAATATGCTATAAAATTTATGTGAATGTGGCCTCTCAAAATATCTTTAAAAAAAATTTTTTTTAGAGATAGGGCCTCGTTCTATTGCCCAGGCTGTAGTGTAATGGCACAATCATAGCTCACTGTAACCTCAAACTCCTGGGCTCAAGTGATCCTCCTGCATCAGACTCCTGAGCAGCTGAGAATACAGGCATGTACCACCATGCCCAGCTATTTAAAAAAAAAAAATTTGTAGAGATGGAGTCTCACTATGTTGCCCAGGCTGGTCTGGAACTCCTGGCCCCAAGCAATCCTCTCATCTTAGGCTTAAAATATCTTCTTGTATTGTACAAGCCTACTTTGTTGGGGTTTTTTTGTTTGTTTGTTTGTTTGTTTGTTTTGAGATGGACTCTTGCTCTGTTGCCTAGGCTGAAATGCAGTGGCGTGATCTCAGCTTACTGCAACCTCCACCTCCCGGGTTCACGCAATTCTCTTGCCTCAGCCTCCTGAGTAGCTGGGATTACAGGCATGTGCCAACACATCCAGCTAATTTTTGTATTTTTAGTAGAGACGGGGTTTCACCATGTTGGCCAGGCTGGTCTTGAACTCCTGACCTCATGTCATCTGCCCGCCTCGGCCTCACAAAGTGCTGGGATTACAGGCTTGAGCCACTGTGCCCAGCCACAAACCTACTTTAAAACCACAGTTGACCTCAGGTAACTGACACTATAGAAAGTGAAACCAAGGATAAGGGGGCACTACTATATGTTCTTTGGGGCCTCTGTGCTTTTTCTCAAACCTCTCTTTCTTCCTAGAATGCCCTTCCCATAGTCCCTATCGCATCTATGAAAATCCTTCTCAGCCTTTCAGGAAATCAAAGGCTGCCTCTTCCATGAAGCCTTCCCTGAATACTCCTCTCTTCGGAATTAACCATTCCATCCCTTTGTTTCCACTGTGTGTGGCTCATACTCAGGTTCTATCTCCCTAAGGACAATAACATGTTTCCCTCTAACCCTGGACCTCCTAACAAGCCTACAATGCCTACCACACAAATATCTTGCTCAGCAAACTCCCTGAAATGAATGAAATCCCTGGTAGACCCAATGCCCTTAAAGCAGAAGTTTCTGGAACATTCCTGAGCTTTACAGTAAGGACATTCATGGCATTTCCCAAGAGGCCTTGCCAGTAGGGCTGGGACTTGACTCTACCTGTTGGCTTCTCTGAAATTTATGTAAACAGATAGCTACAGTGGGACTGGAGCAGCTGACCCCTGACACACCATCTCCAGATTCTTTGAGCAGTGGCATGAGCTTCTGCCTTATGAAATTTTGTGTAGTGGTTTGCAGAGACTCTGGTGCCAAATTCTCTGCCTTCGAATACCAGCTTTGCTGCATATTAGCTGTGTGACATTGGGCAAGATATTGTACCTCTCTGTGCCCCTAGTTTCTTTTATTTCCTTTTGTGTGTGTGTGTGTGTGTGTGTGTGTGTGTGTGTGTGTGTGTCTGTGTGTCTAAGCCTCACTCTATTGCCCAGGCTGGAATGCAGTGGTGCGATCTTGGCTCACTGTGCAGCCTTGACCTCTCTGGGCTCAGGCGATCCTCCCACCTCAACCTCCCAAGTAGCTGGGTCTACAGGTGCACGCCATCATGCCCAGCTGATTTTTTTGTAGAGATGGGGTTTTGCCATGTTGCCCAGGCTGGTCTCGAATTCCTGGCCTCTCATGATCTGCCCATCTTGGCCTCCCAAAATGTTGGATTTCCAGGCGTGAGCCACTATACCCAGCCTGCCTCTAGTTTCTTATATAAAGGAATAATAACATAGCCTTGTAGGATTATTGGGCTGACTAAATTAATTAGCAAATATAAAGTGCTTAGAATGTCTAGCATATTAGTAATCTTTCAACAAGCATTAGCTGTTATTGCTGTTGATGATGATGATGATGCCACTACTGCTGCTGCTGTTGTTATTTACACCAAGGGGTCTCTCACTTGAAGAGGATGACTGGTCCTGGCCTGAGTGCCCTGTTTGGGGGTAGAGGTGGAAATGGGGGTGAGAGAAAGGAAGCAGTTAGTTGAATCTTTCCCTTGGCTGGGAACAGCAGGGTTGCGAAGGGCTCCTGGGTTCCCAAGAGCAGCCACAGAACCGAGAATAGACTTCCTGCTCACACGGGGGAAGAAGGCTGATTTCTCGGCTCCACCATGCTCCTCTGCTGACTAGGCTTCCTTTCCTTAATTAAGGCCTCACCTAGGCGGCCAGACTGATGGAGCCTCCTCCACTGCTGTAGGACTAATTACTGCCACCTTGGTGCCTGCAGTGAACTGTCTGTGAGGTCACTGCCAGGGCTGCAAAAACTTGATTTCTCAGACCCCCTTCCGGCTGCCTCCTCCCGCATGGGTCCTGCGTGTCTGGAAGATAAGGGGCCCTCTGGCCATTCCTCAGCCCAGATGCTCCCTTTCAGCTCCACTGTGATGGAGACGGGAATGCGGGAAGCAGAGGAGAGGGGCTCCAGTGTCCCCTCCCATAGGATTTGGGGCCCATATTTCTCCCCAGGATGACAGCATTTCTATTACCTTAAAGGGCTCATCTATTTATGCTGCAATTTTTTGAAGCCCTGTCTGCCATTATTCAACCCTGCATGCTGGCGAGGGGAGCAGGCACTCCATCACCCAAATGAACAAATTTGTTTCTGCATTTTTCTCACCTTTCTCTGTGCCACTGGTAGGTCATACAGAAACCTCAGCTGTTCTGACCAGGGAAGGTGGGAGCGGGGCGCAAGAGTTATGAAAATTCAGATCAGTGGAGCAGTGATTGAATTTCCCTCCAAGGTTTCCAATGTCCTTTAAAGACGTTACGCTCCCCCGGCCTCCCCCAGCTGGGCAGAGTGCGTGTCCACCTCTTGGGTGGCTCCTAAGCTGGAACTAGGGAGTGAGAGAAGTGTGACCAGTAGAGAATGCAGACTGAAAATGACAGCCAGGTGACATGGATATCATGTGTGTGCATTTTCTTTTCTAATTGTTTCATTCTTCATCAAGCTGAGATCTACAGGCTGTTAGCCCTAAGAACAGAAAACCAGCTTCTCATCCCCTCACCTCCCACTATTGACTCATTTCCCAATTACTGTAGTAAAAGATTTTCCTGAATGCAGCACCGGGAATGAGGAATTCATCCTCTAGCTGCCATGCCTGTGCGAACAGAGGAGTACAAACACTGCAAAATAGCAGAAATGATCATCCAAAAATAAGACACACACACACACACACTCCAGTACCCAAGTCCTAGCTCTGTTATCACCTCCTATGTGGTCTTGTTGGAGTTACTTAAGCTTCTCAAGCCTCATTTTTTCATCAATAAAACAGGATAATTAATGGCACTATGCTGTAGTGTTATTCTGAGGATTGAATTAGATAAAATATTTAGAACAAAGCCTGGCACGTAGCGAATGTTCAGTAAATGTTTGTCAGGGTTTATTATGTGGTTGTGGAGAGAAGACACACTGCAAGCAAAAGGACATGGACTTTGGAATCAGACAGTCCTGGGTTGGAATCCCACATCTGTCACTCAGTAGCTGTGTGACCTTAGGAAACACAGCCTCTTAGAGCCCGTTTCTCATTGGTGAGATGGATTAATAATGCCAGCCCTTCGGGGTCGGTATGCGCACTGAGCGAGATGCAGGGTGTAACGCTGTAAAACAGGTGTAACACTGTAAAACAGCTTCATAATGGTGGAGCTGGAAGAATGCTCAGGGCTTCCACAGTGCACAGCAAAAAAAAAACAAGGTCAGAAAGGGAAAGTGAACTTCCCTCAGGTCACACAGCATATTGTAACAGAGCTGGGATGGAATACAGGCGACATGACTCCCAGCCTACTGTTCTTTCCACCTTTACCTCCATCTCATGAGCTTCCTGTACCCACAGCAGACACGTACTGATGTTTCCCTGGGCAGGGAGGGATGGTGGGGGTGGCAGGTCGGTGGGGGCACAAAGGGAGTCACCAGGGGGTTAAGTCATGTTGTCAATTAATTCACAGAGCAAAGTAGGGAAAATTGGTTTTATGTCACTAAGATGAGGCCAGCCTTCCCCCTCTGGGACCCCACTGTACAGCTTATTAGGGAAAACTGCTGACTCTTCTACTCTAAAAAATAAACATTTGCCATCTCAGACCACCCTCTTGCTGTCATGTTCCTGATGTCCTTATTATCAGTACCCTCATTACTGGGGTCTGGGCTGGGGCTTTGTCTCAGGCCTAGTGGCCGCAGCAATCTCTGTGCAGCAAAAGAAGCTATTGGAGCAGATCTGCGGCATCTATGCTTTAAGTATACCCGGTTTTCTTTTTGTCCAAGTCTTCAGCATAGATGGGGCTTCTGCTGGCTCCCAGTCCTAGCCAGAACCCAGGGCCTGGGTCTGACCTCACCAATTCTAGAGGGCAGGGATAGGGCCACAAATCAGAGAAGCCTCCCTGAAAGGTCTGGAGAAAGTAGACAACCAAATGGGGGTGATGATGGCTCATATTTTGCAGTGGGCCCTAGGCCAGGCACTCTGTTCTATGTACATTGTGTTTAATCCTCACAACAACCCTGTAGGGTGGGGCTGTAGCATCCCCACTTTGCACTCTGGGATTCTACCCATCCTTCCCAACAGCTTGTTTCATTGGAGCTTTACACCAGCCCCAGGAGACAGGGGGTCAGCGTTTGCACCCTCATTGTGCAGAAGAGCCCACAGGCTCTAGTCCCCCCACAAAATCTGCAGGCCTGGAACAAAGAAAGCTCCTGCTAGCCCTGCGCTCAAGCTTCAGTGCCCCAGCTCCCCAGCCCCCTAGCCCAGCCCCTCCCAGCCACCTCTCCCTTAGTCATTAGTGCCGATAATTCCATCTGCAAGAGTAATTATCAACCCCAGGAGGGGAAGGGATTCCTGCCAGAAGATGTGATTATGTCTGGAAAATGAAGGATATTGCAAAAAAAGGTCATGAATAAATTATTTCAAAGTGGGGCTAATAAGAAAACTAACAATGGGGGTAAATGCAAAAAACAGAAAAAACATAACAAAAAATCTATTTAAAAGTTATCTCCCAAAAACACTAAAAAATTCATATTCTTGCTTCTCCTAAAAGTTCTGAGGAGGGAGATATAATTCCCTGAGACAGGCCCAGGGAAGCCAGTCAGGGGCTCCCTGGCCATGAGGCACAGGTGTCGAGGAGGGTGTAGGGAGGGAGTGGAAGGAAAAGAGTGGGAGCAGAGCAGGTGGGCCCTGCATGCCAAGGTGGGGTCTTGTGCTTAAGTCAGCAGGCAAGAGGGAGCCACTGCCGTCTCGAGCAGGGTTGTGACAAAACAGTACTGTATTTGACCTCCATTCTCTGTGTCGGGAGATGGTGATGTCACAGAATAAGAACCAGCACGCAGGCTTGGTGCAGTGGCTCACACCTGTAATCCCAGCACTTTGGGAGGCCGAAGTGGGTGGATCACCTGAGCTCAGGAGTTCGAGAGCAGCCTGGCCAACATGGTGAAACCCCATCTCTATTAAAAATACAAAAATTAGCCGGGCATGGTGGTGGGTGCCAGTAGTCCCAGCTACTTGGGAGGCTGAGGCATGAGAATAGCTTGAATCTTGCAGTGAGCCGAGATCACGCCACTGTACTCCAGCCTGGGTGATAGAGCATGTAGTAGGTGCTCAGTAGATGCTGGATCCCATCCTCCCCAAATGTCTTCACTGGAGGCTGCTTGGCAGAGTGGGGAGAGCATGGACTTTGAGTCAGGGAAACCTGAGTTTGCATCTCAGCCTTGCCATTCACCTCCTGGGTGGCTTAGGGTAGGTTCACCCTTTGCTCGCCTCACACGTGGATGTTTCTTGTAGGACGGTTGTGAGCATGAGACAGGGCAAGCTCTACAAAAGTGTTTGGCACAGAGTAGGTAAATCATAGCCTCTTCTTGCACCTGCAGTGGGCCTAGTTCCTGTTGGGTCATATGTAATAATAAAACGCTGAAAGCATCTATAGCACTTACTCTGGGCCAGGCACTGTTCTAAGAACATTACATATATTAACTTATTTCATCTTCACCACTACCCTTGGAAGAAGATACTATTGTAATTCCCATTTTGCAGATAGGGAAACTAAGACACAGAGAGGTTAACACCTTGCACAAGGTCCAAAAAGCCCCAGGGCCAAGACCTGAACCCAATAGTCAGGTTGCATAGTCCATGAGCTTGACACGCCCGCCTGCCCCTGCCTGTGAGCTGCGGGTAAACCCAGAGTGATCCTCACTGCCCCCAACAGGATGAAACCTTAACTGTGGCCTTGGGGGTGATGGAGCCAGGAGAGCTGAATTTGGAAATGGCTGACAAATGATGGGGGAATCAGGCACCTGTCAGGCAGCTCAGGGGAGGTGTCCGTTCCCCAGGTGGTGGCAGGAATGGAGTGCCCAGTCACCACGCTGTCCATCCGTATCACTGTTCTCCAATACAAAACACTCATAATAAACACCATCTCATGTGCTCTCACTGCCCTCTGAGGGCTGTGATGGTGCCACCGACATTTTACCAATAAATAAACTGGCGTGGCAAGGTTACATAGTCTCTGGGGCATCTCAGCACTCCCCAGCCCAGGGCTGAGCCCCTCCTCAGGCCCTCACTGCTCCCCAGGGTGCCCCCTCCCACCCCATCTCCCTCAGTAGCTCTGCTCCCCTCTCCTCCCTCAGGCCTGCAGCCCCACACCAGGTCTGCCCTGCAGGGAAGTCTGCCCTGAGCTCCCATCAAACTTGCCCCTTCCTGGGCTTGGGTGCCTTCATGGAGGGCACATTCCAGGCCCGTGTTCTGTGTGGTGAGGCACTCTGTGAGAACTTGACTGAGAAACCTCTAGGGCCAGAAAAATCTAGAGGAAACTAGCTTTAAAAACCCAAGGGGCTGGGCACGGTGGCTCACGCCTGCAATCCCAGCAGTTTAGGAGGCCGAGGAGGGCAGATCACTTGAGGTCACAAGTTCGAGACCAGCCTAGCCAATGTGGTGAAACCCCACCTCTACTAAAAATACAAAAATTAGCCAGGCATGGTGTGCGCCTGTAATCCCAGCTACTCGGGAGGCTGAGGCAGGGGAATCACTTGAACCCGGGAGATGGAGGTGGCAGTGAGCTGAGATGGCACCACTGCACTCCAGCCTGGGTGACAGAGTGAGACTCCATCTCAAAAAAAAAAAAAAAAAACCTGAGAGTTTATATGAGTTGGGGAGTTGGGGATGCGGATGGACCAGAGGACACTGGACAGTAGAGGCAGCCGTCCCCACCCCAACTCCTTTTTTGTTCTCTAGTAAAAGCCTCTCCAGTGTTAAATTCTGGGCTGTCTTTGCATTCAGCCTATAATTGTTTTTATAATGACTCCACAATCAATAAGCAATTGGATTTGCCAGAGTCTAGACTCTCAGCCAGAGAGGAAGGGCCCAGGCACCTTTCTAAAACAGGCTGGAACACTGAGTCACTCACCTGCTCTAGGGGGCCCTCTTTTATCTCCCAAGCAAAGTTCATGCCTGTCGCTCAAGGCCATCCTGGCTGGGCCCAGCCTGACCTCCAGGCTCCTGCTGCTGCCTCTCATCACCCTTCCCTAACCCCTGAACTCCAGCAAATCCAAACTGCCTTACCCTGCAGCCCCCCAACCCACGTGTGGCCCCACTGCCACGCCTTTGTTCAGTCTGCCCATTCCCTCGAATACCCTTGCTCTCCATCCCCCTCAGCCACATCCTGCTGGTGCACCCTCCAGTCTCCATTCAGTTGCCACCTCCTTATAAAGCCTTCTTGCTGTCTTCCCTATGGGACAGAGCCTTTCCACAGGACACTGACATACCCACTCTGGTGGCACATTGTGGATGTTTTTCTCCCATCTACTAAACAGAAAGCTCCAAGGATCTGTCCATTTCATCCCTGTGTGCCTACTCTATTCCCCACCCTGCCACCTCCTAACCCCCAGCCTATCCAAGCCCGGCACAGTCCCCTGCACAGAGTGTCAGTAAATATGTGTTGAATAAATGCACAGATAGTTTAGAAGCATCCCCTAAAATGTGAATGCACCGCATTTTACTTGGACCCTAGTTTTCTTTATTAGCCTCTGCAAGACCCTCTGTCCCCCACAGTCTGGCTCCCACCTAGGACACTGTCACCATCACTATTGTCAGACTCTGGCTCTGCAGGCCACTGCCCCAAGTCCACACTACACAGCCCTCACCTAGGGCGCTGGGCTCTTTTACGGTACACATGCATGTATACCCTATAGATCCAAGCCACCCCTCCCTGACTTTGACCCGTACCATGCTCAAAGCCACTATGATCAAATCACCGTTGGGGCTTCATGGCCAGGATCAGCCCAGATGTCTGACATGCAGATGCTAAGCTTGCCCCACAGCTGTCACACCACCAATACATATCACACACACATACCAAACTCACATACTACATGGATCACGTAGGGGGTGACCCTCTAAGTTACCATGCAAACCAGGACACTGGGACAGCAGGCCCAAATCCTATCCCTAACCTGCTCTCCATACATGCAGAGCACATGTACATCTAGTACCTCTGACACACATAGGGCTCACGTGTTAATCACACGAAATACATCAGGAATATATACCACCGCTAGCACACATACACAAGCTCACCAAAACAGCCTGCAGAACATGCACGTGGAGAAGTTGCCAGCCTGTGCCCCTCCCTGCCTCCATGGTCCACATACATACTCCTCTAAATGCTCAGAAAGACCTCCCCCAACACCCAACATAGGTTTTCCCAGAAGTTTAGAGGCAATTTTTTTGGCACTTAAAAATGACAAGGTTTGGGTGGAACGTGGTGGCTCATGCCTGTAATCCCAGCACTTTGGGAGGCCAAGGCAGGTGGATCGCCTGAGATCAAGAGTTTGAGATCAGCCTGGCCAACATGGTGAAACCCCGTCTCTACTTTTAGTAAATTAGCCAGGCCTGGTGGCATGTGCCTCCCAGCTACTCGGGAGGCTGAGGCAGGAGAATCGCTTGAACCCGGGGGGCGGTGGTTGCAGTGAGCCGAGATTGTGCCACTTTACTCCAGCCTGGGCAAAAGAGCAAAACTCCGTGTTAAAAAAAAAAAAAAAAAAAAAAAAAAAAAAGCCAAGTTGTTTTTTTGTTTTTGTTTTGTTTTGTTTTGTTTTTAGCACTATGGATATCATGAAACCTAACATAGATTGATTAGGGTCATATGCTGTCAATGATTGCCCAGAAACCCCTGAAGACTGAGGCCCAGGATTTGCAGGGAAGCTTCATTCTGTTCTCAGAGGGAGCAGGTCCCAGCAGACCTGTAAGAGATGCTCTGAATCCCTGTGGCCATAACCATCCTCACCCCCAGCCCCTCAGGAACCACAGAGCTCTGGACAGGGCTCAGCGCCAGGGAAGCAGGGAGAGATGAGGCCAGGCACGGGGAATCAAAGCTGCAGCAGGAAGCTCCTTCCTTCTAAATAAGGGCAGAGACCTGCCTGGATGTGGGATGCTGATAGCATCTGAGGTCAGCAGCAGCAACACAGCACCGCCACCACCACCACCATAGTCATCATCATCATCATCATCAAACCAGCTTTCTCTCATTCAAAGGATATACATTATTAAATACTAACTCACTCCCACTGCCTGTTATTCCGCCATCTTAGCTTTATACCCTAAAGTCTTGAAACCTTTTGTACTTCAGGAGCTTCCTAACAACATAAGATACAAATGCCCCCTAAGAGTTCCCTCCATAAGCCCCCATAAGCCATTTCTGCCTTCATTGTCAACACATATTTAACAACAAATGGGTAGGACAGGAGATTATGAAATTACACATCACAGGCACCTGGTAGCAAGCCTGGCACGTTGCATGGGCTCAGGACATTTGAGTCCCCATCATTTCCAACCTGTGTGCAGTCAAGGCAGCCTGGTCTAGGGGAGAGAACTTGGGCTTTGGAATCAGTTGCCCCTTCCCTTTCCCATGCTGTGACCTGGGGCAAATCGACCTCTCCGGCCTTGGTTTGCAAACCCTCTCTAGGATAGTTCTCTCTCTAGGAAGGGAATTCTCTCCCTGCAGGGCTGTTATAGAACAAAAGGAGATAAGAGGGAAAAAAAAAGTGCCTGGCACAAGCCTGTCACCAAGGGGCAGGGGCGTGAAAAATATGGAGTTTCCTTTCTCCTGTCATCAGCACTAGGGATGTGTGGGTCTGCCCTAAGCCACAGGGCCAGCCCTGTCTGGAGGGGTGAAGGGGTGTGGTCATTGGTTAGGACCAGGGTCCTGCTCCCCACTCCCTCCTGGGGCTGGCCATCATGCATATACTGTGCAAACATCTCCAGAGATTTTAGATTTTGGGTCTCCTAGTAAAGTACAAATACCTCTCATGAGTTTGCTCAATAAGTCCATATTAGCCAGTAATGCCTTCTCTAAACTCGGTACAGAATCTCAGGAAAGAGAATGGTTAGAAAAGGAGAAGGGGCTACAGGTAGCACAAGAGCATCAATACAGAGGAGAAAAGAAACTGCTCCACAAGAACTGCAACTGAGTCCCTAGGAGCACCCTGGATGACTCAGCCAGTAAGTGGCACGGCCTCAACTTGATCTAAAACACCTTTTCTTGGCCACATGGACCGCCTCTTGGGTCTGAATTTTTTTTTTTTGAGATGGAGTCTCACTTTGTCACCCAAGCTGGAGTGCAGTGGAGCAATTTTGGTTCACTGCAATCTCCGCCTCCCGGGTTTAAGCTGTTCTCGTGCCTCAGCCTCCCAAGTTTAGGCTATTCTTGTGCCTCAGCCTCCCAAGTAGCTGGGATTACAGATGCCTGCCACGACGCCCAACTAATTTTTGTATTTTTAGTAGAAACAGGTTTTCACCACGTTAGCCAGTCTGGTCTCAAACTCCTGACCTCAAGCAGTTCACCTGCCTCAGCCTCCCAAAGTGCTGGGATTACAGGCATGAGTCACTGCACCCAGCCAGATCTCTCTGAAATGTTTTGGTGTCTGTTTGGGAACTGTTGGAAGGTGTCTGTGCTCCTCCAAAGAGGCCCCTTGAGATGTCAGAGCCATATCACATATTTGTGCAAATTAGAATAAGTTACCCCTTTCTCAAGACATTCTACTGACATCTGCCAGAAAACTGATGTAATATATACACAAATCTATAATGACTGTCATTTGAATAAAACCTCTAGATTTGTGCAGTGCACACCCTACACAACTGCACAGAGTAACCTCAGATCACTGGCAGCCTATTCATTTTTGATAGACATAAGTGAGAGTGAATACTACATGGGGCTTCCAGTCCTAACCTTTCTCCTCCTCCCACCTGCATGGGAGCCAGACAGAATGACTCAGCCCCACAGGCTGTGGACATTTCTCCCTCAGCATAGGAAGGCAGGGTCAGGGATGGATATGACAAGTGGCCTCCAAGTCTCTCTCTTTCTCATCCCTGTGGCTCTCTGTTCCTCATACCTTATGCAGACTTTCTTTTCCCCAACATGCACCTGCTGTCAGTTGCTGCTTTATCAGTGACGCACCAATTAGGTCCAGCGAGGTTTGCTCTGCGTTGGAGAGGCTGCTGTGGCTGGCATTTGGACAAGCTATTCTGTTTGCCTTGTGGGCCACGTGTCACTCTTTCTCCCTAGGAAATTACAAATAAGGCTCCCCACTTGGGAGTCCCACTGTCCTAGCGCTTAGAGTTGGGAGTGGGGTGTGACTGACAAGGGTGGGCAGGAGAGTGCAGCAGCCCAGGGCTGGCATTCTGCTTGACAAGGAGCAGGCACTTGCTTGGCAAGGGGCTTTGTAAACAGTAAAGCATGCAACTCTTGTGTGCTGCTGGCATGGATGCGGCATTGGACACCAAAAGCAGTCCCCATTAGTAGCTCCGGAACTCCAGGAATGGCTGGGGTGATGAACAGAAGCAACCAGAGCCACTACAGGCCGCCTGCAGAACCCATGGAAGTAGGGAGGGACTAGCCTGTGCCCCTTTCATGCCACAGCCTCATTTTATGCCCCACCCCGTCTAGCCACTAGACATTACTGACAAGCTCTATTCCACTCCCTGTGTATCCCCTGACCTCGCACAGTGTCTGACACATACTGGCACTTAAGAAACATTTCCTGAATGTCTGAATAATTCAACCCATGTGTACTGAACACAAATGACTCAATCCTTATCCTCATGGAACTTGCAATCAAGTAAATGAGAGCTGAATTTTTTAAATGATTATTTCATTACAACTGTGGTAAGTGACACAAAGGAGCAGTAACAGGGAAACTTGCCCTGGAAGTGGGAGGGCTGGGGGAGAGTTAAAGAGGGCTGGGCACGGTGGCTCACGCCTGTAATCCCAGCACTTTGAGAGGCTGAGGCAGGTGGATCACGAGGTCAAGAGTTCGAGACCAGCCTGACTAACATGGTGAAACCCCGTCTCTACTAAAAATACAAAAATTAGCCAGGTGTGGTGGCATGCGCCTGTAATGCCAGCTACTCAGGAGGCTGAGGCAGGAGAATCGCTTGAACCCGGGAGGTGGAGGTTACCGTGAGCTGAGATTGCAACATTGCACTCCAGCCTGGGCGACAGAGCGAGACTCTGTCTCCAAAAAAAAAAAAAAAAAAAGTTGGGAGCTGAAAGGGACCTTAGGTCTCATCTAGTCTAGTGTAATGGTTAGCAAGACCCAGGGCCTATCACAGTGCCTTGCTTGTCATAGATGCTCAAGAAACACAGATTGAATGAATGAATGAGGAAGTCACCTTGGGCTAGTGCTTTTGCCTCACTTGAACCTATGTACTCTGTCCCCAGGTCCAGAACCCATTCTTGCCTTGAGTCATCCTACCCCACCTACTCCTCCAACAAAAGGATAGCTGAGCCAGGCCAACTTCCTTGGTTGCTGGTCCCAGAGTGATCTCTGCTGAGCTCCCACAGGCTGGCAGGCTCATGCCACCTTGGCCTGTATCTAGAGAACTCAGTTCCACTCCATTTACACTGCCTCCTACCCACAGAGCATATTTAAGGGGACTAGAAGACAGACTCACACAATTGCCTCCCTCTTTTGTGTGAGGGAGGGTCAACCACTTTCCATCCTCCTCCAATTAGTCCAAAAAATACTCATTAACCTCCTGTCCATTGCAAGGAAAACAGATGATCAACATGAGAAGCTCAGCTGTTGATTAATTTTCCCAAACAGGGCCAAACTACAAAGCAGCATATTGCAGGGGAGAAAATTCAATAAACAATATTTGAAACAAATTTAATAGAACATACAACTCATTACCCACCGGGGTCTGGGCCTGTGCCATCATGTTATGCATGGAGGCAGGTGGAAGGTAGAGGAGCGATTTGCATCTTTAGTGGGACCAGCGTCGAGGGTTTGTTAGTAGTGCTTTCAAATCAAGCTCAAGATGTTAATAGCCAGTACTGCATCTATAATTAACAGGCCTTTGGATGGGAGGAAGGGTTCACATTCATTCTGCATTCACAGAAAAAAGATGCTGAACAGGACTGGCAGGCATCCCCAGCAGAAGCATGGGGACCTGCCCTGTAGGTGGTGTGGACTGGGGAGATGGGGATAGATGAAGATAGAAAGACACCCAAGCATCAACTTCCAGGTGCTAAGAAAGGGTCAGAGCATCTAGGCCTTGGTGGGTGGTACTCCCTCAAGATCAGGGCCATGTCCTCTGGATGTCTTGCTCTGTGCTTAGGTGGCAAGTGCACTTTCCATATCAACAGGGATGGCACAGGCCAACCCAGAATTCCCACATTTAGGCTGTTAGCATCCTGTGACCCAAATGGGAGCTAGGAGATCTGAGTTCCAAATGAATGTTCACCTTGCATTGGCTGTGTGATCTTGGGCAAGTCACTTTCCCTTTTTTGGCCTCAGTTTACTCACCTATAAAACAAGGCAGCTGGACCAGGTGATTCCCAGTGTCCCTTTCAGCTCTAGCATCATGGGCTATCTACCCACCATTAGGACAGGTGTGTGACCAGGCCGAGGCCATGCATTAGCAGAGCAGGTGGACCACAGCTGGTGGGATTCTTAGAAGCCCAAGAGGGCTCCCCGTCTTTGGCCCTCCTTCCTACCATTCCTCACACCTTTGGGTTAAGACCCCCAGTCCAGGCAAGAAGATGCTCAGAGTCAGAGCTAAAGGGCCCTTAGAGATCACATAGCCAGTGGTTCCCAGCTGGACACTTGCAAAGGCTGCAGCAGGTTGCCAAGAGCAGTTTGGTACATTTCACAAAACCTACAGGAAATCCTGTATTACCTGTGATGAAGTTAACTGAAACACCAAGGTTTTTCTTTTGCTTTTAATTAGAATTAAATTAACTCTATGTGATATCCCTGGTTAGTGTGTGCTGATCAGAAGCTCTGATTGGTCATAGGTGACATCATAGGAATATCTAGATCATGACTGGTGGACAAGAGGCTGCCACTAGAGTCACATGGCATGTGGCCACTGGCCAAATTGTATTTGTCCAATATATGACTGGCCTTGGACACCAGCCCAGAGTGACTGCAGTGTCTTTCAAATGGAGAGGGCTTTGTAGGCGGAGAATACTAACAAGGGTCCTTAGTGGTGAGAAGTTGGGGAGACTGGTTTCAATAGCCTCAGATGATTGATAAAGAAACCAAGGCCTGTACATTATCTTGCATTAACATGAATCTATCGGAAGAGAAGATAGACTACTTCTAGCAGGAATTCCGGATGGTGATTTTAGGGGAACAACCTCAATAAAGGACCTTAGGGGACAGGCCTGGCTGAGGGAGTAGGCAGAGTTGCTAGGCTAAGCAAAGCACATGACATGCCAAATGCAAACTCCCCAGCTCACAACCCTGGCTCTCATCCTGGCCTTTTCTCCAGTGTGTGACAAGATCAACTGACATGAACTGAGGGCTGGTTTGGGTCAGGCTCTAGGCAGGAGGAGGCAGGTGTAGACAGCACAACCCTTGCAGCCAGTTCCCTGGGAGCAGTGGCCTGCAAGTCCCAGCTCTGCCTTGCGGGCCCACTTTGGCTCATAGTGGATTTGATCATCTCTAATGTCTGTTCAGCTCAGAAGGTCTTGTCTCCCAGAGTGGATACTCTAGAGGCCAACTGGGTAATTTTTGCCTGTGCTTCTCACTCTCTGGTAGGCAGAGTTGGGCAGGGGGTGATGGGGTGAGGCATGGAAGCATAGACCAGGATCTCCTGGCTTTCCTTTCTCACAAGAGCCCCATGGAGGCTCAGAGTCAAGTGTGTTAGCATGGGGCCCATCCTTAGACTAGACAATATTCTGTTGCCTGTGTGTGATGAGAACCACAGAACCCAGCCTACCAGGGCCCCTCACTCACACATTATTTACAAAATTCCCATACTCTGTGCCAGGTACTGGGGAACCCAGACAGGTAAGGCCCCTCTTCTCATGAAGCTTCTAGTCTCTCTGGGAGAGGCAGAGAGTAAATAAGTGGACAAAGAAACATACCTGGATGTAGGCATGAGTATACCTGTGTGGGTACTGCCTGGGAGTTGCCCAAGGCCAGAGACTGGGTCCCAGTCTCTTCTGTGCCCTTGGAGCCTGCAACATGGCTAGCTCAGAGTTGGCCCTTACTCAGCAAACATTTGCTGAATTGCCTGGCATACAAGAGAAAGCATATGGAAAGTGCCAAGTCCTTCTGCTCCTGTCCACAGTAGAAGCCAGCATGTACACACAAACATCTCATTTCAATTAAACATTTATCAAGGATCCATTATGTACCAGCAGGGGCCCAAGCTCTGAGAATCTAGACATGAATGCAATCAGATCCATCCCCACGGAGCTCACAGGCCTAAGGTGGAGGAAGGCACTGAGCCAACCACAACCATCCAGTGCTAGGATGAAGGTTGCTATGTATGCACCCAATTCCCACCAGGGCAGGGCTGGTGGGCTGGAGAGGAGTGTCAGGGAAGACACCCAGGAGAAAATGTACACAGACATACCCAAGGCAAACACCCACAGAAACACACAGATGTATACACTGACTGCCTGAGCACGTGTGGACATCAATGCCAACCCATGTAGACTTGGGTCCCACACAGACCATCATGATTAAGGCTTGTTTGTTAGTGGTCCCCCAAATCAAAAAGGTATCACTACACCTTGGGCCAGGGGATATGCCGGGGTGGGCAGAGCTGATAGTCTAATCTGAGATAGGCTCGTGATTGGCTTGCTATGAACATCAATCACCGGAGACTGGCCAGTCAATTATACACCAGGCCTCACCCTCAGATCAGAGGCTAGAAGTTAGGGAATTTGACAAAAAACTTTAACAGTTAGTGTAATACTTGTGCTTGTTGAGGTGTTAGAACCTGGTATGCATTGGTACTGAGGCCAGGGGGCCGGGACAGTGAGGTGGAAGAGCAGAGTGCTCAAAGTTAGCTGTGCCAAGGTTACACTCCTTCAGGGCAGAGCTGTGCACTTTAGAAACTCTCTGATTCCCCATTTGGACTTTTTGCTATTAGGAGCTGACTGGAAAAAAAACACAAAGAGTTTCTTCTCTTCTCCCACTCAACAACAATCAACACAGAAGACTTCTGTGATCAGATGTGTGGGGATTTCTCCCCAGCAGCAAGCAATCAATCAATTCTGCAGCAGACATCAGCTGGGTGCCCTCCAATTCAATTCTGACACTATCTATCTGGAGATAGCGTCAGATCCCACAGGTGGAGGGCTCAGGCCCCAAGACTGCTCACCCTCCTGCCTTCAGATGCCAGTCAAAAGCTCCAGGCTGTTTTGCCTTTTTTTTTTTTTTTTTTTTTTTTTTTTTTTTTTTTTTTTCTTGAGACGGAGTCTCGCTCTGTCACCCAGGCTGGAGTGCAGTGGTGTGACCTCGGCTCACTGCAATCTCCACCTCCCGGGTTCAAGCGATTCCCCTGCCTCAGCCTCCCAAGTAGCTGGGACTACAGGTGTGCACCACCACGCCCAGCTAATTTTTTTGTATTTTAGTAGAGACAGGGTTTCACCATGTTGGCCAGGATGGTCTCAATCTCCTGACATCGTGATCCGCCTGCCTCAACCTCCCAAAGCGCTGGGATTACAGGCCTGAGCCATCACGCCCAGCCTTGGCTGTGCTTCTAATTGATGGGCTATAAATCGGGGTTCCTGCAACTCCCTCCCTGGGTTCAATTAACTTGCTAGAGAGGTTCACAGAATTCAGGGAAACACATTTACCAGTTTATTATAAAGGATATTACAAAGGATATGGATGAAAAGATGCAGAGTGCAAGACATGTGGGAAGGGGTATGGAGCTTCCATGCCCTCTCCAGGTGCACAATCTTCCCGGAACCTCCATATGTTCAGCTATCTCCAGAAGCTTTCCAAACCCTGTCCTTTGGGGTTTTTATGGAGACTTCGTTACATGGGAATCATTGATTACATTGCTGGCCTTTGGTGATCAACTTAAACTTCAGCCCCTCTTCCTTATACCTTCCCCCTTCAGCGGGTGGGGCTGTAAGTCCCAACTTTCTAATCCTGCCTTGGTCTTTCTGGTGACCAGCCCCCATCCTGAAGCAGCCATCAGTCATTAGCATACAAAACGACCTCACTTTTGGCCAGGTGCAGTGGCTCACACCTGTAATCCCAGCACTTTGGGAGGCCGAGGTGGGTGGATCACCTGAGGTCGGGAGTTCGAGACCAGCCTGACCAACATGGAGAAACCCCATCTCTACTAAAAATACAAAAATTATCTGGGTGTGGTGGCACATGCCTGTAATCCCAGCTACCAGGAGGCTGAGGCAGGAGAATCGCTTGAACCCGGGAGGTGGAGGTTGCAGTGAGCCAAGATCGTGCCACTGCACTCCAGCCTGGGCAACAAGAGCGAAACTCCGACTCAAAAACAAACAAACAAACAAACAAACAAAAACTCACTTTGGAGATTCTAAGGATTCCAGGAGTTGCTTGGCAGGAAACTGGATGAAGACCTTATATTTCACAATATCAGAGGAACTGACAAATGCAAAGTGTTTGGAACAGTGGCCCTCAGGGAGTGGTCATTCCGTCCTCCAAGACCATACCTGTAGTGTGTGGTGATAAAAGTTCCAGCCTGTGTCAGCTGTGAGGGGGAACAGGGAGCCAGCCCAGAGAAGGTGATAAAAAGGTAAACAAGGTATTCTTTCCCTAAGAGATGCTATATCTTTGCACTAATAGCTTGTATAGTGCTTTCTACCCATCAGGCACTATTCTAACTGCTACACAAACAATAACTAATTTAATCCTCTTAATCCTATGAGAAGAGGACATTTTAATTCCCATTTAACAGATGTGGGAACTGAGGCTCAGGGGATGTCGTAAATTGCCTATGGTCACATGGTGAATAAGCTGTGGAAGCAGGATGGTACCAGAGTCCACCCTCTGATCCCTCACCCCTGCTGCCTTTCAGGATGGAAGATCTGGTTCTTTCTCCTTAACCTTGGCACTAACACACCAGGGGTCCTGGATAAGCCACTGCCCCTCTCTGAGTCTCCCTTTTCTTCTCTGGGAAGCAGAAAGCCATCTCAGCCCAGTGGCCTCCCAGGACTGTCGCAAAGACCAGGCATAGGCTTCTCTGGGAGGAAACTGACACGGCATTGTGGGGAGCAGATGTGTCGAGCTTGGCTTCTTGCATCCTGTCCCATGGATCACGGCCAGGGCAGGAGGCCTCTCTGAGCCCCATCAACAGACCTGCAACAGGGCTCACAGGCAACCTGAGGCCTTGCAGGGAGATCAGGGTTTGGGACACTAATGAGGACACTGGGAGAGAAACCCCTTCTGATAGCAGATTCATGAAGAGAAAGGCATACGCTGTGCCTGCAGTCTGCACCCAGTCCAAGGCCCTCAGAGGTCAGATTCTTATGTGCTATTTATCATCTTGGAGAAATTGGAGTTTTCTGGGTAATGGGAAAGCTGACAGACTCCAACTGGTCAGGCCTGCTGGGGACTGGTGGGGGAAAGAGCAGGAACCGTGGGGCCTTCGGGGAAGGACTCCACACTCCCTGCCCCCAAGGGCGAGACAGAAGCAGAAAAGGGCTGGAGAGAAGCCTCTCCGTGGCAAAGACCCACACCCTCGGTTCTCTCTGTGGCCCACATAGGAGTGAAGCCAGATGCCTGGACCCTTAGAGTTGAGAAGGGAGCTCCTTTATGCCAAGCCTGTCATTTCAGAGATGCGGGAACTGAGACTCAGAGACGGGCAGTACATATCTGGTGTCACACAGCTAGTGGGGCCCAGACAAGCTCTGGTCTCCCAGCCCAGACAAATTTATTATCAGGATTCCCACGGAAAGCTTAGGTGTAAGGCCTGAGACGCTGGCTGGAGACACTCCCTAGGGGCTGGAGGTGGGAATTCAACATCCAGTGACCACTTGCTCCGGCATAGACAGCCCCACAGTAGGTTCCTAAGTGGGGAAGCATGTCCTGGGGGACTCAGGGAAGAAAGCCTGAACTCCCTCCCCTGGCATTCTAGACTCCCAGCCCCACTTTTACCTATCTCCTTCACTCCTCCCTTCAGCCACCCCTAGCACATTCCCAGCTCATACTCCTCTGCACTCTTGTCCACAACCCTCTTCCTACCTGGATCCCCTTTACCCCACTCTTCTCTGATTAAATGCTCCCACCCCTCAAGGCCTCTGAAGCCTCCATTCCTGGTCTCCTACCCTGTAACTTGCCCCTCGTCCAAATTGTTTAGTGGAGCTAACAGCATACCCACTTACCGGTAGAGTGGACGCCCAGATTCACCCCTCAGGACAGAAGCACTCATTCTTCCCCAGCTGCCAGAAATTTAGTGGCTCGCAGGTGAGGCCCTCTATAGACATCGCCCTCCAAGTTAGCCAACTCACCTGAGGAGTCATGGCCCCTTCCCCCATCCCAGTGGATGGCCAGTGATTGATGGAGGCATAAAGGATCTCCCTCCCTTTACCCCCATGTGGGACAACTCCAGGGGTCATCTCAGCTTCAGAGCTTCCTGCCAGATCAGCAGAAGTTACTGTAACTGTGCCTTGGTTCAACTTTTCCTCAGCCTCGACCGCCTCCCTTATCCCTTATCGGGATTATTCTCATCGGGATTATTCTCAAGAGCTCACTAATCTCTATCTCAGAATGTTTTCCAGGGTAGCCAGTTTAGGATCCCCGGTAATGTAATGGTTAAGCAGCCAGCCTGGGTTCCAGCAAGGAGCAACTGGGTTTAGTTCTGTGACCTTGGCAGAGTTAAGTAACTTCTCCATGCAGTTATCTGTTAGGTGAGAATAATGCTGAGGCAGTAGCTTCTATCTCCTATGAGTGCTGTGACAATTAAATGAGATAGTGTGTATGGCACATGATATTGAGAAAGGACTCAATATGCATTAGCTATCATTTACATTTAACTTCTCTGAGGCTCAGGCAAATGCGGATAGGATATTACTACTCGTGTCATGGGGTTATGGGTGAGAAATAAGATTGGGAGACAATGGGTTAGACTTGGTGCTTCTTCGACCTAATACAGACTTTGGAGTCAAGGTCCCTGGTATTGTGGTCTGGAGGCCTGACCCCTCCAATAACTGAGAAGGATTATATTAGTTTTCCATTGCTGCTGTAAAAAATCACAATTTAGTGGCTTCAAACAGCACAAATTTATTATCTGACAGTCCTGAAGGTCAGAAGTCTGGCATGGGTTTCACGAGGCTGAAGCCAAGGTGCCAGCAGGCCATGTTCCTTCCTGGAAGCTTTAGGAGAGGGTCTATTTCCTGCTCGCTCACAGTGTGGACAGAATTCAGTTCCTCTGATTGCAGGACTGAGGCCCTCATTTTCTTGGTAGCTGTAAAAGAGCTGTTGATCCCAGATTCTAGAGGCCACTGCATTCCTCAGCTCGTGGCCCCTTCCTCCATCTTCAAAGTCAGCACAAGCGGGTGGAGGGCTCCTCATGGTGTATCTCTCTGACCTACCTTCTTTGGTCATCTTTTACTCTTAAGGACTCATGATTATATTGAGCCCACCTGGATAACCCCTGAACGCCTGACATTCTCTCCATCTCCAGGTCCGTAATCGCACCTGCAAAGTCCCTTTTTGCCATGTAAGGTAACATATTCACAGATCCCAGGGATTAGGACATGGACATGTTGGGGGCAGCAGGGGTCATTATCCTGCCTACCACAGCCATCCAACATGGAGCAACCTTTGATCCAAAATTCACCCCCTCCCTTTCCAGGGAGAGGTCTGTGCCGTTTCCTGTGCAGCAGGGACCTATGGCCCCAACTGCTCGTCCATCTGTAGCTGTAACAATGGTGGCACCTGCTCCCCAGTAGATGGCTCCTGTACCTGCAAGGAAGGTAATGTGCCCTCTCTCCCAAGCCCATCCCTGACATATGAGCACATTCCCCAGGTGGTGCTGCCAGCTGAGGGGTCTCAGGTGGGGCTGCCCCAACCCCCGCCCCCACATGCAAGGTCAGGGAGCCTATATTGGTTGGGTTCCAGGCAAGAAAACCCATGCCAGGAATTTCAATAGCAGGAATGTAATGAGGGGATTCATTGCAATGTTGTTTGAAGAGCTAAACAGCACACAGGGAAAGTGTGCAACCGAGACACGTTAACACCTGTGGGAGAAGCTGCTATCACTCTTAGGGTTGGAGGGACAAAAGAAAGCGTTCCCAGAGCCTGGGAGTGAGGGCCACCTGGTAAGAGGTGGGACGTGGAGAGAGGGGCTGCGCCACCACCTGAGGCCCCAGGCAGAGAAAGAGGGAGAGGACACACCTGTCTCTCCTGCTCCCGCTCTCCAGTCTGTGGGCCGGTCTCCTGCAGGCAGCCTGGCTGGGAGCCAGCTGAGGGGGAGCCTGGGATGTGCAGCCTGCAGGGGTCAGCCCCCACCATGAACAGGGAAGGGGAGAAATGGTGTGGTAGGCAAAGAGGCCAGTGACCAGCCTAAGAATGGAGAATCAGACGTCCCTCAAACAGAGGGTCCTGAGATAAGCTGCCAGACTCCACCCTGGGCAGAAACAGCACTCCCCACCTGAGCTGGTGCCTGTTCCAGGTAGGATCATCTGCCTGCAGCACAAACAATGAGCACCCGGAGGCAGGAGACCTGGGTTCTAGCCCCAGCTCTCCTAACAGCTCTGTTGTATTTCTGAACTCTGTGTGGAATGTGTGTTCTAACCCAGCCCTCAGGAAAGCAGTGGTTTGGGTGGAATGCTGTGTGCAGAGCTGGGGGGAGTGGGCAAAAAAGACACACTGGGCCTGGATGGAGAAGTGACAGTCCCTTTCCCTCCCCTCAGGGTGGCAGGGCCTGGACTGCACCCTGCCATGTCCCAGTGGGACGTGGGGCCTGAACTGCAACGAGAGCTGCACCTGTGCCAATGGGGCAGCCTGCAGCCCCATAGACGGCTCCTGCTCCTGCACTCCTGGCTGGCTGGGAGACACCTGTGAGCTGCCTTGCCCGGTGAGTGCCAGGGTGGGGAGGGACAGGTTGGGCTCCGCATCCCCTCACGCCCTTTCCCTGGTGTTAGTTCGTCCACAAGAGTGCACAGAGAACAGCACTAAGCTAGGTGATGGGACACTTGGATTTAGGTCACAGTCCTAGTCCTAACCTCTCTGTGGCTATTTTACTACTTTGGCCCTCATCCCCCTCGTCTATAAAATGGCAAATACTTGGCAGATGTGGTGACATGGCATCACTTTTCCCGTGCTGCTCTTGGTAAACATTATTGACTCTGGCACTTGAGCTCAAATGCAGCTTCAGATTCCTTCACAACCCAGTGCTACAAGACAGCCCTTACTAATCCATGAGAGTTGCCATTCGTTGGTAGATAATGTTTAAGCTTCCTTCTGGTTCCAACAGTCTGTACTTTTATGATCAGAGTGTGTGGTGACTAAAGCAAGCACTGTTCAATAATAACCACCCAGACTTAATCACTTCATCTTATAGGTCTGAGATACAAATAAGTTAAACCCACTGATATGATATTGCTGGATGAGCAATGCAGTCCTTAATGAGCAATTTGGAGTCCTGCAATCCTGGGTTCAAATCTTGGCTTTGTCACATCCTTTGTTACCTTGAGCATGTTACTTCACCTCTCTAACCTTGTTTCTCATCTTTAAAGTGGGAATACAATGGAATCATATCATGGAATTGCTGTGAGGATTAAGAAAAATTAAGTATATGAGGCTCTTGATACCTAATGAGCATATAAGAATTGGTGACTACCTTCTTCCCCGGCAACAAAGAATAAATCATAGTCATTCCTCACAGATGATCAATGTGTTACAATCTGCAAAGTGCACTTTCATTTACAGTTTTAGTTAATGATCATTACAGGCCTTTGAGCTTGACCACTGAGAAGTAGAGCAGGAGTATCACCTCCTTCTCAACCTCATACTCCTGTTAATGCAGCCAAATAATTCTTCAGAGTGTCTTCATGGCTGTGTTATCCCCACTTACAAAACGTGTCCCCATTGTGCCCCAGCCCCAGTCTCCCTGCATCTCTGTGGGGTTCTGGCTCAGTTTTGTCATCAAGATCCAGTAGATCTCACTGGACCCTCCAAAAGTAAAAATTAAAGAAAAGATCCATAGAAGTACACAAACCTCTGGAGGTTTGGGTCTGATCATTTTTCTCTCCCTGTCTTCTCCACAGGATGGCACATTTGGGCTGAACTGCAGTGAACACTGTGACTGCAGCCATGCTGATGGATGTGACCCCGTCACAGGCCACTGCTGCTGCCTGGCCGGATGGACAGGTAACCTTCCCTTGCTGTGCCACCACCCAGGTACTGTGAAACTGGGTTCTTGGTATCCTACTTCTCTTGACCGTTTTCTTCTTCAATACCTCTCTTCTTGATCCCTGAGTATGCATCTTTCCCTTTATCTGCTCTGGGTTCCAGTTCTCCATTCCATTTAATTCAAGTAAATATTTATTGAACATCTATTAGGTATAAGCTCTGTCCAAGGCACTGGAGTCACTCCAGTAGGTCAAAAGCTGACATATGGTTGGTGTAAGTGCTCAATCTAGAGAATATGATGGAGAAGGGGACAAGGGCCTTTCTCCTTAGTCCAGTCTCAGAATCCTGGTCCTTATATCTATCCTGTCAGCCTGCCTCCTAAATACAAGGTGAATCCATCTACTTCTCTCCATCCCACTGCCACCACACGGTCTGCTGGGTACCATCCCGCATCTGGCACTGCCTTGGCCTCCGCTCTTGCCCAGCTGCATTCATTCTGCACCTGGTGGCCAGAGTCAACTTTTCAAACCCAGATCTGCCATTTCAGTCCCTGTTCAGAATGCCTCAGTGGCTTCCCACGACTCTTACATAAAATTTTAAATCCTTACCATGGCCCAGGGCCCACGGGATCTGGCTCTGCCTGACTCCACCTCACTCTGTTCACTTTGTGGCTCACTACATTCCAGCCACCAGGGCTGCAGTCTACTTCTTCAGGAAGCCAACCACCTTCCTGACTCCAGGCCTTTGCACATGCCATTCCCTCTGCCTGGATCATTCCTTCCCCTTTTCACCTGATAACTCCTTGTCTACCAGATTTCAATGTAAAGCTTTCTTCCTCTGGGAAGGCACTTCCCCTGCTACAATACCCACCCCAACCTGACCAAGACAAAAGCACTCCCTTTATTAATTCTTCTACCCTACACTTTTCCTATTGTGGTACTTAAATCAGAGTTCAATGACAACTGTGGTAACTGTTTATTATCTGCCTCCCTAATGTGGCCATCAGCTATATGGAGGCATCTGCCTTATTCACCATTGTATCCACTGCCTGCCACACACTGAGATATGGATAACACGGTAGTTAAGAACCCAGCTCTGGAGCAAGACTGCTGGGGTTTATGACCTTGGGCAAGTCATTTAACCTCTCAGGGCCTGAACTCTCCATCCATAAAATACAGATAATTATCCTTGCAACTACAGGGTTGTTTTGAAGCTTAAATGAGTTACTACCTATAAAGTGCTAACAGTGCCTGGCACATAGTAAGTGCTCAGTAAAAGCAGGCCATGAATACAGGAAGTGCTTAATAAGCATTTCAGAAGTGAACCTACTAGCCAGTCCCAAGGTGATGAGCAGCAAAGAGAAAGAAATATAGTCATTTCTGGCAGTATAGGTTCTCAGATAAATAATTAACACCAGGTTGCTGCACAGCCTGTGTTCATAACCAGAAAGTTTCTAAGCAGCCAAGAGCCAGGGACATTGCTTCCTCTGCAGTATCTCCAGCCTGGCTTCCCCTGCCCTGCTGGCTCCTGCCCGTCAGTAAAGAATAAGGCTCAACCCTGGTCACTGGCACCCTAGAATCTCAGCAGGAGCCAAGTGGAAATCAACTTTAATTTTTCATTGCCTTAATTTTGAGTGAGCCAATTAAGATTTTAATGACATCTAGTGCTTAAAAATTCTGTCTTTGGTGAACCACCTTTCAGCAAGGCCTCTGCTGTTCTAAACCTAATTTCCCCAAATGTGGTCCTGAAGTCTTTTCAAAGAAGTGATTGATGTCCTGAGGTTTGTCATGCAGAAGGGGGCCAATGAGAGACAGAGATGGGCCTCCCACTGAGCCCTCCCCACTCACCTCTGCCTCAAGAAAAATCTGTGCCTAACTTCCCAGTCCCTGGCACACCGCTCATTCCTTGGCTTGGCACAGGTTTGGGGCTGCCCTGAGCTGTGCATGTGTCTCCCCTTAACCCTCATAAGCCATAGGCTTACTGACAGTTGGCATTTTGTCTTATTCATCTTGCCCTGCACATAATATGTGCTTATTAAATGTTTACTGAAATAAACTGGAAGTTGGCCTATAACCATTCATAATTTTTCCCCTTAAAGTGGGGGAGGCTTTAAAGATTATCTCCACCAACCTTCTCATGCCACAGATAAGGAAAAGGAGTTGTCTGGGGTCTCAGGACATTAGGGCCAATAGGATGAAAGACTCAGGATTGTATCTTAAGGGGGAACCATTTATTCAATCAACTAGCATTTATTGACTCAAGCAATTACCAAGCCTTTATATTGGCAGCTACCTTGTGCCCAGCACCATGCCAGACTCAGCAGTAAATGGTAAAAAGCAACAGTTTCTGAGTACCTACTGTGTGCCAAACACTGTTGGGCACCAAAGATGCAAAAATGACCAAGATGGCATCCTGTCCATAAGGAGCACCTAGGTAAGCAAAGTCAGAAGTGGCAGTAAGCCATGGTACCTGTCTTCAAATTGCTGGCAGGGGAGACAGGTCTTGTGTATGAAGCTTTCAAGTAACAGGTAGAGACAAAGCTGTATGCTGCTGATTATCAAAGAGATGCTTGTCTCCCTGGGCAGACATCCAAGAAGGCTTCCTGGAGAAGGAGGGCCCTAAACGGACCCTGAAGGATATGGGCTGCTGAGTGGCTACTGGCTTCACTGCATGAACTAGAGATCAACATGTATGGATTCCTAGCCTAGGTTTACCCACCAATTTAGATGTGGGGGTGGGGAGGAGTCCTGAAAAATAAAGCAAGGGGGTTCCCTAGAGTAAGAAAGGAAAGGACCTCTGAGGGGGACTATCCCTATCCAACTGTAGCGAAAACTGGGGCCCAGGAAGGTAACTGAAGCTGCTTCTTCAGAAACTACAGCTGGGAGCCTCCCACAAAGGCCAAGGCCAGCCCCTTTGATCATATCAGTAAGTTGCTTCTGGAACTGGGCACTCCATATGGGGAAATCCTTGACCCTTCTTTCCACTTAGATCCCATGTCTTAAGCTCCAAGAAGGTCTTGGGACATATAAGAACCACAAACAGCCCCACTCCCACAGAAACAGGCCCAGAATATAATAACTGCCAAGTCCTAGAACCCAGTGGGACTTTGCAGCCACCTTCAGTCTGAGAATAAACATGGTACACTCATGGTTCTCAATCTCCATAAATGAGGACCCCTTTTGACATGAAAACACTAAGGATTCCACAATGAGAGTAGCTATACTTTTAATAGCCACTGGCTGGGATAAACACAATAGCAACCAGCTGCCACGAATTCAGTGGTGCTTTCACATACACTGTGTTTTATGAACACAGTAATACCTATAGTTTTAGGAGAGAGCACTGTCTACGTGTGACACATGTGCCTTGGTCAGCTGGCAAAGAGTGCCTGGTGTGCAGTGGAATTGGAGGCCCTGTGGACAGCAAAGCTCCACCTCAGTGCAAGGAACAGCTTTGTCCCTAGGCCTGTGGTCTGAATCCTGGGTTTCCAACAACCATAGGCAAAAGAAATCCTAGGCCAGCACAGTGGCTCACGACTGTAATCCCAGCACTTTGGGAGGCTGAGGCGGGCGGATCACTTGAGACCAGGAGTTTAAGACCAGCCTGGCCAACATGGAGGAACCCCGTCTCTACTAAAAATACAAAAGTTAGCCAGCTGTGGTGGTGGCTTATACCTGTAATCCCAGCTACTCGGAAGGCTGAAGCAGAATTGCTTGAACCCCGGATGCAGAGGTTGCCATGAGCCAAGATCACACCACTGCACTCCCACCTGGGTGATAGAGTGAGACCCTGTCTCCAAAAAAAAAAAAAAAAAAAAAGCCTTATGGCAGATCACAGCTTTTGTTATGCCCAGGAAAAGGAGAAACTTGAAGATGGATCCAAAACCTTGAACAGTTTTATGGTTTCCACTTTCCCAAGCTCCCTCTAGTCAATCTATGATGCCTGTCCAGGGTTCACCTCTTGGGCACCTGAACCACCACTGGGAGAGACCCCTGTCAATGGGTAAAATATGGCAAATATGGCTGCCAGATCCCATTCCCTGGGGAGGAAACCACTTGCCCCCCCCCCCACCCACACCCCACCTACCCACCCGCAACCATTTCCCAGAGAGTGGCATCTGAAGCCTCTACCCTGCTGCAAAACTGAGACATTACAGGGAGGGAGCACAGATGCTGGGCTAGACTGAGGAACAGGAGGATGAGTAAAGCCTGTTGCATCTCCCTCCCTCTCCCCTCTCCGGTGGTTCCACCCTCCCTCCCCTCTCCTCGCCAGCCCAGGTGGGCTTGTACAATTCCAGTCTGCCTCTAAATTGGTCCCACTGCTCTCCTGCTGCTGGTAGGGCTGGCTCTGTTCACTGGGCATGAGTGTCTTTCTCCTTTCTTTCTCTTTCCCACAATCACTGTCCTTATAACAAGGCAGACATGATTTTTCAGCTAATTCTGCCCCTCTCTGAGCCTCTGATATTCACCTGCTGAAGCCAAGCCAATCTCCTGGGCTCACATGTTCCATTTCCCTAATGCATGTCAGACTGGAAGCCTTTCTGCCTGGGAAGAAAACCTACCCCAGAGCTGGGGCATCCAGCCTCAGGCCTTTTAAAATTCCTTCTTCACCTTCAGGCTGTAGGGAACCTAACAAACATTTCCTCTACCTGAGCCCAAAAAGACTATTATAGACTTTGTTCCTTTTTCTTATTGAGAAATTCCATCCATTCCCCCATAAGCCTCTGTCAAACTGAGGGTCATTAAATCAAATTGTTGGGTTACAACTAGCATTTTAAAAGCTGAAATCGAATACATCATAGTACAGAGAAAACATCAGAGTCCAACATACATAGTGACAGTAAATGTAATTTTTGCAAAGTACTGGTTTCTATTGTATGTATGCATGAATGATACACATACTGCGCTGAGGAGTCTGGTCAGAAGAATCTGAAAAGATCCTACCTACTCTCTGAGCCCCTCCCTGGGTGGGTTGGCAGGGACCCAGCAGCACCAGTGGCTCCTGGGCTAACATGCGTGGGCATATGGCTCACTCCCAGCTGGCACTTACTTGCCCATAGTTGGTTCCTCCCGGTCCTGTTCTTGGATGCCATACAGAAGAGGCCCTTGTGATCTGGTCCCTTCTTACTCCCACAATCTCATCTCTTGCCGTACCCCATTTTGCACTTTGTGGTTCAGCCACACTTGCTATTTGTAATTTCTTTCAAGACATGATTCTTTCTCCTGCCTCCTGCTCTTTGTACATATAATTTCATTTGCTTGGTCAATTCCTCCTCGACTTTTAGAACTCTGGACATCACTTCTTCCTGAAAATCCTCCATGACCAGCCAAGCCTCAGCCGGGTTTCTCCTCTACATTCCTGGATGCACTATGCTTGCCTCCACCTCTTCATACTGCACTGTCCCCCTTCCCTCCATTCTTCCCTTCATCCTCACCTCTCTTACCACTGACCCGAGTCTGCCTCTGGCCCACAGGCATCCGCTGTGACAGCACGTGTCCACCTGGCCGCTGGGGCCCCAACTGCTCTGTCTCCTGCAGCTGTGAGAATGGAGGCTCCTGCTCCCCAGAGGATGGGAGCTGCGAGTGTGCCCCTGGCTTCCGAGGACCCTTATGCCAGAGAAGTAAGGCTAATCCCCTGACCCCGAAGAGCTCAGAGGGCTAATCCTCCCTAGCCCTCTCCAGTTGGAACTAGCCATGGCCTGAGAGAGGCTGGGCTCTTGAATCAGCCCCCATCTCTTCCTTCCCTCTAGTCTCTCCCTCTGCAGTTCTGTCCCCAGGTTTGGGGCCCAGCCCAGCTACTCAATGGAAACAGGGCCACACCACAGCTCTTCTCTGCAGAAAGGGATGCGCCCTCCAAGATGAGGGAAGGATGCAGGTCTCCCCATGTTTCTGAGAAGTGTGGAACAGGAAGGGTAGCTAGGCTGGCTGGGGTCTCTTGGGCTGCTGACCACCATCTTCCCTTCACCCTCAGTCTGCCCCCCTGGGTTCTATGGCCACGGCTGCGCCCAGCCATGCCCCCTCTGCGTGCACAGCAGCAGGCCCTGCCACCACATCAGCGGCATCTGTGAGTGCCTCCCAGGATTCTCTGGAGCTCTCTGCAACCAAGGTACTGTCTCCAGTGGGAAGGTACTGGGTGGGGAGGTGAGAGGTTCTGGGAGGAAAGTGGCAGGGAAGGAAGGGCTTGGGGATTTTCATCATACGCTATGGAGGTAGCTCCTTCCCTCTTCAGGACTTGGGCTGCCTTTATGAGAATTGAGCCCCACATGGCATGAGACAAAGGCCCTAACACAGTTAACAGCCTCACAGAAGTGAAATGATTTGTCTGTGATTTCGCAGCTAGCAAGTGGCAGAAACAAATTCTGATTCCGACATGCATGCTGAAGGGATGAAAAGTGAAACAAGCACAGAGATCTGCATCAGAAGTGGCACCATGTGGTCTGTGCCGAGTGCCAAGGGTAAAGGCAGAGAATGCTGTGGGAGTGCAGAGGAGCTGGCTCTGGCTGGAGATGGCAACTTCCAAGCCCTTCTCCCCGTCATATTCAGGCCACCATCCCTAATCCCTCCCCATATGCTTTCCTGACTTGACCTCAGAATCCTTCACAATACCGACTCCAAGAACTGCTACCACTCAGCAGGAGTTGAAAAGAGATATAAAGCTTATTTGCATTGGTGTTCCACCCTACCAGCTCTTTGTGGGGGAAAAACCCTGATCTGTAACATCTGCAGATTTTTAAAATATAAATATTCCTACCACGGCTGATTTTAAGGTACCAATGGTTTAACATCATTCACAAAATTCCCAAATATTGAACAACCAGTGAGAAGGTAGGAGCTGCCTCCACACATCATTGCCTATTGCCATCCCTGGCTTTCTTAGGACAAGACAGTGTGGATTTGGGTGAAGGCTCCATGGACCATGCAGGACTTCAGCTGGGCCTTAGCTTGAAAGGTGGAAAAGGAAGAAAAGCATTCTGTGTAGAGGAAGCAGCTTGGGCAAAGCACAGAGACATGGGCATGCTACAGGGAACAGCTGATGGATATGGTAGCTGGGGGTGGGAAATGGGGCTCAGAAGGTAGGCTGGGACCTTCAGAACAGGTTTGAACACAAGGTTACAGAACTTGCATTCTAACCTGAAAGGAGTGAAGGGAGCTTAGGGTAAGTTAAACTTAGGGCTAAAAGCAACTTCAAGGTCATCTATGCAAGAAATCTCATCTGGACTCTGCTTAAATACTTCTGTTGACTGAGAGCTCACTACCTCCCAGGGGAACCCATTCTTTTGATGAATAATCACTGCTGAGCTGGGCTATTTTTGCAAGTGTGTGGGCTGTTAATATGTATGAATAGAAAGTTTACTACATGATGCTTTGAGGTCATGAGAAGTTTGAGCCCCAGAGAAACATATGTGACAGTTTCATTTACTTGCAGCCCTCCTAGGATGGTTTAATCATAACCTGACATGTCGAGGTTCACTTATTAAACACAGGAGACTAGGCCATCAATACAGATAGTCTAGGTCTAAATTAGGACCCATGCAGCCCGAGGAGTAACTCTCAGATGCTGCGTTGTCTGATTTATCGCCCACTGGCCTAATGAGTATTTCCCACATATAGATCTAATGGAGTTTGCTATTAATGGCAACTGCCCTGGTTAAGTCTTAAACCTTGTAAAAAATTGAACTGACACCTTCTAATGACTGGCTTTCCAGCAAGTTACAAATTACAGACACTGCTTACGCAGAATCATTAAACACAGATTAAATATAACCAGATGTTTTCTTTTCACCAGCCCCCCTTCTGTCCACTGCCCCTCTCTTTGCCTTACTCTTGATTCAGCTAAGAAGTCGACCAATTAATGGATTAGATTGATCATATTAGCAGTTCTGTGGGTAAATTTGTTGGCCTCATGTATGTGAGAAAGACTTCAAAGATAAGACTCTTGTTAGAGAAGCTCAGAGTTCATTTTGGGGGTAGGGTAGGGGGAGCAGCTCTGGCACCCTACTCCCCACAGAGGGCCAGGACTTGGGGATGGGTTCCCCAAATCAAGCACCTCCCAGAGGTAGGAAAGAAGAGGCTGGGCAGCCTGCTTTTCAAAAAGCTGGAGCCTGAGCTGCAAACAGGTGAGATGCATGTCACCCTCTTGGCACTGGAACTTCCTGGAAGGGAGCCAAGGTTTCTGCCAGGGGAAGCATGGGGCCCCAAATCAGCCAGCCTGCCACAGCTACTAACCATGGTCCTAGGACAGTCGGTGAGGGTTCCCATTCCCACCTCAAAGATGAGGAAACAGAGAGTTTGCTCAAAGGCACTTAGCCAGCAAGCAGTACAACTTCCTAGTTGTGTGACCTTGGGCAAGTTACTTAACCTGCCTCAGTTTCTCATCTACAAAGCAGAGTTAATGATAAGGCATAATAGTGAGACTATATAATAGTATTCCAAGAGTAAGTGAACTAAATACAGGCATACCTTGTTTTATTGTGCTTCACAGAAACTGCATTTTGCTTGTTGTTTTTTGTTTTGTTTTGTTTAAATTAAAAGTTTGGCCGGGTGCAGTGGTTCACATCTGTAATCCCAGCACTTTGGGAGGCCAAGGCTTGAGGTCAGGAGTTCGAGACCAGCCTGGCCAACATGGTGAAACCCTGTTTCTACTAAAAATACAAAAATTAGCCGGACATGGTGGCGCGTGCCTATCTGGGGAGGCTAAGGCAGGAGAATCGCTTGAACCTGGGAGGAAAAGGTTGCAGTAAGCCGAGATTGCACCACTGCACTCCGGCCTGGGCAACGTAGCGAGACTCTGTCTCGAAACAAAAAAACCAAAGGTTTGTGGCAACTCTGCCTTAAGCAAGCCCTGTCGGTGCCATGTTTCCAACACCACGTGTACACTTCGTGTCTGTGTCAGCATTTTTTTTTTGCAATAAAGTGTTTTTTAATCAAGACATGTACATTGTTTTTTAGACATAAGGCTATTGCACACTTAATAGACTACAGTATAATGTAAACATAACTTTTGTATGCTCTGGGAAACCAAAACATTTGTGTGACTTGCTTTATTGCAATATTCACTTGCAGTGGTCTGGAACCAAACCCACATCTCTGAGGTATGCCTGTATTTGTGAAGCACATTGAACAGTGTCTGGTGCATTTAAGTGTCATGTGTATGTTTGTTGACTACATAAAGAAAACTTAGACCTAAATCCAAGGCTTTGGACTGGAGAGTCTGGTCCACCATTGCCTGTATTATTTGTCTCAACTACCAATCACGTCCAGGAGAGGCACTGAGTAGATTCAGATCCTAGCCACTAGCGGCCCACCGTCTGGCTGGGGAAGAACTACCAATATGAGGCAGTGTGGTATAAAGCAGAGGGTTTCAGCCCAAGATGTGAGAGACCTGGGCCCTGGGGAAGTCATGTATCTTCAAGAATCAACACCTTCCCATCATTCTCTGTGCTGCTCTCCAGGATCGACTTTATTTTGTGGCGATGGGGAATCCACTGAGGCTCTCTAAGCAGGACATAGGAGTGCCATGAAGAAAGCTGTGCTTTAGAGAGCTCAAGCTGTAGAAAGCAGGTGGGGGATGAATTGCACAGGGAAACAAAAGGTTAAATACTCAATGAATACTCAAACCTAGTCCTAAAAGAGCTTTGCAGCCTGACTGAGGAAACCAGCTCTTCCTCCAGGGACCAAGCAGTGACTCCTCCAGGAAGGTCTGTGACCAAAATCCTCCAAGTGACTCAAATTGGAAATACCAGTGGTGGAGAGGGCCTTGTGAACTCAGGAGGGCTTTCTTGAGGAAGATGTTGAGCTGAGAGGCTTGAGCAACAGGTCAGAGGAAAGAGGCAGGCAGGGACAGACATTCAGGGCTGGTCCTTTAACAGTCAAACCGCAGGCAGGCCTGCCACATGGCATTTGTCCCTCTCTGTCCAGCTGTACATATTCTCTACCCTCGTGGTTGTGGAATCCGTGATGTTGGTGAAAGTGGTAATAGAAAGCAGAAGGCTGTGGAACAGTACAGGGAGCACTGGACTGTGAGTCCAGAAGTACAGTGCTCAGCCTCCCACTTCTCATCTGTGAGACCTAAGTCAGGTGATTCTACCTCCATGGGCCTCAGGCTGTTCTTAAAGGCAATCATAATAGAGCCTTCTGAAGAATGCAGCTGTAGGCATGAGAGGGGCAACTCATTTATGTGCAAATGGAGAAGGGTGACAAGGGTACCAAGGCGGGCGTGGTCTCCATCCAGATCCATGACCCCTGGGTGATCATGGCTGTGGCTTGGGAACTTCTAGGGATGAGGCTGTGGGTGGAGGTCAGAGGAACACAGGTGGGAGGATGGGTGCCAGGCTGCCCTGTGCCCACAGTGTGTGCTGGAGGATACTTTGGGCAGGACTGTGCCCAGCTCTGCTCCTGTGCCAACAACGGGACCTGCAGCCCTATCGATGGCTCCTGCCAGTGCTTTCCTGGATGGATTGGCAAGGACTGCTCACAGGGTAAGCTGCTGCCACCTGGGAATGCCCCTACCTGGGGTCAGGCCCAAAAATTCTCCCTTTGTTGCCCAAAACCTCTCTGTCCTGGTGCCTCCACTTCCAGGGATGAAATCTCCTTCTGCATGTAGGAATGAGCCCCATTTAGCTCTATAGCTAACATGATGGATTATTAGGATTGATCATTGGTATTAACTGCTGGTATCAAAGGTACTGATATTGTTGATAGTACCATTAATGCTATGAATTCTGAGACTTAACACTCCATTAGCACCTGCACAAGGAGCAGCCCGAGTTTGGATGGGGAAGAGGTGGTGCAACAGCATGCTCGAGTTTGGGAGTAGGGAAGTGAGATGAGGCCCGGGCAGCCACCTCAGGAGGGTGCAGTGCCCTCTGGGTGGCCCATGTGAATGATGTCCTTGAGGCTGTTCATGTAAAGTGCACCAATCTGATGTGAAGGGAACAGCCCCTTTCCAGAAGCCCCCAAACTAAGGACAGAGACCCTGTGGAGCTCCTTGTCTGATGGGTGAGACCTAGCCAGTACCCTTGGGGAGGTCCTAGTTAGATGGCTGAGGGAATTTCCATTCTGATGAGGAGACAGGCTCCATCATCAGGAGCTCACCAACTGAGAGAAGAGAGCTCCTGCCCTAGGAAAGTCCCCATTCTCATGGGGAAACACACACAGTACATACACGGTAAACCACAGTGTTTACCCGCATGCTCCAAATCAGTCCCCTGAGAGGGGAGGCTCGGGGGCCCTCAGAGTCCTGCTGAGTCAGTCATCAAAGACTTGGAGAGTGGGCAGAGAATCTGGGCTTAATGGGAATCCTGGGTAACTAAGCCAAGAAGTAAGTGCAGGAATTCTGGGAACAGTGCATGAAGCCCCTGAAAGCCAGGAAATGTCAGCCAGGTCCATCTTGGCATCTTGGCTCTGACATGTACTCCCCCTTCTTCTCCCTCTCCGTCTGCCCCTCTCTGCCTTCCCCTCACCCTCTGCATTTCACCGACATCCCAGCTTGCCCACCCGGGTTCTGGGGCCCCGCCTGCTTCCACGCATGCAGCTGCCACAACGGGGCGAGCTGCAGCGCCGAGGACGGGGCCTGCCACTGCACCCCTGGCTGGACTGGACTCTTCTGCACACAGCGTAAGCCCCACCTCCTGGCCTCCCAGCCACTTAGAATACCATGCTGCGGCCTACTGGCCACTGTGGGCATTGTCCAGACCAGCAGGGAGGGAGGAATGCAGGCAGCCCCAGGACTGGTGGTACCTGACTCCTGCCCCACGAGAACTGAGGAGCTCTGCAGGGGCAGCTCCAGACCTGACTGGATTCAGGGGATTGACAAGCCCAAAGTCCTGGAAGGTCAGGGCTGCAAGGTACTCCAGCAATCACCAAGACCAGACCTTCCTTGGACAGTGGGGCCCAGAGTGGGGAGGAGCAGCCTGTGTCCACACAGGAAGTAGACCCTAGCCTGACCTGTGGTTCCAAGGCCCCTCTGTCTTGGAAAGGCAACGATCACCTTGCCCCTACCACTTCAGCATGAAGATCCTGAGCAGGGAGACAACTCTGGTGCAGGGTCTCACTAGTCTTCATCCCATGCTCAGCAAAAAAAGAGACAGAAGACAGGTCTGGTTCCTGCTGTCCCCCTTGTCCCCACCCAGCAGCAACTCTCGTGACTGGAAATCCTGTTTCTCTAGGCTGCCCAGCAGCATTTTTTGGGAAGGACTGTGGGCGCGTATGCCAGTGTCAGAATGGCGCCAGCTGTGACCACATCAGTGGCAAGTGCACCTGCCGCACAGGCTTCACCGGGCAACACTGTGAGCAGAGTAAGCTGCCCTGACCCCTGATCCTGGGTGATGCTGCTGGGCCCTACCCTCCTGCAGAGGATGGCTCCCACTTCAAGGTCCACTCACTCAGGGCTCTGTACCCCTTGGTCCCTTGACTTTGGGGACAACTTCCAAGGAAAAATGCTGAGGAAGGTCATGCCTACATTATTGTTTGAAGAATTTCTCCCTTCAGTTGGTGGGGGCATTTAGGGCAGAGGTCATAGCAAGTAATGAGAGAATAGTGGGAGGCAGGATTTTTTTTTTATTATTCTTTAAAGTCCCTATGGCATTCAGATTAGGGCATGGCAGGTGGAAGATACTGCTTAAATGTGTTGCATGAGGAGGAAGTAGGGGTGAGTGGGCCCTGCTCACTCCTCCTCTGTCCCTGTGTCCCCCACTCAGTGCTATAAATGCTCCTCAACAGGAGCTAAGGGAATAGGCTTCACTCAGTGGGAGGCAAAACAGGCTTATTGCCATAGCTGTCTAAACATGGAAGGGGAGGGGTGGAGAGTGAGTGGGTCCTCTACCCTAACTCTTTGTGCCACACAGGATGTGCCCCAGGAACCTTTGGCTATGGGTGTCAGCAGCTATGTGAGTGCATGAACAACTCCACCTGTGACCATGTCACCGGCACCTGTTACTGCAGCCCTGGCTTCAAAGGAATCAGGTGTGACCAAGGTAATACACACGTGGCAGAGCCCCGGGGTCTGTGGAAAGGGCCCCATGGCAGCTCTAGGGAGATTCCAACTCGAACAGCTGGATTTGATGATACTTCCCTTTATTCACATTTGTGAGGACAGCAGGAATAGGGTGGGCTGCAGAGGCTCCAAGTGCTGAAGAGGCATAAGGAGCAGGCAGTCTCTCAGTCACAGCCTCCCTAGGCTCACCCTTGGCAAGTTTCCCATGAGCCAAGCAAGGGTAGCCACAAGCTAGTACTATGGAAAGGCCACCAGACCAAGTTAGAATATCTGCCAAGTTCTGGTTCTGCCTTACCCGCCAGGTGTCCTTGGGTAGGTTATTTGATTTTGCTAGGCCTGTTACTCCACATGCAAAGCGGGAAGAGTAGATTAATCATCTTCCCCCATGACACAAGGTTACTCTGAAGGCCGAGGAGCCCAAAGGGGCTCAACCTTGGTTCTAGCACTACAGTCGGATGACACCTCATAGGGCCTAAAGGGGATGGAGTCCCAGGGTCCAGTTGTGAGAATCACGTTGAGACAGTATGAGTAAGAGATTCAGCGGGGTGCCTGGCCCATAAGTGAACACTCCAATAAATGCTGGCTTTGTTATATAAAAGCCTTTATAATGTGCTGCAAACATGTTGGTTCTAGATGGGGGATGAAAATGGGCTCTCAATTATTCACATTACAGAAAAGGAGCCAAAAGACAGATTTCCGTTGCATTCTGAGGATAAATCACTGAGAACGATATTGCAGCACATTTACCTCCCTAGTGATGTTGGCCAGCTCAGTTCAGCCAGCAGCCAACAGTCAAGGAGAAGTCTAGACACTGTGGGCCTGGCAGGACAGCCTCCTAGACTAAGCATCAGCATGGAGGGTGGGGGCAGCCCTCACATATATAACCAAGAGGGGTCCTGCGGGCAGTCATCCTGGAAATAACAGCACAGTACTTAAGAGCCTTCCTTGCCAGTCTATCACTTGGTGCTCACGACTGGGGAGGGTGGGGTTATTGTCCCCATGTTACAAATGAGCAAACCAGGGACTCTGAGCCACACAATTAGGAAGCAGGGAGAGGAGCTGTGTTCAATTTTTCCTGACTCCGCCAATTATAGGTTATGTAATCTTGGGCACATTACCTAACCTTTTGATAAATTGGTTTTTTCATCTGTGAAAGGAAAATACTAATCCCTTCACAGGGCTGAAGAGTAAATGAATTAATATCTGTTAACTCATTTTTGGAACAGAGTAAAATAATATTTATTGTTTCACATCGACAGTCACAATTGCTCCTTGTCATGACCCTGAGACTCCATCCCCTTTAGGGATGAAGGCACAGTGAGGGCTGGGGGTAGTCACATAGGGACTCAGGAATCGGGCCAAAGCCAGAACCAGATCTCCTAACATTAGAGGGGTTACACGCATCTGAACCCAGGCCCAGGAGACCTGAAGCGCAAGAAGGCCAGCCCCAGGCTCAGGCCCTCCCTCTGCCCGCAGCTGCCCTCATGATGGAGGAGCTGAATCCCTACACCAAGATCAGCCCAGCACTGGGTGCAGAGCGGCACTCGGTGGGTGCTGTCACAGGCATCATGCTCCTGTTATTCCTCATTGTGGTGCTGCTGGGCCTATTTGCCTGGCATCGGCGGCGGCAGAAAGAGAAGGGCCGAGACCTGGCTCCCCGTGTCTCCTACACACCTGCCATGAGGATGACCAGCACCGACTACTCCCTCTCAGGTAAGGGCCATGCTCCTGGCCTCCCTCCTCTTCCCCTCCACACACACATACCCCAGGAATGGTTGTGCCTGTAGGGTTGGCTGCTGTGGCTGAATGTGGAAGCTCAGTCTCCCCTAGAGTGACAGTGGGGATGGGGAGCAGGAGCCTACCTAGAGAAGATATCTGGGGTTCCAAGGGAAAATTGTTTCCTGAGTCCCTAGCTCTGAGCAGCTGTGGTTGGGAGCCTCCTGCCATTTTCCCAGAGCTTCCCTATCCTTCTCACCAGCCTTCGGCCTCAGGAGCACCCACACTAACCAGTCACTTTCCTAAGCTCTCCAGAGGACTGTCTCCCCAACCTGATGCCTGTACCACCTCAGGAGGCTAGACCTTGGAGCCCAGTGCCCAGAGCTCATCCATTTCTGTTTCCCTGGTGAACGCCTCAGGACAACCCTCCTTCCCAGTTCCCAGTTAGGAGGGTCCTATTAGTACAGCGGAAGGGGACAGTACCTGACTTGGGAGGTCTGAAAGTTTGGACAATGTCCCTCTGGCAAGTGTGCCAGAGCCCAGTGCATCCATGAATGTGGTTAACAGCTCCAATAGGCATTTTATTTGGGAGTCTGAGTGGGGTCAAGATGGGGCTGCTGGGCGATATCCTTCCTTTCCCCTGAACCCTGGACTGCTGCCTTGGAAATACGAAAGGTTTTTTGCTTCATATTGGCTAAACAGTAGAGGCCAAAATGCTCTGAAATTGCCCTATAGTCCTGGGCTATGTGAGGCTGAGCCTGTCTGGGTGAGCACAAGGTGACAGCTCTCTCCAGGTAGCTCCATGGCACGTGGCTCATGGCTCATCTGCAGCCTCCTGCATCTTGTGCTTAGAAAACCCAGATCACTTCAGCCCATTCCTGCTAAGTGTTGCCTTCTGTATGTCCAGCTTCATGCTAGGCACTGCAGGATAGACAGAGGCAGGCCAGTGCACACCATGCCTTCAAGGAGCTCCTGGTCTACATGCCACACTACAGCCAAAGCAGACATCCCACACACAGATTTGGGGATTTTCTTCTATGACTATACTGAGAAGGCTGGCTAGGGTTTCCTATGCCATTCCTCTGGTATTCCCCAGCCCTATGGAGAGGTTCTGGAATCCTTAGGAGGGAAGAGCAGAGTCAGAAGTGAGGTTCTCTTTATGATCTCATTACCAGGATGTGACCCTAGAAGGAAGCAGGTGAGTCCAGCCCTAAATAGGGACTCAGGGACATGTAAGGCTATCAAAGCAAACATGCCCCATCCAGGCTCCAGTTGATAGTGCCTCCCCTTGGCACAGGTGAGCCTATCCTGCATTCTGCATGCTGCAGGGAGGACCAGCGTAAGGGAAGGAGCAAATCAGGCTCTCCAGATTTCAGTAGGAGTAGTGGATGCCAGGAAGCTTGGGGGATGGGGTACTTGCCTGTTTGTCTTTGCAGGGCTCTCTCAAGGCTCCCAGCGCAAGCATTAGTACTGGGGGTATCTCATGCCAGGGGCAGGGGTATGATGGTATGTGGCACCTTGTTCTCTTCCCAGATTTGTCTCAAAGTAGCAGCCATGCCCACTGCTTTTCCAATTCCAGCTACCACGCACTGGCATGTGGGGGGCCTGCCACCAGCCAGGCCAGCACTCTGGACAGGAACAGCCCCACCAAGGTACCGGGCCCCTGATTCCCCAGCCCCCACTCACTGCCCTCTCATTTAACCCTCACCTCTGCCCAGGAAGGAACTGCACGCCCCCCGCCACATGGAGGGTCCATGTAGAACTGACCACCAATACATTAAAAGCAACCTTGCAATCCGTGGTACACGTAAACACTCTGTGAGGCATGTAATGGAGCCAGCATGTTATGTGGAGTGCCGTGTAACCAACCCACAGCATCACTCAGTATAACATATACCCCTGTACCCTGTGTGTAACCAACTGGTACCAAGTCATGTAATCATGTATTTGCTTTATCACCTATAATCATGTAGACACTTTTGCCACATGTCAACACGTAATCAAAACACTAGACCACCTTGTAGGCTGGGCACAGTGGCTCACGCCTGTAATCCCAGCACTTTGGGAGGCCGAGGCAGGCGGATCACAAGGTCGAGATATTGAGACCATCCTGGCCAAGATGGTGAAACCCCATCTCTACTAAAAATACAAAAAATTAGCTGGGCATGGTGGCATACGCCTGTAGTCCCAGCTACTTGCGAGGCTGAGGCAGGAGGATCGCTTGAACCCAGGAGGTGGAGGCTGCCGTGAGCTGAGATCACGCCACTGCACTCCAGCCTGACGACAGAGCAAGACTCCACCTCAAAAAACAACAACAACAACTAGACCACCTACCACAAATCACTGCAGTATGCTACCAACACAATGTGTGCAAGTGGCATATTATAGAGTAACTACTGTTATTCAGATAACCACCTCACAATGTTTCTTTTATCTGAACCTATCCATTTCATCAGTACCCACTCATAACCGTTTGTTGCAGTCTGAATCAACAAGGGATGTGGAACCCAAACTTCAGCCATAGCCAATGTTCTGTGGACACTGAGTTCTGTAGGTCTTCATGGCAGGTGTGCACCCTTCTGGACAGGACCTTCCCTGACAGCTTCCAGCATAACCCTGGCTGTTGGCAAGATGTCCTCTTATAGTCAACAGGCCCTTGGGCAAGGATGTCTCAGCACCTATGTGTAGATAATACATAGGGAGCTCCCTTAATGTGCCCGGACCCATACCAGGCAGAGTGGGAAACAAGAAGTGAGGAAGAACAGCCCCCAAGGACAGGTCTGAGAGGCTCATGCTGCATACCTCTGGACACCCACCTGTGCCTGTGCCCATAGACACAAAACAGTGGGGAGCAGGGCCATGGTGGGAGTGGGAATCTCAGGACTCCTAGCTTCCCATAATATCCATTCAGGGACAAAAGCATGGCTTTCATAGTCCACGGCTATGCCCTAGAGATCTAGGAGTCCTTTCTTCCCTGTCTGTCCCATGGAGAATGACCATCAGCCTACAGACCTGGTCCAGCAATAGTAATATAGATACTATACAGCCTCAAGGGCAACCACTATCAAGCCAACACCCCAAGGCCACTCTCAGCCTCCACCCTCTTTTGGTAAGGGGCTGGAATTACTGCAGAGTAGCCAACTTGGTGACCCTCTGGGTCACCTCAGCCCAGGGGCCCAGAGTGGCTCTCTGTGGTTAACCAGTCTAACAGATAGGGCATCTGCAGCAGAGGCAGGCAGCTGTGATGACATGGAAAGGACACGGCACTGGGAACTGAGTTCCAGACACAGCTTTGTCACTGACTCGTGTGTGTTCATGAGCAAGGCACGCAAGTCAGGACTCAGGTCGCCATCTGTGAAATGAGGATAACCATCCTTGCCTCATATGAAGGGCAGCTGTGAAAATGCAGAGAATGGAAGGACTACAATATAAGCCTCAAGACACTCTGTTCTGAAGCTTTCCTTTGGTCGCAGGAAAAGGAAAATCTCACATTCAGCCCCAATCAGGATCAGGTGGCAGAGGTGACAGTGATATTGCAGGCAGCCTCAAGACTTCCCTCTGTGCTGGAGATGGCCTCATGTTGCAGCTGAGACATCACCAGAGGCCCCTCTCCTAAAGCTCAGCCCCACCCCCCAGCTAATCTGCTTCCTCTGTCAGGGCCAGCTTGGCTCAAGCTACCCCAGGAGGCCTGGGAACCCTACAACTTCAGCCCAACAGCTGGGGTGGGGTATGTTCTATTCCCACTAGCATCAACCACACCATGGTGGCCTGTCATGGAACACCTAGCTCGCCCTTTCTCTCAACGGCCTAGGACCCAGGTGGGTCAGGATTATTACAGGGTGTGTGCACTGAAGCTACGCAAAGTGAAGACTGGGGAGGGGTACCTGGGGCACTAGATATTAACTGGCTCTCCTACTCTCCAAACAGCTCAGTAACAAGTCCCTTGACAGAGACACAGCAGGCTGGACCCCCTACAGCTATGTGAACGTGTTAGGTCAGTAGTGGTGTGAGTCTGGTCCCCACCATCATGTCCCACCCTATTCTTCTTCCATATTGAGAAGCACCCAGCTTGAAGGGACAGGGTTATGAGTTCTGAACATGGTTTCCCCCAGGGAGAAATTTTGGCTCTCACAAGCAGATGAAGCCCAAGAATCCCTTTCCATTACTATATTAGGGCTAAGTCCCTGCTATGACCCAGGGACCATAAGGGAGAAAACCAGGGCCAGGGTGTAGGGATTCCAGATGGAAGCAAAAGACACACTCACCATCTGGATAGGAACCTCTGCTTGACCCAGGCCCTACCAAGGTGCTCCTTTCAAGGGCTTCTTCCCCCTGCCTCCTCCCTGGTGGAGGAGCACTAATTCCTGCAGAGGGAGGGAGGGAGGGAAGGAGAGGGGAAACAAGGCAGATGACCTTGGCTCTAACAGAGCCCCTGGCCCCGCTGGCCCTGGCCCCTCTGGATGCTATACACAGAGGCCCCCAAGTCCTCCCAGCCTGCCTCACCCTGACCCTGGCCCACTTGTGTACTTCCTACCCCCTTCCCCTGCTATACCAGGGCCCTGGGAATAATGGCTCCTCCCTGTCATTCCTCTCACTAGACTCCCATTTCCAGATCAGTGCCCTGGAGGCCAGGTACCCGCCCGAGGACTTCTACATTGAACTTAGACACCTCAGCCGCCCCGCTGAGCCACACTCACCAGGTCAGACCCCAGCCCTACCCTCCACCCCCTCATGCCAGACCAGACCCAGCACCTGCCCTAATCCCCATCCCTGCACCTTGACCCCCACCCTGTGGTCCCAGAACTCTCCCTTTTAAGCCCTCTTCCCTCCCAACATGTCTACCAGCTCAATCCCCTATCTAAAGATGGAAACCTGTCTGGATCTTCCCCATCACCCATTCTGTTCCCATAGTGAACGGTGGATGTGAACAAACAGGCTATTTAGGGTGGAGAAGATACAACAAAACTGCCCTCCCTACAGGCCACAAAATACAATCCTACACCTTTCAAAAATGACTTGGGGATGGCGACATCTTTGGGGTTCTCTGGGCCCTGTTGGAGTGGATAACAGGGAGTTAGCTCTCTGGCCAATAAAGTCCAATGTCTCCCAGAGACTCCAGAAACCCCAGTGGCCCAAGCCAAGCTTTCTCAAATCACAGGGTAGGGTTGTCAAACAGGGATCTGGAGAGGCTGGGGCAGGATGTATCAACCAACATCACCTGTACTCATGTACTGAGTACAGCCTGGGCTGAAATCTGGTGGCTTGGGAGACACACACACAAGAGACTTGGAAAGTTAGCCCTGATTATGGGAACATGTGGGTAGGAGTTACAGAAGGTATCATGGGAACAAGTGCAATGAATGAACAGAGAATGTGGCCTCCCTACAATGTGGCTCCTCTGGGGCACCCTGGGGCAGGGCCTTGGTATACCAGACAACTCTAGGCCTGACCTCAGGCTCTAGGTGGCTTCTAGAACTCTAAGGAAACTGAGCTGCTCTACCAATCCCTGCAGGTCCCTGGGTCCAGTAATACCAGGAAGGGTGAATGTTCTGAATTCATCTGCCCACTGAGCAGGCATGGGCTGCATGGACCCTGGGCCTATACTCAGGAGGCTGTGTTATTAGCTGTGGGTCCCCTGGACAGTATCTAGGGCATTTAATAACCCCACCAACTACAATCTCTCCCATTCCAGCATATACACACACACACAGCCCCACCACCACCACCCTGTATCTCTTTCTACAAGGGAGTATCCTCTGAACTAGGCCAGATTTCTCCCTGCTTTACAGATCTCACTCTTCAACTAGCGTAGCCAGAGCGCCATGCGCTGGCATTTGTCTTACACCCAGGCAGGCTGGTATCCAGTGAGAGAGAATACTTGGAGAGATCTGGGCTCTAACTGTAACTCAGCTTCTCACTTGCTAGTGTGGTTTTGGACAAGCCACTGTTGCTCTTTGGGCCTGTTCCCTGTTCTGTAAAAAGGAAAAGTTAATACCCTAGCCAGCTTCCCTCAGGAAGGGCAAAGGAAGCCCTTGTCTGGCATAAAGTGCTGAACTAATGCCAGCATATAGGCAGTTGCAGGCATGATTCTGAAGGACACAGGTACCTATAAGCCTCTCAGAAAAAACAGCAAATTTGAGGCTGGGTACGGTGGCTCACGTCTGTAATCCCAGCACTTTGGGAGGCTGAGGCAGGCAGATCACGTGACGTCAGGAGTTCAAGACCAGCCTGGCCAACATGGTAAAACCCCATCTGTTAAAAATACAAAAAAATTAGCTGGGAGTGGTGGTGCATGCCTGTAGTCCCAGCTACTCAGGAGGTTGAGACAGGAGAATCGATTGAACCTGGAAGGTGGAGGTTGTAGTGAACAGAGATTGCGCCACTGCACTCCAGCCTGGGTGACACAGCGAGACTCCATCTCAAAAAAAAAGAAAAAAAGAAAAATAGCAAACTTAAAAGAAAAACTTGGGCCTGGTTCTGCCATATCTCTCAGTAATATGTGGAACGTAGGCAGATAGGAGTAGACGCTTTCAAATTCAACATGGGAACTCTACGTAGAGGAGCGATAGCAACAGGGTGGTCTTCAGTGTCAGAAACTGGGAAGAGTCAAGGAGAGTCAAACTGTATTTTAGTAAGTACTTGCTGCAGGCCTTGCTTGGTGCTGTGTCCTCAGTTAAAAGCTAGAAGAAAAAATTGCTCTGACTTTGAGCCAGAGTCATTACTGTCCCAACCTAGAAATGCCAAACAATTTCTTTTCTGGGATCACCAGCAGCAAAGAACCCAAGCTTAGTCCCTGAAGCCTCTGGCTGAGGCTCAGGGCCATCATGCATTGTTGGAGCCTAGGAAAAAACTGACAGCCGAAAGGTAGAAAGAAATCCTTGGGGCTGAAAACACTGGTAATACTTTTCAAAAACAATTCTACATTATGTGCAAATGGCACACCCCAAAAAATGAGTAACTAAGAGAACTGGCTATGGGAGGGAATGTCTGTACATCCTACAAAGATGACTAATCAAGAACCTCAGCCACCTGTCTCCCTCTGTTTCTCTCTGGCTACCCTCAGATAAGCCTTGGATCCAGGAGAGGACAGACAGGACCAGAGCTGAGAGGTGATAAATACTGTCTTCAAACCCATGCCAAATTCCAACAGAACTGTGATTTGTAATGTCATACAACTTTCCCTCAAGCCAAGAACTGGTTCTGCTTCATTCCTTATCCTATACCCTTGGAGCCTGGAGTTTCACCTGCAGGGAATGGCATCAGAACAGCCTTTTATTCCTTCCTGAAAGACACTCCCCTAGGGTGAAGGTTAAAGGGAAGGAGTGCTGAATATGCCGGGGGTCGCTGTAGCTTATGAGCCTTTTAATAATTCCTATAATCAAAACAATTTCAGATGGATTAAACCCAGAATCATTTATCAAAACAATTTCAGGTAGATTAAACCCCCAGAATCATTTTCTAGCAATAAACAACTATTTATTTTCTGGGTAGGGGAGAAGGGGGGGGAAAAGCAAGAAAAGAAAGAAGAACACAAGCAGTCTAAGTAAACCTCACCCCCATATTTTCTTTCCTTACATGTTATTTTTACACAGGTGCTTGTGGAATGGATAGACGTCAGAACACATACATTATGGACAAAGGCTTCAAAGGTAGAGTATCCAATCCTGCTGTCTTATTACAGAGGGCTTAGCAAGATAAAGAGTGCAGATCTGAAATGGCCAGGAATTCCACTTGAGACAAACTGTGTGTGCCTGCCCCCCACAGAAGGTTAAAAGACCACAGGGCCTGGGGCTGTTGGGTAGCTGTGCCCAGGAGGAGCAATCAATCATAATAATAATGAATTCATCTTTCGATTTCAGTTGCACCTGCTTAGCAAATGCTTGTGGGTTTTTTATAGATGCCAACTAAATGTCTTCGGAAATGTAAAGCGTCATTATCCAACCAATTAGTACGAGTTAAATTGATTATAAAATCTGAAATAAAGTTGATCTACCTGCCCCAGAGGCCTCCTGTCGTTGCACTAGCAAGGAATGCCACCCTGCACCTGCTGGCTTTCTGGGGGCACAAGGAATGAAAATGATACGCAGTGTTAATATTGTATGGCACTCCAACCTCAAGAGATCTCTGCCTCCAAGAGCAGAGAAGCCAAGACAAATCCCTAACACATGGGAACTGCAAGTTGGATCATCCCTCTAGGAAGTCTACAGGTGAAGCCAAAGATGAAAGGTCAGGTCCTGCCCTAGGTTTAAATGCCGGAATGTGTGAAATAGGGGGCTTTGGAACTCTGTCACTTGCCACTCTGTTGCTCATTAACTGTGACCTTAGACTGGACTGTGAGCTTTCCAAGGCTCAGTTTCCTCATCTGCAAGGTTGGGATAATTTTGCCTGTCCTATTGTCTAATGCCTGTCCTACTGTCTAACAAGGTTATCATGAGTAACCAATAAAATCACCAATGGGAAGTGTTTTTTGCATACTGTAAAGGTGGTACTAATGTAATGGGGCTATTCTTTTGTCTAGGAGGTCTATTTAAAACAGCTTAAGGCCGGGCACAGTGGCTCACACCTGTGATCTCAGCACTTTGAGAGGCCGAGGCAGGTGGATCACTTAAGGTCAGGAGTTCAAGACCAGCCTGGCCAACATGGCAAAACCCTGTCTCTACTAAACATACAAAAATTAGCCAGACATGGTGGCACACACCTGTAATCCCAGCTACTTGGGAGGCTGAGGCACAAGAATTGCTTGAAGCCGGGAGGCAAAGGTTGCAGTGAACCCAGATCGTGCCACTGCACTCCAGCCTGGGCAACAGAACAAGACTCTGTCTCAGAAAAAAGCGCTTAAGCCAAACAGATATGACAGCAGAGGTCCCAATGCATATCCTAAATCTAACAGTGTACCAGAATCACCTGGAAAGCTTATTAAAAATACAGATATTCACACCCCATCTCCTCAAAACTCTGATGCAAATCTAGAGTGGGGCCCTGGAATCTGCATGTGTGAAGAGCACCCTCAGGGTACCCTTATGCAGCTTATTCCCCAAACACTGGTCTAGACTGACCCAGATGTCCCTGATTACCGTTCTAGTCTTTCAGACCTAGTTTTACATACACCAAGACACAACCATTCCCTAACCAAGAACAGCTAGTCGTCTACAGTCCTTTTGGGGAGATGATTAGATGTGGGGTGAGCTCAGGGTAGGGGATGGTGGTAAGTACTGCATTCTGAACAAGACAGCGATAAGGCTGAGTCACTATCGGCCTTTGTTAGGATATACACAGCCCAAGAGAACTGTCTGAGGACAAAAGGTCATCCCCAGCCAGCCAACAGACATTACTCCCTTGGAAGCATTATTTTGGCAATTTTCTGTGTGTTTTGACTTAAACCATCCAAATGAGGAACAGTAGGTAAGGCTGAAAACAAAGAACAGTTCTATTTCGTGACTATGACCTGGCACCTCAGTTTCTTTCTCAAAAAGGTATAAGGATTGGGCAGAAAGCTCTCTAAGGGCCTTTCTAGCTGAAGAACACGCATGACTCAAGCATGAATAAACTCAGGACCAGAAACCCCAATAACTGAACACACAACTTTCCTATGCACTGTGTTGTCCTGTACATTGATTAGGGTGGTTACTTTCAGATTCGCAATCATACATGTAAAACAAAGCTCAGGAAAGCAGTGTCTCTGCCTCAGCATACATTTCATTACTATTGTGTAGAATCATATATCTGACCTCTGAGTGCAGGCGAGGGCTCAGCAGGCAGCCAGCCAGATCTTATTTTACCACTCTGGCTACAATCATCCTTTAAAAAGAAAAGAGAGCTATGTAAGCAAATGTACCAGCAGGTGTTGGGGACCAATACATCAGAATAAGAGAACTGAAAAAGAGGAAAATATGATGTCACAGTTCAGAACTTTATAACAATACTTACCAAAACATGGAATAAATCCCACTAATTGGCTAACGCCCCCCGAAATAAACACTTAATAAGCTAGTCTAGCACAAATGAAACTAGTTCCTAAAACTACTGGGCCAAACCAAATCAGAACTACTAAGAATTAAGAGTCTCAGTGTTCTCTGAACTCAGTGGGAAAAAGCCCTAGCCTAGGAGTTAAGGAATGTGGGTTGTAGTCCTAGTTCTTGCTGTATGGTGCTGACCAGGTCACAGCACTGTTTTCTGGGTCTTGGTTTCTTCCACTATAAAACGATGGGGCTGTACTAACAGCATCTCTGAGGCCCTTTCAAGCTCTGACATTCCAAAAGCCTTAGTCAATGCCTGCCCTTTCCCCTGTTACTTACTGAAGAACTCCACTCACTGTCATCCCGGAGGTTAAGGGAGACCACTTACACTGCTCAACACCCTTCTATTTCCCCTTCTCCCCCTAGCACAGTGATTCTGCAACAAACTGCCTCGTGTTCAATTCCTTGTCAGCCATTTCAAATTGCTATTCTCCATCGCCTTTATGATGCTGGAATCCTTGAGCCCACTGTTGCTGCCACTTTCCCCACCTGTGTGCTCGTTCCCATCTAACTTCCAAGTCTGTCTTTGCGTAAACTTGGGCTCTTAGGTAGTTAGGAGCCCAATGACATCCTGAAGATTACTTTTTAAAGCCAGTGTTCTGACCCCAAGACCTCCTCCTCCTATCTCTCAATCAAGAGAAGGATGCTAATTTATGGCCCAGGAAGAGAAGAGGCAGTGTGGCCTTCTATTAATAGTAGCAAGCCAAGAAGCAAGAGATGGATATTCGGTGCCTGGGTTTTTCCCTGACAGTTAAGTTGGGCCTTAGTGGAGGTTAGCATGCACCTAGAAGCCAAGGTGGGCTCAGATCCCACACACAAGGTGGCCCTGGAAAGTCACTGCCTCTCTCTAGATTTGATGCTCCCTTTATAAAATGAAAATGTTTAGTTCATCTCAGAAGCCCCCTCTGTCTCTGACAGTGTATGACTATGTGGGGAGGCAGGAACCAGATGAGACCAAATGCCAGGGCATTACAGGACCAAGCCGCCAATCCTGATGCAAATGACAAGCCTTGGAGGAGTGACTCCCAGAGCTTGGGTAGCCTGGGTTGATGCTTCCTCTTTCTTTGCAAAATGCCCTGAAGGGCTGGGACTGGGACAGGGGTGGGGCTATGAAAGGATGAGGAAGTATCTAAGAGCAGCTGGTTATTCTTCCACTCAACCCTGCCCTCCCCTCTTGCAGGCAGGTGGATGACTCAGCTGGAGAACAAAGTGGCTTCCTGAGGTGGAGTTTCCAGCTTGCCCAGCCCTTCCCCATTCTCCAGTCCCAGTAGAGATGGGGTACAGAAGAGTCCATAATTCAACACCCTTTTCTCACCACCCAGCCAACACATACATGCACTGCTCCATCCTCTGCTCCTGTATGGAAGATACTTCCCCCTGAGCTTAGCCCCTCCCCACAGACATCAACTTCTCTTTTATCCATTTAGGATCATCCCCTGCTCCAGAGCCAACAATTGATTCCCCAAAACTTTAAAGTAGCCCCGACTTTTCTGGTGAAAATGAGAAGAGGCACTATCAACTGGCCGAGGTTCTTTTAGGCATTGAACTTCAAGGCTCTCCTACTGCCCTAACTCAGTCATGGGATATCCACAAAAAACTTAAGAGCTTAGCCTTTTTCTCTCAGCTGGGCTTAGCCCCATAGATGAAAGACATTCCTTGTTAAGGGTAAGGTGTAGCTGCTGCAGATACAGTTTGCCTTTAGAGATATGGACAGGAGCCCTGGATAACAAGACACGTAGTGAGGGAAAACATCTTGATTGGTATCAAGAGAAGACAGGGGTTGAGTCCTGACTAAACTATTTACTAACATTAGGAATTATATTAGCAAATTTTCTGAGCTTCAGATTCCTCATTCTAAAGTAGAAACAACAGTCCTTTCTGCCCAGCCCTATTCACGATGTAACAAGTTTCAAATGACCTAATTGGAATGAAGACTATACGTGCTACATAAAGTGGTTATTCCTCACATGTTAGAAAATATGCAGTTGAGGCAGCTGCAATAGCTTTTCTTTAAATACTACTAGTCCTCAGCTTCCAAACCAGAAGCTCTGTGCCTTACTGCCTTACTCCTTGACTGGTGAGTTCAGAGTAAGGTGGAGCTGCTGCAGATACAGTTTGCCTTTAGAGATAAGGACAGGAGCACTGGATAACAAGACACGTAGTGAGGGAAAACATCTTGATTGGTATCAACTAAGAGACAATAGGGGTTCAACTACTTACTAACATTAGGAATTATACTAGCAAATTTTCTGAGCTTCAGATTCCTCATTCTGAAGTAGTAATAGTCCTTTCTGCACAGCCCTATTCATTATGTAACAAGTTTCAAATGACCTAATTGGAATGAAGACTATAATTGCTACATAAAGTGGTTATTCATCACGTTAGAAAATATGCAGTTGAGGCAGGTGCAATAGCCTTTCTTTAAATACTACTAGTCCTCAGCTTCCAAACCAGAAGCTCTGTGCCTTATTGCCTTACTCCTTGGCTGGTGAGTTCAGAGAACCCAAAGTGGGACAGATGGGCCATGCTGGGGTTCTTGGACTTACCACCACTTCCTTGTACTAAAAAACTAAGTACCCTCTAAGGGGCAAATTTATGTGGTTTGGGCAGGTCACAGTCAAGGGTCCAAGCAGCTATGTAGAAATGAAGTCACCTGTGCACATGGGGTCTCCATACACAGATGTGCCATCCTTGTCGACATCTAATAAAAATATATATGAAGTTGGTAGGTGTCTCAAATAAGTAACTTAGTGAAATCAGGGCACTAGTGCAGCATTTGAAATAAAAGTCAACCAGCATCTGGGCCTATATCTGGCCTCCCTTTAGGCCTTGCTGGTGCTAGCTGAGATCGTTCAGTGTCTCGCAAGGATGTTTTCTCCTTCTCTCTAGAGTCATATGCTAAAGAGGCCACAATCTTAAGACGTGACTAAAGCCAATATCCCTCTCTACTTCTGGGCTAAATTGTGATGGAAAATGCTGAGCCTGGTTCTACAGAGTTTGCTCTGCTAGTGATAAGCAGTGTGATCCTGAGGAAGTCAATTTCCACTCTAAATCTCATAAGCAATGACTTCCTCAATAAGCAATGAGAGGAGAAGGAGAGAGAGAATTATTGCTCTACCTATACCACAGAGTGTTGTGTGAACACTTGAAGGAACTAATGGCTGAACATATTTTTGTACAAGATTGAGGAAATACTATCTGCTGAAACAAACATCAACAGAATGGACATCTACTTTAACAGAAAAGTAAATACTCTTCCAACCAGTTGCCTTTTATGGGAGATAAGACTACTTGTGGTGGCACACATCTAGCTACTTCAGCCATACGGAGTGTTCTGCTTTCAGGGTCCCAAGGTACATCTAAGACATCCATTGAGTTACATTATCACTTTCACTTTTTACCATTTTCATTACTCTCACAAATTGGAGACAGCATAAATAGCAGCCCAAAATGTAAACTGTGGTAGTTCTAGTGACAGATCATCCAAGAATTTCACCATCTGCTACCTTTCACAGAAATTTAGTGCTGAGACGCCTTTTAGATCACTTCTATCAACTCAAGCAGCTCAGTGCTTGTGTCTAGATCCCTTGTCTAGCAGAGCTTCACAGAAGAAGGTCAGAGCTGCTAGATTAGAGTTTACTGCTCTTTCCAGGCAAATCCTGCCTTGCCTGGGACTATCTGCAGGAGTCAGTGATCTTCCCCAAACAGAGAATGGTACAGAGGCTGAAAGAGGGAATCCCCTTTCCTTCCGTAACTCCCAGTCACTAAAGAACCCATCTTCCTCCAGTGAAACTACAGTACCTCATTTCATATTTGGAAACCAGCCTGCATCCTTTTGTACTCTGAAGTCTCGGGGATGGTACAACTATACAACTGAGAGGTGGCAGGAAAGGAAGCATGAGCTCTAGTATCAGAAAGATACTGCTGAAATAGGTTTCAGTTAGCATTGACAAGAACAGGGGGGTAAGCAACCCAAGAACACGTTACAGGCTTGCTAGAAAACAGGAACTTTCCAAAGGCTAGCTTAAGACTGACGTGCTTTTTACACCTCAATTACACTTCAGTCTACCCTATTCTGATGAGCTCCTGGAGGGCAGGGATACTGCTAAGAGTCTGCCACTTATAGGCTGTCAAATTGCTGACATCTGTGCTAAAACATGCATGCCTACTTCTTCTGAACCTAAGCTTCTCAGTCATTGAAAACAATTCAAGTCAGGTGTGGTGGCACGTACCGATAATACCAGCTACTCAGGAGGCTGAGGCGGGAGAATCACTTAAGCCCAGGAGTTTGAGACCAGCCTAGGCAACATCTCAAAAAAGAAGAATTCACAAGAATATCATCACAGAAAATGCACAGGCCAAGGAGTCCAAAGGCATGGATTCAATTCTTGGCACTGCCATTCACTAGCTGTGTGACTTTAGCTAAGTCACTTCATATCTCTGAGCCTTGATCTCATAAAATGCAACTATCAGCAACCCTTGCAGGAATTTACAAAAATTAAATACATGTCAAAGCATATTATGCATATCTTGAATTAATACCCAACTACTAAAAACAAAAATGTTCCTATCCTCCAAAAACATAAGTTTCTTTGGAAAAAGAACTCTGCCTACCTGGGAGAGCACTTCTCAGCACATTTAATAAGTAAATAAATCTTGGATTATCCTGGCTTTTCCAGCTCTAAGATCCTGAAGGCACATAAACTCAACTGCAGTCTGCTTCTGATATTAACATGAAGACTTGTATTCTTGCTTGTCCTAAGAAATGTCTCTTGCCTTGCAGATTACATGAAAGAATCCGTGTGCAGTTCTAGTACTTGTTCCTTGAATAGCAGTGAAAACCCTTACGCCACAATTAAGGACCCACCCATCCTCACCTGCAAGCTTCCAGAAAGCAGCTATGTAGAAATGAAGTCGCCTGTGCACATGGGGTCTCCGTACACAGATGTGCCATCCTTGTCGACATCTAATAAAAATATATATGAAGTTGGTAGGTGTCTCAAATAAGTAACTTAGTGAAATCAGGGCAATAGTGCAGCATTTGAAGTAAAAGCAAGCCCTCTCCACTCACCCCACCTTGACCACACATCCTTCTTTTGTTGCTTTTAAAGGCATCTCTAAGGTGAACTGTCTTTCCTAGGACTACCCTCCTAGCTAATGCAGGAAGTCAAATTATTGTACCAACTCTGCTTTAAAAAACACCAGGACTAATATGAAACAAATACTGGGGGTGGGAAATGGGCACATGCACGTGCACGCGCGCACACACACACACAGATTGTTGATACAAATCTCATTTTAAAAAAGAAAGCAATCAGAGACATCAACAAGTCTCTAAATCACCTTCTACCTTCTCCCAGTTTATGTCCCTGGGCTCACTGGTAAGACTCCTACCTCTAGGATATTTTAAATCCTTTGGTGTTGATGAGAGGCTTGGATGTTGACAGCACATTCACTTAGTTTTCCATCTCCTGAGCAAGCCTCAGTCCTAACCCTCATGTATTTGCCATAGATTTATAAATCCCTGGCTCCTTTCCCCAAGTTAAGTAGAACTCTCTTCCTCTCCAACAAGGCAACCAAAGCTAATCTGTTCTCTGAACTCATTTTTCACTATATTTCTTAGAGCCCACAGTCAGTGTGGTCCAAGAAGGTTGCGGTCATAACTCCAGCTATATCCAGAATGCATACGACCTACCTAGGAACAGCCATATTCCTGGTCATTATGACCTCCTCCCAGTAAGACAGAGCCCTGCCAATGGGCCGTCCCAGGACAAGCAATCTTAAGAGGGATAAGCTTCTCTCTTGCAGTGTGCTCTACTGAATATTCTGACTCTGAAAGAAGACAGTCCCTTGACTTGAAGTAATGGTACAGACTGGCTCCAGCTGCATGTTAGTTATTACGTTCACCTGGAACTAAAGAAGAGCGTCCAGGTGGGACTGGGATAATTGTTCAAGGAATTGTGTTCTCAAAGGCAAATCCTATCACCCACTCAGCCCCAAATGCCCTGGATTATATGATTTTTAAAACATTTTAAGATACAGCTACTCATCAACATCAGCTAAATATAGCTGATATATATATATATATTTATCTGAAACGTGATATTTTAAAAACATGTAGGTTTAACAAACCTTCCTAGGACAAAAAGGAGACTGGGGAGGGAAGAGGATTACTTTAAAGCACCTGAAACGTATATGTACTTTTGGTTGCTGTTACCATCAACATCTGTTTTATTACCGAAGACAATTAGTACACAGACATGAACTGTTCTTAAACAGAACAGTCTTAAAATGTCTGTACATATCTGTCTGGTCCATCAAATTACAACAGCCAAGATTACAGAATCTATATAGTCTAATGCTGACAACTTCTATTTTAAAAAACAAGACTTTACTTTCTTCTGCCCCCTAAGTGATAGGTTTAAACACACAGAGACACACACACACGTTTCCAAAGTGCAGCAGTGTCTCTTTCAGTCTACAATAAGATTCCTAGGGCAGCTTTATCAAATTTTGCCAATTCAAAGTTCAAGGACATTACAAGTTAGTCCTGGCTTTGTCATATCTACTTAGTCCATCCGACACCTGAATCATTCCATGTAAAACAGAGCTCTAAGATGATCCTTTAAGCAAGCAGTCATAGACTGGTCGGGATTAAGTAAAAGACGGCTAGTTGGCCTCCTCATTTTATTTGGTCAGCATCCCTTGACTCAAGAGTACTTGCTTTCAAGTTCTTCATAAATCTTGAGATTGACGTAGTATGAAACCTAAAAGTATACAGGAAATTGGACAAATGTGGATACAGCAAGTTTACACTGCTTAAAGTACATTATGCTTTTTAATGGAACTAAATGATCAAAAAAAGAATGGACTGTAACCAGTTGCTGTAACGTGATGTAAAAACGTTACTGTAAACAGCATGAGGATATGAAGTCCTTCCACCTTCTATCTTAAAACTACTACTTACTGAGCTAGCCCAATATGCATTACAATGAGCTAATGCTCCAGATCCCAGTATTCAGATGTGTCTATACCTTCCACTATGAACACAGATAAACTGAGGCTCAGATAAGTCCAAATGAAATGAAATCAACTCCCAAGCCCTAAAGAGAACCTTCTCACAAGAATTAAAAACAAAAAGGGCAAACCTAGGAAGCTAACGGCTACTCCTGTACCACTCTATTCACTGGTACAGTCCAGCCAGTAAAAAACACTTCCAAAAAGATACACAGAAGAGGAACTAAATGACTGCGAAGCTGGAATACTGCTACAGGAAGTATGAGAGTTCTGAAACCCTTGATAGAAACTGGAAGCCTGCCATGGAACACAATACTTTGGGCAATAATCAGAAAAAGCAAAAAAATAAATAAATGAGTACATCTCCCCTTCCCACATCACTCAAGGCATAAGCAGATTTTACTGTTAGAGGAAAATATGTAATACTTACATGAATGTTGCATGTGTGCATGGGAGCAACTGAGTAGCAATAGTAAATTTACTTTCCAAAAAAGCCTTATTAAAATATAAATATTAGAAAATTACTTTGGAGACCCAAGTAAATATTTCTCATACATATGTAGAAAGAAATATAGGTAAGCAGCTTACCTCAGTATTTCAGGGCAGCAAGTGTTTGTGAAGCAAGGATGAGCAGCATGAAGATGTCAGATCAGCAAGGAGAAACTTCAACTCAATCCCAGGTTTTCTCTTCTTCCCTTATCCTGCATGTACAATAACTGCTGCCTGGCAAACTGCAAACAAGCAGCATCACTCAAGTTTGAAGTTTCGCCGCTTTTGTCAACTATCCTCTGGGCAAAGGTATTCAGCAAGAGGTGGAATGGCTAGACACTGAATCAAGAGATTTCAGTGTTACTCTGGTCAAGTTAGTCGCCCTCTCTGGGCTCCCTTTTTTCCTATGCATAAAAAGGGGAGAAGCAGAGAGTGGGAAGACAGCTCTACTAACCCTTCAGCTCTAGCAGTCCATGACTTTTTAAGGAAATGTAATACAAGTCAAACCAGGCAATACAGAGGAGAAGGGAAAGGCAGAGGGTGTGATTATGGTGACAATAGCTGCCTTCCCCTATCGAACAGTTATCAGTAAAAGACATTTCAATCTTACAAAGCAACTGTTAGAAACTTCTGTCTAACACCATCACAAATAGGTTCATGGTCAGCCTAAACATGTATACTGTGCATTTTATGGGTGACTTTGAAAGATCTGTTCAATTATTTTTCAGAAACTAAATTTTCAAAAAATTAATATGTGTACAATTAAAATGAATGAAAGAAAAACCATTATTGTACAGAGGTATTAATGAGACTATGAAACGGCAATACTTTTTTAAATCACAGATTTGTAATATATGTTCACTGTGCAGAGGGATTGTACCTTGTACAAAATAAAACAAATTTCTCAAACTAATTTAACAAGAATGCCTACTGTTGTGTTGCAAATGGAAAACGTGCTTATAATCTACACCTTAAGTTTAAGGGTAGAACTAACCTACATCCTGCTTGGGCACTTTGAACACCTGGAAGAATGAAAATTATTCTAGTAGATGTTTGAAAATAAGTGAAAAACTTGTATCAAATTTTTGATAGACGAGTCTCTTTCTTTAAAGTAATAAATGTGAGCACCATATTTTTATTCATGTTCAAAACTTATTTAAAAATCTCGGGGCCAGGTGCGGTGGCTCACACCTGTAATCCCAGCACTTTGGGAGGCCGAGGCGGGCAGATCACGAGATCAGGAGATCGAGACCATCCTGGCTAACATAGTGAAACCCCGTCTCTACTAAAAAAACAAACAAAAAATTAGCCGGGCCTGGTGGCGGGCACCTGTAGTCCCAGCTACTCAGGAGCCTGAGGCAGGAGAATGGCGTGAACCTGGGAGGTGGAGCTTGCAGTGAGCCGAGATCGCACCACTGCACTCCAGCCTGGGTGACAGAGCGAGACTCCGTCTCAAAAAAAAAAAAAAAAAAAAAAAATCTCATATACATTCAGTATACTAAAATTAAGAGGGTTTCTCAGCTTTCACAAACATTTGGACTCAAAGACAACTATTACAGTTTGTGCTCAGCTCCAGAGGCACAAAGGTATTTAAATGGAATGAATAAGGGCCAGTGTAAGGTCCACTTCATTTCTATAATGCAATGAATAGCTTTCCACTAGTAGAAGTTATCATCCAGTATAGTTACTATGGGTATATCTATTTTATAAACTTTAAAGACATAAACTTGTGATCAAACTGGTAAAGAAGCAACAGGATTAATTTTGTAATAAAATACAGATGCTAAAATATGGCTTACTGAGTTCATTCAAATAAGTTTAAAATTCCTCCTTCATAGTTCCAAAGGTTTGTATATAATCCTCATATGTACATAACCCTCACATTCTGAAGACCCATTCAGAAGAAATTACTAATAGGTAATTCTCAAGAGCTATGAGTTGACATCTCAGTTAAAGACAAAACATAATCAAAGAGTTTTAAGACTAAAAAAGATATTTACTGACAGTAGTGTAAGATTATGCATTACAAGTCTCAGAATATTACTCAATACTATGAATGATAACTAATGGCCAATTGCTGCAAGTTGTGCACTCAAGAATGACACATTAGCCATTCATTTAACCAGAGGGAAGAAAGAAGAGGCCCATTTAATCAATATGCAGCAACAGGAGATGGAAACTCTTTCTATGAAGAGATGGATACATAGGGGGGTTCATTGTACTTTTATACTTTTGTATAATAATTATATATAAGTATATATTTATATAATTGTAATATATAATTCTGTATAATTTTTAATAAAAAACTTTAAAATTTAAATAGTAATTCTCATAGCTCCCCAGGCTACACCAGAATGAACCCTAAGACTAGCCCTCTCACTCTTTTTAGATGGCCCTCCCTAATTGTCCTGACATGGAACTGTCAAGGGGAGGGGGAGATAGATACTATGAATGTAAATACAGATTGAGTATCCAAAATGCTTGGGACCAGAAGTATTTCAAATTCGGGATTTTTTCAAATTTTGGAATATCTGCATATACATAATGAGCTATCTTTGGGATGGGACCCAAGTTTAAACATGCAATTCATTTTACATTTCATATATACCTTGTACACATAGCCTAAAGGTAATTTTATACAATATTTTTAATAATTTTGTGCATGAAATAAAGTTTGTGTGTATGGAACCATCAGAAAGCAAAGGTGTCACTGTCTCAGCCACCCATGTGGACAATCTGTGGTGGTTTGCAACACCATCATTCATGACTGTGAATTTCTATGCTACCAATAAGCAATTCATTTTCTTACACTTATTCACACATTCACACTAGTATTTAAAAAATATGATGTATCATTAATACAGTGAAAAAGAATGTGTTCAGGGTAACTAAGCAGCACAGTAGCATCACCAGAGTATCTGTACCAGCAGTTAACCACCACCAACAGCTGGCTTTCAGTCTCCACCTACGATGCTGTTTTGATTGAAAGGTTACTGTACACCTCTGCGGGAACACTGAATAAACTGTGTGGCGTGCCTGCGTTTTGACTGTGACCTGTCACCTGAGGTCAGGTGTGAAATTTTCCATTTGTGACATCATGTTAGTGCTCACGTTTCCAATTTTAGAGCATTTTTGAATTTTTGGATTAGGGATGCTCAACCTGTATGAAAAAAGCATGTTCCCTGCCCTTGTGGATCTTACAATGTAGTGATTACCAAAGGGGAGAGATAAACGGAGAGCCCTGGTGATTAGTGGGGTGCTGATTATGTATTTTCTTCCCTGGGCTTGCAAAGCTAGAAAGACTAAACAATGCTCTAATCCAAACCCACAGAAAGTGGAAGCTCTGGTCTTTAGCTTCAGTTGTCAGATTCCCGCCTCATTCCACCTTCTGCTTCCCAAGCCACTGTCCAGCCTAGCAGATGGCCCTCCAGATCCTTGGGTAAGAGAAAGCATGGGGACTGTACAAAGTACAGTCCTGTTATTTAGGCATCCACTCTAATGTAAACCAAAACTAGTAACTGAGGACCCCAACTGCCTCCTCCAGAATTGGTTTCACATCAAAGATAGCCTATGGAAAGTGTTGCTTCTTGGGGCTTCCCAGACTGTCCCTTCTCAGGCATGATCTTCTTCTACAGTATTCTTCGGCCCATATGATGAAAGACTGGCATAGAGGCTAGTACAATGGTCAGCAACCTCTTAAAAGATATGACAAGGAACGGTACCACTTCCCTAGAAATACCTGAGAAAATGGTATGCTGAGAGATTAGAGGTTGTCAACAGGGGGACAGGTGCTAAAAACAGTACATTATTCATTGGGATGAGAGTTAAAAAGGTCTGAGATTTTGTGGTTTGGAGCAAGGTTAAGTTCCACTGACTCAAACATAGTAAAGGAATCCTGTTGGCTGCTAATTCTCACTACCATCACTGGTACTGGTAACATAGTTAGCCAATATACATAACATTTTGTGCTCACACCCGTGTCAGGAACTATCCTATAATTAATAAATGTCAAAGAATTGAATTTAAATAATGTTTTGACTATTAATAATTAGATCACTAGATCAACAACCCCAAAATACCATGTGTATCATGTACATGCACACATAAACCTGTACACTTGGATTTAATCACTGGTTCTACTGGATAGCTAGCCTGTGGACTGATCTACCTTCTTGTAGATTCCTATTAAAGAAATAATTTTTTAAAAATTAAACACAAAATGTTTTTAAAAGTTCTCTCCCAGACATGAGTATATTTTAAAGTACATATTAAAAGCCAGCAGTTTTTTTTTAACAGCAAAAGCCATAAAACAAGCAGTTCTCAATTTACAGTTAACATAGCAGCCCATCAAGTGCTCCTCTCCCTTAGCATATATGGTACTTTGATGCATATTGTTGATATTGACAGTCATTTTGCAAATAAATGTTCTGAAAGCTTTCATCTTATTTAAAGGAGTAAACATGGAAATAAAGGCACCATTTTAATCAGGTTATTGTGATAAGACCAAAAACATTCCACAAAGTGCATACCTCATTTTGACTTCTCTATTAAATTTAAACTTGAGTTAAAATGTTAATAATTTGGCTTTAATTGAAGAGAGAGTTCATTCAGAGAATTACAGAGTTCGAATTGGGATGAATCCCCAGAGTTTATTTAATCTGGTACCCTCATTAATTGGAAGAATGTGAGGCTCAAAAATGAAATGACCACAAGAGCCATGACTAGAATCTCTTCGTTACTCAGTCCAGTGCTCTATCATACCAGCTACTTTCACTCTTCTAACCCACAGTTTACCGTATTTTCTAATACATGCTAGTATATTGCCTAGTACACAACATCCTTTCAAATATTCTTTCTTTATTCTCCAATTCACTTTTCAGGAGAATAGATAACCTCAATCATATTGATTCTCAGCCTAATGGTCTCCCTTACATAAATTATAATGACATAAGCATTTTGTATCACTTTATTGTTACCATCGACCTCCTACAGTTTGGGGGAACCCAATCATTCTTTAAAACATTAGAATGACAACTCCAGTTGATTTGGCATATTGTATAGGTGAGTGGGAAAGACTTGTCAAATCCCAGAAAGGGGCGTGGCACCAGCACCACCCAACCAGAAGAAAAATCTCTCTTTGGTGCTAGTGTCATAGCTCCCTATCTGTTCCGCTAACCCATTAAATGATGTGGTGGAAGAGGATCCTTTCACAATCTTTGTTCATTTTTTTACAGAGCAAATGGAAGTCATACATAACCTTTTACAAAATTCATTTTTTGTTTTAATTTTTTTCCAGGTATGTGATATTTGTGAGACATCAGAAAATCAATTTATATTTTTTTCCTCTGTTAAACCAAGCCCCACAAATTGAAACCTGACAGGTTAGAATAAGTTCTTAAATATCCACCCAGCCTTTGAATTCTTTTGCTTCTAGTGTTGGCCAAAACTGTCTAAATAGTACAGCTTCTTCTCTAAGGTAGATGGAAGAGATTATCACAACAGCTCAACCCACTAAAAGCATTTGTATTTTATAAATACCAGTCAGCAAAGACAAAAATTAAGATATTCATTTTTTCAATGATCAAAGAAATGTGACCAGCTCTGATGGGCAACCCAAACTCAAGAAGTGTAACTTTTCTGCAGAACCCTTCAGAACTTAAAAGATCACTGATGTAAGGTCACTAGCTGGCACCTCTTCTTATAATTACAATTAAATGGGCAATAACTTACCCTTACATAATGACAACTACTATTAAAGAGAAATCATGGCATTTGAGAACAATGACATAAGATTAAATCAAGGCACCATGGCTAACTATTCAGGAGACTATATAACAGGTTAAAAAAAAATTCAAGGCCAGGCACGGTGGCTCACGCCTTTAATCCCAGCACTTTGGGAGGCCGAGGTGGGTGTATCACCAGGTCAGGAGATCGAGACCACCCTGGCTAACATGGTGAAACCCCGTCTCTACTAAAAATACAAAAAATTAGCCAGTCGTGGTGGCTGGCGCCTATAATCCCAGCTACTCGGGAGGCTGAGGCAGGAGAATGGCATGAACCCTGGAGGTGGAGCTTGCAGTGAGCTGAGATGGTGCCATTGTACTCCAGCCTGGGCAACAGAGCAAGACTCCGTCTCAAAAAAAAAAAAAAAAATTCAAAGTTAAAATAACTGAAAATCAAGGTCAAGTAGCAAAATACTTCTAAACTGCCTTAAGCCCTGAACTGTCATAATATTTAAAAATTTATTGTTTCTTGCTTGAGACAGTTTGTCTCCTAAGATACTACTCAGAATAAAGACACCTGCTGAAATGCAATCAAAGTCATTTTCTAATACCTAATATTTCCTGGAATTCTCCCAAGATCCAGCCATACTCAAAGCAACATTTAAGTCTACACTTGGGTAAAAATTCTAAGTTTACTTTATTCATTTTCAATTCACTATTTAGTTTTTCTCTTTTCTCCTTACTTTGTAAAAAATCTACCACCAACTTTCAATAAAATAGAGATGGTTTCTTTTCCTGGGTCTGGTGACACTGTTATATATGAAAATACACACTACTTTCCTAATGTTTTTGGACATACTTTTTCCAAGGAAAGCATAATTGAACTGCAGTTCTAAAATCAAAGCTGAATTCACACACTGATGCTCCCAATTCAATGTTTACTCAGTAATGCAAGAACCTATGCTTTTACATCAGGATTCCACGGCTGCACCCAAAGCACTCAAAGGAAAAATGTAATCTGACAGCATAAGAAATAATCCCCCTATAACTGTTTATTAGAATGTGAATATAATCCAAATCAATAACTAAAAAAAAATCAAATTACAGAGCATGCATAAAATACAAAGTAGCAATTTACAAATAGATAATATTATCTTCATAACTAATACACTAAAATAATAAAATGGCTATAGAAGAAAACCAAAATGACTGACTACAGCAATGCCTTCCGTGTGCCCCACACATCATGAGCACCGCAAGAGACAAAAGATTAACTATGAAATATAGTAATCTAAGCAAGCCCACACATACATATTTTTGGGGATTTCCCACCATCCTGAATAGTATCACTGCAGTTGACACAACTTCCAGGAAACTGCAGAGTAAGTGCTTAATATTATCCACGAGAAAGCAAAACTAAATATTAGTGTGCACATTTCTGAATGAGAAACTAATTGCTTCATTGATTTCAACAATGTAGTGGAAGAAAACTATTTCAGATCTCTACAATGCCTAAATGCATTCTATTTAAACTCAAGGTACTATTTCATTTTACATACTAAAAGAATACATGCCTTTAAGTGGTACCACTTGAGCAGAAATTAACCTCTCACTGTACTCTTCAGACATACTGAAACCAAAGATTTAACTGGACTATATTCTATAATATACTGCAAAACTCAAATATTAGCATTGTTAAAATAATTATCCATGCCTGCTGGTGGATATGGTGATAAAACTAGGTTGTATTTCACTTACTGGAAGGTTCTAAGACAAAATTAACACTTCAAAATTTGACACTACCAGCATTAAACCAATTATTGCCTGAGCAATAAAATGCCACATAATCTACCGCTTGGAAATTATTATAGATCATTTAAATCTTTTGGGCTGCCTGATCATTGCCAACAGAGGCACCCGAGATGGAATACCACAAGTCTCTTCAGTTCCCAGCCTACCAGGCAGCACTGTTTAACTTATGGCCCCACAACCATACTACTAATGAAACCGTAACAATCTTTTGTGTTTACTAAGAGAATTCTCCAGAAAAAGTGCCCCCCTCTCTAATCAACTTTGATGCTTACAAAAATTAAAAAACAAAATTTACTCAACTACATAAACCTATTAAGGCATTTTAGAAATTCATGTCCAGAATAATGGAAAATTTTCAAGCTCTCAAAATCCTGCTATGTTTATAGGGCAATTCTTAGATTTGTGGAAATGTACACTGCACTGAGAGAAGAGTGTATTACCTATAAGCTGCTCTGTGGCAAAATGGTAGCTTATTTCTAAGGTCTTCTTAGTTTGATTTGATCAAGACCAATAGGTCTGAGCTTCAAGTGATCAAGTTCTATTATGTCCTACATACAGTGACAGGCTTCCATGATGAAAAGTAAACAATAACTGAGGAATCCAAACATTCAGTTTATTAAACTAAGGCTAGTGAAGCCATAGCATGAAAAAAAGCTGCAGTCATTCGGGACAAGTGGATGATTTTATAAAGCTAAAATCAAAAGACTTAGGACATGGAAAAATTCATAAGTATGAAGTAATAAAACACAAAAGTGACACAAGAATTACAAATATATTTAAATCTCAGACCTGGGAAATGGACTATACACAGCCTTCTAGGGGAGAAGAGAAATGCCTTAGATGTTCTGACAGCACTGCACCTTTGGCTTGTTTTCAGTGGTTGGTGGAACATGAATAGGAACCACATTGTTGCTTGGAGACATGTCATTTTCGCGTCTGTCTGACATTTGCTTCTGAGAAACAATGCGGTAAATCTCTGAAGGAAAAAAGAAACCACAATACTTAGTGTGAATAAACCTATCATAGTTAGGATAAAAGATACATAAAGGTAGGAGATATATTTGCATCAAAGTCCCTAAGGAAACTGAACAGAGAATACATAAATTTAAAGTTTTATTTTCAAACAGCCACTGATTAGATTCAACCCTTTATTTTAACAATTGCCCTTTGGGTAAGAAAAGAAACAAAGGTTTTTCCATGTCAGAGGGAAAGGTTCACCAGTCAAATAAATCTTTGTTTAAAGAGGTAAACCAGGCCAGGCAGATCACCTGAGGTCAGGAGTTCAAGACCAGCCTGACCAACATGGTGAAACCCTGTCTCTACAAAAATACAAAAATTAGCCAAGCATGATGGTGGGTGCCTGTAATCCCAGCTACTCGGGAGGCTGAGGCAGGAGAATCACTTGAACCCGGGAGGCGGAGGTTGTCGTGAGATGAGATCGTGCCACTGCACTCCAGCCTAGACAACAGAGCAAGACTCGGTCTCAAAAAAAAAAAAAAGAGGTAAGCCAATAGCATTACATTGTTTATGGACTTAGATTCAAAGTAAACCATAAGAGTATTTTCAGTCTACCTTTACCCCAAAAAACAAACAAACAAACAAAAATTGCCTACACACAATGACATTGTACCACACAAAAAATAAATAAATTTGCACTATCAGACGCATTCGGCAGAGTACATCTTAACAAACATGCTAAAATCCCAAACGATTCTTGGAAGGGAAAAAAAGATAATGTGTTTATCAGTGACCTCCTGAACAAAACTTAAATTGTAATTAAAGAATGATACAAAATAGGCAACTTAAGATGTTATATGTAAACTCTATTTTTATTTCATGACACTTATCAAAAATAATTTAGTGTCTGCCTCTTTTACTAAGTGTTAAACTCTGTAAGGATCAAAACTGTGTCTGTCTTACTGCTGTACTGCAACATATAACATGTGTTGTGATAAATAAATAACCGCATGAATGTCACTAAATTCCTCCACAATAAGTATCTGTATGTAACACGTTTGGTCTTATACTGCACTGCCTAAAAGTTGTTCCCTGTGACTAGATTATAAAGTCCTTAAGAACAGAGAATGTACCTTATTTTTGTTTACTCTCCCAGTTGTCCCTCCAAAAACACTACTCTCAAAAAGCAAGATAATTCTAAAAATGTGTCAAATTAACACAATTAGCCTCCTAATACGATGTACTAGGAAAGACACAATGTATTCCTATAAAGGACACCATGTATTCCTGACAAAAATATTTAAAACTAATTTAATCATGAGGAAATAATGAGATAAATCCAGACTGAGATGGGGATAAATGTTCTAAATTTGTGCTATCCAAGAGAGTAGCCATCTATTTTAATTAAATAAAATTTAAAATCCAATTCCTCATCTAACTAGCCACATTTCAAGTGCTCAATAGTAACCTGTGGCTACTTTATTCAACATCCCAGATACAAAACAATTCCATCTGTTAAGGCTCAGAAACCCATACTCCAAAATGGCGTTTTGATATGCTGAACTAAAGAAGCCTCAAGGTCTCTCTGACCTTCTCCCCCTCATCCTCTCTCCCTGGCACAGGATGAAGCTGAAGTTCCTTCATCTGCCTGAGATCCAGACCCACTAAAAGGGACAATTGTTTTTTCTTCCCCTCCCTGTAAGATCAAGAATGTAACCACACTTAAACAGACTCTTTCACGAGATAATGTACCAATTAATTTCTGTCCACTGATCCGTTCATCCTCCCCAGTAATCCCCTCAACAGAATTCCTTTTCTCCTCCTTCCCATAACCTGTTTTGCCAGAATGGCATAAGCCTCTGAATGCCATTGGGAGGTGGGTCATCTCTCTGGTTCTCCCCAGAGAAAACCAGTGTACAGTGTACATGTTAATAAATTTCGTATGCCTTTTCTCCAATTAAAATGCCTTTTGTGAGTTGATTTTCCAGCAAACTTTCAGAGGTTTCTATTTAGATCTCCTACAAGAGAAATCTAAATGATATAAAAATGATAAAGCAGGATTCTTTTTCTTCCTAACCTCTACCTATCGTTTGGACCTCGTGAAAGGTCCAAAGCTGTATCAGATAGCTTTCAGCAAACCTTCAGAGGGCAATAGGGACACTTCCCTTGGCTCCTATACATGTGATCTTTAAATGGATCTTGAATTTTTTAATTAAAAAACAAATCTACAAAGGACATTATTAGTATACTGAAGAAATATGAATATGGATTGCACATTAAAAACTGTATAAATGGGCCAAGCGAGGTGGCTCACGCCTGTAATCCCAGCACTTTAGGAGTCCAAGGCGGGCGGATCACGAGGTCAGGAGATCAAGACCATCTTGGCAAACATGGTGAAACCCCGTCTCTACTAAAAATACAAAAAAAAAATTAGCCAGGTGGGGTGGCACCCGCCTGTAGTCTCAGCTACTTGGGAAGCTGAGGCAGGAGAATCGCTTGTCCCGGAGGGGAGGTTGTAGTGAGATAGCACCACTGCACTCCAGCCTGGGCAACAGAGCACACTGTCTCAAAAAAAAAAAAAAAAAACTGTATAAATGTTAAATTTCTTGGATACGACATATGGTATTGTGATTATGTAGGAGAATGCCTTTTTTTTTGAGACAGAGTCTCACTCAGTGAGCAGTGAGGTTGAGACTGCACCACTGCACTCCAGCCTGGGGACAGTGTGAGACCCTGTCTCCAAAAAAAAAAAAAAACGGTGGGGGCGACTGCATAGGAATTGGTATATTCATTTGGTTCTAAAGGAGAACATGCCTTTGAAAGAAGGAAATAGATCTAGTTTAGCATACCCCCCCACCCCCACAAAACTCCCAATGAAATAACCTTCTCTAATCAGACAGCTAGAAGTTACCTGCTTCCTACTTTCTTATCAGGTTTTTGGTTTGGTTTTTTTTTTTTTTTAATGACACACCCAGCCACAAGAGACTTAAGTATGTAAATTACTTGTGGAACCTCTTAAAGCCAATCACTCTTTATTGCTTTGGTGGCATTTTTATTAGCAGACATCCTTTTTGGTAACTGGAGTAAGTGCAGCAGTAATCTATTTCTAAAAAACAGTATGCTGTACTTGTAACACACCAACACTGCTCAAATTTCTTGCTTTGTAATGAGATCTCTTTAATTATTTACTTCTCTATGTTCTTTGAGAAGTCTGCCTTTCCCTCTCTTCCAGTTTTACATATATTTGTTTTTTATGTAAGAACTTTTCTTTGTTTTGGTTCCCCTAATTTAATCTTCAAAACAATTTATAAGGAAGTTAAAACTTACAGTGGGTTACATATTTCATCTTAATTTACACACATAATTTACACTTGAAAAAGAAGAGCCTCCCAGTTTGAGACTAGAGGGAAAGCTTAAAGATGCAAGTTAATTATCTTTATTCCTTAGCCACTCATCTGATTGAATGACTGAAAGGTAAATCCTTTTCTTTAGCCTTGGCACCCTCCCATCCCATCCTTTTTCATTGAAACAAAATCTAAATAAAGATTCCATATCCTTTTTTTTTTTAATTTTAATTTTAGTAGCCTGTCTTTATTGAATCCTAGTTGTCTTTCCTTAATGCCTCTTCACATTTGAACCACTGTCAACCTTCTCAGACATAAATTTTAGCCACTCCCCTTCCCCCACAAAAGAATCTAAGAAAAGATACACTTGCTGTCTGTTTTTGTTAGTTTACATATTCAGTTGACTACAGCTTACTGTTTTTCAACTTCTGAGAAATTAGTTCTTAATTTTGGAAAATGTAGTAATTCAGTTAATACATCTCTAACTTTTTTTTTATGGAAATTTTCTGACATACCAAAAGCAGAATAAGGCCAGGGGCGGTGGCTCACACCTGTAATCTCAGCACTTTAGGAGGCCAGGCGAATCACGTGAGGCCAGGAGTTAGAGACCAGCCTGGCCAACATGGTAAAACCGGTCTCTACTTAAAATACAAAATTAGAGAGCATGGTGGCTCAGGCCTATGATCCCAGCTACCCGGGAGGCTGAGACACGAGAATTGCTTGAACCTAGGAGGCAGAGTCTTGCCTGGCAGAACAAGACTCAGGGGAAAAAAAAAAGAATTTAGTGTTCATGCTAAAAAGATATCCTGGACATATTAATTACATGGAGAAACCTAGCAGACATCACCTTAACCAAGTGGTCAAAGTTAACATCACTAGTAATTAATAGGACATCCAATTATCACAAACCTGCTGATATGATGCACTGAGAACACTTCTGTGGTGTTCCTGCCAAAAGTGTATAACTTGAGTTTAATCATGAGGAAAGAAATCAGAAAAGCCCAAAATGAGGTACACAACAAAATAACTGGACTGTACCCTTCAAAAATGTCAAGGTCAATAAACAAAAGATTGAGGAACTGTTCGAGATTAGAGGAGACTAAAGAGATATGACTGCTGAATGAAACGCATGACCTGATCTTGGACTTTCTTTGGCTAATAAGGGTATTATTGGAACAACTGGCAAAATCTGAATAAGGTCTGTAATTAAACACTGATGTGGCACTATTATCTAACTCTCTGATTTTGATAATTATACTGTGGCTATAAAAGAGAATATCCTTGTTTTTACAAAATATACACTGAAAAGTACTCAAGGATGAGGGTCATCATGTCTGCCACTTAATCTCACATGGTGCCGAAAAAATATGTATATATTTAGAGCGAAGAGAAAGAAAAGGACAAAGCAGATGTGGTAAAATATTAACATCTGAGGAATATGGGTGAAGGATATTTGCAAATTCTTTTTACTATTATTTCAACCTCTTTAAATTTGAAATTGTCAAAATGCAAAGTTAAAATAAAAAAGTAAAAGGTATGTATTAAAAACATCCTTTAGTGAACCTGAGAAAAGACAAAGCTGTACTGAAATTCAGAGGCGGAGCAATCTACCAGTCTCACTCTCATACTAGTAAACTACCTCTAAAAAAATACCATCAGCAAAATCATCTCATGGAGTCACTTTCAAATTCATGGGTGTCAAGAATGCCATGGGTCTATTCTGAAACCAACAACACAATTAACTCTGAAGTAACAATGTAAATTTTCTGATATATAATTTTACAACTTAAAATTTTTGGCCAGGCATGGTGGCTCATGCCTATAATCCCAGCACTTTGGGAGGCCAAGGCAAGCAGATGGCTTGAGCTCAGGAATTCAAGACCAGACTGGGCTCCATCTCAATTTTTAGAAATTTTAAAGCTATTTTTTCTTTCAGCAATATCAAAACACAACGTAAATACTCCCTTAAGACTGTTAACATTTAAGGTAGAATCAAGTGCAATAAAGAGTCTGTCCTCTTCACTGTTTTCTCTATGCATTCACACTTCCACTGGCATACAGGAGGAAGAAAGTTTAGAACAAACATCCTAACACCTGCAGAACAACACAGATGTCTGCTGCCACATGCAGTGATCTCTGATCCTACAGACCAACAGTGAGATTTATGCAGGAAGCTGAGGAAACAGTGAATATAGAAAGGAAAAGTGGTAGCAAGTGAAACTAAAGTCTTCTTTGCTTTCAAGCAACAATTAAGCTGTAACAAAAGTTCAATCTAGAGTGAATTTTAAGAAAAGCAACTATATGTTCATCTTTTTTTTTCTTTTTGAGACAGGATCTCACTCTGCCCACAAGGCTGGAGTGCAGTGGCATGATCTCGGCTCATTGCAGCCTAAACCTCCCAGGCTCAAGCAATCCTCCCACCTCAGCTGGGACTACAGGCGCACACACTACCATGCCTGGCTAATTTTTTTGTGTTTTTTTTTTTTTTTTTTTTTTTTAGAGACAGGGTTTTACCATGTTGCCCAGGCTGGTCTTGAACTTTTGAGATCACTGCATGTGGCAGCAGACATCTGTGTTGTTCTACAGGTGTTAGGATGTTTGAGCTCAAGCGATCCGCCTGCCTCAGCCTCCCAAAATGCTGGGATTACAGGCGTGCATCAACATGCCCAGCTCTTAAAGGGCTCAATTTTAAGTACCGACTAGTTCATGTTTGAGTGGATCAGAAGCTCAATGTTACAAAATGATGCATAAAATAGTTAACTGCAGATGGAAGACTTGGGCTCATCTTCACTTAATATCAGAATAAATGGGCCAGAATTACAGCAGAGGAGATTTGATGGAACATAAAAAATATTCCAACAATGAGGACTGTCTAAAAAGTTTTTTCAGATGAGACTTTCTGAGGCCTTAAAATGCTCACACATCTTTAAGGTAATTTAATTCACATGTTTTAAGACTATGACTCTGAGGAGCAGGGAGGTTCAGTGACTTTAGTTAAACGGGGAGTAGAAGCAAAGTGATAAAAATGTAATGCCCTAGAACTCCTGGGTCTCAATCTAGTACTCTACATGTTGACTTAATAAAATGTACACAAATGGCTATAAAGAAAACAAGGACTTGCAGACATACTACATATTTAATCAAATCTTGCTTGCTTAAAACAATCTGCAGTGAAACTTTGACAGAGAACATTCTAAAGGAAAGCTACTGTGTTCCAAAGACTGCTTATCCAACCCCAGCACTATTCTTCTGATAACAGAAAAGAATTATAATAAAATAGGTACATAAATCTCCAATTTTCTCATGCCTTAATTGCCGTTCAGCTACTAATTTGCCAACTGTTCTCTATATACCAGGGATAGATAAGTAATTTACAGTATTCAAAATGGGTACTTTACAGGTACTCATTTTTGAAGTCTAGGGCAGTGACAGACCATTCTTTGCTAAGGGTTACTGAGACAAAAAACCTTTAGGTCACAAAAGTCAAGTCAAATCCTATCACAAGATTTTATAAATATAAGCCTTCTCTCAAAAAAGAAATAACAAAACTCCTCAAAATATATATGAATTTTATAGATGGAGAAATTAAGGCCTAAAAGGGTTAGGTAACTTGCCTAAGATTGTACAACTAACAGTAAGTGGAGGAGCCAGGACTAGAACCCAAGTCAGGCTTCCAAATCTTAACTCCTTGACTTTACGCTTACATTTTTACAGTAAAAGAAGATAACATGTTAAAGTTAAAATCTGTTAATCTCTAATACAGGGGCTGCATACAAACAATAAATCAAAACTTGTTACATTATAATTGGAAACTCAATCATATCTCTGTATAGACTTTTTAGAACAATGCCACGTAAAACTATACTATATATTAAGACCACATTTTAAATCATGAGTTCTTAAAAGTAACATACAATTTAAAAGTATTTAAAAACAACCCATCAAAGTACTAATTAGAAGATTAAGACTAATCTTACTAATAAATCTGGTTATTCTAATAGTTTCAGGATAAATATGAGTGAACACTTCTTATCTCAGAGGCTGACCTGGTCATTCACATTCCAAAACAGCATGAACTCCATCTCTTTCCAACTACTTTTTAAAACTTTTCTATATGCAATCATTGGCTGATTTTATCTACCAATTATCTCCCATGATACAATATAGAATACGCAAGGGATACCCTTCTTCTGTATCATGGGAGAATTTTATTTTGTCGCTATAATTTTTAAAAATGTTTTTTCCCTAGCTTTGCCTTTACTAAATTTAAAAAAGGGCATTTATATCTTTCTATAGCTGGGATCTCAATATTTACCTCATAAAAGTACATTTAAACATTACTTTGTGACCATGAAGAATGGAATACCTGGACTGAAGTAATAATGGAAGTGAATGAATTATTTTCAAAGTATTTTTCCCACTATAAATCAGATGAATTAGGACAACTGAAGCTCAGTGAGCAAGGGTTGTAGTTAATTTTGCACTCTAAACAGCTTTTGCTAGAGTAGCTCTCAAATGATAGTCACTCTCGGCTGATATATAGTTTAGTTACTGATTAGTTTGTTTAAATTACCTTCCTAAAACTTCTAGTCCTACTGGTGTAATCTGAAAATACAAGTCTTACCTGTTAAAATTGTCTGAAAAGCAGCTTCTACATTTGTAGAGTCTAGGGCCGAAGTTTCAATGAATGACAAACCATTCTTTTCTGAGGGGAGACACAAAAGTTCAGTCTTGTTAAGTTTTAAAACAAGGAATAGGATATACTCAAGCCCTCAAAAGGAAAAATAACAGAACTTTTTAAAACTTAAGACCTCCTCAACTTCTGGGACAGTAAGGGCACCATTCTGTTTACACTTTATTTATTTACTTACTTTATTTACTTCTTTATATAAGTAGAGATGCAGGTCTCACTAGGTTGCCCAGCCTGGTCTTGAACTCCTGGCCTCAAGAGTTTCTCCTGCCTCCATCTCCCAAAATGCTGAGATTACAGGCATGAGCCACCATGCCCGACCCTACTTACACTTTAATATTTACACTTTAATAGATTAAAAATAATAGCAAGAGAGCTGGGCATGGTGGCTCACTCCTGTAATCCCAGGACTTTGGCAGGCCAAGGCAGGCGGATTGCTTGAGCCCAGGAGTTCAAGACCAGCCTGGGCAACATGGCAAAACACTGGAGAGAGGTTTTGCTCTCTCTATATAAAGAATACTAAAAATTAGCTGAGCGTGGTGACACACACCAGCAGTCTCAGCTACTTAGGAGGCTGAGGTGGAAGATCACTAGAGCCCAGGAGGTCGAGGCTGCAGTGAGCCTTGACTGTGCCACTCCACTCCAGAATGGGTCACAGAGTGAGATCCTGGCTCCCAAAAAAAAAAAAAAAAAAAGTGAGAAATTGTCAATTGGCTCCTTAATTAAAATAAATACTTGTTATATCTAAGTACTACTCACTAGTGACGAATGACACCACTTAAAATGTGGTAAAAATGTATCAAGTGCCCAGTTATTTCCATCTCTTGCTATCCTCTCCATCAACTACATTGGCTATAGTATTCCGTATGTTGTAGCCATATTATTTACAATAAAGCTATTCTTGCATGGGAAATTTAAAAAACTGTTACAGAAAGTTATTCATAGCATAAGCATTAGTGCAAAGGCAAGACTTTCTCTCTTTTTTTGTTTGTTTTGTTTTGTTTTTTTGGGACGGAGTCTCGCTCTTTCGCCCAGGCCGGACTGCAGTGGCGCTATCTCGGCTCACTGCAAGCTCTGCTCCCGGGTTCACGCCATTCTCCTGCCTCAGCCTCCCGAGTAGCTGGGACTACAGGCGCCCGCCACCGCGCCCGGTTTTTTGTATTTTTAGTAGAGACGGGGTTTCACCATGTTAGCCAAGATGGTCTCAATCTCCTGACCTCATGATCCACTCACCTCAGCCTCCCAAAGTGCTGGGATTACAGGCATGAGCCACCACGCCCGGCCGCAAGACTTTCACTAGCCACAATGCACAATGTTGTCTTCTGGCATGCTGTCCCTACCAGAACAGGGGCAAGAGACACGTGAATTCTTTATGAAGCCAAAAAGTTACAGCTCCTAAGCAGCTGCATCCCTGTTGGTCCCTGACACTCCCTGAGCCTCTGCCTTTCACTCACATAGAGCTCACGTACAGCAGCCTTTGTAAACACAGAAACATAACAGAAAAAGAGACAGAATATACAATGTTTATATTCATTTTTTGGCAGCAAAATATTAGTGTTTTAATGACTCAAAGCAAAAAAGCTATACAGTCATCACAAACTTTCAAAACAATTCTTGCTAAGCATTCATGTTTACCTCTCTGAAACTATTATAACCTATTACTCTCATTGGAAGGTATCAAAACCACAAGACACAATGGTAAGAAATATCATGGAATTCCTATCACTAACCTGCAAAAGCTCTTGCTTCATCTGTAGGAACTGCCCTGAGATGACGTAGATCACTCTTATTGCCCACAAGCATGATAACAATGTTACTATCAGCATGATCTCTCAGTTCTTTCAGCCATCGCTCTACATTTTCATATGTGAGATGTTTAGCAATGTCATAAACCAATAAGGCACCTACAGCTCCACGATAATATCTGAAAACAGAAACATATTTAGTATCAGAAAACCACAAGATGGAAGCAAACACCAGGAAGAACTCAAAATATGGATCATGAGTTTTAAAAACATACTTATAAATAAATTTCTAAGGATTCCTAATACTAGAATTCTTAAAAGAAAAAAACAACAGTTCTTTTTCCAATACCAAAAGTCAGCTAATTCACTCGATGGCAACCCATTTCACAGAACTTAAAAACCATGAGACTTACGCTGATGTTATAGCTCGATATCGCTCTTGCCCTGCTGTGTCCCATATCTGTGCCTTTATTGTTTTTCCATCAACCTGGATGCTTCTTGTTGCAAACTCTACTCCAATGGTGCTCTTGCTTTCCAGATTAAACTCATTTCGAGTAAATCGAGACAGGAGATTACTCTTTCCAACACCAGAATCTCCAATAAGGACAACTGGAAAGACAAAGAATTCAATGTCAGATGAATGAGGCAAACATATTCAGAACACCACTATGCTTTCAACAGAATGAAGTTTGGCTTCAGAGTAAATAAAGCAAGAAAAATAAGGTATATGACTTTTAAAAAGGAATGGGGGTAGGGGGTTGAACAGCATGTTCTTGACCAGTTACCAATCAATAAAACCGATTTATTCTTTTCAACCTGTTTCTACCTGCATGACTTCCACATATCATCTGCTTAGCACAGATACGGTACCCTGTCTTAAACATGCAGTTTTAATCACAGATGCCCTTGGCATTGATGACAGGCATTAATTACCGTCAATGCTATGCCAATCTTACTACTTTAGAAGATAACAACTTCAAAGATAAATCCTAAACTAAATGAATAATTTATGATATTAAAATGTAATGTATCAGAAATGAAAACAACAAAGGCTGTTAGTGGGTAGGGAAGGACAAAATGAATATACTTCGTTTCATCAAAGACTGGGTGTGACCTCAGGACTGAGACCTAGGCAAAATGAAAAACATTTAACATATGAGGCATAGGGTTTATAAACATCACCATACAGATCACAGAAACTAAAATGACCTTTAATAGTTGCATTTATCAGATTGGTTCAAAGTTAGAGACCCCTCTGCCAAAAAAACCCAAGCCACTACAGATAAACAGGGGGTATTAGGAAACTAATAATTCTGACATACTGTGAGTCAAAACCAAAGCAAGTGCCGGGTGTGGTGGCTCACACCTGTAATCCCAGCATTTTGGAAGGCCAAGGTGGGCGGATTGCTTGACGCCAAGAGTTCGAGACTAGCCTGGCCAACATGGTGAAAACCCCATCTCTATAAAAATACAAAAATTAGCCAGGTGTGGTGGTGGGCGCATGTAATCCCAACTACTTGTGGGCCTGAGGCATGAGAATAGCTTGAACCCGGGAAGCAGAGGTTGCAGTGGGCCGAGATTGTGTCACTGCACTCCAGCCTGGGCGACACACTGAGACTCTGTCTTAAAAAAATAAATAAAATAAAATACAACAAAGCAAGGAGGGCATATACTTTCACTTATGACTCCATGATTTTTTTGAAAATAGGTCTTGATTAGATGAATTTGCTTCCTGTGATTTCTATAGGCAGCAGTTTATTTACTAACTAGATACATGGAGATTCTTTTTCACTCAAAGTGGTATTACGCTTAAGAATTTCAAAAACAATGGAGAAACAGGCAGTTAAGTTGTTTTAAAACATTTTCTATCTGAATTTAAAGTTCAAAATGAGTTCACACGTTTATAGAATCTGAGCTAGATATTTTTTCCTTTGTAAAAATTGGTATCAGCATTTCAGGAAACATTACATTCGTTCCTACTTTTGACTACTAAGACTTCTTCTTATCTAAACTAGCTAATTGATTTAGACATCAGGACTAGAAAATCAAACATACAAAAATAAGGCCAAGGAGTAAGACCATTCCTTACTAAAGAGACTGGGATGGTGGTACGAGTGGAAAGAATGGTAAAAACTGAGAGCTCACTGCATTCTGGTCAGAGGGCAAAGAGAGTCCATTATACATTCCCTCCTTGCCACAGGAGTGGATATAAGCTAGCCTCTGGACAGTCTTGGACAGAGTACATTATCAAATGCATATCTTTCTGGCTTTCTCAGTCAGCTGATTCAGCAAGAAATCATTCAGGAGGCAGTGAATCCAATGCAGCACAAAGAATGGTTATTTCTAACTAGAGAGTCAACTAGAGGGTGTCAAAGATGCTGTGGCAAACACATACATGCTTTTATTTGATATCAGAAGAAAATGTCAAAGTTATTAAAGTGATGTACAAAAGCAATGCACTTTCAATTTTATAGGATGGTTAGTTGATATACTAGTTTCCAAGGTCCACCATTCTGGATATGAAGTCAAATCTCAGTTTCAGTTAATAGTCTATTATTAATAGGATACATTCACTGTTGCCTCTTAGTACAAAAGGCTGGATGTTTGCTAAGGAAATGGCCTTTGAATCACTTATACAAAAAAAAAAATTTAAATACAAAAAAATACACAAAAAATACATGAATAAATACAAACAAAAAAATTAGACAGGCACGGTGGTGCATGCCTGTAGTCCCAACTACTCAGGAGGCTGAGGTGGGCAAATGGCTTGAGCCTGGGAGGCAGAGGTTGTGGTGAGCCTGGACTGTGCACCACTGTACTCTAGCCGGGGGAGTAGAGCCAGAACTTGTCTCAAAAAAAAAACTTCCAGCACTTTCTTTCTTTCTTTCTTTTTTTGAGACAGGGTCTCACTGTCGCCCAGGCTGGAGTGCCACGGCACAAGCAGAGCCCACTGCAGCCTAGACCTCCCAGGCTCAGAGGATCCTCCCACCTCAGCCTCCCTAGTAGCTGGAACTACAGGCACATGCCAACACGCTCAGCTAATTTTTTGTATTTTCTGTAGAGATGGGGTTTTGCCATGTTGCCCAGGCTGGGTCTCAAACTCCAGGGCTCAAAAGATCCACTCGCTTTGGCCTCCCAAAGTACTGGGATTACAGGTATGAGCCACCATGCCCGGCCAACTCCAGCACTTTCAAGTTTTGGTTTCCTCCCTTTTGACCTCCACTTTTAACTAATGATTATGTTCATTATCTCACCAATCTCAACTCCTTATACCATCATAAAGATAGCAAGGGAACTTTTCTCTTAATGTAACCAATTAATGTTAACACTACAAAAAAAAAGCACTCTAATCTGAAAATAACTCAAAATTCATGAATGTTTTAAAAAGTTATCTCAACTAGGCCGGGCGTGGTGGCTCACACCTGTAATCCCAGCACTTTGGAAGGCCAAGGAGGGTGGATCACCTGAGGTCGGGAGTTTGAGACCAGCCTGACCAACATGGAGAAACCTCATCTCTACTAAAAACACAAAATTAGCCAGGTGTGGTGGCGCATGCCCGTAGTCCCAGCTACTCAGGAGGCCGAAGCAGGAGAATTGCTTGAAGCGGGAGGCGGAGGTTGCAGTAAGCTGAAATCGCAGTAAGCTGAAATCGCGCCATTGCACTCCAGCCTGGGCAACAAGAGTGAAACTCCATCTCAAAAAAAAAAAAAAAAGTTATCAACTAGACATCTGCTGTATTTGAGTATCATCGCAAATACCTAATACTGAATATCAAGCTGCTAAATGCATAAAAGCAGAATATACATATTAATTATCCATTGAAAATTTCTGCCTCTTCAACCACATTTAGTTTTATACTTTCTCTTGCAAACTAATTTACTGGACTAAAATATAATTCATCAAAGACAGTACCTCAACCCTAAAAGTTACCACGTGAGAGAATAACTGGTAATTTTCATTCTAGTTTTCATAAATTTGGAGACATTTCTATTCTTTCAACTATATTCATAGTCCAACCTCCTCAAAAGTTTTTAATATACAATGCGTTCAAGGCAGGACACAGTGGCTCATGCCTGTAATCTCAGCACTCTGAGAGGCCAAGGTGGGAGGATCCCTTGAGCCCAGGAGTTTGAGACCAGCCTGGGCAACGTAGGGAGACCCTATCTCTACAAAAAAGAAAATTTTATTTCTGTAAGTGGGATAGTCTTAAAAAAAAAAAAATAGCCAGGCATGGTGGAGCACATTTGTAGTTGCAGCTACTTGGGAGGCTGAGGCAGGAGGATTTCTTGAGCACAGGAATTTGAGGCTGCAGTGGGCTATGACTGTGCCATGGCACTCCAGACTGGGCAACAGAGGGAGACCCTGCCTCAAAAAATATATATATATAGATATAGATATAGATATAATGCATACAATAAGGCTCAAGTCTAGACAAGTTTTTCCAGATTCAGCAGAATCTGAGTTGCTCAACCAAAACTTGTGAAAGAAAAACTACTACCAAGATGCAAGACAGCAAAGTTCCTATGATAATTTCTACTGACAATCAGCTGATGGTTAATTACTACTGACCTCCAATGTGATTGAAAAGAAAATGTCTTAAGCAATAGACTATGTATCCAGATATTTTCAGAAAATCTAACTGTGGATTGGTGTCTACCACACAATATTTGTAAACAGAAATCATGATTGATGCTTACTTATGTCCCACAGGGCCTTAACCACATTGTTCGTAAATACTTAAGGAATTAAAGTTTTAAAAATAAAAAGTCAACTTTAAATAAAATAAAACTAATTCCCTCCCACCAAAAGTCTCACTATTGGGCTTAAATAAAGGTTACTGTTCAAGAACAAACACATAATTTAGAATAATTGTCCTGCTCGCCCCACATTACATTCCTATTTAGACCACTCCATCCCCTATTAATCAAAATATCCCTTTATTTTGAACTGGTTAGTTACAAACTAACTCCAATTCCCTCAACTATTGCATTTGCTAGGTAAACCTTCTAAGTAGAAACAGCTGCAGTCCATCTCAGTGAATAAATCTCTGTACAATAAAGCCATTTTGAAATAAAATCATTCTTGCTTCACTTTAAAGTAGGATACTTGTATAAATAAGAAATTGGCTAAATAATCAGCATTGAAGTTAAAAAAGAAAAAGAAAAAGTGACTCATATCCTGTAAGAGCTTTAAAAAAGTAGAAATCTGGCCAGGCACGGTGGCTCACACCAGTAATCCCAGCACTTTGGGAGGCCCAGGCGGGCGGATCACCTGAGGTCAGGAGTTCGAGACCAGCCTGACCAACATGGAGAAACCCCGTCTCTACTAGAAATACAAAATTAGCCGGGTGTGGTGGTCCATGCCTGTAATCCCAGCTACTCGGGAGACTGAGGCAGGAAAATCGCTTGAACCCAGGAAGCAGAGGTTGCAATGAGCCGAGATCGCGTCATTGCACTCCAACCTGGGAAACAAGAGCGAAATACCATCTCAAAAAAAAAAAAAAAAAGTAGAAATCCTCCTTAGCAGAATTTTTAACACCCTATCTTAAACAGCAAAATGCACAACAAAATGAAACCATAACCCATGGAAACATAAAATGCATTCGAAGTTCCTAGTTTTATTTTCTTTAATAATATTTAAATGCTCTTGTAGTTGAACCTACATTTAAGGTTCAAAAAACTGACAAAGGCCAGGCACAGTGGCTCACGCCTATAATCCCAGCACTTGGGGAGGCTGAGGAAGGTGGATTGCTTAAGTCCAGGAGTGCGAGACCAGCCTGGGCAACATGGCAAAACCCTGTCTTTACAAAAAAACAAAAAACTAGCCGGGCGTGGTGGCGCGCTCCTGTAGTCTCAGCTACTCCTAGGAGCTAGAGAGTAGCTAGGGAGGCTGAGGTCGGGGGGTCACCTGAGCCTGAGGAGGCCGAGACTGCAGTGAGCCTTGATTGTGCCACTGCACTCCAGCCTGGGGGACAGAGCGAGACCCTGTCTCCAAAAAAAAAAAAAAAAAAAAAAAAAAAAACTGACAAAACCACAGTAACTTCTTTCACATTATTACCATTTATTGAGTCCTCATGGTTAAAATTTTACGAACAGTCTCATTATTTAATTCTCACAATCTTAAGAGGCAGGTATTTTCCTTTTTATAAAGTAGAGAACTGAGACTCAGAAAAGTTAACTTTTCCAAGGTCATAAAGTAAATATAAGACCTGAGTCAGGATCTAAACCGAGGTCTACGTGATTCCAAAGCTCAGTGCTCTCAATTGTTGCTAGAAGGATGGTCTAATCAAAAAGTTAAAATACTTTAGGCCAATTCAGAATATTTAATATTCTTTGTTAAAAAATAAAAGGACCTTGTATAACCAACATTCAAGTTCAAACCAAACAGGAGAAATACCCTGACGGTCTATCTTGTTCTGAATTAATTACTTCAAAGACAACCTTTATAAAAGCACACTACCATTATACCATATTTCAAAACACAAACCTAACCTTTAACCCCAAAGTCTCAAGAGATTCAAATAGTTTCACATCATCTCAGATACCTTCGGCAAAAGGTATGCTGTCATATACTTTTTGTAATCCAGGCCTCAGTTTTGTATTTGTAAAATGAACTAAGTACCCTGAAAGTACTTTCCAGTATGGAGGGGGAGGGTGGATACCAAAAGTATTCACCCTATACAGTAGAATATTCTGAGTCAGAGGAGTAAGAGATGATAAGAGTATAACAGCAGACTAGTTAGTATAACAAGATTTGCAAAGTATTGGGAAAGCAAAGAAATCTTTCCTGCTTGGTTTAGTCAATCATTCTTAGCACCCAATGGCAAAGACAGAAACAGTCACCATGCTTAACACTCTTGAAACTCCACCCTCCACAGTAAAGCTTTAATAGCAATGGCTTCTTCCTCAGTGGTAATGATCTTTGTTCGGCACACTACTGATGGCTACCTTCCCAATTCAGGAGCAGAGAAAGAGCATCAGAGTGAGAGTGCATTCACTGAACAAAAAAAGCATCTACTGTACTCTCTTCTCATTGAAAAATGTACCCTTTATCTTCGTTGATTAAAAAAAAAAACCGGATTCCTTCCGGACTCAACCAATAAGCAATTCTTTCTAACCAACCCTGACCCTCCAATATGTTCTGTCCAAGGGCACTACATGTTTCCGTATCTTATAATAAATATTTAATGTAACCAAAAGAGCACACAACTTCCTCCCACCCCCAACCTTTTGGGAAAGGTATGTGGCTAACTAGGGCTCTTCCCTTCCTGTTGGATCCTCCCAGCGTTGCAGCAGGAAGCAACCAGTTCATAGAGATAAAGCAAGCTAGTATTTGTGCAGCGCACAACCTTTCCTGCTCAGGAACCAGGCCTTCAGGTCTGGCAAGGATAACAGCCACCACCCATCCGCAACCTCATCTCGCGAACCGAGTAAAGAGTTATCCCGGGTTGGGTGCCACTGAGTAGGGAGGGCAAGAAAAGAAAAGGCTAGGTGGGAAGTAATGTCAGCCTGCCGGGTCACTGCGACAAGTGCGCGAGTGGGTGATGGGCGATCCCTCTTACCCTCCCTCCCACCACCCAGGTCGCAACGGAGACAAGGGAGCTCTAAACACGATTTGGGGAGGGAAGGTAGAGAGAGTTGCCAAATGGGGAGTGGGAGAGGGAGCGGTCAGAGAAGGTTAAGGACCGCGAGAACCGCGGGGCGGAGGGTGGGGGCGGAGGCCCTTGGCCCGCTCAGATTTTACGGGGTCCTGGACCCGGGATGGGAGAAGCTTAGAGGGGCGGCCGTCCAAGTGGAGGGGAGATACAGAAGAGACGCTCGCTCGAGGGGGGAAAGAGGGCAGATAAGAAAAAGACCTGTAATGGGAGTCTGCACCGAAGGCAAGGCCAAGAGGGAAGCGAAGAACCCGTCAGAGGGGCTTCGGGAGAGGACGCGAGCTGGGAAGGGTGTACGCCGAGGGGGAGGGGGCGCTACACCCGAAAAGAGAGATGGTGGGAGGAGCGGCGGGGCCGTAGAACCCGGGGAAAGGAATTCGACGATGTGGGAGAAGGCAGTCCGCCAGGGGAAGGACACGCAGGGAGGGGCTCTGAGGCCAGCGAAGGCCTATGGAGAGGTCGCTCAGAGAGCGGCATGTGATGGGGACCCCTGTCTGAGCGGGGGAGAAGAGGCTGAGCTGGGTAGGAGACGGAACCGCACAAAAAGGAAGGGCTGAGGGAGGCCTATATCAGTGCAGGGGTGGCCGGCACGAGGGTCCACCGGGAGTGGCCCGGGTCCCCGAACGAGGACTGTGTAGAGTGCGAGAGCCCATGGCCTCACCTTTAAAGAGGTAGTCGTACTCGTCGTCGCGGGTGCCCATTGCGCGGCCGAGGAGCGAAAGGGCGGGAGCAGCAGTGGTATCTGTGGGACCAGGGGGCGTCGCTGCAGGGGTAACCCGAGCGCCGAGCTTCAACTGCCGGACTGGGTGAAGAGCCCCTCCCTGCCGCTGCGCCATTTCCGGCAGGCCCCAGCCTTTAAGGGGAAGTACTTCCGGGGGCGGCGCCCCGCCCCTGAGCCCAACAAGGGCGGTGTGCGCGAGAGTCGAGATGCGTGGGGCTTCAAGCTTTAGTCGCTAAAGGAGGCTCAAAGGGGAAACTGAGTCCTGGAACTCCTAGCTACCATAGTCTTAGTGGCCGCTTGCTCATTTCTCGAGCTACCGTGCCGGAAGCGGCTCGCTGGAACCAGGCGGGACCGCCTGTGAGTGGTGGGTTTGTGGATGGGGGCGGGGTTCTCTGAGGATTAGACAGCCGAAGGCAGCTACACATGCGTGGCGGTTCCATGGTGTAATGGTTAGCACTCTGGACTCTGAATCCAGCGATCCGAGTTCAAATCTCGGTGGAACCTGCATTGGTTTTTGTTTTTTTAATCTTGACAACATCTTTAATTCACTTTTTTGGTCACTAAGTAATTGAACAACTATGACACATCTTAAGATGGAGATGTAAAATTTAATCCTTGCCTATGAAGACCTCACAAATTTCCCACTGCATTTCAGGTGCTATCTGCTACCTGGCGGGGGGTTGTCTTAATGAGCTTCTTCACTGCCTTTTTTTTAACCCTGGGCTTTCAAGCCTTGATTCAAAAGCTTCAGTGAAACTTGAAAATTCCTTTTGCTGGAATTTTCTACCTCCAGCTTCATGCACGGGTAGGCGCTTGTCACTCACTCCTCTCCGGAAATCTCGCAATCTATCTCATTTTCATTTAGAGTACTTCGCCCACCCTCCTCATCAAGATTCATCAAGAACTTGAGTCCTATTTGTAGGCCTCTAATCTAAGTCCGTTTACATAAGTATTTCATTTAACATGCCAAGCAAAGGATGGTAATTTCCATTTTAGCGGAAGTTTGGATACTAAGACTCAAGTGATTTGCCAGATATCATGTCGCAGGGCCTCCCTGTATTTGAAGAGAATTTTGTCATTCCAGAAAAGCCTTTATCCAATTATTGTCACACCTCCTACCTCCTATATGCAAACTCTCGATTTAGACTTGTGGGCAAGTATGCCTATAACAAGCAGAATAATGCCCCCTGCCAATGATGTCCACTTCCCAATTCCTGGAGACTGAATAGGTTAGGTTACATGGCAAAGGGGAATTGAGGTTACAGATGAAATTAAGGTTGCTTATCAGCTGACATTAAATTAGGGATATTATCCTGGATTAGTTGGGTGGGCCCAGTGTTGTCATAAGGTCCTTAAAAGTAGAAAATGGGCTGGGCACGGTGGCTCAGGCCTTAATTCCAGCACTTTGGGAGGCCAAGGTGGGTGGATCACCTGAGGTCAAGAGTTCAAGACCAGCCTGGCCAACAAGGTGAAACCCTGTCGCTACTAAAATACAAAAAATTAGTCTGGCGTGGTGGTGGGTGCCTGTAGTCCCAGCTACTCTGGAGGCTTAGGCATGAGAATTGCTGGAACCCGGGAAGCGGAGGTTGCAGTGAGCTGATACCACGCCACTGCACTCCAGCCTGGGCAACAGAGAGAGACTCGTTCTCAAAAAAAAAAAAAAAAAAGTGGAAAATGGAGGCAGAAGAGGTCAGAGTGATGTGACTTGAAAAGACCTCAATCTGCCCTTGCTGGCTTTGAAGATGGAGGAAAGGGCCCAGGAGCCTAGGAATCTGGAGGCTTCTAGAAGCTGGGAAAGGCATGGAAACAGATTCTTCCATAAGGCCCCCAGAAGGAACACAGCCCTGCTGACAACTTGATTTTAGCCCAATGAGACACTTGTCAGACCTGTGACCTACAGAACTTTAAGCAATAAATTTGTGTTGTTTTATGTCACCAAGTTTGTGGTAATTTGTTATAGAAGCAATAGAAAACAAATACAGTGCCAATTTCCGTGCTTTCTCTACTGCTATAAAGTGATAGTAAGTTTATCTAAGGTCCTGTAATCCCAGCTACTCAGGAGGCTGAGGCAGGAGAATTGCTTGAACCAAGGAGATGGAGGTTGCAGAGAGCCGAGATTGCGCCACTGCACTCCAGCCTGGTGACAGAGTAAGACTCCTCAAAAAAAAAAAAAAGAACACTAATGTTTAATTTAGTCTCAAGCATGACTAATAAAAATGGTGTGTTGGTTAATACTGAGTGTCAGCTTGATTGAATTGAAGGATCCAAAGTATTGATCCTGGTTGTGTCTGTGAGGGTGTTCCCAAAGCAGAAACAGTTGAGTCAATGGGCTGGGAAAGGCAGACCCACCCTTAATCCGGGTGGGCACCATCTAATCAGCTGCCAGCGAATATAAAGCAGGCAGAAAAATATGAAAAGGCTAAACTGGCTTAGCCTCCCAGCCTACATCTTTCTCCCGTGCTGGATGTTTCCTGCCCTCGAACATTGGACTGCAAGTTCTTCAGCTTTGAGACTCGCACTGGCTTCCTTGCCTCTCAGCTTGCAGAAGGCCTATTGTAGGACCTTGTGATCATGTGACTTAATACTACTTAATAAATTGCCCTTTATATATGTGTCTATCCTATTAGTTCTGTTCCTCTAGAGAACCCTGACTAGTACAGTTGGTAAGAAAATCAAAAGGAACTCTCTAGTAAAAAGCCTGGAATTATAAATTTAGAAATGCCTAGCCTTAGACTATGGGGGAGAAGCAAGACCTGAAATATATCTCACCCTCCACATCTGGGGAGGTAACTTTACATGTTTGTTAAAAACAAAGTGAGGACTGATAAGTCTGTGTTTATACTTCAGCTCAGCCATTCACTAAAGCTGTGTCAATTTCAATAATTTAATCCTGCTGAATCCCAGTTTCTTACCTGCAAAATGGGGACAAACAGGAAGAAGGAATTAAGTAACAATGTATAGCTGTTAATATCATGCATGGCATATAATAAATATTTATGAATGCATTGATTTTCTTTTCTCTTTTTTTTTGAGTCAGGGTCTTGCTGCGTCACCCAGGCTGGAGTGCAGTAGTGCGATGTCAGCTCACGGCAACCTCCATATGCTGGGCTCAAGCAATTCTCCCACCTCCACCTCCACCTCCCAAGCAGCTGGGACTACAGGTGTGCGCCATCGCACCTGGCTAATTTTTGTATTATTTGTAGAGATGGGGTTTTGCCATCTTTGCCCAGGCTGTTCTTGAACTCCTGAGCTCAAGCGATCCTCCCACCTCAGCCTCCAAAAGTGCTGAGATTACAGGAATAAGCCACTGCACCTGGCCAAATGCAATGATTTTCAACGGGTCAATTTGGTCCCCAGAGACATTTGATAATATCTGGAGACATTTTTAGTGTCACTACTTGGGAGTGCTACTGGTATCTAGTAGAGACCAGGGATACTGCTAAACGTTCTACAACACACAGGATAGCACTCCCATCAAAAAGAATTATCTGGCCCAAAATGTTAATAGTTACCAAAGTTGAGAACCATGAGTTATTATTTTAAGAATTAGCCAGATGCGAGGCCAGAGCCTATGATGGGAAAGGGGCAGGGTGCCATGATCCTCACCTCCCTGTCCTAGCTCATTTGAAGAAAGCGAACTCACTCCCTAGGTCTCAGGAAGAATGCCCAGGGACAGACGTTCCTCCCGTCAGTATCCCATAAAGCAGAGCCTGGGGGCCACCGGCCTGACACAGAAAGCTTCCATAGTGGCTTCCATTTGTTAAATAAACCTATCACTCTTCTATTTCTTTCTTTTTTCTTATTTTTTTCAAGATGGAGTCTCTCTTTATCGCCCAGGCTGGAGTGCAGTGGTACTAACTCGGCTCACTGCAACCTCTGCCTGCCAGGTTCAAGTGATTATCCTGCCTCAGCCTTCTGAGTAGCTGGCATTACAGGCATGCACCACCACACCGGGCTAATTTTTGTATTTTTGTAGAGACAGGGTTTCACCATGTTGGCCAGGCTGATCTCAAACTCCTGACCTCAAGTGATCCACCCACCTCGGCCTCCCAAAGTGCTGAGATTACAGGTGTGAGCCACCGCGCCCGGCCTCAGTGTTCTATTTCTTAACTCAAAGGATTTTTACAGGGTTGTTCCCTTTATAACTGTGTGTTAAACTCTACATACCAGTTTTATGCACTTTTGTAATAGTATTAGGTTTATTTCACAATACAATTTTTAGATGGGGCATGGTGGCTTGTGCCTGGGAGGCCAAGGTAGGAGTATCACTTGATGCCAGGAGTTCAAGACCAGCCTAGGCAACCTAGCGAGACCCCCCCTATCTCTACAAAAAATGGAGAAATTAGCCAGACATGATGGCACCTATGTACCTATAGTCCCAGCTACTCAGGAGGCTGAGGTGGGAGGATCACTTGAGCCGAGGAGTTCAAGGTTACAATGAGCCATGATCATACCACCACACTGCAACCTGGGCAACAGAGCAAGACTCTGTCTCCAAAAAAAAAACAAAAATGTTTTTGAGAGAGAAAAGTTGACAAACCTTATGAAGTGAAATTTGGCCCAGCATGGTGGCTCCTGTCTGTAATCCCAGCAATTTGGGAGGCCAAGGCAGGCAGATTGCCTAAGCTCAGGAGTTTGAGACCTGCCTGGGCAACATGGCAAAATCCCATCTCTACTAAAAATAAGAAAAAATAGCCAAGTATGGTTGCGTTCACCTGTAGTCTCAGCTGCTTGGGAGGCTGAGGTAGGAGAATAGCCTGAGCCCAGGGAAGTCAAGGCTGCAGTGAGCTGTGATTGCATGACTGCACTCCAGCCTGGGCAACAGAGCGAGACCCTGTCTCCAATAAAATAAAAATAAGTAAAAAATTTAAAAAGAGGTGAAATTTGTCTTTTGTCTTTTTTATCTTTTATATTATATAGAATATATATTAGAATCTATAATACCATATTATATATATTAGAATCTATATAATACCATATTATATATATTAGAATCTATATATACCATATTATATATATTAGAATCTATATATACCATATTATATATATTAGAATCTATATATACCATATTATATATATTAGAATCTATATAACACCATATTATATATATTAGAATCTATATAACACCATATTATATATTAGAATCTATATAACACCATATTATATATATCAGAATCTATATAACACCATATTATATATATCAGAATCTATATAACACCATATTATATATATCAGAATCTATATAACACCATATTATATATATCAGAATCTATATAACACCATATTATATATATCAGAATCTATATAACACCATATTATATATATCAGAATCTATATAACACCATATTATATATATCAGAATCTATATAACACCATATTATATATATCAGAATCTATATAACACCATATTATATATATCAGAATCTATATAACACCATATTATATAAGAATCTATATAATACCATATTATATATATCAGAATCTATATAATACCATATTATATATATTAGAATCTATATAATACCATATTATATATAGTATATTATGAGGTGACAAATTGTGTACATGATCAGGAAAATTCTCAGCTTTGATTGGCTGGGTTTTTGTTTGTTTGTTTGAGACAGTCTTGCTCTGTCACCCCAGGCTGGAGTGCAGTGGAGTGATCTTGGCTCACTGCAACCTCTGCCTCTCAGGTTCAAGCGATTCTCCTGCCTCAGCCTCCCGAGTAGCTGGAATTACAGGCACATGCTACCACGCCCAGCTAATTTTTGTATTTTTAGTAGAGACAGGGTTTCGCCATGTTGACCAGGCTGGTCTCGACCTCTTGACCTCTGGTGATCCACCTGTCTCACCCTCCCAAAGTGCTGGGATTACAGGCATGAGCCACCACACCTGGCCTGATTATTTGTTTGTAGTAACTAAAGTATCAGCTAGTCTTAAAGAAAAAAGTGATAAAATATACATATTTACAAATAAATGTACTAGGCCAGGTGTGGTGGCTTAAGCCTGCGATCCCAGCACATTGGGAGGCCAAAGCAGGAGGATTGCTTGAGGTCTGGAGTTCGAGACCCCTGGCCAACACGGCAAAACCCCATCACTACTAAAAATACAAAAATTAGCTGATGTGATGGCGCATGCCTGTGATCCCAGCTACTCAGGTGGCTGAGGCACGAGAATTGCTTGAACACAGGAGGCAGAGGTTGCAGTCAGCCAAGATCGCACCACTGCACTCTAGCCTGGGTGACAGAGCGAGACCATCTCAAAAGAAAAGAAAAGAGGTAGTGGTGATGGTTGCACAGCATTGCAAATGTACCTAATGTCACTGAATTATACACTTAAATGGCTAAAATGGTAAATTTTGTTATGTGTATTTTACCACAAAGAAAACTAAAAGGAACTTAAATCTCAGATTTTATCATAATAAAGACAAAAAACAGAAGGTTAGGATGAAGGGGCTGATAGTGGTGCAAGACTGGGACAGGCTCCTGTGAGGTCCTTAGTCTTCACAAGATCCCTGTCTCTCTGGGGGCTGTTTGCCTCTTTCCTGACAGTCTCCCAGAATTCCTGTGGACTGGCTGGCTTTCAAGACCAAAATCAGCTTGTTCACCCTTGACCACACCCAGCCCAGAAAAGACACCTCCATTGGCCTCTGAAATCCCACCACAGAGTCATTTCTTTAGCTACGTACTGATTGCCAGCTCCTCCCCTTTCCCCACACCCCCACCATGTGCCTCTGTATATGGCTGTGTGTTTACTACTGCCTCCTAGAGGAGTGAACTGGCCTTGGCTCTGTGGGACTCCATCATGTTCCTGCATTCTCCCATGTGGATAAGAACTATGCTCACTCAAAGGAGGAGAAAAAAACTAGTAGAGTCTCATTTTTGTTTCTCAATCATTTATTTAGAAAATACTAGACCTTTTGGTAATGTAAAAACAAAAATACCACAATATTAAATTGTCAGGTGAGCAAAAAGAAGATAAAGCTGATACTTCTTAGGCTAGGTGTGGTGGCTCACACCTGTAATCCCAACACTTTGGGAGGCCAAGGTGGGAGGATCACCTGAGGTCAGGAGTTCAAGACCAGCCTGGTCAACATGGGTAAACCCCGTCTCTACTAAAAATACAACAATTAGCAGGCATGGTGGTGGGCACCTGTAATCCTAGGTACTCGGGAGGCTGAGGCAGGAGAATCACTTGAACCCGAGCAGCGGAGGTTGCAGTGAGCCAAGATTGCGCCAGGGCACTCCAGCCTGGGCAACAGAGTGAGACTCCTTCTCAAAAAAAAAAAAGAAATAAAAAAGATAAAGATACAAAGATGACACTTCTAGATGTGGAGCCAAGGCTTAGAACAGGGGAATAATTACTGTGCAACTTCATCGATCCACCCCTAGGTATTTACCCAAAAGAAATGAAAGTATATACCCACACAAAAAGCTGTATGCAAATGTTCATAGCAGACTTTTTTAAAAAAATTTTTTTTTGAGACAGAGTATCATTCTGTCACCCAGGCTGGAGTGCAGTGGTACAATCTCAGCTCACCGAAGCCTCTGCCTCCTGTGTTCAAGCGATTCTCGGATAGCAGTCTTATTTGCAATAGAAAAAACTGAAAGCCCAAATGTCCATAAACAGGTGAATGGGGAAGCAAATTTTGGTAAATCCACACAATAGACTATTATTCATTAACAAAAAAGAATCAACTACTGATAAACATAACAATGTGAATGAATCTGAAAATAATCATGCTGAGTGAAAGAAGCCAGAGGGGGAAAAAAGAGTACATATTGTATTATTTCATTTATATAAAGTCTACAGAATGCAAACTGACTTATGGTGACAGAAAGCAGAAAGCAGATTGGTAGTTGTCTGGGGACAGAGTAGAGAAAGACAGGAAGGATTACAAGGTATGAAGACTTTTTGGAGACAGGGTCTGGGTTTGTTGCCCAGGCTGGAGTCAGCGGCAAGATCACGATTCAATGCAGCCTTGACCTCCCAGTCTCAAGTGATCCTCCCCACACCAGCCTCCTAAGTATCTGGGACTACAGGCACATGCCACCCCACCCAGATAATTTTTTTGTAATGTTTGTAGAGACAGGGGTCTCCCTCTATTGCTCAGCCTTGTCTCAAACTCCTGGGCTCAAGCGATCTGCCCGCCTCAGCCTCCCAAAGTGCTGGGATTACAGGTGTGAGCCACTGAGCCCAGCTGACACTTGCAGGGATAATGGATATGTTCATTATCTTTATTGTGCTAATGGTTTCACAGGTGTATACATATCTCAAAACTCATCAAATTTCACATTTTAAACAGGTGCTCTGTATTGTTTTCTGGAAAGAGAGAGCAAGATCAAGAAAGAAAAAGGAGAGCACAAAAACAGAAAGTCCTCCCTCATCTTTGATATTCTTGAATGCAAGATTGGAATACTCAGATGCCAAAAATCATTATCACTACTCTCATACACACTAACCACTAAGTCACCTACATGGTTCCTTTCCTTTTTTTTTTTTTTTTTTTTTTTTTTGAGATGGAGTCTTGTTCTGTCACCCAGGCTGGAGTGCAGTGGCACGATCTCGGCTCACAGCAACCTCCGCCACCCGGGTTCAAGTAATTCTCCTGCCTCAGCCTCCCGAGTTGCTGGGATTACAGGCACGTGCCACACCGCCCAGCTAATTTTTTGTATTTTTAGTAAAGACGGGGTTTCACTGTGTTAGCCAGGATGGTCTCGATCTCCTGACCTTGTGATCCACCTGCCTTGGCCTCCCAAAGTGCTGGGATTACAGGCATGAGCCACTGTGCCCAGCCCATGGTTCCTTTCTTTACAATATCTCTTGGTATGTTTCTTTCCATTCCCATAGCCACCACTCTGGTGTGATTTCCTTCTCCACTGTTTGGTTACAACCTAACCCTACCCTCAGTTTTCTCCCACTTCAATCCAACATGCTGGTGGCTGCCAGAATAATCTTAACAAATGACACCTCCAACTGCATGATTCCTATTATTCAGAGCCATCATTGAAATATCTATGTAAGTCCACACATGCCTGAAAACAAAAGGTTATAAAAATAAAATGTTAGCAGTGGTTATTTCTGCAGAATAGGATTACAGGTGATTTTTATTATTTTGTTTATCTGTTTTCTATATTTTATAGGAGATTTTAAAATAAAAAAAGCTTTACTGGTCTTGCTTGTTACAAAAGGAATGAACAGTCATTGTAAAATAGTCAAATAACACAAACAATATAGAAGTACAGTAAACTTGGAAAGTGAAGTTTGTTTCCTCCTGGCTGCCAACATTGTGGTTTCCTCCCCAGCACCACCCCACCCCTTCCATCCAGAAAACAGCCAGGCAGTTTGGGTGGGATTATCCCTACCCACAGCTCCAGGAGTGGCTTCTGGAATTATCTAACCCTGAGGTTCTCAATCCTAACATCCAAACCCTGATATTGTAACAAACGTTTCATAACACTGTCTTTACCATCCTGACATCAATAGATCTTATCTTATGATATACCTTCCTGCACACATAATTTTAAGTTGGGAGTCAAGCTTGCTGATATTTTAGTGTTTTCTTTATTTTATATATGTGTATGTGTGTCTTTGTATGCCCATGCAGGCATGTACATATCATACATCCTATTTTAGTTGTTGAGTACATATTACACTTAGAAAAAGTTACATAGGAAAACACCAGAGTTGAAGAAAGATGTCAACCATCATTTTAGAGAACCTTTTGAGTGCTGCATAGGTGAGTGCACACACTTTAAAAATCAATATAATGCTATAAGTATAAAGGATAAATAAGAAAATAATGCATTATAAAAAGATATGTGTTTCAATAAGTAAATGCTTGATGGCGGGCGTGGTGGCTCACACCTGTAATCCCAGCACTTTGGGAGGCTGAGGCAGGAGGATCAGTTGAGCCCAGCCTGGGCTATGGTAGTAAGACCTCGTCTCTACAAAAAAAAAAAAAAAAAAAAAAGTAAATGCTTGAGCACAAGTGTAATAGAAGACATAATGAAGTAATTAGATACTTGCACCTAACAGAATCACCATTTATGTAACAATGTTTATTGAGTACCTACTATGTGCTGGGCACTGTTTACTAGGGATACAGACAGAAATCCTTGCCTTAGACTGGGCACAGTGGCTCATGCCTGTAATCTCAGCACTTTGAGAGGCCAAGGTGGGTGGATCGCTTGAGCTCAGGAGTTCGAGACCAGCCTGGGCAACATGGCGAGACTCTGGCCCTGCTAAAAATACAAAAAAATAGCCGGGCATCGTGGTGCATCCCTGTGGCCCCAGCTACTCGGGTGGCTGAGGTAGGAGGATCGCTTGAGCCTTGGGGGCAAAGGTTGCAATGAGCAAGTTCACACCACTGCACTCCAGCTGCGCCACAGAGTGAGACCATGTCAAAAAAAAAAACAAAAAAAGAAAGCGGGGGGGAGGGTTAGAGAGAGAAAGAAAGAAAGAGAAAGAAAGAGAAAGAGGGAGAGAAGAGAGAGAAAGAGGGAGAGAAGAGAGAGAGAAAAGAAGGAAGGAAGGAAGGAAGGAAGGAAATTAAGGAAGGAAGAAAAGAAAGAAAAAGAAATCCTTGCCTCATGGAGCAAACATTCTAGCAGGGTGGTGTGGTTATAGACCACAATCAACATAATACATAAGTAAGTTATGTATTACATTAGAAGATGACAACTGTTCTGATCTTTTTTTTTTTTTTTTTTTGAGGTGGAGTCTTGCTCTGTCACCCAGGCTGGAGTACAGTGTACAATGGTGCTATCTCGGCTCACTGGAACCTCCACCTCCCCAGTTCAAGTGATTCTCCCGCCTCAGCCTCCCGTGTAGCTGGGATTACAGGTGCGTGCCACCATGCCCGGCTAATTTTTGTGTTTTTGTAGAGATGGGGTTTCACCTTGTTGGCCAGGCTGGTCTTGAACTCCTGACCTCAGGTGATCCGCCCACCTCAGCCTCCCAAAGTGCTGGGATTACAGGCCTGAGCCACCACGCCCGGCCCTGTTATGACTTTTTTAAAGTAGAACAGGGTAAAAGGAAATAAGAGTTCAGAGCAGTAGAGAGGTGGGTAGTGACTTGCAGTTCAAAATAGAGTAGTCAAGGCAGCCTCACTAGAAGGTACATTTGAGCAAAGATTTAAAGGAGGTGAGGGAATGAATCACACCGATTATCTAGGGGAAAAATACGCAGGCAGGTGGAATAGCTAATGTGAAGACCCTAAGGCAGAAGCTTGTCTAGCAAGTGCGTGGTCTGTAAACGGACCAGGGAGGTGGATTAGAGCAGGTACTATAAATAAAAGCAGAAGTAGGAGATGGGTCAGAGAAGTAAAGAAGCCAGATCTTGAAGGGCCTCATGGGCCACTGTAAGGCTTGTACTCTGAGTAAACTGGTGAAACATGAGAAGGTTTTGAGCAGAGGAGTGACATGATCTGACCTACATTTTAAAAGGAAAAATCTGGCTGCTCTGTTGAAAACATTGTAGGAGGAGAAGGATGGAAGCAGGGAGACCAGTTGGGAGGTTGTTATAAGAATCCAAGCAAGAAATCAATGCAACAGCTTCAAATGCAGACTAATATTCACTAGTGTATTTTGTAGACGTCATTGATTGTAGGATACATCCTGATTTCAGAGATGTTAAAATATGCAGTGTGAATTGCATTATGCAGTGTGAATTGCAATATGCAGGGCTAAATCAGTGACTCAAATACCACAAGTGTTGGTTGTTGAAGACATGATTTTCTGAAACAGTGAACAACTTTTGGTAAAGTTCCAAATGTAGCTAAATACTATTTTCTGTCAATTTACTCATTAGCCTCATATCTGGATATTCTGTTTATATTAAAACCATGCAAAAATAGTTTATATTTATATATAAAATGGAATGAGAGGCTAGGCTCAAATTATTACACACAAGTTTTTAAAAATCTACATTAATGTCGAGCAGGGCATTAAAAGTTGTGCGGAATGTGGGAAAATTCTGTAATGTATTTACCCATACATTATCAGAAATCTAATGCCCCTGGCCCACATTCTGTAAATGACCAATTATTGTGACAGCCAAAATTTCTCCCCAAGGCTAGGTGCAGTGCTCACGCCTACAATTCCAGCACTTTGGGAGGCCGAGGCGGGCGGATCACTGGAGGTCAGGAGTTCGAGACTAGCCTGGCCAACATGGTGAAACCCCGTCTCCACTAAAAATACAAAAACTAGCTAGGCATGGTGTTGCGTGCCTGTCATCCCAGCTACTCGGGGGACGAGGCAGAGGTTGCATTGAGCCAAGATGGCGCCACTGCACTCCAGCATGGGTGACAAGAGTGAAACTCTGTCTCAAAAAAAAAAAAAAAAGTTTCTTCCCAAATTTCCAAAGAGAGCCCTAGAATGTGATGCCAGCAGAGTGCATGATCCAGAAACATACTATTATGGTCCAACCAGAGAGAAGCCTGGGTGGGCTGCATGATGGGTGAAGGGAGACACCCAGCACCTTAGTGACACCTGTAGCCTCGCCTCAATGTGCTGCAACTCTCCCACCACCAGGGGGAGCTAGCCTTAGGATGAGGCTTTTATTATACCTTTTTAGGCAATGTAATTTTCTTTAAAAATGTGATAAAATACACATAAAACGTACCATCTCAACCATTTTTACGTTGTACAGTGTACATTCACATTGTTATGCAACAAATATACCCAGAACTATTTTCTTTCTTTCTTTTTTTTTTTTTTTGTTTGAGACTGAGTCTTGCTTTCTTGCCCAGGCTGGAGTGCAGTGGCACGATCTTGGCTCACTGCAAACTTCACCTCCCCGGTTCCAGCGATTCTCCTGCCTCAGCCCCCCGAGTAGCTGGGACTACAGGCACCCGCCACCACCCCCAGCTAATTTTTGTATTTTTAGTAGAGATGGGGTTTCACCATGTTGCCTAGACTGGTCTCGAACTACTGACCTCAAGTGATCCTCCTGCCTCAGCCTCCCAAAGTGCTGTGATTACAGGCATAAGCCACCTCGCTCGGCCCCAGAACTCTCTTCATCTTGCAAAACTGAAACTCTATACCCATTATGCAATGCCCTGGCAGCCACCATTCTACTTTCTGTCTCTATGAGTTTGATTACCCTAGGTATCTCATCTAAGGGGAATCATAGGGTATTTACACTTTTATGTCTAACTTATTTCACTCAATATAATGTCTTTAAGAGGCTTTTACCGCCAGGCATGGTGGCTCACTCCTGTAATCCCAGCAACTTTGGGAGGCCGAGGTGGATGGATCACCTGACGCAGGAGTTCGAGACCAGCCTGACCAACACGGAGAAACCCCATCTCTACTAAAAATACAAAATTAGCTGAGCGTGGTGGCACATGCCTGTAATCCCAGCTACTCAGGAGGCTGAGGCAGAATTGTTTGAACTCAGGAGGCGGAGGTTGCGGTGAGCCAAGATCGCACCATTGCACACCAGCCTGGGCAACAAGAGGGAAACTCCGTCTCAAAAAAAAAAAAAAAAAAAAAAAAAAAAAAAAAAGAGGCTTTTACCTTGAAGGCAAAGGGCAAGATGGAAAAAAAGCTGAACCACACGTTGAACACCTATGTCAACCCATCACCAAAGCCCACTCTGCCTTTAGGCATTTGACTACTTGGCCAATATATTCCCCTTATTATTTTAGTCCATTTGACTCTAATTTTCTATTGCTTGCAACTGAAAATACAAGTGATACCTTCCCCTTCTTTCCTCAAGTAGCATTAACATTTTGGCATATAGTCTTTCAGACTCTTCAACCTGCAGAATCTTTAATATACAATATATGAAGATGTGTATTTAATTCTTACATAAGTGAAATATACACTGTTGAGCAATCTCATTTTTTCTCTGAATCTTTCAATAGTAAGAAATACAGATCTAGTTTAAACTCTTATATACCTCTGTTATATGGATGAACCAAAGTTTATTTAACCAACCTATTATTGATAAACATTTAGGATCTTCTCAATGTTTTGATACTATAAAGATGTTGTAGTGAGCATCCTTCTAAACATTTCCTTTGAATACATTTCTAGAAGAAATGCCTTCCTGATGGTGGTACCAATTTTTATTCCTAGTAATGCTTGAGAGTTCCTGATTATCTTTTTTTTTTGGCGGGGGTGGGAGTGGAATGCAGTGGCTCGATCTTGGCTCACTGCAACCTCCTGTCTCAGCCTCCTGAGTAACTGGGATTACAGGTACGTGTCATCACGCCCAGCTAATTTTTGTATTGTTAGCAGAGACAAGGTTTCACCATGTTGGCCAGGCTGGTCTCTAACTCCTGACCTCCAGTGAGCCACCTGCCTCAGCCTCCCAAAGTGCTAGGATTATAGGTGTGAGCCATGGCACCCGGCCACTGATTCTCTATATTCTTTAAAATATGGAATATTATCCTGTCCATCAATTTCACCTTTGCTAATGTATAAAAATTACATCTTTTATTATAATTAGCAGTATTCTTTTGCAAGTGAAGTTGAGAAGTTTTAAATGTTTAATGGCCATTTCCTTTGTGTGTGTGTGAATTGCCTGTTCAATCCTTTGTTTGTCTATCAGGATATTTATTGTTTGCCTATTGAGTCATAAAAGCTCTTTATAGAACTAAGGATATTAAATCCTAGTCAATCATACATGTTGCAAATATTTTCTTCAGTTCATTCTTTGTATTTTAACTTTTTTTTTTTTTTTTTTTTTTTTTTTTTAGAGACGGAGTTTCACTTTTGTTGCCCAGGCTGGAGTTCAATGGCACGATCTCGGCTCACCACAACCTCAGCCTCCCAGGTTCAAGCAATTCTCCTGCCTCAGCTTCCCGAGTAGCTGGGATTACAGGCATGCGCCACCATGCCTGGCTAATTTTGTATTTTTAGTAGAGACTGGGTTTCTCCATGTTGGTTAGGCTGGCCTCAGACTCCTGACCTGAGGTGATTCACCTGCCTTGGCCTCCCAAAATGCTGGGATTGCAGGTGTGAGCTACAGTGACTGGCTGTATTTTAACTTTTTAAATGGAATCTTTTCCATATATAAGTTTTATTTATTTTAGCATTAGTTTTTCTTATATGAATATCCAATTGCCCCAACATCATTTATTTAATAAACCATCCCATTGTTTTTTGTTTTGTTTTGTTTTTGAGACCGAGTCTCCCTCCATCACCCAGGCTGGAGTGCAGCAGTGTGATCTCAGCTCACTGCAGCCTCTGCTGCCCGGGTTCAAGCTATTCTCCTGCCTCAACCTCCCGAGTAGCTGGGATTACAGGTGTGCACCCCCACATTCAGCTGATTTTTGTAATTTTAGTAGAGACAGGGTTTCACCATGTTGGCCAAGATGGTCTTGAATTCCTGACCTCAGGTGATCCGCCCGCCTTGGCCTCTCAAAGTGCTGGGATTACAGGCATGAGCCACCATGCCTGGCCCATCCCATTGTTTTGAAATGCCATTTTTATATCTTCATTTCCCACTCTAAAACTCCATAGTACATGGATTAGCTTTTGGACTTTCCATTTTGTTCCATTAATTTTTTTCTACCCGCATGCCAGTGCTTCTCATAATTCTTTTCTTTCTTTCAAATTTTTCTAGGCTTATCTCACATCTGTGTTTTCAGATGAACTTTAGAAACAATTTAACAAATTTTAAAATATCTATTGGGATTTTGTTTTGAATTCCATTGCAATCTTAGATTAATATGTGAAGAAGTGATTTATTTTTGAGTTGATTTATATATTGAGTTTTCCCTTCCATAAATATATATGTCTATTATTCAAGTTTTATTTTATTTATTTTAGCAGAATTTTTGTTTTTTCTGTAAAGGTCTTACACATTTTAGATTAAGTTTTATCGGAGGTATTTCACAGCTGTTGCTATTACTGTGAATCAAGTATTTTTCTAACTGGCATGTGGAGGGGTGGGGTGTGTGTGTGTGTGTGTGTGTGTGTGTGTGTCTGTTTATAAACATATTGCTGTGGTTTGAACGTGTGTTTCCAAAATTCATGTGGAAACTTAATCCCCATTGTGGTGGAACGGAAAGGTGAAGCTTCTGTGGAGGTGATTAAGTCATAAGGGCTCCTCATGAATGGATTAATGTCCTTATAAAAGAGGCTTCATTCAGAGAGAGTTTGCTGCTTTTCTGCCCTCTCATCTTCTACCATGTGAGGATAAAGCATTTGTCCCCTCTGGAGGACACAGCAACAAGGCGCCATCTTAAAAGGAGAGAAAGCAGCCCTCACCAGACATCAAACCTGCCCCTTGATCTTGAACTTCCCAGCCTTCAGAACTGTGAGACAGAAATTTCTATTATTTATAAATCACCCAGTTCGCAATATTTTGTTATAGCAGCACAAAAAGACTAAGACATACACACACATATGTATAGTATATACCCACTTAGCCACTCTCCTGAACTAATATTATTTTCTTTCTTGATATTTTCTCAGTAGATCAAATAGCCTCCAAATAATGATGTTTTTAACTCTCTTTCAAAAGTTATTTTTATTGTCCTATTGCATTAGCTAGGCCTTCCAGAAAAACATTTTTTAAAATTTAAAAATAGAACTAGTGGCTGACATCTTGACATCTTTCATCTTTGTCCTGTTTCCTTCTTCTTTTTTTTTTTTTTCTTGAGACAGTGTCTCCCTCTGTCAGCCAGGCTGGAGTGCAATGGCACGATTTCCGCTCACTGCAACCTCCACATCCTGGGCTCAAACAATCCTCCTGCCTCAGTCTCCCAAGCAGCTGGGACTACAGGTGTGTACCACCACACCTGGCTAATTTTTAAATGTTTTGTAGAGATGGGGGTCTCCCTATGTTGCCTAAGCTGGTCTCGAACTCCTGGCCTCAACTGATCTGCCTGCCTCGGCCTCCCAAAGTGCTGGGATTACAGGCGTGAGCCACCATGCCCAACCTCCTTCCTTTTGTTAATAACAGTTTTATTGAGATACAATTCACTTACTAAAAAATCCTCCCACCTTAGCCTCCTGAGTAGCTGGGATTACAGGCATATACCAACACACCTGGCATGACAATTCAGTGTTTTTTAGAAAGCTGAGGTGGATCCTAAAGTCACTAGCAGCTGGAGGCTGTCAACCAGCTACATTCCTTGTAGCTGAATGGCAAGTTTTCTTTTTTCTTAATAGAGTCAGGGCAGGCTGGGTGAGGTGGCTCACACCTGTAATGCCAACATTTTGGGAGGCTGAGGTGGGCAGATGGTTCGAATCTAAGAGTTCGATTCCAGCCTGGGCAACATGGTGAAACCCCATCTCTACAAAGCATACAAAAATGAGCCAGGCGTGATGGCACACTTGTAGTCCCAGCTACTTGGGAGGATGATGTGGGAGGATTGCTTGAGCCCGGGAGGTCAAGGCTGCAGTGACCCAAGATTGCGCCACTGTACTCCAGCCTGGGTGACTCAGGAAGACCCTGTCTCAAAGAAAAAAAAAATAGAGTCAGGGAGTCTCACTATGTTGCCCAGGCTGGTCTGGAACTCCTGGCCTCAAGCAGTCCTCCTGCCTCAGCACCCCTATATTGCCATATTTGTATTGTAATTTTTTTTTTTTTTAGACAGAGTCTTGCTCTGTTGCCCAGGCTAGAGTGCAGTGGCATGATCTTGGCTCACTGCAACCTCCACCTCCCGGGTTCAAGCAATTCTCCTACCTCAGCCTCCCGAGTAGCTGGGATTACAGGCGTCCACCACCACTCCTGGCTAATTTTTGTATTTTTGGTAGAGTTGGGGTTTCGCCATGTTGGCCAGGCTGGTCTCAAACTCCTGACCTCAGGTGATCCACCCACTTCAGCCTCCCAAAGTGCTGGGATTACAGGCGTGAGCCACCGTGCCCAGCCTGCATAATTTTTTACATGTATGTTCTCACACGAACTTTAGGATATCCTCTCCTCCTTTCTTAGATAATTCTTTGTATTCCCCAAAGTGCCTAGCACGATTTCTTGCCCATGGTAGAACCTCATTAAATATGTGTAAAATAAATTAGTAAGTACCTGCCCATTGACTTCAGGACCTTTAGATAATTTGGGGTAGAAAAGTATACAATGCAGTCTTTACAATACAGCCCACAAATGGCAAATGTTTAACAACTGGCTTTTGGGAATACTGATTTGTAGTGTTTGCTAATTTTCAGGTATAAATACTCCTACCATGGTCAATTTCAAGCTGCCCACATAACATTAGCCAGGATGCAAAATTCCTGAAAATTTAACAATCAGTTCTCTCAAGCTGATAACAAGCCACCTCCAGCATGCCACTGGTCCTTACATTCAAAGAGTTTTTGTGTGTGTTTTTCCTTCGGATTTTTATTTATTGAAAGATAAAATTAGAATAATATTAAAGTTTTAAAAAGTAATTCACCTATAATTCAGCTACTCTAAACCCAACATAACTTTATTTTTCTTGTTCTCTTTCAGTCTTTGCTTCACACATGCATATTTTAAGTAGTGTAATTATCCAATTTTAAAAAGTATTGTGACAAATTTTAAACATATGCAAAATAGACAGAATAAAATAATGAACCCCATCTACTAGTACCTAGCACCTTAAAACATTAACCTGTGACCAGTCTTATTCCATCTACATCACCAGCTACTTGCCCCACCCACATACTTACTGTTTGAAACAAATTCTAGACATCATATCCTTCCATCTGTAAATATTTCAGCAGTAACCTTTCCATTTTTCATTCAGCTTTTTGCACTTGTAGCCTAAGGAAGACAAAGACATAAATAATTCAATGAAAACACTTTTAAGTATTCTGATATTGGCAGTAAGGGTTGATTTGGGGGGCAAAGGAAGAGTGTATAAAAGCTACAACATCTGGAGAGCTTTGTTACTGAGTCTTTTCATTTTTATCCCCATCCTGCTTTGTGTGGTAAAGTGCAGTAGAATCCCATTACAATTCCATGCGTTATCATATACACAACAATGTAACATGGACTGAAGTAATCATCAAAACAAATTTAAGGCCAGGCGCAGTGGCTCACGCCTGTAATCCCAGCACTTTGGGAGGCTGAGGTGGACAGATCACTTGAGGTCAGGGGTTCGAGACCAGCTTGGCCAACATGGTGAAACCCTGTCTCTACCAAAAATACAAGAATTAGCCAAATGTGGTGGCACATGCCTGTAATCCCAGCCACTTGGGAGGCTGAGGCACAAAGAATCGCTTGAACCCGGGAGACGGAGGTTGCAGTGAGCTGAGATCGTGCCATTGCACTCCAGCCTGGGCCTGGGCAGCAGAGTAAGTCTCTGTCTCAAAAAAAAAAAAAACAAAAATTATTTAATAGAACTAAATCCTAAAGCAGTTATTAGCCATTCTCTCCAGTGTCAGCTATTTAATTTAATTTAATTAATTAATTAATTTTTTTTTTCTGAGATGGAGTCTCGCTCTGTCCCCCCAGGCTGGAGTTACAGTGGCATGATCTCAGCTCACTGCAACCAATCCTCCTGCCTCAGCTTCCTGAGTAGCTAGGATTACAGGAGTGTGCCTCTACGCCCAGCTAATTTTTGTATTTTTAGTAGAGACAGGGTTTCATCATGCAGGCCAGGTTACTCTCGAACCCTTGACTTCATGATCCACCCATCTCGGCCTCCCAAAGTGCTGGGATGACAGGCGTGAGCCACCACACCTGGCCAACGTCAGCTATTTTAAAAGACTTCACTATAAACCCCGTTGGACAAATTTTATTTTTTACATTTTCCATCTGATTATTCATTGATCAGACATTTTCAGAGAGATAGATTCTTGTCTCCTTCCCTCATCCCATTATTTCATGCTGTAGTGTCATGAATGGTGTTACCCCTCAACCCCTGAGGGAAGATCGGTATAGAGGAGACAGTGTTGAAGTGCAGCAGCAAATAGAAATTTGACAAACACGAAATCCTCATTATTCCCATATTTCCCACATAAGGCATTTGACATTCTGGTGGAATAACTCACCAGTGTAAACTAGGGGACCAGAGACTGCCCTTGTTAGTTTTCTAACCCCATTGGACTATGAGTTACAATTCTAGGCACGTATACTATCTTTTACCCTGGCTCTACCCTGTAAGGAAGATATTATGATGACAAATTTGCAGATGAGAAAACCAAGATTCAGAAAGATGTACACAAGAGCAAACGCTTAAATGTGGTAGAGCCAGGATCTGAACCCTAGCGCATCAGTTAGGGCTATTTTGGTTGCAAACAAAAAGAACTGGCTAAGTTCAGCCCAAAAAGGGGGCCTTAGTCAGAGGGATATTGAGCAGCCCCCAGAATGAATAGGAAGCTGAAGGAGACATGCTAGAAGAAGGGCTGCAGGGATGACCCCATCCACAGTCTGGAAAGAGTGAACTCAATCTGTGACATTTCCAGTCACCAATTCTGTCTCATGTCAGAGTCCCACATTCTCTCCCCACAAGATGTAAGTATGCTTCATTATGGCTTTTAAAAATTGTGGTAAAAAATATACAACATAACTTTTGGGTTTGGTTGTTTGTTTTGAGACAGGATCTCACTCTGTTGTGTGGGCTGGAGTGCAGGGGCACAATCACGGCTCACTGCAGCCTTGACCTCTCAGGCTCAAGCCATCCTACCATCTCAGCCTCCTGAGTAGCTGGGACTACAGGTGCACACCACTACACCCAGCTAATTTTTTATATATATATATTTTTTGTAAAGACGAGGTTTTGCCATGTTGCCCAGGTTGGTCTCAAACTCCTGGGCTCAAGCCATCCACCTGACTTAGCCTCCCAAAGTGCTGGGATTATAGGCATGAACCACCATGCCCAGCAGTATGTATATAACATAACTTTACCATTTTAACCATGTTTAAGTGTACAGTTCAGTGGCATTAAGTACATTCACATTAGCTTTGCAATTTCATTTTTGGCCTTTAGTTATACCTTTCAAATCATATATCTACAGAATCTGGGGAAGAGAGAGATCTTTACATACTAAGGTATGTAAATACAACTACAGGAACTTACCAAACACAAAATTAGGGAAATAGAGAAAAATTGATTGGAGGTAAGAGAGAGAAATAAACAGAGCAGGCAAGGCCCTCCTCTCTGGCACTCAGTGAATGTACACCCCAAGTGAACAAGAAGTGTAAACCTCAGGCACCCACAGGAACCTTCTGCTTCTCATAGTCGGGCATCTCTCCAGGCTGAGGGGGATTCTGAACTTAGATTTGTATTTTGCTATAATACTGTACCAAACACAAACAAGTACTTCTCCAACTATTAATAGTACCTGAAAAAACAATGATCTGTCCTAATGCTAGGGGAAAAACTGGGTGAGAGTTAAAAGATTGGGACAGCTTGAGGCCTTCCTAAAAGATTTCCAAAGGCAATTTTTATTATATTCAATGTTCATCTATATGCTGACCTTTGGACTTCACTCAGGTGAGATACTATCCCCTGTACATTTGCCTGGATTGCAGTAGTAGAGCATTAACTTATACCAAAAATCATGACATTGTAAAAAAAAAAAAAATGGTGAGTGGGAGTACAGGAAAAGAATGACAGACAGAAAGAAGTTCTTATTAGAGAATTTATGGGTTTCCTTGTTTGTAGGACACTCTATAGCAGCACTGTCCAACAGAAACATAATATAGGCCACATAAGTAATTTTAAATTTTCTTGTAGCTGCTGTTTTTGTTGTTGTTGTTGTTGTTGTTTTAATTACACCAGAGCTGCCAGTTAAAGCCACATTATTTTTTAAAGGAAAAAGAAACAGGTGAAATTGGCCAGGTGCAGTGCCTCACACCTGTAATCCCAGCACTTTGGGAGGCTGAAGCAGGCAGATCACTTGAGGCCAGGATTTCAAGACCAGCATGCAGAGGCCAACATGGCAAAACCCCGTCTCTACTAAAAATACAAAAATTAGCTGGGCGTGGTAGTGCATCCCTGTAATCCCAGCTACTCAGGTAGCCGAGGCAAGCAAATCTCTTAAACCTGGAGGCAGAGGTTGCAGTGAGCTGAGATCGCACCACTGCATTCCAGCCTGGGCGATAGAGCAAAACTCTGTCTCAAAAAAAGAAAAAAAACAGGTGAGACAAACAATATAGTTAATTCAACTTAATATATATCTAAATTTTTTTTTTTTGAGACAGAGTTTCACTCTTGTTGCCCAGGCTGGAGTGCAATGGCGCGATCTCGGTTCACTGCAACCTCCGCCTCCCAGGTTCAAACGATTCTCCTGCCTCAGCCTCCCAAGTAGCTGGGATTACAGGCATGTGCCACCAAGCCCGGCTAATTTTTTTGTATTTGAAGTAGAGATGGGGTTTCACCATGTTGCTCAGGCTGGTCTCGAACTCCTGACATCAGGTGATCCACCTGCCTCAGCCTCCAAAAGCCACCGTTCCTGGCCATATATTAAAAATATTATCAGGCCAGGTGCAGTGGCTCATACCTGTAATCCCAGCACTTTGGAAGGTTAAGGCAGGTGGATCACAAGGTCAGGAGTTTGAGACCAGCCGGGCCAATATGGTGAAACCCTGTCTCTACTAAAAATACAAAAAAATTTGCTGGGCGTGGTGGCGCATGCCTGTAATCCCAGCTACTCGGGAGGCTGAGGCAGAATTCCTGGAACCCAGGAGGCGGAGGTTGCAGTGAGCTGAGATTGCACCACTATACTCCAGCCTTGGTGACAGAGCAAGACTCCATCTCAAAAAAAAAAAAAAAAAAAAAAAAAATATATATATATATATATATATAAAATCAACATGTAATCCGTATAACAATTATTAAGGACATATTTTACATCTTTTTTATATTCAGTGTGTATTTTGCACTTACAGTGCATCTCAATTCCAAGTGACCACAAGGGTGACATGTGAACAAGGTGAAATGTGGTTAGTGACGTCCTTATTGGACAGTGCATGTCTTGAACAAATAAATCTGTCATTTTCTGGAAAGTTTGGTCTAATGGGCTAACATTTGAGGGAAAGATGTGGGAATATATATAGTTCTATATCAAAACTTCACCTGCCAGAGCTAACGAAGACTTCTTTGCATCCTAGATTTAAAAGTAGGCAATAGTCTGCCTGTTGACAGAGAATGCAAACCCAAACTAAACCCTATAATGCACCCTTTGCAAAGAGAAGCAGTATCTCCTGAGGCAGAACATAGATCAATAGTTTCCAATTCCCCAACAAGCAGTGAATCATTATGTTTTCATAAGGATAATTCACAGTGCATTCCAATCAAGTCTAAATTATAGACAACAAGTCTATTCTTCAAGCCTCACTGCCTTTCATCCCAGAGGAGAAAACAGAAACAGCTAACAGAGAAAGCATGAAAAAGTACTCAAGTATTGAACTGTTGATTTCATTTAAAACAACAAATCCTGCTTTTTACGACATAAAGGAATGAAAGTAGGAGCTCAATTTTTACTACTTTGAAACAAAATTGAAAAACTGAGCTGAAAGAGCTTTGAGAAAAATGAGACAGATTTTAAAACCGTGAACACCATTCTACTAATTCTGTGCCTACGTAATGCCAAAGGAAATAAAGAACTAATTTATTCATGTCCTTAGGCAGGCACTGCACACTCACACATGCACATGCATGCACACACACACACCCGAAAATTTTCTGCATCTGATGCAGAAATCTTGAGCTCAAAATTTCACATAAAAATTCTTCCAGCTAGGCGTTGTGGCTTATGCCTGTAATCCCAGCACTTTGGGAGGCCAAGGCAGGCGGATCACCGAGGTCGGCAGTTTGAGACCAGCCTGATCAACATGGAGAAACCCCGTCTCAACTAAAAATACAAAATCAGCCAGGCATGGTGGTGCATGCCTGTAATCCCAGCTACTCAGGATGCTGAGGCAGGAGAATCGCTTGAACCCGGGAGGTAGAGGTTGCGGTAAGCCGAGATCGCGCCACTGCACTCCAGCTTGGGCAACAAGAGCGAAACTTCCTCTTAAAAAAAAAACAAAAAAAACCCAAAACTCTTCCATATAGCCGGGCGTGGTGGCACACACCTGTAATCCCAGCCACCGGGGTTAGGAGGTTGAGGCAGGAGAATCACTTGACCCCGGGAGAAGGAGGTTGCAGTGAGCTGAGATCATGCCACTCGATCTATCTCAAAAACAACAACAACAACAATAAGAACAAAACAAAACAAAATTCTTCCATAGTTAGGGACATCTGCAGGGCCTTGGAAATAGCAAATTGTGAAACTGACCTATTAGAAACATCTTCAAATGGCACACATAACTCATTCGGAAACAATCCTGCTGCATAGATGCTCAAAGTGAAAAATTACAAATCACAAAAGGAGATGTCACCGAGAGACTATAAGAGGGAGAGGCAGAAACAACAGACAAGAAAATATATACCCTGAAAACTAAAAATAATAGAACAATCTACAGAGATTTTTAAAGAAGTTTCTCTAAAGTGTTTAAGGAATGGATACCTTAGGGCATAAACAGGGCACTATATTTAAAAGTACCAATGTGGTCAAAGAACCAATTAGCAATTTCAGAAGTAAAAAAATATAATAATTGTGGGCCAGGCACAGTGGCTCACACTTGTAATGCCAGGCCTTTGGGAGGCCAAGGTGGGCGGATCACTTGAGGTCAGGAGTTCCAGACCAGCCTGGCCAACATGGCGAAACTCTGTCTCTACTAAAAATACAAAAATTAGCCAGGTGTGGTGGCAGGCACCTGTAATCCTAGCTACTTGGGAGGCTGAGGCACGAGAATCACTTAAAACTGGGAGGCGGAGGTCACAGTGAGCTGAGATTGTGCCACGGCACTCCAGCCTGGGCAACAGAGCACGATTCCGTCTCAAAAATCATCATCATCATCATCATCATCATTATCATCATTGTGAAAAGCACTTAACAGACAAATTACATAGTATATTAGACATTGCTAAAGCGAAATTAATGAATTGGAAACTGGATTTTAAAAAATCATCCAAAATGCAGCAAAACAGGTAACAAGATAAGGAAACTTTTAAAAAAACAGAGATGTAGAGAATAAAATGAGAAGACCCCACATATATCCAATAGAAGTTACAAATAAAGAAAATAAAGAAGAGGAAATATTTGGAGAAATAATGAGTGAAATGTTAAATATTTGATTTTTCAAACTGAAGTCTCCTAGCCAACGAAAATAACAATACATCTCACCTAAACACATTGAAGTAGAATTATAGAACATCAAAGTCAAAGAGAAAAATCTTAAAATTACCAGAGATGATAAAGCTTATCTTACAAAGGCGTGACTATTATTAGACTTATAGCAGACTTCTCATGAGCAACAGTAGATGCCAGACTATGGACTATCACCTCCCAAGTGCTGAGGAACAGTAACAGAATCAAACACTTTTACACTCTCACTCAAGACATTTCCAGACATAACAAAGATTAAGCACTTTGGGAGGCCAAGGTGGGTGGGTCATTTGAGCTCAGGAGTTTGAGACCAGCCTGGGCAATGTGGCAAAACCCTGTCTCTACAAAAAAATACAAAAAATCAGCCAGGCATGGTAGCATGCTTTTGTAATCTCACCTACTTGGGAGCTGAGGCAGGAGGATGGCTTAAGCCCAAAAGGTGGAGGCTGCAGTGAGCTGTGCTCACAACACTGCACTCCAGTCTGTGCCCTGTGTGACAAAGTGAGACCCTATCTGAAAAAAAAAAAAAAAAAAAAAATTGAGTTTATTTATTTATATATTTATTTATTTATTTATTTTTTATTTTTATTTATTTTTTTTTTTTGAGACGGAGTCTCGCTCTGTCGCCCAGGCTGGACTGCGGACTGCAGTGGCGCAATCTCGGCTCACTGCAAGCTCCGCTTCCCGGGTTCACGCCATTCTCCTGCCTCAGCCTCCCGAGTAGCTGGGACTACAGGCACCCGCCACCGCGCCCGGCTAATTTTTTGTATTTTTAGTAGAGACGGGGTTTCACCTTGTTAGCCAGGATGGTCTCGATCTCCTGACCTCATGATCCACCCGCCTCGGCCTCCCAAAGTGCTGGGATTACAGGCGTGAGCCACCGCGCCCGGCCTATTTTATTTTTTAAAAGGGAATTTTTTGCATCATGAATTTGTGTGTCATCCTTGCACAGGGACCACGCTAATCTTTTGTATTGTTCTACGCTAATCTTTTGTATTGTTCTAATTTTAGTATATGTGCTGCCAAAGTTAGCCCGAGTTTGCTTTTTACAGATTCTTGCTGAAAGAGCTATTCAAGGATATGTTCAGAAAGAAAGAAATTGAACTCTGAAGAAAAAAGTGGGAGCCGAGTGCAACTGTGAGCAAAGGAGCTAGTAAACATATTGGCAAATCTGCTAATAGCTTAAAGAAAGTATCACTAGCTGATGATATCTTAGGAATTAAAATTAAAAAAAAGAGAAGAAAATATCCTGACAGATGCACACAGTTGTAAAATCATCCTATGATGCAAAAAGTTACTTTAAGCAATATTTCATAAATATAAATTCTTTCAACAAGGAGACAAGTGCTAAATAGCATCCAATTAAAAGTGTATTCTGGGCCAGGCGTGGTGGCTCATGCCTGTAATTCCAGCACTTTGGGAGGCTGAGGTGGGCAGATCACCTGAGGTCAGGAGTTCGAGACTAGCCCGGCCAACATGGTGAAACCCCGTCCCTACTAAAAATACAAAAATTAGCTGGGTGTGGTGATACGAACCTGTAATCCCAGCTGCTCCGGAGGCTGAGGCAGAAGAATCACTTGAACCAGGGAGGCAGAGGTTGCAGTGAGCCAAGATCGTGCCACTGCACTCCAGCTTGGGCAACAGGGCAACACTCCACCTCAAAAAAAAAAAAAAAAAGAAAAAAAAAGTATATTCTTTGGCAAAAGCCTGAAGAATGTTATTTGATGTTTTAGATTGTCCTGGTTTTTATTGCTTTATCCTGCTTTTTTTAATGTGGGCCAGATGCAGTTGGTCATGCCTGTAATCCCAGCACTTTGGGAGGATGAGGCAAGAGGATCCTTTGAGGCCAGGAGTTTGAGACCAGCCTGGGAAACATAGGGAGACCTGAGCTCTACAGAAAATTAAAAAATTAGCCAGGTGTGGTAGTGCATCCCTGTAGTCCCAGCTATTTAAGAGGGTGATGTGGGAGGATCACTTGTGCCTGGGAGGTTGAGGCTGCAATGAACTGTGACTGTACCATTGCACTCCAGCCTGGGCAACAGAGTGAGACCCTGTCTCAAATAAATAACTAAATAAACAAGTAGGCTGAGTGCGGTGGCTCACGCCTGTAATCTCAGCACTCTGGGAGGCCAAGCCAGGTGGATCACCTGAGGTCAGGAGTCAAGACCAGCCTGGTCAACATGGTGAAACCCCACCTCTACTAAAAAATACAAAAATTAGTCGGGTGTGGTGGCATGCACCTGTAGTCCCAGCTACTTGGGAGGCTGAGGCAGGAGAATCGCTTGAACCAAGGAGGCAGAGGTTGCAGTCAGCCGAGATCATGACACTGCACTCCAGCCAGGGTGACAGAGCAAGACTCCGTCTCAAAAACAAACAAACAAACAGACAAACAAACAAACAAGTAAATAAAATGTGGCAATCAGTCAAAGGACAGTAGCTAAGAACACCCACCAAGTATTGAGCACAAAGACAAATCACACAAGCTCTTTTACTCAGTTTTCTTGTCACTAATGTGGGGGATTAGAGACATTTTAACAGGATTGCCATGAGGACTGAATGGAATTATCCATGTGAAAGTGCAGTCTGTAGCACAGTAGCCTGGATTGATTTAAAAAACAGTGTATTTGGGATGTCACTGATTATGGGGGTGGAAGTGAGGGAGGGACATTGAATAATTCTAAACAGAAATAATCATGGCTGCTCAGTAGTGCAAGGGAGAGCTACTTGAGCTCAGACCCCAGCAGGGTATGATTTTTCTTTCCAAAGGGATTTTCCTTTCTTTTTCTTTTTGTCTTTTTTTGAGGCAGGGTTTTACTTTGTCACCCAGGCTGGAGTACAGTGGCGCAATCTCGGCTCAATGTAGCCTCAACTTCCTGGGCTCCAATGATCCGCCCACCTCAGCCTCTCAAGTAGCTGGAACCACAGGCACACATCAACGTGCCAGCTAATTTTTTGCATTTTTTTTTTGAGAAGGAGTCTCGGTCTGTCGCCCAGGCTGGACTGCAGTGGCACAATCTCGGCTCATTGCAACGTCTGCTTCCCAGATTCAAGCGATTCTCATGGCTGCCTCCTGAGTGCTGCCTCCCAGACTGCTGGGATTACAAGCATGAGCCATCATGCCCTGCAGAAAGGAATTTTTCTTTATTTTTTTTAGAGACAAGGTCTCACTCTGATGCCCAGGCTGGACTCAAACTCCTGGGCTCCAGGATCCTCCCACCTCATCTTCTTGCGCTCAGCCAAAGGAAGTTGAGAAGTACACGAAGCACTCAGATTAGATGACCCAAGCCTAGAGATATGAGCAAGTTGTAGGAAGGAAGGAAAACATATTTTCATCCACCTCATAGGGTTGTTACGAGGACACAGTAAACATACAGTTAATGTTAGCTATTGTTATTATTAGAATGGAGCAAATATTGCATTGTTTGAGAAAAACAAAACTAAGTATATATGAAAGGCACAAATGTCCACTTACAGAACTTTAAAAAATCTTTTTTTTTATGTTTTGAGACACAGTCTCACTCTGTCACCCAGGCTGGAGTACAGTGGCATGATCTTGGCTCACTGCAACCTCCGCCTCCCAGGGTTCAAGCAATTCTTATGCCTCAGCCTCTCAAGTAGCTGGGATTACAGGCACATGCCACCATGCCCGGCTAATTTTTTGTATTTTTAGTAGAGACGGGGTTTCACCATGTTGGCCAGGCTGGTCTCGAACTCCTGACCTCAAAGTGATCTACCCAGCTTGGCCTCCCGAAGTGCTGGGATTACAGGCGACAGCCACCACGCCTGGCCTAGAACTTTTTTAAAGCAGATAAAATCCTCTCAAAATTACCGGAAGAAAAAAAAATCTGAAGAACATATACTTTACTGAAAGACAGAAAACAATATATGCCAAGCAAGCATAACAATAGAAAACAAAACAGAAAGACAGAATGAGAGTCACATCTAATAATTAAAATTATGTGAATGAAATAAACTGTTATTGAAAGAAATATATTTAAATTAGTCCAAAAACAGAATCAGACTACAAGACCCATATCTAAAATCAGAAATCGATAAAACTCAATGTTGTTGACAGTGGGGCAAACATGTCCTTAAATCCAGTGTTGGTAGGAGTAAAATTTCCAGAAGACAGTCAGGTAACTGTATCATAAAATGGACACACCATTGTATTGAACTTGTCCACTTCTAGAAATTACCCTGAGGAGAAAATTGCACAAAAGCAGAACACAGGATGTTTTTCACGTGTAGTTTACAATATTAAACAATGCAAACAACCGAAATGGCCAACAACAGGAGAAAGGTTGCATAAATCATGGTTTGTAAATATTACAAATAGCTGTTGATCATTAACAATCGTGGTGTTAGTCTACGGTTATTGACTTGGAAATCTACCCATTGCATATTCTCAGTAAATGTAGCAATTACAGAATAATATATAAATTATCATCTCACATATGTGAAACTATATTCATATACCTCTAGGTATATATACTGCATAAAGATGTCTAAAGGATATTCACCAAAATTGGTATGGATGCTATGGGCGGTGGGATTTTGGCGGTGACTTTTATTTCCTTCTTATGTTGGGTAAAATCACTGGTCATGAGAAACCCATTTTTCTGTATGTGTCTAAAAATGCATAAGCCTTTAAAATGACTTGGTCAGCCTCCCAAGATCCCATATGTCTGTGTGCTTCGTTCCTGTCATTCTCTTAAAGATAAGCTTTAAGGAGGGGAACATGACTGGTAGCTATCAGGAAAGCCATGCCCTGACTGGCTTCCTGCTCAAAGTGACCAACATGGGCTAGTTACGTAGATCCAGGATTGTGTCATCTCTAGGGCAGGATTGAAAGCCACTTTTAGGACCAGAATTGAAGAGTTACTGAATATAGGCCCTTCTCTGTTTATATATGTATGTACGTTTGTTTGTTTGTTTGTTTGTTTGTTAATCTGCCAACCCCATTCCCAGAACACCTGGTTTGGGATGATGGCATTCCTTCCTTTTTTTTTTTTTTGAGATGAAATCTTGCTCTGTGGTCCAGGCTGGAGTGCAGTGGCGCAATCTCAGCTCACTGCAACCTCTGCCTCCCGGTTCAAGCAGTTCTCCTGTCTCAGCCTCCCAAGTAGTTGGGATTACAGGCACGCACCACCACATCCGGCTAATTTTTGTATTTTTAGTGGAGATGGGGTTTCACCATATTGGTCGGACTAGTCTCGAACTCCCAACCTCAGGTGATCCACCTGCGTTGGCCTCCCAAAGTGCTGGGATTACAGGTGTGAGCCACCGCATCCGATCATGTATGTATGTACTTATTTATATAAAATTTGTCCAGCTGGGTGCGGTGGCTCATGCCTGTAATCCCAGCACTTTGGGAGCCTGAGGTGGGCAGATCATGAGGTCAGGAGTTCGAGACCAGCCTGACCAACATGGTGAAACCCCATCTCTACTAAAAATACAAGGCCAAGCATGTGGCTCACCTCTGTAATCCTAGCACTTTGGGAGGCTGAGGCGGGAGGATCACCTGAGGTTGAGAGTTCGAGACCACCCTGACCAACGTGGAGTAACCCTGTCTCTACTAAAAATACAGAATTAGCTAGGCCTGGTGGCGCATGCCTGTAATCCCAGCTACTAGGGAGGCTAAGGCAGGAGAATCGCTTGAAACTGGGAGGCGGAGGTTGCAGTGAGCCGAAGTTGCACCACTGCACTCCAGCCTGGGCAACAAGAGCAAAACTCTGTCTCAAAAACAAAAAACAAAAACAAAAATTACCCAGGCTTGGTGGTGCGTGCCTGTAATCCCAGCTACTCAGGAGGCTGAGACAGGAGAATTGCTTGAACCCAGGAGGCGGAGGTTGCAGTGAGCCGAGATCGTGGCACTGCACTCCAGCCTAGGCCACAGAGCGAGACTCCATCTCAAAAAAAAAAAAAAAAAAATTTGCAAAGCTTCCATAATGTCTATGAAAGAGCAAGTATGAAAATTTCCCAGCTGGGTGCGGTGGCTCACGCCTGTAATCCCAACACTTTGGGAGACTGAGGCAGGCTGATCACAAGGTCAGGAGTTCAAAACCAGCCTGGCCAACACAGTGAAACCCCGTCTCTACTAAAAATACAAAAAAATTAGCTGGGCGTGGTGGCATGTGCCTGTAGTCCCAGCTACTTGGGAGGCTGAGGCAGGAGAATCGCTTAAACCCGGGAGGTGGAGGTTGCAGTGAGCTGAGATCGCACCACTGCACTCCAGCTTGGGCAACAGAGTGAGACTTAGTCTCAAAAAAAAAAAAAAAAAAAGAGGAAAAAAAAGAAAATTTCCCCAAATTAGAAGGCTACAGTGACTAATTTCTGGGACTTTCTGGGGCTGCTCTGTGAATTGGGCAGCTGCACTGGGTGGCTGGCTGGCTGCTGAGAGTTCTTGCAGTACTGGCCCTGTTTGCAGCAGTGAGACCAAGTGAACCATGGAGGAGCCTCCTAATTCTTTCATTTATTGTTTGCCTTTTTTTTTTTTTGTAAAGCATCAATTGCTTTTGTAAAAACAAAGCTATTTTTTAAAGGACAGAATGGTCAACAGTGTCTGAGTATGATAAGGACTGAGTTGGGTCCAGTGGACTGAGCAACAGGGAAGTAGTGAGTGACCTAGTCAAGAATAGTATCTGTGTGGTGGTGGTGGTGGGGGTGGCTTTAAGAGAGTGAGGGAAGTGAGGAAGTGGAGAGAGAGAGAGTGAGTTTGGACAATTATTTCTGGAAGTCTGGCCGAGAAAAGAAGGCATGAGGTACAGCAAGGGGTGCCTAAAGGGAGGAAGGGGGAGGCAGAAAGAGGTACTAATTTTGTTTGTTTGCTTTGTTTGTATTTGTTTTTACTATTGAAAAGGAGCTAGTAGATAAGTGAATGATTCAGCAGAGAGAGAGACTGCTCCCTAAAAAGGAATCTCTAGAAAGCTGGAAGAGGATAAGAACCAAAGCACCACAGAAGTTAGCCTTCAACAGAATGACAAGCCTTGTAACTGGACGAGAGGAGGAAAGGCCACATACAGATCAAATGGAGGGCTCTCTTTCCAATGAGAACAGACACTGAAATAAAGAGGGCCCTTAGCCGGGTGTGGTGGCTCACACCAGTAATCCCAGCACTTTGGGAGGCCAAGGCAGGAAGATCACTTGAGCCTAGGAGTTTTGAGACCAGCCTGGGCAACATAGGGAGACCTTATCTCTACAAAATAAATAAATAAATAAATAAGGCCCTGCAGGGGCCGGTGCTATTATTTTTAAAAGGAGGGTATAGCTTTTACCACATAGTATTGAACTAGGTGCTCACCCTGTTTGCCCTGAAATGGAAAAGCTGTCTGGGATAGAAACGTTCATTATCTTGACTGCAGTGGTTTCACCAGCATATGCTCATGTTAAAACTCATCAAATTGTACCCTTTAAGTAGGACAATTTATTGTATAACAATTATACCTCAATAAAGCTGGTTGTTATTGCGGGGAGGACTGTTTTGTTTTATTTTGGTTTTTTTCTTACTCTTTGTTTTTGTTGTTGTTTTTAAGCTGGCATGCCTCAGTCAACAGGGGGCATTGTTGTGCATGCCAAGATGGGAAAGTGGTTTTCCCACCTGAATTTCAATTCTACGGCCCTTCTGGCCAGGTGCAGTGGCTCACACCTGTAATCCCAGTACTTTGGGAGGCCGAGGCAGGCGAAATCACCTGAAGTTAACTCAAAATACAAAATTAACCAGATGTAGTGGTGCATGCCTATAGTCCCAGCTACTCTGGAGGCTGAGGCAGGAGAATTGCTGGAACCCCAGTGGCAGAGTTTGCAGTGAATCGAGATCGTGCCATTGCACTCCAGCCTGGGCGACAAGAGCAAAACTCAGTCTCAAAAAAAAAAAATAAATTAAATAAAATAAAATAAATTCTATGGTCCTTCTATTTTTCCTGGGCTTTTCTCAGATGACAGAGCTCTTATTTATAGGCACTAAAAGAAGGTAATTAAATAATTATAGGATGAAAGTATAAGCAAATGGATGTGCAGATGTCTGCTGAAATACTCTTGATGCCTGAGTAGCAAGCACTTTATAAACTCAGCCAGACAAAGGAGGAGATTGCAGGACAAAATCATTTATTCACAGCCATGTGGAAGCCATACATGAGATTCTCTGGTGGTAAAGACTGCAGTTGCTGTCTTCCAGAGAGAAGGTTTTGTTATGCAATTTTTTTTTTTTTCTGAGATGGAGTCTTACTCTGTCGCCCAGGCTGGAGTGCAGCGGCATGACCTTGGCTCACTGCAACCTCCACCTCCCGAGTTCCAGTTATTCTCCTGCCTGAGCCTCCCGAGTAGCTGAGATTACAGGTGTGTGCCACCATGCCTGGCTAATTTTTGTATTTTTAGTAGAGACAGGGTTTTACCATGCTCCCCAGGCTGGTCTCAAACTCCTGGCCTGAAGTGATTCTCCCACCTTGGCTTCCCAAAGTGCTGGGATTACAGGCGTAAACCACTGTGCCTGGCCTGTGTTCTCATCTGGAAAATCCAACTGATAGCCTTTGCCTTACCAGTGTTAAATCACGTTTAGCATAAAGCTGCCTCCTTACATATCTTAAGTTCAGCCTAAAGGTTTCTCTGTACATCATGAACTATAACCTAAATGGAGCTGTATACAGGCTGTAGTCTACTTTTGTGTCAATCATTGAGTTTTGGCCAGTCAAGGATGGCCAACTGTTCAAACGTGTTCAAATAAGGCAAACACCGAACTGTAACCCATCCAGCTGTTTCTCCTCCTCACTTCTTTTTTCTGTTTGTCATTTTCCTTTTTCTGGCCATAAATCTTCCACCATGTGGCTGCGCTGGAGTCTCTGAGCATACTCTGGCTCAGGAGGCTGCCCGATTCACAAATTGTTCTTTGCTCAATTAAACTCTTTTAAATTTAATTTGGCTACAGTTTTTCTTTTAACATCTGTTTCTCAGAATAAAAGTGAAAGATTCCAATGAAAACATTGAAAAAGTAAAAAGAGCTATGAATGTGACATCTTAATGCAACTGCAACAATTTGGCAACACAATTGGTAATCCAGGGTTGCCGGGTTTGTGAAAAGGTACACATCTCCTGGGCCTCTGCCTCTTCCAGATACTTACGGCCAGTTTTGTTGATAGAGTACACTTGTCAATGACTCTTTCCTCCCATCCAAGCTTCCATCCACCATACCTATCATAACAATACCATAAGGTAAACATTATTAAGCCCCAGTTACAGTTGTATGAAAAGTAGTACAGAGAGCTTAAGTGTCTTCTTTACAAGCTAATAACAAATATATATAGAAGAGCTGGGATCTGACCCCAGAACTCCAACACTAATCTCTGGTCTCCTATGTTTCTCTGTTATCTTTTAAAACACCAGTGTCTTGGCCGGGTGAGGTTGCTCACACCTATAATCCCAGCACTTTGGGAGGCCGAGGCGGGCACATTGCCTGAGCCCAGGAGTTCGAGACCAGCTTGAGCAACATGGTGAAACCCCATCTGTACTAAAAATACAAAAATTAGCCGGACATGGTGGCATTCACCTGTAGTCTTAGCTACTCAGCAGGCTGAAGTGGGAGGATAGCTTGAGCCCAGGAGATGACGGAGGTTGCAGTGAGCCATGATCGCACCACTGTACTCTATCCTGGGCAACACAGAGAGATCTTATTTCAAAAAAAAACAAACAATGAAACATTAGTGTCTCTAATACAGTAGTCACCAGCCACAAATGACTATTTGCATTTAAATTAATTAAAATTAAACTGGGCCGGGTGTGGTGGCTCATGCCTATAATCCTAGCACTTTGGGAGGCTGAAGTGAGTGGATCACTTGAAGTCAGGAGTTCAAGACCAGCCTGGCCAATATGGTGAAACCCCATCTCTACTGAAAATGCAAAAATTAGCCAGGTATGGTGGCATGCACATGTCATTCCAGCTATTAGGGAGGCTGAGGCACGAGAATTGCTTGAACCTGGGAAGCAAAGGTTGCAATGAGTCGAGGTCACGCCACTGCACTCTAGCCTGGGCGACAGAGTGAGACTCTGTCTCAAAAAAAATAAATAAACAAAAATTAAACTGGATAAAAACATCCTCGCTTTCCACATTGCAAGTATTCAGTACCCATGTGTAGCTACTATATCAGACAGCATGGATATACAACATTTCCATCATTGCAAAAAGTTGAAATGAACAGTGTTACTGGCACACTACTGTATGCATCAGTAAGACACAGACTGGTGAAATATTTACTTTTACCTGATTCTGCCCCTCTTTCATCCTTATTGTCTAATTCTGAATGTTTTCTCTAGTCCCTCCTTCAGTCTTCTACCTAAATGCATGCCTGGAACTGGCCTGCTGGCTCTGAAGGGCACCCAGCACACAGGGCAGACACGGGGATTTTGATGACAAAGATTGATGCTGGCACTTTGCCTGAGCCCAGGAGACAGCAGCTCTAAAGCAGTCTGCAGCAACAGCACCAGGGTGGGAAGTGAACACCCTCTTTCTGCACATTTGCTGTTTGTTCACCTGCTCTGTCAGAAGTAGACAGAGGCAGAAAGGAAAAAGGAAAGAAGTTAAGTGAGGAGAACGAGAGGAGTGGGGCTAAAGACACCAAAACTTGGTGATCGAATTGTCTTCTAGTTCTTCCAGGCACAAAAGCTTATTCTCTAAAACCATTAAGGAGATTTCATTTGCCATTCCTACAATGGAAGGAATTTAATAATCACTCACTCTCTTAAAGCACTCACCAAACATGGATTTAAATGATCCCGGGCCTAATGATATGTTAAACATCCACATCCTCCTGATGAAGAAGACCCTAGTATAAGTGTTGAAAAAATCAAGTGTTACCAAAAAAAAAAAAAAAAAAAAAAGCCATGAATGAACTGTCTCCTCACCTAGTCCTGTCAATATGTCCTCCTTCTGTCTTCATGCTATCCTGAATATTTAGAAGCCTCTGCTTTGATACTCACCCTTCTTAAGGGGTCCTTTATGCCCAGGGAAGTTATATGAGGACCCATGGAGGTTTCAGCACTCTTTCTGACATCTAGGCTACAAACTGTCCAACCCATCTAAATGTAACAACAGTTTTACCCACATTGCTTTTCTGGCTAACTTCTCTAGCTCTTTGTGTAATTTAGGAAGTAGCATCTTCAAAACATTATAAAACACTCCTTAAGTAATGTGTAGGTGCTCTTTTGCAAGGCCCTGCCTCGCTCATGTGAGTATTATTTTAAAATACTGCCTCTGGATTCCTGGTCTTCAGTTTGAAATTTTTGTAGCTGCTTCAGCACTTCCTTCCCAGAGAGGGCTTGTGGCCTTGCTCCAAACAACACCACAGGACTTCCGCTAAGTATCCGGTTTTGTTTTGGTTTCCTACAACTGAGCTGTCACTCTCTGAGTTGCTGTTTTCAGAGCCCGCTGGGAGGAAAACAGGAATGGGCCCCTGCGGCACCATGCACAGGGCCAAGGAGCTTGGAAACCACTTGAAGGAGCAGCTGGGTGAAAAGTGGCAGGCCGCTATGGGACTCCTCTCTCAGCCTATGAGGACATAGATGACATCGGAAACCTGTGCTTACAGTTTCTCAGGGGCCTGGCACTTTGCTCTGTTGTCCCAGTGACTCACATGATAATTTTCCAGGCCTTCAAACTAGGTCAACAGCTTTGTTTGCCCAGAGAGCTCCCCTGGGAGGCCATTCTAAGGAAAGCAGACTGAAAGGGGATGTTTGGCCAGGTGATTCTTTTTGCTGGCTTTTAGCCTGAGGAAACATGATCAGTATTCAGGCCAGGAGTTTGGAGAATTAAAAGCTGCCAGCATCTGGGCTAAACCAACATACGTCAGTATTATTAGTTAAATGTTAACCATACTGCTAATTGCAGCCCTCTCCTGGAAAGAATTGAACAGATGATTTGGGAAGGCCCTAAAACAAGATGTCCACTCCTTATAGATAAGAAAGACAGCAGCTTGTGCTACAAATCTAGTCATAGAAGCTTCCATTAACTGTGAGTGGGACCTGATCAATTTTTTTCTTTATTAAGCGATGTAGTCTGATTCAGTATTTCTCAAATTTGAGAAGTCACAGAGCCCCAAGAACATATCTGAAGACCTGTAGACCCCAGTTTTTTAAGTCGGAATTACAAGTTTTTCTTTTCTTTTTTTTTTTTTTTTTTTTGAGACAGAGTCTTGCTCTGTTGCCCAGGCTGGAGTGCAGTGGCATGATCTCAGCTCACTGCAAGCTCCGCCTCCCATGTTCACGCCATTCTCCTGCCTCAGTCTCCCGAGTAGCTGGGACTACAGGCACCCGCCACCACGCCCGGCTAATTTTTTGTATTTTTAGTAGAGACAGGGTTTCACCATGTTAACCAGGATGGTCTCAATCTCCTGACCTTGTAATCCGCCCGCCTCAGCCTCCCAAAGTGCTGGGATTACAGGCGTGAGCCACCGTGCCCAGCCCGGAATTACAAGTTTTTCATACCAGTATTATTCACAATGGCCAGAAAGTGAAAACAACCCAAATGTCCATTGACTGATTGGTGGATAAACAATGGGATACAATGGCAACGAAAAGGAATGAAGTGCTGGTACGTGCTACAACATGGATGAATATCGAAAACATGCTAAATGAAAGAAGCCAGACACAAAGACCACATGTCATATGATTCCAGTTATATAAAATGTCCAGAATAGGCAAATCCAAAGAGACAGAGAGTAGATTAGTGGTTGCCAGGGGTTGGGGAGAGAGGGAAATGGACTGCTAATGGGTTTGGGGTTTTTTGAGGTGTGGGGGGTGATGAAAATGCTCTGAAATTATGTAGCAGTGATGGTTGCACAACCTTATGAGTATACCAAAAAACACTAAATTGTATACTTTAAAAGGATGCATTTATGGCATATGAATTACATCTACATTTTATTTGATTTGATTGATTGATTGAGACAGAGTCTCACTCTGGTTGCCCAGGCTGGAGTGCAGTGGTGCCATCTTGGCTCACTGCAGCCTCAACTTTTTGGGCTCAGGTGATTCTCCCACCTCAGCCTCCCAAGTAGCTGGGACTACAGGAGCATGACACAATGCCTGGCTAATTTTTTGTATTTTTTTTTTTTTTTAGTAGAGATGGGGTTTCACCATGTTGCCCAGGCTGATCTCGAACTCCTGGATTCAAGTAATCCGCCCGCCTCAGCCTCCCAGAGTGCTGGGATTACAGCTGTGAGCCACTGTACCCTCAGTCCATATCTAACTTTTAAAAGTTACATATTATTTTAATTTTAAAAGTTACATATTATTTTAGTTGATTACTGGGTATTAGAATATGTTAAATAGTTTGTGCAGAACAATGAAACCTTGTGTCAAGATTCACTTATGTGGTGGCTAGCCAGGTGGTCCAGAAGTGTAGGTTAATTGTAGATAATCATTGAGGGAAATCTAAAATATACTTGTAGATAATGTCAAGGCCCTAAGAACTCATCAGTAGAACTCTCAAGGGTCCCTGAACCCCAATTTGAGAAACATTGGCCCAGGTAACCTCCCAGGATTTGTGACCCTTTTACATGCTATGTGATGAAAACTCTTTATAATGTACTTTCCAAAGACAAAGTCTGGCCAGGGATGCCTTGGGATTTATAAGTCCCTTGGCTGAACCTTGGTAACATAAGTATGTTATTACTCCATCTACTCTCCAGATACTTAATTGAGCATGTGATCTATGAGGATAGAAATGCATTAACCCCATCATGAGATGAAAGTAGAGTATGATATCAGGTGATCTAACATGGAAGATCCTCTGAGGAAGGCCTCCCACTGGGGCCTCACTTGGTTCGTGGATTGATCACTCCTGACTTAGATACTATGACCTTCCAAAAGGGTCCCTGGTGATGGAATAAAGATGGATGCTGGTAACTCAAAACAGAGGGGAAGGCCAGTAGGCATTTATGTCAGCAAGGAGGCTTTCCCAAAAGGTCTGTTTGGGCATGGGCAAAGGTCAAGGTATATAGGGTGTGGTTCATGGTTGGCTTTTATACTTATTTAACTGGAGGACAACTCTCTCTACTCTTTGTTTTTTGGTTTTGTTTTTTGAGACAGAGTCTCGCTCTGTGGCCCAGGCTGGAGTGCAGTGGCGCAATCTTGGCTCACTGCAACCTCTGCCTCCCAGGTTCAAGTGATTCTCATGTCTCAGCCTCTTGAGTAGCTAGCATTACAGGCATGCATCACCATGCCTGGCTAATTTTTATATTTTTAGTAGAGACGAGGTTTCGCTCTCTTGGCCAGGCTGGTCTCGAACTTCCGGCCTCAAGTGATCCATCGACCTCAGATTCCCAAAGTGCTGAGATTACAGGCATGAGCCACTGTGCCCGGCCTGATTTTTTGTTTTCTCACCTAGAAAAAAAACAGAAATTATCCCACTTGCTAGGGTAGTTCAGTCATCAAACTACCAAATAGGGGCTACCAAAGCCCCTATTCTTTATGTATTCTTTATGTACTACACACTAGGCTTGTGCTGGGAGGAAACTGGTGTGGCCCCTTTTCTAAGGGAGCCCACAGCCCAGTGGGGGAGACTATTGTATGTTCTTAGTGTTATGGAAAGAAACTTTGTGTTGAAAGAACTTTGAAAACTATGAGTGCTTTAAAATATATGACAATAAGTATATTTTAATTATCCAGTATGAGTCAATGGTTGGTCTGATTTCTGGACCTGGGTATTTCTCTAAGAGGACTAGGTCTCGCTTTGTCACCCAGACTGGAGTGCAGTGGTGTGATCTAGGCTCACTGCAGCCTCAACTTCCCCAGGCTCAGGTGATCCTCCCACCTCAGCCTCCCAGGTAGTTGGGACTACAGGCGCAAGTCACCACGCCCAACACATTTTTGCATTTTTTATAGAGACAGGGTTTCGTCATGTTGCCTAGGCTGGCCTTGAATTCCTGAGCTCAGGCAATCCACCAGCCTAAGCCTCCTAAAGTGCTGGAATTACAGGCATGAGCCTCCATGCCTGGCCCAAACTACTTTTGTAGAATTAAACATTGGAGCAGTTACTAAATATCATTCACCTGGGTATTGACTGAATTCACCAACTCCCATGACGGTATTTTCATGTTGTGCCCACTAGGTGTCTCGTTATTTTGTAAGAAAATGGAAAAGCACAATGTTTCTACCTGTGTTACCAGTCAGCTATAGGATAAACATGGGAATCACTTAGCTAAAATCTCAGCCCCGTCCTAGCAATCATTGATTAAAATGCCAGTGGTTACCTCTCATTTGAGTAGAAGCAGGGAATGTCCACAAAGATGTCTTTGTGGATTCTTTCTGCTTCTCATAATCCATGTACCTAAAAACTGTTCTCTTAAAGTCAGGACTAGGAAGATGAAGTAGGAATTCTTCCACAACATGAGTACTAAGACCTTAAGGGTAACAGCACTGCATCCCCATTGGTTTCCTAGGTTAATGTTTATGCTGTAACCTGCATGTGAGCTGACATTCCCTAGCCACACCACACTATTTGTATGCCCAGCCAGAATGTGTTCTTCCCTATACATCAATCAAAAAGACTTGTTTTCACAACACAATCCAGGGTCTCTTCTTGCACTTAGAATTTCAGGTTTGTAAATAATATAATACTGCTTATCTCAATATTTTCACCTGTGTCATGAATGACTTTTCTTTAGATGGCCCATGCCGAACCTTCTGTATATGAGTGACATCAGAGCGGAAGGCACTAGATAACAAACAGGAAACTGAGTGCCTTCAAAAGTTTATTGCAACCTCAAGAGCCCATCTCATCAGGCTTTCATACTCTACTAATGGGAGTGTAAACTGATATGACCTTTCTGCAATACAATTTGACAGTATCTATCAAGAATGTATTTTAAAATGTATTTCAAAAGTACTCTTTAATGCTGTGTCTGTCAGGATCCCAAAAGAAAAAGGATTTCAGCCAGGAGCAGTGGCTCATGCCTACAATCCCAGCACTCTGGGAGGCCAAGATGAGTGAATTGCTTGAGCCCAGGAGTTCAGGACCAGCCTGAGCAACATGGTGTATTAGTCTGTTTTCATACTGCTATAAAGAACTGCCCAAGACTGGGTAATTTATAAAGGAAAGAGGTTTAATTGACTCACAGTTCAGCATGGCTGGGGAGGCCTCAGGAAACTTACAATCATGGCATAAGGCAAAGGATAAGCAAGGCACCTTCTTCATGTGGCGGCAGAAGGAGAAGTGCTGAGTGACGGGGGAAGAGCCCCTTATAAAACCATCAGATCTCGTGAGAACTCACTATCACGAGAATAGCAGGTGGGAAACTGCCCCCATGATTCAATTAACCTCCACCTGGTCTCTCCCTTGACACATGGGGATTATGGGGATTACAATTCAAGATGAGATTTGGGTAGGGACACAAAGCCTAACTATATCACATGGTAAAAACCCATCTCTACTAAAAATACAAAAATTAGCCAGGCATGGTGGCACACACCTGTAGTCTCAGCTACTCGGGAGGCTGAGGTGGAAGGATCACTTAAACCCAGGACACAGAGGTTGCAGTGAGCCTGTCAAAAGAAAAAAAAAAAAGAAAAAGGAAAACGATTTGAGTCAGGATGGTTCAAATGAAGAGACTCTTTTTTTTTTTTTTTTTGTTGGGGGACAGGCTCTCACTCCATTACCCAGGCTGGAGTGCAGTGGCACAACCTAGGCTCACTGCAACTTCTGCCTCCCGGGTTCAAGCGATTCTCCTGCCTCAGCTTCCTGAGTAGCTGGGTTTACAGGCACCCACCACCACCCCCAGGATAATTTTTGTATTTTTAGCAGAAAGGGGGTTTCACCATGTTGGCCAGGCTGGTCTCAAACTCCTGACCTCAAGTGATCCGCCTGTCTTGGTCTCCCAAAGTGCTGGGATTACAGGTGTGAGCATTGTGCCTGGCAATGAAGAGACTTTAATAAAAGAACTACTTACAGACAGGTAGGCTGGGCTAAGGGGTAAACAGGGATGTTAAGGCACCAAGAGAAAAGCAACAGTGGGAAGCAACATTTCCTTATCCTAGGGATAAAGGAACAGAGGGAGGAAATAATCTTACAGAATCCAGTAAGAGCAGGGAATGGTGGAGGAGGGATCCAACCCCAAGAAAGGAGACTAGGTTGGGGGTGGGGAGGGGTAAGCAGCTAGCTGGCTCAAAGCAGGAAGAGAGTAAGGAGGAAATACCCTGACTTCTCTCTCTTCTAGCATACGTGATCTCCGGCTGGTGCCACCCCTGAATAAATCCCAAGGAAGCCAAGGGGCAAGGAATGCTGGAGATGCAATTCTTTGGAATGAAGAAAGACAGAGATTGCGGTAGGGGTGGGGGCAGGAGTGAAAAATAACCTACACAGTCCTGTAGTTCCACTCCTTAGAATATATCCTAGGGGCATAATCAAAGATGGAAGCAAAGAATTATATATAAGAATGTTCTTCACAGGGTTAAGTATAATAGTAAAAAAAAAAGAAAGAAAATAAGCTAAATTTCCTATAATAGAAGGATAAATTATAGTATATCCATACTTTGGAATATTGTCATGACACAATAAACATTTTTAAGGAATCTGTGATGATATGTAGAAATGCTTACAATAAAATGTTAATTGAAAAAAACAAAGACACAAAACTGTATGCACAGTATTAACCCAGTTCCTTGAACACCTATATGCAAAAGGAAAAACATCTAAAAAATGTGAGCAGTATTTACTTTTGATGATAGGATTACTTTTTTTTCTTAGTAGCTTTCAATGTTTTTCCTTTTTTTCATATTAAGCATATAATAGTTTTGTGATCAAGGAAAAAAGCCAGTGCCAAAAAGGAGAGCCTTTCTTATTGAAATGGACTCTGCTCAATAGAAAATATTAACAAAGGACACAATTATTTAAGTGTATTAAAATCAGTGACATGAGAGGTGAACTTCAATCTGTCTCCATTTGATATCTGGACAAAAAGTGAAAGAAAAATCAGTCAATTTCTACATGATATTAAATATCCAGATATTTTTAGCCTGGGTGACATGGCAAAACTCCGTCTCTACAAAAAGTAAAAAAAATTAACCTGGCGTGATGGCACATGCCTGTTGTCCCAGCTACCAGGGAGACTGAGGTGGGAGGATCACCTGAGCCTGGGGAGGTTGAGGCTGTAGTGAGCCAAGATTGAGCCACTGCACTCCAGCCTGGGCAAGAGAGTGAGACCCTGTCTTAAAAAAAAAACATATATACATATATATATATATATATATATATATACACACACACGCACACACACACACACACACAAATAGATACATATATACACACACATAGATATTTTAGATGATTTTGATTCTTTACTATATTTTTCCCTCTTCACTTTCGTTGTAGCAGGACAAGCCACAGACAAAACTCCTCAGACACCGAGTTAAAGAAGGAAGAGGTTTATTCGGCCAGGAGCATCGGCAGGACTCCTGTCTCAAGAGCCGAACTCCCTGAGTGAGCAATTCCTGTCCCTTTTAAGAGCTCACAACTCTAAGGGGGTCCGCGTGAGAGGGTTGTGATCAATTGAGCAAGCAGGGGGTACGTGACAGGGGCTGCATGCACCAGTGGTCAGAGTGAAACAGAACAGACCGGGAAGTTTTACAATGTCTTTCTATAATCTATAGATAACATCAGTTGCTAGGTCAGGGGTCGAATTTTAGGCTTAGGTCAGGCAGGCCCAGGCCTGGTTTCGGGTCTGGTTCCTAGGTTTTGGGTCTGGTTCCTAGGTGCCAGGCTACCTGCCTTTAGTTTTGCTTCTCTATCCTTTTCTGAGTATAAAACAATATAAAACAATATGAGAGGGTCTGTCTCTCTTCTCTCATAGTGACAGGTATGAGATCAATTCAGCTTTAACTGGACTCACTCATCTTGCAACTCTGAAAAATTAAAAAAAAAATTTTTTTTCCCACAACTGTAGCATCAGGCATGGTGGTTCACACCTGTAATCCCAGCACTTCGGAGGACAAGGCAGGTGGATTGTTTGAGTCCAGAAGTTTGAGACCAGCCTGGCCAACATAGCAAATTAGCTCTGCATGGTGGTGTGTGCTTGTAATTCCAGCTACTCAGGAGCCTAAGGCACGAGAATTGCTTCAACCTGGGAAGTCGTGCAGTGAGCTGTCAGCTGTAGTGGAGCCAAGATTGTGCAACTGCACTCCAGCCTGGGTGACCCCCCCAAAAAATTTTTTTTTTACTTGGTACTGTCTGTTAGCCTTACATAAAGCTTTATCAATTTACATTTCCAATAAAAAGTTGAAAAGATGCTAAACCTCACTTATAATCAGGAAAATGCAAATTAAAATAACAATAGGACAATATTTTTTTTCCCATTTGGGTTCACAAATGTAAAAAGGTTGATAATGCAAAGTATGGAGGGAGATAGAGACATTTGTCCTCACATAAAAGTTCTTTTAACAACGAGAATCTACACATTAGGGAGTGTTCCTGAGAGAGATTAAAAGTGATTATATTATGCTAGATTGTTGTGATAAATAAACAAAGGACGCTTCTGTTACAGGTTCATTCGTTATTTTATGTGTGCTAATAGCCCTGCTGTTAACATGTATCCATTGAGCATTTTTATCTTGTATCATTATATTCTTTTCTTTTTTCTTTTGTATTTTCTATTTCTTGTATCATTATTTTCTAATCACTAATTCATTAATTCACTAAGTAGACACGAATTTCTCTATTTTATCTTCTATTATCTATTTTTTTAATAAAAAAGACAGGGTCTTAGTATGCTGCCCAGGCTGGTCTCAAACTCCTGGGCTCATCCTCCCGCCTCAGCCTTCCAAAGTGCTGGGATTACAGGCAGGAGCAACTGCCCCTGGCCAGATGTCTCCATTTTAATAGCTATAGTTTAGTTTACCATTTACACAGCACTTTCTCATCAAATACTTTCATTGATCTCTGCTTCAGTGACAGGGGGAGGTGCTATTTTCAGATGAGGAAATTGAATCTCAGAGAAGTTAAATGATTTTCCAAGGTCACAGTCACTAATAACTGGAGGGGCTCAGGTCCTCTGACTCCCAGTTCCACCAGCTTCCCACTTTCTCAATTGCTTTTCAAACGAAGCACAGTGGAAGGCCTCCCTGGCTCTTCCATGGAGTTCAAGTCAATCCGAAAGGAACCACAAGGGGCAGAATGGTGCAGTGGAGGATACAGCTAGCTGGAAGCCTGAGAACTGTTTTTTTCTTCACTCTGTGCTTCTCCCAGTTGTGTGACCATAGGCAAGTCATTTAGCCTCATGGAGCCTCACTGGCCTCTTTAGGAAAATAGAGATGAAGAGATGACGCTTGCTTACTGGTGTTGAAAGCAGAGATGATGCCATGCAGTTTCTTCTAGCTGTGAGGGTTTTTTTTTGTTTTTTGTTTTTGAGACAGTCACATTCTGTCGCCCAGGCTAGAGTATCATGGTGCGATCTCGGCTCCAACCTCTGCCTCCAGGGTTCAAGTGATCCTCCCACCTCAGCCCTCAAGTAGCTCGGACTACAGGAGTGGGCCACACTACACTTGGCTAATTTTTATATTTTTAGAAGAGATGGGGTTTCACCATGCTAGCCAGACTGGTCTCAAACTCCTGGGCTCAAGTGATCCACCTGCCTGAGCCTCCCAAAGTGCTAGGATTACAGGAGTGAGCCACCGCGCCTAGCCACCTAGCTGTGAGATTTTGAGCCAAACTTAGACTAGTGCTCCTTCTCTGCTCATATATTTTACAAAATACCACTTTCTGCAATGGATTTAGTCTCTGCAAATGTGAACTCATAACAGACAAACTCACCATATAATTAATGCTTTCCTTGATTGGGGTCTAAAACTGTTCCCTTACCTTTTTTTTTCTTTTACTTTTTCTTTTTTTTTTAAGTATTATTAGGTAAACTTGCTGAAAGATAAGGAAATCCCAAGAGAACAACAGCAAATGGTTTCAGGTAGCTCACTGTATCTGAAAAGGTGTTTTCTGCCTGGATCTCTATTTGGTGTGGCCACCTACATTGTTTGTTGCCTATTACATATTTTTACAGATTTTATTATTACAGGTTTTTTTTTTGAGACAGGGTCTCGCTCTGTTGCCCAGGCTGGAGTGCAGTGGCACGACCTCAGCTCACTGCAGCCTCTGCCTCCCGGGTTCAAGCGATTCTCCTATCTCAGCCTCCTGAGTAGCTGGGATTACAGGTGCCCGCCACCATGCTTGGCTAATTTTTGTATTTTTAGTAGAGATGGGGTTTCACCATGTTGGCCAGGCTGGTCTCAAACCCCTGACCTCGGGTGATCCGCCCGCCTCAGCCTCTCAAAACGGTGGTATTACAGGCATGAGCCACTGCACTCGGCTCACAGTTGTTTCTTTATAGTTTCAATTTCCATAAGCCAAAGAGTCTTTGTTTTGTTTTGTTTTGTTTTTAAGACAGAGTCTCCCTCTGTTGCCCAGGCTGGAGTACAGAGGTGCAATCTCAGCTCACTGCAACCTCTGCCTCCTGGGTTCAAGCAATTCTCCTGCCTCAGCCTCCCAAGTAGCTGGGACTATAGGCTCATGCCACCATGCCCAGCTAATTTTTGTATTTTTAGTAGAGACAGGGTTTCACTATATTGGCCAGGCTGGTCTCGAACTCCTGACCTCGTGATCCGCCCACCTTGGCCTCCCAAAGAGCTGGGATTACAGGCATGAGCCACTGCACCCGGCCAAGCCAAAGATTTTACAAGCTGGAAAGAGCCTTAAGAGATCACTTGATCCTTTCCCCTGTCTTCGAGCGGGTAAAATATTTTTCCATTTAGCAGAGGAAGCATCCAGTGCCCAGAAAGCCTGAAAGTTATTGAAGGTTTCACAGCCAGCAATTACCCTCATGCTGCAGGACTTATTCCATTCTTGCTGCACGACCATTTATTAGCAATCCTGACTCTTCCAGAAAATTGCAATGAAAGCCAAAAAGAGTAAACTATATGATCATTAGTTGTTTTCTTTTTATCACACATCCTGAATTCTTCTAGTCCTAACCATATTTTGATGTATTATTTATAAGAGCCATCTGGTCACAGGTTCCTGGAGAAAACTCTGGAATTTTAAAAAGTCTGCTTTATTTTTCCAGGAAACACACTGCATAGCTCCAATCTATCCTTTACGTGTTCATCAGGGATACAGAAGGCAATTTGGATTCTTTTTTTAAATTGAGATATAACTTACCTACAGTAAAGTGCACAACTTTTTTTTTTTTTTTTTTTTAGACAGAGTCTCGCTCTGTTAGCCAGGCTGGAGTGCAGTGACACAGTCTCGGCTCACTGCAACCTCCGCCTCCCAGGCTCAAGAAATTCTCCTGCCTCAGCCTCCCGAGTAGCTGGGATTACAGGCGCCTGCCACCACGCCTGGCTAATTTTTGTATTTTTAGTAGAGACTGTGTTTCACCATGTTGGCCAGGCTGGTCTCAAACTCCTGACCTCATGTAATCTGCCCTCCTCGGCCTCCCAAAGTGCTGGGATTATAGGCATGAGCCACCGTGCCTGGCCTTTTTTTTTTATTTTATTTTAAGATGGAGTCTTGCTCTTGTTGCCCAGGTTGGAGTGCATTGGCACAATCTCGGAAGCTCACTGCAACCTCTGCCTCCCAGGTTCAAACAATTCTCCTGCCTCAGCCTCCTGAGTAACTGGGATTATAGGCGCCCACCCCCACGCCCGGGTGATTTTTGTATTTTTAGTAGAGATGGGGTTTCACCATGTTGGCCAGGCTAGTCTCGAACTCCTGACCTCAGGTGATGCGCCTGCCTCGGCCTCCCAAAGTGCTGGGATTACAGGCGCGAGCCACCGAGCCTGGCCAAAGTGCATAACTTCTAAGTGGACAACTCAAAATATTTTTACATGTGTATGTATCATGTAACACCACTCAGTTCAACATATAGATTGTTACTAGCACCTCTGAAGAATCTCTGTGCCCTATACTAGTCAGCACCCTCTAGGGATAACCACTGTTTTGACTTTTATCACCACAATTTAGTTTTGCCTGTTTTTGAACTTCATATTAATAGAATCAGACAGCATGTATTGTATTTGTTTTCTTTCACTCAACACTATGTCTGTGAAATTATTGACCATATTCTAAAGATGCAATTCATCTTCTGGCTCAAGTCCTCAGGGAATCTGTCAAAACTATGTACATACTATGTTAGCTATACACAGGTATGCATAGTCTAAAAACAGGCAGTTGAGAAAAGAACTTTCTTAAATGACCAAAATAGAATAACCAACCTATGCTGCTCTTGTTGCTTTCTACTCTTGCTTCAATTTCACTTTCATCTCTGCTTTGAAATGGGATCTGATCCACCCAAGTATTTTCTTTTCTTCTCCCACTAATGGATAAATAGCTTATGCAATTTTCCTTATTTATATCCAGCATTCCCCATTAATGCTCCACAATCATTGGTCTACAAGGTATAAATGGCCTCAAGCTATAATTTGATGCAGCCCTCTATCATCAGCAAGAAAAGCATTACTGGGGCCAGGTGCAGTGGCTCATGCCTGTAATCCCAGCACTTTGGGAGGCTGAGGCAGGTGGATCACGAGGAGGTCAGGAGATAGAGGCCATTCTGGCCAACGTGGTGAAACCCCGTCTCTACTAAAATAAGAAGAAAAAATTAGCCGGGCATGTGGCGCATGCCTGTAGTCCCAGCTACCCAGGAGGCTGAGGCAGGGGAATCACTTGAACCCGGGAGGCAGAGGTTGCAGTGAGCCGAGATCCCACCACCGCACTCCAGCTGGGGGACAGAGCAAAACTCTGCCTCAAAAAAAAAAAAAAAAAAGAAAGAAAAGAAAACAAAAGCATTATTATTGGACGGGGTGCAGTGACTCATGCCTGTAATCCCAGCACTTTGGGAGGCCAAGGCAAGCAGATCACTTGAGACTAGAAGTTTGAGACCAGCCTGCCAACATGGTGAAACCCTGTCTCTACTAAAAATACAAAAAACAGCTGGGTGTTGTGGCAGGCACCTGTAATCCCAGCTACTGGGGAGGCTGAGGCAGGAGAATCACTTGAACCCAGGAGGTGGAGGTTGCAGTGAGCCAAGATCGCGCCACTGCACCCCAGCCTGGGCGACAGAATGAGAGCCTATCAAAAAGAAAGAAAAGAAAAGAAAGGAAAGGAAAGAAAAGGAAAGGAAAAGAAAGGAAGAGAAAGAAAGAGAAAATAAAAGAAAGATTAAAGAAAAGAAAGAGAAAGAAAGAAAAGAGAGAAAGGAAAGCATTAAAAGCATTATTATGCTCTATATTCAGATTCAACAGATATTTACTGAGCACATATAATCTTTAATGTATTTTGCTAGGTGTTATGGAGAACTACAAAAATATAGCAAGCATGGGTTCTACCCTTATGAACATTCAGTCTAGCAAAGAAGCAGTATAGTATGGATATCTACATAAAAGATCATAATATAAGCTATAAAGTATTAAAAATGACACCATTTGAGTTAAAAGAAAAAAGATGCTATTCAAAAAGCTCAGAGGAAAAGTTAGCTTCTAGTCAGGGTGGTGTCAAGGAAGCTTGGTGGGAGAGTATTTATACTAGAAGGATTAAAAGAAGTAGGATATCATGACTAGATAGGTTTAGTCATACAGCGGATGGGGCAAGGGCATTTTAGATAACCATAAGGACAAGGACCCTGAACTGGGAAATTATGCTGCATGTACAGGGAGTGACTGTGCAGTCTGACCAAAGAACAGGGCAAGTAATGAAGAAACTGGGGCCCCGGGTGGTTATGGATTACCCAGAGCCATAGCACCAGACAGCCCTAGAATGGGCATTGAATCCCAGGCGTTTTCCTTCTTTAATGCTCCCACAATATGACCAAGTCAACATTTTAGTCACTGCTCTGCTTTATTTACAACAACCCATTATATATTGTCCATTAAGTAATTGACTCAACAAACACTTATCGAATATCTAGTACACTCTAGGCATAATTGGATGCTATGGTCTCCAAGGCTGATTTGATATGTGTTATAAAATACTTTTTCCCAAGTGGGGAATAGGGCTAATATTGGGCTAAGACAGATTGTCTTTGTCTTTGTTAAAATTTTATAGAGTTATACTTCAGAGCAAATACTATAAACAACAAAGACAATTAAATAAACCACAAAAACAGATCTCTGTATCATGTTTTTCTACACGACATCAATACACTGAGTCTTAGCAATGACTGCCCATGTGTTTTTTCCATAACTATGCTTACTTATGTTTTAGCAAGGGGTAATACAGAAGGATATGAAACCCTCCATCCTTGAGCGAAAGTTTAAAAACATTTCTAGTATTATAGTAGAACAAGACTCACTTCCGTTTAGCTTATCAACCACCAAGAGACATTTCCCCTTTGTACTTGTTATGTTTTAGTGTAACTATGGAGACACAGCACTTTCCATGCAAGTGACACACATGATTTTGGTTTAACATACTCATTTTCTGAGAAACATTTTAAAATGTGGTCACTATTTTAAAAATTGTGGTCACTATGAGATCTTTGAGCTACTTTGGTATTTCAATGTAAATCCATACATTTGTTAGCAATATTCATTGAGGGAAGAGTTAAGTACCACGGATTATGGATTCTTTCTGATTCCATCAAACTATTCCTAATTAAAGCTTTGGTGCCAGAAAAAAAAAGGTAATTATGAATTGAACAAATTGGGCTATCAGATATTTTTATAAATCGTAGGGTATATCAAGTTGAGTTTTGAGAGCTCTGTTTCCAGGTATATGGCAGGCTAGGAATTCACACTGCACCTCCCACTGGAAACAATTAAAAAGGCTGAATTAAAAAAAATCTTAAACCTCTTAGAAGCATTGAGCATGGGCAAGAAAGAAAGAAATTATTAGGTCAAAGAGAAGTGAAGAAGGAATCCAGACAGGTAAGTGGACAACACTGTCCAGGTGTACAACACCAGGAGGCACCATTTGGATTCTATTCACCTAAATGATGCTCTTGGGGTTGTTTGATGCTATGGCCCTGAGATCACTTTGCCCTAAGGGCATTTGCTCAACCTGGTGAACTGCAGCTTGGGCTTCACAATGGTTCCAGAGACAAGGTAAAGCCGAGGGCTTGGAGAATCCCATTGGAGACCATTCTCCCAATAAAGCTTGGACCCTTTAGGTGGAGATGAAAACCAGCATATCCATTCATCCTCAGGGTACTGCACAAAAAGTTCCTGTGGAACTAAGTAGAACTAAGTACTAAAAAATACTGTCACTGAAAGACTGACTTGTGATGATCTACAGCCAAAACAGGTTCATAAAAGCCTCAAGCTATTACTCTAAGTTGAGTAGGCAGGCCCCAGGTGCGTGGAAGAAACAAATACAAATCTTCTCTGGAGGAAGGTACCTCAATAACTCACAAATTATTTTCTAAGAAAATTGAGCAGCTCACAGTAACAAACATTAAGCACTCAAAGAAATGCTACTATATAAATGAAAACCAGAAGAAAGAAGAAATCACATACAATAGAATTAAATGGAAAACATCTACAAATATTTGAGAAATTTAAATTATCACACATACAAGGTGAAAAAAACATTTTACTTCTTTTTTTTTTTTTTTGAGACAGAGTTTTGCTCTTGTTGCCCAGGCTGGGTGCAATGGCGCGATCTTGGCTCACAGCAACCTCCACCTCCTGGGTTCAAGCGATTCTCCTGCCTCAGCCTCTGGAGTAGCTGGGAGTAGTCATGCACCACCACGCCTGGCTACTTTTGTATTTTTAGTAGAGATGGGGTTCCTCCACTTTGGTCAGGCTGGCCTCGAACTCCCGACCTCAGGTGATCCACACTCCTCAGCCTCCCAAAATGCTGGGATTACAGGCATGAGCCACCGTGCCTGGTCACCATTTTACTTATTTAAGAAAAAAAAAAATACAAAGTAGAAAATACCTATTTATTAGGCTCATGAACCCCACGGAGGGAGCATCGTTAAAGTCTCTCTTCCCCCTGCCATCATGTCTAAGGCGGAGTTTCCTAAAGAACCAGAACAGCAGAGGAAGCTCTTCACTGGAGGGTTGAGCTTGGAATGAGAGCCTGAGGAGCCATTTTGAGCAATGGGGAACGCTCACAGACTGTGTGGTAATGAGAGATCCAAGCACCAAGCGCTCCAGGGGCTTAGGGTTTGTCACATATGCCCCTGTGGAGGCAGTGGATGCAGCCGTGAATGCAAGGCCACGCAAGGTGGATGAAAGAGCTGTGGAAACAGAGAGCTGTCTCAAGAGAAGATTCTCAAAGACCCAGTGCCCACTTAACTGTGAAAAAGATATTTGTTGGTGGCATTAAAGAAGACACAGGGCCTGGCCCAGTGGCTCACGCCTATAATCCCAGCACTTTGGGAGGCTAAGGTGGGCGGATCACCTGAGGTCGGGAGTTCAAGACCAGTCTGACCAACATGGAGAAACCCAGTCTCTACTAAAAATACAAAATTAGCCGGGTGTGGTGGCGCATGCCTGTAATCCCAGCTACTCCGGGAGGCTGAGGCAGGAGAATCGCTTGAACCTGGGAAGCGGAGGTTGTGGTGAGCCGAGATTGCACCATTGCACTCCAGCCTGGGCGACAGAGTGAAACTCCGTCTCAAAAAAAAAAAAAAAAAAAGACACTGAAGAACAGCACCTAAGAGATTATTTTGAACAGTATGGAAAAATTGAAGTGATTGAAATCATGACTGACCGAGTCAGTGGCAAGAAAAGGGGCTTTGCCTTTATAACCTTTGACTACCATGACTCTGTGGATAAGACTGTCATTCAGAAATAACCATACTGTGAAGTTAGGAAAGCCCTGTTAAAGCAAGAGATGGCTGGTGCTTCAGCCAGCCACAGAGGTCAAAGTGGCTCTGGAAACTTTGGTGGTAGTCATGGAGGTAGTTTCGGTGGGAATGACAATTTTGGTCATGGAGGAAACTTAAGTGGTCTTGGTGGCTTTAATGACAGCTCTGGTGGTGGTGGATATGGTGGCAGTGGGGATGGGTATAATGGATTTAGTAATGATGGAAGCAATTTTGGGGGTGGTGGAAGCTACGATGATTTTGGCAATTACAACAATCGGTCTTCAAATTTCAGACCCATGAAGGGAAGAAACTTTGGAGGCAGAAGCTCTGGCCCCTATGGTGGTGGAGGCCAATACTTTGCCCAACCACGAAACCAAGGTGGCCGTGGCGGTTCCAGTAGCAGCAGTAGCTATGGCAGTGGCAGAAGATTTTAATTAGGAAACAAAGCTTAGCAGGAGAGGAGAGCCAGAGAAGTGACCCAGTGGAGCTACAGCTTACAATAGATTCATCAACTCAGCCAAGTACCGTGGTGGCAGGGCCCAGCTGCTACAAAGAAGACATATTTTAGACAAATACTCATGTGGATGGGCAAAAAACTCAAGGACTGTATTTGTGACTAATTATGCATAACAGCTTATTTTAGTTTCTCTTCTGTGGAAAGTATAAAGCATTCCAACAAAGGGTTTTAATGTAGATTTTTTTTTTTTTTTGCACCCATGCTGTTCATTGCTAAATGTAATAGTCTGATCATGACACTCAATAAATGTGTCTTTTTTTTTTTTTAAAGTGCTGTGTAAAGTTAGTCTACTCTGAAGCCATCTTGGTAAATTTCCCCAACAGTATGAAGTTAGAATTCCTTCAGGTGACGCCAGGTTCTTTTTTTTTTTTTTTTTTTTGAGACGGAGTTTCCCTCTTGTTGCCTAGGCTGGAGTGCAATGACACGATCTCGGCTCAACGCAACCTCCGCCTCCAGGGTTCAAGCGATTCTCCTGCCTCAGCCTCCTGAGTAGCTGGGATTACAGGCATGCGGCACCATGCCCAGCTAAATTTTGTATTTTTTTTTTTTTTGAGGTGGAGTCTCGCTCTGTTGCCCAGGCTGGAGTGCAATGGTGCGATCTCGGCTCACTGAAAGCTCCGCCTCCCGAGTTCACGCCATTCTCCTGCCTCAGCCTCCCAAGTAGCTGGGACTACAGGCGCCCGTCACCACGCCCAGCTAATTTTTTTGGTATTTTTAGTAGAGACGGGGTTTCTCCATGTTGGTCAGGCTGGTCTTGAACTCCTGACCTCAGGTGATCCACCCGCCTTGGCCTCCCAAAGTGCTGGGATTACAGGCGTGAGCCACCGTGCCTGGCCTGACGCCAGGTTCTATTTGGAATTTATATGCAACCTGCTTGGGTGGAAAAGCCGTTGTCTTCACAAACCTTGGTATAGTTGAACTGATAGTTACTGTTGTGACCTGAAGTTCATCATTAAAAGGGATTACTCAAGCAAAATCATGGAATTATTGGTTATAGAAATGATTGTTGGCAGGGTGTGGTGGCTCACGCCTCTAATCCCAGTACTTTGGGAGGCCGAGGCAGGCGGATCAGGAGGTCAGGAGATCCAGACCATCCTGGGCAACAAGGTGAAACCATGTCTCTACTAAAAATACAAAAAAAAAAAAAAATTAGCTGAGCATGGTGGCCTGTGCCTGTACTCCCAGCTACTCCAGAGGCTGAGGCAGGAGAATCCCTTGAACCCAGGAGGTGGAGGGTGCAGTGAGCTGATATCGCTCCACCGCTCTCCAGCCTACGTGACAGAGTGAGACTCCGTCTCAAAAAAAAAAAAAAAAGATTGTTGGCACATCCTATGCAATGTATCTAAATTGAATAATGGTACCAGATAAAATTATAGATGGGAATGAAGTTTGTGTGTCATCCATTATCATGTGTAATCAATAAACGATTTAATTCTCTTGACAAAAAAAAAAAGAAGAAAGAAAATACCTATTTAAGGCTGACATGGTGGCTCACTCCTTTAATCACAGTACTATGGGAGGCCAAGGCAAGAGGATTGCTTGAGCCCAGGAGTTCCAGACCATCCTGGGCAACATGGTGAAACCCCATCTCTACCAAAAATACAAAAATTAGCCAGGTGTGGTGGCACACGCCTGTAGTCCCAGCTACTTGGGGTGCTGAGGTGGGAGGAACGCTTGAGCCCAAGGAGGTCGAGGGTGCACTCCAGTCTGGGTGACAGAGTGAGAACCTGTCTCAAAAAAAAAAAAAAAAAAAAAAGGAACAGAAAATACCTATTTAAAACAGGAAACTATAGAAAATAGCCTAATAGTTTTAAAAAATAGAACTTCTAGAAATGAAATGAATAAAATAATGGACAAGTTTAACCTCAGATTACATACAAGTGAACAGAAAAATAAACGAACTGAATGATATGACAATAGAAAATTATCCAGCCTTCAGTAAAGAAAGACAAGAAGAAGGGAAACATGAAAGAGCAGTAAATAGATATGGAGGATAAATTAAGACAATCTAACATGTATTGATAAATTTGGAGTTCTGGAGGGCAAGGAGAGAGAAAATGGTAAAGAAGTAATTTTTTTTTTTTTTAAGTTAAGTTCTTGCTCTGCTGCTCAGGCTGGAGTGCAGTGGCACAACCATGGCTCACTGCAGCCTTGAACTCCTGGGCTCAAGCGATCCTCCCACCTCAGCCTCCCGAGTAGCTGGGACCACAGGCATGTGCCAACATGCCTAGCTAATTAAAACATTTATTTTCTGTAGAGACGGGGCCTCACTATGTTACCCAGGTTCCTCTTGAGCTCCTGGGCTCAAGTCATTCTACTGCCTTGGCCTCCCAAACTGTTGGGATTATAGGTGTGAGCCACCATGCCTGGCCAAAAGGGTAATATTTGAAGAGACAGTAGCTAAGAAATTTTTAGGACCAATCTGTTTAAAAACACAGATTTAAGAAGTCCACTGAATTTCAACCAGGATTGAAAAAAAAAGTATTTTCAGTTAAACACAACATAGTGAAACAACAGCATACCAGAGACAAATGATCTCAGAAGCTGATTGACTGCTGACTTCACAAGAGAAAAAAATAAGTGCGAACTTAGAATTTTACCCCTCAAAAAATAGCTTTTGGCCAGGCACAGTGGCTCATGCCTGTAATCCTAGCACTTTGGGAGGCCGAGGTGGGTGAATCACTTGAGGTCAGGAGTTTAAGACCAAACTGGCCAACATGGTGAAACTCTGCCTCTACTAAAAATACAAAAATTAGCCAGGTGTGGTGGCGTGCACCTATAATCCCAGCTACTCGGGAGTTTGAGGTGCGAGAATTGCTTGAACCCGGGAGGCGGAGGCTGCAGTGAGCCAAGATTGAGCCACTGCACTCCAGCCTAGCCCACAGAGCAAGAATCCATCTCAAAAAAAGAATAAATAAATAAATAAATAAAAAGTTCAAAAAGGAAGATGAAAAACAGGCATTTAAGGCAAATTAAGTGAGAGATTTTGCTTCCACAATATTCATAAAAGGAAGTTCTAAAGAATGTACTTAAGAAACTGATCCTGGCTGGGTGTAGTGACTCCCTTGACTCACGGAGTTTGAGGCTGCAGTGAGTCCTGATGACACCACTGTACTCCAGCCTGGGCAAGAGAGTGAGACCTTTATTTCAAAAAAAAAACAAGCAGGATTTAAAAGGTCTGGGGGAAGGCCTAACAATTTATATTTATAACAAGCTCCCAGCTTGATACTAATTATTTAAGACCATGCTTTTTCTTTTCATTTTTCTTTTTTTTTTTTTTTTTTTTTTTAGACAGGGTCTCACTCTATCGCCCCGACTGGAGTGCAATGGTATGATCACAGCTCACTGCAGCCTTGAACTCCCAGGCTCAAGTGATTCTCCTGCCTCAGCCTTCCAAGTAGCTGGGACTACAGGCATGTGCCATCATGCTGGGTTAATTTTTTGTTTTATTTTTTGTAGAGATGAGGTCTCACTGTGTTGCCCAGGCTGGTATTGAACTCTTGTGCTCAAAGGATCCTCCCACCTCAGCCCCACAAAGTGTTGAGATTATAGGTGTGAGCCACCGTCCCGGGCCTAAAACCACACTTTAAATAGCACTGTTGATGAGCCATGAAAAGAAAGCAAAAACTGAGTATAAATTGCAAACTAGTAGAGGAGGAAAAGTTGAAATGAAAAAGAAAATAATTCAAAAGAAAGCAAAGAAGGAAAGTAAACTAGAACAGAAGGAACATGCAGAAAGCACAAAATAGGATGATGGTAGCTGGGCGCGATGGCTCATGCCTGTAATCCCAGCACTTTGGGAGGCCGAGGCGGGCAGATCACGAGGTCAGGAGATCGAGACCATCCTGGCTAACACGGTGAAACCCCATCTCTACTAAAAATACAAAAAATTAGCCGGGCGAGGTGGCTGGCGCCTGTAGTCCCAGCTACTTGGGAGGCTGAGGCAGGAGAATGGCCTGAATCTGGGAGGCAGAACTTGCAGTGAGCCGAGATAGCGCCACTGCACTCTGGCCTGGGCGACAGAACAAGCATCTGTCCAAAAAAAAAAAAAAAAAAAAAATAGGATGATAGTTACAAATTCAAATATATCAGCAATTACATTAAATATAAAAGAATTAAATTATCCAATTAAAAGACAAAGACTGATACAAAAAATAAACTCAAAATGCATCATAGACTCAAATAAAACTTTTAGAATAAAATATAGGAAAAATATATATGCAACTTTGGGTTAGGCAAAGAGTTATTAGATAGAATATCAAAAACATGATCCATAGAAGCAAAGCTGACAATTTGGATTTCATCAAAACAAAAATTTTGTATTATGCCTGTAATCCCAGCACTTTGGGAGGCCGAGGCAGGTGGATCATTGAGGTCAGGAGTTCAAGACCAGCTTAGTCAACATGGTGAAATCCCGTTTCTACTAAAAATACAAAAATTAGCTGGGCATGGTGGCACATGCCTGTAGTCCCAGATACTTGGGAGGCTGAGGCGGGAGAATGGGTTGAATCTGGGAGGCAGAGGTTACAGTGAGCCAAGATTGAGCCATTGTGCTCCAGCTTGGGTGACAGAGCGAGACTTCATCTCAAAAAAAAAAAAAAAAAAAAAAAAAAGACACTCTTAAGAGAATGAAAAGACAACTCATACAGAGAGAGAAAATATTTCTCCTTCTCTGTCTTCTCTGTCTTGCAGATATGCAAATCACATAACTGACATTTGACTTGTGTCCAGAATATATAAAGAACTCCCAAAACTTGACAATAAGAAAACAAACAGCCCAGTAAAATAATGGACAAAAGACTTGAGTAGACATTTAACCAAAGAAGAGGCATGGCTGAAAAACAGACACATGAAAAGTTGTTTAACAACATTAGTCATTAGAGAAATGCAAATTAAAACCACAAAAAATACTACTACACAACTGTCAGAATAACTAAAATAAACAATCTGACAATTCCAAGCACTTGTGAAAATAGGGAGCTACTGGTTTCTCTCATACATTGATAATAGCAATGGATAGTGATACAGACACTCTAGAAAACAGTTGGGCAGTTTTTTGTTTTGTTTTTTCTTTTTTCTTTTTGAAACAGTCTTGCTCTGTCACCCAGGCTGGAATACAGTGGCGTGATCTCAGCTCACTGCAACCTCCACCTCCCGGTTCAAGTGATTCTCCTGTCTCAGCCTCCCAAGTAGCTGGGACTACAGGCACTTGCCACCACACCCAGCTAATTTTTGTATTTTTAGTAGAGGTGGGTTTTTACCATCTTGGCCAGACTAGTCTTGAACTGCTGACCTCAAATGATCCACCAACCTCGGCCTCCCAAAGTGCTGGGATTACAGGCATGAGCCACTGTGCCTGGCCGGCAGTTTTAAAAATAAAGTTAAATGGCCGGGCGCAGTGGCTCACGCCGGTAATCCCAGCACTTTGGGAGGCTGAGGCAGGTGGATCACGAGGTCAGGAGATCGAGACCATCCTGGCTAACATGGTGAAACCCCGTCTCTACTAAAAAGACAAAAAGAATTAGCCAGGCGTGGTGGCGGGAGCCTGTAGTGCCAGCTACTCGGGAGGCTGAGGTAGGAGAATGGTGTGAACCTGGGAGGCGGAGCTTGCAGTGAGCCGAGATCGCGCCACTGCCCACCAGCCTGGGCGACAGAGTGCCACTGCCCACCAGCCTGGGCAACAGAGCGAGACTCCGTCTCAAAAAAAAAAAAAATACAGTTAAACATAGAATTACCTGAGGCCTAGCACTCTCACTTCTAGGTATTTACCATAGTGAAGTTAAAATTGTTCACCTGAAAATCTGAACACAAATGTTTGTGGGTTGCTTTATTTGTTTATTTTATTCTAACAGTTGTGTAGTAGTATTTTTTGTGGTTTTAATTTGCATTTCTCTAATGACTAATGTTGTTAAACAACTTTTCATGTGTCTGTTTTTCAGCCATGCCTCTTCTTTGGTTAAATGTCTACTCAAGTCTTTTGCCCATTATTTTACTGGGCTGTTTGTTTTCTTATTGTCAAGTTTTGGGAGTTCTTTATGTATTCTGGACACAAGTCAAATGTCAGTTATGTGATTTGCATATCTGCAAGACAGAGAAGACAGAGAAGGAGAAATATTTTCTCTCTCTGTATGAATTGTCTTTTCATTCTCTTAAGAGTGTCTTTTTTTTTTTTTTTTTTTTTTTTTTGACATGAAGTCTCGCTCTGTCACCCAGGCTGGAGCACAATGGCACAATCTCAACTCACTGCAATTGAGTTGAATTCAATTGCACCTCCCGGGTTCAAGCGATTCTCCTGTCTCAGCCTAAGGTGTAGCTGGGACTATAGGTGCCTGCCACCACACCCACCTAATTTTGGTATTTTTAAGTAGAGATGGGGTTTTACCATGTTGGCCAGGCTGGTCTCGAACTGCTGACCTCAAATGATCCACCCACCTCAGCCTCCCAAAGTGCTGGGATTACAGGCGTGAGCCACCGTGCTTGGCTGGCAGTTTTAAAAATACAATTAAACACAGAATTACCCGAGGCCCAGCACTCTCACTCCTAGGTATTTACCATAGTGAAGTTAAAATTGTTCACTGAAAATCTGAACACAAATGTTTGTGGTAGCTTTGTTTGTCATAACCAAAACCTGGAAATAGCCCAGATGTCCCTCAACTGGTGAATGGATAAACTGTAGCACATCCATATGATGAAATGCCAAGAGTAATAAAAAAGGAATGAGGCCAGGAGCAGTGGCTCACACCTGGATCTCAATACTTTGGGAGGCCAAGGCGGACGCGTCACTTGAGGTCAGGAGTTTGAGACCAGCCTGGCCAACATAGTGAAAGCCCGTCTCTACTAAAAATACAAAAATTAGCTGGGCATGGTGGAGCACGCCTGTAAGCCCAGCTACTCGGGAGGCTGAGGCAGGAGAATTGCTTGAGCCTGGGAGGCAGAGGTGGCAATGAGCCAAGAACGTGTCACTGCACTCCAGCCTGGGCAACAGAGTGAAGCTCTGTCTCAAAAAAATAAGATAAAATAAATAAGGAATGAGTTCTTCAGCAGTCAGGTCCTGCCTGTGAAAAACCACTGCACTCCAGCCAGGGCAACATAGTAAGATACCACCTCTTTTTAAATATAAATTACTATTTTTTTTTTATTTTTTGCGACAAGGGTCTCACTCTGTTGCCTAGGCTGGAGGGCAGTGGCATGATCTTGGCTCACTGCAGCCTCTACCTCTCGGGCTCAAGCAATCCTCCCACCTCAGCCTCTCAAGTAGCTGGGACCACAGGTGTGTGCCACTATGCCAACTAATTTTTGTATTTTTTGTAGAGATGGGGTTTCACCATGTTGCCCAGGTTGGTCTCAAACACCTGACCTCAGGCAATCCGCCCGCCTCAGCCTCCCAAAGTGCTGGGATTACAGGCATGAGCCACAGTATCCAGCTATTATCTTTTTTGCAGAACCTTTAAAAAATATATTTTTAGGCCAGGCACAGTGGCTCACACCTGTAAACCCAGTACTTTGGGAGGCTGAGATGGGGGGATCACAACGTCAGGAGTTCAAAAGCCTGGCCAACATAGTGAAACCCTGTCTTTACTAAAAATGCAAAAATTAGCTGAGTGTGGTGGCACACGCCTGTAGTCCCAGCTACTCAGGAGGCTGAGGCAGGAGAATTGCTTGAACCCGGGAGGTGGAGGTTGCAGTGAGCCGAGACCACACCATTGCACTCCAGCCCAGGGGACAGAGTGAGACTGTCTCAAGAAAAAAAAATATACATATAATATATATATAATATGTATACATATTATATGTATATACATATTATATATATAATATGTATACATATAATATGTATATACATATTATATATATAATATGTATATACATATTATATATATAATATGTATATACATATAATATATAATATATATTATAATACATATAATATATATAATATATGTATACATATATATAATATGTATATATATTATATATATTTTAAAAAGGAATGCACTCTTGAAACACACAAGAATATGAATGAATCTGCAAAGCATTTTGCAGGCAGGGCACAGTGGCTAATGCCTGTAATCCCAGCACTTTGGGAGGCTGAGGTGGGAGGACTGCTTGAGCCCAAGAGTTTGAGACCAACCTGGGCAATATGGCGAGACTCCATCTCTACAAAAAATAAAATAAAAATATTAGGTGAGCACAGTGGCATATGCCTGTGGTCCCAGCTACACAGGAAGCTGAGGTGGGAGGATCACTTGAGCCCAGGAAGTCAAGACTGCAGTGAGCAGTGTTCATACCACTGCACTCCAGCCTGGGCGACCGAACAAGACTCTGTCTCAAAAACAAAAACAAAAACTTCTGCTAAGTGAAAGAAGCCAGATTCAAAAGACTACATATTGTACTATTCCATTTATATGACATTCTGGAAAAGGTAAAACTATAGGAGCAGAGAACAGATAAGTGATTGCCTGGGCTTGGGGGTGGGGTGGGGGTTCAATCACAAAGGGGTAGGTAGCACAAGAGAATTTTCATGGAGTGTGTTCATGTCTTGATTGTGGCAGTGGTTTCAATACTCTCTGCATTTGCAAAAAAAAAAAATTAAATTTTTTTTTTTTTGAGAAAGAGTTTCGCTCTTGTTGCCCAGGCTGGAGTGCAGTGGTGCAATCTTGGCTCACTGCAACCTCTGCCTTCCAGGTTCAAGCAATTCTCCTGCCTCAGCATCCCGAGTAGCTGGGACTACAGGCGTGCGCCACCACGCCCAGCTAATTTTTTCTTTTTTGTATTTTTAGTAGAGGCAGGGTTTCTTTCACCATGTTGGCCAGGCTGTAATCCCAGTACTTTGGGAGGCCAAGGTGTATGGATGACCTGAGGTCAGGAGTTCAAGACAAGGCTGGCCAACATGGTGAAATCCCGTCTCTACTAAAAATACCAAAAAAAAAAAAAAAAAAAAATTAGCCAGGCATGGTGGTGCGAGCCAGTAGTCCCAGCTACTCGGGAGGCTGAGGCAGGGAGAATCAATTGAACCCGGGAGGCAGAGGTTGCAGTGAGCCGAGATCATGCCAGTGCACTCTAATCTGGGTGACAACAGAGTAAGACTCTGTCTCAAAAAAAAAAAAAAAAAAAAAAAAGACAAAGATTTTCAGACTGGGTAAAAATACAATGTCAGGGTCTCTGACAGTATCTTTTGGCAAAAGGCAAACTTGCTAAAAAAAAAAAAGTTCAATTCTCATTCTTACAAGATTATGCACGAAACCCCATTATTTAAAAATGAAAAGTATTTCTATTTTTAGATTGCTAATATGTAGCAGCAAATAAAAAATCCATACATATCACACTCAAATACATATGTACCACAGTTCTGTGTGTCTTATAAAACTGTAAAACATATGGAGATTAAGAATCAAAGAGGCGGTTGAATTTTATGTCTAAAACAGCAAAACAAGTCTCTGAATTTTTCCCTTTTCATCCAGCTGTTTTGCCATCATAGAGCTAATTTTAGAAGGCGTAATCTTCTTATAAAATACATGTAGTTAAGAAAAGTAGTGGGTTTTTTTGTGACTTCTAATTCAGAGTTGTACAGGGTGCTTGGTTTCTGAACTAAGCCAGCAGACCGAGAATAATCTGAATCATAAGTCTAAGGCTAAGCCAAGAAACTTTTAGCTAAAGAATCATAGTGAGCTTCATAAGAGTTGAACTCCAGATCCTTTTTATTAATGGGCTTTAAAATGCAGGTAAACTTCCAAACAAAGTTTTCCCTCAATCTGGGAAAAACAAAATGAAAATCATAATGTGTGATTCTTTCCTGCAAGTTGAATGACTACGTTTGCTCTGTAATGCATGTAAGAGGAATATACATGGTTGTTTATTCTTGCTGGAGACTTCAATAGTTGCTTTCATTTGCTTTCTTTTTCTGATGAGAATCAGCAACATGGACACACTGCCATTTTTTTGAGCAATAGTATTTTTTTTAAGCAATAGTATTTTTTTTAATGTAAAGAGTCAAACCCAAAGAGACCAATCCAAATGAAATAATTTAGACCACAAAGTCCAGACTAATTTTCCCCATTTCTCAAAATAACTAGAACTGAGTACACATCAAATCTTCACTTTTCTTTGTATTATATAGACACTGTCACAAATGCAAGAGATTCTTCACTTTTCAGGTCAAATTTTCACCATCCTTTGGTCCTGTTATATGTAACAAGTGAACAATCACTTTTCATTAACTATGAATCAAAATAGATTAAGTGAAGACAATTTTATGTAACTCCTCACAGCTTCAAGTGCTATATAAGGAAGGATTTAAGAGTGCTTATAACAGCTTATTCGGTACATGACTTTCCATTAAACTACTTAACACAAATCTTAATTTATAGAAAAATTCAACCAATGCCAAGATCACCTAAAGTAAGTTATTCCAACCAGTCAAGAAACCAAAAATCTTGTATAGAAAAAAAAAAAAAAAGAGCAAAGGAAACTGGTATTCTATATTGCCCCAGAATCGTGCTTATTCTGAGGGTTCAGTTTCACCTAATTGTCCTAAAATAGTGCCCCCAGTCACACGATTAAAACTATTTGATAGAGCATGAGACTGATGATTGGCTGGATGCACTGTGTGTGGTTAGGAAAGCCCTATTACTGAACTGTTGGCCACCGGCGTGTGACATTTATAAGAAGGTGGGCAATCTACCCACAATTGCTGAAAAAAAAACTTTAAAAAAATTCTTCAAGTTTCCACATTAAAAATAACCTTATGCATGTAGGAATGGAGAAAATGTGGAAGAGTTACTCCCATTAGGCTGGCCTTGAGTGGATATGCTGTGTTTACACAATATTTTGAGATGGCCAGATAAGCAGTACTAATGGCAGCATATTACACAGTTATCATGAACCATGTGTAGCCTAAGGAGAATTTTCAGTGTATCAGGGTGGCCCACATGCTGCTATTTATCATTTCAATTTCATATCAGAATCAAAACTGAGGAAAAAGAAAACACTTTGAAACCCAAGCAAGTCATCTGGGGCCTGAGTAATGAGGCCTCTTGAAAAAAAAAATGAGAGAGAAAGAGATTAACACATTTTTGACAAACAGGCTTTGGCTTCAGAGCACTATTGCAGCTGTTAAATTCACATGCTGATGGAGTTCAGGTACGTAGACATTTACAGTAAGTTTTTACCAATGACTTTTACCAAGTAGTTGCACACATACATTTTCTGAAGCTGCATTTTAGTGACTAAAGTAACACTTTAGACAACAGGATTATGTCTTAGTTGCACTGCTATGTCTGAATAGTACAGCAATTGAGAACTCTGATATAAAGAGGGTAAACTGCCACTTAAAGAGTAACATTCTCCTGAAAAAGGCAATAGCTTTCCTTAATAAGAAGCAACACATGAAGTCTAGCAGGCATTGTTTCATATATTCCATTTTGATTGCTTAAGTTTTCAACTGGGCAGTATTCTATTTCAAGGCCATACTGTTGCAAAACCTTGTTCTGTGGTTGTAACATAGCTGCTGTGACTGTTGCAAACCGAGAAGACAGCACACAGAGAGAGAGAGAGAGAGAGATTAGGAGAAAAAAGGATTCTTTATATATTTATTTATTTTTGAGACAGGGTCTCATTCTGTTGCCCAGGCTGGAGTGCAGTGGTGCTATCATAGCTCATTGCAGCCTCAACCTCCTGGGTTCAAGCAATACTCCCATCTTCAGCCTCATGTGTAGCTGGGACTATAGGCATACACTATTATGCCCAGCTAACTTTTTCATTTTTAGTAGAGATGGGGGTTTCACTATGTTGCCCAGGCTGGTCTTGAACTCCTTAACTCAAGCAGTCCTCTCACCTGAGCCTCTCAAAGTTCTGGGATTACAGGTGTGAGTCACCACACCTGGCCCAGGAGAAAAAGTATTCTATGTAACTTTCACATGAAGGTCTTTTAGTAAATAACCAGTTTTTTTGGTTGTTGTTGTTGTTTTGAGACAAGTCTCACTCTCTTGCCCAGGCTAGAGTACAGTGGCACAATCATGGCTCACTGTAGCCTCCACCTCCTGGGGCTCAGGTGATCCTCCCACCTCAGCCTCCCAAGTAGCTGAGATCACAGGCGTGGACCACCACACCTGGATAATTTTTTTAAAAATTTTTTTGTAGAGACAGAGTTTTGCCATGTTGCTCAGGTTGGTCTCGAACTCCTAGGCTCAAGTGATCCACCTGCCTCAGCCTCCCAAAGTGTTGAGATTGCAGGTGTGGCTAGGCATGGTGGTTCTCAGCAACTTGGGAGGCCGAGGTGGGTGGATCGCCTGAGGTCAGGAGTTCGAGACCAGCCTGGCCAACATGGTGAAACCCCCGTCTCTACTAAAAATATAAAAGTATTAGTTGGGCATGGTGGCACGGGCCTATAATCCCAGCTACTTGGGAGGCTGAGGCAGGAGAATCACTTGAACCTGGGAGGTGGAGGTTGCAGTGAGCCGATATCGTGCCACTGCATTCTAGCCTGGACAACAAGAGGGAAACTTCATCTAAAAAAAAAAAAGATTACAGGTGTGAGCCACTGAGCCTGTAAAACAAAAAAATTATAAGTTCTCTGAGCTTCTACCCTGAATGAGCCCTGTTTTTAATAAAGATTAAGGTGGTTGGTTCCTGCAGAGACTCTACAGCTTAGGATAAAACAGGATTAAAGGCAAGTACTCATATAAATAAATGACTGTCTTTTTTATAATATGAGAAAATTATGAAGACGAATGGAATAACAACAGTTGATCATCATTTATCGAGTACCAATAAGGTATATGATCCTACACAATTCCTTTTGAGGTTTCATGGTTTGAGATGGGGTTTAGGAATAAAAATGAGAAACAAGAAATCTATCACATAAACTAATTGTCTTGGGTCAATGTTATTATTGGCTGATTGAGGAAAGGGAATATGTCTTTGGAATTTCCTTTGTAAATGCCTACTTGTGTGGATATATATAGACATGTGAATGTTTTTGATGATGATAATTAACAATCATCCTATACAAACACATAGGTTGTTATAAACTATGTACTTAAGAACTGGGACAACTGTTCACAAAATGAGTGACACGTAGTGTAATAAAAGAGCTGATTTGTCCTTCAAACAATTATAGGCTTGATTATAAAATACTCAAAAGCGGGGAATGATTAATATATAGTTGGGTTTGTTTTTGGAGTGGAAGGAAGGTAGTTAGTTAAAAAGCAAACAAACAAAAAATAGTCAGGGTTTTCTCCCCAGTATCCCTGAATCTGGACTAGGATTTGTTAATATCTTAACAATTTCTCAGTTGTGAATAAAACAAAAAACAAAGCAAAACAAAAAAATAAAACAACAACAAAAAAACAGTCCTTCCATGAGTTACCTCATGTCCAGGCCTTCTACTCAAGTCCTCATCCTATGCAAAAATTCTCTTTCCTTGATTTAGAGATGGGGTTTCACTATGTTGCTCAGGCTGGTCTCAAACTCCTGGGCTCAGGCACACCTCAGCCTCCTAAGTAGCTGTGACTACAGGAGCCTCCCACCATGCCCAGCTGGCTAAAAATAAAATTCCTTTTCCTACTCCCTCTGAAGTTATAGATTTTTGTTTGTTTGTTTTTTAATAGAGACAGGGTCCCACTCTGTCACCCAGACTGGAGTGCAGTGGTGCGATCATGGCTTTCTTCATCCTTGAACTCCTGGGCTCAAGTGATCCTCCTGCCTCAGCCTTCCCAGTAGGTAGGACTACTGGCATATACCACCATGCCCAGCTAAAGTTATATATATATATATTTTATATATATTTTTATATATTTTAAATATATAAAATATACATAATATATATTTTATATATTTTTATATATTTTATATATTTTAAATATATAAAATATATTTTATATATTTATATATTTTTATATATATAATATATTTTATATATTTATAACATAAATATATTTTATATATTTATAACATAAATATATTTTATATATTTATAACATAAATATATTTTATATATATATTATAAATATATATTATATATTTATATATTTATATATATAATATATATTATATATATTATATATTATATATTATATATTATATATAATATATTATATATATATTTATATATATATATTATATATATTATATATATATTTAATATATTATATATATTATATATATTATATATATATTTATATATATTATATATATTATATATAATATATATATATTATATATATATAATATATATATATATTTTAAAAGGACCTTACAAAAGTTTCCCAGAGGTATCTGCACAGTTTTTGAAAAAAATTAGCATTGTAACTCCCTATTTCAAAAAATTTAGGCCAAAAAGAAAAATATTGAGTGAGGTTTCTTAGGTCCCAGGTATGAAGCTTCCTAGGAATGATAGGCTAATAATCATGGTACAAAGCTTTGCATAGTCTCTTCCAAACAAAACATATATCACTAGTGTCTTTCTTGTTTCAGTCCTGGAAAATGACAAATTTTACTCGACAGCTGGTTAACATATGGAACAAAACCTTGTCTCACAGGCAGTGCACTCATTTAAGCCATACATCTTTCTCTCTTAATTCAAAGTGACAGTAGTGACAAGAGCAAAGTTTTTTGGAAGATATTTTCAGAGCCACTCTAGTTAGCAGCTTAGTTACATCCAGTCTAGATGGCATTCTTGTTTACCCATGTGAACTTCTGCTTCAGTTATTCAAATTCTTTGAATTCCTCAGTTCTGAGAACTGGGGTGGGCATTATCGATTTTTCCCAAAACTTTCATCTGTAACTATTTCCAATAGACTCTAATCCCCAAATGTGCTGGTTTCCACTTCCCTGTTGCTTTGGAAAACTCTATATAACATCAGTTAGAGTCTATTTTGCATTTGGTAGTTCCTTATAAACAGTTTCACTGTGTTCTCTAGGTATGAATATTTGTTTTACATTGATTGTTTTTAGACATAGGACTTACTAACATTCTAAAATTCTGCTTTTTCTTAAATATGTGCCTTAGTTGAAGTACTAATAAAGCTTCTATATTAGATTTTGTAGTTCATAGTAAATTTACATAGGCAATGTGTTAGACTTTGCATACGTTTTGTAGAAAAATAAAACCAAACCTAAGTAAGTAAAATAAAGGGTCAACTAAACAATCCAGCAGCAAACTCTCCTAAAGCTGCAACCACTTCTTACCCTAAATTATAGTTTCACTACTGGCCATACTTTCATTCTGCTTACTTTTTTTAGTTTCTTCCTTAGATCTATTCCTTACGTATATTTACAGATTGCAACACTAACCTCTACTGACTTTCTCCTTCTAATGCAACTTGGCCAGTTTCACTGAACTCTTTTTTTCTTTCTTTCTTTTTTTCTTTTCCGTTTTTTAGATGGAGTCTTACTCTGTCGCCCAGGCTGGAGTGCAGTGGCACGATCTTGGCTCACTGCAACCTCCGCTTCCCAGGTTCAAGCGATTCTCCTGCCTCAGCCTCCTGAGTAGCTGGGATTATAGGGGCACACCACCACGCCGGCTAATTTTTGTATTTTTAGTAGGCACAAGGTTTCACCATGTTGGCCAGGATGGTCTTGATCTCCTGACCTCATGATCCACGCGCCTTGGCCTCCCACAGTGTTGGGATTACAGATGTGAGCCACCGCACCCAGCTGGATGGGGTAATATATTAACAGTAAAGAATCTGAATGAAGCCCATCCTTAGGTGAAAGTTTACAAATATTCCTAATGTTGTAGTATACCAAGACTTACTTCTTGCTAGCTATCAACCACCAAAAAACATGCATTTCCCTAATAATTAGGTAATGTTCAATATTCAGTCGTGCAAAATAGAAATCTAGTCTTACAAAATAAATAGTCTTGTAATCTTTCCTGACAACTAGCAGAGTGCATTGTATATAACAGTACAAAGATTGAGGGAATGAATTCTATGCCTAGGCACATGGCATTTAAGATTTTACTTTTTAAAAATCCACAAGGCAGTGTGGTTTGGTAGAAGCCTATTGGCCCAGGGATTGTAAGGCGTCTAGCCATGTGATTTGGGAAAACTCATTACGCCTTTCTGAGCTTTAGTTTCTTCATCTCCAAAATAGGATTTTCCTATGTATCCAGTGTATTTCATGGGGAGTTTGGAATGCTGAATTCCAAGAACCGATTGATATTTATGTAAAAGACAAACTAAAAAACTAGGAATCTAGGAATCTGGATTCTAGTCCTAGCTCTTCTCATGCTTTTGGGTGTACTGTATATGACTTTGGACAAGCCGCAGAGGGAAATGGTCACTTTTTGAAAATGAAATGTTCACTAGATGATCTCTGAGATTCATTCCTGCTAAAAATAATCCTATGTTCTGGATCAGAGAAACATGAAATCAATTTATGAGTGTCATTCTCATGAAGACATTATGATGTAGGTCAGATGATAAACTGTAAATCCATTTTTTAAAAATTGCCTGCCTCACATTAACTTTTTTATAGCCCAATCCATTTAGCCCTACCCTTGTCCAATTGTCCTACATGTTACCTAAACTCTAACCTTGAGATCTTCCTTTGCAACTGATGACCATTTTTATTACCCTTAGTATTTCAACTCCTGGCCCTACCCTTGCAGCAAACAGGGCCTTACTTTATGTGATCATCAGAATTTGAAATGGAAGAATATGTTTCTTGTCTCTTTTCATAATGCCACTAATTCCCCATTCCCTTTTAGCATACAGCTAGTTAAAAATGAATTGTATTATTAGGGAGACTGAGGCAGGAGGATCACTTGAGCCCAGGAGTTTGAGACCAGCCTGTGCAACATAGTGAGACCTTGTCTCAAAACCAACAAATAAAAACCAAAAAAAAAAAAAAAACCCAAAAAACAAAAAAAATGAGCTGTATAATTATATCCTCTCTTTAGCCTGACATCAAGGGTTCTGTGGATCTCTTTTCTTCAACTGTACCATCCATTACCTTCCAGAGAGAACTGCACAGGTAGGGAGCAGTTTGCACCCCCTGATTGTGCCATCTTCAAAAGCCTTTCTTTCGGCCAGGTGTGGTGGCTCACAACTGTAATCCTAGCACTTTGGGAGACCGAGGTGAGTGAATCATCTAAGGTCAGGAGTTTGAGGCCAGCCTGACCAGCATGGTGAAACCTCGTCTCCACTAAAAATACAAAAATTAGCTGGGCGTGGTGGCGCATGCCTGTAATCCCAGCTACTTGGGAGGCTGAGGCAAGAGAATCGTTTGAACCCCAGAGGCAGATGTTGCAGTGAGCCAAGATCGTGCCATTGCACTCCAGCTGGGGCAACAATAGCAAAATGCCATCTCAACAAAGTAAAAAAATTTTAAAGAAAATAAAATAAAAGCCTTTCTTCCATTTCAGATCTAATATAGTCAAGTAAAAGCCTCATCTCAATTCGACTTCCTTCTGTTTCTCTTTTAGCATAATTTTAAACTATGTAAGTTATTATGACATAAATCTAATACATCAATGTTTATTAAAATTAAATCTGCCGTTAAGATAATTACAACCAGATATGAATACTTGCAGGGTTATGAATGGGAAATGTAGAGGAAGGCTTTCCATTTCTAGGAGATAATAAAGTGATGCTGACACTAGAGAGCCCAAAATAGCTTTGGGGGATTATTTAATTAACAAGGTAACCACCTTACAAGAGGCTTTAGAAATCTTTTTTGTTTTAAATTTAAATGTTTATTATTAAAAGTCTATTGTTCTCCAAATCTTGAATAAGCTAATAGTTAAGAGTTTCTCCCTTCTGGACTAACTTTGCCCTTGATTTGGCGCACCTGATATAACTAACTGATCAATTTCTTTGTCTGCAGGCACATACGTAGGAAAGAACAAGATGCTTTTAGGGGCGGCAGCAGCTTAAATGCTTTCTCTCAATTAAGAGCCTTGTGTTGACAGTCTGAAAGTGTTCCAAATGAGAGACTATCTCCACCACACTAGAGAGGGGTAGGGGAGAGAGAAGCATAGGCCCTAGTCCCCTGCTCTTCTTAGGTAACATCAGGACTGGACATTGATGAACTTTCCACCAGGAATAGAAAGGAGAGGAGGAAGCTAGGAATCTCCAGTGATGTCTGGAACAACTGATCATGTTTCCTTAGAAAAATCAGCCTGCCAACACAGGGATGGATGAAGAAGGAAAGAGAAGAGATAGAAAATCCAGCTGGGCGTGGTGGCTCACGCCTGTAATCCCAGCACTTTGGGAGGCCGAGGCTGGTGGATCACTTGAGGTCAGGAGTTTGAGATGAGCTCGTTGCCTGGCCAACATGGTGAAGTCCCCTCTCTACTAAAAATGCAAAAATTAGCTGAGCATGGTGGCATGCACCTGTAATCCCAGTTACTCAGGAGGTGTAATCCCAGTTACCTGGGAGGTGGAGGTTGCAGTGAGCCAAGACTGCGCCACTGCACTCCAGCCTGGGCAACAGAAAGAGACTCTATCTCAAAAAAAAAAGAGAGAGAGAGAGATAGGAAATCCAATTAGATGACTACTGCAAAATTTCAGGCTAAAAAACAAACCAAAAGGTGTGGGTTTGAACTAGGTCAGTGGGAATGGGGATGAAGTGAGGGAGGATACTACTGATGTTAAGGAGATGACAACAATTCTTTTTCAAGATTAATTAGGTGTCAATGAATGAGGGAAAAAGAGGAGTTGATGACTCAGGTTTTGACTTTTTTTTTTTTTTTTTTTTTTTTTTTTTTGAGATGGAGTCTGTCTCCCAGGCTGGAGTGCAGTGGCATGATCTTGGCTCACTGTAACCTCCGCCACCTGGGTTCTAGTGATTCTCCTGACTCAGCCTCCAGAGTAGCTGGGACTACAGGTGCATGCCCAGCTAATTTTTGTATTTTCGGTAGAGACAGGGTTTCACCATGTTGGACAGGCTGGTCTCGAACTCCTAAAAAAAAAAAAATTCAGTCTCCACAGGCGGCTTTAGCTTTTAGGTGCATGGTGAGTTCAACTATAAATTATTCAGGAAATGAGAAATTATAGGAGTAACAGGTTTGGGGTAAAGATAATGACTTCACCTTTAAATGCTGAATTTCAGGTATACTTGGGACTGAGCTATCTGGAGGCAGTTGAATACACAATCCTGAAGTGCAGGAGAGAGGTATGGACTAAAGACGTGTGTGTCTCCTATTCTGAGTGATTATATAGACAGAAAAGAGGAGGGCTTTTTTTAAATTTTTTTTTTAGTTTATTCTCAATTGCAGGTGTTTCCCCTTGCTGGCAGAGTTCCTTTAAGTCTTGACAATAAAAAGGGCATTCTTGTTGTCCACCCTTGTAGGATGCATGTCTGGGCCAATCAATAAAAAGAAAAGACTTGTGGTGTCTGATTTGTTCTGCTTCAGGTTTCCCAAATAGCCTAGCTATAACAACAGTGCTGAGTTCATGAGAAAAGCTGACTCATATTTCCTGCAAGTCAGCACAGATATCCATCCTTCCAAAGAATTTGAACCTCTGGCCACTCCCAAAGACAATCAAAGTATTGCAACAATTTATGAGCATCTCTTTCTTTTGTTAGCTCTATTATAAAGATGCAAAGTAAAAACAAACAAACAAACACACCTTTCCTTCCTTGTACCACCCTCAGCCCCGTTCCCCAAACAACGATGTCCTTATCCTTCAGAGAAAGTCCAGTTTCTCTCAGGGTTGGTCCAAATGCCATCTATTTTGTCTATTTTGTCACCTTCAATTCTCACAATGAGAATTAATCACTCCACTCGCTTGGGCTCCCATAGCAACGAGTTTATCCATCTAGCATAGAATTTGTCATAGTTTGACTTTTACTAAAGTTATATGCCTAGGAAATACTTTTTGCCTCTAATGTGTGCTTATCTGTCATTGCTTTCCTTCTGTGCCTAGTGCAGTGTTTTGTATACAAATGTTTTCTGAAGTGAATTTGTTAAAAGTTATGAAAATATTGTCTACCACTTCAAGAAAGTCAGAGGAGTATACTTCGTGGTCAATGACAGTTAAAATACATATTTTTAAAACAACTCCCCTGCAGATAATTTAAGAAGTAAAAATTCAACTTATAAGGAATTGCTGAAAGAGGTAAAATTGTTAATTTGAGGAAAATGTTGAGAAGTGATCATTTTCAGAAATTTGAAAAAGTGCTGAGTCAAAGATATGACTCCTCAGATGGCTACCAAAACGGCAGAGACAGCAATGGCTCAGACTGCTACAGCTCTCCTGTCCTTGGCCACTCTTCTCAAGCACCAGGTTTAGAATTTATATTTCTTTTTTTTTTTTTTTTTGAGATAGGATCTTGCTCTGTCACCCAGGCCAGAATACTGGGGTGGGATCTTAGCTCATCGCAGCTTTGAACTCCTGGGTTCAAGCAGTCTTCCCAACTCAGCCTCCCAAGTAGCTGGGACTACAGGCATGTGCCACCATGTCTGTTTTTTGTTTGTTTGTTTTTGTTTTTTTTTTGTAGAGATGAGGTCTTGATATGTTGCCCAGGCTGGTTTCAAACTCCTGGGCTCAAGTGATTCTCCCACCTCGGCATCTCAAAGTGCTGGTATTGCAGGCATGAGCCACCATGCCCAGCCAGAATTTCAGAATTTGTCACTTCTAACATGACTTTTCTTACTATTATTCTTGAAAATTGTTCAGATAATTTCTTTTTTCTTTTTTTTTTTTTTTGCAACCTCTGCCTCCTGGGCTCAAGTGATCCTCCCACCTCAGCCTCCCAAGTAGCTGGGACTACAGGCATGCATGCACCACCATCATGGGCTAATTTTTGTATTTTGGTAGAGATGGGGTTTTGCTATGTTGCCCAGGCTGGCAGATAATTTCTTTCAAAAATAATTTCATCAGGTTTGTGTTTTTAAGAAACAAATGGATAATTTGACCACATTGCTAATAAATTTTAGTTTTTGGATTAAATACATTGGAATGTCACTCAAACACTGTTTCACAGTGAATACAATTTGTCAATATGGATTCTGCTTTGTGACACATCTAAATAGTTTCTAATAGGCCATAGATCCCTGGTAGTTTTTCTCACCCATAAGGAAGCCCTGTAGCATAGCTATCAAGGACTGCTTTATGGGCCGGGTGTGGTGGCTCATGGCTGTAACCCCAACACTTTGAGAGACTGAGGAGAGCGGATCACCTGAGGTCAGGAGTTCGAGACCAGCCTGGCCAACATGGTGAAACCCCCATCTCTGCTAAAAATACAAAAATTAGCCAGGCGTAGTGGAGGGCGCCTATAATCCCAGCTACCCGGGAAGCAGGAGAATCGCTTGAACCCAGAAGGTAGAGGTTGCAGTGCGCCAAGATCACGCCACTGCACTCCAGCCTGGGCGACAGAGCAAGACTCTGTCTTAAAAAAAAAGGATTGCTCTCTAGAGGCTCCAGGTTTTCATTTAAAGATGTGAGAAACTTCTGGTATAGCAATTAAGGTGCATAGATTCAACAGGTGGAGAGGATTAGGCTGTACAACAGCTTGCGCTTCCATTGCTTTAAATGGTTATTGGTTTCATAGTTTTCCTTCATGCATCATTCAAATCACAGCATTTTAAAATAACTTCTAAGAAATAGCCGGATACAGTTCAACATATAAAATATGACAATTTCAGAAATGGCATGGGGCCAAAATTTATTATCCAAAAAATTCTATTTGGCTCATGTCTACATTGTTAGAATCCCTTGCCCAAATCACATCTAGGGTTTAGGTTTAACTGTGACTATAGTCACATATGCCTGGAGTGTTGAGAGGACTCCTGATATGACTGTTAAGGGGGGCTCTGAGGTACGATACTTCCTGGGTACACAGTCAAATGCTGCGTATTGGTTTTCTACTGTTTATCAATATTGTTCTTTAAGAAGCTATTTTCTCTGATTAAAAAAACCTTCACGCCTTTTAAACTTTTGAAAGGTTTTAGAATCTCATTGTGTATGCTACATGCAACTATATAACATTTTAATTGGTACTCTGTAGATGAAAATATTTGTGTGTATATATATATATATATGCACATATACATGTATAACCAACTAAAAGAGTGCTTTTGCTGCTAGTGGAATATTTTGATATGCCAAGCTACTCCTTAAAGAGGAATTGACCTGATACGTCTAGCAACACTTAAAACTAATGAAAGGCTAAATCTGTGTCCAATGGGTAAAGAATTGGGAGGGTTCCCAACTGGACTTTAAAAAAAGCTTTTTAAGGTAGGGCACAATGGCTCATGCCTGTAAACCCAGCACTATGGGAGGCTGAGGTGGGTGGATCACTTGACCCCAGGAATTCAAGACCGGCCTTAGGCAACATAGTGAGACATAGTCTCTACAAAAAACAGAAAAATTTGCTGGGTGTGGTGGTGGGCACCTGCAGTCCCAGCTACTCCAGAGGCTGAGGTGGGAGGATCAATTGAGCCTGGGAGGGAGGCTGTAGTAAGCCGTGATCAGGCCACTGCACTCCAGCCTGGGCAACATAGCAAGACTCTGTGTCAAAAACAAGTCTTTTTTTACAGCTTTAACTGACATACAGAGGACTACATATATTTAAAGTATGCAACTCGATTGTTTTGTTTTGTTTTAAAGCAAAATCTTGCTCTGTCACCCAGGCTGGAGTGCAGTGGCACAATCTCGGCTCACTGCAGCCTCCGGCTCTGGGGCTCAAGCGATCCTCCCACCTCAGCCTCTCAAGTAGCTGGGACCACAGGCGCACGCCACCACGCCCGGCTAATTTTTTGTATTTTTGGTGGAGACAGGGTTCTCGCCATTTTGCCAGGCTAGTCTTGAACTTCTGAGCTCAAGCTGACCCTCTTGCCTCGGCCTCCCTAAGCGTTGGGATTACAGGCATGAGCAAAGGCGCCTGGCCTCAGTTATTTTTCTAACCTTTATAGCATGTTTCCCCTTAAAATGTGCTTAAGTACTTTTTTATTGTCCCTCTTCTCCCACTAAACTGCAGTTTCCTGAAGGCAAAGGTTTTCTGTTTCCCTCACCACTGTGCACCCTCTGTATGGATGTTTGTTGACTGAATGAATGAATACAATGAAAGAACTGGAGGTAGGAAATAAAGTTGTAAACTTGGTTAGTAAAAGGCTATGCAATTTAGGAAAAGTTGACTTTAAAGCAGAGGGATTTTGGGGGTCCTGTTTCTTCTTTCATTTGTCCATGGAATAATGTCTAACATTTATTGAGTACTTTCAAGCACTATACTAAGTACTTCACAGGTACTATAGAATTTAACTCCCGAGCAACCCCATGGGGGTAATCAAGCTTTATTAACCTCATCTGTCAACAGCCATCAATGGTGGAGAGCCACAGTCAGGTTTAAGTAGGCCGTATCCAATTAATCCAAAGTAATCGACACCCCGTCAGTCAACAATAGCTGTTTCATCAACGTACTTTTCGGAGAAACCCCCTGAATTCCCCGCTTTACCTTTCTATCTTGGGACCGAAACCTACTCGGCGGTTGCTAACCCTTAAGGGAGTTTCCTGGAGAATGTGAGCACCCTTGGTGGAGGAGCAGCAGCTGCTCAGATCTAGCAAGTCTGAGACGAACCGAGCAAGGCAATCTCAGGACTCCCAGAGTGCCGGGGAGGAAGGAAGAAACAGGTCAGTTGGCGCGAACTGGATTCTTGTGCCTCTGGGTGACGAAAGGTGAAGGGATTGTACGCTTCGCCCACGCCAGCCTGGGGCTCGGGATCTCCTGACCCGACGGGGAACCACGGTGCGTTTCCCCAACTACACCGCACGTCACGGACTAAGGCGACTTAGTCCCGCCCACCTTCACCGCCCCATTATCAGTTTGGCGCTAGGACCCCACGACCCTCAACTCGGCCCTCTCCTCCCACTCGGGCCAGATCCGGCCTTCGATTGGTGCTCGCGGGCGTGATTCCCGCCCCCGCCCCTTCCGTCATTGCCAAGATGGCGCCGGTCGCGGTGGCCGCGGAGGCTAGAGTCGGAGAAAGAGGCGGAGGCAGTGGCGGCCGCGAGGGGAGGGGGAGTCCCGTCTGACTGAGACGGCAGGCCTGGGCGGGCGGGCGGGGGTGCCGCGAAGGGCGGAGCGCCGGGCTGGGGATGAGCTAAGCGGGCTCAGAGCGCCGCGGCATTCAGCCCCTCGTGTTCCGCTACCGCGCGTGCGGGATTCCGGCGCCGCTCTCCGAGCTCGATCCGCTGCTCGCACGGGAGCCAGCTGGGTGGTGAGTGCGGGGGCGGCGACCCGGGCAGCGGTGGCAGGTGGAGCTGTCACGGCCCGGAGAGGTGACAGCCGGGGGCGCGGGAGCGGGGCGGGTGGGTTCGGGGAGGAGGCACGGATGGCCGAGATCTCCGCCCGAGAGCTCCTGAGATCCGGGAGGTGCTCCGCGGCTCGGTCCGCCCCGGGATGGCGCGGCGGTGCTGAGAGTAGCACCCGCGCCTCTGCGTCGGACGCGTGGGGGGCTCCTGTGTTTTCATTCCAGATTTTCTATTCCAGGCTGGCCTGGGGCTGTTGTTATTTGGGAGTGGGGGCGGGGAGGGGGAGGTCCTGGATCTGGGATTTTGACAAGCCCGTTACGTAAGTCGGAGGTGGCTTCCCGGAATCCCACCTGCTCGGTATCTGAGACAGGCGGCGGGGGGAGCCCGGGGTGCCTGCAGGCCCACTTTTCCTCCCAGGGTCTGTTCAGCCTTCCCCGGCCCGCGGGCACGGGTTCTGCGTGAGCGCGGCCAGCGTCCAAGTTGACCAGTTTTTTTTCTAGTCTTTTTGGGGGGGTGTGTGGTGGGGGAAGGGAACTGTTCCTGGTTACCACCATTCCCTTTGAAGTTTATTGTTTTCTGGAGGTGGGGGGCAGGAAAAACAGTAAAAAGCTTGTGACCTAAAATTGGGTCGCAGCGACAGCTTTTCATTATCGTGCTTTTAAATGACAGATGTGCTGGAAGATTGTTGTTGTTGTTCCAATGTGCTTTTAATTCAAACGTATGGTTACGCCTAGAACCGTAGAGAGAGGTTTTTGTCTTATAGGACAGTTATTTCTTGTTTGCAACAGCAGGACAGGCATCAGTCAACAGGCATGTATTTATTTGAGGAGAAAACGCGTGTCAGCCAGCTAGAGACCCGTGAGGGCAGAAATTGTATTACTCTGTGAATATGTTATTCTTTAAAATGTATTATACGTTAATGAAAAGAATAGCCCGAATGTAAAAGAAGTCTTAGAAGATTACAAGCTGTTATTTGGTGTGTATATAGTCTCCTTCTATTTTCTGTTTACCCTAGTATACCTCTTCTCTCCTTGGGGGAGGAGGTGGAGACACCTGTAAACAGCGTAGCCCCGGTTACGCTAATCTATTGTAGTACATTTGGGATTATTTTAAGAAGTATTCTGGGGGACCTAAGATTGGGTAATAAGTAAGGACTCTTGAGCAAGTTATTCAGTTTATGTTGATAGCGGTTCTGGGATTCGACTTCTGAAAACTTAAGTATACAAAATTTCTGAGCTGTTTGAACCCTGTTTGAACTTAAAATAAAATATTATATTTGGCTTCTTTTTTGGAAACTGTTTTGGGCAGAATTAAACATTTTCGGCAATTTTTACTTTATTTTCACGATTTCCCTTTGAACCACAGCTCTCAGTAGGAGTCCAGAACAGCATATGTTATCATCATCATTATATATAATATGTTACATAATTTTCTTTTTCTGAATGATTAAACATAGACCTACTTCACTGTGGAGTTTAATTTTTGTTTTATATTATTTTTTAAGCCCCTTCCATTCTGGGATCACTGTGGAATTTTATAACAGTGTACTTGCTGAGAAAGTTAATTGATCTTGATACCAGTCGCAAATTGGGAATAAATGTAGATAACTTTTGGTCCAAGTTTTAAACTTATATACACAAATTTACATTTTTGAAAATTGGTGAAGCAATATGAATTTTTTGTCTGTGCAAGAGAGCCAGGAAGTTGATGCTGATTTGTTCTGAACTTTTCCACATGAATTACCACTGGTTTAAAGAGTTATTGATTCTCAAGTTCCTGGAACTGTTGTCCTATTTCTGGTAACTTGAATAGTATTTAGTATAATTGGGAGGCTAGAAGAAGAGACTACATGACATTTATTAATTCATTAAAAAAATTATGGCAGAATTGTAAAATAAAATTAGCTGGGATTAATAGAATTGTAAAATAAAAGTAGCTGGGACTACAGGCGTGCACCACCGTGCTTGGCTAATTTTTGTATTTTTTGAGACGGGGTTTCGCCATGTTGCCCAGACTGGTTTTGAACTCGTGAGCCCAAGCAATCTGCCCGCCTTGGCCTCCCAAAGTGCTGAGATTACAGGCGTGAGCTACCGCACCCGGCCAGTTATTACTCTTATAACTGCTATTATAAAACTTGGTTTTCCACTGAGTGATATTAGTTACATTATATTTTGTTGTTTGCAGAATTTTTCAAAGCATTCTATGTCCTACAAAAACCTAGTTAAAGCACTGATGCAGATAGAGTTGTTTGGTATATAATAAACCTTGTGCTATTCCTACTTAAATTGATGGTGCGTTGTTCTAGGTGGAAAACAAAAGTTGCTCTAGCAGGAAAATTGACTTGTTATTCTTGCCTTCTCTGATGTCAGAGACTTATCTTTGTGGGATTTTTCCTTTTTCCTACCACAGGTAGAAGAAGAGTGACTGAGAATAGCTGATACATTTTTCTTCCTTTTTTTTTTTTTTAATCTAATACCCTATATTGATTGTTTATTCAGTAGAATTTGTGGGAGGATGCTGGGCGTGGAGGGAGTCAAGCACACCACACTTTATTATTGTATATCATAGTTATCACTTTGAATTCTACAAGACCAATGTAGAAATGTACTTTTAAGAAGTGATTAGGCCCTATGAGGTGGCTCACGCCTGTTATTACAGCCCTTTGGGAGGCCAAGGCAGGAGGATCCCGTGAGCCCAGGAGTTTGAGACTGCAGTGAGTTATGATTGTGCCACTGCACTCCAACCTGGGCAACAGAGTAAGACCCTGTCTCAAAAAACAAAAGTTTTTTTTAAAACTTAGCATTTTATAAGAGTGGAACAATTTTAATAGTCAAATGCATTATAGTATGGGAATGGTGAAATTAATGATAATCTATATGGTGGATACAACTTCTAAAAATCATTTTAAAAATGTACTGACATAAGTATAATATAATATTAAGAGAAAAATTAGAATATAAAGAAACATATACATGTAAATGGCAAAAAGATTTGCAGGAGACATATAAAATAGTAAGAGATGTTATCCCTGGGTGATCGGATTATGGGTAATTTTTATTTTAGTTTTTGTGCTTTTCTCTATTCTGAATAATTATTACTTTTTTTTTTTTTTTTTTTTTTTAAGACAAGTCCTGGCTCTGTCACCCAGGCTGGGGTGCAGTGGCGTGATCTTAGCTCACTGCAACCTCCACCTCCTGGGCTCAAGCCATCCTCCCACCTTGGCCTCTTAAGTAGCTGGGACTACAGGTGTGCACCACTGTGCTTGGCTAATGTTTGTATTTTTTTAGATGGGGTTTTGCCATGTTGCCCAGCCTGGTCTTGAACTCGTGAGCCCAAGTAGTCTGCCCGCGTTGGCCTCCCAAAGTGCTGTGATTACTGCACCTGGCCGGTTATTACTCTTATAATTACAAAGAAGACATTGAAATATTTTCAAGGGTCATAGGAGAAAATACTGAAAATCCCAAATAACTATTGCTACAGTAGGAAAACTATCTTAAGATTCATTGTTAGCAAAACTAACCCAAAATATCATGCTTATTTGCATTACACAATAATAGACACAGCTTGTAATTTAGATGAAGGTGTTCTCTTAACCAGCGCTGGCCAGGCGCAGTGGCTCACGCCTGTAATCCCAGCACTTTGGGAGGCCGAGGTGGGCGGATCGCAAGGTCAGGAGATCGAGACCATCCTGGCTAACACGGTGAAACCCTGTCTCTACTAAAATACAAAAAATTAGCCGGGCGTGGTGGCAGGCGCCTGTAGTCCCAGCTACTCGGGAGGCTGAGGCAGGAGAATGGCGTGAACCTGGGAGGCGGAGCTTGCAGTGAGCAGAGATAGCGCCACTGCACCCCAGCCTGGGTGGCAGAACGAGACTCTGTCTCAAAAAAAAAAAAATAAATAAATAAATAACCAGCACTAACCTTGTAATAGTTTTACATATGTGGATTTTTGTGTCATTAAACATTGCTTCTCTCCAAGCTTTTTCTTTCCTCCACCAAAGCTGTTCTGTGTTGACAGTGCCACGTATTGATGGATTCCTCTGCTTAGTCATTTCCCCATTACTTCATCAGTCAGTAGGCAATGGTCTTTGATTATGAGATGCCAGATAATTTGCTAGTTACTGAGATTACAAAGGTAAATAAATGAATAGTGATTTCTGCCCTCAGACCCTGGGTCACAATGCTTTTTTTGCTTTCTGGACCATCAGTACATATTGTGTACTCTGCTTTTCCTGTTTCTCTGCCAGTAGCCTGGCACCTTAGGCAGTATCTTTTTCCTGGTGCTCATATCCTTTTGTAACTTTCTTCATGGGAAGGTATGCTGTGAGTTCTAGACAAAAAATTTACAAATAAATTTTTGAAACATTACTTGATTGTAGGTTCGGGAATGCTATATTTAGAAGGGCTGGGTATATATTCATCTATGGCCGTTATTATTTTTAAAATGTGTGACACTTTCTTAGTTCCTACTTTGTGCTTCCTTCTGTTAAAAATCACAAGTAGAAAGCAAGAGAGAGAAGAGACAAAAAAGAAAGAGGTAGAAAGATATCAAGGGAATTTTCCTGCTAGTGTTATACTTTATTTTCACTGAGAATAGTGAGTCATTAAAATGTATAGTAAGAGAGATACTGTTTCTGATATACTTTGTTAAAACCTGTCTCTCTTGATCTGTGTAAAAATGTGTTTTCCATATGTATGTTAAAGTGTATATACATACATAAGTTCACACAGTTTAGCTGTTTTTGTTTTCAAATGAAAGCTGAAATATGAAGATCAGAACTTTATTAAATTTCTTAATTTTATTGTAATATTGTTTTGTAGATGAGAGATTTTTATTTTTGAAAAGTTTTAAAAATAAATAGCAAAAATGTATACACCCACATACCCACATATAAAATGTTAACATATTTCATTTTTGCTTCAGATATATATTTAATTTAAAATAACTATTTATATCATAGTTATCACATTGAATTCTAAAAGAGCAATGTAGAACTTTATACTTTTCTTGAATATTACAGATCATGTTAAAGTCCCTTTTGTTCTCCCCAGTTTTATCCTCCTCACCTTCATCTCCCCTCCCAGAGGAAATTGTTGTAATGAATTTGATTTGTATCCTTCTAGTTTATCTTTTAATAAACTATATATATGAGCAATGACATGGCATTGCTTTGGGTGCTTTTGTAGAACATGCACATTGTAGTACATTTCAAATCATACTCCCTTGGTGTGAATCTTGACTCTGCTACTTAATTTTGTGACCTTAGGTAAGTTATTTAATTCTTTACATGCCTCAGTGTCCTCATCTATCACATAGGGATGATAGAGGTGTCCACTTCATAGAATTGTTGTAAAAATTAAATGAGCTTATTTATTTGTTTTACTTATTTTTATTAATTTTTTTTTCTTTTTAGAGACTGGGTTTCATCATGTTGCCTAGGCTGGTCTCAAACACCTGGGCTCAAGCAATCCTACCGCCTTGGCCTCCCAAAGTGCTGGGATTATAGGCATGAGCAACTGTGCCTGGCCTAAATGAGCTAATTTATATAAGGTGGTAAAAACTGAGCCTGGCACTAGAAAAAAAACAAAACATGTATGTTCTAGTAAGTTTAAGCAGCTGTTAATATGATTGTGTCATGGTATAATGGATTTTAAAGCTTGCTTTTTTCATTTTATTTTTTTCTGCCCTCAATCCTTGTTGATACTGTAGGTGTAGTTCATTTATTTACACAGCTGTATAGTGTTCCAGTGAATGAATATATACAATTTATCATTTCTTCTATTGATGAGCATTTAAATTGTTTTCATTTTTTATCTATTATAAACATTGCCTCATGAATATTCTTGTAGCTCCTGAAGCAACATGCCATAGTTTCTCCAGGTCATATACCTGACTGTCAAATTGCTGGGTCCTAGGATATAAATATTTTTCCCTTTATAAGATATTTATAGGATATTGCAAACAATTTCTGTTTTTTCATATCCTTGCCAGCAGTTAGGGTTATCAAATTCTTTGATTTCTTACTGATTTGTAAGTTTTTTTGTTTGTTTTTAGGTATTTTCAGGATAGTTACAAATGTTAGGAAAACTTATTTTTATTTGGCTTTTGAAGTTTCCAGATTTCTTGAACAGTGACCAATATGGACCCAAGTTACTGTAATTTTGTCCTATAGTATATATTGTTGATAGTGAGCTTTCCAATGTACTTTCTCCAAGTATGTTTAGTTATGCTCCTTTTCTGAGACCATGAGGAAGTGTTTCAGTGTTTCAGAATTCAATGTGATAACTATTATATACGTAGTTATTTTTTATTAAATATATATCTGAAGCAAAAATGAAAAATGTTAATGCTTTATATATGAGTATGTGAGTGTATACTACATTTTTCGGTAATTTTATTTTTAAAACTTTTCAAAAATAAAAATGTCTCGTACAAAACAATATAACAACAAAAAGAATTTAATAATTTTTTTTTTTTTTTTTTTTAGAGACAGGATGTTGCTCTGTCACCCAGGTTGGAGCGCGGTGATGTGATCATGGCTCACTGCAACCTCAACCCCTTGGGCTCAAATGATCCTCCTACCACAGCCTCCCGAGTAGCTGGTACTACAGGCACATGTCACCATTCCTGGCTAATTTTTTTTTTTTTTTCTTGTAGAGACTAGGTTTTGCCATGTTGCCCAGGCTGGTCTCAAACTATGTGCCTGCCTTGGCCCCCCAAAGTGCTGGAATTATAATCGTGAGCCACCATGCCCAGCCTTTATAAATTTCTGATCTTTGTATTTCGGCTTTCATTTAGAAACAAAAAAAATATTTACCACTACAAAAGCCATGTGGATTTTTTTTTTTTTGAGACAGAGTCTCGTTCTGTCACCCAGGCTGGAGTGCAGTGGTGGCTCACTGCAACCTCCGCCTCCCAGGTTCAAGCAATTCCCAAGTAGCTGGGACTACAGGCATACACCACCATGCCTTGCTAATTTTTGTATTTTTTGTTAGAGGTGGGGTTTCACCATCTTGGTCAGGCTGGTCTTAAACTCCTGACCTAAAGTGATCTGCCCGCCTCAGGCTCCCAAAGTGCTGGGATTACAGGCATGAGACACCATTGCCCGGCCCAGGTGGAATTTTTATTAATATAATTAGTACCACAGTTTTGCTTTAGTCCCAAATTTGAGTGGCCTCCTCCTGCTTGGAGGAGGGCTTTCTGCTCCTGTAGTTCTTACCAATTAAGGAATCAAAATGTGCACATAAAAAAATGACTTATAGGCACTTACACATACAGTATTATAAATGGTTCATCAATGTTGAGATTATTTTGCACAATACTACCTGTATTTCTGTTTTTGTCCAACCCACTATACATGCCTTAAAGGACTAAAATCAGATTGGTTAAGGCAACAACTTCCCCATATTTTTATTTAATTTGAATAAATGTTTTCTTATAAAATATGTTTAGATTTACAGAAAAGTTACAGGGAGTTAAGGTATACCTTGCACCCAGTTTCCCCTATTTTTTTTTTTTTGTAAGAAATGGGGGTCTCGTCATGTTGCCAGTGTCTGACATTTCAATGTTAAATTTGTCACCGTTAAGGAACCAATGTTGGTACATTACTACTAACTAAAATTCATTTATTTGGATTTTGTTAGTTTTTACCTAAGGTTCTTTTTTGGTTCCAGGATCCTATCCAGAATACGACAATACATTTAGTTGACATCTTCCCTTAGCCTATCTGGGCTGTGATGGCATTTCAGACTTTCCTTGTTTTTGATGACTTTGATGGTTTTGAGGAGTATTGGTCAGGGATTTTGTAGAATGTCCCTCAGTTTGGGTTTGTCTGATGTTTTCTTCATGGTTAGACTGGGATTATGGGTTTGGGGGAGGAGAGTCACAGAGATAAAGTGCCGCTCTCATTGCATCATATCAAGGGGAAATACTATCAGTACGGCTTATCACTGATATTGTTAACCTCGGTCACCAGGCTGAGCTAGTGTTTGCCAGGTTTCTTTACTGTATTGTTTTCCCGTACTCGTCTTTTTGGAAACAAGTCATTAATTGTAGACCACACTCAGTAGGTCTGTTTTCTTAAAGGGGAGCTGTCTATAAAATTATTTGGAATTCTTCTGCTATGGATAGTCTTTTTTTCTTCTCCGTTTATATATTTATTCAATCATTTATTTATATATGTATGGACTCATAGATGGTTATTTTATACTTGGGGTCATAATCCTATACTACTTTATTTATTTTGTTGCTCAAATTTTTCTACCAACAGGACATACTCCATTGTTTTGTTTTTTGAGTACTTCCTTACTTTCTGGCACTAGAAGAAGTTCCAGACTCATCTTGTATATTTCCTGCCCCAGCCCTAGAATCAGCCATTTTTCCAAGGATCCCTGGTTCTATTTTTTGGTGAATCATGTTAGAAACCAAGATCTGGTTACTCAGTGTGCTCATTGCTGTTGGAATATCATGACTTCTAGGCCTTTTCAGTGTATAGACCTGGAAAATATATGTATGTATACACATATATAACTATTATCTGTATCTATATTGAGGTAAACATGAGTTCATACTGATGACTTTGACTATCAGTACTATATAGTTCATTCTGGCTTTACTCTGCTATCTATTACCTCCCTCTCCAAAAGTGAGAAATCTGGCTCACGCCATCTGACATCTATTAACTTATTTGTTCAGTCCCATCGTCCATGTACAGCACTTTTAGAATTGTTAACCTGTATCTCCATGAGAAATGCCTTTACCAAAAAAGAACAGTGCTTATATACAGTTCTTTTTGTTGTTAGAGTTTCCAGTTTCAAGTTTCCCAAAGTTACTTAAATCAAACCTTTTCCCCTGACATCTGTATTTTAATTTTATTTTTAATAAATTGATCTAAATTACATGGTAATTATATATAAAGCTTATAAAAAATTTCCCTTGCCCAACTAAAGATCTTTAGCTTTAGATGTGTTTTTTTTTCCTCCTGACTTTTGTGACCAAAAAAAAAAAAAAGATCCCTTCCATCAGTAGTATTTCCTGAGGTTTAGTCAGAATAGCACTGCTTCATTTGGTTGTTAGTTGACATCTTTACATTTGGACTAAGAATTATTATTGCTTCAGATATTTTTAGTGGTACATATTGATAAATGCTCTTTGATAGAGCATTAAGATTACTGCAACTAAACAAATATGTAATAATATTTGAAAGCTTAAAATGTACCTGTATTCTTGTGGTAACTTTGTATGTTTTAGCTAATTTAACTCCCCCAAGAAGTCTATGAGGTAAATAATTATTTTGCCCATTTATTTTTATTTTATTTTTTTGTTTTCAGGGTATGTGTATGTGTGTATGTGTGTGTGTTATTTTGCCCATTTTAAAGTTGAAGAAGTTAAGACACAGAGATGTTAAACAACTTGTCCGAGGTCACATTGCTAGTAAATGACAAAGCTGCAGTTTGCAACCAGTCTGATTGTGGAGCCTGCACTCTTAATCACTTTGGCATATTATCTTTAAATAAATAAGAAAAGTTCGAAGAGTAGTAAGGGTAATGAAGGAAGTAAAACAGGGTGATCTGAGAGAATGAACGAAAGAGGGTCCTTAGAGTACTTCTTGGGGAAGCCGTCTCTTGGGAGATTGACGCTGGACAAGCAAGAAGGAGCCAGAAATGTGAAGAGCTGAGTGAGGAAAGAGGAATATCAAGTGCAAAGCCTTGCAATGCAAAGGGTCCTGGGATGTTTGAGAGCAGAAAGGCACCTGATGTGGCTAGGTGTAGTGAACAAGGGTGAAAACAGTCTATGAGGGCCTGTAACACTTACTATATGTGAGGTCCCGTGTAGTACATTGTTTAGTATTCACAGTCACCTACTATCTCAGTTTTGCAGATGAGAAAATAGAGTTGTCTGTATCAATGACAAGGGCCCTTGTGGGGCCCTAAAATCCTTTTTCTCTTATTTACTCTTTATCCCACTGTAGTTTAATTTCTACTTTTTCATATCACTAAACTTGCTCTTGTAAAGTAACCAGTGACAATAATACTTTCTCAAGAAACTCTGTCCCATTACTTCCACTATGCCATCCCCTTTTGTGTATTCTCTGCCTGTCCCATAAACAGTGGTGTTTCTGAGTTGGCCAGTTGCTCTTCTCAGCCTTCACATTGTTCTAAGTTACAGTTATCCCTATAGTTTCAGTTACCATGTATCTACCCATTACTCCCCAGGCCATTTTTTCCAGCATCAGTATCTTTCCAAAGCATCAGATTAGATTATTTTATTTATCGCCTTCACTTCATCTCTTCTTGTCCAAACTGGACTTTATTTACCTATCTATAGTTTTTCTTTCAAAGACATCATGGACTACTGTTGACTTCATCAACCAAGGAAGAAACTTTGGAATCATTCATGATTTCTTCCATCTCCCTCTCTCTCTCTCATTCCTTACATCCATTTATTTACTGAATTCTGCTGGATTTATCTCCTAAATATTTTTTGAATCAGTCACTTCCCCAGCATCCTTGTTCCAACTTCTGCGTTATTAGGAACTATTTCCTTACTTTTTCGTAGTTTTCCTGTCTTCGGTTTTATCTCCTTGAGATTCACCTTCTCAGAATTGCCAGAATGGTATGTTTGAAACATAAACCTGAAAATTCTTTACTGACTCCCCATTGTCAACATGATAAGGTTTTAGTATGTCATTAAAACTCTCCATGACTTGGCTTCTACCTGGTTCTCTAATCTTAACTCTAGTAATTTCTGCTTTCTACTTTCCACTCCAACTCTGCAGAGCTACTTTTTGAAGATTTGCTGAATATACGTACTATTTCTGGATTGTTGACCATTGCTTATGTAGTCCTTCTGCCTGGAATGCCTTTGTTTCCTCCTTCCTTTTTCTTTTTGCCTACCTAACTCCTTTACAACTTTTAGGACTCAGCTGGGCATTACTTTCTCTAGAACGCCTTCTCAGATCCATACTCTTGCCTGGATAATTGGGTCCCTCCCAGAATAATCTATTGGTAACTATGTTATAGCTCAAGCACCCAGACCAGACATGGCACTCAGTAAGAATTTATGGAATGAACTATAGTATTGGAGAAGCAGGATAAAGTAGTTGGTTCCAGACCCAGACTGTCTGGGATTGAAACGTGACTTTGCTGTTTGACTGTGTTAACTCTGTGTACCTCATTTTCTTCCCTGTAAATGGGGTTATTGATGCCTTCATAAGGTGTTTGTGAAGCTTAAGTTTGCTAGTGCAAGTAAAGTACTTAGAACAATGCCTATGACTAATAAATATTCAGTAAGTAAGCTATTATAACTATCGTTGCCCTTAAATATTTTAATTTATGTATCTTCTCCACCAGGCTATGAATTAGTGAATGAAAGAACAAACCAACTAATCCTGGGTTTTAAAATCAAAGACACAACCCTAGCTTTTGAAAATGTCATGGAAAGTTGACCATTAGTCTTTCTAGGAGGTCCAACATTTGGTGTCCTGTCACAAATTTGAAATTGGTGTTGATGATGATTAGTATTTCTTAATTGTACCACTTAATTAGTTGCTTATTTAAAATTCAGCATACTTTTCTTATTAATAGCACTGTTTAAACTCTAGGAATGCCCTTTACTTACTTTTAATCTTCATTTAATCTGTACTGTAGCATTTAACTAGCCTTTTCTCTTTTGGATTAAGGTGTGAGGGAGGTAGCTGTACTAAGACTATATTTTTTTATTCGGGCATAAATGAAAGCATGTTACAGAGAAAGGTTGAACAAGAGCACAGAATGGGCCTAGCGGGGTGGTGCACACCTGTAATCCCAACGCTTTGGGAGGCCAAGGCGTACGGATCTCTCGAGCCCGCAATATGTCATTAAAAATTATTGATACCTCTGCCTTCTTCCATTATTGTAAACAGTTACAATAAATCTTTACTTAAATTTTTTTTTTCCCTGCTAGGTGTGGTGGCTCATGCCTGTAATCCCAGTGCTTTGGGAGGCCAAGCAGGAGGATCACTTGAGCCCAGGAGTTTGAGACTGGCCTGGGCAACATAGCTAGACCCCATTTCTCCAAAAATAAATAAATAAATAAATAAAGTCCAGACACTGTGGCTCACGCCTGTAATCCCAGCCTGGCCAACATGGCAAAACCCCATCTCTACTAAAAATACAAAAATTAGCTGGGCATGGTGGTATATGCCTGTAATCCCAGCTACTTGGCAGACTGAGGCACAAGAATTGCTTGAACCTAGGAGGCAGAGGTTGCAGTGAGCTGAGATCGCACTACTGCACTCTAGCCTGGGTGACAGAGTGAGACTCTTTCTCGAAAACAAACGAAAAACACCACCTAGCTAGCCAGGCATGGTAGTGTTCCCCTGTAGAGGCTGAGGTGGGAGGATCACTTGAGCCCAGGAGTTTGAGGCAGCAGTGAGCTATGATTGTGCCACACACCCCAGCCTCAGCAACAGTTTCTTGTCTTTAAAAACAAAACAAACAAACAAACTAAAAAACAGCTTTTTTTTCCTTCTCTTTTTTTTTTTTTTTTGAGACAGAGTCTCACTCTATCTCCCAGGCTGGGGTGCAATCTCGGCTCACTGCAACCTCTGCCTCCCAGGTTCAAGCGATTCTCCTGCCTCAGCCTCCCGAGTAGCTGGGATTATAGGTGTGCACCACCATGCCTGGCTAATTTTTCTATTTTTAGTAGAGACGGGGTTTCACCATGTTGGCCAAGATGGTCTTGAACTCCTGATCCCAGACGATCCACGCGCCTCGGCCTCCCAAAGTGCTGGGATTACAGGTGTGAGCCACTGCGCCTGGCCTTTTTCCTTCTCTTGAATTTGTATCTTGAGATTAACAAAGGTTTTTTTTCCTTCTAATTTTTATTTATTTATTCTAGACATGTGGTCTCGCCATATTTCCCAGGTTGGCCTCAAATTCCTGGGCTCAAGCCGTCTTACTGTCTCTGCCTTCTGAGTGGCTGAAACTGTAGGCATGCACCACCTTATGGGGCCCTAAAATCCTTTTTATAGCAGTCAGTATTTAATTGCATGTTGGCCTCCTCTGAGCTGAAAGCAACATAGCCTTTTTTTTTTTTTTTTTGATGCGGAGTCTCGTTGTGTCACCCGGGCTGGAGTGCAGTGGCGTGATCTCAGCTCACTGCAACCTCTGCTTCCTGGGTTCAAGCGATTCTCCTGCCTCAGCCTCCTGAGTAGCTGGGATTACAGGCACGTGCCACCATGCCCAGATAATTTTGTATTTTTAGTAGAGACGGAGTTTCACTGTTAGCTAGGATGGTCTCGATCTCCTGACCTCGTGATCCGCCCGCCTCATCCTCTCAAAGTGCTGGGATTACAGGCATGAGCCACTGCATCTGGCCTGCAACATAACTTTTTATATGCACTAGGAAACCAAAAAATTCATGTGACTTCCTTTATTGTGATATTGGTTTTATCGTAGTGATGTGGAACCTAACCTGTAGTATTTCTGAGGTATAGCTGTAATGACTGTGGTACTGGGGAACGCTTTTTTTTTTTTTTTTTTAGGTCACTGTATTTTACCACTGAGTATTTTAGTTGAGGACTCTGAAATGTCATGTTTTTAAGATAAATGGGTGTAGATGGGTGGGGGAAACTATACAGTGTTACTTTGGCTTGTTAGATAAGACTGGCTGTTATCACCAGAGAAGAAAAACCTCACCCCCTTTTTGGTCAAAATTGTAGTAACTGATATTATTTTTCTTTAAAAAATAATTTGTTCAGATAAAGTCTAAGAAATTCCCTATTAATCTCTCATTTTTTCTGGACACCAGAACTTTGTAATAGAATTTTATTCATACTTACTCATAACTACACTGAAGTTGGATTTATAGAATATTGTTTGAAACTGCTGTTTGGTGAATATTTTTCATTTTATTGTGCTGAGGAATATCTGAAGATACCAGCTTAACAGCCTTTTTTTTTTGATACGGAGTCTCCCTCTGTCGCCCAGGCTGGAGTGCATTGGCCTGATCTCAGCTCACTGCGACCTCTGCCTCCGGGTTCAAGCGATTCTTCTGCCTCAGCCTTCCAGTAGCTGGGACTACAGGTGCATCCCACCATGCCCAGCTACCTTTTTATATTTTTATTTGAGACAGGGTTTCACCGTATTGGCCAGACTGGTCTCGAACTCCTGACCTTGTGATCTGCCCACTTTGGCCTCCCACAGTGTTGGGATTACAGGTGTGAGCCACTGTGCCCAGCCTAACAGCCATTTTTTTAAACAAAACTTTTTTTTGGCTTCCTTGATTAACTGATATTTTGCTTTTCTTTTTTGAGGTTTGTTTAATCAATTTTTTTGTTTGTGGCCCGGTGCAGTGGCTCACACCCATAATGCTAGTACTTTGGGAGGCCAAGGCAGGCAGGTCACTTGAGATCAGCAGTTCGAGGCCAGCCTGGCTAACATGACGAAACCCCATCTGTACTAAAAATACAAAAATTAGCCAGGCGTGGTGGTGCGTGCTTGTGATCCCAGCTACTTGGGAGGCTGAGGCTGGAGAATCGCTTGAACCTGGGAGGTGGAGGTTGCAGTGAGCTGAGATCGTGGCACTGCACCCCAGCCTGGTCAACAGAGTAAGACTCTGTCTTAAAAAAAAAAAAATTGTTTGTAATTTAAAAAATGTAAGCTGGCTTACCCAAAAAGGGAAATTAGTTCCCATTAGGCAAAGATGCTGGAGTTTTCACAGTACCCGATGATAGAAGTACAGCCAAGACTCATGAAGGGGAAGGGAAACCAGGAACTGGAAATTTATAACCCAGGCAGCTATTTTCTTTTTTTCTTTCTTTATTTTGAGACAGCGTCTTACTCTGTCGCCCAGGCTGGAGTGCAGTGGTGCTATCTCAGCTCACTGCATCCTCCGCTTCCCGGGTTCAAGTGATTCTCCTGCCTCAGCCTCCTGAGTAGCTGGGATTACAGGCACATGCCACCATGGCTGGCTCATTTTTGTATTTTTAGTAGAGATGGGGTTTCACCGTGTTGTCCAGGCTGGCCTCGAACTCCTGGCCTCAAGTGATCCTCCTGCCTCGTCCTTCCAACTTGCTGGGATTACAGGCCACCGTGCCCAGCCCCATGCAGCTATTTTCTTACTACCCTGGGGTAGCATGATTTCTCTGAGTCTTCCTGCTTTTCCACTTCATTTTTCTTACTTTGCATGTTGTCTTTCACCACTGCACGTGGATGGACATGTCTTCTAACTCTTAAATTCATATATTCGCTCATGGTTCTGTGATTTCATTCTGAACCTCTGGGAGAAAATTGAGTCTGAGGCAGGTATCTCTTTCTGGTCTAATCAACTGTGGCCGATGAAGCCAAAGGTTCATAAAACATGGCTTTCAGGCCCAATTTTTATGGAAGGGGAATGATACAGGACATACAATTCTCAGAGGATAGGTGTGTAGGTAAATAGACTTTCTAAAAGGTGGTGGATACAAAGGGATACTTAATGATTAAAAAAATTATGATTTTTATGAAATAAAAAAGTTACTGCTCAGTGGCTTTATATATAGTAGGAAACTTAAATTATTTCATCCCCAATCTATACATGATTATTGTGAAGACTAAAAATGTCTCCCTTTTTTAAGTAAAAAACAATGGAGGTGATTAGCTTCTGCATACAGAATTGGAAGTTTGAGTCATTATTTTATGAGCATATGTGTATGATGATATATACCTTCTTTAATATTAATACCATTAATACATCACATCATTCTTTATTTAGCAAACATTTATTGACTGACTTCTCTCTGCCAGGGAGTATGCTAAAACAGATATTTACAGAAATGGGGGTGTAACATTGCTTACTCTTAGTGCATAATCTAGTTGAGAAGAATAGATGTTCAAAGAAATAATTGGAATATTAATGGGATAATCATAGTAGAGATATGTACAAGATACTCTAGAAGCATACAAAAAGAGAATGACGGTCTCATGGAGAAAACAGTAAGGAAGGCTTCGAAGAGCAGGTCTCCAATATTACATAGCAGTTGACCATTGGAATAGAGATATTCTGATAGGAGGAACTGAATTTGCAAAGGTGGCATGGAGTTGTGTAAAGGGGGAAACTGTAAATGGTTCAGTATGACTGAAGTGAATTTTTACCCCATTTAACTTAATGAAACTTAAACTAAAACTTTTTTTCATACCTGTCCTTCACATGGTAGTAATGATTGCCTTTTTCAAGAGGCAGTTGTACATTGTAGAATACTCAAATCACTTTTTGTTATATAATTTTGATGTCATTTTGGGAATTGGGAATGAGATGTCACTGATCATTTGCTTTCAGATTCCTTTATTGCTTTTTTTTTTTTTTTTTTTTTTTTTTGAGGAGTCTTGCACTGTCACCCAGGCTGGAGTGCAGTGGCATGATCTTGGCTCACTGCAACCTTCACCTCCCAGGTTCGAGTGATTCTCCTGTCTTAGCCTCCCAAGTAGCTGGGATTACAGGCATGCATCACCACACCCGGCTAATTTTTGTATTTTTAGTAGAGGCAGGGTTTCCCTATGTTGGCCAGGCTGGTCTTGAACTCCTAACCTCAGGTGATCTGCCTGCCTCAGCCTCCCAAAGTGCTGGGATTACAGACGTGAGCCACCGTGACTTCTTTTCTTTTCTTTTTGAGGCAGGGTGTGGCTCTGTCCCCCAGGCTGGAGTGCAGTGGTGTGATCATAGCTCACTATAGCCTTGACCTCCTGGGCTCAAGCAAACCTCCCACCTCAGCCTCCTGAGTAGCTGGGACCACAGGCATGAGCAATCATGCCCAGCTAATTAAAAAAATTTTTTTGTAGAGATGGGGTCTCAAATTTTTCTAATAGTGGTTGGTTTGTTAGTTTACTTTTATGGTAGTTTTTCCTGTATAAGCCTGGACCTTCATGCAGTGGATGACTGAAAATGGTAGAGCTTATAAAGCTTATGAAGTGCATATTTTTTATTAAAGTAAACATATGGGCTGTGTGTGGTGGCTACTTGGGAGGCTGAGGCAGGAGGATTGCTTGAGCCAAGGAGTTCGAAGTTAAGGTGAGCTATAATTGTGCCACTGCATTCCAGCCTGGGTAACAGAGTGAAACCTTGTCTCTCAAAAAAAAAAAAAAAAAAAGTAAACATTTGTAAAACTGTTAAGTATCCACAAAATTTTTTTTTAAAAAAAGCAAAAATAATACATTGTATAAGCCTATGTAATTTTAAAACATAATCTCTAAAATCAATGTCATTCTGAAATTTTATAATTTTAGAGAAAATAGCATATATATGTTATTTTATAAAACATCTTATTTTTATTTTTATTTTATTTTTTTGAGACAGGGTCTCACTTTGTTGCCCAGGCTGGAGTGCAGTGGCACGATCTCAGCTCACTCAGCAACCTCTGCCTCCCAGGTTCAAACGATTCTCCTGCCTCAGCCTCCCAAGTAGCTGGGATTACAGGTGCACACCACCATGCCTGGCTAACTTTTTTATTTTTTATTTTAATTTTTTTGAGATGGAGTTTCACTCTTGTTGCCCAGGCTGGAGTGCAGTGGCTCAATCTGGGCTCACCGCAACCTCCACCTCCTGGGTTCAAGCTATTCTCCTGCCTCAGCCTTCTGAGTAGCTGAGATTACAGGCATGCGCCACCACACCTGGCTAATTTTGTATTTTTAGTAGAGACTGGGTTTCTCCATGTTGGTCAGGCTGGTCTCAAACTCCCCACCTCAGGTGAGCCACCCTCCTTGGCCTCCCAAAGTGCTGGGATTACAGGCGTGAGCCACCGTGCCTGGCCAATTTTTTTATTTTTAGTAGAGACAGGGTTTCACCATGTTGGCCAAGCTGGTCTCGAACTCGTGACCTCAAGTGATCCACCAACCTCGGCCTCCAAAGTGCTGGGATTACAGGCATGAGCCACCACACCCAGCCAATAAAACATTTTATATCAGTATTTTTCTTCATAAAATTGTACCTACTGTTAAGCAAAACCAGTGTAGGCAGTTGGCAGAATGCCTTGTGCTTCACTACCCTGATGACAGTTGATTAACACCTTTACTTCTCTTTTCAATTCCTTTATCCACTCATTCATGATTCCTCCTCCACCCCATTAAAAATAATCAACCAACCAAAAACAAACAAACAAAAAAACCCCTAAAAAGCCCAGGTTGACTGTTCTGTGAAGTGACTGAGATGAGAAGGAGAGAAGGAAAGTAGTTTTGGCCAGATTTGTGGAGGCGGCAGCAGTGGTGTGTGTATGTTTGAAGCATGAGGTTTGTGATAAAAGCGACAAAAGTGACCAGTCTTCCTTTTGTCACTGTTATCTTTCAAATATGTTTCCCTCTAACTTTATTGAGGTATATTCAAATATACTTTTGATACTGTCCAGGAAGGAAATGATGAGTAAAGAAAAGGTGATATCCATTGTGCTTGTTCCTCCTTTCATGTGGAATCCCCTTCCATCTCTCCTCTATCACCTACTGATATTTCAGAATTTAGATGGTGTCGTTCTTTTTTGACTCCTCAAGCCTAAGCTGTGTGTCCTTCTTGTGCTTCCTGTGATTACTCCTGTTATAGACTTATCATGTATTATATTGCTTGTTTTCTTGTCTGCCTTCTCTATTAAACCGCTGTAAGGCAGGGTCATGTCTCATTTGTCTTTGTGTTTTAGTGCCTGGTTCTTCAGACCACATGGTAGAGGTACCATTTTAGGATTCTTGGTTGCAAATTACAGAAATTAATTCTGGTTAGCTGAACCAAAAGAAAAGGAATTTATTGGAAGCATATTGGTTGGCTTACAGAAATGACTAGAAGACTAGAGAACCAGACTCAGAGAACAAATATGAAACAAACCTCAGGGCTAGACCATAGCCAAAGTTATGCCATATCCTTTTCCTGTTGAACACACCGTTGATGCCACTGGATGCCATTGCTGGAGCATTGCCACTGGGTGCTGTATATCACTGCTCTAAGAATGATTTTTTTTTTTTTTTTTTTTTTTTTTGCTTAGAAACAATAGAAATTGATTTCCCATGGTTCTCAAGGTTGGAGGTCCGAGATCAGGGTGCCAGCAAGGTCAGGTTCTGGTGAGGGTCCACTTTTGGGTGGCAGACTGCTGACTTCGTGTATCCTCACATGGTGGAAACAGCCCTGAGAATGAATCTTAAACTGTTTTTGCTACTTTAGCTCTAGATTCAAATTCTGCATGAGTGCATATAATTGACCAATCTGTGTGCTTGGTCCCTAAATAGGGAGAGCAAATATCAGGTCTTTTTTTTTTTTTTTTTTTTTTTTTTTTTTGAGACGGAGTCTCATTTTGTTGCCCAGGCTGGAGTGCAGTGGCTCGATCTCGGCCCACTGCAACCTCCGCCTCCCAGGTTCAAGCGATTCTCCTGCCTCAGCCTCCTGAGTAGCTGGGATTACAGGCGGGTGCCACCATGCCCAGCTAATTTTTGTATTTTTAGTAGAGACAGGGTTTCACCATATTGGTCAGGCTGGTCTCAAACTCCTGACGTCATGGTCTGCCTGCCTTGGCCTCCCAAAGTGCTGGGATTACAGGTGTGAGCCACCGTGCCTGGCCAAATATCTGGTCTTTTTCTGCTTTCATGATTGGTTCGGACATCCAGCCTTTTTTATAAGATACATACAGTGGCAGATTTTCTAAACATAGAAAGGGAGTTCACATGCTACATGGTCAAAAATAAAACTGATACATGTCCATTTCAGTATTCAATAAATATTTGTCAGATGAGTGAATGAGAGAATCAGAGTCATGATTTCCTGTCTCTAGACCTTTAAGTCACCAAACATTGAAGTGATAATGGTGTTGCTAATGTAATTGAAAATAAAATCGAAGGAGCAAGCTATGGAGGGGAACAGGGATGAAGCTGAGAAATGTGTCGACATCGTCCAGGAGGCTCTGAATGCTGGCAACCGCGAGAAGGCCCAGCGTTTCCTGCAGAAGGCCGAGAAGCTCTACCCACTGCCCTTGGCCTGCGCATAAACAAATATAAAAATTACTATGAAGTACTTGGAGTTACGAAAGATAGTGGTGATGAAGATTTGAAAAAAGCTTATAGAAAGCTTGCTTTGAAGTTTCATCCAGACAAAAACCATGCACCTGGAGCAACAGATGCTTTTAAAAAGGTTGGGAATGCTTATGCTGTTTTAAGTAATCCAGAAAAGCGAAAACAGTATGACCTCACGGGCAATGAAGAACAAGCATGTAACCACCAAAACAATGGCAGATTTAATTTCCATAGAGGTTTTGTGAAGTTGATATAACTCCAGAAGACTTGTTTAATATATTTTTTGGGGGTGGATTTCCTTCAGGTAGTATACATTCTTTTTCAAATGGAAGAGCTGGTTATAGCCAACAACATCAGCATTGACATAGTGGACATGAAAGAGAAGAGGAAAGAGGAGATGGAGGTTTTTCTGTGTTTATCCAGCTGATGCCCATAATTGTATTGATCCTCGTGTCATTATTAAGCCAGTTGATGGTCTGTAATCCTCCTTATTCCTTCTATCCCAGATCTGGAACAGGGCAAACTATTAAAACGCAGACAGAAAACTTGGGTGGTGTTTATTATGTCAGCAAGGACTTTAAAAATGAATATAAAGGAATGTTATTACAAAAGGCAGAAAAGAGTGTGGAGGAAGATTATGTGACTAATATTCGAAATAACTGCTGGAAAGAAAGACAACAAAAAACAGATATGCAGTATGCAGCAAAAGTATACCGTGGTGATCGACTCCGAAGGAAGTCAGATGCCTTGAGCATGGACAACTGTAAAGAATTAGAGCGGCTTACCGGTCTTTATAAAGGAGGATGAACTGGAATTTTTATTTATACCTTTTAGCGTACTCTTTATTTTTTCTGTAAGTAAGTTTAGTTTCATCATGAGAGATGAAGGGAAAGATCTGATACTGAAAATTAAACTGAATAGTTGGTTCCTGAAATCTTGGACTGTTTATGACCTACTGGCTCCTTTAAATAGTAACTGAAAACTAAAATGGAATATTTTAGTTACGCTTCTACAATTATTTTCATTTTAAAAGCTTGCATGATTCCTAACTAAAATGTCTTGAGAAAGGATTATCACACCTGTAGCAATTTCCAGTTTTAGTGATTCTCCATTTTTTCCCTTGTCATGTAAAGATTTATGGAATGATCACTTTGTGTACATACAGGTTACTGCTTTTTTATTTAAATTCTTTTAGTGTTTTGCTCCGTGAGACACTTCAGTTTAAATTGATGGAATAAATGTTATATGACACATTTACGTTTTCCTTATCAAGGTGTCAAATATGTGGACTTTAAACAATGAAACTTTTTCAAAAAGAAAAAACAAAAACTTTAACTTTGTGTAAAATCTTATAGTATTATCAGCTTAGAGGGAATTGATATTTTTAATATTGCCGTTATATTCCAAAATATATATTGAGATAAATGAACTGATGTAGAATATCATTTTGCTATTTAGTTTTATGAATTACTATACATATACATGCATAGAAATGAAATGCTATACTGATAGATTTTAAAGAAAATATGAGGAAATGGCTATAAATAGTAAACTAAAAGGGTCTTCAACAGTAAAGTGCAGTTATGTCATTTACAATTCCAATACTTTAAAGGCCACCAAATTTTGATGTGTATGTCCTTGAAGGGCTGCCAAAATTTATGAAGAGGACTCACATTTTCCCCCATAGAAATTTGCAGTTTCTTGGTGATCATTTAAGCAGGATCCAAAGAAGTTCTTCTACAAATAAGTAATAAGAAAAATGAATACTAAAATACAGCTTTGTGCCTTTTAACCTTATGCCAACTCCTAAACATGTAAGTAGATTATAGTATACTTATCTGATCAGAGCATGATCTGTTTGGCCACATGCAAGTGTGAGCAGAAATAGAGCAGCAGGTAGAATAGTAACTTAAAGCAAGTCCTCCTTTAAAAATACTGAGCTAAAATCTATTCACCATTGAGTAATTGAATTAATCCTATAGGAATAAGCTCCTTGTAAGTAATTCCATATTATGAATTAGAAAAAAAAAACAGCTGGAAATTGAAGTTTTTGGTGCCTGTATACTGGAGATAAAACTATTTGATTTCTGGTCTTCTGTGTTTAGCAGTTGTAATATTTTAATGAATTTGCTGCATACTCGGTTAATGGAACATAAACATATCTTTGGTACTTCTTTGTGAGTGAAAGAATGCTGGATAGGGTGGCTTTGTTCTTTAAATTTTTTTCTGAATGTAGTTAATTTATGGCATCTGTTGAATAAAACTGCTAAAATGAAAAAAAAGAAAAGAAAATCAATACCAAACCATAAAATAAACAAAAGATAAGCAAACTCAGCATATTTCTGGTTTTTTAAAATGACGAGTACCTCATTAAGTGATTTACATCAAATTATTTGAATTGAATTTATACTTTTTTTGGTCCCTTATTTTAAAATACCCAAGCCATGAGCTTATTTGCGTATCTGATAATCTAATGCTGGATAGAACCAGGATTTTAATTTGGCTGAAGTGATTTCAGAGCATGTAGCTGCTAAACCTTACTACATTTTATAGTTTTCATATAGTTGTATTCAGCAATGAATTAAAACAGGAACAACAAATCAGTATTTTAGAGAGCTCAGAGGAATGTTTATGTTTGTGGAGGAAAAAAGGTTTTTATTTATTTCTAAGCCATCTTACTCACCAAATATAAGGTCTTACTATAAAACTTAGGAAAACAGTTTGGCATTACCTACCACAGTTGAGTGTGTGTGTGTGTGTGTGTGTGTGTGTGTGTGTGTATACCTTATATGCTAGGAATTTCATTCTTAGCTATTTTTAAAAAATCTATGCGTTTTTATATGCATGAAAACTCATAATAGTTTATATCCGACTTTGTAATCATTTATAACAGCCTCACATTGGAAACCAGCCAAATGTCAATTAACAATAGAATGGATACATAAAATTGTGGGGGTTTTTTTTTTTGTTTTTTGGTTTTTTTTGAGACAGAGTTTTGCTCTTGTCGCCCAGGCTAGAGTGCAGTGGTGTGATCTCAGCTCACTGCAACCTCTGCCTCCAGGGTTGAAGCAATTCTCCTGTCTCAGCCACCCGAGTACCTGGGATTACAGGCACCCGCCACCACGTCCGGCTATTTTTTTCTTTTTTTTGTATTTTTTAGTAGAGACGGGGTTTCACCATGTTGGCCAGGCTGGTCCTGAACTCCTAACCTCAGGTAATCTACCTGCCTCGGCCTCCCAAAGTGCTGGGATTACAGGCATGAGCCACCGCGCCTGGCAAAATTGTGTATTCTTAAAATGAAAAACTATACAGAAATGAAAATGAACAAACTGCTATATATGAGTATGGCCAAATCTCAAAAAACATTGTAGAATGAAAAAAGCTGGACCAAAATAATGTACACTTTATATGTCCTTCCATGTTCCATTTATGTAAAAGTTCAGAAATAGAAAAAAACTAATCTACTGTTAGCATTCAAGATAGTGGTTCTCTTTGGGAAGGTTGGAGGGGGCTTCCTGTTACTGTTAATGTACTATTTCTCGACCTGTGAGGTGTTTGTGATGGATGATGTGTTTATTTTGTGATAATTCCTGGAGTTGTACATTTTCTATATGTGTGTTATATTTTAAAAAGTAAAAGAACAAAACAAAACGAAAAAAACAGGCTAGGTGCAGTAGCTCATGCTTGTTATTCCAACACTTTGGGATGCCGGCACGGGCAGATCACTTGAGCCCAGGAGTTCAAGACCAGGAGTTCGAGACCAGCCTGGGCAACATGGCAAAACCGCATCTCTACCCAAAAAAAAGAAAAAGATAAATTAGCCAGACGTGGTGGTGTGCGCCTATAGTCCCAAGCTACTTAGGAGGCTGAGGTGGGAGGATCACTTGAGGTGAGCCATGATCGTGCCACTACACTCCACACTGATTTGAGGTTTGCTGAAACCAGTGGTTACATATTTCTCTCTGGAAGGAAGTGGGGTAAGAGCACCTGAGATACGGAGAACTGATTTCATCATATTTTTCATTTCATGGTATACTTTTGTGACTAACTTGTATGAAGCCCTGCTTTATTTTATTCTCCTTTATCTCTCGTCTTCATCCAATTCCCTTTCCCTCACAGTTGTCCATTTGAATATGTCTAATATATCATCCTGAATGTCTTTGAAAACTATCATGCTAACTTTAATATATATGTTTTAAGTTTATATAAATGCTATTTTGCTGTAGATTCCTTTCTGCTTCTTACTGATTTCATTCAACACTAAATTTAAATAATGTGTTTGTGTTTCTATGTTTACATCTGTTCTTTTACTTCTGACCATCCCATGGTACTCGATAATGGTATCAGTTGCATTTTAAAAATTATTCCTGGTTGGATTACAGGTGGTTCATGCCTGTAATCCCAGCATTTTATGGGAGGCAAGGTAGGAGAATTGCTTGGCCCAGGAGTTTGAGGCTGCAATGAGCTATAATTACACCACTGCACTCCAGCCTGGGTGACAGAATGAGTCTTTGTGCCAAATAAATAAATAATCATTCATTTAACAGATATTCACCATATACTATTTGCCAGGTACTGTTCTAGGTGCTGGTTATGCAGCAGTGAATAAAACAGAAAAATCTGTACCCTCATGGAACTTACAATCTTGTGGAAAGAGAGAGAATAAATAAGACATATGGTATGTTAGACAGGCAAGCTGGTTAATTTTTATGCCTCAGTTTGTTCAATTATACTAAAGGTACTTGAAACAATATCTCTAAGGACCTTCCTAGCTCTAAAATCCCATGATTCTGTGGTGTTTTAACTTTCTCATTTTTTTCTACTGTGCTGACCTCATCCATTGAGTAAATATTTACACACCTACCATGTGTTTATAACTGCTATGCATGTGAGAGAATCAAAAAGTAGAGCACAAAGTTTCTGCCTTTGAATTGTTTATAGTCGGTCTGGAAACAAGAGGTATCTGTATATTAACACTGTTATTTCCAGTGTGTTCTTATTCTGTCCAGAACAGATCCATATTCTCAAGGGAATAGCAGCTACTTCAGCTGCAACCTAATTTCTGGGTGAGGGACAGGGTTGCCCCTGAACACAGTATAATACTCCTTTTTTTTAATGTTCTTATATATGTAGGAATCCTCACTGTAGTTCTGTAGCATTATTTTATGTTGTCCACTTATTTTCGGTCTGGAACTTAGCCAGGATAGGAAAATTTATCTCAGAATTTAGTAGATTGGTTTTCATTGGGATTTAATGGATGATCACTCTCTGCCCTCCTTATCTTTTGTGTGCCTATATATGTCTGTGTGTAGTATCCCTCACTGTCTGCTGGGGACCAGTTCCAGGACCACCTGTGGATTCCAAAATCCACTCAAGCCCCACAGTTGCCTGTTGAGAACTTGTGGATACAAAAAGCTGGCCTATTTTTGCAGCTTTCGTGTCCCACAATACCATATTTTTGATCCAAGTTGGTTGCAGATGCAAAATTGCCCATACTGAGGGCTGACATATTTATTGCAAAAAAAAGAAAACCATGTGTAAGTGGAACTGCACAGTTCAAATCAGTGTTGTTCAAGAGTCAACTGTATTTATATGTTTGTTTAATTATGTTCAAGTATAATGTTCTGGATGCCTGAGTGAATGTGACCAACAAGGCATTCAACACGCCAAATAAGCTTATACTTTGTGCTTTGGTTTGTTTCTGCATCTATTTTTTTTTTTTTTTTTTGAGGTGGAGTCTCACTCCGTTGCCCAGGCTGGAGTGCGGTGGCCTGATCTCAGCTCACCACAACCTCTGCTTCCCAGGTTCAAGTGATTCTCCTGCCTCAGCCTCCTGAGTAGCTGGGACTACAGGCGTGCACCACCATATCCGGCTAATTTTTGTAATTTTTTAGTAGAGACAGGGTTTCACTATGTTGGCCAGGCTGGTCTTGAGCTCCTGACCTCGTGATCCACCTGCCTTGGCCTCCCAAAGTGTTGGGATTACAGGCGTGAGCCACCGCGCCCGGCTTCTGCATCTATTTTGTAAGAAAGTATTGTTTTTGGAAATATATCTCTGCATTTCATTGGCCGTATGTACTTTGTGATAAAAATATACCACTCCACAGGGATTAGGGATAATGGGGTGAATCAGGGAGGGCAGTGTGTGTGCTTATAAAAGGGCAACACTAGGGACCCTTGTGATGGAAGTGCGCTGCATCTTGTCTTTGGTAATGGATACATGGTTTTATGCACATGTGACAAAACTGTGCTTATACAGGGCAATACTAGGGATCCTTGTAATGGAACTGTACTGTATCTTGATTTTGGTGATGGATATGTTGTATTATGCACATGTGATAAAACTGCATAGAACTAAACACACACACAGATGAATACAAATAAAACTGGGGAAATCAGGATGAGACAGGTGAATTGTATCAATGTCAGTAATACAGCTGTGCTATAGTTTTGCAAGATGTTACCATTTGAAGAAAACGGGGTGAAAGGTATACCAGCTCTCTATTATTTCTTTCAACTGAATATGAATCTACAATTATCTCAAACTAAAAGTTTCAATTAAAAATAACAATTTAAAGAAGTCTGTGTTAAAAGATAATGGCTTAGCACATGTAGCTGCAGGAAGCACATTCATATATCACTTTGTGGAGCATGACTTTCATTTACAATCAAAGGATGCTCTGCTAAATAGATTTTATAAATTTTCTATTCCGGGTTTTCTTGTGCATGTATAGAAAGTAAGGCAATAGCTGTGATGTGTTATCTTCATTAGCAGAAGAAGAACTTTGCAAACACTTAAGTGATGCCAGTTTTGTGTCAGCCTCATCTTCTGTGTCAAATAGAAAATCAGTTAATTCTAATAATAGTTCTTTTTTTCGTACAATTCATGGAATAAAATTAAAGTTTTTGGAAGTTCATTCATCAGAATGGAAATATTTGATATTATTGTGAATGCTAATGTGAATTCAACATCAAAGAAAATGTTACTTTTTTTTTTTTTTTTTTTGGAGACAGGGTCTCGCTCTGTCACCCAGGCTGGAGTGCAGTGGTGCCATCATAGCTCACTGCAGCCTCAACCTCCTGGGCTCAAGCAATCCTCCGACCTTAGCCTTCCAAGTAGCTGGGACTATAGTGCACACTACCACACCCAGCAAATTTTTAAATTTTTTGTACAGATGGGGTCTCACTATGTTGCCCAGGCTAGTCTCAAACTCCTGACTCAAGTGATCCTTCTGCCTCGGTCTCCCAGAGTGCTGGGATTACAGGCATGAGCCACTGTGCCTGGCCACTTGTTATTTTTTTTTAATTTCTTTTAAAAATTAAATTTAATTAATTATTGGGTTTTTTTGAGACAGAGTCTTGCTGTATTGCCCAGGTTGGAGTGCAGTGGCACGATCTCTGCTCACTGCAACCTCCGCCTCCAGGGTTCAAGCAATTCTCATGTCTCAGCCTCCCGAGTAGCTGGAATTACAGGCACATGCCTCCACGCCCAGCTAATTTTTGTATTTTTAGTAGAGATGGGGTTTCGCCCTGTTGGCTAGGCTGGTCTCAAACCCCTGATCTCAAGTGATCCTCCCACCTCTGCCTCCCAGAGTGCTGGGGTTATAGGCGTGAGCTACCATGCCCAGCCAATTTTATTTTTTTGTCCAGATGAGGTCTTGCTGTGTTGCCCAGGCTGGTCTTGAACTCCTGGCCTCAAGTGATTTTTCTGCCTTGACCTCCCAAAGTGTTAGGATTATAGATATGACCCATCACACCTGGCCTGTTTTTAGAATAATGATACAAATATTAAGTTTAATGGGGCAGAGTTATGGTCAAAACAGTGTTCTTACTATATTAAGAAACAATGTAGCAGAAAATGTATTTGAAATTGGTTGTAGCACATCCATAATTCATAATTACATCTAAATAAGTCTGATATTCTACCAATAAAATAAATAATTTTCAAAATTTACAAGTATTTCTATATACATACAGTATTTTTACTAGAAATTTTTGTGACAACTGATGTTGAATTTTAAAAAATGTTTCAGCAAGTCAGTATTTACATTGTTTCATTGCCAATTGTCAGCAATAACATTTTAGAGATATTTGAAAAGTACATTTACCACTGCATATTTACTCCCTGAAATTTTTTCAGGGAACTTTTGGCATCCTCATTTTAAAAATACATATATCTATCCTGACAATATTTAGCAGTTCAAAAGGTAATAAGATTATGAATATATTATTTTGCTTTCATTCTTTTCACCCTCTATTTCAAGACACTATCGAATTTTTTTTTTTTTTTTTTTTTTTTGAGACAAGGTCTTGCTTGGTCACTCAGGCTGGCTGGAGTGCAGTGGTGTGAACAAGGCTCACTGCAGCCTCGACCTCCTGGGCTCAAGCAATCCTCCCATCTCAGCCCCACCAAGGAGCTAGGACTACAGGACTGCACCACCAACACCTGGCTACTTTGGTATTTTTTGTAGAGACAGGATTTTGCCATGTCTCAAACTCCTGAGCTCAAGTGATCCACACGCCTCAACCTCCCAAAGTGCTGGGATTATAGACATGAGCCACTGTACCTGGTGTTTATTAAATTCTTGACTCAGTTTATGCCCTTACCCCCTTCTCTTCCACTTCTCACAGACACACACATGTCAAGGACCTAACCAAGTTAGATGAATCTTGTGTCTGGGTGTAGCTGCTCCTGTTTCCTGGTTGTTAGTAGATATTCCATGTTGGTTAAAGCTGTGGTTTCTTCCTCTTGAGGTGCTTATGATTTCTGTGCTTGTTTCCCCGCAGAAGCTATTGACTCTTACTGAACTTCATTTTGTGTGTGCATGTGTCCAGTGTTAAAGCTAACCTATAGTGCTTGGTACAATACAGTTGGTCTGGCTCTACTCTTAAGACTTTGTCGGTGGCATCATCTTTCCATCTAGTGTTTAAAATGACTCATAATTACAAGTTACTAAATTACTTAATTTAAAAAAATAAGATACTGGCATATTGAATTCTGTAATATGACATTGCTTATTCTCTTGTTCAGAAGAATTTGGTTCCTTGGTGAGATTTGATATAAATGATTCTATGTAAGTACATTTGCCCCTTGGTATCCTCCATGGATTAGTTCCAGGATACCCCCAACCTCCACCCGATGGATACCAAAATCCACATATACTTAAGCCCCTTACGTAAAATGGTGTGGTATTTGCACATAATCTACACACATCCTCCTGTATACTTTAAATCACCTCTAGATTATCTATAATACCTAATTCAATTAAATGCTATATAAAGTTATACCGAATTATTTTGTTAAATTTGTATTACATTTTTTGTTGTATCATTCATTCATTCATTCATTGGAGATAGAGCTTTACTCTGTTACCCAGGCTGGAGCACAGTGGTGTGATCAGGGCTCACTGCAGCCTCAGCTTCCTGGGCTCAAGTGATTCTCGTGCCTCAGTCTCCTGAGTAGCTGAGACTACAGGCACGTGCCACCCTGCCTGGCACTAACTTTCTTCTTTTTTTTTTAGAGATGGGGGCCTCACTATATTGCCCAGGCTGGCTTTGAACTCTTGGGCTTAAGCAATCCTCCTGCCTTGGCCTCTCAAAGTGCTGGGATTACAGACGTGAGCCACTGAGCCCAGTCTGTTATTTTTATTGTTTTTGAAAAACATCTTTTCAGGCCATGTGCGGTGGCTCACGCCTGTAATCCCAGCACTTTGGGAGGCCGAGGCAGGCAGCTCACCTGAGGTTGGGAGTTCGAGACCAGGCTGACCAATATGGAGAAACCTGGTCTCTACTGAAAATACAAAATTAGCTGGGCATGGTGGCACATGCCTGTAATCCCGGCTACTCGGGAGGCTGAGGCAGGAGAATCTCTTGAACCCAGGAGGTGGAGGTTGCGGTGAGCCGAGATCGAGCCACTGCACTCCAGCCTGGGCAACAAGAGCGAAACTCTTGTCTCAAAAACAACAACAATAACAACAACAAAAAACATCTTTTCAATCCATGGTATGGATGTGGAACTCATGGATACAGAAGGCTGACTGTAGTATCTTTGAAATTTGTAATAAAGGGAAAGTACTTTTGGGTATTGACTTCTTTGAAACTTTTTTTTATATGGAAGTTACTTGAGTCTATATTTGAATTATGTTAAATGTATACATTTTTCCCCTGTGAATGAGGCTCTGTACAGTGCCCCAGAAATAGTCATGTTGTTCTTTCTCACACTCTTTGCCCTGTACACATTTCCTCTTTTGTACCCTTATTTATTCTTCTTGCTTTCTTTTTTTCCCCCTTATCTGCTAGTTTTTTCTTTTTTTTTCTCATTGCCTCTCTTCAGCATGTTTTGTTTTTAAAGTATGTATTTATTCTTTACTGAAATCTTGTTTTTAAAAATTGCTTATTGGCTCTTAACCACAAGAAAACAATAAATGCAATCAGTTTAGTAATTATCACTGTTAACAGAACTTTAAGTATCCACAGGCATATTGGGGGAAATATTTGATTGGAATGAATTTAAGTCCAATTCTTACTGTTTTCAATACAGTTATTTCTCAAACTCTGAGGCTGCGGAGTTCACACATTGAAATCTGTCATCTTTTTCAGAGAGAAACTTTCGGTAATGTGTAAGTAGTTTTTGGCTTTCATTTTGATTTGTTTCAGTTAGCTATTTCCTGTGTTAAACACAGTGAAACCTTAGTTTTCCAGAAGTCTTAATAATTTGGAATATATTCTCCATGTAATAATTATGGGTAACAAATGATACAAAATAATTCATTGAAAGATGTCTCAGGATGTGCCTTGGATCACAATTAATTCAACACCATTTATTAGAGACAAAATCTTCAATGTGAAGTATACGGTTCCCTTTTAGTAGTTATTTCCTGCGTTCTATTGTGAATGAGTTCAAATTATTAAATTTTGTGAAAAATACCCAAAAGAACTAATGAAAAGGAATTTTATGAATAAATTTATCTCAAATATTTACTTATAATAGCTAGTTATTTCCAAGGATAAGGTGGTAGTTCTCAAAAAAACTTATTAAATATATGTTTTCATGATAGTACTATATCTCTTCTGTTTCCGCTTTTTTTTTGAGACAGAGCCTCCCTCTGTTGCCCAGGCTGGAGTGCAGTGGCGTTGATCTTGGCCCATTGCAACCTCTGCCTACAGCGTTCAGGTGATTCTTGTTCCTCAGCCTCTCAAGTAGCTGGGATCATAGGCATGCACCATCATGCCTGGCTAATTTTTGTATTTTTGGTAGAAACGAGGTTTCACCATGTTGGCCAGGCTGGTCTTGAACTCCTGACCTCAAGTGATCTGCCCATCTCGGCCTCCAAAAGTGCTGGGATTATAGGCATGAGCCACTCTGCCCGGCCTCTTACCCTTCTTTCTACGTAGCAAGACATAAAACTATTTTATGCAATAGTGACTATCTGCTTTAGTTTGCCTGCTTTAGTTTGTTTATTTATTTATTTATTTATTATTTTGTGACAGAGTCTCACTCTTGCCCAGGCTGGAGTGCAGTGGCATGATCTCAGCTCACTGCAACCTCCGCCTCCCAGGTTCAAGCAATTCCCCTGCCTCAGCCTCCTGAGTAGCTGGGATTACAGGCGTGCGCCACCATGCCCCGCTAATTTTTTGTATTTTAAGTAGAGACGGGGTTTCACCGTGTTAGCCAGCCTGGTCTCGAACTCCTAACCTCAAGTGATCTGCCCGCCTTGGCCTTCCAAAGTGCTGGGATTACAGGCATGAGCCACCACGCCTGGCCATGCTTTAGTTTAAATAACATAAAGTTAGCATCTAGGAAAAAGGAGGATGTTTTAGTTTCTTCATTATGATGGAATGAAAATACTTTACCAGAGTAATTTTTAAGGTTATGTGTATTTAGAGCTTATAATATAAAATTCATGTACACACGAAAGCACATAAATAAAGGCTGATATAACCTTTGACCTAATAATTCTATTTCAACAAATGTATCCTGAAGAAATACTAGAGTTGTGTCCAGAGGTTTATCAAGATTATTCATTGTACCCTTTAAAAAAAATTAGCAAAATAAGTAGAAGTAATAAATGATCTACAGTAAGCACATAGGTCAAAAATGGTATATCCATAAAATAAAATACTATGCAGCCCTTTAAAAATTGTTTTCAAAGACTAATGAACTGGAGAAAAAAAGTTAAACACAAAAGTCCTTTTGTTATTCTGCAACTTTCTTAAATAAATAGATGGTCAATTGGGTAAAACTGCTCTTTTTTTGGAGCACTTGTTATATGCAACGAGCTGAGGGTGATAAGTCAGCATTTAACAGTCTTCTCAGAACAGATTGTTAGCACTTTCTTTTTAAGTGTCCATCTAGGAGGCATTTCTGAAAAGGTTAAGCCCTTTATTATATGTAGAAATCCTATATGTAAGGAAATTGCTGCATAGGCGCCATTAGTATGTAAATAAAACAAGTAGAAACATTTAATCTTCTTTAGTCCCATTTTTTTTCCTTTTTTTTTCCAGATGGAGTCTCGCTCGGTCGCCCAGGCTGGAGTGCAGTGGCGCGATCTTGTCTCACTGCAACCTCCGCCTCCTGGGTTCAAGCAATTCTCCTGCCTCAGCCTCCCGAGTAGCTGGGACTACAGGCACATGCCACCACACCTGACTAATTTTTGTTATTTTTAGTAGAAATGGGGTTTCACCATATTGGCCAGGCTGGTCTTGAACTCCTGACCTTGTGATCCACCCGCCTCGGCCTCCCAAAGTGCTGGGATTACAGGCGTGAGCCACCTTGCCTGGCCTAGTCTCATTTTTAAAGAAAATAGTGGGAATACTTAGAGTATATTTGAGTGATGAATACAGATTCCAAGAAATGTGTCATGAATTCTGAAAACTGATGACATTAGCAATATAGAAAATTAAATGAGTTTTGGGATTTTGATGAAAATGTTAATAATTATATTGTAAACAAGTATATACTACGTAAGAATGTCTTTGCCCTGAGATTTTATGGTCTACAAGGGAAGATTGTTTACTGTAAACTAGCATTTTCTTAGGGTTGTTTCTAGTTGTTAAGTGGGAAAATGTGGTTCATTTTTCAAATAGGCTTGGGAAATCCTGAGTTAAGCAAAGTTTATCGGCTGCCTTTATCAAAAGACTGCTGAGGATTTAGTATTTTTATATATATAGTAAGTATCCAAAGAGACCTATAGTGTGTATACCTAATTTATTTGTCCATGGAATCTTTTCTTTGCACTTATTGGAACTGTGTCTAACATGAAACAAACTCTGGGAAATTGTTTTAGATTAAACTTTTTTCCTATAATAGTGGTATATAAATAATGATGGTACTGTGGAATGTATTCTCCTAGTTAAAGAAACAAATAGGTTGGGTATGGTGGCTCACACCTGTAATCCCAACACTTTGGGAGGCTGAGGCGGGAGAATCTCTTGAGCCCAGGAATTTGAGACCAGCCTGGGCAACAAAATGAGACTCTATCTCTACAACAAAAACAAACCAGCCAGGCGTGGTGGTGCACACCTGTGGTCCCAGCTGCATGGGAGGCTGAGGCAGGAGGATTGCTTGAGCCCAGGTGGTCAAGGCTGCAGTGAGCCATGTTTGCACTACTCCATTTCAGCCTGGGCGACAGAGCGAGACCCTGTCTCAAAAATAAATAAATACATAAATAAAATTAAGTGATACCGGACAACCAAAGGAGACTGCAAATATGTGATAGATTCTATTTTGTGTATTTTTTCTTTGAATCTGTTGTAAGCATGCATTACTGTTACACTCTCTTACCTACTTTTATTATTTGAAATTCTTCTGTTTGATATATCTGCTGAGACTTAACTTCTGGTAGACTTTTGTGTATGCATTTTTGTAGTTTTGGAACAGGAACTTGTCTTCCACTGGGCTTTGTCTGTGGAAAACCTGGGTTGAGGCTGTACCCTCAAGAACTGTTTTACTTTTCAAGGGGAATCACTAGCTTGGGAACACTTTTTTTTTTCTTTTTGAGATAGAGTTTCGCTCTTGTTGCCCAGGCTGGAGTGCAATGGTGCGATCTCAGCTCACCACAACCTCTTCCTCCTGGGTTCAAGCGATTCTCCTGCCTCAGCCTCCCAAGTAGCGGAATTACAGGCATGTGTCACCACGCCTGGCTAATTTTGTATTTTTAGTAGAGATGGGTTCTCTCCATGTTGGTCAGGCTAGTCTTGAACTCCCGACCTCAGGTAATCTGCCCTCCTCGGCCTCCCAAAATGCTGGGATTACAGGCGTGAGCCACCGCGCTCGGCCAACCTGAGAGCGCTTTTATTATTAATTTCTTAGTTTGTAGTTTCCTGGGACCATCCATATGGTTTAAGTACAAACCCCAAACCCAAGTGTGAATAGGCCTATTGTTAGGAATTCTCAGAGGAGACTCCCCCGCTACCCTCCCTACAACTTTATTATCTCCCTGTGTCAGTGGATAGGTCTTTTAAAACCACTCTTTGGCTGGGAGTATAGTCCTTTGAAACTCTCAGCTTTATATAGGTGGCTCAGTTCCAATTCTCTATCTATGTGGTCTGAAGTGCTTATCTCCCATGCTTTTAATGCCTTCTAAAACACAAGCCGGATCAGGTGCAGTGGCTTATGCCTGTAATCCCAGCACTTTGGTAGACTGAGATGGGAGGATCACTTGACCCCAGGAGTTCAAGACCAGCCTGGGCAACATAGTGAGACCCCCCCCCCCCCATCTCAGAAGAATAAAACAAAATAAACACACAAGCCTCTTGATTATTGAGGAGATCAGTAAATTTCCCCACTCAGTGGTAGTTTACAGACTGCATTCTGACTTTTGGTTTCTTCAGTGTTTTGGGGACCTAGGAATTTCCCTTACATTCTTACAAGTCTGTGTAAGATTTATATTTAAAAGCGTTTACTGAACGACTGTGCATTTATTTATTTATTTATTTATTTGAGATGGAGTTTCACTCTTTTTACCCAGGCTGGAGTGCAGTGGTCCGATCTCGGCTCACTGCAACCTCAGCTTCCCGGATTCAGGAGATTCTCCTGCCTCAGCCTCCTGAGTAGCTGGGATTACAGGCACCTGCCACCACGCCCAGCTAATTTTTGGTATTTTTAGTAGAGACAAGGTTTCACCATGTTGGCCAGGCTGGTCTCAAACTCCTGACCTCAGGTGATCCACCTGCCTTGGCCTCCCAAAGTGCTGGGATTACAGGCGTGAGCCACTGCACCTGGCCAGACTGTGCATTTAAAAAGATCTCTTTTTGTTGTCTACTTAGGTAATGTAGGTTTCACTATTGCCAAAATTGGGAATTCATCCATTACTTTTATAATAAAAGATTGCTAAAGATGTTTTTATTGTTAAATTCTTTTTACATGTAAGTTAAATATACAATGCTACTGTGTTTATCAAGGAACTAGTGCTCTTTTTGTAGTTTTTTGTTCTTATTTGCACACAAACCACTTGTATTTATTTTGCTTATTATAGGGGAGTACTAGTCTTTTACTTTCCTTTTAGATGTAACCTTCTGTAATGGAAGATGATTGAAGACAAGGGGCCTCGTGTTGCTGACTACTTTGTTGTAGCAGGATTAACTGATGTTTCAAAGCCTCTAGAAGAAGAAATTCACTTCAATGATGCTTGTCATAAAGTAGCTAAACCAAAAGAACCTATTACAGATGTTTCAGTTATTATCAAATCTCTTGGGGAGGAAGTCCCACAGGATTATATCTGTATTGATGTTACCCCAACTGGATTGTCAGCTGATCTTAATAATGGAAGTCTTGTGGGGCCACAGATTTACCTTTGCTATAGAAGAGGAAGAGATAAGCCTCCACTTACAGATCTGGGGTAAGTATTTTTTTAAACGACTTACTGTTATTGATCCAAATAATATGCCTTGTAGATTTGGAGATTAACTGTTCATTCTGGTCATTAATAGATGTATGGCAGATTTAGAAAAATACACAAGTTTGTATTCAGAAACCTGTATTCTCTCCCTGTTTCCTTTTGTCTCTCTTTATCCTGAAGTTCCCAGCAGTCTTACCTTGCCTGGGTTTCTTTCAGTTAGAGGCAGGGGAGAGAATTTGAAAAACATTTGCAGGAAAGTACTAGAAAATTAAAGTGTTATCCTGATTGGAAAATTTTTGATTATTTTTAAAGTACGAAAAAAGGCTTTTAAGCATGTTATAATGATCAGTATAGATGGATTTTTTTCTTTTTAAAGGGACAGGGTTAATCTCTATCACCCAGCTGGAGTGCAATGGCATGATCATAGCTCACTACAGCCTCAAACTCCTGGCCTCAAGTAATCCTCCTGCCCCAGCCTCTTGAGTAGCTGGGACTATAGATACACGCTGTCACATCTGGCTAGTTTTTAATTTTTTTGTAGAGACAGGGTCTTGCTATGTTGCCCAGGCTAGTCTCAAACTCCTGGCCTCAAGTGATTTTCCTGCCTTGGCCTCCCAAAGTACTGGGATTACAGATGTGAGCCACCACACCCAGCCCCATTATAGATGGATTGTTAACTGTGTGTATCAAAGAAGGATATTGGGGTAAATTAGAGCTTTACTTAGGGTGCTTTATTATTGAGATACAATTCGTATACCATACAGCCACTCATTTATTTAAAGTGTACAATTCAATAGTTTTTAGTATTTTCAGAGTTTTGCAACCATCACCACAATAAATTCTATGACATTTTTATCATGCCAAAAAGAAACCCTGTACTCCTTAGTTGCTACCCAATTTCCTAACTCACTTAGCCTTTGGCTACTTTCTGTCTTTATGGATTTGCCTATTTTGCACATTTCATATAAATAGAATCATACTATGTATATGATCTTTTTTGACTGACTTCTTAGCATAATGTTTTCAAGGTTCATCCATGTTATAGTATGTGTCGGTACTTTATTCCATTTTATGACTGAATAATATTCCATCATATGGGTATACCACAGTTTATTCATCTGTTGATGGATGTTTGAGACTTTTCCACTTCTTGGCTATTATAAATAATATTGCCATGAATATTCATGTGCAAGTTTTTATGTGGACATGTATTTTCATTTTTTATTTGTATATACCTAGGAGTGACATTGCTGGATCGTAATGGTAATTCCATGTTCAATCTTTTAAGGAACTGCCAGACTGCTAAGCAAACTGTACCATATTGCATTCCCACTTGCGGTACATGAGGGTTCCAATTTCTCCATGTCCTAGTCAGCATTTCATATTATTTTGATTATTGCTGTCCCAGCAGGTGTGAGATGGTATCTCATATGGTCTTGATTTGCATTCACTTGATGGCTAATGATGTTGAGCATCTTTTTATGTGCTTACTGACAAGTTTGTATATCTTCGGAGAAATGTCTATTCAGATCCTTTCCCCATTTTTAATTTGGTTGTCTTTTTGTTTGTTGAGCTATAAGAGTTCTTAATATATTCTAGATAAAGCCGCTTATCAGTTAAATGATTTACAAATATTTTCTGTAGGTTCTTTTTACTTTTCTTTATGGAATCCTTTGAAGCCAAAATGTTTAGATTTTATAGCTGACTATAAGGCTCAGAGAGGTTAAGTAACTGCTTACAGAACTGCAGCTAGTAACAGGTGGTGGGAATTTGAATTTAGATTGTCTAACTTCTCTGTGTGTAGGTGCCTTTTTTAAGTTAAGAAAAAGCAAAACAAGATCAAAAGAAGGAAGAATAAGCACTTAAGCTAACATTAGGATTCATGCAGTTGCTATGATTAAGCATCAAATTTAACTGTAAATTTTCAAAATATTGAGAAGATTTTTTTTTAATTTGTTGATGGCCAGAAGAAAAAGTGAAATTAAAACTTATATTAGAAATAATTTGGCCAGGCACAGTGGCTCATGCCTGTAATCCCGGCACTTTGGAAGGCCTAGGTGGGTAGATCAACTGAGGTCAGGCGTTCGAGATCAGCTTGACCAACATGGCGAAACCCTGTCTCTACTAAAAACACAAACTTAGTGTGGTGTAGTGGTGCGTGCCTGTAATTTCAGCTACTTGGGAGGCTGAGGCAGGATACTTGCTTGAATCCAGGAGGCGGAGGTTGCAGTGAGCGAAGATCATGCCATTGCACTTCAGCCTGGGCAACAAAAGCGAAACTTCATCTCAAAAAAAAAAAAAAAAAAGAAAGAAAGAAATAATTTGACCAGTTTTTGGCATTATATTTTATTTGTATAGTGGATTTTATATGAGAAATATTGATTGATGATGAAGACATTGCTTGTTACAAGTTTTATAGCAAATGCAAAAACACATTTAATTTATAGCTTTATAGCAAATGCAGAAACATATTTAATTTGTAGCTAGGCACAGTGGCTTACACGTGTAATCCCAACACTTTGGGAGGCCGAGGCAGACAGATCACTTGAGGTCAGGAGTTCGAGATCAGCCTGGCCAACATGGTGAAACTTTGTCTCTACTAAAAATACAAAAATTAGTCAGGTGTGGTGCCACACGCCTGTAATCCCAGCTACTCGGGAGGCTGAGGCTGGAGAATCGCTTGAACATTGGAGGCAGAGGTTGCAGTGAGCTGAGATCACAACACTGCACTCCAGCCTGGGTGACAGAGTGAGACTCCGAGACTCTGTCTCAAAAAAACCATATATAGCTTATTTTATTTTTATTTTTTTACTAGTGCCAAGGACTTGGCATTAAAGTACAAATCAATGAATTTAATGAGGGAATAAACTAATGTTATTTAAGCACTATTTTTTTTAGTGTTCCTTAGTGCTTAAGTATAGAAAACTTAATGAATGGATGCCAGGTCCACCCTGTACTAAAAGCCTATGATTTTACCCCAATAAAGAGAAAATAAAAGCCTAGTGCCTCACCCAGACTTTTGATTAAGGATGGATTTGAAGTTACATTCTCTTAGCCTAAAACTGTCTCTTAAAGCTAAGGAAAGTATTGGAGATAAAAGCGTGCAAGCAGACTCTACACAGTTGGGCAAGTAACCTTTTGTAAAATTTTAACTTTGGCCAAAATGCCCAGTTGCTTTTTCTAAAGAAGGTGCTTGTTTTAGAGACAAAAAATAAATTAATAACTATATTAAATGATGTGCCAAAATAGGTACCTTCACATTTAATTGTACCTTTCTCTGGTTTATATTAACAAACACAATGGTTTGTCAGAATTTTTCCTTAAAACAAAGTTTTTGGTGGGGAAAAGAGTTATTCTTTAATTCATACAAGACCGTGCATTTTAAAATTGCAGTAAGATTGGAATATTTTTACCATGCTACTACATTTAAGGATCAGTTGATGATGCCTGAGAATATTACTTTTCATATTTAAAGTGCTTTGTGTATTTATTTTTAAAAATTTATTTTTAGGGTTTTATATGACTGGAAAGAAAGATTGAAACAGGGTTGTGAAATTATTCAGAGTACTCCCTATGGGCGCCCCGCAAATATTAGTGGGAGTACCTCATCACAAAGAATTTATATCACTTACCGAAGAGCCTCTGAAAACATGACTCAGAATACGTTGGCTGTCACTGACATATGTATTATTATACCCAGTAAAGGAGAAAGCCCACCACACACGTTCTGCAAAGTCGACAAGAATCTCAATAACAGTATGGTAAGTGACTTACTTGCACTGGTAACATTAACCACTGATGAAAAGAGCATAATTTTAAATACATCTTTTTTTTTTTTTTTTTTTTTTTTTTTTTTTTGGAAAACAGCATAGTTTAATTACAGAATTGAAAAATGTGTTTTTAAAGATATTAGATATTTTACTTTTCGGAAAGTACTTTGGTTGTACTTTCAAAAGAAACTATGCAAAGTACTTTTTTTTAAATTAAAAAAATAATATCCCCCACCCCCCCCGCCCACTACAAAAGCAATGAGTATCCTTCCACTTGTGACTAGATCCCACACCTCAACGGGACTAGATCCCACATCTCAATTTACCCATTTGAAGACATGGCTTTAGCAGTCCTCCCTACTTTTTTGTAAATCATTGGTTTTTCCCTCCCTATTTCCTCCAACATGCAAATATTTCTTATCTTTGCAAAACTTCTTGATCTCATATTCCTCTGCTTTCATTGCCTCATTTCATTATCCTTTACAGTAAAAGTTCTAAAAAGAGTTGAGTATATTCTGTCCCATTCCTCACTTTACTCTTTCCAGTCAGCCTTTTGTCTCCATCACTCCATCAAGATTTCTCTTGTTGTCATATCCAGAGATCAATACTTTGTTTTAATTTTTCAGCAGGTTTCTACATAAACGGTTACTTCTTCCTTCTTGAAACAGTGCAATGAAGAAGAAATATACTCTCTTCTTAGGTACTCTCTTGCTTTTTCCTTTTACCTCACCAGTCATTCCCTTTCTGCCTTTGCTGATTCCTTTTCATCTCCCCATCCCTACACAATGGAGTGCCTCATGGTTCAGTCCTCAAAGCATTTATCTTCACCACCTAAACATACTCCTTTGGTGATCTAATCATTTAAATATAGGCCACGTGTGGATGACTTCTAAATTTGTCTAATCTGGACTTCTCTAATTCATCATCCCTTCTTGAATATCTCATCTAATGAAGCATCTCAAATTTAATATGTCCAAAACTGAACTCCTGATGTTTCTCTCCAAACCTGCTTATAGTCTTCCTTATCTAGCAAATGGAAATTCCATTCTTCTAGTAACTCACACTGAAAAACCTTGGAGTAAACTTAACCTTTATCTTCTCCTCATTCAGTTCTTCTGTAAACTCTGTTAGCTATAATTTCAAAATGTATCTCGAACATGGCCACTTCACAACGCCTCTATTGCCATAACCCTAGTCTAAGCCATAATTGTCTCTTAATGGGATTATTGCAGTAGTGTCCTAATCCAGGGGTCAGGCAAATTTTTTCTTTAAAGAGCTAGGTGATAAATTAAGTTTTACAGGTCATACAATCTCTGTCTCATAGTCATCTCTTTTTTTTAACCCTTTATAAAAGCAAAAACTATTCTTAGTTTAGATATACAAGAACAGACCTTGGGCCAAATGCAGGCCATAGTTTTTTATCTAACTGATCAGTTCTTCCACTTCTGCTCTCTCTATCATATTCTTTGCATAGACAAGAGTGATCCTTTAAAAACATAAATCAGATCCTATCACTACTCTGCTTAAAACCCTTAATGGCTTCTCATCTCACTCTTAGTAAAAGCCAAAGTCCTCCCATGCATGATCCTTAACTGTCTTGTCTTTGTTCTTTTATTACTGTTTTAAATTAAAAAAAAAAAGGAATGTATACTCAAAGAAAATTGGAGGGCGAGGAGTATACAAATTGTAGATCTATGGAGTAGAAAGTGAGAAAATGAAGGTTCTTGTTCCTACTTCCATGTTTTGTCAGGGCTAACAATGAGCAATTTGACTTGTGTCCTTCCAGACCCTTTTGTGTTCACATATGTGGGGTATATATAATAAATTAATCCTTTTTTTTAATTTGAATTTTTTTGTATTTCCTTTTTCTTTTTTCACTTTTTATTTTAAAATCGGAGTACATTTGCAGGTTTGTTACAAAGGTATATATTGCATGATGCTGAGGTTTAGGGTGTGATTGAACCCATCACCCAGATAGTGAGCATAGAACCCAATGGGTGGTTTATCAGCCGTTGCTTTCCTCCCTGTCTTCCCCCTCTAGTAGTCCCCAGCGTCTTTTGTTCCTATCTTTATGTCCAGGTATACCCAATATTTAGCTCTCACTTATAAGCGAGAAAATGCAGTATTTAGTTTTCTGTTTCTGCATTAGTTTGCTTAGGATGATGACCTCCAGCTGCATCCACGTTGCTGCACAAGACATGATTTCATTCTTTTTTTATGATTGTATAGTATTAAAAAAATGGAAATTTCTTTATATTTCTGATATAAGCCTTTTTTCTATCGTTATCAGTTTATTTAACTTTCTACTTAATTATTTTAACAACTGCATAGTATTCCAGAAAGTACAAATGCAGAATGATGAATACAAGTTATTTTCAGTTTTTTCCATTCCTAGTAATGCTACTTTGATTAATGCTGTGCATTTTCTGTAGATATTTGAGTGTCTCTGGAAGAATAAGTAATTGTAAGTGGAACTGATGGGTCCATGAGTATGCTGACCATTTTGAAAGTGTTGAAATAATTGTTCTGAAAACGCTGTGGCAGTTTTTACTCCCAGCAGGCATAGTTTATGAGAATGCTATTTCCTACATTCCCACACCTCACCAACATTGGTTGTTACCAATTATTGACTTTTTAATTATTGACTATATAATACAAAATTGTTCTAATTTTAATTTGCATTTCTTTGCTTATTGTGGAGGTTGATAATATTGTAATATATTTATTAAATATTAAATATACTTAATATCAGTGTATTAAATATATTATTGAATGGCTAAATATTATTGTATTAAATGGATGTGCCACAATTTATTTATTATCCTCTTTTGTAAAGACCTTTAGATTCTGGTTTTTAAAAATGTTGCAAGCAAGCTGTTACGAACATACTTATAACTAAATCTTCTATAAAACAAGTTACATTTATTTAGCTCTTCTGTGCTATACACCGTTCTAAGTATTTCACATTCAATAACTCAGTTCTGCACAACCACCCTGAATAGGTATTTTCTCCCCATTTTACAAAGAAGAAAATTTGAGAGTTAAAGAGGTGGTTACTTTCCCATGATCATACCTTCAATTAGTAGTTAAAGCAAGATCCAATTCAGGTTGCAGAACTCCAGAACCAAACTCCTGAGCACTGTACTGCATTAATTATTTCCTTATGGTTCGTCCTGGAATTTCTGGATCAAAGCGCATATTTACTATTAAGATTTTATCCAGAAGGGTTTAACCAATTAAAATTCCTACCAATAAAGTACGAGAATATTGGTTTTTTTTTCATAATTTTGTCAACAATTGGGTCTCTTTTTTCTTTTTTTCTACTGCAGCTACTCTGAAGAAACAATTGGGTTTTTCTTTTTGTTTTTTTTTTTTTAGAGACAGGGTCTTGTTCTGTTGCCCAGGCTGGAGTATAGTGGACTGCTCATGGCTCATTGTAGCCTCGACCTCTTGGGCTCAAGTGATCCTCCCACTTTGGCCTCTCGAGCAGCTCAGTGGATTGACCACAGGTGTGCACCACCACATCTGGCTAATTTTTAACTTTTTTGTAGAATTGAGGTTTCCCTACATACCCCCGGCTCGTCTTGAACTCCTGAGCTCCAGCATTCCTCTTCAGTCCCCCAAAGTGCTGGGATTACAGACATGAGCCCCTGTGCCTGGCCAACAATTGGGTTTTTAATCACAAAATTTTAAATTTAATTTCTTTCTTTCTTTTTCTTTGTTTTTTTTGTTTGTTTTTTTTTTTTTAGAGACAGGATCTTGTTCTGTCACCCAGGCTGGAGTACATCAGTAGCATGATCATAGCTCTTTGTAGCCTCAAACTCCTGGGCTAACGTGATTCTCCTGCTTCAGCCTCCCAAATAACTGAGACTACAGGCATGCACCACCATGCTCGACTAATTTTCAAAATTTTTTGTAGATATTGGGTCTTATTTTATTGCCCAGGCTGGTCTTGAGCTCCTGGCCTCAAGCAATCCTCCCTCCTTGGCCTCCCAAAGCACTAGGATTGCAGGCATGAGTGACTTTGCTTAGCTGTAAATTTAATTTCTTTTTATTTTATTTTATTTTTTCTCACCCTATCTTGCGTGGATTTTGTTTAATTTTTAAATTTTTCCTCAAAAGCTAATTTCTTGATGTTAGAGCAGATATTTACAGTGTCCTATTATCATTATGTAAATTAACACTTTGCTAAGATCTAAAGATTTTATACGCATTTCAACATGTGTTAAGTTTTTATGGAAGTTGACTTTTTAAAAATTCATGTTCCTTTTTCTGAAGTGTAGGGAAGCAGACTTTTTTTTTTTCCTTTTTTTTTTTTTTTTTTTTTTTTGAGACGGAGTATCGCTCTGTCGCCCAGGCTGGAGTGCAGTGGTGCCATCTCAGCTCACTGCAACCTCCACCTCCCGGGTTCAAGTGATTCTCCTGCCTCAGCCTCCTGAGTAGCTGGGATTACAGGCGCGCGCCACCACGCCTGACTATTTTTGTATATTTAGTAGAGATGGGGTTTCACCACGTTGGTCAGGCTGATCTTGAACTCCTGACCTTGTGATCCGCCCACCTGAGCCTCCCAAAGTGCTGGGATTGCAGGTATGAGCCACTGTGCCTGGCCAGGAAGCAGATTTTTAAAACTATTTTTACTTTCTTAATATAGCAACATGAGATACTGAGGGTTAAGATGAAGCAAAAAGACGAAAAACTGGGGTGTATTGATATGTGGCTGGATACAGTACAAATTTTGGGACCCTGAATTTGGTTTTAACCCTCTCAATAAGATAGCACAGGATATCTGTATTTCATAGTGATTAAAATCAGTATAGATTAGTGTGTTCAGAGCACAAACTCTGGTTCTAGAGTGTCTGGGTCTGTACCCTATCTCTGACCATTACTGGCTGTGTGACCTGGGACAAGTAGCTTAACCTCTCTGTGCCTGTTACATGATTGTAAAATGAGGATGATAATAGCATCTAGTTTAATCCATATTAAGCTTATAGAAAGAGTTTTCAAAAATTACTTTGTTTTAAACCTTGGACCATAGCCTTAAATGATTTGGACTTTGATTTGATATTAGAACATAATTACAGTATTTTAGAGCTGGATGAGAACTTAGAGTGGTCATACAATCTAAAATTGCAAAAATTTGTGAAGAAGAATATTTAGTCCAGGTAGCTTGCTTGACTTGCTTTAAAACACACAGCTAATTTTTGGCAAATTTGAGACTATCTCCTTAGTTTTTGACTCTCGTTAAGAGTATTTTTTTTTTTTTTTAAACAGAGTCTCACTTTGTCACCCAGGATGGAGTGTAGTGGTGCGATCTCGGCTCCCTGCAACCTCCACCTCCTGGGTTCAAGTGATTGTCCTATCCCAACCTCCCGAGTAGCTGGGATTACAGGCATGCGCCACCACGCCCGGCCATTTTTTGTATTTTTTTTTTTTTTTAGTAGAGACAGGGTTTTACCATTTTTTTAGTAGAGAACAGGGTTTTACCATATTGGCCAGGCTGGTCTTCTGATCTCAAGTGATCCGCCTGCCTCGGCCTCCCAAAGTGCTGGGATTACAGATGTGAGCCACTGCACCTGGCTGAGTCTCCTTAAGGGTATTTTTTAAATACTCTTTCCACATGGCTCTTGTTTTACAACTGTCCAAGAATGTCAGCATTTGATTTAGCGAGTTTACTTAGAAAAGTAGAATTGAGCCGGGTGCTGTGACCTGTAATCCCAACACTTTGGGAGGCTGAGGCAGTTGGATCACTTGAGGTCAGGAGTTCGTGACCAGCCTGGCCAACATGCTGAAACCCTGTCTCTACTAAAATACAAAAATTAGCCAGGCCTGGTAGTGCACACCTGTAATCCCAGCTACTCGGGAGGCTGAGGCAGGAGAATTGCTTTAACCTGGGAGGCAGAGGTTGCAGTGAGCCGAGATCATGCCACTGCACTACAGTCTGCGTGACAGAACGAGACTCCGTCTCAAAAAAAAAAAAAAAAAAAAAAAAAAAAAAAAAAAGAGAAAAAAGTAGAATTGTTAACAAGGGAAGTAATTAAATCATGTACCTAATTCTGGGGGAAAGAGGAAGAATTTGAAAGTACGTTTTTGCTGTGGCAAACCACAATGTGGATACTTATTGGTAGAGAGTTTAAAGTAGTTTTAGAACAATGCCTCCTTCTTTTTTCACCTTGAACCTTGTGTGTAAAAAAATTTGGAAAATGCTTTTAATTCCTTTTTTTTTTTTTTGAGACGGAGTTTCACTCTTGTCGCCCAGGCTGGAGTGCGATGGTATGATCTCTGCACACCGCAACCTCCGCCTCCTGGGTTCAAGGGATTCTCCTGCCTCAGCCTCCTGCGTAGCTGGGATTAAGGGTGCCCGCCACCACATCCTGCTAATTTTTGTATTTTTTTTTTTTGGTAGAGACGGGGTTTCACCATGTTGGCCAGGCCGGTCTCAAACTCCTGGCCTCAGGTGATCCGCCCACCTCGGCCTTCCAAAGTGCTGGGATTACAGGCATGAGCCACCATGCCTGGCCCCGCTCTTAATTTTAATATCCATGGTTCTCTTTCCTACAGAGCCCCGTAACTTATACTGCATTTCTAACTCCTTGTTTTTCATTATAGAATATTCCTTTTGGTTTCTACTATATCCAAATGGTCATATAGTTCTTTTTTTATTGTCACCAAAGTTATTATTGAAGTTTTCTTGCTATCTTTACAAATTGGATTTATTGGGAAGTAGAGTTGGGACTTTCCAATAGAGAGCCCATTTTTATAAAATTTTTTTTATCCATTTGATAAACCAAAATTTGTTTGCCTATATTCATAATATCTGCTTGACTTTTACATATTCATGTGACTTAAAAAATATTTTTCCAGTAGATTAGTGTGTTAAATGTTGCTTATGTTCATTGCTGTGTTGGGATTTTATTTTTATAAATGCTTTAATATTTTTCCATCAAGAGAAAATTTCCCAAGGCTACAATCTCAACATAATTCATTAAACTATATTAAAATAAAAGGTTAAGGGTTTTTATTTTTTAGTAAGATATTTGCAGATAGCCAGACATATTATTTTATGTGTATTGTGTGTTTTAAATAAGAGAGATATTTGAATATTATTCTCTTTCACTTTAGTTTGACCACATTATGCTGTTAGCTATTCAGTATTTGGAAGGCTGACAGATACTTAAAGTTGAAAAGCAAAGATTTATGTTTTTGAATACTCAGGAGATTGTCATTTCTTGATAAAATATTATTAAATGATCATATAGTGCTATTTATGATATCTTCTCATTGTTATTCATCAGATTTTTAAGTACATCTAAATGAGAACTTGATTAAGTGAGTGTGAACTAAATATCAGAGAAACCAAAGTTGGAAAATAATTTATATTCAGACACTTGGCTTCTTACATGAAAATACTTATGTAACTTGTCTGTATTTTCTGTAATACTGATATTTTTCCAAAGTTTTAGTCGTTACCTTTAAGTAACTACTTGTCACCTCTTGTCACCTGGCTTTTGACAGGTATATAATGCATTTTTTATTCAGAAATGACTCAAGTACAATTCTTATTTAATTCTTGAAAGGATTACATGAGAAACAAGCCAACAAAAAGGCTTCTGTACATTCAAAATAGATACAAAGTTCAGACACTAAAAGCTTATACTTTATGAGTCTCTCAGAGCTACCCACTAATGTTTACTTAGTCTTATGTAAGTAAACTTTTTTGTATTCAGATAATAGTTAAGAAAATATATAATACACCAAATGGTGATACATGCTAAGGAGGAAAAAAAATGCAAGAGAGGGGTGATGGGGAGGACTGGGCAGGGTGGAGGGAGCCTTGTTATTATATGTAAAATGGTGAAAGGAAGACTCTCTGATAAGATGATGTTTGAGTTGATACCCCATGGAGGTGAGGAAGTGTGCCATGTAAATTTCTCTCATCACCTATACATCAAATGGTGACCTCTCTCAAGTTTGTGTGTCCATTTCAGACCGCTTACCTTAGCTCTATTTAGTTCTTCACTTGGATGTCTAATAGATGTTTCAAACTTAACATGTCTAAAACTGAACCCCTTATCTTCACCCCAAACCTGCTTTATCCACAGTCTTCTCCATCTCAATTGAGTTTCTTCCTTCCTGTTACTCAGGCATTGGCATCATCTTTGACTCTTATACTGTACTTCATATAATCAGATAGGATTTTTTTTTGTCTGTATTTTCAGAATATACCCAGAATCTGACCTCTTTTCATCATTCCCACTGTTGCTACCCTTATTCAAACTCTCATAATTTTTGCCTGGATTACTGATACAAAATAATTATGAGTACTTGCTTTCTTCCTTGTCTCCCACCCCCACTTCTCAACATAGTACTCAGAGTGACCTTTTAACTGTATGTCAGATAATGCCTCTCTTCTGCTCAAAACCCTCCAGTGGCTTTCACTATCTCCAAGAGTAATAGAAGCCAAAATCCTTAAAACAGCCTAAAAGGACCCACATGATCTGGCTTCCTTATCTCCCATCAGTATTTCATTTACTCTTCTCTGCTGTCATTGCCTCTTTAGCTCTTAGGTCATGACGGGCATACTTTTGTATCAGGGCCTTTCCTCTTGACATTCCTTCTACCTAGAAACCTCTGCTCCAAGATTAATTCATTCAGCAAATACTTTATGGAGTACCTGTAATGCACCAGGCACTGTTTTAGGTATTAATGATAACAGAATGTAGAACTTATCAGAGTGGAGGAAAATAGATGATAATAAATTTTAAACAAATAACTTTTAAAGTATAGTATGTTAGAAAGTGTTAAGTGCTGTAGTAAAAAAGAAAACCTAAAAGTATCATAAAAGGGGATTGGGAGTAGAGGGGAATGGGTTGCAATTTTAAATTGAGTGGTCAGGGAAGCCCTTATTTGAAAGTAATATTTGAAGGCAGTAAGGAAGTTAATCATTCAGATATCACAGGCAAAGAATGTTTGAAATATAGGGAACAGTCTGTGCAAAAGGCCTCAAGGAGGGACCATTCCTGGCATGTTTTAGGAACAATAAGGAAAATGGTGTGTCTTAAAGCAGAATAAATTATGGGGAGAATAAAGAGATTGGAATTGGGGGTAGATGATTAGGGCCTTTAGGTGATTGTAAGGACTTTAGCTTTTATTCTGAGAGAGACTGAGATTTTGAACAGAATAGTGACATGCTCTGACATTTGATTTAAAAGGATCACTCGTTTATGTAGTGATAGACTGTGGCGGGAAGCAAAGGTGGAAGGAGGAAGACCGTTTGGGAGATTATTGCAATCCAGGGTACTAGGGGTGGAGTTGTACAAATCACGTTAAATTGTAATAATAAAAACTTATTATATACTCCTTTTAATTATCAATGACATTACACTTCTTCATGTGCATGGATTGTGTAAGGAATGTGTTTCATAAAACTATTTTACCCTTATTTCAAAACTTTTAAATAAATTATGTATATATTTATTTAGTAAAACTTATTTAACTACTATGTGTGAGCCTCTGGGAGTACAGTGGTGAAGAAAACAAAATCCCTACCCTCATTGAGCATATATTCAAGTCAGAAAGACAATAAACAAACAAATATAGCATGTAATGATAAATAATCTTAAGAATAAAAAGAGGCTGGGCACAGTGGCTCACGCCTGTAATCCCAACACTTTGGGAGGCCGAGGCGGACAGATCACCTGAGGTCAGGAGTTCGAGACCAGCCTGGCCAACACCATGGCCAACATGGTGAAACCCCATCTCTACTAAAAATACAAAAATTGGCCGGGCATGGTGGCATGTTCCTGTAATCCCAGCTACTCCAGGAGGCTGAGGCAGGAGAATCACTTGAACCTGGGAGGCGGAGGTTGCAGTGAGCTGAGATTGCACCATTGCGACTCTATCTCAAAAAAAAAAAAAAAAATCAGCCAGTCATGGTGGCACGTGCCTGTAATCCCAGCTACTTGGGAGACTGAGGCATGAGAATCACTTGAACCCAGGAGGCAGAGATTGCAGTGAGCCAAGATCGCACCACTGCACTCCAGCCTGGGTGACAGAGCGAGACTCCATTTAAAAAAAAAAGATTTGAAAGTTAAGTTATTCTTTTAAGGAGTGGTAATTAAAGCCTGATTGGAAATGAATTTGGGAGAAAGTAGGAAATAAGGAAGTGGACTTAACAAATTACAACTCTTGAGGCATAAAGGATTGCAGAAAAACCTGGCAATATCTGAAACAGATTGTGGAGTCAAAGGTATGCACTTGAGTAGATACTTTATAGTTTATCATTTATACCCACAGTTTGGACTCAGAATAAAATCTAAATGGTTGTGACTTAGCTTTGTTTAAAAGAGTCAAGTTTTCCTCATGTTATTGCTGTTGCAAGGGGAAAAAAGTAGTAATTTACTTCTGAAAGAAAAGTGGACAGTGATTCCAATAAAATATTGACAAAACAGCCAACTGAAAATAGCTAGCAGAGGGAAATTTGTTACTACATATTAGATAATACATACTAGAGAGCTCAAAGAGATTCCATTTTATCAAGTTCCTACCTTTTAAAAATTAAATGATATTTCTATTTTTTTAAATCCAGTGGGGATCAGCAGTATACTTGTGTTATAAAAAATCGGTGGCAAAGACGAACACTGTATCTTACAAAGCTGGTAAGTGTAATTTTTCATGCAATACTTCATATATAAATGTATTATAGGGCCCGGAAAGGTTAAAGTAAAGAAACCTGCCTAGTCTGTGTTAGTATCAGGACTGGGACTACAATCCGTATCTTCTGATTCTCATTTTTGTCTTCACTTATATGTTTATTGGATGCTTGATGGAAGATTAATTTTAAAATAAGGTGAGTTTTTATTTTAAGCCTTGGGTTTAAATAAATAATAAGATCTCAATTATCTTTAAGTTTTTAAATCAGCAGAAATATGGTAAAATGTATTTTCATTTTAAATTAATATTTCTTTAATACTTAAATTTAGTAAGAGCTGTAGTTCACATGAAATCATGTTTCATAATAATGGAAAATATTATAAACCAATTTGGAGTTTTATAATCCATAGTCAAAATGTCCAATTTTCAGAGACCTCAAAATACCAAACATAGTGACCTTATTTACAAGAGAACAGATTCAGCCTTTTAAAAATTGCTTTTATGCAGGGCATGGTGGCATGTGCCTGTGGTTCCAGTTTTTTCGGAGGCTGAGGCAGGAGGATTGCTTGAGCCCAGGAGTTCAAGACCAGCCTGGGCAACATAGACCCCATCTTTAAAAATATATACATATATACCAGCCTGGGCAACATAGACCCCATCTTTAAAAATATATACATATATACATATACATTTATATACGTGTGTGTTTAGAGTTCTAGACTCAAGTTTCTCTTTTACATTTGATTTTTTTTGGGGGGGGTACGGGGTCTCATTCGGTTGCTCAGGCTGGAGTACAGTGGTATGATTGTAGCTCACTGCAACCTCAGACTCTTGTGCTCAAGGTATCCTCTTGCCTCAGTCTCCCTAGTACCTTGGACTATAGGAGTGTCCCAGCATGCCTGGCTAATTTTTTAAATTTTTGTAGAGACAGGGTCTTTCTTAGGTTGCCCAGGTTGGTCTTAAACTCTTGGGCTCAAGCGCTCCTCTTGCCTCAGCCTCCTAAAGTGATGGGATTACAGGTGAGGGCCACCATACCCGGCCTTTGATATTTTTAGATCTACAATTTATCACCTTTTTTTTTTTTTCTTTTAAAGACAAGGTTTTGCTCTGTTGCCTAGTCTAGAGTGCAGTCGTGGGATCATAGTTCACTGCAACCTTGAACTCCTGGGCTCAAGCAGTCCTCCCACATCAGCCTCCCAAGTAGCTGAGACTACCGAGAGTACATGGTGGCATGTGCCACCGTGCCTGGCTAATTTTTTTTTTTTTTTTTTTAGTAGAGATGGAGTCTTGCTGTATTGCCCAGGTTGCTCTTGAACTCCTTCGCTCAAGTGATCCTTCCACTTCAGCCTCCCAAAGTGCTGAGATTACAGGCGTGAGCTGCTGTGCTGGCTACTGGCTCTCATCAATATTTCTTTTTTTTTCTTTCTTTTTTTTTTTTTGGGAGATGGAATCTCACTGTGTTGCCCTAGGCCTAATTTGTGGATATCCTCAAGAAGATTATGAGTCATTCTCACTACCAGAATCCGTTCCTCTATTTTGTTTACCAATGGGTGCAACCATTGAAAGGCTGGAGTGCAGTGGCACGATCTTGGCTCACTGCAACCTCCGCCTCCCGAGTTCAAGCAATTCTCCTGCCTCAGCCTCCCGAGTAGCTGGGACTACAGGCACACACAGCCACACCTGGCTAATTTCTTGTATTTTAGTAGAGATGGGGTTTCACCGTGTTGTCCAGGCTGGTCTTGAACTCCTGAGTTCAGGCAATCTGTCCGCCTCGGCCTCCCAAAGTGCTAGGATTACAGGCATGAGCCACCACGCCCAGCCGGCCTTCATCACTATTTCTATACTTACTTTATGACTTTATTAATTACCTCATGACCTGAGAGAGTAGTACAGAGTTAACTATAGATCCTCATGGGACCTACTTGCTGGCTAGCATGTAATTAAATAATTTTAGAACTGCCTTGGACCTTAGTTTATCTACTTCATCTGATTTTATAGATGAGAAAACCATACTCCTGTAGTATGTCATTTGTCCAAAGCCACAGATATATTAGTGGCAGAACCAACAACCACTTATATTCCCCCAGTTTATCTTTTTGTCTTTGTGGCTGTCTAGTGATAGTTTCTACTTGACTTTAAGGGCTTTATGGCCAGGGAACCTATTTTCTGTTTCTAGTTCCACAAAATGAGGTACAAGGTTCTTCCTGGAGTGTATTCAGTGGAAGATGCCTGGACCGTTTTCCTAATGTAAACATTAGTTTACCTAATGTGAAATCATAGGCAACTTAAAACTCTATCTTCATATAACCTGGTGTTATTTAGAAGCTGAGCTTGAGTTGATACTATTCCTAAGACATTGTAAATATGTGACTCTTCTATTTTTATGAAAAATTTTCCTGTATTTGTGCTAGAAATTAACATATACTCCTATGGGATATGAATTTTAATGTGTAAAAGTTATTGAGAGCTGATGAAGTAGATAGATGAAAATAAACCATATTGAAAATTTCAAAAACTTAGTATTCTTTCTAAGGTAGTGTGACCACAAGCTGAATTTTTAGGAGTATGTTTGTGCATTTCTATAGGATATCTTTTTCTTGTTAGCTTTAACATAGCCTTTATAGATGAAGCTTGATAAATATTAAGCAGTTAGTTAATAGTTGTAATGTTCAAGGATTAAAATCTCTATGAATCCTACCAAAGTATTCAGTGTTATTTGATGAACATATATATAATGCTTTGGCATTCCAAATGTGTGAAATAACAAAGCATTTTATCATCATTGAAATAATAAGTACCTAAATTCAAGAGATGATGACCTAATATTTATTGTTGTTTTTATAGGCCTAATTTGTAGATATCCTCAAGAAGATTATGAGTCATTCTCACTACCGGAATCTGTTCCTCTATTTTGTTTACCAATGGGTGCAACCATTGAATGTTGGCCATCAAATAGCAAATACCCTCTGCCTGTATTTTCTACTTTTGTTTTAACTGGAGCCTCAGCTGAAAAGGTATTATGTGTTTGACAAATTGTATCTACAAATTTCTTGTACATTTTCAAGTTTTCTATAATGCAAGGAATAGTAGGGGAAAAACTGATTAAATTGAATGATTATGCATACTTTTCCAGTTGATTAAAATAACTGTATCCAGGGACATAGGAAAAGAGAATTTTTATTCTGTCCCATCCACCTAAATGCTTTTTTGTGATTATGGTGAAAGATTTTTTCATCATCAAATGATGATCCTTCATTTATTCATTTTCTGTGATAAAGAAGCTTTGAAAGTAACATTATTAAATATATAATGCAATTTAGAATTATAGACATGATAGTTGGAAGGGACCTTGGACATTATCAAGTCTAATGTCCTCATTTTATGGATAGGGAAATTGATGTCCCGAGAAATTCAATGAATTGCCCAAAGTTGGAATTTGTATTTCGTTATCTAAAGTTTCATCTCACTTTCTACCAAGTAATTATTTTCAATCATTTTCTTATAGAGAATATTGATAAAATTGCTTCCACTCTTTATAAAACAAATAAATTTAATCAAAACACCTTTTCTTTCAGTAGTAAGGTAACATGAGAATAGCACTATATAGTTCTTAGATACATCAAGAAAGCAGGAGGGGTGTCTCTTCATCACTGTGTTCTTAATACCTGGCCTCTCACCTGGCTCATAGCAAGCATTTATTAAATATTTAACTGATGATGTGATTTGGATATATGATACAAAGTATATTTACTGGATATATTACTTGTTTTGCAGGTTTATGGTGCTGCTATTCAGTTTTATGAACCATACTCTGAGGAGAATCTCACAGAAAAGCAGAGACTTCTTTTGGGTTTAACATCAGCAGATGGGAAGTCTGATAGTTCCAAAACAATTCATACTAACAAATGCATCTGTCTTCTTTCTCACTGGCCTTTTTTTGATGCATTCAGGAAGTTTCTGACTTTTCTGTATCGTTATTCCATCTCTGGGCCTCATGTCCTTCCAATTGAGAAGTAAGTTAAGTGTTCTTGGTTCAACATTTGACAGATCTTTCCATTATGTGGCAAATTTGTGTCGGCAACTGGGTAAATTTTATATGGATACTAGATTTCTCAAGAGTTATTTGAAAAAAATGGTTTATTTCAGTCAGGTAGTATTTCTCCATTGTATGTTTGTAGTCTTGTTATTTAAAATAATTTTATCTCCAGTGAGATGAAATTAATGTTTCATTTGTTTAATGCTCTTGGGAAGTTTAGAGATCCTAATCTGGACAGATGCTGAAAATTTTTTACTAATTTTTAAATTCTTATTTTACATATAATTTAAATTTATTATGAACCTTTACAAATATTTCTTACTGGGGCTGAGTGCAATAGTTCACGCCCATAATCTCAGCACTTTGGGAAGCCAAGGCAGGCAGATCTCTTGAGTCCAGGAGTTTGAGACCAGCCTGAGCAACATAGTGAAACCCCATCTCTACAAAACTACAGAAATTAGTTGGACATGGCCCATGCCTGTAGTCCTAGCTGCTCAGGAGGCCAAGGCACAAGAGTCACTTGAACCCGGGAAGCAGAGGTTGCAGTAAGCCACGATCATGCCACTACACTCCAGCCTGGGTGACAGAGGGAGACCCTGCCTCAAAAAAAAAAAATTTCCTTACCGTATTTACATATAATGAATGTAAAGGAGAAATTAGATGAATGCATTTTTTTTCCTTTGGCAATATATGCAGTAATGGAATCGCCAGATCAATTTATTTTAAAGATAACACACCCATTGCATGTTAATATAAATGTCTTTTTTGAAAAATAACTTTTCCAAAACTAAAAAAACTTTAGTGAGCAGAATGGCATTGTTTTACATTTTTGCAGATCTCTAATGTCTAGCTTAATTAAACATAGCTGGGCTTCCATATATGGTCTGCATTCAATCTGTTGCAGTAGTTGTTTTGGTTGAAATATACAAAGAAAGCCTGGCCTCCCACAGATATGTAGGTAGAAAAGGGAGGGATTTTGGATCATATTTTCAGAAAGTTTGGGATATTCTTTTTTTTGACACTGCACCAAGCTTGACAAATGCTGGTTTCTTACAGGTTATTTGCAATCTAAAACTGTAGTAGTGAACTTTGTCAGTTACATTAAAATCTATTGGTCTGGGCAGGTGTGGTGGCTCACACCTGTAATCCCGACACTTTGGGAGGCTGAGGCAGGTGAATCACCTGAGGTCAGGAGTTCAAAACCAGCTTGGCCAACATGGTGAAACCCTGTCTCTACTAAAAAAAAAAAAAAATACAAAAGCCAGCTGTGGTTGTGGGCACCTGTAATCTCATCTACTCTGGAGGCTGAGGCAGGGAGAATTGCTTAAACCTGGGAGGCGGAGGTTGCAGTGAGCCAAGATCATGCCACTGCACTCCAGTATGGGCGACAGAGCGAGACTCCATCTCCAAAAAAATAAAAAATAAAAAAATCTATTGTTCTGTTTGACTTTTTGGGTGGAACTTTCACTTATGCATTATTTTGTAGCATTGTGCATTGGTCATTTGTTAAATACTGATTTGCCAAGTTAATCCCATCTTCCAAATGTAGACACATTTTATTATTAATATTAAAAAATCACATTTGTTAATATCACCCCCATCTTAGAAAAGTTTTTGAGCATTAGGAAGCTTTCAAGCTCATGGTGGCGAAATTGTAATTTCCACTTGAAAGTTTGTATTTAATTATTGGCAAATATTGCCAGTAGCTGGGATTACAGGCGTGTGCCACCATGCTTGTCTAATTTTGTATTTTTGGTAGAGATTGGGTTTTGCCATGTTGGTGAGGCTGGTCTCGAACTCCTGACCTCAGGTGAAACACCTGCCTCGGCCTCCTAGAGTGCTGGGGATTACAGGTGTGAGCCACCACACCTGGCCTGTCAGTCATCTTTCAAACAAAAATTGCACTCTGTGGGAGAAAACCAGCAAGTTCACTCACAACTCAGTTGCACAAGTGTATTTCCAAAATCAAGACAACCATTGTGCTTCTGTATACAGCAGAAGTTATTTATGTATAGTTTCCCTTTCATCATACAGAATTTTAAAAATGTACACTACAGCCAAAACTTAATAAAATTAGTAATATTTACTGCCAATATTGACACTCTTTTACTGCAATTATATAGTAGTAAAGAATATAGCAACTACTAGTACACTTTGGTGCCACTGCCTTGATTCATAGTAAGTCACCAGCAGTTTTACCCACAATGCTCTTGCACTGTCAGTGCAAATGTCAACATTGTGCAGAAAGCAAATGACATCATATAATTTTTTGTTTGCTTGTTTTTTTCTTTTTGTTTTCGTTTTTTGACACAGAGTCTGGTTCTGTCGCCCAGGCTGGAGTATAGTGGCGTGATCTTGGCTCACTGCAACCTCTGCCTCCTGGGCTTAAGTGATTCTCATGCCTCAGCCTCCTGAGTAGCTGGAATTACAGGTGTGTGCCACCACACCTGGCTGATTTTTGTATTTTTGGTAGAGACAGGGTTTTACCCTGTTGGCCAGGCTGGTCTCAAACTCCTGACATCAAGTGATCCGCCCACCTTGGCCTCCCGAAGTGCTGAGATTACAGGTGTGAGCCGCCGCGCCTTGCCTGTTTTTGTTTTTGAATCAGTGTCTCACTCTGTTGCCCAGGCTGGAGTGCAGTGGCATGATCATGGCTAACTGCAGCCTGGACCTCCTGGGCTCAAGCCATCCTCCCACCTCAGCCCCTCCAAGTAGCTGGGACTGCAGGCACATGCCACCATGCCTGGCTAATTTTTGTATTTTTTGTAGAGACAGGATTTCACCATGTTGCCTAGGCTGGTCTTGAACTCCTAGGCTCAATCAATTCACTCGCCTCAGCCTCCCAAAGTGCTGGGATTACCGCGCCTGGCCAACATCATACTATTATTATAAAAATAGCTGTGACCTTGCAGATCTTCCCTGAATGGATCTTGAATATCTTTAGGGGTTTTTGGATCACACTTTGTTTTCTTCTGTTCTAACTACTTCATAGTTCAAGCAGATGTATGTGCTGTGGTATTCATCCCCTGCTTGACGTTTGTTTAGATTATGAGTACTTTAATTGAAGGGGTGGGTTGCCCCTCCACACCTGTGGGTGTTTCTCGTTAGGTGGAACAAGAGACTTGGAAAAGAAAAAAACACAGAGACAAAGTATAGAGAAAGAAATAAGGGGACCCGGGGAACCAGCGTTCAGCATATGGAGGATCCCGCCAGCCTCTGAGTTCCCTTAGTATTTATTGATCATTCTTGGGTGTTTCTCCGAGAGGGGGATGTGTCAGGGTCACAAGACAATAGTGGGGAGAGGGTCAGCAGACAAACACGTGAACAAAGGTCTTTGCATCACAGACAAGGTAAATAATCAAGTGCTGTGCTTTTAGATATGCATACACATAAACATCTCAATGCTTTACAAAGCAGTATTGCTGCCCGCATGTCCCACCTCCAGCCTTAAGGCGGTTTTTCCCTATCTCAGTAGATGGAACGTACAATCGGGTTTTATACCGAGACATTCCATTGCCCAGGGACGGGCAGGAGACAGATGCCTTCCTCTTGTCTCAACTGCAAGAGGCATGCCTTCCTCTTATACTAATCCTCCTCAGCACAGACCCTTTACAGGTGTCGGGCTAGGGGACGGTCAGGTCTTTCTCTTCCCACGAGGCCATATTTCAGACTATCACATGGGGAGAAACCTTGGACAATACCTGGCTTTCCTAGGCAGAGGTCCCTGCGGCCTTCCGCAGTATTTGTGTCCCTGGGTACTTGAGATTAGGGAGTGGTGATGACTGTTAAGGAGCATGCTGCCTTCAAGCATCTGTTTAACAAAGCACATCTTGCACAACCCTTAATCTATTTAACCCTGAGTTTGACACAGCACATGTTTCAGAGAGCACGGCGTTGGGGGTAAGGTCATAGATTAACAGAATCTCAAGGCAGAAGAATTTTTCTTAGTACAGAACAAAATGGAGTCTCCTATGTCTACTTCTTTCTACACAGACACAGTAACAATCTGATCTCTCTTGCTTTTCCCCACATTAATGGTAGACATTGGTGGCTTTTTATGACTTTTTTACATATCCTGTCATGTCTGTTGGTGTGTTTTTATATAGTAAACAGTCAAAACATATTTGTAAATTAATAAATTTCTAATATTGTCTATCTAGTTGAAATTTTCTCCATTCTGAAACCAAGATGATTTTGAAATAATGTTTTTTAAAAAATAATACAAACATATTCAGACTGGAACAAAAATTTTTAAAAAAATTCAGAAATAAAATAGCTTATTCCCCCCTAGGAAAGATTTTTCACTATGGTTGCTTTTTTTCTGTTCCATAGTGTTAAAAACAAAATCCATAGATCTAGCTTTTTATCCATCTTATTCTGGGGAAAAAACCTACAAAATCAGTAATATAATTTTTAACGTATTATTAATAGAAAGAATACTGTTCAGTTTTTAGAAGTATTAAACTGTTTCATTTTTTCTGGAGCACCTTAAGTGTTTGTTGTACATAAGACAAGCAATTGACTAAAAAGCATATTGTAAATGTAAGAATTTACTTTTTGGGTAATTTCCACATCACTGATATATTGCATACTATCTAGGTAAAAGTTAAACAGACTTTTAAGACAGTGATAACAAATATTGTTGAATGTGAATGCCTATTAATGTGAAAAGTCACTGGGTTTAGGCAGAAGCAACTTTAATGGGATGAATGATTTTTGGTTGTTCACTTGTTTTCATAGTATTAGGGATTTCAAAATAATAGGGACACAGGGCTTTGACTCAACTTGGACTTGTGATGACATGTTGAGCTTTATAGCATATGACGTTCACTTTGGAATCACTTACACTTTTGTTTGTTTTCAAGGCATATTTCTCATTTTATGCATAAAGTTCCTTTTCCATCTCCTCAGAGACCACGGATTTTAGTTCAGGTAAGGTTTTTTTGTTTTTGATTGGGGGACCTATGAGTTGTTATTGGCTCTGTCAAAATGTAACATAAGAATAACAATTCTGAATGAGGAAAAAAACCTAATGAGATTTAGAGAGAACCAGATACTATTACCTGTTGTAGTTTGGGCCCTTAATGTTTTATTAACTCCTCCCAGACATCTCCTGCTTTTCTTAGAGAACGGGTTCAAGAATTAAAGAAGTAGGTTGAAGTAGACATTTTGAATACACAGAAAGGAACTTTTTTCCCCTAAATTTGTTGTAGGTATTTGAAAGTTTGTGCCTTTGGCAGTTATTTAATAAGTTAAGGGAAAGTTGTGTGTGCATAAATTTCAAAACATAGATAAGAGTAATTACATTATTATATTGATACAGATAAAATATCTAGAAAAATAATATTTTGAGCTTTATATTCAGTCTGAATATCCACATGTGATTTCTGTCTTGTTTCCTGGAATGTAGTGTAAGAATATACATAACACATTCAGTTTAAATACACACAAAAGATTGTTTTATGATGGAAGTTAACAAACTTTTTTGGTTATTGGTCATACACTAAATATTTTAGTCTTTACTTGTCATCTGATCTCTGTCACAACTATTCAGCTCTTCTGTTACAGCACAAGAGCAGCTGGGTAATATGTAAATAATGAGCATGCCTATATTTCAGTAAAACCTTATTTACAAAAACAGGCAATCTATGGATTTGCCATGTAGGCCATAGGTTTTTTGACCCTGGTATTATGGTATTAAATGAATAATTTAGTCTTTCAGTGTGAATTTGTTAAAATGGCATCAGGGGAAACCATTGAGGACAGAAGAAAAGAGGATTCACAGTAAGAAGAATTAGTAGTTGAAAGGGGTCAGGACATGTTTTTCAAGATCTTAGTGAGTGATACAAAGTGTTCTGATACTGGTAAATGGATATACTGAAACTTCATGGGCATAATCATTATTTTATATATTTTTAACAGAAAGTGGTGTTTTAAAGTTCATCTTTATGTTTCAAATTCTTTATTTTAAATCTTCTTCCAGTTATCACCACATGATAATCTGATTCTCAGTCAGCCTGTGTCTTCACCTCTTCCACTAAGGCAAGTAAAACCTCATTTCTATTTATTTTTCTCTCAATCTAGCATAACATTCAAATATTTTATTTTTCCTAGCTAAAATTTCAAATATTGATGGAAATACTTCTCATTTAACTACTACTTCTCTAAATTCCTTTTACTTAATGTTTGGGTTGCAGTTATTAATGAAAAAAGGAAACTTTTCTAATAGTGTTTTGTATTTTGTGTATCTATTATCATCAAATACCTACTATTGTGTAAGTGTGTGTGTGTGTGTATTTATGTATGTAGATGATGAGAACAGTTATTTTTAGCTTTAATTAACCTCTGAAGAACATTCAAATGCAATTAATTTTTTCTTTTTAAAATGCAATTAATTTTAAATTTTACCCAAAAGAAAAAAAATAGTTCTAATTATTAAATTGTAGAATAGGACAATGTATTTTCTTACCTTAGAAGTTCAGAGAAATCATTAAGTATGTTTTCTCTACAGTATCCTTTCTTGAAATTTGATTAGCTGTGTAATTTTTTCATCAGAGAAATGGTTACAGTCTGATTAAGTTATATAGGAGATACCTAAGGGAGACTAGCTGCCATCTTTGACATTAATTTTGTAAGAATTGCAGATTATTTCATCACTAGCTCTCAGCCCAGAGTGACAAATGTTTTCTTAACCTTTGTTTGAGCTGAAAATAAACTAGAAACAATGAGTGAGACTATGTATGTCACTCTAAATTACATAAAGGACTTTTTTAGGTAACAGCTTTATTGAGATATAATTCACATATCATGTAATTCACCCAATTAAAGTGTATGATTCAATAATTATATTCACAGAGTTCTGCAGCTATCACTGTAATAAATTTTAGAACATTTTCGTCACCCTAAAAAGAAACTCTTTACCCTTCGGCAGTTAACCTCCTTAATTCCTCCCATCTCTAACATACTCATACCCCTCTGCAGCCCTAGTCAACCACTAATCTACATTCTGTCTCTATAGATCTGTCTATACTGTACATTTCATATAAATGGAATCATACAATATGTAGTCTGGCTTCTTTGACTTAGATTAATGTTTTCAAGGTCTATCTATGTTGCCTCATGTATCAGTACTTCTTTTTATTGCCAAATAATATTTCATTGTATGGATATACGTTTTATGTATCTGTTTATCAGTTGATAGACATTTGGGATAGTTCCACATTTTGGCTACTATGAACTTACCCCGATTTTTTTGTGGACATATGTTTTCATTTCACCAAGAGGCTTTTGTTATTAGTTTTGCTTTATTTAAAAGATTATTCCAGTGAAACTAGTTGTTTAGCATTATATAAACAAAATACTTGCTGGCTTACTGAACTATTTATTTACTTTGTCAGTTCAGTATTTTGTTACTATATAGAAGGCCTAAGTTTATTGTTTTCATTATTAACTTGCTTTGTATGTGTATCTTATCATCTTGTACCTCTTGATTTCCTATTACTATTATCATTACAGTAGTAAAGATTATTCACAAAATTAAGTTTTAATGTGTATTTACCTTAAGGGAAGTGGGCCTGTAAGTCATATGGTTTTTCTGATAATTACAGTGGAAGATAGGCCATGTTCAAAAACTTCCATTTAAGGATTTGCTTTCAATCAAAGCATCCCTTTTATAAATTGCATTCTTTATTTGGACATTATATGACAGATGTTTTTATATGAAATGAAGCAGATGACTTTTCATTTTCCATATTGAATACAGTACAAAAGAATGATTTTGGAATCTCCTAAAACTGCATTGTTTTCATAGTGTGTTTGTGATGCAGTGTTTTCCCTGCATCATAGCAGCAATCATGTTTAACGGTGAATATATAATACAAATTGTACCCTAATCAACATATATAATACAAATCCTACTCTAATCAACTACTTTTGCCCATTGTTTTAGATAATGAGGTGTTTGGATCATTATTTTTTAATTATATATTTTTGTTTGGATTGACAGTGGTGGCAAGTTTTCAACACTACTGCAGAATTTAGGCCCTGAAAATGCTGTGACACTACTGGTGTTTGCAGTAACAGAACATAAAATTCTTATCCATTCCCTACGGCCATCCGTGCTTACTAGTGTGACAGAAGCATTAGTGTCTGTGAGTATCACAGTTTCTTATTGGCAGTCAATTTAGTTTAAACTTAGTTTATTTATATAACTTAAAGCCATTTTAATATAACTTAACTAAAATTCAGAGAGTAATGAATTTGTGTTTTTTGAAAGCAGTTTTGATTTCCTGACCATTAACTCTAGTTATAATTATTTCATTCATTATCAGGCATTAGGCTTTAGATAATACTTAAAAGACAGTTTTTTGTGTGTGCTGATAAATTATGCTTCAGTGTTAAAAAGCTAAATTCTCTCCTATCTTTTGTTTATCCAAGATGATTTTCCCTTTCCACTGGCCATGCCCGTATGTTCCTCTCTGCCCACTGGCTTTAGCAGATGTCTTGAGTGCACCATGTCCATTCATAGTAGGGATTGATTCAAGATACTTTGATCTCTATGATCCTCCACCAGATGTCAGTTGTGTTGATGTAGATACCAACACTATTTCTCAGTAAGTACATTTTAGTGATTCTACATGTATATTTTACAACTTTGTAGCATATGTATGTAACTGTATATTTTATGATTGTTAAGTAGGATTCTTTTAAGATATATTGTTTTCCTTGTTATGTGGGGTAATCACCGTCTTTGAATCAGACCTTATTATGCGTCAATGGAGTAGATTTAGAGTATTAAAGAAGGTTTTGTTGGAAGGACTATACCTTTCATCCTCAGGCTTTCAATATTTAAGAAACATTTTAATGTTAGGCTTGCTTAGAAATTTAGCCAAAGGGGGCCGGGCGCGGTGGCTCATGCCTGTAATCCTAGCACTTTGGGAGGCCAAGGTGGTCGGATCACCTGAGGTCAGGAGTTTGAGACCAGCCTGACCAACAAGGAGAAACTCCATCTCTACTAAAAATAAAAATACAAAATTAGCTGAGCGTGGTGGCGCATGCCTGGAATCCCAGCTACTCGGGAGGCTGAAGCAGGAGAATTGCTTCAACCCGGGAGGTGGAGGTTGTGGTGAGCTGAGATCGCGCCACTGCACTCCAGCCTGGGCAACAACAGTGAAACTCTGTCTCAAAAAAAAAAAAAGAAAAAGAAAAAAAGAAAAAGAAATTTAGCCAAAGGGAAATTGAGGTTAGAAATAGAAAAAGTTTATTTCCCTTTAATGATATGAGTATAGGTGAAATCACAAATTGAATTAAAACACCATTCTTTGATTAATATTTCAATCCTATTTCTAGTCTTTTATAATACTATTAGAATACTTAAATATAGACTGGGCGTGGTGGCTGACGCCTATAATCCCAGCACTTTGGGAAGCCAAGGTGGACGGATCACTTGAGGTCAGGAGTTCGAGACCAGCCTGGCCAACATGGTAAAACCCTGTCTCTACTAAAAATTCAAAAATTAGCTGGACGTGGTGGCAGGTAATCCCAGCTACTCCAGAGACTGAGGCAGGAGAATCGCTTGAACCCGGGAGGCGGAGGCTGCAGTGAGCCGAGATTGCACCACTGCTTTCCAGCCTGGGTAACGGAGGGAGACTCTGTCTCAAAAGAAAAAAACAAAAAAAAACAAACAAAAAAAACTCATCATAGTAAAATAATGCTTTAAAATTTTAAAATAAGTTTTAAATTATACATAATTTCATTATCTTTACACCCTAGGGATGCAAGGGTTTTATGTTTTCATTTCTTTGCACTGAATTTATATGTAAGTTATAGCTATCGGAACTATTTTTAAAGCCTTTTTATAATTCTGTATTGTTTTGTGTCCCTTATTTTAAATTTAATCATACTTAATCTATTCAGGGAAGAGGAAATTGATGCACTGTCCACATTGCACCCACAGGACATGTTTATAATAACTATGATTTAGTCTAATAAAGCCCAAAAGCTGGTACAGCTTTTACACTTAAATATGTAAATGTGAAGTAGGTTTTTCTCCTTTTTTAAAAAGAGACAGGGTCTTACTCTGTCACTCAGGCTGGAGTGCAGTAGCATGATCATAGCTCACTGCCAAATTTCTGGGATCAAGCAATCCTCCTGCCTCAGCCTCCCAGGTAGCTAGGACTACAGGTGTGTACCACCATGCCTGGCTAAATTTTTTTTTTTTTTTTTTTTTTTTGAGACGGAGTCTCGCTTTGTCACCCAGGCTGGAGTGCAGTGATGCGATCTCAGCTCAATGTAAGCTCCGCCTCCTGGGTTCACACCATTCTCCTGCCTCAGCCTCCCAAGTAGCTGGGACTACAGGTACCCGCCACCATGCCTGGTTAATTTTTTTGTATTTTTAGTAGAGACGGGGTTTCACCATGTTAGCCAGGATGGTCTTGATCTCCTGACCTCGTGATCCGCCTGCCTCAGCCTCCCAAAGTGCTGAGATTATAGGTGTGAGCCACCGCGCCCGGTCATGCCTGGCTAATTTTTTAAAATGAGAAGGGGTCTTGCAGTGTTGTCCCGGCTGGTTTGGAACTCCTGACCTCATGTGATCCTCCCCCCTTGGCATCTCAAAGCATTGGGATTACAGGCATGAGCCACCACACCCAGTTTTTCTCCATTTTTAAGTAAGAGCTTTTTATCTTAAAGCTTTTTTTGAAAAAAATTTTTTACTTTTTATTCTTTTGAGACAATGTCTCGTTCTGTTGCCCAGGCTGGAGTGCGCAGTGGTGTAATCTCAGCTCACTGCAACCTCTTCCTTCCAGGTTCAAGCAATTCTCCTGCCTCAGCCTCCCAAGTAGCTGGGACTACAGGTGTGTGCCACCACACCTGGATAATTTTTGTATTTTTAGTAGAGAGGGGTTTTCACCGTGTTGGCCAGGCTGGTCTCGAACTCCTGGCCTCAGGTGATCTGCCTGCCTCGGCCTCCCAAAGGGCTGAGACAGCCTAAAGCTTTTCGATTTAATTATGAAACCTTAGATTAGTTCTCAGTCTTGTCACATGTCACAACCTCAAGTGCCTAAACCATTAGAAAAGTTTAGCAGAAAATGAGTATTCTGTTATAAAGCATGCATACTGTCAAAATTTTTATTCATGGAAAGCCTAACCAAGAAAATATGAAATATATTTTATGCATAAAAGCCATTTTACATACGGCATCAATAGATTCAATGATTCTTTACCATCAACATTTCATTCTTTACCAGAACTGTTTAATACTTTTAAACATTAAAGTAATACAACTTTTCCTTGCCAGGTTAATGTTACGTGATGTAATATTTTTTAATTGAAATTAACAGTGGTAAGAGTGTATACTGTGTTTATTATGGTAATAAATTGTATTTTCCACCTTACAATGTCTCTTAATTTGTTAAAAGAATTTTCTCAGCTAGGTGTCTTGACTCATACCTGTAATCTCCACACTTTGGGAGGCTGAGGCAGGAGGATCACTTGAGGCCAGAAGAGACCCCATTTATACAAAAAATTTAAAAATTAGAAAAAGAATTTTGTCTTCCTACTTACTATTTTTTCTTTCTTTCTTGAAGTTGCTGAGGTCTGAGCTCTTTTCTTTCTGCTTTGATCACTAATGAGTTAAAGAATCAAAGAAAGATAAGTTGTTTGTGCTCATGAATTCTTGCCATTACCACCCTCCCAAACCGGTGGAGGACTAGACTAGCGAACTGACAGCTTTCTACTTTCCTTCAATTAGAATTTCTGAAGCCCCAGCCTGAAGTTTGAAAGAAAAACAAATCCCAAGTATGGAATTTTTGGTTTCTTTTCCCCTTCCCTGTCTTAAGTATATATGATACAGACTATTTTTAAATATGAAGAAATTTCTGAAGAAAGGGAAAGAAATTAATATGTATGTACCAAGTGTAAAGCTACATGTGTAGCCTAAGTTATCTCATGTTATTCTCCATACTTTGTGAGGTGGTTCTTTTTTTTATTTTTTTTATTTTTATTTTTTGAGACAGAGTCTCACTCTGTTGCCCAGGCTGGAGTGTGGTGGCGTGATCTCAGCTCACTGCAAGCTCCACCTCCCAGGTTCTTGCCATTCTCCTGCCTCAGCCTCCCGAGTAGCTGGGACCACAGGTGCCCGCCACCATACCTGGCTAATTTTTTGAATTTTTTAGTAGAGACGGGGTTTCACCGCATTAGCCAGGATGGTCTCCATCTCCTGACCTCATGATCTGCCCGCCTCGGCCTCCCAAAGTGCTGGGATTACAGGCGTGAGCCACCGCGCCCAGCCGAGGTAGTTCTTATTAACCCTTCTGACAAGGAAACCAAAGCTTAGATTTTTAAGCGATTTATCAAAGGGCATATAGCTTATGTTGTCAGAACTGCATTTTAAAGCCATTACTGTTTGACTCCAAAACTAATGCTTCTACCACTAATTATTGGGTAACTATATAATATGTGTATGTCATAAAATAATGTAGTAATCTTGTAAGTGGAAGTCATCATGAGTAAATATACATTTACTCATAAGATGATCTTTTTTATAAGAAGATGATCATAGACCAAACTCAAGTACTTCAAAAAATTCCCTTACCCAGCCAAGTTTTAGAGGGAAGATATCAAAGGAAAGAGGCAGAAATTATAGCAGTAAGTAACAGTAATTAGATGTGATCAGATGATACCAAGATGTTGTTCATTCATTTACGCCACAAACATATCCCGAGTGCCCTTTTTTTGCTAGGCACTGGGAATAAAATAGCAAACCACATATTCTTCTTTCTCTTAAGACACTCATAATTAAGTCTAGCAAGACAGGCACTATGCAGTGAATGGTAAGACACAGTGGGAAAGCTGTGTTACTGAGTTTCATCAAGAAAATAATTTTAAAAAGTGTTTCTATGTTGCGTTCTTACTATAACACAGGATCCTGTTGGTCACATTGTAAATGTAATCACACCTTCACAGCAGGACATCTGCAGTTTGACTTTGCCCTATCTTTATTTTTATTCTCATTTGTGGAAAGATAGAGGGGACAAATTCCAAGACAGTCATTTTTGTTCAGCTTAAGCTTTCTTATCCCACTCTTTTTTCTTTGTTTACTTTTCAAAGTGATATTTGCCCTTTTTTGTTCTGTAGGAAGTTTAGGGAATATAAAAAGGTTCAGCAAGTTCCACTACACACCTGTGCTATGTTGTTCTGTGGTGGTTAAAATATGAGTGTTTTACTTTTCTTTTCTTTTTCTATACATTTTTCAAGTTTTCTAAAATGAATATTCATTGCTTTTGAAATAAAAAAAAAAAAAAACGATTCAAAAAAAAGTAGAGTCAGCTGGTCACAGTGCCTTTTGCCTGTAATCCTAACACTTTGAGAGGCAGAGGCCAGGAGGATTCCTTAAGATGTGGAGTTCAAGACCAGCCTGGGCAACGAAGCAAGACCTCATCTCTACAAAATAAAAATTAGCAGGCTGTAGGGGTGCGCGCCTGTAGTCTCAGCTGCTTGGGAGGCTGAGGCCTGCTTGGGAGGACCACTTGAGCCTGGGAGTTAAGACTGCAGTGAGCCGTGATCATGCCACTGCACTCCACCCTTGGTGACAGAGTGAGACGTTGTCTCTCTGGTTTTTTTTTTTAAAGTGGAGTCATTAAAGCTATCTTTAAGTCCAAATGCTTTGCAATGCTTTATCACCATGCTCTTTTCTACTCCTACCCCATGTATGGTTTAGAGACCAACTGTGTTGTAATTGCTATAATAAAGGAGATTATAGGAGCCTGTCCCAGAAACAAAGATACAATAGTTCCTCCTTTACCCACAGTCTGGTTTTCCATGGTTTCAGTTATCTGTGGCCAACTATAGTCTGAAAGTACATGAGTACAGTACAATAAGTTATTTTGAGAGAGAGAGCCCACGTTCACATAACGTTTATTAAAGTATATTGTTATAATTCTATTTTATTATAAATTATTGTTATCGATCCCTTACTGTGCCTAATTTATAAATTGAACTTTATCATAGGTATATATGCTTGGGAAAAAACATAGTAAATATGGGGTTCTGAACTGTCTGTGATTTCAGGCATCCACTGGGGGTCTCGGAATGTATCCTCTACAGATAAGGGGGAAACTGCTTTATCATTTTTAACGGATATCCTCTTTTATAGTTATATAAGTATTTCACAATATTATGCTTTATTCAAGTAATTTAGTATAATAGGTTATTTCTTTTTTGAAAGAAACAAAAATGATCCTTACTTATACTCTTAGGAAACTAAGAAACTAAGTATTTAAATATACCGAAGTATTTTGATAAGCTCTGTGGATCATGAATTTACTGAAAGTTTTTGTAGTGCTTTTTCTTACAGTATTTAAGAAAAAAACTTATGGTAGGATTTTTCTATTATTTAGGTGTCTAAGCACACTTAAATGGAGATTAAGAGTAAAGATCACCACATTAAGCTTTATGGTGATTAGCAAGATTCCAAAGCAACTGGAATTTACTCAGTATAAATATAAACTTGTGAACTATATTTAATACAAGGTTCTACCCTCATACAAATTAATTTTTGTATATTCAACATGCCAATTTACCCCTGTAGGATTTTTCTCTTGTTAATGCAAATATTTTGTTTTTCATTTTTCATTCAAGGTGTTTAATCTTTTCCCGTTTTTATATATAACAGATATATACCTTTCCCCTCCAAAAGACCATGTAACAAATATATTCCTGTTGTTATTTAATCTTAGAATTGGTGACAAGAAAAATGTAGCCTGGAAGATACTTCCAAAGAAGCCATGTAAAAATCTGATGAACACACTGAATAATTTGCATCAGCAATTGGCAAAATGTAAGTGGATAACTTAATTAAAGGAGGTAATTTAATCTGAAAAAGGGACTCCAATTACTTTGCCTTACTTATAAAAGAATAATGTTTATCTAGCAGAAAGCGGTTTTACCATTTTAAAGGCAGATGATCATTAAAGCAAAATTTGTTAGAAGATGAATGAGAGATTTATAAAATGTGTATTTTTTTTTTTTTCGAGACGGAGTCTCGCTCTGTTGCCAGGCTGGAATGCAAAATATGTATATTATATCTACCAAATTTTTATAGAACCATCTTAAAATAATAAAATTCAAAAGGATGTTAAGGTGGTTTATTTTACCGTTACTGAAATACCATGGAAAAAATGTGGGGTTCCACCTTTATATTGTTTTTTTTTTCTCTTTTGAGACACGGTCTTGCTTTGTCACCCAGGTTATAGTGTGTGGCACAAACATGGCCCACTACAGCCTTGACCTCCTGGGCTCAAGTAGTCTTCCCACTTCAGCCTCTTGAGTAGCTGGGACTACAGACACAATGAGGCACTACGCCTGGCTAATTTTTTAATTTGTTACAGAGACAGGGTCTTACCATGTTGTCCTGGGCTCAAGCAGTTCTCCCTCTTCGACTTCTCAAAGTGCTGGGATTACGGGCATGAGCCACCATGCCTGGCCTATTTTTTTCATACACAGAATAGAAAGTTAGTTTTGAAAATCGAAGACAAATGATGTAAACTACATTAGAAAATGCTGATGGTATCAGTGGGGTAAGAGCTTTTCACCTTCAGTGGATCTTAATGCTGTGCTTATCTTTTAAAAATGTTTTTTATTTTTCTGTGTGCCTATCTTAAAGTTTGAAAATCGAAGTTTGCCAATAGCATTAAGAAATTAATCAAAATGAAAATTGATTAGGATATGGAATATTTCTATTTAAAAAGCTTATATGAGAATATATCTTGACTTGTCCAGAATTACTGATAAGGAAAATTAAACCTTCATTTCTTTATCTAATCTTGTTGGTATTATAGCAGATGACCCATTCAGAATCCATAACTTAATACTTATTATATAAAGTACAGTCAATAGTGGTATAGCAGTATTTGACTCCTTAAGATGTAGCTGTAGTCTCAACTGCTTGGGAGGCTGAGGCAGGAGGACCACGCGGGAGGACCACTTGAGCCTGGGAGTTAAGACTGCAGTGAGCCGTGATCATGCCACTGCACTCCATCCTTGGTGACAGAGTGAGACGTCGTCTTTCTCTTTCTTTTTTTTTTTTTTTTTTAAGTGGAGTCATTAAAGCTATCTTTAAGTCCAAATGCCTCGCAATGCTTTATCACCATGCTCTTTTCTACTGTTAAGGAAAATTAAACCTTCATTTCTTTATCTGATCTTCTTGGTATTATAGCAGATGACCCATTTATGTAATACACATTTATGTTTAGGTACAACATAAGCATAGGAGGTAGCCTACACCCTTGAGGATTCATCATAGTGTATAGTGTAGTTGGAAATAGACATGGATAAAAACAGTATTTACAAAGTACACTTCATAACAAGTAGATGATTCCAAAGTAGCTCATAAGTATTGGGATATTAAACAAATTACATAAAACGTAACAAAATTTTGCCTTATGGAACAAATAAATCATGCATGTAATATCATTTGTTACCTAGTTAATTGCTTTCTAAAAGTGTTTGCACTTCTTTTGAATAGCTAAGAAGCCCAACAGCTATTGTAGCAATATTCAAATATTATTAACATTGGCTGGGCAGGGTGGCTCAGGCCTGTAATCCCAGCACTTTGGGAGGCTGAGGCAGGGAGATCGCTTGAGTCCAGCAGTTTGAGACCATCCTGGGCAACATGCTGAAACCTTGTCTCTGCAAAAAGTACAAATATATATATATATATATATATATATATATATATAATCAATGAAACAGCCCATTCAACTTTTGTGAAAGGCAGAATCTCAAAGGTTAAAACTACAAACATTTAAATAATACTGATAATTAAGGACTCTAACGCTTTATAGCTTCAGAGCACATTCACATACATTCTTTTACGTTACAGCTATGAGAATGAGATTGAAGGAGGCGTATAGTAGCTTCTCACAGATCATACAGTTAACAAGGATGAAGCTGGGATTAAAACCTAGGCTTTCTTGACTGGGCGTAGTGGCTCATACCTGTAATCCCAGCACTTTGGGAGGCCGAGGCAGGTGGATCACCTGAGGTCAGGAGTTCGAGACCAGCCTGGCCGACATAGTAAAACCCCGTCTCTACTAAAAATACAAAAATTACCCGGATGTGGTGGTGCACGCTTGTTGTCCCAGCTACTTGGGAGGCTGAGGCTGGAGAATAGCTTGAACCTGGGAGGCAAAGGTTGCAGTGAACCAAGATTGTGCCACTGCACTCCAGCCTGGGAGACAGAGTGAGACTCCATCTCAAAAAAAAAAAAAAAATCCTAGGCTTTCTGGTTCCAATGCCTTACGTTCTTCCAGTATTTTCACTTTTTTAGACAATAAGAACTCCTCCAAAAACTCTCGAAGACGATTAATTGTTCCTTATATTTTAAAATTTTGAAGTAATAACAAACTTTTTTCCTGACCCTTTGACATTAGATGCTTCATGACATTTGAATAGAATGTATTTCCTACCCAGTACATTCTTTGACATCACTACAATGTAACCATAAAAATCAGAAAATTAACATTGAGAATTACTGCTGTCCTAATCCTCAGACCACATTCAGGTTTTGCCAGTTATCATCTTAATGTTCTTTATAACAAAAGGATCCAGTTCCAAATCAGGTGTTGTATGTAGTTTCAAGTCTCTTTATTTGCCTTTCCTTCTGAACAGTTCCTCAGATTCTCTGCCATCTTTGAAGATTATACTTACCATTGTAGAATTGTCCATGGTGTGGGTTTGTCTGAGCATTCTCATAATAAATACAGGCCACCCATCTATTTTCTTTTTTTTGAGACAGGGTGTCTCACTGTGTCACCCAGGCTGGAGTGCAGTGGCGCGATCACGGTTTATGGCAGCCACAAGCTCCCAGGCTCAAGTGATCCTCCCATCTCAGCCTCCTGAGAAGCTGGGACTACAGACACAAGCTATCACACCCAGCTAATTAAAAAAAAAAAAAATTCTGTAGAGATGGGATCTCACTATATTGCCATGCTGGTCTTGAACTTCTGGGCTCAAGTGATCCTCCCACTGCAGCCTCCTAAAGTGCTAGGATTACAGATGTGAGCCACTGCACCCGGCCCAGGTCACACATCTTTGACAGGAATATCACAGAAGTGATGCTGTGTCTCTCTCATTGCGTCCTTATATCAGATCGCACACTATTTTGCTTTGTCCCATTATTGATGAAGATATTCACTTCGATCACTTGATTAAGGTGGTGTCTACTAGACTTCTCTACTATAAAATTACATGTTTACTATCTAATGGCTTTAGCATTGAATTGTCCAGGAAGAAGAATTGTTTTTTATATTTTAATCCTTGTGTGTTCTTCCTGCAGGTACTTATATTAAAAAAAAAAAAAAGGGAAAGAAGAACTGTTGCATTTGCCCTGCACTCAGTTTGCACAGGGTAAATGCAATAGTTCTTCTTTCCCTTTTTTTAAAAGTCTGTTTTCAATATGTAAGACAAAAACATGAATGAATACAAGAGGGAATGTCACTGCCACTTTGAAAAAGACATATATATGTATTATATAAAATATGTATGTTTTATATATATTCATATGGAAAGAGTGTGAGAGCAAGTATGTGCACATAACATGCAAAGTGGCTGGGCATGGTGCCTCATGCCTATAATCCCAGCACTTTGGGAGGCCAAGGTAGGCGGATCACCTGAGGTCAGGAGTTCGAGACTAGCCTCGCCAACACGGTGAAACCCCGTCTCTACTAAAAATACAAAAATTAGCTGGGCGTGGTGATGGGCACCTGTAATCCCAGCTACCAAGGAGGCTGAGGCAGGAGAATCTCTGGAGCCCGGGAGGTAGGGGCTGCAGTAAGCTGAGATCGTGCCACTGTACTCCAGCCTGGGTGACAGACCAAGACTCTGTCTCAAAAAACCAAAAAAAAAAAAAAAAAAAAAAAAAAAAAGGAAAAAAAACATGCAAAACTTTTGAGGGAAAGGGGGGCAGTTTTTGAAATATTTTCAAATGTACTAGTTTATGTATAATCTCACCATAATCACTTGATGGTGAGAGAACAATGGAGACAATTCTGTATGAAGATTTGAGAGATCTGGGTTTATGTTCCTTTTTTATTATTCTCCTTATTCGTATGTCAGGTCATTTCCCCTCTCAGGGCATGTGCAAAATAGTAGTGGTGTGGGAGGTATAGATGACATGGTTGTTCAGATTCTTTCTGAACAATGCCAATACTTGGTGAGCCTATGAGTGATATATATTTATGTTGAACAGCTTTCTTATATTCTATTGCCTTCTCGGTTACAATCATTATTAACTTATATATAGTTATTTTAGAACATGAACTTAAAAAAAATTTTGTAAAGACAGAATCTCTCTTATGTTGCCCAGGCTAGTCTTGAACTCCTAGCCTCAAGTGATCCTCCTGCCTTGGTCTAGGATTGCACGCATGAGCTACCATGACCGACCTGAGCTTTTTTTTTCCTGGTGGTAGTGAGATAAACGGGTAGCTTTGTGTTTAATTTGGATAAAATTTACTCAACGGAGACTACAAAATGCTATGGCAAGCTTTGCTAAGGTTTACGTATGATTAAGTTATGTAAACAAAGAGTTGAGGTAGCTTGGGTCCTTTTGAAAATACAACAAAATTATATTGGTACCATCATGAGTGTTTTGTGAGTTTGGAGAAAACACTAACACTGTATGTCTTCACAGTGCAGCAGAGACCGAGAGATGATGGACTCATGGATTTAGCAATAAATGACTATGATTTTAATTCTGGAAAGAGGTTGCACATGATAGATTTGGAAATCCAAGAGGCATTTTTGTTTTTCATGGCCTCTATTTTAAAAGGTTACAGATCATACTTAAGGCCAATAACACAAGCCCCATCTGAGACAGCCACAGATGCAGCCTCTCTCTTTGCCCTACAAGGTGAGTGACTGCATAGTTTTAAAGCTTTCAGGTTATTGAGCTTAACTTTGTGATGATTCATTTGCTGTCTGTATTAATAGCTCATATTTATGAGAATACATACCTATTTTGAGGAGAATCTGAATACTAGCTTTGTTGGTTACCCATTTCCATAGGACTAGTTATTTTTCAGGCATATTAGATATAATCCCATTAGCAGATATGCAGAAGAAAAGTATAGAGCCTCCCAACCATATACCGACTACACTTTTGTGTCACATGTGTGTTGAGATACTGATACTTTCAGCTTTCAGAGCAGCAGGCAGTGTTGGGGATAAGAGGAACCCCTGAGATGGTCACCTCCAGGCTTGAATAACCTCATTTGTTTTATTTCAGTATACTTTACAAATATTTTCAAATATTATGTACTTTACAAATATTTACAAATATTTCCTATCTGTGCCATGAAGTAAAAAAAGTTGGGAAGTTCTGGAGTGCAACCGGTTTTATAATACATATTTACTTTCTTTTGTAGTATTTAACATTTGAAAGAGAAATCCATTTAATAAGTATATATTGAGTACCTCCGAATGCTAGGCATTGGATATATAGTGGTATGCAAAAGAGACATGGCCAAAAAAAAAAGTAAAAGATGAGAGACATGGTTATTTCTCTCAGAGAGCTTATAATCAAGAGGATAGGCAATTGGAAATAAAGAGTGAACAACTTCAGTTCACAACCTCATATCACGGAAGGCTTTTCTGAAGAAGTAACATCTGATCCATGATCTGAAAGATGAGTAGAAATTAGCCAGACAATGCAAATCGAAACCACAATGAGATACCATCTCACGCCAGTTAGAATGGCAATCATTAAAAAGTCAGGAAACAACAGGTGCTGGAGAGGATGTGGAGAAATAGGAACACTTTTACACTGTTGGTGGGACTGTAAACTAGTTCAACCATTGTGGAAGTCAGTGTGGCGATTCCTCAGGGATCTAGAACTGGAAATACCATTTGACCCAGCCATCCCATTACTGGGTATATACCCAAAGGACTATAAATCATGCTGCTATAAAGACACATGCACACGTATGTTTATTGCGGCACTATTCACAATAACAAAGACTTGGAACCAACCCAAATGTCCAACAATGATAGACTGGATTAAGAAAATGTGGCACGTATATACCATGGAGTACCATGCAGCCATAAAAAATGATGAGTTCATGTCCTTTGTAGGGACATGGATGAAATTGCAAATCATCATTCTCAGTAAACTGTTGCAAGGACAAAAAACCAAACACCGCATGTTCTCACTCATAGGTGGGAATTGAACAATGAGAACACATGGACACAGGAAGGGGAACATCACACTCTGGGGACTGTTGTGGGGTGGGGGGAGGGGGGAGGGATAGCATTAGGAGATATACCTAATGTTAAATGATGAGTTAATGGGTGCAGCACACCAACATGGCACATGTATACATATGTAACAAACCTGCACATTGTGCACATGTACCCTAAAACTTAAAGTATAATAATAATAAAAGAAAAATAAAAGAAAAAAAAAAGAAAGAAATTAGCCAGACAAAGGTAAAGTAGGAGAGTGTTTTACGCAGAGAGAACAGTTTACACAGTCCCTGAGACTGGAAAGAGCTTGAATTCCTGGGCCTGAAAGAAGGCCCAAGTGCAGTGTAACTGAGCATAATTAGTAAGGTGAATCAGGAAATAAACCTTTTCTCTGTTTTCAATAAGTAAGACACAAACATGAATGAATACGAGGGAATGTTACTGCTGCTTTGAGAAAGCCATTTATATATATATGATATATATATTTATATGGAGAGAGTGTGAGAGCAAGTATGTGCACATAATATGCAAAGCTTTTAGGGGAAAAGAGAGCAATTTTCAAATATACTAGTTTATAATCTTTAAGATGGTGAGAGAACAGTGGAGACAGTTCTGGATGAAGATTTGAGAGATCTGGGTTTATGTTCCTTTATTACTATTCTCCTATTTCTTTGTCAGGTCATTTTCCCTCTCAGCACTTGCGAAATGGTAGTGGTGTGGGAGGTATAGATGACATGGTTGTTCAGATTCTTTCTAGTGCAAATATTCTGTGAATCTATGAATGATATTATGTATTCTGACATTATATATTTTTGTTGAACAGCTTTCTTAAGAAGCCGGGACCGGTCACATCAAAAATTCTATAACATGATGACCAAAACACAAATGTTTATTCGCTTCATTGAAGAATGTTCTTTTGTTAGTGACAAAGATGCAAGCCTGGCATTTTTTGATGATTGTGTAGATAAAGTAAGTAACAGTACATCTACAATGCCCTAACTTATTTTGTGTGACTGTTATAAATGTTATGAGTTATAGTTTCTATGTACAGCTTTTAATGAAATTGAAATTAATTTCATTTTCATCGTTGACCACTTAAATGAAAGTTTTGGTAGCCTGCTAGAAATTATAGAATGCACCTCTTACAATTACCTTGTAGAATTTTACTACAAGGTAATTGTAATCATAAGTTTTATTGTAGCAATCAAGTCCTAACCCTCCCTGTCCACTTACAAAACCAGGAATTTTTTGCCAGCCTGTGCACCTCCAACTTGAACGTCTGTGATTTTCACCTCTCCTTTTTGTCTGATATGGGTTATCACATGCTGAAAGTAGGTGTGAAAGTATAATAAATGTTTTACCTGAATATTTCTACAATTGCGAATGAGTTCGTAGCTTAAATTAATTAGTTCTGTAATTTTAAATTTATGTATGAAACCTTTCCCTTCAGTCCTAATATCATTAGGTAGGACAGAGCAAGGCAGGTATTCATGCTGGAGAGAGAGGAGGTAGTAGGATGGTAGTCCAGAGAGGGGTTTCAAAACCTAAATAGGGTGGAGAGAGAGGAACAGCCTAGCTGGAATGTCAGAGCCCAAGCCAGGTAAGGAGAGTATTCCTGGAGAGGCATGGTCTAACATGGAGAATCAGAGGACAGGCAGTTTAAAGAGGGTATCCATGTTCAGGGGCAGACTGCTACAGGGTGTCAGAACCTAAACAGGATGAGAAGAGCATTCATACAAAGGTGAGCACAACATGCAGTGTCAGAGTCTGAGCAGGGTGAGGAGAGTGTCCTCATGGGGATAGCAAGGGAAGCAAATGAGATGTCAGAATTTCATATAGATGAGAGAGGTGCCAGCATGGTGGGGCAGGATTTGGTCTGGAGGGGGTTGTCAAAACCACATTAAGGTGAAGAAGTCATCTGTGTGGGAGAGGGGTGGTGGTGAAGATGGGAGAATGTTACATATGGGGGAGATTGATCAAATAAGTATATTAAAGATAATAAAGTTTTTGGGTTTTTTTTTTGTTTTTTTTTTTGAGACGGAGTCTCGCTCTGTCACCCAGGCTGGAGTGCAGTGGCGCGATCCTGGCTCACTGCAAGCTCCGCCTCCCAGGTTCACACCATTCTCCTGCCTCAGCCTCCCGAGTAGCTGGGACTACAGGCACCCGCCACCATGCCCGGCTATTTTTTTGTATTTTTTTAGTAGAGATGGGGTTTCACTGTGTTAGCCAGGATGGTCTTGATCTCCTGACCTCGTGATCTGCCCGCCTCGGCCTCCCAAAGTGCTGGGATTACAGACATAAGCCACTGCACCCGGCCAAAGATAATAAAGTTTCTTATTGAGAGAAGAGATTTACAAATACAGAAGTGAAGAAAACTAAAATGAACCCCATAGTGTTGGAATAGAATTGGAGATTTGCTGTATATCATTGGTTTTCAATGATAGATACAGAAATAAATGTAGATGTAAGTATATGTGTCTGTGTGTATATATACATATATTCCCTACCTCTGTACATTGAGAGGACCTGGATGCAGCCACACCCCAAAAGCAATGAGCACACCTAATGTATAGATTTTGACTTCTAAATACCATTCTCCACTAAAAGAATCAGGACTCAGAGAAATGGCCAGCCCCAGGTTTAGGGCAAGGACATTATTAGGCGATAAGCCCAAAAGTATCTTGTGCTAGAAAACCAAGAATTGCTCTAAGAATGATGAGACATGTTACAACAAAATACACACACAGAAGTCAATTTGAAGGGATTTCCACAGGCAAATCTAGGACAATTTGAGCATCAAATGTTAGTAACAGATTAGCCCATTGAGTAAAATAAGAAACCATGAGTGTACACAGATATCAATCAACTGAAAGTCATCTGAGAAGCAGGATCTTACATAGTTATTAAGGACCTTCCCACAAAATGCATATTAATGACAAAAGGGAAAAGAGTAACTTTATAGTGGAAAAGCCTGGCAAATGCCGTTTTAATCAAGTTATCAAAATGAACATCATCTGTAACGGGACAAGTCAACATTGTGTTCCTCTAATAGGTTACAATGAGAATGCAACATCAATTCTGTAATATTCCTGCAAAAATGTATGACCTATATAATCTCAAGGAAATACCAAACACATATTAAATGATATTCTACAAAATACTTATTCTGTAATCTAGAAAGTATTAAGGTTAAGAAAATAAAGTAAAAATGGAGAAGAAACTTGTCTAAAGTGAAGTAAGAAGACTTGACAACCAAATGCAGTGCTTAGTTAAGAACTAGATCCTTTTGGCATAACATTATTAGGTTAATCGACAAAACTTGAATGTGGTTTGAGGAGTATGTAGTAGTAATGTATTAGTGTGTTGATTTCCAGTAATAATGTATCAATGTTAATTCCCAGATGATTGTATTTCTGTAGGAGAATGTCTTTGTAGGAAGTATAAAAGTATTCAGGGGTGATGATGGGTCATCAGCTCAGCAGCTTACTCTCAAAGATTAAGGGAAGAAGTTACTTATACTGTGCTTAAATTTTCCTGTAAATTTGTATTTAAATAGGTATATAGTATCCATGATGTTATGGCCATGATAATAGAAAAAAGGAAGAAATAAAAGCTTTATTATATATGATCACAACAATTTGTAACGTTAAGATTATTTAAAGAAGTCCATCACTTTCAAATTTATGTGACTGTGAAAGAAAATCAGTGAGTTTTTTTTTTAACACAACAGCCAAAATACAACTCATCCCTTGATATTCATAAATTGGTTCAGTTCTTAGTTTAACATAAAATTGGCCTTACTGATTGTTAAATATGTACCAAATGTGTCATATAAAAATGAGAAGTGATTCTCACTATGAATAGGAAAATAGTGTACTAGGAAAAACATACTACATTGGGAATCAGAAGTACTTTAATCTTGACTATTATACTTGTGACTTTAGTCATTTAGTCTTTATATGTTGTTTTCTTATGTATGTTTTTAAAATGTTTTGAGGAGAAATAATTATAGCTGCCTATCATAGCGTTCAGAGTAGTGTTGTATAAACTAAAAAGAAAATATTATGACTGTTTTTGCCTTTAACTGGGTTTTATTCACGTTTATAGATTAATGGTTCATTTGGTTTATCATTTCATAACAGAAATGTTCAATTTTTGAATGATTTGTACATATGAACAGGAACACATTCAGAGCCTTGTAGACATCTACCTTTTCCTTCAATTTAGAACACTTGAGGGATGATTGATACAGAGAAATACTCTTTCTGGTGCTGTTAGGGAATTAACAAATCAAAGTATCCAGAAATATCATCCCTAGTTCTTTCTTGAAAATGCTTTGGAATAGGGAAAAGATGGATACATGCCATTACCTGCTTAAAATTCTCAATTCATTTTCCCATAGAAACACTGTTATAAATGGTGATTAGCCATACTTCAAATGGTAGCAGTGTTTTGCTATAAATACGTGTTAAATTTTTATAAGTTGGGCATGGTGGTGTGCACCTTTAATCCCTAGAGCAATTACTACCAGCTACTCAAGAGTCTGAGCGGGGAGCCCAGGAGTTGGAGTCTAGCCTGGGCAACGTAGTGAGACCCTGTCTCTAAACAAAAACCAACAACAACGAAGTATTAATTTTGTGTGTGTGTGGAATAATATGCTAACCACTTTTTAAGACATTTTTAAAAATCAAATTTATTGAGATATACAAACAGTAGATACACCATTGATGTACAAAGTTTAATGAGTTTTGACAAATATGTATTTCCATGTAACCATGAGTTCCAAATATTTTCATCACCCCAGAAAGTAGATTGTTTTGGGGGAAGATTTATTTTCTACATTTTGAATAACCTACTTACAAACAGACTTGTGGAACCCTGCATTTTGTATGTTGAGTTCTGGTCTATAAAGCTTTGAAAACCTGGTTTTTTTTCTTTATTATTTTTTATTTTTGAGGCAGGGCCTCTCTCTGTCACCCAGGCTGGAGTGCTGTGGCACGATCTCAGCTTACTGCAGACTCGACCTCCTGGGCCCAAGTGATTTCTCACCTCAGTCTCCTGAGTAGCTGGGACCACAGGCATATGCCATCATGCCTGGCTAATTTTTTGTTGAGACAGGGTTTCCTTGTGTTGCCCAGGTTGGTCTTGAACTCCTGGACTTAAGTGATCCTCTTGTAGTAGTCTTCCGAAGTGCTGGGTTTATAGGAGTGGCCCCTGCTCGTGGTGAAAACCTGTTTATTTTGAAGAGATAATGTCATAGCTCTTTGACAGTTTTGTCTTCATTTGAGTATTATACCAAGAACTTGTTTTTCAATATTTTAAGCAAAGTTTTGTGTTTGCCTTATTTGGCACTTCTGTTAGGCCCTTCTTGTGTTGCCGTAAAGAAATACCTGCATCTGGAGAACTAATAAAAAAAAGAGGTTTAATTTGCCCCTAGTTCTACTGGCTTTATAGAAAGCGAGGTGCTGGCATCTGCTTCTGGTGAGACCTCAAGAAACCTACAGTTATGGCAGAAAGCCACGGGGAGCCACTAGGGAGCCAACATGTCACATGGCCAGAGCTGGAACAAGAGAGAGTGGTAGAAACTGCCATATGCTTAAATAAAACAGATCTCGAGAGAACTCACTTGCTACCACAAAGACAGAACCAAGCTATGAGGGATTTGTCCCATGACCCAAACACCTCCCACCAGGCCCCACCTCCAACATTGGGGATTACATTTCAACATAAGATTTGGAATAGACACATATCCAAACCATATCAGTGCTTATAAAATTAAATATTGGCAATAAATAGAAAGGTGTGCTTTAAAAAATAATTCCTCTACATTCTTTTTTATAGGAACAATTGTGGGTTTTTTTTTGTATATAAAGATGATGTTTCTGTCTGGCATTACCAACTTTGAATGATTTTCTCACAGGTGCTGGGCTTCCATTGGTTGTATATATGTTCTCACTGAGCTTCCCTTACGAACAGTGGCATACATTTGTGTAACTATTGTTCCTTGTGCAAACCTTACTGAATCATAAGGGACCAAATTGGTAACCAAGGTTTTGCCAATAGCATGCTTTAGCCAATAAATTTATTAATCCACATGAGAACACTGAATTGGTTGTCAGAATCCAAATAACAGTGAGAAGAGAGAAGTCTTATATTGTTCCCTTTTATTTTTGGCCTATTTTATGTATCCCATTCACAAGTTTCTGTTTTAGCTAAGAACTCAGGATTCCTAGCTAAGTCACATGATTTAAAGAAATATTAATATCTAAGATATACAAGATTTGTAATTTTGCTAACTAGGGTATTACGTCCTAAGGAGCATATCTTAGTACTCATGGTTAATACATTATGTTGTCTAGGATTTTCTGTAGGCCACCTGTTGTTTATGTGATGGTAGTCCATGCAGAAGGTGACTGGAATCATTGCTTAAAGATTATGAATTCTGAGAAGTCTCGAAAAAGAAAATTCTATTAAATGTATAATCATTGTTTCTAGGTAGACTATTTTCCTAAAATGTTATTTATCTATTCAAAATCTAGATCCAACAAAAGATCACTTATATATATGAATTAACATTATACTTAAAGATTTTAATGACTACTCAGAAAATCAAAACTGAAAATTAATGCATTAAAACATAATTACTTGTATTTGCTTTGTTATAATTCAAGAGACTTATTAGAGAAAATAAAGTGTCACGAGATTATATATATATATATATATATATTTTTTTTTTTTTTTTTTTTTTTTTGAGATGGAGTTTTTGCTCTTGTTGCCCAGGCTGGAGTGCAATGGCATGATCTTGGCTCACCGCAACCTCCGTCTCCTGGGTTCAAGCAGTTCTCCTGCCTTAGCTTCCCGAGTAGCTGGGATTACAGGCGTGTGCCACCACACCTGGCTAATTTTGTGTTTTTAGTTTCTCCATGTTGGTCAGGTTGGTCTCAAACTCCCGACCTCAGGTGATCCGCCCATCTCGACCTCCCAAAGTGCTGGGATTACAGGCATGAGCCGCCGTGCCCGGCTCAAAATGTATCTTAATAAAGTTCATATGTAGTTAGAGCAGAGGTTAATTGTATCCCTGGTGGTGTTATTAGCCAGAACTCTCTGAAATGTAAATAATTATACAATGCTGTTACTACCTTTCATGTTTTGATACCATAGTAAGTGACTCACAAAAAATCAGTGCTTACTATTCATCTGCATATGTTTTCTGAATATCAGTAACACTTTAAAAAGAATAATTTTTGTGAGGGTTATTCCTTAGTTGAGTAACTTTGAGCTTAAGTTTTTAAGTGAACAAATCCTCTTACCTCTGGCAGTTTAGCTATAGAAAATAAATAACATTAAATATACGTTAACTGTCTCATATGGTTCATGACTACTATTGAACAAAAATTAGACGTGTGATACTGTTATTCACTTATTCTCACATGGTATATTAACTCTTTTGATCTTAGCATATCCAAACAAAACACTTGACCGACTTTAAAAAGCTGGAGCGGGTAATACTGAATAGAAATAAGAAAAACAATATATGAGAATTATGTGAGTTTCATTTATGACTAATTTAAGAACCATGTGTTCTTGTTCTTCATATGATTATATTTTAAATCCTTACAATCTGTTCCTGTGGGATGGTGCTTAACTAAAGGCAGTTTTGTGTAACAAATAGTCTGGTAAGATTTTTTCTTGGTTTCCCAAGAATCCCTTTCCAGTGTTTTCTGAGCATATTAATGTCTTGTGGGAAAATATGAAGAGAATATGAAAATTATTTTAATTTTATCCTGCTGTGGGTGTTGGATTTCTTTTTCTCTCGATAGAGACAGATGTCACCATGCTTTCCAAAAGACAGAGATGTCCAACTGATAAATGTAGGATTTATTGCACGGCTATTTTTATAATGTTAAAATGAGATTTTATTGGTATATAAGTAGAAGGAAGTATCTTTTACCAAGCTATTGAGTCTACAGTGCAAAATTTTAATATTTGTATAGACTTTACCGAAAACTAGAGCAGTTGTCCTGGACCCCACACTTTTCTATGAGAACAATATGGCTAGAGAATGGAAAGTAGGCACCAATATGGAGAGGGAGAAGCTGCTAAAAAAAAGAGTGAGAACTATTAAATAAATAAACATTTGCTGAGCATGGTGGCTCATTCCTGTAATCTCAACATTTTTGGGAGGCTGAGGCAGAAGGATTGCTTTGAGGCCAGGAGTTCCAGACCAGTCTGGGCAACATAGCAAGACCCCATCTCTACCAAAAAAAAAGAAAGAAAGAAAAATTAGCTGGGTGTGGTGGCATGTGCCTGTAGTCCCAGCTACTTGAGAGACTAAGGCAGGAGGATCACTTGAGCCTAGGAGTTTGAGGTTGCAGCAAGCTGTGATTGCATCATGGCATTTTAGCCTGGGCAACAGAGCAAGACCCTGTCTCAAAAAAAACATTAAGAATCATAATATATAGGCTGGGTACTGTGGCTCATGCCTGTAATCCCAGCACTTTGGGAGGCCAAGGCAGGCGGATCACCTAAGGTCAGGAGCTCCTGACCAGCCTGGCCAACATGGTAAAACCCTGTCACTACTAAAAATATAAAAATTAGCTGGGTGTGGTGGCACGCACTTGTAGTCCCAGCTACTTGGGAGGCTTTGGCATGAGAATTGCTTGAACCTGGGAGGCGGTGGTGCTGGTGAGCCAAAATTGCACCATGCACTCCAGCCTAGGTGACAGAGCAAGACTCTGTCTCAAAAAAAAAAAAAAATCATAATATGTATACGATTTAGTAGTCTGATTCTTTTCTCATTTATTGTTATTTTGTAAATGTTTTTCTCATTATTATAATTCTGAATCGTGTCCTAATTTTTGTCTAGTTCACTGTATGGATATACCATTAAAAACATTATTTAATCCAAGAGAGTATAGCATATAATGCTGTGAAATTATAATCAATAATTTATATAAGAAGATTTTTGAATGTATTGGTTCCTTTAAGTGTTAGAAAATTTTTAAAACTCATCTCTGTTCTTTTTTGGTATACTCTGCCCTAAGTCCTTATCTTAAAGGTTTAACTACTTAATAATTCTTGCTCTTCCACTTAATCCACATGGTATGTGATATTTCTAACCTAATAAAGTTCTGTGAAATGTGTTTTGTCATATGTATAACATCCTTTTTTATTAATATCAATATTATTCTTTTTAGTTTATGAGCTCTTGTGGGGCAGTTTAGGTTCTATGAAGTTTTCATTTTTTCTGGATATTACCTTGCTATCGAGTATCTAGTGGAAATAGTACTACCAAAGTGCTTTCGATATTGATGTGACTAGAGTTTAACTCAAATATACGTCTACATATGCTGAAAGAGCTTAGGGAAATTTGTTATATTTAGTATAAATTTTAAAAATATATAGAATTCACTATTCTTATCACACAGACACACATGTACGTGGATTTAAAAAATATTATTTCTTGATTACAGTCTCATGATTCAAATGCAAAACATTTGCATATAAAAAGGTATATTCAAATATAAAAAGGTATGTATTCATCTGGGTCCTATTCCATCCTTGTCTACCCTATTCCTTTCCTCTTCCTCATATAGGTACTTTTCTTAGTATCCTTCTAGTATTTCTTTATGTAAATATAAGCAAAAATGAAAGGCCGGGCGCTGTGGCTCACGCCTGTAATCCCAGCACTTTGGGAGGCCAAGGCGGGCAGATCACAAGGTCAAGAGATCGAGACCGTCCTGGCCAACATGGTGAAACCCCGTCTCTACTAAAAATACAAAAATTAGCTGGGCATGGTGGCACACGCCTGTAGTCCCAGCTACTTGGGAGGCTGAGGCAGGAGAATCACTTGAACCGGGAGGCAGAGGTTGCAGTGAGCTGAGATCGTGCCACTGCACTCCATCCTGGCGATAGAGCAAGACTGTCTCAAAAAAAAATATATATATATATGTGTGTGTGTGTGTGTGTGTGTGTGTGTGTGTGTGTGTGTGTGTGTGTTATTTTCCCCTTTTCTTATTCAAAAGGTAATATACTATTTACAGTTTGCACTTTGCTATTTTCACTTAATTATTTTGGCACTCATAGAGAACTTGCTCACTCTTCTTTTTTAATAGCTGTTTAGTATCCATTGTGCAGATGGTTTATTTAACCACTTCCCTTTATATGAACACTTGGCTAACCAATGTGGCTTTTTTAATATATGTTTTTAAAACTCCTTTAGGTGGATATGGACAAGAGCGGTGAAGTACGACTTATAGAACTGGATGAATCTTTCAAAAGTGAACACACTGTTTTTGTAACACCACCTGAGATCCCCCACCTACCCAATGGTGAAGAACCCCCTTTACAGTACAGGTATTCAAGAGGCAGAATGTTTGAGATTGAAAGAGAGAAGCAATCCATCATCTGTGACGTAGCTTTCTAAGGACTGTGGTATTTTCAAAAATCCAAACTTTACAGATCCCTAATTTTTAGGTGGTAAGCAAGCTTATCCCACATCCATTATTAAGCTTTGAGGTATAAAAAGAAAACATATATAATTTTGCATAATATAGACTTGGGAAGCTCTCTAATGATGTCTGCATAAGTATCTCTCCTTGTAAATGTTGATTACATTCAGTTAGACTCCCCACACCAAATGCAGCACTAGAATTTTGATTTTTTTTTCGTTAAAGCTGGTTTCCTCACTTTCAATTCCTCTTTTCATCTCATACACAGATTGATTAATATAGCCTTGGTTTACAAAAAGATTAAATCTAATTTAGAGCCAATCTTCGTGGCCTTGATTTGTACGATATAATTTTTTAAGTTACTAATTTTTTTCATGAGTTTTAAGTCATGGAAATTCAGAATTATTAGAATTGATCATTGTTAATTTAGGGAATTTGGTTAGACACTGTGCTAAGTATACAGACTTAAACGATATATTGTCCCTGCCTTCAAGTCTAGTGAAGAAGAGAGAAAAGTCCTGAGCACAGTAAAATAAGGGCTATGATAGAGGTGAATGCATTATTTAGTTCCCAATATGCATTTATTTTTACTTAAAATTGTAGTTTCTTTTAGAGTTTAAAAGATTTCTTAATTCTCCAATAATATTTTCTTACTTTGTTTAAAGATTCTAAAAACCATTTCACATCTATCACCCATTGAATCATGGTTTGTTATTTTCATTGAAAAAGGATTTTTCAATGACATCTTTGTTTATGACTTGGATTAAATTCTTCCTTTTACAGATGAAAAAGTGGTGTGATAGATGTTTATGAATGTTGATTAATCAGAGACCACTTGATTTCTACTCTTTTCATCCAGTGATGATGATGTTTGTATCACTTTTTAAATGTCTTCTGTCAAAGATATTTAAAATATTTCTCTTAATTTCTCTCTTCCTCTCTTTGTCTTTCTAAACAAGTTCTCATTTTTTAATCTCTTTTGTACTTTATGCTTATTTGTCTTTTGGTATGTGTCACTTCGAGTTTTGTGTTTCTGTGGTTTGGTTTTAACTTTTTAATTTAAATTTTATTTTTAGATTTAGTCCTTTAACTCTAAGAAAATTTGGCCAGACGCGGTGGCTTATGCCTGTAATCCCAGCACTTTGGGAGGCTGAGGTGGGCGGATCACTTGAGGTCAGGAGTTCGAGACCAACCTGGCCAACATGGTGAAAACCCTGTCTCTGCTAAAAATACAAAAATTAGCTAGGCATGGTTGCAGGTGCCTGTAATCCCAGCTGCTTGGGAGGCCGAGGCAGGACAATTTCTTGAACCGGGGAGGTGGAGGTTGCAGTGAGCCGAGATCGTGCCACTGCACTCCAGCCTGCGTGACAGAACGAGACTCTATCTCCAAAAAAACCACATTATTTCAGCCTGTGCAACATAGCAAGACCTTATCTCTATAAATAATTTTTTAAAAATAGCTGGGCGTGGTGCTGCACACCTGTGGTCCCAGCTACTCAGGAGGCTGAGGTGGAAGGATCACTTGAGCCTGGGAGGTTGAGACTGCAGTGAGCCATCATTGAGCTACTGCACTCCAGCTTGGGCGATGGAACAGACATAAATCAAAAAATAAAATAATAAGAAAATTACTTATCTGAAGACGTTTCTGTTTTTTAAGAATCTGTCGGTTTTTTTCTTCAGACTACCAATATAATTTTGGTATAATCATTACCATAATTGGGAAAACACCGTAAATGTCCTTAATGAGCACAGAGTCTGCCTCATAAGAGATTACTCATAAACTTACATTGTCTTTGTAAAATAATGAGGCATTTGAAATAAGACACACAAAATGGTCTTATTATCTCATCATATACATACAATGAATTTTTTAAGGGGCATGGTTTTCCTGGATTTCTTTGCTGTTTCCTACTCAACATTGAATCATTACTAATATTTTCTTATTCTATGGAATTTGACTATAGTAATGTGTAAAAAATATTGTCTACCCTCTTTTATTATAGTTAGGTTTCTTCTTAATTAAAACTATGTGCTTTTAAGAAAATATTACATAGTATTCTTAAACAGGTTAAGTGTATTGCTCAGGGGGCTGCTTTGGTTTCTTTCAGCATATCTTTTTCCTAACTGCTGCCTTTCACTTATTTACTTATTTATTAATGAAGTTTCACTATGTTGTCCAGGCTAGAGTGCAGTGGCTGTTCACTGGCAGAACCGTAGTGCACTACAGCCTTGAATTCCTGGGCTCAGGCAGTCCTCCTGCCTTAGTTTCCTGAGTAACTGGGATTATAGGCATGCACTAACTGCACCCAGCCTAGCTGCTAGCTTTGAAATGTCCAGAGCATCTTGGTCTCGCACCCTTATTAGGTTTACCTCCTAATAGAGCACCTATTCTAACCTTTTCTTCCTCTTATTTAGCCTTCTCAATTTTCTTTCTCATAAATGATGCCCTGAACCCACTAGCTAACCTGACAAACCAATTCATGAGAATGTGAGAGCAAGGCCTGGTGTGCTAATATGCTAAACCTAAGGTTGTTATTTGCATCTTTCTAAGAAGGGAGGTTCAACAGTAAATATGTTAATCCAAAGCAATGACATTAATGATTGCCCTTTTTGAAAGAGTCTTAATTTGGTAGGCCTTTTACCAACTGTCATATTATCTAATATGTTTGCTATGTATTAACAAGAGTACTAACTTTTAAAAGTTTGCTAAAGTTACCTTGGAGTTGGATGTCATGTTCATTTATGTTTTTCCCTTTTCCTCAAAAACTAACTTGAGTCTGAATTTGGCTATTACATTTCTAATTATAGTAAGAAGAGCAACATTAGCATGAATATTTGTTGAGTGTATATCACAGCCTGACAAAGAAAGATAGTTAAATTCTATGTGAAGAAGTTATTGGTCGTAATTATATTAACCTGTAACCACTATGATCATCTATGTGTGCTTGAGAACTCTTTTTTGTTTTGTTTTGTTTTTTCTAAAACAGCTATAATGGATTTCCAGTTCTTAGGAACAATTTATTTGAAAGACCTGAAGGATTTCTACAAGCAAAGAAGAACAAATTGCCTTCAAAATCAAGTAGTCCTAATAGCCCTTTGCCCATGTTCAGAAGAACAAAACAGGTACTTTATCACATTCTTCATGTAATCAAATTTTAGAACAAGAAATAAATTGGATATTTATCCTCCCGTAATATGCTTTATCACTTCATATATAACTATTACTAGATTATTATGTTCACCAAAGCACTGTGAAGATGGAGCAATCTGACTTCAAGAAATTAACTAGTTCTCTTGTCCTAGAACTTTATTTTATATGCTGTTTAATACAGATTCAAAAAGAAACTTGAAAACGCATTAATTACAGACATATTTTGTTATGGAAACATTATAAAAGCATGTGACTTGTACTTGTTTAGCACTCAGTTAAATAAAGATGCCTAAGTGCATAAATTTATTAGTAAGATCTTTATATTTTTTCCAGGAAATTAAATCAGCCCATAAAATTGCAAAGAGGTACTCTTCCATCCCTCAGATGTGGTCTAGGTGTCTACTGCGCCACTGTTATGGACTGTGGTTTATTTGTCTCCCAGCTTATGTGAAAGTCTGTCATTCAAAAGTCAGGGCTCTGAAAACAGCATATGATGTGCTTAAAAAAATGCAGTCAAAGAAGATGGATCCACCTGATGAGGTAACAATTATTTTATTGTTGTTATTTTATTTTTTTGAGATGGGGTCTCACTCTGTCACCCAGGCTGGAGTGCAGTGATGCAGTCATGGCTCACTGCAGTCTTAACCTCTTGAGCTCAAGAGATGCAATCCTCCCATTTTAGCCTCCCAGATAGCTGTGACTACAGTCATGTGCCACCACGCCTGGCTAATTTTTTAATTTTTTTGTAGAGACAGAGTCTCACTATGTGGTCTAGGTTAGTCAGAAGCTCCTGGGCTCCAGAGCTTCACCTGCCTTGCCCTCCCAAAATGTTGGAATTACAGGCATGAGCCACTGTGCCCTGCCACAATTATTGTTTAAAATGCATTATTTTATTCTAGATTTATGTACATGGTGACATCTGTGTTTCGGTACAATTTTGAACTTGTATTTCAGGTATGCTACCGCATTCTTATGCAACTCTGTGGACAATATGATCAGCCAGTGCTTGCAGTTCGAGTGCTTTTTGAAATGCAGAAAGCTGGTATTGACCCCAATGCCATTACTTATGGTTATTATAATAAGGTAAATACCTTGGTTTAATGGATAAAGAGTATTACTTTTGTCATTATGCAACATTAATGGCAGAAATAATTTATGCAGGGGGTTATTTGGCATTTATTTTAGAGTATATAAAATACATTTTGTCAATCAAGGAAGACTTTAGTTCTCTTTTATGTTATACAATCTACTTTGATTTTTTCTTTCTTTGAAACAGGGTCTCACTCTGTGAGACTCTAGCGCCAGGCTAGAGTGCAGTGGCACAATCATGGTTCACTGTAGCCTTGACCTCCCAGGCTCAATTGATCTTCCCACCTGAGCCTCCTGAGTAGCTGGGACTACAGGCATGTGCCACCATGCCTGGCTAATTTTCATATTTTTTGGAGAGGTGGGGTTTCACCTTGTTGCCCAGGCTGGTCTTGAATTCCTGGGCTCAAGTGATCCACCTGCCTCAGCCTCCCAAATTGCTGGGATTACAGGCATGAGCCACCACTCCTGGCCTACTTTGATATTCTTTAGCTTAATTCTGAAACCAATATATGTTCACTTATAAAAATTATTTTACTAATTATTTTATTTTGTTGAATGAATAGGCTGTTTTGGAAAGTACCTGGCCTTCAAGAAGTCGTAGTGGCTATTTTCTTTGGACAAAAGTAAGAAATGTTGTTTTAGGAGTAACACAGTTCAAAAGAGCTTTAAAGAAGCATGCACACTTATCACAAACAACTCTCTCAGGTAAGGGATGTATGTGTTTTACTTGTTCTTCAAAATTAATTGATTAGCTACAGTTTACATTTTTAGAAATTTTAAATAGTTTTAAAATATTGAATGTTTTAGTTTTTAGTTTTATTAAGCAAATTATATTACTCTTCCCATTTAAAAACCACCAGATTTCACTTCTGTTTAAATGTTTCAACTTCTGACGACCTTTGTGTGTGTTTTAGTGTTCATTAATAACTCACAATAGGTTTCTTTGTTATAGTTGTATTTTGCTAAGTATGTGGCACTTTTCATGTTCAGTATTACATTGGTGGATTATTAGCTTGAGCAACAAATTAATGTGTATTTACCTCTTCGAGTAGTAAAATGCTGTCAAATTGTGTTCTTAAGCAGATGGCAGTGACCTGGATGCTGTTAGTCATGGCAGCATGGATAGTGGTCATGGGACACACACTGTGGAGCAGGCACCTTTTAATACGGGTTTAATCAAAGTATATGCTACTGATGATAGATCTAGTACAGGTTTGTGTATGCTTATGTATACATTTATTATAGTACATTTTTAAAACTAGATTTGCTAGCCTATGTTTTTTTACATTTTCATTTTCAGTGATGTTTAACTGTCACTTTTTAATTTTATATATTATGTATTTTATTTGATATTAGATTTAATAACTATATGAAATTTTATTCATTCTTTATTTGAATAGAAATAAAAGTTTTAAGAGAGGTTATAAATCACTTTATTCAAGTATTTAGTATATGATAATCCAGTTAACTCTGCGTAGACATAGATCTGTTTACCCTATCATTTTCTTATAATAAATTCTTTGAAATTATGAAAATGATATTAGAGTTTTTTAAAAAAAGAAGCATAGCTCTGTGTCTAAGTTAATAGTATTGTACCAACATCAGTTTCCTGGTTTTGACAATGTACTATGGTTATGTAAGGTATTATCATGGGGGGAAGCTAGGTGAATTGTACCAAGGAACTCTCTGTACTGTAATGTTTTTGCAACTTCTAAATCTTAAGTGATTTTAAAAGTCATAATAAAAAATTTTAAATATATAAAAATATAGCATTTTAAGGCTGGGTGTGATAGCTCATGCCTGTAATCCCAGCACCTTGGGAAGCTAAGGTGGGTGGTTCACTTGAGCCCAGGAGTTTGAGACTGTCTGGGCAACATAACAAAACCCTGTCTCTACAAAAATACAAAAATTAGCTGGGCTTGGTGTCCCATGCCTGTGCTCCCAGATACTAGGGAGGCTGAGGTAGGAGAATTGCTTGAACCCAGGAGGTTGAGGCTGCAGTGAGCCATGATCAAGCCACTGCACTCCAGCTTGGGTGACAGAGCGAGACCCTGTCTCAAAAAAAAAATTTATATATATATATAAAATAATATATGTATAATATTATATATGTATGTGTAGTAGTATATGTATAACATGTGTGTATAATACATATACACATATGTATATGTATTTATATATGTGTATATAGAATTATATATCTTATGTGTATGTTTATATATGTGTATATAGAATTGTATACTTCAGTGCTAGAATTATAGTGCCGAAGATGGCATTAATTTCATAGAAGTATAAGTTCGTATATCAGCTTTTCTTAACTATTATTACAATTGACACACTTAAAAATAAATTATTTACATAATTCTGTTCTTTTTATTATTACATTTCAAAAATTACACATGACTTTTGACTACAGATAAGAGCAAACTCTTAAAGGACAGAAACTTTAAAAATTGAAGCATTACTAATAAAATATGAAGGCCCCTATCTCTGCAAATGTCAATATTATTTTGGTCTGTCTTACTTTATACCTAAAGTTTAATAAATGTAAGCTCATTTTGTTGAAATGTAATATTCATAGTTATTCTTCCTTGATTGATTTTATTCCTTGATTATGCAGTGTGATTTTCATCAGTTACAATAGTTATCCTTTGGCATTATCTCTTACAAATGAAGAAATCTTATCTTTTAACTGTGGCTTTTAAAAAGGCTATCTTAGGCCTGGTGCAGTGGCTCACACCTGTAATTCTAGCATTTTGGGAGGCCAAGGCAGGCAGGTCACTTGAGGCCAGGAGTTCAAGACCAGCCTGGCCAACATGGCGAAACACCATCTCTACTAAAAATGCAAAAATTAGCTAGGCATGGTGGCACATTCCTGTAATCCCAGCTACTTGGGAGGCGTAGGCACGAGAATTGCTTGAACCCAGGAGGTGGAGGTTGCAGTGAGCCAAGATCACGCCACTGCACTCCAGCCTGGGCAACATAGTTGAGACTCTGTCTCAAAAAAAAAAAAAAAAAAAAAAAAAAAAGGCTATCTTAAAATAGTGTAAAACCTAATAAAAGCATGAATTTCATCAAGATTATTCTCAGATTTTTCTATTTATAATTCCTTTAAAAATGGACCTGAAGTTTGATTAGAAAAAATAAAAACTGAAAATTATAACAACGATATTAAAGTGAATATCTAGTGATACATAATATAATTTCTTTAGAGAGTGCTTTACAAGTTTATAAACATTTTTCATATATAGTCTCATATAGTAATAACAACCTTACGTTTTACAAATTTGGGAACTTCAAATCCAAACAAAAAGATTACATTGTTACTTAAAATCATATGTCTCCTAAGATAGAGAACTAGGATTCAAAACTTTATCTTTTGTGACTAATCTGGTGAAAACGATTTTCTAAAAATGATGCAGAGCCTCTTTAGCAACACAGTGTATTAGAAAATTTTTTTATATTGATAGACCTTTTTCCATTCTTTGAGACAGGGTTTCACTCTGTCGCCCAGACTGGAGTGCAGGGGTGCAATCATAGTTCACTGCAGCCTTGAACTCCTGAGCTCAAGTGATCTTCCCACCTCAGCCTCCCAAGAAGCCTCCCAAGAAGTGTCTATAGGTGCATGCCACCATTCCTGGCTAATTTTTTTTATTTTTTATTTTTAGTAGAGATGAGGTCTCACTGTGTTGCCCAGGCTGGTCTCAAACTCCTGGGCTCAAGTGATCTGCCTGCCTCAGCCTTCCAAAATGCTGGGATTATAGGCATGAATCACTGCTCCCAGCCCCTTTTGCTTTTCTTAACAATATCTTCAACACTAGATTTTTATCTCATTCCCATGTATTTGTACTCACATACAGTTCAATGATTATTCAGCTAAATTTTTTTAAAAATTAATTACCCATCAATAAATTTGAAGAAATCCAATTTTTTTGTAAAATCATTTAGACATTTAGCTCTAGTGACCTATGTATGAATGTTCTGTTATAAATTCTTTACAGATTTCTCCATTGCTTAGTTGAAACTCAAACTTTCAACTAGAAAGGTCATGGACTTGTATAAAGAATGTCTGGTTTGTCTGTGTCTTGGAGCTCATATAGTAGTGTGAATGTATGTAGTTACTTTTGACTACAGTGTGGAACCAAGAGTAAATTATTTCAAGATCATCTCTTTCTTATATTAATAGAGATGATGGAAGGGATAGTTAACAAACTAATGCTTTAAGGGTAGCTAACAAAATAATGCTTTAAGTTGGAAGTTGTCCAGAAAAAAATTTATAAGGAAATCCAAACACTAGTATGTTGCTCCTAATTCCAGTTGCACTCACTAAAGAAGTTTCTAATAGAGTTTTGTTTATTTTTGTTTTTACCAGGTGGCCAGTCTGATCTTGGATATAATTCATTATCTAAAGATGAAGTTAGAAGAGGGGATACATCTACTGAAGACATTCAAGAAGAAAAAGATAAAAAAGGGAGTGATTGTAGTTCCTGTAGGTATTGTTTAAGTTGATATTGTATAAAATTGAGAACTTATATTCATAGAAAATGCAGGTGATTTTATAAAAGTGCTGGTTTTACTTTCCATTTTTCCATTATAACTCTTTCTTTTCTACCATTACGTGCCCTCTCAGCCACCACATACTCTCATACAAATGCTTTATGTATGAAGTATATAGCCTCAGTGGCAAAACACTTCCCAAATCAAATACCATTAGAATGAATGCTACGTAATTCCAAAAATACATGTATTTAGTAGAACTGTATATACATTTCTTGAAACTATTTCTTTTTTGAGACTTAACAATATTTTAAAGCTTGTGATCCTTTTGTAGTTTATGAGCATGATGATTGGGTATTCATCCATGTTTGTGAGATGTGCCACCCTTGAACCTTGTTACGACATCAGCACATTACCCATCTGACCTGAAAAAAGAAAAAAAAAAAGTTTGTTTAATGGATTGTGATTATATTTACCCCCTTCCCCACTCCACCAAAAGCACTCCTTTACAATCAGTGAGGAAATATAAAATTTGTGCATGGACCTCATGCATGATCAGTATTCAGTAGTTTGATCTACACTTTGAGGCCTCAAATAAGTGAAATCACTTATTTGTGGTTGACAAACAGATATAGAGGTGTTCAATATTTTCTTGTCACCTATTTTCAAGTAAAAATATGTAGAACTGAAAACTTCTCTTGATACCTCCTACAGTGTATATAGATTTCATTTTATTAACATTTTCATTTTCATCTTTACAGTGTCAGAGAGTGAGAGTACAAAAGGAAGTGCTGATTGCCTTCCTAAGCTCAGTTATCAAAATTCTTCCAGTATCGTTCGCCTCACTGGTACAAGTAACAACAGTGCTGGTAAAATATCAGGAGAAAGCATGGGTAAGTTGAATAGTACGCTTGTGTTATGTGCGGAATAAATTGTATCTGTATGACTAGTGAATACTTATTTTTTTAATAGTCTTAATTCTCCAAGGTGATTTTAAAAAATATTTTGTGCAGCCTCTCATGGCATAGCTTAGTAACTTGAGTTCTATATTTTATAACATGCTGTGTTCAAGCTTGTATTATAGCAAGGCATAGGGGTAAACCTCCAGCTTGTATACTATCTTTTGAGTTTAGACTGTTGGGACTTTTTGGAAGGGGAAAGTGACATCAGGAGAGGTGATGAGTCTGAGGGTACCATACACCTAGTTAAGTTTCAAATGAAGTATATGGCTTATTAGTTTTCATATTATTCCTGTTTTTCCAGAGGCAAAAGGATAGTCCTTCAGATAGTTTAAGTAACAATACCCAATAATTTTTCTTTTCACGGTCTTCTTATATATTATTTTATATAATATTAACATAGAAATGCTTGTATCAAAGGAGATATTAGCACTGTTTTAAAGATGAGAAAACTAAAGCATACTTCAGTGATTGGCAGGTCACATAAATTATCAATAGTTAATAGAAAAGTCAGATTAGAAGTAGAATAATATTTGGCCTCAAAGTGTTTTACCAGACCATTTTTAGGGGATTAAATAGACATAAGATTTGGAGTTTTTAGTGTTAATAGTGTGATTACCTAATAAATTTTTTTGTATTAGCTTACTTTTGCATGATGTTGTAATATAAAAAATATTGAAGAACATGTGCTGTCAAGGCTGAAATATCTCTGTTTTTTGCTGCAATGGTGTCTGGTTTTTTTGCAACACAGTTAGATATGCCTGTAGTTCAGGGAAAGGCAAACTAAGGCCCAAGGACCAAATTTGCCCTGAAGCCTATTATTATACTAGCCTGCAAGCTAACCAAGCTATGATGGTTTTTATAGTTTTAAATTGTCAGAAAATAATCAAAAGAGACTAATATTGTGGGACACATGAAAATTTTATGAAATTCAAACATCAGTTTTCATAAAGTTCTGGGAACACAGACATGCTCATTCATTTACGTATTATCTCTGGCTGTTTTTGCATTGCAACAGCAGAGTTGAGTAGCTGTGACAGAGACCACATGGCCTGCAAAGACTACAATATTTACTCTTTAGCCCTTGATAGAAAAAGTTTGCGGAACCTACTCTATCAAACAGACAAAAGAAAGTTAGATCACCTATAACTCTTATTTTGCATTTCTTTGTTAGATAATTGTTGTAACAGAAACATTAAAAAATTTTTCCTCAATGTCATAGAGTTGTTTCACAACCATTTAGTCCTTTGTAACTAATTTTCTAATTATAACTCTTGATAACTTGCCTTTGATCTTTATTTTATTGTTCTTTCATTGCTGTCTGTTCATGCTTGCCCTCCTCTTAAGATCTGTGTTTAATTTTTTTATTTAAATATGATTGTACACCATCCTTTGATCTTGACATTTTGTCAGAATAATAAGCATCTGGTTAATCATCTGGCTTTCAGTTACCCTATATGCTGAACAAGTGAATTTTATAAAAGTGTAGAGTAGATTTCTTTGGTGTGAAGTAAAGTTATTGGTTTATCCTTGATGCTTTTGGCTTGAAAACTCTCATCTGTTAAGTACTATGGGTTTATTACTGCTGCCAAAGACCATACATGGGATATATAGAAATACTTATTATATACTTGTACATACTAGGATTTAAAGCATTTTTCGGGTTTATTTATATTTTGCAGTACAATATATGAATATTTTATTTATATCATTGAACACCCTTGTGTGTTTGTGTGTGTTTGTGTGTAAATGTATACATATATGGGAGTAGAATAAACAAAGATATGTTTTAATGTTTGATTGGATATTGAAATAAAATCATCACCCTATCTTGAATTTTTTTTTTTTTTGGAGACAGAGTCTCACTCTGGTGCCCAGGCTGGAGTGCAGTGGCACGATCTTGGCTCACTGCAACCTCTGCTTCCTGGGTTCAAGCAATTCTCATGTCTCAGCCTCCCTAGTAGATGGGATTACAGGCACACGCCACCACGCCTGGCTAATTTTTGTATTTTTAGTAGAGACGGAGTTTCACCATGTTGGCCAAGCTGGTCTCAAATTCCCAACCTCAGGCAATCTACCTGCCTTGGCCTTCCAAAGTGTTGGGATTACAGGCGTGAGCCTCTGCTCCAGCCCTCATTATTATCTTGAGAATTTAATGTTTTGATAAATACATATTGAATTACTGAGTGTTCAACCACAGAGAAGTTTAATTCTGAGATGTTTCTCTAAGCCTAATTCTGGTTTTAGTGTGCCTTTACTTTTTATCCTTAGCTACCCATAATATAATATTTTAATATTATAATGTAATGTATTATATTCCAGGTTGGTTTGTTGGCTGCAGTTACTGCCTAATAGACAGTATTCATTCAGTAAATATCTTTTAGATTCTACTATATGTCAGGTGCTACTGGGGGTATATTATAATAAGAAACAAAAAATAAACACGGATCCTGCCTTCATGGAGAAAGCAGGTAGAAGGGATGGGAAGACATTAATCAAGTAAATGTGAAAGTATTCTTAGATTAAATACTATGAAAAAGGACAGTAAGTTGCTATAAGAACATATAATAGATATGTCTTGGGTTTGGGGTTGTTAGGGAAGACTTCCTTCAGCATATCATTTTTGAGCTTAAATTTCAAATATGAGTGGAAAATAAATGAGGGTAGGAGTCAGAAAGGAGGAATTGAGAGGGTGCATTCCAAGCAGAAGGAAGCATGTATAAAAAGGCTGTTTGGTAGAAAGGAATCCCACAGCGTGTTCAAAGATCTGAGAAAAGGCTAGTATATCAGCTGGGCATACTTTCAGCTTTAAGTCTCGAATATGTGATTAACAGTGCTTAAAGAAGTTGCAGTTTATTTTTCTCAAACAGGAAATTCAGAGGTAAGCACTTGCTCTAAATGTTGGCTCAGGGGCTTTGCCATCAGTTCTTTTGACCTAACCATGATTACAGTATAGCCACTGGTAACTCCCCATATCACCTATTCGATCAAGCCAAAAAGAATGGGAAGAGAAACACCAGCCATATCTATTTCTTTTTTCAGGAAATAATTTTTCCAAAAACCCTCAAAAACTATACCTTAATATCACTGGCCGGAATTATGTCATAGAGCCACCTAGCCCAAGGAAGTTAAATAGTTTGCAGTCTTTGTGTTAGAGGCATGCAGCATCCAGCCTAGCATGTGTAATTTAGCATGTGTGTAAACTTAGGATCAGGCAAACTTTTTTGTAAAAGGCCGAATAGTAAGTATTTCAGGCCTTGCAGGGCACATAGAATCTCTGTTACCTGTTCTTCTGGGTGCATGATTTTTACAACCCTTTGCAAATGTAGAAACCATTTGAGACTCTACAAAAACAGGCCTCAGGCTAGATTTGGCTCATTGGTATAGTTTGCAAACCTCTGGTAAAGTCTGATAACCAACTTGGTCTTCAGGTCATAGCATATCACTGACTTTGCAAAGGAACCCTTGCACATCTATTTAAATGCAATTCCAGAGTATTATCTTTTGGTTACAAGATTCCTCCAGGTCTTTAGTAATATTTAACCTGTCAAGCAGAAAATTTCCCAGAATATCAGAAGAAAGTGTGTTCTTGATTTCCTATGTCCTCAATCGTAAGCTGGTGAAAAAAAGAATAAACTTTGCCTCTCTGATATGTCATTTTTCTTGTTAACGGTATATCCTTATTAAGTAATATTAGATGTAGGCTTTTATGACCTCTAGTATCCACTCTTATCTCTTGCCCTGCCATTTGCATGCATCACATGACAAGAAAAGGCACATTTTCAATACTTGTCTGGCTATAGAGAGCTAATTCTGTGCATAAAGCATGTAAGAAGAATAGTTGATGATACTATACCTAGACTAATGCTTTAGAGGACTCCCACATATAGTAAGAACAATTAAAGTGATCAGAGATCTAGATTTCTGCTTTTAGTATTGTCATCTAAGTAATTTGGTAGAAAACAGTGAACAGTATTTCCAAATAATGTGAAGTGGCCATTAACATTTGACTGGTATAAATGTGCAATCAATATGTTAAGCAAGGGTAAAATTATTTGGCCCCATTTATAGTTATAAGGACTTGGAGTTTTAAAAAATAACCTTTATTTATGGATAAAGTTAACATACTTCTATTTTGTTTCATGTTTTGGATGTTTTTTCTTTTTTCATTTTAATAAGCAGAAGATTCACAATTTTGGCTGGGCATGGTGGCTCAAGCCTATAATCCTAGCACTTTGGGAAGCCAAAGCAGAAGAATTTCTTGAGCCCAAGAGTTCAAGACCAACTTGGGCAACATAGTGAGATCCTGTGTCTAGCAAATTAAAAAAAAAAAAAAAAAAAGGAAGACTCAGAATCTCAAGGTCATCTAGTATAACCACAATTGTAAAACCATTGTAATTTATTTAGTGGAATTAATATAAATTCATTATTAAATATAAATCTTAATTGATAACATTTTTAAAAAGCAGTACATCCTGATGTCTAGGAGCATACCCTTTATAATTGGACAAATCTGAATTTGAATCCCAGTTCTGTCTCTTAAGGACTGGGTAACTCTGAGCTAGATAATTAATCTCTCTGAGTGTTCCTTTTTTCTCAACCCATAAGGATGTTGGAATGTTTACAGTAGGAAATATAAGTAAAGTGTTTAGTATAGTATCTGTCAAATAGCAGACACTCAGTGAGTGCTTGCTATTATCATTTTCATCACTAGAATTTTAAATATTTAAGATGACTTATATTTGCTATTATATTTTCATGGCTAAAAGCACTTTACTTGTTTTTCAGAAAGCACACCTGAGCTGCTCTTAATATCATCTCTTGAAGATACAAATGAAACACGAAACATTCAAAGTAGATGCTTCAGGAAAAGACATAAAAGTGACAATGAAACTAATTTGCAGCAGCAAGTGGTCTGGGGAAATAGAAACCGTAATCTTAGTGGAGGGGTACTGATGGGATTTATGCTCAATAGAATTAACCAGGAAGCAACCCCTGGAGATATAGTTGAAAAATTGGGAGCTGATGCAAAAATTCTTTCAAATGTTATCTCAAAAAGCACGAGACCAAATACTCTTGATATTGGGAAGCCACCTTTAAGATCAAAAAGAGACAGTCTAGAAAAGGAATCTAGTGATGATGATACACCTTTTGATGGTTCTAACTATTTGGCAGATAAAGTGGATTCTCCTGTTATTTTTGACTTAGAAGACTTAGACAGTGAAACAGATGTATCAAAAGCAGGATGTGTTGCTACACAAAATCCCAAGAGGATTCAACGTATGAACAGCAGCTTTTCAGTAAAACCTTTTGAAAAAACTGATGTCGCAACAGGATTTGATCCCCTCTCTCTTTTGGTTGCTGAGACTGAACAGCAGCAAAAAGAAGAAGAGGAGGAGGATGAAGATGATAGCAAAAGCATTTCAACACCATCTGCTAGGCGTGATTTAGCTGAAGAAATTGTGATGTATATGAATAACATGAGCAGTCCTTTGACAAGTCGTACACCAAGCATTGATTTACAACGGGCATGTGATGATAAATTAAATAAGAAAAGTCCACCATTGGTCAAGGCATGCAGAAGATCTAGTCTGCCTCCTAATTCTCCTAAGCCAGTGAGACTTACCAAATCTAAAAGTTACACAAAAAGTGAGGAGAAACCAAGGGATAGACTTTGGTCTTCTCCAGCCTTCTCACCTACTTGCCCATTTAGGGAAGAATCTCAGGATACATTAACCCACTCATCACCTTCATTTAACTTAGATACACTACTAGTACCTAAACTAGATGTTCTAAGAAACAGTATGTTCACTGCTGGAAAAGGAGTTGCAGAGAAAGCAAGCAAATGGTATTCAAGATTCACCATGTACACCACATCATCTAAGGTAAGTTTGGTTAGTATTTGCTACTTTTACTGTCACACACACATATCCATCACCACCAAAAGCCCCTTACTCGTTTTAACTATTCTTCTAAACATAGCTTTATAAAAAGGACTCATTGGGTATGTAAGTTTTGTAAGTATCAGAATTGGAACTGAAATAATAACTTCAAAGAAAAGAAAACTTACTAAGGTTATATTTGTAGTTCAGTTTTGAAAGAGTGATTTGTAGCTGGAGTAAGAATTAGTGTCACGTGAAAGTACTTACTGAATTTCAGTATTTCCTTCAAGATGCAGATTTTTTTTCCAGATAATGTGTCCAATATGCCCTCAAAAATTACCAGTCAGGCATATGATTTGCCCTTCTGGTTAGGATGGAGTAACTTACGATAGACTTACATACCTTCCCCTAAGAGCTAAAAGCTAGATGAAATAGAGAAAGTATCTGTTTAAAGTCATCAGAGAACTGCTGAAGTAACTAGAAAGCAGAGAGGCAGGATTCTAGAGAGGTGAGCTGAAGTTCTAGAGCCACTTTCTCCCTGAGGGGATTTGCTCATTATGGGCATGAAGCACTAGGTTGTAAATCTAGGCTTTCCCTTATCAGAAGTTTTGGGAACTTGTGGGTTAGAGAGACAAAATTGAAGACTTTAAGGGCCTCAAATACACTGAAGATTTTCTTCCTTCAAGACATTTTCCAAATACTTGATACTGCATGAGAAGGGTAAGTAGAACGTCTGTGAGAAATCAAGTTCTCAGAAGTTTCATGGTACTGGAATCATAATAGCTCGATTCAGGAGCTGCCAGAGGGAGGAGGGCCTCAGTTGGAATACTTACAGAGGTATGCCTTAGGACCATTGGCAAACCAGAGGTAGACTAAGCCTGACCAAAATTGCAACCTAGACTTGACTCAGGTTATCTGTGATTTGGTTAAAATAATCAGCTTTTACTCTATCAACAGAGAAAAGATTGTACCTTTTCTGGAGAAATAAAACATCAGTTAGAATCCTTACAGTTTTTAATATACAATGTCTATCACTCAATTAAAAATAGCTATGCCAAGAGACAGGAACATAGCTAAAAAATGAAGAAAGCAGATAACGGAAAGAGACCCTCAAGTGATCCAGATGTTTGAATTAACAAGGGACTTTGAAATAATTATAATATGTTCAAGAATATAAAGGAAAAGGTTTAAAAAATAACTGTAAAGATGGAAGATTTCACTAGATAATTGGAATGTATTAAAAATAATCAAACCTAAATTTTAGAACTGAAAATGAAATAAAAAGCAAAAATCTTGAGCCAGAGAGAAGAGATGCATTACCTGCAAAGGAGCAGTGGTCTTCTGAAGAGAAACTATGATGTCAGAAGACACTGGAAAGATATCTTTAAAGTGCTGAAAGAAAATAACTGTCAACCTATTTTTCTGTACTCAACAAAAATATTCTTTAGGAATTGGGGTGAGAATACTGGTTCCACTGTGGTAACGTAAGGCCACCACAGCCCATCCTTCCCACTGATTACAACTTAAAAACCAGACAAAATATAAAAAACAACTAAGGACTCTGAAAAATAAATAAAAGCAGGCAGTTTCTGGGGAGAGACCAACACAGAAATGAGTTTATCATTTCCTTTCCTCATGCATCTTTGCCCCAAGGGCAGTCACATCATGGCATGGCACCTCTGGCAGATAAACTTCAAGAGAAACCCCATATTTCCTGAACAGAGAAGCCTGAGAAAGAGGCCTCTTTGTGCAGAAAGTTTGAGGGGAATCCCATACAAGTTTCACCCTACCCCTTGACCTGCACAGTTATGGGACAGATGCAAACTGGAATAGAAAAGGCTTAAGTAACTGAACTGCAAGTTCACTGCCTACAAAAAGTAAAACACAAATTACAGTCTGAATATAACTCAAGTGTTTGCCTGCTGAAACAAGAGCATCAACAATCTCGGAAGTATTATAACAGTACCCAGGCTACATAACATAATATTCAGTGTCCAAGATAAAATCCAAAATTACTTGGTATAAAGGACCAGGAAAATGTGACCAGTTCTCAAGGAAAAGACAACTCCAGAATGACTCAGATGTTGGAAGTATCAGGGAAAAACTTTAAAGCAGCTTCCATAACTGGTTCCTTTAGGTAAAGGAAAACACATTTGAAATAAATTAAAATAAATTCTAGCAAGAAATAGAATGTATTAAAACAAATTTTATAACTGAAATATAATCCAATGTAAACTGATCAAATGGGTTAAATAACAGAATGGAGATGACAATGAAAAGTAAACTTAAAGATACAGTAATAGAAATTAGAAGAAGAGAGAAAAGATTTTTATAAAAATAAACAGCCTCAGGGACTTGTGTGACAATATCAAAAGGAACAAATGAAATATGGATAACTGGAGTTCCAGAAGAACTGAAGAGAGATTCTGTTAGAAAAGATATTTGAAGATTTGAAAAAATAATGGCTGAAACCTCCAAAATTGGTAAAAGATACAGATTTATAGATACAAGAGACTCAGCAAATTACAGACAGAATTAAACTCAAAACCACACTTGCACACATCAAAAGTAAACTAAAAATCAGAGATATTCACCTGCTAACAAGAAAACGGCTGCTAAAAAAAAATTAAAATACACTGAAAGCTGTTAAAAAATTATTCATTACCTACGGAGCCATAAAGATTTGAATGTACCCATGCACTTTTCATCACAATCCTTGGAAGAATTTAGTGGAATGGTGCCTTTAACGCATTGGAAGAAAAGACCTGTCAACTCAGAATTTTATATCCAGTGAAAATATTCTTCATGGGTGAAGGTGAAATAAAGACATTTTCAGATAAAATAATTCATGAGCAATGGGATTGCTCTATGAGATATGCTGAAGGAAGTTATTTAAACTGAAGAAAAATGATACCAAAGAGAAACCTGCATCTTCAGGAATAAAATAAATGCAAAATAAATGGTAAATAGCTGGTTATTAGAAAAGATTACTTTTTTGCCTCCTAAACTGAAAAAAAAAGAAAAGAAAAACCTATAATTGTCCAAAACAAAAATAGTAACATTATCTCATGGAATTTTAAATATGCATAGATGTTTGACAGTAGTGAACATCAGTAGTAAAGGAACTTACCCCACAGACCTTCATTATAGTTATATTATTAAATATGAAATGATATAAAACTAACTCCAAGTAGACTTTAAATGATTAGATATGTATATTGTAATCCCTGGAGCACTGAGTTAAAAAATACAGTGAGATGTAGCCAAAAAGCCAATAAAAATATTCAAATAGTCTTACAGAGAACAGGAAATCTTAAAGAGGCCAAGAAAGGGGGAACAGAGAAATAGACTAGATCTAACCATATGAATAATTAAATGATAACAATCTAAACACCTCAATTAAAAGGCAGACTTTGGCTAGGCATGGTGGCTCATGCTTGTAATCCCAGCTCTCTGGAAGGCCAAGCCAGGAGGATTGCTTGAAGCCAGGAGTTTGAAACCAGCGTGGGCAACATAGCAAGACCCTGTCTGTACAATTTTTTTTTTTTTTTAATTTTAACTAGCTGGCCATGGTGGCACATACCTATGTAGTCCTAGCTACTCAGGAGGCTAAGGCAGGTGTGTTGCTTGAACCCAGAAGTTCAAGGCTGTAGTGAGCTATGATTGTGCCACTGCACTCCAACCTGAGCAACAGACTGATCTCATAATAATGAGGAGTTGGATGTTATGGTGTGTTCCTGTAGTTCCAGCTACTCAGGAGGTTGAGGTGGGAGGTCTGGATTGCTTGAGTCCAGGAGTTCTAGGCCAACCAGGGCAGCATAGCAAGACTTTGTCTCTGAAAAATATTGATTATAAGAAACAGTTCATCAGGAAGACACAATAATTATCCATGTATATTCACTAAATCACAGAGCCTCAAAACAATGACACAATTGGTAGAATTAAGGGGAGTTCTAAATCTGAGTAGGAAATTTAAAAACGCTCAGTTGATAGAAGAGGTAACAAAAATTGGTCAAGACAAATCTCAGCAACACAATCAGCTACTTTTATATAATTGACATTTATAGAATATACACTCAACAACTACAGAATACACTATTTTCAAGTGTATACAGTACAGTCATCAAGATAAACTATGTTTGGCTATTTAAAAAACCTCAGTCAATTGAAAAGGATCCAAATCAAAGTACATTGTAAAGAGTTACAGAACATTACTGAGGGATTTTAAAAGAGATTTAAATAAATGGAGAGACATGCCATGTTCATGGAATTGAAGACTCGGTATTGTTAAGCTGCAACCCTCCCTACATTGGCATCTAAATGTATATCAAAATTGCACCTATCAAAATTCTAGCAGGATTTTGTAGAATTTGACAAGCTGATCCTAAAATTAATATAGAAAATAGAAGGACCCAGCATAGCCAAAACAATTTGGAAAAAGAAAAAGTTGGAGGACTCACACTTCCCAATTTCAAAATTTACTACAAAGCTACAGCTATCAAGACTGTGCTGCTAGCATAAACAGAGATGAATAGATGAGAGAATAAAATTTAGACTCCAGAAATAAACTCTTATGTTTATGGTTATTTAAATTTCAATAAAGATGCCAAGGCAATTCAATGGGGAAATGATAGTTTTTGTCAAAAAATGGTGCTGAGATAATTGGATATCTGCATGCAAATACAGTCAGACTTCTGTATCTGCAAGTTCTGCTTCCATGGATTCAACCAACCACAGATTGAAAATATTACATAAATACAAATAATACAGTATAAGAACTATTTACATAGCATTTACATTGTATTAGGTATTATAAGTAACCTAGAGATGATTTAACTTGTACAGGAGGATGTGCATAGGTTATGTGCAAATACCAACCCCCTGTGGATACTGAGGGATGACTGTAGGTGAATGTAGACACTCAACTTATATACAAGCATTAACACAAAAAGGATAAGATGTCTAAATGTAAGAGCTAACACTATAAAAATTGTGGGCTGGCGGTGGCTCACGCCTGTAATCCCAACACTTTGGGAGGCCAAGGCAGGCGAATCACGAGGTCAGGAGATCTAGACCATCCTGGCTAACACAGTGAAACCCCGTGTCTACTAAAAATACAAAAAATTAGCCGGGCACGGTGCCAGGCGCCTGTAGTCCCAGCTACTCGGGAGGCTGAGGCAGGGAAATGGCGTGACCCCGGGAGGCGGAGCTTGCGGTGAGCTGAGATTGCGCCACTGCACTCTGGCCTAGGCGACAGAGTGAGACACGGTCTCAAAAAAAAAAAAATTGTGGGCGGGGCGTGGTGGCTCATGCCTGTAATCTGAGAACTTTGGGAGGCTGAGGCGGGCAGATCCCCTGAGGTCAGGAGTTTAAGACTAGCCTGGCTAACATGGTGAAACCCCCGTTTCTACTAAAAATACGAAAGATTAGCCAGGCATGGTGGTGCATGCCTGTAATCCCAGCTACTTGGGAGGCTGAGGTAGGAGAATCGCTTGAAGCCCGGAGGCGGAGATTGCGGTGAGCCAAGATCGCGCCATTGCACGCCAGCTTCAGCAACAAGAGCAAAACTCCGTCTCAAAAAAAAAAAAAAAAAAAAAAATTGGAAGAAAATATAGGAAGAAAATCTTTTAAGACCTTGAATTAAGCCAAGAATTCTTAGGTATGATACCAGAAACAGTCTATAAAAGGAAAAATTGATAAGTTAGGCATTATCAAAATTGAAGACTTTTGTGATCCAAAAATGAAAATGTAAGAAAATGAAAAGCCACAGACTGGGGAAAAGATACGCAAATTCTGTATTTAGTAAAGGACTTGAATCCATAATATACAAACAACTCACACAGCTCAATGATAAGATAAACAACCCAAGTTAAAAATAGATCTAAATAGATATTTCACCAAAGAAGAGATATTAATGGACGAAAAGCACATGAAACATGTTCAACATAATTAGTTATTAGGCATTAATTGCATTTGGAGCCACAGTGAAATCCCATTTCACACTCACTAGAGGAATGGCTATAATCCAAAAGATGATGACAAGTGGAGGGGATGTGGAGAAATGGGAACCCTCATACTTTTTTGGTTGGGAATGTAAAATGGTACAGCCACTTTGGAAAACAATTTGGCAGCTTCTTTAAAAGCTAAGCATTAATTTAACATATGACCCAGCAGTTCCACTCTAAATAATCTACCCAAGAGAAATGAAAACATAGACTACACAAAGATTTTATGTGAATAATCATAACATTGTTCATAAAAGCCAAAAAGTGGAAACAACCCAAATTTCCGTCAACTGGAAAATAGGTAAAATGTGTTATACAGTGGAATATAATTGAGCAATACAAAAGAACGAAATACTGATACATGCCTTAAAAATTGGTGAACCTCAAATACATGTTTATTTTAAGTGGATTAAGCCAGATTTTAAAAGACCAAATATTGTATGAATCCATTGATATGAAATGTCCAGAAAAGGCAAATCTGTAGACACAGTATATTAGTGGTTGCCTGGTGTTAGGAAGGCAATGGAGATTAACTGTAAATGGGCATGAGGTATCTTACTGGGGTGGTAAAGATTTTCTAAAATTAGAAACGTTCTAAAAGTTGGTAAATTTACTACAAAGATTATTGAATTGTAGACTTAATATGAGTGAATGTTATGACATGAAAATTAAGCCCCAATAAGGTTTCTTTTAAATCAAGCATATTTTCTGACCACAATAGAATTCAATTACAAATCACTAAGAATAAGTAAGAGATCAAGAAAAACCTGAACACACTTTCAAATAATTTGAATCAAAGATAAAATCATAAAGGAAATTAGAATAATGTTTGAGTGGAATGAACAAAAATATATCAAAATTTGTGGGATACAACTAAGAGGTGCTTAGAGGTTAACTCATAGCTTTAAGTGCTGTAGTTAGAAGTGATTTAAAATTAATGATTTATGGTTCTGCCTTAAGAAACTAGAAAAAAAGAACAAAGTAAGCTCAAAGTAGGAAGAAGGAAGTAATAAACATGGAGCAAAAATCAGTAAAACTGAAAAGATGGAAAGCATAAGAATATCAATAAAACCAAAAGCTGATTCTTTAAAAAGAACAAAATTGACACACTGCTGGCTAGACTGATCTAGAAAAAGAGAACACAATCACTAATATCAGAAAGATCCCACCTAAAGATTAAAATAAATAATATTTTTAAAGCCTAGCGTAGGCAGGTCTCATTTTATTGCACTTGCTTTACTGCTCTACACAAATGTCATGCTTTTTACAAATTGAAAGTTTGTGGCAAACCTGTGTTGAGCAAGTCAATTGGTATCATTTTCCAACAGCGTGTGCTTACTTCATGTCTCTGTGTCACATTTTGGTAATTCTTGCAATATTTCAAACTTTTTTGTTATTATATCTGTTATGGTGACTTGTGATCCATGATCCTTGATGTTATTATTGTAATAGTTTTGAGACACCATGAACTGTTCCCATATAAGATGGTAAACTTCATCGATAAATGTTGTGTAATTTCTGACTGTCCACCAAATGGCCATTCTCCTGACTCTCTCCCTCTCCTCAGGCCTTCTTATTCCTTGAGACACAACAATATTGAAATTAGGCCAATTAATAACCCTACAGTGGCTTCTAAAGTGTTCACATGAAAGGACGAGTCACACATTTTTCACTTTAAATCAAAAGCTAGAAATGATTAAGCTTAATGAGGAAGGTATGTCAAAAGCCAAGAAAGGCCGAAAGTGAGGTCTCCTGCACCAAACAGCCAAGTTGTGAATGCAAAGGGAAAGTTCTTGAAGGAAATTAAAAGTGACATGAGTGATAAGACAGCAAAACAGTGTTATTGCCAAAAAGGAGAAAGTTTGAGTGGTCTGGATAGATCACATCAGCCACAATATTCCCTTAAGCTAAAGCCTAATCCAGAGCAAGGCCCTAACTAACTCTCTTCAGTTTTATGAAGGCTGAGAAAGCTGAGGAAGCTGCAGAAGAAAAGTTTGAAGCCAGCAGAGGTTGGCTCATGAGGTTTAAAGAAAGAAGCTGTCTCTATAACATAAAAGTGCAGGATGAAGCAGCAAGTGCTAATATAGAAGATGTAGCTAATTATCCCCGAGACCTATGTAAGGTCACTGATGAAGGTGGCTATACTAAACAACAGATTTTCAATGCAGATCAAACAGCCCTGTATTGGAAGAAGATGCCCATCTAGGACTTTGATGGAGAGAGAGGAAAAGTCAGTGTCCGGCGTCCAGGCTTCAAAGGACAGGCTGACTCTCTTGTTAGGGGGTAGTGTAGCTGGTGATGTTAAATTAAGCCAATGCTCATCTACCATTCTGAAAATCCTAGAATTTGCTAAAGCTACTCTCTGCCTGTGCTCTGTAAATGGAACAAAAAACCTGGATGACAGCACATCTGTTTACAACATGGTTTACTGAATGTTTAAACCCATTGTTGAGACCTACTGCTCAGAAAAAATATATTTATTTCAAAATATTACTGCTCATTGACAATGCACCTAGTCATGCAAGAGCTCCAATAGAAAAGCAGTTGCCAGGTGCAGTGGCTCACGCGTGTAATCCCAACGCTTTGGAAGGCTGAGGCAGGCGGATCCCTTGAGCTCAGAAATTTGAGACCAGTCTGGGCAACATGGCAAAACCCTGTCTCTACAAAAAATTAGCTGGGTGTGGTGGCACATGCCTGTGGTCCCAGCTACTCAGGAAGCGGAGGTGGGAGAATCGCTTGAATCTGGGAAGCGGAGGTTGCATTGGGCTGAGATGACTGTCTGTACTCCAGCCTGGCTGACAGAATTATACCCCCATCTCAAAAAAAAAAAAAACAAAAAAATGAAATGTCAAGGAGTCAAGTTGAATGATGAAAAAAGAAATGTCAAGGAGATTTATTGTTTTCATGCTAGTATTCATTCTGCAGCCCATGGATCAAGGAGTCGCTTTTACTTTTAACTTAGTATTTAAGAAATACATTTCATAAAGTTATAGCCATAATAGGTGGTGATTCCTGTGATGGATCTGGGCAAAATAAATTGAAAACCTTCTGGAAAGGATTCTCTTCTAGATGCAATTAATGGCATTCATAATTCACAGGAGGAGATCAAAATGGCAACATTAACTGGAGTTTGGAAGAAATAGATTCCAGTTCTCAAGGATGATTTTGAGGGGTTCAGGACTTCAGTGGAGGAATTATGCAGATATGGTGAAAATAGCAAAAACCCCTAGAATTAGAAGTGGAGCCTTGAGGATGTGACTTAATTGCTGCAATCAAATAATAAAACTTGAAGGGATGAGGAGTTGCTTCTAATGGATGAGCAAAGAAAGTTGTCAGACAGCATCACATGCTACAGAGAAATCTTTCTTGAAAGGAAGAGTCAATGGAGCAAACTTCATTATTATCCTCTTTTTTACCACAGCCACTCAACCTTCAGCAGCCACCACTCTGTTCAGTCACCAGCCATCAATATCCAGGCAAAACCCTCAACCAGCAAAAAGATTACCACTTGCTGAAGGTTCACATAATTGTTAGCAATTTTTAGTAATAAGGTATTTTAAAATTTATGTGCATTTTTTAGACATAATGCTGTTGTACAGTAGACTTCAGTGTAATGTGAACAACTTTTATATGCACTGGGAAATAAATTTGTGGTTTGCTTTATTGCGACATTTGTTTTGTTGAGGTGGTCTGGAACTGAACCTGCCATACCTCCAAGGTAGGTCTGTACAGTGCCTTCATTGAAGGCACTAAATAAATGGTTATTGTTGCTATACTCAGTGAAATTTAGTCTCATTAATTTTTTTATGTATAAAGAATTTAATGTCTCTCAATGTAAAATCATTCTTTTTTATAATCTACTCAAACATGCATAATCTGTATTTTAATTAGAAAAATTCAACTATTCGTCTTATTTTTTATACTAAGTAATTCTTGTATGCATAAACAGCAACAAGACTTCTGGTTCAGGATGTTAAAATACATATCTGTATTCCCTCCTCCTCAAAATCCCATTAAAGTGACAGAAAAATAGGAGAATATAATAAATCCATCAAAGCAATGAAAGAAGAAAAGTATGCCATCAGGAGATGAGAAATTTTCATACCTTTCTGAAAATGAGAAAGCAAATGAAACTGGATTGATGAAAATGCCTGAATACAGAAAGTATAGCCTCCAAAGTAGTCATAAGAGAGATCAGCTACCAAGATGAGAACTGTTCTTGTGAATGAAGCCCAGGTGAGCAGGCAGAAGTATAAAATTACACAGCCAGGTAATTAAATTAAAAGACTACTTAAGGAATAGTTAGGCTAGGCGTTGTTTTTCCTCTTGCAGGAGTAGTTGTGAAAATGAAATACTCCAGCTCACAAAGGTATGAAATCTGTAAGTACTAAGAGTGAAGGAGAGATACCAAGGACAGGCATTGAGATGAGAAAGAAAGTAGGGTTAAAAGTAATTCCAAAATTTCATTATTAGCCCAGAGTTTTTTTAAGGAAGCCCCACTCTACTTAAAATATACTGAAGTACCCACCAACCAAAGTAAAACCTTCCTTTGTTTGGTCGCCCTGTACATTCTCTTCCAATTACCCATCCAGGCACTCTAAAGGGTGGCCTGCTTACAGACATGCTAACATTGAGCTCTGTCATTCAAGGGAAGGTCTGAGTTCAAGACTAGCCTGGGTAACATGGCAAAACCCCATCTCTAGAAAAAAAAAAAATTAGCCAGGTGTGGTGGTGCATGCCTGTGGTCCCAGCTGCTTGGGAGGCTGAGGTGGGAAGATTGCTTGAGCTCTGGAGGTGGAGGTTGCAGTGAGCCGTGATTGTGCCACTGTCCTCCAGCCTGGATGACAGAGCAAAACCCTACCTCAAAAAAATGTTTTTAATATCATAAAAAATAAAATGAAAAAAAGATGAAATAGAAGAACATTTAGTTAACTTGATAGAGTATCAAAAAACTATAGCAAACACCATTCCTAACTGAAATATTATAATTATTTCTTTTAAAGTGAGGATCGGGCCAGGTGTGGTGGCTCACACCTGTAATCCCAGCACTTTGGGAGGCCGAGGCGGGCGGATCACAAGGTCAGGAGATGGAGACCATCCTGGCTAATATGGTGAAACCTCATCTCTACTAAAAATACAAAAAATTAGCTGGGCGTGGTGGCATGCACCTGTAGTCCCAGCTACCCGGGAGGCTGAGGCAGGAGAATCACTTGAACCTGGGAAGTGGAGGGCGGAGGTTGCAGTGAGCTGAGATGGGGCCACTGCACTCCAGCCCGGGTGACAGAGCTAGACTCTGTCTCAAAATAATAATAAAATCATAAAGTCAGGATCAAGGGAAGGAAGCATGCTGAACACCTGTGCCACCCAACAGCATTCTGGATTCTAACAATACCAGAAGGCAAGGAAAAGAAGTAAGAGATAAAGCCCAGGCATGGTGGCTCATCTTGTAATCCCAGCACTTTGGGAGGCCAAGGCAGGCATATCACTTGAGTCTAGGAGTTCAAGACCAGCCTGGGCAACATGGTGAAACCCTGTCTCTACTAAAAATACAAAAAATTAGCCAGTCATGGTGGTGTGCACCTGTAGTCCCAGCTACTTGGAAGGCTGAAGTGGGAGGATCACCTGAGCCTGAGGAGTCGAGGCTGCTATGAGCTGTGATCACATCACTGCACTCCAGCCTGGGTGACACAGTGAAACTGTCTCAAAACAAAAAATGATAGATAAAAATGTTGTAAAAGAATTTAATAAAACTTGATATTCTCATAAATGAGGTTATCTACTACCACTGAAAAACTGTTTGAACTGGTAAGGTGGCTAGAAACAACAAACATTTGTAAAACAGCTTTCCTGGATATGACAATAGCCAGTTAGAAAAGTAATGGAAAAATATGAGCTAATTCACTAGAACACAAACATGAAATGTCTAGAAGTAAACTTCAGTGTATAATACCTACATGAATAAAACTATAATACTTTACTGAAGGACATAATTTACTGATGGATTCAGTCTTGTAAAGGTATCAGTTCTAACCAAATTAGTCAGGGTAGTCTAATTAAAATACAAGAAAAAAAAGGCAAACCAAATACCTGGTGACTAAATAATACAAATCATAATTAGCTGCTTTAAAATTGATAGAGAAGATACATGAGAATAATCAAGAAAATTTTGAAAAAGAAAAGTATGAGGCCAGGTGCTGTGGCTCACGCCTGTAATCCCAACACTTCGGGAGGCCGAGGCGGGCAGATCACTTAAGGTCAGGAATTCAAAACCAGCCTGGCCAACATGGTGAAACCCCGTCTCTACTACAAATACAAAAATTAGCCGGGCATGGTGGCGGGCGCCTGTAATCCCAGCTATTCGGGAGGCTGAGGCATGAGAATCACTTGAACCCAGGAGGCAGAGGTTGCACTGAGCCAAGATCATGCCACTGCACTCCAGCCTGGGCTTCAGACCAAAATTCTTTGAAAAAAAAAAAAAAAAAAAAGAGATAAGAGGCTGCACTCTAAAATACCAAAACTAACAAAACTAATGCTAAAACTATAATTAAAACAGTTTGCTAATCAATGCAAAACAGATAAATGGACCAGTGGAATGGAGAAAAGTCCAGAAATAAAACTGTATATGTACATAGAAGTTTGGGATATGAAAAAATAGCATTTAACATCAGTGGGAAATGAGAATATTAAATAAATGTGTTGGTACACTTAGGTATCCACTTGAGGAAAAGATTCCTGCCCTTCACTGAACAAAAAAAATAATAATCCTAGATGGATTAGATATTTAAGTGCACATTTAAAAAATTTTTTTCTCATTTAGGAGTGGAGAATTACTTCATTAGCAAGATACAGACCTTGGAACCCATAAAGGATGAAAATATTTTACTATGTAAAAATGTTAAAGCCCGGCCAGGCACGGTGGCTCAGGCGTGTAATTCCAGCACTTTGGGAGGCCAAGGCAGGTGGATCACTTGAGGTCAGGAGTAAAGACTAGCCTGGCCAGCATAGCGAAACCCTGTCTCTACCAACAATACAAAAATTAGCCAGGCACGGTGGTGCACACCTGTAATCCCAGCCACTCGGGAGGCTGAGAAAGGAGGATTGCTTGAGCCTGGGAGGCAGAGGCTGCAGTGAGCTGAGATTGCCCACTGTACTCCAGCCTGGAAAGCAGAGTGGACCCTGTCTCAAAAAAAAATTTTTGCCCTATATGATTAAAAATAACAATATGCACACACATAACATTTTTATGTAGTAAAATATTTTCATCCTTTATGGGTTCCAAGGTGGAATTACAGGTATTAAATTTTTTTCGTGTAAAAATCTACAGCTACCAGATTTTCTCATGTATTTTTAATATAATCAGAAAAAGATTTAACTTCAGTGTTCTCAAAAATGAAAAGTAGAAATATATATGTCTTTGAAACCTTGGATATTGTGGAAAAGAATAAAACGTAATTCTAGTGGTTTCATGTTTGGGTGATACCTTGTCAGAGAGGAAAATTATCAATAAATGGAAATTAAAAGTCAACGAGGTTACCTTACTAACTAGTATATACTTTGCTGTAACTAAAAAATGATTTCCTAAAAATTGAACTGCAGCACATTTGTCCAAATTAGCATGCCTTTGTAAAATTGCTTGTTTTTTTCTCTAGATGTTGTAATATTAGTTCAGCTGATCATCTGGGTAGTTAGGTGATAAGTGTTTTTTCTGCCTTAGAAGTGACTTTTTAATTAATTACCTTTAAATGTACAAGAAATTAAGCTTATAATTATGTCCTTAGGATCAAAGTTCTGATCGTACCAGTCTTTCTTCAGTGGGAGCCCAGGATTCTGAATCTACCTCTTTAACAGATGAAGATGTCTGCCATGAGTTGGAAGGACCTATCTCCTCTCAAGAGACCAGTGCTACTTCAGGGACTAAGAGAATTGATCTCAGCCGAATAAGCCTGGAAAGTTCTGCATCCTTGGAAGGTTTGTCCAAACAGTTCTGTCATACTGCATTTGATTTGTAGTTTCATTTGAATTGTGACACTTTCACTTTTTTCTTTATGATTTAATGTTGTTTTTTAATTTTGTAAACAATTTGTATAGTTCCAAAGTCAAAACAATAAAACCAAGGCACTTTCACAAAAGTATAACTTTCATCCCCACTCCCTCATCCTGTTTTCTCCCTATCCCTAGAAGCAACCATTTTTATTCATTTTTGGTTTATCCTTCCATCGTTGCTTTTTTAAAAATATAGGTATAGGTATATATATATATATATATATATATTTTTCCTTATTACTTCCCTGTCTTCTTACTCAAAGGTAACATACTGTCAATAGTTTCCTACCCCTTGATTTTTTCACTTAATATACTCTGAAGATCATTCTATATCATCCCATAGCAATGTTCCCCATTCATTTTTTCAGCTATATAGTACAAAATTATAGTTATACATCATGTGTGGATGTATTATAATTTATTTTAGCGACTTCCCTATTAATGGATGTCAAGTTTCCAGTTTTTCTAATGCTATAATGCATATATGTTATATTTTTACCAGTGTGTCTTTGGAAGATACTTCAGAATTCTTCCTTGAAGTGCTATTGCCAAGTTCCCTTCCTCAGGTTATTTTGCATTCCCACTGCCAGTATATGAGAATACCTATTTCCCCACAGCCTTGTCAACAAACTATGTTGGCACACTTGGATTTTTACCATCTGATAGGTGAGGAATGTATTTCAGTCAGTTTTCATTTCTATTTCTCTTATAAATGAAGTTGAGAATCTGTTTAAGGACCATTTGCATTTCTTCTTCTGTGGACTGTCCTTTGCCTACAGTTTAATTGTTGGTCCTTTTTTTTTTTAATGTTTTTAGTAGCTTTTTTTATATTGGGGAGTTAATCCTTTGTTGCTTATATAAGTTGCAAGTAGTTTATCTAAGTTTGTTTTTTGGGGGTGTTTTTTTTGCCATATGTAAGTTTTAAATTCTATATCATCAAATGTATCAGTCTTTCCCCTTATTGCTTCTGGATTGTGAGTTGCTAGAAAAGGTTTTTCTTTCCTTAAGATGTAAAAGAATCCACCAGTGTTTTCTTCTGATACTTATCTGGTTTCCTTCTTAATATTTTCTGGGGCCAGCAGACTTTTTGTGTAAAGCATTATGTAGTAAATATTTTAGGTTTTGCAGGCCACATACACCTCTGTCACATATTCTTTTTTGTTTGTTTCTTTAACAGCTTTTTTAAATGTAAAAGACACTCTTAGCTCAGGGCCATACAAATATGGATTTTACCTCTGATTTAGATATTTGATCCATAGAAAGTTATCCTGGTTAATGGTATGAAGAATGGATGTAATAGAAGATTTGTTTTTCACTTTATCTTTGCTCTTTTAAAAAGCTTTTATTATGGAAATTTTCAAACATGCAAAAGTATAAGGAATAGCATTATGAACCCCCATGTATCCATCACCAACTTCAATAATTATCAACCAATAACCAATCTTACTTTATCTGTTCCTTTCTCCTTTGCTGCCAACGTTTTCTCCTTCCTCAATGAGTTATTTCAAGCAAATCTCAGACAATGTATAATTTTATTCATAAACTTCAATATGTATCTCTAAAGTAAGAGACTTTTATGTTATCTATTTTAAACTATTTAAGTGTAACATATAATGTGTCTTTTTTTTTTTTTTTTAAGATAGGGTCTCACTCTGTTGCTCAGGCTGGAGTACAGTGGCACAGTCATGGCTCACTGCAACCATGATCTCCCATGCTCAAGCCTCAGCATCCCAAGTAGCTGGGACTACAGGCGTGCACCAGCACACCCGGCTATTTTTTTGTAGAGATGGGATCTCACAGGCTGGTCTCAAACTCCTGGGCTCAAGTGATCCTCCAGCATTGGCTTCCCAAAGTGCTGGGATTACAGGCTTGAGCCACCACACTCAGCTATACTTTTATGAATGTCAATACGTTCACAAATTCAGCACACCTGAGTAATCAGCACTCAGCTCAAGAAACAACATTCATAGCATCTAGAACCCTCTCTCGTGCCCATGTCTAGTCACTTCTTTCTTTACAGGTAAACATTAACTTCTAACACCATAGATTAACTCGGCTATTTTTGAACACTTTATGGGCTCAAATAGTATGTATCTTTTATGAAGTGTTTTTTTGAAAACATAAATCATAATACCATCATACTTTTAAGTGATATTTATCATATATATCAAATATTTAGTTTCAAATTTTCATGGTTATAAAACTCATTTTATAGATGGTTTTTTCACATTGGGGTCCATACAGGGCCAGCATTTGCATTTGGCTGATATGTCTATTAACTCTTTTTTGTCTTTATTCCCCTTCCTCTCCCTCTTTTTTTCCCCCTTGCTGTATATTTATGAAGAAATTAGGTGATTAGCCCCACTCCCTTCTTTTCTTTTTTAACATACAAGAACAGTTCATTGTCTAAGCAAATAACACTAAACTTACAGCCTGATTCATATTTATTAAAATGAATATTCTATACTGTAGATTAGTTAGATACAAAAGGTAGGCTGCTCAAATAAATGATACTCAAGGCTAATAGAAAGTTTGGGGAAGCAATTTTGAACTAGCTGTAGCAGAGGGATTACAGAAGGTTTTTGGGAAGAAGCATCAAGGGAAGAACTGCATTTACCACCAGTGCTAAGCATCTTAAAGGACAGTGAGATTTCAGCTCGTTTTCTGCCTCTCTAGGGTGTCTCTACATGGTAGGGAGTAGGACCAGTGATAGTTCTGGACCTTTTTTTTTTTTTTTTTCCTCCTTGTTATTTATTTGCTAAGCAATCAAGTCTTTAGTCTGGATCATGCTGATTGTATCCCGGTGGTGGTGTTTAACATGTTTTCCCATCCCCTCTTATTTCTCATGGACTGGTAGTTTACACCATTTTTTTTTTTTAACCTTTGTTTATCATTTATTTTGAGACAGTCTCACTCTATCACTCAGGCTGGAGTGCAGTGGCAGAGTCATAGCTCACTGCAGCTTCCTCCTCCTGGGTTCAGGTGATCATCCCACCTCAGCTTCCCAGGTAGCTGGGACTACAGGCACACAGTAACATGCCTGGCTACTTTTTTTGTATTTTTTGTAGAAACAGGGTTTTCACCATTTTGCCCAGGCTGGTCTCAAACTCCTGATCCACCTGCCTCAGCCTCCCAAAGTGCTGGGATTACAGGCGTGGGCCACCATGCCTGGCCTTTTGATCTTTATCTTTATAAAAATACCAGTCCTCGGCTGGGCACGGTGGCTCACGCCTGTAATCCCAGCACTTTGGGAGGCTGAGGTGGACAGATAATGAGGGTCAAGAGATCGAGACCATCCTGGCCAACATGGTGAAACCCCATCTGTACTAAAACTACAAAAAATTAGCTGGGTGTGGTGGCATGCGCATGTAGTCCCAGCTACTCGGGAGGCTGAGGCAGGAGAATTGCTTGAACCCAGGAGGCGGAGGTTGCAGTTAGCCGAGATCAGGCTACTGCACTCCAGCCTGGCAACAGTGAGATCTGTCTCAAAAAAAAAAAAATACCAGTACTCATTCATAAAATGTAGTAATGACAGAGAAAAACATGTGTTGAGAAGGTATAACATAGATCACCTCCAGTTTTACTGACAAGATACAATCACTGTCGACAACTGATTTGACCACAAAACTTCCCTTACTTTTTCGTTGTTATTGTTTTAATATTTACTAATATCCTATTGTTCTTAATAATATAATTGGGAATTCTTCTCAAGTATTTAAGAGCAAACAGCAAGATTAACCATCTTTTTTTTTTTTTTGGAGTCAGGATCTCATTCTGCTGCCCACGCTCTCATTGTAACCTCAAATTTCTGGACTCAAGAAATTTGGACTCCTACCCCAGTCTCCCAAGTAGCTGTGACTATAAGCACACACCACCACGTCCAGCTAATTCTTTATTTTTATTTTTTTGTAGAGACAAGGTCTCACTATGTTGCCAAGGCTGGTCTCGAATTCCTGGCCTGAAGCAATCCTCCCACTTCAGCCTCTCAACATGCTAGGATTACAGGCATGAGCCACCATGCCCAGCTATTCTAGTTCTTAAAAGACCCTTATAAGGAGAGAATTGCCACTAAATCTTTTTCATGATTTGAAATAAAAATGGGCTATTTTATACTTTTTAGACCTTGGAACTAAATACTTTCCTGTATTTTAAACATGAAAAAATAGAAACAGCACAATAATTACTAATGACTAGAATGTTTTCTAGTCTGTTCACATAAAGTGCTTTAGTAAGTCAGTAATGAGTGGACACACCTAAGATGTGGGGATGAGCAGAATTAGAGCACATTTCCTTAGGTTTGTGCTCAAAACTTCATGCCTTGAAAAAATCTTGTTCATTATTTATTTGTTTTTCCTAATTAGTTTTAATATTTTGACTGGAATAGGTTAACATTTTATCTGAGAACTTATGGAAGTAAAAGATTCTTATATCCTTTCTCATTAATTTTAATGGTTTCTGTTCTTTGTTTTTCACTAATGAACAGGATCTCTGTCGAAGTTTGCCTTACCTGGGAAATCAGAAGTGACATCTTCCTTCAACGCGAGTAATACAAATATCTTCCAGAACTATGCAATGGAGGTACACTTTTGTGCAAAAGAGAATCTTCATATACTGCTTTATAAAATGCACATTTCTTAAGTATTAGTGGTCCCAGGTAGAGTAATAGAAGTTAAATACATAGGCTGGGCGCGGTGGCTCACGCCTGTAATCCCAGCACTTTGGGAGGCCAACATGGGTGGATCACCTGAGGTCAGGGGTTCGAGGCCAGCCTGGCCAATATGGTGAAACCACGTCTCTACTAAAAATACAAAAATTACCCAGGCATGGTGGCAGGCACCTGTAATCGCAGCCACTAGGGAGGCTGAGGCAGGAGAATTACTTAAACCTGGGAGGCAGAGATTGCAGTGAGCCGAGATCACGCCACTGCACTCTAGCCTGGGCGACAGAGCAAGACTCCATCTCAAAAAAAGAGAAAAAATAATAAGTTAAATACATAGCACCTGAAATTTCAGAATGTGAATTGCATCTGAGTAAAGTTAAAATTTAGCTTTTGGATATCCAGTATTTCAGATTATTGAAGTCATACTAACTTATTTCTATTAGGACAGATCTATGCTTACTTTAAGGTTTATCAACCTACAAAAGCATTTTAATTTTCTTTGTTAGTATTTGGGTTTGTTTCATGAATGTTCTCTTTGAGTGTTTATTTCACATAATAAACACAATCAGTTTTGCTATGCAAGCATACTTTTTTGGTGAATGTACAGGGAGTAGTTTTGGCATTATGTTGTCAGTTTCTTCCACCATGTTTTTCATTCTTTGTGTCAGTTTGACGTAGGTCTCTGCTGGGTAAGCGTTTGTATCCCACATACTTAAAATGAAAAAGTTATACTTTTTCACTTTAAAACTTTTTCCTAATTTTTCTGTAAAAATTGCTTCCAAATACATTTGTGAGTATGGTTGCTATTTTATGTTAATTTGCATAAATCTGGAAAATAAATTTGCATACAGCCAAAACATAGATGATGAACACTAACTTTACAAAGTTTCTGGAGGCTTCAAGAATTTCTATATTTTCTTAACATAATGATAGCATTTATAGTTATCTATAGCAATGCTTATTAAACTGTCTTTTGTAAAAGACCAGGGTTGTTTTCATTTTGTTTGTTTAATTTCTAATCTGTCATAGCTAATATTCTTAGAAAATACATTGATTACACACTTAGATGTTACTGCAATATCACAGTACTTTAAAAAGTTTATAAATCCTCCTCTCAATTTCTTATTTATCTCATCACAATCCAGTAAGTGTTTGTAGACCAGTACTGGTCTGGCAACCACACTGATTTGTAATATGTAATTACAAATGCCTGTTTGGGGTATTAACAAATTAGTGATTGAGTTTACTTTTCCATTAATAAAACCACAGCACATTTTACTCTGATTTATAATGAAAAAAATCCTCACTTAAAAGCAAGTTTCCCTTTCAGGCAAAAATTCTGGAATGGATTTAGCTGAAGACGATTATAGTATATAATACACTGATGTAATCCAGTGTTTGTGTATAGCATCTGAATCCTTCTGGGTTTTAATTATCCAATGAATTTATGAATTGAAATGGTTTTTAATTCATAATCTGAATTAACCAGCTTTCTTTATAAAGTGCTATCTTCTCCCACAGGTTCTCATCTCAAGTTGCTCTCGGTGTAGAACTTGTGATTGTCTTGTCCATGATGAGGAAATCATGGCTGGCTGGACAGCAGATGATTCAAATCTCAATACTACATGCCCATTCTGTGGCAATATCTTCTTACCCTTTCTGAATATAGAAATAAGAGATTTAAGACGACCTGGAAGGTAATGATATTTTTTTCCTTCATGTTTAAGGATCATGTTCCCTATAATATCTCTTTTCTCAAAAAGTTCCTTCGATTCACATTACAGATACTTTCTAAAGTCAAGCCCATCAACAGAAAATATGCACTTTCCATCCTCCATTTCAAGTCAGACGAGGCAGTCTTGCATTTCAACATCAGCCTCTGGTCTTGACACATCTGCTCTCTCTGTTCAAGGGAATTTTGATCTAAATAGGTAATTATGATTATGTGGAACTATATTTTAACAACATATATTTACACATATTTTAGAAGTATGACAGAAAAATTAGTTGACCATTTCCAGGTTTAAATGTCTATGAATAACAGATTCATAATCTTAAATTCTTACTCTTAAAACAGTGTTAAAATTCTCTAATCACATAAATCTTTAAATATGTAGTTATATGTTATGCTTTATTAATCCCCAGAGTTTAAGCTGTATGTATATATGATAATGTTTACTAGTATTTTAAAGGTAAAAAAAATGTAGAACACTTGAGGTTTATAATGACTATCTTTTTTCTTGTCTCTATCTCTTCAGGAATTAAGTCAATACTACTACTTTTTAATATTTAATTTTCTACCTAGGGAATATTTAATAATCTAAGAAAACATTTGGAGCTGATATAGGAACTGCGAAATTAAACTAAAATTTATATAGTAAGCCTAATATAAGTAAATCTACACTTAAAACTGATGCAGAAATCAATTCCATTGTGCGGAAGTGCCAAATAAGCCATATATAGCTGGACAGATGAAGCCATATTGGTAGCTGCATGTGCCAAAAAATGCCTGTATAGTGTTGGCAGGCTAACGTGACCTGTGTGATCTTGATTACTTAATAAAACCAAAAATCTGTTTGTGCACCTTCTTTCATCACCGGTCTATTGTAGCCCTTATCTTTGTCTCCTGGGTTGTGACTCCTGAAGGAATATGTGCCTTTTTTCTCTGCTTTCTATCCCCATGGTCTAGTGTGCTTTCTGCTATATAGAAGTCTACTAAATGTTTTGAATAAATGAATGAATTTTGAATATTTACAGTTGATTTGATAAAAAAGGAAATTTATCATGACTATACTACTTAAAAATATATCCTGTTTCCCAGCTGAAGCCTGAGTAGCATTTCCTTTCATTCATGTTGCCATGTCTAGCTCTGATTCTTTTTTTTTTTTTGAGACAGAGTCTCACTCTGTTGCCCATACTGGAGTACAGTGGTGCAATCTTGGCTCACTGCAATCTTTGCCTCCCAGGTTCAAACAATGCTCCTGCCTCAGCCTCCCAAGTAGCTGGGATTACAGGCGCCTGCCATCACACCTGGCTAATTTTTCTATTTTTAGTAGAGACAGGGTTTCACCATGTTGGCCAAGCTGCTCTCGAACTCCTGACCTCAGGCAATCCACCCACCTCAGCCTCCCAAAGTGCTGGCATTACAGGTGTGAGCCACCTCGCCCGACCATCTAGCTCGGATTCTAAAGAGAAGAACATGGCCGGTAGTGGTGGCCCACACTTGTAATCCCAGCACTTTGGGAGGCCGAGGTGGGCAGATGGCTTGAGCCTGGGAGTTCGAGACCAGCCTGGACAACATGGCAAAACCCCATCTCTACTAAAAATACAAAAATTAGGCAGGCATGGTGGCGTGTGCCCGTAGTCCCAGCCACTCGGGAGGCTGAGGTGGGAGGATCGCTTGAGCCTAGGTGACAGAAGTTGCAGTGAGCTGAGATCACACCACTGCAGTCCAGCCTGGGTGACAGAGCAAGACTCTGTCTTAAAAAAAAAAAAAAAAGAGAGAGAGAGAGAGAACATGATCCTTGTTGATGAAGTAAAGTAAATCTAGACACTGATACACTTTCTTCTTTTTTCAATTCCCAAGCAAATCTAAACTGCAGGAAAATTTTTGCACCCGAAGTATTCAGATCCCTGCTAATAGATCAAAAACAGCTATGTCTAAATGTCCAATATTTCCAATGGCCAGGAGTATTAGTACTTCTGGCCCCTTGGATAAGGAAGATACTGGAAGACAGAAGCTCATTTCTACAGGCAGCCTGCCAGCTACTTTACAAGGAGCTACAGTATGTATTTTGGTGTATTTTTTTATTTGGAAATTGATCACTTACGTATGATTTTGTTCCCCTTGTCTTAAGTAGTCTTATTAGCTTTATTATTGCCAAGAAGAGTCTCTTATCCCATGATACAATTATATTACTTTTCTACTCATATGGGAATCATTGAATTTTTTAATGGCTTAGTATTATTTTGCATTTGCCATTTATGGTTTTTATTTATTCAACAGGATTCTTTAGGTTTAGAATGGCACCTTCCAAGTCCCGATCCTGTCACTGTTCCGTATCTTAGTCCTTTAGTGGTATGGAAAGAACTTGAAAGCTTATTGGAAAATGAAGGTGATCATGCAATAACAGTAGCAGACTTTGTGGACCATCATCCAATTGTTTTTTGGAACCTGGTATGGTATTTCAGACGTCTTGACTTGCCCAGTAACTTACCTGGATTGATTCTTTCTTCTGAGCACTGTAACAAGTATTCAAAGGTATGAGACTAAAAATTAAAAGGCAATGAATGCTTCTGTTACCATTGTAATGTTTGCATATTCCTAATGATTAAAAAGTAAGGTCTGTTTTTATGCTAAATTTATTTTATTTTATTTTTTGAGACGTAGTCTCACTCTTTCGCCAGGCTGGAGTGCAGTGGCACTATCTCGGCTCACTGCAGCCTCCAGCTACAGGGTTCAAGCAATTCTCCTGCCTCAGCCTCCCAAGTAGCTGGGATTGCAGGCACACACCACCACGCTCAGCTAATTTTTGTATTTTTAGTAGAGACGGGGTTTCACCATGTTGGCCAGGATGGTCTTGATTTCTTGACCTTATGATCCACCTGCCTCAGCCTCCCAAAGTGTTGGGATTACAGGCGTGAGCCACCGTGCCCAGCCTATGCTAAATATTTTTAATAGCCCTCTGGGTCATTAGATAAATAGAATTGTTTTAGTTGTATTTACAAATAATATTTTCTTCTTACAGGCTAGCAATAAGAGTCTTTTTTTTTTGCCTTCTCCTAAAATTTACATTAAACGTACTTGAATTTTTGCTATTGCTTCAAGAATAAACTGGAAATGACTCTTAGGAAGCAGATTTGTGAGTTAGGCCCACTTACATCTTGTACTTCTTTCAAAACAAGCCTAATTTTTTTTTTTTTTTTTTTTTGACACAAGGTCTCGCCCTGTCACCCAGACTGGAGTGCAGTGGTGTGGTCATGGCTCACTGTGACCTCTAACCCCTGGGCTCAAGTGACCCTCCTGTCTCAGCCTCCCAAAGTGCTGGGGTTATAGGCAGGAGCCACTGTGTCCAGCCCAAGCCTAACACTTTTTAAGGATATCTATACAGCAGTCCCTCCTTATTCATGGTTTTCCTTTCTGAGGTTTCAGTTACCCATGGTAACTGTGGTCTCAAAATATTAAGTGGAAACTTCCAGAAAGAAACACTTCATAAGTTTTAAATTGCATGCTGTTCTGAGTAGCATGATGAAATTTCGTGCTGTCCCATCTGGGATGTGAATCATCCCTTTGTTCGGTGTATCCACGCTGTGTATGCCACCTGCTTGTTAATCATTGAGTAGCCATCTCTGTTATCAGACCCACTGTGATGGTATCACAGTGCTTGTGTTCATGTAACTCCTGTTTTACTTAATGGCACAAAGCAGTGATGCTGGCATATTGTTTTAATTGTTCTATTTTATTATTAGTTATTGTTAATTTCTTTTTGTGCCTCATTTATAAATTAAATATCACAAGTATGTATGTATAGGAAAATACAGTATATATAGGGTTCGGTACTATCTGCAGTTATAGGTATCCATTGGAGGTCTTGGAATATAGCTGCTGAGGATAAAGGGGGACTATTGAAATTCATATTGCAATCATGTGCTACCACTCTCGTCATTCCTTTACCCTGGATTTTTGTTTAACATTTAGGCCATTTGTTTGTTATATGTTCATTTGTATTTTCGGTATGTTGTTTTATAAAAGTGTCTTTACTTTTTCATATACTGCCACTGCCACTAAATGGTGGTCTCTAAGTTCAGGAACCTTGCCTTCTCTCTTCTTGTGCTGCATGCCTATGATTGTGCATGTGCTTCGGATTTTCAGTACATCATACATGAGTGACAAAGATGTGAACTCAGCGTTATCTGGGCCAGGGTGTTGGATGATATAGGATGGGACTCCTGGATTTATCTTTCTGTGACTTTCAATCATGAGCAAGAGGAGCAAGATGAGTTCTTCTTGGTACCCTTTCTCACGGATCTCAAGTACTTTGTTATATCTGATCTTTAGAGATCATTAGCTTTTCCACACAGCCCATCTTCCTGTAGTAGATATCAAATGTAGATAAATCAGTCTTTTTCTGTTCTCTTTTCTGTCTCGCACATATACATCCTAAAAAATATTTATAAGAATTTTATAAAATACTTATGAAAAATTATCATGTAAGGATCATTAATGAATGTTTATTGTATAACACAGATTCCCCGCCACTGTATGTCTGAAGATAGCAAATATGTTTTAATACAAATGTTATGGGACAATATGAAGTTACATCAGGATCCGGGACAGCCCTTGTACATTCTCTGGAATGCACACAGTAAGTGCCATCATAGAATGCTGACTTTGTTCATATGAGAGTAATCTCTACTAGCTTTAAATAGCATAAACCAATGTATAACTGACTTTTATTTTACTGTACTACTTTTTGTCTTACAGGTCAAAGTCGTACTCTTTTGTTTGAGAGTGAGTGTTTGATTTTTTTAGTGCTACCTTCTATGGAGGTCTAAGGGTTTTTTTTTGTTTTTTGTTTTTTGTTTTGGTTTGGTTTTTTGAGGGGTGCTGTGTATGTGCTGGAGGGGTTGGTTGTGTTTTGCAGAATTCAGCTTTCAGCACATTGCTCATCCCAATTTCTTCTTTTTACTTATTTTTTATTTGTTTCCATCCCAGGCTGCTGATTTAGAATTTTCATCAGAGGCTGTATTAAGGGAAACAATATTCTTAGTTATTGTCTATTTAAGACCACAGAAAGCTTTAGACCTTTTTTTGTCATTATTTGTCTTATTTTTTGCTTTCTTCATTCTTGGATTCCTATTTCTTTATCTATTGCCCTTAATTTATTTTTAGTGCTTTGTAACTTAATATCTGTCAGTTGCTGCTTAATTTCTTTCTCCTTTCTACACAGAACATTTTCCTTCATCTGTTCTTTTGTTCGTTTACAGCCCAAAAATATCCAATGGTCCATTTATTGCAAAAAAGTGATAACTCATTTAACCAGGAACTGTTGAAAAGTATGGTAAAAAGCATTAAAATGAATGATGTCTATGGACCAATGAGTCAGATTTTAGAGACACTGAATAAGTGTCCACATTTTAAAAGACAGAGGTAAGTCCTTCTCTTAGACGAATATATTGTTCTCCTAGGCAGATTCATATTGTTTGCTTAGTAATTTGTTAGAATATCTCATGCTTATGATAGCATTAAATTTTTTATAGGGAACATATGGACTATATGGATACTAATATTTTCTCCATGACTTTTTCTCCCTAGGAGTTTATACAGAGAAATACTATTTCTCTCACTTGTGGCACTGGGAAGAGAAAACATTGATATAGGTAATTTAGCTTTATATCTAATATGTAATATTTATATATCATGGAATAGTTTTCAAAGTATTTTTATATTAGTAGTTATACTTTATTAGTAATATTAAATCTGTAATTATATAAAGGTAGATTAGTTGTTGCTAAGGACCAAGAGGTGGGGTGAATAGGGAGTGACTGCTAACTGGTATAAGGTTTCTTTTTGGTGAGATGAAAATGTTCTGGAATTAGGCAGTGGTGATAGTTGTACAATCTTGTGAATATACCAAAAAAACACTAAATTGTACACTTTAAGTTAGTGAATTGTATGGTATATGGATTATATTTCAATTTTTAAAAGTTAATCTGACAAGAAAAGGACTAGTCAGGAAAAATTATTTAATTGAAAGGAGCCGGGTGCGGTAGCTCATGTCTGTAATCCCAGCACTTTGGGAGGCCAAGGTGGGTGGATCGCTTGAGGCCAGGAGTTTGAGACCAGCCTGGGCAACATGGTGAAACCCCATTTCTACCAAAAAAAAAAAAAAGTTAGCCAGATGTGGTGGCACATGGCTGTAGTCCCAGCTACTTGGGAGGCTGAGGTGAAAGTATCATGTGAGCCTGGGCAGTCGAGGCTGCAGTGAGCCATGACGGTGCAGCTGCATGCCAGCTTGGGCTGTAGAGCAAGACCTTATCTGATAAAAAAAGAATCAACAGAAGGTGATTCTTTTCTAGAAGCTACTGTAATTACATCAGGGTAATGCTACCAGGGGCAGAGCTGGAAAAATCAATGGTACAGAATAGGGAGTCTAGAAATAAACATAAATATCTATGGGAATATAATATATAATAAAATCAGCCAGGTGCAGTGGTTCACGCCTGTAATCCCAACACTGTAGGAGGCCAAGGCGGGCAGATCATCTGAGGTCAGGAGTTCGAGGCAAGCCTGGCCAATATGGTGAAACCCCATCTCTACTAAAAATACAAAATTAGCCAGGCGTGGTGGCGCATGCCTGTAGTCCCAGCTACTCAGGCGCCTGAGGCAGGAGAATCACTTGAACCCAGGAGGCGGAGGCAGCAGTGAGCCGAGATTGTGCCACTGCACTCCAGCCTGCGCAACAAGAGTGAAACTCCGTCTAACCAAAAAAAAAAATAAAAAAAAAAAAATATATATATATATATATATATACACACACACACATATATATAAAAAATAAAATGTTAGGAAAGGTAGACTATTAAATGGCATTGGGATAGTCATTCTAGCCACTTGAGAAAGATGCCAGAACTTAACCAAAATCATGAATAGTGTTATTTGAGCTAGGCCTTTTAACTATGGTGAAACAGAGGATACCAAAAAGGATTATTCAGATCCTTGTTACCATCCCTTTATTCCCTACCTAATACAAGCCCAGACTGTAGTCAGATATTACTCTAGCCCTCTGCCAAAGGTGGGATTTCCTTGAATGTCTAAAAAATTCCGGACCTCCAAGCTAGAGAAGCTCACTTGCTCATGCACTTGACTCAACTCCAACAAGCCTTCATGGGTACCACTGTGGTACTGTTTCAGAGAGGAAAGATGTTCTTAGGTCCGTCACCTCCCCAAAGCAGAAAAATAGGATCTTAGTGACATTGTTATAATTCATACCCCATTTGGCTCTCTGAGGGGCAAATTTTTATCCAGTATGTGTTTAAAATAAGCAATAAGTTAGCATGATTTCTAGACTGAGAGAAACTTTTAGCAGAAGCTTGTAAACCTCTGTTGTCCCTTTTTGTCACATGTGGACTATCTTCTGGGGAAAAGGCACACAGACCTTGGTATAACGTCCTTAAAAATAAAAGTAACAGTCTGTTAGCTCCATCTGTTGCCATGTGGAAAAGGGAAAAAAAAATCATTACATGGTGATTTCAGATATTTGGATTATTTTCCCAGAGGTAGCCCATAATATAGGAAGTTAGGACACACAAACCAAAAAAAATTTCTGTTGAAGCAAAATTTAAATTTAAAAAATGAAACCATAAAAGGACTAGTGTAAAGAAAATATGGGCAAAAAAACTTTTTGTCAATCCTGGTGGGAAAAGGCTATTATTTATTTTTACTGTTTTTATTGAGTATGCAAAGCAAAGTACCAAAAAAGTGTGTGTGGTATTTGGTGGTTTTTAACATCTGTACCTGGTAAAATTAAAAATTGGCATTTTCAAACCTTTAAGTTTCACTGGTCTGTGCAATCCAGCTGTGGTCCTTTGGATAAAGAAATGTCCTAGCAATTCCTTCTTGGCCTCTAATGTTGTGTTTCTGTAGTATTATAGAAACTTGATAGTTTTCAACATCAGACCTAAATTTCTTTATTCTTTTATTTCTTTATCAATTTCTGCAGATGCTTTTGATAAAGAGTACAAGATGGCATACGATCGTCTCACACCTAGTCAAGTCAAGAGTACACACAACTGTGATAGACCACCAAGTACAGGGGTGATGGAATGTCGAAAAACCTTTGGAGAACCTTATCTTTAAGATGTATTTGTATGTGTAAACATTCAATGTATATTGTATAGTCAGTGTATAAAATAACACTTTTAGACTCTAAATATTTTTTCTTCAATTTTTGAAAATACAATTTGTAAATGGTTCAAAAGACTCAGACAGCTTATGTACAGAATGTTTGAAGAAGAGAATAGTGACAAGTGGGGAGAAAGCCACTTTGTTTCTCATTTCTTTTTTCTTCTTCTTTAACTCCCCTGTAATAGGAAATAAAGTATTTTTGTGATGAGGAAATCCCTAAACAAAATTAGTTGCCATAAAATATGACAACTGCTTTATGGTTTCTTTTGGAAGAGACAGATTGAAAAATCATGAATGGAATCTAAACAGAAATGTCAGATGAACGTATTTCCTGTTTTCATAGACTATTCAAATGTTTTGACCATGAAGTTGTATTATACATATTTTAAATTGTTTATAGTAAGTTGATATTTTTTTAATTTTTAAATTTAATATAGCAAACTTAAAATGAATTTAAACTTAAGCAAGCAAGCGTGTATTTTCCTTGTCTGCTGCTATTTGAAGTAATTAGTACAGCTGCAGATCTCTCTGTGTATATCTATCTATATATATATTTTTTATTACTTGGGAGAATGAATTTTAAAATGTCAGTGCTAGTGTCAAGTGTTGTCCTAGGATTGCATGTTAGTACCCCTAAGCCTGAGTGTGGGGAGTGAGTTATGCAAGGGTAGCGTGCACTGCCCAGACTGACTCATGGAGCCTTGTGCAAGGAGAGCCAGAGAGGTTCACTATACCATGACTCCAAAATTGTCTCTATTGCTAATAGATACGTATAGTATACAGGGAAAACAGCTTATAAATCCAAATATCAATTTAAATTTTAATATTCTACATGAAAACTTACATTGGGAAATATGCAGACAAGTGATTATATTCCAAATTTTACCCTTATTTTAATATCTAAAATATTGGGTATGATGCAAATTATACTATAGAATATTTATCTGAAATATGACTTACTGGGGTATTCTGTTAATACTATATATAAATATTCAGAATTTTTTTCAAAAGTAGAAAAATTCCCCTCTAAAAGTACAGCCAGATAGATTTTCATCCATATTGAGGAACTTAGCTTTTTCAACAAGCTTCAGAATCTGAAGTCTGTAGAATCTAAAATACAGAAATATCCAGAAATCAGACAATAAATTGAAAGTTTAGACATCATGAGTATTAAATAGCTTTAAAAATATATTTTTAGTCATATTATTTCTAATGTAACTTTCTTTGGGTAATTTCTGGTAAGGAAAAACATCTTTTGGCTGCTAGAATTAGTTATAGATTTTCAATATGTGTGTGTGTTTGCACACATTATCATTAGTGAAGGAATTCCCTAGCCAGCTTTAAAGAAGGAAAAAATGGATAGTCCCAAATTAGGTGTATAAAGCCAGTAGAGTCCACGACACTTGGACTGGAGGTATCTTGGAGTCCTGAGACTTAGAATCAGTTCAGCTGCAGAAAACCCACCTTTTGAGTTCACACCATTAGTGAATAGCACCATGCTGAAACATTTCACAGCTTCCAACTCTGGGAAATAATGGAGAGAGTTTAAAAATGTAAAACTTCAGTTAGTTTGGGGCTGAACTTGCTTACTTGAAAAATCTGGTGCTAGGCACATATATCTGCCTCTCCTTTGTAAATACCACTCCAATATTATTCTTTACTATTCAGATCCAAGCTTCATGTTCTACTTGTTCTTCATGTTCTTTAAATCATTTGAAAGTTGTCAACTGAGAGAAACATTTCAGAGGGGGGAGGCTTTTGGCACTGGTGATAAACATCCCTCCAAGAGAACCGTCTGGGGTTCTCTTCTATTTGTGGTTGGTGGTTTTTATTCTTTTAAAAACAGCTTTCATTGTTGTTTACTTTTTGTGTAATACAAACAAAATGTAGGAATCATAGTTTATTGATTTCAAATGGCTGACAAAGAATGAGTAAAACCATTCTTTATGGTTTTACGATTCAGACTCATTTGGAAAAGCGAATGTAATTTTTACCTCCTCTTTCCACCCCAAGTTTTGTTTCTGCTTTTGGAGAGGGTTGTATTTCCCCTACTTTTAATCCCTAGGGAATATTATTGCACAGATTTAGTCTTAAAACCTAAAACACAAATACAAAGTGGTAAACCTGTTCAAAAGAAAATTAAAATGTGAATCATTCTTGAGCTGGGCGTGGTTGCTCATGGAGGCCTGTAATCCCAGCACTTTGGGAGGCTGAAGCAGGGAGGATTGCTTGAGTCCAGGAGTTCAAAACCAGCCTGAGCAACATAGAGAGACCCTGTCTCTACAAAAAAATTTTTTAAATTTGCTCGGTATGGTGGCTCATGCTTGGTAATCCCAGCTACTCGGGAGGCTGAAGCAGGAGGATCACTTTGAGCCTGGGGGTTTGGGGCTGCAATGAGCTGTGATCATGCCATTGCACTCTAGCCTGGATTACAGAGCAAGACCCTGTCTCAAAAAAAAAAAAAAAAAAAAAAAAAAAAACCAGAAAATATCAATCATTTAAAATAACTCTATACAAACTTTTCTTCAATTTTCTGTTAACCATACATTTTGGAGAATAATGGCCAATCATGTTGGAGAGAAATGCCCTTTTGCTACAGCATCTGTCTTTTATTTTCTTACTCTTAGTTTTGTTTATATGTTTAAATGGTTGACAATAAACCATGTCCTGTGCTGATGTAGCTTGTTTACTACGTCCTACCATTATGTTCTAAATGGCACAGATTTGTATTCCATATCGTATTTCAAATATTCTACTTTTTCCTCCTAGTGTTAGGTGGAGAAATATGCAGCTGTTCATCTTCTGATTTTTGTCTTCTTTTCCCTGACTTTCTTGGGGGTTGGATTTCTGTTTTGCTCTAAAACCCTAACACTACCAGCATATTTAATTGTAAGGTTTTCTAGTATGTCTCCCCATTTGTGTATTTAGAGAAATGGTCCCAGAAAACATTGGTTCAACATTTTAGGCAGTAAATACTTATTTTTACTTTATGCTGATAATTACTATGATACTTAAGTGCAACCAGCAAGTATTAGCTAGCTCTATTTAGAAGTTATGCTTAATTTCTAAATACAGGCTGAGCTCCTGGAATCAAGTGCTCCAAAATCCAAAACTTTTTGAATACCGACATGATGCTCAAAGGAAATGCTCATTTGAGCATTTTGGATTTCATATTTGGGATGTTCAACCAGTTTGTATTTTTCAAATATTCCAAATTTCAAAAACATCTGAAATCCAAAACACTTCTGGTCCGAAACATTTCTGATAAGGGATACTCAACCTCTACTTTGTAATATGCGATATGAAAATACCTATTTGTTTGGTGATGTGCAGTAGCCCAGCTTTATTTTTATTTCTCTCACTAGAACTTGAAAGCTGCTATTTGGCACTTTATCTCAGAGCAAGAAGAGAAAGAGCAGGCTGTCTCTTTGAGAAGACCCTTGTCCTTCGTGCTAAAGTTAGCATGTGCTGCCTCTTCCTGTCTGGATATAAGACTAAGCTTTATTTCAAAACTGAACCCTCTAGCAGCTGCATACCAGTTTACCTTAATATCCTTAGTACTTGGTGTCTTAACATCCTCATACTACCTTGCTCCTTTGGCCTCAAAGTAAGCATATTGGCTGGCTTATATTTCTTAACAAAATTAGCAGTACACAAATTGAAGAATTTTCATCTTTGATTACAAAAGTCTGCGCATGTGCTTGTACTCTGAGATGGTAATAGATTCTTCTGATAAAGTTATTGCTGCCTTTCCACAGTTCCTGTTCATTTGGATGGCTCCCTCCTTTACTATTTAAATATTTTTTTTTCAAATGTAGTACTATGATAAAACTATTGCAGCAACTGGTGGATTTTCTGCAAGTGAAATTCTCCAGGTTTTGCTTGCTCATACAGCGAAGGACCTAAAGACCAGAAGTGTGCCTTTAGTTGTGCAGGCAGACTTGGGCCAGGATGTCCTGTAGGCGTTAGTGAACCCCCAGGGATAGGCAGCTCTGCTCATGAGCCCTCTCATTACATCTTTCATAGCATCCAGTCCCCGTACACATTGCAAGCTGCACCTGCTGGAGGACCCTCCCACCAAAAAAGGGTCAGAACCAAGAGTATTCATTGGCACATAAGGCCAACCAATTCTTCCTGATTATTTATTTTTTCTTTTTTTTTGAGACGGAGTCTCGCTGTTGCCCAGGCTGGAGTGCAGTGGCACGATCTCGGCTCACTGCAGGCTCCGCCCCCCGGGGTTCACGCCATTCTCCTGCCTCAGCCTCCCGAGTAGCTGGGACTATAGGCGCCTGCCACCTCGCCCGGCTAATTTTTGGTATTTTTTTAGTAGAGACGGGGTTTCACCGTGTTAGCCAGGATGGTCTCGATCTACTGACCTCGTGATCCGCCCACCTTGGCCTCCCAAAGTGCTGGGATTATAGGCATGAGCCACCGCGCCCGGCCCTTTTCCTGATTATTTACTATTCTGTGCTCTAGATAATACATTCCAATTCCTGCCCCCTTTGGTACTCAATCTTTAAATAATATTGATATAGACAGCTATAAAAGACTAAGCCTGTAATTTGGTAAAACTATTTTCGAATCTATTGATGACAGTGCAATATAATGTTCAAAATATATAGTAACCATTTTGGCTGGGTACAGTGGCTCATGCCTGTAATCTCAGCACTTTGGGAGGCCGAGGCGGGCAGATTGCCTGAGCTCAGGAGTTCGAGATCAGCCTGGGCAACATGGCAAAACCCTATCTCTACAAAAAAATACAAAAATCAGCTGGGTGTGGTGGTGCACTTCTGTAGTCCCAGCTACTTGGGGGGCTGAGGCGGGAGGATCGCTTGAGCCCACAAGGTGAGGCTACAGTGAGCCATGTTCATGTCACTGCACTCTAGCCTGGGTGACAGGGCAAGGCCCCGTCTCTTTTTAAAACAAAACAAAACAAAAAAACATTTAAACACATAGTTTGAAAAATTTGGAATACATCTCTTTTTTCTGGTACTATATAGACTCTTAACCCATTAAATGAGGAAGAATTCAGAAATCTGGCTCAAACCTATTATCAGGGCCTTCAAGGAAGTGCAGCCTAAGGGGGTAGAAGTCATCCATGTAGCCACTGACTTCCAATTCAAATACCCATTTGGGACAGTTCAGACTTTCCAGGCTGAATGAATGACCTAGAATTTGTCACAAGTAACTATATACAGAATATTCTGCCTATAAAGTGAGAGGACCATCTCAATATTATCTCGACATTTTTAAATGGTACTTTACCTCTAAAACAGCATGATTTTAATATTATAGTACGTTTGTAAATGTGTGACCAAAAAATTTAATTTCCAGGTATAACCAATTAGTCTTTTAAAAGTTACACAAGTTTTCCATCTCACCAAAGTAATCTCACTCTCTCCCCCAGTGAATTCCTACTCATTCATCAAGACTCAGCTTTCATTTTTTGTACTTGTCCTTTTCTGTAACACTGTAAAGTGATCAGAACTTCCTTTCTAGGCAAAGGGGTATGCCAGAAATTCAGCAAACTGGGAAAAGGATGTCAGATTATTAGAGTTGGTTTTAATCATTCAGTGGATATTTCAGCCTTTTATCATTACACAGCATTTTACGGTCCATCACTCCTTACTCCAGTCTGAGGAAGAACGTCAGATCCCAGGCTGTGGGTGAGGTGACATCCCCGAGGCTAACGGGAACGGGCTGCAGACACCAGGTTAGTGCCCAGAATTTTGGTATTGGGACCTCCCTCCCACAAGCATTGCCTTCTCCTCCTGTTCTTAGGCCTTGGCTATGGAAACCCAGCAATGCAGTAGCATCAGGAATAAGGATAATTAAGAATATAGAATTGGAACATGATTCCATACTCTTCATCAGTCTTCTCGGGAGGATTCTGACCAAATGACCTAAAGATAAGGATGAGCCCATCCATGTTGTAAAGTAAAATACCATTGGGATTCACAGTTTATTGAAATTTAATAAAAATTATTTCCAAAGAATGAGAATCCTGGGGTAGCGAGGCAATTAATTAAGCAATTCATCTTAAAAGATGGAATACTTGGAACACCTTAGCCATCATTCAATGCCAAAATGTTTGGGTTTTTTTCATATCACATCCGTCCTATCTTTTCATCTTCAGTGAATCATTCCTCATGTTTGTAATTAAAGCCATATTTACCATCATAATCTGCAGTCACCCGAGCTCATTTTGCTCTGAAGCCAGTGATATTAAGCTGTTCTATTTCTAACGTGTCCCTTAACTTGATTCTAGTAAAAGCAGCAAGCAGTGGTATTTAATATACAAACTCATCAAATTCCACATAAAACATTTAACCACAGTTTTAAAAACTCAAGTGTCCTTTACACTAGCTACCTTGGAAGTAGTACTGCACTTTTCTCACCATGTTGTCATTGTGTTATGCATTCTTGGAATTTCCCTTTTGTAATTACCTTAAGATCCATTCATAAACCACAGAAGAAATCAGTCTTGCTTTATAATCCTATCTAGGTTGGCATACAAAAATAGCATTGTCCCACTGGATCTCTTACTTTATAAACCAGATGTGGCGCTACTGACTTTGGACTCTTTAGAATGACTTCCCTTCCCACTCCACTCAACTGTCATTGTTGGGTGAGAACATGCTGGAGGGTGGAGCCAGGACATTCCATTAGAATGTCTAATCCCTCAAGGTGACCACTGATGGAGACAACATGAATTTGCATGTTCTAATAAATACATACTTTTAAATGGCCTCTAGAGTAGTTTTCCTTCCCTAATCTCCATTCCTTCCAATTCAAGGGCAAATTATAAATTTTTATTTTTCAGGCTGCTTTTTAAATTTCACTTTTCAGAAACACAACAATAAGAGTTAATGTAGTCCTCCTTTAAACTAGAAAATACTGGTATAGGCCAGGCGCGGTGGCTGACGCCTGTAATCCCAGCACTTTGGGAGGCCGAGGCGGGCAGATCACGACTTCAGGCTGAGGCAGGAGAATTGCTTGAACCGGGGAGGTGAAGGTTGTGGTGTGCCGAGATCACGCCATTGCACACCAGCCTGGGCAACAAGAGCCAAACTCTGTCTCAAAAAAAAAAAAAAAGAAAATACTGGTATATATCCAGATGCAGTGGGCTACAAAACGTGGAATGATCATTAATTCCTGTTATATTTCTTTTTTTTCTGTAGCCTTGGATCCTTAGACTCACCAATAACTGAAGCTACAGTGATTACAAACCTGATAGAACCTCACAATTTGAACAGAAAAGGAGGAGACAAAATTGCAGCGTGTGTTTGGGGCAGAGGTCAGGAAGGCTGAGATGTAGACCACATCTGCATCTTTTGGGCCAGCAGCCTTTGGAATGATCAGGGAACAGTGAGCGTAGGAGCTTGTCTTATAGCTGCTGCGCCTATCCCAACCTTTGCCCCCAGTTATCTCATTTAGAAAACCCTCTGGCTCCAGGGGTCCTTCTACTGCCTCCATGTAATAGATGTCTGCATGAGTCAGGGGTAGAAACTCCACCCCTCCAGGGGTGAGGTTCTTAATCCACAATGAGCTGCAGGTGTTTCCAAGGACAAACTTTAGTCTCAGATCACATTCATATCAGAGGTCCTAGGTCACCCAGTTCACTTTCCAGGATCATATACATTCTTTCATTAGGGTCACAAGAGATACAGTAACTTCTGCATGGTCTTCTGATCCATGCCCATTGTGAGCAAGAGTGACTGATTCAGACAGATACAGGACAGGATATGATTCGATCTTCTAACATCACACTGATTATCAGGAATACAAAGTAAAGGAGGAACATTGTGAAGCCCAGGATCTTGTTCATTCTCCATTTACATGACGCAATTGAAGAGATCACAAACAGAAGCATGAGAAAAAGCAAAACAATTGCACAAAACAAGCCATTGCTGCTGACTGGAACTGGCTGTAATCCATTGATAAGAGAGAAAAGCAACCAAGGAACAGGCAAGCTGCAAGATTGAAGAAACGATGTGAATATCCTTAATGTTTATAATAATCCCATACACTTAAATAGTAGTTTATACTTTACAAAGTATTTTTCCACCAATAAAATATCTATGAAGTGAACAGAAATTATTAGCCCCATTTCACAGACAAGGAAATTAAGTTTCAGGGAAATTAAATTACTTGCCCAAGGACTCATTAATAACTAGAAGAGCTTAGGTTAAAACTGAAGTATTCTGAGTCTGAGCTTTGTTTTTATTTTCTGCATACTTCATGACTTCTATATGACTCAGATCAGTTGATGTGTGCCTTTTTTTTTTTTTTTAAATGCTGGAATTACAGGCACACTTCACCACACCCAGCCCCAATGTGATATGTACTCTTAAATCTCTACATTTTGATAAGGCCTACATTTCTTTTAATTCTTTAGTGATGAGGGCTGCCTTTTTAGCTGCCCCTCACCCCAAATACACATACACAAATTCAAATTTAAGGAAACAAATCTACCACCCAAATTCAGAACATGATTGGGGAAATGAAAATAGCCCCTGTTTCTGACAAGGTTGGGAGAATGGAGTAAGAGGATGGGTACAGGAGGATAAGGCATTTGCGTGTTATACAAAATGCTGTTTAGAGTCTCTGAGCTAGCAGGAGTTCACATACAAAGGAGCAAGAGTAGTACCAAGAAGTGAAGTTGAGTCATTGCTCCTTCCAATCCTACCTCCACCGCCTTGAAAGTCAGTGAGCAGAGCATTTGACGGTATTTGGTAATGGAATGAAATGGACTTTGGTTTTCAATTTATCTGTAAATTCCAGTCAGTTACATTTCAGGCAGCATTTTAGGTCTATTATCCCATCTGGCTATGATGAATGAAGGGAAGATATTTTGTTGCTTTGCAGAAACTAACAATATAAATGCCCTTTTATTCTATGTATAATGAATAAAGCAGAAAACCAGTGAACAGAGCCAATGCAGTGTTTTCCAGTCATACTTAACACCCCTTAGAAAGTTACATTGCCACTCACCCCACAGTGATATCAAATATGTTACTGCCCACAGAGCTTGACACAGCCATGTCTCCCAGGCCTTTTCGAGCGACAATCACACTGGTGATGAGGTCAGGAATTGATGTGCCTGCTGCAAGGATTGTCAGGCCCATGATCTCTTCAGAAATCCCTATTGTTTCACCAACCTGGTAAACGGCAACGGTCAACAGTAGGTGAAAAACCTGAGGCACATCCAAGCACTATCCACATCCTACTTTGTGCAAACAGACTGCCTTCTAAGGAGCTCAGCCACACCCCCTCAGCCTGAGTGAGGAAGGGTGATAGGGGGACCGACAGCTGAGATGGCCACAGAGAGGAAGAGCAAGCAAGACTCCTGCTCCTGGCCACAGGGACCATGTTGCTCTTCTTTTCACAATTGGACTAAAAGTTACCTACACCAGATCTGCTGCTCACTGTCATTCCAACTCTTAACACCCCTACCTCCCCACAAGAACTGCCCTTCCAAAGAGCTGTTCATGTCAGCATTTCTATTTCCAGGAATGTGGACACTTGCTGTGTGCCAGGAACTAAGAGGCTGGAGGTGAAGTATGAGCAGGATGACATAGACCCTAATCTCGGCCTTTTAGAGAGGAAAGCTAGTAAACAATTATTACAGTTCAGTATTCCAGGCAGAACAGAAACACTATAGGTACTCAGAGGAAGACTAATTGAATGCCAGAGAGCAGGCGAAAAAAGCTGGCTCTCAGAATGCGTAGGATTTCACCAGGTGAGAGGGATGGGTACATGGCAGAGAAAGCAGGAAATAAGGCTAATAAGCCAAGTTCAGCTGGAATCAGGCAGGATTCCAAGGCCTTCTATGCCATGCTACAGGATATGACAGAAAAGCCACACTTGAGAAGCACTGCGTTCACTGGAATAAAAAGTCTACTTTTAAGCCTTTACAAACAACATAGAAACTGCACGAATTCACTTGATCCTCGAGATTCCCTGAGTACCGGAGATTGATCCTGAAGGAAAGTGTCGTTGGGACCTGCTGGTAGAGGATTTCGTTCCTGCTGTTCACTCACCTGGTGAGCCCACCACACCATGAGGTATGAGAACATGGCTATCCACATGATAGATCCCAGGAAGGTGAAAACAAAAAACTTCCTAGACTCCTGTTTGAAAGTTTGAAAAGGACAAGAAGTAAGCTGTAGAGGTTAAAAGGTCTTTGGCCCTTCTGAGCAAGCCCAACAATCAGTGACAAGGTCTAATGGAAGAGTGATGGAGGCAAAATGGAGACATTTGACCTGAGAGCTCTCTCTCCAGGGAGGACCTTGAGATGGATGGAAAAGGATGGAGGTTGGGGGTACACCTGTAGGGGAGTCCAGCCAGTAGGGTGGACAGCAGTCACCAGATGGAAGAAAGCTGTTTGCTTGCCCTAGAACCAGGCCAATCTAGGTATCTGGTTTGGCTTTTGCAACCTCCTTGTACCATTCCTTTCTGGTCAGACCTTTCCTTGCAAATAAGAATGTTGGGTATAAATACTAGTGATTTCCCTGGGTTTTGGGAATACTCCTGTGAAATATGCAGGAGGTTTAGTGGTATCATTCTCAAATTAAAATCAAGAAACTGAGATAGGAGTCAAAGAGGGACTAGTGTATGCTGCTTATAGCAGTGGGAATAAAGCGCATGAGATCTAGGGCCTCCCAGTCCCAGTGGTATGTCCCCTAAGCACATAGTCCCCCTCCAAGGCTTCAGTCCCTTCCCAGATCTCAATGGTGGAGCCCTGATAAGCTGGTTGTCCCTGGCCTCTTCCTCCTCTTGAGTGTGAGCCCCGCATGCCGAGAGACCCCACAGCCCTGCTGGGGATAAAGAGTCTGAGATACAGATGGGCACACTCACCTGCCTTCGGACGTCGGGGACTGTCAGCCACAGTGGGAACACGATGGGCAGAAGGAAGAGGTAAATGGCCTGCTTCTGCCTGGTTTCAGGCCAGTCCAGGGACAGAGGCTCTTCATTTCCCTTCTCCTCCTCTTCCTCCTCCTCCTCCTCCTCTTCCTCCTGCTCTTCCTCCTCCTCCTCTTCCTCCTGCTCTTCCTCCTCCTCTTCCTCCTCTTCGCTATCCCCTCCATCACTTCCCCCTCCATCTTCTACACCTTTCTCATCATTTTTGGCTTCACCGTGATTTTCAGCACTGAGTTCCTGGCTTTCAGTTTCACCTTCATTACCTTTCATTTCACCATCTTCTGCGTGGATTTCACCCTCATCTTCACCTTCATTGTCTCCTTTTCCTTCTGCTTCATTTTCATCTTCACATTCTTCTCCTTTTCCTTGTGTTTCAGTTTCACCTTCACCTTCTGGTTGAGTTTCACCTCCACTTTTCTCTTCAGTTTCACCTTCACCAGCAGTTTCGCCCTCTTCGCCTGGCATTTCACCTGTGCTCTCGGCCTCAGCCACATCTTCCTGCAATCCAAAACCAACAGATTAATGTGTGGTAACTGCTCTGCTTGTTTTCCTTATGTTACTCCCCCATTTTTTTGTTGGCGTGCTTCTCAGAAGGTATCTGAAAACTTAAGTATGAGGAGAAAACTAGTGCGATAATTCAGCAGAATTCCCATGACCACACTCCTACCTAGTGGCTGTCCAGCTTTTATTTGATCATTTCCAGGGGTGGAAAGCTCACCACCTGAAGCAGCTTCTGTCATCTTTGGCACCTCTGATTCATCTGAAGTCCATATTTATATCAAAGTTCTACCCCCATGTATAGGTTTACTCTTTGATGCCTTACAAAACATCAGTCTTCCATGAGACAGCTCTCTTCCCTGGGTTAAAGATTCCCAGGTCCTTATATCATTTCTACATGCTATGGCCTAGAGCCTCCTCCCTATCCTGGTGAACTCATTTTAATTAGCTTATATCCCAGGAGGAGGGCATCCAAAACTGAATACAGAATATTGCATGGAGTGGAACAGGACTATCACCTCCCTTGTCTTAGATACAATGTTTCCATTAATGTTGCTTAATATGGCATGACATCCTTTGGTGGTCACAATGCATTGCTGAGTCTACTAAAACTCCTAAATTGTTTTATTACCTTATATCTACAAAATAAGGATGATAATGCCTATTTATTGAGGGTTTTTATGTGCCAGGCACCATGGGAAGTAGTTTAATAATAATAGCTAGCACTTACGGTGTTTTATGAATCAATTAATTCATGATATGGATAAAACTATGCCCATCTTACAGATGGAGAAACTAGAGTAAAAGGAACTAAGTAACTTGCCCATGGTCCACGTGGTTTATAAGTGATGAAGTTGGGATTTGAATATGGGTGGTCCACCAAGCTATCCTGCTTTACCAATCAATACCAGGTAAAGGGCCAAATGAGATGTCTGGCTCCCAAACTTGGTAGCCTGAGGAGCTTATTAGAAATTCAGATTTTTAGGCTGGGCACGGTGGCTCATGCCTGTAATCCTAGCACTTTGGGAGGCTGAGGTGGGCGGATCACAAGGTCAGGAGTTTGAGACCAGCCTGGCCAACATGGTGAAACCCTGTCTCTACTAAAAATACAAAAATTAGCTGGGCGCGGTGGCAGGCGCCTGTAATCCTAGCTACTCAGGAGGCTGAGGCAGAATTGTTTGAACCTGGGTGGTAGAAGTTGCAGTGAGCTGAGATTGTGTCACGCACTCCAGCCTGGGTGACAGAGCAAGACTCTGTCTCAAAGAGAAAAAAGAAATACAGATTTTCTGACCCCACCTGGACCAACTGAATTAGAATCTTTAGAATTGGAAGCCAGGAATCTGTATTTTAACATACTCACAGCTGTTCCTAAAACATCCACCTTTAGACCAGTGTTTGGGAACCACTGACTATCTCCACACACCCTAAAAGCCATTGATAGCTGGGTGTGGTCTCAGACATAGATGCCTATGTTTCAACTACTCAGGCAGCTGAGGCAGTAGGATCGCTAGAGCCCAGGAGTTCCAGGCCAGCCTGGGCAATATAGTGAGACCCCATACCCCTGTAAAAAATTTAAGAGATAGGCTGGGCACGGTGGCTCACACCTGTAATCTCAGCACTTTGGGAGGCTGAGTCGGGCGGATCATGAGGTCAGGAGTTTGAGACCAGCCTGACTAAAGTGGTGAAACCCCATATCTACTTAAAAAAAATAAATAAATAAAAATTAGCCAGGCGTGGTGGTGCATGCCTGTAAGTGCCTGTAATTCCAGCTCATCAGGAGGCTGAGGCTGGAGAATTGCTTGAACCCGGGAGGCAGAGGTTGCAGTGAGCTGAGATCGTGTCACTGCACTCCAGCCTAGGCGACAGAGCAAGACTCAGTCTCAAAAAAAAAAAAGAGATAAAATTAAAAGCCATTGATTCAGAGTGTCCTCAGATTAGGCAACCAGCTAACCTGTAGCAATATGCTGGTCCATCCCTTGAGCAAGAGCCCTGGGCTGTGTGTTCATGGAGTAAATATGTTGTCTGTAACAAATGTCATGATATTGGCAACCCCCAAAGGATGTTGAGTGAGTCTCAATTGTGCTGCACATTAAAATCACCTGAAGGCTTTTTTTTTTGTTTTGAGGCGGAGTCTTGCTCTGTCGCCCAGGCTGGAGTGCAGTGGCACCATCTGGGCTCACTGCAAGCTCCGCCTCCCGGGTTCACGCCATTCTCTCACCTCAGCATCCCGAGTAGCTGGGATTACAGGCATGTGCCACCACACCTGGCTAATTTTTTGTAGTTTTAGTAGAGACGGGGTTTCACCGTGTTAGCCAGGATGGTCTCGATCTCCTGAGCTCGTGATCCGCCCGCCTCGGCCTCCCAAAGTGCTGGGATTACAGGCGTGAGCCACCGCACCCGGCCCTGAAGGCTTTTTAAACCATTGATGCCCAAGGACCCACCCCAGATATTCTGACTTCATTGGTTGAGGGTGGGGCCTGGTCATTTTTTTTACTTCCCCAAATTATTCTAATATGCAACCAGGGTTGAGAACCCCCAATGAAGACAACAAATACTACTGATGAGGCCTGCAGTTTGAACTGAGAATGAGGATTGAGAAGATTTTCGTCTGAAATCATTCCTGCCCTCTCCTGTCTACCCCCATCAGGTAGAGAATGCTTCCCAGAGGAGATGACAAGTCATTTAAACCCATAAATATGGGAGCGTCTGTCTGTTCTGCACCCTCTACTCTGAAGACTGTCACTCCTAATAGCCCCAGCTGAGCAAGTAGCTTCCACTTCCTGTGTTGGAGTCAAGTCAGCCAGCCACAACCAGTTGGATGCAAGCTGGATTCTTGACCAAGGAGCTGGGTTGAACCGATTCTTTCTCTCTCTGTCTCTCTCTTTTTTTTTTTTTTTTTTTTTTTTGAGACAGTCTCTCTCTGTCACCCAGGCTGGAGTGTAGTGGTGCGACTTCTGCTCACTGCAGTCTCCGCCTCCACAGTTCAAGTGATTCTCCTGCCTCAGCCTCCCAAGTAGCTGGGATTACAGGCACGCACCACCACACCCGGCTAATTTTTGTATTTTTAGTAGAGATGGGGTTTCACCATGTTGGCCAGGCTGGTCTCAAACTCCTGACCTCAAGTGATCCTCCTGCCTCGGCCTCCCAAAGTGCAGGGATTACAGGTGTGAGCCACAACACCCGGCCCGATTCTCTCTCTTTTAAGACTGGAAACCAGTCACTGATTCTCCTGTGGATGCAGGATTGGGATTGTAGCTTGGGGTTATATGTGTGCTCATAAGGGAACAAATGAAGCCAGCCTGCCAAGAGAGGCCCATGATAGAGCCTGTACTCAGAGAAGGAATGTGAGGGAGAGCAGGACATGGAATGAGAAGCCACCAGGGTCACAGATGCCTTCTCAGGCCTAGGCCCAGCTCTTCATGAGATCAAGCTTCACTTCCTGCCCTGGGATTCCAGGGAATACCTCTGTATCCTCTTAATCCTTTTTACTTGAGCTAGCGGTAATAGACCTACTCATGTTACCATGAAGCTGTCTTAGACGCTGAACCCAAAGTTGCTGGCTTAAGGATGAGATATAATCAAGCGTTTTCTGGGTATTGAATGGAGAGAAAAAAAGAGATGGAACTTGCAAATGGAATGTTTTTTACTGTCAGTCACTCAACATATATTGAGCCAGCTGTGCACCAGGCATTCTGCTTCCCTCTGTAGGGGAGACAGGGATGACTCAGACTTCGATCTTGCCTTCAGGAACCTCACCACCTAGCAGGCTCAGAATCCAAGGAAGACAGTTGGTAAAAGCCCTGGGATAGGTGCAGAGCACCAGGGGCATTCAGATTTGGAGTGGTTCAAGGCAGCTACATGACAAAGGTGTTTATACTGGCCAGGGGCTGGGGAGGGGGGTGGGGTGCATGGTAAGATGAGGATATATGAAAATGGAGGAGAAAAGGCATTCTAGGGAGAGAAAACCATGTGAGCCAAGGCTGGGAGGTAGAAAAACATGGAGACGGCCGGGCGTGGTGGCTCATGCCTATAATCCCAGCACTTTGGGAGGCCAAGGTGGGTGGATCACAAGGTCAGGAGATCAAGACCATCCTGGCCAACATGTTGAAACCCCGTCTCTACTAAAAATACAAAAATAAAAATAAAAAAAAGAAAAACATGGAGACAAGAAATCCAGTTTGGCTGGAGCATGGTAGAAGAAGAGACCATGAGGCTGTAAAGACGGGGCAGTATCAGGACTTGGAAAGCTCTGCAGACAAGGCTGAGATGCCTGACCAGGTGCAGTAGGCAATGAGGAGCCTCAGAAGGTTGGAAAGCCTTCACCCAGCATCCCTCCCACCTGCATTTCAAGCTTCCCAGTGCTCAGGAGCTACCTGGTCTCACTGTCACCTAGTTGCTGACAGACCCACTAACAATTATTCCTTATGTTCTTATAGCATGTGACAGTTCACAATACATTGTCAATATGTTAGCTCACTCATGTAAGATGTTCCAGTGAGTTAATTGGCCCCATGAGATACTTGTATTTTTCAAGTGATCTTCAGAGAAAGGGTAATATTTACCCCCAGAGGAATGAACCTCAAATAGGATTTCAGACCTTCAGGGAGGATGTATTTTTGGTCAAGAGTTCCTTCCCTAGACCTCTCCAATTTTGTCTGTGCCAAGGCTGGGTGCCTACCTGACCGCCTGGATTCTCCTTCTGATCTCCCTTGATGTCTGGAACAGGGGCTGGTGTGACCGTGACCGCAGGGAGCTTGGCTGGCTCCTCCTCTTTAAAGGATAAACATGGGTTACATCAGAAGAGTGGACAAGGTTCTGAAGGAAGCTGGCAGAGACACTGGCATAAGTGGCTACAGGGCTATTGGACTTCAGGGTTTCTGAAGGTTTATTTGGGGGAATTTCTTGTTGGTAGGAAAAGTAAGATGATGTGAATTGTTATTGCCCTGACCTATCTGCAGATGAGAAGACAGTTGGCAAGTGACCATCCGTGCTCCCCTATAATTCACAGACATATCCATCCTGGCCATTGTGGCCAAAGACACTGTCAACAGCTGGGCAGTCAGAACAGAGAGAGGGCAAAGCTCCCAGCACTCAGAGAATGACCCTTTGGGAAGGATCCTGCTGATTCCAAAGGCAGCAGCTTTTGAAGCCTTGGAACAGGACTGACGGGAAGGGAAACTTGGAAAGTCTGGAGAGCTAGGTTTAGGTACAGGTTCTCTCACTTCTTGGCTGTGTGGCTTTGGGAAGTCACTTGACCTCTCTGAGACTCTTGTCTATAGGATGGGAAGAATGACTGCTGTTCCACCTCCATCCAGGGGTTGCTGGGTGGATCAGGCAGTCCTGGTGTGCTGTGCAGAGCCCACATGGCAGTGGCTGTCCCACTTTCTCAGTCCTAGCTGCCACACAGATACTAGACTTCTGTGACACCAGACCCCTGGTAGCCTTCCCTCACTGGGGTTGCTGATTTCAGACCAATAACTAGCAACACTGTCCTTGTACAGAAGAGACAGGAAGAAGAAATAAAGTCCCACAGTCTCATTTGGGATGAGATTTAGCAAAAAGAAGTGGGAGTTCAACAACCCCTAGCCTTCCCTCGCCTACCCCAGCTGTGGAAAACGGAGAGGAAGCTGTATGGGGCCACTCTCAGACCAGCGGCCATGTCAGAAAGACAGCACCTGGGAAGGAAGAGTCTGGAGTGGAGCGGCGATCAGGGCAACACCCTACCATCACTCTAACTGACTGGCTCACAGAGGCCAAAGATGTGCCTCAGCCCCTGGCCTGGCTGGCTGCTGCCTCCAGGCCAAGCTCACTACTGACAGCAGGGAGAGGGGGGCAGGAGAAAACCCACTGGTCTGGCCATCCTCTCACCTTCTGGTTTGCTTTCTGCTTTGGCCTGGGGTTGGGCTCTGGCCCCTTGATTCAAGCTCTCCTCCTCCTTCTCCTTGGCAAGGCGAACTGCAAATGAGACAGGACATACATCTTACCTGGAATTGTAGGATCATCCCTGCCACGCCCTTTCAGTTAGGACAGTCAGCTGAGCAGCCAGAGGGCAGCTGCAGAGTGTGGGAAAAGGCTGCCATGGGGGTTGTGACATCTGGATTCTGATCCTACGAGGCCTAGTTGTGGTGCCTAATTCCCAAAGTTCTGTCTTACATTCTCTGCATTGTCACTGACTGGCTGTGACCTTAGGGTAAGTCATTTCCCTTCTCAAGGCCTATTTCCTCTCTGGTAAAATGACATGGTTGGACTCAGGACCAAGAAATAGGATTTATTTCCTTTACAAGCTCAAGTGATGGCCTGCTTGGGTACTGAATTGAGAAGGACTCTGACCCAAACTTTGTAGAAAAGTACCATGATTGATTGGTAATGTCTGTGATAGACATGGAATGGAGAAATAATTGCAGGGAGATGTTTTTGCCATCCTTGGACTATATTATCTTTGTAGCTTACTTTCTATGAATCTACTAGAGGCTTTGTTATAGCTCCAGGGGGACGGCTGATGGCCATGTTCATAAGCCTTCCCTCTCCAGTGGAAAAGGGGAAATGGTTCACCAACAAGCTCTCGGATACACCCTTTTTGACCCCAGGCACAACAAGAGCCCGAGAAGGGCCTCCTTCAGATCCCTATGCACATGCTTTGCTGGAGGCCCACAGGGCAGCATGCACAGAATTGTGCTGCCCTGATTTCCAGGTGAGAAACACGGGACAGGCAACTCTCTTTAACTGGGACTACGTGCCAGGAAACATGCAAAGCACTTTACGTGTATAATTTCAAGGTGAGAAGGGAAGAAGGAACAAGGCTGAGGTGAAGGAGTCCACAGCTGTGTGGCCTGGGAGGGCGAAGGCAGTGGTGCAAGTGAAGAACAAAGTGGTGTCATGGGATCTACGGGCTCTATTCTGAATTTAGGCTGGCTCTGCCCCATGAGCACCGGGTGACTTTGGGAAGCCTGTGTGCCGGCACTAAGCCTCAGCATCCTCTCTAAAAAGGCAATACCGTCATATCCTCAGGGGACTGATGTGATGAGGATCCATGAGACAAAATAAATAAAAACACTTTTACTGCTGCAAATGCTGGCCTCACTCATATTGTTCCTTTAGCACAATTCTGAAGCCTGATGACCTGGGTTTGAATCCTAGTTCTGCCACTTGCGCTATAGCTGTGGACCTAACTGGGTGATTCCTTAAGCTCTCTGTACTTCAGATTCTTCATCTGTAAAATCTTCCAGAGTTGGTGACAAAGTAAATGAATTTATACATGAATATGGTCAAAACAGTGTCTGGCACCTAGAAAGCACTCTATAACTTTTAGCTGTAACAACAACAACAACAATGATGAAAACAAATTGACAAGAGTAGTTGAGAGCAGCTGTCCTACCTGGGAAGCACCCCACAGTGATGATGCCCGGCATCCCAGAGGGTCCGAGTTAGAAGGAACCCTGGAGATCATCTAGTCCATAATACAGACGGACTGAGAGGAAACGGAGAAGCTGGAAAGTGCAATCTGGGAAGCTGGGTGGATCAAAGGCTCTGCCTGGCTCCAGGACAAGCAGGAAACAGATAAATGGGTCTGGAATTTCCTCCTCTCTACCTGTCTCCTAAACTCTCAGTTAGTTCAGCTGCAGCTGGCTCTGGCAATAAGCTCCATGGGTAGAGCCACTATGACATGTGTGGTCCCTCGAAGTGGCCTGGTGGGCCTGGGTCCTCATCAGAACTGAGAGGTGGGGGGCCAACACACCTTCGTCCAGACAAACCCAGTGCCCCCTTGGCACTAATCAAACCCTGAAGTCTTCTGTTGAGCAATGTGTAGCTGCTGTCACAGGAGGGCTCCCTTGGTTCTGGTCTTGGCACTGAGATTATCTGCTGGCTGTTGCTGGAAGGGCTAGCCATAAACACAAGCTTCCCCCTTTCCTTCTCATCCTCATCACAGCCTAGACTCTCACTTCCCATGTTACTGAGGAAAACAGGTCAGCTGCAGGGTCTCCCCCACCCTGTCTCACACACATCCAAGTGAAATCACCAGAAAAGCCATGGGACCCTGGAGAGGATAAGCCCCTTCACAGGGAAGGTGAGAGTTCAGACCCCAGGAAACATCTTTTCCACGGATCAGCTCTGTGGAAAGAGCTGGAACACCTGTAAAGAGTGGAAACATCTGGACGGCCATCTGGAAACAGCATACAAAAACACAAATGTGCATCTAGAGAGCCTGGGGAACAAAGGCCCTCATCACAGCCCTGCATGGTCCCCACCCCTCCCATATGTCATCTCAGGGTGTAGAATCAGGCTGGGCTCTTGAGCACGACTGAATCCCAGAGGACATCTGCAGTCACGAGAGCCATTCCATGCCCCAAAGACACCCAGAGACAATGTACCAGCATGCTTGTCCTCCCTGGGATGATTGCTGCTGGCTCCTGGGCACTCGTTTCCTCACATGCCTCTCCCCTCTCAGCAGGGCCGGATCATGGCTTTAGCATCAATCTCCTCTGACCTCAGCCTGGCCTGAACATCACATAATCCTGTTAGGACAAGTAGGCCAGCTGGAGGCTGTTGGTCATGGAGATGCCCAGCTGGGGGCCCTCCAGTCCCACCCAAGAGGTCTTTATCATCAGGACTTTGCTAGAGTCAGTGATTCCTCTGGGAGTAGCCACTGATGACCCAGAGATACAGCTTTCCTCATGGGGCCCTGGCCAGAGCACCCCGGCACTCATCACCAGAGGCTGTCAGGGGCTGCAGCTTCCATTCTGCAAACCCCAGAGGTACTATTTTTCTAGAGCTGACATTTGGGGATGGCCTCTCTCACATGTCTGCTGAGGTTTACCTTGAGGAATTGCTTTTTATTTTTTCTTTTCTCTCTCTTTTTTTCCTAACAGCTCCATCAGCAGCTTAGATTAATTTTTTTCTCCCTTTCTCTCTCTCTCTGTTCTTACCTTGAGGAATTCCTAAGGAAGGTTTCATCACTTGTCTTTGATGCAGCTTTTCACAGTATGGTTTATTTATTTATTTGTTTGTTTGTTTGTTTGTTTATTTAGAGATGGTCTCGCTCTGTCACCAGGCTGGAGTGCAGTGGCACGATCTTGGCTTACTGCAATCTCTGCCTCCCAGGTTCAAGCGATTCTCCTGCCTCAGCCTCCCAAGTAGCTGGGACTACAGGTGTGTGCCAATTTTTGTGTTTTTAGTAGAGACAGGGTTTCACCATGTTGCCCAGGATGCTCTCGATTTCTTGACCTCGTGATCCGCCCACCTTGGCCTCCCAAAGTACTGGGATTACAGGCGTGAGCCACTGTGTCCAGCCTTTTTAAAAATTATTTATTTATTTATTTATTTGAGGTGGAGTCTCACTCTGCAGCCTAGGCTGGAGTGCAGCGGTGCAATCTCGGCTCACTACAACCTCCACCTCCCGGGTTCAAGTGACTCTCCCGTCTCAGCCTCCCAAGTAGCTGGGATTACAGGCGCCTGCCACCACGCCTGGCTAATTTTTTTTGTATTTTAGTAGAGATGGGGTTTCACCGTGTTGCCCAGGCTGGTCTTGGACTCCTGAGCTCAGGCAATCCACCTGCCTCGGCCTCCCAAGATGCTAGGATTACAGGCGTGAGCCACCATGCCTGGCTGGTATTTTTTTTTAAAACAACTGACAACCCAATATTGTCTCTGAAAAGGACTTCAGAGCCTAAAGAAAATTCTGAGCCCCGAAAATTTGTCCTTGAGCCAGAAAGGTCAGTCAGAGTGCTCCCTGGGACTCAATGGATCATTCTGTGGTGTCATATTCAGCTCAGCCCTCAGCCCTCCTGCCCAACTGCAGTCCAAGCCCTTGGCTTTTGCACAAAGGCTAGCATTTCCTTGATGGGCCTCCTGGCTGGGTTCCGGTTCTGCACCAGAGCCCCAGAGATGGGGAGGCTCCAGGAGAGCAGGAGAGTAGCTGAGAAGTGCCCTTTAGGGGTCTGAGATGCATGTTGGGGGCAGCTCTCTGGGGAAGAGAAGCAGAAGGCAGGATGTGGTAAGGTGGACAGTGAGAATCTCAGCCGCTGCCACCATTTGTCAAATTGGACAACAGCCCCCACTATACTTTGGACCCTGCTCTTACCCTCGTCACCCTTAAAAGGGTCCTGGCAGTTTCCAGGGTGTCCTTTGGGATTCCAGACTTGGGGAGGAGTTGGCAGGTTTCCTAGGACTCCAGAGTTGAATATAAAGCAAAAGGAAGTGCCACTAAGAACTTCTGGGCTTTGGGACCCTACAAGAGGCGTCCCCAGAAGCAGCCCAGGCCAGTCAGCCTGGGCTGAGCTGCTTGGCTAGACACTCTCCATGGAACACTGGGGCTGACTCCTGGGCAGTGGGCTTTGCAGGGCAGCCCCATCCCAAATCTGTGCAGAGCACATGGTACTCACAGCCTAACTGCAGGTTAATGCCTTCATTTTACAGGGAGGGACAGAGGCAGGGAAGTGGGATGTGGATACCCAAGGACCTTAGCCTCCATGTTCTTTGTTGCCCTCTCTTGGTGAGTCCCCTGTCTTGGTCTCTACCCTCTTTCCCAGACTGTCTGACTTTTACTACTTTCCTCTGCTTATTATCTCTTCCCACTCCCTCCTCACTGCCTCTAGGATTTTCAGGTCCCAGTTCTTCTCCAGCTGCAGGAGGGAAGGAGTGGATGGGGCAAACCACAAAGGTCTGGAGAGGCCTTGCTTACCTTCCCTCAGGGGGTCCAGGCTGTGGAGCATGAGCTGGTAGATGGTGCTGCGGATGGTGCTGTTGTGCAGAGAGGTCGAGCTGCTCCCTCGGGTCAGCAAGGACGGGAGCTGAGCAAGAGGAGAGCCGCACAGTGGGCCCCTGTCCAAGCCAGGGGAGGAACCACACGAGGGCATCACTAACCTTGCCTCTTTCCCATAAAGATCAGGGAGAAAGCACAGATGCCTTATCCTGACCTCCCCTCTTCCTCCACCTCCAACCAGAAGAGTTACACTACTTTCTTTCTCAGCCTCCCCTCAGCTCTTCCAGGACTATTTTGTTTTAGGTACTGAATAATTTCCCAACGTCTCCACAGGGAGCAACCTGGTGTATTAGGAATATCACGTTATGAAGGGTTTGCACATCCCTGCAAGTACACCCTCAGAAACACTCCCTCACCCACACACCACACAGACAGACCCACTGCACATGGCTACAGCCCTTTACAGTCCACAAAGAGCATTATCACGTTTTATCATTGCCCCACTCCCAGAGACAAGCAAAGCTATGATCCCCATCTATGGAAAGGGAAAGGAAAACTCAAAGAAGCTAGGTGCCTAAGCCAAGGTCATGCAGGAAGTAAATGAAAGAGTCAGACTGGTACCCAGGTCTTCTGTGGTCTTCTGATTCCCAGTTTTCAGTTTTGTTTTGGTTTTTTTTCTGCCCATGTGCTCAGAGACCCTCACAGGTACACACATACACACACATCTATACTGTACAGACACAGATGTGACACTTATTCATAGTGACACATATAGAAATATCATCTGATTTACAATGGAACATCCAAAGACAACGCTTCCACACTTGCGGAGTCCTCCCTCCCTTCTCTTCTTCCTCCCTCCTTTCTTCCCCCTCATCCCTCTGATCTGAACTCTTCTGCCATCTAGTGGTTGTGGTGACACTACTTCACCACAAGTCAGAGATTTTCTTTGGATGGGGGAGGTTCTTTAGGTTCAAGTTCGGAACTCCTTTCAAAGTTCCCCATAATTCTTTCCAGATACTTCATAGACTATAAACAGCTAAGACACAGTTTTTCAGAAACCTCAGACTCCTGTCCTCTCCAGTTCCCCTGCTATCTTTCTCTTAGTTCTGGGGCATTCCAAAGCCATAGGTAATCTGGCTTTTATATCAATCATACAATGTTGGGCTGTACATTAGGACTTGAATTCATCTAGTTCAAACAGTCATTTTACAGATGCAGAATCTGAAGCTCAAGGTCACACAGCAAGCTAATGGCAGAGAGGACTGTAACATTCCAGACTTAGCTCCCAAACTAGCACCTCCTCAAAGGCCATCTAGAGGTGAGAGTTCTCAGAAAAAGAGCCCTCTCCTCCCTTGCCTCACCCTGGCAGCGCTCCCAGGAGTTTCCTAGGCCTGAGCACAGCCAGGGTCCCCAGCACAGGGCCACAATACCCTGGGCCTGTGATCATCCACTGAGACCCTGCAGTGTCCCCACTGGGCAGACTCCATACGGCACCCACCTTCAGCTTCTTGTTATCCTGTAGCTCATCCACCGCAATGGCCCCATCGCCCGGCTGCAAACAGGGAGAGGAGTCACGAGATGTTGTGGCGAGACCCTCACTTTCTCCCTACATCCCTTTCTCCACGGAAGTCCTCAGGTTGAAATACAGAAACACACTCCGAGATAACCTGGTCTCAGAAAATGTTTCAACATGTTCCATCCCTCCAGTCTGACCTTCTATAATCTGGCTTCAGCCTGCAATGCAGTACCCCCAGTCGAATCTGTCCACTCACCATAGTCCAGTGGCACCAACTGTCTTTGGGTTTCTGAAATGTGCCATCCTCTTCACCCACCTCAAAACCCTCATCACAGGGCCCCTCGCCCCCTGTCCGTAATGCTCTTTCCCTCCTCAGGCTTCTGGTCTCCACTTAAGTGTCACCTTCCTCTGGGAAGCCATGTATAATTCTTTTATAGACCCCTGTTCTTTTCCTTCACTGCACTTTCCCCAATTTATTTGTGGAAATAAGTTGACTGCCCCACTAGCATCTTGAAGGTAGACTGTTTTATTCACCACTGTGTGGCCAGCATGAGAACACTGCCCAGCACTTAGCAAGAGCTCAATATTTATTAAATGAATGAATAAATGAAAATCAACTGTCCTCTAAATACACTTAATCTATTCTAAGTCTTGTTCCCTTGTTCATGCCTTTTTCTCCTGCCTAAAATGCCATCTCCATTCCTTTCTGCCTACTCAAATCTTATCCATTTTTTATAAAATTCAGGGTGAATTCTTGTATGAAGCTTTCCCAAATGCCCCTTCCATGCCCCCTCCCACCCTCCCTTCAGCTCATTACAATACCTCTCTCCTGGAAAGCTGTATAACAGTGAACACATTCTGTGATACTAAAATCAGCTGTGTGCTCAGGTAAGTGCTAGTGTTTTGGGAAAGCTATGGGGCAGCCAGCTGGGAAGTGGGACAGCCCTAGACAATCCAAGATGAAGAAGCATTAAGCCTGTGTATTTACTGTCTGAACCACTAGCTTGCCACTTTACACTCACAGTCTTGTAATATCATTTGAACTTTTTTTTTAAAAAAAGCACTGTTTAACTTTTCACTGCATGAATTGTCTACCAGCTACATGTAGACTCTACCTTTTTTTTTCTTTTTTTGCCACGCAATGAACTTACAGTTATCTGTTTCCCTTCCTTGTGGCAGTGTCTTACTGAGAACAGGAGGTGCTCAGTAAAGGTGAGCTGAATGAGTAGACACTCCCAAGTGAGTGACCTTCAGTGCTTTTGGGATTACTATTATTATTATTATTATTATTATTATTATTATTTTGAGACAGAGCGCTGGAGTGCAGTGGTGCAATATCGCCTCACTGCAACCTCCCCCTCCTGGGTTCAAGCGATTCTCCTGCCTCAGCCTCCCAAGTAGCTGGGATTACAGGTGTTTGCCACCATATCCGGCTAAATTTTGTATTTTTAGTAGAGATGGGGTTTCACCATGTTGGCCAGGCTGGTCTCGAACTCCTGACCTCAGTTGATCCACCCACCTCAGCCTCCCAAACTGCTGGGATTACAGGCATGAGCCACTGCGCTCAGCCTTATTATTTTTTTAGACAGAGTTTTGCTCTGTTGCCCAGGCTGGAGTGGAGTAGCACAATCATGGCTCATTGTGGCCTCGACCTCCTGGGCTCAAGCCATCTTCCCACCTCAGCCTCCCAAGTAGCTGGGACTACAGGTGCGTACTACGACACCCGGCTAGTTTTTGTATTTTTTGTAGAGATGGGATTTCACCATGTTGCCCAAGCTGGTCTCAAACTGTGCCCAAGTGACTCACCCACCTCTGCCTTCCAAAATGCTGGTATTACAGGTGTGAGTGACTGGCTACGTTTTTTTGTTTTTTGTAGATACTGGGTCTGTTTATGTTGTCCAACCTGGTCTCGAACTACTGGGGTCAAGCAGTCCTCCTGCTTCACCTCCACAAAGTGATGGGATCACAGGTGTGAGCCAGCACATCCAGCCTTTAGTGTTATCTTTAAGCAGCAGGATCACAAATAGCTGCCCTCAGCAATCGTCTTTACCTTCTCATTGCTTCCCTCACCCCACCAACCTCCATGGCTAAACCAGAATTGAACTTGCTACACTCCCTTCTTTGTTCAGCTCAGAAAATATAGAAAATAGTGCTTGATCTAGGGCCACTCAGCCATCCCTCCAACTTATTCATTCATGCAGTTCTTATTTACTGAGAACCTGCTATACTATTTACATGGTGCTATTCTGGTGGCTTTAGGGATACAAAGATGCTTAGGACATGGATTCTGTGTCCAGAAAGAAATTGAGGCCAATGATAATACAGATGCATGACAAAGAAGAATGTGGTTCCTGAAATAAAAGGCACAGATAGGTGCTATGCTGTGATGGGCAAGGAAGCTTTCTGAAATAGGTAGAATTTGAGTAAGCTTTGAAGGATTGGGAGAGGTTTGAATGCTTGGATACACATTGCTAAATGAATGAATGAACATAAAAATGAATGAAACAGAGTATAAATAACCAATCTGCATATGAAGGGGGCACTGTGCATTTTAAGAAATCCCCCCAACTCTTTTGTGACACACCTATAAGTTTACTGGGATTTAAGAGGCTACAGCACTGAACCCATTGGCCCAGCCATCTCACTATTTCTCACATCCAACCCTCACCCAAAGAGTTCTTTCTTTTTTTTTCTTTTTTTTTTTTTTTTTTTTTTTTGGAGACGGAGTCTCACTCTGTTGCCAGGCTGGAGTGCCTCCCGGGTTCAAGCGATTCTCCTGCCTCAGCCTCCCGAGTAGCTGGGACTACAGGTGTGCACCACCAGGCCCAGCTAATTTTTGTGTTTTTAGTAGAGACTGGGTTTCACCATATTGGCCGGGATGATCTTGATCTCCTGACCTTGTGATCCACCCGCCTCGGCCTCCCAGAGTGCTTGGCCAGGCGTGAGCCACTGCGCCTGGCCAAGAGTTCTCTTTAGAGGCAAAGAACTGTGAGGGTCCCGTCTACACTCTAGGGTGGATGGTTCTGTACACCGAGGGGTAGGAGAGACTGATCTTTGCCCCATGGTGCACACCCCTAATGGTTTCTCTGCCATTCAGATTTATTCAAGCCAAAATACCTTTCTAAGGATTCATTGTTCATGGCTAATTTCAGCATGCACTTCTAACTTTCTGAAGCCTTTCATATCCATTTTCTTATTTGATACGACCAACTCTGTGAAATAGACAACACTCATATTATTGTAGCTATTTTGCTAGATTAGAAAACTGAGATGCAGAATGATTCCATCACTTACCCACACTCACAAAGATGGTGACAGAACCCTGTCTTCTTCTCTTTTTTTCTTTTTTTTCTTTTTGTTTAGCACCCTGATCTTATCTTCATTCAGTTTTTCTTTTTCTTTTTCTTTTTTTTTTTTTTTTTTGGTGCTTTTGATTTGGTTTTACTAAATCCCATTTATTTTCCCAAGCATAAATAAGGAAATGAGGTCAAATCTATATTCCCTAGTGGCTCTATTTCATATTTCGACATTTCAGGCAAATGGACATGAATGTTTGTCAACATTTGGGTGTGGCTGATGAGTCCATTTATGAGTAACAGCACTGGAAAGTAGGTGCTTTCTGAACATGCCCTTTTCACAAACACATTCACCTCTCACATCACAACATTCTCCCTGCTCTTTCTTCAGCCCAGTTACCCCCACCTTCTTCTCCTTACAACAGTTAGCAAGAGGCTGAGGTAACAGAAGAGGATGTCTTCATGCCTCTTGCTGAGGATGAGCAATGGGATCCTTTGCAGCTGTTTATAGGAACTTCAGGTGGCAAACCATGGTAGCCCCTAGTGGGCTTGTCCTCCTGACCTCCATTTGCTATTTCCCACTGATACAGCAATTCCTCTTCTCAACCATCCATAACACATTTCCTGAACCACACGTTAGTCTTAAATTTTTTTTTTAACGTTCATTCAACAAATATTTATTGAATCCCTTGTCCGAGCCCTGCCTTCACTCAGCTTCTCTCAGGTAGAGCACACTTCACTTTAGCCCTTCACTGAATACAGTATTGCATCCCAATCCACTCCATTTGTCTATCCTGGAAACCCAGAAGTCTACCCAAATTCCTCCCTCTCCCTCACAGCCCACACCCAATTAGCTGTCAGACCTCTTTCCTGAGAGTTCTCACATTTCGCCTTGTCTCTGCACTCTCCTGCCTATAGTCCTGCACAGCCTCCTGACTTCTGATCTGTTTCTCTTCCAGCACATTCGCCACCCCTCAGCCAGAGTGGGTTTCTGAGCAAAGCACATCATGTCCCTCCCAACACACTGGGGGCCCCACTGTCACCCAGTAAGAGTCTAAACTTCTTAACTTAGCACAGCCTCCTGCTTACTTGCAGTCCAGTATTGTCCAATAGAAATATAATGCAAGCCATATATGTAATTTTAATTTTTTAGTAGCCACATTTTTTAAAAGTGAAAGAAACAAGTGAAGTTAATTTTTTTATTTTTTGAGATGGAGTCTCACTCTGTCACCCAGGCTGGAGTGCAGTGGCAAGATCTTGGCTCACCACAACCTCTGCCTCCTGGGTTTAAGCGATTCTCCTGCCTCAGCCTCCTGAGTAGCTGGGATTACAGGTGCCTGCCACCACATCCGGCTAATTTTTGTATTTTTAGTACAGACGAGGTTTCACCATGTTGACCAGGCTTCTCTCAAACTCCTGACCTCAGATGATCCACCCACCTCAGCCTCCCAAAGTGCTGGAATTACAGGCATGAGGCACTGTGCCCTGCTGTGAAATTAATTTTAATAATACACTCTAACCTGATATGCCTGAAATATAATTTCAACATGTAATTAATATTACAAATATTGGGGTGTTTTACATCCATTTTTTCAGACTAAGCCTTTGAAACCCAGTGTATATATTAAACTCAGCACATCATGAATCAGACTAGCCGCCTTTCCAGGGCTCAACAGCTGTATGCAGCTGGTGGCTACAGTCTCTTATTGCCCTCTCATTTCTCTGGTTTTTGCACATGGCTACGAGACTCCCTAGCCCTTGTATAGTCAGTGAATTCCTGCTTGTCCTTCAAGATTCAGCTAAGTATCCCCTCCCCTAGGAAGCCTTCCCTGACCCTCTGGTGTGTTGAGATGTCGGCTCTCTGCAGTACTAAATCCCTCAGCACTTACCTATACCATTACACGTGATAGTGTAAACTACTGCTTTACTTATCTGTCTTTCCCACTGAGAAGGATTTACCATGGAGATGATGAAGCTTAAGCTTCAGGGCTTGTCACTCTCCTACACAAATCCCTTCCAAGGCTTGCACCTAATTTTGTGGCAACAGTTTTATATTCTTTTTCTTAGTGAGTATCAGGCCCCACAAAACCTAGATTAACTCCACCTCTTCCATTAGACTAAGCTCCTTGAGAGCTGGAACTGTGCTTTATTTATCACCATATGCCAGACCTACCACAGGCCTCATACAAAGATGTTCAATGAATGTTTGCTCAATGAATGTTGGGGTTCTTGAGGGATTACTCCCAGACTATCTGTCTTTCAGAGTAGCATCAGCCAGTTCTTGATTTTAATTACCATACATTTGTTGGTGATTCACAATTTTCTGTTTCCAGCCCAGACTTTGTTCCTGGGCTTCAGACTCATTTGTGCCACTGCCTCCCAGATACACCCACTTGGAAGTGACCTAAGCACCCAAACTCACTATTCCAAAGTGTCTCCCTAAACTTATTCTTCTTTCTCAGTGGATGCCACTACCATCCACCCTGCTGCTCAAGCCAAAAAGATCAGCATCATCCTTGATTTTCCTGATTCTCTCACCCTCCATATCCACTTCACACCAAGTCCAGATGATTCTGTCTTAAAACATTCACAAATACATATACATATAAACAGCCCACAACAGCCTCCTAACTGGACTCCCTGCTTCCACTCTTGCACACCTACAATTCATTCTCTACTCAGCAGCTAGGGAGGACTCTCATTACTTCATTCCCTTGTTGAGCTTGAAATAAAATCCAGGCTGGGCACGATGGCTTACACCTGTAATCCCAGAACTTTGGGAGGCCGAGGCAGGCAGATCACAAGGTCAAGAGATCGAGACCATCCTGGACAACATGGTGAAACCCCATCTCTACTAAAAATACAAAAATTAGCTGGGTGTGGTGGCGTGTGCCTGTAGTCCCAGGTACTTGAGAGGCTGAGGCAGGAGAATCACTTGAACCTGGGACGCGGAGGTTGCAGTGAGCTGAGATCGCGCCACTGCACTCCAGCCTAGCAACAGAGCGAGACTCTGTCTCAAAAATAAAAATAAAATAAAATCCAAACTCTGTATCTGATGCACAGGGCCCTGCATGGAGTATTAGGCTGGTACAAAAGTAATCGCGGTTTTTGCCATTAAAAGCGAAACTAATGACAAAAACCACAATTACTTTTGCACCAAACTAATAGCTCCCACCCTCTTCTCCAGTGGTATTCTGTACCCCTCTCCCTATTACTCACTAACCACACTGGCCTTTATTCTTTCCTCTAATGTGCCAAGCTCTCTTTTCCAGCTCTGAGCTTTTGCAAATGCTGTTCCCTCTTCCAGGAATTCTTGTCACTGGCTATGGGGTGGTTTCCCTTCTCATTCTGCAGATCTCTACTTGAAATTCTCCTCCAAGAGACCTCCTACACTCTCCCTCACTAAAGGGGGCCCACTATTATTTACAATCACTCTCTATCACATGCCCTGTTTATTTCCTTTATAGTACTTGTCATATGCTGAAATTAACATCTTAGTTTATTTTACTTGTTTTTCATCCATATGTCCACTCCCCCACACTAAAAAAAATTCTGTTGGTTGCATATTTCCAATTAATTCAGGTGGCAGAGCATCTAGAAATTATGCTGTTCTTTGTAGAACACCATGAATATCTAATTTCATATTGAATCCCATCATATGCACTAGGAGAAAATATTACTGGGTTGTATGAATGCATGTAAAATCTCAACTACAAGCTTACACATATCCATGAAAACAACAAACTGTTAAACTAGATGTGATCAGATGTTTGAGTTTTTCTGTTAATATTTGTTTATTTCTCATGCATTCATTTTGTCATCTGCTGGCACCCACTAGCAGGTGAACATTGAAAGCTTTTTTTTTTTAATATTGTGGTTAGGTTTTAGTTTTGTTTTGAGACAGAGTCTTGCTCTGTTGCCCAGGCCGGAGTGCAGTGGCATGATGTCAGCTCACTGCAACCTCCGCCTGCTGGGTTCCAGCAATTCTCCTGCCTCAGCCTCCCGAGAAACTGCAATTACAGATGCGTGCCACCACGCCTGGCAAATTTTTGTATTTTTAGTAGAGATGAGGATTCACCATGTTGGCCAGGCTGATCTTGAACTCCTGACCTCAAGTGATCCACCCACCTCGGCCTCCCAAAGTGCTGGGATTACAGGCGTGAGCCACCGCACCTGGCCAAAAGATTAAGAAAATTTTATGAAGAGAAACCCTAAAATTGAGCATTCAACTCTTACCATCTTTTCCTGACAATTAGAGGGAAACTGATTATTATTCAAAGAGTCGAAGAAGGGAACCCCTCAGCCCAGGCTACAGTGGGCCCTTTGGCAGCACAGTGAGTTCCCTGGAGTCTAGTGTAGGCAGGACCCACAGAGGCAGGGGGGGTTCTCGGCGGCTGCTTCCTGCACACAGCCCCTTGCCTCCAAAGCAGGTAGCTGGCTCTATAGGTCACTGATAGAAGCCCTTAGGATAAATGCCAACCCTGATAAGAAAAGGGAGGACCAGCCCCTAAACAGGCAGCAGGTTTGTCTGCTTGAGGTCTTGTTGATTGGTTTAATTTTTAAAATCCTGCCAGGGACCAGGCGTGGTGGTGGCTCACACCTGTAATCCCAGCACTTTGGGAGGTCAAGGTGAGAGGATTGCTTGAAGCCAGGAGTTTGAGACCAGCCTGAGTAACATAGTGAGACACACCTCCATATCCTCCCCCTCCCCACCTTCTCTACAAAAAGTTTTTTAAATTAGCTGGGTGTGGTGGCATGCACATGTAGTCCCAACTACTCAGGAGGCTGAGGAGGGAGACTGCCTGAGTCTGGGAGGTCAAGGCTGTAGTGAGTCGTGCTTGAGCCACTGCACTCCAGCCTGGGTGACAGGGCAATACCTCATCTCAAAAATAAATAAAAAAGTCCTTCCAGGATGAAAATAGCCCCCAGTGCATTTAGGAGAGAATAGCAGACTTTTCCCCAGGAGTATTCTCGAGGGAAGAGTGTGGGTACGGAGCTTCCAAAGGAGCCCCAACTAGGCTCTTTTCTCTGCTTTGCATCCCTTTTTGCCATTGGCTTTCCACAGGACTGTCTTGCTAATCATACACCTCATGTAGATGGCTGGTGCTTCCTGGCTAATCTAGTCAAGTATAAAGAAGGGCCCCTGCTGTCCTTCAAATACCAATAATGCTTTTCAGCCAGCCTAGCGCCTCTGCTTTGCTGTCTGTTGGCTTTCTGTGACTATGCATGGTCAAGGCAGGTCAGAGATTTATCATTTTTGGCCAGAACAAATACACTGAGAGCTTCAAAACCAAGTATACTTGAAAACTAAGTTTCAGAGAGACAGCCTGTGTTCAGAGTTAGACTGTGTTGATAACTATGCAAACATTTACCATTTCCTTACTGGGGTCATAAAAGGCATCCTCAAACCAATATATGTCAATCTGACGATGTTGTCCAAAATATTTTTAGCTTTGAATTTTTTTCAGCCAGTATCAAAAGTGAGACTCTAAAATACTTACTATATGTCTATGTCAAATACTAAGTCCTTTATTTTTTTCTGGAAATATTCTTAAGTAAATTCTGATTAGAATCACTCCTAAAACACCATTATCCTGATTCTAGATACTCAGGGCAGAATAAACGGTAAAGTGAAAGATGCTCCAGCTCAGAAACTCAACAGCTATCAGGTGGGTGAATATCCAGTAATAAAATGGATTGTTCTCCGCTGATTGTATGTTTCCAAGTTGCTCAGGAAGAAGAATACCTGCAAGTATGTTGCTCTTACTAAAATACCACGTGGCCATTCCAATTAGTTTATTTATTATCTGTAGCTGCTTTCACACTACAAGGACAGAGTTCAGTAGCTTTGACAGAGACTATATGGTTTGCAAATCCTAAAATATTTACTGTCTGGCCCTTTACCGAAAAAGTTTGCCAACTTCTACATAGCTCATCCATTCACTTTACAGACGAGCAACCTAAGTCCTGTTTGAAAAGCAAAGTGGCTTTGTAGCACTTTGCACAGGGTTCACTTCATTGCAGTTAATTTTCTCTAGGCTTGTCCCTTCTACTGGATACAATCTTTTTATTTCCCACAGTGGCTTTCATTTAACTTAATAATAATGGTTTGTTGTATTGCATTGACTTGCCCAGGGAAACAGGAATAGTCAGCAATGGAACCTGGCTTAAAACCCAGATATCGTGATTCATGATCAATGGTAAGGATCACCAAGTAGCTGTGTAACTTTGGCTGAGTAATTATCCTCTCTGAGCTTCAGTTTCCTCACCTGCAAGATGAAGGTAATCCATTCCTTGTATGGTTTTATGAGAAATGTTAAGACAATGTATGTATGGAATAGGCTCTCCGTAAGCATGGATTCTCAACCCCTGACTCCTTTGTCTCACTAAACTAGAGTTCTGGAACTTTTAGGATTACCTGAGGAAACTGAACTAAATACTTATGGAACTTCTTCTAAGAACAAGACACTGGGCTTGGCCCTTTAGGAGGCACAAAAATTATTTCCCCATTTAGTGGCAGTGATAAGCCTGATGTGACCAGACTTATGATCTGGTTAAAGGGAAATAAGCATCCTTGAAGGGGTGATGACATTTAAAAAATGCTAAAGGGGCCAGGTGTGGTGGTTCATGACTGTAACTTCAGCAGTTTGGGAAGCTGAGGCGGGAGGATCACTTAAGACCAGGAGTTTGAGACCAGCCTGGGCAACATGGTGAGGTCCCCATCTCTACAAAATATTAAAAATTAGCTGGGCATGGTAGCACATGCCTACAGTCCCAGCTACTAGGGAGGCTGAGGTGGGGATTGCTTGAGCCCAGGAGTTCTAGGCTGCAGTGAGCTATGAGTGCACCAGTGCACTCCAGCCTGGGCAACAGAACAAGACCCTGTCTCTTTAAAAAAATTCATACTGGATCTATTTCAACAAATAAGAACAGAGATGTAATCATCACTGTGCTTACTAGTTGGCAAGGAGTTGCTACTAAAGCCCTTGAAGAGTCCCTTCAGTAGGTTATGTATTCTCTTTTGAAATGATGATTATGCTTCATTTGTCCTGCAAGCTTTGCTTTGATGGTCAGAGTTTGTAGAGTCTAAATAAAAGCAGAATTACTATGAGGGACTAGGAAGCAAGTCAGAGGCACTTTGGAAACTGCTGGCCTGTTGTACACCAAAGCATTAGGCATTTTCTTCAGAGGAGAATACCAGGACTTCATGGCCACCCCTGAGAACTTAGCAAGGCCTGCCCTAAGACCTGCATTAGGAGGGAGGTTCCTGTTTCCTTGTATTAAATTCTGTAATGCTCTAAGCCTCTCTTTCTTTTTGAAGCCTTTGGCTTCATGGAGGACAGTCTGGTGGGAAATAGCACTGAATGGGGAGTTAGGAGACTGGGTTCCTGTTCCAGTTCTGATACCTGCTGGCTATATGACCCTGGGCAGGATATTTCCTTTTTTGGATCATCTGCAAATGACACAATAGAAGCTCAGTTGACCAGATCAGACAAATAACCATTGCATTGGGTCCTGACAGAACTGAACTCACTTGGACACAGACATTATCATAGAATGTTAGAGTTAGACAGGACCTTTCAGTGATTAGTTGGACTCTGTCATTTCTCCTAGAGAGGGCAAAGGACCTGTCTATGGTCACACAATTCATTAGAGGCAGAATCAGATTAGAACTCAGGTTTCCTGGCTCTCTATTCCGTGCTTTGGCCAGAACAACATGTTATCTAAAAAGTCTAAAGGAAGTGCATTTAATCTCCCTTGCCTCAAATATCTCACAGACACGTTGCTGAGTTTGGTCTCCATTCTGCTCACTCATCAAAACTGCTCTGGATTAAGTAGCTAAGTCCTTCCACTCTGCATGCAAAATTCTGCTCACACCAGCGGCTTCTCTGAGACCTGGAATAGGCAGGCTGTGAGCCAACCCTTACCCAAACTCACCCTTTAGGAGCAGGAGAGAAGTGGGGTCCGTGTTCCCTAAGGTACCCTCACTTTAGAGTCTCAAGGAACAAAAAACTTGGAATGATCCGGGTGTGGTGGTATGTGCCTGTAGTCCCAGTTACTCCCAACCCAAAAAACCCAAAAAATTTTGGAATGAATTTTCAGAGATCACTTCTGCAATTAATAATCTTTCAGGTTATTGAATCATCCAATGAATTTAACAGGAAGGTCCCTCAAGCGGGCAGAGAAGTTCTTGGAAAGGAACTTATGGGTCAGGAGAAAGCCCAGGATTAGTGCTCCTGGTGTCTGGTCTCCAGCGGGCACAGAGAGAAGGGCTCTGTCCCCAGGGCTAGCTTGTCAGTGGGTGAGTAGAGCTCCCATCTTCTCTAATATTTTCAGAACAAAACAAAAATATAAAACCCTCCCCCTTCTCAGACGCCATCCAAGCCATCAGCCCCTCCAAGTCTGGAATGTGAACTAATGGGATTAAATGAAAATGAGGGTGCTAGCTAAACCCTGAACGCCATGCACATGGAAGAGATGATCATTTTTCCTCGCCTGGCATCTTCTTGGACATTCTCCAAAGCCCAACTCAAATGTCATTTCCAAACACCTGGTCGCACCAACCCAAGTTCAAATCTTGGCTCCACTGCCTATTTGCTGTGTGACCTTGAACATGTGGTTTAACTTCTTTGGGCTTCGGTTTTCTCTCCTGCAAATGGGGATCATAATATAACCAGTTTATAGGGTGATTAGGGGTTGAGCCAATGTCATGCTTACAAAGGCCCCAGCACAGTGCCTGGCAGAGAACAGGTACTCTATAAATGTTGAATAAATAGTAAGGGAACCAGAGCATTCATCTCTTGAGGTCTGATCCAGCACCTTCTCTTCAGGTCCTGGCTTCGCCACATCCTTTCATCTCAAAGGGGCTAGAGAAACCTGAGCCAATTTGTCCTTACCTTGCTGAGGTCTTCTAAGGCCATGACCTTGGCCACTGGCCTCCTGCTGAGCTGCTCCTTCACCCAGACCTCGATATGCTTGTTCCACTTCATGGTGAACACATAGAAGGCATAGGCCAGCAGCAGCAGCAGGCTCTCCCACCAGGCAATGAGGCTGTCCAGGAAGAAGAGGATGAGCATTATCAGGTCAAGGATGTAGAAGGAGACATCACGGAATAAGGGCCACCAGGTGAGGTTGAGGATCTCTCGGGAGAAGAGGGAACAAGTGCCAATGACAAAGAGAATGTTGAACACAGCAGAGCCCACAATGGTACCAATGCCCACGTTGCTGTGGGAAATGAAGACACCGATGAGGGAGGTGAAGAGCTCAGGAGCAGAGCCTCCAGCAGCCATGAATGTGGCGCCTGCCACATCCTCGGAGATCTGCAGCTTGTCTGTGATGACACCCAGGGCTGGAACGAAGTACTCGTCGCAAACAATGGCCAAGGCCACAAACACATACATCATGCCAAAAACGTGCAGGACCACCCAGCCCTGCCGCCGCTCCTCCACACTGAACAGATCTGGGGGGTACTCTCCCTTGGGGTGGAGGTCTGGCAAGCTGGGAGGCAGCACTGAGGGACTAGGACTGAGCTCCTCTGGGAGCAGGGCTGTTGTGAGGCTTGGGGAGGGAGTGGTGAGCATGGCTGGGGTTGGCTTCACAACCACACAGTGATGGACCTGCATGGTCAGCTTTGCCCTGACCGTAGGGGTTGTTGAGGTGCTGGGTGCTGTGGAAGGTTTCTTTGCCAGCCTCCAGACTATGGCTGGGGCTGTTTTGATGGCTGATACACTGGTCCTGGGTGAAGGATTCCTAAGACTCCAGGCAGCAGTGAAGGCTTTGGTTTCTGCTGGGCTGCTGCCTGTCATGGTGCTTATTGTCACCTGCCCCTCAGAGGTGGCTGGGGTATGCAACAGGACTGTTCCCTGGGGAGTCTTCGGGTTGCTCTTTCCCACTAACCCCCAGGGATGGGCTGAGCTGTTACTTTCCACTCTTCTGGGGGGAAACAGGTTGTTTTTTTCCATGACGCTCCTTGGAGAAGTCAAGACGTTTGCTTCTACCTCATGTGTCAGAAAAGTTGGGGTGCTATCAAACATTCCCTTGAGAGTGGTTGGGGTGGTTTCCTCCATTATTCTCTTAAGAGAGTTGGTTTCGAGTATTTTATAGGTTGCTGTAATGTCACTGTCTTTCACTGTTGTCCTGGGGGTGATCGCATGGCTTGTTTCCATTGTCATGAATGTGGACGGCACGTAAGTGCCTACTCTTCTACCACGTGGGGAAGGAGTATACTTCACCTTTTCCCTCACTTGAGTTGGGCTGTAGCTCTTCATTTCTCCCCTGGGTGTTGGGGTATACTTTTTTACTATTTGTCTGCTTGAAGTTGAGGTGTAGTAAGTCAGTGTTCTACTGGATGTTGGGGTGTCTTCCTTCCTTCTTTCTGTACCTGCTGCTGTTGGGCTGTAATTATTCTTGGTTGTTGTTGGGATCATCTTGGCTGTTCTTTTAGGCATACTGGGGATATTCTCCACTGTCATGCTCAGTGTTGCTTCATCACTGCCCACTGAGGCTTGGGGTACCAGCATCTTACCCCCCATTTCGGAGCTAGGTTTTGAAGGGCTGCTGCTCATCATCATCATCTCTTCACTGGAGAGGTCCCGACTGGCCAGTTTTATAGGCTGATGAGAAGAGACTGCTGCCCACAATGAGGAAAGGCCCCGGGGTCTCCTAAGGTGCTGATAAGTAGAACCGATGATCAACATTCCCAGTAAGAAGAGGAGGCGACTCCAATGAAGCCGCTTTGTCCGGAGTAACCACCTCTCTTGCGGCCCCATCCTGATCAATTTCCCCATGCTGGCCAGTTATATCTGGTTACAGAAGGCCTCTCATTCTGTCCTAAGATGGAGGCTACTCTGGGATTCAGGTTGGTGATCAGAGAAGATTTCTCCATGAAGCCCAGCCAGGGGGTATCCACAACCCTAGGTGGGTAAAAAAAAGAGATTATTTACCACTAAGAGGAGATCTGGGATCCATAACACCCTCATATAGAAAAAAGTGATAATAGAAGCCCCAGGAACACAAAAGTATCATGCATGGGGTCTTTGCAAGAGTAAACTACTCCTGCCCCCTGCTCCAGAGGAAAATGCCTACTCTTAAGAGAAAGAGTGCCTAGGGGTCCTCTGTACTATGTAGGCATGCCAGCCCCCCAGGTTCCTGAGCTGGAGCCTGAGTGCACTATGGAGTCCACCAAGTCCTCCCTGGGCTCTCAGCAAAAGATCTGCCAGTACTCTTCAGGTCCAAGCCTAAGATCCTGGGAGCTCAGTCATCCATAGCTGGTGTCAGGCCACAGGTCTCACCTTATCAAAGGCAGGAAGGAGGTAGGGAGATATGGCTTTAAGCTATAGACAAAAAGAGGCAGCAGTGGAGGGCATTGCCAGGGACATTAAGGCTCCATGTATTTTTTTGAACTGACTTAAAACAATTCCACCATCCAGAGTGGGCAAAGCTTAAAAGTTAATGTTATAGAGCTTCCCAGAGAATATGGCATGGTGGGAGGATCATGGGGAATGGAGTTGAAAGCCTAGACTCCCTGTTCTGCTGCTTACCAGCTGTGTCATCCTGGACAGGCTGAGCCTTGGTGCCTCATCTGTGAAATGGGCATGATAACATATATATTGTTTATGCAAAGATAATCTCTAGAAGGACATCTGGGGAAGGGAAACTGAGGATCAAAGGTCAGAAGGTGACTTATTTTCACTGTATATTCTGTTAGTTTGACCTTTTTATCATGTGCATGTTATAATATTTTTAATTTAAATTAAATTAGAATATGAATAATAACAGTGTCACAGGAATGTTGAGCGAGTAAAAACATATGAAAAGCATTGAACAGGCTGAGCACGGTGGCTCATGCTTGGAATCCCTGCACTTTGGGAGGCTGAGGTGGGCGGATCACTTGAGGTCAGGAGTTCAAAACCAGCCTGGCCAACATGGTGAAACCCCATCTCTACTAAAAATACAAAAGTTAGCCAGGCGTGGTGGTGCATGCCTGTAATCCCAGGTACACAGGAGGCTGAGACAGGAGAATTGCTTGAACCTGGCAGGCAGAGGTTGCAGTGAGTTGAGATCATACCATTGCACTCCAGCCTGAGCAACAGAGCAAGACTCTGTCTCAAAGAAAAAAAAAAAAGAAAAGCACTGAACAGAAAGGTTAGTTTTATACAAGAATGAAGGAGGGAAGAACATGAAAGGCCCTCAAAGAATCCTCATTTTATAAAGAAGGGCATTGAGGCCCAGCCCAAGTAACTATTTATTAAATCTCTAATTAATGTCCACAAACTACTACAAAACAATAACTGGAAATGATTAGTTTTGCATATGATATATTAGAAGTGAGCTGAGTAACCCATGGAATCTGTCTGGTACAACTCCTCATCTGAGATATGAAAACACAGAGGTCCAGAGAGGAGATGTGACTTGCTTAACATCACACAGCTAGTGAGTAGCCAAGCAGATGAGCCTCCTAACTCCCCTTTCTTTCTTGCATGCCACACTAATCAGAGATGCAAAGGTACTTGTCTTAAAAAGCAAGAGAGGGACAAGCAAAAGGAAAAGTAGGAATAAGTGAACTTCCTTCTTTGTCCCTGATTTCTATAATTTTCTTTCCACTATCTCCCTGCAGCCCCCCGATCCTTGCCATGAACTCAACACTTTGCAGCAAGCCCACTCGTATCCCCAGCAGAAATTTCAGAGGGTCTCTCTCTTTCTAATGTTCCTGTGTTATGTAACAGAGCTGAACTGGCACCCCAGCTGATCCCTCCTACCTAATTACATCATTTACCTTCAGACCTTGACATCTGGCTGTCTTCTCAGCTCTGGAAACTTGTCAGAATCCAATATCTCAAAGAGTGGGTCTGAAGCTGGACAGCAGGGAACACCCCATTCTCCTGCCCCCAGCTCTCCTATGGAATCCTAATTCAAGGCAGGGTCGGGTGTGAAGGGCAGCTCAGGGGAAGAATATCCGATCGTGGCTAATACCCACCTCCTCTAAGAAGCTTATCAGGGCATTGTACAAGTTCTGGGTCCCGGTACACCTGACCAAGCCTGAGAGAGTGGGCCTTCCACCAGGGACACAGAGGGGCTCACTGTGGGCCCACAAAGTCAATGGAGGAACTGGGGAGATTTCTCAAACTTGTTTCTAAGCTATGAGAATGAGAGGTGGTCTAGGGTTTCCATGCTTAGATGGTGGAAAGTTTTGAAAAGATTCAGAAGGCGCTCTGAGAAAACGAAGGGAAAGTGACTGGGGCTTAAGAGATCAGAAGACCTCAGTTAGCATTAGGCTCGACTTGCTACTGTGTGATTCTAATGTAATCTAAAAGTAAATGTGGGGATAATAATACCTGTCCTTCCTATTTGTAAGGTGAATGTGAGAATCAAAATAAAAAACAAAGATTATAGAGAAAACACCAAGCAAACTTCAAAGCAATTCATACCTGAAATCTATTTTATTAGGCCTAAAGGAAATCCTTGGTGTAGAGGGCACTAATGGATCTCCCCAGAGCAGGCTGGGACATCCCAAGATACCTGAGGAGTTGGTGCCCTGAGCCCCCCGCGCCTCCAGCCCATGACTTGGAGCTGATCAAAGTGGGAGTAGGGTAAGGTAGTGGGGATCTTGTGATCCTAACCATTGATCTGGAAGCCCTTTCAATCATTCAGCTAACTCGGCCTGACATTTACTGACTGCCCCTTTCTCCCTTTCCTGTTTCCTCCAGAGTACCTGGGTGCATGATGCTTTGGGTTACTTTCATCTGAAATAGCAGTTAATCCTCACAGCCTCACCTCTACCCTGCTTCACCTTGAGTGGCCTGGAACAGTAAGAAGGTCACGAGCTCCCTCTGCTGAAGCCCACAGAAGGGCCCACCCACTGTGGAAGAGCTGGCTTCATCTCTGAGTATGCTGGGGTCACTCTGGATGTTGGAAGCCTGGGATCAGGACCTGAGGTCTGCTAGTTACATGTCCTTGCCTTTATGCTGCTGTGGGCAGAACAAAATCTAGTTCTTTCCCTTTTCATGCCACTATGTAACACAGTCTCAATCTGGCCCAGAAAGATGAAAAAAGGAATATAATTCACAAAGTAAAATGAGTGATCTTTTTTCTGAAATAACTCCTCTATTTTTACAATGTTGTTTATTCAATATAAAAAATTCAGGGGAGAAGGAAATCCTCAGAAAAGTGATTCCTTTCTCTCATATGTTCATAAATGTTGCCAAGGAGTTCTTCCTGGTGTCTAACCTAAATCCTACCCGCTGGGGGTAAACCCAGTTTCTTCTGTCTTATTATCATGGGATTCTGGCACATTTTGAAATTCAGCAGGAAATTTGGCTGCTCAACCAAGAATGGAAGCATCCTCTGTACTAGCCATGTGAGTTTGGACAAGTTATTTAACTTCTCAGTGGTTATAAACCTCTCATCCTGTAAAATGAGGATGATAATGACATTACCTGTTTGATAGGGTTGTTGTGGGGATTAATTAATTTGTAAAACATATTAATAGTGCCGGGTACTATTGTTGTTTTTCTGCTTTTAGGTATCACAATCAGATTGTGTTAGAGGGGTCAGCAGGTTTCCATGCATTTCATTGTTACAACACTCTACCGTGTATTTATTTGTGCAATCACCTGATTAATGTGTGCAACTCTTACTAGCGGGTGAACTCCAAGAAGACAGGGAACTTGCCTGTCTTATTCACCACTGAATCCCCAGAGCCCAGAACAGTGCTTGGCAAGCAATGAATGTATTTAATAAATAAATGAGTTTATTTATTTATTAATATTATAAATAAAGTTATTTATTAAATACATTTTATATATATTAAATATAAAAAGCATAACCCAGTGAGGAAGATGCTCAGAGATGGGGGCCCTGAGCTACACATGGATGGAGAGGAGAATGCCCACTCAAAAAGCTCATGATCTTTTGAGAGCAAATGGATGGAGAATGGCCAGCACCACTGAGAAGAGGAAGCTGATCTAATTTGCTCTACAAAATTGCCTCATTTTATACCCTCCCCTGGAACAGGATGGAAGAACAGATGGGGTAGATCTGGCTCTGACCCTCACGATAAGATAAGGGGGTGAGGAAGGCAGATCTTAGAGCTTTGGCAGGACGGCAAGGAGGCCTTTCCTTGCCCTCCAAAGCTCTAGGCCTTTCCTAACTTTTATTAAAACAGAAAGAAGAGGGAACGAGACTTTTCATCTGATGTGGAGGGTTTGTGGCTAAGGCTGGTTTATTTCTGGGTCTACATCAGGAGTTGCAGCTGACTCTACAGTTGTACAGTAGAAAGTAGACAAGATTTGAAAGCGTCGCAAATTTTATTTCTTTTTTTTTTTTTAATCTGGCAGACAGCAAGCATTGATGGGTTGCAAATTTTAATGCCTTTAGGTCCCGGGTAGATAAAATTAAGTTACATCAATCATTTTCTAAGTAACTGGAGCATGCTGGGGGCTATGTCTGGACAGAGAATAAATGACCCACCAATAAGTATTCCAATGTCAAACAATTTAAAAATATTAGGAAGCAAACAAATGAGTCTGAGGGCTGAATTTAACCTACAGGTACTGCTTTGCAACCTCTAATAAAGTAACAAGTCTGATGAGGAGCAAGCCTAAGGTCTCTCATTCTCAGGCTCCTCATTTATGAAACCAGGAAAGACAAGCTTCCTTATGGAACTGCTGTTAGAGTAACAGTGAGAGAATCTGTGGAAAAGCACTTTGATCTGTCCAACCTGTACAATGTCACGGCCTAAGACCTTTTGTTTATATTGTTTTATTTGTGCATATTATATTGTTTATAGGATTAAAAATGGCTGTACAGTTGTCACTGGTGGAAAACAACAAAATAAGTCCCCAAACATCCTATGACACATCTTTCCAAGCCAGTGGCTAGAACCATACCTGAGACAGGGGGATGCAGGTGGTGGCACTTCACACTGAGTGCAGCTCAGAGACAGGATTTCATCCTTACAGTCAAGTGCCCTTCTGGAGCGGCCAGAGGCCTACAGAAAAGGTCAGAGAGGTGATTTCAGAGGACTTCAGTGTGGCCAAGCAGGAAACCACACAGTCCCAGCACTATTCACAACACCCGTCAAAGTAAGAGAAACAGCCCACCAAGTAAAACTCCCAAGTCAAATCTGACTTTACAAAGGCATGATGATTGAGGCACAGCAAGATACCTTTTTTTTCCCTGTAAGCTGACAAAGAGTAAGAAATTTAAATAACACCCAGTGCCATCGAAGATACCGGTGAAGATGTGTAAATCGGGTATAGCAGCCCAAGTGACCTTGTTAAACTGTAAATCAGATAATGTCCCTCCTATATGCCAGAATTTCCAGTGGCTTCCCATCTCAATTGGAGAAAAAGCCCCTATATTAGTCTACCAGGCCCTTTCCAGCTTTGGTTGTAGTAGCAAAAACTGAAATCTAAATGTCAATAGGAAACTGATTACATAAATGATAATGGCACATCTTTACAATAGTCAATTATATACAGCAGTTAAAAGGAATGAAGGTGATGACCAAGATATATTAATAAATCAATAACAATAAAAGCAAGATGCAGAACAGTATATATAACATTATTGCATTTAGGTAGAAAGTATTATATATGTTATATCATATAGTCTATATAATATGTATATACATACACATATATACATACATACGTAGAGACAATTTTGCAAAGCATATGTAAGAATGTCTATACTTCTGTCACCAATAGATATAGAATAAACAAAAACAAACAACAATGCTGATATTTCACTTCTCCAACCCAGTGGCTAGAATCATACTTGAGGCAGGGAGATATGTATGGTTGCTTCTAGGAAAGCAAATGCTTATTTTTCACTTCATCTATTTTGAAACTTTGAATTTTGCCTGATGCAGTGGTGCACTCCTGTAATCCCAGCACTTTGGGAGGCTGAGAAGGGAGGATTGCTTGAGACTAGGAGTTCAAGACCATCCTGGGCAACATAGCAAGACCCTGTCTCTAGTAAAAGAAGTATTTATAACAAACCCACAGCCAATATCATAATGAATGGGCAAAAACTGGAAGCATTCCCTTTGAAAACCAGCACAACACAAGGATGCCCTCTCTCACCACACCTATTCAACATAGTGTTGGAAGTTCTGGCCAACACTTGCAATCAGGCAAGACAAAGAAATAAAGGGTATTCAATTAGGAAATGAGGAAGTCAAATTGTCCCTGTTTGCAGATGACATGATTGTATATTTAGAAAACCCCATTGTCTCAGCCCAAAATCTCCTTAAGCTGATAAGCAACTTCAGCAAAGTCTCAGGATACAAAATCAATGTACAAAAATCACAAGCATTCCTATTCACCATTAACAGACAAACAGAGCCAAATCATGAGTGAACTCCCGTTCACAATTGCTACAAAGAGAATAAAATACCTAGGAATACAACTTACAAGGGATGTGAAGGACCTCCTCAAGGAGAACTACAAACCACTGCTCAACGAAATAAAAGAGGATACAAACAAATGGAAAAATATTCCATGCTCACGGATAGGAAGAATCAATATCGTGAAAATGGCCATACTGCCCAAAGTAATTTATAGATTCAATGCCATCCCCGTCAAGCTACCAATGACTTTCTTCACAGAATTGGAAAAAACTACTTTAAAGTTCATATGGAACCAAAAAAGAGCCCACGTTGCCAAGACAATCAATCCTAAGCAAAAAGAACAAAGCTGGAGGCATCACGCCACCTGACTTCAAACTATACTACAAGGCTACAGTAACCAAAACAGCATGGTACTGGTACCAAAACAGATATATAGACCAACGGAACAGAACAGAGGCCTCAGAAATAACACCACACATCTACAACCATCTGATCTTTGACAAACCTGAAAAACAAGAAATGGGGAAAGGATTCCCTATTTAATAAATGGTGCTGCAGAAACTGGCTAGCCACACGTAGAAAGCTGAAACTGGATCCCTTCCTTACACCTTATACAAAAATTAATTCAAGATGGATTAAAGACTTAAATGTTAGACCTAAAACCATAAAAACCCTAGAAGAAAACCTAGGCAATACCATTCAGGACATAGGCATGGCCAAGGACTTCATGACTAAAACACCAAGAGCAATGGCAACAAAAGCCAAAATAGACAAATGGGATCTAATTAAACTAAAGAGCTTCTGCACAGCAAAAGAAACTACCATCAGAGTGAAAAGGCAACCTATAGAATGGGAGAAAATTTTTGCAATCTACCCATCTGACAAAGGGCTAATATCCAGAATCTACAAAGAACTCAAACAAATTCACAAGAAAAAAACAACCCCAACAAAAACTGGGCAAAGGATATGAATAGACACTTCTCAAAAGAAGACATCTATGCAGCCAAGAGGCACATGAAAAAATGCTCATCATCACTGGTCATCAGAGAAATGCAAATCAAAACCACAATGAGATACCATCTCATGCCAGTTAGAATGGCGATCATTAAAAAGTCAGGAAACAACAGATGCTAGAGAGGATGTGGAGAAATAGGAATGCTTTTACACTGTTGGTGGGAGTGCAAATTAGTTCAACCATTGTGGAAGACAGTGTGGTGATTCCTCAAGGATCTAGAAGTAGAAATACCATTTGACCCAGTAATTCCATTACTGGATATATACCCAAAGGATTATAAATCATGCTACTATAAAGACACATGTGCACATATGTTTATTGTGGCACTATTCACAATAGCAAAGACTTGGAACCAACCCAAATGTCCATCAATGATAGACTGGATTAAGAAAATGTGGCACATATACACCATGGAATACTATGCAGCCATAAAAAAGGATGAGTTTATGTCCTTTGCAGGGACATGGATGAAGCTGGAAACCATGATTCTCAGCAAACTATCTCAAGGACAGAAAACCAAACACTGCATGTTCTCACCGATAGGTGGGAATTGAACAATGAGATTACTTGGACACAGGGCAGGGAACATCACACACTGGGGCCTGTTGGGGGGTGGGGGGGTGGGGGAGGGATAGCATTAGGAGAAATAACTAATGTAAATGATGAGTCAATGGGTGCAGCAAACCAACATGGCACATACATACGTATGTATCAAACCTGCATGTTGTGCATATGTACCCTAGAACTTAAAGTATGACTAAAAAAAAATTAAAATTAACTTTGAATTTTTATCCATAGACACAAATTATTATTTTTTTTGAGACAGGGTCTTGCTGTGTTGCCCAGGCTGGAGTGCAGTGGCATGATGTTGGTTCACTGCAACCTCCACCTCCCGGATTCAGGCGATTCTCATGCCTCAGCCTTCCAAGCAGCTGACTACAGGTGCCCGCCATGACAGCCGGCTAATTTTTGTATTTTTAGTAGAGACAGGGTTACACTATGTTGGTCAGGCTTGCCTCGAACACCTGACCTCAAGTGATCTACCCACCTCGGCCTCCCAAAGTGCTGGAATTACAGGCGTGAGCCACCGTGCCCGGCCTCCCAGCCTCACAAATTACTTTTTATAAGTTTTTAAAAACTAGTTTTATTTGGCTTTATCTTCTTTTTCATTGAAAGATGCCACTAAGGTTTTAAGAGAGTGAGTGGTGAGCCTGGGTCAGGGCCCAGATCATGAGGGGCCTTTAAAAATTTAGACTTCATAGCATTTTGTTTGTTTGTTTGTTTGTTTGTTTTTAGAGATAAGATCTTGTCCTGGCTGGAGTGCAGTGACACAATCACAGCTCACTGCAGCCTTGAACTGTTGGGCTCAAACAATCCTCCTGCCTCAGCCTCCTGAGTAGCTAGGATTACAGGTGCACACCACCACACCTGGTTAATTTTAATTTTTGTAGAGACAAGGTCTTTCTATGTTGCCCAGGCTAGTCTCGAACAGCTGGGCTCAAGCGATTCTCCTGCCTCCGCCTCCCGAAGAGCTGAGAGCCACCACTCTAGGCCTTTATAGCACTTTTCAAAGGAAAGAGTGTATGGAAGAAAGAAGTTCCTTTCTACTTTCTTAGAGAAATGTAGTATCTACCAAGTTTTCTCTGCTTTCCTCTTTGACTTTTTTTTCCAATAACCTCTCTTACTCCCCTCCTATCTTCTTTCCACAAATGCATATCCACCATCACATGCCAGACCCTGGGGGATCCAGTGATGGATAAAGCTCACCCTATTTTCAGAGCAGAGGCAAAGTTAGTTGGAATTGGAAATGTGTAAAGCTTTTCTTTGTTCAGTGAGTCTTTTCATTATTTAAAATAGAGAGCAGCTTTGCGGTTTTCTCAAATGCTCTGGAAAAAACTGAAAGAGGATTGAGAGCAATTTTAAAAGGAGGGGGAGCACAGTTTTCCAAATACATTTCGAAGGAAAAGAGGGGGAAACCTGTGGATTAAAAGAGACTTCTGAGATATAGCAACGGATTTCAATATCTGGATCTTACTTGGATCCTGATTCAAATAACCAAAGTGTAAAAAAGTAAAATTTATGATATTTATGACACAACTGAATATTTGAAAGCTGATTCGATATTTGATGATATTAGGGATTTATTGTTAATTATGTTAAATTTGATAATGGTATTGTAATTATATATTTTTAAGTTCTCTTTTAAAGATACATAAGGAAATATTCCTGGATAAAATGTTATGCTATCAGGGATCTCCATCAAAATAATATGTGGGGAGAAGTCGGTAGGGGTGTACATGAAACGAGATGAGGATTGCATTGACAGCAGAAACTGGGTGAAGGGCACACAGGGATTTATTATCCTAATCTCCCTATCTTTGTCTATGTTTGAAAATTTCCATAATAAAATTTTTTTTCAGAAGACAGAAGGGTCATATTTATGATTGACTTCTGCTTTGGTGAAAATAGTGAAATAGGGAGGAGGTAATGATGAGAGGAAGGGGCTGGAGCTTGGAAGTATGATTTGGGAGTGAACAGTCTCCAGACTACAGGGGCAGAAAGGGAAATGCAGGGCAAAGGACATCATGGGAGTATGAGAAGAGCGGGAAGAATGCAAAAGAGAAGTAGGCCCACTGCTCTTCCCCCACCCCTCAGCCTTTTCTTCACTTACTCATTCCCTATCCCTTATCTCTGTAGATGAAAAATCATCTTGGGGCCAAATGTAGTGGCTCATGCCTGTAATCCTGGCACTTTGGGAGGCCAAGGAGGGAGGATCGCTTGAAATCAGGAGTTCAAGACCACTCTGGGCAACATAGTGAGACCCCCATCTCTACAAAAAATTTAAAAATTAGCCAGGCATGGTGGCACATGCCTGTAGTCCCAGCTACGTGGGAGGTTGAGGTTGGGGGGGATTGCTTAAATTCAGGAAGTCAAGGCTGCAAGAAGCCATGACCATGCCACTGCACTCCAGCCTGGGTGACAAAGACCCTGTCACCACACACACACACACACACACACAAAATCACCCTGGGAACTTAACAGCAAAGATTCTCAAGCACGAAGTCATGAAATTTCATTTCCATTTCACTTGGCAAGGTCTGGGAATCTGCATTTTCAACACGTGCTCTGGGAGATTGAGATATCTAGACTTCCCTTTGAGCTCCCCAGTACCTAGCCCCTGTGAGAGCCATGGTTTTTCTGTCATAAACCTTTCCTCTGTCAGACTGGGGATCAAACACTGCCTTTCAAAGCCTTTGGGACAGCAGTCCACTGTTTCAAGGCAGGAAAAAATAAAGGGAATGAGAGATTATGCAAAGGAAACTATTTATTGATTTCCTTTAATGTGTGTGTGGAAACACGCAAATGCTGAGGGTCGTTTGAGTGGGGAAAAGAAATTCATCAGCCAGTGATGGCTTGAAAGACACCCCCTTTAAAACCTTCTAACCTTTGTGCTGATGTTCTCTGATGTTATAGTCACTGAACAACCTTCTGATTTGTAATGGGATTCCACTAAGGAGGAAAAACAAACAAACAAACTAGTTGCCCTAAGTAACACAGTCCTCCTGGTAGCTGTGCCTTTTATCATCAATTTAATATATTGATTTTTTGCTTTCCAAGTCTCCCAAAGCCTGTTATTCAGAAGAACTAGGTCACAAGATTTGATCATCCATCAGTGAACTAACTTAAGCTTTAGGGTTGGGTAAGGTAATGAATCAGACCCTGCAACTGAGCCAGAATTACCACGAGGACAGTAACCCTATGGCTAAGTCGTTGTCACATTAGGGGTAACTAGACACTTGCTTACCCACACATTCTTGGCCACATCCCTCCCAATAGGGCAAGATTAGAAATCATGACTAAGTTATCAGGCTGCAGCCTTACTTACCTGGAGCCCAATGCCTGCTCAAGCATAACTAGGTCTTGACATGGTGAGATCAGCCAGGTTGGGGAAAGAAGTTTTGAAGCAAATAGGGCAGTCTGCAGGGCCCTGGCCCCAGTGCTGGCAGGGATATTCCCAGGGACAGGAAAAAACTACAAGCAACTGGCCCCACAATCTCCCACATAACAAGCTGTGAGAAGTCAGACAGATTTGTCTGTTCAGTTCAAAGCATCCTCCTTCCTCGTCCCATCTCCTAATCTCGCCCCATCCTATCAGCTAAAAGAAAAAGGCAAATGCCTGAGGCCTTCTAGAGGCCTTTCTGTACTCACTTTGTAACCTATGTGGTTCCACATTGTTCTTTGAACCGTAACTACCCAGGGGCCTGCTGGCATCCATCTAAGCCTATCTCTAGCTGGGATTCCCTGGCTCCCTACATGGTTAGAAAGAAAGTCACCTCTTGCCCTCTTAAGGACCTCACTGAGGCACAGACTACAATGGAGACACCAGGTGGCCAGAGTGGCAGGCAAGAGCCCATGTTGCCTTACAGGGAAATCTGAGCACGCATGCCTTGTCCAGGGTGAGAGGAACGAGGGCCCTCTGCTTCCCTCAAAGAGGGGATAGGGGAAATAAAGTGAGCATTTGGGCTGAGGAGACCAAGAGGCCAAGTCTTGAGGTAAATTGGGCTCAGGTCAGCTAAGAAGGATATACAAAGCATACCTCAGCCAGGAATTACAGTTTTGGGGTTTTTCCCCCCAAGATTCTCGTGCGTTAGCCTCCCAAGTAGCTGGGATTACAGGCACTCGTTACCATGCCCGGCTAATTTTTGTATTTTAGTAGAGAGCGGGGTTTCACCATGTTTCCCAGGCTGGTCTCAAACTCCTGACCTGAAGCGATCCGCCCACCTTGGCCTCCCAAAGTGCTGGGATTACAGGCCTGAACCACCACGCCCGGCCAGGATTTGTAGTTCAGGAATTGCAGTTTAAAAAGAACAGGAAGAGGATTCTGTCAACCGGTTCAGAGGATACGAGAGAGGGGGCTAAAGAGTGACGAGGAAAATAGCAGGAAGGGTTGGGCTCGTGCACCGACGGGGCCCAGGGGAGTGAGGGGACAAAAGTGTGAAGCGGACACAGAGTCACCGGGCCAGGTGAGGCCCATGGGTCAGTGGGGCAGAAGGGGAAGGAAAGAGCCCGAGAATGGGGAGAGATTCAGGGCAATGCAGAGAGACACGGCAGGAAACCCAGCCAAGGCTCGAGAGAAGTTGGGGATTTGTGGGAGGAGAGGGGTGGCCGCGGATTGGCCATCGCGAAGAGAGGCCGCGCCCCCTAGCGTCCCTCCGGGATGAGCCAGAACCCTGCCCGGGCGACCCTGAAGCTCTCCAAGGACCGCCCCGCCCAGCGCGGAGTGCAGGCGCCGGATTCCCTTCTGTCGCGCGGCCTTATAGTTCCGGCTGTGGCGCGCGGACGGAAAGTTTATGCCGACGGAAAGTTTATGCCGACGGACTGTGTCCGGCGATGGGCACGGGGTGAGTGGGGAGGCCGAGGGCCCGGGACTGCCTTTCGCTGCTTGTTGGGGTTACAGGTGAAGGGGTTATGGGTGAAGAACAACCCAGGGCCAGCGCTTGGCCTTCCCGCCACCGTGGCGGCCGCCCCGCGCTGTCTGTGAGGCGCCAGTTCCGGGGCGCTGCTCCCGGCCTCCCCTCGCTCTGAGGCTCGGGGTCCCCAGCTCCGCGTAAACTGCACGATTTCGCCCTCTGCTCAGCTCCCCTCTGCCCCCTCTTTCCAAGAGAGACTTCCAGATCCCACATTTTCTTGACTGATTTTTAAGGTAAAAATACATCTCCCAGATGTGATTTTCAGTCTGGACTTTTAGAGATGAAATTATATCTGAGAACTGGGGAGGGACTCCCGGAGGCTGACGGGAAAGCCAAAGAGCAGGTGAGGCACTAGAAATTCAGGTAGAATCCTGCTTTGAGAGCGAGACTGCTGAGAATCAGTTCTTTATGAATGAGCTAATTATCACCTTCAGGGAAGAATTACAAACGTCTAGCTGATGGACACTTGGTATTCAAGGCCAAATAGGTGGCTAGGGCCTATTTCTCAGACTGTTCCTGAGAAAGAAGAGCCCTAGTTGTTTGAACAGTACACGTGGGAAGGGGGTGGGGGTGGGAGACTTGGGGGCTCAGAATCCACCCAAGTGAGGAATACATAGTGTTGTGCTCACAAAATTGGTAGACTGTGGTGGGCAGGGATTCCCCCCCACCCAAGACGGAGTCTCGCTCTGTCGCCCAGGCTGAAGAGCAGTGGCGCGATCTCGGCTCACTGCAACCTCTGCCTCCTGGGTTCAAGCAATTCTCCTATTTCAGCCTCCCAAGTACTAGAACCACAGGCGCACGCCACCACATCTGGCTAATTTTTGTATTTTTAGTAGAGATGGGGTTTCACCATGTTGGTCAGACTGGTCTCGAACTCCTGACCTCGGGTGATCTGCCCGCCTCAGCCTCCCAAAGTGCTGGGATTAAAGGCGTGCCTGGCCTTTTTTTTTTTTAATCAGGCCTATACTGCTTGAGTGAACTATCCTTCAGGAACTTTCAGTTCCCTCCTTTACTCCAACCTGAGTACTAAATTGATCTCCCACGACTTTGTAACTGTTAATGAGGTGCATTTGGGAGTCGACACAAATGCATCACTTGGGAGAAAGAGCCAGCTCCAGAGGTGTCTTCAGAGAAGGCAAGACTGCCAGCTGTCATCACTGTCAACAGCAGATTTCACGGGCTGAAAGTGCTTTTTTGTATTTGATCTAAGTCTGTGTAAACTGTTTCCTCCCATTCTCCTAAGAGGTGAGGGCAGTACTCCTCATGATCCTCAACTTGTAAAAAGGCCTCCCTGCATGAATGGGACTACCACAGGAGCTGGGCAGACGTGAGGGAGTCCCCCATATGTCTGCTTGAATGAGGAGAAGAGGAAATGTGTTTCTGGTGTCCAGAGTTAACATTTATAATGTATTTTGCTAAATAATATATGGTATATCTGGTGATTTAGGGGTAGTTCATCAGTTGTTATCAAATTGTTGGGCACCTACTATGTGCCAGTTACTGTGATAAGTTTTGAGGAGACATCATGGGCAAAATGTGGCATGGTCCCTGCCCTTAGTGAGCGTATGTTATGGTCTAATATAGTGTAGTTGAACCAATATTGTGCAGGACCTCACTTTTTTTTTTTCAGTCGGGCCTATACTGCTTGAGTGAACCATCCTTCAGGAACTTTCAGTTTCTTCTTTTACGCCTATGCTTACAACCTGAGTTGTAAACATTGTTTCCATGAACCAGTGTATTCTGAGTTCGAAACAGCCTACTTACAAATGGAATTTTGGCTGGGCGCGGTGGCTCACGCCTGTAATCCCAGCACTTTGGGAGGCAGAGGCAGGTGGATCACGAGGTCAGAAGTTCGAGACCAGCCTGGCCAATGTCGAGGTCAGAAGTTCGAGACCAGCCTGGCCAATGTGGTGAAACCCCATCTCTACTAAAAATACAAAAATTAGCCGAGTGTGGTGACACGCGCCTGTAGTCCTGGCTACTCGCGCCTGTAGTCCCGGCTACTCGGGAGGCTGAGGCAGGAGAATGGCGTGAACCCGGGAGGCGGTGCTTGCAGTGAGCGGAGATCGCGCCACTGCACTCCAGCCTGGGCGACAGATGTCGCAAGACTCCGTCTCAAAAACAAAAAAGAACAAATGGAATTTTAGAATATGACACATTTGCAGCTGGGCACCATCCTTAAACAAGTAATCTGGCTACTGTTAAATGTTTTGAAGTTAATCCCAAAAAAGAAAGTTGTGAACATTAAATTTCTAACCTGTTTATATCCACCTAATCTCTCTAATTGTATATTTGCATTATGATTTTTATGAAGTTGTAAGCAGTGTATAATACAGTTCTGGGGCCTGCTTTTCTCAGTTACTAATGCTTTCTATAAGTATTTCTGATATCTGTAGTACATATGTCATTTATTTATAGTTTTATGATATTTCATCATGTCAGTAGCCTACAGTTTGCTTAATAATAGAGTAGCAGCAGGCTATATACCCATGAGCAGGTCTGTGTATCTGTAAACTTTTTTATTTTTGAGCACCAAAATGTTTTCTTTATGCTAATTCTCAATCCATAATTTTGAATAACTCCATTTGTACATTTTGACTTTTCTACCCAATTTCATGAGATAATTCCAGCTGTATAAATTTTTTTTTTTTTTTTTTTTTTTTTGAGATGGAGCCTTCGTCTGTCACCCAGGCTGGAAGGCTGGAGTGCAGTGGCACGATCTCGGCTCACTACAACTTCCACCTCCTGTGTTCAAGGGATCTTCGTGCCTCAGCCTCCCAAGTAGCCACCATGCCTGGCTGATTTTTGTATTTTTAGTAGAGACAGGGTTTCACCATATTGGCCAGGCTGGTCTCGAACTCCTGACCTCAAGAGATCCGCCCACCTGGGCCTCTCAAAGTGTTGGGATTACAGGCATGAGCCACTGTGCCCGACCTTACATATTCTTTAATTTTGTTCTTTTCCTTCACAGTTGAAGCACCATTGGCCAGTTTATGTACAATGAATACTACTGAGGCTGACAGTTTATTACTTTTGTTATGTGTAATGATTTCCAATTTGTCTAATTTGGTTTATGACTTTACTAGTCCTTTCATTTTTATATTTGGCATTCATTTTACTAAAACAAGAGCACCAACCAACAAAATAATTAAACACATGCAGTAATACTGCAAAAAGGTTGTGACAGTGCCAAAAAACAATGGTTGTTTGTCAAATAGCACCAACATATGACAACTAGAAATGTTCTTCAGTAAATTAAGTGTTAGGAGATGTGGGAGTTTATTAAGTTGCATAAAAGTCGAATGTGTGAAAGTTAAGGGCTACCTGAATTTAGCAGGGCTTTTTTTTTTCCAGTAGATATATTTAGATGGTCCTTGATTTATGGTCACTTAATGGGTGATTCTAAGAGTGGTCCTTACAATGAACTAAGCTGCTCACTTCCCTCTCACTGAGTTCTCTACAGATTATTCCTCACCTCAACTTAAATGGTGTTTGCCTCTGCTAATTTCTGAGAAGTTAGTTAAAGTTATGGTGAAAAATATTATTTTCTCTCCATGACATGTAAGAACGTATTTATTTTCTGCAGCATTTCTTCGTTTATAGCTGTCTGTTTGCATTCTGATTGGGAACACTGGGATCATTTTCATCATGCCGACAGTGGTGGTAATGGATGTATCCCTTTCCATGACCCGACCTGTGTCTATTGAGGGGTCCGAGGAATACCAGCGTAAGCACCTAGCAGCCCATGGTTTAACGATGCTGTTTGAGCACATGGCCACAAATTACAAGCTTGAATTTACAGCACTTGTGGTTTTTTCATCACTTTGGGAGTTGATGGTCCCCTTCACGAGAGATTATAATACCCTACAGGTACAAAATGTAGTAAGTTATTGTATGTACAGGGCCTAAATTTATTGGGAGGAAAACAGTGTTATAATGCGTTGAATATTTAGAACTTTGGCATTATTTAATAAGTCTATGAGTACTTAATATGTGTAACTAAACAGCAAGAATTCACAACCAGTAGGTCTTATGCCTACTGTTTCTTCGGTACAGCTATGAGTTACAGCTGTGAGTTGTTCCCTTATTTTCCTCTCTTGGTTTTCTGGAATTCTCTGTGGAAAAGTGAGCATCTCAGGATGTAGTGTTCCATTCCCTAAAATTTAGGATCTTTAGGCTCAACACTTAATTTTTTTCTACTCTCCCATAAAACTTGAGGAAATGAAAAAATAGCCCTTTCTTATTCTAGAGTAATTCAAAATGATATTTCCTTTCCAACAAATAGCTTTGATTTTGATACCAATAAATTATAATTTTTAAATCTCAGTTGGTAGATATTATCTTTCAAAGGTGTTTTCTGTGTTATGTTAGAATTTACTTTCTGACAACATCTCTAAATCATAATATTCATAATATTTCCAGCAGTGCCTAACACAGTGTCTTACCCATAGTGAGCAGTCAAGAAGTGTTTGTGGGCCAGGTGTGGTGGCTCACGCCTGTAATCCCAGCACTTTGGGAAGCCAAGGCGAGAGGATCACTTGAGCCCAGGAGTTTGAGACCAGCCTGGACAACATGGCAAGATCCCGTCTCTATTTTTAATAAAAAGAAGGAAAAAAAAAAAGAAGAAGCATTTGTGGAATTAAACTGAACAGTTTTAACAATTGTTAGGTGGTTTAGAAATACAAGATCAATAGAGTTTGAATTTTTTAATGTAAGTAACAAAATTTTGTTAAATAATTCCTTTTATTATCTCAGATTTTTTTTTTTTTTTTTTTTGAGACGGAGTCTCGCTGTCGCCCAGGCTGGAGTGCAGTGGCGCGATCTCGGCTCACTGCAGGCTCCGCCCCCCGGGTTCACGCCATTCTCCTGCCTCAGCCTTCCGAATAGCTGGGAGTACAGGCGCCCGCCACCTCGCCCGGCTAATTTTTTGTATTTTTAGTAGAGACGGGGTTTCACCGTGTTAGCCAGGATGGTCTCGATCTCCTGACCTCATGATCCGCCCGCCTCGGCGTCCCAAAGTGCTGGGATTACAGGCGTGAGCCACCGCGCCCGGCCTTATCTCAGATTTTTTAAGTGACTTAAAAGCTTTTTTTAAAAAAATTAGTGACTTAAAAAATTTTTTTTAAATTTCTTTTCCTGTAAAAGGATATTAAACTTTTGGTATATATGCTGACTTTCTTACAGGTGAATAAACTAAGGATTTCTGATGTTCTGCAGTTCTGAAATTTAGAGAATTGCTATATAAGGAGTGAGACGTAATGTTTTAGACCAGGAGCCCTGAAGTCAGACTGCATACTTACAAATCCAGGTTCTGCCACCTTAGTCATGAGACCTGGGAAAGTTATTTAATCTTTCTATACCTTAATTACTTCATTTAAAGATAGGGTTAATAATCTATACCTTATAGTTTTATTGTGATAGCTAAATGCATAAAAGTGCCTAGGATGGTGTTTAGAACATAGTTAATATTCAATAGATTTTGTTATTATTTTTGTGATGTGTTTAAAAGTTCCTTTTAATTTTTTCCTTCAAAGTCCACTTAACAAAAATGTAAACTTGGTGGACTGTTCACTCTTACCTGATAAGAGGATAGAATAAATGGAATTCTTTTAACTATCTTTAATAGTTGAAGAAGTCTGTTCTAGCATTTTTCTTTAAGAAGCTATGCTTTGGTGCTCTCAGATACATCAGTGTCCCCTGTGTAACATTCATACTTTGAACAATTTATGTTGTTTTCTAATACCTAATTAAAACTAAAGAGTAACTAGCAATTTTATCTTTTATTCAATAAGGAAGCACTAAGTAATATGGATGATTATGACAAAACCTGCTTGGAGTCTGCATTAGTTGGTGTTTGCAATATCGTTCAGCAAGAATGGGGTGGTGCAATTCCTTGCCAGGTAATGATCAATTCTTTTTCATTGCCCTAAGTTAACAACATTAACCACTGAGGTGCTTCGATTTTCTTCAGGCTCTGACACAGCATGCATTGTAATTTCTACAAACTACATTTTACACTATTGGTATCTTCTTAAGTGAAGGTACTAAATCAACACTAATGTGTTCAGAAAGCAGCAAAGTTATGCCTTAAGGAAAGCATCCTCCTAGTAAATTGACTTATTGCAAACTAGTACTGTTATATAAAACACAAAGGGCTCACAGTGGAATTTTTGAACTACAATCCCTGGAAGGGGTCATTATAATTTTGAGTGATAAAATTGTAAACATCAGTATAATATAGCCTGTCTTCATTATCTCAATGCAATTATTCAGCAGACTTTTTTTTTTTTTTTTTTTTGGAGACAGGGTCTCACTTTGTTGCCCAGGCTGGAGTGCAGTGGAGCTATTATGGCTCACTGTAGCTTCAACCACCGAGGCTCAGGTGATTCTCCCACTTCGTCCTCCTGAGTAGCTGAGACTACAGGCAAATGCCACCATACCTGGCTAATTTTTTACATTTTTTGTAGAGACCAGGTTTTGCCATATTGCCCAGGTTGGTCTCAAACTCCTGGCTCAGGCGATCCGCCCACCTCGTCTCCCAAAGTGTTGGGATTACAGGGGTGAGCCACTGTGCCCAGCTTTATTCAGCAAACTTAACCATCTCAACTGAGTTGTCTAAAAAGTGAGGAGTATAAAACATAAAATCTAGCCAGGCGCGGTGGCTCATGCCTATAATCCCAGCAGTTTGGGAGGCTGAGGTGGACGGATCACCAGGTCAAGAGATCGAGACCATCCTGGCCAACATGGTGAAACCCCCATCTCTACTAAAAATACAAAAATTAGCTGGGTGTGGTGGTGTGCACCTGTAGTCCCAGCTACTCTGGAGGCTGAGGCGGGAGAATCACTTGAACGTGGGAGGCAGAGGTTGCAGTCAGCCGAGATTGCGCCACTGCACTCCAGCCTAGCGACAGAGCGAGACTGTGTGGCAAAAACAAACAAACATAAAGTCTGTTGCTCTTTACTTAGACTCCACAGTAGGCCACATTAGTATCAAATCAGAGCAGAGTAGTAGCAGAAAAAGATAACTGGAAATTTGTTCTATACAGATACTTTTGAAAAGTAGTAGCATATTTTGAAGGAAAAAGCAGAAACATTGCTAAAAGAAAAATCATAATAGTCTACAACAGGAGTCCGCAAGTTTTTTTGTATTTTAGGCTTTGTAGGTGTCTGTGGCAACTACTCAGCTCTGCTGTTATAGCATGAAAGCAGCCATAGATAATAAGTAAATGAATGGGTAGGGCTGTGTTTAAATAAAACTTTATTTACAAAAACAGACAGTGGGCCAAATTTAGCCTGTGGGCCATGGTTGGCTGGACCCTGGTGTGTGACTTTTCATTATGGGGTCAAACAAAGGATTCCTCAGTAATGTCAGTAGCATCACTAGTATTTATTTATTAATAAAAAAAAAAAAAGATTGTAGCTAGGCATGGTGGCTCACACCTATAATCCTAGCACTTTGTGAGGCCAAGGTGGGAGGATAACTTGAGCCCAGGAGTTCAAGACCAGCCTGGACCACATAGTGAGGCCCTGTCTTAAAAAAAATAAGATTGTAGTTGCCTGGGAGTCAGGGAAAGGTATGAATTGACTCAAAAGAAGCAGGAGGGAATCTGGGACGTGTTGGGACTATTCTTTATCTTGTTTGTGGGGGTGGTTACACGACTGAATACAACTGTCAAAACTCATAGAACTGTATACTAAAAAGGGTGATTTTACTGCATGTAAGTTATATCTCAATAAACTCACCTTTAGAAAACAACAAAAACATTTTTTCTTGTGAAAACCTCCCTGTTTTATAGAATATAGTGGATACTTGCTGAAGAAATCAATAGATGCCTTTTGATCAATTTCTTTTCTGAAATAAAAAAGCTTTTTATGGCATCTCAGCTTATAGGCATTACTTATTTTGGTAAATCCATGCATATAGGATGTCTTATTTCCTAACATTATAGTGAATAAATGAAGTTTTGTTGTCAGTATCTTCTGAACTGAAAGCTAGCAAGTAGCACAGTTTCATTTGCTATTTCTTCTTTGGTTTTAGAGGAGAAATTCAGATTTTAAGAACCAGACCTTGTGCATCATGCAGACTTCTGACTTTTATGATTTTCTTCTTTTGAAAAAAAGGAAGAATCTGAATTTGAGACAACGTGAGGGCAAGGGGCCAAGCCTGAATCTGTCTCTACTAAAAATAAAAAAATTAGCCAGACGTGGTGGCGCATACCTGTAATCCCAGCCACTCAGGAGGCTGCGGCAGGAGAATCGCTTGAACCGGGGAGGCAGAGGTTGCACTGGTCAGCCAAGATTGTGCCATCGCACTCCACCCTGGGCAACAAGAGAGAAACTCCGTCTCAAAAAAAAAAAAAACATTGTAGTAGAGGTGGTGTTTACTGGTTATTGTTTTTATAATCAGTTACTATAAAACAAACTTGCTTAAATGTGGAATTTTTGGCCAGGCGCGACGGCTCACGCCTGTAATCCCAACACTTTGGGAGGCTGAGGTGGGCAGATCACCTGAGGTCAGGAGTTAAACACAAGCCTGGCCAACATGGTGAAACCCTGTCTCTACTAAAAATACAAAAATTAGCTAAGTGTGGTGTCGTTCATCTGTAATCCTAGCTACCTGGGAGGCTGAGGTAGGGGAATCACTTGACCTGGGAGGTGGATTTTGTAGTGAGCCGAGAACGTGCCACTGCACTCCAGTCTGGGCAACAGAGCGAGACTCTGTCTTAAAAAAAAAAAAAAAAAGTGGAATTTTTAGCCAAGATTTTGTTTTTTATTTATTATTATTTTTTTGAAACAGAGTCTTGCTCTGTCGCCCAGGCTTGAGTGCAGTGGCATGATCTCAGCTCACTGCAGCCTCTGCCTCCGGGCTCAAATGATTCTCATGACTCAGCCACCTGATGAGTAGCTGGGACTGCAGGAGTGTGCCATCACGCCCTACAGAAGTGCACTACCACACCCAGCTAATTTTTGTATTTTTAGTAGACAAGGTTTTGCCATGTTTGCCAGGCTGGTCTTGAACTCCTTGCCTCAAGTGATCCTCTGGCCTCAACCTCCCAAAGTGCTGGGATTACAGCTGTCAGCCACCACACCCAGCCTTAACCAAGGTTTTAGACAGCTGTACTGTGTCTTTATTATTTAGTAAAGTCTGTTTCATTTTGACATTACGTGAAATATTTCATTATCCCATAGCATCTGAAAAAGCCGATGGAGGTAAATCATTGTATAGCAATTCTTGGTACCTAGAAAAGGAAATTGCCTTGTAGTCAATTGACTGTCATGCCAAAAGATGACATCCTTCCAGGGGACCTCTATTAAGCATTCTTGGGCTTTATCAGTAAGTGCCAATCTTGATATTTCACACAGTGCCACCACTTAATACTGCCTTAAGGGCCGGGCGCGGTGGCTCACGCCTGTAATCCCAGCACTTTGGGAGGCCGAGGCTGACGGTTCACAAGGTCAGGAGTTCGAGACCATCCTGGCCAATATGGTGAAACCCCGTCTCTACTAAAAATACAAAAATTAGGTGGGCTTTATGGCACACACCTGTAGTTCCAGCTGCTCGGGAGGCTGAGGCAGGAGAATCACTTTAACCTGGGAGGCGGAGGTTGCAGTGAGCTGAGATCACGCCACCGCACTCCAGCCTGGGTGACAGAGTGAGTCTCCTTGTCAAAAAAAAAATACTGCCTTAATGGCCTATTGTTATCAAGTTACTGGACTAGGCTAGGGAGAGCAAAAATAATCCTCTCCTGGGATGCATGGGAAGTCTGTCCACCACAGGATCATTCTGAAGCAATGAAGAAAAGGAAAATGATTTTGCAATTACTATCCATTGTTGGTATATTTTGTTGGTTTTTTCAAATTACAGGTTAAGAATGCGTTTTAAAGATCTTATATATTTCTGGTTAAATAGCCTTTATAAATACATATTCTAACTAGGTGTCATTTTAGTTGACCAGGCGTAGAGTTTGTCATCTTTGAAAATAAAGTGGCAAAGTTCAGACTACTGTGCTGGTACTTCCTAGGAGCACATGTGAAATGAATCTTCATTCCATATTTGACATTGTTATGTTAGGTACCAACTCCTTATCTAAGAGTTGGGGTTCTAGTTTTAATACAATTAAGTAAGAATTGGTTGTGAATGTTTTTGTCCTTTTTTAAGTGTTCAGAGGCAAGCTTTTAAAAAATATTTTATTAGATGAAATAGAGTAAAACACATTGATCTTAAGTATACAGTTCACTGAGTTTTGACAAATGTATACACCTATATAACCACTACTACAATTAAGATATAGTATTCTTTATCCTATAATGTGGAGTGGGGTTCTAGCACCTCACAAAATTTTCTCGTGCCTTTTTTTGTTGTTTTTTTTTTTTGCGGGGCCAGGTTGAGGGTTTATTTTGTTTTTCCAAACAGGGTCTCACTTTGTTACCCAGGCTGGACTGCAGTGGCATACTCACTGTAGCCTCGACTTCCCAGGCTCAAGTGATCCTCCCACCTCAGCCTCCCAAGTAGCTGGGCCTGCAGGCACGCACCACCATGCCCAGTTAATTCTTGTATTTTTTGTAGAGGCAGGGTTTCACCATGTTGCCTAGGCTGGTCTTGAACCCCTGGCCTCTAGTGATCTGCCTGCCTTGGCCTCCCAAAGTGCTGGGATTACAGGTGTGAGCCACCATGTCAGGCCTGTTTTTTTTGTTTTGTTTTGTTTTGTTTTGTTTTAAAAAGACAGAGTCTCTCTGTTGCCTAGGCTGGAGTACAGTGATGTGACCATGGCTCACTGCAGCCTTGACCTCCCAGGCTCAAGTGATCCTCCCACCTCAGCCTCCCAACGTGCTGGGACCACAGGTGCATGCCACCACTCCTGGCTAATTTTTTTTTTCTAAGTTTTTTTAGAGATGGGGTCTCCTTATGTTGCCCAGGCTGGTCTCAAACTCCTAGGCTTAAGCAGTCCTGCCTTGGCCTCCCAAAGCACTGGGATTACAGGCTTGAGCCACCATAGCCAGCCCTGGTGCCCCTTTCTAGCAGTGAAAACACTGCTAAATGGGACTGCGTTAAATATGTAATTTAATGTACAACCTCCTCTCTCTCTTTTTACAAACAGGTTGTCCTGGTGACAGACGGCTGTCTTGGCATTGGTAGAGGGTCACTGCGACATTCCCTAGCCACTCAAAATCAACGAAGTGAGAGCAACAGGTTTCCACTACCTTTTCCTTTCCCATCTAAGTTATATATCATGTGCATGGCGAATTTGGAGGAGGTAATACCTTTTGCTAAGTTTTTAGTTTGATTAGGCATATTTTACAGCTTAGTTTATTTTTCAGTATATACCACTAGTGCTATATTGTATATACTGTAGCATTGAACTCCATTGGTTTCAGCTGAGGCTGGTATTTTATTTGAAAAGATTCTGGGTCTCAAATGTTCTTTGAAATTTCAGAGTGTTGCCTCATCTGGGGAACATAGCTGGAGTTGTTATCCATCCTGCTGATGGGTGCATAAAGGGTCAAGGTGTTCTTTTTGGTGTTGTTCATTTCCCTTATATAGAATTCTTATGTCCATTCCACCAGAAATGTTGACAAGAGTGTGCTTTGACTTTGACAGAAGAGTAAAGTAACATTATTCTGATACACGTTTTATTAAACACTTAAATTCTTGGTTTTCCCATTCATTTGGGAAGGTGATTTAACCTTTTTTCCCCTCAGTTTTTCTCTCTGTAAAATGTAGATAATGATGGTTCTCACCAAAAGACGTTAGAAACACTTTGGAGGGAAGATGCTGTGTAAATACTGTGGTCACCTCTGAGAATCTTTGCAAAACTACTCCTGAATGAAATAGCTCTACCTGTGTTATTTTACGTAACATTCCTCTTTGGTAACCTTGAGTCAAAATTGTTGTTGTTATTTTCTTCTCACATTGGCTATTAAAAAAATCATCTGTTATTTATTGCCTATGTTATCGTAATGGCTTTGACCTTGGTGAGCTGAGAATAATCTGGCATTTTGTGCCAGCCACTTTAAGGGTCATCTGTTTTGCTTTATAGCTCCAGAGCACCGATTCCTTGGAATGCCTTGAACGTCTCATAGATTTAAACAATGGTGAAGGGCAGATTTTTACTATTGATGGCCCCCTGTGCTTGAAGAATGTACAGTCTATGTTTGGGTGAGTATATGCTTAGAGCTCTTTTGCCTTCTTTACAATCCAGTATTATAATTTGACATCCAGGAAGACTATCTGTTTTACTGTTCCTAATTGTGTCATTTCATTTTCCCCAAGTTGTACATTTTTCAGATAAAGTGATGGGTAGTAATGGTTTTTTAAAGTAAATCTATACTGTCTGTAGATACTGACTTCCTTATAATGACTCAGCAAAATTTCAAATTAACTTGCTCTTGGGCTTTTCAGAATTGAAATTTCCTCACCAAAAATGTCAGATTTTGTTCTGTTTTACAGATGGTCAGATCTTAGTTTTGGAACCAACTTGAAAGGAAAACAACCCTTGCGTCCTGAAAAATTAACTTCATATGTATCGTATTACTCTTCCTATAACTATTAATTATCATATTCTAGAAAACTGATAGATTTGGCATATACGCCTTTCCATGCTGTTCTCAAGTGTGGCCACCTAACTGCTGATGTACAAGTCTTCCCCAGGCCAGAACCTTTTGTTGTAGATGAAGAAATTGATCCTATCCCTAAAGTCATTAACACAGGTAACTTTTTAAAAAAACTTATTTCTTAGTTTCTCTGTTATCCTTACTTTCTTCTGACTTGTGACTTTTACTCTCTTCTCTGTCTAGGAAGGTTGAAAAGAAATATATATTGTGGTACAGGTTGAGTATTCCTTACCCAAAATGCTTGGGAACAGAGGTGCTTTAGATTTCAGATTTTTTGGGGTTTGGGATATTTGCATTTTACTTAGTGATTGAGCATCCTTAATCTGAAAATCCAAAGTGCTCCAGTGAGCATTTCCTTTGAGCTTCGTGTCAGCTTCGTGCATGTGTAATAGTTGTGGATTGTTGAGCATTTCGGATTTCAGATTTTCAGATAGGGGATACTCAACCTGTACTAGGGTGCTGTTGTCATCAGCACTTTGGATTGGAAGATTCATTACCTAAGGGGTGGCAGAATATTGGTCTTTTATGGTAAGGTCATCAGTTGATCTCCAATCCTAGATAATTATAACCACGAATTATTAGAGTTGGAAATCATAGCCGTATTCACTAGCATTGAAATCTTTGAGATGATTCTTAATAGACATACTGAACTTAATTAGTATCATAATTAAGGTCATATAAGAAGGGCTAGCTTCTATACTTTGCAGTATGACTCTTGATATGTGACCCTGGGAAGTCTTCCTCTAGTTCTTATTGGCTAGGCAGGGAGAATCAACCAGATGGTCTTGGAGTTCTTGGATCTGATATAGTGTACTCTTCTAGCACTGCTGCTTATATTATGACTGAAAGAAAGTGATGTACCACAGCTTTTACCTGGTTCGTGTTGCCAATACTATGCTTAACTGAGACTGGCAAAGTGAAGAGTCAAAAATAGCAAGGAGCAGTGGAGAGGAGACTTGCTTCCTATTGGTGGGTGGACTCCTTGAATCTTAGGTGCATGTTAAATCTTTTAGGGCTGGATATTATCAGTGTTTCAGTCACCATTACAGCCTTGATGTCCAGCATAGTGCCTGACACTTAGTAGGTGCCCAATAGGTAATTGTTCAGTCAATAAATGATTAGAATTAAATGTTCAGTGAATGCTCATTGTTTGTGGTATACAGATTTTTAAGGAGTGTTGGAGTGAGGGGCTGTGAACAGTCTTTTTACTTTTTGTGCCTTTAGCTTCTGGAAGCAAGGCATCCATCTCTTCTACTGTGACTAGACAGTAGTACATTAAGTTGTACCAAAAGTCTTGTTGCCTTCATAACAGTTAGATTCCACTTCCTTCCCATCCTTTTTCGATGAGTAAATTTGAATAGGTCTTTTCTTTCCCATATAAACTCTTAGTGGAAGATCTTTCTTGCAGCTAAACTGCTTTAAAATAAAGTAGACCTTTTTCTACTCAAATGAAAAATATCTAGCTGCTTATACTAATGCATTTATTACTCAGCTAAGGGAGGTATGGACAGCAAATCTCCAGAGAAGCACACTTCCTAATATTTTAGAAATAGGGTCGGGCACGGTGGCTCACACCTGTAGTCCCAGCAGTTTGGGAGGCCAAGGCGGGCGGATCACCTGAGGTCGGGAGACCAGCCTGACCAACATGGAGAAACCCCGTTTCTACTAAAAATACAAAATTAGCCAGGCGTGGTGGCACATGTCTATAATCCCAGCTGCTTGGGAGGCTGAGGCAGGAGAATCACTTGAACTCAGGAGGAGGAGGTTGCAGTTAGCTGAGATTGCGCCATTGCACTCCAGCCTGGGCAACAAGAGCGAAACTCCATCTCAAAAAAAGAAAAAAGAAATATAAGGTGTTCACCATGATTCTGATTTTTAAAAATTCTTTTGAAAATATGGGTATTAATCTAGAAGAAAGACTGAAAAGCACATCAATAAAATATTAATAGAGATTTCCTTTGATTATGAATAATGAGTGACTTTTTCTTCTTTATAATTTTTATTGTTTTTAAGTTTTTATATTATATAATCGAAATGTTTAAGTTCTTTTGGTTACAACATTCATTTTTATTTATTTTAGGTTTTCAACAAATACTTTTGGTCTTTACTACAGCGTCTATAAAGCAGAGAAGTCATTGTCATATTTAGACTGCTTACCCTAGTTTTGTAGAGAATACAGTTCTTTCTCAGAGAGATGTTTTTAATACAATAGCTTTATTCTTCAAAGGCTGAGTGTAGTTGCTGCGGAAGTGTTTGACTATGATGCCCCCTGGTGACCTGAACATCCCTGACTACACAGAGGGATTAGACCTTTCAGTTTTTGCCTTGGCTGGGGTCCTAACCTTATAAAAATAAAATTTAGCTGATTTTGTCATATAACTTAGACTCATTAAATCAATGACAGTTATCATTATTTCCTGAGCAGCTTAAAATGCAAATTATTAGACGACTCCATATACAAATCTAATAACTTTCCCAGTCATCATATTTGAAACCCCAACCTAAACAGTGCATTTGTGAAATGTAATACATGGAAAATAATGTACTTTTCCATAGAATGAATTAATTCTGTGTTGATTCCTTCATTTCAGATTTGGAAATAGTGGGATTTATTGATATAGCTGATATTTCAAGTCCCCCAGTTCTGTCCAGACATCTGGTCTTACCTATAGCACTTAACAAAGGTGAGTTCCTATTCCACTGATACGTCTGAAGCGTCTTATTAACTAAAGTTGTTCTTAAATCTTAGATAGTAGGATAGCCCATTTTGCAGAATTTAGGGGAAAGGAATAGTTACAGAATTGGATTTTAGAAAATGGAATATTGCCTAATATATCAAAAAAGTAATTCTGCTTTACATGGTAGAAACATTTTGACACATATTTACTGTGTGTTGGTTTGTGAATTGACAGTGGAGGTCCTCTTTAGAGATGAGAATGCTTAGTCCCTCATCCAGGGCTCTGCCTTTCCTAGTACTAACATGCTGAGAAAGCTTAAGTAGTTATCAGATGGTTACTTGATAAATGTGCAAGTCAAATACAGCTTTATACACGGAAGAATCACATCTGTTCTTTGTTCTACTGGTGCCCAGCACATAGTAGATAACTCAGTAAATATTGTTGAATGAATGGGTGAATCCAGGCCCTTGTGGGTCCTCCTTACTGCAGCATATATCTCTAGGAACTATAAAGTCATCTCCTCAAATTCAGCATCTCTCTGGAGAATGCTAGACTCTAACTCTTTAAAATTATCTTTTTCAGGGGTGGCACTGTGCTGTGGTGGGTATAGAGCAGGAGCTTTTGTCCCTGACTGGCTACAGGTTCAAATCCTAGTTCTACCCTTAAAATTATCTTTTCCTCTGTTTTAAGCTGACCATCCACTTTATATTTATCAGCTTTCTCTAAGAACTGTATGTAGTCAGTCAGGTTTTCACATACTGAGTAATGACCACATCCCATTTATGCCCAGGTTATCTCAGTTGGAGTATTGGATATTCTATAACCAATCACATGTTCACAGACAGAATCTTGAATATATACCCACAGACAGCTTTATAATCACTGTGTTGGTAATTATTATTCTCAGAGAACAGCCAGATTTCCCTTAGTTCTAAGGCCCTGGGGAATTCTGCATGCCAGTATACTTACCAAGAAAGAAATTAAGCAAAATAAACCATTTATATAGGGGAATAGTGAAAAGAAAAATACGGGAAGGTGGCCGGGCGCGGTAGCTCACACCTGTAATCCCAGCACTTTGGGAGGCCAAGGCGGGTGGATCACAAGGTCAGGAGATTGAGACCATCCTGACTAACATGGTAAAACCCCATCTCCACTAAAAATACAAAAAAAAAAAAAAAAAAACCTGGGCGTAGTGGCAGGCGCCTGTAGTCCCAGCTACTCGGGAGGCTGAGGCAGGAGAATGGGGTGAACCTGGGAGGCGGAGTTTGCAGTGAGCCGAGATCGCGCCACTGCACTCCAGCCTGAGCAACAGAGCAAGACTCCATCTCAAAAAAAAAAAAAGAAAGAAAAAGAAAAATATGGGAAAGCAGAGTAGGGCCATTTTGTAAGGGCTGTTGAATTTTCTAGCTAAACTGGGCTAATTCTTCCTGTTGAATTAGAAAGTCTTTGAACAAAGCAGAGCAGACAGATATTTTTAGAGGGAAGTTAATTGTAGGAAGATTCATCTGTCAGCAGAGTGTGAGAGAAACTGGAGAATCCAGTCAAAAAGCTTATAATCATTGTTTACCTTTGGGGACTCACATGCATGTGCTGCCCTAAGCCTGTTGGTTATGAATGCACTTGACATCTCTGTATCTAATTCTGTTTAAATGGGTGCCTGAAGCTTCCAGATAGCATCTAACTAAACATCCTAGTGGAACTGTGGAGAATGGATTTTTGTGTGTAAGCTTTACTGAGATATAATTCACATACCATATACTTCACCCATTTAAAGTGGTTTTTAGTATATTTGCAGAGTTGTGCAACCATCACCACAATCAATTTGAGAACTTTTTTATAACCCCAAAAAGAAACCCTGTACCCTTTAACTATCAACTCCCAGACCCCTCCCCCCATTTCCCCTACCCCAAATAACCACTAATATCCTTTCTGTATATATAGATTTGCCTATTCTGGATGTTTTATATAAATGGAATTCATATAATGTGTGGAAACTGACTTTTATGTAGATATTGGAAAACTGGAATGAGTTTTTCCTGCTTGTTATAATATTCCCTTAGAACTCTACACTATCCCTTAAAGGCTAGAAACATCCAAGAGTATAAATTGGGGTTTGGGGTTTTTGTAGGTAATTTCAGTCTGACCTGTTTTCTCTTTTTTTCACAGAAGGTGATGAGGTGGGTACTGGCATCACTGATGACAATGAAGATGAAAATTCAGCCAATCAGATTGCAGGCAAAATACCCAACTTTTGTGTCCTGCTCCATGGTAGCCTAAAAGTGGAAGGAATGGTAGCGATTGTTCAATTAGGGTAGGAAACTTTGTTTACATTTGGTTGAATGAAAGGGAAAATCATTTTACAAAGTGAAGTATTTTGCAGACTTTTCTGAAGGAAATAGAAAGGTCCTTGTCACCTTTTTCCTTTTCCTGCCACACACTTTTCCCACCTGCTACTACAGTCCTTTTTTTTTGTTTTTTTTGAGACGAGGTCTTGCTCTGTCCCCCAGGGGTACAGTGGCATGATCACGGCTCACTGCAGCTTCAGCCTCCCAGGCTCAAGCAATCCTCCCATCTCAGCCTTCCAAGTAGCCATGACCCAGGTGTGCACCACCATGCCTGGCTAATTTTTTTTTTTTTTTTTTAATTTATAGAAGTGGGGTCTCACTGTGTTGCCCACACTGGTCTTGAACTCCTGGGCTCAAGGATCCTCCCACCTTGGCCTCCCAAAATGCTGGGATTACGGGCATTGAGCCACAGTACCTAGCTGCTATTACCTTCTAAACTACTCTTTTAATCATCCCCTAGAATAAGTGTGGAGTGAGCCTTTTAATTACGTTGCCTTTATTTTATATCCTTTCTCAATTTTCCTCTTTCTAATCCTATCTAGAATACCTGGGTTCTGGTTATAGCAATGCTACTAACTTGCTTTAGGATCTTAGGCAGGATTCACAGACTTCTCATCTATAAAATGAGGGGATAGAACGAAACAAAAAAAAAGATGCTAATAACATTGAGCATTTTATTATGTGCCAGGCACTCCTCTAGGTATTTTACATATGTTAGCACATTTAATCCCTCATAACAACACTATATGGGAGGTATCAGCATTATCCCTATCTATAGATGAGGAGACAGGCTTAAGAGAGGTTGTGGAACTTGCCCAAGGTCACACAGCTAGTAATGAAAGAACCATGATTCTTACCCATGCATTCTGACTCCAGAGCCTACTCATAATCATTCTGCTGTGTTCCTTCCCTGTGAGGAAACCCCGTTAGCTTTTACATTTTCTGAAGTCTCAAAATCTGCAAAACCATCTATTTCCCTTTCTATAATACATATTTTTAGAAAAAAGGAGGTCACTGATCATTTTCTGGCCACTACCTGGGGTTGGCTGGTATAGATCAAGAGTTAGGATTAATTAAAGGAAGCATGGCTCCATTTCTGCTACAGTTAAAATTAGCTGGTCCAAAAAGAGGAATGCAGATCTTACTAGATATTAGTCTGCTATATTTCTTGGCACCCAAGCTACTTGTACTGGTCTGAATATGAGAATCATCTGGGACCCTTTGAGAAACTGGGGACAGAGTCTCTTTTACATAACAGGATGATGGCCTTGAGCCCTGTGGTAGAAGGGCTTCTCTTGGTGCTGCTGTGAGTGACTCAGTGAGGCAGGTGACAGGACCTATAGGTCACAGCCTTTACCCCTCCTCATCACCTCTCCAGCTACTTGCTGCCCTTTGTGATTTGTTTTTTCTCTTTCAAGATTGCTTTTGATTTCCATATCCACATAATTTTACCTGAATAATAATAAATGTCTCAGAAGAATGGAAATATTAGGGGACAGCAGTATGCATTTTCAGGTTTAGGGTTTGGCTTTGGTAAAAGTAGTGTGCCTGATTTCAAAGCTGAAGCCTGTGTCTCTCAAGAGAAAAATACAGGCTAGACTTATTTAACTTGACAGTCTCAGGCTTGATGTTCTTCTGATCTTCCGTCTTCTCTCCATCTAGTCCTGAATGGCATGGAATGCTCTACTCCCAAGCTGACAGCAAGAAGAAATCAAACCTCATGATGTCTCTCTTTGAGCCTGGCCCAGAACCTCTCCCATGGCTAGGGAAAATGGCACAGTTGGGTCCTATTTCAGGTATAATCCAGATCAGATTTTACTTATCCTGACTTTGTTTTCATTCTGCTGTTCTCAATGTCTCTGACTGTGCAGTCAGAGAACTGATTGATCTCCCTTACTGGTATGCCATGGTCTCGGATGATGCTGGATGTGTACGGTGAAAACTTGAAGAGAGTTTGATGTTTGAACTCCTAAATTTTACAGCTCAGGAGAAATCAACATTTAGATTGCTTTAAGTAAATGCAAATTCTTCAGCGGCTTAGAGTGAAAAACTAATCTCCATAATTTTTTTTCTTGGTGTACTATAGTTCAAGTAATTTCCTGTCATTCCTAGATAATGTAATCTTTCCTCCTTCTTGAAACTTTTTTTCTGTAGCTTTCCTGACATTGCTTCTGGTACCGATTTGACTTTTTCTTTGGCGGACTTTTCTTTCTCTCTTCGTTTTGTCTTTTCTTCTCCTTGCCTCATGGTTTCCAACATGTTCTTTGCCTTCTTCTCTTTGGTTATTCTTCTCCCTTGGTTATTTTATCAGCTGTAATAACTTCACATTTCCCAAATCTATAACTCTAGTCTTACCTGATCTCTCCCTGGAATTTGCATATCATATTTCCAGTTCCTAGTTGGATCTCTACACCTGGATATTCTGTCACAGTCTCAAGCTCAGCTGTTTGTTACAGACCTATTGTCCCGCACCCCTTTCTCCTCAAACTATTCCTCCTTCTGATTTTCCTCCTCCTTTTGATTAAGTCATTTGTGCCACTAGCTACTCAGGTTCCAACTGTAGTCATCTTTGACTCATTTGGGCCCATTTCAATTTCAGGAACATCTACCAAGCAACCTATTCTGTGCCAGGCCTAAGGGATAAAGAGTTAGCTGGAGTTGTTCAAAGTCTAGTGGAAAGTGGAATGATCACAGACTGGCACAAATCAGAGTTAGCCTGGAGGAGATGATGATGAGCTCTGCCTAGAGGACTCAGGAGAATCTTCACAGAGGAGAAATACCCTAGTTGAGTTTTGAAGAAAAGGAGGAACTTGCTGAGCTAATGAAGGGAAGAAAGGGCATCCTGGGCAAACAGAACACCTACAGAAAGAAAAGGAAGTGTGGCACAAAATGTGAGAGTGGGTGTGGGAGGGGCAGATGGTAGATTGGAGATTGGTAGTAGCTAGAGTGGAGCAGGCCTTGTCTGAAATGTGAAGAACCAGGAATTTATCTTGCAGATACTGGGAAACCACTGAAGAGGAGTAATGTGATCAGATCCTTCTGGCTACAGTGAGAACAGGGGGATACCAGTTAGGAAACTATATTTTAGGGGCTGGTGCCCCCTGCAGTTGTACAGTATGGCCATAATCCAAGTGAGAGATAAGAAATTTGTATTTAGAAAGATATCTCTGTGGAGTGTGGATCTGAAAAGGCAAGGACCTGTGGCTGAAAGTTACTGTGTTAATCCTGGAAATGTGAAGATGAGAGCCAGACCGTGGCAATAGCTGGGGGTAAAAGATATTTAGGAGGTAGGATCAATAATGTTTGGATATGAAAATTATGGAGAGAGAAGTGTTAAAATTGATCCCAGGTTTCTGACCTGGGCTGCAGGGTGAAAGATAGTACTATTAGTTGAAATAGATAATACAGAGAGAAGAGTAAATTTGGGAAGAACATATTTTGTTTATGTTGAGTTCGTGCCTGTGAGATACAGGTGGAGGTACCTAGAGACAATTCTGTAGAAGTCTGAAGTTTAGGAGAGAGGGCAGAGTTGGAGATAAAATTTTAGGTTGTAAGCCTATCATAAATAGTTAAAATGGTGAGAATGAGGGAGATTGCTCAGGGCAGTGGTTCACAAATTTTGAGTTTTTGTGTACAAAAATAAACTTGGAATAAATACCACATGTTCTCACCCATATATGGAAGCTGAAAAAAAATGAGCTCATAGAAGTACAGAGTAGAATCTAGAATCATGGTCATTAGAGGTTGGGAAGGGTAGTGAGGAGAGGAGAATAGGCAGAGGTAACAGATACAAAGTTACAGCTGTTAGGGAGGAAAAAGTTCAGTGCTCTGTAGCATGGTAGCCTGAATATTGCTCACAATAATTTAGTGTATATTTTCAAACAGCTAGAAGAGAGGATTTTGAATATTCACAACACAAAGAAATGATAAATATTCAGCCAGGTGTGGTGGCTCATGCCTGTAATCCCAGTACTTTGGGAGGCCAGGGCAGGTGGATCACTTGAGTCCAGGAGTTTGAGACCAGCCTGGCCAACATAGCGAAACCCTATCTCTACCAAAAATACAAAAATTTGCTGGGCATGGTGGTGTGCACCTGTGGTCCCAGTTACTCAGGGGGCGGAGGTGGAAGGATCGCTTGAGCCCAGGAAGCAGAGGCTGCAGTGAGCCCTGATTGCATCGCTGCACTCCAACCTGTCTGGCCCTCACAGAAAAAGTTTGCCAACCTCTGACTAGACTATTGTGATGGTTTTCACCAAAGATGCCTATCTATAATCTAAGATAGTAGTAGCATTCAGACTCCTTTCTGATCTGGCTTCCAACATAGCAACACTTGGCTTGTTACAATTGTTCTTCATTCCAGTTGAACTGCTGTTCACTCTGCCCTGTGTTCATGTTGTTTTTTCCTCCTGGATCTGTTCTGCTTTTCAGTGTGGATAATAATAGCTAATATTATAATGAACTTAACTTTGTGCCAGGCACTGTGCTGGACATAATGAGCATACCATCTCATTTAACTCTCACAGCAGTCTTGGAATTGGAATTATGATAACAAATAACAATTAATAATAAAACTTACCTCAGAGGGTTGTTGAGCAAAACATGCAAAATAGCACTATTGTTTGTACCAATCCCTCCTACTCCCAATTCTGTTCCTAGAGACAACTACTTTTTAAAACTTATTTGTTTCTTTTGGTATTTATTTATATTTCTTTTTTTTTTTTTAATTGAGACAGAGTCTCACTCCATCGCCCAGGCTGGAGTGCAGTGGAGCAGTCTTGGTTCACTGCAACCTTCACCTCCCAGGTTCAAGCAATTCTTCTGCCTCTGCCTCCCTAATAGCTGTGACTACAGGCACAAGCCACCATGCCCGGCTAATTGTTGTATTTTTAGTAGAGATAGGGTTTCATCATGTTGTTGGTCAGGCTGGTCTCAAACTCCTGACCTCAAGTAATCCTCCTGCCTCGGCCTCCCAAAGTGCTGGGATTACAGGCGTGAGCCACTCTGCCCAGCCTTATTTACATTTCTAAATAATATAGGTATGTCCCTATTTCTGTCAGGGGTTCCCCCATTTTATTATTATTATTATTATTTTATTTATTTATTTTGAGATGGAGTCTTGCTCTGTTGCCCAGGCTGGACTGTAGTGGCGTGATCTCAGCTCACTACAACCTCTGCCTCCTGTATTCAAGCAATTCTCGTGCCTCAGCCTCCCCAGTAGCTGGAACTGCAGGTGTCCACCACCACGCTTGGCTGATTTTTGTATTTTTAGTAGGTACGGGGTTTCACCATGTTGGCCAGGCTGGTCTCAAAACTCCTGACCTCAAGTGATCCTCCCGCCTTGACCTCCCAAAGTGCTGGAATTACAGGCACGAGCCACTGTGCCCGGCCTCCCGTCTTATTATTTTTTATTTATTTTTTGAGACAGGGTCTCACTCTGTCACCCAGGCTGAAGTGCAGTGGCACAGTCTTGGCTCACTGCAGCCTTGACCTCTCGGGTGATCCTCCCACCTCAACCTCTCATGTGGCTGGGACCACGGGTGCATGCCACCATGCCTGGCTAATTTTTTTGATTTTTTTATAGAGACAAGATCTCACTATGTTGCCAAGGCTGGTCTCAAACTCCTGGGCTAAAGCAATCCTCCACCTTAGCCTCCCAAATTGTTGGGATTACAGGCGTGAGCCACCACACTCAGCCCTTTTCCCCCATTTTAGATGCCATTTTTTGACTTTTTAAAGGATGAATATTTAGCTCTATTAACACCACCATCTCCCACCCACCTACACAAGACGCACATTTCCCCTCCTACTATCCTCCCAATATAGTTATAATGTTCTTTTTGGTTAAATCAGTATTCAGTCCTTGTTACATGATGTAAATGTTATTTACAACTAAGCTATACCAATTTGTATTTCCTTTGTTTTGCAACTTTTTGTCCCCTAGCTCAGTCCCAGTTATTTTTTTTCTTTGCTTGTTTTCTATATAACTAATTCCTCCCTAAGTAAAATACATTCTTCAGGTATTTTCTCAGTTTCCTTTTTTTTTCTTAGCGTCATCTCCCATCCTCCTGCTTCATAAATGGTATGGTTATTCCCCAGACCTGTTGCATAGGTGTTGTCCTGAGTCTCCCCTTTACATCTCTCCTATGGATCTCCTGTTCATAACTCCTCCTGAAAAAAAGGGTACATGGGAAGTAAATATTTTGAAATCTTGTATATTTTGAAAATATATATATGTTTATTTCATTCTTTATATTTAATGATAGTTTGGTTGGGAATTGAGTTCTAAGTTGGAAGTCATTTTCCCTCAGAGTTTTGAAGCATTACTCTGTTGTCTCTTCTGGAGTCCAGTGTTGCTACGGAAAGTTAGTGCCATGGTGACTCAAAGACCTTTGACCCTGAACTGTATTTTCTCCATATTCCTTGGTGATCTTCTTTGTATCCCTGGTATTCTGAATTTCAGAATGTTGGTCTCTTCATTGATTTTGCTAGGCACTCAGTGGACCCTTTCCATCTGGCAATTCATGATCTTCAGTACTGGGAAGATCAATTATTTCTTTGATTTCCTCTTTCTGTATTCTCTGTTCTCCTTTTCTGGAACATATATTTGTGATTTGTGTTTGTAATTTTCTATCTCTTTCTGCCCATTTTCCCATTTTTAAAATTTTTGTTCTGTCTTCTGTATCTTCAAATTTATCTTATAACTTTTATTTTTTGTTTATACTATCTTTTTAAAATTTCTTCTTTCATAAATGTAATATTTCCTGTCTCCTAAGCCAGTTAGTTACCACATATAGGCTCCAGACAACTAATGACAGTACAAAATAGGCTCTGATTAGATGTTGAAATGTTTGGTACTGATACTAAGTGCTAGGGGATAAAAGGGTCTACAAAAACCACTATCTGCCAGAAAAACTTGAAACAATTTCATGGAAGGGGTAAGATAGGATCTGGACTTGGAATATAGGTAGGTAAGTTTGGATAAGTAAGGAACAGCAGTGTTGAATGGTGGAAAAAGTGTTGGCTTTTGAAGCAGGCCCAACTGAGTCACTGTGAAACCTTGTATAAGTCCAACCTCTCTGTGCCTTAGTTTCCTCATCTTTAATGGGACTAATAACATCTTCGCTCTAGAGTTGCTATAAAGAGAGAAGTTGAATATGTAAAGTATCTTGCACATAGTTGGAACTTAATAAATATTCTTTATTCTGTAAGTTCCTTGAGGCTGAAAAGTATCTTCTCTAGGCACAATTCCTGGCACAGTGCTTGCTACGTAGTGGGGTCTTACTATAGATAATGAATGAATAAGTGAATGAGTAAATGAGTGAATAAGAAGGGAGAGCATTCTAGGCAGTGAGGAGTAATAGAAATAGCAGGAAAGTTGGAAATGAACTGTTGTGTGGGAAAGGACTTGCAGGACCTTAGCCTGACTCAGAAGGTTTATATATTGACAAATATTAATGGAAATACGTCTGGAGAGTTGGGCCAGTATTTTATGGAGGAGTCAGGGCTGAAGAGGGTTGACAAAGGAAGTGTTGGTCCAATATCAAGGTGTTTCAATTAATGACCAAATCAGGGATAGAGAATGTCTGGCTCAATTAGACAGACTGGTCTAATTACATTTTTCAACACAAACTTTTGGGCAAGAGATTTAAGTTCTCTGAACTTGTAGGAAAATGACTCCTGCTCTGTCTACACGAGAAGGTGGTAATAATAATAAAGATCAAATACACCATTAGAAGTATGTGTGCTTTATAAGTTTGTGGCAGTTTCATAGACTCAGGAAGCAGGTACAGAGACAAACCCTGTTTGTTCATGTAGCTATAAAACCAATGTGGCTTTACATTTTTGGAAGCAATAAACTAATAAGCCATATTGGGGTATGCTTCACCAATAAAAGTATTTCTTGTCTTGCCCTTTGCCTTAATTTGGCTATATATATAGTTTTCCTTTTTAATTATTTTAATGCCTAGACCTATGCTGTCTAATCCAGTAGCTACTAGCCACATTAAATTTAATTAAAATTAAGTACAATTTGAAATTCAGTTTCTCAGTCACACTAGCCACAGGGCAAGTGCTTAGTAGTTAGTAGCTACCACATTAGACAGCACAGATATAGAACATTTCCATCATACAGAAAGTTCAGTTGGAGAGCACTGGGTTAGACTATATAGAATTGCAGTATATATATGTGTGTCTATGTGTATGTATATATATATATATTTTTTAAATATGTATTTGTTTTATCCTTTGACCTTAATTTATAAATCAGATAAGTGAAGCTTGTTTCTTTAAAAACATTAAGCTGTTTTTCACTTAAATGGGCCTCCTACATCAGTGGCTTTCTATTGAGAACAGGTTCTCCAACCTGACTGAAGTTAATGGATTTTCTTAATTAACAAAGTGATAGGATATCAAAGATTGAGTGATTCAAAGAGCTTCTAGTCTAAATGGAAATGTAACTGATTGTGTTTTACCAGATGTCATTTCAAGAATGTCTTTTCTTTTAAGATGCTAAAGAAAACCCTTATGGCGAGGATGACAATAAGAGTCCATTCCCCCTGCAGCCCAAAAACAAACGCAGTTATGCCCAGAATGTGACTGTCTGGATCAAACCCAGCGGCCTGCAGGTAACATTACCATTTATGTTGCTTTCCACTGGGGACAGGAGACATTTGGGTAGGCAGGCAGGCATTTTATTTGATTTTCTTTTCCTTTGATACTTAGTAATTCATTTACTTCTAATGTTTGTCATTATTTCCAAAAGGGATTTGAGATGCCCTACAGTAAAACATGTATATAGCAAAATCATTTTTTACAAAATTTAGAGCAATAAGAATCCTAGAGGAAGGAGGAAGAAGGAAGACAATTGTGCCAGGAACCCAAGGCAAAATAATAACTTTATGTGAGTGTTTTGGCTCTGAGCTTCCTGTTACCAAGGTCAGTTGTTCTTGTCTAAAGAAAGGAAATTTGTCAGTTTGTCTAGAGAGACATATTTTCCTGGCATTGAATTTTAGTGTGAAATTTTTTATATGGTGAGGCATTGACTAACATAATGGGTATTGGCTTTAACAACAGTTTTGGAAAAGATGTAAAAGTCTTCATAACTATATTTCTTCCATCCCTTCAGTAGAACTCAAGCCATAGCATTACATTTCACAAAAACACTTCCATAGGAAGTTATGATAATATGATTATCAAGGAATGATGCTTTCAGGCATGGTATTCAGGAACATATGATAATATGATTATCAAGGAATGATGCTTTCAGGCATGGTATTCAGGAACATTTCTCCTTTCATCAGCAAAAAGTCATTTATACCTGTTTTTAAAAATCACTTATTGAAACTTTTTTCTCCTTTGAGCACCTTTATTTACATTTGTTCTTCCAGTAAGTTCAACCTAAACCAAATGAGAAGAGACAGGCCACTTGGACAACAAAAGTAGTTTCTGTTGACTGCACAGTCTCTGAGCCCCGTTTCCATGGAGACTGAACCACATCCTGCCAAGGCTAAAGTGTCAGGGGCCTCTTTGTTGGAAAATCAGGGTCTTCTATTTTCCTGATATCCCTGACCCCAGTGCTTCCTTGTCAGAGGGATATTAGAACCACTTTCACCACCAGTTATAGCTGAGCTTTTCTTAAATTATTTTTTTTAATTTTTTTTGTTTGAATCTTCACTACTATCTTGGGTTTATTTTTCTTATTCTGGTAAAATATACATAAAATGTACCTTCAACCATTTTAAAGTACACAATTCAGTCCCATTTAGTACATTCACAATGTACCATCACCACTCTCTAGTTCCAGAACATTTTAATCACTCCAAAAGGAAACCCTGTGCCCATTAGGAAAGTCACTCCACATTCCTTCTTCCGGGCCCTGGCAACCATTGATTTTCTTTCTGTCTCTATGGACTTACCTATTCTAGATATTTCATGTAAACAGAATCATACAATTTGTGGCCTTTTGTGTTTGACTTCTTGTACTTAGCATGATGTTTTCAAGGTTTATTCATGTTGTAGTATGTATCAGTACTTCATTCCTTTTTATGGCTAATATTCCATATGTCTATATGTATATGTCACATTTTGATTATCCCTCAGTTGACGGACATTAGGGTTACCTTTTGGCTATTGTGGATAATGCTGTTACAAACATTCATGTATAAGTTTTGGTCTGAACATTTGTTTTCAATACTCTTGGGTATATATTTTAATGGGAATGGGATTGCTGGGTCAGACAGCAATTCTCTTTAACTTACTGAGGAATTGCCACACTCTCTCACAGCAGCCACACCATTTTACATTTCTGCTAGCAGTGTATAAGTGTTCTAGTTTCTCCACGTTCCTACCAATACTCATTGTTTTCCTTTTATTATTATTATCATATAGCTATCATAGTAGGTGTGAAGTGGTATGTCTTTGTTTTTGCATTTCCTTGATGACCAATAATGTGCATCTTTTCCTGTGCTTATTGGCCATTTGTGTATATTATTTGGAGAAGTATATACTCAAGTTCTTTGTCCATTTTTTAATTGGGTTTGTCTTTTTGTTGTTGGGTTTTTTATATATTCTGGATATTATGATCCTTAGCAGATACATGATTTGCAAATATCTTCTCCCATTTTGTGAGTTATCTTTTCACTCTCTTTATAGTGTCCTTTGATACACAAAGTTTTTGGTTTTGAAGAAGTCAAATTTTGTCTCTTGCTTTTGTTGTTTGTGCTTTGTGCTGTCTTAACTAAGAGATCATTGCCAAATCCAAAGTCATAAAGATTTACCCGCTGTGTTTTCTTTTTCTTCTTCTCTTTTTCTCTTGAGAAACACATCTCACTACGTTGCCCAGGCTGGTCTCAAACTTCTGGCCTCAAGCAATCCTCCTGAGTAGCTAGGATTACAGGGGCACACCACTGCACCTGGCCCGTTTTTTTCTAAGAGTTTTATAGTTTTAGCTTTTACATGTAGGTCTCTGATCCATTTTGAGTTAGTTTTTTGTATATGGTATGATGTAAGGGTCCAACTTTATTCTTTTGCTTGTGGATATCCAGTTGTCTCAGCACCAAATGTTGAAGAGACTATTTTTTCCCCATTGAATCGTCTTTGCAAAAAAGTCCCTGGCAATAGATGTATGGGTTTACTGGGTACATTTTTATGAGGCAAGTTCGTTTCTGTCAGGGGATTTATTTTACTGTCAAGCCTTTTGAAGGAGGGAGTGCTTTACTAATGTTGAACTGACATTAACTCAGAAGGGATCCTCATCTTGACATTGTAGCTGTGTTCTCATTTTCATCTCTTTAAACATTTAGATCCATTCTTTTATATTATTTCCCTTTTTTACCACAGAATTCTAATGTTGGATTTTTTTTTTTACCCTTAATAGACAGATGTACAGAAGATTTTAAGAAATGCAAGGAAACTACCTGAAAAAACACAGACATTCTATAAGGTGAGACAGACAGAAGAGGATGTGCCCAAAATATATGGTTCACGACAGTAAAACTGTGAGATGGCAGTGTGAATATGGGCAGGGGTTAGAGATGTATGACTTGTGCCTCAGTTTTTTCAAATAAACTCAGTAAAAGTGATAGGTCTGTTCCTTCCCTAAAATCCAAGAATTGGAAGAATTTAAATGGCCTAATTCTGTACAGGCAGAAGGTTTTTCTGTGTTGGGGCTGCTGTGAATGAATGACTGATGGAAGCAGCTTAGAGGACCTGTGGGTCATAGCCCTGAACTCTCCTCATCACTCCTATATGGGTATCCAGGCCAACCCCAGGCAACCAATGTATGTGGCTTCCTGGATGGGGAATTGCCCAGAACATTCTTTTTTTTTTTTTTTTTTTTTTTTTTTTTTGAGATGGAGTCACACTCTGTTGCCCAGGCTGGAGTGTCGTGGTGCAATCTTGGGTCACTGCAACCTCTGCCTCACAGGTTCAAGTGATTCTCCTGCCTCAGCCTCCTGAGTAGCTAGTACTACAGGCACGTGCCACCACGCCCAGCTAATTTTTGTTTTTTTGTTTTTGAGACAGAGTCTCACTCTGTCGGCCAGGCTGGAGTGCAGTAGCACGATCTCAGCTCACTGCAACCTCCGCCTCGCGGGCTCAAACAATTCTCCTGCCTCAGCCTCCCAAGTAGCTGGGATTACAGGTGTGTGCCACCATGCCCGGCTAATTTTTGTATTTTTAGTAGAGACGGGGTTTCACCATGTTGGCCAGGCTGGTCTTGAACTCCTGACCACAGGTAATCCGCTCGCCTCGGCCTCCCAAAGTGCTGGGATTACAGGCGTGAGCCACCGTTCCCGGCCTAATTTTTGTATTTTCAGTAGAGATGGGGTTTCGCTGTGTTGGCCAGGCTGGTCCCGAACTCCTGACCTCAGGTGATCCACCCAAAGTGCTGGGATTACAAGCGTGAGCCACCCCACCTGGCCACCCCAGAACATTTTTATTGCACCAGAGACTCTGCTTCTAGGAATGATATCTAACATTACACATTTATGAATTGCAGAGGAGATAGCCCTGCAGAATCATATGCAGCTAATCCAGAACGATTGGTGAAGAGACTGTTAAGTTACAGGGGGTGGGGTAGAGTGGGGAACATTTAGGTTTGCTCCTTGATTCTCCCCTATTGTTCTGGTGTTTGGCTGGAATTAAATTAAGTGCAGCATAAAGTATGTCATTTGTGTCTTAGCTTTCTAATTCTAAAATGTGGCACACACAGCCAGCCTTAGGCTAGCATCTTAACCAGAGAAGATACATGCTACTTTGTCTGGGTGTTATCTCATTACCTTTATGTCACTGTTGTCTTCAAACTTAATTATGTAGTAAGCTGGTGAAATAAAACAGCTTTAATCAAGAGTTCAACTGGAGAGCTTCTTAGCCAGCCAGGCCCCTCCCTAAACTGAAGCCCATAATCCACACAGTCCATCCTCCCTGCAGAGCTTCCTACAGTCATCAGCTATTTACTCATGATGACACACTTGTTTGGCCTTCTTCTTAACTTTCCACTTTTTTAACAGATGATAGTAGAAAGATGGTCAGAGAGCCCATTTCTCTTTTCTGGTTTTATATAATGCTACATATTAGAGCTCAAAAGGGCCTAGGGAAAGTGCTTCAGCCTCTGCAGTGGGTAAGGAAGGGGTTATTCTCCTCATTTTATAAATGAGGCCTTTGAGACCCAGAGAGGCTATATAACTTGCCCAGACCACTCCACTAAGGGGTTGTTGGGGCACTTCATATTTCTCTGCTTCTATCAGTAACCAGCCTTTCTTTTTGTTGGTCTTTCCACTCTGACTCCTCCAGGGCCTCCTCTTGAGCCTGTTTATTGTCTTAGCCTGAGGCCCCACCACAGTGGCATCAGAGGGTTAAGAGCGTTTTCAGATTGAGGGCAAGTCTTTTCCATACCTAAATAACAGGGGAAAAGTACTCCTCCTTAAAGTTAGGAGTAACGAAATGATGGATGCAAAGTGCTGACTACCACATGTGGCATAAATGCTCATTAACTGTGATGATGACGTTGTTTCATTCAGCTGTCTTCCTTAGCCTGCTTCTGGTCACCTGCAGAGGAACCACTTCCCAGTAAAACCATCACATTCTTGTTACTGGCATCCCTAAATAAACATTTGTTCTCATATAAAATTGCTCCCTAAAGTTCAGTCAAGGAGAACTTATGCTAAGCTGAGCACTTAGAAAGTATGTGTTAGGAACACATTTCAGGAGCATTGGTGATTTTCTGTCTTGTTTCAGGAGCTGAACCGTTTGCGAAAGGCCGCTCTAGCCTTTGGTTTCCTGGACCTGCTGAAAGGGGTGGCTGACATGCTGGAAAGGGAATGCACACTGCTGCCTGAGACAGCCCACCCTGATGCTGCATTCCAGCTGACCCATGCTGCCCAGCAGCTCAAGCTGGCCAGTACCGGCACCTCTGAGTATGCCGCTTATGACCAGAACATCACACCTTTGCACACGGACTTCTCTGGGAGCAGCACTGAAAGAATTTGAAACTGACTTTTGGAGCTTTCCTTCTTTTTTCATTTCAACTGAAAATGCTTTAGGTAAAAACCTTTCCAGTATGTTCACCTCTAGAATAGCCACCCAAAGACCTTCCTGAGGCTGCCTCAGAAGCACCACTTGCTGTTTTGAATGACTCTACTAGTATGAGAAGGATGTGAAGGTGGTTGGCTGGTTGGGCTTTAACTTCCTGGGATTCATAATTTTTAAGCTTGGAAGATAGCTGCTGTTCCCATGATGGGCACATTTCCTGAGAAGCTTGAATGACTGATGAGCATAGAGCACCCCTGCCTTCCTCAGGAAACCTGACCGGCAGGGGCTCTCTGGCTTCCTGAAAGCTTCACCTCTTCCCTCGTTTATATCTCAACTGTAAGGGCATTTTCAAGCTTCTGTTCATGGAATGAGCAACTCAGACTGTCTGGAGCTTGCTGAGTACAAACACACCACCACTAAGTTTCAGAACTTTCCTTAGAACTTGGGCAAAATGTGGTGGTAACTCTTAAGTGCTTTTGGTATCTCTTGAGATTCTAACTTTTAAAGAGCAACCATTAATGTGTAAAATGATTCCTATTATTCAAGGTTTTTTTTTAATGAAAATAAAATATTTGATTTTCTAGAAAATGGTTTCACTATGAAACTAAAGGTCGTTTGCTTTTGGTCTGTCTTATCACTTTAATATAATTTCAACTTTCTAAGTGGCATAGATTCATAAATCATGAGGTTTCCTTATTTCTGACACTGATTAGGCCTCATTGCCTAAGCAAGGTTCTGGCTAGGTAATCCTGACAGATCACCGATCCGATTCCAAAGTTAATTATGGTTCCAATTTATCAGCTAGCTTTATGACTTTGGGCAACTTCTCAAGGCTTTGTCTGCATCATCAGTGTTTTTCATTTGCACCACCTTCCATGTAACTCTCAGGCTTCAACCAGAGCAACTGTTTTTGGTTTAACATGCTGAACTGCTACATAATATTTTGCCTGAACAAAGGTCTTTATCACTAACAGAGAACCATTAGACTAAATTATCTTTAAGCACAGTCATTAGAATTTTGATTGTAAATGTTTTAATAGAAATACACAATCTTTCACTTTCTCAGACAGCAATAAAGGGGTTTGTAACAATCACTAAGAATACAGAATTTTGCCACGAGGATGCAGCATAATCTACTGCAAAGCTGATCTGCCCAATTACACGTAGTCAGCTGCAAGAATATCAGAAATCAATACAAACAAGTATTGACAGGTGTTACAGACATGCAAAATATCCTTCAATGCAACGAATTTTTAAGAAATCAGCTAGCCTATATTAATCAGATGTTTTAGGTCAAACCAAGTTTCCATCTTGGGCTCAGTGAAATAGTATTAACTCATTGAGTCTCCTTTCCCCCAGGAATGTTGGGAATGGCAGAACAGAAAGAGCTATCACTCCTTAAATTCTTTTATGCAAGTGTTACTCCAACACTTATTTTACTTGGTTTACTTGGAATGTATGAGAGGAAACTGATGTTTTTTACAATGGCCAACTGTATGTCTAAATTTTCAGTTCTCCTTTTTGTGAGTTTCCTGCCAGAAATCCTTGTTAAAGGATCAGCGGGTGTTCACCCCGAAGTTCTTGCTGTTTTCAGTGTCCTACTGCAGACAGGTTTAAAAAGCCAACTGAACAGCAGCAGAATGAAGTATTTTTGAGGTCTATTCAAAAATGTACAGTCCCACCACTCACTAGAACAAGTACACAAGTAAATGGACTCAGCCAGTGCAGGAGATGGAAGGCTGCCATTTTTTATGTTTGTGCACAGCCTTACAGTTTGGAGGTGTGTTTGGCCTACTCTAATATTTCTAGTTTGTCAAAGGCTGTACACTGTTACTGCCAGTTTGACCTACATACTGTGTTCCCTTTGGATCCCTGCTACCATTTGGACCTCGTGTGTGTGTGTGTGTATGTGTGTTTGTGTGTGTGTGGTTTGGTTTGGTTTGAGACAGGGTCTTGCACTGTCACCCCAGCTGCAGTGCAGTGGCACAATCTCGGCTCACTGCAGCCTTGACCTCCTGAGCTCAGGATCCTCCCATCTCAGCTTCTTGAGTAGCTGGGACAACAGGTGTGTGCCATCACACCCAGCTAATTTTTTTATTTTTTGTAGAGATAGGGGTCTCACTACGTTGCCCAAGCTGGTCTTGAACTCCTGGCTTCAAGCGATGCTCCCACCTAGGTGTCCCAAAGTGCTGGGATTACAGGTGTGAGCCACATTCCTGGCTGAGTTTGGAACTTGTAATCTCATTGTTTTCTAAATAATGTTTCATTTTTCTTCAGTGTTGAAAATAGTTGATTTACTTAAGAATGGCATGATCATGATGTTCCAAGATTCTGATTAGTTTCTTTCAAAGCATTCTGCGCCTCTTCAATGCCCACACTGCTGAGCACTATAATAATAGATGTTGTTAGGCCAAAGGATGTCAGATGTAAAGTATGTTCTCTAGCCCCACTCTTAGAAATGTTTTATCAATGACTCAGTCCACTTGATTTTCAAAAAGTCAATGCCATCCCATTAAACAAGTAACCCCTTAGGTACAGAATAATTAATTCCTGCCTGAGTCACTTTAACAGCCTTCTATAGAGTGACATAGTCTTGCTTTTTTTCACAAGCAATAGCTGAAAAGAACAAATCTCAACTGTAAGAACTGTCAGTACATTGTAGGGATAAAGCACTTTTTGAAAAAAAAATCTCTGGCATGTATTAGACAGACTGAACATGAGATAGGGTTGGGGTGGGCTGAGCCTTTTGGTGTCATTAACTGAATACACAAGAATGAACCTCTCATCAGATATCAGGAATCCATGTCATGCAAGTACTACAATAAGATAACAGTAAATTCAGGAATGTTACTGGGGAAAAGGAAGATAGCCTCACTGAGAATTTAATCATTTAACATTAAAAAAACTTTTACATTGGTTCAAGAAGGTAAAACTGTAAGAATCAGATTAGGCTCAAACTGGCAAGAAGCCATCTAAATCTTTCTTTTTAGTGGATCTTTTTCTTTTTTTGTCCATAGCGCCGTCTGCGCTGTTTATAAAGGTGACGAAAATTTATGTATAAACCTGAAAAAGAAAAGAGGTCAATTAGAAATTAGAGTCTTTGTCTATTTATAACCAGAAGCTCTTGTGGCAGGGACAGTATCTAGCTGTCGTCATATTCCACAGCAAAAAGCTTATTGCAGCGGCTCAGGAAGGAGTACAATTTAGAACAAATTAACAATACAATAGACACAAAGCAATTTTTCCCCAGTGGGTTTATTTATTTATTTATTGCGACAGGGTCTCATTCTGTCACCCAGGCTGGAGTGCAGTGGCACAATCTCAGCTCACTGCAACCTCCGCCTCCTGGGTTCAAGCAATCCTCCTGCCTCAGCCTCCTGAGTAGCTGGGATTACAGGCGTCCACCACCATGCCTGGCTAATTTTTTGTATTTTTAGTAGAGGTGGGGTTTCACCATGTTGGTCAGGCTAGTCTCAAACTCCTGACCTCAAATGATCTGCCCAGCTTGGCCTCCCAAAGTACTGGGATTACAGGCGTAAGCCACCACACCCAGCCTCCCAGTGAGTTTAAAACATTTTTTTCTCTTATAAAATTTTCAAACACGCAAAAGATTAAATCATTATACAGGGAACATCTAGATTTACTGCTTTTTACTATATTGGCTATATCACATCCCTATTCATCTATCCCTCCAGCCATCTCATTTTTTATGCACTTCAGTGTTAAGTTGCAGATATCAATACACCTCACCCCCCTAATTCTTCAGGTAGGTATAGTTCAATATTCTTTCTTTCTTTTACAGTAAAATTTACAATGAAATGCACAAATCTAAAGTGCAGAAACAACCTAATTTTTAATTCAAGCCTACTCAAGAACATGGCCAGGCGTGGTGGCTCACGACCGTAATCTCAGCACTTCGGGAGGCCAAGATGGGTGGATCACCTGAGGTCAGGAGTTTGAGACCAGCCTGGCCAACATTGTGACGCCCCATCTCTACTGAAAATACAAAAATCAGCCAGGCATGGTGGCAGGTGCCTGTAATCCCAGCTACTCCGGAGGCTGAGGCAAGAGAATTGCTTCAACCCAGGAGGTGGAGGTTGCAGTGAGCCAAGATCGTGCCACTGCACTCCAGCCTGGGTGACAGAGCAAGACTCTGTCTCAAAAAAAAAAAAAAAAACTAAAAAGTCCTTTGACCTATATACAAATGTTAACTGGCTGTTTACACTGCTTCAAAATTATAAATGTGAAATTAGGATTTATTTCATTCTAAAGAATAAGAAAAGAGCAACTACATATTCACTATAAGCAAAGTAGATATGAACATAAAATCTTGCAAATTAGAGTGTACAATATAAACAACACAAAAAAAGATACTAAGTCAATGCACTTTAAAATATTTCTACCCCTCTACCCTGTTCACTAAAATATTTTAAATGTCTTTCCAATATTTATTCCTCTTTATCTTATGCCCATTTCATGGGGCCTAGTTATACTGAATTTATACAGTAATAAAGGTAAAAAGCTGTCTTTAATTAGTACATTTTCTGAACTGAGGGTTCCTCTCTTCAAGGGCAAAACATTTTAATATTTTTGGTTGGCAATATTTCTGAAATGGATTATACCCTTTGCTGAAACAGAAAAAAAGAAAGAAATTTTAACCTTTTGCAAATGACGTGGGCCTACAATGTATACTATTTAACTGTACATCTGCCAGGCACTGGCACACTAAGGGGCTCCTAATACTATGGTATAAGTCTCTCCTCCCGCAACACTAAATGACCAAGACCACTGGGCTTTCTGGCTTCCTGGGCTTACCTTGCGTGGTCTTCCTCTCACTGTCTGGGGTAGCAAGCCGTGACAATGATCCCAACAACCTCTATCTCCTGTTATTTCATACCTTTGTGTAGTCCCCTCCCATGTTATACTGGGTTGGTCTGTGTGATGATTTGTCACTTCTGAGATTAGGCACTGTGGCTTCGGGCTCTCTCTCTCTAACCAATTGCTTTGGGGGAAGCCATGCCATGAGTAGCCATATGGAGACGGGCTATGGCAAGAAACTGAAGCTTCCTGTCAACAGCCACAAGAGTGAGCTTGGAGCAGATCCTCCAGCCCCAGTCAAGTCTACAGAAACTGCAGCCCCAGCTGACAGCCTAACTGAAACCTCATGAGACCCTGAGCCAGTACCACCCAGCCAGGCTGCTTCCTGACCTTCAGGAACTATGTGAGATAATAACTATTTATTGTTTTCAGCTGCTAAGTTTTGGGGGTCATTTGTTACACAGCAATAGAGAACTAATATACTATTGTTGCATCCTTCTGTGGCTAGGAGACTGGACAGTTATATTTATTTAGGGCCACCTTAAGTCTTTTGTGAAATAAAGCAAGGAGAAATATATAAATTACCACTAAAATGTATCAGAACTTTAAAGAGTCCTTATAGTTAGGAGCTTGTCTTATCCTTAAACATGTAAAGTTCTATGTATGATAATCAGTGTTTTCTCCTCTCAAATATATTTAATGACAAAATTCCTTTCATTCTGTTTTTATGTTCTTAGTTGTCATACTAAAATCGATACGTATTAGTTTGCTCTTAAAAGGAAAAAATTATTTTTCTCAAATTGTATTTAACCTACACATAAGAATGTATGTATTTTCACATCTATGTATAGAGTATAGTATAGATAATATGGGTAGAATCATGTATAGTTGCATTTAGAAATTACCAAATACTGATTACTAATAAATTTTTTTTTTTTTTGAGACAGAGTCTTGCTCTGTCACACAGGCTGGAGTGCAGTGGCACAATCTCGGTTCATTGTAACCTCTGCCTCCTGGGTTCAAGCGATTCTCCTGCCTCAGCCTCCCAAGTAGCTGGAATTACAGGCATGCGCCACCAAGCCCAGCCAATTTTTGTACTTTTAGTAGAGACAGGGTTTTGCCATGTTGGCCAGGTTGGTCTCAAACTTCTGTCCTCAAGTGATCTACCCACCTCAGCCTCCCAAAGTGCTGGGATTACAGGCATGAACCACCATACCTGGCCTCTAATAAGAATTTAACAACAACAACAACAAAAAAAAATCCTTATAGTTAGGAAGCCTTTTAAATTTGTCATATTTGTAATAATTTAGGTTTCTTTCTTTTTCCCTTCTGTTAGTTTATAAAGGCAGGAATTTATGATTTTATATAAATTAATAGGTCAGCAGGTTTTCCATGAGGAGCAGGGGACTTTCCTATTGTGAGGTGGAAGGCTTTATGACAACCCTTGGCTGCTCAGAGGCCTTTATTCCCTTCTTCCTTCCTTGCTGCTGGTTGTCTTATCACCTCTATAAACTCTGGATGAGGAATATGCTACTGAAATTAGTAAAAGTGGGAGCTTCTTAGTCTATTTTAAAAGGCTCCTTACTTTTTTTTTTTTAATTTTTATTTATTTATTTATTTTTTTTTTTTTTTTGAGACAAAGTCCCGCTCTGTCGCCCAGGGTGGAGTGCAATGCTGCAATCTCAGGTCACTGCAACCTCTGCCTCCCGGGTTCAAGCGATTCTCCTGCCTCAGCCTCCTGAGTAGCTGAGATTACAGGCACCCGCCACCACACCCAACTAATTTTTGTATTTTTAGTAGAGACAGGGTTTCACCACGTTGATCAGGCTGGTCTCGAACTCCTGACCTTGTGATGTGCCCACCTCAGCCTCCCAAAGTGCTGGGATTACAAGCGTGAGCCACCATGCCTGTCCCCTTACATTGTTTTAAACAAGAAATATCTTATGGTATATTCCCAATCACCAAGAGCACTTAAAGAACATAATTTAACTGCTGGAGATTTAGAAAAGAAATATTTCCTTACCATAGCATATTCCCCTAGTGGGTCTGTTTTTGCAAAGTAATCATTCTCTAATTCTGTCCCAAAAGAATTCTCATATGGACTTTTACATTTCTGAATGATTTAATTCTACTGTCTAAGAAGTGACAAGAAAAAGTCTGTATTAAAGAATCAATACTTACCTAAAAATATCATTATAAGATAAATCTGAAGAAAAAAGGAAAATCTAACTTTGATTTTCACTGGATATGGCAATGTGAAACTGAATCGTCCGGTCTCATTGAATATTGGAATGGACTGAATCACTGAGACAGCTGAAAACAGAAACAAGAACTTGTTAGAAGCAAATGAAACAGTCACATTTAATGACAGGAACTTCCAGTCCTAGTACTCTAAAGTTTCAGTTCTGGGTGTGCTGGAAAGGCTTTCTCCTCCCTTTGTACAGAAAGCTCATGCCTCTCCTTTTTTTCCCCTACTTTTCTAAGAGATCAGCCTCCAACCTGTCAACAGAGAGACAGATGAGGAAGTCATGGTAGTGGGCTTCTTCTATTCTATAAAATGGAGAGGAAAATCCCTAGCTGACTTATGTATGAGATGTTTGTCAGAATAAAATAAAGTCATCAGTAAGAACCCCCTTTGGAATACTAAAAGCATCATACAAATGGGAAGCATGCAGGACATAACCACCTGGCTTTCCAATGTTACAAAATGAGCTACTTTTCTCGAACAGTCTGGGTACCAGGAGTATTATGGAAGGAAGCCCATGGAAAGAAATCCCTGAAAAATCCAACATTTCCATTTATCGGACTAAGGCCGGGGAAGAAAGGACTGGTCTCTCAGCCTCTGGGTACCCCCTGGAGCTAAGCTATGAAAGCTAAGAGTCCCTGAGAGTACCTTCCGCCAAACATCCCAGTGGATATAAGGGAATCCACAGAGTGTAACGAAGCCATGTGAGCACCTTCCAATCCATGTCAATGCACGTCAGCATGTAGAAAGAGTACCTATTGAAAATAAATGATTCCAATGTGAAAAGCCACTTCAGGTTCCGAATGCAACCTTAGAATATCATTTAAATAGAAGAATTCTATTTCTCAGCCACACATGGCTTCTTCAGAACAGAATTATAACGCTGGCTATCAACCCATAAACTCCTGCCACACTGCGCCCTAAATTTTCAAAGGATCTGAACGCTCTTTAATGGCAGACTAAGTTTAGGTCTCAAAGGAACCCTCTTTATTCGGTAAACGGACTGGATACTCAGATGTTTTTTGGCTTTATTCCTAGTGCTGATATACATTCCCGGTGGGTAAGGATATTAGATACTTTATTTCTGGATAAGTGAGTTGTTACCAAAATTAAAGTATACAGAAGACCTCTAATCTAGAATCAGACATATGCTATTTTAAAAGACATCCCTTGAGAAAATAAATGTTCCTTCTCAAACAGTAAACATTGCATTAAGGACCCATAATCTGATCCTTTTATAGCTCATAAGTGTGATAACTGGATTTTCACTCTCCTGTGTGAGATGTGCTTCCCTCAAACCTTGTTACATCAGCACATTACGTGTCTGATTTGAAAAACATAGGACCTATAATCTGTTTTACCTTTGTATTAAGGCTATTAGAGGGTACACTGGGTGCCATGGGACACAGACCATGGTTAAGACACAATTTAAGGCTGCTATGGCCTGTTCTCTCTCTCAACTAGCAACTTTGTCAAAATACCACCAAACCTGGAGCTGAGAAGTTCATTTGCAAAATCCTTGCTCCAGCTGACTGAAAGGGAAGACATATGGAGTGTGTATGGTCTGGTAAAGAAGAATACATCTACTTTAACTAGATCCATTTCTTAAAAGATATTTATGCTACTAACAACCGAGAACGGGAAAATTGGGTTAGAGGCCATTTCAAACTTCAATAATCTTGTGGTATAAGATTCATTTCTATCATCCCTTGTAGAAATTTAGTCTTAAATTAGTTCTATCCAACCTGGATTGCTCCTTCAACCTCCTGTTTCTTCAGCCCTTTCAAGAATTTTTCCATGTGGATGGGTCCTCTCTTTCCAAGACTGCAAGATCCTGAAGTCATGGTAAGATGAGTCTTCCCTTTCTCTGGTTCTCCTCTTCTGCTCCCTAGTATCCAGTCTGGTATTATGATCCAATGACGGCTTTAAAAAAATCTGTCTCAACTTTGCAGAGCACATAGGTGCAACCAGAATTCTCCACATATGTAATCTTAGTCCCAAACCAAATGAGACTCTGGCTAAGATAACAACTCCCTCAAGAACAGAGCTGCTGCAAACAGGGAGCAGCATTCAAACACCATCCTGGCATTTCTACCCACCTGAAAATTTCAATTGCACTCCACAAATAAAACACAAAGAAAACCACAGCTTTGTTCTGCATTTCTTCCATGGTGCCAAAGATGATAAACAAAATAAAATTTCTTCCAAGAAGCTATTAGAAAGACCCAAAAGAGAGAAAAAAGTTAATAAAATATATGTAAAGTTATAGAAATGTGTTATCTGAAATCTAACCCCACTAAATGCAAGGCAAATAGAAAAGATTGACCTCGACCAGTTTAATCCTGCTCCAGTTCTGGAACAAGTAAAGTGCCCAAACCAGTCTTTGTGACTAGACAGGTACAGTATTTTGTGTAACTATATCATAAATCATTTCTTTAAAATACAGACACATGTTCAAACGCAGTCTAAAGAATACTGCCAAATAAACATTTGAGTTTATATAACCCAAGTTAAGAAATAGAGCACTACAAACGTGGGACCCCTATAAATAACTACTATCATGTGTTAATAATTCCATGGCTTTTCTTTTTTATCGAGACGGGGTCTCGCTCCGTCACCCGGGCTGGAGTGCAGTGGTGCAATCATGGCTCACTGCAGCCTTGAACTTCTGGGCTCAAGCAATCCTCCCACTTCAGCCTCTCAAGTAGCTGGGATCACAGGTGTGTGTACTACCACACTGGCTAATTTTATTTTTTTGTAGAGACGGGGTCTCACTGTGTTGGCCAAGCTTGCTCAAACTCTTGGGCTCAAGTGATCCTCTTGCGTCAGCCTCCCAGAGTGCTGGGATTATAGGCATGAGCCACTGTGCCTGGCCCATGGCTTTTCTTTATGAATTACTGCTTGTGTATGTATTCCTGAACAGTATATTGTTTCATTTTGCCTGTTTTAAAACTTTCTGAAATCATTCTATATGTATCATTCTGTGACTACTTCTTACTCAGAGTTACGGGCCAGAGACTCATCTATGTTTTTTGGTCTTGTTTTTTTTTTTTTTGAGACAGAGTCTCGCTCTGTCGTCCAGGCTGGAGTGCAGTGGCACGATCTTGGCTCACTGCAAGCTCCGCCTCCCGGGTTCATGCCATTCTCCTGCCTCAGCCTCCCGAGTAGCTGGGACTACAGGCGCCCGCCACCACGCTCAGCTAATTTTTTCTATTTTTTAGTAGAGACGGGGTTTCACCATGTTAGCCAGGATGGTCTCGATCTCCTGACCTTGTGATCCACCCGCCTCGGCCTCCCAAAGTGCTGGGATTACAGGCATGAGCCACCGCGCCCGGCCAAGACTCATCTATGTTGATGCATGTGGCTATAGTCCACTCATTTTCACGTGGCAAGACATTCCAATATATGATAGACATTCTATTCTTCATAGATATCTGGGTTGTCTGTTTCTGGGTTTTATTCTGTTCCCGTGGTCTGTGTGACTATCTTTGTACCATACAACGTGGTATTAGCTACTAAATCTTTATACTGTCTTGATTTTTTATAGGGTAAGTCCCCAATTTGAGCTCGTCTTTAAAGAATATTCTCGACCTTTTGCTTTTTTCTTTTTCCCATTTTAAAAATTGTGGTAAAATACACATAATGGCTGGGTGCGGTGGCTCATGCCTGTAATCCCAGCACTTTGGGAGGCCGAGGCTGGCAGATCATTTGAGGTCAGGAGTTCAAGACCAGACTGGACAACATGGTGAAACCCCATCTCTATTAAAAATACAAAAATTAGCCAGGCGTGGTGGCAGATGCCTGTAGTCCCAGCTACTCGGGAGGCTGAGGTAGGAGAATCGCTTGAACGTGGGAGGCCGAGGTTGCAGTGAGCCAAGGTCACACCACTGCACTCCAGCCTGGGTGACAGTGAAACACCATCTGAAAAAAAAAAAATACACATAACATAAACTTTACCATCTTAATCATTTTTTAAGTGTTTAGTTGAGTGGTATCAAATACCTTCATTATGTTGTGCAACCATAATCACCATCCATCTCCACAACTCTTTTCATCTTGTAAAATAGAAACTATGACCCATTGCCGGGCACGGTGGCTCACGTCTGTAATCCCAGCACTTTGGAAGGCCGAGGCGGGTAGATCACCTGGGGTCAGGAGTTCGAGACCAGCCTGGCCAACATGGGAAACCCCATCTCTACTAAAACTACAAAAATTAGCTGGGCGTGGTGATGGGCACCTGTATTCCTAGCTACTCGGGAGGCTGAGGTAGGAGAATTGCGTGAACCCAGGAGGCAGGGGCTGCAGTGAGCCTAGATTGTGCCACTGCACTCCAGCTTGGGCGACAGGGCGAGACTCTCAAAAAAAAAAAAAAGAAAGAAACTATGACCCATTAAACAATAACTCCCCATTCAGCCAGCCCCTGGCAAACACCATCCTACTTTCTGTCTCTATGGTTTTGACTATTTTAAGTACCCCATGTAAGCAGAATCATCTAGTATTTGACTTTCTGTGACTGGCTTATTTCACTTAGCATAGTTTCCTTAAGGTTCATCCACATTGTAGCATACGAGAGAATTTCTTTCATTTTTAAGGCTACATAATATCCCATTGTATGTATGTAACAGTCATTCTTATCCATTCATCTGTAGATGAACACTTGGGTTGCTTGCACATTTTAGTTATCGAAAATGATGCTACTATCCTGGATGGCCCTCTGTTTTTTCAAAAAGCTTCAGAATTTTCTCCTCACATTCCAAAATTTTTTAGATTGTGATTGGAAATGTATTGAATCTACAGGGAAATATGAGAACTAACAATATTATAATATTGAGTCTTATAATTCAAGAAAATTACGTCTGTATATTTACTTTTTGTGCTCTCTATTCCTTCCTGTATCTCAAAACAGTTCACTAATTTTCTCTTCAGCTATGTCTAATCTACAACACAAACTATCCATTAAATTTTTATTTTTTATTTTTTTTAGAGACAGGGGTCTCGCTCTGCTGCCCAGGTTGGAGGGCAGTGGCACAATCCCAGCTCACTGCAACATCGAACTCCTGCACTCAAGGAATCCTTCCGTCTCAGCCTCCCAAGTAGTGGGAATATAGGTGCACATCACCATGCCTGGCAAATTTTTATTTTTTTAGAAATGGGGTCTCACTATGCTGCCAAGGGTGGTCTCCAACTGCTGGCCTCAAGCAATCCTCCTACCTCAGCTTCCCAAAGTATGGGGATTACAGGAATGAGCCACCATGCCTGGCTGTAAATTTTAAAGTTTGATTATTGTACTTTTCATTAATACAAGTTTTTAAGAAGTACTGCCTTCATCTACACAAGGTGGGAGGAGACCACATACATTTCTAACTAAGGAGACTGAAGGTAGGTTTTTCAGCTCCTGCCTAAGAGTCAAATTTCCCTAGTCTTAAAGCTCTTTATAACTTTGTGATTTCATAAGGATATTATAAAAAATGAAAAAGACCTGAAATAGTAAAAGTCTACTTTGGTAAATAACCCTGGGGTTTTAAATGTTCTTTCTTGTTCAGGTAAAATAATGCTATTCCTGTACAAATAGGTGTTTTTACTAATTGAGACTTCTTAGCAAAATGTAACATACAGATATGGTTTGGCTGTGTCCCCATTCAAATGTCAGCTTGAATTGTATCTCCTAGAATTCCCACATGTTGTGGAAGGGACCCAGGGGGAGGTAACTGAATCATGGGGGCTGGTCTTCCCGTGCTATTCCCATGTTAGTAAATAAGTCTCACAAGATCTGGCGGGCTTATCAGGGGTTTCCGCTTTTGTTTCTTCCTCATTCTCTCTTGCCACCGCCATGTAAGAAGTGCCTTTTGCCCTGCACCACAATTGTGAGACCTTCCCCCGCCACATGGAACTGTAAATCCAATTAAACCTCTTTCTTTTGTAAACGGCCTGGTTTCAGGTATGTCTTTATCAGCAGTGGGAAAACGGACTAATACAGTAAATTGGTACCAGTAAAGTTGGATGTTGCTGAAAAGATACCCGAAAATGTGGAAGTGACCTTGGAACTGGGTAACAGACAGAGGTTGGAACAGTTTGGAGGGCTCAGAAGAAGATAGGAAAATGTAGGTAAGTTTGGAACCTCGTAGAGATTTGTTGAATGGCTTCGACAAAAATGCTGATAGTGATATGAACAATAAAGTCCAGGCTGAGGTAGTCTCAGATGGAGATGAAGAACCTCTTGGAAGCAAAGGTGAACTGGAGCAAAGGTGACTCTTGTTATATTTTAGCAAAGAGACTGGCAGCATTTTGCCCCTGCCCTAGAGATCTGTAGAACTCTGAACTTGAGAGAGATGATTTAGGGTATCTGGCAGGAGAAATTTCTAAGCAGAAAAGCATTCAAGAGGTGACTTGGGTGCTGTTAAAAGCATTCCGTTTTAAAAGAGAAACAGCATAAAAGTTTGGAAAATTTGCAGCCTGATGATTCAGTAGAAAAGAAAAACCCATTTTTTGAGGAGAACCTCAAGCTGGCTGCAGAAATTTGCACAAGTAGCAAGGAGCCTAACGTAATCCCCAATGTAATCCCCAAGACCATGGGGAAAATGTAACCAGACCATGTCAGAGGCCTTCATGGCAGTCCCTCCCATCACAGGCGCGGAGGCCCAGGGTCCCTGTGCTGTGTGCAACCTAGGGATTTGGTGCCCTGTGTCCCAGCTGCTCCAGCCTTGGCTGAGAGGGGCCAATGTACAGCTCAGGCTGTGGCTTCAGAGGGTGCAAGCCCCAAGCCTTGGCAGCTTCCACGTGGTGGTGAGCCTGTGGGTGCAGAGAAGTCAAGAATTGAGGTTTGGAAACCTCCGCCCAGATTTCAGAAGATGTATGGAAATGCCTGGATGCCCAGGCAAAAGTTTGCTGCAGGGATGGGGCCCTCATGGAGAACCTCTGCTAGGGCAGTGAGGAAGGGAAACATGGGGTTGGAGCCCCCACACAGAATCCCTACTGGGGCACTGCCTAGTGGAGCTGTGAGAAGAGGCCGCCATCCTCCAGACCCCAAAGTGGTAGATCCACTGACAGCTTGCACCATGCACCTGGAAAAGCTGCAGACACTCAATGCCAGCCGGTGAAAGCAGCCGGGAGGGAGGCTGCTCCCTGCAAAGTCACAGGAGTGGAGCTGCCTAAGACCATGGGAACCCACCTTTTGCATCAGCGTGACCTGGATGTGAGACCTGGAGTCAAAGGAGATCATTTTGGAGCTTTAAAGTTTGACCGCCCCACTGGATTTCAGACTTGCATGGGCACTGTAACCCCTTTATTTTGGCCAATTTCTCCCATTTGGAACGGCTGTATTTACCCAATGCCAGTACTCCCCTTGTATCTAGGAAGTAACTAGTGTGCTTTGATTTTACAGGCTCAAAGGCAGAAGGGACTTGCCTTGTCTCAGATGAGACTTTGGACTGTGGACTTTGGGGTTAATGCTGAAATAAGACTTTGGGGGACTGTTGAGAAGGCATGATTGGTTTTGAAATGTGAGGGTATGAGATTTGGAGGGGCCACGGCTAGAATGATATGGTTTGGCTGTGTCCCCATTCAAATTTCAACTTTAATTGTATCTCCCAGGATTCCCACGTGTTGTGGCAGGGACCTAGGGGGAGGTAAATGAATCAGTGCGGCCGGTCTTTCCCATGCTATTCTCAGGATAGTGAATAAGTCTCACGAGATCTGATGGGTTTATCAGGAGTTTCTGCTTTTGCTTCTTCCTCATTCTCTCTTGCCGCCACCACGTAAGAAGTGCCTTTCGCCCTCCACCATGATCGTGAGACCTTCCCAGCCACATGGAACTGTAAGTCCAATTAAACCTCTTTCTTTTGTAAACTGCCCAGTCTCAGGTATGTCTTTATGAGCAGCATGAAAATGGACTAATACACATACCCACTAGACAAATAATGGGACCTTCCATTACCCACCCTTCAGCTTAACTATTCAATACCTGGATCAGAGAAGGCAGCACCGGTGACGTAGTGACTCCAATTGCTGCATTGATAGTTTCCACAACTGCCAGCATCTGGCAGAAATACATCATGTCAGCCACAGTATGGAATGTGTCATAAAAGGACTCTATAGGCAAAAATATACATTAAGGGTGAATCAGTTGGTAAATTCCAACAGAACTATTTCTCAAACTAGATTACTCCTTTCGTGAAAATAACTGTAAGAAAGGAATAACAAACATCCAGTCAGATTCAAGTTTCTTACTTAACTAAGCAGGAAGGGTGCAGGCCAATGGGGTCATGAATAGTAAGCTCTACCAGTTACCAGAAAGTTAACACGTACACCTTATATGCCTTTCTCTTTTTTTTTTTTGAGATGGAGTCTTACTCTGTCACCAGGCTGCAGTGCAGTGGCACGATCTTGGCTCACTGCAACCCCCGCCTCCTGGGTTCAAGTGATTCTCCTGCCTCAGCCTCCCGAGTAGCTGGGACTACAGGCACGCACCACCATGCCCAGCTAATTTTTGTAATTTTAGTAGAGATGGGGGTTTCACCATGTTGACCAGGATGGTCTCGATCTCTTGACCTCGTGATCTGCCCACCTAGACCTCCCAAAGTACTGGGATTACAGGCGTGAGCCACCACGCACAGCCACCTTTCTAAATTTTTTTAAGAGTCAAGGTCTTGCTCCATCACCCAGTCTAGAGTACAGTGTCATGATCACGGCTTACTGCAGCTTCAACCTCCTGGGCGCAAGAGATCCTTCCACTTCAGCCTGTTAAAGTGCTGGGATTACAGGTATGAGCTACTACACCTGGTCCATACTTTCATTATCAGGTAGAAAAATCCTCTCCCATTAATCTTTCTTCTCCTAAATTTTATTACCTATTTATTCATCAAATAAAGTTTCAGAATACTTTAGATCAAATTCTCAAAAATTTCCCATTGGCATTTACCAATGGAATGCCACTGGTCAAAGCCAGAATCCTGCTAAACACATAAATTAATTTAAGAAGAACTAATATCTTTATGATGCTCTTTTTATTCTGTTTTAGAATAGTTCATTTTAGAACGTATTTAGGCTCCAAAAGGGTGAGAACCCTTTTGGCCTTGCATAACTTTGGCACTGGAAGTATCACATCAATTTATTTAGTTGTTAGTGAACATTTTTACAAAAGGATTCTAGCCCAAGATGTGGCTCTGGCTAGCTATGGATGTGAACCATTTTTGACCATCTCTAGGCCTATATTTTATTACCTGTTATATGGAAAGAATACCAGTCAGCTTATTTCACAAGGCCATGGGAAATAAGAGCTATGAAAGCACAACGAAAAGTAGAGGGTGCTGCACAAATGCAGGGGTTATTATTAACATCAAAGGCAGAGAGTGCTCCCTTTGGTGAATACTGGGCCAAACTACTGAGAAAGGGAAAATTAATCCAAAAATGTCTTACTTGCCTTTTCCCAAGATACAGAATCGCACAGTCAGGTTGACAAAGATCCAGGAGAATCCCAAGAATTGCACAAGATTATACATAAACAGGTATCCTTTCCTTAAGTTTGTAAGAGCTGTAAAGCAAAGCAAAGCAGTAAGCTATTAAAAGCAATAGTCCCAGCAGGAGACAGGTGTATGAGGCATATCTGGATGACTTCAACCCTTTTTCCTTCCTGAATGCTCCTAAGCTCCCACACAAATACCTGGTCCAGGTCCTCACCAGCCTGGGCTCCTACTCCCACAGAGAAACATACAAGGAACATTGCTCTCCAGCATGTATTTTCAGCAGGACTTCCTTTCCCAGCCTTGAAGAATAGGTATACAGACATAACAAACCCAAGAAAAAAATATTACCCCTGGTGTGATATTATGATATGTGTATATGTATATATAGGTTTTCGGCAACGGTTTCTGGCTTATAACTCCCACAGCCCTTGTTACAGTTTTTTGTTATAATGTTGGGACACTTTAGGCCTCAGACAACAGAATCTCCCTCTATGACCTTCCCTGCCTTCCTTTCAGCTGCCCAAGGCACGACTCTAATCTGATTGTGGGTCCTAAGACCCTCATTCCAGAGAGGGTCTTGCCTCATACTCTGGAGGAGGGAACACTGCACAGAGAGGCTGAGAAGAATCTGGACAGACAGGCCTTGCTGGGTTTAGGTCAGACCCTTTTTGTCCAATCACATTTCAACACAGTTCAACACGCTTCAGTCATGCCTATCCGATGAAGTCTCCATAAAAGGCCCAAGGGGACAGGGTTTAGTCAGCTTCCAGACAGCTGAACACACGGAGGTTCCTGGAGGGTGGCACACCTGGGGAGGGCATGGAAGCTCCGCGCCACTTCCTCCATACTTCCTCCTAATCTCTTCATCTGTATCCTTCATAATATCCCTTATAATAAATGAACAAATGTGTTTCCCTGAGTTCTGTGGAGCCACGCTAGCAAATCAATCAAACCACAGGAGCGGGTTGTGGGAACCGTAATTTACAGCCTATTGGTCACAAGTTCTGGAGGTTCAGACTCGGGACAGGCTGGGGGCAGGGGTGTGTCTTGGGGACTGAGCCCTCCATCTGTGGGAACCTGATGCTATCTCTAGGTAAACAGTGTCAGAATTGAACCAGAGGGCACCCAGCTGGTGTCTGCTGCAGAACTCATTGCTTGCTTGGTATGTGGGGGAAAAAACCCACCCACTTGGTCACAGAAGTCTTCTGTGTTGATTGTTGTTGAGTAAGAAAATAGGAAAAAGCAGTTGAGTGTTGTAGTGTTGTATTTTTTCCATAACACCTGGCAAAAAAATGAGTGGCCATCTGAAGAGGCATTACAAAAAGGAAATAAAGATTTCCTCAGCTCCGGCTCAATTTTTTTTTTCTTTTTTTTTTGAGACAGAGTCTTGCTCTGTCACCCAGGCTGGAGTGCAGTGGCACAATCTCGGCTCACTGCACGCTCCACCTCCCAGGTTCAAGCAATTCTCCTGCCTCAGCCTCCCGAGTAGCTGAGATTACAGGCTTCCGCCACCACGCCCGGCTAATTTTTGTATTTTAGCAGAGACAGGGTTTCATCATGTTGGCCAGGGTGGTCTTAAACTCCTAACCTCAGGTGATCTGCCCACCTTGGCCTCCCAAAGTGCTGGGATTACAGGCATGAGCCACCGTGCCTGGCCCTCCAGTCATCTTAATATAATCCATAGTTTCTTCTTTTCTGGAATTTCTTTAAGGTCACTGAGGTCAAACTAGCTCAAAGAGACAGATACAGTAAATGAAAAAAACAACCCTGATATTTGGTTATATATTCACTCAACCAAGCATTAACTGAATACCTACAATGTGCAAGGTACTGTGAGAAGAACTACTGGGATACAAAGGTAGTTCAAGGCTGCCCTCAGAGCTTACAATCTAAAAACTGTAATACCAGGTGGGGAGTAACAAGTAATGTCTTGTGAAACTTTCAAGGTGAAAAAACGACATTAGGCTGGAGAAGTAGGCATCAAGCTAGTCTACATGGATAAAGCTGGTATCTAATCCGGGCTTTTTTTTTTTTTTTTTTGAGATAGGGTCTCACTCTGTTCCCAGGTTAGAATGCAGTGGTGGGACCATAGCTCTCTGCAGCCCTGACCTCCTGGAGTCAACCCATCCTCCCACCTCACCGCCCAAGTAGTTAGTTCTACAGGTCTGTGCCACCACACCTTGCTAATTTTATATTCCATTATGTTTTGTAGAAACACAGTCTTGCTACGTTGCCCAGTCTGATCTCGAACTCCTGGCCTAAAAGATCCTCCCGCCTCAGTCTCCCAAAGTGCTGGGATTAGAGGCATGAGCCATCATACTTGGCCTGATCTGGGCTTTGAAAGATGGGCAGACTGAGGACATAACCAAAGCAGGACAATTTCAAACCAACATGCAGGAAAATAAGGGACATTAATTTTATCTGCAGCCTAAGATTCATGAAGATACAGCCAATTACAGAGTAAAGGAAGAAACAAGAGGCTTTGACAGAGTCATTGTTGAGTCAAAGGAGTAGGGTAAAGAAAAGGACAGTTCTTAAGAGGAGATCTATGGTGTTCAGATTTTGCTGCTACATATTTATTCCTAGGCTACAGATATTCTGCAAAGACATCTGGTTGGTCCTCAAATAATCACATTTAATAATGTGGTCAATCAAAAGCAGCCTAAGCCAGGCACAGTGGCATATGCCTGTAATCCCAGCTACTTGGGAGGCTGAGGTAGAAGGATCACTTGAGCCCAGTATCTTAAGATCAGCCTGGACAGCATAGCAAGACCCCATCTCAAAAAAAAAAAAACAACACAGCCTTATCCTAAGACTCCAAAAAATGTCAGACTTCTAGCAACATTTAGCTAATTAAAAGTTATTTCTTCAAAACTACAAAAATCTATTACACTTCCCCACCATAAAGAACTTCCTTGTTCAGAAAACTTTATGAATTTAGGTAAAACAGTTAAAGCTTTACCTAACACCCAAAAAATCCATATATTAGAATTTTTATCTATTTTTGAAGTTTATCCCTTTAAGACACCAAAACATTAATTTAAATCTCAAAGTGGCTTTTTTATGTTGTTATTCTTTGCCTCCACTGAACCTCTCCCCTCCTCGGCTTTCCTGAAAGAATATTCCCCTAAGGTAGTCGCTATTCAAATATTTTTTAAAATTCCTTCTCAAAAGAAACCTTATTCGGAATGCCAACACATAACACTCAAAAGAGAGCTGCTCTGACTGAGGTAGACCTGTTTGTGTGATCTACTCCTCCAAAGCATCTCTGGGAACCCCCTGGGGCACCATGGAACACAGTTTGAAAACTACTGCTCCAAAACTTTCCCCTCCCTTATTTATGGCATGCTAGATAAGTACCACTAAAATTTGAAAAATTTCAACTTAGAACAAGTAAGAAGGACTTATTTCATTCTGCTTTTCAGAGGTAGTTTTACATACACCTGCAGTTCCCTCACTAAGAATGTAAGCCCTTTTGAGTATAGGCGCTACGATGGATCCCTCTGGCTCTTAGTCAAGGGCCCAGCACAATGCTTGCCACACAGCATGACTTTAACAGATAGCTGCTGAATTTAATCTAACTACATCACCCAGAAGATAATACACTTACAGAGCTTCCTGCTTAAAGTGGTTAGACGGAAACAGAAATTGATTTGTTAAAGGTTAATGAATAGCAGGACTACACAGAATACTCTCCATCTTTCAGGCTGACAACCACACTTATGTATCATACAGCCTTTGAGATTTCAGCTGGGAGAAAAACACCAGGCTGAAGGAGTGTAGCCTTGGATCCATGCAATCATTTCCACAAGTCTCTGCAGGATTTGGTTGCCATCTGCCATGAGGCCAGTCCAGGAGTTCTTTCATTCTGCTACACTAGCCTTGGTGTACTCATGAAATAACAACCAAAACACAAAGGACACATTAAAGGTAAGGATTCTGACGTGGGTAGTGCAGACCTTAAGCACTGGACCTAAAAGCTTTTTCATAAACTCACCCACACAGCTCACCGGGATGAAATCATTAGCTCTCCTGCCACATCACAATTATCCATACTTCCAACACTAGCACAAGTTAACTGGTAACTACCATGGCAGCAGCACAACTTACTTTCAGGAGAGCCTTCGCTTTCCAGTCGGAGTTTATTTAGGCGCTCTTCTTCCTAGAATTTAGACAAAAGTTTTCCAAGAACACAAGTTAGAATTCCCAGATGCTTGCAAAAGTCCATATGCTGGCTGAGTAATCTGACTCCCTCAAAGCCAACTCCTCCAGTTGGGGTCAGTGCATCATTGGGAGAATATTCTAGGTCATAGGGCCAAACGCCTGACTCCTGCTTACTAAGCAGCATTAGCATCACAGGTGCCCATCCATTGTTCACAAAATTAACCCAGTGAGCTGGCTTCCAAACTGACAAGTGACCTTGGAATCTTAAAGCTGGAAAGGACATCCAGAAGATCTGTCGCAGTCAGAGAAATAAAACAGAAGTTTAAGGCAGGAGGTAGACTGCTATTTTATTTTTCAAGACTTCTAGAATTTTAGTATAATTTTTCCAGAAGCTAAGATCATGTTTCCAACATCACTATGAACTCACGTTTAGCTTAACAGAGATACAGATGGATCCATACAGAAATATTTACAGGTGTATGTGTATGCATGGGTTACTATCCAAACATATATTTTCTTGTTCTGTCAGTGAAGAGAACTTAAAGGCAATGGCAACCTGGTAGCAATGAGCATACCCGGCACCCAGATCTTGGTTTCCAATGCTATTCCACAATAAGAACAGAGATGCTTGAAGAAATGGCTGTTCCAGGGCTGGAGCAGGAAACATACATGCAAGATAAGCCTGGAGCAGCTTATACTGCCAGAAAGTAAGGAAGTGCTCAAAAAAAAAAAAAAAAACAGTCCCATAATGATGGCGCTTTCTCAAAAAGATACAAAAGCCAAATGAAAGATGGGCAGGATGAGGACATAACCAAAGGCCAGTTAGTGCCAAAGCTGGAAGAATTTGAGCAACAAAATAAATAATATTAGATTATAACTCAAAGTATAAAATAAATACCCATGTACTCACATGATATAAATGATTGAATAAATAAATGGGAGACAATAGACATGCATAATTATTCTCCTATGCAGAAGAATTCCAAATAAATTATGTAGATACTCCCTCCATCTAAAGGACAGGAAGCATAACTCCCTGCTCCTTAAATGTAGGCTACACATAGTGACTTCCTTCCAAGGAGAGCCAAGAGGAAAATAACCTTATGGTAGAGAAACCTGATAAGCGTCACCTCAAGCCAGCTAACCCATGGTTAATATCAACAGTGATGTGTCACGTTGACAGTATGTACTTTTTTTTTTTTTTTTTGAGACTCTCGCTCTGTTGCCCAGGCTGGAGTGCAGTGGCGTGATCTCGGCTCACGGCAAGCCCCGCCTCCCGAGTTCACGCCATTCTCCTGCCTCAGCCTCCTGAGCAGCTCCGACTACAGGCATGCACCACCACGCCCGGCTAATTTTTTGTATTTTTAGTAGAGACAGGGTTTCACTGTGCTAGCCAGGATGGTCTCTATCTCCTGACCTCGTGATCCACGCACCTTGGCCTCCCAAAGTGCTGGGATTACAGGCGTGAGCCACCGTGCCCGGCCGTATGTACTCTTGATATGATGTGATAAGAATTGCACTTTACTTCAGTGGTCTTCTCCTCAACATCTATCACCTTAGTCTAGTTGTAAGAGAAACATCAGACAGATTTCAACCGAAGGAAAGTCTATAAAATACATAGCCAATACTTCTTGAAAATCACATCACCAGGTCTTTAAATGAATTTGTAACTTTGTAGCTATTCTTTCAGACCGAGAGGTATCTGAAGTGGCCTGAATAACGTGGGTTCCCCATGATTTGTCCTCAATGGCTAGATCCTAGGATCCTTACTAACCTTAGCTCTGAGCTCCATTTCCGCATCAGATTCATCCAGCCAACGATCAAAGTCAGGAGCCAAAAACAGTGGTCGCTTTTCCTGCTTTGTGAGTCTCTCCCACCACTGACTCACTTTCTTCTGTACTGTAATGTTTACCTGCCTCTGGGTCAGTTTGTAAACAGGCTAGGAGAGAAAGTGAAAATGTGAGAATGCCCTCTTCTGTTCCCTGAAGCAGCACCATGCCAGGGGCGCCGTACATAGAAGCTGCAGGATATATTTATTCTCCTTCTTTCTCTGGTCCTGCAAGTCCTGATGCAAAGGGAACATCTAGACCAGGGGTCTCCAACTCCTGGGCCATGGACTGATACTGGTCCATGGCCTGTTGGGAATCGGGCCACACAGGAGGAGCTGAGTGGTGGGCAAGTGAGTGAAACTTCACCTATATTTAGACTCGCTCTCCATCACTTGCATTACTGCCTAAGCCCTGCCTCCTGTCAGATCAGCATTGGCACAAGATTCACATAGGAGCGTGAACTCTATTGTGAATTGTGCATGCAAGGAATCTAGGTTGCTCACTCTTTATGAGACTATAATGCCTGATGATCTGTCACTGTCTCCCATCACCCCCAGATGGGACTGTCTAGTTGCAAGAAAACAAGCTCAGGGCTCTCACTGATTCTACATTATGGTGAGTTGTATTCATTATATATTACAATGTAATAATAACAGAAATAAAGTGCACAACAAATGTAATGCATTTGAATCACCCTGAAACCATCCCCATTCCACCATCTGTGGAAAAAGTGCCTTCCACAAAATTGGTCCCTGGTGCCAAAAAGGTTGATCTAGACCAACGGCTGGCATGGAGAACTGGTAAGGACATAATGTCCTTCTCTGATTCCCCCAGTGAATGATACAGGAGGATATCAGGATAAGAAAGGCAAATAGTTCCTGGTTAGGCTGGAGGGAACTAGCATGAACCTCCTGCCACAGCCACATCATGCAAGGTACTATGTCCAATCACCCTCTCAAGGGTACTGCATCCAATTACCCTCAGCTTATAAATTTTCCTCCCATGAAAATGACTGTCCTGGCTCAGCAGACCCCGGTTTTAGAAACACCTGCATCAAGATCAGAACTGTATTGGATCAGTTACAGATTTTTTCACAGGGGTCAATTTGGGGAGTCTTCCCAACTAAACTCAAATTCTTATAGGCCATTCCAGCTCATTGTTTGTCTACATGTCCTGTCCCTTTTCTCCAAAGGAAGCTCCATGACAGGTTCTCTGCCCACTGTACCACTGGTTATTATTCATGCTTTCTCAAAACAACTGAGCACCTGCGCACGGAAATCAAGAAGCTCAAGCCACCAGAGCTAAGTGTAATTCCAGAAGCCAAAATACCCCATCTATTGGATTCTCTCCCTGCTTATGAGAGAAGCTTCCTCAGGCTCTAAGGGAAGGGAAGTTTTGATGATATCTGCAGCATTCTTTCTGAAGGCCAGCTGCCTTCACCCTTTCTGATTTCTATTTTTCTCACCTGCAACTGTGGCAAAGTCACATGAAAGTAACCCCTGGTGGGGGCTTCAACCACTCTATGTAACTCTGTTCTCAATGGGTGCCATATTCCTCTGCCATCACTAAAACCAGAGAATATCAGAGCTGGAAGGATCACTTAGTCCAGACCTTCATTTAACACATGAGAACACCAGAACTCGAAGAAGTTAAGAGACTTGTTCAAGATCACACTGCTAATAAATGGCAGGGCCCTGACTCAACTTGGGGTCTCTGACTTTCCCATTCCTCTGCAGCTAAAACCTGGGCTCTGTTCCAAATAAAAGAACTCTATTATTCCCCTTTGGTTTTTATCTTCTTCTCTCCACAAACCCTGCTCCCCATTTCACTAAACTACTGGTATTCATTTCCTAAAATGGGAAGGGAAGTGAGAAAGGAAAGAACATACCTCTGGTTTCACAAGGTCTAAGAACTCCAGGTGAAATTCATAGACATTGTCTCCTTTGGCACCATGTCCTTGAGCTATAAAGAAAGAAATGTGGGTTACTGCAAACTTGAGCAGAGCAAGGCCATCCAAAAGCCAGCTTGGTGCAGTTCTTTCCCAAGTATGCGAATATTACACTTTTTTTTTTTTGAGACAGAGTCTTGCTCTGTTGCCCAGGCTGGAGTGCAGTGGCATGATCTCGGCTCACTGCAAGCTCCGCCTCCCGGGTTCATGCCATTCTCCTGCCTCAGCCTCCCGAGTAGCTGGGACTACAGGCTCCCGCCACCATGCCCAGATAATTTTTTTTATTTTTAGTAGAGACGGGGTTTCACCGTGTTAACCAGGATGGTCTCGATCTCCTGACCTTGTGATCCACCCGCCTCAGCCTCCCAAAGTGCTGGGATTACAGACATGAGCCACTGTACCTGGCACGAATATCATACTTGATTGTAGCCAAAAGGCCAAGAAGCATCGTAGTCCACAAATCTTAATGGGTCCTGTTAAAATGTGTGGGGGCTTGTGCGCAGAGCTCCTCAACAGCTAGATAGGCCAAATCTTTGACACAAGTTTATCTCCATATGTCCTCTGATGTCAGTTTTGGCGTATTTACCCAATCTTCCACTGTGACCCTGATGATACCCCACACAAATAACAGGCAGGAAAAAGAATAGAGAAAGCAATGCCAAAGGAGCCACACGGATATAAATTTAACTTTCACAATTACTTTGGCTCTAAATCTAGAGCAGACAAAAATTGGTGGGTGTATCATCTTGACTGCAGGGTACATGGAAATGCTGGGTTGTCTTGGACAGCTCTGAATCTAAAACCTCCCAACCAGGGAGAGAGAATGAAGGCAGAAGCTGACTCCTCCTTTAGCACATCCCAAATGGAACAAGGAAAAAGAAATACAATCTTTCGCAGCTTATGAAGGACAGGTGGAACTAGGAGGGAAGTACCTGAGTTGGCCAATGCCCCATCCCTATGCCTTGACATGGCTCCTTTCCCCAATTCTAGCTGGCACCATGCCTAGATGCCAGTGACTGCTGGACCCAGCAGCTGCTGCTGAACCACCCTTCCACTCTCCTCTCTGATTCATTTACCATTTGGTTCCCTTCTGGGACTCTCTTTCCTTATCTGATCATATGTAGACTAATAACCTGCCTAATATTCGCTACAGGTAGCAATTATTCTCTGTGACGATAAATTCCTTAAGGTAGGACAGTATATAAGGTCTAAGTGGCAAGATATGCTTTTATCACTTTAATTTTCATGTAAATGTATATAATTCCCAAAAAACCTGAGCTGAGTGGTGACTACTCTCATCTTGAAAAGCAGATACAAAAGCCAGGCTGTACTTTCATGCAAGTATATTACAGTAGATGGAATTTCACATAAAGCAGAAACTCTTTATGCTCCAATAATCCCAGGAACTGGAACAGAGAGCAGAGAGAATCCTACCCCACTGGGTGACAGTGAATGGAAATCCCACCCTCTCCAGTAGAGCAGTAAATCTGCTGAGGGACTGAGGAGAAGGCAGATAGAGGCAGATTCACAGAATCAGAGACTGTCAGAGCTGAAAAGGCCTGAGACATCATCTAGAGTGTAGTGTTTCTCAAACTGGTCTGCTAATCTAGTATCAGGGAGCCACAAAGTCTCATCAAGAAAATTTCTTAGGAATAGTGAGAAGGGATGTAATAAATAATTATTATTTTTTTAAATGTTTAAAAAGAAAAATATGTGCTCACTTCGGCAGCACATATACTAAAATTGGAATGATACAGAGAAGATTAGTATGGCCCCTGTGCAAGGATGACACGCAAATTCGTGAAGCGTTCCATATTTTTATTAAGAAAATGTGGCACATATACACCATGGAATACTATGCAGCCATAAAAAATGATGAGTTCATGTCCTTTGTAGGGACATGGATGAAATTGGAAATCATCATTCTCAGTAAACTATCGCAAGAACAAAAAACCAAACACCGCATATTCTCACTCATAGGTGGGAATTGAACAATGAGATCACATGGACACAGGAAGGGGAATATCACACTCTGGGGACTGTTGTGGGGTGGGGGGAGTGGGGAGGGATAGCATCGGGAGATATACCTAATGCTAGATGACGAGTTAGTGGGTGCAGCGCACCAGCATGGCACATGTATACATATGTAACTAACCTGCACAACGGGCACATGTACCCTAAAACTTAAAGTATAATAAAAAAATAATAAATTTAAAAAAAAAAGAAAAATATTTAAAAAAAACAAAAACAAAAACAAAAAACAAAAAACAGGCACGGTGGCTCACGCCTATAATCCCAGCACTTCGAGAGGCCGAGGTGGGCAGATCACTTGAGGTCAGGAGTTCAAGACCAGCCTGGACAACATAGTGAAACCCTGTCTCTACTAAAAATACAAAAATTAGCTGGACGTGGTGGCGGATGCCTGTAATCCCAGCTACTCGGGAGACTGAGGCACGAGAATCACTTGAACCCAGGAGGCGGAGGTTGCAGTGAGCCGAAATCATGCCACTGCATTCCAGCCTGGGTGACAGAGCAAGACTCAATCTCAAAATAAATAAATAAATAAATTTTCTATTTTATGTTTCCATAATAATTTTTTTTTAAAAAAAGCAGCATATTCTGGATCATCTAGATGGCCACTTCATAATCAAGTACTGCCATGCAATCAGTAGCTGTATGTGTGTCTGTATTCACAGCTGCAGTGGAGCCAAATATCACTTAAAGTGACCATATTTAATTCTTCACGTTTCTCAATCTCGGGTCCATGAGCCCTTGAGAGTCCTGTGGAAACATTATTTGGTGTCCACGGGTCCTCGAGTTTGAGAAACACAGATTAAAACCCAGCATCTTCATTGTACAGGTCCAGAGAAGTCAATAACTTGTCCAAGATAGCGGCAGAATTAGAGCTAGAAGACACGTCTCCTGATTTCTAACCCAGGATTCTTTTTTTTTTTTTCCTTCACTGTATCTACTGCCTCTCCATGGGGGAAACAGGATTTTAAACCAATTCTTTGACTTTTCTAATCATATATTTCAAAACAATTTAGCTTACCTCATGAGGATCAGAGGCGTGAACATCAGCAAAAAACAAGTAAGACAAATACATTTTTTTAAAAAAGGGAAACCACCACCACACCTCCTTAACTGTGTATAGAGATGGGAGCATTTGCTGGGATACTGACCTTTGAAATGCAGCACGTTTTCAGTGATGCTGATGGCAGGGTTCTGTGAAAAGAGACCAAGGATGCAAGAAGGCATTTTAATGAAGAGAAAAAATGAGATTAAACAAGGGGCTTCTTCCCCTCATCCCTCTCCCATAAGGACTCAAACTCCTACTCTGTGCCTCCCCCAGAAATATATTTAGTCATTTATTCACATCTCTGTAGGCTTTCTCTATGTCTGTCTGTACCTATCTAAGACTGCAGACTCCTGCAAGAAGGACCCTAACCTGCTCTAACTGTGCAAACAATCAAGTACTGAATTAGTCCATTCTGAAAATGGCCAGTCATGCAAGGTGCTATGTGAGATATGACACGGGAATACAGAGATCTCCAGGACTCAACCCCTGAGCTGTAGAACAGAGGATCCAGTGGGACAGATGAGGCACTTTCTGTGAGAAGATATCAAATAGTTATTAAGAAACATATGGTCAAGACGAAAAGGGTGGTAAAAGGCAGTAAGTGTTAGCAGAGTTAGGAGAGAGAGAGAGCACAACAGGAATAGAGTGGTGGGGAAAAGCTTCACCAAAGGTGAGACCTGTACTGCAACCTGAATGATAAATTAATTCCAACAGGTAGAGGGAAGGGCAGAGGATTGCAGGTGGTGAATGAAAATGAAACACGCTGTGCCTGTGTCTCTAACTTAGAGGCTCCAGACTCTCTTAACCCCCAAAGGAAACAAGACTCGGGAGAGGTCAAAATTCTCCAGACTGCTCATTGATTCCCAGAAGTTGCTACATACCTTCAATTTAGCATCATAATGTAAAGTGAAACTACTTAACACTTTTTCCAGTGGATGAGAAACAACCCAACTCCTACTTCCAGCTCAAGGTTAACAAGCAAGAGGCAGCTCCTTCCCAGTGTCACGGTGTTTGTTTTTCTTCTGTGGGCTTAGCTTTCTGTGTTCCCCAACTACAGCTGTCATCTGACCACAACCTCATGAGATTCCAAGCCAGAACAACCCAACAGAGCCCCTCCTGAAGTCCTAACCCACAGAAACTGTGAGAGACAATAAACGACTATTGTTGCTTTAAGCCACTACATATTGGGTGATTTGTTATGTAGCAACAGATTAACAAATAATTATTAACTGCAATTATTTATTTAAATGCTTGGTAGAACTTCCAGGTGAAGCCATTTAGACCTGCAAGTTTCCCTGTGGGAAGATTTTTGACTACTGAATCCATGTATTTAATGGTTATTGGGCTATCCAGGTTTTCTATCTCTTTTATAGAAACTGTCTTTATTTCTTGGAATTTATCCATTTTATCTGATATGAACTTGTTTAATATTTTCTTTCTTTTTTTTGAAAAATTCACCCAGGCTGGAGTGCAATGGCTCAGTCTCGGCTCACTGTAACCTCTGCCTCCCAGGTTCAGGCGATTCTCCTGCCTCAGCCTCCTGAGTAGCTGGTATTACAGGCGACTGCCATCATGCCCGGCTAATTTTTGTATTTTTGCAGAGACGAGGTTTCACCATGTTGGCCAGGCTAGTCTTGAACTCCTGACCTCAGGTGATCTGCCTGCCTCGGCCTCCCAAAGTGCTGGGATTACAGGCATGAGCTACTGTGTCCAGCCTAGATGCATATAACTTAATATTGTTGTATCTTCCTGGTAAACTGAAACCTTATCATTATGAACTGCCCTTTCTATCTCTAAAAATACACTTGTGCCTAAAAGTCTATTTTGTGTGATATCAGCATAGCTACTACAGAGGATCGATCTGCATTTGCTTCTGCCAGGGACCTAGGGGTCCTACCAGTTGAGGCCACTTTAAACTAAATGCATGGCTTGAGGGTTCTCAAGTTTAGAGTTTTGGTTCTCCTAAATTGTGTGAATTTGGGCTACATAACCTTTGAGAGCCAACTTACAGTTTTAACTTCTCAAGGACCTTTTCTTCTATTAATACTTAGCTAAGTGTTAAGGCAACTGGAGACAGGCAGATGGAATGGGCTTATTTCTAGTTCATCCTAACCCTAAGTGTATAGTCCTCTCTGAAATACGGTTTATGGAGAAGATTTCCTATTACATGTTACACCTTTGGTGGGTCTTGGGCTTTGATCTTTTTTTTTTTTTTTTTTTTTGAGATGGAATCTCGCTTTGTCACCCAGGCTGGAGTACAGTGGCGCCATCTCAATTCACTGCAACCTCCACCTCCCAGGCTCAAGCGATTCTTCTGCTTCAGCCTCCCGAGCAGCTGGGATTACAGGTGTGCGCCACCACACCCAGCTAATTTTTTTTTTTTTTTTTTTTTTTTCCCAGCAGAGATGGGATTACACCATATTGGTCAGGCTGGTCTCAAACTCCTGACATTGTGATCCGCCCACCTCGGCCTCCCAAAGTGCTGGGACTACAGCTGTGAGCCACCGCACCAGGCTGGGTTTGACCTTACTTCTATTGCCTGCGCCCTGTTGGGCTGTCAAAACCAAAGTTCAAGTTCACTTAGTTGAGCAAATGTTCGCAAGGCAAAAGCAGTTTCCACGTTCAGCTTATCTGAGTTCCCAATTTCATTTCTACCGTGTTAACTTTTCGATGTTTTTAAGACATTTTTATTCAACACTTTTAGTTGTTTTTATTAGAAAGCTCAATCTACACAACCTAGCCCATCTCTTACAAGAAAAGAAACTGTGCCTTTGCTTATGAAAGGAGGAGTGAACAGCCAGGCCCGGTGCCATGCACCTATAGTCCCAGCTACCGGGGAGGCTGAAGTGGGAGGATCACTTGAACCCAGGGGTTCAAATGCAGCTAGGGGAACATACATAGCAAGTAGTCAGACCCTGTCTCTAATTCTTTTAAAAAATAAAAAGAGAAAGAGAGTGGCTGGGCAAGGTAGCTCATGCCTATAATCCCAACACTTCGGGAGGCCTACGCAGGAAGATCACTTGAGCCCAGGAGTTCAAGACCAGCCTGAACAACATAGACCGTCTCTACAAAAATAAAAAAATTAGCCAAGTGTGGTGGCACATGCCTGCGGTCCCAGCTACTTGGGAGGCTAAGCTGGGAGGACAACTTGAGCCCAGGAGGTCGAAGCTGCAGTGAGCTTTTATTGCACCACTGCATTCCAGCCTGGATGACAGACTAAGACCCTGTCTCAAAAAAAGGAGTGAAGAGGGAAAAGGGAATACGAAAATTTTCAAATCATCTTAATCATCTTTTTTTTTTTTTTTTTTTGAGACAGAATCTCCCTCTGTCACCCAGGGCTGGAGTGAAGTGGTGCAATCTCGGCTCACTGCAGCCTCCATCTCCCAGGCTCAAGGATCCTCCCACCTTAGCCTCTCAAGTATCTGGGACTACAGGTCCACATCACCATGCCTGGCTAATATCTTTTTTAAATTTTTTGCAGAGACAAGTCTCACTATGTTGCCCAGGCTGGTCCCGAACTCCTGGGCTCAAGTAATCCTCCACCTCAGCCTACCAAACTGCTGGGATTACAGGCATGAGCCACCATGCCCAGCCATAATTTTAAAAATAACAATAAAATCACTTACATCACAGGTCTGCTGTAAGGATTAAGTTATAATAGCACACACAGACCCTGGCAACTAGTAAGAATTCACATTCCAGTTGCTTTTTTTCCTCTGACTAAAGTGCCCATCTAAGTTTCCATGCCTGTTGAACACTACTTCTCTTTCAAAGTTCAGGTCAAATGTTAATTCCTGTTCTCTCCTCCTCACCCTAACATCAGAATCAACAGTTTCCTTCCTACTTTGTATTCACCTTTACTATAATACTTATCACACTGTTCCACAATCATTGTTGATCATTTAACTGCCCCTCTTGACCTGACTTCTTTGATGGCAGGGACTGTGTCTTATTCATTTCCATATACCTAATGCCTCAATAACTGTTAAGTGAACTGAAATCAATTCATCCCATTTTCAGAATCTCTGGCAGAACTACAAAGAGTTCACAATAAACTACCTGCTATCTAACCCTTTAGACAAGAGTTTCCTTTCTCATTCAAATCATTAGTATTTATCTTCAAATTTATGTGATTAGTATGTGTGCAGAAGAGTTAATATAGCAAGCCTGAGGCTGCAGTCTTTAAAAGGGCCTGCTTCCAAGATCAGCCTTTGGCTGGCATCTATCTAGAAACTCGGCTTTCCTCCATCACCTAACTAATAAGGGTGGTCCAATGTTCCTAAACTGTGCCTACAAACAATGTGATTTATGGTGAATATCAACTTTCCTTCTAGGAGCCTGAAATTTTGGTACATGTTAGGCAGAGGTTACCTAAGTAACAAGCCCCAATAAAAATCATGGGTACTTGGCCGGGCGCGGTGGCTCATGCCTGTAATCCCAGCACTTTGGGAGGCCAAGGTGGGTGGATCATGAGGTCAGGAGTTCGAGACCAGCCTGACCAATATGGTGAAACCCTGTCTCTACTAAAAATACAAAAATTAGCCAGGCATGATGGCGTGCGCCTGTAATCCCAGCTACTCAAGAGGCTGAGGCAGGAGAATTGCTTGAACCCAGGAGGCGGAGGTTGCAGTGAGCCGAGATCAGGCCACTGCACTCCAGCCTCGGTGACAGAGTGAGACTCCGTCTCAAAAAAAAAAAAAATCCTGGGAACTCAATCACTAACGGGCTTCCCTGGGCAGAAAAGTTATACATAAGTCATTGCATTTTTCGTCGCTGGTGGAGTGTGCTCAAATATACCCCCTCACAGGAGGAAGAATGATAAAGAGGCTTATACGTGGATTTCTCCAGACTCCACTTGTGCTTTTTTTCCTTTACTGATCCTGTCCTGTATTCTCCAGCTGTAACAAACCTTAGTCATGAGTACAATTATATACTAAGTCCCATGAATCCTTCGAGCAAATCACTGAGCACACTGGTGGCTGCCGGGGAACCCCAAAACTCTGTGTATTTTTAATGTGATCCTTTTCACCCCAATGTTTTATTTTGAAAACATTTAAATCTACAAAAAAATTGAAAAACTAGGCCAGGCATGGTGGCTCACACCTGCAATCCCAGCACTTTGGAAGGCCAAAGCAGGCAGATCACTTGATGCCAGTAGTTTGGGACCAGCCTGGACTCCAGCCTGGGTGACAGAGCAAGACCCTGTCTCAAGTAAAAAAAGAAAAAATAGTATAATATAATGAAAACTCATATACCTTCTACCAATTGATTGCTAAATGTCATATTTGGTTTTTTTAGGGTGGGGGTAGCCTCCATTCTACAAAATATAATGAAAGCTCCCAATATTTGCCTTTTATATGCATAGTTTTTTGCTGAATTATTTCAAAATGAGCTGCAGACATCATACTTAACCTCCACATATTTCCTCTCCTAAGAAATTATATTATCTTGTATAATTACCAAAGCTTTCTAATACCTAAGAACAATAATTCCATATTATCTAATAAAAAATCTACATGAACAATTGTCTCAAAGATGTTCAATTGTTTTTGTTATTTACTGTAATGCACGCAACCACTCTAAAACTTAACTTAAAACAACTATTTTATTATCCTACATGATTCTACAGGTTGACTGGGGCTCAGCTATATAGTTCTATTCCATGTGATGTTGGCTGGGGCTATAGTATATTGGGCTGGAACATTCAAGACGGGTCGCTCACTTAGCTCATAATTGTTGCTGGTTGTCATTTGGTAGTTCAGCTAAGACCAGAATAACTATATTTGGCCACTCCATGTGGCTTGGGTCTCCCGCAACAGGACTGCTCAGTTCCGAGAGGGAATGTCTCAAGAGCAAGTGGTCTAAGAGAGAAGAAGCGGAAGCTGGCAGTTCTCTTACAAAGAGTAAGCCTGGAACTGGTCACAGCATCATTCTCCAGCATTCTATTCACTAAGCTGCCAGAGGGCCTGCCCAGATTCAGGGAAAGAAGAAATAAATTGCGAATTTTGATGGCACTCTTGATGCAGTTATCCTGAAGCCACTACATTTACACTTTAAAAAAATCCAGAATCGGCCACGGGTGGCTCACGCCTGTAATCCCAGCACTTTGGGAGGCCGAGGCGGGCGGATCACAAGGTCAGGAGATAGAGGCCATCCTGGCTAACACGGTGAAACCCTGTCTCTACTAAAAATACAAAAAAAAAAAAAAAAATTAGCCGGGCCTGGTGGCAGGCGCCTGTAGTCCCAGCTACTCAGGAGGCTGAGGCAGGAGAATGGCGTGAACCCGGGAGGCGGAGCTTCCAATGAGCTGAGACACTCCAGCCTGGGCGACAGAGCGAGACTCCGTCTCAAAAAAAAAAAAAAAAATCCAGGATCCAATCCAGGTTCATGCATTCCTCTTGATTGCCATGCCTATTTTTATTTAATACAGACTTACACTTTTATTTATTAGCCCATGCCAATTGTCTTGTAAAATGTATCATATTCTGGATTTGTCTGGCCATTCCTTCATATTAACCATTTTTAACAAAAATATTTCATAGGTGATATGGTTACTTATGGCATCCTTATGTTAAGAGGGTGACAATAAATTTGATCATTAAATTGAGAAGGTGACTGCCAGAACTTTCCACTGTAGTGTTTCCTTTTGTAATTAGCAAGTTACCTAATAATGTAATCTGCCATTCCCTCACAACACTCTTTCATCCAATGGTACGGTCAACCATTGTTAATCCTTACCTGATGCAATTTTACACTGGAGGTCACAAAATTATAATTTTCTTTCTTTCTTTTTTTTTTTTTTTAGACAGAATTTCCCTTGTTGCCCAGGCTGGAGTGCAATGGTGCCATCTCGGCTCACCGCAACCTCCGCCTCCCGGGTTCAAGCAATTCTCCTGCCTCAGCCTCCCGAGCAGCTGGGATTACAGACACGTGCAACCACGCCCGGCTAATTTTGTATTTTTAGTAGAGACAGGGTTTCTCCATGTTAGTCAGGTTGGTCTCAAACTCCCGACCTCTGGTGATCTGCTGGCCTCGGACTCCCAAAGTGCTGGGATTACAGGCGTGAGCCACCGCACCCGGCAACATTATAATTTTCTAATTCAATCATTCCTTTTTCATTTTCTAGTTGGCATTCTTCTGTAAAAAGGAGTTTTCCCTTTTTCTCCTCTCCCTTTTTTTAATTGAAATTTTTATTGAGATATGGATTCACATGAAGCTCTAAGAAATAAATATACACACCTACTGTGTACCCACAAAAATAAAAATTTTTAAAAAAGAAATAGTACTGAGAGATCCCTTGTACACTTTTCCTAGTTTCCCCCAATGGTAGCATTCTACAAAACTATAGTATAAAATCAAAATCAGGATACTGCCATTGACACAACCCACCTATGTTATTCAGATTTCCCAGTTTTACTTGCATTCGCTTGCAGGTATGTGCATGTGCGTCTGTGTGTTAAGTTCTATCCAATTTGATCACCTGTATAGGTTCATCTACCAACTGTCACAGTAAAGAGACTGAACAGCTCTAGATCCCTCATGATGCCTTCGCAAACACCACCAGCCTGTACCCTCTCTGGTCTATATTTCTTTTTTACTTTCACTATGGGCTCACGGATTTTCTTTTTATTTTTTTCTTTTTTTTGAGATGGAGTCCCGCTCTGTCACCCAGGCTGGAGTGCAGTGGCGTAATCTCGGCTCACTGCAAGCTCCGCCTCCCGGGTTCACGCCATTCTCCTGCCTCGGCCTCCCGAGTAGCTGGGACTACAGGCGCCCACCACCAGGCCCGGGTAATTTTTTTGTATTTTTAGTAGAGACGAGGTTTCACCATGTTAGCCAGGATGGTCTTGATCTCCTGACCTTGTGATCTGCCCACCTCGGCCTCCCAAAGTGCTGAGATTACAGGTGTGATCCACCACGCCCCGCCGACTCACAGATTTTCTTTTGTGATCCACTCAGCCAAATTCCATTACCATTATTACTCTTGTTGATGTTCAAATTGTCACAAACTTGGCCAGTAGAAATCCCTTCAAATCAAGTCCTGTATGATTCTGACATGACCGTGTAGCTTTTGAGGATACTGTTCTTTTTCTGGCACAGATTTGGAATAATTGGCCATTTTTTCAAGGAGGCATAGTTTCTTTGGTTGGAAATGGTAATGTAGAAGCCATGATCTAAGTACACTGAGGTATAGTCAATGTTCATCTTTCAGTGGGCTAGCTAGGAATTTAAAAAACGATGTCATAGTGAAGTTTCCAATTCAAGCTCTTACAAGGCTTCTCCCTACCTTGTTATTTAAGATTTATATCTTTTACAGTGAAAAGCTTCCTAATAACATTAGTACATTTATATATTTGTTTTATCCCAAAAAAGTTTCAGAATTAGAATATCAATATTTTTTACCAACAATAAACCTACTAATTACTTGCAGAAGTTTCCCTGTGGAAAATAAGAAAAAAGAAAATTTGTATTCAATTTAAAAAAAAAGAAAAGGGAGAAATAACCCTTGTAAGTGTAACATTTAATTGCAGTTCTTTTTGTCCTTAGAATATATTCCACTAAAAGGGGGGAAGGTTGATTTTTAAAAAGGACATGATCTACTAAAGTACCAGAGTACTGTGTTCAAATATTATGTGTATTGATTAATTTATCTGTAAGATTTTGTCATCAATTTGATACACAGTTAGGTCCTTTTGGTTCTGTTTATTTAATTTGCTTTTTTCTTTTCTTTCTTTTTTTTTTTTTTTTAGAGAGACAGAGTCCCACTGTCGCCAGGCTGGAGTGCAGTGGCACGATCTCGGTTTACTGCAACCTCTGCCTCCTGGGTTCAAGCGATTCTCCTGCCTCAGCCTCCTGAGTAGCTGGGATTACAGGCACATGCCATCGCACCCAGCTAATTTCTGTATTTTTAGTAGAGACAGGGTTTCCCCATGTTGGCCAGGATGGTCTCTATCTCTTGACCTCGTCATCTGCCCGCCTCAGCCTCCCAAAGTGCTGAGATTACAGGCATGAGCCACCAAGCCCGGCCTGTTTTTTTTAAGACAATTTTATCTTTGAATATGTAAAACATTCCCATTGTTCAAAATTCAAACTTTATAAAATGATTTCCTCAGAAGTCTTGCTCCCAAACCCATCCTCCTTTACCACATTCCTATTCCCCACATACCGGTAACCATTTCATTCATTTCTGGTTTATCTATTCTCTGTATATGCGTGTTTTGCAAAAATTTGCAAATATATTTAGATATTCTTATTTTCATCCAGGCACAGTGACTGATGCCTGTAATCCCAGCACTTTGGGAGACCAAGGTGGGTAGATCGCTTGAGCTCAGGAGTTCAAAACCAGCCTGGGCAACATGGTGAAACCCTGTCTCTACAAAAAATACAAAAATTAGCCTGGCGTGATGGCATGTGCCTGTAGTCCTAGCTACTTGGGAGACTGAGGTAGGAGGTTCACTTGGGCCTGAGAGGTGGAGACTGCAGTGAGCCAGGATCACACCACTGCACTCCAGCCTGGGTGACAGAGTGAGACCCTGTCTCAAACAAACATACAAAACAGATATTCTTTTCTTTTCTTTTTTTTTTTTTTTTTTTGAGATGGAGTCTCACTCTGTCGCCAGGCTGGAGTGCAGTGGCATGATCTCAGCTCACTGCAACCTCTGCCTCCCAGGTTCAAGCGATTCTCCTGCCTCAGCCTCCCAAGTAGCTGGGACTACAGGAACATGCCACCACGCCCAGCTAATTTTTGTATTTTTAGTAGAGACACCGTTTCACCATGTTGGCCAGGATGGTCTCGATCTATTGACCTCGTGGTCTGCCCACCTCGGCCTCCCAAAGTGCTGGGATTACAGGCGTGAGCCACCGCACCCGGCCAAAACAGATATTCTTATTTTCCCTTCTTTCTATACAAAAATTAGCATACAATATACATTCTTATACATCTTGCTTTTTTTTTCACCTAAATAAATCCTTATCAGCTCATAAAGACCTTACTCTTTCTTGTTATAGCTGTATAATACTCAATTGGGTGTATGTAAAAGTTTGTATCATCTTCTAATTCCCCCTTTTGGGGACACAGACAATTTCAAAGAATACCAACCAACTTGAGGTTACTATGAGACCATGGTAAAATTAAACAAAACAAGACCATTGCATAAATTTGTCTAATGACAGGTCACTATGCCAACCACAAAATACCAAATCATAGAACTGTCCCTGCTTTCTGTCAACATCCAATCTATAGCGGACCCCACTTCCTTAGACACCCCCGCCATCACATAATCAAAGCCCAAATCCTATATAACAAGGTCTTTTTTAACACCATCTTACTGAGATACCACATGTTTCCCTACGATGTGTGTTTTCCCTCACTGGAACAAGCAATAAACCCAACTTATTTAACTACAAGGTGTGTTTTGGTGATCTTTGGCTGAACAGCATTAACAGTTTAAATAAACTCTCAGAGAGCTCTTTCAATAAATTAAAAATACTCAAAGTAATAAGAAAGCTTGTATCACAGTATAATCAGCAGCATTTTTCCCCTCATCATGAGGGAAAAAAATAAAATAGTGGTGCATTTTACAATCAATTAAGTCTAAGATACTATAAAATTCTATTTTCACCCAGACTACTGCCCTGAACTCTGTATTTGTATAGTTATATCACTAGTTCACATTTTCACATGGAAATTGTTTATAACAAGACTCTCAAACTAGTATGTCCAAAAGGGGACTCTTGATTTTGGCCCCTAAATCTCTTCTCCAGTCTTAATCATTTCAGTTGTCATCTACTCTGTGCTTAAGTCAAAATCTTAAGACTAGTCATTAATTCTTTTCCCTTCCTCTCCAACGAGTCCATCAAGGCCTCAAGGTTCTCTTCAGATATATCTCAAATGTGTCCATGGCTTTCCACCTCCACAACCCTAAACTGAGCCACCTCATCTCTTACCCATACTACTATAACAGCCTCCCTAAATGGTTTTCTAGAGTTCACTTTTGCCCCTTTATAATCCACATAGCAGCCAGAATAATCTTTTTTGAAACACAAATCCTACAAAGTCACTTCTCTGCTTAAAACTCTTTAATAGTTTCCCATTGCTCTTACAATAAAACCCAAGCTCCTTACCATGGCAACAAGGCTCTACATGACCTACATCTTGCAAACCCTTCTATCCTCATCTCCCTCTAACTTATTCCTCACTACACTCCAAACATACTAATATCCTTTCTGCTCCTGGAACCCCACTAAGCCTTTGCCTGCCTCTAAGTCTGTGGACTTGTTGGAATGTTCTTGCCCCAGCTTTCTGCACCATTTGTTTTAACTTTCAAGTTTCACCCGGCTAGAATATCACCTCTTCAAGGAAGCCTTCCCTGACCACTCTATTTAAAATAGCCTCTACCAATTATTCTCTATTTCATCACCCTCTTTATTTCCCTCATAGCACTTTATCTAGGTAATTATTTATTAACATATCTATTGTCTGTCTCCCTCAATCTGAAGGTAGTGCCTTTATATGTGTTGCTCATTACTGAATATCTAGTACTTAGCACTGTGCCTGGACCATTGTGAGTGGTCAACAGTTACCAGATTATTTAACTTACTGCTTTATAAGTAGTTTTTGTACTGTGGTAATAAACAGCTTAGACTTATTGATTTCTATTATTAAATATTTCAAGCAAAATCAAACAGAAAAATATAGCAAACACCACTATATCTAACATCCATTAGCATTTTGCTTTATTTGCCTCAATTTTTAAAAAAAGAAATAAAACAGAAACAGATACATTATACAATTTCTCAATCCCAATGCCCTCTCCCTCAAACATGCCCCAACTTCGCAGGTAACCACTACTCCAGGATTGGAGTTGGTCGTTTCCACTGTATTTATTTATTCATTAAAACACGTTGGGCATTCACAATATACAGTATGATTTGACATGTCACAAAAATAATTTCATACTGCCTATATCATTCTTCAACTTGCTTTTTATTTGATATTATATTTCTAAGCTTTAATTCTATAAAGATGGTTCTGTTTCATTCATTGTAGCTGTTGTACAGTGTGCCATTGTATAAATATACCACAATTTATCCATTCTTCCAGCTGACAAAAATTGAGGCTGTTTTCAATTTTTTGCTGCAATGAACATTCTACCTCCACCTGCATGTGTAAGAGCTTCTCTAAAAAGCAAAACTTCCAACTCATAAAGACATACAACTTCAGCTTGACAAGATAGTGTAAAACTGTTCTCCAAATCAATTGTACCAATTAGTACTTCCACCAACTGTATAAAAAAAGTCCGGCTGGGCACGGTGGCTCACGTCTGTAATCCTAGCGCTTTGGGAGGCCAAGGCAGGCAGATTACTTGAGGTCAGGAGTTCGAGACCAGCATGGCCAACATGGTGAAACCCCATCTCTACTAAAAATACATAAATTAGCAGGGCATGATGGCGGGCGCCCGTAGTCCCAGCTACTCGGGAGGCTGAGGCGGGAGAATCACTTGAGCCCAGGAGGCGGAGATTGCAGTGAGCCAAGATTGAGCCATTGCAATCCAGCCTGGGGTGACACGGTGAGACTCCATCTCAAAAAAAAAAAAAAAAAAAAAAAAAAAGTCCTGTCACTGAACATTCTCAGAAACACTTGGTCATGTCAGGCTTTTTCAATTTTCCTACTCTAATGTGAGAAACAGTATCCTATCATTTTAATTTACAGGCATACCTTGGAGCTATTGTAGGTTCTGTTCCAGACCACCACAATAAAGCTAATATCACAATAAAGTGAGTCACACAAAGTTTCTGGTTTCCCAGTATATATAAATGTTATGTTTATATTATACTATAGTCTATTAAGTATGCAGTATTATTCTAAAAAACAGTGTACATACCTTAACTTTAAAATATTTCATTGCTAAAAAATGCTAATGATCATGTGAGCTTTCAGGGAGTTGTAATCTTTTTGCTGGTGGCGGGTCCTGCCTCAATGTTGATGGCTGTGGACTGATCCAGGTGGTGACTGCTGAAGGCTGGAGTGGCTGTGGCAATTTCTTAAAGGAGGACAACAATGAAGTTTGTCTCATTGATTGAGTCTTTCCTTCACTAAAGATTTCTTTGCAGCATGCAATGCTGTTTGATACTGTTTTACCCAGAGAATAATTTCTTTTAAAATCAGAGTATACTCTCAACCCCTGCCACTGCTTTATTAACTAAGTTTATGAAACAGTATAAACCCTTCATTGTCATTTCAACAATGTTCAGAGCATCTTCATCAGAAATAGATTCCATCTCAATAAATCACTTTCTTTGCTCATCCATAAGAAGCAACTCCTCATCCCTTCAAGTTTTATCATGAGATTGCTGCATTCAGTCACACCTTCAGGCTCCACTTCTAAGTCTAGTTCTCTTGCTATTTCTACCACACCTGCAGTTACTACCTCCACTGAAGTCTTGAACCCCTCAAAATCATCCATGAGGGTTGAATTCCACTTCTTCGAAACTCCTGTTCATTTTTATATTTTGACCTCTTCCTATGAATCACAAATGATCTTAATGGTATCTAGAATGGTGAATCCTTTCCAGAAAGTTTTCAATTGACTTTGCCCAGATCCATCACAGAATCACTACCTACGACAGTTTTAACCTTACGGAAAGTATTTTCTAAATAAGACCTGAAAGTCAAAATTATTCCTTGATCCATGGGCTGCAAAAGGAATGTTATGTTAGCGGGCATGAAAACAACATTAATCTCCTTGACATTTCCATCAGCACTCTTGGGTGGGACTAGGTGCACTGTCAATGAGCAGTAATATTTTGAAAGGAATATACATATATATATATATATATATATATATATATATATATATATATTTTTTTTTTTTTTTTTTTTTTTTTCTGAGAAGTTGGCCTCAACAGTGGGCTTAAAATATTCAGTAAACCATTCTGTAAACAAATGTGCTATCATCCAGGAGTCGTTGTTCCACTTACAGAGCATAGGCAGAGTAGATTTAGCATAATTCTTTTTTTTTTTTTTTTTGAGACAGAGTCTCTCTCTATTGCCCAGGCTGGAGTGCAGTGGTGCGATCTCAGCTCACTGCAACCTCTGCCTCCCAGATCCAAGCGATTCTCCTGCCTCAGCCTCCCAAGTAGCTGGGATTAAAGGCGCCCGCCACCATGCCCAGCTAATTTTTTTTATTTTTTAGTAGAGACGGGGTTTCGCCATGTTGGTCAGCCTGATCTTGAACTCCTGACCTCAGGTGATCCACCTGCCTCGGCCTCCCAAAGTGCCGGGATTACAGACATGAGCCACCATGCCCGGCCGATTTAACATAATTCTTAAGGGCCCTAGGATTTTCAGAATGGTAAAGGGGCACTGGCTTCAACTTCAAGCCACCAGCTGCATTAGCCCCTAACAAAAGAGTCAGACTGTCCTTTGAAGCTTTGAGGCCAGGCATTGACTTCTCTCTAACTATAAAAGTCCTCCACGGCATCTTCTTCCAGTAGAAGGCTGTTACATTGAAAATCTGTTGTTCAGTGCAGCCACCTTCATCAAGGATCTTAGTTAGATCTTCTGGATAACTTGCTGCAGCTTCTACAATCAGCACTTGTAGCTTCACCTTGCACTTTTATGTTATGGAGCCTTTCCTTAAGCCTCATGAATCAACTTCTGCTAGCTTCAAATTTCTCTTCTGCAGCTTCCTCACCTCTCAGCCTTCATAGAATTGAAAGAGTTGGGGCCTTGTTCTGGATTAGGCTTTGGCTTAAGAGAATGTCGTGGCTGATTTATATTCTATCCAGACCACTCAAACTTTCTTCATATCAGCAATATGGATATTTTGCTTTCTTATCATTTGGGTGTTCACTGGAATAGCACTTTTAATTTCCTTCAAAAATTGTTTCTTTGCATTCACAACTTGGCTGCTTGGTGCAAGAGGCCTAGCTTTCAGCCTGTCTCAGTTTTGACATGCCTTCCTCACTAAGCTTAATGATTTCTAGCTTTTGATTTAAAGTGAGACATGTGCAACTCTTCACTTTAACACTTAGAAGCCACTGTAGGGCTTGTTTGTTTGTTTTGTTTTTGAGACAGAGTCTCACTCTGCCACTGGAGTGCGGTGGCGTGATCTCAGCTCACCCAACTTCAGCCTCCCAGGTTGAAGTGATTCTCCTGCCTCAGCCTCCTGAGTAGTTAGGATTACAGGCACCCGCCACCACACCTAGCTAATTTTTGTATATTTTTAGTAGAGACGGGGTTTCACCATGTTGGCCAGGCTGGTCTCCTGACCTCAAGTGACACACCCACCACAGCCTCCCAAAGTGCTGGGATTACAGGCATGAGCCATCACACCCGACCCCATTGTAGGGTTATTAACTGGCTTAATTTCAATATTGTTGTGTCTCAGAGGAGAGGCCCAAGGAGAGGGAGAGAGATGGAGGAATGGCCAGTGAGAGCAGTCAGAACACATACATTTATCGATTAAGTTCACCATCTTATATAGGTGCATTTCATTTTGCCATAAAACAATCACAATGGTGGCTGGGCACAGTGGCTCAAACCTGTAATCCCAGCACTTTGGGAGGCCGAGGTGGGCAGGCCACTTGAGCTTAGGAGTTCGAGACCAACCTCGTCTCTACAAAAAATACAAAAACTAGCTGGGCACAGTGGCACATGCCTGCAGTCCCAGCTACTTGGGAAGCAGAGGTGGAAGGATCACTTGAGGCTGGGAGGCGGAGGTTGCGGTGGGCCAAGATCACACCACTGCACTCCAGCCTGGGTGACAGAGTGAGACCCTGTCTCAAAAATAAATAAATAAATAATAAACAATCACAATAGTAACATCAAGGCTAGGCACAGTGGTTCAAGCCTGTAACCTCAGGGATCTGGGAGGCCAAGGCAAGAGGATTGCTTAAGTCCAGGAGTTCAAGACCAGCCTGGCCAACATAATGAGACCCCACCTCTAAAAAAATTAAAAAATTGAAAATTAGCTAGGCAGGTACCTGTAGTCCTACTTGGTAGGCTGAGCCAGGAGGACTGCTCAAACCCAGGAGTTCAAGGCTACGGTGAGCTATGATCACACTGCTGCACTCCAACCTGGGCAACAGAGTGAGACCCTGCCTCAAAAAAAAAAAAAAAGTTAACATCAAAGATCACTGATCACAGATCACCAGAACAGATATAATAATAATGAAAAAATCTGAACTATTCCAAGAATTAACAAAATACAACACAGAGACACTAAATGAACACATGCTGTTGGAAAAATGACGCCAACAGACTTTGTTGCCACAACCTTCAATTTGTCAAAACCGCATTATCTGCAAAGCACAATAAAGCAAAGCACAATAAAACAAGGTATGCCTGTACATGTGCCTGGTCATAATTGCAGTCAAGCATCTTTTCAGACTTATTGGTCATTCTTGTTTCCTTTTACTCTGAAATGTTTATATTATCTGCCCCTTTTTCTATTAGGTAATACGTCTTTTGCCTATTGGTCTGTAGGTGTTCTTTAAATAGTCGTGATATTAGTCATCTCTCAATGATATGCACTGCAAATGTCTTCTTCAAGTTTGTCTTAAATGTGCCAATCTTTGTCTTTAGGGTTTGTGTTTTGTGCATCTTGCTTAACACATTCTCCCCCTTTCCAATATTATAAAGATAGTCTCCTATATTTCTTTTTAGTAGTTTTTCTTTATGCGTTTAGGTCATTAATGCACCTGAAACTGATTTTTGTGTATGGCATAAGGCAGGATCTTATTTTCTTTTTGCCATTTGGATTACCAATTGTCCCAGTACAATTTCCTGAATGGGTCATTCTCTCCTCATTAATTTGTAAGAGCGCCTCTTGTCATACCTTAACTTTTCATATATGAATAGGTCTGCTAATAGGCTCTATTCTTCCATTGCTCTGTGACCATCCCTCTCATCTAAGGTTTAATATCGCAATCATCATAATCACTCACTTGAACTGCACACTAGAATTTGCAAAGCACTTTCAAATCCATTTTCCAATTCAAATCTCAAAATGGTCCTATGAGTTAGGCACTACTGTTCATATCTGTCTGGATGAAGAGCGTCAGGTTCATAAAGGTTAAGTGAATCATGGTCACTAGAGCATAAGTGTAATAAGAACAAGGACCCAATCTCATGTGTTCAGTTAGCACTCTTTCCACCAGACTCTGTTAGGTAAGGACAGGAACAATATCTTTCAAACAGCTCTCAAACACAGCTACGCTCTGTTCTCTGCTCACAACACCCAAAACAAACAAGCACCTTGTAAATAAACCAATGCTTTAACAACTATGTTTCTCGGGACAAACACGTTCATTATGTTCATCGTGAAAGTAAATTCAATCTTGAAAGTAACCCTGCTTTAGCTGGCCTCTTTGCTACCGTTCACCTCAAGCACAGACGATGCCACTGCTGAAGTCTTTATTGTCCACCATTTCTCCTCACATCAGCCGTGTTCTCTCATAGTCACTAGCCCTGCAGCATCCAAGACAGAATAGAGATGTGATGACTGGACAGTTCCCTGTGTCAGGATGGAGGGAGACAGAGCCAATGCCTCCAAACTGGAACTTAACACTTTAAAACTCACACTTACACATAAGCTGTGGGTCATGCTATAGAAAGCAGAGAGTGTTAAAGTGCTGTCCAAGAACCCCACACCTAGCTTAATGATAGACAAGAGTAGGTACTCCATAAACGATTTTTACTGAACAAATAAATGAAGTGCTTCATCCAGAGCCAGAACCACTGGTTTCTTTTCTTTTTTTTTTTTTTTGAGACGGAGTCTCGCTCTGTCCCCCAGGCTGGAGTGCAGTGGCGCAGTCTCGGCTCACTGCAAGCTCCACCTCCCGGGTTCACGCCATTCTCCTGCCTCAGCCTCCTGGTAGCTGGGACTATAGGCGCCCGCCACCACGCCTGGCTAATTTTTTTGTATTTTTAGTAGAGACGAGGTTTCACCGTGTTAGCCAGGATGGTCTCGATCTCCTGACCTCATGATCCGCCCGTCTCGGCCTCCCATAGTGCTGGGATTACAGGCATGAGCCACCACACCCGGCTGCTTTTCTTTCTTTTTTTTTTTTTTAAATAACAAATCTGCACATGTAAAACCACTGGTTTCAACAGGCCCTGCATAGAGCAATCAGTTGAGAAAGAAAAAAAAAAGGCAACCCGTGACACTCCAGAAGCAGGCATAGCACTCACAGCCAGGCCATGTTATTCTCCTATGGGACATAAACAATCTCACAGAATACCAACCTCAGACAAGGTTACTCTGAAATCCTCATAAAATGAGACAAAGGCCATTTCACAATTTTGTTATAAGCACAGACAAATACATAGTGGCTATGCCACTCACGAAATACCAAACACCCTTTGGCCAAATTGAGTGACTGCTACTCCTGTAGCAATTACAGTTTTGTTCTTATACTAGTCTCCCTGCCCTACAGGTAAGATTTATTCAGATACCCAACCACGAAACTCCCATATTTTCTTACAGGATCTTATCTGAAGTGAAACCCAACCTCCTTAACCCTCCCCTCCCCTAATCACCAACACCCAAATCCTATAATCAGTTCTAACACCCTCCTAATGAAACACCCCAGGGTTCCCCATGGAGTATGCTCTCTCAATGCAATGAGTAATAAACCCAACTTGTTTAACTACGGGTGTGTTATTGGTGGCCTTTGGGCATTGACACGGCTTAAGTCAGAGATTACAAGTGTCTAAAAGTCTATGCCTTTCTCTTTCTGGAACATTCTCCCAGTCTTAGTTTGACAAAAATAATTCTCATTTCTGGAAGTCATCACTAACTAAATGAAAGAAAGGTAACAAATTCCTTTAACACCAGATACCTGGTTCAACATCCAACTCCAATTCTACCAATAAACATACTCCTACACAAAACTTTTTGTTTGTATATGATACGCCTCCTTCTAGATAGCATGCCCTTGAAAAGCTGGGTCTGACTCACCTTTGTAAATCTGTACTACCTTACATGTGTTAGAGGATTGCTAACACATGTAAACACTCTTTTATGAGGGTAACATCATGCTTTTAAACTAATGGTAGTTGAAATATGGGTGCCTCAAAACTACAGATGTGAAACCCCAGAGAAAACAAAAACTCAATAAGGGGGAAAAATGATTTATTTTTCCCCAAAAATTTTTAGATGGTTACTTTTTTTTTTTTTTTTTTGAGACAGAGTTTCACTCTTGTTGCCCAGGCTGGAGTGCAATGGCACCATCTCAGCTCACCGCAACCTCCGCCTCCCGGGTTCAAGCAATTCTCCTGCCTCAGCCTCCCGAGTAGCCAACATAGTGAATTACACGCATGCACCACCATGCCCGGCTAATTTTGTATTTTTAGTAGAGATGGGGTTTCTCCATGTTGGTCAGGCTGGTGTCGAACTCCTGACCTCAGGTGATCCTCCCGCCTCGGCCTCCCAAAGTGTTGGCATTACAGGCGTGAGCCACAGCACCTGGCCTGTTCCGTACTTTTTTATTGACTGCTGGAAGAACCCTCTCTAGACGGGGACTTTGATCCCCATCTACAAAAGATTTTGTTTGTTTTTTCCTATTCTATTAAACCACCGTGGAGCAGTAGAGGGAGACAGCACAGAACATTTACTCATACTCTGACCCAAAAGTATAGCCTCAGTCTGGATGAACACATTAAACGACACACCATGCAATGTCATAGCCTATTTAAAGGCATTCTGGCCACTACTGTCTTCATCTTTCAACAGGAAAACTGTTTATATTCCAGAAGCAAAGATTATATTAAATTCAATAAATTCAAGTCGACACTCAGAAAGCACCTACATTTTACCGGATCCACGGGTGATCCAAGCAGATGCCTGTTCAGAGGCAGAGAGAGTTAAATGGAGTGAAAGAGATGACAAAGTGCCATAGATGTTAAGGAGAAGTTTCCAATAAGAATGACTGTAGAAAGAACCTTCCAGAGGCTGGGCGCGGTGGCTCATGCCTGTAATCCCAGCACTTTGGGAGGCCGAGACGGGTGGATCACCTGAGGTCAGAAGTTCGAGACCAGCCTGGCCAACATGGTGAAACCCTGTCGCTACTAAAAATACAAAAATTAGCCGGGCATGGTGGCACGCGTCTATAATCCCAGCTACTCGGGAGGCTGAGGCAGGAGAATCCCTTGAACCCGGGAGGCAGAGGTTGCGGTGAGCCGAGATCGCGCCATTGCACTCCAGCCTGGGCGACAAGAGCGAAACACCGTCTCAAAAAAAAGAAAAGAAAAAAAAAGAAAGAAAGAAAGAAAGAACCTTCCAGAATGAAAATTCCAGTTTCTCAAAGCCCAGAATCTTTAGTTTGGACAGAGACATGAGGATACACAGGTCCTGGAGTCTCCACTACTACGTGCCTTCAGCTTGCTTACATTAAGGGCCAAGGAGCTCAAACAGAAATGCTTAATGTAACTTAAGAACTTTTTAAGTTCTCTGTGCAACTCAGCAAACCTGAGCTCACAACCTTCAGAACAGAGGGGGAAATCACTTCCTCCAGCTCTTGTGAATTTTAAAATTAAAAGTAATGAGAATGATTTCCATCACTGAACGGTTGCGAGGTGGGTGTGGCCCCCCACCCCTCCCCCTCCCCCACCTCCGGCAGCGCCCAGCCTCAGTAACGTCCGAGGGGCCTGGCTGGACCTCTCAGGCCAGCGGCAGGCATTCAGCTACGGCCCAGCAAGCCGCTGTCACAACCGCACCCCTGACCCAACAAGCTCATCCCACATCTCGAAGGGCCCCAGCCAACTCGAACCCCGACGGCCAGGCAGCCAGGGCCGGGCCTGGGCTCCATGAAGGCCGCCGACTGCGAACAAAGAAGAGGCCCGGGGTAGCCTGAGAGGCCCAGGCCGAGCTCTCTGGGGACCCGAAGGTTCCTGCAGCCCTCGGGGGGTTGTGCCCCCGGCCCGAGATCTGCAGATGAGCCTCGAAAAGCGCCAGCACGCCGTAAGCGCACCGCGTCGCCGACCTTGTTGGCGCACTGCAGGCTCTCCGGCGCGCACGCGGACAAAGGGGGCAGGGGTCCTGGCGGGTACCCGGAGCCGCGATCCCGCGCGCTTCCCGCCGCCCGACCCGGCCTTTACCTGTACGTCACTCAGCTCCACGCGCAGATATAGCTCGCGGTGTCGCTGAGCCCAGTAGACATGCGGCGTCAACACCTGATTCTCCATGGCCACACTGCCCAGGGCGCGGGGAGGCTAGGCTCGCTGCGCCTCGCTGCCTCAGGTAGTGCTCTGCTGGCGCGAGCAGAAAGCAGGCCTCAAACCCTAGCGCTCCTGAGCGCCTGCAACCCGGCACCTCGAGATACCCCACGCTCGCGGGCCGCGCCTGCGCAGTGACGCGCCGGGATGGCGGCGGCGCCAGCAGCGGGCCTTGGCGCGAGCCGGGCGGGGGCGGGGCGCAGGCGGGATAGGGGCAGGCCGGGGCACAGAGACGCCGCAGCTCGCCGCGGCCGCCTAGGGAATTGGAATCAGCGGGTGGTCTGCTCTCCCCACTCGTCTTCAGGGACATGCTTTAAAATAAGCTTTAAAATAAAAAAGGCTGGAGACTTATGGGGGACCGATCAGCCTGGAAAAGGGTTTGGGACTGGTGTCTCTGGACGGTCCTTCGCATTCTGTTTACTGAGTACCTACTGTGTGCCTGGGTTTCAAAGCTAAACACTGGAACAACAGAAGTGAGACACAGTCCCTTCTGTCTTAGAACTCCCAGCCTATTAAAAGATGCAAGTAATTACAGATGAAATGAGGATAATAATGGTGATAGGGGACATGGTGTGGGAGCAGCGTGGAAGAGCGTTCCAACAAGGGAAAATAAAGACCAGGGCAGCGCTGCCCAATAAAACTGTAGGTGATGATGGAAATATTGCACATTGCGCTCTTTAATACGGTAGCCACTAGCCACATGAGGCTTTTGAGTACTTGAACTGAATAACCGAATTTTCAATTTTACTCACTTCTGTTTTTTTTTTGTTGTTGTTGTTGTTTTGTTTTGAGACGGAGTTTCTCTCTTGTTGCCCAGGCTGGAGTGCAATGGCGCGATCTCGGCTCACCGCAACCTCTGTCTCCCGGGTTCAAGTGATTCTCCTGCCTCAGCCTCCCGAGTAGCTGGGATTACAGGCATGCGCCACCGGCTAATTTTGTATTTTTAGTAGAGACGAGGTTTCTCCATGTTGGTCAGGCTGGTCTCGAACTCCCGACCTCAGGTGATCCGCCCGCCTTGGCCTCCCAAAGTGCTGAGATTATAGGCGTGAGACACCGCGCCCGGCCAACTTTATTCACTTCTAATTTAAACTTAAATATCCATATTTTTGGTGGCTATTCTATTGGACAGTGCAGGAGACTGTCTCAAAAAAATAGGAAACTCAAACTAGAGACAACACTCATTTATGTCTTACTTAAGCTGTCTTGTCTGTATCGGGTTTCATCCCCAAGTTCTTCTGCAGAGAAGAATTTAATGGGAAGAAATATTTATATGAAAACTAGAACTCTGGGACAAAAATGGAACTCATATTCAATCCTGTTAGCTCCCATTTATTTAGCAAAGTGATTCTATTAGCACCCGTTTGTTTAGCAGAGGGATCTAACGCTGAAAACAAATTCTGCTAGCTCTCTGGAAACATTTAGCTCAAGAGTGGACAGAATAAAATATAGAGAGTTTTCATATAATGAATGTGCTGAGCTCACAAAGAGTTTATGATGATAGGAACTGAGGGCCGTGGGAACCATTGTCAGACATTTGAGAGCCAACCCTTGAGAACGGGATGGTGAAATGCGAGTAGGAATTTGACTGAGTAAGAACCAGGTAGGCCGTGGAAGCACAGGGCGCTTGCTTCGTTCACAGGTGAAAAGATGTGGACCAGGTGCAGCGTCTCACGCGTGTAATCCCAGCACTTTGGGAGGACGAGGCGGGAGGATCGCTGGAGCCCAGGAGTTTGAGACCAGCCTGGGAAAAATGGCAATACACTGTCTCTACAAAAAATACAACAGTTAGCAGGGCGTGGTTGGCGCGCCCCTGGGGTCCGAGCTACTCGGGAGGCTAGGGTGGGAGAATTGCTTAAGCCCAGGAGGCGAGATCGCGCCACTGCACTCCAGCTTGGGTGACAGTGTGAGGCCCTGTCTTAAAATTTAAAAAAGAGAGAGGGTTGTGGAAGGAGGTTCTGCTGCTAGGGATTAAAGGCATAGAGGAGAGAGGTCGCCCTGAATCTGGAAAGGCAGAGGGTGCATTAGGAAAGTCTTTGTTTGCTTCACTGAGGTGCCTATACTGTATCCCACAGACACATGGGAGCCAAGGAAGTTTGTTAACCTGGAGATTAGTAAAATCAAATGTGCTCAGCAAGAAAGACCTGTCAGAGAGGAGGAGGAATTGGTAGTAGGCAAAGCAATGGGAGACCAATGCAATCTGCCAAGAATGAGTTGATGAAAGCAGTGACGTTGACAGTCTTGAATTTTAACGATAAAATATTTTTTATGATAAAGGTATTTTATTGTATTGTGTTTACTACAATGCAGATGCAATATGGGGCACTTTTTAAAAACATTGAGATGTAGTTTACATATAGAACATGGGTAAATCTTAAATATTCAGTTTAAGCTGAATTTTTCTATATGTATATATCCATGTAATTATCACCTAGATCAAGATCTGGAATATTTCCAGTATCCCAGAGGTTATTTCATGTTAAAATATCTTTGCCTCTCAGTAATTACTATCCTGATATATCACCATAGAGTCTTTTTTGTCTGTTCTGTTCTTGAATTTTATATAAATGGAACCTACAGTGTCTGGTTTCTTTTTCTTTTTTCTTTTTTTTTTTTTTGAGACAGAGTCTTGCTCTGTCACCCAGGATGGAGTGCAGTGGTGCAGTCTCGGCTCACTGCAACCTCGGCCTCCCAATTCAAGCGATTCTCCTGCCTCAGCCTCCCAAGTAGCTGGGATTACAGCTGTCCGCCATCACGCCCAGCTAATTTTTGTATTTTTAGTAGAGACGGGGTTTCACCATGTTGGTCAGGATGGTCTCTAACTCCTGACCTCGTGATCTGCCTGCCTCAGCCTCCCAAAGTGCTGGGATTACAGGCATGAGCCACCGTGCCTGGCCCCTAATTTTTGTATTTTAGTAGATACGGGGTTTCACCATCTTGGCCAGGCTAGTCTTGAACTCCTGACCTCATGATCCACCCGCTTCAGCCTCCCAAAGTGCTGGGATTACAGATGTGAGCCACCGCACCGGGCCTTGGTTTCTTTCATCAACATAATGTGTATGAGATTTATCCATGTTGCTGAGTGAATCAGTAATTCATTCTTTTAGTTTTTGGTTTTGCTCTGTAGTAGTTGACTATATGAGTATACCACAAATTATTTATCCATTCTCCTATCGATGGATATTTGTGTTGTTTCTAGTTTTTAGCTATTACAAATAAAGCTGCTCTGAATATTTGTGTACCTGTCTTTTGGGGATAAATGCTCTTAATTATCTTGGAATAAATACCTATGAAGGGAATTGCTAGGTTACACAGGTGTATGATTAGCTTTAGTAGGTGTGCTAAGCAGTTTTACAAAGTGTTTTGGTCAATTTACATTCCACGGCAATGTTTGAAAGTTCTAGTTGCTCTATATCCCTAGTATTTTCAGACTTTTTAATTTAATTTTATTTTATTTTATTTTATTTTATTTTTTGAGAAAGAGTCTTGCTCTGTTGCCCAGGCTGGAGTGCATTGGCGCGATCTCAGCTCACTGCAACTTCTACCTCCGCAGTTCAAATGATTCTCCTACCTCAGCCTCCCAAGTAGCTGGGATTATAGGTGTGCACCACCACACCTGGCTAATTTTTTTATTTTTAGTAGAGATGGGGTTTCACCATGTTGGCCATGCTGGTCTCAAACTTCTAGGCTCAAATGGTCTCAAACTCCTGGGCTCAAGTGATCCTCCTGCTGCAGCCTCCCAGGCGTGAGCCACAGCACCCAGCCTAATTTTTTTTTTCCAGCACCACCCCCACCCCCAGCCAATGTTTTTAATTTTAGCCATCCTGGTAGGTGGGTAATAAAAAATAGAATAATTTTAATTCAGCGTATTTGAAACCTGAGGCTTATCAGCTGACTTCTACCAAGGTGAAAGCTATTGATATAGAAGAAGACTGAATGTTGGCATTTTGCCTCAGATGCTTCATAAGAAAGGTCCAGTGGAAGTGGGCCTATCCAGCCTGGTTTGACCACTAGTAACATACTGCAAAATGACTTCTTTAGGCCTGAGTTTCCACATTCATCAAATTAGGTAAATTTGATGAGTTGGATTTGGTTCCCTCTAATGCTCTTATCAGCTGTTTCTAAATTTTTCTGCAAAGAGACCCCACTATTATGGACCCCTCTCTGCAAGAGAAATCTAACAAGAAAAAAAATAGAAATGGAGAGAAGAAAGAGTATCATTCTGGTGAACTATAAAACTCCAGGGTGGGGCTGGACATGGTGGCTTATGCTGTAATCCCAATGCTTTGGGAGGCTGAGGTGGGAGGATCGCTTGAGTTTAAGAGTTCGAGACCAGCCTGGGCAAAACAGTGAGACCCCATCTCTATAAAAAATTTTAAAAATTAGCCAGGTACGGTGGCATGTGCCTGTAGTCCTAGCTACTAAGGAGGCTGGGAGGATCTCTTAAGCTTGGAAGGTCAGAGATGCAGTGAACTGTGATGGCACCGATGCACTCCAGCCTGGACAACAGAGCAAAACCTTGTCTCAAAAAAAAAAAAGCAAACCAAAATACGCTGGAAGGTGGCAGGGGAGATTAAAAGGCAGAGCCAAGTGGCAGTGCCAAGCTGAAATAGGTAGGGCTAAGAGTTTTATGATACTATCGGTCAAATGAAAATGCAAATTTAGCCTTGTCTTTTTGTCCTACCTTCTAGATGCAGCCTTCCCAGCCTCATTTGGCCAAGGGCCAGCTCTCCCTTCTCAGAGAATAGTCACCACTAACTACAGGAAGCATTTGCTGAGTACTTGCCATGGATTAAGCTCATTCCCAGGGCTGAAGGCTGATTTCCTGCCTTTGGCAAGGGGTCATACACATCCTTGTTGTTATCTATGTATAAAATCTTCTATTCTGGAAGAGGTTTTAGAAAATGAGCTGTAGAATTTGGCTGGATTCAAACCACCCAGGGTCACCCAGCCAGTTATCCCTGAGCAAAGTCAGGTTTCTCTAGATGGTACAAAGCTAAGTGTGGAGAGGGAGACTGACTGGATCAGTGCAGGTATCTAATGGGGAATCCTCCACAGCCAGATCATACACATGTAGCCTCCCAACTCTGCCTGGAGAATGGGTATTGTAGGCCATCTTTACTGGGAAAACCTTCCCCTCTACCTGTCAATCCACAGTTCAGAAGTGTGAACTAAAAATGAAATCCTAAGCCTCACAATTGACTGAGCAGACCCCTTCTTGGCCAAGGGGACACCAGAAAAACCTTAAAAACTGAGTTCCAGGTCATGACGGGATGGGAGGTCACATATGCCTCCTTATACCCCCTCCCTTTTGCGGTTGAGACACAACAACTGACCAGCATTAATGTGAAAATAGAGAGCATAAGACTGATGGAACAACAACAAAAAATAATAAAAAATAATGTGTTTAAAGACTGATGGAACGGACTCTTTGTGGCAATATGATACCAAATTATAAATAAGACCTAAAGCCATGCTAGGCAAGAGTTAAGTCACACACCCCTACACTTAAAGAATAAACCATGTTTAACTGCCACAAGGTTTTTCTTTCTCTAGCAGCTAAACAAGCACTAGCCTTAAGATAATCAATATTAAAATTTCTAGCTTACCCCTCACCAGACACTGGCCAACTGACCCCTTGTTCCACAAGCCATAACTATAGCTTTGATTGGACAAGAGACTTATTTCAGTAACCTTCTGCTGATAAGAAGACTATCAACCACGGACGAGTTCTGTCTAGTTTACAGAGGCTGTACATTTGAGTGCCTTTGTGTCCTGAAAAGACCTTTTGACATATAGGTCAAATTGTAATACATTTAAGTGTTAAGTCTCCACTGCAAGGTGAACATGGGTCATATGTAACATACATGTTTCTTCAATATTCGTGCTTCAGGACCACCTTCATGAATATTCATACCTCCTCCTATAACCTGTTGCATATGTATGTTTAGCCAATCTATTCAGCATAAAGCTCCTGTCCCACCCCTTCATCCTTCAAAGTACCTGACTCTGGTCTTTACGAGAGGCTACACTTCCCAGCCTATCAGCACGGTCACCTTACAAGCTGTAACCCTTTATAGAAAATAAAGTCTCATTTTCTTTTCTTTTTTTTCTTTTTTTTTTTTTTTGACAGAATTTCACTCTCGTTGCTCAACACTCAGGCTGGAGTGCAATGGCGCAATCTCGGCTCACTGCAACCTCCGCCTCCCAGGTTCAAGTGATTCTTCTGCCTCAGCCTTCAGGAGTAGCTGGATTACAGGTGCGTGCCACCATGCCCAGCGAATTTTTGGTTTTGTTTTATGTTTTTTGAGACTGAGTCTTGCTTTGTCACCAGGCTGGAGTGCAGTGGCACAATATCGGCTCACTGCAACCTCCGCCTCCTGGGTTCAAGCGATTCTCGTGCCTCAGCCTCCCAAGTAGCTGGGATTACAGGCACATGCCACCACACCCAGCTAATTTTTGTATTTTCAGTAGAGACTGGGTTTCACCATGTTGGCCAGGATGGTCTCAATCTCCTGACCTCGTGATCCGCCCATTTTGGCCTCCCAAAGTGCTGGGATTACAGGCATGAGCCACTGCGCCCAGCTAATTTTTGTATTTTTAGTAGAGACGGGGTTTCACCACATTGGCCAGGATGGTCTCCATCTCTTGACTTCGTGATCCACCCGCCTCGGCCCCCCAAAGTGCTGGGATTACAGGCGTGAGCCACTGTGCCCAGCCCAATTTTTTGTATTTTTAGTAGAGATGGGGTTTCACCGTGTTGGCCAGGCTGGTCTCGAACTCCTGACCTCAGGTGATCCAACTGCTTCAGCCTCCCAAAGGCTGGGACTACAGCCACCGTGCCCGGCCTTAATTTTTTTCTATTTTTAGTAGAGACAGAGTTTCACCATGTTGGCCAGGCTGGTCTCAAACTCCTGACTTCTAGTAATCTGCCTGCCTCAGCCTTCCAAAGTGCTGGGATTAGAAGTGTGAGTCACTGCACCTGGCTTGATGGTTTTAAAAAACAGGAGTTTAGATGGGCACGGTGGCTCATGCCTGTAATTCCAGCACTTTGGGAGGCCGAGGCAGGTGGATCACGAGGTCAGGAGATTGAGACCATCCTGGCTAACACGGTGAAACCCCGTCTCTACTAAAAATACAAAAAATTAGCCAGGCATGGTGGCGGGCGCCTGTAGTCCCAGCTACTCAGGAGGCTGAGGCAGGAGAATGGCGTGAACCCAGGAACCAGAGCTTGCAGTGAGCTGAGATTGCACCACTGCACTCCAGCTTGGGTGACAAAGCGAGACTCCGTCTCAAAAAACAAAGCAAAACAAAAAAAAAAAACAAAAAAAAAAAACCACACACACAGGAGTTTCTCTGCAGAAGCTTTTTTTTTTTTTTTCGGTCTGCCACAATCCACGTAAGATGTGACTTGCTCTTCCTTGCCTTCTGCCATGATTGTGAGGCCTCCCCAGCCATGTGGAACTGTAAGTCCAATTAAACCTCTTTCATTTGTAAATTGCCCAGTTTCAGCTATGTCTTTATCAGCAACATGAAAATGGACTAATACAACTCCCATCTCTACAAAAATTTAAAAATTAGCCAGGTGTGTTGGTGCATGCCTGTAGTTCCAGCTACTCAGGAGGTTCCGGCCAGAGGATTACTTGAGCCCAGTTCAAGGCTGTAGTGAGCTATGATCATACCACTGTACTCTAGCCTGGGCAATGGTGCAAGACTTTGTTTCAAAATAAATTAAGTACATAAATAAAAACTTAAATATGAAAAAGAAAATCAGAGGGAAAGACTTTTTTTCTTTTCTTTTCTTTCTTTCCTTTTCTTTTTTTTTTTTTTTTTTTGAGACAGAGTCTTGCTCTGTCACCCAGATTAGTGGTGTGATCACAGCTCACTGCAGCCATGACCTCCAGGGCTCAAGTGATCCTTCCGAGGAGCTGGGACTACAGATGCCGCCACCACGCCAGGCTAATTTCTGTGCTTTTCTTTCTTTTCTTTTTTTTTTTTGAGACGGAGTTTCGCTCTCATTTCCCAGGCTGGATTCCAATAGTGCAATCTCAGCTCACTGTGACCTCTGCCTCCCGGGTTCAAGCAATTCTCTTGCCTCAGACTCCCAAGTAGCTGAGATTACAGGCATGGGCCACCATACCTGGCTAATTTTTTTGTATTTAGTAGAAATGGGGTTTCACCATGTTGGTCAGGCTGGTCTCAAACTCTTGACCTCAGGTGATCTACCCGCCTCAGCCTCCCAGAGTGCTGGGATTACAGGCCTGAGCCACTGTGCCCAGCCAATTTTTGTGCTTTTTGTAGAGACAGGGTCTCACTACTTTTCTTTTTTTTTTTTAGACGGAGTTTCGCTCTTGTTGCCCAGGCTGGAGTGCAATGGTGCGATCTCGGCTCACCACAACCTCCGCCTCCGGGGTTCAAGCGATTCTCCTGTCTCAGCCTCCCAAGTAGCTGGAATTACAGGCATGTGCCACCACCCCTGGCTGATTTTTGTATTTTCAGTAGAGACAGGGTTTCATCATTTTGGTCAGGCTGGTCTCGAACTCCCAACCTCAGGTGATCCGCCTGCCTTGGCCTCCCAAAGTGCTGGGATTACAGGCGTGAGCCACCATGCCCGGTGAGTCTCACTACTTTTCCCAGGCTGGTTTCGAACTCCTGGGCTCAAGCCATCCTTCTGCCTCAGTCTCCCAAAGGGCTGGAACCGCAGGCATGAGCCACTGTGCCCGCCTTCTTTTTTTCTTATTACAGTTTGGTTTGAACTACACCCTGAAAAGGGGGAAAGTATGGGGGGAAGTGGAAAAAGAAACTGTAGACCCACCATATCCTATAATCAATGGCTGTTAGTGTATGTACTACATGCTTATGATCTTTTTTCTCACCGAGATTATAAACCTCAATAGAGCACAGATTACCTCCTTTTGGTATCCTGTAGTATCTAACACAATGTGCTTCAGAAAGTAGATGTTTAAAACATATTTGTTGATGATAATACCCACTGCTAGATACAGATGGTTTTGCATCACCCCGGCCGTGCTATCTCATCACACCTCATGTGCTAGATAACTTGTCTTTTCCTGATGGGTCCCTAGAGTGCAGGGCAAAGAAAGCCAGCTAGGGTTTGTCAACCACACAAACAAGACTTGGCAAGGCCACGGCCTGACCGATTCAGCCAGTAAAGATACATTGAGCCACTTTTATTTTTTATTTTTTTGAGATGGAGTCTCACTCTTTCGCCCAGGCCAGACTGCAGTGGCGCTATCTCGGCTCACTGCAAGCTCCGCCTCGCGGGTTCACGCCATTCTCCTGCCTCAGCCTCCCAAGTAGCTGGGACTACAGGTGCCCGCCACCACGCCCGGCTAATTTTTTGTATTTTTGGTAGAGATGGGGTTTCACCGTGTTAGCCAAGATGGTCTAGATCTCCTGATCTCGTGATCTGCCCGCCTCGGCCTCCCAAAGTGCTGGGATTACAGGCGTGAGCCACTGTGCCCGGCCAAGCCACTTTTAGATTCAGGTAGTTTATTACTTACATACAGTGCAAAAGGAAAAATGCACAATGGTGATAGATGCTTGTGATCCTTGTCTCATACATCAAAAACGACAATACAGTTGACTCTGTATCTGTGGGTTCTACATCTGGGATTCAACCTACCTCGGGTCAAAAGTATTTAGAAAAAAACTGATATAAAAAAATAATAGGCTGGACACGGTGGCTCTCACCTGTAATCCCAGCACTTTGGGAGGCCGAGGCAGGTGGATCACATGAGGTCAGGAGTTCAAGACCAGCCTGGCCAACATGGTGAAACCCCATCTCTACTAAAAATACAAAAATTAGCCAGGTGTGGTGGCAGATGCCTGTAATCCCAGCTACTCAGGAGGCTGAGGCAGGAGAATTGCTTGAACCCGGAGGTGGACGTGGCAGTGGGCCGAGATCGCGCCACTGAACTCCAGCCTGGCAACAGAGCGAGACTCTGTCTCAAAGGAAACAAACAATACAAAAAATTAGCCAGGCATGGTGGTGGGTGCCTGTAATTCCAGCTTCTCAGGAGGCTGAGGCAGGAGAATTGCTTGAACCCAGGAGGCAGGAGTTGCAGTGAGCCAAGGTTGCACCACTGCACTCCAGCCTGGGCGACACAGCGAGACTTTGTCTCAATTAAAAAAAAAAAAAGTCAGCCAGGCGCAGTGACTCACAGCTATAATCCCAGCATTTTGGGAAGTGAGGTGGGTAGATCGCTTGAGGTCAGGAGTTTGAGACCAGCCTGGCCAATGTGGTGAAACCCCGTCTCTACTAAAAATACAAAAATTAGCTGGGCGTGGTGGCACACGCCTGTAATTCCAGCTACTTGGGAGACTGAGGTGGTTGCAGTGAGCTGAACTAAGATCACACCACTGCACTCCAGAGCCTGGGTGACACAGTGAGACTGTCACCAAAGAAAAAAAAAGTAATATATGAGAGGAGGATGTGCATAGGTTACATGCAAATACTATGCCATTTGATATCAGGGACTTGAGTACCGCTGATTTTAATATCTGCCAGGAATCCTGAAACCAATCCCCTGCAGATACCAAGGGACAACTGTACTGAAACAAAAGGGGCCAGATGACTGCAACGTGAGTTGCGAGATACCCTGTTGAACGGGAGCCAATTCTAGACTGCGGCCAGATGATTTTGTATTCAGCAGTGCTATTCTGAGGGAGTGGGGAGAAAGCCCCACACCTCATCAGAAACTGTGAGGAGAGGAGAAGCTGTCTCCTGACTGCCTCCCCGAGGAGGTTGCCTCCAGGTCCCTATCAGCCTCCTGTTTTCTTCTATTCTAGGAACATCACACAGCATTCTGCTAAGAGTCAGAGATCCCTGGATTCAAGCCTACGCCTATGATGCATGCAAGGTGGCCAGCGTTCCACGGTGGAGATGTTCCTCTACAGCTTTCTCAGGGTTTGAAAATAAGAATAAAAATCAAGAACTCTGGCCGGGCGCGGTGGCTCACGCCTGTAATCCCAGCACTTTGGGAGGCCGAGGCGGGCAGATCACGAAGTCAGGAGATCAAGACCATCCTGGCTAACGTGGTAAAACCCCGTTTCTACTAAAAAAAATACAAAAAATTAGCCGGGCGTGGTGGTGAGTGCCTGTAGTCCCAGCTACTGAGGAGGCTGAGGCAGGAGCATGGCGTGAACCTGGGAGGCGGAGCTTGCAGTGAGTCGAGATGGTGCCACTGCACTTCAGCCTGGGCGACACATTGAGACTCCATCTCAAAAAAAAATAAATAAAAATTAAAAAAAAGAAATCTAGATTCCAATCTAGTCAAATATATAATTAGCTATGTGATATAAGCAAGTATTTTATCTGTCCATGGCTCTTTTTTTAAATGCATGAAATTATATATTTTTAATTGTTTGCTTTTGCGGGGAGGGGGCTCTATCTCTTCTTATTAGGCTATAAACTGCATGAAAACAGGGGCTTTATCTACTTTGTTCACTATTGTGGCCCCGCTGCTTAAAACAGTGACAGGTACAAGGCAGAGATTCAGCAAACACTTGTTGAATTAATGAAGTGCAAGATATTTCTCTGTATTTTGTGTGTGTGTGTGTTTGTGTGTGCATTTAAAGCCTTTAAAATCTGCTCTCAGGTCATTTGGAGAAAATTAATAGAAGAGACCCAAGGAAAATGACTTTGCCTTTTTTTTTTTTTTTTTTTTTAAGGGAGCTCAACTTTAAAAAGCCTGAGGGAAGGCTCATTTAACCTCAGAGTGAATAATTATATACTGTGGAGTGGAGCATAGTACCCAAATGGATTTTTTATTAGTGCTATTATAATAAATCCTAATGACACACGACTCTGACACATTGTTCTTTGTAATAATAGAAAATAGGGGAGGCCCCGCTTTTGCACAGTTTTGTTGTACACCTGCTACTTTCCTGGATATCTTCCTGAGTTCCCTTTTTCTCAGCCAATATACAGTGTAGACCAGGAAAGAAATTGCAGGTCAAGGGACCTGCCTCTGGCTCTGATTATAACAAGTCATTCACTTCTTTCCCCTAGGCCCCAGTTTCTTCATTTTATGTGTTAAAGTGCATACCTTTTTTTTTTTTTTTTTTGAGACAGAGTCTCACTCTGTCACCCAGGCTGGAGTGCAGTGGCGTGATCTCAGCTCACTGCAACTTCTGCCTCCGGGTTCAAGCGATTCTCCTTTCCTCAGCCTCCTGAGTAGTAGCTGGGATTGCAGGCGCCCGCCACCATGCCAAGCTAAGCTTTGAATTTTTTGTAGAGATGGGGTTTCGCCATGTTGGCCAGGCTGGTCTCGAACTCCTGACCTCAAGTGATCCGCCTGCCTCGGCCTCCCAAAGTGTGGTATTACAGGCGTGAGCCTCCACGCCCAGCTGGTTTTCTTTAATTGCAATTAAGTGAAATGTATTATATCCCTTTTAGAGGTAAAGAAATTATGGCTCAAATAGATTGAGTGACCTGCTGAAAGATCGCTAGTTAATATTAGAGCCAAGTTTCGGACTCCAGGTTCAGATTTCTTTCCACCACAAGGAGACGCTTAGATCTCCAAGGCCCTAGTCTCTTTCCTCAATATCATCTCGTTGAAAGGGGAGGGATTTACCCTGGTTTGCTCCCAGCGTCTAAGGCTCTCTCTGCCTGGCACATGGACAGGAATTTTGTCTATTTTGAGCAGGCACTCAATATATATTATTTATTGACTACAGACGCGCCACATTTTGCCCTGTGACTTTCAGCAAGTCGCTGTTCCTTTCTGGAGTTCATCTCTATCCCCTGCTCGGCCCAGTCTCCACCCCGCGCCTCCTTGGCTCCTCCGGCCACTAGACTGCGCTGTGGTGTTGGACCCCACCCAGCAGACAGCGGCGCCCTTCTTGGCCCGGCTGCGCCTTCGCCAGTCGGAAAGCGGATCGCAACGAACCGGAAGTGCTAAAGCCTCCGAGGCCAAGGCCGCTGCTACTGCCGCCGCTGCTTCTTAGTGCCGCGTTCGCCGCCTGGGTTGTCACCGGCGCCGCCGCCGAGGAAGCCACTGCAACCAGGACCGGAGTGGAGGCGGCGCAGCATGAAGCGGCGCAGGCCCGCTCCATAGCGCACGTCGGGACGGTCCGGGCGGGGCCGGGGGGAAGGTGCAGTATCCGCCCCCTTCTCCTTCTCCTGCGCCGGCGAGGCCTGGGCCACGGCTCACCAGGCCCTTTCCGCCTCACGGAGGGACTGCTCGGCGCGTTCTCAGGGTCAGCGCGCTTTGCGGTTTACCCGGCGCGCCGCCCTGCCCAGTGCAGAGCCGGTGGTGCCCTTCCCCCCTCCCCCCCACTTGCCGGAAGAGGAAGCCGAGGCTCTGAGATTCCGAGTCAACCACCGTTCACTGGGCGCCCCTTGAGCTCTGGGCGCTGGCCTCCTGGCTTCCACGTCCGTTATCTTAATTGAGTCTCGCTGGGGTTGGGAGGCCGGGTATTGTCAGCGCTTACAGATGAGGAAACGGAAGCCCACAGAGGCGAAGGGATTTTCCTTAAGTCCGACTTGGCAGATGGGCTTCGGCCTCAGATTTTCTGGTTTTTCAGCTGGTGGTCTTTTTTCTCTCCTGCCTCATGCTAGGTCGATTCCCTCCCTGCTCACTGCCCTCTCCCATTCTGTTCCACCCACTCGCAGCAGGACACTTTCCTTTCCTGCCACACCTGTCTTCTCACACACTTTTCTTCTAAGACTTGGCATTCCTCCCATCTCTCTTCTCAATATTCTCTGCTATGCCTCTCCTCTTGTTCCTCATTCATAGTTTTTCAAGGTCTTTGCCCCCTCTGTGCTATTGAATCTCTCAACTAGGTGTGGACCCTAAAGAATGAGATAGCTAGGCTTCAGTGAGGCTTTAGGTGTTTAAGTGGACGGCTGTTTGGCCCTTGAGTTAAAAATTAAGGAATTTCACTTGAGTGGATCCAAACTCAAGAGTCCTAAAGCTATTTTCTGAGTCAACATGCTCTATTTCTGAGTGAGGGGCTTAGTGCTATGAGGTGTCTTGACATCTTAGTCCATTGTTGCTGTGCTGGCATAACCTCGCTGTTTTTCCTGCACTTGCCACTTAGCTTTTCCCACCCCATCCCTTCATCACCTACTTGGGCTATGGGAGCCCAAAATTAAAACTTATAGAGTAACAGATGTAATAGCAGACCTTCCTTTTTTTTTTTTTCCTAAGCCAGAATTTCAACAAGTTTAATGCTTCTTTTTCCAGAAAAGTTACCTATTTAAATTATTCTCAGAGTAATGCAGCAAGAAAATGGAATGCACTTAAGATGAATAGAAAATTGTTTATCTCGTGAAAAGTCTTAAGTTATTAAATTCAAGTTAATTCCCTTTCTGCAAAAATGGCCTGTAACTCTTACTGGCTATCCTCCTGAGTTAATTCTATCTCCATCCAGCTTGATATGACATTATTATGTAAAAGAGGAACAGGAATAGGCACATAAAAATAAATTTTATTAATCATATGCCGTTTTTGATGATTTGCAATAGTCACTGAGTAACTTCACATCTGTATGCCTTTTGTAACTTTTTAAAGCCTTTCCATGGTTTTCCTTTGTCTGGACACCAAAGTTTGCTATGTTAGGATATTCTTTTGACTATATTGGGCTACACATCTCTGAAATAAAATAATTCTTGAATTCTGATAACATAAAACGCAGATACAAAATAATGTAGGCATTATATATTGCCCCAAAAAGTGATATTTTGGTATCAGTTTTAACTACTATTTTGGGGCTTCTCTTTTTGGCCACATATGGTCCATCTTAATGATCAAAGTCTTATCTTATTTCATTATCCTGGTGAGCAGGCTTTGATGGTGAGGAAAGGAAAGATTCCTGTGAGAAGAGCAGGATGAGCAGAGGGATTCTATGCTTGAAGTCGAGTCACTTGAAAAAGATCTCTTTGAATGTGGAAGAGATCTGAGCAGATGAAAATAAAATCAGGTAGGCACCAGGGAAACTACTTAAGTGACGAGGTAGGTGGGGCAGTGAAATATATGCACTGTGCTGAGAAGGTACACTGACCCTATTTTCCTATTTTTGACATTAGAAAATTCAGGTCACCTATTTTGAGAATGTGTTTGTATATAATCAGGAATTAAGTCATTTACCAAACATCTGCACAGATTACCAATATTATATAATATCAGGTATATTTTAGAAATGCAGGATGGACATTTGCTGTGAACTTACAGAATAGGAGACCATCATTTGGACTGTACAATGTTTGTACATGTACACGCAAGTATGCATGTGTATGCATAGAGTGTCCAGGGCTTAGTACGATTCAGGAATACCAGATAATTTAAATGTAAGCTAATGTACATTTTGCATAAGAAAGATGTGACGTGAATAATAAGAAGCTGGGCATGGCCAGGCGCGGTGACTCACACCTATAATCCCAGCCTGTACAACATAGTGAGACCCCCATCTCTACAAAAAAGTTTTAAAAAATTAGCCAGGCATGGTGATGCATTCCTGTGGTCTTAGCTGCTCAGGAGGCTGAGGCATAAGGATCCTCTGATTCCAGGAGTTCAAGGCTGTACCACTGCACTGCAGCTTGGGCAACAGTGAGACTTGTCTAAAAAAAATAAACTGGACAGTAAGGCTTGGGAGGAGGTCTTTCTGTTGAGCTTCCCTATTCTGTTCCCCAGCCCTATTCTTGCAAGCACTGGTTTGCAGGTGAACTTCCAAACGTAACACAAGAGAAGTTGAGAAAAATGAGCCCAGTTTGTATAGGTTCTTTTCTCATTTGTCCCTCAGTCTGTTAGATATAAAACTGGGTCCGTTGGCCGGGCACGGTGGCTCCCACCTGTAATCCCAGCACTTTGGGAGGCCAAGGCGGGTGGATCATGAGGTCAGGAGTTCAAGACCAGCCTGGCCAAGATGGTGAAACCCCGTCTCTACTAAAAAATACAAAAATTAACTGGGCACGATGGCGGGTGCCTGTAATCCCAACTACTCGGGAAGCTGAGGCAGGAGAATTGCTTGAACCTGGGAGGCAGAGTTTGCAGTGAGCCGAGATCTCGCGCCACTGCACTCTACCCTGGGTGACAGAGCAAGACTCTGCCTCAAAACAAAACAAAAACAGCAACAACAACAAAACTGGTTCCGTTGACATTTGGTAGAAAGTAGGCCTCCACTAGCTAGCTTTTATTAGGGCAAGTAAACAACATATGATAGTATATAACCACCACAGTCTTATACTGTCAGTAAATATCAGTGTGCTGGATACTCCTTGAACTAAATGACTTAATTCCCTGCCAAGCTGTTTTGGATTTTAGTCATTGAAAGTGAATGCTCATTTGTTACAATGATACAAGCATACCTGGTAACTGTCTAATAGGTTTTCTGGCCACTTTGTTACTGTTATATTGAAAATGGTAACATAGGTAACTGTAGCATGAAAAAAGACAAAATAAGCTGCACACACACTTCATTCAGTTCTTTGGCATGCCAGTAACGTGTGCTTAATGGACTAATTCACAATCCATACCTGCTAATAACTTTTAGTCTGTGATAGTTACTATGAATTTATGTTAGCCTTCAAATTTGGGCTTTAAAAAAGATATATTAAATGTACAGCCTTGTATTTATTATTATAGAAGTAGTTAATAATTAAATGCAATTTAGTTTATCTCCCAAGTCCACATGTCTTTGACATTTATTAGTTCAAAAAGAGTAGATTGCCCAGAATTTTTATGTTCCTTCTTTTTGGCAGTGTCATGAATAATATATGTTGGAATACACACTGGTTTGTGATAACACTTTTTGTTATTTGGTACTTCGCTCATGTTAAATGTTGGAAAAGATAAAGGAGAAATGCAACTTCTGGATTTGTGAAATGAGAATAAACATTAGCAGATGAGATATTAACAAACACTATTTAGGGGTTGAACCGGTAAACCCCAGTTTATACTTTTTATCTAAATACTGTTGGTACAAATATTAAATGCTTTCTGTATCAACTACTTCAGCTAATTAAAGCCACTTTAAGATAGTATCTTTTTTTCCTGCCATTTAATCAGTATATGTTGTATGATTGGTAAGAATAGTCATGTAAATTTCCTTAAAATACAGAGTCACCACGCTGGGCGCGGTGGCTCATGCCTGTAATCCCAGCACTTTGGGAGGCCGAGGCGGGTGGATCACAAGGTCAGGAGATCAAGACCATCCTGGCTAACACAGTGAAACCCCATCTCTACTAAAAATACAAAAAATTAGCCGGGCGTTGTGGTGCATGCCTGTAATCCCAGCTACTGGGGAGGCTAAGGCAGAGAATGGCGTGAACCTGGGAGGCGGAGCTTGCAAAGAGCCAAGATTTTGCCACCGCACTCCAGTCTGGGTAACAGAGCGAGACTCCGTCTCAAAAAAAAAAAAATGTAGAGTCACCACAAATGATCATGATAGTGATGTCTAGCAAGAGCAGAAGACTCAGAAATGCATCAGCCAGTTAAGTGTTTTGTTTGGCTTTCCATTTAAAAGGAAACAATATATTATCTTGGGTAAGTACCCTAGGAAGGTTATTACATGCACGTTATTTTTGACAATTTTATTACCGTTCTCATTTGTTGTGGTTATTTCTGTTAGCTGAAAAAAATCCACACTTACCAAATGTGTTACTTTTTAAAATGCAAAACACTTAGCTTCCTTGGCAGAGTTAGCTTCACTATTGACGTGCTCTTGGGTGGAGCATAGCAGCCAACTGGCAAATGGCCTGTTTCCTTCCAGTGTGGGAAAGAAAAGGGAGTTTTGGCAAGAAATACCTAAGGAGAGCCTTTTATAAAAGCTACCAAAGGGATTTATAGGCACTGTGAAGTAGACCTGACCTCAATTTTTTTTTAATTTCATTTTTAAACTGAACACAGAGAAGGGAGAGCTGTTGCTTTTCTTACTAAGTTTCATTGCAGCTGTGCTAAAAAGCATTTTTTTCTTGCCCTCCCCACTCCCCCGCTTTTTTTTTGACCCTCTCAGAGAATCATTCTGATAATAGAAGATAGACCCGTGAACAGCTTCATGTGCCTTGTTTTTCTAGGAAAATGCAACATGGCAGCAGCAATGGAAACAGAACAGCTGGGTGTTGAGATATTTGAAACTGCGGACTGTGAGGAGAATATTGAATCACAGGATCGGCCTAAATTGGAGCCTTTTTATGTTGAGCGGTATTCCTGGAGTCAGCTTAAAAAGCTGCTTGCCGATACCAGAAAATATCATGGCTACATGATGGCTAAGGCACCACATGATTTCATGTTTGTGAAGAGGAATGATCCAGATGGACCTCATTCAGACAGAATCTATTACCTTGGTGAGTACGAAGTTGTAGTTTCTGAGAGAAAATGATCTCTTAAGTCAAACTTAAAGTCTAGGTATAATTGACACTCAAAAGTTTGATGAATAAATTAATCAGTGACTTTTGGTTTCATTAAAGAAAAGCCTATAATTTGAAGAATTCGATTTTGTTGTATCGCATTAACTTTATTTTTACTTGTAGGTAACAAGTCATTAATTGATCATGATCGTTTTTCAAAATCGAAGATGCCAGAAATTGCTTCTTCCTAAAGCTAGCTTGAAATGCCTTTCTTTAGATGGTCTGATTAGGAAAACAAACAATAAAACCATTAGTTTGTTCCCACTCAACAGCTGCTGCTTTTGTTTTTTTAATCCAAGGCTGTTTTTGGTCTCTTCTTCCTGAATCCATTCACTCCAGATTTAATGTCTGCCTATGTTAAATATGTTAATCTACTGATTTACTTTCTTGTTTGTTAAATTTTTAAAGGTAGGTTCCTTCCCCTCCTCCAAAATATTTCCAATATAAATTTTATTCGTTTATGTGAATGTGTGTGTATATGTGTTTATTTATTTGTGTGTGTGTGTGGTGTGTGTATGTATGTGTGTATGGAGATATTAAAGATGTCTGCATGAGTTCATGTCATAATTATAGTTTTTTTTTTTTTTTTTTTGAGACAGGGTCTCACTCTGTCACCCAGGTTGGAGTGCAGTGGCACACTAATGGCTCACTGCAGCCTTGACCTCCCAGGCTCAAACAGTCCTCCCAAGCTGGGACTACAGGTGCACGCCACCACAGCCAGCTAATGTTTTGTTGTTTTGTTTTTTTTTTAATAGAGATGGAGTTTTGCCATGTTGCTCAAGCTGCGATTCATTTTTTTTTTAAAAACTTCGTAACATTCCATTATATAATTGTGCCATATTTTACTTAACCAGACCTCTAATAATGGTCACACGCTGCCACAACCAGCTAATGTTTTGAATTTTTTTGTAGAGATGGAGTTTTGCCATGTTGCTCAGGCTAGGATTCTTTCTTTTTTAACAACTCAGAATATTCCATTATATAATTGTGCCATATTTTACTTAACCAGACCTCCAGTAATGGCATTTAGGTTTTTCTAATCTGTTGTTACAAAAGATGAGGAAGTGAATATCACTGTATTAGATCATTTTGCACATGTATGAATATATCTGTAGAACTAATTCCTAAGAGTGGAAGTACTGGGAAAAAGGGTATATATATTTTGAATTTTGATTGATATTACTGAACTCCCCTTTCAAAGAGGTTATAGAGTGTATACTACCATGACATTATCTCCGATTATCTATTTCTCCATGCATACACCAGTAGTGAGTAATTAAACTTTTTGATCTTTCCCAGTCAGATTAGCGAACAGCAGTTTCTCATTGTTTTTATTTTATTTCTCTTATGAGTGAGGTTGAGCATCATTTCACATGCTTAAAAAGCCGTTTGTGGCTGGGCGCAGTGGCACACACCTGTATTCCCAGCACTTTGGGAGGCTATGGCTGGCGGATCACTTGAGGTCAGGAGTTTGAGACCAGCCTCACCAACATGGTGAAACCGCGTCTCTACTAAAAATGCAAAAATTAGTCAGGCGTGGTAGTACACACTTGTAATCCCAGCTACTTGGGAGGCTGAGGCAGGAGAATTGCTTGATCCTGGGAGGTGGAGGTTGCAGTGAGCTGAGATGGTGCCACTGCACTCCAGCCTGGATGACAGAGCGAGACTTCGTCTCAAGTAAAGAAAAAAAAAAGCCATTTGTATTTCTCTTCTGTACATTCACAGTCTATAATCTTTGGTTTTTTAATTGGTTTGGGTTTCTTTTTTATTTTTTAAAGTTCTTTTTCCACCCAACCCCTGAAGAGGGTTTCTTTTTCTTAATGATTTGAAGCCTTTTATATAGTAAGTGAATTAATCCTTTGTGGGATTGTCCCAAGTTTGCTTATTTTTTAAATTAATTATTAATTATTATTATTTTTTGAGACGGGGTCTCAGTCTTCTAGGCTGGAGTACAGTGGCATGATCTTGGTTCACTGCATCCTTGACCTCCCAGGCTGAAGTGATCCTCCCGCCTCAATCCCCCAAGTGGCTGGGCCTACAGGCGTGTGCCACCATGCCCAGCTAATTTGTGTATTTTTTTTTGTAGAGACGGGTTTCGCCATGTTGTCCAGGCTGATCTGGAACTCCTGAGCTCCAGCAATCTGCCTGCCTCAGCTAGGATTACAGGCGTGAGCCACTGCACCTGGCCTTTTTTGTTTTTTGTTTTTTTTGAGATGGCGGTCTCACTCTGTTGCCCAGGCTGGAGTGCAGTGGTGTGATCCTGGCTAACTGCAACCTCCACCTCCCAGGCTTAAGCCATCCTCCCATCTCAGCCTCCCAAGTAGCTGGGACTATAGGCACATACCACTATGCCCAGCTAATTTTTGTATTTTTGGTAGAGATTGGGTTTCACCATGTTGCTCAGGCTCATCTCAAACTCCTGAGCTCAAGCTGTCTACCCACCTCAGCCTCCCAGAGTGCTGGAATTGCAGATGTGAGCCACTACACCTGGCCAGAAATCTTTTCTTTTATAAGAAATCATACATTTTTGAGAGCCCTTATTCCAAACGTGGTATGCTTAGAAGAAGCTCTATTATTTAGTAACAAGCATTTCGTTACATTAGCATTTTACTTCATCACATGCTTAATTTTGCCTCTTGTTCTTTGTCATGCTATCCTAAAGAGAAACAAGACTCATTGATACTGTTGCCTGAAGACATGGGCCCAAAATGACTGCTGTAGCTCTAAAGACCAATAAATACCATTAGGAAAGAATGAGAAAAGCCCATTTGTGCTTATGTCAGAACATAGAATGTGCTGGGGAAATTTTTACTGGTCATGGATAAAGCCAAGGCAGACATTATGGAACTAGGAGCATATAGGGAGGGGCAACTGAAATGATTGTGGGGGAATGGCTGTTACTGAGGAGAGAAGAAAACCAGTTTTGTCTTTTTGTTTTAATATTTGAAGACTGAAGGCTCTTAGAAGGATCACATTTTGTAAAATTGTGAATGGTATTGATAGGTGACCACAGTCTTAAGAATTCTATAGCAAAGCAACTTGGGAATCTACAAAGTAGATTTTACACAAAATTGAGTGCTGAAGTAAATGTCAGCTGATATATAACTTTTTACTCCAAAGGCAACATAAACTAATTAGAAAAATAAGAGGATAAAAAAAGATATGGTTATTTGGGGGCTTATCCTCAACATTTGCAAGGGTTAGCATGGGAGTTATCATAAATACCTTTCCCGAGGCTACCTTCTGCTGGCATTAATAATTCAGAAACATAGGTTGAGGATCTCTTTCACCCAGGAGATTTCTTGTTATTTTTGTGTGATTTATGTTTTCCTTCCTTCACTCCTCCAGCTTTTTGGAAGCAATACCCCTTTTTTTTTTTGAGATGGAGTTTTGCCCCTGTTGCCCAGGCTGGAGTGCAGTGGCGTGATCTCGGTTTATTGCAACCTCTGCCTCCCGGGTTCAAGTGATTCTCCTGCCTCAGCCTCCCGAGTAGCTGGGATTACAGGCATGTGCCACCACGCCTGGCTAATTTTGTATTTTTAGTAGAGGCAGGGTTTCTCCATGTTGGTCAGGCTGGTCTCGAGCTCCTGACCTCAGGTAATCCGCCCACCTCAGCCTCCCAAAGTGCTGGGATTACAGGTGTGAGCCACCTCGGCCGGCCAGTAATACCTTTTTAGAATAGAAAGGCTTTGTTTTACCTTATGTTTTCTTTGGTTCATATCTTCATAACCATAGTGTGTTTCTGTCAATCTTTTATATGTAACTCACTCTACACTGCTGTGACCTTCCCATCCAGTTATCACATGATTTTGCAGAAGAGATTTGGCTTCTACTTAATTTAGACCTTTTTCCTTTGCCCTTCCCCAATAAAGGACAAAGAGATTTTCAGCAGATCAGTTGCCAGATTCTGTATTGTTTTAATATTAGTATAGTTTTATTGGAAACCCTAAAGGTCTTATTAATGATTATAGTTACAGAACTTTTTTTTTTTTGAGACGGAGTCTTGCTCTGTTGCCCAGGCCAGAGTGCAGTGGTGTGATCTCGGCTCACTGCAATCTCCGTCTCCTGGGTTCAAGCAATTCTCCTGCCTCAGCCACCCAAATAGCTGGGATTACAGGCACGTGCCACCACGCCCAGCTAATTTTTTTGTATTTTTAGTACAGACAAGGTTTCATCATGTTGGCCAGGCTGGTATCAAACTCCTGATCTCAAATGATCTGCCTGCCTCGGGCTCCCAAAGTGCTGGGACTACAAGCATGAGCCACCACGCCCAGCCTACAGAACTTTTATAATGAATAAAAACTAGAATTCAGTTAGATCTATGTGTTTCCAATTAAGCACTTTAAATGTTTCAGAAACAGTAATCTGAAGTTGTTATATTGGAATCTCATGAGCCTGTTGCCAACTTGTAAAGGACTCACAATTTTCAAAAAATTCTGAAAATGGTACTTTTCTCTACACAGCAACTTACATACTTTTATATTTATTTTGAGAGGGACTAAGATCTGAATACCAAAATGAAACCTGAGCATTTTTCTTTAAAGCCTCAGATTTCTTTTTTTTTTTTTTTTTTTTAAGTTGGGATCTTGCTATGTTACCCAGGCTGGTCTTGAATTCCTAGGTTCAAGTGATCCTCCCACTGTAGCCTCCCAAGTAGCTGGGATTATAGGCATGTGTACTGTGCCAGGCTAGCCTTGGTTTTATTGAAAATTTTTATGGCATATGGCATAAGCACATTCTACTTGTTAACATTCATTATATATCCCATAGAGTGCAAAATATTGCAGTGTATAGAAGGCATTATGTACTTGCAACTGTGACTGTAGTAAGAATGCTATTCGAAAAAATAATAATAAATGATTGCTTTCTCCTATAGCCATGTCTGGTGAGAACAGAGAAAATACACTGTTTTATTCTGAAATTCCCAAAACTATCAATAGAGCAGCAGTCTTAATGCTCTCTTGGAAGCCTCTTTTGGATCTTTTTCAGGTAGGATTAAATGTTGTTATTCCTATGATTTGGTGTATGTATTCAGATACTGCATTTATTTAGAGGTTGGGATTTTATATTTGAAGTAGATGTAAATAAAAAAAATTAAGATGTTTTTATGTTTTTGCATGTATGACCCTGAAATTCCATTTAATTCTTGATATCTGAAACTGAGATAATAAAATTCAATTTTTTAAACTGCTTTCTCCCTGTTTAACTGCATTTCCCTTCATAAACTTTGTACTTACGTAGTTCTCACATTTTTTAAAGGAGTTGTTCACAGAAAAGAACTGATAAATATTTCCAGAAAGGCTTATTTATATATTTTAATTGATTTTGTATTTCTAAAGCTCAGTAACAGCACTAAAATAAAGGTACAAAGTTCAGTTTTACCTTCTGAATAGTATAATTCCATTTATGTAAAATCAAAGGTTGGGGTTTTATTTCCCCCAATATTTTATCTTTATTTTTTCTTATTAAAAACTATTTAACATATATATATAATAGTTTTTAAACATATATATGTTTATATATGTATAATATATAAACAGATTCCAGGATTTCAGTGCACATATGTTTATATGTTTATATATTTTATATATGTTATGTATATGTTTATATGTATATATGTTTACATATATATATGTTTAATAAGATGGGGTCTTGCTATGTTGTCCGGGTTGGTCTCAAACTCTCAAACTTCTGGGTTCAAGCAATCTGCCTGCCTCGGCTTCCCACAGTGCTGAGATTACAGGCGTGAGCCACCTCACCTGGCCGATTTTATCTTTAGATAAGAAAGTAAATTGTTGAAAATATCCCAAAGATAATGTTTCGGTACAATCGTTTGCTTCTTTGGTTCTCATTATTATTTTTACAGTGAGTATTTATTTATTTATTATTATCATTTTTTTTTGAGACGGAGTTTTGCACTTCTTGCCCAGGCTGGAGTTCAATGGCGCAGTCTTGGCTCACTACAACCTCCGCCTCCCGGGTTCAAGCGATTCTCCTACCTCAGACTCCCAAGTAGCTGGGATTACAGGCATGCGCCACCACGCCCAGCTAATTTTGTATTTTTAGTAGAGCCACAGTTTCACCGTGTTAGCTAGGATGGTCTCGATCTCCTGACCTCGTGATCTGCCTGCCTCGGCCTCCCAAAGTGCTGGGATTACAGGTGTGAGCCACCGCACCGGCCTTGGCCGAGTATTTCTTAATTGAATAACATGAATGTGCTGTTTCTCATAGAAATTAAAAAAAAAAAACTTTTATAACAACTAATCTTTTTTTTTTTTTTTTGAGACACAGTCTTGCTCTGCAACCCAGGCTGGAGCGCAGTGGCGCAATCTTGGCTCACTGTAACTTCTGCCTCCCAGATTCAAGCGATTCTCCTGCCTCAGCCTCCCAAGTAGCTGGGATTACAGGTGCACACCACCATGCCTGGCTAATTTTTGTATTTTCAGTAGAGACGGGGTTTCATCATGTCACCCAGGCTGGTCTCGAACTCTTGGCCTCAAGTGATCCACCGCCTCAGCTTCCCAACGTGCTGGGATTACAGGTGTGAGCCACTGCACCTGGCCACAACTAATCATTTTCACTCCAACTATTTGTCATGAACATTGCCCTTTACATAGGCATGTGACTTTTCTTTAAAACAAAAAATTTCTTATTCTGAGACCAGTGTCTTTAACTGAAATAACGATAATTTTCTCAGAAAAATTGGCAAAACTGTTTTAAACTTTTATAATGGAAATTTTTAAAGCATACAAAAGTGGAATAACGTGAAATATTTTCAACAAGGATTAAATCTTAGGCATCAGTGTTGATTGTAGCCCTACTAACTTCCCCTCACAACCCCCCACAGCCTACTGCTCAGACTATTTTTTTTTTTTTTGAGACAGAGTCTCACTCTATCGCCCAGGCTGGAGTGTAGTGGTGCCATCTCAGCTCACTGCAAGCTCCTCCTCCCGGGTTCACACCATTCTCCTGCCTCAGCCTACCTAGTAGCTGGGACTACAGGCTCCCACCACCATGCCCAGCTAATTTTTTGCATTTTTAGTACGGACGGGGTTTCACTGTGTTAGGCAGGATAGTCTCAATCTCCTGACCTCGTGATCCGCCTGCCTCGGCCTCCCAAAGTGCTGGGATTACAGGTGTGAGCCACCGCGCCCGGCCCTGCTCAGACAGTTTTAAAGAAGATACCAGATATGTCATTCCTGAAATATATCAGTATGTATCTCTAAAGTATACAAATTCTTTTTTTAATTGAGACAGCATCTCACTCTGTCACCCAAGTTGGAATACAGTGGTGTGTGATCACAGCTCACTGCAGCTTTAACTTCCTGAGCTCAGGCAATCCTGCCTCAGCCTCCTGAGTAGCTGGGACTACAGGCATATGGCACCATTGCCAGCTAATCTTTTAAATGTTTTGTAGAGACAGGGTCTCACTGTGCTGCCCAGGGTGGTCTCAAACTCCTGAGCTCAAGCGATCCTCCCACCTTGACCTTCCAAAGTGCTAGGATAATAGGTGTGAGCCACCCCACCCAGCATGTTCTACCACAGTTTTTTTTTTTTTTTTTTTGAGACGGAATCTTGCTCTGTCGCCAGGCTGGAGTGCAGTGGCGCGTTCTCAGCTCACTGCAACCTCCGCCTCCCAGGTTCAAGCGATTCTCCTGCCTCAGCCTCCCAAGTAGCTGGGACTATAGCGTGCGCCACCAGGCCTAGCTAATTTTTGTATTTTTAGTAGAGACAGGGTTTCACCATGTTGGCCAGGATGGTCTCAATCTCTTGACCTTGTAATCTGCCTACCTCAGCCTCCCAATGTGCTGGAATTACAAGCGTGAGCCGCTGCACCCGGCCCTACCACAATTTTTTTTTTTTTTTTTGAGATGGAGTTTCACTCTTGTTGCCCAGGCTGGAGTGCAATGGCACGATCTCAGCTCACCGCAACCTCTGCCTCCTGGGTTCAAGGGATTCTCCTGCCTCAGCCTCCCAAGTAGCTGGAATTACAGGCATGCGCCACCACACCCGGATGATTTTGTATTTTTTATTAGAGAAGGGGTTTCTCCATGTTGGTCAGGCTGGTCTTGAACTTCCGACCTCAGGTGATCCTCCCACCTCAGCCTCCCTGAGTGCTGGGATTACAGGCGTGAGCCACTGCACCCGGCCCGCAATTTTTTTTAAAAAGGGCCAGGCACAGTAGCTGATGCCTGTAATCACAGCACTTTGGGAAGCCAAGGAGGGTGGATCACTTGAGGCCAGGAGTTCGAGACCAGCCTGACCAACATGGTGAAACCTCATCTCTACTAAAAAAAATACAGAAAAGGCCAGGTGCGGTCGCTTATGCCTGTAATCTCAGCACTTTGGGAGGCTGAGGCGGGTGGATCACTTGAAGTCAGGAGTTCAAGACCACTCTGGCCAACATGGTGAAACCCCATCTCTACTAAAAATATAAAAAAATAAGCCAGGCATGATGGCAGGTGCCTGTAATCCTAGCTACTCGGGAGGCTGAGGTGGGAGAATCGATTGAACCCGGGAGGCAGAGGTTGCAGTGAGCTTAAATCGTGCCACTGCACTCTACCCTGAGTGACAGAGCAAGACTTCATCTCAAAAAATAATAATAAATAAATAAAAATTAGTCAGGTAGGGCGGTGGGGGTGCAGCGCCTGTAATCCCAGCTACTTGTGAGGCTGAGGCAGGAGAATCGCATGAGCCAGGGAGGCAGAGGTTGCAGTGAGCTGAGATGGCACCTCTGCACTCCAGCTAGGGTGACCAAGGGAGACTCTGTCTCAAAAAAAAAAAGAAAAGAAAGAAAAAAGTAATCAACAATAAAGAAATACTTCAGGCTGGGCATGGTGGCTCACGCCTGTAATCCCAGCACTTTGGGAGGCTGAGGCTGGTGGATCACCTGAGATCAGGAGTTTGAGACCAGCCTCATCAACATGGAGAAACCCCGTCTCTACTAAAAATACAAAATTAGCCGAGCATGGTTGTGCATGCATATAATCCCAGATACTTGGAGGCTGAGACAGGAGAATCTCTTGAACCCGGGAGGCAGAGGTTGCGGTGAGCCGAGATCGCGCCATTGCACTACAGCCTGGGCAGCAGAGCAAGGCTCCATCTCAAAAAAAATAATAATAATAATTAATGGTGTTTCAAGATTGTTTTGGGTATTCTGTGTCTCTTGCAATTCTGTATGAATATTACTAGGGTCAGCTTGTCTATATCTGGAAAAAAGGCATTTGGAATTTTGATACGCATTTACTCTGTCTTCCAATCCATGCATACGTGATGTCTTTCTATTTATTTAGATCTTTACTTTCTTTGAACAGTGTTTTACAGTTTCCCATATACACGTCTTGCTCTTCTTTGGTTAAATTTACTACTAAGTATTTTTGTTTTCTTTTTTTATTTTAATGTCAGTCAAATGTAGCAGTTAGGGGTTGTATACCAACTTTAGTGACACTAATGTTAATAAGTTCCGATAACCCACTACTATTGGGTCAGCCTATTTTTTAAATAACATTTTAAGTAGAATTTTATTTTATTTTATCTTATTATTTTTTTTTTTTGAGACACTTTCTTGCTCTGTTGCCCAGGCTGGAATGCAGTGGCGTGATCTTGGCTCACTGCAACCTCCGCCTCCCAGGTTCAAGTGATTCTCCTGCCTCAGCCTTCTGAGTAGCCGGGACTACAGATGCGCACCAGCATGCTCGGCTAATTTTTGTATTTTTAGTAGAGGCGAGGTTTCACTGTGTTGGCCAGGCTGGATTTGAACTCCTGACCACGGGTGATCCACCTGCCTTGACCTCCTAAAGTACTGGGATTACAGGCATGAGCCACCACGCCCAGCCACAAACTTTCTTTGAGAGACATTATAACAAATATGTTTTAAGTAGGAAAAGAAAATCACAGAGATTCTGCTCTGAAGTTTTTTTTTTTTTTCCATTTAGCAAATATCCTGAAAAAGTGAAAAACAATACCATAGTTAAATAAGTAACAGACAGTAACTCCTATAAATAATTTAGGACATAAATGAAAGAAATCACTTCTTTCATGAGGGCCAGGCTTGGTGGCTCACACCTGTAATCCCAATGCTGGGAGGCGGAGGTGGGCAGATCACTTGAGGCCAGGAGTTTGAGACCAGCCTGGCCAACATGGCGAAACTCCATTTCTACTAAAAATGCAAAATATTAGCTGGGCGTGGTGGCACAAGTGTGTAATCCCACCTACTCAGGAGGCTGAGGCATGAGAATCACCTGAATCCAGGAGGCAGAGGTTGTAGTGAGCTGAGATCACGCCACGGCACTCCAGCCTGGGCAACAGAGTGAGAGTTTTGTCTCAAAGAAAGAAAGAAAGAAATCACTGTGAAATAGTGAATTGGAAAACTTTGCTAGCTGAGAATTCAAGCAAGGTTTTGGGGTATAAGTAAACTGGGATAGGTAGAAAGAAAAACATTCTTCCAAGAGTCCAGGGAAGAGGGGTAGAACAGACAAAGACCAGGAGACAGAAAACCACTCATTGAGTTTTATTCAGATCAGTGATGTGACCAGCTTGACCTCTAAGGTTTTATTAAGAGGAGTATTGCTAGTGTAGTGGAAAGGTTTTAATAACAGCTGACAAATTTGAGAGCTTACTCTGTGTCAGTCATTGTGCTAAACATTGTACATATTTTATCTAAATTAATCTTCACAAAGCTGATATAGATGATTTATTACTATTTTGAAAATGAAGAAAATTACTTTTGAATAAATTAAGCTACTTTCTCAAGGTTAGACTTCTAGTGAAGGGTCAAAGCTTGGATTCAAACCACTTGACTTAGAAGTCTGTGCTCTTAATTGCATGCTGGCTACTAAATTATAGTTAAGTTGTAGAAAGTCTTGAATGCTAACATGATTGGACTTTATTCTTGTTCTCTAATGTATACAGTAATCATCTAAAGACTCTTTACTAGGAAATCTTTCAGCAGACTTCCTAAAATTAATCTGCTTAAAGTTGCCAGCAAATTTTGGGGTCACTTAACCTGCAGACTGTGCTCAGTGAATTAGAAGGCTGAAAAAAAAAATGTAGAGTCGCCAGGCGCGGTGTCTCACGCCTGTAATCCCAGCACTTTGGGAGGCCGAGGCAGGCGGATCACGAGGTCAGGAGATGGAGACCATCCTGGCTAACACGGTGAAACCCCGTCTCTACTAAAAACACAAAAAATTAGCTGGGCGTGGTTGCGGGCGCCTGTAGTCCCAGCTACTAGGAAGGCTGAGGCAGGAGAATGGTGTGAACCCGGGAGGCAGAGCTTGCAGTGAGCCAAGATCGCTCCACTGCACTCCAGCCTGGGTGACAGAGTGAAACTCTGTCTCAAAAAAAAAAAAAAAAAAAAAAGAGTCAATAATGTTGGAGATTCTAGGATTTCAGTGCTAAAAGCAAAAGATGGTTTTTCAGAAGACTGGAATAGGTGACTTTCCTTTCACATTAGGCAACACTGGACTATGGAATGTATTCTCGAGAAGAAGAACTATTAAGAGAAAGAAAACGCATTGGAACAGTCGGAATTGCTTCTTACGATTATCACCAAGGAAGTGGAACATTTCTGTTTCAAGCCGGTAGTGGAATTTATCACGTAAAAGATGGAGGGCCACAAGGATTTACGGTAAGTTGGAGTTGCTAGTGATTAAATCTGGTTTGGGTCCAAAAGGTTATTTGTACCCAAAGCAGAAAGGTAATTAATAAACAAACCAGCAACTTCAGTTTACCCACCAACAAAGAAATTTAATAGCAATGAAAACAAGAAACATGGAGATTGGTTTCCAATTTTAAGAGCGATTTTTTTTTTTTTTGAGACAGAATTTCACTGTTGTTGCCCAGGCTGGAGTGCAATGGTGCCGTCTTGGCTCACCGCAACCTCTGCCTCCTGGGTTCAAGTGATTCTCCTGCCTCAGCCTCCCAAGTAGCTGGGACTACAGGCATGCGCCACCACCCCTGGCTAATTTTGTATTTTTAGTAGCGATGGGGTATCTCCATGTTGGTCAGGCTGGTCTTGAACTCCTGACCTCAGGTTATCTGCCCATCTCGGCCTCCCAAAGTGCTAGGATTACAGACATGAGCCACCGCGCCCAGCCTTAGGAGATAATTTTTTTACCAGCTCAGGCAACAGAGAGAGACCCTGTCTCTACAAAAAAAAATTTAAAAAAACTTAGCTGGGCATGGTGGTGCACACCTTTAATCCCAGATACTCAGGAGTCTGAGGTGGGAGGATCACTTGAACCTGGAGGTCAAGCTGCAGTGAACTGTGATTGTGCCACTGCAGTCCAGCCTAGATGACAGACCAAAACCTTATCTCAAAACAAAAGAGTTAATAATCTTTCTAGTTACATTAAGATACCATTTTTAGGTCAGACGTGGTGGCTCACACCCATAATTCCAGCACTTTGGGAGGCCCATGTGGGCAGATCATTTGAGCCTAGGAGTTCCAGACCAGCGTGGGGAAACATGGCGAAACCCCATCTCTACAAAAAATGCAAAAATTAGCCAGGCAAGGTAGCATGCGCCTGTAGTCCCAGCTACTCAGGAAGCTGAGGTGGGAGGATCATTTGAGCCTGGGAGGCGGAGGTTGTAGTGCACCGAGATTGTGCTGCTGCACTTTAGCGTGGATGACAGAGCAAGTCCCTGTCTTAAAAAAAAACATACAAATTTTAAAGTGGTAAAAATACTTGCTGTATAGAAAGATAGAGTAGGCCATGCATGGTGGCTCACACCTGTAATCCCAGCACTTTGGGAGGCTGAGGCGGGCAGATCACTTGAGATCAGGAGTTTGAGATCAGTCTGGCCAACATGGTGAAACCCTGTCTCTACTAAAAACACAAAAATTAGGCAGGCGCACCTGTAGTCCTAGCTACTCGGGAGGCTGAAGCACGAGAATTGCTTGAATCTGGGAGTTGGATGGAGGTTGCAGTGAGCTGAGATCGCTCTACTGTCCTCCACCCTGGGCGACAGAGTGAGACTAAGAGAGAGAGAAAAAAAAAAAGGAAAGGTAACGGGCATCAATTCCCACTTCCTGTGTAAGCACTGAGGGAGGTTTTGGAAGATCATTATCAAAAGACAATTTTTTGTTTCCCTTGAAAGCTAATTCATCTTAATAAATTTATATATACACACACACACACACACACACACACACACACACACTTTTTTTTTGGGGGGGAGACAAAGTCTTGCTGTCATCCAGGCTGGAGTGCAGTGGCAAGATCATGGCTCACTGCAGCCTCAAACTCCTGGGCTCAAGCAATCCTCCCACCTCAGCCTCCTGAGTAGCTGGGACTACAGATATGTGCCACCACACCCAATTACTAATTTAAAAAATTTTTTTTAGAGGTGAGGGTCCCACTAGATTGCCCCAGCTTGTCTTGGACTTTAGGCTCAAGTGATCCTCTTGCCTTAGCCTCTCAAGTGGCTTATGTTTGGTTTTATCCTAGGCAATTGATTATGAGCTTTAGGAACTCTTCTTTTGAGAATTGTGATGATCCTGGCTTCTATTACATTTTTATGAGCAAACTATTTTATATTGGTAAAAATAATTTTAAAATATTTAATAAAATATTGAGTGAATAAGTGTTTAATAACAATGTTTAATGAACAGTAATTACTCTCTTAAACAGGTTGGGCAACAAAATTTATGAAGTAGTGTTTTATTGTCTTTATGTCCTTTATGTCCTCTCCTGTTACCCTTAGCTTTTTCATTTGAAGTTAAAAAAAATTCCTTTCTGGTAAGTTAAGGCAATAGAAAGTATATTTTTCTGGGAAGCAATTATCATTGTTGACTTTTTTTTTTTTTCCTGATACTGAGTCTCACTTTGTCACCCAGGTTGGAGTGCAGTGGCACGATCTTGGCTCACTGCAACATCCACCTCCCAGGTTCAAGCAATTCTCCTGCCTCAGCCTCCCAAGTAGTTGGGACTACAGGTGCCCACCACTATGCCCAGCTAATTTTTGTATTTTTGGTAGAGATGGGGTTTCACTATGTTGGTCAGGCTGGTCTCGAACTCCTGACTTCAGGTGATCTGCCTGCCTTGGCCTCCCGAAGTGCTGGGATTACAGGCGTAAGTCACCACGCCCGGCCTCATTGTTGACATTTTACCTAGAAATATTGTTCATCTTATAGGAAGGGTGCTGGAACATGTATGTGTCAGCCTAATACTTACCTTAAAATGTTGTTTACTTTTCTAGCAACAACCTTTAAGGCCCAATCTAGTGGAAACTAGTTGTCCCAACATACGGATGGATCCAAAATTATGCCCTGCTGATCCAGACTGGATTGCTTTTATACATAGCAACGATATTTGGATATCTAACATCGTAACCAGAGAAGAAAGGAGACTCACTTATGTGCACAATGGTAAGGCGTAGTTCTTCAGATTTACTTTTCTGAACAGTATTTTTTGAAGTATAATTTGCTGCTTGCATTTTGAAATTAGATTACCACGTTGGGTGATCTTTATATTTGAAATTCAAGTCTTTAAAATTTTTAAAAAATGGAGAAAAGTACAGAGGATAACTTGTATGTACCACATGTATAATATTCATTTTAATGTTTTAATGTTCATTTTCAAACAGTGAAACAAAAGAACCTCTGACATGATTGTTCTTTTAGCTTGCTAAGACTGCCAGAATTTTCCCAAAACTGTTCTTATTAAAATAAAATTTTAGGCTAGGCATGGTGGCTCATGCCTGTAATCCTAGCACTCTGGGAGGCTGAGGCAGGCAGATTGTTTGAGCCCAGAAGTTCAAGATCAGGATGGGCAACATGGTGACACCTCGTTTGACAAAAAAATACAAAAAATTAGCTGAGCGTAGTGGCATGTGTAGTCCCAACTACCTGGGAGATTGAGGTAGGAGGATCACCTGATCCAGGAGGTCAAGGCTATGGTGAGCCATTGCGCTCCAACCTGGGTGACAAAGTGAGACTCTGTTTCAAAATTAAATAAATAAATAAATACATTTTTAAAAATTAGTTTTGTTTTTGAGAAACAGATAGAAAAACCAATTACACACTCTAAGAAACTACTTGAGGCCGGGCGTGGTGGCTCATGCCTGTAGTCCCAAGCACTTTGGGAGGCCAAGGCAGGTGGATCACCTGAGGTCAGGAGTTCTAGACTAGTCTGGCCAACGTGATGAAACCCTGTCTCTACTAAAAATACAAAAATTAGCCGGAATGGTGGTGCACACCTGTAATTCCCAGCTACTAGGGAGGTTGAGGCGGGAGAATTGCTTGAACCTGGGAGGTGGAGGTTGCAGTTAGCTGAGACTGCGCCACTGCACTCCAGCCTGGGCAAGAGAGCAAGACCCTGTCTCAAAAAAATAAAACTACTTGAGACTGAGGCGGGTAGATCACTTGAGCCTGGACAACATGGTAAGACATTGTCTCTACCAAAAAAAAAAAAAATAGCTGGATGTGGTGGCACGTGCCAGTAGTCCCAGCTACTTAGGAGACTGAGGGAGGAGGATCACTCAAGCCTAGGAGGTCGAGGCTAAAGTGAAACGTGATTGCGCCACTGCACTGCACCCTGGGTGACAGAGTGAGACCCTGTCTCAAAAAAAAAAATTATCTTTCAGTTTTGGAGAGCCTACTTAGTTATTGTCATAATAGAAAAAATAGAACTTTGTAGAACTATGTATATTGTGGGAATATTTAATTAAGTTTTATTGAAGTGGCTATGATAATACTAAGCACTATTCAAAGCACAGAGAGATGTGAATGGTTTCCTCTAAAGGTTTCATACAAATGAAAGATGGGAAATAGTGTATTGCTTTTTCTTTGAACACGTGAACCAGAGTTTAAGTACCATAATGAAGATGATGACTGAAAATTCTTTTGTCTAACTTTTGCTTAATCTTATGTTCACAAAGCTGATTTACTGTCATCTTTCTTAATCATTATCCCCTCATCATCATCAATCATTAGTTAAAATTAATTACAGGCCAGCCGCCACGGTTCATGCCTGTAATCCTAGCACTTTGGAAGGCCGAGGCGGGCAGATCACGAGGTCAAGAGATCGAGACCATCCTGGCTAACACAGTGAAACCCTGTCTCTACGAAAACTACAAAAAATTAGCCGGGCGTGGTGGCGGGTGCCTGTAGTCCCAGCTACTAAGGAGGCCAAGGCAGGAGAATGATGTGAACCCAGGAGGCGGAGCTTCCAGTGAGCTGAGATCACACCACTGCATTCCAGCCTGGGCGACAGAGGGACACTCCGTCTAAAAAAAAAAAGAAAAAAGAAAGAAAATCATTGTTAACAGATATGTTACAGGTTGGAAAACAAAATGATACATATTCTCTCAAGTTTGTTTTTTTGTTCTTTTTTGTTGTTGTTTGTTTTTGAGACAGAGTCTTACTGTGTCACCCAGGCTGGAGTGCAGTGGTGTGATCTCTGCTCACTGCAACCTTCGCCTCTCGGGTTCAGGTGATTCCCCTGCCTCAGCCTCCCGAGTAGCTGGGATTACCGGCTAATTTTTTTGTATTTTTAGTAGAGACGGGGTTTCACCATGTTGGCCAGGGTGTTCTCAATCTTCTGACCTCGTGATACACCCACCTCGGCCTCCCAAAGTGCTGGGATTACAGGCACGAGCCACCGTGCTCAGCCTGTTTGTTTGTTTTTTGTAACAAAGTCTCGCTCTATTGCCCAGGCTGGAGTGCAGTGGGCTATCTCAGCTCACTGTAACCTCTGCCTCCTGCGTTCAAGTGATTCTCATCCCTCAGCCTCCTGAGTAGCTGGGATTACAGGTGCACACCACCACACCTGGTTAATTTTTGTATTTTTAGTAGGGACGGGGTTTCACCATGTTGACCAGGCTGGTGTTGAACTCCTGACCTCAAGTGATCCGTCCACCTCTGCCTCCCAAAGTGCTGAGAACAGGCGAGAGCCACAGCACCTGGCCAGACATAGGGTTTTATAAGAGCACCAATGTGAGACAGTGGTCAGGGAAGGCTTTCCAGAAAAGATGACACCTAAACTGATCCTAAGTAATGTCTATATATTATCCAGTACACTCCTGACAAGGGGACTACGTGAGAAAGGTCTTGATGCAAAAGACATCATGGTGTTTGTGAGGAGTTAGAAGCAGTGTGAAGGTTCTGAAGCATAAGTTCTGAGTCAAGAAGTAGCAAAAGATTGGCAGATAAGGGCCAGGACAAGGGTAGACCATATCTTCTGTAAAAGAACATGGACTTTATCATGATATGAGGGTCCATGGAAAGGTTTTTAACAGTTGAGTGGTGTGATCATCATAATCATATTGTCGATAAGTTGTTCTGGATACTTTGTGGAGGTTAAATTTGAGAAGCATGGGTAGAGACAGGAACACCAAAGCTTGACTGTTGCAGTTATCCAAGTTATATGGCCTAAATCTAGAGCATAGGATAGAGAAAAGGGGATGGAGTAAGGAAAATCTTAAGTTAAAAGTATAGATTTTGGTGTTTAATGGGTCTCCCTTTGAAGTCAGGAAATCAGAACAGCTGTTCTACTACCAATGGCAGTAGAAAGATTAGGTTGGTAGTTAGTAAATCTGTTTTGGAAATCCTAGCGATTTTTTCATGCCCTTTTTTTTTTTTTTTTCAATTTTTTTGAGACAGGGTCTCCTATTGGCTCACTGCAGTCTTCACGGGGCTGCAGCAATCCTCCCACCTCAGCACCCCTGAATAGCTGAGACAACAGGTGTGTGCCACCACGCCTACCTAATTTTTAATTTTTTTTGTAGAGATGAGGTCTCCCAGCACTTTGGGAGGCCAAGGTGGGAAGAGCTCTTGAGCCCAGGAGTTCAAGACCAGCCTGGGCAATGTAGGGAGACCCTGTCTCTACAAAAAAATAAAAAATAATAAAAATTACCCAGACATGGTGTCATGCACCCGTTTCTCAGTTACTCTGGGAGCCGAGGTAGGAGGATCACTTGAGCATGGATAGTCAGGCTCTGTTGCACCACTGCACTCCAGCCTTGGAGTGACTGTATTTGCACCACTGCACTCCAGACTTGGAGTGAGCTATAATTGCACCACTGCACTCCCGCCTTGGTGGCAGATGAAAGAGAGAGACCCTGTCTCTAAAAAAAAAAAAAAGGATATAGAACCGGTTTGAATTTCAAGTCTACCATTTATTAACTGTGTGGCCTTGAGCAGGTTATTTAACCATCTCTTAGTTTCCACATCTGTAAAAACAGATATTAATTAATAGCACATCAACATAGGGTTGTTAGGAGGCTTTAATGAGTTAATATCTATGAAGTATTCAGGATAGTGCCTGAAACATAGTAACTGTTGTGTAAGTATGTGCTTAGATAGAAAGTAGGTAGGGAGTTAATGTCATCAGCTTATTCCACTTACTCACAATAGGTTTCTAAGTGAAAGTCCACTTGAGATGGATTTGGTCTATCAGTATGTACATGTGTTTATTCTTTGCCTGGTGATAGAGGAATTTAAAAGTAATAAAATCCTAGCTTCTGCTCTCAAATGACTTACTGAGACAATGAGATGATACTATTTATTCATTTAATAAATAATAATGGAAGTCTATAATAAACAGTAGGAAGATACAAATGGGGGTTACTTATCTTCATAGTCTTGGCTCTGTAATTAATTCCAGAATTCAAAACACTTTGAAAACTGAGCTTAGTTTTCATTAGGTTGTTACTAAAATTCATTTGGCAGTAACACCTGACCTGAAGTGACCTGAGGATATTGATAAACTTAATATGCTTATCTGTGTAGTGTGCCTATTCATAAGTTTACTGCAGGAATATTGGTGTATATGATTGCAAGGTATTTGGTTACCCTGCTGGAGATATTACATAATGTATTATGGTAGATGTACAATATATGAAAAATCTTGGCCGGGCACGGTGGCTCACCCCTGTAATCCCAGCACTTTGGGAGGCCGAGGCAGGCAGATCACCTGAGGTCGGGAGTTCAAGACCAGCCTGACCAACATGGAGAAACCCTGTCTCTACTAAAAATACAAAATTAGCCGGGGTGGTGGCACACGCCTGTAATCCCAGCTACTCAGGAGGCTTAGGCAGGAGAATCGCTTGAACCCAGGAAGTGGAGGTTGCGGTGAGCTGAGATGGAGCTATTGCACCCCAGCCTGGGCAACAAGAGCAAAACTCCGTCTAAAAAAAAAGAGAGAAAGAAAGAAAACAGAAAAGGAAAGAAAAGAAAGAAAAGAGCTCTCCCAAATTCTGAATTCCAAATATTTCTTTTTGGATTCAAACTTTTTGGATAAAAAAATCATTGGTTTGCACTGTACATTATGTCAGACTATATAGAAAATATAAATAAGCAAAAATAATAAAACTTGCTGGTAAAATTAAAATCAGGCCAGGTGCAGTGGCTCACACCTGTAATCCTAGCACTTTGGGGGGCCAAGGTGAGAGGATTACTTGAGCTCAGGGGTTTGAGACCAGCCTGGGAAACATAATGAGACCTCATCTCTACAAAAATTTTTTAAAAAATTAGCTGGGCTTAGTGACATATGCCTGTGTCCCAGCTACTTGGGAGGCTGAGACAGGAGGATTGCTTGAGCCCAGGAGATGAAGGCTGCAGTGACCCGAGATCTCACCCCTGCGCTCTACCCTTGGTGACAGAGCAAGACCCTGTCTCAAAAATAAAATAAAAAATTAAAGTCACTATGAGATATGTAATGCCTACTAGACTGGCTACAGTGAGAAATATTGAGAACACCAAATGTTGGAGAAGAACTTTCATACTTTGATAGTAATAATATAAAATAATAGAAATACTTTGGATAACTGTTTGGCACTTTCTTATGAAGTTAAACACACACTTACCACACTAACCAGCCATATTACTCGTAGGTATTTACTTAGAAATAAAAACACATGTTCTCAAAAATTCCCTTTTTTTTCTTTTTTGAGACATGGTCTCACTCTGTCACCCAGGCTGGAGTGCAGTGGCATGATCTCGGCTCACTGCATCCTCCTTCTCCCAGACTCAAGTGATTCTCCTACCTCAGCCTCCCGAGTAACTGGGACCATAGGCACCTGCCATCACACCTGGCTAAATTTTGTATTTTTTGTAGAGGCGGGGTTTCACTATGTTGCCAAGGCTGGTCTCAAACTCCTGAGCTCAAGCAGTCTGCCCTCCTCAGCCTCCCAAAGTGTTGGGATTACAGGCGTGAGCCACTGCGCCTGGCCCACAAAAATTCTTACACAGTAATAATGTGGCCGGGCGTGGTGGCTCACGCCTGTAATCCCAGCACTTTGGGAGGCCGAGGTGGGTGGATCACGAGGTCAGGAGATCAAGACCATTCTGGCTAACACAGTGAAACCCCGTCTCTACTAAAAATAGAAAAAATTAGCCGGGCATCGTGGCGGGCACCTGTAGTCCCAGCTACTTGGGAGGCTGAGGCAGGAGAATGGCGTGAACCCGGGAGGTGGAGCTTGCAGTGAGCCGAGATCACGCCACTGCACTCCAGTTTGGGCAACAGAGCGAGACTCCGTCTCAAAAAAAATGTTCATAGCATCTTTAGTCATAATAGCCAGAAACTGGAAACAGACAAGATATCCATTAACAGATAAAAGAACTATGGTATGCAATGGAATACAACTCAGCAGTAAACAGCAACTAACTACTGACACATGTAACAATATTGAAACTCAAAAGAAGCCAAACAAATATATACATACTGTATGATTTCATTTACATGAACTTCTAGAATATGCAAACCTGACCTCTGGTGATAGAAATCAGATCAGTGATTGTTTCTGTGTTGGGACTGGGCCTTGACTGGGAAGGAGCATGAGTACTGGAAGTGTAAGTGGCGATAGGGATGTGGTCATACAAGTATATGTATTTTTCAAAAATAAACAGTACATTTAAGAATTTGTAAATTATAAAGCAATTTTTAAATCCTACTCAAAATCTCACTGCTTGGAGATAACCATATTTCAGTTTATATCAGCACTTTTTAAAAATGCATTTTTATAAATGGAATCACAGTATAAATGCTATTCAATAATCTGATTTATTTTATTCAAGTATATTGTAAACATTTCCTCATGACACAAAATCTTTTTTTTTTTTTTTTTTTTTTGAGACGGAGTCTTGTTCTGTCACCCAGGCTGGAGGGGAGTGGTGTTGTGATCTTGGCTCAGTGCAACCTCCACCTCCCGGGTTCAAGCGATTCTCCTGCCTCAGACTCCTGAGTAGCTGAGAGTACAGGCTCCTGGCACCATGCCTGGCTAATTTTTGTATTTTTAGTAGAGACAGAGTTTCACCATATTGGCCAGGCTGGTTTCAAACTCCTGACCTTGTGATCTGTCCTCCTCGGCCTCCCAAAGTGCTGGGATTACAGGCATGAGCCACCACGCCTGGCCTCAAAATCTTACATAATTATGGCTTTGTGGTTTTCTTTTAAAACGAGTCCCCTTCAAACTATTTGCTGGAAACCTAAGTGTAAAACAGATGAAAGCTGAGCTGCTCCAACTGAATGAGATGAAAGAAGAATGGTCGAATTATATGACCTATAAGATTCACTCTAGGTCTAAAATATACTTCTCTGTGTAAGAGAGTTATATGTCCCCTATACTGTGCTCCTTTTCTTGTAATCTTTTTTCCATGATCCTGCTAATTGGGAAAATAATAACATTTATTTGGAGCATGTACTGTGGTCCAGGCTTTGTTCTAAGTGCTTTATGTGAATTAATTAATTTAATCTTCATATCAACCTCACAAGGTAGCCTTTTCTCATTTACAAATGGGATACTGCAGTGGAATGAGATTGGATGATTTGCCCAAAGTCAGACATTATGGACCCCAGATTTGAACTCAGTCCGTTCAGCTCCAGAGTTTACCACTGTATTCCAGCCACCTTTCCAAATAAACTGAATCATTTTGCTTTGTACCTATGAAAAGATAGCTTTCTGTGATAATTTTGCCTTTTATATTTGTCTAGAGCTAGCCAACATGGAAGAAGATGCCAGATCAGCTGGAGTCGCTACCTTTGTTCTCCAAGAAGAATTTGATAGATATTCTGGCTATTGGTGGTGTCCAAAAGCTGAAACAAGTAAGGGGGTTCAAAATAATATATTATGGGTCAATTAAAGTATTGTTAAGATTCAACTGTCATTTAAGTGCACAGTTCTAAATCTTGGATAATAGATTTGAAAGCGGATAATAGATTCCAAAGTGATGATGATTGATTCATGCCCATAGTTATTTAAAATATGTAGATTAGGCTGGGCACAGTGGCTAACACCTGTAATCCCAGCACTTTGGGAGGCCGAGGCAGGCGGATCACCCGAGGTCAGGAGTTCGAGACCAGCCTGGCTAACATGATGAAACCCCGTTTCTAATAAAAATACAAAAAATTAGCCGGGCATGGTAGCACGCGCCTGTAATCCCAGCTACGCGGGAGGCTGAAGCAGGAGAATCGCCTGAACCCAGGAGACAGAGGTTACAGTGAGCCAAGATCACACTATTGCACTCCAGCTTGGGCAATGAGAGCAAAACTTTGTCTCAAAAATATGTACATTATGGCCGGGCGTGGTGGCTTACGCCTGTAATCCCAGCACTTTGGAAGGCTGAGGCAGGTGGATCACGAGGTCAGGAGATCGAGACCATCCTGGCTAACACCGTGAAACCCTGCCTCTACTCAAAAAAAAAAAAAAAAAATTAGCTGGGCATGGTGGGGGACGCCTGTAGTCCCAGCTACTCAGGAGGCCGAGGCAGGAGAATGACGTGAACCTGGGAGGTGGAGCTTGCAATGAGCCAAGATCACGCCACTGCACTCCAGCCTGGGCGACACAGCGAGACTCTGTCTCAAAAAAAAAAAAAAAAAAGTAGATTATATTTCATCATAATGAAGTCTAGTAAAAACCATTGTATTGTGGTTTAATGCCTCTGGCCCCTCAATTCTCTTTGCCAGTTTTTCTCCTAGAGGCTGGTCTTGGTAATGCTGGCAGCATTGGTGGCAAAATAAAAAATACCACACCTTGGCTGGGCGCAGTGACTCACGCATGTAATCTCAGCACTTTGGGAGGCCAAGGCGGGCGGATCATGAGGTCAGGAGATCGAGACTATCCTGGCCAACATGGTGAAACCCCATCTCTACTAAAATACAAAAAATTAGCTGGGTGTGGTGGTATGCACCTGTAGTCCCAGCTACTCGGGAGGCTGAGGCAGAAGAATCAATTGAACCCGGGAGGTGGAGATTGCAGTGAGCTGAGATTGCGCCACTCTGCTCCAGCCTGGCAACAGAGCGAGACTCCGTCTCGAAAACAAACAAACAAAAAACCACACCTTAATGTGTTGCTATAAAAATGTGTGATTGACTAGAGAGTCTGTTAAACAGATGACCAAATCAGTATATGAATGGATAGGATAAAAGGGAAAAAATTCCTCCCCTTCTTGTGGCAAATTCACAAGTATCTCACTCTCTGAGAAGAAGCTCACTAAAGCATGGCCTTCAAACTTTTTGACCATGATCCAGTTAGAAGTGTACTTATATTGTGGCCTAATACATATACTGTATAGATAAAACTGAAAACGAATTTCAAGAAGCAATACTTATTCTTATGTGTAATGCTCCCTGATACTGTTATGCTGTTTTGTTTTTGTTTTTGGGTTTTTTTTTTTTTTTTTTTTTTTTTGAGGCAGGGTCTCTGTTGTGCAGGCTGGAGTGCAGTGGTGCAATCTCAGCTCACTGCAAAGTCTGCCTCCCGGGCTCAAGCAATCCTCTCACCTCAGCCTCTCAAGTACCTGGGACTACAGGCACAAGCCACTACACCCAGCTAATTTTTGTATTTTTTTTTAGAGATGGGGTATTGCCGTGTTGCCCAGGGTGTGGTTTGTGTGTTGTATTTTAAAAAATACTGATTATGACCCGTTAACAGATTTCATGACCTACTCATGGTTTGGAGCTAGCAGTCTGAACGCTTCTCTAAGAGACCCTGAAAAATACTTTTAAGCCATGTCTTGGATTTGGACATTTTATTTTAAGATGTGAAATGTTTTGTTGTATTTGTTAGAAGATGATTTTTACATAAATACAGAAACTATTCAAAACAACTGAACTGTATTTAAGTAGTATTTATTTTTTTAATAGGAAATATTATACATGTAATTAAATATTTCATTTTTCAACAAAGAATGCATTTTATGGTATGCAAGAACAAAGTCCTACAAAAATGTTTTTCCCTGTTTTAAAAATATGTATACATATCATCTCCAGTTGTTTTCCCTCCAAAAGAAGTGGCTTAACAATAACTCACCTTGCTACTGCAAAGACTAGTGATATTTTCCTACAAAAAAGGCAGCATATTTTATACATAAGTTATTCTTCACTATAAGAAATCTGATACTAGAAGGAACGGTTGGTTATGACTACTCTCTGGAATAATTCTTCTAAATTTTCAATATTTAAATTTCTTTTAAGCTCCCAGTGGTGGTAAAATTCTTAGAATTCTATATGAAGAAAATGATGAATCTGAGGTGGAAATTATTCATGTTACATCCCCTATGTTGGAAACAAGGAGGGCAGATTCATTCCGTTATCCTAAAACAGGTACTGTACTCCATTGGCATTTATATTCACTCATTTCCTCTTTCCAAATAAGATTCTTTCTGTAGTCATCCAAAGGTGTAGCCAACAACATTGGTCATTTCCAGCCTTATTTACGACGGGTTGTTCACTAAGTACCACAAAAATAGATTTTGAATTAAAGGGTGATCTTTTTGATTCTTTTCAAAGGTAGGGATGTCTACACAATTGGTTTCCTCAAGGAATGAATTAGAAGGTATCTTTGCGCCGGGCGTGGTAGCTCACGTCTGTAATCTCAGCACTTTGGGAAGCTGAGGTGGGTGGATCACTTGAGGTCAGGAGTTTGAGACCAGCCTGACCAACATGGTGAAACCCCATCTTTACTAAAAATACAAAATTAGCCAGGCATGGTGGTGCATGCCTGTAATCCCAGCTACTTGGGAGGCTGACGCAGGATAATTGCTTGAACCCAAGAGGCAGAGGTTGTAGTGAGTTGAGATCATGCCATTGCACTCCAGCCTAGGCAACAAGAGTGAAACTCTATCTCAGAAAAAAAAAAAGAAGGTGTCTTTGCTAGCAAATACAGATTTTTAAGTGATATTTTTCATAATAAGTGATTTTTTTCCATTTTGCTTCTTACAGCATTTCAATTGTAAAAATAATACATAATTTCACTTTTCACTTTATTTCATTCTTGCTCTTTTCAGCCCCCCTTTTTTTTATTTTAAATTTTATTTCAGTAGTTTTTGAGGAACAGGTGGTTTTCGGTTACATGGATAAGTTCTCTAGTGGTGATTTCTGAGATTTTGGTGCACCCGTCACCCGAGCAGTGTACACTGTACCCAATGTGTAGTCTTTTATTCCTCACACCCACCACCCTTCCTCTGGAGTCCCCAAAGTCCATTATATCATTCTTATGCCTTTGTGTCCTCATAGCTTAGCTCCCACTTATCAGTGAGAACATGATACTTGGTTTTCCATTCTTGAGTTACTTCACTTAGAATAATGGTCTCCAGCTCCATCTAGGTTGCTGTGAATGCCATTATTTTGTTCCTTTTTATGGTTGAATAGTTGTTGAATTCCATGTTGTATATATACTACATTTTTTTAATCCACTTGTTGGTTGATGGGCAAGCACCTCATTTTTATTTTACTTTTTTAAGACAGTGTCTTGCTGTGTCATTCAGGCTGGAATGCAGTGGTGTGATCTTGGCTCACTATACCTCCACCTCCTGGGCTCAGGCCATTTTCCCACCTCAGCCTCCTGAGTAGCTCGACCAGCCTGGTGCGGCTAATTTTTGTTTTTTGTTTTTGTTTTTTTTTTTGCTCTGTCACCCAGGCTGGAGTGCAATGGCACAATCTCAGCTCACTACAACCTCCGCCTCCCAGGTTCAAGTGATTCTCCTGCCTCAGCCTCCCGAGTAGCTGGGATTACAGGCGCCCGCCGCCACACCTGGCTAATTTTTGTATTTTTAGTAGAAACAGGGTTTCACCATGTTGGCCAGGCTGGTCTCGAACTCCTGACCTCGTGATCTACCTGCCTCAGCCTCCCAAAGTGCTGGGGTTACAGGCCTGAGCCACTGCGCCCGGCCGTTTTTTTTGTGTTGTTTTTTTTTTTTTGAGACAGAGTCTCGCTGTGTCGCCCAGGCTGGAATGCAGTGGCACGATCTCAGCTCACTTCAACCTCTGCCTCCCGAGTTCAAGCAATTCTCCTGCCTCAGCCCCCTGAGTAGCTGGGATTACAGGCGTGTGCCACCACACCTGGCTAATTTTTGTATTTTTAGTAGAGATGGGGTTTCACCATGTTGGTCAGGCTGGTCTCAAACTCCTGACCTCAGGTGATCCACCTGCCTCGGCCTCCCAAAGTGCTGGGATTACAGGCGTGAGCCACTGCACCCTGCCTAATTTTTGTATTTTTTGTAGATATGGGGTTTTACCATGTTGACCAAGCTGGTCTTGAATTCCTGAGCTCAAGTGATCTGCCTGCCTTGGCCTCTCAAAGTGCTGGGATTACAGGCGTGAGACAGCATGCCTGGCATATACGTTACTCTTGACTTAACTAAAGTGTAAAGAGAATTGATCTGGCAAAATTAATTTGAGTAATTTTGGGTAAGCATTACTATTCATTTATGTCTCTTTCTTTCTTTTCTTTTTTTTTTTTTTTTTTTTGAGATGGAGTCTCGCTCTTGTTACCGAGGCTGGAGGGCAGTGGCACGATGTCAGCTCACTGCATTCTCCACCTCCCAGGTTCAAGTGATTCTCCTGCCTCAGCCTCCCAAGTAGCTGGGATTACAGGCGCACACCACCACGCCCAGCTAATTTTTGTATTTTTAGTAGAGATGGAGTTTCACCATGTTGGCCAGGGTGGTCTCAAACTCCTGACCTCAGGTGATCCACCTGCCTCAACCTGCCAAAGTGCTGGGATTACAGGCGTGAGCCACTGCACCCGACCTATACGTTATTCTTAACTAAAGTGTAAAGAGGATTGATCTGGCAAAATTAATTTGAGTAATTTTGGATAAACATTACTATCATTTATGTCTCTTTCTAAAGGTACAGCAAATCCTAAAGTCACTTTTAAGATGTCAGAAATAATGATTGATGCTGAAGGAAGGGTAAGTATAAAATGCTGAGTTGACCTTCTGCGTCATTTGACTAATCTATTCAGCCCAGTAGGGTTCTTTGATACACTTTTTTATTTTTGGACTTGCTGAACTTGCTGAGATATCGGTGGATCATGATTTTAGATTGACCTAATTTTTTACTTGCAAATCATCCTGCTGGTTCATAAGATGGGAATATGGGGATATGCATATTAACCACTCCTTTCCAATAGTTTTTCTGTTCGCCTTTATTCTCCAGATTAATGTTAAAAGAAAAAAAGGTAGTTATTGACTGGTTACCTTCTGTGTTGGGTAGATATCTGTGGTGCATTAAATATCCCACAGTTAATTTGTACTTCTGCTTTCCATTTCGACAGCCAAGTGCTTATAAGCTGCATGCACACAAGACTAGGTAAAAAAGTCTTGCTCTTCTAGACTTTTTTTTTTTTTTTTTTGAGTTAAGAGCCAAGGTTTAACAGGCGAAAGAAAGAGAAAAGAGAATAGCTTTCTCTCCTGCAGAGAGAGAGAGGCTCCCGAGTCAGTCTTCCTCTTCTAGACTTTTTTAAAAACAGCTTTACTGAGATATATAACTCACATGTAATACGATTTATTTATTTAAACTTTAAAATTCAGTGGCTGTTGGTATATTCACAGAGTTTTGCAACCATCACCACAGGCAGTTTTAGAACATTGTTATTACCTCAAAAAGATACCCTATACTCCTGAGCCGTCATCCCCCAACCTCCTCATATCCCCCAGCACTAGGCAACCTTTTTTTTTTTTTTGAGACAGAGTCTTGCACTGTCACCCGGGCTGGAGTGCAGTGGCGTGATCTTGGCTCACTTCAGCCTCTGCCTTCTGGGTTCACATGATTCTCCTGCCTCAGCCTCCCGAGTAGTTGGAATTACAGGCGCACCACCACACCCAGCCAATTTTTTGTATTTTTAGTAGAGACGGGGTTTCACTATGTTGACCAGACTGGTCTCAAGCTCCTGACCTCATGATCTGCCCACCTCGGCCTTCCAAAGTGCTGGGATTACAGGCATGAGCCACCGTGCCCAGCCTAGACAACCATTAATCTACTTTCTATCTCTATAAATTTGCCTATTCTGGACATTTCATATAAGTGGAATCATACAATATGTAGTTTGGTCTCCTTGACTTAGATTGTTTTCAAGGTCCATCCATGTTGTACCATGTGTCAATACTTCATTTATTTTTAATTGATGAATAATACCTTTATATGGATATACCATATTGTATTTATCAGGTGATGAACATTTTGATTGTTTCCATTTTATGGCTATTATGAATAATGCTGCCATGAGTATGTGTGTACAAGTTTTTGTGTGGGCTTATGTTTTCATTTCTCTGGAGTATATACCTAGGAGTAGAATTGTTGAGTTATTGGATGACTATTTTTTTAACCTTTTGTGGAACTGCTAAAGTGTTTTTCCAAAGTGGCTGCACTATTTTATTTTATTTTATTTTATTTTATTTTATTTTATTTTATTTTATTTTATTGTTTGAAGAAAAGTCTCCAGCCTGCCTAATATGGTAAAACCCCATCTCTACTAAAAATACAAAAAAGAGAAAGGTCTCACTTTGTCACCCAGCCTGGAGTATGGTGACACAATTACAGCTCAACCCAGCCTCAGCCTCTCAGGCTCAAGTGATCCTCCTGCCTCCGCCTTCTAAGTAGCTGGGACCACAGGCACACACCACCATGCCCCGCTAATTTTATTTTTCGTAGCGACAGGATTTCCCTATGTTGCCCAGGCTGGTCTTGCACTCCTGGGCCCAAGTGATCCTCTCACTTCAGCCTCCCAAAGTGCTGGGATTACAGGTGTGAGCCACCACACTCAGCATGTACTATTTTATTATATTCCCACCAGCAGTGGATTAGATTTCCAGTTTCTCCACATTATCACCAATACTTCTTCTTGTCCATTATATTTACTATAGCCATCCTATTGTGTTTTTTTGTTTTTTTATTTTATTTATTTATTTTTTTGAGATGGAGTCTTGCTGTGTCCCCCAGGCTGGAGTGCAGTGGTGCGATCTCGTCTCACTGCAAGCTCCGCCTCCCGGGTTCACGCCATTCTCCTGCCTCGGCCTCCAGAGTGGCTGGTACTACAGGTGCCCGCCAAGATGCCCGGCTAATTTTTTTATATTTTTAGTAGAGACAGGGTTTCACCGTGTTAGCCAGGATGGTCTCGATCTCCTGACCTTGTGATTTGCCCGCCTCGGCCTCTCAAAGTGCTGGGATTACAGGTGTGAGCCACCACACCCGGCCCCTATTGTGTTTTAAGTGGTATCTCATTGTGGTTTTGATTTACATTTTTCTGATGGCTAACGATGTTGGGAATCATTTTCTGTGTTTATTAGCCATGTATATATTTTCTTTGGAGGACTGTCTATTCAGATCCTTTGCAGTTTTTAAAAATTATTTATTTTTTAAATTGTGTTTACTAGACTTTTAAAAGAAAAAACTTTGCTTATCCAGGACTATTTCTTTAGTATATTACACAAATGGGCCAAGCACGGTGGCTTACACCTGTAATCCCAACTATTTGGCAGACAGGCAGATCACTTCAGGTCAGGAATTCGAGACCAGCCTGGCCAACATGGTGAAACCCTGTCTCTACTAAAAATACAAAAATTAGCTGGGCGTGGTGGTATATACCCATAATCCCAGCTACTCGGGAGGCTGAGGCAGGAGAATCACTTAAACCCGGGAGGCAGAGGTTGCAGTTAGTCGAGATGGCGCCACTGCACTACAGCCTGGGTGACAGAGTGAAGACTCTCCAGTGTCTCAAGGATCACTTGAGCCCAGGAGTTTGAGACTAGACTGGGCAACATAGGGAGACTCCATCTCTACAAAAAATTTAAAAATTAATATTTTATTTAATTTCATTACAAGCACACACCTTACCTGTAGTCTCAGCTACTCAGGAGGCTGAGGCAGGAGGATCACTTGAGCCTGAGAAATTGTGAAGGCAGTAAGCTGTGATCAAGCCACTGCATTCCAGCTGGGACAACAGAATGAGACCTTGTCTCAAAAAATATATATATATACACACACACACACATATATATGTATAAATAAAATATAATTAGTGTGTGTATATATATATATATATTTCTAGGTGAAATATGGGGAACTAGGGACTATTATTTTTCTGGATACTGGAGTCTAAGGTGATTAAAACTTGATTTTACTAGTTATTATCAAGTGTTCTGTTAGTATCAACTCAAAGAAATAGATTTTTAGGCTGTGTTAAAAGTGCTTATAACTTTTTTAGGCACAGAAATTAAGTACCAGTATAGGTAACCCAGAATTTACTTCTAGATTTGCTATATCCTTTGTTCCTTTTTAATACCTAACTCTGGAAAAATTTTCTGCTTTTTGGATAAATTGTTAAAGTAGACTAGCAAGCTAATTATTTATCTAAATCTTCTATAACTAGATTCTTTTTTTTTCTTTTTTAATAGATCATAGATGTCATAGATAAGGAACTAATTCAACCTTTTGAGATTCTATTTGAAGGAGTTGAATATATTGCCAGAGCTGGATGGACTCCTGAGGGAAAATAGTGCGTATGTTAAATTGTTACTTCTTTATAACTAATTTAGGATCCAGAGCTTTGGAATATTTGTGCTATTAGGTTTGCCTTGTAGTTGGAGCTGCCTTCACATGTAAATTTGCAGTACAGTTATTACTACACAAGGCATTTTTCTTGAATTAAGTGGATTTGTGCATTTGTAATCCTATAGGCATAGGTGCACTGCAGTTGAATTCTGTCTTTATACTCAGCCAGTTATGGTTCACAGTGTTATTTGTGATTAAATCATATGGCTTTAAGGCTCAGACATAAATGTGTATTTTTTAAATTGTATAATTATAGAGCTTTATATGAGGATGATTACAAATAAATAGTTTCTGTGTCTAATGTAGACAACAGGAGTTTCACAAGACTGGCATTTGTTGACATTGATACTAAAGGGAGAAAACTTTTTTTTTTTTGAGTCATGGTCTCGCTTTGTCACCTAGGCTGGAGTGCAGTGGTGCAATCATGGCTCACTGCAGCCTCAACCTCCCTGGCTAAAGCTATCCTCCTGAGTAGCTGGGACTACGGGGACATGCCACCATGTCCAGCTAATTTTTTTTATTTTTTGTAGAGACAAGGTCTCACTGTGTTGTCAGGTTGGTCTCAAACTCCTGGGCTCAAATGATCCTCTTGTCTCGGCCTCCCAACGTGCTGAGATTACAGGTGTGAACCACTGCACTTGGCAGAACTTTTGTTTATATAGACAGGGTCTCTCTCTGTGTCACCCAGACTGTAGTGCAGTGGCATGATCGTAGCTTACTGTAAGCTCGAAATCCTGGCCTCAAGCAGCCCTCTCACCTTGACCTCCCAAAGTGCTGGGATTATAGGCATGAGCCATCATGCCAGCCTACCGGGATAAAACACTTTCACAGGCCAACTATGGTTTTGGAAATTTCAAGAAAGCCACTTTTTATAAATTCTGTTCAAGCTTAAAGTGTATTTTTAATTAACTATTTGTAAGTGATAATTTAATATACACTAAAGCAGTTCTTTCATGGTGATTACAGATATAATTGATAGGTGCCAAAGGAGATAATAGGGAAATCTTTTTCTGATAGCTTGCTTTATTTCTGGTTCTTCTCTTTTATTTATTTAAATAGTGCTTGGTCCATCCTACTAGATCGCTCCCAGACTCGCCTACAGATAGTGTTGATCTCACCTGAATTATTTATCCCAGTAGAAGATGATGTTATGGAAAGGCAGAGACTCATTGAGTCAGTGCCTGATTCTGTGACGCCACTAATTATCTATGAAGAAACAACAGACATCTGGATAAATGTATGCATTTTTTCCTGTATTTGTTTAAATATTTTCTCAGAATGCTAAAGCAAATGAAGTTATATAGCAAACTATCAAAATGCATTTTTTTTTAAGTTTAAAGGGACCATGTTATTTCTTTAGTATGAGCATTTCCAATTGGAGTGATGGTTCCAGAATGGAATGGTTTGTATTGATAGAAAGTAGATGCCATTGAAATGACATCTCCTTGGCTTCAGATTTGTTCCTGGAGATAATAGATATTAAATATACAGCCTCATCAGTGCTCCTGAGAGGACTTCATGAGTCTGGTCTAGAAAAGACTTTCTCTTTTATGTTGGTAAACTGTACCAAAATATACCAATTCTTTTTTTTTTTTTTTTTTTTTTTTTGAGACGGAGTCTCGCTCTGTCGCCCAGGCCAGACTGTGGACTGCAGTGGTGCAATCTCGGCTCACTGCAAGCTCCGCTTCCCGGGTTCACGCCATTCTCCTGCCTCAGCCTCCCGAGTAGCTGGGACTACAGGCGCCCGCCACCGCGCCCGGCTAATTTTTTGTATTTTTAGTAGAGACGGGGTTTCACCTTGTTAGCCAGGATGGTCTCGATCTCCTGACCTCATGATCCACCCGCCTCGGCCTCCCAAAGTGCTGGGATTACAGGCGTGAGCCACCGCACCCGGCCAATATACCAATTCTTAATTGAATTTTGAATTTTCCAATTTAGCAGACAAATTTAAATAAGATACAAAATAAATAAAGCCATCTCACTTCCTAGCTGAATATAAGCTTCATATGATTCACCTATGAACACCTGTTTTCCCCTGAACTATTAGAAAAATTCTTTTTGGAAAACAAAAATAAAAAAAATTACCTCATCTTTCTGTAACAAGATTTATATTATTAAACAAACCTTGTGCCATGTTTCAAGGATTATAGAGATGTTGAGTAAGAAAAAACTTTTGGTCATATTTTTCTTTTTTACTCCATTTGAAAACATTTACTTCTCAGTGGAAAAAGTCTTTGACTAAAGTAAAATAAATCTGAAAGCCCCAAGCAAAATTTATTACTGTAAATATAGCATTCCTTTGGCATTGATGGTTATTTATATTTCAAAGTATATTTATCAAGAAATTTTTCCTGTAGCCTAATTGAATTATGTAGTATTTTCATAATATGTATAGTAAATTTAGCTATTCATTTTACAGATCCATGACATCTTTCATGTTTTTCCCCAAAGTCACGAAGAGGAAATTGAGTTTATTTTTGCCTCTGAATGCAAAACAGGTTTCCGTCATTTATACAAAATTACATCTATTTTAAAGGAAAGCAAATATAAACGATCCAGTGGTGGGCTGCCTGCTCCAAGTAAGAAATCCATTTTATTTTAAAAAAAGAAAAAATGTTGGAAGCAGAAGGTGGGAGGGACAGGGGAATGTATCTTTTGCATGCTTTATAAGCATCAATACTTGCTTTGTTAAACTTAATATGTAAGTTAAACTAAAACATAAATACATGTATGTGTAAAAAACACAGGACAATGTTCTTAATGGATTGACACGTATTATAAAGTATTAATAGTGAATAATCTCTTAAATAACAGGATTACTGATTTTTACTTTTTACTTTTGCCTTGACTGCAATTTTTAATTTGTTTAAAGTGAGCCCATTTAAAAAAAACTATTTTTGGCTGGGTGCAGTGGCTCACACCTATAATCCCAGCACTTTGGGAGGCCAAGGCAGGCGGATCACCTGAGGTCAGGAGTTTGAGACCAGCCTGGCCAACATGGTGAAACACCATCTCTACTAAAAATACAAAAATGATCCGGGCGTGGTGGTGTGCACCTGTAGTCTTAGCTTACTCGGGAAGCTGAGGCAGGAAAATCACTTGAACCCAGGAGGCGGAGATTGCAGTGAGCCAAGATCACGCCACCACACTCCAGTCTGGCAACAGAGCAAAACTCTGTCTCAACAGAAAAAAAGACAACACTATTTTTTTTAAATGTTATGTAATTATTAGATATTTTTACACACTAGATGTTTCTTATACTATCTGCATCTACACTGGAGTTAATTTATAGTTATAGGTCTTTGGATTGATATAATTATGTTGCCCAAAGTAAAATTAAATGTTATATCAGCTGAAGTTAATTTTTCTTTAAAAAGTGGTTTTCCTTAAGTGGTGGTTTTCCTTCTGGAAAATATAATACGGAATGGATGCATAAGCCTAGGAAAAGTAAATGGGTACATAGAACACTTTTCCTGGGTTTTCCTAAAACCGAGTTACAGTTCTCAACTTTAATAATATAGTTTGTTTTAGAATAGGAAGCACTTTATGATAAGTTATGTTGTATGCTTAACTGCCATTTGTAACTTAACAGATTTGGCATGGTCCTTTTTAATAATTGTGGAAAAAGGCCCGGCACGGTGGCTCACGCCTGTAATCCCAGCACTTTGGGAGGCCGAGGCAGGCGGATCATAAGGTCATGAGATTGAGACCATCCTGGCTAACACAGTGAAACCCCCTCTCTACTAAAAATACAAAAAAAAATTAGCCGGGCGTGGTGGTGGGCGCCTGTAGTCCCAGCTACTCAGGAGTCTGAGGCAGGAGAGTGGCGTGAACCCGGGAGGCAGAGCTTGCAGTGAGCCGAGATCGCGCCACTGCACTCCAGTGTGGGCAACAGCAGGAGACTCTGTCTCAAAAAAAAAAAAAAAAAATTGTGGAAAAGTATACATAACAAGATTTAACATTGTGACCATTTTTTCCACTTTTAAGGGTATAGTTTAGTGACATTGAGTATGTTTTTATATATATATACATTTTTTAAATTAATTAATTCATTTATTTTTTTGAGACGGAGTCTCGCTCTTGTCACCCAGGCTGGAATGCAGTGGTGCTATCTCGGCTCACTGCAACCTCCGCCTCCCGGGTTCAAGCAATTCTCCTACCTCAGCCTCCTGAGTAGCTGGAATTATAGGCATGCACCACCATACCCAGCTAATTTTTGTATTTTGGCCGGGCTGGTCTCGAACTCCTGACCTCATGTGATTCACCAGCCTTGGCCTCCCAAAATGCTGGGATTACAAGCGTGAGCCATCTCACCCGGCTGATTATGTTCATGTTGTTGTGCAATCATCACCACCATCTGTCTCCAGAATTTTTTTCATCTTCCAAAACTGAAACTATCCATTAAATAGTCACTTTCTATTACCCCCTTCCCCCAATCTCTGGCAGCCACTTTGTCTCTGTGAATGTAACTACTCTAGATGTCTTATTTAGTGGAGTCATACAGTTTTTGTCCTTTTTTGACTGGCTTGTTTACGTAGCATAATGTCCTCAAGTTTCATCCATTTTGTAGTGCATGTCAGGATTCCTTTCCTTTTTAGGGCTGAGTAAGGTTTCGTTGTATGTATATACCACATTTTGTTTATCTGTTCATCTGTTGATGGGCACTGGGATTGGTTCCACCTTTTGGCTATTGTGAATAATGCTGCTGTGGACGTGGGTGTACAAGTATCTGTTCCTGTCCCTGCTTTCAATTCTTTTGGGTATGTACTCAAAAGTGGAATTTCTGGATCATATGGTAATTCTATTTTCAGTTTTTTGAGGGGCTACCATACTGTTTTCCATAGGAGCTACACCATTGGAACACCAACGGTAGTGGCTACTGCTACCCCATTTTACATTCCCACTAACAGTGCACAGGGTTTTAATTTGTCTACGTTCGGATGATAGTTGTTATATTCTGCTTTTTTAATAATAGCCCTCTTAGTCTTTCTTGCTCCAAGTCATCCTCCTTTACCTTCATATCTACTTCATTTCCTTCTCCCTCCTCTTTGCTTTCTTAAGAGCTGTAATGTAAAACAGTTAGTATTTGTTATCTATATGTTAACATATAATTTTATGTTTTAAAAAAATTAAATTTTATTTTAATTTCTGTCTATAGTATTTAAAGTACTAAATTGATTTTTTAATTTTTTTGTGCTCTTCGAGTTTAAAATATTTTTTTAAACTTACGTGGAACCCTAGGAAAGACACTAATACAGCCTCACCACCTAGGCCTGTCATCAGCTGTCACTCCCCACAGCAATAGATATAAGCAGTGAGGAAAAGAGAAATGATTTTCACTTTTTAAGCTGTTCCTTAGGCCGCTGAGAGAGCCTCATCAAGACAGAAGCTCATAAAAACAAATGGGTGCTGGGTGAGGTGGCCCACGCCTGTAATCCCAACACTTTGGGAGGCTGAGGCAGGCAGATTGTTTGAGTCCAGGAGTTGAGACTAGCCTAGGCAACATGGCAAAACCCCATCTCTACAAAAAAGACAAAAAAAAATTAACCAAGTGTGGTGGCATGAGCCTGTAGTCCCAGCTACTTGGGAGGCTGAGGTGGGAGGATCACCTGAGTCTGGGGAGGTAAAGGCTGCAGTGAGCTGTGATGGTGCCGCTGCACTGTAGCCTGGGCGACAGAGCAGAACAGGAAAAAAACAAAAACAAAACAAATGGGGCATGTTGACATTTGCTATGGTAAACACTTACCTGGGTTATTTTTTGGCAAATGAAGAACAATTGTATTAAACATTTTCTTTTGTGAGTTTTAAAGTAGTTTGTTGCATTTCTAGAAGAAATGCCTTGTTGAAATAGCTGATATGGCTACCTCAGAAGTGCCAGGGAGTCAAGCCAGTCCTAATTCAGTGCCTGGGGATGGATTGCACCGGGCTGGTTTTAATGCCTTTATGGCAGGTCATGTGATGGCCTATGTGGGAGTGAGACAGGGACCCCAGCCCTGCAGCTCTGGACCCTGGCTCCCTGAATGCCATAATAAGGTATATTTGAGTGGCAAAGCTGTACCCCTCACAGTGGCCAAGAGCCAGTTCTCCTGTTCCTCCAAAGCCCACACTCAGAAGATAAAGCTGGCTCGGGGCAGCAGCTGACCCAACTTCCACCTACCACTGGGGTGGAATAGAGGTATTTGGGTCTCTCTAGCCTCTCTCTGTAAATGTCATACTCTCAACTAACTACTGAGTTTAGGGGAGGGGGAGTATCCTGGCAGAAATATCACTGCATTGCCCTGGACTTCCTCCTTTACCCCAGTGTCAGAGGTAGAAGGGTACAAGTAAGAAGGCTGACCAACACCTTTAACACTGACTTTATTTATTTTTAAATCTGAAAATGTCTTGGGAAAGTTTTACAAAAAGAAAAAGAGAAATCAACAGAAACAAGTTATGAAAAAAAAACAACGAAAAGAAATGCTTTGTCAATCCATTAGACTTCTTTGTCTAACCAAAGGTTCAAGAATGCAGGTGCTTTTGAGTTTTCCTCTGGCTTTGCCAAAAAATCTCTTTTGCTGTTTTTGCATTACCTAAATAGATCATTCCATTATTATTCCAGAGTATTGTAAAGACTCATAACTTGGATTTTTTTTAACTGTAGACTTTTTTTATTGAAGTGAAATTCATAAAACGTTAAGTTAACCATTTAAAAATAAACAATTCAGGCCCATGCCTGTAATCCCAGCACTTTGAGAGGCCAAGGCCAGGGGGCTTTAGGCCAGCAGTTCAAGACCAGCGTGGGCAATATAGTGAGACCTCATTGCTACCAAAATAATAATTTGCTGGGTTTAGTGGTGTCTAGTTCTAGCTACTCAGGAGGCTGAGGTGGGAGGAAAGCTTGAGCCTAAGTGGTCAAGGCTGCAGTGAGCTGTGATCATGCCGCTGCACTCCAGCCTCAGCAACAGAGCGAGACTGTCTACAAAAAAATGAAAAATAAAAATAAACAAACAATGCAGTGGCATTTAGTACATTCACAATGCTGTGCAACCATCATCTCTGTCTAGTTCCAAAACATTTTTATTACCCCAAACATAACTTTTTGGAAAAAAGAGCTTAGAGTACTGTTCTTAATTGTTTCATTTGCTTATAGTCTGGTATAATGTACTGAATTATAATTATATTTATCTTCAGGTGATTTCAAGTGTCCTATCAAAGAGGAGATAGCAATTACCAGTGGTGAATGGGAAGTTCTTGGCCGGCATGGATCTAATGTATGTTATTTTATTCTACTGATATGTTTGGTCAGTATTACTGTGTGAATGCAGTGCTAAAAATGAGTAATGTAATTTAATATGACCCCGGTATTTTTTTTTCCGAGACAGAGTCTTGCTCTGTCGCCTAGGGCTGGAGTGCAATGGGGTGATCTCGGCTCACTACAACTTCCACCTCCCGGGTTCAAGCAGTTCTCCTGCCTCTGCCTCCCAAGTAGCTGGGATTACAGGCATGTGCCACCACGCCCGGCTAATTTTTTTGTATCTTTAGTAGACACGGGGTTTCACCATGTTGGCCAGGCTGGTCTCAAACTCCTGACCTTGTGATTCGCCCTCCTCAGCCTCCCAAAGTGTTGGGATTACAGGCGTGAGCCACTGCGCCCAGCCGACCCCAGTATTTTTAAAATATTAAGTTACGGCCTAAAATTACTCAAGTTGTTGGAAAGAAATAATCTTAGTTTAAATGATAAATCTCATTTATTTTATAGCCCTTTTATAGATGTGTTCTGATTACCAAAGGTTATTTTCTTTTCTTTTTTGTGAGACAATGTCTTGCTCTGTCACCCTGGCTGTAGTGCAGGGCACAGTCATGGCTCACTGCAGTCTCAACCTCCCAGGCTCAGACGATCCTCCCACTTCAGCCTCTGGAGTAGCTGGGACTACAGGTGTACGCCACCACGACAAGCTAATTTTTAAATTTTTGGTAGAGACAGGGTCTCATATATATTGTCTGGGCTGGTCTCAAACCTAAACACCTACTACACCTAACTATCTACTACTTGCCCCTACATTTATCAGTTTTCTTTCATGTCATGTTTACTTGTGATAGGTTAGTCTGTCTGTCTTCTCTATTTTCCCTCTATTCTTCTTTTTTTTTTTTTTTGGAGATGGAGTCTCACTCTGTCGCCCAGGTTGGAGTGCAGTGGCATGATCTTGGCTTACTGAAACTTCCACCTCCTGGGTTCAAGCAATTCTCCTGCTTCAGCCTCCCGAGTAGCTGGGATTACAGGCACACACCACCATGCCCGGCTAATTTTTGTATTTTTAGGAGAGAGGGTTTCGTCATGTTGGCCATGCTGGTCTTGAATTCCTAGGCTTGAAGGATCCTCCCACCTTGCCACCTCCCAGGTGTGAGCCACTGCGTCCTGCTCACCATTTGCTTTTCTTTTTTGAGACAGGGTCTGACTTTGTCGCCTAGGCTGGATTGCAGTGGCACAATCTTGGCTCACTACAACCTCTGCCTCCTGGGCTCAAGCCTTCCTCCCACCTCAGCCTCCCAGGTAGCTGAGACTACAGGCACACACCACCACACCCAGCTAATTTTTGTATTTTTTGTAGACGGGATTCCGCCATGTTGCCCAGGCTGGTCTCAAACTCCTGAGCTAAAGCAATCCACCTGTCTCGGCCTCCTGAAGTGCTGAGGTTACAGGTGTGAACCACCACGCCTGGCCAAGCCCACCATTTTAAAATGTATTATTGCTCCTTGATGAGAAAGGGGCATATTCATAGTTTTAGAGCCTAGCAAAAGTTGTAAGTTAGCATATGGTTTGAAAAGTAACTTAAAAATCTATTATAGACTACTTGTGTCTACATTATAAATTGCGTTTACTGGCTGGGCACAGTGGCTCACATCTGTAATCCAGCCCTTTGGGAGATGAAGGCTGGAGAATCGCTTGAGGCCAAGAGTTCAGTAACAGTTTGGGCAACATATAAGACCCTGTCTCTGCCAAAAATAAAAAATAAAAAAATTAGCTGGGCATGGTGATGCGCACCTGTAGTCCCAGCTAGTTGGAAGGCTGAGGCAGGAGAATCGCTTGAGTGCAGGAAGTCTAGGCTGCAAATGAATTATGATCACATCACTGCACTACAGCCTGGCTGAAACAGTGATACTCTGGCTCAAAAAAAACCAATAAATAAATAAATAAATAAATTGCATTTACTTCTTCTGAAGTAGTACTTGTCTTTCATTCATGTGTTTATCTTGCCCCACAAATTTAAACTTTAATCCACCACCTGCAAAGAGTGATGGGCATTTATACAGAGCTTAGATTGATAGGGAAAAGGAAGGAAGTCTACCCTGTGTTTTATTCTCAGTACCAATTCAGTGAATTCTTTAAAGAAAAAAAAATTGCGTTTTTGAAGTACCTTGCATTTGTTTCAGCTGTCACTTGGATGATCACATTCATGAGATCTCTAGGAACTCCATCCTGTATGTGTGTGACACATATAGTTGAGGTATGCTGCCAGGATTTAGTGAAGGCCTAACTAAATGTGGTTTCCTCAAATTGACAGGAAGATTTATTGAAGGATTATGTTTACTGGCTACTGTAAAAATCACTTGTAGTCTCTAAAGTGATTAAGGAGACATAATGAAGATCCAGATCCCAGGTTTGTTTTTGTTAGTAAAAACTTTAGAGTATCTGCTGGGCATGGTAGCTCAAACTTGTAGTCCCAACACTTTGGGAGGCCAGTGTCGAGGGATCACTTGTGCCCAGGAATTAGATACCAGCCTGGACAACATAGTGAGACTCCGTCTCTGCAAAAAAAATTTTAAATTAGGCAGGTGTGGTGGGGCATACCTGTAATTGCAGCACTTTGGGAGGCCAAGACAAGAGGATTGCTTTAGCCCAGGAGTTTGAGGTCAGCCTGGGTAACATAGGGAGACTCCATCTCTACCAAAAAAAAAAAAAAAAAATAGGCTGGTTATGGTGGTGCATGCCTATAGTCCCAGTAACTAAGGAGGCTGAGGTGGGAGGATCGCTTTAGCCCGGGAGGTTGAGGCTGCATTGAGCTGTGATCACAATGCTATGCTATAGCCTGGGTGTCAGAATGATACCCGCCTCAAAACAACAGCAACAACAAAAACTTCAGGGTATCAAGACTGACCTTTAAGGTCTCATTTCCACTGAGATCCTCAAGTGGCCTTCTTGTTATATATCCAAATAATTTTTTTCTGTTTTATTTTTGTTTCCAAATATTTTTTTCTGTTGAAGTACCTTGGATATTACTGTCACCTGAGAAAAAAATCTTATTGTGGAATTCTAGGTTCTGAAAACAGAAAACTACACTGATGTAAATTTCGTGCTATGTGATGATTGAAGGATGAGTCATTACATAATGCTGAGGGAACCCCAATAATTGTAATTGCATACATCTGATCCTTATTTGAGTCACCTAAACATCTACTACTTGCCACTACGTTTATCAGTTTTCTTTCATGTCATGTTTACTTGTGATACGTTAGTCTGTCTTTCCCTCTTCTCTATTTTCCCTCTTTTTTTTTTTTTTTGAGATAAGAGTCTCACTCTGTCACCCAGGTTGGAGTACAGTGGCATGATCTCAGCTTACTGCAACTTCCGCCTCCTGGGTTCAAGCAGTTCTCCTGTTTCAGCCTCCCAAGTAGCTGGGATTACAGGCATACACCACCATGCCCAGCTAATTTTTGTATTTTTAGTAGAGACAGGGTTTTGCCATGTTGGCCAGGAGGGTCTTGAACCCGTGACCTCAGGTGATCTGCCCACTTTGGCCTCCCAGAGTGCTAGGATTTCAGGCGTGAGCCACCACACCTGGCCTTTTCCTCTATTCTTTTTTTTTTTTTTTTTTGAGACAAGTCTCATTCTTGTCCCCTAGGCTAGAATGCAATGGTGCGATGTTGGCTCACTGTAACCTCTGCCTCCCAGGTTCAAGCAATTCTCCTGCCTCAGCCCCCTGACTAGCTGGGATTACAGGCACCTGCCACCAAGCCTGGCTAATTTTTGTATTTTTAGTAGAGACGGGGTTTCACCATGTTGGCCAGGCTGGTCTAGAACTCCTGACCTCACGTGATCTGCCCACCTCAGCCTCCCAAAGTACTGGGATTACAGGCGTGAGCCACCATGCCCAGCCCTTTCCCTCTATTCTTGATTTGTTTTTTGACTTAAGTTACCTTTTTCCTTCTCTACTTTTACAAGTGACTGTTCCCACCCAAAGTTGTTTTCTTTTTTCTTTCTTTTTTTTTTTTTTTTTTTTTTTTTGAGACAAGAGTCTCACTCTGTTGCACAGGCTGGAGTGCAGTAGTGCGATCTCAGCTCATTGCAACCTCCGCCTCCTAGGTTCAAGTGATTCTCCTGCTTAAGTCTCGAGTCGCTGGTATTACAGGTGCCCATCACCATGCCCAGCTAATTTTTGTGTTTTTAACAGAGATGGGGTTTTGCCATGTTGGCCAAGCTGGTCTCGAACTCCTGACGTCAGGCAATCCTCTTGCTTTGGCCTCCCAAAGTGCTGGGATTACAGGTGTGAGCCACCACACCTGGCCATCTACCCAAAGATTTCTAATGGCAGTAATTGGGTAAAGCTTTAAGACTTTTAAGCCTATGAGCTTCTTTTTCTTTTTTGAGATGGAGTCTCGCTCTGTCACCCAGGCTGGAGTGCAGTGGTACGATCTCGGCCCACTGCAACCTCTGCCTCCTGAGTTCAAGGGATTCTTATGCCTCAGCCTCCCGAGTAGCTGGGATTATGGGCATCCACTACCACACTTGGCTAATTTTTGTAATTTTTTTTTTTTTTTTTTTTTTTTGAGACGGAGTTTTGCTTTTGTTGCCCAGGCTAGAGTGCAATGGCATGATCTTGGCTCACTGCAACTTCTGCCTCCCAGGTTCAAGCGATTCTCCTGTCTCAGCCTCCTGAGTAGCTGGGATTACAGGTGCATGCCACCATGCCCAGCTAATTTTTGTGTTTTTAGTAGAGATGGGGTTTCACCGTGAGACCAGGCTGGTCTCAAACTCTTGACCTCAAGTGACCTGCCGCCTCCACCTCCCAAAGTTTTGGGATTACAGGCCTGGACCACTGCGCCCAGCTGCCTATGAGCTTTTTATTGTTAAGGGTGGTTCTCAAAGTGCTGGACCAACAGCAAAGTGTCAGCATCACCTGGGAACTTGTTAGAAGTGTACATTCTTGGCTGGGCGCAGTGGCTCATGCCTGTAATCCCAGCACTTTGGGAGGCCGAGGCAGGCGGATCATCTGAGGTCAGGAGTTCGAGACCAGCCTGGCCAACATGGTGAAACCCCGTCTCTACTCAAAATACAAAATTAGCCAGGCGTGGTGGTACATGCCTGTAATCCCAGCTACTCAGGAGGCTGAGGCAGGAGAATCGCTTGAACCTGGGAGACGGAGGTTGCAGTGAGCCGAGATCGCGCCACTGCACTCCAGCCTGGGCAACGAGAGCGAAACTCGGTCTCAAAAAGCAAAAAGAAATGCACATTCTTAGGCCCACCTCTGACATCCTGAATCAAACTCTGGTGGTGGGGCTTAGTAATCTGTTTAACAAGCCCCCCACACAATTATGATACTTCCTTGGATGTTAAGTAGTTACAGGAAAGAAGAAAACCATTGTAGATGGTGGTGAGGAATTGACTGGTTATTTTTTTAGTCTTGAAAGGCCTGACTCCCATCCGCTAGGTCAAAACGGAATGAGTCCTGATCTTTTGCAAAGATTAACACGTACTTGTAAAGTTTCATGAATATTTGTTTCCTATCATTTGTATGCTTTCTGTATGTGTCATGTGGGCCTACTTAATCCCAACTGTGTTGATTTCTATTTATGCATGCTAAAAAAATGTTTAGTGATGAAGAGGCAGCTTCCTGGGGGGAAAAAAGGCATTTAAAAATAACTTGCTTTTAGAAATTTATATGTGTTTTCATTGCTGTGTAAAAAATTTGAATTTTTTTTTTTTTTTGAGATAAGGGTCTTGCTCTGTTGCCCAGGCTGGAATGCATTGGCATGATCATGGCTCACTGCAGCTTCAAATTCTGGGCTCAAGTGATCCTTCTACTTCAGCCTTCCAAGTAGCTGGGACTACAGGGATGCATCACCATGCCCAGCTAATTTTTTCATTTTTTGTAGAAATGGGGTCTCCCTATTTTGCCCAGACTGGTCTCAAACTCCTAAGCTCAAACGATCCTCTCACTTCGGCCTCCCAAAACACTGGGATTACAGATGTGAGTCACTACATCTGGCCATTTTCTTAAACATTGTTTGAGTTGGCTGGTAGAAGATTTATAGGAACAATAAAAGAAAGCCATTTATTTGAAATCGTGCTGTAATTTGAGAAGAATATTAAGTGAATTCAGCTATTGAATTTACTTGCGGTTTTTTTGAGTTCTGAATGAAGACTTAAAAGATCTTATCCATGTTTATTTGTAAACTATACCAGTATTGAAACTGATTTAGTTCCGTTATTCCACAACCCAATAGATAAAACACGTTTGCAAATTTGTACAAAAGACCAAAAAAGTACTGCCTAAGATAATATAACACTAACTAATAAATATACAAGATAGTAAAATTAGACTTTCAAGTATGTATGAATGATTGCCCTAAGCTGCAATATAGCAGAGTATTTTTTCCCCTGTAAAGAGTTGTTATTTTAAGGAAATAATTCTTGTATTTTAAGAAAAACACACATTCTGACCAGATGGGAAACTATACAGTGTGTAACTCAGGTGTCCTTTTTCCTTCAGGGCAGGACCTGTTCTTAGCTATAAGTCATAAACAGCCAGGCATGGTGGCTCATGTTTGTAATCCCAATACTTCGGGAGGCTGAGGCAGGAGGATTGCTTGAAGCTATGGGTTTAAGACCAGCTTGGGCAACATAGTGAGGCCTCATCTCCTTAAAAACATTTAGAAACTTAGCTGGGCATGGTGGTGTATGCTTGTAGCTACTCAGGAGGCTGGGGTGAGAGTATAGCTTCAGCCTTGGATTTTGAAGCTGCAGTGAGCCATGATCGCATCATTGCATTACAGCTTGGGTAGCAGAGGTGAGACCTCAACTCTTTAAAAAATAAATAAATAAGCAAAATTAACTCAGGTTTATTAATAGTGGCAGCAAAAAAAAGAAAAAAGAAGGCATAAGTCAAGGAGTGGCTCAAGTGATTGTAAATAAAATTGGGGGTTAGCTTTGCCAAGGTCATGTTAGCCCTGATTTTGTTATTGTTGTTATCTTGTCAGATCCAAGTTGATGAAGTCAGAAGGCTGGTATATTTTGAAGGCACCAAAGACTCCCCTTTAGAGCATCACCTGTACGTAGTCAGTTACGTAAATCCTGGAGAGGTGACAAGGCTGACTGACCGTGGCTACTCACATTCTTGCTGCATCAGTCAGGTATTAAGTTTGTTTAAAAAGGGTTTTGTGTCATATTAAAACTCTCTGCTTATGTAATACTCCTTTTGAATGATGTGAAATTGGCCTGCAAAAGCCTAATTCTCTAAGGAAAAGCTTTAAAAAGCTTAATTTCAACATTGTATATGTACATAAATAGTCTCTTATAATACTCTTGCTATATCATTAGTGCAGATGTAACAGCAGATAACCTTTTCTACCTTCCTGACGAAAAATATAATTGTTTCTCCTTTCTCTAGCACTGTGACTTCTTTATAAGTAAGTATAGTAACCAGAAGAATCCACACTGTGTGTCCCTTTACAAGCTATCAAGTCCTGAAGATGACCCAACTTGCAAAACAAAGGAATTTTGGGCCACCATTTTGGATTCAGCAGGTATTCTTTTTTCCCCCTGATCCTGACGTTAAGTAGGATTAATATATTAGTACACTAAACGTGTGTCATATTTTCACATTTCCTGGACAAGTCTTTCCATCTCTCACCACTGCCTGTCCCTGAGCTGCTGAGCTCCTGATAGATCCCTCTTCTCCTATTCTGTTAGCTACTGAATAAGATGGGTTACTTCTCACTCCAAGCAGCAGCAAGTCTGGAAGGCCTTTTTGAAAATAAGGTTAAGGCCAGGTGCAGTGGCTCACACCTGTAATCCCTACACTTTGGGAGACCAAGGCGGGTGGATCACTTGAGGTCAGGAGTTCGGGACCAGCCTGGCCAATTAGTAAAACCCCGTCTCCACTAAAAATACAAATATTAGCTGGGCGTGGTGCTGTGTGCCTGTTGTCCCAGCTACTCAGGAGGCTGAGGCATGAGAATCACTTGAAGCTGGGAGGCGGAGGTTGCAATGAACTAAGATCACACCACTGAACTGCAGCCTGGGTGACAAAGCAAGACCTTGTCTCAACAAATAAAGAAAATAAGATTAAAATAGTCAAGGTGTCAGCTAGGAAACAATTTATTCACAAATTTTGATGATTTCTCAGGTAAACAAATGAACTTGAGGAGAATAGTATTCTGAACTAGTAAGACTCTTTGAGCAAGGAAGCTGCAACTTTGGAGAATAACCAGCTGATAGCTTTCTTAAACTTTTGAAGCACTTGTAATAGCTATTTTAATAAAAGAACACTTGCTCTCTCTGGAATGAGAGAAAAACTGAATTATTTGTTTAAAATATTTGATTTCTTAAACATAAATAATGGACTGGGCTGGGCGTGGTGGCTCACACGTGTAATCCCAGCACTTTGGGAGGCCGAGGTAGGTGGATGACAAGGTCAGGAGATCGAGACCATCCTGGCTAACACGGTGAAACCCTGTCTCTATTAAAAAATACAAAAAATTAGCCGGGTGTGGTGGTACACGCCTGTAGTCCCAGCTACTCAGGAGGCTGAGGCAGGAGAATCGCTTGAACCCAGGAGGCGGAGGTTGCAGTGAGCCAAGATTGTGCCACTGCTCTCCAGCCTGGGCGACGGAGTCAAAAAAAAAAAAAAAAGAATGGACTGGTTTTATGTATCATCTAATTCACTTTAATCTCCAATCTTTTTTTCTAGTATTTTCACTAACTAGCTATTTCTGCTAAGGGGTTAAGAAATTAGGCCAGGCGTAGTGGCTCATGCCTGTAATCCCAGCACTTTGGGAGGCTGAGGTGGTTGGATCATTTGAGATCAGGAGTTCAAGAGCAGCCTGGCCAACATGGTGAAACCCCACATCTACTAAAAATACAAAAACTAGCCAGACGTGGTGGTGGGCACCTGTACTCCCAGCTACTCAGGAGGCTGAGGCAGGAGAATCACTTGAACCTGGGAGATGGAGGTTGCAGTAAGCCAAGATCACACCACTGCACTCCAGCCTGGGCAACAGAGTGAAACTCTGTCTCAAAAAAAAAAAAAAAAAAGAAAAAACAAATTAGTACAGAACCAAAAAATATAAGTGTGTTTTAATGTCCACAAGCAGAATCAGAACTTGTAATATGGTGATGATCTCTGCTTAGACTGTAAATTATCTGCTGTACACAAACACTTAGGAGAGGTCTGTATAGCTTTGGTGAACCAAAAGCTAATGATGACTTTTTTCTGAGTTCTGGTTAGGCTTATTTTCTAATGATCAGAAGCAAATGTTTTTGGTCACCTACCCTGAAAAATTAAATTGACTAATAATTTACCTCACCCCCCCACCCAGCTTTATCTGTTTCTAACCAGATATATGGTTTAATCAACAATAAGTTATATTGAGCATAAAGTATCTGTATAGTTCTGCACATAGACATTTCCTAGGCTCCAAGGATTATTGGTAACACTCTGTGTCTGCTTCTGAAATAATTTGATATGTTTGTTTTGTTGTTGTTCTTTATTTGGTGGGTTTTTGTTGTTGTCGAGACAGTGTCTTGTTCTGTCGCTCAGGCTGGAGTGCAGTGGCGCAGTCACAGGGCACAGCTCAATGTAGCCTCAACCTCCTGGGCTCAGTCAATCTTCCTGCCTCAGCCTCCTGAGTAGCTGGGACTACAGGAGCACACCTCCATGCCTGGGTAATTTTTGTATTTTTTTGTAGAGACAGGGTTTTGCCATGCCACCCAGGCTGGTCACAAACTCTTGGGCTCAAGCAATCCACCCACCTCAGCCTCCCAAAATGCTAGGATTGTAGGTGTGAGCCACCGTGCCTGGCCTAGTTTTGTTTTTTTTAAATTATTTATTTATTTTTTTGAGATGGAGTCTCGCTCTGTCACCCAGGCTGGAGTGCAGTGGCGTGATCTCAGCTCACTGCAAGCTCCACCTCCCGGGTTCACACCCTTCTCCTGCCTCAGCCTCCCGAGTAGCTGGGGCTACAGGCGCCTGCCACCATGCCCAGCTAATTTTTTGTATTTTTAGTAGAGGCGGGGTTTCACCGTGTTAGCCAGGATGGTCTCAAACTCCTGACCTTGTGATCCACCTGCCTCGGCCTCCCAAAGTGCTGGGATTACAGGCATGAGCCACTGCGCCCGGCCTAGTTTTGTTTTTAAAGATGAATATACTCTTGCTTAAATTCTAGCTTATCATCTGAAAGAGGGGTGGTCAGTTTGTGTTGGCGGGGCTGACTTTTAATATCTTGTTTCTTGTTCCCAGATTGTAGCACTCCCATAAGAACTCTTTTGTAGACTCTGTTATGTTACCTATTCACAGGTCCTCTTCCTGACTATACTCCTCCAGAAATTTTCTCTTTTGAAAGTACTACTGGATTTACATTGTATGGGATGCTCTACAAGCCTCATGATCTACAGCCTGGAAAGAAATATCCTACTGTGCTGTTCATATATGGTGGTCCTCAGGTGGGCATATTTATATACATATATACATACACCCATATGCATATGTATTTTAGATCTTTTGTTTTTTAAATGTCTAGTCAGTTTAAGATTTTGAGCATTGTTGGGCATTTGCTTTTAATGACTCCGTCTTATATTCCAATTATTCAGTTTAGGGGGTCAGGAAACTGGTTTTTGTTGGAGGTTTAATTTGTAAATCACTGAGTCTTTTTTTTTTTTTTGAGATGGAGTTTTGCTCTTGTTGCCCAGGCTGAAGTACAATGGCGCAATGTCGGCTCACTGCAACCTCCGCCTCCCAGGTTCAAGTGATTCTTCTGCCTCAGCCTCCCAAGTAGCTGGGATTACAGGCATACATCACCATGCCCAGCTAATTTTTAAAATATTTTTAGTAGACATGGGATTTCACCATGTTGGTCAGGCTGGTCTCCAACTCCTGACCTCAAGTGACCCACCCGCCTCAGGCTCCCAAAGTGTTGGGATTACAGGCGTGAGCCACCGTGCCCTGCCACTAAGGCAGTTCCTTAATTTGCAGTGTGGACTATAGTTCTGTGAGGAGTGCGGTGTTCATGTCAGTAGGTAAATATGTTGCTTTCTATGTAGAGAAACTTGTTTGGGAAATAAAATGAAATAATTAAATGTCTTGGTAAATCAAAAGAGTCTTAACAGATATTTTTAGAAAGCTTTGGTAGCCTAGTGAATTCTCCCTCTTCATTCTAAAGCTGTGTCTCTCAAGCAAATTAAAATATTTTTATCAGCTAGTTAAGGCAACTGCTATACTACTATTTAGCACTGTAAGAAGTTTATACCTTGATTTTCCTTATTCTGGATTAAGTATTAGCCAATGACTGTTAAGTAAATGCTTTGACTATTGGAGTGAAATATTTTGGCCAGGCGCAGTGGCTCACGCCTGTAATCCCAGCACTTTGGGAGGCCGAGGTGGGCAGATCACAAGGTCAGGAGATCGAGACCATCCTGGCCAACAATGATGAAACCCTATCGCTACTAAAAATATAAAAATTAGCTGGGCGTGGTAGTGCGTGCCTAAAATCCCAGCTACTTGGGAGGCTGAGGCAGGAGAATCGCTTGAACCAGGGAGTCAGAGGTTGCGGTGAGCCGAGATAGTGCCACTGTACTCCAGCCTGGTGACAGAGCGAGACTCTGTCCAAAATATATATATTTTGGATGGGTGTATTGGTTAATTGCTAAATTTTAAAATTGTTTATTCTTGATTATATATCCTACACTGAGCCTTGGAAGAAATTAAAATATAATTACAGTCTTTTCATAATGCAATCCTTAGATTCAGTAATACCCTTTAATAATTATACCCAGTTATTTAGTATCTGGAAATGTATCTACATACCAAATTGTACACAAAAAAAGTAAAATAACTACATAAACCATAAAATCTCTAAATCACTTTGCCATCAAGTGTGTTTACAAACAAAATATGATTGACATTTGTATTTTCATCTACACAAGTCATGAAAGAGTTAGCCGGGCGCTGTGGCTCAAGCCTGTAATCCCAGCACTTTGGGAGGCTGAGGCAGCAGGATCACCTGAGGTCAGGAGTTCAAGACCAGCCTGGCCAACATGGCGAAACCTTGTCTCTACTAAAAATACAAAAATTAGTCGGGCGCAGTGGCAGACACCTGTAATCCCAGCTACTAGGGAGACTGAGGCAGGAGAATTGCTCGAACCTGGGAGGTGGAGGTTGCAGTGAGCTGAGATTGTGCCACTACACTGCAGCCCAGGCAACAGAGTAAGACCCTGTCTCAAAAAAGAAAGAAAGGAAGTTAAATTTTAGACTTCTGGTTAAAGCTTGAAGTCAAATATTTGTAAACTTTAAAAAAAAAAAAACGGTCGGCTGTGCGCGATGGCTCAAGCCTGTAATCCCAGCACTTTGGGAGGCCAAGGCAGGCGGATCATGAGGTCAGAGGTTCAAGACCAGCCTGGCCAACATAGTGGAACCCTGTGTCTACTAAAAATACAAACATTAGCCAGTGGTGGCAAGTGCCTATAGTCCCAGCTACTTGGGAGGCTAAGGCAGGAGAATCGTTTGAACCCAGGTGCTGGAGGGTTGCAGTGAGCCAAGATCGTACCACTGCACTCCGGCCTGGACAACACAGCGAGACTCTGTCTCAAAAAAAAAAAAGGCTTAATAGAAAGCAACTCAAGAGAAAAATCATAGGACACTCTCAAGCTTTATACATTTGTTAAATTATTTTGATGGTAAGACTAAATAAGAAGATTTTCCCCTCCCAGTGAAGAAATGATACAGTATATAGGATTGTTAAAAGACATTCTAAAAACTAGATTTTAAAGATTAGGCTGGGTGTAGTGGCTCATAACTGTAATCTCAGCAATTTGGGAGGGAGGATCACTTGAGCCTAGGAGTTGGGAGACAAGCCTGAGCAACAAAGTGAGACCCCGTCTCTACAGAAAAATAAAGTTAGCTAGGCGTGGTGGCTCATGCCTGCAGTCCCATCTACTCAAGAGGCTGAGGCAGGAGGATCCCCTGAGCCCAGGAGTTCGAGGTTGCAGTGAGTCATAATCATGCCGCTATACTCCAGCCTGGGTGACAGAGCAAGATCCTGTCTCAAGAAAAAGATTTAAAGGATTCCTTATATGAGTAATTAAGTTTAAAGAGGCTTAGCCACATGAAAAGATGCTCAATATGACTAGTCATTAGGGAAATGCAAATCAAAGCCACTGTGAGATACCAGTTCACACCCATTGGATTGGCTGTTATCAAAAAGAGGAAAATATTAAGTGCTGTACAAGATGTAGAGGAATTGGAACCCTGCCTGGTTCATTGCTGGTGAGAATATAAAATGTTATAGCTGCTGTGGAAAACAGTATGGCATTTCCTCAAAATGTCAAACATAGAATTACTATATGAGCCAGAAATTCCACTTCTTGGTATATACCCAGAAGAATTGAAAATATGGACAGGAACAGATACTTATACAGCCATAGCCATAGCAGCATTATGCACAATAGCCAAAAGGCAGTGCACGTGTCCATCAACAGATGAATGGATAAACAAAATGTGGTCTATACATACAACGGAATATTATTTTATTCAGCCTTAAAAAGGAGGATGTTCTGACATATAGTATAACACTGATGAACCTAGAGGGCATTATGCTAAGTGAAATAATTATTGCCAGACACAAAAGGACAAATATTATTCCACCTGTATGAGGTACCTATAATAGGCAAATTCATAGGGATAGAAAGTAGAATAGAAGTTGTCAGGGACTGGATGGAAGGAGGATGGGGAGTGTTTGAGTGCTTTGTTTGTTTGATTCTTTGTTTTTGAGACAGTCTCGCTCTGTCTTCCAGGCTATAATGCAGAGGCATGATCTCAGCTCACTGCCTCCTCCACCTCCTGGGTTCAAGCGATTCTCCTGCTTCAGCGTCCCTAGTAGCTGGGATTACAGGCGTGCACCACCATGCCTGGCTAATTTTTTGTATTTTTAGTAGAGACAGGGTTTCACCATGTTAGCCAGGCTGGTCTCGAACTCCTGACCTCAAATGATCCACCCGCGTCAGCCTCCCATAGTGCTGGTATTACAGACGTAACCCACCATGCCTGTCTGGAAGTTATTAATGGGTACAGAATTTCTGTTTGGGTGATGAAAAAGTTCTGGAAATGGATAGTGGTGATGGTTACACAGCAGCATGAATATATTTAATGTCATTGAATTGTATGCTTAAAATGGTTGAAATGGTAAATTTTATATATATTTTACCATAATTTAAAAAATGTTAGCCAATTCAATTAAAACAATTTTTTTTTTTTTGAGATGGAGTCTCGCTGTGTTGCCTAGGCTGGGGCGCAGTGGCACGATCTCGGCTCACTGCAACCTCCACCTCCCAGGTTCAAGCAATTCTTTTGCCTCAGCCTCTTGAGTAGTTGGGACTACAGGTGCGCAGCACCATACCTGGCTAATTTTTATATTTTTAGTAGAGATGGGGTTTCACCATGTTGGCCAAGATGGTCTCGAACTCCTGACCTCAGGTGATCTACCCACCTCGGCCTCCCAAAGTGCTGGGATTACAGGCGTGAGCCACTGCACCTGGCCAAAACAAAAATTAATTGTTTAGAATACTTTATGCAGTACAGCTATGCTTTTTTGCACTTACCGAACAGTCATATTTGAAAGGCTATGAGTGAATTTCACCATGTGGTTTTTGAAAAACTATAGGTGACTTAGGATGATTTATTGATTTCTTTCTCAGAATATTCTTTGGAAAAATTCAAATTTGGTGAGGCCAGAGAAGAATCTGGGCTGGGTGTGGTGGCTCATGCCTGTAATCCCAGCACTTTGGGAGGCTTAAACAAGAGGATCGCTTTAGCCCAGGAGTTCGAGACCAGATAGGGAGACCCCCATCTCTACAAAAAATAAAAAAATTAGTTGGGCATGGTGGCAAACACCTCTGGTCCCAGCTACTTGGGAGGCTGAGATAGGAGGATTGCTTGAGCCAGGGAGTTTGAAGTTGCAGTGAGCTGTGATCATGCCATTGCACTCCAGCCTGGACAAGAGAGTGAGACCATGTGTCAAAAGAGAAGAAACAGAAGAATCTGGCCAGGTGTGGTGGCTCACGCTTGTAATCTCAGCGCTTTGGGAGGCCGAGGTGGGAGGATTAGTTGAGCCCAGGAGTTTGAGACCAGCCTGGGCAACACAGCAAGACCCCCCCCGCCTTTTTTTTTTTTAAGGTTAAAAAAAAAATAAAGAATCTGGTGTTCAGTTTGCAGGGAGATTTTCCCATGAGATTTCACATGATATAGTGCCCCTGTCCCTTCAGCCTCTTGGAAGATCATTCATCTTCTTGCTTGATGACTTCATTTGGGTTAATTATGAAGTGACTCTCTAATGTAGGACTAGGTCTTTTAATAGCACATAATAACATTGTAAAATTTGTTTAAATCTTTTAAGAGTATGATGTTCATGTGGTCAAAACTGTTCTTTCTTGGTGTGTATTCACGTCTAAGTGGAAATATGTTGAAACAGCAACAGTGTCACAATTCATAACATGAAGCGAATTACTTTGTCACTAAAGGCAGCAATTTCTGTAGGTCAGGAAAGAGTGAAATACAAGAAAAGCAGCAGATATTTCCCACTAAAGTTATCAAGGATCAGTTCCTTAAACTTTCCATTATTAACAGCTGTGTTTCTAAACATTTATTTAACAAGGCTGGGTAAGGTGGCTCATGTCTGTAACCCCAGCACTTTGGGAGGCTGAGGTGGGCGGATGACTTGAGGTCAGGAGTTTGAGACCAGCCTGGCTAACATGGTGAAACCCCGACCTTATTAAAATTACAAAAATTAGCCAGGCATTGTGGTGCACACCTATAATCCCAGCTACTCGGGAGGCTGAGGCACGAGAATTGCTTGAACCTGGGAGGCGGAAGTTGCAGTGGGCCGAGATCACGCCATTGCACTCCTGCCTGGGTGACAGAGCAAGACTACATTTCAAAAAACAAAAAAAGTTTGTGTAACAAATACTTATGTTTCCTAGAATGTGCCAGACACTGTTCTGCAAATAAAAATCCAAAGAGATCAGGCTAGATGATAACAGGACACAGGTTTTGAAGAATTGATACTGAAGGAGACTTTTGGATTCCCAGTGCCAAAAGGCATTATATTTAAGTGTTCATATCAAGCAATTGAGACCATCTTCTATACATGGTAGCAGACAAAGAAGTGAGGTGATTTTCTTTAAATGTTCATATTCGTGTACTTCTCTGCCTAGTATTTCTTCTTTCAGCACTCTCCCTTTAAAGACAAATATCTTTAGCCAGGTGCTGTGGCACACACATGTAATCCCAGCTATTCAGAGGCTGAGGTGGGAGGATTACTTGAGCCCAGGAGTTCGAGGCTGTAGTGAACTATGATTGTACCACCACACTCCAGCCTGGGGTACAGAGTGAGACACCATCTCTTAAGTAAATAAATAAATACAAGTGCCTTTACTCACCAAACGCCCTCTTCCCAAGGTAGAAATGGGAAAAAAACATTATTCTCCTGTTTCTCTTTTTCATTCATTCATTTAGCAAACAGGTATTAAGTTCCTGTGATGTGCTAGGTACTGTTCTAGGCAGTGAGGATACCCAGTGAACATGTCAGACTAATATTCCACTTCATGGACCATAAAGGGAAAATAATAAGCAAACATAAAAAGATATGATGGTGAGACCCCATCTCTACAAAAAAATTTAAAAATTAGCCAGGCATGGTGGTGCACACCTGTAGTCCCAGCTACTTGAAGGCTGAGGCAGGAGGATCACTTGAGCCCAGGAATTTGAGGCAGCACTGAGCTATGATTGTACCACTGCACTCCAGCCTGGAGACCCCATCTCTTAAAAAAAAAAAGTATGACTTTTTTTGTTTGTTTTTTGAGACAGAGTCTCACTGTGTTGCCCAGGCTGCAGTGCAGTGGTGTGATCTTTGCTCACTGCAACCTCTCTGCCTTCTGGGTTCAAGCAATTCTCATGCCTCTGCCTCCCGAGTGACTGGGATCACAGGCACTCCCCACCATGCCCAGCTAATTTTTTGTTTTTGGTAGAGACGGGGTTTCGCCATGTTGGCCAGGCTGGTCTCGAACTCCTGACCTCAGGTGATCCACCCGCTTCAGCCTCCCAAAGTGCTGGGATTACAGGTGTGAACCACCACGCTCAGCCCAAAAGTATGACTTTTTATAATGGAAGTTCTATGAAGATTTGCTGGGAAAGGGGATGGCAAGACCTCTCCTGAGGTTACAAACATTGAGAAGGAATGAGCCATGCAAAAGATGTGAGAGAAAAGCATTCCAGACACAGAAAACGGTAAATGTCAAGTTCCTGGGGCTAGAACCAACTTGATAGTGTTGACAATAAGGTTAGAGTACAGTGCACTTGGAGGGAAATGGTATGAGATGAGGTCAGAGGTAGCCAAAGATCTCAAGGGCCATGTAGACTTATTCTGAAGGGTAATGGTAGGCAGTGGAGGAAGCCAAGCAGCAGTCATATCTGATGTCTGATGGGGAGGAAAGTTTTTCTTATTTGTCCTTGTAACTGTCATTCGAATAGCACAGTTCTTCAGGGTAGAAGTAATCAATTTAGTAACTTTTTATATGGGGTGGGTTGATTCACTTATATGTAATTAATATTTAAGTTAGAATTTTAAAGCCTATGGTTGTTCAGTAATTGCCCTGAACTTGAGTGTGAAGTTAAGCAAGAAGCAAATAAACAGACTTGTTAATTTAAAAAGAAATGACTTAAAAAATTACATTTTAAAGGTAAAATAATAGTGAAATTAAGCTTTCTATTTCTTGCAATGCCCAGCCGCTCTTGGGTTTTTATATGCTTCCATATGATAAACTGAAGTTGTGTTTCTTCCTCAGGTGCAGTTGGTGAATAATCGGTTTAAAGGAGTCAAGTATTTCCGCTTGAATACCCTAGCCTCTCTAGGTTATGTGGTTGTAGTGATAGACAACAGGGGATCCTGTCACCGAGGGCTTAAATTTGAAGGCGCCTTTAAATATAAAATGGTGTGTGAGCATAAAACACTTTTCTTTTACAGACATTTACATTTTCTGGTCCATTGTTTGGTGTGAAACCCTTGAAAGAGAGTTGGGGGAAGGGGCTATGAATGAGTGAGTGAGAGTGTATGTGTTAGAGTTTGGGGGTGGGAGAGAAGATGCAACTTGATGTACACCCTACTTATACGTAACTTTGGGGAACTGAGATAGAGCCACTTGTACATAGAAATATCCTCTCTGTTTTGTATGTCCACTTGGGTAGAATTTAGCACCATTTAGCTTTCAGCATCCTGTACACAGTTGAGGAATAATTGAGATTTGTTCTGTCCTCTGTGAAGAGGGAATCCAACTGGTTAGTGCCTTCCTTGTGACAAGCCTCTTTCTCTCTACAGGAAGCTTTAAATGCTACCTTTTAGAGATGCCCCATGTCCTTTCTGCTGCTTTGGGAAATGATGAGAATCCGATGTTCCTTTTGCACAGTAAGGCAGTTACTGTGTTTGCCAGTGTTATTGGACATGCTGAGTAAGACATGGGGATTTTCTCCCACAGCCAGTTCTTTGACCTTATGTTGTATTCTCATGTAAGTTTTTTTGTTTTTATTTTTGTTTTTGGCTCAGTGAAGTGAGATTGCGTGCACTGGCAGGCCTAGTAATATAGACAAGGTGGTGGTGGTAGGAATTAGGACTTTAAAGAAGTAGTATGTTCAGTTCCTAGAGGTAGTATAATAGGGAAATAAGAAGACAGGGCCTCAAGAGCAATTCCTTCTGCTTTACTGCACTAAAAATTAAAAAGGAGAAGTAGGCCAGGTGCAGTGGCTCACGCGTGTAATCCCAGCACTTTGGGAGGCCAAGGCAGGAGGATCACTTGAGCCCAGGAGTTCAAGACCAACCTGGGCAACATAATGAGACCCCACCTCTACAAATGAGTTAAAAAATTAGCTGGGCATGGTGGCGCATGCCTGTGGTCCCAGCTACTTGGGAGGCTTGAGGTGGGAGGATAACTTGAGCCCGGGAGGTTGAGCTACAGTGATCCCTGGTCACACTACTGCACTCCAACCTGGACAGCAGAGTGAGACCATGTCTCCAAAAAAATAGATAAAAAGGAAAAGTAAAATTAATTACTTAAGGGGCTAATTTTTTGTCTTTGGGTATAGGAAGGCTTGTTACAAGGAAGATGCTGACCTCTTAGCAGACAACAGAACAAATGGAAATGGGAAATACCCAAATAGCAAGGGACAGTTTGAGTAGCAGTAGGAGGGAGCTTTATGACTAAGTGGTAACTAAACTCTAGGACAGGCTAGCAACAGAAGATATAGGCCCCTATCTCCAAATAGATTTTTAAAAAATTTGAGGGAGAGGGGGCAACAGAATCTCAGTTGGTAATAAACTCTAATCTAAAAAAACCTACGGGGCCGGGTGTGGTGGCTCACGCCTGTAATCCCAGCAATTTGGGAGGCCGAGGCGGGTGAATCACTTGAGGTCAGGAGTTCGAGACTAGCCTGGCCATAGTGAAACTCCGTCTCTACTAAAAAATACAAAAATTAGCTGGGCATGGTGGCGCATGCCTGTGATCCCAGCTACTTGGGAGGCTGAGGCAGGAGAATCACTTGAATCCACCAGGCGGAGGTTGCAGTGAGCCGAGACTGCGTCATTGCACTCCAGCCTGGGTGACAGAGTGAGACTCCATCTCAAAAAATAAATAAAATAAAAATTAAAACACCTACAGGTATTTTTAGTAAAAACATTTATCATCTTTGAAAGCACTCTTACGAGACTTTTATTCATCAGAATCAGTGAAATGTTCTCCCTTTTTTGACAGGGTCAAATAGAAATTGACGATCAGGTGGAAGGACTCCAATATCTAGCTTCTCGATATGATTTCATTGACTTAGATCGTGTGGGCATCCACGGCTGGTCCTATGGAGGATACCTCTCCCTGATGGCATTAATGCAGAGGTCAGATATCTTCAGGGTATGTGACTTCCTATTATACTCATTTTTGCAATAAGGGTAGATTTTTCTGTAAATGGAGGATATATGAAAATGTCTATTTTCTGAAGGTTTACAGAGTTGGCAATTTTTTTTTTTTTTTTTTTTTGAGACGAAGTCTTGCTCTGTAACCCGGGCTGGAGTGCAGTGGCGCAATCTCAGCTCACTGCAATCTCTGCCCCTGGGTTCAAGTGATTCTCATGTCTCAGCCTCCTGTTCTCATATCTCAGCCTCCTGAGTAGCTGGGATTACAAGTGCCCACCACCACACCTGGCTAATTTTTATTTTTATTTTTTTTAAAGTAGAGATGGGATTTCACCATATTGGCTAGGCTGGTCTCAAACTCCTGACCTCAAGAGATCCACCTGCGTTGGCCTCCCAAAGTGCTAGGATTACAGGCATGAGCCACTGCGCCTGGCCCAGAGTTGGCAATATTGTAGAATGTTAGGGTTTGTATGTTTAAAAGCCATGTGAAATGTATATATATCTCAAGTTTGTTTTTTGTTGTTGTTCTGTTTTGTTTTGTTTTGAGACGGAGTCTCGCTCTTCACCCAGGCTGGAGTGCAGTGACGCAATCTTGGCTCACTGCAGCCTCCACCTCCTGGGTTCAAGTGATTTCCAGCTAATTTTTGTACTTTTAGTAGAGATGGAGTTTCACCATGTTGGCTAGGCTGGTCTTGAACTCCTGACCTGAAGTGATCCCTCTGCCTTGGCCTCCCAAAGTGCTGGGATTACAGGCATGAACCACTGCGCCCAGCCTTCAAGTTTTATGTGTGTAGATATATATATATGTATGTGTGTGTGTGTGTGTGTATATTTTTCTTTTAAACATGTATAATGTTTAAATCTGTCAACTGGATAACCAGTTACTGGCTGTTTATAGATACATGCCAAAGAGTGTAGGAGATGGTTATGATTAGTAAAACACATACAACATACCTGATGGATCGTAATTACTTAATTGTTGGACTGCAAGCTATGAGGGCAGGGACCTGTTTGCCCTGTACACCATTGTATCTTCAGCAGTCAAGCACAATGCTGGGCATATAGTAGGCCCTCAATAAATGTGTTGAATGAATTAATTATTAAATGTATAAATGCTTACAATTCTGTAAACAAACTCTTGGAAAAATATACTAGAAGAAATTACATAAGGATGATAACAATTGTTGAGAATAGGAATTATGAGTAGTGTTTCTTTTTTAATATTTCAATAACATGATGTTACTTTACAGTGAAAAGTAATTTTTTAAAATTTTATTTTATTTTATTTTTTTGAGACAGAGTCTTGCTGTCACCCAGGCTGGAATGCAGTGTGCGATCTCGGCTCACTGCAACCTCCGCCTCTCAGGTTCAAGCGATTCTCGTGCTTCAGCCTCCCAAGTAACTGGGATTAAAGGCGCCCACCACTATTCCCAGCTAATTTTTGTATTTTTAGTAGAGACGAGATTTCACCATGTTTGCCAGGCTGGTCTCAGACTCCTGACCTTGGGTGATCCGCCCGCCTCAGCCTCCCAAAGTGCTGGGATTACAGGTGTGAGCCATTGCACCTGACCATTAATTTTTATTTTTAAGAACAAAAACAATAAGGTTTTTATTCTTGCACATATATCTAGATAATCTTTATAATAACCATAAATAAATTCTGACCACTTCCATAATTTTCCCAGGTTTGTAGCTGTCAAGAAAATAGAGTATTTAAATATAAAACTACGTATAGGACAGGCAAATTTTTAGTATATTTCATTTATTGTTTTAAATTCTATACTGCCAACAGAGGCTTAAAAAAAAAAGGTGGCTCCTTTTTTACATAAAACTGACAGTTCTCACACGTTTTTTCCTCAGTAGCAGGATATAGTTCAGTTGTCTTTTAATAACGGGCCTGGCTTTCATATTTCAGCTAGCCCAGGTTAAAGGTTTGGTATGTAGAATGCCCATGGAACATGAAACTGACTCACAGAGTATCAAATTCTTGACCTTAGCGCTTCACTTCGTATTCTGAGTTGCCTAAGACATGTATGCGCCAGTAGTAAGGCTAAAGCTTAAGGATAATTTTAGACTGTAAATTTGCAGTTGTAAGATCTCACTGCTAGCCACTCTCTTTTTCCAGACCACACTTGACTGTCAATGTCATCTTATGCAGGTTGCTATTGCTGGGGCCCCAGTCACTCTGTGGATCTTCTATGATACAGGATACACGGAACGTTATATGGGTCACCCTGACCAGAATGAACAGGGCTATTACTTAGGATCTGTGGCCATGCAAGCAGAAAAGTTCCCCTCTGAGTAAGTGCAAGCTTTTTTTTTTTTTTTTTTAAATTGAGACAGGGTCTCACTCTGTCACTTAGGCTGGAGTGTAGTGGCATGATCAGGGCTCCCTGCAGCGTCAAACTCCTGGGCTCAGAGGATCCTCCCACCTCAGCCCCCGAGTAGCTGGGTTTACAGGCACGTGCCACCATGCCCGCCTAATTTTTTGTATTTTTAGTAGAGTCAGGGTTTTATCATGTTGCCTAGGGTGGTCTCAAACTCCTGAACTCAAGTTATCTGCCCACCTCAGACTCCCAAAGTGCTGGGATTACAGGCATGAGCCACCGGGCACAGCCTAATTCAAGCTTTAAAATGAAGATTATAAATTTTCAATTGTATTTTAAAAAATTGTCTTTAATCCTAATGAAAAATTCAAATACTGAAAAACCAAGACAAATGTTATACTAGAATAGCATGGCTGTTTCTTAAAACTGAATTACAGGCCAATTCATATAATGTTTCTTTACAAGTTATATTTGAAGCAGTTGTTTTTGCTGAAAAAAGTTAAGTACACGACTTTCAAGGTGGAAAAAATTTTATGTCTGCCTGAATATATTTTACAAATAGTTCTTCTAGGGACATGCTATAATTATAGATGTGTTCTAATATTTTAATTATAAAAAATTGAACACAAGATCTTTTTTTAATCCTTCATTGCATGTGGCATCTGGTTAATATGTTACAAATTTAATATTGAAAATACTGAATTCTTATTCTAACATTACAGTATAAGGAAGTTAATATGGTTAAGTATGATTAAATAAGTGAAATGGTTTTCCCAAATACTCTACTATTTTGCCTAATCCTCTAATATTTCCATTTCTCCAGACCAAATCGTTTACTGCTCTTACATGGTTTCCTGGATGAGAATGTCCATTTTGCACATACCAGTATATTACTGAGTTTTTTAGTGAGGGCTGGAAAGCCATATGATTTACAGGTGAGTTACTCTACATTTTCTAGTTAAATGCAGTCATGATTAGTGATTGATTACTTTGAAATCTATTAGCTGTGGGGTAAGTCCAGATTTTTAGAGTGTCCACCCTCTGCTTAAGAGAACTAAAGTAAGAGGCATATTTAGTAGTGCCTGTAGTTGGATAAAAATTAAGATTCTGTTGCAGTCAGGCTGACATACCTGCCTATCAGATTACATGACTGTGTGTCTGTATCTGCTTTCAGTTTGGAAGCATGGAAAAGATGACAGGAAGTCCATTCACTGTTATCCTTTGCTTTTCTTTTTCCACTTTGAAGGGTGAGGATGTGCTATTTTGATTTCATGGTTGTAAAAGGATTTTTAGGGCCTGATTATATGGTCTTTTGATTTTCTTTTATTTTACATTGACATTGGAGGAAAAACCAGCAAGTTACTCTCCTCCATTGCTCCATTATTCATTGCTCCTTATTCCAGTTTTTCTTAAAACTGTGTTTTACTCCTTAAACAGATTATGTGCACACAAAAAATGAAAAAATTACTTTTTCCTTTTTAACATTTCAGTTGATATTTATGTTTAAACTATGAGATATTTATAGCAGTAGTTTTTAAGCTTTTTGGTTTCAGGACACCTTTACCTACCAAAGAACTTTGTTTATGTCAATTATATCAATCAATATTTCTCATGTAAGATATGAAAACTGAGAAAATTTTTAAATATTTTAAAATAATAAACTATCAGCCCGGCACAGTGGCTCATACCTGTAATCCCAGCACTTTAGGAGGCCAAGGCAGGTGGATCACTTGAGGTCAGGAGTTCGAGACCAGCCTGACCAACATGGAGAAACCCTGTCTCTACTAAAAATACAAAAATTAGTCAGGCATGGTGGCTCATGCCTGTAATCCCAGCTACTTGGGAGGCTGAGGCAGGAGAACTGCTTGAACTGGGGAGGCAGAGGTTGCGATCAGCTGAGATCGCGCTATTGCACTCCAGCCTGGGCAACAAGAGTGAAACTCCGTCTCAAAAAAAAAATAATAATAATAATAATAAACTATTACATGTTAACACAAATCACGTTTTTCATAGAGAGAAACTATATTCCAAAACAAAAAATAATTTACTGAGAAAAACAGCAATATTTTACATTTTTCTAAATTCCTTTAATGTCTGACATAGTAGTAAAGAAGACACTTGCATTCTTATGTCTCTTTCTGTACTCAGTCTGTTGTGATATGTTGTTTCGACTAAAGTATGTGAAGAAAAGTTTGGCCTCACAGAGTATGTAGTTATGAAATGGGGCCGGTCGCAGTGGCTCACGCCTGTAATCCCAACACTTTGGGAGGCCGAGGCAGGCGGATTACCTGAGGTCAAGAGTTCACAACCAGCCTGGCAAACATGGTAAAACCCCATCTCTACGAAAAATACAAAAATTAGCTAGGTGTGGTGGTGCATGCCTGTAATCCCAACTACTCAGGAAGCTGAGGCATGAGAATTGCTTGAACCCGGGAGGCAGAGGTTGCAGTGAGCCGAGATCGTGCCACTGAACTCCAGCCTGGGTGACAGAGTGGACTCTGTCTTAAAAAAAAGGAAATGGGAGGAGTATTTTAGCTTTTTCAGATAATTGTAAATACTATTCTTTGATACTGTACCAAAACTGGACAAGTGGTAGTTTCTTAAAGGTTGTGGGATTTTGTTTGTTTTTGTTGTTTTAAATATATATATTATATATACTTTTTATTATATATATATTTTTAAATTATATATATATATATATTTATTTTTATTTTTTTTCTTTTTGAGATGGAGACTTGCTCTGTCACCCAGGCTGGAGCACAGTGGTGTGATCTTGGCTAACTGCAACCTCTGCCTCCCGGGTTCAAGCAGTTCTCATGCCTCAGCCTCCCGAGTAGCTGGGACTACAGGCTCATACCACTATGCCCAGCTAATTTTTTTGTACTTTTAGTAGAGACAGGGTTTCACCATGTTGGCTAGGCTGGTCTCCAACTGCTGACCTCAGGTGATTTGAGGCCTTGGCCTCCAAAAGTGTTGGGATTACAGGCGTGAGCCACTACACCCAGGCTAAATATATATATATATATATATATATATATATATATATATATATATATATATATATATATTTTAGATATATATGTATATTTTATATATTATATATGTATACTTTAGATATATATGTATATTTTATATATTATATATGTATATTTTAGATATATATGTATATTTCAGATATATATGTATATTTTAGATATATATGTATATTTTATATATATATGTACATTTTATATATATATATATTTTTTTTTTTTTTTTTTTTGAGATGGAGTTTCGCTCTGTCACCCAGGCTGGAGTGCGGTGGCACGATCTTGGCTTACTGCAAGCTCCGCCTCCCGGGTTCACGCCATTCTACTGCCCCAGCCTCCCGAGTAGCTGGGACTACCGGTGCCCGCCACCACGCCTGGCTAATTTTTTGTATTTTTAGTACAGACGGGGTTTCACTGTGTTAGCCAGGATGGTCTCGATCTTCTGACCTCGTTATCTGTACGTGTCAGCCTCCCAAAGTGCTGGGGTTACAGGCATGAGCCACCGTGCCCAGCCTAAATATATTTTTAAAAATAAATAGAGATGGGTGTCACTAAGTTGCCCAGGCTGATCTCAAACTCCTGAACTCAAGCGATCCTCCCACCTGAGCCTCCCAAAGTGCTAAGATTGCAGGGTGAGCTACCATGCTCAGCCAAGGAATTTTTTGTTGTTTTTTATTTATTTTTTTTAAATAGAGTCTTACTATGATTCCTGGGCTCGTTTCAAACTCCTGGGGTCAAGTAATCCTCCCACCTCAGCCTCCCAAGTAGCTGAGACTACAGGGAATGGGCTACTGCATCTGGCTTAAAGCTAGGTTTTAGTGTGGAATCTGAAGTGATATATATAAACTTCATACTCTGTCACAGTAAAGTGTGGATCTTATACTTCAGATGGATCTTTTACCATGCATTGGCCTTCTGGAAAATACTGGCTCACTGTGTTATGCCAGTCTTTCAAATATTGACTCCTTTTATTGTACAATATTTTTAAAATCACATATAATAATATTACTACTGAGCTCATCGGAAAAGTGTCTAAGTATTGGGAAGCTCATTAGTTAATAGTAGTAGATGCAAGTTTTCCAAAATTCTAACTCAAAAGCCCAGATTTTATCATTGGCAACAAATACTGTCAGTGTTGTCCTTGAAGTGACCAGCTCACTTCATTCACTTTTGAGAAAATATTTACTGGATACCCTAAATAACCATAGTTGTCAGTCATTCTTTGAAGTTAAAAATGGAGTTCCATTTAAAAAGCAGCAGTTCAGCTTGTGACTCATTCACACTAGTACTTTTCTTTGAGACATCCTATAGCACTGGTGCTTTATGCATTCCCATTTCATAAACACAGAATATTAAAAAGACTTCTACTCAAAGGTTGTAACTTAATAAATTCTAATTTTTACTGCTACTTAATTGAAACTGCCATTTTTCTTTTTTATTGGAAGTGTGTGGTGGTGAGGAATACTGTGACTTCTAGTGCAGTTTAATGATAGTGCCTTGATTCATGCTAACCAGCAGTTTTACTGACCTTTGCTTTTGTATCATCACTGTAAATGCTGGCACAACAAGTAAAGGCAAATAATGTCTTTGTGTTGTTCTAAAAGTAGTTTTGACCGTGTCTATCCCTTGAAAAGGTTTCAGAGACCTCTGAAAGTCTGCAGACCACACTTAGAGAACAAACCATTGGTCTACAGATAAATCCATCATTAAGCCTAATGTTAAATAAGGAAATCATAAGATGAAGAGAGGAGCGTTTAGATAGGATTTATTCTACAATATTGCATAGAGGCTGTGCTTCGTATTATTAATCCTGTTAAAAATCTCTGGAAAGCTTTGGAAGAAGATGTATTACTAAATTCTTTTTTTTTTTTGTATCTTTATTTTTTGTTGTTGGTAAGATCTATCCTCAGGAGAGACACAGCATAAGAGTTCCTGAATCGGGAGAACATTATGAACTGCATCTTTTGCACTACCTTCAAGAAAACCTTGGATCACGTATTGCTGCTCTAAAAGTGATATAATTTTGACCTGTGTAGAACTCTCTGGTATACACTGGCTATTTAACCAAATGAGGAGGTTTAATCAACAGAAAACACAGAATTGATCATCACATTTTGATACCTGCCATGTAACATCTACTCCTGAAAATAAATGTGGTGCCATGCAGGGGTCTACGGTTTGTGGTAGTAATCTAATACCTTAACCCCACATGCTCAAAATCAAATGATACATATTCCTGAGAGACCCAGCAATACCATAAGAATTACTAAAAAAAAAAAAAAAAAAAAGACATTAGCACCATGTATTCATACTACCCTATTTTCACTTTTAATAGTATTATAAACTTCATGAACTTAATTAGTGTATTTTTACAGTATACTTTTGAGTTTGTTAAAATATGATGATATTAGTGATTGGTTTGGTTCAGTTCCAGAATCTTTGACTAGTTACAGATTTGATAGCACTTAAATGTAATTGAATAGCTTATGCTTCATTGCTTGGGCATATCCAGCATGTTATGAACTAATAACTATTAAACTTGACTTAACCAGTCATTCATTAATAATTTTTCAAGGATAACTTAGTGGCCTCCTAAAGACACTTGTTTTGGCACTGACCAGTTTTTAGCCAATTTAATCTGTATCTAGTATAAATAATTCTCATTTTTCTTTGATGATATTAACAGAGTGGGCTTTTCCTTTTGCATAAAGGCTAGTAACTGTATATGTAGCATGGATTTAATTAGTCATGATATTGATAATTACAGGCAGAAAATTTTTAATCAAATGATTAGAGCTTAAATATTTGCAGGCAAGTTTTTTTTTTTCCTTTAAGAAAAGGAAAAAGTACACATTCACTAGAATTCTTCAGAAAATTTAGTGGTGCCAGTTTCCATTTGGTATTTCCTTATTAAAATATTCTAGAATTTTAAGGAGATTGAAGGGAATCACAGTGGGGTGGGGAGACCTGGGTTTGGGGAATGACAGAGAGAAGAGGTGGTGAGGGCCTGATTAAAAACTAAGCAGAAGTAGTTTTAACAAAAATACTCATGAAAATGTTTGGAAACTGAAATTTAAACAACTGTAATATTAAGGAAACCAGAATCAATAAATCACTGTCTTGCCAGCACAGCTACAGAGTAACATGATTCAGGGGAGGAAAAGTTCCTTAGAGTTACTTTTATAATTCTTTTTTTTTTTCCTCTTAGGTTTAGAAATCTTACAAATTTAAACTTTATCCTTTTAAAATTATTTGAACATAATTTAGATATTGTAAGCTTAAAATACAAATGTTTATAGATAACCTCTTTACCATAAACTAATCCCTGGCAAGCCATGGCTCTCTTTTTTTTTTTGGTGTTTAAAGCCTGTAAACAGTTTTTCTGAATGATCATGAACTTTTCTTGGTTTAGCACTAGGATTTAGCTATGAAGAGAGCTCATAGGCTTTCAGGTGCTAATTGAGATCTGCCCTGTTAGAGTCTTGGGGTGCTAGATTGGTCACATTGACACCAGTGGCAGGGAAGGCATCTATGAGTTTGATGCTTTTTATCACACACTTCAGTGTTTAGAAAGTTATTACCAATACTTTTAAACAACACTCCAAGAAAATTTGCTATATTTCTTTCTCATCACTACAGAGAGAGTAGATTTCCCCATAGAGAGCACAGCCTCCATTAGTAAGGTTGGTGACTATTGGTAAGAGGTGGACTTCATTGACACCAAGTGGGAGGTAGGGAAAGCCCAGAAATGGCAGGATGATATGGTGGTTCTGTCGTTGGGAAAGGTATTGGGTTTTGCTGTTTGTATTTATACTGTATAATAGATACCACGCTTTTTCTTATTATCTGTATATGTATTGCTTTTCATGTTTGATATTTTCCCATGCCAAGATTTGTTTATATATATTTTCAATGTTAAATTAAATTGATTTGGGTAACTTTCTTCCCCAAGAAAGTATTTTCCCCCTTAAGTATATATCTGACTGTGGAGGGTGTTTTGTTTTGTTTTGTTTTGTTTTGTTTGGACTAACTGGCCTCGAAGGATCTATCCTTATAATATATGCAAAGTAGAAATGGTATACAGTAGCTTTTAAGCAGCTACTCCATTGAAACCTCTCACCCATTAAGGCTGTTTCTTCAAAGTGGCATCTCTTATTTTACCGAAACAAACTTAGAAAACTTCATGTACTCTGGAGTTCACAGGTGTTTTCCTTTTGCATGTTGCCTTCTCCTTTCCTCCTATCACAAAGAATGCTTCTATTATCACTCCCAGTCACTTAAATGCCATTCTGCTTCTTTAGCAGGAAAAAATACCTGAATGAATTCTCTTACAGAAAGACAGTTTGACTGAATTTGCTTTTTACAATCAGTGTGGAAAATATCATAGTCAATTGAGGCAATCAGTAGAAATCTCACTAAAAGTTTGTACCCCCTGAGTATGGGTAACAGCTTAAACGGCAAGAATATATAAAAGTAGCAACAGTTTAGTGGGAGCCAAAAAGCACTAGGTTAAATATCATACTACGTTTTTAAAGACTTGATAAATGTGTACACTTGAACAACCATCCAGAGGGATAGTTACTTGAGCATTACAGAGTAGTGGAACTCAAAATCTAAGATTCATCTGGGATACTTCTAAAAGAAATGTAGAGTTTTGAATCTCACTCTTAAAAATGTGTATTCCCAGGCTAGGCATGGTGGCTCACGCCTGTAATCCTAGCACTTTGGGAGGCCAAGGCGGGTGAATCACTTGAAGTCAGGAGATCAAGACCAGCTTGGTCGACATGGTGAAACCCCGTCTCTACTAAAAGTACAAAAAAATTAGCTGGGCATGATGGCGTGTGCCTATAATCCCACCTACTCGGGAGGCTGAGGCAGGAGAATCGCTTGAACCTGGGAGGCGGAAGTTGCAGTGAGCCGAGATGGCGCCACTGTAGTCCAGTCTGGGCGACAGAGTGAGATTCTGCCTCAAAATAAATAAATAAATAAAAATTTGTATTCCATTGATTTGGGTAGACACCAGGAATGTGCATTTCTAACAAGCTTTCCAGGCGATCCTATAGTAAGTCATCTGTGGACTACTTTAAGAAACTCTTCTATAGAGAATGGAGTTGGATTAATAATAGGTGATTTTTTACACTGGACTGATTCACAAGAACCTAAACAGTAGTCCATGAAGCTGCTCATCTGTGGTAACTATTTGGCCCCGTCTCACTCTGAAAGCAGCAGGAGATGTTGTTTACTTTGTTTCTATCCCCTTTGTCTGGAGATTAATTTTGGAATGAAAGTTTTTCTCTCTATGCCATTCCTGGTTCTTTTCCAAAGCCTCATACAAGAGGATTAGGTCACAATGCATGCATTACCTTTTAAAAGAATGCGATATTGATACCGATGCTTACTTTTTTTTTTTTACTACTTGTTTTATTCCTTCCAGAAAGTATAGCCCGCCTTTCTATAGCATAGTTCTCTTTAGGTGGAATGATTCCTATAAGATTTCTCATTATTAAATCATGCATTTTTCAAGATGGAATCAATATTTGATTTAATCTAAGCTGATATTCTCATTTGTTAGAAGAACAACCTACATGCTAGAGAGAGAGGAGGAAATATACCCACGACCACACAGCCAGTTAGTATCCAGTTGGTGCTGGACTCCAGCCAGGTGTCCTGCCTCATGGTAGTTAAATGATATATAGAAAAGGTAAATTTTTAAAGAAATATTTATTAATATATTCCTATAAAACATTTTAAAGGTAACCACATAAAAATGGTTAATTTTTCCATTCCAAAGTAAATGCTAAGCATGTTTATTAATGAAGCAGTACTTCTGATTAGTATATGACATTCTGAAGTTAATTAAACTCATTGCACTAAATGTGTCTTCCTTGGTATAGTGGAGGATTTGAGGATTGGAATATAGAGTAGAGTGCTTGCTTAAGCCTGGGAGCCCATCTTTATAGCTATTTGATGTAAGAAAAGAGACATGGCCATTTCTAAACTATATAAGGTGAGTGTGTCTATTCCCAGCAGATATAAAGGAAAAAGGAAACTTTTTTGATTCCCACCTTCCCAGCCTCACCTAGCCATCTTCCAGCCTCAAATATAGAGATGTTAGTGCAAGGTCCTGGGCTCTAGGTGATCATTTCATAAGTCCTTTACAGATAAAGAAAAAGTAGTGTTTGTATGTTTGTTTTTAAGTAACCCCAAAACAAATTTATATTGTATTCAGCAAAATTGGAATTCAGGTGTTTAATTTTAGAACATGAAGTGCCTGCTGTTTTAAGCATTGACTTGTATAAAAAGAATTGCATGTCTCCAGTAAGCTTATGGGTTTTCTCATTTTTAGGTATATGGCTTTTAATCATGTAAAGTGAAACATTAGTTTTCTTGCATTTTATTACAGGTTCTTTGTTGCAATAAAGATGCTGCTGAAATTAATTGATTTAAGTGTTCCTTTTTCTTCCATTTCCCCATGGGAAATGTACAACCTTGCCTTGATTAGTGACAACTGTGGAGGGACTAATACACATGAACAAGGTCATGTGCTTGCAGTGGAGAAGAGAAACTGTAGTATGAAGGATTACATGGGTGTTTTAGTATAAACACTAACCAAAATGCATCCAAGCCCAATGGGAGGTGTGCAGAGAACTGCTTTCTATCTGCAAGTGGTTACCAACATCCAGTGGTTGATACTACAAGGGTAAATGGTGTTAGAGCCAGTGAGGAGCATATCCCCCTGCCCCAAGCTCCACCCCCGAGCAGCTGGGGGTTTGTGGGAATACCACCTAGGGTTGATAGTGGCTTCTGCATGCTGCCCAGGAAATTTTTTTTTTTTTTTTAATTTTTTTGAGACAGTCTCACACTGTCGCCCAGGCTGGAGTGCAGTGGCGCAATCTTGGCTCACTGCAAGCTCCGCCTCCTGGGTTCACGCCATTCTCCTGCGTCAGCCTTCCAAGTAGCTGGGACTATAGGCACCCGCCACAACGCCTGGCTAATTTTTTGTAGTTTTAGTAGAGATGGGATTGCACCGTGTTAGCCAGGATGGTCTCGATCTCCTGACCTCTGACCTCGTGATCCACCCGCCTTGGCCTCCCAAAGTGCTGGGATTACAGGCGCGAGCCACCACGCCCGGCCCCTACTGCCCAGGAAACTTTGAGGGAGTTTAATGTACTATGTTTTTCAGAGGTTTCTGTTGTTTTTTTTTTGTTGTTGTTGTTTTGTTTGTTTTTTAGGTGGAGTCTTGTTCTGTCACCCAGGCTGGAGTGTAGTAGTGCAATCTTGGCATACTGCAACCTCCCCTGCCCAGGTTCAAGTGATTCTCCTGCCCCAGCCTCCCAAGTAGCTGGGATTACAGGCGCCTGCCACCACACCCGGCTAATGTAGAGATGGGGTTTCACCATGTTGGCCAGGCTGGTCTCGAAGTCCGTAATGACCTCAGGTGATGTGCCTGCCTCGGCCTCCCAAAGTGCTGGGATTACAGGCATGAGCCACCGCGTCCGGCCTGACAATATTCTGTTTTTTTGAAGTTTTATTAGAGAAAGGGCAGAGGGGAAGCAGATGAACCCCTCTGAAATAAGTAAATGTGGGTTTCTGTGATAATCCTTCCAGAACAGAGGCTTAATCTGGATTCTGTAACCCTCAAGTTGTATGTGAAGTATTGCATGAAAAGTAGTAGTGTATTATTCTGGAGACAGGCTCTTTGGCTTTATCAAATACTCAAAGGGATAATGACCCCAAAAAAGTTAAGAACCACAGCTGTATTAGGGTCTTAAACTTTTATTTTGTATACAAAAATTATTAGGAATAAAGATGATTTTAAAATAAGGGACTGCTAGGCCGGGTGCAGTGGCTCACGCCTGTAATCCTGGCACTTTGGGAGGCTGAGACGGGTAGATCACTTGAAGTCAGGAGTTTAAGACCAGCTAGCCAACATGGTGAATGAATTTTTGCATACTAAAAATACAAAAATTAGCAGGGCATGGTGGCACATGGCTGTAATCCCAGCTACTCGGGAGGCTGAGGCAGGAGAATCGGTTGAGCTTGGGAGGCAGAGGTTGCAGTGAGCCAAGATCACGCCACTGCTCTCTAGCCTGGGCAACAGTGTGAGACTCCATCTCAAAAAAATAAAAAGTAATGGACTGCTGTAGATGAGTGCTTCCTAACCTTTTCATCTTGTAACAAAAAGAGACACTTGTATGACACAGGGATAAACAGGCACACTGGGGTAAGCTGTTAAGGCTGCTTGTAGCCAGAAGTGACTGTCCAGGCCCACCTCAGCTCTAAAGAAATCAGTATCTCATTATACATATGATCTACTTATGGCACTATGGTTGGGAAATTTTATAGATTACCTTGGCCTATCAAAAATCAAAAACCAGCTTTCACCTGACACAGTGGCTCATGCCTGCAGTCCTAGCACTTTGGGAGGCTGAGGTGGGCAGATTGCTTGAGCTCACAAGTTCAAGGCCAGCCTGGGCAACATGGTGAAACCCCATCTCTACAAAAATACAAAAACTGCCTGGGTGTGGTGATGCATGCCTGTAGTTCCAGCTACTCGGGAGGCTGAGGTGAGAGGATCGCTTGAAGCTTGGAGGCAGGGGCTGCAGTCAGCTGAGATCACACCACTACACTCCAGCCTGGGCGACAGAACCAGACCTTGTCTCAAAATAAATTTTTTTTTTTTAATTAGCTCTCAGGCCAGACGAGGTGAATCACACCTGTAATCCCAGCACTTTGAGAGGCCAAGGCGGGAGGACTGCATGAGCTCAGGAGTTTGAGACCAGCCTGGGCAACATAGCAAGATCTTGTCTCTACTAAAAATTTTAAAATTAACTGAGCATGGTAGTGCACGCCTGTAGTCCCAGCTACTCAGGAGACTGAGGCAAAGGATTACTTGAGCACACTGCAGTGTGCTATGATTATACTACTGCAGTCCAGCCTGGGCAACAAGACCCTGTCTGCATACTGTGATGGAGGTGTAGACTTCCAGCTGTAGAACTCCAGTGCCCCAGAGTCGGAGCAGCCTTGAAGCCTTTTGACTTCCCTTTGGCCCTTTTAACCTCACCCACCCCACCCAGTGTATATGAAGAGGCAGATATTGATCCCTTGGTGCTTTTGTGGGGAGCAGAGTGAAACAGTCACAGTATGAGAATCTCATAACCAGAGTATAATTTTATTTGGGGTTCGGTGTAGTTTGGGGATTTACCAGGATTTAAGGATTCATCTGCTGGCTCTATCACCCTGGAAGAGGTTGAGCTCCCATTGTAATTTCAGCTCTGAGACACAGATTGTTCAGTTTGCTGTTTGTTCCTTACTCCTTACTAAAAGATGCTCTCTGTAAATTGGCCTCCAAACCTGTGTTCTTAAAATAGAAGTTTGCGGAAGCAATTAGCCAGGATAGTTGTCCTTAGCCGGCTCCAGGATTCCCCCATCTTTATTGGAAAAACACCCTGTAGATGTGGCATAGCTTAACATTCTACTCACAGGTGACAGTTACTTGCAGAAAGGTCAGTCTTCTGGCCAGGATGGTTCTGGAAACCACACAGCTCCTCTGTAAAATGAACTCTCTGTGCTGGCTTAATTACTGAGCGCATACCTGGTCATAGTTGCATCCCTAAGCATGCATGTGTATACCACTGTCTGCAGTTCAGTTGGGTACTTGTTGTGTTGCCCTGCCAGTTAATTGCTTTAAGCTGTCTCAACCGTCCATTCCTCTTTCCCATTGTTGCTCCTTCCCCAGTCTAGGTCTCACGATCTCAATGCCGGGTAAATACAGCAGCTCTCTATCCACCCTGAGTTCGGGGTGAAGAATAGAATTCCAAGTGACTTCAAATAAGCATTTCTCAACTTTCATTTAGCAAATATTTAGGAACAATCATGTGCCAGGTCTGTACTAGGCCATCAGAAAACAGAACTGAAGAGGATACAGTCCTTGCCCTCAGTAGGCTCTCGGGACCCACTTCACTTTCCACCCAGAAGCCACTTCCTTTAAAGGAAGCTTTTTTTTTTTTTTTTTCTTTGAGACAGGGTCTCCCTCTGCTGCCCAGGTGGGAATGCAGTGGCATGAACACACCCACTGCAGCCCCAACCTCCCAGGCTCAGGTGATCCTCCCACCTCACCTTCCCAAATAGCTGGGACTTCAGGCACGCACCACCACTCCCAGCTAATTTTTTCATTTTTTGTACAGATGTGGTCGCACTTTGTTCAAACAGGCTGGTCTTGAACTCCTGGGCTCAAGCAGTCCTCCTGCGTCAGCGTCCCCAAGTGCTGGGATTACAGGCACGCGCCACCGTGCCTGGCTAATTTTTGTATTTTTAGTAGAGATGGTGTTTTACCATGTTGGCCAGGCTGGTCTCGACACCTGACCTCAAGTGATCCGCCCACCTCGGTCCCCCAAAGTGGTGGGATTACAGGCATGAGCCACCTCACCCGGCCTAGCATTTAATTTCATACCATACTGTTTGCTACCGGTTTTGTTTCTCCAGTTGGATCACAGACTCTCAAAGTGGTACCTTTACACTTGCTTAATTCTCACCCATAATACCTACTGCAGGGTCAGATATATGAGATACTTGAATACCAAAACAATTTTCAAATAAAAATATCTGACGTCCCCCATTTAGGGTTGTCTGATTGATAGCTTATAGGTTCCTAAGTACCCATCTACCAATTTGTTTGTAAGTGCAAAAGAAACCAAATCATTCCCAAATTTAAGCTTTTAGAACTCCTTTTTCAAAATGTCCTTGTAGTTTGTATTCTTTATCCCCCACTGAGGCTTCAGGTCAGGAGATATTGTCCTTCTCAACCCTAGTTGCTATTATAGTTGTCTGGGCAGCTTTTAAAAACATTCATATATAAGTCCCTCCCAGGATCCATTACATCAAAATGGGGAGGGGAGGTCCTGCCATCTTTTAATTTGTTAAAAATAAGTTCTCTAGGTGATCCTAATGTTTAACCAGAGTAGAGTCTCTGGCCAGGCTTGGTGACTCACGCCTGTATTCCCAGCACTTTGGGAGGCTGAGGACGGCAGATCACCTGAGGTCAGGAGTTCGAGACCAGCATGGTCAACATGGTTAAACCCCACCTCTACTAAAAATACAAAAAGTAGCCAGCTGTGATGGCACACACCTGTAATCCCAGCTACTTGGGGGACTGAGACAGGAGAATCGCTTGAACCTGGGAGGCGGAGGTTGCAGTGAGCCGAGATCGTGCCAATGCACTCCAGCCTGGGTGACAGAGTCCCTGAGGTAGAGCAATGGAAGATTTTACTCACAGAACGTTAGAGCCGAACGTATTTTTAGAAATCATCTAATTTACCACTTTACTTAACAGACGAGAAGCTGATGTGAAGCCAGGAAGTGATTACTCCGCAGCCAAACCAGCTGCCTAGAGTCCATACTGAAGCTCAAGGCTTCTAGCTGTGTCTCCACCTCCCAGAACAATGTTCTCCCAAGCCAGACCCAAGCAGAGAAATTCGCCAAAATGAGGGTGCCAAGGCTGTTGCCAGGGTAGTCTCAGCAGAGGCACAGGGAGTAGAGGAGGTCCCCACCCCTTGTTTCACCCACAGCAACTTAGCTGTTTACTCATGTATAATCAGGGAAAACACGTTCCGCAGCTTAAAAGAACAGTTAGAAAACCAGTGACCCCTCCCCTCACTTTCAGATGAGGAAACTGAGGCCCAGAGGACTACAAAGCCATACAGCTGTTCAGTGGCAGAATCGGAACCAAAACTCAGACCAACTAACTCCCTGAGGTACAAGGAGGTAAAGCGACTTCCCCAAAGGCACAAACTAGTCGGTAGCTGAACGTGGACACCTGAATACAGTATCTAAGGCTCTCAATCTAGAACTCCTACTAAATTTCCTAAAATCTAAGATGTCACCATTTGTAAGACCCTAATATTAGAAACATCAAAACGTGAATTAAGACTGTATCCTGAGAGTCAGGTGCAGTGGCTCACGCCTGTAATGCCAGCAATTTAGGAGGCTGAGGTGGGAGGATTGCTTGAGCCCAGGAGTTCAAGACCAGCCTGGGCAGCATAGCAAGACCCCATCTCTACAAAAAATATGAAAGCCAGGACCGGGCGCAATGGCTCACGCCTGTAATCCTAGCACTTTGGGAGGCCAAGGCGGGTGGATCATGAGGTCAGGAGATGGAGACCATCCTGGCTAACATGGTGAAACCCCATCTCTACTAAAAATACAAAAAATTAGCCGGGCGTGGTGGCAGGTGCCTGTAGTCCCAGCTACTAAGGAGGCTGAGGCAGGAGAATGGCGTGAACCCGGGAGGCGGAGCTTGCAGTGAGCTGAGATGGCGCCACTGCACTCCAGCCTGGGCGACTAAGCAAGACTCTGTCTCAAAAAAAAATGAAAGCCAGGGATGGTGGTACATGCCTATTGTCCTAGCTTCTTGGGAGGCTGAGGCAGGAGGATCACTTGAGCCCAGGAGGTTGAGGCTGCAGTGAGCTGTGATTGCACCACTGCACTCCAGCCTAAGTGACAGAGCCAGGCCCTGTCTCAAAAAACAAAAAACCAAACCAAATACCCACCCACACACACACACACACACACACACACACACACACACACACACACACACAGAAGAATGATCCTAGAATCAAGGAAATATGATACTTGCCTGAAGTCTGAGATCCTTCAGGGACTGAGCTGATGCTGAGCTCAAGAAGTGTGTGCTGGGTGGATCTTGGATGTGAATCTCCCTGAACTTGCCCAGAGAAAGGAGAGAGAGCATGAAAAAGAGAAGGGAATTTGGGATCTGATAGAGTTGGGTTCAGACCCAGCAGTTGTGATTTTGAGCAACACCTCTGCTTCTCTACCCTTGGTTTCCTGGACCCTAAAGTGGAGTTTTAATACATCACAGAGTTGCTGTGAGGCCAAATTGTCAAGTACAGACTAGCATGGGATGGGGGTTTGGAAGTGATTCATGACAGTGAAGTTGGCCCTCCTGCTGTTGATCCAACCCCACCCATCCAAGCCTGCCAGAGGGCGCACTGTGCTCTCCAGGACATGAGCTGTGAGGCCCAAACCCTGGGGAGAAGATAGATGCTGGAAGGGGAAAGGAATATGACTCAGCCCCAGGGATCTTGGGAGGACAGCAGCTTCTGGGCCATGAACAAGGGTGGGTACAAAAGCCTCCTGTGGGGGTGACTGAACTCTGCCCTGGCCTCAGATACTTCCCACTTACCTGACCCAAAGGCTGATGATCTTCTGGTATTGCACATTCCTTTATTTCTTTCTTTTGAGACGGAGCCTCACTCACTCTGTCGCCCAGCCTGGAGTGCAGTGGCGTGATCTTGGCTCACTGCAACCTCTGCCTCCCGGGTTCAAGCGATTCTCCTGCCTCAACCTCTTGAGTAGCTGGGATTACAGGTGTGCACCACCACACCCAGCTAATTTTTTTATTTTTAGTAGAGACAGGGTTTCACCATGTTGGCCATGCTAGTCTTGAACTCCTGACCTCAAGTGATCTGCCCACCTCAGCCTCCCAAAGCACTGGAATTACAGACGTGAGCCACTGTGCCCGACCTGCATATTGCTTTAAATGAAGGCATCATTAACTGTAAGGCCCTTGTTAGGGATAAAATGTTTTACCTGTGAGCCAGGTGACACATTTTCCTCTGAATACCAACTGCTAACGTTTGTATGGTTAGTGTCCCACCACTTAGAGTACTTCCTTATGACATCATTATATTCAATTTGATCCTCACAATAAAACTGGGATGTCAGGCATATTATTATTCCCCTACTTTTTTTTTTTTTTTTTTGGTCAGAGAAAGAAATGAAAACTCAGAGAGGTATATGCCTTGCCCAAGGTCACAGTGCAGAAGTGGAATGCTGATCCTGGTTTCACCAGCTAATCGGCGAGCAACATGAATTGAGCAGCTACATGGAGCTAATGATTATTCTACTTCACGGAGTTGCTGTGGGCTTTGATATGAGAAAACACATGCAAAGCTCCTAGTGCCTGGCATGTAGCACTCAGACACGAGCTATTAGTTCTCTGGGCAGTGGAAAAGAGGGTGGTCAGGGAAGGCTGCACAAAGGAGGTGGCATTTGGATTGGGCACTAAAGAACAAGCTTCCCCAGGTGGGAGGAAGTCATTCCAGGCAGGGAGAATAGGGATGAAGGGATAAGGGGTGTGGGGGCTGGCATACTGGGAGCGCTGATTGTGGGGAGAATGGTAGAAAAAGCTGGGGGTGCCAGGGAAGAAGTGCGAAGGGCCATGCATGACGGAAGCTAAGGAGATTGTGCATCTGCCCCCAGCTCTGCTGCTCGCTTCACCTCAGCCGGCCTAGCTTATCTGGAGACAAATGACGGGACAGGTCATGGGATAGTCGTGCTTTGATGGGGAAAGTGTCGGAGCAAAGGACTGTTGGGTAGAACAGGCTCAGGGTGAGGATTCCAGCCCCTAGAAGCTGTGGGAAGACACAGTCTCCAGCCCGAGGTGGTGAGCTTCCAAAGAGGGATGGACAATATGACAGTGTCGCAGGCCTTTCCGTTCTGCGGAAGACAGTGCTCCCATCCTGCCACGATCAGTGTGTCCAGCTGCAGGCAGAGCGTCCAGAGAGACCCCAGGAGAGAGCAGGTCTCAGCCCATTGTGCCAGATGTGCAGGGGCCTTATAAAAGGGGACCGAGAGACTGAATCTGAACCCCAGTCTTGCTGGGGCAGGTGGCCTTGCAGAGGTGAGCATCTGGGAGCAGTGGTTCCAAGTGGGAAGTAGCCGTTGATGGGATGGACAGGTGGAAAAGTGTCTGCCTAGAGAGCTGAGGAGGGAGAGCAGGAGGGCAGGAGGGTGTCTACCTGCACCACCTTTTAACAAATTTTTAAAAGTTTTAAGTGTATCAGGGTTACACAGGCACATAGCTTGGAGTCAAGTTCTATAATAAGTCTCAAGTAATATGTTTGTATTATTATTATTTTTTTTCAATTTTTATGTACTATCTAGTGGCGTCCCATTGTGAATGATTAGAATTTAGCTGTTTTCCCTTCCATTTCCACCAAATACCCACAGTTCCTATCTCCCTCATCCCTTCAATATAGTTTTATTGTAATTTTACTAGATTATATTCAGTTTTTACATCGTTAAGACTATGTAAATGTATTCAAAGATGAATCCACACAATAAACTTCAAATATTTTCTTTTTTTGAGACAGGGTCTCACTCTGTCACCCAGGCTGGAGTGCACTGGCACGATCTTGGCTCACTGCAACCTCCACCTCTGGGGCTCAAACAATCCTCTCACCTCTACCTCCAGAGTAGCTGGGACCACAGGTGCACGCCAACATGCTAGGCTACTTTTTTGTATTTTTAGTAGAGATGAGTTTTCACCATGTTGCCCAGGCTGGTCTTGAACTCCTGACCTCAAGTGATCCACCTGCCTCGGCCTCCCAAAGTGCTGGGATTACAGGCATGAGCCACTGCTAAACTTTGAATTTGTTTTCAGTCATGAACAGCTTTTTGTTTTACCTAGTTAATAATTATTTTTTAGCTTATATATTTATTACTAATTAGACCCCAAACTCCTCAAACTTTCCATTGATTTATCTATTTTGCTTAATTGCTAGTATTTCCAGTGTTTCCCTGCAATATATACAACATTTCAAATATTTAATGAGTTAAATTGGTTTTGATTTGCTAGTCTGAGATGAAGCTATCATTTGCTGTGCTGATTCTTTAGAGAAATGTGTTTGGATTTCCAGGCAATTGGTGTGTGAATGTACTGTAGGCATGGCCACCTGCACAGTGCTAGTTTCTGTCCTCAAGTAACTTCCAGTGTCATCTGAGAAATATAAACATAAAGAAGTCACCATATGAGAAATAATCTAGTTAGTACCTGTTGAGTGGGACAGACAGGTCAGTGTGGACTCGAGTTGAGTTTTAAGGGAGTCTATGTTTTTTATTATGATAAAATATACATAACATAAAATTTACCATTTTATCTACTTTTTTTGTTTGTTTAAGACAGGGTCTCGCTCTGTCACCCAGGCTGGAGTGCAGTGGTAAGACCTCGGCTCACCGCAACCTCCATTTCCCAGGCTCAAGAGATCCTCCCAACTCAGCCTCCCAAGTAGATGGGACTACAGGCACGCGCCACCAAGCCTGGCTAACTTTTGTATTTTTTTGTAGAGATGAGTTTCCGCCATGTCACAGAGGCTAGTCTTGAACTCCTGAGCTCAAGAGATCTGCCTTCCTTGGCCTCCCAACATGCTGGGATTATAGGTGTAAGCCCTTGTGCCCGGCCCATTTTAGCCATTTTTAAGTGTACAGTTCCGTGACATTAAGTACATTCACATCATTGTGTGGCCATCACTATTATTTACCTCCAGAATATTTTCATCATCCCAAACTGAAGATTATAGGTATTTTTTTCCTCTCTATGTTACATTTACTCTTTCTCCTTACAAAAATAAGTGTTCAATGTGGATAGTTTGCAAAGAACATAGAAAAGCACAAAGAAGAAAATAAAAATATCCCGTAATTCCACAAATTGATTAGAGACTTGATGAGAAAGGTGTGGAAAGGCAACTCAGGGTGAAATGAGACCCATCCTGCTGACTCAGAGGGTTTAAGCAGGGGAGCAATGAGGGTGATAATTTTGAATATGAAGGGTGAAGATATTAGAAACATACCTGTCTTTTGTATCTTCCTTAAAAGGGGATAAATGGGGGAGGCAATGAGTGGTTCTAATAGTGAACTCAACCCAGTAAAGATTCCAGCAGCTCTACTGGTTATCAGGTTTGTTACCATATATCAAACCACCCCAAGCTGAGTGCTCTAAAACAACAACAGTCATTTGTATTACTATCTCTCACAGTCCTGGGGGTTGGCTGGGCTCAGGGTCTCCTATGTGGTTGCAGTCAATGGCTGGGCTAGAGCAGTTGGGAAGGCTTCCTCACTTACACATGTGGTTACTGGGCTGGAAGGAGTCAAACAGCTGGGGGCCAGAACAGCTGGGGCCCCTCCAGCCCCTCTGCCTCCATGGGGTCTCCATGATGGAGGGCTTCAAAGTGGCTAGACTTCTTACATGGTGGCCCTGGGCTCCAAAGGTGCATGTTCCCTAAGAGAAAGCAGTGCAGGAGTAGTATCCCCTTCTGTGACAGACCTCAGAAACCAGGCAGTATCACCTCTGCCACATTCTGGTGTTTTTGTTTTTTTTTTTGAGATCGAGTCTTACTGTGTTGTCTGGGCTGGAGTGCAGTAGTGTGATCTTGGCTCACTGAAGCCTGGGTTGAAGCAATTCTCCGGCCCCAGCCTCCTGAGTAGTTGGGATCACAGGCACACACCACCACACCCGGCCAATTTTTGTATTTTTAGTAGAGATGGAGTTTCACCATGTTGGCCAAGCTGGTCTCAAACTCCTGACCTCGGGTGATCCACCCACCTTGGCCTCCCAAAGTGTTGGGATTACAGGTGACAGCCACCACGCCTGGCCTCTACTTCTTAAAGGGAAGAATGTCAAATAACTTGTAGACATACTCTAAAACCACCACGGTGGTGGCTTCGGTTATCTAGTCTAGAATGATGTGAGTACCATGGACCCCCACTGCTGGTCTACAGAGCAGGTCATCCATAAATTCTTGATCTAGAGTCAGAGAGCCAACAGACATTTTAGAGATTACTCAGGTAAGTGCTTCCCAATGTTTTTTTGATGCTCAAACTCCATTCACAATAATGTGCTATCTTGTCCCCTGCTTAGAGATTTAGAACTTTCATCATTTTTGGCCCAGGCATCTCAAGCCTGTAATCCTAGCATTTTGGGACGTTCGAGGTGGGAAGATCACTTGGAGCCAGGAGTTTAAACCCAGCTTGGGCAGCAAAGGGAGACTGTCTCTCCAAAAAAGTCAAATAATAAAATAAATGAAATTTTCATCATTTTTGCATGGTTTATAATAAAGAATTAACTTTTAAAAACCATTCATTCAGAAAACATTCACTGGGATTTTACTATCTTCTGTGCACTGTGCTAGATGCCAGGGAGATGGGAGGACACATGGTTCCCACCACAATGAGCTTACTGTCTAGCAGTGGAGCCAGACAATTTAACAAAGGATGATAATAAAGTGTCCTCAGTGCTCTGATAGGAGAAGTACCAGCTCACAGAATACTTTGTCTGGTTCTGATCTCTCTGCTTAGATTGAAACGGCATTTCCAGGCCAGGCGCTGTGGCTCATGCCTTTGGCTCACACCTGTAATCCCAGCCACTTTGGAAAGCCTAGGCAGGCAGATCACCTTGAGGTCAGGAGTTCCCTGGCCAACATGGCAGAACCCCATCTCTACTAAAGAATACAAAAATTGGCCAGGCACGGTGGCTCATGCCTGTAATCCCAGCACTTTGGGAGGCCGAGGGGGGTGGATCACTTGAGGTCAGGAGTTTGAGACCAGCTTGGCCAACATGGTAAAACCTCGTCTCTACTAAAAATACAAAAATTAGCCAGGTATGGTAGCCTCCCAGCTACTTGTGAGGGTGAGGCAGGAGAATCGCTTGAACCCGGGAAGCAGAGGTTGCAGTGAGCTGAGATCGCGCCACTGCACTCCAGCCTGGTGAATACAAAAATTAATCAGGCATGGTGGCAGGCGCTTGTAGTCCCAGCTACTTGGGAGGCTGAAACACGAGCGAGAATCGCTTGAACCCGGGAGGCAGAGGTTGCAGTGAGCCACTGCACTCCAGCCTGCGTGACAGAGCAAGACTCTGTCTCAAAAAAAAAAGAGAGACAAAAAACAAAAAGAAAATAAACGGGCCGGGCGCGGTGGCTCACGCCTGTAATCCCAGCACTTTGGGAGGCCGAGGCGGGCGGATCACGAGGTCACGAGATCGAGACCACGGTGAAACCCCGTCTCTACTAAAAATACAAAAAATTAGCCAGGCGCAGTGGCGGGCGCCTGTAGTCCCTGCTACTTGGGAGGCTGAGGCAGGAGAATGGCTTGAACCCGGAAGGCGGAGCTTGCAGTGAGCGGAGATCGAGCCACAGCACTCCCGCCTGGGCGACAGAACGAGACTCCGTCTCAAAAAAAAAAAAAAAAAAAAAAAAAAAAGAAACGAAATGAAACGAGAAAAACAAAAAAGAAACAGCATTTCTAGCACTTTAATGCTGTCACTTGATGCCATACAGGGCCCTCACACTCAACTTGTTTAAAAGGCCAATTCACTTCTCTCTCCTCGGTTCTGCTCCTCCCCCATGTTCCCTTCATTTAGTAGTATCCCATCCACCTAGTCAAACCTACAAGAATTCTAGCCCTGTCCCATTCTCTTAACCACTACATTGACCTGTTCCCAAGATGTCACTTCTGTCCTAGAACTGTCTCAGGGAAGTTAAGAAAAAAAATAACTTTAAAACAACATGTTAGGCCGGGCGCGGTGGCTCACGCCTGTAATCCCAGCACTTTGGGAGGCCGAGGCGGGTGGATCATGAGGTCAGGAGATCGAGACCATCCTGGCTAACAAGGTGAAACCCCGTCTCTACTAAAAATACAAAAAATTAGCCGGGCGCGGTGGCGGGCGCCTGTAATCCCAGCTACTCGGGAGGCTGAGGCAGGAGAATGGCGTGAACCCGGGAAGCGGAGCTTGCAGTGAGCCGAGATTGCGCCACTGCAGTCCGCAGTCCGGCCTGGGCGACAGAGCGAGACTCCGTCTCAAAAAAAAAAAAAAAAACAAAACAAAACAAAAAAAAAACAACATGTTAATTCAAGGTAATTTTAATATATTTAAATTAAATTGATTATTTTAAAAACCCTGTTCCTCATTTAATAAATGATGCATGCCTATTTTAAAGTAATTAGGGGCCACGCACAGTGGTTCATGCCTGTAATCCCAGCACTTTGGGAGGCCAAAGCGGGCAGATCGCTTTGAGCCCAGGAGTTCAAGACAAGCTTAGGCAACATAGTGAGACCCTGCCTCTACAAAAAATTCAAAAGTTAGCTGGGTGCATGCCTGTGGTTCCAGCTACTAGGGAGGCTGAGACGGGAGGATCACCTAAGCCTGGGAGGTTGAGGCTGCAGTGAACCAAGATCGCGCCATTGCACTCCAGCCTGGGCAACAGAGCAAGACCCTGTCTCAAAAAAGAAAGGAAGAGAAGAAAAAGAAAAAGAAAAAGAAAAAGAAAGCATCATTTGTCAAAAAACAAATAAATATATATATAATTTATATATATATTTGTGGTTTGAGGACCAAATATACAACGAAATATAATAGTGTGGGCCAGGTGCCATGGCTCTCGCCTGTAATCCCAGCACTTTGGGAGGCTGAGGTGGGCGAATCACAAGGTCAGGAGTTCGAGACCAGCCTGGCCAATGTAGTGAAACCCCATCTCTACTAAAAATACAAAAATTAGCCGGGCGTGATGGCATGCACCTGTAGTCCAAGCTACTTGGGAGGCTGAGGCAAGAGAATCACTTGAACCTGGGAGGCGGAGGTTGTGGTGAGCCCAGATCACTCCAGTGCACTCCAGCCTGGGCAACAGAGCAAGACTCCATCTCAAAAAAAAAAAAAAAAAAAAAAGGAAAAGAAAAAGAAAAACAAATTAATAATAGTGTGTTATAGGATCAAAAACAGACAAAAATTGCTTTTATAATATGGTTGCCTTTTGTGCTAAATATTTTAAATTTTCTGAGTTTTATTTCTGAGATGTGAAATAAAAGATTTTAGGATTTATTGGGAAGTATTCCCCACAAAAAAAATATATTGTGGATATGGATGATTTGTCTTTCCAGTAAACAACAAGCCAAATTAGATTCAGTTGTCCTTAGATTTTGTTTTTTTTTAAACATCGTTTTTTAGGCCAGGTACAGTGGCACACTCCTGTAATCCTAGCACTTTGGGAGGCTGAGGCAGGCAGACTGCTGCTGAGCTCAGGAGTTTGGGACCAGCCTGGACAATCTGACGAAACCCCACCTCTACAAAAAAATATCAAAATTAGCCAGGTGTGGTAGCACCTACCACTGCTTGGGGGCTGCTGAGGTGGGAGGATTGCTGGAGCCCAGGAGGTTGAGGCTGCGGTGAGCTGTGATCATGCCACTACACTTCAGTCTGGGAAACAGAGCAAGACCCTGTCTCAAACAAACTAACGAAAAATAAATTTGGTTTTTGACCTGTCAGTGACTGAGTTTTGTTTTATTTGTTTGTTTATTTTTTCTGAGACAGGGTCTCATTCTGTTACCCAGGCTGGAGTGCAGTAGTGAAATCTTGACTCATTGCAACCTCTGCCTCCCAGGCTCAAGCAATCCTCCCACCTCAGCCTCCCAAGTAGCTGGGACTACAGGCACACACCACCACACCCAGCTAATTTTTTTGTATTTTTGTAGAGACGGGGTTTCACCATTTTGCCCAAGCTGGTCTTGAACTCCTGATTTCAAGAGATCTGCCTGCCTTGGCCTCCCAAAGGGCTGGGATTACAGGCGTGAGCCACCATACCCGGCCTGTCATATATTTTTTATGGTCCCACATGGCTATAAATTAAACAGTGTATAAATGACCAAGTATGAAAATAAGTTAAAGCTGTTTAATGATAAAAACCATGACAGTGAACCATGTTTATCTGAGCATGTTCCTCGACCCTCCACTAACCACCACCCTGGAACACCCCATACACCCTTGGAAGCTTTCCATGTTACCAGCTGAAAGAGGAAAATAATAGAATATTTTATTATTGATTTTTTTTTTTTGAGACAGAGTTTAGCTCTTGTTACCCAGGCTGGAGTGCAATAGTGCCATCTTGGCTCACTGCAACCTCTGCCTCCCGGGTTCAAGCGATTCTCCTGTCTCAGCCTCCCGAGTAGCTGGGATTACAGGCATGTGCCACCACGCCTGGCTAATTTTTGTATTTTTAGTAGAGACGGGGTTTCATCATATTGGTCAGGCTGGTGTCGAACTCCTGACCTCAGGTGATCCGCTCGCCTCAGCCTTCCAAAGTGCTGGGATTACAGGCATGTGCCAGCCACCATGCCCAGCCTGATTGATTTTTAAAAACACATTAAAACAGGTGCTATATCCACTTTTAATGTTGTGAACTCTTTGGAACTGGTTAGAAATGTGCATCATACCCCAACCCTTTTGTCTCAGTGATGAAACTGAGGCCCAGAGAGAGGATGGAAGTTGCCCAAGGTCATGCAGCAAGTCTGTAACCAAGGCAGGACAAGAACTATGGTTCTTACTCCTGCTGGGCTTGGCTGGCCTGAACCTGTAACTCTATCCCTCCTCCTCTCACATTTACTCCCTACCCAGAGCCCATGTAGTGAGATATGAATATAGATAAATTAATTAGATTTTTGTATGTGGCTGGTAGAATTAGTCTCTCTATATGGCAACACCTTGTTCATTCATTCAATTGACAAATCAATTGCTTTCTAGATAACATATGAGGCCAGTCCATCTGGCCCTGGCCTCCCTGTTTGGCTTCATGTCCTGCCCCTGCTCCCCTGCCCAGTCCACACCTCCTGCACTCTGCTTACATTGTCTTTCCTGTAAGACTTCTCTGCTTCCCCCAGGTCTGGCCCGAGTGCCCCTCTTCCCTGTACCCCATCACAGACTGTATCACACTTGTCCATCTCCCTCAGTAGCCTAAGCACCATTCAGGCAAGATTCCTCTTGTTCGCCAGTCTGCTCCCAGTGCCCAGAGCAGGGCCTGACCCATAACAGGTACCCCTTGAATCAATGATTGGATATGCCATTTCCAGGCAGGAAGAGCACACTTCCCTGTGCTCTCACAGCCCAGGGCCTCTGCAGAGGGAGTTTCTTGACCACCCTGTCAGTTCTAGCCTTTTAAATTGTCCAGACCCATGTCAAACATCCACAGGTCTGGCCCGAGTGCTCCTCCTCCCTGTACCCCATCACAGACCGTATCACACTTGTCCAATCAATAGTTCTGTGAAGCCTTCCTTCTCAACCTCCATGTCCCCCCACCCCACACACGGTAAATCCCTCCTCCTTTTGTTCCATCCTCCCTGCCACCCCATGCCACTTAGGACACTACTATCCTTGTGGGCAGGGACTTGTATTTTTTATCCAGGTCCCCTGGCACCTACACAGTGTGAGATACTGATTTAGGTGCTTAGCATTCAGCAGTGAACCTAGCAAACAAAAATCCCTGTCCTCATGAAGCACACATTGTGATTGTGAGGGGTGGGGGAACAGATCGAAAATAAGTAAAATGTAGAGCATATTAGTAAGTTACAAGTGTTGGCCGGGCGCAGTGGCTCATGCCTGTAATCCCAGCACTTTGGAAGGCCGAGGCAGGTGGATCACCTGAGGTCAGGAGTTCAAGACTAGCTTGGCCAACATGGTGAAACCCCGTCTCTACTAAAAATACAAAAAATTAGTCGGGCATGGTGGCAGGCACCTGTAGTCACAGCTACTCGGGAGGCTGAGGCAGGAGAATCTCTTGAAACCAGGAGGCGGAGGTTGCACTGCGCTGAGATCGTGTCACTGCACTCCAGCCTGGGCGACAGAGCAAGACTCTATCTCAAAAAAAAAAAGAAAGAAAAAAAGAAAGTGACAAGTGTTGGCCAGGCGTGCTGGCTCACGCCTGTAATCCCAACACTTTGGGATCCAAGGCAGGTGGATCACTTGAGGTCAGGAGTTCGAGACCAGCCTGACCAAATGATGAAACCCCGTCTCTATTAAAAGTACAAAAAGTTAGCTGGGCATGTAGTCCTAGCTACTTGAGAGGCTGAGACCCAAGAATCACTTGAACCCAGGAGGCGGAGGTTGCAGTGAGCCACTGCCCTCCAGCCTGGGGGACAGAGTAAGACTCTGTCTCAAAAAAAAAAAAAAAAGAAGAGAAAAAGAAAGAAAATAAAATAAAAAAGAAAGTGACAGTTAAAGACAAGAATAGACAGCAGGGAAGGAGGATAGGAAGAGTAGGGGGTGAGGCTGTGAGAAAGCCTTTATGGTATCCAGTATGAGGGAACAGATCTCTAGACTTGCACTGGCCGGACAAAGGTCTTGAGGCTGGAGGGGAGGAGGCTGCCCGCGATCAAGTTACAGCAAGGAGGATGGTGTGGCTGGAGAGGTGGTGAGCACAGGGGGTGGTGTCGAAGGGGAGGTCAGAGAGGTAGAGCAAGCCTACAGATCAGATAGGCCTTGTGGGTCACAATAAGGACTTTGGCTTTTGCTCTGACATAGGAGCCGCTGGTGGGTTTCTAGCAGAGAAGTGGCATGATCTCATTTTAACAGGAGCACTCTGGCTGCTGTATTGAGAAAACACTCAAGGAGGACAAGGACAGAAAAAGATCAGTGAGGAGTTTGCTGTGACAATCCAGGTGAGAGGCGACGGGTCTTGGACCAAGGCCACAGTGAGAAAGTGGAGGGTGAAGCATCTGAACATGAAGAGTAGGAGATGACTCTACATTTTTTTTTAATAGAAATGGGGGTCTCGCTATGCTGGCCAGGTTGGTCTTGAACTCCTGGCCTCAAGCGATCCTCCCACCTCGGCCTCCCAAAGTGCTGGGATTACAGGCGTAAGCCACCAAGCCTGGCCTCTACATTTTTGACCTGGGCAACAGGAAAGGAACTGAGATGAGGAAGACTGTGGGAGGAGAAAGATTGATAGAAAAGATCAGGATGAGTTTGTCTACTAGACAGCTAAAGGAACTGGGGCCTGGATGGCTGGATACAGAAGTCCAGGGTTCAGGAAAGATGGTCTAGGCTGAAAGTATACATTTGGGCATCATTAGCATAAAGATGCTCTTTAAAGCCTTGAGGACCAGATGAGATCACTAAGGGAAGCAAGTGTTTCAAGGAAGAGGGAGTGATTCACTAAGTCAAATGCTGCTGATAGGGCAAGTGAAGATGGGGCGTGGCAATGAATGAATAAACGCCAGGCCTGTTAGATATGCAAAGCGCCAGTGATTATTGAGGGTTAACTGACAACAGACAGGTGTAGAGACAAGATGGCTCTAAGTCACAGGAACACTTAGAGACACAGGGAAGGGAAGAACTATGGCATCTTGGAGTTGGAAAGGACCTTAACTAGGTCATTGAATCTGTACTCTTTTCCCCACCCTAGCCTGACAATTGAACCCTTGGCTGTAGAACAAGAAATATTTGCGGGATACTGAGGCAAACAGTCTGGCTAGGTAGGTTAGAGAAAGTACCGTTGAAGAATGAGAAAAAGGGTACTTCAGTAAATGCTGGACAGCAGAGGCAGGGTGAGGGAGTGGAGATGACCTTCCGAAGTCAGAAAACCAAGGTTCAGGTCCTGTATCTGCTGCTCCCTAGCCTCCTGTCCTTGGGCAAGTCACTTCACCTTCTCCAGCCTCAGTTTCCCCATGCGGCGACATCTGAATATGGTAGTGCTTGAAGGTAGTGTAAAAGTGTCCTGCCTGTGTTAGTTACTGCCAGAGCAAGGGAAGGAGGCCAAGAGAAGCCCTTGGTTTGGGATGGCAGATAGGACTATCAAGATCTCCGCAGGTGGGCTGGCGCAACGTGTGGAGAAGCGAACCAGCATTCAGGCCAGGACCTGGGCTGGAATGGACTGGGCTCGGGTGGCAAGGGGGCCATCTGGACAAAGACCGTGGCCCTGAATCTGCCTCCCCTGAGCCTGGAACGGAGGTGGAGACCCCGAGGCAGCAACAGGGAGAAGAAATAGAGACGCTGAGGCAGAGAGACCAGAAGACTCAGAGACGGGGAGACTAAGAGACAGACCCAGCAACAGGCGGCCTCACGGGGGCCCGCGGCGACCCGGAGAGGGCGAGGCACCGGGACACAGACCCGGGCCGAGAGGAGCCCCCGCGAGGCGCAGGGCCGTGGCGCGCGGGCGCAGGGTCCCCGGCGGGGCCAGGGTGGCCACACTCGCCGGGCGCCCCCTCCCGGGCCGCTCGCCCAAGATGGCGATGGAGGGGCGGGTGAGGCGGCAGCGGCCCTGGCCCCCGCGCCGGCCCCAGCTCGGGCCCGGGCCCCCGAGGCCGCGCCCCCGCCCGCGGCGCCGCGCCTCCCCGGGCCACTGACGCCCGGCGCGCTCTCCCCCCGCGGCGGCGGCCGAAGCACGGGGAGGCGGCGGCGGCGGCGGCGGCCCGAGCCCAGCCCCATGGCGCGGGGGGACGCCGGCCGCGGCCGCGGGCTCCTCGCGTTGACCTTCTGCCTGTTGGCCGCGCGCGGTAAGGGCGGGCGCCCGGAGAGGCAGGAGCGACTGCGGAGTGCTGGTGCGCCCGCGCCCTGGTCTGCATCGGGCTGCGGGGCTGGCTCAAGCCGGAGTCCCGAGCAAGTGCGGGGGCTGCGCGTCCAGGTGCCCGCGATGCCTGCGCGGGGGTCTGCGAGCTGCGGCCGGGGGGCGTTTGTGGGGCGTGCTTGTCCGCAGTGGGTGTGTGCCTTTGGTTCGCAGAGTCTGGAGTCGTGTGTGTGTGTGTGTGTGTGTGTGTGTGTGTGTGTGTTGGGAGTGCTCCTGTCGTGTCCGCAGTGCGTGCCATGGTCGCGGCGTGGCATCGGCGGGGCGGGTAGCTGCGGTGTCGGTGGCTTTCGCGGGGCGGGCTCTGCCTTGCCTGCGCGTGTCTTGGGTTGAGAGTGTGTGTAAAAGAGGAGGGAACTGGGGTTGTGTCTGCACCTCCATTTGGGTCGGGTGCGTGTGCAATTGTGTTTATGGGGCTGAGCTAATATTTGGCCTTGGCATTTGGGAAGTGTCCTTGCCCATAGTGGGGGACAGAGCGATGGATCCCGTTTGACTGGGGGTGGTGGTGATAAAACAACACTCAACTTTGCCCAGTGGGTGTGGTCCCTGGGGCCGGTTAGAGAGGGGTAGAGGGAGGTGTTGCTCCCCAAAACCTGTGGCCAGCAGTGGACTGGGGGAGGGGGCAGGAAACCATTTGCTTTCGTGGACATGTCCAGCGCTTGTTCTCACGATGGGACGCGTGTCACCCCGGCCCCACCCCCCAGGGACCGACCAGGGAAGCGTGGACGAGGTCAGCAGGGCCTCATCCAGTCCGCAGCCCAGTGCGGAGTGGGTACGGGGTAAGTCAGAGTTGTCCAAGCTGGAGAAAGGGCTGGGGAGGGGATAGCGAAGTCCCCAAGGGTGTGTGTCTAGGGCTGCGGCTTCCACCCACAGCTCTGTCGCTTCCTGTCCGGTGTGCGTTTGGGGGCGGCTCATGGGGAGTGTAGGTGGCAGGGCTGGGAGGGGGATGGGCTGGCCGCTTTGTTCGCCTAGTTCTTGCCTTCCCCGCGGAGGGGGGAGCTGAGGATGTGTCCGGGGAGAGTCGGGGAGGGACTTGGAGGTGGGGGTGGGGAGGGGGATTTCTCTCCAGCTGCTGCGGCTTTCCAGAGAGACTCAGCCAGGCCACGTGGGAGGGAGGCGGGGGGAAGGAGCCTCCGCCTGGCCAGCCCCAGGCCCATCTCCAGGAAAACCAAACAGCGGGTGGGAAAGTGCCGGGAACTCCTCGGACCCCTTCTGTCCCTACAAAGACACGCCCCTTTCCAGCCCCAACAGCGGATTAAGCTGGAGGCCGCCGCGAGGCTGGGTCTCGGCTGCTGGGCCAGAGGAGCTGGAGGCCCTGGCTTGTCAGGTGAAAGGGGCGGGGAAGTGTCAGAGAGAGGTCTGTCTTCCCAGAGCTCAGGGGATTAAGGAATAGTTCCCCTGCCCCACCTTCCGCTATTCCTAGGGCTCCTGGAACGAGCTCAGGGTCACCCAGCTAAACGGCATCAGGGCTGGGAACCGCACCGGCGCATTATTCAATACCTTTAGGACCTGCCGCGAGGGACCCAGCTTCCCTGGCCTCTCCCTGCTCCCGAACGCACAAAGCAGGCGAGGGACCGAGTTGCGGCGTCTCTTGGTTGCAGTGTGAGTGGCTACAACAGCTTGCCCTGGTCCTCCAAATCTCAGCAGGCCGGGGGACACTCCAGTCGAGTCATGACTAGCCACCCTGATCTGTACTGAGGTCATTCATTCGTTCAACAAATATTTATGGAGCACCTTTTATAGGCTAGCTTGTGCCTAGTGCCTAGAATATAGTAAATAAGGAGGCAGACCTGATCCCTGGTGCAAAGCTTTCAGTCTGGTGGAGGGGGAAACTGACAAGTCCCCTGAAGTGCTGGGGAAGACGCAGGAAGGAGGGGCTCCTACACCGATCTGGGAAGGTCAGCAAAAGCTTCCTGAAGAAAGTGATGAGTAGTAGAGCTCGACATGGAGTTAGCCCTGTAGAAGGAGAATGATGATGGGGACAGTTTTCCAGAGAACAGCATGTGCAAAGTTCAGAGGTGATTTAGTTGAGATCATTGGATTAAACTAAATCTAGCTGGAGTTTAGGGACAAGGGGTGGATGGGGGGCAGGTGAGGGAAGCATGGAAAGGGGTCAGGGAGTATCAAGACAGGAGGCTGAAGAGGGGAGCTAGATCCAGCTCACAAAGGGCTTTACAGGGCCCACCAAGGTTTCTGGCCTGAGAGTCCCCATGAGCCCTTGACAGGATTTAAAATCAGCTTTGCATCATCTCATTCCAGCCAGTGTGGAGGATGGATTGGGTGGGGCTGGAGGCAGGAAGCTCCAGCTCCTTCGAGGCTGTTGTAGCAATCCAGAAGAGAGGATGGTGGCAGCTAGCATAGTGGCAGTTGGGGTTGGGCTGGAGTGGCTGCATTCCAGAGATTTTCAGGAAATAGAATCAGTAGAACTTGAGGATAGATTGAATTTGTAGGGGGCGAGAGAGAGGAAAGTAAGAAATAGGCCGGGTGCGGTGGCTCACGCCTGTAATCCCAGCACTTTGGGAGGCCAAGGCGGGCGGATCACGTGAAGTCAGGAGTTCAACACCAGCCTGGCCAACATGGTGAAACCCCATCTCTACTAAAAATACAAAAGTTGGCCAGGTGTGGTGGTGCATGCCTGTAATCCCAGCTACTCGGGAGTCTGAGACTCGAGAATCGTTTGAACCTGGGAGGTGAAGGTTGCAGTGAGCTGAGATCACGCCACTGCACTCCAGCCTGGGCGACAAAGTGAGACTCTGTCTCAAAAAAACAAACACAACAACAACAAAAAAACATGAGGCAGAATGAAGGGCTGGTATTGGGGTTAGGATAATGCCTGTGCCTGCCCATCTCCTCCCAACACTGTTCTTGAGTCAGGGACTGGGACCCCTTTGTGAACAGGTGGCGAGAAGCCGAGCTCTGTTCTTATCACACGCACAAAGGTGGGGCTCTCGGCTCTCCCTTCTTCCCAAGTCAGAATTTGGAGGGTAGGGAACCTAGAGGTCAGTAATGGGAGGCCTCTAAGAACTTGAGAGCTTTCTCCTCACCTGGGAACTCCTCACCTCCCCCATCCCTTTCTCAGCCCAGAGGCTCAGAGGCCAATCTCAGTCATTTGGGGTGGGCCTCTTTCCCCATCTTGGAAGTTAGGAATCAGGTCAAACAGTTGGAGTTTCTTTTAATAATGAATCTTATCCAGAAGATACCTAAACCTTCATTGATCCTCTATGTGCTTTCATGACTCAATTAAACACACATTTACATGTTAATTAGCATTTCTTTTCTCCTAAACATATCTCTTTCAAGTGAAGCAATTTCACAATTAGCGCATCATTGAATGTCAGCACTGAGAGGAACTTAGAAATAATTTCAGGCCAGGCTCATACCTGTAATCCCAGCACTTTGTGTGGCTGAGGCAGGAGGATCGCTTGAGCTGAGTTTGAGACCAGACTGGGCAACATATTGAGACCTCATTTCTACGAAAAATTAAAAAAAAAAAAAAAAAAAGCATGGCGGTCATGGTGGTGTTCCCTGTTGTCCTTGCTGCTCAGGAGGCCGAAGTGGGAGGATTGCTTGAGCCCAGGAGTTCAAGACTGTGGTAAGCTATGATGGCTCGCACCACTGTTCTCCACCCTGGGCAACAGAGTGAGACTCTGTCTCAAAAGAAGAAAGAGAAAGAAAAGAAGAAACAATTTTAGCATGAACCTGTTTTTACAGATGAGAAAACTGAGTGACTTCCCAAAGTTACATGATTAGGGACTGAAATGGGGCCACCCTTTCTAGGGATACCCAAGTTCACTCTCTTTGCACTCCTCTATACCTTCTGAGACGTTATCAGCTTCATGCTCTCCCTCTCAAGTGGGTCTATCTGGGCTCTGGAATCCACCCTCCTCCACTTAACCCCCCCCACCTCTTTCTATTCTCTCCCATGGTACAGCAACCAGACTTGATACGGAATTCCAGATGCAGAGCAGATGTCATTACCAGGCAGGCTTGGGGGCAGGGGGAGGAGTAAGCATGGCTCTGAGGGAGAGGACCCCAGCCTGGTCAGAGGTGGGTGACAGGAGCTAGGGGGCCAGGGAAGGAAAACCAGAGAGTATGTTTTGGAGCCTGACATGCAGAGAAATCAAACCCTGTTACCTGTGCCAACTGGGCTGCCAGCTACTACTGCCTCACTGCTGAGGCTGAGTGAGGTATCCTTTGGATTTGGGGGCCCATGGGGTCCTTGGGATCAGGGAAGCAAGGACCAATAAGCTGTCCTTCAGGTGCAGACCCAAGACTCCTGGATGGTTCTATAAGGGACTTATGACCTTGTTAGATAGTTTGCAGGACAAAGCTCTGGCCAGTGAGCAGAAAGTACTGGGAGAGACAGGTGGGCACAAGAGAAATAAATTTTTTAACCATATGAGCCATACAGCAAGAGAACAGGCAAGGTAGTGATCTCCCCAGCCTGGTCATGTTTAAGTACAGGGTTTCTTTCAGTGTGGACTTCAGCTGTTCTATCTCTGCTTTTCAAGCATGTCATGTCTACTGGGTGCCACGCAGTGTGCTAGGCAGTTTCCACATGTCTTCCTGACATCCTTTCTTGCCCTGAAGGGAGTTACTGTTGTTTTTACAGATAAGGAAACTGATGCTTGGAAAAGCATAGGGGGCTCTATGCCTTATCTTTTTGAGGATGTCTTCATGGGTTCACTCATCCATTCAAGAAATGTTTATTGAGCACCTACTGTGTGTTAGGCACTGTTCCAGGTACCGAGGATTTAGAAAGCTAAGACATAACCCCAAGACTTTGGTGCCTAGTTGAGGAGAAAGGCAAGTCAAAAACCTAGAGTGAAGGCTGGGCATGGTGGCTCACTCCTGTAATCCCAGCACTTTGGGAGGCCAAGGTGGGCGGATCACTTGAGGTCAGGAGTTCGAGACCACCCTGACCAACATGGTGAAATCCCGTCCTACCAAAAAATACAAAAACTAGCCAGGCATGGTGGCGCACACCTGTAGTCCCAGCTACTTAAGAGGCTGAAGCAGGAGAATCACTTGAACCTGGGTGGCAGAGGTTGCAGTGAGCCGAGATCATGCCACTGCACTCCAACCTGGGTGACAGAGTGAGACTCCGTCTCCCCCCGCAAAAAAAATCTGGAGTGATAACTGCGATGATGGGGGTGCCAGCGTTCTACGGGGCAGAAAAAGGAGAGGTGTCTAAATCAACCAGGGACATCACAGCTGTTCTAGGGAGTGAGAGCAGCACCAGCAATGCGTGGAACAAGATGTGTTTTCAGAGAATTGGCCATGGTTTGCTGTGTGTGGAGGGGTAGAGGGTCTCAGGGGAGCGGGAGATAGGCAGGTCAAGCTGAGCCTGGCTTTGCTGTTGGATAGGCTGAGGCTGAGACTCTCCCCTCAGGATTGCAGATGAAGGGAGAGCTGAGGCCTTCCTTGTGTCCCAGGCAACTGTCCCAACTCTCCTTCCAGCTGTTGGGGGGAGGGGCTCAGCATGTGGTAAGGGAGGTGGCCAAGGTTGGGGGCAGGAAGGAAGGTTTCTGGAAGGAACCGACTTGTGTTCTCTGGGAAAGGAGAATGGTGATGGTGTCGTGGAGAATTTCTCCTGGGCTGCAAACAAGTAGTAAATCTGTTGGGCCCTGAAATTCAGAAGTGAGGAGGCACTGATGTGATGTTTGTGGCAAGTTCCTGGCTTAATAAAGGAGCCATCTTGGCCTCGTTGTTCCCCTCCCCCAGCTACACGCCCCTTCCCTAAGAATTCACTGAAAAATGGAACTCACGCCAGGCCTCCACTAATCCCACGAAACAGCATTGAGCTGGCCCTGGAGCTCAGCAGCGAATCTCCTTTCTGTCTGGGTTCTAATTGGCCTCATAAAATCCAGTTTATCCTGTAAGTGGGTAAAATAATCTGTCAGAAAAAGGAGATTGAGAGGTGGCCCTAGGGTTCCCAAATGCAGCAGCTCTGTGTCTCTGACAGGGTCTCACTGAGGAGATTGAGGAGAAGGGATTATGGGAGGGGTGGCCCCCTCAAGACAGAAAGCCAGCGGGCAGCAAGTGTCCACTGGGCACCTGCAATGTGTCCACCCCGGCACTGAGAGGGAGGGCTAAAAATGTTGGGGGTCAGCCATGACAGTGGGCTGGGGGTGGCAAGTAAGCGCTGGCCATGAAGCTCCTGGACAAATAAGGTCCCCTCCCCAGAGCATCGCTTTTATGAAAAGATTTGGTGGTATGGGAGCCACACTTATATTAAAACAAATATTGCTGTGTTATGGAGCAGAATGCAAAATGTGCTAGAGGTTTGGCCGGGCGCGGTGGCTCATGCCTGTAATCCCAGCACTTTGGAAGGCCGAGGCGGGCGGATCACGAAGTCAGGAGATTGAGACCATCCTGGCTAACACGGTGAAACCCCGTCTCTACTAAAAATACAAAAAATTAGCTGGGTATGGTGGCGGGCGCCTGCAGTCCCAGCTACTCGGGAGGCTGAGGCAGGAGAATGTCTCGAACCCGGGAGGCGGAGCTTGCAGTGAGCCGAGATTGCGCCACTACACTCCAGCCTGGGTGACAGAGCGAGTCTCAAAAAAAAAAAAAAAAAAAAAAAAAGTCAAAACATTTTAGGCAGTCAGCGAGCCTCGTAAATATGTGTTCCTCTGCTGTTGAGAGAATTTGGGTGAAAACGTTTGAGAAGTTTGGAGACTTCTCATTTTAAAATTGGGGAAACTGAGGCTGAAAGGACAAAAGTAGCTCACACAAGGTCATGCAATGAATGACTGGACTTAGAACCCAGGACTCTGAGGCCAGGCTTGTCCCACCACACCCCCTTGTCTGTCTAGGCAAGAGTAAGGGACCTGCAAGTGGTTTTCAGTGTGAGACTTAGGAAAAACTTTACCTGGGGAAGGTAGGAGCAGCCTCACAGAAGGGCTGGCACGTGAGTCCCTAAGGATGCGCTTCCTGGGCACAGAAATCAGGTTGAGCACAGAGGCAGAGAGAACCCTCTTATTCAGGAGCAGTTGTCTCCTCAATGCTGGTTCATCCCCAAAAAGTCAAAGAAGGGCAGTTTTCCCAGACTGTCTTCCACAGAGATGAGACCCCTCCCCAGGCCTCAGTTTCCCCATCTGTGGAATGAGGATTCTCAGGCTTCACAGACGTTTCCACTAAAATGGGCTGTCTTGGGCTCCTGGCACAGCACTGCTGCTCTCTGAGGGGGACCCCGTCTTCTCTCTGTGTCTACGTTCCTGTTGCTTTCCCTGTTCCTGCCTTGCTGAGCTCCTCAGAGGTGGGGAAGCCAGACATCTGCTGATCCATGAATATTCAGGAAGGGAATCGGAGCCTCCTCTGGGCTCCCCAGCCAGCCGCCAGCCCCTCTGGCGGCCGTCCTGCCTGCCAGAGCCCAGGCTGCTGACATACCCAGCAGCTGCTCGGGCCCCAACTGTTCACATTGTTTGTTCAACGCAGCAGGGGATTTTCCAAGCCTGGGACATGCTTTAGGGGGCAGGGAGGCTGCCGGAGGGCTCAGGGATTTGTGTCCTTTGGGGGTTTTCTCCCCTGAAACCCAAACCTACTGCTTAGTGGCTGGAATGGGCATTTGGAAGCCACTGGACTGAGAGCCGGGCTTGCCTTCCTCCTACCCTGTACTTGAATCATGGCATCTAGGGCCTTAGAGATAGAAGGGACTGGATGATAAGAACAGCAAATAGCACTTGTACAGCCCTTTATAGTTACAAAGTGCCTTTAAAGAATAAGCTCCCCGCCGGGCATGGTAGCTCATGCCTGTAATTCCAGCACTTTGGATGTGCTCTTCCAGAGCACTGGATCTTCCAGAGCCAAGGCGTGATCTTCCAGAGCCAAGGCAGGCAGATCACTTGAGGTCAGCAGTTCAAGACCAGCCTGGCCAAAATGGTGAAACCCTGTCTCTACTAAGAATACAAAAATTAGTCAGGTGTGATGGCGCATGCCTGTAATCCCAGCTACATAGGAGGCTGAGGCTGGAGAATCATATGAACCCAGGAGGTGGAGGTTGCAGTGAGCTGAGATCATGTCACTGTACTCCAGCCTGGGCAACAGAGCACAACTGTCGCAAGAACAAACAAACAAAGAATAAGCTCCCATTCCTTGAGTGATGTCTATTAGGCTCTGGGCTGTAGCCCTGACATACATTGTCTTGTTTAATTCCTTCACGCTTAGTGGTATCATCTTCATGTGGAAACTGAGTCCCAGAAAAGTTAAGTGGCTTGTCACAGAGCTGGTAGGTGGAGCAGCAAGACTGAAACCTTGATCTTCTTCCCCAAGGTCAAAAGCTGTTTCCACCACAGCACGTGGCCCGCAGTAGTGTGAATGCCAGATTGGTTTCCCCAACTAGAATGCAAACTTGGTGAGGGCAGGGGCTGCTTCTCCCTGCTGAGCCCGCGAGTACTGCTGAGACTAGTTGTGAAGCCAGAGGTGTCCAGCAGAAACCATCTGATGAATTAAGAAAGGCAGCAGCCCAGGTCAGGTCCTGTCTCTCCGTCCGCCCTTCACACTGCAATCCCAGGCCCTGGCCTCCTTATTTCACGCAGCCATCACTGCTCTTCTCCCCTCACTCTTGTTCCTCTTTGGAGCTGGTGGGAAGGGAGTCTGGAGACTCACAGGGCTTCTAAATGTTGACCTGTGTGTCCAAGTGTTGATGAGTGTGGCAGAGACTGAGGCGCATGTGTTTAGGAGTGCAGAGCTATGTTTACCAATTTGTGTGTGGTCTCAATGGTGTTTTATGTTTGTTCAGGAATAGGTGTGTCCATGTCGTGAATAATCATAGAATCATAGCATCTCAGAGGTCACCTGCTACATTCCAGTGAGCTGGGGCCCAGAAGGGGAAATGACTGGGCCAAAACCACATGGCTAGACTGTGATGGAGCTGGATCTAGAACCGAGGGTCTCCTGATTCCCTCGCCATTGTTTTGTGCACGTCCCCACGTGGCTCTGTCAGCCCAGACCTGCCTTGTGATGAGTATGGGCCATTGTCCTGACCTCTGGCCCTGGTTCCTCTCAGACATGCCATTCTGCCTTAAAGTAAGGAGTCAGACCAGAGCCTAAGAAGGGACCTTGGGCCATTGAGCTTTTATAAGACAAGGAGGCAGCAGGTCAACCTTCTGGAAGACACAACAGGGAGAACCAACCATTTGTCTATGAATAATGGTGGCTGGGCCCTGCAGAACATTGGTTCCAATAATAAACATTGGCTTTTGTGTGTTTTTGCCTTGACCCTGGGATGGCATTCCCTTCCTCTACTGTTTCCCTACTCTTCCCTTTGTGGCAAGGGCAGTGTTGGGGTCTGTAGGTTCCTCTGGGGCCTTGGGAGAAAAAAGAACCCTGGATTGAGTCAGGAGACCTGAGTCCTGGCTCTGGCCTCCTGCATGGCCTTGGGGAAATTAGCTGCAGGGAGTGTTGAGCTTCTCCAGTCACCAGTACAGACCAGGCTGTGGGCTGCCAGGGCCTGGAATGAGCCATGTGAGCCTCCTCTCATGCTGGGTCTGAATCCAGCTTGAGTCTAGTCCCTACCTGGGGCACTTAACAATTCCCAGCAGGATCTGCTCACTTAGTTCATTGTTGGGGAAGGGGGAATGTCTGACTTTCCTTCATCCAGGTGGCTCCCCCAAACAGCTGGGACTTATTTTTGTTTTGTTCATTCAAAATATATAGTATTCACACACACACACACACACACACACACACACACACATTTTCTCACACTTATAATACATTTTAAATGTTTCTTGGATATGGTATTTTTCTAGCCTGTGTGTGTGTGTGTGTGTGTGTACAGAGAGAGAGAGAGAGAGAGATCTATATATGTATATGTATGTATTTTAGACAGGATCTCACTCTGTTACCCAGGCTAGAGTGCAGTGGTGCAATCACAGCTCACTTCAGCCTCGACCTTCTGGGCTCAAGGGATCCTCCCACCACAGCTGGCTAATTAAAAAAATTTTTTTTTATAATGATGAGGTCTCCCTGTGTTACCCAGGCTGGTTTCAAACTCCTGGGCTTAAGCAATCCTGCTGTCTTGGCCCTCAACCTCACAAAGTGTTGGGATTACAGGAGTGAGCTGCCATGCCTGGCCTCCAGTGGCATATTTTTGATTGGGTAATAATGATCAATATGATCTGTTAGGTTCCAGGGTAGGGAATGACATTACTGAGCTCCCATTCTGTGTCAGGCACTGTGCTTTTTTTTTTTTTTTTTTTTTTTTTTTGAGATGGAATCTCATTCTGTCACCCAGGCTGGAGTGCAATGGGGCGATCTCGGCTCACTGCAATCTCCACCTCCTGTGTTCAAGAGATTCTCCTGCCTCAGCCTCCTGAGTAGCTGAGATTACAGGTGCGTGCCACCACGCCTGGCTAATTTTTGTATTTTTAGTAGAGACGGGGTTTCACCATGTTGGTCAGGCTGGTCTTGAACTCCTGACATCATGATCCACCTGCCTCGGCCTCCCAAAGTGCTGGGATTACAGGTGTGAGCCACTGCACCCAGCCACTATATTCTTTTCTCACAGAGTCTCGTTCTGCCAGCCAGGCTGGAGTGCAGTGTCGTGATCGTGGCTCACTGTAGCCTGGAACTTCTAGGCTCAGGCGATCCTCCTTGCTTCAGCCTCCTGAGTAGCTGGGACCACAGGCCTGTGCCACCATGTACAGCTAACTTTTTAAATTATCTGTAGAGACGGAGTCTCTCTGTGTTACCCAGGCTGGTATGCTTTTTTAATTGAGAGACAATTCACGTACTACAAAATTCACCCTTTACAGTGTTCAACTCAGTGGTTTTTAGTATATTCATATTCACAACGTTGTGCAACCACAGCCACTATCTAATTCTAGAACATTTTCATCACCCCCAAAAGAAACCCTGTACTCATTAGCAGTCACTCTCTGTCCTTCCTCCTCCCAGTCACTGACAATCATTAATCCACTTTCTGTCTTTATGGATTTGCCTCCTCTGGGCATTTCGTAGAAATGAGATCATGCAAAATGTGGCATCTTATGATTGGCTTCCTTCACTTAGCGTCAAGTTTTCTTGCTACCTTGTAGCATGCATCAGTCCTTCATTCTTTTTGATGGCTGAGTAATCTATCCATTCATCAGGTGATGGGCTTTTGGGTTGTTTCCACTCATTGGCTATTATGAATAATGCTGCTATGAGGAAATTGAGCAGCAGGGGAAGACAGGCACAGAGGAATGCAGCAGTTTGTCCAAGGTCACAGTTAGTAAGGGGAGAGCCAGGATCCAGATGCAGGTGTTTCTCCTTGATTTGCCCCAGCCCCTGCATGGGTGACTCAGGAGCAGAGGCTGTGGGAGGTGGGGGGACATACACTGATGGCCCCGTGCTCCTCCTCTATGCAGGGGAGCTGCTGTTGCCCCAGGAGACGACTGTGGAGCTGAGCTGTGGAGTGGGGCCACTGCAAGTGATCCTGGGCCCAGAGCAGGCTGCAGTGCTAAACTGTAGCCTGGGGGCTGCTGCCGCTGGACCCCCCACCAGGGTGACCTGGAGCAAGGATGGGGACACCCTGCTGGAGCACGACCACTTACACCTGCTGCCCAATGGTTCCCTGTGGCTGTCCCAGCCACTAGCACCCAATGGCAGTGACGAGTCAGTCCCTGAGGCTGTGGGGGTCATTGAAGGCAACTATTCGTGCCTAGCCCACGGCCCCCTCGGAGTGCTGGCCAGCCAGACTGCTGTCGTCAAGCTTGCCAGTAAGTGCTTGCATCGGGCGGGGGTCTGAGGCTGAAACCCAGACTTGGGGTGTGCGAAGTGGGATCTGCAGTTAGTTACTTGCACAAATGCCTCTCTCTTGATCCCACTCCCCCTTTCCCTGCCTCCCATCCTGCTCAATAGGTCTCTTCCTGGTATTGTCTATCCTCATTCTTGGGTATTCCATAATCTTCCCGCTTCTTCTCCACTCCCCTGTTCCTTCTGCTTTTCTTTCCCTTTGAGTCCTAGAGTCTGGGCTTGTGCTGTCCTCCAGGGAGCCTGCCAGAGTGCCCCCTTTGTGTCAGAGGCACAAAGCTGCCTCCTAAGGGAGCTCCTGCCTGCACGGCAGGTGGAACATGTGGAGCCAAACCCCACGCTCCAGCCTTACCCCTTAGGGGGCTCTCAGGAGGCACAGATCACCATGAAGTAACTTTCAGGCCAGAAGAAGTGTGCATCTTACTGTATAGTTTGACCATCATGATGATGTTGGGCAGGGGGGCTTTGGAATTCATTCTGCTGGCAGTATCTGACCGCTAATCACCACTTCTTGTTGTGTCTCCCTCGGTCTGAATTGGCTCTGCTGTGTGTTTCTGTGACTGTGTGTTTCTGTGTCTCCATGCGGATGTGTTTCACTGTTTGTGCTTGCTGTGGCTTCTCTCTCCTATTCTTTTCCCGTCCCTGCCTGTGTCTCACTGTCCCCAGCACTCGCAGACTTCTCTCTGCACCCGGAGTCTCAGACGGTGGAGGAGAACGGGACAGCTCGCTTTGAGTGCCACATTGAAGGGCTGCCAGCTCCCATCATTACTTGGGAGAAGGACCAGGTGACATTGCCTGAGGAGCCTCGGTGAGTGCCCTGTAGGGGAGCGGGTCCTGGTAGGCAGGGCAGAGAGGGCTCTGGGGTGTGCTCAGAACTGAGATTCTTAGAGTCGAGGTAGCTGCATTTACCTAAGCTGACTTGAGTGTTAACCACCGCCTGACTCCTGGCTCATGTCTAGTCCCAAAGAGAAGTTGGACAAGAAGTTTTTGCTCCCTGGGAGGAAGCCACCCATTGAGCTGTGGAGCCTGGGTAGGTGTAGTAGTAGAGTCCTTCCCAGCACATCTAGTCCAACCACTTGCTTTATTGTGGAGACTGAAGGCCAGAGAGGAGCTGTGGCTTATCCCAAGCCGTACCATGAGCCATTGGCAGAATGTTGGTTGTCTGTTGAGGGCTCCCCGAGGCTGCTGGGAAGGTTTTCTCTTTTCAGGGTTCCTCCGGAGTTTCCACTCTAGATGCATAACTTCTCTTCCTCTCTCAATTCCATCCAGTGGGGCGTAGCCCTCTGAGAAGTGAATTGTAGAGGTCTTTCCTCTTTCACTCTCCTCTTTCCCTGTAAAGGCAATGGATGGGTAGAGCAATCCCAGGGAAGAGTTTCCAAGGCGGAAGGGAAGCAGAGGCTAGACCTTGGACTTGGTCCCTCTTGTGGCTTCCTGGGTAGGTCCAGATGTGTATGCAGCGTACCAGAAACCACAAGGCTCATTTGCATCTGTGGTCTCTGAGTTGGTCTCATGACTCAGTCATCACCCCCTGGATTCTTACGTATCTTTGGAAATGTGGCTCCAAGGCCTTTCCCAGCCACCCTGCAGTCCTCTCCCTATATCTCGGTAGCTGTAGTTACCAGCTAGATCCTTCTCCCGTCCTGGTGGAGGTGGGGCTCCTTGGGCTCTGAAACACTGCCCTTTCTCCCCTGGATCCAACCTTCTGTTGCCTGTGTTGCATTGTCCCAGCTCCTCTGACTTTTGCCCATGTGTAGGTAAGGATGGGGGTTGTAGGAGAAACTTCGGGGTAGAAAAGCCACAGGACAGTTGTGAGGGAGGAAGAGGGTGAGAGGTCCATACATAAGAGATCCTGGCTGGGTGTGGTGACTCATGCCTGTAATCCCAACCTTTTGGGAGGACGAAGCAGGAGGATCACTTGAGCCCAGGAGTTCAAGACCAGCCTATGCAAAATATCAAAACCCAGTTTCTATAAAACAATACAAAAATTAGCCCAGTGTGGCAGTGTGGTGCCTGTGGTCCCCGCTACTTGGAAGGCTGAGCGAGATCACTTGGAGGTTCAGGCTACAGTGAGCTGGAATAATGCCACTGCATTCCAGCCAGCCTGGGTGACACACCGAGACCCTGTCTCAAAAAAAAAAAAAAAAAAAGAGAGAGACATCCTGTTGACTTTGGTGATGGGTTAGCCCCACTGGTCCTCAGAGAGTCACTTCTCACCCAGTCTATTCTCCTTCCCACCTATAAAATGAAAGGGGGAAACAAATGAAAATTGATTTAGATTGTGGTTTCCCAAAGCGTGGCCTTTATAGAATGTTAGTCCCTTTAAATGCTTCTTGAATGAAGTATTCTATGATCAAATAAGAACAGGAAACTGCCTGTAAATCTCCCTCCTGGAGTTGGCAAGGCCCTGAGAAGTGCTGTATCGAGAATCCTGTTGACCTTGTTTAACGAAGCACTTCCTAGGCTCGTTTGCCCAGGAGCCCCTTAACATCCCATGAATGAGCATTCTAGAGGGTGAACCCTGGGAAATGCTGACCCAGCCTTTCTAACACTGACATTTGAAGTTCTGTGCCTTTCTAAATGTGGAGCCTGTCACCACTGTGTGATGATGGGTGCCTCCTGGGAGTTCCATGAACCCAGAACAGATGAGCTAGGCAGGAGAGAACCACGCGAGAGCCTACTCCTGATGCCCCCCAGAGAGGGTAGCAGAAGGCAGCAAAATCTCCCCATGTTGAAAGTCACAACATGAACCACTTAATGGGAGTGTACCTTGGGCCAGGCACGTGCTGAGCCTTTTACATGTTTTCTCACTTAACCCTTCCAATCATCCTTTAATGTAGGTATTTCTTATTTTCACATTTTCCTCTATTTACTTTTAATTGATATTCCAGCAGATGCATTTTTAAAATTCATATCAATATGGCTGGGCGCGGTGACTCACGCCTGTACTCCCAACACTTTGGGAGCCAAGGCGGGCGGATCGCTTGAGCTCAGGAGTTAGAGACCAACCTGGGCAATATGGTGAAATGTCATCTCTCAAAAAATACAAAACTTAGGCCGGGCGCGGTGGCTCACGCCTGTAATCCCAGCACTTTGGGAGGCTGAGGCGGGCGGATCACAAGGTCAGGAGTTCGAGACCAGCCTGACCAACATGGTGAAACCCTATCTCTACTAAAAAAAAAAAAAATACAAAAATTATCCAGGCGTGGTGACGCATGCCTGTAATCCCAGCTACTCAGGAGGCTGAGGCAGGAGAATCACTTGAACCCGGGAGGTGGAGCTTGCAGTGAGCCAAAATTGAGCCACTTCACCTGTCACCCAGGCTGGAATGAAAATACAAAACTTAGGCCAGGTGCAGTGGCTCACGCCTGTAATCCCAGCACTTTGGGGGGCTGAGGTAGGTGGATCATCTGAGGTCAGGAGTTCAAGACCAGCCTGGCCAACATGGTGAAACCCCGTCTGTACCAAAATTACAAAAATTAGCTGGACATGGTGGCAGGCGCCTATAAACCCAGCTACTCAGGAGGCTGAGGCAGGAGAATCGCTTGAACCCAGAAGGTAGAGGTTGCAGTAAGCCAAGATCACACCATTGCACTCCAGCCTGGGTGACAGAGGAAGACTCCGTCTCAGAATAATAATAATAATAATAAATTATATTGTACATACTAGGTTTTTTGTTGAATCATCTTTTTTTTTTTTCAAAAACAAAAATGGGATTATGTTGCAATTTTAATTTTTTTTTCACTTACCACTTGATAAACATCCTTCCAGGTCTGTACATATGGATATGGTAGGTATTTTTATCTGGATTGTTAAATGAGGGATTGGAGGATCAGAGGCAGAAATAACTTGCCCCAGGTCACACAGCTTAGTACTCAGAGTGTCAGACTCCAGCGACCTGCGTGGAGGATACACAGGCCTCTGGTAGGTGTCATTTGGTGGCTGGGTGCGGAACCTGTGAGGTCTGAAGAAGTTTGTATCACATTACAACTTTAATTTTTTAAAAAATTAATGGTGGATTTAGAAATCTGTAGTCCAACTGTGGCTGGGAGCAGAGAAGTTACTTCCCCAAAGCTTCTCAGCACACCAGTGGGTTTCAGACCTCCCCACCACCCCCAACGTCTAGCTCAGGCGTCATCCCGTGAAGCCACAAACCTAACCCAGGAGGCCAGAGCTGCCAGTTTTTGGACTCTGGGAGTGTTTGCCCCCAAGTCCTCTGAAAAGTGATCCTCATCTATAAATAAGCTAGGCTCGCATGTCCCGGCACATTGTGTGGGGGGAATAAAGAAATGTCTAAAACAGCAACTTGATTATGCCCAAGGTATGTATTTTTACACATGCCCAGATATAGTGCATGCACAAATATGCTATTCATAAACTCAGCCCAGTGGTTTGAAGGAGACCGTATGCCTTGGTGTAACGTGGCACATGTGCAGTTAATAAACACACTGCGTCAGGGTGTATGTGCTTCGTTTGGAACTGATGGTAAAGACTAGACCCCAAGGCAAATCCCCGGTACTCATACTATTTTCTAATAATAGGGGATAATCTAGGGGATAATTTTTCTTTCATGGGAACTAGTAATCAATGAGAGCAATGTTTCCCAAATCCCAGGTATTCAAAAACCACCTTCATAATTGTGACCATACTTATACCATTTACACAACCACTTCATAATTTTCTTTACATCAACTCGCTCTTTCGTAACTTGAACACATTTTAAAAGGGAACATTATCTCACTGCAATAAAATGGAAAACCAGCAACACTTGCCATAAATAGAAGATAGCCATAAAAATAAATAATGTAACTTCTAGGATAAAAAGCCATGTATCTGGATCCACTTGAAATCATTTTGTTATCGCCATTCACTCACATTTTAAGAAACATGGAACTAAGGGACTTAAATAACATGGGCTCCGGCCCTACCCTCTCCCAGTGGTTACCATTTCTGTCAATCTCATGTGACTTCCAGCCAGTATCCCCTTGCCCTGGGTGGATCTCAAGGGCTTAGGGTGGGGGCTCCTTGGCCCTTGGGAAATTCAGAGCAGCTGCGTCATTTCTTCTGTGTTCTTTAATCCTCGGGGCCCAAGTGGCCTTTTGTGGGTAGGAGCAGCAGACTCAGGTTTGAGGCTGGAAAAAGAATCATCCCTTCCTTTCGAGTTGAGATTGTTTTTCATTTTATAAGTAGCTTTTATTTTATTTGAAATTTGAATTTCTCTTAAAATGGTAGAGTATACCAACTTTACAGAAAGGGGAAAAAAGTCACCTACTGACTGAACACAGCTTTTACCAATTTGAGCGTCTCCTTGCAGTCTTTTGAAATACGTATATGGGTTACACCATTGTAAACATGTGTTCAGAGCTTGCAATTCATAAATATGTTTATGTCCGTTATCTAATGTGAGCTCAAAACACAATAAGAGGGTCAGGGTTGTGAAGAAGGCAGGACAGGAATTATTTAACCCATTTTTCAAATGAGAAAACTGTGGCCCAGATACAGAATGTCACTTGCTAAAATCACATACATTGAAACCAGTTCTCTCCAGCATGTCACAGTGCTTCTGTGTTAGAGCCCAAGTTACAAACCAAAGTGTACAAGGGCACAGATTATTAGCAATTTACATTTAAAAATTTTTATATTTCCTAACTGATACATATTAATTGCAAAAAAAAAAAACCCACTTAACAGGCACAATAAATAAGAATCCCCCGTAATCTCACTCCTACAGAAAACCCCCATAAACCACACGAGCTTTGCCACCTGTGGCTTTTTCTATGTATATCCTAATATAACTTTTCTCTATTTTCTAAAAGTAGAATTTCTTCATAAACACTGTTTTTTTACTCCCCCCCCCCCACTAACTAATATATTTTGAACACTTTTCCAAGGACAGAGCTTCTAAAAACACATTTTAGCAAAGCAAAAGATTTTTTTGAGTCAGGGACTCACTCTGCCACCCAGGTTGGAGTGCGGTGGCACAATCACTGCTCACTGCAGCCTCTACCTCCCGGTCTCAAGCAATCTCCCCACTTCAGCCTCCTGAATAGCTGGAACTACAGATGTGCACCACCATGCCTTGGCTAATTTTTGTATTTTTTGTAGAGACTGGGTTTTGCCATGTTGCCCAGGCTGGTCTCCAACTCCTGGCCTCAAGCAATCCTCCTGCCTCTGCCTCCCAAAAAGCCCGGCCAGAAAAGATTTTAGATGAACCCTAAAAGTGGTTCCATCTTGCCTCTATTGGCTGCAGCAATAGCACCATATCTGGGGAAAGGAATTCATTCATTCATTAATTTGTTCATTCATTCATTCATTCACTCAATCACATCATTAAGGGAATGTTATTTTTTCAAAGGAGAGACTACCTCTTGAGTACTTGGAGCACAATATTCCCTGGAAAGACCTAGAAACACTGGGGTTAGGAAATGTAGGCAGTTCCCAGCAGCATAGTCAGCTCGCTAGTTCGAGGGAGGAAAAGAGGAGAAAGAAAGGTCTTGGAGGAAGAGCACGTTAGATGGATGGGGGTGGGGCCTGTTTTCTAGGTGGGTCCTACTTGTCCTTCCCCAATTCGTCCTTTCCTGTCAGTTCTTCTCTGGCAGCAGACTGGGTCCTGGCCCAGGATTTTGCTCCAGCCACACTTGTCTCCCTGTCCCTTTCTCTCGCTCTGCCCCAGCACTTATGTAGGCAGCTGTTGGAGCTGAGGGTGAGAGGCTGGGGGCAGAGGTGGGTTTGCCTGTGTGATGCAGGAAAGAGCAGGGCATATTTATGCTTTTTTTCTCTAAGTCCTTTAAGTCTTTGGGCCACAGCAGGTTTGTAGGGCCCCTGTTTAGAACATTCTTCCTCCCCAGCCTTTGAACTACTTCTCCTGTTCCATGTTTAGATTTTTTTAGACCCCACTTCCCCAGGAGCTAAGGGATCTCCACCAAGCGCACAACTGCCCCCTTCCCTCTCTGACCTTGGCCCAGCCTACATCCCAGAGGCCAGCACCATTTGCTCTGTTGAGAAACTAGGATTCTCAACCTGGAGCTGACCCTGTAGGGATCCCAGTTGGAGGATTCCGAGGGACCCATTCACCCCCTCCTTAGGTCGGAGCCCACTCTGGTCTCCACCACCCCAACCCCCATGGAGACCTCCCTATCCCAGATTACATCGTTTCTCAAGTAAGGTCTCTGGACCTTTCTATTTCTTTAGCCCAGAGGGCAGGGAACACCCTCATCCATCATGCCCCTTCTAAGTAACATACGTGTTGGCTGGGTCTGCTTGGAGACCACGTCCTCTCCAAGGGCATTCTCAGCCATCCAATGGCTGCCGAGACAGGCAGGTAGGACAAATATGACATTTGGCACCAGAAGACTTGGGTTCGAGTTTTCACTCTGCTCCACCTGTGAGATCCTGGGAAAATACCCTCCTATTTTTCACCAGTAAAATGGAGGTTGTGACCTCCTCTATGTCTTGGGCTTGTTTTAAGGGTCACATGAGATAGTGTGAATAAAGAGTATTTTATTAAGGGAGGGAGAAGGTAGTATGGGCAAGGGGTAAATAAAATTCCAACTGTATACAAGGATATATAATAAAAAGTCAGTCCCTCCCACCCTCAGTCCCCTGGATCCCAGGTCCCCTCCCCAGAGACAACCACTGTTACCAGGAACATTGAATGTATACGCAAGCACAGAAGCCTACATGTCCCCAAACATATTGTTTTGTACCAGAACACATTTGGAGATGGCCCTCTATCAGCACACACAGAGCTGCCTCCTTTTTAGCAGCTGCCTAACATTCCATTGTGCGAATGTACCCAAACAAATTTAGCCAGTTCCCACCCTGCAGATGAACACTTGGGTTGTTTCCAGCCTTTTGCTATCACAGACAGTGCTGGAGTGAATATCGTTTAACACATGCTCTTGTGCACACATCTGAGAGTATCTGTGGGATAGAGCCCTAGAAGTTTTGATGTTGAGATATCACCAACTTGCCCTGGACAGATGGTGTATGGGCAGGGCCACCATCGAGGCAGGAGTGCCTTCCTCCATTCCCTCATCCACACGGAGTGTTATTAAGCCTTCTGATTTTCACCAATCTAATAGGTGAAAATGGTGTCTTAGAGTTTTTGTTTGTTTGTTTGAGATGGAGTTTTGCTGTTGTCGCCCAGGCTGGAGTGCAATGGTGCAATCTTGGCTCACCGCAACCTCCGCCTCCCGGGTTCAAGCGATTCTCCTGCCTCAGCCTCCGGAGTAGCTGGGATTACAGGCATGCACCACTACGCCCGGCTAATTTTGTATTTTTAGTAGAGACGGGGTTTCTCCATGTTGGTCAGGCTGGTCTCGAACTCCCGACCTCATGTGATTCGCCCGCCTCGCCTCCCAAAGTGCTGGGATTATAGGCGTGAGCCACTGCGCCCAGCCTGGTATCTTAGAGTTTTAATTTGCATTTATCTTACCATGAGCCACCCTCCCTGTGGCCCCCCTGCCCACCTCACAGTTGCCTGCTCCCCTCTTCCCAAGGCTCATCGTGCTTCCCAACGGCGTCCTTCAGATCCTGGATGTTCAGGAGAGTGATGCAGGCCCCTACCGCTGCGTGGCCACCAACTCAGCTCGCCAGCACTTCAGCCAGGAGGCCCTACTCAGTGTGGCCCACAGAGGTAAGGGGGCTGGCTGGGTGGGGAAACCTGGGGGTTTCTGGAACCAGCCACCTCAGAGCTGGGAGGGACCTCAAGGGGTCCAGGCCTTGCCTTCAAGTAGGTGATAAATGTTAGTCCCATTGACTGGTGAGGCGATGAAGCCCAGAGAGGGTACTGCCACCCAGCAAACCAGAGAAGAAAGAACTGGGCTGGAACACAAGACCCCAGACTCCAAGGGCAGGGCTCCTCTCTTCATGCAGAGCCTGTGTGCCCTCTGGTTGGATGCAGTGTCGAAGGCTGGGGACAGAGGTGGGGATGCGAGGCATCTGAGGCGGTGTCAGTGCCCGGAAGCCCTGCTCCCTGCCCCTTTCTCTCCTGCCCTTCTATAGTCACTGAGGGGTCCAGGCACTGGGGGTTCGTCCCTCTCTGCTTTCTGTGCCTTGCAAATCTGGCTACCTGTGGCCTAGTGCTCTTATCCTTTACTCGTTTCTTTGAAAAGCTCTTGCCCCAGTGTGATGGATTAGGAAGGGCACAGTCTTTGGGGTTGGAAAGACCTGGTTTGAATCCTGCCTTCTCTGCTCACCATCTGCATGACCCTGGGCTCCTTATCAAATGCCCAGCTCAGAGAGGCTCGAAGAGTCCTTGAGATAAGAATGGAAAGTGCCTGGCACCTGGCAGGTGCTCAACAGATCTCACTTCAAGCCTCCCCCAGGGGCACCTCCCTTGCTTCCCTTTGCCATGCATCCCTCCCACCTCCCACCCACTCTCTGCACTCCCACCCCGTCCCCATCCTGTTCCTTCTGGGCTTAGCTGGTAGGCTGCTCCCAGTCTGGTGTCGTCTTTCTTCTGTTCAAGGGGTATCTGCCTCCACCTGCTGGACAATCCAGATATTCACCACTCCACCCAGGGGGCCAGGGTCACACAAAGAACTTGGCAGGAAATCAGGGTTTAGGGAACTGCCGCACAGGCAGAAACTCAAGCCCACTGTCTGCCTTTTCCACTGGGAAATCCAAGGCCTTTTGGAGAAGGGATTTGCCAAAGGTCACCCAGTGCGTTAATGGCAGTGCTGGAACTAGAAACTATAACTGTTGACTCCAAGTCTGGTGCTTTGCCCATGACCCTGACAGTCCTCTGCCTAGATGGTGGGTTGCATTTGGGAGGGAAGAATGGAGGTAGGTGTGGGTCTGTCTAATCATTTCTCTGGTGCTGAGTTGAAGCCTAGGCAATTCTTCTGGCTCTAAAAGAAACAGCTCAGAGGTCCAGTCCCAGCCCTGCTGAATTTTATGGCTACGTCCCCCATCTGACAGATGGAATCATTGCTGCTGTCCCCGGTACCACCTCACCAGGTTACTGTGAGACTCAGGTGAGGTATCGCATGGCAAATGCCTAATGGTAAGGCTGCCTGCTGGTCTGTCTTCTCGCCAGGGTCCCTGGCGTCCACCAGGGGGCAGGACGTGGTCATTGTGGCAGCCCCAGAGAACACCACAGTGGTGTCTGGCCAGAGTGTGGTGATGGAATGTGTGGCCTCAGCTGACCCCACCCCTTTTGTGTCCTGGGTCCGACAAGGTGAGTGGAGGGGGTGGGAGAAGGAGGGCATGGGAAGGGAGGGATGTGGCATCTCACATGCCCCTAAGTCAGGGGGATGTATGGGTGACGACCCAGTGGTCACGAACCTTCTGGTGTGGCACGAACTCCTTTCCCAGGGCTGGGTGTGGTGGTCAAGGTCGGAGCTGCGTGGGGAACTGGACAGACTTCCTTGTCACTCTGTGTAGCATGTGCTTTACAAAAGCACTTCCAAGCTGCCACTTACAGAACGGTTATTGCAGCCCTCCTGAGGCCAGGTGCTGAGCTAGGTTCTCCACCATAATTACATATTTCTGTTCCTCACAACGGTGTTACAAGTGAGTACTTGAGAGCTGGGAAGGTGCCACACAGCCAGTGAGTTAGGTGGAACCAGACCCCTCTGTTGGTCCGTGCAACTATAAGGCAAGCTCTGGGTCCACCCCAGCATACTGCTGTCTTTGTGTGACTGGTATCATACTGGGCACAGTGAACAAAACACAGAGAGGCAGGGACCCTGCCCTCTGAACTCATCGTCTAGTGAGGGAGAGAAAACACACATCTATGAAGAGAGGTCTGACAGTATCAGGCTACAAGTGAGAAGTGCCACTGAGTGACTGGAGATGCCATCAGGGTAACGCCAGTGCTGGGCCAAATTTCACTGTGCAGTCTCCTAAGCACTTTCACACCTGTTCTCCTGTCAGCCTCCAAGAGCCCTCTGGGGAGAGGAGGGGCCAGAACTATTATTCCCAGTGGGCAGATGAAGAAACTGAGGCTCAGAGAGGCAGTGGAAGAGCTGGGACCCAAGCTTTCAAGTCTGTTCTCTTTTTGGTATGCCAGTTCCTACAGTCCTGTAAAAAGAAAGCAAGGGTTATTTTTATTTCCATTTGTTGTTAAAAAGTGACTTGTCCCAAGTTGATGGCAGAAGTAAGTTTTAAATCCAGTTCTTTTTACCCCTTTCCCCAACTCATTCTATTACTCTATACATCTTTAAAAATATAAGTTTATATCTCATACTCAAAAGTGTATATCACGAATATATATAGTTTAAAGAAAATAAATTGAACAACTATTAATATGTACCCACCAATGAGCTGATAAAATAGAACAGTGCTGGCATTTTCGCACCTATCTGACCTGCACTGCCTCATTGGACCTGTGACACTTGCCTACTTAGGGGGCCAGCAGGACCCTTGTACTACTGGGATAAACTTGTGGTATCACCTAGAAGTTCTAATGTCAATATTTCTTAATTCCTGATTATGCATCAGGGTTACCCAGGGGACTTATTAAAACTGCAGACTCCTTTCTTCACCCCGGAGAGTCGTGTTCCAGGAATCTTTTTTTTTTTTTTTTTTTTTTTTGCCTGTCACCCAGGCTGGAGTGCAATGGTGTAATCACAGCTTACTGCAGCCTCCAACTTTTGCCGGCTCAGGTGATCTCCTACCTCAGCCTTCTGAGTAGCTGGGACTACAGGCATGTGCCGCTATGCCTGTATTTTTTTGTAGAGACAGGGTTTCTAGATGTTGCGCAGGCAGGTCTCAAACTCCTGGGCTTAAACAACCCACCCATTTTGGCCTCCCAAGGTGCTGGGATTACAGCCATGAGTCACTGCGCCCGGTGCTCCAACTGAAAGTGTGCTCTTCAGCTCTACTACCTATGACTAGTTAGAAATGCAGAATCTGGGGCCCTGCCTCAGTCCTCTACATCTTAACAAGGTCCCCTGCTAATCTGTGATTCGTGTGCACAGTACGGATTTGAGAATTGCTGTCCCGGAGGATCCTGACACCTAGGAAGAGAAGGGCTGGAAAGGAGCTTCATTCCTGACCCCAAGTACTGCTTTCTTTCCAGGAACTTACTCCACTAAGTCAGGGAAGGGGCATGGGTTGTTTGTTTTTGATTTTGTTTTGTTTTGTTTTTTTGAGACAGAGTCTCGCTCTGTCGCCCGGGCTGGAGTGCAGTGGCGCGATCTCTGCTCACTGCAACTTCCGCCTCCCGGTTCAAGCGATTCTCCTGCCTCAGCTTCCCAAGTAGCTGGGACTACAGGCACCCGCCACCACGCCTGGCTAATGGTTTGTATTTTTAGTAGAGACTGGGTTTCACCGTGTCAGCCAGGATGGTCTCCATCTCCTGACCTCGTGATCCAACCTCGTGATCCGCCCACCTTGGCCTCCCAAAGTGCTGGGATTACAGACAGGAGCCACCGCTCCCGGCCTGTTTTGTTTTCTTTCTCTCTCTCTCTTTTCTTTTCTTTCTTTTTTTTTTTTTTTTTTTTTTTGAGATGGAGTTTTGCTCTGTTTCCCAGGCTGGAGTGCAGTGGTGTGATCTTGGCTTACTGCAACCTTCGCCTCCTGGGTTCAAGTGATTCTCCTGTCTCAGCTTCCCGAGTAGCTGGGATTACAGGCATGCACCACCACACTCGGCTAATTTTTGTGTTTTTAGTAGAGATGGGGTTTTGCCATGTTAGCCAGTCTGGTTTCGAACTCCTGACCTCAAGTGATCCACCCGCCTTGGCCTCCCAAAGTGCTGGGATTACAGGTGTGAGCCACTGTGTCCGGCTGTTTTGTTTTCTGACTGCAAATGTTGTACATGTTCACCGTAGAAAACTAGGAAAAAAATAGATGCAGAAAACACTCAAACACTCCACTACTCAGAGATAAAAATTGTTTATGTACCAGTATATCTTCTTTCAGGTTTTTCTATGCCTATGTACAGTTTTCTCCCTGAAATTGAGAACATGTGCCGCATTTATAGTTCCAAGTCCTATTTTCATTCAACAGTATACCATAAGCATTTCTCTATCTTTAAAACTTTTTCAAAAAATTGTAATGACTAATATTCCATACTTTAAATATAGCTATAATGTAATTCACCAGTTCCTGCTGTTGGATTTTTAAGTCCTTTCCAGTTATCCGCTGTTACAGTTAACACTGCAGTGATCTGCTCTGTTCACAAATACTTGCCTGTACTTCTGATCATCTTCCTAGGACAGGTACACATAAATGGAATCCTTGGCTTCAAGGCCTAGGTGAAGCTCCTTTATGGCCCTTTCTCCAGCATTGCAATTTACTATTTTTAAAAATGTTCTCAAGTTGATGGGTGAAAATTAACATCTGTGTTTTAATATCTTTTTTTTTTTTTTTTTATAGAGACGGAGTCTCACTATGTTGCCCAGGCTGGTCTTGAACTCCTGGTCTCAAGTGATCCTTCCACCTCAGCCTCCCAAAGTGCCAAGAGCACAGGCATGAGCCACCGTGCCCAGCCTAACATCTGTTTTGAAGTGCCTTTCTTTGATGACATGAAGTTGAACATTTTTGTGTTTCTTGGCTATTTGCATTGCTTCTCTAGATTTTCTGTTCATGTCTACAAGGCAAGGGCTTTTTAAATGGTTTTCATTTCACATTGAGGTAAAACTTTGTGCGCATTCGAATCGTTGGCTTGGTCCGACCTTACCAGCCCTAGCTTCATCATAGTACTGGGCTGGGACCCCAGGGAAGGAGCATGTCCTTCTTGAGAGAAATGAATTCAGTAATGAAAACTGACGAGTGTGCTGAGCACCTATGATTAATATATGCCTGCACTGTGCCAGGGGTTCTGACATTCTTTCAATCCTCATGGAAACCCTGCCAGTTAAGGGCTAATTCCCCCTTACAGATGGAGACAGCCGGGCTCAGAGAGTCCCAGCAAGAGGAGGAAATGAGATTCGGACCAGGGACGGTTGTGTTTGCTTTATCCGGGTGCAGAGTGTTCCTGAGGTTCGGAGACTGAAGGGAAGGGCAGTCCCTAGCGTCCCCTCCAGCGCGTCTCCCTCTCCTTCCCCAGACGGGAAGCCCATCTCCACAGATGTCATCGTCCTGGGCCGCACCAACCTACTAATTGCCAACGCGCAGCCCTGGCACTCCGGCGTCTATGTCTGCCGCGCCAACAAGCCCCGCACGCGCGACTTCGCCACTGCAGCCGCTGAGCTCCGTGTGCTGGGTGAGGCGGGCCGAAGGGCGGAGGGAGCGGGTTAGCTGGGGCTGGGGTGAATAGAGCAGGGGGAGGTGGACGGGTGGGTGTGCTGGGGGCACTCAGGCGCTCTCCTGGAGGACGAACTCAGGGAGGAGTCCCTAGTAAGGCGGAGGTGGGACGAGGGATGGGGACTTGGTAACTGGAGGACGGAGTGCGGGGCGTTGAGTCTGGGATGGAGCGAGAGGGGTGATTAAGGCCTGGAGCGGGTGATTAGCGGGGAGTTGTGACTGGGGTTATTGTGGGGATAGTGGAGTGATCTGAGTGGTACTAAGAAAACTGGGGGGCAGGGTAGATCTGGTAGGTGTGGGACATATGGGAGGGCAGGGAGGAAGGAGATGGGTAAATTTAGGGGTGGGGTTAGATCCGGGAGGAGCAATATTTAGGGGAGGCTGAGGAGGCCTGGGGACAGTTTTGGGAGAGAAAGAGAATGGTCGTTGTGGGGCTGGGGTAAATGGGGAGAAGAAAGGGTAGGTCTGCGCTGAGCCGGAGTAGTTTGGAAAGGGTGAATCAGGGAGAGGTTAAAGTGATTGGAAGGGGAGCGAGGGAGGGCGGTGGGGGGCAGGCTTGGGGTACTGGGGGGGGGGCAGAGACCTTAGTTGCGGGATCCCGCGCTCAGCGTCGCCCCTCGCGCCCCTAGCGGCTCCCGCCATCACTCAGGCGCCCGAGGCGCTGTCGCGGACGCGGGCGAGCACAGCGCGCTTCGTGTGCCGCGCGTCGGGGGAGCCGCGGCCAGCGCTGCGCTGGCTGCACAACGGGGCGCCGCTGCGGCCCAACGGGCGCGTCAAGGTCCAGGGCGGCGGTGGCAGCCTGGTCATCACACAGATCGGCCTGCAGGACGCCGGCTACTACCAGTGCGTGGCTGAGAACAGCGCGGGAATGGCGTGCGCTGCCGCGTCGCTGGCCGTGGTGGTGCGCGAGGGGCTGCCCAGCGCCCCCACGCGGGTCACTGCTACGCCACTGAGCAGCTCCGCTGTGTTGGTGGCCTGGGAGCGGCCCGAGATGCACAGCGAGCAGATCATCGGCTTCTCTCTCCACTACCAGAAGGCACGGGGTACGTCGGCCTGGGGCGGGATGCACCAGCGCAGGCCCGGGCGGGGCGCAGCCAGAAGGGGTTCAGGTCGGATGACTGAAGGGTTGCCTGATGGGTACCTCTGCGGCAAGGATGGACTGGGGTAGGAGCCCATAGGAGAGACCCGCATAAGTATGGTAGGTATGGATTAGGCAACTGGCGCTGGAAGGGCCACTGCTTCCCTCAGTCATGTTTGTTGAGAGAGGAGGGAGAGGACGTTCCTGGAGCCACCTCCCATCCCAGTTAACTAACTGGAGAGGGGGGTCATTTCCAGAAAGCACTCCCTAACCAGTGGAGGAATTAATACACTGAGACAGGAAGCTGAGGGAGTTTATACACTCCAGCTCAGATTATCTGGGATGATTTAGCTATAAATAGACACCAGGACAATATGAAGGATTCCTATACAGACTCCAGCTAGCCAGCACGGGGGGGTGGCACTATGACAGTCCCCTTGTCCCCCGTGTCACCAGGCATGGACAATGTGGAATACCAGTTTGCAGTGAACAACGACACCACAGAACTACAGGTTCGGGACCTGGAACCCAACACAGATTATGAGTTCTACGTGGTGGCCTACTCCCAGCTGGGAGCCAGCCGCACCTCCACCCCAGCACTGGTGCACACACTGGATGATGGTAGGGCCTCTGAACTCGCAGTGGGCAGCTTGGGGTAAAGAGAATTCCCTGGGGAGGGGAGCTCACCCTCTCTTTACTAATGTAAAGGCATTTTTACCTGCTCATATCATCTTTTGTGCCCCGTAAGAGAGTGGGCGGGGTTCTTCTCCTCAGTTCACAGTTGGGGAAACTGAGGCCCAGAAAATGAGAATGATTTGCCCAGGTCAGTAGTTCAGCTGGGACTTAAGCCCAGGTCTGTGATGATTCCCTGTGTCATGCAGTTCTCCCTGACACCTATGTGCCATCCAGCTGGGGTAGGGGCCAGTGACATTAACCCATTAGACGTGGAAGATTGTGCTCCAAGACTTTTTCCAGCTTCAGGGTGGGAAAGATGTCCCCTCATCCTTCAGCTTGGGGCTCCCCTGAGAAGCTCCCTTTCCTCCCTCAGATCCTGGTCCTGGCCTACTTCTGACTTGCTGTGTGACCCAGGCAAGTCTCTGACCGCTCCCGAGCCTCACCTTCCACGTCGGTGGAGCAGAGCTCATGCTGATGTTCTTCTGTCTCAGTCCCCAGTGCAGCACCCCAGCTCTCCCTGTCCAGCCCCAACCCTTCGGACATCAGGGTGGCGTGGCTGCCCCTGCCCCCCAGCCTGAGCAATGGGCAGGTGGTGAAGTACAAGATAGAATACGGTTTGGGAAAGGAAGGTGAGTGGGGGTGGGTGGGCTGCAGGCATGTATGGGAATGATCAACGTGAAGAGCTGTCAGGGCTGCTGGAGACCTGAGCAGGGTACGGGAGTCGGAGGAAAGGAAGCAGAGTAGGGGTTGGGGAAGGGTGAACCTGAAAAACAGGGGTCTGGGCAGGAATGAAAAGGGAAGACAGAGGGGCCTAGCTTAAGGCAGAGGGAGGCCTGGGCTCTCACCCCAACCCCTCTACAGCTGCAGTGTGTACTTCTACTGAGTCCCTGCCTCAGTTTCCTTATCTGGGAAATGGGGGGCTGAGGTGGGAGGATCACTTGACCCCAGGAATTCAAGGCTGCAGGGAACTGTGATCGTGCCATTGTACTCCCATCTGGGTAACAGAGCAAAACTCTGTCTCAGAAAAAAATAAAAGGATAAAAAGTTAGGAGGAGGAAGGTAGCTGAGGGACCAGGGGAAGGGTGAGGAAGGAGGGAAAGGTGAGGAAGGAGGGAAGGGTGAGGAAGTGGCCATGGTGGCCCTCAGGGCTCTGGAAGCCAGGCGTTCTTGCTGGCCTTCATGGTCAGCCTCTTGTGTCTGCATCCCGTGTGTGTGTGTGTTGGCAGGGGATGGTCATTGACAGCTCCTGGGGAAGTGGGGAAAGCCTGCCATCATTCTCCCTGCAGCTGAGCCCAGGCTGATGGCCTGCATCAGCCAGAGTTGGAGGCTCAAGCGTCAACCCTGGAGCCATAGAATCTGCCCAGGCACTGAGGGGTCAGTGCTGAGAACGCCTCAGGCTCCCACGGGCACGGAGGAACCGGGATGTGAGGCGGAAGAGCCATGTAGGGGGGTTTAGGATCCTGTTCCTCAGGTGGCTACCCAGCAGCCCACCTTTTCTGTCCCTGCAGATCAGATTTTCTCTACTGAGGTGCGAGGAAATGAGACACAGCTTATGCTGAACTCGCTTCAGCCAAACAAGGTGTATCGAGTACGGATTTCGGCTGGTACAGCAGCCGGCTTCGGGGCCCCCTCCCAGTGGATGCATCACAGGACGCCCAGTATGCACAACCAGAGCCATGGTACGGGGTTAGAGGAGAGACAGGACAGTGTGTGTGTGACTGTGTGGGTGTGCGTGTGTCCTTGGGACCCAGCGCCCCACCCCCTGGCCCCGCCCTCCATCAGAGACCTTCCATGGCTCCCTCCGCTTGATGGGTGAGTGAGGCTTAGGTGCAGAGGTGAAGGGCTGGGATCTGGTGTCCCTTCGATTTGCTGTGTGACCTTGGACAAACCATTCTGAGGCTTCATTTACTGCCCAGGAATGGCATGAGGTTGAATAATGTATTGTAACTAAAGTGCTTAGTACATAAAAACTCATTGAATTGTAGCTGCTTCGAGGATGATGGTGATGATGATTGTTTTTGTTGAGAGGCCCAATAGAAGAGTGATTAAATGCTGACCAAACCGGTCTACATGCTCTCTATGCGACACTAGGTAAATTACTTAACTCTCTGAGCTTCAGTTTTCTTATCTGTAAAGCGAAGGTTGTAGTATTTTCACTATTTTAGAGGGTTGCAAGGATAAAGTTATAATAACTACACAAAGTGCATAGGACAGTGTTTGACACATTGTAAGCTCCTCACTCTCAAGTGGGTCTCCCTACTGTAATGGTGGCATCCCTCCTTCCTGGCCTCAGCAACCACCACCCCCACTGCCCCCAGTGTTTGATCCTTCAGAAGACTTCACAGAGGCCGATTCTGTGCCAGGTGCTATCAGCCTACTCCAGAGGTGCTCCTTGCTGACCCCTTTGCAAATGCCCAGCGGACACCCCTGCATTCCCTGCACTCTGTGCTTGTAGAACAGTGAGTTCACCTCTAGACCAAGCCCAGGACTGGCACTTAGAGTGGTGGCTGAGTGGTGATGTGTTGGGAGAATGCTGGCAAAAGGCTCTCACTGAATGCCATCTTCCTGTCTCTTCCTCATGCCTCTTCCCTGTCTCCTATCCCTGGCCTCCTTCTCCTCATTCTGCATTCTGTTCCTTAATTTTCCCATCCTGCTCCTCTGCCCCCCAGTCCCTTTTGCCCCTGCAGAGTTGAAGGTGCAGGCAAAGATGGAGTCCCTGGTCGTGTCATGGCAGCCACCCCCTCACCCCACCCAGATCTCTGGCTACAAACTATATTGGCGGGAGGTGGGGGCTGAGGAGGAGGCCAATGGCGATCGCCTGCCAGGGGGCCGTGGAGACCAGGCTTGGGATGTGGGGCCTGTCCGGCTCAAGAAGAAAGTGAAGCAGTATGAGCTGACCCAGCTAGGTGAGGAGGGCTGGGGGGAGGGGGAGGGAGGGATGTAGCTTCAGTGGGGACTGGGCAAGTTGTGTGAAGAAGTTAGAGATGGGATGCTCTCTGTGGACGGGAGAGTGACCCCAGATGTCCCCCTAGCCATTAAGCCCTGTAACCTTCCCCAGTCCCTGGCCGGCTGTACGAGGTGAAGCTCGTGGCTTTCAACAAACATGAGGATGGCTATGCAGCAGTGTGGAAGGGCAAGACGGAGAAGGCGCCGGCACCAGGTGAGGGCGGTGGGGGAAGAAGGCGGGGAGGGCTCAGGTGAGGGCTCTGCTAGCCGCTTCCTCTTCTTTTCCTTTGGGCCAGCCTGGTGAGCAGGTACTTTAGTAGCCTCAGCTCATGCCCAAACCCATTCTCCTAGGATCAGGGGTCCTCTTTTAGCTCCAGAGAGCCTCTGTCATGGAGAGAAGCTTGTTTGTTCACTGTCTTAGGCCTGCCACCTTATTTGCATTACCCATGAATAGTGCTGATTTCCAAAGTTTGAACAGAGGGAAACCCTATGGTTGATCAGTAACTCCCGACCCCAAGTTTGACTGTAAAACAAGTTTTTTTAAAAACACATTTGTCTACATCACACTATCAGACTATCTCTCAAGTCTAAGAAGAGTGAGTATCCCTGTGTGACCTAACGGGAAACTGAGGCTCAGAGAGGAAAAGGAACTTGTCCAAGGTCACACAGAGCCTAGGCTACAACTGGGACTCCTGGTTTCCAGGCAAAACTCTTTCCACTGCACTACACTGCCTTGTGGCCCTGCATTGGACACCTCAGTTGCCCATCATGATACTCCCTCACCCCTAACTTCCCAGCCACATGGTTTAGCAGAGGGAGTAATCAACCAGAAGCCATGAAGCTTGGGTTCTTTTTTTTTCTTTTGAGACAGAGTCTCACTCTGTTGCCCAGGCTGGAGTGCAATGGTATGATCTCAGCTCACTGCAACCTCTGCCTCCTGGGTTCAAGCAATTCTTGTGCCTCGGCCTCTTGAGCAGCTGGGATTACAGGTGTGCACCATACCTGGCTAATTTTTGTATTTTTAGTAGAGACGGGGTTTCACCATGTTGGCCAGGCTGGCCTTGAACTCCCGACCTCAGGTGATCCACCCATCTTGGCCTCCCAACGTGCTGGGATTACAGGTGTGAGCCACCACACCCAGCTGAGTTCTAATTCCAGTTTGTTCATTTCTTCATTCAGCAAATATTTCGCTGAGTGTCTACTAAGTGCCAGCTGCTTTGGGAATTTAGTGGTGGACAACACAAATAAGGTTCTTGCTCTCTTGGGGTTTATTTTATGTTTCTAAAATAAACACTTATAAATATAGTGTTTATTATATTTCAATTTCCTATCTATTTTTAAAATATTAAATAATTTAATCCTCATAACAACCCCATGAGGTAGGTACTATCATTAGAATAGTGAATGGAGACACAGAGAAGGTAAGTAATTTCTCCAAGGTCACACAGCTAGTAAGTGTCAGAGCTGGAATTTGAACCAAGGCAGCCTGGTTCCAGAGTCTGGTTCCATGGTTATTCATTGCTGTGATTTGCTGCCTCTCTCTTTATTACGTTCTTACAGACTAGTGTTCCACAGTCAAAAATCAAATTCTTGGAAGCCTCAATTGCCTTATCTGTGAAGTAGGAATGATGCCACTCAACTCACAGGATCAAAGGAGTGGGTCAAAGAAACAGCCTTGGGAACTGTAAACCACTATACATATTTAAGGATGAGTATCCTCCCTCCCTTCCTCACACTCTAGTTTTCACCTTTCAGACATGCCTATCCAGAGGGGACCACCCCTGCCTCCAGCCCACGTCCATGCGGAATCAAACAGCTCCACATCCATCTGGCTTCGGTGGAAAAAGCCAGATTTCACCACAGTCAAGATTGTCAACTACACTGTGCGCTTCAGCCCCTGGGGGCTCAGGAATGCCTCCCTGGTCACCTATTACACCAGGTGGGGACTAATGCCTTTACTAATGTAAAGAAGGGAGGAAGAATAGGTGGGGGGTGGTGGTGGGAAGGCAGCAGGTGGTGATCAGGGAAGGGCCCCTGGGATTCAGGAACATGTCATGGCTCACCTGTTACGCTGAGGCCACACAGAGGGGCTGCACAGGGTCCACGTCCTTGCCTGCTGACCAGATGGTAGCAAGGAGGCCATCCAATCCCGTCCCCTCACAACAGAGCCTTGTTCTCAAACTCCGGAGAATGTGACACAGGACAGACCTGTTTCTCCAACCTCAGAGGGCTCCCAGTCTGATGGTGAAGAGAACCCCACCCCTGTCCTCAGAGCTGCTCCCTCTACCCTGTTAGATGGGGAGACAGAGCCTGAGGAGCCTGAGGTTTGGCGGAGGAAAGTCGCATAAAAAGCAACCGATATATACAACTGCCATGAAGGCAAAATTAAGCCAAAGAAAAGATGCATCGGAGATGATTCCATAGGTGGAGAATAACTTGGATTAATCCAGGAAGGTTTCCTGGAGGAAGGGGTCTGGTTTCGAGATTGGACTTGGAGCAGCATACATCCAGACTTCTCTGTAGGTCCCTGGGTGGTGGTAGTCGCCTCCAGGCCAGGGAGCAGCTTCCCTTCCCAGGGTAGAGCCTGGGGCTGGGGCTGACTGCAGGGGAGTAGATTTGGAGGAGTCTGCCCTGCTGGGAGAGTGTGCCTGAGAGCACTAGTCACGTTTCTTGCCTTAGCAGTTCTGGAGAAGACATCCTCATTGGCGGCTTGAAGCCATTCACCAAATACGAGTTTGCAGTGCAGTCTCACGGCGTGGACATGGATGGGCCTTTCGGCTCTGTGGTGGAGCGCTCCACCCTGCCTGACCGTGAGTGGCTCCCAGCCCCTTGCCACCAACCCATCTTTTGCCCAACTCCTTCTTGCCCCAGCAGCAAGAAACATACTTCAGAACCCCAAGGTTTGGGCAGAGCTGGGGGCAGAAGAGTTTCTGGGAGGGGAGGAATGTTAAGTCCCTCCAACCACACATACTGTTTTCTAGAATTCCCCAACTAGAAACCAGACCTCATCTTTGCTTTGTGGCTTGTTCCATGAAGGAGGAAGAAGGGAGGTCATATCATCATGCTCTGTCCCCCAGCTCTGACATCTCTCCCCATCTCCTCTCCCGCACCCCAGGGCCCTCCACACCCCCATCCGACCTGCGACTGAGCCCCCTGACACCGTCCACGGTTCGGCTGCACTGGTGCCCCCCCACAGAGCCCAACGGGGAGATCGTGGAGTATCTGATCCTGTACAGCAGCAACCACACGCAGCCTGAGCACCAGTGGACCTTGCTCACCACGCAGGGTGAGGGCTCCTGCCCCAGGGCATCTGCTCAAGAGCTTCCCAGCCTCTCCCGCTTCCAGCAGTGAGAACAGTGCTGGGGTTTGTTCCAGGGGCTACTGGGAGAAGCAAGCAGAAGCTGCTGCCTAAGTGGAGAGCAGACTCTCCCAGTCCCCTCCCTGCCCACCTCTGCATCCACCCACCCCATCCACCATCCCTGCTCTCCCTGCCTCCCTCACCCCCAGGAAACATCTTCAGTGCTGAGGTCCATGGCCTGGAGAGCGACACTCGGTACTTCTTCAAGATGGGGGCGCGCACAGAGGTGGGACCTGGGCCTTTCTCCCGCCTGCAGGATGTGATCACGCTCCAGGAGAAGCTGTCAGGTATGAGCACAGGGCAGCCCAGGTTTCCCTGGATTGACTTCCAAGCCCCTGCCTGTGGACACAACTACAATTTCATTGTTTTGCACAGCTGTCCTCCAGGTTTGGTGGGGGCAGAGCAAATGTGAAGGGGAAATAGGTGTGGTTCAGTGATAACTTGATTCAGAGGCCAGGTTCGTGGGGGACTGGCTTTTTTTTTTTTTTTCTGAGATGGAGTTTCACTCTTGTTGCCCAGGCTAGAGTGCAATGGCGCAATCTCGGCTCACTGCAACCTCCGCCTCCCAGGTTCAAGCGATTCTGCTGCCTCAGCCTCCCAAATAGCTGGGATTACAGGCACACACCACCATGCCCGGCTAATTTTTGTATTTTTAGTAGAGACAGGATTTCACCATGTTGGCCAGGCTGGTCTCAAACTCCTGACCTCGTGATCTGCCTACCTTGGCCCCCTAAAGTGCTGGGATTACAGGCGTGAGCCACCATGCCCAGCCAATTATTGTATTTTTTAGTAAAGACGGGTTTTCACCACATTGGCCAGGCTGGTCTCAAACTCCTTACCTCAGGTGATCCACCCACCTCGTCCTCCCAAAGTGCTGGGATTACAGGTGTGAGCCACTGCATCCAGCTGGGACTGGCTTTAGAGACCAGTTTCTTTGGGAAATTGCTTTGATTGGAGGATTAACTTGGTGAGGTGATGAGCTTTATGGTGTGGAGGTGGACAGCAGGACTGGCTACGTAATTTCCAGGGCCCAGTGCAGAATGAAAAGGTGCTATCCCTTATTTTAAAAATTAGAGGTCGGACGGCCAGGCGCGGTGGCTTATGCCTGTAATCCCAGCACTTTGGGAGGCCAAGGTGCGGGCGGATCATGATGTCAGGAGATCGAGACCATCCTGGCTAACACGGTGAAACTCTGTCTCTACTAAAAATACAAAAAAAAATTAGCTGGGCGTGGTGGTGGATGCCTGTAGTCCCAACTACTCAGGAGGCTGAGGCAGGAGAATGGCGTGAACCCGGGAGGAGGAGCTTGCAGTGAGCCGAGATCATGCCACTGCACTCCAGCCTGGGCAACAGAGCGAGACTCCGTCTCAAAAACAAAAACAAAAACAAAAAAAGCTAGAGGTCGGGCATGGTGGCTTGTGCTTGTAATCCAAAGTGCTTATGCACTTTGGAAGGCTGAGGTGAGAGGATCACTTGAGGCCAGGAGTTGGAGACCAGCCTGGACAACATGGTGAGACCCTGTCTCCACAAAAAATTTAAAAATTATCTGGGTGTGGTAGCTCATGCCTGTGGTCACAGCTGCTTGGGAGGCTGAGGTGGGAGGATCACTTGAGCCCAGGAGGTTGATGCTACAGCGAGCCGTGTTCATGCCACTGCACTCCGGCCTGGGTGACAGAGCAAGACCCTGTCTCAAAAGAAAAAAAATTAGAATTTTAAGGTGGTGACAGCAGAGCATGAACTCAAGCGTGGGGTCCATCCAAGCATGGGGTCTGCGCACCTGCACATGTTGCACACCCATGCAACAGCCCTGGGAGCAGGCAACACGTGCTTCACCAAAGGCCAGTTTGAGGCAGAGAGACCATAACTTCTGGGTGTGTTTTAGGGAGGACAGTCAGAGGGAGAGGTAGTAGTAGTTTCTGTGAGGCTCAGGGCCCTCCTGTCCTTGTATCAGAAGATTGTGAGCATCTGAAGGGTGAGGGTCCAGCTGGTGTCTCCTGAGAAAGCCATGGATAGTCCTGATCTATGCCCTGTGCCCTTCCTCTGTCCTGACCTGCTCTGTGCCTCTCTCTCCCCCACCAGACTCGCTGGACATGCACTCAGTCACGGGCATCATCGTGGGTGTCTGCCTGGGCCTCCTCTGCCTCCTGGCCTGCATGTGTGCTGGCCTGCGCCGCAGCCCCCACAGGTGAGCAGGGGAGCCAGTCTGACTTCAGGGAAGGGAGACTTCCAGGAAGGGCTGCAGAATGGGCCATCAGGGAAAGTGGCCATGACTTGCCCTTGGCACTCCCAGGAGCCCCGTTAAAGTCAGGACTCTGGGATGAAGGAATCAGGGATGATGTCCTCCTGAGAATGGGGAGTGGACTTAGGGGAGCCCCAGCCTACCCTCCTCAGCAAGGCCAACAGAACTGCCTCACTCCCACTTCCTCTGTAGCTGCCAGCATCTTGGAAAGAGGGGCCCCAAATCTCCAGATGCCTGCAGCCAAGGGAAGAAGAGCCCTGTTTACAGCATCAGGCTGTTTTGAACAATAGCAGTTTTTCTTACTCATTGCACAGACCAGGAAAGCAAATCCCAGAGATGGGCAGGAACCTCCCCAGAGACATAGGCTGGACCAGATCCCAGCCCCGCCTGACCCCTTACTCTGACCGCTATGCCTTGTTTTCCGTCTTCCCTTCCAGGGAATCCCTCCCAGGCCTGTCCTCCACCGCCACCCCCGGGAATCCCGCGCTGTACTCCAGAGCTCGGCTTGGCCCCCCCAGCCCCCCAGCTGCCCATGAATTGGAGTCCCTTGTGCACCCCCATCCCCAGGACTGGTCCCCGCCACCCTCAGACGTGGAGGACAGGGCTGAAGTGCACAGCCTTATGGGTGGCGGTGTTTCTGAAGGCCGGAGTCACTCCAAAAGAAAGGTAAGTCAGAGCCCCACATTGCGGCTCTTTTCTAAATAGGACACCAGGGGGCGACAGAGCACAACGCGTGGCTATGCGAGCATGGCTCTACCTCCTCTTCGGAGCCGGCTGCGGACGCTAGGGCCTCTCTCCCTCCTCCACGGAATGGTTGGCTGTCAGGGAAGCACATGGGCCTCCATATCCCGGCGGAATAGGTCAGCTTGGTTCTCACGAAGGAAAGGGCCTCCCAGCAGGTGACCCAGGGTAGCCAGAACACCCAGCTCCCTCCTCATCCCTGGAGCTGGGGAGACCTCTGAGACCCAGACATCCCCGTGTGGGGAGAAGAGGCCAGTCGGCTTGGCTGTGGCCAAGTGGGACTGGGACCAGGATAAGGTGAGGCCTTCGCTGGGCTGGTCCCTTTCATGCTGGCAGGGGCGGCACATCCCACCCAACTCCGACCCGTCCTCCCTCACCCTCTCCCCGCCTGGCTCGGACACCGCGGGCTTTGCAGAGCGTCTGGTGTTCCGCTCCTCTGCAGGAGGACTCATCCTCAGATTACCCCGCTGACTCTGAGCCCTTTCGATGCTCCTCCCCAGAGCCTTGGAGAGGGAGAGAGCAGCGGGTGACAGTCTGGACCCTGCTCCCCCGCGGCCCATCCCAATTCCCTCCCCCGGGCTTCCCTCTCCCAGCCAATCCTGGTCGTGCCCCTTACTGTCCCCTTCTTTCCCCCGTGCAGATCTCCTGGGCTCAACCAAGCGGGCTGAGCTGGGCTGGTTCCTGGGCAGGCTGTGAGCTGCCCCAGGCAGGCCCCCGGCCGGCTCTGACCCGGGCCCTGCTGCCCCCTGCTGGAACTGGGCAGACGCTGTTGCTGCAGGCTCTGGTGTACGACGCCATAAAGGTCAGCGTCCTGGAAGGAAGGGGCAGGAAAGGAGGAAAGGGTCTCTGTGCTTGTGAAGAGGAAGTAATGAGTTCTCTGGAGACCCCTGGGTGGTAACTTTCCTGGGGATAGAAGTCTAGCCAGGAGACCCCTGGAGCCTCCAAAGGTTGAGTAGGTGGAGGGCAGGCCAGTTTGCAGGAACCTGTTTCAACCTGGGTTGAAAACAGCCCCTCCTCTACCCAGACCTAAGTGGGCCACAGCAGTTCCGTGGATCTGAGGGTGTGGCTGGCCTGAGTACGCTCAGCCCTTCCTCCTGTCCCCAGAGGCCCTGACTGAGTCTGGTACTCCTGAAACTCCTGGATGAGGGCAAATGGGAAGTATTCCATCATTCCCTGCCTTTGTATAGGTTCGAACAGTTCCTGTGTATCCTTCACCGACTCCCATGTGATACTTACTCTGATGGAGGGTCAGACTTTCTGCCCCACGTACGCTGGTCATTCTGATGATTACTCTCAGTAATGGTCACTTTGTCTTTGTGTTCTCTGCTCTGATCAGGGCAATGGGAGGAAGAAGTCACCCCCAGCCTGCAGGAACCAGGTGGAGGCTGAAGTCATTGTCCACTCTGACTTTAGTGCATCTAACGGGAACCCTGACCTCCATCTCCAAGACCTGGAGCCTGAGGACCCCCTGCCTCCAGAGGCTCCTGATCTCATCTCGGGTGTTGGGGATCCAGGGCAGGGGGCAGCCTGGCTGGACAGGGAGTTGGGAGGGTGTGAGCTGGCAGCCCCCGGGCCAGACAGACTTACCTGCTTGCCAGAGGCAGCCAGTGCTTCCTGCTCCTACCCGGACCTCCAGCCAGGCGAGGTGCTAGAGGAGACCCCTGGAGATAGCTGCCAGCTCAAATCCCCCTGCCCTCTAGGAGCCAGCCCAGGCCTGCCCAGATCCCCGGTCTCCTCCTCTGCCTAGCTCTTCCCAGAGGATGTGGTTTGGGGCAGGCAGGTATGGATCACATAGGATGCGATACCTGTGGCCGTGTATGTCCACATGTGTGCCTGTAGATACATCATCAAGCCCTTTGGAGCTTCCTAAGTTGCTTTGGCTGAGGGGAGAGGAAAACATGGATTATTCACTCCCCCCATACTCTTTGTGATACACATGTGACATGTGAAAGACATACGAGACATAGCTACATGTGATGTGCACATGTGTGAAGTGCATGTATGCGTACTGGTTGTTGAGCTGGGAAACCGTGGCCCAGGCAGTGGTCACTACAGCCTGATTGGTCCTCCAGGTCAGAACGGTGCCCCACAGTGGTCAGTCCCCAGCCCTGTGGGCCCCCACCTCCATCGCCCAGCCTTTTATTACACACTCTGAGAGTGTCTCCAATGCCTGTCTGACAAAGACAGTCCCAGCCCATTCTCCTGTCTGGCTGGGTTGGGTGCAAGCAGGCTCTGAATGCCTGGCATTTCAGCTGCATCACCTCCCAGCTCCTTATTGCCCAAATAGAGAGGGTGGCCCTGGCTCCCCTCCGAGCAACTCTGCATTTAATTTTGTAATCTGGGAAGTGCCTGGTTTTGAAAATCCGCTTTCTCTCACTCTTCCCCTCCTTCCTTGCCCCTGGCTGCTCTAGTGTTCTGTCTCCCAGTCACCTCGCTCTCCCAGCACCAGTGCCCTTCTCCTGCTCCCAGATACTCTTTCCTTTCCTCTCTCCTGTTTTCCTTCCTCTGCTATCTCTCACACCTCTCCCAGACTATGTCATCTTGTTCTCCTGCCTGGGTTCAAACTCTGCATCCTTCTCTAACAACGTGACTACCTCATGTCTGCTTCAAGGCCCCCGTGCCCTTCCTGTATCCGCGGCTGCCGCGCACTCGCCTGCCATCCTCCTGCCTCCTCTTCACTCAGTGCTTCTGCTTGCCCTGCCCCAGGCAGCCCACCCACGCCCAGTGCGGGTGTGGAGAAGATCTTCTGGCTTCCCTGCATCTTGCCTTTGGGATTGGGATCCAAGGGTTCTCCATGGATGGATCCAAGTCATAGAGGGGAATGTTTGAGACAGGGAAGGGGGCTGTGATCCAGAGGCTCAGAATAAAAAGATGCCCTCCCTTCTATGCAGGGGGGCAAGTTTACTGGATGGAGATGATTTGGGCCTCTCTTCCAGAAGAAGCTAAAGGAAGAGAAGGGGAGTGAGAGTTCAGGGAGGCCCTTCCCACCCTGTGAGGCTTGACTTGATCTGGATTGGGGATGACAGGAATCTCACCCTCTGGGGTGCTGGCAAGGAGGTCTTTGCACAGGAAAAGGGGTAGCTCATTTCAGTTTGTTTTTTCTTTAAATTGAATCCTCAAGTCATTTTCTGTTCACCTGCCGCACAGGGACAAGCTTGACTTCTATTTTCTGTGTAGTGAAAACAATGTCATTTATTTGGTTTTTCACCTCAGCCCTCTCATAGGAGCATAGAATGTTAGGGTCTTTACTCCCTAATGATGTCTGATTGGCACATCAAGAGTTAACTCTGCCTTCTGGGCCAAATTCGAAATAACCAGTCCATTTTTCCTTTTTTTTTTTTTTTTTTTTAAATGGTGGAATGTCTCTCAGCACAGTTGCGGCTTCCTCAAACCCTGAAAGCATCTGTGTTTATTATACTCGGGTGTCACTCACTGTTGATGTCTGCACCTACGTTTCCACCTCCTCCCCCTCCTTCAGCCAGCCTATGATAACACTAAAGATTATTAATGTTGGTTTTGTATCTCGTTAAAGACAGAATTGTCACTTGTAGTATTTCTGTAGCATTCAGCGCTGCTGTGGCTAACACCACTGTGTATGTTTCATCATTGCTCTGAAGGTCAAAAGCCTCATTTTATTTTGCTGGTTTGATTTTTTTTTTTTAAAGAAGAAAAAAAAACTGCCCTGAATTAAATGGCTGTTTTAACAGTAGGCTCTTAGCATTATACCACATAGTCATTTTTCATGTTCTTGTTTAACAGGCACTGAGGTTCTGGTTTAAATTAAATAGCTGCAAATGAGACAATTTATAACCCATTAGGTTGGGTGGAAAATTGTTTCTCAAAAGCAAATAAGTAATAAATCTGGTATCTGCCTATAACTCACAGTTGATAAGAAAGTGGCCATTTCTCACTAGCACTATATATGATTTGGGCTCTGGGTAATTTGGAAGTGTTAGGTTTGTGTCTTTGTAGCAGTATTTTTATTAGAAAAGAATCTATTGGCCTTTTACAGGGTATTAATCCCTTTGTCACCTACCATTGATGCCTTAAGTTTTCTGAGTCTCAATTAAAAATCTTCCTTTTCTTGATGCATGACAAGTGTAATCAGTACTTGCTCATTTATTTGTCTGTATTTAGTTTATGCTGTACTATTTAATTATCCTTCCAGCGTTTTTTTTTTCTCCTTACAAATATGATACTCTTTAGTGTTAAGCTAAGGCATTGATTCATGTATCTGTCCTTATAATGAATTAATAAACTATTTTCCAGAAATGTGGAATTCTCTTTTGGAACCATTGACCATGACTAGAATTTCCTCAGCCTTTGTGCCCTAGGGATTTTATTTCTTACTGTGATGGGAAATGATGTTGTTGTTGTTTTTGAGATGGGATCTCTCTGTCGCCCAGGCTGGAGTGCAGTGGCACAATCACAGCTCACTGCAGACTCAACTTCCTGGGTTCAAGCAGTCTTGTCACTGTAGCCTCCCTAGTAGCTGGGACTACAGGCACATGCCACCATGCCTGGCTAATATTAAAAAAAATTTTTGTTATAGAGATGTGGTCTCGTTATCTTACCCAGACTGGTCTCGAACTCCTGGGCTAAAACCATCCTCCTGCCCCAGCTTCGAAAAGTGCTCGATTACAAGCATGAGCCACTGCCTCTTGGCCCAAAATAGTGTTTTGTTTGTTTGTTTGTTTGTTTGTTTGTTTTTTCAGACTAATCTCACTTTGTCGCCTAGGCTGGAGTGCAGTGGCATGATCTCGGCTCACTGCAACCTCTGCCTCCCGGGTTCAAGTGATTCTCCTGCCTCAGCCCCCCGAATAGCTGGGATTACAGGCATGCACCACCACACCCGGCTAATTTTTGTATTTTTAGTAGAGACGGGGTTTCACCATGTTAGCCAGGCTGGTCTCAAACTCCTGACCTCAGGTAATCTGCCCGCCTTGGCCTCCCAAAGTGCTGGAATTACAGGCATAAGCCCCTGCGCCCGGCTCAAAATGGTGGTTTTTGAGGGTAAAAAGCAGGTGGTCATGGGAAAGAACTAAACCATCTTCCTCCCTCAACAGGCACTTAGGAAAAAGACGTAAACTTAGGAAAGATGTGTCCTTTGATGGCACTTCCTTAGACTCTCTGGGGATCTCTTTCCATCTGGGCACACATTTCTCTGAACTTTTTTGGGTGCAGGAAAGAGGGAACAACTCCAGAGATTTGGGCTCCACAACTATTCTCCTGTATAACTCTGGTCACCAAAATTACTCATGGCCACACAATCACACACACGTGCACTGTGTGTACAAGCTCAGAGACCCGCACATGCATACTTTGCCTTCACAAACACCCTTGTGTCTGTCCGTTAATGCAAATGTGCACACAGTCTCACACACAAAACTCCACACTCACACCCCACACACATCTTGGCATCACAGTTGGCAGCTGCTGTCTGCTAAGATCTTTACAGAGCCCGGAACATGCTTTCTATTGGAGGGAATCAAGAGCTAGAGGCTGCTTTGCTCAGGACCACCCCCAAAGTGGTGGGCCAGACCCAGAGTTAATTGACAGATCAGACAGAGAGATACTGCACATTTTGCACTCGGCAGAATAGCCATTATTTGCATATCACTCTCAGACCAAGGGTTGTGATAAAGAAGAATTAAACACTTGTCAAAATGAATTTAAAATGACAGCAATTCAAGAGACCAATTTGACCTCTTCAGAGTCCAGGACAAGCCAAGAAGGGGTTGTTGAGAATTCAAGCCCTGCAGGAGGGAGTTCCAGGATTTTAGGCCCAGGGAGGGCCCTTCCCCTCCCTTTCCTAAGGCCAGTAGACCACCACTCCCACCCTTTCTCACAATGAAATCCAATAGGGCTTTGGCACATTGGAGTCCTCCACCTAGAATTTTTCCATTGCTTCCCGCTGTTCACATGCCTCATGTCCTGCTTCTCAGGCTCATCTTCCAGTAGCTGCCCTAGAGTGAACAGTCCTGAGCTATGCCAACCTCATCATTAGTAAACCTGTCCATCTACAGGCACTCTGATTTCTGGAGGCCTGTACTTCCTTACTTATCCGTATCAAAGTTAGTTTTTTGTTTGTTTGTTTGTTTCGAGACGGAGTCTTGCTCTGTCGCCCAGGCTGGAGTGCAATGGTGCAATCTCAGCTCACTGCAACGTTTGCCTCCCGGGTTCAAGCTATTTTCCTGCCTCAGCCTCCCGAGTAGCTGGGATTACAGGCGCCTGCCACCACGCCCGGCTAATTTTTTTGTATTTTTAGTAGAGATGGTGTTTCATCACATTGGTCAGGCTGGTCTCGAACTCCTGACATCAGGTAATCCACCCGCCTCAGCTTCCCAAAGTGCTGGGATTACAGGCGTGAGCCACCGTTAGTTTCGTACATGGTCCCAAAGTTCCAGAGTTGGTATCAAAAGAAAGACTTAGTTTTTCCTCTGCCATCCCAGTCCAGTGCCAAAGGAGCAAATAGCTACATTAGGCCAACTTTTATTATTTATTTATTTATTGAGACAGGGTCTGTGTTGCCCAGGCTGGAATACAGTGGGACTCCAGGCATGCACCGCCATGCTTGGCTAATGTTTGTATTTTTTGTAGAGACAGGTTTTCACCATGTTGCCCAGGCTGGTTTTGAACTCCTGGGTTCAAGTGATCTGCCCACCTCGGCCTCCCAAAGTGCTGGGATTACAGGTGTGAGCCACTAAGCCTAGCCTGCCAGCTTTAATTCTCTAGCTCCTAGAACTTAGTAGCTGCTCAATAATTTTGATGGACTAGTCCATCATGCTGGACTCAACAGAAGACCATTTAATAGAGAGTGGCTGAGATTCAAGATCTCTGAGGGCTAGTATGGGTATGTCTCTGCTAAAAGACATGCTTATCTTCTGTAACATTCTCACGTGGGACCTCTGTTGTCTCCTTATATGTTCTCTGACATGAACGATTGAGGGCCTTCTTTGTGGCACAGAAACGTTACTGGGAATTTTAACTTTCTATGTGCTTTTCCAGTTACCAGGTCATTTGTCAGGACCTCTGCGGTTTAAAGGTCTCTAGGGATGAACAGGAGAGATAAGATTATTTTCATCTTTCAGATGAGCTCAGTGAGAGTGACTGGGCTAGGCAGCAGGCAGAACCCAGGTCGGAAGCCAGGCCCCTTTAGAGCTCTCATTGTCCTGCTGCTGGGTCTGCTCTCTCCAGGCAATCCTCCCCAGCGGAGCGCCAGGACTCCTCGGTCCAGAGAAGCCAAGCTTGCAGCTACAGGATCTATCCTTTGAGTGGAAGGACCAGAAATCCATGGAAAACTGAATCTTTGACAACTTTACGCAGCTTTTTAGAGAATTATCTCTAAAATATGGACTTGGAGGAGGGCGCAGCAGAAAGAGTGGGTCAGAGCAAATCCCGCAGCTGTGTGTCTTTCCGCAGCCCGGACCCACTCCCCAGTCCGCTGGTGTCCACTTCCTCAGCCCCCCAGGTCCCCGGCTGGCCCGCGGGGAGGGGATACCCGGCTGCAGCCCGGGACGGCGCCGGCCGCTCCAGCCACAGTTCAAAGCGCAGGGGGCGCGTCCGCCGCGCAGCCGGGAATGTCCGGCCGCTTAAAGCGCTCGCCGGCTCTTTTGTTCCCCAGACCGGGCCTCCGGGGAGAGGGGGCTGGGGGAGGGGACCGGGAGCAGAGAGGAGGGGGGCGGCGGGCTGGGGAGGAGGGCGGGGCGGCCGCGAGCGGTGCGAGTGTGGAGCGCGCACCCCGGGCGAGGCTGACAGATCGCCCGGGTGGGTGCAAGATGGCGCAAGCGGCGCTCCCCCTGCGCCCCCCGCGCTGCTGAGCAGGCATGCGGCCCCAGTCCCCCACCGCCTGGGCTCGGCCCCGGCCGGAGCCCCAGCCCCGGCCCCGGCGCCGGCCCCGCGGGACGCTGTGAGCCGCGAGAGGCCCGGGAGCCGCGCGTCGCCGAGCCGAGCTGACCGAGAGCCCCATGGCTGTGCAGCGCGCCGCGTCTCCGCGCCGCCCGCCCGCCCCGCTCTGGCCCCGGCTCCTGCTGCCGCTGCTGTTGCTGCTGCTGCCCGCGCCGAGCGAGGGTGAGTGAAAGCGCCCCGGACCGGGCGGTTGCGGACGGAGCCAGGGGAAGGGCGAGCAGGGAGGGAGCGGGCGCGAGGGGCGGACCCGGGGAGAGCGGCGCGGACCTGAGGGCGGACCCCGCGCGGGGGGGACCCTGCGGATCCGGACGGGGAGAGGGTACCAAGGCCGGACTGCTGGGGGCCCTAGGGGCGTGTTGAGGACGGAACCCCCCGGAGGAAGACTGGGGCAGGACCCGGAGCCCAGACTGAGGAGCAAGGAGTGCAGCGAAGCGGGAGCAAGCGGGGCGGGCTGGCGTGGAGACCGAGGGAAACGAGCCAGGGGAGACCGCAAGGCTAAGCGCTGACCGAGGCGGACGAGCTGGGGTGCTGGGTGCCCGGCCGTGGACATAGCCCGAGGCAGCCAAGACAGGGGACAGCAGCCTGGGGAGCGGAGACCGGGACTCTGACGGCTGCACTGGGCGGAGATGGCACGACCTGCATTTGGAGCTGGTACTGGGCTGAGGAGTGCGCGGGAGAGACAGGAGAAGACGAGGGAGATTCCTGGAGGGCGGCGCGTGGCTAGGGAGCGACCCGGGACAGAGCCCGTGAGCCAAGAAGGAGAGGAGAAGCCACCGAAAGCGAGAGCGAGCGAGCCGCGGGGATGCTCACGTGCCCCTGCCCTTCCCCGAAGTGTGCACACGCGGAGACCTTGCCCTGGCTCTCGCGGTCCGCCGGTTCTGCTGCCTGGAGCTCGGCTCTGCTGCCTGGAGCTCGGTCACCACCACTCTGTTCCCTTTAGTGGCTGCAATGGTCCCATCTCCCGGGAGGAGAGTGCAAATCTAGTCCCTTAACCCTCCCACCTCAAGTTCCCCACAGACACTCATCTGGGCTATTCTCTCTCCACTCCTCTCCCAAGAAGTAGAAGCTCGCGTCCGCATCAAGGAAAAACTTTATTCCCGACAGCTATACCAGGGTTGGATTCGGGGCTAAGACGGGTGAACTCACGACATGGGGAGGATGCGCAGGGGTTTGAATAAGTGCGATCCTAAAAAGTCTTAAAACATTACATCTTCCTGGGCCGGGGACGGGGGGAGGGGGGCGCGGGGGGCGCTGGGCGGGGAATGCCTATAACCCCAACGCCCCTCCTTTCTCCCCACCCATTTCCCCATCTCCCTCAGCCAGGGAGGGCCCTAGTCTGCTGGGGAGGGGCCAGCTCCAGGATCGCTAGTTATCTGGAAATGTGAGGAGGGGTCTGTGACTGCCATTTCAGACCAGGTGGGTTCATTCCTCCTCGAGTGGAGTTGTAACTGGTCTGGTAAGTTGTTTGCTGGAGAAGTTGGTGACTTGGCATCATGCCTGGGATTGGAGTGCTTGTCCCTCCAGCCGGGCTTCTGATTCTCTGATTGGCCTTAACCCCATCTATTCTTTGGCCTCCTTCTTTTCCTGCTCATTTCTCTTCTGCAGGAGCAGAGAGGTTGGCTGGAAGTAAAGGTTCTAGGAGCACCCTCTTCCTTGGTTTTGGGAAACCATAGTTGGTGTTTGCTACTCTTCATCTCTCCCTATGACAAAGGCAAAAGGACCAACACCCAGAGTGCCAGAGGAGAGGGGCAATGGGGCCACAACCTAGTCTGTACCCCGGGTACTGGGACCACACACCCTGCTCCCTGCCAGGCATTGGACCAGGCATCTGATGGGTTTTGGCCAGCAAAAAGAAGCATGATTTATTACTATCTCCCTCTGTATTTCTTTAGAACTTTAAATTTTTCATAGTGCCTTTGAGTCTGTTAATCATGTCATACAACCCTATGACCCAAGCTCCATTGTTCTTCTTTGATCTAAACAGATGAGAAATGGGAATCCAGGACATGTTGAATACTTTACCTAAGGTCACACCCTGAAGGTCTGTGAGGCTTCAGTGCTTATCCAGGGTGACCATCGAAGTAGCAGCATCTGTATTGGAGTCAGTCTTGCTTTTGGGTCTCAGTTTTGCAACTACTGACTGTGAGACCCTGGGCAAGTCACTTGACATCTCTGGGCTTCAGTTTTCTTACCTGTGAAAGAGGAAATAGTACAAATAATATCTATCTCTGAGATGGTCTGATGATTAAGTAAAGTACCGCCTTGGATGGCACTTTGTAATGCATAAAGTTCTATATATAATAGGAATTCCTATTAACATTACAGAAACATGGGGATGGGGTGCATAGACCCAAGGAACTTGGAACCATGTGGGTGGAGTTCTTCCTGGATGTTCATTTCATACTAACACCCCTATTTCCTTCCATCTCCCCTTCCCCAATGCAGGTCTTGGCCACTCTGCTGAACTGGCATTTGCTGTGGAGCCAAGTGATGATGTTGCCGTCCCCGGGCAGCCTATAGTGCTGGACTGCAGGGTGGAGGGGACCCCTCCAGTGCGAATCACCTGGAGGAAGAATGGGGTAGAGCTGCCAGAGAGTACCCACTCCACCTTGCTGGCCAATGGGTCCTTGATGATCCGTCACTTCAGGCTGGAGCCGGGAGGCAGCCCTTCGGATGAAGGTGACTATGAGTGTGTGGCCCAGAACCGCTTTGGGCTGGTGGTCAGCCGGAAGGCTCGCATCCAAGCTGCAAGTAAGTGGATATCCCTTGTTTTCCCTTTGTGTAAGCCAGCTGGTGATCCAGGGTCAGCCTAGGGCATGAGGGCAGCGGGAGCAGTCCCATCTTATGCAGCCTTCTGGAGGACTAATTTCTCAGCATGGGTCGGTTTTGAGGTGCCTGGCAGTGATTCGTGGCGGTGGAATTATATCAGATGCTTGTTTAACTGACTGGAATGTGAATTGACAAGAATGTAGCCAAACACCCATAGGGGAGTCGGGGAGAAAGCTTTACCCAGTTCTTGGGTCAGCATGTCTTAGTTTCCATATGCCTTTCATACTTTGAGCATCCCGGTGCACTGAGTTTGATTCTTGTGTATAAAGATAAATCATTCCCATACTTTAAGGGTGATTAAAGAAATTCTTGAAGGGTAATTTCGGCTACATGCAATTTTTAATTATGTGCTTAAACTAATGTAAACCTTTGGGTAGGATAAGACCTCTATATACCAGTAATGAAATTCTGGAGCTTGTTAATAGTTTGCATTAAAAAAATATGGTAGGATAATTTCAGAATTATCTCAATGATGACATCACTCCTACTCACCTTCATGCTAATGTGTGTTTTTGAATGGGAGAGAAAAGGCGAGGCAAGATGTTTCAGCTCTAGAATTGTGCTTTGCTTGTGCTGCTTGATCGTCAATTGTGGTGATGAAATGATGACTGTGGTTTAACTGCCCTGTCCTGCAAAAATTATGTTATTGTTGAATCTGTGCACACTGGGAGTGTGTTGCATAAACCAAAATTCTCCATGTATCCCAGGGAGGTGGCGAGCTGTGGGCAGTGGGGTCATGGCTGAAAAAGGGCAGAAGTTTTGGCAAGTGGAAATTGTTCTCCATCTCATATCTCTGGACCTCTGGAAGGGGGGGTGTCCCTTTAAAGAGGCTGCTTTGACTATTGTTGGTAACAATTCTAGCTAACATTTTTTTTCTTTTTTTGAGACAGAGTCTTGTTCTGTCACCCAGGCTGGAGTGCAGTGGCACGATCTCGACTGACTGCAACTTCTATCTCCCGGGTTCAAGCAATTCTTGTGCCTCAGCTTCCCCAGTAGCTGGGATTACAGGTGCGCACAATTACGCCCGGCTAATTTTTGAATTTTTTGGTAAAGATGGGGTTTCACCATGTTTGCCGGGCTGGTCTCGAACTCTTGGCCTCAAGTGATCCTCCCGCCTCAGCCTCCCAAAGTGCTGGGATTACAGGCGTGAGCTCCTGCACCCAGGTCTAGCTAACACTTTTTAAGTACTTGCTGCATGCTGGGCACCCTGTCCAAGTGCTTTACATGAATTACTTCATTTTGTCATCACAACAGCCCTGGGAGAATGGAAGATAGGTCATTATCATCCCCCTTTTACAGAAGAGAAAACTGAGCCTTAGGGGGACTCAATGGCATTCTGGTAGCAGAAGAGCCAGGACTGTCATCTGGGCAGCCTGAACCCACACCCTCCCACTTAGCTCCCGTGGCACGCCGCCTCTTTCCTGTCTGATCGCTGACAAGTTTCTTCCTGGCTCTGAGGGCATTTGCACAGTTGCTCTGAACGGCTGGTGAGTGATGAATCAGTTTGAGGCAGGAGCCCTCTCGCTGGGTTTAAGATGCCCCTTTGTTCTGAGGAAGGCAGATCCAGGCCCCCATATGGAGTTCGCTGGGAGGCAGCCCTGGACTTTGAGACCAAATCACTTCTGGCTCAGCCACCCTCATCTCTCGGCCCTCCCGGCAGTGCAGGGGAAGGCTGGTGCAGCCTCTGAGCAGATGGCTGGGTGTGAGGAAGGGAAGCGTGGACAGAGGGTGGGGACCCCGGTAAGATTTGCAGATCAGAGAGATGAGACTCCTCAGGGAGATGCTCCCCATACCCTCCCTGGCCTGTGTCAATGCTGAGATATAGATGGCCCCTGCTGAGGCCTTTGCATCACCAGCCTAGAATCCTGGGAGATAAATCCCCAGGGGCTTATATATATATAGCTAATTGTAAATGTGCTTTTTTTTATAAATGGTAATACCTTCAAGATGTTTGGTTTCCTTAAACTCCTAACAATATAGTACAAGAAATTAAGCTGTGGGTGGGGTCAGCTTGGTTAATCCTTTGGGGTCCTGGAGACAGCTGGGGGGTTTGCCTCCAAGCTCTGGCAGTCTGACATGGCCCTCTCTCCCCTGCAAGGCTGTGGTCCCATGGGAGAATGCTCAGATGCCAAGCAACGGTGCGGCTGGATCCGCTTTTCTCACTTCACAGGCTGATGTCCCTAGAAACCTCCAAAGCTGATTAGCTGCCTGGGTTTCCTCCTTCGTAATAACTCCCTGCCCGTGTGCCTGCCGGCACTGCAGATGTTGTGTGACACAGGAGGGTGCCTTTCTGAAAAGGTGTGAGGAGGCCTCTGGAGGCCCCTGCTTCTTCTGCCTGCTCCTCAGGGGCCCGTGGGGAGGGGGCATGCTAAGCACCCCTCGCAGACTCACAGTTCACCCAGCAGACTAACCCAGGGAGGCAGATGGGTGTTCAGGTCTATGTCGGTGGGTCTGCTGGGCATCTGAGCTCCGGGCCAGAGGCGGATGGTTGGAAATGCACGCCCTTCCATCAGGGGGTTCAGATGCTGTCCTCAAAAGACAGCCTGACCAAGGTGGCTACACCGCGGGCTGATTCCTTGGGGCTTCAGTTTCAAGCGTTTCCCTTTTAGAATGGAATAGCTCAGGCTCCTAAGAGTATTCATGCTCAGGAGCCCTAGACTCTGCATTGCAGCTCCACGTGCTTGTAGTTTGGGGGCTGAAAATTGAGACTTGTTAAGGACGAGACCCTGGACAAGTTAATGCTCCCTCATCCCAGTTTCCTTGCCTGTGAAACGTGCATGTGATCCTGCCTGGTAGGGCGGCTGTGAGGACCAGCACACCCCACACTTTGCCTGGCACGCAGGAAGCACTGAGTAACGGGAGCCGGCACCGCACTCCTCATTGAAAGGTGGTTTCACTGACATGGCCTTTAAATGTAATCTTGGCTGCCCATGGAGGTTAATCTCCAGCAAAAGCAAACTGCCTGATTCTGCTCCCGGCCCCTGCTTTCTCCCTCGCTGGGATTCATTTAGGGAGTTCTCCAGGGAAAGCTATCAGGGAGTGGAATTATTGGAGCCAGAGTGCATCTTGTTTTGTTTTAACCCCTTCCTGGGAGGACTGAGGGTTCTCCCAAGCCTCAGGGTGTGGACTGAAGCTGGCCTGGCCTGTGAGACCCTCCGCTATCCCTCTAAAGGGGCTGACCCAGGGGAATGTGTGCATTGACTCATACCTGAGGCCTGTGTGCCTGAATGACTCCAAAAAGGATGGACTAGCTACAGGGAGGAGGATGGGGGACCTACCCCGAGTCCCTGCCACCCTCAATCCCTGCCCCTCTTTCCTAGCCTTAATTCTTGATCTCAGGTCTCTTGGGGAACTGGGGTGATCAGCTCTATGATGTAGTGCAGGACTTCCCAAACCTTACTGAGCCTGTGAATCACCTGGGAATCTTGATAACATTGAGATTTTGAATTCATAATTCTAGGCCAAGGACTGACAAGAGCCCAGGTAATGCCAATACAGCTGGTCCACAGGCTGTACTCTGAGTAGCAAGGGGCTAGCAGAGACCACACCCATGTCATAACCTCCGCTGTGGGGATTTTCAGGCAGCATAGTGAAGCCTTTGGAACAAGGGCTTCAGGGCCAGACTTCCATGGGTCTGAACCCCAGCTCTGCCACTCAATGATCAGTGCCCTTGGCAGGAGTTACTTAGCCCTCTTGAGAGTCTGTACCCTCATCTGAAAAAATGTGCACCATTCCATCCATCTGTCAGGGCTATTGGAGGAGTAAATGAGGTGATGGGTCTAAAGCACCTGGCACAGGGCTTGGCATGTAGGAAATGCTAAGTATTATTGTTGGTGCTCAGTATTGCCCACTAATTTAGGATGAGGTCCCAGGTGTCTCAATCCTGGCTGGGTTCTCCAAGAGCCAGGATTGCCCTCACTCCCAGCCTGGGGCCATCTTGCCTGGGCAGGCCCAACAGTGGTTTAAATGTGGGTTGTGGTGGCAAACAGACCTGGGCTTGGTGGGCTTGGGCCTTGGCCCCACCACCTGCTAGCTGTGAGATCTTGGCCAAGTCACTTCACCTCTCTGAGCCTTGGCTTCTTCATCTTTAAAATGGGGGAATGTGATGGCTCATGCCTGTAAATCCCAGCACTTTGAGAGGCTGAGGCAGGAGGATCGCTTGAAGTCAGGAGTTTGAGAGCAACCTGGGCAACAGAGCAAGACCCTGTCTCTACTAAATAAATAAATAAATAACATGGGGGAGGAATAATATAAAATAATAAAAAATACCAAGGAGAAATATTGTGAAGATTACCTATGATAATGTGCAGGAAGAGCTTAGCACAGGGCACAAAGGCAGCATTCCTTAACTATTATTAAGGTACTAATTTTATATATATATATATATATATATATATACACATACATATATATACACATACATATATATACATACATATATATACATACATATATATATACACACACACATATATATATAAATATATATATATATATATATATTTTTTTTTTGAGACCAAGTCTCGCTCTATCACCCAGTGCAGTGGTGCAATCTCAGCTCACTGCAACATCTGCCTCCCGGGTTCAAGCAATTCTCCTTCTTCAACCTCCTGAGTAGCTGGGATTACAGGTTCCTGCCACCATGCCAGGCTAATTTTTATATTTTTAGTAGAGACAGGGTTTCATCATGTTGGCCAGGCTGGTCTCTAACTCCTGACCTCAAGTGATCCACACACTTCCTCCGAAAGTGCTGGGATTACAGGTGTGAGCCACCGTGTCCAGCCAGGTACTAATAATATTAACTATTATCATTTTGAGGAGCTAACAGAGGTGAAAACATGTTAAATTATGAGCTCCTTTAGTTGTGGTATCATTCCCGGAAAGGTCCCTGGTGACTCCAGACTCCTAGAAAGAGGCAGTGGGACATGGGGAGAGGAGAGAAAGTCCAGTTCTAGTCCCCTGCTCTCTCCGCCTCAATAAGTCACCTAGCCTCTCAGGCCCTCAGTTCCTACTTCTGAAGTCTGAATCATTTTAACTTGTCAGAGGGAAGGCAGTTTCACCAGCTATTCTAGAGTCCCTTTTCAGCAAAAAGGCTCATGGTGTGTGGCTCTGGGGGCAGGGTCTGGGTGGAGGTCTGTGGAACCAGGTTGGAGTGGGGGTTAGGAGAACTGCGGGCAGGAGCTGCTGGGGAGTACAGCCTGGTATTTAGGGTGCCCTGTGTAGGGAGGTGGGTCATGGAGGGAGGTAGTTCCTGGCACAGTGGCTGGTAACCCTGGAGGCCTCTATCACCTGGAGGTTAGTTGCTCAGGCCTGGTGTGTGGAATGCAAGTTCTTCTCTCCTTCTTGAAGGAATGAAGTTCTTCTCCCGCTTAACTGAGGGAGGCCTGAGGAAGTCTCCCCCGCAGCTCCTCAAACACACACATCTGCCTGTCCATTAGGACAGGAAGCTGCTGTCCCCAGCGATGAGTGAGTGCCCATACCTAGGCCTACCCTCATGTCAGGGCCTCACCTGTACCCAGCCTCAGCTCATAGGTAGGTGCAAATGGATGGGGTTCAGACACTTTAACCTGCCAGTCAGCACTGCACAAACTGACCCTTTCTGACACCGCTGAGAAGTTGTGTGGTAGAAAAGCCCTTGTCTGGACACCAGGGATCCTGTGTGGCTGTGGACAAGTTGCCCACCCTCTCTGGGCCTTGCTTTTCTGATTATAAGGTGAGGGGGTTGGACTGAGGCTCACCTCTGCTCTGGGGTACGAAGGCTTCCTTCCATCCATCTTCAAGACGTGCCTGCCTCCCCTGGGCCTCCTCCAAGTCTATTTCTGCCTGGTTCTTCCCATACCTGATCCCTCCCCAAAGACCATCCTGCTTACAGTCATATCTTCCTCCCCTTCCTAAGGCAGGGAGCATTTGTGGTCTGTGGCATTCACGCTAAACCCTCTTGGTGATGGCTGCTTGCATTGTTAAGTAACTGTTTTGTGGCTGGATATTCCATCTGTCTCCTCAACTAGATTTTAAGCTCCTAAAGGGCTTCTTTCTTTTGTATTTCTCATGTCCCCTGCCTGTGGAGCCTGGTAAAAACTAAATGAACATGTGGCCTTCTGGGACAAAGCTGTCTCTCTGTCTCTCCTCTGTTTCTCTCTCTGCTTCTCTTTTGCTCCCCACCCCACCCCCCTTGTAATTGATAGCACAGCTCAAAGGAACAGAAGCTTGTGAACGGGGAGGATGGGCAGGGGAATATAATGCACGCGGGGCAGGATCCTGGGGTGCTGCTGCCGCGTGTTTATCTCTAGAGGAACTGAGATTCTCTCTTCCTCACCAGATGGGGTGTGAATCAGAGACTAAATTGCCTGGTACCCCCTCCATGCAGGGGTCTTGGGTCTCCTGCCTTGGGCTTTACTCTCTAGCTAGACAAGGCCTATGTCCCCAGGCTCATTGGCCCCCAACTGTAGGGGGAGGGCCCCCTTACTCTGTGTGCAGGGCCTCCACTCACCCCCACCCGCAGAACTTGAGTGTGGAAGTCGAACGCTTCTGGTTCCCACACCTTGGCTCCACTGTCACAGGCAGCCAGCTGGCCCCTTAAACACAATGTGCAAATCTTCTCTGTTCCTGTTCCTGGCATTGTCAGCGGCCAGGCGCCTTGGCTGGGAATGTGGGCCGGTGAATAGGAGAGGCATTTGCAGCCTGCAAATGAAACAGGCCCCCAGCCCCCCTTAACCCTCTGTCCCCTCCCCACCCCCAGGGAGAAAGGACTTTTTCACTCCTGGCCTTCTTGTATTGCCTTTCCCTCTCCCCTCTTCTCTCCAGAGTGCCTGCAGGCTGGTGTGTGTGTGTGTGTGTGTGTGTGTGTGTGTGTGTGTGAGTGAAAGAGAGAGAGTTTTCCACAGTAGCTTGAAGGCTGTTCTCCATAGCTTTCAATAAACGTAGAATGCAACAGAAGAGTACCCAGGATGAAAAACCAAACAGCTCACTGCTGTCTTTGTTTAAACTGGACTGAGTGATTCCACCAAAAATGTCTGCCTTGTGTAACTAACCTATGACACCTTTATTTTCTCTGGCCATAGCCTGGTTGCAAACAAGGAATGTAGAGACCAGTAGTGAGTGAGTGTGTGTGTGTTGCCAGGTGGGTCTGAGCATACAGGTGTGTGCCTGAAGGATGTCGAGGGGCCTAGCGTTGGGGTCCATCTCTCCTCAAAGGGCTCTCCTGTGGAATCCCTCTTCCCTTGAGCAGTAGCCAGGCTAGAAAGCTGGAGCGGACAGACCCAGCCTAGGGCAAGAGGAGGTGATAGATAATTTTATTAGGTCCTGTAAGGGACTGACCCTTACCCAACCAAGCTGAAGTGAGAGAGGAGTGGGGCAAGCCCTGGGACACTGGGTGGAGAGTGGCCAGCGGGTGGCGGGAGGCCTTACATTTGGGGTGTTTGGGTGTGGCCGTAGCCCCTCCAGGAGTCTGGGCCATAGTTTTCCTTTTTATTTTATTTTATTTTATTATTATTATACTTTTAAGTTTTAGGGTACATGTGCACAATGTGCAGGTTAGTTACATATGTATACATGTGTCATGCTGGTGTGCTGCACCCATTAACTCGTCATTTAGCATTAGGTATATCTCCTAAAGCTATCCCTCCCCCCTCTCCCCATTCCTTTTTCTTTTCTTTTTTTTTTTTTTTTTTTTGAGACAAAGTCTCACTCTGTCTCCCAGGCTGGAGTGCAGTGGGGTGATCTTGGCTCACTGCAACCTCCGCCTCCTGGGGTTCAAGTGATTCTCCTGCCTCAGCCTCTCTAATAGCTGAGATTACAGGCATGCACCACCACACCTGGCTAATTTTTTTGTATTTTTAGTAGAGACGGGGTTTCACCATGTTGGCCAGGCTGATCTGAAACGTCTATCCTCAAGCGATCCACCTACCTCGGCCTCCCAAAGTGCTGGGATTACAGGCGTGAGCCACCGCACCCGGCCTGGGCCATAGTTTTCTTATTCAATGGGTGGCTGCCCAAAATCTAGCTGCACTCTGGCAAGCCTGCTGGCCTGCACTGCACCATCCCCACAAAAGAACCTCTCCCTGATTTCTGAGCTTGCTCTCCCTGCCCCCAACTTTGTTCACCCTCTTTTAAGAAATGCCTCTGTGGCTGCCCTCAGATGTAAGGAGAGCAGAAGAGAGGGCTTTCTGTGGGCACCTGGACTCACGATAGATGTTGAGACCCAGTGAAGGTGGGAAGCTGGGGGCTGAGCAGAGAGGCCTGAAGAGTGGCAAGCCGGGGGAGCTGCTGGCAGACCCCCAGACTGCAGGGAGATGCAGGGGCCGGGGTGGGCTTAATGCAGGCAAGCCGGTGGGGGGCCAGGACTGGCTCACCTGACTCAGGCAGGAAGGAAATGTGATGCAAAGGGCTGGTGCCCTAGGGGCTCCACCCGCCCTTCTCTCTCTCTTCTCTGGGTCTTGATGTCCATGCTCCTTGGTCTTTGACACTCCCCACCCCCTGCTGCCCCCTCTGCCTTCCTGTGAGGCCACATTTCATATATTGGTCTTTCATATCCCTCAGTCCTAGTTTCTCCTGCCTTGTCCTCCCAAGCTTCTTCCTTTCTCCAGCTCCTCCTCCCTCCTTCTCTTTCTTTATTGTTCTATCCTTCTTCCTGCCTCTTTCTTTTTCTTTAGAGATAGGATCTCACTCTGCTGCCCAGGCTGGAGTGCAGTGGAGTGATCTTGGCCTTGAAATCCTGGGCTCAAGAGATCCTCCAACCTCAGCCTCCTGAGTAGCTGGGACTACAGGCATGTGTCACCTCATCCAGCTAGTTTTTTTTTTTTTTTTTTTTTTGAGACAATGTCTGTCTCTTTTGCCCAGGCTGGAGTGCAGTGGCTCAATCTCGGCTCACTGCAACCTCCACCTCCCGGGTTCAAATGAGTCTCCTGCCTCAGCCTCCCGAGTAGCTGGGACTACAGGCGCCTGCCACCACGCCCAGCCAATTTTTGTATTTTTAGTGGATACTGGGTTTCACCATGTTGGTCAGGCTGGTCTCGAACTCCTGACCTCAAGTGGTCCACCCGTCTCAGCCTCCCAAAGTGCTGGGATTACAGGCATGAGCCACTGCACCCGGCCAAATTTTTAAAATTTTTTGTAGAGATGAGGGTCTCACTATGTTGCCAAGGCTGGTCCAAATTCCTGGCCTCAAGCCATCCTCCCACCTTGGCCTCCCAAAGTGCTGGGATTACAGGTGTGAACCACTGTGCCCGGCCTGCCTCTTTCTTCAGTTTTGTGAGAGTTCCTGTGTTTACCATCTTCTGCCTTGTCTAGAGTGGGATTTCTGTTTCAGAAGCAGAAGTAGGTGAGCTCGGGCCTCTGCAGAGACTAAGGAGAGAGACTGGGAAGATAAGGTTCAAAGAGGGCAACAAAGGATGGGGTCCATAGCCCCCCAGCAAGTCAGGGGCTCTCTGGGGGCAGACCTTTCCTGAAAGGAATCTGAGAACCCTGGGCCCAACCCTGGTTGGGGCCTGTCTCTGAGCCTGGACACTGACACTGACACTGACCACAGTGGGTGGTGGGGGCAGCCCTGGGCTGCTCTCTGGAATGCTGGTGTTAGGTTGCAGTGCAGATGCAGGCAGTGATAATGGGCAGGAACTGGACTTTCTGGTCTGGCTGCTGCCCCCAAGGCCATTGGAATGTGAGGGTGGGGGTACTATCAAGAGGCCACAGGGTCCTGGGGTGGGAAGATGGAGACCAGACCACCTGAATGGAGGAGGGGACAGACCACCGTGAGAGAGACACAAGTTCTAGCCCTTTCATTGAGTCGCAGGCTGCAGCAATAGAATCCTGAAATTCCCAACCCCCTTAGGTCCTTAGGGGTCTTCCCGGTCTCCTGGTAGGATTAGAGCTTCGGGAAAAACCTTGGTGCTCATCTAGCCCAGCTTTCTCATTTTACAGACTTGGAAACCGAAGCCCCAGGTGAGTGACCTGCCCAAGGACATGGCTGGTCCTCCAGTCTGGGCAGGTAAGGGAGTCTCTGGTTTATCAGGCTTCTGAACCCTGGCCTTCCCCAGTGCCTCACTCTTCACTGCCCTCTGGTTCAGAAAGGAGGAGTCTTATATGGTCCTCCCCTAGGAAACACTGGCGTGCATGTTCTATTTTTCTTTTTCTTTTCTTTTTTGAGACAGGGTCTCACTCTGTCACCCAGGCTGGAGTTCAGTGGTGCGATCTTGGCTCAGGGCAGCCTCAACTTCCTGGGCTCAAGCAGTCTTCCCATCTCAGCCTCCCAAAAAGCTGGGACTACAAGCACACAATACCACGCCGGGCTAATTTTTGTATTTTGGTAGAGATTAGGTTCCACCACGTTTTTCAGGCTGGCCTCAAACTCCTCAAGCAATCCTCCCACCTCACCCTCCCAAAGTGCTGGGATTACAGGTGTGAGCCACTGCCCCGGCCCCTCTGTTTTTCTTTCGTGCTGCTCTGGTTTATCTGTGGGTGTGGGCTTGTTAAGCCTTGGATGTGGGCTCCTGACCTCCATGGCAGATTGCAGAGGGTCTCTGAGTTTCCAAAGCACCCTGGAGGCTGAGCTCAGCAGGTGTGAGGGCTACCTATGTGCTGGTTCTTGTAGAGAACTAGTTAGTAACAGTAAATGTGGTCAGAGTAATATGGGGCTGCACTGTTCTAGGCCCTTTGTGTGCTAATTTATTTAATTCCCACAATTCCATTAATAGGAATTACTAGCCCTGTTTTACAGATGAGTAAACGAAATCCCAGAATGATTAATTAAATTGGCCGAGGGTACACAGTAAGTGGGGAAGCTGGGATTTCAACCCAGTTCTGCCTGACCCAAAAAATTCACTGGCCTGAATGTCTCTAGCAGGGGCTCACACCCCTGGAGAACCTATCAGTATTTATGCCTCAGAAATAAAAGCAGATACCTGGAGGCATGTAATGTGAGAGTAGGGGAGTGTAGAGAACAGAGGACAGCTTAGAACCCTGGCCAAGGTGGGAGCCACTTCTGGGTGGGCCAGGCAGGATTACATACTCCATGACCCAGCTGCTGCTGGGACATCCCAGTTACAGGAGGCTCTGTGTAGACAAGTCTTGCTCTACCTGTGAGGCGGGCAAGAGCTGGCTGGGAATGGGTTCCTGAGTGAAGAGGAAGCTGGGAGGTGGCTGGGGCTGCTGGAGGTAGAGGTGGGAGTTGCTTCTTCCTGAGGAGGAAAGACAAATTCCCCCCTCCTCTTTGCTCCCTTTCCCTTTCTTGTTTCCGCATAATGATGCTGATTGCTCCACATCTGTCATAATTACTCTTTGTTTGAAAATTCAGAACAAATCACAGGAGAGGAACTGGAATGGCTTGAGAAGGCTCCTTCTCCCCAGGGGTCCTGGCAGGAGGCGGGTGGCGGGGGTGGGCAGCAGGGAGAAGCCATAATCATCCTGGAGGAGCTGAGACAGCTGATTGTCCTTGTCCTGTCCCCTTGCCTGGGCAATAGCCACAGCCCCCAGGGAAGGTGGCCTACAGCCTTGTGGAATTACACGCCCACGGGGCCGACTCTGGGGCTGGGCAAGCATTGGGTCTCTGGAGTGACAGCCAAGAATAGGGGACCACTGCTTCCAGGGAGCACCAAACCACACCCTCTTGGGGGTCCAGCAGGCGGCCCTGGATGCTCAGTGCTACACACTCGCTCCCCAGCCTGACTTCTGGTGAGGGTTCTGGTTCCCATCCCCATCCTGAAGGCCCTTGGTTTTGGGGGCTCATCATTCCCGGAATATGAGCCCAGGTTTGTGACCCTGTCTGCCATGAGCATCCTTTTATGTTTCCCTCCCAACCTAACCCCTTTCCACCTGTGGGCTTTTGTGGGGCGAAATCAAAGACAACCTAGAATTTACCCCCAAACCAGCTGGGGGTGGTGGCTCACGCCTGTAATCCCAGCACTTTGGGAGGCTGAGGCGGGCAGATCACCTGAGGTCAGGAGTTCCAGACCAGACCAGCCAACATGGTGAAACCCCATCTCTACTAAAAATACAAAAATTAGCCGGGTGTGGTGGCTTGGCAAGCACCTGTAATCCCAGCTACTCGGGAGGCTGAGACAGGAGAATCGCTGGAACCCGGGAGGCGGAGGCTGCAGTGAGCTGAGATGGGGCCACTGCACTCCAGCCTGGGTGACAGAGCGAGACTCTGTCTAAAAAAAAAAAAAAAAAAAAAAAAAAATCCCCAAACCTCGCTGGTAATAAAACCCCATGTATTCTCACCCCGACAGGACCGTTGGTGGGTCTGACACCTCATGTTGCTGGACCCAGTGCAAGATGCAGACAGTCTTGCACTGACGACCGGCTCTGGGTTCAAGCTCCCTCCCTGAACACTGCTGAGCCTCAGTTTGTCTTTGTGGAAAATGGGAGGGGGCACGGCCCTGTCATCAGTCATTCTGAAGGGGAGAGGATGAGTAAGGCCCAGGCATTTCTGGAGTGTGGAGTTCTGTGCACCCCCCCACCCACCCTCACCCCTTGCCAGTGGGGGCACCTTTTGTTCAGGCTTCGTGTGAGCAGGTCAGAGAAGCCAGGGGAGTCCTGGAGACAGGAGGTGCCTGGCTTGGAGGGGATACCTCCTCTGGCCCCACCATTATAGACTGAAAGTCATAGGAGGAGCTTGGACTTGACCCTGACACCATGATGCCTACCTGTGCACCCTCCCTGGCTCCCACTTCCAGGAGAAGCTGCTTTTAATATGTAAAATTTCAACTCACCTTTGTGTGACTTTGGGCCCATCTGCTTACCCTACTGGGTGGGCCTCTAGTTTCCTCCTAGGTGGAATGTGGTGTGGGGAGACCAGATTAAAACATTCCTAAAATCCCTTCCCAATTGTAAAGTTCTCGGACACTACCCCATTTTCATCCTGAACACGGCTCTCCAATTCCTCCTCTGCCTCCCTCCAGGCCCCCCAGCTCCCTCTGTACCACTTCTTTTTTTTTTTTAATGTCAGGATGAAAGTTTTGAGAATAGCGCTCTTGTCATTCTCCCCCTTTTGCTAACCTCACTCTGTCACCGCCCTCCTGGCTCCTGCCCGCGCACGTGTCCAAAGCAGCCCAGGCTGCGAAGTTTCAGGATGCGGTCGCAGATCCCTGGTCGCAGAACGTCTGGCTCTGCCCTGGGCGGGGCGCGATGGGCAGAGTGCGGCGGCCGCGGAAGCAGCCCTGCAGCAGGCTCCGAAAATGATGCCTCGTCCTCGAGGCAGGAGGAGCGGCGCCCCTACCCCAGCACGGCGGTGGGATCCTGTGCAATTAGCGCCGCGCTGCATGGTTGCTCGGCTGTCAAGTCATCGAACTGTGTGCCCGAGTGTGTCTGTGGATGTGAATGAGTGTGCGAGTGTGCGTGTGTCCTCGCTTCCCGGGCTCCCAGCATCCAGGACGCGGGGCCTTTCACTACTCTTCTAGGCTGCTGTGGTCAGCGTGGGAGGGGATATTTTCATCTGGAAACTGGGGAACTCGCCCCTATCAACTGGGAGCCTGGAATGGGTCTGAGAGGGGGAACAATGGAGAGCTGGAGTTGGGGGGCTTGAGGGGTAGGCCAGGGATTTCTTTTCTTTTCCATTTCTTTTCTTTTTTTTTTTTCGACAGGGTCTTGCTCTGTCATCCTGGTTGATCCTGGTTGGAGTGCAGCAGCACGATCGCGGCTTGTTGCAGCCTCAACCTCTGGGGCCCAAACAATCCTCCCACCTCAGCCTCCCAAGTACCTGGGACTACAGGCCTGCACCACCACACCCAGCTAATGTTTTTTTATTATTATTATTATTTTTAGTAGAAACTAGACCCTACTATGTTGCCCAGGCTGGTCTTGAACTCCTGGGCTCAGGTAATCCCCCGACTCGGCCAAACAAAGTACTGGGATTACAGGCTTGAGCCACTGTGCCGGTAGGCCAGAGATTTCTGACAAGGAGCTAGAGCTAGACAAAAGTTTATGGGCAAATCTTGAAATGGGCCAGGTCGGCTAGGCACTGTGGCTCATGGCCTGTAATCTCAGCACTTTGGGAGACTGAGGCAGGTGTATCATTTGAGTCAGGAGTTCAAGACCAGCCTGGCCAACATAGTGAAACCCCATTTCTACTAAAAATACACAAAATTAGCCAGGCATGGTGGTGTGTGCCTGTAATCCCAGCTACTCGGGAGGCTGAGACAGGAGAATCACTTGAGCCTTGGAGGCAGAGGTTGCAGTGAGCTGAGATTGCACCACTGTACTCCAGCCTGGGTGACAGAGCAAGACTCTGTCTCAGAAAAAAAGAAAAGAAAGAAAGGGCCCAGATGCTCTTTCCAGCATGCTGATTGGTCAAATGGGATTTGGGCTCTAGCTTCAGAGCCAGAGCTGAATAGGACCTTAGAGAATTGAAACCCAGTATTTGGCTTGCAACAAACACTTCTCAGATCTTTTTCTGCTATCTTCAGATTTGGTTTCTTTTTCCCTCCCCCAACTTGGGTTATTTTTGTTTTGCCTCTTATATCCCAGCTTATATGGAGTGTCCTCCTCTTTCTGCAACAATTCCCTTCATCCTAATTTTCTGAGGTCTCTTAAAATTGTATTCCAATTCTCCTGTACCTTAGAGAAGGCCTGTCTAATTTAGTCCCAGTTGCAGATTAGATTAGAATATTCTTGACTCCATTATCTCAGATCATCCATAATGATATTACATAGAAAGATCCTCAGCCTTGAGGCTGTTTGATATTCGTGCCCTCCTCTGTTTCTGATTTTTGCTTCTCAAGTCTGTCATTTTCCCATCAAACCATAACAAAATCAGGATCATTACAGGCAGGCTGGTATGATGTTAATAAGATCAAGGCTTTCCTGAAATAAAGTGATATTGCTTTTATCACATCAGTTTGAAAAGGATCCATTGGGCTGTATGTCCAGCTTTGCTTTTTGCGGGGTGGAGGGAATCAGAAGACAGGGTTCATGCTGGAATAGCAAGTATATCTCTTATCCCTCCCACTTGTCTGCAAACATTGTGGGGAAAGGCTAGCTCCTCTGCACCCTCAGGGCTTGGCCTAGAGTTGGTATCTGATGAGGGTGAGAGAATGGGGAGCTGTGGGTATTATATGGGAGGATAGGAACACCTCCTACCTGCTGTGGGTCACTCGCCCCCAATAACTCAGCAGCTGGGATTGGGGGAGGGCAGATGAAGCTGAATCAGATATTACTCCTGAAAGGCCTATAGGAGCATTTTACCTAAGCCTTTCTCAGCAGGCTTCTGAGTCCCTGCTGTCAGGAGCTGAGAGTGACCATGTCTGACTGCTCTTGGCTCAAAGATGAAAAGGTCTCATCCATTTCTCTGCATCTAACTATACCCTAAATCCCCTATTTCAGTCTCTTCTGGTATGAAAGGGCACCCGCATATCCCTATTCTATTCTCTTCCCTGAAACACCCTTCTTCCAAGGTCTGACCATTGGCCACTTGGGAGAGGATGGAGAAAAGGCTAAGTCACAGGTGCCACTACTAAGTACTGAGTGGGAAGGGCTTGGCCTGGTGAGTTCAAATCTCAGTCTTCCATCCCAGGAGAGGTGGCTAGTGGTACTCAGTCATCTCAGGATGGGACACCCTCCCAGGAAAGCTGGAGAAACTTGTAGGATTCCAGACCACCAGCCTTACCCTCAGAAGAGCTCACAGGCCAGGCTCCATGCTAAGAAGCATGCCTCTTCCCTGCAGTGTCCTGTGCATCCCCCATGGAAGGCCTATCCCTGCACAGACATGCCTGCCTTCCTGTTATAACCATAATGACAACAAAGCATTCTGTGAACCCAAGTTGCTGTGGAAATGGGGGAAAAAAAGGACACATACTCTCATTATTATACTCATTATGTTCCTATCAGAATACTCACCCATGGAGCATTATTTTTAAAGTTACTCATGGTCTTGGGTTTGGGAAAGGAAGAGATCATTTAAAAGCATTTTCTCAGGCCAGGTGCAGTGGCTCACACCTGTAGTCCCAGCACTTGGGGCAGGTGCATCACTTGAAGTTAGGACTTCGAGACCAGCCTGGCCAACATGGTGAAACCCTGTCTCTACTAAAAATACAAAAATTAGCCAGACATGGTGGTACACACCTGTAATACAAGCTACTCGGGAGGCTGAGGCACAAGAATTGTTTGAACCAGGGAGGTGGAGGTTGCACTGAGCCAAGATCGCGCCACTCCACTCCAGCCTGGGTGACAGAGCGAGACTTCATCTAAAAGAAAAATAAACTAATTAATTAGATAAACTAAATCAAAGCACTTTTTCAGTTACTTAAAAGGCTGAGGTGGGAGGATCGGTTGAGCCCAGGAGTTCGAGGCTGCAGTGAACCAGTGCACTCCAGCCTGGGTGACAGAGAGAGACCATGTCTCAAAAATTAAAATAAAATAAAACATAAAGACACTTTTTCAGTTAAAAGTATTGAGTCTCTAATTTAGGCCCGGAGGCTCCTCTTGCTTTTTGAATGTGCCATTTCTCAAAATATAATTTATCTGAGGATTGGCCATTCAGGCACCCTTGTTGAAATCTAGGCAACCCACAAAGGCATATGTATAGAGATAAATAGTGACAAATGTATTTGTAGTTACAGTTTGAACAGCCATTTTAGTCTTGCAAAATGAAGCTAGTGGCCTGTATAGCATTAAAATGGTTTTGGGGCTCCGTGCAGTGTCTCATGTCTCTAATCCCAGCACTTTGGAAGGCTAAGGCAGGCAGATCACTTGAACCCAGGAGTTAGAGACCAGCCTGGGCAACATGGCAAAACTCCATCTCTACCGAAATACAAAAAATTAGCCAGGCATGGTGGTGGGTGCCTGTAGTCCCAGGTACTTAGGGAGCTGAGGTGGGAGGATCGCTTGAGCCTGAGAGGTTGAGGCTGCAGTGAGCTGAAATCACGCCACCGTACTCCAGCCTGGGTGACAAAGTGAGACCCTGTCTCAGAAAAAAAAAAAAAAAAATATGTCTTGGATCTGCTACTAACTAACTAGCTGTTGTTTTCTTGGATCTTTTTTCTCTCTAGAAATGGGGGCTTTAAGCCTCTCCCTAGAATCCTGAAGGTGGAGGGGAAAAGGGAGGTCAAAGTGGGGTTCCAGGCATCCTACATCTACCCCATCAATGGCAGCTTAGCTTTTATCTTTTTGTTTTGTTTTGTTTTGGAGTTCTCTAAACTGACTAACTAGGCAGATAGGTCTAACAGGGAGTAGTTCGGCAGCTGCAGGTGCTGTGATGCCAAGAGGGCTTAAGGGCCTAGAGTCTTAGGTAGAAGAAGTATAACTCTAAGATGAACATTTAGGAGAGTTATAAAGAAAAACATTTTTATCACATCTGTGGTTATGACCAAGGTTAGATTAAGCCTTGATTCAGGAAAACAATGAGTTATACTTAAATTTTGGAAAGCTTTTCATGTATCACTGTCACTACTAGTGCTTGGTAGTGTTAAATACAGTTAGTTGGTCAGAGCAAGGAACAACTTGGCTCCTGCTCGTTTGGTCCCTCAATAAGTGTTGCCCATTCTTTTATTTTATTCTCAAATAAATGGATGGATAGATGGATACTTCTATGCAAGGGTTTGGCTATGGGCAGTCTAGAAAATGCTTATAATCGAATTATGGTGACATGGACATTAGAAAATGCTGCAGCCTCAGAAAGGGCTCTGTGATATGTGTCAAATAAATGGTGCTAACCAAGGGCTATTGGTTTAGCCAACAGCCTTCTGTTGATCTGGGCAACACTAATTATTTAACAGATAAAGAATTGATTAATCATTTAATAAATCTGATAGAACACTGGAACATAAGCATATCATTCTTCCTTTAGGTGGAATTAGTCAAAGAGCCCATCAGAAGAGATTAGGAAGTCCATGTTTCCAGAAAAAGAATATGCAGAATTGAGGGGTATTAAAGCAGGTCCAGGCCGGGTGTGGTGGCTCACACCCGTAATCCCAGCACTTTGGGAGGCTGAGGTGGGCGGATTGCCTAAGGTCAGGAGTTCGAGACCAGCCTGGCCAACATGGTGAAACCCCATCTCTACTAAAAACACAAAAAAATTAGCTGGGCATAGTGGTGCCTGCCTGTAATCCCAGCTACTTCGGAGGCGGAGGCAAGGGAATCGCTTGAATCCAGGAGGCAGAAGTTGCAGTGAGCCGAGATCAGGCCACTGCACTGCAGCCTGGAAGACAGAGCAAGACTCCATCTCAAAAAAAAAAAAAAAAAAAGCAGGTCCATTCTCAAATCTCACATCAGCAAATCTCTAAGAGTATCTATCCTGCACCTATCTGCCTCTGTGCCAAGTACTCTGTGAAGGATAGCACAGAAAGATAAGACACTTCCTGATCTTGAAGGGTGTAATCTCCCCACCCACCCCCCCAACCCTCGCCTTTAAAAAAAAACCCACTTTGTTTGGTGGTGATGGTGAAAAAGCAGCCTGACGTAGCACAAAGTATCTCTTGAATGCATACATAGTGTGACCATCGGCTTGTCCATCTGCACCGTGGTTTCCTTTAGTTCTGATTGATTTCTAAGTTGAGCCACCTCGTGTCCTCACCTGTGAAAAAAGAAGTGCCTCAGCCTTACCGGGCTTCTCATGGTGCCTTGGCTTCCAGGAGCATCTCGGTCAAAACAGTGGCCTCCGTGCTTGGGACATTAAATCCAAATTCTGAGGCCTTGCTTTGCAGACCTCCCCTTTCTGACCATTTCCCTCTTCCCGACTCCTCTAGTCCCTTCATCAGTCCAGGCTCCCCACAGTGCCCCATCTTCCCTCTTCTTTTCCCAGTCTTTCTCTCCTGCCTTCTCTACCCGCATCTCTCCCAGCCATTGCCTAAACCTCGGCAGTCCTTTCAGGTTGGTGGCACACAGCTGGGCACTAAGGTATGTAAATTCCCCACTCTTTCTCCAAGTGTTTGGTGTGTATCGGCGAAATGGGATTAGGTCTTTGAATGCAGAGCCGTGCCCGTTTTTCCTGAATTAAGGACAACTGCGCGCTCAGTTAGAGCGCCCCTGAGAATCTGCAGGTGGAGAAGGCTCGGGGAGGGGCCCGGAGGGAGGGACGAGGGCGAGTCCGGGGGCCGCGCGTGTCCGCCCAGCTTCCACGGAAGGTGAAGGGCCTATTTCCTCGGGGAGACAGGCACCGCTTCCTCAGTTTCCCTCCGCCGCCGCGAGTGCGCCGGGGCCGGGCCCAGCTGGGGAATCCGAGGCTCTGGGGGAGGGGGTGGCGGGAAATGGTGCCTCGCTCGCCCCAGCGACATCAAACCCTCGTTTGGCGTGCGAGGACAATGGCTGTCTTATTTTCTCCATTCGCCGCGCACAATGCCGGATTCTCTCATTCACCCGCGGTGGTGCGAGCGAGGTAATTAGCCAGCGCCATTCAGCGCGGACACTATTGCTATGCGGGAGGGGCGGGGGGGCGGGACGCCCGCGTCGGCGGGGATTAGCCGCGGGCCGGGGCGCAGCTGCGGCCACTTCAAAGGCGGCGCGCGGCCCGGTCGGCTGTGGGAACCGGCCCCCGCCTCGGGCCCGGCCGCCGGGAAGGGGCCCGCCGCGTCCTCCGGGCTCGCGCCCTCGCCCGCCGCCCCTGCCGCGCCCTGGGCCGGGGAGCCTGGGGCCGCTTGGACCGGGGCTCCGGTGGCTGTTGTCGCTCCCCATCACGCTCCCACTTTCATCAGGACCTCCAGTGCTTTTCTCCTTTGAGGCCCGGAGTCAAAGGGCAGAGCGGGGAAGGAGGGAGAAGAGCGGGGGGGATGGGAGTCTGACACAAAGCGCTGACCTCCGAGGAGTGGAGCAGATGGTCCCACTTACTCCTGCCGCCTAGCCACTGCGGCTCTCGGGGCCCCAGGCTCGGGCCTGACCCCGCCCGCCAGCTGAATGCCTGCAGTGGGGCCCCGCGGGGGCCGGGCTTCCCCAGGCTCCCCCACCCGCCCCACTCCGCTGCCCACTCTGCCCTCACCTCCTGGCGTTGGAGTCAGGCTGCCCGGAGCAGCCGGCTGGGAGCAAGGGTTGGGGGGCTTGGCTGAGTTTCTGCCCTGGTCCGGATTCCCAAGAACTTGCCAGGCCAGGGTGTCCCAGTCCTAGGGTCACTTCCAGAGCTTTAGTAGACACACCGATTCCTGAGCACTACACCAGACCAATGAATCCGAAGCTCTGGCAGCAGGGTCCGGAAATCTGCATGGTTAGGCAGCACCCTAGGTTATTATGATCTGCAGCCGAGTTTGAGAGCCAGGGGCCTAGCCTAATTCACCTTCTTCCTTTTCACTGAAGAAGCTGAGACTCAAGTAGAGGAATTATAATAACTTGTTGGAGGAGAGCCATTGAATTGTGGCAGGCTGGGGACTTATGTGGAAGACAAGATGAGGAGTGATCCCCAAGAACATATGACCGTTTAAGTCAGCATTCAGGGAACAGTTTATGAGGACTTAGTGTTTACCTAGTATTTGTTCTAGGTGCTGGAGGTAGAGAGATAAATGTGTCTGTTCCCTGCCCTTAAGGGACTCATAGGTCTTCGATGGGTAGGCAGATAGACGCATCAACAGCCAACTCTAATACAGTCTGAAAAGGGGTAGGAGACGTGCAGGCAACATGTTAGAGTTAGGAATGAATTCTGCTTCCTTTGGCGGATATGGAAGACGGAGGCGGTGGTAGAAAAAGGGGCAACAGAGTTGTAGGCAGAGGGGGCAGTGGAAGCAAAGAATACAAGGGTGAATGTCTGCAAGGTGACATAGCATGAGAGGAGAGTGTCCTTTTACGGATGTGTTACAAGACAGGGATCCTGATCCAGACCCCAAGAGAGGGTTCTTTGATCTCACTCAAGAAAAAATTCAGGGCGAGTCCGCAGTGCAAAGTTTATTAAGAAAATAAAGGAATAAGATCAGGTACAGTGGCTCACGGCTATAATCCCAGCACTTTGGGAGGGCGAGGTGGGCAGATCACCTGAAGTCAGGAGTTCGAGACCAGCCTGGCCAACGTGGTGAAACCCCATCTCTACTCAAAATACAAAAATTTGCCAGGTGTGGTGGCATGCGCCTGTAATCCCAGCTACTTGGGAGGCTGAGACAGGAGAATCACTTGAAGCAGGGAGGTGGAGGTTGCAGTGAACTGAGATCGCGCCACTGCACTCCAGCCTGGGTGATGAGAGTGAAACTCTGTCTCAAATAAAAAAGAAGTGAAGGAATAAAAGAATGGCTACTCCATAGAGCGGCCCTGAGGGCTACTGGTTGCCCATTTTTATGGTTATTTCTTGATGATATGCTAAACAAGGGGTGGATTATGCATGTCTCCCCTCTTTAGGCTATATAGGGTAACTTCCTGATGTTGCCATGGCCTTTGTAAACTGTCATGGTGCTGGTGGGAGTGTAGTAGTGAGGATGACCAGAGGTCACTCTGTGGCCATTTTGGTTTTGGTGGGTTTGGGCTGGCTCCTTTACTGCAACCTGTTTTATTAGCAAGGTCTTTATGACCTGTATTTTGTGCTGACCTTTTTATCTGATCTTATCCTGTGATTTAGAATGCCTTACCCATCTGAGGCCGGGCACGGTGGCTCACGCCTGTAATCCCAGCACTTTGGGAGGCCGAGGCGGGCAGATCACCAGGTCAGGAGATCGAGACCATCCTGGCTAACACGGTGAAACCCCGTCTCTACTAAAAATACAAAAAATTAGCCAGGCATGATGGCAGGCGCCTGTAGTCCCAGCTACACTGGAGCCTGAGGCAGGAGAATTGCTTGAACCCGGGAGGCAGAGGTTGCAGTGAGCTAAGATTGTGCCACTGCACTCCAGCTTGGGGACAGAGCAAGACTCTTTATAAAAAAAACAACGGAAGGAAGGAAGGAAGGAGGGAGGGAGGGAGGGGAAGGAAGGAAGGAAGGAAGGAAAAAAAAAAAAAGTACGCTTGTCCTGTATTCCTACAAAGATACTCCACAATATATTCCACAAGAGTAAAGCAAAATAAGTAAAGTTGTTCCAAGTAAACTAAATTAGAAGGGTTTCCATTAACTGGGCAACTATTGGAACCAAGCTGATATGGGGTTGTTAGCTGATTGTAATGTGCCCAAAATTGGAATACTGATCCAGAGTTTTACATTACCCATCCCTCTTGTTTCTCATGAATAGCAGACAGAGATTACTGGTTGGTTCACAGGAATAAGCAGAGTTAGCCTAAATTGCAGAAACAAACTTAAAAACAACTAATGAGACTAGACTTTAACAATAAGTGTACCATAGTTCTTGAAACATATTTCTCTGTCCAGTTTCCCATTTTTACTAAAGACAAATCATGGTAAGACTGATTTGCTTTATTATACTTGGCCTGATTATTTGTATAAAGTGCAGCAATAATAATTATTTTTCACATAGGATCTTTTAAAATTGGCTTTGATGGAACTCTCTTCCATAGAAGGAACCTTAGATGAGACTTTTTTAAAGCTGAGCCCTGCCATGGGCTTGTACCCTCAAATACCTATGAATTGGGTAAATTCCTCTCTTTTTGAGGTCCCAAGATAACTTGGGGCTCCTGGACCTGTGAGAAAGTGACATTCTTTACTTGTTATAGGTCAGAAACCCTGTACAGGGACCGTGTAGGCAAGGTACGAGATGAGTTCCCCAAAGGGCTTTTATTAGCTCTACAAGTCAAGTTTGATTCCTTAAAGGAAAGCACATCATTCCAGTCAAAGCCTTGGTAAAATAATCAGTTTCTCCAACTGAGTCCTGTTACAAAAGAAAACAGACTCTTATATGCAAATAATTATATTGCCATAAGTTAAGAATACTCACAACTAGTTTCCAAATTCTGGAGAAATCAGGTAGAAAGAAACAAATATGTTCCAAATTTTGTTCACAGCAGTATACTTTACTCAATTGCTACAAGCTGCAAATAGCTCAAAAAAATTTCCTTGACTCTGAAAAACAAAGGATCAGCAACGTTTTAAGCAAAATTAAAAAGATTACTTCAGTTTTCTATTGGTTCAGTTAATTCAGTTGACTCCTATCTGATATTCATGAAGTTTCCAGCTCTTCATGAGAGTTCTGCAAGTTGTTTCCTCTATTCTAATGTTACAATTTCCAAAGTTATTAGAAATCTGCATTTAAGAACACCTGCTAGAGTTTTATAGTTGATTATAAACCACCTTTTAAAGAGGATTAAAACAAGACAACAATTGTCTGGATGATAAAAAGTTTTAGGACAGCCACTGTTAAAGCCACAATTGATAAGGAAATTTGGTCACTTCTGTGGCACACAAAATGTTACATAACAATTATAATTATTAATAACATACACTAAGTTATATTAAAATTATAGGAGTTTCCCATAACTTTGGACCATATACCAATAACACATTTATGCAAATATAGTCCAAAGAAAGCAAAACACCATTTCACATTTGACAATGCTTCCTGTATGATTTTTATACCAAATAAGCCAAATTTCACCTTTACATTAATGTACTATAAATGTTAAACCCAATTTTAAATAAAATTTTATAGACATATTTACCCAATGTTAATGTTTAACCGTAAGGTAAGATTCTTTTTTTTTTTTTTTTGAGACGGAGTCTCACTCTGTCGCCCAGGCTGGAATGCAGTGGTGCAATCTCGGCTCATTGCAAGCTCTGCCTCCCGGGTTCACACCATTCTCCTGCCTCAGCCTCCCAAGTAGCTGGGACTACAGGCACCCGCCACCATACCCAGCTAATTTTTTGTATTTTTAGTAGAGATGGAGTTTCACCGTGTTAGCCAGGATGGTCGATCTCCTGACCTTGTGATCTGCCCACCTTGGCCTCCCAAAGTGTTGGGATTACAGGCGTGAGCCACTGCGCCCAGCCGGTAAGATTCTTATAAACCTTTTATAACCCTTTACATTTTTTTGTGAAAGAGCAGATTAGTGCTCTAAGAAAAACCTGTTGTGCTTCTATTCCAATGTTTAATTTATGGAAAAACTGAATAATACGACTTTAACTTTAGCCAATATGTTCACACACAGAATATCTTACAATTAATTTTTATGAACCTTCTACACCTTGTTTAAACTTTAGATTTTTTTCTTACTTAAAACAATCCTTTAACACTTTAGGCAGAAAAAAAATACACATTCTCATGACTTCTTATAATCTTTCACCAAAACACATTTTACTTTCTTTGCACACCTTGCATGTGAAATTGTTTCTTTAGTAGTTTCAATTACATGTTATAATGTTAACTCTTAGCAACTTTTATTTTTGGTGAAAACCTTGGTAAATTCGAGATTTTGATTATGCTCTAGGTATAGAGCCTCGCCCAGGACACACCAGGCAGAAGTGCAGATAAGAGCTGACTCTTGGTCGGGTACCATGGCTCATGCCTGTAATCCCAGCATTTTGGGAGGCTGAGGTGGGCAGATCACCTGAGGTCAGGAGTTCGAGACCAGCCTGGGAAACACAGTTAAACCCTATCTCTACTAAAAATACAAAACTTAGCCGGGCCTGGTGGCACGCACCTGTAATCCCAGCTACTCGGGAGGCTGAGGCAGGAGAATTGCTTGAACTTGGGAGGCGGAGGTTGCAGTGAGCCGAGATCATGCCATTGCACTCCAGCCTGGGCAACAGAGCAAGACTCTGTCTCAAGAAAAAAAAAAAAAAAAGCTAAGTCTCAGGCTGGACGTGGTGGCTTATGCCTGTAATCCCAGCACTTTGGGAGGTTGAGGCAGGTGGATTTCTTGGGAGGCTGAGGCGGGCTGAGGTCAGGAGTTCAGAGACCAGCCTGGCCAATATGGTGAAACCCCGTCTCTACTACAAATACAAAAATTAGCCAGGCATGGTGGCAGGCGCCTGTAGTCCCAGCTACTCAGGAGGCTGAAGCAGGAGAATAGCTGAACCTGGGAGGTGGAGGTTGCAGTGAGCCAAGATCAAGCCACTGCACTCCCGACTGGACAACAGAGTGAGACTCCATCTCAAAAAAATATTTAAATAAATAAATAAATAATCCTTTCAGATCTCTTATTACCCAACTTTAGCCATGCCAAGTGGCCAATATTTCTAGCTTCTGATCTTTACCAAAAGTAACCTCCTATGTGCTTAGAGAAAGGAAAATTTAAAACAGTCCACAGAGAAGAGAATAGACAAGGTCACGCAGATATTTAAACCATAAACGACTTACTTCCTAGATGGGGAACTGAACCCAGACCACCACTGTGAAAGTGCAAAAACCTTAGCTACTGAGCTACAGGATGGGCCCATCTCTATTTTCTTTCTCAGAAGAAATCTAGAGTAGTTAATTTTGAGCTTGCAAAAGCTTTTAACTATTTAATATGATTTTTTGAGTTACTATGACATGAACCCTAAAATTCCTGTTCCCTGAAGCCAGAGACCAAAAGAAAGTACTGCCACGTGGTTAAAAGGTGAAGCTCCCAAGAACATAAAGCAAGGTGGAGACTTCATCCAGTTTTTTGTTTGTTTCAGGGACCTGCAACCAAGTTTGTGACCGACCAGCTTGCTGAGTCATCTTGAAAAGCGGACATACAGGTGTTCTAAGCCCATGTTTTATCCTGAAGTACCCCCTCGACACAGAAAAACGAATTCATAGCACAAAATACACCAGCTTAAGACTAGCCTTAGAATTCTTTTTCGCATTAATCAAAACTTTACAAAGGAGATACAGATTTTTTTTTCCATTCATTCAACCGTTTGCACAGAGAGAGAGAAACCCAAAATCTGACTGGTAAGGAATTATTTCCCTTTTGCCGGCATGTCAGCCTTCTGGGTTCCCTTTCCCTGAGTGGCCCTACTGATTCGGCTTATGCCACCATCGCCCCAGGGGCCAAGCCACATCATAAAGGAAAATTATTTTTTTTTCATTCTGGCCAGAGCAAAATACTTGTGATAACAAAACATAGACATTAGCTACTCTGCTTAGCACCCAATATCAAACTGTCAAGACTTAAATTTGCCCCCAGATGGGCCTGTCATCTTTAATCCAACCTCTAACTAGGAGTTTCAGCACAAGATGGTCGCCCTGAGTAATAGAAAAGATAAGAAAGAGAAAGAAAAGCATCGCCTGTGGCAGGGTGGGGAAAGTGAAATGATCAGGGAGGCCAGAGAAAGACCCACCCATTGCAGTGACACTGAAAAGTTCAGGTGGCTGCTGTCAGTTGAGCAGGGATCTTTTCCAGCAACCCTATCAGCTCTTGAGTTTCCCGTTTTAGGGAGGAAAAAGCTCCCCATGTCCCAAGATCCTGTACATGCCTAATCCTGTCACCCACAGCCATCAGCAAAGAGTGCAAAGCAGCTTAATCCAAAGAGATAGCAGTTAACATTCCATAGTGCCAAACCTGTTCTTAGCCAAGAGGGACTTTACTGAGAGGGGTCTCTAACCCCCTAAAATCTTAGAAGGGACTCTAACCCTCCTAAGTCGGGCCTCTAACCCGGGGTCGGTCAAGCATCCTTGCCTTTTATTAAGAGGGGCCTTTAACCCACTCTGTCTTGGAGAGACTCTAACTCCCCGAAGTTGGGCCACTAACCCCATCCCATTCTTTACCTGGGTACCGCATCACTTACCCAAAGTCTTCCAGTCAGCACTGCAGTCTATTCCCTTTGGGTTGGGGTGTCTCCTCGGTATCGTCCCTTCCATTGTTTGCCAGAAATATGTTACAGGACCCCAACACTTACCCAAAGGTAGCTGTTGGGTCAGCGATTCTGCACTATAATCCTTCTGTGATTGCCAGAAATATGTTACAGGACAGAGGTCCCAATTCAGACCCCAAGAGAGGGTTCTTGGATCTCACGCAAGAAAGAATTCAGGGCGAGTCTGCAGTGCAAAGTGAAAGCAAGTTTATTAAAAAAGTAAAGGAATAAAAGAATGGCTACTGCATAGACAGAGCGGCCCCAAGGGCTGGTGGTTGCTCATTTTTATGGTTATTTCTTGATGATATGCTAAACAAGGGGTGGATTATGCATGCCTCCCCTTTTTAGACCATGTAGAGTAACTTCCTGACAGTGCCATGGCATTTGTAAACTGTCATGGCGCTGATGGGAGTGTAGCAGTGAGGATGACCAGAGGTCACTCTCGTGTCCATTTTGGTTTTAGTGGGCTTGGGCCGGCTCCTTTACTGCAACCTGTTTTTTGTTTGTTTGTTTGTTTTGTTGTTGTTGTTGTTGTTGTTGTTGTTTGAGATGAAATTTCGCTCTTGTTGCCCAGGCTGGAGTGCAATGGCGTGACCTCGGCTCACTGCAACCTTTGCCTCCCAGGTTCAAGCAATTCTCCTGCCTTGCCTCAGCCTCCCAAGTGGCTGGGATTACAGGCACACGCCACCATGCCCGGCTAATTTTTATATTTTTAGTAAGGACAGGGTTTCGCCATGTTGGTCAGGCTGGTCTCGAACTCCTGACCTCAGGTGATCCACCCGTCTTGGCCTCCCAAAGTGCTGGGATTACAGGCGTGAGCCACCACTCCCGGCCTGCCACCTGTTTTATCAGCAAGGTGTTTATGACCTGTATTTTGTGCTGACAAAATCTCATCCTTTGACTTAGAATGCCTTACCCATCTGGGAATGCAGCCCAGTAGATTTCAGCCTCATTTCACCCAACTCGTGTTTAAGATGGAGTTTCTCTGGTTCACAGGCCACTGACAGATGGAGAGGGGTCACTTTACCCAGTGTTATCCTAGAATCTTAATGTTAGTATGGACCTTAGAGATTATTTGTCTATCCTGCCCCACTCCCATTTTACAGATGAGAAAACCAAGGTTGGAACCAAAAGGTCCCAGAGGGAATCTGTGACAGAGCCAGGAGCTGATCTCAGCCTGCCTCTCTGTTACCTAAATCCCAACTATATTAGTTCCTACAAATCCTAATATATGGCTCTGGAAATTCGGGGGAAGTATCTGTTTTTGTTGAGTTGTCCTTGTGGTCATGTGAAAGCAATTTACTTAATAGCTGCAGCCTGGGCCCCCCTAACCAGACACCCTTCCGGGAGGTGAGGGAGATCCGGTGTCCTGACCAGAACGACGGAAGTTAGGGATATTGTGGGACTGGGCAGGTTTACATAAGGAAGATTGGTGACCCTGACACTGGCAGAGACACACAGTCTGTGGAGAGGGGCTCTGCTGGGTCTGGACATTTTCAAGTCCAAGGCAGAGAGGAATTCCAAGTCATCTCCCAGCCCCTGACCCTGCACCATTGGCTGGTATTTGGAAGCAGATGTGCCTCAAAGGTTGCAGCTGGATGAGACCCAGTCACTGAGTTGTCCAACTCGCATTTCCCTATTTTACAGAGGAGGGAAAAGAGGCTCAAAGAGGGGCTTTGCCCTTACCAAGATCACATATCCAGCTGTTAAAAGAGCTGAGTCTCGGCCGGGCATGATGACTCACGCCTATAATCCCAGCACTTTGGGAGGCCGAGGCAGGCGGATCACCTGAGGTCAGGAGTTCAAGACCAGCCTGGCCAACATGGTGAGACCCTGTCTCTACTAAAAATACAAAAAAATTAGCCGGGCATGATGGCGGGCACCTGTAATCCCAGCTACTCGGGAGGCTGAGGTAGGAGAATCGCTTGATCCTGGGAGGTGGAGGCTGCAGTGAGCCGAGATCGCGCCATTGCACTCCAGCCTGAGCGACAGAGCGAGACTCCGTCTCAAAAAAAAAAAGAGCTGAGTCTCGTGGCCACCCTTTTACTCCATGGACGCCACTAGCATTTCACAGTGCTTCCTCCCAATCCCCCCACAACAGGAAAATAAATCAATCCTCTATTTTATACAACCCAGTGGGCTAGACTACAGGCATAGACCTGCAGGCCCACCCTCTCAAGGCTTCACAGCTCAGATCTGCTGGAGGGCAGAGTTGGAAGTACTCAAGGAAGAGCCATCTTGGTTGTTTATTTGCCTGTATTAATAGAAATTAGGAGCCATGTGGGGGCACAGTGCCCATTAGTGGGGGTGATAACACCACCTTATCATGGTGCTTATTTGCATTAATTACTCCCTATAAAACCTACCACCAAACCCTGGGGGAGTCGAAGTGAAGCCTGCTGTGTCATGGGTGACTCTGAGTGTGAGTAGGAAGGGTGGCAGTAAGGGTCTAGCATGTTGTGTGCCTCTCTGTTTTTCTGGGTGAGTCTAGGCCCCATCAGTCATGTTTAAGGGTCATTTGAATATGTATTTCCCCGCTGAGGACAGCTTTGTGATGAAGGTAAAGAGACTTGGATTTTGAGTCAGACCATTGTAAGTCCAAATGTTTGCCTTAACACCACGGACTGGCTGTGTGACCATGGGCAAGTTACCTAGCCTGTCTGAGCCTTAGAAGGGCTAGTAATCCCTACCTCTCAGAGTTATACAGATGGAAGTAACATCTAACCTTTGCCCCTTGATGGCCTTTGCAGGTCTTTGTTTTTCAGAACCATATTACTGTGACAGTGACCTAAGATCCTGGCTCTGGTGCTTTCATCCTTCTGATGTTTCTTTTTTCTTTGCTTTGCTTTCTTTCTTTTCTTATTTATTTTTGTGCGTGTCTGTGTGTGCATGCGTGTGTGTGCGTGTGTGTGTGTGTGTGTGTGCGTGTGAGACAGGGTCTCACTCTGTTACCTGGGCTAGAGTGTAGTGGCACAGTCACAGCTCACTGCAGCCTCAACCTATTGGACTCAAGCGATTCTTCTGCCTTGGCCTCCTGAGTAGCTGGGACTACAGGCACACGCCACCATACCCGGCTAATTTGTGTATTTTTTGTAGAGACGGGATTTCACCATGTTGCCCAAGCTGGTCTCAAACTCCTGGGCTCAAGCGATCTGCCCACCTCAGCCTCCCAAAGTTCTGGGGATTACAGGCATGAATCACTGCACCTGGCCATCATCCTTCTATTTCTTAGGAGGTTGGGTGTGCACATCTAAGGACGGATTTGTGGGATGGAGGGAGTTTGCTCCTGGGGTGTCAGAATGTCCTGTCTGAGACATTAGCATTCAGTAAGTATCTGTTGAATGAATGCTTACAGTTGACTCAGTGGGTCTGCTGTGTAAATAGGACAGATGACTATATTTCCCAAACCAAAAACCAGGACATGTCCTGACTCATTGCCTGATGTGTAGGATGAAAACAGGGCCAAATACTCGAAACTGGGACTGCTTTTGAAAACCTGGCTGTGGGGTTGGTGGGGTGGTCACATGGAGCAGGAGATGCTTTTCTCCCTTTCCCTCCTCCCTGAATGTAAGAGGCTACCACTAAATGCAGGGCAGGGCACCCCCCAGTCCCTGTGCTGTCTAAGGCAGGCGCCCTTCCTGCATCCCACAGCACACAGCCCCAGGCACACTTCACACCCTCCACTGAGGGAGGAGTTGCTCATGGCTTGATCTGGAGGAAGAACTGGAGCCTCCAAATTATGGGGCTGAGTAATTAAAAGCAGGGCTTTAAGCGGTTTTATTCCCCTTGGGTTGTAAAAGTCCAGCCTAGAGGCTGCTGAGAGCCCTGTTTGCCTCCCCTGCAGCCACGCCTTTGGCCTTGCAGTCCATTTCACCCAGTCCACCAGCCAGGGGACCAACAGCTAGATGCTGAGACATTCCCAAGCGGAATCCAACCTCCCACTGCCCCCCACCTCTCCCCCATCCAGGCCCCTGTTTGTCAGAGGTGGCTGTGAGAGGGGAGAGATGTGGATTTATGGCTGCTGACTTGAAAGACAAAGTTGCCTTTTGTGTCAGAATTGGGTGCGGGGGAGTGGTGAGCTGGTGGTAGTGAGGGAGAGAGTAGGGAGGGGCTGGGGTTCAGGGGCCCAAGGCAGGCGGCGAAGGACTTGAGGAGGCCAAGAAGGCAGACGGAGGCATCCAGAGGCTTCTCAGAGCAGGGTCACTAGGCAAAGTCCCAGATGGGTCAGTCACCCCCAGTGAAGCCACCACAGTCCCCTGAGGCTATTTGTAAATGCCAGACACCCATCTTCCCATACTCACTCCCACCCACTCCAACACCCAGATGCCACACAGCCTCCCCGCTTCTCAAAACATACTCTTTGGGTTCAGAGCCTTCATTCAACTCTCAGATGCTCCTTTGGAAGCCCAGGGAAGTAAGTCATGCTTCCCCCACCCCAGATGATCACAGCCAGTCAGTGTGGGGTTTCTTCCCTAGCAGAGCCAAAGTCAGGGGCTAAGTGGGGATCCAGATGATGGGTACCTGGGACAGAGGGTTGGGAAGGGTGAGCCTGGGCCAGAGAACCCTGATGACAAGACCACTACCCCACCAGGGACCCTGAGCAAGTGGCCAGCCTCTCCCGGATTCAGGGTTCTCTCCACCACCTTTCTCCTCATAGACTTTTAGAGATGGGACATTTGCAGGTGCCTTGAGGAGTTTAAAGAGCATTTGACATGGCTGGCCTCCTTGCCCTCCAGGGGCCATCTTGCCCCAGCTGTGCCCCACTAGCACTCTTCCTGGTGGCTCCGGTGGGTCTGCGTGGAGGCCAGAGTAGCCATCGGGCGCCTGAGTTCAGCAGGTGTTTTAACTATACCTCGGAGAGCCACATCCAACCCCCGGAATGAGCCTGGCCAATAAAGGGCTGGGTTTATAGGCTTCATAAACATTTTACTAGAGAAATCAAGGCCTCAATTACCCAGTGGCCTCTTCCAACTGACAGCTTGTCTATTGGGACCCCGTGAAGCCCCCAGGCAGAAGTAAGGTAGAAGAGGCTCTGGTTTATACCCTGCTGCTCGCCCCCGCAACACATGTCCTCCCCCCACACCATTCAGGCCTTGCAAATTCAGTTTTTACTCCCTTCTCCAGACAGCTTGAGCTCCACCATGCACTCCCTGAGCCTCATCCCCTCTGAGGAAAGAGGCTGCCCCTTGGAGAAGAGACACGACCATTTCTTCCTGACCCCCCGCCCTGCTCTTCCACAATCTCTCAGTTCCCTTTTAACTCAAGATTATACCATCTTCCCTCAAGAACAGATAGCAAGTATTTGCTCTCTGCCAAGGCCTGCGCTAAGCAGTTTACGAACATAGCTCATTGAATCCCCCTATTGCAGTGGCTCTAGTGACTTGAGCTGTGATCATCCCTGTTCATAAGTGAGACAATAGAGATTTCCAGAGATTCTATCACTTGCCCAAGATCCCACAGCCCATAATGGTGGTGCTGAGATTTGAACTCAGTTCTGTATGATTCCAGAACCTTTACCATTAATCTCCTCCCTATACCACTACCTCAAACAGTTCTGAGCCCAAGAGGTCGAGGTGAACCCGGGCAACAGAGCGAGACCCTGTCTCAAAAACAAACAAAAAAAAACAAACAAACACAAAAGCAAACAAAGTTTTAGCAAGTATTTCCCCACTGGGAACAGAAATCTTTCCATGTGAGGCCTTCCCTGCCCTGCAGCGTGACAGCCCTAGCGTGGGATCTGATGTGGGCCTCGTCATCAGTCTCTGAGTCCACGTGGCCAAGAGGGGGGAGTGCAGGCAAGGGCAAGGCTGGCCAGTGATGAGGATGGAGAGGAGGGATGCTCTCTGGAGGGACGGCCAGAGAGACCATGAGCAGTAGAGAAGGCAGCAGAGGAGGAAGGGGAGTCCACGACCTTGCTTCGGGTCTGGACCAGCACTATCCGATAGACTTCTCTGTGATGACTGAAGTTCTTCTATTGGTGCTGACCCATAGTGTAGTCAGTAACCACTTGTGGCTGCTGAGCACTTGAAATGAAGCTAGTAAGAGAAAGGAACTAAATTTGTTAATTGTATGTAATTCTAATTTTTTTTTTTTTTTGAGACGGAGTTTCACTCTTGTTGCCCAGGCTGGAGTGCAATGGCGTGATCTCGGCTCACCCCAACCTCCACCTCCCGGGTTCAAGCGATTCTCCTGCCTTAGCTTCCCGAGTAGCTGGGATTACAGGCATGTGCCACCACGCCCGGCTAATTTTGTATTTTCAATAGAGACGAGGTTTCTCCATGTTGGTCAGGCTGGTCTTGAACTCCCGACCTCATGTGATCCACCCGCCTCGGCCTCCCAAAATGCTGGGATTACAGGCATGAGCCACCGCGCCTGGCTGTAATTCTAATTTAAAGGGCCACATGTGAGGCTGGGCATGGTGGCTCATGCCTGTTAATCCCAACACTTTGGGAGGCCCAGCTGGGAGGATCACTTGAGGCCAGGAGTTCAAGACCAGCCTGGCCAACAGGGCAAAACTCCGTCTCTACTAAAAATACAAAAAATTATCCAAGCGTGGTGGCAGGTGCCTGTAACCCCAGCTACTTGGGAGGCTGAGGCATGAGAATCGCTTGAACCTGGGAGGTGGAGGTTGCGGTGAGCTGAGATCATGCCACTACACTCCAGCCTGGGTGACAGAGCAAGACCCTGTCTCAAAAAATAAATAAATGGCCACATGTGGCTTGTAGCTACCACATTAGACAGCACAGACATGGGATGGTTGATGATTGAAACTTACTCAAAGTCTTCTGATGATGTAAGGCCCTGTGGGCTAGGAATTTGACTTCTCTAGGTACCTCATATATGTAGAATTCTACAGTGTCTTTTTGTGACTGGCTTATCTCACGTAGCATAGTGTCCTCAAGGTTCATCCCTGTTGTAGCATGTGTCAGGATTTCCTCCTTTTTAAGGCCGAATAATATTCCACTCAATGGATATAGCATATCTTGTTTATTCATCTGTCAATAGACACAAGTTTCTTTCACCTTTTAGCTATTGTGAATAATGCTGCTATAGACATTATCAAATATCTGTTTGAGACCCTGCTTTCAGTTCTTTTGGGTATATACCCAGAAGTGGGATTGCTGGATCACATGCTAATTCTATTTTTAATTTTTTGAGGAGTTATCATACCGTGTTCCACAGCAGCGGCACCGTTTTACATCCCCACCAACATTGCACAAGGGTTTTGATTTCTCCACATCCTCAACAACAGTTGCTATTTTCTGTATTTTTGATAGTACACATCCCATTGTAGTTTTGATTCGCATTTCCCTAAGATTAGGGTCTTTTCTCTCTCTCTTTTTTTAATACTAGGTCTTCACAATCCAATGTGTATTTGATACTTACAGCCCATCTCAATTTGGACTGGCCACATTTCAGGTGCTTAATAGCTGGCCACTATATTGGAAAATGTGGGCCGGGCATGGTGGCTCACGCCTGTAATCCCGGCACTTTGGGAGGCTGAGGCAGGTGGATCACTTGAGGTCAGGAGTTTGAGACCAGCCTGGCCAACATGGCAAAACGCTGTCTCTACTAAAATTACAAAAATTAGCTGGGCATGGTGGTGCGTGCCTGTAGTCCCAGCTACTTGGGAGGCTGAGGCAGGAGAATTGCTTGAACCCAGGAGGCAGAGGTTGCAGTGAGCTGAGATCTCACCACTGCACTGCAGCCTAGGTGATAGAGTGAGTCTCTCTCAAAAAACAAAAGAAAAAAGAAAGAAAAAGAAAATGTGGTTCTAAAGGGAAAAGTTGGGTACAGTGAGTAGAAGTGTATGGGATTCAGGTATGTGTCTGGAGTAAGCAAAAACATGATAATCATCCCAGCTGCCTGAGGAGGGGCTGGACATCCAAAAGGCTGCGTGTCCCTGGTCTTTGGCAGGGATAGATACAAGGAGGGAATGGGCCTCGGTGGCCTTCAGAAGAGTCTGTGGTTCACAGCTGCCCCTCTTGAATGGCTGTATGAGGTGGGGACAGCCGGCACCTCAGAGCCCCAGGGCCCCTCGCTTTTGCAAAGGTTATGTTTTGAACTCTCCATCCAAACATGCCCCCAGATCTTTTTACCATCACAGACCGGATAGGAGTCTGGCTATGGCCAAAGGGTGGGGGGCCTGAGCTTCCTTCCCAGCACTCTACCTCGACCCTTTGCTGCCCCCCACCTCCCCCTGGAGCCTGTCTAATCAGATCCAGGCCTGACCTCGCCAGAGGTCCTGGACCAGGAAGAGAGTTCCCCTCCCCTCCCTGAGCGGCCCTAGATCTGGCTCTCAGGAGGCCCCTCCCCTTGGGTGATTTATAGAGGTGTCCAGGAACTGTTTCCTTCCTGTTTCTTTTCCCTTCCAGCCCTGTGAATTGCTAAGCTCACTCTCTGCCCTCTGTCTCTCCCCTCAGCCTGGTCGCACCTCTGGTGGGGGCAGGGCGGTGCTGGGAGATTCCTTCCCAGATCGCTGTGGACAAAGGTGCCTTCTTCCTTTCTCCCCACCTACTGCCAAGCAGGACTTTGTCCTCCCTGTCGCTTTCTCTGGCCCTCACACCTGGAAGACCATTGCCCATCACCCCCTTCCCATCACCCAACTTGAAGTGAGGGACCCAAAACTGTCCCTACCAGACCAACAGATATCCGCAGGAGTGTAAAGCATCAAGAGCCAAAGTCACAGCACCACTGTCACGTGCACCAGCCACAGACACAATACCACCAACACCAGACATAAATACTCAATGCTAATACACTAGCTGGTCTGTACTGTCATCAGCAACACAGTGGCCTGCAGGGTGACTTGTTCAGATCTCAGGGTGCCCTGAAGTCCGGCCCTCAGCCCCACTTCCTCATGTTTGCTCAGGGACCCTCTCCCTAGAGAGACATAATGAGGGACAGTCCACCCGGCTCTGTGGCCTGCTGGCACAAGCCAGGGCATAAACACACTTGTGAATCAAACATGTTCCACCCTGAGAAACTAGAGGGGGCCGAAATGGCCTCAACATCCCTTTTCCTCAAACTTCCTAAAGAAAAAAATGCTGTGCCAGTCCGGGCAACGTAGGGAGACCCTGTCTCTATAAGAAATACAAAAATTGGCCAGGCACAGTAGCTCACGCCTGGAATCCCAGCACTTTGGGAAGCCAAGGCGGGCGGATCACGAGGTCAGGAGTTTGAGACCAGCCTGACTAACATGGTGAAAGCCCATCTCTACTAAAAATACAAAAATTAGCTGGGCATGGTGGCGTGCATCTGTAGTACCAGCTACTCGGGAGGCTGAGGCAGGAGAGTTGCTTAAGCCTGGGAGGCGGAGCTTGCGGTGAGCTGAGATCATGCCATTGCACTCCAGCCTGGGTGACAGAGCAAGATTCCGTCTCAAAAAGAAAAAGAAAAAAGAAATTAAAAAATTAGCTGGGCGTGGTGGTGCGCGCTTGTGGTCCCAGCTCCTCAGGAGGCTGAGGCGGGAGGATCACCTGAGCCTGAGAGGTCAAGGCTGCAGTGAGCTAGGATCATACCACTGCACATCAGCTTGGGTGACAGTGTGAGATCCTGTCTCAAAAGAAAAAAAAAAGAAAAAATACTATTGCTTATGAACCAGATGTGTGTGGAAGATTTTAGGAGACTCCAGCTAAGCTGAGTTTGCTGGCCCAGAGATTGTGGATCCTGTTCATGAAGACAGATGAGGAGGCAGGGCTGGAGGGGCCCTGAAGAGCGACTCATCCACTCCCTTCATTTGTGGCTGAGAGGATGCTGCCTGCCCAGGGTCTCACAGAAATCCTAGGACGCCTAAGGAATATGCAGGACTGACCAAAGAGTTGAGAGAGGGTATAAGGAAGGGAGGGAAGGAGGAGCCTCAGATGAAGAGGACCACACCCTCCCTCTTGCACCTGCCCTTCCTGGACCACACCTGTGCAGCCAGCTGGGCTCCCAGGGGTGGGGGTGAAGAGCCTTCCCTAGAGCTCATTACCTTTCCTCCACACCGTGAGAAGAAGCTAGTCCAGCATGCAGTCCACTCTGCAGTTACCTGGCCTTGGAGAGTGAGAAACTTGCTGGAAAACTAAGGGACATCCCAGCAGAGAGCCTGGCCTCAGTTTCCCTTTCCTAAAATAAAGAGATTAGCTTCAGATTCATGGTTTTCAATTACTCTTAAAGGCAAAGCTACCCTTCAAATTAAATGTTTAGCAGAACTGTAACCAAGTCAAGCTGATCGAGAGGTACAGCAAGGTGCTGCTCTGACGGAAGGGAAATGTGAGCAGGAGGTGGGCTTAAGTGCATCCAGGGGACCCTTAGGAGTCAGTCGCACTATGCACAGTGACGGATATCAGACTGGCTCCATACCTGTGACCCTTCCAGCTCTAGCACCATGTCCAACTGTGCTGTGGCTGCTTAGTGCTGAGGGGAGGAGGAGGGAGTCAGGCAGTGGAAGCCAGACTTTCTCCATCCCCAGCGCCCTGATAAGAGGCAGCCCTTTCCCTTGTATATTTCCTCAGGCCAGCTCCTAGCACTGGGTGCCTCCAGGGAGCCCAGGATGGGGCTAGAAGCACAAAAGGATTTGTTCCTTAATGAGGAGGCATCTGTAGTCAGCAGAGCCATTAGTCCCCACCCCAGGTCCCTGGGGGACTGGGAACTCCTATCCAGCTGGAGTGAAGAGGAGGCTGGCAGCTCCCCATCTTCGAAGGAGCAGGGCCTGGGGGATGTAGACAGCTGACCCGGGAGCCTGGGTGCCCTCTCCACTCCCTGGGCTCATGGCATCCAGTTGCCTTCCTGGAGGTGGAGGGCTAGAGGCAGTAGAGGGGCTCCAGCAGCACCTCGGCCCCCTCCCCCAAGTCCCTGGGCTTACTTACCTCCCTTGGCCAAACACAGCCTTTGGCCTGAGGCCGGGAAGGCCCACCTCCCAGTGCTCCCTGGGGATCCTCTCACCAAGCCTGATGGGAACACCAGCTGGGACACTTGCCCCCACCTCCCACCCCCAGGGCCCCAAGGTACTGTTTATAAGGGCTGTACCTACGTGGGGATGTGTGTGATTGATTACCTGCACAGAACCAGAGGTACACACCCGCCGCAGCAGTGGACGGATTCCCGTCCAGACACAGACACTCAGACCACATACACGGAGACACAGCCCCGCACACATGTACAAAGAGGCGCACACACCCATCAGACACACTCCCAGGAGGCCCTCAAAGACGAGGAGGCAGGGCGGTGATTTTTATGCATGTTTATATTTAATGAACCACATGCAAATGAGATGGAGAACACGCCACAAAGGAGCCAGCCCCCAGAGACTCTGGGTGGAAGGGCACAAAGGCTCGCCTTTTGGGCTGCCCTGGAGGCCAGATCAGGCTGGTGGATTGAGGGGGCCTGAGATGGGGGATGGGGGCCACGGGGAGGGTGGCCTGCCCACACCAGGGAGCCAGGAGCAGGAGCCAGGACGAGCTCCAGTGTCCCTGCTGCTGTGGGGGAGGGCTTCCTCTGGGAGGGGAGCGACTGTCCCAGTTGATGGAGTGCCTGAGACGAGGGGCTGCCTGCCTGGACAGATGGTGTACCGCCTTCCTGCACTTGAAGCAAAGTGGATTTTAATGAAATCGCAGCCCTGGTGCTGAAGCTGGGAACCCGAGTGGGAGGGGCTCCTTCCCCAGGCATTACAGGGTGGGGTTTGGGCATGGGTGGAAACGGGGGTGGGCAGAAACACTTAACCAGCCTGTAACTGGGAGGGGAGGGTGCACCACAGCCCCTCTGCACTGATGATCTCTGCAGACCAGAGTTCAAGCAGTTAGTTCAGATCCCCAAAAGGTGGGGAGGGGTCCCTGAATATTTATGACACATTGAAATGTAGATTGGTAGGTCTGACAGTCTTCTGAGAGGCTTGTCACCTTGGATGGATGCAACACCCTCTTGGGGTGCATCGAGAGACTGCAGATGAACTGGGGGTGGGAGGAGTAGGAGAAGGAGGGACCAAAAAAAAGCTCCCGGGCCCTGGTAACCAGGGCCTGATGACCAGTGTCCCTGCTGGGCAACAAAGGACTAATTGCTTCCCTTCTCTGAGCCTCAGCTTCCAATTCTATAAAATGTGAAGCACTGAGGATCTGAGCCCTTGCCTGCCTTAGGGAGAATTTACAAAAACGAATCTGAAAGCTGCTGAAAAAGTGGGGTGTGGGGCTCGGGAGCAGGGCTTTGTCTGATTGGCCTTCATGGGTCAGTTTTGGGGACCAAGGCCTCCAAGAGAAGTCCCAACAGTGCAGGATTTCCTTATTAGAGGTTTGTTATCCAGAAGTTTGTCCAGACTTTTTACAAAGTATCCCAGCCCAGCCTATACCACCTCTCAGGGGAGATGTTTCCTAGCTATTGGAGGCTGGGGTAAGTGCTGATGGGTCCCCCAAGCTATTGCCCTTGCAGGAAAACTCCTGCCCCTGGATGGAGTGGGCTCCAGGTCTCCGTGCCTGTGACGCCACTGCAGCCCATTCTCTCCTACCTTCTGCCCTCAGCAGCGCACTGCACTCATACACTTCTCTTCCCCCAGCCATGTCGGACTTCCACGTGCATCCCCAGGCCACCGTGGGTGAGGAGGGTGGTGTGGCCCGCTTCCAGTGCCAAATCCATGGGCTTCCCAAACCCCTGATCACTTGGGAGAAGAACAGAGTCCCAATTGACACGGACAATGAGAGGTGAGCCACGTGTGGGAAAGACAGAGGGAGGACAAAGAGGTGGCCAGTGACTCTGGCCGTAGAGAAGGATGGCCCGCGGCTCTGGGAGCTGCAGTTGGTGCCCACAGGTGCCTGAGATAGTGGTGTTTCTGCAACCACAGTTTAGACTGGGTATCCACATGACTGGCTGGGCCCAGATTGTAGGCTCATGGATGTGTCTGAGGATGTGTGCGATCGTTGTCAAGGCTGGAATTGAGGGTGTGTCCACCTTTGAAAGTCCCAGTGTGTGTCTGCTGATGTTGGGATGGTGCAGTGCTTAGGTCCTGGGCTGTATCTTGGATGCCCAGAGTCTTTGTGGCTGATTATGTCAATGGCTGTGCTGGTGGCCAACTATGTCCCTCCCCTCAACAGGTACACATTGCTGCCCAAGGGGGTCCTGCAGATCACAGGACTTCGAGCTGAGGACGGTGGCATCTTCCACTGTGTGGCCTCAAACATCGCCAGTATCCGGATCAGCCACGGGGCCAGGCTCACTGTGTCAGGTGAGGGTCCTTCAGCACTTTCCCCCAACCTCCCCACCTGGCCTCCTCCTCCTCCCTACCCTTAGATCAACCCCCTTCAGCTGGCCTCTGCAGCCTTCTCAGCCACGTGCGTGCAGAGTGCCGGGCTCTGTGCTGCCTGGCGTGAGGGTGCACAGGAATCTAAGGCTGGATCTCTGGCTCATTTCCCCCTGGGAATCCCATCCTATGCTGATCTCCAGGACTTCCCCATTGCTGGCAGCCCTGCAGAGCCCGCAGCAGAGGGACGGATGTCTGGAACGTCCTGGTCTCCTGGTATCTCTCTGCCCACAGGACCTGGTTTCTGGGCTGGTGTTTGTTTCCCACCCGCTGTGTCCTGGGCTGTGGGTGGGGTGAGGAAGCGGGAAAGTCCCCAGCTGAAGTGAGGATATGTGGCGTCTTCCTCCCAGGCTCGGGCTCTGGGGCCTACAAGGAGCCAGCCATCCTCGTGGGGCCTGAGAACCTCACCCTGACAGTGCACCAGACCGCGGTGCTTGAGTGTGTCGCCACGGGCAACCCGCGCCCCATTGTGTCCTGGAGCCGCCTGGGTGAGCCTCATCCCCACAGCCCCTGCCCCTCCCAGCCTGTCCCACCCCCTGGGAGGGCCGGTCTCAGACTCCTCACCCAGCTCCAGGGGAATGTGGAATCCTGTTTGTTCTCTGTGGGGGTCCATTCTATCCCTGTGACCTGGGAAGAGGGTAAGTTTCCCTCTCCTGGAAGGACCAGGGAGGCCCGCCTGCCCACCCCATTCTCATCCCTGCAGGGATGGCTTAGCTCCTTGGGTTACCTTGTCCAGTCCCTGCAGTCCTCCCCTCACCCTGGCCTCGGGGACCCCAGCACCCTTCAGCAGCCCTCAGCACCCCAGAATCTGTCCCCTCCTGCTAACTCCTGCCCTCTATACTCTGGCCGTGTTCCTCAGCTGTGCAGTCCCAAGTCCCTAAAAATCCCAGCCAGTTGTCAGACCCTCACTCTGGGCCCCCCCAATCTCTAGCCTGGCCCCCTAAGTCCCCCAGCCTAAATCCCCAGGCAGCTGAAAGAGAGAAATGAAAGGGTGCAGATGGGCCCACATTGTCTGAGCAGAAAGGTCACTCGGGAAGGAAACTCTGGAGGGGGTGGGGTGGGGCACCGCATTCACAGGGAGACTGTGCCACATTGTAGCAGCTGAGTGATGGGGAGGGAGGGGGCAGCAGGCAGGATAATGGAGTAGATTTCACCACTTCAGGGCCTGAATGGGGAGCTGTCTCCTTGTATTCTGACTGTGCTAATCTGATCCTGGTGGGGGTGGGGGAAGGGCTCGGGTCCCTGGGAGAGGCTGGAAAGAGTGGCCGCACCATCAGGAGGAACCTCTAGGCACTCCAGGGACCATCTGGTCCAACATTTCCCAAAGCATGATCTGTCAAGCCGGAAGGAATGGCCTGCTGGTCTAACAAGTTTGGGAAACAAAGTTAACCGGGTTCCCCCCCCAACCAGGTCACAGGGGCACTGTGATGTGACTTACCATCCAGGCATAGAATGGATATTTGACCATGGATCCAGAGAGACAAACCAGGCTGGGAAACGTCAATCTAAGACAGACTCCTTTACAGATTGTGAAACAGAAGGGGAGGGCCTTGCAGGTGGCCCGTGAGTCAGTGGTGATGCTAGGGTCAGGACAGGGTCTCCGCTGCTAGGCGCGAGGGTTCTGTGCTGCTCTCTGCTGCCTCTTCCATGTTAAGGTGCCTAGGAGGGAAGGGGCAGAGTCAAAGACTGGGGCTCCCTAGAAGACAGGAGGAAGGGCAAGCCATCTGGAAGTTTCCTTTACTTTCCTTCTTCCATATCTCTATCTGACCCTCACCCATCCCCCCTCCCCTTCCTCTGCAGATGGTCGCCCTATCGGGGTGGAGGGCATCCAGGTGCTGGGCACAGGAAACCTCATCATCTCAGACGTGACGGTCCAGCACTCTGGCGTCTACGTCTGTGCAGCCAACAGACCTGGCACCCGGGTGAGGAGAACGGCACAGGGCCGGCTGGTGGTGCAAGGTATGGATCAGCCAACCCTGAGGAGGAGGGCAGGGATCTCCGCACAGTCCCTTCCTCCCAGCCCAGGCCCAACCCCAGGGCCCTGTCCCACCCCAGTCTCCTGGACTCGCCCTGCCCCTCGCCCCTCACCGGCCCCCAGGCCAGGCCAAAGGCGGTGCGTTCTTCCCGAGGAATGCTTGCGTTGGGAATGGGTGGATGGTCTTGGTCATGCTCCCCGGCCTCTGCGTGCCCTCCGGGTCCGTCAATACCCCTCCACCCAGGGAGTCATTTCCACTTTCTCATCTCAGCTGGTGTCCCCACCTGTGTCGCTCACACGTGTCTTCCCACGTGCTGTTTTCATTCACACGTGTGGCATCTCCACGCTCACACCTGCCTGCCTGTGCACTCCGGGCCTGCTTGTCATTTTCACTCTGTCGCCGGCAGCCTCACTGCGCAGGCAGAGCTGCCTCCCCTCCCGTGGGGCGGGGCCCTGCCGCTAACCTGGTCCTTCCATCGGCCTCTGGCTGTGGGGTTTAACTGTCCCCATGCACTGGGCTTGGATGAACATTTTTAGGGTTTTCCTGTGGTTGTTCCCTACCGGAGACCGGGGGAAAGGGTGGGAAGTGGGAGAATTAGGAACTTAAATGCCCATTTGTTTAGCATTCCATGTGCCGTTAACCTGTCCAAATGAAAGTGATGGAGCATTTCATTTCCCGGTTTTAATAGAGGCTTGAGGCCTGGGATTGGAGGAGAGCGGAATTGAATGTGGGGGCGAGGGGGCCCCCGGTACTGAGGCTCATCCATCTCCCCATCATTACCGCTTTCTGGAGGTGCAGCCAAACCTATTAGCACATTTATTTATTTAACAATTTCCTGAACAGGGAGTTCAGCTTGATTGCTTTCGGATACAAATGTCAGTCTTTTAAATAGTCATTAAAAAGGAGTCCTCTCAGGTCTGCCTGGGGAGGAGGGAAGAGGGAGGTGGGCCATCTCCTGAGCTGGGCAGGAGTAGAGGCTGGGCCCCACCTGGAGGAGTCTCCAGGGGGCAGATGTGTGTTTGGAGCCCACCTCTCACCCTGTGTATCTCCAGTCCCATCCCCTGTTCCCTTCCTCATGCCGTCACTCACAGCTGTGTCTGTCTGCGCCCCCACCCTCCTGACTCTACTCGCAGCCCCAGCTGAGTTTGTGCAGCATCCCCAGTCCATCTCCAGGCCAGCTGGGACCACAGCCATGTTCACCTGCCAAGCCCAGGGTGAGCCACCGCCTCATGTCACGTGGCTGAAAAATGGACAGGTGCTGGGGCCAGGAGGCCACGTCAGGCTCAAGAATAACAACAGGTATGTGTGTGGTGTGTGCTGGGGTGAGGACCAGGGGAGAGCAGGGAAAGCGGGGCCTGGAGTGAGTGGCCTGAGTAGGCTGTACACCTCCTGCCAGGGAAGAGCACAGAATTGGGAGTCTGGAGATTGAGGTGGAGTCCCAGTTCCACCACCAACTTGCTGGGAGACCTCACACAAGTCGTTTGTCTCCTGGAAAGACTCAGTTTCTCCATCTTTCAAATGGGGAGATTTGGTCAACCTCCAGGGAGGAGGGAACCTGAGGCTGTCTCTCTCCCCTGCAGCACACTGACCATTTCTGGAATCGGTCCTGAGGATGAAGCCATTTATCAGTGTGTGGCCGAGAACAGTGCGGGCTCATCACAGGCCAGTGCCAGGCTGACCGTACTGTGGGCTGAGGGGCTCCCCGGGCCTCCCCGCAATGTGCGGGCAGTCTCTGTGTCTTCCACTGAGGTGCGTGTGTCCTGGAGTGAGCCGCTGGCCAACACCAAGGAGATCATCGGCTACGTCCTGCACATCAGGAAGGCTGCTGGTGCGCGTGGCCAGCTCTGTTGCCCCTTCCTCTAATTCACTATTTCTTATTCCTTCCAATCCTGCACGTCGTGACCCGATGCCTCCCTTTCCTTCTCCCCGCTGTCCCCCCGGGCACCCTGGCTGCCCTCATTTCACCAATGCTGGCAGGACTCCCCCAGTCCTTCACACTCCCCTGCCCACCCTGTGCCTCTCCAGACCCACCGGAGCTGGAGTATCAGGAGGCAGTCAGCAAGAGCACCTTTCAGCACCTGGTCAGCGACCTGGAGCCCTCCACAGCCTACAGTTTCTACATCAAGGCCTACACACCAAGGGGGGCCAGCTCAGCCTCTGTGCCCACCCTAGCTAGCACCCTGGGTGAAGGTGAGGCCTGGGTGTGGAGCACAAAACCACAGGCACTCACTCAGGGTATCAGAGCAGAACCACCATGCACACTTGTTCTGGTTGTGCGCTGTGCAGGGTGCCCGGCCCTGAGGCTGTCAGGGCTGAGTCTACTTGGAGGAAAGGGCTTCTTTTTCTAATTCCTAGGAAGGTGCTGCTTTCATAAGCACATGCCCTTGGCCAGAGGCCAGAGGGCTGTCAGGCTTTTGGGGGTCGGGGTCACAGGTGGAAGGTAGAAAGATAGAGCTTCCACTGGGTCCTCACATCGTGGCCTCCTTCTCTACCTGCAGCCCCTGCCCCACCCCCACTGTCAGTGCGAGTCCTGGGCAGCTCCTCCTTGCAGCTGCTGTGGGAGCCTTGGCCCCGGCTGGCCCAGCACGAGGGCGGCTTCAAGCTGTTTTACCGCCCAGCAAGCAAGACCTCCTTCACCGGCCCCATCCTGCTGCCTGGAACCGTCTCCTCCTACAACCTCAGCCAGCTCGGTGAGGCAGACACAGCCCAGAGCCTAGGGGGCTTGGCAGAGTGCGGCGCTGAGGGCCAGGAGGTGGCGTACAGGGGTCACCTCCCTTTCCTGGCTAGGACAGGGCACGTGGTTGGGCAGGGGCAGTTGCTCATCCGCCCTGCCTTCCTCCAGACCCCACTGCAGTGTATGAGGTGAAGCTGCTCGCCTACAACCAGCATGGAGATGGCAATGCCACAGTCCGCTTTGTGTCTTTGAGGGGAGCATCTGAGAGGACAGGTGAGGGCTGGGGATGGAGTGCGGGGCTGAGTGGGTGGGAAGCCGGGAAAGTAATGGGGTGAGATAGCATGTGCCACGCTTGAAAACACAGGCTTAGACCACAGTTTGAAGCTTGGCCATGCACATGCTGGCTGTGTGACCTTGGTCAAGTTACTTAACCTCTCTGATCCCAGTTTTCTCTATAATACAGGGATAATAGTACCTACTTTACAAAGCTGTGGCAAGGATGAAATGGTCCATGCTATTCCTAGTATCTGGTAAAAAGAACCAAAAAGATTGGTCTGGAGTCCTGTAGGCAAAGTCAAAGGATGTTCCCACTCCCACTTGGGAGTGGGAGCAGCTGAAGGAAGAGGAGTCCCCAGAGGCTGGGTGTTTGGGAGTGCTTCAGACCTGGAGAGCCAAAGCCTCCAACCCGTCCCTGTCCCCAGCCTTGAGCCCACCATGTGACTGCCGGAAGGAGGAGGCCGCCAACCAGACGTCCACCACAGGCATCGTCATCGGCATCCACATCGGGGTCACTTGCATCATCTTCTGTGTCCTCTTCCTCCTGTTCGGCCAAAGGGGCAGGTGGGTCCTGGGCCAGGGAGAGGGGCTGGGCTGGTGTGTGGGGGACTAGGCCTAGAGAAGGTGAGTGTGGGCTCACTGCCTCTGTCTCTTTTCTCTCTCCCTCCCCCCAACTCTTGGCTAACCCTTAGGGTCCTCCTGTGTAAAGATGTGGAAAACCAGCTGTCCCCTCCACAGGGTCCCCGGAGCCAGAGGGACCCTGGCATTCTAGCCCTAAATGGGGCGAGACGGGGACAGCGGGGCCAGCTGGGCCGAGACGAGAAACGTGTGGATATGAAGGAGCTGGAGCAGCTGTTCCCCCCGGCCAGCGCAGCAGGGCAGCCGGACCCCAGACCCACAGTGAGTGCCCATGTCTTAAACAAACCCCCGCCTCAGGCTCTGACACTGCCACCTTCCAATCCTGCCCCCCTTCACCTTGGCCACGGGCCTCGATCATTGGCCTTAGTCAAACTGCAGGTCTTCTCTTTGTGTCCCTGAGTCAGGCAGGGAGACCTGGAGACCCTAAGGCCCAAGTGGGGTGAGTTGGAGCCTGGCGCCCTGGCCCTCAAGCTGACGCCTGTGTGACGGGCTCTTTCCCCAGCAGGATCCTGCAGCCCCCGCTCCGTGTGAGGAGACCCAGCTCTCCGTGCTGCCACTTCAGGGGTGCGGCCTGATGGAGGGGAAGACGACGGAGGCGAAGACCACAGAGGCCACGGCTCCCTGCGCCGGCCTGGCGGCTGCCCCACCACCCCCAGATGGAGGCCCTGGCCTCCTCAGTGAAGGCCAGGCTTCCAGGCCTGCAGCGGCCCGGGTTACCCAGCCAGCTCACTCGGAACAGTAGCCAGTGTCTGGCAGGCTCCAGAGGGTGGACGGAGCGGGGCCCATTCTCAGGTCAAAAGCAAGATTTCTACTGTCATGTGGGATTTGGATGGTCCTGGGGGCTCCCCAGCATTTCTATCCTGACTGCCTCTTGGGTTGTCAAAACCCAAGGCAGCCTTGACAGGGACCCCCCGGCCCTAACACCCATCAGGAGTTGGAGCAGTTCCTGCAGGAGCCTGTTCCTTCCCTGGGCTGACGCCCCCTTGCCTCTGCCTGGTACCCACATGACTTGGAACTGAACTAACATTTTTCTTTAAAAAGCAAAACTTAAAAAAAAAAAAAAAGAGGAGAGAGATAGAGGAAGGTGAATTAGACTCCAAAAGATGACCCTGCTGTAGCTGGGCCCTGACACTGTCACCCTCCACCGACTTTGTTTTCTCAGGATGGATTTTTGCTGTTTTGGCTCTCAGCACCTACCTCAGCCGGAATGAATGTCCTGGGGGGCAGTGGGGCGGTGGCCTCAGCCCCCTTACCCCACAGAGCCCGAATGCACTCCTACCTCAAGTCCCCTTGCTGGGGACCCCCTCTCCCTTCCCACACTGTTGTCCAGAGTAAAAAAAAAAAAAAAAAAAAAAGCACTTCCCCGTTTCCAGGTGTGAAAGAAAAAAAAAAGCACTTCCCCATTTCCAGATGTGAAAGAAAATGTCTACCTCAAGGCTCGCTGGCTCTGTGGGCTGTGTTGTCACTGGACCTGCCTCCCCGCCCCTCCTGCCCACAGCCCACCTACCTCTCCTGCAGAGGAGAGGCCAGAGGTTGGGCCACCAAGGGGAACTCTTGTGGCCTACAGAAATAGAAATGGATTGGGCAGAGAAAAAATGTGAAAGCAGCCAAAAATGAGAGGAAATTTGTTCCTTGAAGTATAAATTGTCCAAACGAGCCACCTCCCAGCACACCGCCTGTCCCCGTCTTGTCTGTCCACTCCCATTTTGAGCCAGCCCATCCTTGATGGGGATGCCCATGAGGAACCTGGGCTTGGGAGGGTGGCATCAGCTGGCCGCCTGCCTCCTGTCCTGCAGGCCCGGCCCCTGGAATGTACCATGTGTGGGATGGGTGTGTGGGAGGGTGAGGGGGTGTGGGTGTCCCCTGCAGAGGCGCCCCAGCCTCAGGCACCCAGCCAGCCTGATCCACCCCTCGACAGGGGAGCATCCACTGTCAGCAGCCATGGCCGGAAGCTATTTTTATACAAGGTGTGTTAAGGGTTATGTTCTTGTGACTTTTTGTTACTCTTTTCTGTTGTGTTGTTCTTTGAACTACTTAGTTAAAGAAGAAGAAAAGAAAACCAAGGAAACAAATACCTATTTTTGGTTATACTCAGAAACATTTTTTTAAATAGCAGAAGAAAAACTTTTTTTAAAGAAAAAAGATAAGTGTATTCCTTAAGAATGAGACCATAAATATCCCTGACCCCCAATCCTCTAGGGACACCTCCACCCTGAACTTTAGTTAATTAGCTGAAGAAGATAGAATTTGTGGTGTTTTCCTAGAAAACTAGAGCTGTGTCCGCGTGGACTTGGGGAAGGGTAGTCCCTTCCCTTCTCCCAAATGATGTGTGGATGCCCAGGGCTCCACAAAGCTCCAAGGCAGTGCCCCCTCTGTTCCCAAAGCAGCTTCTCTCGGGAGCCTCCCTCTCCCTTGGGAAGGGTGCGGCTGGGGCAGGAGGGGGCTGGGGGGCCACCTGGCCTTACTTGGGTTTTGTCACACTCTGCTCATTTTGACTGAATAAAAGTCCTGTTGCCAAAGTGAACCTGGAGTTTTTGGGTGGTTGTGTCAGGTCCTGGGGGAGGGGCTGCGGTGCTGGGTGGGCCAGGGCCCTCACAGGCCCAGAACCTGGGATAGTAACAGCAGACCCTATACACTACAGCTCTCTGCCACATGAGGTGCAGTTCCTGAGTCCTCACCCCTCCCTGTGACTAAGATATGCTAGTGACCGTCATCTCCATTTTATTTATTTTTTTGAGACAGTTTTTTACTCTGTTGCCAAGGCTGGAGTGCAATGGCACAATCTCAGCTCAACCACAACCTCTGCCTCCTGGGTTCAAGTAATTCTCCTGCCTCAGCCTCCTGAGTAGCTGGGATTACAGGAGTGCGCCACCACACCCAGCTAATTTTTGTATTTTTGGTAGAGACAAGGTTTCGCTATGTTAGCCAGGCTGGTCTCTAACTTCCGATCTCAAGCAATCTGCTCATCTCAGCCTCCCAAAGCGGTGAGATTACAGGCATGAGCCACCGTGCCTGGCTGGTCATCTCCATTTTATAGTTGATGAAACCAAGAAAAAAGAGGTGAAGGAAATGTCCACAATCCCACACAGGCAGTTGGTCAGTCTGATCCTCACACAGGATCCGAGTCTGTATCCAGGCCAGGCTGCCAGGTTCCAGGCTCTGCATTCTGACCACCGCCCCACCCCTCCTCGGCCAGCAGCGAGGCGGCTGCTCGCTCAGCCCGCCAAGGTTAAGCGCTCTCCAGGTGCTGGCCAGGCAGGGCTGTGTGCTTTTCACGCACTGTCTATGAGGAAGGACTGGTTTCCTCCCGGTTCTGAAGCTGAGGAAACAGGCTGTGACTGAGTGATTCCCTCCAGGGCACTCAGCCAGGACTCCGGCCAGGCCTCTCTGTTCTGCCATTGTCTCTCAGTCCAGGCTCCTGAAGCCAGTTGCCTGGAGCTGCTATGGCTTAGGTTCGAGAGAGGCTGGGCTTAATGGCAGTTATGCTGACAAAGATCCGAAGGTCTCAGCTGGCCTCAAGCTTAGTAAGAGGCAGCAGTATAATGCAGCTACTGCTGAATTTGAAAGCCTGGGTTCACACCCAGGAGGCTCAGCAGACCTGGAAAGCCAGGTTCTAAACCCAGGGGCACCTTTCGAGAGGAACGTACCAGGAGAGCAGTGGGTAAATTGGGCTCCCTGGCTATGGCTGGGGTGAGGGGGAGCTCTCTGGAGGGCCTCCTCACTCTCCCTACCCACCCTCACCCAGACCAGCTCAATATTTTTTCCCATATTTTTTCTGTCTTATTACATGTTGGCTTTTTTTTTTTTTTTTTTTTTTTTTAATTTGAGACAGAGTCTCACTTTGTCGCCCAGCCTGGAGTGCAGTAGTGCGATCTCGGCTAACTGCAACCTCCGCCTCCCAAGTTCAAGCAATTCTCCTGCCTCAGCCTCCCGAGTAGCTGGGATTATAGGCACCAACCACCATACCTGGCTAATGTTTTGTAGTTTTGGTAGAGACAGGGTTTTGCCTTGTTGGCCAGGCTGGTCTCAAACTCCTGACCTCAGGTGATCCACCTCCCTCAGCCTCCCAAAGTGCTGGGATTACAGGCGTGAGCCACTGTGCCGAGCCCATGTTGGATTCTTGATGAAATTTCACTTGAAAGCAGGATTGTGATCCTAAAAGAACATCTGAAGGTACCTGGCCAGGCACTTCCAGAAGAGGCCTGTGGATAGCTGGGCCCGAGGTCAGGTCAGGACCAGTGACGGTGCTAGGGATGCTGAACCAGGCAAGAGAGCGCTGAGGCCTATAGGGCGCCTATCCTGAATCTCCAGGGAGGTTGCTGACTTTCCCTGATTATCCCAGGAAAGAACTATCTCAAATATAGATATAAAACTCTTTCTTTACACGGCACTTTGCACACATAGATGTTTTAACAACTTCAGCCATCCAAGGGCAGCCTGGGGAGGTGATTGTTCAAGTCAACCCTGTGGGGTTGGGGGAGTAGACAAGTAACATCCAGTGCCCCTGTCCCTTCTAAGAGTCCCAGATGGGAGGTGTCTGGAAATGTTTAGAAACCACAAAATGGGCCAGGCGCAGTGGCTCACGCCTATAATTCCAGCACCTTGGGAGGTCAAGGTGGGCAGATCACCTGAGGTCAGGAATTCGAGACCAGCCTGGCCAACATGGAGAAACCCCCGTCTCTACTAAAACTACAAAAATTAGCCAGGCGTGGTAGTGCATGCCTGCAATCCCAGCTACTCGGGAGGCTGAGGCAGTAGAACTGCTTGAATCGGGGAGGCAGAGGCTGCAGTGAGCTGAGATCATGCCACTGCACTCCAGCCTGGGTGACAGAACGAGACTCTGTCTCAAAAAAAAACAAAACAACAACAACAAAAAACCCCACGAAAATAAGGCTGGGTGCAGTGGCTCACGCGTATAATCCCAGCATTTTGGGAGGCCGAGGCGGGTGATCACCTGAGGTCAGGAGTTCAAGACCAGCCTGGCCAACATGGGGAAACCCCATCTCTATTAAAAAATACAAAAATTACCCAGGCATGGTGGTGCCTGCCTGTAATCCCAGCTACTCGGGAGGCTGAGGTGGGAGAGTTGCTTAAACCTGGGAGGTGGAGGTTGCAGTGAGCCGAGATCACGACACTTCACTTCAGCCTGGGCAACAGAGCAAGACTCTGTCAAAAAAAAAAATAAAAATCCACCAAAATATGATCATGCAGATATATGCAAATTGTATACAAAACACAAACAAATGTAGGCAGGGCCTGCCCTAACCATCACAAGTCTCAGCCAGGCTTGGGTAGATGACAGAGCAGGGTTCCAGTGAGGAAGGTTAGCAGAAATAGGTGTCAAAGCTGAGTGGCCTGACTGGAATCCAGGTCCTGAGATCTCAAATAGCCCAGAGGCCTCAGGCTGAAGAACCCCGTCAAACCTCACTGTCCCCCACAAACTATCTTTGGGCAGAAATCTGCCACAACCAAGGCTGCAACCTGTTCCAATCATCTAAGGCTCTGTAACAAACAACCCTAAACCTTTTTTTTTTCTTTGAGACGGAGTCTTTCTCTGTCACCCAGGCTGTAGTGCAATGGCATGATTTCTGCTCATTGCAACCTCTGCCTCCCGGGTTCAAGCAATTCTTGTGCCTCAGCCTCCCGAGTAACTGGGATTACAGGCCCACACCACCACACCAGGCTAATTTTTTGTATTTTTAGTAGAGATGCGCTTTTGCCATGTTGCCCAGGCTGGTCTGGAACTTCTGAGCTCAGATAATCTGCCTGCCTCGGCCTTCCAAAATGCTGGGATTACAGGCGTAAGACATCACGCCTGGCAATTTTTTTTTTTTTTTTTTGAGACCAAGTCTCACCCTGTCACCCAGGTTGGAGTGCAGTGGCGTGATCTCCACTCACTGCAACCTCCCCCTCCCAGGTTCAAGCGATTCTCCTGCCTCAGCCTTCTGAGTAGCTGGGATTATAAGCACCACCATGCCCAGATAATTTTTTGTATTTTTAGTAGAGACGGGGTCTCACTGTTTTAGCCAGGATGGTCTCGATCTCCTGACCTCGTGATCCACCTGCCTCGGCCTCCCAAGGTGCTGGGATTACAGGTATGAGCCACCATGCCCGGCCTTTTTTTTTTTTTTTTTTTTTTTTTTTTAAGAGACAGGGTCTCACTGTGTTGCCCAGGCTGGAGTGCCGTCAAACCTTGGTGGTTTCACATCACATTTATTTGGCTTACAAATATGCAGTCTGGGCAGGGCTCAGGGGCAGCTGTCTCTGCTCCACTCTGCATCAGCGTGGGCAGCTTGAAGCCTGGGGGCTGGGATCCCCTGAAGGCTCCCTCCCTCCCGCGTCTGGTGGCTGATGCTGGCTGTGAGCCCAGCACCTCCACATGGCCTCTCCGTGTGGCCTGGGCTTCCTCACAGCATAGTGGCTGGGTTCCAAAGACAAGCGTCCTGAGAGAGAGAGCCAGGTGGAAACTGCAACATCATTTCTACGCCGGCCCAAGTGACACAGCATCACTTCTGCTATAGTCAGCTCTTTAGAACAAGTCGCTAAGGCAAGCCACATTCAGGGAATTCAAGGGGAATTAAAGTCTTCTTTTCAATGGAGAGTCAAAGAATGTATGGACTGTTTTAAAATGACCACAGGGGCCGGGTGCAGTGGCTCACCCGCCGGGGAGAATTACTTGAGCCCAGGAGGTGAAAGTAGCAGTGAGCCGAGATCATGCCACTGCACTCCAGCTTGGACTATAGAGTGAGACTCCATCTCAAATAAATAGATAAATAAATAAATAAAATGACCACAGGGCCACTCCGGAGGGACAGGTGGGGAACAAATATGAGCCAGGAGGCAGGGAGGGGAGGAAAGCTTTACCCCATGGCCCTGGGACTGTGCATGAGGCTGGTGGGGACACAGCTGGGGACGGCAGGAGACAGAGGGTGCCCCGAACTCCTATGGGGACACTGGGGCTGGACACAGGGAATGAGTGAGTGGGGGCAGCTAAGGCTGGGGGCCTGCCTTAAATTCTGGGTTAAGGCTTGAGTCAGGGAGGGGAACAGCTAAACCCATGGTCCTCTCTCAAAGAGGTATTAGAGGGCTGGGCACAGTGGCTCACTGTGTAATCCCAGCACTTTGGGAGGCCAAGGCAGGAAGACAGCTTGAGGCCAGGAATTCGAGACCAGCTGGACGACATGGCAAAATCGTCTCCACACAAAATTTAAAAATTAGCCAGGCATGGTGACACATGCCTGTAATCCCAGCTACTCAGGAGGCTGAGGTGTGAGGATCGCTTGAGCCTGGGAGGTTGAGGCTATAGTGAGCCAAGATCGTGCCATTGCACTCCAGTTTGGGTGACAGAGGGAGAACCTGTCTTAAAAAAAAAGGTACGAGGGGACTTGGGGACTGATCTGAGGGCTTTGTTGCTCCCCTGAGCCCCCCTGGAGCTACCTTGGAACGGAGAGGGAGCAGGGAGAAGAAGGGGCTGAGAGGAGGCCGAGGAGGAGCCTGGCTGGCAGAGAAGGGAAGGGCTCCTTGGACTCAAGAGGGATGGACACTGAGTTCCCACAAACGTGGATGGCCCCTTGGTCACCGTGCACCACGTGCCACCACCACAAGGCAGGGTTGGCCCTGGCTATTACTCCAGAATAGCCACCCTCTGACCAGGCTCTGCTCCCCACAGCTTCTCCTCGTCATGGTGCCTCTTCCTGCAGATGTCTCTCTCGCTCTCTGGAGGGGCTTCCTTCCCCGAGGCCCAGGATGCCCTATGCTGCATTTTGTCTCATTGCCTCAAAAGCTGGCTCCCCATTATGTGGACTTGTGCTGCCAGCACTTTCTTCATAACCACTGAAGGAATCAGAGTGTCTAACTGGGAGTACTGGGGACACTGTCACAAAGCTACCAAGAAAGCATACTTTGGTTCAATCCCGGCTGCTATAGTAGTGTCTTGGGTCAAGAATTGGAGAGTTTTGTGCCTGGAAGCTTGAGGTCATCTCTCCCGTGGCCAGCAAGTCCCCAGTTATTGGGCTGAGGCTGGGGTGAGGAGAACCAGAGCCCCAGCAGGATCAGAGAACAGTGAGGTGTCTCCTTCCATGCCTAGCTGGGGTGTCACCTTATATGGGGGACCTTCTCCAACTCAGCTGGTGGCTATGCCTTCAGCCCTTTGCCACCTGGGAGCTAGTACAGAGCTCAGAGCCAGTGCCCTGCTATTGAGAGCAACGAGCTGTCACTGTTCCCTGTCTTCTAGTGAGAAGCATGGCACCCTCTGGAGCTAAGAAGGTGGTGGCCATGGCCCAGGCTGTGGACACTAGAGTCCAACTGATGTGGTTTGAACCCCTGGCTCTGCTATTTCCTAGTTGTGTAACCGTGAGCAAACGATTTAACTTCTTTACACCTCTGTTTCCTTGTCTGTAAAATAGAGATAATATGCCCCTACCTCAAAGGGTTGTCGACCCAGCTGGGTTCTTTGCAGAAATTGATGAGCTGATTCGAAAATTTATACGGAAATGCAAGGGATCCCAAATAGCTAAAACAATCTTGAAAACAAAGAACAAAGTTGGAGGACTCATACTTTCTTGGTTTACTACAAAGCTACAATAATTAAAAAGTGTATTCCTGGCATCTGGGCAAACATATATCTCAATAAAATAGCACCAACAATCCAGAAATAAACTCTCACATTTATAGTCAATTGGTTTTTGACAAGGGTGCCAAGACAATTCAGTAGAGAAAGAATAGTCTTTTCAAAAAATGGTGCTAGGACAACTGGATATTCACATGCAAAGAAATGAATCTGGACCCTTTACACCATACAAAAAAAACTAACTCAGACTGGGTGTGGTGGCTCATGCTTGTAGTCCCAGCTACTCAGGAGGCTGAAGCTAGAGGATTACTTAAGCCCAGGAGTTTGAGGTTATAGTGAGCTATGATGGCACCACTGCTCTCCAGCCTGGGTGACAGAGGGAGATCCTGTCTCAGAACAAAACAAAAAAACAACAAACAAACCTTAAAACAACAACAAAACAACAACAACAACAACAAAGTCGAAATATGTAGCTACTGTATGACCCAGCAGTTTCATTCCTAGCTGTATACTCAGGAGAAATGAAAACATATGCTTGCCCGGGCATGGTGGCTCACGCCTGTAATCCCAGCACTTTGGGAGGCCGAGGTGGGCAGATCACTTGAGGTCAGGAGTTCAAGACCAGCCTGGCCAACATGGTGAAACCCCGTCTCTACTAAAAATACAAAAATTAGTCGGGTGTGGTGGTATGTGCCTGTAGTCCCAGCTACTCAGGAGGCTGAGGCAGGAGAATTGCTTGAACCCGGGAGGCGGAGGTTGCAGTGAGCCAAGATCACACCACTGCAGTCCAGCCTGGGTGATAGAGTGACTCCATCTCAAAAAAAAAAAAAAAAAAGAAAAAGAAAAAAGAAAACATATGCTTGCACAAAAATTTGTACATTGATGTTCACAGCAGCATTAGCCACGGTAGATAAAAGGCAGAAACAACTGTCCATCAGCTGATGAATGCAGAAACTAAGTGTGGTCAATCCACACAATGAGATATTATTTAGCAGATTAAAAAAATACTGAAATGAAACGAGTACGTGCTGCAACATCGATGAACCTGGAAAACATTACACAGGTACTAAGTGAAAGAAGCCAGTCTCAAAGTCCCACATATTGTACAATTCCATTTATAGGATATGTCCAGAACTGGCAAGTCTATAGGGACCAAAAGCAGATTGATGGGGGCTAGGGGTTGGGAGAAAATGGGGAATGACAGCTAATGGATACAGGGTTTCTTTTTGGGGTGATGAAAATATCCTAAAATTGTAATGATAGTTGCACAGTCCTGAATATACTAAAAACCATTGAATTGTTCACCTAAATGGCGAATTGCATGGAACATGAATTATACCTTGATAGAGCTGTTATTAAAAAAAAAAGAGGTTGAGAGGATTCACTGAGTTCATGTAAGTGAAGCGCACAGTTTAAGTGTTCAAATGATCCCACTGTAATAGGCAGAGAAACTGGAGCAGGCAAGGCAAAGCAACCCTAAGTTGGGGGAGGGGGGAGAGGAATGCCGGGGAGAGGGGAGCAGGATAAAGAAGAAAGCAAGCAGCCAGGCGCGGTGGCTCACACCTGTAATCCCAGCACTTTGGGAGGCTGAGGCGGGTGGATCACAAGGTCAGGAGTTTGAGACCAGCCTGGTGAACATGGTGAAACCCCGTCTCTACTAAAAATACAAAAATTAGCCGGGCGCAGTGGCAGGAGCCTATAATCTCAGCTACTTGGGAGGCTGAGGCAGGAGAATTGCTTGAACCCAGGAGGCAGAAGTTGCAGTGAGTCAAGATTGCGCCACTGCACTCCACCCTGGGCGACAAGTGCAAAACTCTGTCTCAAAAAAAAAGAAGGAGGAGGAGGAAGAGAAGGAGGAGGAGGAGGAGGAGGAAGAAGAAGAAGAAGAAGAGGAAAAAGAAAGAAGGAAGGAAGAAAGGAAGAAAGAAGAAGAAAGATAGAAGAGTGAGCTTGAAGGGCCTCCTGCAGCTGGCCTGGCCTCCCTGGAGCCCAGGGAGCCTCTGGTTCCAAGCATGGCAGCCTGGAAGCTGCGCTCCTGGGAGGGCTGTGACTGGCGGACTTTGCTGCCACCCAGTGGAATTAACAAGGATTACAGCCACGGGAACAGAGGCCTGATCCCTACTGGTGACTAATTGAGCCCAGCAATTAAGATGCTCTGGGCCCCATAGGAGAGAGACAGACCCTCAGTGAGCTGACAATCTATAGGCTTGAATACAAGTAACTGCTATCTATTCAAATACTTATGTGGGTGAGTACCAGCAGCACATTGTAGAAACGGAAGGAAATTATCCTGAAGTGCTGGATTAAGGAAGGCTTTGAAAAGGAGTGGAAACAGGGGAAAGGGCATCCAAGGCTGCAGGCACAGCATAAGCAAAGCTTGGGAGGTGTGCAAGTGCATGGGGAACTCACTGAGCAGGCTCAAGTCTTCCATTTGCTGCATGGGGCCTGCCACCTAACAGATGGTCAATAAATATATGAATGACCACTAAATTTCTAGAGCATATGCTTTTTGTGGGGTCGATGTGTCTGAGGAAAGCCTTACATGGTTTCCAGGTGGACAGAAAGTCATCGAGAGGGTCAGATAGCCTAGAGTTTCCTCGGGGAAGGGAAGGAGCCCCTATGGAGTCCTCCCAATGATAATGATGCTACTTCTGTTATTACAGAAGTAGCATCCTGTCATGCAGGCTGGAGTGCAGTGGCGTGATCTTGGCTCACTGAAACCTCTGCCTCCCTGGCTCAAGCAATTCTCCTACCTCAGCCTCCCAAGTAGCTGGAATTACAGGTGCCCACCACCACGCCTGGCTAATGTTTGTATTTTTAGTAGAGACAGGGTTTCGCCATGTTGGCCAGGCTGGTTTCAAACTCCTGACCTCAAGTGATTCGCCCACGTCTCAGAGTGCTGGGATTACAGACGTGAGCCACTGCAACCGGCCTATTTTTTTTTATTGTATTGTACTGTTTTTTTGTTTTGTTTTGTTTGTTTTGAGACGGAGTCTCACTGTGTCACCCAGGCTGGAGTACAGTGGTGCAATCTCAGCTCACTGCAACCTCTGCCTTGTGGGTTCAAGCAATACTCCTGTCTCATCCTCCCGAGTAGCTGGGATTACAGGTGCCCACCACCACACTCGGCTAATTTTTGTATTTTTTTAGTAGAGACGGGTTTCACCATGTTGGCCAGACTGGTCTCAAACACCTGACCTTAGGTGATCTGCCCACCTCGACCTCCCAAAGTGCTAGGATTACAGGCCTGAGCCACTGCACCCGGCCTGTATCGTATTTTTATTTATTTATTTATTTATGAGATGGAGTCTTGCTCTGTCTCACCCAGGCTGGAGTGCAGAGGCGCGATCTCGGCTCACTGCATCCTCTGCCTTCCGGGTTCAAGTGATTCTCCTGTATCAGCCTCCCAAGTAGCTAGAACAACAGGCATGTGCCAAGACACCCGGCTAATTTTGTATTTTTAGTAGAGATGAGGGTTCACCATGTTGGCCAGGCTGGTCTCGAACTCCTGACCTCAGGTGATCCACCCACCTCAGCCTCCCAAAGTGCTGCGATTACAGGCATAAGCCACCACGCCTGTCCTATTTTTTTTTTTTTTTTTAAGACGGGGTCTCACTCTGTCACCCAGGCTGGAGTGCAGTGGTATAATCTCGGCTCACTGCAACCTCCACCTCCCAGGTTCACGTAATTCTTCTGCCTCAGCCTGCTGAGTAGCTGAGACTACAGGTGTGCACCACCACCACACCTGGCTAATTTTGGTATTTTCTGGAAGAGACGGGATTTCCCCGTGTTGGCCAGACTGGTCTCAAACTACTGGCCTCGAGTGATCTGCCTGCCTCTGCCTCCCAAAGTTCTGGGATTACAGGCGTGAACCACCACGCCCGGCCATATTTTTTTGTACTTTTAGTAGAGACAGGGTTTCACCATGTTGCCCAGGCTGGTCTCCAACCCCTGAGCTCAAGTGATCCAGCTGCCTCGGCCTCCCAAAGTGCTGGGATTACAGGCACGAGCTATGGCACCCAGCTAGTTATTACATCTTATGGCATTTGTTTGTTTGTTTGTTTGTTTTTAGACGGAGTCTTGCTCCGTCGCCCAGGCTGGAGTGCAATGGTGCAATCTTGGCTCACTGCACCCTCTGCCTCCCGGGTTCAAGCAATTCTCCTGTCTCAGCCTCCCAGGTAGCTGGGACTACAGGCGCATGCCACCATGCCCAGCTAATTTTTGTATTTTTAGTAGAGACAGAGTTTCACCTTATTGGTCAGGCTGGTCTCGAACTCCTGACCTCAGGTGATCCACCCCCACCTCGGCCTCCCAATGTTCTGGGATTACAGGCGTGAGCCACCACGCCCGGCTTCTTAGGGTGTTTTGTAGACACCTCCGTATCACCTCATGTGCGTCTCTCACAGCCGTGCAGCGGGTAGAGCTGGGCTTGCTGTCATCCTCCCATCTGAGATGAGGAAACCAAGGCTCCGAGAAGGGAGGTGGTGGAGCTGGGGCTTGAACCTCAGACTCCTTGTTCGAAGCCCATGCTGTTAACTTACATCTATGTATGGAGGAAAAGACGACAGGGGAGCCCAGTCGGGGGCGGTGGGGCGGGAGGGGTGGCGGTCTAAATTAACTAAAAGGGAGATTTTCTTTTTGAAGAGTGAGAAGAGACCCAGGAATGTCGGCCCCCCTGCCTCCCTGAGTGGGACGGTTGAGGAGGTTGGGCACATCCTAAAATGCAGGCTGGGTCTGTAACCTACCACAGCTCCACACTGCTCCCAGAGGAGTCCAGTGCCTTTGGCCTGGCAATCAAGGTCCCCTCACAAGAGGCAGCCTAGCCCAGTGGTTAAAAGCATGGGCTCGGCCAGGCGTGGTGGCTCACGCCTGTAATCCCAGCACTTTGGGAGGCCGAGTTGGGTGGATCAGGAGGTCAGGAGATTGAAACCATCCTGGCTAACATGGTGAAACCCCATCTCTACTAAAAATACAAAAAATTAGCCAGGAGTGGTGGCAGGCACCTGTAGTCCCAGCTACTCGGGAGGCTGAGGCAGGAGAATGGCGTGAACCCAGGAGGGAGAGGTCACAGTGAGCCAAGATTGCGCCTCTGCACTCCAGCCTGGGCAACAGAGCCAGACTCTGTCTCAAAAAAGAGTGTGGGCTCAGGACTGCAATCCCTGCTCCCCACGGTTCAGTTGTGTGACCAAGTGGGCGTCCTCTGGTGCCACTGTTTCCTCCTCTGTAAACTATGGATAAGGAGAGCACCTACCTCATAGGTTGTGAGTAGTAGGAGAGTCAGGATGCATGAAGCACTTAGTCCTGTGCTTGCTGTTGTTGTTATTATTAATTAGAGCAGACTGTAATTTTTTGCTCCTATCATCAGGTCCAACCCTCCAAGCTCGGCTCCTGGCTTCTCCCAGATACGCCATGCACTGCGCTGCCTCCCGGCCTTTCTGCAGGCTGTTACTTCAGCCTGGAACCACTCCTTCCCACTACCCCTTCTCTCCAGATCCTGACAAACACAGCTCCTCCTGATGTCTTCCTTGTTCCTCTCCAGCTAGAGCCACTTCAGGCTCTTAGTGCTACTCCACGGCGGCACTGATGGGTCATAAAGAGGTAAAGACACCACACCTGTCCTTAGAAAACGTAATCCTTGCCAGGCACGGTGGCTCACACCTGTAATCCCAGCACTTTAGGAGGCCCAGGCACATGGATCACCTGAGGTCGGGAGTTCAAGACCAGCCTGACCAAGATGGAGAAACCCCCATCTCTACTAAAAATACAAAATTAGTTGGGCGTGGTGGCGCATGCCTGTAGTCCCAGCTACTTGGGAGACTGAGGCAGGAGAATCACTTGAACCCGGGAGGCAGAGGTTGCGGTGATCCGAGATCGCTCCATTGCACTCCAGCCTGGGGCACAAGAGCGAAATTCCATCTCGAAAAAAAAAAAAAAGAGGCCGGGCGCAGTGGCTCACGCCTGTAATCCCAGCACTTTGGGAGGCCGAGGCAGGTGGATCACAAGGTCAGGAGATCGAGACCATCCTGGCTAACACAGTGAAACCCCGTCTCTACTAAAAAAATTACAAAAAATTAGCCGGGCGTGGTGGCAGGCGCCTGTAGTCCCAGCTACTCCGGAAGCTAAGGCAGCAGAATGGCATGAACCTGGGAGGCAGAGCTTGCAGTGAGCCGAAATCGCAGCACTGCACTCCAGCCTGGGCGACAGAGCGAGACTCGGTCTCAAAAAAAAAAAGAGAAAAAGAAAACGTAATCCTCGGCTGGGCTCAGTGGCTCACGCCTGTAATCCCAGCACTTTGGGAGTCCAAGGCGGGCGAATCACAAGGTCAAGAGATTGAGACCATCCTGGCCAACATGGTGAAACCCCATCTCTACTAAAAATACAAAAATTAGCTGGGAGTGGTGGCACGCGCCTGTAGTCCCAGCTACTCGGGAGGCTGAGGCAGGAAAATCGCTTGAACCCAGGAGGCAGAGGTTGCAGTGAGCTGAGATCGCATCACTGCACTCCAGCTGGACAACAAAGTGAGACTCCATCTCAAAAAAAAGTAATCCTTGGCCCGGTGCACTGGCTCACACCTGTAATCCCAGCACTTTGGTTTGGGAGGCTGAGGCAGGTGCATGGCTTGAAACCAGCCTGGGCAACTCCAGTGGGACTTCTCTCATACAGAGCTACTTCCTTCTGCAGCTCATTATGCCCAGTATGTATGACTGTCACTCTGCTCTGAGAATCTAAGATTACGTTTTCTTCTTATTATTTTTGAGACAGGGTCTCACTCTATTGTCCAGGCTGGAGTGCCGTGGTATGTTCACAGTTCACTACAGCCTCAACCTCCTGGGCTCAAACAATCCTCCCGCCTCAGTCTCCCAAGTCGCCTAGATTACTAACGTGCACCACCACGCCGTAATTTTTATATTTTTTTGTAGAGACAGGGTTTCACCATGTTGCCCAGGCTGGTCTGGAACTCCTGAGCTCAAGTGATCCTCCTGCCTCAGCCTCCCAAAGTGCTGGGATTACAGGTGTGAGCCTCTGAGCCCTGCCTTGGATTACATTTTCTAAGGACAGGTGTGGTGTTCTTATGTCTTTATGAACCACAAGTGCCGCCATGGAGTAGCACTAAATTCTCAAATATTTGTGGAAAGAAAGCACGAAATCAGGACAGGAAAGAGGAAGACGGAGGCCGGGCACAGTGGCTCACACCTGTAATCCCAGCACTTTGGGAGGCCGAGGCGGGCAGATCACAAGGTCAAGAGATCGAGACCATCCTGGCCAATATGGTGAAACCCTTCTCTACTAAAAATACAAAAATTAGCTGGGCATGGTGGCGTGCGCCTGTAGTCCCAGCTACTTGGGAGACTGAGGCAGGAGAATTGCTTGAAACCAGGAAGCGGAGGTTGTGGCAAGCTGAGATCGCACCATTGCACTCCAGCCTGGCCACAGAGCAAGAAACCGTCTTTAAAAAAAAAAAAAAAAAAAAGGAGGAAGAGTGAAAGAAGGAAGGAGAAAGAGAAGATGAAGGGAAAGGACAGAAATAGATGAAAGGTGAATAAAGCTAAGGGAGACTTGAAGAGACACCAGCCTGGCTCCATTTACCTTCTCACAACTTCAGGGAAAAGAACATGAAGATGGGACCTCTGGAAATGTGCAGCTCTTCCTTGAGCCACGGTATTGAAATGGACTTTGAAAACCTCAGAGTTGGCCGGGCACGGTGGCTCACACCTGTAATCCCAGCACTTTGGGAGACCGAGGCGGGTGGATCATTTGAGGTCAGGAGTTTGAGACCAGCCTGCATAACATGGTGAAACCCCGTCTCTACTAAAAATACAAAAATTAGCTGGACGTGGTGGCAGGCACCTATGATCTCAGCTACTCAGGAGACTGAGGCAAGAGAATCACTTGAACCCAGGAAGCAGAGGTTGCAGTGAGCCAAGATGGCACCACTGCACTCCAGCCTGGACAACAGAGTGAGACTCTGTCTCAAAAAGAAAAAAACAAAAAACAAAAAACAGAGAAAACCTCAGAGTGGCTCTGTATCTTCAGCCACACTGAAGCTCAATTTCCTCATCGGTAATAGAGATAATAATGGTACTTATCTAATTGGGTTGTTATGAGGATCAAATGAGAAAAATAACTGGAAAATCCTTGGCGCCTGGTGTAAAGTAAGCACTCAATAAATGCCGTGTATTGCGATGGTGATGGTTGGGTGATTCTGAGAATTCCAGATGTCCAGTAAATGACTGCACACTGCTACCAGAGGGAGGAGCTCCCTAGGCTTGAAGAGATGCCTGTTGTCCTGGAGCCTGGCCCAGCGGTCACTCGGAGGTCACAATGCTGTCTCCAGGCCTCCCCGCAACCCCCACAAGATACACAATAAAGACTCCTGATTGCCTGATTAAAGGAAGCGGATACACAATTAATTTCAATTTTAGACCGAAAGCCCCCTCCCACCTTTAAAGAAGCATTGCATAGCCTATTTCAATTTACACACTGAGCCAGTGTGGAATTTTCCAGCGTGTTCTGTGGCCTTTGAAGTGACCAGACCAGACTATTGATTTATTTCCAACTAATCTCTCTCTTTGAACCCAGAAGGGTCAAGGTTAATTATATAATAAAACATACTGTGCCCAGCTGCCCCTCTAAGGGCGCAGGGAGCCCCCTGACCTTTCTGTGCCAGCGAGTGGTGGATCGTATTTCTGATCCCTTCCCCGCATTCATTTCCTTCATCAGGGCCCATTAAGAAGGAGAAAGGAAAAAAGAAGAAAAAAAAAAAACCCGGCCCCTCATTTCCTCTCTGAGAGATAAATTTTAATTTGCTGGAAACCAACAAAGGTGATCTAAGCCATGTTTCCAGGCTGCCCCCTTGGGCTGGAAAATCTTGCAGGGAGCATCTACTCTGGAGCCACTGGGAAATGGGGTGAGGGTGGTAGGGGGCAACAAAGGGGTGCAGACTCCTGGGTCTGCATCTCCCACGAAGGGGAAGTCCCCAGAGTCCACAGCCAGGTCCCCACTAAGCCTTCCTTCCCTGCTGAGGTGACAGTTAACCAATGGCCCTGGCTTCCCAGGCATGTTCTCTCAGTCAGTCCCCAACAGCCACCCAGATGGGCACCAGCACAAGCCCTGCTTTCCCTGATGATGAAATAGGCTCTGAGTGGCACCAGAACTGCTTCCAGGTGTCACACGGAGGAGGTGGAAGTCCCGTGGCTTTTTTTCTGCTTTTTAAAATCATGGTTTTTCTTTTCCCACAGCCTCCCACCCTAGGGAAACAACATGGCAAACACTTTTTTTCCATTGTTGAGAAAAATGGTTGGATGCAGTGGCTCATACCTCCCAGCACTTTGGGAGGCTGAGGTGGAAGGATCACTTGAGCCCAGAAGTTTGAGACCAGCCTGGGCAACATAGCGAGACTTTCTTTTCTTTTTTTTTTTCTTCTTCTTCTTTTATTTATTTATTTTTTTTGAGACAGGGACTCACTCTATCACCCAGGCTGGAGTGCAGTAGTGCGATCATGGCTTACTGCAGCCTCAACCTCCCCGGGCTCAGGTGATCTCCCACCTCAGCCTCCTCAGTAGCTGGGACTATAGGGATGCACCATCACATCTGGCAACTTTTTTTTTTTTTTGTAGAGACAGGATTTCGCCATGTAGGCTAGTCTCGAACTCCTGGGCTCAGTGATCTGCCCACCTTGGGCTCCCAAAGTGCTGAGATTACAGGCGTGAGCCACTTCTTTTCTTTTTCTTTTTCTTTTTTTTTTTTTTTTTTTGAGACGAAGTCTCGCTCTGTCGCCCAGGCTGGAGTGCAGGGGCGTGATCTCGGCTCATTGCAACCTCCGCCTCCTGGGTTCAAGTGATTCTCCTGCCTCACCCTCCTGAGTAGCTGGGATTACAGGCAGGCACCACCTCGCCTGGCTAATTTTTGTATTTTTAGTAGAGACAGGGTTTCACCATGTTGGTCAGGCTGGTCTTGAACTCATGACCTCATGATCTGCCTGCCTCAGCCTCCCAAAGTGCTGGGATTATAGGCATGAGCCATGCACTGGCCTGATTTCTTTCTTTTTTTTTTTTTTTTGAGACAGTTCTCCCTCTGTCACCTAGGCTGGAGTGCAGTGGCATTATCTCAGCTTACTGCAACCTCCACCTCCGGGGCTCCAGCGATCCTCGAGCCTAAGCCTCCCGAGTAACTGGGATTACAGGTACCTGCCACCATGCCTGGCTAATTTTTTGTAGAGACTGGTTTCACCAGGTTACCCAAGCTGGGTCTTGAACTCCTGGACTCAAGAGATCCTCCAGCCTCAATCTGCCTTCCAAAGTGCTGGGGTTACAGGTGCCTGCCACCACCCGCAGCTAATTTTTGTACTTTTAGAAGAGACAGGGTGACACCATGTTGGCCTCAGGCTGGGTGCAGTGGCTCACACTTGTAATCCCAGCACTTTGGAAGGCCGAGGCAGGCGAATTACTTGAGGTCAGGATTTCGAAACCAGCGTGGCCAACATGGTGAAACCCTGTCTCTACTAAAATACAAAAATTACCCCCAGTAGGGAGGGAAGAAGGGAAGGAGTGTGCATAGCTCCTAGGTGAATTAATGTTAGCCACGGGAGGATGGTGGCACATGCCTGTGATCCCAGCTACTCTGGAGGCTGAAACAGGAGAATCACTTGAACCTAGGAGGCGGAGGTTGCAGTAAGCCAAGATCACGCCAGTGCACTCCAGCCTGGGTGACAGAGTGAGACTCTATCTCTTTGCTCCCCCTTTTCCAGAGCAGCCCCAGCCGCTCTTGTTTCCCATGGTGCTGACACTTCTGAAAGGGACAAGGCCAGTTATCCTGCAGAGTAACCCACAGTGTGGATTTGTCTCATGTTTCCTCCTGACTACTTAGTCAGATATGTTTGGTGTAAACAGCTCAGAGGGCAAGCTGTGTCCTTTTCAGTGCATTACATCTGGAGGCTCCCGATGCTGGCCTGGCCTGATTTTGGTGAGGGGCCTGGATTTTCAGCTGGAAGGCCGGTGCGTGTTCTCGCCTCCTGGAGGCACCCCCAGCATGGAGGGAAGAGGGGAAGGAATGTGCATAGCTCCTCGGTGAATTAGTGTTAGCCACGGGAGGAGCACGGTCTCTGGGACTCTTCGATCCCCACAGACGACAACCAAAAACTCAGAAGGAAGTCCGTCCATCACAGCCTGAGATGCACTCTCCCAGTGCCTCTCCCTGGACCATTTCTCAGTGTGTCAAGGGCCCTGTCACCTCCATGAAGTCTTCATGATTCTCTTGGGCAGAAGCAGTTGCTCCCTCCTCTCTCCTTCTGCAACCCTTCGCCTCATTTTCCTGCTTGCTGCAATCTGTTAGAGTTCACTGTGAGGCTCTTACTGCCCCTGTATATCCAGGCCCAGTAGAGAAGCCCAGGCCCAGGGCCCAGCAGAGAAGCTTCTCCATAAATATTTGTCAAATAAATCGTAACTCAACTGAAATCAGTCTGCCTTGTGGTCAATTTTACATTTTATTTATTTATTTATTTACAGATAGAGTCTTACTCTGTCGCCAGGCTGGAGTGCAGTGGCGTGATCTCGGCTCACTACAACCTCTGACTCCCTGGTTCAAGCAATTCTCCTGCCTCAGCTTCCCAAGTAGCTGGGACTACAGGCATATGCCACCACACCCAGCTAATTTTTGTATTTTCAGTAGAGATGGGGTTTTACCATGTTGGCCAGGCTGGTGTCAATCTCCTGACCTCATGATTCACCCGCCTCGGCTTCCTAAAGTTCTGGGATTACAGGCATGAGCCACCACGCCTGGGCTTTTTTTGTTTTTTGAAACAGAGTATTGCTCTTGTTGCCCAGGTTGTAGTGCAATGGCGCGATCTCTGCTCACCGCAACCTCCACCTCCCAGGTTCAAGCGATTCTCCTGCCTCAGCCTCCCGAATAGCTGGGATTACAGGCATGCACCACCATACCAAGCTAATTTTGTATTTTTAGTAGAGATGGGGTTTCTCCATGTTGGTCAGGCTGGTCTCGAACTCCTGACCTCAGGTGATCCGCCCACCTTGGCCTCCTAAAGCGCTGGGATTACAGGTGTGAGCCACTGTGCCCGGCCTTATTTATTTATTTACTTACTTACTTATTTTTGAGACAGAGCCTCACTCTGTTACCCAGGTTGGTGTGCAGTGGTGTGATCTCAGCTCACTGCAACCTCTGCATCCTGGGTTCGAGCGATTGTCCTGCCTCCGCCTCCCAAATAGTTTGGACTACAGGCGCCCACCACCACACCCAGCTAATTTTTGTATTTTTAGTAGAGATGGGGTTTTACCATGTTGGTCAAGCTGGTCTCGAACTACTTTTTTCTTTTTCTTTTTGAGAGAGAGTCTCCCTCTGTCACTCAGGCTAGAGTAGAGTGGCAGAATCTTGGCTCACTGCAACTTCCACCTCCCAGGTTCAAGCAATTCTCCCACCTCAGCCTCCTGAGTAGCTGGGATTACAGGCACACACCATCATGCCCAGCTAATTTTTGTATTTTAGTAGAGACAGGGTTTCACCATGTTAGCTAGGCTGGTCTCAAACTCCTGACCACAAGCAATCCATGTGCCTTGGCCTCCCAAAGTATTGGGATTATAGGCATGAGCCATTGCACCTGGCCAATTTTACCATTTTTTAAAATTATTCTTTTAGAGACAGGGTCTCACTATTTCACCTAGGCTGGTCTCGAACTCCCAGCCTCAAGTGATCCTCCCAATTTGGTCCCCTAAGTAGCTGGGTTTACAGCCACCACTCCTGGCTCAGTTTCACATGTGAAAGAAAAGTCCGGGTGGGGCACGATGGCTCACGCCTGTAATGCCAGCACTTTGGGAGGCTGAGTCAGTGGGATCGCTTGAATCCAGGAGTTTGAGACTAACCTGGGCAACATGGTGAGACTGTCTCTACAAAACAATTCAAATAGCTGGGCGTGGTGGTGCATGCCCGTAGTCCCAGCTACTCAGGAAGCTGAAGTAGGAGGATCACTTGAGCCTGATAGGTAGAAGCTGCAGTCAGCCATGATTATACCACTATACTCCAGCCTGGTTGATAGAGGGAGACCCTGTCTCAAGAAAAAAAAGGAAAAGTCCTACATCCAAAACTGAATTGAGGCCGTGCGCAGTGGCTCACGCCTGTAATCCCAACACTTTGGGAGGCTGAAGTGGGCAGATCACTTGAGGTCAGGAGTTCGAGACCAGCCTGGCCAACATGGTGAAACCCCAGCTCTACTTAAATACAAAAATTAGTTGGTCATGATGGGGTGCACCTGTAATCCCAGCTACTCCAGAGGCTGAGGCACGAGAATCACTTGAACCTGGGAGGCGGAGGTTGTGTGAGCCAAGATTGCATCATTGCACTGCAGCCTGGATGACAGAGCAAGACTCCTTCTCAAAAATAAATAAATAAATAAAAATAATTATAAATATTAGAAAGGAAAAATTGAAAAAAATCCCCAGATAATGAGATTATATAGGTAGAAAACTGAAAATAATCTACACATAGATTAAAGTTAATAAATCAAGTAAGGTTGCCAGATGTAAGATCCCATACAGGTTCACTGAATTTCTATAAAACCGCAGTGTACAGTTAGGAGATATTATTTTAGAAATTAATAAAAAGTGTGAGATTTTTAGTAGAAAAATTATAACACTTTACTGAAAGATAATGAAGACCTGGGCACGGTGGCTCACGCCTGTAATCCCAGCATTTTGGGAGCCCGAGACAGGCAAATCACGAGGTCAGGAGTTCGATACCATCCTGGCCAACATGGTGAAACCGCGTTTCTACTAAAAATACAAAAATTAGCTAGGCGTGGTGGCAGGCACCTGTAATCCCAGCTACTTGGGAGGTTGAGGCAGGAGAATCGCTTGAACCTGGGAGGCAGAGGTTGCAGTGAACCGAGATCGCACCACTGCACTCCAGCCTGGGCGACAGAGTGAGACTGTCTCAAAAAAATAAAGAATAAAAAAAAATGAAGACCTAAACATATGGAGAGACAAATCATGTCCATTAATAAGATAAAGATTCAATTCTCCCTAATCAATCTATAGATTTAATTCAGACGCAATAGGGATTTTCATGGAAATTGACAAGACAATTCTAAACATTTTTGGAAGAAGAAAGTTTAGCCAAGTTACTATTAAAAAGAAAACAAAGTAGAGAGATGACACCCACCAGATTTTAAGTCTTATTATAAACTCATAGTAATTAGGATGTGCAATATTGGCTCAAGTTTAGACAAACAGACCCATGGACACATGTCACTGCATATCCCTAGGGAAAGGAGGTACCAAGTCAATACACAGTGCTGGACAATTGCCAATCATTTCCAGGGGAAAAATAACACCAGATTCACACTTCACACTATACATAAAAATTCAATTCCAGAGGAATCAAGGACTTAATATGAAAGACATCACTTAAAAAGATACAGAATTTATTTAATAATTTGAGGTGGTGAGTTGTTTATTAAACAAAACACACAAAAGTACAAATGAGAATGAAGAAAAAAAACAAATCAATCTGACATTAAAACCAGTCACCAAGAGACTCTATAAGAGCAAAAAGAGAAGCTGTAAACTGGGAGAAGGTAATTGCACCATATAACCAACAAAGAATTACTATTTAAAGTCTCTGAAGTCTAGAAGCTGTGCAAAAAACTACTATACCCACTAAGAAAAAGATTCGCCATCTAAGAAAAAAATGGGCAAAAGGCACAAACAGGCATTTTACAGGAGAAACTATGAATGGCCAAAAAATCTTTGAAAAGATGTTCAACCTCATTAGTAATTAGGGAGATGTACATTAAAATTACTATAATGCTGGAAGATTAGACATTTGTAAAGGAAAAAAAAAAAAAAAAAGCCAGGCACAATGGCACACACCTGCAATCCCAGCATTTTGGGAGGTCGAGGTGGGAGGATAACTTGAGCTCAGAAGATCCAGAGCAGCTCACCCTGGGCAACATGGAGAAATCCTGTCTCTACAAAAAGCATAAAAACAAAATAAAAATTTTTAAAAATCAGCCAGTGTGGTGGTGCACGCCTGCAGTCCCAGCTGCTTGGGAGACTGAGGTGGGATCACTTGGATCAGGAAGTTGAGGCTGCAGTGAGAGGATATCATGCCGCTGCACTCCAGCCTGTGTGATAAAGCCAGACCCTGTCTCAAAAACTAAAGTAACATTTAAAAACCACTAAAAGTTACAATTTCATAACTACCAGATGGACAAAGATTAACTTCTGAGCATTTCTTTTTTTTTACTTTTTTTTTTTTTTTTTGAGATGGAGCTTCACTCTTGTTGCCCGGGCTGGAGTGCAGTGGCACGATCTCAGCTCATTGCAACCTCTGCCTCCCAGGTTCAAGCGATTCTTCTGCCTCAGCCTCCCGAGTAGCTGGGATTATAGGCACCACCACGCCCGGCTAATTTTTTATATTTTTAGTAAAGACGGGGTTTTGCCATCTTGGGCAGGCTGGTCTCGAACTCCTGACCTCAGGTGATCCGCCTGCCTTGGCCTCCTAAAGTGCTGGGATTACAGGGGTGAGCCATCACGCCCGGCAACTTCTGAGCATTTCAAGGCCAGTAAGGGTGAGAAGCAATGGGAATATAATAGGCCATTTGTGAAAATGCAAATAAGTACATAATTTGGGAAAAAATTATTATGCAGGTACCTACCTGCCCTAAGACCCAGCCAGCCATTCCATTCCACACTTTAAGGAAATATAACCTTGCACAGGTTCAAGGAGTTCCAATGGCCAAAATCTGGCAAAACCCCAAAACCTACAGGAAGGGAGAACGGATCTACACACTGTGCTCTGTTCAAACGTTTTACACCTAGCAGAGGTGCACAGGGCAATTATTAGTCATTGTCCATGTGTGCCGATTGAGCGCTTGAAATGCAGCTAGTCCTAATTGAGATGCGCTAAATGCAAAATATACACAGGATTCAGAAGACTAAGAAAACAATGTACAACGTGGGTTTCACCACGTTGGCCCAGGCTGGTCTCGAACTCCTGACCTCAAGTGATCCGCTCACCTTGGTTTACCCAATGCAGTGGGATTACCGGCATAAGCCACCGCGCCCAGCCAGAACACTTTTAAGAATCTTTCACATTAATGACACTGAAGTAAATACTTCTAACTTGTTGGAAGAAGCTTCACTAGAAAAAGAACGCTTGCACTTACACAAAGTTTAAACGCATGAGCGATTGAAGCGTTTACAAGCAGAACCGAAAACTTAAACGATATCTGTAAGAAACACCCTAAATGAAGTCAATCTGATTTTTTAACAGCTTTATATAGCCTTGTCGGAACAAGGCCTCAAAAAATTAGCTTAAGACTCAGAGTTGTTCCTCTCCACGGAAATCTTTAGTAAAAGGCGAAAGATTTATACGATCTGAAGAGAAACCAGAGTATGCTTGTTAATTTCATAACTCGTTTCTCGGGTAACAGAAACTCCTAGTATAGTGATGGTGACTAGTGAATGCCAAGGTTCTATACCTAGAAAAAAATTTTAAGAGTATTGTTTAAACAAAAGTCTAACTTTCACAGAATATGCTTAGAATAAAAATGTTTGATTTTGCCTTTTTAAATTTGTACTGTGAGCAGTGCATTATGGGTATGCAAATAATCGGATCAATCTTTTGATTCCGGAACAGAGCATTTCACAGAGTGCCTTATGTCACCGTTAGGGGGCGAAGCCGAAGACTGGCTGGCTGGAAAATAACGCTTTCCTGGTCAGAGACTCGGGTTTTATCTGTTTTGTGTATTTGTACGTCTGAGTTTGATTTCTTTTAAATAAAGACTGCTATTAAATTGAAAGAGAAAAAATTGGCAAGTCAATGATTAACACAGAATTCAGAATAGTGGTTCCTCCCTTCGGTGAGGAGCGAGAGATGTGACTTGGGGAAGGGCGCACAGGGGTTTAAAAAGTTTGACAATTTCCGTTTTCTTAAACTGTGTGGTGGGCGCAGGGGCGTTCTGATGTTATTTTTAACCGTGCACTCCGGGGATATACTGAATTTTGCATGCCATTTGAGAATTCCCGGCAATGTCCTGTTTAAAATTGGAACTTGAGCGCTCTGTTTCAGGTTTCCTGCCCGACCGGAATCTGCTGTTGGGGATGCAATCTTGCTATTCCAGTTTCAGACCTCGTGTCTCCTTATTCTAGGCGGGAGGATCGCCTGACGCCCAGAGTTCCAGACCTGCCATCTCTACAAAAAATAATAATTTAAAAACATAGTGCTGCCCTCTCCCCCTCGGAGCTACACTGTCGGCTCTCACCAGCCTACAGGGAATTCCTTTCTAAGGAATGTGCTCACTCGGCAACCAGTGAAAGGAAAGCAGTGCAGGCTGGTCTGGAATTACGGGCCACAAGCAATCCTCCCATCTCGGCCTCCCAAAGAATTGGGATTACAGGCCTGAGCCACCTCGCCCAGCCAGCACTAAGACTTTTACAGCCGATGGTGTAAACATTTCATTTCCCGACTTTCACACCTTCTCTAAACCAACACTTTTTTTCACTTTGCTGCTCCTTTGCTAGCAAGTCAATCATATTTGACATGCATGTAATTTAAATTTGTCTAATACATTTAAAAAATAGATTTACTGGATATAATTTAAAAGCCAAGCGATCCATCCATTTAAAGTATACCATTCGGCCGGGCGCGGTGGCTCACTCCTGTAATCCCAGCACTTTGGGAGGCCGAGGTGGGCGGATCACCAGGTCAGGAGATCGAGACCATCCTGGCTAACACAGTGAAACCCCGTCTCTACTAAAAATACAAAACAATTAGCCGGGCGTGGTGGCGGGCGCCTGCAGTCCCAGCTACTTGGGAGGCTGAGGCAGGAGAATGGCGTGAACTCGGGAGGCGGAGCTTGCAGTGAGCTGAGATTGTGCGACTGCACTCCAGCCTGAGCGACAGAGCGAGACTCCGTCTCAAAATAAATAAATAGAGTATACAATTCAATGGTTTTTAGTATATTCACAGTTGTAGAATCATCCCCACAATATAATTTTAGAATTTTTTGTTTTGGGTCTGTTATTGTTTTTCTTTTTTTTTGAGACGGAGTCTTGCTCTGCTCCCCAGGCTGGAGTGCAGTGGCGCAATCTCGGCTTACTGCAACCTCCGTCTTCCAGGTTCAAGAGATTCTCCCGCCTCAGCCTCCCAAGTAGCTGGGACTGTAGGCGCCTGCCACCATGCCCAGATAATTTTTGTATTTTTAGTAGAGACAGGGATTCACCATGTTGGCCAGGCTGGTCTTGAACTCCTAACCTCAAGTGATCTCCCCGCCTTGGCCTCCCAAAGTGCTGAGATTACAGGTGAGCCACCGAGCCCAGTTAGAATGTTTTTGCCACTCCGAAAAATGAAACAGTACCCATTAGAAGTTACTTCCCACCTGCTCATTCACCCAGCCTCTGGCAACTACTAATCTACTTTCTGTCTCTGATAGGCCCATTCCAGACATTTCATATAAAAGGAAGCATACAACATGTGGCCTTTTGTACCGGCTTCTTTTGGTGTGGCTCATTGGTGAGCAAACATTCATCTGGTTTTGTTTGTTTGTTTGCTTGGTTTTTCCTTCCCACAACAAGGAAAATGTGATTTAATTCTACAAATTTACAAACCAAAATACAAAAACAAAATGTGGAACACAAAATAAAGATGAGGAGTTCTGAGACTCAAGGCAGCTCAGCCGTAGCAGCTGCCCCGTGGTCCGGGCTGAATCCTCCCCATGACTTGGAGTCGGCTCTGACCTTGCCAGAACTTGAGGCTGAAGCCGGGCCCGCAACCGAGGCGCCCTGGTTCGTGATGGTGAAGTGGAAGCCAGTCTCCTTCACGTGGTCGTCACCCAGCTGGCTGTAGCCCAGGCCTCCCTGGCGGGGCGCGGGTCGGGTGGGGGCGTGCTGGTGCTCCACTTCACACACTGCTGCTCACTCTTTACGGGCCACGTGGGGAACATCGAGGGGTCAGTGGGGGGGCGGGGGGCGATCTCGCAGAAATACTCGCTTGCGGCCATCCTCAGTGCTCCTCCCGGGGAAGTAGGTCAGGAACTTGTTCGTAAGATGAAAGCCCTGTTCTGAGAGCAAGGCCCCCAAGCCCTTGCAGAGGTTGCTATAGGGGTACTGGCTGAAGGTCATCTTCTTGACTGCTGGAAGGTTACTGTAGCCATTCCTATTTGTTTTTGTTTTGATACACGTTCTGTCACCCAGGCTGGAGTGCAGGGCTGCAATCATAGCTCACTGCAGCCTCAAACTGCTGGGATTAAGCACCTCCTGCCTCAGTCACCCGAGTATCTGGGACTATAGTCTGCAAGCCACCACATTGGGCTAATTTTATTTTTTAATTTTTTGTAGAGATGGGGGTCTCCCTATGTTGACAGACATGTTGCCCATGCTGGTCTCGAATTCGTGGGCTCAGGGGATTCTCCCACCCCTGCCTCTGAAAGTGTTGGTGAGAGGTGACAGCGCGCTGGCAGCCCTCGTAGCCCTCGCTCGCTCTCGGTGCCTCCTTGGCCTCAGCGCCCACTCTGGCCGCGCTTGAGGAGCCCTTCAGCCCGCCGCTGCACTGTGGGAGCCCCTTCCTGGGATGGCCGAGGCCGGAGCCGGCTCCCTCAGCCTGCGGGGAGGTGTGGAGGGAGAGACACCGCAGGAACCGGGGCTGCGCACGGGGCTTGCGGGCCAGCTAGAGTTCCGGGTGGGCGTGGCCTTGGCGGCCCGCAGTCCGAGCGGCCGGCCGGCCGGCTCCGCCGACCCCAGACAGTAAGGGGCTTAGCACCTGGGCCAGCAGCTGCGGAGGATGCGCCAGGTCCCCCAGCAGTGCCGGCCCACCGGCGCTGTGCTGGATTTCTTGCCGGGCCTTAGCTGCCTCCCTGCAGGGCAGGGCTCGGGACCTGCAGCCTGCAATGCCTGAGCCTACCCTGCCCACCCGCCATGGGCTTCTGCGCGGCCGGAGCCTCCACGGACAAGTGCCGCCCCCTGTTCCACCGCGCCCAGTCCCATGGACCGCCCAAGGGCTGAGGAGTGCCGGCACACGGCTCAGGACTGGCAGGCAGCTCCACCTGCGGCCCCAGTGGAGGATCCACTGGACGAAGCCAGCTGGGTTCCGGAGTGTGGTGGGGACTTGGAGAATCTTTATGTCTAGCTAAGGGATTGTAAATACACCAATCAGCACTCTGTATCTAGCTCAAGGTTTGTAAATGCACCAATCAGCACTCTGTGTCTAGCTCAGGGTTTGTAAATACACCAATGGACACTCTGTATCTAGCTAATATAGTGGGGACGAAAACTTTTGTGTCTAGCTCAGGGATTGTAAACACACCAATCAGCACCCTGTCAAAACGGACCAATCAGCTCTCTGTAAAACAGACCAATCGGCTCTCTGTAAAATGGACCAATCAGCAGGATGTGGGTGGGGCCAGATAAGAGCATAAAAGCAGGCTGCCCGCTCCTGCTGCGGCAGGCAGGTGGGGTGTTTTCTTTGATACCGAGGTGGCTTTTTTTCTTTTGCTGTTTGCAGTAACTTGCTATTGCTGCTGCTACTGCTCCGTGCGTGGGTCTGGCCTATGAGCTGTAACACTCACCCTGAAAGTGTGTAGTTTCGCTCTTGAAGCCAGTGAGGCCGGAAACCAACTGGGAAGAAGGAACAACTCCAGATGTGCTGCTTTAAAGAGTTGTAATGCTCACCGTGAAGGTCTGTAGTTTCATTCCTGAGCCAGCAAGACCACGAACCCACCAGAAGGAAGAAACTCCGAATGCATCTGAAGGTCAGAAGGAACAAGCTCTGGATACGCCGCCTTTAAGAACCCTGAGATTCACCACGAGAGTCTGCGGCTTCGTTCTTGAAGTTAGTGAGACCAAAAACCCACCAATTCTGGACACATTGGGATTAAAGGTGTGCCACTGCGCCAGCCAGCGTTACGTCTGTTTTGATAGTCTTGCATGCTTGCTGTAGTTCACAATGTAAGGGGAAGTTAGAAACCCATTGAGATGCAAAGTTCTCACCATATGATAATAGCTACGTCTCATAGGACCTAGCAAGGGGTTAAGGGGTGGGTTCTCTGAGTACTGACCTCCCCCCGTATTGAGCCTTGGGAGAGAGTGTTTCCCTTTTCCTGGGCTTTAGGAGACATTTATTTGTTGGCCTGTACTGTGCTTCACTCTGGAAGGGTCCTGGATAGCTTTCACTGTTGAGAGAACTGAAAGGAGAGTTAACTTGTTTGTAGCTCTGTGAGTCTCCACAGAGGGTCATGGAGTTTCTACAATTTGTGAATCCGAAGCTTGGACTCACGTTGATCCGTTATTTATGATGTGGCTTGCACCTCAATTTCCAGCAACAATTCGTGCTAATTTAATTTAGGAAATAACTGGCTGGGCGCGGTGGGTCACGCCTGTTGTAATACCAGCGCTTTGGGAGGTTGAGGTTGGGGGGATCACCTGAGGTCAGGAGTTCAAGACCAGCTTGGCCAACATGGTGAAACCCTTTCTCTACTAAAAATACAAAAATTGGCGGGACGCAGTGGCATGTGCCTGTAGTCCCAGCTACTCTGGAGGCTGAAGCAGGAGAATCGCTTGAACCCGGGAGGCAGAGGTTGCAGTGAGCGAAGATCGTGCTACTGCACTCCAGCCTGGGTGCAGAGACTTTCGTCTCAAAAATATAATAATCCAGTGTGTATTTTATACTTAAGTACATCTCAATTGAGACTGGCCACATTTCAAATGCTCAATAGCCACATGTGGCCAGTGGTTGCCATATTGAACAGTATACTTCTAAATCCTTTTGGATCTTCTATGAAGATAATCATATGGACTGAGAATAATAATTTTTTCTTTTTTCACTCCTTATACTTTTCCCTCCCCCTGACTTTTCTTGTTACACTTGCCTGGCAAGGCCCTTAGTGAAAAATTGAATGGAAGCAGTGATACTGTCATCTTTGTCTTTTTCCAGACTCTAAAGGGAAAGTTCACAACACTTTGTTATGTGTGAATGTTTTTGGTGGTGGTTCTACTTTAAGCAGATTCCCATCTATTTCTATTGTAATAAGATAAAAACATAGCTGGGCTTGGTGGCTCATACGTGTAATCCCAGCACTTTGGGAGGCCGAGGCTGTAGGGAAGGCTTGAGCCCAGGAGTTCGAGGCTGGCGCCTGGCCAACGTGGTGAAACTCTGTTCCTACAAAAAAACACAAAAATTAGCCAGGTGGGGTGGTGCGAGTCTGTAGTCTCTACCGCTTGGGAGGATGAGGTGGGAGGATCACTTGGGCCCGGGAGGTCGAGGTTGCAGTAAACCTACATTGCACCACTGCACTCCAGCCTGGGCAACGGAGCGAGACTATCAAAAGTAAAATAAAACTAAGTTATGTATATACTATATATAAAAATGGATAGATGTTTAAATTTGTCAAACTTAAACATTTGATAAATGTACATTCATGGGATTACCAAATGATTCTGCTTTAATCTCATATAGTGTTGATCAATCTACACTAACAGATTGATGGGGCTTTTGTTTTTTTTCTTTTTCTTTTGAGACAGTCACTGCTGAAGTGCAGTGGCGTGATCTGGGCCGACAACTTCCGCCTCCGGGGTTCATGCGATTCTCCTGGTTCTTTTTTGGTTTTGTGTGTGTGTGTGTGTGTGTGTGTGTGTGTGTGTGTGTGTTTAGATGGAGGCTCACTATCACACAGGCTGGAGTGCAGTGGTACAATCTCGGCTCACTGCAGCCTCTGCCTCCCAGGTTCAAGTGATTCTCTTGTCTCAGCCTCCCAAGTAGCTGGGATGATGACAGGCGTGCCCCACCACACCTGGCTAATTTTTGTATTTTTAGTAGAGAAGGGGTTTCACCGTGTTGGCCAGGCTGGTCTTGAACTCCTGGCCTCCACTGATCTTCCCGCTTCGCCCTCCCAAAGTGCTGGTATTACAGGTGTGAGCCACTTGTGGCCAGCCTACACAGATAAACGTTAAATCATTTTTGTAGATTGTTCTCTGGTTTCTATTTGTTGTGACCAGATGCCAGGGCCCAGTTATAAGAAGCAGGTTCTCTTGTAGAAGCAACATTCAATCATTACAAATTTTTCTGTAGAGACTCTCCCTATAGGGAAGGTAGTTGGTGGGGGGCCTCTAGGTCTCAGCTCCTATTACGTTACCTCCGTTCTTCGAACTCCTTGCTCATTTCTGCTGCAGCCTCCGCGATGGCCACAAGAGGGCCCAAGTTCCATTTAGTGCTCAGTTCTGACTCCAAGGCCCACCCGTTATGGTCGTGGCGTCAAATATCTTCTTCCCTTAAATCCGAAAAGTATTTCGAAAATGTATGCTCCTCTTGCACATTTTAAAGATCATGTCTACAGCTTTCTTGTGATAACTTACAATATAAGTTTAAAGAGATGCAAAGGATGAGTATCTTGTGCATTTTAATATTAACACTAAAAACTGTTACATCACTAAAAATTTAGGCCGGGTGCAGTGGCTCCTGCCTGTAATCCCAGCACTTTGGGAGGCTGAGGCGGGTGGATCACTTGAGGGCCAGGAGTTCAAGACCAGCCTAGCTAGCCAACATGGTGAAACCCCGTCTCTACTAAAAATATAAAAATTAGCCCGGTGTGGTGGCACCACCCCTGTAGTCCCAGCTACTCGGGAGGCTGAGGCAGGAGAATCGCTTGAACCTGGGAGGCGGAGGTTGCAGTGAGCCGAGATCGCGCCACTGCACTCCAGCCTGGGCGACTCAGCGAGACTGTCTCAAAAAAAAAAAAAATTAGGCCAGGAGCGGCGGCTCACAGCTGTAATCCCAGCACTTTGGGAGGCCGAGGCGGGTAGATCATCTGAGGTCAGGAGTTCGAGACCAGCCTGGCCAACATGGCGAAACCCCATCTCTACTAAAAATACAAAAAGTTTGCCGGGCATGGTGGTGGGCGCCTGTAATTCCAGCTACTCCGGAGGCTGAGGCAGGAGAATCGCTTGAACCCGGGAGGCGGAAGTTGCAGTCAGCCGAGATCGCCCTACTACACTCCAGCCTGGGCAACAAAAGCAAAACTCCATCTCAAATAAGATTAGCCCTATCTACCAAAGCAAGGACTACAGTATGGGCAAAAAATAATGTAAAACATCTCTAATTATTACATATACAAGTGATAGTATTTTGGATTACTGGATTTTTCCATTCTTTAAAAGTAGTTTAATGTGGCTTTTAAAATTAAAAATTCCACCTATACCTCGAATTGTTTTTTTTTTTTTTTTTTGAGACAGTGTCTTGCTCTGTCGCCCAGGCTGGAGTGCAGTGGTGCAATCTCGGCTCACTGTAAGCTCCCTCCCGGGTTCACACCATTCTCCTGCCTCAGCCTCCCGAGTAGCTGGGACTACAGGCGCCTGCCACCACGCCCGGCTAATTTTTTTTGTATTTTTAGTAGAGACAGGGTTTCACTGTGTTAGCCAGGATGGTCTTGATCTCCTGACCTCGATGGTCTTGATTCTCCTGCCTTGATGACCAGGATTGGTCTTGATTGTCCTGCCTCGGCCTCCCAAAGTGCTGGGATTACAGGCGTGAGCCACCACGCCCGATCCTCGCGTTGTGTTTCAACCGGACAGTGCTGCAAAAAGAAAATGAACTGAATACTGTACATTACAAGTAACAAAAAACATGCATCTACCAAACAGTCTTGACTAAGAAGATCCCGGAGGAGGTACTACTTGTGTATCAACTGTCTATCACAAAAAGTTGAAAAGCATGAATATACAAGCCGCATTTCTTTGGAACATATATACACAGAAATAATTACCAATAAGGTAGGGAGAAAAGAACTAAACAGGGTTCAGTGCTTTTACCACACAGAATCTGCTAGTCACTGCTTTACAACAATATCAAAAGCACCATTGAACAGAAAAAGGAACACACAAACTTAAAAATAATTTCTATTGTTGGATTACCACATATAGCCTTGCCAAAGCAAGGCCTCAAAAAATTGGGTTAAGACTCAGAGTTGTTCCTCTCCACGGAAATCTTTAGTAAAAGGCGAAAGATTTATGCGATCTGAAGAGAAACCAGAGTATACCAGTTACTTCTGTAACTCAATTTTCGGGTAACTGCAATTCCTAGTACACTGATGGTGTCTACTAATCCCAAGGGTTACTACCTGAGAAAGTTTATACAAAAAAATTCTGCATGCAAAATTCTCATACTTAAAAATGTCAAGCAATATATAAATGTTTTTCCGAAAAAAATACTGTTTGCAGTGTATTATGGGTATGCAAATGAGACCTGAATAATCGTCTTTAGACTCCGGAAATACCTTAGCAGTCACACGGTGCTCTTGGGGCAACCTTTAGGGGGTGAAGTGGAGGCCTTGCTGCCCAGGACTTTTTTTTTTTTTTTTTTTGAGACAGGGTCTCACTCTGTCATCCAGGCTGGAGTGCAGTGGCGCGATCTCGGCTCACTGCAACCTCTACCTCGGGTTCAAGAGATTCTTCTGCCTCAGCCTCCCAACTAGGTGGGATTACAGGCGCACGACACTGTGCCCAGCTAATTGCCCAGGACTTTTAAGCCCTGTCTCTAAAATATAGAAACATCTTAAAGATTTTTAAGTATATCTCGTAAATAATGTATATAGTCTATGTGCATACATAATTCAAAAGTAATAAAACACTGATGTCTCCCATCCAGTTCAAAAAGTATATTGTTAACATCTTTGAAGCCTTCGTTGGCCCATTTCCCCTATCATACCCCTCACTCGCTATATGGGTAGTCACTATCTGGAATATGTATTAACCATTCCTTTGCACTTAAATGCCCCCCCCCCCCCCCCGCCCCAACTATTAGAAAACTCCCTCCTAGCAATACTCCCACCTCAGCCTCTCAACTAGCTGGGACCACAGGCACGCGCCACCACACCTGGCTAGTTTTTGTATTTTTCGTAGAGACGGGTTCTGGCTTTCTTGCCCAGCCTGGTCTCGAACTTCTGGCCGCAAGCGAGCCTCCTGCCTCAGCTTCCGGAGTTGCTGGATTACAGGCGTGAGACAGCCGCCAGCTCTTCTTTCACTTTCTTCACGAGATTTTGCATATATATAATATATATATTACATATTATATAAATAATATATACTATATATAATTACATAGTATATATCTATAATTATATATTACATATATATACATTATATATTATATATAGTGTATTTTAACATGTTTTCTAGCCTTCATTTAAATTTTTAAAGTTTGTTTTGTTATGGTGCTAAAATACACATGAAACTTACCGTTTTAACCATTTTTAAGTGTACAGTTCAGTGGTATTAAATATATTCACACTGTTCTGCAACCATCACTACTTTCCATTTTCAGAATTTTTTCATCATCCCAAAACCCATTAAATAATGACTCCCCATTCTCACCTGAGCCCCTGGCAACCACCATTTTACTTTCTGTCTCTATGATATTGCCTTTCTAGGTGCCTCATATAAGTGGAATCTGGAATATTTGTTCATTTGTCTCTGGTTTATTTCATTTAGCATAATATCTTTAAGGTTCATCCATGTTGTAGCATGCATCAGAATTTTATTCCTTTTTTTTTTTTTTTTTTTTTTTTGAGACAGTTTTGCTCTTGTTGCCCAGGCTGGAGTGCAATGGCGCGATTTCTGCTCACTGCAACCTCCACCTTCCAGGTTCAAGTGATTCTTCTGCCTCAATCTCCTGAGTAGCTGGGATTACAGGCATGCGCCACCACACCTGGCTAATTTTGTATTTTTAGTAGAGATGGGGTTTCACCATGTTGGTCAGGCTGGTCTCGAACTCCTGACCTCAGGTGATCTGCCAGCTTCGGCCTCCCAAAGTGCTGGGATTACAGGCGTGAGCCACCGCGCCCACCCAGAATTTTATTCCTTTTTAAGGATGAATAATATGCCATTATATGGGTACACCACATTTTGTTTACCCATTCATTTGTTGATGGACAGGTATTGTTTACACCTCTTGGGTTATTGTAAATAATGCTTCCATGCAATTATTTTTATATTTAAGTTAACAGTAAAATTGAATTTTTCTGGTATACAGATCTACGATTTCTTTTTTTTTTTTTGTCTTAAAAAAATTTTTTGTTTTTTTGAGAGGGGATCTCACTCTATCACCCAGGCTGGAATGCAGAAGTGCGATCTCAGCTTACTGCAATCTCCACCTCCTTGGCTCAAGTGATCCCACCTCAGCCTCCAGAGTAGCTGGGGCTACAGTTGGGGCCACCATGCCTGGCTAATTTTTGTATTTTTAGTAGAGACAGGGTTTCACCATGTTACCCAGGCTGGTCTAGAACTCCTGGCCTCAAAGCCATCCGACCACCTCCGCCTTCCAAAGTGCTAGGATTACGGGCTTGAGCCACTGCTTGTTTTGTTTTTAGAGACCAGGTTTCCTATGTTGCCCAGGCTGGTCTCGAAATCCTGGTCTTAAGCAATCCCACAACCTCATCCTCCAAAGTGCTGAGATTACAGGCGTGAGCCACCATAAGAGGGTCTCTGTTGCCCAGGTCTCAGCCTCCCAAGTAGCTGAGATTCCAGGTGCAAGCCACCATGTCCTGCTGCTACTTGTATTTTTTTTACAGGTGTGATCCACCACACCTGGCCAGATCTATGATTTTAAATTATTATTTTTTATTTTATCCTCATTGCATACTGAGTGCATCTATGACTTTTTAAACATGTACATAGATTTGCATAATCACTACCACAATCAAGATACACAATAGTTTCATCACTCCAAAATTTCCTCATGCTGCTCTTTGTGGTCACACCTTCCTCTACTTGTAATCCTTTACAAACACTGACCTGTCCTCCAACAATACTTTTGCCATTTCCGACATTTAAATGAAACATTCAGCACATACCCTTTGAACTGGCTTCTTGTGCTCAGCATGATGCCTTGAGATTCACTCATGTTGCATTCCTCTCTGTTCCTGTATGGCTGTACCATGATTTATTTACCCATCCACCTGTCATGTCCAGTTTTTAGTGATTGCTAACAGAGCTGCTGTAAACATTTTTGTACAGATTTTTGTCTGAGCAAGAGTTTTCACTTCTCTAAACACCTAGAAGTGGGTATTGCTAGGTCTTATGGTAGGTGGATGTTTATAAAAACTGTTTTTACAGAGTAGTTACCAGTTTATATTCCCACCATCAATGTATAAGAGTTTCAGTTACTCCATATCCTCTCCAACATGTAGAATTGTTCGTTTTATTTTTTAAATTTAAACCACTTCCACGGGTGGGGTGTGTAGTGGTATCTCTGGTTTAATTTGCATTTTCCTCATGACTAATGATGTTGAGCATCTTCCCAAGTGCTTAATTGTCATCCATGTATCTTCTTTGGTGAAGTGCCTGTTTAAGGAGCATAAAATATATAAGACATGCATAAAACATAAAGAAAAACAACTGGCCGGGCATGGTGGCTCACACCTGAAATCTCAGCACTTAGGGAGGCCAAGGTGGGAAGACTGCTTGAGGTCAGGAGTTCAAGACCAGCCTGGCCAACATGGCAAAACCCCATCTCCACTAAAAATACAAAAATTAGTCGGGTGTGGCAGAGGGCGCCAGTAATCCCAGCAACTGGGGAGGCCGAGGCATGAGAATTGCTTGAACCTGGGAAATGGAGGTTGCAGTGAGCCAAGATCACCCCACTGCAATCCTGCCTGGGCGACAGAGCGAGACTCTGTCTCAAAAAGAAAAAAAAAAGGCCGGGCACAGTGCCTAACGCTTGTAATCCCAGTACTTTGGGAGGCTGAGGCGGGCGGATCACGAGGTCAGGAGTTTGAGACCAGCCTGGCCAACACAGTGAAACCGGGTCTGTACTAAAAACACAAAAATTAGCTGGGCATGGTGGTGTGTGCTTGTAATCCCAGCTACTCGGGAGCTGAGGCAGGAGAATCGCTTGAACCCGGGAGGTGGAGGTTGCAGTGAGCTGAGATCATACCACGGCACTCCCGCCTGAGTGACAGAGCTAGACTCTGTCAAAAAAAAAAAAAAAAAAGGCAGGCAGGCGCCAGGTGCAGTGGCTCACACCTGTAACCCCAGCAGCACTTTGGGTGGCTGAGGTGTGTGGATCACGAGGTCAGGAGATTGAGACCACCCTGACCAACACAGTGAAACCGCATCTCTACTACTAATATAAAAATTAGCTGGGCGTGGTGGCACACACCTGTAGTCCCAGCTACTAGAGAGGCTGAGGCAGAATTGCTTGAACCCAGGAGGCGGAGGTCGCAGTGAGCCAAGATCGTGCCACTACTCTCCAGCCTGGTGACAGAGCGAGACTCCATCTCAAAAAAGAAAAAAACAACAGATATACAGTTGACCCTTGAACAACATGGGGGGTTAGAGTTGCCGACCCCTCTCGCAGTTGAAAATTTGCATGTAACTTTTTTTTTTTTTTGGTGGGGAGATGGGGTCTCACCGTGGTCCAAGCTGGAGTGCAATGGCTTGATCTCGGCTCACTGCAACCTCCGCCTCCTAGGCTCAAGCGATTCTCCTGCCTCAGCCTCCTGAGTAGCTGGGACTACAGGCATGTGCCACCACGCCCAGCTAATTCTTGTATTTTTAGTAAAGACGGGGTTTTGCCATTTTGGCCAGGCTGGTCTAGAACTCCTGGCCTCAAGTGATCCGCCCGCCTCGGCCTCCGAAAGTGCTGAGATTACAGGCATGTGCCACCATGCTGATGCATATAACTTTTGACTCCCCCTAAACTTAACTACAAATAGTCTACTGTTGACCGACAGCCTTACAGATAACAGTTGATTAACACATATTATGTGTGTTAAACGTATTATATACTGTATTCTTACTACAATGAGGTAGAGGAAGGAAAATGTTATTAAAGAAGAAGAGAAAATAGGCTGGGCATGGTGGCTAACACCTGTAAACCCAGCACTTTGGGAGGCCAAGGCAGAAGGACCACTTGAGGCCAGGAGTTCAACACCAGCCTGTTCAAGATTTTGTCTCTACTGAAAAAGAAAAAGAAGAAAGAAAAAAAAATTGCTGGGGATGGCATCATGCATCTATATAGTCCTAGCTACTCAGGAGGCTGAGGCACGAGAATTGCTTGAACCTGGGAGGCAGAGGTTGCAGTGAGGTCACACCACTGTACTCCAGCCTGGTGACAGAGTGAGACCTTGTCTCAAAATATATATATATATATATATTTACTATTAAAAAACCCCACTAAATAAACAAAAAGAACATATATTTACTATTCATTAAGTGGAAGTGGGTCATCGTAAAAGTCTTCCTCATTGTCTTCACGTTGGGTATGTTGAGGACAGGGAGGAGAGGTTGGTTTTACTGTCTGAGGAGTGGCAGAGGAGGAAGAGGTGGAGGTAGAAGGGAGGCAGGCATACTCGCTTTAGTTTCAGTGCCCATGTCATAGAAGGGTCCACGTTGTAAAAGCAGTCTTGAATACTAGGAACACTTCCGCCAGATTGTCTAATGTCAGTTGTTCTCCGGCACTGCGTCTTCTACATCATCTTCATCGTCTTGCACTGGTTCGAAGGCACTCATCTCCACCAAGTCATCTATTCGTTCCTCTAGTGTGACATCTAGTAGCCCTTGGATTTCTCCAAGATTCATATCTTGAACCCTTCACCCCACACACATCTCTTTTGCATATCCACAATCTCTTTCTTGATTTCCTTGACAGTCTCTGTCATAAATCTCGTGAAGTCATGCACAACATCTGCACACAATTTTTCTCCAGCATGAATTTATTGTTTCAGGTTTGATGGCCTTCACATGTTTTTCTACAACATCTTCAATGGTGTAATCCTTCCAGACGTTCATGATGTTCTCTTGGTTGAGGTCCTCTCCCATAGTGTTGACGATCCCTTCCATAGAGTACTGGGTGTAATAAGCATTAAAGATTCTTATGACCCCGTGATCTAGAGGATGAATTACAGACATCGTCCCTATTCAGAGGCAAGTAGACCACTTGCACCTTCAGTGTTGAACTCGGGGTTCCGGGTGGCCAAGAACATTGTCCAATATCAAAAGAACTTGAAAAGCTCCTGCTGGCCGGGCATGGTGGCTCACGCCTGTAATCCCAACACTTTGGGAGGTTGAGGCAGGTGGATCACTTGAGGTTGGGAGTTCGAGACCAGCTTGGCCAACATCATGAAACCCCATCTCTACTAAAAATATAAAAATTAGCGAAGCGTGGCGGCACACACCTGTAATCCCAGCTACTCGGGAGGCTGAGGCAGGATAATTGCTTGAACCTGGGAGGTGGAGGTTACAGTGAGCCAAGATCAAGATCGCACCACTGCACTCCAGCCTGGGCAACAGAGCAAGACTCCGTCTCAATAAATAAAAGGCAGCTCCTTACTGGCAAGATATAATACTTCCTGACTTCAAGGACAAAGCATTCAACCAATCCAGAGGAAGGGTTCTTCTTGTCCAGGCCTTCTTGTTGTACCAAGAGTGGCAGCTTGTGTTTATCTTTTCTCTTCAAGGCTTGGGGGTTATCAGCTTTACAGATAAGGGAAGTTCTGATAATAAACCTGACCAAATTTGCACAGAACAATAGTCAGCCTATCCCTTTCTGCCTTAAATCCTGGTGCTCGATTTTCTTCCTTACTAATAAGTGTCTTTTGTGGCATCTTCTTTCAGAATAGGGCATGTTCATCGGCATTAAAAACCTGTTCAGGTGGATATCTTTCCTGTCAGTGATTTTTTTTTTTTTTTTTTTTTTTTTTTTGGGAGATGAAATCTTACTCTGTCACCCAAGCTGGAGTGTAGTGGCATGATCTCAACTCACTGCAACCTCCGCCTCCCAGGTTCAAACAGTTCTCGGGCTTCAACCTCCCGAGTAGCTGGGGCTACAGGCACGTGCCACTATGCCTGGCTAATTTTTGTATCTTTATTAGAGACAGGGTTTAACCATAGTGGCCAGGCTGGTCTCGAACTCCTGACCTCAGGTGATTTGCCCACTTCGGCCTCCCAAAGTGCTGGGATTACAGGTGTGAGCCACGTGCCTGGTCCCCACTTTCAATAATGAATAGAATAAACAGAAGATCAACAAGGAAATCTAAGATTTGAAAACAATATAAATCAACTAGACCTAACAGACATCCATAGAACACTTGACCTAACAGCAGCAGAATATATACATTCACATGAAACATTCTCCAGGATAGGCCATATGCTAGGCAATAGACAAACCTCAATGAATTTAAAAGGACAGGAGTAAACAAAATGTGTTCTCTAAGCCAGGTGTGGTGGTGTGAGCCTGTAGTCTGAGGTACTCTGGAGGCTGAGCCGGGAGGATCATTTGAGGCCAGAAGTTCTAGGCTGCAATGTGCTATGATCATGCTTGTGAATAGCCACTGTGCTCTAGCCGAGGTAACAGTGAGGCCCAGTCTCTTAAACAAAAAACAAACATGTTGGTGATTGCTTAGGAGTGGGCGACATGGTAGGGTGGGTAGAGCATTGATAGACTAGGTGTAGAGAGTTCCTTTCTGAGGTGATAAAAATATTCTAAAATTGATTGTGACAGTTTCACATATCTGTGAATGTACTAAAAACTATTAAATTGTACACTTTAAATGGGTGAATTGTATGGTCTGTGGATTATATCAAATTTATATAAGCAGGGCTGAAACCCCTCCACAAGAAATGTGGTTCTGAGACCACCTTAGCAAATTCTGATAAAATCTAGAAGAATAAAGTAAACATAAGAACATTCAGTTTCACTATCAAGTAAATGCAAATTAAAACTATAATGAAATTCAACTTTGTGTCTATGGAATTGACAAGAATTAAAAAGAATTCTAATATTCTGCATGAGCTAAGTCATGAGAATGCTGGCCATCAGAGGCCCTTCCACACCACCCTGTGATGTGAATATTATCACTATGATTCTCATATCATATGTGACAAATATCTTCAGATAAGCAAATTTTATATATCCACCCAACAAACAATTCTTGAGGCCAAGGAGGTATCAGAGGGTGGCTTTTGTCTAAGGGCCTGCAATGAAGAAGAGGTGGAATGAGAGATGGTTCCCTGGTCTCCTGACCCACTCCAAGCTCTCCCTTCCTGGGGTCTGAGCTTCAGAAGCCACCTTAGAGTTCCTGGGTCCTATGAGAACCCCCATGGCTTTTGAAGCACTAGGGGCCTTGTGGTTCTAGGCCTCAGAGCAAACAGATTTGATGTGGGCTCCTGGGAGCAGCCCCCAACCTTTACCTGGCAAAAGAAGATGGGAAGCTCTGTGGTGTCTGGGGGACCAGTCTTCGCCCTACCTCCCGAAGTCATAGATGCAATCCAATGGCATGGGACCACCTCTCCTCTGAGTCCAGGGCCCAGCACAGCCTGGATGCAGAAGGAGAAGTTTCTTCCTCAGAAGATCCTGCAGGGTAGGAGTGTGTGCGGTGTGTTGGTTTAAGCACAATGGTCTGTGTTTAGATTTGCATGTGACCATGAGGTCACACTTTGGGGTTTTCTCTAATGAAGGTTCTGAGTAGGGAGAGGGGATGGGAGTCTAGTCCTTACCCTCCAGCAGAGTTAAGTCAATGCCCCTCTGCTCTCCCCCAAGCTCCCTGTCAGAGAGGTCTCCCAAGGAGGATCTTGGGGCATTTGAGGCCAGAGACTTAAGCAATTCAGAGAATTCTGGAGGCTGAAAAGCAGAGGAAAAGTCTTTTGGTTTTCCAAAGATCTCGGTGTGAATCCTAGATTTACCCATCTGGCTGTGGGATCTTGGGCAAGCATTGCAGCACTCTAAGCCTCAGTTTCCCTGGGTGTTAAATGGCTCCTTCTGTGCAGTTTTGGAGGGAAAAGATTCAAGAGAGACAATAGGTAGCATTAATACCCCAAGGAAGAGAGGTAGGCTCAGTCCGCAGAGCTGGGACAAAGACAAGTACAGGGGCGGGTCGAGAGGGTGCCCACATCAATTTCTACCAGGGCTGCTGCTGCTGTGAGGATGGCTGGCAGGGGCGTGGGCGACGTCGCCCGGCACACACTGGCGGCGGCAACTCTCGTAGCTGCGGGTGATCGGGGTCTGGGAGGGGCGGGCACAACCCGTACGGTGGAGCTGGCTGGGGCGCGAAGGGGCGGGCCCTCGGCTGGGCCGGGCGGAGCGCGGCGGCGGGAGGGGAGGTAGGCCGGGCAAGGCAAGCGGACGTGAGCTGCAGGCGGAAGACAGGTGGCGCCGCGGGCAGCTTGGCGAGAGGCGGGACTTCGGCGGCGCGGCGGGAGGCGGGGCAGGAAGGCGCGCGCGGCGCAGCAGCCTCGCCCGTCGCGGAGAGTGGGCTCTGCCCGCCGTCCCCCGGGGGCTGCTTCCCGCCCCAGGCCTCCGCGGAGGACACGTGTCAGCACGTTCCCGCGGTTGTCATTCCATTGTCATAGCCCTTCCCCTAGGCCGGGAACCCCTCCCCCCCACCAGCCCCAGTTCCTTTATCCCTGGGCCCAACCTCCCCGCCGACCCGCGGTCCAGGCCTCGGTCTCTCTCTTCGGCGGCGAGCCGCGGCCCAGACCCCGGCAGAGGACACTTGTCGGCACGTTCTCACCCCTGTCATCTCAGCCCCCTGCCTAGCTCCACCCCAGGCTTGGGAACCCGGCCCCTGACGGCCCATTGTCCGCGGGCCCAGCCCCCGCGCTGAACGCACGCTCGCCCTTGCCCCTAACCAGCGCGTCTACCCCGGCAACGCGCAGTGACCTGGGATGCAGCCCTCAGGCTGGGCGGCCGCCAGGGAGGCGGCGGGCCGCGACATGCTGGCCGCCGACCTCCGGTGCAGCCTCTTCGCCTCGGCCCTGCAGAGCTACAAGCGCGACTCGGTGCTGCGGCCCTTCCCCGCGTCCTACGCCCGCGGCGACTGTAAGGACTTTGAAGCCCTGGTGAGTGTGCTTTGTCCTGGCGCTGCCCACTGCGTCCTGGACCAAGTGCCCTGTGGAACCACAGGTAGAGGCAGTTCCATCCGCATTAGTAAACATGACAGCCGCCAGACTTTCCATTCCCAGCTTGGTCTTGCCTTGCCTTGGGGAAGGTTTCCATGAGCTAAGAACACTGCTAACACCCTCATGTCAACGCTCACTCCCAAGGCACTTGGTGGCTGCTTCTCTCCTGTCAATGACAAATGACTCCGAGGACTGAAGTGAGGAATAGTTGCATAGTCCTCCACAGATTTTCTAGCCTGGCCAGGAATAGGGTTGATGTGAATCAGCTGTTTTGCTTAGCTAGAAAGTTATCCATCCTTTTGCAAATAATTAGACACCAAAAAGTCACCAAAGCCGCCCAGACATTGGTCTTCAGATGAGGTGATCTATGGGCAGTACTTTTATAAACTGTAACATCCAGTACATATGTAAGCTGTTATTTCTCTGATTCACCAGGCACTTTTTTTGCAGAGTTCACCTCTGGGTCAGCATTCAAGATATCAGTTATCCTTATAATCCAAATGTTTGGAATTGCCTAGAAAAATATAACTTACCAAAATCGATTCAATAAAAAGCAGAAAATTGAAATCGCCAATAGCTGATATTCATTAAAGACACTGAACTCCATGTATCTTTGGGACCTGTCAAGTGTGGCAGTCTCCCTTCCTTGCCATGGAAGAGCATATTCTTGTTTACCAGCAAAGCTGTCACCATTTAATTGGTATCAGATTCTGACTTGCACAAGTAACATTCTTCACTGTTAAAAACTTGGAGGGGCCAGGCTCGGTGGCTCATGCTTGTAATCCCAGCACTTTGGGAGGCCAAGGCGGGCAGATTACCTGAGGTTGGGAGTTCAAGACCAACCTGACCAACATGGAGAAATCCCGTCTCTATTAAAAATACAAAAAGTTAGCCGGGCGTGGTGGCGCATGCCTGTAATCCCAGCTACTCTGGAAGCTGAGACAGGAGAATCGCTTGAACCCGGGAGGCGGACGTTGTGGTGAGCCGAGATTGCGCCATTGCAGTCCAGCCTGGGCAACAAGAATGAAACTCCATTAAAAAAAAAAAAAAAACCTGGAGGGTGCCAGGTTATTGGGCGAACTTTTCTAGACTATTGTAGAAAAAGAAGAAAAAGGCTGAGTGGCTCATGCCTGTAATCCCAAGGACTTTGGGAAGGCAAGGCAAGAGGATCGTTTGAGACCAGCCTAGGCAAAAAAGATTTCTTTAAATTAGCTGAGTGTGGTGATGCACGCCTGTAGTCCCAGCTACTTGGGAGGCTGAGGCGGGAGGATGGCTTGAGTCCAAGAGGTCGAGGCTGCAATGAGCTGTAATCACACCACTGCCCTCCAGCCTGGGCAACACAGCAAGTCTCTCTCTCAAAAAAAAAAAAAAAAAAAAAAAAGACGTTGGATTAGTAGTCAAGGATTTTCCCTCAAAGAAAACTCTGGACGTAGCTGGTGTCATTGGTGAGTTGTAGCAATCACTGAGGGAATAAGTAATTCCCAGTTTTACACAGAGTATTAAAAAAGAGGCTAGCATAACCTTGACCCTAAATCTGATAAGGGTGATACAAAAAAAGAAAATTATAGGCCGAGTGCGGTGGCTCACACCTGTAATCCCAGCACTTTGGGAGGCTGAGGCGGGTGGATCACGAGGTCAGGAGTTCAAGACCAGCCTGGACAATATGGTAAAACCCTGTCTCACCATTATGGTGGTGCATGCTGGTAATCCCAGCTACTCAGGAGGCTGAGGCAGGAGAATTGCTTGAACTGGGACCTGGGAGGCAGAGGTAGCAGTGAGCCGAGATCGCCCCACTGCACTCCAGCCTGGGCAACAGAGCAAGACTGTCTCAAAAAAAAAAAAAAAAAAAAAAAAAGAGGAAAGAAAATTATAGGCCAATGTCATGAGTATGAATGCAAAAATTATCTTCAAGGTATTAGGATCTTAAAGCTAGCAATGTATAAAAAAGGGTAATTCCTTATGACCAGGTTGGGTTCATCCCAGGAATGCAAAATTAGTTCAATATTAGGCAATCAGTTAATGGCACGAACCACATTGATAGATTAAAGGAGGTATTTAGAATCAACACGTGTTTAGCGTTATCTCTGATGAAATCATCAGTGTTTGGTTCCTCCTTTGCTATCATTCCTAGGAGGTTGAGGGACAAAGGCTGAGCCTCTTGGCCCAACCTGGTCCTGGTAGCCCACCTAATGATGTGTCGAGGGCATCTCAAGTGGTGACCACAGTGCACAGGCGTTTCAGGGTACCGGAAGTGGGAGGTTGGAGAAAGAGGCAAATTGACTGACTTCCCTCGAGATTTGTTCTTGCAGGTTCAGATACTCAATTTTCTGAGTGTGGTGTATCAGGACCTTGGGTACGAAACTTCATTCAGTTTTGGCAACAGATACTTATGGAGTGTTTGCTATGGGACAGGTGCTAAGGATACAGGATTAACCCGTGGAGAGGTTAACAGTGTTAACCTCTCATACTAGGTAAGCGCCGTACAACATGGAAGCCCAGAGCAAGGACACCCCCTAGCTCTCAGCTTTGGGCCAGGCTCAGGGAACACCATCTAGGGGTGGAGGCTGATGCCTTGCCAAGTCCCAAGGCAGAACTTCAAGAGCAGAGAAGAGGGAAAGAGTATTCCAGGAGGAGTAGCAGGATGGTCAGCCAGGAGGTGTGAGCTTACAGAGAAGGACAAGACTGTGATTTAGTGTGACTGTTGTGGGGAACAGGAAGAGATGAGGCCAGCCTATGGAGCATGCAAGGCTACACATGCCCTGCTAAGTTGTGGAGATTTTTATCCTTGGGCAGGGGAGGGTATAGAGGTGAGATCCAGAAAGACACCTGTGGTGGCAGGGTGAGAGAGGGACCTGTTTGGGAGGAGTGTTTGGGGTCAGAGGGATCAAACTCACAATGCAGCTTTTTTTAAAAAAAAAAATTGAGATGGGGTCTCACAACGTTGTCCAGACTGGTCTTGAACTCCTGGGCGCAAGCAATTCTCCCACCTCAGCCTTCCAAAGTGCTGGGATTACAGGCTTGAGCCACTGCACTTGGCCACAGTGCAGCTTTAATTTTTACCAAGAAACATATCTCTAAGTGGACTAGAATCTGGAACTTATTTTCTTTCTGCTGGAAGGTCTTGGCGAATGCAATCAGGTTTGTTTGGTGAATATGGGATACATGCAAAGGGGCTTGTGGAGTTGTTTTGATCATGCTTTTTAAAATTTATTTTTAATTATGCAGGTAATGTTTGAATATATTCTCATTATAAAAAATTCAAATGATACCAGTAAAGTAAAAGTGCCCCTGATAGATCTCACTCTATCCCTCACCCCTCTGCAAAGGTATCAATTGCTCTGTTTGGGGCCCATCCTCCCCCTTCTCCCTTGCCCCACTTGTAATCCCTTAAGAGAGCATCAGCAACGTAGGTTGCCCCAAAAAGCCACCTCCTCTATAGAGACAGACTGCCCCTCCCATGGGGTTTATTGTACCAGTCCCAGATAGTTACCCTTTCTCTTGAGGGCTACTGGAGAAACACGCATTCTTACCATCCATTTCTGTTGCCATATTCCTTATAGGGCACCATTGTTGAGGAAAATAGCCCAGACTACATAGATTCTTGGCTGTCTGTAGGCATGGCCGTCAGCAGCAAGACTGCTCACAGGTGGGGCCTGGCACCATTTCTGGGGACATGCATACATTCTTAGATAAACACACACTTTAGGCCTCGTTTTGCCACGTCACATGAGTTACTGAAATGATGCAGAGAACTGGGCATCTGGATCTGTATCTGAATCAAAGTCTAACTTTTAAAGAAAAGGGAATCAGGTCTGGAATGGACTGGCTAGATCATTTTGTAGTTACCTGAAGAAGGAAAGTATGGAGCTGTTAAAAAGTCTCTTGGCTGGGCACGGTGGTTCACACCTGTAATCCCAGCCCTCTGGGAGGCTGGGGCGGGTCATTTGAGTCCAGGAGTTTGAAAGCAGCCTGGGCAACATGGCGAAACCCTGTCTTTATAAAAAGATTACAAAAAATTAGCCTGTGTGGTGGTGCACGCCTGTAGTCCCAGCTACTTGGGAGGCTGAGGTCGGAGGTTCACCTGAACCAGGAGGTCAAGGCTGTAGTGGGCCGTGATTGTGCCACTGCACTCCATTCTGGGTGACAAAGTGGGACCCTGTCTCAAAAAAAGTCTCTCACTTTCATTTGTTCAGCTAAAAGCACTAGGAAGTAATGTGAAAGTTTACCATTTTCAGTCATTTAAATCTTTGTCCACACTGTGAGGTGTTATTACACACCTATAACACAAGGGTTGCAGTTTCCAAAAATTAGACCTGTGCCTTAAATTACTTTATTGATTGGTGATTTCCTGAGAACTCCCCACTGCTGAACCAAGCTCTTGGCTTTAGGTCTGATCTAGCCTTATCTTACCACTGTCCTCAAAGTCCCAAATTATCCCTGAGGTGTCTTGTTTTGAGACCATTTTCGTGCTGATAAGCTCTCTGATTTTTTTTTTTTTTTTGAGATGGAGTTTCCCTCTTGTTGCCCAGGCTGGAGTGCAATGGCGCGGTCTCGGCTCACTGCAACCTCTGCCTCCTGGGTTCAAGCGATTCTCCTGCCTCAGTCTCCCTAGTAGTTGGGATTACAGGCAGATGCCATGACGCCCAGCTAATTTTTGTATTTTTAGTAGAGATAGGGTTTCACCATGTTGGTCAAGGCTGGTTTTGAACTCCTGACCTCAGGTGATTCGCCCTCCTCGGCCTCCCAAACTGCTGGGATTACAGGCATGAGCCACCGTGCCTGGCCAGCTCTCTGATTTTACACTGGGAGCTCTTGGTATTTCCAGTGCCTGGCCTGGGAAGTACTTATCAAATGTTTGAGGAATCACATTGTGCGTGTGCTGAATACCCAGGCTCAGGATTTCTCACCTTGCTTTTTGGGACCAGGGTTGGATGAGAGAACCTGTAACATTCTTGGGATTCCCTGTACCCCTTAACCATTGGCCTCCGAACTTCAGGTTTGTCACTTGACACAGTCGCAGCTGTACAGTTTTTTGTTCTGTTTTCCCTCCCGAAATAGCATGTTCTGGTTCTCCATTAGCCTGTAGACCCTTTCTGGGGGTGGGAAGTGTGTGGGAATGGCTTCTTTGTGTTAGCTCCAGGCCCTCGCTGCTTAGTGTGGTTGAGGACCAGCAACATGAGCCTCACCTGGGTGCTCATTAGAAAAGCAGGTCCTGCCTCAGACCTATCCAGTCAGGATCTGCATTTTAACAAATCTGGGCAATTTGTACACATAGTGAAGTCTGAAAAGCACTGCATGAAGCTTACCCTGTTCTCATTTGGGGTGCCAAACTGCTCTAATTGGGCCTCCTGGTCCTGGAGGAGTAAGGAGTCTTTCTCTTTTTTTTCCTCCCTCTTTCTGGTTTCTGGCTTGCACTGTCTAGACACCATGACTCCCCAGTGTCTGGGTTAAAGCGCATATAAGCTCCTCTCTGTCCTGAGCCCTCCTGATGCCATTTCCATCTTTGTTGAAGCAAACTCCCTCTCATCCTTTAAGATACACGTGAAATTTCCACCTTATTCTGTGCCTCCACTCCCTAGCAGTTAGGAGTCCTTCTTTTGGGTTTCTTTATAATTTTAAAATTTTGCTTTTATAAATAATACTTTGATAAACATCCTTCTACATTAATCATTGTTTATATCTGTTGTTGTCTTCTTGGATACATTCTGAGAGGTGAAATTGCTGGTCCATGGCTAATTTTTTTTTTTTTTTTTTTTGAGACGAGTTCTTGCTCTGTTGCCCAGTTTGGAGTGCAGTGGCGTGATCTTGGCTCAGTGCAACCTCTGCCTCCCGGGCTCAAGCGATCCTCCTACGTCAGCCTCCCGTGTAGCTGGGACTCCACGCACATACCACTAAGCCTGGCTAATTTTTGTATTTTTAGTAGAGATGGGGTTTCACCATGTTGCCCAGGCTGGTCTCAAACTCCTGGAGTCAAGCAATCCGCCTGTCTCAACCTTCCAAAATGCTGGGATTACAGGCGTGAACCACCACACCTGGCTCATGGCTAACCTTTCTAAGGAAGGCTTTCGATGCTTATTTCCATATTGGAAATTGAATATTGACATTAACTGGGGAAGATCGTTATTATTATTATTATTGGATTAAAAGAAAAAAGGCAGGAGTCTCGCTATGTTGCCTAGCTGGTCTACAAACTCCTGGTCTCAAGCAGGAGTTGTGTCATTGAGCCCGGTTTGGAAAGATCATTCTTTACAAGCCTCTCAACCTTGGTTGTCATTGAAATCACGTGGGAAACTAAGGAAAAAAAAAAACCCTGACGTCTGAGCCCCATCCTCAGAGATTCTCATTTGATTGGTTTAAAGTGCAGCCTTGGCATTGAGATTTTTTGTTTGTTTCCTTACAGATAATATGTAGCTTTTCTATTTTTCTAGTAACTGATTTGATCATTTTCATGAGCACCCATACCTGCTGGATGGTGAGGAAATGATAACAATTAGATTTGTTAATAATAAAAGTGCCTATTAGGTCTATACTTGATATCTCAAGGTAAGATTCTTGATCTCTCAGATTACCTTTTTATTTCTCTGCTCCTCTCAAAGATGGCATCTGAACAGTGGAGGAGAAAAAGTACACAGGTCTGAAAATATATGGATACAGACATAGATACATATAATATTATGTGACTGTCAGTGGGTAGGTATGTGTCTAGAAAGATATCAGCTAATGGGATGGTGATATGGAGGGTGAAGGGGTGGGATCCATCCCTCCAGGACCAGCCATCTCTTTCCTTCCAACGATCCCAGAAATGCAGACCTTTCCTCAGCAGATTGGTGAGCAGCAGAGAGAGGGTATTTGATTGATAATAATAATATAGCAACCAACACCTGTACCACACTAATAGCACTTACTGTTTGTGTGGCGCTGTCTTGAGCTGTTACTACACGTAGCTCATTTAATCCTCCTAACAACTCAGGGTTGTAGGTTTTAGTATTATCTTCATCACCATCAGCTAATCACTGGACGTGGTGATGGCACACCACTCTTGCTCCCAGGCACTAGGACTTTTAAAAGTTCCTAGGAGAACCCCTACTTCCTAGGAGAACCCTTTAGGGTCCCCATGCTGGCTCCTCCTGTGAAGAGTTCTTTTGTAGACTCTGATCCCTAATCTGTTTTGGCAAATCTGGCCTTTCATACTGTAGGTTTGTGCAAAGCAAATTGTACCTGTGGTGTCCACCTCTTCAGCCTTCATTTCAGCAGCCTTCTAGCTCCACTCATCGCCCCTGCCCCACTGTTCTGGGTGTCACTGTGGTCCCAAAAATGGTGACCTTGGCAGACCTTTGGTTCATTTCCTTCTCAGCACCTCCACCCACATCTAGTAACTGTGACCTCTGACACTTTCCTAGACAAGTATGTTTTTCAGATGTTTGTTCTTTCCTGCTGCCGCACCTTTCTAGGACAACATTGTCTAAGATCTAAACCTGAGTATCTCCAGCTTTTCCTGATGATAAGAATCACTTGTACCCACATCTGTAATCACAGATTCCTGGGCCACCTCCTCCCCAGGAGCTTGTGATCTAAGTGATTGCTCCTGCTCCAAGCAAGGAGGTTGAGTTGCTTCCTTGTAGCTCATTGGTCCTCTCTTTCCTCTGTGAGGCCTATTCACCCAAAGTACCTCTTTCCTAAGAGGCTTCTCTTCCCAAACCCCTGAGGCTCTCAGCTCTGCTCACCATTCAGATTCCCCCAGCTATCTCTCCAGCTATATCCTTCCTTAGTCCCCACAGCAGAGGCTGCAGATGTGTTGCCTGTGAGCTGACGGGTTTTGTTTGTCCTCTAGCTTTTCGGAAACTGGGAAATTAAAAAGACAGCTTGTTGATTTCTTTTTGAAACAAAAATCTGAGGCCTTACCACCTTTGGTGGAGGTTGCCCTAGGGCAGGAAGCAGTTGGAGCTCAGGGTTGGTTGGCCTTAGACGACTAATGGAGGCCGGAGTCACCAGTTCAACACAGTCTTCACAACTCTTTCCCGGGCTCCCGTTACTCATTTTCTTTACCTCTCGGGCCCTGGGGGACATTTGAGCCCAGGAGGAGCACTTTTTGGGACACACTCTGCTCACTTCTCTGCCCATCTGCCGTGCTCTTTCCCACCTGGAGTGGGAAACCCTCCCCATCCCTGGAAATACCTGCCTTCCTCTTGGATAATTATTCTCCTGGATCCAGTTGGCAAATGCCTTCCACTGCCATGTACTGATGTGTGATTCAGAATGCTTGCCTAGATGGTGATTTCTTCCACATACCCCTATACTGCATATTACATACATCTTTCTCCCTACCTTTGGCTTAGGCACAGCCAGTAGCTGTCTCAGTTGTATTATTTTGGGATTGGGGGGAATTCCAATATCATACCTGATTAGCTTCCCAAAGCAGTCTCTTAAAAATTCTGCCAGAATTGTTCCTTTGGGCTAAAATATTCAGTCCACCACTAAATTTCTCCATTCATTTGGTAGGAGTGTATGGCAGGAGAATAGACTCTGGAGTCGGGCCACCTGGCTTCATATCCCCACCCTGCCACTGAATAGCTGTGTGCCCCTAGGCAAGGTGCTGAGCATCTCCAAGCCTCAGTTTCCTCATCTTCAAAACAGGTTATGAGAATAACATGAGATAACAATAAATTCATGCAAAGCATTTATTCTGGTGGCTGGCACCTGTAAGGGTTCAAATTAATAGTAGCTATTACTCTTTTGTTCTTAACTTCATGCCAGGTTCCAGGCTGGCATGGGGATCCAGGGTAAGTAAGATGTGGTTGGCCTCAGGGAGTGTTTGTCCCAACCAGATATGAGTTGGCCCCAGAGGGTCAGGTACCAACATGGGGCTCTGCTGTATTGCTGAACACAATAGAATACAATTATTGAGTACAGAGGTTGTAGGTGGTCAGGGAAGGCTTCACGTGGGAGGTGACTGCTGACCTTGAAGACTCAGTGGGATGTCATGGTAGGCAGCCACAGAAGCACAGAGGAAGAAAACCATAGGTCACATGAGGAATAGCATTGGGGGTGGGGAGGGAGTTAGTGGCAGGAGGTACTGTTAAGCAAAGAGGCCAGACTGGATTCCTAAGTGCCTTATTAAGGGTAAGATTATTAGATTTAGCAAATAAAAATATAGGCCACCTAGTTAAATTTGAATTTAAGATGAGCAACCAATAATTTTTTTTTTTTTTTTAGATGAAGTTTGACTCTTGTTGCCCAGGTTGGAGTGCAGTGGCGTGATCTCGGTTCACTGCGACATCCACATCCCCGGTTCAAGCGATTCTCCTGCCTCAGCCTCCCAAGTAGCTGGGACTAAAGGTGTCCGCCACCATGCCTGGCTAATTTTTTGTATTTTTAGTAAAGACAGGGTTTCACCATGTTGACCAGGCTGGTCTCAAAGTCCTAACCTTAGGTGATCCACCCACCTCAACCTCCCAAAGTGCTGGGATTTTAAGTATGAATATGTCCCAAATATTGCATGGGTTATTTATACTAAAAAAAATTTGTTGGCTGAACACAGGGGCTCATGCCTGTAATCCCAGCACTTTGTGAGGCTGAGGCTGGTGGATTGCATGAGCCCGGGAGTTTTGAGACCAGCCTGGACAACATGGTGGAACCCTGTCTGTACAAAAAATTAGCTGGGCATGATGTCACATACCTTTAGTCCCAGCTACTCTGGAGGCTGAGGTGGGAGGATTGCTTGAGCCTGGAAGGTCAAGGCTGCTGTGAGCTGTGATCTTGCCACTGCACTCCAGCCTGGGTGACAGAGTGAGACCCCATCCCGTCTTTAAAAAAAACAAAATGGGTCTTTTGTTGTTGTTGTTGTTTATCTGAAATTCAAATTTAACCGGGCAGAGCGTATTTTAAATGGCAACCCTACTTGTGTGCCTGGTTCCCAAAAGGCCCTGCTAAAATGCAGACAGGTTTTAGTCACAAGAGGAAGAATCCTATTAAATTGTTGAAGCAGATTTATTTTTCAGAGTAACACGCAAAGTGAAATGGGACATAAAGAAGGTCAGTTGAGGAATTAAAGAGTGTGGACAGATGGTGGGGAGCAAGGAGGGCAGGATGCAGCAGGGACCCTGTCTGGGCAGATGCAGTAGGAGGGCCGGGAAGAGGCCTGGGTCCAGCTTGGAGCTAGGAGGCATCTCTCCCCTTTGTCCAGACTGAGTCCCTGAAAGGCACCTGGCTAGCTGACTGTCCTTTTGTGGGGCTCTCTGGGCCTAGATATGGACTGTTGACAAGGGCTGTGACTCACAGGTGGGATTTGAGGACACGAGTGATGGGAATAGTAGTAATCTTTGGAGAGAAGATGACTCAGCTCTGGCTCTGAGATAACAAGGAATAGAAAAGAAGGAAGGGGGATGAGTGCCCTTTGGACTGTGCAGGCAGCAGTCCTGTATGGGTAAGCTACCTGAGGGTACACCATTTGGGATATGTCTTCAGTGACTCTGTATAACCTACAGAACAAAGCTTGGGGTTCCCAAGTGGAGTACAGGGTCCTTCACAGGATCATTTGAGATGACCTCACTTGAGGTCACCTTCCCACTCTTCCTCTTGGCAGCCACTTCCCCACACTCTAGGTTCCAGCCACACAGAATTACCTGTTGTTAATGATGACAGTCATGGCAGTCACACTAACATTAGAGTACTTAATACTTTCCTGTTGGTTTGAGCACTTGTTTAACTTGATTAATCTCCACCGGGACCCTATGAAGTAGCTACTGATATTATCCCAATTATGTATTTGAGAAAGCTGAGACACAGGAAGTCAAACATCTCACTAAAGGTCACACAGCTAGTAGAGGAATAGAGCCCCAGATGCCTGGGAGAACTGCACAATTAACCATGCCACCACCCACTTCCCCAGCTACATGCTGCGCTTTTATACTTCTGTGGTTTCATATAGCAAACCCAGATCATACAGTACCTCCTCTGTGAAGCTGGTCCCAACCCCACCCCCTTTTCCTTTAGCCCCTACGCAACAGGAGTCCCACCTTGTCCTCTTAGTAGTTTGTATCCAACTTTGTTACGACAGTGAATGCTGCTTTTTTTTTTTTGAGACAGGGTCTCGCTGTGTCACCCAGGCTGGAGTGCAGTGATGGCTCACTGGCTCACTGCAACCTCTGCCTCTGGAGTTCAAGGGATTCTCCTGCCTCAGTCTCCAGAGTAGCTGGGATTCAGGTGCCTGCCACCACGCCCATCTAACTTTTATATTTTTAGTAGAGATGGTGTTTTGCCATGTTGGCCAGGCTGATCTTGAACTCCTGAGCTCAGGTGATCCGCCTGCCTCGGCCTCCCAAAGTGCTGGGATTACAAGCGTGAGCCACCACGCCTGGCGACAATGAATACTTTTAAGTCATTATTATTTACCTTTCTGCCTCCCCACTTGATTAAGGGGCCCATTTTAAATCTAATGCCTCCTCCTATAAGCACAGGGCCTGGCACAAAGTAGATGCTTAGTAAATGCCCCCTGAATAATGCAAGGCCATGCAGCCTGGGGGTGAAGCAGGTGGCGTGGAACAGTAAGCAAGGCATAGAAATAGCACCAATACTCATGGAGCATTTGCACTCCACACATCCTTTTTTTTTTTTTTATTCGAGACAGGGTTTCACTCTGTCACCCAGGCTGGAGTGCAGTAGAACAATCATGGCTCACTGCATCTTCTACCTCCCAGGCTCTAGCGATCCTCCCACCTCAGCCCAAGTAGCCGGGACTACAGGTGTACACCACCACGCCTGGATAATTTTTTTTTGTTGTTTGTTTGTTTTGTTTTGTGGAGATGCGGTTTCGCCATGTTGCCCCTGCTGGTGTTGAGCACCTGAACTGAAGAGCTCCGCCCACCTCAGCTTCCCAAAGTGCTGGGATTACAGGCATAAGTCACCATGCCCGGGCTCACACATCCACTTTCAAAAAAAAAAAAAAAAGTATGCTGGGCTTGGTGGCTCATGCCTGTAATCACAGCACTTTGGGAGGCTGAGGCAGGAGGATCACTTGAGTTCATGAGTTTGAGACCAGCCTGGGCAGCATAGCAAGACCTCATCTCTACTAAAAATAAAAAAAATTAGCTGGGCATGGCGGCATGTGCCTATAGTCCCAGCTATGCAGGAGAATCACTTCGGGTGGGGGTGGGATGGATCCTGCAGTGAGCTGTGTTTGTGCCACTGCACTCCAGCCTGGGCAACAGAGCGTGACCCTGTCTCCAAAAAAATTTTTTCTTTTAATAAATATTAGATTTTCACTGATACCTCATGAGGCCTGTAGAGATAGTTGGTGTTTTTTGTTTTTTTTTTTTTTGAAACAGAGTTTTGCTATTGTTGCCCAGGCTGGAGTGCAATGGCATGATCTTGGCTCACTGCAACCTCCACCTCCTGGGTTCAAGCGACTTTCCTGCCTCAGCCTCCCGAGTAGCTGGAATTACAGGCATGTGCCACTACGCCCGGCTAATTTTGTATCTTTAGTAGAGATGGGGTTTCTCATGCTGGTCAGGCTGGTTCAAACTCCCGACCTCAGGTGATCCGCCCACCCCAGCCTCCCAAAGTGCTGGGATTACAGGCATGAGCCACTGCACCCAACCTGAGATAGTTTTATTACAATATATGAGGCTATTGATTGAATCTCTGGAAATAGAAATAAAGTGGCCCTAAGATGTTTTTAATTTCATTTATTTATTTTTAGAGCCATCTCACTGTGTTTCCCTAGCTGGTCTCTAACTCCTGGCCTTAAGAAATCCACCCCAGCCTCCTGAGTAGCTAGGATTATAGGCATGAGCCCCCACACCTGGCTCTGTTTCTAATTTTCAACTACAGAGCTAAGAAAAACTCCCAAAGTCAGTAATAGTCAATTTTCTAGAAAAATGGAAAAGAACCACAGGTATTCTTTTTTTTTTTTTTTTTTGAGACAGAGTCTCTCTCTGTCACCAGGCTAGAGTGCAGTGGCGCCATCTTGGCTCACTGCAACCTCCGCCTCCTGGGTTCAAGTGATTCTTTTACCTTGGCCTCCCGAGTAGCTGGGACTACAGGCACATGCCACCACACCCAACTAATTTTTGTATTTTCAGTAGAGATGGGGTTTCACCATGTTGGTCAGGATGGTCTCAATCTCTTGACCTCGTGACCCGCCCCCCTCAGCCTCCCAAAGTGCTGGGATTACAGGTGTGAACCACCACACCGGGCCACCACACAGGTATTCTTGAAGTGCCAACTACATCCCTTGCAAAGCAGAAGGAAAGGTTGCCAGGGTTTGGGAGGACAGTGTTGTCTGGGGAGAAATGTAAATGGAAAGAAAAGAAATGGACATATATAGACCAAGCCCTGAGATTCTGTGACCTTCTTCAAACTTCCTGACAACCCCTTGGCGAGGTAGAGAGGTGCCCTTGTTGGAGAGGAGATAGAAGCTCAACAGAGATTCCAACTGAGATCTGATTCCACAGTTCATGCTGTTTCTCTGCATCCAGGAAAGAGGAGAATTGGAAAAACACAAGACAGTTCTTGACCTCCAGGTGTCTGGCCATACTTGGAAGGGAGAACTGGGGCAATGGGCTTTAGGGGCTTAGAGGAGAGAGTGGTCTCTTGGATCAGAAGTGCCTGGGTAGTAGAGGTGGGGGAAGGGGTATTCTTGGAACAAGACATGCTCCTGAATAGAACCAGTCTGTGATGGGGAGGGGATGGTAAGGGGTTGAGATTAGGCTAGAGGTGTTTAAATGCCATGCTGGAGAGGTTTGACCTCTAGTCAGTCATAACTTCTGAGCAAAAGCTACAGATACTTTGTTGCTATCTGTTAGTCCAAGTCCCCAGTCCCTTATCAGAAATCCTGGCACTGAATATGTTTCAGGATTCCGATTCTTCCTGATTTTAGAATGGTAAATAATGTGCTGCAATGACAACTAGGCTGAGTCCTATCACAGGTCCCACGGGACATCAGCCTAAATCCAAAGGCTCTAGGACTGATGACAGCTTTCAGCAGCACAGCATTAGGCACTGTGTTTCTGTGGAAGTCCTTGCAGTGGTCCACATAGAGGTCCAAGAGCTAGTCTTTGCCCCCAAAAGTGAAAACTTGGGAGTAAAGAGATGAGATCCACATGGGGTGGGTGCAGGAACTGCTCTGGCCTAAGTGAAGCTCCATTTTCCTCAGAGGCTGGTCTCACTCATGAGAATGTCATCAACAAAGCTTCCAGTGTTCCAACAAAACATTGTCACACTCTGGGAAACCCAAAGTTATGCATTCCCCATTTACAGTTCCTCCCAGGCCAGATGCCGTGTACCATGCTGGGTCATTTTTACCTTAAGCAGTGTTGCCTGATTACGTATGTAGTTGTCATACTACCTTTATCCAGTCTCCAGGGGAACAACTTAACAGAAGTTAACTAATTCTCACACAGAAAGGAAAAGGCTTTGTAATGTAGCGCTTTACCCACATGTGCATGTATCATGTATTCAGTCACACCTCCAGTGGGTGGCATGCCATACTCATGGCATGTTAATATTCCTGCAGCAGAATGCACTGATACTAACAGGAAGGGGATAGGTAAAGATTAAACCTCACATCAGCTCAGGTCAGGTTTGGTACCCAAAGAGTTTAAAAAAAAACAAACCACCAAGGCTGGGCATGGTGGTTCACGCCTGTAATCCCAGCACTTTGGAAGGCCGAGGCAGGGGGATCACTTGAGGTCAGGAGCTCGAGACCAGGCTGGCCAACATGGTGAAACCCCATCTCTACCAAAAAATATGAAAAGTAGCCAGGCGTGGTGGCGTGCGCTTGTAGTCCCAGCTACTCGGGAGGCTGAGGTGGGAGAATTGCTTGAACCTAGGAGGCAGAGGCTGCAGTGAGCCAAGATCATGCCACTGCTCTCCAGCCTGGGCGACAGAGTGAGACCCTGTCTCAAAAACAAAACAAAAACCCACCAAAAAAAAAACCTTTCAGATTTTAGAGCTTGTAAAGTTTAGTATTATTTGGAAAGGGGATTGTAGACCTGTGAATTTCCTCTCAGGAGATCCCTTGAGACGTGCAACAAGTGAACGTTGCCTGCCTTCCCACTAGAGGGCCCCTGATTATCACTGTGTCCGGGATCCTTGCTAATGGAAGTTCTTCCGTCGCTTCAGCTTGCAGATGCCAGCAAGTTACCTAACCTGAAAGAACTTCTCCAGTCCTCCGGAGACAACCACAAACGGGCCTGGGACCTGGTGAGCTGGATTTTATCCTCAAAGGTCCTGACAATCCACAGTGCAGGGAAGGCAGAGGTGAGACTTTGGTCCGTAGCATCACAGATTTTAGGGGCCTAAGGGCTCTAGGACAGCACTGAATCCAGTGGCTCTGAGACTTCCCTGTGTACCAGTGACCTGGGCAGCTTGAGAATGCAGAGTCCTGGTCCTCACCTTTAGACTTTCTAGTTCTGTGTCTGGAGTCAGGCCCAGGAGCTTTCCCACTGGCTGTACAAAGCTGAATTCTGTCTCATCTCAGCTGTGTGACCTTGAGTAGGTACCAGGTGCATTTCAGTCCCTCCGCTTCCTCATCTATAAAATGGGGATGATAATAGTATACTTCCATCAGGCACTGACTATGAGAATTGAATGAATTTTCACACTTTGAAAATGCCTAAGGGCACATACTAAGGGCTCAGTATGTGTTGGGATTCACTTTATTTAACAAGCACTGCTGGTAATTCTGATTAGGGTGACCCTGACCATACCTTAAGAAACTCTGACCTAGTTCAGTTATCAGGAGATGGAGAGGCAGAACTCAAAGGAGTGGAAAACCTCATGCTCTGGGTTCAAATCCCATTTCTATCGAAAAGGGCCTCCTTTTTTCCATTTATAAATTGAGATGCTGATAGTTACCTCAAAGTGGGGCACTGATAAAATGTGTGTCACCCCCCCAGCACAGTTTCTGGCACAAGTCAGACATTCCATAATTTGGTTTACCTTGCCTGGCTGGGGTCTCCCAGGGACAGGCTGGATAACAAGGACCAGGGTGTAGGACTTGATTCCTGCTCTGGTGCTCTTCCTTTACCCATACTGTTCATCACTTAATTCATTTCAATTTAAGAGTAATCAATTTTACAAGCTCCTGCCAAAGACACACATCTTTCCTATGTGGCGTAGAATTTGGTACCTTGGATTCTGGTATCTAAGGGACATTCTTCTGTGTTAGATGTTAAAATACCATAAAGAGCCCTGGAGGTGGGAGTCAGGAGATCTGTATTCAGTTCCAGGCTGGGTGGCTAATTCCTAGTGAATCTCTGGGTTTCACTGTTGTTATGTGTTGAATTCAAATTTATTCATTCATTTATTCTTACCTCATATGGGCATCAAGCACCTACTAGATGTTGGGTGCTAAAGTAGATAAGGCAATAAATAGCTCCTAGACTTTTGATTGTGGACCAGTTAAATTTCTTTTAAACTGTGGGGTATTGGGACCCAGGATTGTCAACTTTTTGTATTGCCCAAGTAAGTATGTTAGCCTACCATGTATCATCATTTTATAAAAGGATATTATAGTACTAAGAAAGGAGGATGGCCTTGACTTCAGAATGAAGAACAGTTCTTCCAAAGAAAGGTACATGGCAACCTTACATCAATATATCTGTTATATAGCCCTTATTTTGCTCATTCAGTCATAATCCAGAGAAAACTTTGCCATAGACTGGCTTTGGTCTGTGACCTACTATTTGAAAACCACTGGCTGGGTGCGGTAGCTCATGCCTGTAATCCCAGCACTTTGGAAGGCTAAGGTGGGCGGATCATGAGGTCAGGAGTTTGAGACCAGCCTGGCCAACATAGTGGAACCCCGTCTCTACTAAAAATACAAAAACTTAGCTGGGCATGGTGGCGGGAGCCTGTAATCCCAGCTACGTGGGAGGCTGAGGCAGGAGAATCGCTTGAAGCCGGGAGGCGGAAGTTGCAGTGAGCCAAGATGCCGCCACTGCACTCCAGCCGGGGCAACAGTGCAAGACTGTATCTCAAAAAAAAAAGAAAGAAAGAAAGAAAGAAAGAAAGAAAAAAACCGACTAAAATGGGCCAGGTGTGACCCATTGTCCTGGCTTGTCTTGGGTAACTGGGACTATAGGTGTAACCACTATAGAGAGGAAATTCACAGGTCTACAGTCCCCATTCCAAATAATACTAAACTCTACAAGCTCACGCCTGTAATTCCAGCACTTTGGGAGGCCAAGGCAGGCGGATCACTTGAGGCCAGGAGTTCAAGACCAGCCTGGCCAAAATGATGAAGCTTCGTCTCTAATAAAAATACAAAAATTAGCCAGGCATTGTGGCACATGCCTGTAATCCCAGCTGCTCGGGAGGCTGAGGTAGGAGAATCGCTTGAACCTGGGAGGTGGAGGCTGCAGTGAGCCAAGATCGTGCCACTGCACTCTAGGCTGAGAGACAGACTAAGACTCCATCTCAAAAAAAAAAGAAAAAACCACTGAAATGGACTAGGGGGCAGTGGCTTGCGCCTGTAATCCTAGTACTTTGGGAGGCCAAGGTGGGAGGATTGCTTGAGGCTGGAGTTCAAGACCAGCCTGGGCAACATAGCAAGACCCTCTGTCTATGAAAAATTTAAGAATTAGGTGCACATAGTAGTTGCACCTATAGTCCCAGCTACTCAAGAAACTGAGGATAGAGGATTGCTCGAACCCAGGAGTTCAAGGCTGCGATGAGCTAGGATCACACCACTGCACTCCAGCCTGGGCGACAGAGCCAGATCCTGTCTCAAAAACAACAACAGCAACAAATGCTAATTGCTTCTCATGATTTTGTGGGTTGGTTGGGTGGTTCTGGGCTTGGCTGGATGAGCTAGGGTGGCCTCACTTACATTTCTGGGGCTTCAGCTGGGATGGCCACCATGCTGGAAGCCTTCCTCTGTGAGGCTCATACTCTATAGCAGACAAGCCAGGACAATGGTGAGGGGTTCTCAGCAGCAAAGAAGGAAAGACAAGCCCTTCTCAAGTCTCTGTTTGCTATATATATGTTAATGTCCCGTTGGCCAAAGCAGGTCACATGGCCAAGCACAGTCTTAAGGGTGGAGAAGTAGGTTCCATCTTTTGATGGGATCTTGGTAGAATCCCACCTGCAAAACCACATTGCAGAGGGGTGCATGGACAAGGATGAGAGGGAATTTTTACAATAAACATGAGATGATTGTAAAAATGGAATGCAGGAGATAGATGTAAAAGTGTTAGGAAGTGGCCGGGCGTGGTGGCTCACGCCTGTAATCCCAGCACTTTGGGCGGCTGAGGCGGGTGGATCACGAGGTCAGGAGTTCAAGACCAGCCTGGCCAAGATGGTGAAACCCCATCTCTACTAAAAATACAAAAAAAATTAGCCAGGGGTGGTGGCACGCACTTGTAATCCCAGCTACTCCGGAGGCTGAGGCAGAGAATTGCTTAAAAAACCTGGAGGGGCAGAGGTTGCAGTGAGCTGAGATGGCGTCACTGCACTCCAGCCTGGGCGACAGAGCGAGACTGTCTCAAAAAAAAAAAAAAAAAAAAAAAAAAAAGTTAGGAAAATTAGAAGTGATCTCCACTTATTTTTTTAATTATTATTTAATTAATTAATTTATTTATTTTTTGAGACGGAGTCTCGCTCTGTCGCCCAGGCTGGAGTGCAGTGGCGCCATCTCGGCTCACTGCAAGCTCTGCCTCCTGGGTTCACACCATTCTCCTGCCTCAGCCTCCCGAGTAGCTGGGACTACAGGCGCCCACCACCACGCCCGGCTAATTTTTTGTATTTTTAGTAGAGACGGGGTTTCACCGTGTTAGCTGGGATGGTCTTGATCTCCTGACCTCATGATCCGCCTGCCTCGGCCGCCCAAAGTGCTGGGATTACAGGTGTGAGCCACCGCACCCAGCCCTGTGATCTCCACTTAGAAGGAGCAATTCATGCTTCTCAGCCTACTGTAGGGAAAAATGTTATTATTTATTATTATTATTTTTTTAAATGGAGTTTCACTCTTGTTGCCCAGTCTGGAGTACAGTGACGTGATCTCTGCTCACTGCAACCTCCACCTCCCAGGTTCAAGTGATTCTTCTGCCTCAGCCTCCTAAGTAGCTGGGACTAAAGGTGTGCACTGCCACACCCGGCTAATTTTGTATTTTTAGTAGAGATGGGGTTTCACCATGTTGGTCAGGCTGGTCTCGAACTCCTGACCTCAAATGATCCACCTGCCTCGGCCTCCCAAAGTTTTGGGATTACAGGTGTGAGCCACCACACCCGACCGGGAAAAATGTTATTAAAGAAAGCAGTCTTGTGCTATACGCTCTGAGTTTGCTTATGTCTCTATCCTCATGAAACCTGTTGTTCTCATGAGCAGAGTCCATGGGAGTTAAGCCTGAGAGTTTAGGGGGCTATTTTTGCAGCACATTTACCAGCTCCCCAAATAAAATTTTGATGCTCTTCATGTTTTCAAGTTTGAAAAGATCCAAAAGCTGACTGGGGCTCCTCACACGCCTGTTCCTGCACCGGACTTCCTGTTTGAAATTGAGTACTTTGACCCAGCCAACGCCAAATTTTATGAGACCAAAGGAGAACGAGACCTAATCTATGCATTTCATGGTAGCCGCCTAGAAAACTTCCATTCCATTATCCACAATGGCCTGCACTGCCATCTGAACAAGGTGGGGCCTAAGGGACACCCTGCTGATGTGGGGAAGCAGGGATGGAGGTGGGAGAGTGGGGAGGGGGAGATTCAGAACCCTAGGAGTTTGCAGGTGGGGTCGGGTAGGTTTACTAACGCCTTCTCACTCAAAATGTGGTCTGCACACCAGCAGTGGCAGCATCACCTGGAGACCTAAGAAAATGCAAAATCTTGGGCACACTCTAGACCTTCTGAATCAGAACCTGCATTTTAACAAGATCTCTAGGTGATTCCTGCACTGGTTATAGTTTGAAAAGCGTCGATTTAAAGATAGTTCCCGACCTTGGCTGCATATTTAGAATCACTCGGGGAGCTTTTAAAAATCCCAGATGCCAGGCCTGGCGCAGTGGCTCACGCCTGTAATCCCAGGACTTTGGGAGGCTGAGGGAGTTCCAGACCAGCCTGGCCAACGTGGTGAAACCCCATCCATACTAAAAATACAAAAATTAGCCGGGCATGGTGGTGGGTGCCTGTAATCCCAGCTACTCGGGAGGCTGAGGCAGGAGAATTGCTTGAACCTGGGAGGCAGAGGTGGCAGTGAGCTGAGATCGTGCCATTGCACTCCAGCCTAGGTGACAGAGTGAGACTCCATCTCAAAAATTAAAAAATAAAATAAATAAATAATAAAAAATCCCAGATGCCTGGCTGCATCCCAGACCAATTAAATGAGAATCTCCGAGTGGAGCACAGGCATCAGTTGCTTTAAAAGCTCTCCAGGTGATCCCACTATGTAGCCAACCCTAGCTCCACTGTGCGTTCCCTGGACCAGCAGCGTCTGCATCACCTGGTAGCTCGCTGGAAATGCGAATCTCAGGCGCAGACCACCTGATCGGAATCCACACTTTAACAAGGTCCCCAGGTGATCTGTATGCATATTGAAGTTTGAGAAGCACTTTCCTTGGGGACCACACTCCAGGAAATCAGCCCTTGGAGAAACTGAGGGATATGCCAAGATGCACCGAGGAGAGGTCCTTTCCCTCCCCTCTTGAGCTGCTTTTGTCCCATTTTTATGAGTCAAAACAGTCATCTATCCACTTCTCTGCAGGCATTTATTTTACCCCTCAGGTATAGGAGGAGCATTACAGACAGACCCTGGAGCTACAGAGACTTACTTAGCAGCTCTATGGCCCTGAGTAAATTAAACTCTCTGAGCCTCAGGTTCTTCATCTGTAAAAAAGGACACCATTACCCTCCTTCTTATATGTCAGAGAATTAAAACAGTTCATGTATGCAAAGGGCTCTTTGTGTACTAAGTACCAAGGAAGAGGTAGCTGCTTTTATATGCTGATGGAGGGGCATCTAGGGTAGTTGGAGGAGCTGCAGGCCTTTCCCCCAGTCATGGCAGTATCTGCCTTGTCTGTGAGGAGCTGGCTCCATGAGCCATGGGCTCAGTTGTGGCTGCTGCAGCCCTGAGACTGGAGATATTTCCCTGGTGTATCTGGTTAATGTCGTTGGGTTTTGCTAAGGATGACGGGCTTGTTTACACTGGCTCTCAGTCCACCACTGGCTCTCAGCTTACCATTATGTCCAGGCTACTGGAATTCAGGGGGCTTCCCCTTTACACTGGTGCTGGCCTGGAGAAGTTGCCTGCAGATTATACTCTTGTACACTAAACCTTCATTTTAGTGCCCCAGGGAGTTTGCTGCTTAGAGGCATCTTACAAAAATCCTTTGGTAAAGCACATCAATCCTCCTATGGCCCCTCTGCCTGGGTTTTCAGTGAAGGGCTTGCTTGAGGGAGTCCATCTGCCAGTTGATACTGATACTGTTTTCATGGCAGAGATACACTGAGCTTCCCACTCTTGTACACCACTGCTCATGGCAGCCTTGCATGGGGTTCTCAAGTCTAAGGAAGGGTGAACACATGATGGCATAAGCAGAGAATGGATGTGGGGTCAGATCAGAGGGCATCCAGTGTCATTGGAGAAGGTCTGTGTCAGCTTTTGAGAGATGGAGACCCTGCCTAACTTGGCAAAGAGCTTCCCAAAGGCCAAGCAAAGGTCTGTTTCATTTCCCCTAAGCTTCACTTAACAGATTTAGGATTTTGGAAGCCTGGTGCTACTGAAAAGGACATTTCTCAATTCCAGAGCATAAGATATTCTTCAGTGAGCTATTCAAGTCCACTTATCTTGAGATACTGATAGTGTGGCTCAGGGATAGCAGTTGAATTTCAACCTGAGCGTCAATGTCCATCCATTGGTCGCAGCTACCTGGAATGTTAAGTTGAGGATTCTGGATCATTAGGAATAAGTGCCATGCTTGATATTACTGTGCTGGCAATTGTGGTTTGTTATTGGTCATCTACCATGGGCAAAGATGTGTTCACTATGCCTGCTGTAGCCTCAACTTACAGGTCCTTCACCTGGCATGCTTCCTTATGGAGGGCACCACCAGGGAGATGCTGCCTAGATTTTTAGATGTTTTCTTGGTCAACCCCAATACAAAGAGTAAAACGTACCTTGCCCCGCATGTCGGCCTCCCTCATTTTGTTATAGTTTCTGGTCTAAGAGACTAATTTCTAATTTATTTATTATTTTTAATTTTTATGTTTTTATTTATTTGTGAGAGACTCATTTCTTTTCCAAGTAATGACTCAGATTACCTCCCTTCTCAGGTGGGACCCCTTCCCTGTACCTAAGGGTGTGACTTTGCATTTGAAGCCCATCAGAGTAACCATGCCTACTGCATTCATGTAACAGGAATTACTTTATATACTAGAACATAAAGGCCTGCAATGGAGTACTGGCCCCTCATTTATTTAGATGTGCCAGATGTCCCACTCTTTTATGTATGTATATTGCCTCATTTAATCCTCACTGGCAACCTTGTAAAGGAGCTACTAGTAACATTATTTTGTAGATCTAGAAACTGAGACACAGAGAGTTTATATAACTTGCCACTTGCTGGAGGATTCAAACCGAGGTTGGTTTGGATGCTTATACCTATGTTTTTCTCACTCAACCTTGACCACAAGGAACTGCTAGTTTGCCAGGCCAGATGGCCAAATCCACAATCAGTTAAACTGTTGTCAGGCAGGAATGTGTTTAGTAATAACCCTGTGATGATATCACAGGATTATTTGATCCTGTGTCTTGCTGGGGCAAAAAGCGGGGGTTGTACATTTTGTGTTTACAACTCTTGAAGAGAGACCTGTGTCGTCTTGCCGTGCCAACTGTACATTCAACCATCTGTGTTTCTTTTCCATTGGCCTTGCTGTTGCAGACATCCTTGTTCGGAGAGGGGACCTACCTCACCAGTGACTTGAGCCTGGCCCTCATATACAGCCCCCATGGCCATGGGTGGCAGCACAGCCTCCTCGGCCCCATCCTTAGCTGTGTGGCCGTGTGTGAGGTCATTGACCATCCGGACGTCAAGTGCCAAACCAAGAAGAAGGGTGAGTGAGCACTTGGTCCAGACCTGGGCTACAGGCCTCTGTTGGGTGTACAGGCTCTTGCTGGCCCAGCTGTTGGGTAGAGCACCCATTGCATGCCCAAGGGTTGGGCTGGATCCAGGGCAGTGCCGGACAGGGTCCTGCCCAAGGAGCGAGCAGTCTTCTTAGAGATTGAACACTCAATGGAGACCATTCACTACAAGGGGGTAGGTAGGGGGTGCCAGGTAAGGAGGCTGACGAGGCCCACAGAGGCAGCTCAGAGGAAGTAGTAATCATGGTGGGTCCAAGCAGCCAGGGAAAGCTTTGTGGGAGGAGGAGAGATTTGAATTTTTTTAAAAAGTGAGTGATGAAGCCAGTGCGTGGGCTCCTTGAAGGTAGGAATGAGATCTCATTCATTCTTGGGCACCGGGTATCGGCAGAAAGCCTTGGTATGTACTTGATATTCAATAAATATTTGCTAAATGAAGCAAAGGATGCTGGGTCCAGACCCTCCGATCTACACTGGCGTGTGCCAGATCCCTCCAGGATGTGAAGGGCAGCCAAGGTGCTGGGGAGTCCTGAGCTCTCCAGAGAGTGATGACTAGCTGGCTACCTCATCCCACTCCCCTACTGTGTCCCTGAGACTATTTGCCTTGTCTCCCCCCACCATTGTGTGGCTCTCCTCAAAGGCAGAGCAGTCATAGAACTGTCATTCCAGTCTCCAGAGCTGGCTTGTTGGGGCCAGGTGCGGTATGGCTCACGCCTGTAATCCCAGCACTTTGGGAGGCCAAGTCGGGTGGATCACCTGAGGTCAGAAGTTTGTGACCAACCTGGCCAACGTGGTGAAACCTCTTCTCTACTAAAATTAAAAAATGAGCCGGGTGTGGTGGCGTGTGCCTGTGGTCCCAGCTACTTGGGAGACTGAGTCATGAGAATCGCTTGATCCCAGGAGGCAGAGGTTGCAGTAATCCAACATCATGCCACTACATTTTAGCCTGGGCAACAGAGCGAGACTCCATCCAAAAAAAAAAAAAAAAAGAAAGAAAAAAGATCTGGCTTGTTGGTTCCAAGAGAATTCAGAAAACTGACTGTTCTGGCCTCTAATGTAAAACAACTGGAATTCTGAGATGCAGGCCCAGGTCTGACACCACCCTCCCAAACCGGACAGCATGGATATTTGCATTTATAATTCTTAGGAAGTTTGCAAACCGTGACATTAAACATCAAAACAAAACCTTCCAACTTCTGCTGTCACGCAGCTTTCGTCTTCCTAGTTTTTTGTAGAACTTTTTTGTGCTATTAAAAGAAAAGGGTTTTTTGTTTGTTTGTTTTAAAACAAGTCTTGGTACGAAGGGTGGAAGATAAATGTTCTAAGAACCTCAAATCCAGAGTGGTTCATTTAAAATGCCTGTTAAGGCCGGGTGTGGTGGCTCATGCCTGTAATCCCAGCACTTTGGGAGGCTGAGGCAGGCTGATCACCTGAGGTGTCCGGAGTTTGAGATCAGCCTGGCCAACATGGTGAAACCCCGTTTCTACTAAAAATACAAAAATTAGCCGGGCATGGTGGCAGGCACCTGTAATCCCAGCTACTTGGGAGGCTGAGGCACAAGAGTTGCTTGAACCCGGGAGGCAGAGGTTGTAGTAAGCCAAAACTGCGCTGTTGCACTCCAGCCTGGACGAAAAAAGCAAGACTCCATCTCAAAAAAAACAAAAAAAAAACAAAACATGTATATATATAAAACGCCTCTTAACAGGCATTTTATATATAAAATATATATAAAATTTATATATAAAATGCCTGTTAAGAGGCGTTTTCAGATCAAGTCCTGTTCCTAGCTTCCAGTCCCAGCGTATTTCTTTGCTATGGCCATCAATTTGCTTCTTCCTTCTGTTCTCCCCACTCAGTTGAGTTTTGTTTTTTCTTCCTTGTATCCCTTATATTTTCCTACTCTTTTTTTCCTCCTCCCATTTGCCTGCCAGATTCTCCGTTTTTTTCAGTGCTGCTTCATGCACACACAGGTCTGTTCCTCAGCCTGCCAGGCCTTCTTCCCCCTCAGCACCAGGAGGCTTGACTTATTTCTATTTATAATGTGCTTCCTTAGTTCTGTTTCCCCCAGTGAAGATGTGTTTTACTCTCCTTATTCAGATTCCAAGGAGATAGATCGCAGACGAGCGAGAATCAAACATAGTGAAGGGGGAGACATCCCTCCCAAGTACTTCGTGGTCACCAATAACCAGCTGCTGCGAGTGAAGTACCTCCTGGTGTATTCACAGAAGCCACCCAAGAGGTAAGGTCCAAGAGAACAACTAATGGCTGTATTCAGAGTGCTGGCTTTCTTAGTTGTTGTAGGTATCAGCCTCCCCTCCCCCAGCCTTAGACCTCCGCTAGATGTCAAGTATGTAAAGCACCATGCTGGACACGGTGAGAAGTGAGAGATAGGATCTGGAGAAGATGTGGTCCCGACCCTAAGAGGACTGTATTCCAGTGAGAAGAGAGAAAGATTGGTAAACACAAATAGCATGAGAGACTGACTGAGTCCAAATTGGCTGCCGCAAACAGTGTGGCCCCTTAGCCATTAGGCCCATGATTGCAGTCTGAGACCCACCGATGAGGTTAAGCTGAGAGGCAGGGCAGTGACTGGACACCGGTTGTGATTGTGCACAGGCTGGCTCAGTAGCTTCCCACAGTGGCTGCTGAACCACTGACTGCCCCTCTCTGGACCTGAGATGCTTCATCTTTATCTCTAAAATGAGGGCCTTGAACTCAATAGCAGATGTGGGCCTTCAGACCTTATCAGCTTTGGTGGATGCCTAGTTCCATCTCTGCAGTGTGGGAGTAAGTGTGGGGCTCACCAGCGTTGGGGGCCACTCTTGAGATTTTGTTGCATTGTTGGAATCCATGATGGTGCTTCTTGCAGGGGCCAGCAGCAGGTAAGTAGATATGACAGGAAAAGGGGTCACTTTAAATAATCCCCACTCCTGCTTGTACACACCAGTGGTTTCCATGCTTCCAGACTTCATAAACCAGTAAAGTCTCCTCCCGACCCCTGTCCAAATTTGGGAAATGTATATAGGGTGCCTGGGTCCAGGTGACATTATGCTTTGGTTTAAAATCATCTAACTTTTTATCCTTGAAAATTCCATTCCTTTCCCACTTCTCCCTGGAGCATCTCTTTAGTGCACACTTGGGTGGTTTAGATCATCTCCTAGTGGGCCAAAGAGGATTTCCCCAGCTTGGATTTATATCTGCATGTGTCTAAAAGTGAAAAGACTTCAGCTAAATTACCTGCCACCTGCCACCATCTGGGCAGACACCCTGAGCTAGGTCATTGTTATAGATACCAAGATGGGTTGTAAATGGTAAAAGAGGAGCTACAAAAGGGAAGATCAGGATGAGCTCATTGCATAGCTGTCTTTGCGCATTTAGAAAATATCCTGTTGAAAGGCGTGTCAGTGCCTGGGCAAACAGCCCCAGGTTTCTTGAGCAAGGAAGCACGAAGCTTCATTTCATGGCTCAGGCAAAGGATGAAATTCATCATTTTGTCTTCTTAGAGCCAGACTTGTTGTACACACTTAAAAAAAATGTTTTTCTCTTTTTGCCAACACCACTCTTTTTTCCCTCTTAAGCAGGGCTTCGAGCCAGCTCTCCTGGTTTTCCAGCCATTGGTTTACCGTCATGATATCCCTGTATCTGCTGCTGCTGCTCATAGTGAGTGTCATCAACTCCTCTGCTTTCCAACACTTTTGGAATCGTGCGAAAAGATAATCTTTCTGGGCCTGGTGTGGGGGCTACCTCAACTATGTGCCTTATGGTAACTTGTTCTGTACCTCCTATGCCTCATGTCCAGCCAGGTTGAGCCTAGGGGCCAGTTGGGGGACCACAGGACAATTTTCATATGGCCTAAATGTATCCATTGCCTTTGATGATGTTCCCAGCCATACTCCAGTCAACGGGGACTACTAGTCCCTCACTCTTAGGTTTTAGGGGAGTCCTTCCATCTGCTCCTTCTTAAACTGTCCTAGGGAGTTGGCTTTTCAGCCAGGGCCAAAGGAAAAAGCCCTGCTGCATTTAAAAACAAAGTGTCCAAGCTGTCAGTGGTGTGTTTACAATCTCTCCTGGCAGAGGTTGGCCCTTTCTCTAATGCCTTCTGGAAGGCGGAAAATGTGGGAACTATAAATCACTAGGCGGTTGCCTTGTTTTGACTTGAGACACCCAAGAGGAACAGTCATGTTTCTCATAAAAATCAGTGGGATCATTTTTGAATTCCATCAGCCTTTGTATGTGAGTGCAAAACATTTTAACAGTTTTCTCAAATCAACAAACAGCCTTCTCCTATAGCTGTACTTGCCCCCCTCCCCAAAAAACCATGGATGAGAAAGAAAGGAGTCAGGGGCCTGATAAAAAATACAGACTTAATGAGCAACTCAAGATGAGAAAACTGCTCTTTTTCCAAAAATTACCAACTGCTGATTACAGCTGAAATGGAACCAAATGTTTGTTTTCTGATTTTTTTTTAATAGCTGTTTAACAAATTAGTCTTTGCTGAGTAAAAGGGGAAATTTCTAAACCTAGTGCACTGTTTGGCCAGTGTCCACAGCCTCTTTTCTGGCTGTGTTTTAGAGAAAGGGATTTGAGCTATAGGCTCGCCTCCTGTTCTCATTCTCACAAAGCTGCCTTGACTGTGGCCTGCAACCACGAGTGCCATGCTTTCAGGTCTTCTGTGGCCTACTGGCCTTCAAGACAGAGGCCTGCCCCAGTGTGCCACAGATCCATGTGGATGGAGCCTCCTTCAGAGGGGTCACAGGTCTTTGAGACTCAGCCTGGGCTTTAATGTGTAGGAAAAGCCTTCTGGCCACCCAGAGAGCCGGAGCCCTGCTTGCTGTATTCTCTGCTCCCTTCTTCCTGCTGGGTTTTAGCCATAATAGGGCCCGGTACGATTTGGGAGTGACATTTCTGTAAAGAAGAGGAAAAATCATTTTTCTATAATTTGTAAAGTTGTGAAAGAGCCACTACCACAGTTTTTACATTGATTATTGGAACATTTCAGAATAAATAAAGATATTTTCTTAATGATTTAAGTTGCCTTTGTGAGTGCTTTTAGCCTTAGTGTGAGTCTGCCCTATATGCCTTGTTGTTAAAAACTTTATCTTCCATCCTTCCTTGTTCAAACTAGCTGTTTGCTGGAGAGCATATATCACCAGGATATGATATCTAGGAGGTGTTGGATTTCTAGTTAATGACTTAACAAACGTGAGTACCTACTGTATGCCAGGCACTAGGAATACGAGCAGGATCAAAGTCAGAAAGCCCCTGCTTTCACAGAGCTGACAGCCTGCAAGGTGGGCAGATGGACAAACATTTCAAGAGTGAGGTTGGGAGTTTATGGTATTATAAAGTTTAGGGAAATACTTGGCAAGGAGTCCTAACATGGTCTAGGGTCAGAAAATACTCAGGTGACACATGTAACATTGCAAGGCACCTTACTATACTGGTTAATTTTCACAACAGGCCTTATCTACTTTTTTTTTTTTTTTTTTTTTTTGAGACAGAGTCTTGCTCTGTCACTCAGGCTGGAGTGCAGTGACGCAATCTCGGCTCACTGCAGCCTCTGCCTCCCGGGTTCAAGCAGTTTTCCTGCCTTAGCCTCCCTGTAGCTGGGATTACAGGCACACACCACCATGCCTGGCTCATTTTTGTATTTTTATTTTTATTTTATTTCTTTCTTAAATTTTTTTTTTGAGCTGGAGTCTCGCTCTGTCACCTAGGCTAGAGTGCAGTGGTGCAATCTCAGCTCATTGCAACCTCTGGCTCACTGCAACCTCTGCCTCCCGGGTACAAGCAATTCTCCTGTCTTAGCCTCCTGAGTAGCTGGGATTACAGGCGCATGCCACCACACCTGGCTAATTTTTGTGTTTTTAGTAGAGATGGGGTTTTACCATGTTGGCCAGGCTGGTCATGAACTCCTGACCTCAAGTGATCTGCCCACCTTGGCCTTCCAAAGTACTGGGATTACAGGTGTGAGCCACCATGCCCGGCCATTTTTGTATTTTTAGTAGAGACAGGGTTTTGCCATGTTGGCCAGGCTGGTCTCAAAATTCTGACCGCAAGTGATCCACCTTCCTCAGCTTCCCAATTACAGGCATGAGCCGCTATGTCCAGCCAGTGCCAGAGAGTTTAATAGCTTGCCCAAGGTTTTATTGCTAGGATGTGGCAGAGCTGGGAGTTGAACCTGGCAGACTGATTTCAGCGTCAATCACATAACCAATCTCCTTCCCCCAGAGGAATTGGTTCTAGGCTGAAAGGTGGAGGAAAAGTGTTTCAGGCAGTAGGAACAGCACATGCAAAGACCTGAAGTTCTTGGAGAAGCTAAAAGCAGGCAGGTTATAAAGGAAGAGGCAGTGATGAGAAATCAGGCTGGAGAGGTAGACAGGGACCAGATCTTGAAAGACTTTAAAAGCTGTGGGCGGCCGGGCGCGGTGGCTCACGCCTGTAATCCCAGCACTTTGGGAGGCCGAGACGGGAGGATCACGACGTCAGGAGATTGAGACCGTCCTGGCTAACACGGTGAAACCCCGTCTCTACTAAAAATACAAAAAATTAGCCGGGCGTGGTTGCGGGCGCCTGTAGTCCCAGCTACTCGGGAGGCTCAGGCAGGAGAATGGCATGAAACCAGGAGGCGGAGCTTGCAGTGAACCGAGATTGTGCGACTGCACTCCAGCCTGGGTGACAGAGCGAGACTCCATCTCAAAAAAAAAAAAAAAAAAGCCGTGGGCAGAGGAAAGCCATTAGAAGGTTCTAAGCAAGAAAATGATGAGATACGGTTTTTAGAAAAATCACTCTAGCTGGTGGTTGGAGAGCGGATCTAGGATTACTTTGAGGATTAAGAGGATTGATGCTTATGTAGTGCCCAGGGCAGAGTAAATCACTGATATGTATCAGTTGCTGCTACTATTATTACTTGTTTTTAAGGGCCCAACAGAGCAGAGAGCCTGCAAAGGAGACAGTAGTAGTGACCAGAGAAATAGGAGGCGACTGAGATAGCCAAGTGTCATGGAAGCCAAAGAGGAGGGCTAGATGAGCAGTGTCAAATGGTGCTGAGAAACCACGGTTATACCTGAGAAGTGTCTGTTGGATTTACTGGATTGGAGATATTGGCAAACTCAGCAGGAACAGTTTCAGTGGAGTTCAGTATAGCAGATGTGGACAAAGTCAGACTGCATAGATGGGAAGTTTTTGCAGTTTCCAGGAATTCTGTTCCCCGAGACCTGGCTATATGTCTCAAGTGAAGAACCCCTGCTTTGGCTTGACTCTGCTGTCACATTAGCTCACTGCTACAGAGCAGGGCTGAGGAGTGGGCCTCTCATTCCGGCAACATTTGTTTCAAACCTAGCCCTGTCTTTTTTTTTTTTCTTTTTTTTTTTTTTTTTTCTGAGTTTTCTGCTCCACCCCATACATCCCACCTCCAACCCCCCTCCCTGCAAAAAGAAGAAATGGTAACGCAATACCTGATATGACTGTGGGCACAGAGGATACATAAAGAATGGTCTTGCCCTCCAGGAGCTCCAGGGTTAGTGGAGGGACATGAGATAGCAGGTACGTTTTGATATGGGGGAAGGAAAACTCTGGAGTCTAGAGGGTTCGAGTGGGCAGGAGGGAAGACTAGGGCAGGGCCACGTTATGACTTCCATGGGCCCTGGGCACTTTTGCCTTTCTGGGCCCCCTTTCTTCCATAAAAGTATTTAAAATTATATTTTATTACTGCATTGATATAAAAATGAATATATTTATGTACTAAACCATTTTTTCTTCTAATTTTTCTTAAAAGTTTTTTTCTTCTAATTTTAAAAGAAAACATTTTTGCAATGTGGGCCTTAGGCACGGTGCCTACTATGTCTAATGGATGAGTTAGCACAGGACTAGTGTACTAGGGGATAGTGTGAGGCCTCTGGGTACCTGGGAATGGAGAGGCAGGAAGGAGACAAGCCCTACACGAGACTTAACATTCTATTTAGCACTGACCCAAAATCTCAGGGAGATCCCATAGGCCAAGCAGCTCTGGGAAAAGTGAAAGTGGTTTAGTTGGAGCCACCTCATAGGGGCCCCCAGCTGCCTAAGGTCTTGTGAAAAGCAACCCCATCTGTCCTCTGTCACTAATGCCATTGTAAGGGGGGACCTCTCACAGGTGAGGTCCTTGCTTCTGAAAATGCACAGCATCCCATGAGCTGTCAGTTTCTACCAGAAAGGGAAAGAGTTTTACTCTATGGGAGTAAGTGCACGAGTGTATGAGAGAGAGGTAGAATAGGGGAAGTTGTTCTGTGTCATTTCTGTTTAATTCATTTCATTAAACACTGATTGCCTACAAAACCAGGAGAGGGGTGGAGAGTTTGTGATTTAAACAGCCCAATTCAGACATTTTTCTTGAGAACATGGCCCCATCGCATCTGAGCCCATTTCTGCTAAGCCCAGGAGGCTTGTGTTGGCATGGAGTCAGCAGCATTCATCCCGTTGCCATGGTGATTCTTAGGCCCTGGGGCTGGATTTAGCTCACACAAAAACAGGACCACACCCCTCTCTAAACCCCCTCCACAGCCCCCACTTGTCTCTCTCCCCGCTCCCCTCCTCTCTACTGTGCCCCACCTCATGAGTTTTCCATCTCTTGGCCTTTGTTTGTGTTTGCCTTTGTCAGTCTCCTGCCTCTGGATGGGTTTCTGTTTGTTTCCAAACTGTCTGGGGCTGTGCACCATGGAGACAGTGTCCTGGGCTGCCTCTAGCCTGATCTGGTTAGAATAAGCCCCTCTCCTTTGCATGCGTCTCCAACCTGACATTTGGAGCATCCAAAACAAATCATGACATTCCCAAGTAAAGATAGAAACCACCGTCTCCACCCACTCTGGCTGGTGCCCTTGTCCACCTGGAAAGGGTTTTTCAAAAATTTCCAGCGTTCTGCTGTAGTGTCCATATACTGCAGCCCTGAAAAGGGAAAGCAGCATTTATTGAATACTTTATATCAGCCACGGGGCTAGACTTTGCTTGTGTTAAAAATCTGGAAATTAGGCCAGGCGCGGTGGTTCACGGCTATAATCTCAGCACTTTTGGAAGGCTGAGGCGGGCAGATCACCTGACGTCAGGAGATCAAGACCATCCTGGCCAACATGGTGAAACCCCTTCTCTACTAAAAATACAAAAATTAGCCGGGTGTGGTGGTGTGCGCCTGTAGTCCCAGCTACTCAGGAGGCTGAGGCAGGAGAATCGGTTGAACCTGGGAGGCAGAGGTTGCAGTAAGCTGAGATCGTGCCACTGCACTCCAGCCTGGTGACAGAGAGAGACCCCATCTCAAAAAAAACAAATCTGGTTTCCTGCATTAAAATTCAACTGCAAGCTCCTTGAGGACAGGGACTAGGCAGTCTTTGTATATCCAAGTATCTAAGATATGGTAGGTGCTGGAGAAGAGTTTATTGAGTGAATAAAGGGGTGCAAAGATACAAGAAACTTCCCTATCACAGTAGAGGGTAATGATTGAATGTTAGCAAAAAGAGAATGAAGGCCGGGCGCGGTGGCTCACGCCTGTAATCCCAGCACTTTGGGAGGCCGAGGCGGGCGGATCACGAGGTCAGGAGATCGAGACCATCCCGGCTAAAACAGTGAAACCCCGTCTCTACTAAAAATACAAAAAATTAGCCGGGCGTAGTGGCGGGCGCCTGTAGTCCCAGCTACTTGGGAGGCTGAGGCAGGAGAATGGCGTGAACCCGGGAGGCGGAGCTTGCAGTGAGCCGAGATCCCGCCACTGCACTCCAGCCTGGGCGACAGAGCGAGACTCCGTCTCAAAAAAAAAAAAGAGAATGAAATTAGACGAGAAAAAAAATGCATTGACAAGACATTGTGGATGAGTGGGGGTTTCAAAGAAGGTTGTGGACATTTGTTGCTTGAATTCAGGGAGTCCCATTTGCGATGTCACCAGAAATACCTTTTGAGGTTAGTGGGGTGGAAAGGACAGTGTCTTGCATTGTTTTTTTTGTTTGTTTTGTTTTTTTTTTTTTTGAGACGGAGTTTCACTCTTGTCTCCCAGGCTGAGGTGCAGTGGTGCAATCTCGGCTCACCGCTACTACATCCACCTCCCAGGTTCAAGTGATTCTCCTACCTCAGCCTCCCAAGTAGCTGGGATTACAGGCATGTGCCACCATGTCCAGCTAATATTTTTGTATTAGTAGTAGAGACAGGTTTCACCATGTTGGCCAGGCTGGTCTCAAACTCCTGACCTCAGGTGATCTGCCCACCTTGACCTCCCAAAGTGCTGGGATTACAGGTGTGAGCCACCACGCCCAGCCGCCTTGCATTTTATTTAAAGTGCAGATGATCCTGAGAGAGGCTAAACTGTTGACTTGAAGCTTATTCATACACATGTGCAAATGACTGATAACAAAGCCTCCCTAAGAGCAGGTTTTAGTAATGAGTTAGGAGAGGGTGGCGAAAGAGAAATCACTAGGGATTCAAGGGCAGGAGGAGCTTTGACCATGTCAAGGGGTGGGGCCGCTGGAATCAAACTTTGCTCTAACCCCATTTGGCCAAAGGAGGACCCCAGTGAAAACAGCATGTGGTGCTGCCAGGCTTTCTAGCCATTGCTGGTGACATTGGTTAGTTTAGTCAAACTGTCCACTGGTGGGTCAGAAAGGCCAGTCTCAATTTATTGGAAGCATGGATCGCAGGCTGCTTTAAAGATGCAGTTTTATTCTTGAGCAAGTGCAGGCTATCCCAAATGAGCCCATAATATATTGCCTATCAGAGGTCTGTAGGGATTTAAAACTAGCACATCAATTATATTTTTAAAGGGCTAGAAAAGTATTTGTCCTCTTAGTTCTTTGGCCATCGATTTCCTTTGGATAAGTCCATCTGTTGTTCTTGTCACCCAGGGTTCATTCACCTTCCTGGTACCATACCTCAACTTCCTCTCTGGGGAACCAACTCCCTTTCCCACTCTCATTGGTCTTGGGAAGCTGACTGACTGCCCCCTCCACTCACACACTCTACAAGTAGAGCATTGACTCAGGCCCAAGCCAATTAGTGAGTTGCCTTCTCCCAGCCTCAGTGATTGCTTCAAACCTAGGCATGTGGGCCGGGTGCAGTGGCTTACACCTGTAATCCCAGCACTTTGGGAGGCCGAGGCGGGTGGATCACGAGGTCAGGAGATCGAGACCATCCTGGCTAACACGGTGAAACCCCGTCTCTACTAAAAATACAAAAAATTAGCCGGGCGGGGTGGTGGGCGCCTGTAGTCCCAGCTACTCGGGAGGCTGAGGCAGGAGAATGGCATGAATCCGGGAGGTGGAGCTTGCAGTGAGCTGAGATCATGCCACTGCACTCCAGCCTGGGCGACAGAGCGAGATTCCATCTCAAAAAAGCAAACAAACGAACAAAAAAAAAACCTAGGCATGTGACCCAACTAGTATCTCATCAAAATGAGCCACGAGTTTTGAGATAATAGTATCTCATTTTGATATAATAATAGTATCTCATATCTTTTGATGAGATAATAGTATCTCATCAAAATGAACCATAAGTTTTGCTGGGGATCCTGGGAAAGAGACTTGCATTTTCAGTGGTCCTGAATGTGAGAGGCTGCCATCTGGCTGCCATGCAAAGTCTCAGACTGATGCCAACACAGTGGAAAGCAGAGCTGCTGTCCTGATGACGTTGTTTTGAGTACTGAATCCAGTTGTGCTTGAAGCCAGACTTTTCACTTAGGTGACCAATAAATACATTCCTTTTTATTTAACAGAGTAAGTTGGGTCTTAACGGGGAATAAACGTGGGTAGATCTTAACTGATAGCCTTTGCCATCCTGGAGCATCATTATTTTTAATGTAAATCCTTTGTTAACTATAGAAAGGTGTGAATTCCAAACTAGTGAGTCTGGATTGATGAAGTTTGACTGTCCTGACCCTTGGACTATCCCCACAAGGCACTCAAACCTGTGCAAAATAAGAGATGGGAGGCAGGGGCATGGTGACTCATGCCTGTAATCCCAGCACTTTGGGAGGCTGAAGCCTGCAGATCACTTGAAGTCAGGAGTTTGAGACCAGCCTGGCCAACATGGTGAAACCCCGTCTCTACTAAAAATACAAAAATTAACTGGGCATGGTGGTGCACGCCTGTAATCCCAGCTACTCGGGAGGCTGAGGCACGAGAATCGCTTGGACCTGGGAGGCAAAGGTTGTAGCGAGGCGGAGGTTGAGTGAGCCAAGATCGCACCACTGCACTCCAGCCTGGGCAGCAGAGTGAGACTCCGTCTCTAAATAAATAAATAAGAGATGGGAAAAACACACACACGCGCGCCACTGTGTTTTGGGGCCTTCTGCAGCCTCAGTCTCAAGGGGCCTCCTTCGGTCAGCTTGGACTGGCTTCTGGCCTCAGAAACCTCAGGGCCCATCAAAGTCCGGAAGCAGCAATGGGTAGGTCTGACCAGGGCTGTGGCTGTAAACTACACTGGAGGAGCCTGGCCCTCAGGAAGACCAGAGATGCAGTCTGCAGCAGTAGGAGAAGGGAGGAAGGAAAAGGATGCTACCGTGTATCAAGTGCCTCCTGCATGATGTGCATATTAAAAGAATTATCTCATTTAATCTTCACAGTATCCCTGCAAGGCAGATACTATTCTGTTTATTTTACAGAAGAAACAGGTTTGGAGATGACTTGTGCAAGGTTAAAAGGCCAGAAAGAGGCAGAACCAGGGCTGACTCTAAAGGAATAAGAAAGGCAGGCATGGCCAGGCACAGTGGCTCACGCCTGTAATCCCAGCACTTTGGGAGGCTGAGGTGGGCAGATCACTTGAGGTCAGGAGTTCGAGACCAGCCTGGCCAACATGGTGAAACCCCGTCTGTACTAAAAACACAAAAATCAGCTGGGCATGGTGGCGCGCGCCTGTAATCCCAGCTACTGGGCAGGCTGAGACAGGAGAATCGCTTGAACCTGGGAGGCGGGGGTTGCAGTGAGCTGAGGTCGCACCATTGCACTCCAGCCTGGATAACAGAGAGAGACTCTGTCTCAAAAAAAAAAAAAAAAAAAAAAAAAAAAGGCAAGCAGGTGCAAGGCTGCAGCTAGAGGGGCTGTCTGAGCAAAGAAGACCTAGGCTGGTGGCATAGGAAGACAAGAGTGCCGACACCAGGCCCAGTGAATAGAAAACGAGTTCCCTTTCCAGACTGGGGTTGTGAGCTCTGCTCTGTTTTATGAGCAGAAGGCACCTGCAATGTCAGAAGTGGAAACCATGGGAAGTCCCCCAACACCCACTCAATCAGAGCTCTGAGCTCATCTCCTGTAACCTTCCCAGCCCCATCATTGCAGACCCAGGAGGTGAGCCCAGAGGCACACATGGCACTGAATGTGGGGCAGGAAGGGGATGGCCCCTCCCTTCCACCCCCACTGCCTGCTCAAGCTATCAGCCTGCTCTGATTAAGTTGAAATTTTTGAGACCTTGCATCCAGGGGCTGCTGGCAGCCAAATCCCCCTGATTGCCTGAGATGTTCCTCACATCAGAGAACAAACAGTCACCCCTTTCTGGCCAGCTGGGCTCAGCAGCATTCCTGTCTCCAGTCCTGCCTGGCTGGGTGGGGCTGCAGCCCTTCGTCCACCTCCAGCAGAGGCCTGGAGGATCTGGTGAGTGGGTACAAGGGAGAAGGAAGGTAGCTGTCTGTCTCCAGGTTGAACGAGACATTTCTCCTGAGTCCCCATTTTGCCCCAGCACTGGGCACCTCAGCCTCAAGCCACTCCAGGCACAAGTCCTGTGTTTGTAATATGACTGTCACTTAAGAGGAGGCCCCCACTGGGCCACTGTCCCTGGGGTGGGAGCCCCTTCACCCCCGCCCAGGGGCTGCCTGGGGAATTAGATTCCCACACCATTCCAGCTAGATCTGAAGTCGTCACACTCAAATGGCTCATTTTACAAAAGTGGACACAGTCCACAGAGTTGAGACAGAAGCAGGACTAGAACACTGGCCTTTAATTCCCACAGCCTTGAGATGCTGTGGTTTGGATGACGCTAGGGGCTCTGAGCAAGAGGAGCTGCCCATGTTTTTGCAGAGAAGCAGGAGTGTTTTCGTCCCCTAGGCCTGTTTTGAAGATCAGGCTGGTGGCTGAGCGGTTTCCTAAGGAAGCAAGGCTTCTGGAAAAGCGCTATTCACTAGATGCTCCTAAATCATCTAGTTGGCAATAGAGCTGGGGCAGTGGAACCTGAGTGTGCTCTGCCACCATCCAGCGTCCAGCCTGGCCTTAGTCAGGCTTTGGGAGGCAACTGGGGACCAAGGGCAGAGTCCTTGGGAAGGCATAGCTCCCCACAACGTATAACATCTGCTTCCCTAACCTAGGACTCTGGCCTGGGTCTGTGGGGGAGGAGGAAGAGCCGGCTTTTTCAGCCAGTCTGCAAAAGGAATTCTAGGAACCCCCTCTGGCCGCAGACAGGAGGGGGAAGGAGGCAGACAGTGTGGGATCCAGGGGCAGTCCAGGAGTCTATGGACAAATGTCTCACTCCCAGTCTGTTTTGGGCCTGCAGCTTTGCCTTTGTCTAGCTGAGCAGATCAGGGTGGGTTTGTGTGACTTCTGGGTTTGTGTGTGTAGGCAGCTGCATTGCTGGTTGCAGCTGTTCCTCGGTAGAAAGTATGTACTTGTGTGTTTCCCTGTATGTAAGTATTCACATCTGTATAAGCCCATGTATGTGAGTATCTTTGAGGGAAAGTGTGGGCCTCTACTGCTTGCATAGTTGAATTGGTCTACCACCTGCCTACGTGTGTTTGTGGGGGTACTCATGAGGTTATTTTGGTGTAAATAATATGTCAGTGAGCCTCTGAAAGCACATATGCCTATTTGTGCAGAAGCATTCATTCACTCATTCTTGATTTATGATTTACTAATTTACTTGGACATTTTTAAAGTACTTGTTCTGTGATTGTCCCCACACTAGGCACTGGGAATCTGAAGAGGTGTCTGTGGCCAGAGTAAAGCCAGAGTGTGGCCATCTAAAGGGTGGGCCCAGGACAAGGGCCTCATGGAAAGGAACTGTGGAAAGTAGAGAGGTAAGAACAATCCGGCCGGGAGCGGTGGCTCACGCCTGTAATCCCAGCACTTTGGGAGGCCGAGGCGGGCGGATCACAAGGTCAGGAGATCGAGACCATCCTGGCTAACACGGTGAAACCCCACCTCTACTAAAAATACAGAAAATTAGCCGGGCGTGGTGGCGGACGCCTGTAGTCCCAGCTACTCAGGAGGCTGAGACAGGAAAATGGCATGAACCCGGGAAGTGGAGGTTGCAGTGAGCCGAGATTGCGCCACTGCACTCCAGCCTAGGCAACAAAGCAAGACTCCGTCTCAAAAAAAAAAAAAAAAAAAAAAAAGAACAATCCATTGGTCTAAGTGCCTGTGTGTGTTATCGCCTGTGTATACATGTCTCTGTGTGTCTGTCTGTGTGAATGTTCATATGTGTTTTTCCTAGAGGGTAGAACTCACAGCTCTCCAGCCATCCATTCCCTTGCCTGGGTAGACAGGCTGGGGTGGTGAGAGGGCAGTGACCTAAGAGTCCAAGATACTAGTCCTGTGCTCAGCTTAGACTCACTGTGATCTGGCCTCTCATCTGTAGAATGAAAGGGTTAGATCACCTCATCATTAATTGTATAGGCCTTGTGTGGTTTACAGAAGGAGGGTGATTGATTCCTGGGTTAATTAATTACTTTTTAGAGGTCAAATTGGAAGATGCCTAATTTTAGAAGCTCTGGGTTCAGACAGAACTCAGTTTGAATCCCAGCTCTGCCATATGGATTTTGTGTCCTTTGGAGTTATTTAACCTCATCAGGATTGTTGTGAGGATTAAATAAAATAATGTGTGTAAAGTGTTGAGCATGGGCCAGGTGTGGCGGTTCATGCCTGTAATCCCAGCATTTCGGGAGGCCAAGTCAGGAGCATCACTTGAGGTCAGGAGTTCGAGACCAGCCTGGGCAACATAGCCAGACCCCTGTCTCTACAACAAATTTTTAAAAAATTAGCCCAGCTTGATGACCTGTGCCGATAGTCCTGGCTACTCAGGAGGCTAAGGCTGGAAGACTGCTTGAGCCCAGGAGGTCGAGGCTGCAGTGAGCTATGATCACACCACTGCACTCCAGCCTGGGCAACAGAGCGAGACCCTGTCTTGGGAAAAAAAAAATTGTTGAGCATGATGCCAGGCACATAGTAGATGTTCAATAAATATTAGCTTCTGTTCTTATCTACAGACTTTCCAGCTTTCATATCTTACAAATGTTGGGTTCAGTAGACACGTTGACAAATTGAATTCATGTAAACCACATGTTTAGGGAATTCTGGCCCTATGGTGGTTGGGGGTGGGGACAGTGGGGGAGAAAATCTGGCCCTTTCTTCGGTACCTTCTAAGAAGTTGCCAACTGAGATCTGTGTGAGCCACTCCCTTCACCCCATTCTCTGATGTGGATCCTTGACATCTTCTCAGTCTTGTGTACAGATAAGTACTATGAAAGACAGGTTCAACACCCTCTTCTGACCTGATTCTGCCCCTGAGCCCCTACCCAGTGAGGCAGGATGTTGAGCTAAATAGGATCAGGCCACAGGGCAGAGCTGGGTCAGGTAAGTCTTCAAGCTCCCTGACATGTCTGTGCCTGCCTGACCAGCCCCAGTATGGGCACATCCAGACAGGCGGAGGGCGTCTGCCTCCCATGATTGATATTGCTGGGAGCGCATCGCTCTGCTCCTGGCTCAGGTGGCTGAGAATCATAGAGCACCTGAGAGACCAAGGAGACCTCCATGACCCCTGTGCCCTCAAGGCCTCTGGAATGGCTGAGTTCCAGCAGGTACAAGGAGAGTTGGGGGCGGTCCGGAGATAGTGCCTCTCAGCCAGGGTTGCTGGGGGTGACTATCTCGGGAATCCCCTAGAGCCTGTTAAAGCTGGCAGCTCTTATGCTCTCCCAAAATATCCCTGACCTGGAGGGACTGAGGGAGGGGTTTAGGGTGCAGCCAGGGTTGCTGAGTTGGGAAATTCTCTGGAAGTGAGCTCAGGGTGGCCGAGGCCCTGAGAGAAGCAGGGAGAGGGTCTGCCTGGAGGTCATGCTGGCCACCCCAATGGCCATCCCCAACATGGGTCACAGATAATTGGTTTGATGTTCTCTCAGCTCTAAGAGTTACCCTGGAGATGGGAGTAACTTAAACTGCAAAAGGCCCTCTGGGAGTCATTGTGACGGCCCCTCACCATATCTGGCTGCTCTGCTTGGGGCCAGAACTAGGAATTTTCCTCTTGAAAAAAATTGAAAGCAAGAGAGCAGGCAATGGGTTGTGGCCAAAGTAATGTGTTTAAGGAAATTTCTGCTTCATGCTGGCCAGGACAGGGAATGTCTGGTCAAATAGCTGCTGACGGCCAGGGTCCCTGTAAGTAAACAGGCCGCCTCTGATGGCTGTCCTGAGCTCATTTCCCTCAGCAGCGTGCAAGGGGATGATGTCACCATGAGTGGGGCCTCCTGGTCATGGAGTTTGTCAGTGAGCAGGATGGAAGCTCGGTGATTGCTGGCGGCCTGGGTGCTGTGGCCTAGTTATTGCAAACAGCTGCTTCCATACAAGCAGCTCTGACACCCTCCTACACATACTCCATGGGACTCTAGCCACATCCATGACCCCACAGCAGCGGTGTTCCTGGCGAGATCTGGGATTAACTGTCCCATATCCAGCTTCTATCCAAAGCCTCTTCCCTCAGCCAGAGAGCTGGGCTTCCCCTGGTCTATGAAGGGCACAACTTCAGTTGTAAGGAGTGGCCCCTAGAGGTACAGGCTCATGTTCTGCCCCTGCAGAGAGCAGATAGTGGCAACGTGTCCTACCGCCTGTCTCCTGGGGCTAGGCAGCCAGGTCCAGAGGGGGACTTTCCATGAGCAGAGAGCCCAGGTCAGGGGAGGTTAGGAGGTGGGGTGGCGAGGAAGCCACAAAGCCCTCTCTGTGCCTCCCCCACAGGCTCTTCCTGAGCCTTGCAGCCACGAGGTGAGGTTCATGGGATTTGAAAGCCCTGCAGCAGAATTACTGAGGAGCAGCTGCCAGTTTGGGACAGGCTCTATAGCCTCCCCACTCCCCCAGGCCATCCCTGTGTCACCTCCTGGCCAGGGAATGGGGAGCAGTAAGACTCTAAATAGAGATGGGCAAGAATCTTCTTAGGGGTAGGCCTGGGCCTTTTCCTTCTTGTATCCCCCCAGCATCCTGGCCTGGCTTTGCAGTTGGCTTGTCAGTCATACAGACCAACCCCACAGAGTAAGTGGCCCACTCAACAGCTGCCTGACCTACTCCAGGCTGACCAAATCCTCAGACCAACCAACAGGCTCACAGGAGACTCACTACTTCTGTGATGTACAGCCTGATTAACCAATAGGCCATCCTGTTAGTCTACATATTCAACAAATAGTCATTGAACACTTAGTTTGTGCCAGATCTTGTGCTGGCTGCAGGGGATACAGCCATAAACAAGACAGACAAGATCCTTGCTCTTAAGGCACTGAAAGTAAGCCATATGGCTTGGCTGTGTCCCCACCTAAATCTCATCTTGAATTGTAATTCCCATAATTCCCATGTGTTGTGGGAGGGACCCGGTGGGAGATCATTGAGTCATGGGGGCGGGTCTTTCCCGTGCTGCTCTCATGACAGTGAATAAGTCTCACGAGATCTGATGGTTTTATAAAGGGGAGTTCTCTTGCACACACTCTCTTGCCTGCTGCCATGTAAGATGTGACTTTGCTCTTCCTTCATCTTCCGCCATGATTGTGAGGCCTCCAAGCCATGCGGAACTGTGAGTCCATTAAACCTCTTTCCTTTATAAATTACCCAGTCTTGGGTATGTCTTTATTAGCAGCATGAGAACAGACTAATATAGTAAGTAAACAATGATGGAGTGTGATCTGTATATTATATATTATATGAAGGAAGTAAATGAGATTATGTGGGAGATAGTATCCAGCAGGCCATCCCCTGGATATAACAAAAGTCAGGGAAGACCTTCCTGACACATTATCTGAGACCTGGAGATTGAGAATGAGAAACGACCATGCAAAGAGCCTGTGGAAGATCTTACCAGATGGAGAAAGGCAATGCCAAGGGCTTGAGGTGGGGAAGAGCTTGGCATACTCTTGGGATAGCCAGAAGACCCATATTACTGGAACATGGTGAGGGGAAGGCAGTAAGACCCTTAAGCAGAGAGGTGGGCAAGAAGCTTCTTGGGGGTTCTTGCCTAAGGGGAAGGCAGCATGTGGAAGGGCTGCAGAGGAGGGCAGGAGCCTACCAGACAGGAGACAGGGCCTTGGGAGTCACAATAAGGACTTAGGGAGGAGTGAGGGGAAGGCCCTGAGGGTTTACACAAAAGTGTGACACATATTCAAGAATAAATATGTAATGGAATTTATATAATAGTTAAAAACCTTCCCACAAAAAAAAATAAAATGAAACCCTCCAGGCCCAGATGCCTTCACTAGTGAACTCTACTAAACATTTAAGGAAGAAATAATACCAACTTGATATAAAATCTTCCAGAATATTGAAAAGGAGGGAATACTTCCCAACTTATTCTATGAGGCCAGCCTTACCCTGATACCAAAACCAGACAGAGATATTCCAAGAAGGCATGGCCACTCACGCCTGTAATCCCAGCACTTTGGGAGGTCAAGGAGGGTGGATCACTTGAGCTCAGGATTTCAAGGCCAGCCTGGGCAACATGGTGAAACCTTGTCCCTACAAAAAAGACAAAAATTAGCCAGGTATGGTGGTGCATACCTGTAGTCCCAGCTACTTGGGAGGCTGAGGCAGGAGGACCACTTGAGCCTGGGGAGGCGGAGGTTGCAGAGCTGAGATTGCGCCACTGCACTCCAGCCTGGGCAACAGAGCCAGACCTACTCTCTAAAAACAACAACAAAATCATACTTCATGGTTAAAGATTGAATGCTTTCACTCTAAGATTGAGAATGAGGCAAGAAATATCTGTTCTTACCACTTCTATTCAAGATTATACTGGGGGTCCTAGTCAATGCAATATAGGAAGAAAAATATAAACCATATAGTTTGGAAAGAAAAAAGTAAAACTGTCTTTATTTATAAATGACATATATATGGAAAATCTTAAGTAATCTAGGAAACCTAAAATGAGTAAATGAGGGACCAGGCGCAGTGGCTCACGCCTGTAATTCCAGCACTTTGGGAGGCTGAGGTGGGCGGATCACCTGAGGTCAGGAGTTCGAGACCAGCCTGGCCAGCATGGTGAAACCCTGTCTCTACTAAAAATACAAAAATTAGCCAGGAGTGGTGGCAGGCACCTGTAATCCCAGCTACTCAGGAGGCTGAGGCAGGAGAATCGCTTGAACCTGGGAGGCAGAGGTTGCAGTGAGCCAAGATCATGCCACTGCACTCCAGCCTGGCCAGCCGAGCAGGACTCCATCTCAAAAAATAAATAAATAAATAAATAAAATGAATAACTGAGGTTAGCAAAGTTGCAGGATACAAGATTAATATATGAAAACTAATTGTGTTTCTCTATATAAGCAAAAAACACTTGGAAATTGACATTATAAAAACAATCTATAATACCATCAGAACTCCAAAACAGGGATAAATCTGACAAAAGATGTGCAAGCAATTAAAGAAGATATAAATAAGTGGTGAGAGATACTGTGTTCATGGATCAGAAGACCTGATGTTTTCAAGATTACAATTTTCTGAAATTGGCATATAGATTCAAAATAATTCCTGTCAAAATTGCAGCAATCTTTTTTTTTTTGTAGTAAACAAGCTGATTCTAAATGTATGTGGAAATGCAAAGGACCTTGAATAGCCATAACAATTTTTTAAAGTATTATGCAATTAGATTACTGGCCCTACCTGATTTCAAGACTACAGACAGAGCTACAATAATCAAGACAGTGTGGTATTGATGTAAAGATAAACATATAGATCACTGAAAAAGAAAAGGCCATCCAGAAATAGAGATATACACATATTATCAATTGATTTTTTATGAAGGTGACAAAGTACCTTTGGGGAAAAGATAGTATTTTCAACAAATGGTGCTAGAACAACTGGATATCTCATGGCAAACAAAATGAACCTCTATCCTTACTTCACACCATACACAAAAATTAATCCAAGTGGGCCACAAATCTAATTACAAGAGCAAAAACTATACAACTTCTAGAAGAAGACGTAGGGGAAAATCTTTATAACCTTAGGTTGGGCAAAACACTAATAATCAGTGAAAAGGTTTATAAACTTCATTAAAATTTAAAACTTTTGCTCTCTAATGATACCACTAGAAAAACGAAAAGACAACTGTCGGTGGGAGAAAATATTTGCAAAACATATATCCAACAAAGGACTTGTATCTAGAATATATTTTTTAAAAACTTCCTTATATACTTAGAATATATGAAGAATAAATGATTTGTATCTAGAATACATAAAAATATATACACTCAATATAAAAAACTAATGTAAAAAAATGAACAAAAATTTTCAACGGACACTTTGCTGAAGAAGATACACAAATTGCAAATAAGCACATGAAAGGATCCTCTTTGGTTATAAGAAATGTAAACTAAAACATAGTGAAATACCACTGCACACCCACTAAAAAAGCGAAAATTAAAAGACTGACCATATGAAGTGTTGGCAAGGATGTGAAACAACTATAACCAGTTCCACACTAGCGGTAGGAATGTATAAGCACTTTAGAAAACTGGCCGGGCATGGTGGTTCATGCTTGTAATCCCAGCACTTTGGGAGGCCAAGGTGGGCGGATCACCTGAGGTCAGGAGTTCGAGACCAGCCTGGCCAACATGGTGAAACCCCGTCTCTACTAAAAACACAAAAATTAGCTGGGTGTGGTGGCACACGCCTGTAACCCCAGCTACTTGGGAGGCTGAGGCAGAAGAATCACTTGAACCTGGAAGGCAGAGGTTGCAGTGAGCTGAGATCATGCCACCACTGCACTTCAGCCTAGGCAACAGAGTGAGACTCCATCTCAAAAAAAAAAAAAAAAGTTTGGACAGGCATGATGGCTCATACCTGTAATCCCAATACTTTGGGAGGCTGAGGGGGGCAGATCACTTGAGGTCAGGAGTTCAAGACCAGCCTGGCCAACATGGCAAAACCCCACCTCTACTAAAAAAATACAAAAAATTATCCAGGTTTGGTGGTGTGCACCTGCAGTCCCAGCTACTTGGGAGGCTGAGGCACGAGAATTGCTTGAACACAGGAGGCGGAAGTTGCAGTGAGCCGAGATTGCACCACTGCACTCCAGCCTAGGCAACAGAGTGAGACTCTGTCTCAAAACAATAAAAATAGAAACAGTTTTGCAATTTCTCAAAAAGTTAAACATACACCTACCACATGATCCAGTCACTTCTCTCCTAGGTATTTACCCAAGAAAAACGACAGCAGAAGCTCATACAAAGACCTATACATGAATGGTTACAGCAGCCTTGCATATAATAGCTAAAAACTGGACAGCCCAAATGTTCATCATCAAGTGAATGGGTAAAAAATTGTGGTATATTCATACAATGGAATACTTATTACTCAGCAATAAAAAAAATACTGATACAATGAACATGGATGAATTTCAAAATTATTAAGCCATATAAAAAAGAGTATATAGGCCAGGCACAGCAGCTTGCGCCTGTACTTTCAGCACTTTCAGAGGCTGAGGTGGGCGATTGATTGAGTTCAGGAGTTTGAGACCAGCCTGGGCAACATGGTGAAACCCCATTCTACAAAAAAATTGGCCGGGCGTTGTGGCTCACGCCTGTAATCCCAACACACACACACACACACACACACACACACACACACACACTAGCCCCCCCCACCACACACACACACACTAGCCAGGCGTGGTGGCGGGCGCCAAGCTACTTGAGAGGCTGAGGCAGCAGAATGGCGTGAACCCGGGAGGTGGAGCTTGCAGTGAGCCGAGCCACTGCTCTCCAGCCTGGGCGACAGAGCGAGACTCTGTCTCAAAACAAAAAAAAGAAAAGAAAAAAAACATTAGCCGAGCATGTCGTGGTTCATGCCTGTAGTCCCAGCTACTTGGGAGGCAGATGTGGGAGGATTGCTTGAGCCCAGGAGGTCAAGGCTGCAGTTGCAGTGAGCCGTGATCGCGCCATTGCACGCCAGCCTGGGTGACGGAGTGAGACCCTGTATTTAAAAAAAAAAAAAAAAAAAGGTCAGACGCGGTGGCTCACGCCTGTAATCCGAAAACTTTGGGAGGCCGAGGTGAGCGGATCATGAAGTCAGGAGATCGAGACCATCCTAGTTAACGCAGTGAAACCCTGTCTCTACTAAAAATACAAAAAATTAGCCAGGCGTGGTGGAAGGTGCCTGTAGTCCCAGCTACTCGGGAGGCTGAGGCAGGAGAATGGCGTGAACCTGGGAGGCGGAGCTTGCAGTGAGGGGAGATCGCGCCACTACACTCCAGCCTGGGCGACAGAGCAAGACTCTGCCTCAAAAAAAAAAAAAAAGAAAAAATTACATACTATTTTCTATCACATAAAATTCAGAAGATGTAAACTAGTTGGTAATGGCAGAAAGCATATCAGTCATTGCCTAGGAATGGGAGGTGGGGAAGGGAAGTTGGATTTCAAAGGAGCACGAGAAAACTTTTGGAGGTCATAGGTATAGTTCTTTTTCATTTTTTCTTTCTTTTCTTTTTTTTTTCTTTTCTCTCTTTTTTTTTTTTTTTTTTTTTTTTTTTTTAGGCAAAGTCTTGCTCTGTTGCCAGGCTAGCGTGCAGTGGTGGGATCTCAGCTCACTGCAACTTCTGCCTCCCAGGTCCAAGTGAATCTCCTGCCTCAGCCTCTTGAGTAGCTGGGACTACAGGCGCACACCACCACACCCGGCTAATTTTTGTATTTTTAGTAGAGACCGCAGTTTCACCATGTTGGCCAGGATGGTCTCGATCTCTTGACCTCGTGATCCGCCCACCTCAGCCTTCCAAAGTGCTAGGATTACAGGCATGAGCCACCGCACCCAGCCTTCCTTTTTTTCTTTGAGTCGGGATCCCACTCTGTCACCCAGGCTGCTGTGCAGTAGTGCAATCACAGTTCACTGCAGCCTCAAACTCCCAGGCTCAGAGAATCCTCCTGCCTCAGCCTCCCAAGTAGCTGGGACTACAGGCACATGCCATCATACCTGGCTAATTGGTTTTTATTTTTTGTAGAAATAGGGTCTCACTATGTTGCCTAGGCTGGTCTCAAACTCATGGCCTTAAGCAGTGCTCCTGCCTCTGCCTCCTGAGTTGCTTGGATTACAGGTGTGAGCCACTGCACATAGATATGGTTGTTATCTTTATTATACTGATGCTTTCATGGGTATATGTCAAAACTTAGCAAATTGTAAGCTTGAAGTGTGCAATTAATTGCATGTCAACTATACCTCAATAAAGGTATTCAAAAAACTGCAACCTGATCTAATTTGTTTCTTAAAAAATCACCCTGGCTGCTGTAAGAAGGGATGGAGGGGGATGAGAGTCGACATGGGAGTCATCAGGCAGCTGGCACAGTCACCTGAGTGAGAGATGCTGCGGCTGCAGTGATGGCAGTGCGGAGTGGAATGGACAGATTTGAGAGAGATTATAAGACCTAAACAACAAGACAAGACTTGCTAGCAGTTTGGATAAACTGCATGAGGGAAATGGAGAAATCCAGGATAGCTATCACATTTCCAACTGGAGCATGGAGTGACTGGGGCAGCCTGGGCCAGGGACAGATGTGGTGGTGAGCGTGGAACAAGAGTTCTCTTTTCATCTACCTCTGGGGATGCCTGGGCTCCAGGAGAAGGGTCTGGATGGAGATAAAATTTGAGGATATTAGCAAATAAATGTTTTTTTTTCTTTTGAGGCAGAGTTTTTGCTCTTGTTGCCCAGGCTAGAGCGCAGTGGCATGATCTCAGCTCACTGCAAACTCTGCCTCCCGGGTTCAAGCAATTCTCCTGCCTCAGTCTCCCAAGTAGCTGGGATTACAGGCCCCACCATGCCCTGATAAATTTTTTGTATTTTTAGTAGAGGCAGGGTTTCACCATGTTGGCCAGGCTGGTCTCAAACTCCGGACCTCAGGTGATCCACCTGCCTCGGCCTCCCAAAGTGCTGGGATTACAGGCGTGAGCCACTGCGTCCAGCCAATAAATGAATGGTATTTTAAAGCCAAGTGAATGGATGAGATCATGTAGGGACAGAGAATAGAGAAAAAAGTAGTATGAGAACTGAGCCCGGGGCACCCCAACATTTAGAGGTCTCCTGAAGGAGAGGGAGCCTGTACAGCTCATCAGGAAGGAGCAGCTTGAGAAGTACCCAACTGCATTAATTTCCTGTGGCTGCTGTAACAAATTACCACAGACTGGGCAGCTTAGAACAACCAGAGATTTATTCTCTTACAGTTCTGGAGGCCAGAAGTTCAAGATCAGACCACTGGGCCAAAATCAAGGTGTTGGCAGGGCTGTACTCCCTCTGGAGGCTCTAGGGGAGATGTTGTTCTTTGACTCTTCCAGCTCTGGCAGCTGTTGGCCTTCCTTGACTTATAGCCACATCACTCCAATCTCCCTCTCTGTGGTCACACTACTTCCTCCTCTTCTGTTCTAATCAAATCTCCCTGTGCCTCACTCCTTATAAGACCCTAAGGACACATAGAATTTAGGGTCCACCCAGATAATCCAGGATGTCCTCCTCTTCTCAAAATCCTTAATTAATTACATCCATGAAGACCCTTTTTTCCAAATTTGGTTACATTCACAGGTTCTGGGAATTAGGATGTAGACACATCTTTTGGGACCACCTCTTAATCCATTACACCCACTGACTGACAAATAAGGGGTGACTCACCGAGTGATGCAAAATGGCAGGACTTCCTGTGTCTGGGAGGAGGGACTGAGTAGGTTAAGTGTAGGGTGCTCAGCCTGAAATCTCAGGCAAGGAGGTATAGGGCCAAGGCTGCAGCTGGCTTCAGCCTGTGTGGGAGAGTCTCATGGGGAGGGGAGGAACTGCAGATAGGAGGTTCCCAGCCCTCCCAGGCCTGACTCAGCGTCTGGCTGGGGCCATCTACACAGCAGCCAAAGTGATCTTTAAGTTGTAAATGTGTTCATATCACTCTCCAGTATGTGACCCTTCAACAGCTTTCCACACCTTTTTTCTTTTTTTTTTCTTTTTTTTTTTTTTTGAGACAGAGTCTTGCTCTGTCGCCCAGGCTAGAGTGCAGTGGTGCAATCTCGGCTCACTGCAACCTCTGCCTCCAGGGTTCAAGTGATTCTCCTGCCTCAGCCTCCCGAGTAGCTGGGACTACAGGTGCCCGCCACCACATCCAGCTAATTTTTTGTATTTTTAGTAGAGATGGGGTTTCACCATGTTGGCCAGGATGGTCTCGATCTCTTGACCTCGTGATCCGCCCACCTCGGCCTCTCAGAGTGCTGGGATTACAGGCATAAGCCACCGTGCCCAGCCAGCTTCCCACAACTTTTATGCGGAAGTCCAATACCATTACCCAGCCTACAGTGCCCAGGGGCCTGGCCCTAGCCCACCACTGCGGTCTTGTTTCATACTTCCTGTCCCTGCTAGCTGTCTCAAGACATACTAGCTGCCTCTCAGGCTGCTGTTTCTCCTACTCTAGGGCCTTGGCCTGGTATCCCCTCAGCCTGGAAGGCTCTTGTTCAACCCACTTCATTGAGTTAGCATCCAATGGTGTTCCAGATCTCAATCCAAATGTCTCTTCTGCAGAGAATTCTCTCTTGGTTCCCTGGTCCAGGTCATAAAAATGTGTCATATAAATTCTCATGGCTCCCTGGAATCATCTTCCATAGGACCATCAAAGTTCATAATTGTGTACATATTTGTAATGTTATTTTATTAATGTTTGGCTCTACCACTAGACTGTAAGCACCACAGGGTTTGTAGTATTCACCGTTCTATTCTAAGTGCCTTGTCCAGTGCTTGACAAACAGAAAGGAGATGTGGTGGGTTTAAAACATGTCTGCAGGGCTGGGCACAGTGGCTCACGCCTGTAATCCCAGCACTTTGGGTGGCCGAGGTGGGTGAATCACCTGAGGTCAGGAGTTTGAGACCAGCTTGGCCAACATGATGAAACCCTGTCTCTACTAAAAATACAAAAAAATAGCTGGGCATGGTGGCACATGCCTGTAATCCCAGCTACTTGGGAGGCTGAGGCAGAAGAATCGCTTGAACCTGAGAGGCGGAGGTTGCAGTGAGATCGTGCCACTGCACTCCAGCCTGGGCAACAGAGAGAGACTCAGTCTCAAAAAAAAAAAAAAAAAAACCATATCTGCAATTTTTTTTTTTTTTTAAGACAGGGTCTCACTCTGTCGCCCAGGCTGGAGTATAGTGACGCCATTATGAATCAAAGGTAAGTTGAGCGATTAAACAGCTCACTGCCCCCTCGACTCCAGGCTCAGGCGATCCTCCCACCTCAGCCTCCTGAGTAGCTGGGACTACAGGCATGTACCACCATGCCCGGCTAATTTTTTTTTTTTTTTTTTTTGTAGAGATAGGGTTTTACCATATTGCCTGGGCTGGTGTTGAACCCTGGGCTCAAACAAACTGCCCACCTCATCCTCCCAAAGTGCTGGGATTACAGATATGAGCCACCATGCCTGGCCGGCAAATTTTTTGACATCCTTTCCATCAAGAGGTAGAATCTAATTGACCTTCCTTTAAATATGGGCTGGTCTAATGACTTGTATCTAATTAACAGAATGTGACAGAAATGCTGTGTGACATCCGTGGCTAGGTTCTAAAAGGTAATGTGGCTTCCTCCTGACTCATTCTCTTTTAATTTTTATTTTATTTTATTTTTTATTAATTTTTTTTGGGGGGGACGGAGTCTCTTTCTGTCGCCCAGGCTGAAGTGCAGTGGCGCGATCTCGGCTCACTGCAAGCTCCGCCTCCCAGGTTCATGCCATTCTCCTGCCTCAGCCTCCCAAGTAGCTGGGACTACAGGCGCCCACCACTACGCCCGGCTAATTTTTTTTTTTAAATATACTTTAAGTTCTAGGGTACGTTTGCACAACGTGCAGTTTTGTTACATATGTATACATGTGCCATGTTGGTGTGCTGCACCCATTAACTGGTCATTTACATGAAGTATATCTCTTAATGCTATCCCTCTCCCCCACCCCTTTTTTTTGTATTTTTAGTAGAGACGGGGTTTCACCATATTAGCCAGGATGGTCTTGATCTCCTGACCTCATGATCCACCCGCCTCAGCCTCCCAAAGTGCTGGGATTACAGGCGTGAGCCACTGTGCCCGGCCCCTTTTTAAATTTTTTTAAATCTCTTTTTGGATGCTCCCTTTCAGGACCCACCTGCCATGCTGTGAGGACACCCAGGCCACATAGAGAGAGTGAGGCCACATGTAGGTTTTACAGCCAGAAGCCCCACTGAAAACCAAACCTGCAACCAGCATCAACTGCCAAACATGTACTGAAGAGGCTGAGATGATTCCAGCACTTGTGGATGACTGCAACCACATGAGAGACCCAGAGCAAGAGCTACCTAGCTGAGCCCAGTTACTCCCAGAATCATGAGAGAACTATGTAATTGATTGTTATTACTATATAAGCCACTAAGTTTACATATGATATGTTATGCAGCAGTAGACAGCTGGAACAGGAGCCAATAAACACCGAATGAATAAATGTGGATAGGTCTGGTTGAATGAACATTGCGTGTGTTTCAGCTTTGTGAAAGGTTTAACTGACAACTCTCAGCTTCTCCCCCAAGAGGTCTTGGAGATTCTGGAAGCCCCAGTTCAGAAACTCAAGCTCACCCAAGGAGAGAATCCCGGAAACTCTCAGCTCAGGACAGGAAACATGGAGAGGCTGTCAAAAGTTAGCTCTGAGCCTGATGCAGTGGCTCACACCTACAGGTAATCTCAGTGCTTTGGAGGCAGACATGGGAGGATCTCTTAAGGCCAGGAGTTCAAGACCAACCTGGGCAACATTCTTATTCTTGGGCCCATGGATAGTTTCAGGGGAGTAAAAACATACATTTTATCTGTGTGTATGTGCATTTTCCCGAGGAGAAGTTATCCAAGCTCTGTTATCAGATTCTCGAGTCTGTGTCCAAAAAATGTTAAGAACTACTGATCTAGTCCAACTATCTCAATATCTACGTTAAGATACTAAGATATTTTATGGTACTAAAGTGGACTAAGTACCCTGAATAAACTTCTGAAAACAATTATGGATAAAAGAAAAAAAATTTTTTTACTGCACTGATGAGTTGGCAAGAAAGTAAGGAATACTCAGGCCAAAAAAGTCACGAATTCAAAGGCAAGTTGCGCAACGAAACTGACTTTTGCCTTTTGGACATTTTTATTTTATTTTTATTTTTTATTGTCTAACCTATTTGCAATTTAAATTTTTTTTTTTTTTTTTAATTTTTGTGATATAGTCTTGCTCTGTCACCCAGGCTGGAGTGCAGTGGCATAGTCCCGGCTCACTGCAACCTCCACCTCCAAGGCTCAAGGGATTCTCGTGCCTCAGCCACCTGAGTAGCTGGGACTACAGGCGCATGCCAGCCTGTCCCACTAATTTTTGTATTTTTAGTAGAGATGGGTTTTTTCCATGTTGGCCAGGTTGGTCTCGAACTGGCCTCAAGTGATCTGCCTGCCCTGGCCTCCCAAAGTACTGGGATTACAGGCATGAGCCACCGTGCCCGGCTTCTCTTAACAAGTTATTTTTTGTTTTTGTTTGTTTGTTTTGGTTTTGTTTTTTTTGAGACGGAGTCTCGATCTGTCACCCAGGCTGGAGAGCAGTGGCGCGATCTTGGCTCACTGCAAGCTCCGCCTCCTGGGTTGACACCATTCTCCTGCCTCAGCCTCCCTAGCAGCTGGGACTACAGGCGCCCGGCTAATTTTTTTGTATTTTTAGTAGAGACGGGGTTTCACCATGTTAGCCAGGATGGTCTCAATCTCCTGACCTGGTGATCCGCCCACCTCGGCCTCCCAAAGTGCTGGGAATACAGGCGTGAGCCACCGCACCTGGTCAACAGGTTTTTAAGTGTACAGTTCAGTATTAACTATAAGCACAATACTGTACAGCAACTCTCTAGAACTTATTCATCTTGCGTGACTGAAACGACATCATTTTAATTTTTTAAAATTTTAAACTTTTTAATTTTTTATTTTTTGAGACAAGGTTTTGCTCTGTTGCCCAGGCTGGAGTGCAGTGGCACCACCATGCTCAACTGTTTTTTTTGTTTGTTTTGTTTTGTTTTGTTTTTTGTAGAGATGGGGCTCTCACTATGTTGGCTAGGGTGGTCTTGAACTTGTGGTTCTCACGCGATCCTCCCTCCTCAGCCTTCCAAAGTGCTGTAATTACAGGTGTGACCCACTGCACCCAGCCCATTTTTTATTTATTTATTTGTTTTTTCTTTTTGTGGAGAATGGGGTCTTGCTATGTTGTCCAGGCAGTTCTTGAACTCTTGGGCTCAAGCTAACCTTCTGCCTCTGCCTCCCTAAGTGTAGGGATTATAGGTGTGAGCCACTGAGCCTGGTCCGGTGAGTAATTTTTAACTCAGTAAACTTGAACTTGAATTTTCATGGTCTCATGGGAGTGAGTGATTAGAGAGAACCAGTGGTGTGCTAGTAACTGGCTCTCCAACAAAACAAAGCACTGTTTTGTGTACAGTTCAGTATTAACTATAAGCACAATGTTGTACACACATTTTTTAGTGTTTCAGTTTTTGTTGATTTCCATTAGGTAAATGTTCCCACCATAGATTTCAAGCCGTCAGTGGTACTAAGAACTGACACGAAAAATATTTGGTTCTTGTGAGCTGATAGGAGCAAACTCCAATACACACTACTGAGAGAAACTCAGGGCTCCTTTAAGGTGGGAAGTCTAAAAAACCTAAAATTGGGACTTCAGTGAATGTGTGAGCTAGATATAAACACCACTACCTCCCAACAGACTGAAAAGAAAAATGCCTATCTTAATTTCCCTATTCTTAAGAGAAAAATACCACTCCCAAAGTGCTGGGATTACCAGTGTTGAGCCACCATGCCCATCCCCCTTGCCCTCTTTTGCTATGTGCTTTAGGAGGTAGGTGACGGTGTAGTCTAAACTGGCACAGCAGCTGGAGGACACAACTGTAGGTACAAACAATAAGCAAGAATTCATTGGCACTAAAAATTTTTAAAAAGAATTATAAAATCAGTGAAAAGATATCTTAAAAGTAAGAAAAAACAATGACATGATACAAACAAAAACTGTATTTGCCACCAGCAGGCAGAAATAAAAAGTGATCCTAGATGGAAAAAATGAGAGACAAGAAGGAATATGGAACAAAGAAAATGGTACATGTGTGGGTAAGTCTAAACAAATGTTGTATTAACATTAATAACAATGTCTTATGGGCTTAAAAACACAGGCCAAGCATGGCGGCTCACACCCGTAATTGCAGCACTTTGGGAGGCCGAGATGGGCAGATCACTTGAGGTCAGGAGTTTGAGACCAGCCTGGCCAACGTGGTGAAACTCCGTCTCTACTAAAAATACAAGTATTAGCTGGGAGTGGTGGTGCGCCTGTAGTCCCAGCTACTCTGGAGGGCGAGGCACAAGAATCTCTTGAACTGGGGAGGCAGAAGTTGCAGTGAGCCAAGATCGTGACCCTGCACTTTAGCCTGGGTGACTCAGAGCGAAACTCTCAAAAAAAAAAAAAAGGTATAATTTGCAAACTATGTAAGGAGAAAAATGAAATAAAGAATAATTAAGAAAGCCAAAAAGAATAGAAAAGGAAACCTTAGAAAAGGTGGGGAAAATACCAAACAATAGGATATACGTAAATAAATAACGTGTGTGCGCACACATGCACATATCAGTATATTAATAAATGTAAATGGACTCAATGCCTCAGTTAAAAGACAAAGATTGCTAGACTAGACAAAGCAAATGAACCCAGTTATAAGCTGTTCACAAGAGGCATATCTAGGCCGGGCATGGTGGCTCACGCCTGTAATCCCAGCAGTTTGGGAGGCTGAGGCAGGGAGATCACCTGATGTCAGGAGTTCGAGACTGGCCTGGCCAACATGGTGAAACCCCATCTCTACAAAAATGTAAAAACTAGCCAGGCATGATGGCAGGTGCCTGTAATTCCAGTTACTCCGGAGGCTGAGGCAGGAGAATCACTTGACCCTGGGAGGCGGAGGTTGCAGTGAGCTGAGATCGCACCACTGCACTCCAGCCCAGGTGACAGAGCAAGACTCCATCCATCAAAAAAAAAAAAAAAAAAAAAAAAAGGGCATATCTAAATAAAACATAAGAATACAGAAAGGTTGAAAGTAAGAGGATGAAAAGAATCTGTCAAATACTAACCAAAGAAGGTTGATATGTCTGTATTAATTTTAGTCCACATAGACTTTAAGGCAAAAGCATTATGAGAGATAAAAGGGTCACTTCATAATGACAAAAGGTCCAAATCATCAGAAAGAACAATCCTACATTTATACCCACCTAATAACACAACTTAAATATATATAAAGCAAAAAAAAGGTAAGGAAAGTAAAATAAAAATAGGTAAATTCACAACACAGTGGAAGATGTTAGCACACTATTAAAGTAGTATAATTACTACTAATTTTTAGTAATTACTGATATATATATATATATATATTTTATTATTTTTTAAATTAGCTACTTGGGAGTCTAAGGTGGGAGGATCACTTGAGCCTGGGATTTTTGAGGCTGCAGTGAACTGGGTCATGCCACTGCACTCCAGCCTGGGCAACAGAGCAAGACTCCGCTCCAAAAAACAAAATCTAGCTGCTTTGTACTGTTCCTCTTCCCTATCCTGCTTCCCCTATTTCCTACTGGTTTCTCCCGGGACCATTTCTTTTTTTTTTTTTTTTTTTTTTTTGATACAGAGTCTCACTCTGTCACCCAGACTGGAGTGCAGTGGTTTGATCTCAGCTCACTGCAACTTCTGCCTCCTGAGTTCAAGTGATTCTCTTGCCTCAGCATCCTGAGTAACTGGGATTATAGGCACGAGCCACCATGCCCGGCTAATTTTGTGTATTTTTAGTAGAGATGGGCTTTTGCCATGTTGGCCAGGCTGGTATAGAACTCCCAACCTCAGGTGATCCGCCCGCCTTGGCCTCCCAAAGTGCTGAGATTACAGGCGTGAGCCACCATGCCTGGCCTGTTTTTCTTATTAAAATATGGAATCCTTCACAAATTTGTATGTCATCCTTGTGCAGAGGCCATGCTAATCTTCTCTGTATCATTCCAGTTTTAGTATATGTGCTACCGAAGTGATCACTGCCATTCGTTTTTTTAAATTCAAATGATTATACCTCTTCCAGGAAGGCTTCCCTGAGAGCCATCCTCAGAATGATGCTCCAGAGGGGGCCCAGAACAGGTGCTCCACACTAACCCATGCATGTTATTGTCCCTACCTACATTTACCTTAGTGTTCTATAGTGACCATTCCATCTCCCCGACGATGGGGTAAGTTCCTCAAAGGTACTCTGTTCTTTTATTTTTTATTTTTTTTGAGACAGAGTTTTCCTCTTGTTGCCCAGGCTGGAGTGCAATGGCAAGATCTCGGCTCACCGCAGCCTCTGCCTCCCGGGTTCAAGCGATTCTCCTGCCTCAGCCTCCCGAGTAGCTGGGATTACAGGCATGCACCACCACACCTGACTAATTTTCTATTTTTAGTAGAGACGGGATTTCTCCATGTTGGTCAGGTTGGTCTTGAACTCCCAATCTCAGGTGATCCGCCCGCCTCGGCCTCCCAAAGTGCTGGGATTACAGGCATGAACCACCGCGCCCGGCCTACTTTGTTGTTTTCTGTACCCCCAGCACCTAGCTCAGGGCCTGGCACATAGCAGAAGCTAAAAATATTTGTTTACTATCACAAAGAAGATGATGGAAAAAGAAAAACAAAACAAAACAAATTTGTAGGGGGCTGGGTGCAGTGGCTCATGCTTGTAATCCCAGCACTTTGAAAGGCTGAGACCAGGGATTGCTTGAGCCCAGGAGTTTGAGACCAGCTTAGGTGAAGTAGCAAGACCCTGTCTCTACAAAAAATAATAATAATAAAAAATTAGCCAGGCACGGTGGTGTGTTTGTGGTCCCAGCTACTCTGGAGGCTAAGGTGGGAGGACTGCTTGGGCCCAGGAGGTTGAGGCCGCAGTGAACCATGATCACACCACTGCACTTCCGCCTGGATGACAGAGCCAGACCCTTTCTCAAAAACAAAAAGATTTTTTTAATTGTAGAATGAATCAGTGAATGCAGCTTACATGTGGTAGAGGCAGCTTTAATCTGCATTTGGCTGCAAAGCCTGAGCGTTACCAGGGACTGGGGGCAGACTTATTGAGACTGAAGTTTTTTTCAGCCTCAGTAGTTCCCTGTTCCCGGCCTTGCTGAGGCTGTAGGTGCTTCTAAAGAGGCCACAGCCCAGCCCAGGGGACTTGAGTTCCCCTATGCCCATACTTTTCAATGTACCCTCCTTTCAGTGTGCCCTCAGTTGGAAAAATAAACCTGGGTGGCACTGTAACTACCCCAAGGTGGTGGGTTGTGCAAGCCTCCTCTCCTGGACTCCCCCTCATTTGGGGCTCAGTCTGGTGGCACTGCTGACCCTCCTCTCCTTCCTGCCTTCTGTGTGGTGCCCTACACCATGCTCCCCATCACTCACTCCCTCTCCTTTCCACCTCTGGCCAGGAGCCTGGGACACAGGGCTGTGAGAAACCCTTTGAAGAATAATGTCTCCAGAAAGCTCCTGTTTCTCAACCATAGTTTGCCTGAGGAAAACAGCGCTTCCTCATGGGGCTGAAGTCTCCCACGGGAGTCTCTAGCCACCAGATCTGTTAAATAACCTTATTGAAGAACCTCGGGCCTGGGACACCAAGGGTTCTGGCCCTCTCCTGGGGGCCTGGCCTTTGGGTGAAGCTCCCCGAGACAGGGGCTGTGCCTCCCCTGGACAGAGGCTGTTCTTTCCTCTGTGTAAGAACATGGTAACTCTGGGATATGGCACCGGGGCAGGTGGACACACTGGTCATGGTGAGAGACTGAGCATCTTCAGCCAGTGGGGCTCTCTGCTGCCTTTTCCCAAGGCGCCTGGCTCTCAGCCGTTTTCCTCCCTCTGGGCTGTAGAATTGTTTGCAGATCCTCTCTTCTCAAGAGGAGGAAAGGAGATGTTGGCTCTCTCCACGAAGCACCCAAACACCCTCTCCTCCCCTAGCACAGACAACTGGTTCTCTCCACATTTAACTCCTTTTTTTTTTTTTTTTTTTTGAGACGGAGTCTCGCTCTGTAGCCCAGGCTGGAGTGCAGTGGTGCGATCTCGACTCACTGCAACCTCCACATCCCAGGTCCCGGTTCAAGCAATTCTCCTGCCTCAGCCTCCCAAGTAGCTAGGATTGCAGGCGCCCACCACCATGCCTGGCTAATTTTTTGTATTTTTAGTAGAGATGGGGTTTCACCATTTTGGCCAGGCTGATCTCGAACTCCTGATCTCAGGTGATCCACCCACCTCGGCCTCCCAAAGTGCTGGGATTACAGGCATGAGCCACCACGCCCGGCCCATGTTAAATTCTTTAGCAACTGCTGCCCTTTACCTCCAAGTGCAGTGAAGGAGATAAAAAGGGAACAAGGTGACCTTGACCCTGTGGGGAAAAGCAAGAGAGATCAGATTGTTACTGTGTCTGTGTAGAAAGAAGTAGACATAGGAGACTCCATTTTGTTCTGTACTAAGAAAAATTCTTCTGCCTTGAGATTCTGTTAATCTATAACCTTACCCCCAACCCCGTGCTCTCTGAAACATTTGCTGTGTCAACTCAGAGTTGAATGGATTAAGGGCGGTGCAAGATGTGCTTTGTTAAACAGATGCTTGAAGGCAGCATGCTCCTTAAGAGTCATCACCACTCCCTAATCTCAAGTACCCAGGGACACAAAAACTGCGGAAGGCCGCAGGGACCTCTGCCTAGGAAAGCCAGGTATTGTCCAAGGTTTCTCCCCATGTGATAGTCTGAAATATGGCCTCGTGGGAAGAGAAAGACCTGGCCGTCCCCCAGCCCGACACCCGTAAAGGGTCTGTGCTGAGGAGGATTAGTATAAGAGGAAGGAATGCCTCTTGCAGTTGAGACAAGAGGAAGGCATCTGTCTCCTGCCCGTCCCTGGGCAATGGAATGTCTCGGTATAAAACCCAATTGTATGTTCCATCTACTGAGATAGGGAAAAACCGCCTTAGGGCTGGAGGTGGGACCTGCGGGCAGCAATACTGCTTTGTAAAGCATTGAGATGTTTATGTGTATGCATATCTAAAAGCACAGCACTTAATCCTTTACATTGTCTATGATGCAAAGACCTTTGTTCACGTGTTTGTCTGCTGACCCTCTCCCCACTATTGTCTTGTGACCCTGACACATCCCCCTCTCGGAGAAACACCCACGAATGATCAATAAATACTAAGGGAACGCAGAGGCTGGCGGGATCCTCCATATGCTGAACGCTGGTTCCCCGGGTCCCCTTATTTCTTTCTCTATACTTTGTCTCTGTGTCTTTTTCTTTCCTAAGTCTCTCGTTCCACCTTACGAGAAACACCCACAGGTGTGGAGGGGCAACCCACCCCTACATGACCCCACAACCCACTCTCCAGGATCTGGGGAGAGTGGTTGGGGAGAGCAGGCTGTTGGTCAGCTACAAGCCCAGATGCTCTCTGGAGAGGACCTAGCCTGCCCAGCAGAAGGGGTCAGCAGGGTAGGTGTGTCGGGTCCTGGCCTGGGACAGGGCTGGTGGCTCTAAGGCACCTGCTTGTGTGCAGGTGGGAATCCTGAAGTCACAGAACTCATCTGGAGGACCCCTTACTTCCCTTCAAAGTGCTTTCCCTCCACCACATTTCAGTGGGATTTCAGGCATCCCTGGGGTCATATTTTTGGGAAAATGAGTGGTGTGACACCCTTGATCATCAAAGCAGCAGCTGGCACCTGTACAGGTCACCTTAGAAAGTGCTTTCCCAGGCCGGGCACAGTGGCTCATGCCTGTAATCCCAGCTCTTTGGGAGGCCAAGGCGGGCACATCACCTGAGGTCAGGAGTTTGAGACCAGCTGGGCCAACATGGTGAAACCCCCGTCTTTACTAAAAATACAAAAATTAGCTGGGCGTGGTGGTGCATACCTGTAAACCCAGCTACTCGGGAGGCTGAGGCAGGAGAATCACTTGAACCTGGGAGGTGGAAGTTGTAGGGAGCCAAGATTGTGCCACTGTACTCCAGCCTGGGCAACAGAGTGAGACTCCATCTCCAAAAAAAAAAAAAAAAAAAAAAAAAAAGTGCTTTCCCATCAAAGACTAATTGTCAACTGTGGCTGTGAGTGAAAATCACCTGGAGGGTTTTTGAAATATGCCAACATCCAAGCCCTATCCCAGAGCAATTAAATCAGAATCTCTGAGTGGGGCATGGGTGTTTTTTAATGCTCCTCAGATAACCTGAATGTGCAGCATTAGAACTCCACAAGGACCTTGAAAGCTAGATACTGTCATTATCCCCACTGTTCACATGGGCCATGGGGGCTCAGAGAGGTGAAGCCACTTGGCCAAGGTCAGAGGGCAAGTGGAGGGCAGGGGCTGAGTCTCAGATGGAAGCAAGCAGGTGGCCCCTTGCTTTGTCACTGAGGATCCAGGCTTCCTGTGGGTCCAGGAGGCCTCAGGCAGGCCTGGGAACTCACTTCATTGGCTGGGAAGACATTTCTGCCACCTCTTTCTCCAGGGTTGGACTGTGGCTCCTCCAAGCCCCAGAATACGGGTGGGTCCAGAACCTCCACATCCAGCTTCCGGTTCCTCTCACTGGAAAGACACGCCCTTTGGTGAGGGGGAGGAAGCATTTTTGAGGTGAAATGTTGTATCCCAGCCAGGAATGGAAAATATTAAAAGCCCATTGGCGCCAACAAGGTTCGCGCCAGGGCCAGAAAGTACGGAAAAGAGGAGGGACGTCCCTGCGGTGGAGGGTACAGTGGGGGTCAGCCAGGGGGCTGCCCACACCCTGTATCCCAGGCTGCCTCCATCTTCAGGGTTAGAGCAAGCTTCTCCTGGCCAGAGGAAGGTCCTTGGGTGATGACCCCAAGAGAAAAGCCCCTTGGTGTGTAAGTTGGTTTACCCCACATTCCAGAGAGGGTGGTGGGCATAGGGGTGTGTAGCCATTGAGAGTGAAATATCTTACTGGGAGTGTGTGAAGCCAGGCCAGCCCAGTCCATACACAGATTCTGAACATTCTGGGTGCTGGGATGCTGAGAGAAGGTGAGCCATGGTCCCTGTCTTCTAGGAGCTTCACCATAGAGATGGGGCAGGCAAAAGAACAATGTCAGTAAAGTGTGACAAACGCTTTGCTGGAGGGGTATACAGGGACTGTGCAAGACAGAAAAGGGACAATTAGTTCAGCCCAAGACTAGGAGGAAGGGTTACCAGAGTAGGTGGTACCTGGGCTGAGTCTTGCTACGAATAGATATTTCTAGAATTTGCACAAAGCTGGTGATTGGGTACATGCTCTTGGGAGTTAACTCTGTATTTGGAAAAAGAGACACGGAGACACAAACAAATGGACTAATTCCCCCCATGGGGGCTTCCTTTCCCACTGCCCACATCACATATGCAGTAAGGTACAAACATAAGGTATTGGATAATGTCTCAGAATTATTTTCCATCTACCCCTCTCCCACTGCCCATCACACACACTAGGGTACAGGCACACCTGTAGTCATAAACAATTACACACATACATATATCACATATGTGCAAAGTAGTGGAGAATGTACTAGAATTCTCAGTGAAAGAGCTGTTCTTGTGAACGAAATGCTTTAATAAGAACTGGGGGTTGAAGATGAGGCCCCTGGTGGTTGGGGATCTGCAGAAACAGGGCTTTGGAGCCTGGCAAAGCTGCTCTGCTCAAAAGAGGAAGAAGGGTCTGGAAAGAGGTGCGAGGAGCAGTGGTCGGAGAGGAAAAGGAGGGAGGAAGCCAGTGTCCCTCGGTCAAGTCTACCAACTGACAAAAGCTCACTGTGCATGACTGTTTGTTGTGGGAACTAAAGGGTGTGAGCTTCATACTGAAGTTGTGGAATGGGATAGGAAACCTGAGCCCCTATGCCGGGCGAGGTGGCTCACACCTGCAATCCCAGCACTTTGGGAGGCTGAGGCGGGTGAATCACTTGAGGTTGGGAGTTCGAGACCAGCCTGACCAATATGGTGAAACCCCACTTCTACTAAAAATACAAAAAAAATAACCAGGCATGGTGGCCTGTGGTCCCAGCCACTCAGGAGGCTGAGGCAGGAGAATCGCTTGAACCCAGGAGGCGGAGGTTGCAGTGAGCCAAGATCATGCCACTGCACTCCAACCTGGGTGACAGAGTGAGTCCATCTCAAAAAAAAAAAAAAAAAAAAACAAGAAAAGGAAAAAGGCCGGGTGTGTTGGCTCACTCCTGTAATCCTAGCACTTTGGGAGGCCAAGGCAGGTGAATCATGAGGTCAGGAGATCGAGACCATCCTGGCTAACATGGTGAAACCCCGTCTCCACTAAAAAATACAAAAAAATTAGCCAAGCGTGGTGGAGGGCGCCTGTATTCCCAGCTACTCGGGAGGTTGAGGCCAGAGAATGGCGTGAACCTGGGAGGCAGAGCTTGCAGGGAGCTGAGATCGCGCCACTGCATTCCAGCCTGGGCAACAGAGCGAGACTCTGTCTCAAAAAAAAAAAAAAAAAAAAGAAAGCCCAAGCCCGAAGTGGAGGAGGCTGAGAAGCAGAGGAGGCTTCCTGGAATTGATACAGTCTTTGAGGGCTTTGGTGTCCACTGGCCGTGGGACAGTGGGGTTCAAAGCAATTTCATCTGGATTTCAAGGGCAGAGAGGCTCCCAGTTGATGTTATGCAGACTCTATCATGGGCTTTCCCGCCCACCGAATCTCCTCATTTTACTGTGGAGGAAACTGAAGTCCAGAGAGGGAATGTGAAATGCCTAAGGTCACACTGCATTTGGGGATCAGAGCTGGGCGTGGGCATATATGAGCTGTGACACACCCCACCAGGCTTACATGTTCTCGTGCAGCCACTCACAAATACATACACTCAGAGTTCTGTACAACAAAACCCCTTTTCCTCAGGATGGCCTGGGTGAATCATCATCCTTGTTCCCAGAGTGTGGAGCCTCTGCATCTGCCTGGCACCCTGGAGGGAAGATCCAGGTTCACCAAATACAGAGAGGAACCAACTCTCCCTACCATCCTGTATGAAAGGCCACTGTGATAAAACAGGAAGATCAGAGGACTGGAAATTAGACCTGGCCTGGGTTTGAGCTGACTCAAATTCCTAAGCATCTCCAGGACCCAGGTCTTGGTAGAATTCTGGTATACCTCGCACTGTGTGCTTTCCCCACTAATTATGATCAGGCTCAGGCTGAAATGAAAATCAACAGCAGCTTTTGTTTTGTTTTAAATAGAGATGAGGTCTCACTATATCACCCATGCTGGTCTCAAACTCCTGGGCTTAAACGATCCTCTCATCTTGGCCTCCCAAAGTGCTGGGATTACAGGCGTGAGCCACTGCACCTGGTTTCAACAACAGCATTGATGGGTGAAGTAGCAGAAAGATGAAGGCAGCTGATGCACTCTCGGGGCATTTTCCCTCTGTTTGATGGAAGCTGGTTAATTGAGTGCAGAGGATTTAAAACCTATCTGGCCCAGGCCTGGCACGGTGGCTCACTCCTGTAATCTCAGCACTTTAGGAGGCTGAGGCGGGCAGATCACTTGAGGCCAGGAGTTCAAGACCAGCCTCCCCAACATGGCGAAACCCTGTCTCTATTAAAAATACAAAAATTAGCTGGGCATGGTGGCACATGCCTGTAGTCCCAGCTACTCAGGAGGCTGAGGCAGGGGAATCGCTTGAACCCGGGAGGTGGAGGTTGCAGTGGGCCGAGATCACACCACTGCACTGCAGCCTGGGCAACAGAGCGAGACTCCGTCTAAAACAAAACAAACAAAAACAACAACAAAAAACTATCTGGCTCAGGAGCCTTCTGGGAAATGGAAGAGTCATTGGAGGGAGGGGCAGTTTTTTAGACCCAGACATGTCCTTGGCAATCATAATGGTCTCCTGGTGCTGTTCTCAGGAGTCAGACATGAGTCCTGGGGAGAGTAGAGGGGCTGTCAGTAAGAGCCCAAAGAGCTGTTCCACTGAACAGTCTGTGTCTTATCTGAGCATACGCAGTCTTGTTCTGAAGTTAGGTAAGAAAGGCATTTGTCCTCACTATTGACCTTCGTACATTGAGAAAGCAATAGGGTGCTGTGCTGAGGTCAATGCCTTGAGAAGCCAGTGTTAAAAAAAAAAAAAAAAAAAAAGGAGCTGGTCAAAGGAGAAAGGATAGTCTTTTCAACAAATTGTACTGGAACAACTGGACATCCCCCATGTAAAAAAAATGAACCCTCACCCATACTTCTTTCTAAATTTTTGTTTACTTACTGATTTATTATGTTTTTGAGACAGGGTCTTGCTCTGTCACCAAGGCAGGAGCACACTGGTGTGATCATGGCTTACTGCAGCCTTGATTTCCCAGGCTCAAGCGATTTTCCCACCTCAGCCTCCCGAGTAGCTGGGATCATAGGCATGTGGTCCCAGCCCGGCTGATTTTTTTTATTTTTTGTAAAGATGGGGTCTCACTATGTTGCCCAGGCTGTTCTTGAACTCCTGAGCTCAAGTGATTCTTCCAATTTGGCCTCCCAAAGTAGCGGGATTACAGGGGTGAGCCATTGCACCTGACCTTGACCCATACTTCACATCATATATGAAAACTAGTTCAAAATGAATCATAGACCTGAAGGTAGAACCTAAAACTAAAAAAGTCCCAGAGAAAACATAGGAGAGCTGAGTGGGGTGGCTCATGCCTGCAGTCTTAGCACTTTGGGAGCCCAAGGCGGGAAGATCGCTTGAGCCCAGGAATTTCAGACAGCAGTGAGCTATGATCGCACCACTTGTACTCCAGCCTGGACAATAAAGCAAGACCCTGTCTCTAAAAGCAAAAACAAAAACATAGAAGAAAAAGCCTTTGCAACTGTGGATTTGGCAAGGATTTCTTAGATGCAACACCAAAAACACAATCCATAAAATAAAAAATTGATCAATTAGAAAAGATAAGCCATAGACTGGGAAAAAATATTTTCAAAACATATATCTGATAAAGGAATTGTATCCAGAATCTATAAAGTACACATTAAACTCGATAATAAGAAAATAAACGGCACTTTGGAAGGCCGAAGCAGAAGGATAACTTGAGCTCAGGAGTTTGAAACCAGCCTGGGCAACATGAAATCCCATTTCTACAAAAAATAAAACCCAATTAGCAAGGTGTGGTGGCATGCACCTGTAGTCCTAGCTACTTGGGAGGCTGAGGCAGGAAGATCTCTTGAGCCTGGGAGGTGGAGGTTGCAATGAGCCATCATGATGCCATTGCACTCCAGCCTGTGCAAAAGAGCGAGACCCTGTCTCCAAAAAAGAAAAAAAAAAGAAATGACTCAATTACAAAATGGGCAAAATATCTGTACAGATACTTCATCAAAGAAGATATATGAATGGCAATTAAGATTCCTAACATCATTGGTCACTAGGGAAATGCAAATTGAAATCACAATGAGATCACACTGTACACCTATTAGAATGGCTAAAAACAAACAAATAATCAAACATAAAACCTTGACAATATCAGGTGCTGATGTGAATGCTGAGCAACTAGAACTCATACATTGCTGGTGGGAATGTAAAAGGTACCATCACTTTGGAAAACAGTTTAGCAGTTTCTTATAAAGTTGAACATACACTTACCATAGAGCCTACTTGTAGGTATTTACCCAAAAGAAATGAAAAACATGTTTACACAAAAGCCTGTGTACAAATTATAGCTAAAATGTACTTGCTAAAAACTAGAGAACTGGGCCGGGCGCGGTAGCTCACACTTGTAATCCCAGCACTTTGGGAGGCTAAGGCCGGTGGATCACCTGAGGTCAGAAATTCAAGACCAGCCTGGCCAACATGGTGAAACTCTGTCTCTTTAAAAAAAAAATACAAAAATGAGCCAGGCGTGGTGGTGCATGTAGTCTCCAGCTACTCAGAAGGTGGAGGCAGGAGAGTCACTTGAACCAGGAGGGGGAGATTGCAGGGCAGTAAGATTGTGCCACTGCACTCCAACCTAGGTGACAGAGCGAGACTCCGTCTCAAAAAAATAAGAATAAAATTTTTTTTAAAAAACTGAAGAACTGGCCAGATGCAGTGGCTCACACCTGTAATCCTAGCACTTTGGGAAGCCAAGGAGACGGATCACCTGAGGTGAGGAGTTCGAGACCAGCCTGGCCAACATGGCGAAACCCTGTCTCTACTAAAAACACAAAAAAATTAGCCAGGCGTGGTGGTGGGAGCCTGTAATCCCAGCTACGTGGGAAGCTGAGGGAGGAGAATCACCTAAACCCGGAGGCGGAGGTGGCAGTGAACTGAGATCGCACCACTGCACTCCAGCCTGGGCAACAGAGCGAGACCTCATCTCAAAAAAAACAAACAAAAAACAAAAAACTAAACAAAACAAAACAAAAAGCTGAAGAACTGTAGACAATCTACATGTCCTTCATCTGGGAAATGAAGAAACAAATTGTGCTACGTACATGCAATGAATACTACTCAGCAGTAAAAAGGAATGAACGGTTGATACACACAACACCATGGACGATTATACTAAATGAAAGAAACCAAATTCAAAAGGCTCCTACCATATGCCTCCATTTATATGACATTCTCAAAAAGGCAAAACCACAGTGAAAGAAAGATTTGTGGTTGTCAGTAATTGGGGATGGGGAGAAGGGCTGACTACAAAGGAAACTTCTGAGGTTTTGGAAATATTTTTTATCTTAATTGTGATGGTGTTACATGATTATATTTGTCAAAAATCACAGAAGTGTAGATCCAAAAGACTGAATTTTACAATATAAAAATTTCAACTTTTAAAAATTGGGGGTGGGATTCAAATTCCTTCTCCCTTTTGTTTGTCTTCCTTGTCACTGCCCAACATCCTGCCCTTGAAGCTCTTGTTCTCCTAGAGAAAACATTGCCCAGATTCGGCCACACTGAAGACTGCCTTGCTTCTGAGGAAAAAAGGGAAACCCACTAAGAATGGTCTGCAGGGCCACGTGTCTGTCTCTGTCCCACCCTCTGTCCCACGCCATCTGTGTAGGCCCAGTTGCCAAGGGCGACCCAGCCTTTCTAACCTCCATTTCACCTTCCCTGGGCTAGAGTCCTGGTGGTGACCTGGGCAGGGACCAAACCCTTACGGCCCAGGTGCTATATGGGCGAAGATTTTGCTTGGAAAGAGGGCGGCTCCTCCCACTCAACTTCTCACAGCTGTGTTTTCTAACCAATAAAATACCCACGTGTCCGGAGAACATATAGCCAGAGAGGGCATCTACCCAGCATCCACCTCACTTCATCCCCTACCAAGGCCACCCCTGTCACTGCTGCAGGCTTTTCTGGGCTGCCAGCATCTTGGCCAGAGCTGAAGCCACACCACACCCAGAGCCATCTGGGACCTCTCAAGAGAGTCATGAAGAGGCCTCGGGTCATGGGAAGGAGAGCAGCAGAGTCTGGTGGGTGCATGGGTGAGCTTATGCCCTAGAACACCCAGGGCATACCCATGGTGAGTGTGAATAGCCAGGGGAGGGTGAACACTCTTGAGATAACACCTGGGTGAATGTGCACCCCCTAATCCTATACAAAATTGTGAATGTGGATGTTCATGGGAAATACAAGGGGGATACAGTGGTATGAACACTATGACGTGCACATATAGAGTAGGAACTCAGCTGGTTCATGCAGTGAACACTACAATGTCACTGAATGAGAGCAAACTATGAAAGTGTGGTGAAGACGCTATGGACTGTGAACATACTATGGTAAATTTGTTGAATGTCATGGTGACATTGCATGAATTCTGTAGTCAGTGGTGAAAACACGGGCCTCTAGGGTGTGTGTGAACACACTGTGATAAGCATGGTGGACGCTATAGATGCTGTGTGTGAACATAAGGCCCTGACTGGGCTGAATCCATCATAGGAACACTGAGGTGACCCTGCTTTAAGCTTGAGAAGCATTCTGGGGTGACCACAGTGAGCGTGTTATGCAGAGGGTGGAGAGCTCTACTGAGCACGTTTTGGAGTATCTGCTGTGATCATAGCCCATTCTCTGGGAATCTTCTCCCACCTATGGCCGCTGAGTAAGCACATGCTTACAAGACTAGGTGCTGATCAGTACGCTGCAGTATTCACAGCAACCAGTGTGGCATGTGCAGTGCTGAAGGTTTCTTTCTTTTTCTCCTATTTCCTAAGTTGGAGTTGTTATTATGGTTGCTTGGTTTTGCTCAACTGTTCTGGAGTGTGTTGCTATGGTTACAAGATGGCAGGGGTTACATAGGTGGGTTTGGAACGGAACAAATGATGGGTAAACTCTGAGGTTGACAGCTATTAAAGTGGTTTTTTCATATCATGACTCTTAACCCTTTTTTTTTTTTTTGAGATGGAGTCTGGCTCTGTCACCCAGTCTGGAGTGCAGTGGCACAATCTCAGCCCACTGCAACCTCCGCCTCCTGGGTTCAAGTGATTCTCCTGCTTCAGCCTCCCAAATAGCTGGGATTATAGGTGCCCACCACCACGACTGGCTAATTAAGACTGTCTCAAAAAAAAAAAAAAAAAAAAAAAGGGCTGGGCGCAATGGCTCACACCTGTAATCCCAGCACTTTGGGAGGCCAAGGCGGGCAGATCACCTGAGGTCAGGAGTTCCAGACCAGCCTGACCAACATGTAGAAACCCCGTCTCTACTAAAAATACAAAATTAGCCAGGTGTGGTGGCGCATGCCTGTAATCCCAGCTACTCGGGAGACTGAGGCAGGAGAATTGTTTGAACCCGGGAGGCAGAGGTAGTCATGAGCTGAGATTGTGCCATTGCACTCCGGCCTGGGCAACAAGAGAGAAACTCCATCTCAAAAAAAAAAAAAAAAGTAGACCTTATCTTATTGGTTACAAGTAAGTCATGAGGCCAGCTCAGATTCAAGGGGAGGAAAATTAGATTCTATCTCCTGATGGTGGATTAGTGTAGTTACATTGTATGAGAACATAAGGAAGGGGAAATACCATTGCAGCCATCTTTGGAAAATACAGATTGCTACAGCCTCCTTGAGAATAAAGCCATCCAGAGGAAGCAATTGAGATATGGAAAAAGAAAAGTTCTAATGATGTTGTCTGAGTACCTAGATCCAACTTTTACCAAGATTTCCATCATCAGAACCATCAGATTCTTTTTCTGCTTAAACCATTTTGAGGCCGGGCGTGGTGAATCATGCCTGTAATCCCAGCATTTTGGGAGGCCAAGGCAGACGGATCACCTGAGGTCAGGAGTTCGAGACCAGCCTGGCCAACATGGCGAAACTGAGTCTCTACTAAAAATACAAAAATTAGCCAGGCGTGGTGGCACTCACCTATAATCCCAGCTACTTGGGAGGCTGAGGCAGGAAACTCACTTGAACCCTGGAGGTGGAGGTTGCAGTGAGCCAAGATCATGCTACTGCACTCCAGCCTGGGCAACAGAGTGAGACTCTGTCTCAAAAAAAAAAAAAAAAAAAAAAAAAAAATTTTGAGTTGTGCTTTATTACTTGCAACTGAAAGAGCTTTTACTCTTAGTGTATCAGTTATCTATTGCAGCATAACAAACCACTCCAAAGCTCTGTGGCTTAAAACAATGATTTATTATTTCTCATGATTCTGTGGGTTGGCTGTACAGAATCAAGGTCCAGACCATTCCTCTGTTGGTCTCATCTGGACTTTCTCAGGCAACTGCATGTGTGGAAAGTTCAAGATGGCCTCATTCACCTGTCTGGCCATTGGCTCAGGGTCTCAGTTCTTATCCATGTGGTCTCTCATCCTCCAGTAGGATAGACTGACTTCCTTAGATGGTAGACAATGTTCCAAGAGAGCGATGGTGGAAACTGTAAGCTCTCTTGAGGCCTAAACTCCAGAACTTATGCAACATCACTTCTGTTCTATTCCTTTATTCAAAGCAAGTCACAAAGTCAGTCCAGGTCAAAGGAATGAATAAATAGGCTCCACCTCATAATGGGAGAGTTGCAAAGAATGTGTGGCCATATTTAATCCACCACAATGTGGTAGATAGCTGGATTATGTTAGATGGGAACATCTTTGGAATTAGTATATATACAGGAAGCAGGGTGTGTATGCCAGGCAGGTGGGACAGACTGTTCTAGGCATGTGCCCACTGAGGAGCCTACAGTTGGGGTGTGACTTCCATGGTGGGTCCTCTGAGCTGAGGACCCTATGACAAGGTATACATTAGACCTCTGGTTCACAGGGGCAACTTGGAGCTGAAGACCTACCATAGCTGAGTGACTTCATGCCTCTTAGCCTCAGTTCATCCTCTGTAAAATGGGCATGCTGATCCCTGCCTCACAGATTGACTGTGAAACTGAAGATGAGATGATCACCACTAATGTGCCTTGTAAATGACAGAGTGTCATCTACATGTGACTGTGTATTATTATCTGAGATCTGAGGAAGAAGTACTCAAGATGGGCCTGGGTAGTTGCAGAGGGCAGGAAGGAGGACACTGAGACAGGGATTTGAAGAAGGACATTCACACTGGTGAGGGAGAAGGGCCGTATTTCAAGATGGGAAGCTGGAGAATAAAATTATAAAGGCACAGAGGTAGAACAATGACAGAGGGTACCCAGGAGAGGGAGGAGAGCAACTTGGTCAGAGGGTGAGCCCCCTCTACCACCCTGGACTCTGGGTTTCTGTGTTCCCAGGCAGTGGGGCAGCAGCCACTGATGGTCACTCAGAACTACAGCCAAGGCTTCCATTCTTCAAGGTTTATCAGCTGCTTATCCCCCCACAGGCCTCCAAGGCCTCCTCCAGCCACAGGGGTTGACGACAGAGGTGGTGGGCAGGTGGTCAGAGAGTCAGATAGAGCACCCTCCTCCTGAGCCACCAGGATCAGGTCAGACCCCTCCCAGTGTTCCCAAGCTCCTTTCCCCACTGCAGGGTGCAGGGTGTGGACCCCTGGCTATAGGCTTGGGTTACAGGTGGCCTAGCTAAGCTGGGTTCCAAGTCCCTTCATCCCCTGGGCAGGGATGGGGTGATTGATGGGTTTCCAGCATGTTCCAGGCAGAAGCTTGGAGTGGCTGCAGAGTAGCCTGGCTTGCAGAAGCCCCAGATGGCCACTCGTGGCTGAGGCTGACCCACCCAGGCCAGGCCTTGGACAGTCTAGACCTACGGCCACCTCCAAAGCCCTCTCTATTCTGGGGTCCTGGTTGAGGACAGCAATAGCTTCCCCCCCAAAGGAGTCCTGGGAAGAGAGAGTGAGGGCAGGCTCAGATTTCCCCAGTCTAGCCCTGTGCAGCTCACACAGCTCATTCCTACTTGGAGACAGGAAAGGACTCTGATGGGAGTATGGGAGGAGGCAAGATATGAGACAGGTGGACGGAAATGGCATGGTGGAATTGGAACGCAGCCCTCAACCCTGTACTTACCATATTAACACGCACTGGCCACTTGGGGCTAGGTAAGTGAGGGCCTCAGTGTGAGTGCTGGGCTGAATGAGGAGACCCAGGCAGGAATCCTGGCCTAAAACACTCCACTTTGCCCAATCCTCACCCATAGGGTACCCTGCCTCCCACTACAGAAAGAGATGGAGGTGACTGGGAGGCTGGGGAGGCGTCTCTTACCCACCCTGGCATTCCACAGAATGAAGGCCTTGGAGAGCAGCTGATTACCCTGACCTTGCCCTCTGGTTTACCTCCCACTACCTTCCTTTCCTGTGTATCTCTCTTGCTGTCCTTATCCAGCCTTGGTGGTCATATCTGCTTCTCTGGACTTCCTCCTGACCTTGACTCCACACTGGCTCCTCTGACTTCTGCCAGACACGTAGGAGCAGTCGTTCCCTCCACTCTCTCCTCCCAGCTCTGTTTGCTGTCAGTACAGATGGTCCCCAACTTAGGATGATTCAAGTTACAATTTTCCGACTTTATGATGTGCAAATGTGACACAAATTCAGTAGAAACTGTACTTTCCTGTACAACCATTGTGTTTTTCACTTTCAGTACAGTATTCAATGTATCACATGAGATAATCAATACTTTATGGTAAAATAGGCTTTTTGTTAGATGGTTTCGTACAACTGTAGGCTACTGTAGGCTAATGTAAGTGTTCTGAACATATTTAAGGTAGGCTAGGCTAAGTTCTGATGTTCAGTAGGTTAGGTGCATTAAGCGTATTTTTTTTACTTATGATATTTTCAACTTACAGTGGGTTTATTGGGACATTACTATAAGCCAAAGAGCATCTGTATATCTCAAACCTTGCAATCTCAGAGCTGGCAGGGGCCTGCAAACTCACTCAGTCCATCTCCCGTTGCACACCTGAGGCCCAGGGTTACTTGGGTTCTTGCTAGTTCACGGTCGCATATCAGAATCAGAAACAGCCAGGACTAGGCTTCTGAATTCCAAATTTCAATTTTTCTCCTGTCCTTTGATCTGGGGATTGTGGCTCAGCCTGTCTGTCTGTCTATTCCTTAGGCCATCAGATTTCACATGGGGTTCACTCAGTTCAGACGTCTGCAGTCAAAGCCATGGCTGAAACTGAGTCATGGCTTGGCTCTGACAAGTTGGACCAGACTAGGGCCAACTACAGGGCTTATGAACCAAGGGCTGGTGGCCAGGAGGGAGACGGGGCTCCAGGAGATAAAGCAAATCAGATCTATGCCCCAGGTCTACTTGGGAACCATGCTGCTCAACATCCTTTCTCCACCCCCACTCTCTTCCCCAGCAGATTTTTTTTTTTTTTTTTTTAGACCAAGTCTCACTCTGTCACCCAGGCTGGAGTGCAGTGGCACGATCTCAACTCACTGCATCCTCTGCCTCCTGGGTTCAAGCCACTCTCCTGCCTCAGTCTCCCAAGTAGCTGGGATTACAGGCACACTCCACCATGCCTGGCTAGTTTTTCTATTTTTAGTAGAGATGGGTTTCACTATGTTGACCAGGCTGGTCTTGAACTCCTGACCTCAAGTGATCCACCCGCCCCTGTCTCCCACAGTGTTGGGATTACAGGCGTGAGCCACTCCACCCAGCCTCCCAGTATATCTTGTCAAAGGCAATGCTCAGAAAAAACAGCTCTTACGCACACATACACACACACACACAGAAAGACACATACACACAGGAAAAGGCATAAACACACACACACAGAACTCTCTGGCATGTGGGTATGCACTGTTGTACTACGGGATCATTTCCACGTGAGGCTCTTTCCTCTGAGTGCAAGGATACATCTCTTTTCTTGTGCCTTCCCAGTGCCCAGTCTAGAGCCTGGGAATAAGAGCTCGGTAAAGGTATGTGGAGAGAGTGAGCTGACCCTGGCGTGGATGGCCACAGGACCAGGCCTCCATCTCCAGTTGCTGGCATGAGGCAGGAAGCCCAGCCCAGGCTAGATGAGCCTGCTACATGGGGCAGGACCTGGGAAGCTCCCACTGTGGTCCTTAGTACACTCGCTCTTCATCTTCTTCCTTCAACTGGGGCTCTATCACTGTGACCAGTCAATCTCAAAATGTGATCCATGAACCAACAGCATCAATCTCATCTGGGAACTTGTTAGAATGCAAAGTCTCAGGCCCCACTGAATCAGAAACTCTGGGTGTGGGGTCCAGAAATCTGCTTTAACCGCCCTCCAGGTGATTCTAACACATGCTAAAATTAGAGAACCAGTGTCTGTGCAAACAGATAACCTCATGCTGGGGCCAGGGGGCCGGGAGTGGGGGTGTGAAGCCCCAGAGCACATGCAGCTGCATACGCCCCCTATGGGTAACACTGGCTGTTCACATGCTGGTGGATGCCTATACCTGAAGGCAGACACGTACTCACACGCATGCACATATATGAGCATCAGGGTCTCAGAAGAGTCCACATGCTGGAGCTCTGGGGTCTCAGTGGGTACCAGCAGGCACTCAGATGGAAGTGGGGGGGAGAAAGGAAGAACTGTTCTCACCAGCTGACAACCTATGCCCCACAATTCTTTTGTCCCTTATCCCTTCTGAGGTTCCCTGAGTGTTCCCTCAGAAGCCAGAGAAGCTGAGTAGTTGCCCAACTCAGACCAGACACACCCAGCTGAGAGGCCAAGGTGGCCTGTGTGCCTAAGAGTGTTTGGAGTATGTGCTAAGACCAGCAAAGTCTTTTCTCTGTGTGGGCGAGCCAGGGCCAGGGGAATGTGGGGCATCAGCAAGCTAGGCTTAGGCAAGAGCACACCATCCCCCGGGCCATGAAATGCTGCCCAGATCTAGAATTCCCCGTGGCCCCTTCCCAGGGCTGTTTCTAGTGCCCAGCCCACCTCCTGACCCCTCTCTCTGCTCTGGACTGTGATGCCCCAGGCCACTGCCCACCTGGCCCATCACCAGGTCCTGCGGCATCTCCTCCTTAGGATCTGGACATAAAATCCTGGCCTCTGTGAACTGCAAGGGGACATGGGGAGGGGAGAGGGAGGCTCATGCTCAGATCTGGTTTCGCTGCTGCTTCCTCTGGCTGGCTGCCACAGGCTGAGCCACCAGCTGTGCTATATAAGGCCGGCACTGGACTGCTGGAGAGGCGAAGGCTTGGACCCCCAGCTGAGGAGTCCTGCTCAAGACACGGTGAGCTCCACTCCTATTCCCCTCACCCCATCCCTGCACCCCACTGCTGGACTCAACTGCTCCTGCCCTCCCCTGACTACTCCATTCCCTTCTCCCCACTTCCCCCCACTTTTTGCTGCCTGATCCTTCATCTCCCACAGAGAAGACTCCCTTTCTGCTTTGGGAATCTGCTTTCCCCCATTGGCCCAAAGTCCTCTCCCTCCCCCACCTGAGGACAGGAACCCCCAGATGGTCCCACTTAGGGTTTCCATACCTCTGGGTGCCCTGCTTTATTCCCTGCGGTCAGCCAGTCTGCTTTGTCCAAGTGTTCTGAGGAGCGTGGGATGGCAAGCCTAACCATCAGGGCATATGCTGAGGAAACGGCGGAGATGCTGAGAAACCTCTGTGGGCTGCCAGATGGGAAATGGTTTTTCCACAAGGTGTCTCAGGCCACCTCAGCCTCCAGACATCCCTGGAGCAGGCTCAGGCTCAGGCTGAATGCAGTGCAGGCCAGCAGACTGCTCAGCTCCCTGCTTGGAGCCCAGAGGGATACACACAATGTGGAGGCCTTTGGGACGTCCTGGTGACTCTGCTCCCTCATCCGAGAAACAGGTAGTGGTGGGGCCAGTGGTTTTAGAGCTAGAAGGTCTGCAGCATGGGACTGGTTTTTTCTTCCCCTGGAATATCCCAGTGTTTTCAGATATGTGTATTTTTTAGAGAGGAGGACTCTTCCCTTTCCTACCACACCCTGGACTTAGGATGTTGAAGGGAACCACTTTTGAATCCCCAGAAACGAGTCAGATTCTGGGTTGGCCGGAGCTCTGGGGAGACATAAAAATGTTCTGCTCAGCTGCGGCCTGGGCCACGCACGCCCCATAGTTCCTTGCCCTTGTCCCAGGCCTGCTTTCCTCTCCTGACCCTTGCAGTTCCTCACCCACGCTCAGCAGTTACTGGGGAGCCCTGGCCTCTCACAATGCATCCCCTCTGCTTTCCGTCAGCTGGCTCCTGGCTGTGTAACTCCCAGTCAGGCCCCAAACAAAAAGGCCAGAAATGTGTTCCAGCTGCAGCCCGTGCACATCTGGGAATGTGTTCATGGAGGTGGTATGTCCGAGGCATCTGCACCCTCCAGCCAGCCTGCCTTATGAGAGGCCACTGGAGTCGGAGCCAAGTCTTCACGGCCTTAATATGTACCCGCCTGTGTGAGAGTGTGAACTCCATCAAAGGATGGCAAAACAAATGCCCCTCAGGCCTGGGTTTTAGAAGTGACGAGTCACCAAGAGGCTGCTGGGGGTGAGCCCTGGACTCTCCTCATTGCAAGGAACCTCCTCGCCCCTGCTTGTCCTTGTGCCTCATCTCCATGTGGGGCCCTGGAGCCTACCCCCAGGGATGGAACCTAGTCTGCCTCATTTGAACTCAGATTCTGAGCCTCTGCACCTCCCAAGCTACCTGGTTTCACAACTCAGGCAGATATCACTTTCATATCATTCTGTCCACCTTTCCCTCCTTGACAGGTCAAGAAATATTTCTGCTTGAGCCATAAGCGGTGATTCAGAAATATGAAACCTGACAAGCTTTGTTTCTTTACAGGTCACTGGATCTGAGAAACTTCCCAGGGGACCGCATTCCAGAGTCAGTGACTCTGTGAAGCACCCACATCTACCTCTTGCCACGTTCCCACGGGCTTGGGGGAAAGATGGTGGGGACCAAGGCCTGGGTGTTCTCCTTCCTGGTCCTGGAAGTCACATCTGTGTTGGGTATAGGCTAAGTATCTGCTGGCTCCCAAATCTTCCACTTGCCACAGTGAGGTTGTGTCTGGTCTGGGACTGAACTATGCATCTGCCTTAAGACACAGCAAGGCCTTAAGACCTGAGGCCACTTTATGGATTTATTCGTAATTTATACCCTGTTTGTTTTTCTCCAAAACTTGAGATTGTTCCCATTATTAAAACTCACAAAACAGAACCTTTATATGAGAAGAGGGATGAGCAGTCATTCAGAGGGAGGAAAAAAAGATAAGAGGGTTATTTTTAGCCCTTGAGTACCAAATTGAGCTCCGAGCTTCCTGGCAGCCAAAGTAATAGGGAATCACAGGGCATCAGTGAGATCTCAGAAGCAGGTTTGGGGTTTGGTCTGTTTTTAGTTTTATGAAGATTCTTTTGGCCCAAAGCTCAATTTCATTTAGACCCTGCAGCCAAATTTCACAGACACACCAGAACCCCTTCCGGTCTCCTTGCCCTCTGACTGCATCCTCTGGTGATACTGAGCTCTGGAAGGAACTCGTAGAAAGAATTTGTCTGGTGGAACAGAAGACTTCCCAAGGCATCTAAGCGTCAGCCCTCCCCTGCACACTCTCTCCCACCTCCTCCCCTTCCTCTCCTGATTTCTAAGCACATACTCAGGTAAAGCAAAAGCAAAAAAAAAAAAAAAAAAAAAAAAGCTCAAAACCCTCCTTTAAAGCTGTATGCCTTGCAGGATTTGTGGCTACAAATGCAGGAACAAAGGCTGTCTCAGCCTGGAGCCAACCCCTGTATGTGCCTGCCTCCTGCCTTGCTCTTTCCACCCTGACAGCTGCTGCTTGTGAAGATGATTAACATTCAACCATCTGAGGGGAAATCAGATTAGGTTGATTAAAAGAGCTCCTATCACCCCAATTAAGCAGCATAGAGAATTCTGATTTGGCTCCTGGAGTAAGCGTTAATTGCCTGTCAAAGCTTCTGCAGCCCTCTGCTCCGCATTCTCCTTCCCATTCTGGAGACCCCAACCCAGCCTCAGGTAGGGTACAGCTGGAACTGCTTGTGGCCCGAGGACCCTGTACCCATCCTCAGGCAGTCCCTGCCAGCCTCGTATGGAAAATTGAGGACCGCTGCCCCAATTAGGCCATAGGAGTCTTTATGGGAGAGTGGACTCCCAAGGGAAAGTAAATGGCCATCTATTCTGGCGTTGAGCTAAAAGAAGTTGCTAGCACTTATTCAGTATGCGTTATGTGCTAGGTGTTGTTCTAAGTGGATTTTATGAATGAGCTTATTTAATCCCCACAATACTCTAAGGCAGGAACTATCATTATCCTTATTTTATGATGAAAGAACATGGGGTCAGCTGGGTTAAGTAACTTGCCCAAAGTCACACAGTTAGAAACTGGCAGAGTCTCAGGAGCCCACACTGTCAATCTGCATATACTTCAGAGGCTTTTACGTTCTAGCTCATGGAATCCTCATGCCAACTGAATCACCCTGCGAGATGGGAATAAATATCTCCATTTTACACATGAGGAAAACAAAGCTCCATTTTGCCAAGAAGGTTTGGTGCAGACACCAAAGCAGGAGTCCCAGGCCACTGGCTGCTCAGGAGCATCTGATAATCCATTTCTAGAACAAGAGTGAAAAGGGAGATACCATTCACTGAGTGTGCACTACAAGCCAGGTCTCTTTACATTCATTATCACCTGAATAATGCACCAGGACCCTAGGATGCAGCAATTATTAGTGCATTCCTATTTTATGGGGAAACAGGCTCAGAGGAGTAAAGCTTTTCTGAGATTGCACAGCAATAAGTAGCAGAGTGGGGTTTGAACCCATGCCTGGTGCTCATGCTCCATTCACCACCTCACACTGTTTCCCTGCATCTTGAGGAATGCTGTAACTTCCAGTCCTGGCCTCTCACTTAGCTTCTCCTTCTGGCCCTCAGGGAGACAGACGATGCTCACCCAGTCAGTAAGAAGAGTCCAGCCTGGGAAGAAGAACCCCAGCATCTTTGCCAAGCCTGCCGACACCCTGGAGAGTGAGTTGTGGCTGAAGCAGGGAGGGGCTGGAGGGGCAGCCTTTAACGAGCTTCCGAAGTGGATCTCTGAAGCCAGGGCATGATGTCAGGGTCCCATGGAAACCCACTTTTACAAGCATTTGGCCTCCATCTCTGTCCAGCCAAGGAACTTAGTATATAAGACAGCTCAGAATCAGGAATCTGCCTGATACCTTTCAGGAATGCTGTGGAGCTTGCTGGGGCCAGAGCACAGGCTGGTGGGAAGGGAGTGGGGAGATGAGTATGGAGAGATGGCTGGGGACAGCTCACCAGCACCCTGAATGCCTAGCTAGACGATCTTAAAGCTGGAGGTGATGTGGCCCGAGCCACATGAAGAAAGCTCACCCTGACTGCAGGGTCAGGGATGGGTGTGAGTGGCATTGAGGAGGAGCCTTGATGTGGAAAGTGACTGACATGGTTCAGTCAGGCTGATGAGAGCTTGAATGGAGGCCTCAGCAGTGGCAGGTGTAAGAGGGGATTGGAGAGATACTGGAGAGACAAATGTGATAGGGCCTGAGGCCAGCTGGGGGTGGGTGAGAGGGAAAGGAGAACTGGAGCGCACCAGGATCACGGCTCCTCCGCAATTTGGCTATGTCTCTCAGGCCCTGGTGAGTGGACAACATGGTTCAACATCGACTACCCAGGCGGGAAGGGCGACTATGAGCGGCTGGACGCCATTCGCTTCTACTATGGGGACCGTGTATGTGCCCGTCCCCTGCGGCTAGAGGCTCGGACCACTGACTGGACACCTGCGGGCAGCACTGGCCAGGTGGTCCATGGTAGTCCCCGTGAGGGTTTCTGGTGCCTCAACAGGGAGCAGCGGCCTGGCCAGAACTGCTCTAATTACACCGTACGCTTCCTCTGCCCACCAGGTAAGCCAGAACGCCCCCACCCCCACCCGCTACTTCCCACTGGCCTCTACTCAGGGAGAGGGAGAACCTGCCTCTGGCCACCAGAACTCTCAGCATCACACACATGCGTATGCTTGGACTCTGTAATAATAACAAGTAGTGACACACATGCATATGCTTGGACTCTGTAATAATAACAAGTAGTGTCATTAATGCCAGAACTTTTCCAATAGTGTTTTGTGTTTATGGGTACTCTCTATTCAACCTATTTTATTATGTTTGAGTGGTACCATGGTGAAGACCACAGGCTCTGAAGTGGGGCTGCTTGGGTTTGAATTCTGAGCCCGCAATATGATGTGTCCCCTAGACAAATTTTCTGAAATTCTCTTAGTTTCAGGTTTCTCATATGTGACACCTGGGTAATAGTAAGTCTTCATAGGGGTTTTTAATGAGGATTAAATGATATGAATGCAGAGGCTTAACCCAGGTAAATGCTCACTGAGTGTTAGTTTCTATTCTTGTTCCTATGTGCCAGATACTGTGCTAGTTATCCACTTTATTCAACCTTTACAACTGACCTTTGAGAGATCTCCATCTTGACAAGTTACACGAGGTTCAGAGAAGCTAGGTAACTTCTCACGATTCCATAGCTGATAAGGCAGAGCTGGGGTTTGAACCATGTCCGTGTTTGCAGAGTCTATGCATTTATATCCCCTCCCACCATGGATAATACAGATGTTATGGGGAGCAGGCCTGCTCCCTTCTTGGATGGGGATCTTCTCCCTTAGGGTTCCACAAGATCCCCCAGGCCCAGACGCCAGTGGTGGTCATCTGGGATGGGAGCTCAGGCTGATCTGAGCAAGGTGTGAAGACCCCATTCTTGTACACAGGCCTCAGGCCAGAGGTGAGGAAGGTGGGCAGAAATGGGCTTCTTGTCCAAGTCATTGCATGTTGCAGGCCCCGACTTCCCAGGGGTCCCTGATTCCCAGGGAGTCCTTCCATAGGAGCATGTGGCCGTTTCCACACTGGTGAAGAAGAAAGACAGTGCTATCCCTGCACATCCTAGGACAGCATATCAAAGTCCCAGTGCTTGGCCAACAAGCACCGCTCAGGGCCACCCCTAGCCCATATGGTGCCTCTGTGCAAATTAGAGACCTCACTTCCTCAAGAATTTTGTCTGTTGGAAAAATCACTGCAGTAAATATAAATATCAGTGACATCTACGACATAAATGGAAACCTTGTCTTTACCAGAGAAGAAACAGCCTCAGGGTCAGATTTCCTGACAGAGTTCCCTCAAGAGGGAAATCAGACCGTCTGCTGATCTCACTTTGCAGGATCCCTGCGCCGAGACACAGAGCGCATCTGGAGCCCATGGTCTCCCTGGAGCAAGTGCTCAGCTGCCTGTGGTCAGACTGGGGTCCAGACTCGCACACGCATTTGCTTGGCAGAGATGGTGTCGCTGTGCAGTGAGGCCAGCGAAGAGGGTCAGCACTGCATGGGCCAGGACTGTACAGGTACCACCCTCCCTCCTGGCACTGGGCAGGGTGTGGTGGGTGAGGCTGAAGAATGAGGAGGGAGTTAGAGGGTCAGTTTGAGACTGATGGATTCCTTCATTTACTTACTCACCACGTATTAACTGAGCATCTACTATGTGCCCTAATGAGAGATATACAGGATAATATAGGAACACAGGGCAGGGTCAATTATCATAGCCTGGGGGAATCCAGGAGAGCTTCCTAGAGGAGGTGTTTTGGGCTAAGTTGTTGTTGTTGTTGTTGTTTTGAGACAGAGTCTTGCTCCATTGCCCAGGCTGGAGTGCAATGGCGCAATCTTGGCTTACTCCAGCCTCCGCCTCCTGGGTTTAAGGGATTCTACTATCTCAGCCTCCCTAGTAGCTGGGATTACAGGTGCGTGTCACCATGCCCAGCTAATTTTTGTATTTTTTGTAGAGACAAGGTTTCACCATGTTGGCCAGGCTGGTCTCAAACTCCTGACCTCAGGTGATACACCCACCTTGGCCTCCCAAAGTCCTGGGATTACAGGTGTGAGCCACCACGCCTGGCCTTGGGATAAGTTTTAAAGGATGAGTGGGAGTTAGTCATGCAGGCTGATAAGGGAGGGTAGCAAAGGCCAAGGAGGAGAGGAAGTGATCTGTGATGTGGCTGAAGGAATGCCAGAATCCATAGAATCCCTGCTGATATGGCCCCTTGTTCCACAGCCTGTGACCTGACCTGCCCAATGGGCCAGGTGAATGCTGACTGTGATGCCTGCATGTGCCAGGACTTCATGCTTCATGGGGCTGTCTCCCTTCCCGGAGGTGCCCCAGCCTCAGGGGCTGCTATCTACCTCCTGACCAAGACGCCGAAGCTGCTGACCCAGACAGACAGTGATGGGAGATTCCGAATCCCTGGCTTGTGCCCTGATGGCAAAAGCATCCTGAAGATCACAAAGGTCAAGTTTGCCCCCATTGTACTCACAATGCCCAAGACTAGCCTGAAGGCAGCCACCATCAAGGCAGAGTTTGTGAGGGCAGGTAACTAAATTCTTTGGGGTAGGGCTGGTGAGAAGGTCCAGATTTTTAAATAAAGGGATTATAGTGCTAAAAGCTGGCTTCCCAGCTAACTTGGAGTAAAACCCCGAATCCTTACCATGGCCCACATGGCACTATATTATCTGGCCCTCCATTTCTTCTCTGCTCTCCTCTCCTGTTACTCGCTCTACACCAAATCACTCTACTCCAACTGCAATGGGCTCCTATCTGTTCCTCAAACACACAGGCACATTCCTGCCTCAGGGCCTTCGTGCTTGCTGCATGTATTCTGTTTAGAATGTTCTTCCCATAGATATTGGCGTGGCTTGCTCCCTCAAATGTATGAGGTCTTCCCTGGCCACCTTATCTAACGGTCAATACAATATAGTGTGCGGTTTGCAGGTCACAGAGAGAAAGGCTTGGGAAGTTCAGAAATGGTGCAGGATGGCCAGAAAATTCTGCCAGGGGCAGCAGAACATGAATATTGCACTATTTAAAACAGTCAGTTCTGTCCCAAAGGTAGTGCTTGGAATCTTGGCTGACACAAGGTCCCCTTGTTTCACCACTGACCCACCCAGATGCTGCTTGACAGGCCATGGGAGAGGTCCCAGGATTGGGGGTGTGGAAGGATAGACTCCACTCTGAACCAATTCCCTTAGGACCAATGGAGATGGGCTGGGGGTAGGGGTGAAGCCTTATAATTTTCACAACATCAAAGACCCTGAGGGAGCTAGGCTCTGTAGAACCTGTCACACACACACACAAAAACCCAAAATGCTATTTCTCATTTTCTGTCCCAGAGACTCCATACATGGTGATGAACCCTGAGACAAAAGCACGGAGAGCTGGGCAGAGCGTGTCTCTGTGCTGTAAGGCCACAGGGAAGCCCAGGCCAGACAAGTATTTTTGGTGCGTATTCTGCTAGCTACCCTGCCCAATTCTCCTCCTGGAAACCAGAGCTTCTTGCATTGGGTCTGGACTTATTAATAAGAACAATAACCAACAGAATAAAGTTACAAGTAAGACAGTGGTACAGAGCCCGGATGTTGGGACTTACAAATGGGAGCCATGGGGTTGGGAGCCAGACAACCAGCAAGCTCTCTCATTGTACCCTCAAAGCTGGGGGAACCCTTTGGCCGGGCACAGTAGCTCACGCCTGTAATCCCAGCACTTCGGGAGGCTGTGGCAGGTGGATTGCTTGAGCCCAGGAGCTCGAGACCAGCCTGGACAACATAGTAAAGCCCTGTCTCTATAAAAAATGCAAAAAATTAGCCAGGTTTGCAGGCTTGTGTTTCTAGTACCAGCTACTCGGCAGGATGAGGTAGGAGGATCGCTTGAGTCCAGGAGGCGGAGGTTGCAGTGAGCTGTGATCACACCACTGCACTCCAGCCTGAGTGACAGTGTGTGATCTTGTCTCAAAAAAAAAAAAAAAAAAAGCTGTGGTCCCCTGGAGCATCTCTGGTCTTGGGGTCCAGACTTGTATATCATCAGGACACAGAACAAAGTTCCTAGGTCCTGCTTTTCCCAATAAAAGCAAACAAGGGGCCAGGCATGGTGTCTCATGCCTGTAATTCCAGCACTTTGGGAGGCCGAGGAGGGTGGGTCACTTGAGGTCAGGAGTTCGAGACCAGTCTGGCCAACATGGTGAAACCCCATATCTACTAAAAATACAAAAATTAGCTGGGCGTGGTGGTGCATGCCTGTAATCCCAGCTACTCGAGAGGCTAAGGCAGGAGAATCGCTTGAACCTGGGAGACGGAGGTTGCAGTGAGTCAAGATCATGCCACTGTACTCTAGCCTAGGCGACAGAGCAAGACTCCATCTCAGGAAAAAAAAAAAATGCAAACAAGGGCAGAATCCCTTATGGCTGTGAGTCCTTTATCCTTCACAAACATTTTATAGCCACTTTCTTATTTGACCCATCCAACAGTCCTGTGAAGTCAGCTAGAAGTCATTGCTGACATTTTATAGACCAGAAAGCTGAAGTACAGATTGGTGAGATGGGGTGGGGGAGGTTGTCCAAGCATCCCCAGCCAGGTACGTGGTAGGGCTGGGACTTAGAACCAAGCTCCTTGTTTCCCAGGCCAATTAGTGCTCTTGGATGAGCCAAGTCAAAGGTGATATTGACATTTGTGGGAACCCATTCATCATCTGTCTCCTTGGCTGCCTGCTCCTGGCACTTTTCTAGGAATACCTGCCCTCCCACTGCCCATTCAGGTTCTACCTCTCCATCCCTTGCAGGTATCATAATGACACATTGCTGGATCCTTCCCTCTACAAGCATGAGAGCAAGCTGGTGCTGAGGAAACTGCAGCAGCACCAGGCTGGGGAGTACTTTTGCAAGGCCCAGAGTGATGCTGGGGCTGTGAAGTCCAAGGTTGCCCAGCTGATTGTCATAGGTAAGCCTGTCTGGGTCCCTGGGGCCCCTGGGTCTGCAACAGGGTTGGCTGAGCACCCAGGTGGGCATAACTATGCAGTAATAGCTAAGGCTTTTCTTTTTTCTTTTCTTTTCTTTCTTTCTTTTTTTTTTTTTTTTTTTTTTGAGATGGAGTCTCGCTGTGTCACCCAGGCTGGAGTGCAGTGGCACCATCTCAGCTCACTTCAACCTCTGCCTCCCAGGTTCAAGTGATTCTCCTGCCTCAGCCTCCTGAATAGCTGGGATTACAGGCGTGCACCACCACATCTGGCTAATTTTTATATTTTTAGTAGAGATGGTGTTTCGCCATGTTGGCCAGGCTGGTCTTGAACTCCTGACCCCCACCACCTCTTTCGTCCTCCCAAAGTGCTGGGATTACATGCATGAACCACCGTGCCTGGCCAAGCTCAGGCTTTTCTGTACTGTGCACAGTGCCAGGACCTCTAGGACATAACGATGGTACAGATCTGAATCCTACCACCATGGAGCCATCATTTGAGGAGGAGTGAAGACATGTAAATAAGCGACAAACAAGATAGAAAAATGCAGCTAAGGCCAGGTGTGGCGGCTCACACCTGTAATCCCAGCACTTTGGGAGGCCAAGGTGGATGGATCACCTCAGGTTTGGAGTTCGAGACCAGCCTGGACAACATGGTGAAACCCTGTGTCTACTAAAAATACAAAAATTAGCCAGGCATGGTGGCGTGCGCCTGTAATCCCAGCTACTCAGGAGGCTGAGGTAGTAGAATCGCTTGAACTCAGGAGGCAGAGGTTGCAGTGAGCCGAGTTCACGCCACTGCACTCCAGCCTGGGAAACAGAGCAAGACTCTGTCTCAAAAAAAAAAGAAGAAGAAGAAAAGAAAAATGCAGCTAAAATAGGAGACAAGGGGCTGTGGACTCTAATAGATGGTAGATACCTCCCAGGTGGGAGTGACCATGGATGGCTACTTGAGGGAGCAGCTTTCCAGCTGGGGCTTAAGTAATGGTTCTCAGCTTTGGCTGCCCATTGGTATGACCTGACTGGGTTTGAAAAAATACTGATGCCTCAGTCTTACCTCCAGAGAGTCTGACTTAATTGGTCTGAGATGTGGCCTGGGCATGCATAGTTTAAAACCTCCCCATGTGATTCCAATTTGCAACCAAGGTTAGAACCCCTGGTCTTAAAGAATGGGCAGGGATTGTGTATGTGGAGGTGAGGGTGTTCCAGATTGAGGGGCCAGCATGGGTAAAGATATAGAAGTGGGAACTGAGGGGGCTTTACAAGAAAGGGTGATCTAGAGCTGGCTTCAAGAACAGAACTGGATGGGGAGAGATTAGAGGCCAAAGACCAATCAGGGGCCTGTCTTTGGAAAATGAGTAGGAAGGAAGATAGCTTGGTAATTGGCCTAAACAAAACAAAACGCAGAGAAGGACAGAATGTATTGGAAGGATCCTGGACTACTTTAGACTCTTAAAAAGTTGAGCAACAGACCTCAGGGCAGACAAGACACACAGTACTCTGGACATTGGCAGAGATATGGAGCCCTCAGCAGTGGTCCCAACCCATCACACCAAGGCTCCCTCTTTGCTACAGGAATTTTTAATACTACTTTATTATTCTGAAGTTACATTTATAGATAACTACCTATAATTTCCAAATGTATATGTGCATGGTCCTAACTATAAAACAAAGGATAAATTTTTTAAATTTTAATACAAAATAGTGTGTATTCCCATATCTAAATGCTTTGGCACATTGACACGAGAAGACAAACCAAGAAGTTAACTACTTGCATTTAAATCCAGGGTCACCATAAACATGACCGCTACAAGTGCTGATGGATACAGAGGTATCATTCTGGCATTCACAGTCCTTGGGTAATGGTGTTGTAGAAACGTGATTTTCCTGAGACGAGGAACAATTCTTGGTATTGTTCTGAGCTAAACAAAGTATAATCTTAGCTCAATTTATATGGTAGTTGCATTCTTGAAAAATTCAGTATATGGTTAAAGCCATGTAAAAGATACTAGGCTCTGATCTTTTAATTTGTTTTAGACAGGGTCTTGCTCTGTCGCCCAGGCTGGAGGGTAGTGGCACACTCACGGCTAACTGCAGCATTGACTTTCCAGGCTCAAGCAATCCTCCCACCTCAGCCTCCTGAGTAGCTGGGACTACAGGCGTGTGCCACCATGCCCAGCTGATTTTTGTATTTTTTGTAGAGACAGGGTTTCATCATGTTGCCCTGGCTGGTCTCGAACTCCTAGGCTCAAGCAACCCACCCACCTTGGCCTCCCAAATTGTTGGGATAACAGGTGTGAGCCACTGCATCCGGCCAAAGCTCTGATCACTTTAAACAGGTTTTCTACCTACATGAATGAGTGGTGGGATATGTGAAAGTTGTTCAGAACACAGAGATTCTTTATGCAGAACAGTGCCAGGCATTGCAGGACATAGAACATCAATGGCCCCTACCCACAATATGCCAGTAGCATCCCCAATTTTGGAGATAACCCAAAACACCTTCATAAATTTTCAAGACCCCTCCATTGAGACAAACCGCCACTGTAGTGGTCCCATCAACCAACTCTGTTTCCCGGTATATAAAATGGGATCAGTAATAGCTGTTCTATCCTCTCAGAGAGTTCTGTGAGAATGAGAATCATGGATATACAAGTCCTTTGAAAACCATAGAATACTGTAGAGAGGTGAGGTTGAGGTACTCTTTGTGTAGGATGTAAACTTACATCTTAATTTCCACACCATTTCCCTACACAGCATCTGATGAGACTCCTTGCAACCCAGTTCCTGAGAGCTATCTTATCCGGCTGCCCCATGATTGCTTTCAGAATGCCACCAACTCCTTCTACTATGACGTGGGACGCTGCCCTGTTAAGACTTGTGCAGGGCAGCAGGATAATGGGATCAGGTGCCGTGATGCTGTGCAGAACTGCTGTGGCATCTCCAAGACAGAGGAAAGGGAGATCCAGTGCAGTGGCTACACGCTACCCACCAAGGTGGCCAAGGAGTGCAGCTGCCAGCGGTGTACGGAAACTCGGAGCATCGTGCGGGGCCGTGTCAGTGCTGCTGACAATGGGGAGCCCATGCGCTTTGGCCATGTGTACATGGGGAACAGCCGTGTAAGCATGACTGGCTACAAGGGCACTTTCACCCTCCATGTCCCCCAGGACACTGAGAGGCTGGTGCTCACATTTGTGGACAGGCTGCAGAAGTTTGTCAACACCACCAAAGTGCTACCTTTCAACAAGAAGGGGAGTGCCGTGTTCCATGAAATCAAGATGCTTCGTCGGAAAAAGCCCATCACTTTGGAAGCCATGGAGACCAACATCATCCCCCTGGGGGAAGTGGTTGGTGAAGACCCCATGGCTGAACTGGAGATTCCATCCAGGAGTTTCTACAGGCAGAATGGGGAGCCCTACATAGGAAAAGTGAAGGCCAGTGTGACCTTCCTGGATCCCCGGAATATTTCCACAGCCACAGCTGCCCAGACTGACCTGAACTTCATCAATGACGAAGGAGACACTTTCCCCCTTCGGACGTATGGCATGTTCTCTGTGGACTTCAGAGATGAGGTCACCTCAGAGCCACTTAATGCTGGCAAAGTGAAGGTCCACCTTGACTCGACCCAGGTCAAGATGCCAGAGCACATATCCACAGTGAAACTCTGGTCACTCAATCCAGACACAGGGCTGTGGGAGGAGGAAGGTGATTTCAAATTTGAAAATCAAAGGAGGAACAAAAGAGAAGACAGAACCTTCCTGGTGGGCAACCTGGAGATTCGTGAGAGGAGGCTCTTTAACCTGGATGTTCCTGAAAGCAGGCGGTGCTTTGTTAAGGTGAGGGCCTACCGGAGTGAGAGGTTCTTGCCTAGTGAGCAGATCCAGGGGGTTGTGATCTCCGTGATTAACCTGGAGCCTAGAACTGGCTTCTTGTCCAACCCTAGGGCCTGGGGCCGCTTTGACAGTGTCATCACAGGCCCCAACGGGGCCTGTGTGCCTGCCTTCTGTGATGACCAGTCCCCTGATGCCTACTCTGCCTATGTCTTGGCAAGCCTGGCTGGGGAGGAACTGCAAGCAGTGGAGTCTTCTCCTAAATTCAACCCAAATGCAATTGGCGTCCCTCAGCCCTATCTCAACAAGCTCAACTACCGTCGGACGGACCATGAGGATCCACGGGTTAAAAAGACAGCTTTCCAGATTAGCATGGCCAAGCCAAGGCCCAACTCAGCTGAGGAGAGCAATGGGCCCATCTATGCCTTTGAGAACCTCCGGGCATGTGAAGAGGCACCACCCAGTGCAGCCCACTTCCGGTTCTACCAGATTGAGGGGGATCGATATGACTACAACACAGTCCCCTTCAACGAAGATGACCCTATGAGCTGGACTGAAGACTATCTGGCATGGTGGCCAAAGCCGATGGAATTCAGGGCCTGCTATATCAAGGTGAAGATTGTGGGGCCACTGGAAGTGAATGTGCGATCCCGCAACATGGGGGGCACTCATCGGCAGACAGTGGGGAAGCTGTATGGAATCCGAGATGTGAGGAGCACTCGGGACAGGGACCAGCCCAATGTCTCAGCTGCCTGTCTGGAGTTCAAGTGCAGTGGGATGCTCTATGATCAGGACCGTGTGGACCGCACCCTGGTGAAGGTCATCCCCCAGGGCAGCTGCCGTCGAGCCAGTGTGAACCCCATGCTGCATGAGTACCTGGTCAACCACTTGCCACTTGCAGTCAACAACGACACCAGTGAGTACACCATGCTGGCACCCTTGGACCCACTGGGCCACAACTATGGCATCTACACTGTCACTGACCAGGACCCTCGCACGGCCAAGGAGATCGCGCTCGGCCGGTGCTTTGATGGCACATCCGATGGCTCCTCCAGAATCATGAAGAGCAATGTGGGAGTAGCCCTCACCTTCAACTGTGTAGAGAGGCAAGTAGGCCGCCAGAGTGCCTTCCAGTACCTCCAAAGCACCCCAGCCCAGTCCCCTGCTGCAGGCACTGTCCAAGGAAGAGTGCCCTCGAGGAGGCAGCAGCGAGCGAGCAGGGGTGGCCAGCGCCAGGGTGGAGTGGTGGCCTCTCTGAGATTTCCTAGAGTTGCTCAACAGCCCCTGATCAACTAAGTTTTGTGGTACTTCACCCTCTTCTGCCCTCATTTCATGTGACAGCCATTGTGAGACTGATGCACAAACTGTCACTTGGTTAATTTAAGCACTTCTGTTTTCGTGAATTTGCTTGTTTGTTTCTTCATGCCTTTACTTACTTTGTCCCATGCTACTGATTGGCACGTGGCCCCCACAATGGCACAATAAAGCCCCTTTGTGAAACTGTTCTTTAAATGAAACACAAGAAATTGGCCACTGGTAAAACTCTGCAGCTTCAACTGTACTTCATTTAATGCCATTAATGCAAATATACTTCCTCTTCTTTTTGCATGGTTTTGCCCACCTCTGCAATAGTGATAATCTGATGCTGAAGATCAAATAACCAATATAAAGCATATTTCTTGGCCTTGCTCCACAGGACATAGGCAAGCCTTGATCATAGTTCATACATATAAATGGTGGTGAAATAAAGAAATAAAACACAATACTTTTACTTGAAATGTAAATAACTTATTTATTTCTTTGCTAAATTTGGAATTCTAGTGCACATTCAAAGTTAAGCTATTAAATATAGGGTGATCATAGTTCCTCTACCAAGTCTGGAAAGAACATCTCCTGGTATCCACAATTACACCAGGTTGCTAACTGTATTTGTACATTTCCCTTTGCATTCGCTTCTGTTCTTGCTAGAAACCCAGTGTAGCCCAGGGCAGATGTCAATAAATGCATACTCTGTATTTCGATTCTGAGGCCACTGTCCTGTCTTAACTATTAAAGTGAGCCAGCTTCTCAGAGGAGTACAGGGGACTCTGGAAAGCAGTCACAGGTGGTGTAAGTCCTCGCCCCCTAAGTTACAGGGCAGGGCAACATAGGCACACACTCCAGCAGTCAAATTTGTTCTCATGGATCACATTTTCCGTTTGCAGAAAAGAGCAGATTCCTGGAGTTGTGAGCATGTTCTGGGCTCCTGAGCAAGACTAAAAACACGTCCCGATTTTTTTCTTTCCTTCTTTCCAATACTTTGGAGCTTATACAATGGCTTGGCCCAGGGTCTGACAAGCTGGCCAAGTGGTCCTTTGGCTCTCCCAACAGCCTGTTGCCTTCTCCAGCTGGGCTGGCCGGCCTCACTCAGAAATGGGCTTTTACTTTTTTCTTTATGCTCTTCTAAAGATGTTCAACTTTTCCAGACACCAGATCTCTGTTGTGTGTTACAGACCCTGTCCCTGGAGCAAAACAATTGGTCCAAACGGGCAGAGTTTTGGTTTTGGAAAAGGTATTTGGTTTAAAATAGTAAATCAGAGGCCCATAGGTGGTGCCAGAGCGATCTCAGCGGCATTACAGTCAGGGTAGTGGGGTGTGGGGTTGGATAGGATGCACTCACTGCCCCTATCCCAACCCCTCCAGAATCTGTCAGGCAAGAGTCCAAAGGGTTTGGGAGAAGAGAGGACACTGTTTACAATCAGGACAAAAAGCTTTCCCTGATGCCCTGGCCAGCCTAGTGCAGCTCCTTTACCCATCTCTGGCCTGGGCTGGATTTGTACTCTTGGATCACCATCTGCCCGGCTCCTGGGAATTTGGTTTGTAAGCAATTAGAAATTTCTCTAGCTGAGCACATCACAATAACCATAGAAAAAGCAAGCATCTGCAGGAGTGAGGACTAGTGGTCTTGTGATTGCAACTTGACCCACTTCCAGACTCCACATCTGTCCCACTGCTCCCAGGAAGCAGCTCTCACTGACTGCTTGGGGAGGCTTGACTGCCCCTGTTGTGAGTGCACAGCTATCTGCAGCACCATCGCCCCAGCCACTTCAGGAGCCAGAGTGCCTGCTGCTTCAACCTGACCACCAGTTCACTTCAAACTCACGGGGGGAGGGGGAGGGTCGGGGGGGGGTGGGTTGCTGGGGAAGGTGGGCTGACTGGTTCCCCACTCTAGGGCACTTTCCTTGCTGTTCTCAATTGAGGGCCTGAATAAATGGACTCCAGCACACAGCATCTGATGCCTGACTTTTTCCTTCACTCGCCAAACATTTATTGAGTGCCAAACCATGTATGCAAGTAGACAAGCTTTTATGAGATAGTACAAAACATACTACATGTCATGGCATCAGACTTTGAGGAAGTAGTGGTCAAAGAAGTCTTCTTAGAAAAGGTGACATCTAATTTGAGGTCTGAATGATAGCTAGGAGGTGGCCTGCTAATGGTATGGCTGTCAGGAACGAGAGGCACAAGCAGAAACAGATGTGCAAAACCAGGGACTGCAGGCTGGGTGGGGCTTGCAGGCAGATACCTCTCTTTCAGACAAGGAAACACTTTTTTTTTTTTTTTTGAGACGCAGTTTTGCTCTTTCGCCTAGGCTGGAGTGCAGTGGTGCGATCTTGGCTCACTGCAACCTCTGCCCCCGGGGTTCCAGCGATTCTCCTGCCTCAGCCTCCCGAGTAGCTGGGATTACAGGTGTGCACCTCCATGCCCAGCTAATTTTTGTATTTTTAGTAGAGACAGGGTTTCACCATGTTGGCCAGGCTGGTCTTGAACCCCTGACCTCAGGTGATCCACCCACCTCAGCCTCCCAAAGCGCTGGGATTACAGGTGTGAACTGCCGCCAGGCCTAGCCAGCATTCTTGAGTTGAACTCATGATACTTAATTCCTAAGAGTCTTGCCTCCAAAATCAAATGTGCTCCTTGCTAGCTGCATAACTTTCCCCTGGACCTCAATTTACTCACCTATAAATGAAGGATTTCTAAAGCCCTTTTCATGATTTTCAGTGAGGCTAATAGCACCATTCCCAGGATGCTTTCAGTTCATTAAACCACTGCTGATTTGTCGGTTGTTCCCCTGTGGAGACTGCACACTGGATGGACAAAATGCTCATCTCAGGAAAGCCCTAGCGTTTCAGTCTCAGCCTTCTGATCACCCAGTTACTGAGTGCGAATTCTGTGAAGGTCGGTACCATATGGCATGGAGGAGGGGAACAGGCAGGTAGATGGGCAGATCAGGTTGCTTCTGCTTACAAACAAGGGAGTTTTCAAACAATGTTCTCTCAAGTTCAAAGAGTTCTAGCAGCTGACGTGATAAGAGAAAAATGTCACCAAGATGTTGGGACAAGAACAGAGTCTGGAAGGATTGAGAGGACTTAAGCAAAATTAGAGGTAGATGGGGTTTCAGGTAAAGGTGTTGGCTAGAGCCAAAGAATAGAGGTGGGACTGTGCACTGGCAGTCTTTTGATTACAAGTAACAGGGGTGCCAGGTAACCTCAGGAAGGACTGGAACCAAGAATTGCAGAGCCATCAGAATCCAGGTAATCACTCTTTCTGGTTTCAATTAACTTGTCTTCTCTCATGCTCGGTGGCTTTGGTTCTCTCAATTTCTAATTCAATCTTGGGTTACATGCTCTGTTTTTCTTTTTCTTTTCTTTTCTTTTTTCTTTTTTTTTTTTTGAGACAGAGTCTCGCTTTGTTGTCCAGGCTGGAATGCAGTGGCGCCATCTCGGCTCACTGCAAGCTCCGCCTCCCGGGTCCACGCCATTCTCCTGCCTCAACCTCCCGAGTAGCTGGGACTACAGGCGCCCGCCACCACGCCCGGCTAACTTTTTTTGTGTGTATTTTTAGTAGAGGCAGAGTTTCACCGTGTTAGCCAGGATGGTCTCGATGTCCTGACCTCGTGATCCACCCGCCGCGGCCTCCCAAAGTGCTGGGATTACAGGCGTAAGCCACCGCGTCTGGCCTACAATGCTCTGTTTTTCAGACTGTCTCTCTGACTTTATTTCTATTTTTTTTTGTTTGTTTGTTTTTGTTTTTTGAGACGGAGCTGTGCTCTTGTTGCCCAGACTGGAGTGCAATGGCGCGATCTCGGCTCACTGCAACCTCCGCCCCCCGGGTTCAAGCAATTCTCCTGCCTCAGCCTCCTGAGTAGCCGAGATTAAAGGCGCCCGCCACCATGCCAGGCTATTTTTGTTTTGTTTTGTTTTGTTTTTTGTTTTTTGATACGGAGTCTCTCTCTGTTGCCCAGGCTGGAGTGCAGTCGTGCGATCTCGGCTCACTGCATCCTCCACCTCCCACGTTCAACCGATTCTCCTGCCTCACCCTCCCGAGTAGCTGGGATTACAGGCGGGTGCCACCACGCCTGGCTAATTTTTTGTATTTTTAGTAGAGACAGGGTTTCACCGTGTTAGCCAGAATGGTCTCTATCTCCTGACCTCGTGATCCGTCCGCCTCGGCCTCCCAAAGTGCTGGGATTACAGGCGTGAGCCACCGCACCCGGCCAATTTCTCTCTCTTCTTAGCCCCTGTCTCTGTTGCAGTCTCTCCCTCTCACTGTGTGGTCTTTCCTCTCTGCAGGAACCCTTGGTTCTGCTTGCAGATATGCTTTCTCTGTTCCTCTGGGCTCACAGAAGAAGGTGGCCACCCTATTTATATCTCAAGTCAATGAATAGCCCTGTCTTGAAGACCGAATTTGATTGGCCCAGTTTGAATTGGGGCTCCACCTCTAGTCCAATCAACCGTGGCCATGGCAGGGGTGGGAAATACAGGGCAATCCTGCTATCCAATCAAATTCCCTGGAGAGACAATCTGGTTGGCCCAGCTGCAGTTTGCCTCTAGTCCAGTCAACTGTGTCCATGGTGGGGGTGTGGCATATAAAGGGCAGTCCTAAGGCCTTGGGCGGTCGCTCTCACCTACAATTCCAGCACTTTGGGAGGCGGAGGCTAGCAGATCACCTGAGGTCAGGAGTTCAAGACCAGCCTGGCCAACATGGCTAAAAATACAAAAATTGGCCAGGCGCCTGTGGCTCACGCCTGTAATCCCAGCACTTTGGGGGGCCGAGGAGGGTGGATCACCAGGTCAGGAGATCGAGACCATCCTGGCTAACATGGTGAAACCCCGTCTCTATTAAAAATACAAAAAATTAGCCAGGCGTGGTGGCGGACGCCTGTAGTCCCAGCTACTCAGGAGGCTGAGACAGGAGAATGGCGTGAACCCAGGAGGCGGAGGTTGCAGTGAGGCAAGATTGTGCCACTGCACTCCAGCCTGGGCGACAGAGCAAGACTCCGTCTCAAAAAAAAAAAAAAAAAAAAGGCTTTGCTGGCTGGGTGTGGCGGTTCATGCCTGTAATCCTAGCACTTTAGGAGGCTGAGGCAGGTAGATCACTTGAGCCCAGGAGTTCCAGACCATCCTGGGCAACATGGTGAAACCCTATCTCTTAAAAAATACAAAAATTAGCCAGGCATGGTGGCACACACCTGTAGTCCCAGCTACTCGGGAGGCTGAGATGGGAGGAGCGCTTGAGCCTGGGAGGTAGAGGCTGCAGTGAGCTGTGATTATGCTACTGTATTCCAGTCTGGGCAACAGAGTGAGACCCTGTCCCCTCATCAAAAAAAAAGAATTTGCTGTATCCCACACTGCTAGAAATGGAAGAGATTGAAAATTTTGTAGATTTAACAAGGTGATGTTTCATTTCTGTAGCACAATAGGAAATTGAGTTGTTTTACAGAAGCAGTTTTCCAGAAAATTCAAACTTTTCCTCTTTATTTAAGACTTTTTTTTTTTTTTGAGACAGCGTTTTTGTTCCCCAGGCTGGAGTGCAATAGCACTATCACAGCTCACTGCAGCCTTGATCTCCCAGGTTCAAGCAATCCTCCCACCTTGGCCTCCCAAGGAGCTAGGACTACAGGCATGAGCCACCACACCAGGCTAAATTTTATTTTTTGTAGAGACTGAGTCTCACTGTTTTGCCCAGGCTGTTTTCAAACTCCTGGATTCAAGCGATCCTTCTGCCCTGGCCTCTCAAAGTGCTGGGATTACAAAAATGAGCTACTGCACCAGGCCTCCAAAACTTTTAAACTTTTGATTGTTTTGGGGTAGAAATATAAAAGTATTTAGTCTACTTTTATAAAAACAGAAATAACATAATTCAATCTTTTCTTGATGTATTATGAATACCATTATTGTGGAAGTATAATACTAATAAAATAGCAACCAGGGCTGATATGATATATAAAAAATTTTATCTAATCCCAAATGATGCCAGACTATATACCCTTCTTGTTGAGTTCACACATCTGTTTTTGTGTTTCCTTTTTTGTCAGGCTATTAGACAACACTTTGGCTGTGGTTCTAGCACCTATTCCCCCTTTCTAATTTACTGACTCATGCAATGGGGATCCATATGACCAAATTAGTATTTAAAATGAGCAAAGAGACTTACAGAATGAAATTCTGAAAGCCTAGGTATGAGTAAAGTACATGAACTTTGATATGCCAACTTTGTAATATCTACTTTGATGGCTCAGAAGCCTTTTCTCTTCATAACCTTGTTATTGATTAATTTACCCATGAGTACTACTTTACATACATAGCCAGTGGATGCTTCTGTATATTTAACAATTGCTTACAGGTAATACATGATTATAATTGGTTGTTTTTTTTTTTTGTTTGGTTGTTTGTTTTTGAGACGGAGTCTTGCTCTGTCACCCAGGCTGGAGTGCAGTGGTACAATCTCGGCTCACTGCAAGCTCCGCCTCCCAGGTTCATGCCATTCTCCTGCCTCAGCCTCCAGAGTGGCTGGGACTACAGGCGCCCGACACCATGACTGGCTAATTTTTTGTATTTTTAGTAGAGACGGGTTTCACCGTGTTAGCCAGGATGGTCTCGATCTCCTGACCTTGTGATCCACCCGCCTCGGCCTCCCAAAATGCTGGGATTACAGGCATGAGCCACTGTGCCCGGCCCTAGCCAGTGGGTGATTATAATTGTTAATCACTTTTATTATCTAATATTATGGTTAATGCACATGAATTGGAAATTGGAAATTGGAAAGGACTTATAAGCCAAGAGTTCATATTCTCTCTTTCATCTCTTTTTAAGTGTTTCATTTGAAATCAAGCAAGTTCCTCACAATGCTAAAGTACTGTGAATAGGGTAAGATCCTCAACTAGCTGGCTAAGAAGCATGACCGAAAAAGTAATTTTTTATTTTTATTTTTTTATTTATTTTGTATGCAACTCATTGTTTATATTTTTTGATTTTTTTATTTAAAGGAATTTTTAAAGGCATAAAGGGAAATCCATAATTCACAACATTGCACAGGAAAATATCTTTATTACTTAGTAAGCACCTACTCACTATAGCAAGTGCCAAGGGATCATTTATTCCTCACATTAATTCTAGGAGGTCAAGAGCACCCCAATTTATAGTGGAAAACAGGCTTATGGAATTAACTTACTTACCAGAGGTCACATGGCTGTTAAGGAACTCAGCTGGGATTCACACACCAGTCCTTCTACTCCTGACGTCTGTGCCCTTTAGTAAATACAAACAAGAATTCCCTAGCACTGTCTTCAAGATTTGATACACTGAAAGTTCCACTGGATTAATTTTAAGAATGCCCCCAAAGGATTCAGAGGGAAGGGTGGTAAGTTAGCACCATCTGCTGACCATCTCCCTGAACATCAGGATGAGGAACAAGAGGCAGTCTAATTGAGGACAAGGGGGATCTCATGCTATCTAAGGTTACCTCCAGCCCCCAAGGGCAGGCCCAGGAAAATGATGAGCGCCTCGCTGTAGTCCTCTTGGTCACCCTACAATACCAAGGTTGGGCAGTGACTCCCTGAGGAAGAAAGTAGTAGCAGTTGGAAGGAGCCTAAAAGAGACCTTGAGAAAAAAAGGTCCAGACTTCTATCAGCACAGTGGAAACATATCATTTCTGCAAATAAATCTTAGCATCTCCTGATTCTAGCATCCAGCAATAAAAACAGATTCCTGAGCCCTCCTCCAGACTATTTTGTCAAAATCTTTAGGAGAGGGGCCTAATGTATTTTAACAAACAACCAAAGTAATTCTTTTTTTTTTTTTTTTTTTGAGCCAGAGTCTCACTTTGCTGCCCAGGCTGGAGTGCAGTGGCATGATCTCGGCTCACTGCAACCTCCGCTTCCCAGGTTCAAGCGATTTTCCTGCCTCAGCTTCCTGAGTAGCTGGGACTACAGGCACACATCACTGTGCCCAGCTAATTTTTGTATTTTTAGAGACGGGGTTCACCAGGTTGGCCAGGCTGGTCTTGAACTCCTGACCTCGTGATCCGCCAGCCTCAGCCTCCAAAGTGCTGGGACTACAGGCCTGAGCCACCGCGCCCGGCTACAACCAAAGTAATTCTTAAGTAAAGGAAAGATGGTGGGTCACTTCCTTAATAGGAGGGCAGATTTTTATTCCTTGATGTGAGATGTTCCTGGGTAGGGGGTAGAGATTCTGCAGACCCCTAAAATCTCATCAGCTTTTGGAATAAGATATAGAGAAGTAATGGAAACCCATATGGTGATTTGGATTTAAGTCTGGGTTCTGCTGTGACCTTGGGCAAGTCACTTAAACTCTCTGTGTCTTGATTTTCTCAGCTTCAAAACTGGAATGCTGATAATAACAATATATCATTTGGTTGTTGTAATAATCAAATGAGAAAGTGGATGTGAAAACCCTTTGTAAGTTATAAAGTTCAATACGATGTGTTAATATTATCTTGAGTTCGCACCACCTACAGATGCAGGTCCTTATCTTTTAAAATACTGAGTTCCTCAATATTTATATTTATATCCTTCCAGGGATAATCAATGTCTGCTGATATGAAGGAGCAGGGTTTGGCCATGAAAAAAAAAGTCTTTATTCAGAGGATACAAAGATTCCCAAAAGAATGATGACTCTCTGAGAAGATGTGCCAGAATTTCTGGTGGAGGAGAGGAGAAGCGAGATTTTTTGTTGTTGTTGTTGAGATGGAGACTTGCTTTGTCACCCAGGCTGGAGTGCATTGTCACGATCTCAGCTCACTGCAACCTCTGCCTCCCAGGTTCAAGCGATTCTCCTGCCTTAGCCTCCCGAGTAGCTGGGATCACAGGCGTGCGCCACCACACCCGGCTAATTTTTGTATTTTTAGTAGAGACGGGGTTTCACCATGTTGGCCAGGCCAGTCTGGAACTCCTGACCTCAGGTGATCCACCTGCCTTGGCCTCCCAAAGTGCTGGGATTACAGGCGTGAGAAACTGCGCCTGGCCGAGAAGTGAGATTTTTATGTTTATCGAAAAGAGTCTTGGGTTAAAAAAGAAAAGCTTGAGAAATACAGTTTTAAAGCCAGAAGACTCCAGCTCTATTCTCTGTTTTTCACTTGTTATGTGACCCTGGTCAAGTATCTGCCTTTTCAATAGGCCTGTTTCCTCATCTAAAAAAATCAGGGTTAATATTGAGTGAGTTAAGACTCATGGACTCTAATTTATTAAAATATTTCTTATAGCAACTCATAATGCTGGGAGGTAAAATCAAGTATAAAAGAAAAAGAGGGCCTGCATGGTGGCTCACACCTGTAATCCCAACACTTTGGGAGGCCAAGGCAGGCGGATCATGAGGTCAATAGATCAAAACCATCCTGGCCAACATGGTGAAACCCCGTCTCTACTAAAAATACAAAAACTAGCTGGGCGTGGTGGTGTGCGCCTGTAGTCCCAGCTACTCAGGAGGCTGAGGTAGGAGAATCGCTTGAACCGAGGAGCCAGAGGTTACAGTGAGCCAGGATCGCACCACTGCGCTCCAGCCTGGCCACAGAGTGAGACTCCATCTCAAAAAAAAAAAAAAAAAAAAGACAAAAGAAAAAGTTTTACATAAAATGAAGACATAAAAAGTTATGTGCCTGACTGGGTGCAATGGCTCATGCCTGTAATCCCAGCACTTTGGGAGGCTGAGGCAGGCGGATCACTTGAGGTCAGGGGTTTGAAACTAACACGGCCAACATAGTGAAACTCTGCCTCTACTAAAAATACAAAAATTAACCGGGCATGGTGACGCATGCCTGTAATCCCAGCTACTCAGGAGGCTGAGGCAGGAGAATCACTTGAACCCAGGAGGCAGAGGTTGCAGTGAGCTGAGATGGTGCCACTGCACTTCAGCCTGGGTGACAGATGGAGACTCTGTCTCAAAAAAAAAGTTATGTGCCTTCAGCTATGTAGTTCGCAAAAAGTAAATAACTCAAGGAGTTAACTCCTCCAGTGTAAACTATTTGAGCTGGAAAACTGCACTTGACTTTCTTTTTAAAGCGTCATTAATCTGTCAGAAAACAGCTGAAAGTAGGTGTGATGTGGAAGGGCTGATGTGACCACAAGTATTTGCCATCACTTTCCTGGTGAAGGATCCATTTTCTCACAGGGATAATCTCAGATGGCTCTGGGTTTTTTTTTTTTTTTTTTGAGACGGAGTCTCGCTCTGTCGCCCAGGCTGGAGTGCAATGGCACGATATCGGCTCACTGCAACCTTCGCCTCCTGGGTTCAAGCAATTCTCCCACCTCAGCCTCCTGAGTAGCTGGGATTACAGGAGTACGCCACCACACCTACCTAATTTTTGTATTTTTAGTAGAGATGGGGTTTCACCATGTGGGTCAGGCTGGTCGCAAACTCCTGACCTCGTGATCCACCTGCCTCGGCCTCCCAAAGTGCTGGGATTACAGGTGTGAGCCACCACGCCCAGCCGGCTCTGTGCTTTTGAATTCATAACTTGAGAGGATGGCCTGATAGGAACCTGACCAGAGGTTATCTATGCAGTGCCATCCTTAATCACGGCCGGGTGCGGTGGCTCACGCCTGTAATCCCAGCACTTTGGGAGGGCGAGGCGAGAGGATCACTTGAGCCCAGGAGTTTGAGACCAGCCTGGGCAACATAGGGAGACCTCATCTTTACTAAATTAAAAAAAAGAAAGAAAGAAAAGAAAACCCTCAAGACTTTAAAGCACCCACGGACTAGCAACAGCTAGAAGCTTTATCACCACGAGGCCTGAAAGAACAAGGAGACGGAGCTGTTACCAACTAACAATTGCTGCTCAGGGAACTAACTGACAATACCAACTCCATGTTACAAGTGATGAAACTAAGGAGAATGAGAAGATAAGGAACACAGGATGTGGAATTCCGGGGGAAGAAATTTAGTGAATCTGAAGCATCCAGCGCCTACCAAGGCACTTTAGAGACTTCCCCCTGGAGGGTTAAGCCACCAGCCTCACCTTGACCTTCCCTGCCGCCCACTAAAAGTGACCGGAAGAGCTCGACTATGACGACTCGGGACTACAAGTCCCGGCATGCATCTCTCCGCGTCTATCGCAAAACCTTTCAACTTTAGGATAAAAGGGCTTTTGGCAACCTTGAGCGTCGGGACCTGTAGTCGCCCCAGTTGGGGCTAGACGCTTGCCGTAGGGAACTCATTGGCGCCCAGGGCACCACCCCCTCGCCTTCGCCTCACGTAGCTTCACCAGCTCGCAAACACGGCGCGTGCCCACGCCCTCCGCCCCCTCCCCGGGCCTAGGGCGCAGGCGCGCGCAAGCTCCCCGGGCCCAGTAGGCTGGGGGTGGGGGTAGAAGGAGAAGGAGGGGAAGGGAGGGGGGGGTTGGGTGTCTACTCTGGTGAATAGACGGCTGTGGGGCAGAGAAGCGTGAAGGCCTGGCTGCCGGGCAGGTGAACTCTCCACGGGGTCTAGGGCCCGCGAAAGGGTTCGGAACCGAGTCAGCGCGCCTTGCGGGCAGGATTCACGCCGCTGTGACCCGGAGGTCCTCAGGGGGCGAAGCCCCGGCCTAGGCCTCGCGGAGATGCCCAGCTGCGGTGCTTGTACTTGCGGCGCGGCGGCCGTCCGGCTCATCACCTCCTCACTCGCCTCCGCGCAGAGAGGTAACGAAATAGTGCCACTCCTGAGCCCTCAGCCTGTCGGGGGGGGGGTGGACTGGCCAATGGTTGGGGGCCCCGGGGAGGGCACGAGGCCTGCTGCACCCGGGGAGTGTGAGGGAATGCGCGGCGCTTCGCCCGGCACCCACCACTTTCCCCGTGGAATGGGGCTCTGCCAACCTCTGGAGCAGCCGTTGCTCAAATTGGAAGTAAACTCCTTCCCACGCGCCTGCCTGCACGCTTTCAGGCCTGCTGACTTTGGGGCCGGAATGCGGCCACTTTGTAGAAACCCTGAAAGGCACAAAATGCTCCTGTTATTAAAAAATGTCTCCAGATCCCACTCAGCCCTGCCGGGGACCGCCGCCTGCCATGGCTGCGGCTCTTCTTCCGCAGCCTGGCCGGGATCCCCCTCGGGCCCGTTGGGGGCTCCAGGAGGGGCTCGGCTGAGGATCTGTCCCTACTAGGGTCCCCCAGGACTCGGGGCACCCAGCTGGCCGTCCCGGACGCAAGCCGCGCGATACCCGAGATGTTACTATCACTGTGCGGCCCTGACACTGGGACATAAACAAGGTTCACAATACTTCCCGGCGTCAGGCAAGCCCCGGGGCCCGCAGGACAGCGGCGGGAGAGATGGGGAGAAGTCCCGCAGGAGTTGGTTCGGAAGTACTTGGGTGTTTCAGCAGTCCTTTGCTGGCTTTCCCAACTTGACCGGGAGGTAGTTTCCTAAGAGTGGCGCATGTTGTTTACCTTTTCTTTCTGTTTATCTGAAGCTGTGAAAGAATGGCGCCCCAGCCAAGAGAGTCTGGAAAATAAACTTTTTTTCTCTTCCTCAAATCTGTGGAAGTCAGACCACGAGGCTAGATCCTGTTATAATGACTGACTTCTAGACAAATTCGTTTTATTTTGGCTTATCGGTTTATGACCCTTGGATGGATTTTTAAAAAGGCCCCTTTTATCTAACTTCTAAGCCAATTATAAAATCCTTATTGTTTACTAAATATATCTTCCAGTTTCTTTACTACAGAAGGAAGGATTGAATGAGGTAACGTGGGCAGAAGCATTTTGTAAAATGATATATAAATGTAAGGGAGTAAATTTAATCCTAAATCGATGTTAAGCCTCAACCAGTAGATGTCCCGATTCCAGGAATTCGATTTGCAAACACTTTAAAGTGACATATTTTAATCCATTTATCTGATATATATTAATATTTGTCAAGGGTCCACTGTGTGTCAGGCCTTCTTTTAGTGCTGGAGGTAGAGTGGTGAATAAGTCCTCACCCTCATGTTTAAATCTAGTGGAGTAGACAAAGAATAATACAGTTTCCAGTGGGTGGATGAAGTATGTGTGTGTTCCCTTTGGTCAGGGACGGCTTCTTTGAAAGTGTTACTGATCTCTTGTAGCCAAGAGTCCGTGAACATTTTTGAATCATAGGAGATAGGCAGTTATTTTTTTTTCTTTTCAAAACGACTGTTTTCTTTCTTTTTCTTTTCTTTTCTCCTTCCTTCCTTCCTTCCTTTCCTTCCTTCCTGTCTTTCTTTCCTTTCTGTCTTTCTTTCCATCTACTATCTGTCTTTCTGTCTGTCTTATTTTCTTTCTTTTTTTTTTTTTTTTTTTTTTGAGACAGAGTCTCGCTCTGTCGCTCAGGCTGGAGTGCAGTGGCCAGATCTCAGTTTACTGCAAACTCCGCCTCCTGGGTTCACGCCATTCTCCTGCCTCAGCCTCCCGAGTAGCTGGGACTGCAGGCGCCCGCCACCACGCCTGGCTAATTTTTGTATTTTTAGTAGAGACGGGGTTTCACCGTGTTAGCCAGGATGGTCTCGATCTCCTGATCTTGTGATCCGTCCGCCTCGGCCTCCCAAAGTGCTGGGATTACAGGCGTGAGCCACCGCGCCTGGCCTCTTTTTGTGTGTCTGTCTTGATGGAATCTGCTAAGTTGCCCGGGCTGGAGTGCAGTAGCGCGATCTCGGCTCACTGCAACCTCCGTCTCCTGGGTTCAAGCAATTCTTCTGCCTCAGCCTCCTGAGTAAGCTGGGGTTACAGGCGCGCGCCACCACGCCCCACTAATTTTTATATTTTTAGTAGAGACGGGATTTTGCCATGTTCGTCAGGCTGGACTCCAACTCCTGGACCCCAGGAGATCACCCGCCTTGGCCTCCCAAAGTGCTAGGATTACAGGCTTGAGCCACCGCACCCGGACTAGTATTTCTTTTTAAAAACAGTTGTTCTGAAATTTAGAAAGCTTTGTCTGTATGATAAAGTTCTGTAAATAGTGAAACTTAAATTGTCTTTTCTGGTTGCTGCCAGGTAATCTGGTGAAATATACTTTACAGAAACACTTCTCTTTTTTGGCTTTCAGAGCTTCACCTGGGGTTTACAGGCCTCCAAAGGGTCCTTGAATAGAATTCAGAGATTCTGTGAACTTTATTTTCACTAAGCTCTAACTGAAACACAACGTTTCCTTGGCCTATGAATGTGGGCAACACATCCACAGTAGTCTTAGAAGTGTCTGTGGATTTGTCATCAATCAAAATCAGAAATATTTTCATATCACATTATAGTTGCTGATATTTCAGAATATTGTCCATACTTTTTGCTACTTTGAAATCATAGTAATTATTTAAAAAGCTGTTAGATCTTATTTAATTTTGCTTGTTAATAAAGAGGCATATTTTAAAAATTTTTTGATAACTACTTCATTATAATTTGTTTCCTTTGTTATGTATTTTATTTTATACATTTAAAAATATTATTCTGAGAAGATCTATTCAGAGGCTTCACCAGACTGCTTAAGGGGTTCATGGCACAAAAAGTGTTAGAAATCCCAATTACTTTGCTACAGAGCTTTATCATTTTTATGAGGATTTTATGATTGGTGAATGGTCATTTTGATTGATTGCATCTGTCACTCTCCCTCAATTACTTTTTCTTTTTCTTTCTTTCTTTCTTTTTTTTTTTTTTTGAGACGGAGACTCTGTTGCTTAAGCTGGAGTGCAGTGGTGCCATCTCGGTTCACTGCAACCTCTGCTTCCTGGGTTCAAGCGATTCTTCTGCCTCAGCATCCCGGGTAGCTGAGACTACAGGCGCGTGTCACCATGCCCAGCTAATTTTTTGTATTTTTAGTAGAGATGGGGTTGCACCGTATTAGCCAGGATGGTCTCGATCTCCTGACCTTATGATCTGCCCCCCTGGGCCTCCCAAAGTGCTGGGATTACTGGCATGAGTCACTGCACCTGGCCCCCTCAATTACTTTTTCTAAGCCTACTTTTGGGATTGATACTATCTTTATTTATTTATTTATTTATTTATTTATTTATTTATTTATTTATTTTGCGACAGAGCCTCGCTCCGTTGCACAGGCTGGAGTACAGTGGCGCAATCTCGGCTCACTGCAACCTCTGCCTCGTTCAAGTGATTCCCCTGCCTCAGCTTCCCAAGTAGCTGGGATTACAGGCACCTGTCACCACGCCTGGCTACTTTTTGTATCTTTAGTAGAGACAGGGTTTCACCATGTTGGCCAGGCTGGTCTTAAACTCCTAACCTCAAGTGATCCACCCACCTCAACCTCCCAAAGTGCTGGGATTACAGGCGTGAGCCATCACACCTGGCTCCTTCAATTTTTTTATTGTGGTAAGATACATATAAAATTTACAAGACTTAACTATTTTTAGTGTATAGTTCGGTAGTATTAAGTACATTGATACTGTGCAACCATTGCCATCATCTTGTGAAACTGAAGCTCTGTACCCATTACAACAATAACTCTCCATTTTCCCCAACCCCCAGGAACCGCCATTCTACTCACTGACTCTATGATTTTGCCTTCTAAGTACCACGTGTAAGTGGAATAACACAATTTTTTAAAGAACTTTTTTTTTTTTTGAGACAGAGTCTCCCTCTGTTGCCCAGGCTGGAGTGCAGTGGCATGATCTTGGCTCACTGCAACCTCTGCCTCCTGGGTTCAAGCAATTCGCCTGCCTCAGCCTCCTGAGTAGCTGGGATTACAGACGCCTGCTAGCACACCCAGCTAATTTTTGTATTTTTAGTAGAGACAGGGTTTCACCACGTTGGCCAGGCTGGTCTCGAACCCTGGGATTACAGGCATGAGCCACCGCGCCTGACCTTAAAGAACATTTGAAGTTTGTTTCCATTGTTACAGATTTTTTTTTTTTTTTTTGAGATGGAGTCTCGCTATGTCACCCAGGCTGGAGTGCGGTGGCACGACTTCAGTTCGCTGCAAACTTCGCCTCCCGGGTTCAAGCGATTTTCCTGCCTCAGCCTCCCGAGTAGCTGGGATTAAAGGCGCCCACCACCATGCGTGGCCAATTTTTTTTTATTTTTAGTAGAGACGGGGTTTCACCATGTTGGCCAGGCTGGTTTTGAACTCCTGACCTCTAGTGATCCACCCGCCTAGGCCTCCCAAAATGCTAGGATTACAGGGGTGAGCCACCACACCCGGCCCAGATAGTATTCTTATATAATAACAGATGAGTTGCTGTCAGATGTTTATTCTCATTGGTAGAAATAATAAGAATATAGGGCATAAATGGCCTTTTTCAAAATCTTACAGGTGAGGCAGATGTTGAAGTCCATTCAAACTTTGAAAAAGTTATGACGTGGGTGATCTTGCCTTATTTCCAAAGGACACATACAGAAAGAAACACCTTTATTTATTTAGAATCTTTCAGAGGCCCAGACCTGCTGGCCTGTTTTTGAAAGGACTTTGCCTCCGTTGGTGTCATTTTTTTTCTCTCAGTTTATACTACTGTGAAAATGATAGCTTTTTTTCAACCTCCTTTATGCTCAAGGAATTTTTGTTTCCAGGGGATTTATTGAGGCATGTCTATATTTGATGTAGATTTCCTTTTATTTTCAGGTATTTCTGGTGGTCGCATTCATATGTCAGTTTTAGGAAGGCTTGGGACATTTGAAACTCAGATTCTGCAAAGAGCTCCTCTTAGATCCTTTACAGAAACACCAGCATACTTTGCCTCAAAAGATGGGATAAGTAAAGATGGTTCTGGAGATGGAAATAAGGTAATTATTTTATCTTATTGGCATCTGTACACATTGTGAGTTCCCTCCTTTAAAAAAATATAACAGTACTGTCTCTTACTGGCTTATATGTTTTCTGTAGGAAATATGAGATAGCTAAAATGATCTGAATAATTTTATGTAATTAGATGTTTCATTTTGAACCTTAAAATACTTTTATAAGCATTGCACATAGTAAGCAGTAATTAAAATTTCTTACACCCCAAAGTAGTAAAGAAGTGTCATTAAATGACAGTCAGTAGGATTGAATTAGGAATAGCCATCATTTCCTGCTTTCATATAACTCTTATAACCCATGGCAGTATAAACCTCACTTTATCCTCTACCTAAAAATTTCAGATTTGTGGTATAACTTAATGTTGGGCTACTCTGGTAGCCTAAAAATTTCATATTTCTGGTATAACTTTATGTTGTAGCTAGTATAACTTATGTTGGTAGTTGTATTGAGTCAGTGACTTAACAGTTTTTTTCATTACGTGAATTTGACTAACACTTGAGTTAATTTTATATGTTAGACAAAATGTGAGACACTTACATATCCATACTTAACAGTGACTCTGATGTGAGTAAAATTATTCCCATTTTAGAGATGAGAAAAGTTAGATCTAAGAATAGTCAGAGTCACTACCTACCATGATAATAACTCCTGATTCAATTTCATTGAAATGTAGTTTTTTACCCTTAGTAAATTTTCTAGTGCCTGAGTCATTGAATGAAAGCTGTTTATTATATATGTTGGCACATGTTATACAAAGGAGGACTGCAGATATATATGTATTTACTAGAACTGATTTGATTTTTGAAGTAAATAGATCTTCTGACACCAGTAATAGAATTATAAAATATACTAATAATTTCATCCTAGAAATATAGAAGATTATAAAATTAATTACAAACAGTATTGTTTACATTTAAGTTGGTTGCCTGAAACTAATAATTGACACTCTTCCTTTTTTCTCCTTCATAAACGTTAGAAATCAGCAAGTGAGGGAAGTAGTAAGAAATCAGGCTCTGGGAATTCTGGGAAAGGTGGAAACCAGCTGCGCTGTCCTAAATGTGGCGACTTGTGCACACATGTAGAGACCTTTGTATGTAAGTATTACATCTTCTACTGTTCTTTTTTCCCTACATTTTCTGTAAATTACTAAGTGTATAAAAATATGTAAATTATGTAAAATGTATAAATATAGGCCAGGTGCAAACGGCTTATGCCTATAATCCTAGCACTTTGGAAGGAGGAGATGGGAGAATCCCTTGAGCCTAGGAGTTCAAGACCTGCCTGGGCAACATGTTGAGACACCTGTCTTTCCAAAAAAAAAAAAAAAGCCAGGTATGGTGGTGCATACCTGTGGTCTTAGCTACTTCTTTTAAGAAGGTTGAGGCTGCAGTGAGCCATGGTCATGCCACTGTACCCCATCCTGGGTGACAGAGACCCTGTCTCAAAAAAAAGAAATATATATATATAAATTGTATTAAATGTGTAGAAATATGGATTATATGAAATAGATAAATGTATGTGACTTTGTATGTTATATAAATTATATGTAAATTGTATGAGCTTACCTGATTCTCTCTTATGTTCACTATATACTAGAAAATCTTCAGGACTGGTAATACTTTGCACTGTTGTGTAAGAGATAATTTAAGAAAAACATTTGCTTCTTTATTTTGCTTACTTGTGTTTATTTCAAATTAGATTTTGTGAATTTCTGGATGTGATCATTAGGCTATAGGAGAACCAAGACTTATTTATTCTGTATTTATTACTACTTTCTTCAAATACATATTGAATATCTCACATGGCTGGGAAGGCCAGTCATTCATATATTAAGGTAATTTCCCTTAGTACTTACCAAAGGAGGTAAGCCCTCAATTCCGGGAAGCATCTGATAATTATTAATGATTCAGACACTCAGAGAAGGAAGAAATCAGGGCTGGGCACAGTGACTCACACCTGTAATCCCAGCACTTTCAGAGGCTGAGGTAGGCAGAGTGCTTGAGCCCAGAAGTTCAAAACCAGCCTGAGCAACATGGCAAAACCCCATATGTATAAAAAAATAAAATTAGCTAGGCATGGTGGTGCATGGCTATAGTTCCAGCTACTTAGGGGCTGAGGTAGGAGGATCGCTTGAGCCTGGGAGGTGAGGCAGCAGCGAGCCAGCCATTGAATTCCAGCCTCGGCGACAAAGCAAGAACCTGTCTCAAAAAAAGAAAAAAAGAAGGAAAAAAATCATGTATCCTACTTTTGCTGTTAGTGTCAGTAACTCTCTGAAATGCAAAGATTCTACTACAGATATTTTCATTAATGAATCAAATAATCAAAAAACTCATTACTTAACATAATTTAGAGTTAATGGTAATGAATTGTACCACCATGTCAGCCTTCCTATACAATCCAATTGAAGAAAGCTTCAAGATTGTAAGACTTCAGTGTCTGATGGTTGGCTAGAGAGTATTCTCTATCTCCTAACCCTAATATTGAGACTTTGGTTACAATTTCACACTTACCATTAACCATAATTGGCCACCATATGAAAAGGTACTAGATGTAGTGTGTTTTTATGTACTGGAAAGACTTAAAGTAGCTCCATCCCATAGCTGGAATATTAGGGGTTCTGAACAAAATTTAATTTGGATCACAACATAAAATGAAAGTGGGCCAGGCGCTGTGGCTCACACCAGTAATCACAGGACTTTGGGAGGCCGAGGCGGGCTGATCACTTGAGGTCAGGAGCTTGAGACCAGCCTGCTCAATATGGTGAAACCCCATCTCTACTAAAAATACAAAAATTAGCCGGGCGTGGTGGCGTGCATCTGAAGTCCCAGCTGTTCGGGAGGCTGAGACAGGAGAATCTCTTGAACCTGGGAGGTGGAGGTCATGGTGAGCCAAAATCACACCACTGCACTTCTCCAGCCTGGGCGACAGAGTGAAACTCCATCTCAAAAAAAAAAGGTAGAACTGGATGATAAAACCTTCTAAACAAATTTGATGTGATATAATAAAATTATACAGAGGCTGAAAATTGTTCAATTTATAAGGTCAGTGTCTTATATTTTAATCAAGAAATTTTCCTCCTTTTTTTTTCTTCAAAGAAACATTTCAACCTTTATAGACCTAAAGAATAATTTGTTGCCAGGCGCGGTGGCTTACACCTGTAATCCCAGCACTATGGGAGGCTGAGGTAGGCAGATCACCAGAGGTGAGGCGTTCAAGACCAGCCTGGCCAACGTGGTGAAACCCCGTCTCTACTAAAAATACAAAATTAGCTGGGCGTGGTGGCGGGCACCTGTAATCCCAACTACTCAGGAAGCCGAGGCAGGAGAATTGCTTGAACCTAGGAAGCGGAGGCTGCAGTGAGCCGAGATCACACCACTGCACTCTAGCCTGGGAAACAAGAGTGAAACTCCGTCTCCAAAAAAAAAAAAAGAAAGAAAAAAAAGAAAAAAGAATAATTTCTTAGAGTAGAAAAGGAAAGAAACTAATATTTAATAAATGCCAACATATATAGTTTTATTCTTGCACCCTTAATTTTGCCAGAACAAAGAGTATTCTCCTTTTTATAAATAAACTGAGATTTAGCAAGTTTAAGTAACTCATTCAAGGTCACATAGCAGTGAAGATTTGCTATTCAGAAATTCCTATATCATACATTTCTACCATCTGGAGATACTTTAGGAGTAAACTAGCTCCTCTTGGGATTAAATTTATTTTCCTTCTATGCATTCTTTCCAAAACTTGCCAGGTTGTATTAGTCACTGAAGGTGACTGTTAAACTTAGAGATTCCCAAACTCCTTCCCTAGAGATTAAGATTCTGTAGATGTGGGATGGAGTCCTAGAATTTGTATGTTAGTAGTATATGTATATTATTAGTTAGACCAAGTGTGGAAACACTACTTTAGTGTAATCAATTCAAGGCTGAGGCCTGTTTGCTTTGAGAATTCTAATTGTGGGTGGTGATATGGGAGTAGAAAATGTAGAAGGAAAGAATGAAAAAAAGAGCACACACTTATGTGCAAAATTAATAGCAAATGTGTTGATTCAGACATCACTAGGCTCAGAAAATATGCAGATGATCATGACACTGTCCCTGTCCTCTAACTATTTGTAGGCCCTAGCAGTGCAGTGAGCCCCTCCTCCCTTAGTTTTGTGTACCCATAATAAAAGTCTTTTCAGAATGCATCCTTTTGAATCCTTCTGTGTCTGATCATTAAAAGTTGGGTCTTCATAGTCCTAAAGAGAGTTTTATTTGATCTCAGGTTACTAACAGGTTGAGCATCCGTAGTCTGAAAATCTGGAATTCAAAATGCTCTGAAATCCTTTTGAGTGCGTCATGACGCTTAAAGGAAATGCTCCATTGGAGCATTTCAGATTTCAGATTTCATGTAGGGGTGCTTAACCAGTGTATTTCTGTGAATATTCCAAAACGTGAAAACATTTGAACTCTGAAACACTTCTGGTCCCGTGCATTTTGGTTAAGGGATAACTCAGCCTGTTTTTTTGTTTGTTTTTTGTTTCTATTGTTTTTCTGAGGCAGAGTTTCACTGTTCTCACCCAGGCTGGAGTGCAGTGGCGCGATCTTGGCTCACTGCAACTTCTGCCACCTGGATTCAAGTGCCAGCCTCAGGTGCCTCAGCCGCAGCCTCCCAAGTAGCTGGGATTACAGGTGCCCACCACCATGCCAGGCTAATTTTTGTATTTTTAGTAGAGACGGGGTTTCACCTTGTTGGCCAGGCTGGTCTCGAATTCCTGACCTCAGGTGATTCACCTGCCTTGGCCTCCCAAAGTGCTGGCATTACAGGTGTGAGCCACCATGCCTGGCCTGCATTTTAAGTCTGCATTTATTTGGATACTAGTTTGTAAACATCTTTTTATATGCTTTTTGGTCAGTTGTAATTCTTTTGTGAATGGCCTGTTTAAGTAATTGTCTACTTTTTTGTAATTTTAATTATTTTTAATTACTTGAAGAATGCATATGTAGATCCTCCTTTATGAGAAAAGAATAGACCCTGATAGATGAAGCTATAAAGTTCTATAACATATCTTCATTGAACGTGTGATTTTTTTTAAAGTATAAATAGCATATTCATATTTTTGCAAATTGCTTGTTTTCAGTACGCAGCGTTTTGAGAGCTGTGTATGTTAATGCAGTTGACTCCCGAACAGTGGGTTTGAATTGCTCAGGCCTACTTATACCTAGCTTTTATTCAACCAAACACATAATGGCCAGCATATATGAGGAGCTAACTTTTCATATGTGTGGTCTCCACAGGGCCGACTGCAGGACTTGAGTATGCATGGATTTGGTTATATGTGGGTGGTCCTAGAACTAGTCTCCTATGTGTGCCAAGGGACAGCTGTACATGTGGGCCTAATCCTTTCCTTTTAAAAATTTATTTGAGATATCATCATTCATATACCATGCAATTCATCTTCAGTGGTTTTAAAATATTTACCAAGTTGTGGCCCGGCATGGTGGCTTATGCCTGTAATCCCAGCACTTTGGGAGGCCGAGGTGGGCAGATCATGAGGTCAGGAGTTTGAGACCAGCCTGACCAACATGGTGAAACCCCATCTCTACTAAAAACACAAAAATTAGCCAGGCTTGGTGGCACGTACCTGTAATCCCAGCTACTTGGGAGGCTGAGACAGGAGAATTGCTTGAACCCGGGAGGCGGAGGTTGCAGTGAGCCGAGATCACACCACTGCACTCCAGCCTGGGTGACAGAGCGAGACTCCATCTCAAAAAAAAGAGGCCAGGCATGGTGGCTCACGCCTGTAATCCCAGCACTTTGGGAGGCCAAGGTGGGTGGATCACGAGGTCAGGAGATCGAGACCATCCTGGCTAACACGGTGAAACCCCGTCTCTAATAAAAATACAAAAAATTCGCCTGTGTGGTGGGGCACGCCTGTAGTCCCAACTACTCAGGAGGCTGAAGCAGGAGAATCTCTTGAACCCAGGAGGCAGAGGCTACAGTGAGCCAGATCGCACCACTGCACTCCAGCCTGGGCGACAGAGCGAGACTTTGTCTCATCTCAAAAGAAAAAAAAGATATTTACCAAGTTGAATGATCATCTCCACTATCTAATTCCAGAACATTTTTCATCACCCCAGAAAGAAACTCCATAGCCCTTAGTCACTCTCCACCCTCCTCCCCTCCTAGCCCTGTTAACTATTAACTACTTTCTCTATCAATGGGTTTGTCTATTCTGGGTATCTCATACAATGGAATTATACGATATGTGGCATTTCATACCAGCCTTATTTTCTTTAGCATGTTTTTAAAGTTTATCCAGTTTGCAGCATATATCAGTATTTCATTGCTTTTTATGGCTGAATAATATTTCATTGTTTAGACATTCATCAGGTGGTGGACATTTACATTGTTTCTACTTGTTGGCTGTTCTGAATAATGCTCCCGTGAACATCTGTGTACAAGTTTTTGTGTGGACATATGTTTCTAACTCTCTTGGGTATATGTTTAGGAGTGGAATTGCTGGGTCATGTGGTAACTCTGTTTAGTTTCTACAGAATTGCTAAACTGTTTTCCATAGCAGCTGTACCATTTTACAATCTGACCAGCAATATGAGGGTTCCAGTTTCTCCACATCCTTTTTACCACTTGTCTGTCTGTCTTCTTTTTTTTTTTTTTTTTTTTTTGAGACAGAGTCTCACTCTGTCACCAGGTTGGAGTGCGGTGGCACTATCTCGGCTCACTGCAACCTCCACCTCCCAGATTCAAGCAATTCTGTCTCAGCCTCCCAAGTAGCTGGGATTATAGGTGCCCACCACCACACCCAGCTGATTTTTGTATTTTTAGTAGAGACAAGATTTCACTATGTTGGTCAGGCTGATCTCGAACTCCTGACCTCAGGTGATCCTCCTGCCTCGGGCTCCCAGAATGCTGGGATTACAGGCATGAGCCACTGCGCCCAGCCTGTCTTTCTTTATTCATAGTGGATATGAAGTGGTATCTCATCATGGGCTTCTTTTGGTTTTATTTTGTTTTTAGAAACAGGGTCTTGCTCTGTCGCCCAGGCTACGATGCAGTGGCGCAATCATAGCTGACAGTAGCCTCACCTTCCTGGGTTCAAGTTGTCCTCCCACCTCAGCATCCTGAATAGCTGAGACTACAGGCAAATGCCACCCTAGAGACAGGGTCTCATTTATGTTGCCCAGGCTGGTCCCGAACTCTTGGGCTCAAGTGATCCTCCTGCCTTGGCTTCCCAAAGTGCTGGGATTTTTGTGCTACCTCCTGGGACTCACTGTGGTTTTGATTTGCATTTCCCTAATGACTAATGATGTTAATCTTTTCTTAGGTTTATTGGCCATTTGTCTGTCTTCTTTGGAGAAGTGTCAATTTAAATCCTTTGTCTTTCTTTTTCTTTCCCCCCAGACGGAGTTTCGCTCTTATTGCCCAGACTGGAGTGCAGTGGTGTGATCGAGGCTCACTGCAACCTCCACCTCTCGGATTCAAGCAGTTCTCAGCCTCAGGCTCCTGAGTAGCTGGGATTACAGGCGCCTGCCAACATGCCCGGCTAATTTTTTTGTATTTTTAGTAGAGATGGGGGTTTCACCATCTTGGCCAAGCTGGTCTTGAACTCCTGACCTTGTGATCCGCCCACCTCAGCCTCCCAAACCAACAACATTTTATGTAAAGAAATATAGGATACTTGTAGTAGCTGTTTAAAGGAAAGAATTTATCTCCTGGTAACTTAACAAAATTAGATTTTTGCCCCTTGTTTTTGGAGTAAAAATGCATTGGCCAGGCATGGTGGTTCATGCCTGTAATGCCAGCCGTTTGGAAGGCCAAGGCGGGTGGATCACCTGAGGTTGGGAGTTTGAGACCAGCCTGACCAACATGGAGAAACCCCATCTCTACTAAAAATACAAAATTAGCTGGGTGTGGTGGCGCATGCTTGTAATCCCAGCTACTCGGGAGGCGGAGGTTGCGGTGAGCTGAGATCGCGCCATTGCACTCCAGCCTGGGCAACAAGAGTGAAACTCTGTCTCAAAAAACAAAACAAAACAAAAAAGTGCATTGCAATGCTTGTATTTTTTTTTCCCAAAATAGCATTTTGATAAATAACATTGAATCCTTGAATTTAGGGATATGTTGAAAATATGTCAGTGTAAAATTGTGTTGCAAATATTCAAGTCAAATTTAAGCAACCTTTCAACAATAAGCAAAGAGGGATGTGATTTGTTGGTGTTTAATCATTTTCCTTTTGATCTAATTTCCTTAGAGAAATATTTTGTACTTGTGCTCTCAGGCCAGATTTTCCTGTCACACTGCCTGAACTAGATCAGCGGCTTCTCTGCCCTTTAATCCTTGCCCTGTTTACCATCAGTAACAATTGTAAACTAGTGCCTCATCATTATAAAGGCAGTAACTATCTTTCCCATTGATGGGAAGTGGTGATTATTTACTTAGGCTTGTGTTAGTCACAGATGCTTCAAATAGCTTGATCTTTTTCTTTAAGCATTTATACGTGATCAGCAAATAGGAAACATGGATGAAACCGCTTATTCCTTAAAATTTGCTAATAGAATTTATCCGAAATGTTTTTTTTTTTTTTGAGACTGAGTCTCGCTCTATTGCCCAGGCTGAAGTGCAGTGGTGTGATCCCAGCTCACTACAACCTCTGCTTTCCAGGTTCAAGCAATTCTCGTGCCTCAGCCTCCCCAGTTGCTAGGATTACAGGCACAAGACAACACGCCCGGATAATTTGTATATTTTTAGTAATGACAGGGTTTCACTATGTTGGCTAGGCTGGTCTTGAACTCCTGACCTTAAGTGATCCACCTGCCTCAGCCTCCCAGAGTGCTAGGATTACAGGCGTTAGCCACCTTGGCCGGCCCAGAATGTGTTTTTAATTAGTCTTGTGTTTAAGAACAGAAACATGGCTGGGCGCAGTGGCTCATGCCTGTAATCCCAGCACTTTGGGAGGCTGAGGTGGGTGTTTCATGAGGTCAGAAGATCGAGACCATCCTGGCCAACATGGTGAAACCCCATCTCTACTAAAAGTACAAAAATGAGCTGGGTGTGGTGGCATGCACCTGTAGTCCCAGCTACTCCAGAGGCTGAGGCAGGAGAATTGCTTGGACCCAGGAGGCGGAGGTTGCAGTGAGCCCAGATCGTGCCACTGCACTCCAGTCTGGGTGACAGAATGAGACTCCGTCTCAAAAAAAAAAAAAAAAAAGAAGAACAGAAACACAAGAATTGATTGAATTGATAATGAAGTGGTTTTGTTTGTTTTTGAGACAGAGTTCTGTTGCCTAGGCTGGAGTATAGTGACGTGGTCTTGGCTCACTGCAACCTCCGCCTCCCAGGTAACCATCAAGGGATTCTCCTGCCTCAGCCTCTCAGGTAGCTGGGATTACAGGCACCCGCCACCACACCTGGCTAATTTTTGTATTTTTAGTAAAGACAGGGTTTCGCCATGTTGGCCAGGGTGGTCTCAAACTCCTGACCTCAGGTGATCCACCCGCCTCGGCCTCCCAAAGTGCTGGGATTACAGGCCTGAGCCACCCCGCTCAGCCTAAAGTTGTTTTTTTAATATGGAATTGTCTACTTTTTTCATTTAGATTAGTTTGTAAAGACGTAGGTGTGCTTGCTAGTGCAGTGTTCCCTATAATCTGTGGATAGATATTTATATTTAAAATTTTCCCAAAGGAAAAAAAATTCCATGAATTTTTTTTTTTCTCTGCAGTTCTCTCTTTCTAGTTGGGTTACACAAAAATGTATTACTTAGACATACTAGCTTTGTATTTGCCACCTGTACCTATAAGAGATTCTCTACCAAATTGCTTTCTGAGGTCCCCGGTTACCATTAGTAGGGTTAGGCTGAGTTAAGCATGTATGTCCAAACCCAGCTACTTGGGAGGTGGGAGGATCCCTTGAGAACAGAAATTTGAGGCTAGCCTGGACAACATAGCAAGACAGCAGCTCTTAAAAAAAAAGTCGCTGGGTGCGGTGGCTCATGCCTGTAATCCCAGCACTTTGGGAGGCTGAGGCAGGCGGATCACCTGAGGTCAGGAATTTGAGACCAGCCTGACCAACATGGTCAAACCCCATCTCTACTAAAAAATACAAAATTAGCCGGGCGTGGTGACACATGCCTGTAATCCCAGCTACTTCGGAGGCTGAGGCAAGAGAATTGCTTGAACCCTGGAGGCGAGGCGAAGGTTGCAGTAAGCCGAGATTGCACCATTGCACACTAGTCTGGGCAACAAGAGCGAAACTCTGTCTCAAAAAAAAAAAAAAGTAAATATATCCATATATCTACATCCTATAACCATGTGTTGTTTTATGTTTATTTGTTTTGTTTATAATAAGAGGGCACGATGGGCACCATCTCGGCTCACTGCAACCTCTGCCTCCCAGGTTCAAGCAGTTCTCCTGCCTCAGCCTGCTGAGTAGCTGGGTTTACAGGTAGTTACCATGCCCGGCTAGTTTTTGTATTTTTAGTAGAGACAGGGTTTCACCATGTTGGCCAGGCTGGTCTTGAACTCCTAAGCTCAAGTGATCCACCCGTCTTGGCCTTCCAAAGTGCTGGGTTTACAGGTGTGAGCCACTGTGCCCCGCCAACATCCTATAACCATGTTTTGAAAAGAAAGAGTAGGCTGGCCTCAGTGGGTCACGCCTGTAATCCCAAGCACTTTCGGAGGCCAAGGTGGGAGGGTTACTCGAGTCCAGGAGTTTGAGACCCGCCTGGGCAACATCATGAGACCCTGTCTCTACAGAAGATTTTTAAAAGTAGGCAGGCATCGGCCGGGCGCAGTGGCTCATGCCTGTAATCCCAGCACTTTGGGAGGCCGAGGCGGGCAGATCACGAGGTCAGGAGATCGAGAGGCGCCTGTAGTCCCAGCTACTCGGGAGGCTAAGGCAGGAGAATGGCGTGAACCTGGGAGGTGGAGCTTGCAGTGAGGCGAGATTGTACCACTGCACTCCAGCCTGGGCGACAGAGCAAGACTCCATCTCAAAAAAAAAAAAAAAAAGTAGGCAGGCGTGGTGGCGTGTGCCTGTAGTCCTGGATACTCAGGGAGGCTGAGGTGGGAGGATTGCTTGAGCTTAGGAGGTCAAGACTGCAGTGAGTAGTGATCACGCCACTGCACTTCAGCCTGGGCAACAGAGCGATACCCTGTCTCAAAAAAAAAAAAGAGAAAAGAAAAATAAATCACCTTTAACATAGGATATACTGTAGCTGATCCATTGGAATTGAGAAATCCTTATAAATGTATTCATCCACTGTGTATCCGCAAAGTTTTTTTTTTAATTATACTTTAAGTTCTAGGGTACACATGTACAACGTGCAGGTTTGTTACATAGGTATACATGTGCCATGTTGGTGTGCTGCACCCGTTAACTCATCATTTACATTAGGTATATCTCCTAATGCTATCCCTCCCCCCTCCCCCCACCCCATGACAGGCCCCGGTGTGTGATGTTCCCCACCCTGTGTCCAAGTGTTCTCATTGTTCAGTTCCCATCTATGAGTGAGAACATGCGGTGTTTGGTTTTCTGTCCTTGCGATAGTTTGCTCAGAATGATGGTTTCTAGCTTCATCCATGTCCCTACAAAGGACATGAACTCATCACTGTGTATCCACAAATTTTTTTTTTTTTTTTTTTTTTTTTTTGAGACAGAGTCTCACTTTGTCGCCCAGGCTGGAGTGCAGTGGTGCAATCTCATCTCACTGCAAGCTCCACCTCCCGGGTTCATACCATTCTCCTGCCTCAGCCTCCCGAGCAGCTGGGACTACAGGCGCCCACCACCACACCCAGCTAATTTTTCTATTTTTAGTAGAGACAGGGTTTTACCGTGTTAGCCAGGTCTCGATCTCCTGACCTCGTGATCTGTCCCCCTCGGCCTCCCAAAGTGCTGGGATTACAGGCCTGAGCCACCATGCCTGGCCAAAAATTTTTAAAAGAAAAAAGAGACTCTTTTTATCCTCACTTTAAACTACCTTTGTATTGCTTTCAAAGTCTGCATGATTATCTTTAAATCCAATCAGTATGACTGAGAAAGCAGTATTTTGTTAGTTTCTTAGTGGTTTTTTGATCAGAGAAATAGGAACTAGTGGAGTAAAGATAAAATAAGAAAGATATGAAATAATTATATATATATTTTTTTCTGAGATGGAGTCTTGCTCTATCTCCCAGGCTGGAGTGCAATGGCGCAATCTCAGCTCACTGCAACCTCCACCTCCTGGGTTCAAGCGATTCTCCTGCCTCAGCCTCCCGAGTAGCTGGGATTACAGGTGTCTGCCACCACGCCCAGCTAATTTTTGTATTTTTTTTTTTTTTTTTAGTAGAGACGGGGTTTCATCATGTTGGCCAGGCTGGTTTCTAACTCCTGACCTCAGGTGATCCACCTGCCTCAGTCTCCCAAAGTGCTGGGATTACAGGCATGAGCCAACACGCCCGAAAAATGCTCATGGGTTTAAGAGAATGTAAAGAATATACATTTTTTACATTTTTAGGAATTAAAATAGATTTATCTCTTTCAACTTTTGTATATGTTTGACATTTTTTATAATATTGGAAAAATATATGAATCTTGTATTTTACTTTTTTAGTTTGTTCATTCAAGTATTTCAATAAAATAGATGATTACTCCATATTCTCAAAGAGGTTTTAAATCTTTTTTAGTGGGCCGGGTGCGGTGGCTCACGCCTGTAAATCCCAGCACTTTGGGAGGCGGAGACGGGCAGATAACAAGGTGAAGAGATCAAGACCATCCTGCCCAATATAGTGAAATCCTGTCTCTTCTAAAAATACAAAAATTAGCTGGGCATGGTGGTGCACCCCTGTAATCCCAGCTACTCAGGAGACTGAGGCAGGAGAATTGCTTGAACCCAGGAGGCAGAGGTTGCAGTGAGCCGAGATCACACCACTGCACTCCAGCCTGGCAACAGAGCGAGACTCCGTCTCCCAAAGAAAAAAAAAAATCTTTTTTAGTGAATGGAAAGTTGGAAAAATTTCACGCAATCTTTTCTTTTAAAGAAGTATATCACAAAATGAAAGGACCTAATAGAAATGAGCAAAAGGTAGTTGACTGATCTATCTTTGTAGTATACTTGCTATATAAATGAGGCTGTTTGTGTGGCAAGTAGATTGAACAGCAAGTCTACTTTTTGTCAGGTGCGTAGCTTTCATTTACAGTGGAGTCTTTAAGGTTAAACACTATTGGAATTATTTTTTATTTCCCTCTACTTATGTCTGTTTTCTTTTACAGCATCCACCCGTTTTGTCAAGTGTGAAAAGTGTCATCATTTTTTTGTTGTGCTATCTGAAGCAGACTCAAAGAAAAGCATAATTAAAGAACCTGAATCAGCAGCAGAAGCTGTAAAATTGGCATTCCAACAGAAACCACCACCTCCCCCTAAGAAGGTATAAGTCTTAAGCTCAGTCTTACAAGTATTTTATCTTGAAAACATTCCATTGCTTCCCTCTCCCAAGTTTACACTGAATCCTAATACTAGTATATAAACAAGTATTATAGGTTCATAATATGGACCATATGTGGCTAAATTGTTATTGCCTTTTGGAATTTAAATATGGGGTCTGTTGCTTTTTCCCATGTTATGATTACTGTATTCAGTGGCAGTGAAATATAGCTAGATAATTATTAAAATGTTAACTTGTTAATACCAAGTTAATCTGAAATAATATCTACAATAGAGCAAGCAACTTCTGATTTATTTTTGTTCATATGGACCCTTAAATAACACCAGCCTAGGCTGGTCCACTTGACTAGCCTTAAAAAAAAAAGCCTGCAATTATCTCCCTTAAATTGGTCTATTTTATGGTAAAACAGCCTTCAGTCTAATAATGTAAGTAAGTAGTTTTTTCATAGCCAGTGTGCCGGGCTGCTCCGTATAGCACTGTGGCTTTGGTAGTGTGGACTCTTTAGAAGTCTCAGGCAGAGTATGATTTGGTCCTGTGAGATGTAACAGAATGTACCACCAGCTCCATTGGGTATTTGGTGTGTGCTTTTTGAGAACTGGGAACCCTTGTACCCTGGCTATGTGCCTTCTGTTCTGGCTGTGTCTCAGATGTTTGCACACTTAGATTATTTCTCACTGCCTCAGTGTATCTTTCTTCTACTGTGTTTAGATATCAGTGCATTTGTCTCTACTTCCAAATGTGCTGTGACAGATTTAATGTCATTGGTATAATTTGTAAGGAATAAAGATGTTTAAAACTATAATAAAATGTATATGGTCAACAACTAAAGAATTTGTCATTAAAAATGGAAAATATATTGGGCTTTATATTCTATACGAATTTGTGTAGACTTTAGACATGTGAGTTAAAATTCCAGGCAGTTTGGCCGGGTGCGGTGGTTTGGTTCACTCCTGTAATCCCAGCACTTTGGGAGGCCGAGGCGGGCGGATCATGAGGTCAGGAGATCGAGACCATCCTGGCTAACATGGTGAAACCCCGTCTCTACTAAAAAAATACAAAAAATTAGCCCGGCGTGGTGGCGGGTGCCTTTAGTCCTGGCTACTCGGGAGGCTGAGGCAGGAGAATGGCGTGAACCCGGGAGGCGGAGCTTGCAGTGAGCCAAGATCACGCCACTGCACTCCAGCCTGGGTGAAAGAGCGAGACTCCGTCTCAAAAAAAAAAAAAAAAAAAAAAAAAATCCAGGCAGTTTAACTAATTTCAGGAGTTTTTGAATTATTTATTTTTTAATCAGGGTTTCACTCTGTTGCCCAGGCTGGAGTGCAGTGGCACACTCATGGTTCACTGCAGCCTTAACCTCCCTGGGCTCAAGTGATCCTCCCACTTCAGCCTCCACAGTAGCTGGGACTGCAGGTGTCTACCACTATGCCCAGCTAATTTCTGTAGAGACAGGGTTTTGCCATGTTGTCCAGGCTGGTCTGCACCTCCTGGGCTCAAGTGATCCATCCGCCTCAGCCTCCCAAAGTGCAGGGATTACAGCCGTGAGCCACCAAGCCCGGCAGGAGTTGGTTAATATTAATTCACCAACCATTTCATTTCTATTCACTAAAAACTTAAAAAATTTACCCCAGGTTCCAAGCTGTTGGCAATAACCAACTGTAGAATAGAGCTTTAGCTACTATTAAGAATAAAGTTTTTAGGGCTGAGCTTGGTGGCTCATGCCTGTAATCCCAGCACTTTGGGAAGCCAAGGCAGGAAGATTGCTTGAGCCCCAGGAGTTCAAGACCAGCCTTGGCGACACAGTGAGACCCTGTATCAAAAAAAGAAAAAAATATATTTTTAGAAAATAAAAAAAAATAAGAATACAGTTTTTAGAGTCTCAGATAAATGAGTAGCTTTAAAGTTAATGTCTGAGAAAAAATTAAATTTACTAAAACACATAGATACTGATAGTATAATGGCTTTTGATTATGTAATGCCTGTTTCTGAAAAGAGTAGTTTTATAATGTTATCTTTGTGAAGAATGTTATTCATTTGATTGACAGGTATGGATTTATTTTAATGATTTACATTAATGTTGATACTTTTAGACCATGGTGGCATGTGTATGTATTCTAAGTTACTTTAAATTTAATTTGTTATCAAAAAATAAAGATTGATAGCATTGTTTATAGAATAGAAATTAGCACAACACTAGTAGAGTACAGTGATACTTTGTTAAGCTAGAGAACAAATGAATTGTGTTTTTGTTCATTTAGTGTTCAGGGCCTCTGAATCATTGCTATATAATGTATTGTCATTTTGTTTTTAATGAGAGTCTTTGTTCAGATTTAAAACTGTAAGCAAATATGCTTAGTAAATAACTTTTTAATGTGTGTGCTCTTATAATAGCTCATATTAAATTATTCATACCTAATCATTTTTCAGATTTATAACTACCTCGACAAGTATGTTGTTGGCCAGTCATTTGCTAAGAAGGTGCTTTCAGTTGCTGTGTACAATCATTATAAGAGAATATATAATAATATCCCAGCTAATCTGAGACAGCAAGCAGAGGTTGAGAAGCAGACATCATTAACACCAAGAGGTAGCGTTTTTGATAATTGACCTAAATAGAGATTGCTATGCTTAAAAGTAATCTTTATTTGTAACTCCTCACTTTCTTCTTAAAATGTTTTTTATATAGTGTGGCATTTTTCAAAGTGCAGGTTATTCCCCATTAGTGTGTTATGAAATCATTTGCCAACAGCATTTTTTAAAAATTTGATAGATATGAATAGAAAATAACAGAATACATTAACTTACAGTTAAGGTAAATATTATTTCTTAGGCCTGGCATGGTGGCTTATGCCGGTAATCCCAGCACGTTTGGAGGCCGAGGCGGGGGGATCACTTGAGGTCAGGAGTTCGAGACCTGCCTGGCCAGCATGGGAAACTCCGTCTCTACTAAAAATACAAAAATTAGCCAGGTGGGGTGGCACATGGCTGTAGTCATTATACAGTATACTGTATAATCTCAATTTACTATGGACAATAATGTATATTAATAGAATGATTTATTAAAAACAATTATGCATAGAGTAAATATGAATATTTAATTTTTTGTTTTGTTGGCCAGACAGCCCCAATTTCTGATTTAGGCCTATATTCCATCATTTTAGATTCTTTTAGTTATCACTGTACAGTGTGAAGGAGTTCTGCTAAGTACTTAAATTTATAAGTCTACATTATCTTTGATTGCCTTTAGTAGCAACTAAATGTATAATTTATTTCAATGAAGACACTTGTTCACTTGCTGAACTTACATCACATAACTGCAAAATAGGTATGTGATGGTATCAGTTATTTTTAGAAAGTATAAGTCATAACTAACGGATGACTTGGAACCTTTTTCTTTTTTTCAAGACAAGGTCTCTCTCTGTCACCCAGGCTGGATTGCGACTCACTGCAGCCTCAACTTCCCAGGCTCCAGTGATCCTCCCACCTCAGTCTCCCAAGCAATCCATCTGCCTCAGCCTCCCAAAGTGCTGGGATTAATAGGCGTGAACTCTTGCGCCTGGCCTGAAATCTTCATTTTTATAAGGTCCAAATAGCACTGATAGTTATGGAGCAAAACTTTTTTGTTTTCCTCGGTAATAAATAGATATTTAAGCTATTCTAAGTGCTGGAGGAGCAAATGGTTATAATATTTATAGCATGAGGGGCTTAAACTCTTATTAAAGACTTATGTTATTATACCCTTACAATAGATATCAATTATATATTTGACAAATGTGAATATTAGCAACTGGACAGCGGTCTTTATGCATGGTTTTGTTTTAATATAGAAAAGATATAGCATATATGAAAAGCTGAAAAATGTTAATGAACAAATCCTTTAAATATATTTGAAAGAGGACAGGAGGTGGGATACTCATTGTTTGTTCCCCCAAGGTAAACAAATATGTAATATTTTCATCCTCTTTCTTAGAGTTAGAAATAAGAAGACGGGAGGATGAGTACAGATTTACAAGTAAGTGACTTCAGGTCCTCCTCTGTAATCATTCTTCCTTTTGACATTTATTTCAGTGAAGTGTTTCAGCAGTAACAGTGATAGACATGTATGTATTTGCTTGTGTATTACCAAGAAAGATACGTATTATCTAAATGTGTTTATCCTACATGGTATATATAACTTTGGAATAGTTTTTCATAGCTAATTTGTGTCGTTTCCATATGTTGGGTTATTTTTTATTTTTTCTATCAAACTACAATTAGAGTTGGCCTGCTTCTTGTGGGTCACAGGAATTTGGGGGAGGCAGATTATTTTCTAGCTACTCTTTGCCAGAAAGCACACTGTTTTTTGGTTTTTTTTGTATTTATGAAACTTACAGTCTTACAAATTATGAGTAAGTCTTAATTCACTGTTTCCAGCCCCAGATTGCCCCTACAAGCATCAGATGGTCCGATGGAGGGTGTGGAAGGACTTGATAGACCAAGGAGAGTGGCCTTTCTGTTGTGTTCCACCTATTCCTTTGGAGGTGGATATAGTTAGTTGCTGCATTGAGGGTGGAGGTTCCAGGGGTGTCATAGAAAGATTCACATGGCCTTTTGTTTTAGTAATTGAAATAAAGAAAATTAGCTAAGTTTGATGTTTTTACATTTGCCTTTGAACCAAGTAGTATTATATATCCACTATTTGAAGTGTACTATATATAGGATGAGCCATGAGAATATAACTTGTGTACCAACTTGGGCATGACATTTATCACATGTAATAAAATTACATTATCCCCAGTTATTTTTAAATTTATAGAAATACTGATTATACCATGCGTGGTAAAATTAAGAAATACAGTAAGTGCAATAGAATTAGATTGTATATAAGAATGTAAAATCTAAATAATAACCTTTAGGTATATATGTAATTTATTTCATAATAAAAAAATATATTCAGATATGCAGTCAATACCATACTCATAAATTGTGTTGACAGCTAGTTAACCTATACTAAATTAGTAAAGAAAGTCTGTAGTGCATATTTTGAAAGACATGTCATGTAATATATGTAGTGATTTAATGTTATTTAAATGTTAACAAGTAACAGTATTTAAGAACTTATGTAAAAGATTGACTTAGAAACAAATATTTCAAAAGCTTAAATTTATTGTCATGTGCAGTTTTGTTGTGTTTTACATGGGATTTTAAGTTCTAAAGTTAGGTTGTTAACTAACACTGGCTGGGGGTGTTAGACCCTAACACTGGTCTAGGGTTTTAGACCAAAATCATGTACAATAAGATTAATTCTTATAAGTCCCTTTGGAAGTCAAATTTTAGAGACCAACATACAGCTTTTAGGAGGACTGACACAATTGGCTTTTTTTCTCCATCTTTGGAATATAATGTTGTTTTTTAAGTTGAGCACCAGATGAAATACTTTGTTTGCGTTTAAGGGCTGTGTTGTGTGAATAATTAAACACTAGGGAAATGGTAATAATAATACCAGATTCTTCTGTAACACTTATAAAACTATCTGCCAGGTATTGTTCTAAGTGTTTTGCATATATTCATTTAATCTCCCCTAAACCCATGAGACAGAAACTATTATTTTTATCTCCATTTTAGAAGTAAGAAAACTGAAACACAGAAATTTTAAGTAATTTGTCCGTGGCCACACAGCTGGTGAGCTCTGTGCAGCTAACTACTACACTAGCCTGCTTGCTCATGGTCCTCATTTTAGAGAGCTGTGCTTACACAGTGAGAGATGCACAAACAGGGACTAACTGAAAGAATCGGAGAGTTGTCTCAAGTTTGTTCTAAGGCATATACTCATAAAATGGGATGATGGATATCATCTGTATCATTTAAATTATTTCTTTTTTAAACTTAAATCATTAAATAAGTTAAATACATAGATTATGTGGTTCCACTGTAATTAATATGCCCCTTGCAATTTTGTTCATTTATTCATCTAAATCGTGTGTGTGTGTGTGTGTGTGTGTGTGTGTGTGTGAGAGAGAGAGAGAGAGAGAGAGAGAGAGAGAATGAGTGAATGACAAGCACCTGCTGGCCTTGCTGATCTGAAGCTACATCTAAATCATTTTTTCCCTTTGGGCAGAGCTAAACTTAACCCAAGCCCCTTCCTATGTTATCACAATCCCTAACCAGATTTTGCTGAAATTTTAAAAAGTACTTTGCTAGTGACAATTTAACTATCCTCATACAGCAGACTGAGTTTTCTTGGCTGATGTGGATTATAATGAGGCACAACATTGTGAATTATTCACTAATTATTAACCCTCAAAGGTAGCACAATTTAATCCAGATGTTTATGGAATGCTTATTGTTTTTGATGAATAGAATAACCCTTTACCTTAAGTATGAAGATAGTTTGAAAGTGACAGCCAGATGGAATAGGACTATGATAATAGATATGTCTGCCAAACTATTATTCTATCAGTTTAATTAAAATAATCATTGGAAAGTCTGATTTTCTGAATCAATTTCTTAGAAAATAAAATTTAGGCCAGGCGCGGTGTCTCATGCCTGTAATCCCAGTACTTGGGGAGGCTGAGGCGGGTGGATCACCTGAAGTCAGCAGTTCAAGACCAGCCTGGGCAACATGGCAAAACCCCGTCTCTACTAATAATACAAAAATTAGCCAGGTGTGGTGGCGTGTGCCTGTAATCCCAACTACTCGGGATGCTGAGGCAGGAGAATCACTTGAACCCAGGAGGCGGAGGTTGCAGTGAGCTGAGATTGCACCACTGCACTCCAGCCTGGACAACAGAGAGAGACTCTGTCTCAAAATAAAAAAAAAAAAAAGAAAAGAAAATGTAAAAATAAATTCAGGAAATATAAACAAGTATGTTGTGATAACAGGTACTCAAATGCTAAGAACCAAGAACAATCTGAATATTTACAAATCTGGATAATCTTTCCTTCAGCCAAGAGAAAGTGAGAATAAAGATTTATTTATTTCATTTTTATTTTGTTTTGTTTTATTTTATTTTAATTTTATTTTTTTGAGACAGAGTCTTACTCTGTTGCCCAGGCTGGAGTGCAGTGGCGTGATCTTGGCTCACTGCAACCCCCGCCTCCCGGGTTCAAGCAATTCTCCTGCCTCGGCCTCCCAAGTAGCTGGGACTATAGGCGCGTGCCATCACATCTGGCTAATTTTTTATTTTTAGTAGAGATGGGGTTTCACCGTGTTGGCCAGGCTGTTCTCAAACTCCTGACCTCAGGTGAGCCACCATGCCTAGCCTAAAGATTTATTTTTGTAGGAATCTGGCTGATAAACTGATAACCTCACTAGCAATGTCAGTCCCATCTAGTCATTAGCAATGTCAGTCACATCTAGTTAAGTGTTATGTCTCTAATAAAGGAAATAGAAAGATCCAGTACAGGTCCAATAAAATTAGAGATTTAGATAGGGCCAGAGATAGTAAGGTGTATCATATTTGGTTTCTCTAGTAGATTTTATTGATTAGGAAACAGGAACATAAAGTTTATATGACTTGCCCTAGATCATGTAGCTTCTACTTAGAGACAAAGGAAGGTCCAGAGCTAAAGCTTTCTAACTCCTGGCTCTGCTCTTCTGTTGTATTGCCTTCCCTTGGGTAAAGGAGTATTCTTACATATTTATATAAATAAGGACAGTAAAAAAAATCAATTTCCTTTGCTTGAGGTTCTTTATATAATCATTGTGTGCTATATGTTTGTCACTAGATAATTTGAGATTTTTCTCCTTTGTAGGTAAGACAGAATGTCAAAATACTTAAATTTTTCTATGTCGATATTTAGTTTTAGATAAAAGTTTTTATGGGACATTTTCTTCAAGTAAATTCAAATGAAGCTCAAGTAATTCCTTTGGCATTTTTTTCAGAATTGCTTCAGATTGCTGGAATTAGCCCACATGGTAATGCTTTAGGAGCATCAATGCAGCAACAGGTAAATCAACAAATACCTCAGGAAAAACGAGGAGGTGAAGTATTGGATTCTTCTCATGATGACATAAAACTTGAAAAAAGTAATATTTTGCTGCTTGGACCAACTGGGTCAGGTAAATAACTTGCTGAGAAAATTTACTACTCATTTTAAAAATCAGAATATAAATGATTCTATAACCTGTATCTTGCGATTGAAGTATTACGGCTCTTGAGAAGAAAATCTAAGGCCAGTCATCTAGATACACTATCAGTATTCCTGCATAGAATACAAACTGGATTTGAGGCATTGGTGTTGCCCTTCAGGCCAATCCCTAACATCTTCACAGGAATAATAAAATAAAAAACAGCTATATCTAAATAATAATAGATCGGATGTAGTGGCTCACACCTGTAATCCCAGCATTTTGGGAGACAAAGGTGGGAGGATCACTTGAGGCCAAGAGTTTGAGACCAGCCTAGGCAACAGAGCAAGACTCTATCTCTATAAAAAATAAAGTATTAGTTGGGCGTGGTAGCACATGCCTGTAGTCCTGAGGCTGAGGCAGGAGGATCACTTAAGCCCAGGAGATTGAGGCTGGAGTGAGCCATGATCACAGGCTGCACTCCAGCCTGGGTGACAGAGCAAGAACCTGTCTCTAAAAAAAATAATAGCAGAGGAAGGATGTAGCAATTGACAACTTTTTATTATATACTACTAAAATTTATTTTGCATTTTTATTGAAAAATTGTGTGCCAATATATTTTCAGTAAACTTTTAGTGACTGTTTCTATTTGTAGGTAAAACTCTGCTGGCACAAACCCTAGCTAAATGCCTTGATGTCCCTTTTGCTATCTGTGACTGTACAACTTTGACTCAGGCTGGATATGTAGGCGAAGATATTGAATCTGTGATTGCAAAACTACTCCAAGATGCCAATTATAATGTGGAAAAAGCACAACAAGGTATGTTTTCAGCATGGTCTGTCCCCAGATTTAGAATATTGGGGAATCAGTCTAATATTAAGAGACAATATAATTCTTGTTTTGAGTCAAGGACTAAAATTCTGTAATTATATAAAAGTACCTTTGTTACATAATTTCTAGCATACTGATTAAGGGCCACATAGTTTGCTTTGCCTTATTGTCACTAAGCTGGCTGGTAGGATTCAAAACAAGCCAAATTACTGTCCTATTAGATCCTTAATACTATCATTGCTTTTCTTGTTTTAACTCCCCTCAAGACTTCTAATGCTTAGATTAAGACAGGACAGGGCAGGGGCAAGGGAGGAGGGTACCAGATGACTCTAGAAACAGTTTAGCCTGTTGACCTACAGGATGTCATGGATGCTGCGTTGCTCCTTCATTTATCATCTGTTCTTGTTCACGTGAAGAGCATGACAGCTTCCTGTTCAAATTTCTTTAAGACAAGAATGTAGGCGGGAAAGAGTAAGCTAAAGTTTTGTTAATACTAGCACTGCAGATACCTCCTGCTTCCATACTATAAAGAATTCATATACATTAGTGGGGCAAATCACTGTTGTCAAGGAGATTTTGTTACCATACGTAAATGTTACTCCGTAGAGCAGATTACAAAGCAGTTGTACAAAATGATGGATGGAAGAAATAAAAGTGCATTTTTATAATGTCAAGCTATTGGATATGTTAAGTATGAAAGATCAAATAACTTTGTTCTCTAGCTACCTAAGTATTTTAAAGCTGAGGCTATCTTGTGTATATCTTTTTCGTATTATAAATAGAATCCTCCTTAAATTATAGGAATTGTCTTTCTGGATGAAGTAGATAAGATTGGCAGTGTGCCAGGCATTCATCAATTACGGGATGTAGGTGGAGAAGGCGTTCAGCAAGTAAGCAGTTGAGTATTTTGTTCAAGCCCACTAAAAGGAAGGGAATACATCAACCTCCCAAATATTGTACGTTTGGTTTCACATTCAATTAGATTCTGTTTTATTTCTTCCGCCCCCAAACTCCACATATCATTTTGAAGTAGTTTAGATCCTAAAAGAAAGTTGTTGACAATTTGAAATAACAAATTACCTTGTTAGGAAATTTAAAATATTTTGAAGAACAGAAAAAATGAAATTTAATCTTTTTTTTTTATTCCTCAAAGGCCCAGTTAAACATTTCTAGAAGACTTTTGAAGAAAGTTATGATTCTAACTAGACATGAATGAACTATGTACATGCTTCTTATTCCTTCCACTTATTTAGAAGATAGGTATAAAATAATGTTTAATTCCTTGCAGAGCCATAATTGAAGTCACAATGATCTATTGGCCAACTTGACCTTTTAATGATAACTAATTATGACATAAACTATTAAAGGGTGAGGAAAATTGTTTCACTTTTTGACAGAGACATAGGTATAATCACACTTACGTGCTGGAAATTTTTTTTTATAAAAGCATCTCCAAATATAGGTAGTCTCAAAGTTTAATACTGTAAGTGGAATAGAATTTTAATTTATGTGAAAGACATATCTTCAACTATTTTCTAATTTTGAATGTTCCCACCGTGCTTGAACACCATTTTATACAGTCATAATTCTGTGTTTATGTCAGAATTATGTCTTTACTATCAAAAACAACCTCTCAGGTTGACTGTTTTCCTGAATTACAATGCATCAAGTTCTGTAACCATTTCAAATAAATGTATTAATTATTAATGTGATAAATGCATTAGATTTTCTTGTTAGTTATAGGAATGTGGGAGTTTCATTAGGTATGTGCATTGACTATAATCACATATTGTTTTCCCCATTTAATCCTATTGTCTAAAGTATAATAAATAATGTGCTTATATGGTGATGCTATAAATCATTTGTTCTTTATTTAGGGCTTATTAAAACTACTAGAAGGCACAATAGTCAATGTTCCAGAAAAGAATTCCCGAAAGCTCCGTGGAGAAACAGTTCAAGTTGATACAACAAACATCCTGTTTGTGGCATCTGGTGCTTTCAATGGTTTAGACAGAATCATCAGCAGGAGGAAAAATGAAAAGGTAAGTTTTTCTGAGGGGTTACTAGAAGGATAGAGAGCATTTAAAGGATGTACACTCAGTTTCCATTCTCATATCTGCGGGCTACCAGTCATAGTTTTAATTATAAGAGTTGGGTTTTCTTAGAGCATATCAGAAATATACAGGGAAGGGTGCGGTGACTCAATGCCTATAATCCCAGTTCTTTGGGAGGCCAAGGTGGGCAGATTGCCTGAGCTCAGGAGTTCAAGACCAGCCTGGCCAACATGAAACCCTGTCTCTACTAAAAATACAAAAAATTAGCCAGGAGTAGTGGTGGGTGCCTGTAATCCCAGCTACTCGGGAGGCTGAGGCAGGAGAATCCCTTGAACCCAGGAGGCGGAGGTTGCAGTGAGCCAAGAACTCTAAGGCAGACAGACCTGAGTTCAAATTCTGGCTTTGCCACTTACAGCAATAAGATTTTGGTCAAGATATTAAACTCTCTAAGCCTGTTTTTTTCCTTTGTAAAATGTAAATGATAATAAAACCTTCTTCATAGAGTTGTTACAAAGATCATATGAAATATGTAGGAAAAGTACTTAATACACTATCATTTGATTCTACTAATTATAAATATGCATCATTTCTTTGGCAGTATCTTGGATTTGGAACACCATCTAATCTGGGAAAAGGCAGAAGGGCTGCAGCTGCTGCAGACCTTGCTAATCGAAGTGGGGAATCGAATACTCACCAAGACATTGAAGAAAAAGATCGGTTATTGCGTCATGTGGAAGCCAGAGATCTGATTGAGTTTGGCATGATTCCTGAGTTTGTGGGACGGTTGCCTGTGGTGGTTCCATTGCATAGCCTAGATGAGAAAACACTTGTACAAATATTAACTGAGCCACGAAATGCTGTTATTCCTCAGTACCAGGCCTTATTCAGCATGGATAAGGTTAGATTTTTATTTTTTGTACTTAGTTATTTTTTATTTTCTTGCTATTGAAATTCTACATAAATTAACCTAACAACAAAAACAAATTCTGCTCATCTAGAATACCAGCCTATTCCTTACTAAATATGGATCTAGGAATCAAGGAAGGCATATTGTATTATGTTAGAATTTAGGAGTTGTCTTTATTTTTTCTGAATTAAAACCATCATTATAGCCTAAAGCCCAAGAAAAATAATGCCATTAGCTTACCTCAACACCTCCAAGCCAGACATACAGGATTGTCCTTTCAGTCTTGGTATTCTAAATGCTTTTGTTGTGACATACTGTGTATATTTTTATATTATTTTGCCAAAATAGAGTTTTATTAATCCCACATATACTTCTCTGTAGCCAAACACCTAGCCCACATACCCAATTGGATAACAAATGGTTTGGGTTTTGTGAACTTTGTGTCTCTAAATATCAGTCTCTTCTTCTCCGTTGCCACTGCCTCAAGTCAAGCCCCTTTGATATTATTCACCTTGACCCATGCATTTAGTTCTTAATTGGTCTGCCTGTCTCATGTCTGTCTGTGACTATCACCAAAATATCATTATCTTCCTCTTTACTTCTGGAATGGATCATTGAGAACAGTGCCCAACAAATAGATATTAAGTTCTTAAATATTTATTGAATGATTAAAGATAAGGCTAATGTTTTTACTCCCTTGCTTAAAATCCTCCGGTGGTTCCCTAGTCTTATTTAGATGTCTCCCCCTTTGCTGCTCCCTTAGCTCCATGTACATACACTGGACTATAAATGCTAGTTTGCTAATCTGTCATCTGTCATCACACAATAGACTGTAAGTTGCTTGGCAAAGATGATGTCTATTCATCATTAAATCCCTAGTATGTAACACACAGAGGTTTAGTAAATGTTGAAAAAAATCCTAGGGAGTCCGTGTTAATCTAGAAAACATCTTCAAGCTTCAGAACAAACTTGGAATTCATAATACTGATACTGTCATGGATTGATAGAAACAAGTGCTTCTTGAAGGCAGGGTTCCAAAACACCATGAGAAATTGTGCCCTCACTTAATGGTACATTTTCTGGTGGTACAAATTAACAATAAAAGTTATAATTTATTTTTAATGTATTTGTAGTGTGAACTGAATGTTACTGAGGATGCTTTGAAAGCTATAGCCAGATTGGCACTAGAACGAAAAACAGGTGCACGAGGCCTTCGGTCCATAATGGTGAGTTGGCATTATTCTATAAAAACAATTATTTCTTGGTCTGAGTTTTGAGTATATTAAGCTTCCCTGTTTTTCTTTTGGAAAATATGTATATATATTTTGAGACAGAGTCTCAAATAAAGGAGTGCAGTGGTGCGATCTTGGCTCACTGCAATCTCCACCTCCCAGGCTGAGGCTCAAGCAGTCTTCCCACCTTAGCCTCCCAAGTAGCTGGAACTATAGGCAAGAACCACCACACCTGGCTAATTTTTGTATTTTTAGTGGAGATGGGGTTTCACCATGTTGGCCAGTCTGGTCTCAAACTCCTAACCTCAGGTGATCTGCCTGCCTCAGCCTCCCAAAGTGCTGGGATTACAGGCGTGAGCCACCACGCCTGGCCTGAATTTTTTTTTTTTTTTAGTCACAGTAGATTATATTTTGCTTTTTCTCAAAAAGGAACTTCAAGGTGTTTGCAACAAAGGACATAGACATAATATGATTAATGACACAGAAAATCGGGATCGGGCCTGGTAACTCACACCTATAAATCCCAACACTTTGGAAGGCCAAGGCAGGAGGATTGCTTGAGCCCAGGAGTTTGAGACCAGCCTGGGCAACATACACCCTCATCTCTCAAAACAAACAAACAAACAAACAAACAAAAAAAAAGAGGCTGGGCATGGTGGCTCATGCCCATAATCCTAGCACTTTGGGAGGCTGAGGCAGGCGGATTGCCTGAGCTCAGGAGTTCAAGACCAGCCTGGACAACATGGCGAAACCCCATCTCTACTAAAAATACAAAAAATTGGCCAGATTTGGTGGCTTACGCCTGTAATCACAGCTATAATCCCAAATATATATATATATATGTTTATATATATAATCCCATATATATGTTTATATATATATATATATTTGTTTTGTTTGTTTCTTTTTCCTTGAGTGAATGGATTCCAATTTGTGATTTATAGAATAAAAGCACTTGTATGTAATCTGTTTTCAATGTGATTCATTACTTTTTATTTCTTTAGGAAAAGCTGTTACTAGAACCAATGTTTGAAGTCCCTAATTCTGATATCGTATGTGTGGAGGTTGACAAAGAAGTAGTAGAAGGAAAAAAGGAACCAGGATACATCCGGTAAAGTGTATTTTCAAGCCAGAACAGATACAAAATTTAAGATGAGCTCCTCATTGCTATGTTTATTGGTTTGTCATTTTAAAATTACATAAAAATTATTATATTTCTAAGGGAAGCAATAATCTCAAGTTTTCTGTAGAAAAATCTAATTTGGGTATTATAAAATAATAGTATTTTGTGAGTCTTTGAAAGTTGATCATCAGGCCGGGTGTGGTGGCTCACACCTGTAATCCCAGCACTTCAGGAGGCCGAGGTGGGCGGATCACGAGGTCAAGAGATAGAGACCATCCTGGCCAACATGGTGAAACTCTGTCTCTACTAAAAATACAAAAATTAGCTGGGCGTGGTGGTGTGCGTCTGTAGTCCCAGCTACTCGGGAGGCTGAGGCAGGAGAATCACTTGAACCTAGGAGGCGGAGGTTGCAATGAGCCAAGATCGCACCACTGCACTCCAGCCTGGGCGACAAAGTGAGACTCAGTCTCAAAAAATATATAAAAAAAGGCAATGGGGCTGGATTTGGCTAGCAAGCTACAGTTTCCTAACCCCTGATTTATTCAATAAATGTTTACTATGCAATGCTTGACATTAATGTTACCTACACAAAAGCTAGGTTTCTGTTTAACTCAAATCATAAGGTATGTTATGTTTTATGTTTGCTTGTGTTCCAAGATAACTTTAGAGGCAGTTGATGTGTTTTGAACAACCTTAGTTATCCAGAGAGATATAATCTTTTATTTTTATTGTTTAATGACATTGACGTATGGCTTTTAAAGGAATTGTGGTGACCTGAATTATCATTTTTACTAGTTCGAGACAAGACGGATGTGATCAGAAATAGCTTCTTTACCATATACATATGCTAAGTTCCAGCATTTGAGTTGAAATAACAGATGATACTTTCTTGGAGAAGAGGATTTTTTAAGCCTTCACAATTGAAGCCATATTGTCCTTTTTTTTTTTTTTTTTTTTTTTTCTCCCAGTAATAAATTTGTCAGGGAAAATGCTGGGAAGTTTATTTGCAACTCTTGGTTGTATAGTCTGTTTCCCATATTACTAAGCAATCTTTTTTTTTTTTTTTTTTTTTTGAGACTCAGTCTTGCTCTGTCGCCCAGACTGGAGTGCAGTGGTATGATTTCGGCTTACTGCAACCTCCACTTCCTGGGTTCAAGCGATTCCCTTGCCTCAGCCTCCTGAGTAGCTGGGACTACAGGTGTGTGCCACCACACCCGGCTAATTTTTGTATTTTTAGTAGAGATGGGGTTTCAACATGTTGGCCAGGCAGGTCTCGAACTCCTGACCTCAAGTGATCAGCCCTCCTCGGCCTTCCAAAATGCTGGGATTACAGATGTGAGCCACTGTGTCCGGCCTAAGCCGTCTTAATATTAAAAGTGCTCCTAATATTTTCTATTATCGTGGCTTTCTTAGCTAGGAGAGGTTACTTTGCTGTTTTGATTTTAAAGATCATGTTTACCTCCATTTTTTATTTTAAAAAAACAAACATGGCTTTTCATTGTAGGGCTCCAACAAAAGAATCCTCTGAAGAGGAGTATGACTCTGGAGTTGAAGAAGAAGGATGGCCCCGCCAAGCAGATGCTGCAAACAGCTAAACTGTCATATTGCTGTCTTGTATATACAGCTTTTCCTTCTTTTGTTTAGGATCATAATTGTCTCTACAGTCTGATATTAAAGGCATTGGATCTATCTTGGATATCATACATGGTCAGAGAAGCCTTTAGGAGAAGAATCAGATCATGTATATAATTGTAACATCACATTGATTTTACGGAAGATGTTATATGGACTTTAATGACACAATGTTTAGAGATAAAATGTACATTATTTTGGTTCAGTTTTTTAAAAAAAATATGCTTTAACAAAATTCTTAGGAATTCTTTTAAGCAATGCAGGTATTGCGATAACTGTAGATTTTACAATAATGTTACTCTACAAATGGGAAAATAAATTCTTTAAAATTGAATATTGAGATACCATTCTTTAGTGTTACCTTTTTTACCCACATGTGTTTCTGAAAATATTGGAATTTTATTCATCTTAAAAATTGGACCAGGTAGGCCGGGCGTGGTGGCTCACGCCTGTAATCCCAGCACTTTGGGAGGCCAAGGCGGGTGGATCACGAGGTCAGGAGTTCAAGACCAGCCTGGCCAAGATGGTGAAACCCCATCTCTACTAAAAATATGAAAAATTAGCTGGGTGCCGTGGCAGGTGCCTGTAATCCCAGCTACTCGGGAGGCTGAGGCAGGAGAATCGCTTGAACTCGGAGGGCAGAGTTTACAGTGAGCTGAGGTTGTGCCACTGCACTCCAGCCTGGGCGACAAAGTGAGACTCCGTCTCAGGGCGAAAACAAAAAATTGGACCAGGTAGTTTTCAAGTAGTTAAACATTTCATTGAAAAATACCCTGAAGAACTATATTTTGATAATTGGTTTAGCTGTATTCCTAGTCTTATCTGCTAATGCATGACACTAACTTCCCAATTGGTTCTGTAAAAAAGGCCATTTTCTTACCAAGTTGTCTGATTTATTTACCATCTTTTTTTTTTTTTTTTTTTTAATTGAGCGGAGTCTCACGCTGTCCCAAGCTGAAGTGCAGTGGTGCGATCTTGGCTCACTGCAACCTCCGCCTCCCAGGTTCAAGCAATTTTCCTGCCTCAGCCTTCCAAGTAGCTGGGATTATAGGCACGCACCACCACACCTGGCTAATTTTTGTATTTTTAGTAGAGACAGGGTTTCACCCTGTTGGCCAGGCTAGTCTGTAACTCCTGACCTTGTGATCTGCTGGCCTCAGCCTCCCAAAGTGCTGGGATTGCAGGCGTAAGCCACCACACCCGGCCTTATTTACCATCTTTAATCCATTTTAGTACTATGGGTGAGTACATGGAATTGAAGTCTGGCTTAAATCTTCAGAAAGTTATATATCTATTTTATTTTATTTTTTTGAGACAGAGTCTCGCTGTGTCACCCAGGCTGGAGTACAGTGCCACAATCTTGGCTCACTGCAACCTCTGAGTCCCAGGTTCAAGCGATACTCATGCCTCAGCCTCCTGAGTAGCTGGGACTACAGGCGTGCACCACCACACCTGGCTAATTTTTTGTATTTTTAGTAGAGACGGGGTTTCGCCATGTTGCCCAGGCTGGTCTCTCCTGAGCTCAGGCAATCGGCCACCTTGGCCTCTGAAAGTGCTAGAATTACGGGCATGAGCCACCGCATCCAGCCAGAAAGATACATATCTAATTCTAGAAATAGCATGCAGTATCAGTCATAGTAACAGCCATGTGCTGACCTAAATAAAATTTCTTGATATTGTGTATTTAACCTGAAGTATTGAGCTAGTTTTTTTGTTTTGTTTTTTGGTGCTGAACATTTTGGTCTAATTCTTTGGCTTCTTAGAACATTTTAAAAAATCTATGTTTTGCTATCAGCCAAAGTAAATGTGTTCACACTAACATATAAGTTACTAACCTTCATTATACAGCAAAGCTAAAAAGTGGTGGGATATTTGGGGTCTTAATGAAAATTGTATCATTTAATTCCATAAATATTAAAATATTTGGGTACCTTTTAAGCTTTTTTTCTTTCCTTCTATAATGGTGGTACAAGTTCTATATTCATTCAGTTTAATCTCATTTGAAATTGTTTAAATCAGAGTACATGTAAATATTTGTGGGTTTTTTTTTTTGGTTTATAGACTCGAGCTTTCCTTTTACACAGTTTTTTTTAGGGAAAAACTAAAGCTATTAGGAAATTCTAAATCTTGTTGATGAAGAGTTGGGCTTTCTTTGATATAATTAATAAAAGGGATGTATGGTATTTATGGCTGGGTAGGACCAGAAATGCACTTTGTATTACAGAGTGTTAAGGCTGGTTGCTATAGTATGGAACAGAAACACCTCTCCTTGGTCTCCCTAGTAATGGTTCAAGTTCTTCCCAGGAAGTCTTACATATTATAACTTTGTTCATTATCTTTCCCTTATAGCATCATTTTCCTTTTTGTAGAGTGGAAATCAGACTAGCTGCTAAACATATTAAGGTTAATCCTCCAGAAATGTACTGGGGAGGCATTTTAGTCACAACAACTTACATTTGGCTTTGGAAGTTGTTAACAAAGCATAGTCGATGTTTTTAAATCAAACATAATTTGTATCTTGGAACTTACATTTTGACATTTGAATAAAACAAAAAGACTAAATGAAAGCCAACGTGGTGGTGTGTCCATACAGCAATGGTGCAGGAGCACTCTGCATTGACAACAACAAGCACAGCCAAACAGTGCCATTTTTAAAAGGGCACAGATGTCATATGAGCTGCTTCATTCTAGGGATTGATTAATCCTTGGCACTTCCATATCAGATAAATTCTAGCTGTAGATTCCACAGACAATGTCTGTTAAACATTTATCAAAAATCCTTACTTAAATGTCCCGCTTGACACTAGGGACACAGGCCAAGTTTTTCAGGAATCTTACTAGTCTTGTAGGGGAAACAAATACAAACTAAAGTGTATTTTAATAGTGGAAGTGAGATAGGTACCAGGTGTGGTGACATAGAAAGTGATGGCCTAGATAAGTCTGGAAGAACAAGTAGAAATTTGCCAGAAAAGAATAATGAGAACTAAATCAAAATCTCAGAAGTGTAAAACAACAACTAGGAAGCTGTAGGAGGTAAGAAATAAGCAACAACTGTAACTTCTTGTTAATACTCTGAAATGACCATTTAATATTCTCCTCTCCATCTAGCTAAGGATCTTGCTTCACATTTCATTGAAAAACCATTGATGGAATTCATCATCCCACCATCTATAAATCTATCTACTCCATCACTCAACCTTTCTCTCTAGTTACAACTGAAGTATCCCTCCTACAAAACTCAGTCACTCCCCACATGCTCTGGGTCTCATCATCCCCTCTCATTTCTCAAGGCCTTTAATTCTTTTGATCATGTCTCTACTATAGTATCTGTGTCCTTCCTTCTGAATTATTCCCAGTGGCATCCAAACACTGCTTAGTATTTCCTGTCCTATAGCAAATCTCCCAAGCTTATTTACGTATCTTTCCAACTACACCATAAGTTCCACAAAGATGGTGACCCAGCCTGTTTTGTTAACTATAACCAGCACCTACCATAGTGCTACATACATCTGGTACCCCATACATTTTTAAAGAAATAATGGAATGGCCAGGCATGGTGGCTCATGCCTGTAATCCCAGCACTTTGGGAGGATGAGGCGGGTGGATCACCTGAGGTCAGGAGTTCGAGACCAGCCTGGCCAAACGTGATGAAACCCCATCTCTACTAAAAGTACAAAAATTAGCCGGGCATGGTGGGGGGCACCTGTAATCCTAGCTACTCAGGAGGCTGAGGACAGAGGATCACTTGAGTCTGGGAGGTGGAGGTTGCAGTGAGTTGAGATCACGCCACTGCACTCCAGCCTGGGTGACAAGAGCGAGACTCTGTTTCAAAAAAACAAAAAAGAATGGAATGTCTTGTATGCCAGGTTAAATTGTAAGTTTTTACAGAAGGTAGTGGGGGGTTATTGAAAGTTTTAGCAGGGGAGTTGAACATGATCAGATGTCCCTTTTAAATTGTTGGGGGCAGGCTCAGGAAAATGAATGGAAGGAAACGTGACTGGAGGCCTACTTAAAAACATTTCTTCAGCACTTGCCCTTCTATCTCCTAGTTCAACAATTTCCTCCACTTTTTGAGGTTAGTTCTCATCAGCATACAAACAAAACAACTTCCTTGAACCCAAATCCTCTCCACCTGTTGCCCAGCTGCTTCTCTTCTGCAGCACAACTAAAAGTTGGTCTTGCATTTTTCCAATTCCCTTCTGAGATTTGACTCTTCTTTTTAAGAGATGGGAGCGGGGAGGGTGCGGTCTCACTCGCCCAGGCTGGAGTGCAGTTGGCACTATCATGGATCACAACATCCTTGAACTCCTGGGCTCAAGCCATCCTCCCACATTGGCCTCCCAAAGTGTTGGGATTACAGGCATGAGCCACCGTACCTGGCTCCAGGCTTTGACTCATAAATGAGAAGCTGTCAGGAGGTTTTGCACAAAGAAGTGATACTTGGTTACAGTGTGAGAGAACAGACTAAGAGGACAAGGAAAAGATGATGGCTTGGGCTAAAGTAGTGGAAGTGGAAGAAGTGAATGGGTAGGTATTTTTGCAAATCTGATTAAAAGTGTTATCCTGTGTTCAGTGGGGAAACTCGTTATTATAAAAATGTCTATTATCCTTAAATTTATAAATTTAATAGTCCAATAAAATGCCAATATTTTATGTTTTATATATATATTTATATATATATTTATATATATATTTATATATATATTTATATATATATTTATATATATATTTATATATATATTTATATATATATTTATATATATATTTATATATATATTTATATATATATTTATATATATATTTATATATATATTTATATATATATTTTATATATATATTTATATATTTTTTTTTTTTTTGAGACGGAGTCTTGCTCTGTTGCCCAGGCTGGAGTGCAGTGGCGCGATCTCAGCTCACTGCAAGCTCCACCTCCCAGGTTCACGCCATTCTCCTGCCTCAGCCTCCTGAGTAGCTGGGACTACAGACGCCCGCCACCACGCCCGTATAATTTTTTTTTTTTTTTTGTATTTTTAGTAGAGACCGGGTTTCACCGTGTTAGCCAGGATGGTCTCGATCTCCTGACCTTGTGATCCACCCGCCTCGGCCTCCCAAAGTGTTGGGATTACAGGCGTGAGCCACCATGCCCGGCAAGTAATATATACTTTTTATAAATTACAAATAATAAAATTATAAATTATTTTATAAATAATATATATAAGACGCCAAAATTTTACATTGAAGTCAGGCAAGCTGATTCTCAAGTTCATATGGAAGAATGGTGAACAAGCAAAGTGAAAAAGTACACTTACATAGTGCTTAATGTAACAACTCCGAGGTGGATACTACAATCAAGTCTTCTCATAAAGAAACTGAAGCCCAGAGGGGTTAAGTAGCTTCCCCAAGCTCACACAAAGTAACAGAGCCAGGATTTAACCCCAGGTAGACCGGTTCCAGAATCCTACATGTAACAAGAAAGAGGAGGGACTGCCTCTACTACCTTTTTTTTAAATTTATTTTATTTTATTTTATTTATACCGGGATACATATGCAGAACGTGGAGGTTACATAGGTATACATGTGCCATGGTGGTTTGCTGCACCCATCATCTAGGTTTTAAGCCCTGCATGCATTAGGTATTTGTCCTAATGCTATCCCTCTCGTTGCCTCCTCTACTAGCTATATTTAAAATACAAAGCTTTATAACTAGGTGTGGTGACTCGCGCCTGTAATCCCAGCAATTTGGGAGGCCGAGGCAGGAGGACTGCTTGAGCCCAAGAGTTTGAGACCAGCCTGGGCAACATGGTGAGATCCTGTCTCTACAAAAAATTTAAAAAATTAGCTGGGCATGGTGGCATGCACCTGTAGTCCCAGCTACTTGGGAGGCTGAGGTGGGAGGACCCCTTGAGCCCAGAAGGCCACAGTGAGCTGGATCATACCACTGCACTCCAGCTTGGGCAACAGGGCTAGACCCTGTCTCAAAATGTGTGTGTGTTTTTGTTTTTGTTGTTGTTGTTGTTGTTGTTTGAGACGGAGTTTCGCTCTTGTTGCCCAGGCTGGAGTGCAATGACCCGATCTCAGCTCACTGCAACCTCCGCCTCCCGGGTTCAAGTGATTCTCCTGCCTCAGCCTTCCGAGTAGCTGGGATTACAGGCGTGGGCACACTCAGCTAATTTTTTTTAGTAGAGACGGGGTTTCTCCATGTTGGTCAGACTGGTTTCGAACTCCTGACCTCAGGTGATCCACCCGCCTCAGCCTCCCAAAGGGCTGGGATTACAGGCATGAGCCATCGCGTCCGGCCGTGTGTGTGTATTTTTAGAGCTTTAAAAATTTAAGTTTGTACCAGTGCATCAATGGACAAATAGAAAAGAATGGGCCAGGTGCAGTGGCTCATGCCTGTAACCCCAGCACTTTGGGAGGCTGAGGCAGGTGGATTGATTGAGCCCACGAGTTCCAGTTCAGCCTGGGCAATATGGCAAAACACCATCTCTATAAAAAATAAAAATTAGCCAGGTGTGGTGGCTCGCTCACACCTGTATTCCCAGCTACACGGAAAGCTGAGGTGACAGAATCACCTGAGCGCAGGGAGGTCGTGATCGTGCCACTGCACTCCAGCCTGGGTGACAGAGTGAGACCCTATATATTCTCCTGAGGCAGGAGAATTGCTTGAACCCGGGAGGTGAAGGTTGCAGTGAGCCTAGATCACAGCACTGCACTCCAGCCTGGGCGATAAGCCAAGACTCTGTCTTAAAAAAAAAATTTTTTTAAGATAAAAATTAAAGCCTTTGGCTGGGCACGGTGGCTCACGCCTGTAATCCCAGCACTTTGGGAGGCCAAGGCGGGTGGATCACAAGGTCAGGAGATCAAGACCATCCTGGCCAACATAGTGAAACCCCATCTCTACTAAAAATACAAAAAAAATTAGCCGGGCGTGGCGGCGCGGAGGCAGAAGAATGGCTGGAACCCGGGAGGCGGAGGTTGCAGTGAGCCGAGATCGCACCATTACACTCCAGCCTGGGCAACAGAGCGAGACTCCGTCTCAACAAAACACAAACAAACAAAAAGCCTTTAAATATTATGTAGAGCCAGGCGTGGCGGCTCACGCCTGTAATCCCAGCACTTTGGGAGGCCTAGGTGGGCGCATCACTTGAGGTCGGGAATTCCAGACCAGCCTGACCAACATGGAGAAACCCCGTCTCTACTAAAAATACAAAATTATCCAGGCATGGTGGCGCATGCCTGTAATCCCAGCTACTCAGGAGGCTGAGGCAGGAGAATCGCTTGAACCCAGGAGGCAGAGGCTGCGGTAAGCCAAGATTGTGCCATTGCATTCCAGCCTGGGCAACAAGAGTGAAACTCTGTCTCAAAAAAATAAATAAGTAAATAAATAAATAAATAAATATTACGTAGAATCACAGTAAGTTTCTGAGAAGTTTGATCGGTCCCTTGGGGAGTGGGGCCAGGCTCTCTGGTTCTTCTTGGTATGACCCAAGAGGTCATCCTCCTTGAAGATAAGGAAACAACTCACCTTGCCGTCTTCAGCTCCTTGTCATAGAAAGTGCTTAATAAATGACAAAAATATGAAATGGGGCATGTCCATCATCTAATTACTTTGCTCAGAGTAACAGTGCTCAGAAAAGTGAAGATCTAAGTGTGATGTTGCAGCAATTAGACATCCATAAGAAAAAAGAGCCTAACTGAAGATGGATCGTAAGCCAGGCATGGTGTCAAATGCCTGTAGTCCTGCCTGCTTCAGAGGCTGAAGCAAGAAGGTCCCTTGAGCCCAGGAATTCAAGTCCAGCCTGGGCAACATAGTGAGACCTGGCCTCTTATTTAAAAAAAAAAAAAAAAAAAAAAAAAGGATGACAGACTTCAATGTAAACCTACAAATGGCCTGGTGCGGTGGCATGTGCCTGTAATCCTAGCACATTGGGAGGCCGAGGCAGGTGGATCACTTGAGGCCAGGAGTTCGAGACCTGCCTGACCAACATGGTGAAACCCCGTCTCTACTAAAAAATACAAAAATTAGCCAGGTGTGATGGTGCACGCCTGTAATCCCAGTTACTCTACTCGGGAGGCTGAGGCCTGAGAATCTCTTGAGTCAGGGAGGCAGAGGCTGCAGTAAGCCAAGATGGCGCCTGGGCGACAGAGCCAGACCCAGTCTTAAAAAGGCCGGGCATGGTGGTTCATGCCTGTAATCCCAGCACTTTGGGAGGCCGAGGCAGGCGGATCACCTGAGGTCGGGAGCTCGAGACCAGCCTGACCAATATGATGAAACCCCATCTCTACTAAAAATACAAAAATTAGCCGGGCATGGTGGCATGTGCCTGTAATCCCAGCTACTCGGGAGGCTGAGACAGAATCGCTTGAACCCGGGAGGCAGAGGTTGCAGTGAGCAGAGATCGCTCCATTGCACTCCAGCCTGGACAACAAGAGCGAAACTGTCTCAAAACAAAAGTGGCCGGGCGCGGTGGCTCATACGTGTAATCCCAGCACTTTGGGAGGCCGAGGTGGGTGGGTCATTTGAGGTCAGGAGTTGCAGACCAGCCTGGCCAACATGGTGAAACCCCACCTCTACTAAAAATACAAAAATTAGAGGCCAGGCGTGGTGGCTCATGCCTAATCCCAGCACTTTGGGAGGCCGAGGCGGGCGGATCACCTGTGGTCAGGAGTTCGAGACCAGCCTGACCGATATGGTGAAACCCCGTCTCTACTAAAAATACAAAAATTAGCCGGGCGTGGTGGAGGGCGCCTGTAGTCCCAGCTACTCAGGAGGCTGAGACAGGAGAATTGCTTGAACCCAGGAGGCGGAGGTTGCAGTGAGCCAAGATTGTGCCACTGCACTCCAGCCTGGGAGACAGAGCAAGACTCTGTCTCAAAAAAAAAAAAAAAAAAAAAAAAAAATTAGGCAGGTGTGGTGGCAGGTGCCTGAAGTCCCAGCTACTCAGGAGGCTGAGGCAGGAGAATCGCTTGAACCTGGGAGGTGAAGGTTGCAGTGAGTCAAGATCGCACCACTGCACTCCAGCCTGGGAGACACAGCAAGACTGTCTCAAAAAAGAAAAAAAAAGTAGACCTACAAAACTTAGAAAAAAACACAGGAGAAAATCTTCAGGATCTAAGGATAAGCATCGAGTTCTTGGACTTGACACCAAAAGCACAATCCAGAAAGGGAAAACTGATAAATTGGACTTCATCAAAATTAAGAACTTTTGCTATGCCAAAAGAAAAACCCTGGCCAGGTGCAGTAGCTCATGCCTATATTCCTGGCCTTTGGGAGGGAAAGGTGGGAGAATAGCTTGAGGCCAGGAGTTTGAGATCAGCCTGGGCAAGACCCCCATCTCTACCAAAATTTTTAAAAATTAGCAGGGTATGGTGGTGTCTGCCTGCAGTCCTACCTACCCTAGAAGCTAAGGCGGGGGCCGGGCGCAGTGGCTCACACCTGTAATCCCAGCATTTTGTGAGGCCAAGGCAGGGGGATCACCTGAGGTCAGTATTTGGAGACCAGCCTGATCAACACGGTAAAACCCCATCTCTACTAAAAATACAAAATTAGCCTGGCGTGGTGGCGCATGCCTGTAATCCCAGCTACTCAGGAGGCTGAGACAGGAGAATCGCATGAACCCAGGAGGCAGAGTTTGCAGTGAGCCAAGATCACACCACTGTACTCCAACCTGGGTGACAAAGCAAGGCTCCGTCTCCAAAAATAAAATAAAATAAAATAAAATAAAATAATAAAAATTATAAAAGTAGAGGATAGATTCATGGCTAAGGAGAAGATGGGTTAAGGAAGAGAACTGAATGTGGCTATAAAAGGGCAAATGAGGAATACTGGTAGTGATGGACATGTTTTGTATCAATGTCAATATCCTGACTTTGATAATGTAATAGGACTGCCAGGTTTGTATGCCAGCTACACAGCAATAGACATCTGACATACACTGACAACTGGGTTTGTACTGGAGAGTTTAATTTTTTTCCTTTTTTAAAAATTAAAAATAATTTGCAACACACAACTTTGCTCATGTAGTGAAGAGTTTAATAATCTCAAGATGCCAAACAAGGAAGCAGGAGGAATTCTCAAGCTTGAAATCTGTTTCCTCATAGGGTTCTGGGCAAGGATTTTTAAGGGGGTTGTGGAGGGTGAGGGACTAGAAAATTTGGGGTCATCGATTGGTTGGGTAAAGTGGATGATATGGTTTTGCTCTGTCTCCATCCAAATCTCATCTTGAATTATAAGACCCCACATGTCAAGAGAGGAACCTGGTAAGAGGTGATTGGATCATGGGGGCAGTTTCCTGCATGCTGTTCTGAGAGTGAATTCTCACGAGATTTGGTGGTTTAAAAGTGTTTGGCAGTTCCCCTCCTTGCTCACCCTCTCTCCTGCCACCTTGTGAAGAAGGTGCTTGCTTCTCTTTTGCCTTCTGCCATGATTATAAGTTTCCTGAGGCCTCCCCAGTCATGCAGAACTGTGAGTCAATTAAACCTCTTTATAAGTTACCCAGTCTCCAGTAGTTCTTTATAGCAGTGTGAAAATGAACTAATAGGCCAGGGGCAGTGGTTCGTGCCTGTAATCCCAGCACTTTGGGAGGCCGAGGTGGGTGATCACCTGAGGTCAGGAGTTTGCAACCAGCCTGGCCAACATGGTGAAACCCCATCTTTACTAAAAATAGAAAAATTAGTCGCACATGGTTGGCGGGCGCATGTAATCCCAGCTACTTGGGAGGCTGAGGCAGGAGAATTGCTTGAACCTGGGAGGCAGAAGTTGCAGTGAGCCAAGACTACACCATTGCACTCCAGCCTGGGCAACGAGAGTGAAATTCCATCTCAAAAAAAAAAAAAGAAAAAAGAAAATGAACTAATACAGGGGTTAAAATCAGGATGTGGAAATTTTTCTTTCATTAGTCAGCTTTTTGCTGGGTCCTTCGGACTAGCTGGCATGGTAATTTTGTTGGTATATAGAATCTAAAGGAGATGCTCAATGGAAAAATATATCTAACAATGTCTTAGATTTTATCTATAGAACAGGAAAATAAAAAAGACTTTTGTGAGGACAAGAGCTAGTTATCCTTGGGTAGTAAGAGTAGTGACCAACTACAAGGAACTGGGACAGAAGGCAAGCCGACTTAATGATTGTTGTTGATTGTGCTATAAGCCTACTTAGATTTTATTTTGCCTCCTATTGATTTTATAAACCGTTGCAGGTGAGCAGTGACTATCTGAGGCCAGTATCAGTGTGGGCAGTAAGAAGAATTTACCAAGACAGTTGTAGGTAAAGAAAGGCAGATTTATGAAAGAAAGTATGAAAATACATTGCAAGAGTGCAAGGGGCTGGTTAGCAAGAGAGGAGCTAACTGTGAGGAGACAAAGGCTTGCTGGGGATTTTATAGAATGGTGCTTGTGCTGTGTGCTGAAGAGGGCTTTGTGCAGTACTGATTACTGCAACCAAGGTTGCAGTTAGCTAACTTGCATTTTTCTATAAGCCAAGGGTCTGGTGATAGCTGGGCACAGGAAGATTGTGAGATATGAGCGCAGGAGGGCTATGTGTCCTGAACCATGAAGAAAGGCAGACTTGTAGCTTATCTGCCTTTCCTTTTTGCTCTCCCTCAGTCCTGCCAGCCCCACTCCTTTTCCCTAAACTCCACAAAAAGTTTTTTTAGGGATGGTTTTATGACAGGAAAATATCTTGGGCCCCTAAGATCACTAAGGAAAACTCAGGCTGGAAACTGCTTAGGGCAAACCTGCCTCCATTCTATTCAAAGTCAATTATCTGCTCACTGAGATAGATGCACATCTGATTTGCCTCCTTTGGAAAGGCTAATCAGAAATTCAACAGAATGTAACCATTTGTGTATCACCTGTGACCTGGAAGCGCCCTCCCCGCTTCAAGTCTTCCTGCCTTTGCTTCAAGTTGTCCCACCTTTCCAGACTGAACCAATGTACTTACAAATACTAACTGATGTCTCATGTCTCCCTAAATGTATAAAAGCAAGCTGTGCCCTGACCGCCTTGGACACGTCATCAGGACTTCCTGAGGCTGTGTCACAGGTGCGTCCTCAACCTTTTTTTTTTTTTTCCCTCCCTGAGAGGAGTCTTGCTCTGTTGCCCAGGCTGGAGTGCAGTGGTGTGATCTTGGCTCACTACAACATCCACCTCCCGGGTTCAAGCAATTTTCCTGCCTCAGCCTCCTGAGTAGCTGGGATTGCAGGTGTATGCAACCACAGCCGGCTAATTTTTGTATTTTTTTTTTTTTTTTTTTTTTAGTAGAGATGAGGTTTCACCATGTTGGCCAGGGTGGTCTCAAACTCCTGACCTCATGATCCACCTGCTTCAGCCTCCCAAAGTGCTGGGATTACAGCCACCACACCTGGCCAGCAAAATAAACTTTCTAAATTAACTGAGACCTGTCTCAAATTTGGGGGGTTTACAGTTTCAATATTGTTACTGGAAAGGGGTCCCAATCCAGATCCCAAGAGAGGGTGATATGATTTGGCTCTGTGTCCCCACCCAAATCTCATCTTGAATTGTACTCCCGTAATTCCCATGTGTTGTGGGAGGGACCCAATGGGAAATAACTGAATCATGGGGGTGGTTCCCCCCATACTGTTCTCATGGTAGTGAATAAGTCTTATGAGATATGATAGTTTTATAAAGAGGAGTTTCCCTCCACAAGCTCTCTTTCTGCCTGCTGCCATCCATGTAAGATGTGACTTGCTCCTCCTTGCCTTCCGCCATGATTGTGAGGCCTCCTCAGCCATGTGGAACTGTAAGTCCATTAAACCACTTTCTTTTGTAAATTGCCCAGTCTTGAATATGTCTTTATCAGCAGCGTGGAAACAGACTAATACAGTAAATTGGTACCCGTAGAGTGGGGCACTGTTTAAAAGATACCCAAAAATGTAGAAGCAACTTTGAAACTGGGTAACAGGCAGAGGTTAACAGTTTAGAGGGCTCAGAAGACAGGAAAATGTGGGAAAGTTTGGAACTCCCTAGAGACTTGTTGAACGGCTTTGACCAAAATGCTGATAATGATATGGACAATGAAATCCAGGCTGAGGTGGTCTCAGATGGAGATGAGAAACTCATTAGGAACTGGTGCAAGGGGGACTCTTGTTATGTTTTAGCAAAGAGACTGGCAGCATTTTGCTTCTGCCTTAGAGATTTGTGGAACTTTGAACTTAGGAGAGATGACTTAGGGTATCTGGCAGAAGAAATTTTTAAGCAGCAAAGCATTCAATAAGTGACTTGGGTGCTGTTAAAGGCATCAAGTTTTAAAAGGGAAATAGAACATAAAAGTTCAAAAAATGTGCAGCCTGACAATGCCATAGAAAAGAAAATCCCATTTTCGGAGGAGAAATTCAAGCCAGCTGCAGAAATTTGCATAAGTAACGAGGAGTTGAATGTTAATCTCCAAGACAATAGGGAAAATGTCTCCAGGGCATGTCAGAGATCTTTGCGGCAGCCCCTCCCAACACAGGCCCAGAGGCCTAGGAGGAAAAAATGGTTTCATGACCCAGGCCCAGGGTCCCGCTGCTGTGTGCAGTCTAGGGACTTGGTGCCCTGTGTCCCAGCCACTCCAGTCGTGACTAAAAGGGGCCAAGGTACAGCTTGGGCTGTGGCTTCAGAGGGTGCAAGCCCCAAGCCTTCACAGCTTCCACATGGTGTTGAGCCTGCGGGTGCGCAAAAGTCAAGAATTGAGGTCTGGGGCCGGGTGCACTGGCTCACGCCTGTAATCCCAGCATTCCAAATGATTGTGAGGCCTCCCTAGCCATGTGGAACTGTAAATCCATTAAACCTTTTTCCTGTATAAATTACCCAGTCTCAGGTATGTCTTTATTAGCAGCATGAAAACAGACTAATACAGAGGGTCCTTGGATCTTGTGCAAGAAAGATTTCAGGGCAAGTCCACAGTGCAAAGCAAAAGCAAGTTTATTAAGAAAGTAAAGTGGTGAAAGAATATCTACTCCATAGACAGTAGGGCGTTCCTGAAAGTAAGAGGAGAAACGTGTCCACCCTAGGTAGAATGCTTGCTTATATATAGGATAAAAAAAGATCATGGGGAGATGTGCTCTGCCACAAGGGTTTGTGATAAAGGATTAATTTTTTAAATTACTATATTTTACAAGAATCAACATTATTATCTTTAAAGCAAAATTAGGAATGCTTCTATTCTCAAAATATCGGGATCTCAGGACACTCCTAAGTACGGGTCTGTTTAGTAAATGTTATTAGTCTGTTCCCTTAACCATAAACATCTAGAGGCTAGGAATACCTAACTTCCTGGGAATGCAGCCAAGCAAGTCCCAGCTTCACTTTTCCTAGCCCTCACTCAAGATGGAGTCACTCTGGTTCAAATGCCTCTGACAATACTGTACTACAGTTTTACAAGATGTTACCCTTAGGGGAAACTGGGTAAAGGGTACACAGAATCTCCCTGTATTACTACTTCTCATATTCCATATGAATCTACAATTGTCTCAAAATAGTTTAATTTTAAAAATCTAATCAGGTGGCACAGGCTTCTCTTTACCTCTTGTTTAAAACCAATAGTTTCCCACTGGTCACAGTGGCTCACGCCTGTAATCCCAGCACTTTGGGAGGCTGAGGCAGGCAGATCACCTGAGATCAGGAGTTCGAGACCAACCTCAACAGGGAGAAACCACGTCTCTATTAAAAATACAAAATTAGTCGGGCATGGTGGTGTGTGCCTGTAATCCCAGCTACTCAGGAGTCTGAGGCAGGAGAATTGCTTGAACCTGGGAGGTGGCGGTTGTGGTTAGCCGAGATCGCGCCATTGCACTCCAGCCTGGGCAACAAGAGTGAGACTTGGTCTCAAAACAACAACAACAACAACAAAATAGTTTCCCATTGTTCATAAGATATGAGACCCCAGACATTAGGACTTCACTTCACCAGGATCACCAGACTCCTCTCAGAGCTCCATCCATAACTCGCATTCTTTTTTTTTTTTGGAGACAAGGTCTCGCTCTGTCTCCCAGACTGGAGTTCAGTGGTGTGATCTCGGCTCACTGCAACCTCCACGTCCTGGGTTAAAGCAATTCTCCTGCCTCAGCCTCCCCAGTAGCTGGGATTACGGGCACGCACCACCACACCTGGCTAATTTTTGTGTTTTAGTAGAGACAGGAATTCACCATATTGCCCAGGCTGGCCTTGAACTCCTGAGCTCAGGCAATCCACCCGCCTCGGCCTCCCAAAGTGCTGGGATTACAGGCCAAAACTGGCATTCTATCAGGCTTCCCACTAGACATAGTCCTGTAACCTAAGGCAGGTCCAGTTCCCTGCAGCTTGCAAATTCAAATAACAAGTAAGAGAATGGTAAAAAGAAAGTGACTGCCACGGGCACGGTGGCTCACGCCTGTAATCCCAACATGATCCAAGGCAGGCGGATCATGAGGTCAGGAGATCGAGACCATCCTGGCTAACATGGTGAAACCCCATCTCCACTAAAAATACAAAAAAATTAGCCAGGCATGGTGGTGGGCACCTGTAATCCCAGCTACTCGGGAGGCTGAGGCAGAAGAATGGCATGAACCCAGGAGGCAGAGCTTACAATGAGCCAAGATCACGCCACTGCACTCCAGCCTGGGCGACACAGGGAGACTCTGTCTCATAAAAAAAAAAAAAGAAAGAAAGTGGCCAGGTGTGGTGGCTCACACCTGTAACCCCAGCACTTTGGGAGGCCAAGGTGGACGGATCACCTGATGTAAGGAGTTTACGACCAGCCTAGCCAGCATTGTGAAACCCCCTCTCTACTAAAAACACAAAAATTAGCCAGGCGTGGCAGCAGGGGTCTATAATCCCAGCAACTGACTAGGGAGGCTGAGGCACCAAGAATAACTGGAACCTGGGATGCAGTGGTTGCAGTGAGTGGAGAGTGCGTCATTGCACTCCAGCCTGGGTGACAGAGGGACTCTGTCTCAAAAAAAGTGGGGGGTGCACGGGACTTGGTTGACCTGGATGGCATGCAAGGGGTGGGGAGGGACCAAGGAGGTGCTGGGTCTATGGGACTTGCTCCTATGTATCCATCAGTGATCTGGTTGGCGCCATGGAGGCTGGGGCGAAGGCGGAGGGGGGGTGGGGGGTAGCGGGGAGCTAGGTTGTAAATTGACAGTTGTCCCCAGGCAATCCCCTGGTATGGGAAAGTTCCAGAGGTCCCTGGTTTAAGCTTCGGTCCTTGGAACTAATAAGCGAACACATAATTAGATAAGCTTACAGTGTAGAGAGTGTCTGGTGGAGAGAAGGTAAAGGTTAATTGGATTTTTTTTTTTGACAGGTGTCATTCTGTCGCCCAGGGTGGAGTGCAGTGGCGTTATCGTGGCTCATTGCAGTCTTTACCTCCCAGGGCTCAGGTGATCCTCCCACCTCAGCCTCCCCAATGGCTGGGACTACAGGCCGATCTCGCCTGCCTCGGCCTCCCAAAGTGCTGGGATTACAGACGTGAGCCACAGCACCCACCCTATAATTGCATTCCTAAAGAGCTAAATAGGAGGTGGGGTGAAAGGAGAAAAGTAAAAATAATTCATTTTTCTAAGAAAATGGGTAGTTGGTCACACTCCTATTTACTAGGGCCTTTGCACATGTTCTCATCTGCACTGTGCTTCCCTCTCTTTTTCTATTTAACTATTTATCTTCCAGATCTCAGCTGCAGCCGCAGTTTCTTAGGATAACCTTCTCCAACTTCTCGAAGATACTCACCATGATTAATTGATTAGTGTGTTATACTAGGCAGATAGTTCCACGAAGAGAAGCTCTGTATCTCTCAGTCTCACTGTATGCGGAGTGGGTAGCTCTGCACCTAGGATGCTCAATAAGAACGGTATTTATGAACTGAACGACAGAAGGTTGAACGACTGCCCACTTATGCACTGAGCCTTCCGGAGGGACGAGTCTACAGGGGTCGCGCGTCGTAACGACGTCACTTCCGTCGGAAGGTTCTCATGAGGAGCCACTCAGATTCCTGTCACTTCTCAAAGCATCTCCGTCGTGAACATGGCCCTGCCACCATTCTTCGGCCAGGGTCGCCCAGGCCCACCGCCCCCGCAGCCGCCGCCTCCTGCTCCTTTCGGCTGTCCGCCACCGCCGCTGCCCTCCCCGGCTTTCCCGCCGCCTCTCCCCCAGCGGCCCGGCCCTTTTCCGGGGGCCTCCGCCCCCTTCCTTCAGCCTCCGCTGGCTCTGCAGCCCCGAGCCTCCGCGGAGGCCTCCCGCGGCGGAGGCGGCGCTGGCGCCTTCTACCCGGTGCCACCACCGCCGCTGCCTCCTCCGCCGCCCCAGTGTCGGCCCTTCCCGGGGACCGACGCCGGCGAGCGGCCGCGGCCACCGCCTCCCGGCCCGGGGCCGCCCTGGAGCCCGCGGTGGCCTGAGGCGCCGCCGCCGCCGGCCGACGTGCTCGGGGATGCGGCCCTCCAACGCCTGCGCGACCGGCAGTGGCTGGAGGCGGTGTTCGGGACCCCGCGGCGGGCAGGCTGTCCGGTGCCCCAGCGCACGCATGCCGGGCCCAGCCTTGGCGAAGTGCGCGCGCGATTGCTCCGGGCTCTGCGCCTGGTGCGGCGGCTGCGCGGCCTGAGCCAGGCCCTGCGCGAGGCCGAAGCCGACGGCGCGGCCTGGGTCCTGCTGTACTCCCAGACCGCGCCGCTGCGCGCGGAACTGGCCGAGCGGCTACAGCCGTTGACCCAGGCTGCCTATGTGGGCGAGGCGCGGAGGAGGCTGGAGAGGGTCCGGCGCCGCCGGCTGCGGCTTCGCGAGAGGGCCCGGGAACGCGAGGCCGAGCGGGAGGCAGAGGCCGCGCGGGCAGTGGAACGCGAGCAGGAGATTGACCGCTGGAGGGTGAAGTGTGTGCAGGAGGTGGAGGAGAAGAAGCGGGTGAGAGCAGCGGCCGCTCATGGGGGTAGGAGTGGTGGTGGTTGGAACCTGGAGCAGCAGGAGGCTTTAAACTTCCATTTCCCAGGGCTAAGCCTCTGTTTTACGCGCAAAATGAAGCGATAGCTAACCTTCCCAGCTCATACCACCATGTTAATTTTGTGTTAATGATGTGTGGTACACAAAAGTTCCAGGTGCACTGTAAAATCCTGTAAACACAAAGTATAGGATTACACGGTGGCACTGCACGAATGACAGGTCTCCCCTATCCTGCTCCAACATTGTCCACTTACTCTCAAAACCAGTAAGTGTCTAGTTCCTTGTGTCTTGTACTGCCCTAGGTGGTTTTAAGAATACAAAATACAGGCCGGGCGCGGTGGCCCACGCCTGTAATCCCAGCACTTTGGGAGGCGGAGGCGGGTGGATCACGAGGTCAGGAGTTCAAGACCAGCCTGGCCAAGATGGTGAAACCCCGTCTCTACTAAAAATACAAAAATTAGCCATGCGTGGTGGCGGGCGCCTGTAATCCCAGCTACTCTGGAGGCGGAGGTTGCAGTGAGCCGAGATCGCACCACTGCATTCCAGCCTGGGCGACAGAGCAAGACTCCGTCTCAAAAAAAAAAAAAATAGAGAACTTGGGGACCCTACCTCAAGGAATATATATACTCTAATTAGCTGATGGGGCAATAGTGATTTCCCTAGGATTCTTTTGTTTACAAGTTTTAAACCATGTATCCCCAGGTTCAGCAATGGTGTTTCGGAGCATTTACTATATATATATATATATATACACATACATACATATATATACACATACATATATGTATGTGTATATATATGTATGTATGTGTATGTGTGTATATATATGTATGTATCTGTGTATATATAGAGAGAGGTGTGCTAAGGTCATTACATATACCAGATTTTGAATCTTTATAACAGCCTTGAGAAGTAGGAAGTATTATGCTAATTTTACAGGTTAGGAAGTTGCATAGAGAGGTTAACTTGCCAACAGTCACACAACGAGTTTGTGGCAGTTTCCCATATTTGATCCCAAGTTGTCTAATTCCAAAGCGTATTGATCTCAGACTCTTTAAGCAGGGCCAGGGTAAAACTGGAAATTGTTCAGATGGTTTTCTAAGGCATTTTCTTTCTTTCTTTTTTTGAGATGGAGTTTCGCTCTTGTTGCCCAGGCTGGAGTGCAATGGCATGATCTTGGTTCACCACAACCTCCACCTCCCGGGTTCAAGCGATTCTCCTGCCTCAGCCTCCCGAGTAGCAGGGATTACAGGCATGCACCACTACACCCCAGCTAATTTTGTATTTTTAGTAGAGACAGGGTTTCTCCATGTTGGTCAGACTGGTCTCGAACTCCTGACCTCAGGTGATCCACCCGCCTCAGCCTGCCAAAGTGCTGGGATTACAGGCGTGAGCCACTGCACCTGGCCGTCTAAGGCATTTTCATTACCTTTGATTGCCTCTGGGGTTCCCTTTCCTCTTCCTCATTATTTCTATTATTATTACATTATAATACATAATGAAATAATTATACAACTCACCATAATGTGGAAACAGTGAGAGCCCTGAGATTGTTTTCCTGCAACTAGACAGTCCCATCTGGGGGTGATAGGAGACAGTGACAAATCATCAGGCTTTAGATTCTCATAAGGAGCCCACAACCTAGATCCCTTCCATGCGCAGTTCACTTCTTTGTGCTCCTATGAGAATGTAATGCTGCTGTTGCTGATCTGACAGGAGGCGGAGCTCAGGTGGTAATGCAAGCAATGGGGGAGTGGCTGTAAATGGAGATGAAGCTTCACTTGCTCGCCTGCCTCATCTTTTGCTGTGTGATCTGGTTCCTAACAGGCCATGGACTGGTTACCATCCGTGGCCTGGGGTTTGTTGACCCCTGGCTTAGAGATCTGTGGGAGATCATGTCAGTATAGCGTGGTGTGTGTTAGGAATTCAACTATAGGTGCTGTAAAAGCCCAAAGAAGGAACATCTGATTTACTGAGGGAATGCTTCCCAAATGATACAATGACACGTAAGCTGAGTCTTTTTTTTTTTTTCTGAGACAGAGTCTCGCACTGTTGCCCGGACTGAAGTGCAGTGATGCCGTCTTGGCTCGCTGCAACCTCTGCCTCCCAGGTTCAAGCGATTCTCCTGCCTTAGCCTCCAGAGTAGCTGGGATTACAGGTGCACACCACCACTCCTGGCTATAAGCTGAGTCTTAAAGGAAAAGTCACCCAGGTGAAGGTAATAGGTGCAGTTCCAGGGAAACAGAGTAATCCAAATGGAGAAGTGAAACAGCTTGGTGTTGGCTGTAGCTGTAGTGGTGGAATTACAGGCACTTATTTGACAGATGGGGGAGAGCACTTTAGGCAAGAGGATTCTCTCCACCACCCATGGTGAACTTTTTATTTTATTTATTTTATTGTTTTAAGGAGACAGGGTTGGGGCTGGGCGCCGTGGTCATGCCTGTAATCCCAACACTTTGAGAGGCCAAGGCGGGCGGATCACCTGAGGTCAGGAGTTCGGGACCAGCCTGGCCAACGTGGTGAAACCCTGTCCCTACTAAAAATACAAAAAATTAGCTGGGCATGGTGGCAGGAGCCTGTAAACCCAGCTAATTGGGAGGCTGAAGCAGGGAATCGCTTGAACCCAGGAGGCGGAGGTTGCAGTAAGCCGAGATCGCGCCATTGCCCTCCAGCCTGGACAACAGCGAGACTCCATCTCAAAAAAAAAAAAAAAAAAAAAAAGAGGGTTGGGGGCGGGTGCGAAGTGGCTCACTCCTGTAATCCCAGCATTTTGGGAGGCTGAGGCAGGCAGATTACTTGAGCCCAGGAGTTCCAGACCAGCCTGGGCAACATGGAGAAACCTCGTCTCTACAAAAAACACAATTAACTGGGCATGGTGATGCTGTGATCACACCACTACACTCCAGCCTGGGCAACAGAATGAGACCCTGTCTCAAAAAAAAAAAAAAAAAAAAAAAAAATACAAAGTTTCACTCTGTTGCCCAGGCTGGAGTGCAGCGGGTTTGTCATAGCCTGTAGGTTTGAACTCCTGGTCTTAAAGTGATCCTCTCGCCTTAGCCTCCTGAGTAGGAATAGCTAGGGACACATGCCATTATGCCCAGCTTCCATGGTGAGGATATTGGTGACAGAGTCTTATGAGGAGTGGCTTGAGGAACTGGGGTTATTTAGTCTATATGTGAACTAAGTCAAGAGTAGGACAGCAATCTTTGGTATTTGAAAGGCTGTCATGTGGAAGAGATCCTTGGGACTTTAGAGCAGTGGAACACAAACATAGGTTGTCACTAAGAGACCTTTGTAGAGGTCTCAGCCTTTCCAGCCACATTCCTTATCCTTCCTGGGAATCTGAATCTTCAGGTCTAGGGAATCTGCATTTTTAACAAGTCTCAGCTTAACAAGGTAAGTTGGACACCTGATCTCTGCACTACACTTTGAGAAACACTGAGGAAGAAACAAAACCAGTGCTATGTGGAAGATACAGAGAGGAGAGGTTCTCCTTTAAGATGAAGGTTGTACCATCAGTGGAGGGGGATAACCTCTTAGCTAGAGGGGAGTTGTGCAAGGCCTAAGAAATTGGGATGGAGATTCAATAGAGTCTCTCTTAACCTGGAGACTGTCTGATCCTTTAAAATCTAACCACTGGGCAGCTATTCTCTGCTGTAAGTTTGTTCCTAATACGAGGTCTCATGGGCTTTGTTTCTCTTCCAGGAGCAGGAACTCAAAGCAGCCGCTGATGGCGTACTATCTGAAGTGAGGAAAAAACAAGCAGATACCAAAAGAATGGTGGACATTCTACGGGCTTTGGAGAAATTGAGGAAACTGAGGAAAGAGGCTGCAGCGAGGAAAGGTAACTGTGGCTTTGCATTTCTTTCCTTGTTCCCTTCCCCTTCTTTACTCTAGCTCCTCCCACCCCAAATATTATTGAGGGAAAAATACTTGAAACTTCATGATTTTCACCTTGTCGGGTAACTGGGCTTGTCAGCAAGTAGGTCAGAACTTCTGAAGCAGGAAGCCTCAGAAGATGTTTAGCCTGTGGTAGCCCAGATTGAAAAGAGAGGCAAGTGTGGGAACCCACTGCACTGTCTTCCCCTTGACTTATCATTCCTACCCTGGGCATTTCTGGCCACACTCTTCTGAGTGGGCTTGTCATGGCTAGTCACCTTTGCCTTGTGCCAGAGTGAAAGCTTTTCACCCTTACTTGTTGCTCCAGAAAGTGTTGAAAACTTGGCATGCTTCTTCAGATACATTTCAAACCTGAATTATTTCTATTTGAAGAGGTATGAATGGTTGGACAGGGCAGGGATTGCAGACTGTGTGGATTTCCCCACCTTCCCTTCATGTCACTGGTCTCTTCTTGCCTCTGGAGGAAGCACCAGACACTATAGCCAGGCAGTTCAAGCTTCTCCACCGAAGTTTGTTTCAACCATGCTGGCTTTCTAGAAGTTACCCAATTGTGCTTTCCATTTGCCTGTCTGGATCTTAGCTGTTGTCATTCTGTTCATCTGGAGGGCCCTCAGTCCCATCTTTGCCATTTTAAGATCTCACTATTCAAAACCAAATACACATGCAGCATCCTTCATCCTTCCCTGATCTGGGCTGAGGTAACCTCCTGTTGCTTCTCACTTGCACCTGCTTTGGACCACATGCTGATTTATTTAGTAGATTGTAGGCCTTTGGTATTCACCAGAGATATTTGAGAGTGTACAAATTAGCAAATGCCACTCTAACAAATGATTTCCCATGTGTTGTTTAAAATGTAAATGAAAACTGGGATTCTTTTAGACCCTTAAGAAAGTTGTGTTGGAATATGACCATTTTGTATTCACCCAGGCTCGTTTGCTAGCTAAGTGATTGGCTTTTGCATACTAGCCTTCAGAGCGGCTAATTCACATCCAGACCTCAGAAACAGATGCCTCCATTGTGGTACTCTCAGGGCATTTGTAAATCAGAGGGAAGTTAGCATCTGCTTTGTCTACCCATCTCTTTTTCACTAGAAGGCAAAACCTGAGAGCTATTTAATATTCCCACACCTCACATCCTCTATGAGGTGAGTGCTCAGTAAACTTCTGCCAAGTGAATTTACCAGCATTTCCCAATATTAATCTTCCTCACTTTGGTCCAAAAGGAGGAGGAAATTTTAGGAAAATCATTATCTATAGAAATAAACAGACTTTGTGGCATTAAGTGACTTGAATGTAAAATGATTTGGTAAGTAGCAGCTGGTTGCATGCATATTTAAAATGAGCAGCTAACTTCTCTCTTCAAGATGTGTGCACCTCCAACTAAGTGCTGAATGATGAGGCTGGATGTTTAAGCAGGACCACGTTGCAAATTGTCTTATGGGCTATGCTAGAGTTCTCACTTATACTTAAAGCTTTGGGGAACCGCTGAAAGTTTTTTTTTTTTTTTTTTTTTGAGACGGAGTCTCGCTCTGTCGCCCAGGCCGGACTGCGGACTGCAGTGGCGCAATCTCGGCTCACTGCAAGCTCCGCTTCCCGGGTTCACGCCATTCTCCTGCCTCAGCCTCCCGAGTAGCTGGGACTACAGGCGCCCACCACCGCGCCCGGCTAATTTTTTGTATTTTTAGTAGAGACGGGGTTTCACCTTGTTAGCCAGGATGGTCTCGATCTCCTGACCTCATGATCCACCTGCCTCGGCCTCCCAAAGTGCTGGGATTACAGGCGTGAGCCACCACGCCTGGCCCCGCTGAAAGTTTTTAAGTGAAATGATGGCAAAGATCAGTGCCAGTAGAGCAGAGAAAGTTTTGGAGCATCCAGGAGAGAGAGAGAAGGGCAGAGAGATGGGTAAGGCTATTGGGCACGGGTAGTATGGAAGCATAAGCTGAGTGACGTCAGTGTGTAGGAGAATTGAGAGGTAATGAGTAATTCAAGTGATAGTGAATAATTGAGTAATTCAGAATTATTAGTGAATAATTCTCAAGTCAAAGAATTGAGAGATAATGAATAAAGGTATATGTGTATATACCCATGTACATATAAATAAATAATTTAAGGAACTCAGAGTACAGGAACTAAAGGGAAAAACAATGAAATGTCTTCCAGATTCTAGCCTCATCTACTGAATAAGTGAAGATAGCTTTTTTTTTTTGCTTTTTTTTTTTTTAAAAGACAGGGTCTTGCACTGTCGCCCAAGCCGAAGTGCAGTGGTGCAATCATAATTCACTGCAGCCTTATACTCCCAGGCAGGAGCGATCCTCCCACCTCAGCCTCCTGAGTAGTAGAGACTACAGGTGCACACCACCACACCTGGCTAATTTTTAAATTTTTTGTAGAGATAGAGTTTCGCCATGTTGCCCAAGCTGGTCTCGAACTCCTGGGCTCAAGCGATTCTCCCATCTTGGCCTCCCAAAGTTCTAGGATTAAGGGTGTGAGCCACTGTGCCTGGCCGATACCATTCTAATTAAGAAGGAAAACAAGGGAGGAGGAACAGGTTTAGGGTTGACAAGTTCAGTTGGGGACCTGTCGAGTTTGAGGTGTGTGTGGTACATCCTGGATAAGAGTTCATTAGCATGTAGCCATGAGTCAGAATGACCTTAAGGAGATTGTACAGCATGAGATGAGGGCCAAAAAGACAAAATCATAGGGAATGTCAAAATCAAGGTAGAAGATGAAGAGAGCAAAAAAGAGACCAAGAGAGGTCAGAGAGATGGGAGGAAAAGATAGACTCCCTGCTTCCTTCTGGAAAGTGGCAAGTGCTTAGAGAGAGATTGTGTAGTCTTGGTGATATGGTTTGGCTGTGTCCCCACCCAAATCTCATCTTGAATTGTAGCTCCCATAATTCCCACATGTCGTCGGAGGGACTTGGTGGGAGGTAATTGAATCATGGGGACAGGTCTTTCACATGCTGTTCTTGTGATCATAAGTCTCATGAGATCTGATGGATTTATAAAGGAGAGTTTCCTTGCACACGCCCTCTTTACCTGTCACCATGTAAGATATAACTTTGCTCCTCCTTCACCTTCCGCCATGATTGTGAAGCCTCCCCAGCCATGTAGAACTGTGAGTCAATTAAACCTCTTTTATAAATTACCCAATTTCAGGTATATCTTTATTGGCAGCGTGAGAATAGATTAATACACTTGGACAGGTTACTTGAGCTTCTCTGAACCTTTGTTTCCTCATCTGCAAAAAGGGAGTAATGATAGTACCTACCCATGGGGTGTCGTGAGGATTAAATTAATAAATATGTGTAAAGTACTTAAAACAGTCCTGGCACATAGTAAATGCTATATACATGTTTCATATTATTATTCTTTTTATTATCAAGAAATAAGGAACATCCATGGGAATTAGTATCCAACCGGTCATTAGTGACCTATGCTAGGGGCATTTCAGTGGAGTGGTGGGGGTAGAAGCCAGACTACAGTTGGTTAGAGAATGAATATGATACAAGAAAAGCAAACAGATAATTCAACTTATTAAAAGATTGCCTGTGAAGAAAAGGAAAGAGCAACATCAGTATCTGGCAAGGTGTGTGGTAGTGGTGATGGTGAGGGGTGTTGTGTGTCTTTGGGTCATGGGGAAAACTTAAGCATGGTTAAAATTGCTGAGAGGAGTGAGTAGAAGGGGAAGGGTCAAAGAGAAGCAGGAAGAATAGTTGATGGCTCAAGGTCCCATGGAAGGTAGGATGATTCAGATCCCAGGTGGAGGGATTAACTTAAGTGAAGAAGGACCCATCTTACACAAGCATGAAAATGAAGGAGATGAAGATAGGTAGTGATGCACATGAGTGTGTAAATGGGGACAGATATTTGAGGGATTTCCTGTCTGCTGGCCTGTTTTCTCTGGGAAACAGGGTAAATGGTTTGCTGAGCGCCAGTAGACAAGTGGGGCTTTAGGAGAGCAGTGAAGGTTTGATTTAATTGCTGTGAAGAATGGGTGAGAGCCAACAGAGACTTGTGGAAGATGGTTGCAGGGGGTGCTATGGGTCCAGCTGACATATATTGGCAATGGATGACACAATCAAATGACCTCTTCCAGTAGTACTGTAGCTGACAGGTGAGCACAGAGCACGGGGCTGTTGGGGTTTTGCTTTGTGGGGTGACCATTAGTTTTGTGGCGAAGGAGTAGCAGAAGGATAGAATCTGATACATCAGGTCCGGAGGTTTTGATGAAGCTGCCAAATGGGTCTCTGGGGAGAAGGAAGTAAAAGTACTATAAGGGAGAAAGTTGTAGTTGGATAAGAGAATAATCAAGTTTAAGATTTAAGAGGCAGAAAGTTTTTTCTGATAATGCCAAGGTCCACAGACTGAACAGGACTGCAGGCATGTGGCTAAAGGGGAATAGAGGCAAAGGCATTGGTGTCTAGGAGCTGCAGGACTAGGTGGACAGTGAGTGGTAGAAGTGGAGGGAACCTAGATGGTGCCAGGAGGAAGACTGTGTGAGAAGTGCTGTTTCTTTTTCTTTTTCTTTCTTTCTTTCTTTTTTTTTTTTGAGACGGAGTTTCACTCTTGTTGCCCCTGTTGGAGTGCAGTGGTGCAATCTCGGCTCACTGCAACCTCCACCTCCCAGGTTCAAGCGATTCTCCTGCCTCAGCCTCCAGAGTAGCTGAGATTACAGGCATGCACCACCACACCCAGCTAATTTTTGTATTTTTTTTAGTAGAGATGGGGTTTCACCACGTTGGTCAGGCTGGTCTCAAACTCCTGACCTCAGGTAATCTACCCGCCTCAGCCTCCCAAAGTGTTGGGATTACAGGTGTGAGCCACCACTCCCGCCCCAGGAGTGCCATTTCTGAGGGAATATGTTACATTGACCAGGGAGTGATCAGTGAGGGGCCGAGAGAGATGTGGGTTGGTGGCCCAGGCTCAGCAGCCTACATCTCTTCATGGGGTCTTTAGGCTAACATAGGATGATGGAGTATCTGTGTATTTCGCCATAGACAGATTTTAGTAGTTGCAACAGAGACTGTATGGCTTACAAAATCTAAAATATTTACCTGTAAAGGTAAAGAAATGAAACAAAACCGTTAGATTATTATAAAACAGAGTGACAGCTTAAATTTGTCAGTGTATAAGAATTTTGTGTATACTTGAAAAACACTGGCCTGGCAACTTAGTAGAAGATAAATTTGAGTTGTAGTGTTTCTGTAGTTGAGAATGAGTGAATGGAAACCTGTAGAAGCAAAGCAGTTAGGAGAAAATCATCTAGAGAAATGTTAGCCTTGAGAGTGAGTTCCACAACCACTTAGCTGTAGTGGTTGAAGGAGGAAAGAATCCTACCTCCAAATTACAACTTTACAAGAAACAGAACTACTAACCTTGAGAAACCATTATTTATGCCATTTATCAGCCCAAACTGAAAATTTAGTGCTCAAAGCTGGCACTATTGTATAACACAAGTTGCAGCATAAATTGTTAAAACCCTGTTGAAGGGCCGGGCATGGTGGCTCATGCCTGTAATCCCAGCACTTTGGGAGGCCGAGGTGGGAGGATCATGAGGTCAGGAGATCAAGATTATCCTGGCCAACATGGTGAAACACTGTCTCTACTAAAAATACAGAAATTAGCTGGGAATGGTGGCACATGCCTGTAATCCCAGCTACTCGGGAGGCTGAGGCAGGAGAATCGCTTGAACCCAGGAATCAGAGGTTACAGTGAGGTGAGATCGCGCCACTGTACTCCAGCCTGGTGACAGAGCGAGACTCCGTCTCAAAACAAAACAAACAAAAAAACCTTGTTGAAAATCATTCATTCATTGAAGAAGTATCTATTAATTACCTTCTCTGTGTCAAGTGTTTGGTAACTGAGCAAATATATAGCTTTTTTAGGAAGCAGTTTAGAACACAGTTTGTTAGTCTTGAAAGTATTCACAAACATTTCCATTTTTGAGAATTTTTCTTTCTTTTTTTTTTTTTGAGACAGAGTTTCACTCTTGTTGCCCAGGCTGGAGTGCCGTGGTGCGATCTCGGCTCACTGTAAGCCCCGCTTTCTGGTTTCAAGCGATTCTCCTGCCTCAGCCTCCTGAGTAGCTGGGATTACAGGCACCTGCCACCACGCCCGGCTAATTTTTGTATTTTTAGTAGAGACAGGGTTTCACCATGTTGGCCAGGCTGGTCTCAAACTCCTGACCTCGTGATCCACCCGTCTCAGCCTCCCAAAGTGTTGGAATTACAGGAGCCACCCTGCCCGGCCAAGAATTTTTCTGATAGAAATCCCTAGGAAGGAAAAAAGTAACATGCCCAAGAATATTCATTGTATCACAATATAATAACAGGACATTTGGAATAGCTTAGGTGTCCAGGAGTAGGGAACTTGATAAGTATATTCTAGTGTATTGATTTGATGAAATAGGATACAGCCATTAAATAATTATGAAGATTGGAGAAGAACGTACAGAATCAACAGGGAGAAGTGGAAATTACATACATGTAACGTTGAACTATATGAAGTTGCTAATACATGGACAAAAAGACCTGAAGAGAATGTGAGAAAGTATAAAATGGTTGATTATGGTAATGGGATTAGGATTTTTTTTTTCTTTCTTGTATCTGGTATTCTTTTTTTTTAAATTTATTTTTTTGGAGATAAGAGTCTTGCTCTGTCACCCAAGCCAGAGTGCAGTGGCATGATCTTGGCTCACTGCAGCCTCCACCTCCTGGGTTCAAGCGATTCTCCTGGCTTAGCCTCCTGAGTAGTTGGAACTACAGGCGCACGCCACCATGCTCGGCTAATTTTTTGTATTTTTAGTGGATATGGGGTTTCACCATGTTGGCCAGGCTGGTCTTGAACTCCTGAGCTCAGGCAACCTGCCTGCCTCAGTCTCCCAAAGTGCTAGGTTTACAGGTGTGAGCCACCACGCTTGGCCCTGTATCTGGTATTGCTAAAATGCTTGGGTAACATATTTTCCTTTAAAATCTTCAAGGACTGACAGGATAGATCACATCCACATCACTCTACATTGATTCACCTGGAAGCTTTTGTATTACAGGGCCATTATGGTAGTGAGTGCACAATTGCAGTCCACTCAAATATTCATTAAGTTAAAATCTTTTTTTCTTATGAAACTTTATGAAACATTTCACACATGCACAAAAATAGAATACATAAACACTCATCATCAACTATGATACCATTGTCACACCAAAAAAATTAGCAGTAATTCTTTGATATCACCTAATAACCTGACTATTTTCTCCACTGTGGCTTTAGATATGTTGGCTATACTGTTAGCTGACCTCATAGTTAAATCAGGATAATAACCATCCCAGTTTTACTGGGACTTGGGGCTTTCAGTGCTACATGCAGGCAAACCAAAACAGTTGGTCAGCCTACTGTCAGCAGCAGACTGCAAGGTCAGTGTGGTTGTTTTAAGTGTATCTTCCTCACCATCCAAGTGTGCACTCCCAAAATTCACACTCAGTCAGAGGAAGAATTGTTTATTAATTAGATCTGGGAGTTGATGCTAAGGGAATTTCACAAACAATGAAGTTAAGACAAGTTCCTCCCTTTAGTGAGCTCACTGTTTCAAGTGGAGGATCAAGACCATTAGAAATAAACAAAGTCGAAGCCAGGTATGGTGGTTCACGCCTGTAATCCCAGCACTTTGGGAGGCCAAGGTGGGTGGATCACCTGAGGTCAGGAGTTCGAGACCAGCCTGACCAACATGGAGAAACATCTACTAAAAATACAAAAATTAGCCGGGTGTGTTGGTGCATGCCTGTAATCCCAGCTACTCAGGAGGCTGAGTCAGGAGAATCGCTTGAACCCGGGATGCGTGGAGTTTGCAGTGAGCTGAGATCGCACCATTGCCCTCCAGCCTGGGCAACAAGAATGAAACTCCATCTCAAAAAAAAAAAAAAAAAAAGAAAGAAAGTCAGAGGTTAAGTGGTGTGGATGATCCAGAGGGAGGAGTTGAGAAAGTCAGGGTAGGGTCAGAGTAATTGAATACTCAGAAACATCAAATTGAGCCTTAAAAGATTGGGTAAAATTTCTAAATTTTAACCGATACATACTATAGCTAGGACTTTTAAACTTCCTCATTATAACACAAATTTTGGGATAAGAAAACGTGTGTAAAAGGCCATTTGGGCTGGATGCAGTGGCTCACTTTGGGAAGCCAAGCTGGTAGGATTGCTTGAGGCCAGGAGTTAGAGATTAGCCTGGGCAACATAGCAAGACCTCATACAAAAAAGTTTTGGTCTTTTTTTTTGGAGACGGAGTCTCACTCTGTTGCCCAGGCTGGAGTGCAGTGGTGTGATCTCCGCTCACTGCAAGCTCCACCTCCCAGGTTCACGCCATTCTCCTGTCTCAGCCTCCCGAGTAGCTGGGACTACAGGTACCTGCCACCATGCCTGGCTAATTTTTTGTATTTTTAGTAGAGACGGGGTTTCACCGTGTTAGCCAGGATGTTCTCAATCTCCTGACCTCGTGAGACCTCATACAAAAAATTTACAAATTAGTAGGTAGGGCCAGGCACAGTGGCTCATGCCTGTAATCCCAGCACTTAGGGAGGCCAAGGCAGGGGGATTGCTTGACCAGGAGTTTAAGACCAGCTTGAGAAACACAGGGATACCCTGTCTCTACAAAAATAAAAAAAAAATTGGCTAGATGTGGTGGCACGTGCCTGTGGTCCCAGCTACTTGGGAGGCTGAGGTGGGAGGATCTCGGGCCCAGGAGGTCGAGGCTGCAGTGAGTCGTGGTCATGCTGCCGCACTCCAGCCTGCACAACAGAGTGAGACCCTATCTGAAAATAAAAAATAAAAAATAAAAAAAAGCCAGGCATGGTGGTGCACACTTGTACTTGTAGCTACTTGGGAAGCCAAGGTGGGAGGATGGGTTGAGCCCAGGAGTTTGAAGTTGCAGTGAGCTATGATCACACCACTGTACTCCAGCCTGGGTGTTAGAGCGAGGCCTTGTCTCAAAAAAAAAAATAAATAAAATGCCATTTTGTCCTGTCTGCCCAGGGGTCTGTCCTCCAGCCTCAGCAGATGAGACTTTTACGCATCATCTTCAGCGACTGAGAAAACTCATTAAAAAGCGCTCTGAACTGTATGAAGCTGAAGAGAGAGCCCTCAGAGTTATGCTAGAAGGAGAACAAGAGGAAGAGAGGAAAAGAGAATTAGAAAAGAAACAAAGAAAAGAAAAAGAGAAAATTTTACTTCAGAAACGTGAAATTGAGTCCAAGTTGTTTGGGGATCCAGGTATGTTGCTCTATAACCAGTGGAGAAAATGAAAATACTAGATTGACGCTCTTCTCATCACGGGTGATCTCAAGCTAAGAGGTGGTAGGCAACAAATGACACCTTCCAGATGCAATTCTGTGTCATAGAACTCATGGATACAGATAGAACACATTTTCTCATTCTGTCGTAATCATAGGCTCAGTCACCTTGCCTTGAGAAATACACTGTGGATATCAAGCATGATAACGTGGTATTGTGCTTTTCTCTTTCAGATGAGTTCCCACTTGCTCACCTCTTGGAGCCTTTCCGACAGTATTATCTCCAAGCCGAGCACTCCCTGCCAGCGCTCATCCAGATCAGGTCAGAGGGGCTGGCTCTCCATGTTGTCTTTCTCTTAGGTAGCAGGAAGCACTTGAAGAAGTGCTTACATTGTTTAGGTCTATTACTGTCTTTTTTTTTTTAAGTTCCATAAGGAACTTAAAAAAAACTATGGGTTTATAATGTTTCCATGTTTCAAGGATGCTGCATACATCTTGTTTAGTCCTCATTAGTCCTTGAGAAGTTGATGTCCCTATTTTTATAGGTGAAGAAAAAAACTCAGGTTGTGACTTGCCCTGTGTTAGTAGGCACATATGCAAATACAGAATCTGTAAATAATGAGGATTGACTTTATTTGTTATTTGGTTATCCATAAGGTTTAAGTTCTTCAGAGTTTTTCCTCTTTTTATATGTACATTTAAGAAATATAGTCATTTTCTTGATTCCTAGAAATCAAGTTCTGTAATAGATTAGTATATCAGTCATTTGAAAGCTAAGTCTTAGAATATGTAGTTGCTGAACATCTTATTTGGAATAAAACAGAAATAAATAGTTGTTCTATAATGTTCTTATTAAGGCATGATTGGGATCAGTACCTGGTGCCATCCGATCATCCCAAAGGCAACTTCGTTCCCCAAGGATGGGTCCTTCCCCCGCTCCCCAGCAACGACATCTGGGCAACTGCTGTTAAGCTGCATTAGTAAAGATGCTCCAGGAGTGTGGTCCAGCCAGCGCTCTTTCCAGCTGTAAATATTAGCGATGGTGCCATCTTTTGCTGTAGACTAAACTGCAACTTCTAAATTCCATGTGGCATTCCCCTACCCTGAAGTTATGCTTTCCTTCTGTGCTCTGTGCTGGCCAGAGGTGCCTCTTGAATCAGATTAATGTGGTTTTTCAGGAAAGGACTTAGGTGAACTGAGGTTTTTACCACAGGCAGTGAATGACCTTGGTTCACCAAATTTGCCTCTGTTTTGAGGGGCTTGGTCCAGAGTGACTTGTTAATTTACTCTAACTTCCTTGTGTGTTGATGGGTAAGTACACTCAAACACTGAATACAGGTGTGTGATGGGTAGATTTCACAGCCCTTCTACTAATAGTGAGTGTGAAGGCAAGCTTGATGCAAAACCTCCTGACCTTTCCTACCTGAAGAGCCCTTTGACTTCTAGGAAGAAAGGTCAAAAATGTTATCTTCAGTTGTGTTAATCCCAGTTTTAGTGCAGCTTAGGAGGCTGCTAGTTAGGAAGATGGCAGTGGCTGTAGGCTGGGTTGCCAGAAAAGATGGTGGCCTAGTCTTATTATTCAGATGGAGAACTTAGAAAACCTGAAGAGTACCCAAATTGGATTGTATTTTAATGGACAATGGCTGTATTTTTTCCATGTTAGAAGGATCCTAATGAAAGCACCTGTTATTTTTAAGTTTCTAAGGGTCTAGTTGTTCAGAATCCCCAAGGATATTTCCCTAACCTCACTCAGTCACATTGTAGGAGCCAGTGTAGCTATGGAATTATCTTAGGAACTCAAGCTTCTAAAACTATCCATGTAGTCAAATCTAGGGGAAAAAGCAAATAAAAATAGTAAAATTTGGCCGGGCACAGTGGCTCACGCCTGTAATCCCAACACTTTGGGAGGCCGAGGCGGGCCGATCACGAGGTCAGGAGATCAAGGCCATCCTGGCTAACACGGTGAAACCCTGTCTCTACTAAAAATACAAAAAAATATTAGCTGGGCGTAGGTGGTGCACACCTGTAGTCCCAGCTACTGGGGAGGCTGAGGCAGGAGAATGGTGTAAAACCCAGGAGGCAGAGCTTGCAGTGAGCCGAGATCGCGCCACGGCACTCCAGCCTGGGAGACAGAGCAAGACTCCGTCTCAAAAAAAAAAAAAGTAAAATTTATTTTTTATATTCATTAATAAATGCTGTTGTGCTTGGAGATGATCACTCATATAACATGTCATTTTTTTGGTTCTGTTTTGGTTTGGTTTTTGCCAATTATTTTGTTATATTTCCAAAAAACTAAATAAAAATCATTTTTATTTTTTAGTTTGTGCCTTTGCTGCCAATTTGTTGCCTTCCAAATCACTTAACACACACTTTCACATTGATGAAACATATTTTCATTCAAAAATTCAAATTTATTAAGCAGGCATTTGTTACAGGAATTTGAATCTTAAATGCTAAACTTTATCTGCAAAATCCAAGTCTGGATTGGTAAGGATACCATCAATTTTGGAAATAATGTTACGTACTGTAGTTGGAAGCTTTTGGGTGCAAGATACTAATGGCTTTGTCCCTTTTCTGTTGTTTAATTTGCATTAATTTATACATTATATAGAGTCAACAGATAGGGAATGAGGGCCACATGTCTCCAAAATGTATGTCTACGCTTATAAATCTTAAAATCTGATATGATTACCCTCATAGAGCTCCACAATCCTGTGTGCCTTTTTGTTAGATATCTCCACCATTTGCTCTCTGATGAGATGCAGGAAGAGTAGAAATAAGGTGAATTGTACGATGTGTGTTTGGTGTCTGGACAGCCTTGCCACTAAGATATCTGCTGTGAGGGCAGGGAATGTGCTGCAGGGACTCAGGAAAACTCGGACAGCAGAACCCAAGAAGGTGGCATTTAGCCACAGATGGAGAAAAAAAAAATCCCTTTTTCCTTTGGCCCTTGCAAGGTTTTAATAAAGTGATCAGGCTGGGTGTGGTGGCTCACGCCTGTAATCCCAGCACTTTGGGAGACCAAGGTAGATGGATCACTTGAGGTCAGGAGTTCAAGACCTGCCTGGCCAACATGGTGAAACCCCATCTATACTAAAAATACAAAAATTAGTCAGGCATGGTGGCAGGCGCCTGTAATCCCAGCTACTTGGGAGGCTGAGGCAGGAGAATCACTTGAAGCCAGGAGGCGGAGGTTGCAGTGAGCTGAGATCACACCATTGCACTCCAGCCTGGGCAATAGAGCGAGACTCTGTCTCAAAACAAAGAAAATTAAAAAACAAAACAAAACATGAGCATTACTCTTGTTCGGTTTTTATTTGTAAGATTTTCCTGGTTTATTACCTGTGTGTAGTGGTGGTGGCAGTAGCCACTGGTTCTTTCAGGTTTAGAGAGACTCATGGTAGTATCTTTAATGAATTGTACTTTCAAGAATATGAGCAGTGTTATTGTAATGTTATCCCACAGTCTTTTTTTTTCTTTTTTTAACTTGGGGAAAATTTCAAATACATTCAAAAGTAAAGAGAATAGTACAATGATTTTTTTCCATGTACCCATCATCCAGCTTCAAATCATTATCAGCTTATGGCCAATCTTGTTTCATCTATACATCCTCCACTCACCCTGGATTATTTTGAAGCAAATCTCAGGCATCAAATTACTTCATCTGTAAATATTTCATTATGTAGCTTTAAGTGATTAAAAAAAAAATCTAACTACAGGGCCATTATCACATCTAAATAAAGGAGTAACAACTCCTGAATATCACAAATATCCAATCATTGTTCAAATTGCCCTCTCGTAAATGTTTTACGTTTTGTTCAAATTAGGATCTGAATAGACTCCATACACTGTTGTTTGCATCCTTGTGATGCCATGTCCCTCTGTTCTCGTATGTCCTATAATTTAGTAGTTAAACAGAGCTGTACTGTCCAATATAGTAGCCACATTCAGCTGTTGAGCACTTGAAATGTGATCTATTTGAGTTGAGATGTGCAATTACATATGTGGATCACGTTTCAATTGGATAGTGCTGATCTAGAGGCTTGATCACATTCAGATTGGAATTTTCTGGCAGGAATACTTCACAGACATAATGTGTACTTCCAGTCAGGAGGCACTGATGTCTTGGCTTTTTTTGTGATGTTAGCGGCCACTGATAAGACCCAGATTCATTCATTGATGGGGAGGGGACTCAAAAATAGTGATAGTTTAATTCTGTCATTCTTCAATTATTAACTGGAATACTTTTAAAAAGAAAAACTGTACAAAAGCATTTGTTTTTAATAAATTCGGTAAATACAGAGATTAGAAAGCTATGAGAGAAAGAGATTAGTTCTTAAATACTAAGGGTATTTAGCCCAAGTGGCTGAGTTTATGATGTCAAAGAATTTGCTGCTACAAGCCAACCAACTTAATCACTCTATAAAACCATTCATGCTCCTATGCCCATGTGACATTTGTAACAAGAAGCTTAGGCTTATGCCATCTGTTGTAGCTATTCATTTATACACGCTTTGTCTGCAGGGAAGTTCTCCTGGTAATTACAAGGTAAGTACAAAGTATATCTTATTCCATTTAAATAAGTATAATATGCAATATATGAAAGGAATGTGAACATTCTGAAATAGTAGTGATTTATGGAATAGTGATTAAATGAGACATTATCAACTAAATTTGTTTTTTGCCACCTGTTTGTCCCAGATTTTTTGTAATGCTTAGAACCTATAAGCTATTTCCATATGATGAGCTCTTTACCTTTTTGTGAATCCACATAGTAGTTCCTGGCTTCCTGTATCTGGCCACACATGAAGAGTATGTTTCCATTGCAGAGTTCATTTGCCTTTTGGAATAAATTTGGTTTTTCATAGCCTCCAAAGCAAAGATTAAGGTCTCTGAGGCAAGTGGTGTTAGAGTGCATAACTGTGTAGAACAGTGGACACTTTCCTCAGCTTTGTTAATTCATGCTGGCCACAGTCTGGATACCAGAATTTGAATTATGTTCTATGGGAAATGATTTTTTATTTACCATTTTCCAGGTACTGTGGTTAGGTGCTAGGGATGTAAGAAGGGGTGAACAGACAGGATTCCTGACCTCCTGGAGTTTAGAGTGAAGAAGCTTAATGATTATAACAGAGTCATTAGAGACAATTGTGATAAGTGCTACAAGGAAAAGTACTTATCAGCCAATTTATATATTTCATTCCAAATGTTTAAGTGCCTATTAAAGCTAAGCAAAATGCCAAATACTCCCTAACCTCATACAGAATACAGGCAATGAGGAAGGTAGATATTAACCCAATAATCATAAAAAATATGCTGAGTGCTTTGAAAGAAAGACATGGTTCTGAGATTATGAATTAGGATTTTTCTTCAAAAGCGTTCTGTGACACATTTAGTTGAAATAATAGGAAATATGTATCATATAGTAAGGGTAAGAATCATTATTCAGTTTACATATGTGTATGCTAGGAAATAAAAGTATACTATGGGTCATAGTTAAAAAAAAAAAAAAAAGGCTGGGCGCGGTGGCTCATGCCTGTAATCCCAGCACTTTGCGAGCCCAAGGCAGGTGGATCACAAGGTCACGAGTTCAAGACCAGCCTGGCCAAGATGGTGAAACCCTATCTCTATTAAAAATACAAAAATTAGCGGGCGTGGTGGCAGGTGCTTGTAATCCCAGCTACTCGGGAGGCTGAGGCAGGAGAATCTATTGAACCTGGGAGGCAGAGATTGCAGTGAGCTGAGATCGAGCCACTGCACTCTAGCCTGGGCAACAGAGCAAGACTTCATCTCAAAAAAGTAAAAAATAAAAAACTTTGTAAAGGCCACTGTGCTAGGTAGACCTGACCAAGTTTGAGAGTCAGGGCAAGCTTTTTTGAGGAAGTGATGTTTCAGCTGAGCTCTGAAGAATGAACAGCTTTTTCTTTTCTTTTCTTTTCTTTTTATTCTTGAGACAGACTCTCGCTTTGTCGCCCAGGCTGGAGTGCAGTGGCGTGATCTTGGTTCACTGCAACCTTCGCCTCCCAGGTTCAAGCAGTTCTCTCGTCTCAGTCTCCTGAGTAGCTGTGAGTACAGGCGTGTGCCACTACACCAGGCTAATTTTTGTATTTTTAGTAAAGAGGGGGTTTTGCCATGTTGGCCAGGCAGGTCTCGAACTCCTGACCTCAAGTGATTTGCCCACCTTGGCCTCCCAAAGTGCTGGGATTACAGATGTGAGCCATTGTGCCTGGCATTTGAGCAGCTTTTAATTAATTGTGGGGAAGCAACAGGGAAGAACTTAGCAAGTATCCAGAACAGGATATGCAAAGGTTCTGTGGGGACTGAGAGACCATGGCAGTTGAAGGCTAGCATGACTGGAGTAAGATGGGAGGAGAGGAAACGGGCCAGACACTGCAAGCCTTCAGAAGTTTAATTTTTATTTTGAAAACAGCCAGGAACCATTGAAGAGTTTTAAGTAGGAGAGTGCCTTAGTTTTGTTTCGTTTTGTTTTCTAAAGAAGGGGTCTTGCTATGTTACCCAGGCTGGTCTTTAACTCACGGGCTCCAGCAATCCTCCCACCTCTGCCTCCCAAAGTGTTGGGATTACAGGCATGAGCCACCGTGCCCAGCCAGGAGTGGCTTAGTTTTGGTTTTGAAATGGTCATTCTTGCCTCAGTGTGTGGAACAGAATTATAATAATAAAGCATGTGAGGATACATGGAGATGAGTGGTCCAGGTGAGAGATAATGGGGGCTTGGATTCCCATGGAAGCAGTGGAGTTAGCCTGAAATGGCTGGATTCCAGAGATTTAGGAGATAAAAATTCACAGGAAATTTGAGATGGTGGTGGTAAAGGAGAGGAAAGTATCAGAGATGAGTACTCGTGCACCTGGCTCAATGTTACCATTCCTTGAGACAAGGAACCCTGGGGGCGAGGAGCAGTTTGGGGAAGGGAAAAATCAGTTCACTTTGATACGTTGAGTTTGAGAAGTCTTGAGACACTGTGTAGGCAGTTGTGTTTATGAGTTTGATCTCAGAAGAGAACTGGAGAATTTAATTTGTGAATCATTGGCAGGTAATTGAAGCTCTGGGCAAGAATAAAGTCATTTAGAGAGTATAGTGAAGACCTTTGGAAACAATACTAATGTCATTGCCTGGGCCCCACTTAAATCAATCAGTGCCACCTTCACCCATCCCACTCCCCATCCCCATGCCCAGATCCAAGCACATGGGCACCACCTCATGGGCTAGTGTTTGAGAGGTCCTGGCTTACAGTTTGTCCAAGCATGCACAGCCTGGCTTTCCTAACATTCCCACATCCCTACTCCATTCCACCACCTCAGGCCTCTTCCACACTTTGCCCACTACCTGCTGAATGGAGTCAGCACTCAGCCTGAAGTTCATAGTTCTCCCCAGCTCTACCCCAGTCTACCCTTTCAATTTTACTTCGTACTGCTTCCCAGCACAGACCATCTGCTTAAGTCCAGCAACTTGTCACTTCTCTCCACCCTGCAGATTCCTCTGCTCTCTTGCTCACAGGCTGTTCTTTCACCTTCCAGGGTCAAGGCCAAGTCCCATCTACTTCCTGAAGCTTCTCCAATGCCCATAAGGACTAGACCACTCCCCTTCCTTTGGAGAATATTATTACATAATGATCTGTACCTCTCATGTTGTACCTAGTGAGGTGACCCTCATTTTAGAATACTTTCTAACTAGGCAATATCGATATCTTTACTGTAGCCCTTGCCATTCTTAAGAGATATAGGGCCAGGCGTGGTGGCAGGCGCCTGTAGTCCCAGCTACTCAGGAGGCTGAGGCAGGAGAACCGCTTGAACCCGGGGGACGGAGCTTGCAGTGAGCCCAGATCACGCCACTGCACTCCAACCTGGGTGACAGAGCAAGACTCTGCCTAAAAAAGAAAAAAAAAAGAGATATAGGCTGGGCATGGTGGCTCACACCTGCAATCTCAGCACTTTGGGAAGTCAAGTCGGGTGGATCACCTGAGATCAGGAGTTCGAGACCAGCCTGACCAGTATGGCGAAACCCCACCTCTACTACAGATACAAAAATTAGCCAGGCGTGGTGGTGGGTGCCTGTAATCCCAGCTACTCAGGAGGCTGAGACAGGAGAATCGCTTGAACCTGGGAGGCAGACGTTGCCGTGAGCCTAGAAGATTGCACTACTGCACTCCAGCCTGGGAGACAGAGCGAGAGTCCGTCTCAAAAAAGAAAAAAATAGATATGTTCCCCAAATCCTCAGTATCCTAGAAGCAAGTGTAGGGCTGAGTAGAAAATACCTATTAGGATGCAGATGCTGGGCGGAAGATGGAGAGAAGGGTGCCCTATACCTGCTAAGTGGACAGATAGTCTCAATAGAACTGTGTCCCTTCCTTGGAGATAGCTCAAAATTCAGATGATACCTGAAAATGTGAATAATAAATCTGAGAATGCCAAAACTTGCTGAACTTTCCTGTGTCTCCTATAACACCCTTGTACCTCAAAGGTCCCCTGTAAGAACTGGCTGATGGGGCAGATAATTTACTGGTTACAGTGGGACCTTCCTGATTCTGTATGGAAGGTAGCACAGAGAGCTACCTCCTGCTGTGCAGGGAGACCAGCTCTAGGCATGGAGTGGAGAAACCTTTTGAGTCTTATATACAGCAAGACACTAACAAGAGTTGACAAATGGGGCAGGAGATGAGGGAATTAAGGGATTTGCCTACCTGCCTTCATTTGACCTCTCTGCACTCAGATTATCCACCCTACCTCTCCACATGATGCTCTCATGGGAAGGGGATGACTGTAGTGACCCCTAGCAGGGCAGAGCTTTGCGTCATCCTGGCAGGGATGACAGATTGTGTTGAGCCAGAGGCACTTCCTGCTGCAGACTCCCTGATAATCCCTGATTGTTTGCAAAAAGGCAGACTGCGGTCAAGAAGTCTAGATTCAAGTGTATTATTATAGGCAGTCGTGAGCTTAAATTCTGTGTGAATGAGTTTGTTCTTTTTCTTTTCTTTTCTTTTTTTTTTTTTTTTTTGAGACAGAGTCTCACTCTGTCGCCCAGGCTGGAGTGCAGTGGTGCCATCTCGGCTCACCTCAACCTCCGCCTCCTGGGTTCAAGCAATTCTCCTGCCTCAGCCTCCCACGTACCTGGGACTACAGGCGCGTGCCACCATGCCCAGCTATGTTTTTTTTTTTGTATTTTTAGTTGAGACGGGGTTTCACCATGTTGGCCAGGCTGGTCTTGAACTCCTGACCTCAGGTGATCCACCCACCTCGGCCTCCCAGAGTGCTGGGATTAGAGGTATTAGCCACCACGCCCGGCCAAGTTTTTTTTGTTTGTTTTGTTTTGTTTTGTTTTTTGGAGACAGAGTCTCACTCTGTCACCAGGCTGGAGTGCAGTCGCGCGATTTCAGCTCACTGCAATCTCCGCCTCCCTGGTTCAAGCGATTCTCCTGCCTCAGCTTCCTGAGTAGCTGGGACTACAGGCACGCACCACCACGCCCAGCTAATTTTTGTGTTTTTAGTAGGGACGGGGTTTCACCATGTTGGCCAGGATGGTCTCAATCTCTTGACCTTGTGATCTGCCCGCCTCAGCCTCCCAAAGTGCTGGGATTACAGGCGTGAGCCACCGCGCCCGGCCGATTTTGTTCTTTTTTAAAGGCAACAGACTCAATATTTAATGTAGTTTAAAATATATCAAAAATTAAATTCCTGGCTGTTGTATTGCTAAACGAAGGACAGATACTAGTCTTGATCTAACCCAAAAAGCCAAGAAGTGATGTGTGAATGAGTTCTTAATTCTTGGCTTTCAGGTTTAGTAGATACTGTTGACTAAGTGACTTTCTGACCAACAGTGAATGAGAGTTATAGATGTTCCACATCCTCATCATCGCTTGATATTGTGAAGCTTTTTAATTTTAACCTTAAATTAATGGTTGTATGTTTGTGTAGTGGTATCTCATTGTTTTATTTTGCATTCCCCTGATGACTAATGAAGTTAAACAACTTATCATATTGGCTATTTGGATATCCTCTTTTGTAAAGTGCATATTAAAAGTCTCTTGCCCATTTCTTATTGTTTATAGAAGTTCTTTGTATATACTGGATATGAGTCCTTTGTCATATAGATTTGTTGCAAATATCTTCTCCCACTCTGTGATTTGTTTTTGTTTTTGTTTTAACTCTCTTAATGGTATATTCTGATGAATGGAAGTTTTTTTTTTTTTTTTTTTTTTTGAGACAGATTCTCGCTCTGTCACCCAGGCTGGAGTGCAGTGGCGTGATCTCGGCTCACTGCAAGCTCCGCCTCCTGGGTTCATGCCATTCTCCTGCCTCAGCCTCCTGAGTAGCTGGGACTACAGGCGCCCACCACTATGCCCAGCTAATTTTTTGTATTTTTAGTAGAGACGGGGTTTCACCATGTTAGCCAGAATGGTCTCGATCTCCTGACCTTGTGATCCGCCCACCTCGGCCTCCAAAGTGCTGGGATTACAGGTGTGAGCCACCACGCCCGGCCAAATGGAAGTTCTTAACTTTTTTTTCTTTCTTTTTTTTTTTTTTTTGAGACAGAGTCTCGCTCTGTCACCTAGGCTGGAGTAGAGTGGTGTGATCTTGGCTCACTGCAACCTCCGTCTCCCAGGTTCAAGCGATTCTCCTGCCTCAGCCTCCCTAGTAGCTGAGATTACAGATGTGTGCCACCACGCCTGGCTAATTTTTGTATGTTTAGTAGAAACAGGGTTTCACCATGTTGGCCAGGATGGTCTCGATCTCCCAACCTCAAGCGATCTGCCTGCCTTAGCCTCCCAAAGTGCTGGGATTACAGGTGTGAGCCACTGCACCTGGCGGAAGTTCTTAACTTTAATGTAATCCAGTTTATCAGAATTTTCCTTCATGGTTAGTCTCTTTTGGAGTTGTTGTTGTTGTGTTTTTTTAAATTTAATTTATTTATTTATTTATTTATTTATTTGAGACAGTGTCTCATTTTGTTGCCCAGGCTGGAGTGCAACCTGGGCTCACAGCTCACTCATCTTACTGCAGCCTCATCCTCCCAGGCTTAAGCAATCCTCCTACTTCAGCCTCCCGAGTAGCTGGGGCTGTAGGTGTATGCCACCATACCTGGCTAGTTTTGTATTTTTTGTAGAGATAGGGGTCTTGCTTTGTTGCCCATGCTCATCTCAATCTCCTGGCCTCAACTGATCCTCCTGCCTGGGCCTCTCAAAGTGCTGGGATTATAGGCATGAGCCAACGTGCCTGGCCCGTTAGCCCTTTTGTAACTTAAGAAATGTTTTGACTATTACAAGGCCATGAATATAGTCTTTCATTTTTATCTTTGAGTTTTATTATTTTACCTTTTACATTTAAATCTACAGTCCACCTGGAATTGATTTTTAGGTATGACATGAGGTAGAGGTCAATATTGTTTTTGTTTTTTTTTTTCCCCAGATGGATATCAAATTAATCCAGAACAATTTATTTAAAAGACTTTCCCTTTCCAGCTACTCTACAGAGCCAATTTTGTCATAAGTCAAAGATTCATGTGTGGATATGTTTCTGGACTTTCTTTTTTGTCCTGTTGGTCTCTTTGTAAGTCTTTAAGTCACTCTCTTCATTCTCATAACTTGAAGGTCTTGCTATCTGATAGTGAAAGTCTTCCACTGTGTTGCTTCTCCAAGAGTCTCTTGGCTTTTCCTGGTCCTTTGCATTTCATTTAATTTTAGAATTAGCTTGCCAATTTCTACCAAAAAAAAAAGTGATGGAATTTTGATACATGGGATGAATAAATTAATTGGAGGAGAACTGCTATCTTTACAAGATTCAGTTTTACAATCCTTGAACGTGGTATGTTCCTCCATTTAACCAAATGTTTTATAGTTTTCCGTGTAGCGGTCTCATACATCTTGTGTTAGATTTAGTCCTAGAGAACTATACTAATATAAATGGTAACTTTTTAAATTTTCCTTTTTTTTTTTTTTTTTTTTTGAGACAGCGTTTCCTTCTTGTTGCCCAGGCTGGAGTGCAATTGTGTGATCTTGGCTCACTGCAACCTCTGCCTCCCAGATTCAAGCGATTCTCCTGCCTCAGTCTCCCAAGTAGCTGGGATTTCAGGCACCCACCACCATGCCCAGCTAATTTTTGTATTTTTAGTAGAGACGGGGTTTCACCATGTTGGCCAGACTGGTCTCCAACTCCTGACCTCAAGATAATCCTCCCACCTCGACTTCCCCAAGTGCTGGGATTTGGGATTACAGGTGTGAGCCACTGCACCTGGCCTAAAATGTTCCATTTCTAATAAAATTTTTAGAAGAGTCCATTTACATGATTTACTATTTATATAGAGAGATGTAATTCCTTTTTTTTTTCCTTTTTCTTTCTTCTTTTTTTTTTTGAGACAGCATCTTGCTCCGTTGTCAGGCTGGAGTGCAGCAGCATGATCTCGGCCACTGTGTGATGTGTTAGAGATACTCTTTATTAGTTAAGAAAATTCCCTTCTCTTCCTAAGTTGCTGAAAGGGTATGGGTATTGATTTTGTCATGTTTTTTTCTGCATCTATGAAGCTATATAATTATATAATTTTTCATCTTTATTGATATTTATCTTTATTCCCATTTATTGATTTGGGGATGTTAAGTCAATCTGTCTTTCCTGAAATAAACTTAACTTGACAGTGTTATATTATTCTACCCATAATTATTTTTAAGATTTTTTTTGCATCTGTGTTCATGAGAGATTGGTTTCTAATTTTCTTATCAAGTTTGGTATCAAGGTTATGCTAAAAATCAGCTGGGTGCAGTGGCTCACGCCTGTAATCCCAGCATTTTGGGAGGCTGAGGTGGCCGGATCACCTAAGGCCGGGAGTTTGAGACCAGCCTGGCCAACGTGGTGAAACCCCGTCTCTACTAAAAATACAAAAATTAGCTGGGTGTGGTGGCACAAGCCTGTAATTCCAGCTACTTGGGAGGCTGAGGTAGGAGAATCACTTGAACCCAGGAGCTGGAGGTTGCAGTGAGGCAAGATCAGGCTACTGCACTCCAGCCTGGGTGACAGAGCGAGACTTCGTCCCAGAAAAAAAAAAAAAAAAAAAGGTTATGCTAAAATCAAAATGAGTTAGAAAGTATTTCTTATTTTCTTCTTCCCTGGAAGAGTTTATGTAAATTAATGCTGTTTGTTTCTTAAACATTTGGGTGACAATTATTTTGATGAAATGCATGAGAACTAGTTTTGTGGACCATGTTTTGGAAAACAGTGGTCTAGAGCATGACTGAAATATGAAATAGTGAATTTCTGTCCGTGTGAATGCTCTTGTTTTTATTCATTTCCTTCCTTTATGCAGCACTGGCCCCCTCACCTTTTCCTTTCCAGCTGTTTGGGGCTCAGCTAAGTGACCACACAGGAGAGCAGTGAGGCCATTTGAGGCCTGAGCCTGGTCCTCAGGACTCGACTCTCTCTCCCTGCCATCAAGCAGCCTGCCCCAGCCCTGCCAGCCATCTCCACACTCCTGACAGAATGAATGCCCTCGATGGTGTTCCTTTCAAGTTGCCCAAGGGCTTTGTGATAGGCACAGAGCCTCTCCCTGGGCCAGAACTCAGCGTCCCGGCCTGCGGGGAAGTTCTGCTGGGTTCTATGGTAAGTGTGTCTCTGTGTTTCTGTCTTCTGGGTCTGTGGGTCTGGGGCTGAGTCCATGGGGCCTTGTTCCTTGAATTTAAAGGACAGCTAGCCCTGGCCAACATGGTGAAACCCCGTATCTACTAACAATACAAAAAATTAGCTGGGTGTGGTGACGCGTGCCTGTAATCCCAGCTACTCGGAAGGTGGAGGCATGAGAATTGTTTGAATCCAGGAGGTGGAGGTTGCAGTGAACCAAGATTGTGCCACTGCATTTCAGCCTGGCGACAGAGTGAGACTTCGTCTCAAAAACAAATTCAGCACTCTTTTTGGGCCACCGACCTTCTATCCAGCCCCACTACTTGACCTGGGCACACCTACCAACTCCACCATTGTAACGTCAGAATGGTACACACTATTTCTGTAAAGTGACATCTTTCAGATACTTAATGGCTTTTCATATATGCATACCCTTGATGGCCTGGACAGTTTCACGAGTGTTCTTAAAGTGAACACGAAAATTTGAACCTCTTGATTTGCATGATTTTATGGGGTTCTCCAGGTCAAATGAATGGTGAACCATTTTCACAGATTACCTCAGGCCACTTAGGGAAAGAGCTGTTTTTGTTTTTTTCAGACAGAGTCTCGCTCTGTCACCCAGACTAGATGGAGTGCAGTGGTACAATGTCAGCTCATTGCAACCTCCTCTTCTAGGGCTCAAGCGATCCTCCCACCTCAGCCTCCCAAGTAGCTAGGACTATAGGCACATGCCACTATGCTTGGCTAATTTTTTATATTTCTTTGTAGAGATGAGATTTCACACCATGTTGCCCGGGCTGGTCTTGAACTCCTGGGCTCTAGTGATCCTCCCACCTTGGCCACCCTAAGTGCTGCAATTACAAGCATGAGCCACTGTGCTCGACCTGCTTTTGTTTTTTGAGACAGGGCCTCACTCTGTCGCCCAGGCTGGAGTGCAGCGGCATGAACATGGCTCACTGCAGCCTCAACCTCCTGGGCTCAAGGAGCCCTCCCACCTCAGCATCCCAAGTAGCTCAGACTGCAGAAAAGTGCCACCATGACTAATTTTCTTTTTTTTTTTTTTTTTTCATTTGAGACAGAGTCTCGCTCTGTCACCAGGCTGGAGTGCAGTGGCGCAATCTCGGCTCACTGCAACCTCCGACTCCTCGGTTCAAGTGATTCTCGTGCCATGGTCTCCCGAGTAGCTGGGATTACAGGCATGCACCACCAAAGCCAGCTAATTTTTTGTATTTTTAGTAGAGATGGGGTTTCACTATGTTGGCCAGGATGGTCTTGATCTCATGACCTCGTGATCCACCCGCCTCAGCCTCCCAAAATGCTGGGATTACAGGCGTGAGCCACCGCACCTGGCCATTTTCAAAATTTTTTGTAGAGACAGTCTCACTATGTTGCCCAGGTGGACTTGAATTCCTGGGCTCAAGCAATCCTCCGGCCTCGGCCTCCCAGTGCTGGCATTACAGATGAGCCACTGTGCCCAGCCTAACACTATTTATTGACCAGAACTTTATCGTTCTCCTATTGCTTGAGATGCCACCCGTATTAGTTACTAAATCCCTATAATATATTAAGGCCTATTTCTGGATTTTCTATTATGTACCTTTAATCTGTCTGTGCCAGTACCATAGTTTTAATTATTGAACTTCTATATTTTAATAGATGGTAGGGCCAGTTCTCCTTATTTATGTTTTTGTCTCCAGAGTTTCTGGCTTTTCTTTTTCTTTTTCTTTTCTTTTCTTTTCTTCTCTTCTCTTCTCTTTCTCTCTCTCTCTCTGTCTCGCTCTCTCTCTCTTTTCTTTTCTTTTTTCCCTTCCCCTTCCCTTCCTTTCGACAGAGTCTCGCTTTGTCGCCCAGGCTGGAGTGTGCAGTGGTGCAATCTTGGCACATTGCAACCTCCACCTCCCAGGTTCAAGCGATTCTCCTGCCTCAGCCTCCCAAGTAGCTGGGATTACAGTCATGTGCCACCATGCCCAGTTAATTTTTATAGTTTTAGTAGAGGTGGGGTTTCGCCATGTTGGCCAGGCTGGTCTTGAACTGACCTCAGGTGATCCACCTGCCTCAGCCTCCCAAAGTGCTGGGATCGCAGGCATGAGCCACCGAGCCCAGCCCTTATTTGTTTTTATATGAAGTTTAGAATCATCTTGCATAGTTCCAAAATCAAGTGTTGGCATTTTATTGGGTCTTGGTATTTTTTTAATCCCTCTGAGTGCTGCTGGCTATTTCTTAGCTTCTTTCTCTCCAAGTATGCCTCATTAGTTCTGAAGTCTTTTTGCCTTCTCTGTCCTTCACAACCCATCTATTTTGCTCCAATCTCTTTCTCTAACCATTTATTCTGCACATACTTACAAATGTCCACTCTGGGCCAGGCCTGCCCTGGGCCCTGAAGATACAGAGAGGAACTCAGGGAGTCACACTGGAGCAGCTAACTTATGCTCCTCTCCCCAAGGTAGGGTCATGGGTGAGAGGGAGCTGTGCCTGTGATCTAAGTGTCTGAGTGTCTGTGCCTGTCTTTCTGCCTCACTCCCCAACCCCTAGCCTCTTTCTTCCTTAACTGGCCATGGTAGAACAAATTGCCTTTAAAACTTTTACATATTTTTGATGGAGTCTTATGTTTGCTGTTCTTAATTTTAAAGGTAGGGAACAGGAATATGTCATTTTTGCCTCATTTTATAAACTCTAGAGTTAGATTATTTATGTGGACTCCAGATTGCTTTTTTAGGTGGTCTGATACGAAGTGGAGAAAGCACTACAATCAGGTCCACCGACAGGAAAACCAGCTCAGCCACTCACTGCCAATCTAACTTCTAGCAAACTCAATGTTCTGAGCTCCATTTTCATAATATGGAAATAGGAATGACACTAGACCATACTAAGTAGAGTTCCACAAAGATTAGTGGTTATGACATTTCCAGGACCCCAAAGTAACCTTGGTGGCAGCAAAGGGGCTGGGGACAGGAATCACTCCATAGGGAGGTTTGTCTGCCTGGGCGGGCCTCCAAGGCAGACTACTCATTGGCAAACTGCTGGGCTCAGGTGAAAGCTTCTTTGCTAAGAATAAGCTTTATTGGAGAAAATTTTTAAGTAGTTTTTGCTCAACTACATACTGAATGGCAAAGGGATTTAGATGTTGGGTTTCATTACATTTCATTCGACTGACGAATTCATCACTTTGTCATTTATGCCAGTTTGCCATTAAACTGTTATTGGTATCCATCGACCACAGTGTTAGCTAAAACCCAGGGTAGAGTGGGCTGTGATGGAAGCCCGGGGCTCAGAATCTGACGCTGTCCAGGCTTAGAGAGTCTCTGGCTGAACAGGGTCCCCCAGGCCAGGGGTTAGTGTTGTGCCCCCGGGGTCCTGGTTTGCCCTGGGCTTTACGTCGCCTTCTTTCCGCAGCACGACTTCAGCCTGGAGAGGACGGCACTCTTCTGGGTGGAGGCCGCCGGCCAGGGACCCAGCCCGTACCAGTGCGGTGACCCGGGGACAGCGTCAGCCCCTCCAGCCTGGCTCTTGCTAGTCAGCCCCGAACATGGGCTGGCGCCTGCGCCCACCACAATCAGAGACCCGGAGGCCGGACACCAGGAGAGGCCGGAGGAGGAGGGTGAGGACGAGGCAGAAGCCTCCTCTGGCAGCGAGGAAGAGCCGGCCCCCAGCAGCCTCCAACCGGGCTCCCCGGCGAGCCCCGGCCCCGGCCGTCGCCTGTGCTCGCTGGACGTGCTACGCGGCGTGCGGTTGGAGCTGGCAGGGGCGCGGCGGCGGCTCTCCGAGGGGAAGCTGGTCTCCCGGCCCCGCGCCCTCCTGCATGGCCTCCGCGGCCACCGCGCGCTGAGCCTGTGCCCGAGCCCTGCGCAGTCCCCCAGGTCTGCATCACCCCCGGGGCCCGCGCCCCAGCACCCCGCCGCCCCCGCGTCGCCCCCGCGGCCCTCCACGGCAGGCGCCATCCCCCCGCTGCGGAGCCACAAGCCTACGGTCGCGGTAAGGATTCTGCCCGCCCCTCCAAGGCCGCCAATCAGCAGCCCAGGCCCCATAATCTGGGTGTCCAGCCCAGCCCGCAGCCTCGGTCCCCTACTCCACGCGCTCCTGCATCCTCCCTTGACCTGCTCCCACCTGGGCCTGTACCGTGTTGTCCTCCTGCGGCCCTTTGACTAGAGTAGAGTAGTCCCTGCTCAGAAGCCCCCATTCCCCGCGTTTCCCACTGTGCCTGCCTTGCTTTTTTTTAGGGAGCAGGTCACAGTGGTTTTAATTATCCAGGACCTGTCTCTTCTAAACGAGGTTGAGCTCTTTTAGGGCAGGGACTGGATCGCACTGATTTTTGTTTCCAGAGCACCCAGCTGCCGACTTGACCCATAGGGGGCGCTCAGTGGATGTCTGTTGAATTGATGAACGCAACGCAAATCTAGGGCTTCCCACTGGCTGAGGTTTGCTATAAGCTAGGGGAGCTGGAGGCTCAATCAAGGAATATTCAATGCACAGTTACTTCCTGCCAGACACTGGGTTTGGGAGTGTCAAAACCACAGGACATGAAGAGTTGGCCAAGAGGGTTGTGGGACCAGGCCCTGAACTGTACAGCGGGATCAGGTGTTGAGGGAGCGTCAGGGCTGCAATAGGCTGAGAAGGCTTCAGGACGGAGGAAGTGAACCCTGAAGAGCAGGGAGAAGTGACCCTACAGTGAAACCACAGAAGCTTAAGCCTCAGGCTCCTCCCTTTGTCTCTTCCAAGGCCTTGTGCCCAATTTTGTATTCATAATTGTGTGTTCTTTTTCTGTGAGGTGCCTTCCAAATTATGTAAGTATCAGACTCCACAAAACATGGGGTGGGTCAGGATTGGCAGCAGAAGGTGGCAGCGGGGCACAGCTTTCTGCCCCCCAGCAGCCCCACAGTCAGGCCAGGAGATGCTGCAGAATAAGGCCAAGGTAGAATTCAATCTGCAAGACAGAGACCTGAGGTCTGGTTTCTTACATGCACCGGCTTGTGACCTTAGGCAAGTCACTGAACCACCCCTTCTCTACCTGCACTGTGAGCCAACAACCCTTCACACGGTTGTTTAGAGCATACATAGTAGAGAAGAGGCTCTGTAAGCGTGATGTGCCATGCCCACATCCAAGACCAGATGTTGATGCCAGGATGGCTCTTCCCTGGCCAAGATGAATTTAACTCTCATAACAACCCTGTGGGGGTGGGACAGTATTCTGTAGATGATGGAAATGAGGCACAGAGTGGCAAAGAATCTTTTTCAAGGACACAAGAGTAGACTCAGCTCCTAAACTTTGATGTTCTCCACCCTGGAGGTAATAAAGGGTAGACCCTAGGGTGAGGTCGTGGCAGGGAGAGCCCTGAGAAGATGCGTATGGGTGGGGATTCATGTGTGTTACATATACACTCCACCCCAAGAGCCAGGCGGCAGCTGTGTTTTCCTTGGGAGGAGGGGACAGGATGAAACGTTCAGGGCTGGCAGAGAGGTACTTCCTCATGGGAGAAGGTTCGGGGCGATGCCGGCCAAACCAATGGAAATGCCTTCAAGTCACCCTCCTTAATCCAGGGTGTGTTTCAACTGGTGTGCCCAGTTCCTCCCCTGCTCCATGCCCTGCCAAACCCCAGCCCAACCAAATTCAAGAAGGAGGGCCTGGTTGGGAAGACCTACCCCTGCTCATCTGTCACCAAGGTGTGGGGCATAAAACCTAAGTAGGGTTGAGGTACCAAGCGTGTGTTGCTTAATCAGGTCATTAACGTTTCTGAACCTTGATTTCAATGTCTGTAAAATGGGATAGTAGAATGGACCTCATATTTCTTTCACTAGTCACTTTCCTGACATTGTTTTTTGTTTTGTTTTTTTTTTTGAGACAGAGTTTGGCTGTTATTGCCCAGGCTGGAGTGCAATGGTGCGATCTCTGCTCACTGCAACCTCTGCCTCCCGGGTTCAAGCGATTCTCCTGCCTCAGCCTCCCAAATAGCTGGGATTACAGGCATGTGCCACCACGTCCGGCTAATTTTGTATTTTTTAATAGAGGCAGGGTTTCACCACGTTGGTTGGGCTGGTCTCGAACTCCTTACCTCAGGTGATCCACCTGCCTTGGCCTCCCAAAGTGTTGGGATTACAGCCATGAGCCACCGCGCCCAGTCCCTCACATTGTCTTATTTAAGTCTCCTGATAGTCCCGTGAAGTAGCTTAGGGATTGCCCTCATTTTTCATATGAGTATACTGAGTAAGCATTAGAGAGCTGGGGTCTGCAGGACTCTAAGCCCTCCATAATATTAGCCCCTACACTCTGTACAGAAGGTGGTACATAAAGGCATTTTTAAAAATGTCCAGCCCAACTGAGTGTCACTTCCTGTAGTAACTGACATGTCCAGTCTGTCTGTATTTCAGTCCCTCAGCCCGTACACCTGTCTGCCACCTCTTGGGGGGGCACCCCAACCTCTCAACCCCCACAAGTCACACCCTGATACTGCGGCTGACCTGCTGTCCGCCCTGAGCCAGGAGGAGCAAGACCTCATTGGGCCAGTGGTCGCCCTGGGATATCCCCTGCGAAGGGCCATCATAGCTCTGCAGAAGACAGGGAGGCAGAGCCTGAGCCAGGTGAGTTGGGGGACCCAGAGCTGATGAGCTGTGATGCTGGAGCCAGGTGAGTGGCCACATGATTTTCACCTTTTGAGCTGTGACATAGGCCCAACAACAGCATCAGCCAACCCCACAGCTCTGGAGCATCTATGGCCCCTCAGGGTTGTCCTAAGTGGGGCTGAGATGGTCAGGCCTTTATACCCCTGCCTCAATCAGTCATTGCATGTGGGAAGGGGGTGACCTGAGGTAAGTGGATCTCTGCAGTTAAGGTAATCCCTGAAGGGGCAGACAACTGAAGAGTGTCTCCCAGCTCTCCCAGCATCTGGGGCAGTAAGTCCTGCAGTGAAAGGGTGTGTGGATGGAACATCACAGAGTCTACCACACGCAGGTTCTACTCACCCACATTCTATTCTTCTAATAGAGTTCACTCTATTGGAAGTATGGCGGAGACTCATGATGACACTCCAAGGACAGCACTCTGAGCCACGCTACTATTTGGAAGCAGGTCTTGACCCCTGATACAAGCCAAGAATGTAAGAGCACCTGCAGAGGAGTGAGGGCCCCCAAAGTGCCCAAAAAGAGGTGCTAGTGGCAAGATACCTGGGAGAAGAAGTGGTATGAGTGTTATAGGGGTGTTTCTGTCATCTCTTTCTGTGTAACAAACTACCCCGAAACTTAGTGGCATGAGACAACCATTTATTTGCTTATGATTCTCTGGATTGGCAGTTTTAAGGTGGACTCAGCTAGGGGGTTCTTCTGCTCATCTCACCTGCAGTCTCATGTGGCTACAGTTTGGTGACTTACTTGGGGCTGAATGATCTAAGATGGCCTCATTCACTGTACAGTGGGTGGTGATACTTGTCAGCTGGGCCACATATCTCCAGCAAGCCACCCTACTTGGTTCCAAGAGTAAGGCCTCTTGAGGCCTCTTGAGGCCTTGGCTGAAATTGTACATAGTCACTTCCACCTCATTCTATTGGTCAAAGCATGTTGTTGACCCCTCCAGGCTTACACAGGGGAAAAACAGATTCCACCTCTTGGTGGGAGAGGGTGCAAAAAATTTTATGATCATTCTCAGTCTACCACAAGAAGGTTCCAGTGATCAAGAAAGGCTTCATGGAGATACCAAGCATTGAGCAGGACTTCAAGGATGGATAAGATCTGATGCTGAAGGAAGGAGAAGGGGTGATATTCCAGGAGGGAAGGACAGTGTGAATAAAGGAGTGGAGGTGGGAAGGAAGTGTTTGGGAGGCCCTGATCTGACCAGTCTTGTTGAGGAGAGGGTGCATGAGGCAGGCTGGTAGGAGATGAGAAAAAGAGAATTGGGGGTAGATTTAGGGGTCTTGAAGGCTGGCCTGAGAATTTGATAAATGACCCAATAGGCAAAAGGAGGCACGGAAGGATTGTAAGTAGGGTCAGGAGGTAACATTGAATGCCATTGCCTACACCCCCATGTCCCCACCTGAAAGTAACATCCTTCGTTGCGTGGTTTTCTAAACATCGGGACTCTTCATGGTTTGATGGCTGGCCCCAGGGTAGTTGGCACTTTTCATTTTTCTCCCGTTCCTGCCCCACCACCATCAGAAGGCTTGGACACCTCCATCATCACTGATGAGTACTGAATGTTGGGTCCCTGCGGTCCAGAGCTGCCTGCTTCTGCCAGAGGGAATGGCAGAAGGGAAGTGACTTTCAAACAGGAGCCGGGGTGGGGCTGGGCAAATGCACCTGGTCCCCTTGCCCACCCACTCCTGCTTCTACTCTACTCTGGGTTCATCAGTTCATGCCCTGTCCTGGAGGAGAATTTCCAACATAGTGACCCCCATGTGGCTAAAATGGCAGGGAGGGGTGCTAACATTTATTGAACATTTTCTTGCATGAATCTCTCTCTCTGAGGGTATTCAGTTAGGTCTCAATTCTGCAAGGTTGCTATTACATTATGACCACTTTGCAGATGAGGAAACTGAGGCCAGGGAAGTTCATACAGCCAGTCAATGGCAGCACTGGGGTTGAGGCCAGCTGGTCTGACTCTGCATCTTGGTCGCACGATGTCTTTTATCTCATTTTCTGTGTGAGAACCTCCCAGGACAGCACCACAGGCTGATCTGAGATTTAAGAGCAGATCTAAAGTCACGCCTACCTTCGGATGATACTGAAAAGCCAGAGTCCTGGCCAAAAAGCTGGTCAGGAGGGCTGTGAGGGGCCAGGTGCACAGTGGGGCTCTGACATGCCTCCCCAGTCCCTTCAGGCCCTGTGGTAAGGCTGAGGTCTCAGGCCATCACTCTGGGGGTCTGAAGATGAGTCAGAGCCAGCCTGGGGCCCTGGCCTCCCAGTGGGTGAGCAGGAAGGATTTCACTGCATTGGGAACATTGTGTTTCCAGATATAGACTGGCCACCTGCCTGGCCCCCTGGATCTCTGGGTGGCCTTCCCTGGTGGGCAGTCAGGAGCCAGGCCCCACGGGGTGGGTCTGAGGGGCCTTTGGATGACTTCATCTATCCTCCCCCACCAAGTTAGTATTTCTGTCTGTTCTGTGAAGTCCTGGTAACTGAACAAGCCCTTTGGGTTCAGATTCCTTCTCCCACTGAAAGCCGCATATTGCAGTAAATCCTTTTTGGCCAAGATAAATGACAGATGGCCCAGGAGGAAGGGCATCAGGTGATAGAGACAGAGCAGCTAGAAGAGTCAGGGAGAGAAGAAGATACAAAAGAAATTGTGCAGCACTCCTTTCCTTCCACAAGGCTTGATGTGCCCACACTGCCTCCCTGCAGGACAGGCATGGGTGCCATGTGTGAGGGTCCACAGGCCAGGCCCCCTCTTTTAGCCTCAGTTTCCCAGTTCACAGGGTGGAGGAGGAATACGTGTTTGGAACCAGTGACTTCCGGGGGCCCCCTCCGGTGGCCTTAAGGTGACATCCTCACCCACCTGGGGGCCTGAGGCAAGCCTGATAGCTTCTACAGTCCTGCAGGCCCAAAAGCTAACCAAGCAGCAGAACCTTTGCAAATGCAGACTCTCAGGGCTTATCCTGCAGGGCCCCAGTCAGTGGATCTGGGGTGGACCCAGGGGCCTTTAATTTTAGAAAATTTGCAGATGGGTCTGATATTCACTGTGGCATAGTATAGATCAAGGTCAGCTGTCCCCATTCACTGATTCTTAGTCTTGGGTGCACATTAGAATCACCTGGAGGGCTATAGGGAAAAATTCCAATGCTCAGGCTACACCCCAGACCAATTATATCGTAACCTCTGAAGGTGAGGCCCAGACAGCAGTAATGTTTAAAGTTCCTCAGGTGGTTGCAATAAGCACTGAGACTGAGAACCATTGCTATGGATGAGCCAAAAGGTGGAGGCAGCGTCCACCATCCATCCTTGCCCGCCCTCCTTCTGAAGGTGAAGCTTTCACCTTTGGAAACCCTGTCATCCACCAAGACAGCTAAAAGCCCGTCCTCTAGCAGCTGATCCCTCTGATGGACAAGGCATTAAATGACAGGTTACATAATCGGGGACCTAGTCCTGGGACCCCGGACAAGGCACCTGCCTTGCCTGAACCTCAGTTTCCTCAACTGTGGAAGGAGGGCATGGGTGCCTGGTTTTCAAAACGTGCTCAGAGCAGGTCTAGCTGTACTGGGCAGTACCTCGGCCAGGAGCACTGGACTCCGGGCCCCCATGCCCCTGGCCCTGGTTCTCCCAGAGCAGCTCTAATCTTAGCCTGTTATTGCTGAAGCCTCCTTGTGCTAAGACAAACACTTCAGGAGCCAAAAACAATTTGACAACTGTTAGTCTAGATGATGTGCACTTTCATCCCAGCTCTGAAGGTCTACGGAAACCCCACTCTCCCTTCTCCACATATACTCATAATTCCTGTAGTCTGGAGCCTTCATTTGGCACCTACACCCCATAAATCCTGCTTTGATTTGCCTGGCACTGATGTGGTCCTGTATCTGGTTTATCTCCCCCACTAAGCTGTGAGTTCCTTGAAGGCAGGTCTTCATTCATTTTATAAACACAGCACACATTTATTGAGCTCCTTCTGCCACCATGCTGGATGATGGGGACACTGTGGTGAATGAGACTGACACAGCCCCTCCCTCATGGAGCAAAAACTTCGTGGATGAGAAAGATTGAGTGAAGCAATTACAAAGTTATATGTGCTGTAACAGGGAAGCATAGGGTGCTATGGGGGCACAAGGGACGGCACCCAGGAAGATAGAGGGGGCAGGAAGCTTCCCAGGGACAGGGAAGGAGGCCAGCCTTGGCTGAGGGAGCTGCATCTGCAGAGACCTGGAGGGTGAGGGAGGGGCCAAGGCCATAGACAGGGAGCAGGCCTTTGAGCCCTGCCTGGTAAGGAGCCAGCATTTTATCCTGGGCCCCTGATGACGTAACCGTGGGGTGACCTGAACAGTTTTTCCTGCCTGTGGAATCCTCCTCTTTGCCTACCCCACACCCCTTCTCCAGCACTGGTGCAGGAGTTGCATAGTAGTGGCTCAGGAGTCCTGGATGAGAGAGATGCATCTGGGGGCACAGTAGGGGTGCACAGGTGTGGACGGATGAGGAGGCACCTTCACACGAATGGGTGCTCCCAGACAGGGGTGGGTGGTGCATGAATGTTGAATTGCGTTGGGTGGTAGGTGGGATGTCTGTGTTTGAAGCCTGTCCTGCTCCCCACCTAGGTTCTATGAACACCCTAGCCCACCCTGACAGCCCTTTTCCTGGAGTCCAGCCCCCAGCTTGGCATAGTTGGTGAAGACCCATTGTCTGCCTATCGCCAGGCACTCAGAGAAAGCCTCTATCCCCCTTCTGTGGGTTCACGGGCTCTCTGGGGCCACGCTGCAGGTGGTGGCTTGCCCTGTTGCCTGGCCCTCAGCTCAGGCCCTTGGAGTGCCTCTCTGCCCTGTCTGCTGCCCCGGCTGCTCCTCTTACCCTCCCTCCCTCTCTGCCCGCTTCCGGCCCAGTTTCTCAGCTACCTCAGTGCCTGTGACCGCCTGTTACGTCAGGGATATGAGGAAGGCCTGGTGGATGAGGCCATGGAGATGTTCCAGTTCTCCGAGAGCCAGGTCAGCAGGGCTTCCTGCCAGGGCCCCAGGGGATGGAAGGGATGGGGGTGTACCCAGGAGCCCGGTGTGCAGGGCCACACCAGTCCTCAGAGCCAGTCTGTGGGTCCAGCCTGTGGGTCTGTCGGGAGATTGCCTGACTCCTCAGCTCTGAGGAGGAGATGGCCCAGGGAGCTACAGCAGGGACAAAGGTGAGAGGCACAGAGGGAGATCAGGAAGAGGTGGGACGGGGACAGGAGGCAGAGAGCAGCAGGGGTTTTGCTTTATTAGACTTAATCAACACAGCCTCTGTGACTGAATGGCCACTCTTTGTCGGACACTCAGATAGGAGCCATGGGCAGCACAAAGATGCATGACCTTTCTACTTGGGGAGCGTGCCGCCTACCCCAAGTGCATGCAGCTGTAGGCCCAATAGTCACATCTTGTTTTCTGAGACTGAGTCTCACTCTATTGCCCAGGCTGGAGTGCAATGGCACGATCTTGGCTCACTGCAACCTCTGCCCCCGAGGTTCAAGCAATTCTCCCGCCTCGGTCTCCCAAGTAGCTGGGATTACAGGCGCCTGCCACCACACCCTGCTAATTTTTTTTGTATTTTCAGTAGAGACGGAGTTTCACCATGTTGACCAGGCTGGTCTCGAATGCCTGATCTCAAGTGATCCGCCCGCCTCGGCCTCCCAAAGTGCTGGGATTACAGGCGTGAGCCACCGCACCCGGCCCCAGTAGTCACTTCTAAGTGCCCCATGGCAGAGCAGCTCTTCACAGAGGCTGAAGGGGACGGAGGGTTGGGTGAGGCCTCGAGAAGGAGAGAGTGAGCAGAGGTGGGGAAGTTTCAAGCCCTGGGGTCGGAGGGGAAGGAAAGTGCAGGCTGCGCTGTGATACCTCCACAGTGTTCAGGGCACGGGCAGGGACCTTGGGCTGTTTGTGCTCCAGGTGCAGGTGTACGGTCTGCCCCCCTCCTGCCCCAGCAGAAAGTTGACAGTGAGTGGGAGGAGTGGGAGGAGAGTCAGGACAGAGCCCATGGCCAGGCTGGGGCCTTCTTTCCTTGGCAGAGGAAGGGAGGTCGGAACCTACATCACCCTACAGGTACAGAAAAGTGGCAGGTGTGGCCCAGGATCAGGCTCACGTGGCCTGGGGGTAGCCACAGCTTTTTGGGACTAGGTGCAGTAGGCACTGGAGCTGGGGCTCCCCATGGCTGAGGCCAGGCCCAGCAGAGCCCCCAGCACCCTCCCTGTCTCCTCTTCCTCAGGCAGGGGAGTTCCTGCGCCTCTGGGAGCAGTTCAGTGACATGGGCTTCCAGCAGGACCGGATCAAGGAGGTGCTGCTGGTCCATGGCAACCGCCGAGAGCAAGCCCTGGAGGAGCTGGTGGCCTGTGCCCAGTGACCACGGAGGCACTCCACGATGCCTGGGCATCTAGGCCCAATGCCAGACCTGGCAACCCATCCTAACTGTATTATTAAAACCAAGTAAGAGTAACAAAGTGATGCATACTTATTGTAAAAACACAAATAATACCAAGGGTGACAGTTAACAGCAGCAGAATCTGCTGAAAGAGTTGAAATAGTTGCCTCTGCAGAGGGGCAGATGGGAGAGCCGGACGGGGAGCTATGTTCTTCATGCATGCCTGTGAAACCACCTGATTTGACTCTTTACACTGTGTGCATTAGTAACCTTGATTTTAAGAAAATTAAAACAAATAAATAATGGGCAGTTCTTCTGAGTCCTGCAGGCACCTGGTCTTGGTGTGGAAAGAACATCAAACTGTAGGTCAGAAGACCTCATTTCTGATTTTAGGTCTGCTGATGTCTGGGTCAAGGCCTTGTTGGGCCTCAGTTTCCCTAGGAAACGTAGAGAGATTTGACCAGGTCAAAAGCTTCCAGCCCTGGCGGCTATCCATAAGAATCCTCAGGGTGTTTATTCAAGAGTCCCAGACCCCACCCTCGTATATTCTGATTCAGAAAGCCCAGCTTGGCAGCCCCCAGGAATCTGTTTTGTTTTATGTAAGAAGATCTCTGGGGATTCTTTACTACATAACAGGCCTATGGCCAGTGTGTGTGACTTTCAGCCAGTCTGGGGCCCCTTCTGCTCTATCTGTGATCGTATGACAGTCTTTCCTCATTTGCGGGGTGGGGAGGTTGTGACCAGAGTTGTCTCCAGTCACCCAAGGCCTATCGTTCAGAAGTCCCCAAGGATTGAGGGGACCAGCCCATAACTCAAGCAAGCAGAGGCCAGGGGCCAAGACTCTAGTGCCTCTGCTCTCCCCAGCCAGCCCTGCGCAGACCTGCAACAATTACCGCAGAATCAAAACATCTCAGCCCCCTCCACCCTGCAAACAGGGCTGGACCTGGAAATGAGGCCAGTAAAAAAAACGAACAACTTCCACGTTTCTCAGGGCTTCAACCCCAGATACCTCATCTGAATGTGTAATGGGGACTTCTGCAGGCCTACACACAACAAGCTTGGAACTAGAACCAGGTCTCCGGAGGCCCAATAGCCCCTCGGTGCTTTCTACTAAGTCTCAATGCCTGCCAACTTGAAATCACAATAAAAATATTCTTTGGCCTTAAAACTTGCCTTGAATAACTTGCAGGCAGCACAAAACTATTAGAGAAAATGGGCAAGATGTTGTAAAGTTGGACATATGTCTGTCTGTTGCCAAAAGTAAAACTACACTTGAAAGAGACAGTAAAATTAAAGTTCAATTTCTAAGATGCAATGTTAGGTCCAAAGCTATTTATGTTCTGATTAAGGTAACCTGGCCTTGGTCCACCACTTTACTAAGTCCCCTTGATTAGAGGCGACCAGTTGACAGGCCCATCCATAATTCCTATCTTTCTCCCACATGCCTCAAATCTGCCCATCCCTAGCAAACTGTTGCTTGATTAAAAATGTGACATCTGGCCAGGTGTGGTGACTCACCCATGTAATCCCAGCACTTTGGGAGGCCGAGGCGGGCGGATCATTTGAGACCAGGAGTTTGAGACCAGCCTGGCCAACATGGCAAAACCCCGTCTCTACTAAAAATACAAAGATTGGCCAGGTGTGGTGGTGCATGCCTGTAATCCCAGCTACTCGGGAGGCTGAGGCAGGAGAATCGCTTGAACCCGGGAGGCGGAGGTTGCAGTGAGCCAAGATTGAGCCATTGCACACCAGCCTGGCGACAGAACAAGACTCCGTCTCAAAAAAAAAAAATCAGACATTAGAGACAGGAAGGTTGCTTGAGTTTGAGGATATAGTGAGCTACCACAGTGCCACTGCACTCCATAGTGAGAGTCTGTCTCCAGAAAAAAAAGAGAGACATCAGTGGGCAAATTGTTCATTTAAAATATTTTTTAGGAGGTACAATAGTGTGGTAGTTAGGGGCACGAACTCTGAAGTCAGATGTGGGCTGAAACTACAGCCTTAGCACTAACCAGCCGTGTGACCTTTTGAACATCACATAGCCTCTCTGTGCCTCAGTGTCTTATCCATAAAATACAGATACTGAAACTTTCCAGTTGTGATGATTGAGCAGGATAGTGTGCAGGAAGATTGTGCCATGGTATCCAGTAGCCACTTATTTATACATATTTATACCCTGCCTCATTCCATCATCATTACCTTTACTATGATCATCCTCCTCATCACTTTTATGGTTAACAAACCTCCAGCATTTATCATCAAACTCAGAAACCCTGGGAGAACCACTCGCTGCCTCTCAGGTCAGCAGGGTTAACGAAGGTATCTGGCTGGAGCAGAGGATTCTGGGAGTGCCACCTGGGAGAAGGACAATCTTTACAGTTAATACTAAGGATCAGGTGGCTGCCTTGGTGCGTCCTTGAAACAGCAGCAGTTGACACACTCAAGCATGGTCTGGACAAGAGGACCCTCAGAGAGGAGGTCAGGAGGATGGCAGGGTCCAGGTTCCAGGAGCAAGCCAAGGCCTGGCCCATGTAAGGAGAATGAAGCGAGTTCTGCCCTGGTTCTTGCTCTCCCTCCTGTCCCCTTATGCTTTGTCTCCTCTTCTGGGTCCCCACCATGTTCCCGCAGAGGCCCAGTGGAGCAGGCTGAAGGCAGCCTTTTGACTCTGACAGGAGGGATGTCTCCTAACCCATTCGGGCTGAGATCTCAAGGCCTTTAGGTGTTCCCTTTCTGGGGAAATGTGCACAGTGCCCTCTATCTGGTTGACTTTCTGCCTCCTTCTTAGAAGGACCCTCGTGATTCCACTGGGCCCACCCAGATAATCCAGAACAATCTCCCACCTCAAGATCCTTAATCACGGCCGGGTGCAGTGGCTCACACCTGTAATCCCAGCACTTTGGGAGGCCGAGGCAGGTGGATCACTTGAGGTCAGGAGTTCGAGACCAGCCTGGCCAACATGGTGAAACTCTGTCTCTACTAAAAATACAAAGATTAGCTGGGCGTCGTGGCGCGTGCCTGTAATCCCAGCTACTTGGGAGGCTGAGGCAGGAGAATTGTGGAGGTTGCAGTGAGCTGAGATTGTAGCACTGCACTCCAACCTGGGTGACAGAGTGAGACTTCACCTCAAAAAAAAAAAAAAAATCCTTAATCACACCTACAAAGTCCAAGTAACAGATTCACAGGTTCTAGGAATTAGGACGTGGATGTCTTTGGGGGGCCATTATTCAGCCTACCACAGAGAGGCACTGCTTAACCCAAAATAATATATGTGTAATGGTGGCATTTCAGACAATTGTATCAGGGGGTTTCCTTGTGTCTTGTATTTGTATTATACAAGGCTGGGCCTCCAGGCAGGCTCCAGCACACACAGCTGCCGCCGATCCTCTCTCACCTCTGCTCTCTTGCTTCATCTCAAGTCAACCTTCCGCAGCTGATGACATTCTTCTGGCATGGGAGCAGCGCCAGCTGAGGGGCTGCCAGCACCTCCTATCAGCCCTGACCCTTCCACTCTGGGGGGAGGGAACACACTCTCAGGTCACTGTTGGCCTCCAAGGATCAACTGAGGTAAGGAGCCACTTCCCTCTTCTGGGACCCTCCTGCCCTCTCAGCCCTTTCCTTCCACTCTCCATCCCCCATGCTGCCCAGGCTGCCTAGGCTGCCTCTAGCTGCTCTGTCCTCCTGTCTTATCTGGAGATTAAAGAATTCCTTTGTTGACCTCTGCAGGGAACACTCTTTGCCTTTTAAGAGAGAACTTATGGGACAAGGCAATGCTTATTTAAGGATAATGGCTCATAAATGATGGGGTTTTAGGTACAGTGCAAGCTGTCAAAGGGAAGGCGTGACCTTCTCAGCTCTCTTCAAATGACCATCCATTCTGTGTCTATGCAGGACTCACCCCGAGAGGAACGTGGGGCTTTAGGAAGCTCAGGGAAGGATCTTTCCAAATGAGGGTTTGGGGAGGCTTCCAGAGTCCTTCCCTCAGTATAGGACCTCCTGGGGCGCTCCTCTGCTCACCCTCAGATCCCAAGGGCCAGGTCTTTAATCCTAGTGATGCTGGGGTCAGAAAAGTGCAGAGACAATCAGGACTCTCCCAGAAACACACATATTCTGTCACACACACACACTTTGACCTCGGGGGAGTGAAACTCTTCCACCCTATCAGGAGGACGTTGATGGTATGTGTGTCTTCACAATGGGGACAAAGGTGATCCTGGGCAGGGCAAAAACTGACTGCCCAGCCCTACCCACCTCCTCAGCCCCACGTTGGGCCGTCTGAGGAGAGAAGACGCTGCCCTGAGTTCCAGGTGCTATAGCCCAGGTGATGAGCCAAAACTTCTACCAGAGAACCCTTCATTTCCTAATTCTGTCACCCCACAAACCTTTACTGCACGTCATGCCAGCTGGTGCTAGGCCTGCTGGGCCCAGGAGTGGGGGAAGGTGGGATGAAGGATAGGAAATGGCCCCTGCCCTGGAGGGAGGGGGTTCCCAGGGTGAGGCTGCCAGGTGGGTTTGCGTGGCAGCTGGCTGAGAGCAGGTCAGTGCCTGTGCTGGCAGTGACACAGTGAAGGCGGAGGGACGGGCAGGCTTTGGCCCACAAGGGCCTCTGGCTCTTGCACGCAGCCAAGTCCCTCTGTGGAGTCAGGTCCTGGCCAGGCACCCTGCTGGCTCCACACTCAGCCCAGTGGTGGGGCACCCACCACTACCCCAGCCTCCTACTCTCCTGGTGGGTGGCCCTCCCTCCTGCCCATTCTCCTCCTGAACCTGTCCTTATAAGGCCACCCGCTCAGGAGACGTGCGTTCTGTGTCCTCTGGGCAGCTGCCCACACAACGTCATCTGCTGTTTTACTGCTCGAGATTTTTAACTTATGATTTTATTTTTTTGTCGTTAAGAAAATGTTTCCAGGTTGAGCAGAGACATTAACTGGGTGCCAGATGAGGGCAGAAGGATGAATGCCAGGGTGCTTGGGAGCCAGGGACCCAGGACTGACAGCCCCAGGGTGTGACTTAGCCACATATCCCAAATACTCCAGCAGCTGAACGATTCTAAGAACTCCAGCAGGCCCTGTGCGGGCCATTTCCCCTTAAGTGACACCCACTGAAGTTGGGGGAGGTGACCCTCCCCCAGCTGTGGGCCATCTTCTTGTGTTGTTAGAGTGCCCTGTGGTCCTCTGTCTAGGGGGTGAGCGCATGGTGCCCACACAAGGCCAGTCCAACACCGGGCTGGAGCGCTGGAATCTTGAGTATACACGTTCTGGGGCAGCCTCAGTGGGACTGTGTGCAGCTCCCGATGCTGTGGACTGTCCATTTCCAGCCAGGTGTGCTGGCCTTCCCAGGGAGCACTGAGCTACCCAAAGTCCTTCCAGTAAGATCCTGTTCTCCTGAACTTAGCCAAAGGTTTCCCTGGCTGACAACCAAAGCACCCTGCTGAGTGCAAGAGAACATAAGTAAAGGCAGTGGCAGTCAAGTGGGGCAGAGAGTGTGTGCTGTCTCCCTGTGAACTTACAGGAAGTTATGTTAAGCTGGATGAGGGAACCCTGGGCTGAGGCTGCCACCAGGAGGGACGCTATCTCCATCAGGGAGCTCACCTTGTGGTCCTAACTGCTGCAGGAGCTGGCTGCCTCCTTCGCTCTACTGTGAGGCCCTGGGGGCAGGGGCTGAACCTGGCTTGTCTCTCTGCCCCTGCGCCTGGCACAGCTTCTGGTTAGAGGATGTGCACAGAGTGTTTGCTGAAAGAAGAATAAGAAAAAGAGTGGGGGGAGAGGGGGGCCCAGGAGAGTCACCTGAGGAGTGGCCCATGCTGAAAGCGAGCTGCCTTCCAAAGGGTTGTCACTGAACTCCAGCTGAAAGACCCGCCAGAAGGGATTCAAGGAAGGTCTAGTACTTGGGATGACTACTAGTGAGGTGATTTCCGAGAAACAAGGCAGCCACCCCCGTTCCTCAGCACCCAGACTTCAGAGCCTGGAAGGACTGCAGGGCTGGGGCTGAAGAAGGGATCCCTGTCGTTGCTGGGAGGGTCCTGGTGTTGATCTGCACAGGCCCCCTGGTGCCCATGGAAGGGAGTGAGGTTCCAGCTGGTTCACACCCCCTGTGCTGTGCTCCTTTGGAAACCACATGGCACCTTTTGTATGGCAGCAAGGCAAGCAGAGACAAGTGTGCGTTGCTGTCCTTGAGCAGGCCAGCAGCAGTGGCCACACTCGGCAGTGGAGCAGATTGAACTCTGAGGAGAGCAGTGGGTGCTGCTGGGCAAGGAAGCCACCACCCCGTGCCTGTGATGAGGAGCTTTGATTTGTCATATCAACCCCAGGCCTGGTGGGGGCAGGTGGCCCATGAGACCGCCTAGAGGCAGTCCAGAGCTGTTTTGGGGGTTCAAGGTAGGAGACTGAACCTAAGAGAAGCGTCTTTAGCTCCCCAGGAGTGCAGGGACCTCAGTTACAGAGCTGGGGCCCATGGGTCACAGGGATGCCAAGTTCTTAGCATCTGGATCTTCAGTCAGACCCAGGGCTGGGGAGGCTGCCTGCACAGGTGAGAGGACTCACACACTTGCCTGTCCAGCAAAGCACTGTCCTCCCTCCACCAGAGGGGGCACCAGCCTTTGTCCCTAGAGTCATATTCTGCAGACAATGCCCTAATCAGGAGGAATGATGAGAGATCCTTTCAAGGCCAAAACTCTTTGGGGCTCCCAACTACACCAGGCAGTCATTAATTGCCTTCTCCATCTGAAGTCAGACTGACTGCTATCGCCAAGATACTCCACTGCCCATGCCTGAGGGCAGGGAGGTTTCTGGTTCACTGACACTGACAGCCAGGCTCTGCTCTACGCCCTGTCTGCGCTCTCTCTCATTTACTCTCCCAACAGCCCTTTCAGTTTAGGTTCTGCTGTCCTGACAGATGCCCACCTGAGGCTCAGAGAGGTTAAGCAACTGCTCAAGATCACACAGTCAGAAAGTATTAGAACTGGATTAGAATCCAGGAAGTCTGAGCCGCAGCTGGAGCCTCCCTGCCACTACACTGGCTCCCTTCACAGTGAGCCGGCACACACGTTCCCCCACCTGACCCCACAGCAAATGTATGCACCAGACACATCTCAACCACAGATACAAACTGGGGCTCAGAAAGGTGATGCAACCAGCCCCATGTCACCCAGCAAACAGGTGGCAGGGCTGGGCCTGAAGCAAGGATCCCCAGGGCTCCCTCTATGTACCTTGCAGGACCCCTTGGATAAATCTTGTAATGGTCCGGTCCAGCCAGGGTGGTGGAGGCCGGGGCTGCAGGCCTGCCTGGCCCCTCACTTGGGAGGGGGTGACAGAAGCTGTGCACTCTGGAGCTCATGCCATCTGGTTCTGTTTCCATTCCCAGCCACTCCTCGGAGAGCTTCTAAAGGTCAATCTTTTCCCCCTCAAATTCAAGTGCCTTGGGAGGCAAGGCCCTGGCTTCCGGTCACGGAGGCGCCACCTCTGCCTGTAAGACATTCCTCTGGTTCCCATAACTGTGTGATCAGGCAGAGGCACTGAGATGGGCATTTTCCAGTACACTGTGCCCCAGCCAAGCCACTTGGTAACACAGCCCAGAGAGCTGAGGGTCAGAGGGGACAGGGCACATGTCCAGCAGGGTCTTGACAGGAAAGAGATGGCACACTCAAATCAGGTCACTAGAGGAGGGTTGAGGAAAGAGGCTGTTCACAAAGGGTGGAGGGCCCCTAAGGGATAGCACCAGGCTAGTGAGCTTGGGGCTTCACCACTCCTGCGTCTGCGCAGGAGGGAAGGGGGCAGCCACCTCAGCCTGGAGACAGACGGCTGTAAGGAAAAGACCAGCTGACAGTGGCGGGGACTTGAGTCAGTGAAGGAAAAAGGTCAGTGCAAGATCACCCCACAGGGAGGGAGCCAGGAACTAAGTTCCCTGACTCCATACGCCTCCCCACTTCCCACCTTTTGCTGCTGCTCTGTACTGGGAGCCAGTCAAGGGAGTCCAGTGATATCACCCAGACAGGACCACCTCTCGGGGTGCGGAGCAGGAGAAAGGAGCTGATCTGGAGGGACAAGCTGATCTGCAGGGACAAGGAGCCGTCAGCCCAGGGCTGGATGAGGGGCTTGCTATCTGAATACAAAAAGCAGCTCTGTCGGTCACACTTACTGCCTCAAAAACTTACTGTGGTTCCCCACTTCCTACAGAATAAAGCCCAAGTTCTCCAGCCTGGCATTCAAGGCTCTTCACACTCAGACTCCAGCCTATTTCTCTGGCCCCACTACAGGCACTTCACATAATCTGCACAGAGACTCTATAACAGTCTCTCATCATCATCTCCATTTGCCCAACATCACACAGCTGGCAAGTGGAGCTGGAATATGGACCCAGGTCCCCTGGATGCCATCCTGCTGTGTCATGAGCGATAAGCACAGACTGCTGGAACACAGTCCATTCACCAAAACTGTGCCTTCCAAACAGTAAGGGTGTCAATAATGGGTGGAGGGGAAAGTGTGAAGAGGAACCAGGGCAAGGAACTTGGAAGGTGAGGATTGCGTATGCTGGTCTAGAAGCTCTTATTTCACTCTCAGGACAACCCTCCTGGAATTATCATCTCCGGTTAGAGTTGAGACACCTTCATTCATTTCAGCAACTTTAAGGAATTTACCCATGGTCAAACAGAAGTCCCTGTCAGAGCCAGCATTTGACTGCAAAATCAGCTGGCAGGCAGGCAGCACTGTCCCTCTGCAGAGTGGCACCTACAAAGTCCTCAGTCCCTCGTTTCCACCGCAACCCAGTGCTAGCTCCCTCTCTGAGCACCTGAAATTACCTTTGCTAATCAGGACTTTGCAGTTAGGCGTATTTTTGTAAGACTCCTGTTAGAATGAAAATATGTTACCTGGAAAGAGAAGCATGTTGGGCGAATGGTTTCTGACCTCCTATAGAGTTGGCAAAATTGTGTGTGTGTACGCATGAGTGTGTGATCTGAAGGGCCCAGGTGCCCAAATACCATTAGAGACTAACTCCTTTGTCTCCATCTGCTGAATCTGCGTGCTGAATGGGGTGTGTGTGTAGAGGAACTTTCCTAGAAAAAATAAGGATGGAAGCCTGGAATCAGGGAGGGCAGCCTGATGATGGGTCACCATGGGGAAGCTCTTTCATGAGTGCCCTGGAAGGCAGCACAGGAAATAACATGTTAGGATGGGAGGAGGATTCCAGAGAAGCAGGCTTTAGGTTGGGTGGTCCACTTGCATTGCTTTGTCTCCAGGAAAGTTGCTTTCCCCTAACCTGCGACCTGGCTTTCCTTCCCTGTGAAGAGAGGGGTGGAACTAGAGGCTTATACCCTGCTCCAAGACCCTGCAGCCCAACAAAAGGCCCATTTTCCCTTTGTTAGTTACTCGAATGCCAGAGAGAAGGGCTCCCTCTTTTCATGCTTCCCCAGTCCAGCTGGGGCAGAATCATGAGGGCTGCAGAGGACGCTGCTGGGACAAGACCTCCTCTAGGGGGGTCCTGTATCCCATGCCTATTACTGGCCTGCTGGGGCCAGCCTGTCTTCTGACAGCTGTGTCTCCCACCAGCACAGTTAATTTGCTGCCGTTCCTGGGATGTGACAGCAACTTGAAGCAAAGCAATTAGGATGAAAAAGAGGCCCCAGCTCCTTGAGGCCAAAGGAAAATAAACAGAGCAGCCCTGTGTGTATTCCGCCGCCAAGAGGAGCCATTCTTCAAGGGATGATTAGCATTTCTAATCCCAGCTTCCTCCCTTCCCTTGAAAGAAAAGTGACCGGTGAGCGGCTGCTCTTTTCAGATCCCACTCTTCCCAAGGTGGACTGCAAACTTGACAGCTCGTCACCTCCACAGAAAAGTCTTCCCTGGCCACCTGCCACAGCCCTGCCAGAAATGATACTCCTGTCCTCTGAAATCTGAGAGCCTTTCTCTGTACCTTTCCTATGGAGTTTCCTTGATTGACTGATCAATTCATTAATGCATTCTTTCAACAAACATCCGTTGAGTGCCATTCATTCATTCAACAAATATTTCTTAAGTCCCTACTAAATAAATCATCTCTTAAGCTGCCTACTACGTTCTAGTCATTTTTCTGGGTCCTGATGAGAGAGCAGTGAACAAAACAGAAAAAACCCTCTGCCTTCGTGGAGCTCAAATTTTAGTAGGAGAAAACCAACAGCAAACAAGTGAAAAGATAGCATGGAAGATGATGCTAAAAGCTATGCAGAAAAATAAAACAGGAAAAGGGAGGAGAACATGTAGAGAAGGGGGAGGTAGATTTTAAGTAGGGAGGTTAGGAGAGTCTGTAGGATCGAAGTGACATCTGAGCCAAGACCTGCAGGAAGTGGGGTGGGGCTGAGGCAGTGCGCAGGCAGAGGGACACCAGCCACACACCCTGAGCCCGGAGTGTGCCTGGTGCGTCTGAGGAGCAATGAGGCCAGAGAGGAGTGGGAGGAGATGAAGTCAGGGAGGAAACAGGGTGGGAGAGTCTGAAAGGACTTTGCCTTTCAGAGGGGGCGCACCAGGCTCTGACTGGCATTTTGTTGAACTAGGATGGCTCTGGCTGCCCTGTGAGCACACTGAAGGGAAGCCAGCAAGGAAGCAGGTCCTTGGTGGACAGGGGTGGGGCAGCTTCTCTGCCTCTGCCAGGCGGGCTATATAAACCACATAGGATGATTTCAGGGAGAGGAAGGCTTGGGGTGCAGGACATCTGGAGTCAGGGGCAAGGAGAACGTTTGTGGAAGACTGGAGAGAACTCCAGAGAGTTGGGCTGCAGGGCTGCCACCAGGTTCAGGAAAATGATCCCTGCAGCTTTAAGCTGTGTGAGTGTAGGCCTCTCAGAAAGGACGGACTTCTCAGAGTAAACCTCTGGGCTGGGACAGAGAGATTTCAAATCCAGCCCTCTGAGCTCAGTAACTCCTAAGTGTTTCTGTAATTTGCCCAGCTGCACCTGGTTTGTGCCCCCCACACCTTCATGCAATAGTCAAGCCGAGATGCCGGGGAATGAGAGGCTGAGAATCCCAAGTCCTGAGTTCAAGTCCCTGCTCTTCCACTTAACTGCCTGTGTGACTCTGGGTGAGCCAGCCATTCTGGCTTTCTGCTGGTTTCCTCACAGGCACCCCAGGCACAGTCACCATCCCTGCTGAGGGTGGTGGGCAGTGGTGACACATGCTGACTGTGGGTGGAACAAAGCCTTAACTGTGAGAACCCTTAGACAGAGAAGGTGGGCTGGGTTACAAAGCTTCCCCACACTTCCTGAGACGAGGGAAGTATCAGTGAACGTGCAAATATCCCCCAGGGCCTAAACCAGTCATTACCTGGGCTGAACGGGGCTACTGGTCTCCCAGGTCTATCCTAAGGGAAGAGAACTAGTTAACTTTCCTATGGAAGAGGGAAGAGAAAGGGCTGAGTCCAAGGGAACAAACGAACCCCCAAAAGAGGTGGGGATACATAGAGAAAGGCAAAACGGAGGGAGTGTTAAGGAGACCATTGGAAACACCCTGTCCATCTCAGGATGTCGGCCAAGCAGGCATGTAGCACAGAAGACAAGCCTGTGGCCCTGGGTTCACAGCCAGGTTCTGCCACTACCTAACGAGCCTCTTCTAATCACATGACCGTTGAGCTTTTTTCCCTCCATTAAGCTGCGGGAGTAGGGGTGTTGCCAAACTATCTGCCACTTAAAATTCTCAAAAGCTCAAGTAAGTCAACTGTGGGAAAGCTCTCTGTGAACACTGTGTTATTATTACGCACAAAAGGCATCTCAGAAAGGGCTGCCCTGGATGAAGGGAGGAACAACCAAATGCCAGGAGCCAGCAGGCTGGGGCTAAGCAGCCCCAAGTGCAGACAATGCTGTGGGATAAGAGAGACTAGGAGCTGATGGATTATCATGTGGCAAGTCTCAGGTGTTCAGCACTGGTCAGGAGGAAGGAGGAAAATGCTCTGTACTGTTATGAAAGTTATCTGTAACTTGGAAGTAAGGCAAAAGAAGGATTATTTCCTTTCAATGTCACTTTGGGACACTTTGAACAGAGAAGAGTTATTTAATTTTCAAGGGGAATGTACCTTTGCCTTACAATTTACTATAGATTAGAGCCCAGACTTTGTGAAGTTACATGCTAACTTGTAGGCATATGCACAAATATGTACATGCATGTATGTAAAGATGCAAAGGATTTTTGTTCAGTAGAGAACCAAAAAAATTATGCTTTTGTCCTGTAAGGCATATGCCAGTTTTGTCTCTAACTTAGCAAACTTATTTTAGTATGTCTCTTCCAACTAAATATACAAATCTGTCTCTCAAATGCTCTTTTCAATCAGCTTTGCCATTCTTTTTGGTTCTCTTACAGGTGAGTTAAATAAATCTTTGATGTGTGATATGAATTACACTTTGAGGCCAGGTACAGTGGCTCATGCCTGTAATCCCAGAACTTTCGGAAGCCAAGCAGGAGGATTGCTTGAGCCCAGGAGTTCAAGGCCAACCTGGGCAACACAGTGAGACTCCACCTCTACAAAAAAATTGTATAAAAATTGGCCGGGCGTGGTGGCTCACACCTGTAATCCCAGCACTTTGGGAGGCCGAGGTGGGCGGATCACCTGAGGTCAGGAGTTCAAGACCACCCTGACCCACATGGAGAAACCCCATCTCTACTAAAAATACAAAATTAGCCAGGCTTGGTGGCGCATGCCTATAATCCCAGCTACTTGGGAAGGCTGAGGCAGGAGAATCACTTGAACCTGGGAGGTGGAGGTTGGGGTGAGCTGAGATCACACCATTGCACCCCAGCCTGGGCAACTACAGCAAAACTCTGTCTCAAAAAAAAAATTATAAAAATTAGCTAGGTGTGGTGGTGTGCACCTGTAGTCCCAGCTACTGGGGAGGCTAAGGTAGGAGGATCACCTGAGCCCAGGAGGTTAAGGCTGCAGTAAGCCATGATTTTACCACTGTACTCCAGACTGACAAAGCAAGACCCTGTGTCAAAAAGAAAAAAAAAAAAGAATGAATGAATTACACTTTGATAGAACTACAAGTGAGGAACTCTTGTTGCTATGCTGTGTGGCTTTGGGCCAGTGGGTCAGTTTCTGCCACAAGAAGAGGGTACCCAACTCCCAGGCCCAAGGTAGGTCGGGAGGGGGAAGTCAGATGTGAAAGTACCTTGCACATAATTCACAAGATGCAAAAGTCAGGGTTTATTGTTGAGACTTATCAGACTAGGCTACTCCAGGGCTGGAAGGTCCCAGGCTTCTGAGGGCAGCATTCTCCAGGGTTGGGACATAGGCCAGGAGAAGAGGCAGCTAGGTGCAGCCCTGGCGCGAGCCTCCATGCCCCGGAGGTGTCATGCTGACACTGCATTCTCCACTTCTGACGAGGCCAAGATTCCCCATGGGCCTCAGGTCCTGGGGGATGGAGACCAATGAGAACCACCCAGAGAAGTCTTCCCAAGGCCATGGAGAGGCTGGAAAGGGCTGGGACAGGCATCTGCCCAGAAGCCAGAGCTGGGGATTTTGATGAAGGAACGAGAGTCCTCATCCAACAACAGAGGTCAGCACTAGGTTCCTAACTAGTGGCCTCTGTAGCCTGGGTTCTTTCAAGGCATCATCATTTTAATCTGGGACAGGGAAGTCCCCCAGCTCACTTAACAGGATCTCTGCCCTTACAATCCACACACGTGGTTGTGCACACACAATGATGTTACAGCCAGGGGTCCAATGAGCAATGCAGGCAGCCCAGGTCAGGAAAACGAAGAGCTGGGTGAGCCAATGCTGCACAGAGGATGGTAGAGCACTGACAGGGAGAGAGGAGGAGACTAGGCATTCCAGCCCAGGGAATTGCAAAGGGCAGAATAGGACAGGAAGAGAACAAACCTGTAGAATGTGGAGGAGGGGCTACAACTGAGGAAGATGAGGCAGGATTTGGCTCATACCTCAACTGACCTGAAGTCATGTGGGTTAACAGTCCACTGCCCCGTGGTGATGGCAAAAACAGGGTGGGCAAGGGCTTACACCTGGGTGCTCCCCTAAGGGTTCCAAAAAGGAACGTGAAGAATCCTCTCGCCCCCACAGGTCTCACTCCAGGCTCAGCTCAGTCATTATCTGCTGCAAGCTGGCCCAGTCTCATCCCCTCTCTAGATGCCCCAACTACTGCTGCTCTGCTGGTATGGCTGGACTTGCAGAGACCCTCCCCATCTGCTCCAGCCTTCCCCAACCCTGCTTCTCTTCTGAGCTCTCAGCCTCCATGGTCTAAGCCTCCCCTTTCAGCAGCTAATGGTATCCTGCTCATCTCCTCCATAGAGTTTGCACACTCTCTTCTTTTCTGGAGTTATATATTTTTTCTCTTCCTATTTTCCCTTTGCCCTGATTTCTTCAGCACTTTATTTTATTATATTGTATGCGGTTTTAAATTTTTTTGCATGTTGCCTTCAACTCTGTGGATCAAGTTGTGTGTAAACCTTTTTGTTGTCCTGTAACTGTTAAGATTGTTTTCTGGGTTATCCTTTAAGCTTCCTGGATCCCTGTGTGGCAACTACGGCTCTCATTACGCATAACACTGTATTGGGCATACAGTAGGTGCCTAATTCTTGCCTACTACTTGCAGTTTGATTAACATCATTTAAGTCGCTCCCAGCGATGCTCAATCACTAGCCCATTACATATAAGCCCGGATTATTCAAATCCCAACTCCCCCTACCCTGTTCACTGACATTGTGACCCACCAGCTCTCAGCAGAGCCCAAGTAATTTGAGGGCATCATCACTGCTCCCTGAGCTTCTTGAACATGTCCACACCACCAGAAGGCACCAAACCTGGGTGTCTCAGTAGAAAGAGGGAAGTTGCCAGCTACTTCTAAGGCCGGCCTCACACACTCAGCCATAGCTCAGGGAGGAGTCGCGGCGTCTCCTCCCTCCTAAAGCCAGCCCAGAGGTCACAGTTCTGCCGTTGTCGAAGTCACAGGCCCAGGAGCGCCAGGAGGCAGCCTTAGGAGAAAGGTCTGCAAGGAGCCGGGCCGCGGGAAGCCGGCTTTCTCCCTGAGCAGCCGCCAGGTGCCGCCCTCGATGGCGTAGAGCAGCGTGAACATGCGGTTGACCGTATAGACGGTGTCACCGCGCACCACGGCCGTGAAGAGCGCTCCCTTGCTGTTGACGAACTGGCCGGGCAGCGCCGTCCACTGGCCCGTGGCCAGGTTGAGACAGTCGATGGCGCAGTGCAGGAAGTCGTCGGAAGGTCCGTTGCGCACCACATAGAGGCTGTCGCGGTGGGCCACCATGCAGTGGCCATAGCTCTGCGGACGCCGCAGCTCGGCCACTGGCAGCCACGCGTCGGTCCGCACTGCGTACTCCACCACGGCGGTGGTGTCGGCCGGCCGCCACAGGCACACGAAGAGACGGCCACAAGCCTGGGCGCAGGGCACGCCGGCGGCCGGCTGCGGCAGGTCGGCCACGAAACTCCAGCAGCCCGCGGCTGGGTCGTAGCGCTCCACGGAGCTGATGGGCGTCCTCTGGAATTCGCCGCCGATGGCGTAGAGGCGGCCGTCGAAGCCGGCCAGCGCTGTGTCATAGCGCGGCTGGTGCGGGCTGGGGAACTCGTGCCACGTGCCGCCGTCGGGGTCGTAGCAGAAGCCCAGCTCTACCACCTCCTTGCTGGCGCCGCGCACGCCCCCCACGATGTAAAGCTTGTTGCCCAGCGTGGCCACCCCGGCCAGCAACGTGCTGGCCTCCAGGGGCAGCGCAGCCAGCGTGCGCCACGCGTCCTCTTCCTCGTCCAGGTAACACAGCGTGCGCGAGGCGTCCTCCAGGAAGCCGGGCGCGGGCGTGTGCGTGCTCACGGCCGCGTAGCTGCTGGGCCGCAGGGCCGCCACGTAGGCGCGGGCCTCAGGCAGCGCCAGTTCGGCCGCCAGCTCGCGCTCGCCGTCGCAGATGAAGAGCGCGGCACTGTGGAACACGTCGCGCAGGCCGAAGGCGGCGGCCGCGTCGCACAGCAATGCGCAGTTGTCCGACGTGAGGTTGTGCTCCAGAAAGCGAGCCAGCGCCGGCGCCTGGAGGAAGGCGGCGCACTCCACGGCCTGCAGCAGCTCGTCCTCCGCCGCCAGCGCCGGCCGGTCGCCGCGCAGCACCTGCAGCGTGGCGCGGAAACCTCCCGCGCTCAGAACGCCCAGGCGCACCTCTGCTGCGCGGGTCTCCCGCATGCCGGAGCGGAAGAGGCCTCGGAAGAAGCCACAGTGCTCCACCAGCAGGGCGCGGTCGGCTTGGAAGAGCTGGCCGCCCACCCACACCTGCACCAGGGTCTGTGGACCCCGTGCCATGGCGAGCTGGCCGGGCGGAGGCTGCCGCTGGGGCCTTGGGTTAGCCAGCCACCAACTCTGGGGCTCCCCTGGAGCAAAAAACTTCCCTGGGGGCTATAAATATCTCTCCCTGGCTAAAGATAGTATGGCTCATGTGATGTGGTGGCCCGCAGGCTGTATGGCTGCAGGCCCGGAGGGCATCTGGAGACCTGTGTGATCACTCATATCCTTAGAAGAAATGGTAATAATGGGTCCAGAATTGGTGGGTTCTTGGTCTGACTTCAAGAATGAAGCCGCGGACCCTCGAGGTGAGTGTTACAGCTCTTAAGGTAGCGTGTCTGGAGTCTGTCCTTTCTGATGTTCAGATGTGTTTGGAGTTTCTTCCTTCTGGTGGGTTCATGGTCTCGCTGGCTCAGGAGTGAAGCTGCAGACCTTCGCTGTGAGTGTTACAGCTCTTAAGGCAGCGTGTCTGGAGTTGTTCGTTCCTCCCAGTGGGCTTGTGGTCTCGCTGGCCTCAGGAGTGAAGCTGCAGACTTTCACGGTGAGTGTTACAGCTCATAAAAGCAGTGTGGACCCAAAAGAGTGAGCAGCAGCAAGATTTATTGCAAAGAGGAAAAGAATAAAGCGTCCACAGTGTGGAAGGGGATATGAGCGGGTTGCCACTGCTGGCTCGGGTAGCCTGCGTTTATTCTCTTATCTGGCCCCACTCACATCCTGCTGATTGGTAGAGCCAAGTGGCCTGTTTTGACAGGGCGCTGATTGGTGGGTTTACAATCCCTGAGCTAGATACAAAAGTTCTCCACGTCCCCATCAGATTAGTTAGATACAGAGTTTCCACATACAGGTTCTCCAAGGCCCCACCAGAGCAGCTAGATACAGAGTGTCGACTGGTGCACTCACAAACCTTGAACTAAACTCAGGGTGCTGATTGGTGTGTTTACAAACCTTGAGCTAGATACAGAGTGCCGATTGGTGTATTTACAATCCCTGAGCTAGACATAAAGGTTTTCCAAGGCCCCACCAGAGCAGCTAGATACAGAGTGTTGATTGGTGCACTCACAAACCCTGAGCTAGACACAGGGTGCTGATTGGTGTGTTTACAAACCTTGAGCTAGATACAGAGTGCCAATTGGTGTATTTACAATCCCTGAGCTAGACATAAAGGTTCTCCAGGGCCCCACCAGAGCAGCTAGATACAGAGTGTCAATTGGTGCACTCACAAACCCTGAGCTAGACACAGGGTGCTGATTAGTGTGTTTACAAACCTTGAGCTAGATACAGAGTGCCGATTGGTGTATTCACAATCCCTGAGCTAGACATAAAGACTCTCCACGTCCCCACCAGACTCAGGAGCCCAGCTGGCTTCACCTAGTGGATCCTGCACCAGGGCTGCAGGTGGAGTTGCCTGCCAGTCCTGCACCATGCGCTCGCATTCCTCAGCCCTTGGGTGGTTGATGGGACTGGGCACCGTGGAGCAGGGGGTAGTGCTCGTCGGGGAGGCTCGGGCCGCACAGGAGCCCATGGAGTGGATGGGAGGCTCAGGCATGGCGGGCTGCAGGTCCTGAGCCCTGCCCTGCGGGAAGGCAGCTAAGGCCCGGTGAGAAATCAAGCACAGCGCCGGTGGGCTGGCATTGCTGGGGGACCCAGTACACCCTCCGCAGCCACTGGCCCGGGTGCAAAGTCCCTCATTGCCCGGGGCCAGCAGGGCTGGCTGACTGCTCCGAGTGCGGGGCCCGCCAAGCCCACGCCCACCTGGAACTCCAGCTGGCCCGCAAGCGCCACACGCAGCCCCGGTTCCCGCTCGCGCCTCTCCCTCCACACCTCCCTGCAAGCTGAGGGAGTGGGCTCCAGCCTTGGCCAGCCCAGAAAGGGGCTCCCACAGTGCAGTGGTGGGCTGAAGGGCTCCACAAGTGCCGCCAAAGTGGGAGCCCAGGCAGAGGAGGTGCCGAGAGCAAGCGAGGGCTCTGAGGACTGCCAGCATGCTGTCACCTCTCAATAATAGTGACCATATACCGTGCACCTGCAGCGTGCGGGCGCACTGAGGGCTGCTAGGGAGATACCCATTTCACCTGCATCTTTCCAGCTGTGTGCCCTCGTGCGAATGTCCTAACCGTTCCTCATGTTCCAAATGGGACCAGTAGGCCAGGAACGGTGGCTCATTCCTGTAATCCCAGCTCTTTTGGGGGCCGAGAATGGTTGATCACCTGAGGTCAGGAGTTTGAGACCAGCCTGGCCGACATGGGGAAACCCCGTCTCTATTAAAAATACAAAAAAATTAGCCGGGCGTGGTGGCACGTGCCTGTAATACCAGCTACTTTATGAGGCTGAGGCACGAGAACAGCTTGAACTCGGGAGGCTGAAGTTGCAGTGAGCCGAGCTCGTGCCATTGCACTCCAGCCTAGGCAACAGAGTGAGGATCTGTCTCAAAAAAAAAAAATTAATTAAAAAATAAAATGGGGCCAATAATAACACCTATTTCACAGTCATGGGACAGTATCCGAAATATCCCGGTTGAGGCTGAAAGACTTTAGGTAACTTGTCCAGGGTCATTCAGCTAGGAAGAAGCTGGGGCAGAATGAATACCCACCTCACCCCTTCAGCTCAGAGGAGTGGGACAGGCAGGTTGGAGAACAAGGCAGAAATGGAGCAAGTACATTGGGCCAGGCTGGGGTACAGGACCAGGGTTTTAATTTGGCTTGGGCTTCTGACTCTGACTCTGAGCCAGTCCAATCTCTTTTTGAGTCTCAATTTTCTTCCTGAAAAATGGGAAAGGTAGCAACCCTGCTTTGCAGATGAGCATCCCATAAAGCCCCTGACTTGGGATGGGGATGGGAATTCCACACTTGCTGCGAGGCTCCAGATCCTGGGAAAAGGAATTGGGGCTGCCTAGGGGATCATATGCTTGTGGATGGGAAGAAGGGCTTCCTGAAATAATAATAGCTAACACTTTAATTGCATTATGTGTCAGGCACTGTTGTAAGCACTTTATACTAAGTCCTTACAACAATCCCAGGAGTAGATACTATTATTTCTCCCCCCATGGATATTATCCATTTATTGCTTATAGCAACACTATGAATTAGAAATTATTAATGGCCTTATTTCATATATGAAGAGACTGAAGCACCAAGAGGTTTAGTCACATAGCCAGAGAGTGGCAGACCTAGGCCTGGAATGCAGCCAGCCTGATTCTAAAGCAGGGGTCCCCAACCCTGGGGCCATGGACCTTAGGAACCAGGCCGCGCAGCCAGAGGTGAGCAGTGAGCAAGCAAAGCTTCATCTATATTTACAGCCGCTCCCCATCCTCATTACTGCCTGAGTGCTGCCTTCTGTCAGATCAGTGGCAGCAGCATTTGATTCTCATTGGAGGGCGAACCCTATTGTGAACTGCATGTGGGAGGTATCTAGGTTGCCTGCTCCTTATGACAATCTAATGCCTGATGATCTGTCACTGTCTCCCATCACCTCCAGATGGGACTGTTTAGTTGCAGGAGAACAAGCTCAGGACACCCATGGATTCTACATTATGGCAAGTTGTGTAAGTATTTCATTATATGTTATAATAATAATAGAAATAAAATGCACAATAAATGTAATACGCTTGAATAATTCCGAAACCATCTCCCCTCCGCTGTCTGTGGAAAAACTGTCTTTTACAAAACCAATCCCTGGTGCCAAAAAGGTTGGGGACTGCTAGAGGGCATGCCCATACCACTGTGTTTTTTGTTGTCGGTTTTTGTTTGTTTGTTTGGTTCGTTGGTTTGGGGTTTTTTTGTTTGTTTGTTTCTTTTTTTGAGACGGAGTCTCACTCTGTCACCCAGAGTGACAGAGTAACCCACACCTGGTTAATTTTTGTATTTTCAGTAGAGACGGGGTTTCACCTTGTTGGCCAGGCTGGTCTTGAACTCTTGACCTCAAGTGATCCTCTCACCTCGGCCTCCCAAAGTGCTGGGCCATACCACTGTGCTCCGATGCCTCTCTGTGCTACAAATGCTGGGCAGTCACCTTGTGTCAGGAGGGCATAGCTGAAAGGCACCTCAGGCTCATATGGTTCAATCCTCTCACAGTGGAGGGAAGTGCTCAGGGTCTTGTAGCTTGAAGCAGACAGCCTCAGGCCTCCTGCTGCCCACTCCATGGCACTTTTCCCACTACACAGAACTTTTCTAGGTGACCAGCTAAAACTATGGGTCCAAAAGTGGAGCTTGGGATGGAATGGAGCTTAATAATTATCTCCTCTTGCCACCTATTCTAAGGTGAGGAAACTGAGGCCCAGACGTGTAAAATGGTATCTGCCATTCAGATGTTTAGCTCCCCATCCTTACCTGCAGGCCTTCTTAGGGAGAATGAGTGGCTCACAATGACCAAGTAGAAGGTGGGAAGAGGCAGGGGAACTTCTCTCCCCCTTAGGATACATATGCATAGATCCTCACGTATGAATCTGCAGAGCCAACACAAATGTGCCTCCCCTGCTAGGGAACTCCCATCCAGTTCACTCCATCAAAGCAGTGATGGGATGTGGGGACCACTTGTGTGAGCCTGGGAAGCCAGAGGCCTGGAGGAGGCAGCCAGAAATATCTCTGACTCTGCCCCAGGGACCAGACAGGAAGAGGAGGAGGAGATGGGGGGATGGGTGGGCAGAAGTCCCCATGAATACTATCCCAGGCCCTCTGCCAGTTTCTTTCTTTCCCCAAGGCCAGATATTGGCTGAATGGTCTGGGATGTCCAGGCAGCAGGCATGACAGTCCCAATCTTGGGGACCAGTGGGCTCTCAGTGCTGGGTCTTGACTGTGTCCTTGCTGGTGGCCTTAGTGGTAGGGAAAGAGTGTCTGACTATTCCCATTTCACAGACGAGGAAACAAAGGCTTAGAAATGATTTGGGCTTTTCCTTGGTTATGAATGGGGATGTGAGGCTCAATCGAACCCTGCCCACTGACCCTAGCTGCCACTCCTCACCTGCACTAGCCTTGTCTCAGGGCAGGGAAACAGTTGCCTTCTGCTGGGGGCAGGGCTGGAGAAGGGCTGACTCCCAGGGGGCCAGGGCTGCTGCATAGTCCCGGGACTACAGTTCCCTCCCAAATGGCCTGTTCCAGACACCTAGTAACTGGCAGACACAACCAGATGGAACCATTGCCAGGCCCTCTCCTGAGAGCAGGAGAAGGAGGGAGTGCAAACCCCTCCTGGCTGAAGTTTGCTCTTGGCTTGATTTTTTCCAAGTCCAGCCCTGCCTTGAGTGGGCTGGGGCTCGGGCACCCACCCAGTTTCTACCTCCAGCAGCCAGACAGTGGGGAGACGGTCATCCAAGGTGGGGGGTCATGTTTTCCTGAGGCTGGGCTGAGGATCAGCCCTTTGGTCCCGCCCCCAAGGCCCCGGTGGGGTGTTGCCTACAGCTGGGGAGAGTTTCCTCCTCCTGGACACTGAGTGTCCCTCTGGGATTTGGAGAGGACAAGGAACTATCCTGGCTGTGGGCAGCCCACAGAGTTCCCAGGCCCTGCTCGACCCCACACCAACCTCCCTCTCTACTCCGCATCCCCTACACTGTGTGAGGTTGGGGATGGGGGCAAAGAAAGGAGAAAGGAGCCTGCCTCAGACTCTGAGCCTTTCTAGAGCACAGACCCAGTGTTGTTTATCCCTGTATTCACAACGATGGGCATACAGTAGGCGTCTGTTAAGTAGACTCTCTGGGGCGCTAACCTGTGGGAGTCTCCAGTCTGATAGAGAAGATATAACCCTTGCCCCTGGGAGACACCCCCACTCTCTGAAGTCTGATGGGAACGCCCTGGCCCTTGCCACTTATGCACATAGATGTTTCTGCACATAGGGTAGTGAGTGGCTTGTACTGCCTGGACCTAGAGGAGGAAGAGCACTGGACTGGGAGTCAGGACTCCTGCCTGGGCTCTGATGCTGGTGCCACCACTGACTTACAAAAGCTACCCAAACTCTTCAGGCTACAGTGCTTCATCTGTAAAGTGGAATTTGAATCTGCCTTCTAAGGTTCTGTTCCCCTTTGACATGTGAATTTATCATTCGACAACCACAGAAGTGGTTGTCATGTTGTGCCTCCAGAAGAGGCAACCACATCGCGAAAGGGTACCAAAAGCTTAGCTTTATATGAAAGGGCTCCTGGGGGTTGGGTGGCAAGGGTAGGTCCTGCCGTCAGGAAAACCTCACAGGCCCTACGTGTCTAGACCTATATTTGCTCCAGTCGTTCACTCCAGAGGTATCTATTGAGCACCTGCTGCATGCCCACTGCTGGGCCTGGTGCCACATCCTCTAGATTTTGAGTGCCTGGGGGCCTCCTATGAGACCCTTGATGAGGGTTGGGGGTAGAGGGTAAGGAGAGTTGGGTTACCTGCCCTAGCAGAATAACCTCTCTCTTGATCTGAAGTGTACAAACTTCTGGTCACTAAACGGTTATGACTTCTTTGTAGGTGGATGAGAAATGTGTGCTATTTATATCCAGAGGAGTAGACAGAACTAACCTCCACTTCCTTGGGCCATGGGCCAAGCTCTGGATAGGACACATGTTATCTAATATACTTATTGATATTGTCCCTGTTTTATTTTATTTTGAGACAAGGTCTCACTCTGTCACCCAGGCAGGAGTGCAGTGGCACAAATACAGCTTATTGCAGCCTCCATCTCCTGGGCTGAAGCTATCTTCCCACCTTGGCCTCCCATGTAGCTGGGACTATAGTTGCATGCCAACATACCCAGCTAATTTTTTTATATGCGTCTGTAGAGACAGGGTTTCACCATGTTGCCCAGGTTTGTCCCTATTTTGAAGATGAGGAACAGAGACCCAGAAGGGCAAAGTAGTTTATTCCAGGGTCTGACAGTAGCAGCCCCTGGGTGAGGAAACTGGGGATGGAGAAAAGGATAGGTCGCAGCCATGAGGTGGGCACTGTTTTCCTCCCAAGCCTCAGAGAAGGGGCAGACTTTGAGCAATGAGCTGTCACAGTTGAGGGCCCCAGTAACCAGGTGGCCACCAGCTCAAATAATCTCTGAACTGGAAGAGAATTAAGGGTCATCTTACTGCAACATTCGAGTCATGAAGGCGTCTCTTCTCTAACACTTCCTTGACGTGGTCACTCCCTTGGTTGCTGCCAGTGTCAGGGGAGAGGGGTTGAGTTCCACCAAAGACAGTCCCTTCTAACTATGGACAGTCAGATGGTTACAGAGTTCACCCTCAGACTGAGCTAGAATCTTGCAGCTCCCATCTCCTGGTTGGTCAAGTTTTAAAGATGAGGAAACAGACCACATAGAGGTCAAGTAACATCCCAGCATCACACAAGCTGAGAAGTAGCAGAGCTTAAGTTTACATGCAGTTGGGCCCGTGCAGGCCCACAGTTAGCCCTGCCTCCAGCAGTTGTCCATTGAGATTGGTTCTATCCCCAAAGGCCCCATCTGGAACCAGTCTGTCTTCACAGAATGGGGCCAGCCCAGGGATGTGACTGGAACTTGGCTCCCACTTTCTCAACTCCTACAACTCAAAGGAAAACCCTTGGCCATTAGCTGTGTGACTAATTCTGGCCTGAGAGTGTAATCTAAACAAATTCCACCCACTACCTTAATAACACAGCTGGTTTACCATGATTTCCCCAAAACACAACTAGGCTGAGTCAATATTCATGTCCTGGCCAGGAAAATAATTGTTCTTCTTTGAAGAGTCGTTATTACCATCCAGCTCTGACCCTGGGCCCTGCCTGCACACCTGGTTTTCCATGGTTCCTCTGTGGGTGGGTGGGTAGATGAGTTAACCATCTGCGGGAAGGGGAAGGAGAAGGGCTGCCGTGAGAGGTCTCTGAGGCTCCCATGCCTTTCCCTGCTCTAACCTGGAGCGTACTCCAGAAGAGATGCCTCACAGGGTTCTAGAATGTACGCAGGCCTGGAGCCCAGGGCTGATTCTGTCACTCTCTATTTTGCTTCATTTTCCCCTTCCTTCAGTATTTATATATGGGGACACCGAAGCCCAAAGAAGCAAGGTGACTTGCCCAAGATTACTCTAGGGCAGGAGCTAGCACTAGATCCTAAGTGTCCAGGTTCGTGGTGTGGGCCCTTTGCCCTGTCTTTGGTATGACCAGATTTACCCTGAGTCCCAAGGGGAATGACCAGGGGACCCCTGCCAGGCTCACCACCAATCCCAGAATTGCTGTAGGCAAGAGGCAGTGCCAGGTTTTAGAACAAACACCCCATTTACACAACAGGCCACAAACACATGCAACTCATTAGCTCCCATTAGGGAGAGACAGTAATTCAGAATGGATTAGGTTTCTTGAAGCTGAACCCATATTGGCCCTGAAATCTTAGTGAGGGGTTCTCTCCGCCCCGCCCCCTCTCCCAGAAGCCTGGGTTCCGAATGGGTTCTGCAGTGAGGCCTCTAGAGTCTCCACAGCAAAGGGCAGAATAATGTGATTGGGGATATAGAGTGCCAAGGCTGAGCTAAAGAAAGGGCAAGGCTTGGAATTGAACCCAGGAAGCTTCCTGGAGGAGGAGGCGGGGCTGGCTTGGTAGAACAAAGGGAGGGGTGGATTTTCTTGCTGGTGAAAAGAGATTGAGTGGGAGGTTCAGGGAAGAGTGCAAACATCCTTCCCCTCTCTCCCCCTAGCCCTGGGGCTCCTTCTCTGCTCCTTCCCGGCCGGGTTTGGGGGCGCTCGGGAGGGTGACGGCAGGGTCCTCGAGGCCCAGCCCGGCGGTGGGGGCGCGGCCGGCAGGAGCTCCCTCCCTGCTCCAGGAGCCGGCTGAGCGCGCCCCGCGGGGGGCTCCGCAGCCCTTACAAGGAATTTGGTGGCGCTTGGGGTGGCCCCGCCCGCCAGGCTCCACCGGCCCCTCCTCCCCGCGGGGTGGCAGCCCGCTGGACGCGGGGCCGAGGGCGCGGACGCCGACGGGTCCGGGGCCGCGCGCTCCAGGGAAGCCTGCATCCCGCTCCCCTGGGCCCCGACGGGCGGGCGCACTGCGCGGGGCCCACCGGCCGCAGACCTGCGTGGCCGTCCAGGGCGTCGCCATGTCCTCGGTGTTTGGAAAACCCCGCGCGGGCAGCGGGCCTCAGAGCGCGCCCCTCGAGGTCAACCTGGCCATCCTGGGGCGCCGCGGGGCTGGCAAGTCTGGTGAGTGGCGCCGGGGAGCCTGAGCCGCCAAGTGCGGAGCTGGGCGTGGGTGGGGGGACAGTGGGCTGTGCTCTTGGGGGCAGGTTCTTCCACTGGCTTGGGGAGCTTCCTTCACCCAGGAGGGTCGCACAAGACACCGTGATTTTCTTTGCCTCAGTTTCCCTGTTGCCGGGCTTTCTCTTCTCTCGGCTTTGTGCTCAGCTCCACCATCTCTGTCTTCTGTTCCCTGCCTGCCTCTTCCCTTTGTGTCTTCCCACTGTCTCTGTCCTCCGTATCAGTGACCCCTGCTGTCTCTCCCCTCTCTCTTGTGTGTCTCGGAGTCCTTTACTGGTCGGTCTCCCCTGCCACCAACCTTCCAACCCCCACCCCTATGACCTACCCTGGGGCCAGCAGTCAGTCCTGGCGACTGGCTTCAAAGGGACCTGTTGGGCACTGATCCCCCTACCCAAGGCGCCTCTTTGAGCTTAGTCGCAGCCTTGCTACTCCCTGATTAGGCTTGGGGGAAGACTTCCCGTCCAACCCCTCCCCCTCCACACCCCCTCCCCGTAGAAGGGAGCTGGTGAAGTCACTAGCTGTTGAGATTTCTCAGGGAAGGTCCACTCCCCCACTCCCACCCCCATTCCCTGGGATTCTGGGACAAGTTGTGCATTCTTATCAAATGTGTTCGTTTCAAGCCAGACCCCTCTCAACTTTCTGGAAACACATTGGGTTATGGTTCCAGGTGCATGGGATTGTCCTTGATGAGCCAAGATCTTGGGCTTCCATTGAGATAATTTGTGTCAACACTGAACTATGCCACTCCTGGCTGGCTGAAGGAGGGAGGGCAGAAGGGGTCCTCCACTGGCTGTTTTTCCAGTTTTAGCCGTTAGTGATGGCCAACCCAAGCTCAGCTGGCTGTGGGTTTCCTCCCCAGAGTGTTCTGTAAGACTCACTGGGGGCCTACTCTCTGATTTTGAAGCCAGCCCCACCCCCAGAGAGGGGACTCTGAATCTGGTTTTCCTACAGAAGGGATTACCCTCTTCCTTTGAAAGATTTGCCCTTTGAAAATCAGATTGTTATCCGTAGCTCTGTAACCGGTACCGTTTAGCCAGTGACTACATAAAAGAAAGAATTTAAATTTTAAAATATGTATTCCCTGGGTATTAGTTTGCAAACTGACACCGTTAGGAATCCTAGGAAAGAATTTTAAGGATTTTATTCACAATGTCACTTTTTTTTTTTTAAGACAGTGTCTCTGTCACTCAGGCTGGAGTACAATGGCGCGATCATGACTCACTATAGCCTCAAACTCCTGAGCTCAAGTGATCTTCCCTCTCAGCCTCCTGAGTAGCTAGGACTACAGGCATACCACCATGCCTGGTTAATTTTTCAATTTTTTTAGAGATAACAGTGTCACTGCATTGCCCAGGCTGGTCTCAATCCCAAAGCACTGGAATTACAGGCATCCCATTACTTTTCTTTCTTTCTTTTTTCTTTTTCTTTCTTTCTTTCTATCTTTCTGTCTTTGTTTCTTTCTCTTTTCTTCCTTCCTTTTTCTCTTTCTCTTTTCCCTCCCTCCCTCCTTCCCTTCATCCCTCTCTTCTTCTTTCTTTTTTTTCTTTCTTCTTTCTCTCTCTTTCTTCTTTCTTTCTCTTTCCTTCTCTTTCTTTTATTCTCTCTCTTCTCTACTCTTCTCTTCTCTTCTCTTCTCTACTCTTCTCTTCTCTTCTCTTTTCTTTTCTTTCTTTCCAAACAAGCAGTAGCGAACATTACTTTTTGAGGGTCCAGTATAGTAGTTGGCTGGTCTTTGCTTTATATGGCTACACTCTGAACCAAAGAGAGCTTAATTCTTGAGTTTTACATTCTGCTGAGATATCCATGATGAGTGTAGAGGCCCCAGAGAAAGCCAAGACTTGCGATGTGGGAGACCAGGACCAGAGTGTGTTTCTTCGGGACACAGACCTCACCTGGACCTTACCTGGAAAGCCCAGGCACTTGGGGATTTATACCCTTCCCAAAGATCAACCACTGCAATCAACTCTGCTCTTCCTGTGTTTTTGGCTTGTAGCTAAAGCCTGGAGTAAATAGCCCCACACTTCAGAATCTCTGTGACTTGTCCGGGGTGGGCGACACCTCCCTTCAGTTGAGGTTTCACCAGGCTGACTCTAGGGTAATGGTTGCATGGGTCCTGACCCCTGAGTTCATACCTTCCAAACACCCCTTAGGCTTGCCACTCATTGCTTTCCTTGCCATTAAAAAAAATTCCCACGGTGCAATTAGAGGCACTTGGCTCCCCGTAGTTCTGGTTTCCTTCTGAGCCTTTCAAACCAATTCCTCAGTTCCCTAGCTTCATTCTCTGGGAGAGCTGAGCTTGGTGTCAGCCGGGGATCACAGAGGTTAGATAAGGCCTCCCTTAAACGAGGGGCCAGCAGCTAGACATGGCCGCGGAGATGGAGCCAACCTCTTTCTGCTTCTTGCAGCCCTGACCGTGAAGTTTCTGACCAAGAGGTTTATCAGTGAATATGACCCCAACTTGGGTAAGAAACTACTCCCCGTACCTTCTGCTGCCTGTGCCCCATCTGGAGTGCTCTCCTGGGACCCACCCCGTGGGTGGGCACTGACCAGGACTGCATGTCTGGGGACAGAAGGGAGAAGCCGCCAGGATGACCCAGCCCATGGGGGAAAATGTTTTAAGTGTCAGAAATACCCCTTCCACAGCCCACCCCAGACAACTGGGGGGTTGGCCTAATTCACAGAACTAAGAGAGGCTGATTTACCCTAAAATATGAGGTGTGAAAAAACTTTAAAAAATAAAAATAAACATAGCAAGACATCCACATCCAAACAGGTATTATTCTTGGGCCGGGTGCGGTGGCTAATGCCTGTAATCTCAGCACTTTGGGAGGCTGAGGTGGGTGGATCACCTGAGGTCAGGAGTTAATGACCAGCCTGGCCAACATGGTGAAACTCCGTCTCTAAAAATACAAAAATTAGCTGGGCATAGTGGTGTGTGCCTGTAATCCCAGCTTCTAGGGAGGCTGAGGCAGGAGAACTGCTTGAACCCGGGAGGCGGAGATTGCAGTGAGCCAAGGTCGTGCCACTGCACTCCAGCCTGGGCGACAGAGGGAAACTCTGTCTAAAAAAAAAAAAAACTCAAAAACAAATAGGTATTATTCTTCAAGATGGTCACTCAGTGTTCTCTTCCAGAAAACCTGGGCAGGACATTCGAGAAATTCTCTAGTGGTGCTGGCTTCTGAACCAGTTTTTTAACCGTATGAGAAAACAACTGTTGTTTTCATCGCTGCATCATGGTATATTGGAAAAAGGAACGTTTCGGTGTCAGTCAGAGCTGGGTTTGAATCCTACCTGGCTCTGCTCCTTATTGGCAACCTTGAGCCAGTCAGCTAACCTCTCTGAGCTACTGTTTCCTCATCTGTAAAATGGGCATTAAAAAATAGTTAGAGAATTGCTGTGAGGATTAAAGAAATAGCACATGTAAAAGATCCAGCCTAGTACTTGACCCACAGTAGGCACTCAATGCATTTTTGCTTTTCCTTCCTCCTCAAATGGATTCCCATACACAATAGCTTAGATTCCCTTCTAAAACAAATCAAAGCAGGATTTTATTAGTATAAATGTTGCTTAAAGCTCACATGTATAACATTTGTCTATTGTAAACTGTTCACTGAGAGCCATAAGGTGTCTGGATGATCTTAGCCTTTAGAAAATGGGTGTTGCAGTCTTGGATTATTTTCCCCATTCATAAAAATCAATTAAAGCATTCATGGGACCCCTGAGAGCCCTCCAAAGAAGCCCAAGGCTTTGTGACACAGTGGAAACCCCCTGCGCTCCCTGCAGCAGGCCCCTGATCCAGCGCTCCTGCCGCACCTGGAGGGGAGAGCTCCTTACCCTAGTGGTGCCCAGCCCCTTAGTTCAGGCTGGAGTCCAGCACCAGTGTTGCAGCAGGCAGAGACATCAGGGCTATTTAGTCCCCTTGTTTAAAAAAGCTTTTCCTTAGGTAGCAGAATCCCTTCTTCCAGATTTTAAACAGAACCCCAGGGTGTCAAACAGAGAGAGCAAAGGGGTTCCCATGGGTAAGTCAGGGATGCAGGGCAGGTGACATGGTGACAGTCCCTAAGAGATTTGTTCCTCGAAGCTCTGCTTGACCCCCGGTGCCTTGGCACAGCCCTTCAGTGCTACAGTGGAGGAAACAGGCCCAAGGAGCTGAAGACTCTGGGCCAAGGTCACCCAGAGGAGGCCCTTTGATTAGCAGAGGTCAGCTCCAGAGAGAGGAGGACACAGGATGCAATGGTGCACTGGCCGGCGAGGTGTTGGAAGAGGCCAGAGCATGGAATAGAGATGGGGTGGAGAAACTGAGGACAGAGGTGAGGTGGGAGGACAGGAAGGAAAGGCACACAAGCAGACACAGTGTCTGGGAAAGGACAAGGGGAATTCCCAAGGGCAGGGACTCAAAAGACATATTCGGCCTAATTCAAATATTGCATGGGTCATGCTTATACCAAAAATTATTCCTTTTTTTTTTTTGAGATTCAGATTTAACTGGGCATCTTGTATTTTTCCTGGCATCTCACCTCCAGTCTGTCTTCCTCCCTGCCTTCCAATCGATACTGTCACAGGGTGCCACCGGATGAGCCTATTAGGGTGGTGGTTTGAGCCTCCTGATTGAATAATTTTGGAGTTCTGACCTGGTAGTGGAATGCGTGGGCAGACTGTCTGGGAAGTGGGCAGCCCCACAATGGTCAGTCCCCTTGGTCTGTGGTCTCTCACACTACACTGACAGCCCACGAGTCAGAGAGCCAACCAGACATTCTCCCCTCAGACTCTCTGGGAGGCCAGTGCCACTCCTCGAAGGTTCTGCTAGGAGGGGCCTAAACATTCCGGCCACTGTCCCATTGTTGGTTCCAGCAGCAGCAGAGACAGATGAGAACCTTTCCTTCTGTGGATAAAGGTCTCCACATTCCATTGGGGAGCTAGCCATCAGCAATGCTGGTAAAACAACTCTCTAAGCCCTTCCTAGGTCTTCTGAGAGCCTGAGCTCATTTGGTGAGCCTTGAGGGTGGAGATTCATTCCCATTTCCAGCAGGTAGCACAGTACTAGCTTCAGTGTAGATGAGGGTTTAACTGGGGGGGTGGTAAATTTTGGTTTTAGGATTACCCTTTAAAGAAGAGCTCCTATCACGATCCTCATTTTATAGGTGGAGAAATGGAGGAAGAGAGGGCTCAGTGATTTGCCTTAAGATTATGGAGACCCTCAGGCACAAAGGAAGACGAGGCATGGCTCCAGTTGCTCTCCGCTAGGAGCAGCCTCATGTCATAGAGGGCCTGGAGTCAGAGGTCTGTGTGGCATGGGGCCCTCTGAGCTGTGGTTTCCCCATCTGGAAGATGGGACCAATAGCCTGTGCTCTGGCTGTGTAAGAGTTGCACCGTTTTCTGGGGTGTGGCTGTTAGAGCTGGTAGTAGCTGAGAGATTCAGTGTCTGTGGAAGGGCTTTGCCTGTGCTGAGACCCGCAGGAGTGGGCAGGCGTCTCCAGGAGAATATTCTCCTCTCCCAGAAGGGCTGAGGGTGCCTCATCTGGCTCAGCCAGGGAAGAATGTCAGCTTCTCACTCCTCTTGCTCTCCTCCTCCTCCAGCGAGGACATAGGCACCATTTCTTTTTTTTTTTTTTTTTGGTCACCCAGGCTGGAGTGCAGTGGCGCAATCTCGGCTCACTGCAAGCTCCACCTCCCGGGTTCACACCATTCTCCTGCCTCAGCCTCCCGAGTAGCTGGGACTACAGGTGCCTGCCACCCGAGTAGCTGGTACTACAGGTGCCTGCCACCATGCCCGGCTAATTTTTTTGTATTTTTAGTAGAGACAGGGTTTCACCGTGTTCAGCAGGATGGTCTAGAACTCCTGACCTTGTGATCCGCCCACCTTGGCCTCCCAAAGTGCTGGGATTACAGGTGTGAGCCACCACGCCCGGCCCAACATAGGCACCATTTCTGAGGCAGCACCCTGTATACACTCTGACGTGAGCTTCTGTGGTGCCATTTAAAAATTATTACTATAAATGAGAGGAAAACATCGGCAAATTCAAAACTTTGGGAAATGACTCTTCTCTCTACCCAAAAGTCCACAGGATATTAATTACAACCAGGTGTTAGGAAACCCATATATTTAAGGACACCAGAGTACTCTGAGGCAGGGACTTGATGATAGGAAGTCTGGACATTACTGTGACTGGGAAAGGAGCCCCTCACTCCTGCCCCAGCCCCTGAGGCCTGTCACTTCTTCTATAAAGGGAGGCTGGACAGTACGAGCTCCAAGGCTTCTTCCAGCTCATGCAGGCATGTTCCACATCCCCACCAGACTGGGCGATTCTGGTCTTCCCTTGTACTCTGCCCAGACAGAGCTGGAGGGTGGGCTGATTCACTGAGCAGTCACGGGGTGAGGGGGTCCCATTGTGAACACAGCCCAGCCTGGAAGCCCTGAGTTCAAGTTCCTTCTGCTGATTAGGTGCTGTGTGGCCTTGGGTGAGATCCCTTCTCTGGGCCTCACCTTGCCATCTCTCTACAATGGAGCTAACAGCAACCTTGAAAGGCTGTCATGCTGTGGGCAGGAGACCAAGGTTGAGCTAGCGCCTTTCACTGGGCTGGGCAGGACACTGCGCCCATTGAGGGGAACTCCTAAAAGGGGTGCATCTGACATCTTTGACTGGAAAATAAAGACAGATCTGAAAGCGATGTAAGCATCTAGGGGCAGCTCTTCTTGGACCAAATATAGTTAAACATTTGGAACATAGTTTCCATTAGATTTTTTTTGTCTTTGCATAAGAGCAGCTATTTATCCAAGTCCCCAAAGCAGGCTGGGGACAAGAAGCTGTCTGTGATTCATGCTGGATGCTAGTGGACCTGGAGTGTGTCCAGGCCAGCTTGGCTGCCAGTGGCCCTCAGAAAGAAGTGTTTGACTATAAATTCAGCCAGGGTTGGGGGCGTGCCCTCTCACAGTGGATGCTGCCAGGAAGGCAGAGACCACCCCAGTTCTGCCAAAAGGTGACTTCTTTAGGGTCACTAGGGGCAGGGGACACCTAGGGAAAGGTGATAACCAAGTGCACTCACACATGTGGGCCAATGACACAGGCACAGATTGGGGGTGCAGAGAATGACTGCCAACATGGCCGCAAGGTCCTCTGCATGCCTGGCCACTTGTTGCTTTCTCAGATTTGAGATCATGAGAACCATATATATAAAAAAAGTAACAACTCGAGAAATTCAAATAAGGTCACTAGTTTGGTTCATAGTATGGTATCAATGTAAATTTCTTTTTGCTCATTGGGCTATGGTTATGTAAGGTGATGACACTGGGGGAAGCTGGGTGAAGAGTACACAGGAACTCTACTATTTTACAACTTCTATGTCAGTCTAAAGTTATTTCAAAAGTTAAAAAAAAAATCACCTGGGAATGTGATCCTGCCCTATTAACTTTGGAACACCATCATTCCCACTGCCCTCACCAGGCATGTATGGTGAGCCAGGCCCCATGCCTGGGGGGCCCATCCAGTTCTTACAGAGCCCTGGGAGATGGGACCGTTAAATGAGCTAATGTCAAGCACTTAGCACAGCGCCTGGGACAAAGGAAAGGCTTGGAAACTGTTAGCAATGTTATCACAGTGTTCCCATTTTAAAATGAGGAAACAGCCTCAGAGAGCTGAAGTGATTTGGCCAAGTCACAAAGCTAAAAAGCAGCTGACATTGGGTTTAATACCACATTCTCCAACTGAAAACTTCTGACTACACTAGACTCCCCTGCTGTCATGTTGACAAGGATTATTTGTAAAACCTTCTCGGAACTTCTAAAAGGGGTCTGACTGCCATTCCTTCCATTGTATTGTGTACTTCTCTTTTCCCTTGTCTCTTCTCCCACTGGGGACAGGAGGTTGGTTGAGGGGGAAGAGAGTGGGAAAGCCTGGGGTTCTGGGATAGAGGGGCTAGCAGTGTTGCTCCTGAGCCAGCCTGTGCTGCTAACAGGGTCTAGGGGCCACACACTCGACTCTATCCTGCTGGTTTTGTGTGTGGATCCAGAACACAGACCCACCCCCGAGGTGTGGTCTGTGAGTGACCACTGATGCTGAGCCCTGCAGGTGGAGCAGCATCTCCTTGGTGGGAGGTTCTGCCTGTAGCCTCCATGTGGGTGAGAACCAAGGACTTTCCAGTGGTCCCAGCCCCAGAGCAGCTGCTAAGGTCCCCCCAGGCCACACAGGGGTCTAGCACAGAGGGAAGCTCAAACTTACACCCAAGGCACTGTGTCTGACCTGGCTAACCATCTGTGTTGTAGAGGACACCTACAGCTCCGAGGAGACTGTGGACCACCAGCCTGTCCACCTGAGGGTCATGGACACTGCAGACCTGGTAACATTACCTCCATTACCTATGCACTGCTGTGAGTCAGTATAGCCTCCTGAGAAGTCCTGGCCCAGAGTGCGGGACCTCAGATAGGCATTTAGATGCCTTTTAAGCTCAACTTTGCTGTGTAACCCTGAATGAGGCACTTGACCTCTCTGGGTCTGAATCCTTCCTTTGCCAAATGAGAAGGATGGGACAGGGCCTGGAGAGACATGATGGTTGCTGGCATCTGCTCTGAGATCCTGTGCTGTGGGGCTCTGTGCCTGTGCACACGAGGAGACAGGTGCACACCTGTTTACACAGATGCTCCTGGTGAGAGCCCCTCGGCCCAGGTCTCTCCCACACACAAGTCTCCCCCCATGTCCTCACCACCCCCTGCCAAGGCTGGATGCCAGTTACTCTCAGAAGCCAAAGGGGCAGCATGAACTCAACCCAAAACCAGTGGTGCCCAGGGACAGCCAGGTCTCTGTAGGGACCATGCCAGAGTCTTTGGCTCTGGGCCCAAGGGGCCAAGGTCTCCAAGTCTCTGGCTGGGTGGTGGGAGGGAGGTTCATGAGACAATGTCTCCTTTCACACCAAGCCAAATCCACACTCAAGTGCCCCTTTGAAAGGGCTCTGCTGAGAAACAATATACAAAGACCGGGGAGTGGGGAGGTGGGATTGGGCGGCTCAGGTGAAGGCCTTTACCCCAACCTCCTCTGCCCCCCGGCGGGGCTTCTCACCTTCACCCCAGGACACCCCCAGGAACTGCGAGCGCTACCTGAACTGGGCCCATGCCTTCCTGGTGGTGTACAGCGTCGACAGCCGCCAGAGCTTTGATAGCAGCAGCAGCTACCTGGAGCTGCTTGCCTTGCACGCGAAGGAGACACAGCGCAGCATCCCTGCCCTGCTGCTGGGCAACAAGCTGGACATGGCTCAGTACAGGTGAGCACAGCCTGCTTGGCCGTTATCTCCAGAGCTCGCTTTCTTCACTTGTAAGGTCAGGTGGCATCTTGAGGGATTAGTGGGCTGCTAAGAACAGTCATCCCCTTGAATTGTGGTAGAAGGGATTATATGTTTGTTTGTGTGTGTGTTTGTTTTCTGAGACAGAGTCTCACTGTGTCACCCAGGCTGGAGTGCAATGGCACCATCTCGGCTCACTGCAACCTCCACCTCCTGGGTTCAAGTGATTCTCCTGCCTCAGCCTCCCCAGTAGCTGGGATTACAGGTTCCTGCCACCATGCCAGGCTAATTTTTGTGTTTTTAGTAGAGATGGGGTTTCGCCTTTTTGGCCAGGCTGGTCTTGAACTCCTGAACTCATGATCCGCCTGCCTCAGCCTCCCAAAGTGTGGGATTACAGGCGTGAGCCACCGTGCCCGACCACAGGGATTATGTTGTAAGGGTATGGTAGATGTTGGTCTTCCAGGCAGCCAAGGACTTGAAGGGAAACGCTTCTGGGTCACACAGCAACTGCACCCTGAAAGTCAGAAGAGTGGCCACTCCTTCCGCGCTCTTGGGTCTCTGTGGATTCTCTTGGACTCACCCTTCTTGCATGAATCTATCTGACCTTCCGATCTCACTCCCAGCAGCTGACTGGTCTAGTGCCCAATTCCAATTCTAAGGAGAGAGGCTCTGATGGGCTCCTTGGTCAGGTGTCTGCTCTGGTCCAATCGGCTCTCACCTCACCCAGACGCAGCCTCCCACTCTCACTCCCACAGTTGGCTGGGCTGAGGGCAGGTTCTCTTAGAAAGGGTTGGACTCGAATCGGAGGTCAGAGACTGGGCCAGAGGATGCATTACTGAAGAATACTGCAGCCATATTTTGCTTGGCTGGCATAGTGTCTTAAAAGACCTAGAATTGGAATGCTTTGAGGTGGGGCACGCTCTCTCCAGCCGACCCCAGGCCTCACCACTCCCCGTGGTTTACCTCCACCCTTTCCACACATTCAAGTTGCCCGCCTGGCCCTGAAGCATTTGACACTGTGATGCCTGAACTTGATGAGTAATGCCACTGGATTTCTCCAGCACTGACCTTTGTCCTCTGTGGCCAGTCTACCTGCAAGGGATAGCCCCTTCCACCAGCCACTCATCCCTCCCTGTTCACGGTTGGTCAGTCCTGCTGCCCTAGGCCCCAAGGGCACATTGACTGGTGTTAGCAAGGAAGGGACCCTTTGTTTAGAACGGGTCAGATGGGCCGTGGGAAAAAGAGAGGTGTGGGACCGTGAAAGGGGACTATGGTGAGAGGCCTTCAAAGGTGGCCAAGCCCTCAGACCTAGGCAAATTGTGTCTCAGAGAATGAGGGAAGTCATGTGACCTGAAAGCTGCTGAAGGTAGTCTTTGAGGAATTGCAGACCCTCTTAGGGGTCAGAAGACTGGATTGTGAGTAGGCCAGTTTTCAGTACAGGGAAAAAAGCACAGATCACTCTTTTGACCCCAATCTTTGCCAAAGGGATTGTCTAAAATGGTTTGGGAGCAAATAACAAAGCATACATGCTCAAATGAAGCTGATCCCACCCGTTCCCTAAAAACAACTCAGGACAATGTATTCCTATTTCATTCTTCGATCAAGTCCCAAGTTTAGTAGATTAGGATTCTGGGAAGCACAGGAAGTCTAACTTTTAGCTGAGCATTGGCCATTGTCTCCCACGACTGTCTCACTGTTAAAAGGGTAAAATGTCGGTTAGGTTGATGCTTCCCAAGCCACTGATAAAATTTTCCCTAGGATGCAACAAAATAAGAAAAAGGACAATGTTCTGTGCCTCTGTCACCCACTCACACACATGCACGCACACATGGGGTTTGTGTTTGTGAAAATTCATTATTCAAGCCCCCACAATGACAAAGTTGCAGATTCAAGCTCATCATAAAAGCAAATAATAGCAAGTGTTCTTTCCAAAAGGGTTCCTCAGGAAGCGGTGAGCTTACTGGCACCACGGCACCCAGCCCTGGGTGGGGAATAGATCCGATGCCTCTGACTCTTTTTTGTCCCAGTTACTCACTCTCTCTGAGACCGCGTGCCTCACCATGGAGTGGCACTCTGGGAAGCTAGCCCACTCTCAGCCCCTGCTCCTGCCAGGTCAGCCTTGGGCTCAGAAACTTTTCCCACCATGGCCCACTCGAGTGCCTCCTCTCATCTAGTGGCTGTGCCATTATCCTCGGGAATGGGCAGCGGGACAGCTCAGCAGTAGGTCAGGAAGATCCAGCCAGTGGAGTCTTGGCCCCAAGATCTCAGGGACCCCCCCATCTCTTCCCTCTTGTAGACATCCGACCTATGCAAGGCCAGTCTTCTTTTTCTTCCCGCCTCGATTCCCATGGCTTTCAGGTCAGAAGCCTCCAGGACCTTCCCAAGTTCCGGATATTCTATCCTCCCTTCACGGGAGGTGGTGTAGGACCAAGGCAGAATAGGTGTTGCCCCCTCTCTCCTTTTGCCCTCCTCACCATGAAATGTTGTCCCCCCTGCCCTCTCCTGCCTCTGCCCTGGTTTTATTATTTGCTTTTATGATGAGCTTGAATCTGCAACTTTGTCATTGTGAGGGCTTGAATAATGAATTTTCACAAACACAAACCCCAGGAGCCCTGAGAACTCTGCCAACCACAGGCTTCTGGAGTCACCTCTGTGGTCTAACCCTTCAGTCCAAACGACTGCTTCTCTCTAGAGCTGATCCCACAAGCCAGAGCTGTGGGTGGCCTGTTTCCTGCCCCAGGGACCCACGATGGGGTAGAGAAGAGATGGGGCTGGGAATGGCCTGCTTCCTCCAGCCACAGGCAGGGTCTAGCATAGGGGATTTGGAGTAGCTTCTTACCCTTACCCTCATCCCAAAATTCTGGCCTGGGTGACATCAGCTACCATTTATTGAGCACTGACTCTGTGCCAGGTACTGTGCTAAGCACTTGAAACAAATTGTCTTTCGTAATCCTAACAACCCTGAGAGGCAGAGGGCAGTAACCCACTGTACTGATAAGAACGCTGAGACTCAGAGAGGTGAAGATGACCCCAGGCCACCCAGCTAGTCCATGGGGCGCTGGGTGTAGGAGCTGGTCTGCCTGACTTGGCACAGCCTGCTCCTAACTCCCTGCCTCACACTGCTTCCTCACCAGGCAAGTCACCAAGGCAGAGGGTGTGGCTTTGGCAGGCAGGTTTGGGTGCCTGTTTTTCGAGGTCTCTGCCTGTCTGGACTTTGAGCACGTGCAGCATGTCTTCCACGAGGCAGTGCGAGAGGCACGGCGGGAGCTGGAGAAGAGCCCCCTGACCCGGCCCCTCTTCATCTCCGAGGAGAGGGCCCTGCCCCACCAGGCCCCGCTCACCGCGCGGCATGGGCTGGCCAGCTGCACCTTCAACACGCTCTCCACCATCAACCTGAAGGAGATGCCCACTGTGGCCCAGGCCAAGCTGGTCACCGTGAAGTCATCCCGGGCCCAGAGCAAGCGCAAGGCGCCTACCCTGACTCTCCTGAAGGGCTTCAAGATCTTCTGAGGCCCCCTCCCCAGGAAGCCTAGGCTCGGTGGCTGGACAGGACTGCAGCAGGACAGGGACTGGCTTCTCACCACCAGCCTTTCCGTCTGATGGACAGCAGACCCCGCCTCCAGCACCAAGCAGTGTCCCTACACTCAATTCACTGTGTGAGCTGGAGTGGCAGGCAGGGATGCTGCTTCTGTTCCCTCCAGGCCTTGGTCTTCATGGTAACCACCGCGTCTGTGGCCGTAGAGGGAAACAGCCACTGTGACAACCCAGAGACCTGGGGTCAGCCTTAAGTAGGAAGAAATTGCAGTGTCTATCCTGCTGCCATCAGCCCTTCCTGCTCCAGCTACAGTTGGGCCAGCTGTGGCCTTAGTGGATGGTCTGGGTGGATGGCTCTGTCAATGTCAGGCCCGAGAACAGCCTGCGGAATGACAGCCTGGGGTCCTTGTGCCACCTGGTGGACGGGAAAGGCAGGGCGGCTGCAGTTTCAGAGGCCAGAGCCTGGCCCTCCTGTCATCTGCTGACTTCACAGAAGGCCCAGGCTACAAACCCCACAGTTTATCCAAGGAAAATCTAGTTAAAATAATCCAATGGACAGAAGCCCCAGGAAGGGGTATTTCCAACACTTGGCGTCTCAATGAGGATAAAAGGGAGGGACTGTAGGTTGTCCAGCATAAGGAGCCCCAGAGTTCTTTCACCAGCAGACAGATTCTCCATGTGTTTTCCCACTGTTAAGGACTCTGTCCAAAGAACCTCAGCATCAGCTCCCTCAAGCTTAATGATCCAGGCTGCAGAAGAAAGTTGTCACTCCAGTGAGTTACCCAGGGCTCCAGGGAGCCCACAGCAGCATCAGACCCATCCAGGGGCTACAGGGCCTGCCCCCCTGCAGGTAGAAACACAGTATACCCGTTTGTCATCTGGTTTGGCAGGACCCAGGACCCTCAGCAATGAGTCTGAGTGTTCAAAGCCCACTTTAGAACCTAAAGCATTTTGGGTTAATAAAGCAAAATTTTGCTTATGTTATTTGGTGGTGTCACCGCAGCTTATACCAAGACACCATGGCTCAGACATGGGATCAGGACACACCTTTGAGATCCCACTGTTAGCAAGAAAAGGCTGTCCAAGGCAGGCAGTGTGGTAGTTGTCTGATTTTGTTTACCACACGCCAGGTCCCAGGGAAGTCTTGCACAGACTCTTAGCAGACAAGCAGGGAAAAGAGAGGGTCCTGGTGGGTGGAAGGATTGGGAAGGGGATTCTGGGCCTGGAAGCCTGCTCCTTCCCCTCTCAGCCGTCTCAGGACTACTGTTGGATTGCAAACAGCATCTCTGACCCAGTCTTCGGACTCATTCTGTAAATGGAGGAGCTGAGGTCAGAGGGGGGCTGTGAACTACTCAAGACCACATGCTTGCAGTCCTACAGGCTTCCCGACCCACAGGCCAGCTACGGATTTTGCACTTTTGCTCCAGGCCACTTGTGTGTGTATGTGTGTGTGTACCACTGCCATCTGAACAAACTATGCAATACCACCTGCTCCCTTCCAGGAGCATTTTAATAAAAGATTTTTTTTAATAACAGAATTTTAGTTTGCTTGCAGTTCATTCATTGTATCTGCTAAGAAAAAAAAAAAGAAAGAAAGAAAAAGAAAAAAGCGGCTTCTTGGGAGAGACTCTAAAACCTGAGAGGTTTCAGGCCACTGAGCTGAGCCCACATCATGTGTCTGGCTTAGGATGGGGCTTCTCTGAACCCTCACTAGCTCTCAGTTTCTGGTACATCCGGAAGGAAAACTGACAGCACATCTCTCTCTTTTAACTCAAGTTCCACCTGGGCCAAGTTTGGCTTTTCTGAGAGCAAAGTTTCTCTTAGGTTGTTTAGGCTGTTGTGATCCTTGGCCTCATCCAAATGCAGGACTTCTGGAGTTTCTTTTTCTGGTGGCTGCATCTTTTCTTTTCTGGGGGGACAGGGAACAGTGTTAATGAGGGGGGCTGAGTGGTTGGGGCAGGACTGGGTCGCCCAAATGGCTTAAAGAGTCTAAGGGGAAAATTCTCTATGCAGTTTGGGAGCTACTAGAGGAGAAGCGGCAATGGTTGGATATTCCTTCAACAGAGAAATGGCTTACCCTTGAGTGTGTGTCATCTCAAGGAATCCTTACTGTCACCTGTGAGCTCAAGTATCATTGCCACCCCCGCACCTTCCAAGTGAGGAAATGTGCTTCAAGGAGACCAGGTGCAGTGGCTCACACCTGTAATCCCAGCACTTTGGGAGGCTGAGGCGGGTGGATCACTTGAGGCCAGGTGTTTGAGACCAGTCTGGCCAACATGGCAAAACCCCATCTCTACTAAAAATACAAAAATTAGCTGGGTGTGGTTGTGCCTGTAATTGCAGCTATTTGGGAGGCTGAAGCAGGAGAATCACTTGAACCTGGGAGGCAGAGGTTGCAGTGAGCCGAGATTGTGCCACTGCACTCCATCCTGGGCAATAGAGAGACTGTCTCAAAAAAAAAAAAAAAAAAAAAAAGCCAAGGATGCACATAGCTAGTGTGTGCACTTAAGCCTCCTGACTCTTGAATCCTGTGTTCTTTTCACCTAACCACACTGTCTCTGACCTTGGACTGTCATCCTACTTAGCGTAGGTCCTTGTCACCACACACCTCATCCCTCACACTACTGCAGGAAATTTCTAACTAATCTCTCTGCCTCTAGGTGTTTCCTTCTCCAAACCAGCCTAGGCACAACACCAGTCATGTTTCTAAAACCCCATCGTGTACACATCACTCCCCTCCCCCAACCACCTTCATTGGCTCCCACTGCCCACTTCCTTAATAACTCCCATGTGTCTGTCCTCTCTCCAGATTGGTTTTATTCAAGGTACCCCTAGACTTCCTGGCCATAGTGGAGGGACCCAGCGGTGGTAAGCTGTCTGCCTAGAGATTCTGACTGGGTCGTAGGGGGAACAGGTCTGCTGTACCCATGGACAGCCACTCATCTCTGAGTTGACTTTGCTGAGGTGCATGTGTGCTGATAGGGTGAGAGGGGCAAGCTCGCCTTCTGAATGGCTACACTCCTCCAGGTCATGCCTGCTTCCTGTCCAGGGCCAGGGGGTGGTAATCAGGGACTGTTGCTGTTTTTTGTTTGTTTGTTTGTTTGTTTTTAACAGCTTGGGGTTCTCGAAGGACACTGAAGGCTGAATTTTGCTGTCCCAAAGGGTGGACAGCAATGACCCCTAAGTGACCCCTCTCTAGATTTCCCTCTGGGAAGGCAGGGCCTCTACCCCACAGAGACCACCCCATCCCCCCAGGACCAGCTCCTCACCTGCTTGCCTGGATGCTTCTTCCCAGGAGGACCATGCTTATAATGACCACCACAGCTGCCAGGGCAAGGATGGAATGATTCCAGGGAGATGCTGGGGAAGGACACACAGGACAGAGCCCTGAGGAATGGCCAGGCACCTCTCAAGCCCGCTAACAGCTGGGGCCTGGGCTCAGACCCAGCTTACAGCATCAACTGTCCTTTGCGTGGAGACCCTAATCAAAGATGGGCCCCTTGCCCTGGGGCACTCCCAGTCTAACAGGTGGGAGGGTGGAAGACAGTCTCTACTCTGGAGAAGCCCTAATCTAATGGAGGAGACAGTACTGCAGTTAAATAATAGTGGGGCAACAGGGGTGAAGGGCAGAGGCCTACGGAGGGCAGGAGACAGGTGGGCCAAGATAAACTTCACAATCTTCAGTTTTGCCAGCCTGGGCTGGACCTGCGGAGCACAAGGAAAAGAAAGAAGGCTGGGCTCAGTGGCTCACGCCTATAATCCCAGCACTTTGGGAAGCCGAGTCAGGTGGATCACCTGAGGTCGGGAGTTCAAGACCAGCCTGGCCAACATGGTGAAATGCTGTCTCTACTAAAAATACAAAAATTAGCTGGGTGTGGTGGCATACACTGTAATCCCAGCTACTCAGGAGACTGAGGCATGAGAATCACTTGAATCCAGGAGGCAGAGCTTGCAGTGAGCCAAGATTGCACCACTGCACTCCAGCCTGGGCAACAGAGTGACCCTGCCTCAAAAAAAAGGCAAAAAAAAAAAAAAAAAGAAGAAGAAGAAGAAAGAAAAAAAAAGGAAAGAAAGAAGGCAGGGAGAAGGGTGGAAGGAATGGCAACTGCCCACAGATAATACATGAAGTGACTAAACTGAATGTGGCTACTCAAGATTTGTCCATGCTGTACCCAAATGAAGCAGGGTCCAGCCTCAGAGCTCTTGCATTTGCTGTCCTCCCTCCAGGAATGTTCCTCCCCCAAATAATTTGCATACCTAATTATTTCCTTAGTTTCCTGCAAGTCACCTTCCTGATGATAAAAATGTCACCTTTTTAGTGAGGCCTTCCTTGACCACATTACTGCCCTTGCTGCATACTTCCTATTCTCTTTCTCTGTTTAATTTTTCTTTTTATTACTCATCACCAACGCACTATGCGTTTTAGTTGTTTATTTTTAATCCCCACTAGAATGTACATTCCATGAAGGCAGAGATTTTTGTGTTTTATTCACTATTGTCGCCCCAGTGCTGAGAACAGTGTCTGGTACAGAGTAGGAGCTTAATAAATGTGATGATTGGAGGGCTGCATAAATAAGCGACCACACCCTGAGAAAAGGAAGGGGCGGTCCAGCCAGACCCCTCTGGGTACTGAGACACCCCGACTGATTCCCTGTCTTGGAGGAAATGTACCGCCTGACCTGGAGGGGACGACAGTGTCAGGACCTTCAGCCAAACTCTGCTCTGTGTTGAGGGGCACACCCCCACCCCTGCCGTCAATCTCTCACCACTTACCATCTTCCACACGAAAAAACCAAAGCATCTCTTCCAGCAGCTCCTGGGGTACCACAGTACCGGCTGGGTCTCCGGGAGCCCCCTCACTGTGCTCCATGCCCCTGCTCCTGGTAGCGTGTGCAACGAGGTCCTTAGACCCCTTAGCCCCAGCAGCCCTCCTGGCCTCCTCGGTTCTGGCCCCTGGGCAGAGAAGCCGTGAAGACCCCTGGAAACAAAGCAGACAGCATGACTGGATATCCCACCCGAGTTTGATCTCCCTCTGTGCCCAAATCCAGATCTCCTCTGGCCCAAAGTTATGGGACAAAAACGACCCGAACGAACCCAGGAGCACGTGGAGCCTGGAGGGGCAGAGACTGGAAGTGGGAGTGACTCAAATATTTATTAAAAGCCATCGCATGTGTGGAGGAGCACTGTTCTGGGAGTGAGGAGGACTGAGCCACTGGCGAGTTCTGGGACCCTTGCAAAGGACATCTCGGGTCTTCGCCTGCCTGTTCAGCGTCCGCACCTGGCTTCTACGAGCCCACAGCGCGCCCACGCGTTGCCATAGCAACTTGTCCCTTGGGTGTCATGCGGTAGCCAATCACAGGCCTGTGTTTCCCCACATGTCAAAGGCTGGGCCTATCACGCCTCTCTCCTGGGGATTGGCACGCCTACGACACAGAGAGGAGAAAAGGGAAAAGTGCCGGAGGGAAAGGCAGCTGCCGGCTCCTGATGCTGAGAGGGCACCCCCTGCCCCGACCCCGAGAGCTTTTTTTTTCTTTTTCTTTTTTTTTTGGACAAGTTAGCAGAATTGGTTTCTGTTATTTGCAAGGGAAGAACTTGAATCCATGCTCTCTGGATAAATCCCTTACTTCGTGTAGGCCTATTTCCATCCCAACTATTAATAATAAACTGAACCTCAGTCAATCTCAAAACAGTCAGACATTTTGACGTCTTCTTGTACTAACTGCATTATTACTACTTAATATAAAATTTTCTAGCATCCATACTTTACAAAACAAAAAGAAATAGGTAAAATTAATTTTGACAACATATATTATTCAGGCCAATATTAAAATTGTTAAGTTATTTCGCTTTTTTTTTTTTTTTTTTGAGACGGAGTCTCACTCTGTCGCCCAGGCTGGAGTGCAGTGGCACGATCTCTGCTCACTGCAACCTCCGCCTCCCAGGTTCAAGCGATTCTCCTGTCTCAGCCTCCTAAGTAGCTGGAATTACAGGCGCATGTCACTACCGCCCCACTAATTTTTGTATTTTTAGTAGAGATGGGGTTTCACCATGTTGGCCAGGCTGGTCTCGAACTCTTGACCTCAGGTGATCCACCCGCCTTGGCCTCCCAAAGTACTGGGATTACAGGAGTGAGCCACCGCGCCTGACCCAATAACACATTTTTTTAAAAGGACACGCATTAAACACATTAAGCTGTGTCTTGGGGAGGAGGAGGAAGGGAGTAGGAATGGAGATAAACGTAACTAAAATAAAACAAGAGAAGTGTTTTGAACAGATCAATTATAAAACATGCCATAGGGCACCAAGAAAAAAAGTGTACAGGGAGGATCGAAGCATTCTCAGGTCCCCTCACACTCTGTCACTGCCTTAGGTGCTCAACAATCTCAGCCCCAAATAGCCTTTGGACACTTAGCCAGGGGCATTCAAAAACAGCTAGATGGCAAACAGCCAGACAGAAAATTGGAGTATCAACAAAAGGACTAGCTTTACATCAGAGTTTCCTCTAGCACTAAATGCTCTGAGAAAACTAAAAAGGCATATCTACAAATTGCAAGGGAAAATATTTTGACACAAATACAATACTGACTTAAGCTTTTCATATGTGAATGATCATTCATATGCCAAGGTGGAGATGGAAGTCAGGGAGAAAAAAAGACCTTTCTTAGACTTTTTTTTTTTTCTTTTTTTTTCTTTTGAGACGGAGTCTTGCTCTGTCGCCCAGGCTGGAGTGCAGTGACGTGATCTCAGCTCACTGCAACCTATGCCTCCTGGGTCCAAGCGGTTCTCGTTTGTGCCTCTGCCTCCCAAGTAGTGGGACTACAGGGCATGCCACCACGCCAGGCTAATTTTTGTATTTTTAGTAATGATGGGGTTTCCTCATGTTTCCCAGGCTGGTCTTGAACTCGTGACATCAGGTAATCCACTCGCCTCGGCCTCCCAAAATGCTAGGAATACAGGCCTGAGCCACCGTGCCTGGCCCTTTCTTAGACTTTCAAGGACTCACATGCACACTGCCTACTTACTCATTTGAGGGAGATTCTATCTATCTATCTATCTATCTATCTATCTATCTATCTATCATCTATCGATCTATCTGTCTATCTATCTATCTGCCTACCTACCCATCTAAAATCATGGAAAGACAAAGTTACAAGAATGGCCAACAGATGTGATCTTGTGTTCTAGCTCCAACTGACTGTCCAGAGCACTGTCCAAGAAGGATTGTGACATTCCATCCAGTCTCAGATGTAAGAGTGCCTGGATTGATTAGTAACATCAGCCACAGGCCCCTGTGCCATATGCAAACCCCTGAACTCACAAAGAAAAGTATTGAAGTTGAGAAACCAAACACAGTCTTCTTCTAGGGTGTGGGATGAGATTTAGACACATGGGATATTCATGTTGACCACTCCTGTATTGTGTGGTTTCTTATGCGTATACACTGCTTTCATGAGAACAATACATGTAATTCCATTTTTAATGTGTGTATATATTTCTATGTATATTTTGTCTATTTGTATGTATGTTTTTTTTTTTTTGAGATGGAGTTTTGTTTTTGCTGCCCAGGCTGGAGTGCAATGGTGTGATCTCGGCTCACTGCAACCACCGCCTCCCAGGTTCAAGAAATTCTCTTGCCTCAGCCTCCTGAGTAGCTGGGACTACAGGCATGTGCCACCACACCTGGCTAATTTTTGTATTTTTAGTAGAGATGGGATTTCACCATGTTTGCCAGGTTGGTGATCCGCCTACCTCAGCCTCCCAAAGTGCTGGGATTACAGGTGTGAGCCACTGCACCCAGCCTTTGTATGCATTTTTAAATGTAGGTATTATTGTACTTATACCTTTTGAGACAACAATTCCAATTTTTGATATTTAATTAATGGAACTAATCAGATCAGTGTACAAAGACGCAGGTAAGCTATTGTCCACAGTGGAGTGGTGTTTTTTTGTTTTTTGTTTTTTGAGACAGAGTCTGGCTCTGTCACCCAGGCTGGAGTGCAATGGCACCATCTTGGCTCACTGCAACCTCCATCTCCCGGGCACAGGCGATCCTCTCACCTCAGCCTCCTGAGCAGCTGGTACAACAGGCATGTGCCACCACGCCCGGCTAATTTTTGTATTTTTTGTAGCGATGGGGTTTCATCATCTTGCCCAGGCCAGCCTTGAACTTCTGAGTTCAAGCGACCTGCCCACCTTGTCCTCCCAAAATGCTGGGATTACAGGCATGAGCCACCGCGCCTGGCCAAAATATGTTTAAAATATGTTTAATATTGTTACAGTAAACACATACCAACCAACAAAAAACCAAAATGACAAATTGGATACAAATCCAGAACCGAGAGTCAGCCCTCCTCAGCTATGTTAGATGCCACAGAAACAAGCGACATATTTCTTTCTTTTTTTTGAGACAGAGTTTCACTCTTTTTGCCCAGGCTGGAGTGCAATGGCATGATCTCAGCTCACTGCAACCTCCACCTCCCAGGTTCAAGTGATTCTCCTGCCTCAGCCTCCCAAGTAGCTGTGATTATAGGCATCCACCACCATGCCCAGCTAATTTTGTATTTATTTATTTAGAGACAGAGTTTCACTCTTGTTGCCCAGGCTGGAGTGTAGTGGCACCATCTCAGCTCACTGCAACCTCCGCCTCCCGAGTTCAAGTGATCCTCCTGCCTCAGCTTCCTGAGTAGCTGGGATTATAGGTGCCCGCCACCACATCCAGCTAATTTTTGTATTATTAGTAGAGACAGCATTTCACCACATTGGCCAGGCTGGTCTCGGAACTCCTGACCTGAGGTGATCCATCTGCCTCGGCCTCCCAAAGTGCTGGGATTACAGGCATGAGCCACCGCACCCGGCCAATTTTGTATTTTTAGTAGAGATGGGGTTTCACCACGTTAGCCGGGGTGGTCTCGAACTCCTGACCTCAGGTGATCGGCCTGCCTCGGCCTCCAAAAGTGCTGGAATTACAGGCGTGAGCCACTGCGCCCGGCCAAAGACATATTTCTATCAAAGCACGTATCCAGTTTGCTTCTAAAGTGAGCATCATATTGTCATTTGCATGATTAAATTAAACTTTATGCCTTATTTGCATTTTGTTAGTTTTGCCTTTAATGTTCTTTTCTTGTTCCAGGATCCCATTTAGGATGTCATACTGCATTTAGTTGTCTTGTCTCCTTAAGCCCCTCTGGGAGATCTCTGCATTTTAAACAGGGCTTAACCATCGTGCCATTGGACTGTGACTTCTGCCAAAGACCTGGGCCACCCATCCCCAAGGCAAGATGAGGACACTCACCCCGGATCCTGAGTTCCTGACGACTGCCTTGATCTGCTGTTGGGAGCAGCACCGATTTCTGTATCTTCCTTTTCCTCCTCTTTATGGGAGAACAGGATAGTCTTTGCACTTGAGCTCTCCCAGGCAGTAACAGCTGTCACTTAGGGGACAGTGCCTGGAGAGCCTGCGGCAGCTGGACCCATCTGGTAGCTCTGGCCTTAGCACACGCCCAGGCCTGGAGCCTTCTGTATCACTCCAGGGTGACTGACCTCTTGAATGAGTGCACTCAGAGTGCAAACAGGCTCCACCTGACTTTCACAATCCGAAAGCACCAGTAGCCCAGTGCTTTCATTGTTATGTGTTGGCCTCAAGTAAAGAGAAAACATCCGGATCCTCTGGACAGGCAGGAGAATGGACTGCAGAGGACCTGCGGTCTGTGGGTTCCATCACTGCAGGGGGATATGTAGTGTGCCCACTCCAGGTCTCTATTGCCCAATATCATCAATATTTAACCACGGAGCAGGGAGCCAGGCTGGCCTTTTACAGCCTGTGCTTTCTCATAGTGAAGGTCATGGCATGATGTGAATTCCTCACAAGGAGCTGTAAAATATGACCTTTGGAGGTGGGGGTTGGGAAAGGCTGTGTGAGCACCAGTGACCCAGAGAGTAGGAAGCAGGCCAAGGCAAGTAACTTGATGGGGAAGCAGGAATGAGGTGCTCCTCCCACCTGACCAGCACCATTCAACTCTGATAGTCTATGGACTTTTCCACCAACTGGCTCCGTGCATCTTAGGCAATCATTGTTGGTTTAGCAAGGAGTGGGCTTATGTGAAATAAGCCCACTCCTTTTTTTTTTTTTTTTTTTTTTTTGAGATGGAGTCTCGCTGTGTCACCCAGGCTGGAGAGCAGTGGCACAATCTTGGCTCACTGCAACCTCCACCTCCCCGGTTCAAGCAATTCTCCTGCCTCAGCCTCCTGAGTAGCTGGGACTACAAGTATGTGCCATCATGCCCGGCTAATTTTTTCTATTTTTAGTAGAGATGGTGTTTCACCGTGTTAGCCAGGATAGTCTTGATCTCCTGACCTCGTGATCTGCCCACCTCAGACTCCCAAAGTGCTGGGATTACAGGCATGAGCCACCACGCCCAGCCGCCCACTCTTATTTCTTACTTCACAAATGAAACAGAGGCTGAGTGAGGTCACATGTCAAGCCCAAACTCCTCTATGAGTTAAACATTAGTCAACAGTGTGTACTGTGTGTGCATGGGGCAGAGGAAAGAAGACCCAACAGGGAATCTAGGGGCTGCCTGGAACTCCAGCTCCTCCTCATTTTGTAATGCATTCATTTATTCATTGAATAAATGTTACTTGAGCATCTACTGTGTAGATACATGGTAAATAAGACAGGTGAGGGCCCTGCTCCATTGGAGCTCAAACTCCAGGGGAGATAGCCAACAAAAAAGTAAGCAAAAGCATAATTAAAAGATAATTATAGCAGTGATCATTTCTGTGAATATCTTAAACAACATAATAAGATAGAAAGGGATGAGGTGGGGGAGACATGATTACTATATTACTACACTAAAAACTGAATGATGAGGGGTTAACCATGCAAAGACCTGAAAAAGCAGGTACAAAGGCCAGGCGTGGTGGCTCATGCCTGTAATCCCAGCACTTTGGGAGGCCAAGGCAGGTGTATCACCTGAGGTCAGGAGTTCGAGACCAGCCTGACCAACAAGGTGAAACTCCGTCTCTACTAAAAATAAAAAAATTAGCCAGGTGTGGTGGCAGGCGCCTGTAGTCCCAGCTACTCAGGAGGCTGAGACAGGAGAACTGCTTGAACCCGGGAGGCGGAGGTTGCAGTGAGCTGAGATCGCACCACTGCACTCCAGCCTGGGCAACAGAGCAAGACTTCATCTCAGAAAAAAAAAGAAAAGAAAAGAAAGCAAGCAGGTACAAAGACACTGAAGAAATAATGAGCTTAATGTGTCTGGAACAAAAAGGTGGCCAATATAGCTGAATCATAGTGATGAGGGGGAAGTGGCATGGAATAAAGTCAGAGGACAGACAGGAGTATCCACTCCTCATGGTGGGCCTTGTAAAACAGGGTAAGGAGTTTGTATTTTACCCTAAAAGTGATGAGAAGCCACTGGAGGGTTTAGGCAGGAAAGTGACATAATCTAATTGACATTTGTCTAAGATCACTTGGCCTGCTGGGTGGAAAATGGATTGTAGGAGAGCAAGAGAGGAACAGGGAGACCATTGGGAGGCTGTTATATTCATCCAGGCAAAACATATTAGTAGTTTGGACCAGGCTGGTGGCAGTGGAGATGATGAGAAGTGGTCAGATTCAGGGTGCATTTTGGAGAGAAAGGTAGTTGATAGATTTCAAGAGAGAAGCTCAACACTAACTCTCTTAAACACAAAAGGAATTTATTGGCTCATAAACTAGGAAGGGCAGGGTGGAGCTGACCTGAGGCATACGGGAACCAGGGATTTGACGACCCGTAGTGCTTTGTTTCTGTGGCTCTTTCCCTGCTTTTCTCTGGGTGCCAGGCTCATTACCCCAGGCTGGCCACCTCCGGGAAGCTTGACCAGATGATAGGAAACCCAGGCTCATGCTCTCATAGCTGCAGAGGAAGTAGCTACTTTTCTTAGCTCTTGTTTAAAAATTCTTGGAAAGGACTCTAATTGTCCAGCCTGAGTCATGTACCTATGTCTTGGATCAATTGTTATGGCTAGGGAGGGGGGTACCACTGATAGCCAACTCAGAGCTCATCATGCCTGTTGGGTAGCCAGGAGAGACAGGCTGTGAGCTGGACAGCCCATGCCATGTGGGTGCCTGAAGGAACCATTTGACCTCAATCCCCCTTGTCTGCCTCTGAGGAGTGTTGTGGTGCTCTAATGGGATGGTGTCCCCTTAACAAGGAGCCTGCACAATCCCAGGTTTTCCACTCTTCTGCTTCTGTGTCTTTTCTCTCCCTCCTCTTACCCTAGCTCTTTCTACTACGGCCTATCCAATAACTTGTTCCATGGTTGCCATGTGCCAGGCATTATGCCAGTGATAAACAGTCGAAAGGATTGTCCCTGCCCTCATGGAGACTCCAGTCTAGCAGAACAGACAGACGGGTGTTCATCATGTCATCACAACTTCTGTGTGACAAGTGCCATGAAGGAAACGTACACATGGAGATGAGAGCACATCACCAAGCCCTCCTTTCCTCACAGCATCACTATCATTCCTGGCCAATCAATCCCACCTTGAAATCTCCTCTCCTGACTTCTCCAGTCTCTTATCTCCCTACCTAGAGGATGATAGACAGTCAGCAGTGTAGTGGAGTGGAAAGGGCTTTTGGTTTTCCTCTGCTATTCTGGTATCTGCCACCTGCTAACCCTTCAAGCCTCAGCTTAAATGTCATCTTCTTAGGGAGGCCTTCCATATCAGTTGAGAATTGTGTTTGGCTCTGGGTAACAAAGACCCAATGTCAGTGGTTTAAACCATAAGAGTTTATTTTCTCATAGAAGAATGTCAGAAGTAGCCAGTTATTAATGTCGTAAGACCAAGGAAATCAGGGCTGAGGTTTCTAAGACTCCCTCATGGCCCCTAGATGGCTGATGCAGCTCCTGCCATTATATCCAAGTTCCAAGCAGAAAAAAAAGCAAAAGGGAAGAAGGACAAAAAGGTGTGACCATGCTCTATAGTAAACGAATAACCTATCTGAGAGTAAACTCAGATAATACAGAGAACTAAGGTCAAGGGAGTTATTCCCAGAAAACAGTAGCAAGGGCAGCCAGGTGGGCTAACCAAAGAACTTACTCTACTGCCAGGGTGGAGGTCTTCACAGCTCATGCCCAGCAGGATTTGATAACTGTCATGGGCCTGTGCTGCTGTGTGGACTGTAGCACAGCCTGCTAATTTCCCCCTAGATTACATTCTTCCCTTCTTCCTTTTAATAAGAGAATCCTCTAAATTTTAGAGGCATATGGCCACCCAACTGGAAACTGCAGTTCCCAGGCCAGGCGTGGTGGTTCATGCCTATAATCCCAGCACTTTGGGAGGCCGAGGTGGTCGGATCACGAGGTCAGGAGTTCAAGACCAGCCTGGCCAACATGGTGATACCCCATCTCTCCTAAAAATACAAATTAGCCAGGCATGGTGGCGTGCACCTGTAATCCCAGCTACTCAGGAGGCTGAGGCAGGAGAATCGCTTGAACCTGGGAGGTGGCGTGAGCTGAGATCACGCCATTGTACTCCAGCCTGGGTGACAGAGCAAGACTCCATCTTAAAATAAATAAATAAATTAATTAATTAAAAAAATTAATGAACCTGCATTTCCCAGATTCCCTGCAGTCATAAGTGGTCCTCTAAGTTTTGGCCGAAAGAGACCTGAGAAGTGATTGCAACTTCAGAATCACTATTTTTTTTTTTTTGAAATTTATACAAACTTTTTTTTGTTGGAGTATACATATAGGAAAGTACACAAATGGTAAGCTTAGTGAATTTTCACATGTGGACACACTCATGCATGGGAACATATGCCATCCAGATCAACAAATAAAACAATTGCACCATTGCATCCTGTACTCCAGCCTAAGCAACAGAGTAAGACCCTGTCTCTAAAAGAAAAAAAGAAAAAGAAATAGAACATTTCCAGATCTCAGAAGTCTTCTCTTGTCACTATCCCTTACAAAGGCAACCTGACTTTTAATACCATAGATTAATTTTGTCTGTTTTTATACTTTATATAAATGTAATCAATCAATATGCAATCTTTTGTGTCAGCTTCTTTTGCTCTACATTATACTTGTGAGATTCATCCGCGTTGTGTGTAGTTGTGGTTCATTCATTCTTGTTGTAGCGTAGTATTCTATTGTGTGACTATGCTGCACTATTTCTACCTGTGGATCATGTTTTTGTGAGAAAATTCAACCCCTCCACTTCCTCATTCCTCTTTCTGGAACACAGATATGATGGTGGAAAGGACATGTCAGGACAGGGGTTGTTAACCTATGGGCCAGATCTTTCTCTTTTTTTGAGATGGAGTGTCGCTCTGTTGCCAGGCTGGAGTGCAGTGGGGAGATCTTGGCTCACTGCAATCTCTGCCTCCCGGGTTCAATCGAGTCTCCTTCCTCAGCCTCCCAAGTGGTTGGGACTACAGGCACGTACCACCACGCCCAGCTAATTTTTGTATTTTTAGTAGAGATGGGGTTTCACCATGTTGGTCAGGATGTTCTCAATCTCTTGACCTCATGATCCGCCCGCCTTGGCCTCCCAAAATGCTGGGATTACAGGCGTGAGCCACCGCACCTGGCCTATGGGCCAAATCTGACCTGCAGCCTGGTTTTGTAAAAAAAAAAAAAAATAATAATAATAATAATAATTCTTACTGGGACACGCCATGCTCATTTGTTTACATATTGTCTAGGGTTGCTTTGGCATTACATTAGCAGAATGGAGCAGTTGTGACGATTGGCCCACAAAGCCTAAAATATTTGCCATTTGGTCCTCATTTACCAAACAAAAAAAGTGCCAGCTGGGTGCAGTGACTCACGCCTGTAATCCCAGCACTTTAGTAGGCTGAGGCAGGTGGATCACCTGAGTTCAGGAGTTCGAGACCACCCTGGGCAACATGGTGAAACCCTGTCTCTACTAAAAATACAAAATTAGCCAGGCTGTTGGCGCATGCCTGTAGTCCCAGCTACTTGGGAGGCTGAGGCAGGAGGATGACTTGAACCTGGGAGGTGGAGGTTGCGGTGAGCCAAGATCACACCACTGTACTCCAGCCTGGGCAATAGAATGAGACCCCATCTCAAAAAAAAAAAAGACAACCCAGGCAACAAGATAGAAGGAATTTGAGCTCCTGATTAACCTCAGGTAGCTGAGCAGCCTACCTGCCCTGGACCACCTATCAGCTTCTGAAAGTGTTATGTACAGGAAAAGTTTGGGGATCTCCCTGTTACAGAAACTTACTCTGTACTGTAACTAATACATACATTCTGCATGTTTAAAAATGGTTTATTGGATAAGTAAATAACATGGCAGCAGAACTAACTTCTAGTCCTGTCCATCTTTGCTACTGACCAGCTGTGTGATCTTGAGCTAGTCACTGGGACCTCAAGTTTTTATCAAAACGCATTAAGGTTCTACAAGGAGTGAAAAAGCAAAGGATTTTAGCAACTACTATCAGAAGGAGCCAATTGTGTAATGACAAAGTCCAGGCCCTTTAAACATGGGAGATTTCCACCTGGGGTCAACCAGTTGGCTTTTCTGCTAAATAAGGTAAAACACCAGTATGAAGGAGAACTTTTTCCCTAAATTGTGATGGATGCTAGAGGGTAGGGAATACTGGCTGAGCTGTCCAGAAACCTGACCCCTCAGCTGGATTGCAGAGGATGCTTTAACCTCAGCTCAGGGTTAAGTTCCAGGAGGCAGAGTCTTGCCCTGACCTTCAGGGCCTAAGGCTAAGCATCCTCCTGCGTCTCAGCCTGCTGTCTCCCCATGCGGAAGATGTGACGCCTGCTAGGCTGACAGCCAGTAAAGGTTTCAAAGTGGTGGAAACTGATCTGCATTTCCAGGGCAGGCTGTTCTGCTCCTTGGGGTGGGCCATCTATCATCAGCTGGCGCCAGGAGGGGTGGACAGGCCCTTGGCTAGCTGTTTGTTCTCACCCTCATTTTCACAAGCATCACTTACATGTGGAAGCCAGTTTAACAATTCAGTTTGAACAATAGTTCTTCCAAGTCCCTGATGACAGCACGTTATCTTCTCAGTAAACTTCATGGAAAATAAAATGAAATCTGAAAGTGGCGATGTAAGGAAATGATGACACATGGGAGCAGAGATGTATGTTCAAGAATGTTCACTGCAACATTATTTAAAATAGCAAAAAAAAGAGTGGGCATGGTGGCTTCTGTCTGTAATCCCAGCACTTTTAGAGGCTGAGGCAGGAGGATCACTTGAACCCAGAGTCCGAGACCAACCTGGGCAACAAAGTGAGACCCCATCTCTAAAAAAATATTAGCCAGGCATGGTGGCATGCATCTGTGGTCCCAGCTATTTGGGAGGTTAAGACAGGAGGATTGCTTGAGCCCAGGAGGTTGAGGCTGCAATGAGGCATGATCCACCACTGTACTCCAGCCTGGGCGACAGAGTGAGATGCTGTCTCAAAATTTATTCTTGTTGTTGGTCGGGCACAGAGGCTCACGCCTGTAATCCCAGCACTTTGGGAAGCCGAGGTGGGCAGATCACCTGAGGTCAGGAGTTCAAGACCAGCCTGGCCAACATGGTGAAACCCCATCTCTACGAAAATACAAAAGAAATTAGCCGGGCATGATGGTGGGTGCCTATAATCCCAGCTACTCAGGAGGCTGAGGCGGGAGAATCACTTGAACCTGAGAGGCAGAGGTTGCAGTGAGCCAAGATCGTGCCATTGCACTCCAGCCTGGGCGACAGAGTGAGACTCTGTCTCAGAAAAACAACAACAACAAAAAAAAATACAAATTTTTTTTGAAACAAAAATACAAATATCGAGGATCAGAGGAGTGGTTAAATTATGGTACCAACGGAACCACATATTTCTTCTAGGGGCTAATTTTTATGTTAAACCCAGAAGAGGAAAAAAAAACAAATAGTGGAATTAGTGAGGGATATTTTTGCAAAAGGTAGGGGAAGTAAGTCCAAAATTATTTCCAGTGAAGCACTGACTTGAGGCCTTCATCTGTAATAGGATGGTTGAGAGGAGTGACAGGTGTTCAAAGGGAAGTCATCTTTATACCAAAGTAAAAGGATGTCCATGATCAAAGTCTTTTTCATCAGACACATGTTTTGTTGGAAGCATTTCAAGAATATTTGCAAAGTATAGGAAGTTTGGCAAAAACTGGTGTGAAACAGTAAAAACAAGTACAATATGTACTTTCTCCAAGGAAAGATATTCTGCAGCCACCACCTTAATCCCTTTCATCTTATCGATAGCATTTGAGACTATCTATGTTGCTGACCCTTATTCATAATCCTTAATTATTTCTATGTCTTTGACCTCTTGCTCCTGGTTATAGTATAACCAAAAATTTTCTTCAGTCCCCTACTAAACCAGAGTCCAAGAGTAGAATAAAATCAAAGTCTATCTATAGGAGGTGCTTAAAGTTTAATCATTCTCAGACACAGCACTATGAACAGTTTCATTTTACAGACATATTGTTCAACAATGTGTTTGAGGAATGTCAAACAACTTGGTAAGTAAGAATTGTGTGTTAATTTGTCTCAGTTTTGTCCCTCCCATTCACAGGCAAGTAAGCACTCTTTTTTTTTTTTTTAATTTTTTTTTTAAGACAAGATCTGACTCTGTTGCCTAGGTTGGAGTGGCATGATCATGGCTCATGGCAGCCTCAATCTCCTGGGCTCAAGCGATTCTCCCACCTCAGCCTCCCGAGTAGCTAGGACCATAGGCGTGCACCACTACACTTGGCTAATTTTTAAAATTTTGTAGAGATAGGGTCTTGCCCAGGCTGCTGTCAAACTCCTGGCGTCCAGTTATCTTCTGTCTTGACCTCCCAAAGTGTTGGGATTATAGGTGTGAGCCACCATGCCTGGCTTGATTATTTGCAGGCATACTATAGTTATAATAAGAAAACAAAAATTTAAGGAAATTTTTGTTTTGCTAAGCATAACCCATTTTACAACAAATTGCACTTTTTGGAGGCATCATCCTTAAATTTACCTGTATATTAATTTATCCATTTGGATTAAATTTTCCATTTAAGGTTTTCTGGCCAGGTGCGGTGGCTTATGCCTATAATCCCAGCACTTTGAGAAGCCAAGGCAGGTGGATCACCTGAGGTCAGGAGTTTGAGACCAGCCTGGCCAACATGGAGAAACCCTGTCTCTACTAAAAATACAAAAATTAGCCGGGCATGGTGGTGGGTGCCTGTAATCCTAGCTACCCAGGAGGCTGAGGTGGGAGAATTGCTTGCTTGAACCCGGGAGGCGGAGGTTGCGGTGAGGCAAGATCGTGCCACTGCACTCCAGCCTGGACGACAGAGTTAAGACACTCCGTCTCAAAAAAAAAAAAAAAAAAAAAAAAAAAAAAAAAAAAAAAAAAAGATTTTCTACAGTCTTGACCTCCTAGACAGAACATTTAATACATCTTGGATTCTAAGGGGGTTTGGCAATGTGGGTAGGTATTCTGAGGCATTTAGTCTCTCATTTCTGAAAACTGGATGATCTAAAGTATACAATATTATTCATTTCATGAATTTTGAGGGGTCCTCTGAAATAATATAGCAACCAAGGTAAGACTCACAAAGCTAATAATCAGGGAGATTTAGGGTAGTTCCTTTAACTATGTGTGGTGAAAGTGCCTTTCAGTTTGAACATTTAAAGCCCGCTAAATTGAGAGTTAGAGATGGAACATAAAGGACTAAAGAGATGTTTTTCATATGCCTAGCAGAACATAGAACATAAAAAAAAATACCGACAACATTTCAAAACACAATCTGAGTTTCATCATTGGTTTCATTCAGTTCTACATAATGAATTCTCCATAGGTGGATCCTGGGTCAGCAGTCCACATTTGCAGAATTATCTGCTTCTAGACAAAGGCACCCCGGCAATCCTGAGATGTAAGCGCTCTGGTACAATGTGCCAGGTATCCATGTGCAGCGGCAAAATCAGTTCACACAAAGAGGCCTGAACTCCTGAGTTTACTCCCTGCAGTATCAGTAGTTATATGATGGTACACTGTCACTCACTGCTGGTGGGAATGTAAAACGGTGTAGCCACTTTGGAAAACAGCTTGTCACTTCTAAGAATTAAAACATAGAGGCCGGGCGCAGTGGTTCACGCCTGTAATCCCAGCACTTTGGGAGGCCAAGGCAGGCAGATCACGAGGTCAGGAGATCGAGACCATCCTAGCTAACATGGTGAAACCCCGTCTCTACTAAAAATAGAAAAAAATTAGCCGGGTGTGGTGGCGGGCACCTGTAGTCCCAGCTACTCGGGAGGCTGAGGCAGGAGAATGGCATGAACCCGGGAGGCGGAGCTTGCAGTGAGCCAAGATCGCGCCACTGCAGTCTGGCCTGGGTGACAGAGCAAGACTCAGTCTCAAAAAAATAAAAAATAAATAAATAAAAAATAAAACATAGAGTGGGACTCAGCAATTCTACTTTTAGGTATATACCCAAGAGAATTGGAAACATATTTCTTTTTTTTTTTTGAGACAGAGTCTTACTTGGTTGCCCAGGCTGAAGTGCAGTGGCTTGATCTTGGCTCACTGCAACCTCTGCCTCCCGGGTGCAAGCAATTCTCCTGCCTCGGCCTCCTGAGTAGCTGGTACTACAGGCATGCACCACCACTCCCGATTAATTTTTGTGTTTTTAGTAGAGATGGGGTTTCACCATGTAGGCCAGGCTGGTCTTGAACTCCTGACCTCAAGTGATCGCCCGCCTCGGCCTCCCAAAGTTTTGGGATTACAGGTGTGAGCCACCGTGCCCAGCGGGTGGAAACATATTTCCACACAAAAGCTTGCACATGAATGTTCACGGTAGCATTATTCATCATAGCCAACAAGTGGGAACAATTCAAATGTTCAACTTGAGGCAAGATAGGTAGTCAAGGAAGTGACCATGTCCTCGGGATGCGGCAACCGTGGTGACCGTACAGTCAACACAATAAGCCCCAGCATTCGCACTGTAGTTGAGCTCATTCAAGCAAAGCTATCTACAGTAGGGAATTTCCCCTGTAAAGAGGATGTGCATTTTGGCCGGGCGCAGTGGTGCAGCCTGTAATCCCAGCATTTTGGGAGGCCAAAGCAGGAGGATTGCTTGAGCCCAGGAGCTCGAGACCAGCCTCGGCAACATGGCAAAACCCTGTCTCTACAAAAAAAAATTAGCTGGGCATGGTGGCGCGTGCCTATAGTTGGAAGGCTGAGGCGGGCGGATCACCTGAGCCTGGGAGGTCGAGGCTGCAGTGAACCGAGATCACGTCCCGGCACTTTACCCTGGGTGACAGAGCAAGACTCTGTCTCAAAAAAAAAAAAAAAAAAAAAAAAAGTGCCTGGTACAGCCCCTTCAGCCCCTACCCCCAAGGCTGTAAATTTTATTTTGATATTTCTTCCAGAAGCCAAGATCTCTGACTTATATACAAGGGCCTTTAGGCCAAGTGTGAGGAGCAAGCAGAAAGCACCTGTTAATGATAAGACTGGGTAGCTCTGGTTTAATTTATTACAGAGTCAGCTACATCAGATTGGAGGCAAGTAGGATTCCCACAGGAGAGCAGGATATAAGCAAATGAGCCTTTCTATAACTGTTACATAAGGACTGAGATGATCATTATCCCCCACAGAGGGATGTATTATAGACCTGAAGGTTTTGGCAAATCTCCAGAGAATGATAATCTATATTGTAAAATGTAAAGAGGATACCACAAGCATCTCCAACCAACCAAATTATTACACTTCTAGGAAAAATTTTCTTAGAAGTGTATTTATTGATAGCCCTTACATACAAACAGAAATATGCTACCACCCCACACAGGATACATGATATATATTCACAATAACAATCTATACAAAACTTCCTTGGGGTAGCTTCAGCCTCTCTTTCCCATATTCTGAACCTGGTAAATAAAGGAAGCATGCTAGTGAGCAGCTGATTAGAAACTATGGAGCTAATCAATTGCATGCAATCGCTCTTCTTTGAGTCCCACGTGAGGGTAAAGGGTGAGGAAGCAAGGCTGTGGTGCTATCTAGTGGCTGTCTAGGAAGTAGCAAAGGCGGTTTTGTTTAAAAAAGGATTTCTGTTTTATCACTCCATATGTGGAGCCTGATTTCAGAGAACAGCATCAAAAAGTGTTTTCCGATATAAACATAGGTGTCCAAGAACAAGAACTGGCCACAGCTGTAGCTATTTTACTAACTAGTCTTTCCTCCTGTTAACAACATACAGCTTTGTTAACACTGTCTAGCATTTTTGCTGGGGGTAAAGGGCTGGGAACTAAAGTTTTTAATATTTGATCTCTTTAAGTGTACTTTGAAATATTCTCTTGGTTTTCTAGGATGCCCCTCAGCAGCAATGAGGAAACGTCCATATTGTTAGGCTGCTTCTCCTACCTGTGGTATATCTGGCTTCGCTTCCTGGGGTTCCTGATACCCCTTAGATGTCCCTTAACCTCTCCAGTCTCTCTCCTTATCAAGGAGAGTCCTGTGGACCCACACTGCTGTGTGTGGCCTTTCATCCCCGGCCCTGATTTACAGAGAGGCTGGACAGGTTAGGGAGTGACATCTACTGGACCACACAGGGCAGTAACAACACAGAGGGCAGATTCTGTCAGAGGTACTGGAGCAAACGGACTATCCGTCACGCTCAGTGACGGGACAGGCTGGTGGGCAGCACCTCCTTGCGGGCATCTGATACAACCACAGGCAGGCGATGGCAGTACATGGAGTGGCTCGCTAGGAACTGCATCTCAAAAGGCTTCACTGGACTGTGCCCCTGAGGTCAGTTCCTGCCCCTGGCACTGGGCTGACACCTATGTGTGGCAGTCCTTCCCCTGGTCAAATGTGGCATTGCCTCCTAGGCCACAAGCAGGGGTTCTTGTGGACTTAGGCGTTGGCCACCTTACTAACTGGAGTTCTGTTCTGTGGTAGTTATCCTCACCCTGCAGAAATACCCATATAGTCATGGAGTGGGGTGAGATGACGGGAACAGGAAGTGGAAATGCTTGTTGCCTCTTCCCATTCCCAGATCAGCTCTCCCAGCCCCTAGTCATGGAGGCCACTCCTGCATTCCAGTTTTCTACTAAACGTCTCCATTTGCTTGTCTCATCACTTCAGTTTCAAAGCATTCAAGGGTGAAATGTCATGTTGACCACCAAGTGGGTTATTTCCCTACGTCAATGACACTGCTATTGTCTTGTCACCCAGACTCAGAACCTGGAGTAATTTCATTGATTCAGCATCCGCACACACTCTATTCATCAAGAAAGATAAATTTCTGAAAACAGGAGCACCAACTGAATTAGCATTATCTGGGTTCCAATCCCCTTGTATGTGCTTTCTGGGTGTCTTAATTTATTATGTAAAACTCCTTGCCATTCGGGGCTGGAGTCCTCATCTTCTCTGTGTGCTTTATGATAGTTCCAGTGGTGGATTTATCTGGTCTTGAAAGTAGACACCCCTCGTCCTCTACAACATACTCTTAACTCACTACCAAGAGTTTCAGAAATATTTTCATTTTTACATCCTGGGAAAACCTCAGCCATTACAGTAACACCATGTTCCTTTAAAAAAAAAAAAAGAAGTTTGCTGCAAATCAATTTTAAAAAGAAGTTTGTGTTTGTTAACTAGAAATTTAGATGCCAGTGATAGGAGGCGGATCTGTGGAGGAAAGAAAACGATTGGAATTAGCCCCTCAACCTGAGCAGTCGCTCTGTAGTCATCAAAGGACTCTGGGAATGGTGCAAAACAACCCTAGGGGGCAGGGTTATCTGGGAGAACTCGGGCTGCTGAAAATTAAAGGTAGCATAAAGCAGGCTCTCTAACTCAAGAGCTTAAAACCCACTAGGGAAGAAATGGCATAAACACAGGTACCAAGGTTTACACTTTAGGCAGCAGCCAAATTCTAAGGTGAAAACCAGTTGACTATTTGCATTGTATTTCTAGGTCATGTTGTATGGGAAAAGACCAGTCTTCGAATATTAGAATCACATTCTGCTCACCCTAAGAGAGGATACTGGAACAGAACTTGATCAAGGGAATAGAGGGTTTGGGGTCCCATCTCACTCTCCTTCTCATATGTGATCAGATAAGCAAAATTACTGGAATATCTTCCTCTTTGCTTCTCTTTTCTGTTCAAAACACATGTGAATTTCTCAATGTCTATGCATACATTAGACAACCTTCCTCAGTAATACCAAACTACATGAGAAATGGGGGTCCCTACAGAGTATTAAGGGGGCACATGGGCTAAGCACGGTGGCTCATGCCTGTAATCCCAGCACTTTGGGAGGCCAAAGCAGGTGGATCACCTGAGGTCAGGAGTTCGAGACCAGCCTGCCCAACACGGCAAAACCCCATCTCTACTAAAAATACAAAAAATTAGCCAGACGTGGTGGCAGGCGCCTGTAATCACAGCTACTCAGGAGGCTGAGGCAGCAGAATCGCTTGCACAGGGGAGGTGGAGGGTGCAGTGAGCCAAGATCACACCACTGCACTCCAGCCTGGGTGACAGAGTGAGACTCTGTCTCAAAAACAAAAACAAAAACAACAGCAACAACAAAAAAAAACAGGGGCACATGGAGAAAGACAAGAAATCTAAGGAGGCAAGAGCTTGAAGCTTCAGGGCGAATGTCTGAACTTCGTGTTGAAGAATGGATACCATTTAGAGATGAAGAGATGTGGGAAGGCAGTCTAGGAAGGGAGCATGAGCAAAGGCACAGGAGCAGGGATGTGCAGAGCTCATAATTTAGGAAAAAGGACTGGTCCAGGGTCACTGGGTTTAAGACTGTGTGATGGGAAAAGGTGGTGAGACGGCAGGGCGCAGTGGCTCATGCCTGTAATCCTAGCACTTTGGGGGGCCAAGGCAGGCAGATCACCTGAGGTCAGGAGTTCAAGACCAGCCTGGTCAACATAGTGAATCCCATCTCTACTAAAAATACAAAAATTAGCTAGGTGTAGTGGCGCATGTCCCAGCTACTTGGGAGGCTGAGGCAGGAGAATCGCCTGAACCTGGGAAGCAGCGGTTGCAGTGAGCCAAGATCGCCCGCCACTGCCCTCCAGCCTGAAAAACAGAGCGAGACTCCATCTCAAAAAAAAAAAAAAAAAAAAAAAAAATGGTGGTGAGAATAAGATTAGAACAAAATTCGGTTTCAGTCTCTGCTCAGATCCTGTTTCATGGATGTCTGACTCCACTCAAGGAGGCTTTGGGGATACAGAATCTAAGCACTAACGGTCCTCGGAGGTCTTCTGGGGATAAGGTTCCCTGTCCATTTCCCTAGGAATCACCTCTATGGTATCCTTCTGTGTGCAAAGGAACCCACAGGGGAGGAGTAAAGATGGAGCCTTCGATTCAAGAAAGTAACTGCAGACAAGTAACTAAGGCTCAGTTTCCTCAGGTGCAAAATGTGGGTAATTGACTTGCCTAATACATAGGATCGCTGAGAAGGCCCAACGGCTAGGATTACAAGCGTTGGAATTACAAGAGTCCCACCTCTGCTCTGTCCTTTACTAGCTGTGTGGACCTTATACACTGGTAAGTCCTTAATTTCACGGAGCTTCAGTTTCTCTTCAGTAACATATTTGTAATAGTATCTACCTCCTAAGGTTGATCTGATGATTAACCAGAATAATGAATATAAAATGCTTAGCAAAAACGTGGCACGGAGTGAAGTACTCAGCAAATATTGGTTATAATGGTTGAGGAAATGACATGCACTATATACATGAGGTTTCATTGTCTGAAAACATGCACGATTTGTTACCAAAAGACTTATCCTGGGCCGGCGCAGTGGCTCACGCCTGTAACCCCAGCACTTGGGGAGGCCAAGGCAGGAGGATTGCTTGAGACCTGGGCAACATAGTGAGATACTCTCTCTACAAAAAATCAGCCCAGCATGGTGATGTGTGCCTGTACCCCAGCTACTCCGGAGGCTGAGGTGGGAGGATCCCTTGAGCCCAGGAGCAGTGAGGTTGCAGTAAGCAGAGATCGCGCCACAGCACTCCAGCCTGCGCGACAGAGCAAGACCCTTTCTGAAATAAATAAATAAATAAATAAATAAATAAATAAAGCGATTTTAAAAAGAAAAGAAAGACTTATTCTGGAGGATTGGCTACATAGTGCAAATAAACAGAACAAAAATCTAGGGCCGCTGTAGCGGGCAAATTCGTTCACCAACTCCAACCAGACCCCGCCTCCAAGCAGGCAAGCCCCGCCCTCCCCAGGCTGCACCCTTGTCCCCGCCCCGATGCGCCTGCGCAGGGCCGGCCGCCGGCGGCCGAGGCGATGAGGGTGTTGGTGCGGCGCTGTTGGGGTCCTCCGCTGGCTCATGGCGCCAGGCGTGGGAGGCCGAGTCCCCAGTGGCGAGCACTGGCCCGACTCGGCTGGGAGGACTGCCGGGACTCCAGAGTCCGCGAGAAGCCTCCCTGGCGGGTGCTCTTCTTCGGCACGGACCAGTTCGCCCGCGAGGCGCTGCGGGCGCTGCACGCCGCCAGGTACCCGGGCCAGGGATCCGGGGACCCGGCCGCTGAAGGCCTCCAGGCCGCGCCCGGGCGGCCGGCCCCGAGGGTTTTGGACTTCTGGTTGCGGAAAGCATGGGCGGCAGAGCGGTGTGGGCCCAGATCTCGGCGTCTTCTGGCTCCCAGAAGGTGCGCCATTCCCGCCGGTCAGCCTTTGGGCGCCTAGTACCTGCGGTCTGCGCCCCTCACTCCCCGCCGCCTCTGTGGGTTCTCCAGGCGCCCTGCCACCCACGCTGTGCCGAGCTGGGGCTGGGCGCTCTGCCTGCATCCCCCGGGCCAGTCCCACGGCCTCCCTGCCCGTTTTGAGTGTGGGGAATCCGTGGCTCAGAGAGGTTATGCGATTGCCCAAGGTCATCAGCCGAGGTGGTTCGGACTAAAACCAGGTCCCACTTCAAAGTTCCCTGCTTTGCAGTTCCTCCTGACCCCCATCCTTCGGCACACCCGTGTCTCGCTCTTTTGCTCCCCCTGTGCTCCTTGTATACAAGGACATAGTCCAAAAACGACCTGTTTTCAAAAGAATAAATTTATAAATCAGAACTGTTAGGTATACATTTAGTATTCATAATATTTAACAAGTTTTGTTTACTGGGAAAGAAAATTATTTGAAATCCAACCAGTCCTGAGAGTCCATGGTATGTGGTGGCAATACCGTATATACTTCTCTGCCTCTTTTTCCCAATTAATGTTTTTTATTTCCCCATTCTGTTTTTTTCTGACGCAGTCCTCCTTCCACTTTTTTTGGTCATCTCCATCTCCTTTTCCCTACAGATACTTCACAGCAGCCCCTCATGTATTGAATCCTTCGTCAATCCCCTGTGTGGTTTTCCTTCCTCCACACACCCCTCTGTGCACACACCCGGAAGGAAACCCCATGTTCCCTTTGCACACCCTTCATGGGCTGCTGTTGTCACATGCGTCTCTCACTGCATTTATACATTTATACCAACACTTTTTTTGTTTGTTTCTGAGGCGAGGTCTCGCGCTGTCCCCCAGGCTGGAGTGCAGTGGCCGGCTCATAGCTCACTGCAGCCTCGACCTCAAAGATCAAGCAATCATCCCATCTCAGCTTCCAGAGTAGCTAGGACTACGGGCGTGCACCACCACGCCTGATTTTTAAATTTTTTGTAGAGGCGGGTTTTCACCATGTTGCCCAGGCTTATCTCAAACTCCTGGGATCAAGTGATCCTCTCACCTTGGCCTCCCAAAGTGCTGAGATTACAGGCCTGAGCCATCATTCCTGGCCTATCCTGATACTTCTGATGATGCTTCACTTGGCAGCTCCATTACTCCTGTGCTTTCTTTATAGTGCCCCAGGACATACTCCTCATAACTCCTCAACGTGTACATACAATACCTGTTTAATAAATGTACCCCCCTGGGTACTAGAATGCTATGCAGCAGGTAGAAAGGATGAGGTAGTGCTACAGGTACTGCCATGGAATGATAGCCATGTTATGTATTTTTGTTTGTTTTTTAAAAAGTAGTGTTTGAATGGCATCATGGTTATGGTAAAAAAGTTCCATGGATTCAAAGGATATACAGTGAAAAGTTACTTCCTTCCACCTCTGTTTAGCAGTTCCCAGTTCCTTTATCCAGAGACAGCCACTGTTTTCAGTTCCTTCTAGAAATGTTCAGTGAATATACAAATATACGTATATTTAACCCATTTTTCAAAAAGACACATAATAGCATATATAGCATTGTTAAAAGGAAAAAAAATGCAAAGCAGTATGTAATATCCCAGTTGTGTAAAGTATCCATACTGTATATGTTTCTGTATGCACAGGAAATCCCTAGAATGATACTGTTCAAACAGTAGCCACTAGCCACGTGTCACTCTTTACATTTTAAATAATTAAAATTAAATAAAAAATGAAAACTGAGGCTGGGCACGGTGTTCACGCCTGTAATCCCAGCACTTTGGGAGGTGGAGGCGGACGGATCACTTGAGGTCAGGAGTTGGAGACCAGCCTGGCCAACATGGGGAAACCCTGCCTCCACTAAAAAACACAAAAATTAGCTGGGTGTGGTGGTGCATGCCTGTAATCCCAGCTATTCGGGAGACTGAGGCAGGATAATCGCTTGAACCTAGGGGGCAGAGGTTGCAGTGAGCTGAGATCGCTCCACTGCACTCCAGCCTGGGTGACAGAGTGAGACTCCAGCTCAAAAAAAAAAAAAGAAAAAGAAAAAATGAAAACTCAGTCTCTCACACTAGTTTTAATCATTTAGCCCTAAATGCTTCATGAGATTAATCATAAACATACTTAGCGATATGTGAAGTAGTTTTAGCTTTGAGTCATTGCCTTAACACTGTCACATTTTTCTTCCTATCTAATTTAGGGAAAACAAAGAAGAAGAGTTAATCGACAAACTGGAGGTGGTCACAATGCCTTCCCCATCACCAAAAGGACTGCCAGTGAAGCAATATGCTGTGCAGTCTCAGCTTCCCGTATATGAGTGGCCGGATGTGGGATCTGGAGAATATGATGTTGGAGTAGTGGCTTCGTTTGGCCGACTTTTGAATGAGGCTCTTATTCTTAAATTTCCCTAGTAAGTTTTATTTGTAAGGAAATACAGTATAGAAACCTTGGTCTTTATAAATGGACCTTGTATATAAAATGTGATAATTTGAACTCTATGCTTTCTGTAATATTTTCTTTTTTTATTTTTACCATTTTATTTTTCTGTACATGTTTGCTTAAAGTCAATGAATTTCTCTGCCAGGTTCAGGTAACTGAAGGGCCTTTAGAAGTAGTTTATATTGTTTAAACCCAAGGAATGCTGCAAACACAGTCTGGAACACAATAGGAAATAACATCTTTCTAAAGACAGGCTTATAAATTTGAATCCAGTAACTTAAGATGTTCCCTTTCTCTGGTAACAGAGTTGATTCATACCAGGCTGCTAGGCCTCCAGTCACAGGTATAGACAAGAAAAGAGGGTATAGACCACCAAAAGCAAGACCAATCCACTCTGTGTTATGGTACACGTTTCACAATTCAAATCACCTGTATTCGAAGGAAAATTTACAAAACTTTTGTAAGCTGTGTTTGTTGTAAGAAAAGGGATCACTGCCATTGGTAAGCCAGCAGCTGTAAGAGCCTGTGTCATGTTCAAGACGCATTGAAAAAGACCATTTGCTATGAGGCCACAGAGAGCATTAAATCCAACATATGCTGATCCCTCTTCAGGTAGATTCCTTTCTGCTTGTGGAAGCTGGTTAATTTTTCTGGTTATGATATCAAAGATTGTTAAGTTTTCCTTGATAGTATTAGATTTATGATTTTCCATCTTGAGCCTTATGCTCTTCTCCCAGCAGCTGGTTGGTGCCTCCCCAGGTCGTCTTCAGCCATGCCCGGGCTCACTGAAGCCTTTGCTCAACTCGCCTGGGCACAGCCATATTTGGCTGACACATGACTCGGCCTGATATTTTCTTTTCAAGTACTAAAGAACATTTTATTTGTGGCATGAGTTGTCAAAATGTATTTAACTCCTTATCACCCTCTATAGGCTTTCATCCACCTTCATTTAAATTCCATATATATGCTGACAACGCCCAAATTGGTCCCTCTAGCTCAGCTCGGTCCCCAAACTCTAGTCCCCTAATACCTACTGCCTCCACAGCTCTTCCTGGATGTCTGATAGCCACTTTACATTCAAGATACCCAAAGCATCTCCTAAAATCTTTATCTCAATAAATGGCTACTCCATCATTCTAGCTGCTTGCACCAAAATCCTGGAGTCATGCTTGATTTCTTACGTCCCATATCCAATCCATCAGTAAATCCTATTGGCTCTGCCTTCAAAATCTGTGTAGAATCTGTCTGTATCTCATCACTTCCGCTGCTGCCACTCTCGCCTACATTACTACAGAAGCCTCCTAACTGGTCCCTACTTCTGTCCTTGGCCCTCTCAGTCTTTTACCAATCCAGCAGCCAAAATGTATTTATTTATTTATTTATTTATTTCTATTTTATTGTTTAATTTAGAGACAGTCTTGCTGTCACCCAGGCTGGAGTACAGTGTTGCTATCATAACTCACTGCAGCCCCAGACTCAAGGGATCTTCCTGCCTCAGCCTTCTGAGTAGCTGAGACTATAGGAATGTGCCAACACACCCAGCTAACTCTTTTTTTTTTTTTTTTTTTTTTAGAGACAGGGATCTCGCTATGTGGCCCAACCTGGTCCCAAACTCCTGGCTGCATGTGATCTTCCTGCCTTGGCCTCCCAAAGTTTTGGGATTACAGGCATGAGCCACTGTACCCTGCCTCAAAGTGATCCTTTTAAAACAAGTCAGATCATGTCACTCTGCTCAAAATCCTCTGGTAATTTTCTGTCTTACTCAATAAAAGGCCAGGCCTAACTGGCCTCCCAGCTGTGCCTTGAATTTGCCGAGCATTTACCTTCTTCAAGATCTTTGTACTTAATGTTCCCTCTGCCTGGAATGCTTTTCTCCCATATATATGCGTAGTTATTTCCTTCTTCATGTTCTTGTTCAAGTGTTTTCTTGTTGGTAAAGCTTTCTCTGATCACTACTAAAATTGTAATATGTCCCCCTCATAGTCCTCTCTGCTTTATTTTCTCCATAGCCCTCAGCATCATCTGGCAAACCTTGTACATATTTTGTTTTTTCTTGCTTATCTCCCACTTTTTGTACATAAACTCTCTGAGGGCAGGATTTTTTTTTTCTGTCTGGTTCACTGCTGCTTGTATGCCTAACACTTAGAACAGTGTCTGCACATGGAGTGCGCTCAGTGAATGTTGGATTGGGCTGAGGATCTCCTGAGCTTGGGAGGTTGAGGCTGCAGTGAGCCATCCAGCCTGGGCAACAGAGCGAGACCCTGTCTCAAAAAAAAATTAAAAAAAAAAAGAAAAAGCTTATTTTAGGCAGTCTGTATGTAAACCAAGTGAAGTGAGGATAGTTATGTGACTAAACTATAAAATTAGAATTGTTCATGAGATGCATAATAGGGTTTGAGTGGTTCTCTTATAGTCATAAATGCATTTTAAAATTTTATTTAAAAACTCCCAGACATCATGGGCTGTTGTAGATTTTGCGACGGAGTTTCGCTCTTGTTGCCCAGGCTGGAGTGCAATGGCGTGATCTCGGTTCACTGCACCTCTGCCTCCCAGGTTCAAGCGATTCTCCTGTCTCAGCCTTCCGAGTAGCTGGGATTACAGGCATGCGCCACCACACCTGGCTAATTTTGTCTTTTTAGTAGAGATGGGGTTTCTCCATGTTGGTCCGGCTGGTCTCAAACTCCCGATCTCAAGTGATCCGCCCGCCTCGGCCTCTCAAAGTGCTGGGATTACAGGCATGAGCCACCACACCCAGACAGAACATCTTTAGAACAGCAAATAGTTGTCCTAGCTCTGTTTTTAATTAAATGTCATTGGTTTCTTATGGTAAGAGAGTGAATTTACATGTAACTTTTTTCCTTTCAGGTGATACGAGACTTAGATTTAACTGTCAGTTTTTCCAAATTTCTGGGAAAGTTTCCTAATGAAAAGTAGCATAATAGCTTAGGTAGTGGTAACGAAGTGGTAAAGCCCACTGACATACTAATTTCTACATTTTCTAACTCAGTGGCATATTGAATGTTCATCCCAGTTGCCTCCCGAGATGGCGTGGCCCAGCCCCTGTAATCCATACAGTGCTTCACGGAGACACAGTTACTGGAGTAACAATTATGCAAATTAGACCTAAAAGGTAGCACATATTTTCCTTTCTTGAGATTTTTGTGATTTTTAAATGTTGATGTCAGCCTGTTTGGGGGGCAGTGGATGAATGGGTGGTGCTCACTAATTTCTGTGACTCCAGAGTGCTTCTTCTGCTTTTATATCCTTTCTGTTTTCTCCTGGTTTCTAACATAAACCATATGTCTTTTGGTATTTATGCGGGGTCTCTTTAAAGTCCATATGTGAATTTTAATTTGTTAATTGAAATAGGTTATATTATTAATACTCGGATTTCTATAAAATACATTGTATAAATGAGAGATGGATTTTTGTATGTTAATTGTTTTGAATCTTGGTTTTGCTGGCCTTGGTTTCTAAACTATGGCCAAAAAATTTTTGGAACCTGAAATAAGAATATATTGTATATCAATATGCAATATAATTGTCCTAAAACATTCATTTTTTCCTGTCATACCTATAGTTTAGAACAATTTAGAAACAATTTAGAACAATTTTTTAGAAACAATTATTTAGAATTACTTGAGGAGTTTATTCAGTCTCTGCCTGTTACCACCTAATTTCCCCTTAGAAAAGAATAATTCACAAGTTCGCAAGAACAACGTGGTATCTGGGATTTGCTTTAACTTACTTCAGAAAACAAGAGAGAGAGTAGATGAGACAAGAGTGGCAAAACTTTGGTAGTTCTAAAATCTGAGCCAGGCATGGTGGCTCACGCCTGTAATCCTAAACTTTGGGAGGCCGAGGTGGGAGGATCACTTGAGTCTGGGAGTTCAAGACCAGCCTGGGCAACATATAAAAAATAAAAAAATTAGCCAGGTGTGGTGATACACACCTGTAGTCCCAGCTACTCAGGAGGCTGAGGTGAGAGGATCTCTTCAGCCTAGGAGGTTGAGGCGGCAGTGAGGCAAGATCGCACCACTGCATTCCAGCCTGGGCGACGGAGCAAGAACCTGTCTCAAAAAAAAAAAAAAAAAAATCTGAATGATGTGTATATGATGATTCATTAGACTGTTCACTCCGTTTTTGTGAATGTTTGCAATTTTTCACAATAAACATTTTACTAAAGCTCCTAGGTTAGAAATAGAATTAACAAAAACAAAAAGCAAAAAAAAATTAAATAAAGCATATTGCTCATGAAAACCTATGACCAGTGTTTACAGAGCTTGATATAAAATGTCAGACTTGTGGGAATGCAAATATACTTGCATTTACTTTTTTTTTTTTTTCTTGAGACGGGGTCTCACTCTGTCACCCCGGCTGGAATGTAGTGGGGTGATCTCAGCTCACTGCAACCTCTGCTTCCCAGGTTCAAGCGATTCTCCTGCTGCAGCCTCCCGAATAGCTAGGACTACAGGCACACGCTACCATGCCCGGCTAATTTTTTGTATTTTTAGTAGAGATAGGGTTTCACCATGTTGGCCAGGATCTCTTGACCTCGTGATCCACCCACCTTGGCCTCCCAAAGTGCTGTGATTACAGGCATGAGCCACTACGCCTGGCCCTACTTATAATCACCTATGGTGATAATCTAGGCAAAACTCTTATCCTTTGAGGAAGGGACTATAGAAATAAATAATTATGAACTTCCTAACTGTACTTCCATGGAAAATAAATTCTTTGCCTTATGCTTTTCATATACAAATAGAGATTTTTTCATGCTATTACTAATGATATAATTTTTCTGTAATTGTAATTAAATTCCTGATATGCAACTGTATCGTTTCTTTGCTTTAGGGAAAAATAAATTTAGACTCTAAACACAGGCCATATTTTGTTCTCCCGTCTTTCAAACTGACATATCTTCCTTGCTAATGTCTAACAGCCAAATTAATAGCCAGTGATAAACTATCTTTATTTATTTTTTTTAAGAGATAGGGGCTAGCTGTGTTGCCCAGGCTGGTCTCAAACTCCAGGGATCAAGCAATCCTGCTGCCTCAGCCTCCTGAGCAACTAGGACTATAGGCATGCAGACCACTGTACCCAGCTTGTATCTTTTTGTGTGTAGACAAACATTGATTCAGGAAATGGTAATCATTGTCATTATTTGCTTTTGATTTTTTGCTAGGTTTGATGTAGGCCCAATTCTCAAACAAGAAACTGTTCCTGTGCCACCCAAGAGCACTGCAAAGGAATTGGAAGCAGTGTTGTCAAGACTGGGTGCCAACATGGTATAATTCCCCAATATCCTACTGCTTTTTACTCATTTAGTGGGTTTCCTAAGTGGTTATAAAAAGAAGAACAATTTTGTGACTTCTAATTTTCTTAAAAACAAAAAAGAGTAATTTCTATCTTTGGCTTCCTAAAAATTAGCCTGGCATTTGTGATCTCATGTAAATCTTTGAGAATTTACAAAGAGTAAGTACTGAATAAAGGCTTTCAAGTGAAACAGGTGATCTTACATGACCTACTACATGCCATAGTGAGGTCTTAGACTATTCTTCTCAATTTCACTCTCCGCACTCTGGTATGTATACCTTGCATCCCTGTCAGAATGAACTAACAGCAATTTTCTAAGCGACTCTTAGCTTTCCTTCCATTTCTTTGCCTGGCTTCAGTCATTTGCACTAGAATTCTGCTGACCATTCTACCTATAGATGATCCTTCTTTTTTCTGTGGCTTTGTATATATAATTCATTGAAACTGCATGAGTAGAGTCTGGGTAAATGTTTAATGACTAAACTTATGTTTTCCATATGAACGGGTTAATTTTATACAGAGGAATATTTTTTTCCCACCTGTAGAGATGGTATTTCCTATTCTAGGCACTTACCTCACAAATGATCTTATAATAGTGACTGCCGTTTATTGAACATTGGCTTGTGTTCTACAACTGTTCTAGATACTGTATGGACTTTTTCTTTTTACCCTCTCAACTTTGAGGTAGTTGTTGCTGTTGATTGTTTCACAGATGATGACATTGAAGGCCAGAGACAAGCTAAATAACTTTTCCACAATGAGACAGCTGGTAGGTGGTAGAACTAGGACTTGAACCCAGAGCTGGGTGACTCCATAGTACATTGTCCTGTGAGGTTTCACTGCCTTGGCCCCCATGGGGTGAGAGTGTGTATAGCCAAGCCCGGGCTATCCTGATGCCAAAGCTTCCACAGCATTCTCTAGAAGTGAATCAATGACCTGTACTCTACAGAAAGCAGAATCTCTACTGAGGTTTCCCCAAGTAGACACCTATCCTCACAGCTTAAGCCAATGTACTACCTTACCCTGCCACATAGATCTTTTAAAGTTATAGGTTCAGCCTTGAAGAGCCAATAGTAAAGATTTTTTTTTTAATTTGAAAAAAGAAAAAGAAAAAAAGTTATAGGTTATTTCATGGTGCTGAATTGTAATGTGTTTCTGCTTTTGTTCTTCCCTTCATTTTGAATATATCACACTCTTTTTTTTTTTTTTGTAGCTCATTTCAGTTTTGAAAAATTTGCCTGAAAGTCTGAGCAATGGAAGGCAGCAGCCAATGGAGGGGGCGACTTACGGTGAGTGAAGGCTGCAGAGACTCTCATCTTTCTAAAGGTTCTGCTTGTCACGATAGCATCTGAACATTCTGACTTCTTAGCTGTACTTTTCCCTTAATTTTGATTGAGTGCCCACTTTTGTGTGCTTTTCCAAAGAATGGTAGAAAGCATTCTTTCTCCCTCTTAGCATATAGCCTCATGAAGGATTGAGCATTTTTTTCCAACTTCTTGATTTTGAAAATATTAAATAGAAAGACTGGTATAATAAACACCAGTTTACCCCAGAGTCAACAATTATTAATGTTTGTCCATATTTTCTTTCTCTTTATGTATTTATTACGTGTATTTTAAATTCTGCTTATTCATTTGGAAGTATGAATCATGATCTTTCATCTCTAAGTAGTTTAGTATGCCTTTCCTAAGAAAAATGAACAATTTCCTGATAGCATCCAATGTTCAGTTCATATTTAAGTGTTCCTAATTGTCTAAAAATTTATTTTATAGTTTTATTTTTCAAACTAGGATTTAATTGTAATTAGTTGTTATGTCTCTTTAGTCTCTAAAAAAAATTCCTCTTTTTTTCCTCTCTCTATGTCATTGACTTTTTGAAGAGACCAGGCCAGTTGTTTGATTTGTTTTCTTCCAGTGTTGTTTAACTTGTTCCCTATCTCTTATATTTCCTATAATTAGTTCTAAAGGTTTGGCTGGATTCAGGCTTAAAGTTTTTGGAAAGAGTGTGTTTCAGTGACATTTGTTTTCTTCTTTTTTGTTTTTTTTAGTAGAGTTAGGAGTATAAACATTTGTTTCAGTTTGTTTTTAATTTTAGGGATTACTTTTTATTTTTCTTTATGATTAAATGTTATTTTTTGAATATGTAAAACATATAGCTGATTCAAAAGTTAATATACCTAGAGAAGTCTCACTTTTGTCCCCTACAGTCTTAAGGTACCACTTGAGTAAGCCAAGATATCAGACTGTACTAAAGCAAGTGAAGCTAAGTTTGATCACTTGGTTGAGATGGTGACCACCAGATCTTTCCAGTGTTAAGATGTGTTTTCCCTTTTGCAATTAGCAGGTAATCTGTGGGGTAATTAATACTCTGGCACTGTGCAGATATCCTGTTCCCTAACAACCTTTCACATGATGGTTTTAGTACAGATTGATATTCCTTGCCCAAATGAATTATTTCACTATGGATTACAAAATGGCAATTTTCTAATTCCTTTTACATTTAATAGCTGGTATTGTTCTGGAAAGAAGAGTTTTTCCTCATTAATTGGAGGTGAATTTTAGTTCATCCTAAAATGGGGACAGGGGCTTAATTCTTTCTCTTTAATTAGAATAAGAAGTTGATGCCATTAATTGCCTTCAATTTTGGTGTCAGATGCGTTCTTTTTAGTATCATTTGACGCGTAGATTTTCATTGATTGTGTTTTACAGTCATAATTCTTTATATTTGCCCAGTGGGAGCCCCTTAAATTTGGCTCCTACATTCTGTTAACACTCTTCACTTCCCACTAGTTTGGAGTGCTTCCTTGCTTCCACCACAGTATGTCCCAGGCTCGCCTATGTGTCCTCTGGCTCACACTGAAATCAACCAGTGTGATTTCCAGGGAGCTTTTGTTCATTTTAGTGGGGTTGATAATTAGAGATCATCTGGTACAACAATGTATGGCAAGATAAGGTATCAGTGGACTAAACTAGAAGTTATATTTTTAAAAAATATTCAAGCTCATATTGTTTATGATTCAAATTTATCATTAAAGGGTTTTCCTTATATTTTCTCACACTATCTTTTTTTAAATATTAACCTATTTATTTGCTATTCATAACATCATTTCAGCATTACAATACCAATATTACTACTAAGAGTAAAAATACTAAGTAAGATTTAAGATTTCTTTACAGTTTTCCTTTTTGATCCTTAGAATATATCCTAAGGATATACAGTCAGATTACTGCCTTCAAAACTTCCTGGTAATGATTATTTTTTCCATGTGGTTTTGTTACCTAGTTTCATACATAGTTAAGTTTCAGTTGTTTTTTTTTTTATTTTAGGGATTGCTTTATTTTCTTTTATGATTAAATTTTATTTTTTGAATGCATAAAATATTTACATGGTTCAAAAGTTAAAACAGCTTAAAAAGGTACACTCATAGAAGTCCTACTTCCATCTCTATCTTATCTAACCCGTATTCCTCCCTCTATAGGTAACATTTTTATTAGTTTCTGATTTAGTCTTCCAGTGTTTCCTTTTGCCAAAATAAGCAAACACCTACATAGTGTTATTTTTTATTTTTCCTTCACAAAAGGTGGCATAAAATACATATTTTTCTGTGCCTTTGTTTTTTCACTTAATAGTGTATCATGGAGACTACTTCCTATTAGTAAGAAGAGATTTTCCTCCTTCTTTCTTTTTTTTTTAAGATAGGGTCTCTGTTACCCAGGCTGAAGTGCAATAGTGTGATCATGGCTTACTGCAGTCTCAACCTCCCAGGCTCAAGCAGTCCTCCCACCTCAGCCTCCCAAGTAGCTGGGACTACAGGTACATTCCACCATGCCTGGCTAATTTTTTAATTTGTTGTAGAGACAAGTTCTAACTATGTTGCTCAGGTTGGTCTTGAACTCCTAGACTCAAGCCGTCCTCCTGCCTTGGCCTCCCAAAGGCATGCCTGGCCTTCTTTTTGTTTTTTATGGTGGCATAGTTCTCAGCTATGTGAATATATCATAATTAACCCAACAGATGTCTTATTGATGGGCATTTGGGTTGTTTCCAATCTTTTGCTATTTCAAATAATAGTAAGATTAGGAAGATAACAGGCACATGGTTATTCAGAATAGTATAGTAAAACTACTTGGAGTAGTTTTAATGTACCTTATTCCTGTCAGTAATGTTGAAGATCTTTTCATATATTTAAGAACTATTTGCATTTCTTTTTTCTGGGTGGTAGTATATCTTTTGCCCATGTTCCTATCAACATTTTGGTCTTTTTCTTCTCAGTTTTTTGAGTACTTATATTTCATAATAGAGAAATTAGTCCTCTCTGAGATAACTTGCAAATTCAGTTTGTCATTTGTTTTTTGATTTAACTTATGGCATTTCTTTTTGTCTTTTTTTTTTTTTTTAATTTATTTTGCCTAGGCATGGTAGCTCATGCATCTAATCCTAGCACTTTGGGAGGATGAGGCGGGTGGATCACTTAAGGTTAGGAGTTCGAGACCAGCCTGGCAAACATGGCAAAACCCTGTCTCTACTAAAAATACAAAAAATTAGCCAGGCATGGTAGTGCACGCTTGTAGTCCCAGCTACTCGGGAGGCTGAGGCACAAGAATCTCTTGAGCCTGGGAGGTGGAGGTTGCAGTGAGCTGAGATCACGCCACTGCACTCCAGCCTGGGTGACAGGGCAAGACCCTATCTCAAAAAAAAAAAAAAAAGTTTGAATAGTCTCATTTCATAGTTAGAAGGGCATTTTCTACTCCCAGGATGTAAAGAAGTTCACCCATGTTTTATTTTAATATTTATATGATTATTTATTTATTATTTTTACTTGATATATGGAAAATTTTGAACATAAAGAAAAGTTGAGAGGTTAGAATGAATTCTCTGGTATCTCTTATTCAGTATCAATAGCTGTCAATTCATGGACACTGACCCTGATGTTCATTTTTGCTCTTGGTTTTATCTTGTAGCCCCTAAGATTTCTGCTGGTACCAGTTGTATAAAATGGGAGGAACAAACTTCAGAACAAATATTCAGACTTTACCGTGCCATTGGAAATATAGTAAGTTGGGAAGTCAGGTTGCAGTTCTACCTAGTTGGTTTTCTATGTGTGTAATTTGCTTTCTAAATATTTTTATTTAGGAATAATCCCAAATAAAAATATCCCAAATAAAAGGTTGATCTTAGGAACAAAACCTAGAAAACCTGAAATTTATTCTTAAAAATTCTTTAAGCTGTTTAAAGTGTTTATAGAGACCTTAGAATTCACAAAGCACTTTTAAATATATGTATATTGCAGTTTCACATAACCAAGTTTTACTATCCTACTTCATAGGTGAGGGGAAAGAAATGAGATGACTAACAGGAATGTCCAGTCACTAAATAATGAACTTAAATCTTCTCACTCCTAATCCTGTGCTTCTTCCAGTATGTCTTTCTGCCTTTAGCCAATTTTTTACAATCAAATTGTTAAATCATTGATTTCTACATATGGTACACCAAGTGTAGTAATATAACAGTTTGTTAAAATGTCTGAGTTAAATTCTCAGTTCATTGATAAATTTGTGGGGTTTTTTCCTTTCATTTCAATAGCTACTTGTGTTATTTGAACACTGAGCTTACCGTATGTGTGTTTGTGTGTGTGTGTTGTTTTATTTTTTGAGACGGGGTCTAGCTCTGTCACCCAGGCCTGGAGTACAGTGGAGAAACCTTGGCTCACTGCAACCTCTGCCTCCCAGGCTCAAGTGAGCCTCCTGTGACAGCCCCTGAGTAGCTGCAACCACAGGCACACACCACCACACCTGGCTAATTTTTGTATTTTTTTGTAGAGACGAGGTTTTGCCATGTTGCCCAGGCTGGTCTTGAACTGCTGAGCTCAAGTGATCCGCTCTTCTCAGCCTCCCAAAGTGCTGGGATTACAGGCACGAGCCACTGTGCCTGGCCAAGTGTGTGGTTTTTAATGGACCATCTCTGTTATTAATGTTGGGTAAAATGGGGAACCACCATTGGATATCTATAGCATGCTAAATTCTTCAGTAAGGAGGATCACAGACTCATGTTATAGTTATTATCATCCCACTTTAAAGTTGAAGAAATTGAGGCTTAAAGTAGATAATGAATTGTTATTAAGTGTTACTCGATGTCGTGTTGCTAGTTAATGAAAGTCAGAGTCAGGTTTTGAACGAGATCTATCTTACTTCAAATCCTATTATTTTCCTGCTGCCACAGAATGGCATCAGGAAACAAGGACCATAGGGCCAGACAGTGCTGGGTTCCATCTTGACTCTGCTACTTCCTAACGTCGTAGACTCAGGAAAGTTATTTAACCTCCGAGCTTTAGTTTGTTCCTTGGAATATCAGGGCTGGTATAATATATTTACAGCATCTTGTACAGTATCTGGCACAGAATAGGTACTCATTAAATGATAGCTGCTATTATTCATTCATTCATTAAACAAAATATTTATTGAAGGCCTATTATGTGTCAAGCAGTGTACTAGGTACTATAGAAACAGGTGTTGTGGGAGGACAGACAACAAGTAAGCAAAAAAAAAAAAAAAAAATCAGGCCAGGCATGGTGGCTCACACGTGTAATCCCAGCACTTTGGGAGGCTGAGGCAGATGCATCACCTGAGGTCAGGAGTTTGAGACCAGCCTGGCCAACATAGTGAAACCCTGTCTCTACTAAAAACACACAAAAAAATTAGCTGGGCGTGGTGGCATGCGCCTGTAATCCCAGCTACTAGAAAGGCTGAGGCAAGAAAATTGCTTGAACCTAGGAGACAGAGGTTGCAGTGAGCCAAGATCACACCACTGCACTCCAGCCTGGGCGACAGAGCAAGACTCTGTCTCAAAAGAAAAAAAAAAAAAAAGACCGGGCATGGTGGCTCACGCCTGTTATCTCAGCACTTTGGGAGGCCGAGGCGGGCGGATCACCTGAGGTCAGGAGTTCGAGACCAGCCTGACCAACATGGAGAAACCCCGTCTCTACTAAAAATACAAAAAAATTAGCCAGACCTAGTGGCGCATGCCTGTAATCCTAGCTACTTGGGAGGCTGAGGCAGGAGAATTGCTTGAACCCAGGAGGTGGAGGTTATGATGAGCCGAGATTGCACATTGCACACCAGCCTGGGCAACAAGAGCGAAACTCCATCTCAAAAAAAAAAAAAAAAAAATCAAATAGTGTGATAAATTCCTTGATGAAAATAAAAATAGGATCATGTGATAGAATAACTGGAGGTTATTTTAGATCGGTGATGGGGAAAGCCTCTTTCTGACACTTAAGCTGAAATCTGAAAGACAATAAGGAGCCAGCCATGCCTAGAACAGAGAAGAGCATTCCAGGCAGAGGAACAGCTAGTACAAAACCCAAGGTGGGCTAACCCAAAGAATCACAAGAAAAGGAAACTCCAGACTGATATCCCTGAATATAGATGCACAAGTCCTCCACAGAGTTAGCAAACTGAATCCAGCAACATATAAAAAAGGATTATACATGATGACTAAGTGGGATTGTTTTTTGGGTTTTGTTTTTTGTTTTTTGTTTTTTTTTTTTGAGATGGTGTCTCGCCCTGTCGCCTAGGCTGGAGCGCAACTGTGCAGTTTCAGCTCACTGCAACCTCCGCCTTCTGGGCTCTAGCAATTCTACCTCAGCCTCCTGAGTAGCTGGGATTACAGGCATGCAGCACCATGCTCAGCTCATTTTTTTGTATTTTTAGTAGAGATGGGGTTTCACCATGTTGGCCAGGCTGATCTCAAACTCCTGAACTTGAGTGATCCGCCCACCTCAGCCTCCCAACATGCTGGCATTACAGGTGTGAGCCATCACACCCTGCCCCAAGTGGGATTTATCCCAGGAATGCAAGGTTGGTTCAACATATGAAAATCAGTCAATGTAACATATCATATTAGTAGAATAAAGGACAAAAGCTACATCACTGTCTCAATAGATGCAGAAAAAGCATTTGACAAAATCCAACACATGTAAAAAAACCTCAATAAACTAGAAATAGAAGAGCATTTCCTCAACTTGATAAAGGACATCTATGAAGACCCTGTAACTAACATCATACTTAATGAAAGAAGCCAAGTGCAGTGGTGGACACTTGTAGTCCCAGGTATTTTGGAGGCTGAGCGGGAGGATTGCTTGAGGCCAGGAGTTCGAGACCAGCCTGGACAATATAGCCAGACTTTGTCTCTTAAAAAAAAAAGAAGAAGAAAGAAAGAAAATAAAAGAAAGACAAAGCCTTTCCCTTAAGATCACAAAGAAGATAAAGATGTCTGCGCTCTCAAAGTTAAATGTCTTCTATTCAACTTTGTTCTGTTGGGGCAGTTAGACAAGAAAAAAGAAACAAAAGGCAACCAAACAAAAGTTTGGAAAGGAAGAAGTAAAGCTGTCTCTATTTGTGGATGATATGATCTAGCATATAGAAAATCATGAAGAAGTTCCAAAAAAAACTATTAGAGCTAATAAACAGTAAAGAAGACCCAAGTAAATGGAAAGACCCCAGTATTCATTGATTGGATAAACTTAGTATTGTTAAGATGTCTCTACTCCCCAAGTTGATGTACAGATTCAACACAATTCCTAAAAAAAAAATCCCAATTGGCTTCTTTGTACAAATTGACAAGCTGCTCCTAAAATGTATACAGAATTGCAAGGGGCCCAGAATAGCCAAAACTAACAAAATTGGAGGACTCATAGTTTTCAGTTTCAAAACTTGCTGTAAAACTACAGTAACCAAGATAGTGTGGTACTGGCTATAGCTCATTAGAATCGAATTAAGGGTCTAGAAATAAGCCAGGCATGATGGCTTATGCCTGTAGTCCCAGCACTTTGGGAGGCTGAGGCAGGTGGATCACTTGAGGTCAGGAGTTTGAGACCAGCCTGGCCAACATGGTGAAACCTCATCTCTACTAAAAATATTTACAAAAATTAGCCAGATATGGTGGTGCACGCTTGTAGTCCCAGCTACTCAGGAGGCTAAGGCACGAGAATCACTTGAACCTGGGAGGTGGAGGTTGCAGTGACCTGAGATCACACCACTGCACTCCAGCCTGGGTGACAGAGTGAGACTCTGTCTCAAATTTTTTTAAAAGTCTAGAAATAAACCCATACATTTATGGTCAATTGATTTTTTTTTCTAAAGGTAGTTCCCAAAAGATAGTTCTTTTTATTATTATTATTATTATTATACTTTAAGTTCTAGGGTACATGTGCACAATGTGCAGGTTTGTTACATATGTATACATGTGCCATGTTGGTGTGCTGTACCCATTAACTCATCATTTACATGAGGTATATCTCCTAATGCTATCCCTCTCCCCTCCCACCCACCTTTTTTTTTTTTTTTTTTTTTTTTTTTTTTGACAAGAGTGCCAAGACAATCCAATGGAGAAAGAATAGTATTCTCAATAAATGGAGCTGGGATAACTGGATGTCCACAATCAAAAGAATGAATTTGGACCCTATGTCACATCATATGTAAAAGTTAAAGAAGCTAAATGAATAGCTAAAACTAGAAAACTCTTAGAAGAAAATATAGGTGTAAATATTCATGACATTGAATTAGGCAGTGGTTTCTTAGCTATGATGCCATGAAGCATAAGCAATCAGACTAAAAATAGAGAAATTGGACTTCATCAAAATTAAAAATAGTTGTGCTTCAAAGGACACTATCAACAAAGTAAAAAAGACAGGTAGGCCAGGCATGGTGGCTCATGCCTATAATCCCAGCACTTTGGGAGGCTGAGACAGGAGGACTGCTTGAACCCAAGAATTTGAGACCAGACTGGGCAATGTAGTGAGTCCCCATCATTACAAAAAGTAAAAAATTAGCTGGGCATCATGGTGCACACCTGTGGTCCTAGCTACTTGGGAGGCTGGAATGGGAGGATGCACTTGAGCCAGGGAGGTCGAGGCTGCAGTGAGCTGTGATTGCACTACTGTGTTTCATCCTGGGTGACAAAGTGAGACCCTGTCTCAAAAAAAAAAAAAAAAAAAAAAAAAAAAGACAGCTTACAGAATGGGAGGGAATATTTGCAAATCATATAACTGATAAGGGCCTAATATCCAGAGTAAAGAATTCTTACAATGACTCAGCAGTAAAACGACAAATAACCCAATTAAAAATGGCCAAAAATTCTGAGTAAACATTTCTTTTTTGTTTGTTTTTGAGATGGAGTCTTGCTCTTGTTGCCCAGGCTGGAGTGCAATGGTGCGACCTTGGCTCATTGCAACCTCTGCCTCCTGGATTCAAGCGATTCTCCTGCCTCAGCCTCCCTAGTAGCTGGGATTATAGGCAAGCGCCACCACGCCCGGCTAATTTTTGTACTTTTAGTAGAGACGGGGTTTCACCATGTTGACCTGGCTGGTCTCGAACTCCTATCCTCAGGTGATCCACCTGCCTCAGCCTCCCTAAGTGCTGGGATTACAGGCATGAGCCACTGCCCTGGCCCTGAGTAGACATTTGTTTCAAGCAGATACATAATATGAATGGCCAGTAAGCATATAAAAGATCAGCAACTTCATCTGTCTTTAGGGATATGCAAATCAGAACCACAATGAGATACCACTTCACACCCATTAGGATGGCTATAATTCAAAAAACAGACAAAAACTAGTGTTGGCAAGGATGTGGAGAAATTTGGAAACTTCATACATTCATGGTACCATGTTTACCTCTTAAAAATGGTGCAACCTGTGTGGAAAACAGTTTGGCAGTTCCTCAAAAAGTGAAACACAGAAGTATCTTATGACCCAGCATTTCCTTTCCTAGGTTTATACTCAAGAGAATTGGAAACATTGTGCTCACACAAAAATGTGTACCCGAATCTTCATAGCAGCATTATTCAGAATGGCCAAAAAGTGAAAACAACCCAAATATCCAACTGAGGGATGCGTTAAAAAAATGTGGTATATAGCCATACGGTGGAATATTATTAATACTCAGCCATAACCATAATCACATGCTTATGACATGGATGAACCTGAAAAATATGCTAAGTGAAAAAACCCTGTCACAACAGACTACATATGTTATTATTCCATTTATATGAAATGTCCAAAATAGGCAAATCCATAGGCTGGAGGAGAGAGGATAATGGGAATTTTCTGATAATGGATGGCGTTTTTTCTGGGAGAGAGAGGTAATGAAAATGTTCTAAAAATTAGGCAAGAAAAAAACGAGTGACATTGGTTGAATGACCCTGAGTCTACTAAAAACCACTGACTTGGAAGCTTCAAAAGGGTGAATTTTCTGGTATGTGAATTACATCTCAATAAAGCTGTCAAAAAACAAAACAAAACAAAAAAACAACCCAAGATGGAAAAGAGTTGGACATGTTTGAGGGACAGAAATGAGGCTGGTGTGGCTGGAGCATAGCTGGCAAGATGGAGAGTAGCTAAGGTGAGGGGAGAAGCAAGATTGAGTAGGATTGACATCAGAGGGCCACGGCAGGGGAGTAATGGGATTAGGTATGTACATTCTTAAAAGGTTGCCCTGGCTGCTGCTAGAGAGTGGAGTGGAGGTCAGTTAGGGAATTGGTTGGGTGTGGTGGCTCACACCTGTAATACCAGCACTTTGGGAGGCCAAGAAGAGTGAATCGCTTGAGCCCTGGAGTTCCAGACCAGTCTGGGCAACATGGTGAAACCCTGTCTCTACAAAATATACAAAAATTAGCTAGGTATTGTGGGATGCACCTGTAGTCCCAGCTACTCGGGAGGCTGAGGTAGGAGGATCACTTGACCCTGGGAGGTTGAGGCTGCAGTGAGCTGTGATTCCACCACTGCACTTCCAGCCTGGATGACAGAGCAAGATCCGGTCTTTAAAAAAAAAAATTAAAAAAATAAAAAGAAGCTGCTGCGACTGTAGCCAGATGACAGATGATGGCAGTTTGGAACAATGATAATGGTGGATAAAAAGAAGTGGACATCCAGACTATGCTTGGAGATAGAGTCAGCGGAATTTGCTGATGGAATCTGGGAAATTAGAGATAGATAAATTAGGATCATTCATAGATTTTTGGCTTGAGAAACTGGGTGAATAGTGGAACCATTTAATTGAGATGAGGATGTCTGGGGAGGAACATTTGGGAAGAGAAATCAATAGTTTTGGCCATGTTAAGTTTGACATATATTAAGTTAGAAGACGTTCATATGGAGATATCAAGTAGACAACTTCCTGAGATGCAATTTAGGCCAGTAGCTTGAAATCTCTTGGCACCTATAACTTACTACATGATGATTCTTACCCTCTGCGGTTTATCTTCCCTGTACATGGAGAAAAGCTTTGTGCTATAAAAGACTGAGCCAGAAGGTGGGGTTTGGTTCCTAGAGTTGCCCTTTACTAATGAGAGGAAGGCCCTTGTCTTTGAGCTTCTGCTTTTTTTACCTCTAAAGTGGGATTAATGACCATGTACACAACTGGCAAGATCAAAGGAAATGAACTAGGTGAATGTAAATTCATGCAAACATACTATTTTGGCAGTAATGATGGCAGACACCAAAATGATTATATTCTTACCATCCCTTTCCTTTCTACAATGCTCTGATGATAAGGTGAGCTTTACCTCCCGAAGAACAAGACTATATTCTGAGTATGTACCTAGCATGTTTATTACTCTCAGTAAATAGAAATCTTTTTTAGTCAGTAAGCATGTTTCAAAAATATTTTGAGTTATTTAAAAGAAAAAAATTGCACATATGAAAATCGTTTCAGAACTTTTATTGAAGCGGGCAAAAGAAAAGTGAGCTAGCAAGTTATAGAAGAGGCTATGACATAGATACAGTTATGAACTTGTTCTTCAAATTCATTTACTTATTTGATTTAATGTTCAAATTATTACAACAACCTAACTCTTCTGAAAGTTAAATACCCTCTTTAAGGGGTGTCATAAAAAGAGCACTGCACTGAGAATCAGAAAACAGAAGCCAGTCCTGGCTTTGCTACTAACTAGCTGGGTCCAACCTTGGGAAAATAGCTGCATTTCTCTGAGCCTCACTCTCTTCATGTATGAAATAGAGGATTGAACTACAGTCTGGAAATAAATGCATTCAATTCAGAAATTTTAGAGAACTTATTTCCTGGTGTGTGTTAAATTTTATTAACATTTAAATCAGGCTGTAGGATCTCAGGTATGTTGGAAATGTGTTACATGATAAAGGTGGTATTTCATACTGGAGGGAAGGGTAAGATGGATTATCTAGTAAATAGTATTGGGATAACTGGCCAACCATTGGTGGGGGAAGCCCTCAAATCCTATCTTTTAAAATCATAGTAAGTGCTATATTATAACAATGCATATGTAGTTAACAATACTGTATGGTATACTTACAATTTGTTAATTGAGCACATTTTTCTTATGTGTTTTTTACCATAATAAAAAAATCAAAATATAGATGGATCAAGGATTTAAATATAAAAAGTAAAATCACAAGGACTATAAAAAAGCACAACTGAATAATTTGACAATATTTAATAATCTTAAAGTGTGGGGTAGGCCTTTTTAAGTATGATACGAACCACCAAAGTAATGAGAGAAAAGACTTAGAAATATAATTATGAAAATAAAAAACTTATGCATGGAAAAAATGGCTGTCCCCAAGATTAAAAGTCAACAAACTGAGGAAAATATTCACAACACATGTAAGAGTTAAAAGGCTAATTTCCTAAATATAGAAAATATTTTTGCAAATTAATGAGATAACCATCCCAGTTTTAAAAAATATAACCAAAGGGCATAAATAGGCAGGTTACAGATAAATAAATTAAAAGTGCACATAAATATATGGACAGCTTCTCAGCTTCGCTAATAATAAACAGCAAGAGATTATCATATTTTTTTCTCACTTATCCAGGCAGTTTAGCAATAAAATGTTGATGCTGTTTAACCCACGCATTCCACTTTAAAAACAAAAAACCCCAAAACTATTATCCAGAAATGTGTAAGCCCTCAAAGATATATCGACAAGGTTATTACCCTAGTTTATAGTGTTATAAATAGCAATAAATTGAAAATAACAAATATCTATCATAAAGGTAGTTGCATAAATTACATATTCATAAAATGGGTTACTGTGCAGCAGATAGAGTGAAATTGATAAGTATGTACTGATGAAACATCAATGCTTTATGGTCACATAACAAAAGTCCTTGTAAAACAGTATTGATGCAGGACTTTTTGCTCCTTAACTCAGCTAAAATCTGGGTTCTTGTCTCACAACCAGGAAAAATTAGGCACGTGGACACATTGAAAGGTGAGGAGAGTGGAATTTATTAAAAGAAAGCTCTCAGCAAAAAAAGAGGGGGTCCTGCCAACAGGCTCCCACCTCACAGATTGAATACCAGGCCACCACACAGGAGCTGAAGAGGCCAGGCTCTTCCCCTGCATAAGGCAGAAATTCCTGGTGGCTCCACCCCCATTCTTCCAGTGCTCATGCGGGCCCTTAGTCTGAGCCACGCCACCTTGATTTATTTCCTTTACTGTGCATGTGTTAAGGGACAGAACTTTTCACCATGGACATGTTGAGTCAAGCCCACTGTGCATAATGACCTGGGTGGCATTTGGCTGTCTCCTGTCTCTATCACTGTGTTCTAGATTTTTATAATAATATTTGTAGAAAAAAATACAGGGAAATGCACATCAAACTTAACAGTCGTTACCTATAGGGATGGGAATAAATACAGAATATCACTTTCTAAAATTTTTTAACATAATGTAATGCTTGCATTTTTTATAAGGATAATAAATTTTTAATTGGAAATATTAGTATATTAGATATAAACATTGATTTTAAAGTAACATTTAAGATCTTATAAATCGGCCGGGCGCGGTGGCTCACGCCTGTAATCCCAGCACTTTGGGAGGCTAAGGCGGGCGGATCATGAGGTCAGGAGATAGAGACCATCGTGGCTAACATGGTGAAACCCCGTCTCTACTTAAAATACAAAAAATTAGCCGGGCATGGTTGCAGGCGCCTGTAGTCCCAGCTACTCGGGAGGCTGAAGCAGGAGAATGGCGTGAACCCGGGAGGCGGAGCTTGCAGTGAGCCAAGATCGCGCCACTGCACTCCAGCCTGGTGACACAACGAGACTCCGTCTCAAAAAAAAAAAAAAAAAGATCTTATAAATCCTGGAAACACTGATGTAGAGAGTCATGTTTACGGTCTGTTCCATCAAACTTAGTGACTGAGTTCCCAATTCCTCTAATTGAAAGAAAAGTCCAGATTAACACAAAATAGTAGTTGAAAAGGGTTTGGGAGTTGAGTGTATTCCTTTATCATACCTTCTTTAATTTTACTTGCAGATTCCGTTGCAGACGCTCTGGATGGCGAATACCATTAAACTTCTGGATTTGGTAGAAGTTAACAGTTCAGTCCTTGCTGGTACTAACTTTTGAATAGCTAACATGGAAGCTGTTTTCACTGTAGTGTATCTGGAAATACGTCTGTTTTATCATATGTCACAATTACTAAAAATAACTTTTAGTTTGTTTCAGTTCAGTAATTATAATACTTTACATTCACTTATTGTCTTATTCTTTGCAACACTCATTCTCATATATTTTCTCATTTAATCATTACAAGAACAGGCCAGGCGCGGTGGCTCACGCCTGTAATTCCAGCACTTTGGGAGGCCAAGGTGGGTGGATCAGCTGAGGTCAGGAGTTCGAGACTAGCCTGACTGACATGGTGAAGCCCCGTCTCTACTAAATACAAAAATTTAGCTGGGCATGGTGGCACATGCCTGTAATCCCAGCTACTTGGGAGGCTGAGGCAGGAGAGTCACTTGAACCTGGGAGGCAGAGGTTTCAGTGAGCCAAGATTGCGCCGCTGCACTCCAGCCTGGGCAATGAGTGAAACTCCATTTCAAAAAAAAAAAAAAAAAAATCATTACAGGACCCTGGGGAGTAGGCAAAGCAGTGTTCCTATCCCATTTTAAGCTCTGTGATTTCCTGCCTTAAGGTTTTCAGAGAGTGCAGAATGACTCGATTAGTTTCATTCTGGTGAATATTATAATGAAAATATCTGGGCAAATCAGTGAAAATCTAGGCCAGAGTGTATTCATACTTCATGCCACAAGTCCATTCTGAGGCCCATCAGCATCCTGCCAATACGGTGGACAGAAGGAATGTGAGCCACAGAGGAAGCTGGTTTAATTTAGAGGTAGTTGGAGTTCCCCAGGAACCTAGGAATTAGGATTTGTTTGGGCAGGGATGAAAGGGCCAGCCTAAATCCTAAACATCCTATGTATTTCCCCCTGTTGGCTAGTTATTTCACCAAAGCGCTAACACAAAACTTGTAGATTCAGCATTTTAGGTGGTCACTGGGTAAAGGAATTATAGCTTTGTATGTGCATGGGAAGCTTTCCTTTGGGTTTCTGATGTACAGAGAGCACTGTGGTTTCCTTGTAAGTTTTGGTTTACAAAGTCAACATCAGCAAATGTGTTCTCTCCGGTATCAGTACTGCCTCCCAAGATGTTTTTTGATTTTTAAGAAGTACTATGAAGTTGCATAATTGCTTTTTTCTCTTGTATATCTTTTCTTTTTTCCATTCTTCAGATCCAAAATTAACGGGACAGGCTCTTATTCCAGGATCAGTAATATACCACAAACAGTCACAAATACTATTGGTTTATTGCAAGGTATGTTTTTCATTAGTTTCAAGTTATCATAGTTGTTTTACTATGTTATAGTCTGTATCATTTATTATTTTTAGTTGGAACTTCACTTAACTGCCTGTCCATAGATTGGGTCAGGAGATCATTTAATTTTCTTAAGAAATAGTGAAGTCTCTAGCATAATTTTTTGAAAGTGATGAAGTTTTGCCAAGGCATTATTATTACTCAAAGAAAGAAGATTCAGTAACTTGAGTGCTTTCTTAAAAGAACACGTGTATTTTCAGTAGCCCAATTTAATTAACAGCTCTTGTGCTTGGTAACATAAAAGATAGTCATATCAAAATATCTGACTGAACTACTACAGGACACACATATCCTACTTGCTTTTACTGCTTAACAGTAGTAAAGAGGAGATTTCTGAACTTTTTAAAATAACTTTGGAATCATTATTGTTTTATAAGATCATGGTGTGTTCTGAGAAGTGTTCTACATTCCTTCCATTTCCTAGGTATTTTGCATCATATGGTGTTCATGTGAGATATTTCATACTTAAGAGTGTTTAGCCGGGCAAGGTGGCTCACACATGTTATCCCAGCACTTTGGGAGGCTGAGGCGGGTGGATCACCTGAGGTCGGGAATTCGAGACCAGACTGACCAACATAGAGAAACCCCGTCTTTACTAACAGTACAAAAATTAGTCGAGCGTGGTGGCAGACGCCTGTAATCCCAGCTACTTGGGAGGCTTAGGCAGGAGAATCGCTTGAGCCCGGGAAGCGGAGGTTGTGGTGAGCCGAGATCGTGCCATCACACTCCAGCCTGGGCAATAAGAGCGAAACTCCATCTCAAAAAAAAAAAGAAAATGTTTAAAATGTGTGATAGATTGATCTGACCTACAGACTGTGAATACAAAACTCCATCAACCTCTCTTTGTCTCTCGCCAGCTTATTCTGGAACAGTGTTGGATGCATATGTCTTGCTGTCCTTTTCTGGGTCTATATATATGTATTTCCCTTTTTTTTTTTTTTTTTTTTTGAGATGGAGTTGCCCAGGCTGGAGTGTAGTGGTGTGATCTCAGCTCACTGCAACCTCCACCTCCTGGGTTCAAGCGATTCTCCTGCCTCCGTCTTCCAAGTAGCTGGGATTACAGGCACCCGCCACCACGCCTGGCTAATTTTTGTATTTTTGTAAGGACGGGGTTTCGCCATGTTGGTCAGGCTGGTCACGAATTCCTGACCTCAGGTGATCCACCCGCCTCGGCCTCCCAAAGTGCTGGGATTACAGGCGTGAGCCACCACGCCTGGCCTATATGTGTATTTCATGTTACATACCTTTTATTCTGCTCCCTTTGTATTTAAATATTTATACAGATCTATACATTTGTTATCGCTCCTTGGTAATAAGCTTTTAATTTCAGTGTCAAAAACCGCAATGACTTTTGCACCAACCTAATAGAGTCAAGGAATTCTACATGTTACTTAGTGTAGTGCTGTTTGCAGCTAGGCATTTAGTAAAGATTTGTTGGTTTGTTTGTTTCCATGATAAAAATTTTATAAACTAATATTTACTTGGCTTTTTAGTTTTGCCACCCCTGCCTATTCACTATTTGTATTTTGCCCTTTAGGATGGTTGGATTGGTGTTCGATCAGTGATGCTCAAGAAATCACTAACAGCTACTGACTTCTACAATGGATATTTGCACCCCTGGTACCAGAAAAATTCCCAAGCTCAACCAAGCCAATGCAGATTTCAGACTCTCAGACTTCCAACAAAGAAGAAGCAGAAAAAAACTGTTGCTATGCAACAATGCATTGAGTAGTTAGGAAGAAGATGGATAAAAACCTATTACATATTTGTAATTTATTAAAAACCTTATTTACAAGGAATTATCTGGACTTTTTTTTTTTTTTTTTTTTTTGAGACAGAGTCTCACTCTGTCACCCAGGCTGGAATCCAGTGGCACTATCTCAGCTCACTGCAACCTCCGCCTCCCAGGTTCAAGCAATTCTCCTGCCTCAGCCTCCTGAGTAGCTGGGATTACAGGCACACGCCACCACACGCAGCTAATTTTTGTATTTTTAGTAGAGATGGGGTTTCACCATGTTGGTCAGGCTGGTCTCGAACTCCTGACCTTGTGATCTGCCCACCTCAGCCTCCCAAAGTGCTATGATTACAGACGTGAGCCACCGTGCCTGGCCTGGAATTATCTGGACTTTCAAAGAAGATGGCATTATTATAAGAAGAGAAGATTATTGCCGAAAAGATGGATTGCCTCACTTTCCACTTTTTATGTAACAGTAGTTAAAAAACAGCTTTTTTTTTACTTGAATTACAAAAAAGTTTAAATAAAACTTGTATTTATGATACGAAACTCAAGGAGATTATCTTTCCTTAAGAACAAGGGCAACCCTAACTGGTGTATGTATGTACCTACATACATACTGAGAAGAGGTTTTTTGTTTTTATTTTTATTTTTTTGAGACGGAGTCTTGTTCTGTGGCCCAGGCTGGAGTGCAGTGGCGTGATGTCAGCTCACTGCAAGCTCCACCTCCCGGGTTCACACCATTCTCCTGCCTCAGCCTCCCAAGTAGCTGGGACTACAGGCGTCCGCCACCATGCCTGGCTAATTTTTTTTTTTGTATTTTTAGTAGAGATGGGGTTTCACTGTGTTAGCCAGGATGGTCTTGATCTCCTGACCTCGTGATCCACCCGCCTTGGCCTCCCAAAGTGCTGGGATTACAGCTGTGAGCCACCGTGCCTGGCCGAGAAGAGGTTTTTTTAAAAACAGTGCATCTATTTAATTTTTTAAAAATCGTGTCACCACTGACATTTTAGGAGTATTGAATCTGCATTTTTTATTTCCTATAAGTAGTAAATCCAGCTCTTTACATTTCACTACCAGCTAGATTTAACCAAGTAGTAAACGTAGGTAATATTTAATAATCTCTGCCACATTGATCTGTACTATAAATTAACATTTTACATCCAGATTTTATTTTTTTTTATTAATTTTTTTAGAGATGGGGTCTTGCTCTCTCACACAGTCTGGAGTCCAGTGGCGTGAAACACTGCTTACTGCATCTTCAACCTCCTGGGCTTAAGTGATCCTCCAGCCTCAGCCTCCCAAAGTGGGGCCACCACGCCTGGCTAATTTTCTTTCTTAGTTTTTAAAAAAAATTTTGTAGAGATAGGGGTCTCACTATGTTGCTTAGGCTGGTCTTGAACTCCTGGGCCCAAGCAATCCTCCTGCCTTGGCCTCTCAAAGTGCTGGGATTACAAGCATGAACCACTGCACCCGGCCCAGGTTTTCTTGAAGTAGGAACGTGCTAACATTTTTCAACTTACTTGTGCAATAAAGGTTATTGAGCATCTGGTGTGTGCAAACTCATCTTCTCTGTCTCCAGGAGAGTCAGAAGGAGGAGGAGAAGGAGGCACAGTGGCCGCAGAATCCACACATTGGCTTTTCCTGCCTAGATTCTGACAGTGAAAGTCTTTCTCTATTCTTTAAGTCATTTGTTAATTCAACATTTATGGATAGGGTGATTTGGTCATCTAAGTTAGGATGCTTTTATGAGTGAAAGAAGCACTTATAATTACTCCAGGGCAACAGACATAAACCAGGACTCTCCCAGGCAAACTGGGTTGTGTGGTCATCTGATGTATTGAGCACTTACTGTGTAACTAGAACTTCAAACTGGTTACCAGAGATTCAGAGATCAAATATTTGACATCTTCAACCTACCAGGGAGACAAATGTGTAAGCGAATATAATAGTTATAAATGCCATAGTAGAGGCATAAGGGAAGCATTGTGTCCCTCACGGGTGTCAATGGAGGCTTCCCAGAGGAAGTCAATGGAATTAGCTTCCAAAGGATGAGTTTACTATGCAGACTAAGGCCTGGAAGGACATTCTAGCATGTGCAGAGGCACAGAGACTTAAAAGAACACTATAGGGTGTTTGGTAATGTTTAGGTGGGAGCATGATTGTTCTTTTATTATTCTTTAAGCCATAAATTTGTCATACATTCCCTTGTATGTATGAGCTAGTTATAGAGCTGGCTGGGAAAAAGCTAACAATGGATTATGGAAGAGAAACAAATGGCATGTTGAATACCGGGGGAAAGCCCAGCGTTTTGATGAAAAGAATTGATGAGTGGAATCTGGTGATAGAAATGAGACTGCAAAAGCAAGCTGAGGCCTGATCATGGAGGACTTTGAAAACCATGAGAGTTAGGGCCTTTGTCTCATATGCAGTAGCCTGTGAGTAGAGTGGCGTGATCAGAGTTAGATTTTGGAAATTTAACTTTGGTGGTGGTGTGGAAGATAGGTTGGGGGTAAAACCTGGGCAGGAAGATCCGTTGGAAGGTTAGAAATGTGATCTTCAGGGACATGGATGGAGCTGGAAGCCATTATCTTCAGCAAACTAATCCAGGGACAGAAAATCAAACACTGCATGTTCTTACTTATAAGTGGGTGCTGAACAATGAGAACACATGGACACATGGCGGGGGAACAACACACAGGAGCATCTTGGGAGTGGGGATGGGGATGGGGGGAGGGAGAGCATCAGGAAGAATAAGGGATGCTGGGCTTAGTACCTAGGTAATGGGATGATCTGTGCAGCAAACCACCACGGCACACATTTACCTGTGTAAAAAACCTGCACATCCTACACATGTACCCTGAATTTAAAAGTTGAGGATAAAAGAGAAAAGGAATGTGAAGATCTGAGTTACGTCAGTGGTTAGGATAAAGGGGAGATGACTGAAAAGATTTTTGTGGGTGAGGGAATTTGAGTTATTGGGTATTATATCCTTATGGAGAGTTTTAGCTCCACCACTGATGAGCTCTTTGATCTCTGACAAGTCAGTATCACTGAACTTTATTTCCTCAAGTGTGAAATTAGGCTGATGATGAAAACAAAACACTACCAAAATAATTTTGAGAATCAACAAGAGACTGTGAAAGTGCCTTGTTTTTCCAATTGTATGTATTGAACACTTAATCCCCTCCAGGCACTCTGCTCATGTTAGGGAATTGGGAGAGAACGGAAATCAGTGTCGTCTAGGAGCTCATGAGTACGATTTCTGCAGGGGATCTAAGGAAGTGCCCACTCAGACACTGCCACCAGGACTGGGGAAACCTTACTGAGGGCACAGCTTCCCGTCAGAGTTGTGACCCAGGAAAGGTTGGATTCCTCTTGCAACACCTAAGCAATATTCTGCCCCTTCCATCCCCTCAAACAGGGTAACAACCTCGACAAGGGGAATCTTGAATAGTTGAAGGAATCGCAAAGGAGATCCCTTAAACCTTCACAATTGATGAAATCAGTAATCTGTGTGTGTGAAGTTAGGCTCTTGGTTGCAAATAATAGACTTGAAACACTTTAAAGAAATGGGGATTTTAGGCCAGGCATGGTGGCTCACGTCTGTAATCCCAGCACTGTAGGAGGCCAAGGCAGGCAGATCACCTGAGGTCGGGAGTTCGAGACCAGCCTGACCAACATGGAGAAACCCCGTCTCTACTAAAAATACAAAATTAGCCAGATGTGGTGGCGCATGCCTGTAATCCCAGCTACTTGACAGGCTGAGGCAGGAGAATCACTTGAATCGGGAGGTGGAGGTTGTGGTGAGCCAAGATCGCACCATTGCACTCCAGCCTGGGCAACAGGAGCAAAACTCTGTCTCAAAAAAAAAAAAAAAAAAGAAAAAAGAAAAAAAGAAAAGAAAGAAAGAAATGGGGATTTTATTGTAGGAATATGAGTAGGAAGGACTAGAAAGCCATTCGGAGCAAGTCAACTCGGAGGTTTCCTTTGGTTACCGTCACTCCCTGACCCCCGTTCCCCATAGTTTCTCTGATGACATGTGTGCTCTCTACTTAGCAGTTTTGATCTCTTACTACCTACTAGTTAATGGCCTCAGGTCTGCCACCCCACATTCTGGGTGGAGCCTGTCTGACTGTCTAGCCAATTATCATTGCCCTTGCCAGATAGAACCTTTTGTGCCAGACCATGTCTAGTCCTTAGCCAGACTGTGAATCAAGGCCCACCCCAGTCCAGTGATTCCACTCTGCAGAAAAAGCAGCATAAGGGGCTGTGAAATTGGACTGGCACAGTTGGTATACCTAGGACTGTATGAAATACCTTTCATACATCTGAAATCTTGAGGTAAGAGTGCAAAGCCCATCCTACAGTGTGCAGTTCCCCATCAAGGGAGCCTCAAGCTCATCCTGGAACTGGAGGATAAACACCAGGTATGGAAATGCCATCTTCAAGTTGGCAGCCTATTTCTTCAAGAAAGTAAATGATGCACATCCCAGACAGGCCTCAGGAAACCATATGACCCACTCTTTTTTCAGGCCCCTGTAGAAACCACAATCCAGTGTGACTGAGTAGCGTTTCTCATCTGAACCAGAATCACCTGGAATAGATTCCTGGACTCTACTGCCGACATTGAATCAGAATCTCTGGATATGGGACTCTGCAGTTTACCACACTCATCAAATAATTTTTCTGCTACAGCGGTAATAGTTTTAACTAGCATAAGAGATGCATGTTAATCTGAGCTACGTGTTGGCCCAGAGTCCAGAGTCCTCCCAGGAAGGTAGAACACAGTCTACTTTATGCTTTAGTTGAAAGGATGTATTTGCAAATACGTTGCCTCCTTATGCAAGATGCTTCTATTTTGGTTCTTGTCATTGCTGAAAAACATATGCTTTGCATCAGACTCAAAAACAAATTTTCTTGCTAGTTACTAGTTGAGTGACTCAGGACAAGTTGCTGAAAGTTTTAAAACTCATTTCTCAGTTTAAAAACATGTGTAATACCTGCCTTGCAGAATAGGAATACATCTGGGAAGTGCCTGGCATATAGTACACCCTCAATAAATGGTAGCTATTGTTGTCATCTGTGGTTAATCTTATGTCTATGACTGGGCCATCAGGTGCCCAGACATTTGGTCAAACATTATTCTGGGTGTGTTTGTGAAGCTCCTTCTGGATGAGATTAACATTTGAATCAGGCCAGGCATGGTGGCTCATGTCTATAATCCCAGCACTTTGGGAGGCCGAGGGAGGCAGCTCACTTGAGTCTAGGAGTTCAAGACCAGCTTGGGCAACATGGCAAAACCCTGTCTCTACAAAAAATACAAAAGTTAGCTAAGCGTGGTGACGCATGCCTGTGGTCCCAGCTACTTGGGAGGCTAAGGTAGGAGGATTGTTTGAGCCCAGGAGGTCGAGGCTGCAGTGCACTGAGATTGTGCCACTGCATTCCAGCCTGAATGACAGAGTGAGACCCTGTCTCAAAAACAAAACAAAACAAAAAGCCCCACACATTTGAATCAATGGATTCAGTAAAGCAGATGGCCCCCCTAATGTGGATGAGCCTCATCCAGTCAGTTGAAGGCCTGAATAGAACAAAAAGGCCGAGTAAGAAGGATTTCTTCCGGCCTGACTGCCTTTGAGCTGGGATATTGGTTTTTACCCTGCCTTTAGATTTGAACTGAAAATCAGTTCATCATAGGTCTCGAGCCTGCTGGCTTTTTGGCTGGAACTATACCATCAGCTCTCCTGGGTCTCCAGCTTGCCAACTACAGATTTTGGAATTTAAACTCCATAATCACATGAGCCAATTCCATATAATAAATCTCTCTCTATATATGTATACACCCGATGGTTCTGTTCCCCTGGAGAACGCTGACTGATACATCACCACAGTCAAATGCTACTATAATCCCTTCTTTGGGCCTACAACATTTTCTCCTCTGAATGGTAGCAACAGCTTGTGGAAGAAGATACCTTTATTTATTTTGATTTCTTATTGACACATAATAATTGTATATATTTATGGAGTACATTGTGATGCTTTGACACATATAATAATGTGAGGGGATCAGATCAACGTAATTAGATATCCATCATCTCAAACATTTATCATTTCTTGTGTTGGAAACATTCAATATTCTCTCTTGTAGCTATTTGAAAATATACATTATTGTTAACTATGGTCATCCTACAGTGCTATGAAACACTAGAACTTGTTCCTCTTATCTAGCTGTAATTTTGCATCCTTTAATAAATCTCTCCCTATCCCTTCCTTTCCTCTACCCTTTCAGGTCTCTAATAACCTCTATTCTGCTTTCTACTTCTATGAGATCAGCTTCATTTAAGGTTCCATATACGAATGAGAACACGCAGTGTTTAACTTTCTGTTCCTGGTTTATTTCACTTATTTGTCAAGCTCGCCAACTGCATATTTGGGGATTTAGCCTCCATAATCACATGAGCCAATTCCTTATAATAAATCTTTCTCTCTACACATACATTCTGATGGTTCTGTTTCTCTGGAGGACCCTGAGAAATATAATGTCCTACAGTTCCATTCATGTTGCCTTGAATGGCAGGATTTCATTCTTTTTATGGTTGAATAGTATTCCATTGTGTATATATACCTCATTTTCTTTGTCCATTCTTCAGTTGTTAGACATCTAGGTTGATTCTATATCCTGGCTATTGAGGCTACTGCTGCAATAAACATGAGCGTGTAGATGTCTCTTCGATATATTGATTTCTCTTTCTTTGGATGACTACCTGGTAGTGGGATTGATGAATCATATGGTAGCTCTATTTGTAGTTTTTAGAGGAACTTTTACGCTATTGGAAATGTCTTTAGACCAATAGGAGCAAAAGAATTTTCAAGTAGGGAAGGATCTATATAACTCAAAATTTCTTTTTAGAGATGATGAAACAGGGGCCTAGCAACAGCTAGGTAGTGACAATACTAGGATTAGAACCCAAAGACTACAGGAGATTTTGTTTTAAAGAAGGATTTTATTCTTCATTTGGTTTGGGGGACAAAAGAAACATTTCTGAGCATAAAATTGAGTTCTCGAGAATAGCTACCCAAAGGATGTTTGTTGCTTTATACTTTGTATTTAAGTCAGTTCAACCTATTTTCACCATTTTTCTTCATATTTATCAAACAATTTCAAGGTGAAAATATATGACTTTGAGGGGCAGAGTCTTAGAGTCAACAAACCTCACATGAGCCTAGCCCTGCCACTGACTGTAAGCCTAGGCTGGTTACTGAGCCTCTCCATGTATGGCCCTATCCATGAAATTAAAATTGTACCTACTTTGCAAAGATTGTCATGAGGAATAGAAATAATATACTTGGTTAGGCGTGGTGGCTCACACCTATAATCCCAGCACTTCGGGAGGTCTACGAGGGAGGATCACTTGAGGTCAGGAGTTCGAGACTAGTCTGGCCAACATGGCAAAACTCTATCTCTACTAAAAATACAAAAATTAGCTGGGCATGGTGGTGCACGCCTGTAATCCCAGCTACTCGGGAGGCTGAGGCAGGAGAATCGCTTGAAGCCGGGAGGCAGAGGTTGCAGCGAGCCAAGATCAAGCCACTGCACTCCACCCTGGGTGACAGAGTGAGACTCCATCTCAAAAAAAAAAAAAAAAAAGAACTCACCTAGCACAGTGTCTGAAGAAACACAGTAGGTTCGCAATATCACTATTATTAGCTAACATTTTTTGAGGGCTAGCCATGTGTGTAAGGACTTGACCTGGACTGTCTCATTTTATCTTTACAATAACCAAGTGAAGCAGATACTGTTATTGATCCTCATTTTTCCAGAATTTTAAATAGCTACTCAGCGGTGGAGCTGGAACGTATGCCCTGGTAACCTAGATTCCAATCAGTGTGCCTAACTAATCTATTGCCATGAGTCTATTTGCAAATATTTTTATCCTTGATTAGGGAATTTAATGTGTTTGGCTTTGGTGCTCAGAAAAAAAGAAATGGGAACACATGCCAATTGAATGCCCATTATATGCAGGTACTATGCTAGACAATTTCAAAAATATTTTATTTTAGTTACTATTTCATCAGTCTTATTTTTTTTTATTTTTATTTTTTTAGAGACAAGATCTCACTATGTTGCCCAGGCTGGAGTGCAGTAGCTATTCATAGGCACAATGATCACACACATAGCCTCAAATTCCTGGGCTCAAGTATCCTCCTGCCTCAACTTCCCAAATAGCTGGGACTACAAGTATGCACCACCATGTCCAGGTAATCACTGTCTTTTTTTACCTCTAAGATTTATAAAGTTTTCTAAGACACCACAGATAGAAGCTATCTTTTGTAGTAAAGAAGTGCAGCTCTTGCTTTCCACTAATTTTTATTGCTGCTCTTCTACCAGAAGGTAGATTATCCATTGTTATTTACATTAATTATTTACATTGTTTACATTGTTGAAACATTGAGATGCTAGGTTGACAGATGATACAAAATATGTGGTACCTTTGCTTAGAAACTTTTATTCTAAAAAGTTAATGGACAAACGTTAACTTTTCTGAGAGATTAAAATACTGCTTCCGTTAAATAAGCATTTTTGTGTGTAGGCTGTTTTTTTTTGTTTGTTTGTTTGTTTGTTTTGAGACGGAGTCTTGCTCTTTCGCCCAGGCTGGAGTGCAGTGGCACTATCTCGGCTCACTGCAATCTCCGCCTCCCGGGTTCACACGATTCTCCTGCCTTAGCCTCCCGAGTAGCTGGGACCACAAGCGCCCGCCACTACACCCGGCTAATTTTTGGTATTTTTAGGAGAGACAGGGTGTCACCGTGTTAGCCAGGATGGTCTCAATCTCCTGACCTCGTGATCCACCCACCTCGGCCTCCCAAAGTGCTGGGATTACAGGCATGAGCCATCGTGCCTGGCCTGTTTTTTTTTTTTTTTTAAAGTTTGATTGGAAGCAAGAAGGAGGAGGAATATTATCAGAGAAGGGCAGCTTTGAGGAAAGACTGCTGTAAAGATGTAAAGATCCTTATTTTTTTTTTTGAGATGGAGTTTTGCTCTTTTTGCCCAGGCTGGAGTGCAATGGTGCGATCTCGGCTCACTGCAATGTCTGCCTCCCGGGTTCAAGCGATTCTCCTGCCTCAGCCCCCTGAGTAGCTGGGATTACAGGCACATGCCACCACCCTGGCTAATTTTGTATTTTTAGTAGAGACAGCGTTTCTCAATGTTGGTCAGGCTGGTCTTGAACTCCCAACTTCAGGTGATCCACCTGCCTCAACCTCCCAAAGTGCTGGGATTACAGGCGTGAGCCACCGCGCCCAGCTGTAAAGATTCTTTGACAAATCTCTTATAAATTTATAAAATCTAAAATCTTAGAATTGGAAAGAACTTACAGATAATTTAGTTTAGCCTTGGCCTCATTTTACAGAGAAGGAAACCAGACCTAGCAGAGGATATGTTTTGCTCAAAGATAAAACTCAGGTTTCTGAACTCCTAGATGACAACTAATACATTATTAATTAAAAATAACTATATATAACTTCTGTTTGATAATGCCTTTAGGTAGTAACCTCTAAAATAGCCACATCAGCATTTTTCTAAGCCAGTTCCTGAATACCCACTTTGTGTCTGATTCCTCCAATCCAGTGCAGTATACATTTTACATAGACTTGGTCTGGCAATGAGGAAAGAGCATTCATTTTCAATCTTGGGTCTCAGCATAATTTGGTATATAACACTGCAATCGACTGTACCCTGTAAAGCTTTAAGGGGATGGTATTCCAAGAATTAGTATTAGTCTGAAAAAGCAAGTGTTTTGTTTCTCTTTCACTTTTTTACACATCCGTGGTTCCTGGGGGTAAAATAAATGTTTTCACTCTAATGGGTGCACTGGAGGGAGGCATTCTAAATGGAAGGAAGGCATATACAAAAGCCTAGAGGCTTCCTGAGACATCAGGAGGTGTTTGGGGCCCTTCAAGCAGTTGGTATGACTAGAGCACTTTGGCCCCACAGAGATCTGAGTCAAGAGCCAGACCTGCTCTACTCTGCATACCTTGAACTTTAGCTTGAAGGCAGTGGGGAGCTATTGAAGGATTTATAGCAGAGGAATTACAGAAATATAGTTGCTTTTAATTATTATTAATATTATTATTATTTGAGACAGAGTCTCACTCTGTCACCCAGTCTGGAGTGCAGTGGCATGATCTGAGCTTACTGCAACTGCCGCCTCCCAGGTGGGTTCAAGTGATTATCCTGCCTCAGCCTCCCCAGTAGCTGGGATTACAGGTGTGCACCACCACACCCGGCTAATTTTTGTATTTTTAGTAGAGATGGGGGTTTTGCCATGTTGGCCAGGCTGGTCTCGAACTCCTGACCTCAAGTGATCCACCCGCCTTGGCTTCCCTCAGTGCTGGGATTACAGGTATGAGCCACTATGCCTGGCTGCTTTTAATTATTTTGATCACACAGATAATATATGAATACATTTTAATATAAACTCAACTATTAAATCCAAAGTCAAAGTTCTTCACCACTCCCTCCATCCCCAGTTCCTCCTCCGAGGTAATCACTTAGCTGCTTGGTACATACCTCTCCAAACATTTTAAAAAGTGCATTCACAGCTGGGCGCAGTGGCTCACGCCTGTAATCCCAGCACTTTGGGAGGCCGAGGCGGGAGGATCACGAAGTCAAGAGATCGAGACCATCCTGGCCAACATGGTGAAACCCCGTCTCTACTAAAAATACAAAAATTAGCTGGGTGTGGTGGCAGGCACCTGTAGACCCAGCTACTCGGGAGGCTGAGGCAGGAGAATAGCTTGAATCCGGGAGGCGGAGGTTGCAATGAGCTGAGATGTGCCACTGCAATCCAGCCTGGCAACAGAGCAAGACTCCGTCTCAAAAAAAAAAAAAAGTGCATTCACTTATGTATACACATGCATAGGGATATTTCTGGATCTGGGATTATTTTGTGTGTTTTCAAACAAATATTATCCTGTGAAAAGATAAATTAAGAGGGACAGAGCCCGGGTTTGGGTAATTCTGAGAGCCAGCTGGCCATCTGTTTACTTTGCTTGGTGTTCACAGCATATTTTGTGAACATTCCAGTTTTTCTGTGAGATTCTCACAGATGAATTGGTGCTGTGGGAACCATCTGGCAGACCCCAGCCACAACAGCTGCAAATCCTTACAGCCATGTCTACCAGGTCAGCCTGCACTGGGACCTGCCTGAATCAAAAGTTTGCTGCCTGAATTTGTGCATTACAATTCAGCTGGAATTCACAGATATTAAATGTTCTTTGTTGGGATTAGGAAAGGGACAATGTGCTTGCCATGTGTTATGGAACAACTGAGGACACAAACATGACCATGGTTTCCCTTCCTGAAAGAAGTAAAACATTTATTATTTTTGGATTGGTCTACATTGTAATAAAAGTTGATATGTAACAAAACATATCTACATAGTGATTTTTTTTTATTGTCAATTGTCAAAGTTTACTACCACACTAACAGAACAATGACTTTTAACATACGGGTATATCCATAGATTAGGTCTCATTAAAGCTGTTACTAAATGGGGTCTAGGGATGGGGTCTAAGGAATACAGCTTTAGGAACAAATGTGGAAATGGGGATAGATTTATTTATTCCACTCATTAATTCATTCAATATAGTTTTTTGTTGGGAGCAGACAAGGTCTCTCGCTTTGTCACCTAGGATGTGGTGCAGTGGATTCGACATCTGGGCTTAACAGATTCTCCCATCTCAGCCTCCTGAGTAGCGGGGATTACAGGCATGCGCCACCACGCCCGGCTAATTTTTGTATTTTTTTGTACAGACAGGGTCTCCCAGGTTGCCCAGGCTAGTCTCGAACTCCTGGGCTCAATCAAGCGATCCGTCCACCTTGGCCTCCCAAAGTGCTGGGATTACAATCAATATACATTTAGTACCTATTATTTATGGGCTAATCATGTGCTAATGGACTGGTGGAATCACTCTATTCCCTTTGCTCTAGATTGAAGCTTCGAGACCACCTGGGAAAATAGACAACTAATGTAATGAATATCCATAACCAGTTTCAGAGACAACCAGTAGTTTGCAAGTTATTCCACCCATTAAACGATTCCAAATGTTGGAGAAAAGGCCCCCAACTTAAAATACTCCACGGAAACGTGCTCTATACATCTATGTGGTGCTTACAATAAAAGATGAATTCCTGCGACTGAGTTGCAACCCCGAAAGAAATGATTTAGAGAAAAAAAGAAAGAAAGAAAAAGGTAAGTATGTCACCGTGCTTTTGGAAAATGCTTTTGGGATTTGTCCAAGTTCTAGAGTGGAACCCAAGGCTCCTGGGCCAGGGGACAGAAGTGATAACTAAGTAGGATGCAATTTAGTTGGAATCTTCCCTGACCTTAATCCCATAAACAGTTGCCTAGGTAAAGGCAAAGTCTACAGGCCCTAAAACAGGGTACAAGCTTTCCCTAAAACATATTAGAGAGAGGCACTTTCAACAGGACCTTGTTGCAGGATCCCTAAAAAAAAAATTCAAAACAAGGAGATTTACATGTTATTCACCTTATCATAATTTCAGAAATATTTTACTAATAAAAAAGGAGTCGTGAAGTCTGGAACACCTTAAGACGTGACGTCTGCAACACCTTAAGAACAATGATTACAAATGTATTAATATTCTCTCTGATTTTAAGGGAAAAGTGATGAAGGAACAGGAAGATGGGTGGGCGTATGTTCCCAGAAATCCCCAGAACGTCAAAAAGGAAGCGGAGGCTTTGAGTGGAGGACTACGGAGAGCGTCTACGGTTGTGCCAAAGGAAAAAAAATGTTCCTAAGAAAAGAGTATACAAAGTTGTGTTCATCAAAGTCTGGAACCCAAAGGTGTCCCTCCAAAGCTGTACACGACAGAGAAAACGCGAACTGAAAGAAGAAGCAGGTCCCAAGGGGCCAGGCGCCTCCTCCACCTCCTCCTCCTCCTAGGTACGTAGGGCAGAACTAAGGCTGACCCAGACGTAACTCAGCCCTCTCCTCACGCCAGCCGCAGCCAAGCATCCCACGGAGCCTCCCCCCGCGCCCGTCGCCGTGGCGACCGCCGGGGCCACGCAGCACCGCCCCTTCCTCGCGACGTGGCCCCGCCCTCTGAGAACCCGGAAGCGGGAGTCTCGCGCCAGCTGAGCGGCGGTCGGGCGGGGGGAGCGCGGCGGCCCAAGCTCGCTCGGCCACGCGCCCCGCCCCCTCAGAGGCCGGCCTCCCGCACGCACCGCGCAGCCTGCTGTGCCCGTGGGTCCCGAGTGCTCCGCCGCCCGCCCCGACCCGGGCCCAGCCGCCTCCACGGCCCGCGCTCGTACTGGAGCGAAGAGCGGCCTCCTGAAGGAGGGGAAGGGACGTGGGGGCGGCCACGGCAGGTGAGGGTGGGCGAAGCCCTGGGAAGCGGCTGGGTGTGCGGTATGCGGGGTTGTAGGTGTGTGTGTGTGGCGCGTGGCTGCCTTGGTTGGTGTGACTTTGTGAGTGTGTTCTGAGTGGGCCGGTCCATGTGACCACGCACGTGATCACGTGCCCTTGTGAGTGTGTGTCTGGGGCCGAATCTGGGCTGTGGGGTGGTCGGTGTGCTTGTGACCCTGCCTTTGTGTGGCTGTCACCGGTGGGACTGGCGGGGAGCTGTGTGTGAGTCTCCAGCGGGAGGTGGGGGCGGCACAGGGCTTAACCGGGGCATCCTCCTGTAAACCCATCCTGGGGCTACACGACTGCAGCCCAGGAACATTTCTTTCTTTCTTTCTTTCTTTTTTTTTTTCTCAGCAAACTTTTAAGAACTGTGAGCAGAGGCCAGTAATTTTGGAGACAGGACCTCGGCCTGAAAGTGATAGATGTCTTTGTTGTTACTGAGTGTGGGCCAGGTGTAAGGTTTGTAAACGGGGGATGAGGAACAGAGCGGGACCGGAGTGTCTCATTTTTCCTCTTCTCGTTTTCCTGGGGAGTTATAAGTTAGACATTTATGCTGCTTCCTTTGTCTCCACCTACACTGGTTCAGCTCCTTTTGGCACAAAGATTCAACAAATTAAGGAGTAACTTTTTTTTTTTTTTTTTTTTTGAGACGGAGTCTCGCTCCGTCGCCCAGGCTGGAGTGCAGTGGCGCCATCCCAGCTCACTGCAAGCTCTGTCTGCTGGGTTTACGCCATTCTCCTGCCTCAGCCTCCCGAGTAGCTGGCACTACAGGCTCCCGCCACCACGCCCGGCTAATTTTTTGTATTTTTAGTAGAGACGGGGTTTCACCGTGTTAGCCAGGATGGCCTCGATCTCCTGACCTCGTGATCCGCCCGCCTCGGCCTCCCAAAGGGCTGAGATTACAGGCGTGAGCCATCGCGGCTGGCCACTGAGGAGTAACTTAATAGCTGTGTCCAAATTCCAAAAGCTTTTTTCCCAAGAGCATGAGAAGAGATGTCACAGATGTCAGGTAGGCACCTTTTCCTCCTGTAAGGTTTAGAGATAATGCAATGAAGAAAAGAGGGATAGATCTCCCCTGAAGAGATCTAAGAAAAGGATAGCTGTGTACTTCTGTGGTGAGGGATGGAGACGTGCATTAAAAAGCCAGTTGCATCTCCCAGAGACTCTCAGCTTCTAATATTTTGTTATGGCTAGTATTTATAAGCACAGATTTTCCACAATGCACATCAACTATAGATTGAAATAAAGTAGCAGAAACCTCTGACTAATTATGCTGGTTATGTGACTTAAACATTGATAAAGGTGATTTTGTTGACTTTAAAGTGGCAGGTTCTGTTGAAGCCATGAGGGATAGGGGCATAGTCACAACTGGCAGGTTTTTTTGTTTGTTTGTTTGTTTGTTTTTTGAGACAGAGTCTCACTCTGTCGCCCAGGCTGGAGTGCAGTGGTGTGATCTCAGCTCACTGCAACCTCCGCCACCCAGGTTCAAGCAATTCTCCTGCCTCAGCCTCCTAAGTAGCTGGGATTACAGGAGCCCATCACCGCGCCCAGCTAATTTGTTTTTGTTGTTGTTGCTGTTTTGTTTGTTTTTTTGAGATGGAGTTTCGCTCTCGTTGCCCAGGCTGGAGTGCAATGGCGTGATCTCGGCTCACCGCAACCTCTGCCTCCCGGGTTCAAGTGATTCTTCTGCCTCAGCTTCCTGCGTAGCTGGGATTACAGGCATGTGCCACCACGCCTAGCTAATTTTGTATTTTTAGTAGAGACGGGGCTGCACCATGTTGGCCAGGCTGGTCTCGAACTCCTGACCTCAGGTGATCCACCTGCCTCAGCCTCCCAAAGTGCTGGGATTATAGGCGTGAGCCACTGCACCCAGCCACAACTGGCAGTTTTTATTGTCCAGCAGCACAAGGGCCAGAGAAGACAGGGAGTCCACAGCACACCCTGAAGAGGGCTTTCCTTAGGCAAGATTAAGGCTAATATTGTGGCTCTTTTCCCACCAGCATGAACAGGTGCTTTTGTTTTTGTGAAGAACAAAATCATGAGAGATAAAATCAGTTTTGAGCTCATGGTCCACATTCTTTCTTATTCAGTACTGACCAGTTTGGTCACAATCTCAGTTAACCTTTGCCATATACAGAATATTCCTCTTATGATTTGGAAAAGTATACCCCTTTGGTGGATGAAAGAGAGCTAGGAGAACAAACTTTCCTATTCATACCACTCACAGCTGTTTTCCCTTTGCAGCAGTGATCTTTTTTTCACTTAGACGTCAGTTGGTCAGATGCAACATTTGGTATCCATTTTACCTTTCATGTACTGCCAAACTAGCACAAGTGTTAAAATTACTTGTCTCTACAAAAATTTAGTCACAGCGGAGTGGAATCTCTCCATCTTGTAAGATTACTTTTAACACGTTGGCATCCTGAGGTGGTTGTGAATTATTCTGAAGACTGTTGGTAAGGAACATCTTTCTATTTACTGCTATGGGAAAGAAGAGGATGACCGCGTGAATATGTGTGCCTGTGTATGTGTGTATTTGTATGGTGGTTTGGTTTGTGCATTGCAACTGATTTCAAAGCTATGAATGATTTATCCCATTTGGTGACTCTAGAAGCACACTTTCTGGCTTTAGTTAGCTAAGGTGTTTTATAAATCTATTGAGTAGATGTTATTTGCTAAACATGTTTTTATTTTCCCTCCTTTAGAATAGATTGTTTCTAATAATGCAATACTAGGAAATGTCTCCATTAAGAAGTATTTAGATGATATAGAAGTATTTCAAGTCTGTCCAGGTAGAAAATATTCCAGAATTAAGTATATGTGCTAGTTGCTTTCAATTAAAAGTTATAATCAGCTTAGAGAAAGCCTATAGTTAAAATGGCTTAGTTTTTTTTTGTTTTTTGTTTTTTTGTTTTTTGTTTTGTTTTGTTTTGTTTTGTTTTGTTTTTGAGACAGACTCTCACTCTGTCACCCAGGCTGGAGTGCAGTCTTGGCTCACTGCAACCTCCGCCTCCTGGGTTCAAGCGATTCTCCTGCCTCGCCTCCCGAGTATTTGGGATTACAGGCGGCCACTGCCATGCCTGGCTAATTTTTTTTGTATTTTTAGTAGAGATGGGGTTTCGCCATGTTGGTCAGGCTGGTCTTGAACTCCTCACCTCAGGTGATCCACCTGCCTCAGCCTCCCAAACTGCTGGGATTACAGGTGTGAGCCGCCGCGCCTGGCAAAATTTTTTAACATATTAATTTTTTTGTTTGTTTTTTTGAGATTGAGTCTCACTCTGTCGCCCAGGCTGGAGTGCAGTGGCACAATCTTGGCTCACCGCAACCTCTGCCTCCCGGGTTCAAGTGATTCTCCTGCCTCACCCTCCTGAGTAGCTGGGACTACGGGCGTGCGCCACCACGCCAGGCTAATTTTTGTATTTTTAGTAGAGACAGGGTTTCACTACCTTGGCTAGGCTGGTCTTGAACTCCTGACCTCGTGATCCACCTGCCTCAGCCTCCCAAAATGCTGGGATTACAGGCGTGAGCCACTGTGCCTGGCCTTAACATATTAATATTTAAGATAAAATGGATATGCAAAGAATTTTCTTTATTTCACTATATATATCTGTGCACACTAATTTTCAGTATAAGACTGGCTGATGATTTTCTTGGTACTTTAAAGCAACTTATGATTTTAACACACTTCTCTAAAATTACCATCTTAGCTTTGAGAAGAGAGACCATTATCACAATGTCAAGGTTGTAAATCAAGTTTAGTGTTAGAATGTCTACATCTGCTGTCTCCTCGGGGTTCAGCTTAGTACGTCTCCAAGGTCACAGTTGAGTCTACTGAGGGCTCTGTGTTCCTGAGGGAGCAGATCTCGAGGGCCACCAAGGAAGAGTTCCATTGAGTTTAGAATCCCCTGTTCCTTGCCAGTCCAGAGAACTCCCTCTAAAACGACAGTTCAGAGTCAGCCCGGGAGTTAGGTCTCACGAATCTCACCTCGTGTTAGCCGTGCTAGGATCAAGGCTTGCTCTTGAGGTAGAGGAAGTGGTACAAAGCAAATATTTGAATCCTTCCTGGTGGAATTTCCTCACTTGGCAATAAGAATCTGCAACAGGGAACTATAATTTCAGTTTCCTGTTATGACATAGCACAGATGCCTGAGCAAAGAGGGGCAGCCTTTTAGTTGAGGATGTTCAGCTAGGCCAAAGCTCACAGATGCCAGGGTTAGAAGGATGGCCCCCTTCATTCTCCTTAGAATGTAGTTATTCGTTCAATCAACAGATAATGCCTGCTGTGTGCCAAGCACTGATCTAAGCTTTGGGGACACAGTGGTAACACAGTCATAGATGAGGAAACAAACTCCAAAAGGATCAAGACTTATCTAAGATCACAGAGCTATGAAAACCAGAAGTCACTAAGCTCACAACAAAAGACTACACATTTTTTCCTAAGGGCAAATGTTTCATTTTGTTGTTAGTTATAGTGCCTTCAAGTTTACATTATAGATCTTTCTGAGGACATTGTGTAACTTTTAATCACGTCCATATGAGTGGCAAATTTGCCTGTATTTTGTATTAAGAACTACATGTAGGCGGGGCACGGTGGCTCATGCCTGTAATCCCAGCACTTTGGGAGGCTGAGGCGGGTGGATCATGAGGTCAGGAGCTCAAGGCCAGCCTGGCCAAGATGGTGAAACCCCGTCTCTACTAAAAATACAAAAAATTAGCCGGGCGCAGTGGCAGGTGCCTGTAATCCCAGCTACTCAGGAGGCTGAGGCAGGAGAATCGCTTGAACTTGGAGGGTGGAGGTTGCAGTGAGCTGAGATCACGCCACTGCACTCCAGCCTGGGTGACAGAGTGAGACTCTGTCTCAAAAAAAAAAAAAAAGGGAACTACATGTGAATTTCTGGTTATGTGCTATTACAGTTAGATTTATGGTGTATTGCGAATTTATCAGGAAGCAGGCTTAACTTAAACTTCTTTCTCTAGGCTGGGTGTGGTAGCTCATACCCGTAATCCCAGCACTTTGGGAGGCAAGATGGGAGGATTGCTTGAGCCTAGGAATTCGAGACCAGTGCAGGCAACACAGGGAGGCCCCCATCTCTACAAAACCAAAAAATTCACCTGACGTGGTGGTGTGTGCCCATTGTCTCAGCTACTTAGGAGGCTGAGGTTGGGATAATCACTTGAGCCTCAGAGGTTAAGGCTGTGGTGAGCTGTGATTGTGCCATTGAACTGCAGCCTGGACAACAGAGCAAGACTGTCTCAAAAATTAAAAAAGTAAAAAAACATCAACTCCTTTCTCTAGCGTGGACTATCCCTATAATCAGACAGGAGCATCTTTATTAAAGGGATTCTTAAGGTAATGTCAAAAGATAACTGATGGTACTGCAGTTGAGAACTAAGACAGGAAGTATGGTGTCAGAAAAGGCTGTCTCACATCTGGTCCTAGCATTGCCATGTGATCTTGGGTAAGTCATTTAAATTTTCTAGACCAGATTCCTTTTCTGGAAGAACTAAGGGTGTTGGAATAATTTCTGTAAGAGCTCTTCTGGTGGCCGGGCATGGTGGCTCACGCCTGTAATCCCAACACTTTAGGAGGCTGAGGTGGGTGGATCACCTGAGGTCAGGAGTTCGAGACCAGCCTGGCCAACATGGTGAACCCCCATCCCTACTAAAAATACAAAAATTAGTTGGGCGTGGTGGCGGGCACCTGTAATCCCAGATACTCGGGAGGCTGAGGCAGGAGAATCACTTGAACTGCAGGAGGTAGAGGATGCAGTGAGCTGAGATCACGCCACTGCACTCCAGCCTGGGCAACAAGACTGAGACTGTCTCAAAAAAAAAAAAAAAAGAGTGCTTCTGATTCTGTGATTGTAGTATTTCACCAAATTGTTTTCTGTAGTTGGACTATATACTGACAAAATAGCCAGTTTCCTTGGCTTTCTTCTTTAAAATATTGTTGGTATAGCTAGATGAGACTCTACATTTAGTTCTGATGTAAACATGAATTCTTGACGTGAAATATCACATGCTTTTATTTCAGGATTAACCTCCATTTCAGCTAATCATGGGAGAGATTAAAGTCTCTCCTGATTATAACTGGTTTAGAGGTACAGTTCCCCTTAAAAAGGTATGTATGGTTTTACTATACCTCTTATTTGCAAAATCTTGTATTGTTTTTGTGTGTGATTTAGATGTCATGTCTTAGTAGTGTTTGAGAGTAAAGGTTACTGCCGAGTATCATGACTGTGGGTTGCAGAGGATTAAGTTCACTCCTTCCCTGTCATGTACAGTCAACTTTTGAGACTCATTTTAGAGTGAAAGCAAGTGTAACTGTACTCATTTTTATTTATTTATTTATTTATATTTATTTTTGAGATGGAGTCTCGCTCTGCCGTCCAGGCTGGAGTGCAGTGCACTGCATGATCTCGGCTCACTGCAACCTCTGCTTCCCAGGTTCAAGAGATTCTCCTGCCTCAACCTGCCAAGTAGCTAGGATTACAGGCATGCGCTACCACACTCAGCTAATTTTTGTATTTTTAGTAGAGGCAGAGTTTCACCATGTTGGCCAGGCTGGTCTCGAACTCCTGACCACAAGTGATCCGCCCACCTTGGCCTCCCAAAGTGCTGGGATTACAGGCGTGAGCCACCGCACCCAGCCTGTACTCATTTTTTATAATTGCTTTTACATATACAAGCAAGCAGGTATGTATGTACTCTTCTGTATAGTTTAGTGGAAAGTTTACAGCAACTGTATAGTGAGTACAGTCAGATTATATTCCTGTTCCTCAGATTTAAGAATGGGGTCACATTATAGAGCTTCTGTTTGCAATGACATACTCATTCTGCCACAGTCATCTTCTAGAAGCTTTATTTTCCTGGGATGTTTGAAAACCCAAAACACTTATATTGCAGTTGAGTATTGACTCTGCTTCCCAAATTAATCCCAGATGTTTGGGGATCACACTAGACAAAGGCAGTTCAAGTCACTGAGTAGAGTAAAACCTTTGCTGATTCCCTTGCAGGAGTGTTAGAATCCAGTGATCTTAAGATCTTTTGCAGCTGTTTGTGATGGCTCATGCCTGTAATCCTAGCACTTTAGAGACCTAGGAGGATCATTTGAGGCCAGGAGTTTGAGACCAGCCTGGGCAACATAGCGAAACTCTGTCTCTATAAAAAAATGAAAAAATTAGCCAGGCATGGTGCTGTGCACCTGTAATCCCAGCACTTTGGAAGGCCGAGGCAGGAAGATTGCTTGAGCCTAGGAATTTGAGATCAGCCTGGGCAATATGATGAGACCCTTTCTCTACAAAAACTAGAAAAAATTAACTGGGCGTGTTGGTGCACGCCTGTAGTCCCGGACACTCAGGAGGCTGAGATGGGAGGATTGCTTAAGCCCAGGAAGACAAGCTTGCAGTAAGCTGTGATCGTGCCACTGCACTCCAGCCTGGGTGACAGAGCCAGACCTTGTCTCAAAAAAAAAAAAAAAAAAAAGAAAAGAAAAGAAAAAATGTGAGTGGCAAGATACACAGGACAAAAACATGAGCGTGAGATACATTATCACCATCTGTGACCTGTGGAAGTCCAAAGGGAACTGTTAGGCCTCTCTGGACTTTGCCTTGCTCCATTTATCTGCTCCTAGTGATGCCAGTGACCCTGGTTAGTGTGCTGCCACCCACAGAGTGACACTGTGGAGTCCATAGCCCTGCTAGTGAGGAGCTCTCAGAAAAAAGAGCCTGGAGGCCTTGAGTTTTTTAATATGAAAGTAGAATAAATACTGATTTGCATTGTCAAATGTTTAAGCAGTTAATGTACTTTTCTAAATACCACCAAAAGTGAAAGCAAAAATTAAACTAGGATGCCGTGAATAATAATAATAGCTAATATTTCTAGGACACTTAACATCTGCCAGACTCTGCTGAGCACTTGTCTTACCTCAGCTTGCCTTTTTTTTTTTTAAGAGACAGGATCTCTCCCTCTGTTGCTCAGGCTGGAGTGTTGTTGTATTTTTATTTATTTATTTATGTATTTTAAAGAGACAGGATCCAGGCCGGGCGCAGTGGCTCACGCCTGTAATCCCAGCACTTTGGGAGGCCAAGGCGGGTGGATCATGAGCTCAGGAGTTCGAGACCAGCCTGACCAATATGGTGAAACCCCGTCTCTACTAAAAATACAAAAAATTAGCTGGGCATGAGGGTGTGTGCCTATAATCCCAGCTACTTGGGAGGCTGAGGCAGGAGAATCGCTTGAACCTGGGAGGCAGAGGTTGTAGTGAGCCAAGATCGTGCCACTGCACTCCAGCCTGGGCTACAGAGCGAGACTCTGTCTCAAAAAAAAAAAAAAAAAAGGAGGAGGGGGAAGAAACAGAGAAGCAGCAGCCCTTTGGAAGATTATAAAGTAGTTCTAAGTAGTTCTGTGGAATACGTTAGCCCTGAGGAAAGAAAAGGAGATCAGAGGAGTTTGTCATGCATGCTAATCTGGTGTGAGCTCCAGGTTACCTTGTAACAAACAAGGCAGTAGTAGTAAAATTGTCAGTGAAATGACAGTGTAAAATAACATAAAAAGCAAATTTATAAGGTTTTCCACTTTTTTCTTTTAACCTTCCCTCCAGATTATTGTGGATGATGATGACAGTAAGATATGGTCGCTCTATGACGCGGGCCCCCGAAGTATCAGGTGTCCTCTCATATTCCTGCCCCCTGTCAGTGGAACTGCAGATGTCTTTTTCCGGCAGATTTTGGCTCTGACTGGATGGGGTTACCGGGTTATCGCTGTAAGTATTACTGATTAAAATTCAGACCCACGTTTTGTGTGTTTTTTTTTTTTTATGCTTCTGTCTCTCATCAGCTATAGTAATGGGCACAGTTTGTTTGTTTGTTTGTTTGTTTGTTTGTTTGTTGAGATGGATTCTCACTCTGTCGCCCGGGCTGGAGTGCAGTGGCGTGATCTCTGCTCACTGCAACCTCCGTCTCCCGGGTTCAAGCGATTCTCCTGCCTCAGCCTCCCGAGTAGCTGGGATTACAGGCGCCCGCCACTACGCCCAGCTAATTTTTTGTATTTTTAGTAGAGACGGGGTTTCGCCGTGTTGGCCAGGCTGGTCTCGAACTCCTGACCTCATGATTCATCCACCTCAGCCTCGCAAAGTGCTGAGATTACAGCCACGAGCCACTGCGCCCAGCCAGGCAGTTTTTTTAATTGAGGAAAGATACTGTTTGCTTATTTTAATATGTGAGATGAAGCCTTTTGAAGGAGGCTGGTGTGAGTCCACGGTCACACAGAGATTCAGAGGGAACAAACCTCTTTTGGCAGCCTCTCCATGCCCAGCATTTACGTGCATTCTCTCCTGACGCCCTTCTCTCAACTCAGAGCGGTAGGAAGCGTTGTCCTTCTTTACAGATGAAGAAACTGAGGTCCGGCTCACACAGCCAGTAGTGGTGGAGGGAGGAACTGAGCTCCGTCTCCTGGCTCTGTTTCTGCTCCTCATTTTATCACAGCACTGCTTCCAGGGTTGCTGAGCATGGAATATTAGACAACAAAGGGATTTGCTAACATACAAGTGACTTGAAAAGCTGGCTTTTCATGTAAATCTTTGATATTTGAGGTGAGATTCATTAATTAGCTCATATGTTAGCATTTGGTTAGGAAGTTTTTTTGTTCCTGATTGTTACTTTATAGCTGAGTTTGGTCTAAATCCAGTTTCCCACTGATCATTCTTGAGTCTTCTCTGGGAGAAAGGTGTGTGGGAAAGGCACTCTTCCTGGTGACTGATTTTTTTTTTTTTTTTTTTTTTTGCATGCTTCCACATTGGTCAGGACATTGGTCTCCTAATTTTCCAGGAAGGAGAGAGTCTCTTTAGCTGGCAGTCGCCTGCAGTATTCACTTGTAAGTGGTACTCCCAGTGGGAGTACTGCTGTTAGTGTACGTTTTATTTACTGTTTAAAGGGATGAAAAGGCAGGTCACGTCTCTCCTTTTGGAAGGTAACTGAAAATTCTACTGAGGTTACCACCAACTGAGGCCACACAAAGGAAATCAGTTCCTCTTCCTCCTGAGAGCCCGTCTCTTACTTGAGAAAACAGTTATCATCACTACCTGCTGCTTTTCTCCTGGGTCTTTTCTTCTCTGGCTTAATTTCTCCAGCTTCTTTAACCATTCCTCACGTGACATGTTTGAGCCTCTGCAACATAATCCTCCTTTGTTCAGATTTTCAGTCATTCCTCTTCACAAACAGCATTCTAGAACAGGGTGGGAACTGCCCTCATCCCAGCCCTCTGCAGCCTGAGACATGACACTACCATTTTTGGTGGCCCCTGTTGATCAGCCAGGGAGGGGGAAACCGAGCAACCCATAGGCGCCCGTCCCACTCGGGAGTGCTGTCCAGCAGTGTGTTTCTCGCTCCACAGTGGCAGGTCATGAGAGCCTTGGCTTCTGGCTGGATGTTTCTTCTTCACTCTCAAGGTTCTTGTTGTGCGCTTTCCCTGTTTCATTAGGAGGAGAGTTAATCAAGAAAAGGTCAACAGTGTCTTCAAAATTATTTTGTCATCAAGATGTGATCAGAATGTTCAGCTCCATGAGGTTTTGGAACTTATTTAATATTTGTTAGTATCTAGCAGTTAAAATGCACAGATCTTTTTAATTTAAATTTTTTTGTTGTTGTAATTGTAGATTCACATGCAGTGTAAAAAATAGTAAAGAGAAATATACCTTTTACACATTTCCCCAGTTTCTGCCGAACCTTTGCAAAACTGTAGTACAAAATCACAACCAGGATATTGATATTACTACAATCTACCAATCTCATTCAGGCTTCCCCAGTTCTGCTTGAACTCATTTGTTTGTATGTATTAAGTTGCATATAATTTTGTCACCTGTGTGGGCATGGATATTTATAAATTAAAGACTCCATGAAAGTATCATCCCCTTTCTTTTAGGCTATCATCTGACTCAAATTCTCAAACTTTCTGCTAGGTAGAATCAGTTCCCCATTCTTTCTTGGAATGGTGGAAGTCTTATCCACAAATAGAATTTTAATAATGAAAGTCATACATCAAATCTAAAATGATTCCATAATTCATATGGCAGTATCCATTCCAGTGATTCATCAATAACAAAATGAACCTAAGTGCTTAAACAGTAAGCCTGTTAGACGAGGTTTTTGGGGGAGTTTTTTTGTTTTTGTTTTTGTTTTTTGGAGATGGAGTCTCACTCTGTCACTCAGGCTAGAGTGCAGTAGTATGATCTCGGCTCATGCAACCTCCACCTCTCAGGCTCAAGCAATTCTCATGCCTCAGCTTCCCCAGTAGCTGGGATTACAGGTGCCTGTCACCATGCCTGGCTAATTTTTGTATTTTTTAGTAGAGATGGGGTTTCACCATGTTGTCCAGGCTGGTCTCGAACTCCTGACCTCAAGTGATTCACCCGCCTCGGCCTCCCAAAGCGCTGGGATTGCAAGCGTGAGCCACCACGCCCAGCCAGTTGGTTTTATATGTATATAAAAAAGGAATTCTTGGCCAGGCGCGGTGGCTCACGCCTGTAATCCCAGCACTTTGGGAGGCCGAGGCAGGCGGATCACAAGATCAGGAGATCGAGACCATCCTGGCTAACATGGTGAAACCCCGTCTCTACTAAAAATACAACAACAACAAAAAATTAGTCGGGTGTGGTGGCACATGCCTGTAGTCCCAGCTACTCAGGAGACTGAGGCAGGAGAATCGCTTGAACCTGGGAGGTGGAGGTTGCAGTGAGCCGAGATCGCGCCACTGCACTCCAGCCTGGGCGACAGAGCGAGACCCCAGTTCAAACAAACAAAAAAAAGGAATTCTTAGGGGACAAACCTGAGTCCCTTAGAAATGAGTTTGTGACTTGTACTTCTTTTTCCTCATCATTGCCAGCATTAATAGATAGGCTACGTATAGTCAAGTACCATACTTCTTTTGTCACAAACAGAAGTACAGTAGCCTGGCATGGTGGCTCACACCCGTAATCCCAGCACTTTGGGAAGTTAAGGCAGTTATATTGCTTGAGGCAGGCAAATCGCTTGAGCCCAGGAGTTCAAGACCAGCCTGGGCAACGTGGCAAAACCCCATTTCTACAAAAAAGTATACATATAAAAATTAGCCAGGCATGGTGGTGCATGCCTGTGATTCCAGCTACCGGGGGGCTGAGGTGGGAGAATCGCTTGCACCCAAGAGGTTGTGGCTGCAGTGAGCTACAATCGTGCCAATGCACTCCAGCCTGGGTGAGAGAGAGTGAGACCCTATCACAAAAACAAACAAGCTGGGTGGAGTGACTCACGCCTAAAATTCCAACACTTTGGGAGGCCAAGGCAGTTAGATCACTTGAGGTCAGGAGTTCGAGACTAGCCTGGCCAACATGGCAAAACTGTGTCTGTACTAAAAATACAAAAATCAGCTGGGTGTGGTGGTGGACATCTGTAATCTCAGCTACTCAGGAGGCTGAGGTAGGAGAATCGTTCAAACCCGGGAGGCGGAGGTGGCATGAGTCGAGATCGCGCCGCTGCACTCCAGCCTGGGCAACAGAGGAGACTCTGTCTCAAGAAACAAACAGACACCCCAAAGTACAATAAATGAAATAGAGTAACTAAGTCATTTAAAAGAAGAGGAACAATTTTACTGAATACCCTCTTAAAGAAATGCTACCAAAAAGAGAGGAAGCTCTCCTTAGAACAAATTTTGTTTCCATCTCTCCTGAGCCATAATTCTGAATGAAATTAGATTTAAGAGAAAACGGTATTTCTTTACTGGAATGGGTTCTGCTGTATTCATCCTTGAACCCCAGACTTTTTCAGCTATTTAGAAAGGAAATTGATGGGAATTGAAATTGTTACTCACGTAATATCATTAGAGTGTGCTTACTTTTTATACTCTTTTAATTTGGTCTGTTAGAAAAATGTGAAATATGAAGTTTAGTAAAAAGTGAGAGCTTATTTTTACATATTTTGAATAAGGAGCAGCGCTTGAGCAAACGAGAAATGTCAGTGTTTGAGTCCTAAGTTTTTCAAATACGTGAGTTGCATTTTTACTTTTATGATTTTTAAAAATAAAATTATCGTTATTATTTCAGTTGCAGTATCCAGTTTATTGGGACCATCTCGAGTTCTGTGATGGATTCAGAAAACTTTTAGACCATTTACAATTGGATAAAGTGAGTACCCTGAAACTAATTACATACATACAATTTTTTTTTTATTTTTTGAGATGAAGTCTCACTCTGTCACCCAGGCTGGAGTGCAGTGGCGCGATCTCGGCTCACCGCAACCTCCACCTCCCGGATTCAAGTGATTCTCCTGCCTCAGTCTCCAAAATAGCTGGGATTACAGGCGTGTGCCACCATGCCCGGCTAGTTTTTGTATTTTTAGTAAAGATGGGGTTTCGCCAGGTTGGCCAGGCTGCTCTCAAACTCCTGACCTCAAGTGATCCGCCCGCCTCAGCCTCCCTAAGTGCTGGGATTACAGGCGTGAGCCACCGTGCCGAGCCCTCTTTTATTTTTTAATAATAGCTTTATTGCAACATAATTCATATACCATATAATTTACCCTTTTAAGTATACAGTTCCATGTTTTTCAGTATACTCCCAGGTATGTGCAACCATCACTGCAGTCAATGTTTTATAATTTTTTTAATGCCAAAAACCTCATATTCATTAGCAGTCGGTCCTCATCTTCCCCCCTACTAGCCCTGCAACCTAATTTATTTTTATCTCTATGGATTTGCCTATTCTAGATATTTTACATAAGTGGAATCGTATCATATGTGGTCTTTTTGACTGGCTTTTTTTATTTAGCATTGTGAGTTTAAGGTTCATTCATGTTGAAGCCGGAATCAATACTTCGTTTCTCTTTACAGTTAAATCATATTTTTATAAATATGCCATATCTTGTTTAACGATTCATCAGCTGATGCACATTTGGGTTGTTTTTACCCTTTGGATATCATGAATAATGCTGCCATGAACATTCATGTACAAGTTTTTGTGTTGACATATGTTTTCAGTTCTCTTAGGTATGTGTTTAGGGGTGGAATTACTGAATCACAGTTTTCTTAGACATAAACCACTAAGTGGTTTTGAGTTTTTTCTTTTTTTTTTTTTTTGAGACAGGCTTTCACTTTGTTGCCCAGGCTGGAGTGCGGTGGTGCAATCATGGCTCACTGCAGCCTCAACCTTTTGGGCTCAAGCGATCCTCCCACCTCAACCTCCCAAGTAGCTAGGACTCTAGGCACGTACCACCATGCCTGGCTAATTTTTGTATTTTTAGTATACAGGCCTTTTCCATATTTCCCTAGCTTGGTTTTGTTGGTTTCTTTTTTTCTTTTCTTTTTTTTTTTTTTTTTAAGACGGAGTCTCGCTCTGTTGCCCAGGCTGGAGTGCAGTGGTGCGATCTTGGCTCACTGCAACCTCCGCCTGCCAGGTTCAAGCGATTCTGCTGCCTCAGCCTCCCGAGTAGCTGGGACTACAGGCACGCACCACCATGCCTGGCTAGTTTTTTTGTATTTTTAGTAGAGACGGTTTCACCATGCTGGCTAGGCTGGTCTCGAACTCCTGACCTCGTGATCTGCCTGCCTCGGCCTCCCAAAGTGCTGGGATTACAGGTGTGAGCCACCGTGCCTGGACTGGTTTTGTTTTCTAATGCAATCTGTGAATGATATTTTTTTTAATTATATAACTTGGATGCCAAGTTGTATTATCTTGATGGACTGTATAAATTGCATTTAAATACAATATTTTCTAAATTTCTAGCTGCTGTAAATATTTTAGTCTATTGGCTAGTGATAACATATTCTGTGGTTAGTGATAATTGAAGCAACTTTTTAATACTCAGGTTCAAGATTGATCAGTATTTCAGAATCTGCCTTATATTTGTTTATAATTAGGTTCATCTTTTTGGCGCTTCTTTGGGAGGCTTTTTGGCCCAGAAATTTGCTGAATACACTCACAAATCTCCTAGAGTCCATTCCCTAATCCTCTGCAATTCCTTCAGTGACACCTCTATCTTCAACCAAACTTGGACTGCAAACAGGTAAGAACAAAATTACTTTTTTTGTTCAGTGAAATTTTGAAAATGTTGGCTTTTGAGTGTTTGGTACATTAGGAAGGGAAGACTTATATCTACTTCTATATTCTGCAACTTCCTTGGCTTTTTTTTTGAGACAGAGTCTTGCTCTGTCACCCAGGCTGAAGTGCAGTGGTGCAATCACAGCTTACTGCAGCCTTTATTTCCCAGGCTCAAGCGATCCTCCTACCTCAGCCTCCCAAGTAGCTGGAACTACAGGCAGGCATGCATGGCACCACACCTGGTTAATTTCTGTATATTTTTGTACAGATGAGGTTTTGCCATGTTGTCCCATGCTGGTCTCTAACTCCCGGGCTCAAGCCATCTGCCCACCTTGGCCTCCCAAAGTTCTGGGATTACAGGCATGAGCCACTGTGCCCGGCTCTTTCTTGGCTTTTAAAATTAGAAACAATTACCTTTGCAAAAGGAAAGAATTGAATGAACTCTAAATTCAGCTTTTTTTATTACCTTAAATTTTTAAATTTTGTTTAATATTCATTAATATACTTTTGCTGTTTTTATTCAGTATTTCTATGTAACTAATACCATGTTCTGTTTATCCCACTTATTATTATGTGTAAACAGTTCCGTGTATTGACTGACATAGTTTTATTAGGCATTTGGCTTTTCCCAATTCTTCATCACATTCTACAGTAAATCTTTGTACAAATTACTGGGTTTTTTCCCTTTCCAATTTATTTCCTTGAGATATGTTCTCCAAATGGAAAGAATAGAGCATTTGGTCTGTCAACAGATGTTCTGCACATCATGACCCTTGATATTAGTCTGTTCTTCCAAAAGATAGAAATGGTGGAAATGAGGCTGGGTGCGGTGGCTCACACCTGTAATCCCAGCACTTTGGGAGGCCGAGGCGGCCGGATCACCTGAGGTCGGGAGTTCGAGACCAGCCTGACCAACGTGGAGAAACCCTGTCTACTAAAAATACAAAATTAGCTGGGCAAGGTGGCACATGCCTATAATCCCAGCTACTCAGGAGGCTGAGGCAGGAGAATCACTTGAACCCAGGATGCGGAGGTTGTGGTGAGCCGAGATCACGCCATTGCACTCCAGCCTAGGCAACAGGAGCGAAACTCCATCTCAAAAAAAAAACAAACCAAAAACAAAATGGTGGAAATGCTTTGGGTGCAGCCAGTGGGGTACTTGTTTCCTAGGAGCCATCCTTTCATTGATTTTATCATTTTAAGTAATTGGTAGGTATCTATGATGCCATACAGCTGGCTTACTGTGCACTTCTTTCATTGCTGGCAAGGCGAGGCTCTAGCCTTAAAATAAAGCCCAGTGGCCAGGTGTGATGGCTCATGCCGTACTCCCAACACTTTGGGAGGCCAAGACAGGAGGATCACTTCAGGCCAAGAGTTTGAAACCAGCCTGAGCAACATAGTGAGACCCCATCTCTACAAATAACAATAATAATAAATTAGCCAGGTATCATGGTATGCACCTGCAGTCCTAGCTACTCAGGAGGCTGAGGCAGGAGGATCGCTTGAGCCCAAGAGTTCAAGGCTGCAGTGAGCCACAACTGTGCCTCTGTACTCCAGGCTGGGTGACAGAGCAAGACCCTACTTCAAAAAAAAAGCCCAGTGAGTAAACACATCTGTATGATCAGTGTTTTCAAATAATGTATAGGGAAATATCGTTTTCACATCTACTTAAAATTGCACTCTGATATTTTTTAGTTTTTTTTGTTGTTGTTTGTTTTTTTGTTTGTTTGTTTTTGAGATGGAGTCTCGCTCTGTCGCCCAGGCTGGAGTGCAGTGGCACGATCTCAGCTCACTGCAAGCTCTGCCTCCCAGGTTCACGCCATTCTCCTGCCTCAGCCTCCCGAATAGCTGGGACTACAGGCGCCCGCCACCATGCCTGGCTAATTTTTTATGTTTTTAGTAGAGACGGGGTTTCACCGTGTTCACCAGTATGGTCTCGATCTCCTGACCTCGTGATCCGCCCGCCTCAGCCTCCCAAAGTGCTGGGATTACAGGCATGAGCCACTGTGCCCAGCTATTTTTTAGTTTTTCTGATGTTATCTTAGTAATTACTCAGCATTCATGCAACAATTTCTTGTATACATTAGCTACTTTACAAATCCTTCCCGTCCAGATAATGCACTAAATAATGCTCATTATTTTTGGTGATTTTTATTGCTGTTCTAATTGTTAGAATGCCAAGACAGCCCCCATTCAGTTTGTGCTCTGGCACATCAGCTGCTTATTGTCAAATATCTGAGTGCTTACTGTGTGCCACACACTGAGGATCCAGGAGTGAGCAAAGTCAACAGGGTCCACCCCTTACAGAGCGTACTTAGACCTCATCACCTTCAAAAGATAAGAAAGTGATGGGGCTGGGAGAGAACTTAGAAAGTTAACTGGAAGGTGACCTAGTGGTCCTTTTGAGGGAAGCTCAACTTCCAGCAAGGCTGTCCCAGTGGTAATAAGCATCAGAAGGTAGTTTGCACCTCATCTAAGTAATTTTCGTCATAGGTTTACAGAAATTAGTGTTTGCCCTCCATGATGGCTCTTAACAGTTGAAATTAATGGAATAAATATAAACTAAAGATCATATATAGAAATCCGTAAAGATCTGACCAGTCACAGTGGCTCACACCTGTAATCCCAGCACTTTGGGAGGCAGAGGTAAGAGCATTGCTTGAGTCCAGGAGTTCTAGACCAGCCTGGGCAACAGAGCAAGATCCTGTCTCTACAGAAAAAAAATTTTCTTTTTTGAGATGGGAGTCTCGCTCTGTTGCCCAGGCTGGAGTGCAGTGGCACGTTCTCACTGCAGCCTCTGCCCCCCAGGTTCAAGTGATTCTCCTGCCTCAGCCTCCCAAGTAGCTGGGATTACAGGCGCTGGCCACCGCCCCTGGCTAATTTTTGTATTTTTAGTAGAGACGGGGTTTCACCATCTTGGCCAGGCTGGTCTTGAACTCCTGACCTTGTGATCACCCACCTTGGCCTCCCAAAGTTCTGGATTACAGGCATGAGCCATTGCGCCTGGCTCAGTAAATTTTTTTTTTTGGAGACGGAGTCTGGCTCTGTCGCCCAGGCTGGAGTGCCATGGCACGATCTTGGCTCACTGCAAGCTCCATCTCCTGGGTTCACGCCATTCTCCTGCCTCAGCCTCCCGAGTAGCTGGGACTACAGGCGCCCGCCACCAAGCCCGGCTAATTTTTAGTATTTTTAGTGGAGACGGGGTTTCACCGTGTTAGCCAGGATGGTCTCAATCTCCTGACCTCGTGATCTGCCCACCTTGGCCTCCCAAAGTGCTGGGATTACAGGCATGAGCCACCGTGCCTGGCCCCGGCTCCCCCAGCTCAGTAAATTTTTAAAAAATTAGTCAGGCCTGGTGGTACGAGCCCGTAGTCCCAGCTACTCGGGAGGCCAAGGTAGAAGGATCACTTGATAGGAGTTTGAGGCTACAGTGAGCTATGATCACAATACTGCACTTCAGCCTGGGCAACAGAGTGAGACCCTGTCTCTAAAAGTTTTTTTTTAAATTTTTTAATTAAAAAATAAAAAGAGGCCAGGAGTGGCTCACGCCTGTGATCCCAGCACTGTGGGAGGCTGAGGTGGGTGGATCACTTGAGGCCAGGAGTTCACCACCAGTCTGGCCAACATTGCAAAAGCTCATCTTTACTAAAAATACAGAAGTTAGCCGGGCGTGGTGGCATGTGCCTGTAGTCGCAGCTACTCGAAAGGCTGAGGCATGAGAATTGCTTGAGCCCGGGAGGCAGAGGTTGCACCCAGCCGAGATCATGCCACTGTACTTCCAGCATGGGTAACTGACTGAGACTCTGTCTCAAAAAATAATAACAATAATAAATTTAAAAAATAAATCTATAAATATCAATTTGCCTTGAATTAGCCAAGTTGAATCTAATAGTAGCAAATTTGGGGAGGTGCAATAGCTTTCATATTGGTATTTTGAAATCTGTTTTGAAATATCAATCGATAAAAACATAATATCAACCAGAAGGAAAGAATACTTCTCTTAATATTCAGTTTTCCAAAAGAAATAGTTTAATCCTTGGAAATAGGGCCAATTAGAGAAAAAAAACAATCTTGGACTCATCAGAATGTCTATCTCAGTAAAGGTATTTTGAAATATCTCTTATAATTATCCTAAATCCTCAAATAAAAGTTTAATTATATGAAGCCATAACTCTTTGGAAGCTTGGGAAAGTGTGTGTAAAAACTAGATGCTGAGCTCTTTGGAGGAGGGGATTAGGACTTTTTATTTCTAGATCCCAAGCTAATACAAAGCTTTAATGTTGAATGAATATTTGCCATGTGTAGTCTTGGAAGTTTAAATTATAAGGTCTTTGTGTTTTACAGCTTTTGGCTGATGCCTGCATTTATGCTCAAAAAAATAGTTCTTGGAAATTTTTCATCTGGCCCGGTGGACCCTATGATGGCTGATGCCATTGATTTCATGGTAGACAGGGTAAGGATCATGACATTGGGTTGGGGACACATTGTATTGGGAATTTTCACATCTACTTGGTTCCAGAAGATAGATCTGTCTCACAAGTATGTGTAAGAGGTATTTGCTAAGCAGAGTAATACATCTGAGCAGATATTATTGCTGGTAAGGGCTTGCCTACATCAGTGCTTCCCACCAGCTATTCATCAAAATCACTTAGGGGAGCTTTCAAAAATACAGATTGTAAGGCCTCACAGCAGATCATCCATCTGGAATCCCTGGGCATGGGATCTGGGAATCTATTTTTACTTCACACTTTTCCTCTACCCACCAGGTAAATCTGATGAACCAGGTCTGTTGGCTTGCATTTAGGAACTGCTGGGCTAGATGATTTCTCAAATCTCTTTTAAGATCCCTTAAAGGTTTATCTTAAAAAAAAAAAAAAAACAAAAACATATATCTGTCACCTTTGAGCAGTAGGAATTGGCTTGCTGCCCATGGGCACCTGGCTGGAGTAGGCAGTGTAGGCTGAGGGCTGTAGAAGGCCGGGTTTCATTGGTTTGTACCCAGGTTTCCAGAATAGAAAAATGCCACAACCTCCTGAGAAGCCCAGTTCATGGTCTCTCACCTAAGTTGTGGTTCCTCACTGATGACTTTTCTGGCCCCACCACAGATGATACCACCTTTATAAGCACAAATGTTGTCTGTGGATTTAATGTAAATGTGAAAAACAAAATTATTTCAAAAACTTTACCTGTGTTTCTTCCTGCAGCTAGAAAGTTTGGGTCAGAGTGAACTGGCTTCAAGACTTACCTTGAATTGTCAAAATTCTTATGTGGAACCTCATAAAATTCGGGACATACCTGTAACTATTATGGATGTAAGCTTCCTTTTAAGTAAAATAGCTGCTTTACTTTTTAAAATGTGTATGTCAAGATCTCCTATAAAACTATTTGATAACTTTCAATGTACCTCTTCAAATGCTGCCTTGGCTTTTGTTTTTACCCTCCAGCTTTCTCAATTCCAAAATAATCTGTTTATTGCTTATCTTGGATTTCTTTCTGGCAGGAATAACACCATTGAAATCAAAATAGGCCGAGCACAGTGGCTTATGCCTGTAATCCCAGCGCTTTGGGAGGCTGAGGCAGGAGGATTGCTTGAGTCCAAGAGTTCAGGACCAGCCTGGGCAACATAGTGAGACCCTGTCTGTATTTATTAAAAAAAAATAAAAATAAAAATGAATCAAAATAAATTTAAACAAGGGAGTCTACCCATTTGATGTATTTTTGCTGTTCTCATCAATAGATATTGCACCATATATTGCACATATATGGGCAGCAAAGAGAAGGTGCTTCACAAGGGTAACAAGGGTAGAGAATCAAGAATTCCATAGTTTAATTACCACAAAAGCTTGCTTATTTTTTTATTGTGGTAAAATGTACATTTAAAATATGCCATTTTAACCATTTTTAAGTGCATAGTTCAGTGGCATTAAGTATATTCACAGTTCGGCAACCATCACCATTTTCACAACATTTTCATCATTCCAAGAAGAAATTGCATACCCATTAAACAATAACTCCTGTTCCCTTTCTTCCCCCGGCCTCTGATAATCAACGGTTTTATTTTCTGTCTATAAAAATTTACCTATTCTAGAACCTCATATAAGTAGAATCATACAACATTTATCCTTTTGTGTGGCCATTTCACTTAGCATAATGTTTCACAAGACTTATCTTGAAATGTTATACATGTGTCAGAATGTCATTTCTTTCTTTTTTTTTTTTTTTTTTTGGAAACAGGGTCTCACTCTGTTCCCCAGGCTGGAGTGCAGTGGTGCAATCTCAGCTCACTGCAACCTCTGCCTCCCGGGCCCAAACAATCCTCCCTCCTCAGCCTCCTTAGTAGCTTGGACCACAGGCTCACACCACTACGTTCGGCTAATTTTTTGTAGAGATGGGGTTTCACCATGTTGCCCATGCTGGACTCAAACTCTGGGACTCAAGCTGTCTGCCTGCCTGGGCCTCCCAAAGTGCTATGACAGGCATGAGCCACCACGCCCAGCCTATTTCTTTTTAAAGCTGAATAATATCTACCAATAAAACCAATGTTGGTTTATACCACATTTTGTTTATCCATTCATCCGTCAGTGGTCACTTGGGTTGTGTTCAGCTTTTGGCAATTGTGAATAGTGCTTCTATGAACATTGGTGTAAAAGTATATGTTTGGGCAGGGCACAGTGGCTCATTCCTGCAATCCCAGCACTTTGGGAGGCTGACTCAAGAGGATTGCTTGAGCCCAGGAATTCGAGACCAGTCTGGGCAATACAGGAGACCCTGTCTCTACTACTAATAAAGAAAATTAGGCCGGGCGCGGTGGCTCACCCCTGTAATCCCAGAACTTTGGGAGGCCAAGGCGGGTGGATCATGAGGTCAAGAGATCGAGACCATCCTGGCCAACGTGGTGAAACCCGTCTCTACTGAAAATACAAAAATTAGCCGGGCATGGTGGCACACACCTGTAGTCCCAGCTATTCGGGAGGCTGAGGCAGGAGAATTGCTTGAATCTGGGCGGTGGAGGTTGCAGTGAGCTGAGATCGCACCACTGCATTCCAGCCTGCCAATAGAGTGAGACTTCGTCTCAAAAAAAAGAAAAAAAAAAAAAGGAAAATTAGCTGGACATGGTGCCACATCCCTGTGATCCCAGCTACTTGGGAGGTTGAGGTGGGAGGATCACCTGAGCCTGGGGTGAGCCATGATCATGCCACTGCGTTCCAGCCTGGGCAACAGAGTGAGAACCTGTCAAAAAATATATGTATATTTGTTTGAGTTCCTGCTTTTAATTTTTTTTTATTTATTTTTAAATTATTTTTTAAAAATAATTTTTTGTTTTTTATTTTTATGGGTACATAGTAGATGTATCCTACTTTTAATTCTTTTGGACATATCGTTTGAAGTAGAATCACACTTTTTGAAGTACCACCATACTGTCTTCCACAGTGGCTATACCATTTCATGTTCCCACCAACAATGCACAAAGATTCCAGTTTCTCTATATCCTGGACCCTTATTTCTGGTTTTTTGGTTGATACTTATCCTAATGGATATGAATTGGTATCTCACTATGGTTTCAATTTACTTAAAAAAAAATCATATGATTATTTTGCCTTATAAATGGATTTGTTCCTAAATTCAAATAATATGGTTTTTTGTTTTTGTTTTTGTTTTTGTTTTTTTGAGACAAAGTCTCACTCAGTTGCCTAGGCTGGAGTGCAGTGGCGCGATCTTGGCTCACTGCAAGCTCCGCCTCCTGGGTTGACGCCATTCTCCTGCCTCAGCCTCCCAAGTAGCTGGGACTACAGGCACCCACCACCACGCCCAGCTAATTTTTTGTATTTTTAGTAGAGGCAGGGTTTCACCATGTTAGCCAGGATGGTCTCGATCTCCTGACCTCATGATCTGCCCGCCTCAGCCTCCCAAAGTGCTGGGATTACAGGTGTGAGCCACCGCACCTGGCCATAATATGGTATTTTTAATAATTGGTTTTTGTTGGGAAATTATTCATTATAAGCGTGTAAACAACTTCTTATCATCCTCTGCCATAATCGCTGCATTCTGACATTTGCCATAACATAGAACAAGCTTTTCAATGGTCCTCACAGGACATTTGCTCTGCCTGCCCTTCTTTCAAAGCTGTGCTCACTGCCTGGGTTCATGGTCACTGAAAACAGCCTGTAAGTTTTAGTTGGAGATGCACTTAAACATACAGATTTGGTATGGTATATTTAGTATACAATTTTTTTTGCTTATTTTACTTTTTGAAAAATTTTGTTGCATGTAAAAACGTAAATGTGTATGGGTATTGAAGGATGTCTAGAATCATATGCTGCAAACTGGTTTCCCCAAGAAAGAATAGCTTGTACTCTACATTTTTTTGGAATTTTTTTCACTGAGCCTAAATGACTTAGTTTATTGCTTTAAATTAATGATAAAAGTAAAAAGTTCTTTTGGGGCTTCGTGATCTTTTTGAAACTTATTGACATTTGCAATGATTGTTCTCTATTAATATTCTGTTAATCTACTTAGCTATATTTGAGGAAAAAGGAAATTCATGGTAGAATTTCCCCCGACCCCAGCCGGGCTTGGTGGCTCACGCCTGTAATCCCAGCACTTTGGGAGGCCGAGGTGGGCAGATCACCTGAGGTCAGGAGTTTGAGACCAGCCTGGCCAACATGGTGAAACCCCATCTCTACTAAAAATGCAAAAATTAGCCAGGCGTGATGGCGCATGCCTGTAGTCCCAGGTACTTAGGAGGCTGAGGCAGGAGAATCACTTGAGCCCAGGAGGTGGAGATTGCAGTGAGCCGAGATCACACCACTGCACTCTACCTCAAAAAAAAAAAAAGAATTTCCCCCCACCAAAAGAATGCAGGAGATGCTGTGCAGCAAAATCTGTAGCTAATGTCTTCGGTTGGAGTTATAAGTCACCAGGGATCAGCAGTGGAGGTAGTTCAGGCTGCTGGGGGTTCAGGATTGTCTTCATATGAAAGGAATACTTAGGGTAACATTTCCATAATGTGAAAAGAACATATTAAAACACTAGTTGATTACAGCTTTCTGTATGTGTGTGTGTGTTTTACCTTTCCTATGGTGCTGAAGCTTTGTGTTTTTTAAAGGTGTTTGATCAGAGTGCGCTTTCAACTGAAGCTAAAGAAGAAATGTACAAGCTGTATCCTAATGCCCGAAGAGCTCATCTGAAAACAGGAGGCAATTTCCCATACCTGTGCAGAAGTGCAGAGGTCAATCTTTATGTACAGGTAAGGCCTAGCTTGAAACCCAGAGCACTCTGAGCCCAACATATGTTTGCAACATAAAGACTTCTTTTAATGGACTAGTTAGGGAATCAGTGAACTACAGAATTCCTTGTAGAAATGAGGCATTGACTTGATAAAAGTGGTTTACATTTATAACTTGTAGGAGAATTTGAACAGGTATATTAGAGATCCCCCAGTGACTCTCTGGCCACCATCCCTTTTCTAAGGACAGCAGGCCTGCATTCACACACTGAGGTTACTATTGGTATGATGTGACCTTGCCCTCTGGACACAGTGAATTCCATCAGAGCAAGACACCAGACCTAAATGGGGTCAATCTGAGTCCTGTGAAGTGACTTCTTGATCTAATTTTAATGCATTAAAAGAAAACCCTACCAGGCGTAGTGGCTCATGCCTGTAATCTCAGCACTTTGCGAGGCTGAGGCAGGCAGATCACAAGGTCAGGAGGTCAAGACCAGCCTGGCCAATATGGTGAAACCGTCTCTACTAAAAATACAAAAAAAATTAGCTGGACGTGGTGGTGCACACCTGTAGTCCCAGCTACTCGGGAGGCTGAGGCAGAAGAATCACTTGAATCCTGGAGGCAGAGGTTGCAGTGAGCCGAGGTCACGCCATTGCACTCCAGCCTGGGCAACAGAACAAGACTCCGTCTCAAAAAAAAAGAAAAGAAAAGAAAGCCCTAACAAACACCATCCCTTCATACTCTAACTAAATGGATAATAGAATAGCAGTGAGGGGTGAGTGCCCTGGCAGTTTGGCAAGATGAATCAAGAGCCTTAAAAAACCAGTTATATCCTGGCCACGCATGGTGGCTCACACCTGTAATCCCAAAAACCAGTCATATCCCTTGATCCTGTCATCCCCTTATAGAAGACAGGATCCTAAACAGGAATACTTGATGCCCAGAGATATTCATCATAGCAGCACTAGTCACAGTAGCAGAAGATTGGAAGGACCTAACTCACAGCAGCAGAAGGGAAGGGTAAACATCTCATGAGCATGCACCATCTAAGATGTCTCAGGAGACTCTGCAGGGACTCAGGGAGACTGCTCAGGGAGTGAGGAACAAAGATCCCAAATGTGGTTTCAAAAAATTGTTTGACTTTTCTCTATTTAGTATGTCTTAGTCTGTAAATTTTAGAAGTATAAAACATTTGTCCACTATGGTGATGTTTTCCTACCAAACTTTTTATAGAAGGCAGTATACATTTTACTCTGTAATGCAGCCATTTAAAACAATGATTCTGGCAGGGTGCAGTGGCTCACACCTGTAATCTGGCACTTTGGGAGGCCGAGGCAGATGGATCACTTGAGGCCAGGAGTTCAAAACCAGCCTGGCCAACATGGTGAAACCCTGTCTCTACTAAAAATACAAAAATTAGCTGGGCATGGTGGCGGGCACCTGTAATCCCAGCTACTCGGGAGGCTGAGGCAGGAGAATTGGGTGAACCCGGGAGGCGGAGGTTGGAGTGAACCAAGATAGTGCCACTGCACTCCAGCCTGGGCAACAAGAGTGACACTCCAGCTCAAAAAATAAATAAAATAATGATTCTGCATTTCAACAGATACATTTGCTGCAATTCCATGGAACCAAATACGCGGCCATTGACCCATCAATGGTCAGTGCCGAGGAGCTTGAGGTGCAGAAAGGCAGCCTTGGCATCAGCCAGGAGGAGCAGTAGTGTGTCTCTCGCTGTCAATGATGAGTTGACCCGGTGTGTTCTTGTATAGTCAGTGGCATCAGCACCCGTCAGCCAGCCTTTTCCTTCAGGTTCGTCAGGCTCACCGGTTCTCACTGTGTCTGGGAAGTAGGACTGATGGTCATCTTCATGACAGGCGGCATCTCCACTAAGCCTGTGTAACTGTTCCCTCTTTGGTTTTCTTAGCTTTTGAATTTGAAGAAGTACTTTTGAAGACTCCCATTTTAAGAACCGTGCAAATTTTGCTACCAAAAGTCTTCACCACTGTGTTCTTAAGTGAATGTTAATTTCTGAGGTTTGGGACTTTGTGGTGGTTTTTTTCTTCTTTTCTTTTCCATTCTTCTTTCTTTCTTTTTATGTTGTTTGCTGTAAATGCTGCACATCCAGATTGCATATCAGGACATTGGTTATTTTATGCTTTCTTGGATATAACCATGATCAGAGTGCCATGGCCACTACCCCACTGTTTGCTCTCCTGCAAATCAACTGCTTTTAATTTACACTTAAACAAATTGTTTTGAGTGTTAGCTACTGCCTTTCTAGATATTAGTCATTTGGAATAAAAATTCAATTTAACTGAGTCGCTTTTGTGATTATTGTTGCTGCCCAACTGGGCTACACAGGCCTAGGACTTTCTGAGAAGTAGGTCATGGTTGCCAATTCTGTGTGACTTTGGGTAAGTTACTTAATCTCCCTGAAGTACAGTTTGCACATCATAAAATAACCCTAAGCTATCATTTATTGATCTGCTACTGTGTGCCAGGTACTTTTCTCGTCTTCTTTCCCCTGAGTGAAAATGCTTAAACCCACATGAAGTAGAGAAAATGGCATAATGAATGATGTTCCCATCATCCAGCTTCAAAAATTATCAACTCTCAGACAGTCTTGTTCATCTTTTCTTTTTTTTTTTTTTGAGACAGAGTTTCGCTCTTGTTGCCCAGGCTGGAGTGCAATGACGTGATCTCGGCTCACCGCAACCTCCGCCTCCCGGGTTCAAGCAATTCTTCTGCCTCAGCCTCCCAAGTAGCTGAGATTACAGGTATGCACCACCACGCCCGGCTAATTTTGTATTTTTAGTAGAGATGGGGTTTCTCCATGTTGGTCAGGCTAGTCTCGAGCTCCTGACCTCAGGTGATCTGCCCACATCAGCCTCCCAAAGTGCTGGGATTACAGGCATGAGCCACCATGCCCGGACTTGTTCATCTTTTAACCTACCCACGTTTCTTCCACACATGCTCCTATCACTAAATTATTTTAAAGCCATTTCTGGTGCTGTGTCATTTCATCTGTAAATATTTCTATGTGTACCTTTAAGATACAGCCTTAATACCATTATCACACTTAAAAATTTACCAATAATTCCTTCAATTATTTACCAATAATTCCTTCACTGGATTGTCTAATAATCCAGTGAATGTTGTCACTCACAATTATTCCATAAATTTTTTTTTATAGGTGACTTGTTCTAATCATATAAAGCCCACACTTTGTCTCTTAGATCTCTTTTGAACTGGAAGCTCCTCCTCCCTCTATTTTTTCTTGCCATATATTCAGTGAAGAAACAGGTTCATTTGCCCTGTAGTTGCCCCACAGTCCAGATTTGGCTGACTGTGGCCTCATGGTGTCCTTCCACTTGTTTCTCTGTCCCTGGTATTTCCTGTAAACTGGTAGTTACATCAAGAGGCTTGATCAGGTCAAGCTCGATCTTTTTGGCAGGAACACTGCATAGATGGGGCTGTGTGTTTCTCTCGCGTCATCTCAGGAGGCATCTGTCTGGTTGTGTCTAAGTTATTATGATTGCTGGGTGTGTTCAGGCATCACCAGCCTGATCCAGTCCTGAGAAAGTCCCCTGCTGGCTTAGCTGCCACTGCTGACCATTGCACAGGTGCATCATTCCATGAGGGGTTGCAGGTCAGTGATAATATTAATTTTTATCATTCCTTCTGCATTTATTAACTGGAAATTACCGATTTAAAAAAACAAAAACTTGCCCTCATCGACTGCTTGGTTTCGCTGAGATACAATTTAGACAGAAAAATAAGCATCAGTGCTTCTTTCCCTTTATGTGCCAGGTTTCAGAATATTGGGTTGGCCATACCTTCTTAGACTTCATCCCCAATACAGCCCTGATTATCCTGACTTTACAGGTGAGGACCTGGAGACTGGGTCAGGCAGTAAGGGGTGGAGCTGGGATGCCACCTTGAATCTGACCATCCCTAAAGCCAGTGATCTTTCCACAAAGGGGCCACATTGTCTTCTCTATCTGTGGCTTGACAACAGTCATGAGTTATGGAAACACTTGGTAAACCATAAGGGCGAAGCTTGACATTTTAACTAGTAGCGTCTGAGGCTACTAGAGCCGTCTAACAACTTTAACTACTCCCCAGCTCTGCCCCCTGATGACTGCAAGTTGTCATTGCCAGCCCTGATCAATTTTGAGTACTGGCCTTGAATGCGTACTCAGGCCTATTAGGCCAGCCTTCAACAGGCATCTCAGCCTTCGACAGGCAACCAGTCAAAAGCTATGCCCATGGCCCCACTGCCCAAACCTGCCCTTCCTCTTCTAGCCCCATTTTCTTAGGTCCTGGCATCACTATTTCTTGGAATCCCCAGTTAGAAACTCAGCCATCTTGGACCCTCCACCCCCACTCACTCCTCCACCCCCATGTCTCAGGCTGAAGCGGATGCAGAGATGAAAATTTGGGTGCAAGATGTTTATTAAGGATCAACATCTGTGGCCTGGTGTGGTGGCTCACACCTGTAATCCCAGTACTTTGGGAGGCCAAGGGGAGTGGATCACCTGAGGTCAGGAGTTCAAGACCAGCCAGGCCAACATGGAGAAACCCAGTCTCTACTAAAAATACAAAAAAATTAGCCAGACCTGGCGGCACGTGCCTGTAATCCCAGCTACTCAGGAGGCTGAAGCAGGACAATCACTTGAACCAGAGTGGCAGAGGTTACGGTGAGCTGAGATGGTGTCACTGCACTCCAGCCTGAGCAACAGAGTGAGACTCAATCTCCAAAACAAAACAAAAAAACAACATCTGTGAAGGGAAGATGGATTGGGCAGAGAGCGAAATTGAACTGTGATGCAGGCCCGATCAAGTACCCACCAACTCAGTAGGGCACGCAGGAGCTTGAAGCACCCACTGGAATATTTTCATGGAGGACTAAAATGGCTGGGTCTCTATGCTCCCGCGTAGCTCAGTTCCCAGAGGCAGCTGCCCTGGGGAGGGCAGGGTGTTGGGTGGGGCAACTCTCTGCAGCTGAGGCAGACCCTGAAGGGCTGACAGCTGGAGGCCATCTGCCCAGCTCACTCCTGCAGCTGGATGGAAAGGCCTTCCTGGAAGAAGGGGGTCCGGGCAATGCATTTCCACATCTACTACACCTATATCCCCTGACTCTCAGAGATCTAGCAACTTGCCTGCAAACTTGAGCCTTCCTCACTACAAGTTAGGCCTTGGCATCTTTTGCCCAGACTACTACAGTCCTCACTGGCTCCACCAGCCATCTCCTCCCACCCCCACCCATCCTCTGTGTGGTCCACACACAGGTCTGATCTTGTCACTTGCCAGTGCATGAACACTAAGGGACCTCTGTTGTGGAAATCAGACTAGTTTCAGAAACTCTGAAGTGGGGCTGTAACCATTTAGTGAAGCTCTGCACACAGGAAGAGATGCGGGGAGCAACCTCCACTAAGAGCCAGGGACTCCTTCACCTCAGTTCTTAACCTGGGAGTTTTATGGGTTCATTTTGATACATGATGTGATCCAGGGCCTGTACCCGCTTCTAGAAGTTATCTTGGGATCCACAGGAGAAAGACTTCGCACTTTTTAAGTATATAAACCTGCAGACTATATGTGAATAGTTTTAAGTACAGTATATATCTTAAAAAGGGGCCAGGCACAGTGGCTCACGCCTGCAATCCCAGCACTTTGGAAGGCCAACCCAGGCAGATCACGAGGTCAGGAGATCAAGACCATCCTGGCCAACATGTTGAAACCCCATCGCTACTAAAAATACAAAAAAAAATTAGCTGGGCGTGGTGGCATGTGCCTGTAATTCCATCTACTTGGGAGGCTGAAGAGGAGAATCGCTTGAACCAGGGAGTCGGAGGCTGCAGTAAGCCGAGATCGCACCACTGCACGCCAGCCTGGCAACAGAGGAAGACTCCGTCTCAAAGAAAAGGGAGGGAGTAACTGTAAGTAAATATCCATTGGAAAAGTGATTTAAATATACATTTTAGAAACAAGGAGAGTCACAATTAGCAAGGTAAAGTAGACTCTGAAAGGACAAGCAGATGTGCATTTCCAAAGGCGGAGTCTATTCTGTTCAGTTTCTACTTTATGAGACATCTAATTTTTGGTGATGGGGTGGGGAACAATTTCCAATGCATCTGCACCCCTCCCCCTCCTGCCCCTCAGGTCACAGCTCCCCCTCCTTCCACGCATCCTGTGCTCCAGCCACGCTACTCCCCAAGGTGGGGGGTCCCTCTCCACACCTCTGGGCTATTGCTTAGGCTGTGCTGTTGGCTTGGACTGCCCTTTTCCCCACTTCTGTCTCCTCTGTGAGCTGCTTCCTCCCCTTCCTTTCTTCCTTCCCCCAGGAAGGAGTCCCATAGTTGTTTGCACCCATCCATTACAGCGTGGACTGCACCTTATTACAGTTATTGGTGTGCAAGCCTTTCTCCCCTACTAGACCCTAAGCTTGGGGAAGGGGAGGGAACTGTGGGCTCTCATCTCTGTACCCACTCCTGGCAGGCCACCTGGCACAAAATCCACTCAGGAAGTATTCACTGTCCGTGAGTTGAGCCATTGTGCTTACATAGCACCAATCTGTGACAGCTTGTCTGACCTGGAATTTCACCCTGTATTTCCCAAAGAAAAGATATGAGTACTGGATTTGAGAGATATATTTCAACATTTCAATTTTATTGTATTTAAGAACTTTTTTTTCTCAGAAAAAAATTACAAAATTCATTTTATAAAATTCATCCAGATAAATGATTTCAGTCCCATATGGTACAAAATACCTTTCCCAAGGAATAGATGATTTAATTTAAAGCCTCTGTTTTCTTTTCCTTTTATAACTTTACTTTTGTTTTTTTTCACAGACTTTCTATTTTAGAACAGTTTTAGGTTTAGAGAAAAATTGAGCAGATAGCACAGAGAGCTCCCACGTACTCTTCAGCACACACAGTTTCCCCGATTATTAACATCTGGCATCAGTGTGGTACATTTGATACAACTGATGAACCAATATTGACACGTTACTATTAACTAAAGTCCATAGCTCACATTAGAGCAAACGCTTTGTGCTGTACATGCTATGGGTTTTGACCAATGCCCAATGTCATGTACCCACCATCACAGTGTCATACAGAACCTTTCACTGCCCTAACATCCCCTGCGCTCCACCTCCTCATCCCTCCCTTCCTCTCACTGCCCTTGCAGCTCCTGGAAATCACTGATCTTTTTACTGTCTTTGTAGTTTTGCCTGTTCCAGCATGTCATATCCTTTCAGTTTTCAGTAAGTAACACTCTCACACATTTCAAAAGTTAAAACTGTATAGAAAGGAACCACTGAGAACTCTTTCTCCCACCCGGTCCCAGCCCCACTGTTCCCCATTATCCTACTACCCCAGGGAAACCACCTGATTAGTTTCTTAGCCTTTGTCTAGCTTTTATTTATGCAAATATGTTTTCTAATTTCCTTTCTTTCTTACACAATTAACAGCATACTATTAGTAATATACTATATGCACTGATCTGTATCGTGTTTTTTTAATTATAATTATTCTTTTAATAAAATGCTTCACTGAGAGCAGGGAAGCCACCTTACTTTCCCAAAAGTTACACAATACATGGTAGTACCAAAGAAATATCTGCTGAGAGAAATACTATTTTGGGAAGTAGTTAATAATTTTACAATATGCAATAGAAGCAGACACATGAACAGCTACAATGTGGATACAAGTTTTGTCAAATAATCAGGAGAAAAAAGAATAAAAATTACAATGGCAAATGGCTGTCCAAATTTTCCAAGTCCAACTTTATAGTGCTGTGAAGAAAAGCATGAATATGAGACTCTCAATAAACATTTGTGCATCCATGAAATTGAATTATTTAGGTTTAAAGATAGAATTTTGGAAAACTGAAAATAATTTTTGTAATTTCAAGGTAAAATAATCTTTACTTTCAGAAAACACATTGTAACTGTGATAAGCCATAGCATTTATTCATGTGTATAAGATAAAAACACAGAAAGTATTCTACTCTTATTATTTAAGGTGGAAAAAGGAATAATTGTGAAATTATGTTTCAATTTTCCAGCCTGGCCATCATGGCCAAACCCCATCTCTACTAAAAATACAAAAATTAGCCAGCTGTGATGGCATGCACCTGTAATCCCAGCTACTCGGGAGGCTGAGGCACAAGAATCATTTGAACCCGGGAGGCGGAGGTTGCCGTGAGCTGAGATCTCGCCATTGTACTCCAGCCTGGGTGAGAGAGCAAGACTGTCTCAAAAAACAAAACAAAACAATTATCACCCTTAAAGTGTAGCTCAGAAAGATTTAGAGTAAGAGCATACATTTAGCTCGCAACATATATGTTAGGAAACAAAAGAATGCTGATTAAATATAACTTAGTGGTAGGTAAAGTTGTCTATTTTTTCCCTATCATATATCATAACGTAATAGATCACAAATATGTTTTAGAATTTTTCTTAAGTTTTAAGAATCCAAAAATGGCTGGGCTCCGTGGCTCATGCCTGTAGTCCCAGCACTTTGGGAGGCTGAGGTGGATGGGTCACCTTAGGTCAGGAGTTCAAGACCAGCCTCACCAACATGGTGAAACCTGTCTACTAAAAATACAAAAATTAGCCGGGCATGATGGTGTGTGCTTGTAATCCCAGCTACTCCGGAGACTGAGGCAGGAGAATTGCTTGAACCCAAGAGACGGAGGTTGCAGTGAGCCAAGATCACACCACTGCATTCCAGACAGGGCAACAAGCGTGAAACTCTGTCTCTTTTTTTGTTTGTTTGTTTTGAGACAGAGTCTTGCTCTGTCGCCCAGGCTGGAGTGCAGTGGCACAGTCTCGGCTCACTGCAAGCTCTGTCTCCCGGGTTCATGCCATTCTCCTACCTCAGCCTCCCAGGTAGCTGCGACTGACTACAGGTGCCCGCCACCATGCCTGGCTAATTTTTTGTATTTTTAGTAGAGACAGGGTTTCACTGTGTTAGCCAGGATGGTCTCGATCTCCTGACCTCGTGATCTGCCCGCCTTGCCCTCCCAAAGTGCTGGGATTACAGGCATGAGCCACTGCGCCCGGCCAAGCTAAACTGTTTCAAAAAAAAAGAAAAAAAAAAGGAATCCAAAGAAAAAAATACATCACCTGCAAAAGGTGAAGAGAGAAAGGAAGCTTTTTCTCTAAAAATGGTGCAGCTATCCTCTGAACCAATTTCCTTCGGTTTAATGTACCTGTATCTTGGGGTTTTTTTCCACTTAATTTATCCTGGAGCTCTTTCCATAACAACACTTGGAAAGCACTCTCATCCTTTTTTCACTGCTGAACAGAATTCCACTGTGTGGATGGAACATACTCTATTTCACCAGTCCCCTGTAGCCAGTCACTTGGTTTGTTTCCAATCTTTTGCTTTTTCAGAGTAATAACCTTGTATGTCTATCATTTTGTATGCATACAGGTTTATATGTAGGAAAAATTCCTAGAGTAGGATTGCTGGACCAATGGATAAAAGTATATTGTGGACAGACAATGCCAAATTGCCTTTCAGAGACTGTGGCCCTGTGCACCCCATCAGGCATGTGTGACTACCAAAGCTCCTGTCAGCTGTTTTATTTTATCTCCTTTCCAGTCTCAGGCTCAATGCAGAACTTTGAGGTAAGCTTTTCTAAAATGTAGGCTCCTAAACGCCACAGCCAGCTCTGCCACATGAAGGAGAGCTCAAATGAGACAGAAACAGCCTCTGGGCAGGATTTCTATCCTGCACAGATATATTTTCCACATTCTGGGAAACCGTGAAGCTTCCAGAGCCACAATTCCCCAGAAACACATCCCCCTGCTGGTACAGCCAAGCCCCAGAACAAGCTGTGCTTGCCTGGCACCTCAAAGCCAAGCACCATGGATGCCACTTGCTATGGGTGCCTGCAATTTCAAATAATGAGAAATAAGAAATTTCAGCTTCTCAGTCCCTCTAGCCAACATTTCAGGTGCATGACAGCCTCAGGTGGCAAGCAGCTACTCTGCCGGACAGGGCAGAAGATGGAACACCCCATCCCTGGGGAAGATCACGAGGTCAGGAGATCAAGACCATCCTGGCTAACACAGTGAAACCCCGTCTCTACTGAAAATACAAAACATTAGCTGGGTGTGGTGGCAGGCACCTGTAGTCCCAGCTACTCAGGAGGCTGAGGCAGGAGAATGGCGTGAACCTGGGAGGTGGAGGTTGCAGTGAGCCAAGATTGCGCCACTGCACTCCAGCCTGGCAACAGAGTAAGACTCCATATCAAAAAAAAGAGAAAAGAAGAAGAAAGAAAGAAAGAAGAAGAAGAGGAAGAAGAAGAAGTGGAAGAAGAAGGAAAGAGGAAGAGGAGAAGCAGGAGAAGAACAAGGAGAAGAAGAAGGAGAGAGAAGAAGAGACAAGAAGAAGGAGAAGAAGGAGAGAGAAGAGACAAGAGAAGAAGGAAGAAGGAGGAGGAGAAGGAAGAAGAAAAGGAGAAGAAAGAAGAAGAAGGAAGAAGAAAGAACAACAAAAAGAAGGAGAAGAACAAGGAAGAAGAACAACTAAGGAGAAGGAAGAAGGAGAAGAAGAAAGAAGAACAAAAAGAAAGAAGAAGGAGAAGGAAGAAGAAGGAGGAGGAGAAGGAGAAGAAGAAGGAGAAGAACAAGGAGAAGGAGAGAAGAAGAAGAGACAAGAAGAAAGAAGGAGAAGAAGAAGGAAGAAGAAAAGGAAGAAGAAAAGAGGAAGGAGGAGGAAGAAGGAGAAGAAGGAAGAATAAGGAAGAAGGAGAACAAGGAGAAGGAAGAAGAAAAGAAGAAGGAGAAGGAGGAAGAAGGAGAAGAAAGAGGAGAAGAAGGAAGAAGAAGGAGAAGGAAGAAGAAAAAGAGGAAGAAGGAGAAGAGGGAAGAAGAAGAAGGAGAAGACGACGAACGAAGGAGGAGAGGAGGAAGAAGAGGAAGGAAGAAGAAAGAAGAAGAAAAGAAAAGGAAGAAGAAGGAGAAGAAGAGAAGAAGGAGAGGAGGAAGAAGAAGGAAGAACTAAGAAGGAAGAGAAGGAGAAGAAAAGGAGAACTAAGAAGGAAGAAGAAAGGAAAAGAAGGAGAAGAAGAAAGAACTAAGAAGACGAAGGAGAGGAAGAAGAAGAAGAAGAAAAGAATAAGGAACAAGAAAGAAGGAGAAGAAGAAGAAAAGAAAGAAGAAAGAATAATAAGGAACAAGAAGAAAGAGGAAGAAGAAAGGAGAAAAGAAAGGAAGAAGAAAAGAGGGAGGAGAAAGAAGAAGAAAAGAGGAAGAAGAAAGAAGAAGGAGAAAAGAAGAAGAGGAAGAAGAAAGAAAAGAAGAGGAAAGAAGGAAGAAGAAAGGAAAGAAAGGAAGAAGATAGAGGAAGAAAGAAGAAAAAAAGAAACAATAGAAGAAGAGGAAGAAAAGAAAAAAGAAAAAGAGAAGAAAGAAGAGGGAAGAAAGAAAAGAGGAAGAAGAAAGAATGAAGAAGAAAGAGGAAGAAGAGGAAAGAAGAAAAGAAGAGGAAAGAAGAAAAGAATAAGGAAGAAGAAAAAAAGGAAGAAGAAAGCAGAAGAAAGAAAAGAGGGAAGAGGAAGAAGAACGAAGAAAAGAGGAAAGAAGAAGGAGGAGAAGAAGGAGAAGAACAAGGAGAAGAAGAAAGAAGAAGGGAGAAGGAGAAGAAAAGAAGGAGAAGAAAGAAAAGAAGGAGAAGGAAGAGGAAGAAGAAGGAAGAAGAAGAAGAAGGAGAGAAGAAAGAAGAAAAGGAGAAGGAAGAAGAAGAACTAAGAAGAAGGAGGAAGAAAGAAGGAGAAGGAAGAAGGAGAGGAGAAGAAGGAAGAAGGAGAAGGAAGAGGAGGAAGAACTAAAGAAGAAGGAGAAGGAAGAGGAAGAAGAAGAAGGAGAGAAGAAAGAAGAAAAGGAAGGAGGAGGAAGAAGAAGGGAGGAGGAGGAGAAGAAAAGGAGAACTAAGAAGAAGAAAGGAAAAGAAGGAGAAGAAAGAAGAACTAAGAAGAAGGAGAGGAAGAATAAGAAGGAAAGAAGAAAGAAAAAAGTAAAAGAAGAAGAAAGAAGGAAGAAGGAAAGAAGAGGAAGAACTAAGAAGAAGAAAGAGGAGGAAAGAAGAAAGAAGAATAAGGAACAAGAAAGAAGGAGAAGAAAGAATAAGAAGAGGAAGAAGAAAAAGAAGAAAAGAAGGAAAGAAGAAAGGAGAAAAAGGAAGAAAAAAGGAAGAAGAAAGTAGAAAGCGGAAGAAAGAAAAGAAAGTATAAGAAGGAAGAAGAAGAAAGAAGGAAAGAGGAAGAAAAAAGAGAGGAAAGAAGAAAGGAAGAAGGAGGAGAAGAACAAGGAGAAGAAAGAACTAAGAAGGAGAAGAAGGAGAGACAAGAAGAAAAGAAGAAGAGGAAGAAAGAGAAGGAAGAAGAGGAAGAAGAACTAAGAAGAAGGAGAAGAAGAGAAGGAAGGAGAAGGAAGAAGGAGAAGAAGAAAGAGAAGAAAAGAAGAAGGAGAAGAGACAAGGAGAAGAAAGGAAGAAGGAGGAGGAAGAAGGAGGAGAAGGAGAAGAAAAGAAGAAGGAGAAGGAAGAAGAAAAGAAAGGAGGAGGAGGAGAAGAGGAAAGAAGGAGGAAGAAGGAGAAGAAGAAAGAAGAAAGGAGAAGAACTAAGAAGAAAAAGGAGAGGAAGAAGAAGAAGGAAGAAGGGGAAGAAGAAGGAGAAGGAGAAGAAGAAAGAAAAGACGAAGAAGGAGAGGAGGAAGAAGAAGACGAAGGAAGAAGAAGAAAAGAAGGAGAAGAAGAACGAAGGAGAAGGAAGGAGGAGGAGAAGGAGAAGAAGACGAAGGAAGAAGAAAGTAAGAAGAAGGAGAAGACGGTGACGAAGGAAGAAGAAGGAGAAGGAAGAAGGAGAAGAACTAAGAAGAAGAAAGGAGGAGGAGAAGAAAACTAAGAAGGAGAAGAAGAAGAAGGAGGAAGAAGAAAAGAAGGAAAGAGGAAGAAGAAAGAAGAAGGAGGAAGAACTAAGAAGAAGGAGAAGGAAGAAGGAAGAAAGAAAAAGAACGAAGGAGGAGGAGAGGAAGGAGAAGGAAGAAGAAAAAGAAGGAGAAGGAAGAAGGAGAAGAATAAGAAGAAGAAAGGAGGAGAAGGAAGAAGAAGAAAGAGGAAAGAAGAAGAAGAAAAAGTAGAAGGAAAGAAGAAAGAAAAAGATGAAGAAAGAGGAAGAAGAATAAGGAAGAAGAAGAAAGAGAAGAAAGAAGAAGAAAAGAAGGAAGAAGAGGAAGAAAAGAAGGAAGAAGAAGAAAGGAAGAACTAAGAAGAAGAAAGAAGAGGAAAGAAGAAGAAAAAGAAGATAGAAGATGGAAGAAGAAAGAAAAGAAAGAAGAATAAGAAGGAAGAAGAAAGAAGAGCAGAAGGAAAGAAGAAGAAGAAAAGAAAGGAAGAAGAGGAAAGAACAAGAGGACGAAGAGAAAAGAAAAAGAAAGAAGGAAAGAAGAAAGAAAAAGAAGAGGAAGAAGAAAGAAGAAGAAAGAATAAGAAGGATGAAGAAGAGGAAGAAAGAAGAAAAGAGGAAAGAAAGAAGGAAGAAGAAAGGAAAGAAGAAGAAAAGGAAAGAAGGAAGAAGAGGAAGAAGGAGGAAAGAAGAAAAGGGAAGAAAAAGAAAATAAGGAAGAAGAAGAGGAAGAAGAAAGAAGGAAAGAAAGAAAAAGAAGATAGAAGGAAAGAAGATAGAAGAAGAAAAGAAGAGAAGAAGAATAAGGAACAAGAAGAAAGAAGAAAGAAAAGGAAGAAGAAGAAGAAAGAAAAGAAAAAGAAAGAAGAGAAGAAAGAAGAGGGAAGAGGAAGAAGAAAACAGGAAGAAGGAAGAGGAAGAAGAAGAAAAGAAGAGGAAGAAGAAAAGAAAAAAGAGAAAAGAAAAGAAAGGGAAGAAGAAAGAAAAAGAAGAAAAGAGGAAGAAAAGAAAAAAGAAAAAAGAGGAAGAAGAAAAGAAAAAGAAAGAAGAAAGAGGAAGAAGAAAGAAGAGGAAAGAAGAAAGAAAAAGAGGAAAGAAGAAAGAAGAAGAAGAGAAGAAGAAGAAGAAGAAAAGAAAAAGAAGAAGAAATAAACAAAGTGTGCCAAGAGCTCAAAAGGACCATACCTGTTGGACGGGATTACAGGCCCTTGGACCCATCCTCATGAAAAAGATCAGTGTACAAACATTTGCCTCCTGGGCTCTGCATGACTGTGCATTTCAGTAGAATCACCTGGAGGTCTGTTAACAGTGATTTTTTAAAAAGCCCTTAAATGATGGTCATCTTCTGTTCAGGTGGCTCCACACGCTGAGGTCCCACGTGCCTGAAGGTCTGGCCCCTCCGGTTACATGGCTGTGCACCTCCTGGGGGCACTCGGGGCTGCGTTTGCTTTCTTCCTGATATTTTCTGTTAAAAACAAGAATCTTACTTCCTCTGTTGCCTAAGCTCTGCCTCACAGGACTGGTTTTATGTTTTAATTGCATGCCACAGTTTGTGTTAAAAGATGTAACAACTATATTTAAGAACATTTTGGGGAAAGAAAGGTAGCGTCCCTAATCTCTCTACCCTGAAATGAGTCTTAGCTTTTCCACCTTGCCTATAGCAGCTATGGGGGGGGGGGGGGGGGGGGGCGGTCCTTTCTTTTCCCTCAATAATATGCTAGAAACATTTCCCTCAGCAATATACTAGAAATATGTCAGGAGTGGTTTTCTTTGTTGCCTCATATCTAATGGAGACTTCACAACTATCAGTGGCTGCCTAGTGCCCCATTCTGTGGTTGCCCCATTATGTACCACGTCAGTGGGTATCACAGCGTTTAAGGCTTTTTCATCATGAGCTGATTTTGTTTTTAATGAGGGATTAGTACTAGAACCTTCTATCCTGCTTGTCTGATGATTCCACAGAACACTGAATCCCATATCAGGCTTTTGAGATTGGCATACTCAAATAAGTTGTGATGACCTCAGAAGGTTTATTTGACCAGATTTGACTGGTTCAACTCATATTAAGTCAGTTTTGGCTCCTATGTCTTAATGTTTGTGAAAAAAGTCTGGAGGTGGTTCCAGGCTTATTCCAAAATGGAAAAAAAATGTCAAGGTATAGAGGGCTGGTAAGGAAGAGATTATGGACAGCATCACTGGCTCCGGGGCTGTGAAGGTCACAGGGTTCAGTTTGGGCCAACACCCTCATTGCACAGATGGGGAAACCAGGGCCAGGAGGCACTGTAGTTTGCCCAAGGGAAAAGAGGGCAGGGCTAGGGGTAGGAATCTGGAAGGCCTAGAGCCAGCATCACAGCATTCTTGTCTGAGCAGCCCTTGGAGGGCCCTGCTGCATTCCAGTGGGGGCCACCCAGCTCCTGAGAAGCAGCCCAGCAGAGTACGCTCTTACCAGCCAGGTCCCTCCTGCCAATGGCCACGAGGCCCTCGAACAGCGCTTTGCTGGGGTTCTCACCAGCCGTGGCCACGCCATGCAGCCAAATGAGCAGCATTCGGTGGCCGTGCTCCTGATAGCTCCTGGTGCCTGAGAACAGTGAGGGAGGAGAGAGAGAGGGAGAAGGAGCCAATGGGGCCACTTGACCAGAGCGCCTGTCTATGCCACCCTGCACCGCCTCCTGAACATGCCCAGGTGGGAAAGAGGCCAAAAGCCTCCAAGGCCCTTCTCCATGCTCCAGCCAAGCTCAGCCTGGAGATAGGTAAGGGGAGTGGAGGAGCAGCCTCTCAGATGGGGAGGGAAGGGTTTGTGTCTTGGTCTCTAGAACCTCCCCAGCCCCAGGCCTTCTCCTGAACACCCACTATGCACTCTGTTGGTGTCACTCTGAATGGAGAAAGAATTGACTTTCATCGTTGTGGTACCATGATGCACAAATTGTATACTTCACCTCTCTGGCTGCTCAAAATAATCTGTGTCTTGCATGATAGTGGTCCTAATTTACAGATGAGAATACAGCTTAGTCAGAGATGGAGCTGGCCATGCTTTCCCCTGCACCAGTGGTTCTCAGACTCAGCTGCTCCTTGGAAACACCTAGGGCCCATGTCACCCCCAGAGATTCTCATGTACCTGGGACTGGGTGCAGCCTAGGCATTTAACGGTTTCAAAATTTCCCAGGTGGTTCCAACATACAACCATGTTTGGAAAATAATTGCCCACACGGCATGGGGTTAACATGTTATTCAGCTGGCTGTGATTCAGCTGGCTCTCCAGTGCTGTGGAAACAGACAGATGCTGGGCCACGCCCATCAGGTCCAGGTCACTCCATTCGCCCCTCTGACCTTCCGTGCCCCTCTTGGGGCCCTCAGCAGGCATGTCCTCACGGTACTGCCCTTGGTGTGGTGGCACTTCCGCTTGACCCAGCAGTCTCAACACCATTTATTAACTATCTCTGCCCCCGCCACTGTAATGTACAAGTGCTTCTTTATCATATATGAAAGTTCTTATCCGTAGCAGCGTTTACTTTTGAACTCTGCTCTATCCCAAATTGATATGCAAATGTCAATTTGCATATTTTTGTGTCAGGAATCTTTTTTTTTTCCTTTGGGAGACAGAGTCTCACTCTGTCCCCCAGGCTGGAGTGTAGTGGTGGGATCTCGGCTCACTGCAAACTCTGTGTCCCGGGTTCAAGCGATTCTTAAACCTCAGCCTGTCGAGCAGCTGGGATTACAGGACCCGACCATCATGCCCAGCTAATTTTTGTATTTTTAGTAGAGACGGGGGATTCACCATGTTGGCCAGGCTGGTCTCAAACTCCTAACCTCAGGTGATCTGCCCACCTTGGCCTCCCAAAGTGCTGAGATTACAGGTGGGAGCCACTATGCCTGATCCAGATATCTCTTTATGTTAATTTTATTTTGGCTTTATAAAAGGCTGAGTCTGCTTGGGTTAGATCCCCTTTATTGTTTTCCCCCAGAATGTTCACTTTTATATCCCTGTTTATTCTTCCAGACAAATTGTAGAATACTTCAGTCAAGTTTCAAAAACCTATTTTGATTAAAATTAGATCAAAGTTTTAATCTAATTGGAGAAAAACTGATATTTATATGATACTTTTTCTTGCCACAAATACAGAATGTCATTCCATTTACACAAGTCTTTTATAGTTGAACCATTATTGTTTTATTCATATGTGTCATCTGTATTTGTCTTTTAGGTTTTCCAGATGAAACACACACACCATTGTAAATGGAATCTCTTTTAAAAGATTCTCTCTCTATATTTTTTGCCCATTTAGCCATGGTTCATAGGAGTTCTGTGGTGTTAGTATATTTTCTATATTTAGCCATTTCCTTGAATTATTTGATTAATTCTAAGATTTTTTTAGTTGATTCCTCTGGACGTCCTATGTATATTAAGTATTCCATCTGAAATCAATAAGTCTCTCTCTTCCTTTACAATATTTACACTCCTTATTTCTATTTCCTTTTCACACCTTAGTACCAGGGCCAAAATTTCCATATAGATGTTGAATAATAGTGACAACAGCAGGCCCTCTTCTTTTTACCAAGAATGGTTTTAGTTTAGGTATAAACAGTGGGTATCAGTTTGGGCTGATTGGTGAAGAATGTGAAATTCACAATCAATGGGGAGAGGCAGAGTGTGCACCCTGTGCAGAGGCCTGGAGGAGGGACAGAGCACCAGGTGTGTTGGACAGTGTGGGACCAGGCTGTGGGTTGCACAGGCCCTTTCACCAGAAGCACAGAAAACTGAACACATTTCAGGTGTCCCACCCCTCCGCCCAATGGTTGCTTAGGGCGAGGAGAGGCAAGGTGGTACCTGTCCACTGTTGCTCGATGGCGTCGACATGTGCCTCCGTGAACTCCCAGGAATATGCCAGCTTCTTCCACTCACGGGGCTGCAGATACCTGGAGGCCAGCCGCCACAGCACAGAACGGAGCTGCTGTGTTTCCTGCCGATGGTCCTGCTTAAAGGACAAGCTCTTCCCAGAGGGATCACTGGGGTGGTCCTGTGGGGCAGATCCCAAAAGTGCAGAAGCTCTCCCTCATGATCCCAGACAGGGGCAGTGCCGAGCCGAGGCCCCTATGACCCTCCTACCACCTCTGCTGGGGTGCCTGGGAGCTGGAGTCAGCAAGGGCCAGGGGCTTAATGTCCTCTCTTCTGGTTTCTCACTCCATGCCTTGCCTTGACCTCTGGAACCCAAGTTGCTCCCACTGTTCTTCCACCCGGAATTCCTCTGCTCACCTTCCTGCCCCTCAACCTCATTGTCATAGTCAAAAGACTACCCATGTGCTACTTCCAGGGAGCCTTTCCAGATTCCTCCGGTCACCTGCCTCTCTTTCCTGTGTTCTTATAGCATGGGTGTCAGCAGAAGTACTCCGAAGCTTTGGCCAAAACCAGGCAGGGCAAGAATCGGATTTGCTGAATCACAAGGGGTAGTAAAGGGTGGGATTACAAAATCCTTTCTAGCAAAGCAGGCAATGAAATTAGAGGTTACTAAAGAATTCTGTCATAGCATAAATGATGCCCACAGAAGCCTAAGGCCCTCTAAAGGGAATGGATGCAGAGTTCTGGTTGTTAAGTTCAGGGTGAAAAAAATCATCCTGGTGTCTGCAGTTCCAAAGCTTATGTCATGGTCAACAGTCTCTGGCAATCACTGTGAGGTGAAGCTTGGTTCTCACCTGGGGTATTAAAAACTGGTCCCCTGGGGCAGTGTTTTCAGCCCCATCTGCACATTGAGACCATCTGGGAACTTTAAGAACCACTGATGTCTGGCCCCTACCTCAGAGATTCTACCTGAATTGGCCTAGGGGTCCAGGGGAGATTTGTGATTCTGACATGCAGCCACTGCCTTAGTGGTGAGGACCTGTAAAGCCTGAAGTGGCTTAGTACTCAGCACAGAGATGAATCGGCTAGTCCAACCCTCAGTATTAACATTTTGGGATTATATTTAGGAATAATCTGTTGTATGTAAAGGGGTTGTCATGTTTAAGGGAATCTAGCATATCAGTGGGAGAACATCTTATGATTCCTACTGAAATTTATCTACCAATTGATTCTGAAACAGTGATTTTTATTTGAAAGGGATAAGAAGTTTACTAAGTTTGTAAACCACATTGGAATGTTTAAGATATTTGAGATTATTTATAGGTTTAAGTTAATGGTCTTATTAGGATAATTTAAGAATTTAAGAAGCATTTGAAGTGCTTAAAAAGAAAATCTGTTATATTAAGTTTATTTATTCAGTTTCAATGTTTAAGTTAGTTTAACTAAGTTTAAACATGGGACCCAACATTACTCAAAAGACTTCCTTGAAACTGACAGGAAAAATTTACTAGTTGTATAAATAGAATAATAAGATTTATAAAATGAATTTTAAAGTTTAAGAAAAACTAGGTTTTTAAATTTGTAACTTAGCAGATTCAACACAGATGCCCCTCAACTTATGATGGGGTTATGTCTTGATAAAAATCATAATTCGGCCAGGCATGGTGGCTCACACCTGTAATCCCAGCACTTTGGGAGGCTGAGGTGGGCAGATCACAAGGTCAGAAGATTGAGACCATCCTGGCCAACATAGTGAAACCCCATCTCTACTAAAAATACAAAAAATTAGCTGGGCATGGTGGCACACACCTGTAGTCCCAGCTACTTGGGAGGCTAAGACAGGAGAATCGCTTGAACCCAGTAGGCAGAGGTTGCGGCAAGCTGAGATCGCACCACTGCACTCCAGCCTGGGTGACAGAGTGAGACTCCGTCTCAAAAAAAAAAAAAAAGTTCATATATATATATATATATATATATGTTGAAAATGCATTTAATCCCTCTAACCTACACACCATCAATAGTTTAGCTTAGCCTACCTTACATGTGCTTAGTACACTTACATTACTTTATAGTGGAGCAAATCATCTAACACAAAGCCAGTTTTATAATAAAGTGCTGAATATCTCATGTCATTTAGTGAATACTATATTGAAGTGAAAAACAGCATGGCTGTACAGGTACTCAAAGTATGGTTTCAACTTAATGTGTATCACTTTTGTGCCATCATAAAGTAGAAAAATCATAAGCTGAACCATTGTAATCGGGGACCATCTGTATTAACTTTGAAAACTGAAGTAAATGCAAAATTATCTTCTGTATATAAAAACAAGCCCCAAGGACACCAAAAAACTCCCTACCTCCATTTGCTAACTGGAATAGCAAATATTCTGCCACTCTTCTGTCCCAAGTCCACAGGAGACACGACTAATGAATTGCAACACACTTACTTCTGGCTCAGAAAGTTGCCTGAGCATAGCATCCCAAGCAGCAGTTCAATCACCTGGAGATGGCATAAGATGGAACCACCTGCCCTCTCTTTTTCACATGTCTGTATGCATTCATGCACGCATGCATTCATCAGCTGGAAGCTACAGCAGTGTCCAGCAGTATCTCCACGCTGGCATGGACCTCAGTCTGCCTTGTTTCAGCCTGTTTGGACACTTGCCCTTCACCAGATCCTCACAAACAACTGTGGTAACATACAAGGTGGTGATTATCACCTGCTTGGAGACTGAGGGACCCAGAATTGGTCAGGCCTAGGGTTCAAAGCCAGCTCCATCTGGAGCCAAAATCACTCCCTTTCCAATGAGGAAAGATCAAGCGTGAGGCCTCCGTACCTTCTCCCATCTGTAGAAACGATCAGCTTTTATGATCATGTCCACCAGGCTGACATGGTTGCTGCGGACGGCCACTGCCAGGGCGGTTTTTCCCTGCTGCAATTAAGAGGCAAGAAGAGAAGCCAGAGTTTCTACAGGAGGGGTACACAAGGGTTTCTAGCACTGAGGACAAACCCTCCTGCCCACAGGAAGTGCTTTCCAGCAGTCTACGCTGAGAGCAGAAAGGTTTTCTGGTTTTCTGGGCATGAAGGGGATATGGAAAAGTCACAAATAGAATAAAGCAATAGCAATACATAATTCCAATGACCACCTCTTGTGTTTCTTTAGAAATTAGGAAGCTCTAGAGCTTATGAAACTCAGCCCTCATTAACTCTTCAACATCTCCTGTGAAATAGGGGTTCCCACCCACTTTTCAGATGAAGAAATCAGAGCCCAGAGATGGGGGCTTGGGTTTATCATGTCACTTTTGCCTTTTGCCCACCTCTGGTCAGGCCTCCTTTTCTCCAGGCCTCCCAGACAGTTACCTCCACAGACCTGCAGTGAGATGGGAAGCTCCCCTTCACATCTGGCCAGCTGCCATGGGGCCTAGCTCAAAGAAGGGGCCCCCTCCCAGGTCCAGCTTCAGGATCTGATCCTGCCCCCCAGCTCTACCCCACACCATACTAGGCTGGCCTCGCTGAGTCACATGTGCAGGTGCCCCTCCCCTCAAACACCTGTGACCTCCCAGCCTCATACCAAGTCTTTGGCTCTTCTGAGACCACTAGCACCTGTGGACGTAGCTGTGCTAATGAGCTGGGAAGCTTCCCCAAACCCTGTCCCACATATGGGGGTTGTTGGGCAGTACTGTGGTATTCGTCTACTTCCCAACCCTACCAGGTGACTCAGGAGGTCACAGTCTGATGGGGGCCATAAAGGAGAAAGCAATCATTTCACAGGCCTATACCAGAGGGGGGTGGGCCAAGGCTGAAGGACCTTAGTAGAGAGAGGGGAAGGTGGTGGAAGGTCAGGAAGGCTTCCTGGAGGAGGCTGCATTTGAGCTGGTATAGAAAGGATGACAGTCCTTGAACACCCTGAGAAGGAGGAGGGAGGGGGCATTCGTAGCAGGGTCTCTGGCAAGGGGGGAGCCATGAAAGCCTGAAGCGAGGTGGGTTGTAAGCAGAGGTACCTTATCTCTCAGGTTTAAGTCAACCCCAGCAATGAGGAGCATATCTGCTATGTCCTGCCAGGCGTGCTCTGCAGCCAGGTGAAGGGGCGTCTGCTGCCTCTAGGGGAGAAGCCAAGGGAATAGGTAAGTGAAAAGCATGTAGGGGTGGCCCACTACCCTAAGTCAGCCCGCACAATGATCCTAGTATATTTCTTCTAGTCTTTTCTTTAATGCAGAATGTTTTCAGTTTGTTGGTTTTACATACATGAGATCATCTTATATGTACATTTTACATCTTAATTTTTTTACCCCAACATGACACTTTTTGTGTACTATAAACTCTGATAAACGCCATTTTTGATAACTCCATACTAGCCTATTTTTGTCTGTGCCATAATTTACCTAACCACTTCCCTATTATTAAATATTTAGGCCATTTTCAAATTGAAGACTGATAAATAATACTGCAGTAAATATCTCTGTGCATGAGCTTTTAATATGTTTCTCAAGGCTGAGTTCCCAGCAGTGCTCACACATATCATTTAAAGGTATATGACATATTCTGCCAAATTGCTTTCAGCTCCCAGTGGCTCTGTGAGCCATGCCCTTGCTGGTACTGAGAATTATATGGTTGGTGGGTAGATTGTGGGGACAGGATTTAAAAGGGCTTTACTGATCACAGCTTCAGGACTCAGAGGCCTCTTGTTACACAAGACTGCCTCAGTCACCCCTGCCCTGGGAATGTTCCCTAAGGAAAAAAAGCAATGAAAGGAAAAGGTTGAATGTAAAAAGATGTTCACTGTAATGTTATAGACCGTGGCCAAAACTTGGGAACACCCAAATGTCAAAAGAGGGGAATGATGAACAAAATGATATTCCCTTCAGCAACTATTTAGATTACTTTCTAAAAGCTAAAAAAAAAAAAAAAAAAGTGATTCCTCAACTCTGGGCCATGCTAGGAGACCACAGCCAAGCCTGCCAGCCTGGGAGGGTTTCCAGAAGCTCCCTGGGGCCCGGAAGGTCTCTGTAGCCACTTACATTGTCCACGGCATTCACGTCACTGTCGGAGTTGATGAGGAGCCGGACCAAGGCAGGGAAGTTGTGCCTCACAGCGAGGTGCAGAGGAGAGGCACCCTGCTGTGGGAGGAGATACACGGATCAATCGACCAGTCCCTCCCAGGACTGCCCAGCTGCAGGCTGGTGCTGGGGACAGGAGGAGGGAAGAGTATAGTGCTTCTGGGTTTGGCCCTTTTAGCTTCTTGGATGACATGGGTGGCCTTAGGCAATTATGGTCCCAAAGCTTGAATTCCTGGAGCCCCAAACTGATCCTCTAGATGGGTGAGGGTCTGAAGACCCAAGGGTGAGACCTGCTATATCAGGAACTCACTATGTGACCTCGGGCAAGTCATTTCCCTTCTCTGCTACTCTTCATCTGGCAAGTGATGTTTGCCATGGTCCCTCCTAGCAACAATACCTTAAGATTCTCTGACATCTCATTTAATCCACACATCAACCTAGGAAGTATATAGGGATGGTGTTCTTATTAGTATCTTCATCTTACAAACAGAAACACTGAAGTTCAGAAAACTTAAATGACTTACCCAAGGATACTTAGCTAATAGGAACGATGACTTATTGGACTTTCTACTCCCACCACGTCCCCACCCCCAGTACCTAGGTACCTAGTACCTGATAACTATTTGTGTAGAAAAATGAATGAATGAAAGAGCCAGCTGGGACCAGAAAAGATACCTCACTCCAAGTCCAACTCTCCTTCAACAGTGGAAGACACCATCCCCAATAGTCTCCTGTGGCCCCCTGAGTAAATGACAAAGAGGGGATACTCCCCCCTCTCTAGGTGATATAGTGACACACATCCTGTGGAATAGTACAAGGCCAATAAAATTGATACTAGAAACTAATACTTATAGTAGAAAACATCCTCATGTATTGAGCTATAAAAGGGTTACAGAACAGAATATACACACACATACAACAAAAATGCCCATTATTGACATTATTAGTTTAGGCCAGTGGGTATGGAGTGTTATCAATATTAGAAAAGAAGATTTGAACAAAAAATTATTTGTAGACATGTAATTGTATAGTTACACAGAGCTAGCACAGTTGCTCTGTCTTACCGTGTGATGCCTCCCATCATGTCACAACACAGCAGGAAGGCCCTTACAAGATGCTGGTACCATGCTCTAGGACTTCCCAGCCTCCAGAACAATGAGCTAAATAAATCTCCATTCTTTATAAGTCACCCAGTCTATGGTATTCAGTTATAGCAACACAAAATGGACTAGGACACCGCTCCCCCGCAAAAATCCTAGTAGAATAAAGTCATACAGAAGACAAAAATACTATTCAGTAGCATTCTTGTATTGAATGCTTACAAGAAATGACACATAATTTTAAAAAAGATATTCTAGTCACAATGACAGCCAAAAAATATAAACTAACTATGAAGGATATAATTAGAAATGAATAAGACAAAAGTAAACCAAAGCTATATAACATCACTGAGGGATATAAAAGAAGACATAAAGAAATGGCAAGGCCAGGTGTGGTAGCTCACACCTGTAATCCCAGTACTTTGGGAGGCTAAGGTGGGAGGACCACTTGAGCCCAGGAGTTCGAGATCAGCCTGGACAACATAGTGGGACCCTGTCTCTACAAAAAATTTAAAACAAAATTAGCTGAGCATAGTGGTGCACACCTGTAGTTTCAGCTACCTGGGAGGCTGAGGCAGGAGGATTGCTTGAACCCAAGAGGACGAGGCTGCAGTGAGCCATGATCCTACCACTGCACTCCAACCTGGGCAACAGAGTGAGACCTTGTCTCTAAAAAATCTGTCTGTCTAGGCCAGGTGCAGTGGCTCATGCCTGTAATCCCAGCACTTTGGGAGGCCGAGGTGGGCGGATCACGAGGTCAGGAGATCGAGACCATCCTGGCTAACACGGTGAAACCCCATCTCTACTAAAAAAAAAAATACAAAAAATTAGCCGGGCTTGGTGGCGGGTGCCTGTAGTCCCAGCTACTCGGGAGGCTGAGGCAGGAGAATGGCGTGAACCTGGAAGGCGGAGCTTGCAGTGAGCCAAGATCACGCCACTGCACTCCAGCCTGGGCGACAGAGCAAGACTCTGTCTCAAAAAAAATATCTATATATCTATCTATCTATCTATCTATCTATCTATCTATCTATCAATCATCCTATCCCCACCATGGATGGTGGAGAGGATCCTCTTACCTAAAGCTCTCTCTCCCATCTGTTAAACATTTTTGTCACAATTTGTGAATTTTAACCATTCTGAAAAGTAGTATATCATGGTGGTGTTAACTTACACTTCCCTAATAGCTAATGATGTTAAACATGTTTTCATGTGCTTATTTGCCATCTGTATATCCTCTTCAGTGAAATGTCTATTCATGTCTTTTGCCCATTTTTTTTTTTTTACTGTTGAGTTTTGAGAGCCCTTTATATACTCTAGACACTAGCCTTTATAAGATATGTGATTTGCAAATCTTTTCTCTTGGTCCATAGCTTGTTTTTTCATCCTCTTAACAGATCCTTTGCAGAGCAAAATTTTTTGATTTTGATGAGGTCCAATTAATCAAATTTTTGCTTCAATGGATCATGTTTCTGGTGTCAAGTCTAAGAACTCTTTGGCCTAACCCTAGATCCAAAAATTTTCCTCCTTATATTTTTTCTAAAAGCTTTATAGTTTTACACTTAAGTCTGTGATCCATTTTGAGTTAATTTTGTATAAGGTGTGAGGTTTTAGTTGAGGCTCATTTTTTTGCCTGTGGATGTACAGTTGCTTCAGTCCCATTTGTTGAAAAGGCTATCAAACCTTCTTCCACTGAATTGCTTTTGCATCTTCAATAAAAATCAGCTGGGCGTATTTTCATGGTCTTCCCACCCTTCTTTGTGAAGCATATTACACTGTTCTGCAGCTTTATATTTTTTTTGCTTTTTATTTTTTAGAGCCAAGGTCTTGATCTGTCATGCAGGTTGGAGCGCAGTGTGTGATCATAGTTGACTGCAGCTTCAAACCCTTGGGCTCATATGATCTTCCTGCCTCAGCCTCTGGAGGAACAGGGACTACAGGCACGTGCCTCCAGCTCAGCTAATCTTAAAGTTTTTTTGTAGAGACAGTCTCGCTTTGTTGCCCAGGCTGGTCTTGAACTCCTAACCTCAAGCGCATCTCGACTTCTCAAAGTGCCGGAATTACAAGTGTGAGCCACCATTTCTGGCCTATTCTGCAGTTTTTAATAAACTTTTTCTGTCTTTTTTGTTTTGAGACAGGATCTTGCTCTGTCACCCAGGATGGAGTGCAGTGGCAAGATCATGGCTCACTGCAGCCTTGACCTCCTGGGGCCAAGCAATCCTTCTACTTCAGCCTCCCAAAGTGCTGGGATTACAGGTGCAAGCTACCATGCCTAGCCTAAACTTTTATTTTAGAATATATTTAGTTTTACGTGAAAGTTGCAAAGATAACAGAGTTCCCACATACCCCACATCCAGTTTCCTCTACTGCTAACATCTTAATTAGTATGATGTTTTTGTCATAATTAATGAGACAATGTCAATTGATTATTAGAACTTAACATCCATACTCTATTCAGAGTCTTCAGTTTCTTTTTTTTTTTTTTGAGATGGAGTCTCTCTCTGTTGCCCAGGCTGGCGTGCAGTGGCGCGATCTCGGCTCACTGCGACCTCCGCCTCCTGAGTTGAAGTGATTCTCCTACCTCAGCCTCCCAAATAGCTGGGATTACAGGCGCCCACCACCACACCCGGCTAATTTTTGAGTTAAGATGGGGTTTCACCATGTTGGCCAGGCTGGTCTTGAACTTCTGACCTCAAGTGATCCACTCACCTCAGCCTCCCAAAGTGCTGGGATTACAGGCATGAGCCACTGCGTCTGGCCCTTAGTTTCTACCGAATATCCTTTCTGTTGCAGGATCCCATCCAGGATACCACATTATATTTAGTTGTCATGTCTCCCTATGCTCCTCTTGGCTGTGCTGGTTTCTCAGACTTTCATTGTTTTTCATGACCTTGACATTTTGAGAATTACTTGTCAAGTATTTCGTAGAATGTCTCCTAACCAGGATTTGTCTGCTGTTGTTCTCGGAATTAGACTGGGGTTAGGAGTTTGGGGGAGGATTACAGAGATAAAGTATCATTTTCATCACACCATTATCAAGGGTAAATACTGCCAACATGACTCATCACTGTTGATGTTGGCCTTGACCACCTGGCTGAGGTAGTGTTTGTCAGATTTCCCCAGAGTAAGGTTACTCTTTTCCTCTTCCCGTACTGCACTTTCTGGCAGGAAGTCACTATGCACAGCCTGTACTTAAGGTGTTGGGAGGTTCTGCTTCACCTCCTTGAGAGCATGATATCTACATAAATTATTTGAAATTCTTCCGCATGGGATATTTGTTTATTCTCCTCCATTTACTTATTCAATCATTTATTTATATCAGTATGGACGCACAGTTTTTTTATACTTTGGATTACAATCCAATACTACTTTATTTTATTGCTTAAGTAGTTTCAGAGTTGACCATTGGGAGCTCTCTCTGGTGGCCCCTGTGTCCTTTTGACACAACCTAATCATCGTTTTTTAATGGAGTGCTCCTTTACTTTCTGGCACTACAAGATGCTCCAGACTCACCCTATGTATTAGTATTTCCTGCCCTAGTCCTAGACTGAGCCATTTTCCCAAAGAATCTTGGTTCCTTGTAGTAGAGAATTTGCACCTGCTTTGTTCACATAACTGTATCTTTAAGGTCTTTCCATATAAGTACATTTTTTGAAAACTGTCCTCATTCTTATTTATTTTTATTTTTATTTATTTATTTTTTTGAGACAGAGTCTCACTGTCATCCAGGCTGGAGTACAGTGGCACAATCTCAGCTCACTGCAACCTCTGCTTCCTGAGTTCAAGCGATTCTTCTGCCTCAGCCTCCTGAATAGCTGGGACTACAGGCGTGTGCCACCACACCTGGCTAATTTTTTGTACTTTTAGTAGAGACGGGGTTTCACTATGTTGGCCAGGCTGGTCTCGAACTCCTGACCTCATGATCCACCTGCCTCAGCCTCCCAAAGTGCTGGGATTACAGGTGTGAGCCACTGCGCCCGGCCGTCCTCATTCTTTTTTATAGTTACATAGTATTCCATTGCATGGATGGGCCACAGTTTATTACATTGTCTCCTAGTTAAGCATGGGTTTCAATATTTTGCTATTACAAATGATACTGCAGCAAAAACCTTGTACATATTATCATTCCATACATGTGGAAGTATATCTGTCAAATAAATTCCTAGATTTGTTGAGTCAAAGGGCACATGTATTTGTAAGTTTTATACATATTGGTAAATTACCCTCTGAACAGATCGTACCAACTTCTACTCCTTCCAGTAACATATGAAGGTGTCTATTTCCCTACAGATTGGTAAATTACCCTCTGAACAGATTGTACCAACTTCTACTCCTTCCAGTAACATATGAAGGTGCCTATTTCCCTACAGCTTTGTCAATCCACTTGGCAAAACTTTTGGATTTTTGCCAACCTAATGAGTGAAGAATTATATCTCCATGTAGTATTAATTTGCATTTCTCTTAAGAATCCTCTGTGTTTCCTTTTCTACCAAATGTCTCTTCATAACCTTTGGCCATTTTTCTCTTGTGTTGTTTGTTTTTTAACTTTGTAATGATTTGTGGGAATTTTTAAAAAATTTTTTTTAGAGATAAGGTCTCACTCTGTTACCCAGGCTGGAGTGCAGTGGTGTGATCACAGCTCACTGCAGCCTCAACCTCCTCCGCTCAAGTGATCCTTCAACTTCAGCCCCCAGAGGATCTGGGACTACAGGCAGGTACCCACCACCATACCCGGCTGATTTTTAAATTTTTTGTAGATACGGGGGTCTCACTATGCTGCCCAGGCTGGTCTCGAACTCCTGGACTCAAGCGATCCTCCCACCTCAGCCTTCCAAAGTGTTGGGATTACAGATGTGAGCCACTGCACCTGGCAACGCCTTCACTTTTTATGAATGTGTCTTTTGACACTGTTACTACCAGCAAGTTACTTTTGGTATTAAAAACAAAGCAAATACAACAAATAAAAGTGACACAATTAAATAAATAAATAAATAGGCAGCAAAAACAGCTAAAATGAAAAGGAAAACAACATACTAAATGAAGGTAACAGGAAAACTTCTTAGTTTGACCACTGGGCTGGCATCAGGATTCTGGTGTCTTGATGGGCAGAAACAAGTAAGCATTTAGCCTGAATTCTTTCTAGCTGGAGGTGATACTATTTACATGGGGGAAAATGGGAGGGCATTAAAAAAAAGTCCTTGCTTTTCTAGGGCTTTGGAATCAAGGATGCCTTTCTTCTCTATATTCCAATGAATTGTGTAATGTTGTTTTTATAATAAGTTTAAATATAGTACTTGTTTTAGCTGTAAGAAATGACCCCTTTCTGATTTAAACCATAGATGTTTCCCTGTTTATGTAATGGGAATAATAATAATAGTACTTATAGGTAAGGAAACAGGCCCAAATAGGTCAAAGCAGCTTGCCCAGGATTATTCAGTTTGTAGTACCAGCATACAAAGCCAGGCCTAACACCAAAGCCTCTTGTTTTTAAATTTTAATTATTTAATTCAGCTTGATAGTTATTGTCAACTTGCCTTCTAGAAAGATAGTCACCATTTGAAACTCCCACTACTTTTTTTTTTCTTTTTGAGACAGTCTCACTCTGTTGCCCAGGCTGGAGTGCAGTGGAGCGATCTTGGCTCACTGCAACTTCTGCCTCCTGGGTTCAAGTGATTCTCGTGCTTCAGCCTCCCAAGTAGCTGGGATTACAGGGATACACCACCATGCCTGAGTAATTTTCTTTTCTTTTTTTTTTGAGGCGGAGTCTTGCTCTGTCGCCCAGGCTGGAGTGCAGTGGTGCGATCTCGGCTCACTGCAAGCTCTGCCTCCCGGGTTCATGCCATTCTCCTGCCTCAGCCTCCTGAGTAGCTGGGACTACAGGCGCCTGACACAAAGCCCGGCTAATTTTTTGTATTTTTAGTAGAGATGGGGTTTCACCATGTTATCCAGGATGGTCTCGATCTCCTGACCTCGTGATCCGCCCGCCTCGGCCTCCCAAAGTGCTGGGATTCCAGGTGTGAGCCACTGTACCCGGCCACACCTGGCTAATTTTCTATATTTTTGTAGAGATGGGGTTTTGCCATGTTGCCCAGGCTGGTCTCGAACTCCTAGCCTCAAGCAATCTGCTCACCTTGGCCTCCCAAAGTGCTGGGATTACAGGCTCACGCCACCATGCCCAACCCAATTTTTTTTTTTTTTTTTTTTGAGACAGAGTCTCACTCTTGCCCAGGCTGGAGTGCAGTGGTGTGATCATGGCTCACTGTGGCCTCAACTTCCTGGGCTCAAGCAGTCCTTTAGCCTCAGCCTCCCAAGTAGCTAGGACTACATGTGTACACCACCATGACCAGCCAGTTTTTCAAAAAAAATTCTGTAGAGATGGATCTCCCTGGGTTACCCAGGCTGGTCTTGAAGTCCTGAGATCAAGCAATACTCCAGCCTCGGCCTCCCATAGTGCTGAGATTACAGGTGTGAACCACTGCACTCCCAAAGTCTGTGTTTTAACCAAAAGATTATACAGTTCCTGTGTGTGGACCAAATGTATAACAGTAAAAAGATTAACAATTAAGTGGACAGATAGGCAACATAAAAGATTAATAGTAAAACCCAATGCCTAGGCTTGGCACAGTGACTCATGCCTGTAATCCCAGCACTTTGGGAGCCTGAGGCTGGCGAATCACTTGAGTCAGGGGTTCAAGACCAGCCTGGCCAACATGGTGAAACCCCAGTATTTTTCTACCAAAAATACAAAAAAAAAAAAAAAAAATTAGCTGGGCATGGTGGTGTGTGCCTCTAGTTCCAGCTATTCAGGAGGCTGAGGCAGGAGAATTGCTTGAACCTGGGAGGCAGAGGCTGCAGTGAGCCGAGATTGCAACACTGCACTCCAGCCTGGGCAACAGAGCAAGACTCTGTCTCAAAAAAAAAAAAAAAAAGAAAAGAAAAAAAAAAGCCCCAATGCATAAACGAGCAGAGAACAGGAGCTAATAATTCAGTTCAGAGGAATTGCAAGCAAGCTGGGTTTCTAATCCTATTACAGCTACAACAGTATTTCACTCTCCTAAGTGCTGCCGGCTCCCCTACTCCTGGTCCGCACCCCAACCCCAAGGATCCGATGTGCCTGTTTCTCCCTGTGCTTCATCAGTGTGCTCATGGAAGGCTTTGCAATGGAGACCCCCTTCAACACTCGCACCATACTTACATGATCAACCACGTTGGCGCAGCCTCCTGCGTGGATGAGGACCCGAGACACATCCTCCGAGCCACTGAGGGCTGCATAGTGAAGGCAGCTTAGGTTTTTCTAGAAGGAAACAGGCATCAATGCGTTATCACAAGGACCCCTCCTACTGAGGTTTGCAAAGCTCTTCGAGATTCATTTTTCCATTTGAGTGTCACAACACCCCTGGGAGTATTATCCCCATTTAACTGAGGCTGGAAAAATCAATGACTTTCCCAGGTCTCATGACCAGTAAAAGGAACTCATTATGGTCTCAGTCTTTTCCTCACCTCCTATCACAAACTCAAGAATTCAGACCAAAGCCTGCCCAATTCTATGGCTGGTAAAGACATGCAGATGATAGACTTTTTTTTTTCCCGAGACAGAGTCTCACTCTGTCACCCAAGCTGGAGTACATGGCACAATCTCGGCTCACTGCAACCTCCACCTCCCAGGTTGAAGTAATTCTCCTGCCTCAGCCTCCCGAGTAGCTGGGATTACAGGTGCCTGCCACTACGCCCAGCTAATTTTTGTATTTTTAGTAGAGACGGGGTTTCACCATGTTGGCCAGGCTGGTCTTGAACTCCTGATCTTGTGATCCACCCGTCTCAGCCTCCCAAAGTGCTGGGATTACAGGCGTGAGCCACCGCACCTGGCCAGGAGGTGGTTTTTAAAGAGGAAGACAAATAAGATTTGCCAATACAGAGCAAACTCCACCCAGCATGCACTGCCCAGCACAAGCTGGTCTTGGTGCCTCCAAACAGGATCCTGGCTGGGCTAGAATGGAGGCTTGATCTTGGTGGGCCTCAAAGGGCTCTCTTTCAGTCAGTGCCCAACCTGGCCCAGTGATCACCTTGCACAAGGCACACACCAGGCAGGCCCCACTAGGGTGACCCACCACTGTCTCAGTTTGCCCAGGATTGAGGAGTTCTTGAGATGTGGGACTTTCCATTTTAAAATCAGGACAGTATGGGGCAAACCAGGACTAGCTAGCCACCCTGCTAAAGTCCCAGCTGAGCGAGTACCTGGGGTGTGTGGGACTCAGTCCATCTCCCAGTGGGAAATGCAGTCACCGTGGGCTTGGCACCTCCTCCGAGACCCTGTGGCATGACATTCTGAGAGGGGTGGGAGTGTTGAAATGGAACGTGGCCTCTGCCAGAAACCACAAGCTGAGGTTGGAGCAAAAGGCCTGGCGTGATGAGCAGCTCCAGCCCCCCACCCAATGGCCACCCAGCTGGGTGCAACCTTCCCAGTCTTTTTTTTTTTTTCTTGAGACAGGGTCTCAATCTGTCACCCAGGCTGGAGTACAGTGGTGCAATCATAGCTCACTGCAGCCTCAAACTCCTGGGCTCAAGCAATATTCCAGCTTTGGCCTCCCAAAGTGCTGTGTTACAGGCATGAGCCACCTTGCCCAGCCTACTTTTCTTTTCAAAGCCAGTCAAATTAAGCAGTGGGGAAATAAATATTTTTTAGCATAACATTTTAATTCTCTGTTTTTGAACTGCCTGTGTGTTTTTGCTATTATTATTTATATTGTATTATTTATTATTAATATTTTTGCTATACTATTGACATTTAGAACAAAGCAAGAATTCCAGAACCTGAAGCCATTCAACCAGCCAGAAAGGTTATTTGTCACTGATTCAAAAATAAAAAGCAAACCCAAAACACCAACTCACTACCTAAAGAAAGGCCACAACCCCGCTTTCCAGGTCATAGAGGAGAATTTTTACTGGCAGAACTGATGAGTACAACGGGGAGAGAGAGAAGAGGTTCATCCAGGGTCACACCTCAAGCCCCAGCTCTGTCAGGGGAAAAGCTTCATCAGTGGGTGGGAGCTCTGGAGTCAGGGGAAAAGGCTTTTGAGACTCAGCTTTGCCTCGTACTAGCTTGTGACCCTGAGAAAGTGCCCTCAAAGCTCCAGTTTTCTCATCTGCAAAATGGGTGGAATTTTTCTGGGGTAACAGTTATGAAGGGGCTTTGTGAACGATCAAGAGCTCAACAAATAGAAGACACTAACAGGGCCAGGTGCAATGGCTATCCCGCCTATAATCCCAACACTTTGGAAGGCTGAGGCAGGTGGATCACTTGAGGTCAGGAGTTCAAGACCAGCCTGGCCAACATGGTGAAACCCTGTCTCTACCCAAAAAATACAAAAATGAGCCGGGGGTAGTGGCACACACCTGTAGTCCCAGCCTCTTGGGAGGCTGAGTCAGGAAAACTGCTTGAACCCAGGAGGCGGAGGTTACAGTGAGCCAAGATCGCACCATTGCACTTCAGCCTGGGCGACAGAGTAAGACCCATCTCAAAAAAATTAAAACAAAAAAACACTAACAGGTATTGAGGTGTTGGGCCCTATTATGTCCTGGGCACTGTGTTAGGTATTTAATCCTCACAACAATGTAAAAAAGTAAATGTCACTGCACTTTATAGTTGGGAAACAAGGCTCAGAGAGGTTAAGTAACTTGCTCCAGGTCACAGGGCTCAGCAGTGGAGAAGCCAAGATCAGAACCTTGTCTGCTGCCTCGAAGCCTCTATTCACTCAGGGTTCAGGAATCCCTGTGGCCGTTACTGCCGACATGGCTATGGCTCAGCAGCCAAGAGCCGACCGCAGTCTTGGGAGGGCCTGGCTACCTGGGTGAGGGCATTCACGGTGCTCCCAGCCCTGAGGAGGAGCTGCACACAGTCAGGGTGGGATCCTCCAGCAGCCGAATGCAGGGCAGTCAGACCTTCCTGCAACACACAAGAAGAGCAATGAGGATGGTGGGGAGGCCCACCCCCAAGTGACCCCCAATCCCACGGTGAGAGGATGCCCCTTGTGCCTTGGCCCCAGGACCCCTTGAGCTCTCCACTGCCCTGCCCCTGGGAACAATGAACTTTCTTGTTTGTGATTCCATGAGCCCCACCCCTGAAGTCCTCACTTTATGGAGCACACACATGGCATAGTCACTCCTGGCTCCACATCTCTGCTCATGTTCTGCCCCGGTCAGGCTGTCTCAGCCCCTCCCCTCTATTTCCTTCTCCTCCAGCAAGCCCTCCCTCACCATCCTGTCCACGGTGACGTCTCCCTTCTTTGAACACACACTTTCTGTCTCACTTCTGGGGTGAGGCATCATGCCAAGTACTACCATTAAGCCTGGAGTTCAGTGCTGCTGCTTGTCTTTCCCTGGTGGGCTCTCAGTTCGAGATCATGCCCTCAGCCTTCTGGCTTTAGACTTCACCATGGACTGGTGGGGGTTCCTCGAAGGCAGAGAGCAAGCAAGGGTCATGCATCTCGCCATCCCCAGGCGGTGACTCACCGCATTCTGCTCCTCCAGGTCCAGCCCGATGTCCACAAGTCGCTGCAGCACAGCCATATGGCCCCGACCAGCAGCCAGATGAAGGGCAGTGTTCCCCTCCTGCAGGAAAAAGGGCTCCTGAGAGGCCAGCAGACCAGAGAGTCCCAGAATCACAGACCTGTGATGAGCTGCAGCCATGCACACTGGGTCAGTGCCACCCTGCTCCTGACAACTGGGCCAAAAACTATAACCAGGGGCAGATTCAAGGGCCAAGCCCTGGTCTTTCTTTCCTTATACTTCAAGGCAGGCACATTGCTTAAAAATTAAACAAATCCAATTCTACTTTCCACGTGCCCATCTGAAGCCGGTCCCTCCTCATGTCCCCCAGATCCATCTCCTCTCACGGCTCAAGGCCCCAGCAACTCTCCCCTGCGCTCAGGCTGTTCCAGGCAGCTGCTTGGCTCAGTCACCTGCCTCCCTCAAGTCTTTGTGTGAGACGTTAGTTTCTCATTGAGTAGCATGGCCTGCCCGGGCCACACTGAAACTACAACCCCCACCTCTGTCCTCCTGAGACTATTTTTGGGTCCTGCTTTTCCTTTCCCCACTGCACAGATCACCTGCTAACACACTCTGTCACTGGCTGAGTGCTTAGTATTTATTGTCTGACTTTTTTTTTTTTTTTAATTTTACTTTAAGTTCTGGGATACGTGTGCAGAATGTGCAGGTTTGTTACATCGGTAAACGTGTGCATTGGTGGTTTGCTGCACCCATCAACCCGTCACCTAGGTATTAAGCACTGCATGCATTAGCTATTTGCCCTGATGCTCTCCCTAACTTTGCCCCCCTTCAACAGGCCCTGGTGTGTGTTGTCCCCCTCCCTGTGTCCATGTGGTTCTCATTGTTCAGCTCCCACTTATGAGGGAGACCATGCAGTGTTTGGTTTTCTGTTCCTGTGTTAGTTTGCTGAGGATGATGGTTCCTGGCTTCATCCATGTCCCTGCAAAGGACATGATCTCATTCCTTTTTATGGCTGCATAGTATTCCATGGTGTGTATGTGCCACATTTTCTTTATCCAGTCTATCATTGATGGGCATTTGGGTTGGTTCCATGTGTCTGACCCTTCTTGCTGGAACATAAGCACCACAGGGGCATCTATTTTGTTCTCTGAAGTTTCCTTAAGTGCCTAGAATAGGGCCGGGGGTACATGGCCAACACTCAGTAGATATTTGTTCAATGAGTCAATAATGTAGGAGGGTCTTCAGGTGATCATGTGGAGAGCTTGACATGTGTCCCTGGGACTTGAGGGCCAGAGGACTGGTAGTTGCTTTGCACTTGGAAAGTCTAAAGGTGACAGTGACATAGCCAAGAGAAGCAGCTGCATGGGGCAGGGCAGAGGGCGCAACGTACTTTGTATCAGAAGTGGCCCCTGCTGAGGTCAGCCTGCGTGGGGTTGTCCTTTAAAGGGATCTCCCTGCTGGGCATGGTACCTCACACCTGTAATCCCAGCACTTTGGGAGGCTGAGGTGGGCAGATAGCTTGAGCCCAGGAATTCCAGCCTGGGCAATATAGTAAGACTCCGTCTCTACAAAAGATACAAAAATTAGCCAGATGTGGTGGTGCGTGCCTGTAGTTCCAGATACTGGAAAGACTGAGGCAGGAGGATTGCTTGAGCATGGGAAGTTGAGGCTGCAATGAGCTGTGATTACGCCACTACACTCCAGCCTGGGCAACAGAGTAAGATCTTGTCTCAAAAAAAAATTGAATTCAGCTAAAAATAATAAAATTTTAAAATAATTTTAAAAAGCCCTCAACAGCTTTGTTTTTCTCTCCTTGCCAGCTTCTCTGCAGCCTATAGCCTGCAGGCTGGCTGCTGCGAGCCAGGACAAGCGGTGGGAAATGCAATCACAGCGTGAAATCTCTGTGTTCAGAGACACGCAGGAAGCAGGTGAACCATGAAGGGCCAACACATGCCCCCAGTTAGCAGGGTGTAGAGACCGTGGCAGGGCTTTCTTCTTCCTTCTGGGTTATAAATATCCATGTCCTGCCATTTGAAGCTGCAAGTGGCACACATGGATGCCTGACAGGCGCTCGCACTTTCCTGGGCAGGGCAGGGGGCTCAGAGGCAGGACAGCTGGGCAGAAGGCAGCCTTGGCGTGGGCCCGGGGCCCTCTCCCCTCCACCTTGGGGATGTCCAGCATCTCCACTTCTGTGAGGCCTTGACAGCAACTTTGCCCTTCCAAGTGGAGTTAATAGCTCTCTCTGGACTCTCAAAGCCTCCCTAGCATTCTAGAGTACACGTGGAGTGACCTGTGTTGTCATTGACTCTAAGAGGTCTATCCCCCTTATCAGGCATTGAAAAACTTACCGTGCCCCACTCCCAGATGAAACTGAAAATGAAAACACTCCCATTGTGAAAACACAAAACTTAACAGGGGTATGCAATTTTAAAAGCTTCTTTGCAGAATTTCTGATTGCAAGATTCTGGAGAAGTTCATCAAAGCTGTATTTTATCTTTCACTGTTCTTGGTGCTCATGCTCTCCTGGGGCCCTGAGGTGTGATCATTTTGCCTCTTGGGTTTGCCAGTCCTGGCAGGCACTGCCCTCCCCGCTCTTTGCATGCCTAGTTCCTGGCCCAGTGCCTTGCACAGGGTAGGACCTGCTCAGCCCAAAAGGATGAGTGTGGATGGACTCAGTGCAGAACCCAAGGGGGTCCAACCCAGGAGGCAGCCTGGTAAGGGGAGAAAGACAGCTTTATGCATTAGGATGCTGCTTCCAAATCCAGCTCTACCTGTGTCTCACTGTGTGGCCCTGGCTAAGGCATGTCCCTCTCTGGGCATCAGTTTCCACAGCTGTAAAATGAGAAGGCTGAATTCAGATGCCTTCCAGTTCCAAGACCCTGCAGTGCATTTGTGTGTGAGCTCTCTATCACTTCATTTTACACAGAACTCCCTCTATCCTGGCCAAGCACATTAACCAGAAGATTAATAATGGAGTTAATCTCTTTGTTGGAGGCATCATTTAGAATTTGCTGTAACAGGCCGGGCGCGATGGCTTACGCGTGTAATCCCAGCACTTTGGGAGGCTGAGGCGGGTGGATCACGAGGTCAGGAGATCAAGATCATCCTGGCTAACACGTGAAACCCCATCTCTACTAAAAATACAAAAAAAATTAGCTGGGTGTGGTGGCGGGCGCCTACAGTCCCAGCTATTCGGGAGGCTGAGGCAGGAGAATGGTGTGAACCCGGGAGGCGGAGCTTGCAGTGAGCCAAGACAGCGCCACTGCACTCCAGCCTGGACGACAGAGCGAGACTCCGTCTCAAAAAAAAAAAAAAAAAAAAGGGAATTTGCTGTAACATATTTTGCCTAATGATTCACAAGGGTCCAATGATAAGAGTCATTTGCAGGGTAGACCCTCTGGTCCCCGTCCCTTACCCCTTCTCAGATTGGTGAAATCCTGCTCACAAGCCCTGAATGATATGCTACCTTCTCCATGCTCCCAACCTATTCCTGCCATAACCATAGCAGAGCAGATGTGTGGCTACCACCCCCTAACACTTCCCCACATCTGTCAACAACAGACAACCCCAGTAGATCACAGCCCTGCTCAACCCACTCCAGGCAGCACTACCAACCACCCAGATCTGCCACCCTGGCCAGCCACGTCGGATCAGAAATCCTTACTATGCCTGTGGCACTGAGTTCCTCGAGTAAGAAACGGTGTCTTGGGCATCTTTATGCCACCAACCTGTAGCACAGGGCTGGCCCATAGCACACGCTGGTGAAGGGCCTGCTGGATGAACACTAAATACACTCTCATCTTTGGGCCACACGGGCCTCCAGCGCAATCGGAGTCAGACGTGGACACAGGTGAGGAGCCAGAGCCTGGAAGGTGGCAAGTTTTGCACCCTGGTCAGGATCCCAGAGCCTCACGGACACGGTACCTTGTCTTTGACATTGTGGTCACAGCCAGAGCCCACGAGGAAGTCCAGAGCATCCAGCTGCCCGTGCTCAGCTGCCCTGTGAAACGCCGTCCTCCCCAGCTGGCCGGGAGGAGAAGCGGTGTGAGCCTTCCTCACTCTGTCAGTGGGCATACCTGCCTCTGCCCACCTGGCCTCTGTTCCCCAACCACTCTGGCTTTGTAGTGGCCTCTCCTGCCCCAGACACTGTCCTCTCCCCTTGCCTCCCCACACCCTGCCTGGAAAGCCCAGACCCAACTTCCCAACAAGAGACACTTGCTGGGGTCCCTCCCTGGCTGAAGTCCTGAGGTGGCTCCTTGCTGCCTAATGAATAAACAGATTCTTGAGGATGGGGGTTGAGATCGCCAGAGGGACCCCCAACCACCCATCAGACCTTCCCTCCTAAGATTCCAGTCCCTCAGAACTCACACTAGAGCCCTTTCCTGTCCCTAAAGCTCCCACAAGCCTCGCTCTTCCATTTGGTGCCCTCTCCAACCCCTGATTTCCAATCTTACCCACAAATCCAGTTTATTTACCAAATGCCACCTCCTCCAGGAAGCAGAAGCAATGGCTTGCTTTTCTAACCCACCTAGTCCTTGATCAAGACCTCTCTGTGGCAACTGACTGTGTTCTGCTTGTATTCTGCTCATTTGCGCCTCAACACCTCTTCCCAACCAGCGGCTCCCCAGGCCAGGTGCAATATGCCCACAGATCAAAGGATGCACCCAAGGAATGTGGTAAGCCCAGTGTGCAAGAGTGGCCCCAGGAGCCCCCCGCCCAATGGGAATGATGAGTAGCCCTGAGGCACTCTCACCTTGTCTACGTGGTCCAGGGCCACATCCTCCAGGTCCTCCATTATGAACGCCAGCACAGGCACATGGCCTTTTTGGGCTGCGCAGTGCAGTAAGGTCAGGCCATCCTGGAAACAAGTGCAGGAGGGTTCCTGCAGTCTGTGAAGGGAGGCCCTTTTCACACACTGCCAGTCTCCCAAACAGCGAGTGTTTGGGACCCAGAACACAGCCTCCCCATGGATACAACACTGTAAATGATGAATGGACCCGAGGGATAACCCACTCTGCTGCCCACTTAGCCTTAGGGGGGCTGGCAGGAGTCGGGATGCCAAAATTCAAATCCCAGCTCCAGCACCCCTCAGCTCCGGAGTCTCGGGCCAGTTACCTCCACCTCTCTGAGCCTCCACTTTCACACAGGACAAACTAGCATCATAATCCCCGACCACTTCAGTGGGTGGTTGAGAGGACTGGACCTACAGGAAAGGTATTTTATCAACTGAAAATTAATTCAAACATGTACGGTGAGGTCGTGTAGCACTAGTAGCCTCCAGAACAGTTAAGAAGGTTCTAGGTATCTGCCTTCCTTGATACAGCTGCTAATGAAGAAGCAGGTGACCAAGTGACCAGTGTATGTCACTAGGAAGTGACCTCCTCACCTTCTAGGGCAGATTAAGAGCAGATGTGGTCTGCAGGGAGTAGAGGGAAGTGGCCTGGGTTGGGGGTGGACAGGAAGAAGGTCTCTGGGGCCTAGAAGCAAAAGGAAGGAGACTTGCAAATACTATGTTTATGCCCCAGAGCTTCTACTCCTGCCTTGTATTAAGGTCAGATTATTTGAAGTCCTGTTTGCAACCCATCAGTGGGTCATAAAAATCAGTACAACAGTGTTTTACATCTTGACAGTGGTCAAATCTCAGTGAATATAAATTTTCAATATGTGTACTTCTTTTTTTTTTTTTTTTTTTTTTTGAGTCGGAGTCTCACTCTGTCTCCCAGGCTAGAGTACAGTGGTGCGATCTCGGCTCACTGCAACTTCCACCTCCTGGGTTCAAGCAATTCTCCTGCCTCAACCTCCCGAGTAGCTGGGATTACAGGCAGCCACCACCACGCCCGGCTAATTTTTTGTATTTTTAGTAGAGATGGGGTTTCCCCATGTTGCCTAGGCTGGTTTCGAACTCCCGAACTCAGGCAATCTGCCTGCCTCGGCCTCCCAAAGTCCTGGGATTACAGGCATGAACCACCACGCCCGGCCCAGTGTGTGTATTTCATGTTGGTATCATGGACCCCTTGATATGAAAGGATGAGAAGGACACTTCCCTCTTGTGTTCTTCCCAAATTCCATAGCCCTGGACGGATGATTTTCATGAGGAAAACATGAGACAAACCCAAATTAAGGACATTCCACAAAATACTTGGCTACTACTCTCCAAAACGGTTAAGGTCATGGAAAACAAGGAAGAACAAAGAAATCATCACAAGATTGGAAGAGACTAAGGAGACAAAATGACTAAAGCATTATAGAATATTAATGGAAAAACTGCTGAAATCTTATTATAGTCTATAGTTTAGTAAAACTGTAAATATCACCAATGCCTGGCAAGGTAGAGCTACATAAACAGCAGCGAAAGGAGAAAGCTTTAGGGCAGAAGCAGGACTGGGCCTGTGGCATCTATAGGTAAGATGAATCCCTTTGGGGAAGACCTTGAATAAGAGATTGAAAGGAAGAGTGGGGTCTATCATTTGCAAAGCTGGCTGCATCTATTCCTCCTGCCCTTGGAAGCACACCCCAGGGTGGTGCTACTCTTCTCACTGAGACTCTACACTGGTCCTGTGATGGGCTTTTGAATGCAATGGAGGTGATACCACGTGGCTTTCCAGCCTTGGCCTCTAGAGCCCTTGCCAATTCTGCTCTGGCTCTTTTGCTGTCCTGAGGCAGACACATAAGGAAGTCTAGGCTGAACTCCCTAAAGATCAGTGACCACCTGGAGAAACCAGCTGCACCATCCCAGACATTCCAACCCTTCCTGCAGAGGCTCCAGACATGTGAGTGAGACCCTCCAGGGCCAGCCAGCCCCCAGCCCACCCACCTGCTGACTGCAGCCTTGTAGGTGAGCCCAGGCAAGGCCACAGGAACTGCCCGCCAACCACAGAATTGTGGAAAATAATATATCATTACTTTCAGATTCATTACGTTTAAATTTTAGAGTGATTTGTTGCCAAAAACAGAAAACAAATATAGAGGGGATCTGCTTAACTAGAAGAGTCCGTGACTCAGAACCTCACCCTCCATATACACCCAAGACCCCGCCTCCCTCATTCTAGAACATGGAGGCTCATTCACAACTCTGTTTATAGTATACTCCATCAAGACAGCACTGGATTCCCCAGGGCCACTGAGCCCTTCCAAGGCCAAGCCAGGCCAGGCTGGCAGGACCAGACAGCAGAACCCTGAGCTTGAACCTGGGTGTATTCACAGGGTGCCCTCCTGCTGGCCCCTCCCTCCCACACTCCAGTTCAGATCTTGTGACCCACCACATAGGGGCATGGTTCTCTGGGATGGATTTTCCAACCCAAATGCTTTCAGGCACTCCCACCACTGCCAACAGGATCCTAACAATGGCATGGGACAGACCTCTTATGTGCCACAACCCTTTTACATCTGGTGAAGCCTATAGACCCCTTCTCAGAATATTTACTTAAATGCAAAAAAAAATTATACAGGAAAAAAAATTAATCAAATACACAGGCTTACAATGGCGTATTAGTTTCCTATTGCTGCTATAACAAATTACTATAAGCTTCATGGCATAAAACAGCATAAATTTATTATTTTACAATACTAGAGGTCAGAACTCTAAATTGGGTTGGCAATGCTGTGTTTCTTCTGGAAGCTCTTGGGGAAAATCCATTTCCTGGCCTTTTCCAGCTTCTAGAAGCTGCCCGAATTCCTTGGCTAGTGGCTCACATCACTCCAGCCCTGCCTCCTTCATCACACCTCACACATATCACATCACACCCAACAAATTCCTATTGGTGTGTTAGGTTGTGGGGGTTCAGAGGTTCTAGGGATTAGGATATGGACATCTTTGGGGTGCCATTATTCTGCCTACCATAAAAGGAAACCAATTATATTGAAATTAAGTTATGAAAATATTACAAACCAAGTTTTCAATCTAGTAACATATGTGTTTCCTTACTGACCCGTTAAACAACAAGATCTAGTGAAGGGTCTAATCACTGCCATAATTTCAATGTAATGATAAGTGTAAGAAGTATTTTAAGATAACTGCAAAAATTTTCATGTGATATGAAAATAGCTAAATTTTCTATTAGTGACAAAGTCACAAGTACTAATATTACCTACATTCATGATTGGAAAAAATGCTAATTAGCCGGGAGTGGTGGCACGCGCCTATAGTCCCAGCTACTCTGGGGGCTGAGGCAAGAGAATTGCTTGAACCCAGTAGGCGGAGGTTGCAGTGAGCTGAGATCATGCCACTGCACTCCAGCCTGGGTGACACAGCAAGACTCCATCTCAAAAGAAAGAAAGAAAAAAATGCTAAATTTTCAAGAAGTTAGCCAAAATAAATATGCATTTTTTTCCAATCCAAGTTCATAGGTCCTCTGAATTTTCTCCAAGAACCCATGTGAGAACTCCTGGCTGAGGGATTTGGCCCAGAAATGTTTGCATTTTCCTATGGGCCACTGACACCCTAAAAGGTTAGACACCAGTGGAGGGATTCCAGGCACTCTCACTTGCTGGGGCCCTGCTCCCTCAAATCCCAGTGCAGGCTGATAGAGAAACTCGCCCACCATACCACACTTGGTAAATGATGCTTTGCTCCTTTCACCCCACCGCACTGAGCACAAGGGGTGCAGAGCCTGGCAGGAGGGTGGAGGAGACCTCACCTCCTTCTCATTTAATTTTTCTAACTACCCTCTGAGGGAGTTACTTTGATTTCTCTCTTGTAAATAAGGAGGCCAGCCAGAGGGCTGGGAACTCTCCCAACTCACCGAATAGTAAAGGGAGGTGGGGGAGATCAGATGAAAGAGGGACAGGCAGAGGCAGGTTGGGGGCTGGAGGGGCAAGCAGGGGTGGGGGACAGAGGTCGGGGGAGACCTGTGCATCCAGGCCAGGGGAGCCGAGGGGACAGGGGTCTACCAGCTGAGGCCTTACCTTGCTCTCACAGTGGATCTTGGCCCCTGAGTTTACCAAGATCTGGAGGATTCGTAAGTGGCCGAACCAGGCAGACAGGAGAAGCGCATTCATCCCAAACTAGGGGAGAGGACATAGAGGAGGTGAGAAGAATGTGGGAAGGCGTGGCTGTGCCAGCCAGGCCCTGTGCCTTATGACTAAACCATACAACCAGAAGGAACTATAAGTGCCACTTAATCCAGGGAGCTCCAAGCTTTAGGAGTTTAAAGACCAAGATTTTTTTTTTTTTAAATAGAGGCTGATGTACTATTGCAAACTTTTAAAATTTATTTTTGCTAAATGAAACTTAAAAATAAGACAGCTGCCGGCCAGGCTTGGTGGCTCACGCCTGTAATCCCAGCACTTTGGGAGGCTGAGGCAGGAGGATCACATGAGGTCAGGAGTTCAAGACCAGCCTGGCCAATATGGTGAAACCCCGTCTCTACTAAAAATAGAAAAATTAGCCGAGCGTGGTGGTGGGCACCTGTAATCCCAGCTACTTGGGAGGTTGAGGCAGGAGAATCGCTTGAACCCAGGAGACGGAGGTTGCAGTGAGGTGAAATCATGCCACTGCACTCCAGCCTGAGTGACAGAGTGAGACTTCGTCTCAAAACAAACAAACAAAAAAACCAGCTGCCATTTACTCTCATCACCATTTCATAAAGAAAGACCATTTTAAAAGAAAAAATTTGTAAGGAACCAATCTTAGAATATATACTTGACAAATAAAGCTTCATAACTGGGTGTGGTGGTTCACACCTGTAATCCCAACACTCTGAGATGTGAATCACTTGAGCCCAGGAGTTTGAAACCAGACTGGGCAAAATAGGGGGACCCCCATCTCTACAGACATTTTCGTAAAAATAAGCCAGGCGTGGAGGCACACTCCTGTGGTCCCAGCTACTCAGGAGGCTGAGGTGGGAGGATCACTTGAGCCCAGGAGGTAGAGGCTACAGTGAGCTGTGATCGCACCACTGCACTCCAGCCTTGGTGACAGAGCGAAACCCTGTCTCAAAAACAAACAAACAAAGACAAAAAAACAAATGTAGCTTCATGAAAAATACGTTGTCCCTGTTTTCTGATTTGCTATGACTGGTGAAGACCTTATCCTGGACTGGTGTTTAAGAATGGACTGTTTAAATCTCCCATAGAGGCTGGGAATGGTGGCTCATGCCTGTAATCTCAACACTTTGGGAGGGACCAAGGTGGGAGGATCGCTTGAGCCCAGGAGTTCAAGACCAGCCTGGGCAATATAATGAGACCTGTCTCTATAAAAAAATTAATTGGCTGGGCATGGTGGTACGTGCCTGTAGTCCCAGCTACTTGAGAGACTGAGATGAGAGGATCATTTGAACACAGGAGGCAAAGCTTATGGTGAGCCAAAATTGCACCACTGCACTCCAGCCTGGGCAATGGAGTGAGAGCCTCTCTCAAAAATAAATAAATAAATATCCCATAGAATATCTTCAAGGCAGATAGCTTAAGTCTGCAGCACCACATCACCTCACGAGACATCCCTGCGCAGTCAAACACTGGCTTCTGTTAGAAATGCCTCCTCGAGCTCTATTGAAATCTGTACTCCTGCAATTTCCATCCCACCAACTCTCTGGAGCAACTGAAAATATGTCTATGCCTCCACTCAGGGCAGCCCCACACCTGTTTGCAGGGTGCTCTTCCTCCACATCTGCACCGTGCTCCAGGGTCCCCAGAGTCCCTTCACTGACCTCCACTGCAGTAGGGTTCTGCACTTCCCCCACCTCCCCGGAGTCTTTTCTTCTCTGTGAAGAGCAACCCCAGGCCTCCAAACTCAGCTCCGGGGATACATCAAGAGCCAGCCAGATCCTGGGAATGGTTTTTTGCAGTGCCTCCTTGGGTGTGTTGGCTCCACCAGGAGCCTTTGTGAGGGGTACCAAGAAAAGGGGTCTTAGCGGTTGGCACCAGAATTCCTCTTAGGGAGGGAACTGTGTTTGGGTAAAAGCCTTGACAAAGGGTTGAGGCAAAAGGTGAAACTCAGAGGGAACTCACTGATCAGCAGGCTCCCGAGCATCCAAAGAGAGTTGCACTGCTTTGCTTTAGAAACAGGCGGGAATTTGGAGGCAGGAGGCGGGTGGTGCAGACAAGGACAGCACTGGAGAGAGGAGGGAAGCAGAGGCTGGGGCCAAGGCAAGGAGAGGACCAAGGGCCTTTAAAGAACAGAATGTCAAAGAGGGGTTTTTAGGATTTTTACATTGTTTTCATGTATAATGTAGGTCTCCTCTATTTCCCAGTTTGGAAAACCACACCACAAGCCTTCTGTGAATGGAGTCCCTGGAAACCGGGGAGAGGTACCATGTTTGGGATGACACCAGGGTGGAGTCAAAGGACTATTTGCAAAATTTCAAGAGAACGCCAAAAGCTGACCAGAAGCTGGAAGCAAGAGCCAGCAGGGACCACAAGCACTTAAGTTCTTCCTCATGAAATCCTAGAGAAGGTGTTGGATCTCGCATAGAGCCTCAAATGAGGGTCTATCATCCAAGATGGGGACATATTTTTTAAATTAAAAATTATAAAACAAAACAAAAGAAACAAATGAGGGTCTACAGCTGGCCTTAACTAGAGCCGAAGAGGCCAGGAGACCTGGCACTGGTTCAGAGCTCAGCACCTGGTAGAGTATCAGCAACTGTGGGCTGGCTGCAGGAGGAAGGAGAAAGAACAAGCACGGGCAGAGTCCAGAGGAAGGAGTCCACAGACGCTTGGGAGTAAAAAGGGTGAAGGCTCAGGACTGAGGGAGGGAGAGCCATGGGAGCCAGAGCCTCCTGACAGTGGGGACCTCCGGGATACATCACAGTCCTATACCAGCTTTCCCCACATACATAGTTCCTAGGAACTGTCCAGGCCAGAGTCCTGCGGCATATCACTACAGACTTTCCTCCAACCACAGGATTTCCCTTCTCCAGTATCTCCCGAACCCCATTACTACAGCAGGCAAGCCCAGCAGGCTGTCTTATTTTTCAAAAGGTTACTTATTACCATTTGCAAAAGAAACAGAGAGGATTCTTTTTTTTTTTTGAGACAGAGTCTCGCTCTGTCACCCAGGTTGGAGTGCAGTGCCACAATCTTGGCTCATGGCAACCTCCGTCTCCCAGGTTCCAGCGATTCTCCTGCCTCAGCCTCCCCAGCAGCTGGGATCACAGGTGTGTGCCACCACACCCAGCTAATTTTTGTATTTTTAGTAGAGACGGGGTTTCGAAATGTTGGCCAGGCTGGTCTCGAACTCCTGACCTCAGGTGATCCTCCTGCCTTGGCCTCCCAAAGTGCTGGGATTACTGGTGTGAGCCACCGCACCTGGCCAACAAGGAGGGATTCTAAAAGGGCCCCCTCTTACTGTTCTCCCTCGTAGCTTCTTTTCTCACTAAACCCCTGAAGGAAGAAATAACAGCACAGTGGTGATAGTGGGGGTCTCTGTGGGTATAAAGACTTGATGCAAGAGGCTCTAGTGTTTCACCAGGGAGCTCAGGCTAAGGATCCTAGACATTCTGCTCCTAAAGGCATCCCTAAAGGAGGCCTAAGCAGGTACAGGGAGGAGACAGGATTGGGGAATGGGGGAGGTAAGGGTTGCTGCCTCACCTCAACCCCAACTAGTAATCAAGCCCCCACATAGTGAGGCCTGGGAGCAGAGAGAAGCCGGAACAAAGAAAATTGTTTTCATGGACAACTAAGTCGCTGCAGGGAAGTTTATGGTTTTATTTTTTATTTTAAAATTTTTATCTATTTATGTATTTAGACACCAGGTTATGAGACTGACTAATTTTTGTATTTTTTGGTAGAGACGGAGTTTCGCCGTGTCATCCAGGCTCGTCCCAAACTCCTGGGATCAAGTGATCCACCCACTTGGCCTCCCAAAGTGCTGAGATTACAGGCATGAGCCATCGCGCCCAGGCGCTTTTTTTTAATTTAAATGTAGACAAAGCCATAAGTGTATCCCTTTCAAATGTCATTATTAGATTCAGCCTTTTTCCCAAACCTGTAGAGATAATTTTACAGACCCCGTTACTCATCAGTGCTCTCTCTCAGCAACACGCTGCCTGCCAATTGGTTAACTAAGACTATTATTAGTCTTTATCCAAGACTTTGATTGAAGTGTTAGCCAGGGCAGAGCCCTGTGGCATATCATGAGAGACTTTCCTCCTGGTGCTTTTGCTAATCAGGCCTCTATCAATCCACCCAATTATCTGTTCTACAGCCCTCTCTCTGTTCGCATGGTATCATGAGGGACTGAAAAGGCTCTCTGAGAACTGAAAGACCCTTGAAAGTGGAGAGCTCTTCATTGCTGTACAGGAGTAAAACAGAATCAGTGCAGTGTCCCTGCGCCTGAAGCCTCTGACTCCCCACCACTCTGCACCTGAATGTCTGCATATTAGCAGCAATCTCGGCAACTGGCTCATAGACCCAGAGAGATCTCCAGTGCCCCCCACCACCCTGAGACAGACAGACAGACAGACACGTACACACAGACGTGCCTCTGTGAGGGCCCCTACCGCATCCTCCTCGTCCACAGCAGCCTCGTGCTCCAGAAGCAGACGCACAGCCTGCTCGTGCCCTGCACCTGCAGCCCAGTGCAGGGCCACCCTGCCCACCTGCCCGGAGGGAGATGACACTTGTCAGGTGCTGCTGCCACCTGGCTGCCTGGACCACCTCCCACACCCTCCCCCAGGACAGCTGGTCTGCAGGCTGGAAGGGTCTTTGCTGGCTCTGGTCCCCAGCTAGCTGGGGACCCAGCCCCATTCTGCCACATGCTCCTCTCCTACATGGCAGCCAGAGCCAACATAGTAAAATGACTGGACCCATCTGTCCCCATCTAAAACTCTTCACAGTTTCTCATGGCTCTCAGGATAAACTCCTAACCTTGGGGATGATGAGGCGCTGCATGGTCTGGCACTGCCCACCACTGCTTCTCAGAAATACCAAGCAGCTTCCCACCTCTAGGCCTTTTCCTGCTGTTCCCCCTGCTGGAAAGCCCCATGTGGCCAAGGATTATCCTCCAAGTCCCTGAGAGGCACTGGAGTGCCTGGGTTCTGTCCCCTTCCTTCTCTCAGAATGGGGCTGAAGGGACCTGACCCACCACCTCATTCTCAGACCACCTTGGCAGTTCATAACGTTATCCAAATAGGCCTGAGGGAAGCTGGCCTGTGGCCCCTGTGCCCACTTCTCCCCTCTGTAGTTCTCAGCTTATGAGGGGACAATGAAAGGAAGCACTAGTTTTCTCTGTGGTCTCAGGCAAGCCACATCCCCTCTCTGGAGCCCAGCTGCTCCTTCCTACCTCAGGGCTTCTGCCCATACTATTCCCTCTGCCTGAAATATTGTCCTTCACTTGGCTCCTCAAAAATGCCACTTCTGGCAGGGTGAGGTGGCCCATGCCTGTAATCCCAGCACTTCGGGAGGCTGAGGTGGGAGGACAGCTTGAGTCCAGGAGTTTGAGACCAGCCTGGGCAACATAGCAAGACCCCTATCTCTAGAAGAAATACAAAAATTAGCTTGGCATGGTGGCACACGCCTGTAGTCTCAGCTACTCAGGAGGTTGAGATGGGAGGATCAACTGAGCCCAGGAAGGTCAAGGCTACAGTGAGCTGTGATTGCTCCACTGCACTCCAGCCTGGGTGATATGAGGTCCTGTCTCAAAAAAAAAAAAAAAGAAAAAAAGCCGACCCTCCTGCACACGCTCTTACGACAACTTATCACAGAGGGAATGAATTGTTTGTGAGATGCTTTGTGTGATGTCTGTCCTCCTCTTTTGCCCATCTGCCAGCTTCTGGCTGCTGACCTTTGACCCTGGCCCTCCTGGCTCTAACCTCTCAGATGGGTCCCAGAAGTTAAGAGTTTGACCTCTGGAATTGCCCAAGCCTGGCTTGACATCCTGGTCCTGACCTTGGGTGGGGGCCCAACCACTCTAAGCCTCAGATTCCTCGAGACAATGCAGGCCATGAGGACAGAGCCCGAGCCTCCCTCCAAGTTTACACATGCAAATGTGCCTGCCTCTAGCTCAGATAAACTATTCCCCCTGTGTACTGGCATTATCGTGACACTATCCCAGGTGCCTGGATTCAGAGAAGCTCATTACGCACGTGGTTTCTGGCCCTGGTGTTAACCCTCCTCCCAATCAGCTCCTGCATCCTGCCGACATTGTTCTGGCGGGCGGCCTCGTGGAGCTGCCTCTCCAGAGGAAGCACTGTGGGGAGAAAATGGGGTGCAGGATGAGGGGGAGGATGCCCCACACTGCAGACAGGAGAGGTAAACAACCCATTTCCACTCCTGAACATTTCTGGAGCAGGGGTCTTTCAGCTAGGAACAGGGGCAGAGCGGCACAGCCCTCCTCCCTCTCAAGGTCAGGGTCCTCCCCAGACAGGCTGCTCTTCCTCATTAACTCACCCCACAGCCACGCAACCAGGACGTGGTGAAACCCTGAAGATGGAAGAGCAGGGCGAAGCCATTTTCAGCAGCCTAAATGTGTGCCCCATTATCCAAGTTTCATGTACCCTCCCAAGAGCTGCTCTTGGGGAAGGAAATGAAATTAACTCCCTCTGGAGTCAGTAACCATCTTTTCCACGGCTCAGTCTACACAGCCAGGATTTACTGAGCCACCTACTGCGTGCCAGCGCCGGGTGAGGCCAGAGGCATGTTTACCCCACTCCTGCACATTCCGTCTCCTTGTTCCTCCACCCCTTCTTCCAACCCCTCTGTTGCCCAGGCTGGAGTGCAGTGGCGTGATCTTGTCTCACTGCAACCTCTGCCTCCCAGGTTCAAGCGATTCTCCCACCTCAGCCTCCTCGGTAGCTGGGATTACAAGTGTGTGTCACCACACCTGGTTAATTTTTGTATATTTGGTAGAGACAGGGTTTCACCAGGTTGGCCAGGCTGGTCCCCAACTCCTGACCTCAAGTGATCTGCCTGCCTCGGCCTCCCAAAGTGCTGGGATTACGGGCGTGAGCCACAGCGCCCAGCCTCTTCCAATCACTCTTGCCCAAATCCTAACCAGCTTCCACCTGCCCACGCTGAGGCTACCCTGATTTTCCTTCTCTGTGGTCTCTCTTCTCTGTGCTCCTCTCACCCCCATCGCTGCACCTTTAGCACAGAGTCTCAGATTAAAGGGAACCTCAGAGCTCCCCCTGCCAACCCCTGTCACGCACACCTGTGGGCTCAGGGTCAGACTGCATTAGTCTCTGAGCCAGGAGGACACAGGTCCAGATGATCCCCACCGGAGCCCCATGCTGCCATCATCCTGACGGCTCTTGATTGTGAGGATGTCTAGTCTCCATGGCTAGACTTCAAGTATTTTGGAGGCCCTGGCCACACTTGACCCTTCCTGATCCACCCACAGCTCACAGCAGGCCCAAAGGTGGGCACAGGAGGAACCCACAAAACTCTGCTTTTGAGCCAGGCATGGTGGCTCATGCGTGCAATCCCAGCACTTTGGGAGGCCAAGGCAGGAGGATGGCTTGAAGCCAGGAGTTCAAGACCAGCCTGGGCTAAAAAGCAAAACCTCCATCTCTACAAAAAAGTTTTTTTAAAAATTAGCCAGGTGTGGTGGCACATGCCTGTAGTCCCGGCTACTCAAGAAGCTAAGGCAAGAGGCTTGCTTGAGCCCAGGAGTTTGAGGCTGCCAATGAGCTATAATTGCACCTCTGCACTCCAGCCTGGGCAACAGAGTGAGACCCTGTCTCTAAAAAGAAAACAAAAACAGGCTGGGTGCAGTGGCTCACACCTGTAATCCCAGCTCTTTGGGAGGCCGAGGTGGATGGATCACGAGGTCAGGAGATCAAGACCATCCTCGCCAACATGGTGAAACCCCGTCTCTACTAAAGATACAAAAATTAATTGGGCATGGTGGCACACACCTGTAGTCCCAGCTACTCGGAAGGCTGAGGCAGGAGAATTGCTTCAACCTGGGAGCTGGAGGTTGCAGTGAGCCGAGATCATGCCAGTGCACTCCAGCCTAGTGACAGAGCGAGACTCCATCTCAAAAAAAAAAAAAGAAAACAGAAACAAAAAAATCTCTGCTTGTATGAGTGACACCAACAATCCCCAGACGAATAGATGCCTGTCCCCTCTCCCAAAGTGCTCACACATACTAGCACAGAGACAAATATTTGCTGGCCCTTTCCATAGTCACTGCAGGGCAAGTGACCCCATAGCCTGCATGTTTGGTCCAGTATGAATGTCTGAACCCAGCCCCTTTGTGTATCCAGGGACAGGTGACGAGTGTCTTGGTAGGGAAGGCTAAGATGCACTGAGGTGAGAGACAGGCCTGCCATGCAGTTTGTTTTTCTAGATAAATTCCACACAGTCTTCTCCAGATGAGAAAGAGGATCTTGAGCTTTCTGGGGCCTCATGGATACAACCTGTGGATCTCAGAGTTGCTACCCTGGGGGGCAATCACACAGTCCTGGGTTCAACTCTGGCTTAACCACTTCCTAGCTGTGTTAGGCAGTTTCCTCATCTGCAAAACAGGAGTGCGAGCTTCCCTACAAGGTTAATATCATGATTAGAAATGAGATATGAAAACCCCCTGGCACAGTGTCTGGCACATAATGACCACACCGCCACCACCACCACCATCATCATCACTATTATTCCTCCAAGGCAAAGGGTCAAATTCTGGTAGCCAAAGAGAGCTGCCACTTCAGATGTGAGCTTACAGAGGCCTGGGTTCTAGTACCTTCCCTGCCACTTTCCAGCAGCAGGATCCTGGGCTAGTCACATCCCCCTTGTAGGTCTGTTTCTTCCATTGTAAAACTGGGGGAGGGTGAAGAAAGAGATCTGTATAGGTCCCTTCCTGTCTGGCACCCTCTATCTTATGTGCAGCTTAGGGGGATTGGCCTGGTTTGTATTGGCAAACAGCCAGGAGTTCCAATGGGAAGCCAGCAGACACTGCATAGGGTCAGGCCAGAGAAGGTTAAGTTAGAATGAAATCAAGTCCAGTCTCATCTCTTCCATCCACCTCCCATCCGGCACCCTCTTTCTGGCCACATCCAATACCCACTGAGCTACCTGAGCCTTTGCCCATGCTGGGTCTTTGTCCAGAATTCTCTGCCACACACCCCAATGCTCCATTGGTACACATTCTTCGCAGGCCCACTCAAGTGATCCTCCGCCCCAGGCAGAACCATGTACCTAATCTTGATTGAGCATTCCCACCCCCAACACATCCCTCAGCTGAGTAGATGCAGTGTGCCAGCATTTTGGACACTATAGGTCTCAAAGGAATCCAGTGAGCTGCACTATGCGCTTTTGAGGGAAAGCCCCGGGATTCAGCTGTCAGGATTCAGCCAGGGCTGCAGGATCAAGGACTCACAGTGCAGACACCGACACAATCTTTCTCTCCCCTCTCCCAGACGGTGCAGCCAAAGCTGCCCCAGGCCAGCTGATGCCCACACAGACGCTGCTGCCCGGCCTAGAGGCCCTGGCACTGGGCGCACTCCTTGAGGGAGGTTCGGAGGTGCCCTCATTCCACCTGTGGCCAGTCAGGCTCCTCTCCTCTGAGTGCGTGCCCCATCTGATGCGGTCTCCACTCGCTATCCAGCCCCAGCATTCCGGGTGAGCTGGGCCCTTCAGCACTTCTACCACTCAATGGCTGTGTGACCTTGAACAACTCATTTGAACACCCTGTGCCTCAGTTTCTCATCTGCGAAATGAAGATAACATAATGTCCTACCCATATGGCCGCAGCGAAGATCAAATGACGTGCCTCTCCTGGGTCAAGGCCTGGCACACAAAGTACAGCACGCAGTCAAGGATCGCTATTACCTTTATTATTTGTAGCTAACCTCTCAGCCGCTGCTCCCCGCTCACCTGGCGGGTGTGGTCCCCGAGTCCCAGACGCACTGGCAAGGTCCCCTCGGCCCAGTGCGCGGACCGGTAACCATTCCGCTCGGAGCCACACAGACGCCCCACACGGAGGTGGCCGTTCGGAGGGCGCCAACCTCACCCCTGGCACTCCCCAAACGGATGCGGGGGTCCTCTCGGCCTCGGCCCGCCCCCCTCCCTCCTCCAGGCAGACTCACGGCCGTCGGTCTCCCACGCCAGCTCCTCCTGCATCCTGCCGCTCCGCAGCCCCTGCGCGCGCTGGTGCCCGGGCGCGAGGCGCGCGTCCGCCGGGGCGGGGCCCGGGGAGCCGAGAGGACGGGGCGGTCGCTCCTCCAGACTCCACGCCCCGCCTGCTAGGAGCGCAGCTGCCCCGGCCACCCCAGTCCCGGACCAGGACGCAGGTCCCTCCTCCTGCTCTCTTAACCTGCCCACCCCTCCGCGCCCGAGGCCGGCGGGTCGGGGCCACGCCGAGTTCCGCAGGTGTCCCTGACCCAGTCTCCTCCCCGGGAGTTCGCCCAGCCTCCCCGGCCCTGGAGATAGATGCGCACAAGGCATCTGGCAGGCTCATCCTCCTCGCGCCTCTCGGGACTCGGGGAGGAGGGCTGAGCCTTGGGCCCGCCGCCTCAGGCGCAGAAAGTCAAACCCCAAAGATGTGAGCTGGCGTTTAAGGGACCACAACCTCAGCAGGTCTGCAAGCATATGAAGAGATGGTCGGATTTATCAGTGTTCAGAAAGATTTATCAGGCCCATAAAGGGACATGTAGGAGGATGTTGGTTGCTGTGTTGCTGTGGTTGCTGGGAGTTGGAGACAATCTAAGCGCCCTTTCTTGTAAGAGCAGATGGATAAACTGTGCAGCACTCAAAGCAAGGGACCCGCTGTATTCGTGGCAATATGGATTTAAACACCTAGTGCTAGGCAGAAAAAGTAAATAACCAAACCAAATAAGACCTAGGAAACAATATCAATAAAAATATTACAAATGCATTTACATCAAACAACACAGACTTGCAAAGACACATAGAAACAAAAAGATACACATTAAATACACCAGAATGGGTTGCACTTCAGACCCTTGGGGGATGTCCATGTCCTTTTTGCCTTAAAGGCATTTACAGCTTCTTTGAATTTAGGGATAATGGGGTCTCAGGCATCTCTATCCCAAGGCAAGAAGCCAGCAAAGCCATGATAGGTGTAGTTACTACTACTTTGGGGATCAAAGGAGGAAGAGCATCTTTCAGTCATTAGTCCTTAGAATATAGTTCAAGAAGGCTTCCTGAAGAAGGAGGTATTTGGAATGGCCTTTGAAAAATAACATAATGATAACAGCTAACAATTAATGAGCCCTGAGCCAACCCCTCAAAATGGTCTCAAAATAACAATTCCAACATAATAATCAAAGATATGATTTTTTTTTTTCTGAGACAGAGTCTCACTCTTTCGCCCAGGCTGGAGTACAGTGGTATGATCTCGGCTCACTGCAACCTCTGCCTCCTGGGTTCAAGCAGTTCTCCTGCCTCAGCCTCCCATGTAGCTAGGATTACAGGCACTCGCCCCCACACCTGGATAATTTTGTATTTTTAGTAGAGATGGGGTTTCACTATGTTGGTCAGGCTGGTGTTGAACTCCTGACCTCAGGTGATCCACCTACCTTGGCCTCCCAAAGTGTTGGGATTACAGGTGTGAGCCACTGCGCCGCACCCCCCCCTTTTTGTTTTTGTTTTTTTTTTAAGACAGAGTCTCACTGTGTTGCCCAAGCTGGAGTGCAGTAGCGTAATCTCAGCTCACTGCAACCTCTGCCTCCCAGGTTCAAGCGATTCTCATGCCTAAACCTCCCAAGTAGCTGGGACTACAGGTGTGTGCCACCACACGCGGCTGATTTTTGTATTTTTAGTAGAGACGGGGGTTTCACCATGTTGGCCAGGCTGGCCTCGAACTCCTGACCTCAGGTGATCTACCCACCTAGGTCTCCCAAAGTGCTTGGCCACCACGCCTAGCCAAAGATATTATTCCTGAAAACAGTTTAAATGTTTTTTGTAAAGCTTTTGTCACATGTACATCCCACTAGGGGCATAGTGTCACGTTACTGTTTTAGTCACTTGGAATAGTTCTTTATGTGGTTATGCCACCAACTCAACATGCATGGTTTATTTATTTTGTTTTGCTTTTGTTTTTTGATATTTTTAAATGTTAATTTTGCTTTACAATTATGTAAAGTATTTACATGTTTCAAAGTTAAGTCTCTGAAGGTTGTCATAGTCAGCTGTGGTGATGGATGAAGAGGGCACCACTGGCTTCCAGCCTGCTGTCACTCTCCTTCACTCCACATCCAGCTTTTCTTCCCAGCTGCTGAGCCTGCTGACCAACAGTGGCCCCAGGCCATCGCGGACTTGGCTGCAGACCCAGGGCATTAGTACCACCCATAGACCTCCCCAGGAGCTTTCCCTTGTGGTTCCATTTTAGCAGCTGGACATACTTGGTTTCTCAGATGACTGACTAAGGACTCCTCTGATCCCCAACTCCCCTTCTGGTCCTTCCGCAACTGTGTAAGGCAAATTACTATCACAGATCCCTAATCCCAGGGGTCTCCAACCCCCAGGCTTCAGACTAGTACTGGTCTATGGCCTGTTAGGAACTGGGCCACACAGCAGGAGGTGAGCAGCAGGAGAGCGAGCATTACCACCTGAGCTCCGCATCCTGAAAGATCAGTGGTGGCATTAGATTCTCATAGAAGGGTGAACCCTATTGTGAACTGTGCATGTGAGGAATCTAGGTTGCACACTTCTTTTTTTTTTTTTTGAGATGGAGTTTTGCTCTTGTTGCCCAGGCTGGAGTGCAATGGCTCACTGCAATCTCTGCCTCCCGGGTTCAAGCAATTCTCCTGCCTCAGCCTCCCATGTAGCTGGGATTATAGGTTTGCGCCACCATGCCCGGCTAATTTTGTATTTTTTTAGTAGAGATGGGGTTTCACCATGTTGGTAAGGCTGGTCTCAAACTCCTGACCTCAAGTGATCCACCTGCCTCGGCCTCCCAAAGTACTGGGATTACAGGCGTGAGCCACCATGCCCAACCTAGGTTGCACACTTCTTATGAGAATCTAACTAATGCCTGATCATCCGAAGGGGAACAATTTTATCCCAAAACCATCCCCCCACCACCCAAGTCCTGTAAAAAATTGTCTGCCACAAAACTGGACCCTAGTGCCAAAAGGTTGGGGACCAGTACCCTAAACCCATAACCTCAACATGATTCTGCTTCCTTCACTGCATCCTGACTGACAAAATAACATTTGTGTTGTTGATGCTTACCCTTATATTGTTTAATTTAATCATATATTCTCCCTTTACTGCAGTAGCATACTATATATCATCTTCTTACTTTGCCCTGCCCCTTAAAATTCACCCATTTAAGTGTATAATTCAATGGTTTTTAGTACAGTATCGTTCAGAGTTGTATAACTATCACCACTAAATATTTTCATCACCCCAGAAAAGAAAGCCCATATGCTTTAGCTATCACCCCCCCTTGCAGTTTACCCTCCCCAACCCTCCACACACAGCCCTAGGCAACTACAAATCTACTTTCTTTCTCCATAGATTTGCCCGTTCTGAACATTCTTCTGGCTTTATTCTGGGAACAATCTACTACAGAGATCTCTCCGCAGTAGTCTGTTGAGATCTTCCTGCATCCTTTGTACAGCCTCAGAGTCCTCCATTGGGTGGCTTATTCAACCACTCCCTGTTGATGGACATTGGCCCTGTTTCCAGACTTTTGTTATTACAATAGAGTTACAATGACCAACCTTATGCATGCATCAGTTGGTATTTTTACCAGTGCATCTATGGGATCTATTCTTATAAATGGGATTGCTTGGTCAAAGGGTAAATGCACATATAACTTTGCTAGCTATTGCCAAATTCTCCTCCATAAGGTCCAGAAATATTTTGCATTTCCATTACCAATGTATGAGGGTGCCTGTTTCCAAGGAGAACATTCTGTAAAACTTGGATTTTTCCCAATCTGATAAGTAAGAAATAGTAATTCATTATAATCTTAGTTTGCATTTCTATCATTACAAGAAAAGTTGGTTATCTGTTTCTATGTTTAAGAGCCGTTTTCTTTTCTTTTTTTTCCTGAGAACAATCTGTTCTTATCCCACTCATTTTTTAAATGATTGTTGGCCTTTTGCTTAAGAGAAATTTTAAAACAGCTTTTTATTTCTTGTCTTATTAATGTTTGTTCATTACTAAAGAAATTTTAAAATACAAAGAAGGGGCTGGGAGCGGTGGCTCACGTCTGTAATCCCAGCACTTTGGGAGGCCGAGGTGGGAGGATCACGAGGTCAGGAGATCAAGACCATCCTGGCTAACATGGTGAAAACCCATCTCTACTAAAAAAATATATATATATAAAATTAGCCGGGCGTGGTGACGGGTGCCTGTAGTCCCAGCTACTCAGGAGGCTGAGGCAGGAGAATGGTGTGAACCCGGAAGGTGGAGCTTGCAGTGAGCTGAGATCAGGCCACTGCATTCCAGCCTGGGCGACAGAGTGAGACTCCGTCTCAAAAAAACAAAAAAAAAAAAAAAGAAGGGACAAAATACAATCAATCTACCAGAAGACGCCACCATGAATCACTTGTTATATATTGCGCTAGCCCTTTTCTAACAAAAGAAAAAAATACACACACACACACACACACACAAGAGTGGTAAATATTTGCTGGTCTTGTACCAGCATTTGGGAGCCAGAATGGCACTGGTTTCCTCTCTGCTTAGAGCAATCAGCTGCTTGAGAGGAGGGAGGGAGTGGCAGAAGCTCCCAGCCAAGTGGGGTCAGGGGTACCCAGTGGGCAGCTCCTGAACAGGTGCTCCAAATAAGTGAGCAGTTTGATTGTGGGTAGGAGTGGCAGCCCCCTGCAGAACTGCTCACCCAGTGGGGGAAGGAGCAGCAGGAGCACAGGACTAAGAGACCTGAGCTCCAATCCAGATCTGCACTGCCCAGCTGTGGAACTGGACAAGTCCTTTCCCTCTCTCCATAAGGAAATAGGCCTGGATGGTCTTTTAGGTCCCTGGCCCCTCAAGCATTGGATTGAGAGGTGATGAATAATCCATTAGAGGAAGAAAGCATTAACCAAAGGGAGGCAGGGCCAGTTTATTTTTCAGGTCCCTAGGTACCCTCTAAACCAGTGGTTTCCAATCTTTTTACCACCATGGACTGGTTTTCTGGAAGACAATTTTTCCATGGGTTGGGGTGGGGCCATTGGAATGGTTTCAGGATGAGACTGTTCCACCTCAGATCATCAGGCATTAGATTCTCATAAGGAGTGCAGCAACCTATCGCATGTGGGGACAATAGGGTTCATGTTCCTATGAGAATCTAATGCCTCTGCTGATCTGACAAGAGGCAGAGCTCAGACAGTAATGCCTGCTGCTCACCTCCTGCTGTGCAGCCCCATTGCTAACAGGCCACAAACCCATACTGGTCCTGCCCGGGGGTTGGGGACACCTGCTATAAACTCACAGACCTCAGACTCCACCCACATCTCCCAGCACTTGTGTATCCATGTCTTTCTGAGTCCAGTCCTAGCTCGGCTGTGTGACCCCATGCAATCACTAAATCTCTCTGACCTTCAATTTATCTGTGGATGATCCTTTTTTAATAGGGCTATTTCAAAATGCCTAGGCCCAGGCACACAATGAGTGCCCTAGTGTGGTGGCGGTGATTATCCTCCAGCTCTCCACCTGCAACCTATACTATCCCATGTAATCATATTGACAACTCTGTGAGGCAAATGCTAGAATATGGAAGCTCCACTGTACGGAGGAGGCACCTGAGATTCAGAGAGGTTAATACTTCACTCAGGGACATACAACAAGCTGTGGAGAGTTGAGAATGGCCTCCAGGTGTGACTCGCTCCAAAGGAGAAACAGGTGATTCCCATGGCATTGAACCACGTGCTGGGTCCCCAGCCAGGCCACAGCTGAAGGTGAGGTTGGAGGACATCCTTCAATCCAACCACCCGGCCAGTCCACTGGGACACCCCAATTCTAGGGCGTGACTTTCTTGCCAGGAAAGAAAGCAATTTGGCGGAAAGCCTCAGAAAACAGCGCAAACAGGCTGGGCGTGGTGGCTCACACCTGTAGTCCCAGCACTTTGGGAGGCTAAGGCAGGTGGCTAAGGCTTGAGCCCAGGAGTTCGAGACCGGCCTGGGCAAAATGGTGAGACCTACCCTTCCACCCCCCCACACACACGCTCACTGTCTCTACAAAAAAAATTTAAAGAAACAAAAGGAAAAATAGCGCAAGCACGTAACCTGACGCAGAGGATCCAGGTGAGAGGGACTAGGAGCGTATGGGCGTTCAGTTTCCCTGAGCCTGGCTTCTCGCGCTTAGCGTCCTCCTGGAACTCCGAGGGGAGTGGGCAGAGGCCTCTGGGCCTCGCTGCAGTTTCGGTTGTCGACACGCGGGGGAGCAAGAGCCGGCGAAGAGCAGCTGTAAATACCGTAATTCCCTCCCATCTGTCCCCACGACCGGCACGACAGTGATGGAGGCCAGAGGGGCGCGAGGAGGGAGAGGCTAGGGGTTACAGACTGTAGTGTAACCTGAGATGGGCTGGATCTACCTATGACAGAGGAGGCTCTGCGCAGAGAAGCAGGGTGCCCACATGCTGAGTCTCCCAACTGGCTCCTCCACGCTGGGCTTTCTGCTGTACCATTTTCTGAGGCTTTCCCCAAGATTGCCAGTGAGGGTACGTGAATGCCAGGCTAAAGACTTGGGCCATGGGGGCGGGGTGAGAGAGGAATAGACGCGGTGGTAAAGATGTAAGTAAATGTGGGGTTGAGTGGCAGTTTAATTCCCAGACATACTCGGGCCTTTCTAATGAGGGAAAAGATCCAATAACTTTCGCAAAGAAAGTAGGGAATTACTATGGATTCCCGTTAGAGGAATGCGCATCTTAAAAAGCTGCAGGAAGGGGGCAATATTTAACCCAAATGAAATTCTAAAGGTCTTTTTTTTTTTTTTTTTTTTTTTTTAGACGGAGTCTCACTCTGTCGCCCAGGCTGGAGTGCAGTGGCGCGATCTCGGCTCACTGCAAGCTCCGCCTCCCGGGTTCACGCCATTCCCTTGCCTCAAGCTCCCGAGTAGCTGGGACTACAGGCGCCCGCCACCATGCCCGGCTAATTTCTTTTTGTATTTTCAGTAGAGACGGAGTTTCACCATGTTAGCCAGGATGGTCTCGATCTCCTGACCTCGTGATCCGCCCGCCTCGGCCTCCAAAAGTGCTGGGATTACAGGCGTGAGCCACCGCGCCCGGCCTTCTTTTTTTTTTTTTTTTTTTTTTTTTTAACTTTTGTTTTAGGTTCAGGGCTATATGTGCAGGTTTGTTACATAGGTAAACTTGTGTCATGGGGGTTTGTTGTACAGATTATTTCATCACCCAGGTACTAAGCCAAGTACCTGGTAGTGATATTTCCTGATTCTCTCCCTCCTCCCATCCTCCACCCTCTAGTAGGCCCCAGTGTCTGTTGTTCCCTTCTTTGTGTCCATAAGTTATCATCATTTAGCTTCCACTTATAAGTGAGAACAGGCGGTATTTGGTTTTCTGTTCCCGTGATTTTTTTAGGTTAACAGGCAGAAGGGAGAGAGGTGTTTGCCTGGAGAAAGGATAAGATGACCTGGTGTTGTTGGGTTGAGGGGTGAGGCAGTTCTGTGATCTGGGTCCCAGAGCAGGGACAGGGTGCAGCCTGTTGTGAAAGCCCAATGCACCGGATGTGTGTCCTCTCTAAGAAGGTAGCACAGCCATGTGCAGTGTCATTGAGCATGCCCTCTGCCCAGGGCTCTGCCAGCCCAGCCAGTGAGGCTCAAGTTGGGGGACAGGAGGTTGGGGGTCAGGGAGAGATGCTTGGGAAGCGAGGAAAAGAGAAAAGGAAAAGGCACCTAAGAGCTGGCAGGCTGGAGTCAGGCAAGACCTTCATCTTCCAGACTTGTTTTCTCATCTGGAAGGTGGAGATAATAACACTACCTATATGCAAAGGGCTATTGTGAGAATTCAATCAGTTGTTGTTCTAGAAAGTGCTCTGTAACCACTACAAAGACTAGGCATGAAACCTCCTCTGTAGAGGGCTCCCAGATTGCTCCAAACTCAAAATGCCCCTTTCCTGAGGGTTCCCAGAACCCATGGTCAAGCCTTCCGTGGTATCCCTGGCCTAGATGCAAGTAACTGTTTTGCAGCTGTCACCTTCTGCTCCAGCTCCCACTAAAGCACCCTCCCAACCCCAATCCCTGCCATACTATGAACTTTTTTTAAATTTATTTATTTTTGAGACAAGGTCTCACTGTGTCACCCAGGCTGGAATGCAATACAGTGTCAAGATCATGGCTTATCACAGCCTTATCTCCAGGGCTCAAGCGATCCTCCCACCTCAGGCTCCCAGGTAGCTGGGACCACAGGCATGTGCCAACACGCATAGCTAATTTTTTTTTTTTTTTTTTTTTTTTTTTTTTTGCAGAAATGAGGTTTCCCTATGTTGCCCAGGCTGGTCTTGAACTCCTGGGCTCAAACAATCCTCTCACCTCAGCCTCCCAAAGTGTTGGGGTTACAGACGTGAGTCACAGCGCCTGGCCAACTGAACTTGTCAAGGCAGATGTGGTAGCTAATTCATCCCTGTACTCATTCAAAACTACAGCCTGATAAGACTTGGCAAAATGATACTAAAGTTTATCTTAAAACAACAACAACAATAAAAACAGACAGCAATGTTATGAAAACAAAGAGCAGTGGAGGGAAAGATGGGACCAGATACTGAAACAATTTGACAATGGCTATCAGAATTTTTTAAATGTACATACCTTTCATGCCAACAACTCCATTTCTAAGAATCTACACCATAGAAATAATTGCAGTAATTACATAAAGATGCAAGGATGTCTACTGCGATCTGTTCCGTAACTATAGCAAACAATTGGAAACAACCCAAGGGCCCATCAATAGGGGATGACAAAATAAATTGTGATGCATGATTATAAAATCATACAATGCAATGCTGAGCAGCTGTTAAAAAGAAATTAGTGGGTCTGTATTTGCTGAGGTAGGAAGAATCTCTAAGAGACAGCAAGAGTCAGAACAGGAAGTACAATATGAGTCCATTTCTTTAAAAACATTCTCCTGCCACTATCATCACTTTTTTTTTTTTTTGAGATGGAGTTTTGCTCTTGTTGCCCAGGCTGGAGTGAAATGGCATGATCTCTGCTCGCTGTAAACTCCACCTCCTGGGTTCAAGCGATTCTCCTGCCTCAGCCTCCCAAGTACCTGGGATTATAGACATATGCCACCACAACCAGCTAATTTTGTATTTTTAGTAGAGACAGGGTTTCTCCACTTTGGTCAGGCTAGTCTCAAACTCCCAACCTCAAGTGATCCACCTGCCTCAGCCTCCCAAAGTGCTGGGATAACAGGCGTGAGCCACCACACATGGCCTATGTTCACATCTTCATCAGTCAAATTTCCCTTCCTGTCCCCAGATGACAATCTGGCAGATACTATGCTTTGCAATCATTTTAGGATATTAAAAGTCTGGTCCAACTCAATTTAAAATTCCAAGCCCTTCAATCTACAAAATACGGCCAGACGCGGTGGCTCACACCTGTAATCCCAGCACTTTGGGAGGCCAAGGTGGGTGGATCACAAGGTCAGGGGTTCGAGACCAGCCTGGCCAACATGGTGAAACCCCATCTCTACTAAAAACACAAAAATTAGCTGGGCGTGTTGGTGTGTGCCTGTAATCTCAGCTACTGGGGAGGCTGAGGCAGGAGAATGGCTTGAACCCAGGAAGAGGAGGTTGCAGTGAGCCGAGATCACGCCACTGCACTCCAGCCTGGGTGACAGAGCAAGACTCCATCTCAAAAAAAAAAAAAAATCTTCAAAATACATATAGCACAGATATATATCATATTGTCATATTAACTTGTTTATTTTTCACCACAGCCCTCTGAAGTAGGTACTATGATTATCCTCCACATCTTACAGATGAGGAAATTGTGGTATAGACAGGTGACTTCCCCAAATTCACACAGACAGTAAATGGCAAAGCCAGGTTCTCTGCCCTTAACCACTGTGTTATATCACCCTAGGCTCACAGGACCTCAAATGGGACTTTTCCTTGTCTCAGAATTTCAGCTGGCGTACTGTATATCATTAGCTAGATATACTAGAATTCATTTAGCCATCACCCTAATGATAGACATAGAGATTATTTCCAGTCTTGTGCTATTATAAACAGTGCTGCAATGAACTTTGTGTGTATGTTTTTGTGCACCTGTACAACTATTTCAGTAGCTTAGATTCATAAAAGTGCAATTGCTGGATCAATGGGTACATTTAAATTTGAATAGATGTTCCAGATATCTATTGCTATATAACTAACTATCTCAAAATTTAGTGCTCAAAAACAACCATTTTGGCCAGGTGTGGTGGCTCACGCCTGTAATCCCTGCACTTTGGGAGGCCGAGGCGGGCAGAACACGAGGTCAGAAGATTGAGACCATCCTGGCCAACAGGGTGAAACCCTTTCTCTACTAAAAATACAAAAATTAGCTGGGCATGGTGGTGTGCACCTGTAATCTCAGCTACTCGGGAGGCTGAGGCAGGACAATCGCTTGAACCAGGGAGCTGGAGGTTGCAGTGAGCATAGATCATGCCACTGCACTCTAGCCTGGGCAACAGAGTGAGACTCGGTCTCAAAAAAAAAAAAAATATTTTATATTGTTCATGATTTTGTGGGTCAGGGATTTTGGGAAGGGCTCAGCCGGATGGTTCATCTGTGATTCTCTTCCAAGGTGGCTTCATCGCTCACATGACTGGGGCCTCAGTGCTCCTTGACTGCTCTTTAAACATGTGGTGTCATATCCTGTAGGGATTCCCCACATGGTTTGGGCTTTTTACAGCATGTGAACATTAGATAATGCAGGTCAGGTAACCAGGTAGTTGGCTTCCAAGAGGGAGGATATGGAACCTGCTGGACAATCTAAGGGATACACTTGCAACTGAGACAGTATCACTTGCTGTATTTTATTGACCAGGGAATTCACGGTCCAACCCAAATTCAAGAAAAGGGGACATAGACCCCACCTCTCCATGGAAGGCACATCAGAGAACTTGTGACCACTTTTACTCTACCATAATAGTTATTTCCAAATTGCCCTCCAAAATATTGGTCAATTTACATTCCCAGCAATGATGCACTAGATTGTCCTTCCCCACACCCTCACCAACACCATACATTGTAAAACACTTCAATTCATGCTGATCTAGCAGCTGAAAATGGTACTGTATTTCATTGTCATTCTTTCATGCATTTCTTTAATTATGGGTGAAGGTAAGTATCTTTTCACGTATTTGCTGTTCATTAAATTTTATTTTTTCTTGTGAATTGTCTGTCTATATATTTTACCCATTTTAAAATTTGGTTGGACTTTTTTATATTGATTTATAAAATGTATATATTAAAAAGAGTAGCTTTTTTTTTTTTTTTTTTTTTTGAGCTAGGGTCTTGCTCTGTTGGCAGGCTGGAGTGCAGTAGCATGATCTCAGCTCACTGCAACCTCTGCCTCCTGGGTTCAAGCAATTCCCCTGCCTCAGCCTCCTGAGTAGCTTTTATCTGATATTATGTTACAAATAGTTTTCCACAGTGTGTGGACTTTTGACTTTGTTTTTTGACAATTTTCTCAATTTAGGTTTTAAATTTTTACAGGTTCAAATTATCAACCTTTTACTTTAAGATTTCTGGATTTTGGCCAGGCACAGTGGCTCACGCCTGTAATCGCAGCACTTTGGGAGGCCAAGGCAGGTGGATCACAAGGTAAGGAGATTGAGACCATCCTGCCCAACATGGTGAAACCCCATCTCTACTAAAAATACAAAATTTAGCTGGGTGTGGTGGTGTGTGCCTGTAATCCCAGCTACTGGGGAGGCTGAGGCACGAGAATCACTTAAACCCAGGAGGTGGAGGTTGCAGTGAGTGGAGATCGCGCCACTGCACTCCAGCCTGGCGACAGAGCAAGACTCTGGATTTTCTTTTTTTTTTTTTGAGACGGAGTCTCGCTCTGTCGCCCAGGCTGGAGTGCAGTGGCACGATCTCCGCTCACTGCAAGCTCTGCCTCCTGGGTTCACGCCATTCTCCTGCCTCAGCCTCCTGAGTAGCTGGGACTACAGGCACCCGCCACCGTGCCTGGCTAATTTTTTGTATTTTTAGTAGAGATGGGGTTTCACCGTGTTAGCCAGGATGGTCTCAATCTGCTGACCTCGTGATCCACCCACCTCAGCCTCCCAAAGTGCTGGGATTACAGGCGTGAGCCACTGTGCCCGGCCGAGACTCTGGATTTTATGTAGTGTGTTCCTGTTGTTTTTCAGAATTTTCCTGCTAGTCTCAAATGTTTATTTTTCCAGATTAATATTATTTTCCAAGGCACCCTCCTCAAATCCTATTGTTTTGATTTAAATCACTTTCAGTTTATAGATCCATTTAAGAAAATGCACAACCTTACAACTGGAGTACAAGGCTGGGCTTTGTGTTGTTTTGAGTCTTCACTCCCATAGGACATCAAGTCTTAGTGAGGGGATGATGGTGCCATCTCAGGAAGTCCCCAGCATTCCTGGGCACCTTTGAGGGAAGGAGCCCAAGAATGAACCAAGGACAGCCCTGGGGTCAGACAAGCCCCACAATGCCATGTACCTAGGAATCCAAGGCCTTGTCAGGGAGGCTCAGAACACAGCCCCCAAGCCTACAACTCCTGGACTTTCCATTGCAGGGTGAGTCCAGAACTCCTTGAAGAAAACATTCCTTAGAGGCCCAGGAAAGGCACCAGATGTGCCTTCAAAGAGCTAATTCATGAGGTAGGAGATTTCACATAGTGGTGCCTTGTTGGAGAGACCGAGCAGAGTGATGCATTTGCCAAGGAAAATCCTACCAGTCTCAAAGTCACAGCCTTGGAGAGTGGCAGGGATCTGCTGTGGGAGCCACAGGAATGGGCGGCTGCTGTGGGCAGAGCCCTGCAGGCTCTCCTTCCTTCCCAGCTGGGGCTCTGCTGGCTTCTCTCCAATCCTGGAACCCCAGTCTGCAGCATCAACCCACTCCTTCCCCAGGCAGGGGCCCAGTTGGGCACCAAAGGCTTTCCCCAAAATGCCCAGAGAGATTGAGTAGGCATTTGTTTATTCAACAATTATTGTCAACAATGTGCCAGTCAGTGTTCTAGATACTTGGGGTACAACAAAAAATAACAGAGACTGAAATTCTTACCCTCCTGGAGCTAACAGACAATAAAAATAATCATAATATGTAAATATGTTAGAAGAAAAGTGCCATGGGGAAAAAACAGGGCAAGGTAAGAGGACTTGGGAGTTGGGGGTGGGGAGCAGTCACATTTCCCAAGAAAGCAACCGTGCTAGGGAACTTCCATTTGCCCTCCAGATCCCCAGAAAAGGCTGACCTGAAGGACTGTGTCCTGGCTCTGGCTGGATTCAGCCAATGAGCCTCGCAGGAGAGCTTAGACAGGCGGGGGAGGTTTTTATCCCCCTGGCTCCCTCCTTGCAGGTCACAGCTCTGGTCAGGTGGCCCTCTCCCACAATTCTGTCCTTCCTTCCACCAGCCATGTCTTTCCCTCCTCCTCGCCCTTCTGCCAGGCCTGGGAGTAGCAAAAATGCCCCATGCTACTGAACCTGGGCACTGCACTCTCCCTTAGGGTTTCCTTACAGCCTGTCCACACCTTTGAAAATAGTCCTGAAATAATGCTAATTTGAATGCTGAGAAATACAGTGATATTTGAGCAGGCTGGAAGGCAGTAAGGTGGTATGCCATGCCGATGTCTAAGAAAAGAGTGTTCAGGGCACAGGGAACTGACAGTACAAAGGCCTGGGGTGGGAGGCTGTGCCTGGGCTATTTGAAAAAAAGCAAGAAAGCCAGAGTGGCTGTTGCAGAGTGAGGAATGGGGAGAGGAGTAGGAAATAGTATCTAAGAGGTATGTTTTGGGAGGTGGGGGCTTGGCATTTGCTCTTGGTGAAGTTGGGGTGGATGACGGCCCACTGGAATGAACCCAGAAGTGATGTGATCTTTAACACTATCACTCTGGCTGCAGTGTTGAGAACAGACTCTGGGTCAAGGGTAGAAGCAGGGAGGCTGGTAAAGGGGAGGCTCAAAAGACAGTGGGAAAGGAACCAGAAGAGGCTTGTACTGTGGAGCTGGAGCCAACAGGGTTGACTGAGGACTTGGGGTGTAGAGGAGAAGAGCAAGGGTGGCTTCAAGGCTTCCCTGCATCTGCCCAGCCTGGCCCTCACATCCTGTCCCTCTGGGTGCTGTGTGTACACGTGTCCAGTCCTTGGGGCTGTGCACTGCAGGCCCATCTCCTCTGGCTGGCCTAGAGGTCTGCCAGCCTCTGCCAAGAGGAGTCCTTGACCAAATCACAGCTTTCTCTACCTGGGGCCATCTGCCTGAGGTCACTGGTAGGGGTGGGGAAGTGGATTCACTCCCTGGGGTGCAGGGAAGGGAGGCTACGCCTAATCCCCAAAGGCAGTCCAGTAAATCTCCCATATCAGTGAGATATTTTCTGGGGCACTCCCAGACATATGTCCTTCAGCCCAGATCCCGTGAGTCAGCCAGAACTGAATGTGACCAGCTTCCTCCTCCACCGCTCACTTGGCTGGCTTCCTCTCAGGCTCCAGCCTTCTGCAGGGGCAGCTGAGGCCACGAGTGAAGGGCCTGCTCATGGGTAGCCCACGCCCCCTCCTCAGGGCCCTCAGCAGCCCTTGCCCCTTCTATTGGATGTGTTCTTTCAGAATCCCGGTTTGAAGGGCCTCCTCCCATGGCATCCTGTGTGGGGCTGGACTCTCACTGCTCCACAACCTGAATTCAGGCTTCTAGCTCCTTCCAGGACAGCTGGGCCTGGCCTCCACTGAGAACAGAGGAGTCTCCCCCACCTGACTCCATGCTGAGCTCTCCACTGGCCTGTCCTCTCGGGTCTGCTGGGGCCATCCAATACAGAGGGCTCGTTATAAGAGTGGGCTCTGGGGTACAAGTTCTGCCACTCCTTCACCTGCATGTGACCTTGGCCAGTCACCTATCTTCTTCAAGCCTCTCCTTCTGACACTGTGGTGTTCCTTACACATTGGAGGCCCTCATAAATGCTTTCTGAATAAGTCTGCCTGCAATATGCTTAACGCAGTGCCTGACCCAGAGAACATGCTCAGTAAAAGTCAACTATTTAAATCATCCCCATTTACAGATGAAGAAACTGAGACTCAGAAATGTAACTTGTCCAAGGCCTCAGGGCTGGGAAATGGTGGAGCCAGGTTCCCCTGTGCCCTGATCCATCAGTCCACCTCCCCTGCATGCTCCCCATTCTTCTCTGCCTCTGTGAAGCCAGCACAGATATGTCAGCCTCAGAGGGATGAATGGAGAAGCCAGAAACTCACACTCTGAGAACCCCTGAGGAGACAGGAGGTTCCTATCATCATGGGAGATACAAAGATGAATTAAAGTTTCAGCCGCTCAAAGGGCTGCCAGTCTGGAACTGGGAGCCACGGCGCCCGGAACAGAGTCTATCCCTACACAGAGGACCCAGCAAGCCTCAAGGGAGGGGCACCATCTGGGTTCCCAGTACACAATTGGCTCGTTGAATCACAAAGTTCACAAGAAATAGTGGCCACACAATCTGAATTTTAAAAGACAAGTCCAAGTTGCAAACATTTTCTCCTATTGTTATAATAGAGTATGAAGTGCCCCAAAGAATCCATTATTGTGGCACCTAAATGACCTCTCACAGCCAGGTGGATCACAAAAATCTATGTTATACCACACGTCCTAAGCTTGACTTGGGGAAAGAGGATCCCCATTATGCTAGACACACAGATGCCGGCTGCCCCCAGCCTCAGCCTCATGGGTGTATGCAGGTCCACACAGACTAATACCAGACAAGACAAAGGGTCACCCACTCTTGGGCTATTAGATGACATGGTGACTTGAGTTAGTGCCCCCTCCCCTTTCCAGCAGTGATCCTAACACCAGTGCTGGGCACTGTAAGGTCTGGAGGGGCCTTTGGTATCCCCAGAGAAAACAGACTGCCTTTGCATGCTTCTTGTCAGCATGAGAGGCAAGCCCTGGTCTAAGTGACACCGAGGTTGCAGCCAGGGTGTCTCTGACAGGGCTGCTGTCCTCAGATGTGAAGGCTTTGCTCCTCAGCCTCTTGCTACAGACCTCCCTCTCACATTAACTCCTGCCAGGACTTTTGGTTTCGGTTTCTGACAGCAGAAATAAGTTCTACCCTTTCCCTCTGTTGTCCTCCACACTTCCCCTCCTCCTACCCTACTTCCTTCACCCTTCTTCCTCCCACCCTAGTAGGAAATCCCCCCCCTGCCCCCACCCCCAGTCCCAGTCTGAGAGGGACAAAGAAGAAGAGAGGAATAGAGAAGGGACTGAGAAAGGGAGTTGCCAGAGACCTCGCTGCATCTTCGGGGCTTGGTGATCACTCACAAATCTGCAAATTGTGCCCTGTACAACTCAAGAGGACACCAGTCCTCTCAAGTCACCAAAATTTGCATATTTATTAGCACACTTTTCAGACAGATGGCAGTAAAGTGTCTTGAGAAGGAACAGTCTGAAGCTCTGGAGTGGGGTTAAAGGGCTGAATGCCTTTCGGCTCTCATCTCCTAGAAGCCCCAAGGCACCCCCAGTCCTTGAGCTGTAACCCACTTATCCCTCTTTGCTCAACTTCCCAGCTGGGCTAGAACCCCAGTGAGACTCTGGCTCAAAAGAGGCTCGCCAATCTAGGTCCATTTGTGGGGCCCCAAGCAAGTCTCTTCCTCACTAGGCCTCAGTTTCCCCATCTGTAATATGTAAAGAGAACAAAAGGATCTCTAAGCGGCCATCTATATTTAACAGCTGAGTCTGTGCAGAGGGTGCCTGGAGGCAGATGATTACAGTTGGGTTGCAGCCTCAGGGTCCCTATTTCTCTGAAGGAAGGAGGTTGTTGGTTGTTCCGTTGACTGAGAGCAGGGGTCAGAGAGGATTCTTTTGTTGAAGAATATCAAGAGGGGCTGTGTGACCTGGGGCGGCTCCTCTAACCTCTCTAAACCTGTTACCTCCCCTATGAAATAAAGGTGGTAATATTCACCTTGCAGGTGGCTGTGACGACTGAAGGGAGTACTGCATGCAAAAGTGCTGGCGTGGAGGAGGCGGCAGAAGAGGGCGGCGGCGGGGCACGGCAGCCACTGCCTGAGCTCAGGCTCCAGGGCAGGAAACCCACCTGACAGGCCACTCCTTCAGCTCGCCTCCCCCAGTGGGCTCCCTCCCCTCTCTCTGCAGGGCCACACCTCTGGGAGGATGCTCAGGGCTTGCACAGCGCTGAAGGAACCCCAAGGAGCCTACACCCCTTAGCCTGTCATGCCAGGCCCTCCCCTACCTACGCCCCGCGGCCACTCCCCACCCAGCCCCCCCGACCTGCTCGACACCCCCAAACAAGCCATGCACACCTCCCTGCCTTTGCCCAGGCTGCATCCTTTCCGGGTCACATGCCCTTCCCTCTCCCCCTCCTCAAGACAGCTAAATCCTGCTCATTGTTTAGGGCCCAGCTCAAATGTCACCTTCTGAGAGAAACCTTTCCCTGCCCTTCCAGTAAAGAAAATACTCATTCTTCCTGTTGCCTCCCTCAGCCCCGCATTCAGTCCCGTCAGGAGTGCAGCTGGGCTCCAGTCCGCCACATCCCCTCGCGGAGCCCCCAGTGCCTTATCTAGAAAATGGAGGTAAATCGTCCCTACTTGGGGGGCAGGACGAGTTCAATAAAATGGGACACGTCGGGCGTCTAAACATAGCGTGGGGCCCACAGTAGAGCCCGGCGAGTCCAACCAGTCAGCCTCGCACTGAGAGGGAAGCGCGCGCCAGGCCCCGTTTCCAGCCTCCTGTAAGTCCTCCCGGAAGACCAGTTCACAGCTCATTGGAAGATCAACCAGGATTGACAGGTTCCCAGCCCAATGGCTGGCCGAGCCCGAGAATGGCTCGGGAGCAGGTGGTCGGCCCCTTCCCCTCTCTGGGGCCTCTACCTGCGGAAGGCAGGGCGGGGGGCCTGGTTTCCACAAGCTGCCTGTGTCAGCCTGTGGGGCCGGCCGCCCCACTGATGACTCAGGTCTCCTCCCCACCCTTCCCCTTCAGGAAGAGGCCCTGTCATAATCGCAGTTGTACTACATAAAAATAGCTTCGTTTCACAGTGACATGAGCACAGCCCTTTCCACTGAGGGAAGAGGAAGGCAGTTTCCCCCTACGCGTTCCCCGGGTCCCTCTTCAAAAGCGGATCCTCGGGTGGGGGCTTCACACTTCTCAGCAATAGCTTCATCAGCGGCTTCCTCCCCGGCTTCGGCGCTGAAGGCTTTTTTTACCGCTTTGCGACCAGCTTCTCACCTTTTCTTATTTGGCCCTCACGTCAGAGACGGCAGGCAGCTGAGGTTGCTGTTCCCATTGTGCAGGTGTGGAAACCCAGGCCAGAAGAGGGGAGGTGACTGGCCTGAGGTCACACAGCAAGCTCGCGAGAGCCGAGTTGGGGGCCCTGACTCCTTCACCGAGTTCCTTACGCGCCTGCATAGGCCTCCTCCTAGGAAAGTACTGTGGCCACAGCCAGGGCACCAAGAAAAAGGAGAGGCGAGGAAGGCTGGACGGAACACAGATGTGAGGGGCAAGACATTCATGCAACAAACATTTGTCTGGCCGGGTGAGGTGGCTAACGGCTGTAATCCCAGGACTTTGGGAGACCAAGGCGGGCAGATCACCTGAGGTCAGGAGTTTGAGACCAGCCTGGCGAATATGGTGAAACCCCATCTGTACTAAAAATACAAAACAAATTAGCCAGGCGTCATGGCGCACGCCTGTAATCCCAGCTACTCGGGATTGGAACCCAATGACAAATTGGTGGTTTCCCTGTCAGTCAGGCCTGTTAGACTGAGAGCAGCCCCTCCAGGCCCAAGACTGATGAGTCTCAGCCATGAGGCCCAGCCTGGGGTGTGGGGGCCTTTGCTGCCCATTGAATCCCTGCAGTGCAGCCACTGAGGAAACCCTGCCTGGTCTTGTGGTCTCTGCTCTTCCCCCTCAAATCCACCCTCTACTATCAAAATGTAAGGCAGGTCAGAGGGCACAAGCTGGAAGCCTATAAATGGGTATCTTGTGGCACTAGAAAGAAAGGCACGCTGTGTTCCCAGCTGGGTGCCTGAATGCGTAGGAGTATGGGCAAGTGACTGTGTGTGTGCACATGGTTGTGTACAAACTTGGGGTGTGTGTGTCTTAGTCGGTTTTCTGTTATTTGTAACAGAGTACCTGAAACTGGGTAATTTATAAAGAAAAGGAATTCTTTCTTGCAGTGCTGGAGAATGAGAAGTCCAAGGTTGAAGGGCTGCACCTTGTGAGGTCCTTCTTGGTGGTGGGGACTCTGCGGAGTCCTGAGGCCCTGAAGGGCATCACATGGTGATGGGGTTGAGCATGTTAGCTCAGATCTCTCTTCCTCTTATTATAAAGCCAACAGTCCAATTCCCGTGATAACCCATTAATCCATGAACCCATTAATCCATTAATCCATGAATGAATTAATCTATTCATGAGGGCAGAGTCCTCATGGCCCAATCACCTCTTGAAGATCCCACTTTTCACTACTGCCACATTGGGGAATAAGTTTCAACATGAGTTTCAGAGGGGACAGATATTTAAACCTTAACTGTATGTCTGTGTTTGTGTGTGTGTTTGTGTGTGTGTGTGTGTGTGTGTGTGTGTGTGTGTGTGTAGCTGCTGTGGTTGTCAACTCAAAGTGAAAAAGCCCTCACTTCCTGTTAAGAATCAATTACAGCAGTTTTTATAGAAGCTCTAGCTCTCCCTGTGGGGATCACAGGAGCCTGGGAGGAGAGGTGGGAAGGCAGAGCAGGAAGAATGTCTTCCCTGAGCAGTGCTGGGAGCAAGATCAGGACTGCACATCCAAGACTCCAAGTTCATGTCCCACTGTGCTGTCAAGTCACTGCATGACATAAACAAGTCACTATACCTCTCTGGTTCCCTTTCTGTAAAAGCAGGAGGGAAGGTGAGACCAAATGATCCCTAACCCTTTCTCCTTTTTGGAGACTCAGATTAGTATCCAGAGTGCACTCTCCAGAGGGAGACACCAGGCATGTCGTCCACTCCACATTGGTCTAGCCCTTCCTAGACCACTGTGGAAACACCTAGACCCTTTCCTGAGGTTGTCTGGGGGAGGGGACAGGGAAGGAGTTTCCAGTAGGGAAGGGCTTAGTGGCAGCCAGCCTCCCACTCTCATCAGCAACTTCTTCTCCTCCACCATCCCACACTGCCCTGCTCCCTCCCAGTTCCCACATCCTTGACCAGAGGAGAAACACAAATTAGTTGCTCAGTAGGAAAAGGCAGGAGCCCCTGCCCCTTCTACCCATCCCATCTGCAATGGGAGAGGGGAAGTGGGGAAGAGGGCTGGGTTCACAGTCAAAACTGGCCTCCTCATTTTACAGATGAGCAAACCCACACCTAGAGAGAGGCATTGAGTACCCACTCAAGGGCATACAGCAAGACAGTGGGAGTGCCAGGATTGAACCCAGCGTCCTATAAGCCTTTCCATATCATCAGGCTGCCCCTCTGAGGAGGGTCTCTAACTAATTCCCACATCCACTGAGAACAGAACACAAGAGCAGGAACTGACTTTGCAGCAAGGGGACTTAGGCTGGACACCAGGAGGCACTTCCCCCTGGGCTTGGTCAACTCCAGGACAGGTAGCAAAGGAGTGCTCACCTCCTCCCAGCATGCCTTTAGAGTAAGATACCCTGAAATGCAATAGCTCCCTGTGGTTAGGAAGAAAGCTAGAGAGACCAGGCTTCCAGGCAAAGTTACTCTGCTGGGATGGAGGGAGGATCCAGGAGAAGGAAGAAAGCTACTATGGCCAAGGCCATCCTCAGTACTCACTCCCATTTCCCACCACAGCTGTGAGAGGATCCCATTTTACAGAAAAGAAAACTGAAGCCCAGAGAGGTAAATTACTTTCCCAAGGTAACACGGCTAGAAAGTAGTGAGACCTGTATGGTATAACCCCCAAAATCTTTGTTCTCTCCACTGAGTGGTTTCCCAAAATGTGGACCCCAAGATGAATTTAAAACCTAGAGCCAGACTATGGTGGCCCATGCCTATAGTCCCAGCTACTTGGGAGGCTAAAGAAGAATTGCTGGAGCCCAAGAGATCAAGGCCAGCCTGAGGAACATAGAGAGACCCCTCTAAAAATTTTAAAAATTAGGCTGGGCACAGTGGCTCATGCCTGTCATCCCAGCACTTTGGGAGGCCAAGGCGGGCAGATCACCTGATGTCAGGAGTTCAAGACCAGCCTGGCCAACATAGTGAAACCCCGTCTCTACTAAAAATACAAAAATTAGCCGGGCATGGTGGCACACGCCTGTGATCCTAGCTACTCGGGAGGCTGAGGCAGGAGAATCACTTGAACCCAGGAGGTGGAAGTTTCAGTGAGCCGAGATCGCGCCACTGCACTCCAGCCTGGGCGACAGAGCGAGACTCCATCTCAAAAAGAATAAATACATAAAATAAATAAATAAATAAATAACCACAAATTTTTAATTAAAAAAATACAGTCCACAAGGTGAGTTTAGGTGATATGTGGTTGAATTGGTTTTAAGATTATTACAGCCGGACATGGTGACTTACACCTGTAATCCCAACACTTTGGGGAAGCCAAGGCAGAAGGTTGCTTGAGGTCAGGACCCTGTCTCTACAAGAGTATCTTAAAAATTATCCAGGTGTGTTGGGGCATGCCTGTAGTTCCAGCTACTTGGGAGGCTGAGGTGAGAGGATTGCTTGAGCTCAGGAGTTCAAGGCTACAGTGAGCTATGATTACGCCACTGCACACCAGCCCGGGCAACAGTGAGATCCTGTCTCTAACATAAATAAATATACAAAATTTAAAAAATAAAATTATCATTACTTCAACAATATATTGATCCAAATATAAGTCAGGACAAAATTAATAAACTCATCAAATTCATGATTTCACAGAAATTATGCCCTGTGACTAGGCTAAGTTTTTTGTTTTTTATTTATATTATTTTTATTTTTTGAGACAGAGACTTGCTCTGTCACCCAAGCTGAAGTGCAGTGGCATAATCTTGGCTCACTGCAACCTCCGAGTTCAAGCAATTCTCCTGCCTCAACCTCCTAAGTAGCTGGAATTACAGGCGCCTGCCACCATGCCTGTCTAATTTTTGTATTTTTAGTAGAGCCGGTGTTTTGCCATGTTGGCCAGGCTGGTCTTGAACTCCTGACCTCAAGTGATCCACCTGCCTTGGCCTCCCAAAGTACTGAGATTACAGGCATGAGCCACCACACCTGGCCTGTTTGTTTTTTAATTTTTTTTTTTTTTTTTGAGACAGGGTCTTTTTCTGTTACCTAAGCTGGGGTGTAATGGTGCAATCACAGCTCACTGCAGCCTCAACTTCACAAGCTCCAGTGATCCTCCTACTTCAGCCTCCCAAGTAGCTAGGACCACAGGCATGCACCACCACACCCAGTTAATTTTTGTATTTTTGGTAGAGACTGGGTTTTGCCATGTTGCCCAGGTTGGTCTCAAACTCCTGAGCTCAAGCAATCCACCCACCTCAGCCTCCCAAAGTGCTGGGATTACAGATGTCAACTACCATGTCTGGATGCGACTAGGCTAAGTTTTAAAAGGAATTGATTTAAAGGAAAATATTAAATGGATAATAGTTTAAATAGCAAAAATCTGGAAAGTGATACATGAATGGCTGAAACTTTAGAAACAGTACTGGAGGACCCTTGGTCAGTGGCAGTAAATAGTGGCCTCTGGCCATGCTGGTTTGCAAACACAGGGTGATTCCTGAGGTGGCCCCTCCTATCTGGTCCCTCTAGGGCAGGGGTTCCCAAACCCCAGGCCACCTGGCAGGAGGTCAGTGTCCAGCTAGCGATCATTATCGCCTGAGCTCCACCTCCTCTCAGATCAGCAGCCGCATTAGATTCTGATAGGAGCAAGAACCCTATTGTGAACCGCACTTGTGAGGGATCTAGGTTGTGCGCTCCTTATGAGAATCGAATGCCTGATGAAACTGCCCCCCACCCCCTGACCCCCAGGTCCATGGAAAAAGTGTTTTCCATGAAACTGGTCCCTCGTGCCAAAAAGGTTGGGGATCACTGCTCTAGGGGTCATGCAGCTCTCGGCCCTGGTGTGGTGTGTGTGTGTGTGTGTGTGTGTGTGAAGGAGGAAAGGCAGGCCTCAGAAGTGTGAGCTGTAGCCCCTGGAGTCAGCTCTGACGAGGTCTTGAAGCTCCCCACTTGGCCTTTGTGGGTGCCCTTCCGCTCTCAGTTTTAGCTCCTTGTTTTAGGTCCTGGTTCCTATTCTCCTCTGTCCAGCTCAGTTTCAGCCTTGCTCATTGTCTGAGGAGCCATCTGACCGGAGGGAGACTCTGGGGCTCCCTGAGGAGGCAGCTATACTCTGGGGCCCTCCCTCCTGGGCCTCCAGGCCTGGCCAAGGGGGCCAGTTCCATGCAGCTGAGCATCGGGCCTGGCAGCCTGCGAGCTTCTTGGGCGCAAGGGACTGAAAGAGGTCACAGAGCCAGGGCCCTTGCCAGCTGACCCTGCGGTCTGGGGTCAGCTCCAGAAGAGGAGGCCATCATGGAGGCCGAGTACACACACTCTAAGGCCTGACACAAAAGGGCCTGTGGGGCAGTGTGTTCCCTCTCAGGAGGAAGCCCTGTGGTGGGGGAAGGGTTTGGAGGGACTTCCATCTACCTGCAGCCCCCTTACTACACTAGCACTTGGGGCGGCCCAGCCCACCTTAAATTACTCATGGCCCATTCACTCACTCAGTAGGATTTGGATCCTGAATAATCATGATCATATATATAGATAAACTTTTTTTTGTTTTGAGGCAGGGTCTTGCTCTGTCATCCAGGCTGGGGTGCAGTTGACACAATCTCCGGTCACTGTGGCCTCAACTTCCTGGGCTCAAGCAATCCTCCTACTTCAACCTCCGGAGTAGCTGGGACTATAGGCATGCACCACCACACCTGGCTAATTTTTTTTACTTTTTGCAGAGATGGGGTTGCCCAGGCCAGTTTCAAACTCCTGGGCTCAAGCAATCCTCCTGCCTCGGCCTCTCAAAGTGTTGGGATTACAGGCGTGAACCACCACACCTGGCCTAATAAACATTTTTGAGGTGTGTCTTCCCATACCTCTGGGCTGAGTGCTCTTCACAGAGGATTTTATTTAATCTTCACAACAGCACTGGGGGGTGTGTTCTGTTATTATCCCCACTTAACAGATGATAAAGTGAGTCTCAAAGAAGTGAACCATCTTGCTTAAGGCCAGATGTAGGACATGGGGGAGCTAGGATTCAACCCCAGAAGTGTTTGATTCTGAAACTGTGCTATTTCTCCCATCCACGTGAAGGGGAGTTCACCATTGGAAAAGAAAGTCAGTCCTTCGACCTAGACTTGATCCCCAATTTACATAGAAATAGTTATTTTCTGGCCAGGCATGGTGGCTCATGCCTGTAATCCCAGCACTTTTGGAGGCGAGGTGGGTGGATCACGAGGTCAGGAGATTGAGACCATCCTGGCCAACATGGTGAAGCCAGATGTGGTGGTGCGTGCCTGTAGTCCCAGCTACTGGGGAGGCTGAGGCAGGGGAATCACTTGAACCCAGGAGGTAGAGGTTGCAGTGAGCTGAGATCACGCCACTGCACTCTAGCCTGGTGACAGAGCAAGACGCCATCTCAAAAAAAAAAAAAAAAAAGAAATAGTTATTTCTATTTACATGGCTTAGCCTACTGCGAAAAGCTATCCTTGAAGGATTATCAGTCACCTATACCTGAGTGTGAGGGAGTTTTTGATCCTTGTGACCTTGTACCACAAATATTTTCTCATTTACCATCTCATTTAGTGCCTGCCAACTAAGAGCAGATATCATTGTCCTCATTTTACAGCTGGGGAGACTGAAACTCAAGGAGGTATGGTGATGGGTTCTCAACCACACCTGTGGGCAGTCCCCTGGCCAGCATCCCAACCAACTCCGCTTTGGGTCAGCCACTCTGTCCTCAACACCAGCTTCTTTCTCATGGCCTTTCTCCCAGAGCACATCTCCATAGAAGGGAGGGGAGCCAGCAGGGGGACCCAAGGCCCCGGGAGAAGTGGCTGAAAGAGAGAAGAGAAACTATATGGACATTCGCCTGGAGTCCTGATTTCTTTTTTTTTTTTTTTTTTTTTTTGAGACGGAGTCTTGCTCTGTCACCCAGGCTGGAGTGCAGTGGTGCGATCTCGGCTCACTGCAAGCTCCGCCTCCTGGGTTCATGCCATTCTCCTGCCTCAGCCTCCCCAGTAGCGGGGACTACAGGTGCCCGCCACCACACCCGGCTAATTTTTTGTATTTTTTAGTAGAGATGGGGTTTCACTGTGTTAGCCAGGATGGTCTTGATCTCCTGACCTCGTGATCCGCCTGCCTCGGCCTCCCAAAGTGCTGGGATTACAGGCGTGAGCCACCGCGCCTGGCCTGGAGTCCTGATTTCAAACCATGAGTCCTTGTCGGGCTTCCAGATCTGCACACAGGAATGTAAGGGCCGCCCTTCATAAGAACAAGATAGCTGTCTTGTGTCCTCTCCCCCAGCCCTCTACCGCCAGCCTTTTTTCTGGCCAAAAGGCCCTTGGCCAGAATAGTCCTTTAACTATTCTTCTTACGACATTGTCTAATTATGATGATTAGACATAAGTATGAAGAAAAACATGCATTTTTTTTTTTTGAGACAAAGTCTCACTCTTGTCCCCCAGGCTAGAGTGCAATGGCACAATCTCAGCTCACTGCAACCTCCACCTCCAGGGTTCAAGCGATTCTCCTGTCTCAGCCTCCCCAGTAGCTGGGATTACAGGCACCTGCCACCATGCCCAGCTAATTTTTGTATTTTTAGTAGAGGCGGGGTTTCACCATGTTGGCCAGGCTGGTCTCAAACTCCTGACCTCGCGATCCACCCGCCTCGCCCTCCCAAAGTGCTGGGATTACAGTCGTGAGGCACCACGCCCGGCCAACATGCAGCTTTTAAGTTAAACAATGTATATGCCTTTTCTGGGGGAAGACTTTTCAACTGAGGAGCTGTGGGTTGCTCACTGTCCAGGGATGTCACAGAGTTGAATTTTATGCAATTAAGTGAAATAATCAGATCAGCACTCAACTTTCTGATGTGACTGGAAAATTGTCTTTAAAAAATCAAAATCTTTTTTTTTTTTTTTTTTTTTTGAGACAGAGCCTTGCTCTGTCACACCCAGGCTGGAGTCCAGTGGCGCAATCTTGGCTCACTGCAACCTCCACCTCCCCTGTTCAAGCAATTCTCCTGCCTCAGCCTCCCGAGTAGCCGGGACTACAGGCGCATGCACCACAATGCTCGGCTAATTTTTGTATTTTTAGTAGAAATGGGGTTTCACAATGTTGGCCAGGCTGGTCTCGAACTCCCGACCTCAGGTGATCCACCCGCCTCAGCCTCCCAAAGTGCTGGGATTACAGGCACGAGCCACTGTGCCCGGCTTTTTTTTGTTATTTTTTTGTTTTTGAGGCAGGGTCTCATGTCACCCAGCAGACTGGAGTGCAGTGGCACAATCATGGCCCACTGCAGCCTCAACCTCCTGGGCTCAAGGCAATCCTCTAACCCCAGTCCCCTGAGTAGCTGGGACTACAAGTGCATGCCACTATGCCTGGCTAATTTTTTATAATTTTTGGAGAGATGAGGTTTTGCCATGTTGCCCAGGCTGGTCTGAAACTCCTGGGCTAAAGTGATCCACCTGCTTTGGCCTCCCAAAGTGCTGGGATTATAGGAGTGAGCCACCGCACCCGGCCAAAATCCACATTTTTAAAATGTGGATATATCCTAAAATACTGCAGGGAAGACCTAGATCAGGGGTTCTTAACCTCTTTTGTGTGTGCCATGGCCTCCTTTGTCATCTGGTAAAAACTTGCAGACCCCTTCTCAGAATAATGTTCTGAAATGCACAAAATAAACTAGCATAGGCTTACAAAGAAAACCAGTTGTATTAAAATGTAGTCATCAAACAATTAAAAAAAATTTTTCGACATAGTACTAGATAGTGCTTCCTAATTAATGCCTGAAGATCAAGAGCTAATAATAGGTCCAATAACTGCTGTAATTTTGAAATAGTGATGAGTATAAACCATATTTTGAAATATCTTCAAAAACCGTTATATGATTTGAAAATATTTGTAATTGCTAGTGACATCATCACGAGTCCTGCTAATACTGCTGTGGTTTGTTGCCTACATTCATCGTTGAAGAGAATGCTAAAATTCAGGTAGAAATTAGTGAAAATAAAGATATATATTTTTTCTCTTCCAAATTTTTAGACTCCTTGAACTCTATCCTTTGATCTTTCGGGTTCCCTTAGATGCCAGATTAAGAACTCTTGTTCTAGTTCTATCTTATATTTTATAGCATGTATATGTAATTATATCCAACAATTACAACAAATACCACAATGCAAATGTATCCAGATTTTGTGGTTTTCAAAATCTGATTAAATTTACCAATAAATAAAGTGCCTGGCAGGTAGTAGGTCTCGATAAAGGGGTGTCTCTCTGCCCAGGGCCTGGGACTCCTGCTGTAGTTGCGCTGCTCATTCTTCTAGGGACGCCCACAGCCTGCTTGGCACTGGGCCAGGCCTTTCCCCACTGTTAGCAGCTTTTATGCCCCGATGCCACACTGCTGCCACTTGGCAGGTGAGAAATCACATTAGGTTTGGGGATATTTTGACTGCCCCTCAACCCTGGGAGGAGGGTGGCTTCATAGCCCAGCCTTGAAGAGCCCCAGGCTCTTTCCCCTAGGGCCCCAAGCTGCCTGCATCCCGGGAATCCCCTGGAAGCCCTTTGCGCCTGCTTCCCCTCTTGACTCATCTGAGGTCGGATGAGGAGCAGTCATGAGCCGCGTGACAAGGTCAGTGCTGACAGGCTCACAAGATGCCCTGAGCGCCTCCCAGGAGAGCTGGCAGGTCCTCAGAGCAGACAGGGCAGACAGATCCTAGAGGAGAAGTCCACTCCAGCCCCTCAGGCTTCAGAACAGGGCCGGAACAGAATTCAGGTTCTGGCTCCCAGAGCTCATCCTCCACCTCTCCCTGCTTCCAGGCTACCCTTTCCCCTGCCCAGATCCTCGATTCCCTGGGGAGTCCTGCTCCCCTCTAGCCAAGCTCTGCCATCCACCTCTTTCTTCAGAGCCTTTCCACCTCATCATCTGCCTTCTTATCAAAATCTGCCTGTTTTGTGTCCCATCAGCATCTGCTCCCAAGGCAACTCCCAGTTATCAGGGGTACATGCAATGTGGAGTAGAAAGACCTGTATTCAAGTGTGGGCTCTGATTGGCAGAGGAATTCCTCTGCCTCTCAGGGCCTCACTCAGTGTCCTCATCTATTCCATGGACACATTTAAATTGCTGCCCTAACTTTCATAGTTGTTATGAGGAGCAAACCCATTTTTCGCTGTGAAATCACTTTATAAACTGTAAAGCACTTTCATAGCTGTGATTTGGGACTCATGGCTGGCAAGTTGTTTGGCGTTTCACAATTATCAAGATCCCTCTGGGGAAATGATACAAAGGAATGGTTTTAGTGGTGGAGTTTCCAGCAGATAGGGAGATCCGTATAGCCAGAGGGCCCTGCCACATATTCCTACCTCCTCCCCTAAACCATGTCCCAAGACGTGGCCTTATAGGCAGTCTCGTCTTGAACATGCTGAGAGTTTGAAATGACCCCTCTGAACCTAACACAGGAAATTGACTGGGGAAGTGTTGGGGTTCATGCAGACTTGCTTCTGCTTTAGATGTGATTCACCCAGTTTGTCTTAGCCACAATTGTGGAGTCAGTCAAGAGAATGGTAGGAGGATGAAACATCTGTTTCTGAGGAAGAAAGCAAGCTAGGACAGGTAGATAGCCCACTGCAGGGGCAGAGCCTGTGGCTCACAGAGGGGCATTTTCGTTTTTTTTTTGTTTTTTTTTTTTGAGATAGGGTCTCACTCTGTCACCTAGGCTGGAGTGCAGTGGCATGATCTCGGCTCACTGCAACCTCTGCCTCCTGGGTTCAAGCAATTCTCATGCCTCAGCCTCCTGAGTAGCTGGGATCACAGTCACGTGCCACCACGCCCAGCTCATTTTTTTTGTACTTTTAGTAGAGACGGGGTTTCACCATGTTGGCCAGGCTGTTCTCCAACTCCTGACCTCAAGTGATCCACCCATCTTGGCCTCCCAAAGTGCTGGGATTACAGGTGTGAGCCACCGCGACTGGACATGGGAAGGCATTTTCAAACGCTTGCTTGGCTTGGGAGCCTGGAGTGTGACCTGCCAGAATCCTGCAGGGTTTAGCACCAGAAGGCTTGGATTCCATACCGCGCTCTGCCACACCCAAACTGTGTGCCCATGGGAGGTCACTGGCTGTCTGTGGGCCTAGGTTTTCTGTCTGTTACAGCTCTGCAGTAATTCCCAACTCAACAGGGTCTTATGAGGATTCATGGGCTCACAAGACACAGAAATGCCTACATTTATGTTGGGGAGTAAAGTGCCCAGCTGTGGCACTGCCACCCAGCCCAGCACATATCTAGGTTTCCGGAGTGTCTGTCTCCCCACTGGGCTGACTCTTGCAGAAGAGAGTCACATGCTGAGACCTGTGGGTGTTCACTCTGCACAGTGGCTAAACGAAGGGAGGGAGGGCAGTGTACCCGCAATCATCATTCCAGAGCTCATGCTGTGTCAGGGCCAGATGCCTGGTAAGTTCCCTTTCTGCCTGTGAGGCTGTGATAGTGTGTCTATGTTTGTGATGTTTTCAGATATTTCACTTAGTTTTCCCCTGTGGGGGTCACAGAATATTCCAGCCCTGGCCAGCCGTTGCCCCAGTGTCTGGGAGTGTTTCATCAGTGTCCTTTGCCCTTCTTTGGTGCCAGTCAGTTTGGTTCAAATCCCAGCTCTGAAATGCACTAGCTATAACCTTGGGCAAGTCACTCAACCACTCTAGTTAGATATACGTTCAGCTTGACATGAACATGTCAAATTGTTTTCTAAAGTAGTTGTGCCAATTTTTACTCCCAAAAACTGAGCAAAAGAGAGCTCATGGTCCATATCCTTTGTCCCCTTTGTACTGTCAAAGTGTTTAACTTTTTTTTTTTTGAGACAGATTTTTGCTCTTCTCACCCAGGCTGGAGTGCAATGGCACGATCTCAGCCTACTGCAACCTCTCCCTCCCGGGTTCAAGCTATTCTCCTGCCTCAGCCTCCTGAGTAGCTGGGATTACAGGTGCACACCACCATGCCCGGCTAATTTTTGTATTTTTAGTAAAGACAGGGTTTCACCATGTTGGCCAGGCTGGTCTCAAACTCCTGACCTCAGGTGACCCACCTGCCTCGGCCTCCCAAAGTGCTGGGATTACAGGCGTGAGCCACTGCACCCATCCCAAAGTGTTTAACTTTTGCCAACCAATGGATGTAAAATGATATTCACTATGGGGCTTATCTGCATTTCTCTGAATGTTAAGGAAGTTAAACATGTCTTCATGTTTATTAGCCAGACATGTTTTCTCTTCAGTGAAATGCCTATTCATATCTTTTGTTAATTTTCCTATTATAATTTTTAGCTTTTTGTTAATTGATTTGTAAAGAGTTTGCTCTGTCACGTAGGCAGGAGTACAGTGGTGAGATCATAGCTCACTGTAGCCTCGAACTCTCAGACTCAAGTGATCCTCCTGCCTTACCTTTTCGAGTAGCTAGGACTGCAGGCTCAAACCACCATGCCTGGGTTTGGGGGCTTTTTTTTTTTTTTTTGACACAGGGACTCGCTCTGTCACCCAGGCTGGAGTACGATGGCACAATCATGGCTGAGTGCAGCCTCGACTTTCCGGGCTCAAGTGATCCTCCCTCAGCCTCCCGAGTAGCTGGAACCACAAGCACGTGCCATCACGCCCAGCTAATTTTTGTATTTCTTGTAGAGATGACGTTTTGCTGTGTTACCCAGGCTGGTCTTGAATTCCTGGCTTCAAATGATCCTCCCACTTTGGCCTCCCAAAGTTCTGGGATTACAGGTATAGGCCACTGTGCCTGGCCTAAAGGTTTTAACTTTAACTTTTTGAGTTATTGATCCATCTAGAGTTGATTTTTTGTGGATAGTGTGAGGTAAAGATTTCTTTTTTCTTTTTCGAACGGGTAACCAAATTTCTAACTCTATTTATTGAATAGTCTAGGGCCACTTTTTAAAAATTTTCTGGAGCCAATCTTAACTGGGTCTTGAGGGGACAGGAGGAGGGTCTAGCTGAAATTTGACTGACACAGAATTCCCTATTAGACTGACCAAGGACTACCTGGGTCACATTCAATGAGTCTAGAGACAAAAGTAGTTCCCACCTGCCTCCGAGCTCAGCACTATTTTTATTTATTTATTTGTTTATTTATTTATTTTTTGAGACGGAGTCTCGCTCTGTTGCCCAGGCTGGAGTGCAGTGGCACGATCTCGGCTCACTGCAAGCTCCGCCTCCCAGGTTCACGCCATTCTCCTGCCTCAGCCTCCCAAGTAGCTGGGACTACAGGTACCCATCACCACGCCCGGCTAATTTTTTGTATTTTTAGTAGAGATGGGGTTTCACCATGTTAGCCAGGATGGTCTTGATCTTCTGACCTCATGATCTGCCTGCCTCGGCCTCCCAAAGTGCTGGGATTACAGGCGTGAGCCACCGCGCCCGGCCTATTTATTTGTTTATTTGAGACGGAGTTTCGCTCTTGTTGCCTAGGCTGGAGTGCAATGGCGCGATCTTGGCTCACTATAACCTCTGCCTCCCGGGTTCAAGTGATTCTCCTGCCTCAGCCTCCCAAGTAGCTGGATTACAGGCATGAGCCACCGCGCCTGGCCTGACTATTTTATTAATAGATGTAACTTATGTGTATGGCAAATAATAATAATTCAGATAGTACTGAAAAGTATCCAATTGTTGGTTGGGCGAAGTCACTCACACCTGTAATCTCTGCACTTTGGGAGGCCAAGGTGGGTAGATCGCTTGAGCTCAAGAGTTTAAGACCAGCCTGGGCAACTTTTATAGAGACTCCATCTCTACAAAAAATACAATAAATTAGATGAATGTGGTGGCATTTGCCTATTGTCCCAGCTACTCAGGAGGCTAAGGTGGGAGGATCGATTGAGCCTGGGAAGTGGAGGCTGCAGTGAGCAGTGATGGTGCACTGCACTCCAGCCTGGGCAACAGATACCTTTTCTCAAAGAAAAAAGAAAAGAAGAAAGAAAAGTATCCAATTAAAAATTAAATTATCCTACCTCCAGAACCACTACCCAGAAGTAACTATGTTAATAGTGAATGATTTTTATATCCATGTAGTGTAGGAAACTAAAAAAAAAAAAAAAAAAAAAAAAAAAGTGAATAATTTTTCACTGCTGTGAATCCTCTCCCTGACTGTAAATAACACACTCATGCTCTATTTTTTTATTTAGCATTTCTAGAGTAACTCTAGTTATTCTCTGCTGGAAAAGTTTGTTTCCTTTCATCTACCCCATCTCTCCTCCCTCCTCACCTTATTCCCAATACTCGGTCTTTTAAAAAATAATGTTAGGCCAGGCACAGTGGCTCACGCCTATAATCCCAGCACTTTGGGAGGCCGAGGGTGGGTGGATCACCTGAGGTCAGGTGGATTACAGACGTGAGCCACCGCGCCTGGCCTGACTATTTTATTAATAGATTTAACTTATGTGTATGGCAAATAATAATAATTCAAATAGTACTGAAAAGTATCCAATTGTTGGTTGGGCGAAGTTACTCACACCTGTAATCTCTGCACTTTGGGAGGCCAAGGTGTGTAGATCGCTGGTTCAAGACCAGCCTGGTCAACATGGCGAAACCCAGTCTCTACTAAAAACACAAAAATTAGCCGGGCGTGGTGACACGCACCTGTAATCCCAGCTACTTGGGAGCCTGAGGCAGGAGACTCGCTTGAACCCGGGAGGCGGAGGTTGCAGTGAGCCGAGACTGCGCCACTGCACTCCAGCCTGGGCAACAGAGTGAGACTCTGTCTCAAAAATAATGATAATAATAATGTTAAATGTTCTGCCAAATCCTGAAGCTGCTGCCACAGCTGTATTTCAGGAAGCCCAGCCTGTGAGGATGCCGTCCCCCCTCCGCAGGAAGACGTCAGACAGGACACTTTCCATCACCCTGCTTCCTGATTCCAGGCATCGATGCTGAGCTGGACAGAAGGAAAACAGCCTTTTGGTGTCTGAGACAACAGCACAAATGACAGGACTGGCCTTCTTTCCTGAATGGGAAGAGGGTGGGGAGAAGAATGCTGCAGTGACCCGAGCTTGTTGATGCCCTGCCACAGGCACCCCAGGTGGCCTTGGGCAAGTCCCTTCTCTTGCCTCTCCACCTGTAAAGTGTAGGTTACTGGGGTCCCTTCACCTTAGACTTTCTTTGGTCAGAGCTACAGAAAGAGGTGGCTGTAGGGAGGACTTTCTGAAAAAGAGTAAAAAGGCTCTCCTTGCTCAGGAGGCTGAGGTAGGAGAATCGCTTGAACCTGGGAGGCCGAGGTTGCAGTGAGCCAAGATCGCAACGTTGTGCTCCAGCCTGGGCAACAAGAGCAAAACTCCATCTCAAAAAAAAAAAAAAGAAAGAAAGAAAGAAAGGAAAAGGCTCTTCTGAGAGACAGAGTGATGATACAATGATAGTAACAGCCACTGCTTCCTGAGGGCCTCCCGTGGGTACTGGGTGGGCATCGTCCAGGTGCCACGCATGCGTGATCCTATTTAATCTCCAAGCTCTCAGGTGGGCACAATTCTCCTCGTTTAACTGATGAGGTAACTGAAGAGCAGAAGTTAGGCGACTTGTCAAAGCTCACAGAGCTGAAAGGTCTGTGCCACATATCTGGTCCCATCTGCCACCTAGTCTTGTTGAATATCTTGTATATTTCAAAATGCTGAAAAACTCCGGGGTCCCTCTGGCCCTCCAGAAACAAATTGGAAGATACTTCCTGAGTTCATGGAACCCTGCCTCCCAGATCCACTGTAGAGACTGACCTTGGCCCAAGCCTGAGGGGTGATTTTGAGACAAATTCCTCTCAAGGGGAACCTTTTCACAGAGAAAAGAAGAGGGCTGTTTAGTCTGAGGAGACTTTTGCTCACCCATAGCAGGCACCCCAAATGTTCAGAATGACTTGGGATCTATTCTTCTCCCCTGGCCTTCCCCAGAGACAGAGCTGTTTGCACTCTCCTCATCCCACTGACCAGCACACTCTCACCCACACCACACCCTGGGCACTCTGGGGACCCACAGGCCTCAGCCTCAGCATGGCCTGGCGCTGGCCACAGCTGGGGCAGGGCTGCTTCCCTTCAGACCCAAGGCCACAGGCTGGAAGGAAATGGAGGTGGGAGGGGCCCAGAAAAGCTGACTAGGCTGGAAGGCTGGTTGGGAGGGAGGAAGCACAGAAAGGCCAGCCCAGCAATTTGGGCAAAGCTGGCAAGGCTGCCTTGGCATCTCTGCGGATTCAAGGCCACAAGGGCCTCACCTTGGCCACCCAGCCCCGGCTTGTGGCCAGGAGGCTGAGGAGAAGTCCTGATTGGGTCACACTCTGAGGGACTGAATCAGAACTTGGCCCTGGCTACCAAGACTATTGGACTCTTTCCCCTACCTGCAGCTCAGGGGTGTGGCTAGTGGGCAAAGAAATGCATATATATATGTTTGTTTGTTTTGAGACAGAGTCTCGCTTTGTTGCCCAGGCTGGAATGCGTTGGCATGATCATAGCCCACTGTAACCTGGGACTTATGGGCTCAAGGGATCCTCTCACTTCAGTGTCCTGAGAAGCTAGAACTACAGGTGCATGCCACTGCACCTGGCTAATTATTTTGTAATATTTTGTAGTGACAGGGTCTTGCTACATTGCCCAGGCTGGTCTCAAACTCCTGGCCTCAGGTGCTCCTCCTGCCTCGGCCTCCTGAAGTGCTGGGATTACAGGCATGAGCCACGGAGCTCAGCCCGCCTCTATCTTAAGCCTCTTCCTTGAGGCTCCAACCTGGGTCTCTGCTTCAGAATTCAACATCAAGAAATGAATAAAACAAGGGCCCAGCCTGAGCAAAATAGTGAGACCCTATTCCTACAAAAAATAAAAATAGTTTTTAAAACAGAAATGAATAAAACAAAAAGACACAAACAAAACAAAGCCTCTTTGAGGACAAGAGCCCCACTAAGCTGGGACAAATCTGATAAAACCCCAGAGCCTAGGTCTGGGCTGCTGCTGAACTCTCCTGACATTATGGTCTGCCAGGGACAGGTGTCTTTGCACATCTACGGTGACTAGTCCACTCACTCTACACCCCGTCCTGGTTGTGGCAAAGAGACTATACGTTGTCCACCTAGGTCAGGGTTTCTCAACCTCAGCACTACTGATATTTTGGATGAGGAGCCCCCAAGATGTTGTCGGGGAGGCTGTCTTGTGCATTGTAGGGTGTTCAACAGCATCTCTGGCCTCCACCCACTAAATGCCAGTAGCAATGTCCCCATTTGTGACAAAAATATCTCCAGACATTGACAAATGTCCTCTGAAGGCAACATCATCCCCATTTGAAAAACACTGCTCTAGCTCCATTCCCTCCCTTCTTTTTTAGTAATAAGACTTTTGATTTTCAGCTGGCACACAGTCAACAGGAAAAAAAACACCAGGCAGCTAGCTGCAAGACCACCCTCGCAATGAGGCAGCAGTACAACTTCCAGAAAGTGTCTCTAAAGGGAAAGTGTGCATCCTATACCCCTTCTTGCTTCCCAAGGGTGAGAACACTTATGCGGGGGCTGCAGCTGTATCACCTCATGGGTCCAGAAATCAAAGTCAAGGGGTAAGATGGCAGAGCAGTAAGAGGGAAGGAGGCTGGGTCCCAGATGACCATGGAGTGCCATGATAGAGATGGCCTCTACCACCAGACTTAATTCATGCAAGATAAATGAATTTGTGTCACTGCTGTCTTGGCCTAACTCCCCCGGAGCTGAGGTTTAGCCTCTGATGAACTCTTCTGACACCATGGCCTCTTGTCAGTCACAGTCAAATCTAATCTTAAGTAACATACAAGATATAACTCAGCAGTGCTTGTGGCTTTAATTATCCACTGTCTGGATGCCCGTTGACTGTCAATTTTTTGCCTCAGCTCAATTCTAGTAGTTCACCAGACCCCTCCACATGGCCACCATCCTCTCCCCATCCCGCCCTCCCCAGGGGCTTCCTATCTCAAAAAGGTACTCCCACTTCCTTAGAACTCTGTGAGTCATCTCTGAATTCCCTCTCTCCCATTCCATCTCTCCCACATTCACAATGCCCCAAAGTCCCCAGTTCTCCTCCACTCTACCCCTAATGCCACTGTTGCAGTTCAGGCCCTCACCACTCCTCCCCTGGTTCACTGTCACTACCTCCTAACTACCCTCCCTGCCTCCAGTCTCCACCCCACACCCCCACCTGCCGCCCCCCACCTCCTGAAACGACCCCCTCCCCAGACTCCCTTGGTCTCTAGGGCAAAGTCCAACCTTTCTGGGTGACCAGCATCCCCGCTCCCCTCTCCCACCTCACCTCCCAGTCCCCCACCTCTTACTTATAGCCAATAGGAGACTACACAAAGAGCTGACCATGGCTCCAGTAACCCGGTAACCCACTGTGACTCTGTTCCCTCTGTCTCCAATGTCCTTCCCTGCCACCTCTGTTCTGTAAACTCTAACTCCTCCTTTGAGGCCCAGGCAAAGAAACCTCCTCCTCAGGTTTCGACTGATTCCCTCAGCAAACACAGCCCATTGATGTCTGCTCTCTGCTGCCACAGAATTTGCCTGTGGGTCTAACACAGAGCTTGTCCCATTGCATTTATGAGTTGGAGTGCCTGTCTCCCTGACTGGCAGTGAGCAACCTGAGGAAAGATCCCATTTTATTGTACTTGGAATCCACGGCTCCTAATGTAATGTTGGCATGGAGTAGGTGCCCAATACACCATATGATTATCCATTTACTAAGTCCTTGCTATGTGGTGGGCCCTGAGCAAATGCTTTATCTAAATTATCTTATTTCATCCTCAAAATCGCCTTGCCAGGAGTGATTGTCTCCCCCTAAGAGATGAGACTACAATTCCAAGAGGCTGAGCAGCCACTGCAGGTGCCACAGCTTATGCACAGCAGTGTCAGAGACAGATTCTCCATCTGCCACACCCATCTCTCCCTTGGGATCTTGCCTCCCCTGCTGCCAACTCCAGACATGGTCTTCAGGGAAACACTGACCCCCAGAACTAACCAGATCTGGGTGTAGAAAAAGCTCTTTATCCTGTTATTCGGTTAACTTGGGATTTCTTAAAAAGGAAGTTTTAATGGGAAACCAAGAGAAAGCCACACACACACACACACACACACACACACACACACACACACACACACATTTTAACAAAACAAATGGGCAATACCAGGTCCCCTCTGAGCTTTTGTTTTTTTTTTTTGAGATGGCAGTGGCACGATCTCAGCTGACTGCAACCTCCGCCTCCCAGGTTTAAGCGATCCTCCCACTTCGGCCTGCATCACCATGCCCTGCTAATTTTTTTTTGTAGAGACAGGATTTTGCCATGTTGCTCAGGCTGGTCTCAAGCCTTGAAGATTGGCCTCAAGACATCTGCCCACCTCAGCCTCCCAAAGTGCTGGAATTACACATATGAGCCACCACCTCCCCTGGCCGCTCTGAGCTGTTATTTCCTCCTCTCTAAAACCAGCAGGTGAGACTAGACGTCTCAAAGATCCTTATCAGCCCCAATATCCTGTGATTCCATGGATGGAATAGTTTCTCAGACTGGACGGTGGGCTGACGAATTGTGTTGGGGAGGGCAGTCCCCTAGGGACACAGGCTTCATGGGGAGGAAGGCCAAAAGCAGACCAGCCCCACACACCCTGCTCTTTAAGACTCCACTTTAGAGGTCCAAAGGGAGAAAGGGGCCGGGCACGGTGGCTGACGCCTATAATCCCAGCACTCTGGGAGGCCGAGGCAGGTGGATCACCTGAGGTCCGGAATTCGAAACCAACGTGGCCAACACGGTGAAACCCCGTCTCTACTAAAAATACAAAATTAGCTGGTCGTGGTGGTGGGTGCCTGTAGTCCCAGCTACTCGGGAGGCTGAGGCAGGAGAATTGCTTGAACCCAGGAGGAGGAGGAGGTTGCAGTGAGCCAAGATCGTGCCACTGCACTCCAGCCTGGCTCCAGCCTGGGCCACAGAGCAAGACCGGGTCTCAAATAAATAAATAAATAAATAAAAAGGGAGGCCAGGCGTGGTGGCTCACACCTGTAATCCCAGCACTTTGGGAGACCAAGGCAGGCAGATCACGAGGTCAGGAGATCTAGACCATCCTGGGGCGGGCGCCCGTAGTCCCAGCTACTCGGGAGGCTGAGGCAGAAGAATGGCATGAACTCGGGAGGCGGAGCTTGCAGTGAGCCGAGATTGTGCCACTGCACTCCAGCCTGGGTGACAGAGCGAGACTCCATCTCAAAAAAAAACAAAAAACAAAAGAGAGAAAGGGATGGCTGGCCTAATAGCCTTCTGGACCCTCTGATAATCCTCCCCAGGGTGAGTGTGAGTTTGAAGCCAGATAGGCCTACGGCTTGGAGTCCAGATCTGCAAGCTGCCTGCTGGATGTTGAAGGGTCCTGTCTCCTCCCTAGGCCTCAATGTAGGCATCTTCCCTTCTGTGGGCCACCCCCTCTGGTCCCAAGCCCTGCCTGGCCCCTCCTCCCATAAAATTATGACAACAGAGAGTGGAGGCTTGTGGGCAAGTTCCTGAGGAGGCTCAAACTCAGCTGTAACCCTTGGAGCCACCGTCATTTCCCCTCTCCCGCCTCCCCAGCTAGGAGGCTGAGAAGTTTCATCACAGCTGAGCTGTTGTCCTTATAAGGGAAAGTCCTCCGAAGCCTCTCCTTTGGGCCATAGCCAGCTGGTGGAGAACCTGCCCAGGCCTTGGGGTATCCTCCCAGTGCCAGGAAAGGTGGGGGTGCCCCAAGGACTCTGGGGTGAGCCTCCATCTGAAATCACAGACCCTCCAGACAAATAGCAGAAAGCAGTCAGTTGTGGCCCCAGGCCAAAACCCCAGGAGGGTCAAATCCCAGGTCCTGACACTAACTTTGGTCCCCTACCTAAGTTGCTTAAGCCTCAGTTTCTTAACCTGTAAAATGGAGTGAAATTACATCTTCCTTGTGAGGCCACTGTGGTGACTGTGAGAGGTTAACAGGCCTGGCAAACAGTAGGTGCTCTGTGAGGCCAGGCTGCTGGAGTTTATTAAGCATTTTCTTTTCTTTTTTTTTTTTTTTTTTTTGAGACATAGTCTCACTCTGTTGCCTCCTGAGTAGCTGAGACTACAGGCGCCTGCCACCACTCCTGGCTAATTTTGTATTTTTAGTAGAGACGGAGTTTTCCCGTGTTGGCCAGGCTGGTCTCGAACTCCTGACCTCAGGTGATCCACCCACCTCAGCCTCCCAAAGTGCTGGGATTATAGGTGTGAGCCACTGCACCTGGCTACCCCTGGGGTTTGAATCCAGGTGTGTCTGCCTCCAAACCTGAAGTCATGTTTTCTCTACTTACATCCTGCTGTTTCCTCTAAGAATTTTGTTAAATTATGTCAACAGGGAGGAATTTCCATCATCACCTCTCCACCATCCATGTTCCATCACAGAGCCTCCTTGGTCACAGAAACCTCTGTGGAGTGAGTTTGTCTTTTCTGACACCCCTTTTGTCTGGGACATGAGGGTAGGGGTGGGGAGGCAGGAAGACAAGACAGGGAGAAGGGAACAAAACACAGTGACTCCCGAGACAGGATGCCGCCAGGGCCTAGGCAGGGGTAGAGGAAGGGGCAATCTGGTTGCCCCTCCCCCTGTCCTGGGTCCTGTCTGATGATAGCCACCTTGTGATTTGTGAAACCCTCTACTGGGCTGGACACGGTGGCTCACGCATGTAATCCCAAGCACTTTGGTAGGCCAAGGCGGGCAGATCACTCATGGTCAGAAGTTCGAGACCAGCCTGGCCAACATGGTGAAACTCCATCTCTACTAAAAATACAAAAATTAGCCAGGCGTGGTAGCGCACGCCTGTAGTCCCAGCTCTCAGGAGGCTGAGGCAGGAGAATTGCTTGAACCCAGGAGGCGGAGGTTGCCATGAGCTGAGATCACACCACTGCACTCCAGCCTGGATGACAGACCGAGACTCCGTCTTAATTAAAAAATATGTACATATCCTAGCCGGGCTCCATGGCTCACGCCTATAATCCCAGCACTTTGGGATGCCAGTGTGGGTGGATCACCTGAGATCAGTAGTTCGAGACCAACCTGGCCAACATAGTGAAACCCCGTCTCTACAAAAAATACAAAAATCAGCCAGGTGTGATGGCAGGCAACTGTAATCCCAGCTACTCGGGAGGCTGAGGCGGAAGAATCGCTTGAACCCAGGAGGCGGAGGTTGCAGTGAGCCAAGATCACACCACTGCACTCCAGCCTGGGCGACAGAGACTCAGTCTCAAAAAAAAAGGCCAGGTGCGGTGGCTCACGCCTGTAATCCCAGCACTTTGGGAGGCTGAGGCGGGCGGATCATGAGGACAGGAAACCGAGACCATCCTGGCTAACATGGTGAAACTCCGTCTCTACTAAAAAAAAAAATTATATATATATATATATATATATTAGCTGGGTGTGGTGGCGCGCGCCTGTAGTCCCAGCTACTTGGGAGGCTGAGGCAGGAGAATGGCATGAACCCAGGAGGCGGAGGTTGCAGTGAGCCAAGATAGCGCCACTGCACTCCAGCCTGGGCGACAGAGCCAGACTCCATCTCAAAAAAAAAAAAAAAAAAATCCTGCACTGTAACAACCCACAGGACTTCAAGTCACAGAGATATGGCAGCCTGTGTTCAAAAGGAGGGCTACCCTTCTCTGCACAGGCCTCCAGCCCCAAGACCAGAGGGAAACGCACTTCTTCTTCTTTTTTTTTTTCTTGAGATGGAGTCTTGCTCTGTCGCCAGGCTGGAGTGCAGTGGCGTAATCTCGGCTCACTGCAACCTCCGCCTTCTGATTTCAAGCGATTCTCCTACCTCAGCCTCCCCAGTAGCTGGGACTACAGGCACATGCCACCATGCCCAGCTAATTTTTGTATTTTTAGTAGAGATGGGGTTTCACCGTGTTGGCCAGGATGGTCTCGATCTCTTGACCTTGTGCTCTGCCCACCTTGACCTCCCAAAGTGCTGGGATTACAGGCGTGAGCCACCGCGCCTGGCCAGAAATGTGCTTCTTACCACATCCTTCCCCATGGCTGGCCAACACCATCCCAGCAGCCACTCTCTTCAAAGTGGCCTTACAGAGGGGACTCTGCCATCAAAAAGACTCCTCTATGATGAAGGGGCCTGGGAAGATGGAGTGATTCACCTGAGGTCCCTCAGCTTCTGCGGGCCACTCACTCGGTATAGCTGTCACGCGCCAGGGCAGTGGCAGGGGAATTCAGGAGCGACATGAGGGTCATTGCCACAATTGATAGGCCCCGGTTCAGGTGTTTCCTGTTGTGTTGGCCCCGGGGTCTGTCCATGGTTCTCACAGAGGAGGAGGAAGGGAGCTGGGCTTTGGTGAGCACAGTCGTGCTTTCCCACATGGGGGATGGCGGGTGGGGAGAGGGTGTGGCTGTAATCCCCTTTTGTGGGTGAGGAAACTGAGGTCTCCTGAAACTGAGACACACCCAAGGTCCTTGGGTGAGATTTGGACCTTGGCAGCCTGGTTTGGAGCTGTCCACTGGCCTAAGGGCTTCCCAACAGTGTTCAGGGAAGCCCTGGAATTCTGCTGCATTTTGTTTGTGTCAGGAGGTCAGGAGCCAAAGATAGGACCCAGGCTCACCCTTAACAAGGACCAGGCTCTGAGGGTAAAATAATGGCTGGAATCATCATTTTAGAACCATTGTAGGAAACACCTGTTCAGCAAGAATCATCAATGGATACTAAATCTGGGGAAATTTGTGGTGAGGTGCAACATATTTAGATGATCTTGTCTCCCAGATTATTAGTAAGAGGAAAAATGCAAAAACATTAACAGTAGAAAAATCAGACACCTGGCCCCAGTAATCAAAATGAACATCACCCATGAGGGCCAGATGCAGGTAGTCCATCTCCAGAGTAATATCCTGAGAAGGACCCAATTGCCTGTGCAGTTTCCAGCTGAGAATCCATAACCTCAATTAACTATCACAACTAAGCAGGTGGAAACCTCAGACAAACCCCAAAAGAGGAATCAGAAAGGGGAGGACTGTATTCTTCAAAAATGTCAATGTCATCAGAGACAAAGCAAGGCTGGGGAAATGTTTCAGATTGAAGGAGATGAAAGAGTGATGACAGTTGTATGCCTGACCTGACACCAACCAGAGGAAACATATAATAAAGGATATTATTGGGTCAAATGACAAATAGGAATATGAGCAATAAACTATTGTTATCAGTGTTAAATGTACTGATAACTGTACTACAGTTACATAAGAGAATATACTTATTTTTAGGAAATACACAGTGAAGTATTAAATATTTAAGGATAAGAAGCCATGATAACCAACTATCCAGTGATTCAGAAAAAAGTTATGGGCCAGGCGTGGTGGCTCATGCCTGTGATCCCAGCACTTTGGGAGGGCAAGGCAGGCGGATCACAAGGTCAGGAGTTCGAGACCAGCCTGGCCAACACAGTGAAACCCTGTCTCTACTAAAAATACAAAAATTATCAGGGCGTGGCGGTGTGTGCCTGCAGTCCCAGCTACTCGGGAGGCTGAGGTAGGAGAACCGCTTGAACCTGGGAGGCAGAGGTTGTGGTGAGCTGAGATTGTGCCACACTGCACTCCAGCCTGGGCAACAAGAGCAAGACTCCATCTCAAAGAAAAAAAATTATATGTATATGTGAAAAAGAGAAAGTGCTCAAAAGAGAAAACAGGTCAATCTTGCTAGAGTAAATGGGTGTTCTTTGCACTGTTCTTTTTTTGAGACAGATTCTTGCTCCGTTGCCCAGGCTAGAGTGCAGAGGCATGATCTCAGCTCACTGCAACCTTCACCTCCCAGGTTCAAGCGATTCTCATGCTTCAGCCTCCGGAGTAGCTGGGATTACAGGCACGCGCCACCACGCCCGGCTGATTTTTGTATTTTTAGTAGAGATGGGATTTCACCATGTTGGCCAGGCTGGTCTCGAACTCCTGACCTCATGATCCACCCACCTCGGCCTCCCAAAGTGCTGGGATTACAGACATGAGCTACCATACCATGGCCTTTGTACTATTCTTATTCCTGCAATTTTTCTCTAAGTTTAAAAGTATTTCCAAATGAAAAGTTTGGTTTTTGAAAACTATTGTTCCTTGCGACACTTAGCCCCCAGCCGTAGAAACACTGGGGGTGGGGGTATATATCAGAAAGGCCTGAGTTTAGCAAGAACAGAATGCTGCACAAGGTGGCTCATGCCTGTAATCCCCTTTGGGAGGCTGAGGTGGGAAGATGGCTTGAGGCCAGCAGTTCGAGACCAGCCTGAGCAACATAGTAGGACCACATCTCTAATAATAATAATAATAATAATAATAATAATAATAATAATAATAGGGTCCGGGCGTGGTGGCTCATGCCTGTAATCCCAGCACTTTGGGAGGCCGAGGTGGGTGGATCATGAGGTCAGCAGTTCGAGACCAGCCTGACCAACATGGTGAAACCCCGTCTCTACTAAAAATACAAAAAAAAACGGGCTCCTGTAATCCCAGCGACTTGGGAGGCCGAGGCAGGAGACTCGCTTGAAACTGGAAGGCAGAGGTTGCAGTGAGCTGAGATTGAGCCACTGCACTCTAGTCTGGGCATTAAGAGCAAAACTCCATCTCAAAAAAAAAAAATAAATAATAATAATAATAAGCAATAATGGAGCCCAGGAGCAGGCAGTGTCCCAGCCCAGCTTATGGAATGGGGGCCCTAGTACCGAGTTTGGAGGACTGGTGATACCAATCACCAACTGCTGTCTTGGAGAAGGGCAGCCCTGGAGCTGGCACCCACAACAACAAACAGGCTTGAGGCACTGAAGTTCCATAAAAATGGATTTATTGCCAAACTTTAAGAAAGGCGCTTCATAAGCAGAAGACACAGAATGCCACCCTCCTCAAGGAGGCAAGCACGGAATGCCACCTTCCTCAAGCACGCAAGCTAGGCAGGCCCTGCACGTTCTCACTCCTCTCCCAGAAGCCAGCTTCCTGCCTAGGGCCCAGCCTGCTAAAGGATGGAAATTAATAGCATTTGGTCACTTGAGGTGGCCCCAGAGCTACTTGCCTACCCACCAGGCCCCAGGGAGAGTGGCTGGGCCTCAACCTGTGACCTACATGCAGGGTCTCTGCACCCACAGACTCTGCCCTCAGTCCAGCTGCTGCAGTTAGCTACTTGACACAGGAGGGAACTGAGGCTCCAATTCCTGGCAGTAGGTGGCTTGGCTAAAGCCCCAGCCAGCCATGGCTGCTGGTGGGGGAAGGCTGTTCCTAAGGCAAGATGGCAGGGGATCACATGACTGGGCAACTGATGTCCTTCTTGCTCTTGTCCTGGGGCAGATGGAGGGAAAGCCAGACTGTGGCATGGGGGCCCAGTTTGCACAAGGAGGCTGATGGGGGCTCCCGAACCAGTGCATTGCTGCTCACCTCTGCTCCGGCCCCACGCAGCCCAGAGAAGACATCTGCCCCTCCTGATCCTTGACTACTACCTCAAGAACAAAGTGACAGTACAATAACGATAACGAAGGCATTGACCTGTGCAGCAGGCCTCAGTGGGGTTGGGGAACAGAGCAGAAAGGCCAGGGCATGTTGCTGTGACCCCCCCCTTTCTCTCTTTCAGTAAACAAAAGTGCACATGCAGAAATCTGGGCAGGTCCTATCGGAAGCTGCTCTCACCCCAGAGGCCCCAGGGAGAGTGGCTGGACCTCGGGAGCCAGGGCCTCTGCACCTACAGGCTCTGCCCTCAGTCCAGCTGCTGCAGCACGATGGAGACTGGATGTGCCCCTAGAGTCAGGGACAATGTGGGGGAGAGGCTGGGAGAGGACCAGGGTGCAGGGATGGACCAGGAAAGGGAAAGAAGAAAATGTCTCTTCTCCTAGAAAGTTACAGGAGAGCAGCCCATCTGGGGCTTGAAGGCGGGGAAGTGGCTTCGGATTCCAACATACCCCTATCAGCATTTGAAGAAATGACTGGGATACTGGACCTGTTTCGGCTGAGAAGGAACCACAGAGATCCAGATAAATCCCCATCTGAGGAGGCACAGAAGTTGGTGGGGATTCTCTTCTGAAGGCTGACATGATCATTACAAGTAAGTTTTTCTAATGTGGACATCAGAGCCACTCTGGGATCCACCTCTTCAGAAATATACAAGGCTGGACACTATCCAGGGGCAGAGACTAGACTAGGGGACCCCTTAAATTCCTCTTCCACTCTTGAATCCTCCAGACCTAAGCCCTCCAATCATAGCTCACTGAGAGGAAGGGGCTGCAGAAAATGTCCTTGTTTTGCAAAAAAGGAAACAGGGCCAAAGAGAGAGAGGCCACACAGCTAATGTCCTCCTCACAAAGAGGCCTCTCATCTCCCTCAAGAGGCTCCAGCTGGGTCCTACGTTCCCCCCAACTGAGGGATGAACCTAGAGCCTGGACCCAAGGCCTCTGCAGCTACTCAGAATAGGTGGGAGGAGGGGCTGGCTTTGAGGCTGCCTTAGCCATGAGGCTCTTTGCCTAGGAATAGCTGGAGATGGGAGCTGCAGGGGGCTCAGCTGTGCTGTATTCAGAAGTCAGGAATGTAAACTACTGGGGATGGGGAACAGAGATGATGTCATTCCCAGAAACCCCAAGTGCCGCCCCCAAAGCCCTGGGGCAGTTTGGAACGACCACACAAACACATAGGTCCCAGCGTGTGTGCTCCCAGCCCCAGCCCCAGCCCAGAGGCCAGGCCAGATAGCCAGGCAGTAGCCCTGGGTGGCACCTGGCACCACTGGCCAGAGCAGAGTAGGAAGGACGCCAGGAGTCTCTTCGGGTCATGGCCAAACCCTGACATGCCCAATGGCCCTCCTGCAGCCATTGCTGTAGAAGCAGAAGCACATTTCTCAGCAGGGCTGGGCCTTGATGGACTTGATGGATGGCCAGAAGGGATGGTGCCTCTGGCCCAGAAGGCCCTAGGGTGCACTTCTCCTGTAGAGGGTCACCAGCTCCTTCCGCTTCTCCCTTAGCCCAGGTGCTTCCTGGCTCAGCTCTCCCAAATCTCTCATTTCCTGCAGGACCTGGGTGGCCTGCCTCAGCTGCTCCACAGCCTGGCTGAGCAATGTTTCGGCACTAACAGGGGCCGGCTCACTGCCCAGCACCTTGTTCAACAGTTTCTCCGTCTGTTCCGAGGCCACCTTCACCTCCAGCTGGGCCCGATATAGCCGTTCCCTGGGCTGCAAGGGATGCCGCGGGCCTTCCCCAAGCAAGTCCCCAAGGGAGGAGCAGCGGGGATGGAACTGAGGTGGCAGGTCCCAGGGGGGCAGTGCTGTGGATGTTGTTGCATCCTTTGGAGGAGTTCCTGGGGTGCCCTCAGCCTGAGAGGGCTTGGCAGGCTCAGGACTGTCATCCATGCCATTCACTGAGACCTGCACTGTGCCTGGAGCAGGTGGCCCAGAAGCCTGCATCTCACCCATGGAGGCTTTCAGTTTCTCTGATAAGATCTTGGGTGGGGGTGTAGGGGGCTTCCCACCCTCCCTGGGGGCAGCCTCAGAAGTCTCAGAACAGGGTGCCTGGGACGGTTCTGCACTCTCTGCAGCAGGGGCCTCCTGGGGGCTGGGGTTCTCCCAGCTCACCTTCAGTTTGTCAGGCAGGACGCTGTTGGGAGGCTGCTCAGAGCCACTGTCCTCCTCTGCTGGGGTCTCTGAGTCCTCTTGGCTCTCAGGGGAGACCTCAGAGCTTGCTGAGACAGGGGTTGGGGCTCTCTCCCCCACAGGGGTCTCCACCCTGTCACCAGGGCTGGTGGTCTCAGGTGCTAGGAAAGGCTTGGTAGGAGGCATGAGGGGCCGGGGTGTCTCCCGAGGTTGGGCTTCACTGACATGATTGCTGGGGGCAAACACTGGTGGCCCACTGTCCGGAACATCAAGATCCAGGCGCAGAAGACCGTCAGAAGCTGCACTGGCCACCTGGTGGGGGGGATGGTATATGGGTGTCATCTTGGCTGACTAGCCATTGGGTCAGGTGTGCCCACTGACACGAGTTCTTACCCTCTCCCATCCAGGTTGTCCAGGCCCCCAGCTCCCCAGCCTCCCTCTGTCCTGGCTTCTGTGGCTACTTAATTAGAAGCTAAAGTGATTTCTTGATGAATCTTCCTCTCCTTTCCCTCACCACCAAAGAATTCCCTGTTTTGGAATCACAGGCCAGGAAAGTCACAGCCAGGGTCCTCTTGGAGCCCCAGGCTGGTTTCTGGGATACTGGACCTGGACTGGACTATACAAGCCTGGGTGGCAGGGGACAGAGTTCCAGCCCTGCATCTAACCCCTACCTAGCTGTATGGCCTTCAGAGGTTCCCTTCTCTGCAACCCACCTACCCATCACCATACCCAGGGTCCCCACAACCAGTTGGTCAGTCAGAGACAGGACCAGGACTCAAACATACTTCTTCCAGTTCATCTCAAGCTCACTGACTTCTGCTTGCCCTTCCTGGAGACCTCTGTTCCGTCTGCCAGCTTCTCTCCAGCTTTTGCCTGTCCAGCTGCTTGGCAGCCTGTGCCCACTCTCCTCATGTCATCAGATGTGGTCCCAGACCACAGCTGACTGCCAGAGAACAGCTGCACCAGAAGGCAGCTACCCACCCCCACCAGGCTCCAGGGACCAATAGGGATATCCAGCAGTCCCACAGTCATGAGACCCTCCCAGAGAGCCTCAGAGGCCCCAGCAGGGCTGGGCAGGAGGCCTTTCCCAAGGTCCCTCAGATGGTGGGGGTCCTGGCTGGGATCCTTACTCTCCCCTGCCACCTTATTTTTCTTAAGAGATGGGGCTGGCTGGGTGCAGTGGCTCACGCCTATAATCCCAGCACTTTGGGAGGCCGAGGCAGGCTGATCACCTGAGGTCGAGAGTTTGAGACCAGCCTGAGCAACATGGAGAAACCCCGTCTCTACTAAAAATACAAAATTAGCCAGGTGTGGTGGCACATGCCTGTAATCCCAGCTACTCGGGAGGCTGAGGCAGGAGAATTGCTTGAACCCTGGAAGCGGAGGTTGCAGTGAGCCGAGATCATGCCATTGCACTCCAGCCTGGGCAACAAGAGCGAAGCTCCGTCTCAAAAAAAAAAAAAGGGGGTCTCGCACTGTCACCCAAGCTGAGTGCAGTGGCATGGTCACAGCTCACTGCAGCCTCCAGAGTAGCTGGGACCACAGGCATGTGCCACGATGCCCATCTCCCTTTGTTGCTCTCACTCCCTTTTATACATACACAGGACCTGGCTGACATCAGGCACTGGGGACCACCAGAAAGTCACCCCTAACACACCACACACACACACACACACACACACACACACACAAACACACACACACACAGCGCCTCCCTGAACTCTTCTGTCAGAGGGCCCCTCCCTCCAAGGCTGGCCCTCCCTACATCCGTCCCCGGCCCCCATCAGGCATTCCTTTTCTCTGTGGCCACCTCAGTGCTCCCTCTGCAGGATCCTATCCCTCAGCTGACAGACAGGCACAGGCTGCTGCAACTCAAAAACAGACCTCCCACGACCTTGGGTCCCTCCCTCCGGCAAACCCAGCCCTGCACCCCGGGACAGCCCTAAATCGACTCCTTTTAGAAAATACGCTGCAAGGCCAGGCGCGGTGGCTCACGCCTGTAATCCCAGCACTTTGGGAGGCCAAAGTGGGCAGATCACGAGGTCTGGAGTTCAAGACCAGCCTGGCCAAGATGGTGAAACCTCGTCTCTACTAAAAATACAAAAATTAGCCGGGGGTGGTGGAGGGTGCCTGTAATCCCAGCTACTCGAGAGGCTGAGGCAGAGAACTTCTTGAACCCGGAAGGCGGAGGTTGCAGTGAGCTGAGATTGCACCCTGCACTCCAGCCTGGGCGACAGAGCGAGACTCAATCTCAAAAAAAAAAAAAAAAAAGAGGTGGGGGGAGAGGGGAGGGATAGCATTAGGAGATATAACTAATGCTAAATGACGAGTTAATGGGTGCAGCACACCAGCATGGCACATGTATACATATGTAACTAACCTGCACATTGTGCACATGTACCCTAAAACTTAAAGTATAATAATAAAAAAAAGAAAAGAAAGAAAAGAAAAAGAAAATATGTTGTAAATGCCTTGTCCTTGGTCCTGCCCTTGTGACTTGCGGCTGCCAACCTGGCTGATGCCCACCAGGTCTTGTGCCCATCTCTCTCCAGATGTGGCACTTGCCTCTGGCTTCCTCTTTCTTGGTTCCCTGCTAGCTGACCTCCCTCCAGTCCCTAAATGTAGCACTTGCTGAGGTTCTTTCCTGGCCTCCAAAATCCTCCCCTGCAGCATTAGCTCCACTGGTCTAAAAGAGTCTCCTCCCTTCCCCCCTCCCCATTGCCCATACCCTCTCCAAATTCCCTGTGCCCAGGGCCTCCATGCTCCCAGTCTCCAGGCTTGGGGAACCTCAGACAACCTTCCCTTGGTCCAATCCCCTGACTCAATCACAAGCCCAGGTGGCTCTTGCTTCCTAACATCCTCCCATCAACCCCTCCCTCTTCATCCCCTCCAGGGGCCTGGAAAGCCGCCTCCCCCACCTCCTTCCTGGCCCCTGCCTTTCCCTCTCTCAACCCAACCCATCCTACCCAGAGCCTCAAACTGACCTCTGAAACGCACTCTCCCTTCCTTGTCTCCAGCTTCTTCACCAAGGCCTCCACAATTTCCTCCCCACAACCCCCTTCTCAGACCCATCTCCCAGGCAAATGGAGCTGCTCCGCATACCTCAAACCCTCCCGCTGTGCCTCAGCTCACAGCACTCCCTCCACAGAGAATCCCCTGACTCCAAGTCCACCAAGTGAACCCCTCCCATCCTTCAAGGGTCAGCTAAAATGCCAGTGGCTCCTTGTGGTCCCTCCTGCCCTGACCTCCTAGAGCCTTCCTTCCTCCGCACAAAAATCAGACACAGCTTTGCATGGAGCAGTCTGTGGGATAGGCCTATTTTTCAGCTGGAAGACGAGCTCTGAGGGGCAGGGACTGGCCTCATGGGCTTCAGTTTCCCTCTGGCACCAACTCTGGCTAAGGACAGATTCAACATTTGTGTGTGGATTGAACAAATGGAAAAGGCTACAGGCTCAAGGACATCCATACCCTGAGCACGTGTAACACAGGTGCCCCATCACTTCCTGTCTACTCCTCAGGAAGCCCCAGCTCCAGGTGTCCTCAGGAAAAATGTGGCCCCAAGCCTGGCTGCCGCCCAGAGGAGCTGAGGTCCTAGGCTCAACTAACCCCAACATCCACACTGGGTAAGGCCCTACCTCCTTCAGGTGGACTCTCGTTGGTGGCCGGCGTCGCTGGCCCCCTCGCACCCGGTCCCGTGTCACATGCTCCAGGGCGCAGCTCTTGTCCACCTTTACCTGGAGGGAGGGGGAACCAGATCAGCCCCTGCCAAGCCTTGGGGAGTGTGGGAAGTAGCCAGGGCGGACCTGGCTCAGAGCCAGGGTCAGTGCCCCACCGCTGCCCTCTCTGGGAATCTCCCTGCCCTGGCCTCTGCTTCTCTAACTCTGCAATGCCCCTGGAGTCTCTTGCAAAGTCTGAGGCTCTCCCTCTCTGCAGCTGCCATTTGCCTCAGTCTTCCTGCCCAAATATGGGCCATCGGCCCTTGCCCCTGAGTATATCACAAATATATAAGCAGCCCTGAGGTGGCTTTGGGGCTTAGCTAGGAGAGAAGGTTGAAAGCAGCCTATGCTCCCCTGGTACCTGGTTTCTGGAAAAGGTCTGCCCTGGCCTCTGCCACCCTCCCAGGACCCCTGGAGAGAGCCCAGAGAGAGAGCAGGGCCTCTGCCCCTTGAGTCTGGGAGCCTGGAGGTCAGCATCTTCTCTCTGAGGGTAACAGAAGGGGTCAGGATTGGCTGGGAAGTCTCAGAGTAAGAGTCACATGGGAGGTCCAGACTCAGAACCCTGGAGCAGCCTGGCCCTATGATGGGGAGTGGGGGCTCAGGCCCACATGTGACTCCAGCTGTCTCTGTCCCTCTGTCCCTCTGTCCCTCAGTGGGCTGAGGCCCAGCCCATGGCTCCTATGGCCTCCCCCAATATCTATGATATGTCCCATCATCCCTCTCCCGTGGAACGGGGACACTTTTCCCCTAGGTAGTGAAGGGCTGAGCATGACATGTAACACAGGACACGACATAGGAGCTATGGGCTGGGAGTCGGGGAACCTGGGTATTAAGAGGGGACTTGCTTGGGAAGATTTGCTCCTTGACATAATCCAAGGCATCACTGTAGGTGGCCCCCAGGTCCATTTTAGCCCAAATAACCAAAGATCCGTGATGTCAAAGACAAATCTTCCTAGGAGATCCTGGCCCCATGGGATGCTCTGCCTGCCCCAAGCCAGATTGTGGCTACTGTTGCCACAGTCCCCAGTACAGCACAGGGGGCTGAGGTCTGCAGGGCTGAATGGTCATTGCAGACAGAGAGGGAGGCCCAGAGCTGAGAGCCAGCCTGCCCTGGACTTCATGGTCAAACTGAAAAGGGAGCTGTCGGCTCACTCTGCAGCACTCTCTGGCCTGGGCCCACCTGCTGCTTCCAGCTGAGGCCAGGCTTAGAAAGGATGCATGCTGCCACCAGTCTAGTTCCAGCCCACCACTTATCTGCTTTCCAGTTTAAGACAAGTTACTTAATTTCCTTAGGCCTCCATTTCATCTGTAAAACAAGGACAGCACCACCTACTATGAGGGGCTGTAGTGAGGACTATAGAAGGTAACAACAATGCCCCATAGCAGTGACATAATCAAGGGGTAGTCTGGGGTAAGGAGGGGCAGGGTCCTCTCCTAGATCACACGCAGTGGGAAAGGAGACACAGAGCTGTCCATGTCCACAGACTGCATCGCACCTCATCGAAAGCCTTGTTTTTGCCTCGGTTAATCCCTTCATTGAGGGCTTTGATCCAGGATTCCTTCTCCTCCCCGGTGGGTGCCTGGAATTTGATGTCGCTGACCTGTGGGCAAGATGGATGGAGTAGATGGCAGATGTTTAACAAAGCTCACATTTGGCATCTTAAGGAGGCTTCCTTACCTAGATCCCAAAGTCAAACCAAAATGACCCCACAGTTAAGTATGACACTGGGGCTTTGGGCCAGGAAAGGGAAAGATCTCACAGAGAAGCCCTCCCCACTGCCCACCAGTATGCAGCTGGGTCTAGATTCGAATCAGCCTGGCCTTGTGGAAAGAGCCCGGATCTGGTCCAGCTCCATGGGACTCCCCCAGGCCAGCTGCCTGGGCTCTGGGCTTCCGTTTACTCTGAAAAGTAGGAATAGCCCCAGTCTACATTCAAACCCACCCCACACCACCCATGAGTCCTTTCCCAATTCAGGTAGGAGCTCTGAGCTCCTGTTAGAATCAGAGGGTGGCTCAGAGAACCCTGACCCTGCCAGGCCCAATGGCCAGACAGGAAATAAGAGGAAGGAGTGAGGTCATGGAAACTGAGGGGCTGCCTCACGCAGTGGACAAGGCAGTAGGGCCTCTGAGCAGGACAGTCCACCACTTACAGGTGTCTGACCTCAGGCCTCAGTTTCTTCAACTGTAAAAGAGAATACCACCAGAACCTGCCTCATGGAGCCATGAAGATCATTTTTAAAATGATGTATCCAATTTGTACACCCATGCTCATAGCATTGTTCACAACAGCCAAAAGGTGGAAGCAACCTCAGTGTCCACTGACAGATGAATGGATAAGCAAAATGTGGTCCATACGTACAATGGATTATCAGCCAGCCTTAAAAAGGAAGAAAAATCTGACACATGCTACAACAGGGATGAACCTTGAAAACATTGTGCTAAGTGAAATAAGCTGGACACAAAAAGACAAAAACTGTACAATTCCACCTATATGAGGTACCTAGAGTTGTCAAAATCATAGAGACAGAGAGGAGAGTGGTGGTTGCCAGGGGCTGGGGAGAGGGGCAATGGGGCATTATTATTTAATGGGCATAGAGTTTTAGTTTTACACGATGGAGAGTTATGTGATGGATGGTGGTGATAGCTGTACAACACCATGAATGTATTTAATGCCGCTGAATTGTGCAATTTCAAACTGGAAAAGATGGTAAATTTTTTTTTACCACAGTTTTTTATTTTTTAATTGAGGGAAAAAAGATATATCTAAAGTACTAAATCTGGAGCTAGGCAGAGTGAATACTCAGTAATAGGAATTAGCACCATTGCCTTCCCTCTGGACAAAACAGTTTGTTTCCTCGTCTGTAAGATGGGATAACACTGCCTACTACCAAGCAATGATGGGGAAATTAAACATGATTAAAAGCAGGGACTGGCACATAGTAGGTGCTCAGTAAATAGTTCTTGAATGAATGAGCCAAAAAATTAATGAACTGGCTCAAGTTTCCTTCCCTCACCATTTTTGGACCACTGCCTACTCTCTGACCTCAAGATGCCCTAGTTCTTTGTTGGCGGTCGCCAGCTTGCCCATCCTCCACCCTGGTGTTAGATAGTACCTCCCCTCCCTCCACTCTCCAGTTATGTAACACCGAGGTCGGCCTGGCCCCCTCAGCATCCTCATTATATAATTTCCTCCTGGCTGCCACTGCCTCCTCCTCATGCAGGGCCCTGGGTCCCACCCCCACCATGCCAGGCACAGCCAAATGCTCATTTGCATGACCAGGGTAAATTTGATCCTGGAAGCAGATCTTCAGTTAAGTCAGAAACCCCAGGGCACCTTGGCAACTGCCTCAGCTCAGCCATCAGGGCTGCTGGGGGCTCAGAGACAGACCACACTGCATCTGGGGTCGCTAAGGCCACCCAACTCTGTGACGGGACCTGCTAGAAAGGGAGTCTGGGGCCAGCCCTTCTACCCAGCTGCTCCTCCTATTCACAGGCTCAGAGCTGGTGTGACCCCTGCATGGTACAGGATTTAGCATCCAGGGAGCTTGAAAAGTGTACAGCTGAACTCAGGAGCCAATGGAACAAGAGGAGGCCAGAGAAGAGCAGGCCTAGAAGTCAGATTACCAAGTTCTACTCGCTTCATTACTCTGGACCTCAAAGGGACAAGAACAGAACCACTGGACCCAGCCCAAACTGCAGCTCCTTCCCCACTGGCCCAGCCCACCTGAAGCAGGCTGCCTCGGCTCTCTTCTGCTCCCTTGTGAGAAGCAGAAATGGCCTCAGAGAAGACCTATTGTGCAAGCCAAAAGGCTCCCACAGGAGAAGGAAGACAAGGTTAAACAGGACCCAGCTCCACCCTCCTAAGGAACCCTGTATCTGGCTGAACGAGCCAGGCATTCCACAAGGATGACCACAATAGAAACAATTAGAATACCAAGAAGTTACCAGCCTGGGCAACATAGTGAGACCCCATCTCTACAAAAAATATGAAAATTAGCCAGGCATGACGGTGTGTGCCTGCAGTCCCGGCTACTCAGAAGCTGAGGTGGGAGGATCACCTGAGCCTAGGAGGCAGAAGTTGCAGCAAGCTGAGATAATGCCACTACACTCCAGCCTGGGTGACAGAGTGAGATCCTGTCTCAAAAAATAAGAATACCAAGAAGCTGTGCCTCTCCCCAAAAACCATCCTGAAGGGCCACAGGCTGTACAGGTCCCTGCCCTGAGAACTTCCAAGAAGCCCCAGGGACATAGGCACTGCTAGGAGCTTAGATGCTAACAGGACTGGCCACAGACTAGGCCCACAAGGCCTGGGAAAAGGTTAAGGACAAAATGGCAGAGAGGAAAAAAGTGGGAGGGGAAGAGAGGAGGCAGGAAAGAGGAAAGGGCCAAGCTGGCTGAGACCAGCAGGGCAGCAAGGCCCAGCAGTGGCCACCCTGCTTCCTGGCAGCGTCTGCCTGTGACCTCATGGGCAGGGGTGTGGGGCTGGAGAAGCAGGGGGAGAGGGGCATGTAAGACATTGGAGTCTTTGTTTATTTGATTAGAGGGGAAAAAAGGCGGCCTCAGGACCAGACAGCCAGGGTCATGTGACCTCCTGGCCGGCTGGAGGCCTCACTGAGGACGGGGAACACCCAGGCTGCTGAGAAAGGAGGGTGAGAGGATGTGGGAATGTGGTGCCCTGGGCCAGGTCCACCAACTGACCTCTGGAGAGCCCCAATCTGTGTGAGCTCCTGGGGTGGGGAGGGTCAGGGACCCTTGAGCTGGAACCAGGATGCACTGTTTCATCCGCAGCACCCACCACTTGCTCCACAGCCCCATCTCCTGTTCTCAGAGCCAGCCTAAATTCTTGTCCTGTTCTCAGAGCCAGCCTAAATTCTTGCAGGGTTGGGGGCTGGTAGGGAGGGTGTTGGCTGAAGCAGCTGAGAACACAGCTGCACAAACAGGCTTCTCTGAAGGTGATGTCCCACCCTGAGCTGAGCCAAGCCCACCTAGTCTATCACCAGCTGATTCTCAGAGCTGGGGAAGAGATGGCCCACAGAACAGCACAGGCAGAGGCCAGAGAGGCTAGGTCCCCCTCCACCCCACATCCACATAGCATACTAAGACACACACCCAGACAGACACACGGCCAGGTGAGCACTCACCTGCATTAAAAAAAGATACACACATAAGGGCCAGACACACAGGTGGCAGATCTTCACACAGAACATACTTTGCATCTCATCTCTCTCAAACACACATCCACATATACAGTGCCCACTCAGGAAGGAAGTGGGTCTCCAGGACAGGGTAGGGGCTCCAGGCCTTGAAAAGATTAAAATGTGACTCTTTTTGTCCTCAAAGAGCCCTAAGCAGCAGATGTCAAGTGAAACCTGGGCCCAGTCCCATGAGCCCTCATAACACTATAATTATACCAGCCGCTACCCTGGGATACACTTCCAGCTCCCTAGTATCACAGCTCCACAGCCCCCTCCACTGCTATCTTGGTTGCTTCTGCGCCCCCACCCCCTGCACAGTAGGACAAAGGGTCAATGAGTAAAGCATTGTGGTCTTCAGGGTCTGCAGAGGACTGGGCTCCTATCCCCTAAAGCTGGGGGAGAAACAGAATGGCCTCCAGCAGGCCCAGACCAGACTTGCTCCCCAACTCCCAGCCTCTGTGACTCAGCCCTATTCTGCGAGGCTCCACATGACATGCAGAGGACAAGGCAAGGAATGGCCCAGCCGCAGATGGGTGCAAGCTGGCGAGAGGTGCTGTGCATGCCAGCCTCAAATCTGAACTCGCTCCTGACATCTGTGAAGCTACACCATGTGTCAACACCCACCAGACTCCCCGCCAGAGAAATGTGGTGCAAACAGCAAACTTCATCTGTACACACAGCATGTCCCAGGGAAAGACTCTCTCAAGCCAGGGACCTTCCCCAGCTACAGCCAAGAAAGGAAAGTGCAAGGGGAGGAAAGCTGGGGGGCTGCAGGCCTCCTAGTCCTTAGTCCAGGGTGGGCCCACCCACAAAGGCCTGGGATGAAGGGAGGCCACACACTCCCCCTCTGCCCCAGGCTGCATCACGGTGTTGAGGCCTGGCAGGGTGGAGGCCTCAACCACAGCTCTCCTGCCTCAGCCCTGGGCCTCCCCCAGGGTCTGGGGTACAGCCAAGTGCCCCACCTCCCAAAGGCTACTTTCCAACTACAGCCTGGGATGGAGGCCCTGGGCCTGCAAGAGGAAAAGGGGAGCAGAGGTCTCTCAACAGAGCCCTAAGTGCATCTCTTATCAACTAGGGGCTTGGAAGATTCCGAGACAAAATGAGCAAAGGTCTGACCTATGGTGGCTGCTAGGGCTGAGCCTCAGCCACACGCAACGGAAAACAGGCTTTTTCAAGGGGCCAGGCCTGCCTTAAACCTGCTTAGGCCTCCCAAGCTGACTCTGGGCTAGAGGGAGATGGGGCAGCAGCAGGCATCGCCCTACCTTGTTCCCTGGGGATCGCAGCAGGATAAAGCGGTGTTTTCGCTTGAGGAGGGCACGAAGGTCCTGGCACTTCTCATAGCTGCCCAGCTCCACAGTCTCCACACACTTCTGATCATCCTGGGGAGGGAGACAGAAGGGACATGAGCTGGTGACAGTCAGACCCACCACCACCCTCAACTACTCATGTCCCAGACCCTGATCCCACTCAGCGAGGACATCACTTGGTTAGAGGGAGGACCTCAGGCTGCCAATCAGTCACCAAGATGTGGTGTCCAGACCCTGGCAAGTGCATGCTGGCTGGAGGGATGCCCACAAGGCTCCCCATCCAGATGGGAGATGGGCACATAGCCCAGAGGCGCGTATGTGCCTAAGGCCAGAGGAGGAAACAGAGGGGAAGCTAGAGAGGATAAGAAAAGGCTGTCTGGGGTCCAGCCATGCCCAGAGGCCAGGCAGAGATCTGTGGAAGAGAAAGCCAGAAGAAGAATGCAGGATGCCACAAAATGGCAGGCAGGGAGTGGGATGGGGACGGGGGACAACGACTTTCCAGGAAGAGCCAGAGGGAAGTGTGAACAAGGCAAATTTGGGGCTACATGCCCTGCCTTCAGCACAGCCATCCTGAATTGTGCTCCTCACTCAGCATCACCCCCTGCGGAGCCCTGGCTTGGGAGAGCAGCACCTCATCCAAGGCTGCAGGCTACATACAAGCAACAGGCAAGGGCTCCTTGAAGCGCATCCCATCCCCACCCCACCACTCGGAGGCCTCATCATTAGGAGGGCCAGTGGCCAGAACAGTGCCCAGCCTCTTCCCGGCCATCTCTGGACACCAGCCAGACTGTCTTCCTGCCCACCACTCCTGACATTTGAGTGTTTTCTCCACAGGCTCCACCCATCAGGTGCCTGTCCAGCAAGCTGCCTGGGAAAAGCTCCTCCCTCAGTGGTGGTCAACTGGTCCTCTTCCAGGGAAGACCCAACTGGAACAACTTCCTGGGTGTGGCACTCTGTCATCCAGGAGAGTCCAGGGAAGCAGAAGCAGATCCTTTGGTGGGGGAGGGTACACCACCCTGGGACGGGCCAAAAAGTTAAGGAAACCCTTGCTGATGTTTAACAGAAGAAATCTGACACTTAGTGAGCACTTCTGCATCCCTGAGTCTCTGAACCTCACAATAACCCTGAAAGCCTGCAGCCCCATATCTGCCTCATTTTAGAAGGAAAGAATGAGGCCTGGAGGTGAAGGGATTTGCCCTAGGCACACAGACCCAAATATAAGGGGCAGGGCCCCAACTCAAACCACAGCCTCTGACTCCCAGGCCAGGGCCCTTTCCAGCACAGCACACTCCTTCCAGTCACAGGCAGTAGGTTGCTCTGCACGAGGGGTCCTCCAAGGTTGGGACCTAGGCCAGCAGCATTCGCACCACCTGAGAGCTTGTTAGAAATGCAAACTCCCGGCTGGGTGCGGTGGCTCACACCTGTAATCCCAGCACTTTGGGAGGCCGAGGCGGGCAGATCACGAGTTCAGGAGATCGAGACCATACTGGCCAACACAGTGAAACCCCATCTCTACTAAAAAAAATACAAAAAAAAATTAGCCGGGCAGTTAGCCGGGCGTGGTGGCGGGCACCTGTAGTCCCAGCTACTTGGGAGGCTGAGGCAGAAGAATGGCGTGAACCCAGGAGGCGGAGCTTGCAGTGAGCCAAGATCGCTCCACTGCACTCCAGCCTGGGCAACAGAGCGAGACTCTGTCTCAAAAAAAAAAAAAAAGAAAAAGAAAAAGAAATGCAAACCCCCAGGCCTCATCCCCACTCAATCATTACACCTAAGAGGGTGGGCCTGGCAATCTGCGTTCTAACTAGCCCCCAGGGATTTTGATGGATGCGAATTTTTTTTGTTTTTTGTTTTTTTGAGACAGAGTCTCACTCTGTCGCTCAGGCTGGAGTGCAGTGGCATGATATCGGCTCACTGCAACCTCTGCCTCCTGGGTACCTGCGATTCTCCGGCCTCAGCCCCCCGAGTAGCTGGGATTACAGGTGCCTACCACCACGCCCGGCTAATTTTTGTAGAGACATGGTTTCACCATGTTGGCCAGGCTGGTCTCGAACTCTTGACCTCAAGTGATCCACCTGCCTCAGCCTCCCAAAGAGTTGGGATTACAAGCATGAGCCACCAAGCCTGGCCTGGATGCGAACAGTTAAGAACCACTGCTACCAGCCTGGCCAACATAATGAAACCCTGTCTCTACTAAAAATACAAAAATTAGCTGGGCATGGTGGCATGAGCCTGTGGTCCCAGCTACTCAGGAGGCTGAGGCAGAAGAATCGCTTGAACCCAGGAGGCGGAGGCTGCAGAGAGCCGAGATAGCACCACTGCACTCCAGCCTGGGTGACAGAGGGCGACTCCTTCTCAAAAAAAAAAAGAACCACTGCTCTACACCAGAGGTTCTCAGCCTTGGTGGCACCTGGGAGCTTTTAAAAACCCCAATGCCCAGGCGACATCCCAGACCAATTATACCACAATCTCTTGGGGTGCAAGGCCCAGACCTCAGGATATTTTAAAGCAGATGACTGTATATCTAATGTGGATAACTACTAATCGACTCTCTCGTCAGCCCCTCAGAGAAAGGGGAAGAGATGGCCAAGGTGGCCTTATCTCTCCCAACCAGGTTAAATCAAGTATCTTTTCTCATTTTTGCTTCCATCCATACATCCCTTTCCAATCTCTAGCCTCCAGTACCTTCCAGATTCCTCAACTAAACAGACGGACCAGAAAAATCCTCTTGCTCTGAGAAACTCCCCTGCCCCCAACCATGAACCCCTGAACTTGAGTGCTCTCCATCCCATCATTTACTGCCAGGGGGATGCAAACATCTACAAAACACCTGCAAGATGCAGACACCCTATGAGGTGCTAGGAGCCGAGTCCTGCCATGGGAAAACACAGTCCTGACTCCCTGCTTGGCCATCTTTCTCTACCCCATTCTCTGTGTATCTATCTGCTTATCCTTCTGTTCCCCCAACTGCACCCTACAAGCAGCAGCCCTCAAGCAGAACATATGTAGGACCAGTTTTCTGAGTGCCTTATCCAGATTGAGAACTCAGGAAGTCTCCTCCTCCCCGGGAATCTGGAGCAGGGAAACTGCCCGGGGAAGAATCCTTGCTTGAGAGAGAGCAGCTTACTTGCCCCGTGTCCACAGGCCTCCACTAACTGGACCGCCACTGGCCCGAATACACCCTCCTCTGCCTGGGAACAAAAAGTCCATCCACCTCTACCATTAAGCTCCCAATAGCTGCCTGTCCTGGGTCTCCTCTCCACCCCACCCCAAGACGCTGAATCATCCCAGCTCTTCTGCAGCTCAGAAAAACGGATAAACCAGTAGGCAATGGGTGAGGGAAGCATCTTTGGAATGTCAGCCTCTCTGACAGCAAAGAAACAGCCAAGAGCCATTCGCATTCGCCTAGTTCCTTACATCAGAAAGAGGAATTGAGCTAATAAGCATTTCTCAATTCCTACTCCAGGGCCAAGCTCCCCCACCCCTAAGTGTTAAGTTCCTGAAATTGCATTTACATTTTTAATAGCAATCTTTTTCAAACAAGGGGAAAAAAGCATGATTTAGATTTTTCATGTTTGGGAGATGTGAAATCCTTCCTGCTTCCCAGCTGTGGCCAGATGCAGAGAGGCAGTTTAGGACAAGTCTGACAGTACCTGACAGGCTGACAGCTGAAGCCTGTTACTTAAATCTCATGGCAGCTGGCACTGGAAGAAGCTGTGACAACCCCCTTTATTGGAAAAAAGGTCCCCCTGCTGCCTCATTCTCAACTGTGGCACATCCTATTTTGGTGGGAGCAGCAGTAGAGAACATCTGGGGGTGCTGTCTACGCACCCTCATTCCCTTGCCCTCTTCCCACTGCTTCTCTGACACCCAAACAAACTCCACGAGCCAGCAACTCAGGTAGGTCAGACAAGGTGTTTCTCCGAGGCAGCTCCTTTAAACACTTTGGATCCAGGTTGCCTAATCTTTCTTGTCCTGGGACAACTGTGAATTTGCCAAGATAGCCTGAGGCAGGCTGGGAGAGGTGGATGAGGAAGAGGCAGGCTCCCCCTTCTGCCCCCAGGCCAATTCTTCCCCAGGTATTTCATTTGTCAAAGGCATATATTGCTACCCTGTTTTCAGTGGATGGGCCCTCCGATAGCCTCAACCACAGCACACAAATAGCATCTACAAGTAAAAACCACTTTTCTTCCTCAAGTCTTCACCTACATCTTAATTGACTCTTAGTTAACACGCAAGCTTAGCATCCTTGGTTGTCCAAATCCCAAGCCTGCTGAAATCAGAAGGGGAACAAGCATCTGAAGTGGGAAGAAGTGAGGGCTATTCGAGGCACAAGGACAGCAGAAGTTGCAACCAGCAGCTTGATGTTAAAGGAGAAAGAAAAGATGAGAAGTACAGCCTCCTGCCAGTTCAAAACAGAGAGGCAATCTGCCTCTTTACCCCTGTGCATCTAGAGAACCCACTCTGCAGGTGGGTCTGACAGGTGATGACACTGAGCCACCAGGGAAAGATTTTATTTAGGCCAGAATCTTCTGTTGAAGAAAGCGGAGAATATTTAACATATTTTAGAGATTTTCTAACAAAAATAAGTTTTGGAGTTTACTTGCTGGCGTCTCTTGGTAGAAAGCACGCTGGACTTGCTTCTAGACCTAACTCCTCCATTCACTGGGAGATGCTGAACAGTCATCTTGTCACCCTGAGCCTCAGTATCCTCTTCTGTAAAAATCTAACATGAAGACCACTCTCATGGGACTATTGCAATTTGTCATAGGGAGATATGTAAGAGCATATCTCCAAACAAGTACGAGTGCTACTTATTATTTTTTTGTTTTTTTGAGATGGAGTTTCACTCTTGTTGTCCAGGCTGGAGTGCAATGGCATGATCTCGGCTCACTGCAACCTCCACCTCCCAGGTTCAAGTGATTCTCCTGCCTCAGCCTCCTGAGTAGCTGGCATTACGGACATGCACCACTACACCCGGCTAATTTTGTATTTTTAGTAGAGATGGGGTTTCTCCACGTTGGTCAGGCTGGTCTAGAACTCCTGACCTCAGGTGATCCGCCTGCCTCGGCCTCCCAAAGTGCTGAGATTATAGGTGTAAGCCACTACAACCCGGCCTGCTAATTATTATTTCTACTACCACTGCTGAATGGAGCAGGCTTCAGTTTTCCATAACATTCACTCATATGGAACCTTGCCCAGGGACAGGAAAAGACTTGCACACTAGATGCACATACAGTTCAAAGAACTCTCCGCTGGGCACGCAGGCTCACGCCTGTAATCCCAGCACTTTGGGAGGCGGAGGTGGGTGGATCACCTGAGGTCAGGAGTTCGAGACCAGCCTGGCCAACAGGGTGAAACCCTGTCTCTACTAAAAATACAAAATTAGCCGGGTGTGGTAGCTGACGCATGTGATCCCAGCTACTTGGGAGGCTGAGGCAGGAGAATTGTTTGAACCTGGGAGGCGGCAGTTGCAGTGAGCTGAGATCGTGCCATTGCACTCCAGCCTGGGCAACAAGAGCGAAACTCCATCTCAAAAAAAAAAAAGAGGGCCAGGCGTGGTGGCTCACACCTATAATCCCAGCACTTTGGGAGGCCAAGGTGGGTGGATCACGAGGTCAAGAGATTGAGACTCTCCTGGCCAACTTGGTGAAACCCTGTCTCTACTAAAATACAAAAAATTAGTTGGGCATGGTGGTGCATGCCTGTAATCCCAGCTACTCCAGAGGCTGAGGCAGGAGAATTGCTTGAACCAGGACCCAGGAGATGGAGGTTGCAGTAAGCTGAGATCGCACCACTGCACTCCAGCCTGGGCTACAGAGCGAGACTCTTTCTCAAAAACAAAAAATAGCTGGGCATGGTGGCATGCATGCCTATAGTCCCAGCTACTCAGGAGGCTAAGACAGAGGAATTGCTTTGCTTGAACCAGGCGGCGGAGGTTGCAGTGATCCGAGATCTCGCCACTGCACTCCAGCCTGGTGACAGAGCAAGACTCCATCACCAAAAAAAAAAGAATTAAGTTTAAAAAAATAAGAAAAGAACTCTCATCTAGAAACCCTAGATTTGTCCTCGGAGGTATTATCCCCATATACAGAGACCCAAGAGAGGATTAGGTACTCGCTCAAGGTTGCACAGCATGGCAAAAGTAGAGCAGGTCTTCTGGCCCCAGACCCAGGGTCCTCCTACTAACTTGAATGCCCTCACTTTGCCCCTGTCCCAGAACCCCCAATCTCAGGGCCAAGCAGGTCCTCACCTCATTCTCATAGACCAGCAGCTGGGCCTGGCAGAGGAGCAGATATCGGTCTTTCCAGAAACCCAGGAGGCCCCCACTGCTCTTCTTGATCCAGCCAGCCTTGTCCACCATCTGTGCTCCCCGAGGCTTCTCACCGGCTTCCTTCACACCCTGTAACACAGCACCAGTTCATACCATGAGGGTTGCTACCATGGGGTCACAGGTCACAGGTTCATAGGTCACACAAGGGATGTGTCCCTAGGCTAAGTACCTAATGACATCATAATATGTGAGCTTCCCCACAACCCCCAAGGCAGATATTCCTAACCCAGGATCAGAGCTAATAACAACAATAATAGCAGCAGCCACTTTACTCTGAGCCACTGTATAACATTTGATACACATAGTGTCATTTCACTCTTACAACTCCCCTCCAAGATGGTAGCCTCATTATCCACATGTCATAGCAAACTAAAGCTCAGAATGGAGGATGACTCGACAGAGTGGCAAACCACTGCTAGAGGACAGAGCCAGAATTCAAAGCAGGTCTCTCTGACCCCACGTTTTTCCCACTCCACCATTCTGCTTCCATGTGTTCATTCAATCAGTCAACAAATGTACTGAGTGCTTACAACATCACAGGAGAATAAAAGTAAGGCAGTCTCTGTCCTCAGAGCTCACAGTGCGGGAAAATAGGAGCTGAACAAATAAATACCCAGGCATACCCATCAACCTGTGTGAAATGCTATACAGGAAACACACAAAGGGCAGCGAGAGGACAGTGGGGGACCCAGTTCAGGTTGGGGTGGCCCAGGAAGGCCACCCAGAACAAAGACTGGAAGGACAGGCAGGCTGAGTGGCAATCTGCCTCTCTACCGCTATGCTTCTAGAGAACCCACTCTGCAGCCCCTTCCGCTTCCCACCCAAAGCAGGAGGCTCCTCTCCCCTCCTCCCCACTCCAGGCAAGGACCTTAGGGTGGCCACCACATCTGGTGAGGGTTCCAAGGACTCTGTCTTTGACCACAGGCTGGCACAGGAGTTAAATTCAAGCCCTTCTCTTGGACTTGGGTAGACACCCTGGAGCCTTGGGGCCAGCTACTGACATCTTGTGCCTCATTGATTGCCTGCTTGGGTGGCTGGGTGCCAGATACATGCCTACCAAATAAGGTTGGGGTCAGATCCACTTCTGGGTCCCCAGCACCCAGCCCTGTTCTTTTACACATAATGGGTGCTCAAGAGGTACGCGTGAAATGAAAATAAAAATACACACCCTTTGCTAACCACTTTGCTTCACTGATAGGTACCCAGAGTCGTGAGTGTGAAGTGGGGGGTGAAGGAGAGGGGATCAAGAATGTGTCAGAATCTAGAGGCTGCTAGAAGGAAATTAGCATGGACTAATTTTGACTACGTTATAATTTACATAAAATTCAAAAAAGGGGCCCCAGTTAAAAGAGGTGTGCCTCTCCCCAGGGATATCCTGTGGCCACAGCTGCCTTTGGAAGAACAAGCCCAGACAGATGTAAGCGTGGTGCACTGTCAGGAGCTGGGAAGACCTGGCTTCCCTGGTCTCTGTCATGGCAGGGGAACCCCAGCCTGGTTCTCACTGTGGGCCCCCACCCCCTTTTGAACTGCGCATTCTAGTGGTGGGGAATCTGGGCTTAGAAGCTGCAGTCATGCAGACTGAAGCAAACCACTTAACCTCTCTGAGCCTCAGTTTCTTCATCTGTGAAATGCAGCTACTAACAGCAGAAGTTGTAAGGAATCCAACTCCACGAGGGCAGGATTTTTGTTTTGTTCACTCCTGTACCCTCAGTTCCTAGACAGTGACTGGCACATAGTAAGTGTTCAATAAACATTTGTTGCTGAGTAAAGACAAAGCATATAGAGCAGTTCCCAGGATGCCCTAAACCTAGTAAACGGCAGCTGTCATTATTGTTACTATTGTCACTGCCATCCTCTCTGGCTCTCAGGGACCCTCTCCCTGGGCCCAGTTCCCAAGTCAGGACAAGCCCTTTCTGGTCTATAGCTGCTGGCCTCAGATCTCCAGGAGCTCCAGGAATGTGGGGTCCCACCTTGGGGTCTCTCCCTAACTTGTAGATGGCAAGAGAAATGGGGAAGTGGGGTGGTCCAAATGATCTTCCCAGGGTCTTCTTCTACAGGCATGGTGGGTCATGCCTGTAATCCCAGCACTTTGGGCCGAGATGGGCAGATCATTTGAGGTCAGGAGTTTGAGATCGGCCTGGCCAACATGGGGAAACCCCAACTCTACTAAAAATACAAAAAATAGCCGGGCGGTGGTGGCGCACGCCTGTAATCCCAGCTACTCAGGAGGCTGAGGCAGGAGAATCCCTTGAGCCAGGAAGGCGGAGGTTGTGGTGAGCCGAGATTGCACCACTGGACTCTTGTATGGTTAACAGGATGAGGCCCTGTCTCCGAAAAAAAAAAAAGGTCTTCCCAGATATAGGAACAAGGAAGTAGAAGGCTGGCCGATTATGAGCCACCCTGTCCAGGAGAAGAGGGATTTCAGCACCCTTTGACAAGAAGGGAAAGGCTCTCCCATTCCATCATGCACTCAACTCCCATTCCCCACATCACCACTGACACCCCCAGGGCCCTAACACTACTTCAGCGAGCCCTGCAGGCTGTCATAGGCCCAGGGCTAGAAGGGAAGAACAGGGAAATGGGAAACCCCACCCCCACATTTCACACTGACAACCCTCCTACTGCAACGGCAACAGCAAGGACAGCACCACCAGCCCCTGCCAGGCCTTCCACCTGATGGGCAGACTCTTGGTTTCTCTTAAACAAGGCAGTGAGGTCTGTGGAGTGTGAAGCTGTTGCCCAGCCACCCACCTCTGAGCTCCAAGCTCGCCTCTTGCTTTCAGGGGACCCACCCACCACCCCAAGGGATCTCACACCCCTTTCTAAACTCTCTCCACTCATGACCTCTCCTGAAAACTTTCTACCCTCTGGAAGCTCCCTAGGGCCACAGCTGGAACTTGTGCCTAGATCACTGTCACTTCTGGGCTGATGTAGCCTAGAGAATACTGTGACTGGATTACCTACAGAAACAAGTCCAGGTCCTTGAAGAATGAATGGGACCAGGGCAGGACTAGGCGAAACAGCACTTTGGTATGGAGAAGGGGACAACTGAAGGGCTACAGATGGTGTGAACCACAGCCCAGCCACAGAAACAGCCACCCAGGGGAGGACTGGCTGGAGGCCAGAGTCCTAGTTGCCTCCACCCAGCCCCCTTCCCTGCCCCTCAGACCCCCTCCCTCCAGGGGGGCCTGGCTATGCCCCAGTAAGTTTTAATAAGGGGCCCCTCCCCTTGGCAGGGTTCACAGGGGAGGTTTTGTCCTGCTCAGCCCAGTTTCTCGGCCTCCTCTCCTCACTGAGCAGCTGACCGCTGTTCTTCCTGTTTTGCCCTCTCCCCTCCCATCCCTCCTCACCCAGGCCCTTTCCTGCCCACTGTGAGCAGCTCCTGAGGCACCCCTAGGCACCAGCCTGCCTCCCTTGGATCACTCATTAAAAAAAAAAAAAAAAAAAGAAGCCAGGTCACCTCAACTCTGTACACAGAAGGGGACAGATGGAACCACAACACAGGTTACGAGAGACAGAGACTAGAAGAAACTTGGTTGGCACCTCACATCCCAGGAAGCTTATGACAACCTTTGCTCTTTGACAAAACCCAGTGATGTTCTGACCCAACTCTACTAAGAATCCACCGTGTCAGAGTCCTGTGCCGGGGCATTGAGAGAGAGGAAGCACAGGCTCTGCCCCAGGGCAACCTTCAGTCTGAGGTGGGTAACAGAGACGCTGTATAAGATAAGTCCCCTGTCTGGTGGGGAGCGGGTAATCTCCTGCTTGAGAGGCTCCAGCCTATTGGCAGAGACATAGCACTTAACCAGAGGGATGCACCGGTCCTAGCTCTCTGATGAGATAAGGGCTTGGGGTTCGTTTGGGAGACCCCTGCAGAAGGTAGGGTTTGGGGAGGGCTCTGAGCAGGGGAAGAGACACACGCCTTGGTCCAGAGAAGGCAAGGCACAAAAGGTTATCAAAGCCCCTGCCCCCTCAACCCCTTTACTATAGAAAGAGAAAGTACAGCCCAGAAAGGGCAAGAGATTACTCCGTGGGACAGAAACAGTACTGGGACAGGACACTGCCCTGCTTGTCTCTAGATGGTGAGGGCAAGTGGAGAGCCTAGAAGCCAGGGAAAGGCATGACTGCTGGCAGAGGACAGAGCCCCAGAGTACAGAAGGGAAAGCCTAGGTCCAGGATTTCCACCCTTACTCCAATGGCAGCAATAATACCCCCACTGATATTCGCAGTTTTCTCAGCTTTTGAATATACATCATCACATTGCTCGATCACCCACCCTTTTCCTTTTACAAAGGAGGAACCGAGGCCAGGAGCACACAGGTGGGCAGATGCCCAGTGCCCAGACCAGCATCTCCTCCCCAAGCCTCAGCCTGACAAGAGCTACCAGCCTGCCCGTTGCATAGAGGAGGTCACTGAGGCTGAGGGACCTTGGCCCAGGGTGGCCGGGCACAGGGAGGAAGCTGAAAGCTAGCAGGAGGGCTGAAAGCAGCCATGTGAAAGAGATGATGAAGATGGCCTGGGATCATGGGGCAGAGCATGTGGCTATGACCTAAGAGGTGTTTTAGAGAAACAAAGATGGGCACTGAGGCCTAGTGCAACAAGCGGAAGCTACTGGGAGAAGTGGGAGGAAAGCAGAGTTAGGGATGCCAAAGGGGAGTAGGGAAAGGAAGCCCCTGCTGTGGGGGTGAGGCTTGCAGGGGCTTGGGTAAAGTGGACAAGAACTTAGATGGCCCAGATATTTAGAGAGCTTTGGGCATCTAGGAGTCAGAAAGTGGCAATATAGGCTGGGTGCAATAGCTCATGCCTGTAACCCCAACACTTTCGGAGGCCGAGGCAGGCGGATCACCTGAGGTCAGGAGTTCGAGACCAGCCTGACCAACATGGAGAAACCCCATGTCTACTAAAAATACAAAATTAGCCAGGCGTGGTGGTGCATGCCTGTAATCCCAGCTATTCAGGAGGCTGAGGCAGGAGAATTGCTTGAACCCAGGAGGTGGCGGTTGCGGTGAGCCAATATCTCGCCACTGCACTCCAGCCTGGGCAACAAGAGCGAAACTCCGTCTCAAAAAAAAAAAAAAAGAAAAGAAAGTGACAATGTGAGAGATTCAGGACCAAGGGTGTACAGAGCTGAGCCGGGCCCAGGAGGTGTCCGGAGAACTTCCCTTAATCAGGGGCCAGCGCAGATCAGGAGATGGAGTAATCCTGACCCACATCCTCTGGGAGCAGGGGAGGGGCCCTGGCCAGAGAGCCCAGCCCTTGCAGCAGGGGCCTGGGGCAGGCAGATGGCAGCCCCACCTAACAGCCAGAAAGAAACCGCAGCAAATCACAGAGGCCTGACTTTGCCCCCTACCTTCACCCACTGAGAGAACCGGCCACTGTCAGGCCAGGAGTATGAGGAGGACAGGCACTATATTTTGTAGAAGAGGAAATGAAGGCTGAGAGGGGAAGTGACTTATCTACCATCCCACAGAAAGGCAGGGCCTGGCCTAGAGGGAGCCCTGACGGACCACTAGCTGCTCCTATCCATGGCCCTGGAAAAGTGGGAGGTGGGCACTGAAGGGACACAGGCAGTCCGGTCCACTCAGGGCTTCCCAGCTGGCCAGGGTTCCCCCAAGGCAGAGAACTTCATCTTTCCTCCCCATCCAAGGAGGCAAAGACATGCCCCTTCCCTTGGGCTGAGAGGGGCTGAAGCTGGGACCCCCTCAGGGGATAAGAAACAAATTCACCTTCCTCTAGACCCAACAGGCCCCTCATTTTAACTTAATCATTCCACAGGCATATATTAAGTGCTTGCTGCGTGCTGGACCCTCGGATAAAGCGGCTGCTGGCAGAACTGAGTTTGCAAGTAAAGGGCAGGGGCAGGGGCAAGACCCAATCCCAGGCCAAGAGTGTTTTGAGTGGTTAGAAGGAGGCTCCAGGGACACAGTTGGTCCAGCCCTCGGGTGGGGAAGGCAGGGACTAAGATCAGACCCTAGGTGGGCCGGACTCCCGATTCCTTCCCTACAGCTAGCTGCTCAGATGGATGTGGAGCGGGGAGAGAGTGGGGGAAAAGATACAGAGACTTATACAAGGGAGAAAAAAGCAACTTCTCCAATCCTCCTGCCACCAAAGCATGGTCACATCCTTGAGACAGGAACCCCCCAACACACACATACACACACACACAGAGTCAGGATCCGATCCTTGAGACAGGAACCCCCCAACACACACATACACACACACACACAGTCAGGATCCGACACACACACACACACACACACACACACACACAGAGAGAGAGAGAGAGTCAGGATCCGACCACGGTAATCGGGGTTCGAGCCCAGTCACCCAGGCCACTTTCAGCAAGTCATCAATCTCGCTGGAGTCTCAGTCTCCTGGTCAATCCAATGGGAACGGTAACAACCACGACGCCCCACAACTGGTGAGAAAGTCAGCGAGAATGAAGGAGGACGCGGTCTGCGAAGTCCCCGATATGGATCCAGCCCCTCGCCCCTGCCCCATTTGCCCAGGCTCTTCCTGAGGTGAGACTGGCGGGAGTGGGGCGGGCAGGAACGAGGGCCTGAGCCCAGGACCGCAATCCCCGTGAGGGGCTCGAGGACCCCAGCCCAACGCCCCGCCGGGCCCCGCCCTCACCTCCTCCTCCATGGCGAGTCCGCCGAGGTCCCGCCGCTCCGCCACTCGCTTCCAGCGCCGCGCGGGCTCTGCCACCGCGTCTACGCCCGGCCAGGCGGCGACTCTCCGCGTTCTGTCCCGCCGGCTGCCGGGGGCCCAAGAAACTTCGGGGGGGCGGGGCCGGGGGCGGGGTGAGGCTTCCGGGGGCCGGGGCGGGGCCGGGGAGGGGGCGGTGGGGCCGGGGGCCCGGCCCAGGGCGGGAAATGGGTGGGGAGGGGCGGGGCCTGGGTTGGAGACTGGACGGAGGAGCCGGGCGGAGATGCAACTGGAGGAAGAGGGCGGGACGGGGCGGAGAAGGTTTCCCGCATCGGCGGAGGGAGAGGGACTAGGAGGGGGCTGCGGCGGGGGAGGAGAGGGGGCTTCCGGCCCAGAGACTGAGGCGAGGGTGGCGGGAGCGGCGCGCAGGCAGGGCTGGGGTGGGGCGCACACAGTGAGCGCTGGGGGCGCTGGCGGTGGAGCCTTTGAGGTCTCCCGAACCAGTGGGCTGGGGTTGCGAGACCGAGCCGAGCTGCCCTGGGCGGCCAGAGATGTGGGCACACAGAGGCTCCTCCTCTTTCCTCCCCGACGCCGGGCAGTGGGCGGTGGCCTGGTCTTCTCCCTGGAACCTCTGGGCGGGGCCGGGCCTGGAGCTTGGGTCTCTGTCCGGAGGGTGGTGTCACAGGAAGAGCTGGAGCTGAGAGTCGGGACTCCGGGGTCCCTTTAGGGGGCGGCCCGCCCCTGGCTCTCAGGGGTCTCCAAGCGCAGTGTTCTCCTGCTCTCCTTGGGCATCGCTCAATCCCTCCCGTATCTGAGGGTCGACCATCCCCCCGATCCCGCGGTGAGCTTGCAGCCCTGACAGCCTTACTGGAGAGTGGGAGTGTGGGGACCAGCAGAGAGTAATGATTTTAGTTATACCATGCGCCCTCATTTTACATTGGAGAAACTGAGGCCCAGAGAGAGAAAGTAACTGGCTGCATCGCAGCCTGCAGCACCGCTCCCCTCTCACACACACACGCATACTCCCCCTTAGCTCTCCTGGTCAACCCCGTCCCATGCCAAGGAAGGGAAAATTAAGTGCATGTGAGATCAATGGTGACCTTCTTCGGCTCTGGCTGCCATAGCAGCGGCTGTGCCAGCGACCAAGCTCCCCTTTCACGGCCTTCTGCCAGCCCTCAGGCTCCCAGGCTACTTCCAGCCCTGTACGGAAAAGGGCAGCCTGGGGCTCCCAGGCCAAGGGGGAAGGAGATGCAGGTACACTTCTCCCTCATGCCTAGGCCTGGGATCCTTTAGCTAAAGGAATGAAGAAAATTGAGGCTGATATTATCACACTGGTCAAGAAAAAGAAAGAATAGAAAAGAAAGAGAGAGGAAGGAGAGAGAGAGGAAGGAGGGAGGGAAGGAAGGAAAAAAGGAAAGAAAGAAAAAGAAAAGAAAGAGAAATGAAGGAAGGAAAGAAAGAAAAGAAACAAGGAAGGAGAGAGGAAGGAAGGACGGAGGGAAGGAAGGAAAGAAAAGAAAGAGCTGGGAGCGGTGGCTCACACCTGTAATCCCAGCACTTTGGGAGGCTGAGGCAGGCTGATCACCTGAGGTCGGGAGTTCAGACCAACCTGACCAACGTGGAGAAACCCCGTCTCTACTAAAAATAGAAAATTAGCCAGGCGAGGTGGTGCATCCCTGTAATCCCAGCTACTTGAGCGGCTGAGGCAGGAGAATCGCTTGAGCCCGAAAGGCGGAGGTTGCAGTGAGCTGAGATCACGCCATTGCACTCCAGTCTGGGCAACAGGAGTGAAACTCTGTCAAAAAAAAAAAGGGAGAGAGAGAGAAGGGAGGGAGGGAGGGACGCAAGGAGGGAAAAGAGAAAGAAAGAGAAAGAAAGAAAGGAAAGAAAAAGAGAGAAAGAAAGGAAGGAAGGAAAGATGAAGGAAAATTGAGGCTGAGGATCTGAGATAGTCTGTATATGTAGCAACCTCTTTCGGCCACCACATGGTTTTACTCCCTCAATCTGCAGAGCTGTGCAGCATTCTACTCCAATGATCAAGGACTCAGAAGATCTTGTATCTGGAAACTCATGCTCCACCTGCAGCAGACCAGAGACCCTGGGGAAATTCATTTTGTTACACAGAAGCAGCCCTTTGTAGGGAGAGAGCAGTGAGGACAGGTTGGTTTGACATCCAAATAGTTCTGTCATTTTGGGGAATGAGCCATTGAGAACTACTCTGGCCTCAGTTTCCCCATCTAGCTCAAAAAACCCTCTGGTTTTGCCTCTATACTGTGTGCTTTCATTCAACACATATTTTATTTTCTTTGTCTGTCAGTCCCTACAATAGTGGCTGGGAGATAATGGCAGAGCTCAGGATCCCTGTCCTCTACTGGGGAGAAAGGCATGTAAGAAGATGAGAATGCCGAGTGTTAAATGAGAAGGTAAATGCACAGAGAAGGGGCACCAGAACCAGGACAAAGGGGTAGGACAGGCATTCTAGGGAGAGGGGACAGCGTGTAATCAATGGCATGGAGGCATGAACAGCACAGCATGTGTATGTAGGGCGGCCAGTCTGGAAAAGCAGACAGCTTTGTGCAGAGAGGGCCTTGTAGGTTGTGTGGAGGAGACCACATTTTAACCTCAGGGCAATGGGAAGTCATTGAAGGTTTGGGAGGTGTGGGGGTCTGTTTTGTGTGTGTACCATTTAATCATTCTGCAAAGTGTACTGAGTGCCCCTTAAGTGGGGGTGCTTTCTAAGGCATCATCCTACAATTATTCACTGAAAAGAATGTAAGGCCCCCTGTTATCTACTCAGTATTCTAAACTCTCCCTATATCTCATTTAATCCTCACGAAAGTATCCATGAAATAGATACAATTGTTATCCTCATTGAACAGATCAGGAACCTGAGGCTTGAAGAAGTTAGATGACCTGGTTAAGGCCACTTGACTGGATTCAAACCCTGCCTGACTCCACATGACTCCTTTGGGCAGCATCGTGTGACCACACCACGTAAGATCTAGGTCCTGCCTTGGAGAGCTGATGAACCAAACCAGCAGGAAGGTAGACAAGTCCTGATAAGGACACTTAAAAAAATAATAATATGGGTCTTGCTCCGTCACTCAGGTTGGAGTGCAGTGGTGCAATCACAGCTCAGTGCAGTCTCAACCTCCCAGGCTCAAGTAATCCTCCCACCTTGGCCTCCCAAAGTGCTGGGATTATAGACCTCAGACATGGTACCCAGCCCTGAGAAGGACTTTGATGAAAAAGTACATGGTGTGTGGTGAGAGTGGCTCCCAGAGGAGGGGTTGAGTTGTATTCCAGCAGGGTTAGTTGGATAGGGGCGGAGGGAAAGTTCAGGACAAGAGAACATCTCACAAAAGTGAGAACTTGTAGAATATCCTGACTTGTTAGGTGAATTGTAGGCAGTCTTTATGTGGTCATATGTGTTGGGGGCAGGATGGGGAAGGCGAATTCGGTCAGATGCCGCCAACGAGGCAGCAGGAGCCAGAGCACTAAAGGCCTTGAGTGCTGACCTAAGGGATTGAAATTCCTCCTGCAAGTAGCAGGGGGCTACTGAAGCTTGAAGTGAGGTATGACACAATCTCATTTTCATCTTACAAGCTCATTTTCATGACTGCAATATGGGCAAGAAAGACAGGGTAGTCCATTGAGTAGATTATTCCAGAAATCCAAGTTGGATGTAATGCAACTTGCTGAACCACTGAACCAGAGCAGTGGTTACGAAGATGTGGAGGATAGATTCAAGAGCTAGAAAAGAGATAGAGGGATCAGGACTTGGAGTGGTTTCTTTATTCATTGATTCGTCCATTCAAAAAATACCTGTTGTGGCTGGGTGTGGTGGCTCACACCTATAATCCCAGCAATTTGGGAGGCCGAGGCAGGTGGATCACCTGAGGTCAGGAGTTCAAGACCAGCCTGGCCAAGATGGTGAAACCCCGTCTCTACTAAAAATATAAAAATTAGCCAGGCGTGGTGGCAGGCACCTGTAATCCCAGCTACTTGGGAGGCTGAGGCAGAGAACTGCTTGAACCCGGAAGGTGGAGGTTGCAATGAGCCGAGATCGCACCACTGCACTCCAGCCTGGGCGACAGAGTGAGATTCCGTCTAAAAAAAAAAAAAAAATAGAAACTGGGGGAGCCCATTTTTAGATATGGTATGTGTGGTGGGGGAAGCCTTTCTGAAGAGTGGATATTTCAGCTGAGACCTAAATGATGACAAAAAAGACAGCCACACAAAGAGGTGGGGAGGAAGGGGGAGGGCATTTCCTGCAAAGGGAAGAGCAAGTGCAAAGACTCTGGCACAAGAAAGGGCTTTGGGTATTATGAAACATCAAGGAGGCCAGTGTGACAGAAGCTTAGTGAGCAAGGGAGAGCAGTAGGCTTGAGGTCACGGTGCACAGAAGGGGAATTGACTTCAGGCTATGGTAAGGACTGTGGGTTTTATTCTAAGATGAATAGTCTTAGGGAGGCATTGAGGGCTTTTAACTACACCAGCTGCAAAATCTGATTTATACGTCTTAAAAGACCCTACCTTCCAACCTGGGCAACTTAGTGAGCCTCTATCTCTACAAAAAAAATTTTTAAATAAATTAGCCAGGCATGGTGCTGCACACCTTTTAGTCCCAGCTATTTATGAGGCTGAGGCAGGAGGATCGCGTAAGGCCAGGAGTTGGAGACTGCAGTGAGCTACAAGTGCCAGCCTGAGTGACAGAGCAAGACCTTGTTAAAAAAAAAAAAAAAAAAAAAAAAGAGGTCCAGCACTGTGACTCACACCTGTAATCCCAGCACTTTGGGAGGCCGAGGTGGATGGATCACCTGAGGTCGGGAGTTCGAGGCCAGCCTGACCAACATGGAGAAACCCCATCTCTACTAAAAATACAAAATTAGCCAGGTGTGGTGGCGCATGATTGTAATCCCAGCTACTCGGGAGGCTGAGGCAGGAGAATTGCTTGAACCCAGGAGGAGGAGGTTGTGGTAAGCCAAGATTGCACCATTGCACTCCAGCCTGGGCAACAAGAGCAAAACTCCGTCTCAAAAAAAAAAAAAAAAAAAGAAAGAAAATAAAAAAGACAAGAAACATCGGGTTTCAATGGTGGGTTGGATGTGGCAGTTGAAGAAACAAATCAGGGATATGGCGTGGGTTTTTAAATTGAGCCCAAAATGGTGGTGCCATTTACTGAGATGATAAAGAAAGGAGGAAAACAGGCGTATATGGTACTGGGGAAGGAGATTAAAACCTCTGTTTTGGAGAAAGTGAATCTGACATGCCTATTGGCATCCATGTGGAAATCTCAGGAAGACAAATGGGGATATTGTTTGGTGTTCTGGGAAGAAGGGCAGGCTGGAGATAGAATATTGGGAATCATCATGTAGTTGATAATTGAGTCACCAAAGAAGGAAGGAAAGAGGGAGGGAGGGAGAGATGGAGGGAAGGAAGGAAGGAAAGAGGGAGGGAGGGAGGGAAGGAAGAGAGAGAGGATCAGTGAGAGGTCTAATGAGGAAGAGGTGTTAGCAAAGGAGGTTAACATGGAGCAGCCAGTAGACAGGAAGAAACGAGGGGAGTGTGAAGTCGTGGAAGTTAAGAGAGGATCAGCTGTATGAGAGGTTCAACAAAATGAGTGTCCGCTGCCCGGTGATGACAGTGCAAGGTGCCGTCCTGCTCTGGAAACTGGAAGACAGTAAAATAAATACCGTTTCCCGTTCAGCTCTTCTACAGACTGTCCTTGTAAGCTTCGGGCTGCGAAAGCGGGAGGGCAAAAAGCTTGGAGAGAAAGGGTCCTAAGGTGGAAGGGACGGGGCCTTTTGAGTAGTATCACATGAGATAATGCCAAAAATGCATTTTATAACCCCCTCTGTGCTAATGTCATTGTAGCTATTATTAATGAGCCAGGGACTGAACTGAGACCTCTCAATGACAGCGAGCAGATAAGACGTGTGGAAGGATATTCCGAGGAGGAAATTTCAAAATGAAGAAAACCCTTTCCTCTTGAGATCTTGCCTCCAAACCAGGCTTTGGGTTGGGCGAGATCCGAGAGCAGCGTTGCACCTCAATCCAGACTGACCTCACGGCGGCAGCAGGGAGCAGAGTGTCGGGCGGATGCCCAGAACCGCCCGAAGCCGAAGGGGAGGAAGTACAGCCCCAGGAGGTAGGGCTCCCTCTGGCCTCGCCTCCCTACGCCGCGGGCCAATCAGGATGCAGCTGGTAGGCCCACGGCGCGTGGAGCGGGGAGGAGCGAAGACCCGAGGACCTTTAATCCACCACCAGGCAGTGTCTAGTTACATGTTCGATACCTTTCCCTTCAGGGACTTTGTTGCTCAGACAAAATCCTGTGTGGGGAGTACAACCACTTTGAAGAAAGATCTCACAGTTTCATATGAAACTAAATATACAACTACTCTATGACCCAGAATTTCTCACCTAGGTATTTATTCAAAATAAATTAAAACATAAATCCAGGCCGGGCGCGGTGGCTCACGCCCGTAATCCTAGCACTTGGGGAGGCCGAGGTGGGTGGATCACTTGTAACGAGCTCGAGACCAGCCTGGGCGACATGGCGAAACCCCGTTTCTACTAAAAATACAAAAAAATAGCCGGGCGTGGTGGCAAGCGCCTGTAGTCCCAGCTACTCCGGAGGCTGAGGCACGAGAATGGCGTGAACCCGGGAGGCGAAGGTTGCAGTGGGCCGAGATCGCGCCACTGCACTCCAGCCTGGGCGACAGAGCAAGACTCCGTCTCAAATTAAAACATACATCCAGCCGGGCGCGGTGGCTCACGCCTGTAATTCCAACACTTTGGGAAGCAGAGGCGGGCGGATCACCCGAGGTAGGGAGTTCGAGGCCAGTCTGACCAAAACGGTGAAACCCCGTCTCTACTAAAAATACAAAAAATTAGCCGGGCGTGGTGGCACGTGCCTGTAGTCCCAGCTACTCGGGAGGCTGAGGCAGGTGAATCACTTGAACCTGGAAGGCAGAGGTTGCAGTGGGCCGAGATCACGCCACTGCACTCCAGCCTGGGCGAGAGAGCGAGACTCCGTCTCAAAAAAAAAAAAAAAAAAAAAAAAAGATGCTAGAACAAGCTAAACTAATCCATGGTTAAAAATAAAATCAGAACAGAGGTTGTCTAAGGACTGAGAGTGGGGATTGACTGAGAAGGGGCACAAAGGAAGTTTCTAGGTGATGATAATGTTCTTACAATTTCATGCAGTGGAGGAGACTGTCCCCTATCTGTGCTATCCAATGTAATAGCCACTAACCACATGTGGCAATTGAGCACTGGATTTGAGTTTCACTTAGTTTTAATTGATTTAAGTTTAAATTAAAATAGCCACATGTGGCTAGTGGCCACTGTATTGGACAGCACAGTTGTAAATCCTGATAGGGGTTTGGGCTACACAGGTATATTAATTTGCAAAGGTCTTCTAATGATACTCCTAAGACTTATGTGTTTCACTGTATGTGAAGTTTACATTAAACATGTAAACATGGTCCAGCATGGTGGCTCAAGCCTATAATCCTAGCACTTTGGGAGGCCAAGGTGGGCGGTTTGGTTAAGCTCATGAGTTTGAGACCAGCCTGGGCAGCATAGTGAGACCTTGTCTCTACAAAAAATACAAAAGTTAGCTGGGCATGGTGGTGTGTGCCTGTAATCCCAGCTACTTGGGAGGCTGAGGTGGGAGGTTGGCTTGAGCCCAGAAGGCAGAGGTTGCAGTGAGTGAAGATCTTGCCACTGCACTCCAGCCTGTGCAACAGAGCCAGACCCTCTCTCAAAAAAAAAAAAAAAAAAAAAAAAAAATGCTAGGCACAGTGACTAATGCCTGTAATCCCAGCACTTTGGGAGGCCGACGCGGGTGGATCGCAAGGTCAGGGGTTCGAAACCAGCCTGGCCAACATGGTGAAACCCAGTCTCTACTAAAAATACAAAAATTAGCTGGGCGTGGTGGCAGGCATTTGTAATCCCAGCTACTTGGGAGGCCAAGGCAGTAGATTGGTTTGAACCCAGGAGATGGAGGTTGCAGTGAGCCGAGATCGCGCCATTGCACTCCAGTCTGGATGACAGGACAAGACTCTGTCTCAAAAAAAAAAAAAAAAGTAAACATAGCCAGGCATGCACCTGTTGCCCCAGTGACTAGACAGGCTGAGCCCAGAGGGTCACTTGAGCCCAAGTATTTGAGTCCAGCCTGGCAGCAGAGTGAGACTCTGTCTCTAAAAAGATTTTTAAATGTAATTCATTATTATTTTTCTATGAGACAGAGTCTTACTCTGTTGTCCAGGCTGGAGTGCAATGGTATCATCACAGCTCACTGCAGCATTGACCTCCTGGGTTCAAGTCATCCTCTAGCCTCAGCCTCCCAAGTAGCTGGGACCATAGGCATGTGCAACCACGTCCAGCTATTTTTTTTTTTTTTAATTTTTGTAGAGATGGGGGTCTCACCTGGATTCCCAGGCTGGTCAGTAACTCCTGGGCTCAAGTGCCTTGACCTGCCTTGACCTCCCAAAGTGCTGGGATTACTGGCATGAGCTACAACACCTGGCCTTTTTACTTTTAGAAATAAAAAAAAAAAAAAAAGCTGAGCTTGGTGGCTCATGCCTGTAATCTCAGCACTTTGGGAGGTCGAGGTGGCCAGATCACCTGAGGTCAAGAGTTCAAGACCAGCCTAGCCAACAGGATGAAACACGGTCTCTGCTAAAAATACAAGGGTCAGGTGCAGTGGCTCACGCCTGTAATCCCAGCACTTTGGGAGGCCGAGGTGGGTGGATCACGAGATCAGGAGATGGAGACCATCCTGGCTAACACGGTGAAACCCCGTCTCTACTAAAAATACAAAAAATTAGCTGGGCATGGTGGCAGGAGCTTATAGTCCCAGCTACTCGGGAGGCTAAGGCAGGAGAATGGCATGAACCCAGGAGGTGGAGCTTGCAGTGAACCCAGATTGTGCCACTGCACTCCAGCTTGGGTGACAGAGCAAGACTCCGTCTCAAAAAAAAAAAAAAAAAAAAAAAAACAAGAGCAAAACTCTGTCTCAAACAAAAACAACAAAAAAATTGTTTTTTTGAGATAAAGCCTGGTTCTGTCACCCAAGCTGGAGTGCAGTGGCCAGATCTCAGCTCACTGCATCCTCCGCCTCTGGGATTCAAGCGATTCTTCTGCCTCAGCCTCCCTAGTAGCTGGGATTACAGGTACACGCCACCACGCCTGGCTAATTTTTGTATTTTTAGTACAGACAGGATTTCACCATATTGGCCAGGCTGGTCTCGAACTCCTGACCTCGTGATCCGCCGGCCTTGGCCTCCCAAAGTGCTGGGATTACAGGTGTGAGCCGCCGTGCAGGACACGAACAAAAAAATTTTTTAAAAAGATAAACATGGCTGGGCGCGGTGGCTCACGCCTGTCATCCCAGCACTTTGGGAGGCCGAAACGGGTGGATCACTTGTAAGGAGCTCAAGACCACGGTGAAACCCCGTGTCTGTTAAAAATACAAAAAAATTAGCTGGGCGTGGTGGCGGGCGCCTGCAGTCCCAGCTACTCCGGAGGCTGAGGCAGGAGAATGGTGTGAACCCGGGAGGCGGAGCTTGCAGTGAGCTGAGATCGCACCATTGCACTCCAGCCTGGGAGACAGAGCGAGACTCCGTCTCAAAAAAAAAAAAAAGATAAACATAAACTCTGGTTAATGCTATGCATGCTAAAGAGTTAGAAGTGAAATATACTCATCTCTGTAGCTTTGAAGTACATAACAAAGAGATGGGTAGATGTATGGATGTGATAAAACAAATACTGCAAAATATTGTAGATTGGTGATGAATGTATCAATGTTCACTGTACAATTCGTTCGCTCTTTCTGTATATGCTTGGATTTTTGTTTGTTTGCTTGCTTTTTTTTTTTTTTTTTTTTTTTGAGACAGAGTCTCGCTCTGTCACCAGGCTGGAGGGCGGTGGTGTGATCTCAACTTACTGCAACCTTCACTTCCGGGGTTCAAGCGATTTTCCTGCCTCAGCCTCCCAGGTAGCTGGGACTACAGGTGTGCACCACCACGCCCAGCTAATTTTTGTATTTTTAGTAGAGACGGGGTTTCACCATGTTGGCCAGGATGGTCTCCATCTCTTGACCTCATGATCTGCCCACCTCGGCCTCCCAAAGTGCTAGGATTACAGGCGTGAGCCACCGTGCCTGGCCTGGATATTTTCATAATAAAATGAGAGAACTAAAGTGTGAGAGGAAGTAGGAATGATGAGTTATTGCCTAATGGATGAAGTTTCATTTTTTTCTTCTCTTTGAGATGGGGTCTCGCTCCATCACCTAGGCTGGAGTGCAGTGGCGTGATCTCGGCTCACTACAACATCCACCTCCCGGGTTCACGCCATTCTCCTGTCTCAGCCTCCTGAGTAGTTGGGACTACAGGTGCCCACCACCACCCCCGGCAAATTTTTGTATTTTTAGTAGAGATGGGGTTTCACTTTGTTGGTCAGGCTGGCCTCAAACTCCTGACCTCAGGTAATCCACCCGCCTTGGCCTCCCCAAGTGCTGGGATTATAGGCGTGAGCTACCACGCCTGAACTGGATGAAGTTTCTATGTGAAATAATGAAAACATTCAAAAATAAATTGTGGGGGAAAGTGAAAAAATAAATAAATAAATTGTGGCCAGGTGCAGTGGCTCATGCCTGTAATCCCAGCACTTGGGGAGGCCGAGGCAGGTGGACCGCCTGAGGTCGGGAGATCGAGACCAGCCTGGCCAGCATAGTGAAACCCCGTCTCTACTAAAAATACAAAAATTAGCCGGGCGTGGTGGCAGGCAGGTGTAGTCCCAGCTACTCGGGAATCGGAGGCAGGAGAATCGCTTGAACCCAGGAGGCAGGGGTTGCAGTGAGCCGAGATCGTGCCATTGTACTCTAGCCTGAGCAGCAGAGTGAGACTTTGTCTCAAAATAAATAAATAAATTAATTAATTAATTAAATTGTGGTGATGGTTATACATTTGGAATGTACTTAATGCCATGAATTATACACTTAAAAATAATTAAAACGATAAATGTCGTGTATATTTTTCCACAATTGTTTTTAAAAAGTTTGAAAGCCAAGGCCGGGCGCGATGGCTCACGCCTGTAATCCCAGCACTTTGGGAGGCAGAGGCGGGCAGATCACGAGGTCAGGAGATCGAGACCATCCTGGCTAACACGGTGAAACCCCGTCTCTACTAAAAATACAAAAAATTAGCTGGGCGTAGTGGCGGGCGCCTGTAGTCCCAGCTACTCGGGAGGCTGAGGCAGGAGAATGGCGTGAACCCGGGAGGCGGAGCTTGCAGTGAGCCGTGATTGCGCCACTGCACTCCAGCCTGGGCGACAGAGCGAGACTGTCTCAAAAAAAGAAAAAAAAAAAGTTTGAAAGCCAAAACAAAAAAAAACATATTAAGAGAAAATCCATTGGGACATTCTGGTGCCTTCCCTTGAAGCAGTCTGGGGTATTGCACACAGAATCAGGGTAAGGGATTTGGCTTCCCCTGTGTGTAAGTGCGCTAGGCCCATTGTAAGCAGAGAGCAGTGGAAAGAGAGAACACAGGCTTTGGAAACAGACCTGGGTTCATAATCCCAGCTCTTTCATTTTCTCTCTATGTGGCTGTATTTGTTTCTTATTTCTATGGCTGCTATAACAAATTATCATACATTTAGTGGCTTAAAACAACAAAAATTTATCATCTTGTCATTCTGGAAGCCAGGAGTCTGAAATGTGTCCTACTGTACTAAAATCAAAAGCTGTTTTTCTTCTGGAGACTCCAGGAGATAATCCATTTCCCTGCCCTTTCCAGCTTCTAGAGAGCTCCTGCCTTCCTTGGTTTAGTCTGTGGCCCTTGCCTCCAACCTCAAAGCCAGCAGTAACATCTTCACGTCTCTCTTTCTCTCTCTCTCAACTCTACTTCCTTTGTCATATCTTCTCTGACTCCTGTTTCCTTCTTTCCCCTGTGATTACATTGGGCCACTCATATAATCCAGAATAACATCTTCATCTCAAAAAACTTAACCATGATCGGGTGTGGTGGCTAACGCCTGTAATCCCAGCACTTTGGGAGGCCGAGGTGGGCGGATCACTTGAGGTAGGAGTACAAGACCAGCCTGACCAACATGGAGAAACCCTGTCTCTACTAAAAATACAAAATTAGCCAGGTGTGGTGGCGCATGCCTGTAATCCCAGCTACTAGGGAGGCTGAGGCAGGAGAATTGCTTGAACCCGGGAGGTGGAGATTGTAGTGAGCTGAGATCATGCCATTGCATTCTAGCCTGGGCAAAAAGAGTGAAACTCCGCCTCAAAAAAAAAAAACAAACAACAAAAAAAACTTAATCATATCTGCAAAGTCCCTTTTGCCAATGTAAGATAATATTCACAAATTCTAGGGATTTGAACATGGACATTTTGGGGAAGGGGGTCATTATTCTGCCTACCATAATGACCTTGAAAACTTTTCTCTTTTTTTTTTTTTTTTTTTTTTTGAGACAGAGTCTCGCTCTGTCGCCCAGCCTGGAGTGCAGTGGTGCGATCCTGGCTCACTGCAACCTCTGTCTCCTGGGTTCAAGCGATTCTCCTGCCTCAGCCTCCCGAGTAGCTGGGATTACAGATGCCTGCAACCACACCCAGCTAATTTTTGTATTTTTAGTAAAGATGGGGTTTCACCACCTTGGCCAGGCTGGTCTTGAACTCCTGACCTCATGATCCACCTGCCTCAGCTTCCCAAAGTGGTGGGATTACAGACGTGAGCCACCACACCCAGCTGAAAATTTTTCTTAACCTACTCATTTACTCATACACAATGACGCATGCCACTGATATTCAATATATGTCAAGACAACACTGGAGAAGAAAAATATCTCTCAAGATTTCTTTCCAGCCAGGCATGGTGGCACCCTCCTGTAATCCCAGCACTCTGGCAGGCTGAGGCTGGCAGATCTCTTGAGACCAGGAGTTCGAGACCAGCCTGGGCAACATGGCGAGACCCTAGTCTCTATAAAATATACAAAAATTTGCTAGGCGTGGTGGTAGTCATCTGTAGTTCCAACTACTTGGGAGGCTGAGATGGGAGGATCACTTGAGCAGGAAGGTCAAGGCGGCAGTGAGTTATGATTGTGCCACTGTACTCCAGCCTGGGTGGCAGAGTGACAACCTGTCTCAAAAAAAAAAAAAAGATTTCTAACAGGTTTATGGAGATATAATTCACATACCATACAATTTAAGCATTCAAAGCATTCGATTCAATGGTTTTCAGTATAGTCACGGGGTTGTGCAACTATCACCAATCAATTTTAGACTATTTTTATCTTTCTCCCATTTTGAGAAAACAGAGGCTTGAGACATTATGGAAACCTGCTTAGGGTAGCATCCACTGGAAAGGCATTGCAGTGGCTGTTACTAGCTGAGATTCCAGTCCAGGTTATACCTTTCATGAAGCTAGGCCAGTCACCTTGAGGCAGAAGAACAGGGTCTGGAGGCAGGGAACCTAAGGCTGTTTCACGCCGACTTCCTAGAATTAAATTAAAAGGAAAACCCGGCTGGGCACAGTGGCTCACACCTGTAATCCCATCACTTTGGGAGGCCGAGGCGGGCAGATCACAATGTCAAGAGATTGAGACCATCCAGGCCAACATGGTGAAACCCCGTCTCTACTAAATATACAAAAATTAGCTGGGCATGGTGGCATGCACCTGTAGTCCTAGCTACTTGGGAGGCTAAGGCAGGAGAATCGCTTGAATGGGGGAGGCAGAGGTTGCAGTGAGCCAAGATAGCGCCTCTGCACTCCAGCCTGGCAACAAATAGAGACTCCACCTCAAAAAAATAAGAAGAAGAAGAAGAAGAAAAAAGAAAACCCTGGCCGGGCATGGTGGCTCACGCCTGTAATCTCAGCACTTTGGGAGGCCGAGGTAGGCGGATCACGAAGTCAGGAGTTCGAGACCAGCCTGGCCAATATGGTGAAACCCCATCTCTACCAAATATACAAAAATTAAATGGGCATGGTGGCACGCACCTGTAGTCCCAGCTACTTGGGAAGCTGAGGCAGAAGAATCGCTTGAACCCAGGAGGCAGAAGTTGCAGTGAGCCGAGATCCTGCCACTGCACTCCGGCCTGGGCAACAGAGCACAGAGCCAGACGCTGTCTCCCAAAAAAAAAAAAAAAAAAAAAAAAAAAAAAGGAAAACTCTAACTTTCCACTCCTAAGTAAGGACAAGAACAAAAGGACCAAAGGCTACTCCCTTTGACGTTTCCCGCATGGCAGATGGGAGATTGGCAGATGGGAGATTGGCTGTCTGCAACAAATCATAGGAGTGTGGGTCCAGTCTTCGTTTGCAACTTTGTAACTTCACTCCAGCCTCTGAATGGTGGCTGAATGGTTGCTGTCTGCAACCAATCAGACTGATTATCGCTACCACTTCAGTTACATGAAGTAAGCGTAAAGTTCCCAATGGGAAACTTCTAGGGGGTATTTGAACCCAAGAAAATTCTGTATCTCGGGTCCCCTCCCACACTGTGGAGTGTACTTTCGTTTTTGTTTTTTGTTGTTGTTGTTTGTTTTGAGACAAGTTCTCGTTCTGTCGCTCAGGCTGGAGTGCAGCGGCACGATCCAGGCTCACTGTATCTTCTGCCTCCTGGATTCAAGTGATTCTCATGCCTCAGCCTCCCAAGCAGCTGGGATTACAGATGTCCACGACGACACCCGGCAATTTTTGTATTTTTAGTAGAGACAGGGTTTCACCATGTTGGTCAGGGTGGTCTGGAACTGCTGACCTCAAGTGATCCCCCCACCTCGGCCTCCCAAAGTGCTGGGATTACAGGCGTGAGCCACCGCGCCTAGCCGTACTTTCGTTTTCAAAAAATTCCTGCTTTTGTTCTTTTGTTGCTTCATTCTTTCTTTGCTTTGATGGGCATTTTGTCCAATTCTTTGTTCAAAACGCCAAGAACCTGGACAACTTTCAGTCATCACCCTCTACCGCTAACAGACTGGGAGCAGTGTGGTGTAGTAGCTAAGCCCCATGGAGTGATTAAGCGAGCAGGTAATCTGGGTTCAATGTTTGGTTTTGCTCTCCATATCAGCTATGTGACCTTCAGTAAAATCTCTGGAAGCCTTGCTTTTTTCTCATTTGAAAAATAAGGTCCGGGCTCATGCCTGTAATCCTAGGACTTCGGGAGGCCACGGTGGGTGGATCGTTTGACCTCCGGAGTTCGAGACAAGCCTGGGAAACATGGTGACATCCCGTCTATACGAAAAAAAAATTATATATATATATGTGTGTGTATATATATATATGTGTGTGTATATATATATGTGTGTGTATATATATGTGTGTGTATATATGTGTGTGTGTGTGTATATATATATATATATATATATATATATATATATATATATAAATTAGCTGGGTGTGCATCTGTAGTTCCAGCTACCTGGGGGGCTGAGGCGGGAGGATCACCAGAGCCCAGGAGGCGGAGGTTGCAGTGAGCCACGATCGCGCCACGGCAGAGGTTGCAGTGAGCAGAGATTGTGCCACTGCACTCCACTACAGCCTGGGCGACAGAGTGAGCCCTAAGAAGGAAAAAGGAAAGGAAAGGGCAATTTAATCCATGGTAGTTATCATTATCTGTAAAATGAGGTAGCCAGACTCACCTGTAAGATCCTTTCCAGCTATGTAATTCCAAGCTTCAATGAGATAATAAAGATGATTAAAAGTAAATTCTTTCAGCATCCTGTGCAAGAAGAGGGATACAATTTCCCTGAAGACAGAGACTCTACTCGCTTCCGCTGTACCCTCTGGCACGTGGCACAGGTCTCAGAGTTTCTCACTCATGGGCCTCAGGTGGGTGAGAGAGCCAAAGCGTAAAGTCCCTTACAAAGGCAGAGAAGGATGTAGAGTTGGGGGCGGGGGAGGGATTGGGCAGGCCTTGGGGTGGTCTGCCCAGAACTGGACAATGGTACTGTGAGTGTAAACAGGGGTGTGAGAGTCCAAAGGCAGATCTTCCCCAAGGCTAAGCCCAGCCTCTGTGTGCGGGCTAGAGGGGAGAGGGAGTGTGCTGGAAGGATGGTTCTGAAAATAAATCTTCGGAGTCGCGTAGGGTTTTCAGACCCGACACCACGCGCCGCCGGGTGGCTGCCGCAGCGGCGGCCTCCTCCCACCACGCCCAGCCGTCCACTGGATTTGGTATGCTCAGCCACCACCATAAACCTCCTTCCTCTAGCAGGCAATTGGTACAGCCCAAGCTCCTGGAGTAGAGACGCAAAGAAAGACACGCCCATTGTTACGCCCCTACCTCTGAGTGGCTGGAGAATTTAAAGATCCAGTCGGTGATTGGGTGATTTTCTGCCTCTAGCATTTGAAAAATTTCTAGTTTCGGAGCTTAGCCACAGGCCGGCTACGATCTGCTTGTTCATCTGAGTGTCGGCACAAGTGAGTGTCTGCCCGAACCCAGAGGTGGGGAGCAAAGAGCCTGATTTATCTAGGGGTTTCCGGCGGGAGGGTGCAAACAAATGGGTCAGCCTGAGGGAGCACGGCTTCTAGGGTCCCAGGGTCCCCCGCGATTTCCCTAGCCGAATATTTTCCACCTCGTCCCCACCTTGGTGGTGGGAAGCGCGAGGGCATGGGAATCACACTGACTTTGACTACTAGCCGCTGTGGCTTATGAAGGGCAAGTGAGTTTCCCTCTCTTAGCCTGTTTCCACGTCTGTACACGGGGAAGAGTGAGACCTGCCCGCTGCATATAAGCCAGTGAATGTACCTACAAGGCAGAAGTCGCTTATTACACGGCAGCCCTCTTTGCATCTCCCCACGGGCGATTCTCCTGCTTCCTGGGGAGAGTACTCTGAGGATTCATGTGCTCGCCCTGGGTCTCGGGGAAGGAGGATTCTTTCTGCGCAGGGACCCCTGTTCTAGTGAGGTCCTTGCAGGACACCTGAGGCTCCCTAATCCTCGGTGCCCATCCGCCGCTCTGGAAATTGTTGTGTAGCACGGTGTGTGTGTATATGTGTGTGTGTGTGTGTGTGTATATATATAGAAATTGTATATATATTGTGTGTATATATATATAGAAATTGGATATATAGAAATGGAAATTGTGTAGCAGGGTGCGTGTGTGTATATATATATATACATATATATACACACACACACACACATATATATAATGTATGCATATGTATGTATTTATATGTATGTATTTTTTTTTTAATTAGAGGGTGTCGCTATGTTGCCCAGGATGGTCTCGAGTTCCTGGGCTCAAGCGATCTTCCTTCTTCAGCCTCCCAAAGTGCTGGAATTACAAGCGCCCGCCACCACGCCCGGCTAATTTTTGTATTTTTAGTAGAGACGAGGTTTCACCATGTTGGCCAGGCTGGTCTCAGAACTCCTAACTTCAGGTGATCCGCCCACTTTAGCCTCCCAAAGTGCTGGGATTAAAGCGCGAGCCACTGCGCCCGGCCCAGGGCATATTCTAAGGGTGGATTTTCGGTTAGCCCAAAGCCCTTTCTCCGTCTTTGTGACCTCTTTGTGTTACCAGTGACAGTCCTCGTGATCTTGTGTAGCCTTGACCCTGCTCCCTGTCACGTCCTTTATAGCACCCATTACGTCCCCTATAGCACCCATTACGTCTCATGAATCCTCATGACCCCTGTGCTCCGGTGTCTTCGCAGACCAGCAGAGGCGGTGACGATGCTCTCGGGCATAGAGGCGGCGGCAGGGGAATATGAGGACTCGGAGCTGCGGTGCCGCGTGGCTGTGGAGGAGCTGAGCCCGGGCGGGCAGCCGCGAAGGCGCCAGGCCCTGCGCACCGCGGAGCTGAGCCTGGGTCGCAACGAGCGCCGCGAGTTGATGCTGCGGCTGCAAGCGCCAGGGCCCGCGGGGCGGCCGCGCTGCTTTCCTCTGCGCGCCGCGCGCCTCTTCACGCGTTTCGCCGAGGCCGGGCGCAGCACCCTGCGGCTCCCCGCCCACGACACCCCCGGGGCCGGCGCAGTGCAGCTGCTGCTCTCGGACTGCCCCCCAGACCGCCTGCGCCGCTTCCTGCGCACATTGCGCCTCAAGCTGGCTGCGGCCCCGGGTCCCGGGCCGGCCTCCGCCCGAGCGCAGCTGCTGGGCCCGCGGCCCCGCGACTTCGTCACCATCAGCCCTGTGCAGCCCGAGGAGCGGCGGCTCAGGGCGGCCACCCGGGTTCCGGACACTACGCTGGTGAAGCGGCCTGTGGAGCCCCAGGCTGGGGCCGAGCCTAGCACAGTGAGGACGGGAAAGAAGGGACACCTTTAGGAGTAGATGTGCCATTCTTTAAGATGGCAGAGACCTAGAGACCCAAGTTTGAGGGGAAGCCGGTGTGGGTATTTGATACCCATCTGACATCTCAGTATGACAGGGGTGTGGGAATTGTGCCTGTGGTTGTTATAGTGTAATCCCTGAGATGGAGTAAATCAAAACAGGAAATGGGACCTGGCTACATTAAAAGAGAAAGCAGAGGCCGGGCATGGTGGCTCACGCCTGTAATCCCAGCACTTTGGGAGGCTAAAGTGGATCACCTGAGGTTAGGAGTTCTGAGGCCAGCCTGGCCAACATGGTGAAACCTCGTATCTACTAAAAATACAAAAATTAGCCAGGCGCGGTGGCGGGCGCCTGTAATCCCAGCTACTTGGGAGGCTGAGGCAGGAGAATAGCTTGAACCCGGGAGGCAGAGGTTGCAGTGAGCCTAGATCGCGCCACTGCACTCCAGCCTGGGTGACAGAGCGAGACTCTTCCTCAAAAAAAAAAAAGAGAGAGCGAGAGAGAAAGAAGAGAAGGAGGCTTGCAAAGGACTACAGAAAGAATGCTGGGAGAGGGTAATAGGCCCAGAGTAGAGGAGCTTATGGAGAGAATGAAGTGGTCATTCGTGTCCTGGGCAGCCAACAGTTGAAGCAGATGAGGGGAAAAAAGTCTGGTGGGTTTGACAATTTTCATGGGCTGGGGCAGGTGAATCATAGCCCACCAGGGTTTGACACTAAGCTGGCGAGAGGACAGAGACAGGATAAGAAGGGGCCCTGGCTAGACAGGGTTTTGCTTGGGTATTTTGAGGTGAGAAACAGGTTTGTGATAGGAAGAGAAACTTAGGTGACAGGAAGGAAACTTTAGTGACAGGATGAGAAGGGTTAGGGAACCCAGGGGAAGGAGCTAAGGGAGGGTGTAGACCACACTGGTGTGGTCTGCCCAGGACTGGACAATGGGGGTCTTCAGGGCACAAGGAGAGATCGGGACCCCAATAGTTGCTGGCAAGCTCTCCAGGCAAACCCAAGAGCTCCATGGAATGAAGGCAGTAGAGGACAAAGGGTTACCAGGCCCAGCATTGCACATGGGCCAAGAAGGGTGGGGGCAATGCCTAGCGGGTGGGAGGATGCTCTGAGATAGCTCTGTTCCCCCCAGGAAGCCCCAAGGTGGCCCCTGCCTGTGAAGAGGCTGAGCTTGCCCTCCACCAAGCCACAGCTTTCTGAGGAACAGGCTGCTGTGCTGAGGGCCGTCCTGAAAGGCCAGAGCATCTTCTTCACTGGGAGTGCAGGTAGTGGGGGCAGAGAGGAGGTAGGGGGACAGTGGTGGGGTGGGATAGAGGAACAGGGAGACCTGTCTAACTTTGCCCCTGTCCAGGAACAGGGAAGTCATATCTGCTAAAGCGAATCCTGGGCTCACTGCCCCCCACAGGCACTGTGGCCACTGCCAGCACTGGGGTGGCAGCCTGCCACATCGGGGGCACCACCCTCCATGCCTTTGCAGGTAAGTAGGAACCCCTAGGGCTTGAGCTAAGAGCAAGCCCAGCTTCTGGGAAGGGAGAGAGGGGAGGTCTGCATAAAGAGGGAGTTTTGGGGGCTGGGCGCCGTGGCTCACTCTTGTAATCCCAAAACTTTAGGAGGCCAAGGTGGGAGGATCGCTTGAGCCCAGGAGTTTGAGACCAGCCTGGCCAACACAGTAAACCCTGTCTCCACAAAATTTAAAAATTAGCGGCCGGGCGCAGTGGCTCACGCCTGTAATCCCAGCACTTTGGGAGGCCGAGGCAGGCGGATCACAAGGTCAGGAGATCAAGACTATCCTGGCTAACACGGTAAAACCCTGTCTCTACTAAAAATACAAAAAAATTAGCCAGGCATGGTGGCAAGCGCCTGTAGTCCCAGCTACTCTGGAGGCTGAGGCAGGAGAATGGCGTGAACCCAGGAGGCAGAGCTTGCAGTGAGCCGAGATCACGCCACTGCACTTGAGCCTGGGCGACACAGCGAGACTCCATCTCAAAACAAAACAAAACAAAATTAGCTGAGCATGGTGGTGTGTGCCTGTAGTCCCAGCTACTATGGAGGTTGAGGTGGGAGGATCGCTTGAGCCCATGAGGCCCAGGTTACAGTGAGCCAAGATCGTGCCACTGCACTTCAGCCTGGGTGACAGAAAGAGACCTTCTCTCAAAAAAAAAAAAAAAAAAAAAAAAGAGAGGCTTTGGGTATTAGCCCAGGCTGAATAGTGTCACTCACAGGCATCGGCTCAGGCCAGGCTCCTCTAGCCCAGTGTGTGGCCCTGGCCCAAAGGCCAGGCGTGCGGCAGGGCTGGCTGAACTGCCAGCGGTTGGTCATTGACGAGATCTCAATGGTGGAGGCAGACCTGTTTGACAAACTGGAGGCCGTGGCCAGGTCAGTATGTTCAGAGGGCAGCAGGTGAGAACTGGGACCTGGTGGTCTTCTGTGTGCCCCTAAAGCACCCCACGCTCCTCTCCAGAGCTGTCCGGCAGCAGAACAAGCCATTCGGAGGGATCCAGCTCATCATCTGTGGGGACTTTCTGCAGCTGCCACCTGTGACCAAGGGCTCCCAGCCCCCACGGTTCTGCTTCCAGGTATTACTCACCTCCTAGCTCTGCTCTCCTTGGGGGTCTGCTCTGCTCCTTGACCCACCCCCACCCTGCCCCCACCAGTCCAAGAGCTGGAAGAGGTGTGTGCCAGTGACCCTGGAGCTGACCAAGGTGTGGAGGCAGGCAGACCAGACCTTCATCTCTCTACTGCAGGCCGTGAGGCTAGGCAGGTGAGCTCTGCTGGTTGGGGAAGGGGCTATGGGATGAGGATCCAGGCATGGGCCACAGTGGAACACAGAGAGGGACTCACAGAAGGGGTAGAATTGTTACCCTCAGGAGCAAGCACTCCATGCAGGAAGAGGAGCCTTGGGCAGGGCACTGGACAACTCAGGATGGATTGTAGTCAAGACCATCATGGCACCATAGGAGATGGTTGCTCTGAGTGCTGGGACCTAGCCTCCCTCAGGGTTGGGTCTCCATCACCTAGCACAAGGCCTGGCATAAAGTAGGTGTCAGGGGCTGGGCACGGTGGCTCACGCCTGTAATCCCAGCACTTTGGGAGGCTGAGGCAGGCGGATCACAAGATCAGGAGTTTGAGACCAGCCTGGCCAACCTGGTGAAACCCAGTCTCTACTAAAAATACAAAAATTAGCTGGGCGTGGTGGCACGCACCTGTAGTCCCAGCTACTTGGGAGGCTGAGGCAGGAGAATCGCTTAAACCAGGGAGGCAGAGGTTGCAGTGAGCCAAGATCATGCCACTGCACTGCAGCCTGGTGACAGAGCGAGACTCCGTCTCAAAAAACAAAAACAAAACAGAAACATAAGCTAGATTTTTCACCCAAGGTAGGAGGCAAGTGGATAGAAGATTGTACCCTGGAGGCCAATCTGGGTCCTGCAAATCTCCAGCCTGTGCTCACTCATCATAGCCAACTTCCTCAGGAGTATTATGGAGTGCGAGGGTGGCCAGCTCTGACCTGGGGCAGCACAGGGAAGGGTGCCCACATGTGATCAAAGCTCAGTACCCTGCCCCTGCTTATTCCCCATGTTTGGGGTCCAAGTTTGGAAGGGACAGGTTGGCCAGCTTGAGGGGGCAGCAACTCTTCCCTGGTGCCCTCTTCCAGTCCCAAGGCCTGACCCATGGCCTGCTGCTTGAGCCATCCTGCCCATGTTCCCCACCTCCCCTGCTGCACAGGTGGGCTCTGCCCTGACAGTCCAGCCCCAACAGGTGTTCAGATGAGGTGACCCGCCAGCTCCAGGCCACAGCTTCCCACAAGGTGGGGCGAGATGGGATTGTGGCCACGAGGCTCTGCACCCACCAGGATGATGTGGCCCTCACCAACGAGAGGCGGCTTCAGGAGCTGCCAGGTGAGCAGGGAGCCTGGGCTGGGCAAGACCAGCTGGGAAGAGTTATAAGCAGATGTAGCCCCCAGGCAACCTGGGCCTCTGGGTCCTAGGCCCCCAACCTCTGAAGCCATAAAGGCCCTCATATTTGCAAATGCAACTGTGACTTTGAGAGGTGTGATGAACTAAATTCCACAGCCCCCCAGGCCTGCGCTGCCTCTACTCCCTACCCCCGTGCTCTGGTCTAATAGTTTTTTTTGGAGGCTGGGAGCGGTGGGTCATACCTGTAATTCCAGCACTTTGGGAAGCCGAGACAGGCAGATCACCTGAAGCCAGCAGTTCGAGACCAGCCTGCCCAACATGGCAAAACCCCATCTCTACTAAAAATAGAAAAAAATTAGCCAGATGTGGTAGTGGGCACCTGTAATCCCAGCTATTCGGGAGGCTGAGGAGAATTGCTTGAACCCAGGAGGCAGAGGTTGCAGTGAGCCGAGATCACGCCTTTGCACTCCAGTCTGGGCAACAGAGCGAAACTCCTTCTCAAAAAATAAAATTAAATTAAATTAAAATTTAAAAAAAGTCTTTTTTGGGATGCTGAGTCACAAGTCAGTGATTTGTGATCTGTTTGCTCAACTCTTTTTCTCCAGGTAAGGTACACAGATTTGAGGCTATGGACAGCAACCCTGAGCTGGCCAGTACCCTGGATGCCCAGTGTCCTGTTAGCCAGCTCCTTCAACTAAAGCTGGGGGCCCAGGTGAGTGGGAAGCAGGGCCTAGCCCCTGGGAGCTTGGGCTGTCCCGCATGGGCCTTGCTGATCCCTACCCCTCTGCCCAGGCCACTCTGCAGCCAGTGGGCCCAGCTTTGACCACACTGAAAACCTCCCTGCCTCCTGTTCCCACCCACCTTCCCATCTTAAGCTTTCTACTGTTTTTCTCTTCCTACACCAGGAGGTCCTCCAAGCAGTGTTGTTTTGGGCAAATTTCTTTCCCTTGCTGAAGCTCTGTCCCCTCATCCCTAAAAATGGGGAATGAAATACCTACCCCACACAGCTGTCTTCTGTAGTATACTTTATAAACAGGAGACAGTCCTGATTCCTCCCTCAATGTTGGGGGTGGGCAGAAGATTTTCCTTAGGGCACCCAAGGGGAAAATGCAGGCACAGTGTATCTGAGAGGGGTGGCAGGACCTAGAGGCCATCCCTCAAGATCTGTGGTCCACAGATGTACCTATAACCAAGCCAATCATTTTCAAAGCCCTGTGATAGAGGTTGCCTTATTGATCCCTTACCACCTCCTTCTGGGGCAAATTGAGCAAATATTATTCCTCTTTGACATAAAGAAAAATTGGGACCGAGGAAGATAAGGCAACTTGCCCCAGGGGTCACAGGCAGCCAGTGGCAGAGCTAAGGATTGGGATTCAGTGTCCCCATGACAGCTCCCTGCCCTCAGCCTCTGAGAACAGCCATGGCGAAGCTAAGACCAGGCATGGGTAGGGGGGCTGCTGTCCATTCCTCTCTCTCCCTTGCAGGTGATGCTGGTGAAAAACTTATCGGTGTCTCGGGGCCTGGTGAATGGTGCCCGAGGGGTGGTAGTTGGGTTCGAGGCAGAAGGGAGAGGTAAGTGTTGGGAGGAGGTGGCAGTCCTGCTACGGGGCTTTGCAGCATGGCCCCGGGAATGGTGGGGGGAGAAAAAGACTAGGAAGGAAAGCTCCAAAGGCCCCTGCTCCTCACCTCAGAGCCCTGAAGCAGAGCTAAAGTTGGACTGCTCCATGCTCTCCTTAGGGCTACCCCAGGTGCGGTTCCTGTGTGGAGTCACTGAGGTCATCCACGCTGACCGCTGGACGGTGCAGGCCACCGGGGGCCAGCTCCTCAGTCGGCAGCAGCTGCCCCTCCAGCTGGCCTGGGCGATGTCCATCCACAAGAGCCAAGTGAGCACCGGTGTGGGGGGCAGGGACAGGGAGGGCAGAGGGAGGTCAGGCATGTTGCAGTCTATGTGTCTTTTTTTTATTTTTGAGACAGAGTCTTGCTCTGTCGCCCACGCTGGAGTGCAGTGGCGCGATCTTGGCTCACTGCAACCTCCACCTCCCAGGTTCAAGAGATTCTCCTGCCTCAGCCTCCTGAGTAGCTGGGACTACAGGCGCATGCCACCACGCCTGGCTAATTTTTGTATTTTTAGTAAAGATGAGGTTTCACTTTGTTGGCCAGGATGGCCTCAATCTCCTGACCTGGTGATCCACTCACCTCAGCCTCCCAAAGTGCTGGGATTACAGGTGTGAGCCACCGTGCCTGGCCTATGTGTCTTTTTTTATTTTATTTTAGTTTAGTTTAGTTTTTGAGACAGAGTCTTGCTCTGTCGCCCAGGCTGGAGTGCAGTGATCTCGGCTCACTGCAAGCTCCGCCTCCCAGGTTCACACCATTCTCCTGCCTCAGCCTCCCGAGTAGCTGGGCTACAGGCGGCCGCCACCACGCCTGGCTAATTTTTTGTATTTTTAGTAGAGATGGGGTTTTGCCATGTTGGCCAGGCTGGTCTCGAACTCAGGTCATCTGCCCGCCTCGGCCTCCCAAAGTGCCGAGATTATAGGCGTGAGCCACCACACCCAGCCCAGAATAAACTTTTCTTTAGTGAATTTCCAAGTCCACCTCCTCTCCCTTTCCTGGATACATTCACTTCCCCTCTGCCATCTCCTGCCCCACCATTTTCTAAGCCACCACTAGATACGTAAAATTGTATAAATTGTATACAACCACTGTATCAAGTATAAAGTATAGATATAATGAATAATCCTATTTTGCACAGAAAGAAACCAGGGCTCATGTGTCCCATGTCACACAGTTAGTGAGTGGCAGCCTGGATTCAGCTCCACGCCTGTCTGACCCAGAGCCTGAGTGCTTTCCTTTCACTCCATCCCTCAACTCTTACCTGGATCTGTCTCCCGGTCCCCCTCCTACTCAGACAGCCACCTGCTGTCATGCTCTCCCTCTGTCTAGAGACTCTCTGGACTGGACGAGGAGATCCAGGGGCAGTAGCAGGGCTGGTAAAGGGTCAGGCCTTTCGGGGCAAGGGACTTAAGGCTGAGCTGACTCCATCTCTGTCCCTGCATCCCCCAGGGCATGACCCTGGATTGTGTGGAGATTTCTCTGGGCCGTGTGTTTGCCAGTGGCCAGGCCTATGTGGCCCTTTCTCGGGCCCGCAGCCTGCAGGGCCTACGTGTGCTGGACTTTGACCCCATGGCGGTTCGCTGTGACCCCCGTGTGCTGCACTTCTATGCCACCCTGCGGCGGGGCAGGAGCCTCAGTCTGGTAAGAGGGAGTCATCCAGTGGTGGGCTGTGGCCACGGGCAGGGTGGGAGCTAGGACAGAGGGAGCGCCGGCCCAGTGGGACCTGGGGTGGGGGCAGAAAAGCCCTCTGCTGGCTCCTTTAGGGGTGAGGGCAAAAGGAAAGAGATGCTGGCCCCCAGGTTATGGTCCTGGGGAACAGCACAAACCCATGACTGGGCTTCTCTGGCTCTGATCCAGGAGTCCCCAGATGATGATGAGGCAGCCTCAGACCAGGAGAACATGGACCCAATCCTCTGAGCCTCACCCACAAAGAGAAGACAAAGGGTGGCCTGTGGCCTCCCCGTCCTCCTGCTCCCTAGTGGCCCAGGGCCCCAGGGAATAACTGGAGTAGGCAGGCAGTGTCCCCTTCTGTATTTTTTAGGGACTCTCAGCCTCCTGGCAGGGTTAAAGGGAGAGTACTTTAAACCCATATACCAGCTGTGCTTCAGTTTCTCTCACTTTGCCCTGGGTAAGCTGCTGTAGGGTCAGAAGTAACCCTTTCTGTGCCAGTTGAGAATGAGCCTGTGTGGTAGCTGATGTCAGAGGACAAAGCTCTCTGCAAGGGCTGGACACAGAGCTGCAGAGTCCTGAACATCCCTCCTTTCAGGCTGCAGAAGGGAGAGGCAATGAAGACAGGTGCTCCGGAAGCAGCATCAGGGCTCTTGGAGGGGACTGGTGGGGACTCAGGCTGGGTGCAGCCTCCAAACAGAGAACGGAACTTAGGTGTGTCTCTACAGCTAGGCCCAGCCTAGCCCAGCCCAGAACAAACACCCTTCAGAGCCTAACCAAAGAACATAAGCTGCAAAATGTGCACCCATATTTTAAGCTGCTTTTTCAGGGGATAAATAGTGTTTGGGGACATTGAAATGGATGTTCTCAGGTTGTATTTATTTCGGACAAATAAACTAGAGAATTGTGTAAAAACTGTGCCTCCTGCCTCCTCTCTCTCCCCCTCTCACTTGTGCATGTGCACACACGTGTTTGTTTAGGCCACAGTGGCTGAGATCACACCCTTCTGTGAGGTGGTCTTAGTATCACTGGTCGTTTGAAAAGCTGAGTTATCTGATGTTGGTGACTAGCAATAAAATGACATTGTCACCGGGCATGATGGCTCACGCCTGTAATCGCAGAACTTTGGGAGGCCGAGGCGGGTGGATCACCTGAGATCGGGAGTTCGAGACCAGCCTGACTAACATGGAGAAACCCCATCTCTAGTAAAAATACAAAATTAGCCAGGCATGGTGGTGCATGCCTGTAATCCCAGCTACTCAGGAGGCTGAGGCAGGAGAATCACTTGAACCCGGGAGGTGGGGAAGTGGAGGTTGCAGTGAGCTGAGATTGCGTCATTGCACTGCAGCCTAGGCAACAAGAGTGAAACTCTGTCTCAAAAAAAAAACAAAACAGAAATGACGTTGTCATTTGGTGAAGGTGAGTTACCATCACCCAATAGTCAGACATACTAGAGAATTCACGTGGTGGGAAACAAACAGGCCTGCTATATGTTGCTGCATTTGCTAGGAGCCTGGGTTGAAATTTCTCAGTTTGAGCCTTGATGGTCTCCCCAGCTTGAACCTGATCATCAACAAACTAACTTCAGTTTTTCAAAAAGCCTGATGGAAATTGCCCAGGGGTCCTCATAGGCTAGCTAAAACTAAGATTCTCTGCTTGTGAGTGAAAAGGTATCGATTCTGGGTGGTAAATATGGGTTATGATGGAGGCATGCATTGGCAGCTACAGGTGTCAGATTAATAAAAAAGGTGGCTGGGGCCGGGCGCAGTGGCTCACGCCTGTAATCCCCAGCACTTTGGGAGGCCAAGGCGGGCGGATCACGAGGTCAGGAGATGGAGACCATCCTGGCTAACACAGTGAAACCCCGTCTCTACTACAAATACAAAAAAATTAGCTGGGCATGGTGGTGGGCGCCCGTAGTCCCAGCTACTCTGGAAGCTGAGAATGGAGTGAACCCGGGAGGCGGAGCTTGCAGTGAGCTGAGATTGCACCACTGCACTCCAGCCTGGGTGACAGAGAGAGACTCTCTCTCAAAAAAAAAAAAAAAAAAAAAAAGATGGCCTGATAAGGTGGCTCACACTTGTAATCCCAGCATATTGGGAGGCCAAGGCGGGTGGATTGCTTGAGCCCAGGAGTTCGAGACCAGCCTGGGCAACATGATGAAGCCCTTGTCTCTACCAAAAAACAAAAATTTGCCGGGCACAGTGGTGTAGTCCCAGGAGGAACTCTGGAGGCTTGAGGTCAGGGGTTCAAGACCAGCCTGGCCAACATGGTGAAACCCCATGTCTACAAAAATTAGCTGGGCATGGTGGTGCCACCCTCCCTGACCTGGAGAAGTCAATTTTTTTTTTTTTTTTTTGAGACAGAGTCTCGCTCTGTTGCCAGGATGGAGTGCTGGAGTGCAGTGGCACGATCTCAGCTCACTGCAACCTCTGCCTCCCTGGTTCAAGCGATTCTCCTGCCTCAGCCTCCCAAAGAGCTGGGATTACAGGCACATGCCACCAAGTCTAGCTAATTTTTGTATTTTTAGTAGAGACAGGGTTTCACCATGTTGGCCAGGATGGTCTCGATCTCCTGACCTTGTTATCTGCCCACCTTGGCCTCCCAACTGCGCCCGGCTGAGTCAATTGTTTTTCTGTGACACAATTTCTTTTCTCTGTTCCAAACAGAAGACACTCTTAGGAGCAGAAAACAAGCCCACCAGAGTGACACCTCCTTCCCCTACCCCACAACAAGTGGGCAACCATGGGGGTCTTTAAATGTGGTGCCATTTATATGTCAGATGTTCCCAATTTCCCCATGCAACACATCCCTTCTCCCAGGTCCAGCTGTGAGCAGGTCACACTGAGGCCCTGCCCTCAGGGCAGTTACAATCTGGTTGCACTTTGCTGCTTTCACTCTTTCCTTCTACTGAACACACGGTCTGGGGACCACCCAGTTCAGCCCAGATAGCACTATCTCATATTCTCTAACAGCTCTGCAACCTTCGGTGGTCTTGGATGGAAAGAGGAGAAACTGACTCAGGATAATTGAAGCAGGAAAGGAAGATAACAACAGGCTATCTCAAAGAACTGATATGAAGCCCAGAAAACTAGGCTTGGAAACAAATAGGAATCAGAAAGGCTAGAGCCACTGGCAGGAGTAGAGCTGGGAGCAGTCAGGCCAGGAAGACCTTTGCAGCCGCCACCAGACACTGAGCACAGCTGCCAGGGGCAGGAGCTCTGCACTCTGCTACCTCCTCCCCCGATTCAGTTCAGACCTAAAGGCGGGTATGGGGCTGGGTGACCTTGGTCTCCCATGCAAGTCCTGTGGCTACTGGCAAGAGGCCAAATGTTTCATCAAGTTGCAAGAGGGCCTAGTGATTCTGTCCAGGATGACTCTCTAATCACCCCCGAAGGCCGGGTTGTTGGGGATGTCTGAGGGTCCGGTGATGCAGTTATCTTCTGCATCCTCACCTGGGACTCCTCTCTCTGACTCCATCCTCCACACATGGCTGAGGCATCCCACTCACCCAGCCCCTTCCCCTTCCGCAGGGGCTGATCACAGCTTTTCCCAGTCTCATATGCATCTGTCCTGCTATATAAAATGTCTTTCTCGTGAGACTACCTGGGCACCGGAAAGTCCTCTCCTTAGCAATCCCTTCTCATGGTGAAGATGCTCTCTGGAAGGCCCCCAGAGGAAGACAAGTGAGTTCCACATGGTGGGTGAGCTCCAGACATTCCTGACCCGCATGCCAGATCACAATAGTGGATTATTTTATGAGGTGTGCAAGAAACCTCACGGCTCTCTATTTTCTTGACATCTAATTTAACTTAACTTTGAGCCTGTATCCCGAGGGGTGTAGGGAAACCCTATCTCAGTCAGACAGGAGGCTCCTCAATCCCCAGGGTCAAATGAGAGTGGGGCTTATAGGAGCCGCTCTCATCTTCAGGGCCCGCCCTGATCACCATCCATAGGCAGTAACTCAGCCTGGGCCCTGGGATGGGGTGGGAGGCTTTCTGAGACTCTCCAGTACCTCATGCCAGGCCCTCTGGGCCCCTGCCACCTCCCTGTGGTGCTCCCAGAGGACCCTCTGACCACTTGCCCCTCCCCAGTCTATGGAACCCTCCTTCTCTCTGCCTCTCCTTCCCCCCAGCATCATCCTCTCAAGGAACTTTACCTGTGAAGCAAAGGCCAGGAAAGACTGTGTCCTCAGATAACTTCTGGATTTGAGGCAAAGAAGCACAGGGAGAGCCATATACGGTGGCTCGCACCTGTAATCCCGGCACTTTGGGAGGCTGAGGTGGGTGAATCACTTGAAATCAGGAGTTTGAGACCAGCCTGGGCAACAAGGTGAAACCCATCTCTACCAAAAATACAAAAAATTAACCAGGCATGGTGGTGCGTGTCTGTGGTCCCAGGAGGCTGAAGTGGGAGGATCACTTGAGCCCAGGGGGCAGAGGTTGCAGTGAGCCAAGATATCATGTCACTGAAACTCAGGCTGGGTAACAGAGTGAGACTCCAGCTCAAAACAAAACAAAGCAAAAATACACACACACACACACACACACACACACACACACACACACACACACACACACACCCAGCACATGGAAAGGGGCAGGCAGACAGCAAGGGAATGAACAAAGAAATAAGGAAGGTAGAGAGCTTACCCTTAGGCGACCAGGACTTGCTACCTGCCCAAGAAAGCTGCCCTCATATAGCAGGGTGTGGGTGGAAAAACTCCAACTGCTTTTTCCTGTTCTCTCAACAGCAACAACAATTAACACAGAGAGAAGACTTCTGTGACCAAATGCAGGGACTTCTTCCCATCAACAAACAAGCAATTCTGTAGCGGACACTAGCTGGGTGTCCTCTAATTTAATTCTGAAGCTATCTACCTGGAGGCAGCCTCAGATCCCACAGGTTGAGGACTCAGTCACCAAAACTGACAGCCCCTTCAGACAGTCACAAGTCTGGGCCTCTGGAACTTCTGACCGACTGGCTTCAAGTTGGGGTTCCCAAGACCCCCCTCTTTTGGTTTGATTAATTTCCTAAAGTGAGTTACAGAACTCAGGGAAACACATTTATCACTTTATTAGAAAAGGATACGTGGGGGAAGGGGTGTGGAGCTTCCCTCTGTGGGAAAGCCTTCCTCCACTAATATCCACTTGCTCAGCTACCCAGAAGCTCTTAGAACCTCTGCTTTGGGGCCTTTTATGGAGAATTCATTATGTAAGCATGATTGATTAACCATTGGTCATCAATTTAACTTTCAGCTCCCTCCCCTCCCCTGAGGTCATAGGGTGGGGCTGAAAGTCCCAACCCTCTAATCCTGCCCTGGTCTTTCTGGTGACCAGCCCCATCCTGAAGCTGCCTAGGGGCTGCCGGCCATCAGGCAATCATCAGCATACAAAAAGACACTTATCACTTTGGAGATTCCAAGGATTTTAGGAGTTGTATGCCAGGAAATGGGGATGAAGACCAAATGTATATTTCACATTCTTACAGGCTGTGCCACTGCTGATGGGGGCAGGGGGCACCCCTTCATTTCTGTTTCCTTCCTAGTTGGGGGATTTCGCACTCTCCTCTCCACTCTCCCACAGGAAGGCTGGAGTTGACTTTGCCAGGTGGACGAGTTGGAGAAAAGGTGTTTGGAGAGAGGAGCTACACAGTGCAAATGCACAGAGATGTGAACTATCCTTGATGGACCTATGGTCCACTTTAAAGGCTTTAATGCAAGAGAAGGTGGTATGTGGGGAGGCTGGCCTGGCCCTGAGGGGGCTGAGCCCAGAGTAGGGGGCTCAGCCCAGGGCGATCCAGTCCCCAGCTGGGAGGCAGGCAGGGGGCCAGGCAAGAGGGGCGGGGCGATGGCCCTCAGAAAGATAATCTTATGACCTGACTTGTCACAGTTCCTGCCACTTCTCAAAGACATTCACCCTTGGAGGGGGAGTCCCACTACCTGCTGTCCCTCCACTTGCCTCCTGTGCCTTATGCTCCCTCCTCAGTGTCCCCTGGGATCTGCATCTGAGGGTAGTGAGCAATTTACAGCTCAGTCTCCCTGCTAGGATGAAGCGGATCCCTTGATCCCGAGAGACACAGCTGAGATGTCTTTGTGTCCTCACAACCCTCAGCAGGATGACTTTTGAAAGCAGATGCTTCATTAAATGTTTCATAAGTGAACAAAGGCTTGGACAGTGACCTGAGAGGTAAGGAATGTTTACTCCCATTCTGCAAAGGAGGTAGCTGAGGCCTGGAGAGGTTCTTAGTGGCAGAACTGGAACTAGAATAGAACCCTGAGCCCTGTGCGCTCCTTCACCCTGTCTTCAGTGGGGTGCCAACTAGGCCTGACCCCATCCTTTCTGACGTCCTGGTATATTTTTCCCATCCGCACTGGGCTAATGATCTTACTTAACCCCCAATCCCGGAGCAGCCGGGCCCTCCCGCTCCCCATGCACTGCAGACCACTAGGTGGCGCCAATTGGTCATTCAGTCCTTTCCCAGGGAACCGCAGAGCCTTTGTCTCCCAGTCTCTGGGCTTAGGTGGGGGGTGCATGGACACTTTAGGAGGTGGGGGCTGAGTTAGTGTAGAGCAGGGAAGTTTTAAATAATCTTCCATCAGATTATCTGCTTTGTGCTCATTAACCCTCTTGTTGGTTTGTTTTTGTTTTTGAGATAGGGTCTAGCTCTGTCACCCAGGTTGGAGTGCAGTGACGCAGTCAGAGCTTGCTGCAGCCTCGAACTCCTGAGCTCAAGCAATACTCCTGCCTCAGCCTCCCAAAGCATTGGGATTACAGGGGCGAGCCACCATGCCCGGCCTCATTAACCCTCTAGTTTGTTTTTCACAATAACCCTGGGAGGTTGGGACAATTGTCCCCATTTTATAAAGAGAGAAACCTAATTTCTTTTTCTTTTCTCTTTTTTGTTTTTTTGTTTTTTTTGAGACAGTCTTGCTCTGTCACCCAGGTTGCAGTGCAGTGGTGCCATCTCAGCACACTGCAACCTCTGCCTCATGGGTTCAAGCAATTCTCCTGCCTCAGCCTCCCGAGTAGCTGGGATTACAGCTGGCTAATTTTGTATTTTTAGTAGAGACGGGGTTTCTCCACGTTGGTCAGGTTGGTCTGGAACTCCCGACCTCAAGTGATCTGCCTGCCTTGTTCTCCCAAAGTGCTGGGATTACAGGCATGAACCACTGCGCATGGCTGAGAAACCTAACTTCTGAGAGGTTAGGTGACTTGGCTATGGCCACACTGCAAGCTGTATCTGGAACCCAAGTCCCAAATAAAGGGTCCTGGGATTTTTGCAAAGTCAGCAGAGAGCCCTGAAGCCAGATTCCTGTGTTTAAACACTGGCCCCATCAGTTCCCGACTGTGTGACTGTGGTTATTCTGCTTAAATCTGAGCTCTGGTTTCATCGTTGGTGAAATGGGGATAAAGCCGATCAAACATGGATGGAGTTAGGAAGACAGAAGAGCTGGAGTCAGGCCAGGGATGCAGCAAACCCTCAAGGTTAGCTCTTATTTATTTGTCTTGATTATTGTCACCTGAAGGGGCCATCCCCCGCCCCATTAACCCCCTCTTGAGCAGCCTCTGGGGAATAACAAAGAGAATTCACAGCAGCCCAGAGTAAATGAATGCCATCTTTCACAAAGCCTTCCTTCCTGTCTGGCCTTCTGGAGGACCTGGGCTGCGCCCACCCACCATGGGGAAGGGGAGGATGAAATCTCCCCACTCTGCCTCCCGCAACACACGTGAGGTACAGGTCCCGGTCAGTTAGTGCACTTGGGCATAATCCCCCTTCTGTCTTCTGCCCATTTTCTTATGAAAGCGACTTCGACAACTCTAAAGTGGAATTTTTTTTTTTTTTTGAGACGGAATTTCGCTCTTGTTGCCCAGGCTGGAGTGCAATGGCGTGATCTCGGCTCTCTGCAACCTCCCCCTCCCGGATTCAAGCAGTTCTCCTGCCTCAGCCTCCTGAGTAGCTGGGATTACAGGCATGCACCACCACGTCCGGCTAATTTTGTATTTTTAGTAGAGACGGGGTTTCTCCATGTCGGTCAGGCTGGTCTCGAACTCCCAGCCTCAGGTGATCCGCCCACCTCAGCCTCCCAAAGTGCTGGGATTACAAGTGTGAGCCACCGCGCCCAGTCTACAGTGGAATCTTTAGACCTAGTTTACAGAGGAAGTCAAGGCTCACAGAAGGTGGGTGGCCCTAGGTCATATGGCTGTAAATGGCAGATCCAGGTTGGGCATCCAGGTATCTGAGGCCTCACCTTGGTGTTCAGGGCCTTTGAAAAAAGGACTGAACATGGGATGCTTCCTTTCCCCCTAGCTCTGTCCCCAAAACTCCACAGGCCAGACTCCATTTCCTTAAGATTCCAAGAGCATCACCTGCTGGGACAGAAATGGCAGGGGGGTGCCCCTGAGTCCTTGGCCCTGGCAGGCCAAGATGGGAGGGGTGGGGCTTGAAAGGCTTAGAAGGTGACCTTGAATAGGGAATTGGAACCCTAAATTCCTGAGGAGGCCTGGGGCGGGGGCTGTGAATGAGACAGCCAGCCCATCTCCACTCCTCCCCCGCAGCTCCAGCTCCCGCCTTCAGCCTCAGCCTCCAGGCAGATGCCCGCCCCAGGGGTGCCCCCTCAATCCCCGCCCCCAGTGGGTGTTGGGTTCAGTAAGCAGAGCCCCAGCTCACCTGGGAAGGTGCAGAGTGAGGATGGCATCCAGTTACAAGCTAGGGCTGGGAGGACAGGCAGGGGCAGCCCGGGGGCAGGGGCCAAAGGTCTGGAAACTGATGGTGGGGGCAGGTGTCAGGGGAGGTCTCAAGACAGCCCCCCACTCTGCAGGCCCTATCCCCTTGCCTCCCAGAAAACCTCCACACTCCTGGCATCTGAAGACCGGGGCGTCTCCCCGCAGACTAGGCCTGTGCTTGGTAAACTGTGCAGGGCTCTGCGCACTCCTGGGAGGTTGTTCTCTCTTGCAGCTCCACTCCTTTCTCCCTTCCGCCAAGATGGCCTCCTCTCCCGCCCCTCTACTGGGACCTGGCACAGCACTCCATGCCTATTTAAGGCAAATCTCCTGATCTCCTTTTAAATAACATTCGCTCCTTGTTGTGGAGAAAGCAAGCAGGGCCTGAGCTCGGGAAAGGGGAGGAAACCCAAATATCCCATGGAGTGGGTCATGGGGGAGCACGGGTGGGGGAAGCAGGTATGTACTCCCCCTCCCAAAATGAGCCTTGAGAAGGTCCTTTCCCCCATCCCCTGAGTCCTGCTGGTCCCTCATTGCATAGGCCCTGGATTGGCTCGAACCCCTTCAGAGGGGCTGGGGCACTCCCAGAAGGCTAGGACAGGGCAGCTCTTGCAGGCGTTGGGGGAGGGGCATGGGGGGATATATGCTTTGGCTAAAGGAGGGGCATACCCAGGAAGACCGGCAAGGGCCATGGAGGGTCTGAGGTTGGATGGACATCTGACCTCACAGCCCACCCAGTGTGAACGATGCACCAAAACTGCTCTTTGTTAGAACCTGAGGCTCAGAGAGAGCAAAAAACTTGCCCAGGGTCACACAGCCTGAGTGGAAGGGTCTGAAATCCAAGCTGGCAGGCTCCAGATTTAACGCTTTCTCCCCTTCTCTGCCAGGTCTCCTTGTGCCAGGGACTATGTGACACAAGACTTCTAGGCCCTTTTCAGGCATCATTCAAAGCCCTGAGCACACACCCTTCCTCCGCCTGCCTTCCTCTCTTCTGCCTCCTCTCCAGACCCACCAGAGCTGCCTTTCCCAGGTCTTCGGTCCCTGACTCAGACCTGCCCCACTGCTACTTCCTTCTCTCCCACTTCCCCTCTTCCTAGTCTTTCCCCCAGGTGGCTGCCTCCCTGGCCTCCCTTCTAAGCATCGCTAATCCCCCTGTGGTCCTCATATGACTGAGACGCCCTCTCCAGGGTTCAAAAAGATGGTCAGGGATCTTTTACAGATCATGTTGCCTCCTCGGGACCAGGAGCTTACTCCTCAGGCATGTGAGCCCCAGCAGGCCGGCCCCACCCCTGTCAGGCTGGACTGGGGGCTGGGGGACCAGAGGGAGGAAGAAGCCCTAGCCTCGCCTTCCTCTGCTCACTGAGAACTGAAAAAACCACAGTGGTCAGTTGGTCCAGTGGCCTCACATCACAGATGAGCAAACTGTGGCTCAGGGAATGGGAAGGAAGGCCCCAGGGTCCCCACAGTGAAATAGAAGCTGAGCTGGGTCTGACTGGAGCCCCTAATAACCTAAGGTGGGGGCTTCATCCTGGGAAAAGAGGGTCTATTATAGGAGGAAATGCAGCCACTGTCACTGCCCCAGTGTTAGTGTGCTTGTTGGATGGGGCGGGGGCGGTGGTGCCTGGAGGTGGGAGTATGTGAGGGTGAACTTTGTGTTTAATTGGGGTGTACTTGATCTTCTCTGGGTCTTTCTAGCCTGGCTCTACCGTTAACCTCTTGTGTGTCATTGGGCAAGCCCCTTTCCCTCTTTGGGCCTCAATTTCCTCCTGTAAAATGAGTTGGAGAGATCTTTGAGATCCCTTCCAGCTCAGACCTCATGCATCTCCCATCAGCCCAGCCTCATCTGCCCACCTGTTTCCAGGCTCCTGCCCTGGCTAAGGTTGTCTCACAGCCTGCTGAGGCTCCCATGGCCTCTCTCAGAATGGTCTCTCTCAGCTGGGCGCAGCAGCTTATGCCTGTAATCCCAACACTTTTGGGAGTTCAAGTCCAGCCCGGACAACATGGTGAGACCTTGTCTCTACAAAAAATCAAAAAAACATTAGCTGAGTGTGGTGATGCATACCTGTAGTCCCAGCTACTCAGGAGGCTGAGGCAGGAGGATTGTTTGAGCCCAGGAGGTCAAGGCTGCTGTGAGCTGATAGTGCCACTGCACTCCAGCCTGAAGGACAGAGCAAGATCCTGTCTCAAAAAAAGAAAAGAAAAGGCCAGGCATGGTGGCTCACGCCTGTAATCCCAACGCTTTGGGAGACCAAGGCAGGTGGATCACAAGGTCAGGAGTTCAAGACCAGCCTGGCCAAGATGGTGAAACCCCATCTCTACTAAAAAAATACAAAAATTACCGGGCGTGGTGGTGGGTGCTTGTAATCCCAGCTACTCCGGAGGCTGAGGCAGAGAATAGCTTGAACCTGAGAGGCGGAGGTTGCAGTGAGCCGAGATCGCGCCACTGCACTCCAGCCTGGGCGACAGGGCAAGACTGTCTCAAAAAAAAAAAAAAAAAGAAAAGAAAAAAAAAGAAAGGACTGGGCACAGTGGCTCACACCTGTAATCCCAGCACTTTGGGAGGTCAAGGCAGATGGATCACTTGAGGTCAGGGGTTCAAGACCAGCCTGGCCAACATGGTGAAACCCTGTCTCTACTGAAAATGCAAAAATTAGCTGGGCGTGGTGATGCGAGCCTGTAGTCCCAGCTACTTGGGAGGCTGAGGCAGGAGAATCACTTGAACCCAGGAGGTAGAGGTTGCAGTGAGCCAAGATTACACCACTGCACTCCAGTCTGGGTGACAGCGAGACTCCATCTCGAAAAAAAAAAAAAAGAAAGAAAGAAAGAAAAGAAAAAAATTAGCCCAGTGCAGTAGCACACACCTGTGGTCCCAGCTACTTGGGAGGCTGAGGTGGGAGGATTGCTTGAGCCTGGGAGTCAAGGCTTCAGTGAGCCGAGATTGTGCCACTGCACTCCAACCTGGGTTACAGAGCAAGCCTTGTCTCTAAATAAATAAATAAATAAATAAATAAATAAATAAATAAAAGAATGGTCCCCATTTCCTCATCACATGCATTCAGCACATCCCTCCTGCAGTCTTGGACCCTGGCTGAGTTTCCTCATCTGACACACAGCAATGACAATCCTCCCTTGAAGGGTCTGTGGTGTGAACACCCAGTGGGACACACCCGTGGGGCTTGGGAAATGCTGATGGCTTAACCAGCAGTCCCAGCTTTTCTGCACTGAACAGAAAGCCTACTCGTCCCACCTCACTCTCCTTCATCCAAGTTGACCAGGTCCTCCAAGTTTGGTTCAAGTCTTCTTTTCCTCCAAAAAGGCCAGTTCAGTTCCCCTCTGTGAACTGGAGCTCCTACAGGGCTGGACTTCCACTTGCCTGCCTCCATCAGCAGCTCCTACCATCCTGTGGGAATGCAGAGCTAGGGGCTCCAGGAGACCCAGCTACTAGGACATTTGATGAGGAAGTGGCTGGGTCTGAGGGCTCATTCCCACAGAACATGACTCCTCCTGCCCCAGAGCTGTTTTTGACACGGGATTATCTTTGACCTTCAGAAACATCCTTGCTGCCAACTCTAAAAAAGCTCAGAGTTGGCCAGTCGCGGTGGCTCATGCTTGTAATCCTAGCACTTTGGGAGGCCGAGGCAGGTGGATCACGAGGTCAAGAGATCAAGACCATCCCTGGCCAACATGGTGAAATCCCATCTCTACTAAAAATACAAAAAAATTAGCTGGGCATGGTGGCATGCACCTGTAGTCCCAGCTACCCAGGAGACTGAGGCGGGAGAACCACTTGAACCGAGGAGGCAGAGGTTGCACTGAGCCAAGATCGTGCCACTGCTCTCCAGTCTGGCGACAGAGCGAGACTCTGTCTCAAGGAAAAAAAAAAAAACAAACAAACCCAGAGTTGGGCTTCAGGACATACACTCAGCTGGAGGTTTTAGACCCCATCTTACCCTGTTTCAGTGATTGACCAAATGAATGTTCAGGGCCAGATGACCTTCCCCAAAGGCACAGGAAGGAATAGCTAGCAGGAAATACAATTTGTTAGAAGATACCACTAAGGGAAGAGAAGCCAGAACCTACCAGTTTGGCATCTTCCTACTCTGGGGTCTGAACTGCATCAGCCACTTACTTCAAGCCTCAGTTTTCTCATCAGTAAAATGGGAATAATGATACCGATTTCATCCTACATGAGAATTAAATGATATATGCAAAGTGCTTTGCTTTGCATTTATCAGATGGATCCCCTGTTTCAATAAGAACTGTAGCTACTATTTTTTGTTCTTTTTTTTTTTTTTTTTTGAGATGGAGTTTCACTCTTGTCGTCCAGGCTGGAGTAGAATGGCGCAATCTCAGCTCACTGCAACCTCTGCCTCTCGGGTTCAAGAGATTATTCTGCCTCAGCCTCCCGAGTAGCTGGGATTACAGATGCCTGCCACCGCACCCGGCTAATTTTTGTATTTTTAGTAGAGACGGGGTTTCATCATATTGATCAGGCTGGTCTCAAACTCCTGACCTCAAGTGATCCGCCTGTCTCAGCCTCACAAAGTGCTGGGATTACAGGCGTGAGCCACCGTGCCCAGCCTCAGCCTAATTTTTTGTATTTTTAGTAGAGTCAGGGGCTTCACCATGTCGGCCAGGCTGGTCTCAAACTCCTGACCTCAGGTGATCCACCCACCTCGGCCTCCCAAAATGCTGGTATTACAGATGTGAGCCACCACACCCGGCCCATTTTTTGTTCATTTATGAAGTGCCAGGCCTTGAGCTAAACACTTTGCATATATTATTATGAAGTGACATAAATGAACAAAAAATTCATTGACAAGGTGGGAGGGGAGTGTGCGGAAGTGGAGAGGCACAAACGCAGAGTTTGCTTAGCCAGAGGTGGGCAGGCGGTGAATAGCTAGAGTAAAATCACAACGTCCCAAGTGTGGTGCTAAGCAGTCTACATACATTATTCCATTTATTTGTTTATTTTTATTTTGTTTATTTATTTATTTTGAAACTGAGTCTTGCTCTCTTGCCCAGGCTGAAGTGCAGTGGCATGATCTCGGCTCACTGCAACCTCTGCCTCCCAGGTTCAAGTGATTCTTCTGCCTCAGCCTCCCCAGTAGCTGGGACTACAGGCATGCGACACCACACCCAGCTCATTTTTGTATTTTTAGTAGAGATGGGGTTTTGCCATGTTGCTCAGGCTAGGATTGAACTCATGAGCTCTCAAGTGATCTGCCCACCTGGGCCTCCCAAAGTGCTGGGATTACAGGCATGAGCCACTGCACCCAGCCCATTATTTCATTTAAATCTCAGCTTCTTCCTCTGTCAAAAGTAGTGGTTTTGAACAGAAGCTTCCCAAGTCCTTTCTAGTTTAGTGAGTACTTACAGAATGTTTTAAATCTACAAAGTATTTTTCACTTTATAGCGCCGACCACTATTTAGTTCTGTGTTCTAATAGTTGTCAGTGGCTGCACAAGTAGATGCAGAACTAGAACCAGGGAGGATGGCTAGGTTTTTCCCCAGAGCCCAGTGGCAGGAGGCTCTGAGCCCGGTGGGCAAGAGCTGAAGGCCCACACGGGCCAGGGAGGGCACGCCCCTTGAAGGCAACGACGTCATGGAAGCTTGGCTCTGGCTTCCAGCCAGCATCCGGTTCTATCTGGTTGTGCTGGGGCCCAGAGGACTGGGTCTGGAACTCATCAGCCCCACCTGTCAGCCCTCCCCTGGCCGGCAAGCAGGGGCCTTTGGTTATCACTAAGGAGAGTGAGGCTGAGGGTGAGCTGAACATGGGCACAATCCAGAGGCCCAATATCCCATCCCCGCTGGACAACTCAGGGGAGGGGGCTGTGTTCCTCAGCCAGGCACCCGCAATTTGACTGAGCTCTATTATGTGACAGGCACCATGAAGTATGCAAAGACCTCATTTATTCATTCAGTAAATATTTATTGAACACTTAACAGTGTGCCTGGCCCTGAGCTGGTTCCAGAGAATCACAAAAATTCCTGCCTGGCCAGGCGCGGTGGCTCACGCCTGTAATCCCAGCACTTTGGGAGGCCTAGATGGGAGGATCCCTTGAGCCCAAGAGTTTGAGCCCAGCCTGGACAACATAGTGAGATCCTATCTCTAAATTTTTTTTTTTTGAGACACAGTCTCACTCTGTTGCCAGGCTGGAGTGCAGTGGTGCTTAGTAGAGACAGGGTTTCACCATGTTGGCCAGGATGGCCTCGATCTCTTGACCTCATGATCCACCTGCCTCAGCCTCCCAAAGTGCTGGGATTACAAGCGTGAAAAAAAAAATTTTAAGGTTAAAAAAGTAAAAAAAGGTCGGGTACGGTGGCTCACACCTGTAATCCCAGTACTTTGGGAAGCTGAGGCAGGTGGATCACGAGGTCAGGAGATTGAGACCATCCTTGCTAGCACAGTGAAACCCCATCACTACTAAAAATACAAAAAATTAGCCGGGCGTGGTGGCGGGCGCCTGTAGTCCCAGCTACTCTAGAGGCTGAGGCAGGAGAATGGCATGAACCCGGTAGGCGGAGTTTGCAGTGAGCAGAGATCGCCACTGCACTCCAGCCTGGGCGACACAGCGAGACTCCGTCTCAAAAAAAAAAAAAAAAGTAAAAAAAAAAGTCTGGCTCTATTCTAGTAGAAGAAGCTGTAAAATAAAGCAGAAATGTGATGGGAAATTAAAAAGAGAGTGATTCACTTTACATAGAGTAGTCAGAGAAGGCCCCTTTGAGCTGAGGGAGGAAAGTAGAGCTAGAAAGACCATTCTAGACAAAGGAAAAATTGTGCAAAGACCCCAAGGCAGGAAAATTTGGAGTGTTTGGAGAGTTGTAAGACAAATGGAAGGTGGGCACACACTAAGCTCTTCCTCAATAAATGCCAGCTAAAGAAATTAATAAATGATTGTAAGGATTTCTGCTTCTAGACAAGATGATTTACATTCCCACCTAAAAACAACTAAAATACTCCCCAAAGTATGTGAAACATGGTTCTCAAGACATTGAAACCCATAAGATGAAAAATAGTGATTCCAGAGAGTCAGCAAACAAATGAGGAAAACCCTACAAATGCCCCACCTTGCTGCCTAAAGAAAATTTCCAGGGCCGGGCACCGTGACTCACACTTGTAATCCCAGCACTTTCAGAGGCCAAGGTGGAAGGATCATTTGAGACCAGCCTGGGCAGCATAGTGAGACCCTGTCTCTGCAAAAACAAATGTAAAACAGGCAGGCATGTGCCTGTTTTACAATGTAAATGTAAACAAATGTAAAACAGGTGGCAAGTGCCTGAAGTCCCAGCTATTTAGGAGGCTGAGGCAGGAGGATCACTTGAGCCCAGGAGGTCAAGGCTACAGTGAGCTATGATAATGCCACTGCACTCCAGCCTGGTAACAGAGCAAGGCCCTGTCTCCAAAACATTATATTAATAATATAATTTGGCCGGGCATGGTGGCTCACACCTGTGATCCCAGCACTTTGGGAGGCCAAGGCAGGCAAATCACCTTAGTTTAGGAGTTTGAGACCAGCCTGGCCAACATGGAGAAACCCCGTCTTTACTAAAAATACAAAAATTAGCCAGGTTTGGTGGCAGGCCCCTATAATCCCATGTACTTAGGAGGCTGAGGCAGGAGAATCGCTTGAACCTGGGAGGCAGAAGTTGCAGTGAGCTGAGACCCACGCCATTGCACTCCATCCAGGGCAACAAGAGCGGAACTCCGTCTCAAAAAAAAAAATGTACCTCTCCCTCTCCCCCTCCCCCTCCCCCTCTCCCTACGGTCTCCCTCTCCCTCTCTTTCCACGGTCTCCCTCTGATGCCGAGCCGAAGCTGGACTGTACTGCTGCCATCTCGGCTCACTGCAACCTCCCTGCCTGATTCTCCTGCCTCAGCCTGCCGAGTGCCTGCGATTGCAGGCGCGCGCCGCCACGCCTGACTGGTTTTCGTATTTTTTTGGTGGAGACGTGGTTTCGCTGTGTTGGCCAGGCTGGTCTCCAGCTCCTAACCGCGAGTGATCCGCCAGCCTCAGCCTCCGGAGGTGCCGGGATTGCAGACGGTGTCTGGTTCACTCAGTGCTCAATGGTGCCCAGGCTGAAGTGCAGTGGCGTGATCTCGGCTTGCTACAACCTCCACCTCCCAGCCGCCTGCCTTGGCCTCCCAAAGTGCCCAGAGTGCAGCCTCTGCCCGGCCGCCACCCCGTCTAGGAAGTGAGGAGCGTCTCTGCCTGGCCGCCCATCGTCTGGGATGTGAGGAGCCCCTCTGCCTGGCTGCCCAGTCTGGAAAGTGAGGAGCGTCTCTGCTGGGCCGCCATCCCATCTAGGAAGTGAGGAGCGCCTCTTCCCGGCCGCCATCCCATCTAGGAAGTGAGGAGCGTCTCTGCCCGGCCACCCATCGTCTGAGATGTGGGGAGCGCCTTTGCCCCGCCGCCCCGTCTGGGATGTGAGGAGCGCCTCTGCCCGGCCGCGACCCCGTCTGGGAGGTGAGGAGCGTCTCTGCCCAGCCACCCCGTCTGAGAAGGGAGGAGACCCTCCGCCTGGCAGCCGCCCCATCTGAGAAGTGAGGAGCCCCTCCGCCCGGCAGCCGCCCCATCTGAGAATTGAGGAGCCCCTCCGCCCGGCAGCCACCCCGTCTGGGAAGTGAGGAGCGTCTCCGCCCGGCAGCCGCCCCGTCCGGGAGGGAGGTGGGGGTCAGCCCCCGCCAGGCCAGCCACCCCGTCCAGGAGGGAGGTGGGGATCAGCCCCCCGCCCGGCCAGCCGCCCCGTCCGGGAGGGAGGTGGGGAGGTCAGCCCCCCACCCGGCCAGCCACGCCGTCCGGGAGGTGAGGGGCTCCTCTGCCCGGCCGCCCCTACTGGGAAGTGAGGAGCCCCTCTGCCCGGCCACCACCCCGTCTGGGAGGTGTGCCCAACAGCTCATTGAGAACGGGCCATGATGACAATGGTGGTTTTGTGGAATAGAAAGCGGGGAAAGGTGGGGAAAAGATTGAGAAATCGGATGGTTGCCGTGTCTGTGTGGAAAGGAGTAGACATGGGAGACTTTTCATTTTGTTCTGTACTAAGAAAAAGTCTTCTGCCTTGGGATCCTGTTGATCTGTGACCTTACCCCCCAACCCTGTGCTCTCTGAAACATGTGCTGTGTCCACTCAGGGTTAAATGGATTAAGGGCAGTGCAAGATGTGCTTTGTTAAACAGATGCTTGAGGGCAGCATGCTCTAAGAGTCATCACCACTCCCTAATCTCAAGTACCCAGGGACACAAACACTGCGGAAGGCCTCAGGGTCCTCTGCCTAGGAAAACCAGAGACCTTTGTTCACTTGTTTATCTGCTGACCTTCCCTCCACTATTGTCCTATGACCCTGCCAAATCCCCCTCTGTGAGAAACACCCAAGAATGATCAATAAAAAAAAAAAAAAGTAAAAAAAAAAAAAAAAGTATATATAAAAAAAGAATCAGCCGGGCGCGGTTGCTCATGCCTGTAATCCCAGCACTTTGGGAGACCAAGGCAAGCAGATCACAGGGTCAGGAGTTCGAGACCAGCCTGGCCAATATGGTGAAACCCCATCTCTACTAAAAATACAAAAATTAGCTGGGCGTGGTGGTGTGTGCCTGTAGTCTCAGCTACTCAGGAGGCTGAGGCAGAAGAATCGCTTGAACTTGGGAGGCAGAGGTTGCTGTGAGCTGAGATTGCGCCACTGCACTCCAGCCTGGGCAACAGAGTGAGACTTCGTCTGAAAACAAACAAACAAACAAACAAAATCTCCATTGGATAGGAGAGTATTACAAGAAATTAAAAAGAAAAAATTTTAAATAAAGAAAGAAAAGAAAAAAAATCCAGTACCTAACAAAGTAAAATTGGCAGTGTCTGACATCCAACAGAAATTAGCATGTATACAAAGAGACAGGAAAACATGACCCCTAAGAAAAATAAAAACCAATCAATTTAAATCTACTCAAGGTGAAGCATGGTGGCCCATGCCTGTAATCCAGCACTTTGGGACTTGAGGTCAGGAGTTCGAGACCAGCTTGGCCAACATTATGAAATCCCATCTCTACTAAAAATACAAAAAAATTAGCAGAACATGGTGACCCACCTGTAATCTCAGCTACTAGGGAGGCTGAGGCAGGAGAATCTCTTGTACCTGGGAGGTGGAGGTTACAGTGAACTAAGATTGTGCCATTGCACTCCAGCCTGGGCAACAGAGCTAGACTCCATCTCAAAGAAAACTATAGACTAATATCTCTTATCAATATGGATGCAAAAATCCTCAGCAAAATACCAGGAAAGTGGCCAGGTTGAGTGGCTCACACCTGTAATCCCAGTGCTTTGGGAGGCTGAGGCTGGAGGATTGCTTGAGCCCAGGGGTTCAAGACCAGCCTGGGCAACAGATCTTGTGTCTAGAAAAAAAAAATTTTTTTTAATTAGTTGGGCATGGCGGCCACACTTGTAGTCCCAGCTACTTGGGAGGCTGAGGCAGGAAGGATCGCTTGAGCCCAGGAGTTCAAAGCTGCAGTCAGCTATGATTGCACCACTGCACTTCAGCCTGAACAACAGAGTGAGACCCTGTCTCAGACAACAACAAAACACTAGCAAACCAATTCCAGCAACATATACAAAAAATTATACCATGACCAAGTGGAATTTATTCCAGAAATGCATGGTTGGTTTAACATCCAAATATCAATCAATGTAATATATTTTACTAATAGAATAAGAAAACATGATTATCTCAAAAGACATAAAGAAAGCATTTGACAAAATACAAAACCCATTCATGATTAAAAAAAACAAAACACGAAAAAATACTTGGTTGGGCTCGGTGGCTCACACCCGTAATCTCAGCACTTTGTGAGGCTGAGGCGGGTGGATCGCTTGAGCCCAGAAGTTTGAGACCAACCTCGGCAACAGAAAGGGACCCCATCTCTATTAAAAAAGAAAAGAGGGCGGGGCCTGGTGGCTCACACCTGTAATCCCAGCACTTTGGGAGGCCGAGGCAGGCAAATCACAAGGTCAGGAGTTTGAGACTAGCCTAGCCAATACGGTGAAACGCGCTTGCTGCTGAACATATTAAACAATCGGCTGGGTGTGGTGGCGCGCACCTGTAGTCCCAGCTACTCAGGAGGCTGACGCAGGAGAATCGCTTGAACCCAAGAGGTGGAGGTTGCATGAACCAAGATTTTGCCACTGCACTCCAGCGTGGGTGACAGAGTGAGACTTCATCTCAAAAAAAAAAAAAAAAAAGGCCCAGTGCAGTGGCTCACACCTGTAATCCCAGCATTTTGGGAAGCCGAGGTATGTGGATTACGAGGTCAGGAGTTCAAGACTGGCCTGACCAAGATGGTGAAACCCCATCTCTACTAAAACGACAAAAATTAGCCAGGCTGAATGGCAAGCACCTGTAATCACAGCTACTCGGGAGGCTGAGGCAGGAGAATCGCTTGAACCCAGGCGGCAGAGGTTGCAGTGAATTGAGATTGCACCACTGCACTCCAGCCTGGATGACAGAGTGAGACTCCGTCTCAAAAGAAAAGAAAAGAAAAGAAGGGCCAGGTGTGGTGGCTTATGCCTGTCATCCCAGCACTTTGGGAGTCCAAGGTGGGTGGATCACCTGAGGTTGGGAGTTCAATAGAGCCTGACCAACATGGAGAAACCCTGTCTCTACTAAAAATACAAAAAAATTAGCCAGGCGTGGTGGCAGGCAGGCACCTATAATCCAGCTACTCAGGAGGCTGAGGCAGAAAAATCCCTTGAACTCAGAAGGCGGAGCTTGCAGTGAACCGAGATACCACCTGGGCTACAAAGCAAGACTCCAGCCAAAAAAGTTAAAAAGGCCAGGCGCGGTGGCTCACGCCTGTAATCCCAGCACTTTAGGAGGCCGATGCGGGCTGATCACAAGGTCAGGAGATCGAGACCATCCTGGCTAACACGGTGAAACCCCATCTCTACTAAAAATATACAAAAAAATTGGCCGGGTATGGTGGTGGGTGCCTGTAGTCCCAGCTACTTGGGAGGCTGAGGCAGGAGAATGGCGTGAACCCGGGAGGTGGAGCTTGCAGTGAGCTGAGATTGCGCCACTGCACTCCAGCCTGGGCAACAGAGGGAGACTCTGTCTCAAAAACAAAACATAACAAACAAACAAAGCCTGGGTGTGGTGGCTCAAGCCTGTAATCCCAGCACTTTGGGAGGCCGAGGTGGGCGGATCACCTGAGGTTAGGAGTTTGAGACCAGCCTGACCAACATGGAGAAACCCTGTCTCTACTAAAAATACAAAACTAGTCAGGCATGGCGGCACATGCCTGTAATCCTAGCTACTCAGGAGGCTGAGGCGGGAGTATCGCTTGAAGCTGGGAGGTGGAGGTTGAGGTGAGCTGAGATTGCGCCATTGCACTCCAGATTGGGCAACAAGAGCAAAACTCCGTCTCAGAAAAAAACACAATTCCATTTACAATAGCATCAAAAAGGATAAAATACTTAGGAATAAATTTAGCAAGAGAAGTATAAAACTTATACTCTGAAAACAACATTAAAATAAATTTTAAAAGACTTAAATAAATAGAAAAAAATGCCATGTTAATGGATTCAGAGACTTTTTTTTTTTAATGGAGTCTTGCTCTGTTGCCCAGGCTGCAGTGCAGTGGTACAACCTTGGCTCGTTGCAACCTCCACTTCCCAGGTTCAAACGATTCTCCTGTTTCAGCCTCCCAAGTGGCTGGGAAGACAGGTGCACGCCACCATGCCTGGCTAATGTTTGTATTTTTAGTAGAGACAAGGTTTCACCATGTTTACCAGGTCAGGCTGGTCTCAAACTCCTGACCTCAGGTGATCCACCTACCTTAGCCTTCCAAAATGCTGGGGTTACAGGCATGAGCCACGGTGCCCGGCCAGGATTCAGAGACTATTTGTTAGGATAGTAATAGTCCTCAAATTGATCTACAGATTCAGTGCAATCTCTTACACAATCCTAGCTGACTTCCGTATAGAAATGGACAAGCTGCCGGGCGTGGTGGCTCATGCGTGTAATCCCAGCACTTTGGGAGGCCGAGGCAGTCGGATCATGAGGTCAGGAGATTGAGACCATCCTGGCTAACGTGGTGAAACCCCATCTCTAGTAAAAATACAAAAAATTAGCTGGCGTGGTGGCATGTGCCTGTAGTCCCAGCTACATGGGAGACTGAGGCAGGAGAATCACTTGAACCCAGGAGGCGGAGGTTGCAGTGAGCTGAGATTGTGCCACTGCACTCCAGCCTGGGCAACAGAGTGAGACTCTATCTCAATAAAGAAAAAAAAAAAAAGAAATGGACAAGCTAATATTGAAATTTATATGGAATTGCAAATGACCCAGGATAGCCAAAACAATATTGAAAGGGAAGAAAAACTTGGGCAACCTACACTTCTGATTTCAAAACTTATTACAAAACAACTAATAGTAATCTAGTAATCAAGATAGTTTAATACTGGCATAAGGATAGACATATAACTCAATGTAATAAAATGGAGAATCTAGAAAAAAACTCATGTCAATTGATTTTCTTTTTTTTAATTTTTAATATTATTTTAATATTTATTAATTTAATTAAGATGGGGTCTCACTTATGTTGTCCAGGCTGGTCTCCAACTCCTGGTCTCAAGTGGTCCTCCTCCCTTGGCCTCCCAAAGTGCTGGGATTACAAGTGTCAGCCATGTGCCAGCCAACTCAATTGATTTTCAATAATGGTGCTGAGGCCAGACGCGGTGGCTCATGGCTATAATCCCAGCACTTTAGGAGGCAGAGGTGGGCAAATCACTTGAAGTCAGGTGTTTGAGACCAGCCTGGCCAACATGGCAAAACCTTATCTCTACTAAAAATACAAAATTTTTAGCTGGGCATGGTGGTGCATGCCTGTAATCCCAGCTACTCAGGAGGCTGAGGCAGGAGAATTGCTTGAACTGGGAGTCAGAGGTTGCAGGGAGGCAAGATCATGGCACTGCACTCCAGCCTGGGTGACAGAGTGAGACTTTAAATTTATTAAAAATTTATTAAAAATAAATTTTTAAATAAAAAAATAATTAACGGTATAAGTGCCCTATATATGTGTACCATTTATTATCTTGTGTAAGTGCCCTATATAGGTTTACCATTTATTATCTTCTATGCTGTTTTTTTGTTTTGTTTTGTTTTGTTTTTTTTGAGATGGAGTCTTGCTCTGTCGCCCAGGCTGGAGTGCAGTGGTGTAATCTCGGTTCACTGCAACCTCCACCTCCTGGGTTTGAGCGATTGTCCTGCCTCAGCCTCCCGAGTAGCTGGGACTACAGGCATACAGGCATGTGCCACCATGCCTGGCTAATTTTTGTATTTTTACTAGAGACGGGGTTTCACCATGTTGTCCAGGCTGGTCTTGAACTCCTGACCTCAGGTAATCTGCCTGCCTCGGCCTCCCAAAATGCTGGGATTATAGGCATGAGCCACCGTGCTGGGCCTGTATGCTGTATTTTATTTTATTTTTTATTTTTTGAGATGGAGTCTTGCTCTGTAGCCCAGGCTGGAGTGCAGTGGCACAATCTTGGCTCACTGCAACCTCCACCTCCTGGGTTTGAGCGATTCTCCTGCCTCAGCCTCCTGAGTAGCTGGGACTACAGGCATGCACCACCATACGTGGCTAATTTTTTGTATTTTTAGTAGAGACGGGGTTTCACCATGTTGTCCAGGCTGGTCTTGAACTCCTGACCTCAGGTGATCCGCCTGCCTCGGCCTCCCAAAATGCTGGGATTATAGGCCTGAGCCATAGTGCCGGGGCCTGTATGCTGTATTTTATTTTATTTGTTTTTTTTTTTTTTGAGATGGAGTCTCGCTCTGTTGCCCAGGCTGGAGTGCAGTGGCGTGATCTCAGCTCACTGCAACCTCCACCTTCCAAGTTCAAGCGATTCTTCTGCCTCAGCCTCCTGAGTAGCTGGGACAAGAGGCATGCACCACCACACCCAGCTAATTTTTTGTATTTTTAGTAGAGACGGTGTTTCACCATATTGGCCAGGCTGGTGTCAAACTCCTGACCTTGTGATCTGCCTGCCTCGGCCTCCTAAAGTGCTGGGATTACAGGCATGAGCCACCATGCCTGGCCCTGTATGCTGTATTTTTATGGTATTTTTTTCTATGTTTAGATACACAAATACTTACTATTGTGTTACAATTGCCTACAGTATATAGTAACATTGTTTGTAGGCTACAGTTTGTAGCCTAGAAGCAACAGGCTATTTCGTATAGCCTAGATGAGTAGTAGTGAGCTATACCATGTAGCTTTGTGTAAATACTCTCTGTGATGTTTGCACAACAAAATCGCCTAATGATGCATTTCTCAGAACACATCCCCATCATTAAACAACACATGACTAACTATACTGTGGTCAGGGAGTGGACCACACACTATGAACCTGGCTGGTCATGCATCCTACAGATGGACAAGTGCTAGGAAAGTACTGAGTGGGCAGGCCACAAGATGACCACCACACAGCAGGATGTCAGGGGATACTACAAAGATGCTGGCTGGAATTCAGGTCACCTGTCCTGTGCGGTACTCAAACTTGTGCTGCTTTTTTTTTTTCTTTTTTTTTTTTGAGACAGGGTCTCACTGTTTCCCAGGCTGGAGTGCAGTGGCACGATCATGGCTCACTGCAGCCTCAAAGTCCTGGGCTCAAGCGATCCTCCTGCCTCAGCCTCCTGAGGAGCTGGGACTACAGGTGTGTGCCAGCACACCTAGCTTTTTTTTTTTTTTTTTCATTTTTTTTTTGTAGAGACAGGGGTTTCACTATACTGTCCAGGTTGTATTGAACCCCTGGGCTCAAGTGATCCAGCCTCCCAAAGCGCTGGGATTACAGGCATGAGACACCACACCTAGCCTTCTTGTGCCTCTTGATTGGGGCAGCAGGTGTATATAAGGCTGAGGTGAGCGGCAGTGGGAGATCAGTGGGAGAAGAAATCATCCCAGGGGGTAGTCTGGGAAGCCTTCATGGAAAAGATGCTTTTTGTATCTGGCCTGTGAGGAAAGTTATGTCCTGTATTTACGTGGCCTGTAAAGTTTACTAAATGGTTTTCATCCTGTCAACTTCTCTGTAATTAGCATAATGATACCCTCCTTTGCACTCGTGGGGAAACTGCGGAGTAGAGACACTACATGACTTGACCACATTGATGTAGCTTGGCAGGGCAAGATGTGAACTCCAGTGTTTTGACTCTGGAGCCCTGACTTGTTTCCTGTCCAAGTCTGACACCAAGAGGGGAAGGTTCATTCGTGAGTGTTGAGCAGGATTGGAAGGGAAGGGAAGGAGCTTAGGTGGCATCTCTGGGCCCCTCTGCATTCCATGTCCCCCAGAAGATGCCCACTCTCTAGCCTGATTCCAGATACCTAGAGACCACCTGTGAGCTGTGCCACGGACCTCTCTTCTGACCTCCAGTCCTGCAGATCCATCAGCTGCCAGGATCTCAGACTCCAACTGTAAACTTACCAGAGTCCTGCAGAATGTCGAAGAAACCTCAGGACCCACCTCAACAACCCAAAGATAACAACATTAACGATAAAAATCATGATCGTGTATATGGGCCGGCCGCGGTGGCTCATGCCTGTAATCCCAGCACTTTGGGAGGCCAAGGTGGGCGGATCACCTGAGGTCAGGAGTTCGAGACCAGCCTGGCCAACATGGTGAAACCCCGTCTCTACAAAAATACAAAAATTAGCCAGGCATGATGATGGCTGCCTGTAGTCTCAGCTATTCGGGAGGCGGAGGGAGGAGAATCGCTTGAACCCAGGAGGCGGAGGTTGCAGTGAGCTGAGATTGCACCATTGCACTCCAGCCTGGGCGACAGAGCGAGACTCTGTCTCAAAAAAAAAAAAATCACGTATATGGCTGTTATCATACACAGTACTGAGGCCTCGAGTTTTGTGGAATACGTAGCACTGCATTTCCTCTTCACACAGGCTGTAAGGTGTAGATACTATTACATCCCCACTTTACAATTTGGGGAAACTGAGGCTCAGATGTCTACTTATTGTCCAGGTCACTTAGCAGTTTTGTTTGTTTGTTTGTTTGTTTTAAAGAGACAGAGTAGGCCGGGCGTGGTGGCTCACGCCTGTAATCCCAGCACTTTGGGAGGCCGAGGCAGGTGGATCACGAGGTCAAGAGATCGAGACCATCCTGGCTAACATGGTGAAACCCCGTCTCTACTACAAAAAATTAACTGGGCATGGTGGCGGGCACCTGTAGTCCCAGCTACTTGGGAGGCTGAGGCAGGAGAATGGTGTGAACCCGGGAGGTGGAGCTTGCAGTGAGCCGAGATCACGCCACTGCACTCCAGCCTGGGTGACAGAGCGAGACTCCGTCTCAAAAAAAAAAAAAAAAAAGAGACAAAGTAGTTCTCTGTTGCCCAGGCTGGAGTGCAATGGCATGATCAAAGGTCACTGCAACCTCGAACTCCTTGGCTAAAGCGGTCCACCTGCCTCAGCCTCCCAAGTAGCTGGAAATAAAAGGGCATGCCACTACACCCAGCTAATTTTTTATTTTATTCTTCTGTAGAGACAAAGTCTCACTATGTTGTCCAGGCTGGTCTTGAACTCCTAGCCTCAAGTGATTCTCCTGCCTCAGCCTCCCAAACCGCTGGGGTTACAGGCATGAGCCACCATTCCCAGCTTCATAGCTGATAAATGGTAGCTCTAAGTCTGTCTGTCTGGTAACAAATGAACTATAATCATCCTGCAAAATTATTTCCCTTTCTCAACCTGCCTGTTTCTACCAGTGGCACCACTAAGCCCCCAGGCCTGAGACCCTGCCGTTTCCTCTGATTTCAGTGTCTCAGGACAAAAGCAACCCTGAGAGAGCTGGAGGGTGGCTGGCAGCTCAGTGCACACTGAGGGGGCAGGAGGAAAAGGGTACTTTTCTTGCTTCTTTTGCCTACCCCATGGATTTAATGTTGCTAACTCATAAATCGTAATCCCAACTTTTTTTTTTTTTTTTTTTTTTTTTTTTTTTTTTTTTTTTTTTGAGATGGAGTCTCTCTCTGTCGCCCAGGCTGGAATGCAGTAGCGCAATCTCGGCTCACCGCAAGCTCCGCCTCCCGGGTTCACGCCATTCTCCTGCCTCAGCCTCCCGAGTAGCTGGGACTACAGGTGCCCGCCACCACGCCCAGCTAATTTTTTGTATTTTTAGTAGAGACGGGGTTTCACCGTGTTAGCCAGGATGGTCTCGATCTCCTGACCTCAAAATCCATCCGCCTTGGCCTCCCAAAGTGCTGGGATTACAGGCGTGAGCCACTGCTCCCGGCCAGGATGTTACCATTTATATGAAAAATCACACACGAGCCAGGCATGGTAGCTCACGCCTGTAATCCCAGCACTTTGGGAGGCCTAGGCAGGAGAAACACTGGAGCCCAGGAGTTCAAGACTAGCCTGGGCAATGTAGGGAGACCCCATCTCTACAAATAACAAAAACAATTAGCCAGGTATGGTGGCACACACCTGTAGTCCCAGCTACTTGGGAGGCTGCGGCAAGAGGATTGATTGAACCTGGGAGTTCAAGACTGCAGTGATTGGGCCATGGCACTCTAGTCTGGGCAACAGAGCAAGACCCTTTCTCAAAAAAAAAAAAAATTAAAAATAAATAAATATGTCCGGGCACGGTGGCTCATACCTGTAATCCCAGCACTTTGGGAGGCCGAGGCAGGTGGATCACGAGGTCAGGAGATCGAGACTAACCTGGCTAACATGGTGAAACCTCGTTTCTACTAAAAAATACAAAAAATTAGCCGGGTGTGGTGGCGGGTGCCTGTAGTCCCAGCTACTAGGGAGGCTGAGGCAGGAGAATGGCGTGAACCCAGGAGGCGGAGCTTGCAGTGAGCCGAGATTGCGCCACTGCACTCCAGCCTGGGCGACGGAGTGAGAGTCCATCTCAAAAAAAATAAAATAAATAAAATATAAATAAATAAATAACAATGTAAAATAAAGCGTACTATAAATTCAAAGGATTATTGTTAGATAAGCAATTAATAAATGTTTGGGCCAGGCACAATGGCTCATGGTTATAATCCCAGCACTTTGGGAGGCTGAGGCATGAGGACTGTTTGAGCCAGGAGTTTGAGACCAGCCTGGGCAACATAGAGAGACCTCATCTCTACTAAAATAAGAAATTAGCAGGTGTAGTGGTGTGTGCCTGTGGTCTCAGCTACTCAGGAGGTCGAGGCTGAAGCAGAAGGATTGCTTGAGCCTGGGAGGTCAGAGCCGCAGTGAGTTGTGATCATGCCACTGCATTCCAGCCTGGGCAACAAAAGAGACCCTATCTCAAAAAGAAAAAAAGAAAGAAAGAAAAAAAAAGCTCAGCCACAGTGGCTCATGCCTGTAATCCCAACACTTTGGGAGGCAGAGGTGAATAGATCACTTGAGCCCAGGAGTTCAAGACCAGCCTGGGCAACATGGTGAGACCCTGTCTCTACAAAAAATACAAAAATGAGCCAGGCGTGGTGTTACACACCTGTAGTCCCAGCAACTCAGGAGGCTGAGGTGGAAGGATTGCTCGAGCAGGGGAGATCAAGTCTGCAGTGAGCTGAGCTCATACTACTGCACTCCAGCCTGGGGAACAGAGTGAGACCTTGTCCCAATAAATAAATAAATGAATAAAATAAAAAATAAAAAAAAAAATGTTTATCTTGATGATTCTTGGAAGAAAGCTGCATTTTATTTTGTTTTTTGCTTTTCTTAAAAAATAACAAAAATAAGGTCAGGCGTGGTGGCTCATGCCTGTAATCCCAGTACTTTGGGAGGCTGAGGCGGGCGGATCACCTGAGGTCGGGAGTTCAAGACCAGCCTGACCAACATAGAGAAACTCTGTCTCTACTAAAAACACAAAATTAGCCGGGTGTGGTGGCACATGCCTGTAATCCCAGCTATTCGGGAGGCTGAGGCAGGAGAATCACTTGAACCCAGGAGGTGGAGGTTGCAGTGAGCCGAGATCACGCCATTGCACTCCAGCCTGGGCAACAAGAGCAAAGAAAGAAATAAAAATAAAAAACAAAATAAAATGCATATATAAAATATATCATATATAACATATATCATATATTATATATATTAAAATTATATATATATATATATTTAGCCATGGGTGTCTCACTATGTTAGGCCAGGCTGGTCTTGAACTCCAGGTTTCGAGCAATCCTCCTGCCTCGGCCTCCCAAAGTGCTGGGACTAAAGGCATGAGCCACTATGCCTAGCCTAAAACTGCATTTTAGACTCTAGACCTCAATTCAGACTTAACTCCTTTGTTACATTCTACTACCAGAAGTTGGGAGAGTCTTGGGTTCCAATTCCAATCCTGTCAGTTATAGCTGTACATCACAGTCCAGGTTACTTAACCTCTCTGCACTGGAAATATAAAATAAGGAAAAATCATTTCATGGAGCAGCCAGAAAAGATAAATGAGCTCAGGGATGAGAGACGCCTAACTTTGTGCCCAGCACACAGCTGGCCTTAGCGGCCTTACATCATCAGGGTGCAGGGGCCATCATCCTCTTCTCTCCTGGGATCACCAATCTCTACAGCCTTTCCACATAAGCTACTGGTTTCCTACATCTTCAAGGTACTCCTAGAGGCCTGGCCTACTGGGCAGAATCCCCTTTCCAAAATATTTCACCACCCCCATTGCCATACAGTTAAGAAGAGGGCTCAACCAGGGTTTGAGGTGACAGGAATCAGAGTCAGGTGCTAGGAATGGGTTGGCTGTCTGCCAAGGCTGCTCTAGGACAGGGAACATGGGTTTGCTCTATGGGACTGTAGAACCCAGGGCCGTTATATATAGAGGAGTTGGGTGGAGGCACAGAGAGAGAGATTTGGGTTTAACTAATTTTTTTTTTTTGAGACAGAGTCTTGCTCTGTCGCCCAGGCTGGATTGTCACTGCAACCTCTGCCTCTTGGGTTCAAGTGAGCACGCTTGACTAATTTTTGCATTTTTTTTTTTTTTTTGAGATGGAGTTTCGCTCTTGTTGCCTGGGCTGGAGTGCAATGGCGCAATCTCGGCTCACTGCAACCTCCGCCTCCTGCGTTCAAGTGATTCTCCTGCCTCAGCCTCCCGAGTAGCTGGGATTACAGGCATGTGCCAACATGCCTGGCTAATTTTGTATTTTTAGTAGAGATGGGGTTTCTCCATGTTGGTCAGGCTGGTATCGAACTCCCGACCTCAGGTGATCCGCCCGCCTCAGCCTCCCACAGTGCTGGGATTACAGGTGTGAGCTACCATGCCCAGCCTAATTTTTTTATTTTTAGTAGAGATAGGGTTTCACCATGTTGGCCAGGCTGGTCTCAAACTCCCGACCTTGAGTGATCCATCGCCTTGGCCTCCCATGGCCTCCCAAAGTGCTAGGATTACAGGTGTGAGCCACCACATCTGGCTGGTTTAACTGAATTGTGTGTGTATGTATATATATATAAACATACACACACACATATACATATATATACATACATATATACATACATATATACATATATATACATACATACATATATATATATATATATATATATATATTTTTTTTTTTTTTTTTTTTTTTTTTGAGACGGAGTCTGGTTCTGTGCCCAGGCTGGAGTGCAATGGTACGATCTCAGCTCACCACAACCTCTGCCTCCCGGGTTCAAGCGATTCTCCTGCCTCAGCCTCCCAAGGAGCTGGGACTACAGGAGCGTGCCACCACGCCCAGCTAATTTTTGTATTTTTAGTAGAGACGGGGTTTCACCATTTTGGCCAGGATGGTTTCAATCTCTTCACCTCGTGATCTGCCTGCCTCGGCTTCCCAAAGTGCTGGGATTACAGGCATGAATGACCGCACCTGGCCTTTTTTTTTTGAGACAGAGTCTCGCTCTGTCATGCAGGCTGGAGTGCAGTAGTGCAATCTCGGTTCCCTGCAACCTCTGCCTCCTGGGTTCAAGTGATTGTTCTGCCTCAGCCTCCCAAGTAGCTGGGATTACAGGCGTGCACCACCACGCCTGGCCTGAATTATATATCTGAGAGGACATTATGCCAGGCACTATGTCAAGGACTTCCTATACATCATCTCATTTGATTGCACACAAACCTTATGAGATAGGTACTATCCCCATTTTACAGATAAAGAAACCAAGGCTCAGAGTCCCTCATCACTTGTCCAAAGCCATAGAAACAAATATAAAATGTATCAAAGTTTGAATCCAGGCCTATCTTAGTGCAAAACGTGGAAGCTTAAACATTGTGTTAAGAAGTCAGGCCAGGCACAGTGGCTCATGCCTATAATCCCAGCACTTTGGGAGGCAGAGGCTGGCGAATCACGAGGTCAGGAGTTCGAGACCAGCCTGGCAATATGGTGAAACTCTGTCTCTACTAAAAGTACAAAAATTAGCCAGGCGTGGTGGCGCACGCCTATAGTCCCAGCTGCTAGGGAGGCTGAGGCAGAAGAATCACTTAAACCTAGGAGGCAGAAATTGCAGTGAGCCAAGATCACGCCACGGCACTCCAGCTTGGGTGACAGAGTGAGACTCTGTCTCAAAAAAAAAAAAAAAAAAAAAGAGGAAGTCAAAGGCTGGCCGGGCACAGTGGCTCACACCTGTAATCCCAGCACTTTGGAAGGCTGAGGCGGGTGGATCACCTGAGCTCAGGAGTTCGACACCAACCTGGGGAACATGGTGAAACCCTATCTCTACTAAAAATACAAAAAATTAGCTGGGCATGGTGGCATGTGCCTGTAGTCCCAGCTACCTGGGAGGCTGAGGCAGGAGAATCGCTTGAACCAGGAGGTGGAGGTTGCAGCGAGCCAAGATCACACCACTGCACTCCAGCCTAGGCGATGGAGTGAGATTGCGGCTCAAAAAAAAAAAAAAAAAGTAACCGGGTGCCATGACTCACGCCTGTAATCCTAGCACTATGGAAGGCCAAGGCTGGGAGATCACCTGAGGTCAGGAGTTGAGTACCAGCCTGGCCAACATGGTGAAACCTCGTCTCTACTAAAATACAAAAATTAGCCGGGCATGATGGTGAGTGCCTGTAATCCCAGCTACTTGGGAGGTTGAGAAAGGAGAATCGCTTGAGAATCGCTTGAACCTAGGAGACAGTGGTTGTAGTGAGCCGAGATCATGCCACTGCACTCCAGCCTGGGCAGCTGGGCGAGACTCCGTCTCAAAAAGAAAAGAAGTCAAAGGCCAAGTATTGAATAAATGTTAATTATCACTAAATTGTTATCATTATCTGACAACAATACTACTCTAATGAGAGCTAGAGGTTTGGCTGTGGAATGAGCAATTTGGGGTGGGGGATATGAGTTGCTTCTCCTCCAGTTCAGGCAAAGGTTGGATTAGCTTCTGGTAGAGATTCAAGTGTTTAGCACAGACAGTTGGATTCGAGACCTAAGGTTCTAGTTGTGGGGGTACAAGGAGATTTCCAAGGCCTGTTCCCAGAGATTTGGATGTAGCTGTTTTTAGATGGGACCCAGAAATCTTCTTTTTTCCAGTGGAAAGGTTTTACTCTGTTACCCAGGCTGGAGGGCGATAATGCCATCATAGCCCACTGTAGCCTGGAACTCCCAGGCTTAGGTGATCCTCCTAACTCAGCCTTCTGAGTAGCTAGGACTACAGGTGCAAGTTACCAAGCTTGGCTAATTTTTTTGTATATTTTGTAGAGATGGGGTTTCACTATGTTGCCCAGGCTGGTCTCAAACTCCTGAACTCATGCGATCTGCCTGCCTCAGCCTCCCAAAGTGCTAGGATTACAGGTGTGAACTACCATGCCTGGCCCTGAAATCTGTCTTTTTCAAAAGGCAATTCTGGACTGCAGCCAAGTGTGGGCTCCATTGGCTTGGCTGACCTCTAGAGACCTTTTCCGTTGCACAGGCTGAAGTGCAGTGGTACTATCACAGCTCTCTATAGCCTCCACTTCCAGGACTCAAGCAATTCTTCTACCTCAGCCTCCTGAGTAGCTGAGACCACAGGCACACACCACCATGCCCAGCTAGTTTTTTGTCTTTGTTTTTTTGAGACGTTGTCTTGCTCTGTCGCCAGGCTGGAGTGCAGTGGTGCGATCTCAGCTCACTGCAACCTCTGCCTCCTGGTTCAAGCGATTCTCATGCCTCAGCTTCCCGAGTAGCTGGGATTACAGGCGCGCACCACCACACCCAGCTAATTTTTGTATTTTTAGTAGAGACGGGATTTTACCATGTTGGACAGGATAGTCTCGATCTCCTGACCTCATGATCCGCCTGCCTCAGCCTCCCAAAGTACTGGGATTACAGGCGTGAGTCCCTGTGCCTGGCCTAGTTGTTTTTTTTTCCTTATAGAGATAGGGTTTTGCTACGTTGCCCAGGTTGGTCTGGATCTTTTAGCCTCGAGGGATCCTCCTGCCTTAGCCTCCCTAAGTGCTAGGATTACAGGTGTGAGCCACCGTGCCTGGTCCTAAGCAGCTTCTGCATAGATTCTATGACCTGTGGTGCCCTAACACACCACTGGGAAGTATTCCTTTGGGTTAGGCATTGCCCTCTCCCCCTACTTCCTCCTTAAATTTCTAAGGCCTTAGAGAGGATGAGTGCACCCTTCCCCTCATGGGCAACAGACTCTTCTGGATGGTAAAAAAGGCAGTATAGGAGGGCATAGGCTCACATTGCCACCTTCAGTGGTGAGGATAGAGATAGCTCATCTTCCCTTCTCACCCTATCCCACCTCATTCCATGTGGAGCCCCTGTCCCTGAGACTGTCAGTTGCCCCACTGGACTCTAGTCAAGTGTAACAATTCCTACTTTAAGTCCCTTAGAAAAGTAGCCCGGTAGAGCCAGCCTCCCGGGCATGCTGGGCAATTCCGCAGTTGGTCGGGCCCAGAAGGCCCTCTCCCAGGCTCTGGGAGGACAGAGACTCAGGCAGGGAAGCAGGCCAGAGAAGCTTTCAGTGACCTTTGGTTCCCTGGGAAGGACTCAAAACCAGTAAAAGTTTAGCAAATGTCATTAAATTGTTGCCAGAACTTAAAATTCATTTTAAAAAATGCACACGCATGCACACACACACACACACAAAGACTTTCTAGAGGATAAAAGATCATTTGGAGGGGTGTATATGAAAATCTATTTGATTAGGTTTGATTTTTTTTTTTTCTTAGAAGGAAAGCTTCTAAGCTACCTGCTTTTGAAATTAAACAGAAAGTATTAAGTGAACTCAGTACTTTGCTGTGTAACTTCAAGCTAGTTGATTTTGGCCGCTGAACCTCAGTTTCCCCAACAGCAAAGGCTGTGGTTTCATAGGAACTGGCAGTGAAGCAGGGCGTGGGCCCTGTGGTTTCATAGGCCCTGGGTGCTGAGAGGGAGGTGTGAGTAGGGAGCTCAGGGTTCAGATAGAAACCTTTGGCCTGCCAGACATCCCTTTGGGGTTTCTCTTTGTTTTTTAATCCTGGGTCCTCTCCCCATTCAGGTTCCTGGCATCTCATTCTCCCTCCCATCTTCAAAGAGAGGAAAAGCAGCCATTGACATGTTAATGTAAAAATACTGTAGGGCATGGTGGCTCATGCCTGTAATCCCAGCACTTTGGGAGGTCGAGGCGGGCGGATCACAAGGTCAGGAGTTTGAGACCAACCTGACCAGCATGGTGAAACCCCGTCTCTACTAAAAATACAAAAATTAGCCGGGCATGGTGGCGAGTGCCTGTAATACCAGCTACTCTGGAGGCTGAGACAAGAGAATTGCTTGAACCCAGGAGAAGGAGGTTGCAGTGGGCCGAGCTCGCACCACTGCACTCCAGCCTGGGCAACAAAGCAAGACTCCATCTCAAAACAAAACAAAACAAAACAAAACAAAGCAAAACAAAAAAAAACGCTGTCAGAGATATTTCCTTGGTAACCCTAGCCTTTCAATCATTCAATATTCATTACTGAAACCCCTCTGCCAGGACCTGAACTGAGCTTCCAAGATTTGATTCAAAGGTGAAGAGACGCTATCCCTGTCCTCAGATGGTCCCCTGCTAATTTTCAGCTATGTGGTGGGGACAGGAGAAATAACATCTTTGGGAGATGGTGTGCAGGGAGGAGACACCACCTCTCAGGAAGGCTGGATCTGAAGTGAAGTTCTTGTGTTGTTCCTTTGCTGACTTTACAATCGCCCCTCCGGTTGTCTTGGGGCTTTGAGGACGTCAAAGAAGTTTCAGCATCAGGATCTCATTTAATTCTTACAGAAGCCTAGGGAACACTCATGAAAGCCTGCCTGAAAGGTGTCGCTAGTTCTCTAGTTTTACCTTGAGAAAACAAAGCCTTAGAGAGATTAAACTATCTGCCTATGGTCACACGGGTTGCCGTGGTGACCTGGACGCAGATCCAGGTCTTCTGGCACAGCTACTTTGGAAATACTGTTTGTCTTAGATTGGAACCTGGGATCCAGGTTCACAATGTGGCCCAGAGGAAGGCAAGGAGAGAAAGGGAGAGCTCAGGGATTTGGGGCTGAAATTAACCAGTTGCCTGGGCTTGGTGGCTCATGCCTGTCATCCCAGTACTTTGGGAGGCCATGGTGGGCGGATCACCTGCGGTCAGGAGTTTGAGACCAGCCTGGCCAACATGGTGAAACCCTGTCTCTACAAAAATACAAAAATTAACCAGGCATGATGATGGGTGCCTGTAGTCCCAGCTACTGGGAAGGCTGAGGCGGGAGAATCACTTGAACCTGGGAGGCAGAGGTTGCAGTGAGCCGAGATCGCACCATTGCACTCTAGCCTGGGTGACAGAGTGAGACTCCTTCTCAAAAAAAAGAAATTACCCAGTCTGTGACCTTGACCTGCAAACTAGCAGTGGACCCAGGGCAATAATCACAACCTCCAAGAGCTTACCATGAGCTCTTATCTTACTTAACACATTCTTGCAATTGTGTACTAGTATTCCGATTTTACAGATGAACTGACTGATACTAGCTGGCAACTTGCCCAAGGTTACAGAATCAGAATTCTATCACAGGGCTATTTCATGCTTTTCCCACCATCCATGCCATCTGCCAGTGGCTCGTGAAGGTCCCTTAATCCTATAACTAGGGATAGCAGGAACAATAGAAAGATTAACTGCTTGGGGCAGTAGCCTGTCCCCTTTCCCTCCAGAGACTTCTTGCACTTAAGTGGAGCTTAAACCTATAAACAATGGGCGGGCGTGGTGGCTCACACCTATAATCTCAGCACTTTGAGAGGCTAAGGCAGGCGGATCACTTGAGCTCAGGAGTTCGAGACCAGCCTGGCCAACATGGTAAAACCCCATCTCTACTAAAAATACAAAAATTAGCTGGGCATGGTGGCACGCACCCGTAATCCCAGCTACTCAGGAGGCTAAGACAGGAGAATTGATTGAACCCAGGAGATGGAGGTTGTGGTGAGCTGAGATCACACCATTGCATTCCAGCCTAGACAACAGAGTGAGACTCTGTCTCAAAATAAATAAACAAAAACCTATGAGCACCAAGAAAATATACCTCAGATGGCTGGGTGTGGTGGCTCATGCCTATAATCTCAGCACTTTGGGAGGCCAAGGTGGGTGGATCACTTGAGGCCAGGAGTTTGAGACCAGCCTGGGCAACGTGGCAAAACCCATCTCTACTAAAATACAAAAAGTATGGCCAGGCACGGTGGCTAACGCCTGTAATCTTAGCACTTTGGGAGGCTGAGGCAGGTGGATCACTTGAGGTTAGGAGTTCGAAACCAGCCTGGCCAACATGGTGAAACCCTGCTAGGGAAAGTTAGCTGGGCCTGGTGGGGGGATCCTGTATTCCCACCTACTTGGGAGGCTGAGGTGGGAGAATCGCTTGAACCCAGGAGGTGAAGGTTGCAATGAGCCAAGACTGTGCTACTACATTCCAGCCTGGGTGACAGGGCAAGACCCTGACTTCCCCCCAAAAAAATAAAGAAAAAGAAAATATAACTCAGACACATCTCAGCCTTTAAGCTTCAAGGTCATCCTCTCTACCTGCCTTTCTTCTTTTTCTTTTAAATAAAGAGGGGATCTTGCTATGTTGCCCCATCTAGACTTGATGGGCTCAATTAATCCTCCCAGCTCAGCCTCCAAAGTGGCAGGGACTATAGGCGCACACCACCAAGCCCAGCTTCTATCTGCCTTCTTATTGCCTAGGCTTTCCTGGTGGTGGGAAAGTTGGGGTCAGAATGGGGGCCTGCCCTGAAGTAGCCAGGCACACTCTCAGGAGTTGAGTTCCAGGGCAGTGTTTCCCAGGAGTGAGGCCATCTCTTTTCCCTACCCTAAGGATGAAATATTGAAGGATGATGTATGTACAGTACATCAAAGAGAAAGGGCCATTGGCTTCAGATAGCCCAGAAGCTCCAGGAATAGCCCAGTATTGGTTCAGCAAAGGTTTATTAAACACCTACTACTGAAAATGCCCACCATCATCTGCTCCTTGCTGGAGGCCAGGGGGCTGCAGAGGTTAAGGAGTTCTACTCACTCAGCAGGGTTTACAGCCACTCCTTGGAGTCAGAAAGCTTCCCATGTGGTAGGTGAGACTTCAAAACAAGGTATTCCCAGGTTCAACACGACACAGAGAAGGCACTCTGAGAGCACAGGGGAGAGAGAATGGGTACTGGGAAAGGTCTGGAAGCTGGGGGTGGAGAGTGAGGATGGGAGGATTCCAGACAAAAGGAATAGAAATTCGAGAAGCTCAGAGGTGATATGGAGCATGACAGTGGGGGAGGCCTGGGGCACTGAAGAGATTACTAGAGGCTACACTACTAGGTCATAGCTGGGGAGACAGAGATATAAGTTCCTACCCTTCAGATGTCTGAAAGAGTTGTACACCCCAAACTCCTCTCTCTAGCCTCTTTCACATCAGCTTCTGGTCAGCACCAATGGGTACGCCTGACTACTCATGAAGGTGCGGGCTGGGTGGGAGCTTTGTGTTTATATGATCTCCAAATCCATGTGAGATTGGAGATTCTGCCATTTCAGGGGCCATAGGGGTGCACAGAGAGGGAAAAGACAGTTGTTGCCTCCAAAGTGCTTAAGGGCTGGTCACACATACAGGAAACTTTCTGAGGCATTAAGAATGCTCATATAAGAGGGCGGGCTCATGCCTGTAATCTCAGCACTTTGAGAGGCCAAGGTGAGCAGATTACTTGAGGCCAGGAGTTCAAGACCAGCCTGGCCAACACGGTGAAACCTTGTCCCTACTAAAAATACAAAAATTAGCCAGGTGTGACAGCGAGTGTGGTGGCAGGCACCTGTAATCCCAGCTACTCAGGAGGCTGAGGCACGAGAACTGCTCGAACCTGGGAGATGGAGGATGCACTGCACTCAAGCCTGGTGACATAGTGAGACTCCGTCTCAAAGAAAAAGAAAAAAAAAAGAATCCTCATATAAAGTTTGCCTATGAAGGCAAAAGAGAAAATAAACTGGAAATAATACAAATATCTAACAAGAGACAGGTTAAATAAGTAATGGCAGTCTAATAAGGGGTAAGCATTTACTACAAATTATGAAGAACTTAAGAAGAAATACAGGCTGGGTGTGGTGGCTCACGCCTATAATACCAGCACTTTGGGAGGCCAAGGTGGGAGGATCACTTGAGCCCAGGAGTTCAACACCAGCTTGGGACAACATAATGAGAGGCCAGTCTCTTAAAAAAAAAAAAAAAAAATTAGCTGGGCGTGGTGTTGCACCTGTAATCACAGCTACCTGGGAGGCTGAGGTAGAAGGATCACTTGAGCCCAGGAGTTCAAGGCTGGAGTGAGCTGTGATTGTGCCACTGCACTCCAGCTTGGGTGACAGAGCAAGATCTTTTTTCTAAAAAAAGAAAAGAAGGCCGGGCGCGGTGGCTCACGCCTGTAATCTCAGCACTTTGGGAGGCTGATGGGGGCAGATTACAAGGTCAAGAGATCAAGATCATCCTCACCAACATGGGGAAACCGTCTCTACTAAAAATACAAAAGTTAGCTGGGCGTGGTTGTGCGTTCCTGTAGTCCCAGCTACTCAGGAGGCTGAGGCAGAATAGCTTGAAACTGGGAGGTGGAGGTTGCAGTGAGCCGAGATCGCATCACTGCACTCCAGTCTGGCAACAGAGCAAGACTGCATCTCAAAAAAGCCCCCAAAACAAAAAAAAAAAAAATGAAAAAAGAAAAGAAATGTAGTGATGGGGGTCAGTTGTGGCCCCTGTGTCATTTGTCACCTTTTTGGGCCTTAGCTCTCCCATCTATGGAGAAAACAGAGACCAGAATGGAGAAGAAGGGTGACCAGAATTACAAGATGAGAGGCTCTTCTTTGAAAAATTCAAATTAACCATATAATGGCTGAGTTCAGAAATCTGGCCAGGCTCCTTCTCCTGGAAAAAGCATGGGAAAGGCAGGATCTTGAGGGAAGGGAAGATTTTGGATTGATTAGGGGGAGCGGGGGAGGAAGAGGAAGAGGAAGAGTATTCCTGGGCCAAAGTTAGAGACAAACCTGATAGGAAGACCTATTCTAGGGGAGGGGATGGTGATCAAGCCCACAGCCAGATTGGACTGAGGCCTGTGGAGGATGGTAGGGGTATCTGAGGGTTCCCAAGGTTGGTTCTATCTGGAGATGCCTGAGGCTGGAGGCATCTTAAAAACTCTGGGTAAAGGTCTGGCTCCTACAGGCAGCAGCTCCCTCTTCATAGGGCCTGAGCCAAGTGTTGGCAACAGGGCTGATGGGAAACCAGGGTGCTCTTGGCCTTGCCACCAGCAGAAAATGGTCCCCAGCCCACAGTAGGTGCTCAATAATTATTTACTAAAGGAATGAGTATATCATTGGAAAGACATTGCCCATCTCTAGGCCTCAATTTATCTGTGAGATGGCAGGTCAGGATGGAGATTATAATTTACTGGGAAGACTAAGCCACAGCACAGTGATCCTGTGGTGCTAGTCCTACCTAATTCAGGAGGTCGACACACAGAGGTTCTGGGGGCTCAGGCACTTGTCCACGGTCTGGGATCCTAACCAGTCCGTGACTGCAAATCCAGCTTTTCTTTTTTCTTTTCTTTTTTTGAGACGGAGTTTCGCTCTTGTTGCCCTGGCTGGAGTGCAATGGCAAGATCTCGGGTCACCGCAACCTCCGCCCCGTCCAGGAGAAGGGGCACTGAGGAGGGACCCAGTTCTCCCGCGGCTCTGCCGGATTCAGGCTGCAGCGCTTCCAGCGCTCCCCGAGGTGGGTGCGGGTTTCTACTGTGGCAGCAGGGCGGGCCCCCATCGGCTGGGTTTTCAAATAGAAGAGAAAACCGACCCAGAGGCCGCGCCCTACTGACCTGCGCGGGGGTGCGGGGGGAGTCACGACGACCTCCCCCACCTCCCCCAGCCTCTAGGCTATTACATCCGTCCCCAGCCTTCGGGCTCAGAATAGGAGGCAGGGAAAGGTGTGAGGGGCACTGAGGTCGGGGGAGGAGCGAGAAGACCCGAAAGCCAGGCGTGTTGAGGGCAAGGTGGGCAACAGAACCTTCTTGGTCATTCGAGGCAGCCCTCGCTAATGACCATTGGGGTCCCAACACTCGAATCCCCACCTAAGTCCTATTCAGATAGTGACTGGGAGTGGGAAGGGAGTTTGAGATCCTAAGTCCCACCCTCTGGGCTGGGAGCCTGAGGCCAGAGAGGGGAAGTGATTTCCTCAAGGTCACTCAGCAAAACAGCGCCCAGCCCGGGCCAAAGCTCAGGTGTCTCCCAACCCCCTCCCCCCGGCCATCACCCCCAGAACTCGGTCCCCCGGAGCTGAGGTCTGCGCGACTGGATTTAGGGGCAGAATGAGTGCGTCGGGAACCCCAAAACCCTAGATCAAGATACAAGGGGAGTCGACGGCCCGGAAACCTCGCTGCGGGTGCCCTAAGCGCGAGGCCGCCCGGGCAGGGCCGCCCAGGGACCGGGGCGCTGGGTGCGGGGCACGGGGCTCCACCTCCCGCGGGCTGGGGCGCGCAGCGCGCGGCCCCTTTAAGAAAGTTCGCCGGGCGAGTTCATCAAAGTTTAAAAACTCGCCGTGGAGAAGGGCGCGGGGGAAGAGGAGAGAGGGAGAGCGCTGACCCAGGCGAGAGAGAGGGGAAAGGCCCGGCCGGAGGCCGGCGCCCCGCGGCCGGGGCCGGGGCGAGCCCACGGTGGGCGGTGGGGATTGGCTGCGCGTTCCCCCGGAGACCGCGCGGCGGGCGGGGGAGGGGGCTGGCCGGGCCCCAGCTGAGGCCGGTTCCGGCCCCGCCCCCCGCCGCCGGCGCCCGCCCCCTCCCCCGGCGCCCGCCCCCCGCCGCCGCTGCCGCCGCCGCCGCCGCCGCGGCGCACTCGCCGGTCGCAGTGAAAAGGCGGAGGCGGCGGCCCCTCCGGCTCCCACTGCCTCCCCCGCCGCACCCCCTCCCCACCTTCCGCACCCGCCAAACTTGATGTGACCCTGGCCCGACGCGGAGGCTGCCCCTCTCACTGCCCCGTGGGTCCCCCGCCACCCGCTCCGCACCCGCGAGCGCACCGCTCCCCGCGCCCCTTCCCACTTCCCGCGGGGCCGGCGCCGCGCTCGCCCTCGCGTTCCTTCCCGCCGCCCCCTCCCCCGCACCATGAGCAACCTGAAGCCGGACGGCGAGCACGGCGGCAGCACCGGCACCGGCTCCGGCGCGGGCTCCGGCGGCGCCCTGGAGGAGGAGGTGGGTCTGTGGCCCCGGGACTTGCCGGGTGAAGCGCACGCCAGGCGGGCGCGGGAGAGGGCGAGCGGGGCCTGCCGCGCCTCGCGGGGCCGGGGTGGCCATCGCTCCCGGCGCCTTCCCGCCGCTGCCCTCTCGCCCGGGTAGGAGCGGCCCGTGTCCGCGGGCGGGAGCGTGCGGCCTGGACTGCCCCGCCGGACAGGCATTGTCTCCCCGCCCTCTCGGGCTCGAGGCGGGCCGCGCGCGCCGGCCGCCGTCCGGGCGTCCCGCGGTGGGCGAGATGCGCCGCGTCCGTTCCATGCCTGCCGCCCGCGCGCCCCTTGCTCCCCACCCCGTAGCCGCTCGCCGCCCTCCTCCGAGGCGCACCTCCTGCGTGGCCAGGACCCCGCCTCGGCGGCACGGAGCGGAGCGGGATTAGCACGGCCCGAGGGCGGCACCCTCACTCCACTGCCTTTTCCGCCCTGACCCCCTCCCCGTGACCTTGGAGGCCTGGGCCGGCCGGCTCCTCGGTTCCTGCGAGCTGTTGTCATGGGGGTGGGCGGGCTTTCTTCACAGCCCCAGAACCTGGGCTTTGGCAGAGGTGAGCCCACAATTTAATTAGTTTGGAAGATGACTAAAGACACTCAGTTCGTCCTTCTCCTCTCTCTGGGTTTGTCCTGGCAACCAAGCCAGGACCCCAAAGCTGGCCTGGGTGGGATCCTGCCAGGAGGGGCGAAATCATCTCGTCCACCGGCCATGTGCGAAAGGGAGGGAGTGTAAGGCGGCTCCGTGGAACCACCAGCAGCTGGGTGGTTAATGGATGGTAGGGAGGATGTGTGTGCGGGGTGGGGTGCTGGATAAAAGCCTCAAAGATATCAGTGAATAGGGACGAGGAGCTAGGCTGGCGGAGACAAGAACTGGAGTAGAAGGGGACAGGCTTCGCAGGGCCTCTGGCCTCTGCTGCGTCATTCTAGGGGTGAGAGAGCCTTCCTGCCCCTGCCCTGGCATGTTCTCGCCCAGGAAACCAAGGGCTGGTTATCCACCTTGGGCGCCCTTCCCCTTGGCCTGGGGGAGAAACCGCAGAGCCCCTGGTGTGGACTGGTGTTGCCTCCTCCCCTTGTGCTGGGGGTTGGTGCAGAATGGCGCCGGTGGCCCTCGGCTGGGCTGGGCTCAGCGCCGCCAGCTCCCACTCGGCTATTCAGAGACCTTCAGCCAGCCCCAGTCGATGACAATCTAGGTTTGGATCTCCACTTTTTGGCGGAAGGGGAAGGGAAGAATATACAACTGTGACATCTGTCCACTAATGACTTAAGTGTGGTGGATTTGTTTGGGCTCCAGAGGCCTTGCCCTCCTTGTACCTTGATGCCAAAAGGCCCTTGGCTTTGGGGATCTTGCCCCCATCCTGACTCTACCTGGCTGTTAGAATCTCCCTTGACAGTTGGGGAGGGTGACAGGGTTGCTAGCGTACTTGGAGTCTCTGCTTGGCCCCCTGCTGTGGGCTGAAACTGGGGGAGAGCATGTCTCCTATAAAGCTGAATGGGGACCCAGAACCCCACTTCTGCTAAAGGGTCTACTTCAGTGGGGACTTCACACTGCCCAAGAGGCTGGTACTGGGCAAACCCTCAGACCCACTGCTGTTGGGTGAGAAGGGTGACCCATGTGGCCATTCTAAGTCTTGAAAAAAGCATTTGAGGTTTTAGCCACTCCTTTCTAAGTACCTTTTCTGGGAAAGAGGGCAGGATTCTCAAAAAGTGGAATCCCTACTATTCCTCCTTGGGAGTTGAGATGGCCTGCGGCCCTATGGTGGTTCCAAATCCGCGCACTTGGAAAAGGGCATGGTGGGCTCGCGTTTAGCAGAGGTCCAGAACAAAGGGTTCTGAGGGTCTCCTGGAGCCCAGTGTCTGTCTGGTCTGGTAAGGGAAAGGGTTATTCCCCAAGCCCTGGCCTAGTCTTCTGAATAGTGGGCCATGAGCCCCTGTGCTGGTGGCTCCATCTTGGATTGGTGGTGTAGGCTGGAACTGGAATCCTCCCTGTAGTTTAGATGCTCCCTAAGCAGTCAGTTCTGCAGCCCCTAAGAGCAACCATCTGGAGAATCAGCGTTAGCAGTGGTTTACTCCCATGGCTGACACAGGTGGCTTCTTCCCAGTCAACTCTTGGAGACTAGCGAGAGCAAGCCCAGGAAACCAAGGAATGCTGCTGCACGCCGTAAGACCTCAATTCCTAAAGGCGCTGGGTCACTGGCGAAGGGAGTGTATTTTTCATGGTTCTGGGAGTTATCAGTGAGGTTGCTTGTCCTGAACTGCTTTGGATAGCCTTGACTCTGCCTGCTTGACTACCTTACCTATAGGCTTTATCCATGTCATACGCATTAAGTTTTCTTTCTGGACCCAGGGGTTAAGGATACAAGTGAAAATTCTCAGCCTAGGAGGTCGGAAGGACTTGCCAGGAAGTGGTGGTAGGTGAAATGCAATGATAGATAAAATAAAGGCATATGAGCACATGGTACCATGGTGCTCCTGAGAGATTAGAGGTCAGCCTTCCCTGAGATGTGGGTGAGTAGGAGGAGCAAGGTTAGACCTGTGGGGGTGGAAAAGGCATTCCAAGAGGAGGGAGTCGCATGTATAAGTGAGGAGGTAGGTTTGTGTAACCACATGGCTTGTTTGGGTAACTACCTGGAGTTTGCTATATTGCAGCAATATCAGGCAGTGCAGCCATAATGAGAGTTTGGAATTAGGGCAGTAATGACTGTGGTATTACGGGAAAATTGGCATTTTTCTGCCACTTGGGAAGATGTGTTCGAAGCTTTGATACCCTTTGAAAGCTAAGGAGGGCAGTAAGGAATTAAGGGGAGGAGCTGAATGTCCCTCCCAATCTAGAGGTTGTGCTGTCCTGCAGGTAAGTCTTGACTGGAGCTGGGGACGACATGAGGTAATACAGTACATGAACCTGTCCGGGGCAGGCTGTATCAGTGCTGCCAAACTTCAGACCTAAATGTCCTGTCTTAGTGATTCTCAAGGGATAACTGGGTAATTACCATGTCTCTGAAGAGGGGTAAATGTGATTTCTATTTTGAAAGTGGAGACCTTGCTTTCATAATACAGTTGCTGTTGGCCTTCCATTTCTATGGGTTCCCTATCCATGAATCCAGTTGTAGATAAAAAATACAATAATAAAAAATAATACAAATAAATATAACAACTATTTACATAGCATTCACATTGTATTAGGTATTGTGAATAATCTAGAGATGAGTTAAAGTATCCAGAAAATGTGCATAGGTTATTTTTTTATTTGTTTGAAGGGGAGTTTCACTCTTGTCACCCAGGCTGGAGTGCAGTGGCACAATCTCAGCTCACTGCAACCTCTGCCTCCCAGGTTCAAGCAATTCTCCTGCCTCAGCCTCCTGAGTAGCTGGGATTACAGGTGCCCGCCACCATACCTGGCTAATTTTTGTTTTTTAGTAGAGACAGGATTTCACCATGTTGGCCAGGCTGGTCTTGAACTCCTGTCCTCAGGTGACCTGCCCACCTCAGTCTCCCAAAGTGCTGGGATTACAGGCCTGAGCCACGGCGCCCAGCCTTGTTTTGTTTTTGAGACAGTCTCTGTTGCCCAGATTGGGGTGCAGTGGCGCAATCTCGGCTCACTGCAACCTCCTCCCAGGTTCAAGTGATTCTCCTGCCTCAGCCTCCAGGATTGCAGGTGCACGCCACCATGCCTGGCTAATTTTTGTATTTTTAGTAGAGACGGGGTTTCACCATGTTGGCCAGGCTGGTCTTGAACTCCTGACCTCAAGTGGTCCATCCAGCTCGGCCTCCCAAAGTGCTGAGATTACAGACGTGAGCCACCGTGCCCGGCCTGTGCATAGGTTATATACAAATTTTATATAAGAGACTTGAACATCTGGAGATGTTGATATCCAAGGGGGAACCCTGGAACCAATCCGCCTCAGATATCGAGGGACAACTAAACGGTACGAGGTGATACTAAGTTATAGTAATTTTTAAAAACCACTTTTTTGAGGTATGATTGGCATATATAAAGGTGTATATTTAGTGTATACAACTTGAAGAGTTTGGAGATTGTTAAAGTAATTTTTAACTGGGGGGCACCCCTGGAAGGGGGAGAGTGGTATTTATACTATTGGGTTGAGGGAGGATATAAGTTTCTTAAGAGTTAAAAAAGTTTTTGCCAGCTTAATGGTAAGCTATAGAAAGGCAGGGGTTAATGGCAGCTAAGGGGGCTACAGTTTGACCTGAGGGGCTTTGCCCTTCCCTGCCCTTCCACCTCATCCCAGTGTGGCTGGGACAGGGCTGCTGCTTGCAGGCCTGGTATCCTAGAGCCCATCATGTGTCCTCAGAGGGGTGTCAGGAAGCAGCCAGAGCCCTGGGACCACTGGGTGGCTTGAGGTCAGCCCTCCCTGAGATGTGGGTGAACAGGTGCTTAGACTTGTGTGGATGGAACGGGGAGGGGGGTGTGGGAGGTGGGGGATAAGGCACTCTAGATGAGTGCGAGGTAATTCCTGGATCCAGTGTGCTATTTGGGCACCTCCCTTTTCTTTAACATCAATAGCATTTGAAAGCATCTGGGACATCTTGGTCTGCAGGCTTTTTTTGAATATGAGGGAATGGAGGCTTCTCTGTTTCTGGGCACTCACCTAGAAGCCCTGCCAGGCATATAGCAGTAGGAGGTCAGGTTCCCCTCCTCACTGGGAGTTATTGTGGATGTGTCCCCTCTGCCTAAGTAATCTAAGGGAGAGGCTGTACTAATAATAATGAACCTGTATGTTGTATTTATGCCAGGCATTGTTATATGTTCTGCACCATTTTAACTCTTAATCTTTGTAAGAGCATTATGAAGTACTTACATTATTATCACCATTTCATAAATGAGGAAAGTGAGGCACAGAGAGGTTAAATAACTTTCATGTAGCTATTAAGTGGGGAGGTTGGGATTTGAACCCAGAGTTTGCTCTTAACCACACAGTATACTGCTATTGTGTTTTATATTAGGGTTTTTGGTGAGACTGGAAGGCAGGGGGAGAAAGGTATCTGCAATTTTCTTTTTTTTTTCTTTTTTTTGAGACGGAGTCTCGCCATGTCACCCAGGCTGGAATGCAGTGGTATGATCTTGGCTCACTGCAACCTCTGCCTCCCAGGTTCAAGCGATTATCCTGCCTCAGCCTCCCAAGTAGCTGGGATTACAGGCGCGCACCACTACGGCCAGCTAATTTTTATATTTTTAGCAGAGACGGGGTTTCACTGTGTTGGTCAGGCTGGTCTCGAACTCTTGACCTCCTGATCCTCCTGCCTCGGCCTCCCAAAGTGCTGGGATTACAGGCGTGAGCCACCGCGCCCAGCCGGGTATCTGCAATTAAAGTTTCTAATGGCTGAGTTTTGGGTGATGCCAACCAGAAGCCCAGAGGCTGACTCCGGACTAGTTTCCTTTGGGCTGGTGGCATCCCAAGATGGGTGATGGGAGCTGTCAGCCCCTGCCAGGAGGGGCCTTTTATCACAGATATGATTTAGAGTTGCCATTGCACGAAGATAATAAACAAACCAAGCCAGTTTTATTTTATTTTTATTTATTTATTTATTTTTGAGATGGAGTCTCGCTCTGTCGCCCAGGCTGAAGTGCAGTGGCGCGATCTCAGCTCACTGCAAGCTCTGCCTCCTGGGTTCACGCCATTCTCCTGCCTCAGCCTCCAGAGTAGCTGGGACTACAGGCGCCCGCTGCTACGCCCGGCTAATTTTTTGTATTTTTTAGTAGAGATGGGGTTTCACCGTGTTAGCCAGGATGGATTTTATTTTTTAAATTCTTTTTTTTTTTTTTTTTGAGACGGAGTTTCGCTCTTGTTGCCCAGGCTGGAGTGCAATGGCGCGATCTCGGCTCACCGCAACCTCCACCTCCTGGGTTCAAGCAATTCTTCTGCCTCAGCCTCCCAAGTAGGGGGATTATAGGCATGTGCTACCACGCCCAGCTAATTCTGTATTTTTAGTAGAGATGGGGTTTCTCCATGTTGGGAGGCCTCGGCCTCCCAAAGTGCTGGGATTGCAGATGTGAGCCACTGCACCTGACCTAAATTCTTTTTTAAAAAATCTATATCCTTACACATCTTGCATATTTTTAAAATTCTTTTTTTTTTTTTTTTTTTTTTTTGAGACGAAGTCTTGCTCTGTCGCCCAGGCTGGAGTGCAGTGGCACGATCTCTGCTCACTGCAAGCTCCGCCTCCCGGGTTGACGCCATTCTCCTGCCTCAGCCTCCCAAGTAGCTGGGACTACAGGTGCCCGCCACCATGCCCGGCTAATTTTTTTGTATTTTTAGTAGAGACGGGGTTTCATCGTGTTAGCCAGGATGTTCTCAATCTCCTGACCTGGTGATCCACCCACCTTGGCCTCCCAAAGTGCTGGGATTACAGACATGAGCCACGGCGCCCGGCCTTAAATTCCTTTTTTTTTTTTTATAGACGGGGTCTCTGTTGTTGCCCAGGCTGGAGTGCAGTGGCATGATCATAGCTCACAGCAGCCTCGATCTCCTGGGCTCAAATGATCTTCCCACCTCAGCCTCCCTAGTAGGTAGGACTACCAGCACCATGCCCAGCTAATTTTTTTTTTTTTCCTCGAGACAGAGTCTTGCTTTGTTGCCCAGGCTAGAGTGCAGTGGCGCAATCTCGGCTCACTGCAATCTCTGCCTCTTGGGTTCAAGTGATTCTTCAGCCTCATCCTCCCGAGTAGCTGGGGTTACAGGCACCCGCTACCACACCTGGCTAAGTTTTGTATTTTTAGTAGAGATGAGGTTTCACCATGTTGGCAGGCTGGTCTCGAACTCCTGACCTTAGGTGATCCGTCTGTCTTGGCCTCCTAAAGTGCTGGGTTATAGGTTTGAGTCACTGCACCTGGCCTCGGCTAATTTTTTGTAGAGACAGTGTCTGCTTTGCTGCCCAGGCTGCTCTCGAACTTGTGGCCTCAAACGATTGTCCTGCCTTGCCTCCCAAACTGCTGGGGTTACAGATGTGAGTTGCCACGCCCAAGCAGTTTTATTTTAAATTCTCTACAAATGGCACACTTACTTATTTCCTGTACCTGGGCGTGACTACTTTCACACACTCCTCCACTACCCATTGCTTTGGGCATTTTAACTAAAGAAACGATTCTTGCTCTAAAGAGCCATTTGGCTGATATTCTGGGGGACATTCTTTTGTGTCTCGTTATCCCTTCCTTTTCCACATACGGGCAATCTGTTTAGTCTGCCCCAGAGAGAACCAGTTTCTAAATCCCACTCAAGGAGGCCAGCCAGGCATGTTGGCTCATGCCTGTAATCCCCTGCATTTTGGGAGGCCAAGGCAGGAGGATCACTTGAGCCTGGGAGTTCAAGACCAGCCTGGGCAACATGATTAAACCCCGTCCTTACAAAAACAAAAAAGTAGCTGGGTGTGATGGTGCATGCCTGTAGTCCCAGCTACTCAGGAGGCTGAGGTGGGAGAATGACTTAAACCTGGGAGGCAGGGGTTGCAGTGAGATCGTGCCACACTGCACTCCAGCCTGGGTGACAGAGCGAGACCTTGTCTCAAAAGAAAAAAAAATCCCACTCAAGGCTGGGACATGCTGGCTTCCTCCTCCCCATGTCCAGGGTGGGACTGGCAAGCGCCGTAAGTAGAGGAAGCCATGGCTGGTGGGTGCTGAGCCTTTGCTTGGCTCTCATGCTCTGAACCCTTTTATCCTTCGGGGCCTCAGGACAATCCTGCGAGCTGGAGGCAGGGTGAGTCCTGCCTGCCCTGAGTACTGAGCTCCTGGTCCAAGATTACCCAGAACTGAACTACAGTGCTGGGTTCTGGATCTGCTCTGGCATTGGTTATGGGCAGCAGCGACATCTGGTGTCACGTCACTTCCTCTGTCTTCCGCCCATGGCTGCCACAGAAGGATCCACACGCCTCTGGCAAACCATGAGGCAGTGGGGCAGAACCTGTCCCCTACACTTCAGAAATGATGCTGCCTAGCTGGGCATGTTGGCACACGCCTGTAGTCTCAGCCTGTCAGGAGGCTGAGGTAGGAGGATCGCTTGAGCCCGGGAAGTCGAGGCTGCAGTGAGCCAGTATCCCACCACTGCACTTGAGCCTGGGTGATAGAGTGAGAGCCCCTGTCTCAAAAAAAAAGAGAGAAAAAAAAAGTAAAAAACCGAAAAACTCGGTGGCTTATGCCTGTAATTCCAGCACTTTAGGAGACTGAAGTGGGTGGATCACTTGAGCCCAGGAGTTCAAGACCACCCTGGGCAATGTGGTGAAACCCCATCTCTACTAAAAATACAAAAATTAGCTGGGTGTGGCCGTGAGCACCTGTAATCCCAGCTACTCAGGAGGCCGAGGCAGGAGAATTGCTTAAACTTGGGAGGCGGAGGCCACTTAATGAGACTTGGTCTCAAAAAACAAAAACAGGCCAGGCACAGTGGCTCAGGCCTGTAATCCCAGCACTTTGGGAGGCTGAGGCAGGTGGATCACGAGGTTAGGAGATCGAGACCATCCTGGCTAACACGGTGAAACCCAGTCTCTACTAAAAATACAAAAAAAAAATTAGCCGGGTGTGGTGGCAGGCGCCTGTAGTCCCAGCTACTAGGGAGGTTGAGGCAGAAGAATGGCGTGAACCCGGGAGGCAGAGCTTGCAGTGAGCTGAGATTGCGTCATGCAGTCCAGCCTGGGATACAGAGCGAGACTCCATCTTAAAAAAAAAAAAAAGCCACCATTAAGTCAGAACTGTGGGCAGCCTATGAGGCTTCATATGCCAGAACCCGTCCACTGCCTGTCCAGGCACTGGCATAGCCTCCTTGTATTCTGCTTCTTCCCATATTCCACCCTTTGATGGAGAGAGTACGGTTACTTCTGATACGTGCCAACACTAGACAGGTGACAGGATTGTTGGGCCCTCCCTTCCTGAAGAGTGCACTGGTGGCTGTATCAGCGTTGGAGGCCTCTGGAGTGCAGCAGGGCCTGGGTGTGGTGGGAGCGTTTGCCTAGGCGCATCTGCCTTGGCTGTCAGTCAACTCACGGCCAACTGAGCAGAGGCTCTTGACTGTCACAAGCTATCAAGGCCACCTCCAACCTCCAAGGAGGACGGACAGAGCCTGACTTGGACCAGGCCATGGCAGAAGTCTGGAGTACTTCGCCCTTCTTTGTGGTTAACCAACCTCCCCCTCCTCAACTATCTTTTAGTGCAGGTAGGGGCAGGGAGTTAGGAGAGGATACTGGCATAGGAGCTGAGACCATTTTTTTTTTTTTTGAGACAGTCTCGCTCTGTTGCCAGGCTGGAGTGCAGTGGCTCAGTCTTAGCTCACTGCAACCTCCGCCTCCCAGGTTCAAGCAATTCTCCTGCCTCAGCCTCCTGAGTAGCTGGGATTACAGGTGCCTTCCACCATGCCCAGCTAATTTTTTACACTTGATCTTAGCCAAAAGGCAGAGAAGCGATCTGGCTAATTTTTTGTATTTTTAGTAGAGATAGGGTTTCGCCATGTTGGCCAGGGTGGTCTCGAACTCCTGACCTCGTAATCCGCCCACCTCGGCCTCCCAGAGCGCTGGGATTACAGGTGTGAGCCACCGTGCCTGGCCCATTTTTGAAGAACTATTGATGAAAAGGCTCTGCACCTTCCAGTTTTTGCCCAGACTGGTCCCCCCCCGCCCTTTTTTTTATTCTGACACAGGATCTCGTTTTGTTGCCCAGGCTGGAGTGTAGTGGCATGATTACGGCTCACTGTAGCTTCGAGCTCCTGGGCTCAAGCAATCCCCCAGCTTCAGCCTCCTGAGTAGCTGAGACCACTGGTGCATGCCACCATGCCTGGCTAATTTTTTTTTTTTTTTTGAGACGGAGTCTTGCTCTGTCGCCAGGCTGGAGTGCAGTGGCGTGATCTCATCTTACTACAGCCTCCACCTCCTGGGTTCAAGGGATTCTCCTGCCTCAGCCTCCCGAGTAGCTGGGACTACAGGTGCACACCAACACGCCGGGCTAATTTTTGTTTTTTGCTTTTTTTTTTTTTTTTTTTTTTTTTGAGACAGAGTCTCGCTCTGTCGCCTAGGCTGGAGTGCAGTGGCGCAATCTCGGCTCACTGCAACTTCCGCCTCATGGGTTCATGTCATTCTTCTGCCTCAGCCTCCTGAGTAGCTGGGATTACAGGCGCACGCCACCATGCCCAGCTAATTTTTTTGTATTTTTAGTAGAGACGGGGTTTCACCATGTTGGCCAGGCTGGTCCCGAACTCCTGACCTCGTGATCCGCCCGCCTCTGCCTCCCAAAGTGCTGGGATTACAGGCGTGAGCCACCGTGCCTGGCCAGTTCTTCTTTTTTTTTTTTTTTTGAGACGGAGTCTCACTCTGTTGTCACCCAGGCTAGAGTGCAGTGGCGTGGTCTCAGCTCATTGCCAGCTCCACCTCCCGGGTTCACACCATTCTCCTGCCTCGGCCTCCTGAGTAGCTGGGACTACAGACGCCCACCACCATGCCCGGCTAATTTTTTTTTACTTTTTTAGTAGAGACAGGGTTTCACCGTGTTAGCCAGGATGGTCTCGATCTCCTGACTTCGTGATCCGCCCGCCTCAGCCTCTCAAAGTGCTGGGATAACAGGCGTGAGCCACCGTGCCCCACCTCTTGTTCTTGCTGTACAGTCGTGGCCATATACATCCGGGCACAGCTTGGGATGGAGGGTCCTGCTATGTTTGTGGCAGGGAGCTGCAAATCAGAATGCAGGTTGCAGAAGCAGCTTCTACCTCTGAACAGAAACCCCCTCCTGACAGGAGCATCATGTTAGGAAACATCTCTCCTGTCAGGTTTCATTCGCCTCCGTCAAGTAATGGGCTAGGTGTGGTGGGCTCGGGGCTGTGTGTTCATGCCAGCATAGCATCATGTGGTTTAAGGGTTGGAGGTATTGATTTAGGAGCTGGCAGTGAGGGGTGTAGGGGTCCTCTAGCCCAATGCCTTGAATCTAGTCCCTTCTGTAGGGTATTGTATGGCAGTGGCGGCAACTGCAACCCTTGCCAGGCACACAGGCAGGCAGTAGATCTGTGTTAGCTGGCCACACAGCACCAAGAAGGCTGCAGGAGGTGGGTGGGCCTGGGAGGCTTCCATGCCGGGGTGCCCAGTGAACTTTGCCCCTGAAAGCCAAGTCCTGGCCCCTGGCTCTGTCTGGATCCTGATGGAAGGCACGCTTCAGCCAGCCTGCCCTGACACAGAGTTTGCAAGCACAGCTCATTCTCTGTTTGGTCTAGTTCCCTAAATGAGGTGTAGGTCAAGTGCACACAACAGGCTTTGACCAGGTGTGTTCCCACGACATTAAGGCTTCTCTTCCTGGGGCTGGAAGTGGCTTGGAGAATGAGGCCTGAAGCCTTCTTATACCTGCCCAGCCCTGTCCCTCCTTTCAGATAACTTTTCACCCTGGCTTAGTTCCCCCCAGTCTCTATTCCCCCCACCCCTACACACACACACCATTGGAAGTCTAGGACACATTGCACATTATGAGGAAGAGCCCCAAACTTTTCAGGCAACTTGGACTTAAGCCTCAGCTCTGCCACTGGCCAGCCAGGCACTTGATCCCTGGACTGACTTCTGCATCTGTAAAATGGGGACCCCATACCTGTTCTACCTGTTGCTCAAAGGACTATGAGCTTTGCATGCTGATGGTTTGTGTAAAGGAATGAAACTACAAGGTGCAGCCCAGGATGGGGCCTTATAGCCAGGCCCTGATAACATGGGATTTGGGGCAAGAGGGATAGCAGGGGCAGGCAGAACACCAGATCCCACCTGAACCTGGGACTTGTCCTTACTAGGTGAGGCTGTGGTGACACTGGTAAACTCTGGGGCCAAGTGTCCTCTAGATGGGGGCTTCTTGCAAGGGGATCTGGGCATCGTCCTTGCCTGGGTAGCTGAGCCACCCCAGAGCTCCTTGCAGGAAGCATGGGAAACATGTTGTGGAGTGTGTGGATCTAGGTTCACATCCACTGTCTGGCTGTGTGCTGCTTGCTGTCTTCCCCTGTGTCCTTATTCAGAGCCTTATAAGTCCTGGGTCTGCAGGCCATGTCGCCACATTCCATCCACCTCACGTCAAGTGGCCATACTCAGAGGGCCTTCTTTCCTATGGGAGGCGTAAGAGCAACCTGCTGGTGCCAAGCCTAAGCGCGGGGCCCAGGCAGGACCCAATCCCCCAAAACACTCCCACCCCCACCCCCTACCCACTACGGCGACCAAGACCACACCAAGGGTATGACTGCCCTGACGTTTCTGTTCGGCAGCCCTAACGTTGGCTCTGCAGAGACCCCCCTCAAGTTCCCAGGCCCAGGTCGGTCTAGGGCCCAGAGCTGGCTGGCCCCTGACTTCCATCTTGTCCCCTTCTCTTCTCTGTTCACACCACTTCTTTGCCACCTTGTGTGCAGAAGGAGTCACTGAAGCTCTGAGCAGATGGAGGATGGTGGCTGAGTCTTATCTGAGACTCAGTCGCATTCTACTGCCCTTTAAAACGCCTGGTGTCATAGAGTGTCAGTGTGTGACGGGACCTGAGGCGAGTCTACTCTACTGTAGCTGAGGCTGACAAGCGAAGGCCACAAAGCCACCTGCTATGGCTGGTGACAGGGCTGGGGCTTCACCCTGGGCTTCCTGACGTTGTTTTGAGGTTCTTTGTCTTTTGTTTGGAATCTCGTCAGTGGGTATCTTCTGAGCTGGACCCTGAGTGCAGTGTCCTGGTTCTCAGTGGGGTCTCTTTCCCTTGGGGAAGCCAGATCAGATCTGGGTGCGATGATGATGGCAGCAAATTCTGAAAACGTGCTCAGTGTCTTTATAACAGGAAAGCCGTAAACTTAGAAATGTAGGCTGCAGCTCGTGTGCTCTGTGGTCTGGGCTGGTAGGGATGGCTGGGCCTGCTCCAGCACCCATCCCCAACCTCCCCATAGCTAGTGGGGCACAAGGCCACTCACACTCAGCTGTGGGGAGTTGACAGTCTGTCAGTCAGTCTCGTCGTTGGCCTGTAACCATGTAGGATTCACCGTGGCATCATCCAGTGGGACCACCCCCCACCCCCCTGCCATCGCCACCATCACCATCATACCTACCCCAACCTTTTGCAAGATACTGTGTCTGTCCTCTTTGTTCATGAGCTGAAGACCAGGCCAGGCGTGAGTCACTTTGGGATTGCAGGAGGATGGCTTGAGTCCAGGAATTCGAGATGAGCTTGGGCAACATGGTGAGACCCCACCTCTACACAAAATTAAAAAATTAGCCGGGAGTTGGGCACAGTGGCTCATGCTTGTAATCCCAGCACTTTGGGATGCTGAGGCGGATGGATCACTTGAGGTCAGGAGTTTTTGAGACCAGCCTGGCCAACATGGTGGAACCCCATCTCTACTAAAAATACAAAAATTGTCGGGCATGGTGGTGGGTGCCTATAATCCCAGCTATTTGGGAGGCTGAGGCAGGAGAATCACTTGAACCCAGGAGGCGGAGGTGGAGGTTGCAGTGAGCCAAGATCATGCCATTGCATTGCAGCCTGGGCGACAGAGTGAGACTCCGTCTCAAAAAAAAAAAAAAAAAAAAAAAAGCTGGGCTTTGTGGTGTGCACCTGTGGTCCCAGTTACTCAGGAGATGGAGGCAAGAGGATCGCTTGAGTCCAGGAGGCTGCAGTGAGCCATGTTTGCGCCACTGCACTCCAGCCTGAGCAACAGAGCAAGACCCTGTCTCAAAAAAGCCGAAGGCCAGTTGTTCCTGGGTACCTTGGGCTGGCCCCACTGGGTCTGAGTGGGTTGGTGTGAGATCAAGGTCTGCAAAAGAGCATTGACTCGTGAGCTGGGCACTTGGGAACAGGCTGTTTCTGACATGCTCGGTAACTGCGAGCAACTCGCTCGACCCCTAGGCCCTGGTTTCCTCCTCTAAAAATAAGGTTTCTTCCAGCTCAGATGTTCTGTATTTGGGTTGCTACTGAGGGCTGGGAGTTGGGGAAGGATGTGGGAGGGGCTTATAAGAGGCTCGTTTTTCCCTTTTTGGATTTCTCTCCTCTTCTCACCCCCTTCCCAAAGTAGTGTTTTCCATCGGGATGACACCGGGAGAGCTCGCTCGAAGCAGTGGGTAGGGGACTGCTGAAGCACGTGCATTCGTTACTTGAACATTGTGAGTGGACAGTTGAAACAATTCTTCCTTTCCAGATTGAATTCTAACTTTTAGAGATGCTAAAGGGTTGCTGCAAAAGTCTTTTTTTTTTTTTTTTTAAGGATATTTCTATTGCCTGCAGTGAGATTTTCCTGGGGTGTCTTTTCTCCAAGTCCCAATCCTGTGAGACAGGAATTTACAGAAGGCCAGAGTTGGCCTCTAGGGGTGACTGTTCCTGGTGGGTTGGTGGGTTGTCTGTGGGCAGGGAAGAGTGGGGAGTGGTTCCAGTGGTTTCTTGCCTCAGTATCCTTGGTGGAGAAGGGTCTGTTTGCTTTCTTTTTTTTTTTTCGAGATGGAGTTTCACTCTTTTTGCCCAAGCTGGAGTGCAATGACGTGATCTCGGCTCAGTGCAACCTCTGTCTCCTGGGTTCAAGCGATTTCTCCAGCCTCAGCCTCCCGAGTAGCTGGGATTACAGGCGTGCGCTACCATGCCTGGCTGATTTTTGTATTTTTAGTGGAAAGGGGATTTCACCATGTTAGCCAGGCTGGTCTAGAACTCCTGACCTCAGGTGATCCGGAGAAGGATCTGTTTTCTAGGTGGTGGTTCCTGGAGTCTGGGGTCCTTTCGTGGCTATTCTAAGGCCGGGATTTGTCCTCCAAACTTAAAGCTTAAGAGACTTTAATATCCCTGAGCCTACCACTGTTTTTGAAAGCAGTGTTTACCTTTTCCATCACTAATAAAAGCCAGCACTTACGGAACTTGTCCTCATGGTCACAGTATCTGAGAAGTTTAGAGTTGGATCCCTCAGCATCGGGCTTGTCCTTCCCCTTGCAGAGGGAGACACGCTTCTGGTGAGCGGCCAGGCCGCAGCCACTTCTGACCAAGTGTGGGGTCCCCATGGTCGTGGCTCCTGGCCGACCCCATGTCCCAGTCCTGTTCTTCATGGAGGCTTTGCTCAGCTGCTTTGGCCCCTCCTTCTCCCCCACGAGCCCATTCCCTATTCCTGCAGGACCTCCATGTGAGCTGGGCCCTGTGTGTGCCCTGGAAGGAGGGACCCTAAGCATCTGCTGTCCAGGGCACTGGCCTTTTGTGGCAGCAGCTTGAATGCCAGGTCTGCCCATGGCAGTGTCCAGGGCCAAGAGAGACGTCTACCTGAGCTGATAGACACAGGCCGAGTAGGCCTGGCGCGGTGGCTCACGCCTGTAATCCCAGAACTTTGGGAGGCCAAGGTGGGCAGATCACTTGAGGTCAGGAGTTCAAGACCATCCTGGCCAACATGGCGGAACCCCATCTCTACTAAAAATACAAAAATTAGCCGGGCATGGTGGCGCGCTCCTGTAGTCATAGCTACTCCGGAGGCTGAGGCAGGAGAATCGCTTGAACACGGGAAGTAGAGGTTGCAGTGAGCTGAGATGGTGCCACTGCACTCCAGCCTAGGTGACAGCAAGACTCCATCTCAAAAAAATTAAAAAATAATTAAAAAAAGAAAAACAGGCCGAGTCCCTTTCCACGCAAGCCTGGATTTGTGCTGGTGTCTTGGGTGCTCCTGATACTTTGCTCCTGAAGGGTTGTTTAATTTGGTCTTTTCTGAAGATCCTGAAACAAATGTCAGTTTGTCTGAAGGAAGAACATCACCGACACGTAGATGGGAATGGGTTTGTCAGAGCCCCTTCTTCTTACTTCTCTTCTCTAAAAAATGACCCCTTAACCTCTAGGCTGGAGAGGGCTGTGGAGGAAGAACATTTGGATGTCAGCTTGCAGCTCACACCTTCCTGAAAGAGAGGGCTGGGTGACCTGGGCAGCCTGGGCAGGCTCCTCCGTCGTGGTGGGATTAGACAGCATGGTCCAAAAGCTCCTCCTAGATCTATTCGTACTAGGAGGGGATTCCCCATTCCAGGGGCCTCCAGAAACAAGGCTGAGGATGGGGGGCTCTACTTCCTGTGCCACCCAGGTGCTGTGCTCCCCTTCCCCAGGACCCCAGGGCTGAGTTACGATGCTGGAGCTGGGAGTGAGACTGAGGGGCCTCCCGGGGAGGTGGGGAGAGGTCAAGAGGTGGCTCAGGATGGGTGAGGTGGCTCACACCTATAATTCCAGTGCTTTGGGAGGCTGGGGCAGGAAGATCACTTGAGCCCAAGAGTTCGAGACCAGCCCAGGCCACAGAGTGACGCCCCATCTCAAAAAATAAAAATAAAATAAAAATAAAAGTTTAATTTTTAATTAAAAATAAAAATAGGTAGCTCCCAGGCACTCTAGGTCTAGCACTGGCTGGCGGGAGAGAGCTCAAGAACACACAGGCCCTTCTCCCCAAAGGAGTCAGGCTTATAAACAATTGGCAGCAAAGATCTAGAGGACTCCAGGAAGTGCCAGTAAGTGATAGCCTGTGGGGTCCATGGACCCCTCTCCCACCCTCCCACTCCCTGTGACTCTAGAGGCAAGACTTGCCTCAGAAAAGAGCAGCTCTGGGTGCCTCCAAAGCTTTGCTGGGCAGAGGCAGTTGTGCCAAAAGTTGGTCAGTTCCCCTAGGTAGGCCTGGCACTGGCTGGGACCTCCAGCAGGGCTGGGTCTGCTCCTGTGGGGTCATGAGAGCCACACAGCCATGTCTGTGGTATTCTGTATGGGTACACAACCCTGGCCACGTTCCTTGCCTATATTGGTGCTTGCAGCAGGTTCCACCAGAAGGGTTGTTCCTCAACAAGTATCTTTGACTGAGTTCTCAGAATCATCCTCCATCCGTTCCCCCGGTCTCCCCCATACCTGCTCCATGTGACTACAGGTGTACCTTCCAGCTGTGCTGAGGACCTGACTGTGCTCCCAGCATTTCTGCTCTTACTTGCCATAAGGGTGACTTTTTTGGAAGGGCTGTGGTTGCTCTTCACATTTTGGGACAGGAACCCTTGGGTTGCTGGATGCTTCTGCAGAAGGGATGAGAGTATGGAAAAGGGCCCAAGTGAATGCGTTTGGTGCCTTCCAGCAGCCTGAGATTGTGAGAACCACCCCTGTGCACTCTTTAAATGCTTTAAAACGTTTTGTGTATGTGCTGAATTCTTGTAATAAACCCATGGAATAGGCAGGACATGAGTTATTTGGTTGAACTTTCCTTGTCATCAACTAGTTGTCGGTGCCTGAATCCTTGTCTGCATCTAACCTTTTATTTTTTATTTTTGTTTTTTAGAGGTAGGGTCTTGCTCTGTTGTTGCCCAGGCTGGAATTCAAGTGGTGCAATCATGACTCACTGCAGCCTTGAATTCCTGGGCTCAAGCGATGCTCCCACCTCAGCCTCCCGAGTTGCTCAGACTTCAGGTGCCTTCCACCACGCCTGGCTGATTTTTTGTGGGGGGGGATAGGGCCTTGCTATATTGCCCAGGTTGGAGCATCCAGCCTGTTCCTGAATGTTTCCCCTGTTACCCTGACGTAGGTACCACAATGGTCCCCTGTACTGGCCTGAGACACAAGACTAGTTGGCTGGACCTTGGAGAAGTAACTGCATGTCTCTGTTCCTGCCATTGCTGAAAGATCCTGGCTGTGCCATCAGCTTGCCTTGTTACCCTGTTCTTGGCTTCAGTTTCCCCATCTATAAAACGAAGGGGTTGAACTAGCTGATCTCTGTGGTGTCTTCTATTTCGGGCATTACCTCCTCTGGGGAAGAGAAAAACTAAAGAATCTAGTGACCACCTTAGGACATCCTACCCACATTACCAGCTTCAGTAGACAACCTTAATAAGTGGCTCATGGCACCTGATGAGGGAGATCCTTGTGCAGGTAAATGCAGGAGCCCTAAATGAAGCCAGCATTTTATTGCTCTCACAAGTAATGGGGAGAGTAAGGTGAGCTCTTAGTCTTGGAGGTAGATGGTGTTTGTGTTGTGAAGATGAAACTGAGGCCAGGCATGGTGGCTCATACCTGTAATTCCACCACTTTGGGGAGGCCAGGGCAGAAGGATTCTCTGAGCCCAGGAGTTCAAAACCAGCCCAGGCAACATAGTGAGACCTCATCGCTACAAAAATGGAAAAGCTAGCCAGGCATTGTGGTGCACACCTATAGTCCCAGATACTCTGGAGGCTGAGGCAGGAAGATCTCTTGAGCCTAAGAGTTTGATGCTGCAGTGAGCTATGATAGCGCCACTGCACTCTAGCCTGGGAGACAGACCGAGACTCCATTTCCAAAAAAAAAAAAAAAAAAATGAGGCCGGGCATGGTGGCTCGCACTTATAATGCCAGTACTTTGGGAGGCCAAGGCGGGCGGATCACTTGAGGTCAGGGATTCCTGACCTCAAGGAACTCCTTGAGGTGAGGAGACCAGCCTGGCCAACGTGGTGAAACCCTGTCTCTCCAAAAAAAAAAAAAAGAGCTGGGCGTGGTGGCAGACGCCTGTAATTCCAGCTACTTGGGAGGCTGAGGCAGGAGAATCATTTGAACCCAGAGGACAGGGTTGCAGTGAGCAGAGTTTGTGCCACTGCACTCCAGCCTGGGCAACAGAGCGAGACTCCATAAAAAAAAAAAAAAGAAATGAAAAATAAATAAAAATAAGAAACTGAGATTCGGAAAGATGAAGTGGCTTCCTCAGGCCAAGCATGAAGCTAGGAAGCAAACTCCAGTGTAACTAAGGCCTGTTCTCTTTGCCTTTTTTTTTTTTTTGAGACAGGGTCTTGCTCTCCTGCCCAGGATGGAGTGCAATGGTATGATCTCGGCTCACTGCAACCTCCATCTCTCCAGGGTTCAGGGGATTCTCGTGCCTCAGCCTGCCAAGTAGCTGGGACTACAGGTGTGCGCCACCACACCCAGCTAACTTTGTATCTTTAGTAGAGACGGGGTTTCATCATGTTGGCCAGGCTGGTCTCAAGCTCCTGACCGCAAGTGATCCACCCTCCTTGGCCTCCCAAAGTGCTGGGATTACAGGTGTGAGCCACCATGCCCGGCCCTCTCTGCCATTTATGGTATCGTTCTGCCATGCTGGATCGTATCTGGTCTCTGGCTGTGAGTTTCTTCTCTGCAGGGACTGAGGTGTGTAGAGATGGGGGAGGTCTCCAGTGCTTAGACCTGACTCTAGGGACATTGGGAGATGGAAATGTTTTGAGGCTTGGTTCCTGTCTCTAGGGCTTTCTGTAGTCAAGGTGAGGGGTACCTCAGACTGCTGGGAACTATAAGGCGAGGGGTCCTAACGGCCACTGTGGGGCTTCAGAGGAAGGAAAGGGTAGTTGAGGACTCCGGAAAGACCTGAAGGCTGGATACCTTTAGTTAAGGAGTGAGGAAGGGGTGAGCCGAGGGGGCAGTGCAGGCAGCCTTGTGGACGCTTGTCAGGGCCCTGGAGTGGGTGGGCTGGGCGGGCTTGATGGAAGCAGGTGTTGGGCGGCTTTGGAACCTCTTGTTCCTCCCTACATGTGGCTGGTCAGCCTGCGGAGCCCACGCTTCCCCTGCTCCTGGTTTGCCAGTTTCCCCTTTTTCTGCCCTCCTCACTCTGGTGTGGCTGTCATCCTAAACAAGTGTCATACTGAGTGGATGGATGGCAGCACTTACCCACCCATGACGCTGATGAGGCTGCCCTGTGCCGCTCCCCCTGCCCTCACAAACAGCAGAGTCAGGGTGCCTGGTCTCAGGAGCCCTGCTCCTCCGTGAACTCAGCTGTGTGCCGTTGACAAATCACCAAGGCTTTCTGGGTCTCAGTCTCCCTGTCTGTACAAGGGGCTGGGCTTTAAGATGTCATCTGCTGGGGTGGCTGGAATCTAGTAGGAACCAAGGCGGGTGTTTGGGAATCACACTTGCTGTGATTTAGCCTCCCGGACTGCTCCCCACAGAGCATCTGTGCTCAGGCAGACGGGCCCACCAGCTCATCCGTGACTGCCTTGACCACCTGAGAGGTGGCCAGGGACAGGATGGGAGCTGTGGGGTAGCCTTTTGGACTCTATAGAACCTGAAAGATGGAACCCTGAGGAAAAGGGTCATCGGACCCAGAGGGAATCCTGGCTGGAAACGAGTCTTGAGCCAGGATAAGGAAACAGCCCCTACACTCACCCCACCCTACCCCAAGCGGAAACTCTGTGCTGAGAACTTGCTATTTAAGAGGCCTCTGGGGAGGTCTGGCCAGAAAGGAGCCATTTGAGGGAGGGTTTAAAATTAGCCTGGGTGAAATGTGTGGCCCCTGGGGAGAACTGAAGCAGAGGTTTCCGTGGGTCTGCTCTGGTCTGGGTCTTTGACCCAAATCATGTCCTGCTTTCCTGGGGAGGAAGGGGAGGAGAGAAGGGAGTGGTACCGATCTAGGTCCCTCCATCAGGACGCTGGTGGCTGCACTCTTGGCCCATCCTCTGGGGTGAGGTGTTGGAGGCAGACCCTGGGCTACCCAGAGGGCTTGGTGCTCGGGTCCTGTCGTCCTTTCCCAGCACCCAAAGCACCCATCACCTCTGCCAGGCTGGGCACGTAGTAGGAAGACTTGGGTTTTGGGTTTTTTTTTTTTGAGACGGAGTTTTGCTCTTGTTGCTCAGGCTGGAGTGCAGTGGGCCAGGCTGGGCATGTAGTAGGAAGACTTGGGTTTTGGGTTTTTTTTTTGAGACGGAGTTTTGCTCTTGTTGCCCAGGCTGGAGTGCAGTGGTGTGATCTCAGCTCACTGCAACCTCTGCCTCCCGATTCAAGTGATTCTCCTACCTCAGCATCCCTTGTAGCTGGGATTATAGGCATGCGCCACCACACCCAGCTAATTTTGTATTTTTTAGTAGAGACGGGGTTTCTCCATGTTGGTCAGGCTGGTCTTGAACTCCCAACCTCAAGTGATCCACCCACCTCGGCCTCTCAAAGTGCTGGGATTACAGGTGTAAGCCACCACGCCCAGCCTTTTTTTTCTTTTTTTCTGAGATGGAGTCTCACTCTGTCGCCCATGCTGGAGTGCAGTGGTGCGATCTTGGCTCACCACAACCTCTGCCTCCTGGGTTCTAGTGATTCTCTTGCCTCAGCCTCCGAAGTAGCTGGGACTGCAGGGATGGGCCACCACACCTGGCTAATTTTTTGTATTTTTAGTAGAGATGGGGTTTTACCACGTCGGCCAGGCTGGTCTCAAACTCTTGACCTCAAGTGATCCACCCGCCTCAGCCTTCCAAAGTGCTGGGGTTACAGGCATGAGCCACTGCACCTGGCCGAGGCCTGGGTTTTGAGTTCCAGGTCTGCTGCCTTTAAAGAACAAGCCATGTGACCTTGGACAAGTCACTTCTGCTTGGGGATTCACACGCACACCTCAAGGCCCTTACATCAAAGGGCAGAGAGGCCTGCTGGGCTCAGGTCAGGAGCTCGGTTTCACCCATCCTGGATCCTTGGCTATCCAGACCCCCAGATGCTGCCAACAACAAAGCAGGATTCGAGTGGTGTCTCCGTGGGACATGAGCTGCCAGGGCTGTGAGGTGTGAGGTGCCATCACCCCAACCCCGGGCACAGAGGCTGGTATAGTGGTGCCTCTACTGAGGGGAAGACGTGTCCCAAGGGAGAAGATGCGTCCCAAGCGGCCCGAGATTCTGCTGAATGGGCTTGGCAAAAGCTCACGTGAGGTTTGTCTTCACCATGGCTGAGAGTCAAAGTTTAAGAGACAAAGTTTGTCTTCACCGTGGCTGAGAGTCATTCTTGCGTGGGTGGGAGTGGTGACACCAGTAACCAGCAGCTATCCTGGCTGATTTCCTTTGACATTCTTGGCTCTGTTGAGTTCTCTGGGTGCATTGGGTGTAGTTTTACCTAACATTGCTCCAGCTTCCTGAGACAAGCCACTGATAAAAGCCATCGTCTCAGAAAGGCTGTTGTCTGGGGTCAGCGGGCCATCACTAGAGAGCGGAGCAAGTTCTTTGGTACCTCTCAAGAAGGGGATGTGGCCCACTGTAGGGCAACTTAATGCTTTCAAGAATGGCCGCGTGATGGGGTGAGGCATGTGAACTTCTAAAATCTGCAGCGGTGAGTTCAGAAGACCTGTGCTTGGCTTCGCAGGAGGAGATGTGGCCCAGAGCAGGAGTCAAGCGTGTAGGGACGCTCTGCTTGTTCACATTTTTCATTATTCAGGAAGCCACGGTTTCAAAAAATGTTTTGAATGGATCTAAGCTATGGAAAGTCTCCCCTTCCCCATCACAATTTTTGGCTGATCAGGGCTTGCTAGTTTAGCATCCGGTGCCAGCAGCGTTTAAATAGCAGCAGTGGCTACAGTCACAGGATGGACACCTAGTGTTTAGATCTGGCTTGTAACCATGTTGGGGGCAATGCTCAAAATTCACAGCATCAGCCGGGCACGGTGGCTCAATCCTGTCATCTCAGCACTTTGGGAGGCCGAGGTGGGCGGATCACTTGCGGTCAGGAGTTCGAGACCAGCGTGACCAATGTGGTGAAACCCCATCTCTACTAAAAATGCAAAGAATTAGCTGGGCATGGTGGTGCATGCATGTAATCCCAGCTACATGGGAGGCTGAGGCAGGAGAATCGCTTGAACCGGGGAGGCAGAGGTTGCAGTGAGCCGAGATGGCGCCACTGCACTCCAGTCCGGGTGACAGCAAAACTCCATCTCAAAAAAAAAAAAACTCACAGCATCAAATGCTTCACCTGAAGCTGGCAAGATCTTAGCGTGTTCTTCAAAACTCAGCATAATGGTTTTGACTGTTTACCCATTACCCTGTTCAGTCAACATTTAGTACCATCACCATGCTAAGAGCAGGCAGAGAGGCAGGAGTATAAGGTGTTTCTTGACATTGAAGGTCCCACATCTCGTGTAGGAGCAGGAGATGGATGAGAAAGTGCCGGGCCCTCTGTTGAAATCACTGCAGGGGATAGTGGGCATGGGACTCTGTTTCCTTTACATCTTTGCTCCTCCCCTCGACCAGACTGGAGGCTCTCTACCAGGAGGCCATGGGTATCATCTAGAAAACAGATACTTTTTTGTCTGAGGGGCCAGTGGTGCAATGGATTAAAAAAATAGATACATTTTTACATGTACATTTTTGGGGGGTCAGGCACTGCAGCTTTCTTCAGATTTTTAGAGGAGGCTTTGGTTTGAAAAGGCATACCGATTAGCATGGCGTGGTGGTGTACCCCAGTAATCCCAGCTACTCAGGAGGCTGAGGCAGGAGAATCTCTTGAACCCAGGAGGTGGAGGTTGCAGTGAGCTGAGATCACGCCACTGCAGTTTAGCCTGGGCAACAGAGTAAGACTCTGTCTCAAAAAAAAAAAAGAAAAAAAAAAAGGCATGCTGGGCTGGGTTTGTACCCTTATCAAACAGGGCTTTCTTTTTGCCTCTGTTCACCAGCAGACTCAGTCTGTGTGCAGAGGCATCCGGCAGACGCAGCACGATGCCTCTGGGATGTACCCAGAGAAAGGAAAGGGCTTTGAGAAATTGAGTGCTGTGAAACAATGTTAATTTGCCTTGGGTATCCAAGGAGGCCCAGGAAAGGCTGAATTCCTCTAAGCTCTAGAAGGATTCCAGTTGCCTGCCTGAAGGAAGCGCTGTTGTCATCCCTGTCCGTCTTGGGCAGCCTGGCCCTGATCACTGGTCTCTGTCTCCAGGTCCGGACACTGTTTGTCAGCGGCCTCCCTGTGGACATTAAACCCAGAGAACTCTACTTGCTCTTCCGGCCGTTCAAGGTGAGTCAGGACCCAGCCGCCCCCTGGGTAGAGCCTGGGACCCTGGAGAAGCAGCGGGAGTGAATCTCGGGTCGGGCAGGGCAGCAGGATGATGCGGGAAGGCGTGGCAGAAGCTGTGGGGGCAGGTCCAGCCCGTGTCCTGGTTCTGCGAATTCACATGCTGCCTTCTGAGCCTCTGTTTCCTCGCCAGTTAAATGGAGACAGTAAGAATCTTTTTTTTTTTTTCCTCGAGACGAGTCTTGCTCTGCCGCCCAGGCTAGAGTGCAGTGGCTTGATCTCGGCTCACTGCAACCGCTGCCTCCTGGGTTCAAGCAATTCTCCTGCCTCAGCCTCCCAAGTAGCTAGGATTACAGGCATGCGCCATTATGCCCGGCTAATATTTGTGTTTTCAGTAGAGATGGGGTTTCACCATGTTGGTCAGGCTGGTCTTGAACTCCTGACCTCGTGATCCGCCCGCCCCGGCCTCCCAAAGTGCTGGGATTACAGGTGTGAGCCACGGCGCTTGTCCTTTTTGTTTGTTTTGTTTTGAGACAGAGTCTCACTCAGTTGCCCAGGCTGGAGTGCAGTGGCGTGCGGCTCACTGCAACCTCCGCCTCCTGGGTTCAGGCGATTCTCCTGCCTCTGCCTCCCGAGTAGCTGGGACTACAGGCACCCTCCACCATGCCTGGCTAGTTTTTGTATTTTTAGTAGAGATGGGGTTTCACCATATTGGCCATGATGGTCTGGATCTCTTGACCTTGTGATCTGCCCGCCTCGGCCTCCCAAAGTGCTGGGATTACAGACGTGAGCCATGATGCCCAGCTAACAGTAAGAATCTTTAAATATATGTGGTTATATAAAGAATCTTTGAGATTCAGTGTAGCCTTTTCAGTTTGCAGATGAGAAAACTTAAAAGGTAAGGTCTGTGCTCTCGGGTTACTAGTTAGTGGAGCAAATGGGAATTTCTGCCTGAAGTGATGAGTGCTGCCGCGTGATGCCCACCCTATGTGCTAGACCGCGTGATTCAGAACGCAGGGCGGTGGACGTTTGGCAGTGGCGGAGGTCAGGGTGGGTTGATGTTGACAGGGAGAAGGGTGTGAGAATGACTCAGGGGAACGCGGGGGCTGATGAGGTGGCAGCGCTGGGCTAGCACAACATACGCTTCTGACCTTCCACGGTAACAGCCACCTCTCTCCGCAGGGGTATGAAGGGTCCCTGATCAAGCTCACTGCAAGACAGGTAATTTCTCTCCTAGGGTTTTCTTCCTCCCAGCCCAGACCGGCTGCTGAGCTTCAAACAAGGGCCCGTTAACCCTTCCCTAATCTAGAGGCATCTGGCGGTACAGACTTGCGCTCCCTGTTGTCCTGTTTCTGACAGAGCAGCCTCTGTAGGTCCCACTGTCTCTTCACTGGCCATCTGAGCCCAGCCAGCTCCTGGTCCTCCCTGTCTGTTTCTTAGGAATCTGGGAGCCCCGCTGGCTGAGGACAGTAAAGCAGTTAGCTGAGCTCTAGCTTTTTTTTTTTTTGAGATGGAGTTTTGCTCTTGTTGCCCAGGCTGGAGTGCAATGGCACGATTGAGCTCTAGCTTTTAATACAAGGAGGCCAGGGCCCGCTAGCCTTTGGGGGCTATTTGGGGTCTAGACTGATCCTTGGGAAAATGAAGTTGGAGCAGTTTTCAACCTATTGCTCCTTGATAGAACCGGAGTCTTCCCATGCCCTTGATACATTGGTGTCCCCTTTCTTGCTGGGGAAAACACTGGGACTTACTTTTAGTTATCTGCATGCATTAAAAACAATACTTTTACTAAAAGGGCGACGTTTAATTCAGTGGAATTAAGCTCTGTTGGCATCATTTCCCACAGGATATTCCTGGGGAGGGAGACTTGACTTTTGGTGCATGTTAAACTGCTGTTCCAGTGAACAGGGAGGATGTGGGCTGGAGTTTTGGGGGGCTTTTTTTCCTTTTGTATTCTCATCAGCAGGGCAAATACTGTTTCCACATAGATGATACTCTTTTTTTGTTGTTATTTTGGAGGGAGAGGTGGAATGCTAGGAGAGATATAAGGGTGTTCTCTCTTTTTCCTACTAGCCTGTTGGTTTTGTGATCTTTGACAGCCGTGCAGGAGCAGAAGCGGCCAAGAATGCGCTGAACGTGAGTAGGTGGAGAACAGGTCTTCTCTGACTCACAGCCCTCTTAGGCAGTGGGTGTGCAGATGTATCTTATTTCCCGGCCATCCCTGGGCAGAGTCCTTGGCGACACTGTCTGTGCCAAAGGCCATTACTCAAGGCCTGAGCTGCCTTTCCTCTGCCTCAGCCACCGTGTGGGCAGGTCTTCGAGGCGAGCTTGTTTATGGCGCCCTTCTCTACTCTCTGCCATTAACACTCTGGGTCCCCCGGAGTAAGCCTTTCTCTTCTTTTCTCTACCCATGTAGGGTATTCGCTTTGATCCCGAAAATCCACAGACTCTGAGGCTAGAGTTTGCCAAAGCCAACACCAAGATGGCCAAGAGCAAGCTAATGGCAACTCCAAATCCCAGCAACGTGCACCCCGCCCTAGGAGCACACTTCATCGCACGGGACCCCTGTGAGTGGCACTCTGAGCTGGCAGGCCCTCATGGAGTTGCATTCAGGGCAGACTTGCAGGCTCTTGCAGAGGGAAGCCCCTTTTCCAGGAGGCTTTTTGTGTCCACGGCCACCCATTTTTGAAACACCTGGTTTTCCTCCCTCCCCTGCAGCCTGCCTAGAATTTCTGAGCTGCCAGGGCTTCCAGCTTCCCTGCAACCTTCTTTAATTTCTCATTTGAGACGAGCTGAGGCCTGTCTTAAAGCAGGCAGGATGCACACCATGACAGGCCGATTTAACGTGGCTTCCTTGCCTGGTCTCGGGGTCCTCTGTGGTTGGGGGTGGTCTGGCCTCAGTGTGGGGCATATGGCTCAACCATAGTGCTGGGTCCCCTTCTCCGTTTGGAAGGGGAGGCGAGTGTTCTGATGATGGAGGCCATTGTCTCCTGTTGTAGATGACCTGATGGGGGCTGCTCTGATCCCTGCATCCCCAGAGGCCTGGGCCCCCTACCCTTTGTACACCACAGAGCTGACCCCAGCCATCTCCCATGCTGCGTTCACCTACCCAACTGCCACTGCCGCTGCCGCCGCCCTCCACGCTCAGGTAAGCCCTTTAAGGTTGGGGAGGGCGAAGAACAAGGGCTCTTAGCTGGCCAGACTTTGCATGTGCCTGGCCACTTGGCCGCTGCTGTCCCAGAGCTGCAGCAGAACTCTTGTCTTCCTTGATGGTTTGAAAGCCCAGACCCCAGGGACCTATTTGTCCTCCCCTTGGGTTTAGGATTTGACAGGGAGGGAGAAGATAACCCACGAGTTCCCATGGAGGATGCCAGGCAGCCCAGCTGTGGTTCCCCAGCCCCAAGCACCCCTGCCCAGGCACCGACTATGTTCTCCCATGGTGATGGGACTATGATTCCAGTCCTAACCTGGGTATGGTCTCTGGAGTCAGACCATCTGCCTCTGCCCCTTCCTGTCCCTTTCATCAAGCTCTTACAGATTGCTGTGCCTCGATTTTTTTTTTTTAGTCATCTGAAAAATGGGAATGATCAGATAATCTGCCTTAGGGTTGTTGTGAAAGTTAGATGTCAAGACGAAGTGACTACTGAGTGCTAGGATGTAACCTAGAGCGCCCTGAGTGTTGGCTCTCGCTTCCATGAAGGCTGGACGCTGTCCACTGTGAACCTGTGCCGGGCAGGAAACAGGGAGTGAATGCTTCTGGGGAGAGTCGGGGCTGTTAGAGCAGGGCCAGGAAGGCTCTGTGTGGGGTGCTGGGCTGGGTGCCCAATGGGCAGGCAGGGAGTCAGGCTTTCCCCTGGCCATGCAGGCGCTTCCTCTGGTCTGACTTGGCCACAAGTGCAGGTCACTGGAGCACTCTGCAGGGGAGGTCTCATCCCACTGTGCGTGTGTCGGGGAGCAGTGGGGTGCCTCACAGTGGCAGTGACAAGTTGCAGCCAGGCAGCCACAGGAAGGGGCTGGGGGGCACTTTTGAGCCCACCTCAACCTTTGACCAGCCAGGTGATGAGCACTAATCCCCAGGAAGAGCTGCCCGGCCAGGGTGTGCTGTGCTGCTGCGAAGGAGAGAATTGAGGTTGCTGGGACCTGGCTGGGGAGCAGGAGGGGATGAGGAAGGAAAGCAGGAGAAGCCAGAAAGGAGGGTTCACAGGAGCCAGAGCTGAGGCGGGAGGAGTCGGGTGCTCTGCCCGAGAGCTGTGTGTACGTCCATTTTCAGGTTCTTCCAGGGACTCAGTGACACCTGGGTTTGTCCAGTTCCAAAGCGGAAAGTTCAGATTCAGGGGCTGCTACCCTAGCAAACTGTTTTCCCCAGCAGGGGAATGCTCCCTGGCTCCGCAACGTTCAGTTGTACTGAGGGCAGAATTGTGGTTAACCCTGGCGCTCTTCCCCAGCTGAGCACCACAAATAGCTTGAAAATTGATCAGAGGATAAGGAAGGTGGTAAAGACCTTCCCCTGGAGGGAATTGTTGGGTATTTACTGCAAACTGGGTTCTGTGGCTGGAATAGAGCGGGGAGCAGGGAAGCTCATCCTGTCTACCCTGACCTGGGCAGTGACTTGATGCTTCAGGTCAAGCGGATGTTTAACTGCAAGGCCCTGGGAGGCACTGGAAGGAATCACAGGCTCCCACCTCACTGGGCTTCTCACCTCTGATCCCAGCTTTGGCACCAATTGGCTACATGATCCTCACCTCTGTGTCCCCATCTGTAAAATGAGAGGGATAGACCAGATAAGGTGGAGAGGTTCTGCCCTATCCTCTGAATTGCTAGGCTGTGACAGAGGTTGGGAGCCAGGGACAATGAGTTTGTCAAATGAATCAGAGAGGGCACCTCTGCCCAGCCAGGTGGGGGTGGCACTGCTCTCTGGCCCTGAGCTCCACGCCACAGGGCTTCCTTCCTCCTGTTGGCTTCCTTCCCAGTTTTCTCCCACCCCATCCACACTCTGCAGCTGTCCAACTCTGGCCCAAATCCTGGTTCTCAACAGCTGTGGGACATTGGGCACGTTACCCACCATCTCTGTGTTTCTGTAAAATGGTGATGATAATGCCTACTTGATAGGTGTGTTGTTCGCATGATGGCATGGAGTCGCGTGATGGCATGGAGGGAGTGCTGTGAAAGTGCAGATGGTTGTGATGTTATTTAATATCATTATTGTCTGGGTTCCCTTGGGTCCTCTCTGAGGCTGGAGGCCTCTTTGTGCCTGAGTTCCTGCCTTCTGGCCTTCCTTGGACGGGGACTGGGATAGAGGCCACCCACCCCAAAGGATAGTGGCGTTTTTGGGGAGGCAGGCTAATGGGAAGAGATTAGACCAGGGAGTCATTAGTTCTGTCCTTGCTACTCAAACTCTCTGGGCAGCCCTTTCCTCAATAGTAAAACAGGTTGTTTTACTGTTTCCCGACTAAGAACATTTTATTTTTTTCCTTCCAACAGCCCCACTGCTTGCCCCCTGACAGTGCTGCCCCAGAGATAGGGTATAAAAGTGTCTAAATGAAGTATGGACACTGTTGATCTTAAGTGAATTGTTTTGAACCCAAAAGACCAATAGAAGGACTGAGTTTTTCTGTGCCTGGGGGCAAGGAGGTGACTTCAGGAGAAGGTAGCAGCTGAAGGACAAGGTGATGAGAACAAGTACCTCTGTTCTCTACCCCAGCTGCATGCCCTTTGCCAGTAGCCCAGCCTGAGCCCAGGCCTCCACAGCTACGTGGCTGCAGAGACCAGACCTGCAGGAGGGGTCCTGGAGGTTGTTTGGTCCTGCTCTGTCTTGGCATGAGGCTACCTTGCCTGGCCTTCTAACCCTCTTGATAGAATCTTCCCCTTAAAGAGGGTGAGGCACAAAAGCAACTGTGGATGGCAGGCCCAGTGGGGTTCAGCATAGAAAGATGGTGGCCTAAAAGCAAGGGTTCTCAGCGTCCTATTGCATCCCACGGTCCTCCCAGACTGGATTTCATTTTACGTTCCAACCTGAGGATATGCGGGTCTTCCATGGCTTTTTTCTCCCCCTTAAACTGGTTCACCCATTTACCAGTGACCTTAAGGTTACATAAACTCCCGTGCCTCTATTTTCTTATCTGTATCATGGAGATGATAATAGCATCTACTTCATAGGGTTTTTGTGAGGATTAAATGAACTTAGTATATGAAATCTACCTAGAACAGCATTGGGCACAGGGGAGGTGCTTCATGAGCAGGAGCTATTATTGTATTAGCATATCTGCATTTATGGAAAAAAACAGGCAGTTTTTGTTCTCTTCCCTTTGGCTTATCATCCAATCCCCAGAAAACCTGTACTTTTAATTCTTCAGTTCGATAGGTAGTTTGGAGCAGGTGTATAAGTAAATCTATAGGTATGAATCTTAGAAAAACTGCAATACATATTTAATCTTTTAAAAACTTAAATATTAGGGCCAGGCGCAGTGGCTCATGCCTGTAATCCCAGTACTTTGGGAGGCCGAGGTGGGCAGATTACCTGAGGTCAGGTGGTCAAGACCAGCCTGGCTAACACGGTGAAACCCCGTCTCTATAAAAATACAAAAATTAGCTGGGCGTGGTGGCGGGCACCTGTAACCCCAGCTACTCAGGAGGCTGAGGCAGGAGAATCGCTTGAACCCAGGAGGCAGAGGTTGCAGTGAGCCAAGATCGCGCCACTGCACTCTAGCCTGGGTGACAGAGCGAGACTCTGTCTCAAAAAAAAAAAAAAAAAAAAAAAAAAAAAAAAAACAAAACAAACCAAAAAAACTTAAATATTAGGACTTAAAATAAATAATAGTAAGTGTAGCTCTACATTTTGGATACCTGGCTAGTACACCATTGTACGAATGTGTCCAGCTCCCTGTAGATGGTAAATTGGTTTGTTTATACAGTTTTGCTTACTGATAGCTATACAACAATGGATATCCTTGTGTGTACTTCTGGGCACCTCTTCTGTTTTGTTTTCTTTCTTTCTTTTTTTTTTTTTTTGAGACAGAGTTTCACTCTTGTTGCCCAGGCTGGAGTGCAATGGTGTGATCTTAGCTCACCTCAACCTCCGCCTCCCAGGTTCAAGTGATTCTTCTGCCTCAGCCTCCCTAGTAGCTGGGATTACAGGCATGTACCACCACGCCCAGCTGATTTTGTATTTTTAGTAGAGATGGGGTTTCTCCGTGTTGGTCAGGCTGGTCTCGAACTCTCGACCTCAGGTGATCCGTCCGCCTCGGCCTCCCAAAGTGCTGGGATTACAGGCATGAGCCACCGCGCCCAGCCATTGTTTTGTTTTCTTTATGATAAATTCCTAGAACTATGACACGGTGAAAGTGTAGACTTACCAGTCTGGGTTAAATGTTTTAATTTCGGATAAGTGAGGCTTCCATATCTTTGGTTGTTTATATCTTTTTTTTTTCCTTTCTCTTTTTTTAGTTATTTTTATTTTTTTGAGACAGAGTCTCACTCCGTTGCCCAGGCTAGAGTGCAGTGGCATGACCTTTGCTCTTTGCAACCTCTGCCTCCTGGGCTCAAGCACGATCCTCCTGCCTCAGCCTCCCAAATTGCTGGGATTACAGGTGTGTGCTACCACGCCCAGCTAATTTTTGTATTTTTTTGCAGAGACGGGGTTTCGTAATGGTGGCCATGCTGGTCTCAAACTTCTGGGCTCAAGAGATCCGCCCACCTCTGCCTCCTAGAGTGCTGGGATTACAGGCGTGAGCTGTCACACCTGGCCTTATATTTATTCTTATGTAGGTTCATCCCGTTGCTTGCTTTCTGGTGTATCTTCTCAACTGGTCAGTCCCAGGATCTGAGAGACGGCTGAGTTTGCATCCTCCGCTCTTTGTTTTGAAGCAGCCCTCTCGGAACCTGGTCACTATAGCCTGTGGGGGGTACTCTCAGGAGCCCCCCCCCCCCTGGGCACAACTGGAGGCCCTGAAAGGACACTGCGGGTGCCCTGTCTTGCTGGCCTGGCCCCCTGGGGGTCTCCTGTAGCTGGAGCAGAAAGAAGAGCTCTAGGAAGGGATTGTGTGGCTTCTAGAGGACCCAGGCCACTGGCCTATGCCAGGCACCCGGAGGAAGCGGAAAAGCAGCCCTTCTAAATGCATTCCGTCTGCTTCAGTGGCACAGCTGTCCCAAGCCCAAATATGGGAGCTTTCCTCCACTTTCTCCCCAAGGAGTCCCTCAGGCTGGAGGGAAAGTCGCTGCTTGGGAAGCAGGAATCCCAGCACCTTGTAGCGAGAGTGTAGGGCAGGATCCAGCAGATATGCTGAGGGCGGCCTTAGGCAGTCATTCAAGGCCTTAGCTTCCCAGTGGTGAAAGAGGTTGGGTTGCAGGCCTCCTGAGCTCCTTCCATTCTGTCGTCCATGTTCTCCCCTTGTCCGGCCCTGCGGGACACCCAGCCCGTCCGGGATTTCCTTGCTGTGGGGCTGCCGGAGGCTACATGAAGGGCAGTGGTCAGGGCCCACTAAGGGGCTCCCTGAGCTGGTGCCAGCCGCCGGCTTCTCTGATAGCAGCATTGCTCGTTTCCTCGTGTGTCCCTCTCTTGTGGAATAAGTGCTAGTGTCCAGCCAGGTTTCTAACTTCCCGCTGAGCTCCTGGGATGTGGTGGCTGGAATTCTGCAGTGTACAAAACAGCACCTAGAATTTGGCGGGGATAGGAACGGGTTCTTAGGAAGCTTCCATCAGCCCCCAGACGGCCTGGCATGGCTTACCCAGGAAGCAGGAGTTCCCAGCAGCCAAGTGGGTAACTGGGTCTGCCTGCTCCAACCTCAAGGGAGCTGTCTGCAGGCCCAGCTTCTACTCCTTTCCTGCCACACGCTCATGTGCTGCCCCTTCCCTTCCTGAGGGGACTCCAGCTCCCCTCCCTGGATGCTCATCCCCCAACCGCAACTCAAGGTCCTGTGTTGTCCCGCTCCCCCCGCCACACCCCTTTCCCTGTCCTGGGTCAGGCTGGGACAGACATGCTTCACCGTGCATAACTGGGGCAGGCGGCCTTCCCTGCGGTCTTGGCAGTCAGCATACTTGCCTTCCAGATGACTGGCCCACAGGGAGGAGGGAACGTGCCATTTTCTTGACCAGTCTCTGGGAACCCAGCTTTGGGGCTACTGCTCTGTGGGGCCTTCTGGCAAGTGCCAGGGTTTAGGCAACTTCCAGGCACTGGTGAGGATGATCTCAGATAGCTGCCGCCCACCTGACGTTATAGACCTCTGGACTTAGAGGCTTGTGATGGAGGGCATGGCACAGCAGGGGTGGGAAGGTCAAAACGGGAGCCTCAGCTGGGTCTCATCCATGGCTTCTCAGAAGAATCAGGACTGATGTTGGAGAGTCCTACCCCTTGGGGTCTACACGGACTTTGGGTTTTGTTTTGTTTTTTGTTTTTGTTTTTGTTGGAGACGGAGTTTTGTTCTTGTTGCCCAGGCGGGAGTGCAATGGCGCGATCTCAACTCACTGCAACCTCCGCCTCCCGGGTTCGAGCGATTCTCCTTGCCTCAGCCTCCCGAGTAGCTGGGATTACAGGCATGCACCACTACGCCCGGCTAATTTGTATTTTTAGTAGAGATGGGGTTTCTCCATATTGGTCAGGCTGGTCTCGAACTCTGAACCTCAGGTGGTCCGCCCACCTCGGCCTCCGAAAGTGCTGGGATTACAGGCGTGAGCCGCTGCGCCCGGCCTTGTTTGGTTTTAATAGAGACATTATCTCCCTATGTTGCCCAGGCTGGTCTTGAACTCCTGAGCCCATGTGATCCTCCCACCTCAGCTTCCCAAAGTGTTGGGATTACAGGTGTGTGCCACTGCACCCGGCCTTACTGTATCTTTACATCCTGTCTTACCTGATCCTCACAACCACATATGACTTCGTCATTTCTGTCCTATAGCTAGATGAGAACACTGAGACCCAAAGAAGTCAAACAAAAATGTATGAGGCTCATTCTTTTCCTCCTCCTCCACAGAATTAGGAATTCCGTGCTGTGTCAGTAAAGGGGAAGGGCGGGTTGCTGGCACCACTGCCCCCAGCTGCCAGGGCTCCCACCAGTATAGTGGCCCATTTGGATTGGGCTGATTGGGGTATGAGACGCCTGCGTGACTTTCCTTCGCTGGAACCTGTGTCCTGCAGAGGAGGCACATCAGGCAGTGCACTCCCACTTGCCGGATAGAGAAACTGATGCTTAAAGGTGAGTAACTGGCCCAAAATGTGCCAGCCAATCAGTGACAGAACCAGGACTCCAGCGGGGACACCGATGGCCATGGTTACCTGGCTTCCTGTTGAGGGAAGGGATGCACAGCTGGCTCCTGACGTTGGCTTCTCTTGCAGGTGCGCTGGTACCCTTCCTCTGACACCACCCAGCAAGGATGGAAGTACCGTCAGTTCTGTTAGTTTTTCAGTAAGTGTTGGCCCCAGAGGCCCAGGACAAGTGTCCTAGACTCCGGCTCCCTGAAGGGCCGTAGTTCCTCCCTCTGCCCCGGGTCTCAAGAGCTTAGCCGAGCCCAGAGCAGGCCTGGCTTTAGCTCTAGTCCCACGCCTCTGCTCACGGCCGCCTCTCTCCCTCCCTCCAGGTCTGGTCACCGGGGAGGTGGTTCTGGTAATCTGTGGTGGTGCCGGGACAGGCGCCCCGAGTTCCCACTGCCCCCGGGCGGCCTGCACAGAGCTGCTGCCCTCCAGAGACTGTGAATCCCAAGCCTGACTCAGTGGACTGCTTCCTGTTCCCCTCCCTCCTCTTCCTCACCTTGTTCTGCACCCTCAAGCCTTTCTCCAATGCCTCCCAGGAGGATTTGGGGACTTTCTCCCTGGGGCGCCCAGATCCAGCTCGGAGGCCTCACTGGGACCTGGCAAGGCCTGACCTCCCGCCCAAACTTGCTTCTGTAGCTCCCCCTCGAGGAAGTGAGGTGTTTAATTTTGCATGTTTTCTGGCATGAATTAAGACACTTATACTTGTATATATGAGTGTACAGTTTGTTCTCACACTGTCACCATAGCGACAGGTCCTGGCTCCCAGTGGTTCATCCTGCCTGCCCCTCTCTCCTCGCCCCGCCCCTGCACCCACCCCGCTTCAGGGAGGCCCAAGTTCCGTGGCCCCACACGCTTCCAGGCTCAGCTCCCACCTCCACCCAACAGATAGATGGGGTTTGCTTTTTCATTTCACATGGGGCTCCTCCGCTCCTGCCTTCTCGGATGGGCCAACAGTCGTAAGAAAGCCCTCTCTGCCCGTTCTGTTCACCTCTCCACAGCGCACCCCGCCCGCCGCTGCTCCTCATTCTTTCCAAACCTCGAAACCAACCAAAACGTGAGAAGTATTTTTGTACCCTGTGTAACAAAATATTTATGCATCATAAAGGATTTTTCATGTGCGTACCATTAATTATTAAAGCGACCTCGTTCGCCCTGTCAGATAAGTTTAATGTTTAGTTTGAGGCATGAAGAAGAAAAGGGTTTCCATTCTTCAGCAGTACGCCTTTGTGTCTGGCATTTGTTTAAGAAAATGAAATGAAGGAAACACTGTGCAATGTTTTTTGTTTTGAGCATATCAGTGCTTTACTGTCAGCCGCAGCTGTGACCGTCTGGCCATTTCAGACTTGGGAGATGAGGCGGCTGTTGTCATTGCTGATCCTGTGAGAATGTGAAACTGGATAATATATGAAATGCAAAATAAAACAAAACCAAAATGACTGCTCTCGGCCTTTGCTTCCCCCTTCCGTGGACGCAGACTGCCATTGGGAAGGCAGAGCCAGAGAGATGTGGAGTCGGGGGAAGGAAGTGAAGTGGGCCTGGCCCGCTGGCAGCTGGCTTGTGACTGTAAAGGTGGTGGGGGAGGACCTTGGAGCTCACTTAGCCTCTCCTGCCTCCCTGGTTTGTAAGCTGGGGAAACAAAGTCCAGGGTAAGTGACTTGCCTAAGGGCCTGGCAGTTGTGGCTTTACTTCCTCAGTTTCCAGGCTGTCAGGGTAGGGAGAGACTCCCTACACCAAGAGCAGGCCCCCAGGTGGGACCTTCCTGGGGGAAGGCGGTGATATACTCGGCTTAACCATTTACGGCCTGTGGTCTTTTTGAGTCTCGCTCTGGTAAAAGAGGACTGAGGTTTGGGCTGTTGGGCTCTGCCAGGTGGTGTCTGTCCTTGGCGTGCCTCTTGTGAGGCTGTGCTGGAGGGAAGGCTAGGACCTGGAATCTTGCCCAGAAGGGGTTAACCTCATCCACCCTGTAGTCTATGGGCTGCAACTCTGATTCCTGGAGCGGGAGCAAATGGGTGTGAGGCTCAGGGAAGCTGTGCAGTGCCAAGAGCCCAGGCTGGCCTGGGCCAGGTGTCAGGATGCCCGTCATGACCCTCAGTCTTACCTTTTGTGACTTGGGGTCTCGGGTTCCTTGTCTGTGAAGAGGTTGCTTGAAATCCTTTCAGACTCTTACTGGAGGGCTGGTGTGCTGAACTCAGGGTTTAACTGTTTGTTTTTTCATCCACTCCTGGGAGAGCTGCTCTGCACCGCACCGCACCTCAGACCCAAAGCCGTGCCTGGAAAGGGAGGACAGCAGAGGCCCCGGAACCCCCCTCCCAATAGGTGTTGCTCCAGCCTTGCTCTAAGCAAAACTAAAGTGGCTGTGGCTGGCTCTGGTCACTTCCTCACTTGCACCTCAGGTCACCGCTCCCCGCCTTACCCCGTCTCCTGAATCCCAGTCCTGCACAGGTCGGCTTGGGTCTAAGATGTCAGTGCTGGTGAATGCGTCAGCTGGCGACCCAGGTGCTCTGAGGGAGGAGGAGGAGGAGCCTGGCCAGGACCAGGCCCTGCAGGTAACCCTGGGTGTCTGTGGGCGAGTTACCTGGACCTCAGAGGGTGGCTGTGTTCGTGCCCAGAGGAGTCCGGGGTTACTCGTCTCCCGCGCTGTGCCCCTTGCCTCGCTGCAGTATCGGACCAGCTGGCAAGGCCGCCCAGCCTTCAGCCCCTGCCTGTGCTGGTGGGAAAGCTGCTCTGTGTCCTATGGCCCCCACCCAGGGCCAAGCCGAGGGCTGACCTACTTCATCTGTGTCAAGAACCAGTGGGTCTTCCTGAGGTCGTGAATTATTTAGCGAAGGTGCCTGGGCCTTTCTGAGAGGGGCTAAGAAAGCTGCTCTATAATTTAAAGCCCCTGCGCCTGCGGCTTCCCTGGGGGGCCTCCTTCACGCTTTAGCGAGCAGGGCCCAGGCCTGGGTCTGAGTGGAGGAGGAGCCGGGGAAGGAGGAGCCCTGCAGCCATTCCAGAGGGCACTCTCAGCTGGACTGGGGGCTTTTCTCAGTGTAGGGCCTCTGCAGAAAGGCCTTAGTGAGCAGTCATGTTTAGACTGAACTTGGGTTAAGGAGCCTTCAGTAGATCAGGGCTTCCTGGCTGGGGTCAGAAGCACCTGTGTCCTGATTCCCTGTCCTGCTCTCTTTCCAGAAAGCAGCTCGTTATCCCCAGAGGTGTTGAGTCCTGATCACAGTTGAAAGTGTTCCTTCCCTTCTGAAAGGGAGTTAGGCATCTGGGAACCACCAGCATTCTTTCCCCCACTTCTCCCACCCACAGATGAGTCTCACTGTCGCCCAGGCTGGAGTGCAGTGGCCTGATTTCGGCTCACTGCAACCTCTGCCTCCTGGGTTCAAGCCATGCTCCTGCCTCAGCCTTCCAAGTAGCTGGGATTACAGGCATGCACCAGCACACTGGGCTAATTTTTGTATTTTTAGTAGAGATGGGGTTTCACCATGTTGGCTAGGCTGGTCTTGAACTCCTGGCCTCACGATCCGCCTGCCTTGGCCTCCCAAAGTGCTGGGATTACAGGCGTGAGCCACCATGCCCAGCCTCCACCAGGGTTCTTTTGGTGTGAGGTCCCTTCCCAGCAGCGATGAAATCCCCTCGTTGGCAGGAGAGGCTGTCTTTCCATGTAATCCCCTCCCTGCAAGCACACAAGTGAGGCCAGTACTAAACAGATGCTTGTGAGCCACTGGGAAGCCCCTGATGCCCCCCTGCCCTGGCCAGAGCCAGCTCTTCTCGCAACAGAGATGGTGCTTGTCACCCTGACTGAACCATCGTTGGGTGCTGCTGCCTAGCCAGCATTTTTCTTTTTCTTTTTTTTTTTTTTGGAGACAGGGTCTCTCTGTTACCCACGCTGGAGTACGGTGGTGTGATCATGGTTCACTGCAACCTCTGCCTTCTGGGCTCAGTTAAACCTCCCACCTTAGCCTCCAGAGTAGTAGCTGGGACCACAGGCACACACCACCATGCCTGGTTAATTTTTGTATTTTTTGTAGAGACCCGGGGGTTTCATCATGTTGGCCAGGCTGGTCTCGAACTCCTGGGCTCAAGTGATCCTCTTGCCTCGGCCTCCCAAAGTGTTGGGATTACAGGCATGAGCCACCATGCCCAGCCCTGGCCAGCGTTTTTAAGGGATGTGACTTATCTTGGAGCTTTCCCAGGCAGGTTCCTAGGTTCCAGGCTGTGTGGCCTGACATGATGCGTCCCTGGGGATCAGTACAAGGTAAGAGTGCAGGCCGCATGGGGTCCAGAGTTCTGGGACAGGGGTGGGAGCGGGGGTTGGGGGGTGATCCAGGCCTCCCTCCTGCCCACCGTTCCGCCCCACCCTGCCCTGCCCACACGTGCCCCGCAGAGCTCCATTTCCTGAGGTCTGGAATAAAGCCTTTGGATCTTGAGTTCTTTGTCAGAGGGCAAATATCCCTGAGAAACCAGGCTAAGTCCGTCAGAGGAGGGAAGTAGGGCAAGTGCCGGAAGGGGACTGAGAAAGGGAAAGGTGGAAAATGGGAGGATAAAGCCTCCTGCAAAGGTATCAGGAGGAGGGAGCAGAGCCGCCCCACTCAAGCTGCAGGCCTGCCCTGCCTCACATCCTCTGTGCCAGCCTCCACCCAGGTGGCCCTGCAGGAGTGCAGGCCCCACCCCAACACCTTCTCTCAGGCAGAAGAGGGGCTCCAGGAGCAAGGGGAGCAAGGCTGAATGGGATCACTGCCCTGGCAACTTTCCAGGGCAGCCAGGAGAGGGGCATGTGCTCCTGGTCCATTCCATACCCCGTCCCCCACCTCCTTGACCATCATCCCCTAGTTCCCTGGCCTCTGGTTGGGGTGAGGGAGCGGGAGCCTCTGCAAGAGTTTGGAGGGAGGTCAGGTGCCCTTGGCCATTATCTTCATGACCTTCCAGCCATCCCCTTAAATCTGTTCTTTTGAGAGGCCCTTCAAATGACCCCAGGAAACCAGGGTCAGACATTGGCATTGAGGATTGAGTCCACCCAGCTCTCCCATTCACAGATGGAGAAGGTGAAGCACAGAGGTGAGTAGTTTGCCCTAAAGCAAGCCCTTTTTTGTTATGGAGACAGTGACCAGTGCATGCTCCACTGGTGTCTCTGTCTTCCAGTCAGTCCAGCACCCCACAGGGCAGGCAGGCAGCAGACACCTCACCCCACAGGCTTGGAAGCCTCTCCCTGCAGTGCTAGAGCCATGGTTACAGCTCAGGGCTGCTGGCTGCAGACCTCTTCTTGGCATGCCATACTTTCTTGTCTTCTGTCTTGATCTAAATATGACCCCATCTTTCCCTGGGACACTGGGTCTTACTCCCTGATTAAAGGACAAAGAGAAGCCCTCAGTGACCCATCTAGCCTCAGCCTAGCATTGTGTAGTCTCTGGCCTTTAACCCAGTGATTAGGGTTGTTGGACGTGCAGGATTCATCTGGCTATCAGCTTATGCAAGAACAAAGATGGTGTATCTCCATTTCTGCCTGTAGTAGAGAATATGCAGCAGCTTAGTAGGAGGAGCCTAAGAGACAGGAATGGCTGTCTCATCCCAGAAAAGCCTGTGCCTTCCCTCGGAGTGTGTGTTTCTGTTTTTTTTTTTTGAGACAGAGTCTTGCTCTGTCGCCCAGGCTGGAGTGCGGTGGCGCGATCTCTGCTCACTGCAAGCTCCGCCTTCCAGGTTCACATCATTCTCCTGCCTCAGCCTCCCAAGTAGCTGGGACTACAGGTGCCTGCCACCAAGCCCAGCTAATTTTTTGTGTTTTTTAGTAGAGATGGGGTTTCACCATGTTAGCCAGGATGGTCTCCATCTCCTGACCTCATGATCCGCCCGCCTTGGCCCCCCAAAGTGCTGGGATTACAGGCGTGAGCCACCACGCCCGGCCAAGGAGTGTGTGTTTGTGACTCTGTTTCCTTCCCTCACAAGGTTATGAGCTTTAATGATGACACAATAACGTGCCTAACACATAGTAGGTACTCCCTAAATGTTTTCTATGCTTATCTTTTTTTTTTCCTTTTTTTTTTTTTTTTTTGAGATGGAGTCTCGCTCTGTCGCCCAGGCTGGAGTACAGTGGTGCAATCTTGGCTCACTGCAACCTCCACCTCCCAGGTTCAAGCGATTCTCCCTGCCTCAGCTTCCCAAGTAGCTGGGATTACAGGCGCCCACCACCACACCTGGCTACTTTTTATATTTTTAGTAGAGATGGGGTTCGCCATGTTGGTCAGGCTGGTCTCGAACTCCTGGACTCAAGTGATCTGCCTGCGTCAGCCTCCCAAAGTGCTGGGATTACAAGCGTGAACCACCACGCTTGGCCTGCAGTTATGTTAAAAAGATAATATTTCCTTCATCCTTAAGAAGCAGTGAAATTGAGTCGATTCCAATTGACGTACTCCTTGACTGTTTTTTCAATGGATCAGTAGTCATTGAAAGATTTTTAACCCCATGTTCTACCTGGGAGGAAGGTGAAAGAAGGACAGGGTGGGGCCCAGGAATCTAGGAGAACACACACAAAACCCTGGAGCTAGTAGTTTTTGGCACTGGATCTAACTGTAGCTTTTTTTTTTTTTTTTTTTTTTTGAGACAATCTCACTGTGTTCCCCAGGCTGGAGTGCAGGGCATCATCTCAGCTCACTGCAACCTCCACCTCAGCTGGGTGTGGTGGCACATGTCTGTAGTCCCAGCTACTTGGGAGGCGGAGGTAGGAGAATCGCTTGAAACTGGGAGGCAGAGGTTGCAGTGAGCTTGAGTAGCTAGGATTATAGGTGTGTGCCACCATGCCTGGCTGATTTTTGTATTTTCAGTAGAGACAGGGTTTCGCCATCTTGGCTGGGCTAGTCTTGAACTCCTGACCTCAGATCCACCTGCCTCAGCCTCCCAAAGTGCTGGGATTATAGGTGGACTTCTAACCTTTTTATCAAGCCATTTAGGGCTTCAAAGTTCTGACAGTAGTTGTATTCATACACTGCTTCAGAGTTTACAATACATACGTTTGCTATCGCCCATGATTGCCATAAAAAGCCTGCTGACATACATAAGAAAGGTGTTGGCCAGGCGTGGTGGCTCACGCCTGTAATACCAGCCCTTTGGGAGGCCAAGGCGGGCGGATTGCTGGAGGTCAGGAGTTCGAGACCAGCCTGGCCAACATGGTGAAACCCTGTCTATACTAAAAATACAAAAATTAGCCAGGTGTGGTAGCATGTACCTGTAATCCCAGATACTAGGGAGGCTGAGGCAGGAGAATCACTTGAACCTGGGAGGCGGAGGTTGCAGTGAGCTGAGACCATGCCACTGCACTCCAGCCTGGGCAACAGAGCAAGACTCAGTCTCAAAGAAAAAAAAAAAAGGAAAGTTTTACTTATCTTTTTTTTTCAGACAGAATCTCACCCTGCTGCCCAGGCTGGAGTGCAGTGACCCGATCTCAGCCCACTGTAACCTCAGCCTCCCAAGTAGCTGGGTCTACAGGCGTGCACCACCACACCTGGCTAGTTTTTGTATATTTTGTGGAGCTGGGGTTTCTCCATATTGCCCAAGCTGGTCTTGAACTCCTGAGCTCAAGCAATCTGTCCTTCTCAACCTACCAAAATGCTGGGATTATAGGTGTGAGCCACCATGCCCATCAATCATCTAATTTTACAGCTATGGAAACCAGAGTTAGAAAGGCTTCACCATGGCTAGGTGTGGTGGCTCACCCCTGTAATCCCAGCACTTAGGGAGGCCGAGGTGGACGGATCACCTGAGGTCAGAGTTCAAGACCAGCCTGGCCAACATGGTGAAACCCCATCTCTACTAAAAATACAAAAATTAGCCAGGTGCGGTGGCACATGTCTGTAGTCCCAGCTACTTGGGAGGCGGAGGCAGGACAATCGCTTGAAACTGGGAGGCAGAGGTTGCAGTGAGCCGAGATCATGCCACTGCACTCCATCCTGGGTGAGAGTGAGACTCCATCTCAAAAATAAATAGATAAATAATAAAAACCATCACATAGTAGCCTGGTTAAGAAATAGGCCGAAAACGCCTGGGCGTGGTGGCTCACGCCTGTAATCCTAGCACTTTGGGAGGCTGAGGTGGGTGGATCATGAGGTCAGAAGTTTGACACCAGCCTGGCCAAGATGGTGAAACCCCGTCTCTACTAAAAAATACAAAAACTAGCCAGGCGTGGTGGTGGGCACCTGTAATTCCAGCTACTCGGGAGGCTGAGGCAGGAGAATCGCTTGAACCCAGGAGGTGGAGTTTGCAGTGAGCCGAGATCATGCCACTGCACTCTAGCCTGGGCAACAGAGCAAGACTCCATCTCACAAGAAAAAAAAATGAAAAAGAAATAGGCTGAAAACAAAAATAAAAACCATCAAACAGAAAAACCCTGCAACCACTTGAATATGTGAGGGCAAATTGAGGTGAATTGAGTTTGTTCTCAATCACTTAACATTACCAAGTGGAATAAGAGAGAAGGAAAGAGCTAAGTCCATAGGCTGCTACAAGGTAGTCCTGCCCTGATCCTCGAAGCTGTCCTGGGAAGGCTGTTTGCGAAGGATCATTTCCATCCCATGGACAGGAAGTTCAAGTTCAGAAAGGTGCCAAGGTCATGTTTGATCATGATGAGCTGAGCCAGAGCCCTGAGCTCTGGTCTGCTGCCCTCAAGGGGGAAGGAGCACGCTGACTGACCTTTGCATCCTCTCTTGTCCAGTCATTCTTTCCAGCAAACATTTTTTGTGCCCCTGCCCTTTGCTGAGCCTGTGTTTGGTGCTGAGATGGAGGATAAGGCACAGTTTCTGTTCTCAGGTGATGCACAGCCTGGAGTGTGGGAGTCTGGGCTGTGGAGCTACTCAAGCAGGGAAAGCTGGGGGTTATTGGTTCTAAACTTCCGCTCCTCTCTTTCCCCGGAGGCTGGGCTGCTGCCCACCTTACCCACAGGTCCAGAGTACTGCTCTGGGTCCCATGGTATCGTGGTTCTGTGCTTGGCCTCGCAGAACTGCATGGGTGGTGTAAGAGCTGTGCACAGAGGAACATGCCTCATCTCCCACCTCAGGGTGACTGCAGCTTCCAGAGCAGGATACCCTCAGGCTCTGTCCCCTGCTGAAGGTGGTCTCTTAGATTAGAGGCTTCTCAGATGGGCCTGTGTCTCTTTCCAGACCCAGGTTCTCATTACTGAAAGCAGGAGTGTGCTTCCTAAAAACTAACTTGTGTCTCCAGAAAGACATGGAGGGAGAGGGGCTGGGGGGAGGGGCAGGGGTGGGAGGAGCAAAAGCCACTTCCTTTTGGAGCAGTGGCCTCCCCCAGGGTTCTCCCCCAAGGCCACACTCCCAAGTATCCATTCATATGCGCTTCCCCAGGGCCTACGCACTGAAATCTCTCCTGTCTACGGCCGCCAGGTGAATCGTGCCAAGACGCCGCTTTCACCGGTTAGAAGAACTTCATTCCGTGGTTCTCTACTGCATAGGGGCTGATGGCCAGTGTCACTCATTCAGGACACACCCCCACCTGGCTTCTGGCCCCTTCTTCCCTGTGATTGGAGACATTTGCTAACCACCGTCATCTCCCTTGTACTACAGAGCAGCTTTTTCCTCTCTACTAGATCGGGCATTGCCTTCCTCTTCAAGGTAATGGGAAACTGACCCCACCTGGGTCTCGTTCCATGTCCTGATGTACCTGTAGACATGCTCTGTGGCCCCAGCAAGTCCCTTTCTCTCTTTGGCCCCTCCTTCTCCTATGCTCACCTTTATTTACATCTCAGGCCCCTTGTCTTGGCCCAGTGGTGACCAAGGAGAAAGTTCTGCTCACCTAAGACTTAGCACTAGGCAGGTGCCTCTGGCACAGCCTCCTTCCTTTGGGAGCTGGCGGGACTGTGTGATCCTGGGGCGCCCTCTCGTGGTTGAAGATGCTCACAAACCTCGTCTGAAATCTCTCCTGTCTACGGCCGCCAGGTGAATCGTGCCAAGACGCCACTTTCACAGGTTAGAAGAACTTCATTCCATGGTTCTCTACCGCATAAGGGCTGATGGCCAGTGTCACGCATTCAGGACACGCCCCCACCTTTTTCCTTTTTCCCTTTTGCTCTTCCAGATTAACCTTTGCCTGGGGTCATTTATTGTGGACTCTATGGGCGCCTCTGTTCCCAGAGGCAGAGTCAGGCAGTTAGTCACTAACAAACACAAACACTCATGGAGAACCTCCTGCATTTGTGCATACTTGCATGCTAGTAGTCACTCTGCTGGCACTGGGGATACAAAAGTGAATATTGGGCCCAGAGAGATTTGATCCAATTGCCTCGGTTCACAGATGGAGAAGCTTCAGCCTTCAGAAGCAGAAAGATGTGCGGAGCTCATTTGGTTATGCGGGCTTGACACAAAACTCAGGTGTCCCGACTATCGTAGGAAATCAAGTCAGCTTCCATCTCACTGATTAAACCCCTGGATGTCAGCCGGGTGCAGTGGCTCATGCCTGTAATCCCAGCACTCTGGGAGGCTGAGGTGGGCGGATCACGAGGTCAGGAGATCGAGATCATCCTGGCTAACACGGTGAAACCCCGTCTCTACTAAAAAAAATACAAAAAATTATCCGGGCGTGGTGGCGGGCGCCTGTAGTCCCAGCTACTCGGGAGGCTGAGGCAGAAGAATGGCATGAACCCAGGAGGCGGAGCTTGCAGTGAGCCGAGATCGCGCCACTGCACTCCAGCCCTCCAGCCTGGGCAACAGAGTGAGACTCTGTCTCAAAAAATAAGAAAAGAAACCCCTGGATGTCATAGTAACAAAGTTGAGAACCCACTATTGATATTTTCAGGAATTACATTCCTAATTTCTCTCATGTCTGGGAGATTTTGCCCATTGGAATGGGTAAAATCCAGGGGATAGACCCCCCTGGAAACTCAAATTTGGGCTGTTCTCTCTCAGTGCGCTTTACTCAGGGGTCACTCCGTCGTCAGCACTGCCAGGCACTGTCTCGTCTGCAAACCTTGCTGGTGCCTGCACATACTGGACGTTCTTTCAGGGCATAGGTCATGCCATTGTCACTCACCAGCACAGTCCAGGGCCTTTGGTGATACCTAACACATGACTGGGAATGGCTACTTCATTTTTTTTTTTTGAGACAGGGTCTTGCTCTGTCACCCAGGCTGGAGTGCAGCAGTGCAGTCAGCTCACTGCAGCCTCCATCCTGGACTCAGGTGATCCTCCTGCCTCAGTCTCCCAAGTAGCTGGGACTACAGGTGTGCACCACCATGCCTGGCTAATTTTTTTTTTTTCTTTTTTCTTGAGACGGAGTTTCGCTTTTGTTGCTCAGGCTTGAGTTCAATGGTGCAATCTAGGCTCAATGCAACCTCCGCCTCTCGGGTTCAAGTGATTCTCCTGCCTCAGCCTCCCGAGTAGCTGGGATCACAGGTGCCTGCCATCACACCCGGCTGATTTTTGTATTTTTAGTAGAGATGGGGTTTCTCCATGTTGGTCAGGCTGGTCTCAAACTCCTGATCTCAGGTGATCTGCCCACCTCGGCCTCCCAAAGTGCTGGGATTACAGGCTTGAGCCACCACACCCGGCCATGCCTGGCTAATATTTTTAAACATTTTTTGTAGAGACAGGGTCTCACTATGGTGCCCAGGCTTGTCTCAAACTCCTGGGCTCAAGTGATCTGCCTGCCTCGTCCTCCCACAGTGCTGGGATTACAGGCAGGCAGTGACTTTCCTGTCCCTGCAGGTCTTCGAGTATACGCTGATGATGCTTAGTGGTGGTACTCGGGAAGCAATTCAAGCACTAGATGCCTGGTGGACCCCCGTCCTGATATATATATATATATAAAATGTTATCTATAATCTATATAATATACATATATAATACATACATAGCTGGGATTACAGATGCATGCCACCATGCCCGGCTGATTTTTGTATTTTCAGTAGAGACGGGGTTTTGCCATGTTGGCCAGGCTGGTCCCGAAATCCTGACCTCAGGTGATCCGCCCAACTCGGCTTCCGAAAGTGCTGGGATTACAGGCATGAACCACTGCGTTGGGCCCTGTCCTGATATTTTTTGACCCTGTTCTCCATCATGAAGTGCTGGACTTAGTCAAGAGTTGGAAACTCGCACTCTGCAGGAAGTGAGGAGACTGAGGGAGGCAGGCTGGGTGACTGGGTGACAGGAGAAGGGGGCAGTGGTTGCCCCTCAACCCCTGCCAGCTGCTGCTCAGCAAGGTGGGGACTCCATGTGGCTTCATGTTTTGATTTTTCAACAGAAACTGGACATTCAGATTTTAATGTGAAAAGTCCTGATTTTGGATGCCGACAACAAACCATATAAAGCCATTTCGTGCACTATACTATGGCCCATGTGCTTATTACTTTGCAACTTCAGGTCAAAGATTCCTAGTTTTCACTCTGTGCAGTAACTATAGGGAAAAAAACTGCCAAGTGCACAGTTACGCCCAACCCATAGGTATGACCCCTTCCTCTCCCTCCTTTGTTTTCTTCTTCTTTTTTTTTTTTTTTTTTTTTTTTTTTGGAGACGGAGTCTCACTCTGTCGCCCAGGCTGGAGGGCTGGAGTGCAGTGGCAGTGCAGTGGCAGGATCTCGGCTCACTGCAAGCTCCGTCTCCCGGGTTCACGCCATTGTCCTGCCTCAGCCTCCCGAGTAGCTGGGACTACAGGCGCCCGCCACCACACCCGGCTAATTTTTTTGTATTTTTACTAGAGACGGGGTTTCACTGTGTTTAGCCAGGATGGTCTCGATTTCCTGACCTTGTGATCCCCTTGGCCTCCCAAAGTGCTGGGATTACAGGCCGGAGCCACCGCGCTTGGCCATTTCCTTCTTTTGCTTCAGCCATCAAAGAGCCAGGCCCAAAGGCTGGGCTATCTGAGCATGTTGCCCTTACCCACATCCATCCCATCTCCCCTGAGGAAGAACCAGCTCTGGGCTTCCTTAGAACGCTGTATCTGCAATGCTCCCAGAGGCCACCAGAGGGCAGGGTAGAATGCCGAAAACTATTGGTTTGGGCTAGTGGACGGGCAGGGGTTGTGATCTCAGTCTGGCATCCAGGTTTGGAGGTTCAGGAAGGCAGCTAGGGTTGCTCCCTGAGGGTGCAGTGTGGCTCACCATTCCCAGACACACCTCCCAGTGGATGCCCATCACCTCATTTGTGGATCATAGGAGCAACTTTCTTTCTTTAAAAAAGAAAAACACCCAGGCTGGAGTGCAATGGTACTAGCCACCACCACCAGCTAATTAAAATAAAATTTTTGTAGAGATGGGGGTCTCACTGTGTTGCCCAGGCTGGTCCCAAACTCCTGGGTTCAAGCAATCTTCCTGCCCTCAGCCTTTGAAAGTACTGGATTACAGGCATGAGCCACTGTGCCTGGCCCATAGGAGCAACTTTCTGTCGGTACTTTCTGTCCTTAGCTGTTTTTCCCCAACACACACTGTCTCTCATGCCCCCCAACCACCCAGCAGTCACTGATATCAGGCTGGTCTGCCCCAGACCCACTCGCTACAGACCTTGTCAAGAGCCTTCAATAGCTCCTTGTTACATAAAGCTGGACCATCCAGTTTCTCAGAAGTGGAGTATTGGGATGCTGATCCCAGTTAGGTGAGTGGGAGTGAGCTGAAGAGGCTCTTATTTCCTTCATCTCAGTGTAATTGTAAGGGTAGGCCTTGCTGTTCCAACTTCATACATGAGGAGATGAAGCACGCGGAGAAAAGTGTCTGCCATCAAACTGAACTCAAATACTTTCTGAGTGTCCGTGTTTGATGGTGTAGGGGATACAAAAAACCTGAAGATAGGGTTCCCATCCTCAAAGAGACTATATAGCCTGTTAGGAAAACATGATACTCATCTAAAAAGATAACCAGCTCCCAGCAGCTTTCAAGTAGATAGTACAATAGCAACAGTGGGAACGTCAGAGAGTGGTCCCCGGATGTAGGGGTCAGGGAAGCCTTCAAAAAGGAAGTAGTGGTCTTCAAACTAGTATTTGCACCCCAAGAGGTACAAAAAGAATTTTCACTGTTTTTATTTTTATTTGTTTAATTTTTAAATTTTTATTTATTTACTTACTTTTTGAGATGGAGTCTTGCTCTGTAGCCCAGGCTGGAGTGCAGTGGTGCAATCTCGGCTCACTGCAACCTCTGCCTCCCAGGTTCAAGCAATTCGCTGCCTCAGGCCTCCCAAGTAGCTGAGATTACAGACATGTGCCACCACGCCCGGCTATTTTTGTATTTTTAGTAGAGACAGGGTTTCACCATGTTGGTCAGGCTGGTCTCAAACTCCTGACCTCAGGTGATCCACCCCCGTCGGCCTCCCAAAGTGCTGGGATAACAGGCATGAGCCACCTTGCCCAGCCTTAATTTTTGTATTTTTAGTAGAGACGGGATGTCACCGTGTTGACCAGACTGGTCTTGAACTCCGGGTCTCAAGTGATGCTCCCTCCTTGGCCTCCCAAAGTGTTGGGATTACAGGTGTGAGCCACTGTGCCTGGCTACAAAAAGAATTTTCTAAGGGCAGGTGGGCTTATGTTTAAGGGAATCAATTTCCAAAAAGTCTTTTTTTTTTTCTTTTTTTTTTTTCGACAGAGTCTCACTCTGTCACCCAGGCTGGAGTACAGTGGCTTGATTTTGGTTCACTGCAGCCTTGACTTTCCCGGCTCAGGCACTTCTCCCACCTCAGCCTCCCAAGTAGCTGGGACTATAGGCACGTGCCACCACACCTGGCTAATTTTGTTCATTTTTTGCAGAGGCAGGGTCTCACTATGTTGCCCAGGCTGGTCTCAAACCCCTGGACTCAAGTGATCCTCCTGCCTCAGCCTCCCAAGGTGCTGGGATTACAGGTGTGAGCCACTGTGCCCAGTGTCATCTTTAATAAGAACTATTTATGACTGAGATTGCCTGTCCTCCCTTCGTTTTTACAATTTCTTTTCTCTTACTTTACAAAAGAAATATGTAGGAAGCATGAGTGCTTCCCCTCTCTTTTTTCTGTTCTCTTCCCTCCGAGTGTTTTCCCACCTTTTAGAAGTTAGGCGTGGCCGTGTGACTTGCTTTGGACAGTGAACTATGAGCAAAAGTGTCTCTTCTGGGTAGAAGCATTTACGAGCCAGTATGTGATTCTCCTTCTTACCTTCTCTCTGCCATGGTGACTGATGACATTTTAGCTGGTAGAGTCTGGATCTCTGAGTGATGATGGTATGGATCAGAACCTCAACCAACTTGTGATGGACATTAGAGTGTTGGGGAAGATGGGGAGGAACCTTTGTTGGCTTAAGCAACATAGATTTTGATGTTGGTTGTTATTATAGCATAATTTAGTGGATATGCTACAAAGGACATATATGTCTCACCCATCCTATATCTTTTTTTTTCTGAGATGGAGTCTTGCTCTGTCACCTGGGCTGGAGTGCAATGGCACGATCTCAGCTCACTGCAACCTCCGCCTCCCGGGTTCAAGTGATGCTCCTGCCTCAGCCTCCTGAGTAGCTGTGATTACAGGCATGTGCCACCACGCCTGGCTAATTTTTGTATTTTTAGTAGAGAGGAGTTTTGACATGTTGGCCAGGCTGGTCTCGAACTCCTGACCTCAGGTGATCTGCCCACCTCGGCCTCCCAAAGTGCTGGGATTACAGGCTTTTTTTTGTTTTTTTTTTGAGACAAGTTCTCACCCTGTTGCCCAGACTGGAGTGCAGTGGTGAGATCATGGCTCACTGAAGCCTCGACCTCTCAGGCTCAAGTGATCCTCCCACCTCAACTGCCTGAATAGATGGGATTACAGGCATGTGCCATCACATCTGCCTAATTTTTGTATTTTTATTTTTATTTACTTGTTTATTTTTTTGAGAGAGTCACCCTCTGTCACCCAGGCTGAAGTGCAGTGGCACGATCTCGGCTCACTGCAACCTCTGCCTCCTGGGTTCCAGTGATTCTCCCTCACTCTCCCGAGTAGCTGGGATTAAGGTGCACGCCACCACACCGGGTTAATTTTTTTTTTTTTTTTTTTTGAGATGGAGTCTTGCTCTGTCGCCCAGGCTGGAGTGCAGTGGTTGGGATTACAGGTGCGCACCACCACACCTGGCTATTTTTTTTTTTTTTTTTTTTTTTGAGACATAGTCTCGCTCTGTCACCCAGGCTGGAGTGCAGTGGCTCGATCTCGGCTCACTGCAACCTCCGCCTCCTGGGTTCAAGTGATTCTCCTGCCTCGGCCTCCTGAGTAGCTGGGACTACAGGTGCAAGCCACCATGCCCAGATAATTTTTGTGTTTTTAGTAGAGACGGGGTTTCACCATGTTGGTCAGGCTGTTCTGGAACTCCTGACCTTGTGATCTGCCCGCCTCGACCTCTCAAAGTGCTGGGATTACAGGCATGAGCCACCGCACCTGGCCTAATTTTTTGTGTTTTTAGTAGAGACGGTGTTTTGCTATGTTGGCCAGGCTGGTCTTAGACCTCTTGCCTGAAGTGATCCTCCCGCCTCAGCCTCCCAAAGTGTGGGATTACAGGTGTGAGCCATCGTGCCTGGCTAATTTTTGTATTTTTAGTAGAGATGGGGTTTTGCCATGTTGCTCCGGTTGGTCTCAAACTCCTGGGCTTAAGTGATCCACCTACCTCAGCCTCCCAAAGTGCTAGGATTATAGGCATGAGCCATCATGCCTGGCCCTTCATCCTAGATCTTAGGAGATCTAGTATGTTGTTGATCTGGTATTTGGTATGTTGGAGATCTGGTATTTGGTATGTTGGGAGATCTTGTATTTGGTATGTTGGGAGAGCTGGTATTTGGTATGTTAGGTGATCTGGTATTTGGTATGTTGGAGATCTGGTATTTGGTATGTTGGAGATCTGGTATTTGGTATGTTGGTGATCTGGTATTCGGTATGTTGGGAGATCTGGTATTTGGTTTGTTGGTGATCTGGTATTTGGTTTGTTGGTTGATCTGATATTTGGTATGTTGGGAGATCTGGTATTTGGTATGCTAGGTGATCTGGTATTTAGTATGTTGGAGATCTGGTATTTGGTATGTTGGAGATCTGGTATTTGGTATGTTGGAGATCTGGTATTTGGTATGTTGGTGATCTGGTATTTGGTATGTTGGTGATCTGGTATTTGGTATGTTGGGAGATCTGGTATTTGGTTTGTTGGTGATCTGGTATTTGGTTTGTTGGTTGATCTGATGTTTGGTATGTTGGGAGATCTGGTATTTGGTATATTGTCTTGATGTGTAAAAATCTCTGGGAATTCAAACAGAAACAGTTTGAAATAGTGATTTCAATATTGAGAAAGTGAATGACTCAAATGACTGTATTATAGATCCTTTCTACAAACTAAAGCTTTCCCAATATTTTGCTTTTGAATGGAAGGACCTGAAACAAATTTTGTTGTCATCTGCTTGATGATTAGGTGGTATTGAGTGACTCTGCTAGAACTTCTTCCTTTCCCAGGTACTTATGTGAATAAGATACCTCAGCATTACCATGTGTGAGATTGAAACGTTGAAATAAAATTGAGCCTAGCCAGGTGTGGCGGTATGTACCTGTAGTCCCAGCTACTCAGGAGACTGAGGCAGGAGGATCACTTGAGCCTAGAAGTTTGAGGCTGCAGTGAACTACGATCATGCCTGTGAATAGCTACTGCACTCCAGCCTGGGCAACACAGTCAGACTGTCTCAAAAAAAAAAAAAAAAAAAAAAGACAACAATAACAACGAAAACACAGCCTAAGCATAATGGCTCATACCTGTAATCCCAGCACTTTGAGAGGCCAAGGCTTGAGCCCAGGAGACCAGCCTGGGCAACAAAGTGAGTCCCTGTCTCTACAAAAAATTAGTTGAGCATGGTCATGCACACCTGTATTCCCATGTACGTGGGAGGCTGAGGCAGGAGACTGCCTGAGCCCAAGAGGTCGAGGCTGCAGTGAACCACATTTGCACCACTGCACTCCAGCCTAGGCAACAGAGCAAGACTCTGTCTCAGAAAAACAACCAACCAGCCAACAAAAACATTGATGCTTATCACTGTCTCACTCTAGCATGAGAACATCTCTCTCAATATAAGTTGTATTTCCTATACAATTTTGTGTCTTATATTTAAGAATTCTTGGCCGGGTGCAGTTGCTCACGCCTGTAATCCTAGCTAGCACTTTGGGAGTCTGAGGTGGGTGGATCACCTGAGGTCAGGAGTTTGAGACTAGCCTGACCAACATGGAGAAACCCTGTCTCTACTAATAATACAAAAATTAGCTGGGCGTGGTGGTGCATGCCTATAATCCCAGCTACTCGGGAGGCTGAGGCAGGAGAATCGCTGGAACCCGGGAGGCAGAGCTTGCGGTGAGCTGATATCGCGCCACTGCACTCCAGTCTGGGCAACAAGAGTGAAACTCCATCTTGGGGGAAAAAAAAAATGCTGGGCGCAGTGGCTCACGCCTATAATCCCAGCACTTTGGGAGGCTGAGGTGGGTGGATCACCTGAGGTCAGGTGTTCAAGATCTGCCTGGCCAACATGGTGAAACCCTGTCTCTGCTCAAAATTCAAAAATTAGCTGGGCGTGGTGGCAGGCACCTATAATCCCAGCTACTGGGGAGGCTGAGGCTGGAGAATCGCTTGAACCCGGGAGGCGGAGATTGCTGTAAGCTGAGATTGTGCCATTGCACTCCAGCCTGGGCTGGGCAACACAGCAAGACTGCATCTCAAAAAAAAAAAAAAAAAAAAAAAAGGGATAAAGTACATATTGTATTAGGAAAGCATTATGTGAGAGAAGTAAAAAGAAAATACAAGTTCAAGGAGAAAAAGGAGTGATGTAAAATTTCCTGTGCTAAAGAACAGCTTACTTTTTCTTTTTTTCTTTCTTTCTTTTTTTTTTTTTTTTGAGAGGGAGTCTCACTCTGTCGCCCAGGCTAGAGTGCAGTGGCATGATCTTGGCTCACTGCAACTTCCGACACCTGGGTTCAAGCGATTCTCTTGCCTCAGCCTCCCAAGCAGCTGGGATTACATGCACACGCCACCACGCCTGGCTATTTTTTGTATTTTTAGTAGAGACAGGGTTTCACCATGTTGGCCAGGCTGGTCTCAAACTCCTGACCTCAAGTGATCCGCCCGCCTCTGCCTCTCAAAGCGCTGGGATTACAGGCGTGAGCCACTGCACCTGGCCTCTTTTTCTTTCTTTTTTTTGAGACAGAGTCTCACTCTGTCACCCAGGCTGGAGTGCACTGGGTTGATCTCAACTCACTGCAATCTCTGCCTCCGAGGTTCAAGCAATTCTAATGCCTCAGCCTCCTGAGTTGTTGGGATTACAGGTACGCATCACCATGCCCGGCTAATTTTTGTACTTTTAGTAGAGATGGGGTTTTGCTTTGTTGGCCAGGCTGGACTCAAACTCCTGGCCTCAAGCAATCTGCCCACTGCCTCGGCCTCCCATAGTGCTGGGATTACAGGCATGAGTCACTGTGTCCAGCTTCAATATTTCTAATACAAAAAAAAATTGCAAAGAAATCACATCCTTCGAAACTGTTTTTATATTTTTTTGTAGAGACAGGGTCTCAGTCTATCACTCAGGCTGGAATGCAGTGGTATGATCATTATTCACTGTAACCTTGAGCACCTGGCCTCAAGCAATCCTCCCACCATAGCCTCCCAAAGTGCTTGGATTACAGATATGTCCCACTGTGCCCAGCCTTTTGCAACTATTTAAACATGGTTAAAATTTTTTTTAAATCAAATTTTAAAATTTCCCCTTTTTTTTTTTTTTTGAGACAGAGTTTTGCTCTTGTCTCCCAGGTTGGAGTGCAATGGTGTGATCCCTACTCACTGCAACCTCCGCCTCCTGGGTTCAAGCGATTCTTTGGCCTCACCCTCCCGAGTAGCTGGGATTACAGGCACCTGCCACCACGCCCGGCTAATTTTTGTATTTATAGTAGAGACGGGGTTTCACCATGTTGTCCAGGCTGGTCTTGAACTCCTGACCTCAGGTGATCCACCCACCTCGGCCTCCCAAAGTGCTGGGATTACAGGCGTGAGCCACCATGCCCAGCCTAAAAACTTCACTTTTAAAACAAGCTTTATTGAAGGGGTACATAATTTTTAAAAATGTTTAGGGTATGCATGAGCTAAATTATTGAAAGACTACAGTCTTGAGAGATGAGCTAGAGGTTGCTTGACAAAGGAGGAGGAGAAAGACGTTCTTTGTAGGAGAAAGAGGGTTCTGTGAGTGGACTTGTTCATGGAAGGGAGTAATCTGAGATAAACTGGAAATGTATCCATCCTGGGCAACAGAGAGATACCCTATCTCTACAAAAAATACAAAAAGTAGCTGGGCATGGTGGCATGTACCTGTAGTCCCAGCTACTCAGGAGGCTAAGGCAGGGTGTATCACCTGAGCCCAGGAGGTGGAGGTTGCAGTGAGCTGAGATCACGCTATTGCACTCCAGCCTGGGCACTGGAGTGAGACCATGTCTTAAAAAAAAAAAAAAAAAAGGCCAGGCGTGGTGGCTCACGCCTGTAATCCCAGCACTTTGGGAGGCCGAGGCAGGTGGATCACGAGGTCAGGAGATCGAGACCATCCTGCCTAACACAGTGAAACCCTGTCTCTACTAAAAATACAAAAAAAAAAAAAAAAAAAAAAAATTAGCTGGGCGTGGTGGCAGGTGCCTGTAGTCCCAGCTACTCAGGAGGCTGAGGCAGGAGAATGGTGTGAACTCGGGAGGCGGAGCTTGCAGCCTGGGTGACAAGAGTGAGACTCCGTCTCAAAAAAAAAAAAAAAAAAAACCTGGAAATGTAAGTTGGGGTCAGACTCACAGGAACTAGGCTGAGGCATTTCTGTTTATTATTAATTTTAATTACGCAAGTTTTGCATGATTACAATCTCCTTGTAAAAAACTGAAGCTTTATGAATAGGCCTGGGACTGTCACTTCCATTTCTGGTCTCCAGAGGTGACCTTGGTTTTCAGTTGATGCAAGTTCATCTGGCACATGCTGCAGGTCTCTCTGTGACAGAATGTCCGAGCTAAGGAGTTTTAGCTTCTTCACAGGGTCATTGGCAACCAGGGGCTGGGGTGGAGCTGAGAATTTCTACAGGACTTATTACTCCTTTGTGTTTTGCAACTGGGGTTGCTCACTTAGATAATAAGAGTTGTGATTTGGGAGTGAGGGAAGGAGTTGGGGGTAATTTTGGCGCAAGGCCTGTGACACTGTATTGTCAGCAGCTGTCATTAAGCACTGTGCCACTGGAAGGTAGAAGGGAGGGTGCAGAAAAGCTGATGGGAGGACATGAAATCCCATCTTTATTTGCTTATAGATAGGCCTGGCTGGGGTAGAAATGTGCTCGCTACAAACAGTGGCCCTCTTAGTTTCTTTCGTGTCCCCACTTTTTTTTTTTTTTTTTTTTAGTAGAGATGGGGTTTCTCCATGTTGCCCAGTTTGGTCTTAAACTCCTGGGCTCAAGTGATCCACCTGCCTCGGCCTCCCGAAGTGCTGGGATTACAGGCGTGAGCCACCACACCTGGCCATATCCCCACTTTTGAATGAGACGAGGGTACAGAAAACAGTGTAATAACCATTCAAGTGTGATGAGCAACAGCAACTCATACTCGGCCTCACTGCTGGAGACAATACAGAGTGGTGTGGACAGTGGCAAAATGGACAGTCCAAGGTCTTTCTAAAGGGTGGTCATTATTCAGCCCCATCAGCTGTGGTCCTGGGGCCATATGCATCAATGTTAGCCATATCGTCTGATTTTTCAAGAGACTGTAGAAATTGGGATTTTTTTTTTTTTTTTTTTTTTGAGACGGAGTTTCGCTCTGTCGCCCAGGCTGGAGTGCAGTGGTGTGATCTCAGCTCACGGCAACCTCCGCCCCCCAGGTTCAAGCGATTCTCCTGCCTCAGCCCCCCAAGCAGCTGGGTAGCTGGGACTGCAGGCATGGACCACCACACCTGGCTAATTCTTGTATTTTTAGTAGAGACGGGGTTTTGTCATGTTGGCCAGGCTGGTCTTGAACTCCTGACCTCAGGTGATCCACCTGCCTCGGCCTCCCAAAGTACTGGGATTATAGGCCTGAGCCACCTCACCCAGCCTCGGCTCAAACATTTCTTAAATGCTGTGTTGGCCAAATAAGCCATGTGCCTGCGGGCTGCATTTGGCCTATGGGCTGTTAGTTTGTGTTCTCTGTTTCAGAGTTTCTTGTCTTTGTATATCATCCCCGGCATGCCACTGGCTCTACGATCTACGTGGCTGTGGAGGATCCTGGCCTTCTTAGGTAGATGCTGTGAGAATGGCTGACTTCACTCCCCATGTCTAGTTTGCACCCATATTCTGATATCCAGTTAGTAATAGAGCTCTGCCAAGAAGCTGAGGGCTTAGCAGAAGGTTCCAGAAGCATCCCAGGGAAGTCAGTCAATCTAGATTCATTAGACGCCAAGACCCCTCCAGGGATTTGGTCCTGAGGCCTTCAGAGTCTTTCTCTCAGGCGTCAGGGCGGGTTCTTGTGCCTCTCCCAGGACAGAGCCCAGTGGGAACACAGGTTGGTGACTGTTTCTCAAAGGGCTTTGTCCTGTGACTGAAGCCAAGCAAGGGAGTCAGACACATGAAAACACACACACACACACACACACACACACACACACACACACACACCATCCCCCATACTTCCCAGACCTTTTCCCACGCAGTCCCAGGGCGGCCAGAAGGGCAGCTGGTCGTGGGAATGAACCGCAGCCTCCTCCCCCACTGGCAGCTCCACCCCGCTCCATCTACTCCTGGCCGTGCTGTCCCACCCCCAACCCCCTTATTACTTCCAGAGAAGGAAGTAGCAGAACAATGTGGCACATCAGAGAATGGGCACAGAGCCCAGAGCCCCGTGCCCAGGATGGGTCCCCAGCAGGCCGTGGGCTCTGATCCCTGGCTGCCCCGCTCCTGCTCAGGCGGCTTCCCCAAGGTGGCTTCCTAGACCTTCTCTCCATCTCTGGAAGCTCGGCATGGCGGCCACTCTTCTGCCTTTCCGAGGTTGGCCTCTTCCCCGTTGTGCGGTAGCCAGCGTGTGACCTACTTCCTTCCGTCCTTCCTCACCCACACTCCCCACACTCCATTTGGATAGAGTTCCCAGTCTGAGGGGCTGAAGCCAGGCTTTGATGGGGATTTTGGCCAGCGGGAGCAGGTGGGAAGAAAGGGTGATATTTTCTGAAGTTTTTCTCCAGAGGTCAGGCAAGGCAAGTTGTGAGAACAGAGATGGGGTTGGCTCAAGGGCGCCAGGGCCCCGAGGTCTCATTCTTGCTTCTGGATGGGGCTGTCTCTGCCTTGGCAGACGAGTGGAAATGCTCACAGGCTAGAGGAACAGAAAAAAAAATCACTAGTCATGCCCAGCTTCCTGGAGCTGGGAAGTTGGTGGGAACCATTACTTTTGTTTTTCCTGTTGGTCTAAAATAATGTTTTGCCTGGGACCGGAACCCTACGCCCCAGGCAGGACTACCCCTCACTCACTTCCAGCTCTAGTGCTTTCAACTGCTTCACCTTCCGCCAGGCGCTTCCTGCCCTGTGAGCCAAGGGGCAGGGCTCCTCACAAGTCTTTTGCTGCCTCTAGAAGCCAGTTCCTCCCTCCGCCCCCAACCATGATCCTGACTCAAGGGTTGGTAGTGGGATCCAAGCTAGACCTTATGAGGTGGCTCAAGTGACCACTTGGAAAAGTCTTTATCGCGGAAAAGAACCCTAAGAGTCTACTCCCAACCTCAAATTTTAGCTGAGAAACAGAGGTACAAAGAGCACATGTGCCTTGCCAGGATCAGCAGCCAGGAAAAGGGGGAGAACCAGGACTCGCAGGTTTTCTGACTCTTTGGTGATGTCCTTAAGGAACACCGTGCAATGTTGAAAGGCAGCTTTGGGAGGGAGCAGAAGAAAAATGCCAGGCTCTTGACATCCTGATCTTGCTTGGGCCTCAGAGAACCTTTATTTTTAATTTCCTTTTTCAGGGCTTTGGGCTCTATTTTCACCTTGAAAAAGTGGCGTTGAATTGTCTTTGTTCTCAGCAGAGAGCTGACACCTGTTCTTCTCAGCGCCTCCTGCACTCGCGGGCTGAGCGGCCCACTTCTGCACTGATGCTGCTGTCTTCTCGTGCTTCTGCCTTGTTTCAGATATGTAAGTTACATCTCTCCAACTCTGCTGTAAGCTTTCATGCTTTAAATTTCTTCACTGAATTTTGCCATACACAAAAGTATTCACTGAGCACCTCATGTGGCCCAGGCTCTTCGCTTCTTACCCACCTGGAGCTTTCAGTCCAACACGAGTGTCACACAATGAACATGGAAGCAGCAGATGAATGCATTACAGATATGCCATGAGGGAATACACAGGGAACAGGGATGCTGCCAAGGGCTCTCTGAGGATGGGGAGCCAGCCCCGCCTCAGGAGGATCTGGGGAAGGGTGGTCCAGGTCAGGGAATAGTAAGAGGCTGGTCCTGTTTGAGGCCCTGAGAAGAAGCCAGGGTTGCTCCACCAAAGAGAGGAGCACAGGATGAGGCTGGAGGGGCAGGAGGGCTTAGATCCTCTAGGGCTTTTTTGTTTTGTTTTGTTTTTAGAGAGAGGGTCTCCCTCTGCTGCCCAGATGTCTCACTCTGCTACAGTACAGTGGTGCAGTCATACATAGCTCAGTTGCAGCCTCAAATTCCCGGGCTTATGTGATCCTCCCACCTCAGCCTCCTGGGAGTAGCTGGGACTACAGGAGTGTGCCACCATGCCTGGCTAATTATTAACTTTTTTTGTAGAGATAGGCTCTCCCTATGTTGCCCAGTCTGGTCTCAAACTCCTGGGCTCAAATGATCCTCCCACTTCAGCCTCCTGAATAGCTAGGACTACATGTATGCACCACAACACTTGGCCAGCTTTTTTTTTTTTTTTCCTGTCTTGAGACTGAGCCTCAGTCCGTTGCCCAGGCTGGAGTGCAGTGGCGCGATCGCAGCTCACTGCAACCTTCACCTCCTGGGTTCAAGAGAGTCTCCTGCCTCAGTCTCCCGAGTAGCTGGGACCACAGGTGTGCACCACCACGCCTGGCTAATGTTTGTATTTTTAGGAGAGGTGGAGGTCTCAAACTTCTGGCCTCAAGTGATCCGCCCACCTCAGCCTCCCAAAGTGCTGGGATTATAGGTGTGAGCCACTGCGGCTGGGCTAATTTTGTTTTTTGTAGAGACAAGTTCTCACTATGTTGCCCAGGCTAGTCTTGAACTCCTGGGCTCAAGTGATCCTCCTGCCTTGGCCTCCCAAAGTGTTAGGATTACAGAAGTAAGCTTCTGGGCTCAGCTCACATTTTTTAATACATTTTATTACATTTATATGTATGGTTTTTACCTACATGCCAACTTAGCACATCATATATATATATATATATATATACACACACACACACACACACACACACACACGTGTATATATATATATACGTGTATATATATACGTGTATATATATATACGTGTGTATATATATACGTGTATATATATACGTGTGTATATATATACGTGTACATATATACGTGTGTATATATATACGTGTGTATATATATACGTGTATATATATATATACGTGTGTATATATATACACATGTCTTGCTCTGTCACCGAGGCTGGAGTGCAGTGGTGTTGATCTCAGCTCACTGCAACCTCCATCTTCCAGGGTCAAGTGATTTTCCCACCTCAGCCTCTCAAGTAGCTGGGACTACAGGTACATGCCATCACGCCTGGCTAATTTTTGGTGGACTCAGGATTTCACCATGTTGGCCAGGCTAGTCTCAAACTCCTGGCCTCAAGTGATCCACCCGCCTTGGCCTCCCAAAGTGCTGAGATTACAGGCGTGAGCCACCACGTCCCGCCAATAAAATGTTTAGTTAAAAAAACTGGCTGGGCCCGGTGGCTCACACCTGTAATCCCAGCACTTTGGGAGGCTGAGGTGGGTGGATCACGAGGTCAAGAGATCGAAACCATCTTGGCTAACATGGTGAAATCCCGTCTCTACTAAAAATACAAAAAATTAGCCGGGCATGGTGGCGGGCACTTGTAGTCCCAGCTACTCAGGAGGCTGAGGCAGGAGAATGGCGTGAACCTGGGAGGCGGAGCTTGCAGTGAGCCGAGATCACGCCACTGCACTCCAGCCGGGACGACAGAGTGAGACTCCATCTCAAAAAAAAAAAAAAAAAACTACAGGCCGGGTGCAGTGGCTCACGCCTGTAATCCAAGCACTTTGGGATGCTGAGGCAGGTGGATCATGAGGTCAGAAGATTGAGACCATCCTGGCTAATACAAAAAAATACAATATATACAAAAAAATACAATATAATAAAAAAAATACAAAAAATTAGCTGAGCATGGTGGCAGGCACCTGTAGTCCCAGCTACTCGGGAGGCTGAGGCAGGAGAATGGCGTGAACCCAGGAGGTGGAACTTGCAGTGAGCCGAGATTGAGCCACTGTACTCCAGTCTGGGCGACAGAGACTCTGTCTCAAAAAAACAAAAACAAAAACAAAACCTATATAGACTGGTCATCATGGTGAAACCCCATCTCCACTAAAAATACAAAAATTGGCAGGGCGCAGTGGCTCATGCCTGTAATCCCAGCATTTTGGGAGGCCGAGGCGGGCAGATCACCTGAGATCCAGAGTTCGAGACCAGCCTGGCCAACGTAGTAAAACCCTGTCTCTACTAAAAATACAAAAATTAGCCAGGAGTGATGGTGCATGCCTGTAATCACAGCTACTCGGGAGGGTGAGGCAGGATAATTGCTTGAACCTGGGGGGTGGAGGTTGCAGTGAGCCGAGATCACGCCATTGCACTCTAGCCTGGGCAACAAGGGCAAAACTGTCTCAAAAAAAAAAAAAAAAAAAAAGTAGTTGGGTGTAGTGGCGTACACCTGTAATCCCAGCTACCCAGGAGGCTGAGGCACAAGAATTGCTTGAACTCGGGAGGCAGAGGTTGCAGTGAGCCAAGACGGTGCCACTGCACTCCAGCATGGGCAGCACAGCAAGACTCTATCTCAAAAAGAGAAAAAAAGGCTGGGCACGGTGGCTCACGCCTGTAATCCCAGCACTTTGGGAGGCCAAGGCAGGCGGATCACGAGGTCAGGAGATCGAGACCATCTCCACTAAAAATACAAAAAAATTAGCCGGGCATGGTGGCGGGCGCCTGTAGTCCCAGCTACTCGGGAGGCTGAGGCAGGAGAATGGCATGAACCCGGTAGGCGGAGCTTGCCGTGAGCCGAGATTGCACCACTGCACTCCAGCCTGGGTGACAGAGTGAGACTCCGTCTCAAAAAAAAAAAAACAAAAAAACGCTTTATTGAGGTAATTGTAGACTTACATGCAATAAGAAGTAATAGTGAGAGATCCCTTACACACTTTTCCCAGTTACCCCAGTGGTAGCATTCTACAAAACTATCGCACAGTATCATAACCAGGATATCGACATTGATAAAATCCACCAAACTTACTCAGATGTCCCCAGTTTTATTTGTACTAGTGTGTGAGTGTGTGTGTGTGTGTGTGTGTGTATGGGTGTGTAGTTCAATACAATTTCATCACACATGTAGGTTCGTATATCCTCCACTGCTGAACAGTTCCAATACCACAAAGATCCCTCAGGGTTGCCCTTTGATATCCACACGTGTTTCCCTCCTGACTCCTCCCAGGCCCCATTCCAAACTCCTGGCAACCTTCATTTTGAAAATTTTGTTATCTCTCTCTTTTTTTTTTGGGGGGATGGAATTTCGCTTTTGTTGTCCAGGCTGGAAGCAATGGAGCAATCTTGGCTCACTGCAACCTACGCCTTCCGGGTTCAAGAGATTCTCCTGCCTCAGCCTTCCGAGTAACTGAGATTATAGGTGCCCACCACCACAGTGACTGATTTTTTTAAATTTTTGGTAGAGATGGGGTTTTGCCATATTGACCAGGCTGGTCTCAAACTCCTGGCCTCAGGTGATCTGCCCATCTCGGCCTCCCACAGTGCTAGGATTATAGGCGTGAGCTACCATGCCCGGTCGAAAATTTTGTCATTTCAAAAACCGTTATATAAGGCCGGGTGCGGTGGCTCACACCTGTAATCCCAGCACTTTGGAAGCCCGAGGCAGGTGAATCATCTGAGGCCAGAAGTTCAAGACCAGCCTGGCCAACATGGTGAAACCCCGTCTCTCCTAAAAATAAAAAAATTAGCCAGTCATGGTGGTACACACCTGTAATCACAGCTACTCAGGAGGCTGAGGCAGGAGAATTGCTTGAACCCAGGAGGCGAAGGCTGCAGTGGACGAGATTGTGCCACTGCACTCCAACGTGGGTGACAGAACGAGACCCTGTCTCAAAAAACAAAAAAACCAGGCTGGGCGTGGTGACTCCCGCCTGTAATCCCAGCACTTTGGGAGGCTGAGGTGGGCGGATCACGAGGTCAGGAGATCGAGACCATCCTGGCTAACACGGTGAAACCCCGTCTCTACTAAAAATACAAAAGATTAGCCAGGCGTGGTAGCGGGCACCTGTAGTCCCAGCTACTTGGGAGGGAGGCTGAGGCAGGAGAATGGCATGAACCCAGGAGGCAGAGCTTGCAGTGAGCCGAGATTGCGCCACTGCACTCCAGCATGGGCTACAGCGCGAGACTGTGTCTCAAAAAACAAAAACAAAAAAACAAGCTGTTATATAAATAGAATCATACAGTATGTAACCTTTTTAAAATCAGGGCCAGGCTCGTTGGCTCATGTCTGTAATCCCAGCACTTTGGGAGGATGCGGCAGGAGGATTGCTTGATTCCAGGAGTTTCAGACCAGCCTGGGCAACATAGTGAGATCCCATCTCTACAAAAAATAAAAAAATTAGCCTGATGTGGTGCACACTTATAGTCCCAGCTACTTGTGAGGCTGAGGTGGGAGGATCACTTGAGATTGGAAGTTAGAGGTGAGGCTGCAGTGAACTGTGATCATGCCACTACATGCCAGTCTGGGCCACAGAGTGAGACCCTGTCTCAAAACAACAACAAATAACCAGCATAATTCCTTGGAGAGTCATCCAAGTTGCTGTGTGTTGATAGTTCATTCCTGTTTGTTGCTGAGCAATATTCCATGGTGTGGATGCACCATGGTTTCTTTAACCATTCACCTACTGAAGGATACCTGAGCTAATTTTAAGTTTTTGCTATTATTATGGATAAAGCTGCTATGAACATATATGTACCGGTTTTTGTGTGAACATAAGTCTTCATTTCTCTGGGATAAATGCCCAGGCATGCAATTTCTTGGTCATGTGGTAGCTGCATGTTTAGTTTTTTAAGAAAATGCCAAACTGTTTTCCAGAGTGACTATGTTACTTTTTTTTTTTTTTTTTTTTTTGAGACAGAGTCTCGCTCTGTCGCCCAGGCTGGGATGCAGTGGAGCAATCTTGGCTCACTGCAACCTCCACCTCCTGGGTTCAAGTGAGTCTCTTGCCTCAGCCTCCTGAGTAGCTGGGACTACAGGTGTGTGCCACCATGCCTGGCTAATTATTGTATTTTTAGTAGAGGCGGGGTTTCACTATATTGGTCAGGTTGGTCTTGAACTCCTGATCTTGTGATCTGCCCGCCTCGGCCTCCCAAAGTGCTGGGATTACAGGCGTGAGCCACTGCACCCAGCCTGTGTTACTATTTTTTAAAGACTAGAGAGCATGTTTGTGTGCTGAAGGGGGAGATTTAGATTTTAGGAACTAGGTCCTTGAAGATGGGAGAGAGGAAGTTCCATAGGTTTTGCCGTGGGATTGGCTAGTTTTTATTGGCTAGTTTTTTTTTTTTTTTTTTTTTTTTTTTTTTTTTTTTTTATAGACAGGGTCATCCAGGCTGGAGTGCAGTGGCATGATCACAGCTCACTGTAGCCTCAACCTCCTGGGCCCAAGCTATCCTCCTACCTCAGCCTCCCAAGTAGCTGGGACTACAGGGGTGTATCAGCACGCCTGGCTAATTTTTTACATTTTTTTGTAGAGATGGGGGTCTCTTTACATTGCCCAGGCTGGTCTCAAACTCCTGGGCTCAAGCAATCTGCCTGCCTTGGCCTCCCAAACTCCTGGGATTATAGGTGTGAGCCACTGTGCCTGGCCAGGATTGGCTAGTCTTTAGCAAAGGGACATCCACTTCTCAGAGCACTAGGAGGAGACAGATGTAAGTAGGCGGAGATGCAGATGGGTTTGTAGGCTGTGGTAGGAATGACAGGGTATTTCCTATTGCTTCTATTTCCTTAGTAACATGGTGGCTAGGTCATCAGCTAAGATGAGAGGGGTAGAGGTTTTGCAGAGAGAGCCTAGGGAAAAAATTCTTCTTGAGAGTGGAAAAGCAAACTTAATGGGGAAACGTAGTAGGAATTACCCAGCAGTATTGACAGTCCGTTTGAGGTTAGGATCATGAACATGAGTGAAGATAACCTGCCTGGTATTGTGATTTTGCTGTAGCAAAAGCACTCGGAAAGCAAATGGTTGAATTTATGTGGAGTAGGGCTTTGCCAGGCAAGCACAATGGGAGGAGACAGAGGGAAGGAGTAGTTATAGTGATGGATGATAGACAAGCTAGAAAAGGCTGGGCGTGGTGGCTCATGCCTGTAATCTCAGCACTTTGGGAGGCCAAGGCGGGCAGATCATTTGAGCCCAGGAATTCAAGACCAGCCTGGGCAATATGGCGAAACCCCATCTCCACCCAAAATACAAAAATTAGCTGGGTATGGTGGCATGTGCCTGTAGTCCCAGCTACTTGGGAGGCTGAGGCAGGAGAATCCAGGAGGCAGAGGTTGCAGTGAGCCGAGATGGCGCCACTGGACTCCAGACTAGGTGACAGAGCAAGACCCTGTCTTAAAAAAAAAAAAAAAAGCCGGGCACGGTGACTCACGCCTGTAATCCCAGCACTTTGGGAGGCCGAGGCAGGTGGATCACAAGGTCAGGAGTTCAAGACCAGCCTGGCCAAGATGGTGAAATCCTGTCTTTACTAAAAATACAAAAATTAGCCAGGTGTTGTGATGGGTGCTTGTGATCCCAGCTACTCGGGAGGCTGAGTCAGAGAACTGCTTGAATCTGGGAGGCGGAGGTTGCAGTGAGCAGAGATCACACCACTGCACTCCAGCCTGGGCAACAGAGCAAGACTGTCTCAAAAAAAAAAAAAAAAGAAAAGAAAAAAAGAAGCTAGAAAAGAAGGGATCTGGGAGCTGAGATTGCACAATTATACTCCATCCTCAGCGACAGAGTGCAAAAAAAAAAAAAGACCGGGCACGGTGGCTCACGCCTGTAATCCCAGCACTCTGGGAGGCCGAGGCAGGTGGATCACAAGGTCAAGAGATCAAGACCATCCTGGCTAACACGGTGAAACCCCGTCTCTACTAAAAATACAAAAAATTAGCTGGGCATGGTGGCGGGCGCCTGTAGTCCTAGCTACACGGGAGGCTGAGGCAGGAGAATGGCATGAACCCAGGAGGCAGAGCTTGCAGTGAGCCGAGATCGCGCCACTGCACTCCAGCCTGGGTGACAGAGTGAGACTCCATCTCAAAAAAAAAAATAAAAAAAAAATAAAAAGAAAAGAAGAGATGTGAGTCAAAATTAGGACTACTATTATATTATTAAAAAGATAAAAGATGGTCAGGCATGGTGGCTCATGCCTGTTATCTCAGCACTTTGGGAGGCTGAGGTGGGTGGATCACTTGAGGTCAGGAGTTCAAGACCAGCCTGGCCAACATGGAGAAACCCTGTCTCTACTAAAAATACAAAAACTAGATGGGTGTGGTGGTGGGTGCCTGTAATCCCAGCTACTTGGGAGGCTGAAGCAGGAGAATCACTTGAGCCCAGGAGGTGGAGCTTGCAGTGAGCTGCAATCACGTCACTGCACTCCAGCCTGGACAACAGAGTGAAACTCCATCTCAAAGAAAAAACAAGACAAAAGACAAGTGTTGGTCTGGATGCAGAGAAAAGGGAACCCTTGCACCCTGTTGGTGGGAATGTGAATTAGTATAGCCTTTATGGAAAACAGTATGGCGGTTCCTCAAAACATTAAGAATAGTCTGGGCATGGAGGCTCATGCCTATAATCCCAGCACTTTGGGAGGCCAAGGCAGGCAAATCACAAGGTCAGGAGTTTGAGACCAGCTTGGCCAACATGGTGAAACCCTGTCTCTACTAAAAATACAAAAAATTAGCTGGGCGTGGTGGCGTGTGCCTGTAATCTCAGCTACTCCGGAGGCTGAGATAGGAGAATCGCTTGAACCTGGGAGGCGGAGGTTGCAGTGAGCTGAGATCGCTCCGCTGCACTCCAGCCTGGGTGAGAGAGTGAGACTCCATCTCAAAATAAAAAATAAAAAACATTAAGAATAGAACTACTTTATGATCCAGGAATCCCACTACTGGGTATATATCCAAAGGACCTGAAATTAGCATGTCAAAGAGATTTGTATTCCCATGTTCATTGCAGCATTATTCACAACAGCCAACACATGGAAACAACCACAGTGCCCAACAACACACGAATGAATAAAGAAAAATGTACATATAGACAACGGGGTACTATTCAGCCTTAAAAAAAGAAGGAAACTGTATCATTTGCGACAACATGGATGAACCTGGGAGATGTTATGTTATGTGAAATAAACCAGGCACAAAACAAGAAATACTGCATGATTTCACTTACATGTAGAGTGTGAAAAAAATCAAGCTTAGACCAAGAATGGTGGCTCAGACCTGTAATCCCATTCATTGCTTTGGGAGGCTGAGACAGGAGGATCCCTTGAGACCAGGAGTTTGAGACCAGCCTGGGCAACACAGGGAAACCCTGTCTCTGGAGAAAAGAGTAAAAAACAATTAGCTAGGCATGGTGGCATGTGCCTGTGGTCCTAGCTACTCGGTAGGCTGAGGCAGGAGGATCCTTTCAGGCCAGGAATTTGAGGCTCCAGTGAGCTATGCTGGTTCCACTGCACTCCAGCCTAGGCAAAAGAATGAGACCCTGTGTCAAATAAACAAAACAAAAAGTCAAACTCATAGAAATAGAGAGTAAAATGATGGTCACCAGAGGCCGGGGGCAGGTAGAGGAATTGGAAAAGTGTTAGTCAAAGGACACAAATTTTCAGTTAGACAAGAGGAGTAAGTTCAAGAGATCTATGTTACATCATGATGGCTAGAGTTAACAACATAGTGTATATTTGCAAAAAAATGATAAGGATGTAAGATAATAAATATGTTAAAAAGCTTGATTTGGCCGGGTGCAGTGGCTCATGCCTGTAATCCCAGCACTTTGGGAGACTGAGGTGTGCGGATCACTTGAGGTCAGGAGTTCGAGACCAGCCTGGCCAACATGGCAAAACCCCGTCTCTACTAAAAATACAAAAATTAGCCAGGCTTGGTGGCGCAAGCCTGTAATCCCAGCTATTCAGGAGGCTAAGGCAGGAGAATCGCTTGAACCTGGGAGGTGGAAGTTGCAGTGAGCCAAGATCGTGCCACTGCACTCTGGCCTGGGTGACAGAGCGAGACTCCGTCTCAAAAAAAAAAAAAAAAAAAAAAAAATTTAATCATTGATTAACTCTTCTACAATGTATACATATATGAAAACGTGATGTACACCATAAATGTATACAATCTTTGTTAAAATTTTAAAAATATGCATAAAGAAATAATGATTTTTGTGGGAACTATTTTAACATAATTTCACACTTATGGTTCTCGACTACTTTTCTAATAAACTACTATCTCTCTTTGCCAAGGGAAACAGAAAAAAACAGTATCATTAGCTGGCAGTGGACTCAAATAGGAGAGTTTCAGTTATTCCAAATTTCTGTGGCTTACCATATAATTCAGTCCTATGTAAAAATCTGCAATTGGTAACAGTGACTACTGAGTTTGGACCCAAGTATTTGCACTAAAGCTTTGACACATTAGATAGGTTCCTTTCGTTTTCTTTTTTCTTTTTTTCTGAGACGGAGTCTCACTCTGTTGCCCAGGTTGGAGTGCAGTGGTGTGATCTCAGCTCACTGCAAGTTCCGCCTCCCAGGTTCACGCCATTCTCCTGCCTCAGCCTCCCGAGTAGCTGGGACTACAGGTGCCCTCCACCACGCCCGGCTAATTTTTTGTATTTTTAGTAGAGACGGGGTTTCACCATGTTAGCCAGGATGGCCTCGATCTCCTGACCTCATGATCCGCCCGCCTCGGCCTCCCAAAGTGCTGGGATTACAGGCGTGAGCCACAACGCCCGGCCTCTTTTGTTTTTTAAGTTGAGGCAGGGTCTTAGTCTGTCACCCAGGCTGGAATGCAGTGGTGCAGTCACAGCTCACTGCAGCCTTGACCTCCCAGGCTCAAGCGATCCTCCTACTGCAGCCTCCCGAGTAGTTGGAACCACAGGTGTGTGTCCCCACGCTGGCTTTTTTTTAAAATTTTTATAGGGTCTCCTCATTACCCACAGCTAATCTTAAACTCCTGGGCTCAAGTGATCCTCCCACTTCGGCCTCTCAAAGTGTTGAGATTATAGGAATGAGTTGCCACGCTCAGTCATAGACAGGTTACTTTCTCATCTCTCTTAACAAGTTTCTTCCTCTTAAAAAAAACAAACAAAAAACTTAGGGCTAATGAATAGTGAGGAATTAGTGAGGTCAAGCGTTAAGCTCCTGATACAGGTCAAAGACTTGTTGAAAGGTTTAATTAAGGCAAAGGTTATGGTTGGAGAGTCAATATTTTGGACGTGAAATGATTTTTGGTGAAAACAAAGTTGAGGGTGTGTTAGCAGCTACAGTGGAGTGCTGAAAATCTTACCGGAGATGAGAAAGTCGAGGAAGTGAGAGGAGCGTGGCTGAGAGGCCATCATGTGGACCTTGAGCTCACCAAATATGACAAAATTTGGGGCGGAGAGGCAGCAAGCCATGAGCCAAATAAGGGGCATCAACCAGGAGGCTGGCTAATGACATTAACCAAGATAGTATATCTAGAGGGTGAAGCCCCAATGGAACAGGGATTTTGTGGGAGGGAGGGGAAGATAAACACTGGTCTAGAAATGGCATTGGGATGGAGAGGAATACACTTACCCACTTCTGACACTGAGGCACGTGAGAATGAGAAACAGAATTCACCTAATAGAGCTGCTGGAGAAGCAGCGGTTAGTGGATAGCCAAGTTTCAGATAAAGCAAGGATGCTGAGAAAAGGCTGAGGATGTGGAAGAGTTTGCTGATCACACGTTGCAGAAGGCACAGTGGGAGGGTATGGTTAGGAGCAGGAAGCAGAGTCTGATAGATTGCCAGTGTGAGGGCAATGGATGAGAAGGGACTTGAACCTGTGGTGGTGACTGGGGTAGACAGGGATAGAGGGGTGATGGGATATAGTGCTGTTGTAGAAGTTTCTGTGATGATAGACATGTTCCATATGTATACTGTGTAATACTGTGGCTGCTAGCCACATATGGCTATTAAGCATATGAAATGTGGCTAGTGGGCCGGGCGCGGTGGCTCATGCCTGTAATTCCCAGCACTTTGGGAGGCCGAGGCAGGTGGATCACTTGAGGTCAGGAGTTCGAGACTGGCCTGGCCAACATGGTGAAACCCCGTCTCTACTTAAACTATAAAAATTAGCCGGGTGTGGTGGTGGGCGCCTGTAATCCCAGCTACTCGGGAGGCTGAGACAGAAGAATTGCTTGAACCTGGGAGGCAGAGGTTGCAGTGAGCTGAGATCATCCCACTGCACTCCAGCTTAGGTGACAGAATGAGACTCGGTTTCAAACAAAAGAAAAAGAAATGTGGCTAGTGGGACTGAGGAATTGAACTTTTAACTTTATTTCATGTTAATTAATTTAGATTTGAAGACCTCAGTTTTTGTGAATTTTTCACTTGCTGACCAGGTGGCTATCAGGGTGGCCACTCCTTTAAACAGAAAGCTGTCCAGAGAGCTTCTGACTCTTCCACCATGCAGATCCAGAGAAAGCACAGGATCAGGCAACTTGGGATCCAAATTCTAACTATACCACTTAATCGCTTTGAATTAAAGCTAGCATGTTAACATGTCTGGTATAGACAGACCCTCAATAAATATTGGATGACAGAATAAATCTCTCTGAGGTTTAATTCTCTTCATCCTTAAAACGAGGGTGGAGAGCTGTTCTAAAATTTAGTACTTTACCCATGATGCTCAATAAATGGTCGCTATTATTGACATAGTGAGTTCTCAATATTTGTTGATTCATGGGTCAAAAACTGTCCTTCAGGTTAAAGGGTTACTTGGCCAGGAATGGGCTGGCAGAAGTGAGACATTCCAGCTCCCTCTGAGGGTCCAGGAGGATTGCCCAGGTCTCTGGGACTATGCGATGGGGTAGATCAGGGCTGGGTTTAAATGTCCAATTTTGCTAAGTACTAATGTAAGAACATACCTGACTTGAACCTGGAGGAGTAGGTAGGGATAGCTGAGGGACAAAGTGGAGGATCTTAAAGTGAACCAGAGTATGAGACCAGCCTTGCCTGAATATCTAGTGATAATCCGGGCAGTTTCGGTATCATTTACCACTTTAATTTGTGTTGAAAAAGCCTTAGCTTGGTAGCTCCAGCCTTCCTTCTGTGCCTCCATCCCCATCATCCAAAACCCAAAAGCATGCTGTTTGTGAAGGAGAGTAACCATATCCTGAGATGACTCCAATGTGAGATGTTTGTGAACTGAAAGTCATAGTGACCGCCGATCTGGAGTGTCACCCTTTCTCTGAGTTATCACTCTTTCTGCAAAGCTGTCCCTAATTCCCTAAATTACTTTCTCTGTGGCATTCCTCAGATTGAGCACTTACTTACCTGGTATTGTGATGACCTGTGTCTCTCCCCTTGACCGGATTGTGACATCCAAGGCAGGAACCTTGCCTGGTTGATTATGGCGTATTCTTGGACTCTAGCACATGCCTGGAGCATACAGTAAGTAGCTATTCAATAATTATTTGTTGGCCGGGTGCGGTGGCTCATGCCTGTAATCCCAGTACTTTTGGAGGCCGAGGCAGGTGGATCACCTGAAGTCAGGAGTTCAAGACCAGCTTGGGCAACATGGTGAAACCTCGTCTCTACTAAAAATACAAAAATTAGCCGGGCATGGTGGTACATGTCTGTAATCCCAGCTACTCAGGAGGCTGAGGCAGGAGAATCGCTTGAACCCGGGAGGTGGAGGTTGCAGTGAGCTGAGATTGTGCCACTGCACTCCAGCCTGGGCCACAGAGAGAGACTCCATCTCAAAAATAAGTAAATAAATAAAATAATTATTTGTTGAATAACTGAATGGATGTAATCTGAGGTGACAGAGTGACCCACTGTGATCTGAGATAATGTGACCTCTCTTGATTGCAATCTGGGTTGACTGTGAACAGAGTCGGGGCTTTTGATGATTGTGTTGAAGTGTCTGTGATTGTAACCTACAAGGACTGTGATCTGAGGGGTCTGCGCACCGGTGACTGTGGCCTTCAGGCACTAATCTGTCATAAGGACCAGTAGGGATAATGAATGGAGGTGACTGAACTAGTAACCTTGCATGATCGATTGAAGTAACTTGCACTGATTGTGATCTGAAGTGACCGTGAACAAGTTAGTGACGACGCTTTCCACGACTGTCTTGTTGTGACTGTGCTCATGATCTACAGAGTTCTGGCTTCAGATGACCTAAGCCAGTGCTTGGAGCAGCCTTGACGATTGACATGAGATGTGTGCGAGATGCTGAGATTGTTGATCTACCCTGACAGCTGAGGTTATTGATCTGCATTATGAGCTGAGATAACAGATCTGTGGGCCTGGACTCAGACTAGGAATGGTGCTAATATGTGTGTAGTTCTCTTAAGATTTCTGATTTTGTTTTAATATCCTCCCAAATGGCACAGCCCTGTTCGGCCCCACGCCAACAAGGAATAGGGATGAGGACCAGGTTGAGTCAATCCTCACAGAAAACTACCGGAAACACAACGCATCTTCTGGGCCGCGCTGCCGCAGCTGCGGGCAGACCCACCGCCTTGGTCATGGCCTCCTGCACAGCCTGCCCTTCGTTCGGACCCCCTAGCCCTACCCCCACGATCGGTCCGTGGTGCGCCTGCGCGGAGGCGGGGCGGTGCTTTGCCCTTTGTTGTGGGCCCCAGTTTCCCAGGACACCGCGCGGCGCTGGGGTGGGGCTATGCAGATGAGGCACTCGGGGGCGGGGCGGCGGCGGCGGCGGCGGCGGTGGCGGCCGGGGAGGGTCAGTTGGAGGCAGGCGCTCGCTGAGGCAAAAGGAGGCGCTCGGCCCGCGGCCTGACAGGGACTTAGCCCGCAGAGATCGACCCCGCGCGCGTGACCCCACACCCACCCACTCATCCATCTATCCACTCCCTGCGCCGCCTCCTCCCACCCTGAGCAGAGCCGCCGAGGATGATAAACACCCAGGACAGGTAACGGCCCGGCCCAGGCTCCCCGCCCCCATCCTCCCTCATCTGCTCCAGAGGGCCTCTCACGTACCCCTAGCCGGCCCCCGCCCCCCGCAGCGGGGCCATCCGCCCCCAGCCAGGTCCGTTCACCACTTCAGCCACCCTAGTCCGGTCCTCAGCCCTGCAACTGGGCCTTCTTCTGTCCTTTAGCCCCCTCTTCAGCCGGGCCCATCCCCCTCATCCGGGCCTTCTCCTCCCCTAAAGCCCCCAAAAGCCGGAACCCAACCTTCCAAGCAAGTCCCCTTTTTTCTTTCAGCCCCACCGAATTGTGCCCCATTCCCCAAACTGGGCTTTCCCCGGCATCCAGATTCCCCAAATTGTTTCCTGTCTTCCTCAAATCTTTCTTACTCCCCTTATAAGTCACTTCACCCTTCCCTTTGAATTCCCTCCCTGATGAAAACTGCACCCCCCACCCAGACTCTTCTCATATCACTGCCCCCCGCAAAGTCAACCTCCATCCTTCAGTTCTCAGTTTACCCCCACTCATCACCCTCCCCCCATTCTCTTCAGGCCTAGCAGTCCTTACACAGATGTCCAGCCTCTTCCTCCTGGTCCCATACTTCAGCTTCATCTTTCCCCCACCTTCCCCTCTCCACACCCCTCTCCCAGTTAGGCCCCATTTTCCCAGTCTCCCAGCGCCATTCCTTTTATTTATCAAACACCAGGTTTGATTCTTGTGCTCCATCCTGTTGCCCCAATGGTATACCCCCAACACTCTTGGAAACATTCTTACCCTCTAAACATCTTTTCTCAGCTGGAACTCATCCTTCTCCTTCCCCTCTTAACTGAATCCCGTCTTTGGATCATTAGATCACAGGACCCAGCCATCTCGCTTCCAGTGAACCTTCCCCCTGTACCTCCAGTGCCTTCAAACCAAGCTCTATATTCTGGACACTAGATCTTTGCAATTTCCTCCCTCAAAACCCGACCCTAGTCTTCCCCCATTAATTAGAGAAAGGCTGCACATCTTTCTCAGACCGAGCACCCTGGTTTTCCAAACTTGCATGGTATATCCTTCCCCCTGCAGATAGTTCCTCAATTTTCCTTTCTCTACATGCCTCTCTTTCTCCAAGACAACCCTTCTCACCTATCTCTCCCTCAAATTTTAATATATCCCATATTTCTGCCTCTGTTCTCTGAAACTGTTCCACAATTTCCTAATTCCCCGGAATTTTTAATCCTAGTTGCTCCTTATACATCAGAATGGCTTTCATTTACAATTTGGACCTAATTCTCTTCCTCATTTTTTCCCCAAACTTGTTGCTGTCCTGTCCAAACCGTGTCTGAAGCTCATTAGTTCCCCACACCAGACCTTTTGTCCCCAGATTTGGCCTTATGGCCTCTGCCTCTCACTTGGGCCTCATTATTTTGCAAGCAGATCCATTCCCTGTAAATCTTCCTTAAATTGGGCCATGTTCTATTCAGAATTAGACTAGTTCCTCTCAAATGCATTGCCTTCTTTATTGCTTTTCTTTGCATAGAGCCCTCTAACTGCCACTCAGGATTCCTCTCAAACTTGGGCACTCTTCTTACTGAAATAGTCTCTCAACTTTCCTTTCCCACTTGTTAACAGCACCAGCCTTAAATATTCCAACTGGGTTTTCAGCTTTTCTTGTATTTCAGTGTTTCTTACCCTGGCTTCACATTTGAGAAATCAGTCACTTGGGCCTTACCTTCAAAGATTGGTCTCATTGGCCTAGAGTGTCCTGATTATTAGCATATAGTTTTAAAGCTCCCCAGGTAATTCTTTATAATGCAAAGCTGGGGTTAAAAACCACAGCTTCCTTCCTGCAGCTTTTCCCATCCTATTCCTGTAGTGGGTGTCAGCCCTTTTCTACTGACAAAGGCCTAATTTTCTTCGAGGAATATTTTTTTTTTTTTTTTTTTTTGAGACAGGGTCTCACTCTGTGGCGCAGGCTGGAGTGCAGTGGTGCGATCTGGGCTCACTGCAACCTCTGCCTCCTGGGCTCAATTTCTTCAGGGATTTCTTAGTCTTTCTCTCTCAGGTGCTGTCCAGAAGTGCCCAAGATACAATACCTGCAACAGCTTCTGAAGTTCCTGTCTGTACTCAGTTCTCAGCCATTGGCCATTTTCTTCCCCCAAGTCTCAGACTCTTAACTGGTGCCCTCCCCCTCATTTCTTCTTTGCATGCAGGAAGAAAATTCACTCGCCGTTTGATAATTTGTTATGGTCTTATTTGACCTGTTATCCCTGCCTCCCATGTTCTCTTTACCCTACAACCCATCAGCTGTTAGAGTTTCCTTTTCCAAGACTCTCCATGTCCATCCCCTCTGCATTCCCCCCTTTCACTCCATCTTCTGTAACCCAGCCCCTCGGGAGCTGAGGAGGTGGAGGCGGATATAGACACGGAGAGTGCTGGATGCAAAGGTGTTACTTGTGGCAAAGGCGCCGTGTGTGCTGAGGATAGATGGCAGGTATGAGAGAGGGCAGGATGAAGCACAGGGGTGGAGGGGAGCAGAGAGACCTACAACAAAACCCACTCAAGGGGTATGTGAGATAGACTTTTTTTTCTGTTCTTTTTGTGTGTCTGTAGTGGGGGTTGGAAAGTGGGGTGGTCTCAGCAGTCATTCTCTGGAGTCCTCTGGACTGAGCTGGTCGAAATGCCGAGTCTTTTGTAGGCTGAGCCCTGAGAGTTGAGCAACTTGGAACCAACATGTAAGAGTCTTCACCAACTGTGAGGTTGAAAGACCTGAGTTCTGGCTGAGCCAGTGTGCTTACATGTGAAAAGAAGAGGGGGTTGGGTTAACTTGACTCGAAAATTCTTTCCAGCTTCCTAAGTGGCAAAACAGGCTTGCTTGTCTCCAGGGCCCTTGCTTAGCGTGTTGGTAATTTGAGGGGCCTGGCTGTATGAGAGGCAGGTGGAGAGAGGAGCCAACTGGCCTGCCAGGGCCTGGGTAGGAGCTAGGCCTTGGATCAGGCTCCTCCACTTGGCCTGGGGGTGGGGTGTTGTGTGCAGGGTGTCTGGTTTCTTTGAGTGATGGCAATCCCATTTCCATAGCGTGTTTCCTAGATTCCTTGGGCCTGCCCCTAACTTTCTAAAAGGAATCCTGGTAGAGTCCTAACTAGGGATTCTGATAAGAGCCGGATGTTCTTCCCAGTCAGTGTTCTCGAGTGTTTCATATCCATAGAGTGGGGAGCTGGCTGGGAATTTAGCTCCCATTGGGTGGGGGATGGGATTTTCAGCTTCCCTGGCTCCAGTGAAAAACTCAGGAGGTGGAGGCTTGGTTTCCTGGAAGAAATAGTTGCAGAGGAGCTGGCACTATGTTTTGAAAACAAGGCTCTTCCTTTCCAGTGTTATTCTGATTGGTACTTCCAAAATGTCAGAATTCCTGATGGTGGGGGAGGGAAGAAGATACAAGTACGAGCACCTTTATTATCCTTTTTGAACATGAGGTTTAAATCCAAGGAAATCAAGCTTCCTGGTCTTTTTCTCCCTGGATTTGTGGGGGCAGGGAGACAGTATCTGTCCAGGGCTTGCTTTGTACCTGTGACAGTACAGTATGTAGAGAAGCACTAGCCCTGGCTTGATAGTGATATTATTATCAATCTGTGCTGATGGGCTTTGAGGAGAAACATTTGGTTCTGCAGGTGGTTTTTTGGGGGAAGGGGGCAGGGCATAAGAACATATCAGAACTATCAGCATCTTCACTGAGTGGTTTCCTGGGTAATGGAATTTCTGTCTCTTCCTAAAGGGTCTGGTTTCAGTTATTCCTTATTTATTGACAATATGGCTTGTTGGGCATGGGGTGGTAGGGAGAGCCAGTTTTCCAATGATGTGCCTTCAAGGTCACTCTATGGTAGGAGGGTTGGGGGAGAGGAGAGAGGGGAGAGAGAGAGGAGAGAGTCAAAGAGGAGAGAGAGAGAGACAGACACAGACTCTCCTAGTATAGTCAGGAATCCCCCAAAATCAGAGCTATGCTTCAGAAAGCAGTGTGGGCTAATAATAGCAATTCCTCACTCTGCCAAGAAATCCAAATTTAGCCTCAGAGCTGCTCAAAAATATAAAAAAGGGGACTGAGGAGTGGGATAGAGGGATGTTACAAATGTGCATTTCTAGAAAAACAAAATGAGTAATTCATCCCTTTTTGAAAGAGTATGCAGTGTTGATTCAAGTTGGTGCCATGATTTAGAAGGTTATGAAGCCAAAGTTACAGACCAGGCCAGGCATGGTGGCTCACACCTGTAATCCCAGCACTTTGGGAGGCTGAGACGATTGCTTGAGCCCAGGAGTTCAAGACCAGCCTGGGCAACATAGTGAGATGCCCCATCTCTTAAAAAAAAAAAAAAAAGTTATAGACAAGAAAGGGACAAGTAGGCAGGCAAGAATTTTGTCACTTAAAGTGAACAAAACAGGTAGTGTCCGGTTAGCAGCAGTAGTGTAAAATGCTTTGTATAAGATAAACCTTAAGAAAATTTCTTAGTCCTTTGATACTATATAAACAATGATGTAATTCTGTCCTGGGAAGAGGCTGGCACTGTGTGATGACCTTACTCTGCAAACTAGATTGAGGTACTTAATATGTAAAAGTAAAGTCTTATATTAAAGCTTGATTACCTAGCTATCCACTCACCTCTGGTAGCATATGTGATTGTGCGTTCCTTTGGCATATGTACCAATATCAGCTGTGTGATAAGCAAACCCCAAAGGCACAGATATTCTAGCTATCACTATAACTGTGTTTCTTGTGGAGAATCAACCAAAACCCAATTTTGCTTTCAGCCTGTGATTCAGAGTGGTGATGTCATTTTCTTTATAATTGTGCTTAGCAAGAAGAGTCCCTGTGGAACGCAGAATAGCCCTAGTGAAATGACTTTTGCCTGGCATCTGCCCAGGGGCCCTTTCTCAGATGGAAGGGGCATCGGTAGCTGGAAATCAGCCTCTACAGCCACACTAGACTGGAGGTGGTCATCACCCTCTCACCTTTCTTACTTTCTATTTTGCTAAGTGATGGCACATCTTTTTGCGTAGGGATTAGTCATCAAAGACATTCCTAGTCTCAGAGTAAAAGCTACCTGTATGAGGGAAGTGAGGGCACCTTTGGGTGTTCTATGAGGCAGGGCCTGAGACAAGAATGGGTCAGAAGAGGTTGAGAGGGGGAAATGAATGTAGAACTGTGTTGGGAATGTGGTTTTCATGTCTTCAATTGATACCAAAAGGTAGCTAATACCAAGGCCATCTGACTTTCTCTGACAGGTAATAGAAACCAGAGAGAAAGGGTGCAGAATTGAATGAGCGAAGGAGGCTACTGATTCAAGTGAAACATGATCAGAAGTATATTAAGGAGAATTTGAATTCAAGTATTTTTTAGATGTAGCTAAGTGGAAGTTACTCACAGAATTACTTTTATATGGAATCTCTTCTCTGTGTACTCTGTACTCTTTTGGTAGCCATCTGTGGGGGATTGCTTTCAGGACCTTCCCCTTACCAAAATCCAAGGGTCCATTATATAAAATAGTGTAGTATTTACATATAACCTACATATATCTTCCCATATACTTTAAATTATCTCTAGATTACTTATAATGCATAACACAATGTAAATGCTATGTAAATAGTTTTAGTGCTCTTTTTATTTGTACTTTTTTTTATTATGCTGTTGTTTATTTTTTTCCTGAGTATTTTTGATCCATGGTTGGTCAAATCCACGAATGTGGAACCTGTGGATATAGAGGACCAACTGTATGTAAATCAAAACTGACTAAAGACAGCTGGAAGTAATTTTTTTTTTTTTTTTTTTGAGGCAGAGTCTCGCTCTTTTGCCAGGCTGGAGTGCAGTGGTGCAGTCTTGGCTCACTGCAACCTCTGCCTCCCGTGTTCAAGCGATTCTGCTGCCTCAGCCTCCCAAGTAGCTGGGACTACGGGCGTGTACCACCACGCCCAGCTAATTTTTGTATTTTTAGTAGAGACGGGGTTTCATCATGTTGGCCAGGATGGTCTTGATCTCCTGACTTTGTGATCTGCCTGCCTCTGCCTTCCAAAGTGCTGGGATTACAGGCGTGAGCCACTGCGCCCGGCTGGAAGTGATTCTTTAACAGAAGATCCTTTACTTTTATCAAGAGACTTAAGGTTAATTCTAAATAGTAAGTACCCTAGAGATTTAGAAATAGCATTTGAATTATAAAAATTTTATTTACCATCATCATTGCCCAGCTGTACATCTGCTGCATACGCTGCCTGTCTGTAGTCAGTGTGTGAAATTGTAACCTGCTAAGGGCATTTCAGACAACAGTTTCACAGACACTTTAAATTAGAGGCAGCAGGATGTGATATGTTAGTAGCACTCATATGTATTCTGAGGAGTGTTTCCAAGGGCATGTCCTATCACTGAGAAAATAAAAGGCACTAACAGATTGGCTCTAATCTTCCATCTCTCTTCCGAATTGCCTTGTATGCTGGATACCTGACACCTTAGTTTCTGGCATGGGATATATGTATTTTTTTCTCTTCCAAAGCAGGACCAGCCCAGCTGGATGTTTGGGTTCGGTCTGATACATTTGATTTTCCTTAATCAGCCTGATCTTTTCAGCCTCTGAAAAGGACTGAGATTCTTTTTTTTTTTTTTTGAGACAGTCTCGCTCTGTCACCCAGGCTGGAGTGCAGTGGCACGATCTCAGCTCACTGCAACCTCCGCCTCCCTGGTTCAAGCAATTCTCCTACCTCAGCCTCCCAAAGTGCTGGGATTACAGGGATGAGCCACCATGCCCAGCCTGTTTCTTAAATCATCCTTTAGGTGGTTGAGATTAAACAATGCCTGCCCTCAAGTGGTGTGACCAGGAGGTGAGGAAGGATTGGAAAAAGCTGGGGATAGGAGCCAGTTAGAAACAAGACTAAACTGAATATGAAACCCAACCTGGTTTGGATCTTATGATAGGAAGACTTGTGTTTAGAAGTCACTGTCTGTTGTGCTTAAATTCTTCCAGGATTCATTATTCCTAATGAGCTTGGTGGCGTAGCTTCAATACCATTTGAACACTAAAGCCATTATCAGAAGAGAAGGCCATTACTGGGTAATTTCATGCCCCTTAATGTCTTTAACTACCACATACGTACCCATCCCCCTTCCTTTCTCACTTCAGAAATGACAGGTTTTTTGGAAGAGAAGCAATTTGCCATTCACAGCAAGTAACTAATAACAGATGCTTTATGTGGACGATGAAGATAATTATTGTGATCTACTGTCTACTAAACTTATCGCAAACCCCAGCTGTTTCTTTTAGGGAACTGGAACTAGTTCCCAGAGTGGGGGCTTGAAACACCCCTCCACCCCCACTCACACACACACTTGCTTATCTGCGCAGATTTATGGGGGAGGAGCAGAGAGCCTCCAGGATCCTTGTATGTGAGAATGGGGAAGTAAATGACATGTTACCATGGCGTAGATATCTTGCGTTTATTTGAAGAGGAGAGAGATCAGGAAACCAGAAATATCACAAGCCCCACTGCTAAATATGACTAGCTTAAAGAAAGAAATATCACAAGCTCATAGATTAGTGCTGGACACAGGGCAGGCAGGCTCCAGGGATTACTTCTAGGAAGACAAAGGGTATTATGGTCTAAAAAAAAATCCTCACTTTATTCTTGTCTTTTCAGTGAGTTGGCCCATTGCTTCTGCTGTTTGCAAGTAAAAATTAGCTAAGAATCAAGATGGTAGTTGGGATGCAGGGCAGAGGTTGAATGCAGCTCGCTCATCTAAAGACCATTTGAGGAATAATTCCTTTGGAAGTAGGAGCCTGGCACCAGAATTCTAGAATTGCAAGGGCTTGGTGATTGATAGGGTTATTTTGTGAACCTAATTAATTCTCTGTATACAAGATGATAATCTGTCTATCCCAGAGGGGTTTGCCCCATCTTTGGGTAGCTCCACTGACCAATAGAAGCAAACCAGCTTTCTCCCGTGGTCCAGCCCTCCTTATGCCCCTGCAGGAACCTCAGCACAGAGAAGTGATCATTGGGGAATGAGAACGGAATCATATGATGTGGTGCATGTGTGTGCATTTGCTTGGGGAAACTCCCCTCACCAAACTCTTGTCTTATTTTTTCTAGTCTGGACACTGTTATTCTGCCCCTTAACACATTGGAAGGGGGAATCACAATAGCTCATTGTCCCCAGCAGAAAATAACTCCTGTCCTTGAAAACAGTAGCATAGTCCTCTGTTAAGCCCTTTCTGTTTTTTTGTTTGTTTTTGTTTTTTTGAGACAGAGTTTTGCTCTTGTTGCTCCGGCTGGAGTGCAGTGGCGTGGTCTTGGCTCACTGCAACCTCCACCTCCCGGGTTCAAGCGATTCTCCTGCTTCGGCCTCCTTAGTAGTTGGGACTACAGGCACGCTCCACCACACCCGGCTAATTTTTGTGTTTTCAGTAGAGACGGGGTTTCACCATGTTGGCCAAGCTGGTCTCAAACTCCTGACCTCAGGTGATCCATCCACTTTGGCCTCCCAAACTGCTGGGATTACAGGCGTGAGCCACCACGCCTGGCCGTTTTTGTTTTGAGCTGAAGTTTCGCTCTGTCATCCAGGCTGGAGTGCAGTGGCACAATCTTGGCTCACTGCAGCCTCCACCTCCCAGGTTCAAGTGATTCTCCTGCATCAGCCTCCTGAGTAGGTGGGTCTACAGGTGCACACCACCACACCCGGCTAATTTTTTTGTATTTTTAGTAGAGATGGGGTTTCACCATATTGGCCAGGCTGCTCTCAAACTCCTGACTTCAAGTGATCCACCCGTCTCTGTCTCCCAAAGTGTTGGGATTACAGGCATGAGCCACTGCGCCCAGTTCAGCCTTTTCTGTTAACAGCTGTTGATGAGGCCGAGAGTGGAGGAGGTGAGGATGACCTGAGGTTTTCCAGAGGAGGGAAGAGGTAGATATGTGGTTACACCCCTAGATTTTTTTTTTTTTTTTTTGGGGGGGAGGAATCTGGCTCTGTCACCCAGGCTAGAGTGTAGTGGCACAATCTCGGCTAACTGCAGCCTCCACCTCCTGGGTTCAAGAAATTCTTCTGCCTCAGGCTTTTGAGTACCTGGCATTACAGGCACCTGCCACCACGCCCGGCTAATTTTTGTACTTTTAGTAGAGGTGGGGTTTCGCCATGTTGGCCAGGCTGGTCTTGAACTCCTGAGCTCAAGTGATCCTCCCTCCTCGGCCTCCCAAAGTGCACCCCTAGATACTGATGCTGCTCCTCACCCATGGACACTTCCCTGGGAAATCCATTTCTCAAAGAAATTTCCAAGTATACTTGTAGGCCCCCAGTTGAAATCTTTGAGAGAACAGACCCTAGGAGCTGAGCAGTGACGGGTTTGGACTTGCATTTTCAGCTGGAGTGCAGATACAGTTCTGCTAATAGGACTGCCCCTTTGGTTACTGTACCATTGCCATGTTAGGTGTGAATTCAGTTTTGTTGCTCTTCATTTAGAAGAATCCAAAATTGGCATGCCATGCTATATAAAGCAAAGGACAGTGTGAAGAATAGTTACCTCACACCGTTTTACAATGGCTTTCAGGGAAAAAAAAGCCCTGACTTACAGCATTTGGGGACTTTCGCAGTGTAAATACTCCTCCTTTGGCCAATTCAGGCTACCAACATGACATCATTAAACACATATTTGGCAAGAGATGTGCACGATTGTGTGAGCTGGCCCCAGCACACCACTGCAATACCCGCTAAATGTATCCAGTGCATTCCAGCTGCTCTGAGGCTGATGTGTGGTGGCTGGGGAACAGGCCTGTTGCTGAGTCGTGGTGTGTACACACACACACAATTTACCTCCTTCTCTGTTTCACTTGCCCTTGGCCTAGGGAATGAACTACATCTCAGTCTAAGGAACCACTAAATTGGATTCAAAGACAGTTGAGCAGATCTACAGCCCTGTTGGGTCCATCCGAAAATCAAGGTGGCCAGTAAGGTGACAGCTCTTTTAGGAGCCTTTTACCTGCTATAATCTGTCTGATTATTGGATTCTTTACTCAGGTCATAGCACGTATCCTCCTCTCCCAGCACATAGCCTGCACCCAGCACATCTGAGTGTGTGTTCTGACCACATCACTATTATGTGACCTCCCACGCTCAGGTCACGAAAGGATCAGCAAAGAAGGGCAAGAAGGCCCAGCATTTGGTGCATACCAGGGGCAAATCAGACATCACAGTATTCTATGTACTATTGTGTACCTCTGCTCTGGGAGCCAAATCCCTGGATTTAGTTTTATTCTTAACCATTGAGGGATTTGGTTAAATGATTTCTCACTCCAGCTGGGTGTGGTGGCTCATGCCTGTAATCCCAGCACTTTGGGAGGCTGAGGCCAGCGGATCACTGGAGGTCAGGAGTTCCAGACCAGCCTGACCAACATGGTGAAACCCTGTCTCTACTAAAAAATACAAAATTAGCCAGGCGTGGTGGCGCATGCCTGTAATCCCAGCTACTTGGGAGGCTGAGGCAGGAGAATCACTTGAACCTGGGAGGCAGAGGTTGCAGTGAGCCAAGTGCGTACCACTGCACTCCAGCCTGGGAAACGAGTGAAACTCTGTCTCAAAAAAAAAAAAAAAAAAAAAAAGTTTCTCACCCCAGTTCCTTTGCTCAGAAGGGGGATGGGGCCATCACTGGGGAAGTAGCCTTGAGAGTTCCTCAGGAACAGGGTACCCAGACCATATGACTTCCCCTCTCCAGCCTGTAACTGTGGGCCTTTTTGATTCTGCCACATAGGTGGTTGAGGCACCATAGGGAAATGAAAAGAGACTGGCACAGGGTTTGAGGCTTGGCAGGTAAGCCAGGACCTGGTGATTTCCAAGGTCTGCCCAGTGCCACAGTGATTTGTTAGAAGATTGCTAGGTGCTCCTCCGGTCAAATAAACCCAGCTGGAGTCCCTTGGCCCTCCTGAGACTTCCTCCCCATGACTTTGCAACACGGTGGGTTCCCCTTAAGACAGCAGCGTAGTTCTGGAAGCTGAAGCCCACAGGACTGGGGCAGCTGGGAGCGTTCATAAGCCTTCCCTTGTTTAGAGAGAGCCAGGATGGGGTGGGGGTGGGATTTGAGTTATATCTTTACATCTTGGCCGGGCGCAGTGGCTCACGCCTATAGTCCTAGCACTTCGGGAGGCTGAGGTGGGTGGATCATGAGGTCGGGAGTTCGAGACCAGCCTGGCCAACATGGTGAAACCCCATCTCTACTAAAAATAGAAAAATTAGCTGGGCATGGTGGCGTGCACCTGAAATCCCAGCTGCTCGGGAGGCTGAGACAGGAGAATCGCTTGAGCTTGGGAGGTGGAGGTTGCAGTGAGCCGAGATCGTGCCACTGCACTCCAGCCTGGGCGACAGAGCGAGACTCCGCCTCAAAAAAAAAAAAAATCGTCAAGTCTTGGTGTTTACTGTCTCACCCTCTCTGTCTCTTGCAGTAGTATTTTGCCTTTGAGTAACTGTCCCCAGCTCCAGTGCTGCAGGCACATTGTTCCAGGGCCTCTGTGGTGCTCCTGATGCCCCTCACCCACTGTCGAAGATCCCCGGTGGGCGAGGGGGCGGCAGGGATCCTTCTCTCTCAGCTCTAATATATAAGGTAAGGAGGACCCTGGGATGGAAGGCTGGGGTTGGAGCTTTCTCAGACTCCACTGTGCTGCTGCTCAAGGGGAATAATCACTTTCTTAGTCTTCTGGCTCTTAGCCTAGGCCAGTGGGGGGACTGTGAAGGACTCTTTCAGCTGAGGCTGTTGCATGGCTTATTGGGAATACTAGAGGAGAGATATCAGCACCATTTGTTGCCTTTTAATCTGCTGTAATTGAGGCCCAGAAGTTAGTTTAGCTTCTCACTAAGACTGGGATGGAAGGTTAGCAAGGCAGCTGAATTCTGGGCTTTTGAGATTGTGCCCAAGGGAGATAACACGGACCCTGCAGTCCACTTGGAATCAGACTTTGGCTGACTGGGGCTCCAGCCAAACCCTCATACATACCCTCATTTGTTTTTGGTATTTCCCTTTCTGACAGGGAAGGAAAAGAACATGGTGTTGGGGGAAAGCGTGGGCTTTCGAGTCAGGGAGACCTGGGTTTGAATCTCATCTCTGCCATTCACTGTCTTTGGAGCCTTGGGTCAGTTGCTTCATTATTCTCAGACTTAAAGTGGAGTTGTTAATTACCATCTCAAGTGCTTGTCATGATGATAAAGGTAATATATGGGACAGCACTTTGTACTTGGCACCTAGTGGACAATTTAGGTAAATATTTCCCTTTCTGTTTTGCTAGCTTTTACCACCATCAACTGGTCTTAGTGCCTGGTGAGTGACAGCTCCTTTTAGCCATCATGAAGCTCTGCGTTTTCAGCATGGCCTCTATCCCACGCTACCCTGACACTGGCCTAAGGGGACTCCCAGCATCGCCTAGATTAGGGAGTGGATGATATGGCCAGAAGCAGTAGTGACCTGGTCCTCTGCCCTGCTTTCCTTCCCAGGACGAGAAGCTCACTGTGACCCAGGACCTCCCTGTGAATGATGGAAAACCTCACATCGTCCACTTCCAGTATGAGGTCACCGAGGTGAAGGTCTCTTCTTGGGATGCAGTCCTGTCCAGCCAGAGCCTGTTTGTAGAAATCCCAGATGGATTATTAGCTGATGGGAGCAAAGAAGGGTAAAGAGCCAAATGCTGGGGAGGGAAAGGAGGTCCCATTCCAGAGAAGAGTATATGTTTACTGTGGGTAACAGAATTGTAGGGGAGTCTGTGCCTTCTCCCTTAGCTCTAGACTCCCCAAGCAGATACCGTTTTGTAACAGGTTATTTTTAGCCAGTAAGACAGGCCTGCTCTAGGTTATAATTAAAGCAGATTGTTATCACATTAACCAAATGCCTGCCGGTTAATCGCCCCATGGTTCACTCTGACACTAAATCCCCCTGTAGCTACACAGTACTGTAGTTTAAAAGGCTAGGAAGCAAAAAGAAGTACTTAGGCCCATCACCACCTTCCTAGACCTCCCTCCCATTCACACCCCACCCAGGAAGCTCAGAGGTAAGTGGGATTTCATTGGATTGGGCAAAGACCCTCCAAGCAGCCAAGATGGGTAAGAAATGTCCTGAGGACAGAGTTCCTGAGTGGTCCCAGCCTCTTGAGAAAATCCTTTTAGGCAGTGTTAGAGCCCAGAGTGTCCCTCTCAGTGGCAGGTGATCATATCAGACTTGGCAATCTGTGGGACACCTGAAGAACTGGGTTTTCTTTCTAGGCCCCAGACTCTGTCTTGTGGACAGCATTAGTTAAGATGGGTAGTGTTACTTTCAGATCTCCTATTGCAGGAAGAGAAAAGTTAGTAACATTTTTCTCAGGCGCTGTGGCTTTTTTTTTTTTTTTTTCCAAAATTCAAGGCTCTTGGGGTCTTGACATAGGAATCTTCCTCCTGGAGCTTCTGAATTTTTTTTTTTTTTGAGATGGAGGCTCACTCTGTCGCCCAGGCTGGAGTGGAGTGGTGCGATCTCGGCTCACTGCAAGCTCCGTCTCCCAGGTTCATGCCATTCTCCTGCCTCAGCCTCCCGAGTAGCTGGGACTACAGGCGCCCACCACCACGCCCGGCTAGTTTTTTGTATTTTTAGTAGAGATGGGGTTTCACCGTGTTAGCCAGGATGGTCTTGATCTCCTGACCTCGTGATCCACCTGCCTCGGCCTCCCAAAGTGCTGGGATTACAGGTGTGAGCCACTGTGCCCAGCCCAGAGCTTCTGTATTTATATTGCTGGTTGTAGGCCTCAGAAAAGCCTTTGGGTTGGTAGGGGTGGGGGTGGGGTGTGAATGGGAGGGAGGTCTAGGAAGGTGGTGATGGGCCTAAGTACTTCTCTTTGCTTCCTGCAGATTGTTAGCACTGCTAGAGTTTGCTGAAGAGAAGATGAAAGTGAACTATGTCTTCATCTGCTTCAGGAAGGGCCGAGAAGACAGAGGTGAGGAGTCAGAGTGGCCTGAGCCTTACAGCCCAGACAGTGGGGCCTGGGGGAGAGAAGGGAGCACCTCCAGGATGAGGTGGGACTCTTGAATTTGCCTTTCAAACCCTGGGAAATCATGGCAGGAGGGCAAGTGCCTGAAGGGCTCGTAAAAGCCTAGTGCTTATTTGTTCCATCTTTGTTTGGGGTTTTGATTTCAGCCTACCATTGTGTTTCTCATCAGACTTTTTTACACTCTGTCTTCTGCAGCTCCACTCCTGAAGACCTTCAGCTTCTTGGGCTTTGAGATTGTACGTCCAGGCCATCCCTGTGTCCCCTCTCGGCCAGATGTGATGTTCATGGTTTATCCCCTGGACCAGAACTTGTCCGATGAGGACTAATAGTCATAGAGGATGCTTTACCCAAGAGCCACAGTGGGGGAAGAGGGGAAGTTAGGCAGCCCTGGGACAGACGAGAGGGCTCCTCGCTGTCTAGGGAAGGACACTGAGGGGCTCAGGGTGAGGGTTGCCTATTGTGTTCTCGGAGTTGACTCGTTGAAATTGTTTTCCATAAAGAACAGTATAAACATATTATTCACATGTAATCACCAATAGTAAATGAAGATGTTTATGAACTGGCATTAGAAGCTTTCTAAACTGCGCTGTGTGATGTGTTCTATCTAGCCTAGGGGAGGACATTGCCTAGAGGGGGAGGGACTGTCTGGGTTCAGGGGCATGGCCTGGAGGGCTGGTGGGCAGCACTGTCAGGCTCAGGTTTCCCTGCTGTTGGCTTTCTGTTTTGGTTATTAAGACTTGTGTATTTTCTTTCTTTGCTTCCTGTCACCCCAGGGGCTCCTGAGTATAGGCTTTTCAGTCCCTGGGCAGTGTCCTTGAGTTGTTTTTTGACACTCTTACCTGGGCTTCTCTGTGTGCATTTGCGTCTGGCCTGGAGTAAGCAGGTCCGACCCCTCCTTCTTTACAGCTTAGTGTTATTCTGGCATTTGGTTAAGCTGGCTTAATCTGTTTAATGTTATCAGTACATTTTAAATAGGGGCATTGAAATTTACTCCCACCACCAGGGCTTTTTTGGGGGATGCCTGGGCCTTTAAAACACTAGCCAAACTCTAATTAATTCTCAAATCACTGCCAGGAGTTCTTGCTCCTGGCTGCAGGCCCAGGCCCCAAGGTCTCCTTCTTGGGGTCACAAACAGCAGTAAGGAAGAGGAATATATAGCAACTCAGGGCCTGGGAATTGTGGGGCAATCCGTTCTTAGGGACTGGATACTTCTGGCTGGCTGAGTATAGTACTAGCTGCCTCCCCACCAGGTTCCGAGTAGTGTCTGAGACTCTGCTCTGCAGGGCCTAGGGTAGCGCTGGGAGTGTAGAAGTGGCCTGCCCTTAACTGTTTTCACTAAACAGCTTTTTCTAAGGGGAGAGCAAGGGGGAGAGATCTAGATTGGGTGAGGGGGACGGGGATGTCAGGGAGGCAAGTGTGTTGTGTTACTGTGTCAATAAACTGATTTAAAGTTGTGGTTGGTCTATTCTTTATTTCTGAACTAGGACCAACTCCCTACCAAACTGTTTTGACTCCAGAGCCTAATAAATAGAGGTGTGGTGCGTGCTCCTTGGGAAAAAAACTGCAGTGTAGGAGGGCAGATAAACTGGCTGAGGTCTCTCTCTGGGGCCATATTACACTGTGAAATGCGGGGTTGCTAGGAGTCTGAGACTTACTGCCAGAGCCCCCTGGAGAGAGATGTGTACATATCAGCTTCATCTAGGAGAGGCTATACCCAAGATCCAATCTGCTCTTAGCTCTTCCTTTTCTGTAAAAGGCTGGGGAGGTTGGGTCCTGATACTGGGTTTTGGCTTTTGCATGGAGCTCCTGACATTCCCATTCCTGAGGTCTTTGAAGGATGCAGCACACACCTTCCCTGTTCTAGTTTTCCCCTTTTGGAGCTCAGTGTCCTAAGGTGTGGCTTCCAGTCCCCCACACCACAGCCTGATGAATAAGCTCTCAGTGGTACCAAGGGGGCTGGAATCCTCTTCACCACAGTTTTTTTAATTTCTCAAGGATTTACTGGCACTTTTTTTCTTTTGCTTCTGTTTTGCCAATTGAAGGGCATGTTCTTCCACCTACATTTTTGCAACTGTCTACTGTTAAGCTGTGGCTCTCACATTGCTCTTTATGGAGCCTGCTTGTGTTTTCACTGTGGGCCAAGTCATTTATCTTGGACTCTAACTTGTATTCATTAAAAGTAATGAGCTCGAATCCCAAGTTTTTTTTTGTTTTTGTTTTTTTCATGGAATCTCGCTCTGTCGCCCAGGCTGGAGTGCAGTGGTGTAATCTCAGCTCACTGCAACCTCCGCCTCCTGGGTTCAGGTGATTATCCTGTCTCAGCCTCCTGAGTAGCTGGGATTACAGATGCCCACCATCACACTCAGCTAATTTTTTGTATTTTCAGTAGAGACAGGGTTTTGCCATGTTGCCCGGGCTGGTCTCGAACTCCTGGCCTCAAGTGATTCCCACGCTTCGGCCTCGCCAAGTGTTGGGATTACAGGCGTGAGCCACCGTGCCTGGCAAATGTTATTAGAGCAAGTCTGGGACTAGAGACATTCCGTTGAAATCAAGTGTCCCCCACTGGGCAGGTAATTCCTAGAGGCAGCTGGCAGTTTAGGATGCAGATATTAAACAAACACAAGGAATCGACAAGACAGATGAAAAAGAACCAAGACAAAACTCAGTCCCTTACTTTTTCCCAAGAAACATGCTTGAGATTCTGCTGCCACCTATTGGTGATTCCTCTTCAATACGGCTAGAGTCACAAAGGCTAAATTGGAAACCCAGTCAAGATTTCCCTCTTCAAAAAAAAATCACCCAGTCAAGATTTCCCTTTTCAAAAAAAACTTTTGCTATTGAAGACCACTGACAGGAAAGAAATATGGTACCCAAAAGGCTGCACTACAGTTTAAAAAGCAACTTAGAAGGTAGAATATTTTGGGGGTGGGGGTGGTGTGTGAAAGGCAAACTAAGTCTAAATTTAAGAACAGGGACATTAAAAACTTTATTCAATAAATACAACAAATAATTTAAAAATATATTTCAATTCCAAAGCCAATTAAGAAGAGGAAGTAGAGAGAAAGGGAAAAAAGTGGGGATGAGGAAGGTAGAGGAAAAGAGAAAGCGGCCAAACAATGGTTTGGTTGGGCTGTGTTTCAGAGTATACCACCCTTTAAAATTCTGATCAAATACTCTTGACCCATAAACCCTTAGCCCTTGTTCTGATGGGGTAGCCACAGGAGTCCACCAGCTGGGAATCATCCACTGAGCTCTGGATCAGAGCATTCTAGAGGCTGGAATGTCGGGGGAGTTTTAGGGGTAGTTTTCCGGTCATTCCTAAAACCATCCGTCCTAACTCCCAGGCAGGTTTAAATAGTGCAAACTCTTAGGCAGAGAGCTCCCAGCTGCATAGTTTCACAGGTGAGTGTCCCAAGCCAGGGCCTCCAGGAAACAGGTCCCAGAGTACCCAGGGGTCCAAAGCCACTTCGGTGAATGGAAATCTAAAGGTGAAGAGAGGGGAGGCCAGGGCACAGAGTAAAGCTCCTGGGCTAAGCCAGTGGCCAAGCCAGAAAACAATGCTGGGCAGAAAAGGGTTACAAGGCAGGTAGTCTGGACACTGGATTCAACAGCTTGCCATCAGCCAGGGAAAGTGAAGCTGAGGATGCATATGGAGCAGGGCCAGGAAGATCAGGAGAGCTGAGGGAGAACAGGAAAATTGGGAGGAAGGAAGAGGCAGCTCAGCAGCAAACTCCAGGAGAAATAACCAGCAGCCCTCACAGATTTGTGATTGTCTCTTAAAAAGATTTATTTTCTCTTCTTGCCTGAATGTACAAAGGCAAAAAGAGTACAGTTTGTATATATATATATTTATATATATATATAAAAAAACAAGGAACTTGGTAATGTACACTTTACAGAAGGGAAGAATCAGGAAGACTGAAATTAAATTCAACAGAGCAACGCCAATGGAACAAAATCTATGAACAGCAACACTGCCCCTCCAGCCCGGGCCTCCAGCTCGCCCCAACCTGCTCCCAATGGGAGGGCTGAGCACCAAGGCAAGCGGGTGGGCTGGGGCAGGAGGGGCTGGGGACAGGGCCTGGGAGGGGCTTGATCCCAGGAGGGGGGCCCATGGTAGGAGATCACTGGAAAGCTTCCTGGGATGCCCAAGTAATTAAAACAAACAACAAAGGCCCAGAATTATGGGGCCAACTAGCTGCCCAGTTGCATCTTGGGGGCATCAGAGTAGACAAGGGGATGGTGAGAGGGTATACGGGATAAGTGACATGGGTGGCCTCAAAGCCTGTATGAAATAATTCTCTAGCCCTCTGCAGTCTTAACTCGCAACTCTAAGTCCTGCCATGGCCCCTTAAACGTGGAAAAAAGAGACTCAAGAAATCACCATTTCATTTCATAGGGTGCCCTCTTACCCTTCTAAGCGTGTGGTTCTTTGACCTTGTGATGTGTGGAGAGAGTTCGGTAAGAGAAGGAAATTTCATACATGTACATGTACAAGGCAGGAAAAGGGGATGAAGGGAACTGCCATACCTTAAAATGAGGAAGTAGTTGATGTGGATCCTAAAGAGCAGCTCTCCAAGCCTTGCCTGATCTATCTGGGGATGAGGCCCCCTCCCTCTTTAGCTTCTCCTCTATGGGAAGCCCCGTGAGCAATGTCTGTGAGGGCCTGGGCAGGGGTGGCTCATAAACAGGCTTGGTCTGGTGGTCTTGGCCCTTGGTAGCAAATTTTTCCAGCCTTTGTTTGTGGGGTGGGATAGGATGGGGACCCCTGCTGAGCATCTCATCCCTCTGACTAGGTCATGGATGCCACAGGTAGCTCCCACCTGTGTTTCTCCTCCCCATGTAGAGGTGGGCAGCAAATCTTTCACTCAGCACTTGTCAAGAATCTCCACAGCTGCTGCTTCATGTTATTTCAGAGGGAAGACTAGGCCCGGCAGGCATCAGGATCTGCCATGGTGGCTTTCACCTGCTCTTCTGAGCAGCTCCTACTCTTCAGGGGAGACTTGGATATGAGGATCAAAGAGCCAAATGTTTAAGAAGAAAAATTAAAAAGGAAAAGAAAAACCTGTTCTCTTCTGGAGAACCCAAGGCTGCCCAGCTAATACAGAAGTTCGTCCTCTGTGTTACAGAATGAGTGGAAAGGGCAGGAATGCAGGGCCATGCCTGCCCAATGCAAAAGAAAATTACTCCTAACGGTTTCTTTACAATATATACAGAGTATGCTGCAGGCCAGTGCCACAGATACAAAACACACAACAATATTTAAAAACAAACAGGAACAGAGAGGGAACCTTGGCTCCACCTCACAGGAGCCCCAGGAGGGCATAATCAGGCTGAAATTCAGTCACCCTCTTGGTTGGGGTGACTCAGGTGGGGTGGGATGACGGTGTCTGCACTAGCTACTTCCACGGAGGAAAGGGAGGTCACTGCTCAGAGCACTGCCCATGAGGGCAGCAGAAGGCAGAGGGAATGATGGGTATGAGGGAGGCTGTTTTGGGGCCCTGCCAAGAGGTCTAAAACAATGGTTTTTGGGGAGGACTCAGAACCCAACTTGAACAAAAACGAGGAGGCAGAAACCTAGGGAAAAGGCCTGTAGATCAGAGGGGATCCTCTTGAGCAGATGGTGACCCTAAGCCTCTCAAGTGTAGGGTTCCAGGGTCCTTGGAAATCAACTACTACTGGGCATTGTGCTTACTGTCCCCTATTTCCCATTTTCCAAACTGAGTCGGAGCCAAGTTCCTGCTCCTAGTCACTTTTGGCACTCTGGTCACACACTCCCTTTTCCAGCCTACACTGGTGTCTGTCAGTCTTTATCTCTCTCTCTCAATCCAGAGGGTCATGGAAAGATAGGAGGGGAGAACAGAGGGATGATACCTCAAAAGCCAAGTAAGCTAAGCTCCCCACACCTTGGGGAAGACATGACCCCAATAAAGCTACCAAATCATCCTCACTTTCCCAGTACAAAGAGTATAAAGCTTCCATTGGGAGACTGCATTTCTAAGGAGAGCAGAGAAATGTTGGCTGCCTCAAAGCACAGCTCCACTGAGTACATTCTGAGACTCTAATAAGTAATGGCTTGGATGTGTTATTCCAGGGTCTAAGGAACAAATAACCTCCCATGGCCAGTGGCCCCTCAAACAAAATATGTGTTACCAAGAAACACAGCTTATATTGGCCCACATGGAGGTTATAGACTGAGCTATATAAAATCATGTACTTGTAGACAGAGGAATTGGGCTGTATATATCTGTGGCCTCAAATGAGGAAGATATCAGATGGCTAGATGACAGGACATCTCCAAGAACTGCTGGGTGCTCCCAGGGGCTGCCTTCTGGGCCTTGCCCTAAGGTGACCTGGCAGACTCCAAGGTTCCCCAAGCTGGGGGGAATACTAGTTTATCTGCCTGAGGCTTAAGAGCCAAGCAGTGGAAAAGAAGAGGCAAGACCAGTGTGGGGATCCCCCTGGGAAAGGCACCAAGGGGTTAGGAGGGAAGGGAAAAGGGCAAGGAGTTGGGGAATAAGAAGCAGCAGGACTTAGTGGGGACGCAGGTTCTACTTCACAGACGTCATTCATGCTCCAGCACCAGCTTGCTCCCAGTGTCCCTGGGGAGCCCTGTGCTGGTGTTGGAACCCCTGCCCCCTGCCTCACAGGCAGCTCAAGGCCATGTTGGGGCAGATGCCTTGGTCTTCCTTTCCAGGCTAGGTTGTGAGCGTTTATATGTGCTCATGTAAATGGGGAGAAGTCTCCACATTTGAAGACCTTGTTTTCACAATTATGTAGAAAACAACCCCCAATTTCTTTCCTGAGATTCTAGTTCCTCCACATGCTGCCAATTCCCAGGGTGCAAAGCACTAGGGAGATGCAGAATCTGGTGATGGTGGTAATGATGGTGAGGGGTATGGCTGCTGTGCTGTCTTCAGACCTTACCCAGTGCTTGGGGGTGGGGGTCCCTCCCTGGTGGGCGGGGGGGCTGGTACTGCTCCAGCAGCAGACCAAGGGCTTGGGGAACAGAGCAGTGGCTTCTCTGGGCTGAGGCCATGTTCCCCTGGTTGCTTCCCGTGCCTTCATCTCCACAGAGGCCACAATAGTCATAACTGTGGCTGAGAGAATAAATATTTTTGCTAAGTACCAGCTCTCCAGCTCCTGAGGAAGAGGTAGGGTCAGGTAGTCCGGAGGTCTGGTGGAGGTGAGATAGCCAAGGGTCTGCCTTCAGTCATGGTGGAAACGGCAAACAGGATGATCAACACCATTTAACTGATGTCTAAACGGCACCTTCAGCACCTCCTTGGGTAAGCCAGTCCGGGCCCGTGAAGCTGACTTTATCCGGGCACTTGGTGTCTGCAAGGGAAACATGGACAGATAACCAGGCACTCAGCCTGTTGGTAAAAAAACCACAAGGTGGCACTCCAAGAAAATGAATTGTAGGAGTGGCCAGTACTGGTCCCTAGGGGACACTGTGTTCCACAGGTCCTCTCAGATGCACATGGCTTCACGGGAGACTCTTGTACAAGAGGCTTGGCCAGGGTTCCATGGATTCCAGACTGCTGACCCCTCATAGCTATTTCTCACCTAGGGATTCTGTGATCCAGGTAGCAACTATCCCGGCTTTATGTGTTGCCCCAAATTAATAAAAGTGACTTACCATTCTCACCTCCTGGGGGGTGGGTAGAGTGAGGGAGTTGAGCCTTGTTGGCTGGCAACAATGGCTGTAGAAGAAAGCCCTGAATAAGCAGGAGAACATGTTAGTGTAGCACTCACAGAAACCTTCCATTAATCTTTTTCCCTGAGTTTTGGGGTGCTGACAGAAAAAAAAATCTGATACTCAGCCAGATATATTTGCTGGAGATAGATAATAAGGCTCTATTTCTCAGCTGATTGTTTCTCTTTGCCTTTGGGGAACACCTGTTCCATATTCTTCTGACTATCAAGGCCAGTATTCTGGAGGAATTTAAGAGTCCCCAAACTCCAAGGGAGGAATAAATATCATATGCTTTAATGACTGCAGGAGGTTAGGACTGTGCACAGATTAGAAGCTCAAAAAAAAAAAATTAAAAAAGGATTCTTATGAGGCAGGTAGGAGGGTCCTAGCTGTGGACATTACTACTGGGATGAAGATAAACAAAACAAAACAAGACAAAACAACAGGTGGTAGGGAAAACAGGCTTACCTGCTGCATAGGGTAAGTTGTACTGTGCTGGGAGCAATGAGTACCCCAAGTGGTGGTGGTGGTGGTGTGTGGACATCAGGCGCTGGGAAGGAGAGGTGCGGGGCCGGTCAACACTCCGTTCACCCCCACTTGCTCCCCCGACGCTGCTACAGCTGCCACCACCCCCAACCACCCCACAGCCTCCTCGATCTCTCTCCTGAGAAGTTTTATCACTTATCTGGAAAGGAAACCAGAGACACAAAAGCACTATAGTGAGACACATATGCATACAACCACACACACACACACACACACACACACAAGTGAGATGCCCAGGGTGCCACCTTATGACCCCTAAAAGTGCAAGATACCTAAGAATAAAGAAGATGCCCTGGGGGCTGCCAGTGTCAAGTCAGCCAAGCTGCACTGTGGTCAGGACCTGAACTTGCCCACCTTCTCCCAGACCCTGGATCTGGCCTTACTAGTCTTTGGGTAACAGCCAGCATCACTGTACTTTTCTTACCGTGGGAGACTTGCTCTTGTAGTGACTGGCATGCTGCTGCAAGATGTCCAGGGCTTTGGACTCTGAGCTGGATTTACAAGTCACACTGGGGCTGGCTCGTGCCTTGTCAGCATCTTCACCACCTGAGACCTTGCTGCCATATGGGGAAAAAGAGTAGCTGGAAGGCAGGTAGGAACCTGTGGAAGGAGAAATCAAACAGTCAAAGAGATGGGAGAGGTAGAGGAAACTCTGCTTTAGTGAGCTTGATTGGGTGGGCATCAGCTTTCCTAGGCACAGGCTGAGGTATTTTCTAACATAGTGTCTTTGGCTGAGACTGTTGGCTTGACCTTTCTTTACTGAGCTCTACAGGAAAAATTAGCTAAGGGATATTAGGAACATGGCCCTGTTTCCTGCTTCCAACTTCCATAGATCTGATACTGTTCTTTGAACTGGTCTCAGATTCATCTTGGAGAAGTGATATGATAAAGTGGAAAGATCACACTTATCTGGAGTCAGAGCCTTGGGCTCAAAACCTTACTCTGAGACTTACTAGCTTGGTAACCTTGAGCAAATAAATAACTGTTTTGAGCTTCAGTTTCTTCATCATCAAAAATGAAGATATCAATACTTATTACTTAAGGTGATAGGGAGGATTAAAAAAGATAATGTCTATAAATCTCAGAGGACAGCGCCTGGCTCAGGGCGAGCACTCAACAAATGCAACTATGATTTTTATATTGATGGGTGTGAGTGACAGGGATAAAGGAACACCTCAAGGGTAAGAAATTTCCTATTTCTGTTTGAAAAGCTTATTTCTATTTAGAGTGTGCTTTATAATAATGTCACCAGAATGTTGAGACTATTTAGGCTGCTGTAGGAAGCTGGAGGCTCTAAGGAGTGAGGCTAAAGCAGTGCCCTTCCACCCCAGAAGCACCCCACATGGTTCTTTGGGCAACAAAACGAGTAGAGTTAAATAAGAGCATTTTCTTCTAACAAGTTAAAAAACATTTAAGGCCGGAGCGGTGGCTCATGCCTGTATCTCAGCACTTTGGGAGGCCAAGGCAGCCGGATCACCTGAGGTCGGGAGTTCAAGACCAGCCTGACCAACACGGAAGAACACCGTCTCTACTAAAAATACAAAATTAGCCAGGAGTGGTGGCACATGCCTGTAATCCTAGCTACTTGGGAAGCTGAGGCAGGAGAATCGTTTGAACCCAGGAGGTGGAGGCTGTGGTGAGCCGAGATCACGCCACTGCACTCTAGCCTGTGCAACAAGAGTGAAATTCCGTCTCAAAAAACAAACAAACAAAAAACATTTAAACACTATAAAGAGCTTGTCTTTTCCAAGCTGAATCTAGCAGGACCTCCCCCCAGTCTGACTTCAGATGGCTCTTCTTACTTGACAGGTGAACATGATCTGGCAACTGAATCCATGCATTGTTATGGTTTGCATTTTATTTGTTCTTTGTGTCTCTCCACTATGATTAAGCTGTAAGCTCCGGGAGTGGAAGGAACTCAATGGCTCTACTTCTTTTGTACCTCCCACAGTGCCTAGCACACTGCAAAACGTGGAGTATATGGTTTACAAATTCCAGCTGAGGGGAGACAGCAGTGACAGAGAAGGAGTTTTACCTTTAGTTAGCAATGAAAACTGACTACAGAGACAATCCTTGAGCTGGAGCAAGGGAGAGAGAGGTAGTCACACAGACTATCATTATGGGTCATTCAAGGAACTATGGGTTATGGTGGCCACCTCACAGAATGACTCAGTGAAAAAAGGTCCGTCATCTAAGCGAGCCTCAATATGCCTTGGGGCTGAGCAAGAAAACTCTGGATGTGAAATCTGTGCTTCATTCCCCCTTCCAGTGAATGGAATAGTGCTGGCACTTGGTGCTGTACCTGGGTAGTTCTGCATCATCACAGCAGGCATGCTCCGGTAGCTGGGGTGGTTGGGGTCGTAGGACTGACTGTAGGAATAGCCGTGCATGTAGGGGATGTAGGACTGGTGCTGGGTAAGTGGGGAGGACACAGGCACATGGACACTTGGCCGGGGCTCCTTGCTCCCAAGGCGAGACTCCTCTGACGTGGGCAGCTTGCAGTCACTACTTGTGCTTTCCTTCCCATCTTCCTTGGGGACAGAGTCCTTACTCCGACTCCTTTCCTCCTTCAATTTGCGGTCCCGCTCCTCCTTCCACCGCTCATCCTCTGACTTGATGTCTGAGTACTTGGCAGGATAAACATATGTCCACATCCGGGGCTCTGCCTCCTACAACAATCACAGAACAACGACTGGGTGTTGTACAGATAAGACAGATATACTTCAAGCCCAAGGTCCCAGTAGAACCACCAGAGCAGATAATTAGTACTAGACACCTGGGGCAGAGTAGGATTTTGGCCTCTACTGATCTTGTTTATAATCCAACTCTGCTCCCTTTTGGTTAAAAAGCCCCCGCCCCCACCTCTGCACCCACCCACAGGGAACAAGATGGGGCAGGGGGAGAAAAGGAAAATCCATCCATGCATCAGTGGATGTTTTCTAGGTAAGAACAAGCATTCTGGGAAAACGACTGAAATAGGAGAGGCTGCCCCTTCCAATATGTTTAGATTGTTTCACTTTTTCAGAGCACGCTCAGGGACTGGAAAGCTTATAAGTGACACTCAGATCAGAGGAGGGAGGGAAGCATAACTATTATACCAAGAGGGAAGGGAAGACATTCTAAGTCTCATGAGCAGAGCAAGATATGAGATTCCAAGTTCCTAGTTCTAACTCAACCTATAAAATCCTTGTTAAAGAAACTCAGTAACTGAGTATACTTTGGACCTACTCTAAAAAATAGAGAGACCATCAATAACTCATTTCATAGGAACCAAACAGTGGAGGAAACACGGACAAGGAATCGAGATACCTGGGTTCTAATCCTGGCTCTGCTAGTGAGGTCTCAAGTAACCCCAGACAAATTAAGCTAACTTGTCTGGGCCTTTCCTGTCAAATGGAAAAAACACCTGCTATGGATATAAAAGTGCTTTTTAAAAAACATTAATATGAATCCCTGTGCTTTGGGAGGCTGAGGCGCGAGGATTGCTTGAGGCCAGGAGTTCAAGACCAGCCTGGGCAACATAGTGAGACCCCTCTCTACAAAAAATTAAAACATCATCTGGGTGTGGTGGCATGCATCTGTAGTCCTGGTTAATTGGGAGGCTGAGGCAGGAGGACTGCTTGAGCCTAGGAGTTGGAAATTGCAGTGAGCTATGACTGCATCATTGCATTCCAGCCTGGGCAACACAGAGGGACTCTGGTCTCTATAAAAACATAAAAATAAAAAAAATTACGACTGGGCGCAGTGGCTCACGCCTTAATCCAGGTACTTTGGGAGGCCGAGGTGGGTGGATCACAAGGTCAGGAGATCAAGACCATCCTGGCTAACATGGTGAAACCCCGTCTCTACTAAAAATACAAAAAATTAGCCAGGTGTGGTGGCGTGCACCTGTAATCCCAGCTACTCGGGAGGCTGAGGCAGGAGAATCGTGTGAACCTGGGAGGCAGAGGTTGCAGTGAGCTGAGATTGCGCCAGTGCATTCCAGCCTGGGTGACAGTGCCAGACTCCATCTCAAAATAAATAAATAAATAAATAAAATAAAATAAAAATTGGCTGGGTGCAGTGGCTCATGCCTGTAATCCCAGCACTCTGGGAGGCTGAGGCAGGTGGATTACTTGAGGTCAGGAGTTCCAGACCAGCCTGACCAAGATGGTGAAGCCCCATCTCTACTAAAAATACAAAAAAAATTAGCTGGGCATGGTGGCGTGTGCCTGTAATCTCAGCTACTCGGGAGGCTGAGGCAGGAGAATTGCTTGAACCTGGGAGGCGGAGGTTGTAGTGAGCCAAGATTGCACCACTGCACTCTAGCCTGGGCAACAGAGTGAGACTCCATCTCAAAAAAAATAATAATACTAAAATAAAATAAAAAACATTAAAATAGTTTACAAAGGTAAAGAATCCTTAAAATTATACATCTCTCCTGCTAATCTCAATTCCGTTGAACCCCTGTATAAGGACAGCCCTTATTTGTGAGGAAGATAGACGATTACCATACGGTATTTCCACTTCCTCCCAGGGCAACAGTTACCTGTCGGTACCAGAGTATTGGATCCATCTCTGCCTGTCGACCACACTCAGCACCTGTCTTGGCCTCAGAGGCCTCCTTGCTTAGGTGGCTGGCATCACTCAGCTTCACTTTAAGGCCTTCAGGGGCCTGGCCCGGGAGTTTTGAAGAGTCATCTAACTTGGGAATGATGACTGATTTGGCTGGGTCAGCCCCTGGCTCCTTGGCCTTGCCAGGTCCTGATTTCACCAGGTCTGTCAGGCTGGGGGCCTTGGTGAGAGTTGGTGGAATTGACGGCTTTTGCTTCCACTCTTCCTTGAGTGCTGCCTCCCGCTCCTTCAGGCCCATCTCTGCCTTCTTGTCCACTCCCCGCTGCTGCTGCTCTAAGCTCTGGCGTTTCTGCTGTTCTTCGTACTGCTGCCGGTAAGCCGTGTTAGTGCTCAGAAGGTGGGTGTGGTAACTCTGGTCGCTGTAGCCATAGGGGGGTACATAGGCATACTGGTTGTAGTACAGGGACTGCATGTACATATTGGGACGCTGCTGGATGACCGAGGGCTGCTGACTGGAACTGCTCAGCTCGGGCTTCTTTTCTTCACAGATATCGTTCTTCACTTTCCCTTCTATGCTCTCAGGTTCCTCATCCCTTTTTGTCTTCAGGGCCTGGCTCTCCACTCCTGCCTGGCTGCTGGGGTTCAGAGCCCCAGGGCTGGACTGTGCATAACTTGGAGAATAGTAACTCTCAAAGCCTTGGTAATATGGTGAGTCTTTGCTCTGAGGCTGAGGGGGAAAAAGAGTTTTCTTAGCCCCTTCTTTAACCAACTGTTCGGCGTCCTTTGATTTGACACTGTCTACCTTGCCCTCCCCATCCTCCCCAGCATCAGAGATGTCAGAGTATGCAGGGCTGTTGGTTTTGACTGAGCTGGCTTCAGCTCCATTCTGGGTCACCACATGTAAGGGAGTCAGGGGCTGAGTAGGGGTAGTGTTTTCAAGGCGGCTACTGCCTCCAATGGAAGGGCTGGGGGCATTGTCCGTGAAACTGTAGATCTTGTCGGCTTCAGCCTTGATGCTAGCCAGTCGGCTTTGGTGGGGGTCTGATGAGCCATTTAGGAGCCCCTCCATTTTCATCCCATCTCCTGAAGATTCCCTGAATGGGCTTTTGCCTTCCTCTGCTCGACACACCTTCCCAGGGGTCAGAGGACTTTCAAGTTCCTTTGAAGATTCCTTCTTTTTTTTGTCTTTCTTTTTCTTGTCCTTGGCTGGAGTCAAGGCAGGGTTGACTGTGAAAGGTTCTCCCATAACAGTGGGCTTGGGCTGAATGGGCTTGAGTTGGGGACTGTTGGGCATGGCTTGTGCCACTGTGGCGGTCAAGCCTGAGGAAGAGCCTGGGCTCGCTGCTGTGAAGGTGGCTGTCTGGAAGGTGTAGATTTGCTGTGGGGGGATGGCAGGGGCAATGGGACGGGCTGACTTTAGGCTCTTGGAAGGAATCTTTTCAGGTTTTAAACTAGAGGGTTTTTTACATTTTTCTTTTTCCATACACTTCCTTTCTAAAGAATCAAAGGCATCATTGCTTGTTTCATCCATCACTGAGGGTCCATCATCAGAGCCATCATTGGATAAGGCCCCAAGGTCTGTGTCCCCTTCCCCACTCAACTTTTTCTTACAGAGGCCTTTTGTGCTGAATTTGCTTGAAGGAGAAGGGCTATGGGGCTCTACAAGTCGAACTTTGGGGGTAGCTGAGCGGGCAGGGGACAAGGAACCTTTTTGTGAGACAGATGCACCGTTGCAGCTCCCAAGATCTGCATGGAGAATAGGTTCCTCTCCGTACTCACTGTCCCCATCCGCTTCCGGCTTGCTGTCATCATCTGTATGGGCATGAGCTTGGTGGTACTTAAGTCCATTGATGTGCTTGTACTTCTTGTTGCAGTTTGGGTGGGGACAGTCAATTAGGACGGGGGAGGGGCAGTTTCTGTCCAGAACAGTGGGTTCTACCTTTGTCCCAGGAAGGGGGCCAGTGGCTGAGCCCATGGAATTAGTACGGACACGCTTGCTCCCTTTGGAGTCCTCTGAGCTAGAATTCAGCTCCATGTCTGAAAGGGGTTTGTTTTTCCGCTTATTAGCTGAGGAAGGGCTGGCCTTGACATCCTCAGAAGTGCTGCTGGCAGGTGGGCGGTGCTCTGAAGAATTCTGGCTGCCCCGACGGCCTTTGCTATTGGCTCCTGCCCGGGTTTTGCTGCTGTTACTGGTCCCTTTGCTGTCAGAGGCTGTGGCTGTCTCATTGACAGGTGTATTACTGTTGGGACGCATGCGTTTGCCTCTACCCCGGCCATTGCGCATTTCCAGGTCACTGGTCGGGGAGTCACAGAACCTTGGCAAAGGATAAACACAACAGAATATTATTAAGAAGAGAAAACATCTTCAAAGCAGTTTAGCTGTAGCCTCCAGAACTGTCCAGATGGTGACTATCATTTTCAATGAATATGATTTGTTAAAAGAAATTCTGATTGTGAATTGCACTAAATGGTGAACTCCTGGGATACACGTTAGCTGCAAATTATTCCCAAACATTTACCTCTAAAACCATGCAGAATCTGTTCCGTAAGATAGTCAAGTCAACATTTCCTATATACAGCCATAGTCATGGTTTCAGAAAAGATGTTAGAGATCATACAGGAAATTGAGGCCAGGCATGCTAAATGACTTGTCCAAGGTAACATCACTGATTAATGGCAACATACAACAAGACTCTAGCTCTACTTTTAGCCCAATGCCTTTTTCTTACATACCTCACTATGAAGATATAGAAAGGTAGAACAAAGCACCTATCCATTTAAGAGTTCCCTAAACATCAGATATAACCAAGAGTACATGAGTTCTTTGAATGTCTGGAGATCTGCACCTAGGGGTCACTCCTCATAGGCCCTAAAGTAGCTTTTCATGGAGCTTAAAACACTGCCTAGAATTAAACCTTTAGCTAAGATTGGTTCCCTTGTAAATCTAAAGATGGTTTTGACTCTCTTGTTCCAGGGGGCAGCTGGAGTAGGTTGTTTCTAAGACAGTGGGAACCATAGCTATTGCAGAAAAGAGGCAAATTTTGTCAAATATCTCCTTTGGGTTCCCAGAACAGTTCTACTGTAAAGCTACTTACTGCTTCCTTGTTATCAACCTACTCACTCAGCTCCTATCTCTCTGGATTCTTGCATGCCCAAAGCAGAAATAAGTCCTTCCAATAGGTTTCTCAGAAATGCAAAGGGAGGGCATAAAGAACTTTACTAACTTGTTTTAGCTCATATGCTTCTGATTCTTTTTTTTTTTTTTTTTGAGATGGAGTCTTGCTCTGTCGCCAGGCTGGAGCGCAGTGGCACGATCTCGGCTCACTGTAACCTCCAACTCCCTAGTTCAAGTGGTTCTCCTGCCTCAGGCTCCCGAGTAGCTGGGGTTACAGGCATGAGCCACCACGCCCAGCTAATTTTTGTATTTTTAGTAGAGACGGGGTTTCACCGTGTTGGCCAGGATGGTCTCGATCTCCCGACCTTGTGATCCACCCGCCTCGGCCTCCCAAAGTGCTGAGATTACAGGCGTGAGCCACTGCACCTGGCCTGCTTCTGATTCTTATCAGGGCAACTATTATGGTCTGAATATAGTCTTTTTTTTTTTTTGAGATGGAGTGTTGCTCTGTCGCCCAGGCTGGAGTGCAGTGGAGCGATCTCAGCTCACTGCAACCTCCAACTCCCTGGTTCAAGCGGTTCTCCTGCCTCAGGCTCCCGAGTAGCTGGGGTTACAGGCATGAGCCACCATGCCCAGCTAATTTTTGTATTTTTAGTAGAGACAGGGTTTCACCATGTTGACCAGGCTGGTCTCGAACTCCTGACCTCAGGTGATCCACCCGCCTCAGCCTCCCAAAGTGCTGGGATTACAGGCGTTAGCCACCGCACCCAGCCTGAATATAGTCTTATAAAAGTCTAAGCCTTGGGCTGGGTGCGGTGGCTCATGCCTGTAATCCCAGCTCTTTGGGAGGCCGAGGCGGGAGGATCACGAGGTCAGGAGATCGAGACCATCCTGGCTAAAACGGTGAAACCCCGTCTCTACTAAAAATACAAAAAATTAGCCGGGCGTGGTGGCGGGCGCCTGTAGTCCCAGCTACTCGGGAGGCTGAGGCAGGAGAATGGCGTGAACCCGGGAGGTGGAGCTTGCAGTGAGCCAAGACTGCGCCACTGCACTCCAGCCTGGGCGACAGAGCGAGACTCCATCTCAAAAAAAAAAAAAAAAAAAAAAAAGTCTAAGCCTCTAGAAACCTGGCCCAGCATCTCTGAAAATTAAGAGGCATAAATAGCCCTCGGTAGAGAATAATCACATCTGAGAATAAGAAAGTGGTATGGAATCAAGAACTTTAAAATACCTTTCCTTGGGACATTTCTGCCCATCTTTGTTTCATGGGAACAATGGGCAGATGAAGGTTTAAGATACTTTTCCTAAAAGAACTGTTCAGATAATAACTACCATTTTCAATGAATATGATCCAACAAAGAAACTTGTGACTGCATGGGAATTGCATTAATTGGTAAGCTCCTAGGATGTTACCTGTATGTTAGTTGCAAGTTACCCTCAACGCCTGGATTTCCCAAACCCTGACGAACTGAGTACTAATATTAGGAAAAAGCTATAAGGGGCCATTGATTGAAATATCCATCTAAAGGTCAAATTGCGACATGAAAAGGTCCTTGTGAAACCCGTATGTTCTAGTAGAGTTTATAAAACTAAAAATGTTCTTGAGTTCAAATTTCTGAGAAATAGCTATCATCAATGAATGTTTGCTCACCCATGGTTAGATGTTATAGCTTTGGTCTCAAGGTGACTTTAATAATTCCAGTCAAAGTGCATCCCCTCAACACTTCACTTTTTTTTCCTAATTTTAAAAATATAAAACACTTAACGAATCTGCATGTCACCCTTGTGCAGGGGCCATGCTAATCTTCTCTGTATTGGTCCAATTTTAGTATATGTACCACTGAAGTGAGCACCCGCTGAACACTTTATTTTTTTTTAATTAATTTTTTTTTTTTTTTTTTTTTTTGAGACGGAGTCTTGCTCTGTCCCCCAGGCTGGAGTGCAGTGGCGCGATCTCGGCTCCCTGCAAGCTCCGCCTCCCGGGTTCATGCCATTCTCCTGCCTCAGCCTCCCGAGTAGCTGGGACTACAAACGCTCGCCACCACGCCCGGCTAATTTTTTTGTATTTTTAGTAGAGATGGGGTTTCACTGTGTTAGCCAGGATGGTCTCGATCTCCTGACCTCATGATCCACCCGCCTTGGCCTCCCAAAGTGCTAGGATTACAGGCGTGAGCCACCGTACCCGGCCCCCCGAACACTTTAATACACAATTCATCTTCTTTTTTTTTTTTTTTTTGAGATGGAGTTTCGCTTTTTGTTGCCCAGGCTGGAGTGCAATGGTGTGATCTTGGCTCACCACAACCTCTGCCTCCTGGGTTCAAGCGATTCTCCTGCCTCACCCTCTCAAGCAGCTGGGATTACAGGCATGCACCACCATGCCTGGCTAATTTTTTATTTTTAGTAGAGACGGGGTTTCTCCATGTTGGTCAGGCTAGTCTGGAACTCCTGACCTCAGGTGATCCGCCTGCCTCAGCCTCCCAAAGTGCTGGGATTACAGGCGTGAGCCACCGCGCCTGGCCATTCAGTCTTCTTGAATGTCAGATAAATACAGTGCTTTCCCTGGTATCTATACCATCATGTCCTTTAAAAGCTGGATGTACAACTCTAGCAGGATAAAAGTATAAGGGATCACCAATTAGTGTGGTTCAGAATAATATAAACTAAATAGCTGTAAGTGCTTACCTTGGGGGTGCCCAATCATGTCGTGTGCAGTCAAGGAGTGTACCTACATATGTCTTGTTCCTCCACGTTACATTTACCACCAACATCCCTGGAAAATAAGAGCACATAGATATAGACAAGACACACCCCATTTGCCACTGAGAATAGTATTCTTTTGATCAGCACTCTGACTTCTATAAGAGGGTTTAGGAGGTACTCTGGGTACCAATGGGACAAATAGGATTGGGCCAGAATAGTTCCATAGGAATTGCCTACAATGCTACTGAGGTCCCTTAGGATGGGTAACAGTTGTAAAGACTTCATGGTTTTGTCAAGACACATTTTATTTTTATTTTTGGAGATGGGGTTTTGCTCTGTTGCCCAGGCTGGAGTACAGCCTCAAGCGATCGTCCCACCTCAGTCTCCCAAGTAGCTGGGATCACAAGAGCATGTCACCACACCTGGATAATTAAAAAAATTTTTTTTTGGCCGGGAGTGGTGGCTCACGCCTGTAATCCCAGTACTTTGGGAGGCTAAGGCAGGCAGATCACTTGCAGCCAGGAGCTCAAGATCAGCCTGGCCAACATGGGGAAAACCTGTCTCTACTAAAATTACAAAAATTAGCTGGGCATAGTGGTGCATGCCTGTAATCCCAGCTACTCAGGAGAGTGAGGCAGGAGAATCACTTGAACCCAGGAGGTGGAGTTTGCAGTGAGCCAAGATTGCGCCACTGCACTCCAGCATGGGTGACAGAGTGAGACTCCGTCTCAAAAAAAAATAAAAAATAAAAAAATAAAGCTTTTGACTAGGTAATGTAGCCTTACTCCAAAATTCAAAAGGTAGTCCCCACACCTCAACCAAAAAAAATCTCCAACAAACCCTAATATAAAATGAAGTGTCCCTTCCATAACTGTTCTTCAGTCTTCCAGTTCCCCTACTTGGAAACATCCAAAAGTCTTCCACAGATATTTTATATGTATATATGCAAATATGTTCATATATTCTTCCTTAAATGATAGCAATATACACACAATGTTCTGCACACTGCTTTTTTCATGTACCCAAATATTTTGGATCATTCCATATGTGTAGACAGAGAACTACTTCATTCTTTTCAATGGCAGCATTTGAACGGACATTTAGGTTGTTTCAATCTTCTGCTATTACAAATAAACTGCAATGAATAATCTTGTACAAATGCTTCATTTTACCTACACAAATATGTCTGTAAGATGAATTCCTGTAAGTAAAACTGTTAATCACAGTGCACTTGTATTTGGAGTTCTCACAAATACGGCCAAACCACCTCCAAATTGCCTCAAAGAGGACATACTCATTCATATACCCATTTATAGTAGCCCATGAATACCTCTTGCCCTTTTCCTTTGGCAACATGATGTTCTCATTTTGTTCTTTGCCAATCTGATAAAAGAAAAATTATGTTTTATATAGGGTTTTTTTTTGGCATTTTAATTCCTTTTTTTTTTTTTTTTTTTTTTTTTGAGACGGAGTTTCGCTCTTGTTGCCCAGGCTGGAGTGCAATGGTGTGATCTCCGCTCACTGCAACCTCCGCCTCCTGGGTTCAAGCAATTCTCCGCCTCAGCCTCCCAAGTAGCTAGGATTATAGGCATGCACCACCACCCCCAGCTAATTTTGTATTTTTAGTAGAGACAGAGTTTCTCCATGTTGGTCAGGCTGGTCTCAATCTCCCGACCTCATGTGATCCGCCTGCCTCAACCTCCCAAAGTGCTGGGATTACAGGCATGAGCCACCGCACCTGGCTGGCATTTTAATTCTTTTAGAGACAATGTCTTGTTATGTTGCCCAGATTGGGCTCAAACTCGGGCTCAAGCTATCCTCTTGTCAAGACCATTTTGCCCAGGCTGGTCTTGAACTCCTGAGATCAAGCAATCCATCTGCCTTGGCTTTCCAAAGTGCTGGGATTATAGGTGTGAGCCACCACACTTGGCTCCATTCAGTCTTTTACCATTAAATATAATATTCAGTTTTAGCGCCATGTCTGGGATATTAGAGACAAAAAGAAAACCCAGGGAACTCATCACCATGTTGTTTCTAAGGTCTTGTGACCCATGGCTGGTCTGCCTTCTTTCTTCCACGTTTCACAGTCTTGTTGTATTTGTTTTATAAATAATTTCCAGAGTTTTTAGTTGTATTTAGGGGAGGAATAGGGAAAAATCTGTCTACTCCATCTTCTCTGAAGTGGAAGTCCTGGTTTTTATTGGTTATCTTTCTTAACATTAGATTTCTATTATTAACATTTTGGTTTGCAGCCTCATATTGAGTGGAATGTCTTTGTTATTACTTTTTCCCCTTTCTCTGTCTCATCACTTTGCAATTTCTTTCTTCTGGCCCCCTAGGGACTCAGTACAACAGGTCTTCAAATGGCCTATGCCACAGTGAAATTTAGGATATCACACTTCTATTCTAATAATGAATCAGGAGGCAGCTTGACACAGTCCTTCCCAACTCCTTAAAGCTTCCCTCCTCCACTCAACAATTAACTTATTTTAAGCCTCCTTTCATAAGGCTGGTTGGGGGTTAGCATCTCACTCTCCTGGCCTCACATTCTTAGTCTATGAGCTTTTTTAGTATCTATTTACTCCTCTGAAATCACCTCTCACGACTACTCTTTGTTCCCAGATCTGGAGGTCAGCCAGTCCACAGATTCAGCCCCACTTAGTGACTTGCATCTGTGTTTCTTTTTCTTTTTCTTTTTTTTTTGAGACAGAGTTTCACTCTTGTTGCCCAGGCTGAAGTGCAATGGCCTGATCTCAGCTCATTGCAACCTCCACCTCCTGGGTTCAAGTGATTCTCCTGCCTCAGCCTCCTGAGTAGCTGGGATTACGGCAGGTGCCACCATGCCCGGGCTAATTTTGTATTTTTTTTAAGCAGAGACAGGGTTTCACCATGTTGGTCAGGCCGGTCTCGAACTCCCGACCTCAGGTGATCTGCCCACCTCAGACTCCCAAAGTGTTGGGATTACAGGTGTTAGCCACCACACCCAGCTCCAAGGCATATTTTCTATGGAATATATCAAGACAATAAATCTGGGGGATCTGGAATTAGCTTTTGTTTGTCTACGGCCACCCACTAATAAAATACTTTTTGATTTGGCACTTCTAGGACATATCTCTAGTAACTCACTTATATTCATTTATTCTTCGACATACAATGTTGTCTAAAAATCACTGGACATGGAGTTAGAAAACCTCAGTGCAAATCCTGGCTTTGTTATAGTGTAACCTTGAACAAGTCACTTGGCTTCTACAAATCTCAGGGTTTTTTTGTTTGTTTTGTTTTTTTGAGACAGAGTCTCGCTCTGTCGCCCAGGCTGAAGTGCAGTGGCACGAATCTCGGCTCACTATAAGCTCCGTCTCCCGGGTTCACGCCATTCTCCTGCCTCAGCCCCCCGAGTAGCTGGGACTAGAGGCGCACATCACCACACCCGGCTAATTTTTGTTGTATTTTTTAGTAGAGACAGGGTTTACCATGTTAGCCAGGATGGTCTTGATCTCCTGATCTCATGATCCGCCCGCCTCGGCCTCCCCAAAGTGCTGGGATTACAGGCATGAGCCACCGCGCCTGGCCCAAATCTTAGATTTTTAAAAATATAGGATTAAGCCGGGTGCGGTGGCTCATGCCTGTAATCCCAGCACTTTGGGATGCCAAGGCGAGTGATCACTTGAGGTCAGGGGTCCAAGACCAGCCAGCCTGGCCAAGATGGTGAAACCCCATCTCTACTAAAAATACAAAAATTAGCTGGGCGTGGTGGTGGGCGCCTGTAGTCCCAGCTACTCAGGAGGCTGTGGCAAGAGAACTGCTTGAACCCAGGAGGTGTTCAAGGAGGTGTTGCAGTGAGCTGAGATTGTGCTACTGCACTCCAGCCTCGGCGACAGAGCAAGGCTTCATCTCAAAAAATAAATAAATACAATAAAGTAAAAAAGAAAAATAAAACTATTATGTGCTAGATGTTTTCATATTATCTTATTGAATATTTACAGCCTTAAATCACTTTTATTTTTATTTAATTATTTTTATTTTGGACAGAGTCTCGCTCTGTTGTCCAAGCTAGAGTGCAGTAGTGCAATCTTGGCTCACTGCAACCTCCGCCTCCCAGGTTCAAGCAATTCTTGTGCCTCAGCCTCCCAAGTAGCTGGGATTACAGGCGTGTGCCACCATGCATGGCTGATTTTTGTGTTTTTAGTAAAGACAGGGTTATACCATGTTGGCCAGGCTGGTTTTGAACTCCTGGCCCCAAGCGATCCACCCAACTTGGTCTCCCAAAGTGCTGAGATTACAGTAGTCACTAGGCCAATCACTTTTATTTTTATTTGTGTGTGTGTGTTTTTTTTTTTTTTTGAGACGAAGTCTTGCTCTGTTGCCCAGGGTGGAGTGCAGTGGCGCAATCCCTACTCACTGCAACCTCCGCCTCCTGGGTTCAAGCGATTCTCCTGCCTCAGCCTCCTGAGTAGCTGGCATTTGTTTATTTATTTTTTAATTTAATTTTTAATTTTAATTTTTATTTTTGAGATGGAGTTTTGCTCTTGTTGCCTAGACTGGAGTGCAATGGCGTGATCTTGGGTCATCGCAACCTCCGCCTCCCAGGTTCAAGCAATTCTCCTGCCTCAGCCTCCCGAGTAGCTGGGATTACAGGCATGTACCACCACGCCCAGCTAATTTTATATTTTTAGTAGATATGGGGTTTCTCCATGTTGAGGCTGGTCTCAAACTCCTGACCTCAGGTGATCTGCCTGCCTCGGCCTTCCAAAGTGCTGGGATTACAGGCATGCGCCACCGGGCCCGGCCCATTTGTTTACTTTTTATAATTTTTTCTGTTTGTTTAAAAATAGAGACAGAGTCTCACTATGTTACCCAGGCTGGTTTCAACTCCTGGTCTCAAGTGATCCTCCTGCCTTGGTTTCCTAAAGAGCTGGGATTACAGGCATGAGCCACGGCACCTGGTCTTAAATCACTTTTTGAGGAAGGCAGGCCATAAGTGGGTGCCAAAAATCCTGTCATATAAGGATTGTTAAGGCTACTTTGCAAAGGAGGAAATGATACACCAGAAAGGATAAATCATTTACTCAAGGGTTCACTATTAGTGGTCAGATCTTTCAGACTCTAAGGCCTGACACAGCTATCTCTAATGGATTCTGATTGTTTTCACACAATTTTCTTAGAATATCCTGTTACCTTCACCTTAGATAAAAGACACATACACATACAGGATTGCAGGGGGTCATCCAGAGGGGAAAAGGATAGGAATCCTATCCCTTTGCAGTGCCCTGGCATCTTAAGGGAAATGGCATCTCTCCTAAAGAAGTAATTAGGCTAAATTCTCTCTAGCTATTAGCAAAGTGATTTCAAATGGATGTCTCCCCCAAAAGGTGGCCTGCTCTGATTACTGCATAATCAATTTAATAGGAACAGAGTCCATTTATAGAGAAGGTAAGACTTAGAGATAGGCATCTCATTTATAAGGGCAGATGAGCACAGCTGTACACAGAGAGCAGGCACACAACTAGAAGATGAATCTCATTACTATTCTTGAAACAGCTGGGTGGGAACACATGTTTATAAATCAGGCTTCTTCCTTTGGTATAATCTGCAAACTTTAGCAATAATGAATGAGCTGAAGAGAAGACAGGTCAAACAAGGTGCTGGAAATGGGAGAAGGGAAGAGAAAAAATTATGATATGGAAAGACAAAATGGAGGCTTGTTTAAATGTCAAAGGAAACACACATTGATGAGGTTTAATAGTCTTCCTGCAAGGTTCCGAGTTGAGACAGCTGGAGAATAGGACGACAGGAAAGAAAAGCAGCAAATAACACTTAACAGACCAAGTTTCTCTATTAGGGGCTAGCTTTAGAGAAGCAAGTAGGCTGAAGAGAAAGAAAAACTGGTCTTCATCTTGGAAAACTTACTATTTTTCATAAGTGTTCACAAAATAAGGAAAGGCTCAGCATGTTTGAGGATAATACTGCTAAAAAACAGCAGTAATAAATAGTGCTCCGTGTTTCTCTAGAATCTTACTTTCAGATTTACCAAGTCTTATGGACATAATCTAAGTACCCATTATTAAGTTTTAGAGTACTCACTATTCTCCCTTCTTCAAGGTGATAAATATTGGAGCAGAGTAAAGGGAAAATGATGACATGTATGAGGCACTAGTCAGGTTCCCCTAGTTATTATTATTATTATTTTTGAGACAGAGACTCACTGTGTCACCCAGGCTGGAGTGCAGTGGTGCAATCTCGGCTCACTCCAGCCTCTGCCTCCCAGGCTCAAGCAATACTCCTGCCTCAGCCTCCCAAGCAGCTGGGATTACAGGTGTGCACCACCACACCTCGTTAATTTTTGTATTATTAGTAGAGATACTGTTTCACCATGTTGGTCAGGCTGGTCTCGAAGTCCTGCCTCAGGTGATCCACCTGCCTCGGGCTCCCAAAGTGCTGGGATTACAGGCATGAGCCACCACGACTGGCCAGGTTCCCACAGTTCTTAGGAGTGAAATGCTGAGACAAACTCAATCCCAAAGCAGCACTGCTTTGTTTCAGATAATAATTCAAAACCTCAAAACATTTGTGTAGTCAAGGCTGATCCAAGTATAATAGTAGAAAGAGAGAGAGAGATTTTTTTCTAGGCCCCTCATTTTTACTATTTCCATTAGTACATACTTTCTCTCAGGGATCTGGTACCTTCATGCTCAGCTCCTTCATGCTCAGACCAATTCCCTTCTTGAAACGCTTCCTTCACTTGGCTTCCAGAACACCATACTCTCCTGGTTTTCCTCCTATCTCTCTGGTCATTCCTCAGCATCTTTTGCTGGTACTTCATGTGTAGCTGATGACTCAAACTTCTATCCCTAGCCCCAACCTCTCCCCTAAACTCCAGATTCATGTATCTAATCACAAACTTGACATTTCCATTGGACGTCTAAATGGAGATCTCAAACTTAATATGTTCCAAACTGAGCTCCTGATACCCATCCTCTCCTTAACAACCCTCTCCTCCAAGAACAACAAAAACAACTTGCTCTGAATTCTCCCTATCTGAGGTAATGGCATGTGTACATCCTTCTAGGTGTTCAGGTCAAAACCCTTAGAGTTTTACTTGGTTCCTCTCCTACTATCCATGTCCCCACACCTGACCATCAGCAAATCTTTTTGGCTCAACCTTCAAAATATATCCAGATTTTGATCATTTCTCATTACCTCCACTTCTACTGCTCCAAGCACTCCTTAAATTATTGCAATAGCTTCCTAACTTGCTTCCATCTTTATCACTTTCTGACCTGTTCTCAACACAGAGACCAGAGAGATCCTGTTAAATAAAACCTCTCATATCCTATCATTTCTCTGTATAAAACCTTTTAGCTTTTGAACTCATACATACAGGTATAGGTGATACATACATCTGTATGTATCACCTATTCCCAAAAAAACACATAAAAATAGTTATTAGTTAGCCAAGCACGGTGGCTCATGCCTGTAATCTCAGCAATTTGGGAGGCCGAGGCAGGTGGATCATCTTAGGTCCGGAGTTCAAGACCAGCCTGGTCAACATGGTGAAACCCCATCTTTACTAAAAATACAAAAATTAGCCGGGCAGTAGTGGCGCGTGCCTGTAATCCCAGCTCCTGAGGAGGCTGAGGCAAGAGAATCGCGTGAGCCTGGGAGGCAGAGGTTGTGGTGATCCGAGATCGCGCCACTGCACTCCCGTCTGGGCAACAGAAAGAGACCCTGTCTCAAGAAAAAAAAAATTATTAGTTTTAGTAGAAATATCTCAATGTTTTAAAAATGCTTCATGGCCAAGCATGGTGGCTCATGCCTGTAATCTCAGCATTTTGGGAGGCCAAGGTGGGAGGATTGCTTGAGCATAGGAATTCGAAACTAGCCTGGGCAATGTAGTGAGACCCTGTCTCTAAAAAATTCTTTAAATTATCTGGGCTTGTTGGCATGTGCCTGTAGTGCCAACTACTATGGAGGCTGACATGGGGGGATCACTTGAGCCCGGGAGATCTAGGCTGTAATGAGTTGAGATGTTGCCCCTGCACTCCAGCCTAATTCACAGAGGAAAAAAAAAAGATGGGGCCTAATTCTCATCCCCTGGAGTGTGAGCTGCCTTTAGCAACTTGCAGAAGTGATGGTGCATGACTTTTGAGACAAGGTGATAAAAGGTATTATTGGGGGTTCCTCCTTGCTTTCTCTCTGGGATTTCTTCCCTTAGGGATGACAGCAGCCATTTTGTGAGAACACTTAAGCAGCCCTATGGAGAAGTCCACGAGGCCAGCAACTGAAGCCCTCTGCCAATAGTCATGTAGTGAAGCAACTTGGAAGAGGATCCTCCAGCCCCAGATATGCTTTCAGATGATGGCAGCCCCAGTCAACAACTGACTACAACCTCATGAGAGACCCTGAGTCAGACCACCCAGTTAAGCTACTCCTGAATTCCTGAGCCACAGAAACTCTGTGAGATAATATTTATTGTTTTAGACAACTATGTTTTAGGTTAATTTGTTACATAACAGATAACCTGGAATAATGTCTACCCTAGGTAGACAAATAATTCATTCCTACCTTGAACGAATATTTATTGAGCATCTATTATTTGCCAAGCATTCTGTGAAGTATTGAAGTTACAAAAACAGTGAAGAAATGCTGAGGTCCACTCCTGGGTTGGCAGCAAATGTTTATTAAGAGCCAACTTTATGGAATGTGCTGGACTAAGTACTAGAGAATAAGGATAAATAAGGCCAGATGCTTGCCCTCAGCATAAGAGACAACAAAAGAGAAAGGGGAAGAGATGAAGTGTACCTGAATATTCCAGTAGCATTGAGTTTCCAAATGGAAACATCAGCATTTGCCTATATGCTGCTTTTAAATCTTATTTTAATCCCAATTTTCAATCCTGATTGATGTTGACAACTATACCCTAACTGGATACAAATACACCCTAACTAACCAGGGTAAAGTACAGATTAGCACACATACATGCTTTCATTCATTCTATTATTCCACAAATGAGCACCTACTCTGGGCCAGACACTGTTCTCAAGTACTGGGACATGGCAACACACAAAACTGACCAAGTCTCTGCTCTTACATTCAGATAAGAGGAGAAAGACAATAAATAAGGGAACATGTAAGCATATGTCAGATAGTGATACGCGGCCAGTCGTGGTGGCTCACACCTGTAATCCCAGCACTTTGGGAGGCCAAGGCGGGAGGACTGCTTGAGCCCAGGAGTTCGAGACCAGCCTGGCCAACATGGTGAAACCCTGTCTCTACAAAAAATACCAAAATTAGCCAGACATGGTGGCACACGCCTGTAGTCCCAGCTACTTGGGAGACTGAGGCAGGAGAATCACTTGAGCCCAGGAGGTGGATGTTGCAGCAGTGAGTCCACATCACGCCACTGCACTCCAGCCTGGGTGACGGGAGTGAAACCCGGTCTCAACAAACAAACAAACAAACAAACAACAAAAACCCAGAGAGTGATAAGCTATGGAGAAAAACAAAGCAGAAGACGATGTGAGGGATGGTGATGCTGCTATTTTATAAAGGGCAATTTTAAAAAGCCTTCTCAAGAAGATGACATTCAAGCAGAGAAACCTGTAAGAGGTGAGACAGCGAGCTCTGTGGAAATTAGAAGACATTTTAGGCAGCGGAAAAAGCAAGTACAAAGGCCCTGTGGTGGAAATGCACATGGCACGTTCGGAAGAGCAAAGAGGATAGTGTGGCTGTAGTGGAATAAATGAGGGGAAGAGTGAGAACACATGAGGTCAGAGAGACAGCATATTAGTGACAACGGTGGACCAGATCACACAGACTGGGGATTGGCAGGCTTTTAAAGTAAGGGACAGATAGTAAATATTTAAAGCTTTGCAGGCCACACAGTCTCCGTCATAACTTCTCAACTCTTATAGTAGAAAAAGAGCCCCAGACAATATGTAAACAAATAGGCATAGTTGTGTTTCAATAAAACTGTATTATAAAAACCAGAAGTGGGACTGGATTTGGTAACCGAATCCTAACTTGCTAATAATCCCTGACATAGACCGTCTGCACCTTGAGGAACAGATTATGAGGCCAGAGGGGAACTGTATTTATGTTCAGGCTCTGGCCTCAGAATGAACTCTCACTGAAACAAAGATATAAATGAGAGCCAGATAAAAAAGAAATACTTTTATTAATATTAGGCATTCAAAGGTTGTTTATTGGACTGATAAAATGAAAAAAGCAGCTTGTCTAAGGCCCAAAATAATTATTTCATTATTTCTATAGAAAATGTTTTGAGGCCAGGTGTGGCAGCTCATGCCAGTAATCCCAGCATTTTGGGAGGCTGAGGTGGGCAGATCACCTGAGGTCAGGAGTTCAAGACCAGCCTGGCCAACATGGCGAAACCCCATCTCTACTAAAAATACAAAAATTAGCTGAGCATGGTGGCGTGCACTTGTAATCCCAGCTACTCGGGAGGCTGAGGCAGGAGAATCGCTTGAGCCCAGGAGGCAGAGGTTGCAGTGAGCCAAGATCATGCCACTGCACTCCAGCCTGGGCAACAAAGCAAGACTCAGTATCAAAAAAAAAAAAAAAAAGAAAGAAAGAAAAATATTTTGCGTTCCAAAAAAATGTTTTGAAAATTAACTTTGGACCACAAACCATTCGTAAGTTGGGGACTTCCCATATACAGAGCGTATTTTAAAATTTTCTTGATGACTCAGGGTCATTATTCTAGATACAATTATTCTGTGGTGTGGTAAAGAGATGTCCCTTTGAAGGTTCCTGAGATATTAGGGGTTAATGGCCCTCTTTAATTGAGACCAAACTACTCTGCTGAGTTTCTGTGTTTTGCTTCTCGGTCTCCTCTTTGGCTGTCAGCAGTTACTTTTTCTCGTCATTAATATGTCTGCCTTCTGCAGTAGTCTTTCCCTTATCACCAACCTCTCTATTACATCCAACTTCCTTCTTCCAATCTACTTTAGGCTAGGAAATCAGGGAGTAAATATTAACGTAGCTCTATCATCCACTAATTACATGATTCTCTTAAGGGTCTGTTATTTGGAACTCAAAGTCCATGGGGAAAAATTCTATAGCTACTAACCAAAGGAATCAGTCTGAGAAACTATTTTTGGTAACTCCCTACGACCACAGTTTGCCAGCGAGTTTTGAATGCAGTGTGTGAGTGTGTGTGGTAAATGTCCAATAAAAAACTTTTAAAAAACTAAAAACGCGTTTTATACCTCTTTTGAACATGTTATTTCTAACAACAATGGGTAATGAGGATCTCAGTTCAGGTGCCAAGAATTCCCAGAAATGGCTACAAATGAAACATAGATCTTTAAGGCTCTCCTAGAGAGAGAAACGAAAAAGCACAACTTTGGGAGGCTGAGGTGAGCAGATCACTTGAGGCCAGTTGGACACTAGCCTGGCCAACATGGTGAAACCCCGTCTCTACTAAAAATATGAAAATAGTTATTTTCCATTAAAAATACTATTTATATTACCATGTAACAGGTTCATTATTATGAATAATACACACTTTGAGTTTCTAAATTTTAATTCCTAAATGGTAGATATCAATAGATATAATCTATAAAAACAAAAGTTCTTTGAGGTCCTCAATACCTTTTTTTTTTTTGAGACAGGATCTTTGTCATCCAGGCTGGAGTGTAGTGGTATGATTACGGCTCACTGAAGCCTCAACCTCCAAAGCTCAAGTGATCCTCCTCTCTCAGTTTTCTAAGTAGCTAGGACCACAGGTGTGCACCACCACACCCAACATATACGCTATTGTCAGATTAATCTACCTCAACATATATTATACATAATATGTATATTATATATAATGTGTGTGTGTGTGTGTGTATATCTTTCAAAGTGCTGGGATTATAAGTGTGAGCCATGGTATGTGGCCCTTCAATAATTTTTAAGTTAGGCTGGACGCGGTGGCTCACACCTGTAATCCCAGCACTTTGGGAGGCTGAGGAGGGTGGATCACCTAAGATCAGGAGTTCGAGACCAATCTGATCAACATGGGGAAACCCCATATCTATTAAAAATACAAAATTAGCTGGGCGTGGTGGTGCATGCCTGTAATCCCAGCTACTCGGGAGGCTGAGACAGGAGAATTGCTTGAACCTGGGAGGCGGAGGTTGCGGTGAGCCGAGATCGTGCCATTGCACTCCAGCCTGGGAAACAGAGCAAGACTCCGTCTCAAAAAAAAAAAATAGTAATTTTTAAGGTAAATGAAAAGGGGTCCTGAGACCAAAAAGTATAAGAACTGCTACACATAAGGCATAAAAGCCAAGCATTGTTTTCCTTCTGCCTCTTTATAGAGAAGTTAACTAAGCTGCTGCTATCTTCATGCTGGGAGACAGAAAGCTGGGGATCAAGCCACTTCTACCAGTGCAGTCAGTTTTGCCTTTCAGGGATTTGCTTGCCCAGTTTGAATTCTTGAAAGTTGTGAGAATTCTGGATCCTGAGGAGAGGCAACTGATGATCTGTAAAGGAAGCAGGAAACTTTGGGCATAGCCAGGAGGGATCAAGGGCTAAAAAAAAAAGAAGTAAATAGAGTTGACTTTCTGGCATTTGGACAAGAGTCAGCCACCATGACCTGCCCATTCTGCCTTTGAAATCTCTGAATAATGTCTTCCTCTCCACATCCCCACAACCACTAGAGTCTAAGTCCTCATTAACTTACCTGTAGACTATCCCAATAGTCTTTGAATTGTGCTCCCTAACTCCACCCTTTATCTCTGTCAATCCAGGCGGTAAACTATTGTCAGATTAATCTACCTCAAACGCTGCTGTTTTTTTTTGAGACGGAGTCTCCCTCTGTCGCCAGGCTGGGGTGCAGTAGCGCGATCTCAGCTCACTGCAACCTCCGTCTACGGGGTTCAAGTGATTCTCCTGCCTCAGCCTCCCGAGTAGCTGGGACTACATGCACGCACCACCATGCCCAGCTAATTTTTGTATTTTCAGTAGAGACGGGGTTTCACCATGTTGGCTAGGATGGTCTCAATCTCTTGACCTCATGATCCATCTGCCCTGGCCTCCCAAAGTGCTGGGATTACAGGTGTGAGCCACCATGCACGGCCTCAAACACTGCTTTTATGCAACTAATCAGCAAATACATAATACCTATTATTTTTTATAATTTTTTTTTTTTTTTGAGACACAGTCTTGCTCTGTCACTCAGGCTGCAGTGCAGTGGTGCGATCTTGGCTCACTGCAACCCTTCACCTCCTGGGTTCAAGTGATTCTCCTGGCTCAGCCTCCCAAGTAGCTGGGACTACAGGCACGCATCACCATGCCCGGCTAATTTTTTGTATTTTTAGTAGAGACGGGTTTCGCCATGTTGGCCAGGCTGGTCTTGAGCTCCTGGCCTTAAGTGATCTGTCTGCCTCAGCCTCCCAAAGTGCTGGGATTACAGGCGTGAGCCACTGTGCCTGGCCCATACTACTTACCATACTCCGTCATTGTGCCAAGTGCTACTGAAGATTCAAAACAGAATAGAGATATGGCTACTGAATGGAAAGTTGTGTTCTAATCTTGGAGGTGGGGGGCAGGGTGGTGTCGGAGAATGGATATATTCAAAACCATTAGTTGGGATGCTGGATCTAAAGAAAGAGGAAGGGAGGAAGGGAGAGAGGGGAGGGGAGGAGAAAGAGGGAGAGAGGGAGGAGGGACGGAGGAAAAAAGAAAAGAAAAGAGGAAGGAAGGGAGGAAGGGAGGAAGAAAAGAAGGAAGGAGAAAGAAAGAAAAAAGGAGAAAACCCATTACTTAAAAACCCAAAACCATATGCTGCACTACAAACTGTGGTAAAGCCATGGACTGTTAGGTCAGAGAAAGAATAGGGAGAATTTTATAATCCTAAATGGATTTGGGATAAGCATGACACACATGAAGAAGAGTGAGACCAAACCACAAGTGAAGAACTGAGGCATGTGTCAGAGAGTAGGAAGGAGATATGGAAAAAGCTGATCTAATACTTGATGCTAAATAAATATTTGTTAATTGTTACTGATTGGTGGGCTAATATATTAAAATAAGTTATAGAAAATAAGATAGCTAGGCATGGTGGCTCACGCCTGTAATCCCGCACATTGGAAGGCTGAGGCAGGCTGATCACTTGAGGTCAGGAGTTCGAGACCAGCCTGGGCAACATGGTAAAACCCCATATCTACTAAAAATACAAAAATTGGCTGGGTGTGATGGTGGGTGCTTGTAATCCCAGCTACTTGGGAGACTGAGGCAAGAGAATTGCCTGAACACGGGAGGCGGAGGTTGCAGTGGGCCAAGATCGCGCCATTGCACTCCAGCCTGGGTGACAGAGTGAGACTCAGTCTCAAAAAAGGAAAAAAAAGAAAATAAGGTAAAAACTTTTGACTGAGTGCTGAGTTGCTTAATTCATCCTTCGCCAAAAGCTGCTACTTATCCATGCTGTTTTCTAAATCTGGTAAAGTTGTTGTTTTCAGCTTCCCCTTGTTAGTTAATTACTTATTCCATTTTACACAATTTCCATGCCCCTGCCCCCTACAGACATTCTTTATGTTTAATGTACACATTTTTGTTTGTATATGTTCTTTTTATTTACTTTTCTTGAGACAGAGTTTCTCTCGTTGCCCAGGCTGGAGTGCAACGGCGTGATCTCAGCTCACTGCAACCCCGTCCCCTGGGTTCAAACAATTCTCCTGCCTTAGCCTCCCATGTAGCTGGGATTACAGGCACCTGCCACCATGCCCAGCTAATTTTTTTTGTATTTTTAGTAGAGATGAGGTTTCACCATGTTGGCCAGGCTGGTCTCCAACTCCTGACCTTAGGTGATCCACCCGCCTTGGCCTCCCAAAGTGCTGGGATTACAGGCGTGAGCCACCATGCCCAGCCTGTATATGTTCTTATAAATGTATATTATATATATTATTGTTTTGTTTTCATATATTTTATTTTGCTTATTTAGTATTATGTTATAGATATCATTCTGATTTTTTGCGGGGGATGGAGTTTTGCTCTTGTTGTCCTGGCTGGAGTGCAATGGCACGATCTTGGCTCACCACAACCTCCGCCTCCCAGGTTCAAGCGATTCTCCTGCCTCCCGAGTAGCTGGGATTACAGGCATGTGCCACCATGCCGGCTAATTTTGTATTTTTAGCAGACACGGGGTTTCTCCATGCTGGTCAGGCTGGTCTCGAACTCCCGACCTCAGTGATCCAACAGGCGTGAGCCACCATGCCTGGACTATTCTGTTTTTTTTCCCCTCAACTTGGTGCTATAATTTTTTTTTTTCTATTCTGTTTTTTTTCCCCTCAACTTGGTGCTATACTTTTTTTTTTTTTGAGATGGAGTCTCGTTCTGTCACCCAGGCTGGACCACAGTGGCATAATCTCGGTTCACTGCAAGCTCTGCCTCCCGGGTTCATGCCATTCTCCTGCCTCAACCTCCCGAGTAGCTGGGATTACAGGCGCCCATCACCACGCTCAGCTAATTGTTTGTATTTTTAGTAGAGACAGGGTTTCACCGTGTTAGCCAGGATGGTCTCGATCTCCTGACCTCGTGATCCACCTGCCTCGGCCTCCCAAAGTGCTGGGATTACAGGCGTGAGCCACCGTGCCCGGCCCACTTGGCGCTATGCTTTTAAGAATCTTCCATATTGCTATATTGTATCTAGCCTATAAGGTTGTAATACCTATACCTATCACTTAATAATCAATCTTTAATGACTTCCTATCTGTAGTAAGGGGCTATGGAGATACATATTATAGAAATAGAAGACATGATCTCAATCTGTTCTCACACACTTTACAATCCAGTTGAGATAAACACACGCAGAAATAACATGCTATCAGGCAGTAGATGAGAACAGAGTACTTTGGGAGGAAGAGATGGAAGGATTGCTTGAGGCCAGGAGGTCAAGACCAGCCTGGTCAACATTACAAGACTCCCATCTCTATAAAAAAGAAAAAATATATATAAAATAAATAAAGAAGAGAGTAAAGTTTGGTTGAATGGCCAAGTGAACGATATCTTACCATATCATGACATGTATAATAAAAAAGGATAGGAAGAATGTGATATCTAGATTTAATTGAACTGATGGCGGGGCATGATGGCTCGTGCCTGTAATCCCAGCACTTTGGGAAGCTGAGGCGGGTGAATCACCTGAAGTCAGGAGTTTGAGACTAGCCTGGTCAACATGGAGAAACACCATCTCCACTAAAAATACAAAAATTAGCCGGGCATGGTGACGCACTGTAATCCCAGCTACTCAGGAGGCTGAAGCAGGAGAATCGCTTGAACCCAGGAGGCAGAGGTTGCAGTGAGCCCAGATCACACCACTGCACTCCAGCCTGGGCGGCAGAGTGAGACTCTGTCTCTAAATAAATAGATAAATAAACTGATATAGTGAACTTGTAAAATACCATTTTAAACCTTTCTAGACTTTCCTCTAGATGGTGCTGGAGTAACCATATTGTCTTTTATAACTCAAATTTCCTTCAACCTTTCAGAGTAAGGGGTAATTTATGATTCCTAGCAAGTTGGTGACTTTGCTACCAATTTTTTATAGCTCTTTGGCTCCCAGTCTAGGAGAGTGTGATATCTTGGACACTACTAAGAAATTAAAATAACAGATAACGCAAACTCTAGTAGTTTCTCATTCAATCTGCAAGGAGCTACTATTCAAAGCTATATTCTACTTGTGTGTTTGTTTAGGGGTTGGGGGAGTGGGGTTGAATAAACATGTCATTGCTTCCAGGAAGTTTATTTTTTATTTATTTATTTTTTTTGGAGACGGAGTCTAGCTCTGTCGTCCAGGGTGGAGTGCAGTGGCACGATCTCAGCTCACTGCAACCTCTGCCTCCCAGGTTCAAGCATTTCTCCTGCCTCAGCCTCCCAAGTAGCTGGGACTACAGGCGCACGCCGCCACACCCAGCTAATTTTTTGTATTTTTAGTAGAGATGGGGTTTCACCGTGTTGCCCAGGCTGTTCTCAAACTCCTGAACTCAGGCAATCCGCCCACCTCGACCTCCCAAAGTGCTAGGATTACAGGCGTGAGCCACTGCGCCTGGCGCTTCCAGGAAGTTTATAATCTAGAATGAGGGGGACAAAACTCTAATGTAAAACAGAAGACATTATCACCAGCAAGGCTTACCTCTAACAATCCAAAAGATCACAAAGATGCATAGGGTAATGAATATCCTAATCTGTCTAAGGAAATAAAGGGTTCTTTAAAGACCAGTAAAAAGTCTCCAGAAATGGTTTTAAAATAAAATTACTGTTGAACATATTTTATAGTAGCTATCTTCAGCTCTGTCATATCAGGCATCTGGAGCCAGATGGAAGCCCTGGTTTCCAAATAGGGCACAGAGCTGGATGCCCTGTCTAGGAAGAGCCACAGTACACATTCTGTACAGACTTGGAGTATCTTTTTATGTATTTATTTTTTAAGGTTAGTTAAGTGAAGCAATGGGATTAGAGATGGAACAAAGAAATCTGTAATTGGTTGTGATCAACTAGTTGTAAACACCACTGCACTCAGACCAGCCCCAGACTTGCAGTATCTTAGGTAATATGGCATAATGATAGAAAAATCTAAATTGAACTAGGTGCGGTAGCTCGCACTTGTAGTCCCAACTACTTAGGGAGGCTGAAGCAGGAGGACTGCTTGAGTCCAGGAGTTGAAGATCAGCCTGGAAAACGCAGTGAGACTCTATCTCTAAAATTTTTAAAAAATAAGCCAAGTGTTGGCCAGGCATAGTGATTCACACTTGTAGTCCCAGCACTTTGAGAGGCCAAGGTGGGAGGATTGTTTGAGCCTAGGAGTTTGAGATCAGCCTAGGTAACATGGCAAAACCCCCGTACCTACAAAAAATATAAAAATTAGTCACGTGTGGTGGTACGTGCCTGTAGTCCCAGCTACTTGGAAGGCTGAGGTGGGGAGAATGGCTGAGCCTGGGAGGTCGAGGCTGTAGTGAGCTGTGATCATACCACTGCACTCCAGCCTGGGTGACAGAGTAAGACCCTGTCTCAAAAAAAAAAAAAAAATTAGCCAGGCATGGTGGTGTGTGCCTGTAGTCCCGGCTAAAAATATATATATAAAATAAAAATAAGGCTGGGCATGGTGGCTCATGCCTGTAAGCTGAGCACTTTGGGAGGCCGAGGTGGGCAGATCACTTGAGGCCAGGAGTTGGAGACCAGCCTGGCCAACATAGTGAAATCCCATCTCCACCAAAAATACAAAAATTAGTCAGGTGTGTTGGCTCGCCTGTAATCCCAGCTACTCAGGAGGCTGAGGCATGAGAATAGGCAGAGGTTGCAGTGAGCTGCGATTGCACCACTGCACTCCAGCTTGGGTGACAGAGAGAGACTTGGTCTCTAAGTAAATAAATAAATAAAAGAAAAATGTAAACTGGGCTCTCAGGTTTCATGTCTTAAGTTTTTTTTTTTTTAATTTCTGAACAACAAATTTTAGTACACAGAGTTGGGTGTGGTGGTGACAACACTGGTTAATGAGATAGTGAGAGAGGTAATACATAACACGTGAATAGAAACAAAACAGCTCTACTTCCTTCCCAAGAGGGGAGCAATCTACATAAAACTACAGTGTTCGGGTCTGGAGAACACCTGTGAGAAATCTCTAACCAGGCCTGCTCCCTCAGCTGTAGCTGCCAGAGTGGCTTACAAACATCTAGGTCACCTCATGTCTTTGCTATGTCAATAATGCTTTCTCTTTGTATAGTCCTCCTGACAGCTCCTGTCACAGTGTTTGCCCTCTGATACCTGTGATGAACTGGCTGGGGAACCCCCACACTGAACAGGAGCTGAGCAATGGCTCACTGCTCCTATCTAATCCCTCATAATAGCAGGCATCTACTGCAGTTACCTGGTTTCCTAGTTTAAAATAATCAAACTGAACAAGAGTTGCTGTGGTCTGCTCAGCTACCTTTTACCTAGAGTCACCTTTTTAGGAAAAGGTGAAAATGAGCTGAGCTCTATAATTTAGCCAAAAGTGATCTCTTTCAGTTCACAATTATATGGCATCTGCTGACTGTATCATTAGTAGGGCTCTTATGCTGTTTTGTGGTATTATTTGCATATATTTATTTGAAGATATTTCGGTTATAAAACTTCCTAAAAATGAGCTCCCATATACAAAGCAAATATGAAGAAACCACCCCAGAAATCTTAGGAAGCAAAGCTGCCTACTTGGGACTACATGACAAAAATGCAATAAGGTATAATTTCTTTTCATTCCAGTCCATTTGAAAGTAAATAGGACCAGGCTTACATAAAGTTAAGATGTTCATGTGTATATATGTATATATATGTTTATAGATAGTTTGAGATGGGTCTGTAAATCAACTTATTCCCTCCTCACAAAGTTGCCTCAAAACTATTACTAAAAAAATCCTTCCTATTTCCATTAGTTTGCTTATAAATCCAGACTTTTTCTAGACTGCCAAATTGGCTCTGCCGGGCCAGTAACAAACATTTTTATAATTTTATATTACTTTTAAATAAATGACAAAGGATCCCCCCCCCACCCATCAACACAAATCTTACACACTAAATAAATATTCCATTTCACAATCGCATTAGCTATTCTAGTCTTAGGTGAAGATGTACACTCTGCAAGGTTTTTCTCAAAGTTCTACAGACTCTTTTGAATATTCTGTGCAAATGGATGGTCTGGTCTCTCCCTCTAGCTACCCCCAACTCCCCAGCTTCTTACTTTCAGGAGGTTGAGATGCTAAAGACACAGTTATTGGATCTAAGTAGAGGACCTCTTTCCCTTTAACACATTTCTGATTCACTGGCTGCCCTGCTAAAGTATAGGTACTGTTTTGTGTACAGATTTTCCATACCTTCTTCTAATGTTAATCTAACTTTTATCCTCTCTTAAGCCCCAAGACTTCCACATACAAATTTTATGTTGTCTGTCATGACTGAACTTATTTGATTTAGAAATTAATGATTTACTTTACCTATTTTTTTTACAATTTTTTTTTTTTTTTTGGAGATGGAGCCTGACTCTGTTGCCCAGGCTGGAGTGCAGTGGTGAGATCTTGGCTCACTGCAACCTCCACCTCCTGGGTTCAAGCAATTCTCCTGCCTCAGCCTCCCAAGTAGCTGGGACTACAGGTGCATGCTGCCATGCCTGGCTTATTTTTTTTTTTTCTTTTGTATTTTAGTAGAGACAGGGGGTTTCACTGTGTTGCCCAGGCTGGTCCCGAACTACTGAGCTCAGGAAATCCACCGGCCTCGGCCTCCCAAAGTGCTAGGATTACAGGCATGGGCTACACTTTTTTTTTTTTTTTTTGAGATGGGTTCTCACCATGTTGCCTAGGCTGGACTTGAACTTTTGGACTCAAGTGATCCTCCTGCCTCACCTTCCCAAGTAGTTGGGACTTACTGGCACATGCCACGATATACCTGGCTCTTTACCTAATTTCTTATGTGATGTGTCAAAGTGTGTCCCTATGACTGCTATATTATTCTATTCCTAGATAAATGTTCTGATTTTTAAAGTATTAAAGTATTTTAAAAATATTAAAAATTATACTTTGAAACTATAACTGTAGTTGCCTCAAGGTAGCAGAACTAGGTGGGCTAGGGACAGGGAAAGAAGACTTACTTTTTACTGCCTATCCTTTTAATCTCTTTTGAATGTTGTGCCACTTCATGTATTCATGTACAAAATAAAAAGCAACCCCTCCCCCGCAAAAATGATGCTTTATTAGAAGAGATAACATCGTCTATACACTTTTCTTTTCTCTCCCTAAATACTTAGCAGGTACTCAGTAAGTACTGAACAGAATAAATAACCCTAATACTGGTTTAACCCATCAGGCAGGGTTTGGAGTGGCACCAGATCTCATCTCTGGCTGATGAGCTGACAGAAGAATAGGAACTCCTCAGCTACTTACTTACCTTTCCTTCCAAAGATAAGAATCTCAGTTACTTTCTGATTCTCAACTCAGTGTGATTCCCCAAATTTCCAGCAGCATGGGTGTGTGCATGTGTGTGTGAGAGAGAGTGTGAGAGTGTGTGTGTATGTGTGAGACAGAGTTCTGATTTAAATCAGATATATGATTTGTGTGTGTTGGGGGGTGGAAAAGGAGCGTTAGTAAGCCTAACTGACAACATCCTATACAGTGATAATGAGTTTATGGCATTAAAATACAATGTAAAGATTTAGAATTTTTTAAAAAACCACCAATATGACTAAATTGAGTCCTATCTTTCTGAAGCTTCATTTAATTTATAACAATTCTATTTTTTTTTTCTCAAAATTCATCTGGAGATAACAGTCACTATAGATATTTGACTTCATTGGGCTTACATTTAAAAATAATTGTCAGAATTTGCCCAACCAAAGCTGGAGTCATTTCAAATTCTTTCTCTTATGTATGTCTTGCTCCCAGACAAAATTTGCTGTATACTTTGCAGTAAGTATCCATCTTCCTTTTCCACCTATGAAATGAACAATTAGAAGCATCCTAGACCTTAACTGTTACTACACACTGAATCTGGCCACTAAAGTAAGATTCAGACTCCAATATAATCCCACTAAAATTGTGGAAGAAGTTTCCCAAGTCCTAATGATACAGAAAGGATGCTTAGTCCCAGATACAACGGGTTACATATTTGGTTGCTTTCCCTAATTTTTTTTTTTTTTTTTTTTTTTGGTATGTGGTGGTGGTCAGACAGTATTTCCAATAATGCATACAACTTATTGTGCTTTAACATCTTCTATATATTATCTCATATTTAATTCTCTCACCAACCTCCAATGTATAATCATTCCCATTTTACAGACGAGGAACTGGAAACTCAGAGCAATCTGTTCCAATGTTATATAGCTAAATAAGATGCAAAAGCTAGGATCTGAATCCCAATCAATATGACTCTCAACTAAAGCCTGTATGGTTTGTTTTGTTTGAGGTTAAGTCTCACTCTGTCGCCCAGGCTGGAGTGCGGTGGCATGATCATAACTCACTGCAACCTCAAACTTCTGGCCTCAAGAAGTCCTCCCACCTCAGCCTCCCAAATAGCTGGGACTACAGGTGTATGACACCATGCCTGGCTAATTTTTATTTTTAAGTTTTCAGTAGAGACAAGGTTTTGCTATGTTGCCCAGTCTGGTCTCAAACTTATGGGCTCAAGCGATCCTCCTGTCTGGCCTCCCAAAGTATTGAGATTACAGGTGTAAACCATACTGCATGGCCTTATACGTATTTTTAACTACGCTGCCTCACAAGATAAGATTACACTTTCTTGGTTCTCAGGAGCTCGTATTTTCGGTGTAAAACACTAAATGGTTTACGCACTGCACTTGAGAATAAAACTGTGGACTAAAGCAAAAGACATCAACACCTGTAGGTTTATTTTGGGCTGAGAAGCAGGTTATTGATTTTACGTTTGACCTATTTCTACCAGAAAAGAAACAGATGCAGCAATAAAGCTACATACTGGTGGCAAAGTGAAAGACACACAGAACAGGTGGAAGAAGCAAAAAGAAAATGTCCAAGTAGGCAAAATGCAGCAAGAGGATAAAAAGAGAAAAGGGAGTTTGGACAAAAACCGAAAAGTCCAAAGCTGCAAGGTTATTATTATGAAACACATAATGTGTCTCCTTGGTATGTGAGGTACTTTATTGATGATGTAAAAAATGAAGCTCAGCTCTTGAAGAGCTAGAAAATTTAAGAAGTATCTTTTTTTAAACCATATAAAAGATATAATGACTAAGTCCATTATGATACATCCTTAACATGGAATACTCTGTAGTTATTTAAAATGTTATAGAAGGTCATTTAATGTTATGGAAATATGTTACAGGAATATATTTCTCTAAACAAAGAAGATTACGAAATATATAGAGAAGGGTCTCAATTTGTTAAAAATATAAAATAAAAGAAGCAACAAAAATATATAATATAAAAATTCAAACATTGGTTATCTCTGGGTAATTTATTCTTTTCCTCTTGGTGAATTTTGACTTTGTCTCCTAAATGTTCAACAATAAAAATTGTTACTTTTTCCTTTTGAACCATCACAATATCTAAAACTTTTTCATCACCTGAAATAGAAACTTTGTAGCCATTAAGCAATAATTCTCCATTCCCTATGCTCCCCACGGCCCTTAATATTCTTTCTGTCTATATAAATGTATCCATTCTAGATACCTAAGTGGAAAAAATACAATATTTGTCCTTTCGTGACTGGCTTATTTCACTTAACATGTATTTTCAAGGTTCATCCACATTGTAGAATCAGAACTTCATTTTTTTTTTTTTGGAGACAGGGTCTCACTCTGTCCCCCAGGCTGGATGGCAGTGGTGTGATCACAGCTCAAGCAATCCACCTGCCTCAGCCTCCTGAGTAGCTGGGAGTACTAAGTAAGCCTAACTGACAACATCCTATACAGTGATAATGAGTTTATCACTGCACGTGTTACCATACCAGGTTGATTTTTTTTTTTTTTTTTTTTTTTGAGACAGAGTCTCCCTCTGTCATCCAGGCTGAAGTGCCATGGCATGATCTCGGCTCACTGCAACCTCTGCCTCCCAGGTTCAAGCGATTCTCCTGCCTCAGCCTCCCGAGTAGCTGGTACTACAGGCATGCGCCACCATGCCCAGCTAATTTTTTGTATTTTTAGTAGAGATGGGGTTTCACCATGTTGGCCAGGCTGGTCTCGAACTCCTGACCTCAAGTGATCCGCCCGTCTTGGCCTCCCAAAGTGCTAGGATTACAGGCGTGAGCCACCGTGCCCAGTTTTTTTTTTTTTTTTTTTTTTTTGAGATGGAGTCTTGTTTCCATTGTGCAGGCTGGAGTGCAGTGGCACGATCTTGGCTCACTGCAACCTCTACCTCCCAGGTTCAAGCGATTCTCCTTCCTCAGCCTCCCGTGTAGCTAGGGTTACAGGTGTGTGCCACCAAACTTGGCTAATTTTTTTTGTATTTTTAGTAGAGATGGGGTTTTGCCATGTTGGCTAGGCTGGTCTCGAACTCCTGACCTCTGCTGATCCACCCACCTCGGCCTCCCAAAGTGCTAGGATTACAGACATAAGCCACCATGCCTGGCCGCCATTTTGTATTTTTTTCTAGAGATGCAGTCTTGCTATGTTGCCCAGGCTGGTCTTGAATTCCTGGGCTCAAGTGATCCTCCCATCTCAGCCTCCCAAAGTGCTGGGATTAGAGGCATGAGTCACTGTACCAGCTTTCATTTCTTTTTGTTTGCTGAATAATATTCCATTGTATGGCTATACCACATTGTTTATCCATTCATCTGTTGATGGACACTTGGGTTATTTCTACCTTCTGAATATTGTGAATAATACTGTCATATATTCACATACAAGTTTTTGTGTGAACATCTGTTTTCCATTCTTTTAAGTATATACCTAGGAGTAGAATTGCTGGATCATATGTTAATTCTGTTTAGCTTTTTGAGGATCCACCAAACTGTTTTCCACAATGGCTTGTACTCATTTTATGTTCCAACCAACAGTTCTCAAGGGTTCCAATTTCTCCACATCCTCTTGAACACTTTTTATTTTCCACATTTTTGATAACAACCATCCTAGTAGGTATGAAGTGGTAATTCATCATGGTTTTTATGTTCATTTCTCTTATAATTAATGATTCTGAGCATCTTTTCATGTGATTATTGGTCATTTAGATATCTTCTTTGGCAAAATGTCTATTCAAGTCTTACGCGCATTTTTGAATTAGGTTGTTTGGGTTTTTCATTGTTGATCTGTAGGAGTTCTTTATTCTAGATATTAATCACTTATCAGATACACGATTTGCAAATATTTTCTCTCATTCTATCTTTATTCTCTTGGTAGTATCCTTTGATAAACAAAAGTTATTAGTTTTGATGAAATCCAATTTATCTAATTTTTCTTTTGCTGGCTTGTGCTTTTGGTGTCATAGCTAAAAAATCAGGCATTACTTTTGAAATAATAAAATAATTTCAAAAATTAAAAAAAAAAATCAGAGGAAAAAACAGTTGCTAGTTGTGGGGCAGAAAATGTAGGACGCCGAGTGCAATGGCTCATGCCTGTAATCCCAGCATTTTGGGAGGCTGTGGTAGGCAGATCACTTGAGCCCAGGAGTTCAACACCAGCCTAAGTAACATGGTGAGACCCCATCTCTACAAAAAATAGAAAAATTAGCCGAGCATGGTGGCACACGCCTGTAGTCTCAGCTACCTAGAGGGTTGAGGTAGGAGGATATCTTGAGCTCAGGAGATGGAGGTGGCTGTGAGCCAAGACTGCACCACTGTACTCCAGCCTGAGGAAGGAAGGAAGGAAGGAAGGAAGGGAGGGAGGGAGGGAGGGAGGGAAAGAAAGGAAGGAAGGAAGGAAGGAAGAAAGGAAGAAAGAAAGGAAGGAAGAAAGGAAGGAAGGAAGGAAGGAAGAAAGAAAGAAAGAAAGAAAGAAAGAAAAAGAAAGAAAGAAGAAAAGAAAAGAAAGAGAGAGAAAATTTAGGAGAAGATATAGCTCATTATCTCTGAAATTATGCTTTGAATTCAAAGCACAGTAAGGGTAGCTAACAAAGTCTGTTTTAAGCATTCATACTCCTCTTCTTATTATAATGTGACTTAGTAGATGATTGCCTGGTCCAAAGACATGTATAATAAAAACAAAGCTACCCATTGGATCAAGAGCTCATCCATCAATTTTGCCCACCATCTATGGATGGCATTGCAGGTCACTTGGATAGTATCCACTTTGGACTTACATGCAAGACTTAGCAACAGTCCTTGGGCACCAAACCATTTTATAAGTTTTCTGCAATTTACAGTTGAACCCTCAGACTCACATATCAAGGCAGAAGCTCTGGTAAAGGTATACTTAGGTATGTAACACTGGATCCATCATCTGTTATATTTTAAAGACCTCTGATTCTTTTTATTATTTTTCTTTTTGTTTTTTATTGACACAGGGTCTCACTCTTGTCGCCTAGACTGGAGTGCAGTGATGTGATCATAGCTCACTGTAACCTCACACTCCTTGGCTCAAGTGATCCTCCCTCCTCAGCTTCCTGAGTAGCAAGGACTAGAGGCACACACCATCATGCCCAGCTAATTTTTAAATTTTTTTTTGTAGAGATGAGGTCTTGCTATATGTTGACCAGGCTGGTCTTGAATTTGGCTTAAAGCAGTCTTCCCAAAGTACTGGGATTATAGGTGTGAGCCATTGGCCTTGGCCTTCTTTTTCTTTATTCTTTTCCTCTTTTTAAAAAAAATTTGTCTTGGACAAGATGTTGTTGTTTAAAATAAATAAATAATACAAATAAAAAGCTTGTTCCCACATATATTTTGAGACAGGGTCTTGCTCTGTTGCCCAGGTTAGAGTATACCGGCAAGATCATGGCTCACTGTAGCCATGACCTCCTGGGCTCAAGTGATCCTCCCACCTCAGTTTCCTGAGTAGCTGGGATTACAGGTACATACTACCATGTCCAGCTAATTAAAAAAAAATTTTTTTTTTGATAGAGAAGGGGTCTTGCTATGTTGCCCAGGTTGGTCTAAAACTCCTGGGTTCAAGTGATCCTCTTGCCTCAGCCTCCCAAAGTGCAGGGATTACAGGCATGAGCCACCACACCTGGCCTACTTTGTTACCTTGTTCCCTTGAAAGTTGTATTTCCTTAGCTTGGTCAGAAAAATAGTAAGTGTTAAGCCTAATGTCCAGTGCTAGTATGAATAGTTAACAATAAATATTAATAATTGTTGCTGACACACTTTACACTGGTGCCAAATTGTTGTTCAATTTGGTCCTATTCTCTAGAAGTTGAATATGCCTTCAGTTATGGTCTTCTCTTTGCTTTCCTAGTAAAGTCCTCTTTACTCTCTCTAGACCTCTTATAATGGCCAAAGGTCCTTTTAACCACCACTAAATGATCAAAAACCTGTTAATGGTGTCTATGTAGTTCCTATTTTTATTTCTAAAGGAGAATGACAGACATATTTGTTTACTGATGTTCGGAGTAAGGGCAAGGAGGAAGATGCAGCTACAACCAATACCTCAACTCCCAGTCAGTACTAGTAGTTTTCTAAAGTTTTCCCACTCCAGTTTTCTAGTTCTCTTTAGAGGTTGAGGTGGAGAAACAGATCGTATGAAAGTAAATAAATTATAGTTTCTGGCCAGGTGTGGTGGCTCACGCCTGCAGCAAGGAATGTTGCAGGAAATTGGTAGGACTGAGAGCTGAGGGAGAGTTGCAAGAGGATGCCTGTGAGGAAGGCTGGTATGGAACTCTACATGCTACTACCTCTGCAGAAGCCTCAGATGGGAGAATGTAGAAATTGTTTCCTTCCCACAGCTGATCTCTGGTATGTTACTGTCTAATAATTAACTTTGACATGTGATTAGAGAGTATGTGCATTTATGAGCGCTATTTCCTCCAGGATGAAAGTTCAAACCAGAGATGTAGAGAAAGGGTAAATATATTCAGAAACTTCCAAGAGTGAGTTGCCTCCAGAAATGAAGAAACTAGAAAGAATTAGACCATGTGTGGTTACGTACTAGCTAAGATTTTCTTCTTAAATTGGTGCATAGTTGTTATCTGAAAACCATTTAAAAAAATTTTAGATTTACAGAAAATGAAAACCATTATAATAATAATTATTTTTTGAGACAGGGTCTTGCTCTGTCACCCAGGCTAGAGTGCAGTGGCACAGTCAGGGCTCACTGCAGCCTCGATCTCCCAGATTCGAGAGATCCTCCTGCTTCAGCCTCCTAAGTAGCTGGGACTACGGGAGTGTGCCACTTGCCTGGCTAATTTTTTTGATTTTTGGTAGAGAAGAGGTCTCATAGTGTTGCAGAGGCTGGTCTCGAACTCCTGGGCTCAAGTAATCCTCCCACCTTGGCCTCCCAAATTGCTAGGATGACAAGTGTGAGTCACTGTGTCTGGTCAAACTTTTTTTTTTAAACTGTCATACTGGCTGGGCGTGGTGGCTCACACCTGTAATCTCAGCACTTTGGGAGACCAAGGCAGGAGGATCACTTGAGGACAGGAGCTTGAAACCAGTCTGGTCAACACAGCGAGACCTAGTCTCTACAAAAGAAAAAAAAAGTTAGCCAGACATGGTGGTACACGCCTGTGGTTCCAGCTACTTGAGAAGTTGAGGTGAGAGGGTTGCTTGAGCCCAGGAGTTGGAGGCCGCAGTGAGCCATGATTGCACCACTGCACTCCAACCTGGGTGACAGAACGAGACTCTGTTTCAAAAAAATAAAAACAAAAACAAACCAAAAACCTGTATTTTAGCTCCAAATTTGTTGCTGCAATGCAAATTATTAGAGAGAATGCTTTTGCCATGCTATAAATACTCATGCCCTACCAAATTTCATGTAGGCAGAACCTCCAATCAGATTAACAGCAACATCTCTAGGTTTTTATCCTACTTATCCTGGCAAACCATTCATCCTCAATTCATGGATCTGACTGTAAGGAAGGGTCAAATTACGTACGAGTCTTCCAAAACCAGAAACCTAAAGGCAGAAATGTGGTTACTGTTCCTTTAGAGAGGATACTTCCAAAGAGAATCTATACACTATCCAGGAGTTCTTTATTAATATTCTAAGTATAAATATCTCAGATGATCCAATAAGCAATTTGGGATAGTCTGTAAAAATGTTCAAAGCCTCTGGAGACCCTTAAAAAAATACTGACACCTGGCTCCCACCCACAGTTATTCTGATCCAATTTAATTGGGTGAGATCTGGGGACTGGGATTTTAAAAACTCCCACTCCCAAACTCTAATGTACAGCAAAATGTGGAAACTACTGCTAAAGAAAATGATGTCTTCAAATTTGTCCACCTTCAAGTCTGGGTTGGAGAGAAAACAAAAATCTTAAACCCTTAATTCTGAGATCTTCTGGGACTCGAGGAGCCAAAGAAAGCACAAGTGTAGGCCAGGCGCGGTGGCTCACTCCTGTAATCCCAGCACTTTGGGAGGCCGAGGTGGGCGGATCACCTGAGGTCAGGAGTTCAAGACCAGCCTCAACATGGAGAAACCCCATCTCTACTAAAAATACAAAATTAGCCGGGCGTGGTGGTGCATGCCTGTAATCCCAGCTACTCGGGAGACTGAAGCAGGAGAATTGCTTGAACCTGGGAGGCAGAGGTTGTGGTGAGCCGAGATCATGCCATTGCACTCCAGCCTGGGCAGCAAGAGCGAAACTCCATCTCAAAAAAAAAAAAAAAGAAAGCACAAGTGTAACTAACACCCATCATCCTGGAACCATTTTCACATGACCATAGTATTTTCTCTCAACAGAATTTCAGGCAAAAGTATTATTAGAGAGCCAGCTGAAACCATTATTAAGCAAGTGTCAATTTGAAGAGCATTCAGATCTGGTACTGCTAAAACTATAGGCAGGAAAAGGACTAGTACAGGATAGAGAAGGCCAAAGTGGAATAACCAGTAAATGTAAACCACTTCACACCCACACTGTGGGGATGGGGTGTGCAAATGGGAGAAATGGGAAAGATGGGAGAAATGCAAAAAATCTGACACAGTTCCTCCTCCCATCTATACATTCTTACACTAGGGAAACTTTGCATAAGTGCCACAAAGGCTGTTTCACCACACCCTTAAATCGTATATCCTTCCTTTCCTCTTGCTGAGGTAACCATATCCTGCAGCCATGGCTGGAGAAGGTGGCTCAGCAAAGGTCATCATGCCTTTGGCTATACAGCTGGAGTCCTCTGAAAACCACTAGGAATAAGAAAGATGGTATCATCTCAATGGAACAGCTTTGAAAAAATACTTGCCTGGGGTTGAGAAGGAATCCCACTGTCCACAGCTTTACTGCTTTATGACCTAGCAGAAGGAACTAGGATAAGAATATGACTAGGCTTGGCTTATGCGAGGCACTTTTCCTTTTGGCCTTCTTCAGCCAGAGGCTAGTATGCTGCCAACTGCTGAAACCTATTTTTCTTTCTGGTAACCTCTACTTGACTGTTTCAGAGTTTGTTAACAGAGTAGAGCTGAACCACCCTTTCACTCTCAGTAAAAAAAAAAAAGAAAGCACAAGTGTATTTACCCAAGGAAGGGTAAATAGTAATGCAGAGAAAGGAACTCAAGTCTTGACGCAGCGGCTCATGCCTATAATCCCAGCATGTTGGGAGGCCAAGATGGGAGGCTGCTTGAGCCCAGGAGTTCAAGACCAGCCAGGGCAACAAAGTGAGATTTCAGCTCTACAAAAAGTAAAATAAAATAAGTAGATTTAAAAAAAGAGAGAGGAGGCCAGGCACGGTGGCTCATGAGGTCAGGAGATCAACACCATCCTGGCCAACATGGTGAAACACTGTCTCTACTAAAAAAAATACAACAATTAGCTGGGTGTGGTGGCAGGCACCTGTAGTCCCAGCTACTCAGGAGGCTGAGACAAGAGAATCGCTTGAACCCAGGAGGCGGAGGTTGCAGTGAGCTGAGATTGCGCCACTGCAATCCAGCCTGGGCGACAGAAAGAGACTCAAAAAAACAAAACAAAACAAAACAAAGCAAAAAAAGAGGAACTCAACCCAGTAACAGTTGGGGTCAGAGGGTGGATGATCTGCTCAGACTGACTTTGGGAAGCAATGTCTCTCATTATTATGCACATTTCTAGAAAATCTTCTCTCTCCAACTTGTGACAATAATTATTCTGAAATTTTCATTTGCCCCTTTTATGAATTGAACTGTGTCCCTGTCCCACCCTTCCCCTGCCAAAAAAAGGTATATTGAAGTTCTAACCCCTAGTACCTCAGCATATGACCTTATTTGGAAATAGGGTCTTTACAGAGGCAATCAAGTTATCAAGATAAGGTCATTAGGGTCTGCCCTAATCCAGTGACTGGTGTCCTTATAAAATGGAGCAATTTGGACACAGATATGCAAAGAGGGAAGACAGCCATGTGACTGGGATGATGCAGCTACAAGCCAAGGAACACTATGGATTGCCAGCAAAGAGCAGAAGAAAAGAAGAATTCTTCCCTAGAGCTGCAGGAGACAGATGGTCCTGCCAACACCTTGATCTCAGATGCCTGGCCTCAGGAACTGTGAAATAATAACTTTCTGTTGTTTTAAGCCACTCAGTTTTTGGTACATTGTTACAGCAGCCCAGGAAATTAATACAGCCCCAAAGGCAGATGTGGTGTTGATTAAATCAGTCAGATTTTACCTTAACTAGCCTCACTGAATTGCTGCTAGACTGCAGTCTAAGTCAGTGGTTCTCAAACAGGGTTGGTGGAGAACAGTGGTGATGGCAGCAAACCATAATTTCTTGGGGAGCATTTTTTACAATAGGCAAGTCCAAGCTCCATCTTATTTATTTTATTTTTTAAATAAAGACGGGTCTCACTATGTTGCCCAGGCTGGTTTCAAACTCCTGGGCTCAAATGATCCTTCTGCCTTGGCCTCCTAAAGTGCTGAGATTACAGGTGTGAGCCACTGCACCTGGTTCCAAGCTCCATCTTGAACATGCTGATTGAGAATAGGAGCAGGAGATAGCTAACTTTTTAATTTAATTTTATTTTATTTATTTGAGACAGGGCCTCACTCTGTCACCTAGGCTGGAATGCAGTGGTGCAATCACAGCTCACTGCAGCCTCAGCCTTCCTGGACTCAGGTGATCCTCCCACCTCAGCCTTCCAAGTAGCTGAGACCACAGGCGCTTGCAACCAAGCCTGGCTAATTTTCTACTTTTTGTAGAGATGGAGTTTCGCCATGTTGTCCGGGCTGGTCTTGAATTCCCGGGCTCAAGAAATCTGTCCACTTCAGCCTCCCAAAGTGCTGGGATTACAGGTGTGAGCCATGGTGCCTGGCCAGCTAACATATATTTTAAACAAGATCCCTAAATGATATCAGTGACTTGCTCTGATCCCCCCTCCCCCCAATTCTCCCTCAGTAACTGCTGAGTTTACTAGCTTAAGTAAAAGGATAAAACTTTGGGTCTTCTCCAAATTGATCTGTAGATCCTAATCAAAATTTCAGCACTTTTTTTTCTGTAAAAATTCACAAAGATGATCCTAAAATTTACATGGAAATGCAAAAGGCCAAGTAAAGCCAAGGCAATCTTGAAGAAGTACAACAAAACTGGAAGACTTATACTACTAGATAACAAGATTTACAAAGCTGTAGTTATCAAGACAATGTAGTATTGACACAAGAATACGTAAATGTATAAATGGAACAGAAGAGAACCCATAAATAAACCCACACAGGTTAACTGGTTTACGACAAATGTGACACTGCTGTGCAATGGGGGAAAGGATGGTCTTTTTGATAAGGTGCTGGGCCAATTAGATATCCATATAAAAAAATAAGAATCTTGACTTCCAACTTACATCCTAAACAAAAATAAATTCCAGATAGATTGTGGATGTAAATACATATATATATATATGTATTTTTATATATATTTTATATATATATATATATATATAAAACAAGGTTCTCAGAAAAAACATAGAAGAATATATTATCTTGGGATGGGCAAAACTTTGTTAAACAGGGCACAGAAAGCACTAACAATAAAAGAAAAACAAAAAATTTAAAAAAGATAAAATAGACTACATAAAAATGAAGACAAAGACACCATTAACAGAAAAGTTAAGACACAGAAGATATTTATATTACATAAATCTCACAAAGGACTAATAACCAGAATATGCAAAGAATTCATACAAATCAATAAGAAAAAGACATACAACCCAATCCAAAAATGGGCAAAAGACTTGAACAGACACTTCGTAAAAGAGATTTCCAAATGGCCAATGAACACATGAAAAGATGCTCAATTTCATTACTCACCAGGGAAATGCAAATTAATACCACAATGAGATACCACTACACACCACCAGAATGGCTAAAATGAAAAAGACAAATAAGGTCAAGTGTTGGCTAGAACACAGAGCAATCAGGATTCTAATACATTGGAAGTAGGAATGTAAATTGGTTTACACATTTTGGGAAACTTGTGATGTCTATTCAAGTTGATCATACACATACCTTATGATTCAATAATTCCATTTCTAAGTATAGATAGATAGGAATATGTATATATAGTCCCAAATAGACATGTACAAGAATTTTCACAGCAGCACTTTTTATAACAGCCTCAAACTGCAAATAACCCAAATGCCATCAACAACTGAATAAGTAGCAGTATACTCACATAATGGAATACTATAATGAAAATAAACAAAGTTTAACAACATGTAACAATATGGATGAATCTCACTGGCACAATGTTGAACAGCTCAACATAAAAAAGCTCATACTGTAATGATTCTATTTACATGAAGTTCAAAATGGGTAACACTAATCTATGGTATTAACAATGAGATTGGTTACCTGGGGTGGGGAGAAGGGCTAGCTATTAGAAGGGAGGCATGAAAGAGATTTTGGGGTTCTGGCAATACTGTGTTTCCTCATCTAGGTGCTGGTATCACATGGTGTGTTCACTTCGAAAATGCAGACTTGCACACGTAGAATTTGCGTACATGTTTATATTATTTTCAGTAAGACTTATTAATATAAAACAAAAACAAAACCTTTGGGTTTGTGACTCCTGTAGACAAGTGGCTGGGAAGATAACAAAGGATAACAGATTAGGCTATGCCAGGATCAGCCAAGATGCAGGCCAGTTCTATACTTCAGGCAGCTTGCCCAATCTCTAGGGCAGAAGACTAGTCTAGTATCTAAGGCAACAGCACATGGCAGAAAAGGGGAGGGTTTCGCTTTCTTCATCTACTCTTTCTCCATACTTCATTCCAGGAGATTTTCTGTATAATTCTAAGGAGTAAGCTGAAAGCTAAAAAGCAAAAGGGAGCTTCATAAATGAGAATATGCACAATATTTCAAGTATATTGAATGATCTAGAAAATTTTCAAAAGGTAGGGATAATCAGAGTCAAATAAGGAGAATGCAGGTTGTTCACCAAATTAGTTCAGGGTTAAAAGTTTCATTTGATTATGAGTTCAATGGGGGTAGAAAATTATTTGACAGCAGTCTTTTGGGCTGCTTTTAGATACCCTAAGGAGAAAACAGAGTACAACTTCGGGGAGGGGTGACTGCTCAATTTCTCACCATAGCCTTTTTGTCATATAGCTTGTTGCTATGGAGAAGGCCGTGAAGGCAGCAACTAAAGGAAATAAAGGATCTGGCAGGAGTAAGCACAGGGATAGTAGATTAAACAAAAATTTCTTGAGCAATTAGTGAGTAGCAGGGCCTATAAATGACATACTTTTCTTGTTTTTCCTAACCCCTACCCCTTTGAAAGTACATGGGCTTGGTTTACCACTATAATTTAATTGAAATACAGAGAAGCCTGAATGGGCCTAACAAAGCTTAAGCCTGGCAGACAAAACACAAGGCCACTTAGCAATGCTGCCTAATGCCAGGAGGAATCAGCTACCTACCCACCCTATCCTGGTGAAATTATCTCCAGCTGCCTAAATTATAAAGTTGATGCCCTGTGATTTCTTTGTTCTGTAAAGCCTGAGGGAGATGGAATAATGAGGTATCAGAAGAGGTGGAGAACAGCCCCTTGTTTCAGAGTAGTCAGAGAGAGAGAGAGCGAGTTAAAGAGAGAAATGGAGTTAGTTCTCACCGGTATCATTAAGAGGCAGCAGCAGCCTCAGTAGCAATAGCTTGGGAGCAAAGCTCTGCTTGAACTAGTCTGAAACTACTGCTGTGGGAGAAAAGGCTAGTTGCCAACTTTGTTAATAGCTTCTGCCTATCATTGTTACAGCAGCTTTATCAAATAGGGCAGGGCCAGGACCTGTTTTTAGCAGTGTAAGCACTAAGACCAGAGGGCTCAACATCTTCCAGCAGATTTCATCACAACCAATGACTAACAAAGACAAGTCCCTCTTCTATTCCACATAAATGATTACAGAGTTGTAAATATCAGAGCTAGAAGGATCATAGAGATCATGTAGTCCAACCTCCTCATTTTACAAATAAGGAAATTAAGGCCCAGATAGTCAAACGACCTTATTAACAGAGCAAGAAAACACCAAGGCTCTCAAATAGGACTTTTTCCCCTTTGAATCACACTTCAAAGCTAAGTTAGTTAGGGCTAATGATTAATCCCAGGCAATACCAGTAAGATATTTATTGCCTAGGTATCACTCAACTAAATTCCTAAGTATCAGGATGATTTTGATAACAAAATAGGTCTGGGTTTTGTTACTGAAATATAAAAAGAATCTCATTTGCAAACAACCTTACCTATCTGGCAAGCTCACAGCCTAGTCACCTATATATACTGCCTGACTGTGCTTTGCTTGGGGGAGGGAGGAGGTGTGTGAGCATGCACAAAGGGAGACTCTCTTTCTCCCCTGGAGATTAGTCTATTTTGCCATTTGCAAAATGAAACTCAAAAAAGCCGGTGACTGAAATTTTTCCCAAGGTCTTCAGGATTTAAATGTATGACAGTGGACATATAACACAATCCACAAAGGTATATAAACACGTCACTGCCCTAAAGTATCCTCTGGGAGTAAGCTGCTAGGTGGGAATGTGTTGGCTGTTGTTTTTGGTGGGGGAGGGGTGGGAGAAAGTAGGTACTGATTTCCCTAATGTTTCCTTTGTGTGGCTGCTGTTGCCATGTGGTGGTCTGTTGCTATGAAGATTTGTGGTGTCAGACAATGGCTGCTAGGCTCTTTATGACTGTGCTATTGGTAGAGCTATTTCTTCGGGATTCAAGCTAGTATGCAACTGGCTAAACAGTGGAGAAAGCTTGGTTGTTACTGTGCCCCATCTCTCCTCTAGGTGAGTACTGCCTGGGGCAAGACTGAAGGTGAAGGGGCATTAATTATAGCATATGAGAAAGAAAAACCAATAGCTGAATGCCACCTTACTTTTCTAGTGCAAATATCTAAAATTAGATATTTCACAGTTCACACACATACTTTTCTACATCAAAATCACACAGGAAAAACCAAGAGTAACTACCAAGGTTACCATTTCCATGAAAGAAGATTAATGGAGAGCCCCTTCCCTTTAGTGAAAAGGATAAAAGCCCACAGCTGGGATCTGCAATCAGATGAGGATGAAGAATAGCTGGGGCAGGTTCTCAGCGGAGCTACCACAGGCAGACTAACTTCCTGCTAAGCAAAACCATAGCCTATTACTCTGATAATGAGAAAACTGCAGCCCACAGACCAAAGCAAAGGGCTCAACCACAGAGTTTGAAGTAGGGCCGAATGTTCTCCTGGGTAACAGGGGCCAGAGTACACAGAAGTCACCATGGGTCTGTTTAGATGTCAGCTACTTACCCACCCTCTTCATACTCCCACACAATTACTCTTCTTTCCATCTCAGAGTATATACACACAGACACACACACACACATATATATATGCATGTCTGTGTATATATATTTTAAAGATCTAGCCCCTGTGCTGTCAATACCATAAGCCACTAGTTAACATATGGCTATTTAAATTTAAATTAAATAAAATTAAACATTCAGACCCTTGGCCAGGCACGGTGGCTATACGAGGCATGAGATTGGTAAACATTTTTTTTTTTAATAATTTTTTTTTTCCTGAGATGGAGTCTCACTCTGTTGCCCAGGCTGGAGCGCAGTGGCACTATCTCGGCTCACTGCAACCTCTACCTCCCGGGTTCAAGCGATTCTCCTGCCTCAGACTCCCGAGTAGCTGGGATTACAGGCGCCCACCACCATGCCTGGCTAAACTTTTTCAACAAAAGACCAGATAACAAATATTTTGGGCCTTGCAGGCCACATGGTCTCTGTTACAGCTTCTCAACTCTGCCACTGTAGGGCAAATGTGAACAAAATACATTAAATGAGAATGACTGTCTTCCAATAAAACTTTATTTATGGGTCCAGGCCCAGTGCCTTACGCCTGTAATCCCAGCATCTTGGGAGGCCGAGGCAGGAGGATTGCTTGAGCCCAGGAGTTGAAGACAAGCCTGAGCAACACAGTGAGATCTCATTTCCGTAAGAAAATATTATAGGCCAGGTGTAGTGGTTCACGCCTATAGTCCTAGCACTTTGGCAGGCTGAAGTGGGCGGATCACTTGAGCCCAGGAGCTTGAGACCAGCCTGAGCAATATGGCAATACCTTGTCACCACAAAAAATACAAAATTAGCCAGATGGGGTGGCACATGCCTGTAGTCTCAGCTACTTGGGAGGTTGAGGTGGGAGGATTACTTGAGCCTGGGAGGTGGAGGCTGCAGGGAGCTGTGATCACGCCACTGCACTCCAGCCTGGGCAACAGAGTGAGACCCTGTGTCAAAAAACAAAACAAAACAAAACAAAACGTGTCACTTCTAATAGGTTACAGAAAAAAAAAAACAAAACAATACTTTATTTATGGACCAGGTGTGATGGCTCACACTTGTAATCGCAGAACTTTGTGAGGCTGAGGCAGGACGATTGCTAGAGCCTAGGAGTTTGAAACCAGCCTGTAAAACATAGTGAGACCCCATCTCTACAAAAAAAAAATTAAAACAAAAAAAATTAGTTGGGCATGGTGGTGTGTGCCTGTAGTCCCAGCTACTTGGGAGACTGAACTGGGAGGATCACTTGAGCCTGCAGTGAGCCATGATCACACCACTGATCACACCACTGCACTCCAGCCTGGGAAACAAACCAAGACTCTATCTGAAAAAAACAAAACAAAAACAACAACAGCCAGGCATGGTGGCTCACGTCTGTAATCCCAGCACTTTGGGAGGCCAAGGCAGGCAGACCTGAGGTCAGGAGTTCCAGACTAGCCTGGCCAACATAGCGAAACCACATCTCTACTAAAAATACAAAAAAAATCAGCCAGGCGTGTGATTCCAGCTACTTGGGAGGCTGAGGCAGGAGAATCACTTGAACCCAGGAGGTGGAGGTTGCAGTGAGCCAAGATTGCACCACGGCACCCTAGCCTGGGTGACAGAGTAAGACTCTGTCTCAAAAAAATAAAAATAAAAAATAAAATAAAAACAACAAACAAACAAAAAACCCTTTATTTATAGACACTGAAATTTGAATTCCACGTAATTTTCATGCCTCACAAATATTGTTGGATTTTGCATTTTTTCAACTATTAAAAAATAGAGGCTGGGTGTGGTTGCTCATGCCTGTAATACCAGCATTTTGGGAGGTGAGGCGGGAGGATTGCTTGAACCCAGGAATTCAAGATCAGCCTGTGCAATGTAATAAGACACTGTCTCTACCAAAAAAAAATTTTAACTACCCAGGCATGGTGACATGCTCTGGTGGTCCTACTTACTTGGGAGGCTGACGTGGGAGGATCACTTGAGCCTGGTAGGCTGAGGCTGCAGTGAGCCATGATCGTGCCACTGTATGTGAGCCAGTGATCTTGCCACTGCACTCCCGTCTTGAAAGAACAAGACCCTGTCTCAAAAAATATATATATATACACACACGCCATTCTTAGCTCATAAGCCATACAAAAGCAGGCAATGTGCTACTGTAAGACAACTACAACATAAATAATGGAGAGCCTTTCGGCCAGAACTGCCATCTTCCAGTGGACAAACACAAAGGTTAAGAAGAGAGGCACCCAATATATGTTCTCTAGGTCTCTTAGAAAATATAGAGTTGTGGCCGGGTGTGGTGGCTCATGCCTGTAATCCCAGCACTTTGGGAGGCTAAGGCAGGGGGATCACCTGAAGTCAGGAATTTGAGACTAGCCTGACCAACATGGAGAAACCCCGTCTCTACTAAAAAAAAAAAAAAAAATACAAAATTAGCTGGGCATGGTGGCGAATGCCTATAATCCCAGATACTCGGGAGGCTGAGGCAGGAGAATCGCTTGAACCCAGGAGGCGGAGATTGTGGTGAGCCGAGATTGCGCCATTGCACTCCAGCCTGGGCAACAAGAGCGAAACTCCGTCTAAAAAAAAAGAAAGAAAAGAAAATATGAAGTTGTTTCTTTGGCCATGTATATGCGAATCTATAAGAAAGGTGATATTGTAGACATCAGGGGAATGGGTACTGTTCAAAAAGGAATGCCCCACAAGTGTTACCACGGCTAAACTGGAAGAGTCTACAGTGTCCCCCAGCACGCTGTTGGCATTGTTGTAAACAAACAAGGGCAAGATTCTTGCCAAGAGAATTAATGTGTGTATTCAGCACATTAAGCACTCACTCTCTAAAAGCCAAGATAGCTTCCTGAAACATGTGAAGGAAAAATGATCAGAAAAAGAAAGAAGCCAAAGAGAAAGGCATCTGGGTTCACCTGAAGCAGCAGCCTCTACCCAGAGAAGCACACTTTGTGAGAACCAATGGGAAGGAGCCTGAACTGCTGGAACCTCTTCCCTACAAATTCACAGCATAATGGGTGTTAAAAAAATAAAAGACCTCAGGACTGTAAAAATGTTTCTCTTCATTGAGTAGAAGTGTGGTGTCCTCTCCCCTAAAAAAATATTTAAAGCAAATTTTAATTGTGTCCTAATTCATTATGTAATGTCTTTACTACTCAAATTTAATGTATTTCTTGCTGAAAGATGTGAAGTAGCTTATTGTGCAACAAGTTACTCAACTGGTTAGAAAACAGCCAAATATTATTTATGAAATATTTGTATTGGTTTGAAGACAGTGCCTCTAAATCATCATGGAAGAAATAAAATAATTTACAAAACAAACAAACAAAAAAGAAAACAAAAGAATGGAGAGTAAGGCCTGGTGCAGTGGCTCATGCCTGTAATCCTAGCACTTTGGGAGGCTGAGGCAGGCAGATCATTTGAGGCCAGGAGTCTGAGATAAGCCTGGCTAACACGGTGAAACTCCATTTCTTCTCGGAGGTTGCAGTGAGCCAAGATCACACCACTACGCTCCAGCTGGGGGAGACAGTGAAACTCCATCTCAAAAAGAAAAAAGAATGGAGAGTCAAGGGACTTATATGGTAGTAAGATTTCTACATTCCACTTGAGGTACTAATTTTAAGTAAACTGTGAAAAGTTAAATATATATACTGTAATTCCTAGAGAAACCACTAAAAAATTATACAGAGATGAAGAGTGAAGAGTCAAGAGATGACTAGGGAGGTTTGAGCCTAGAAAATTAGGAGGATGGTACTGGGCATGGTGGCTCATGCCTGTAGTCCCAGCATTTTGGGAGGCCGAGGCGGGTGGATCACCTGAGGTCAGGAGTTCGAGACCAGCCTGGCCAACATGGTGAAAACCCATCTCTACTAAAAATACAAAAATTAGCTGGGTGTGGTGGTGGGCGCCTGTAATCCCAGCTACTTGGGAGGCTGAGGCAGAAGAATCGCTTGAACCCCGTAGGTGGAGGCCATTGTACCCCGGGCAACAGAGCGAGACTTTGTCTCAAAAAAAAAAAAAAAAAGAAAAAAGAAAATTAGGAGGATGGTAATGTAGGTGTAATGAAGAGAAACAGAGAAGGAAAGAGAAGGAAATTTTTGGTAAAAAATGATGAATACTCCTTTTTAGACATTCGAATTTAATAAATCAGTTTCTGTTGATGTTCATCAGTGAAACTGTATTAGGCAAAAGGTCAAGTGTGGAGATAAAGTTCTCGGTATTGTTCACACAAGGTAGACAGCTAAAGATATGAATATATAGGAGAGTACTTACAATAGAAAGCTGCTAAAGTAATAGCTTTTGGAAGTTATGATGTAGGAAGGCTATGCAAAGCAGAAGAGTGGCAGATTCTACTAATTTCTTCCCTTTTCCCTTAGTAAGAGCCCCTATTTTGTGCGGGGAAGTAATGTATCCAGCTAAAAGGCTAAATTTCTTTGCCTTCCTTGCACACAGGGTAGCCAACAAGATGTAAGCAGAAGTCTTATGGTGTGGCTTCTGGGAAACCTCTCCAAAGGTAACAGACTAAGATGGGAGGCAGGTGCTTTTTCTCTTCTACCTTCCTTTTCTTTCAAGACTGGAAAGTAAACATGATGGCTGGAGCTACAGAAGCAATTTTACAATAAAGAAGTAACTTTAAGGAGCCTGAAACAGTGATTCCATTGCGATGTCATCATACCAGCCCTAGACTACTTACCTACCTACCTCCAAATTCTCTTATATTAAATCATTATTATAGTTTCATTTCTTCTCCAAGCAGCTAAATGCCATTCCTAACTCAATGTTTCCTCAACTTTCCCCACTATGACACACACAGTAAATGAAAAAATATATTGTGGATAAGGCTGTTTGCCTGTGGGAAAGGGAGCAGGGCACCAGCTGCTACAGACCCTATCTAGTGGCTGATAGGACTGAATTGACCGATATTTCAGCATCCTGAATCTCAACAGGAATTTCTGATTAAATGAATACAAGAAGGAAGAGAGACTGGCACAAAATAGAGAGAATAACCAGTTATAAAGAGAAATGAGATTTATGACCAAGGCAAGAGAGGAGAGTTTCAAGAATAAAGAAATAAGAGAGCTAATAGAAGTCTAGGAAGGACTGAGAGAAGACCTCTGGAAAACTGGTATGAGAAATATTTCAGTCAAATGGTGGTAGAAGAAATCTGATGACAGGATGTTATTACAATAGTGAGCAGGGGCCAGGCATGGTGGCTCACGCCTGTAATCCCAGCACTTTGGAAGGCCGAGGCAGGGGGATCACCTGAGGTCAGGAGTTCGAGACCAGCCTGACCGAAATGGAAAAACCCCATCTCTACTGAAAATACAAAATTAGCCAGGTGTGGTGGCACACGCCTGTAATCCCAGCTACTTGGGAGGCTGAGGCAGGAGAATCGCTTGAACCCGGGAGGTGGAGGTTGCAGTGAGCCGAGATCACGCCATTGCACTCCAGCCTGGGCAAGAAGAGAGAAACTCTGTCTCAAAAAAGTCTCTGCTCCTCCTGTTCTACAGACAGCCGCATATTCTCTCACATCCTGGCTCATTGCAACCTCTGCCTCCTGGGTTCATGGGATTCTCCTGCCTCAGATGGGATTACAGGCATGTATCACCACACCTGGCTAATTTTTGTAGTAGAGACGGGGTTTCACCATATTGGCCAGGCTGGTCTCAAACTCCTGGCCTCAAGTGATCCACCTGCTTCAGCTTCCCAAAGTGTTGGGATTACAGGTGTGAGCCACCGTGCCCGTCCACTTGTTCGTTTTTAAGTTGCCATAGTCAACCAGTGTTGGATCCATGCTGATTACATGTTTCTTTTCTTTTTTTGAGATGGGGTCTCACTCCGTCACCCAGCCTGGAATGCAGTGGCACAATCATAGCTCACTGTTGCCTCGAACTCCTGGGTTCAAGTGATCCTCCTGCCTTAGCCTCCTGAGTAGCTGGGACTACAGGCACAAGCCACTGTGCCTGGCCCTGATTCCATGGTTTAAGGCATAGATTTAAAAAAAATTTTTTTTGTAGAGATAGGGTCTTGCTATGTTGCCCAGGCTAGTCTCAAACTCCTGGGCTCAAGTGATCCATCTGCATCAGCCTCCCAAAGTGCTGGGATTACAGGCATGAGCCACCACACCTGGCCTGCATAGATTTTTATAACTTAAGAGCTGATAGGCTGGGCATGGTGGTTCATGCCTGTAATCCCAGCACTTTGGGAGGCTGAGGTGGGATGGTCACTTGAGGCCTGGAGTTTGAGACCAGTCTGCACAACATAGCAAGACTCTGTCTCTATAAAAAATTAGCTGAGTACGGCGGCACATGCCTGTAGTCTCAGCTACTCAGGAGGCCAAGGCAGGAGGATCACTTTAGCTCAAGAGTTTGAGGCTGCAGTGAGAGATGATGTTGTTGCTATACTCCAGGCTGGGTGACACAGCTTGACCCTGTCTCAAAAAAAAAAAAAAAAAAAAAAGAAAGAAAAAAAGAACTAAAAAGAACTGTCAGGTCCTAATTGGTCACCTAGTTCAACTTAAGAGATGAGGTAACTAAGGCCCAGAAAATTAAGGGATTTTTCCAAGGTCATAATGATAGTGGCAGAGATATAGAAGTCTCCAGAGTTTTACTCCAGTGCTCCTTCCACTATACCATAAATTCTTCCATAAAGCACATTTGCCAAAGTAAACTACATCACTGGTATTGGCCTTTGGGTTAGTGCTACTGTCCAAAAAGGAGAACCTATAGCATCTCCTAGAACTCTTACCTAAAGTCAGCCTTGCCTTTCTTTAAAATACCACACAAGCCAGTATGCAATTTTGTGTCCCTAAAAGTACATAGTCTGCTTTAAGGCTTCTTATACATTTTTTCAGGATCCTAGATTAGAGTTAAGCCTTGTGAACCCAGAATAGACTTGGTAGTTTTGTTTTGTTTTTTTTTGTTTTTTTTTTGAGACGGAGTCTCACTCTCTGTCGCCCAGGCTGGAGTGTAGTGGCACACTCTCGGCTCACTGCAACCTCCACTTCCTGGGTTCAAGTGATTCCCCTGCCTCAGCCTCCCAAGTAGCTGGGATTACAGGCTAATTTTTGCATTTTTAGTAGAGACGGGGTTTTGCCATGTTGGCCAGGCTGGTCTCAAACTCCTGACCTCAAGTGTACCTCCCGCCTCGGACATACTCAGTATTTTGATTTGAAGTGAGGTGAGATAAAGCAAAATCCAGTGGAACTAGCCCTTACATAGTGCTGAGAATGTCTCAAAAACAAACAGACAAAAAAATTCTAGGTTACACTTGGGTCTTCTTAACAGTCCCACGGTTGAATCTAGTCAAGTAGGATCTTTGCAGTGCTTACTGAATTATCAACAGCCTAAAAAGAAATGGAATCTGCAGGAATTTAAAAATGCATCCAAGGTTTAAAGGGAGTGATAGGGAGAGAAGAGGAAAGAAAGAAGTAACACTGTAGGACAAGTAGGCAAAGAAACTAGGAATAATTGAGGCCATGACTCCTATACCTGTTCTCAGCAAGGTGGCTCAGTTCTACAGGGACCTCAGTGTCCTCCATTCCCCTCAGAGGCCAAGCATTCACAGCTTCTCTCTGAGCTGTAAGGACTTTTCTGTTTGAAGACAGTGTAGTTTGCTGGACAAAGAGACAGACAGAAGTACAAAATGTCGAGAGGCAGAAAAAAAAACCTAGAAGTCTGGAAGAATTTTTTAAAAAGTATCTGTATGTAGTTCTTATGATTAACTTGAGGACTGACTCGGTATCCTGGATCTTACAGATCTTCAGAGAATGATCTTTGCAGGAAATCTCTGTTACCTGAAGATGAAAAGGAATGTGAACCAACTCTGATCCCAATTCAGACCTTCGCCAACTGACAGTTCAGGTGAAGGCCCTCTGGGGTGACCAGAAAGCAAAGAAAAGATGAGTATATTATTGCTGAACAGTTCTCTTTCAGAAAAAGAGAATAAAATAAAGAAAGAGACCTAAGCCTTGAAATACAGTAAGTGGGAGAAAACCTGGTATTAAAAGTAGGATTAAAAATCTTACAGATTTAGACAACGAGACTGATCTCAAACCTGGTGAAAGCAGTATTTATTCTGAGTTGCAGAGAAGATTTAGAATTTTGGAAAGTACTTCGACACCATTCCTAAGTTCAAGCAATATTTTAATATCCTCTCTCTCTCTCTCTCTCTCTCTCTCTCTCTCTATATATATATATATATATATATTTTTTTTTTTTTTTTTTTTTTTTTTTGAGATGGAGTCTGGCTCTGTCACCCAGGCTGGAGTGCAGTGGTGCAATCTTGGCTCACTTCAAGGCCCGCCTCCTGGGTTCACGCCATTCTCCTGCCTCAGCCTCCCGAGTAGCTGGGACTACAGGCGCCCACCACTACACCCGGCTAATTTTTGTATTTTTAGTAGAGACAGGGTTTCACCATGTTAGCCAGGATGGTCTCCATCTCCTGACCTCGTGATCCGCCCGCCTCGGCCTCCTAAAGTGCTGGGATTACAGGCTTGAGCCACCGCACCCGGCTCCTCTAGATATATATTAAGATAGATCCAGAAATGACAATGACATAGATGCAAGCATTCCTTCATTCAAACAAATATATTTTTCTTTTTTTTGAGACAGCCTTGCTCTGTTGCCTGGGCCAGAGTGCAATGGTGCGATCTCGGCTCACTGCAACCTCCACCTCCGGGGTTCAAGTGATTATCCTGCCTCAGCCTCCCAAGTAGCTGGGATTACAGGTACACGCCACCATACCCAGCTTTTTTTTTGTATTTTTAGTAGAGATAGGGTTTCACTATGTGGGCCAGGCTGGTCTTGAACTCCTGACCTCAGGTGATAAACCACGCCTGGCCTCAAACAAGTATTTTTGACAGTCTACTACTATAGGTGTCAGATGCCACCTATGTTAAGTACCTTGGATACAATGATGAGCAAAACAGACTGCCTGATCTCAGAACTTCTAACACAGTAGAAAAGATACACATTAATAGAAAAATCATAAAAATGATAAACAAAGTTGCAAACTGTGATGTGTGCTATGAAATAAAGTATAGAGTACCTTAAGAGTACAAACTGGGCTGGGTGTGGTAGCTCACACCTGTAATCCCAGCACTTTGGGAGGTTGAGGCAGGTGGATCACAAGGTCAGGAGTTCAAGACCAGCGTGGCCAGCACGGTGAAACCCCATCTCTACTAAAAATACAAAAATGGACCAGGCGTGGTGGTATGTGCCTGTAGTCCCCACTACTCAGGAGGCTGAGAGAGAAGAATCGCTTGAACCTGGGAGGCAGAGGTTGCAGTGAGCCAAGATCGCACCACTGTACTCCAGCCTGGGTGACAGGGTGAGACTCCATCTCAAAAAAAAAAAAAAAAGTGTACGTAACAGGGGAACTTGGTAATAATAGGCTGCCTGTGACAACCTGACAGAGAGTCTTCCAGTGCAAACGATTTACAAAAAATAAAAAAAAATTATGTGTTAATTTTGCCCTGGCAGGAAGGGATCCTCAGATAAAAAGGTATTCATTGTCCTCAGGAGAGTGAAAGCATTAGCCTCACTCTCTCAAAGTTTTTGTTAGGTTCACATAAAAAAAGCATCTTGTTCTTGGAAAAGAGTCACCATCATAAAGGCAAGCAGAACAAACAGGCAGGAAATCGATTTATTCTATCTTCAATATACTGAGGTAAGAGGCCTTGAAGGTTGCTTGGTGGCACAGAGATATGGTCCGGATATGTCTGTCATTCCAACAGACTCTGTGACTGTTCAGACATTTGTCCATAAGCAGATGACATTTTAAAAATCAGATAGCCACTTTGTGATTTTCAGATTGTATATTGTATACACATATCCAGAGTCAACCTCTAGAGTTAAACTCTCTCTCTACCTTCTCTGCATCAGCTTCTACCACTCAGGCACACAATAAAACCTCATTAGCGACGTTATTCTGAAAGCTGAAGATGTATTACATTCCTAATGATGACACAGACAAGAATACAGAGTTCTTAACCTGTAACACATCAGCACCTATTGCACGGTAAACTTTAAATAAATACTGAATGACAACAAAATATTCAGGGGAACAGATTTTATTAGAATGACCAGAATGAAATGCCTGAATTTCTAGGGGCAGACTGACAAAATAGCTCTGTGATAATCAGAGATGATTAGCTGTGCTCCTCTGGGCCTCTAAACTCCTCAGAGTGAGGACAGTTTGAAAGTCTGTTTACTGATGCAGAGACATGATGGGACTGAGGCCCAGACTCTCTAACCACATATACTCTGACAAGGATTTGGATTCTTCAGAAAAAGAATATGCAAAAATCAAATTGCCACCAGATGTTACCAAAAGATCTGAAATACCCCATTAAGTCTCTTTACACTTCCTTCCATTTTTTCAGGTTCATAAATTTTCAAAACAGAATAGATTCCGTTCTCAGGGGCAAGTGGAACATGCAAGAAGTCTGGATGCCTTGGGCAACAGCAACCTACAGTGAGCCAACTGCTTAGTGGATGCCTGAAAACAAGACCATCTAAACATTTCCTATAAAATCTGTACCAAGTGACAGATACATGAAGCGGTGTGGGTGGCTGGGCAATGAGGCAATCAGTGGGAAGAGTGAACTGGCTGTACCTATAGGTGTTAAAAAAGGCAAGAGCTGCATATGCAATGAGCCAACATTAAGTGAATTTAAGAGTGACTATTCTCCATCCTCTTGACTCCCTCAGCTGCCCTTTTATTAATTTTTCTCTTCAGGCCTGACCTCAAATTTAATTTATAATCTAACTCTCCCATATAAAATATGGAGAGTACAGATACAGTTTGAATTACCTGGCCAATACCTATCACATGACTGCATATCATAAGTACCAGGATCAACACTGTTGAATACTATGAAGGGAAGAATCTCTAGAAGCTGGGAAATTTTGCTAAGTCTGCTAAAATCCTCTGTGTGGGTATCTCCCGCAGACTGTGGACACTTGAGACTCTAATAACCACTTGGTAATATTTACAACAATAAGTCCCTGGTGGCTCCCCTGCAGAAGCAGGTTGAGAAGGGAGGGGAAAGCCACATATCACACTTACCATCTTCTGTTTCCTGCCACACGATGCCTTCAAGGTTGACGCTAGTTCCAGGTTCACAGGGGCCCAAGCACTCAGGCTCTGTGGCCAGAGCCACATCACATGTGTTGACCCCAACTGATCGGGTACGAACCATGATCTGCTCACAGGGAGATGAGATGTCATTGTTGACCACTGGCACCAAAAGGTGTATTGGCAGCACTGCTGGTGTGGAAACAGGGGACTCCATCTGTGGAGGGAAGAAAAAGTAGTAGCTGAGTTGCAGGGAGAACATTTAGAGGAAATACCTTTTCTGTATTTAATCTAGTCCTATATCTATTCCTGCCAGAGTGCAGACGGCTATAAATAAGACTTTGGTTCTTCCTTTCAAGTTCTGGCTTATGATACCACTACAAATCTAGTGGTTTAGATGAGAACATCCTGTGCTAAGAGAAACTCTTATTAATGAGCGTATAATGATCTTCTTAATGATCTTCCTCATAAACTGCACTTGGCTAAAATGTTTTTTAAAAAGTTCTATTTTTTCCTCATCTCATTAAAAAGTCTCTAATGAAAGAGAATCAGGGCCAGATTTCAATAGTAACAGAGCACACAGACTGATGAGAAAGACAAGGCCCAGCATCTGAGGTATGTTTTGCTACCACCACTATGCTTCCTACCAATCTATCATTCAGCAAACAGTACATTAGTCTGGCATAAAATCCATGAATTTGGGTGGGGATAAAGAGAGGAAGAAATAGCCAAATCCTAGGAATGCCATGATTCCTAATGATCCTAGGTGCTTTAATACATCTTTGGCTAGAAGGAATAAAGTTATAGCAGGGCTGGGATTAACCTGGTGGGAATTTCTAACCCTTAGAAACTGTAACATGTAACAGTGGTTGTTTAATGAGAATGGCATCTTGGAATATAATTCTAACATCAAATTTATCTATAAGAAACAGGAGGTGCTGTTGCCACCCAGAAGCCAATCAACAGCAGTCTGAAGATGTTGTTGATTATGTACACATAGATAGAAATAGTCAAACATGGCTAGGCACGGTGGCTCACACTTGTAATCCCAGCACTTTGGGAGGCCGAGGTGGGCAGATCACCTGAGGTCAGGAGTTCGAGACCAGCCTGACTAACATGGTGAAACCCCATCTCTACTAAAAATACAAAAATTAGCCGGGCGTAGTGGTGGGCGCCTGTAATCCCAGCTATCCAGGAGGCTGAGGCAGCAGAATCGCTTGAACCTGGGAGGCAGAGGTTGCAGTGAGCTGAGATCGTCTCAAAAAAAAAAAAAAAAGAAAGAAGCAATTTGCTTCCAAAACCAGAAACTAGAACCTCTCACAAGAATGTAATTAGTTAGGTTCCAAGAAGAATGCAACCCATCTAGAGACAACATAAAAGTTGTGATGGGTCAGGTGCAATGGCTCATGCCTGTAGTCCTAATGTTTTGGGAGGCCTATGGAGGAAGATCACGTGTAGCCAAGAGTTCAAGACTAGCCTGGGTAACATAGCAAGACCCCACCTCTATAAAAAACAAAAATAAAAAAGGTATCTGTGTGTGGTGGCATATGCCTGTATTCTCAGCTACTCCAGAAGCGGAGGTGGGAGGACCACTTGAGCCCAGGAGGTTGAGGCTACAGTGAGCTATGATTGCACCACTGTACTCCAGTCTGGGTGACAGAGTGAAATCCTATCTCAAAAAAAAAAAAAAGAATGAAATGAAGTGGGCAGTGATCCTTTAACTCTTTAAATCCCAGAATTTATGAGGCTGACAAAGTCTATTATGCTCGAGTGATTGATGCCCCAATCCTGAATGAGCATAACGTCTTGCATATGCAAAGACACTCAATGCACACACTGGCTTATTTCCTCCGAAGATTAAGTATGATACTAATCAGCAGACCTAGAAAATGAGAGTCAAAGATTGGGACTTTCCCAATCCTTGGGACTCTTCCCTTTGTGAGGAATTCTTAGTCTAGGTCCTTTAATAGAGAGTCCTTTGTGAGGACTTCTTAGTCTAGGTCCTTTAATAGACTTCTTAGTCTAGTCCTTTAATAGAGACATTCAGAGAAGATCATACATGTATCCGTAAGCCAAGCTTCTAAATAGCTCTGCAACAAAACTCTGATTCTGGAATAATTTACTACATGACTATCACTCTATCTATAATCCATTTCCCTCCCACAACACACACAGAGACAAACACCTTCCTGGCCTTGAAAACTAGCCTATAGGCTGAGGTCTGGGTTCCGGATCCATTCTCCACAGTTGGCTCTGACTTCTTGGCTTAGAAAGTCATCACTATTTGTAGATCATCATTGTGAGTCCACAGAATGTTCATACACTGATTCTGATTAATTCTGGTCCCTGAAGAGCTGCCAAAACATCCTTGTCTGCTTGTCTCACACACACACCCCTTGTACTTCCCCAACTCCACCTTTTTCATGAAATGAAATGGAAGTAGAAGCCTGTATAATGAATCATCTACATTTATGATAAATGCCAAAAGGCATATTTGCTCTCTTGAAAACTGGGCATTTATAATTTAATTTCCCAACCTTCTTGGGATGTGGTAGATCCTGGAAAGATCTTTAAAATTTCCATGCACAGAAGTGAAGGTAAAAAACAACACAGAAAAAGTAAACTGGATCCTCCCTACTCACTCCTCTGCAGTGCTGGAACAAACTCTTGAGAGTCACTAGAGAGGGAAAGTTAGAGACAGAATATACAGATCATCTTTACTCTTGGCCTCACCTCTGTTTATCTATTCTTTCTCTTGGGGAAGAACTGTGACAGAAGCAGTTTCACAGCCTATATGTGTACTTCTTTTGCTTAGGGTTTGTTCCCTTTTTTATACTTTCTTCTACTCACAAGAGAAATTCCTGCAAGGTCCTACTGGACACAGACATTGGCCTAAACCTTCCAGGTCACCCCTGTGAACTTTCTGATTGCCTTGCTTGCACATGTCCTATTGCCAACCTGTTCCACAGCTCAGGCAGCAACCCTAGGCACAGAAGGAAGTTTACCCCAGGGAGACACCTATACACTTTCTCTCAGCCACTGAGGACAGCTCTTTTCTGGAAGTAGTTTAATTTCCTGCTAGGTTATTCAGTGCTCCTGGCAGGCTAGGAGAAACATATGCTAATACATTCTAGATAAAATGAAGTCCCCAGTTTTGCACCAAGAAATCCAGAAAACAACACCTAAAATGTAGGTTGGAAACATCACTGTTGCATTCAAGCAGTCTGCCAAATTATACCCTGCTATACAATAAGTGAAGAGAAGAAACTTCAGCTGAACTGATCACTAAGAATAACAGAACAGACTCATACACATGAGGAACTCATTAACAAGTATGCATCAAACTACCCTTACTGATTAGAGTTACTAGGCAGAGTTTGGCATCTCTGTTGTATGAAGATGACTTTATTTAATTACTTAGTTAATTAAAAGAGATGTTCAGGGATGGGGAGAAGCGACGAAATCCACCTATGGGTTTGAACTATTCATTTTCCATTTACTTTGCAACAGAAATCTAAGGAGAGATCACAGAGCAGCATAATAGTATTTAATTACAGCTCCAGCTCTGTTAATTACCATTTGGTCACATCTATAATCTAACATTAAGCCATAGTGCATAATAAGCTCTGTGATATTCATCTAATAACCTATGTGGCTTTACAGGATTTCATATTCTATTATTCACTGAAACAAAGATAGCTTCATTTATCACTTTCCAGGAGAAGATAACAATCAGAAAAAGGGGGCTGGGTGCAATGGCTCAAGCCTGTAGTCCCAGCACTTTGGGAGGCCAAGGCAGGAGGAGTGCTTGAGTCCAGGAGTTTGAGACCAGCCAGGGCAACATTGTGAGACCCTGTCTTTACAAAAAATTAAAAACAAAAACAAAAACAAAAACAACTAGCTGGGTGTGTTGGCACACACCTGCAGTCCTAGCTACTTGGGACGCTGAGGTAGGAGTGACACGGGTGTGCTGGGTAGAGAACGTGGTCCCTTTAAATGATACAGAAGGGGGTAAGGGAAGTGCTGGGTAGAGGAGGGCATGGTCCCTGGCTAGGGCTCCATCAGGGGCCTGTGTCCACGGACCTAGGTAGATAGGCATTTTTGTTTTCCCGCCCAAATGTTGGATTTCCCAAGACCACCCTGGCCTGCCACAGCCCCTCCCTGTGCCTATAAAAACTCCCCAGACCCTAGCAGGCAGACACACAAGCGGCTGGACTTCTAGAGGAACACATTGGCAGAAGAAGACACAGCGGCTGGACCTCGAGAGGGCGTTGAGAGGAGCATGCCGGCAGAAGAGCACACGTGGCGGAAGAGCACATGACAAATGCCAGCAGGCCGTGGAACGAAGCAGAGTTTGGCTGGGGCATTTGGAGAAGAGCCTGGGCCGCTGAGTAGCTGAACTCCAGGGGAAAACCATCTCCCTTCTGGCTCCCCAATCTGCTGAGCATTACTTTCACTCAATAAAACCTTACACTCATTCTCCAAGCCCACATTTGATCCAATTCTTCCAGTACACCAAGACAAGAACCTTGGGATACAGAAAGCCCTCTGTTCTTGTGATAAGGCAGGGGTCTAATTGAGCTAACACAAGCCGCCTAAGGACAGCTAAACTAAAAGAGCACCCTGTAACACACACCCACTGGGGCTTCAGATGTAAGCATTCACCCCTAGACACTGCCGGGGTTGGAGCCCCATAGCCTGCCCCTCTGTATGTTACCCTACAGGTCTGAGCAGCAGGGCAGTGAAGAAGTGAGCCACACTCCCATTGCACGCCCTGTGAGGGGGACAAGGGAACTTTTCCCATTTCAGGAGGAAAGTTTTGTCCCGGGGGTGAAGGCTGCAGTGAGCTGTGATCGTGCCACTGTACTCTAGCCTGTGCAACAGAGCAAGACCCTGTCTCAAAAAAGGAGAAAAAAAAATCAGAAAAGGACTCATTTTGCCATCTTTTCATATACCTAAAATATAAGAGCAGGGATTGTCAGGAAATTGGGGCCAAGAGGGAAAATAAGGTATAGGAATATTAAAAAGTTAAGGTCATTAGATGCCTTAATAACTACACCAACAAAAGTTAAGCTAATTCTCAGTCTTTGAAATGCTAAGAAGTGCCATCATGGCTCCTAGGGCTTAGCTTACTAGGGAGGTAAACAACAAAACAAAAGCTTGAAAAGAGACTTATAGAGAATTTAAAGAGGAGATCTCTGGAGTTTCCCAACACTTTATGTCCTTTATCTTTTAATACTTTTTGTTTGTTTGTTTGTTTTTTGAGATGGAGTTTCACTCTTGTTGCCCAGGCTGGAGTGCAATGGCGTGATCTCAGCTCACTACAACCTCTGCCTTCCAGATTCAGGCGATTCTCCTACCTCAGCCTCCCAAGTAGCTGGGATTACAGGCTCCCACCACCATGCCTGGCTAATTTTTCTATTTTTAGTAGAGACTGGGTTTTGTCATGTTGGCCAGGCTGGTCTCGAACTCCTGACCTCAGGTGATCCAACCGCCACAGCATCCCAAAGTGCTGGGATTACAGACATGCCTGGCGATAATTCTCTTTTCTTTGAGACAGGGTCTCGCTCTGTCGTCCAGGCTGGAGTGCAGGGGGTGATCATGGTTCACTGCAGCCTCAACCTCTCTGGCTCAAGCAATCCTCCCACCTCAGCCTCCCAAGTAGCTGGGACTACACGTGCACCACCATGCTAGGCTAATTTTTTTTTTTTTTTAATTTTTTGGCCGGGAATGGTGGCTGATGCCTGTGATCCTAGCACTTTGGGAGGCTGAAATGGGAGGACTGTTTGAGTCCAGGAGTTTGAGACTAGCCTGGGCAATACAGTGAAATTTTGTCTCCAAAAAAAACAAAAACAAAAACTTTGTAGAGACAAAGTCTCCCTACGTTGCCCATCCTAAAATGATACTTCTCAATTTACCTTTACATAGCAGTTTAAGGCCGGACGCAGTGGCTCACGCCTGTAATCCCAGCACTTTGGGAGGCTGAGGCAGGTGGATCACCTGAGGCCAGGAGTTCAAGACCAGCCTGGCCAACATGGTGAAACCCCATCTCTACTAAAAATAAAAAATTAGCCGGGCATGGTGGTGTGCACCTGTAATCCCAGCTACTTGGGAGACTGAGGCATGAGAATCACCTGAACCCGGGAGGTGGAGGTTGCAGTGAGCTGAGATTGCACAATTGTACTCCATCCTGGGCGACAGAGTGCAAAAAAAAAAAAAAAAAAAAAAAAAGCATGGTGGCTCACACCTGTAATCCCAGCACTTTGGGAGGCTGAGGCGGGTGGATCACAAGGTCAGGAGATCGAGACCATCCTGGCTAACACGGTGAAACCCCGTCTCTACTAGAAATACAAAAAATTAGCCGGGTGTGGTGGCGGGCGCCTGTAGTCCCAGCTACTCAGGAAGCTGAGGCAGGAGAATGGCGTGAACCTGGGAGGTGGAGCTTGCAGTGAGCCGAGATCACGCCACTGCACTCCAGCCTGGGCGACAGAGTGAGACTCCATCTCAAAAAAAAAAAAAAAAAAAAAAAGATATCAGTTTAATAACATATATAAGGATCTCAATGTTGGTAGGCAGATGACACAGAAATGGGGACTTGAGAGAATAGAGAAAGGCCAGAGTCATTCATCTCCCCACAAAGAGTAATTATAACTATATACCTACTTCAACTGCCTCTCACAGATGAGAGGCACTGATGGACAAAAATCTTCATGGCTGCAACATAACTTTACAGGTAGAAAATACACTGAAGGCCAAATGTGATGGTTTATACCTGTAATCCCAGCACTCTGGGAGGCCAAGGCGGGAGGATTGCTTGAGCTGAGGAGTTCTAGACCAGCCTGGGCAACATGGCAAAAGTCTATATTTACAAAAAATAAAAATGAGCTGGGCATGGTGGCACATCCCTATAGTCCCAGCTACTTGGGAGACTGAGGCAGGAGGATGAGGCAGCAGCTATGACTGCACCACTGCGCTTCAGCCTGAGCACCAAAATGAGAGACCCTATCTGAAAAAAAAAGAAATTCATTGAAGAGATATTTGAGATAGACCTTGCCTTTTCCCCTTCACAATGAGTCTTGTATCTTCACCTTCACAGACAAAAACGCAAGAAGGAAGTTAGTTCTACTGATAACAGCAGTAGTTCTAAGAAACTTTGTTTTATCCAAAAATAAAAAGGTAGTTGGGGATGTTGGTACATGAATGTTCAGATTTATTCAGAATTATCAGATAAGATTGTGTAGAAAGTAAGATGTCACTAGCTGGGCACAGTGGCTCACGCCTATAATCCCAGCACTTTAAGAGGCCGAGGCAGGTGGATCACCTGATGTCACGAGTTCAAGACCAGCCTGACCAACACGGCAAAACCCCGTCTCTACTATAAGTACAAAAATTAGCCAGGCATGGTGGTGCATGCCCATAATCCCAGCTACTCAGGAGGCTGAGGCAGGAGAATCGCTTGAACCCAGGAGGCAGAAGTTGTAGTGAGCCGAGATCGTGCTATTGCACTACAGCCTGGGCAACAAGAGTGAATCTCCATCTCAAAAAAAAAAAAAAAGGATGTCATCAAATACACTAAACATTATGTTGATAAGACGTTATCAAGACAGAGGCAGTAGCTCACACCTGTAATCCCAGCACTTTGGGAGGCCAAGGACAGAGGTTCACTTGAGCTCAGGAGTTTCAGACCAGCCTGGGCAACATAGAGAGATCTTGTCTCTACAAAAAATTCAAAAACTAGCCAGGCATGGTGGTGTGTACCTGTAGTCCTAGCTGCTCAGGAGGCTGAGATGAAAGAACTGCTTGAGAGGATGGGAGGATTGCAACCAGAAGGTTGAGGCTGCAGTGAGCCAAGGTACTACCACTGCACTCTAGCCTGGGCAATAGAATGAGATACTGTCTTCAAAACAAAACAAAACAAAACAAAACAGGCCAGGCCTGGTGGCTCACGCCTGTAATCCCAGCACTTTGGGAGGCCAAGGCAGGCAGATCACGAGGTCAGGAGTTTGAGACGAGCCTGGCCAACAGGGTGAAACCCCGTCACTATTGAAAATACAAAAATTAGCCGGGTGTGGTGGCGGGTGCCTGCAATCCCAGCTACTCAGGAGGCTGAGGCAGGGGAATCCCTTGAACCCGGGAGGCAGAGGTTGCAGTGAGTCGAGATTGTGCCCCTGCACTCCAACCTGGGTGACAGAACAAGACTCTGCCTAAAAAAAAAAAAAAAAAAAAAAAAAAAGCGAGATGTTATCTTTACCAATAATCCAAAAAGTGCTTCAAGATTTTACAGTGACTCAACATCAGTAATGTTAATAGTAATATAGGTATACAGGGCAGAGGGATTAAAATGAATACTCACTGATTCATGGATAAACATATAAATAATCCACCAAGGTATTATATAAAACTTAATTTGCTCACCAAATTCTTATTGTGGGTTATTTAAAAGAATGGCAAATAAAACCCCATTTATCTATTTATTAAGTTATTTATTTTTGTCTCTTGAAATACAGAAAAGGCCAGGCGCGGTGGCTCACGCCTGTAATGCCAGCACTTTGGGAGGCCGAGGCAGGCGATCACAAGGTCAGGAGATCAAGACCATCCTGGCTAACACGGTGAAACCCCATCTCTACTAAAAATAAAAATAAAAAAAATAGCCGGGCATTGTGGCAGTCGCCTGTATTCCCAGCTAGTCAGAGGCTGAGGCAGGGCAATGGCGTGAACCTGGGAGGCGGAGCTTGCAGTGAGCCAAGATCGCGCCACTGCACTCCAGCCTGGGCGACAGAGCAAGACTCCGTCTCAAAAAAAAAAAAAAGAAATACAGAAAAAAGGCTGGGCACATGGCTCACACCTGTAATCCCAGCACTTTGGGAGTCCAAGGTGGGCAGATCACTTGAGGCCAGGAGTTCGAGAGTAGCCCGGCCAACATGGTGAAACCCCGTCTCTACTAAAAATACAAAAAAAATTAGTCAGGCGTGGTGGTGGGTGCCTTTAATGCCAGCTACTTGGGAGGCACAAGAATCGCTTGAACCTGGGAGGCAGAGGTTGCAGTGAGCTGAGATTGCACCATTGCACTCCAGCCTGGGTGATAGAGCAAGACTGTCTCAAAACAAAAATCAGAAAAAAAAAAATCTTCAATTATTTGAACCACTTTCTGTTGACTGGAATTTTGAGACAAAATTCCATTCAATAAACAAGTTTAGGCCAGGCGGAGTGGCTCACGCCTGTAATCCCAGCACTTTGGGAGGCCAAGGTGGGAGGATCACGAGGTCAGGAGTTAGACCAGCCTGGCCAACATGGTGAAACCTTGTCTCTACTAAAAATACAAAAAATTAGCCGGGCATGGTGGCACATCCCTGTAGTCCCAGCTACTCGGGAGGCTGAGGCAGGAGAATCCCTTGAACCCGGCAGGCGGCGGCTGCAGTGAGCTGAGATCACACCACTGCACTCCAGCCTGTGCGACAGTGCAAGACTCCATCTCAAAAAATAAATAAATAAGTTTAAACAAGGATGATTTTTGCTTATTCTGAAAAATCAGCAATTCCTTGTCATGAGAGGCTAGCAGGTAGACATCATGGGATAATTAAGGATGGAAGGAGAAATCTGAATGCCTCCTTCCCACAAAGCTCTTGTCAGAATGCAACAGAATACCCTGAGTAAATCCCAAAACAACACAACATTTAACTATAAGTGGAGGAAATTCGGGTCCTTTTCTTTCTTCTTCTTCTTCGTTTTTTTTCTGAGACAGGGTCTCACTGTCTTCCAGGCTCATGTGATTATGGCTCACTGCAGCCTTGACCTCTCAGGCTCAAGCAATCCTCCCACCTCAGCCTCTCAAGTAGCTGGGACTACAGGTGCACGCCACCATGACTGGTTAACTGTTGTATTTTTTGTAGAGACAAGGTTTTGCCATGTTTCCCAGGCTGGTCTTGAAGTCCTGGGCTCAAGCAATCCACCACCTCAGCCTCCCAAAGTGCTGGGATTACAGGTGTGACCCACCATGCCTGGCCTCAGGTCCTTTTCTTTTCTGTGTTTTAGACAGAGTCTCACTCTGTTGCCCAGGCTGGAGTGCAGTGGCGTGATCTCGGCTCACTGCAACCTCCACTTCCTGGGTTCAAGTGATTCTCCTGCCTCAGCCTCCTGGGTAGCTGGGATTACAGACGCATGCCACCACACCTGGCTAATTTTTGTATTTTTAGTAGAGACAGAGTTTCACCATGTTGGCCAGGCTGGTCTCAAACTCCTGACCTCAAGTGAACCGCTGGCCTTGGCCTCCCAAAGTACTGGGATTACAGGCATGAGCCACCACGCCCGGCAGGTCCTTTTCAAACAGTAACTACACTTGGACCCTGCCTCTCCCCTGCCTTTGGAAAAGTAAATAAATAAATAAACAAAAATAAATTAAAAAAAAAAAAAAAAAAAGAGGCTCCTGGACTGCTGAGCTTCCAGATTTCACTTAGGCTGCCCTGAAAAAGAATTTGATTATAAATCTGGTTAATTTCCAAAATATCTTATAGCAGGAGGCAAGGAGGAAAAAGATAAAAAGACAGAGTAGCTGGCAACATAACCAGTCTTCAAACAGTTCTAAGAAGCTATATATAGGCCGGGCACAGTGGCTCACGCCTGTAATCCCAGCACTTTGGGAGGCTGAGGTGGGTGGATCACAAGGTCAGGAGATCAAGACCATCCTGGCTAACTCAGTGAAACCCCATCTCCACTAAAAATACAAAAAAAATTAACCGGGCGTGGTGGCGGGCACCTGTAGTCCCAGCTACTCGGGAGGCTGAGGCAGGAGAATGGCGTGAACCTGGGAGGCGGAGCTTGCAGTGAGCCGAGGTCGCGCCACTGCACTCCAGCCTGGGGGACAGAGGGGAATTCCGTCTCAAAAAAAAAAAGAAGCTATATATTCTATTATTCACAGAAGACTTAATGTAGTACTTAATTTTAACCAATCAGTACCTACTCAAGGTCAGCAGTGAAGGCTGTTCTATTGTGCACTAGAAAATGCAAGTACAGGCTGGGCACGGTGGCTCATGCCTGTAATCCCAGCACTTTGGGAGGCTGAGGTGGGCGGATCATGAGGTGAGGAGTTCAAGACCAGCCTGGCCAACATAGTGAAACCCCATCTCTACAAAAAATACAAAAAAAAATTAGCCGGGCATGGTGGCGGGAGCCTGTAATCTCAGCTACTCGGGAGGCTGAGGCAGAGAATTGCTTGAACCCGGGAGGCAGAGGTTGCAGTGAGCCAAGATTGCGCCACTGCACTCCAGCCTGGGCAACAAAGCAAAAGACTCCATCTCAAAAAAAAAAAAAGAAAAGAAAATTCAAGTACAGTGAACATTAAATTTTGTTTCTTTCTCTTTTGATTTTTGTTTGTTTTTGCTTTTGAACATATAATTTGAAGACTACAGACTTGCAGTCTACAGTCTGTTCTCCTGCAGTGATCCCTATACATTCTTGGGCTCAGACCCTAAATCCTTTTCTGCTAAAGAGGAGACAGCAGATCAAACAATCCTGATATTCAAGACTGTCTAGAAATTCCCAGTGTGTGGGAAACAGATAAATTATGCTTGAAATTTAACAAAGGAAAAAATCTCATAAGCAAAATCAGTGTGCAACACAAATCACATGGCAGTGTCCATTACTGTGGTAAAGGTTTTTGCTGAATGAAGCATCTCCATTGCTCTTCCCTAAGTCTTCTCACTCTACAATCTCCTGCCTGCTTGAAATTCACATTTTCCTTCAGCAAAGCTTATTAACTTTGCAGCTGATGAGTGATGATAGAGACCCAAGTACTTCCTCTGAAGCTGACTGTATGTTTACCATAGAAGGCTGATAATCCCTCCTATTCCTGTATGGTTACAAGGTAAGCATTAGGATTTGCTTCCTAAGAATAAAGAACTTCTGTAACTACTTCCTTTCCTGAATACACTTCTTTTACCTCCTTTCACATATGCATTTCCTAAAAAGTCAAGACTTAAGTGTGTCATCTTTACTCCACTCTTTTACCTTTAAGAATATAAAAACAAGTAAGCAAACAAAATGCAAAATTAAAAAACTCCACAAATCAAATAAAGTAAACACAACAGAAAGCTAAAGCCTTTTTCTGAAATCTTAATAATCACGATGTCAGAAGTCTTAAACAGCGATTCCTAGGCCGGCCCACAGAAATCTATTTAACCTATAACGTGGCTGGACCAAACTGTACTCAAGAACTAATGAATCATTATTCATACTGTCAGTCCTGTGAGAAAACATGAGAATTCTAAATTGAGACATCACAAATCACATTTTGCTCTGCTGTGGCTTAGGAAGGAGGAATGGGATGATTCTCCCTGCTATAAGCCAGCTGTTCTAAAACTTTCTGGTCATGGAAATTCTTAAAAAAAAATTATTATTTTAGAAACAGGGTCTTGCTCTTTCACCCAGGCCGGACTACAGTGGCGCAATCATTGCTCACTATGGCCTTGAACTCCTGGACTCAACGATCCTCCGGCCTCAGTCTCCTGAGTAGCTGGGACTACAGGCACACACCACTGCACTTGGCTATTTGTTGTTTTTGTTGTTAACTTTTAAGTTCAGGGGTACATATGCAGGTTTGTTATACAGGTAAACTGTCACTGGGGTTTGTTGTACAGATTATTTCATCATCCAGGTATTAAGCTTAGTAAATATTAGTTATTTTTCCTAATCCTCTCTTTCCTCCCACCCTCTACTCTTTTCTACTCCACTCTGTTTGAGTAGGCCCATGTCTGTTTGTTCCCCTCTAAGTGTCCATGTGTTCTCATCATTTAGCTCTCACTAATAAGTGAGAACAAGTGGTATTTGGTTTTCTGTTTCTGCGTTGGTTTGCTCAATTTTTAATTTTTAAATTTGTAAAGATGGGGGTCTCCCTATGTTGCCTAAGCTGCTCTCGAACTCCTGGGCTCAAGAGATCCTTGTGCCTTGGCCTCCCAAAGTGCTAGGATTACAGGTGTGACACTTCACCTTGCAGGAAATTCTTAAAAACTGAGAACCTTATTATTATTATTATTTTTTGAGATAGCATCTCATGCTGTCACCCAGGCTGGAGTGCAGTGGCTTGATCTCTGACTCCTGGGTTCAAGCAATTCTCATGCCTCAGCCTCCCGAGCAGCTGGGACTACAGGTGCATGCCACCACACTGGACTAATTTTTGCATTTTTAGTAGAGACGAGGTTTTACCGTGTTAGCCAGGCTGGTCTTGAACTCCTAACCTCAAGTGATCCACCCGCCTTGGCCTCCCAAAGTGCTGGGATTACAGGTGTGAGCCACCACACCCGGCCTTATTTTTTTCATATACTTAACATATTTTCCCCCTCTTATACCTAGTCCCATAAAAAAAAAAAATGAGAACCTTAAAGAGCCTTGGTTTAGGTAGGCTATATCCCTTGATATTTAACATATTAGAAATTAAAATGAGGCCATGCACCGTGGCTCACGCCTGTAATCCCAGCACTTTGGGAGCCCAAGGCGGGTGGATCACCTGAGGTCAGGAGTTCAAGACCAGCCTGGACAACATGATGAAACCCCGTCTCTATAAAAAAATACGGCCGGGCGCGGTGGCTCATGCCTGTAATCCCAGCACTTTGAGAGGCCGAGGAGGGTGGATCATGAGGTCAGGAGATCAAGACCATCCTGGCTAACAAGGTGAAACCCCATCTCTACTAAAAAACAAACAAACAAACAAACAAAAACAAAAATTAGCCTCTTAGATATTCGAGAGGCTGAGGCATGACAATTGCTTGAACCCAGGAAGCAGAGGTTGCAGTGAGCCGAGACTGCACCACTGCACTCCAGCCTGGGCGACAGAGTGATAAGAAAGAAAGTAAAAGAAAGGACAAGAAAGACAGACAGACAGAAAGAAAGAAAGAGAGAGAGAGAAAAAAAAGAAAGAAAAAAAGAAAGAAAGAAAGAAAGAAAGAAAGAAAGAAAGAAAGAAAGAAAGAAAGAAAGAAAGAAAGAAAAATTAAAACTAAAACATGCAAGTAACAGGGCTGGGTGTGGTAACTCACGCCTATCATCTCAGCACTTTGGGAGCCTGAGGTGGGTAGAATGCTTTAGCCCAGGATTTCCAGATCTGCAGGGGCAACATAGGAAGACCCCATCTTTAAAAATAAAAAAAATTAGCTGGGCATGGTTGCACATGCCTGTTGTCCCAGCTACTTAGGAGGCTGAGGTGGGAGGATCGCTTGGGCCCAGGAGGTTGAGGCTGCAGTAAGCCATGATCATGCCACTGCATTCCAGCTTGGGGGACAAAGTGAGATGCTGTATCAAAAAAATACACACACACACACACACACACACGCATGCATGCATACACACATATAACAATTTTGAAATAAAATTAGAGACAAAGAGAACAGATTGGCAGCTGCCAGGGATTAGGGGTGGGCAGGGGAAGGTGGAAGAAAGGTAAATGTAGTTGTAAATAGTCAACACAAGAGATCTTTTTGGTGATGTGGTGATGTAACTGTTCTGTATCTTGACTGGGTGGTGGATACATGAACTTATACATGGGACAAAACTGTATGGAACTACACACACCCAGAAAAACACACAAATGAGTACGAGTAAATGGGGGAAATCTGAACACAATAGGTGAATGCATCAATATTACCATCCCAGTTGCAATATTGTGCTAGAGTTCTGCAAGATATTATCATTGGGGAAACCTAGGAAAAGGGTACATGGTACATGAGAGTACTGTATTACAAATACAATTATATTAAAACAAAAAGATTTTAAAAAAGTTAAGAACCCCAAAGAACTTTTATTTATGTGGGATAAATTGACTGATGTTTACCAGACTAGAATTAAAATAAGAAATAATTTGGCTGGGCATGGTGGCTCAGGCTTGTAATCCTAGCACTTTGGGAGGCCAAGGCGGGCGGATTGCCTGAGGTCAGGAGTTCGAGACTAGCCTGACCAACATGGTGAACCCATCTCTTCTAAAAATACAAAAATTAGCCGGGCATGTTGGCGCATGCCTGTAATCCCAGCTACTCAGGAAGCTGAGGCAGGAGAATTGCTTGAATCCAGGAGGAGGGGGTTGCAGTGAGCCGAGATCCTGCCACCCTACTCTAGCCCGGGCAACAGAGTGAGACTCTGTCTCAAAAAAAAAAAAAAAAAAAAAGAAAGAAAAGAAAGAAGAAAGAAAGAAAGAAAGAAAGAAAGAAAGAAAGAAAGAAAGAAAGAAAGAAAGAAAGAAAGAAGAAAACATTTAAGGCCAGGTGCAGTAGATGACGCCTGTAATCCCAGCACTTTGGGGGGCCAAGGAGGGTGGATCACCTAAGTTCAGGAGTTCAAGACCAGCCTGGCCAACATGGTGAGACCCCGTCAGTACTAAAAATACAAAAATTAGCCAGGTGTGGTGGCAGATGCCTGTAATTCCAGCTACTCGGGAGGCTGAAGCAACAGAATCACTTGAACCTGGGAGGCGGAGGTTGCAGTGAGCCAAGATCGCGCCACTGCACCCCAGCCTGGGCAACACAGTGAGATTCTGTCTCCAAAAAAAAAAAAAAAAAAAGTATGCCTTAAGTTAGTTAAAATAACATTAAAAAACCTGTTAAATATTAACATATTATTTTCAATGTCTGGTTTAATAGAAGACAGCTGGATTCTCCATTCAATCTGTTGGTGAAATGTTTTGGTTCAAGTATACAAAGAAAATCAGCCTTACATAGAATATATATGGTACAGATATATGTATATGTGTGTGTTGTTTTACAGATAATGTATATAATGTTTGTATTTAATAGCCTTTTCAGATAACTGTGGATATTATTCCTTGATATGACACCAATAAATTCAGTAAATGATAGTTCTATTATTTATTTATTTTTTTTACTTTATTTATTTATTTTTTACTTTATTTATTTATTTTTTTTATGGAGTGTCACTCTTATTGCCCAGGCTGAAGTGCAGTGGCGCGATCTCAGCTTACTGCAACCTCCGCCTCCCGAGTTCAAGCGATTCTCCTGCCTCAGCCTCCCGAGTAGCTGGGATTACAGGCATGTGCCACCACGCCTGGCTAATTTTGTATTTCTAATAGAGACGGGGTTTCTCCATGTTGATCAGGCTGGTCTCAAACTCCCAACCTCAGGGTGATCCGCCAGCCTCGGCCTCCCAAAGTGCTGGGATTACAGGCATGAGCCACCACGCCCAGCCCATGCCTGGCTAATTTTTGTATTTGGAGACAGGGTTTCACCATGTTGGCCAGACTGATCTCGAACTCCTGACCTCAGGTGATCCTCCTGCCTCGGCCTCCCAAAGTGCTGGTATTACTGATGTAACCGTTTTAAACTATAAATGCTGATCTTGGCAGAAGTGGTAGCTCATGCCTATAATCCCAGCTCTTTGGTAGGCCAAGGTTGGAGGACTGCTTGAACTCAGGAATTTGAGGCTAGCCTGGGGAACACAGTGAGATCCTGTTTCTATAAAAAGTTTTTCTGTTTTTTTTTTTTTTTTTTTGAGATGGAGTCTTGCTCTGTTGCCCAGGCTGGAGTGCAGTGGCATGGTCTCGGCTCACTGCAACCTCTGCCTCCCGGTTCAAGCGATTCTTGTGCCTCAGCCTCCCAAGTAGCTGGGATTACAGGCGCCTGCTACTATGCCCAACTAAATTTTTGTATTTTTAGTAGAGACGGGGTTTCACCATGTTGGCCAAAATGATCTTGAACTCCTGCGCTTGCCTCAGCCTCCCAAAGTGCTGAGATTACAGGCATGAGCCACCGCGCCCGGCCTACAGAAAGTTTTAACATTAGCCAGGCATGGTGGCGGGTCCTTGCAGACCCGTAAGGCTGAGGCAGGAGGACTGCTTGAGCCCAGGAGGTTGAGGCTGCAGTGAGCCATGACTGTGCCACTGCACTCCAGCCTGGGTGACAGAGTGAGACTCTATCCCCAAAATAAATATATAAATAAATACATTTAAAATGCTAATCCTGCTAAAAGACAGACTGGTTGAAATCTCAGCTCTAAGGCCAGGCGCGGTGGCTCACACCTGTAATCCCAGCACTTTGGGAGGCCGAGGCGGGTGGATCACGAGGTCAGGAGATCGAGACCATCCTGGCTAATACAGTGAAACCCCGTCTCTACTAAAAATACAAAAAAAAAAAAAAAAAAAAAAAAAAGATTAGCCGGGCGTGGTGGCAGGCGCCTGTAATCCCAGCTATCCAGGAGACTGAGGCAGGAGAATCGCTTGAACCTGGGAGTCGGAGGTTGCAGTGAGCCGAGATCGCGCCACTGCACTCAAGCCTGGGCGACAGAGCGAGACTCCGTCTCAAAAAAAAAAAAAAAAGAAAGAAAAAGAAAAAAAAATCTCAGCTCTATTATTTAACAGCTGGTTAACCACTAATAACATTATGCAATCTTTCTGAGCCTCAGTTTCCTCTTCTGCAAAATAAAACCATCAAAGTTACCTATATTTCATAAGGTCATTGTAATGATTAACTGAATGTAAAGTGTTCAGTGTACAGTGCCTAGCTATATACAGTAAAAGTTCAAAAAATATTAGACAATAATAATGGTAATGGTAGTATCTTGTTAACTTAACTCCACCTTTCTAGTGTCTTGCAACATTGTTAATCTCTATTCAGATTTCCAGGCTTGAGATAACCACCTGTAGTGGTTCATGGAGATACAGTTATGGCTTTTTATCATGCTTTCCCTCCCTTCTTCTAGCAGGGGAATCTCTATTACCTTTGGGAAATACATTCCTTCACCTCACTGCAGTATAGGAGTGGGCAGATCTACCAAAACTACATGAAACAGGTTATATACAGGTTATACTGTTTCTTTCTTCCTTTGGTACCTTAAGCTAGAAGGACTAATAAAATCTGAAGCTGCGAGAGGCCATTTTGCCAGACTCACAAAGAAAACTTCCCTAAGAATAAAGCCAAATTAGGCCGGGCACGGTGGCTTATGCCTGTAATCCCAGCACTTTGGTAGGCTGAGGTGGGCGGATCACGAGGTCAGGAGATCAAGACCATCCTGGCTAACACAGTGAAACCCTGTCTCTACTGAAAATACAAAAAATTAGCCGGGCGTGGTGGCGGGCACCTGGAATCCCAGCTACTCAGGAGGCTGAGGCAGGAGAATGGCGTGAAGGTGGGAGGTGGAGTTTGCAGTGAGCCAAGATCATGCCACTGCACTCCAGCCTGGGCGATAGAGCGAGACTCCATCTCAAAAAATAAATAAATAAATAAATGAATAAATAACTAAATAAATTAAATTAAATAAAGCCAAATTAGGGGAAAGCAGAATGGAGGTAAGCAAAGACAGAATCCTGATGGGATTATTTGAAACCCTGCCTAAACTAATAAACTCCATTCCTGGGAATCTATAAATTCTTTGTTTGCTTAAACTAGCTTGAGCCAGATTTCTATCATAACTGAAAAAGTCCTGACCACTACATTACCCACAAATTTATATGCATACATTTTATTTAGTCACTGATGTTATAATACAAATGCTGAACAAGAATGGACCAAAGGCAAGAGTCCTGTGGTATACCACCTCTATCCTAGCTGACAAACATCTAGTCATCTATAATCTTTAAATATAGCTCTTCAGTCAGCTATAAAATCACCCAACTGTATCACTATCCAGTCCACATTTCATCAACATGTCATCAAGAATATCATAAAAGGCTTTTTCAAATACCTTGAAGAAATCAAGGCACTCCAATCTACCCACCTAACAACTCTATTGGGGGAAAAAGGGGAGAGAGAGGAAGTAGTTTAGCAAGCCTTGCTTTAGAACTTAATTTGGTTCCTAGTAAGCATTCTTTTTCTGGATTCCTTTCAGCGACATTAAATACTTACTATGGTGTAACCATTATACTATACTAAGTTAGAAATATAATATGATCCCTGTCCCAAGGTTGGGTGAGGTAAACAAATGTGAACAAGTAATTAAAGTAATGTCATAAAGAATGCAAAAGAGGTAAGTATAAAAGGAGCAGAATCATTTGTGTCTACCTGGGGGAGAGGCAGGTGACATTTCAGCCTAATCTTTTTTTTTTTTTTTTTTTTTTTGAGACGGAGTCTCACTCTGTCTCCCAGGCTGGACTGTAGTGGTGTGATCTCGGCTTACTGCAACCTTTACCTCCCGGGTTCAAGCAATTCTCTGTCTCAGCCTCCCGAGTAGCTGGGATTACAGGTGCCCGCCAGCATGCCTGGCTATTTTTTTTTATTTTTAGTAAAGATGGGTTTCACCATCTTGGCCAGGCTGGTCTCAAACTCCCGACCTCATGATCCACCTGCCTCGGCCTCCCAAAGTGCTGGGATTACAGGCGTGAGCCACCACGCTCCGCCTCAGCTAAATCTTAAGGGATAAATTCAACAGAGGAACAAGAAAAGAGTTGATTATTTTAGTCAGGTGCAATAGAGGCCACAATAGTTTGGCATAAAGGGGTTGGAGGGAGTGGTGGGAGATTACTTGTCATGATAAAGAAAGGCACTGTGGGCCAGGTGCAGTGGCTCACGCCTGTAATCCCAGTACTTTGGGAGGCCGAAGCAGGCAGATCACCTGAGGTCAGGAGTTTGAGACTAGCCTGGGCGACATGGAGAAACCCAATCTCTACTAAAAATATAAAAATTAGCCAGGTGTGGTGGGAGCCTGTAATCCCAGCTACTTCTGGGGGCTGAGGCAGAAGAATTGCTTGAACCTGGGAGGTGGAGGTTGCAGTGAGCCAAGATCATGCCACTGCACTCCAGCCTGGGTGACAAGAGCAAGACTCTATCTCAAAAAAAAAAAAAAAAATAGGACTCAGTGACTGACTCAAGTCAAGGAGGTAAGAAAAATCTGGGCTGACTTCAAGATTTCTGACGCCATTATCTCAGGAGATGCAAGAACACAACAGTAGCAACAGCAACAATGGCAAATTATTGGTGGAATAAAAGCGAGAAAGCAAGTTCAACTTTAGGTATGAGTTTTAAATAGGCAACTGGATGCAAAGGATGGGAACTCAGAAGAAAAGTCAGGGCAGTGCCGGGCACGGCAGCTCACGCCTGTAATCCCAGCACTTTGGGAGACCAAGGTGGGCAGATCACAAGGTCAGGAGATCGAGACCATCCTGGCTAACACAGTGAAACCCCGTCTCTACTAAAAATACAAAAAAAAAAAAAAAAAAAAAAAAAAAAATTAGCCCAGAGTGGTGGCAGGCACCTGTAGTCCCAGCTACTCGGGAGGCTGAGTCAGGAGAATGGCGTGAACCCAGGAGGCAGAGCTTGCAGTGAGCCGAGATCACGCCACTGCACTCCAGCCTGGGTGACAGAGCAAGACTCCGTCTCAAAAAAAAAAAAAAAAAAAAAAAAGAAAGAAAAAAGAAAAGTCAGGGCAGTAGTTAATAGAAGTCATGAGTCATGAGCTTGCTGGGTAAGACAGCCTGAAGAGACTGGAGAGAAAAAAGAAGGCAATCTGAGAGAACCCAAGGAACATCAACATTTAAATGAGTAAATCCAGGAAGAAAAGACCACAAAGAAGTCTGAAAATAATAATCATCATAACGATAAAAGCAAACTTTAATTTATTGCTTCCTGTGTGTGTCCCAGCACTTTTCAAAGCATTTTATGTGCATTTCACTTATTCCTTAAAACTACCCTCTGGGGTAATTACTACTAGTAACCTGCTTTTAAAGATGAATTATCAAGGCTAGAGGGGCTAGATAACTAACCTAGCCAAGGTTACTACTAAGTGATGACACTGGGATTCAGGCTCAGACAATTTGGTGCCAGAACCCATACAGTACTAAAGAATTAAGAACCAAAACTGAACACTGTCATAAGAAGTCAAGGGGAAATGAAGTTTAAAGAAGAAAATGGGCTAGTGTTAAATAAACTTAGCAAGAAGTTCTAGTTGCAGAAAAAAGTAGGGCCCAAAAGCTAAACTGTACTGGGTAAAGGAAAGCATGATGAGATGAAGGGAAGATAATTAGAATTTATTGTATGCCTACTGTGTGCCAGGAGTTCTACATGTTATCTTATTAAATCTCATAACACTCCTTTGAAGTAAATGATAGCTTTTTTGATAGAAAATAAACAGAGCTGCAGGAAGGTTAACTGACTTGCCTGCAATTACCTAGTTATTAAGTGACAGGGTCAGGATTTGAACCAATGTATGTCTGACTTTGAAGCTTATTCTCTTTTCCACTATACTATGCTACTGCAAAGAAGCTTAGAAGGCCAAGGAAGGAGAGAACAAGTAGTTCACAAGTGATTTGTTTATATCCTGTTCTAGGATTTTGCTGAAGATCACTGTTAAGCACCACGTATGGTCTGCAATTTTGAAAATTTGAACGTTTGCCTATCTGTAGTCTTCTGGTATGCTCCCATTTAGCAGAATACTCTAGACAATAGGATCACTGTGTGAAAATTCTTCTCAAATATGATTAATTTGGACTTAAATGTTTGAGCTCAATAAAACTCAAGGTGCTATGTCAGACAGAAAAGAGGGTACTTATTATTTAGTAGTCCTCTGCTTAAGCACATTCATCTTTTGTAAAAAGGACAATGAAAGGTTGTTCAATAATTTTATTTATTTTTAGATCTTGATTTGCACATTAATTTTGGTAAATCCTTAGGTATGAGTCTTAGTTCTACCCTCATTAGCTCTATTACCTTCCTCAAGTGATTTAAACTTTCCACATGAGTGTGTCATCATCTGTAAGATGGGGATTTAACTATCTTACCTGGCTGTTAGGAATAGAAGAGATGAGACCCGTAGACCACTTAGCATACTGTCCACTTCAGTTCATGCTCAGTAAATGCAATAACAATTTATTTGTCTCCTTCCTCAGCCTCATCGTCCATCACTGCTCTCCTCCCACTTTATGCTCTAGGTTTCATGGGAAGAAAGGGCTTTATTGTAAAATAAAATTATTTTACATAAAAAATTAATGGCAATGTTCAACTAGAGTGGTGGCATCAGGAACAAGAGGGCCAAATCACAGGACTTGGCAACCTGTTGGGTAAGGAAGAGGCATAACACAGAGGACTCAGAGATTTGCAGTGTGGGGAACAAATGGGAGAAGGTGATGGCTGAACTGCATAAGTTGCATCATAAAATGGCTCTGATTTTTCAGTACAAATATACTCTGAAGCAGAACTGAAATCATAAAGCAGTCAAGCCTTGATAAACTAAATTTCGCTCTACAACAACTCCCTAGAGCAAACCTCTTCTAAAACAGACCAACAAAACCCAAAATACCAAATAACAAAGACTATATAAATTTAGAATTTTGTAGAACATACTTAACATATAGAGCTTATAAAAATTAAGAGAGGCCATTAATTTTTCTTTTTTTTCTTTCTTTCCCTTCCTTTCTTCCTTCCTCCCTCCCTCCCTCCCTCTTCTCCCGCCCCCACCCCCGCCATCCCTGCTTTCTTTCTTTCTTTCAGAGATGGGATCTTGCTCTGTTACCCAAGCTGGGGTACAGTGGCACAATCTTGGCTCACTGCAAACTCTGCCTCCCGGGTTTAAGTGATTCTTGTGCCTCAGCCTTCGAGGAGCTGGGACTACAGGCGTGCTGCCACCACACCTGGCTAATTTTTCTGTTTTTTTTTTTCTTTTTTTTTTTTTTTTTGAGACACAGCCTCGCACTGTCGCCCAGGCTGGAGTGCAGTGGCGCATTCTCTGCTCACTGCAACCTCCGACTCCAGGGTTCATGCCATTCTCCTGCCTCAGCCTCCTGAGTAGCTGGGACTACAGGTGCCCGCCACCATGCTCAGCTAATTTTTTGTATTTTTAGTAGAGACAGGGTTTCACCGTGTTAGCCAGGATGGTCTCGATCTCCTGACCTCGTGATCCGCCAGCCTTGGCCTCCCAAAGTGCTGGGATTATAGGCGTGAGCCACCTCACCTGGCTAATTTTTCTATTTTTTAGAGATGGGGTTTCGCTGTGTTGGCCAGGCTCGTCTTGAACTCCTGGACTTATCTGCCCACCTTGGCCTCCCAAACTGTTGGGACCACAGGCATGAGCCACCGTGCCTGGCCACGAAGTTTCATTTTAGATTAGATTAATTGGCAAACAAATAATCATAACAGAAGTGAACAAAGGACTGCAAGTATCCTGCCCAGGGAATAACTGCCAGAGGGAATAGGGATGACTCAATGCTGGAGTGGACCTAAAGAATAAGTAGTAGTTTCCCAAGAAAAGAAGAAAGCATATTCCAGGCAGAAGGAACAGCCTCTTCAAAGGCACACAGGCATGAACAAACACAATGTATTTAAAGAACAACAAGCTGCTTGGTTTGGTTAAAGAGTACAGGGAGAGTTAAATTGGGACTTAACCTTGCAGGTATTAAGAAGCCACTGAGGAATGAAAGAAAGGGTATGATGTTATTGTATCTGTATATCCAAAGGTAAAATTAATAGAAGGAGGGGAGTAAACTAGAGAGATTGAAAAGGAGGGCTCCTAGGAATAAAAACATAAGTAAGAATGATCAGAAGTAGGGGGATAAAGGGAAGAACCCAAGAGACATTCAGGACCTTTAAGCAATTTGACTTTGCAAGGCATCAGACATGTAGGTAATCAGTAAAGGAATTAGGTATGATTAGAATTTCTGATTAAGATGGCTGAGAGATGATTTACTGCACAAATATTTACTGAGCAACTGATACATGCCAGGCACCAGTCTAGGCACTGAGAATACAGCTATGAACAAACAGACAAACATCTCAGTCTTTGGAGCTTAAATCTGAGTGAATGACAGTCCATCACTGAAAGAAAAAGAAAAAAAACAGGTTTGGTTTTGGTTTGGAGGGAGGGTGCAGAGATTAATGCAATTAGGTGTTTTTAAAATTTTTTACTTTTTTGTTTGATATCTTCTCAAAAACCAAAAAAAAAAAAAAAAAAAAAAAAAAAACCACCACAAAATAACTTTTTTTTTTACTTTGCTCAGTTGCCAGCACTACAGGAAAGAGAAGCCTGGAAGTACATTATGGGAAAAGAAGTAGATAGGTCTTCAGTGTAAAATCTGAAGGGGTCATGTGAGTATTTTTAAGGATTCAATAATATACATAAACACAAATAAAAACACAGTATATTTCCCATCTATTTGGCAAAGATGAGAGAGTTGAACATATCCCAGTTGGTAAGAGTATGTAAAAACAATAGGGACTTTTATGCAGTATTGGTTGGTGCCTTCTCTAGAGGGCAGTTTGGCAATATGTATCAAAATATAAAATGCACATGTTCTTTTGTCCCAAAATTCAATTTCTAGGATTTGTATCAAGAAGATAACAGGATATATATATATATATATATATATATATATATATATATATATATACACACACAAAGATGTATGATGGACAGTTTTCTTCAATGTTGTTTTTAATAGCCAAACCAAAAAATAACCACAAAACCAGAAACAATCTATAGGTCCATCATAGCATAGATCCCTATCTACATCAATGACATATCTACAACATATTTTTTAGTGAATTAAAGGAAAAAGTATGATGGAGCATGTACTATATTGGCCCATTAATGTTAAATTTAACTCTACTTTTTGTTTGAGAAGTGTTAGAAAATTAAAAAATTAAAGATAAATAAAAATAAACTGATCTATACATAAGTATATACAACTCATAAAATGCGTAGATCAGCAGATAGAGGCTGGATGTGGTGTCTCATGCCTGTAGTCCCAGCACTTTTGGAGGTTGAAGCAGGTGGATCACTTGAGGCCAGGAGTCTGAGACCAGCATGGACAACATGGTGAAAACCTGTCTCTATCAAAAATACAAAAAATTAGCCAGGCGTGGTGGTGCATACCTGTAATCCCAGGTATTTGGGTGGCTGAGGCACAAGAATCGCTTGAACCCAGGAGGCAGAGTTTGCAGTGAGCTGAGACCGTGCCACTGCACTCCAGCCTGGGTGACAGAGCGAGACTATCTCAAAACAAAACAAAGCAGATAGAATTAGAGGTTTAGATCTGGAAGGATGTTCTAGCCATCATGTCTATAGTAATATTCTAGATGATTTTTACTTTCTCTTATGTTTTTTGGCATTTAATTTTTCATTACATTGATAATTTATTTTTCTAGTTTAAAATGCTCTTTTTATTTTGAAAGAAAAGGAAGGAATATTTATATACATAGTGAAGGCTTACTATAAGGGTAGGGTAGGTAAGGGAAGAGATTGAGAATAGTGTGACATATAAGTAGATGGGGGAGGCAGAAGGGTAAGGACATTAAGTCAGAAGATCCACTGCACAGGTCACTGGGTGGTCCTGTGAGCTGGGGATGGGGCAGTATCTCTGTGACCTTCCTAGAGCAGATAGATATTCATAACCTAAAGATAGCCTGTATTCATTTGATTCTGGTTGTCTAGAACCAAGCAGCATCTTCCACATTTATGCAAATATGCAAGATCTTTGTTGAGAAATAAACAACAATATCAAACCCCTCTCTGTGGCAACCAGAATCCTATCTGGAACAGGGCCAGAAAAAGCCATGTTTTCAGCACTTCAGAGAAAACTGCCGCTGCTGCTTATCAAATTAAAATGCAAAGCAGATCACTCCAGTGTCATTGGGAACTGTCAGAAAGGGATTATGGTTCCCACCCCAAGGATGCAGGTCAGCTAAACAATACCCATCTTCCTGTGCTGAGAAGGAGGGAGAAGGAGGAGAAAGATTAGGTCTGTTTCCAAATAGCAGTCCCTCCTGCTTGTTACCGTGGTAACCTCCTTTCCCTGAGCTGCTCTCATTTGTCTCTCTCTGCCTGACCTTCATGTTGCTTTGACAGTAACTGAGGAGGAAAAGTGCCCGTCTGCCAGCTAAGCACTCAAGCTGAGGGCACTGAGCAAGAAAAAGAGGCACTCAAAGTCCCTCTCATTCTAGACTCTAAACTGTGACCTTAGAGTGATTAGAGTCCTGAAAGAGGTTTCTGGTGGCCCTTGTCATTCCATCCTTCCTCCCCTGTGCTCAGGGCCATCTCATTTCTTGGATATACCCTTTAAGTGTCAGGAATCTGGTCAGAGTCAAGTGGGTAGGTGAGAAGTCACAGAGAAGAGAAAAAACAAGGCACAACAAGCTGAAGAACAGAGATAATAAAATATTAATTCAAAACTGCCTAAGACAACTATCAGCATAGCAGTTAAGTACAGCTTTTAGTTTCCCTTTCTCTTCAGGATTTGTGCCGTATTTTCAGTCAGTAGAGGTGTAAGGGCAATTAAGGTACTTGGGGCAGGGTTGGTGAAAGGGTACAAATAGTGCTTTTTAATGTTTTTCAAGCCTAGGATAACAGAACCCAACCATTTAACAAATAATTATTGAGTACTTCTTATGTATGGCTCCTATGCTATACACACTGAGTATAGGTGGTAAACGAAAGGGACTGGTAAGTAAATACAAATTAGATATAAATTAGAAACTGCTATTAGGAGACAAATAGGTCATGTGATAAGAGAACAATGAGAAGGGAGCTACCTTGGGTAATCAGAGATGGCATCTCTAAGGCTGGATTTAAACTGAGGCCCAAAAGATGAGAAGGAGCCATCCATGTGAAGAGCCAAGGGATAAGCACTATAGGCAGAGGGAACAGCATATGCAAACTCCTAAGGCAAGAAAGAGCTTGGCATAGAGCACGGTGGCTCACGCCTGTAATCTCAGCACTTTGGGAGGCTGAGTTGGCCAGATCACAAGGTCAGGAGTTTGAGACTAGCCTGGACAATATGGTGAAACCCCATCTCTGCTAAAAATACAAAAAAATTAGCCGGGCATGGTGGTGCATGCCTGTAATCCCAGCTACTCTGGAGACTGAGTCAGGAGAAGTGCTTGAACCTGAGAGGCAGAGGGTGCAGTGAGCTGAGATCGCGCCGCTGCACTTTAGCCTGGGGCAACAGAGCGAGACTCCATCTCCAAAAGAAAAAAAGAAAGAGCTTGGCATATATTTATATATTTGAGGTCCATATTTCATTTCATATTACTAGACACACCATGGAAAAACAAGTCTGCTGATTCTAGAAGCTCAAGAGGCTGAGGGAATGGGCAACATTAAAACAGCTAGCCAAATGTTATCCAGTGATTTCACAAATAATTTATTTATTAAGCTACCAATCATGAAGATACTATGGACAGCCCACTTATCCAAAGTCTGAGAAAAATAAGAGCTATGATGGTGGGGTCAGTTTTCTGTCAATAGCAGTCACTGTCATTCCAAATGACACTTACTATGAGAGCAGGACTGATTTCCATTACTTAAATGGCATCCTCAAACCCATTTAAGACTTTGCCCCAAACCTCCTTAAAGTGATTTACACATTGGAGTAATTATCTTACAAAGGAGGTGGGAAGGGGCCAGGTTTTAGTCCCAGTTTTTTACCATTTATCTGTATAACCTTAAGTAAGTCACTTCACTTCTCCAAACTTCAAGACATGAGGTAGTTGGATGTTATGACCCCTAAGGATATTGTATTAGGGCTTGTTCAGCTAGAAATGATAGAAAAACCACTGCCAACCTGACTTAAAAAGAGAATTTAGTGGCTCTCGTGTAACTGAAAAAGTCTATATCACACATGACCTGATGTACGGGCTCAAATGATGTCTTCGGGCCCAATTTCAAACCCTCCCTCTCTTGGTGTTTTCTCTGGCACAGCTGCATTGTCAGCCAGGATCTCCTCCTAGGTGGCAAGGTGGCTGTAGCACTTCGATTTTTTTTTTTTTTTTTTTGAGACGGAATCTTCCTCTGTCGCCCAGGCTGGAGTGCAGTGGCATGATCTCAGCTTACTGCAACCTCTGCCTCCCGGGTTCAAGTGATTCTCCTGCCTCAGCCTCCCAAGTAGCTGGCATTTCAGATGCCCACCACCACGCCCGGCTAATTTTTGGTATTTTTAGTAGAGACGGGGTTTCACCATGTTGGCCAGGGTGGTCTCAAACTCCTGACCTCAGGTGATCCACCTGTCTTAGCCTCCCAAAGTACTGAGATTACAGGCACGAGCCACCGCGCCCGGCCCAAATTTTATAAACTCACAGCTCCAAACCCAGTAGAAAGAGACACATTCTTTTCTTTTTTCTTTTTTTTTTTTTTTGAGACGGAGCCTCGCTCTGTTGCCCAGGCCGGACTGTAAGCTCCACTTCCCGGGTTCACGCCATTCTCCTGCCTCAGCCTCCCGAGTAGCTGGGACTACAGGCACCCGCCACTGCGCCCGGCTAATTTTTTGTATTTTTAGTAGAGACGAGGTTTCACCTTGTTAGCCAGGATGGTCTCGATCTCCTGACCTCATGATCCACCCGCCTTGGCCTCCCAAAGTGCTGGGATTACAGGCGTGAGCCACCGCGCCCGGCCGAGACACATTCTTTTCTAATCACACTAACAAAAATCCTTACGTTCATTCTGATTGGACCAGCTTCTGGAGTTTAAAATCAATGGCCCTCAAAATCTTTACATTTTGTGACCAGGTGCAGTGGCTCATGCCTGTAATCCCAGCACTTTGGGAGGCTGAGGCAGGCAGACTGCTTGAGCTCAGGAGTTAGAGACCAGGCTGGGCAACATGGTGAAACCCGGTCTTTACCAACAATACAAAAAAAAAATTAGCCAGATGTGGTGTTAAGAGCCTGTAGTCCCAGCTACTGAGGTGGCTGAGGTGAGAGGATCACCTGAGCTCAGGAGGTGGAGGTTGCAGTGAGCTGAGATCACACCACTGCACTCCAGCCTGGGTGACAGAGTGAGACCCCGTGTCAAAAAAAAAAAAAAATTTTGAGCATTCTCCAAGTCTTCGCCTTTTCTGGTTTTAATTTAAAACAAACAAACAAAAAAAACAAAACAAAACATAGTGCATATGTAGTTTTTGTCTGCCCAGAATCCCTCTTTTCTGCAGAAAACTGCCTTACTCCCACTCCACGTGTTCCTAGTAAGATAACAATCACAGTGCCCTTTCAGCTACCTGGCTCTGGGAGTGGGTTCAGTATCAACCTATTCTTTCAGTTCTTCTAAAGTAAACTGCTGATGGAATATTTCTTTAGTCTTTCAAGAGGGCAGAGCCATGCTTCTTCCTTAATATGTGTGTTCATGACATAAAACCCTTCAAACCTCTCCTAATCTTAAAAGTATTAAATGTTTACATCTTCCTCAAACATAATACTTGATTGACAGTCAAGGAGTTCCAACACAAAACTATTAATATGGCGAGACAGCAAACACCAACCCTTCTTATCCACTCAATTATACTATGAAATGAGTTATGGTTGAATCATCAGAATGTTCTGGAATGGCTGGGTACAGTGGCTTACACCTGTAATCCCAGCACTGTAGGCAGGTGGATCACTTGAGTCTAGGAGTTTGAGACCAGCCTGGGCAACATGGTGAAACCCTGTACCTACAAAAAATATATAAAACATTAGCCAGGTATGGTGGCACGCACCAGTAGTCCCAGCTACTGGGGAAGCTGAGGTGGGAGGATTACGTGAGTCTGGGAGGCGGAGGTTGCAGTGAGCTGTGATTGCACCACTGCACTCCAGCCTGGGCGAGAGAACAAGACCCTGTCTCAAAAACAAACAAGAGAACATTCTGGATGACTTATTTCTCCTAGAACAACTAGATTTTTCAGACTATGAAAGGTTATCAGAATTTCACTGCATCGTGAACATTTTTGTGTCAATTAGCTATAACTTAAAACATTATTTTTATTTATTTATTTAAGTACAATTTCCATTTTATTTTTCTCCAGAGAATAGCCTGTCTTCAGTCTTTAAGAACTCACCTCCTTACATGGGCTTTGGTGGGGGACGTGGGGCAGCACCCGCAGGTCTAAATCGGGGTGGGGGTGTTCGGTCCTTGCGGGCTTCACGAGATCGATTCCTGACTACTTTGCTGTGAATTGCACAACTCACACAGTAATGCAGCTTCACATACAGCTTGGGAAGCACATAGGCATCGAAGACGCTCGCTTCAGAAATGTCCCTGACTGCTGCGGACTCCACTATGTTTCGAATGACGAATTTCTTAATGGCCTTGTCTTTGGGCACGCATCGGGCACAGTTAGTGCAGCGAATAGGCTGCATGTGGCCGCGGCCCTTTTTGGCACGACCATTGTTCCTTCTTTTCTTTGTCATCTTGGAGGCACGGACCGGAGAGAGCAAAAACATTATTTTTATTTTATTTATTTATGTAATTTTTTGAGACAAGAGTCTTGCTCTGTTGCCCAGGCTGGGGTGCAGTGGCGCGATCCCAGCTCACTGCAACTTTTGCCTCCTAGATTCAAGCAATTCTCCTGCCTCAGCCTCCCAAGCAGCTGGTATTTCAGATGCCGGGCTAATTTTTTTTTTTTTTTTTTTTAAGTAGAAATGGGGTTTCATCATGTTGGCCAGTCTGGTCTTGAACTCCTGACCACAGGTGATCTGCCTGCTTTGGCCTCCCAGAATGCTGGGATTGCGGGCCTCGTGAACCACCATGCCTGGCCAACTTAAAACATAATTTTAAATGCTTGAACAGAATTATTACCATTATTATTTTTTTGAGACAGTCTCACTCTGTCATGCAGGCTGGGGTGTAGTGGCGAGATCCCAGCTCACTGCAGCCTCCACCTTCTGGGTTGAAGCAATTCTCGTGCCTTAGCCTCTCAAGTAGCTAGGATTACAGGCACCTGCCACCAGAGCTGGCTAAATTTTCATATTTTTAGTAGAGATGGGGTTTCACCAAGTTGGCCAGACTGGTCTCAAATTCCTGGCCCCAAGTGATCCAACTGCCTTGGCCTCCCAAAGTGCTGGGATTATAGGCGTGAGCCACCATGCCCAGCTGAATAGAATTATTTTGAACAAACCAACCACGATTCATTTAACCAATTAACTATAGATGGATATTTAGGTTGTCCTAATTTTCACTTGTATAAACAAGGCTGAGAGAAATATCTTTTTTTTTTTTTTCTTTGAGGCAGGGTCTTCCCTCTGCTGACAGGCTGGAGTGCAGTGATGTAATCATGGCTCACTACAGCCTTGACCCCCAGAGCTCCAGTGATCCAGTGATCTATCTCAGTCTGCCAAGTAGCTGAGACCACAGGCACATTCCACCAGCTGATTAAAAAAAGGCCGGGTGTGGTGGCTGACACTCGCAATCCCAGCACTTTGGGAGGCCAAGGCGGGCGGATCACCTGAGGTCAGTTTGAGACCAGCCTGGCCAACATGGTGAAACCCCATCTCTACTGAAAATAGAAAAATTAGCTGGGCGTGGTGGTGTGTGCCGGTCGTCCCAGCTACTTGGGAGGCTGAGGCAAGAGAATCACTTGAACCCGGTGCACGGTAGGTCGAGATCGTGCCACTGCACTCCAGCCTAGTGACAGACCAAGACTCTGTCTCAAAAAAAAAAAAAAATTATTTTTAGTAGAGATAGGACCTCACCATGTTGCCTAGGCTGTTCTCAATCTCATGGGCTCAAGCGATCTACCCACCTCAGCCTCCCAAAGTGCTGGGATTATAGGCATGAGCCACCATGCCTGGCTGAGAGAAATATCTTTGCACCTGTTTCACTAGTTTCATAGGGTGAAGTCCTACATATAAGCAAGTAAAAGGGTATGCACATTTTGAGGCTTTTTTTAAAACATTTTTTATAGAGACAGGGTCTCGCTTTGTTGAGGAGGCTGTTTTTGTTTGTTTGTTTGTTTGTTTTTTGAGATAGAGTCTGTCTCTGTCGCCCAGGCTGGAGTGCAGTGGCGCGATCTTGGCTCACTGCAACCTCTGTCTCCTGGGTTCAAGCGATTCTCCTGCCTCAGCCTCCTGAGTAGCTGGGACTACAGGTGCATGCCACCACACTCAGCTAATTTTTGTATTTTTAGTAGATACGGGGTTTCACCATGTTGGCCAGGATGGTCTCGATCTCTTGACCTCATGATCCGCCAGCCTTGGTCTCCCAAAATGCTGGGATTGCAGGCGTGAGCCACTGCACTTGGCCTCGGAGGCTGGTCTTGAACTCCTGGGCTCAAGCAATCCTCCCAAGCTCAGCCTCCCAAAGTGCTGGGATTACATGCATAAACGAGCATGCCCGGCCTTTAAGGCTTTTCGATACATACTACTCAACCAACTTCCAGGCTTTCTGGAACTTAAAGAAAACTCTATGGTATTGCCTACATTTCCAGGGTAGTTTATTTACTCTTCTCAGGACCTTTTTAAGGTATTATCAGAAATGTACAAAGTTTTCTACTTTTGAACCTATTTGTCTTTATCTTCAAGGGATAACATTTTGTGTTTGTTTTTAATGCCAACAAACACAAAATGGTTATGGTTAGTATAACCATTACCTTGTAAACTGACATTGAAAGCTACTGCTCTTATCTTAAGGAGGTCTATATTGATTTCTGGATTCCTTTCCTGGGTTACATGACTACTCTAAACCCAGATACATATATATATACATATATATATATGCATGTATATGTGTGTGTGTGTTATGTGTATGTAAAATAAATATATATTTTCTATATATGAAGGCCAGGTGGCTCACGTGGGCAATTCCAGCACTTTGGGAGGCCAAGGTGGATGGATCATCTGAGGCCAGGAGTTCAAGACCAGCCTGGCTAACATGGCAAAACCCCAACTCTACTAACACAAAAATTAGCTGGGTGTGGTGGCACACACCTTTAATCCCAGCTACTCAGGAAGCTGAGGCAGTAGAATCACTTGAAACCAGGAAGCAGAGGTTGCAGTGAGCTGATATCATGCCACTGCACTCTAGCCTGGGTAACAGAGCAAGAACCCCTCTCTCAAAATAAAGAGCAAAAGAGAGAGAGAGATCAATTTATCCCATACGCTCTCTCCCCTACTAATATGTATGACCTTATATTTATTCATAGATAATATTAAAATAGTTCCGACCCAAAAACTTCAATACTGAGCACAATTTAAATCCTTCTTAAACCAGGACAATAAAAGGCTAGATTTCCTAGTATACAGGTTGGGAGTTCAGATTTCTAATCAGCAAGTAGTTGGCAGCCAGGAAAGATTTAAGTTCATAAATGAGGACCATGTGCAGTGTGTTTTTTTCTTACCTTCTCCATCCAGCCCAAATTCAGCTCTTCAACTTTCTAGCAAACTTGAATAATGTTTTAGCTTTAATCACAACAAGTATGATCAACCATACCACATCTAATTTTTTACCAGTATCCATTAGTCTCAATTTTCACTATCGCTTATCTGTGAATACTATCAAGAGCTTTCCAAAAGCATCGAGTTTTTCCTGCCAAATCTCTATAATCTCTTTAACTGTCTGGGTCTGTTTACAGTATGTAAAAATTTTTAGCCATTTAATTTATAATTTTAATCTTATAGAAAAATCTCACAAAAAAGTATATTCCTGAGAAGCTCCACAGATGTGGACTACTTTAGGAAGAAGTAAAGGAGGGCCTTGGTTAAGAACAGATGAGATAAGGAAAGAAATACTATTCAAATAGAAGTAAAGGGGATGAAGATAAATAGGAGATAATGATTACGACAAATGGACTTTGAAGATAGCCATCTTGGCTTTAAATAGAGCCTCCACTACTGGCTGTGCAACTTTAGGCAAGTTATTTAACTTCTTTAAGCCACAATTTTCTTGTTAGTAAAATAAAAATTATGCTAGTGTGTATTGCATAGAGCTACTGCAATAATTAAAGGAAATATATAAGAAGCATTTGGTATTGCTGCCTGGAACATAGTCTGATAAAATGCTGCTGCTGCTGCTGCTGAAGTTTCTGTTGTTATTAAATGTGCCCTAGGGATCCTCCAAAAAGGGCTTCATCCACTGACCTTTATCTCAGAACTATGATTAGCCTGATATCAGTAGGTCTTTTCAGGCTAAGAACAGGTCAGAAGTTGGCTACTAAACCATCAATTAAAAAAATCAGTTGAGTTCTTCTCCTTTTTTAGCTTCTCAAGACCACCCTTATTTCAGGTTGGAACATGTCCACACAAGGCAGGGACATCCTCCACAATTCCTGTACCAGTCTACACTGGGCTCCATCAGAAGAGCTAAAATGGAACTAGCTAGTGTTCATTTGAGCAACCCAGGACCAAATTCAGGAGATAAAGTCCCCAGATAACATTCTGATGTGTAAACCATCTCCCCTATTTGGGTAGCTGAGACATTTTCTTGGTTGCACTATTAAGACTGAGGGCCACAGACAGGCATGGTGGCTCATGCCTATAATCCCACCACTTTGGAAGGCTGAGGCAGGTGGATAACCCGAACCCGAGGTCAGGAGTTCGAGACCAGCCTGACCAATATGGTGAAACCCCATCTCTATTAAAAATACAAAATTAGCCAGACGTAGTGACACATGCCTGTAATCCCAGCTACTTGGGAAGCTGAGGCAGGAGAATTGCTTGAACCCTGGAGGCAGAGTTTGCCATTTGCCATTGCATTCCAGCCTGGGCAACAAGGGCGAAACTCCATCTCAAAAAAAAAAAAAAAGACTACAGACCAGGCATGGTGGTTCATGCCTGTAATTCCAGCACTATGGGAGGCTGAGGTGGGAGGACCACCTGAGCCCAGGAGTTTGAGACCAGCGTGGGCAACAAAGTGAGATACCATCTCCACAAATAACAAACAAAAAACAAGAAAACAAGATTGAGAAAGAGGTTGCCATAATCTCTAGTAGTCTGTACAGTCTTCCTCTTCTTTTTTTTTTTTTTTTTTAGACAGAGTGTCGCTCTGTTACGCAGGCTGGAGTGCAGTAGGGCAATCTTGGCTCACTGCAAGCTCCGCCTCCTGGGTTCATGCCATTCTCCTGCCTCAGCCTCCAAGTAGCTGGGACTACAGGTGCCCGCCACCACGCCCGGCTAATTTTTGTTTTTTTTTTTTGTATTTTTAGTAGAGACGGGGGTTTCACCGTGGTCTCAATCTTCTGACCTCGTGATCCGCCCGCCTCGGCCTCCCAAAGTGCTGGGATTACAGGCGTGAGCCACCGCACCCGGCCTTCCCCTTCTTTTTAAGGTCTCACTCCACTGCCCAGGCTGGAGTGTAGTGGTTTGATCGCAGCAGCTCACTGCAGTCTCAACTTCCCGGGCTTAAGAGATCCTCCTACTGGCTGGGCAGTGGCTCATGCCTGTTATCTCAGCACTTTGGGAGGCTGAGGCGGGCAGATCACCTGAGTTCGGGAGTTCAAGACCAGCCTGACCAACATGGAAAAACCCCTGCTGGCCAAGCTCATTTCAAACTCCTGGCCTCAAGTGATCCACAGTGCCTGGCCTGATAACTTCTTTAGAGACTCTGCTATCCACACTCATTTTCAGAAAAATTAACCTGGAGACACCACATCCATAGACAATCAGGAGTAATTTTCCTTTGTAACACTTATCTCAGGCAAAAGAGCTATTTTTATAGTGTTTCCCTACCAGAATAAACTGGAAGTTTCATGAAGGAGGGTATTCCCTCTTTCACATCTCCTAAAGGTCTCCTTCAACACTCTATACCAGGGGTTAGTGCTGTGCCTGACCACAGGAAGTACTCCATAAATGTTTTTTGAGTATAATCAATGAACACTTTTGAAAATCTAATTAGGTTAACTTTTACTAGTCTCGCCACAAATGCAAGAAAATACACAAATACACCACAATTTTCCAGAAACTTGATGTTTCATCCCTTTTTATTATGCCCTTTGAACCACTGTCCCAGAACTTAATAGTTACTTCAGGATTTATGAAAAAAAATGTACTGAAGCCCTACTACTAATTAATAGGTACTGTGCTGCTAGGTACTACAGATATGACACGGTCAGGGTAGATACAGTTTCATCTAAACAATAACCATTCCTTATATAAAGGAAGATGGAAAGACAGGATTTTTTCCTCGACCTCTTTCGACACTGAGATGTACAAAGACAAGGCTGAGATTTCAACAACTGGTGGGTGGCAAGATCCACTTTAGAGAACAATGAGCTGCTATTTTCTTCAGATACTCTAAACAGATAAACTAATTATTTTAGTTTTCGCCATCCTTGTGAGTTAAATTATGTCATTTCCTGTTCTGTAGAGTAGCCTCTCCTAAAATATTGATTAAACAGCAAAGCATTTTCCTTCTGGATCCTCTTCTAGAAAGCAACAGGCAGAGATAACAACTTATAGGAAGAAAAGCTAAAAGAAAAGAAATTATTATCTTAAAGAAAAACATCACTATTCTGGAGATAAAAGACAAGAGCCACAGGTTGCCACATTACAGCTGTCTCTCTGTATGAAACATATGGGAAAGGTTAAAACTAGAGACAACTAATTAAAAAGCATATATGATGGGTCTAATAAATTTGAGAAGTATTTCGTTTCACTGAACTCAAGATTTTTGCTGTCTTTAACTCTGTTCCAATACTGTAATAATCATCATTCTACCGAGTATTCCTATAAAGCAGTGGTCCCCAACCTTTTTGGCACCAGGGCCCAGTTTCCTGGAAGACAATTTTTCCACAGACAGAGGGGGGTTGGCGGGACGGGGGATGGTTCAGGGCTATAACTGTTCCACCTCAGATCATCAGGCATTCATTAGATTCACATAAGGAACGCATGACTTAGGTCCCTCTCATGTGCAGTTCACAATAGGGTTCCCGCTCCTATGAGAATCTAATGCTGATCTGACAGGAGGCAGAGCTCAGGTGCTAATACTTTCTCAGCCACTGCTCACCTCCTGCTGTGCGACCAGGTTCCTAACAGGCCATGGACCAGTACCAGTCTGCAGCTATCAAGGCCACAGTAGAAAATGTTGCTGATACTCATTATCAGCTCAAGTTATTCTTTTTTTTTTTTTTTTGAGACCGAGTTTCACTCTTGTTGCCCAGGCTAGAGTGCAATGGCGCGATCTCGGCTCACCGCAACCTCTGCCTCCCGGGTTCAAGCAATTCTCCTGCCTCAGCCTCCCGAGTAGCTGGGACTACAGGTGCGTGCCACCACGCCCGGCTAATTTTTTGTATTTTTAGTAGAGACAGGGTTTCTCCATGTTGGTTAGGCTGGTCTCGAACTCCTGACCTCAGGTGATCCGCCCTCCTCAGCCTCCCAAAGTGCTGGGATTACAGGCATGAGCCACCGCACCCGGCCGGCAAGATCCCATTTCTACAAAAATAACAATTAGCCAGGTATGGTGTCACATGTCTGTGGTCCCTGCTACTCGGGAGGCTGAGGTGGGAAGATCACCTAAGCTTGGAAAGTGGAGGTGGCAATGAGCCATGATCATGCCACCGCACTCCAGTCTGAACGACAGAGGAAGACTCTGTCTCAAAAAACAAAACCAAACAAAAAAACAAAAAGTAAAAAATATATTTCAGAATCCTTTAGAATCAGTCTCCTTCTGTGAGTCACTGTTTATGGGACAAGAATTTTATTACGCAGAATGCTGAAGTAATAAAGTCATGCTTGAATCTGAGTTTGGATGGCATGAGGGCAAAAGTAAATGAGCATTAACTAAGGTTACTGAGTGCTCAATTAGGTGTCAACTAGCTAGCTACACTGGAAACTAGTCTAGAGATTAAGAGATGAAACTAATTTGTTACTATATTCAAAAGAAATACATAGGGACCTTTTCCAAAAAATGGATATCTTAACCCAGTAAAAACCATTAACAATTTACTACAGAATTTTAAAGAAACAAAGCAGAAATATACCTCAGATTCAAGTTATTAGCTAAAGACAACAGCAACAAATACATATATCCAAGGCTACCCTCAGCATAAGACCATTGTGAATTAGAGAAGCTACCTTCCTCGGGGCTAAACAAGTTTAAGGCACAGTGAATCAAGCTCAGGTTGGATTTTTTTTTTCCCCAGAGTCTCGCTCTGTCACCCAGGCTGGAGTGCAGTGACACGATCTTGGCTCGCTGCAACCACCACCTCTCAGGTTCAAGTGATTCTTGTGCCTCAGCCTCCCGAGTAGCTGGAATTACAGGCGTGCATCACCACGCCTGACTAATTTTTGTATTTTTAGTAGAGACAAGTTTTTGCCATGTTGGCCAGGATGGTCTCAAACTCCTGACCTCAAGTGATCCTCCCGCCTTGGCCTCCCAAAGTGCTGGGATTATAGGCATGAGCCACCACACCCGGCCCAGGATGGATTTTAACCCATCATTTCAAATACCTTAAGCAGGGCCCCCTCTTTTTTTTTTTCTTTTTTCTTAGAGAGTCTAGTTCCTTATTTATTTTTTATATTTTTAAAAATAGCAGGCAGGCGTGGTGGCTCATGCCTGTAATCCCAGCACTTTGGGAGGCTGAGACGGGTGGATCACGAGGTCAAGAGATCGAGACCATCCTGGCCAACATGGTGAAACCCCATCTCTACTAAAAATACAAAAATTAGCTGGGTGTGGTGGCATGCACCCATAGTCCCAGCTACTCGGGAGGCTGAGGCAGGAGAATCACTTGAACTTGGGAGGCAGAGGTTGCAGTGAGCCGAGCTTGCACCATTGCACTCCAGCCTGGACAAGAGTGAAACTCCGTCTCAAAAAAAGAAATAAAAATAAACATAAAGATGGGGCTGGGTGCAGTGGCTGACCAGGTGTGGTGGCTCATTCCTGTAATCCCAGCACTTTGAGAGGCTGGGTGGGTGGATTACTTGAGGTCACGAGTTCGAGACCAGCCTGGCTAACATGGCGAAACTCTGTCTCTACTAAAAATACAAAAATGAGCCAGGGATGGTGGCGCATAACTGTAATTCCAGCTTCTTGGGAGGCTGAGGTGGCAGTGAGTAGAGATCACGCCACTGGACTCCAGTCTGTCAGCCAGGTGACAGAGCAAGGCTCTGTCTCAAAAAATAAATAAATAAATAAAAATAAGTAGATAAATAAATAAATTAAAATACAGACTGGGTTTCGCCATGTTGCCCAGGCTGGTGTCAAACTCCTAGACTCAAACAATCCACCTGCCTCGGCCTCCCAAAGTGCCGAGTCAGAGATCCTAGTTCTGATCAGCAGGGAACCCTCTTAAAAGGCACAACCTGTACAACTGAGGGTTAGTTGCTCTACTTATACATTCCCCTCCTTTCTTTTTTAAAACCTCAATAAAATGAAACCAAATAAAAATAGGCATAAATCCTTGAGGACAAAGAGCAAGAGAGAAGAGAATAGCAGACAAGAGATGTGAAAACCATTTTGGGAACTGGAAAGCAGATGGATAAACGTTAACCTAGAGACCAAAAAAAGATGAAACCTAAGCTTATAAAATTGGTAGAGGTGGAAGTGAAGAAACTGTTAGCAAACATTCAAAACCCAGGAAAAGATCAGCAATTTGTGGCATCAGGTACTCTGAAAAGAGCGTAGGGTTCAAAACAGGAAGATCGCTCAAAGTCCTAAAAGATACAATCAGAGCTCTAGATCATCTCCACTACCCAAGGCAGCCTCCTCCCACCTCCCCTACATTCACGATTCTAGCAAAAGTCTGAACATTTACTCAGAATATGTTGGACAGGCTGGGTACTCACCCGCACCATGCACAACTAAGAACAGAGATGAAATGAAACACTCACAGCAACAGTCAAACACAAACCCCTTTTTGCTCCTCTGGGCTATGAGAAAGCAGGCAAAAGATGGGTTGATTCCTCTAAGGGAAAAATGACTTGCCTAAGACAAAAGACCTACAGATGCTGGAAGGTGGATGGTCCCTCATCAATGGTCAATCAACTCCTTCCTATAGTAAGGGCCACCAAATGACAAGCCCCACCAATGAAAACAGAGCTTCTAAAACAGGACTATCGTATCTCACTTTTATTTTTATTTTTAAATTTAATTTAATTTTTATTTTTTATTTTTTTGAGATGGACTCTTGCTCTGTCACCCAGGCAGGAGTGCAGTGGCGCAATCTTGGCTCACTGCAAGCTCTGCCTCCTGGGTTCACGCCATTCTCCTGCCTCCTGGCCAAGATGATGAAACCCCGTCTCTACTAAAAATACAAAAATTAGCTGGGTGTGGTGGCGGGTGCCTGTAATCCCAGCTACTCTGGAGGCTGACGCAGAGAATTACTTGAACCCGGGAGGCAGAGGTTGCAGTGAGTCGAGATCGCACCACTGCACTCAAGCCTGGGCAACAGAGCAAGACTCTTGTCTTGGCCCGGCGTGGTGGCTCATGCCTGTAATCCCAGCACTTTGGAAGGCCGAGGCAGGTGAATCACAAGGTCAGGAGATCGAGACTATCCTGGCTAACACGGTGAAACCCCGTCTCTACTAAAAATACAAAAAATTAGCCGGGCGTGATGGCGGGCGCCTGTAGTCCCAGCTACTCAGGAGGCTGAGGCAGGAGAATGGCATGAACCTGGGAGGCGGAGGTTGCAGTGACCCGAGATTACGCCACTGCACTCCATCCTGGGTGACAAAGCGAGACTCTGTCTCAAAAAAAAAAAAAAAAAAAAGACTCTGTCTCAAAAAAAAAAAAAAAGAAAAAAGAAAGAAAGAAAGAAAGAGTGAATGGATAGGGAAATGTAGGATTGCTTAAGGCTAATGATTGTGAACTTAATGTGAGAACAGGCAGAACAGTTTTTTCAGCCACATGTAGACACACAGATACAGGCATGAAGTAAGCAAAAAGTTGGACTGAGTTTTTGTCGGTGAGAAATTTAACAATGTAGCGAAGAAAGTAATTATAATGAATACAAGTTCAGTAGGGAAGTACTTGAAAAAGAGTGTAATGCTCAGTACAAACAGTGGTGATTCACAGTGTCAAAGGATTGACGGAGCAGAGATTCCAGAGGAAGGGTGTTGTGAAAGTAGAAATGAGTGATGGAAGAATAGCATGCTTGATACTGAAATAACAGAGGAGATGTAGCTCTAATTGACTAGATCTAGGGCAGGAGTCAGTAAACTCTGTAAAGGGTTAGACAATAAATACCTTAGGCTTTGAGAGTCAATGGTGTCTGTTGCAATTACTCAACTTGGCTGTTGTAGTATGAAAGAGGCTATAGACGATACATAAATGAAGGAGTAAGGCTATATTTAAACAAACTTTATTTACAAAAACAGCTTGGTCCTGGTGCACTGGTCTAGAGTACGACTATGGGAGTAGTAGCTGAGACAGGATAGAGGTCAAAAATCTTTGGGAGAGACATGGATAAGGAACTAAGAAATAAAGATGTTGGAAAGATAATTAATATGGACATAGAATTTACCAAGAATTAAGCCAGGAATAGTGTTGGAGAGGGTGACTCTGAGCCAGGAACTAAAAAAGCCTTTAAAGAATGAGGGAGGACACTGGCAAAATTGGCAGAGTAAAGGATCTTTGAAAATTCTCTTCTCCATAAAACAAAAATTGTCAAAATCAAGTTTTTCAGAATTCTGGAAATTAACACCAAAGGCTTACAACAATCTAAGAGCATTTATTCAAGCAAAACGCCTGAATATCAGTAAGAAACATTGAGCTTTGTTAGCACCTTAACTTGCCCTACTCCCATCTCCTGCTCTGAAAAATCAAAAGCCTGCAATCACAGTGAAAAAGCAGCAGCTTGACAATCACTAGATGGGGCAGAACAGGGTTGGCGTGCCTGTGAAGCTTCATTCCCAGGGAATTATCATTATTTGACCTTTCCGGTGGTTCCCTGGAAGGCCCCACTTGCAAGGTTATCTATATCTGACCAGACTCAGAGCTTACCCAGCATAAAAAGCCTTTTCCCTGGGAGGTAGGAGTATTTGTGAAAAATATAGGGAAGTGCTTAACTTTGTGGCTGCCTGACCAAAAAAACTTAAAAGGAAAAGCTGGGGAAGGACATGTTCACAGGGCTTTCCTGGAAATCTAGAAAGCCGTATGTTTTCTAGATTGTCTGAGAGTAGAAGAAAATCTTTAAAAAAAGCAAGCCACATGTATGCACAAGGACGTATACATGCCCAGGGCTGAGGCCACGCTCAGTAAAGTACTGAGAAGGCCCTAAACTCTCACCTCCGGTTGACCTTGAAGCTCTGCACAAGCAGAAAGTGAAGGCTAGGCCAGGATGGTGACATGCATATAGTCCCAGCTACTCAGGAGGAGGAAGCAGGAAGACAGCTTGAGGCCAGGAGTTCAAGGTCACAGTGTGCTATGAGTGTAACTGTGAATAGCCACTGAACCAGCCTGGGCAATATGGTGAGACCCCCGTCTCTAAAAAAATTTAAAAATAAAATTGTCTGGGCAACAGAGCGAGACTGTCTCAAAAAAAAAAAAAAAAAAAAAAAAAAAAGAAGACATTGAAGACTAGAAAACAGAGTTGTCAACTGCTGAGTATTTAATTCTATATCCAGCAAAACTATCCATTAAAAAACAAGGAAAAATTAAGATATTCCCAGATAAAAAAGAACTGAGAGGCTGGGCGTGGTGGCTCATGCCTGTCATCCTAGCACTTTGGGAGGCCACGGTGGGAGGATCACTTCAGGTCAGGAGTTCGAGACCAGCCTGGCCAACAAGGTGGAACCCCATCTCTACAAAAATTAGCTAGGCATGGTGGCGTATGCCTGTAGTCCCAGTTACTCGGGAGGCTGAGGCAGGAGAATCACTTCAACCCAGGAGGCAGAGGTTGCAGACTGCACCACTACACTCCAGCCTAGGCGACAGAACGAGACTCTGTCTCAAAAAAAAAAAAGAAAAGAAAAGAAAAGAAAAGAACTGAGAGAGTTCATTGCTAGTAGACCTGCCCTACAAGAAATACTAAAGGGAATCTTTAAGTGAAATGACAGGGCACTAGGCAATAACTTGAATCCACACAAAGAAAGAATGTTAGTAAAGCTAACTCCCCCATAGCTGTATTAAATGACAGCAGCAATAAGAAACTATTACCATAAACTCAGTGGCTTAAAACAATGCAAATTTATTATCATACAGTTCTGGAGTTCAAAAGTCTAAAATGGTTCTCTCTGAACTAAAATTAAGATGTCAGCAGGGCTGCATTTCATTGTGGAGGCTCTAGGAGATAATCCATTTTTCTTGCTTTTTCTAGGCTTTAGGAGGCTGTCTAAATTCCTTGGCTCATCCCCTCCCTCCATCTTCAAACTAAGTAGTATACCATTTTTAAATCTCTCTCTGACTCTGACTCTCTTGCCCTCTTCTTCCCTTACAAGAACCCTTGTGATTACATTGGAACCATTGGATAATCTAAGCTAATCCCCCCACCTCAAAATCCTTAATTTAATCACATCTATAAAATCTCTTTTGCCAGGTAAGGTAACATATTCACAGGTTCCAGGGAATAAGAAATAGATTTTTTTTGGAGGAGGCAGTATTCTGCCTACCTGCCATAGTAGGTAAATACAAAAGACTGTATAAATGTATTTTTTATTTATAACTTTTTTCTCATATCTGACTTAAAAGACAACTGCATAAAGCAATATTTATAATATGTGTTGATGGGTATACGTCATTTGTATGACAATAATAGCACAAAGGACAAAGAAGGGAACAGAGCTATACAAAAACACAAGTTTTTTTTTTTTGTTTGTTTGTTTTCCTGTGTCGCCCAGGCTGGAGTGCAGTAGCAAGATCACAGCTCACTGCGACCTCTGCCTCCTGGGCTTAAGTGATTCTCCTGCCTCACCCTCCCAAGTAGCTGGGACTACAGGCACCTACCACCACACCTAATTTTTTTTGTACTTTTAGTAGAGACAGGGTTTCACCATGTTGGCCAGGCTAGTATCGAACCCCTGACTTCAAATGATCCACCTGCCTAGGCCTCCCGCACCTGGGATTTCAGGTGTGAGCCAGTAGGTCTGGCTACTTTTTTTTTTTTTTTTTTTGAGACAGGGTCTTGCTCTATCACCCAGACTGTAGAGCAATGGAACAATCACAACTGACTGCAGCTTGACCTCCTGGGCTCAACTCATCCTCCCACCTCAGCCTCCCAAGTAGCTGAGACTATAGGCATGCATGTACCATCACTTCTTTGCATGTACCATCACTTCTTTTTGTTTTCTCTGTTCTAGCTAATTCTTAAATTTTTTGTAGAGATGGGTCTCCCTACACTATACACAATAGAACATATCTATTTAACACAAAAGAGGGCTGTGATGGAGGGAAAGAGGAACAAAAAAGACATAAAAAAATAGCAAAATGTAGATGCAAATCTTTTTTGTTTTATAATTTTTAATGAAAATTTTTTTAATTTTTAAAAAATCCAGATCCTGCACAATTTTGTTGTTTTTTCTGAGACAAGTTCTCTCTCTGTCACCCAGGCTGGAATATAGTGGCCCTATCAAAGCTCACTGCAGCCTCAACCTCTTGGGCTCAAGCAATCCACCCACCAATCAGCCTCTAGAGTAGCCAGGACTACACGCACATGCCACCATACCCATATAGTTTTTGTACTTTTTTGTACAGATGGGATTTCGCCATGTTGCTGAGGCTGGTCTTAAACTCCTGAGCTCACGCAATCCATGCGCCTTGGCCTCCCAAAGTGCTAGAATTACAGGCCTGAGCCACCATGTCTGGTCATAATTTTTTGTTTGTTTGTTTTTTGAGACAGAGTCTTGTTCCGTCGCCCAGGCTAGAGTGCAATGGCACGATCTCAGCTACTGCAACCTCCACCTCCCGGGTTCAAGCTATTCTCCTGCCTCAGCCTCCTGAGTAGCTGGGACTACAGGTGCACGCCACCACACATGGCTGATTTTTGTATTTTTAGTAGAGACGGGGATTCACCATGTTGGTCAGGCTGATCTCGAACTCCTGGCCTTGTGATCCGCCCACCTCAGCCTCCCAAGGTGCTGGGATTACAGTCGTGAGCAACTGTGCCCGGCTCATAAACCTTATTAAATAATTAATTTTCCTGTAAATGAATCATTCCAAGTAAAGAATGAGAGGGAGCAACTCCAAAATCTATAAGATAACTAAAATAGACTAATGACAAGACTTAGGACTGCAGTGAAGCAAGATCATTCAGTAATGTTCACAACCTTTTTTGATATAAAAAAAAAACCTTGGCTGGGCGCAGTGGGCTGAGATCATGCCATTGCACTCCAGGCTGGGCGACAGTGCAAGACTGTCTCAAAAAAATAAAAAAATAAATAAATAAATCTTAAACTTTTATTTAGTAAAAATCTATCAATCTTTTCCTTTATGTTTTTTTCCCTATGCAGTCACACTTACAAAGTCATTCATATCCTAACAAGCAGATAAAAAATAATTATCTATATTTTATTTTTTCTGTTTTCTTGCAGGGAAGGGGGGTGGGTTTCACTATGTTGCCCAGGCTAGTCTTGAACTCCTGGCCTCAAGCAATCCTCCCACCTTGACCTCCTAAAGTGTTGGGTTACAGGCATAAGCCACTGCACTAAGCCTGCTTTCTTTTTTTGAGACGGAGTTTCGCTCTTGTTGCCCAGGCTGGAGTGCAGTGGTGCGATCTCTGCTCACTGAAACCTCTGACTCCTGGGTTCAAGCGATTCTCCTGCCTCAGCCTCCCAAGTAGCGGGGATTACAGGCATGTGTCCCCATACCCGACCTTGTTTTCTTTATATATATACACATATATATGTATATATTTATATGTGTATATATACACATATATATGTATATATTTATATGTGTATATATACACATATATATGTATATATTTATATGTGTATATATACACATATATATGTATATATTTATATGTGTATATATATACATATATATGTATATATTTATATGTGTATATATATACATATATATGTATATATTTATATGTGTATATATATACATATATATGTATATATTTATATGTGTATATATATACATATATGTGTATATATTTATATGTGTATATATATACATATATGTGTATATATTTATATGTGTATATATATACATATATGTGTATATATATACATATATATGTATATATTTGTGTGTATATATATACATATATGTATATATTTGTGTGTATATATATACATATATGTATATATTTGTGTGTATATATATACATATATATGTATGTATTTGTGTGTATATATATACATATATATGTATTTGTGTGTATATATACACATATATGTATATATTGTGTGTATATATACACATATGTATATATTTGTGTGTATATATACACATATATGTATATATTTGTGTGTATATATACATATATGTATATATTTGTGTATATATACATATATGTATATATTTATGTGTATATATACATATATATATTTATGTGTATACATACATATATATATTTATGTGTATACATACATATATATATTTATGTGTATATATACATATATGTATATATTTATATGTATATATACACATATATGTATATATACATATATATGTATATATTTATATGTGTATATATATGATTCTTAAAATGGGCCTTCAGTTCATTCTTTTTTTTTTTTTTTTTTTTTTGAGATGGAGTCTCGCTCTGTCTCCCAGGCTGGAGTGCAGTAGCATGATCTCAGCTCACTGCAACCTCCACCTCCCAGGCTGGTCTCGAACTCCTGACCTCGAGTGATCCATTCGCTTCAGTCTCCCAAAGTGCTGGGATTACAGGCTTGAGCCACCACGCCTGGCTCCATCCACTATTTTGAGGATTCCTTTAACCTTTCTTGTTTATTGAATTTCATCTTTCCTCTATCACATCTTCCTTTTCGTAGAAACATCCAGTAGCTTTCTAGAATAGGGCATGGAAGTTAGATTTTTTAAAGATATTGCAAGTTTATTTTAGCCCCCATTCTGGGATATAATTTATAGCAGTGACGTGTGTTGACTTTTTTTTTTTCTAGAACAAAATTCTGATAAAAAATTCTGAATTGACATCATAACTAAGAAGCACATGACTAGAGAAATCTGTATCAGAATTTATAATATATTTAAGCTAGCCTAAAGTCAGTATTAATGTTTAAAGAAAGCCTCATGAAACTGGCAGCAAGTAGACACTGAATAAAAGATTATTATTAATAACAACAACCACATTTATACCTGTAAGTTATAATATAAACTAAGTAGATAAATTTGACCTAAAAGAAGGCAAACCAGGGGTTTTGGTTTCTCAAGGTGCCTAATCCTGATTAGCCCCCATTTTTATTAATTTTTCAAGTATATCAAGTAATTATTATTATTATTATTTGAGACTGAGTCTCGCTCTGTCGCCCAGGCTGGAGTGCAGCGGCGCGATCTCGGCTCACTGCAAGCTCCGCCTCCCAGGTTCGTGCCATTCTCCTGCCTCAGCCTCCCAAGTAGCTGGGACTACAGGTGCCCGCCACCGCGCCTGACTAATTTTTTGTATTTTTAGAAGAGACGGGGTTTCACTGCGTTAGCCAGGATGGTCTTGATTTCCTGACCCCGTGATCCACCTGCCTCGGCCTCCCAAAGTGCTGGGATTACAGGCGTGAGCCACCTTGCCCGGCCAAGTATATCAAGTAATTATTTATATTTTCTCAGATAAAACCAGCTTGCTTGGTTAGAATGTAGATTAAGTTCCAAATTTTGGCAAAATTCAAGTGGCTATCTTTAAGTTTACCTTGCTTAAATTTCATAACCTTTTTGTAAATATACAAATACTACCTGGGATCCCATTAATTTATATAATTAATAGTACACAAAACCAAAACCATGAATAAGAAAAGAGAATTCGGTATTAAGAGAAAATAAATACGTTGACCTCCCTAAGAAAACAGAAGTTCCTCCATGGTTGTTATTCCCATCCTGTGTCCAAAAGATTATTATTGCCAGAAATTCTGTATGTGCAAAAAAATCCTACTGATTATAGATAACCTCTGGTTTTCCCCTCTTCTTCCTTTTTTTTTTTTGAAATGGAGTTCTTGTTGCCCAGGCTGGAGTGCAATGGTGCGATCTAGGCTCACTGCAACCTCCGCCTCCCAGGTTCAAGTGATTTTCCTGCCTCAGCCTCCTGAGTAGCTGGGAATACAGGCATGTGCCACCACACCCAGATAATTTTGTATTTTTAGTAGAGACGGGGTTTCTCCATGTTGGTTAGGCTGGTCTTGAACTCCAGATGTCAGGTAATCCACCCGCCTCAGCCATATCCAGATTCTTGTCTTCCACAGAAACCCCGGGATTTGGTTTTGACTCTTTCACACTTTGAGGCTGTTTCCTTCTTGTTCTTAGTTAAAAATGAAAAGCACTTTCCACATCACCAACAAAAGCAATTCAGCAGGATTCATTTCTATATACTGTGCTGCCACATACAAGCCCCATTAATGAACAGCATAAGGGACTAGGGCATGGCTTGGTAAAATGAATAGTGCTTCAGGAGGAGTCCAACTCTGCAAGCTGCTGCTTTTAGAAAAATGCATTTAACTACAGCCACAGGTCCCTCCCTCCTCTTGCTTCAAAATCAGATGTTCACCCATCCCTAGCAGTAAGATAAAGACCTTAGAAAGAGAGTTCTGACAGCAAACCACAGAGGCTGCAGACACATTTCGTTTTAATTCCATCAGCAACTGCTAAGCAATTAATGAAATAGAGAGGAGGGAGGGGGCATCAGGGCAAAGAGAAAAGGGACTTGAGCAATCATGTGGAAATACTTCATCCTCATCCCAATGAGAGCAGGTTATCTGGGGCAGCTGTACAAAGCTTCAAATCCTTGAATTTGAACTCCCAGGCCACTTCCCAAGCAGCAATAAAGATATGTAGTCCAGATTTTGTCTTGCTTACAGTTTTATATCTCTCATATACTTGCCTGTAGCCACCAACAAAGGGAAGAAAGAGTGAAAGACAACAGATCAAGTGAGTGATTCAGCTATTAAGTCCCTTGGGCAGATTCTATGCTTTGCATAATATGGACTATGAGGATCAGGAGATACTAAATACTAACAGCAGTGATTCATCAGAAGCATGTATGTACTAGGCCTAGGGCATGGTGGGACAGGAACTCCATCAATAAACCCCTGCAGGTTCCTTCTTTACCAAGCTGTATCCTTAACCTATCACAGAAAAGGCAATAAAACAAAAAACTACTGACAAAAACTTCTCAGAGAGAAAGTAAATTCTCAAATGGGGTGTGGGTGCCAAAAAAAAAAAAAAAAAAAAAAAAATCCAGCATGAAAGAGAAATAAAAGCTCAAAAAAGGCTAATGCAGTGCCACAATTCCAGCTGTTAGCCCCTCAGTGAACAGGGGCCCCTAAATCATAACATGAGAGAAGGCTGGTAGTTTTTTAGCAGGGGCAAGAGCGGGGTGTGGTGAGAGCAGGAATTGATGAAAAATGTGATGGTCTCTACTAATTCATACAGCAAGTTCCTAAACAGAATAATGTTCAAGTGGCCTCATTTTCCCCTTCATTCACCACTCAATCACAAGGACCTGAGGTCCTGGGTTTTCTGCAATAACCCTGATTAAAAACTCCATCCAACTGTGTTTGGATTTGGGGTTGCAAGGAAAAAAATGAATATTTTACATATAGTTCATCCCAAACTCCCTTGCACAGAGTTTGAAAGAACATGGTAAACCCACATATGCAGGCAAAGTAAAATGCCAAATAGACAAGGGTGAAATAGGCAGGAGATGGATCCCTGAAGGTCCAAAAGTATTGAAAGTTGGCCTGCTAGCCAGGCACAGCGGCTGACGCCTGTAATCCCAGCATTTTGGGAGGCCGAGGTGGGCGGATCACGAGGTCAGGAGATCAAGACCATCCTCAACAAGGTGAAACCCCATCTCTACTAAAAATACAAAAAAAAAAAAATTAAATTAGCCAGACATGGTGGCGGGTGTCTGTAGTCCCAGCTACTCGGGAGGCTGAGGCAGGAGAATGGTATGAACCCGGCAGGCGGAGCTTGCAGTGAGCCAAGATTGCGCCACTGCACTCCAGCCTGGGCGACAGAGCAAGACTCCGTCTCAAAAAAAAAAAAAAAAAAAAAAAAAAGAAAGTTGGGCCACTAACTCTACTGCAGAATTACTTGCACTGCTTTTTGAAAATACAGATTATGATTTAATGGAAAGTATTCCATGGGACTTGTCAGTTGACTGCTATTTAGGAAAAAAAAAAAAAAGATCAAACTCCTTAGAAGTCTTACTTGACCTGGTTTCTGCTTACTTTCTCATCTCATAATCACTCTTCTTCACTCTAAACTATTCCATCATTCTACAAATATTTATTCATGTCTGCTACACGTTGGCACTGTTCTAGGTACTATGAATGCATCCTAGGACTGCCATGTAATGGTTGCTCAATTATGTCTTGTATAATTGGCTGAGGAGGCAAGAGGAGGCCAAAATCTAGGTCCATGCTTTTCTAGCCGAACTACGTGTCCCGCGTGGAGCCACAACCTTTTGGAAAGGAGACTTTCTTTTCTTTTCTTTTTTTTCTCAAGACGGAGTTTTGCTCTTGTTGTCCAGGCTGGAGTGCAATGGCACCATCTTGGCTCACCACAACTTCCGCCTCCCGGTTTCAAGCAATTCTCCTGCCTCAGCTTCCTGAGTAGCTGGGATTACAGGTATGCAGGCATGTGCCACCATGCCCGGCTAATTTTGTATTTTTAGTGGAGATGGTGGTTTCTCCATGTTGGTCAGGCTGGTCTCAAACTCCCGACCTCAGGTGAACTGCCTGCCTTGGCCTCCCAAAGTGCTGGGGTTACAGGTGTGAGCCACCGTGCCTGGCATTCTTTTCTAATTTACTGGAAAAAGTCCCATGGGCTAAGGGAGGACCTGGCAATAACAATGAACAAATCAGACAAACATCCCTGTCCTCAGGAAGCTTATATCCCATTGTGGGAGAGACAACCAAAATAAATTATATACTATGTGGGACAATAATAAGTGTTATGGAGAAAATAAAACAGGGATCAATCTCCCTGGCTCAAGTGATCCTCCCACCTCAGCCTCCCAAGTACCTGGGACTACAGGCACATGCCACCATGCCCAGCGAATTTATTTTTTGTAAAGAATGAGGTCTCACAATGGGGCCCAGGCTGGTCTTGAACTTTCAGACTCAAACGATCTGCCTACTTCGGCTTCCCAAAGTGTTGGAATTAGTCATCAGCTACCACACCTGGCCAGTTTTAAATACAGTATTCAGGGAAGAACTCACTCAGAAGGTGACATTTTTGTTTACAGAACCATGTCAAACCCATTTCCCCTCAGGCCTTTGCACTTGCTGTACTTTGCCTAAAGTTCCTCTTTCCCTTTCTCAACTTTTGCATACCTAGCTTTTTATCTTTCAGTATCAGCCTAAATGTCACTTCCTTAAGGGCAACTTTCCAGCAACACTAAGTAGAATAGCTATCTATATCCCTAGGCAGTCCTAACCAAACAAAGACTCAAGGCCGGGCTCACACCTGTAATACCAGCACTTTGTGAGATCACTTGAGGTCAGGAGTTTGAGACCAGCCTGACCAACATGGCGAAATCTTGTCTCTACTAAAAAAATACAAAAATTATCCAGGCGTGGTGGTGGGCACCTGTAACCCCACCTACTTGGGAGGCTGAGGCAGGAGAACTGCTTGAACCCAGGAGGCAGAGGCTGCAGTGAGTGAAGATCTCACCACTGCCCTCCAGCCTGGGCGATCCTGGGTGACAGAGTGAGACTGACTGAAAAAAAAGACTCAACTACATAAAACTAGAGAGTTTGAATCCTGTTCTACTATTTCCTGGCTTAACCTCTGGCATCCAGTTTACCCATATGTAAAATGGATAATAATAGTACTTAACTTATACGGTTGCTGTGAAGAATAATTACAATCACCACCCAAAAGGATAACAATAAAAATTAAAAAATAAAAATATATTATATAAAAATATAAAAGTACAATAAAAATAGCAGCTGTTTATATAACTTTTTACCATGCACCAGGCATTATTCTATGTATTCTACATTTATTAACCCATTTAATCTATTCATATAATACATTTAAAGTGCCAGCACTATATTTAGCAAACAGTAAATAAATGTTTGCTCTCTTTCTTATTATCACCATGATCAGTGGCAGTATTATTAGCTCTTCTTATGAGGTGCCTAAGCCCTCTGTGTTTCTGCTCTGCTGAGGGATCTATACCCAAAAGTTTCATATCTTCCCCTCTAGAATTCCTATTTTCCCCTCTTGGATAAACACCCTACAGAAGGAATTTGTTATCAACCTTAGCACTTACTCTGTGCAAATCATCTCTTACGTCTAGCATCAGCATGGACTTTTAAAAAGAAAAAGATATGACTGTCCATATAGATCATATGCTTTATTTATGTATTTAGAGACAGAGTCTCGCTCTGTTGCCCCGGCTGGAGTGCAGTGGCATGATCCCGGCTCACTGCAACTTCCGCCTCCCAGGTTCAAGTGATTCTCCTGCCTCAGCCTCCCGAGTAGCTGGGACTACAGGTGCGTGCCACCACACCTGGCTAATTTTTGTATTTTTAGTAGAGACGAGGTTTTGCTATGTTGGCCAGGCTCGTCTCGAACTCCTGACCTCAGGTGATCCACCTGCCTCGGCTTCCCAAAGTGCTGGGATAACAGGTGTGAGCCACTGCGCCTGGCCAAAACTAAGCTAATTTTACTAATCCAAAAAAACATAACATGAAAATAATAGGAGTGAACTCATCGTGATAATATTAGTATCTCGAGTTTCTAGAATTAAACACAATGCTCCTTTTGAATCTCTCACTAAAGACAAACTAGAATCCATATACTTGACCATAATCATCAAAATATAATTAGAAGGCTTAAAGAAACAAAGAAGTCCAGAACCTTGGTTCCACTTTCCAGACTCATCTACTAATATACATGAACAATTGATGATGCTACTCTTCCTTAAGAATCTTGATTGATTAGAACATGGCTTCTAAGCAAGGCCACCAGGAACTGTTTTCCTGGTATCTATTGCTTTGAGAAACATATTTATGCTTAACCATCTCAAATGCCTTTTATAAAAGTATTTAAATGATAAAGATGAGAAGAGAAAAAGATATAATGAGAGGTAGTATAGTTATAACTGTGGAAGATATAAGTCAGATTACCTGGATTTTAATCCTGGCTCCACAAACCACCAACCAGGCCACGTTTCTTAGCTTGCTAAAACTCACTATGCTCATGTATAAAGTGGGAATAAGAGAGCTCTCGGCCAGTCAGGCACAGTGGCTCACGCCTGTAATCTCAACACTTTGGGAAGTTAAGGCAGGGGGATCACTTGAGCACAGGAGTTTGAGACAAGCCTGGGCAATATAGCGAGACCCCTATCTCTATTTTAAAAAGTAAGAAAGAAAGAGTTCCTATCTCATAGAGATATTGTAAGATGTGATCTAGGCAATTCCGTTCTTGGCACACAGTGCAAGAGCAATAAATTAAAGCTTAAAAAAATACACCAGAAAGAAAAAGAAAAGTCAAGAACATTCTGTGGGCATTTATTGCATTTGCTTTTTAACTCAGAAAAGACACTACAGAAAAAAACTTAACTAGCTGTCTAACACTGCTTCCATCTTGGCTCTCAATGATACACACAAAAGGATGGTTTATCAATGCATTCTGTTTCTCCAGCATAAACCCAAAGGTTGAACAACAAATTTCTGTTCAGAAGGAGAAGTGCTAAGACAAGATGATAAAACTATTGATTCTTTTTCACAAGGAGACTCACTGTGAGAGCAAAAGGGAGCCCTCTAACCCCAGTCTGGGGAGGGGGCTACTGAATTGGCACACTTTTTACATATTCAGAAGTATCTTCTACCTGCTTGGATTTTCTAAGCACAACAAAGGCTTTGGCTTTTAGCATTTAAGAGAAAAGATACTCCTTGGGGAAAGAGCATGAGGGAACTGATAGGAAATTGTCCCCAGGAGGTTTTCCTAAACTATCTCAAACATAATGTAGAATTACTGTTACCACTTTATTAATTCAACAAATATTTATTAGGCATCCTCTATGTGTCAGGCATTTTTCTACAGTTCCTGAGAATAAGGGAAACCAAACAGATGAGGTTCTAGCTCTCCTGGTACTCTTATATAATAGAGGAGAAAGTAAGCCCATAACAAACAAGAAACTATCTAAGAGGAATAAATGCCACAATGAAAATCAAACACCATGATATGATATGGACTATCCAGGAAGTTATTTTAGATTAGATGGTCAGAAGAAGCTTCAATGAGAAGATGATATTTTAACTGAAACCTGAATGACTAGCAAGGGCCCATTTGTATCCCAGAGGGGTATCAGAGGGAGTGGAAAAAGAAGGTAGTAAAAAGCCACATATATACATAGAGCAAGCTTCATATGTTTGAGAAAAAGAAAGAAGGCCAGTGTGGCTAGAGTACAGAGGTAGTAAGAGTGGTTAAGATAATATCTGCAAGGTAAACAAACCACATCATGTTAAAGCCCCAGAGAGGTTTAGGACTTAGTTAAAAATCACACAAATTGTTCTCAGCAAAGCTAGAATTTAACTCCATAGAAGTCTAACCCTAAGTCCATGGCCTTTCTAGAACACCACAGTTAACATATCTTATTCATCCTTATGAATGGGAACCTAGCTCAGTGTTTTACACATTGTAGATGTTCAGTAAATGTTCAGTGAAAGAAAAGGAAAAAGCCTAAATACCTAGGCATACCACTTTTCATCTCTGTTCTGGTCAGAAAACTGTCAAGCACCTATCCAAACACTGAATACTCTTACTGAAGATTAATAGGACCTACAGTTGTGATTCTTAATCATGGATGCACACCAGAATCACCTGGGAAACTTTAAGAACTACTGACGCATGGAAATCATCAGAATATCAGAAATTCTGATATATGTGGTCTGGGATGTAGGGGGATTGGGATTTTCAAGAGCTCCTCAAGTTATTCTAATGTCCAGCCCAAGTTGAGAACCACTGCTCTAGAGGTTCCCAAATATAAAACCATATGAAAAAGCCATCTCACCAATTGCTGCTGGGCATGAGGTACATGACAAAGTGACAAGGAACAATAAGGTTTTCGGGGGTGTAGGGTTACTGGAGTGAGGAGAAACAAATTTAAAAGTGGCTAAATAACTTGCTACACATGGATAAAAGATGACAGTAGGAAGTACTGTGTAGTATAATAATGGTATTACAGTTATATAAGCAAATGTCCTCATGTTTTTGGAGAGTCATGATAAAGTATTTGGGAGAGAAATGTCATAATGTTTAAAACCTCCAAACTGTTCAGCAAAACAAATACAATCACATATATAGATAAAGCAAATATGACAAAACTTTGACAATTATTGAATCTAGGTGGTGGGTGATCATTTTACTTAACTTTTCTGTATGTTTAAAATTATTCATAATAAAATGTTGGGAGGGAGAAAATATCTCAGCCGGGTACCGTGGCTAATGCCTGTAATCCCAGCACTTTGGGAGGCTGAGGTGGGCAGATCACGATGTCAGGAGATCGAGACCATCCTGGCTAATACGCTGAAATCCCGTCTCTACTAAAAATACAAAAAATTAGTCGGGTGTGGTGGCACGTGTCTGTAGTCCCAGCTACTCAGGAGGCTGAGGCAGGAGAATCGCTTGAACCCGGGAGACAGAGGTCGCAGTGAGCCGAGATCGTGCCACTGCACTTCAGCCTGGGTGACCGAGCGAGATCCTGTCTCAAAATAAATAAATAAATAAAAAATAAATGTTGGGAGGGGGAAAATATCTTGCCACAATATACAGATAATTAATCCATCATATTTGGAAAGCTGTCTTGGTAATTTATTTCTTTTTCTTTAAACTTTATTTCTTCCACAAGAAAACATCTGCAAGTAAATGGTAATTTTTTTAGATGGAATGTTTTTTGTTTTTTTTTTGAGACAGAGTCTTGCTCTGTCGCCAGGCTAGAGTGCAGTGGTGTGATCTCGGCTCAACTGTAACCTCCACCTCCCGGGTTCAAACGATTCTCCTGCCTCAGCCTCCAGAGTAGCTGAGACTACAGGTGCGCACCACCACGTCCAGCTAATTTTTGTATTTTTAGTAGAGATGGGTTTCACCATGTTGGCCAGATGGTCTCGATCTCTTGACCTCATGATCCACACGCCTCGGCCTCCCAAAGTGCTGGGATTACAGAAGTGAGTCATGGCGCCCAGCTGGAATGCAAGGCTTTTTAAAGGAGGTGGCAGTTCACACTATCCCCACTGAAAGAATATAAAATAAAAGCCTGCTTTTAAAGTATTTAAAGTCTGTTTATAAATATTTTCTCTCAACTCTAATTAGCCAGTTCCTTTTTAGCTATTTCCTTATAACTGCCTAATAGGCGAAACTCATATACTCTACAGAGTTTTTGATGCTTCACTCTTTCCAGGAGTCAGATTTCCCAATGCTTATCACAAAGGTTTCTGTCCTGTCAGCAGCTTAAGGTTGCCTGCCATCAAATAGTCCTCACCTCTGAGTGACACTAAGAGGTACCACCCATGACCTGGAAGAGAATGGTGGCCTCCAGTAGAACTGAGTTACATTCTCCTAGGACGTAATATAATCTCTCTCCACTAGCTCTCAAAAGCAGCTCAGAAGCAGTGATCTGTAACAAGGGTCACCCAAGGTAAAACTGGGAAGTAGTTAACACTGTCTCTACCACGCCCTCCACAAGCAGCTGAAGACACTCCAACTCTAAACCTTTCCCTATCTCTTCTATATCTGTTTCCTTTACTACACTTAATTTTAAGCTGTGAATCAATTAAATAAATGAATCCTAACTAGTGTTTAGCTAACTGGCCTTTTAAGAAATGGCTAGAATGTCTAGCTCTTGGCAGTCTCATCAAATCACATCATGGCCACCTATTCTGATACAATTACACTTACACATATTTTGAAGTACCTACCTACACAGAGTGTCTCCTTTAAAGTTCATATAAAATGAAGTCAATTTTTCTTACAGTTTAAATGTCAGTCACTGACTGGTCATGCTTGCTTCTTTCTCCATGGCTTCTCAGGAGGCTCATGCATACATTCATTCATTCATTTTAGAGACAAGGTCTCGATCTGTGGCCCCAGCTGGAGTGTAGTCACATGATCATGGCTCACTACAGTCTTAAACTCGTGGGCTCAAGCAATCCTCCTGCCTCAGTCTCCCAAGACACTGGGATTTCAGGTGTGAGCCACCTTGCCTGGCTAGAAGATGCATCTAAAATAAAATACCTCAATTGGGCCAGGCATGGTGGCTCAAGCCTGTAATCCCAACACTTTGGGAGGTTGAGGCGGGAGAACTGCTTGAGCCCAGGAGTTTGAGACCAGCCTGGCCCACACAGTGAGACCTTGTTTCTACAAAAAATAAACAAAATTAGCCGGGCATGGTGGTGCACACCTTTAGTTCCAGCTACTCAAGAGGTTGATGTGGAAGGGTTGCTTGAGCCCAGGAGGTTGAGGCTCCAGTGAGCCATTACTGTATCACTGCACTCTAGCCTGGGTGACAGAACGAGACTCTATCTCAAAAAATAAAATAAAATAAAATAAAATAAAGTACTTCAATTAAAGAATGCTTTTAAATGAATGTATAGGTCAGTGTAAAGTAAGTACTCACTGTCCTCCTTAGTTTAGTCAAAACTATGGTGAATTTTAAGGAACACAAAAATGAATCTTAGCTCAATATTAAAGATGCTTATTCTAGTAATCTTCCTAACTCCCTTATCTTAAAGAGATGATCAGAATCACCATAACAATCACTTTGAATGCTTTTGCCAAATCTGATTGTCAGTGTTCCATTCTGCTCTCAATATTTCTAAAACTAAAGGCAATAAATTCATTTACAAAAATGCTTACATAACTTGGTAGACATTCTAGCCAGTAGATGTAAACAGTAAAGATGGAGCACTTTTGTAAATTATCAATAGTACTTAGTTTATCCTAGTAAAGGGACAAGCACTTAAAGACAAGCAAAACAAAATTAAGAACTATTAATGGATAAAAGATGTTAGTGGCTGGGTGTGGTGGCTCATGCCTATAATCCCAGCACTTTGGGAGGTCAAGGTGGGTGGATCACCTGAGGTTAGGTGTTCAAGACCAGCCTGGCCAACATGGTGAAACTCCGTCTCTACTAAAAATAGTAATAATAATAATAATAATACAAAAATTAGCCAGGCATGGTGGCACCTGCCTGTAGTCCCAGCTACTCGAGAGGCTGAGGCAGGAGAATTGCTTGAACCCAGGAGGCAGAGGTTGCAGTAAACAGAGATCACGCCACTGCACTCCAGCCTGGGTGACAGACCGAGAATCAAGACTCCGTCTCAAAAAAAAAAAAAGAAAAAAAAAGAAAACCCCGTCTCTACTAAAAATACAAAAAAATTAGCCAGGCGTGGTGGCAGGCACCTGTAGTCCCAGCTACTAGGGAGGCTGAGACAGGAGAATGGCGTGAACCTGGGAGGTGGAGCTTGCAGTGAGCGGAGATCGCACCACTGCACTCCAGCCTGGGCAACAGAGCGAGACTCCGTTTCTAAAAAGAAAAAAAAAAAAAAACAGTTAGTGAGCAATGTGTATAACAATGTATCAGTGACATTACTATCATTCACTGTAATCTAGTGGATGAAGGGAGGTGGTTAAATTTGACATGCTCTTATACGTATCTGGTTTAATAAAACCCAGACCATAGACTGAAGCCACACTGAAATAGGTTATACTTCTCTTCACCTAATTTTCCAGAGGAACATACAGATTCTGGTTTCCCTTGTGAATATGACAAAAAAAAAACCCCACAAAAAACAAAAACAACACAACAAACACATGGATGGATATCTTTATGCCTGAAAACAAAACAAACTGCTTTTTACTTCAAGTGTTGTATAAAGTCAAAACAAACCTTACTCTTTGCTCTCAACTTCTAAATGTTACCCTAACACCCCTGCCACCTTAAATAAGACCCAGCAGTGATCTAACACCCACTATACTTACAGCTCATCTTATGATTATCTTGTACTAATGTGGATTACATAACAAGCAGCTTCTCTGGCCACAACAGCTCTCCCTTCTGAGCCATTCAGGCAATTACAGTAGTCCCCCCTACCCTTAACCTTGGAGGATACATTCCAAGACCCCCGGTGGGTACCTGAAACCACGAATAGTACCTAACCTTACATAAACTGTTTTTTTGATCTGATAACCAACACAGCTACGAAGTGCCTAACTTTGTAGCAGCCAGCGCATACAACATGCATATACTAGATAAAGGCTAACAGTTTACATCCTGGGTGGGACAGGGTGGGATGGTGCAAGATTTCATCATGCTACTCAGAATGAGGCACAATTTAAAATTTAGGCCGGGTGTGGTGGCTCCTGTCTGCAGTCCCAGCTACTCGGGAGGCTAAGGCAGGAGAATCGCTTGAACCCAGGAGGTGGAGGCTGCAGTGAGCAGAGATCGTGTCACTGCGCTCCAGCCTGGGTGACAGAGCGAGACTCCGTCTCAAAAAATAAATAAATAGGCCGGGCACGGCGACTCACGCCTGTAATCCCACCACTTTGGGAGGGATTACATATATATTATATATATATGGGTTTTTTTGTTTTGTTTTGTTTTGTTTTGTTTTGTTTTGAGACAGAGTTTCGCTCTCGTTGCCCAGGCTGGAACAATGGCGCGATCTTGGCTCACCGCAACTTCTGCCTCCTAGGTTCAAGCTATTCTCCTGCCTCAGCCTCCTGAGTAGCTGGGATTACAGGCATGCGCCACCATGCCCGGCTAAATTTTGTTTTTCATAGAGACAGGGTTTCTCCATGTTGGTCAGGCTGGCCTCGAACTCCCGACCTTCAGGTAATCCACCCACCTCGGCCTCCCCAAGTGCCGGGATTACAGGCGTGAGCTACTGCGCCCCGCCAATCTTTTAAATTTTCAGTTATTTTCAATTATTTTTTTTTTTTTGAGGCAGGGTTTTGTTCCACCACCCAGGCTGGAGTGCAGTGATGCGATCATGGCTCACTGCAGCCTCGATTTGCTGGGTTCCATCAATCCTCCCACCTCAGCCTCCCGAGGGAGCTGGGACTACAGGCATATGCCACCACACCTGGCTAATTTCTGTATATTTTGTAGAGATGGGATTTTACCATGTTCCCCAGGCTTGTCTTGAACTCTTAGGCTCACGTGATCCTCCTACCTTGGCCTCCCAAAGTGCTGGGATTACAGGTGTGAGCCACCATGCCCAGACTAAAATTTTTTAGTTTTTATTTTTTGAGACAGGGTCTTGCTCCATTGCCCAGGCTGGAGTGCAGTGGCGTGATCATGGCTCACTGCAGCCTTGACCCCCAGGCTCAAGTGATCTTTCCACTTCAGCCTCCCAAGTAGCTGGAACTACAGGTGTGCACCACCAAGCCTGGAGGTTATCCTCCCTCCATACGTTAGACAATTGGACTTCAGAAGTAAACTCACCTCTTAGTTGACATATGTGCTCTCCCCCTCTCCTAGACACACACACACACACACACACACACACACACACACACTCACGCTTACCCTCTTTTCCTCTCTCTTAAGAAGCTGCTGCTAGAAAATAAAAAGAACTTGCTGCTAATATTAAAATTTTTACTGAGATTTGATTGTTTAGGGATGAATGTATGAGTTAATTTTTTTTTTTTGGCTGGCTTCTTCTTTAAACTCGGGCTATAGTTTAATTACGACAATCATGAAATTATTGCAAATAAACAAAGAATGTAAAACTCCCTTCCTATTTGTCTAGCACTACTAAACTTGAGAAGTGTAATATAATTATATAGACTGATCTCAGCCAGGAACTCTAAGCACTTGTGTGGCTGTGATATAGAAGGATTACTAATAAATTGAGCCCGGTGTGGGTGTCACATTAGTGCCTTCATCACATTAAATGATATAGGCAACCAGGCATAGTGGTAGGATGACCAGCTTTGAAGTCACATAGATTTAGGAGATAAATCAACTTCTGCTTCTTTCTAGTTGTGTGATCTTGGGGGCATAAATGTTTCTAGGCCAAAGTTTCTTCAAATGCCAAGGCTATTGTGAGATTATCAAGAGAAATTGTTGCCTAGCATAGTCTACTTTGAAGGCACCCAAAATAAATGATAACTATTCTTACTAATTACAGTGAATTTAAGTGAACAGAACTTTGACAATCATTTTGGGGCCAACATTTATCAATGTTCTTGGCACTATGCCAAACTGAGAAATAGGCTTGTACTTAAGAGAATGAAAAGTGGACCCTGGAGAATGTAAAGATTGAACTGAAATTATTAGGTTTTATACCAGCATCTACTAGTTTTGAAGTTTGGAGATTTATAAAACTCAAAAAGATGATTTGGATGTCAGGCAGTACATTATGATGTCAGGTGGTACATTATAAAATATATCAAAATTTTCACAGGCATTAGGAGGTCTACCCTTATCTCACTGAAACTTAAACACAAACTCCAGTTCTCAAGGTAGCTTAACAAAACATCATGTACTAAGCCCGCTTTGAAAAATAATTGAATGACTTCCATACTCACAATACCCAAACACAACAATGTTCAGTTCCTGGTGTTCAGGAGTGGAAACATAGCATTAACACTTGCCAGGATAGGTTTTTGGCCATACTGTCTTGGTATGCACAAGTTTCTTTCTAGAGACTAGATCTGAAAAAAAGTCAGGAATGAAAATTATTATGAGACTGCCCAGGCATGGTGGCTCACACCTGTAATCCCAGCACTTTAGGAGGCTGAGGCAAGAGGATTGCCTGTGCCCAGGAGTTCGTGGCTAGCCTGGGCCAACACAGGCAGACCCCATCTAAATCATTTAAAAAAAAAAAAAAAAAAGAAAAAGAAAAGAAAAGAAAGAAAAATATTATGAGAGAATAATTCATTTTACATTATAAAAAGGGAGTTAGCATACAGAAACACTAGGTCTTAAGAGTAATCAAATCTTAAGTAGCATTACTATTTTTTAAAATTAAGATCCTATTTTGGTTTGCTATATTAAAACTGATACAACAAGAAGGCTGGGCAATGGAGACTCAAGTAATCAGTAGAGAGCCAAGAACCTGCCCTCACAAAGATTTCTCTAGAAGAGAAAAACTGACAAACAAGATGACAATATCAGAAAGTAGTAAGTGCTGTTATAAAAATAAAACAAAACAAAGTAATAGGTTAGATAACAAGTCACTGAGGGTACCACGTTAGATAAAGGAGTATGGAAGAGCTGATAACTGAATAAGCTGAGTACTGGGGAGGAACAACCAGGATGAGGGACCAGGAAGTATAAAAACTCTTAAGTAAGAGCAGATATAAAGCCTATGTGGGTGGTATATGAATGGGAATAATGGTAAGATCAGTTTAAGTAGGCAGTTGCAGTCAGATACGTAGAAATTTGGGGCCTTGGTAACAGAATTTAGATTTTATCCTAATTTGGCAAGTCATTTGAGGATTTTTAAGCAGAAGAATTAATGACATTGAGACTATGCTCAAAAATATAAAGATGCTGTTTTTCTCACTGAAGTTCACAGGTTCGTATAAAGCCAACAAATTTTTCAAAGTTCATGAAAAATGTATGGAGGAAATTTAGCACTTAAATTAAAATATACATTCTATGGACTTCAGCCAACTTTGACCTGTTTCTCTACTCCTTGTTCCCATAATCTAGTCAGTTAAGAAATCCTGCCAATTTCTTCTTCATAATTATCATCTATTTACTCCTCTTGCCAAGCATCCCACTTCAAAATCTTTTCCATCTCTGTTCTTTTCCTCTTCTCCTCCACACACATGCTCATGTGCGTGAATGCACACAGATGGGCACAAAATTTGAGACAATCTTGTTGGGAAGAGCGGTCCCCAAGTTTTCTCTTAGCATCTAAATAATGAGTATGAAAGAATATTTCGATTTCAGGAATACAAAATAAGGAATTCCCTGGGTAAGAGATGACTATGAACAATAAATAAACACTATCTAGATGGAATAACATCTAGTAGAAAACCAAAGGATCTTCTGCGGGGGGAAAAAAAAAAACAAATTAAAAAACCAGAGAGACGCTGGGTGTGGTGGCTCACACCTGTAGTCCCAGCACTTTGGGAGGCCGAGGCGGGCAGATCACGAGGTCAAGAGATCAAGACCATCCAGGCCAACATGGTGAAACCCCATCTCTACTAAAAATACAAAAAAATTAGCCAGGTGTGGTGGCATGCACCTGTAGTCCCAGCTACTCGGGAGGCTGAGGCAGGAGAATCACTTGAACCTGGGAGGTGGAGTTTTCAGTGAGCTGAGATTGTGCCACTGCACTCTAGCGTGGTGACAGAGCGAGACTCAGTCTCAAAAAAAACCCAGAGAGACAAGAGGAAGGGTGGTAAGTATGTAATTACTCTAGATACTGGACAGAGGTATAACAACTCATCTGATTAAGATGTAGCTACAAAAGCTCCTATTTTACTCCCTTCTCTGTTTATCATTTTAACTTCTATTTAACTCAGTTTATTGTCTTATACTATTATTGCTACGGATACTATTATTTATCTTGCTTACATCACAAAGTGGGTGAATAGAAAAGGAAGGTAGAATATTAAACGAGATATCTGTGAAGGCACATAGTAAACTAGAAAGGGCTAAACAAATTCATTTATTCAATAAATACTTATTGAGCGACCACTCAGTGCTAGACACAAAACAGACATGTTCTATGTTCTCATGGAGTTTATAGGTGGTAGGGGATCTTATTAAAGTTATTAATATAATTATTCATTATATGCCCATCTTTCCTGCTGGATACTGAGGTTCTCTAGAAGGCTATGTCATTATTTCATTCCTCCTAACAATGATCACAGAACCTGGTACACAGAAGGTGATAAATAAATGTTAGAATTGGGAATACCTCACGCAAAGGCTTTTCTAGTGTTCAGCTACAGGGCCGCTTCTCAGATTCCAACTTGGCTACCAATGGTCTCCTTGCTACACACCCCAGGGGCTCAGCCAATCTTCCTTTCCCCTTGGTTGCTGCCATCAGGCACTTTTTATCTTTGAGGATTTCCATAACCTCCACACCTGCCTGATTAACCAAGAGGTGAGCTTTTGGCCCTTTCTGTTTTTATCTTCAGGACTTGAGTCTCACTACTATCACCTCTTGATTCTATCTTAAAGCCAAGAGATCCTTTCTTTCTAAATAGAAGTTGCAATTAAGGCAGAACAACAAGCACCTCCTTGGTCTAAAATTTAAAAAATTTACATTTATGAGGCCACACATTAAAATAGTTCACAAGGTTAGAGTTCAGCCTGGGAATTATGTATCCTCTCTGGAAATTTACTCACATTCCAGCCAAAGCCACAGAAGAGAATTTAACTGCAAAGGCATGATATCTCTCAGACACTAAAAAGTGCAATGCTCTATTTCAGACTGGGAGATAGAGTGAAACAGTGAGAAAAATCATAACTTCTTGGGTCAAGGTCCAGATGAAAGGCCTGCTGACTCAAAGGAAATGGCAACTAAAAAAAAAAAAAGGAAATATTTTAGAGTTTCAAAGCTATACAAAAGAAGCTGCAAAATAAAATTCTTTGAAATAAACCTCAATAGTTAAGTTCCAATACCAAGATTTCCTCATACTTTAGTCTATTTTAGTTTTCTGTTTGAACTGTATGTATGTGCTAGACAACAAATATTTATTGAGTAGTTACTATTTGCCAATCAAGAAGGATGTGATGATGTGATGGAAGCAGAAAAAGAACTTGTGGCAATGAAACAATTAGGCTATGACAATACAACATGGCAAGGGAGGCACAGGAATCTGTGGCAACACAAAGAGGAATATGTAACTCAGCTTTGGGCAGAAAGGACTTCCCAGAAGGAAGATATAAACTCTAAGCTAAGATCAGAAAAATAAATATGAGCCAGACAACAGTAACAATACTTACATAGTACTTATTAAGTGCCAAGCATTATTTTAAGAGTATTCCATATATTTACCTAATAACTCTCCCAACCACCCTATGAAGCTGAAACTATTATTCACATTGTATAGATGAGGAAATTGAGGCTTTGAGAGATAAAGTAAACTGCCACAGTTACATGGTAAGCAGAACCAGGATTGGAACCCAGGTAGGAGGTGGGGGTAGGGGTGGCAAGAGATGGCAAGGGAAGGGGAAATCAAAGGGTGACAGGTAGAGAAATGTACGTATTACAATTTGGAGAACAAAAAAGGTACAGCAATAATGGAGAGTTAAGTATGGTGAGCTTCTTGGGAGAGGTTAAGAATGAAAATTTATGAGAAACTATATTAAGCTGGGGCTACTTACACCTTGAATTACAGTAGTAAATAACAAACCAAAAAGCAATAGTCTATGTATGATATACACCAATAGACTATAAAGTGATTTCCTGGTATCTCCTCCTTTAAGAAAATCTTTCGGCCGGGCGCGGTGGCTCACGCCTGTAATCCCAGCACTTTGGGAGGCCGAGGCGGGCGGATCACGAGGTCAGGAGATCGAGACCACAGTAAAACCCCGTCTCTACTGAAAATACAAAAAATTAGCCAGGTGCGGTGGTGGGCGCCTGTAGTCCCAGCTACTCGGGAGGCTGAGGCAGGAGAACGGCGTGAACCTGGGAGGCGCAGCTTGCACTGGGCCGAGATCGCGCCACTGCACTCCAGCCTGGGCGACAGAGCGAGACTCCGTCCCAAAAAAAACCAGAAAATCTTTCTATATACCACTAACAGTATTCAGCTTCCTAAAAAATTCCTAAAATTCAATTTCATGACACTACCCTGATCAAAAAGTCTTTAATAGCTCTTCACTGATTATAAGATTCATGCCAAATTTATGAGACTTCATAAAATGAGCTCCATCTCTCTTTCCACCAATCCCCACCACTAATTTCAGCCCTCGATAGAATTATTCATTGCCCTGGGAATTTTTATTCATTGCTGAATAAAAATTTGGACTAAATATTTCAGTTTCACACTCTGTATCATACTTCAGCCTACACACAATATATTTATTACATCTGCACAGTTTCACAATTTTTAGTGGGTGCAGAAGAAGGAGTAGAAGAGTAAATTTGTGCAAACTGAACCAGTTCCTGATTATTTTTCAATGTTCTCTGAAATCACTGCACGTACAAAAAATCTGACCATCTACTATTAGAAGGTATGTAAAGAATTACACATTTTTTTGGTATCAGAAGTTGTCAAAAAAAAAAAAAAGAAGAATAAGAAAAAAGAATTACATTTCAGGTTTGCTCAGTGGCAGATATTTTAGCATTCTGAATAATATGTGACATACCAAATCCCATAATTTCAAACTAATAGTCTGTGCTATCTCCAAAACCAAGAATCTCATTCTTACCAAAAATGTCAGAAAGAAGAACTAAATTTAATATTAACTTGTTATTACTAAATGAGCTTACATTTTGGATATAATTATCCTGGTTCCTCTTTACGGTTTTTAATCTTTAATGTTGAAAAGTTCATTGTATGACTTATTTATTATAAATGGCATTAAATCCTTTTAAAAAGCAGATAGGATATAAATAATATTTTGAAATTCCCTCAAATACTGATAACTAAGTATACACTAAATCTAGTAACTATAAAAAAACTCAATAAACCTAGGTAATGCTGTAACTGTATTACAGAGGCTAAAAATCGGAAGGTAAACACTGTATATAACAACCAAGAACTGGTCAACATGGTGTTAACAGATTACAAACAGACTAAATACACTGGCATTATGTGAAAGACTAGTAAAGCAGTGCTAAGTATTTAGTGGCTAGGAGGGAAGGGCAATAATTTCTGTTAAATTTTTAATTAGGGTTGGGAAACTGATCACTTATTTAACCTTTCATTTGGTTTCTTCATCTATAAAATGCAAATAGATAATATCTGATTGTCATGAGGGTTAAATAAACTAATATATATATATGAAGCATTTAGAATAATGGCTGGCATTTAAAATAAGTGCTGGCCAGGAGCAGTGGTTCATGCCTGTAATCCTAGCACTTGGGGAAGCTGAGGCGGGAAGATCACTTGAGACCAGGTGTTCGAGACCAGCCTGGGCAACATTGCCAGGCTCCAGTCTCTATAAAAAAATTTTAAAATTACCCAAGAGTAGTGGCTCACGCCTGTACTCCCAGCACTTTGGGAGACCAAGGCAAGAGGACTGTTTGAGCCCAGGAGTTTGAGACCAGCCTGAGCAACATAGCAAGACATTTTCTCTACAAATAATAAAAAAAAAAAAATTGGCCAGGTGTGGTGTGTGTGCCTGTGGTCCCAGCTACTTGGGAGGCTAAGAAAGGAGGATTACTTGAGCCTGGGAAGCTGAAGCTGCAGTGAGCTGTGATCATGCCACTGTACTCAGCCTGGGCAACAGAGAGAGACCCTGTCTCCAACTAAAAAAAAAAAAAAGGTAGTTATTGCGTTATTGCTACATGTAGGATTATGGGTGATTTCTGTTTTCTATACTTCACTGAATCTTCAGGTTTTCTTTTTTTTTTTTTTTTTTTTTTTTTGAGACAGAGTCTTGCTCTGTCACCCAGGCTGGAATGCAGTGGCCCAATCTCGGCTCACTGCAACTTCTGCCTCCTGGGTTCAAGCAATGCAATTCTCCTGCCTCAGCCACCCAAGTAGCTGGGATTACAGGCACACACCACCATGCCCGGCTAATTTTTGTATTCTTAGTAGAGACAGGGTTTCACCATGTTGGCCAGGCTGGTCTCGAACACTTGACCTTGTGATCTGCCCGCCTTGGCCTCCCAAAGTGCTGGGATTACAGGCGTAAAGCACTGCATCTGGCTATTTTTTTTTTTTTGAGACAGAATTTCGCTTAACGGCCTCCCAAGTAACTGGGATTACAACAGTTGTGCAACACCATGCCCGGCTAATTTTTGTATTTTTAGTAGAGACGAGGTTTCACCATGCTGCCCAGGCTGGCCTCGAACTCCTGGCCTCAAGTGATCCACACGCCTTGGCCTCCAAAGTGCTGGGATTACAGGCGTGCGCCACTGCACCCAGCCCAATTTATTCATTTTTGAGACAGGGTGTTGCTCTGTCACCAAGGCTGGAGTGCAGTGGCGTGATCTCGGCTCACTACAGCCTCAACCTCCTGGGCTCAAGCGATCCTCCCATCTCAGCCTCTGGAGTAGCTGGGACTACAGGCATGTGTCACCACAGCTGGCTAATTTTGTTTTATTTTTTGTAGAGATGAGGTATCACTAGGTTGCCTAGGCCAGTCTTGAACTCCTGGGCTCAAACGATCCTCCCACCTTGGTCTCCCAGGGTGGAAAATTCTTTTTTTTTTTTTGAGATGGTGTCTTGTTCTGTTGCTCAGGTTGGAGTGCAATGGCGTGATCTTGGCTCACCGTAACCTCCGCCTCCCAGGTTCAAGTGATTCTCCTGCCTCAGCCTCCCAAGTAGCTGGAATTACAGGCGCACATCACTGTGTCAGCTAATTTTTGTATTTTTAGTGGAGATGGGGTTTCAGCATGTTGGCCAGGCTGGTCTTGAACTCCTGACCTCAGGTGATACACTCGTCTCGGCCTCCCAAAGTGCTGGGATTACAGGTGTGAGCCACCACACCTGGCCGGAAAATTCTTTAAAGATTAGCAAATCAAATCCAAGAATATATAAAAAGGTTAATAAATCATGATCAAGTGAGGTTTATACCAGGAATGTAAATTTGTTTGAACACCTGAAATTTAATCAATGTAATTCACCATAGTAAGAGACTAGATTTTTTTTTGAGGCAAGGTCTTGATCTGTTGCCCAGTCTGGAATGCAGTGGCACTATCATGGTTCACTGTAGCCTGGACCTCCTGGGCTCAACTGATCTCCCCTCAGCCTCCAGAGTAGCTGGGACTACAGGTGCATGCCTGTAGTCTAACTGCCCGGCTAATTTTTGTGGTTTTGTTTTGTTTTGTTTGTAGAGATGGGGTTTTGTCTTGTTGTCCAGGCTGGTCTTGAACTCCTGGGCTCAAGCAATCTGCCTGCCTTGGCCTCCCAAGTACTGGGATTAGAGGTGTGAGCCACTGTGCTAGGCCAAGAGACTAAAATTTTTAAAAGTATATGTATTTATCTGGATAACCCAGAAAGAGCATTTGGCAAAATCTAACATCCATTCCTGATAAAACACTCAACACGCCAGGAATAGAAGAGGACTTTCTCAATCCGAAAAAGAAAATCTATGAAAAAACTACAGCTAACGTCATATTTAATGGTAAAAACGGAATGCTTTCCCCTTAAAATCAGGAATAAGGTAAGGATGTCTACTCTTAGCACTTCTATGGAGCATAGTAATAGAGGTTCTATTGAGTTCAATAAAGGCAAGAAAAATAAATAAAAGGCATCTAAATGGAAAGGAAGTTAAACTTTCCTAATCTGAAAATGACATGATTGTCTAGCTAGCAAATTCTATGGAATCTTAAAAGAAGCTACTAAGAACTGATATATCAGTTTAGCATGGTTGCAGCGTATAAGATCACTTTATGAAAATAAATTTTATAGGCCAGGCGTGGTGGCTCATGCCTGTAATCTCAGCACTTTGGGAGGCTGAGGCAGGTGGATCACGAGGTCAGGAGATCGAGACCTTCCTGGCCAACATGATGAAACCCCGTCTCTACTAAAAATACAAAAAATTAGCCAGGCATGGTGTCAGGTGCCTGTAGTCCCAGCTACTCGGGAGGCTGAGGCAGGAGAATGGCGTGAACCCAGAAGGCGGAGCTTGCAGTGAGCCAAGATTGCGCCACTGCACTCCAGCCTGGGCAACAGAGTGAGACTCTGTCTCACAAGATAAAATAAAATAAAATAAAAATAAAAATAAAAAATAAAATTAAAAAATAAATTAAAATTAAAAAATTATTACGTAAACATTCAGAAACTGAATTTTAAAAATACCATTTACAATAGCCTCAAAACATAAAATAGTAAAGTATGAAATACTTAAAAATGTGTAAAATATACACACTGAAAACAAAATATTGTAAAGAGAACTTAAAGACCTAAAATGAAAGAGAGATAACCTGTGTTCATAGATTGGAGGGCAATATTGTTAAGATGGCAATTCTCTCCATATTTATTGATAGATTCAATGCAATTCCAATTAAAGTCCCAGTAGGCTTTTTTTTTTTTTTTAAGGCATGGACAAGCTGAATCTAAAATGTTTATGACAAATAATCTATAACAGCCAAATAACTTTGAAAGAACAAAGTTGAAAGATTTAAATCATATGACTTCAACATTTATTATAAAGTTATAGTAATCAAGACATGTAGTAATGCCAACTAAGATAGACAAATCAGAGAGTCCAGAAATAGAACCACACATCTATGATAAATGGTCAACTGATTTTTCATAAAGTGAAAATGCAGCTCAGGAGAAAAAGAATAGTTTTTTAAACAGTGCTGGACCACTGGATACCCATAAACAAAACCAAAAATTTTAAAAACTCATTTTGGCTGAGTGCAATGCCTTATGCCCTGTAATCCCAGCACTCTGGGGAGGCAGAGGTGGGAGGACTGCTTGAGGCCAGGAGTTTGAGACCTGCCTGGTCAACATAGTGAAACCCCATCTCTACAAAAGAAAAAAATTAGTCAGGCACGGTTGCATGTGCCTGTAGTCCCAGCTACTTGGGAGCCTGAGGCCAACCATCACTTAAGCCCAGCAGTTTGGGGCTGCAGTGAGCTATGATCCCATCACTGCACTCCAGCCTGAGCCACACAGCAAGACCTTGTTTCAAAAAAACAACAATGGCTGGGAGCAGTGGCTCAAGCATGTAATTCCAGCATTTTGGGAGGCCGAAGCAGGTGGATTGCTTGAGGTCAGGAGTTCCAGACCACTCTGACAACATAGCAAAATCCCGTCCCTACTAAAAACAGAAAAATTAGCCAGGCGTGGTGCGTGCCTGTAGGAGGCTGAGGCAGCAGAACTGCTTGAACCTGAGAAGCGGAGGTTTCAGTGAGCCAAGATCGCGTCACTGCACTCCAGTCTGGGCAACAGAGCAAGACTCTGTCTCAAAAACAAAAAACCAAAACAACAACAAAACCATTTTAATCCATACCTTGCAACATATATAAAAATTAACTAAAGTTGGATGATAGATCTAAATATATAACCTGCAACTACAAAACTTCAGGAATAAAATAGAATACCTTTGTAACCTTAGGTTAGACAAAGATTTTAGATATGGAAAGCATGACCCATTAACGAAAGCAATGATAAACTAAACTTCCAAATTAAGAACTTATGTTCTCTTATCACTGATAATGAAAAGACAAGCCACAGACTGGAAGAAAATATTTGCTAATCACATCTGATAAAGGACTTACATGCACAACGTATCAAGAACTCTCAAAACACAATAATAAGAAAACAAACAACTCAATTTAAAATAAGAAAAAACTTTTTTTTTTTTTTTTTGAGACAGAGTCTTACTCTGTCACCCAGGCTGGAGTGCAGTGGTGCGACCTCGGCTCACTGCAACCTCTGCCTCCTGGTTTAAGCGATTCTCCTGCCTCAGCCTCCTGAGTAGCTGGAAATACAAGCACCTGCCACCACGCCTGGCTAATTTTTGTATTTTTAGTAGAGACGTTTGGTAGTTGCCACAAAACGTGCGATATAAGAAGGTAAGCTTAATCAATAAATGTGTAAGTTCTCACTGCCCCATTGATCAGCTGTTCTCTTGTCTTTCTCCCTCTCCATGGTCATCCCTTCCCTGAGACATCTACTTTTCTCTCTTTTTTTTTTTTTTTTGAGACAGAGTTTCACTCTTGTTGCCCAGGCTGGAGTGCAGTGGCGCGATCTCGGCTCACCATAACCTCCGCTTCCCAGGTTCAAGCAATTCCCCTGCCTCAGCCTCCCGAGTAGCTGGGATTACAGGCATGCACTACCACGCCCAGCTAATTTTGTATTTTTAGTAGAGACGGGGTGTCTCCATGTTGAGGCTGGTCTCGAACTCCTGACCTCAGGTTATCCGCCTGCCTCGGCCTCCCAAAGTGCTGGGATTACAGGCGTGAGCCACCGCGCCAAGCAAGACATCTACTTTTCTAAATCCTTTATGCTAACTCTTTGAATTAAGGTATAAGTACCCTTGGAGGTAAAAACAATGGGTCAGAAATGAAAAGAAGTCATAAGATAAAAGCTGGACCCTTACCTTATACCATAACAAAAATTAATTCAAAATGAACCAGCTGGGCAGAGTGCATGCCTATAGTCCCAGATATTCAGGAGTCCGAGGTGGGAGTACTGCTTGAGCCTAGGAGTTGTGAGTCCAGCCTGGGCAACATAGTGAGACTTCACCTCAAAACAAACAAAAAAAAGGGACCATCCTAAATGTAGAAGCTAAAATTATAAAACTCTTAGAGAAAAACATACAGGAAAAGCTTCCTGACATTGGATTGGCAGTGATTTCTTGACTAAGACACCAAAAAGTACAGGTAACAAATGTTAAAATAGATAAACTGGACTTCATCAAAACTGAAAACTTATGCATGAGAAGACTAAGAAGACAACCTACAGAATGGGAGAAAATATTTGCAAATCATGTTTCTTTTTTTTTTTTTTTTTCCCGAGACAGAGTCTCACTGTGTCACCCAGGCTGGAGTGCAGTGGCACGATCATCGGCTCACTGCAATTTCCACTGCCTGGGTTCAAGCGATTCTCCTGTCTCGGCCTCTCAAGTAGCTGGGATTACAGGCATGTGCCACCACACCCAGCTAATTTTTGTATTTTTAGTAGAGACAGGGTTTCGTCATGTTGGTCAGGCTGGTGACCTCAGGTGATCCGCCCACCTTGGCCTCCCAAAGTGCTGGGATTACAGGCATGAGTCACTGTGCCTGGTCATCTATTCCTCTTTTTTTTTTTAATTATTTATTTTTAAAAACAGGGTCTTGCTATGTTGCCCAGGCTGGTTTTAAACTCCTGGCATCAAGCAATCTTCCTGCCTTGGCTTCCCAGAGTGCTGGGATTAGAGGCATGAGCCACCATACCTGGCCTGCAAATCATACATCTAATAAGAGATTAATATCCAAAATATATAAAGAACTCCCACAATTTAACAACAACAACAACAACAACAACAATAACAACAACAAACCCCAATTCAAACCTGGGCAAAACACTTGAATAGATATTTCTACAAAGAAGATACACAGCTGGGCACAGCAGCTCATGCCTGTAATCCCAGCACTTTGGGAGGCTGAGGTGGGTGGATCACTTGAGCCAAGGATTTCAAGACCAACCTAGACAACACTGTGAGACCCCATTTCTACAAAAAAACAGAAAAAAATTAGCTGGGTGTGGTGGTGCATGCCTGTAGCCCTAGCTACTTGGGAGGCTGAGGTGAGAGGATCCATTGAGGGAAGTAGAGGCTGCAGTGAGCTGTGATGGCACTCCAGCCTGGGCAATATAGCAAGACCCTTGTCTCTTAAAAAAACATGAAGAAAAGAAAAAAATTAGTTTGGCGTGGTGACAGATACCTGTAGTTTCAACTACTTGGGCGACTAATGTAGGAGGATCACTTGGGTACAGGAGACTGAAGCTGCAATGAGCTGTGATTGCACCACTGCTCTCCAACCTGGATGACAGAGTGAGATCCCATCTCAAAAATAAATTAAATTAAGCCCAAAAATGAAAAATAAAAAACATGGACCAAAAATCAATGGTTAAGATGGTAAATTTTATGTTATTTGTGTTTTCTTTCTTTCTCCCTGTCTCCCTCTCTCTCTCACTCACACACACACACACGAGTACAGACTCTGAAGCCAGATTACCTGGCTTTGAATTTTGGCTCTGCCAATGTAACCTTGGGAAAATAACCTAACTGCTCTATGTCTCAGTTTCCTCAGCTGTAGATGGGGATGATATTAATAGTACCTACATCATTAACTGTGAGGATTAAATTAGTAAATATACATACACTTCTTACAACAGTCTTGGCACGGTGGCTCATGCCTGTAATCCCAGCACTTTGGGAGGCCTTGGTGGGTGGATCAGCCTAGCTGTTGAAACATGGTGAAACCCTGTTTCTACTAAAAATACAAAAAAAGATTAGCCGGGCGAGGTGGTGTGCACCTGTAATCCCAGCTACTCTGGAGGCTGAGGCAGGAGAATTGCTTGAACCCGGGAGGCGGAGGTTGTGGTAAGCCAAGATTGCGCCATTGCACTCCAGCTTGGACTACAAGAGCTAAACTCCGTCTCAAAAAAACCAAACCAAACCAAAACCAAAACAAACAAACAAAAACAGTCTTGAAACACAGTGGGTACTATTTTATTTTTAAGTACTTATTATTATTAGATTCACCATTTTGAAAATAAAATTTAATGTGGAATTTAGACCTACAGGCAAAACTGAATTTCTCCTATGCAAAACGGAATAAAAAAAATTCATGTGCCTAAATTTCAGGGTTTTCAGGTGAACTCTTGACATGAAGCCTTTATATCCATATACCCATCTTTGCACCAGCATTACCACTACATGAACAGAAGAAAGATTTCTGTATCATCTTTTTTAAAAGATTTCATTTATAATTTTGAATATTTCATCTCAAGTAGGTTGTTTTGACATATATGCAGAACAAATAACTCTCTAAGAATTTCTCTTCAAGGGCTGTAAGCAGTTTATTATTCTTTCTTTCTTTTTTTTAAAGACAGGATCTTGTTCTGTTGCCCAGGCTAAAGTGCAGTGACAAGATCACAGCTCACTGCAGCCTCAACCTCCTGAGCTCAAGTCCTACTTTAGCCTCCCAAGTAGCTGGGAATATAGGCACATACTACTATGCCCAAGTAATTTTTGTTTTTGTTTGTCTTTTGTAGAGATGGGTTTTGCCATGTTGTCCAGGCTGGTCTTGAATTCCTAGGCTCCAGCAATCTGCCTACCAGAGGCTCCCAAAGTGTTAGGATTACAGACATGAGCCACCTAGCCCAGCCTAAGCAGTTCTATTAACTGAGCACATTCACTAGAGTCTATTGATTCATCGACTTGTAAAGAAAAGCATTTGATTTAATAGCCATCTGGTGTAGTGTTGTTTCTTTGGCATCTCACATTTTGTTAGAGTGTACACGAGTAAAATTATTCAAAAGTGGCACCTTTTTTATTTCCTTTGCTTTACTGTTCTCAAACATAATATTGACCATTCCTAAGTGAGATGGTAAAATGAGAAATTATGCAACTTGGTAAGGCTAGGACCTTTGTTTCCTACTTTGTGTTTGTAACTGTTGAAAAAATTCAAATATTTTTCTATGAAAATTAGATCTTTTGTGGTTGAGGGATCGCAGCATAGCTTGCTTGGAACCATTTCTTCTAAAAAATTCCTTGCAAATTAGACAATTCAGTTGGAGAAAAGAATCACTGGGGAATACATATGTAAACTTGAGATAATCCTCATCAAAGGGTCATCATTGAATAATTAATTATGAATTAGTACTTTTTCCTGCTATTTGGTTTATGATGACTTTCCAGTGTTAATCAAAAAGTAATCTACAAGGGTATTAAAATCAATATATTTCTCTACACCCCCGTCCTCCTGCTTTGCCTCATTTTTCTCCAGAGCCCTTCTCACCACTAATAAAAAATCAGTATTTTCATGCTTAATATTTATTATGTATTCCCCCCACTAGAATGTAATTTAAACAGGGAGTTTTTTTGTTTGTTTATTTGTTTTACTGTTTTGTTCACTGATGTATCCCAAGCACTAAAACAGTGCCTGGTACACTGGTGGGGACTCACTAACAAAATACCTGTCCAAAAAAAAAAAAGTGGTAAGTGGCTTTACAAATGGCTAGAGGTAATTCCATCATCCTCCTGAGTAACCTGGTTTTAGGAAGTACTTCTTATGAGCCAGAGCCAGATTTTATCATTCTTTAGAGCACAGGGCCTACTTTCCAATTTTTCAAAAGCCCAGAGGGCAAAGCAGCCTTGTTTCCCATCTGCCATGTCAATTCTACATAGAATTATTATTGCAACTGTATTCATCCACTTTATATTCATGGTTTACTTCAATTATGTCATCCTAACATGCATGCAGAGACCTACAAAGATAAGGCTCTCAAATATCCAGAAAACCAAAAAATCCAAACATCTAGATCATGTGGATCTTATTCTCACTGTCTAAAGTTGAGTAAGTCCAATATTAACACCATGACTATCTCCAAAAAGCCTAGGAAATCTAAAATAAAACAACTGCTAGAAATAAGGGCTAATTGACATTGATATAAGGTCATACACAGAAATCAACTGCATTTCTATACACTAGCAGCAAACAAATGAAAAATGAAATTTTAAAAATTACCATTTGCATCAAGAAACATGAAAAACTGGGCCAGGCGTGGTGGCTCATGCCTGTAATCCCAGCACTTTGGGAGGCCGAGGTGGGTGGATCACGAGGTCAGGAGATCCAGACCATCCTGGCTAGCACAGTGAAACCCCATCTCTACTAAAAATACAAAAATTTAGCCAGGTGTGGTGGCGTGCGCCTGTGGTCCCAGCTACTCGGGAAGCTGAGGCAGGAGAATGATGTGAACCTGGGAGGCAGAGCTTGCAGTGAGCCGGGATCACGCCACTGCACTCCAGCCTGGGCGACAGGGCGAGACTCTGTCTCAAAAAAAAAAAAAAAAAAAGAAACATGAAAAACTGGCTGGGTTGTTGTGGCTCATGCCTGTAATCCCAGCACTTTGAGAGACATAGGCAGGTGGATTGCTTGAGTCTAGGAGCTCAAGAACAGCTTAGGCAATGTAGGAAGACCCCATCACTACAAAAAAATTTAAAAATTAGCTGGGCATAGTGGCATGCACCTGTTGTCCCAGCTACTCAGCAGGCTAAAGTAGAAAGATTGCTTGAGCCTGGGAGGTTGGGGCTGTGGTGAGCCCTGATCGCACCACCGCACTCCAACCTGTGCAATCAGGGCTCACCACTGGTCGCCACTGGTCACCACTGGTGACAGAACAAGGCACCATCTCCAAAAAAAAAAAAAGAAAGAAACATGGAACATTAAAATCTTAGCCAGGCATGGTGGTGCATGCCTGTAGTCCCAGCTACTTGGGAGGCTGAAGTGGGAGGATCACTTGAGCCTGGGAGGTCAAGGCTGCAGTGAGCAGTGATCATGCCACTGCATTCCCATGTGGGCAACACAGTGAGGCCCTGTCTCAAAGCAAAAAAGAAAAATTAAAATCACAATGAGAGATGTACTCCTTCACAGTGACTAAGATGTATAGCCACTTGAAAAGAAAACAACAGACAGTATCAAGTACTGACAAGGATTTGCAGCAACTAGAACTCTCATACATAGCTGGTAAGAGTATAAAATCGTGTAACCACTTAGGAAAACATTTTGCCACTTTCTCATAAAGTTAAATATATACTTACCATGTGAACCAGTAATTTCATGTGTATGTATTTATCTAAGAAAAATAAAACCCTCTATCCACAAAAAACTTTGTGTACATGAATGTTCACACCTTTATTTATAATAGCCAGAAGTTGGAAATGATCCAACTGGTGGTAAGCAGGTAAGCAAATGTGGTATATCTATACAATGAAATAGTACTCAGCAATAAAAAGAAAAAAACTGCTGATAAATGCAACAACATAGACAACTTCCAAGGAGATTATATTAAGTGAAAGAAGCTGGACACAAAAAAGTACTCACTGTATGATTTCTCTTATACATATTCTAGAACAGGCAAAACTAATGATGGAAGTAAGATTAGTGGTTGATTGCAATGGGGGCAGGGAGAGAAAACTGTAAAGGGACACAAAGGAACTTGGGGAAATTAAAACGTTCTACATCTTGGTTTTGGGGGTGGTTAAACAGATGCATCCATTTCACAAAAGTCATCAATCTGTACACTCATAATCAGTGATTTTTATTATACAGATATATGCTTTGATGAATGGATTATTAAAAATCCTGGCGAAGTGTGTTGGCTAATGCCCGTAATCCCAGCACTTTGGGTGGCTGAGGCAGGTGAATTCCTTGAGCTCAGGAGTTCAAGTCCAGCCTGGGCAACACGGTGAAACCCCATCTCTACAAAAAGTACAAACATTAGCTGGGCATGGTAGCGTGAGCCTATAGTTCCAGCTACTCGGGAGGGTGAGGTGGGAGATTGGCTTGAGCCCAGGAGACGAAGGTTGCAATGAGCCAAGGTCACGCCACTGCACTCCAAGCTTGGGTTACAGAGCTAGACCCTGTCTCAAAGAAAAAAAAAAAAATCCTGTATACTGCATACTCTTCTCATCATGCCAACCCCATTCCCCACCTTTTAACAAGTAGATCTGGTTGCAAAAGAAAGGTCTAAATGTACAGACAGGAGAGACACAACGGCTTCAAGAAAGAAGTGGGGTACTAGTCTCATTTAATCTTGCTAAATAGCAAGTCTTAATCTCTTTTACCTGCTTAACAGAATGGCAGAAATGACAGGTACACAGTTTTCTCATAATAGGGAAACCATTGCTTTCTGGAATTGTCCAGCATCTATGGGCCATCTTGAAACATGCAGCACAACACCTACCTACAACTTGATGGTCTGACAGCAGAGGAGAAAGCACTGACTTGGAATCCAGAGACTGAAAACCAAACGCCCTTTAACAATCAATGTACCTGCCCTGTATTCCTGGCTCATGGCTTTCATGCTAGATTGGTAAAAAGGGGTTCGCTTGCTGACAGCTTAGAGGAGTTAAGAGAAGGGATGAGTCCTGGTTTTCCTGTTGAAAGAACTCTGGACAGCCTGACAGTCACTGCTGGCTTTGGAAAGGCATTTCAGATAAGGCTGTAGGAGAAACCAGGTCTTCATCATCAGCTAAAATGAATGCTGCCTGTTGTTTCAACATAAAGGAAGGAGAACCAGCCTAGCAACTAACCTCAACATCATTTGTCTGGTTGACACTGTGAGCCAAAAAATTATTTTAATCACATTCTGCATAAATCTGCTTAGCAAAAACTTTCAAACCTATAAAGCACATCAAATTATATTACAGCCCTGAAGTCCTTTCAAATTATTTTATTTTGCTGGGCTTTGGTTTTAACGATTATTACTTAAATGAGTCCAGTGCTCAAGTTGAGAACTTTTCTTAGGACAGAGTCTCACTCTGTCACCCAGGCTGAGGGCAGTGGCATGATCTCAGCTCACTGCAACCTCCGCCTCCCAAGTTCAAGCGATTCTCCTGCCTCAGCCTCCTGAGTAGCAGGGATTACAGATGCATGCCACCACGCCCGGCTAATTTTTGTATTTTTTAATAGAGATGGGGTTTCACCATGTTGGCCAGGCTGGTCTCAAACTCCTGACCTAAGGTGATCCGCCGTCCTTGGCCTCCAAAGTGCTGGAATTATAGCTGTAAGCTATCATGCCTGGCCTCAAAGTTGAAAAATTTTCTGCTGTATGGATTTTTTTTCTTTTTAACATAAATGAGAGTCAGTCAAGGAGCACTTATGGAACAGCTACTACCAGGGGTTGTGCTAAGTAACGTGTAGCCTAAGGCAAAGACAACACAAGACTTGCCTTCAAAAAGATCTTCCAATCTAGGTGGAAAAGAATTCGATCATATTGTATGGTGTGATAAATACTATGACACAAACATATATGAGGTTCTGGGAAACAAAAACTCATCAGAGTAAAACTTTGATTGCTTCTTAAAATAGAACTAGTTTTTGATTTAAAAAGGCAGAGAGGCTGAGCGTGGTGGCTTACGCCTGTAATCCTAGCACTTTGGGAGGCTGAGGTGGGTGGATCACTCAAGGTCAGGAGTTCAAGACCAGCCTGGCCAATACAGTGAAACCCCGTCTCTACTAACAATACAAAAATTAGCCGGGCATGGTGGCAGGGCGCCTGTAATCCCAGCTACTCAGGAGGCTGAAGCAGGAGAAACGTTTGAACCCAGAGGTGGAGGTTGCAGTGAGCCGAGATCACGCCACTGCACTTCAGCCTGGGCAACAGAGGGAGGCTCCGTTTAAAAAAAAAAAAAAAAGCAAAAAACAAACAAAAAGGCAGGGAAAGGTGTTTTAAGCAGAGAAAAAAGTATATATACACAAAGGTACAATTATATGAAACAACAGAAAGTATGAACCCCCATGGCATGTCTAGGGAACTGCCATACTTTGGTATGGCTGAAATAAAGAAGGAATGGTAGATGAAATTAGAAAAAAAAAAAAAAAAAAAGCAACAACAAAAAACAGACTGGGATGGAATTCTGAAGAGCTGTGTGTCTTAAAATTAAGAGACTGGAATTTTTAAATTTATTTTTAAATTTTTTAAATTTTACTTTAAGTTCTGGGATACATGTGCAGAACGTGCAGGTTTGTTACATAGGTATACACGTCCCACGGTGGTTTGCTGCACCTATCAACCCGTCATCTAGGTTTTAAGCCTCAGATGGATTAGGTAATTGTCCTAATGCTCTCCCTCCCCTTGCCCCCCACCCGCTGACAGGCCCCAGTGTGTGATGTTCCCCTCCCTGTGTCCATGTGTTCTCACTGGAACTGGAATTTAATTTACAATGTTATATGAATTTAATCCAGAATGTTTAGAAAGATCACCTGGCAGCAATGTAGAGAATGGACTGGAGAGATGCTAGACCAGAAGCCAGGGGACCAACCTGGAATGATGCAGGTAAAAAGTGTTAAGGTCCAACTAAGGCAGAGAAAGTGGGGATGGAGAGAAGGAGGGTGGATATTGTTAAAAAGAAGAATCATCCACAGGACATGGGACTTCTGAATAAGTGAAAAGGAGAGTCTAAGATGATTCTCTGTTTCAGCCTCAGCATTTGAGTGGTTGGTGCATTAAGCATCAGCAAGATACGGAATATCACTAGACAATCAAGTTTAGGTTGAACAATGAAAACTTTGGATGCACTGATTAAAATATAATGAATGTAAAATATAAAAATATAGTGTAGTGCACAGAAATTTGAAAGGTGACAATATTTAAATCCTATTTCAGTGTTACAGAGCTGAAGTTCCATATGATGATGAGAGAAAATAACACAGAGAAATCTTAAGTCAGGAAGGAAGTTCTAGAAAAAATTGGCCTTGGAAGAGATGACCATTTCTGCCTTTCTCCCTCACATTAACTACTTGAAAAATAATCCAAATAGATTCAGGCAAAATTACGTCTATAGTTTTGCCCAAGAGGCCCATAAATATTGTATGCAAAGTTCCAAGTTTGAGAAAAAGTGGTTTTAGGCCATTTTCTAAGCTTCCTTACTCTCACACAGCATAAAAAATATCTACTGGGGAGTAGGTTTTAGGTTCAACTTTCTCAGAAATACCTACTCTGTCTGTGTGTGTGTGTGTGAGAGAGATGGGGGTCTCCCTATGTTGCCCAGACTGGTCTCAAACTCCTGGCATCAAGTGATCCTCCTGCTTCAGCCTCCCTGAATAGCTGGAATTACAGGTCTATACTACCATGCCCAACTCAACCTATTTTTTAAAGGGAAGAAACAGATCCACTGAAGAGAAAGGGAAGGAAGAGAAAGGAAAAAATGGACTCGTTAAGTTTCAGTTAAGTAAATAGTAGAAGCCAAAAGGGAAGGGCAAGAGAAGAAATTCTACTTTTTTTTTTTTTTTTTTTTTTTTTGAGTTGGAGTCTCGCTCTGTCGCCCAGGCTGGCGTGCAGTGGCACGATCTCGGCTCACTGCAAGCTCTGCCTCCCGGGTTCACGCCATTCTCCTGCCTCAGCCTCCTGAGTAGCTGGGACTACAGGCGCCCACCACGAGGCCCGGCTAATTGTTTGTATTTTTAGTAGAGACGGGGTTTCACTGTGTTAGCCAGGATGGTCTCGATCTCCTGACCTCGTGATCTGCCCGCCCTGGCCTCCCAAAGTGTTGGGATTACAGGCATGAGCCACGGCACCCGGCGGAATTCTACTTAAACAACAATCTCTTTTCTCTAGAATCAGTTATAGTCCCACTGTAATTCACTAGCAAGTGTACCACTCTGCCAATTATTCTCTTTTCAGAAAAATGCAATTCTTTTTTTTTTTTTTTTTTTGAGACGGAGTCTCGCTCTGTCGCCCAGGCTGGAGTGCAGTGGCGCGATCTCGGCTCACTGCGAGCTCCGCCTCCCGGGTTCACGCCATTCTCCTGCCTCAGCCTCCCGAGTAGCGGGGACTACAGGCGCCCGACACCACGCCCGGCCAATGTTTTGTATTTTTAGTAGAGACGGGGTTTCACCGTGTTAGCCAGGATGGTCTCGATCTCCTGACCTCGTGATCCGCCGGCCTCAGCCTCCCAAAGTGCTGGGATTACAGGCGTGAGCCACCGCGCCCGGCCAGAAAAACGCAATTCTTTTCTGCTTTTCCATATTTCCTATATGATGGAGAAGAGGAAGGAAACAAAGATGGATTTTGTTTTGCTGTTAGACACAAAAGTTTTTTTTTTTTTTTTTTTTGAGACAGAGTCTTACTCTGTCGCCCAGGCTGGAGTGCAGTGGCGCGATCCCGGCTCACTGCAAGCTCCGCCTCCCGGGTTCAAGCGATTCTCCTGCCTCAGCCTCCCAAGTAGCTGGGACTACAGGTGCATGCCACCATGCCCAGCTAATTTTTGTATTTTTAGTAGAGACAGGGTTTCACCATGTTGGCCAGAATGGTCTCGATCTCTTGACCTCGTGATCCGCCCACCTCAGCCTCCCAAAGTGCTGGGATTACAGGCGTGAGCCACCGCGCCCAGCCAGACACAAAGGTTTTTTTAATCTACATTTTAAAAACCTATCTGTGGCCGGACACGGTATCTCACACCTGTAATCCCAGCACTTTGGCAGGCCGAGGCGTGCGGATCACGAGGTAAAGGGTTCAAGACCACGCTGGCCAACATGGTGAAACCCCGTCTCTACTAAAAAATACAAAAATTAGCTGGGCACAGTGGCACGCACCTGTAGTCCCAGCTACTTGGGAGGCTAAAGCAGGAGAATCACTTGAACCCAGGAGGCGGAGGTTGCAATGAGTCAAGATTGCACCACTGCACTCCAGCCGAGGTGACAGAGTGAGACTCCGTACCAAACAAAAACAAAAATAAAAAACAAAACACACAAAAAAACCTATCTGTATCAAAAGATTCATGACCTAATCTGGATTACTAAACACAAAGCCATCAGCAACTTCGAAAAAGAAGTTAGTGTTGGTGTTTCATTGCTTTAAACTTGAGTTTCCTCTTTTGACCAGCCTCCCCACATCTCTCTCCCTACTTGCCTTCAAATAGCAAACTCCTGCCTACTCCTTTCTCTCCAAGAATATGCTGTGGGGAAGAAAAGATGAAGATGCGGGAAGATGGGAGAAAAGAATCCTAACATAAGATATAGAAGATACACAACGGGCTAACATCATAATCCAGCTAGTAATAAAACTCTTGGCCAGGTAAGCTGGTTCACACCTGTAATCCCACCACTTTGGGAGGTGTGTGGCAAGAGGATCACGTGAGCCCAAGAGTGCGAGACCAGCCTGGGCAAGATGGTGGGACCCTATCTCTACAAAAATAAGGAAAAAAGGCTGGGCGCAGTGGCTCAGGCCCGTAATCCCAGCACTTTGGGAGGCCAGGGCGGGCTGATCATCTGGGGTCAGGAGTTTGAGACCAGCCTGGCCAACATGGCGAAACCCTGTCACTACTAAAAATACAAAAATTAGGCAGGTAGGCTGGGCGTAGTGGCTCAGGCCTGTAATCCCAGCACTTTGGGAGACTGAGGCACATGGTCAGGAGTTCGAGACCAGCCTGGACAACATAGTGAAACACTGTCTCTACTAAAAATACAAAAATTAGCCGGGAATGGTGGCAGGCGCCTGTAATCCCAGCTACTCCGAAGGCTGAGGCAGGAGAATCGCTTGAACCGGGGAGTCGGAGGTTGCAGTGAGCTGAGATTGTGCCACTGCACTCCAGCCTGGGTGACAGAGTGAGACTCTGTCTCAAAAATAAAAAAATTGGCCAGGCGCAGTGGCTCACGCCTGTAATCCCAGCACTTGGGGAGGCCAAGGCGGGTGGATCACGCGGTCAGGAGATCGAGACCATCCTGGCTAACATGGTGAAACCCCGTCTCTACTAAAAATACAAAAAATTAGCCGGGCGTGGTGGCGGGTGCCTGTGGTCCCAGCTACTTGGGAGGCTGAGGCAGGAGAATGGGGTGAACCTGGGAGGTGGAGCTTGCAGTGAGCCGAGATCGCGCCACTGCACTCCAGCCTGGGCAACAGAGTGAGACTCCATCTCAAAACAAAATAAAAAATAATAAATAAATAAATAAATAAATAAATAAATAAATAAATAAATAAGGCATGGTGGCAGGCGCCTGCAGTCTCAGCTACTTGGGAGGTTGAGGCAGGAGAATCACTTGAACCTGGGAGGCGGAGGTTGCAGTGAGCCAAGATCGCGCCACTGCACTCCAGCCTGGGTGACAGAACAAGACTCCATCTCAAAAGAAAAATGTACAAAAACCAGTCAGGCATGGTGGTGCATGCATGTAGCCCCAGCTACTCAGGAGGCTGAAGCGGGACGATTGCGTGAGCCCAGGAATTCCAGGCTGCAGTGAACTATGATCACACCACTGCACTCTAGCCTGGGTTTTATTTTATCTCTATAAAAAATAAAACCAGTCCAGCACAGTGGCTCACGTCTGTAATCCCAGCACTTTGGGAGGTCGAGGCAGTGGATCACTTGAGGTCGGGAGTTCAAGACCAGCCTGACTAACATGGAGAAACCCCGTCTCTACTAAAAATACAAAATTAGCCAGGCGTGATTGTGCATGCCTGTAATCCCAGCTACTCAGGAGGCTGAGGCAAGAGAATCGCTTGAACCCAGGAGGCGGAGGTTGCGGTGAGCCAAGATCGCCCCACTGCACCCCAGCCTGTGCAACAAGAGTGAAACTCTCTCTCAAAAAAATAAAAATAAATAATAAATAAAACCAAACAAAAATCCACACTTTACAGATAAAACTTTTAAAAACTAAACTCTCTGGCTTCTGCCTATGGACAAATTTACTAATACATTCTATGATGAGCCAAATTTACAAATAAACTGTATAATAAACCAGTCTATAAACTAAAGCAAAAGCCTCAAACATTTTAGTGGAGAAGAATTATTTTACATTTCTCAAAAGCTTAAAATGCCAGGATGGTTAACAGTTTGTGACATCAAGTGTCTTAGCAACTGACTTTTTGATCTAGCATTAGACCTCAATATACTATTTGAACATCTTATCACTAGAAATATTTTTGAGGGAAATCTAACCCATCTAAAAATTTTTTTCACCTCCTAATGCAACAAAGGAAAGAGATTAACCTAACTAGAACATCCTAGGATATACATTTTCTTTCTTTCTTTTTTTTTTTTGAGATGGAGTTTTGCTCCTGTTGCCCAGGCTGGAGTGCAATGGCGCGATCTCGGCTCACCGCAACTTCCGCCTCCCAGGTTCAAGCAATTCTCCCACCTCAGCCTCCCGAGTAGCTGGGATTACAGGCATGCGCCACCATGCCTGGCTAATTTTTTTTTTGTATTTTTAGTAGAGACGGGGTTTCTCCATGTTGGTAAGGCTGGTCTCCAACTCCTGGCCTCAGGTGATCCGCCCACCTCAGCCTCCTTTGCAAAGTGCTGGGATTACAGGCGAGAGCCACCGCGCCCAGCCCTAGGATATACATTTTCAATGAAGAAGATAGTGCCCCTAAGGGGGCAAAACAATCATATTACAGTTTGTGTTCTGCCAAAGGGCCACAGTATATAAACACTTCTTCTTTCTATGTAAATTTTTGCATCCAGTTTTTCTATAAACCTGTTCCACATGCTCCAGCCATTAATTTCCCCTTTATTTATATCACTTGTCTGTGTTAGATAAGCTATCACATTTCTGTGTAATACAGCTCTAGTATTTTTTTTCTTTTTTCTTTTTTTTGATGGAGTCTCACTCTGCTCTTTTTTTTCTTTTTCTTTTTTTTTTTTTGAGACAGAGTTTCACTCTTGTTGCCCAGGCTGGAGTGCAATGGCATGATCCCCGGCTCACCGCAAGCTCCGCCTCCTGGGTTCAAGCCATTCTCCTGGCTCAGCCTCCCGAGTAGCTGGGATTACAGGCATGTGCCACCACACCCGGCTAATTTTGTATGTATTTTTAGTAGAGATGGGGTTTCTCCATGTTGGTTAGGGTGGTCTCGAACTCCCAACCTCAGGTGATCCACCCGCTTCGGCCTCCCAAAGTGCTGGGATTACAGGTGTGAACCACCGCACCCAGCGAGTCTCACTCTGTTACCCAGGCTGGAGTGCAGTGGCACGATCTCGACTCACTGTAATCTCCACCTCCCAGGTTCAAGTGATTCTCCTGCCTCAGCCTCCCGAGTAGCTGGGATTACAACTGCCCACCACCACACCTGGCTAATTTTTGTATTTTTAGTAGAGACGGGGTTTCGCCATGTTGGCCAGGCTGGTCTCAAACTCCTGACCTCAGGTGATCCGCCCACCATGGCCTCCCAAAGTGCTGGGATTACAGGTGTGAGCCACCGTGCCCGGCCTTTTTTTTTTTTTTTTTTTTTTTTCTTTTTTGAGACAGGGTCTCTCTCTGTCGCCCAGGCTGGAGTGCAGTGGCACAATTCCGGCTCACTGCAGCCTCAACCTTCCAGGCTCAAGCAGTCCTTGCACCTCAGCCCCCAGAGTAGCTGGCACTGAGTAAATGGGACAGGCCTGCATGCCACCTTGCCTGCCAGCTAATTTTTTTTTTGGGGGGGGGGGTGGAATTTTAGTAGAGACGAGGTCTTGCTAGGTTGCCCAGGCTGATCTCGAACTCCTTAGCTCTAGTGATCCTCCTGCCTCGGCCTCCCAAAGTGCTGGGATTACAGACATGTGCCACTGAGCCCGGCCAGTTCTAGTATTTCATTAAGTCCCATCTCCCTGGTTAGATGGTGCACTTCTTTAATATGTATTGTGGTTTTTACTCTCAAAATTCAGAAACTATATAACTCAAGGTCCCTAGTTGCATACAGAAACGAACCCTAGTTGATTCAAGCAAAAGATGAAAGGTTAGTAGTGGGTGACTCACTGAATTCCCAGGAAGTCTGGAGAATCAGGCTCAGAAAACAAGCAAGAACAGGAAGAGGCTATACAGTCATAAACCACTTCTAAAATCATGCCATAGGCTGGGCACAGGGGCGCATGCCTGTAATCCCAACACTTTGGGAGGCTGAGATGAGAGGGTCACTGCAGTCCAGGAGTTAAACACCAGCCTCAGCAACATAGTAAGACCCTGTCTCCACAAACAAATAAAAAAATTAGCCAGGTGTAGTGGCATGTGCCTGTAGTACTAGCTACTCATGAGGCTGAGGCGGGAGGACAGCTTGAGCTGAGGAGTTCAAAGCTACAATGGCACTCTGTGCCACAGAGTGAGACCCTGTCTCTAAAAAATATATATTTAAAAAACATCACTCAGTTAGAAAATGGTGAGTCTTTATTCCAGTGGCCAAAGAAAAAAATTAATGAAAATAATAAAAATGAAAAAAAAAGAAAGTGGGCAAAAGACATCCAGATGATTCACTGAAGAGAATACACAGGTGATAAACAAGCACACGAAAATAACTTGAACACTGTTATCATTAGAGAAATGCAAATTAAAACCACATTGAGGTACCATTACATACCTGCCAGGATAGCTAAAATAAAAAATAGAGATAACAGTAAATATTGGCAAGGATGCAAAGAAACTAGATTTCTCACACATTTGCTGGTGGTAATGTAAAATGGTATAGTCACTCTGAAAACCAGTTTCTTAAAAAACTAAACACAATTACCATATGACCCAGCAACTGCACTCTTGGGCACTTGTCCCAGAGAAATGAAAACTTATGTTCACACACACACAAAAAACTGTATATAAATGTGCATAGCCATTTTTTTTCATAATAGTCCCAAACTAGAAACAGCCCAGCTCACCTCCAACACGTATATGGTAAAACAAACTGTGGTATATCTATACCATGGAATACTACCGTTCAGCAACAAAAAGGAATGAACTATTGATACACGCAACAACCTGGATGAATCTCCAGAAAATTATGCTGATTGAAAAAGCCAATCCCAGAAGGTTACATATGGTACGATTCAATTTATATAACATTTTTGTCCAGGCTCATGACTGTAATCCCAGTGCTATGAGAGGTAGAGGCAGGATAATCATTTGAGGCCAGGAGTTCCAGACCAGCCCGGGCAACATAGCAAGACCTCATATCTACAAAAAATTTTAAAAATTAATCAGGGGTGGTGGCATGCGCCTAGCTACTTGGGAGGTTGAGGCAGGAGGATAGTTTGAGGCTAGGAGTTCAAGGTTACTGTAAACTATGATCACATCACTGCACTCAAGCCTGGGTGACAGAGACCCTGTTTCACTTTACATATTTATATAAATAACAGTTTTTTTTTTTTGGAGACGGAGTTTCACTCTGTCGCCCAAGCTGAAGTGCAGAGTACAATGGCATGATCTCGGCTCACTGCAACCTCTGCCTCCCAGGTTCAAGCAATTCTCCTGACTTAGCCTCCTGAGTAGCTGGGATTACAGGCTCATGCCACCATGCCCGTCTAATTTTTGTATTTTTAGTGGAGATAGGGTTTCACCACGTTGGGCAGACTGGTCTCAATCTCATGACCTCAAGTCATCCACCCACCTTGGCCTCCCAAAGTGCTGGGATTACAGGTGTGAGCCACTGCACCGGGCCTAAATAACAGTTTTTATATAACAAAATTTTTGAAATGGAGAACAGGTTAGTGGTTACAAGAGATTAGGGATGGAGGTGGGAATATACTGTGTTCACATGTGCAGGGAAAGTGGGTATGGTATAAAAAAGTTAACACGGCCAGGCGCGGTGGCTCATGCCTATGATCCCAGCACTTTGGGAGGCCAAGGTGGGCAGATCACCTAAGGTCAGGAGTTCGAGGCCAGCCTGGCCAACACGGTGAAACCCCATCTTTACTAAAAATACAAAAAGTAGCCAGGCATGGTGGCGCATGCCTACAATCCCAGCTACTTGGGAGGCTGAGGCAGGAGAATCGCTTGAACCCGGGAGGCGGAGGTTGCAGCAGTGGGCCCAGATCACACCACTGCACTCCAGCCTGGGCGACAGAGCGAGACTCTATCTTAAAAAAAAAAAATAAATAATGCTGGGTGTGGTGGCTCACGCCTGTAATACCACCACTTTGGGAGGCCGAGGTGGGTGGATCACCTGAGGTCGGGAGTTCAAGACCAGCCTGACCAACATGGAGAAACCCCGTCTCTACTAAAAATATAAAATTAGCCGGGTGTGGCAGTGCATGCCTGTAATCCCAGCTACTCGGGAGGCTGAGGGAGGATAATCGCTTCAACCCGGGAGGCAGAGGTTGCGGTGAGCTGAGGTTGTGCCATTGCACTCCAGCCTGGGCAACAAGAGTGAAACTCCATCTCAAAAAAAAAAAAAAAGGTTAATAACAGTGATTGCTGTGTTGATGGAACTGTTCAAAATCTTGACAGTGGTGTGGAAAGAGAAACCTACACGTGATATAAAATTGTATGGAAATAACGACACATACGCAGACATGAACAAGCAAAACAAGGCAAATCTGAGTAAGATTGATGGACTGTATCAATGCCCATTACCTGGCTGTTACACTAGTTTTGGAAAATGCTGCTATTGGAGGAAATTGGGTAAAATGTACAAGGGATCTCTCTGTATTATTTTATGAAACTACATGTGATTCTAGTTATCTCAATAAAACTGTCAATTGAAAGCAAACAAGAAAAATGGGAAACAAGAAAATAGTTGCAATAAATAGAGTAGACAAAAACCACACTGAAACAATAAAGAATTTTAAAAGACTTAAACCCACAAGGAGGGGGATGAACTAGAGAGGAGACAACAATATTTTGGAACGTGGAAAGCAAATGAAGGAATGATAACTGACTAAGCAAACCTAAGAACGCTATATTGAATAATAAGCATGCAACAGAAAAAACTTTGAACTATACCAATCAACACTACAGAATCTTCCCCTAAAAGCTCAGTAACTGGCAGTACCAGATGATGTGAAATCAATGATTTAGGATGAATAACACTGATTGAAAACTATATAAGAAGCAATTATGGCTGGGCACAGTGGCTCATGCCTGTAATCCCAGTACTTTGGGAGGGCTGAGACGGGCAGATGGCTTGAGCCCATGAGTTCGAGACCAGCCTGGACAACATGATGGAACCCCATCTCTACTAAAAATACAAACATTAGCCAGGCGTGGTGGCAAACACTTGTGGCCCCAGCTACTCAGGAGGCTGAGGCAGGAAGATCGCTTAAACGTGGGAGGTAGAGGTTGCAGTCAGCCAAGATTGCGCCACTGCACTCCAGCCTTGGTGACAGAGCAGACTCTGTCTCAAAAAAAAAAAAGCAGCAATTATTTATTTAATTCCTTTTCTCACTCACATACCACCCCCGACCCAAAAAAACTAGAGAGGCTAGTTTCTCAAATAGAGAAAGCTCAAATAGAGGATCTCTGGACCAGGGTGCTCCAGGAATAGTGGAGGACATGAGTACCGTACCTAAAATAAGGAGATTAAATGTGGATTTAAACATACTGAATGCTGAAGGCTGAAGCCCCAGTCCTCTTTTTCACCTAGCTCAAAGAAATCTTTACTCTCCAGGAGGATTGGAAGGGGCTTGTTATTTTTCTAAGAAATCTGGTAAGCCTATAAGGAAACACCTAACGATCTTGACATCTGGGGTTTCCCAACTTAACAGTCATCTCGCTGTGAAGCTCACCATAAAGATGTCCTGCAAATGCACTCACAGCTTCAAATATAACTTTCAGCGCTCCATCTTAAAGATGTTTAAAACGTGAGCAGACAACCAAGTACTACCAGATATCTGAGGAATGCCTCTAACAAAAAAGACAGAGAACAAAACCAGCATTTCATAAATCAGTCAACTGAGGCTCACATCAGCTAAAAATGAGATTAGTATTTACCATACTGCACATTTCATTCATATGTTTAATAAATATTTATTGGGCCAGGTACTATTATAGGTGCTTGAGAAACAAAGATTCACAAAGCAAAACAAAAGAAAACAAAATCTCTGCCTTGGTAGAGTTTACATTCTAGCAGATAGATAATAAACAATAAGCATAATAAAGTATACACATAGTAAATTAAAAAGATTAGTGCTTCGAGAAAAAATAATGGGATAGGATAAAAGGAGGGTACAGAGGTGGTTGCAAATTTCAAATAGGTTGACATTTGAGTGAAGACTTGAGAGAGATGAGGGAGTTGGCCATGCTACGTACTTCTCTGTGATAAAAGAATTCTAGTAGCCAGAACCTTCGATGTAAGAGACCTAAGGCAAGAGGAGCTGCATTTCAAGGAACAGCAGAATCCAGTAGGGCTGGAGGGGCATGCTAGTAGGGAGAAATAGGAGATAAGGCCATAGAGGTATGGCAGAGAGAAGCACAGATCATGTGGATCATTGACTTTTTCTCTGAATGAAATTAAGAGCCAATGGAGGGTTCTGAGCAAAGAAGTGATAATGAATGGACAAGTTTCAAAGAATCATTTTGGCTGCTGTGCTAAGAACAGACTATATGGAAGCAAGGGACATAGGTTAGAAAGAGAGAGAATGGAATTTCTAAGAATGTTAGAGTTGACAAGGGTGTTGGAAGTAATTTTTTTTCCCAAGTCTTTCATTTTAGAGATGAGGAAACTGAGGCCCACAACATTGCGTTTTCCAAGGTCATGTGTTAAAGTCTGAAATAAGGCTGGGCACAATGGCTCAAATTTCTAATCCCAGCACTTTGGGAGGCTGAGGTGGGAAGTTCTTGAGCTCAGGAGTTCAAGACCCGCCTGGGCAACATAGGGAGACCCCGTCTCCACAAAAAATATAAAAAATTAGCTGGGCATGGTGGCTCACATTTGTAGTCCCAGCTACTTGGTAGGCTGAGGTGGAAGGATCACTTGAACCCAGAAGGCGGAAGTTGCAGTGAGCCATGATTGTCGCCACTGCACTGCAGCCTGGGTGACAGAGCGAGACTGTCCCAAATAATAATAATAATAATGTCTGGAATAATCCACTTTGCATTTGTGTAGCTTTTTCAGTGTTTTTAGGTTTATCATCTCATCTTGTATTCAGCAATCCTCTGGGCAGTTCATAGGGCAGCTGATAACTGACATTAATTTGGCCAAAATAGCTGGCCAAAATTAGGGACCAGGTCTAGAATATCCTCTCAGTACTCAATATAAAGCTATTAACTACATAGGGAGTGAATCTGCCATCTTGCCCATAATATCACAAAGTGCTAAATAACCTAAGTAATTCAAGTAATGGAAATGACTCATTTCTGCTGATCTAATTCCATGGTCCCACAGGAGAGCTATAGGTATTAAATGCAGTACATGTATGTTAAGTGGAATGATATACATTACAAATTAGGAAAAAGAGTAATTCTGAGGCAAATAGGAAAAAGTGATTTTGTTACACATGATATTGTGAGCTCAGGTCTCTTTCCCATCTTCTTTCTTTCCTACCCAAGTCTCATCCTGCAAGGTCTTTCTCAGATTTGAAAGCAGCTGATAAACAACTAATTTCCTTAAGATGGCTGTTGATAATAGCTCAAAGTATTACTTCTCTCTAGGGGTATGTATACTTTAATAGAAAACTCAAAACCTTCAATTCCAAAGGAACTGCAGTCAAGTTAGCAGGGAATATTATACTGAAGACCTCTTGGCAGTTACTCAAATCCCATTAAATAAATTCAAACTCAACAACTGTTTATTGTTATCTACCATACTGTCAGTCACAAAGATAAGACATCGTTCTTGCCCTTAAGATGCTAAGAATGGAAGAAGACCACACAGAAAATACTAGCTTTTGTTTATTGAATCCCTACTAATATTAAGCATTGAGCTAACTACTTTCCATGGGCAATAAGTATCAAGTATTATACTTAGCACAGTGATTAGCAAATAATGTATGTTCAATATATTGTAGCCGTGATAGTATAATTATAACCTTTGTAATTGCATTTAATCTTCACTTCTGCTCTATAAAGTAGTTATCAGTGTTACTTTACAGATAAAAGGAAACTGAGGCCCAGAGGCTAGGTAATATGCTCAAAGTCACACAGCTATTAGGAGCTAGGATTCAGGCCCAGCACGGTGGCTCATGCCTGTAATCCCAGCACTTTGAGAGGCAAGCGGATCACTTGAGGTCAGGAGTTTGAGACCAGCCTGGCCAACATGATGAAACCCCATCTCTACCAAAAAATACAAAAATTAGCCAGGCGTGGTGGCATGGGCCTGTAGTCCCAGCTAGTCGGGAGGCTGAGATGGGAGAATCACTTGACCCTGGGAGGCAGAGGTTGCAGTGAGCCGAGATCACACCACTGCACTCCAGACAGGGTGACAGAGTTTAAAAAAAAACCAAGGCCAGGTGCAGTGGCTCACGCCTTGTAATCCCAGCACTTTGGGAGGCCGAGGTGGGTGGATCACCTGAGGTCGGCAGTTCAAGACCAGCCTGACCAACATGGAAAAACCCCGTCTCTACTAAAAATACAAAATTAGCCAGGCGTGGTGACGCATGCCTGTAATCCCAGCTACGCAGGAGGCTGAGGCAGGAGAATCACTCAAACCCAGGAGGCAGAGGTTGTGGTGAGCCGAGGTTGCACCATTGCACTCCAGCCTGGGTAACAAGAGTGAAACTCCGTCTCAAAAAAGTCTCTGCTCCTCCTGTTCGACAGACAGCCACATATTCTCTCGCATTGGCAGCTGCATCCCTGAGACACCATGGGTAAGGTGAAGGTCAGAGTCAACAGATTTGGTCGTACTGGGTGCCTGGTGCACCATGACTGCTTTTAACTCTGGTAAAGTGGATATTGTTGCCATCAATGACCCCTTCATTGACCTCAACTACATGGTCTACATGTTCCTGTATGATTCTACACATGGCAAATTCCATGGCACCGTCAAGGCTGAGAACGGGACGCTTGTCATCAATGGAAACCCCATCACCCATTTTCCAGGACCAAGATCCCTCCAAAATCAAATGGGGTGATGCTGGCGCTGAGTACGTCGTAGAGTTCACTGGTGTCTTCACCACCATGGAGAAGGCTGGGGCTCACTTGCAGGGGGGAGCCAAAAGGGTCAACATCTCTGTCCTCTCTGTTGATGCCCCCATGTTTGTGATGGGCGTGAACCATGAGAAGTATGACAACAGCCTCAAGATCGTCAGCAATGCCTCCTGCATCACCAACTGCTTAGCGCCCCAGCCAAGGTCATCCATGACAACTTTGGTATCATAGAAGGATTCATGACCACAGTTCACACCATCACTGCCACCCAGACTATAAATGGCCCCTCCGGGAAACTGTCACGTGATGGCTGCAGGGCTCTCCAGGACATCATCCCTGTCTCTACTGGCGCTGCCAAGCCTGTGGGTAAGGTCATCCCTGAGCTGAACGGGAAGCTCACTGGCATGGCCTTCCATGTCCCCACTGCCAATGTGTCAGTGGCGGACCTGACCTGTCGTCTGGAAAAACCTGCCAATATGATGACATCAAGAAGGTGGTGAAGTAGGCATCGGAGGGCCCCCTCAAGAGCATCCTGGGCTACAATGAGCACCAGATGGTCTCCTTCGACTTCAACAGCAACACCCACTCTTCTACCTTCGATGCTGGGGCAGCCATTGTCCTCAAGGACCACTCTGTCAAGCTAATTTCCTGGTATGACAATGAATTTGGCTACAGCAACAGGGTGGTGCACCTCATGGCCCACAATGCCTCCAAGGAGTAAGACCCCTGGACCACCAGCCCAGCGACAGCATGAGAGGAAGACAGAAGCTCTTACTGCTGGGGAGTCCCTGCCATAATCAGTCCCCCACCAAGCTGAATCTCCCCTCCTCACAGTTTCCATGCAGACCCCTTGGAGAGGGAGGGGCCTAGGGTGCCCCACCTTGTCATGTACCATCAATAAAGTGCCTTGTGCTCAGCCAAAAAAACAAAAAACAAACAAACAAGAAATTAAACAATAAAAAAACCCACAAAAAATTAAAAATAATAATAATAATAATAATAATAAATTTTTTTAAAACCCCCACCAATAAAAAAGAGCCAGGATTCTGGATCAAGAGGTCAGGAGTTCGAGACCAGCCTGGCTAATATGGTGAAACCCCATCTCTACTAAAAAATTCAAAAATTAGCTGGGCGTGGTGGCACGCACCTGTAGTCCCACCTACTCAGGAGGCTGAGGCAGCAGAATCGCTTGAACCCAGGAGGTGGAGGTTGCAGTGAGCCGAGATCGCGTCACTGCACTCCAGCCTGGGCAACAGAGCGAGACTCCAACTCAAAAAAAAAAAGGAGCCAGGATTCAAACTCAAGCCTGCATAATTCTATAATTTGTGCTATTAACCCCTATATAATATTCAATATTTCTATAAAATTAATAGGTGTTTAACTTCATTCGGAAGTCTGAGCAACTGGCTAACAAGAATATGCTGTAAAGAGAAAGTGATATTTAAGTTGGATCCTGAATGACAAGTGGGAAAGAAAGGGGGTAAGAGTAGAGTTTGGTCCAGGTTAAAAATGATGAGGGTCTGAACAAAGGAAGTGGCAACAAGTATAAAGAGGGGAAGTTACAAGAGATAAGCAGGAGATAGTCTCTTAAAGAACCTTTGTGATGTACCAGATGTGAGCAGTGAGGGAAAGGCATCAAAGATGACTCACAAGTTTCTAGTTTGGGTGACTGGGCAGAAGTATTCCCAGTACTAACACTGAGAAAGTACTGGAGAAAGGAATGGAGAGAGGTGGACTTTAGGGACAAATTATGATTTTTCTTTGAACTTTGTGAATTTGAAGTACATTTGGGACAACTAAGCAAGGAAATCTGTTAGGCAACTGGAAATCATGGTCAAATTTAGTAAAGATGTCAGGGCAGGGAATGGATATTTGGGAGTCACTGCTATAACTACAGTACTTTGAAATAATAATTGTGTAAGAGACTGACACATAGGTAGCACTCATGCCATCTTATGTGTAAGGCTGGTCTTAACACTGAGAATATACTGAACTCTGAAAATAAGCAGGGCCGTAACATGTCCCCACAAATCAAATATGCCCATCACCTCCATCTTTACAGAAGAAAAAAAAAAAAAAGACGTTGGAAATGGAGTGTAGCTGATATCTGACGACAACGACTCAGATAGCCGTTAGTCTTTTAACCCTGCATCCTCAAAATACCTGGCAAACTAGATGATCAATAAATATGTGATGAACAGAAAGCATGAATGAAGGAAGCCCAAAGAATTAAACAGAATTTCCAATGTTATTCAGCTTAAGTAGGGGAATGGACACTAGAAGCTAGGTGCTCTCAATCTTGTGTGCTTTACATTCCAGAGGTTTCTCCAGCCTCCTTCCTCACCTGTTCCTCAAGAATTATCTTGTTCTGAAAAATATCAACATAATTTAAAATCTCTAACTACAGTATAAATGTTCCCTTCAAAATCTCATATTGGGCTGGGTACGGTGCTTTATGCCTGTAATCCCAGCACTTTGGGATTGCCGAGGTGGGATGATCATTTGAGCCCAAGAGTTTGAGACTAGACTGGGCAGCCTGGGCAACATAGTGAAACCCTGTGTCTACAAAAAACAACAACAAAAATAGCCACATGTGGTGGCATGTGTCTGTAGTCCCAGCTACTTGCAAGGCTGAGGCAGGAGGATTGCTTGAGCCTGGGAGGTCAAGGATGCAGTGGGCTGTGATTATGCCATTGCAGTAAGCTGTGATTGTGCCACTGCACTCCAGCCTGGGTGACAGGGCAAGACCCCATCTCTAAGAAAAAAAAAAATCCCATATTCATAGAAGTCATCTATAAAAAAGTCCACAGTTAATTAACATCATATTTAATAATTAAGACTGAAAGTTACTCCCTAAAATCAGTGAAGAAGTTAAGGATGTCTGTTCTTGCCACTTCTATTCAACATTGTACTGGAGGTTATAGCTAGAAAAATTAGACAAGAAATAAAGAAAAAAGACATCGAGGTTGTAAGTAAGAAGTAAAAGGATCTCAATTTGCAGATAACATGATCTCATATATAGAAAATCCTAAGGAATGCACAAAAATCATATCAGAGCCAACAAACGAATTCCACAAGGTGGTGAGATACAAGATCAGTACATATAAAACAATAGTATTTCTGTACTCTAGCAATGAATAATCCAAATATGAAATCAAGAAAACAATTCCATTTAAAATAACATCTAAAAGAATAAAATCCTCAGGAATAAATTTAACAAAAGAAGTGCAAGATTTTGGTGTACAACCCCTAAATTTGACTGGCTTAAAAAAAAAAAAAAAAAGAAAAGAAAAAACAGGGCTGAGCGTGGTAGCTCATGCTTGTAATCCCGGCACTTTGGGAGGCCTAGGCAGGCAGATCACTCGAGGCCAGGAGTTGGAAACCAGCCTGGCCAACATGGTGAAACCCGAGCTCTACTAAAAATACAAAAAATTAGCTGGGCTTAGTGGCGTGCACCTGTAGTCCCAGTTATTTGGGAGGCTGAAACAGGAGAATCGCTTGAAACTGGTGGGTGGAGGTTGCAGTGATCCAAGCCAAGACTGTGCCACTGTACCCCTGCCTGGTGGACAGAGTGAGACTCTGTCTCAAAAAAAAAAAAGAAAAAGGGCAAGATTTGTACACTAAAACCACAAAACATCATTGATGGAAATTAAAGAAGTTATAAATAAATGGAAAGACATCTCATGTTCATGGATTGGAAGATTTTTTATTGTTAAGATTGCAGAACTCTCCAAACTGACTGACAGATTCAATACAATCTCCATCAAAATCCTAGCCTGCTTCTTGCAGAAATTGACAAGCTGATCCTAAAATTTGTATGGAAATGCAAAGGACTCAGAATAGCCAAAACGATCTCAAAAAGAAGAATAAAGTTGAAAGACTCACAATTCTCAACACTTACTACAAAGATGAGTAATCAAGATTGTAATACTGCCATAAGGATAGATATGTTGATCAACGGAACAAAACTGAGAGTCTAGATAAAAACCCATACATTTATGGTCAATTAATTTTCAACAAGGGTGTCAAGAAAATTCAATGTGGGGTAAGAATAGTCTTTTCAACGATTGGTGCTAGGAAAACCGCATATGTACATGTAAAAGACTAAAGCTGGATCCCTACTTCACACCATATAGAAAAATTAACTCAAAATGGATCAAATACCTAAATGTAAGAGCTATAACCATAAAAATCTTAGAAAACACTAGTATCCAGAATATATTCTTACAAAGAACCTAATTAAAATATTGACAAAGAATCAGATATCTTCAAAGAAGATATACAAGCACATAAGCACATGAAAAGATGTTCTGAATCATTAGTCATTAAAGAAATCCAAGTCAAAACCACAAGATACCACTTTACACCCACCAGGATGGCTATTATTAAACAAATGAACAATAACAAGTATTGTTGAAAGTGTGGGGAAATTGGAATCCTTGTACACTGCTAGCGGGAATGTAAAATGGCACAGCCATTTACATTCTGGCAAACAGTTTGCCAGCTCCAAACAAAGTTAAACAAAGAGTTACCACATAATCCAGCAATTCTATCCCTAGGTATATAATAAAAAAAACTGAAGACATATGTCCATACAAAAACTTGTATATGAATGTTCATAGCAGCATTATCCATTAACAGTCAAAATAAGGAAAAAACCCAAATATCCCTCACCTGATGAAATGGATAAACAAATGTGGTATATTTATATAATGGAATATTATTCAACCATAAAAAGGAATGGAGTACTGATACATGCTACAATAGATTATGCTAAGTGAAAGGAGTCAGACACAAAAGGCCCCCCCCTTTTTTTTTTTTTTTGAGATGGAGTCTTGCTCTGTCTCCCAGACTGGAGTGCAATGACGCAATCTTGCCTCATTGCAACCTCCACCTCCCGGGTTCAAGCAATTCTCCTGCCTCAGCCTCCCAAGTAGCTGGGACTACAGGCATGTGCCACCACGCCCAGCTAATTTTTGTATTTTTAGTAGAGACAGGGTTTCACCATGTTGGTCAGGCTGGTATCGAACTCCTGACCTTGTGATCTGCCTGCCTTGGCCTCCCAAAGTGCTGGGATTACAGGCGTGAGCCACTGCGCCCGGCCAAAGGCCACAGATTGTATGATTCCATTTACATGAAATTTCTAGAGAGACAGAAGTAGACTGCCCGGGGCTAAGTAAAATGAAGAATTAGGGTGACTGCTGATGGGTACAGGGTTTCTTTTTGAGGAGATGAAAATATTCTGGAATTAGTGATGTGATGGGTACACAGTTTGTGAATATAGTATAAACCACTGAATTGTATACTGAAAAAAAAAAAGAAAACATGAATTATTTCTCAATTTTTAAAAAAACTGTATGAGGAAAAAAAAAAAACCCGTATAACCTGTCTAGCTAACCTCTTCCAAAAAATTTTCCAGTTATCAGTTGTTAAATGGTTTCTGGAAACATTACTTTTTTTTAAATAATAACCAGGAAAAGGCAGGAACATTAAAGCCATTTGATAAACATGCAAAAAGTTGAAATTCTACCCAGAGCTTAGGCCATCAGCCATCATTTCTCAATCTTCCATTCACATGAAATTTAAGTTTATAACATAGAAGATTTTCTTTTCTTTTTTTTTTTTGAGATGGAGTCTTGCTCTGTTGCCCAGGCTGGAGTGCAGTGGCGTGATCTCTGCTCACTTCAATCTCTGCCTCCCAGGTTCAAGCGATCCTCCCACCTCAGCTTCCCAAGTAGCTGGGATTACAAGTGTGCATCACCACATCTGGCTAATTTTTGTATTTTTAGAGACAGGGTTTCACGATGTTGGCCAGGCTGGTGTCGAACTCCTGATCCTCCCGCCTCAGCCTCCCGAAGTGCTGGGATTACAGATTTGAGCCACTGTGCCCGGCCTATAATATAGCAGATTTTCAAAGATTTTCCTAGATTTCCTGAAATTCTTATGTCAGGCTCTTGGTAAAAGCCTACTATTAGGCAGTCAATCCTGGTCTGATTTCTTCAAACCAAAGTGCTGACAACAGTTCCAAAGAGTAGTCTCAGAGCTGCTAGCATAATTACTTTAATTGGAAGCTGTTTCTCTCCAGTTATGCAAGGGAGTCCATATTACATGAAAATAAAATCTATAATAATTCATCATAGTATAGGATGTATACTTTTGGAGAATATAAATTAAAATATACCCTGCTAACATCTCTCCCCATTTCTGTCCTGTCAAAAGATCATTAAGGGTATGGTATGTTAAGGAAGATCTCTTTTGGAAATGCTTATACCTGATATTATAAATGTCAAAGAGTACTCTTAGACAATAGGCTGCAAGTACTGTATTCCTGCCTCATTTTAACATTTAAAAGGAACAATAAATAAATCCAAAATACTTTTCTCTATTGCACCAAAATTTCCTTTTTTTTTTTTTTTAACCACAATGTATTAAAAGTTAAATCTAAACATCTATGTAAACATCGAATAGACAAAAGGTCTAGACTGGTCAACATAGAAATCCATATAGAAAATTACACAGAAAAAAGATGGGTTTCTTTTTGTGCAACTTCCTTAACTAAAATGCTACTCCAGCAAGGAAAAGAAAACATGAAAGACAGCCCTTTTCTTTTTATACAACTAGAAATCTCATAAGCTTATGTCTTGAGCAAGCTCATCAACGAAAGCAAATTATGTTAACTGACATCACAGACACCTCTTTCCAAAGAGAAGAAAGCAGGTCAACATTAAGTCTTTAAAAATTGCAAAACTACTCTCTCCCTACATACTCACCACCATCAGTTTAAAAAAAACAAACACCCAGACTTCTGAAGACAATCACAAATGAAGATAAAAAATTGGTTTGAGATAAGTTATAAAAAGCTAAACAAAGAAGATGAGTTTCATACTCCAGGGTGAGATCACATCAATTGTAATAAAATCTAGCCAAGCAGGGCCAAACCAGTTCAGATCTCTAATGGGAAAATTAAAGATGCTTAAAGGGACAGAGTTGAGATTCATGAGGTATAGATCATGCCCAAGCCAGTCCTGAACCAATAATCTCAGCCAGTTCCACAACATTAAAGAAATTCTTCTCTTAAGAATCTGGTAGAATGAAGTACAATTTTTATGTTCTTCCTTTTACTTTTCTGAATTTTCCAAATTCTTTACAATAAAGCACTTATAGATTTCAATGCCAGAATGCTGAAACCTCGTTAGTAGAAAATAATCTCAAAGAAACAGAAAACCGAGTGGACAGGTTGCTGTAAACTCACAAGGTCAAGGCATTCTCACTTGCCAAGTACAGAGTTTGCCCCGGGGGCATTAGAGATAACAATGCTTGTGCTTTGCCCAATCTTCTCTCTGACATAATAGGCTTTTGTCTCGAGTCACCAGATGCCTCAGCATTAGTTGGCCAAGTGCTAGGGCCCCAGAGCCTAGATAACACAGCTGGAGCTTGGTACTCCTATACAGGGATTAAGAAACAATCTCCAGCCCACAACTCTATTAAGCAAACTTTGACAGCTGCCAGGGCCAGTAAAGAATAATGAAGGGACAGGGATCCAGTGGCACAGCTGCACCTCTTTCCCACACCAATATTCCTCTTCCTTTTTTCCTCAGAAGGCTCACTCTGCTGCCAACTCCAGGTCTTACTGGTCTCCTTAGCCACTATGGCTGTCCATTTTAAAAAACCACACTGGCAATGATGGGCTTTTAGTAAAACTCAAACACTTCAAAATAAATTGAAGGTTCCCTGCTTAGGGTATTTTCATAAAGGTTATGAGCCTTGATTCTACCTAAATTCCTCCTGACTGTCGTCTTGGCAGCAGAATATTAATAGGCTGTCCTAAGAGAGTTATAAAACAATCAGTATCCAATCATTTCCTGTACCTTGAAATGTTAACACTAAGGGAAGGACAGGGAGGAAAAAATAAAACAAGGAAAGGAAAAAAAATCCTCCTCTCAGGGAAATGCCTACACCCCAGAGACCAGGTCCAAGCTCCCTCCCTACTCCATATCCAGCCACACAAAAGCCAAAGCCAAGAACAATCCTCCACTTACAGAGGCTTCCACAAATTTCTCTCCTCAGCCAACTCTGGAGCCAGGATGAGAGACTTTGTTGGCACATGCCAGCTCTTGTTTATGAGCTGGTTACCACCTCAAAGGCTGCTTGGCCCAAGGTCTGCCTTCCCTTTACAGGATCTTTCAAACTTCAAAATGGGATCTTATCTTGGACTCCTCTTAAGACATGGACGTGGGTTACTTAACCTATTGCTTCCAGCTTGAGTGCTATCCAAGGATTTCTCTGGGGACTACATTCTCAGGGGGTAGTCAACATTATCTAATATGGAAGGACTTTCTACCCACCTGTACAAAGTAAAGAAGAACGGAAAGATTTTAAATTAAAAGTAAAAGCGAACACTTTCAGAAATAACTTCAGTGGCCATCAGGTAAAGGTAACAGCTGAAGTGACGAAAATCAGGTGAGCCTCTCCTTTGCTGTCAGTGTAGCAGAGAAGGTGGGAAGAAAGATAATAAAATAATCTCTTCGGCTGATAATTTAATTCTGTCCCGTACTCAGAGCTTATTTCTGAAATCTTGTAATAGAAATTTCCCTAGGTTGAATTCCATATCCTAACAGCTAGGAATTGAAGAGACATTTGGAAGTCAGTTTCTCGGTTACTTTTTGTTGTCTTCCCATTCTATTGTGAACCCTTTTCTCCCTTAATTTCACCTCACCTTTTAGAGATTTGGGGAGAATACCAGAACGTGTGGGAAAAAAAATATTAGCCAAAAATTTAAGAAAACGAGAATAAAAAAACAAAAAGAAAAATAGAGATTTGGGGATAATAAAAACTGAGACACAGGTTAGGGAGCCTGGCTCTCTAACTGCCTTTGGTTTTCTACTTTCTACGGAAACAACATTCACAACAGAAAACTACATATATCATATATGTACAACTCTGCATTTTCATAAACTGAACACACAGTTATGTAAATAGCATCCACAACAATATTTTAGCAAATAGTGCTCAAATAAAAACTTTGCCCTCCAGGGGATATTTGGCAGTGTCTGGGGACATTTTTGGTTGTCTTACCTTGGAGCGAATATGATAAAGGTATGGATGCTGTGAAACATCCTACAATAAACTGGACCACCCCAACAACAAAGAATTACCCTAGCCCCAAATACCAATAGTGTTGTTGTTGAAAAATCCTGGTTATAGCAACCCAGAAACCTTCCTGTACTGCTTCTCCAGAAAGGACTTTTACCACAAAAATGCAAGACTCCTTATGCTCTGGTAGAAAAGCTGCTGTAACATACTGCCATGAGGAGGTGGTACAGAGCATAAATGATCACAGATGAAACTACTCACCTGCCTGGAAAGACAAGAGAGGCTGCAAGGAGAAAGGAAAATAGAACAAACATTTGTTGCTGACCTGTAACTATTATACTATAACCTCCATATACTGTGCATTTACAGTGTACTTTTAGATCTTTTAAATTAAAACCATATAAAATCTAAGGAAAATGAGATACGGAGAGGTAATTTGCAGAAGATCCTATATATATTAAATGGCAGTCAGTGCTGGGATTCAAACATAGGCCTGATTACAATATCTATGCTTTCACTTTAATACTATTAGAAGTTGAGAGTTTAAATAACTGAAAATTAGGTCAAAAAAGAAAAAAGGAAAACTAAAAAAGTTGAGAGTGATGATGCCAGGCAGGGAAAATATGGCAAATGGTTAAAATAAAAAGCAAAGATCACTCTTCCATTGTTCATAAGTGGCATGAGAAACGAACTTTTCCTCAAAGTGTGCCTCAATCCAATAAAACCAATTCTAACTACAGAACCAAGCAAGTTCTATAACCTCTTTCAGTGGATTTTAAAATGTTTGTATAGACATATGTTCCCAGCTGTGGGTTTTGTATTCTCTCTAGGACACAAGGAAGCAGTTCCCAATATGCCAACTAAGGTAGCTACCTTCTTGGTGTTCCTCAGTGACCCATACTGAGCCCCTTTCATTCAATACAGACACATTCTTCCTGGGTAAGTGCACTCACTTCTATGGCATCAATTACCATTTATGTGTTCACATTAATAAACTCTTAAATCTTTAGATTTCCAGTTCTCTCTCTCACACATCCAGTCCTCAAGAGACATTTCTACTTGGTTGTTCATTCATTCAACTCCCTCTTCCAAATTAACTACCATTTATCCTTCAGATATTTACTCAAACTTCTTCACGGATATTTTCCCTGACCCGCCCCCGCCCCCCGCCCCCCGCCCTGCACCCGCCAAGAATGGTTCAGTTCCTAATTATAGGCTCTCAGCATCCTATAACTTTCACTTTTATAATTTTAATAGTGTAAAATGATAGATGTGCATATGATTGTTTGATTCCATTCTATCTCCCCTACTAAACCGTATGCCCTAGAAAGAGCAGGACCAAATCTATTTTGCTTACATTATCCCCAGCACAGGCAGTGCAAGCACCTCAAAACATGTCCCAAGTTAAACTCATTATCATTCCCTGCAAACTTGCCCCTTTTCAGTGTTCCCTCCTATGAGTAAGTGGTTCCATGAACAGCTTGGTTCATGCCCAAAATCTGGACATGACTCTCGACTTCTTCTTCAATCTCTTCCCAACATGGTATCAATTACCAAGATGCTATCAATTGAACTTCTATTCTCTCAAATCTACCCACTTTGCTCCTTTCCTATTAATACTATTCTGGTCCAGCTGTCTTGCTAACTATGCTAACAGCTTCCTAAATGCCTCCAATCTTGTTCTCCAATCCACTCTGCAGATGACATCAAGAGTAATTCTTCAAAAACTCAAAAATCAATCACTGTAATCCACTAAAAAGTCTAACAATAGTTTTCTGCAGATGTTAGGATGAAATCCAAATCCTTTAACAAGGCTTTTAAGGCCTTCTACTATCTGACCCCATAGCACTCCAGCCTCATCTTACCATTCTATTCCTCCTCCTCCAGTCATAGTGAACTTCTTCCAGTTCTTCTCATGCCTCAAGATTAGTCTTACCACTTAGCCTTTGATTATGCTATTCTCTCACCTGGCACAAGCCTTTTGCCCTCTCTCCCATCACCTGTCTAATTCCTGCTTATCCCTTTGGGTCTCTGTTTAACTATCAGAGAGGTTAGAGATCTCCATCACCTCTTTTGAGCAGAGATCTTCCTTGATCCTACACTATACTCTGGCCACCACTGTGCACCCACAATACCCTATGTTATCATTACTCATCAAAGTTTGTTATAATAACCAATTTATCTGTCTCCCACATTAGAATATAAACTCCAGGAACCCAGCACGATGGCTCACGCTTGTAATCCCAGCACTTTGGGAGGCCATGGCGGGTGGATCACTTGAGCCCAGGGGTTCAACGTGGTGAGCCTGGGCAACATGGTGAAACCCTGTCTCGACAAAAAATCCAAAATTGGTCAGGTGTGGTGGCACGCACCTGTAGTCCTAGATACTTGGGAGGCTGAGTTGGGAGGATCACTTGAGCCCAGGAGGCAGAGGTTATAGTGGGCCAAGATTGTGCCACTGTACTCCAGCCTGGGTGACAGAGTGTCTAAAAATAATAATAATAATATATATGTATAATTTTTATTTATATATCATATATATACACACACTCCACAGAGCAGAGACCACATCCATTTAACTTTTATTTTTTTAGATGGGATCTTGCTATGTTGTCCCAGCTGGACTTGAACTCCTGGGCTCACAGGAACTTCCCACCTCAGCCTTCCAAGTAGCTGGGACTACAGGTGTGAGCCACCATGCCTGGCTTCAACTCTTTATCCTAAGTGCCAGCACACTGTATAGCACATGGTAGTTATTTAATAATTATTTGTTGGATGAACTGAATGAGTATCCATAAATTTGAACTGCTTGACTAGGATAGCCCTCCAACCTGTAAGTCCAGAAAAACATTAATTTTGTTATAAAGCATCCCATATAGGATCTGTTGAATCACAGGGAATTTTGTTTTGTTTTGTTTGAGACAGAATCCCCCTCTGTCACCTAGGCTGGAATGCAGTGGCATGATCTCGGCTCACTGCAGCCTCCACTTCCCGGGTTCAAGTGATTCTCCTGCCTCAGCTTCCTGAGAAGCTTGGACTACAGGCATGCACCACTACACCCAGCTAATTTTTGTATTTTTTAGTAGACATGGAGTTTCACCATGTTGACCAGGCTGGTCTTGAACTCCTGACCTCAGGTGATCCACGTGCTTTGGCCTCCCAAAGTGCTGGGTTTATAGGAGTGAGCCAGCGTACCCAGCCCAGAGGTAATTTTAAAATCAGCTAATGCTATATTTTTAAAGCAAGAAGCTTAAAACTCGCAATTAAATAAGGAAGAGCCAGACAAACATTATCAAGTAAAAAGTTTCCGGAGTAGGGGTTAAGGAGAGAAGAAATTGATATAGTATAAGGGACTGCTGGAACCTGGTGAAAATTTTTAAAATCAGAATCATCCTGAGAGTTGATAAGCTAAGACTGGACTTATTGTTCGGTAGCCTGATTAATTCTGGAAATGGTTCTGAAAGATACAGAAACACATAAGAAGGATAAATGCAATTATAAGGAACCATCCCTAAGATAAGATCAATACAAGATTAAAAATATATATATATTCTTAATAAATGCCCAGTATATAGTGGCACCACAATAAAATCTAAGTTTTCTTTAAAAGTATTATTTGGGTGGGCATGGTGGCTCACACCTGTAATCCAACACTTTGGAGGATTGAGGCAGGAGGATCATTTGAGCTTAAGAGTTTGAGACCAGCCTGGGCGACATGGTGAAACCCCATCTCTACCAAAAATACAAAAATTAGCCGGGTGTGGGTGGTGGCGCATGCCTGTCATCCCAACTACTTGGGAGGCTGTGGCAGGAGAATCTCTTGAACTCAGGAGGCGGAGAGCTTGCAGTGAGACGAGATCGTGCCATTGCACTCCAGCCTGGGCAACAGAGCAAGACTCTGTCTCAAAACAAAGCAAAAACAAACAAAAAAACCCCACCTCTATGAGGTTTCTGCTTAACTCAGCAAGACTGAATAAACGAAAAACAAATACAAATAAATTTTAAAAATTAAAAAATATACTCCAGGGGGGCAGGGGAATGGAAGAGATTAAAGTAGGATTGGCCTGGCCCTTTTCTGCTTCAGGTTATTAGATATAAAACAGGAAGGAGGGTGAAATATGACTAAGGAATAAGAACAATAAGAGATCTGAAAATTTTAGTCAAATATGAAAAAGTCATTGGGGTTTTATTTTCCAACTATCTTCCCTGACTTTTCTCTGGCCTGAATGCCACTTCAGGTTGATAATTTACTACCAACTACAGACAGCCCTACCTAACTTGGTTTCTAAACAAGTCGATCTTTTCTTCTGTGACATGAGGACATTTACCTGCTTAGTTCTTTTTTTTTTTTTTTTTGAGACGGAGTTTCGCCTTTGCTGCCCAAGCTGGAGTGCAATGGCGCGATCTCAGCTCACTGCAACCCCCGCCTCCCAGGTTCGAGCAATTATCCTGCCTCGGCCTCCCGAGTAGCTGGGATTACAGGCGTGTGCCACCACGACCGGCTAATTTTTTGTATTTTTAGTAGAAATGGGGTTTCACCATGTTATCTAGGCTGGTCTCGAACTCCTGACCTCAGGTTATTCGCCTGCCTCGGCCTCCCAAAGTGCTGGGATTACAGATGTGAGCCACTGCGCCCAGCCTTACCTGCTTAGTTCTAAGGAGGTGATTAGATGGTTCAGAGGGGACATTATTTTAAGCCTTTAAGTCTCCTCTATCCTACCCCTCCCCCCTTTAAAAAGAAGATCCATTTCACAAAGGCTGAGGGGCAAATACCAAGAGTTTCCCAAATCAACAAGCTTAAATTTCCATTTCTGGGAGCTTTGCCCTGGCCAAACTGCTTCCCAGGGAGAGGCATATTGTGCTTTTCTTTTTCCCGAGTGATACTATATTGGCCTACACCCAGAGTCATTTTTACTCAGCTTTTCAACATGAAAACTTGTTTGGCCAGTCCTCCAGGGCAATTGCAATGCCTTGTCCAAGAGATGCCACCAGTCCATGCCTAAAAGCACCAAGCCTTCGAATAAGGTATACTATTCACAGCAGTGTCATCTCTAGGCAGTAACAGCAATTTTGAACTATGGGTAAAACACCTCACTGTCAAAGGTAGTACAGTAGTTTTCAAGATACATACAATGCTGTACCCAGACTATAATGAATGTCCCAGGTAGAACATATGAAAACGACTGCTTTTTCCTGGTTATTTTTATTTGAGAAGGAAGGAAGAGCCCTTCCTAAATCTGCATAACTAAATATAATCCCATTTGCTTAAGACAAGACCAACAACAAATGTAAAATGTTATTTCAGAAATAACAACAACAACAAAAAATTAAAGCAGGATTAAAAAATTTTAAAAAAAAGGGTGGGCGCAGTGGCTCACACCTCTAATCCCAGCACTTTGGGAGGCTAAGGCGGAAGGATCACTTGAGACTAGGAGTTTGGGGCCAGCCTCAAGTGTGGGTGAAACCCATCTCTACAAAAAATACAACAACTAGCCAGGTGTGGTGGTGCACACTTGTAATTCCAGCTACTGGGGTGGCTAAGGCAGGAGAATTGCTTGAATCGGGGAGGCAGAGGTTGCAGTGAATCCAGATCGCGCCACTGCACTCTAGCCTGGGATGACAGAGTGAGACTCCGTCTCAAAAAAAAAAAAAAGCATAGTTTAGATAGAATCTAAAGGTGAAAGTGAGAAGAGGCTAGAAGGTGAAAGGTATACCTCAAAGGACCTACCAAAGGCACTGGGCCTAAGAAAGCGAAACTAGGCTCAGAAATATTTATGTTGGTAAGAGGAGAACAGCTCTGCTACATGATAGTTCTTGTTCAATTCAACGATAAGATCTGAGGTTACTATACAGAAATAAAGGGAAGGAATTTGTGGACACTGTGAAGAACATGAAGGTTGGAACTGAAATGTAAATATTACAATAATCATTACATTAAGCTATATTCATTCCATGGACCCAAAGTTTCCACTACATAGAGAATCTGGATCCTAAGATTTGCTCTATTGTCATAAAATACCTTTGTATACTAAATGGATAATATTTAACATTATAAAATCAACTGTATGTAACTGGCAAAAAAAGAAAGAAAGGAACAAAAACCAATTTGAATGGTTTGGGCCTCACAGCTGTTCTGCTTATTGAGCATATGCTCTGGAGGAAGCCAGAGATAGGAGATTTGAACTGGTGGTTTTTTTTTTTTTTTTTGAGGGTCTTGCTCTGCTGCCCAGGCTGGAGTGCAGTGGCATGATCATGGTTCACTGCAGCCTCGACCTCCCGGGCTCAAGTGATCCTTCCGCCTCAGCCTCTCAAGTAGCTGGGACCACAGGCATGTATCAACACACCCAGCTAATTTTTTAGTTTTTTGTACAGACAGGCCCTCCCTATGTTGCTCAGGCTGGTCTTGAACTTCTAAGCTCAAGCAGTCCTCCCACCTTGGCCTCCTGAAGTGCTGGGATTACAGGTGTAAGCCACCTTGCCCAGCCAGCTGGCTGTTCCTTAATCTGGTTTCCACTCCCATGTGCCTCTCATAATATAAGCATTTTACTAGGCTTAGGGTGATTCTAGTATTTACAAATACATATTTTTCATTAATATAGTCTAGCTCTCACACAAGTCAGCTCTTATGTGGGGACCTCAGCTGAAGAAATAATGGCTTGTCTCAATGCTAAAGAAAAAACTGATTGTGTTGAATTCATGGAGCCAGTATGTCAAGCTTCAAGAAATCATCCTAAGAAATTCTGTAGGTAACTTCTGACTGAGTGCCTCACACTTTGACTTTAGAACCTAATCCTTTTAAGAGATGGGAAAGGACAGGAGAGATACTAGAAGCAAACAAAAATGAAAGAATTTCTCAGTCTCCTTCTGAAATTGTAATAAGCAATCAGCTTGTTTGATTTCAAATCCCTACATTCTCAATCCAAGCACATATGTACAAGCAAAATGAAAAATGCCTTATGGCATATTTTATCTAAAACAGACACTCTACCAGATGTTTAGGAATCTGCATAGTGATGAAATTAAGATCTAGTCTAATATGGTGTATATAAATGTGTAGTCACTTTGTATGATGAGTTTTTCCCCACATTTGCCAATTTTTTCTCCTCCTACTCACAGTGGTATATGAATTTGAGATACTCCAAAACCTAAAAAAAGATCCATCTAAAGTACAGATTAATATAACTTCTGAGAAGATAGATAGGTAATGCATGTACCAGTACTAAAAACCACACTTAAAATTTTAAATTTTTATATTAATTTATTATTAAAATTTTATTATGAGAATTTAAGGTTACGTAATTATTATTTTGGCTAAAATTTGACATACCACAATGTTTTCTAGTATGAGTTTGCTTGCTTATTACCTGGATGAGGAAATAATCTGCACGCCAAACCCATGTGACACACAATTTACCCATCTAACAAACCTGCAACACATATCCCTAAACCTAAAAGTTTTTTTTAAAAAAGTATGAGTTTGCTGCACAATTAGGTATGTGTTCATCTTTGATAACAATTAGCATTCTAATTACTCTTCTTCAGGCATAAGACTTAAAAATCTCAGCAAGGAAATACTTTATACCCCAAAACATTAATGCTCTTTTTGATTTCAAATAAATTGTATTTATTTTAAAAAAAATCAACAACAAAGAACTATGATATAAGGTGCTTGTTCTATTTCTGTGATGCGATATTTCCTCTTCCTAAAACAGCATGTTTACTTTGAATGCATCCAGAAGCAGACTCAGGAATAAGGTCTTTTTTGTATTGCTACATTATTTTATTTTCAAATGTCATGAATTTCCAGAAAATTAGGAACACCTATTATCCAATATAAGCACAGAAATACATTCACAAACCAATGAGAAAAGAGACTGGTTTTGGATTAGCCATAAATTTTGATTATCCAAATCTGTCTTCTGCCCCTTTCTAATCTACATAGAAAAAAAAGCTCAAATAGCCTATATGTGGCAAATATATCTACTCATAAGAATTTTGCTTAAATTTGCCTTAAAAATTCTGGAACAATAATTTAAAACTGAATTAGTAACACAAATATGGATGCTCTACCTTAAAGGCTGTCAGAAATTCAATAATTAATTCTCCTAATTAAGGTGATAATGAGAAATCAGGTTCATTATAGTTGAATTCCGAAATGCCTGACCCCAACATAAGCATCCTGTACACTGAGCAATGAAAAAGGAGAGTCCTTTTCACATGATAGTGATTTTTAACCAAGAAGAACATTACAAGCACCTGTTGAACTTAAAAAAAAAAAAGTAGGCAGGGTGCGGTGGCTCATGCCTGTAATCCCAGCACTTTGGGAGGCTGAGGTGGTTGGATCACGAGGTCAGGAGATCAAGACCATCCTGGCCAACATGGTGAAATCCCGCCTCTACTAAAAATACAAAAATTAGCTGGGCGTGGTGGAGTGTGCCTGTAATCCCAGCTACTCGAGAGGCTGAGGCAGGAGAATCACTTGAACCCAGGAGGCAGAGGTTGCAGTGAGCCTAGATCGCGCCACTGCACTCCAGCCTGGGCGACAGAGCGAGACTCAGTCTCAAAAAAAAAAAAAAAAAATTACATGCTTGGAGTCTCCAGCCACAAAGATTTTATCCAGTAGGACACTTATACTTTGTAAAACCTCCAGAAGTGACTCTGATACGTACCCTAAGCTGTCTCACGACCAAGAAACTCTGCAACCTGAATGTTAATTTCTGTAACATTCAGATGTTATAGGATACATTCAGTATGCTGATTTGGTTGGTCTAAGTATGACGACTATATATACCTCCTTTTTTTTTTTTTTTTTTGAGACAAAGTTTCACTCTTGTTGCCCAGGCTGGAGTGCAGTGGCGTGTTCTCAGCTCACTGCAACCTCCTCCTTCCAGGTTCAAGCAATTCTCCTGCCTCAACCTCCCAAGTAGCTGGGATTACAGGCACACTCCACCACGCCACCATGCCTGGCTAAATTTTTGTATTTTTAGTAGTGATAGAGTTTCACCATGTTGGCCAGGCTGGTTTCAAACTCCTGACCTCAGATGATCCACCTGCCTCGGCCTTCCAAAGTGCTGGGATTACAGGTGTGAGCCACCGAGCCTGGCCCCTATACCTCCTTTCTACAACACTCTGTTGTCTTTCACTAAGGTTTGATTCAGTGCAGAACTAAGTACCTGACTTCTGAAGAAACAAAAAAGAAAAAAAAAGCAACACATAAGCCAGGAAATATCAACTCTGAGCTGGGTGAGTTAGGTACCAGTTTATAAAAACTTTTTAAAATGAAGGAACCAAAAAAAAAAAAAAAATCAATGCTATGTGGAAACTTGTAAAATAAAACAATAAAAGATAAATATAAAAATAAAAAAGAACTCATTACCAAATGAAAACAGAGCCCAAGAAAGGATTTAATGCCCAGGTCTGGCTCATCAAAACATAATCTAGTATTTGCCACTAGGGCTGTAACCCAGCAGTCTTAAATTTAAAAAGCAATTAGAGTATTTCACAGGTGCACAGTCAAATTGTCACATCCCAATGGACAACAAACATTTTAGGGTAAAACCTGACCACCTCAAAACATCTAAAAACTGTCTTTTTTATTTCCTCACAAAAAAGTAGTAGCCTCCTTTTAAGCACAAGACATACATTCAAAAACCCCCAGTAGATGTCTGAAATGGCAGATATTATCGAACCCTACATATACTAGGTTTTTTCCTCTACGTACGTACCTATGATAAAGTTTAATTTATAAATTAGACACAGTAAGAGCAGGTGTGAGCAGTAAGACACAGGTTGTGAGCATGGTGACTCACACCTGTAATCCCAGCACTTTGGGAGGCTGAGGCAGGGGGAATCACTTGAGCCCAGGAGTTTCAGACCAGCCTGGACAACCAGTAAGATCCCAACTGTATAAAAAAAATTAAAAATTAGCCCGATGTGGTGATATATGCCTGCAGTCCCTGCTACTCGGGAGGCTGAGGCAGGAAGACCACTTGAGGCCAGGAGTTTGAGGCTGCACTGAGCTGTGATCATACTACTGCACTGCAGCCTAGGCAACAGAGGGAGACCCTGTCTGTTAAAAAAAAAAAAAAAGAAAAAAAAATTATAACAATGTGTTGTGATGAAAGTTATGTGAATATGGTGTCTTTTTCTTTCTATCAAAATATTGTACTGTACTCACCCTCTTTGTGATGATGTGAGATGATAAAATGCCTATGGGATGAGATGAAATGGGGTGAATAATGTAGTGTTTAAAACTTAGTGATTTATTTATCTCTGGAATTTTCCATTTAATATTTTCACATCTTGGTTGTCTGAGGGTAACTGAAATCACAGAGAGCAAAAACAAGGATAAGGTTGGGGGGACTACAGTACTTCAATCCTCATTCTTCTCTTGACTGTTCTGGCTACCTCTGCTAATCCCTTCAAAAGACTAGTCTGTACCTTACAAGGATTAGCAGAGAGAGGAAAGAAACTTCCTGTATGAAAACAATCATGTTATCTTCATTTCAATTCTTAGGAAAATAATTCAGAAGAAGTTGGTTATATACCAAAGAAACTGACCTTAATGGAGAATAAACAAAAGCCATGGTTCTCAACCTGAGATCAGCCCTCTGCCAAAAGAAGTCCAACACACACTTCCAAACTGACCAATCAAACAACAAAACCCCAAACTTCAATGCCTCCAAATGCTCTGAATCAATCTCTCCCTGAAGCCTTCTTGGAAATCAGTAGGAGCTGGAATATTAGCTATCATAAATTCATTGTTTTCCAAAGCCTTCAGGGGATTAATTCTTCAAAGTCTCTAAGGATATCCTTTCTCCTTAATTTCACAATGACCTTGCACCTCAAAGCTAAGAACAGTAACATCAGCAACAGCTAACATTTATTGGTTACTTACTATAATGCTAGGCACTGTGCTGAATGCTTAACTCTTTTCATCTCATTTAATCCTCACAATAACCCTATGAGGTCAGTACTATTATTTACTTCCTCCATTCAGATGAGAAAAGTGGGTCTTTTTTGAATATCTTTTCTGCTCTTCTGCTCTGAAAGTCCTAAGCCCTTAGATATTCATTCCAATTTTAGGTTCCTGTCAGTTTGTCCACAAAGAGTTAAAGATATATAAGGATATTTTTAAAAGAAAAAAATCATACCTACTGCCCAGCGTTACATTTTAAAGTTTTTGGTAATTTCAATTTCACTATTAAGAGGGAAGGGTGCTCTACAATAGTAGATATCAAACTTTAGTGTGTATCACAATCAACAGGACAGCTAATGTTAAAACGCAAATTGTTGGGTCTCAGCTGGGCACAGTGGCTTACACCTGTAATCCCAACACTTTGGGAGGCCAAGGCAGGAGGATCGCTTGAAGTTAGGAGTTCAAGACTAGCCTGAACAACATAGTAAGACCCCGTCTCTAAAAAAATTTAAAAATTAGTTGGGCGTGATGGCACACACCTGTAGTCCCAGCTACTGGGGAGGTAGGAAGTGAGGTAGGAGAATCACTTGAGCATGGGAGGTTGAGGCTGCAGTGAGCCTTGATTGTGCCACTGTATTCCAGCCTGGGCAACAAAGTGAGACCCTGTCTCAAAAAAAAAAAAAAAAAAAAAATTTTCTGGGTCTCAAGCCTAGAGTTTCTAACTTTAGGGACTGGGAGGAGGTCTGAGATCCAAATTTTTATCGAATTCTCATTTGCTGCTGATACAGGGCCCACTAATTTATATGAAGGGAAAAGAAAGTAGTCCCCTCTCACCTTAGCTATCACCTTATGTGAAGACACTTCTCTACAGAGTACTTTCAACAAGACAGACACTTAGGGTTTAAAACACCTCCAGGGTCTGACAGCTTAAAGATTTATTTTTTTTCTCCCCACTTCACAAAGGCTTCAATGGCACCACTAACATGAAGGCACATGAAATCCAGAAAAAGGAAAATTAAGGACAGAATATTTATAAACTTTGCTAAGAACTTCTTACTGCTCACATTTTACTTCAGCCTGAAGTCCTTCCTTTGGGCCTCCTTGAGCAACAGATGCCAAAAGAAAAGTAGATTGCTTTGTAATACCAACCCCCAAAACAAGGATGGGCTCTTAAAATATAATAGAACTTTGCCCTGTGAACAGAAAATCTCAAAATGCTCCAAATTCCTCCTTAGTTCACCTTAGCTATCACAAAGGTCTCTCTTTTATCACACTATCCTTCATCTCAAAAGAGCTATTGCTCTTACCCAGGACTGACCCAAAGTCTACACTTTCTTAGGCAGCTTAAATATTGACTATGTCAATGTCATCTAGGATGAATGACTTTAGGGAATAGGATTTGTTAAAAATGTCTCCTCGGTCAGCCAGGAAAGGTTCTTCTGTGGGTGCTCTGAACCATGACTAAACTGTACCGAGAGAAATATATTTTAAAATATTAATATGGTCTGGCACCTTCCTGATGCTAATGGTTCCAGGCCCACCCCAATGGCACAACTGGGAAATTAAGTGAAGAGAAAAGCCATCTTCCCTCTGCTCTCTATTTCAAATGGTCCTCCTCCACAGCTTTGCCACGCACAGACTCATTCTATACATATACACAGAGATACAACATGCTCATACACACAAATAACTCTCCACAGGAACTGAAAATCAAAGCCTAACCCCATGGTTTTTAAGTGAGCAAGTCCAATTTCCTTCTTTGTAGCTCTTGACACATGCTGGCTGGGAGCCGTCTGGATTTTTTCTGCCTTGTTCCTGCACCAGAAGGCTCTGCACTGCAGGTCAGGGGATGATAAGGAAATGAACAGTGTAATTTCCAAGGCCTCTGAACACAGCCCTGTCAGCAGCTCTGGAGGCGGGTTACTCAAGCATGGCTTGAAGAGTGAAAACCACAGAGAGAGGGCTCAGACAGCCAGCAGTGGCAGGATCTCAGCTGTGTATGTTACTGCCACATCCCAAGCCCTGCTGCCTCCCTGGATGAGCTCTGCTGGTAAAAGCTCTTATACCCAAATGGCAAAAATACAAGTTCACACTGGGGGAGGAAGATTAAGGGCTAAGACTTAGATTTTTTCCATGCAGTCTTGTGTAGAAACAAAAACACTTAGCACTACTCCAGTGTCCGTGAGATTGCATATTCCGGCAAAACCACAGTAACATCTATCCAACATACCCAACCCCATGCCAGGGATATGGCCAGAAAAGAAGCTCGATTCATATGAAGTCTGAAATTCAACAGGCCACTTCAATATGCCCTAAGCTAATTTTTGGTCTTCCCCCCACCTCCAACTATAATTATCAGGGGCTTTAGAACACATCACCACCATGAAAATTTCCCAGCCTAGATTTGGAACTTCTTCAGACCATAGTGCTAAAAAGTCTTAGCTAACATGTATATCTATTCATACTGGGATTCCTGTAAAGTGGAATGTTGTTGTATTTCAGTACATTATTGCCTAGGAGAGACTAAGACCAATTTCCACTCAAACTGTATTTTTCTTTTTTCTAATATTTATTGAATGCTTCCTACGTGCCAGGCACTAAGTGTTTTATATGAATTAGCTAACTTAATCTAAAGACAAACTTTTTTTTTTTTCTTGAGACAGAGTTTTGCTCTTGTTGCCCAGGCTGGAGTGCAACAGCACAATCTCAGCTCACTGCAACCTCTGCCTCCCGGGTTCAAGTGATTCTCCTGCCTCAGCATCCTGAGTAGCTGGGACTACAGGCATGCACCACCACGCCCGACTAATTTTGTATTTTTAGTAGAGACAGGGTTTCTCCATGTTGGTCAGGCTGGTCTCGAACTCCCGACCTCAGGTGATCCACCCGCCTTGGCCTCCCAAAGTGCTGGGATTATAGGCGTGAGCCACCGCGCCCGGCCTAAAGACAAACTTAAAGGCTGGGTGTGACGGCTCATGCCTGTAATCCCAGCACTTTGGGAGGCCAAGGCGGGTGGATCACTTGAGCCCAGGAGCTCGACACCAGCCTGGCCAACACAACGAAACCCTGTCTCTACTAAAAATACAAAAATTAGCCAGGCATGGTGGTGCATGCCTGTAATCCCAGCTACTCTGGAGGTTAAGGCAGAGGTTGCAATGAGCAGAGACTGCACCACTGCACTCCAGCCTGGGCGGCAGAGTGAGACTCCCTCTCATAAATAAATAAATAAATACAAACTTATGTAGGTGCTATTTCTCTCATTTTGCAGATAAGAAAACTGAGGAAGAACAATTAAGAAACTTGGTCAAGATCACTCAGTAAATAAGTGCAAAGGTAGGAAACAAAGCCAGGTAGTCTGGCTCCAGAGTTCACACTTTTTAAAAAATTTATTATTATTATTTTTTTGAGACGGAGTCTCACTCTGTTGCCCAGGCTGGAGTGCACTAGTGCGATCACAGCTCACTACTGCAGCCTCAACCTCCCAGGCTCAAGCCAGGAGGCCTGGCTAGAGTTTACGCTTTTAGCCACTAAATTATACATAAGAGTTGATGTGAAATTCAAGTTTAGAAGGCTGGTGTTTTAAATGAGAAGTGGCCCCGAATACTTACCTTGAAAGGAAAATTCTCAAACTTTGATGTATATAGCAATTATCTGGAGAGACTTCTGGAAGTACAGATTTCTGGGCCCTTACCCCAAAAACTTATTCGGCATATCTAGGGTAGGGTCCAAGAATGTGCATTTTTGATACTCTGGTGATGTACATGGTTTTATGGGACACACTTTTAGGAACTCTGCTGTAGACGGTAAACTGTAAGCTCCTCAAAAAGCAGAGACCATCTCTGTTTTATTTACCAGTGTATACCCAATACCAAGTAGAAAACCTAGTATCTAAAATGCATTCAATTAATGTACTGACTGAATGAAAAGTGATAACAATTAGCCAACAGTATATCTTCTCTACAAAATACTTAGTAATATCCACAATACATTTGAAGGTCTGCCTATTAGTGATGTGTCCAAGGAAGAAGCACTAGAACAGGGTTTTTTTTCTTACCTGCAATTGCCAAGTAAAGAAAGAACTATTCCTCAATTATTATAATGAAAATTTGGCTGGATGAAATATTCCAGAACACACACACATATATCATAAGTAGTCAAGCTCAAAGTAGCAGTTTTAAAGTAACTTTCCTTCTTTATAAATAACAGGATAGGTTCAGTGCCAGCTGTAATGGTTATTCTTTGCAAACATCATTCATTACCTTACCTAAAATCCTAAACTCAAAGATCCTTTGTTTATTGAGTGTCTACAATGTTAAAGTCACTGTGAAAAACAAGTGAAAGCAGTTTTGGGGTAAAAGCAATTTTGGAGTATGTAAGCATTTTCATCTAATGTTTCAAGGTAGTCTTTACATTGAAAAAATGGCTGGGTGTGGTGGCACACACTTGTAGTCCCAGCTACTTGCGAGGCCAAGGCAGAAGTGCATAAGTGAGACCAAGGCAGAAGTGCATAAGTGAGGCCAAGGCAGAAGTGCATAAGCCCAGGAGTTCAAGATCAGCATTGGCAACATAGCGAGACCCTGCCTTAAAAATAAGCAAATAGGCTGGGTGTGGTGGCTCATGCCTGTAATCTCAGCACTCTGGGAGGCCGAAGCAGGTGGATCACTTGAAGTCAGGAATTTGAGACCAGCCTGGCCAACATGGTGAACCCCTATCCCTACTAAAATTAAAAAAAAAAAAAAAAAACTAGCCAGGCATGGTGGTATGCACTTGTAATCCCAGCTACTCGGGGAGCTAAGGCAGGAGAATCGCTTGAATCAGAGGCAGAGGCTGCAATGAGCCGAGATCGTGCCACTGCACTCCAGCCTGGGTGACAGAGTGAGTCTCCATCTCGAAAATAATAATACTAAGAAAATAACAAATAAAGTGGGAAAATTGAGAATCCTTCCTGACAGTTAAAGATTTGTTAAGAATCCCAGAGTAACAACATGCCATAAGAATTTGGTGTCTACAAATCTGGCTTTGCCAGTGACTACCTGTGAGATGCTGGGCAAGTCACAGGACTTCACTGGTCTTAGTTTCTTCTATAAAATGAGGAAATTGGACAAGATAATCTTTCTCTGGAACTGCCTTGAATTACAACACCTAGAAGGAAAACAGAGTTTCTGAATGAAAAAATAAATTAAGCTTGTAGTTACAGAATGCAACTCTGTCCCACATAAATATCAACTTCTTTTTAATGTTTTCCATGAAGGAAAATCTTGAGGGCATTTGGTTTCAGGAAGCAAAGCTGACTGCTCTGCCATCAATAGCTGAGAAATAACAGCTAGTGGAAGAAGGCGTTAAGAAAGCCTTGGATCAGAAGGAATAAAAGAGACCTGACCTTGGTTAGGCAATGAGGGACTACAATACAAGAGAACTAAGCTAGAAGGCACAAATTAGGGCAGGAATACAAAACCAATGGCAAAGGAAGATGCTCTTAAGAACACAGGATATGATAGCATGCATGATCAGAAGTTGAAAGAGCAAAGAGCACACTTTATGGTTTTCTTTGTATCCTAAACTAATGGGGGAAGTGGTAAATATATGCAGCATTCTGAAAGCAGCAGAAGCTGACATTCAAACACGGGAAAAGCAAAGTGCAGTGTTCCTACCTTGCAAGATCAAAAGCAGCAGCTAAAGACATGTGAGGGGGAGCTTCTGGTTAGAAACTTCTAGATCCTTTCTTTAACTACTAGAGCCTACTTGGCTATTTTATATGATTTGGGGGAAAAGAAGGAGTCTCACCTTAAACTCCTGGTCGTAAGCCCTGACAAAGTCAGCACAGATAGATCGTTGCCATCTGTGGTTTGTAAATTCCTTTTTTCTTGCCTGTCAGAGTGGCGACATAAGCACTAAGCTCAGGACACTCAGACAGGCGCCTGCCCTCCTCCCTACCTCCCCTTCCATCCCTAACTTAACAATCCATCAATCAAACTAAAGGCAAGGGAACAGGCAAGAGCTGGAAGGCTCTGTCTTGTTTATTCCTCAACATTCCCTCCCCCATCTCTTCAGCTGGCAGGAAGTATGAGGCAGAAGTGTTCAATAACAATTCAGAGCAGCAGCAGTTGCTAAGAGCCATCTCTGGTCTCTCCTAGAACTCTGGGAAACAGCACAGAGCTCACTCTGTCAGAGGAAGGTATGGTCGAGCAAAAGTGGGATCCCATGAAGGGAAATCCACATCCTTGTCTGACAGAAAATTTCCCAGGCCATAGCCTGAGATATCTACCTTCACAAAGAAGAACATGAGATAGATAATTTCTCTCTTTCTTTTTTTTTTTTTTTGAGACAAGGTCTGGCTCTATTGCCTAGGCTGGAGTCCAGTGGTGCCGTCTCAGCTCAATGCAACCTCCACCTCGCAGGCTCAAGCTATCCTTCCACCTCAGCCTCCCCAGTAGCTGGGATTACGGGTGCACACCACCAATGCCCGGCTAATTTTTGTAGAGACAGGGTTTCACCATGTTGCCTAGGCTGGTCTCAAACTCCTGAGCTTAAGCAATCTGCCCACCTAGGCCTCCCAAAGTGCTGGGATTACAGGCATGAATCACCAGGCCCAGCCAGTAATTTCAATATTCAAATCTTCCTCATTGGCTAGTAGTCAACACTGCTACTCTGCACCACAGAATTCAGTCAAGAAACTTCCCAAATTTTATGAGTTCTTCCTCTTCATGACAGTTCCCAGTTGAGAGGATGCAATTCTTAGATTATATCAAAACATCTGTTTTGCTATTTTGGTTCTGTTTGTTATCCCTACATAGAAACGTCCCAAACCACAGGCAAGCCCATTTCTCAGAGAGAAAATTTTAAAGAAGTTTTCAAAGACTTTGCTTATAAATTATAGTACTAATCATCAAATACTCACTGAGCACCTATTATGCCCCAAACCGGAGATTGTTGTTTCTCAAAAACCGCTCCTCTGCATGGTTCCTAACTTCCTTTCCTTTAACTTGCCTCTTCTGCTCCTCCCAGTCCAGAAATGTTCTCTCCCTGCACAGCATGTTTTAATCTCCTAGCAACTTCCAAACATTTATTTAAATAATTATTTATTTCAATAGCCAAAGGTAATATGGAAAGGCACCCTCAGGACCAGACTGTCCAAAAGGGTTGAGGGAACAGGGGAAGGAATTGAGAAAGCAGGTTCTTGCTTATGGTTACATGAAACTGTATAGCAAATTTTCTGCTTCTAAAAGTAATTGCCAGCAATTTTCTCTATCTTTCAAAAACTGAAGCACAGTCTCTTTCCCTTTTCTTTCTCATTCTGCTGCCCCATTCTCAGAGTCTCCCTGGGAGGCAAAGCTTATATGGCAAAGCAACATTATTAAGGGACAAAACTCCCTGGCACCAGGATGTATTCTTAGCTGAACATACTGCATCTTTCAGCCCAATTATAATCTGAAGGGCAGCCACCCAATCAGTCCCTGCACCTCTATGTGAGAAAATGGGTTCCATTTGCTTCTCTGTTAGAGACAATCATGGACATTTACACTTAAATCCAACATAAAGCTAAGCAATATTAATCCTTTCATCCACAGACTATCACTGGGCTTAGAAGGTTGCAACATAAGTACTCTAAAATTTAGATAGGAGAATGAAGGTCATCCTCAGAAGTACTTTTTAGCACAGGAAGAATAATGATTATGAATATGGATATATGGCAAGAGTTTCTTGAAGCCAGATGTAGGGAACAGTCTAATGGGCCTGGAACAGAAGCAACAACTGCTAGTACTCCTAAGCCTCTTTAAAACAGTATTATCCATCTGTACCCGAGAGAAAATAGCAAATCACAGCCAGCACAGGATGAGCCAAGCTAGTAACCAGCTGGAACCTGACTCTGCTGAAGTGGACTATAGCATCTGCCACCTAAACACAGGCAGCCTCTCTGGCAGCTGCCACTGGTAAAAGGGAATGAGCCACTGTATTATTAGTGGAAGAAACTCACAGACCTGCTACTGGAGAAGCCCAGATGTTGCTAAGAGCTACAGATGTGCCAGAGGCAAAGACCAAAATACCGACAGCAAAGAAAGCATGAGCTACCACTGGAATACAGGCACTAAGAGGGCACCACCACCCAAACATACACATCCAGCCTTTATTTATTAACACTTACATATGGAAATAGGTATTCCCTGCTGCAGCTGATCTAATTACAGAGAAATCAATTTATACTGCATCTGCTGGGATCAGCTGAAAGCACAGGATGAGCAGAGCACAGAGCAGAAAATCAAGAGCCAATGAACAGCTCACCACAAGGCCACTGTTTTGCAGGAATAAGCTGCTGAAGTTTAATGCTGCCTGAGCTGACCCTAGACTCACACCCATTCTCCTCCAGCCCTGCAAGTTCCATTTCCTAAAGCATGAACTAAGATCATCTTCCCAGAGGAGGGACTCAGTTCTAACCCCTCCTGGGGCTGCAGGCACCTGTCCTTCCAAGTCAAGCAGAAGGCAAGGTATCATTACACTGTTGGCAGCTATTAAACCACGAGGAGACTTTGATTCCTAATAGTTGTGGGAGATACCTGGCATGAAGCTACACCTTTAATGGCCAATCTCTTCCTAGGCCAAACTGTCATAACCACAACAATAACTCATAAGATCTAAGTACCTCAAAGTACAATGAGTACCTCTTGCCCTCAAAATGTGCCCCTTCGCTCTTTGGTAGCCGGCAATAGAACACTTCGTAGATATGCCATGAAATTTAGCCCTTTGTTCTACCAGAGACCCAACAGCACCATTTATCCCATCAAGAACCGTACTCAATCTACATTATCACCAAAGGCGTATTGTTTATCAACTATTATGAGTCTGATGATGAAATGCCAGTCAAGCTGGGAAACAAATAAAGGTCTGATGCCAATCTCTACCAACAAGTGTCTGAGGTGGGCAAAGACAAGGTGGGAAGGTCTCAACTCAGACTACAGAAAGTTCATTCTACAAAGTAGCTGCCCCCAACAACAAATATCCTGTTCCACAATGTCCAGGCCTGCTGTAAATGAGTCTGTAGGGGAATCCTCTAATTTGGAAGAAAACCACATTATCATTACCAGCTGCTCTGACCTTGTAATTGGTCATTACCCACACACTAATGAGCCTCCCACAGAGTACACATAGTATTTGGCAGTTAGTCCAGGGCAGTTCTGACTGGCAGTCAGTGGGCAGCCATATCTGGCCACCTCTTACCTTTTCAGACTTGACTTTCTTTAGCAGGCGACACTCATTCTCCCCTTCCTCTGGCTCCGGTTTAGTTCCCAAAGGATTGAGCGCTGCCCCAGGCTCAATAGCTATACTCCCAAGTGGCTCCACAGCTCCTGTATCCACCCCTGCACTTCCATCATACTGACCACCCCGTCCTCCCAAGGGAACTGGCTGGAGGACCCCAGGATCCTTTTCTGAACAAGTCCCCACTCCTTCGCTTCTCTCCTTCTTGCTCTTAGATGAGCTGTTCTCCTTCTCCTTTTTGGAACCGGCTACACTGCGGGATGCCTTAGCCGCCTTCTCTGAGCCCTTGGGAGCAATAGCAGCAACCAGGCCTCCAGCATTGGCACCATCTCCTGAGCGCCCCTGCACCTCTTTCTTGCTAGCTGCCCCCTCACTTGGAGTGAACAGGGAAGTCCCTGGAGTGGGTTTGCTAGTGTCTTTGCCACTCTTACTCCTTTTGGATTTTGATTTGCCTTCCTTCCCTTGAGGACCTGGCACTGGGGTCACAAACTTGATGTTGTCTGGTAGTGTGGCCACAGCATTGGGAGCCGGTATCCCCACCTCCTTTGAGCCTGACATTTCCAGTTTCTGCTGGTCCTTTTCCAGATCGGCGTCCAGGTCAATGATGAGATTCCCTACTCCAATGTCCCATTCATCCCCACTGTCGTATGTCTCAACCGGGTTTGCATCCACTCCTTTCCCTCCGGAGGCTCCACTGCTCAAGGACATCTTAGAGTCAACGTCCCACCTCAAGATTCAAGGCTCTTCCTTGCCCCCAGCTTTCCTATTTTCAGCTTCAGCTATGTTCTCAGACCTGCCACATTGGTCAGTACATGCCCAGTGGACAACATCATTGCTGGAAAAAGAAAATTTAAAAAGCTGTTAAAAGAAACAATACAGGCAAGAGACGCCTGAAATAAACTCCCACACAAAAACAGACCCTTCCTATGGGGCTATCATATCACAACAGACATGACAAACAGGTTCAATTGTATTTCTAACCAAGTTACATTGGACCTAAGGAAAAATCAATTCCCACTCCATCTCCCTAGGGGAAAGTACAGTATTTCCAATTGCCCAGAGATTCCATGGTAAGTCTTAACTAGGAGTCCTCTAGAGTTAATTTCCCACTCCTAAGAGACCTATTTCTACTACCACTGTCAGCTGGCAACCCTTCCTCAATCAATACAGGTCCTGGCATATCACAGATGCAAGCTCTAGCACAACTTTACTTATACCCCCATTTCTCCTTGCTTTTTCTTACATTATCAGAGACGCAGAACATGATCTAGCAAAAGCTTTAAAAACTCTCTAACAGGGTCTATCTCTAGTACAAATAGTATAGATTCCTCCTACTATTGGGAAGGAAAAGTCTTATGGTTAAGAATGAAAGAGAAAAACAAGCAGAACTGGGGAAAATGCAACTTCAGGACAGGGGGCTAAGACTTGAACTAGAGGAGACAATCTCAGAGGGGACTCAACCAATCAGCTTAAGTTCAGAGAAGCTGAAACAGCCTTCTAAAACTCCAGGTTTCAAATTATTATCTCAATAGCAGGATTCAAAGTGGCCTTTCCCACTTCCCACTAAAATAGGACGACACACAAATAAAGAAAAATGTTTACTCTATGAAAAACTGGACACTACTAAAAATCCTAACACCAGGATGTAGAATAACTCTTCACTTTCTCATGTAATACTGATGGCACTGTATTGACAAACACCAGGCCTCACACCATAGGAAACAGAGATTGGCTACAAAAGGGGGTGGTGGTGATGGGGTATTAAAAGTGCAATTTATGGCCAGGTGCAGTGGCTCACATATGTAATCCCAGCACTTTGGGAGGCAGAGGCAGGCTAATCACCTGAGGTCAGGAGTTCAAGATCAGCCTGGCCAATGTGGTGAAACCCCGTCTCTACTAAAAATACAAAAATTAGCCAGATGTGGTGTCAGGCACCTGTAATCCCAGCTACTCGGGAGGCTGAGGCAGAAGAATCATTTGAACCTGGGAGGCAGAGGTTGTAGTGAGCTGAAATCACACCACTGCACTCCAGCCTGGGTGACAGAGTAAGACTCTGTCTCCACTATCTCCTGACTAACAAGACTTGAGGAGTGTGCCATCTAGAAAACCTGGCAGTCAACATATACCATCCAGTATTATTTTATGATAAAGCCAAAGAGTTCTGTTCTTGCTTATTCCTCTGTCCACCACCTTTCTCTATCCATTAAAAAAAAAATTTTTTTTTTTTGAGTCAGAGCCTTGTTCTGTTGCCCAGGCTCAAGTGCAGTGGCGTGATCTCGGCTCACTGCAACCTCTGCCTCCCGGGTTCAAGCAATTCTCCCACCTCAGCCTCCCAAGAGGTTGGGATTACAGGCGTGCACCACAATGACTGACTAACTTGTATTCTTAGTAGAGACGGGGTTTCACCATGTTGGCCAGGCTGGTCTCAACCTCCTGGACCTCATGTGAGCTGCCTGCCTCGACCTCCCAAAGTGTTGGGATTACAGGTATGAGCCACCGTGTCCAGCCAAAAAGTAATTTTTATAAGGTAATTGAGTAGAAAGAACAAGCCAGTAGTGTCACAGTGAATTCTGCAAAGTGGATCTCTAACTTTGTAGAGATCTGTAAATGCCACAGATAGGACACAGACAAGACAAATTGTACTTTTTTACCTATTCCCTCAGAGCAATGTCAAAGAACTAGGGTGTAGGGGCAAGAAAAGATGTCACAGTAGAAGAGCAAAGGAGGGGAGCCAGGTGAATGCCTGCTAGCAACAGGAATTTAAGGGGGAGAGGTGTGCACATTTATCTGCCATTTAGCTGTAGATGTGGGAAGAAAATATATCCATTACCCAAGTGGAGATCTTAGTGTTAACAGCAACCAACCACTATTTATTAGTAAATGCCAAGTCTACATAGATCCTACTTTATAAGAGATGAGCAAAAAGTGGGGGTGGATGATATGATGTACAAACTATGAAAAAAGTTACTCACAAGGTAAAGGAAACATAATCTCTTATGAAATGATAACTCTAGGCCAGGCATGGTGGCTCATGCCTGTAATCCCACCACTTTGGGAGGCCAAGGCGGGAGAATCACTTGAGCCCAGGAGTTTGAGACCAGTCTGGGCAACATGGCAAAACCCTGTCTCTATAAAAAATACAAAAATTAGCCGGGTATGATGGTAATGCTTGTAGCCCCCGCTACTCAGGGAGCTGAAAGGTGGGAGGATGGCTTGAGCCTGGGAGGTCGAGACTGCAGTGACCTGAGATTGTGCCACTTCACTCCAGCCTGGGTGACAGAGCGAGACGCTGTCTCAAAAAAAAAAAAGAAAGAAAAAAAGAAATGAAACTCTGAAAATGATCTAGGATTCTGAAGAAATTAGTAACCTGTTTGGAATTCTCAACACTACACAAGAAGACTTGGCCTCCATGAAATAGCATAGTAGATACCTATTCATTTGTTAGAAAATCTTTTATTTATTGCCTTCAACGTGCCAGGCACTAAACTAGGTGCTGAAAATACAGCAGCAAGTAAGACAGTGAGTAAGGCAATGGAACATGGTACTGAAAATAATTTTTCTATTATGAGGGGCAGAGGGCATCTCTAGGAAAGGAGATGCCAACTGAATTTCCATGATAGAGAATTCTTAAAGCACAGTTCTTCCCCAAATCATAATTTTTTAGTTCTCTAATCTTTGCAATTGTGGCTAGGCTTAGAGTGTAACCTACATTAATCTAAGGGTTACTCACTATCCTCAGTATGTAATTTAACCATTAAAACAACCCCACCTTGTTTTATCCCTAGAAAAACAATAAAACTTTCCTTAGTTTCAAAAGACCTTCCTCTAGAAAATAGAATGGTAACGGAAGAGAGACTCTGGAGGAGTAAGGAAAGCGTATGAAACAGAAAAATGTTAGTGCTCACTGAGAGCTTCTGACAGTTCTCAGTCTACTGTACTGCCTGCCCTGCTGCAGGATGCATGATAAACAAAGTATGCCAGTAAGGAAGAGAGCATTAAAAAGATAACAGAGGCCAGGCACAGGCTCATGCCTGTAATCCCAGCACTTTGGGAGGCAGAGGCAGGAGGATCACTTGAGGTCAGGAGTTCAAGACCAGCCTGGCCAACATGGTGAAACCTCATCTCTACTAATAATACAAAAATTAGCTGGGTGTGGTGGCATGTGCCTGTAATCCCACTTACTTGGGAGGCTGAGGCATGAGAATCACTTGAATCTGGGAAGAAGAAGTTGCAGTGAGCCAAGATCACGCCACTACACTCCAGTCTGGGTGACAGAATGAAATTGTGTCTCAAAAAAAAAAAAAAGATAACAGGTTAAAATGAAAATGTGTAACTTAGTTGAAAGGACAAAAGGATTTAACACTAAAAAAAAAAAAGATACAAGGAAACAAAAAATGCAGTATCAATTAAAATTCATAAAGAAAGTAGTCCACAGTGGCTAATCCCAGCACTTCTGGGCCTCCACCTGGAGGCCCAGGTGGGTGGATCGCTTGAGGATCAGGAGTTTGAGATCAGCCTAGCCAGCATGACGAAACCCTTTCTCTACTAAAAATACAAAAATACGAAAATTAACCAGGTGTGACAGTACATCTTATAATCTCAGCTACTTGGGAGGCTGAGGCAGGAGAATTGCTTGAACCTGGGAGGCAGAGGTTGCAGTGAGCCAAGATTGTGCCACTATACTCTAGACTGGGCGACAGAGCGAGATGCCATCTGAAAAAATTCAACCAGCAAACAAAAAAAACTACCTGAAATACTAAAATCAGTTCAATGTAGCATAAATTTAAATAATTCCTATAAATACAAATATCAACTGCACTTTGTAAGCTGAAAACTCAATTCAGATATTAACAATTATCCCTGAATAATATGTGAGGGAAAACCAGTACTTTGATAATGTACCTCAAAAAGCCTTAACAATAAGGAAAGACAAACCGTAAGTTATAAAGCTGATATTTTTTCAAATTCCTCTTGTTCCAATTCCATATGCCATGGCAAATTGTTTTGTTTTTTGGGATTTTTTTCTAGTAAGCAAGTGATACTGCCATTACACTTTTTAAAAATTGTACTTTTTCTGAAACGGTAGCTGGAGGCGAAAAAAACATCTGATGATCTATGCTCATTTCCAGATTCCACATCTTAAGTGTGATATTAATAAACTGAAAGGATGTACTACAGAGCACAGTATGGTACAAGACTGGGAAGCCATTTCTTAAGAGGAAAGACCTTAGAAACTGGGATTCTTTGGTCTGGAAAGGAGAACACTGAAGGAAGACAGGCTGTTAGCTTCAAATATATGATGATGCCAGGCAAGGTGGCTCATGCCTGTTCTCCCAGCACTTTGGGAGGCCTAGACGGGTGGATTACCTGAGGTCAGAGTTTAAGACCAGCCTGGCCAACATGATGAAACCCCGTCTGTACTAAAAATACAAAAAATTAGCCAGGCATGGTAGCGGGAGCCTGTAATCCCAGCTACTTGGGAGGCTGAGGTAGGATAATGGCTGGGAGGCAGTGAGCTGAGATTGCACCATTGCACTCCAGCATAGGTGACAGAGTAAGACTCTGTCTCAAAAAGAAAAAACAAAAACAAAAACATATATATATGTATATGATGTGTGCAGTGTGGAAGAAAGTAACTCTGTGACTCTGAGGGTAGAAAGAGAGTCAGTGAGTAGAAGTTACAGAAAGACAGATATTTAACTCAGGAAAAAATTTAATATCCTGATTCCCAACAATGACCCACAATGTTTAATGTCTATTTTACTGAAAGTATTTAAGCAGAAAAAGCATAATCACCTGTGAAGCAAATACATAAAAGATTCTCCTGTGTGTGGTAGGGTTAGTCTAGACATGCCTAAGGCCTTTTTCAAATTTATAATTCTATTAATATACCCATCAAAAAGTGCTTTCCCTACTAGAAAGCTACTCCAAAATTTCTGAATGACCAGGATGCAAAGAAAACATATCCCAAGGACTGATCTTTGGTGGTCCTGATGTTCTTTTAGGAAGTCCCTATATTCCTATTTTTGAGAGTGAAGAGTTTTCGTAAGTACTACTTTTCAACCAGGTGACTTTTCAGAAATCTAGGTTTCCAAACCCAGCAGGCTTCATAGTAACTTTGGTGGTACATTTCCAAAGATACACTGTAAAATTGCCAAGGATTCTTCAATCAGCCTGGCTGCAGCAGCCAAACCACTTCCCATCTGCTCCCTACAGCATCCCTGGCTTTATGCAGCTAATAATCAACTCTTTGACAGGTCATTGCAGAGATGTTTAACCCCAAGAGGTGGGGTAACCAACATGCTAGTGGGAAACGAAAAGCACTGACCTCTTGCTTTCATGGCAGAGAAAGTGCGGAATCAGGAGAACCAATATCTTACAGAGACCACAAGGCATTTAACAACTTGCACAAGTTTCTGTGATTATTTTCCTTTCTTTTCTCTCCTTCTGCCTAAGTGTACTCCACTTCCTTCTTTAGGACTGCAACTCAACAGCCTCTGGAATCACTTGTCCACCATGAGTTGTCAGTACTATCTGTGTTTTGTTCCTACACCTGATCATTAAGAAATTCCTTGCTACATGGATATGTTTAAGGGACCAAGATAGGTCATGACAATCACTTTCCATACCCTGTATTTACCCAAAGCACTCCTGCTTAAAAAACATATCATAATAACATCCATCTCTTTGACTCCCAGCCCACAGGCTTGTACATTGTAAATCATACATTTCAGGTCATTAATTGCAATTTTAAGGACTTATGTCACAGACCATACAACTCTTCTACCTCAGGAATGAACAAGGCCTCTCCTTCGACAAGGGTAAGAATGAAAAAGAGTTTTCATGTGAGGTTTCTGTCCCAGCTCAGAGGGCAAAAACAGCAACTGGACCCCACTCATATCCAAACATAACAAGAAACACTACATTTCTCTTTCACCCCCGAGAGATCTCTGTATCCATCCAAGAAGGCTTCAAAGAGCCAATTCCTTTAATTGGTAACTACCCACAGATAATCCAGTATAAGCAGTAAATTGTCTAATACTGTTCTACTGTAAATTTATCTGTCCTCTTTTTCTTATGGATTTTGGATCAATCCTCTTATAGGCTTTGGCCTGAGCATGTGACAGTTATATATGAATTATAATCTGCTTGAGACCACACAGGTCACACACAAAATATGGATATTAGGGCTGTCTAGCTAGGTATTCCCCTCCAAAACCTGCATGCCAAAGAAAAAATGCTATACTCAATTCGAGGAGGGTAGCATGGTGTAGTAAAAAGAACAATGAACTCTGAGTCAGGAGATGTGATTTCTGGACTCAAATTTCCATTGACACTAGCTAAGCTGCTTCATTAAGTATTTTCTCATTATAAGATGGAGGAAGAGTCTATCACATTCTAAGCATATCATGAGGATATAAATCTGAAAAATGTAAGACAAGTCAAAGCTGGGTACAGCACCTCACGACTGTAATCCCAGCACTTTGGGAGGCCGAGGTGAGAGGATCACTTGAGCCCAGGAGTTCTAGACCAGCCTGGGCAACACAGCGAGACTCCATCTCTATTTATTTAAAAAATAAAAATAAAAAGAAGACAACTCGAAAATATATGACCCAACTACTCTTATAAGGTTCTAGTGTATGAACTTAGGGAGAACTGTTTCATGGTTCTACCTTTCACAAGGCATCTAAAGTATTAAGAAAAATAAAGGAAAATGTTTAAAAAATTTTTTTTTACAAATTAAATTACAGGTTGTACCAATACCCATTTGAGTTCTATGAAAGGAAATGGCAATCTTTTCTTCTTCCATGAACTCAGTGATTAGGGTTTTCCTTTTAGGCTATGCCTACCTTCACATGTGGCTTTTTTTCTTCTTCTTTTCTTTGAGACAGAGTCTCACTCTGTCACCCAGGCTGGAGTGCAGTGGCGTGATCTCGGCTCACTGCAACCTCCACCTCCTGGCTTCAAGCAATTCTCCTGCCTCAGCCTCCCAAGTAGCTGGGATTACAGGCATGTGCCACCACTCCTGGCTAATTTTTTGTACTTTTAGTAGAGATGGGGTTTCGCCATGTTGGCCATGCTGGTCTCGAACTCCTGATCTCAGGTGATCTGCCTGTGTTGGCCTTCTAAAGTGCTAGGATTACAGGCATGAGCCACCACGCCTGGCTCGATGTGGCTCCTAAAGCCATATACTGTCGTGACTGACAGACTCCATCTTGCTTCAGAAATCCCTCAGGGACAAGGTACCAATCTCAAGACTCATGGTTTTATTTATTTATTTTTGAGACGGAATCTTGCTCTGTCGCCCAGGCTGGAGTGCAACGGCACAGTCTCAGCTCACTGCAACCTCCACCTCCTGGGTTCAAGCGATTCTTCTGCCTCAGCCTCCCGAGTAGCTGGGATTGGAGGGGCGCCACCATACTCGGCTAATTTTTTTATTTTTGAGAGGGATGGGGTTTCACCACGTTGGCCAAGCTGGCCTCAAACTCCTGACCTAGTGATCTGCCCACCTCAGCCTCCCAAAGTGCTGGGATTACAGGCGTGAGCCACCACACCCGGCAAAACTCATGGTTTTAACATCTGTACTACCTCTTTTGCCAGTTGTTCTAACCCACAAGGTTGTTGATCCCACTGACAATATAAACTGTCTTTGAATATAAACTGTGTGAGGTTTACAGGATTTGATGTCTCAGGGAACTGTCAATAAACTAATGGGATACAACAAAGTTGCTGAGAAGGTAACCATATTATACCATCTTCCCTGAATTCTAGATGTTGCCCTGAAATCAATTCATACTTAGCCAGCTTCAGTATGGTTACTACAACATGTAAACCATCCTCAGTGACTCTCAGCTTACCCAACTATAAAAACAGGCATCTCCCTCTCTACCTGCCACACTTCATGGGAGCTTGCTAATCAAATGAATTTCCACCTAGGGCTCTAATGAGAAACAATCACCTTCCCTTTGGGCCTCTCCCTTAATTTATTACATTAATTACTGTAACAAAGGAACTGTGTCATCTCCTCAAGTACCATAGCTTTCAGCTTATATCTCCAATGGAGATTAGATAAAGAACAGACTAAAAGAGCCAATTTGAGAAGACAGATCCAATTCAACAGGGCTTATCTGACCATGTGTCACCTAAGGACAGGAGAGCAAAACAGCAGCATCTCTTAGTCCCTGAGTCTTTATATGCTGCAACTCATCAATAGTTTTATAGTCCTCAAAGGCTGCTATTCTCCAACAAAGATTACAAGGCTTGACCTGTTTCATTTCACATAAGCAACTGACTCTTCCATCAGCACATAGCAATTCAACTGGGCTCAAGTTCAGATCCTTGTTGTTTGTCACTACTGCTCTGTGCCAGCATGTATCTCACAATAGGCTAAATGGTATCCTGAATATGTAAATAATTCAGTCCTGACCCTTTAGAGATTCATTTGGTGAAAGTGATCCACATAGAAAACCCTTACTAAATCCTGTGTATAGCTAGGCCAAAAAGCAGAGGCAGATTATCTGAGGTAAACAATTAAAAAAAAACTACTAGCTGGGGGCTGGGCACGGTGGCTCATGCCTGTAATCCCAGCACTTTGGGAGGCCAAGGTGGATGGATCACCTGAGGTCGGGAGTTCGAGACCAGCCTGACCAACATGGAGAAACCCTGTCTCTACTAAAAATACAAAAACTAGCCAGGTGTGGTGACACATGCCTGTAATCCCAGCTACTAGGGAGGCTGAGGCAGGAGAATCACTTGAACCCGCGAGGTGGAGGTTGCAGTGAGCCGAGACCGTGCCATTGCACTCCAGCCTGGGCAACGGGAGCAAAACTCCGTCTCGAAAAAAAAAAAAAAAAACAACTACTGGCCGGGTGCAGTGGCTTATGCCTTTGTACTCCCAGTACTTTGGGAGACTGAGGCGGGAGGATTACTCGAGCCCAGGAGTTTGAGACCAGCCTGGGCAACATAATGGGACCCTGTCTCTACAAAAATAAAAATAAAAAATTAGCCAGATATGGTGGCAAATGCCTGTAGTCTCAGTTACTTGGTAGGCTGAGATGGGATTATCTGTTGAGCCCAAGAGGTTGAGGCTGCAGTGAGCTGTGATCATGCCACTGCACTCCCGCCTGGGTGACAGAGCGAGGTGCTGTCTCAAACAAGTAAATAAAAATTTAAAAATAAGCTCTGCCATGCCTCTTCCCCTCATAATTGGATGGCTATGTAGCTCTTTAGAAGTTCTTATCCCCAGAGATAAACTTTTTGTGCTAAGGAGGTGGTAATGTCAAATTGTTAGAAAAAAAGTGGCTGGGCATGGTGACTCATGCCTGTAATCCCAGCACTTTGGGAGGCCGAGGCGGGCAGATCACCTGAGGTCAGGAGTTCAAGACCAGCCTAGCCAACATGGGGAAACTGTCTTTACTAAAAATACAAAAATTAGCCATGCATGGTGGCGGGTGCCTGTAATCCCAGCTACTTGGGAGGCTGAGGCAGGAGAATCGCTTGAATCCAGGAGGCAGAAGTTGCAGTGAGCTGAGATCACGCCTCTGCACTCCAGCCTGGGTGACAGAGCGAGACTCCGTCTAAAAAAAAAAAAAAAAAAAAGTGAATAATGGAGATGGTAGCATTCAAAACATCTAAAAAACTAGGCTTGTGCCAGGCACAGTGGCTCCTGCCTGTAATTCCAGCACTTTGGGAGGCCGAGGCGGGTGGATCACAAGGTCAGGAGTTCAAGACCAGCCTGGCCAAGATGGTAAAACCCTGTCTCTACTAAAAAAAAATTAGCCGGGCGCGGTGGCAGGTGCCTGTAATCCCAGCTACTCAGGAGGCTGAGGCAGGAGAATTGCTTGAACTTGGAGGGCGGAGGTTGCAGTGAGCCAAGATCGCGCCACTGCACTCCATCCTGGGAGAGAGAGTGAGACTCCATCTCAAAAGAAAAACAAAAAAACAAAAAAAAAAACACAAAACTAGGCTTGCACACAGAACTGTTGTGTAAAATCATTAATTTTCCTTTTTTTTTATTTTGAGACAGGGTCTCACTCTGCCACCCAGGTGGGAATACAGTGGTGCAAACAAACACAAGCTCACTGCAGTCTTGACCTCCTGGGTTCAAGGGATCCTCCTCCTGCTTCAGTCTCCCATGTAGCTGGGACCACAGGCATGCACCACCACCATACCCGGCTAATTGTTTCTTTCTTTCTTTCTTTCTTTCTTTCTTTTTTTTGTAGAAACAAAGTCTCTCTTTGTCACCCAGACTGGTCTCAAACTCCTGCGTTCAAGAGATCCTCTCACCTTGGCCTCCCAAAGTGCTGGAATTACATCACGCCTAGTTCTTCATCTCTAAACATGGTCAAATTCATAGTCTCAGGGAAAGGAAAAAACATTTAGCATTTTTCAGAACAGACAAGGAATTGCCTTCATTTTTTATATTCTAGACCTTATCTCTCCCTTCCCAGATCTATTCTACAAGAAGCCCTAGAGTAAATCTGAGGGGACAAAGAAAACTTCTCTTATCAAAAAATATAAATAATGTTAGACTAGCCACAAAAAAGGGTGGGATTCACATAAATATCCTTAAAGATACCTAACACTACCTCTCCAGCCATGAGGTATGGCCACAACTGCCACCATTTTGCTTCAAGGATGTCACATTTGTTTCCTGCACTACACTGCAAGCACCCACCCTGAGGGCAGAGGCTGTCTCTCTTGTGCTCACCATTGAAGAACCAGTGTTTGGTTTACAGTCCACCTTCATTAAGCATTTTGGTCAACAAATGAGTGAATGAACACTGTTCTCCTCAATGAGCAGAATCATATCAATGCCCCGCTGGCATTTCTCCTCTCCATTCTTACTTCACCTTGATTTGTCACTAGTTATAAACTCTCTCAATTAGCAGTCAGCTGTCAAATCTACTAGATCAGAGTGTGGATTCCTTTCTCCAGAAAAAAGAATTCAGATTCATTAAGAATCTAAGGGAAAGTTTAGAAAACAAAGCAGCTTCCATATTTCTTAAAATTCCTAACCATTTCTGCGTATTCCTAGCCTTGCAACAGTCTCATTCATGCATAGTTGCTTCCCAAAAAAGGACTAGTCCACAAACTCCTGAGAGCCCCCAGGTATATATTTAAATGTATAATAAATGTAAAAGTTCTATCAGACTTAAACCATCCAAGTGTCACACTTAAAACACCTATGAATTGGCTGGGTGCGGTGGTTCACGCCTGTAATCCCAGCACTTTGGGAGGCCAAGGTGGGTGGATCACAAGGTCAGGAGTTCAAGACCAGCCTGGCCAATATGGTGAAACCCCATCTCTACTAAAAATACAAAAAAATTTAGCTGGGCGTGGTGGCGCTCGCTTGTAGTTCCAGCTACTCAGGAGGCTGAGGCAGAAGAATCACTTAAACCCAGGAGGCGGAGGTTGCAGTGAGCCGAGATTGTGCCACCGCACTCCAGCCGGGGCGACAGAGCAAGACTCCGTCTCAAAAAAAAAATTAAAACAAAAAACAAACAACAAAAAAAAAACACCTGTGAATCAAAGGTGAAAAAAGCAGTCATGAAAAGTGGTCATGCTTGGGGAGAGGGATACCAACTGGGAAGAAACACGAGGGAATCTTGCAGGGTGCTGGAAATAAATGTTCTATATCTTGAACTGGATAGTGGTTACATATCTGTATACACATGGAAAAACTGAGTTGTGCACAAGATTCGTGCACTTACTGTACTTTACTACATACATATTATACTTTTTAAAAAAGTAAAATAAATACCTATGAACAAGAGAATTGTCTTGCTATAACATAGTCCTGATCCTAAAGCAGTATTATATGTAAAGGGAATCATGCCATTAATCACCACAGATTAGGCTATTTAGAGAGATAACAGGATGGGAGGGATGGAGGGAGACAGTAAGAAACTAACTTACAGATTACTTGATGTTTGACTATGAGATTTATAGATCTGTTGGAGAGTCTGAAAAAAATTAATCAGAAATAGGGATATAAAAACAAATCAAAAAAAATTAAGTAATGATATTAAATCCTGGGGGGAAAAAGTTGCACCAAAAATGTAATAGTAGTATATCAAACGGCTCAATAATAAACATTATTTACTCAGCACAATAAATAATGAATATCGACCTAACCAAAAATTGTGACATAACTATATTGGGATGATTCGATACGAAGAGAAGGGCAGTAAGAGAACACATTATTATTTAGAAAAATGGGAGTAAAGGCCAGGCGTAGTGGCTCACACCTGTAATGCCAGCACTTGGGAGGCCAAGGCGGACAGATTACTTCAGGTCAACTTGGCCAAATGGCAAAACCTGCCTCTACTAAAAATACAAAAAATTAGCATCGCATGGTGACACATGCCTATAGTCCCAGCTACTCAGGAGGCTGAGGCATGAGAATCACTTGAACCTGGGAAGCAGAGGCTACATTGACCTGAGATCATGCCACTGCACTCTGGCCTGGGTGACAGAGCAAGACTGTGTCTTGAAAAAAAAAGCTGCCCCACTATTTGACTTTTAATACAAAGTTCATAGGAAACCAAAAATAATTTATCTATTATTTGGATAGACAAAACAATTTTTTTTTTTTTTTTTTGGAGACAGAGTCTCACTCTGTCACCTGGGCTGGAGTGCAGTGGCACGATCTCAGCTCACTGAAACCTCCACCTCCCGGGTTCAAGTGATTCTCCTACCTCAGTCTCCTGAATAGCCGGGACTACAGGCGCACGTCGCCACACCCGGCTAATTTTTGTATTTTTAGTAGAGACGGGGTTTCACTATGTTGGGTAGGCTTGTCTCGAACTCCTGACCTCAGGTGATCCGCCTGCCTTGGCCTTCCAAAGTGCTGGGATTACAGGTGTGAGACAACGTGCCTGGCCGATAAAATAAACTTTAAATAATTTTAGGAAAAGTCAAGGATATACTTCCTCAAATACTCCTGTATTCCCTTAACAGGTTATTATATAATGTACCAATCCAATAATTTATCAAAAATCTTATTGTGGGAGATGGGAGAAGGGGACAGTAGAAAGGATGTGGGTGTGGCTATAAAAGGACAACATGAGGGACATTTGTGGTGATGGAGCTGTCTGTATCTTGACTGTGGTGGTGAAAATAGTATGACTCTACATGTGATTAAGTCTGCACAGAACTGAAAACACATATATACAAAAGTGATTATGAGTAAAATGGGGAGGTCTGAACAAGATAGATGGCTTATATCAATGTCAAAATTATGATATTGTACTTTAGCAAGATGTTACCACTGGAGGAAACTAGGTCAAGGGTACAAAGGATCCCTCTGCATTATTATTACTATTTTTTGAGACAGTCTTGCTGTTTTGCCAGGCTAGAGTACAGTGGCGCTATCATGGCCCACTACGGTTTCCACCTCCTGGGCTCAAGCAATCCTCTCAGCTTCCAGAATAGCTGGGACTACAGAGGTGCATGACCATGCCCAGTGAATTTAAAAAAAAAAATTTTGTAGACAGGGTCTCACTATGTTGCCCAGGCTGGTCTTGAACTTTTGGGCTTAAGTGATCCTCCCACCTCAACCTCCCAAAGTGTTGGGGTTATAGGCATGAGCCACTGCACCCAACCCCACTGCATTATTCTTACAACTGCGTAAGACTCTATAATTATCTCAAAATAAAAAGTGTAATTTAAAAAACATGCAAACACTTTATCTTCCATTTTTAAATTTCTACCGCCGTTAAACATATTTTATTTATTTACTATTTATAAGAGTAGCCCAATCATTAAGCTAAAATCACTTCTAACCTGAGTGTTCCATATCTAATACAGGATCCTAAGAACTGGTGATCAAGTCTATATGTTCTTTTCATCACTTGACATTATATTCCCTTTGTCTTTAAAAGCTGAATTTTTTTTTTCTTTGCATGTATTCATTAAAGCCTTCACCTTCTTTGGTCATCAGCTTTGATAAATACTTCTTCGGGGTCAACAGAATACACAGTATCACAAATATAAACAAACCTTGGTTTTACACAGATGGAAGTTTATTTTTATCTTTGTTTATTTGGTACTGATTCTCTTCCTAATGATGCCCAGCATTTCCGTGGCAGTACACTAAGTTAATTTTGCGAGGAATATCTTACCAAGATTCCTAGTTTCTTTCACTTTTTTTTTGAGACGGAGTCTCGCTGTCGCCCAAGCTGGAGTGCAGTGGCGCAATCTCGGCTCACTGCAACCTCCGCCTCCCGGGTTCAAGCGGTTCTCCTGCCTCAGCCTCCTGAATAGCTGGGACTACAGGCAAGCGCCACCATGCCCAGCTAATTTTTGTATTTTTAGTAGAGATGGGGTTTCACCATGTTGGCCAGGATGGTCTCGATCTCATGACCTCATGATCCGCCCGCCTCGGCCTCCCAAAGTGCTGGGATTACAGGCATAAGCCACCGCATCCAGCTTTTTTTTTTTTTTTTTTTGAGACAGAGTCTCACCCTGTTGCCCAGGCTGGAGTGCAATGGCGCAATCTTGGCTCACTGCAACCTCCACCTCCCAGGTTCAAACGATTCTCCTGCCTCAGCCTCCCGAACAGCTGGGATTACAGGCACGCGCCACCACGCCCAGCTAATTTTTGTATTTTTAGTAGAGACGGGGTTTCACCATGTTGGCCAGGCTGGCCCGGAACTCCTGACCTCGTGATCCGCCCACCTCTGCCTCCCAAAGTGCTGGGATTACAGGCGTGAGCCACTGTGCCCGGCCAAGATTCTTAATTTCTACTGGGGGCTGCAATTGTTAGCTAAAAATTACACATCCTAAGAAAGTAGTTTAGACTTTCTCCCTCTTTTTAAATGCAATTCTTATCCACACTGAAGCTCATTTACTTTTCACCTCAGTCAAGATATTCCTGAAGCATAATCTCAACAATTTGGGGACCTAACTACCTGGAAGAGTTTAATGTCATAGGAAAATCTCAATATTTCACTTATGTGAAACATTTATTAAAATGTCAAATAAGATGAATGTCACTAAACTCTTCCACATAGAACTTATTTATCATCAAGATGGTCTTTGGAGGCAATGTCACCAGGACAAAAAAAAAAAAAAGGAAAGAAACTGAAACAGCACCCTCTGATCAAACTTGTTAATATTTGATTAACAAGGAAGCAGCACAGTGCAATGGGGGAAAAAAAAACACAAAACCAAGTAAGCAGGCAGAAAAACTCAATTCTACTATTTACTCTCCCTAGATGTGTAATAACATTGGGAAGTCACTACAGCTATTTGGGCCTCAGTTATTTCATCTGTGAGAAGCTGAAATAGCCAGGTGTGATGATGTGTGCTTACAGTCCTGGCTATTCTGGAGGTTGAGGCAAGAGGATGATTTTTGAGCCCAGGAGTTCAAGGCCAGCTCAGATAATTAATACACCTTATATAGTAGAGTGTAATGCTGTCAGTAGACACTGAAACAGTGCTGGGCATGGTGGCTCACACCTGTAATCTCAGCACTTTGGGAGGCCAAGGTGGGAGGGTCATCTGAGCTCAGGAGTTCAAGACCAGCCTGGGCAACATAGCCAGACCTTGTCTCTACTAAAATAAGAAATGTAGCCAGGCGTGGTGGTATGCATCTGTAGTCCCAGCTACTCAGAAGGTTGAGACAGGATGATAACTGGAGCCCAGGAGGTCGATGAAGCAGTGAGCCATGATTCTGCCACTGCACTCCAGCCTGGCTGACAGGGTAAGAACTTGCCTCAAAAAAAAAGAGGCCAGGCTTGGTGGCTCACGCCTGTAATCCCAGCACTTTGGGAGGCTGAGGCGGGCAGATCACCTAAGGCTGGGAGTTCGAGACCAGCCTGACCAACATGGAGAACCCCGTCTCCACTAAAAATACAAAATTAGCTGAGCGTGGTGGCACATGCCTGTAATTCCAGCAACTCAGGAGGCTGAGGCAGAAGAATCACTTGAACCCGGAAGGTGGAGGTTGCAGGGAGCTGAGATAGCACCATTGCACTCCAGCCTGGGTGATAAGAGTGAAACTCCATCTCAGGGGGAAAAAAAAAAAGAAAGAAAAAACTGAAACAGCACACTGTAATCAAATTCGTTAATATTCCTCCAGCAATATGAATATTTACTTTACATAAAAAGACTATAAATAGCCTTTTATTAGTTGAAGTCAGATTTGTGCATATCTTTTCAAAAATCTTTCAGTTTTCAGAGCTTTTGGAGGTTTTTAGAACCGAAGGGACTGTAGACCTAGGCAAGTATTTACCGTCAGAAAATCAGTTTGCTAATTCACAACAAAACAATTTTCTGACACTCCATGACTAAAGTTTTCAAGCAGTCTTTGGTCTGACCTTCCTTACCATAAGTCTTTTCAAACTAAACAATGTCTACTGGTAACAACTGTGTTCACATAAAAGTATTAATGATCTGTCATATGTGATTTTTCCTTATGTAAACTAACCCATTGCCTTGACGCCAACAAATTACATGACTGGCACCAAATCATCTCAATCTTTAATCTACATTTTCCAGCTTTCTAATATGGTGTAGTTTTTAGTCCCTTCACTCTGAACCCTTCTTATGGACAGAACCACATCTGAAATCTACACCAGTTCCTTAGTATAGTAACCATGCCACTTACAATTTAAGGTACTATACTTTCACTAAGCATTCCACAGGCTAACTCTGAATTCTTCCTAAATTCTTGGGTAGATAAATTTGAGCTCATCAAGTTTACTGATTTAATCAAGAAAAGCCTAGGCAGCCAGAAAAAAAAAACGTATAGGAAATATTAAATAAATGTTAACATTTCTGGGATAATTCCTGGGACTTCTAGATATTTTTCTGTACTTTCTAGAGGATTTATTCACGTTCCAATCAGAAAAAAACTTTTAAAAAAAGTTAAGCATCTATCATCATTTGTACTAGAAACTTTAATCTGGTTGGAAAGAAATAGTGGAAATTCTCTAATGTTTTCATTCTTAAATGGATCTTTCACACCATGATTAAGTAGTCTTACCAATTCTCTAGCTGACCTTTTCATTATAACATATCTTTTTTAAAAACAAAAACAAGGCTGGGCACGGTGGCTGACACCTGTTATCCCAGCCTTGGGAGGCCAAGGCAGGCGGATCACAAAGTCAGGAGTTCGAGACCAGCCTGATCAACATGGTGAAACCCCATCTCTGCTAAAAATATAAAAATTAGCCAGGTGTGGTGGCGTGTGACTATAATCCCAGCTACTCAGGAGGCTGAGGCAGGAGAATCACTTGAACCCAGGAGGTGGAGGTTGAAGTGAGCCGAGATCGTGCCACTGTACTCCAGCCTAGGCGACAGAGCAAGACTTCATCTCAAAAACAAACAAATAAACAAAAAACACAAAATCTCTTACCTAATCATTTCTACAAAGAGGCTTATTGAATTCATCTTTTATTCACCTAATTTCTAGGTTGTTCCTAATCAGTCTGTGGGCTTCTCTGGCCTTGACTGAAAACGTTTCCAATATTTTAGAAATGCCTTCTTCTTAGAAAGATGCCTTTCTTCACGGTGGCTCATGCCTGTAATCCCAGCACTTTGGGAGGCCGAGGCAGGCGGATCACCTGAGGTCGGGAGTTCGAGACCAGCCTGACCAACATGAAGAAACCCCGCCTCTACTAAAAATACAGAATTAGCTAGGCGTGGTGTCACATGCCTGTAATCCTAGCTACTAGGGAGGCTGAGGCAGAAGAATCGCTTGAACCTGGGAGGCAGAGGTTGCGGTGAGCCGAGATCGCGCCATTGCACTCCAGCCTGGGCAACAAGAGTGAAACTCCGTCTCAAAAAAAAAAAAAAAAAAGAAAAAAGAAAGATGCCTTTCTTCTCTCCACAGCCTCTAAGCCTATGCCAAATAACCAACTGTTTTGTATGGTCCTTTTGATCTCTTGCATTCTTTTAACATGTATTTCAAATATGATGATTTTTAAGTCTTTAAATTTCCAGTAGGTTTCTCTTTAAAATCTTCCTCTCCACTCACCCTAATATATACATGATCACAGCTCAATTTCCTAAAAATGAATCCTCGCATGACAGATTTTGTTCTCCTTTCTGAAGAATGCTGAACTTAATCACGGTATAATTATTATGAAATAATGCCTGACCTACAGAAACCTGAATCAATTCTTATTTGTTCCTCCGGGTAAAATTCAGGTTATTTATTTGCTTTGTATGTTCTAAAACTGCCAATTGTCGGGAGTAGCTTATCTTAGTCAAAACCACATTTGCTCTCAATGAAGAATTTAATCAATCTATGTATAAATAAACCTTCTATTACTATCTGACCTAATTTTGCAGCTTCTCCAATTCCTTTAACATTTCAAGTTCAGTCCCATTATTCTGATTAGGACTGACATTTTTATTTAAGCAAGGATTTAAACCTTTCAAACTTCCATGCTACTTCCCTGGTTATAGGGAAAAAATTAACATTACTATTGCTTGTTATTCCTTATAATAATCACTTGCTGCCTCTATCATTCCTATGAGGTATATAGCCCAGAGCAGTACTACACCTGAACAGTTAGTCTCCTTCCATCAAGCATATGAGATGAGAATTAAATTATTGGTAACACTTTTTTTGTTTTTTTTTTTGAGATGGAGTCTCACTCTTGTTGTGCAGGCTGGAGTGCAGTGGTGGAATCTCGGCTCACTGCAACTTCCGCCTCCTGGGTTCAACCTATTCTCCCGCCTTAGCCTCCCAAGTAGCTGAGATTACAGGCACCCGCCACTACGCCCAGCTAATTTTTGTATTTTAGTAGACGGGGTTTCACCATGTTGGTCAGGCTGGTCTCGAACTCCTGACCTCAGGTGATCCACCTGCCTCAGCCTCCCAAAGTGCTGGGATTACAGGCGTGAGCCACTGCGCCCAGCACACCTTTTTTTTGGAGATGGAGTCTTGCTCTGTTGCCCAGGCTGGAGTGCAGTGGCACGATATCGGCTCACTGCAACCTCTGCCTCCCAGGTTCAAGCGATTCTCCTGCCTCAGACCCCCTGAGGAGCTGGGATTACAGGCACCTGCCACCATGCCAGGCTAATTTTTTGTATTTTTAGTAGAGACGGGGTTTTGCCACGTTCGCCAGGCTGGTTTCGAGCTTCTGACTTCAGGGTGATCTGCCCACCTCAAGCCTCCCAAAGTGTTAGGATTAAAGGCGTGAGCCACTGCTCCTGGCCAATAACACTTTCATTTTTAATTTTTTTTAAATTTGAGACAGAGTCTCAGTCTGTCGCCCAGGCTGGAGTACAGTGGTGCAATCTTGGCTCACTACAACCTCTGCCTCCCGGGTTCAAGCCATTCTCCTGCCTCAGCCTCCTGAGTAGCTGGGATTACAGGTGTGCACCACCATGCCCAGCTAATGTTTGTATTTTTAGTAGAGACGGGGTTTCACCACATTGGCTAGGCTAGTCTCGAACTCCTGACCTCAAGTGATCCGCCCACCTCGGCTTCCCAAAGCGCTGGGATTACAGGCGTGAACCACCACACCCAGCCCTGGTAACTTTTAAATAAATCAAATGCTTAAGATCACACAGGTACGGGCCAGGCGCGGTGGCTCATGCCTGTAATCCCAGCACTTTGGGAGGTCGAGATGGGCGGATCACAAGGTCAGGAGATAGAGACCATCCTGGCTAACACAGTGAAACCCCATCTCCACTAAAAATACAAAAAATTAGCCAGGCGTGGTGGTGGGCACCTGTAGTCTCAGCTACTTGGCAGGCTGAGGCAGGAGAATGGTGTGAATCCGGGAGGCAGAGCTTGCAGTGAGCCGAGATTGCGCCACTGCACTCCAGCCTGGGCAACAGGGCGAGACTCTGTCTCAAAAAAAAAAAAAAAAAAAAAAAAATCACACAGGTACAATATATAGGTTTTGTTATTGGCAGAAAATGTCATTTCACCATTATGTCACCTACCCAAATGTGACCTTGTTATAACTGAATTTCTTTCTTATGGAAAGGCTCCATAAGAAAAATAATATTGCCAGATACTTCCTTGAACTTCCCACTGTGTCAGATAGTGTTACGAAACTCATCTGAAATCCACATTGCCTAGATTTCTAGCTCTGCAACTGGAAGGGCCTACTAACACAAACCACAGAAACATTATTAAGTAAACAGCAGCAAACAAGCTATGTTCAAGTTCTCTTACTAATAAAAGCAATACAGTTTGGTCAGTTAAACTGATATCCTTTCAACCACTAAAGAAAACAACAACATACACTTGGATTAACAGCTGCTGGCTTTAAAATTCACAATATCAGTAATATGTTATGTACTACTTAAGCATAGGTAGGGAGAATGTATGACTTCAAGTTTGATATACAGCAAACCCTCCCAGAGAAAGGTAATATAAAATCTGCCCAGAAGACCACCCAATATTAGAACTCTGTCTGCTTAAAAGTAATAGATTTTTCCTTAGTATGGATCTGAGTTCACCACAAAATTCATTTATTCTGGCCATGTGGTGGCTCATACTTGTAATCCCAGTGCTTTGGGAGTCTGGGAAGTGGGGGATCACTTGAGGTCAGGAGTTTGAGTCCAGCCTGGCCAACATGGTGAAACCCTGTCTCTACTAAAAACTAAAAATACAAAAATTAGCCGGGCTTGGTGGCAGGCACCTGTAATCCCAGCTACTTGGAAGGCTGAGGCAGGAGACTCACTTGAACCCAGGAGGCAGAGGTTGCAGTGAGCCGAGATCGCAACAATGCACCACAGCCTGGGCAACAGAGTGAGACTCCGTCTCAAAAAAAAAAAGTTCATTTATTCTGCCAGGTGCAGTGCCATGTGCCTGTAGTCCCAGCTACCTGGGAGGCTGAGGTAGGAAGACAGCTCAAGCCTATGAGTTTGAGGCCATGGCACACTTATGATCACACCTGTGAATAGCCACTGTCCTCCAACCTGGGCAACACAGCAAGACCCCACCTCTTTAAACAGACACACACACACACACACACACACACACACACACACACACACCTTTATTCTAAAATTAAATATGAAAAAGACCACATTTTTACAAAATGGCAAATAGGTCTTCTTGTGTACTGAAACTACACAAGCTGGTGGTATAAATAACCAAAAACAGAGTAAATGGGTCCCAATATATCCTCAGCTACATCAAATGGCATATAGTGTAACAGGCTGAGAGCTTGATGTCCACAAGCTGAATCCAATATAACATGTGGACAGAAATAAGATATGCAGCCAGGCACAGTGGCTCATGCCTATAATCCCAGCACTTTGGGAGGCTGAGGTGGGTGGATCACCTGATGTCAGGAGTTCCAAGACCAGCCTGGCCAACATGGTAAAACCCCGTTTCTACCAAAACCATAACAATTAGCTGGGCGCGGTGGCGCATGCCTGTAATCCCAGCCAGTCGGGAGGCTGAGGTGGGAGACTTGCTTGAACCTGGGAGTTAGATGTTGCAGTGAGCTGAGATCGCGCCACTGCACTCCAGCCTGGGTGACAGAGCGAGACTCTGTTTCAAAAAAAAGAAAAAAAAAAAAAAGGAAATAAGACATTCCATTCCATTGCTTGCATATTAGGTATACATTTTAGCTTCTAGCCAATTACCTAAATAGCTGTCTGGCCTAAGGGACTTCTGTTTCCTATCAGCTTCATGAAAGGAGAAAAGGGAAAGGGTAACAAGAAAAATAATGAAGTAGAAGAGTTAGAAAAGGGTAAGTAAAGCAGGCCAGGCGTGGTGGCTCACGCCTGTAATCTCAGCACTTTGGGAGGCTGAGGCCGGCGGATCACGAGGTCAGGAGATCGAGACCATCCTGGCTAACACGGTGAAACCCCATCTCTACTAAAAATACAAAAAATTAGCTGGGTGTGGGGGCAGGCGCCTGTAGTCCCAGCTACTTGGAAGGCTGAGGCAGGAGAATGGCCTGAACCGGGGAGGCAGAGCTTGCAGTGAGCCAAGATCACGCCACTGCACTCCAGCCTAGGCAACAAAGCAAGACACCGTCTCAAAAAAAAAAAAAAAAAAAAAAGAAAGAGAAGAGTAAGCAAGGGAATAAACAAATAAATTTACAATGTGCAATTCAAACAAGAGAGCATCTAGACATAAGAAAACTTCATCTTTAGGCTGCTGAAATTAGGTACTGAGACTTCCAAAACACAGCTAATGTGTTGAGAGGAAGTCAAAGCACCAAAAACCTGAAAATTCACGCTTTAGGCCAGGCGCATAGCACACACTCTTTGAAAGCTTATTTTTAAAGAGCTACCTGAAATAAAGTTGCTGAGGCCTCACTAAGAAGAGAGAAGGTTATGATACTGGGCTTCTCCCTTTGAGGAAGGAAAAAAGTCAGAGGCCTACCTCACCCATCACTCCAGGCAACCAAGGCTCAGTCAGCAGAAGGGTAAATCCCACCCCTCAGGGAACTGGGTTAGAAGGTCTCTAGTTCCACCCCTGCTGTCTTCCAGACAAGACTGACTGCAATTTTCACCCCAGTTAACTTCCAGTGATGCCAGCAAGAGGAGCAGACAGGAGAAAAGAACATAAGGAGTAGCTATTTCTCCTCAGTGTCAGCTGGACTCTGGAACAACTGTAGACATTGCCTTTCTCTCTGCTGGGCAGAAGAGAATCCACTAATCTCAGGGAAGTGCCTAACAACCCAGTAACACAACATTTCTCAAAGATCTCTACTTTAACCATCTTATTTAGGGTTGCAACCCCTCCCACCTCTCCTACCTAACCCTCTTTTCCACTCCCAATTCTCCTTATCCTGCTGTACTTTTCCCCATATCATATATTACCTTTCTAATTTTATATATTATTATGTTTATTTCTATCTCCTATTCAAAGATAATATCCATGAGGTTGATTTTTTTTTTTTGGTCTATTTTGTTCATTGATCTTAAACAACTAGAACAGGGCATCCAATAAATATTTATGGAATGAAGTGAGAAAGAAAAACTAAAAAGACCTCCCAGAAGTCAACCACACCCAGATGGCCCAACAATGCCTATATTGCCCTAGCAGAACCAATTTGGTTCCTGTGACTAAATTTATCTCACCTCCACCTGCCATGCATCACCACTAGACCCTTGCTGCAAGTTTTCTATCAGCTCGGATGTATGGAACCACAGTACAGTCATATGCAGTAAAGGCAACAAATGCTTGTCCTTGAATCTGAACAATTTCTCAAGGCATTCACCGTCTGCCTTTTCCCTAGTTTATTCAATTTGGGATAAAATGTGTTGAATGGAAGTTACGTTACTTTTGCATAAAAAGAAGTCTAAAAAAATCACAATTTCTTTTTTCAAGAATCAAGTTCTAATTCAATTCATCAAGCATTAATTAAGCATAAAGTTATATTCAAAGAAGCACTGGGCTAAGAGTTTACGGAACAGAGGAGACACAGGTATCTCACGAGCTTAAAATGAGGGATGAAGAAAATATATTCACAAATAATTACAGTTAAAGACAACATGCGGGCTGGGCGCGGTGGCTCATGCCTGTAATCCAAGCACTTTCGGAGGCCAAGGCAGGTGGATCACGAGGTCAGGAGTTCGAGACCAGCCTGGCCAAGATGGTGAAACTCAACCCCGTCTCTACTAAAATACAAAAATTAGCCAGGCGCGGTGGCGGGCAACTGTAATCCCAGTTACTCGGGAGGCTGAGGCAGGAGAATCGCTTGAACCTGGGAGGTGGAGGTTGCAGTGAGCCAAGATCGCTGCACTCTAGCCTGGGTGACAGAGTAAGACTCCGTCTCAAAAAAAAAAAAAAAAAAAGACAACATGTGATAAAGTACTACAACAGAGATCCCAGCAAAAAGTTAGAGATAAAGAGGAGGATGAAATCAATTCTGGAGATAGGTGGATAGGAAGAAGTGGGATAAGAAAGGCTTCAGGAAGGAAATTTTTTTGCTAAGTTGAAGGAATGGTTAGATTTGGGAGTTAACTGTCCTGGGAGCAAGGTAGTGCATTCCAACAGAACAGAAGAGAAAAAAAAACCCTAAGAAATGGAGACTGAAAAATGCAGGGTAACTTAGAGGAATAGCTGTAAAAAAAAAAAAAAAAAAAAAAAGGATAAACTGGGTATGCTAGCACAGGCCTGTAATCTCAGCTATTTGGGAGGCTGAGGTAGGAGGTCACTTGAGCCCAGGAGTTTGAGGCCAGCCAGGGAAACATAGCAAGAGCCCGTATCTTAAAAACAAACAACAAAAAAGATATGGATAAAATGAAAAATATGAAATAAGGTTGAGGAAGGCCAGGTTTGGTCAAATCATAAAGAACCTTGAATATTGACCTATGTAGGCAATGGGAACCATCGAAGATTTTATAGAAAGAAGCAAAATGATCAAAATTGTAATTTTAAAGGTCTACGCTGGCTTTATTTGCACACACTCTTCTAGAACAAAATTCTTATCTTTCAGAGCACTTTAGTTCATAATCATAAATTCATTAATTGTCTCTCCCACTAGACTACAAGTCCAAACAGGACAAGACTATGTGTGGCCTGGCATATAAGTGCCCAGTAAATATTACCTAAATGAGTAAATAAAAATTATAATACAGCAGTTGTATGTAGTATGCAATACAAAAAAAGGCAATAACCATGAGGTTATTGCAATAATATATAGAAGATGAAGACCTGAACTAGGTCAGATTAAAAAGTGAGGCCAGGCTCACACCTGTAATCCCAGCACTTTGGGAGGCTGAGGCAGGCGGATCACCTGAGGTCGGGAGTTCGAGACCAGCATGAACAACATGGAGAAACCCCGTCGCTACTAAAAATACAAAATTAGCCAGGCATGGTGGCGTACGCCTGTAATCCCAGCTACTCGGGAGGCTGAGGCAGGAGAATTGCTTGAACCTGGGAGGCAGAGGTTGCAGTGAGCCGAGATTGTGCCATTGCACTCCAGCCTGGGCAACAAGAGCAAAACTCAGTCTCAAAAAAAAAAAAAAGTGAGGCTAGGCCAGGTGTGGTGGCTCACGCCTGTAATCCCAGCACTTTGGGAGGCCGAGGCGGGAGGATCACCTGAGGTCAGGAGTTCGAGACCAGCCTGGCCAAGATGGTGAAACCCCGTCTCTACTAAAAATATAAAAATTGGCCAGGCACGGTAGCTCACGCCTGTAATCTCCGCACTTTGGGAGGCCGAGGCAGGTGGATCACAAGGTCAGGAGTTCAAGACCAGCCTGGCCAAGATGGTGAAACCCCATCTCTACTAAAAATACAAAAATTAGCCGAGTGCAATGACAGGCGCCTGTAATCACAGCTACTCGGGAGGCTGAGGCAGGAGAATTGCTTGAACCTGGGCGGCAGAGGTTGCAGTGAGCCGAGATCACGCCACTGCACTGAGACGGGGTGTGGGCGACAGACTGAGACTCCATCTCAAAAAAATACAAAAATTAGCTGGGCGTAGTGAAATGCACCTGTAATCGCAGCTCTTTGGGAGGCTGAGACAGGAGAATCGCTTGAACCCAGGAGGTGGAGGTTGCAGTAAGCCGATATCGCACCACTGCACTCCAGTCTGGGTGACAGAGCAAGACTCTGTCTCAAAAAAAAAGAAAAAGGCTAACTAGTGAGGCTAAATGTCAGGCTATCCAATTAGTGAATGCTTAGATACGTAATTTGGTGAATGATTCAGATGAGGTGGTGAGGACGAAAAAAAGAACCAAATATGAGGCCAGGCGCGGTGGCTCATGCCTGTAATCCCAGCACTTTGGGAGGCCGAGGTAGGCAGATCACGAGGTCAGCAGTTCGAGACCAGCCTGGCCAACATGGTGAAATCCTGTCTCTACTAAAAATACAAAAATTAGCCAAGCATGGTGGTGGGCATCTGTAATCCCAGCTACTTGGGAGGCTGAGGCAGGAGAATCGCTTGAACCCAGGAGGCAGAGGTTGCAGTGAGCCGAGACCACACCACTGGACTCCAGCCTGGGCGACAGAGCAAGACTCTGTCTCCAAAAAAAAAAAAAAAAAAAAAAAAGAACCAAATATGAGTCAAAAGTTTTAAGCCAAAGCAACTGGAAGAACAGCAATGCTTCAAGGAGAAAAGCATAGGCGGGTTTCAAATTATGAACGGGAAGTACATCTGAAAGCATATGCCAAGTAGAAACAAATTTCTTCCCTTCCTTACCCTTCAGATATATATGTCATAAGCTTTACAATTCCATGTCTTTTCTTATAGTTTCATTTTTGATACCATTCTTTAGAACTCTGCTCTAGAAGCATCTGTTCCAAAACAGATAAATGCTGAGCTTTACACCGAATTTCAGAATTTGTAGCTGAAATTTACAAGGTATATTCTTGGTCTTTATTTTTTTTATTATTTTTGAGACAGGGTCTCACTGCTGCCCAGGCTGGAGTAAAGTGGCATGATCACAGTTCACGGCAGCCTCAACCTCCCAAGCTCAAGTGATCCACTTCCCATGTAGCTGGAACTACAGGAGTGTGCCACCATGGCAGGTTTTCAAATTTTTTGTAGAGATGGGGTCTATGTTGTCCAGGTTGGCCTTGAACTCCTGGGCTCACGTGATCCTCCAGCCTCGGCCTCCCAAAGTGTTGGGATTACAAGGAAGAGCCACCGCACCCGTCTTATATTCATGAACATTCACTTCTATTCATATGAATGAAAATTCATCTCAACCAGACACAAAGTGCCCACCTAGGAATGTTGCTAGGTATGCTGCTGATAATATCCCAAGACCACACTAGCTGTACTTTGTACACAGGATAGAGCAGACACTGCTGTCTTTCTCCACAAATACTGAACTACAGTCTAAGAAACTATAGGTACCAGCATGAAATGTGGTACCAGCATGCAATATGGACTAACTGCCTCATCTGGATTTCATGCTGTGGTATGATAGCCAAAGGTTTCGTGGTACCCACTTTGGCTACTTTGCAATCCAACCCCCATGCTGCACTTCACACTTTTTTTAAACCATCTATAAAAACTACTTATAGGCCGGGTGTGGTGGCTCACGGCTGTAATCCCAGCACTTTGGGAGGCCGAGGCGGGTGGATCACCTGAGGTTGGGAGTTTGAGACCAAGCCTGACCAACATGGGGAAACCCCATCTCTACTAAAAAATACAAAAATTAGCTGGGCGTGGTGGCAGACACCTATAATACCAGCTACTCGGGAGGCTGAGGCAGGAGAATCACTTGAACCCAGGAGGCTGAGGATGCAGTTAGCTGAGATTGTGCCATTGCACTCCTGCCTGGGTGACAGAGCAAGACTCCATCTCAAACAAACAAAACAAAAACAAAAACAAAGAAAAAGCTACTTATATTGGCCGGGTATGGTGGCTCATGCCTGTAATCCCAGCACTTTGGGAGGCCGAGGTTGGCGGATCACCTAAGTTTGGGAGTTCGAGACCAGCCAGACCAACATGGAGAAACCCCATCTCCACTAAAAATAAAAAATTAGCCAGGCGTGGTGCCGCATGCCTGTAATGCCACCTACTCAGGAGGCTGAGGCAGGAGAATCGCCTGAAACCGGGAGGCGGAAGTTGCGGTGAGCCAAGACTGTGCCACTGCACTCCAGCCTGGGCAACAAAGAGAAACTCCATCTTGGGGGGACAAAAAAAACAAAAAACAAACTACTTATATTTCTAATATAAATCATTCTAAAATCTCACATTCAAGTGGAACACTTCCCCAAATAACCTTTAGATGAACTAAAAATTAGTAATGTGCTATAGATGGCTGGGAATAAAGCAAGGCACTCTCAGGACTTTTTAATGATCCAAAACAAACAAGTTTTGCCTACCAAATTTTTCTACTCCAGACCAATAGAATTTTTTTTTTTTTTTAAAGACACAATTTTGCTCTGTCACCCAGGCTAGAGTACAGGGGGGCAATCTCAGCTCACTGCAACCTCTGCCTCCCAGGTTCAAATGATTCTAATGCCTCAGCCTCCTGAGTAGCTGGGATTACAGGCATATGCCACCACGCCTAACTTATTTTTTTGTATTTTTAGTAGAGACGGGCTTTCACCATGTTCACCAGGCTGGTCTCTTCCTGGCCTCAACTGATCCGCCAGCCTTGGCCTCTCAAAGTGCGGGAATTACAGGTGTGAGCCACCGTGCCTGGACCAACAGATGTTTTAAGTACAAATCTGAAAACAGTGAACATTATTTCCAATGTTCAAAGGTAGATTAAACCTATGATTTTGCTATGTTAACAACAACAGAAGACTAAAAGACCAGCATCCTCTTACTATTCAATAAGTATTAATAGCTGCTACTCGAAGTCCCAGATCAAATAATTAACTGAAAAATGCTGATAAAAATCCTAATATGGGGAATTAACAACTTGGCTGTGTAATTTTATTTCCTTAAAACTGCTTGAAAGAGGCCGGGTGCAGTGGCTCACGCCTGTAATCCCAACACTTTGGGAGGCCAAGGCGGGTGGATCATGAGGTCAGGAGTTCGAGACCAGCCTGAACAACATGGTGAAACCCCATCTCTACTAAAAATACAAAAATTAGCCAGGCATGGTGGCACACGCCTGTAATCCCAGCTACTCAGGAGGCTGAGGCAGGAGAATCGCCTGAACTCTGGAGGTGGAGGTTGCAGTGAACCAAGATCACGCCAACGCACTCCAGCCTGGGCAACAGAGCGACTTCATCTCAAAAAGAAAAAAAAAACTGCTTGAAAGCAAATACTTCCTAACATTACTCTCAATCTGAAAGTTCCTGAAACACTTACCAACCAGCTTTTCATTTCTCGTCTCTTTTAGGAGGGTATTTCAGAGATACCCCCTTGTTCGTCATACTTCGGCAAATGTCATCAACGTGCATTTTCAGCATTAAAAATAACGTAATTGGCTGGGTGCAGTGGCTCAAACCTGTAATCCCACCACTTTGGGAGGCTGAAGCAGGAGGATGGCTTGAGCCTAGGAGCTCAAGACTAGCCTGAGCAACATGGCAAACCATCATCTCTACAAAAAAAATTACAAAAATTAACCAAGCATGGTGGCACACTTTTGTAGTCCCAGCTACTTGGAAGGCTGAGGTGAACCCACTAGGTCAAGGCTGGGTAAGACCCTGTCAAAAATAAATAAATAACAACATAATTTTATTTTCCGAACAAAACACTGTGGGCAACTCAACTTGTACTCAGTCCCAAGAAGTTAATTCAAAGTGGAATTTCTACTGACTAGTCAAAAGTGGAAAAATATCCAACTAACCTCCATAATCAGTCCAATTTAGCTCCCAGATTTCAGATATAATAGATTATTAGATCCTTGACTGAATTTACAAAGTTACTTCTTATTGATAGATGGCAAATCCTTCCAGGTACAACTTCCTTCTCACAAGCTAAGGTTCCTTTTCTGCAGCTTTCTCAACTCCTGACCTCAAGCTGATCCACCCGCCTCGGCCTCCCAAAGTGCTAGGATTACAGGCGTGAGCCACCAAGCCAGGCCAGCCTTTTTTGCAGCTTTCTGATTTCCACTCCTATGTTTTAAGCACACTAGAAAAAGATATATGCGGCAAGTTGGTGAGCCTGCAGAATGAGGCTACAAAACCCTCCAAAAAAAGATGGCCTAATAAAAGTACAGCCTTCCAAACAAATCAAAGAGTATGAGAGTCAAGCCCCAGGGAACTGAAATTGCACTCATTAGCCCTTCTGAATACCGGCTATATTTTTGACCAGCAATAAAAAAAAAAAAGATGCTCACTTATGTTAAATATTTTTGTCCTGTTCTTCCACCATAATCTTTTTTTTTTTTTTTTTTTTTTTTTGGAAATAGGGTCTTGCTCTGTGCGAGTGAAGGCTGAATTGCAGTGGTGAGATCACAGCTCACTGCAGCCTCGACCTCCTGGGCTCAAGCGATCCTCCCATCTCTGCTTCCTGAAGAGCTGGGACCACAGTGCACACCACCTGGCTAATTATTTACGTATTTATTGAAATGGAATTTATCTCTTGTTGCCCAGGCTGGAGTGCAATGGCTTGATCTCGGCTCACTGCAACTTCTACCTCCCAAGTTTAAGCGATTCTCCTGCCTCAGCCTCCCAAGTAGCTGGGATTACAGGCATGTGCCACCACACACGGCTAATTTTGTACTTTTAGTAGAGACAAGGTTTCACCATGTTGGCCAGGCTGAATTGTGTTGTTTTTTTTTTTTTTTTTTTTAAGATATGAGGCCTCTCTGTTGCCCAGGCTGGTCTCCAACTCCTGGGCTCAAGTGATCCTCCTGCCTCAGCCTCCCAAAGTGCTAGGACTACAAGTGTCAACCTGACTCTCAATCTTGGTATCATGATATTCTACAGCTAAATGGAACCGCAGTGATCATCCTGTCTAATGTGTTCATTTCACAGATGAGGCACATGAAAACAGGGGCATGACTTGCACAAGGACAAACAGCTAATTAGAGGCACAGTAATGATCAGAATCTGGGTTTTATGACTCTCAATTCTATGATTTTTTCCCCTCTATTCTTTGAAAAGCTATACTAGCCAGGCATTGTGGCTCATGTCTGTAGTCCCAGCACTTTGGGAAACCATGGAAGGAGGACTGCTTGAGTCCAGGAATTTGAGACCAGCCTGGGCAACCAGACTGGAGTGCAGTGGCACACAACATAGTGAGACTCCATCTCTACAAAAACAATTTAAAAATTGGGCTGGTCACAGTGGCTCATGCCTATAATCCCAGCACTTTGGGAGGCCAAGGTGGGAGGATGGCTTGAGCCCAGGAGTTCAAGACAAGCCTGGGCAATGCAGCGAAACAAAAAAAAACACACAAAAAAATTAGCCAGGTGTGGTGGCATTGAGGCTGGAATGAGCTGTGATTGCACCATTGCACTCCAGCCTAGGCAACAGAGTGAGACCCTGTCTTAAGGAAGGAGAAGCAGAAGGAGGAGGAGAGAGGAGAAAATGAAGGAAGGAAGGAAGGAAAAGAAAAGAAAAGAAAGGAAAGGAAAGGAAAGGAGGAAGGAAGGAAGGAAAGAGAGGAAGGAGAGGAAGGGGAGGGAGGGAGGAAAAAAAAATTAGCTGGGTGTGGTGGCGCCTGCCTGTACTTCCAACTGCTTGGGAGGCTGAGGTAGGAGAATTGCTTGAGCTCAGGAGGTTGAGCCTGCAGTGAGCTGTGATCGTGATTGTGTCACTATGCTCCAGCCTGGTGACAGAGCAAGGCCCTGCCTCAAAAAAGAAAAAAAAAAAAAGCATACTAGTAAAGAAAACATAACACTCTTAGACAATATCTTAACTGTAACAAAGACACAGAAAAATAAAATTTCATCCACATAAAGAGAAGTGTTAGAACAGAAGAAGCAACATTTGTTCATATAGTACAGGGGTTACTTAAGGCACATATTTTCTTTTTTCTTTTTGACAGAGCCTTGCTCTGTTGCCAGACTGGAATGCAGTGGCACGATCTCCACTCACTGCAACCTCCATCTCTCAGATTCAAGCAATCATCCTTCCTCAGCCTCCCGAGTAGCTGGGACTACAGACGTGCGCCACCATGCCCAGCTAATTTTTGTATTTTTAGTAGAGACAGGATTTCACCATGTTGGCCAGGATGGTCTCGATCTCTTGACCTCATGATCCGCCCGTCTCGGCCTCCCAAAGTGCTTAGATTAGAGGCGTAAGCCACCGCACCGGGCTAAGGCACATGTTTTCTAAAGTATTTTATTAATTACCACCTGCTAGAATTTATGTCCTGTGTTTTCATCAAATGTACCTCCTTAAAAGCAGGCCACAGTGACACTTGTGGCAAAGGTCAGAAAAGTGATACTTCTGGCATAGATAACTGATGGTACAAAAGGAATCCACAAAGGTGATGCCCACAATCAAGAAGAAAGGACTGAAGAAGGGGTAGAGATATTGCTGGGAGGAAGTATTCCTGAAAAATGGAATTAAAAAAGAAAAAAACCCCAAAGAAGTTGGCCAGACACTAATGACCAGAGAACACAATAAAAAGAAGGCAGTTTCAGAGCTTGTCTGGCATCAGACAGCTCTCACCTGCAAAAGAAAGAAGGAAAAATTTCTCACAGAGACAAGAGAAAAATCCTAGGTTTGCCCCTGAGTGATGGACTAGATATGACCTGACAGGTATTTGCCATCTCTTATTTCTGGGACTCTGATCCAAGAACAAACAGCAAGAGAACCATGAAAAATTAGCCCTGTTGGATCTGGAGTTCTGCCTTGACAAGATATAAAGCTCATTCATAGATCTGACTGTGCTCATGAGACTGCAGTTCAACTCCTGCTGCTAGAGCAAGGGGAGGGGGGAAGAAAGAAAGGGGTGAGAGAGAAGGAGGTGGAGGATCTGGGTTGTGACTATAATAGCTACAGTAATTAGAGTGTTTCCAAGCTGCTAGAGAAGTCTTCAGGGTAGGGAAGTGGGATAAGAGATGGGGGTGGGGGAAAGGTAAAAGGAAGCAAACTACTGAGAGTGCTAGGAAAGCATAAGTGGTTTGTGAACAGTTTTAATAAAACAAACATAAAAAACTGCCATAGCTTCGTATGAGGAAATCAAGAACTTGACATTCTTTCCTAGAAGTGAATACTAAACAATTAACTGCTGTCGCTAGACTTCCACTTAAAGCTAGCTTAGCTTTAGGTAGATCACTGCAAATGTCCCCATCTATGCAGTGCTCCATAGGCCCTGACCTGAGTCATAGTCTGGCCTCACTTTCCCTCAAAGAGCCTTCACTCCACTTGGGCTGTGGGAAAGAGATTTCTGAACTTTAAAACAGTTCATATGGCTCATTTCTCTTCAATCATCCGTTAATTAGTACCCTGTGAATTCCATTAGGTCGTGTGTGTATGTGTTTCAAGAGAAGGGGCACACAACCTGTTGGCCTAATATAGAAAATGAATGGAAGGCACTAAAAAGGTCAGAAAATAAACACAAAGTTACTTGCTTACAAGTTTTAGGCTCTATGGCATTCCTATTATAGTGGCACAAACATATGAAAGAGAAAATCATATTAACAGAAGATGATAATCTATTAAAAAATCTGAATTTTCAGAAAACCTCAAATAGTCTTTTCCCAAGTTATAGGAAATGCTATACCCCCCGCTAACTTTTTTTTTTTTTTTTTTTTTTTGAGACAGGGTTTCATTCTTGTTGACCAGGCTGGAGTGCGATGGCGCAATCTCAGCTCACTGCAACCTCCACCTCCCGGGTTCAAGCGATTCTCCTGCCTCAGCCTCCCGAGTAGCTGGAATTACAGGAGTGCACCACCAAGCCTGGCTAATTTTTGTATTATTAGTAGAGATGGAGTTTCACCATGTCAGCCAGGCTGGTCTCAAACTCCTGACCTCAGGTGATCTGCCCGCCTCAGCCTCCCAAAGTGCTGGGATTACAGGCATGAGCCACTGCGCCCGGCCTATATCCGTTTTTAAGATAAATATTTAGTGGTGATGTTCCTTAACATCATTTCTTCTGGTGATGACTTGGTTCTAACAAGTGATGTTAATGTCAATGTCAGGGAAAAGAGTTACAAAGGTGCTGGGAGAAACTAAAAATTGAAAAAAACAACTGGCAGGGCATGATGGCTCACACCTGTAATCCCAGCACTTTGGGAGGCCGAGGTGGGTGGATCACCTGAGGTCAGGAGCTCTACAGCAGCCTGGCCAACATAATGAAACCCCATCTCTACTAAAAATACTAAAATTAGCTGGGCATGGTGGTGGGCGCCTGTAGACCCAGCCATTCAGGAGGCTGACGCAAGCAATTGCTTGAACCTGGGAGGCAGAGGTTGCAGTGAGCCGAGATCGCACCATTACACTCCAGCCTGGGCCACAGGAGCGAAACTCCGTCTCAAAAAAGAAAAACAAACAAACAAACAAATAAACAACCGAAGAGATGCAAACTTCATGTGGGGAAATATATTCATAATATAAAAACATAATATAAAAACACATGCAAAATCACTTGAGTAAGGCATGTCAGGTAGACTTCCACAAAAAGTCAATTACATCATTTGCATAAAACCTATTAGGTATCCACCCAGTAGGCTAAATCTTTTTCACCATACTGAAAGCAAGAAATTTTCTCCTTCCCATTTCCCTTTAATAAACAAGTACTAGAAACACTGAATTACCACTATTTCCCTCCCATGCACAAAGCATAAAGCCAGAACTCCCATAAATACAATAGAGCCGTGTAGGGCCATGTCTAGGGCATGCTACTGAGTGATCTAAAAAACCACAGTTACAGAAGAATCTCTTTCTCTATTCTATTACCATCTTACTAACAAATCAACAAGCATTAAGAAATGTGAAACAAAGTGCAATTTCACACATACAAACTGAATCTAACCCACGGAAGACCAAGTATTTTCTTGTCACTGTGGCATGTGATTCTTCAACCACCTGCTCAGTAATCCCTCTTCAGCTACACAGCTGCTGCCAATTCCACATGCCCAGCTAGGCAGGTGCTTTGGTGAATTACCTGTTCCCTAGCGAAAAGAGTCCTTCACTGACACTTAGTGGACCCAGAACCTGCCAATCAACATCACCTATCTTCATTTTGTCTGTCACAGACAACTTTTATAACAGAGGTATCATGAAGGCATATTTAATACATTACGATATTTTGCATTTTGTGGGGTTTTTGTTTGTTTTCTTTAAAGGAAACTGATTTTGAAAAATCAAGTAGAAGAGAGAATTAAGAGACTGAAAAGAAAACTTCCCACACAATATAAGGCTGCCTCATCTCAGGCTAATCCCATCTGCCTGGCAGTATTCCCATCCATGACCAGTTTTCCATGAGGGAAATAACAATTGCTTAGCTACCTTCAGAGTAGGAGAAAAGGGCAGTACAAGTACTAAGGTACCTGGAAAAGAAGTAACTACAAAGAGGAAGCAGAGTGGGAACTTCTGGAGAACACATATCATTGCTATACTTAGCCTCCATGGCTAAGCTCAGGCAATAGTGTTCTGAGTCAAATAAATAAAATAAATAAGGAGTGGCACTTCCACTTGACAGAGCAATCAGTAAACCCCTCAACAAATTATCGTGTTCCAGTCATTTAGTTGCTATATGCTAATTGCAACATAATTGCTACCAGGAGCCAAAATTATGCCTCCATATCCTCACAAAATAAGCACTAATCTGTCCAACTTTCTAGACTTCTATCACAAGGAAATTTTTTTCTACCAAGAAGCTGGGACGGGTAGTTGGGGGGGAATCCAAAGCACTCTTTGAATGATGGTCACAATCAGAAGACTCACATGAGATTCCTTGTGGCAAGGGCCCAACTCTGAAGCCACTAAATCTAATCAGGACAAATTTAATCTGAGGCTTCTGCCTTCACTGTCACCTGACAGCATTCAGAAATAAATGCCAAGAGCCCAAGAGCAAAAAGCTTTGGACTCAGTTTAGCTGAGGCTTCACTCAAATATTCCTAGGACACAGAGTTGGAAATAGTCTAAAGACAGACAACACCTCCAGTAAGGCCTGAAGACAGTTCTGTTATCAAAAAATATATAAAGGTCAGAACAACCTGTTCCCTCCTATCAAAGGCCCAACACCTCAGTGGCAGGCCATCATTTAAAGAAACTCACTGAAATAAAAGGATAAGGGAGGCACCATAGACAGACTAATTGCCTCAGAAAGACCTTTACCAAAACCAAAGGCTAAAGTTCTTATTCAACACTATCCTATGGGAAATGATTGGCTATTGTGTACACAGCACATTATATACAATTCCCCACTCACAATGAGTTTTACTTCTAATCTCTTTTTAAAGAAAAGTTGTATTTAATGTCCTAAATGGAAACCTCTTTTCCAGGCCCCAAATTTTTTTTTTTTTTTTTTAAAGACAAGGTCCTGCTCTATCACCCAGGCTGGAGTACAGCGGTGCAATCACAGCTCACTGCAGCCTCAACCTCCTGGGCTCAACGAGATCTTTCTACCTCAGCCTCCCAAGAAGCTGGGACCACAGGCGTATGCCACTACACCCAGCTAACATTTTTTATATTTTTTGTTGAGATGGGGTTTTGCCATGTTGCCCAAGCTGGTCTCGAACTCCTGAACTCAAGCGATCTTCCCACCTCAGCCTCCTGAGTAGCTGGGACCACTGGCATGTGCCACTATGCCCAGCTAGCTGTATTTTTTTAAATTTTTGTAGAGATGAGTTCTCACTATGTTGCCCAGGCCACTCTCAAACTCCTAGGCTCAAGTGATCCTCCTGCCTCAGCCTCCCAAAGTGCTGGGATTACAGGTGTGAGCACCATGCCTGGTCCCAAATAATTTTTTACACAACTAATAGTACATAAATATTATTTGAGCACTTCTATCAGATATGTACAATAGGATTCCTTCTAGTTTGTTCTCATCCTTCTCTCACTAATAATCCCTAAGACCCATACATTTTTTCAAAAATGTTTATTTCTTTGGCAAATTTCTTAATACAGAGGCAGATATAGACTTTTGCACAATGAGCAACTCATGTCCTTTCATTAGAGTTAAAATAAATATTGAAAGGTTTGTTCCCACAGCCCTTGCCCAGATAGGCAAATTCTGTGGCTTTTTTGTTGTGCTATTATTATTGACCAGGAAGCCACCATTAAAAAGGTACTTGGTTCTTGACTTTTTTATTTTTTATTTTTAAAGAAACAGGGTCTTGCTTTGTTGCCCAGGCTGGTCTTAAACTCCTGGGCTCCAGCCATCCTCTGGCTTCATTCTCCCAAAGTGCCAAGATTACAAGCATGAGCCACCACACCTGGGCTTGACTCCCCATCTTAACACTGCACAGGTTTTTAGTGGTATTCGGAAACAAACAAAAATCACTGCATGAGTGTTCCATTCATATAAAAGAATTAAATATGATGATTCAACTAAGAGTAGAACCTTCCCTTGAAGTCTTCTTCCTTAAGGGTCTGAAACAAACATCGTAGTTGAGTCTACCAGACACTATTCCTTCACAACTTAGTACAGGCTAGCCAAAGAGGCAGGCACAACATGGCTGGCATCCCTTATTCTTCTGAAAAATGTGTGCCAATGAGCTCTGCATTGTTCCTCACTCAAAAAGAAGAGCCTTTCTCTCTGGCCTCCTCCAATGGCAAGCCCCAGTCTGGAAAAGGAAGAAAATGGCACTGAGGAGCCTGGGAGATGGAGCATATCCAAAGCTCTCAGACAAGACTTGAACCTATGACCTTCACTGTGTACACAATAGGCGGGTGAGAGGGACCGGTTTATCTCTGCTGCAGCAGTTCTCAGCCCTGGGGTAGCGCTCCCGATAAAATGACACGACTATTGTGTGTGGCAGCAGAACAGTCATCTCCTCACAACAGCCTAAACCAGCACTCCCTCCCCCAAGACAAAGCAGCAGGGGTGAAATTAACTCAAGGCTGCAGAGCAAAGCCTAATACAGAAAAGGGAGGCCTGTAGGGGCTTGGGGACTCTCCTCAACCCCTTAGGCTCTGGACACATGGCTGGAAACAGACAGGCTTTCTTCCCTATCTTTCTCACTCTCATTTAGGTAGGGAGCTGTTTCTTAGAGAATTTAATCATCCGTGATTTGTTCAGAAATATTCCCCCTGAAGGGCTCTGATCTCTCCACCCTGTGTGAGCCTAATTCCTCGAAGCTGAAATGACTGTTTGCTGCTGCCTGTTTCACAAACACACATTAATTGGTCAGATGTGTCTCCTCCTCCTCAACCCCAGAGGGAGGAAGGAGAATCTGAGCAAAGCACAGAGATGATCCAACCGTAATTACACATAAAGGGAAAAGAGGGCAGCATGGGTTTTCCAAACAGGATAGGGTCACAAACCCTCCCGGGGGTACAAGGATAGCAGTTGAGGTCCAGGCCCAGGGATCCCTCCATCTTGAAGAAAAGGACAGGAGTAAATGTGACCTGAAGACTGTTAGGGGCACACACCCACAACCTACTTACTGCAGGATCCCAGCCACCTTGCTCCCCACTCCTAGGTCACGCACACGTCCTGCTTCCGACCCTATGCTCTGAACAACCACCACCGCCCCCGCCCCCCCTCCCCCGCCAACTCCCTGACTGGCCCCAGTCGCCCCGAGCGCCCTCAACATACCCAGACTCGCCTCAGAAACTCTCTGGCCTGCTCCCATAACCTAGCCAGACCCTAATCCCCTCCCGGGCACCCCTACCCTCAGCCTGAACCGGCCGTGGCCACGCTTTGAACTTCACCCCGCGCCCCTCGACGCCCCCTCCCCCACCCACGCAACGACCCCCCCTACACACCTTCCCCTCGCTCCGCCCCAGCCCCCCCAACCCCCACTTCCTCCGTCAGGCAGCGCCGCCGCCCCCGGCCCCCATCAGATCCCCTCAGCCCCGCGCCCCATCGGTGCCGCCGCCTCTTTCCTCCCCCAGTCCCGGCTCCACACAAAGCTCCGGACTCACCGCGCGGCCGGTCCCGGGAGCCGCCACCTCCGCCCGCCCGGGGCCCCGGGCCGTAGAGCCGCCGCTGCTACGGGGCCCAGGCCGCCATCCGTTCCCGCGGCCCCTCCCCCCCACCCCACCCCGGCTCCGGCTCCGGCTCCGGCTCTGGCTCTCTGCCCCCTCCCCGCGCCTCTCCGCCCCGCCCGGCCGGTGCCGCTGTGTCCGGGGCCGCGGGTCCCTCAGCCGCCGCCACCGCCGCCGCCGCCGCGATCCGGGACAACCAGAGTCACCCGGAAGACGCGGACACTGGACTGCCAGGCCCTCGGATCCGGATTCCGCGCTTGTGTGGAGTCTGGAGCCGGTGAGCGCAGGGGAAACCCGGAACCTGGATGAAGGAGCGAAATCCTGGGTCTCGGAATGCGCGCTCACCCGGAGCCCAGATTAGGGAGTCTTAGCTCAGGGAATGCTGGAAAACCCGGCGTGCCGGTTAGAACCAAGATAAACTCAAAGAAACCTGGATTAGAGAGCTCGAACCTAACGCTGTCCCCTCGTGGGCAGTAGAACTCTCGCTGGATCAGACTTCCTCATAGAGAGGTCTCTGGGGGGAGTATTGCACCTTATAACACAGAAGACACCTCTTCTGTAGTTGTCCTTCAACCACAGAGAGGAAAGGGCCGTAGGGGATCTGAACATGGGCATCCACAAAGAACAGAAGAGCAATCACAGCTCCTGATGGTTTCATCCATTTTACCCCTTAGTTCAGCAAAGTACCAACCTCCTAATTTTTTATCCTTTGTTCTCCAGCTTTCTCTTTTAGGATTACCACTTGCTTTTCTCCCCAAAGCACCCATTTCTAATCCCTCTATATATCCCTTTTCCCCTCACCATCCTCTATCACTAAATCTTGTTGCCTTTTATTATCTAAAAACCTTATTCTGTCCTTCTCCAACCCACCATTCTAAGGATTGTAGCTTTTATTTTTCCTTATCTGCTATTCATCTCTGATTGCCCAGCATACTATCTAGTGCACAGTAGGCATTCAGTCCATGTTTAAGTGAGCCCTCCCACCCAGCTTTCACTTGTGAAACATCTATTCATGACGACCTCCTAAGACTTCCATCTCATTCCATAGCAAACAAATTTACCTTAATTCTCAAGGCCTCCCACATCCTAGCCCCTATTATGTCCTTCCTGTGTCCTTGACCATTTTATTTTGCTTTGCATTTATCTTACCTTTTTTCCCTTATCCTGGGGCATCCTTCAACAGTGCCACTCAAGATAGCATGTGACTTGGAGATAAAGTGAGGTCATAAAAAGGTGGGGGGAGGGGTTGATAGCTAAAGATAAAAGTAAACCTTTCTGGTCTAGGAAAAATAATCTCTCTTTGGTCCACCAATAGTCATGTTGTTAGACAGTACAGGGGCAGAACTGATCCCAGGTGACAGCGAACTTCCAATGTATACTAGACAAAGTTACAAGTGAGGATTCAGCTACTTAGCAGGTGGAGACAGAGAAGGGTTTAGTGTTTTAGACTTAGGCATGATTTAATTAAGGATTAAACATTCCAGTAGTCATCTCCCACTGAAGGAGCATGACTCTGCCATTGGAGAGAACTAGACTGCAAAAATAGGGAACAAAGGAAGGTAAACATTCCTGCAGTGAACTCCAAGTTTCAGCCAGAGAAAGTTCTCAAGCCTCGAAGAACCACTAAAAATTTTCAAGTGATCAGATGTCCCACATAGTAAACAAACCTTAAGTTTTGATTTACTGTTCCTCTAGACCAAGGGTTGGCAAACTGCATCTCACAGGTCAAATCAGGCTCACCACCTGTTTTAACATGTCCCATGAGCTAGAATGATTTTTACATTTTTAAACAGTTAAATAATCAAAATACTATTTCATGATGTGAAAATGATATGAAATTCAAATTTCAGGCCAGGTGCGGTGGCTCACGCCTGTAATCTCAGCACTTTGGGAGGCTGAGGCGGGCGGATCACGTGAGGTCGGGAATTCGAGACCAGGCTGACCAACATGGAGAAACCCCGTAAAAATACAAAAGTAGCCGGGCGTGGTGGTACATGCTTGTAATCCCAGCTACTTGAGAGGCTGAGGCAGGAGAATCGCTTGAACCCGGGAGGCGGAGGTTGCAATGAGCCGAAATCTTGCCACTGCACTCCAGCCTGGGCAACAAGAATGAAACTGTCTTAAAATACAAACAAAAAAATAGTTTTATTGGCTCTAGCCAAGCTCATTCATTTACATTATCATCTATAGATGCATTTTTACTACAACAGCAGAGTTGAACAGTTGAAACAAGGACTGCATGGCCTGTGTAAAGCCTAAAATATTTGCTATCTGACCCTTTACAGAAAGTTTGCCAACCCCTGCTCCAGACAAGCACTATCCAACAGAACTTTTTGCAGCGATGGAAATGTTCTATATCTGTGCTGTCCAATGCAGAAGTCGCTAGCCACATGTAGCTATTTGAGCACTTGAAATATGGTCAACAGTGACTGAATAACTGAATCCTTAATTTCATATAATTGAGATTTTCATAACCACAAGTGGCTAGTGGCTACCATAATAGACAGTACAGCTCTAGACTCTTAAATCTTCTGTACTGATGTTTTTTTTTCTCCTTATGCCACTATCTCACTCCCTTCCTGTGACATTCCTCTATGGATTCTCAGGAACTCCCCACCACCCCACTGTTCCACAGTCCCACTCACTATATACACATCCATTTTTCTGACCTCAAGCTAGGGTACACTTACTAGGTTGTCTCTCTGGACTCTCCATTGTCACAAATGAAGTCTGAAAATGGATCAGGTTATCAGTTGTCACCCTATGAATTAAGCCACATTATGTACATACACATAAATGGACATTTACACAAGTTCATTTGTGTCAGAGGATGGCACTGAGGCTGTATTCTTTCTTCTCTGCATGAGAGAAGTAGAAAAGCCCTCCACATGCTGGATGCCTTGTTGCTGCTGGTGCCTGTGGTATGGATCACCTCCCTCCGAACACATTCACAGAAGCTCAGAGCAGCAGATGTATGCTTGGCTACTTGAATCTCTAGGAAAAAAAATTCCTTCATCATTGGATTTTCTGTCCCTCCCCAGGCCTAACAAACTGAAGTTCACTGATTTCTTTAGTTTAATAGATGCTTGCTGTTTACTCGTCTTTTTGAGCTGACTTTTTGAGAATAACTCCCATGCTGTCTTGATCTTGGCTAGGTGCATTTTTAAAATTTACTAAATTAAATGAAATCCACATAAATGGGCTTTGAAGTCTAAATTTTTCACACTTACTTCCTAGGAAAAAATGAATTTATGTAAACTTCTGACTTAAAAGAGGGGATACCTAGTTTTCTTTTTCCAGATTAGCTATAGCAAGAAACAAACAAAAACCCTTACTCTATTCCAAACATCTAACTGCAAAGCCAAGGCTTCCTACATTTGATCTTAGCCAAAAGGCCGAGAAGCAATAAAGCCAAGGCTTCCTAAACCCCGTCAGAGAAAGTCTCCAGTTTCATATATCCCCCTACTCTGACTTTATATAAATGAGACTGAGTCCTGCCTGGAAAAACAAAAACAAAAACAAAAACAAAAAAGCTGAAACCTTTAGGCACTATACAAATTGACAGCAATTGAACCCAACTATTCAAAAGTGGGTACAGATATTTAGACTGCAACAAAAAACCAGCTCAGAAATGTGAAACTTCCTTTAGGCCACACTGTCCCAGAGTTACACAGTCAGAGCAAAGTGTTGTAAAGTCCTAAAAGGCTATTCCTGGGCAAGTTTGCACTCAGGCTGCTAAGAATTTCCACTAGGCTTTAAATTGTGCTATTCATCACTGAGCAACTGAAGGCCATCTACCCCCAAGTTTCTCCCACACTTCCTCCCTGGTGTCTCCACAAATAAAAGAGAGACCTTATACCACCACCACCATATGAACTAAAGACAGACTTTCACAGTCTAACCATGAAAAGGAGAAGTTTCCATGTTATTCTGCCATTTACTAATGAGGCTCCAGTTGCATATTTTGGATGCTGAGGTGGGTTCTTGTAAACTTGTGAAGTTCTTGTAAACTGTCTTATCTCAGCACACAAAATGGTTGCATAACCTGATCTGTCACAGCTCCTGATGTTTTTCTTTCGGCATGCACACAGTCTATCCAGGAGAAAAAAATCAATCCAGACACCTCTATGCTCAGGCTGTTGTTCAAATAAACTTTTTTCCTCCCTCCCTAGGCTCTTCACCTCCTGTCTTCTAGTTTTATTTTGGTATTAAGAGAGCCAGACAACTCCAGCATAGAATTCAAGGTGCTACTGCTTAGTAAACTATTAGCTGCATAGTGAACCCAGTATGGCTTCATTAATAGTAGGGTCTGCAGGAAGCCAGAAAGAGACTCCCCCGACATGCCCCCTGCCAAAGAAGTGGACATTAGCAGTCCTTTCCCCTTTCTCCAGAGGTTGAACAGAAAAAGAGAATACTACATGTTTGCATCACCGCAACAAGAATCGGGTGGGTTTTCCCTGGGAATCCAGAGTGATCAGGCCCTGCAAAACCAATGCCTAGAGCTATGCAACAAGCAGGGTTCACAGTTGAGTGAACATCAATGCATAATGAGTGGAGGCATTTCAATGCAAATAAACGCTGAATATGAAGGATTAAAGAAAGGGGAAATTAATCTTTTTCATAACACAGGGCACATTTTTTTTCTCTCCCTTGCTCTCTCTTTTTTAAGAAATGCACACAACTGCTGGAGGGAGTCCAACTTCCCCAGTGTGGTGGTGTTGTTTTATAAAAAGCAGAACATACACATTTAAGACCATGAATTTCCTCAGGATGCCAGCAACTGAGATTCTGACAGCTCTTCAGAACAGCCTCAGTGTTTCACTAAGGACGGCCAGACTGACAAAAATCTCATTTCAAACCAACCTCTTCTTTTTCCAAAGCGCATAGCTTTCTGGGATGTGAATGGTTTAAAAGGTTTGAGTTCAGCATTTGGTGGGTATTTGGATGCATTTACTAAGGCGATTTTATTTTTTAGTTTGTTTCTAATTGCCCCATCCAAGTGATGCTTTTGCAATACCAACAAAATAAATAGGGCAGCTTCATGGTGCTTTAGCAGGTGGCTCCATCTCCTCCCAGTCTGAACCATCCATATCCTGGCTTCTCAAACCCAAGAAGTGGAAGCACTTCTTCAGGTTATTCCTTCCAAAAAAAAAATTTGCCAGTGAGGGTTACTCGGCTTTTCACATTTCATTCAGACTGTTTAAGAGACATTGGATTGGAGCAGAAAACTTGTTACAAACCTTTTTGTCCCATCACAGGTTTGTATTAAGCACAGGATTCCTCAAACATCCTATTACTCTATCAGATTATCCCTTTGATAAGAAACTTTAAAATCTGAGAGGAACCCTCAAAAAAAAATCATTAACCTAGGTTAAAAACTTTCTAACTACAAATACAAGTCTCAGAAAGGAAAAGAATTTCCAACTTGGTCCAATCTCTTTTGATACTATTCTAAGAAAAATGTCAAAAGACTTAGAATTTTTAAACAGGTTTTTATAAATAATGTGTTCAAAGATTTCGACCCCATTACATAAAGTAGGAATCCCACTCCTTAAGAAAAATATACAGATTTTGGTAAGAGTTTAAGTTCTGAGATATTCAAGCCTGACGCCAAGCCTTTAGGTTTCTACTACTTCAATTCCAAAGGACCAGTAGATAGCAATTTTAGTACACAAAACTCCACTATGCTGTATAGTTCCTTTTCTCCTGGGTCAGACAGCTTTATTCTGCTTCATTAACCCCTTCTTTGCTCCTTGATGGATCTTGGAATCCAATTTCCCTGTAAGGGAGAAAAATAAGTCTCATTATTTATTTTTGTATTTGCAATGCAAATCTTTTGCAGCCTCCCAGGTCTTCTGGTTACTGTGTTCCTGTCACATTCAATTATCTTACTTCAGGACTCAGACACTTCCAAACTTCAGAGTTTCATTCTGTAAGAATAAGGAAGCAATGGGAACACTGTACAAGGATACACAAATGCATACAATGAGTATTTGTCCTAAGAATCTAAGAAGTTAATTATTTCTAATTTTGTAGCTACTAGAAAAGAAATAATCACATTTTTAAGGGGTTTGATGCTACGGCAAATTTTTAAGAATATACACATGCAATAAAGGCAGGCATTTCACAGTGGGAAATCCATTCCTGTGACCTGTTAACTGGCTGAGCATAATGCATGAACCTTCACAGTGAGAAAAGCAGTTCAACACCCCTTTGCTGCCTCAGACTTAATAGGGGGAGTGACCTGCAACAGTGGAATAGAATCCACATGAATGCTTTACTGACAAAGGGCCCCTATCACCAGCTAAGAAGGTTAAAGGTCATAGGCTATATGACTCTCTAAGTGTTAAACTTAGAAAACAAGCAACCTTCCCATCCCAGGTGACCCTAATGAAAGGTATATTACTGATGTGGTCTCTGACCTCTTCTCAGATCTACCAGGATAGAGTTTGGCTCAGTGGTAGCAGCCTTAGGAACCATCCATCTCATTAGGAGAATCTTAAGAGAATTCCTGTCTGTCTGGCCTGAGAACAGTTTGGCAGTTTGCTTTCTCCCACAAAAAGTCTCATCTAAGTCAATAGTGATGCTTATGCTGAAAATAGAAACATAATTCAGTTCAGTCTCAGCACTAAAAAAAAAAAAGAAAACAAAAAAAAAAAACAAGGAGTCTTCCCCTTCAAAGGCAGCTGAGTATACCACAGGCCCATGCCCATAATCACTGCCTCTCAATATGTTGTCATTTTCATTTGTTGCAGCAATTGGGCATAACAGAGCACTGGACTAAAAATCAGAAGACCCAGGTTCTAGTCCACCCTTCTCTGGTATTAACTAGCTGTGTGACCTAGGCGAGTCATTCAATTTCTCTGGATTTCAGTATTTTCACTTGTCCAATTAAGTTAAGAATACATGTACTGACCATGGCACAGTAAGACTGTGAGAAAAATTAGCCTCAGCCTAACAAGTTTCTCTGTTTACTTAAATCTCCTCTTGCCCAACATTAGTCTGTCTGTATATCTCTCTTTGTCTGTTTATCTCTCTCTCTCTTTTCTTTTAGGCTACACCTGCTTCTAGAAGAACATTATGTCCTTTTCTGGGCTTCCTCAGAAACCATCACTAAGTGATACCCTGAATATCATTTAACAATAATCACAATGCTGTTGATTTTAATTAGGGCTTTAGAGCATAGGGCATTCCCAGGGATTTAGGAGTTCTTTTATCCCTTATGCTGCCTGGCTGAAAACCTGAACATGTGCCAGCCATCTGGCAAAGAGCCCTGTTACAAGGCAAGTCAGCCTTTGTATCCCTAACACTACCATAGTGACTGCCAAATGGTAGACGCTCAATAAATGCTCTCACCAAATGAATTAAACAAAGGTAGACACTACAAATTTCAAAACCTTTATATTATAGACAGTACTAAGTAACCACAAATAGCAGATATCAGACAAATGTAAGAGTACAGATTGTAAAGGTGGTGGTACCCAGAGGTGAGTCCCATTCAGCTTTTTAGGACAAGCTGGGACAGAATTTAGAATTCCATCTAGGACTCCAGACATCCAGTCGTCTGTATTGCATAAGTTGAAAGACTTTATTTATTGAGACAGAGTCTCTGTCGCCCAGGCTGGAGTGCAATGGCATAATCTCGGCTCACTGCAACCCCCACCACCCAGGTTCAAGCAATTCTGCCTTAGCCTCCCCTGTAGCTGGGACTACAGGTGTGTGCCATCACGCCCAGCTAATTTTTTTATTTTTTGGTAGAGATAGGGTTTCACCACGTTGGCCAAGTTGGTCTTGAACTCCTGACCTCAAGCAATCCCCCACCCCACCTCAGCCTCCCAAAGTGCTGGGATTACAGGCGTGAGCCACCACACCTGGCTGAAAAACTCAGTTTTAATCCTAAGACTTCCTAGCTGTATAACCTTGAGTATGTTACCTAGTCACTCTTGTCCTCAATTTTTATCAACTCTAAGAGGAAACTGGACTATACAATACTGAAGGTTCCTTCCAACTCTATGATATTGTGCCCTAGAAATGAAATGTAAATTGGAATAATTTGTTCCTGAGGCAATCTGATACAGTGAAAAGAACAGGAAACCTTGTGCCAGAAAGATTTGAGTAAAACAACTTCCATAAACCTGTAAAATGAAAGGAGGAAAAAGCCCTTACTAACACACAGAATTATTAAGAAGATTATAGCTAACATGAAGTGCATTCTATAGACCAGTCACTGAGCTACGTGTATTACACATACACTGAGTCCTTTAATCAAATAACTACAGGTTCAGTATTCCTTATCTAAAATGCTTGGGACCAGAAGTGTTTTAAATTTCAGATTTTTTTGGATTTTGGAATATTTGCATTATATATATTTACTGGTTAAGTATCCCAAATCCAGAAATCCAAAATCCCAAATGCTCCAATGAGGCATATCCTTTGAGCATCATGTTGAAGCTCAAAAAGGTTTAGATTTTGCATTTCAGATTTTCAGATTTGTGGCAGGGCATGGTGGCTCATGCCTGCAATCCCAGTACTTTGGGAGGCCAAGGCAGGCAGATCGCTTGAGCCCAGAAGTTCCAGACCAGTCTGGCCAACATGGTGAAATACTGTCTCTAACAAAAAAACCAAACCCCCCTCAACCCCCAGAAAAATTTGCTGGGTATGGTGGTGCAAGCCTGGAGTCCCAGCTACTCAGGAGGCTGAGACAGGAGGATGGCATGAGCCCAGGAGGTGGAGGTTGCAGTGAGCCAAGATCTCATGCCATTGCACTCCAGCATGGGCAACAGAGTGAGACCTGTCTAAAAAAAAAATTTTTTTTTTTTTTTGGGCCGGGCACAGTGGCTCACTCCTGTAATCCCTGCACTTTGGGAGGCCGAGACAGGCAGATCACCTAAGGTCAGAAGTTCAAGACCAGCCTGGTCAAAATGGTGAAACCCGTCTCTACTAAAAATACAAAAATTAGTTGGGCGTGGTGGAGGGTGTCTGTAATCCCAGCTACTCAAGAGGCTGAGGCAGGAGAATCACTTGAACCCAGGAGTTGGAGGTTCCAGTGAGCCAAGATCGCACCATTGCACTCCAGCCTGGGCAACAAGAGTAAAACTCAAAAAAAAAAAATTAATAAAAATAAAAGCAATAAAAAATTAGCCGGGTATGGTGGTGCAGGCCTATAGTCCCAGCTACTTGGGAGGCTGAGGTGGGAGAATTGCTTGAGCCAGGGAGGCAGAGGTTGCAGTGAGCCGAGTTCACACCACTACACTTCAGCCTGGGTGACAGAGTGAGACCCACTCCCCAAAAAAAAAAAAAAAAAAAAAAAGATCAGATTTGGGATGCTCAGCCTATAACTGAAATAATATATATTAAAGTGTTTCAGGCCAGGTGTGGCTCATGCCTGTAATCCCAGCACTTTCGGAGGCCAAGGCAAGCAAATCACTTGAGGTCAGGAGTTCAAGACCAGCCTGACCAACATGGCGAAACCCCGTCTCTACTAAAAATACAAAAATTAGTTGGGTGTGATGGTGCTCGCCTGTAATCCCAGCTACTCGGGAGGCTGAGGCAGGAGAATTGCTTGAACCCAGGAGGCAGAGGTTGCAGTGAGCTGAGATCTCACCAGTGCATGCCAGCCTGGGCAACAGAGCAAGACCCCATCTCAAAAAAAAAAGTGGGGGGCTTCATAAATTCAAAGTCTCCTGAAGAAGTAAGGGTGGTTATATTATTTACGCTGAGGCTTGGGAGTTAGGTTTCTTAGTTATGGTTTCAATTTCACCTTTCATTTACCATATAACCCCAGGCAAGTCTTTTAATTATTATTTATTTCAGATTCTTCATAAGAAAAAAAGACATATCATTTTCTTCACATTCTTAAAGCTTTACTGAATGAGAACATTCCTATTTTACGTTTCAGGAAACTCCAGTATGATTATGAAAGCCCTCAAGTGAGACCAGCTCAGGTAAGATCAACCCATCAGAATAAAACACTCAATTGTAGGCAGACTAATCTCTGGCTTCAATGATGATGTCTAAAATGGAAAGCTAATAGGAGAAACAAGATACAAGAGGAACAAGGATTTCCAGGATATTCCCAGGAATTCAGACGTTCTTTCATCCTCTAGGCTGCCTAAAAAAAATCAGACATTTGCCAACAATCTGTGAACTCCTTACAATCATGGACATTTTGTATCCTTAACGTCTAACAGAGTGATTGCCAATAGAGGCAACTCTTGGGCCAGCTGTGGGCAATGATGGTAAGGGACCGGGGCTTCTTGTGGAAAGCAGCAGTCATCATGACTGTCCTTAGATTGCAGGAACTCAAAGCTCTGAGTTCTAGTTCACCCTGGGCTTCTTTTTTCTTTTTTTTCCTTTCTTTCTTTTTTTTTTTTTTTTTTTTTCTTTTGAGACGGAGTCTCACACTCTCGCCCAGGCTGGAGTGCAGTGGCGCCATCTCGACTCACTGCAAGCTCCGCCTCCCGGGTTCACGCCATTCTCCTGCCTCAGCCTCCCGAGTAGCTGGGACTACAGGCACCTGCCACCACGTCTGGCTAATGTTTTGTATTTTTAGTAGAGACGGGGTTTCACCGTGTTAGCGAGGATGGTCTCCATCTCCTGACCTTGTGATCCGCCTCGGCCTCCCAAAGTGCTGGGATTACAGGCGTGAGCCACTGCGCCCAGCCCACCCTGGGCTTCTAAGATCAGGATCTGGATAGTGAACCATAGTGACATACAATACATCCTCTTCATGGTAGGGTGTAACACTTAGTTTCTGTATTTCCCCAATATTTTTACATTTAGTACCTAATCGTTTCAGTGTTAAACCACATCCTCAATCATAGTGCCTAAAAGAAAGTCAAATGCATGTGCAGCAGATGGGCAAGAAGTTAAAAGGGGAAAAAATATTTGTCATTAATTGATATAACTCTCATAGGAATTTTCACATGGTTTGCAAAAGATATAAGGTGCATGAGTTTATAGAGCATGTTGCTAAATTTAAAAAATTTCCTTTATCTGAGTATTCAACCTATATAAAGCAGACACAGAGCCAGGTGATACCCTATTGTATATTGCTCTTTTCTGAATTATCTCAATTTGAGGAGACACAATTACCTTAAGGTCAAGCAAACTCAAATTTACACTTCCAAAAACAAACAAATCAAAGTATACACCTTTAATTTAAGGCATTTATACATCCATATATTTTTTATATATATATATATGATACAACACATAAATGGGTCATATTCTGAAAGTTTATTTGCAAGTCTGAAGTTTGGAACCTGAAGCCGGGCATCATAGTAGTGTATATCTACATAGTAGTTCCAGCTACTTGGGAGGCTCAGGCAGGAAGATCTCTTGAGCCCAGAGTTCAAGGCCAGTCTAGGCAACACAGTGAGACCCCTGTCTCAAAAATAAAAGTTTGGAATTTCGAATATATTTATCATAGAACTAATCTGTAAAGGGTGGCTAGGTTCCTAAGACATCCCACAAAAAAAAAAAACAAAAACAAACAAAAAAAACAAACATTTAAGCCACAGTGTTATAAGTAAAGCAGACTATTAATTAATTTTTTTTTTTTAGAGACAGGGTCTTGCTGTGTCACCCAGGCTGGAGTGCAGTATTGCAATCATAGCCCATTGCAGCCTTGAACTCCTGGGCTCAAGCAATATTTCTGCCTCAGCCTCCCAAGTAGCTGGCACTATAGGCACACGCCACCACACTGGAATAATTTTTTTTATTTTTTTGTAGAGACAGGGTCTCGCTATGTTACTCAGGCTGGTCTCAAACTCCTGGCTTCAAGTGATCCTCCTGCCTCAGATTCCTAAAGTGCTGGGATTATAGACATGAGCCACTGTGCCTGACCAAGTATTAATATTATTGCTATTAAACTTAATCACTTCATGTAATAATATATCTAGGGGAAAGTGTGATAACCATTTCAAATTAAGAGGCAGGTATGTATTTTCCCCAATGTAACTGGGATTAAAGACTTTTCCAGCTTAAACTACTGGAGGTTATCCCCTAGGACCTAAGGCAAGAGAGTTCTGGCAGAGTAGAAGGTTTTTAGAGAGGCCAAGGTGGATGGATCACCTGAGCTCAGGAGTTCAAGACCAGCCTGGGCAACATGGCAAGACCCCGTTTCTAGCAAAAATACAAAAAATTAGCCAAGCATGGAGGCGCGTGCCTGTGGTCCCAGCTACTTAGGAGGCTGAGGTGGGAGGATCACTTGAGCCTGGGAGATGGAAGTTGCAGTGAATTGAGATTGTGCCACTGCACTCCAACCTGGATAACAGAGTGAGACCCCATCTCAAAATAAAATTTTCACTACCTATTGTTTCTGTGCAATTTTTAACCTTGTCTAGTCTACCATTAACTAACAGAAACAATACGAAAAAGATAGGAAGTTATTAAAGGTTTCTCCTAAGAATGTCACTCCCCTCACCATCATGAAACCTTATGGAGAAAAATGAAGGCCCTATAGGTCCTGAAGGTGTAGAGAAAGTACTAAAGTAAAACATTTCAGAGAAATAGCTAAACTCTACACAGAACATTTTCTCACAGGACTTTAGGCAGCAGATGAAAACCAAGCCAGGGGAAGAAGCTACGAAAAGGGAAGTAGGACTAAAGATCAATTAACAGTGGGTTTGAGAGAGAGGATTTACCACCGTTTCCTCCTACCACCAGTGTTGCCACCAGTACCTAGAGGAAGGTGAGAATGAAATGGAGGAGGAAGGGGTAGACTGCTAGAACCAAAACAGAGGGAGGGTAAAAGGAGATCTAAATCCTAAACAGGGCCAGGTGTGGTGGCTCACACCTGTAATCCTAACGCTTTAGGAGGCCAAGGCAGGAGGATCCACTTGAGACCAAACTGGGCAACATAGTGAGACCTCATCTCTACCAAAAATTTAAAAATTATCTGGGCGTGGTGGCACATACCTGTAGTCCCAGCTACTTTGGGGGCTGAGGTGGGAGGATTACTTTATCCCAGGAGGTGGAGGCTGCAATGAGCCATAATTGCACAACTGCACTCCAGGCTGGGTGACAGGCCAAGGCCCTATCTCAAAAATAAATAAATCCTTAATAGTGGAGAAAAGAAAGGATTTCCAGGGCTACTGGGCCACCAACTGGAGTACCGTCTGAAGTAAATAATTTGTGTCAGTTAAGGGCAACTTGGTTCAGATCTTCGAATGTGTAGGAATCTTAGGATCTTATCAATCAAGATGTTGCCTGAATTTTGCAGTAAATATACATTAATATAAATTCCTACTCTAAGCATTTCATTTTGTGATTGAAAGCAGTGTTACTTAAAGTACAGCCAGCTGGCCAACAGCATCAGTATCACCTGAGAGCAGGATTGAGGAACCTGTGTTTTAACAGCTTGCTAGGTGATTTTTAGTTACATTATAGTTTGAGAAGTACTTCTCTAGGGCATAGATTTATAAAATGGCTAGTTGGTCCCCAAGGTATTGGATGAGGGAGAGTTTCGCACCAGTGAGGACAATGCATGCCCTAGAATCATGCAATTCACACAATGGGAAAGCAATGACAAAGAGGCACAAAATGGTAACTGACATGAGCAAATGGGAGAGTTGCTGATGTTGCTTTTCCAAGGATGTTAGGCAGGGAGGACACCACTACTATATGTGTGTTTTTTTTGTTTGTTTTTGTTTTTGTTTTGTTTTGTTTTGAGACGGAGTCTCGCTCTGTTGCCCAGGCTGGAGTGCAGTGGTGCAATCTCGACTCACTGTAAGCTCCGCCTCCCAGGTTCACGCCATTCTCCTGCCTCAGCCTCCCGAGTAGCTGGGACTACAGGTGCCCGCTACCATGCCTGGCTAATTTTTTGTATTTTTAGTAGAGATGGGGTTTCACTGTGTTAGCCAGGGTAGTCTCGATCTCCTGACCTTGTGATCCACTTGCCTCGGCCTCCCAAAGTGTTGGGATTACAGGCGTGAGCCACCACGCCCGGCCCACTATATGCGTTTTGAGACTGCTTTGAAATACAAGAGGCTGCTCTAGGACAGAGGAAGAAAAGATGGGTCCCAGCTAGACCCTGTCTCAATCAATTAACTAATAAAAATTTTTAAAATGAGGCCAGGTACAGTGGCTCACGCCTGTAATCCCAGCACTTTGGGAGGCCAAGGCAGGCGGATCACAAGGTCAGGAGTTCGAGACCAGCCTGGCCAATATGGTGAAACCCCATCTCTACTAAAATACAAAAATTAGCCAGGAGTGGTGGCAGATGCCTGTAGTCCCAGCTACTCGGGAGGGTGAGGCAGGAGAATCGCTTGAACCCAGGAGGTGGAGGTTGTAGTGAGCCGAGATTGGGCCACTGCACTCCAGCCTCGGAGACAGAGTGAGACTCTGTCTCAAAAAAAAAAAAAAAATGTTAAAAAGGAATGAAAAGCAAGAGAGCCAAGGCTGTACTCTGGGAACCAATAATGAAGAGAAATGTGGGAAGTGGTGTCTCTAAAATAGATGTTCAATAATAAATACTTAAAATGTTAAGTCTTTTTTTTGAGATGGAGTTTCGCTCTTGTTGCCTAGGCTGGAGTGCAGTGGCGTGATCTCGGCTCACTGCAACCTCTGCCTCCCGAGTTCAAGCGATACTTCTGCCTCAGCCTCCCGAGTAGCTGGGATTACAGGTGCCCACCACCATGCCCTGCTAATTTTTTGTATTTTCAGTAGAGACGGGGTTTTACCATGTTGGCCAGGCTGGTCTCGAACTCCTGACCTCAGATGATCCACCCGTCTCAGCCTCCCAAAGTGCTGGGATTATAGGCATGAGCCACCATGCCCAGCCCTTATTCTTGAGTTGAATACTGAACAATGAATAAATGGATAAATGACAATGTTGCCACTGCACTGCCTTACTACTTCCTTTAATGAGCAGTACAGTGGGGCAAAACACTCTTTTGGCTGACAAATAGCATTTTAATGTAATAGGATCTGAAATTGAAGTTTAGAGCGACTTACTATGCCGGTAATTGTGGATCAAGGTATACTTTGGAAAGGCTTTACTGTAGTTAACCTAACATAAAGTTATTGATAAGTATAATTATATTAAGCCTCCAACACTAGGGACACACAGAACACAATAAATTTTTTTTTTTTTTTTTTTTTTTTGAGACTGAGTGTCGCTCTGTTACCAGGCTGGAGTGTAATGGCACAATCTCAGCTCACTGTAACCTCCGCCTCCCAGGTTCAAGCGATTCTCCTGCCTCAGCCTTCCAAGCAGCTGAGACTACAGGCGCTACAGGCACTACAGGTGCTACAGGCGCACGCCACCACACCCAGCTAATTTTTTTTTTTTTTTTTTGGTAATCTTAGTAGAGACGGGGGGGTTTCACCATGTTGGCCGGGATGGTCTCGATCTCTTGACCTTGTGATCCGCCTGCCTCAGCCTCCCAAAGTGCTGGGATTACAGGCATGAGCCACCGTGCCCGGCCAAAAGGGAAGATTTTATAAAAATCTAGACAAGTAAGATGCAAGACAAAAAAAAAGAAAAGAAAAGAAAAGAAAATTAGACCATCAAAGATTATGACTTACAGGCTGATCCAAAGGTAGTGGGTTACCTCAACTGATTGTTCACAGTCAGTTATAGATTGAACTCCTTGTTCTACTTTTTTCCCCATTCCTTACTACTGCACTTGACTAGTCTTAAAGAAAAAAAATCATGACTTACAGATTTTTGGATTTCCTTTAATAGGAAACTTCACAACCATTTCCTGAGGATTTTTGCAGATGAAAACAAATGGAGAATCAGACTCTTGACTGATGTCTGGAAACTGTGAAATATAAAAATAAAAAGTTCAGGATAGTTGGGACAAGCTTTGAATTTAAGGAGAACAGAAGATGTCCCAGATTTCACCTCAACATTCTGATGATACTACTTTCCATTTCACAGGTAAAGAGGATTATGCTCAACAAGCAAGAACAAACCTTCACCTTTCTACAATCCTTAGTACAGCATTATACAGTCTATTGCCTGCCATCTCTGATTTCCTATAGTGGGAACAACTTCATTAAAAAAAAAAAAAAAAAAAAGGATACCTGAAATCCTCCCAGAAGAATCAGAACGGAATGCTCTTTTATCACAAACAACCAAGAGTCAGGAGATTCAGAGATCTCCTTGGGGAACATCAGGTACCCCCTAGGTTCAACTCAAGTGAAGCACTGGAAGACTTAAGAAAAATAAAACATCTGTGGAAATTCTGCCAGAAACAGTACACATAGCCCTTCTCTAGCTAAAGGGAAGGAAGATGATTCATTCTGAAAGGTATGAACATGCAAAAGCTGTTTTGCTGGATGCTTTCCAGATCTACTTCGGGTGAAAAGGTAACTGGTTAGAGCAATTCTGAAAATTATTTAGAAACCTCCTTTGGATCTCTTATCATAAAAACAAATCTGTGTGAATAGTTAGGACTTTTACTTTTTTTGTAAAAACAGACACAGAACCTAGAGTAAGACTATGCTGGCTACACAATCACAATTTAAGAACAATTGGGGGTTAGCAATGGCTGAGCTGGAATTTCATTATTTCCTATCTTACTATGTCTTATGTTTAGCACATTCAACAAATATGACTCATAGGCTTCTGGGTCAGACTTCATTACCAGAGAAGACTTTCTCCTAGTAACTACCGTAAAAAGTATGAAATTACCTGTATTTTCCACCCTTATTTGACTGCTAAGATAAGCCTTCTAAAGTCTAAGCCACTAAAAGTTTCATTTTAAAAAGTAAGGAAATTCAAATTTCTCTGTAACTAGAAGCATGAATAGTTAAACTTCTTTATTGACCACTCTTGTCCTACATGATAAGTGATGCTGTGGAGAAAACAGAAGGGATTTTTACTAGCATCTGGCCCTGCCCATACACCATGGCTTTCAGTGTGGAAGAGGTGGGACATGTACTTTGTTTTTGTTTTGTTTTTTTTTAAAGATGGGGTCTCTCTATGTTGCCCAGGCTGATCTCAAACTCCTGGACCCAAATGATTCTCCTGCCTCAACCTCCCAAAGTTCTGGGATTATAGGAGAGAGCCACCGCACCCAGCCAATAAAACAAACTTAATATTAACTATCAGCCACAATCATATTAATAGGCAGGGTCAAATGTTCACGGTAGAAAAGTAAGGCTACAGATACAAAGGTAAACCCTCTTCTTTCTTATCCCTTTTATCTTCAGAAGCCAAAGAAAAACAGGGCCCAGCTGTTATTGCTGGGTATTAGAAGGAAATAAGCTCTGCACAAGATCCATGCTGAGGTGCTTTGGCACAAATAAAACCAGAGGCTGCCATCAAGATCTCCAAACCTAATTCTACAGAGACCAGAGCAGCAGCATTCATAATTACTATCTCTTTAATTTTCCTGTTTTTCCTTCCCTGTGGCTTAGAGACCATTGAGGCAAAGGACAATCAACAGCTCTGCTTTTCCAACACCATAAACCATTTCAGCCAATCTCTCCTCCTTCTTCCATGTCAATAGTTTTTGCCTCTCTACTGGATCAATCCTATTAACACACAAACATTCTGTAATGTCTGGCATGAAACAAAATCTCTTATCCAGATCCCACATCCTCCTCCAGCTACTACTCATTTCTCAGATTCCCATTACAACAAAATTCATCAAAAGATTATCTGTACTCCCTGCCTTTAATTCCTCTCCTACTTTTTTCTTGAATTCACTATAAGTAGGCTTTCACTCTCATCATTCCATCAAAATCATTCTTGTAAAGGTCACTGTTGACTTCCATGCTGCTAAATCAAACGGTCAATTCGCAGTTCTCATCTTTTTTTTTTTTTTTTGAGATGGAGTCTTACCCTGTTACCCAGGCTGGAGTGCAATGGCGTGATCTCGGCTCACTGCAACCTCTGCCTCCTGGGTTCAAGCAATTCTCCTGCCTGCCTCAGCCTCCCGAGTAGCTGGGATTACAGGCGTCCAAAACCATGCCCAGCTAATTTTGTATTTTTAGTAGAAACAGGGTTTCACCATGTTAGCCAGGCTGGTCTTGAACTCCTGACCTCAGGTAATCCACCTGCCTCAGCCTCCCAAAGTGCTGGGATTACAGGCGTGAGCCACCGTGCCTGGCTCAGTTCTCATCTTAATTGATCTATCTGTAGTAGAACTTGATCTATCTGTAGTAGAACTTGATAGAATTCTTTTTTTTTTTTATCTTCACTCTTGCCATCCAAAGATAGAATTCTTTTCTCTGGCTAGGTGCGGTGGCTCACACTTCTAATCCCAGCACTTTGGGAGGCCCAGGCAGGAGGATTGCTTGAGCCCAGGAGTTTGGGATCAGCCTGGGCAACATAGCAAGACCCCATCTCTACAAAAAATAAAACGTTAAAAAAATTAGCCAAGCATAGTGGCACACACTCTAGCGTGGGCAACAGAGTGAGACCCTGTCTCAAAGAAAAGCCAAAGTATATCCAATATCTCACCATTTCTTAAGACTTCAATGGCTACTTCCCTGGTCCAAGCCATCATAATGTCTCCCTGGGCTTCTGCAATAACCTCTTAAGTGGTCTGTTTCTGCCCTTAACTTCCCTCTTGGTCTATTCTCAACACAGCCGCCAGAACTAATTTTTTTTTTTTTTGTATCAGATCACGCCATTCTTCTGCTTAAAACTCTCCAACGGGTTTTCATCTCAATCAGAATAAAAGTCTAAGTCCTTGCTTACCATGACCTACAAGTCCATAGACAATCTGGCCCCCCATTTCCTCTCTGATACCTTCTCTTACTTCTCTCCTTCACTTTCACTCCACTCTTGCCACACTGGCTTCCTTGTTGTTCCTGCCTCAGGTTTTTTGCACTTGCCTTTTCCTTCTTCCTGGAATGCTTTTCACCCTAGATATTTCCATGGCTTCTTCCCTCTCTTCCTTCAGAACTTTGTTGAAGTGTCAACTTTTAGTGAATATTCTTGATAACCCTATTTAAAATCAGAGCACCAAATTCCCCACAAACTTGGCACTCTTAAACTACCTCTCCAGCCTTATTTTTTATTTATATATATATATTTTTTGAGACGGAGTCTCGCTCTGTTGCCCAGGCTGGAGTGCAGTGGGGCAATCTTGGCTCACTGCAAGCTCCATCTCCCGGGTTCACACCATTCTCCTGCCTCAGCCTCCCGAGTGGCTGGGACTACAAGTGCCCGGCACTATGCCCGGCTAATTTTTTGTATTTTTAGTAGAGACGGGGTTTCACCGTGTTAGCCAGGATGGTCTCAATCTCCTGACCTCATGATCCACCTGCCTCGGCCTTCCAAAGTGCTGGGATTACAGGCGTGAGCCACCACGCCCGGCCCTCTCCAGCCTTATTTTACCATCGTCTGATACAATATAATTTACTTATTTAGAACTTTTACTTGGTCTCGACTCACTAGGATGAAAGCTCCATGAGGACGGGGATTTTTGTTTTGTTTACTCATCAGCATCTAGGACCATGCCTAGTTCACAGCAGGCAATCAATAAATACTTGTTGAATAAAAACGCAATGAATTGGCCGGGCGCAGTGGCTCACACCTGTAATCCCAGCACTTTGGGAGGCCAAAGCGGGCGGACCACGAGGTCAGGAGATTGAGACCATCCTGGCTAAAACTGTGAAACCCCGTCTCTACTAAAAATACAAAAAATTAGCCAGGCGTGGTGGCGGGCACCAGTAGTCCCAGCTACGCCGGAGGCTGAGGCAGGAGAATGGCGTGAACCCGGGAGGCGGAGCTTGCAGTGAGCCGAGATCGCACCACTGCACTCCATCCAGACTGGGTGACAGAGCGAGACTCGGTCTCAAAAATAAAAAAAAAAAAAATGAATTTACCAACTTGTGCATTAACGTTATTTTATTCATGGTGAATACACACATGCTGGGAATTGTACACTCTTAGAACTATAACTCTAAGTAAAAGTAGATATTACTCTTAATGTGTTATCCCTAAGCTTGTGTCTTGGCAAGTAGTCAATATGGCTCTATGTTTAAGAAAAACCACCCTGATGTGTATTAACAGAGTAAGAAAATGTTAAATAGTGGGAAAAACTGGAAAAATGGTGGACAAATTAAATAACAATAGGTTCCTTGGACCCATCATGCCTCACAATAAAGACAAACATAAAAATCAACTTTCCCAGATGAATCTCAAATTAAAGTTCCAGGTGAATATCCCTTTTCCTACTACTAGCACTGAACTTCAAGGGGCTTACAAGAAACAGAGGTGAAAAGCAAAGTGGCCTACAAGGAATAAAGTAAAGCCTATGCATTGGAAGAAGAGATTATTTTTCATTATCAAATGCATTAAAACGAAGTTAGCTTGGCAGAGCCTCAGTACCTCCAAAAAAAAAAAAAGACAACCACAATCCCCATAACCAGGGCCTGGACACTAAAGACCACATTACATACTAACAAGCCACTATATACTTACATTGTATCCTCACAAGTAAGGGATATCTGGTCTGAAAGTCAGAAAACTAAAATGCAGATTACCCAGAGAAAGAATAAGAGAAGGGAGGTGAAGAATGTGAATAAGCTCTGGATGTCACATTTTATTTTATATTTATTATTAATTAATTATTATTTTGAGATTTCACTCTGTGACCCAGGCCGGAGTGCAGTGGTGTGTTCGTAGCTCACTACAGCCTTGACCTGGAGGGCTCAAGCCACTCAGGAGGTACTGGAGACTACAGGTGCACACCACCAGACCTGTCTAATTTTATTTTTTTTAGAGGACTAAATAAATATGTATATATATATAAATTTCTTTTGCCATTTTCATAAGAGAAAAAATTGGTTAGCAGTTTTTGTCAACCACCACTGATTCAGTGGAAAATGGGCATTTTCACCAAATCTTCAAGCCTCCCCTTCATTCTTATTCATTCTTGTACTGAAATGATCAATAACTCCTAAACTATGTCACTCTTCACAACAAATTCCCAGATGATCTGTAAATCTTATATCTGTCTCCAGATATAAGATTTATACGTTAGCCAGGCATGGTGGCTCATGCCTGTAATCCTAGCACTTTGGGAGGCCGAGACAGGTGGATTGCTTGAGGCCAGGAGTTCAAAACCAGCCTGGCCAACATGGTGAAACCCCGTTTCTACTAAAAATACAAAAAATTAGCCGGCATGATGGCGGGCACCTGTAATCCCAGCCACTCGGGAGGCTGAGGCAAGAGGATCACCTGAACCTGGGAGGTGGAGGTTGCAGTGAGCCAAGATTACGCCATTGCACTCCAGCCTGGGCAACAAGAGTGAAACTCCATCTCAAAAAAAAAAAAAAAAAAAAAAAAAAAAGATTTATAAGTTGTTATTTGAAGAACTAATAACTAAAGCAACAATAATAGGGAATTCATTAACAAAGAACATATATTTGCTGTAGGCATTCTTGGTCTGAATTTTGAGGAACTAGATAGAACATGAAATCAGGGTCTGAAATCTCGTTAGCTGAAAACCAACTCCAAGAAGACTGAGGTGATAATATGCAGAAAGAGAGAAGGAAATGAGTCTGATAAAGAGGTGCAAGAACAGATCCAAGGAAGCATATCCCGCAAGCAACTGTGCTCTGTGATAAACAGTTCTCATTTATATTTTCCTTCAAAGCAATTCAAGGTGTCACAGGATAACTACCACCCCAGGCCCCACTCTACTGGAAGATAAACGTTTTCTTACTTCAGGGTGACCTACTGATCATAATACTTTGACCAGATGACGACTGAATATTTGACTAGGGTTGAATAAAGATCATACCACTTGGCCCAAAGTGGGATAGTTGAACTCCCATATACCAGTAACCCAATTCAAGTCACATGCCTAGTATCTAAGACAGGGGCTTCCAGCTCAATGCTACAGAGACAATCCATATATGTACCAGGTGAAAGAAATAAGTGATAAGACACACACAAACTTACAGATCTTATAGCCATTTGTGGAAGACAATCTGGTTGAAGCAGCTACAACCAGGTCTCATTTTATCGACAGTAACATTTCCACTGTGGTTTCCTGTGCCCTGTGGAATCGTATGCTAGAACCTCCACATAAAAGAACTCAAACAAGTATATTTTCTCTAAAATTAACCTCATAACTTTTCTGGCCTGATTCTTCAAGGCCTAACTGGGAATCACCCACTCATGACAATTATTTTTGGTCTTCATTTTAATATAATAGGCTTCCACTCCAACTTAAACTAGTGAACACCAGAAGAAAGTTGCTTTTAATTAAAGACAATTTTGGGAGGCCGAGGCAAGTGCATCACCTGAGGTTGGGAGTTCGAGACCAGCCTGACCAACATGGAGAAACCCTGTCTCTACTAAAAATACAAAATTAGCCAGATGTGATGGTGCATGCCTGTAATCCCAGCTACTTGGGAGGCTGAGGCAGGAGAATCGTTTGAACCTGGGAGGCAGAGGTTGCAGTGAGCTGAGATCGTGCCATTGCACTCCAGCCTAGGCAACAAGAGCGAAACTCAAAATAAATAAATGAATGAATGAATGACAGTACATGGTAAGGTCTTCAACCAACAAAGTCCACTCTGAGACTATTACCTCAGAATGCTGAAGACTTCTCTTGAGTTAAGGGCTGTGCCAATTTTAGATTTTATTTTCCCAATGGCTAGTCTGACTCAACTGAAAACTTCTGAGGCAGTGCTCTGAGAGATCTTTGACTTCACTTAACATATCAAGGTAAGGTCATTGTCAAGCAATCTGGTGTTATTAATGTCAACAATACTCCTTTATCAAATAACATATCTTTTAGAACAAAAAAGAAACCCAAGTTGATCCTAGACTTCTCTCACCCTTCATATCCAGTAAAATTACTAAGTCCTACAAACTTTACCTCCTAAACATTCCAATCATCAGATCCTTTCTCTTCAACTCAACTGACACAGCATTGCTGCAGATCTTCATCATAACTCACCTGGACAACCATAATTTCCTAAATCATCTCTGTTTTCAGGCTTGCCCCATCCAGTACATCCTTCCTACAGCTGCCAGGACAATCGTAAAACATGACTTTGGCTGGGTGTGGTGGCTCAGGCCGGTAATCCCAGCACTTAGGGAACCCCAGGCGGGTGAATCACCTGAGGACAGTAGTTCCAGACCAGCCTGGCCAACATGGCAAAACCCATCTCTACTGAAAATACAAAAAAATTAGCTAAACGTGGTGGCGTGCGCCTGTAATACCAGCTACTCAGGAGGCTGAGGCAGGAGAATCGCTTGAACCTGGGAGGTGGAGGTTGCAGTGAGCCGAGATCGCACCAGTGCACCCTAGCCTGCACGACAGAGTGAGACTCTGTCTCAAAAAAAAAAAACAAAGTAACACGACTTCATATGATTATCTTTAGAACACAGTTCAAATCCTTTCATATGGCATTTTTTTCTTTTTTGTTTTTTGAGATGGAGTCTCACCCTGTCGCCCAGGTTGGAGTGCAATGGTGCAATCTCAGCTCACTGCAACTCTGCCTCCCAGGTTCAAGAGATTCTCCTGCCTCAGCCTCCTGAGTAGCAGCTGGGATTATAGGTATGCGCCTGGCTAATTTTTTTTTTAATCTTTAGTAGACACAGGGTTTCACCATGTTGGCCAGGCTACTCTTGAACTCCCAACCTCGTGATCCACCCACCTCAGCCTCCCAAAGTGCTGGGATTACAGGTGTGAGCCACCACACCCGGCCAAGATTTTTCATATATCTACCATTGTCTCCCTCTCTATTTATTGTCATGACCACTTACTGTGCACCTACTACATGGCAGGCTCTATGTTAGCACACTGATATAAAGGTGAATAAGACATAGACGGTCACCTAGGCCAGGCCTGGAGGCTCATGCCTGTAATCCCAGCACTCTGGGAGGCTGAGGCAGGCAGATCATGAGGTCAGGAGATGGAGACCATCCTGGCCAACATGGTGCAACCCCGTCTCTACTAAAAATACAAAAATTAGCTGGGTGTGGTGGCACACAACCTGCAGCCGAGATCGCGCCACTGCACTCCAGCCAGGCAACAGAGTGAGACTCCTTATTAAAAAAAAAAAAAAAAAAAAAAAAAAAAAGGCATAGATGGTCACCTAAAGAACTACATGTCAATATTAAAAAAAAAAAAAAAAAGCAGTAATAGAAGTATGAACACAGTAGGAACCCAAAGAAGGAAATTAATCCTGTTAGGGAGGAAATGGGCTGGGGTTAGGGAAGACTTCAGAGAGTAACATCTGAGATTTTTTTTTTGTTGATGGAGTCTTGCTCTGTTGCCCAGGCTACAGTGCAGTAGCGCGATCTCAGCTCACTGCAACCTCCGCCTCCTTGGTTCAAGTGATTCTCTGCCTCAGCCTCCTGAGTAGCTGGGATTACAGGCGCCCGCCACCATGCCCAACTAATTTTTATATTCTTAGTAGAGACAGGGTTTCACCATGCTGCCCAGGCTGGTCTTGAACTCCTGACCTCGTGATCTGCCCGCCTCGGCCTCCCAAAGTGCTGGAATTACAGGCGTAAGCCAATGTGCCTGGCTGATTTTTTTTTTCTTTTGAGACGGAGTGTCGTTCTGTTGCCCAGGCTGGAGTGCAATAGTACGATCTCAGCTCATTGCAACCTCCGCCTCCTGGATTCAAGGGATTCTCCTGCCTCAGCCTCCTGAGTAGCTGGGAACACAGGCATATGTCACCACACCCGGTTAATTTTTGTATTTTTAGTAGAGACAGGGTTTCATCATGTTGGTCAGGCTGGTCTCGAACTCCTGACCTCAGGTGATCCAAATGCGTCGGCCTCCCAAAATGCTGGGATTACAGGTGTGAGCCACCCCGCCCAGCCTGAGATGTTTTAAAGGATGAGCAGGAGCTGTCCTAGTGGACAAGGGCATGGTGACATGATGTAGAATGGTTTATTGAAGAAAATATAAATTTTACTTTCTTCAGGTTTTTTTTTTTTTTCAATCTACCATTATGGTATTCCAGGAAGCATTGCTTCTGCAGGACTTGTCTTTTTTTTTTTTTTTTTTTTTAAGAAGCTTCCTTTACACTCCCCCTCCCATCCCACTTCCAGCCATGCAAAGTTAACAGTTGGGTCCCTTCCTTAGTGTATTCCACTATTCATGTGATAGTTATTATGGTTGGGTTTTCTTGTCTCAGTTTCATCTAGTATACTTAAAGATCTAGAGGGGATGGAATAATGTTGTTAAAACTCTGGATCCTTAGTATTTAACACAGTGCCTGGCACATGACAGATAGTTAATAAATACTTAATGAATGTATGATTATATAATATCCTAAGCAATAATAATATTTTTTTTTTTTTTTTTGAGACAGAGTCTCACTCTGTCGCCCAGGTTGGAATGCAGTGGCGCGATCTCGGCTCACTGCAACCTCCGCCACCCAGGTTCCAAGGATTCTCCTGCCTCACCCTTCCGAGTAGCTGGGATTACAGGCACATGCCACCACGCCCGGCAGATTTTTTTTGTATTTTTTTTAGCAGAGATGGGGTTTCATCACATTGACCAGGCTGGTCTTGAACTCCTGACCTCGTGATCTGCCCGCCATGGCCTCCCAAAGTGCTGGGATTACAGGCGTGAGCCACTGCACCCGGCATCTTTTTTTTTTTTTTTTTTTTTTTTGAGATGGGGTCTCACTCTGTCACTCAGGCTGGAGTGCACTGATGCAATCTGCTCACTGCAACCCTTGCCTCCCCGGCTCAAGGGATCCTCCCACCTCGGCCTCCTTAGTAGTTGGGTTTACAGGTGCATGCCACCATGCCCAGCTAATTTTTGTATTTTTTGTAGAGACGGGGTTTCACCAGGTTGCCCAGGCTCATCTCGAACTCCTGGGCTCAAGTGACCTGCCCACCTGAGCCACCCAAAGTGCTGGGATTACAGGCGTGAGCCACCATGCCTGGCCAATAATATCTTAAATTAGAAGATAAGTTGCCACTTGGTTTACATGGTAGACTAGATGACAAACCAAGGAGTCCTGAACAGATTCCAAGTAGATAGCGACACTACAGCATATTCTTTCTAGATCAAATAGACCACTTTCTCTAAGCCTTGGTTTACTTAAAGGTAAAATGAAGGCATCATATCCAGTAATTGATTCTACCTACATAAAGCCCCTTGCATCATTGTTCCTGTCTTGCCTCATTTCATTGGCATTATCCTAGAACATATTTTTCAAACATCTCTATCCTGGACTACAACTGTCTTCTCACTGGTCTTCCCATCTTCAGAATATCTCCACTCCATCTTCCACATTTCTGCCAAATTAGTTTTCCCTCAAGCAAGCCTCAGATCATGTTAATGCCTCAAAAAAACTTCAAAACACTCTTTCCCATCCCACAACTGATATGTCTATCATTTGATAGATTTGAATGCCTATCATTCAAAACTATCTATCATCTGAACAAACCTACCTTTTCATTTTTTTTTTTTTTTTCTTGAGACGGAGTTTCACTCTTGTTGCCCAGGCTGGAGTGCAATGGCACAATCTCGACTCACTGCAGCCTCTGCCTCCTGGGTTGAAGTGATTCTCCTGCCTCAGCCTCCTGAGTAGCTGGGATTACAGGCATGCGCCACCACGCCCAGCTAATTTTATATTTCTAGTAGAGACGGGGTTTTTCCATGTTGGTCTGGCTGGTCTCGAACTCCTAACCTCAGGTGATCCACCTGCCTCGGCCTTCCAAAGTGCTGGGATTACAGGTGTGAGCCACTGTGCCCAGCCCTTTTTAATTTTTTTTTAATTGGGCAGTCCCAGAAGCAGATTAGTTTCAGAGAGACTCCCCATTTCATTTTTTGTTTGCTGCTTATTCCTCTATACCAGGGGTATTCAATCTTTTGGCTTCTCTGGGCCACGCTGGAAGAATTGTCCTGGGCCACACATAAAATACACTAACGATAACTGATGAGCTTTAAAAAAAAAAATCACACACAAAAAATCTCATGTTTTAAGAAAGTTTACAAATTTGTGTTTGGTCTCATTCAAAGCCGTCCTGGACCACATGCATCCCACGGGCCACAGCTTGGACAAGCTTGCTCTATACTCACACTCTTCTTTCAATGAACTGGTTTGCCATTATTCTCCATAGAGGCCGATAACTTCACCTCTGTGCCTTTGCTCCCATTACTCCTCATCCTTGTAATATGCTTTTCTACCATCTCAGTAGAAACACTTGAACAGCAAAATCATAACTCTACCATTAACTGACATTACATAAGTTATTTTTTATTTATTTTTTGAGATGGAGTCTCGCACTGTTGCCTGGGCTGGAGTGCAATGGTGCGATCTCAGCTGACTGCAGCCTCTGCCTCCTGGGTTCATGTGATTCTCCTGCCTCAGCCTCCCAAGTGGCTGGGATTACAGGTGCACATCACCACGCCTGGCTAATTTTTTTTGTATTTTTAGTAGAGATGAGGTTTCATTATGTTGACCAGGCTGGTCTCGAACTCCTCACCCTGGACATTACACAAGTTATTTGAACTCTCTTGACACTTTAGGGATGATATTTCATCCCTAAAGGAGGGGAAATGACACCCTGCTTGGAATTATTATAAGGATTAGAAAATAGCATGATGAATGTGGCACATAATAACTGATCAAAAAGTGATAGATTTCATTACTATCCTTCAAAGCTAATTCAAAACCATCTTTTTAAATAAAGTCTTTTGGGATCCTTCCCAGCTAGAAGCAAGCTTTCCCTCCTTTATTTTTCTCAGAGACAGTCTTTACTTCTTTTAAGACAGTTAGGTTCACTTTTTATTTTATATTTGGTTTATATACATATCTACCTAGAAGTCTTTCAAACATCTGAGGACAGAATCTACAGTTGATTCATCCTTTTGTTTCTCTTAGTGTTTAGAACAGTGCCTGATTTATAATAGGCTCTCAAGTGTTTATTTATTTATTTATTTATTTATTTTTATTTATTTTTGAGATGGAGTCTTGCTCTGTTGCCCAGGCTGGAGTACAGTGGCGCAATCTTGGCTCACTACAACCTCCACCTCCCGGGTTCAAGAGATTCTCCTGCCTCAGCCTCCCGAGTAGCTGGGATTACAGGCGCATGCCACGACGCCCAGCTAATTTTTTGTATTTTTAGTAGAGAAGGGGTTTCACCATGTTAGCCAGGATAGTCTTGATCTCCTGACCTTGTGATCCGCCCATCTTGGCCTCCCAAGCTGCTGGGATTAAAGGTGTGAGTCACCACGCCCGGCTGTATTTATTTATTTATTTTTCAGACAGAGTCTTGCTCTGTCACCCAGGCTGGAGTGCAGTGGCGCAATCTCGGCTCACCGTAACCTCTGCCTCCCAGGATCAAGTGATTCTCCTGCCTCAGTGACCCAAGTAGCTGGGATTACAGGGGTGCGCCACCATGCCCAGCTAATTTTTGTATTTTTAGTAGAGATGGTCACCAAGCTGGTCAAGCTGGTCTCAAGAGCCTGACCTTGAGTGATCCGCCTGCATCGGTCTCCCAAAGCGGTGGGATTACAGGCGTAAACCACTGCGCCTGGCTCAAGTATTTATTAATGAATAAATATATATGAAAATCTTAAGAATTTCATGTTTATTTTCAGATGAAAACCAAAACACTAAATACATGGAAAAGTGGTAATATTTCCCATCTCTCTTCAGGATAAGTACAACAGAAAACATAATGCTCAGCCAGGCATGGTGGCTCATGCCTGTAATCCCAGCACTTTGGGAGGCCGAGGCAGGCGGATCACGAGGTCAAGAGTTCAAGACTAGCCTGGCCAACATGGTGAAACCCTGTCTCTACTAAAAATACAAAAATTAGCCGGGCGTGGTGGTGCGTACCTGCAATCCCAGCTACTCAGGAGGCTGAGGCAGGAGAATTGCTCGAACCTAGGAGGCAGAGGTTGCAGTGAGCCAAGATCACTCCACTGCACTCCACCACCCTGGACGACAGAGTACGACTCCGTCTCAAAAAAAAAAAAAAAAAAAAAAAAGAAAACACAATGCTCTTTGGATAAAAAAAATATATATATATATATAATATAAATGGTTTCTGAAACCATTTAAGTGGGTACTTAATACCCAGACTGCAAATAACCCTAAAGACAGTCTGTTTTGATCTAGAAACTCTAGTCAATGTTCCAGTTTTGTTTTTTTTTTTAATTTGAGATGGAGTCTCACGCTGTTGCCCAGGCTGGAGTGCAGTGGTGCAATCTCTGCTCACTGCAACCTCTGCCTCCCGGGTTCAAGTGATTCTCCTGCCTCAGCCTCCCAAGTAGCTGGGATTACGGGCACCCACTACCACACCCAGCTAATTTTTTTTTGTATTTTTAGTAGAGACAGGGTTTCACCATGTTGGCCAGGCTGGTCTTGAACTCCTGACCTCATGATCCACCAGCCTCCGCCTCCCAAAGTGCTGGGATTACAGGCGTGAGCCACCGTGCCCAGCCTGTCAATGTTCCAGTCTTCAAGAGAATTCCAAAACTACATTCCCTATATCTCACTCAAGTGAGCTGTGATTTTAATGAATTGTCCAGGGTTAAGCTAGTTGTTAGTAACATAACAATTTTTCTTCTTGTTGAGTCTCAGATAACAGCCCTCATCGTGAGGGCTGTTATCGGAATATTTTGAGGTCTATATATTGGCAGATTTTCTCAGTACAACAGACAGGACATTTTCACATATTTTAAAAGAGAATTTGTGGACTGCATTTTGAATTCCAGTGCCTGGTTTGAATACTGACTATTAAATCCTTCATTTTCTAATTTCTCATCTCTCAGACTCACAGACAATTCATTGGTGATAGAAGCTGATGATTTCCACAAACGAAGTGATACTTGGAATCTTCCTGAAGATCTATGTTGCTTGGATACTCTTTTTTTTTTAAAGTTTTAAAAATTGCTTACTTTTCTTCCAGCAAATTCTCCTAGATCCTGAAGATACTTTTCTAGAAAAAGGAAGAAGTAATATTCTCTTCCCTATTGGAAGACTACAAGTCTACTGCCGTCAATTATTGGAAACAGGCACCCAGCAGTATAACTGCTTCAGCATAATTCCTTGAAGATAGGGTCTTGGCTATTGTAAAAGCTGTAAGATCAAATAGACTAAAGGGTCAGTAAGCTGGCAGGAAAGGAATGGATTCAGTTCAGAAGAAATAGAATAATCAATGACCTTGGAGATTTCAGACAAATCAGATTTTCTATTGAAGGCAGGGATATAAATAGCACAAACACAACACAGACACGTAGAAACAAAAGCCACCAACTCAACTTTTTGTTTGAAAACTTGTTAGGTCTAGAGAACTGTTCAAACCACAGCTGCTAATGGTTATGGATTTGGCAATCAAAATGTCTTTGTTAAAAAAAAAAAGTTTTAACTGCCTTACTATTGAGGTTACAAACCACAGCCTTGATGCATTGTTGCAGTCAACATCCTCCCTGCTGTTTTTGAGAGCTTACATCTGCTGCTGGCAGATAAAATGCTGGCAAACAGCATGGGCTCCTTCCAGGGGAATCACAGGAGAAGCTTTAACGAGATGGCTCTCATCTACCTTTTTACCCTGAGTTGAACCCATAGCCTTTTCTATATCACTTCTACCTTCTCTAGGCTGATCCTCTGCCATTACTCAGGAGGGTTGAGGATCTAGAGGAATTTTTTCTGGCACAAATTAGTCATGTTGGCCATACTAATCTTAGAAGATAAAAAGGAAGACTAGTTCATGGCTCAGGAGAAAGCACATATTTTTAAAGCCATTTAACAGTGTAGTGCACTTGATTTTAAAACAACCACTAACAAAACCTTTTCGATTTTCTTTTTTTAAGAGGACTAAATGATCACACTATGCCAAAAATAGTGAGGGTTTAGTGTATTTTAACTTATCAAAGAAAGGCCAAGAATGTGAGGTCAGAAGTAAATTACTGAATTTTGGGGGGAAAAGAAAAAGGAACAGCATGTAAAGGCAAAATGTGGTCCAAGTCACACAGGAAGTTAGTTTCAGTTGAAGTAAAAATTACTAGATCCACATTAGTTTTCAAAGAAAATGCAATTCAACTGGGTGATAAATGAATATGGAGATACTGAAGGGAAGGCACAGGTCACAGTTAGGAAACTACTTCCTAGATGGTTCTCTCTCAGTGAGTTGACCTATGAGAATACAGAAAAATCAAGCATACTTAGACTAACACTCCTAAACTGTAAATACCATGATACCAGTTCTGTAGTATGTAAATAGGTAGTGCATGTTTGGGTGGGGGATTAATTTATGCTCAAAGTTTTGAGAACACTGCATGTTATATCCACCTCATAGAGAGTCATAATCCACACTAGCATATTAAGGGCTCTGAGATGTTCTACAGTAAACAGATCTGTTTAATCCAAAGGTATTTCCCAAATTTGTGTTTCAGAGAACACCTATGCCATGGAATAGTTTGGTAAATGCTAGTCAAGAGCCATTATTCCTAAACTCTCAACTCATTCATTCAGAAAACAAGAATGAGGCTGGTATAATAGATTAGACAACTACATTTCTTTTTTTATTTTTATTTTATTTTTTTTGAGACAGAATTTTGCTCTTGTCACTCAGGCTGGAGTGCAGTGGCACAATCTCGGCTCACTGCAACCTCTGCCTCCCAGGTTCAAGCAATTCTCCTGCCTCAGCCTCCCCAGAAGCTGAGATTACAGGCTCCTGCCACCACGCCTGGCTAATTTTTGTAGTTTTTTAGTAGAGACGGGGTTTCACCATGTTGGCCAGGCTGGTCTCGAACTCCTAGCCTCAAGTGATCCACCCGCCTCGGCCTCCCAAAGTGCTGGGATTATAGGCATGAGCCACCACGCCCAACCCAAAAGCTACAACTTTTAAAACTGATAAACTCTTTACTCAATAAATAAGATAAAAATAGGGCTAACATCAATTCTAAATAAATTCATATGCTACCCTTAAACACAGAAAAGAAACAGTGGAGGCCAGGCACAGTGGCTCACACCTGTAATCCCAGCACTTTGGGAGGTCAATGCGGGTGTATCACCTGATGTCAGGAGTTCGAGACCAGCCTGACCAACATGGTGAAACCCTGCTTCTACTAAAAATACAAAAAAAAATGGCCAGGTGTGGTGGTATGTGCCTGTAATCCCAGCTACTCAGGAGGGTGAGGCAAGAGAATCGCTTGATCCTGAGAGGCAGAGGTTGCAGTGAGCCAAGATTGCACCACTGCATTCCAGCCTGGGCAACAGAGTGAGACTCCGTCTCAAAAAAAAGAAAAAAGAAACAGTGGGAAAAAGTTACAGAAAAGCCAACCATAGGGAAAATGGGTATGGGATTCCCATGTCTGATGAAGCCTAGTGGCTTCTGTTATATTTTAATGTTATATATCAGAGACATTCATAAAGAGAGTTGCCAGCACCTCTAGCTGGAAACATATGGGAGGATTCCTGCACTTCTACATGCTGTTCAAAGCAACCTCAGGAAATGAGATACAATATAAGTTAAAGGAGAAGTATCATGAAAAAGAGGTATCCTTCAGAAATCAACAAGACTTGTTTTAATTAGATTTCTAATTCCTGTAACCTTCATAGTATTCCATAGATCAGGATTATAGTTTCCTACCCTTCTCTACACAAATTTGTGGCACAAAGAAGATTGGCTATCTAGAGATTGAAATCATTTGACCTTGTATCAGGTGGTAGTTTGCTTGATCAATAGATGAGAAAATAAAGCAAGGCCGCTTGCCAAAAACCATCATCCACATTGCCAGATGCTCCTGGGTTCTCTTTTAGAACGCAAATACATATCCCAGGAAGAAAACATAATGCAGTATGTTATACTAAGCTGTTAACGACTGTGAATCTCTAAAACTGTAAAGCCTACACCAGTGTAAGGTATTTTTATAATATTACTTCTAGACTGGGGGAAAAAAAAAGAGGGGGGAGGAAGAAAGTAGACATTGAAAAAAATGGGCAAAAAGCTCAGAGGGATAGTGCAGGCACAAGAGTGTGGGGGATAGCCTCCATGTGTCTATGGTTTTGCCTAGGTCTGGATCAGATACTAAGGGAAGAACAAAACGCTAGAACTCAAAATTCACACCAAAATGCATGCATTGTACTCACACACATAATCAGAGGAGGCAGAGGAGGTAACTCACAAGGAAATGAAAGACATAAATCTAGAGGGATAACAAGTGTTAGTTAAAATCAGTCAGTAGGCTGGCCACAGTGGCTCACACCTATAATCAAAGCACTTCGGGAAGCTGAGGCAGGTGGATCACTTGAGGCCAGGAGTTCAAGACCAGCTTCGCCAACATGGTGAAATCTTGTCTCTACTAAAAATACAAAAATTAGCTGGGCATGGTGGTGTGGTGCCTGTAGTCCCAGCTACTGGGAGGCTGAGGTGGGAGGATCACTTAAGCCCAGGAGGCAGAGGTTGCAGTGAGCCAAGATTGGCACTCCAGCCTGGACGACAGAGTGAGACCCAGTTTCCAAAAAAAATAAATAAAGAGTAAAGAATAGAGAGGGTAAAATGGCTGGGAACAGTAAAGGAAAACAGTAGACAGTAATAACAGTAATGAAAGGTAAGTAAGTCTGAAAAAGAGAATTTGCTGGGAAAAATGAAACTGAAGCTCTTTTTCTTCAGCACACTGGTGGAAGCCCTATTATCTAAAGCAACTGTTCAAAGAACAGGAAAACCATACTGATAGGTAAGACTGTTTGTGCTTCAAGGATGGACTTTTCCTGTTTTGGATTTCTGCTAGTTCTGTGTCTAAACATAAAGGTCTTACATTTCAGGAATTTTCTAATTAAGTTAAAGTATTTCGGCTCCCTCTGCTGCTCAAAAATGTACTTTAGTTACATCAGTTCAATCTTTTTTTTTTCTTTTTTTTGAGACAGAGCCTTGCTCTGTTGCCCAGGCTGGAGCGCAGTGGCATGATCTCGGCTTACTGCAACCTCTGCCTTCTGGGTTCAGGAAATTCTCCTGCCTCAGCCTCCCGAATAGTTGGGACTATAAGCGCGTGCCATCACACCCAGCAATTTTTTTTGTATTTTTATAGAGATGGGGTTTGACCGTGTTAGCCAGGATAGTCTTGATCTCCTGACCTCATGATCTGCCCGCCTTGGCCTCCCAAAGCACTGGGATTACAGGCGTGAGCCACCATGCCCATCTTTTTTTTTTTTTTTTTTTTGAGACAGAGTCTCACTCTGTCGCCCAGGCTGGAGTGCAGTGGCACGATCTCAGCTCACTGCAACCTCTGCCTCCTAGGTTCAAGCAATTCTCCTGCCTCAGCCTCCTGAGTAGCTGGGATTACAGGCATGCGCCACCATACCAGGCTAATTTTTGTATTTTTAGTAGAAGCGGGGTTTCACCATGTTGGCCAGGTTGGTCTCAAACTCCTGACTTAAAGTGATCCACCCGCTTTGGCTTCCCAAAGTGCTGGGACTGCAGGTGTAAGCCACTGCGCCCGACCTGTCAGTTCAATCTTTAGTGATAAAAATTAAAATATATAAATGCATACATATGTACATTCATACATATGTACATTCATACATAAATACACATACCTCCTCCCAAATATGGCACAGTCCTGGCAATCAGAGTCAAATACATTTGCCTATCATGAGTTCAATAGCCTGGACCAAAAGCTCCAGAATTAGCAATAACAGATCCTAGTATTCCCACCCCCCAATCAAAATAATTCAAGGGATAATCAAGGGTTTCTTCAAAAGAAGCAAGGTTTTGGTAAGGGATGAAGACCCTATATACTTGCTAGCTGCATTGTGGCAATAGCTTTTTTTTTTCCCCCAGAAGGAATCTCACTCGGTTGCCCAGGCTGGAGTGCAGTGGCAGGACCTCAGCTCAATGCAACCTCCATCTCCCGGGTTCAAGCTATTCTCCTGCCTCAGCCTTTGGAGCAGCTGGGACTACAGGCACGTGCCACCACACCCGGCTAATTTTTTGTATTTTTAGTAGAGATGGGGTTTCACTGTGTTAGCCAGGATGGTCTTGATCTCCTGACCTTGTGATCCACCTGCCTCGGCCTCCCAAAGTGTTGGGATTACAGGCCTGAGCCACCAGCGCCCGGCCTGGAAACAGCTTTTTATACAGATATTTATATGCACCAGGCTGGGTGTGGTGGCTCATGCCTATAATCCCAGCACTTTTAAGAGGCCCAGCCTCTTAAAGTGCTTTCAAGACCAGCCTGGCCAACATGGCGAAACCCTGTCTCTAAAAAAAAAAAGTATTCTTTACTCACCTGCTCCTTAAATTGCTTCTGGGACAAGCAGTCAATTAGGTCCACACAGCCCAGAAGACAACCTGACGGATAGTCATTAGGAAATTCCACATCTGAATCAGGAATAACAAAAATATTGAATAAATTTCCTTCTTTGTGATCTTGGAACTCAGGAATCTGTTTTCAATTCTGAACAAACATTAATAACTTTTTCCATTATCTATTTGTAGACATAAGGAAAACAGTGAAATTTACTTGGCACAACTGTTTGCATTTTAGCAAAAAAATCTAGTGAGTGGCTGGCTTAGTCCACTATCCACATGTTAAGCTAGAAAATTTTTCCTTTGCCCTCATACCATCAAAGTTCAAGGACCCCACAAATTCATCCTAATACAAATCGATTCTACTATACGCCATTGGATCAGATTGGAGTTTGGCAGTGATGAGTTTTGGAAGCAAAGTAAGGCAGTTACAGGTGACAAGAAAAAAAAAACATCAAAATGTGGTTAAAACCATAAGAATGAATGTCTTTAAAACAAGCCAGTCCATATCAATAGGAATAGAAGTGTGCTTTTAGGCCGGGCTCAGTAGCTCACACCTATAACCCCAGCACTTTTGGAGGCCAAGGCAGGCAGATCACTTGAGGTCAGGAGTTCAAGACCAGCCTGGCCAACATGGTGAAACCCTGTCTCTACTAAAAATACAAAAAATTAGCTGGGTGTGGTGGCATGCGCCTGTGGTCCCAGCTACTCGGAAGGCTGAGGCAGGAGAATCACTTGAACCTGGAAGGCGGAAGTTGCAGTGAGGAGAAATGGCGCCACTGCACTCCAGTCTGGTTACAGAACGAGACTCTGTCTCAAAAAAAAATAAAAAAGAAAAGTGCTTTTAAGGAAGCATGAACTTTTTATTCCTAGTGATTCTTTAAGCCTTGTTTCTTAAAAACCTTTAAAGATGGTTGTGTAGTTGTCCTTTTATTCTACCCTCAAAACAACTGTATGAGCTGGATAACACAAAGGAAAAACAGGATGCCCAAAGGTCAGAAGTCTTTTTAAGGATCCAAAGTTAGTATTCTTGGGGTGATTCCCAAAATACGTTGCTTAAATCAATCAACTTTGATTTGTACAAATCCAATAGTAGGTGTCTATTTAGGCCACTCTCAATGAAAATTCCTATTTGTGGTTGTTCTTCCCAATGTAAGGATCTCAGAGTTTACACTAGTCATTTTACCTTTAGAGTAAAGAAGATGATTTTCTCAGATAAAAAAATTAAGACTAGTTGATTTCTTGTGTTGGAAATTGATATTTTTATTTGCACTGTTTTGACAGATTAATGCTTTGAACGCTGTCAATGATTTACCACTAAACAAACAAACATATACAAAGATTAAAAGTCTCTTTTAACAAAGAAAAAGCCAAAGAAAGAAGGAAGTGAAAGAAGATGAACGTCAATGACTTCTCTCCATAAAGTAAAATTGAAAGGAGAATATGCGGCTGTTACCTTTCCCACGAAGAAGACGATATGTAGCCTGGAGTTCTGAGACTTCTTGAGGGGAGGGTTTTTTAGCTGTGGCTGCTATCCAAAGTCGTCCTCTGTGGGGGGTGTACCAGGATCTGCCCTCCACCCTTAAACAAATAGAAATTTAGTGGGAAGGATATAAATTCTAGTTTCCTGGAATATCCCATAATATATAACAAATCCTATAGCAAATTATCCAGTTGAACCAAGAGGTCTATAGATGATGCCTTCTCAAGAGCAGTATCTTTTGTCAAAAACACTTTTCTCTCACAATACTTTTCACTTGAGGATGAACTCTGTCCACTAATTTCTCCTCCATCAGAATAGCGACAAGTCATCTCTCTCAACTCTTGACTGCTTTTCACCTGATCCCTACAACTCAGATTTGGAACCCTGACCAGTCTTGGTGCTTCTCCAATACAAATCCTATATTTTCAAGGCATATAAATCATATTAGAGATATGGAAATCCTTGCCCTTGAGTCAAAGGCTAACCTTTCCCTAGAAGATTAGTTGATTTGTTCTCCAACCTGACAGAAAAATCCTCATCTACACACAACTCCCAAGAATGTTACTTTTTATTTATTTAAAATAATTTAAGTAAATAAAAACGCTTATCTTTACTCTTCAATTAGAACCACACCCATTTGCTTTTTTTTTTTTTTTTTTTTTTTTTTGAGACGGAGTCTCGCTCTGTTGCCAGACTGGAGAGCAGTGGCGCGACCTCGGCTCACTGCAACCTCCGCCTCCTGGGTTCAAGCGATTCTCCTGCCTCAGCCTCTTGAGTAGCTGGGACTACACGCACGTGCCACCACACCCAGCTAATTTCTGTATTTTTAGTAGAGATGGGGTTTCACCATGTTAGGATGGTCTCGATCTCTTGACCTTGTGATCTGCCCACCTCGGCCTCCCAAAGTGCTGGGATTACAGGCATGAGCCACCATGCCCGGCTCCATTTGCATTTTTAAATTGTATTTGGGGTTTTCTTTGAGGATTATTAAACAACTTGTGGACTAGTTTGAAAAAACCTCTAAAGAGAATAACAGAATGTATTCAGGAGAATTTAATTGCTACTTTCCAAGGATTACAAAAAGATGTTTCTCTTTCCCCTCCCACCAAATTAAATAAAGTACCTTGATAATATATCCCTCTTATCCCATTCTTATAATGGAAAATGGGGTCATGAATTTTTCATATCCTTGGTTTCCCAATATAGATAAATTGGAAGAGTGCCAGGCACACAGTAGGTGCACGATATGGGGAATGAACCAATGTATATCTTCCCTCTAGGCCAAATAACCTGAAGAATTACTGGGAAAATGGTCCCACAAATGTGGCAAAACCACCTACTTTATTTCTGTGGGATTAAAATAAAGTGACTGTGTACTAGATGCTGCTCATTCTTTCGCTTCTGTGAGAAAATTTGAATAACAGATCCAAATAGGATGAGAGAAATGTAAACACTCTGATTCCCTTAGCAGAAGGCAAGTTGTTTAGTTTTCTACTTTGGAAAAGCAAGACACCTAAATTGCAGAAAACTCAATGAGAAGAACAGACATCTAAGGTTTTGATCATCCTGGAGCAGAAGCGGATTCCCATGCACTTGTTCTAATGGCGTTTACAGACATGAACTATGAAACAATTAGGAGCCAAAGCAAGGAAACCTGACCTTCAAGAGGGGAGAAAAGGTGTAGTGCACCTTAACACAATAGAGAAATGGCAGCTAATAGTGAAACTACCAAAGTAGAAATGATTATGCCTAAATGCTGATAATCATTTGCTTTTAAGTAAAGTAGAGAAACGTCTGAAGCCTGAACAGTAGAGGGGAAAGAGCACTCTGAAAACCAGAAGTCTAGTTCCATCTCTGTCATCACCTAGCTTCATATTTCAGGGCAATCCATTTTACCTTTGCCTGCTTCAGTATCCTCATTTGTCAAAGACTATAATAATACTGGCCTAATCTACAGTCACATCTTGCTTAACAATGGGGATATGTCCTGAGAAATGTGTCTTTAGGCAATTTCATTGGCTGAACTTACACAAACCTAGATAGTATAACCTACTACACACCTAGGCTATGGTATAGCCTCTTGCTCTTTTTTTTTTTTTTGAGACTGAGTCTCACTCTATCACCCAGGCAATCTCGGCTCACTCCAGCCTCTGTCTCCTGGGTTCAAGCAATTATCCTGCCTCAGCCTCCCGAGTAGCTAGAATTATAGGCATGCACCACCATGCTCCGCTAATTTTTGTTATTTTTAGTAGAGATGGGGTTTCGCCATGTTGGCTAGGATGGTCTTGAACTCCTGAACTCAGGTGATCTACCCACCTTGACCTCCCAAAGTGCTGGGATTATAGGCGTGAGCCACCGTGCCCGGCAGCCTCTTATTCTTAAGTTACAAGCTGGTACAGCATGTTACTGTACAGAATACTGTAGGCAGCTGGAGCACAGTGGTTAACTATTTGCGTATGTAAATACATCTAGACATAGAAAAGGTACAGTAAAGGCTGAGCATGGTGGCTCATGTCTGTAATCCCAGCACTTTGGGAAGTGGAGGCGGGTGGATCACTTGAGGTCAGGAGTTTGAGACCAGCCTGGCCAACAGGGCAAAACCTCATCTCTTCTAAAAATACAAAAATTAGCCGGGCATGGTGGTGCATGTCTGTAATCCCAGCTACTCGAGAGGCTGAGGCTGGAGAATGCTTTAACCTGGAAGGTGGAGGTTGCAGCAAGCCGAGATCATGCCACTGCACTCCAGCCTGGGCAACAGAGCGAGATCCTGTCTTAAAAAAAAAAAATGAAAGAAAGAAAGAAAATAAAAGGTAGCGTAAAAATATAGTATTATAATTTTTTTTTTTTCAGATGGAGTCTCACTCTGTCGCCCAGGCTGGAGTGCAATGATGCAATCTTGGCTCACTGCAACCTCCACCTCCCGGGTTCAAGAAATTCTCCTGCCTCAGCCTCTTGAGTAGCTGGGATTACAGGCACACACCACCACGCCTGGCTAATTTTTATATTTTTAGTAGAAACAGGGTTTCACCATGACCTTGTGATCCGCCCACCTCGGCCTCCTAAAGTGCTGGGATTACAGGCATGAGCCACCGTGACCGGCCGGTATTCTAATCTTATGGGACCACTGTTGTACATGTGTTCCATTGCTGATTGAAAAGTCGTTATGCAGCACATGCGTGTATTTCATAGAGCTACTGCCTTGAAAACTAAAATTCTATTTAAATATAAGGTATTTTTACTGTTATGAGTTGGGACATTGCCAGGCATATAAAATTCTAATAGAAAAAAATAAGAAATGGCCTGGCACGGTGGCTCACGCCTATAATCCCAGCACTTTGAGAGGCCGAGGCGGGCAGATCACAAGATCAGGAGATCGAGACCATCCTGACTAACACGGTGAAACACCATCTCTAGTAAAAACACACACACATACACAAATTAGCTGGGCATGGTGGCGGGCGCCCGTAGTCCCAGCTACTCAGGAGGCTGAGGCAGGAGAAAGGTGTGAACCTGGGAGGCGGAGCTTGCAGTGAGCTGAGATCACGCCACTGCACTCCAGCTAGGGCGACAGAGCAAGACTTCATTTCAAAAAAAAAAAAGAAATAAGAAGCAAAAGACATATGTTGTAATGATAAGTGAAAGAAGAAAAACACAAACATATATATCATGCTCTCACCATTTAACAATTTACACAAGAAAAATAGAAACAGCCGGGCGCATTGGCTCACACCTGTAATCCCAGCACTTTGGGAGGCTGAGGTGGTCAGATCACCTGAGTTCGGGAGTTTGAGACCAGCCTGACCAACATGGAGAAACCTCGTCTCTACTAAAAATACAAAAATAGCCAGGCGTGGTGGCACATGCGTGTGAACCCAGCTACTCAGGAGGCTGAGGCAGGAGAATGGCTTGAACCCGGGAGGTGGAGGTTGCAGTGAGCTGATAACGCACCATTGCACTCCAGCCTGGGAAACAAGAGCAAAACTTCGTCTCAAAAAAAAAAAAAAAGAAAGAAAGAAGCCAGGCACAGTGGCTCACACCTATAATCCCAGCAGTTTGGGAGGCCAAGGTGGGCGAATCACGATGTTAGGAGTTCAAGACCAGCCTGGCCAACATGGTGAAACCTCATCTCTACTAAAAATACAAAAATTAACCAGGTGTGGTGGCGGGCGCCTGTGATCCCAGCTACTCGGGAGGCTGAGGCTGTAGAATTGCTTGAACCTGGGAGGCAGAGGTTGCAGTGAGCCGAGATCAGGCCACTGCACTCTAGCCTGGGTGACAGAGCAAGACTCTGTCTCAAAAAAAAGAAAGATAGAAACACTCCAAAATGCTAATAACAGCGGTTTCTTGGTGTGGGATTATAGGTAATCTTTCTTTTTCTAGCTACTTTTCTGTGCTTTACAGTTTTCCATTTACATGGATAATAAAAGCCAAGAAAAACACTATTTTTAAAAACTGAATTAAGAAACAAACACACCAGGCGCGGTGGTTCACGTCTGTAATCCCAGCACTTTGGGAGGCCGAGGCGGGCGGATCACGAGGTCAGGAGATCGAGACCAGCCTGGCTAACAAGGTGAAACCCCGTCTCTACTAAAAATACAAAAAATTAACCAGGTGTGGTGGCGGGCGCCTGTAGTCCCAGCTACCTGGGAGGCTGAGGCAGGAGAATGGCGTGAACCTGGGAGGCGGAGGTTGCAGTGAGCCGAGACCACGCCACTGCACTCCAGCCTGGTGACAGAGCAAGACTCGGTCTTTAAAAAAAAAGAAAAGAAAAGAAAAGAAAAAAACACAAGACACCACGGAATAGTAAGCTATTAAATATTATTATCAGTAACAGGTGTAACTCAGCTGTATAATACCTCTACTTATCTCAATTTCCCCTACTTTTGTAGAAAAGCATTTTGTAATAAAATAGTTTCTCAATATTATTAGCCAGATTAATAGTTAGATATATGGACAGGAAAATAAAATCAGTTATGCTGGTATCTTAATAAGTAAATAGGCATCAAAACTATGTTTCAAATAGGATCAAATTATTAAGGTTGCTTAGTAGTATATTCCAAAGCAAAGCCAAGAGAAGATTTTTCAATAGATTTCCTTCCAAAGATGAAAAAATTAGTCTTCTATCTTTGTTATGACTTTCTTAGCCTTTTTATGCTCAGTTTGTTTAAGCTATTCAGTACAAAAACTACTACTATATTTGTCAATTTAAATGTTTTGAAATTAATTTTAAAATATACTGCTACCAAGTCAGTAACATGAATATGTTGTTCAAAGTTCTATTTATTGAAGAGTATTATAAATCATCACTAGATTGAGGAAAACTAATTCCAATTCATATTTCTAAATTAAATTTATGTCACTCTAAGATCTTCCACTGCCCAGATTCATTTTTATTCTTACCTTTTAATCCCTCTGACAAGCAGAGAAGCCCAGGGCTGATGTACAGAGAGGCACCAGCCACCATCAAAGCCTTCCTGAAATTCTTGATCCTGGATTCGCAACTGGTGCTGAAATGAGTTGAACTCTAGTCCAAATCCTGAAGAACGGAAAGCCTTCTTCTGTGAGGCTGCACCTGTGTGGTCAACCCACTACACAGAAAAACAAACATACAGTTCTATCTTATAAGGCAAGAATCTGGGGTAGGTAGACAAAATGATGCGAATGCTAATAATGAGGAAATCATATTGGGAACATTTTTCTTAGAAAAATATATCCCAGGCCGGGCATCGTGGCTCACGCCTGTAATCCCAGCACTTTGAGAGGCCAAGGCGGGTGGATCACTTGAGGTCAGGAGTTCTAGGCCAGTCTGGCTAACATGGTGAAACCCCATCTCTACTAAAACTACAAAAATTAGCTGGGCGTGGTGGCAGGTGCCTATAATCCCAGCTACTCATGAGGCAGAGGCAGGAGAATCATTTGAACCCAGGAGGTGGAGGTTGCAATGAGCCAAGATTGTGCCACTGCACTCCAGCCTGGGCAAGAGAGACTCTGTCTCAGAACAACAACAACAACAACAACAAATGAAAAATAATCCCATCTTTGTCTGCAATAAGGCCAAAAGGGTAGAGATAGTATACATTCAGTAGAAGTCTCAGGTATGATAACAAGGCCCATCTTAAAGAATAATTAGAATGTTGAAATCTCCATACAATGCTTACTAATTCCAGCAACAGCACAAATATCACACCAAAAGAGCTATAATTATTTCCAATTTATACTTAATGATCCATACTTGGTTCTGGATAATTTTTCAATAGAATTCTGTGAGCTAAATGAAAGTTCAACATTTTGGTCCACAATTCTGCATGTGCTTAGGGGCAGTGTCACATGCTGGCACCATGACAAAGCCAAACAGATGTTGTCAGGTCAGAGGCAGCAGTTCTGACTACTGGATGCATGAAATATTCTCTTACCCTGAAATGAAGAACTTGTCTCCTGAAAGAGAGGGTGGAGGACTACTAAAACAGGGCTCCCATCATATAAAAAGAATAGAGAATTATAAGGTACAGGTAATTACAGGAGAGTGAAGAGTCTTGGCAACAGTTCAGACAGAGAATGGCAAAGGTTAATGTTTCTTCCAGAGCAACGATACCATGTCCTCCAAAATTAAAATTTAAAAATAAAGGCAATTAGCATGATGATATTTGGGGTTATCTTTTTTAAAAAATTAATAATTTATAAAGCTGAACACAGTGAAGCATGCCTGTAGCTTCACTAGTTACTCAGGAGGTGAGGCAGGAGGATCACTTGAGCCCATAAGTTCAAGGCCAGCCTGGGCAACATGGTGAGGTCCTGTGTCTTTAAAAATAATAATAAGGGCCAGGCATGATGGCCGATGTCTGTAATCCCAGCACTTAAGGAGGCCAAGGCAGGAGGATCGCTTGAGCCCAGAAGTTTAAGACCAACCTGGGCAACAAGGCGAAACTCCTTCTCTACAAAAAAATATACAAATTAGTAAGGTATGATGGCACGTGGCTACTGTAGTCTGAGCCACTTGAGAAGCTGAGATGGGAGGATCTCTCGAGCCTGGGAGGTGGAGGCTGCAGTGAGCTATGATCATACCACTGCACTCTAGCCTGGATGACAGAACAATATCCTGTCTCAAAAATAAATAAAAATGAACATAAAATAACTTATAGGAAAAAACTTCTAGTGGTAGTCGAAACCCTAGGCATTTAACCCCTAAAGATTTCAGTTTTTCAAACTGGAAAAGGATGAAGTTGGACTAAATAAATTTCTAAGGATCTTTCTGCCATACAATTTTATGATTCTTGTCAATTGTGGCATATCTTAAAAATACACATTTTTACAAATTAAATACACATTTATTGAGTACTTAACTGTGAAAAGCACATTAACTAGGGAGACATAAAATATGAAAAAGATACGGTTCTTGCTTGCAAGGAACTTAAAGCCTAGTGGAAGACAGACACATAAATAACTATTCAAAACATAAGGCAGAATTGACTACATACTAAATAGGAGATAGAAGTTTTTACAGAGGACCAAAGAGGAAAAAGAATTGATCCATTATAGGGTAAATAAATAATTTCTTTAAAAAAAATTTTTTTTGAGACACTGTCTTGCTCTGTTGCCCAGGCTGGTCTTGACCTCCTGGCTTCAAGTGATCCTCCTTCCTCAGCCTCCCAAAATGCTAGGATTACAGACGTGAGCCACCACACCTGGCTGGAAATAAATAATTTCATAAAATGTTGGTATGTGAACAATCTTGAGGCCCAAATTATTTTTTCTATTTCTACTACAGCTGTTCCCTCTAATTACACAGCCACTTTCCTAAATTAATTCCTCATTATCTTTTGATAATACTATTAAAGAATCTGCCAGCAGGTCTCTTCATCTACATTTTTAGTCTTTATGATGATAATTATTTTTTTTTAGAGATGGGGTCTCACTGTGTCATCCAGGCTGGAGTGTGGTGGCTTAATCATAGCTCACTGCAGCCTCCAACTCCTGGTCTCAAGTGATCCTCCCACCTCAGCTTCCCAAGTATCTGGGACTATAGATGTGTATCACTACATCTCAGGCCCGGCTCCCACTTTTGGTCTTTAAATAACTCTCTACTGCTCCACTAGTGCTTTAATACTAATTTGGGCTGGCATCATCTTTCCATGGTGCTATTGCAATGACTACCTTGGCAATTTCTCAGCTTCTAATCTTACTTACTCTTCCCTCCAATCCATTCTCTACGTAGGCATGGAAGCCATGCCAATCTTCTGTTAAAATTCTTCCAGAACCCTTCTTTGCCTACTTTAGGGCAAAACCTAAACTCATTAGCATAAGACAAAAAATCTTTCATGATCAGGTGTTGCTTACTGTACTGGGTTGAGTAGTATCCCCCCAAAATCAATGTCCACGTTCATGGAATCTGTGAATACAACCTTATTTGGAAATAATCTTTACAGGTGTAATCAGTTTAAGATGAGGTTATATTAGATTATAGTAGGCCCTAAATCCAATGACTTGTATCCTTGTAAGAGGAGAGAGCACACAGTGACAGAGACACACATGGGGAAGAAGTCCATGTGAAGACAGAGGCAGAGATTAGAGTAATGAGCTACAAGGCAAAAGACACCTAGAGCCACCAGAATCTTAAAGAGGTAAGTAAGCATTCTCCTGTAAAGCCTTCAGAGGGAATGTAGTCTTTCCAACACCTTGATTTCGGGCTTTTAGCCTCCAGGTATGGGATAATAAATTTCTGTTGTTTAGGTCACCTAATTTGTGGTACTTTGTTACAGCAGCCCTAGGAAACTAATACACTTATCAGTCCATAACAATAGTTAATTACTTGTGATTCCCCAAACCTGCAATGCTCTCACGCTGCTGAGCCTTTGTATGTGTTGTACCTTCTGCCTGGAAATTCCCTCTCCAGATTTGTGTGCTTGGAAATTCCTATATCTATATCCCATGTTTTTGTGTACACATGCCTTTGTTCCTACAATTCATTCTGCCTGGAATTTTTTTCTCCACCATTCCCAAACATATATTTTTCAAAAATATTTGCTTTTTTTTTTTTGAGACAGGGTCTCACTCTGTCACCCAGGCTGGAGTGCAGTGGCATGATCATAGCTCACTGCAACCTCTGCCTCCTGGGCTCAGGTGATTCTCCCGACTCAGCCTCCTAAGTAGCTGGGACTACAGGCACCACGCCACCATGGCCAGCTAATTTTTGTATTTTTAGTAGAGACGGGGTTTTGCCATGTTGCTCAGGCTGGTCTAGAACTCCCAGGCTCAAGCAATCTGCCCACCTCAGCCTCCCAAAGTGCGCCTGGTGAATATTTACTTTTAATGAATGCCAGCTTCCCTATAAAACCCATTGATAGCTGGGCACTTTGGGAGGTTGAGGCAGGTAGATCACGAGGTCAGGAGATCTAGACCATCCTGGCTAACACGGTGAAACCCTGTCTCTATTAAAAAATACAAAAAATTCGCTGGGCGTGGTAGCGGGCACCTGTAGTCCCAGCTACTCAGGAGGCTGAAGCAGGAGAATAGCTTGAACCTGGGAGGCGGAGGTTGCAGTGACCCGAGATCATGCCACTGCACTCCAGCCTGGGCAACAGAGTGAGACTCCATCTCAAAAAAAAAAAAAAAAAAAAAAGAGAAAGAGCATTAACAAAAGAACCATGGAATTTCTGTCTAAATTTCTATAGTACTTAACAAAACCCTTTCTTGGGAAGTACTTGGAAGATAAAACAAGTCAATTTGTCAGAAGTACTGCAATAAAAATGGAAAAAATGTGGGCCAGAGAATAAGGTTGGCAGGTGTGTTGAGAGAGCTGATTGGTACAGGTGTATTGAGAGAGCTGATTGGTATCTGAAGTCTATGAAATAGACATACTTAAAAGAAGGCAAAATTGGGGCCAAACTTCTTATTAACAGTTAGAGCAAAGGTCCACTAACCTGGGGAGGGGACTGGTACATGTTGGGATTTACCAGAACTCCCAAAGGCTCTTCAGAAGATCTATCCAATTTGGTCAGTGGCTGGTTCAAGGTTCCATTGGCAATGGCCTGTATTGTCTCATCTAGTCTGTGATAATAAACCAAAAGGATGCAACAATTGGTAATGTTCTATGCTCAGAATGCTTACCACCAACATAAAATGCTTTAATAGTAATAAAATTTGGAATATAAAGAGGAGTCTATGGATGACCTTCCCTACTCCCCACTCCAACTTCCTTCTCACACCAAAAACCCTAAGGAATATGAGTTAATGAATATTGCAGAATGGCCAGGCACAGTGGCTCACTCCTGTAATTCCAGGACTTTGGGAGGCCAAGGAGGGCGGATCACAAGGTCAAGGGATCGAGACCATCCTGGCCAACATGGTGAAACCCCATCTCTACTAAAAATACAAAAATTAGCTGAGCATGGTAGCACACGCCTGTAGTCCCAGCTACTCGGGAGGCTGAGGCAGGAGAATCACTTGAAACTGCGGAGGAGGTTGCAATGAGCCGAGATCGTGCCACTGCACTCCAGCCTGGGCAATAGAGTGAGACTGTCTCAAAAAAATAAAAAAAAATAAAAATAAATAAAATAAAAGTTCCAGAATACCAAGAAAATACATAGGGCACGCTACAGTCATTCACCTGCTCAACAAGATCATTAAACATGCCAAGACCAGAAAAGCTGCCTAGAGGCCAGGAGTGGTGGCTCGTGCCTGTAATTCCAACACTATCATAGGCCAAAGAGGGCGGATCACTTGAGGCCAGGAGTTTGAGACCAGCTTGGGCAACATAGAGAGACCCTGGTTCTACAAAAAATAAATTAGCTGGGCATGGTGGCTCACACCTGTAGTTCTAGCTACTTGGGAGGATGAGATGGGAGGATCACTTGAGCCCAGGAGTTCAAGGCGCCACTGCCCTCCAGCTTGGGCAATAGTCAATAAGGCCCTGTCACAAAAAGAAAAAAAAAAGTTGCCTAGGAATACCCTGACCCACAGAAGAGTATTCTATGGCAGCTCATCTTCGCAATACAACCTATACAGTTATTCCTCTGTCTGCTCAGCAGTCCTTTCTCCACTCCTTCTTGCTAGTCTGCATTCTATCTTTGCTTGAAGGCTCAGAAGTTATAAAGAGGTACCCTACTGGCCCAGAACAAAAATGCTTAATCCTTTCTCTAAGGTCCTATAGTACCCACTATCTAAACAATCATTGGATACATCCCCTGTTATCCCATGCCTATGATGTTGGCATTGGATATCTGGCTCTAAACCTATAAAAGAATGTGATGATTTTCATTTAAAGATTGTGGAAACCTACTGGTTAGTTAGTAAGAGATCATAAGCCCTGAAGGAACCCTATCTTAATTCATTCTATAGCTCTACAGTACTTGCTACTCTATTCAATACTCCTGTTGGATGCTTGACAAAACGTTTGTGGATAACAATAATAATTGTGAGGCACAACATAATGAAAAGCTTCAACTAACAGGAAAGGCTAAACTTGACCTTCAATTCAATTCAATATATGTTTGTTAGGAATACCTCATATATAAGGCAGCTTAAAAGGTGGGGAAGACATTGTTCCTGCCTTCAAGAGGCTTTTTTTTTTTTTTTAAAGAGGCTTTCAATCCAAGTGGCAGATTTAAGAAAGCCGTATAGATGATGAATCATACATGAGGGGATGTAATAATTACTATGAAACAGGCACAATCCATTTAGTGGTTATTATTCCATCATCCAACATGTTGTATCATGTAGGTTCAAGGGAGAGGTAGGTATGTGAAATGCAAAGAATGGAGGAGGAATTTCCAAACCAAGGAAAAATCAGAAACAAAGGCCTGAAGCTTTTAAAAAGTATAAGAATTTGTATGATGAGGTAAGTCTAAAATAGCGTGGGGAGAGTGAGGTCTGAAAGAGAGGAATAAATTTGACACAGTAAAATGATAAGTATATCCAGAACTCTAGAATCTCTATAAAAGAAATAGTAAAAAAGCAAATGAATACATTTTCAGAACACTCAAACTTACTAACATACAACTAAAGCAAAGGAATGTGAATAAAAATTAGAATGAAATACTATTTTTCATGTCTGAAAATGGCAATTTTTTTAAAAAATCTTTGACAAGGGAAAAGGAAATTGTTATCTTGATATGTGGTGTGTAGCTGATAAGTCAAAAGTATGCACAATTTAGTGCCGGGCGCAGTGGTTCACGCCTGTATCCCAGCACTTTGGGAGGCCGAGGCGGGTGGATCACGAGGTCAGGAGATTGAGACCATCCTGGCTAACACGGTGAAACCCTGTCTCTACTAAAACTACAAAAAAAATTAGCCAGGCGTGGTGGCGGGCGTTGGTAGTCCCAGCTACTTGGGAGGCTGAGTCAGGAGAATGGCGTGAATCTGGGAGGCGGAGCTTGCAGTGAGCCAAGATCGCGCCACTGCACTCCAGCCTGGGCAACAGAGCGAGACTTTGTCTCAAAAAAAAAAAACAGTATGCACAATTTAAATATTCTCTTCTAAAAAGTTGTAACTTTTTTGTTTATGTATTTATGTTAATAGACTTTTTTTTAAGGTGGGGTCTCAATATGTTGCCCAGGCTGGTCTTGAACTCCTGGCCTCAAGTGATCCTCCCACCTTGGCCTCCCAAAGTGCTGAAATTACAGGTGTGAGCCACCGCACCCAGCCTTAGGCTTTATTTTTTAGAGCAGTTTTAGGTTCAGAGCAAAATTGAGAGGAATATACAGAGGTTATCCACATTCCCTGAGACCTCCCAAATACATAGCCTCCCCCATTATTAGCATCCCTCACCAGAGTGGTACATTTGTTACAACTGATCAACCTACATTGACACATCATTATCACCCAAAAGCCATAGTTTACATTAGCGTTCACTCCTGGTATTGTACAATTTATGGGTTTGGACAAATTTATAATGACATGTATTTACCATTATAACTACATACAGAGTAGTTTCACTGCTTTAAAAATCTTCTCTGTGCTCCTTCTATTTATTCCTCCCTCTCTTCTAATCCCTGGAACTACTGAATAGTTAAAATCATACAGTATGTAGGCTGCATCATTTTAATACTCCCATTCACAGTAACAGAATATCCCCATTTTCCTATACCCACACAATATGCAATATTATCCTTTAAAAAAAATTTAAGCCAAATTTGATGAGCCAAAGAAAATTGATATATTGTTTTAAAATCTGTATTTCCTGATTGCTAGTTAAACATCTTTTCAAATGTTACTGGCTATTTGTACTTCCCCACTTGTAAATTGTTTTTAGTTTTTGTCCATTTTTCTGCTGGAGTTTTTGGTCATTTTCTTTTAATTTGCAAGAGTTCTTACTTATATAGTATGGATATTGTTCCTTTGACTGTTAAAACCACTTAAAATATTTTCTTCCAACTTGGTACTGTCTTTTTTATTTAAAATATCTTATATCTTCATGACTTCAGGATTTTGTATCTTGCTTAGGAAGAGCTTTATCACACCAAGACTATAATTATATTCTCCTATAATTCTGTATTTCTTTCTGATCCCTTTATATTGTTTATATTTAACTCTTTAGTGAAACTTATTACAGCATCATAGAATGGTCTGAGATAAAGACATTACCTAGATTTTTTTCTAAACAGGCAATTATCCCAAAATAACATATTTAATTATTGCTTTAGCAATTAAAAATGTTAGCTTTATTGATTACTAAACTCACATACATATATACACACACCCATGCACACATACAAACACAATGTAAACATACCAATCTCTTTCTGGATTCTGTTTCATTGATCTATTTCTGTGCCCATACTATATCTCATTGTTTTAAAAACTTTTTTTTGCTGAGCATGGTGACTCATGCCTATAATCCCAGCACTTTCAGAGGCTGAGGTAGGCGGATCACTTGAGGTCAGTAGTTTGAGACCAGCCTGGCCAACATGGTGAAAACCTGTCTCTACTAAAAATACAAAAATTAGCTGGGCATGGTGGTGGGCACCTGTAATCCCAGCTACTCAAGGGGCTGAGGCAGGAGAATGGCTTGAACCTGGGAGGCGGAGGTTGCAGTGAGCCAAGATCAGGCCACTGCACTCCAGCCTGGGCAACAAAGCGAGACTCCATCTCAAAAAAAAAAAAAAAAAAACCAAACCACAAAAATCAGTAATTATCTGGTAGGAGTGCTCATTTAAACATTTTTTCTTAGCTATTCTTAACATGTTTTCTGTTCCAAATAAACACATTTTTTAAATCAACAAAAATAAAAGATCCACTAGAAAGGGAAAATCCTTTATGGTCAACCTGTTCCTTCTTTGAGACCCTTTCTAGTGCTGCTCACTTACCTGCTATGATACTCTGCTAGTGAATTTTCTTCTTCCAGGATCTTCCTTCCTGCAAAGTCAATGGTGACCTTCTTAGAAAGTCGAGAGGCGTGTCGAAGTTCTCTCAGCTCCTCCTCTCGCTTCTGCAAGGTTTCCCGCTCAAGTTTGGACAACCATTGGTTAGAATCACTGGCAAAGTAATCTGACTCATCATCAATGACTTGGGTCCTTCGAATACTGAGAAAAAGGGAACACATGGTAATTAGGTCATCTGTTGACAAATAAGGACCGATTATTGGAAAACAGTTTCAAGGTAACTTAATATCTCAAATATGTTCCAAAATCAGGTCAAGCTCTGCATATGTTTTATCTCCAGTGTAGGCTCAGCTCCTAGAACTTATCTCAACCTCAGGCAAGAAAAGACACAGCACCATAATACATTTTCCTTCTACCTTTCATATTAGTCCAGCCTCTACCTTCTGAAAGCTGGGCTTCAGCCTGGTTTTGCTGCATCTGAGTTCAAGTTTGACAGCTTACTAAATATCCTAGTCCCTCTGTAACTGGGATCCAGCCTATTCTTGCTAGGCTTATTTGCTTACTGGAGTTCTATGCTTAAGTCTCAGTTCTGTAGCTTAACTATTTACCTTTTTTTTTTTTTTGAGACAGAGTCTCGTTCTGTCGCTCAGGCTGGAGTGCAGTGGTGTGACTGCCTCCTCAGTTCAAGCAGTTCTCTGCCTCAGCCACCTGAGTAGCTGGGATTATAGGCGCAACACCATGCCTGGCTAATTTTTGTATTTTTAGTAGGGATGGGGTTTCACCATCTTGGCTTGGCTGGTCTTGAACTCCTGACCTCGTGATCCACCCACCTTGGCCTCCCAAAGTGCTAGGATTACAGGTGTGAGCCACTGTGCCTGGCCAACTATTTACTCTTAAGACATTCTATTACCCTACTACTATATGTCATTACCTATACCCCACTTTGCAGGCTCTCACTAATGCACTGGGGCCAAGTTCCAAAATATGACAATTAGGCCTATCTCTAAGATCATACTGACAGAGACACTAAAACCTGGAAGGAATCTTGATGGTCTAACTCTCTAATTCTACATATTATAAACCTGGGGCTCATAGAAGTTGAGTGATTACTCCAATGTCATAAATCCAGTTAAGATTACGTTTCCCCATAATTACAAATAGTGACATAAATAGACATAAGGGAAATACTGAAGTTAGATTCATATATTGGCTTCAAATTTTCATACTCAGCTAGAATTATAAAAAAATTTTGTCAGCCGGGCACAGTGGCTCAACACCTGTAATCCCAACACTTTGGGAGGCTGAGGCGGACGGATCACAAGGTCAGGAGATCGAGACCATCCTGGCTAACACGGTGAAACCCCGTCTCTACTAAAAATACAAAAAAATTAGCTGGGCGTAGTGGCGGGCGCCTGTAGTCCCAGCTACTCAGGAGGCTGAGGCGGGAGAATGGCGTGAGTCCAGGGGGCGGAGCTTGCAGTAAGCCGAGATGGCGCCACTGCACTGCAGCCCAGGCGACAGAGCAAGACTCCATCTCAAAAAAAAAAAAAAAAAAAAAAAAAAATTTGTCTTCTTAGGCCAGGCACGGTGGCTCACACCTGTAATTCCAGCACTTTGGGAGGCCGAGGCTGGCGGATCAAAAAAAAAAAACAAAAATAAAGCAGACTTAGAGTAGAAACTTTTTTAACAGTACTCTGGAGGAATTTTTTTTTTTTTTTTGAGACAATCTCGCTGTGACACCCAGGCTGGAGTGCACTGGATTAATCTCGCCTCACTGTAACCTCCACCTCCCAGTCTCAATCAATACTCCCACCTCAGCCTCCCAAGTAGCTGGGATTACAGGCATGTAACATTACTCCTGGCTAATTTCTGTATTTTTTGTACAGACAGGGTTTTGCTATGCTGCCCAGGCTGCTCTCAAACTTACAGGCTCAAGCAATCCGTCTGCCTTGGCCTCCCAAAGTGCTAGGATTACAGGCGTGAGCCACTGTGCCTGGTGGAAATTGGTCTTATACAAAAACCTAGATAATGAAACTGGTATCCATGAATACACCAGCAAAACAGCAACAATAGGGAGAGACCCTTTTCCACTTTCTGTTTATCAAAAAGTAAGTGCATTCTATTTCTATTATTATTATTTTTTTTTTGAGACAGAGTCTCACTCTGTTGCCCAGGCTGGAGTGCAGTGGCACAATCTTGGCTCACTGCAAGCTCCGCCTCCTGGGTTCATGCCATTCTCCTGCCTCAGCCTCCCGAGTACCTGGGACTACAGGCACCTGCCACCACGCTTGGCTAATTTTTTTGTATTTTTAGTGAGATGGGGTTTCACTGTGTTAGCCAGGATGGTCTGGATCTCCTGATCTCGTGATCCACCTGCCTCGGCCTCCCCAAGTGCCGGGATTACAGGTGTGAGCCACCGTGCCCGGCTTCCATTTCTATTTCTAATAATACGTTCTACTGAGTAGGGTGAAATGTGATACTGAAAGGATGAAGAGTGAATATGAGTTATACACCTTGTGATGGGTTTATTTAAGGAATAGTTTTCTAAATCTTATCTCATGTATTCATAGCAAATGGTTTGGAAGTAGCAGGAATGTCCCATCAAAAGATTACACTGTCAGCAACAGACTCTCAGGTTACAAGAGATTCAGGGTCTCTCTGAGGACCCTCAGAGTCATTTGAGAAGGGAGCATATAAATCCTATCCAAACATTTTTTACCACTAACTGGTTTTCAACAAGTATTTTTTTCAAAAGAAAAAAAAATGTAAGTAAGGAGGAAGTCAAAAACAGAATTATCATAAATCTATCTCCTAAACAGAAGTCAATGGGCTAAACAATAATAATGCAGTAGTATAAAGCTAATTTAGTTGTATTTTAATATACCGATTATTGAATCAAAAAACAAATTTAGTCAAAGTAAAGGAGAAGGGTAAATCATGCCCTCCTATGATAGGGCATAACCTGTGTTCTCCCAGAGGCAATTCCTTACAGATTCTCCAGAGCCCAGCCTAACAGTTTGCAAATAACACGTACTCTAATACAGGTGACTGAATGAATGGCTACAAGTAAAACAAGTGGTGAATTCTGTCAACTCACATAACTGTCCAGGGGATATACTAACATTTGTCAGGAATCAAAAAATGCTACAGGACAGGATTCTTTTCATAGGAGCCTATATTATTCAACCGTGGATTAAAAAACAAGATGTAGGCCTCCTATGTAGAGCATCTGGCTCTTCTTTTGCTATAAACTCTTTCACACTCCACTTTGAGAAGGTATCAAGTACCAAAATAATGGCCAGAATCTGTGGACTAGTTTATTTCTTAGCATTTGTTATTCTAACCCTTTCATACCTAGTTCTGTCAAACTCTAACAGTTTGTCTTTATGCTTGATAGCCTTCTCCAGACCAGACTTAATTCGCAATTCTTGATGAGGAAGAAGGTCCTTGGTAGAGATGTCCACCTTTCCAGAATTCTCCACTCCTGAAATTCAATAAGGAAGTCAAATGGTGTCAGCCTCTAAATACAAATTAGTTGTACCAGTGTGCAACAAAGAACAAAACATCAGAAGATCTGGTTCTGGCCTGATGGCCTGGAGCCTTCATTTCAACAGAAAACAAGTACACAGTCCAGGCCTTACCTGTACAGCAGTAAGCAGTGCTTGACACATGACAGGTTTTCAATAAATGGCAGGGATCTTTTCTTCCTTTATAAAAATTTGGTTCACTAAGGGCACCAAAGTATTTAAGAATGTGACATAAAAATGCCTTCTCAGTGAAGAAGACATTTGCTCAATATTACCTTTAAATATACGTTTTTTCAAGACAGGATCTAATGCTGTTGCCCAGTCTGGAGTGCAGTAGTGTGATCATAGCTCACTGCAGTCTCAAACTCTTAGGCTCAGGCGATCCTTCCACCTCAGCTTCCTGAATAGCTGAGACAACAGGCACATGCCATTGTGTCTGAATTTTTAAATTTTTGTAGAGAGGCGGGTCTCACTATGTTGCTCAGGCTGGTTTCAAAGTCCTGGCTTCAAGCAATCCTCCCAACTCAGCACCTCAAAGTACTGGGATTCCAGACATGATCCACTATGCCAGCCTAAATATACGTTTATATTATCAAAACTAAACACTAAATAATGGAAGAAAAAAGAAAATTTCACAAAAGGGGCAGAAAAAATGAACAGTTTCAGTTTAATGAGAACCTGCTAAATGCTGAGTCACTTAGTATACATGTTATTTAATTTTCGCAATAACCCTGTAAGACAGTTTGTATTATCTTTATTTTACAGATAAAGTAACTGAAGTTCAGAGATGACTATAAATTTACTGAGTTCACACAGTTAGAAATTAGACCAGTGGCCGGGTGCAGTGGCTCACGCCTGTAATCCCAGCACTTTGGGAGGCTGAGGCGGGCGGATCATGAGGTCAGGAGATCGAGACCATCCTGGCTAACATGGTGAAACCCTGTCTCCACTAAAAATACAAAAAATTAGCCAGGCATGGTGGCAGGCACCTGTAGTCCCAGCTACTTGGGAGGCTGAGGCAGGACAATGGCATGAACCTGGGACGCTGAGCTTACAGTGAGCCGAGACCGTGCCACTGCACTCCAGCTTGGGCGACAGAGCAAGACTCCATCTCAAAAAAAAAAAAAAGAAAAGAAAAAGAAATTAGACCATAGAAACAAAATCTGAGCTCGAGTATAACTCTAAAGCCAACATTGATTCCATGGTTGTGTTTTCTTCTTTGACAGCATATTGTAAATTTGTATATCCCAGAAAAGAGAGCCATAGATTATGATACACCCAAGATCCAAAATGGGTTAGGTGGCTGTGTGCAGTGGCTCACTCCTGTAATTGCAGCACTTTGGGAGGCTGAGGTGGGAGGATCACTTGAGCCTAGGAGTTCAAGACTAGCCTGGGCAACATGGTGAGAGCCCATCTGTACAAACAATTTAAAAATTAGCCAGACACGGTGGTACAAGCCTGTAGATCCAGCTACTTGGGAGGCTGAGGCAGGAGAATTGCTGCAGTAAAATGTGTTCATACCAATGTACTCCAGCCTGACAGAGACCGTCTAAAAACAAACAAACAAACAAGGACAGTACGTACAATCAGAACTATTTTTTCTCAGAATGATTACCTTAAAATCTAATTGAAAAAAACATAGAGGCATGTGCAACCTCATTAATAATAAAATTACAGGCCGAGCGCGGTGGTTCATGCCTGTAATCCCAGCATTTTGGGAGGCCAAGGTGGGTGGATCACCTGAGGTCAGGAGGCCTGGCCAACATGGCAAAACCCTGTCTCTACTATAAATGCAAAAATTAGCTGGGTGTGGTGGCAGGCGCCCGCAATCCCAGCTACTTGGGAGGCTGAGGCAGGAGAATTGCTTGAACCTGAGAGGCAGAAGTTGCAGTGAGCCAAGATCACGCCACTGCACTCCAGCCTAGGTGACAGAGACTCTGTCTCAAAACAAATAAATAAATAAAAATAAAAATAAAAAATAATAAAATTACAGCCTTTTACAACTAAAACAAATTTGAAATGTCAAAACTCAAGAGTGAACAGGATTCTGGGTACAATGCTAATATTGCTATAGATTAATATGATTTTTTTTTTTTGAGATGGAGTTTCACTCTCGTTGCCCAGGCTGGAGTGCAATGGTGCAATCTCGGCTCACTGCAACCTCCGCCTCCGGGGTTCAAGCAATTCCCAGCCTCAGTCTCCTGAGTAGCTGGGATTACAGGCATGTGCCACCATGCACGGCTAATTTTGTGTTTTTGGTAGAGACGGGGTTTCTCCACATTGGTCAGGCTGGTCTCAAACTCCCAACCTCAGGTGATCCGCCCGTCTCGGCCTCTCAAAGTGCTAGGATTACAGGCATGAGCCACCATGCCCGGCTATTTATATATTTTGACAAAATAATCTGGCAAATACATCTCAAGTGTCAAAAAAAGACACATTATTTGACATAGTAACATTATTCTTAGCAATTTATCACAAGGAAGTAAATCAAAAGCTATGTTAATAAAGGTGACAATTTGTAATATTATTTAAAATTTGGAAACAAATATCCAGTAATTAGGAAATAATCATACTATAATAAACCAAGTTAAAAGACTATTTTTAGCTACTAAAAACAATTATGAATATATAGCAAGATGGCAGCTAATTATGAATTAGTTGGAAAATGGAAAAACAAATGTTTTTACACAGATGACTACATTATAATCCCAACAAATCTGTCGATATAAAACAAAAACTACTATGAACCAAGGTAGGAACAAAATGAAATATTTGCGTAAGTAGTGAGTAATGAGTATATTGTTTTTCTTTTTAATAGTGTCCTTAACTGCTGGGCGCGGTGGCTCATGCCTGTAATTCCAGCACTTTGGGAGGCCGAGGCGGGTGGAACACGAGGTCAAGAGATCAAGACCACCATGGCCAACCAACATGGTGAAACCCCATCTCTACTAAAAATACAAAATTTAACTGGGCATAGTGGTGCACGCCTGTAGTCCCAGCTACGTGGCAGGCTGAGGCAGGAGAATCGCTTGAACCCAGGAGGCAGAGGTTGCAGTCAGCCAAGATTGCGCCACTGCACTCCAGCCCGGGCGAAAGAGCGAGACTCCGTCTAAAAAAAATTAAAAATAGGGGTGCGGTGGCTCGCGCCTGTAATCCCAGCACTTTGGGAGGCCAAGGCAGGTGGATCACAAGGTCAGGAGATCGAGACCATCTTGGCTAACACAGTGAAACACCGTCTATACTAAAAAAATACAAAAAAATTAGCCGGGCATGGTGGCGGGCGTCGCCAGTCTCAACTACTCAGGAGGCTGAGGCAGGAGAATGGCATGAACCTGGGAGATGGAGCTTGCAGCGAGCCGAGATCACGCCACCACACTCCAGCCTGGGCGACAGAGCGAGACTCCATCTCAAAACTAACTAACTAAATAAATAATAAATAAATAAAAATAATGTCCTTAACTGACCAAGTGCGGTGGCTCACGCCTGTAATCTCAGCACTTTGGGAGGTTGAGGTGGGCAGATCATCTGAGGTCAGGAGTTCGAGACCAGCCTAGTCAACATGGGAGAACCCCATCTCTACTAAAAATACAAAAAAATTAGCTGGACAAGGTGGCATGCGCTTGTAATCCCAGCTACTTGAGAGGCTGAAGCAGGAGAATCACTTGAACCCAAGTGGCGGAGGTTGCAGTGAGCTGAGATCGCGCCATTGCACTCCAGCCTGGGCAACAAGAGCAAAACTCCGTCTCAGAAAAAAAAAAAAAAATGTTGGCCGGGCGCGGTGGCTCACACCTTAATCCCAGCACTTTGGGAGGCTGAGGTGGGTGGAACACCTGAGGTCGGGAGCTCAAGACCAGCCTGACCAACATGGAGAAACCCTGTCTCTACTAAAAATACAAAATTAGTCAGGGTGGTGACGCATGCCTGTAATCCCACCTACTGGGGAGGCTGAGGCAGAAGAATCGCTTGAACCTGGGAGGCGAAGGCTGCGGTGAGCCGAGATCACACCATTGCACTCCAGCCTGGGCAAAAAGAGTGAAACTCCGTCTCAAAAAAAAAAAAAATGTCCTTAACCATTTTTGTCAGGTGTGTTTCAAGCATAAAAGGCATGCAAAATAATTAGAAAATAAGTAGAGTTCCTATATAACCTTCACATAGCTTCCTTTAATGTTACCATCTTATCTTACAAAACCATAGTACAATTATCAAAACTAAGAAATTAATATTGGTATAATACTATAGACAGACTATTTGGATTTTAACATTTTTTTCCCATTAATGTCATTTTTCTATTCTAGGATCTAATACTGGATCTATACTGCAATTAGTCGTCATATATATCCTTAATCTACTCTGATCTGTGACGTTTCTTCAATCTTTTCTTGTCTTTCATGACATTGTAAATCTCTTGTTCTTAAACTTTCAACCAATAATTTCAGTATCCATTGGTGGATCGTGCTTGTGGCAGTTACTACTGTAGTGTTCTAATTGTGATTTTCTAGTATTTTCATTTCTTGTACTTTATTAACTGGAATTCTTTTATAAGAAGTTGTCCTTTCTCCATTTTATTAACTTATTCAGTTATTTATACAAGTATGGTCACATGGATATTAATTTTATTTAGATTATAATGTAATACTATTATTTATTTTGCTGTTCAATGTTATGTAGTCTTAATAATTTTTCTAAAAAATAGATGCTTATAGAATGAGTGAATAGGCCAGGCACAGTGGGTCACATCTGTAATCCCAGTGCTTTGGGAGGCCGAGGCAGGCAGATCACTTGAGGTCATGAGTTCAAGACCAGCCTGGCCAACATGGCAAAACCCCACCCCTACTAAAAAAATGTAAATATTGGCTGGGCGTGGTGGCTTATGCCTGTAATCTCAGCACTTTGGGAGGCCAAGGTGGGCAGATCATGAGGTCAGGAGATCAAGACCATCCTGGCTAACATGGTGAAACCCCATCTCTACTAAAAAATACAAAACATTAGCCAGGCATGGTGGCATGTGCCTGTAGTCCCAGCTACTTGGCAGGCTGAGGCAGGAGAATTGCTTGAACCCAGAAGGCAGAGGTTGTAGTGAGCCGAGATCAGCGCCACTACACTCCAGCCTGGGTGACAGAGCGAGACTCCATCTCAAAAAAAAAAAAAAAAGTAAATATTAGCTACGCGTGGTGGCACACGCCTGCAATCCCAGCTACTAGGGAGTTTGAGGCAGGAGAATCACTTGAACCCAGGAGGCGGAGGTTGCAGTAAGCCAAGATCGCGTCACTGCTCTCCAGCCTGGGTGATAAGAGTGAGACTCCACATCAAAACAAAACAAAACAAAACAAAAAAAACCCCCCAAAAAAACTGAGAATGAGTGAATAAACTGCATCTTGCACTCCAGGATACAGAAAAGAGAAACAACCACAGACGCAACAAGGTACCCATCATCCCAGTGATCCAATTACAAGACTGCTGTCTACCTGACATGAGTTTCTTTAGCAGTTTCTGGCTCTTGTTTGAGTCACGCTGTAAAATATCTTGTTCCTCATGAGTACACACCTGTAAAATAGTAAGAGTAAGACATGTGATCCAACAGTTAAATTATATTGCTTTCTTGATATATCTAAAAGTAACCTGAAATTACACATTAGATGATGATAAAATAATGAGACTATTGGTGTTTTTTAATCCAAACACACCAAAATATAAAAATGCAAATGAGTTTTCTCCAGATCTCTTTCCATTTCTTTTTTATGACCCAAACAAAAAACTTATATCACTGCACATGTCCCTGAATGACTTAATGGTTTAGAAAAAAAAAAAAAAAAGGCTGGGCACAGTGGCTTATGACTGTAATCCCAGCACTTTGGGAGGCTGAGGTGGGCAGATTGCTTGAGTGCAGGAATTCGAGACCAGCCTGGGCAACATGGCCAAACCCCATTTCAACAAAAAAATGCAAAAATTAGCCTGGCGTGGTGGTGTGTGCCTATAGTTCCAGCTACTTAGGAGCTGGGACTTCTTTGTAGATATGGGGTTTTGCCATGTTGCCCAGGCTGGTCCTGAACTCCTGGGCTCAAGCAGTCTTCCCTCCTCAGCCTCCGAAAGCAATGGGATTATAGGCATCAGCCACCATACCTGGCTTCTGGTTCTTTCTAATAAGACATCTTCTTATAATTAACTTCTCTTGTCAGATTTGGGCTTCATGATTAGAACTGGGTTGCTTTTTATGGTAAAGTCACATATGTTTTATCTAGTATTCTCAACAGTGAGAAATATTTATCTTTGAGAGTACGTTATTTTTTCTTTTTTTCTTTCTTTTTTTTTTTTTGAGCAGGGTGTGGCTTTGTCACCCAGACTGGAGTGCGGTGGCACCATCTCTGCTCACTGCAACCTCCACCTCCCGGGCTCAAGTCATCCTCCCAACTCAGCCTTCCAAAGTGCTGGGATTACAGACATAAGCCAGCATGCCTGGCCTGAGACTCTGTCTAAAAAACAAACAAGGGCCAGGCGCAGTGGCTCATGCCTGTAATCCCAGCACTTTGGGAGGCCGAGGCAGGTAGATCACCTGAGGTCAGGAGTTCAATTGAGCGTGGTCAATATAGAGAAACCCTGTCTCTACTAAAAATACAAAAATTAGCTGGGCGTGGTAGTGGGCACCTGTAATCCCAGCTACTCAAGAGGCTAAGGCAGGAGAATCACTTGAACTTGAACCCAGGAGGCGGAAGTTGCAGTGAGCCACTGCACTCCAGGCTGGGCAAGAGAGTGAGACTCCATCTCAAAAAACAAACAAACAAACAAACTTCAAGGCCAATCTGCTTTACATTACTTCAAGGGACCTAGGAGAAAACACTGTACAATACTTCCTAGCAGTTGCCTCAATGACACACAGAGTTCCTGCCAGCAGCTATAAGAGCTTGCTCTAAAGAGAAAGCTCCATATGGGAGGAGATTTACTGCCATTTAATGGACATTTTTATTGGTAGACACTACATTTTTCAGGTCATCCATTGTCTATCAGCTTATTCTGAGCATATGAAAAAATTAAGGGTCCCACCAGGCACGGTGGCTCACACCTGTAATCCCAGCACTTTGGGAGGCTGAGATGGTTGGATCACCTGAGGTCAGGAGTTCTGAGACCAGCTTGACCAATATGGTGAAACCCTGTCTCTACTAAAAATACAAAAAATTAGCTGGGCGTGGTGGTGTGTCCCTGTTGTCCCAGCTACTAGGGAGGCTGAGACAGGAGAATTGCTTGAACCCAGGAGGCAGAGGTTGCAGTGAGCCGAGATTGTGCCACTGCTCTCCAGCCTGGGCGACAGAGTGAGACTCCGTCTCAAAAAAAAAAAAAAAAAAAAAAAAAAAAGGAAAAAAGAAAAAATTAAGGGCCCCATCAGAAAAGAGGAGAAAATGAAGTAATATAAAACGGATGCCTTTACCAACACCAAATGTCATTGCTTCTGACAGCCAGCTCAACTTGGTAAAATTAGCTTTCTAGATAGCTCATTAAGGGTTTCTGTGAGTCATTATCACTGCATTCTTGAGGTCATTCTCTCAGACAAAGCAGAGCTATGACAAGGTGGAATCCTGGAAATAGAAGCTATAATGATCTGAGGATTCTGTCACAGTGGCTCCTAGCCCTTGGATCTCTCAACAATGTATGTTCTCAAACCCTTCTCATTAATGGCCTCAGTACTAGGATATAACCTGGGGTTCTTTCTTTCTTCTGAGATAAGGACTCGCTGTCTCACTGCAGCCTGGACGTCCTGGGATCAAGTGAAGCTCCCATTTCAGCCCCTCATGTAAATGCTACCACAGGTGTGCACCACCATACCCAGCCCAGCTAATTAAAAACTTTTTTTTTTTTTTTTTTTTTTTTTTGTAGAGACAGGGTCTTCCTACATTGCCCAGGCTGGTCTCAAACTCCTGGGCTCAGGTGATCCTCCCACCTCAGCCTCCCAAAACCCACCTTGGCTTCCCAAAGTGTTGGGACTACAGGCGTGTGCCACTGTGCCTGGCCTAACCTTGGGTTTCTAACTAATCATATCCCTGACACTCGAGTTCACTGGATATTTTAGGGAAGAAATTTACTAAGAAAAAGAGAAAGCCAGGCACGGTGGCTGACGCCTGTAATCCCAGAACTTTGAGAGGCCGAGGTGGGCGGATCACAAGGTCAGGAGATCGAGACCATCCTGGCTAACACTGTAAAATCCCGTCTCTAATAAAAATACAAAAAAATTAGCTGGGCGTGGTGGCAGGCACCTGTAGTTCCAGCTGCTCGGGAGGCTGAGGCAGGAGAATGGCATGAACCCGGGAGGCAGAGCCTGCAGCGAGCCGAGATCGTGCCACTGCACTCCAGCCTGGGCGACAAAGTGAGACTCCGTCTCAACCAAAAAAAAACAAAAAAAGAGAAATTACTTGAGATCTGACTGGCTCTGCGTATTAACACAAAGCACAGTAAAATAAAATAGAAAAGAAATAATTTACCAGAGTGCCACAGAATAAGCAAGGGCCTGAGCCTTCTTGTTCACAGACAATGCGCCCACAGATCAGACAGTTATTGATGAGCTTGTGCTTCTGGCCCAGGCAATCACAAGGGTGACGACCAGGGAGCAGGACTGCAAGCCTGTCCTGTCCCTCTCTTGTGTATAAATTGACAAACTTTGTCTTCTTCTTTACGGAGTTGCTGTTCTCTTGTGCCTATCGTACAAAGACATCAAAATAACATCAAATAATTAATGACAATGTAAAAAGTCAAGGGAGAAAATGCTCCGTTCTGTTCAGTAACAACTTATATACTATCCAAGAACCAAGAAAGAAGGCAGTGAAAGGAAGAAATACAAATTAGTTATAATCAAGGTTCTGAGGAAAGGTTATACTCTAGAAAAACTAGCTGATAATTACCTTGTCTTTTCTGCTAGTAGCTTTCAGCCCATTACTATAGCTAGTGGAGGGTAAATGTAGCAGTTAAATCTGTTTATATGACATCTTTAAGCACAGCTAAATTGGAGATCATAAGAAACAAGAATGCCTCTAAAAGCAGATGATATTCACAGATTTGGAAATATGGGCCATCAATAAAATAGGAAAAATAAATATAAAGTTGACTTAATCAGAAACCACTAAGAAAAGGACAGATAATACAATAGAAAAACAGAAGGTGGAGGTTGCAGTTAGTCGAGTTGACGCCACTGGGCAACAGAGCGAGATCCTATCTCAAACAAAAAAAGGGCAAAAAAAACCTAATAAGAACTTCATAACAAAAGATATCCTAATGACTAACAGGCATATGAAAAAGTGCTCAATTTCATTAGTCGTCAAAATAATGCAAAAACGAAAACAAAATGCAATACCACTAAATACCAACCAGAATGGCTAAACTGAAAAAGAGAAAATATGAAGTGTTAGCAAAGATACAAAAGAATTAGACCTCTCATACACTGCTGGCAGGACTGCAAACTCATATCAACTGAAGTTGAACATATGCATGTTCTATGACACAGCAATTCAACTCCTAGATATATACTAAACAGAAATGTGTAAATATGTTCACCAAAAATACATACAAGAATGTTCACTGTTGCATTGGAATTGGAAACTATCCAAATAATAGAATGGATAAATTGTGATGTGTTCACTTAATACAATTCTGTGTAGCAATGAGAATGAGAAAGTATAGCTGCCCAGAGTAGAGATGAATCTCATAAATTGAAAGAAGCTAGACACTGGCTGGGCACAGTTGCTCATGCCTGTAATCCCAGCACTTTGAGAAGCCAAGGCAGGCAGATTGCTTGAGGTCAGGAGTTCAAGACCAGCCTGGCCAACATGGTGAAACCCCATCTCTACTAAAAATACAAAAATTAGCTGGGTGTGGTAGCATGTGTGCCTGTAATCACAGCTACTTGGGAGACTGAGGCAGGAGAATCGTTTGAACCAGGGAGGCAGAGGTTGCAGTGGGCCAAGATTGCGCCACTGCACTCCAGCCTGGGTGACAGAGCAAGACTCCGTCTCAAAAAAAAAAAAAAAAAAAAAAAAAAAAGCAGCTAGATACAAGAGTACACACTATTTAGCTCCATTAATTTAAAGTTCAAAAACAGGGCTGGGCGCGGTGGCTCACGCCTGTAATCCTAGCACTTTGGGAGGCCAAGGTGGGTGGATTGCCTGAGCTCAGCAGCTCAAGACCAGCTTGGGCAACTCGGTGAAACCCCATCTCTACTAAAATACGAAAAATTAGCTGGGCGTGGCAGTGTGCGCATGCAGTCCCAGCTACTTGGGAGGCTGAGGCAGGAGAATCGCTTGAACCCAGGAGGCAGAGGTTGTGGTGAGCTGAGATTACACCACTGCATTCCAGCCTGGGCGACAGAGCGAGACTCTGTCTCAAAAAAAAAAAAAAGAAAATTAGCTGGGTATGGTGGCGCATGCCTGTAGTCCCAGCTATTCGGGAGACTGATGCAGGAGAATCACTTGAACCCAGGAAGCGGAGGTTGCAATGAGCAGAGATCGCACCACTGCACTCCAGACTGGAAACAGAGCAAGACTCTGTCTTGGGGAAAAAAAAAAAAAAAAGCAAAGATGTCTTTATAATACTAATCAGGTTGCCAAACAAAAAATCTACCATATAGAAAGGAGTATATGTAACTTTTTCTACCTAAAATTCATGCATTTGTTGAAAAATTGCCATTCTAGACCAATTTGTACACTTTGCTCTCTGAAATGTATTAGTCACTTCCTCTTCTCCAATAGTCAGAAAAAGCTTCAATCTATAAGCACTCACCTTGGCCAAATCAAAAGGTGTTTTAACCTCTGCAGTCGTGTCAGGTTCAGTAAATGCAGGAACTTCCTGTCTGTTTCTCCCTTTCTTCCTACCCCGCTTTAGATGGTCGCCTGATTTCTGCCCATCTAAAATTTCTTTAAAGATAGAAAAAAAAAAATACACACACACACAGATTGATAAGAGGATTCCTGGTGAACTAATATAGCTAATAAACTAAGGTGATGCTTAATATTTAGAGTCAAGATATCATCAGGAAGATTTTTAATTATCTTTTCCTGTCAAACCAGAATTAAATTTAAATCATCATTTCCAAGAGTGCAGTCAATGAAAAAGAAGTCAAACAAGTGGCTGGGACTAAGAAGTTAAATTAAAATCTGATATTCTAAAATCAGGCTTAGTGGCTCACATGCATAATCCCAGCACTTTGAGAGGCCGAGACAGGTGGACCGTTTGAACCAAGGAGTTTGAGAGCACCCTGGACAACAGAGTGAGACCCTATCTCTAGAAAAAAATACAAAAATTAGCCAGGTGTGGTAACACACGCCTGTAGTCCCAGCTACTCAGGAGGCTGAGGTGGGAGAATCATCTGAGCCCAGGAAGCAGAGGCTGCAGTGAGCTAGGATCAAGCCACATCACTCCAGCCTGGGCAATGAAAGTGAGACCATGTCTCAAAACAAACAAAATTCTGATATTGTAGATTGCATAATAACTTAGATTATTTAGTTTGGTGCTTATCTTTTGTACTATTTAAGCAGTTATCTCTAAATGCTATTCATACTATAGTCAATCAACACTTTACTTACATCCAGGTATGCACGACTGAAAAATGTTTCTTTATGTATAAATTTTTCAAATTATTCTGAAGCCACATTTGTGTCTGTAAACACACATTTTTTTGTGATATTTTCCTTTTTTTTTTTTTTTTTTGAGATGGAGTCTCGCTCTGTCGCCCAGGCTGGAGTGCAGTGGTGCTATCTCAGCTCACTGCAAGCTCCACCTCCCAGGTTCACGCCATTCTCCTGCCTCAGCCTCCTGAGTAGCTGGGACTACAGGCGCCTGCCTCCATGCCTGGCTAACTTTTTGTATTTTTAGTAGAGATGGGGTTTCACCGTGTTAGCCACGATGGTCTCGATCTCCTGACCACGTGATCCGCCCACCTCAGCCTCCCAAAGTGCTGGGATTACAGGCGTGAGCCACCACGCCCGGCCTTTTTGTGATATTTTCTAAGTTGAAAAAGAACTAGAGCAATATTCATTACGGATTGAGTAGAACCGAACTAAAAATATGTATACATATGACTCTGTTTAAGTTAGCTGTGAAGAAACACAAGATGGCAAAAAAAAAAATAATAATAATAATTCTTTAAGCCTGCCCACTTACCAATATTTCAACATTTGCATAATTACATTAACTTACCATCTTTTTTGAAGCACTGCTGCAAAGGATCCGAAATCAACTCCTGATCATTCTTTTGCCATTTGGTTATAAGTTCTTCTATGAATTGACCTTTTTTGCCTTCATTTCCCTGGAGGAGATCAGTAACATATTCTCGTATCTCTTCAGCACTCTCAATTGACAAAACGTACCTCAGGAGGCAAAGATATAAGTTGTTGAAACAAGACTAACTTACACTGTTTCTCAGTAATCTTAACAGAGATCTAGGTAGTAAAAACCATTCATTAATCTATTAGAGTGTTTACTTTGAGCCAAGTACTATGCTAGGTGCTAGAAATACGATACGATCCTAACTGGTATGAATGTATACATACATACACTTATGTGTAGGAAAAAAACAACGTTATACACCAAAACGATTACTAGTGAGTGATGGAATTAAAGGTAGTTTTATTTTTATTTTCTTTTTTCCTACAATAAATACGTTTTTAAAATGTATTACATTATAATATATATGGGAAAAAAGAGAAAGAAACAGTGCTTATTTCTGGGTTGTAGTATTATGGTAATTTTAGTTTACTTTTTTATCCTTTTCTGATTTTTTTAGTTTTCTACAGTGAACATCTTATCATTACAAGAGAAAGAAGTGATAAAAATTACTTATAAATTAACACATAAGCGGCCGGGCGCGGTGGCTCACACCTGTAATCCCAGCACTTTGGGAGGCCGAGGCGGGCGGATCACCAGGTCAGGAGATCGAGACCATCCTGGCTAACACGGTGAAACCCTGTCTCTACTAAAAAAAAAAAACAAAAAAAAATTAGGCGGGTATGGTAGCAGGCGCCTGTAGTCCCAGCTACTCGGGAGGCTGAGGCAGGAGAATGGTGTGAACCCAGGAGACAGAGCTTGCAGTGAGCTGAGATCGTGCCACTGCACTCCAGCCTGGGCAAGTGAGACTTCCTCTCAAAAAAAAAAAAAAAAAAAATTAACATACAAGACACTGAAAACAGCACAGAAACTGTAATTCAGACACAATGATATGGAATGCAAGAAAAATTATTACCATAGTGCTATATCCTTTAACTTTTTAAAAATTATGAAATTGTCCTATGATTGGTATCGTATGTACTGCATTCTTTTCACAGTGTAATGGTGGAATTGCAGAATTATGCTCTAGAGGTAAACAAATTTGTGCCTTTGGGCCTCACTAAGAGAATATTCTGTCTGGGTTCGGGAGCCCATGCCTGTAATCCCAACAATTTGGGAGGCTGAAGCTGGAGGATCACTTGGGCCCAGGAGTTTGAGACCAGCCTGGGCAACATAGGGAGACCTTGTCTCTAGAAGAAAAATTAAAATTAGCCAGGCATGGAGGCATGTTCCTGTAGTCCTAGCTACTTGGGAGGCTGAGGTGGAAGGATCCTTTGAGTCTCAGAGGTGAAGGCTGCAGAGCCATGATTGCACCACTACATTCCAGCCTGAGCAACAGAATGAGACTCTGTCTCAAACAAGCAAAAACGGTGGGGCATGATGGCTCCCAGCACTTTGGGAGGCTGAGGCGGGTGGATCACCTGAGGTCAGGAGTTAGAGACCAGCTTGGCCAACATGGTGAAACCGTCTCTACTAAAAATACACACACACATACACACACCCCCCAAAAACAGGCATCTTCTAATTACTATGGATTAGAAAAGACAATGGTTTTTCAGGACTTACACATTTTAATCATCTTGATCCCCAAACTTACCAGTCCCCACCAAAAGATTAACTGCTATCAAAGACTTGCAAAACTGTAAGGAATCCCAAGGGATCATTTAACCCTGGAGGGTTTTTTTGTTTTTTCAGACAGAGTCTCATTTAGTCTCCCAGGCTGGAGTGCAGTGGTGCGATCTCAGCTCACTGCAAACTCCATCTCCCAGGTTCAAGCGATTCTCCTACCTCAGCCTCCTGAGTAGCTGGGATTACAGGCGTGCACAACCACACCCGGCTAATTTTTGTTTTGTTTTGTTTTGTTTTTGCTTTTTTTTAGTAGAGACGGGGTTTCACTATGTTGGCCAGGCTGGTCTCGAAGTCCTGACCTCAAGTGATTTGCCCGCCTCAGCCTTCCAAAGTGCTGGAATTACAGGCTGAGCCGCTGCACCTGGCTTTTTTTTTTTTTTTTTTTTTTTTGAGACAGAGTCTCACTCTGTCACCCAGGCTGGAGTGCAGTGGTGCTATCTTGGCTCACTGCAACCTCTGGCTCCTAGGTTCAAGAAATTCTCCTGCCTCAGCCTCCTGAGTAGCTGGGATTGCAGGCGTGCACCACTGCGCCCGGCTAATTTTTTGAATTTTTAGTAGAGACAAGGTTTTGCCATGTTGGGCAGGCTGGTCTTGAACTCCTGACCTCAAGTGATCAACCCACCTCAGCCTCCCAAAGTGCTGGGATTACAGGTTGAGCCACTGCACCTGGCCAACCCTGGAGTATTTTTCAAACAACCAGGGAAGAGAGTTTCAGAACCATTTGAATAAATGTCATTTTAACTACTTAACAAGGTATAATAAAGAACAACATTCATCCAAATATGTTATATACCAAATCTTATCAAAATAATATGAACTCATCCAGATTGTGGACCAAAGTTTATTTTGTTAACTCTGTGGATAGCTATTTATGTCTTATAAATGTATCACTAATTAGAAAGTTAAGGCCGGGTGCAGTGGCTCACACCTGTAATCCCAGCACTTTGGGAGGCTGAGGCGGGCAGACCACGAGGTCAGGAGACCGAGACCATCCTGGCCAACCTGGTGGAATCCCATCTCCACTAAAAATACAAAAATTAGCTGGGCATGGTGTCACGCGCCTGTAGTCCAAGCTACTGGGGAGGCTGAGGCAGGAGAATTGCTTGAACCTGGGAGGTGGAGGTTGCAGTGAGCCGAGATCCTGCCACTGCACTCCAGCCTGGGCGACAGAGTGAGACTCCGTCTCAAAAAAGAAAAAAAAAAAAGTTAATAGCTCTGTGCTATTTCAAAAATTCAGTCCACTCATATAAAATTGTTCAAGTTAGTACATTACTGTAGTACATACACCTGGGTAATTCTCAATTAAATGCCAGGCAAGGCACAGCAAATGCTTTCATCATGGCATAATAGCCTGTTGTGGAATACTAGTGAATACCTAACAAATGCTTCAAATAGTATCTTAGCGTAATACATGCCGACGGGCACTGACCTCCTTCCCAGGCGGAATATAATTTTTTTTTTTTTTTGAGACGGAGTCTCGCTCTGTCGCCCAGGCTGGAGTGCAGTGGTGAGATATTGGCTCACTGCAACCTCTGCCTCCTGGGTTCAAGCGATTCTCCTGCCTCAGCCTCCCGAGTAGCTGGGATTACAGGTGCCCGTCACCATACCTGGCTAATTTTTTTTTGTATTTTTAGTAGAGACGGGGTTTCACCATGTTGGCCAGGCTGGTCTCGAACTCCTGACCTCAGGTGGTCCACCTGCCTTGGCCTCCTAAAGTGCTAGGATTACAGGCGTGAGCCACCACGCCTGGCCTGAGAACGCATTTTCTTGATACTGTGTAATCCAAACAAAATACAACTGGATTCTAGACTGAGAAGACTACATCTATCATTCTTACCCTATTTCAAATTGTTAATTTATCAAAAATAGCCTCAATCTTTCTTTTTTCCTTTTTTTTTTTGAGACGAGGTCTCACTCTGTCACCCAGGATGGAGTGCAGTGGTGCGGTATCAGCTCACTGCAACCTCTGCCCCGCGGTTCAAGGGATTCTCCTGCCTCAGCCTTCCGAGTAACTGAGATGACCTGCACGCTCCACCACACCCGACTAAGTTTTGTATTTTTAGTAGAGTGGGGGTTTCGCCATGTTGGCCAGGCTGGTCTGAAATTCCTGACCTCAAATGATCCATCTGCCTCGGCCTCCCAAAGTGCTTAGATTACACACATGAACCACTGCGCCTGGCCACCTCAATCTTTTTTTTTTAATACTGTATTTAATATAATACACATATTTAATATATTTAATATAATATTTGATATATTTAATATTTAATATATTTAATATAATATTTGATATATTTAATATTTAATATATTTGATATTTAATATATTACACATATTTACAATAAATATGTGAAAATTGGGCCAGGCGTGGTGGCTCATGCCTGTAATCCCAGCACTTTGGGAGGCTGAGGCGGTTGGATCATCTGAGGTCAGGAGTTCGAGACCACCCTGGTCAACATGGTGAAACCCCATCTCTAGTAAGAATACAAAAATTAGCCAGGCATGGTGGTGCGCGCCTGTAATCCCAGCTGCTCGGGCTGAGGAAAGAGAATCGCTTGAACGTGGGAGGCGGAGGTTGCAGCGAGCTGAGATCGCACCACTGCACTCCAGCCTGGGCAACAGAATCTGTCTCAAAAAAAAAAAAAAAAAAAAGTGAAAATTTTGAACTTATATTCGTAAAAAACACTTTTCTGTTTTATATATTGCAAAGTTTCATTATTTCATTTGATAGCATTCCACTGCTTTAAAAAATGTTTGAAAACTACTAAATACTTAATCTGACTGCGTTCAAGCAAGGGTAAAGCCAAACCATAAGATTTCGCTGTTTTGTTTTGTTGTCTATTCTAGTGTTAAAAAAAATCCTTTATCTTGTTGTTTACTTTTTTTATTTCTGTAGAGACAGGGTCTCACTATGTTGCCCAGGGTGGTCTCCAACTCCCAGTCTCAAGCAATCCTCCCACCTCTACCTCCCAAAGTGCTGGGAATAAGGGCTTGAGCCATCTCCTAGGGCCTCAAAAAAATCCATTAAAATAACCTACTTGAACTGTCTCCTTGCCAAAAGTCTATTTTCTCCGAAACTCAGAAACTCATCTTACTTCCTACAAAAGCCCTAGAACAGCAATTTAGGTTTCAACATCAGTGACCAAGGAATCAAATGAAGGAACACTTTCAGTTCTTCGATCAAGTCCCATTTTTGTAGTTTTCTCCCCTGCCTGAACACTTTGGACCGCCACCTCTGTCTATTCCTTAGTTCTCGGGTGAAAGTTATCCTTTCCAATAAACCTTCCGAGTTTTTCAAATCTTAATGAGAATCCTTTATTTTGTGCTCCAACAAGCCCCTTCATTTCCCCAACCTCAGCACTCATCAACGAAGGGGAACCCAACTGTCTTGTCTTTGTTACCCCAGCACCTGGCGTGTAACAGCAGCGCAACAAATGTTCTTCAATCAGTTGAAAGTAGATATTAAGTCATGTACACCATCTCCATTTCATAGGAGTCATAAAGCATGATAAGCTCTACTAATGATTAATCTTATAAATGAAGAAACCAGGGTACAGAGAGAAAAATTAAGTTGTCCTGGGTTCTAAAACAGGTAAACGACAACAGAATATAGAACCTGAGACTCCAGAGTCAGAAGCTATTTGTACTCTACCACGCTGCTTCCACTTAAATTCTAGGTCCTATTGACACAGCTGACCCTGTTGGCTCTACTGACACAACTCAGATTGGGCCGACTAAAATGTTCAGAGTATATCTGGGTGCGGTGGCTCATGCCTGTAATCCCAGCACTTTGGGAGGTCGAGGCGGGCGGATCACTTGAGATCAGGAGCTGGAGACTAGCCTGGCCAACATGGTGAAACACTGACTCTACTAAAAATTTTTAAAAATTAGCCGGGTGTGGTGGTGCGTGCCTGTAATCCCAGCTACTTGGGAGGCTCAGGCAGGTGAATCACCTGAACCCGGAAGGCGGAGGTTGCAGTGAGCCAAGATCGCGCCACCGCACGCCAGCCTGGGCGACAGAGACTCCGTCTCAATAATAACAACAATAATAATAAATAAATAAAAGAGTAAGGGGTTCAAAGTTAGGAAATACAGTTTGACCTGCCCCTTCTCTCTAGAAAGGAAACTGGCTCCTGGGACAGCCTTGCATTTCTAATTATTACAGATTGGGCGTCTTCCCAGGAAAAAAGCCCGACCGGCAGACTGTGGAGCCGGACACCCTATTCCAGAAACTAAACTACAAAGGTGGAGGCCAAAATTCGACGCCTACAGACTACAGACTGCAGCCCCTTTATCACATTTCTCTCTTAACTTTTCAGTCCTCCCCGCTTCCCGGTTCGCTCAGGCAGTGCACATCCCAGAGCTCCTTCCCCGCTTGGACCCGAACTGTTCTCACTGAATGATCTCCTCGCTGACATCCAGGCCGAAAGTCTTCCGCAACTGCTGGGTGCACCAGTGCACCAGCGGCTCCCCGGACACCGCCCCAGCCACCGCCATCTTCCCCAGCCGGAACCAGCTGAGCTGCAAAAGCCCCACGTCCTGCACCGGACTAGTTCCCTTCGCAACACCAACCTCTCTCACGCGGGTTCCGCCAGCTTGCACCGCCCCGCAAGGTCGCACCGCCTCCAGTGCAGATCCCGCCCATCTGTGCGCCTCCTGCTTCTTCCTGCTTTGTTGTCTACTTCCTTGTGCCCTCCGGAGTCGAGCTCTGTCAGTGCATGATTCTTGCCAATCGCTAAACGTAGGACTCGAGGAAGGCCATTGGCAATTCTGCTAAGAAGACAGTGCAAGTGCCTATAAAAACGACAGTTTAGGGGGAAAACAAACCAATACCCGGAAAGCTGAGAGGCCAGCTTTTTAATCGTCATGGTTTTATGTAAAATAAAACAGCACGTGGAAGGTATTGTAAGCGCTGTAAGTTTTTGCTCTGGTGGTGGTTTTAATTTTTTAATTAATTAATTAATTTATTTATTTATTTTGAGACGGAGTCTCGCACTGTCGCCCAGGCTTGAGTGCAGTGGCATGATCTCGGCTCACTGCAAGCTCCGCCTCCCGGGTTCATGCCATTCTCCTGCCTCAGCCTCCCAAGTAGCTGGGACTACAGGCACCCGCCACCACGCCCGGCTAATTTTTTTTGTATTTTTAGTAGCGACGCGGTTTCACGTGTTAACCGGGATGGAGTGTTTATTTTTAATACCCCCTGTAGTCGACTACTAGATTCACACCGCTAAAACTTCTATTTTATTTTTTGAGCCATGTATTTTCCAGGAGAGCCAAGACAACTCAGCAAGCTCGAGGGTAAAAAACAGTAAAACAGGAGTTGGAATTTGGCTTTGAGGACTTTCCACATGAGTTCTCAACCAAAAATGACAGTATTTAAGGGCTGTCTGCAATTCCCTACCCCGCTAAGACAATGGGCTGGGGAAAATTTAGCCAAACTTTTCTGGAGATCATAATGTCTTCCCATTCATTTCTGGCTTTTTGTTGCATTTGCAGGTTAAAAGTTCTTCATTTCTACTAGCCTGTTTAGACTAAGTGGTCACATTAAATTGGCAGCTGTTTTACCTTTTTGCTAGTGTTTTCATTGGCATAAATATTATAATTAAAATCATGAGTGTATTGGCCGGGCGCAGTGTCTCATGCCTGTAATCCCAGCGCTTTGGGAGGCCGAGGCGGGAGGATCACCCGAGCGCACACGGAGACACACACACAAACACACACACACACACACACACACACACTGGGCGTGGTGGCTCATGCCTGTAATGCCAGCACTTTGGGAATCAGAGGCAAGAGGATCACTTGAGCCCAGGAGTTCCGGACCAGTCTGGGCAGCATAAGGAGAATCCTCATCTCTACAAAAATGAAAAAAATTAGCCTGGCATGGTGGCACATGCCTGTAGTCTCAGCTACTTGAAAGGCTGAGGTGGGAGGATCACTTGGGCCTGGAAGGTCAAGCTTGAAGTGAGCCCTGATTGCACTACTGCACTCCAGCCTGGGCGACAGAGCAAGGCCTTTTTACAAAAACAAAACAAAACCTCATAAGTGTATTGATTTACATTCCATTTAGATTGTCGTAGATATCATTAATTTGGAAAGCAGATGATTTTCCAGGGTTTTTTTTTTTAAGAAAAAGTCAAAATACTCTGTGAATGTTTATTAATTGTGGGTACAAGTTTTGTTTCTTTGTAAAACTCCACTACATTTAATAATAATTGTAAGGTATCAAAGTCATTTACCTGTTTATTTATTCAGTCCCTGTGTTAGGGTTCTCCAGAGACAGAACCAATAGGATAGATAACAGATAGATATAGATACAGATCTATGAGGAGATTTATTAGGGAATTGGCTCAGGAAATTATGGAGACTGAAAAGACCCATGACAGGCCATCTGCAAGCAGGAGACCCTGGAATGCTGGTAGCTGGCTCAGTCCAAGTTGTGAAATCTTCAAGTCTCAAGGTGGAGGGCCTGGAGTTCTGATGTCTGGGAGCAGAAGTCTGAGAAGAGTGTCTCAGCTCCAGAAGGAAGAAATATTTTTTCTCACCTTTTTTGTTCTGGGTCCTTGGTTAATTGGATGGTGCCCGCTCACATTGAGAGCAGATCTGCCCCACTCAGTCCACTGACTCACATGCCAGTCTCCTTTGGAAATACCCTCAAAGGCACCCAGAAGCAATGCTTTACAAGTTATCTAGGTATTTCTTTTTCTTTTTCTTTTTTTTTTCTTTTTCTTTTTTTGAGATGGAGTTTCCTCTTGTTGCCCAGGCTGGAGTGCAATAGTGCAATCTTGGCTCACCACAACCTCCGCCTCCCGGGTTCAAGCGATTTTCCTGCCTTAGCTTCCCGAGTAGCTGGGATTACAGGCATGTGCCACCATGCGCGGCTAATTTTGTATTTGTAGTAGAGATGGGGTTTCTCCATGTTGGTCAGGCTGGTCTCAAACTCCCGACTTTAGGTGATCCTCCCGCCTCGGCCTCCCAAAGTGCTGGGATTACAAGCCCTCTAGGTATTTCTTAATCTGGTCAAGTTGACACCTAAAATTAACCATAACAGTCTCCATAACTAAAACATTAAGTGCTTGAAGGCAGAGACTATGACTTAAGTTTTTTCATATAATATAATTTAGTATGTCATACATGTTATGATAAGTACGTCCTCCAGAATAACATAGGTGGCTGGGTACCGTAGCCCACACCGGTAATCTCAGCATTTTGGGAGGCTGAGGTGGGAGGATTGGTTGAACTCGGAAATTCGAGACCAGTCTGGGCAATATCAGGAGACCCTGTCTCTACAAAAAAAACCTAAAAATTAGCTAGGTGTGGTGGCAAGCTCCTGTGTTCCCAGCTACTTGGAAGAGGATCACCTGAGCTCAGGAGGCGAGGCTGCAGTAAACTGTGATCACACCACTGCACTCTAGCCTGCGTGACAGAGTGAGACCCTGTCTCAAAAAAAGAAAAAGGCATTCTTTTCTCATAAGTCATATGTTAATTATGATGTAATTATAATGCAATTTATTATTACTGTCATTTGTTAAATTACATTTCTGCCTGAGCAATGCAAGCACACCCATTTAGCAAGACTTAAAGATCTCTTTTTTCTTTTCTTTTCTTTTTTTTTTTTTTTTAGACATTCTTGCTCCATCACCCAGGCTGGAGTGCAATGGCATGATCTGGGCTCACTGCAACCTCCACCTCCCAGGTTCCAGTGATTCTCCTGCCTCAGCCTCCCAAGTAGCTGGGATTACAGGCACCAGCCATCATGCCTGGCTAGTTTTTGTATTTTTGTAGAGATGGGGTTTCACCATTTTGGCCAGGCTGGTCTCGAACTCCTGACCTCAGTTGATCTACCTGCCTCTGCCTCCCAAATTGCTGGGATTATAAGCATGAGCCACTGCGCCGGCCAAGATTTTCTTTGGTATAAATGTAGGCAGGCCAGTTGCAGTGGCTCACACCTGTAATCCCAGCACTTTGGGAGGCCGAGGCAGGCAGATCACCTGAGGTCAGGAGTTCAAGACCAGCCTGGCCAGCATGGTAAAACCCTGTCTCTACTGAAAATACAAAAGTTAGCTGGATGTGGTGGCACATACCTGTAATCCCAGCTACATGGGCGGCTGAGGCATGAGAATTGCTTGAACCGGGAGACAGAGGTTGCATTGAGCTGAGATCGTGCCACTGCATTCCAGCCTGGATGACAGAGTGAGACTCTGTCTCAAAATTAATAAATAAAATAAATAAATTTAGGCAGAAATTGTATTGATACATACTGTAACTTTTCTTAATGCCCTAGGCCTTTGAAATTTTCAGGTTCACTCCACACCACTCTCTGTGTTTTATTTCATTATAAAAATTGTGTTTAATTGCTTCTGCAAAGCAAACATTTCAATGAAGAACTTTTACTAGGCATCAGCACTTTTTTTTTTTCTCTAGCATGCATTCTTCATTATCATCGTTGGTGTTAAAATGACAAACATGCAAACAAAAACAAACACACAACTATAGTAATATGTAGACTGCCCCGGGTGGAAATATATATTTGATACTCTTTCTGGCAACTTGCTTGGCAGGTGGGCAAGGAGAAAAGACTATCTTATTCTTTCTGCAGGAATCTGGAATATAAGTTCAAATTAAGTAATTCAGACCTATGTAGAAGCCACTTAAACTGGAAAGGAAATAATGGCATTTAAGAACCACTGTGCTGGCCAGGTGTGGTGGCTTACACTTGTAATCCCAGCACTTTGGGAGGCTGAGGCAGGCAGATCACTTGAGGTCAGGAGTTTGAGACCAGCCTGGCCAACATGGTGAAACCCTGTCTCTACTGAAAATACAAAAATTAGCCGAGTGTTTTGGCACGTGTCTGTAATCCCAGCTACGTGGGAGGCTGAGGCAGGAGAATTGCTTGAACCCGGGAGGCGGAGATTGCAGTGAGCCGAGAACACGCCACTGCATTCCAACCTGGGCGAAGAAGTGAGACTCCATCTCAAAAAAAAAAAAACACACACACAAAAAAACCACTGTGCAATGAGATGGGCCATGAGGACAAAAAACAAAGGAATGCCCTGGGTCTTGTGGATTTTTCCGGTTGATTTGGCTGTAACCTTAGATACCAAGGTTAAGACAAAACTACAGGTAATTGCCAATACATTTTCTATTATTGTGTTAATTTAACCTGTTGCCTAGATTCCTTAAATCTGTGTTACAGAGTGCAGTTGTTGATTCTGTTAAAGTACTGAGTAGCCTAATTCTAAGTTCGAGCAATTCATTGGAGAGAATTAATGCTGTGTTTACACTTCTAGAGTAGCCTTTCAAGTGAGCATTTAACAGAATACATCCCAAAGCAAGTTCATCTGATCCTGTTTTTTGTTGTTGTTTTTAGAGACGGAGACTCGCCCTGTCGCCCAGGCTGGAGTGCAGTAGCGTGATCTCGGCTCACTGCAACCTCCGCCTCCCGGGTTCAAGGAATTCTCCTGCCTCAGCCTCCAGAGTAGCTGGGACTACAGGCACATGCCGCCACTCCCAGCTAATTTTTTATTTTTTATTTTTATTTTTATTTTAGTAGAGACTGGGTTTCACCATGTTGCCCACGCTGGTCTCGAACTCCTGAGCTCAGGCAATCTGCCTGCCTCGGCCTCCCAAAGTGCTAGGATTACAGGTGTGAGCCACCATGCCTGACCGATTCTGTTTTATGTATGGTATTTAGAGAGTGAAAATCACTCCCCAGGGGTGTTGTGAGTAATTAGAAGGTAAGCATAAAGATAGAAAAAAATTATGACCCTTTATCCTAGAGTTATGCTCACTGTGTGACAGCGATGTGGTCTTACCACATTTGGCAGGGTCTTTTCGTTTCGTTTCGTTTCATTTCATTTCCTTGCCTTGCCTTGCCTTTCTTTTCTTTTTTCTTTTCTTTTCTTTCTTTCTTTTCTTTTCTTTCTTTCTTTCTTTTTTTTTTTTGAGACAGGATCTCGCTCTGTCGCCCAGGCTGGAGTGCATGGTGTGATTATGGCTCACTGCAACCTCTCCCTCCTAGGCACAAGCAATCTCCCGTCTCCTGAACTCAAGCCATCCTCCCACCTCAGCCTCCCGAGTAGTTGGGATTACAGGAACATGCCACTGCACCCGGCTAATTTTTGTATATTTTTTGTAGAGACGGGTTTCACCGTGTTGGTCAGGCTGGTCTCGACCTCCTGGGGTCAAGCGATCTGCCCGCCTCGGCCTCTCAAAGTGCTGGGATTACAGCCATGAGTCCCCGCTCCTGGCAGATTTGGCAGATTATTTAGGAGCTCTGACACCATTCGGTTCTCAAGAAGACGTTTTATTAGTTTCTTTTTATGTGTGTATGTATATACAATCCCCCTAGTTTTTGTTTAGTCTCACATCATCCTAAAGACATTTAAAAAAACCCTTGTAAACAAGTTGTATTAGCTTCCTTTTCCCCATTCCATAGAATTGTTTTAGTATGGATGCTGTACAAAGAGTTCATGCCTGGGGGACTAAAGGAAAGTTCTCAAGTTCTTTTAATTTTGATTTGCATCAAAAAGTCCGCTTAATTTCAGGTTTCACCTCCAGGAGTCAATCATTATGGACTTAAAGCTATAGTAACTTTTGAAGATCGTTTGTAATTCGCTGTCTTTGCTAGGTTTTCTTTTCTAAGCAGGCTCATTTCTGTAGTTCAGAAACTTAGCACCCACTAGTCGGGTACCCCTGGAGAGTCCTGGTACCGCCCACCTGGGGCGCCTACGAATCCTAGGCCTTTGCGTGTTGATGGACGGATTCGCGCTGCAAGAAGCCTCGCCGCTGTCACCACTGGGCATTGGCAATTGGTTCAGGGGGAACGGCGCGGAACCAATGGGAGCGGTGGCTCGGGAGAGACCTTGGAGCGCGCGGGAAAGAGACCAATATAAACTGTGGCGGGATAGTTTTCGGGTCCTTGTCCAGTGAAACACCCTCGGCTGGGAAGTCAGTTCGTTCTCTCCTCTCCTCTCTTCTTGTTTGAACATGGTGCGGACTAAAGCAGACAGTGTTCCAGGCACTTACAGAAAAGGTGAGGCGATCGAGTGTGGTACTGGAGGGCGGGGGGGTCCTCCCGGCAGCCTGGCCACGGGCGACAGACGCCAGAGGTCCCCCTGGGCCCTGTGCGCCAAACTCATCTAGCTAGCCAGGGAGTAGCCGCCTGGCCCCTTTACCTAGAAGAGGAAGTCGCAGGGGCAGGGTAAGGTTATCCTGCTGTTCTGGATCGCCAGGCTCTCCTCTCCAAGCTGCTGGGGTCCAGGACTCGGTGTCGGAACCCTCCTGCCCCTTCTGAACACCCTTTTTTGCCTCTCTTCACAGTGGTGGCTGCTCGAGCCCCCAGAAAGGTGCTTGGTTCTTCCACCTCTGCCACTAATTCGACATCAGTTTCATCGAGGAAAGGTAAGAAGAGCCCTCCTAAAGTTAGGGGATCAGTCCTGGCACCTGCAAGCCCCTGGCTTGCCATGAATTTCTTTTTCTTGAGGTACTCACGCCCGAATTTCTTCCTTGCCCTGTGATATAATAAGAGAGGCTGGGCCTTTTGGCCGGCTAGGGTAGAGGTGGGGGGGAGGTCTCATGGAAGGGAATTTCAAGCCTTGGAGTTAAGGACCGACACACCTTATCTTCAAGCCTATTTTTCTTTTCTTTTCTTTTTTTAGACAGGGCCTCTCTTTGTTGCTCAGGTTGGAGTGCAGTGGTGCAATCACTGGTCACTACATCCTCCACTTATGGGGCTTAAGCAATCCTCCCACCTCAGCCTCCAAAGTAGCTGGGGCTACAGGTACATGCCACCACGCCGGGCTTTTTTTTCTATTTTTTGTAGAGATGGGGGTCTCACTATGTTGCCTAAGCTGGTCTCAAACTCCTGGGCTCAAACAATCCTCCTACTGGGATTACAGGCATGAGCCACCACAGCCAGCCTATCAATTTTTGTTTTTTGGTTTAGTATTTTCCTTTTTCTTTCTCTTTCTTTTTTTGAGACAGAGTCTTGCACTGTTGCCCAGGCTGCAGTGCAACGGTGTGATCTTGGTTCACTGCAACCTCCGCCTCTCGGGTTCACACGATTCTCCTGCCTCTGCCTCCTGAGTAGCTGGGATTACAGGTGCACGCCACCACACCCAGCTAATTTTTTTGTATTTTTAGTAGAGATGGGGTTTCACTATGTTGGCCAGACTGATCTCAAACTCCTGACCTCATGATCTGCCTGCCTCAGCTTCCCAAAGTGATGGGAACACAGACGTGATCCACCACGCCCAGCTATTATTTTTCTTAATAATAACAGAGGCTATTTAAATATTGTTAGAGGCTATTTAAAAGCCCCCTTAGTAGATTAAGGGTTTGAACAATCGTTAACAGTGCTGAGTGCTCATTGCAATGTCTACTAAACTTTAATAAAAATGTTTTTGTTTTTGTTTGCTTGTTTTTCCTTTCTTCCTTACTCTTTTTTGTTTGTTTGTTTGTTTGAGTATGATGTCTGTGGGTTTTCTCCAACTTTGCAGCTCCTAATACTGTCTTTGGGAGAGTAGGAGTGAAACCCGGCAAAGGAAATAGCTTCACGCTGCTCCTTCTGTGCGTGGAGTAGATGAGAAAATGCCCTGCCATCTGGTGCCTCATTCCTTTCAGTAGGAAATTTGGCAGACAGGGAGATTAACGCTACAAGATTTAATTAAGAACATAAAGGTGAACACTGTTTAGGACTTCATGGGTTTTAAAGTCAATTCAAATTTCTCCCTATTATAAACATTTCATTAGAAAACATTTACTATTTCTATCTCTTCAGATAAAAGGAAATAGAAGTTGATGAATTTTTTTAGAGTAACTTATACCCTGTACCACTAGACTAAGTTTCTTTTTCTTTTCTTTTTTCTTTTTTTTTTTTGAGACAGGGTCTCACTCTGTTGCCCAGGCTTGAGTGCAGTGGTGCAATCACAGCTTACTGCAGATTTGACCCCAGGGTTCAAATGATCCTCCCACTTCAGGCTCTTCCCAAGTAGCTGGGACTGTAGGCGCATGCCACCACACGCCCGCCTAATTTTTGTGTTTTTTGTAGAGATGGGGTTTCATCACATTGCCCAGGCTGGTCTCGAACTCCTGGGCTGAAGCAATCCTCCCGCCTCAGCCTACCAAAGTGCTGGGATTACAGACGTGAGCCACCACGCCTGGCCTGATGAAATTTCATTAGAGCCGCATCTCATCGTCTGGTCCACTGTTGAATCACCAGAGCCAACTAAATAGGCCCTTACTGAATATATGTTGAATAAATGCATCCTTTAAGGCATTTTAAAAATCTCTATTTTTAATCCGAATAATTGGATGTATGAAATGGGTAATATCCTTATTTTAAAGATAAGGAAATTTAATATCTGGTTATATAACTTGATAAAGGTCACACAACTAAATCAGTGGAGTTGGGTTTGAACCTGTTGCTGCTATATTTTTTTTTTTTTCTGAGACACAGTCTCGCTCTGTCACCCAGGCTGGAGTGCAGTGGCATGAACTCGGCTCACTGCAACCTCCGCCTCCCGGGTTCAAGCAATTCTTCTGCCTCAGCCTCCTAAGTAGCTGGGATTACAGGCATGCGCCACCATGCCTGGCTAAATTTTGTATCTTTAGTGGAGGCAGGGTTTCACCATGTTGGCCAGGCTGTTCTCAAATGCCTGACCTCATGATCCAACTGCCTCGGCCTCACAAAGTGCTGGGATTACAGGCGTGAGCCACTGCGCCCAGCTGCTGCTGTATGTTTTCTAGTAGTAAAAGCATTCCTGTAAGGTTCCTTTGGGAAAACTGTGAACCAAAAGATCACTATCTTTTATATGCCATTCCTTCTTTTGGAGGCGAAGGCGGGACGGTTGCCTCAGCCAGGAGTTTGAGACCAGCCTGGACAACGTGGCAAAACCCCATTGCTATTTTTATAAATGTAAATAAATAAGTAGAAACAATATAACTTCAGAGTCTATATGGAAACAACTTTTGTAAGCATTCTTTAACAACTAGAGTTGTTAAAGCAAATGTTTTAGCTTAAAGCAAAAGATTTGCAGTAACTGAATAATTTGTTCCTGGTCATTACTTTATAAAAAGGCAAGAATTTTCCCTCAATTTCTCCTTATATTACTGTTGAAAAATAACCAGGAATTGGCCGGGCAGGGTGGCTCACACTTGTAATCCCAGCACTTTGGGAGGCCAAGGCGGGCGGATCATGAGGTCAGGAGATCGAGACCATCCTAGCATGGTGAAACCCTGTCTCTACTAAAAGTACAAAAAATTAGCCAGGTGTGGTGGCGGGCGCCTGTAGTCCCAACTGCTCGGGAGGCTGAGGCAGGAGAATGGCATGAACCCGGGAGGCGGAGCTTGCAGTGAGCCAAGATCGTGCCACTGCACTGCAGCCTGGGTGACAGAGTGAGACTCTGTCTCCCCCCCAAAAAAACAAAAACAAAACAAAAATTAGCTGGGCGTGGTGGCGGGCGCCTGTAATCCCTGCTACTCGGGAGGCTGAGGCAGGAGAATCACTTGAATCCGGGAGGCAGAGGTTACAGTAAGCCAAGATTGCGCCACTGCACTCCAGCCTGGGTGACAGAGCTAGACTTTGAAAAAAAAAAAAAAAAAAAAAAAAAACACCAGGAATTGGACTTCTCTTATGAACTGAAAAGGAGCCAGGTGCTTTGAAAAATGGAATCTACTTTTGTGGAGACTTTCACATTGCCTCTTATATGTGCTTTAACTAAATGACCTTAGTAAGTAAAATGTTGGCACTTTATACTACATGGTCCTATCTTATGTTAGGAAAAAGTGTGTCAAACTTCAGTATGTCAGTACATACAAGAATATATATATATATATATATATATATATATATATATATATATATATATATTTTTTTTTTTTTTTTTTTGAGACAGAGTCTCGCTCTGTTGCCAGACTGGAGTGTGCAGTGGCGGCGCAATCTTGGCTCACTGCAACCTCCGACTCGCTGGTTCAAGTGATTCTCCTGCCTCAGCCTCCCAAGTAGCTGGGAATACAGGCACGTGCCGCCACACCCAGCTAATTTTTGTATTTTTAGTAGAGACGGGGGTTTCACCATGTTGTCCAGGTTGGTCTCGAACTCCTGACCTTGTGATCCACCCTCCTCAGCCTCCCAAAGTGCTGGGATTACAGGCGTGAGCCACTGGACCCGGCAAGAGTATTTGAATAGCTCTGCTTGTGGACAAAATATAAAAATATTTTTCAGTTGTAAAAATTCTGTTACTACTGTTATTGCTAAGATAACCATCACACTGAGTTTATTGGTGGAATACAGCTTTATTGTGTCACATTTTCTAATTCTTTAAGTTGTATATCTTAAATAAAGATTATTTAATACCTTTGAGAATTTGATGTTAAAGAAGGAATTAAGTTGTTTAAGGAATAGAGATTGTATTATTAGCACTTATCTAGTTCCATCTGTTTATATTTTACAGCTGAAAATAAATATGCAGGAGGGAACCCCGTTTGCGTGCGCCCAACTCCCAAGTGGCAAAAAGGAATTGGAGAATTCTTTAGGTTGTCCCCTAAAGATTCTGAAAAAGAGAATCAGATTCCTGAAGAGGCAGGAAGCAGTGGCTTAGGAAAAGCAAAGAGAAAGTAAGTTTTTATATTCTGGAATATAAAGAAAATATTTATCTCACGCCTGTAATCCCAGCACTTTGGGAGGCCGAGGCGGGAGGATCACTTGAGGCCAGGAGTTCAAAACCAGCCTGTCCAACATGGTGGAACCCTGTCTCTACTAAAAATACAAAATTAGCTCGGCGTGCTGGTGCACACCTGTTGTCCTAGCTATTTGGGAGGCTCAAACAAAAGAATTGCTTGGTGCAGCAAACCACCATGCACACATATACCTATATAACAAACTTGCATGTAATGCACATGTATCTCATTTTCACGCCACTGCCCTCCAGTCTGGGGGACAGAGTGAGACTCTGTCTCAAATAAAAAATTAATTAATTAATTAATAAAGAAAATATCTTGAAAATAAAGGACAAATAGGATATTGAGTCAAGTTTCTCTTCAAGCTCATAAGAAAATGCAAAAAAAGTTTTTAAAAACTTCTTCTAATTTCTTATTATAACTCACTCCCAAATTTCTTTTCTTTTTTTTTTCCTGAGACGGAGTCTTGCTCTGTTGCCCAGGCTAGAGGGCAGTGGCGCTATCTCAGCTCACTGCAACCTCCGCCTCCCAGGTTCAAGCAATTTTCCTGCCTCAGCCTCCCAAGTAGCTGGGATTACAGGCACACGCCACCACGCCCAGCTAATTTTTGTATTTTTAGTAGAGACAGGGTTTTGCCTTGTTGGCCAGGCTGGTCTTGAACTCTTGACTTTGTGATCTACCCACCTTAGCCTCCCAAAGTACTGGGATTACAGGCGTGAGCCACTGCATCCAGCCAGCAAATTTCAAACATTAGTAAAAAGTATTCTTTTTACTCTTCCCAATCTCTCAAAGAGGATCAGTTCCCATTCACATAAGTGCTATGTCATTAACCATGAACTTAGTGTATTGAGTCTTTAATTCTTACTGTCTTTTTCCTTTAGGCTTTTCTTACAAGGCAATTTCCTTGTTGGCTTATATAACTTGAATTCCATTAATCCTGTCCCTTAAAAAACTACCAGTTCAACTTGCACAAGAAATATATAACCAGGCTGTGTGCGGTGGCTCATGCCTGTAATCCTAGCACTTTGGGAGGCTACAGTGGGCAGATCGCTTGAGCTCAGGAGTTCCAGACCAGCCTGGGCAACATGGTGAAACCCCTTCTCTACCAAAAGGGTGGCGGCGCCGCCTATAATCCCAGCCACTAGGGAGGCTGAGGTGGGAGAATTGCTTGACCCTGGGAGATGAAGGTTGCAGTGAGCCGAGATCCCGCCACTGTACTCCAGCATGGGTGGCAGAGTGAGGACCTGTCTCAAAAATAGGCCTGGCACAGTGGCTCACCTCTGTAATCCCAGCACTTTGAGAGTCCAAGGCAGGCAGATCACAAGATCAAGAGATCGAGACCATCCTGCAACATGGTGAAACCCCGTCTCTACTAAAAATACAAAAAATTAGCCGGGCGTGGTGGCACGTGCCTGTAATCTCAGCTACTCGGGAGGCTGAAGCAGGAGAATTGCTTGAACCTGAAAGGTGTTGGTTGCAGTGAGCTGAGATCGCACCACTGCACTCCAGCCTGGGGGACAGAGCGAGACTCCATCTCAAAAAAAATCAAGTAAAATAAAAATAAAAATATGACCAATATGGAAAAGTTGGAAAATATAGAAATCCCCATCACCTAGAACCAACTAGGAATAATACCATGGTGTATTGTCTTTACAACTTCTCTGTAAGTACGTAAGAATAGTGAAAAACAAAAAGTAGGGATAAAACTACACACACCAAACTTGGTGTGCAACCTTTAAAAAAAAGTTTCCGAGTTTCATCCGTTGTATTTCATGAATATCTCATTCCTTTTTTCCTTTTTTTCTTTCTTTCTTCCTTTTTTTTTTTTTTTTTGATATGGGGGTCTCACTCTGTCACCCAGGCTGTAATGCAGTGGCCCAATGTTCGCTCACTTCAACCTCTGCCTCCTGGGTTCGATTGATTCTCCCACCTCAGCCTTCCAAGTAGCTGGAATTACAGGCATGTGCCATGGAGTTCAGCTAATTTTTTGTGTTTTTGGTAGAGATGAGGTTTTGCCACGTTGCCTAGGCCGGTCTCAAACTCCGGAGCTCAAGTAATCCACTTGCCTTGGCCTCCCACTGTGCTGGGATTACAGGCATAAGCTGCCACACCTGGCCAGTGTGCAAACTTTTTTTTTTTTTGAGACGGAGTTTCGCTCTGTTGCCCAGGCTGGAGTGCAGTGGTGCAATCTCGGCTCACTGCAACCTCCACCTCCCGGGTTCACACCAGTCTCCTCCCTCACCCTCCCAAGTAGCTGGGACTACAGGCGCCCGCCACCACGCCTGGCTAATTTTGTTGTATTTTTAGTAGAGATGGGATTTCACCGTGTTAGCCAGGATTGTCTCAATCTGACCTCATGATCTGCCCGCCTCGGCCTCCCAAAGTGCTGGGATTACAGGCGAGTGCAACCACACCCGGCCACAAACTTTTTAAGAAGTTAATGAAACCATACCTTTTACATTTTTAATGACAGGAAAATGCTCACAATAATTGTTAACCCAAAATTCTGGATACAAAAGTACAATCTTTACTGTGTAAATACATGTATATGTACTATATGAAAATATACCAAATATCAATAATACTTATCTCTGGGTAAAAACCTCTTCTCATACCCTGTGCTAACAACTTTTAACAAAAAATTTGCATCACTTTTAAGAATCAAGAAAAATTTCTGAAGGTCATATGGGACAGAAAAAAAAACCAAGGGAAAAATCACGCCACTTGGGAAAAAAAGATTCGAAATCTGCCTTTTTATAGATTTGTAATTAATAAGGTCCAGGCTTTCTAAGCAACTTAAATGTTTTGTTTCGAAACAAAGTACTTGTCTGGATGTAGGAGGAAAGGGAGTGATGTCACTGCCATTATGATGCCCCTTGAATATAAGACCCTACTTGCTATCTCCCCTGCACCAGCCAGGAGCCACCCATCCTCCAGCACACTGAGCAGCAAGCTGGACACACGGCACACTGATCCAAATGGGTAAGGGGATGGTGGCGATGCTCATTCTGGGTCTGCTACTTCTGGCGCTGCTCCTACCCGTGCAGGTTTCTTCATTTGTTCCTTTAACCAGTATGCCGGAAGCTACTGCAGCCGAAACCACAAAGCCCTCCAACAGTGCCCTACAGCCTACAGCCGGTCTCCTTGTGGTCTTGCTTGCCCTTCTACATCTCTACCATTAAGAGGCAGGTCAAGAAACAGCTACAGTTCTCCAACCCATACACTAAAACCGAATCCAAATGGTGCCTAGAAGTTCAATGTGGCAAGGAAAAAAACCAGGTCTTCATCAAATCTACTAATTTCACTCCTTATTAACAGAGAAACGCTTGAGAGTCTCAAACTGGACTGGTTTAAAGAGCATCTGAAGGATTTGACTAGATGATAAATGCCAATATTAAATCTGTTGGAGTTTCACGTATAAGACAGAGGAGAAAGAGAACATCAAAAATTACTTAGCAAGCTATGGAATGGAGATTCAGTTTTCATTTTAGTTTGTTAAATCTACAAGGCTGTAAAATGATTAGGTAATAGAAAAAGCTTCCATGATTCTATTTATTATATATGTGCATTGGAAGAAACTACCAGGTGTTACTATAAATATTCTATGTATTGTTTCAGCCATCCTAATTTAATGCTGATATGCTCTAGATTTACATTGCTAAGTTTTCACTCTTCTCTTGGGCACTTAACTCTGTTTCTTTTGTTTGTTTGTTTTGAGAAGGAGTCTCACTCTTGCCCAGGCTGGCGTGCAGTGGTGCTATCTTGGCTCACTGCAACCTTCGCCTCCTGGGTTCAAGCGATTTTTGTGCCTTTCTTGAGTAACTGGGATTACAGGCACGTGCCACCACATCCAGCTAATTTTTGTATTTTTAGTAGAGATGGGATTCACCATGTTGGCCAGGATGGTCTTGATCTCCTGACCTTGTGATCTGCCCGCCTCGGCCTCCCAAAGTGCTGGGATTACAGGCATGAGCCACTGCGCCTGGCCAAGGGCACTTAACTCTTTAGGGCTTTGGATTTGATTTGCCATTGCATTTGACTTTCTTTTCTTTTCTTTTCTTTTTTTGAGATGGAGTCTCGCTCTGTCGCCCAGGCTGGGGTGCAGTGGCGCTATCTCGGCTCACTGCAAGCTCCGCCTCCTGGGTTCATGCCATTCTCCCGCCTCAGCCTCCCCAGCAGCTGGGACTACAGGCGCACGCCGCCACGCCCGGCTAATTTTTTGTATTTTTAGTAGAGACGGGGTTTCACCATGTTAGCCAGGATGGTCTTGATCTCCTGACCTTGTGATCCACCCGCCTCGGCCTCCCAAAGTGCTGGGATTACAGGTGTGAGCCATCGCACCCAGCCCTGCATTTTACTTTCTATGTGGTAATTGAAGTGTGCCAGAGCAATGATAGACTGGAATTTACTCCAAATCCAAGCATGACTAATTCTTGCATATACACTTAAAAGTGAAATAGTAGGCATTTCCTATCACCCATTCCAATTCAACAAGAATGCCAGATTTAGTTACGATACTTAACTGGATTCCAAAAATTAGAAGTGCATTGACTTCAAGTAATTTTAAAATAGTGCCTTTTTATCTTTGTGTATGTCAAATAATTTTCACAACTTAAAAACTGATTTTTTTGTGTGCAGGAGGTGGGTTAAAAGTTGATTTCCTTTGAAGGCGTATTTGATTAATCTTGAAATTAAGAGGTGACTTTGTACATGTTGAATAATTTTTACAACTTAAAAATTGACCATTTTTTGTGCAGGAGGTGGGTTAAAAAAAGTTGATCTGGGCCAGGTGCGGTGGCTAATGCCTGTAATCCCAGCACTTTGGGAGGCCAAGGTGGGCAGATCACTAGAGGCCAGGAGTTCGAAACCATCCTGGAGAACATGGTGAAACTCGGTCTCTACTAAAAATACAAAAATTAGCTGGGTGTGGTGGCACACACCTGTAATGCCAGCTGCTCAGGAGGCTGAGGCAGGAGAATCACTTGAACCCAGGAGGTGGAGTGAGCCAAGATTGCGCCACTGCACTCCTGCCTGGGTGACAGAGCGAGACTCTGTCTCAAAAAAAATTGATCTGTTTTGAAGTCATATTTGATTAATCTTGAAATTAAGCGGTGGGCTGGGCACGGCGGCTCATGCCTGTACTCCCAGTACTTTGGGAGGCCTAGGCCGGCGGATCACCTGAGGTCAGGAGTTTGAGACTAACCTGGCCAAAATGGTGAAACCCCATCTGTACTAAAAATACAAATATTAACTGGGCGTGGTGGTGAGTGCCTGTAATCCCAGCTACTCAGGTGGCTGAAGCAGGACAATCACTTGAACTCAGGAGGCAGAGGTTGCAGTGAGCTGAGATCGCGCTACTGCACTCTAGCCTAGCCTGGGCAACAGAGTGAGACTTCGTCTCAAAAAAAAAAAAGCCAAGTGCAGTGGCTCACGCCTGTAATCCCAGCACTTTGGGAGGCCGAGGTGGGCGGATCACGAGGTCAGGAGATCAAGACCATCCTGGCTAATACAGTGAAACCCTGTCTCTACTAAAAATACAAAAAATTAGCCGGGGATGGTGGCAGGCACCTGGAGTCCCAGCTACTCGGGAGGCTGAGGCAGGAGAATAGCGTGAACTCAGGAGGCGGAGCTTGCAGTGAGCCGAGATTGCGCTACTGCACTCCAGCCTGGGCGACAGCGCGAGACTCCGTCTCAAAAAAAAAAAAAAAAAAAAGAACATGAAATAAGCAAAATAACAAATCTGGTTCTGTATTTGCAAAGTGAAGACCAGAAATTTGTCTGCATTAAATTCACAATGCTTTTGTGCTCTTTCTGTAAATACTTAAAAAAAAAAAAAAAAAAAAAAAAAAACAACTTTATGAGTCTGAGTAGCTACATTTGGGACACTTTCTATAATTAGTCAATATTTTTAGATAGAGCCTGGGCCTAAGCATAAGTGGACTTGATTCTGGTAAGTAAAACTTTTACAACTGCCTTGATGTATAGAAGCCTTTTTAGAAATAGACACTCCAGCCTGGGTGCGGTGGCTTGTGCCTGTAATCCCAACATTTTGAAAGTCCAAGGCAGGTGGATCACCCAAGGTCAGGAGTTCGAGACCAGCCTGGCCAACACGGCGAAACCCCCGTCTCTACTAAAAATACAAAAATTAGCTGGGCTTGGTGGCAGGTGCCCATAATCCCTGCTACTCCAGAGGCTGAGGCAGGAGAATCACTTGAACTCGGGAGGCGGAGGTTGCAGTGAGCCGAGATCATGCCATTGCACTCCAGCCTGGGCAACAGAGCGATAATCCGTCTGAAAAAAAAAAAAAGAAATACGTACTCCATGAGGCCAGGCATGCCTAGCACTTTGGGAGACTGAAGGGGGAGGATTGCTTGAGCCCAGGAGTTTGAGACCAGCTTAGGCATGGTCTCTACACAAAAAAAAAAAAAAAAAAAAATTAGGTGGGCATGGTGGCGCACACCTGTAGTCCTGACTACTCTGGAGGTTAAGGTGGGAGTCGCTTGAGCCCAGGCATTCGAGGCTGCAGTGAGTTATGATTGTGCCACTGAACTCCAGCCTGGGTGACAGAGCCAGATTGTGTTTCTATTAAAAAAAAAAAAAAGGACACTCCATGAAATCTTTGGTTCACATGGTCACACACTGATGCTTAGTTGTTCCTGTATCCCATATGGCCATAGTAGCTTTAATAAGTCTTAAGGCAATATTTGCCATCTTTAGAAACCTGCATGGGAACAAGCAGATCCAACAGATCTTGACCTATGGTATGTGTGACTGAACAGTCCCTTTTGCTTCTTATTTGTACATTCTATATCTGTTACATCTGTTTTGGATTGTACATTGTGTTTGGAATGGATTTTCATTGAACACAAACTAGATAAAAATAGATGGCTGAAAGAGTAATTAAAACAAAGTATTTGACATATGAAAGCATATAAAATATTGAGAATTATTCATTACAAAAATTAGCCAGGTATGGTGGCACATGCATGTGATCTCAGCTACTGGGGAGGCTGAGATAGGAGAATCACTTGAACCTGGGAGGCAGAGGTTGCAGTGAGCCGAGATCACTGCACTTCAGCCTGGGCAACAAAGTGAGACTCCATCTCAAAAAAAAAGAAATTATTCAGTGCTGTTCATAAGCTCATTTAGTAAATAGTAATTGAGTGTCTATGATCCATGTTGTGAGATTAGCAGCAATTAAATCTTAGGCTTTGTTGTTATATCACTATCATGATTTCTGGTTTCCATAAAAATCAACCAAAGGGATACCCTTTTTTTTTTAGAGACAGGATTTTTTTTTTTTTTTTTTTTTTTTTAAAGAGACAGGATTTTGCTCTGTTACTCAGGCTGGAGTGCAGTGGTGAGATCATAGCTCGCTGTAGCCTTGACCTCTTGTACTCAAGCAATTTTCCCACTTCAGCCTCCTGAGTAGCTGGGACTATAGATGCATGCCATTGCTCCTGGCTAATTTTAAATTTTTAGTAGAGACCAGGCCTTGCTATGTTGCCTAGGCTGGTCTTGAACTCCTGGGCTCAAGCAATCCTAACACCTCAGCTTCCCAAAGTGTTGGGATTACGGGCCTCAGCCATGATGCCTGGCCCCAGAGGGATACATTTTGGATAAAGCTTTTTAATAGTTTTGCTTTCCTGATCCAATAAATTTCTTTTAGTTCTCTGTCATTGTCTGGCACCTTTCTTCCTCGTTCTTTTTTCCAACAGGAACAAGCTGATAGTCAAGACTAGCTTTAGAATATATTTCAGACTTCTTGAATTACCTGTGACTTACATCAAGGAAATAAAATATTTGGCAATATAGCCAAATGTGACTATAACACTGATCATCACAGGAATAAAACCTATATTATAGCCTTCCCACCATATGAAAAGAGATTACACATGTATTCTCATAAAGAACTTTAATCCATGGTATTATAAAATCTGTGACATAAACCTAGGTAATAGAGGTTTATATTATTTCTTTAGGTCCTGTTCTTAGATTTGCCATTGTTTAGGAGGATTGTAATTACCCCTTTATTGAAATAATAAATGAGTTTATTAGAAGGATTTATGATATAAACTCTCTATGGAATATAGTTATTCCCATGGCCTTATTTTTCTCCCAAAGGCAGGGTAAACTCCCAGCAGTTGCGTGGGGGAAGAGTCAGAATCAAGGAAGACTATCTACTTAAACCTTTAACAGAGTTATGATGCCTAAAGTAAATCAGGCGCTTGCACAAAGGAAGTCTGGGTTATGATAATGTTCATTTGTTAATTTGATTTAATTTCCAGGAAAATACAATGAAGATATCTTTGTTATCTAATACTGAGTTAATGATAATCTTATTTTGTTTTTGTTTTTTTTACTGAGACAGAGTTTTTGCTCTTGTTGCCCAGGCTGGAGTCCACCTCCTGGGTTCAAGCGATTCTCCTGCCTCAGCCTCCTGAGTAGCTGGGATTACAGGCACGCGTCACCATGCCCAGCTAATTGTTTTTGTATTTTTAGTAGAGACAGGGTTTCATTATGTTGGCTAGACTGGTCTCGAACTCCTGACCTCAGATGATCCACCTGCCTTGGCCTCCCAAAGTGCTGGGATTACAGGCATGAGCCACCGCGCCGGGCCAACGATAATCTTATACCAAATCTGAGTGCCTTCATTTTCACTTCCTTCTTTCACTACCTGGTTCTGCCCATCAAGGATTGCTGGATCTAATTTGAAAACCAAGAATTTTAGAGTAGATCTTACAAATCTTTGTCAGCTCTAATAAACCAAAAAAAAAAAGTAGTTTTTGATTAAGTTTTGAATTGACTTTTCCTCCATAAAAAGTGTAATGAGGCTGGGCACGGTGGCTCATGCCTGTAATCCCAGTACTTTGAGAGGCCAAGGCAGGCGGATTATGAAGTTAAGAGACCAAGACCATCCTTGCCAACATGGTGAAACCCCGTCCCTACTAAAAATACAAAAAAATTAGGTGGGCATGGTGGCGTATGTCTGTAATCCCAGCTACTTGGGAGGCTAAGGCAGGAGAATCGCTTGAACCCGGGAGGCAGAGGTTGCAGTGAGCTGAGATCGCACCACTGCACTCCAGCCTGGCGACAGAGCGAGACTCCGTCTCAAAAAAAAAACTATAATGGGTACAAAATGACTTTGTTTTTTGTTTTTTTTTTTGGGTTTTTTTGAGACAGAGTTTTGCTCTTGTTGCCCAGGCTGGAGTGCAATGATTCAGTTTTGGCTCACGGCAACCTCTGCCTCCTAGGTTCAAGCAATTCTCCTGGCTGAGCCTCCCAAGTAGCTGGGATTACAGGCACCTGCTACCATGCCCGGCTAATTTTTGTATTTTTAGTAGAGATGTGTTTCACCATGTTGGCCAGGCTGGTCTCGAACTTCTGACCTCAGGTGATCCACCCGCCTCGGCCTCCCGAAGTGCTGAGATTAGAGGCACGAGCCACAGGGCCCTCCCTGACTTTGGGATAATGTAAATTATTTTTCAAAAGCTACAACTATTCTATGCTAACAATTTTGGGGTTTTTCTTTTTTCTTCTTCTTTTTTTGTTTTATTGACACAGAGACCTGCTCTGTTTCCCAGGCTGGAGTGCAGTGGCACAATCAATCATGGCTGACTGCAACCTTGAAGTGATCCTCCTGCCTCAGGCCTCCTGAGTCGCTGAAACTATAGGGATGTGCCACCACGACCAACTAATTTTTTTTTTTTTTAGACAGGCTCTCTGTCCCCGAGGCTGGAGTGCAATGGCACAGTCTCAGCTCACTTCAAGCTCCACCCACCATGCTCAAGCGATTCTCCTGCCTTAGCCTCCCAAGTAGCTGGGATTACAGGCACACACCCCCACTGCCCGGCTATTTTTGTATTTTTAGTAGAGATGGGTTTTCACCATGTTGGCTAGGCTGGTCTCGAATTCCTGACCTCAAATGTTCCACCCACCTTGGCCTCCCAAAGTGCTGGGATTACAGGCGTGATCCACCGACCCCGGCCTGATTTTTTATTTTTTGTAGAGATGGGGTGTCACTAAGTTGCCCAGGTTGGTCTCAAACTCTTGGGCTCAAGCAATCCTCCTGCCTCATCCTCCCAAAGTGCTGGGATTATGAGTGTAAGTCACTGTGTCTGGCCAATTTGGGGTTTTTCCTAATTAGTTAATGTAATCACATGGTTCAAAAGAGTATATATAGTCAAAGGACAACTTGCTATATGTTTTCTCTGCTAAAGTGGATTGGTTAATTTTTTTACTTTTTGTTACCACAAAGTTCTTGCTGAAGGATTATATTGTTTATCAATCCATTTAATAACATGTTGAAATAATATGCTATATAAATAGATTCTTTTTTTAATAAAAATTACAACGTAGTCTAAAGGAGAAACACTGATTCTGCAAATTAACAGGCAAATAAATTGTTAAAAATTTTGTTGCATTAATACTTGAAATTTGTAGGTGTTTGTTAATTAATGAAGTTTAATTTTCTTTCATTTCTAGTCATTAGACCAGATCTACTGCACTGTTAATTAATGTTCCTGATTTATATAGGTTTGTAACTATTTTTTTCAAACAGTTGATACTTGGATGGCTATTGATGTTCTCTCTTCTTTTCACAGAGCATGTCCTTTGCAACCTGATCACACAAATGATGAAAAAGAATAGAACTTTCTCATTCATCTTTGAATAACGTCTCCTTGTTTACCCTGGTATTCTAGAATGTAAATTTACATAAATGTGTTTGTTCCAATTAGCTTTGTTGAACAGGCATTTAATTAAAAAATTTAGGTTTAAATTTAGATGTTCAAAAGTAGTTGTGAAATTTGAGAATTTGTAAGACTAATTATGGTAACTTAGCTTAGTATTCAATATAATGCATTGTTTGGTTTCTTTTACCAAATTAAGTGTCTAGTTCTTGCTAAAATCAAGTCATTGCATTGTGTTCTAATTACAAGTATGTTGTATTTGAGATTTGCTTAGATTGTTGTACTGCTGCCATTTTTATTGGTGTTTGATTATTGGAATGGTGCCATATTGTCACTCCTTCTACTTGCTTTAAAAAGCAGAGTTAGATTTTTGCACATTAAAAAATTCAGTATTAATTAAACATTACTTATTCTACCCTCTTTTTTGGCAAGGAGGACAAATACGCAATGTTGGAAAACCTTGGATGGATATCTTCTCTTTAAAAAAATGTAAAGATAATTTGGTCTTGAGGGTTTAAACGGTTGATAATGCCTCTACAACAACAAGAAAAAAGATAAAATACTAGGATAGAATCATGGTGGGCACAGTGGCTTCTCAGGAGGCTGAGGAGGGAGGTTTGCTTGAGTCCAGGAGTTGGAGACCAGCCCAGGCAACATAGCGTAAACCCTATCTCTAAAACAATTTTTAGCCGGGTGCGGTGGCTCACGCCTGTAATCCCAGCACTCTGGGAGGCCGAGGCGGGTGGATCATGAGGTCAGGAGATCGAGACCATCCTGCCTAACAAGGTGAAACCCCGTCTCTACTAAAAATACAAAAAATTAGCCGGGCGCGGTGGCGGGCGCCTGTAGTCCCAGCTACTCGGGAGGCTGAGGCAGGAGAATGGCGTGAACCCGGGAAGTGGAGCTTGCAGTGAGCCGAGATTGCGCCACTGCAGTCGGCAGTCCGGCTTGGGCGACAGAGCGAGACTCCGTCTCAAAAAAAAAAAAAAAAAAAATTTTAAAAAAGGCTGAGTGCAGTGGCTCACACCTGTAATCCCAGCACTTTGGGAGGCCAAGGCAGGTGGATCACCTGAGATAGGAGTTCAAGACCAGCCTGGCCAGCATGGTGAAACTGTCACTACTAAAAATGAAAAAATGAGCCAGGCATGGTGGCACATGCCTGTAATCCCAGCTACTCAGGAGGCTGAGGCAGGAGAATCGCTTGAACCTGGGAGGTGGAGGTTGCAGTGAGCCCAGATTGTGCCACTGCACTCCAGCCTGAACAACAGAGTGAGACAATGTCTTAAAAAAAAAAAAAGAAAGAAAAGAAAAAAATATATATTTATATATGAACAATAAAAAATTAGCCTGGCATGGTGGCACACACAGTGGAACCAGATCCCATCTCTTAAAAGAAATTTTCCTAGGATTTGCATTTGATTCGCTATCATAAAATATAATTTTAAAGTTGGAAGTCAATATAACATGAAAGGCAAATCATGCCATAAACCCATAGGCATGGCAAAACTCCTAAGAGCTACTATGACATTTTTCAACATAACCAGAGGTATAATTGAAGAAGTGGGTATAATATTCCTCATCACCCTTTTTGCAGCAGCCTGTTGTCAAAAGTAATCATATTTTAGTAGGCATATTTTTCTGAAATACGTTTGTAATAAATGCATACTTATTTTTACAATACACTATCCATTTGTGTGCTTCCTAAAATTATGTCCTATTTTATTCTTTCCAAATACAAATCAGAGCATTGACCTGATTTTAACACCTTCCAAACTGTTTGAGTCCGAATGATTGTAGATTATATTTTTTGCTTTGTCTTTTAGAGGTGGATATTATTAAACAGTATGTTATTGAATTGGGAGCTGAGTTCAAGTACTTATTTGATAATTAGGTTTATTTTTAAGGAGTAGTTTAAACAAAATATCTTGAAGTCAAGTTTTAATGGATCTGACACTTCATTTGCTATTTTTCTTTTCTTTTCTTTTTTAGATGGAGTCTCGCTCTGTCACCCAGGCCAGAGTGCAGTGGCTTGACCTTGGCTCACAACAACTTCTGCCTCCCAGGTTCAAGCGATTCTCCTAACTCAGACTCCGGAGTAGCTGGGACTACAGGTGCTCGCCACCACGCCCAGCTAATTTTTGCATTTTTAGTAGAGGCAGGGTTTCACCATGTTGACCAGGTTGGTCTCCAACTCCCAACTCCTGACCTCAGGTGATCCGCCTGACTGGGCCTCCCAAAGTGCTGGGAATTTTTTTTTTTTTTTTTTTTTTTGAGACAGTCTCACTCTGTTGCCCAGGCTGGAGTGCAGTGGCGCAATCTTGGCTCACTGCAAGCTCCACCTCCCAGGTTCACACCATTCTCCTGCCTCAGCCTCCCTAGTAGCTGGGACTACAGGTGCCTGCCACCATGCCCTGCTAATTGTTTTTGTATTTTTAGTAGAGATGGGGTTTCACCCTGTTAGCCAGGATGATCTTGATCTCCTGACCTCGTGATCTGCCCGCGTCGGCCTCCCAAAATGCTGGGATTACAGGTGTGAGTCACTGCAGCCGGCCAAGATTCAAATTTTTTAGAAACAATTACATGCCTACATTCAACTTCAGTCTGGGAGCAGTGGCTCACGCCTATAATCCCAGCACTTTGGGAGGCCGAGGCAGGTGAATCACCTGAGGTCAGGAGTTCGAGACCAGCCTGGCCAACATGGTGAAACCCTGACTCTACTAAAAGTGCAAAAAAAGACTGGGCATGGTGGCTCACGCCTGTAATCCTAGCACTTTGGGAGGCCAAGGCGGGCAGATCATCTGAGGTCAGGAGTTCAAGACCAGTCTGGTCAACATGACGAAACCCCGTCTCTACTAAAAATACAAAAATTAGCCAGGTGTGGTGGCGGGCACCTATAATCCCAGCTACTTGGGAGGCTGAGGCAGGAGAATCACTTGAACCCGGGAGGCAGAGGTTGCAGTGAGCCCAGATCACGCCACTGCACTCCAGGCTGGGTGACAGAGTGAGACTCTATCTCAAAAAATAAATAAATAAAATAAATAAATAATAAAAATGCAAAAATTAGCTGGGCAGGGTGGTACATGCCTGTAGTCCCAATTACTCAGGAGGCTGAGGCAGGAGAATCACTTGAACCTGGGAGGTGGAGGTTGTAGTGAGCCGAGATATGCCACTGCACTCCAGCCTGGGCCACAGAGTGGGACTCCGTCTCAAAAAAAAAAATTTTTTCAAGTATATATTTGATGATGTTTCACTTTCATTAGGCAAATTTATACATAATGTTTCCTTTTCGAAGCATTTTCAAAATGTAGCATGGCCACTTAGCTTTTCTAAACAGAAGGGAAGTATAGACCCCTTCTTTTCATTGAAACTGAATTAAAAAGTAAAATCTACCCATTAAGAAGATAGTTTAACTAAGATTGATTGATTGATTGATTTTGAGGCAGGATCTTACTCTATTGCCCAGGCCAGAGTGCAGTGGTGTGATCTCAGCTCACTGCAGCCTCAACCTCCCTTGCTCAAGTGATCCTCCTGCCTCAGCCTCCTGAGTAGCTGGGACTAAGGCATGCGCCACCATGCTCAGCTAATTTTAAATTCTTTTTTAGATATGCGGTTTTGCTCTGTCACAAGCTGGTCTTGAACCCCTGGGCTCAAGCGATCCTCCTGCCTCAACCTCTGAAACTGCTGGAGTTAAAGGTGTGAGCCACCATGCCCAGTCAAAACCAAGGTTTTAATTTTGTACCCTTCTTCACAAAGTTAGTCTGTTTTTTTTTTTTTTGAGATGGAGTTTCGTTCTTTTTGCCCAGGCTGGAGTGCAATGGTGTGATCTTGGCTCGCCGCAACCTCTGCCTCCCAGGTTCAAGTGATCCTTCTGCCTCAGCCTCCTGAGTAGCTGGGATTACAGGCATGTGCCACCATGCCAGGCTAATTTTGTATTTTTAGTAGAGATGAGGTTTTTTCATGTTGGTCAGGCTGGTCTCGAACTCCTGACCTCAGGTGATCCACCCACCTCAGCCTCCCAAAGTGTTGGGATTATAGGCATGAGCCACTGCTCACAGCTTTTTTTTTTCTTTTAATGCATTATTCAAATTATTAATGCTAGTGTTACTCCTGACCAGATAATGATTAAAACTACTCTGGAATTTTTGAATGCTAGAGCATTGTGAGCATCATATGTATTTTGTGTTTCCATAGTTTTACAAAGGACGAGCAAATACTCAAGAGAAAATTATAAAGAGAGCTCAAAGACTTATTTAAAAGATGTCAAATGCTTATTATTTTTCCCCCTCATCTCTCCCATGAGATTCTAAAAAAAGTAGAATTTTGCCTGGGTGCAGTGACTCACACCTGTACTCCCAGCACTTTTGGAGGCTGAGGCGGGAGGATCGCTTGAGCTCAGGAGTTGGAGACCAGCCTGGGCAACATAGACCTCATCTCTACAAATAATCAAAAAATTAACTGGGCATGGTGGCTCACATCTGTGGTCCCGGCTACTTTGTAGGCTGAGGTGGTAGAATTGCTTGAGTCCAGGTGGTTGAGGCTGCAGTGAGTCATGATCACATCACTGCACTCTAACCTGCTCAACAAAGGGAGACCCCGTCTCAACAGACAAAAACATGGAATATAAAGCCTAAACTAAATGCACTTTTCTCATGTGTACACTGCTTACAAATTCTACTGTACTTAGAATCTTCAAGCTAACTCACTTTCAGAAAAAAAATGTTCAACTGAGCCTTGGTTCAACCATCATTGTTATAATGGTTTCTTTTACCTTTGAGAATAGCATATGAAAGTGGGAGAGAGATTATAGGTATGAGCCACTGTGCCCGGCCGCAACCTTCAATTATTTAGATAATTGTTATATCTTTAGCCTTCCTAAGGCTGTTATGTCTTCAAGCTTTCTAAGCATTAACATTTGATGGTTTATGTTATGTGTATCCTAAGTGACTTTCTCTGAGTCCCTTGTGTAAGGGACTATGTCTTTTATATTGTATATTGCTTAGGCACATAAATGATAAGTTTGGCTAAATTTCTTCTTATTGACTCCACACATTCATTAATTGTTAGACTGTAGTTTTGGTATTTTATTTTATTTTATTTTTTATTTTTTGAGACAGAGTCTGGCTCTGTCACCCAGGCTGGAGTTCAGTGGTGTGATCTCGGCTCACTGCAACCTCCACCTCCCAGGTTCTCCTGCCTCAGCCTCCCAAGTAGCTGGGATTACAGGCACCCACCACCACACCTGGCTAATTTTTTGTATTTTTTTTTTTTTTTTTTTTTTTTTTTTTTAGTAGGGACAGGCTGGTCTGAAACTCCTGACCTCAAGTGATCCACCCACCTTGGCCTCCCAAAGTGTTGGGATTACAGGCATGAGCCACTCTGCCTGGCCTAGTTCTGGTATTTTATGTTTGAAGATGCCAATGTAACTCTAACAATATTTAAATATTAATTCCTGTAGTAGTATTTAAATATTAATAATTGAGTTACAGCATATTGGGTTTCCCCAATATACATTAGATATGTTAAGTTTTTAAATGATTACCAAGGGCAATAAAAAAAATGAAGACAGCTCAAGAGAGTGGGAGAAAAGTTTGGAAGTCCCATATTGATCTGTAGGATGAAGGTACTGTACTGACTTAATGAGGGCTATTTGAGATCTGGCCCAGATCTGAGAGCACTGCCTTATAGTTCATATTAAGTATATGGATTCATGGGCTGGGCGCGGTGGCTCACGCTTGTAATCCCAGCACTTTGGGAGTCTGAGGCGGGCGGATCACGAGGTCAGGAGATCGAGACCATCCTGGCTAACAAGGTGAAACCCCATCTCTACTAAAAATACAAAAAATTAGCCGGGCGTAGTGGTGGGCACCTGTAGTCCCAGCTACTCGGGAGGCTGAGGCAGGAGAATGGCGTGAACCCAGGAGGCGGAGCTTGCAGTGAGCCTACATCGCGCCACTGCACTCCAGCCTGGGCAACAGAGCGAGACTCCGTCTCAAAAAAAAAAAAAAAGAATATGGATTCATGGCCGGGTGTGGTAGTTCACACCTGTAATCCCAGCACTTTGGGAGGCTGAGGCCTCCAAGAGTTCAAGACCAGCCTGGGCAACAGAATGAGACCCCCTTCTCTACAAAAAATACAAAAATTAGCCAGGTGTGGTGGTTCACAGCTATAATCCCGGCACTTTGGGAGGCTGAGGCAAGCGGATTGCTTAAGCTCAGGAGTTCAAGACCAGCCTGGGCAACATAGTGAGATCCCATCTCTACAGAAAATACAAAAATTAGCTGGGTGTGGCTGCACACTGCATGCCTGTAGTGCCAGCTATTTGGGAGGCTGAGGTAGAAGGATCGCTTGAGCCTACGAGGTGAAGGCTGCAGTGAGCCAAGATTGTGCCTGCACTCCAGCCTGGGTGACAGAGTGAGACCCTGTCTAAAAAGAAAAAAAAAAAAGAGAGAGACTATGGATTCCCCACAAAAATTACAAAAGTGTAGTTAAACTCACATACCTAATTTTAGGTGGGGTTTGTACTATCTATCTTTAGAGATCTCAAAGCAATGAGTATGTTGAAAATAATAGAATAGAGGACATGTGATGAATTAGGAGTCAAGCCAGTTATTCATACACCTATACAAAAGTGCCTGGAGTTTTTAAAAAAGCTGTAGGAAGAGAGGATGTAAACAAATGCTGCTTATAAATCATTTTTCTTCAGGCAGTGGGTAAAATGAGTGATGCATAGGAATTTGCATTTCTACATTGGCTTACGCTATCACATTTAATCATAACTTGATTTTCTTAATAAAACATTTCTTTCTATAGAACACATTTATTATTTACCATAATCATGTTTTAATTTTTTGAAACATCCTAGTCTATCATAGTTTTAGATATATTGTTGTTCATTGAGCTCATTTTATTTACTATTTCAAAGTTTTTTGATATTTAAACCTGTTTGGCAATTGAAATACCAAGCTCTGTTTTGTCAGGGTAACATGTTTACCACTTGTCACTTTCAGCCAGGTTTTTTTTTTTTTTCTTGGAGACGGAGTCTTGCTCTGTCTCAGGCTGGAGTGCAATGGCACGATCTTGGCTCACTGCAACCTCAGCCTCCTGGGTTCAAGCGATTCTCCTGCCTCAGCCTCCCGAGTAGCTGGGATTACAGGCATCTGCCACCATGCCCGGCTAATTTTTTTTTTTTTTTTTTGATTTTTGGTAGAGATGGGGTTTCTCCATGTTGGCCAGGCTGGTCTCAAACTTCTGACCTCAGATGACCCACCCTCCTTGGCCTCCCAAAGTGCTGGGGTTACATGTGTGAGCCACTGCATCCCGCCCAGGTTTTTAAAGGAACAATTAGTGGATGAGCTGAAATTCCATTTGAATTGTGCATGTGTATATACTCCCACATGTATTCATGTCAATGGCAGAGGTGGAGATGTATTAAACATCCTATTGACCCATTTGAGTTTGAAGTGATTTCCTAAAGGTTTTGCTGAAGTGATTGCCTATGGTGAATCAATTTAACCCTGTCTCATGCATACAGGAAACCAATAGACGTGGTGTTTCGTTTAAGTGACCAAAGCTCATTTCCTCTCTGCCCCAGTTAAGGTGGATAACAGTTCAATTTTGGTGTCTATAAAGAGGTTATCATGACCAATAAAATTAGAGCCTGCCGTGGCAAGTATATTCACTGCCATGGAATAGAAAACAAATTTAGGAGCTACTGTTAAGCATTCTGCTTGTAAGAAGACCTATTTAAGATAGGAAAACCAAATGAAGATTTTTACTCATTTTTCTCTGAATGCCCAACTGCATTTCTCTGAATATTTTACCTGCCATAACGATATGGGTTCTTTTCCTTTTTTTTTTTTTTTTCTTTTTTCTGAAACGGAGTCTCGCTCTGTTGCCCAGGCTGGAGTGCAATGGCGCAATCTCGGCTCACTGCAACGTCTGCCTTCTGGGTTCAAATGATTCTCATGCCTCAGCCTCCCGAGTAGGTGGGATCACAGGTGCCCACCACCACGCCCAGCTAATTTTTCTATTTTTAATAGAGACAGGGTTTCACCAGTTTGGCCAGGCTGGTCTCGAACTCCTTACCTCAGGTGATCCTCAGGCCTCGGCTTCCCAAAGTGCTGAGATTACAGGCGTGAGCCACCGCACCCAGCCTCCAGATACGAGTTGTTTTTTTCGAGTATTACTTTGTTAACTTTTACCCCAACCATTCATTTTCCCAATATTTTCAAACCCCAAATCACCCAGACACAATAAATGAGGTCTCTTTTCTTATCCATAGTGTCGGTATGAAAGTTTATTTTGAAGGTTTTTTTTTTTTTTTTTAGACGGAGTCTAGCTCTGTCTCCATGCTGCAGGGCAGTGGCGCGGTCTCGGCTCACTGCAACCTCCGCCTCCCGGGTTCCCGCGATTCTCCTGCCTCAGTCTCCCGAGTAGCTGGGACTACAGGCACACGCCACCACGCCCAGCTAATTTTTGTTTGTTTGTTTATTTATTTATTATTATTTTTGAGACGGAGTCTCGCTCTGTCATCAGGCTGGAGTGCCATTGGAGTGCAATGGCACGATCTCGGCTCACTGCAATCTCCGCCTCCCGGGTTCAAGCAATTCCCCTGCTTCAGCCTCCCGTGTAACTGGGACTACAGGCACGTGCCACCACCCCCAGCCAATTTTTTGTATTTTAGTAGAGACGGGGTTTCACCATGTTGGCCAGGATGGTCTCCATCTCCTGACCTCGTGATCTGCCCGCCTCGGCCTCCCAAAGTGCTTACAGGAGGACTACAGGCGCGAGCCACCGCGCCCGGCCAATTTTTGTATTTTTAGTAGAGACGGAGTTTCACCATGTTGGCCAGGATGGTCTCCATCTCCTGACCTCGTGATCCGCCAGTCTCGGCTTCCCAAAGTGTTGGGATTACAGGTGTGAGCCACCGCACCCGGCATATTTTGAGTTTTGAGTGGAGGATTAGACAGTCTTCTTCCTTCCCAAATTTGATTATGGGCTCCCTTTAGCCTTTTTCTTTGTTTTCTGTCTTTTTTCCACCACCACCCCGCCCCCGAGGCGCAGTCTCAAGAGGTCCTGAGAACATGTGCCCTGCTCTCTGTTTTAAGGATTAAAATAACTGTCGAGTTACATTGAATCTTTTTTGCCTATTCCATTTGGCTAGGTTAATTCCAGACCTTACACAAACATGTGCAGCTCTTACAAAATGTAGGTGAAGACAACATTTTTCTAACCATTCGGCTTCATGGGCTGTCACAGGAGAACTAAGTGCATGAAAAACCTTTCACAACATTGAAAGAAATTTTAAAAATCTGGTTGAAACACAATTAAAAATCCACAAGAGGGAGATGCTTGCTAAACCGTCAGAAAATAATTCCCTCGAGGGACCTGAGAGAGGAGCCTGGAGCCTTAGGAACAGCCACTGGGTCAGCCACGGGATTAAGGGTGGGAGGGAGCAGGAGTATATAGAGACGGGGGCTTGGTGGAGGAGTACAGTTGAAGGGAAAAGCGGGATGGGTTTCGTGCCTCTGGCAGCGAAGCGTGTACTTGGTCTAAGATCTTGAGCAGAAGGTAAGAGCGTGTTGCCAAAGCAGAGCTCAGTGCTCCCGATATATCTTCTGGTAGTCCCAGAAGAAATGGGGGTGGGTTGCTTTGAAGGCACTTCCGCTTAGCAACCCCACGCGGTTGCTAAGGAGGGGGCAGCCGTGGGGATAACCCGGAAGTGATGGTGTCAGTTTAACGCTGCCTGCCCAAAGTTTGTCCTATTAGGCCCGCCAGGGTACTCTGCGACTCCGGGACGAGGGCGGGGCCGCGCTAGTGGTTCCGGTTCGGCTCCAGCCGCCCCTCGGCTCCTCGCCTTCCCCCTCCCGTCCGCCTTCTCCCCTCCCTCCCGCTCCTGGGAAAGAGAGAAACCACCGCTGCGGGTGGGTAGAGAAGCACTTGGCGCCTCGGGGAGGGGACCGCGCCCGCCTCATTTGCGCCTTGCAGCACTGCTGGACCAGGTATCTGCCCGGCTTCGTCGGGGTTCTGTAGGCTGAAGTCTGAGGGGGTGTGTGTGTGTCTGAGGGGGTTGGTGGGGGGCCCTTTCCTGGGCGTGGGTGGGGGACGCCGTGATCCCGGGTGGGGCGCAGGCTGGCGTTTGTGTCTGTGGAGGGTTGCGGGGGCGGAATGGAGGGGCTGAGGGACACAGCGGGTGGAGAGTTTCGGTTAGCGGGGTAGAGGTAGGCGGAGGAGGCGCCCCTTCCGAGAAACTGACTCTAGCCGGTGTGGACCGGGAGTTTGCCACCTGGAGGGCTTACTCTGAAAGGGGGAGCATCCCCCGGGAGCCAAAAGGAGGGCACAGATCTCGTCAGGGTGACTGGGGCTATCCCGTGCTTCCATTGCCCTCTTTCCCTACCCACCCCGCTGGGACAGAGCTGGACTTCGAAGGTTGTGGGGGTTCTGAGTCGACTGGGTACCGCGGGGAGCCGCCCTTGGCGGAGCTTAGGGCACAAGAGTGGGTAATGAGACTTTCCTCTACCCAACTTCCGTACGCTTCCCCCACTTCTTCCTTTACTGTTTCCTCGCCCCCACGTCCTACAGGAGCAATGTCCCCCAAGTGGGCAGGCATCACAATGTAAAAGAGAGTGGAACTGGGTTTGTTGCCCCTAAATGACACTTAAGATGTTTGGAAAGTGCCTGAATGACATATTCAACCAAGTCTCCCAGCTCGATATTAATTCCGGTATAAATTACCTTAGAAAAGTGGAATTCTGAAAAGCATTTAACAATAGGCTAGTCCAGGTGTAGTCTTGTGTAGTAGATGTACGTGTTTATTTAAAAAGAATGGACTGGGGAAACCATATAGATGTATCACAGGTCTAGGCAAGACATGTTGAGGCAAGGCTTTTGCAGCCTCTTTCTTACCTGCCAGTAAACCTGTCCTAATTTAAATGAAGTAGAAAGATCCTCTTCATTTTTGTTTCAATCAGTGACTGAATACTAGGTGCTGTGTAGTGATGTCTCAGAACAGATATGTGAATTTTCAGAGAGAGAATGAATGTTCTGCTGTTGAGCCTGTGTCTTAATCTTTTAAGGAGATAATTGCGGTCAAGTGGAAGTATTGACTTTCAGGCAGATAAATCTTGGGTTGAACCTAGACTATGCCAGTTGCTAGTTACTGACCTTGGGCAAGTCATGGAACCTACCAGAGCTTTTGTTTCTTCATAAGTAGTATGAGTTAAAATTCTTACCTGTATTATAAGTAACATCCCATTTTAAACGGAACCACCTTTGAATTAGAAGATAAATTATTACCATTAATCATACACAGTCAAGGCAGCCCAGTTTTGTGAAACGAGGTTTGAGATAGGAAAGCAACCGGATAATTTTGAAAAAAAAATGCATACAATAGGACTTTCAGTGTCTTCTCGAAATTGATCGTAGGTAGCATGAAATTCAGTTATCAGTAGTTTCTTAAAATTCAAAATAATAAAGTAGAATATGGCCCATTTATTGAAATGAGCAAAATATATTTTATAGATTTTTCTCAGCTACACCATATTGGTGTTTATAGTATGGATTAACACGAAATACATGAAAAAGTAATGTATGTAAATCTTAACATCACATGTCTCTTTAAAGAGAATTAAAATTGGGGTGTAAAATAGAAGGTACTTGTTTTTTGTTTGTTTGTTTGTTTGTTTGAGACAGAGTCTTGCTCTATCACCCAGGCTGGAGTGCAGTGGCACGATCTCGGCTCAGTGCAACCTCTACCTCCAGGATTCAAGCGATTCTCCTGCCTCAGCCTCCTGAGTAGCTGGGATCACAGGCGCCTGCCACTACACCCAGCTAATTTTTTGTATTTTTAGTAGAGAGAGGGTTTTACCATGTTGGTCAGGTTGGTCTTGAACTCCTGACCTTGTAATCCATCCGCCTTGGTCTCCCAAAGTGCTGGGATTACAGGTGTGAGCCACCGTGCCCGGCCTACTTGTAATTTTAAGATAAAAATCAGCAGCATCAGCAGCACCTCTCATCTCAGTTAGATTTATGCTACTAGAAAAACTTATATAATATTCAGAAAACAAAATCGAATACATTTCTGCCTTTAAATCATTCCTTATTACGATATAGAAATAAATCCAAGAAACATGAAGTCTGTTTTTTATTTATTTTTAGTGACAAGGTCTTTCTCTGTCACTTAGGCCAGAATGAATGCACTGGGGCAATTATACTCACTGCAGCCTCAAACTCCTGGGTTCAAGCAAACCTCCTGCGTCGCCCTCCCAAAGTGTTGAGATTACAGGTGTGAGCCACCTCACCCAGCCCATGAAGTCTTTTTCTTTCTTTTTTTTTTTTTTTTTTGAAATGGAGTCTCACTCTGTCACCCAGGCTGGAGTGTGGTGGCACGATCTCGGCTCACTGAAACCTCCACCTCCCAGGTTCAAGCAATTCTCCTGCCTCAGCCTCCTGAGTAGCTGGGATTACAGGCACATGCCACCACATCCAGCTAATTTTTTTGTATTTTTAGTAGAGACGAAGTGTCATCATGTTAGCCAGGATGGTGTCTATCTCCTGACCTCGTGATCCACCCGCCTCAGCCTCCCAAAGTGCTGGGATTACAGGCATGAGCCACCGTACCCGGCCAAAGTCTTTATACTCATTTGTTTTGTGGATTTAAAATAATATAGTTATGTGTCACCTATTATATGTCAGATTTTCAGCTAACGTAGTTTGCTTTTTGAGGTGACTTATAGTTAGTTATTTTCAAATGTAATTTATACTCAGAGGACAAAAATCAAATAACTTCCTGTAATAATAGATGTTTGTGAGAATACAAAGTTTGCAATTCAGTTTGACCTTTTTTGAGAAGTTCATAAGTTTTGTGTAAATTTGTGAGAAATTTTCTTTTCTTTTTTTTTAAAGACAGATTCTTGCTCTGTCACCTAGGCTGGAGTGCAGCAGCATAATCTCTGCTCATTGCAATCTCCGCCTGCTAAGTTCAAGCAGTTCTCGCACCTCAGCTTCCTGAGTAGCTGGAACTACAGGCGTGTGCCACCATGTCCAGCTAATTTTTGTGTTTTTAGTAGAGAAGGCGTTTTGCCATGTTGGCCAGGCAGGTCTCGAACTCCTGACCTCAAGTGATCCGCCAGCTTTGGCCTCCCAAAGTGCTGGGATTACAGGCATGAGCCAACACACCCAGCCCTGAGAAATTTTCAAATATATTTCTTCCCCATGTCTCTTTGTTTTATAAAGAGTTGAAATTAGGCCAGGCATGGTGGCTCATGCCTGTAATCCTAGCACCTTGGGAGGCCGAGGTGGGCGGATCACCTGAGGTCAGGAGTTTGAGACCAGCCTGAGCAACATGGAGAAACCCCATCTCTACTAAAAATACAACATTAGTCAGGCATGATGGAGCATGCCTGTAATCCCAGCTACTCGGGAGGCTGAGGCAAGAGAATCGCTTGAACCCGGGAGGTGGAGGTTGCGGTGAGCCAAGATTGTGCCATTCACTCCAGCCTGGGCAAGAGCAAAACTCCATCTCAAAAAAAAAAAAAAAAAAAGAAGAATTCAAATTATGTTTTGTGATAGTTACAGAGTTTTGGTAAGGTTATTTAGCTTTCTAAATGGCTCTTCTGAGAGTGTAAGGTCTGTATATATCTAAGCTTTCTGCTGTGTTTTCTTTTATCTTTTCACTTTTTTTTTGAGATGGAGTCTTGCTCTGTCACCCATGCTGGAGTGCAGCGGCACTATCTTGGCTCACTGCAACCTCCGCCTCCCGGGTTCAAGCAATTCTACTGCCTCAGCCTCCTGAATAAGCTGGAACTATAGGCATGCGCCACCATGCTGGCTAATTTTTGTATTTTTAGTAGAAACGGTGTTGGCCATGTTGGCCAGGCGGCTCTCTAACTCGTGACCTCAGGTGATCCACCCACCTTGGCCTCCCAAGGTGCTGGGATTACAGGTGTGAACTGCCCTGCCCGGCCTGCTGTGTTTTCTCGTATCATTTTTTTATCATCCTTTAAATCTTAAAGTTGAGATCATATGCTTTGGTAAAGCTCTCAGAAGCTCCCACTTTTTCCCCTGTCTTCTTCTCAAACTATAATACTGTATTAATATTTTTAAAAATCTTTTTTGTTTTTGAGACGGAGTTTCTGTTACCCAGGCTGGAGTGCCCAGGCTCAGCTTACTGCAGCCTCTGCCCCTCAGGTTCAAGCGCCCCTCCTGCCTCAGTCTCCCGATTAGCTGGGATTACAGGTGTGCGCCAGCATACCTGGCTAATTTTTGTATTTTTAGTGGACATGGGGTTTTGCCATGTTGGCCACGCTGGTCTTGAACTCCTGGCCTCAAGTGATTGGCCCGCCTCAGCCTCTCAAAGTGCTGGGACTACAGGCGTGAGCCACCGTGCCTGGCCCGATAATCTATTAATTTTGATATAAGAGATAGTATACTAGCTGCTAGAGTAAAAAATTCTATCTTAATTGTGTGCAATGAATAGAGACGGTTAGAGATTTCTCAATCACCACTTCCTCTCAAAGTCTGTGGCCGTTCCAAGGATCTTTGCAGTTGTCAGTTATGGAATTTGCTTGTCAGGAAATCTAAAAATGACTAAACCTTTGTTTAATATCTATCTCTTGGATGACCTCAGAAAGTTTTAGGAAAGATTGGGAAGGTTTATATATGTACCATATACTAGAATTAGATAATGAACAAAATACAGCTGAATTTATTGGCGCTATACAATCAGGAGTGAGTTACTGTGAAAATGTTATTAAAAAGTCCAGGCGGTGCTTTCTTTTTACTCAAACCAAATGAGTATTCTTCCAGAGCTCATTTTTATTTTAAAGCATATTTCTTTTATGGAGCTGTGATTTAGTCTCTAATAAGGATAAATAATCATTATATAAAAAAAGGCTGGTGTCATAGATTTTAGTACTACATATTGATAGAAACTGCTTCAGTGGTTTTAGATAAGTGTATTTTCCGGAAATAACTTTTGAATTTGTGGAATGATAGTTTTTCTCTTTTTAACAGTTAACTTGTCTCTACTCATTTCTGCCCAATATAGAAGCTCTGAGAAGCTGGGAGGAAAAAAAAAAAGAAAAAGAATGGATTTACTTCAGAATTACCATTTTAAGTTGTGGAGATTACTTATTTGGAGAGCAAAATTGGATTTTGACATTATTGGGATTGTGTTCAAGATGGACTCAGGAAAAAAAATTTAGATGCCATCTGTTTCAGATTCCTTCTCTCCCAACCCCTTTTATGTTTTATGGCTTTGAGTTCATCAGATTATTTTGTAAAAATAAAAATCCTCAGTAGATTTAGGTTATATAATATCAGCTCTATCAGTGAACATGTAACCAAAGATCTTGCATTTTTATATTGAGTTATACAGGATGATGACAGATACTGTTTAAAGTTAATTGTTATTTCAAACTATATGAATGGTAACTTCATGCATCTTTTAATTCTCACTGTTCACTTGATAAACCAATTTTTTTTTTTTGGAGACAGAGTCTTGCTCTGTTGCTCAGGCTGGAGTGCAGTGGCGTGATCTTGGCTCACTGCAAGCTCCATCTCCCGGGTTCACGCCATTCTCCTGCCTCAGCCTCCGGAGTAGCTGGGACTACAGGTGCCTGCCACCACACCCGGCTAATTTTTTTTCTTTTTGTATTTTTAGTAGAGACGGGGTTTCACCGTGTTAGCCAGGATGGTCTCGATCTCCTGACCTTGTGATCCGCCCGCCTTGGCCTCCCAAAGTGCTGGGATTACAGGTGTGAGCCACCGCGACCAGCCGATAAAACCATTTTTATAAGTAGTATTTAACATAGTCCACTTGTTGATGGAAGCTTAAAAAATTGATAAAAAGATATTTTAGATTAAATCTTTATTCACTTGATGTCTTAAAACCAGAAAAGAAGCTTCTTCTGAGGATTTTTAACTTAAAACAAGCTTACTTAAATTTACTCTTTCAGTAGTGGATTTTATCTTACCCTCTGTGCCAGTTGCTTAGTTTTCATCTAAATGTGTGCACATAGTTGGCACTTTTCATTTGGGATTTTTTTAATTTTTAATTTTTTTTTTTTTTTTAATTTTTGGAGACGAGGGTCTCAGTGTGTTGCTCAGGCTGGTCTTGAACTCCTGAGCTCAAGTGATCCTTCCACCTCAACCTCCTGAGTAGCTGGGATTACAGGTGCTAACCACCATGCTAGGTTCATTTTGGATCTTAATAAATTCTGACGGCAGGCTTTTGGGTTACTAAACTGTAAAAGACCAAACTTGCTGAGGTTATAACCTTAACTTAGCGGACCAGAAAGACTCAGTCATCTCAGAGAAATTGAAATAGCACTAGTGTGGTATCCCAGAAATGGCCTAAAGAGAGAGCCATCTGGATAGAAGCCATGCTTTGTCTGCAGCAGGAATGTTCTGATGAGATAGAAAGACAGATGGACTGTCCCCACACTAATGTAGTCTGTCCCTCACCCAGAAGCTCCAAGTGGGCAGTGTAGTTATAGTGGGGGTTGGGGTGCTAGGGATGGGAATTATTCTTTAATAATTTCTCACCCATCACATTGGAGGTGTGGGTATACTGGGTAGAGGGATATTCTCTTAGTTTTTGCCTTGTCCAGAGATGTCGGGTGAAGAGGTAGCCATTGCCCTTGCCACGAAAAGGGAGAAGCCTGGGTGCCGAGTTTGATGTCTCCATCAAAATGCTACATAAATTTGCCAGGGAACAATAGCATTGGATCCCCATGGATTTCTGCTGCTTATACATTCTAACTCCTTAGCCTATAAAAAGGGGTATTTACGACTTCCTGAATGAAAGTTATACATTTTCTTCTGTCTTGATACTTTTTTTTTTTTTTTTTTGAGGTGGAGTTTCGCTCTCGTTGCCCAGGCTGGAGTACAGTGGCGTGATCTCGGCTCACTGCAACCTCCACATTCCGGGTTCAGGCAATTCTCTTGCCTCAGACTCCTGAGTAGCTGGAATTACAGGTGCCCGCTACCTACCATGTCCAGCTAATTTTTTGTATTTTTAGTAGAGATGGGGTTTCACCACGTTGGCCAGGCTGGTCTCGAACTCCTGACCTCAGGTGATCTGCCCTCCTCAGCCTCCCAAAGTGCTGGGATTACAGGTGTGAGCCACCGCGCCTTGCCAATATGTTTTAAAATACACTTTAATTTCTCTGTTGACCATAATGAATGATGTGAAATTTTTTTCTTTTCTTCCTTTTTTTGGTGTTTGAGTATCCATGATAATCACCAGATCTCATTTTAGCTTTAGGATAAATTGCTAACCACAGCTGTGATCAAGCCGCTTCCCAGCTGGAATTCTTTTCCATTTCCTAGAGGTCACTCTCTGATGTGGGTGCTGGTGAGCAGAGAGAAATGACTAATGCCAGGAAAAGGCAAGAGGATTAAAATCTCTTAATTTTGTTTGCACTTTGCTAAAATTTCTGTAGTCTACAGTGGCAATATTTACTCTTTGAGATTGTGTATGCCCTATTGTGTTTTTTTCATTAATTTTTTTTTGAATACTTTTAGATTTCTGGAATAAGAGAGCAGATAGTACATAGAGTTCAGTGTGCTTCTCTCCTCCATCCCCCAGTTTCCCCTATTATTAACATCTTGCATTAGTGTGGTACATGTGTTACAATTAATGAAATAATATTGATACATTATTGTTAACTATAGCATCTGGTTTACACTAAGGTTCACTCTGCATTGTACATTCTGTGGGTTTTGACAAATGCATAATGACACGTATCCACCATTACAGTTTCCTACACATAGTTTCACCATCCTAAAAATCCTGTGTGCTTCACATCCCTCCTCTCCTGCCTGAATTACTGGCAGACACTGACCATTTTACTGTCTCTATAGTATTGCCTTTTCCAAAATGTCATATAGTTAGAATCATATAACATAGAGCTTTTTAAGATTGTTTTTTTTTTCACTTAGCAATATGCGTTGAATGTTCTTCGTGTCTTTTTTTTTTTTTTGACACAGAGTTGTGCTCTGTCGCCAGGCTGGAGTGCAGTGGCGGGATATCAGCTCACTGAAACCTCCGCCTCCTGGGTTCAAGCGATTCCCCTGCCTCAGCCTCCCGAATAGCTGGGATTACAGGCACATGCCACCACTCCTGGCTAATTTTTTGTATTTTAGTAGAGACCGGGTTTCACCATGTTGGCCAAGATGGTCTCGATCTCCTGACCTCGTGATCTGCTCGCCTCAGCCTCCCAAAGTGCTGGGATTACAGGTAGGAGCCACTGTGCCTGGCCTCTTCATGTTTTTTTGTGGCTTCATAGCTCATTTCTTTTTATTGCAGGACAATTTTTCTTTTCTCTTTTCTTTTCTGTACATTTTCCTTCCTTCCTTCCTTCCTTCCTTCTTTCCTTGTTTCTTTCTTTTTTTTTTTTTTTAAGACGGAGTGTTGCTATGTTGACCAGGCTGGCCTTGAATTCCTGGGCTCAAGCGATCCTCCTGCTTCAGCCTCCCGAGTAGCTTGGACTACAGGTGCAAGCCAGCATACCCAGTTGGTATTGCTGAATAATTTTCTGTTGTATAGATGTGCCACAATTTGTTGATCCCTTCACCATTTGAAGGACATCTTTGTTGCTTCTAGTTTTTGATAATGATGAATAAAGCTGGTATAAACATACATGTGTAGGTTTTTCTATCATTAAAAGTTTTCAGCTCTTTTGAGTAAATACCCAGGAGTGTGATTGCTGGATCTTATGATAAGACTATTTAATTTGGTAAGAAATTGTCAAACTGTTTCCCAAAGTGGCTATACCATTTTGTATTCCTACGAGTAATGAATAACAAGAGTTCCCGTTGTTTCACGTCCTCACTAGCATTTCGTATTGTCTCTTTTTTTGTATTTTACTCGTTATCTAATAGATATGTAGTAGTATCTTGTTTTAATTTGCAGTTCTCTATGATGTTGGGCATCTTTTTGTATGTTTGACATTTCTATACCTTTTTGGATGAGGTATCTGTTCAGGTCTTTTGCCCATTTTAAAATAAGGTTGTTTGCTTCTTGTTGAGTTTTAAGTGGTCATTGTGTATTTTGGATACAAATCCTTAATCAGATATATTTTTTGCAAATATTTTTTCCAGTCTATGGCTTGTCTTTTTATTCTCTTAATAGTGCCTTTCATAGTGCAGAAGTTTTTAATAAGGTCCAAGTTAACCTCTTCTCTTTCATTGATAATGCTTTTAGTGTTATATCTGAAAACTCATTTCCAGCCAGGTGTGGTGGCTCACACCTGTAATCTCAGCACTTTGGGGGGCCAAGGCAGGCAGATCACCTGAGGTCAGGGGTTCGAGACCAGCATGGCCAATGTGGTGAAACCTCATTTCTACTAAAAATACAAAAATTAGCCGGGTGTGGTGGTGTGCGTCTGTAATCCCAGCTACTCAGGAGGCTGAGGCAGGAGAATCACTTGAACCTGGGAGGCGGAATTTGCAGTGAGCTGAGATCGCACCATTGTACTCCTGTCTGGGCAACAAGAGCAAACCTATGTCTCAAAATAAATAAATAAATAAATAAATAAATAAATAAATAAATAAATAAATAAAAACTCGTTTCCAAACCCAAGGTCACTTACATTTTCTCCTATTTATCTTCAAGAATTTTTTATCGTTTTGTAGTTTACATTTAGTTATAAGGTTTATTTTAAGTTAGTTTTTTTTTTTGGAAAGGTGTAAGGAATATGTGTATATGCATGCACATGGGTGACCAATTGTTTTTTTTTTAATTTATTTTTTAATTAAAAAAAATAAACAGAGATGAGGTCTCACTATATTGCCCAGTCTGGTCTTGAATTCCTGATCTGCCCACCTTTGCCTCCAAAAGTGCTGGGATTGTAAGTGTGAGCCACTGCATCCAGTCGTGACCAATTGGTTTATGCAAATTTTTTCTGCCGGGTGCAGTGGCTCACACTCAGCACTTTGGTAGGCTGAGGTGGGCAGATCACGAGGTCAGAAGATCAAGACCATCCTGGCCAACAAGGTGAAACCCCGTTTCTACTAAAAATACAAAAATTAGCTGGGTGTGGTGGCGCATGCCTGTAGTCCTAGCTACTTGGGAGGCTGAGACAGGAGAATCGCTTAACCAGGGAGTAGGAGGTTGCAGTGAGCCGAGATTGTGCCACTGCACTCCAGCCTAGCGACAGAGTGAGACTCCATCTCAAAAAAAAATAAGTTTTTTTTTCTATTCTACAAGCGTTAATAAGGATGTTCTTAAAGAAACTAAAACAAATGAAATAATCTGTGGGAGTTATTTTTAAATGAGAGTTTCCTAACGTTCTCGAATGTAATTAGAAGCATTGTTCAGAGTGTGGTTTTCCCTTTCAAGAAGATTGATTTTAGGTTATTAGGTCTTAATTGACAACTGCTTAATTATTTCATACATGTATTAGAGTCTTAGGAAGTATGAGCTAAATGTGGCACAGTCATGTGATGTTTCAGGTTGTAAAGGGGCTTGATAGGAAATTTAAATGCAGAATTTTTCAACTGTCACTAAGGACAAGAGCCTTTGTCACTTGGGTTTTATTGTTGCGAAGGGTTTCAACTATACAGATTTTGATCACCCTCTCTAGTGTTTGCTGCTGCTTATTACACTTGTTGAAGACTATCTAGAAGCTTGAGCTGGCAAAAACTGAATAGGAAGCGCTTCCATGGGTACTGCTGTACTTTCCTGAATATTTTCAATTCTGTCTCAGGCTGAGAATCTTGATTCTAAAAGTAATAGAATGCTGTCCTGAGACATTTTATTCTCATGTAGCCTGAGTACTAATTGTTAGCTAGAATCCTCTTTCACTTGGCTTTATAACTGTCCTGTCCTGTACTTCTAGAACAGCTTCTATTTTCTAAAACATTTTAACCTTAATTGGTATAATGACATCTAAATATTCTGGTCATCTAGGGTATGATGCAAGAATTGTTTAATAACTCTGTTTGGTGAGTTTTGTTTGTTTTTTCACCTAGTTAAATAAGTCAACTAGGAACTGTCTGTGTGAAAGCACTTAGATTCTCCAGAGATACATTATCTCCAAATCAATCAATATGAAGGCTCACTTTGTCTTTAATGGGATCCATCTGGTTAATGCTGTGTTTCTTGAGTTTCATAGATTATGAAATCATAAAGCTAAAAGAAAATATGGAGATGGTCTAGTTAGACCCTTTCATTTTACAGCTGAGACTACTTAAGTGCAGAGAGGCTAAGTGACTTGCTCAAGATTGTACAGCTAATTAATGAGTCACACTGGAATTCAGTGTAGTCTTATTTCTGATATAACTGTGCTAATTTTTTCATTGCAGTTAGTGAAGAAATTATGGATTTATAAGAAGTAAATTTTCCAGGAGGTTTAAGTGGACTTAAATTAAGTATTTCTTATAATTGAAATGTGTATATTTCTTTCAGGTACCAGGTGTCACTGGATTTCTATGAGCAAATTTGTTATGTTTCACGTTCCAGATAGAAATCAGCCAATTTAAAAATAGTGGTGAAGTTATTATAGCCTATATTTAATGAGCACACATTTGGCTGCATTAAAATGAATCTTAATGTATTTTTTGCACAGCGGAGATAATCTGTTAATATTTAATGCCATAAAGCAACAATGGAATTCTGCTTTCATGTGGTGTATTTATAAAACTAGAGTAGAGTGTTATGTAAAAACTAAAAGTACAGATTAATTTAATATGCATCTGGTGAATTCAGGGCTTGAAGGATGCACATCTGTTGAGAAAACAAATCATAGAACTATTCAGAGTTTCAGCATCTTTAAATATGTGCGCTTTGATTCTGTTTTAACTGTTTTGAAACAGTCTTTAATGGATTTAGAAAAGGCCATTTGCTCTAAGGAAGCAACTGTGAAGCCACTTACAATGCTATTATTCATTTTATTATTTTTTAAAGCATTTTTATACATTACTATTTTTCTTTCCAATTTATTTATTGGGGAAGGAAGGGGCTAAATGACTCACCATAACAAAATGAGTTTGTTGCAGAACCATGTTTAAAAAGAAAGGAATGTAATTTGCTGAATTCAATAGATTAGAAATATTTTAAGGCTTTGTCAAAATAATACGCCAAAAAATATTTTAAGGCTCTGAATTCTAATTTGAACTCACAATCAGTGAAGAAATAATCAGTTTCTACTGTGTATTCATCACCATACTAGAGCTGTGGTAATATAGAAATTGAAGATATAGTCTATATCTTCAGCTTCTATATTACCGCAGCTCTAGTATGGTGATATAGATTATATCTTCAATTTCGAGTTGAAAGAAACAAGACTTAAAATGAAAGGTAGAGAATAACACAGATATGTAATGAAGCAAAAACTTGATCTAATCTGTCAACATTACAGTAATTTAGAGGGGAGAAAATCCAGTGAGTATTCACAATTCTGACAGGAAGGAGATTAAAGTTAAAGTAGTGGATCTCAACTCTGACTGCTCCTTAGAATCACTTGGGAAAACTTAATCAAAAATCAGATGAATCAGAATCTTGGGTGAGGTGCATCTGCAGTTTTTAAAAGCTTTCCCAGATGTTTGTAATGTGCAGGCAGTGTTAAGAATCACAGGCTTAAAGGCTGGGTTTGATTTGGAAAAGCAAGAAAGTGTACTAGGCCAGCACAGGGTGGGAGAATTGGCCACAGTCTGTGAAAAGATTAATCCAGTCAAAGCAGTGTGTGCTAGGTGGGGAGGAAGGAGAAATAAGCCTACAGAGGCAGAATGGGGTCTATTTTAGAAGAGGTGTGTGTGTGTGTGTGTGTGTGTGTGTTGGAGTTTTGCTCTTGTTGCCCTGGCTGGAGTGCAATGGCACGATCTCAGCTCGCTGCAACCTCTGCCTCCTGGGTTCAAGCGATTCTCCTGCCTTGGCCTCCCGAATAGCTGGGATTACAGGCATGCGCCACCACACCCCGCTAATTTTGTATTTTTAATAGAGGTAGGGTTTCTCCATGTTGGTCAGGCTGGTCAAGATAGAATAGTACTTTTCAAAATGTGGTTTCTTGACCAGCAGCAGCAGCAGCAGCGTCTCCTGGAAATTTATTATAAATGCAGATTTTAAGGCCCTGGTCCCATACCTACTGAATTGGAAACTCTAGACTGGGGTCCAGCAATCTGTATTTTAACAAGCATGCCAGATGATTCTGATGTACACTCAAAGTTTGGGAACTGCTGTTAAGAGAGGATAATGAAAGTTAGGCAGAGGAAATTAGATTTGATGTGCTCATAAGCAGGGATCCATAGAAGATTTTTAATTTTTATTTTTTAATCATTTACTTATTTTCCATGTATCCAAGGCACGAACCAGCCATGGGCACAGACCAAGAGCCAAGATGGGATAAACAAGGGTTGCTTTATCCCTGGATGACATGAGATGGACATCACCACATTAAAGGTTCTTAAGCTAGAGAGTAACAGGAAGTATCTGTATGTATTCAAGGTAAATCTGATGGTGATCTGCACAATACTTTGGATTACTAAAAGATATGAATGAAGTGGGCTGGTTGAGGAAATGCAGACATAATCTAGTGGATGTAATCTAGCAGCAGTAAAGGCTTGTTCTAGGGAAGTATTAGTGAGAAAACATAATACTAATAATAGTGATGGCAATTTATTGAGAGTTTACATAACAAGTGGCATGTTAAATGCATTTTATTCTCACAGCAAGCCACTGAAGTGTGGCTATTCCAGTTTTACAGATCAGCAAATGAGGCAGAGAAAGGAAGGTTACTTCTGAAGTTCACACTGCTGGTATGTGGTGGAGCCAGGATGTCAAGCTCAAGAATCTCTGCCTCTAAAGCCTCTTGAAGAAACAGCTAATAATATCTGGAGAGCCACGAGAAAAAGGAAAATACTTGAGTCTGAAAAGTTTTAATCCTACTTGACAGAGTGCAAGGGGACGTCACTGTCGGAAGGGAAATAGTGCATACAGTGGGTAACAAGGGAAGTCATTTAGCCAGTTGGGAACAAACCATCTTGTAAAAGTGACCATGAGGAATAACCGATGGAAATTTTTGTATAGTGCTTTTTCAGTATAAAGTTCGAAGTAACTTTCAATAGTTGAGTTTATAGGTTTTGTTTGTTCTTGCTCATGCTGACTAAATTAGAAGAGTCACCTCATCCCGCTTTTAAAAAGGGTCTTTTAGATTTTAGAGTAGATAGTCTGTGAGTAAGTCATGCCCAAGAAGCTTACTGTAATACCACTTTTCCCTCTCTAAGCATCTTAGTCTTAAGACAGTTTAAGCTGAGTGTGGTGGCTTATGGAGGATCACTTGAGGCCAGGAGTTCAAGATCAGCTTGGGCAACATAGCAAGACTCTGTCTCTATAAAAAATAAAAAAAAATTAGCTGGGTGTCATGGCACGAGCTGGTAGTCTCAGCTACTCAAGAGATTGAGGCAAGAGGATTGCTTGAGCCCAGGAGTTTGAGGCTGCAGTGAGATCTGATCATGCCACTACACTCCAGCCTGAGTGACAGGGCAAGATGTCTTTGAAACCAACCAACCAACCAACAGAAGAAATAAATGACAGTTTAATAAATATTTCAGGCCGGGCACTGTGGCTCACGCCTGTATTCCCAGCACTTTGGGAGGCCAAGGCGGGTGGATCATGAGGTCAGGAGATTGAGACCATCCTGGCCAATGTAGTGAAACCCCGGCTCTACTAAAAAGATAAAAATTGGCCGGGCGCGGTGGCTCACGCCTGTAATCCCAGCACTTTGGGAGGCCGAGGCGGGTGGATCATGAGGTCAAGAGATTGAGACCATCCTGGCTAACAAGGTGAAACCCCGTCTCTACTAAAAATACAAAAAATTACCCGGGCGCGGTGGCGGGCGCCTGTAGTCCCAGCTACTCGGGAGGCTGAGGCAGGAGAATGGCGTGAACCCGGGAAGCGGAGCTTGCAGTGAGCCGAGATTGCGCCACTGCAGTCCGCAGTCCGGCCTGGGCGACAGAGCGAGACTCCGTCTCAAAAAAAAAAAAAAAAAAAAAAAAAAAGATAAAAATTAGCTGGACGTGGTGGTGTTTTTGAGACAGTGCCTCACTCTATTGCCCAGGTTGGAGTGCCGTGGTGTGATCATGGCTCACTGCAGTACCAACTACCCAGGCTTTAAGTGATCCTCCCACCTCAGCCTCCTAAGTAGCTGAGACCACAGGCACACACCACCATGCCTGGCTAATTTTTAAAAAACTATCTGTAGAGACAGGATTTTGCCATATTGCCCAGTCTGGTCTTGAGCTCCTGGGCTCAAGTGATCCTCTGGCCTCGGCCCCCCAAAGTGCTGGGATTACAGGCATGAGCCAACATACATGACCTTAAAGTGGTTTCACAGAAGTTCTACCTAGCAACTTCATTAGCCCTTTGCTGCAAGGTAATTAGGCTGCCCAGAATAAAACTGGACTTTACTGAGGGAGTGGTGATTCTGGGAAAGCCACCTGCAGTCTCTACCACATCATATAACAATAAAAGGTTTAGTTTACCAGGAAGATACTAGAATTCTGTTACTTATACCAGATAATACAGGTTCAACATACATAAACCTACATAACAACTACAAGGAGAAATTTATAAATTCACCATTATATTAGAATAGATGTTTTTGACATTAAAACAATACTTCCTGCCAGCAGAGATGTGCTAAAGAAAAAAAAATCATTAAAACAACACAACAAGACAGAGCTATTGGGTGAATATAGAACATTGTACTCAAGTTTTAAAGAATTAGTTTCATACAGTTACTACTATTTGCAGATATAGTTACTTTGTGGAATCCAAAATTTCTGTAATGCGAGAGGTAACAACCTTCAAAGTAGCCCTGAAAATCTCAACAAATTCAAAGAATATGTATTCTATAGACCAAACCTTCGATGACAGTGCAAACTAAATTAGGACTCAGTTTTTTAAAAAAATGACCTTTAAAAATGTTTGGAAATTTAAAAGAACACATCTAAATAACTCTTGAGGTTACAAAAGAAATAATGATAGAGGTTTACCAATGCATAACACTGAATGTTAATTAAAAAAACAACATCAAAATTGATGGATGCAACTTAGTGGTTCTTGGGCATAGCATATAGTCAAGTTTCATAAATACTCTGTGAGAGTTTGAAAAGACCATTCTCTAGTTGAGGGCAGTGGTATTAATAGAGGAAAAGAGCCTCAGAAATTGAGAACTGTCAGTCACTCCTCTTGATTTAATATTCGTATTTAAGGCCTTGTGCAATTTGTCCTCTGACAGTTGTCAGTGGGCACTACTGCTCCTCCTGTTTCTTTTGCTTTAATCTTAATTACATAATTAAAGTTCTCTTATTAGACACTAGTGGTTCTAAAATGTTAGCATGTATTGGAATTTTCTGGAGGGTTTGTTAAAACACAGATTGCTGGCTGGGCTCATGTCTGTAATCCCAGCACTTTGGGAGGCCGAGGCGGGTGGATCACCTGAGGTCAGGAGTTTGAGACCAGCTGGGCCAACATGGCGAATCCCTGTCTCTACTAAAAATACAGAAATTAGCCGGGCGTGGTGGTGGGTGCCTGTAATCCCAGCTACTTGGGAGGCTGAGGCAGGAGAATCGCTTGAACCTGGGAGGCAGAGGTTGCAGTGAGCGGAGATTGTGCCACTGCACTCCCCCTTGGGCGAGAGAGTGAGACTCTACCTCAAAACAACAACAACAATAACAACAAAAAACAAAAAAACACAGATTGCTGGTCCTCACCCCCTGAATTTCTGATTCAGCTCATCTGGGGTAGGGCCTCCAAATTTCCATTTTCAGCAGATTTGCAGATGATGTTCATGCTGGTGACCTAGGGACAATGCTTTGAGAATCACTGTACTAGAGATTACATTCACTTGACTGTATCCCTTGTAACTGCTAATTCTTTTCCTGTAGCCCCTTTTCTCTCCTCCTTAACTTTTTCCCTTCAGAATCCTGCACTTTAACTCTCCCCTTTTCTTGGAAGTACTTTTTTTTTGAGATGGAGTTTCGCTCTTGTTGCCCAGGCTGTAGTGCAGTGGCGTGATCTTGGCTCACTGCTATCTCCACCTCCTGGGTCCAAGCCATTCTTCTGCCTCAGCCTCTCAAGTAGCTGTGATTACAGGCATGCAGCACCATCCTTGGCTAATTTTGTATTTTTAGTAGAGACGGGGTTTCACCATGTTGGTCAGGCTGGTCTCGAACTCCCAACTTCAGGTGATCCACCAGCTTCCACCTCCCAAAGTGCTGGGATTACAGGTGTAAGCTATCGCGCCCGGCCAGAAGTGTTTTTTTTTTTTTTTTTTTTTTTTTTTTGAGACCGAGTTTCACTCTTGTTGCCCAGGCTGGAGTGCAGTGGCACGATCTCAGCTCACCACAACCTGCACCTCCTAGGTTCAAGCGATTCTCCTGCCTCAGCTTCCTGCGTAGCTGGGATTATAGACATGTACCACCACACCCAGCTAATTTTGTATTTTTAGTAGAGATGGGAGTTTCTCTGTGTTGGTCAGGCTAGTCTCGAACTCCTGACCTCAGGTGATCTGCCTGTCTTGGCCTCCCAATGTGCTGGGATTACAGGTGTGAGCCACCGCGCCGGGCTCAAGTGTTTTTAACCATCAAGTTGTTAGATGTCCCATGCCTATGCTTACTTAGAAAATGGTTCTTGCACATCTATAGAAGTCCTAATCTTGCTATCATACTAAATATCACTTCACATCCATTAAGATAGCTATTAAAATACACACACAGAAAGTAAAAAAGTAGTGAGGATGTGGAGAAATTGGAACTCTATTTATTGCTGGTGGGAATATAAAATGCCGCAGCCATTGTGGAAAACAGCTTGGCAGTTTCTCGAAAGGTTACACATAGGACTACCATATAGACCCAGCAGTCCTCTCTTAGGCATATATCTAAAAGAATCAAAAACAGGGTTTGAAACAGATGTTTGTACAGTACCTTTATAACAGCATTCATAATAGCCAACCAAGCGCCTGTTGACAGATGAGTGCATAAACAATATGTAGTATATACATACAAAGGAAGGAAATTCTGACACATGCTATGACGTGGGTAAACTTTGAAAACATGCTTAGTATAATAAGTCAGACACAGGACAAATATTGCATGATTTCACTTATGAGCTACCTAGGATAGACAAATTCAAAGACAAAGTAGAATAGAGGTTATCAGGGGCTGATGGGGCAGAGAAAAGCAGAGCTATTGTTTAATGGGTACAGAATTAATGTTGAGGATAATGAGAATATTTTGGGTATAGATACTGGAGACTGTTACACAATATTGTGAGTGTGTTTTCATGCCACTGAATTGTACATTTACAAAAGGTTAAATTATAAATATTATATATATTTTATCACAGTAAAAAACAAAGCCAGGTGGGTTCACATCTGTAATCCCAGAGCTTTGGGAAGCTGAGGTGGGAGGATTACTTGAGGCTAAGAGTTTGAGACCGGCCTAGGCAACATAATGAGACCCATTCTACAAAAAATAAAATAGGCATGGTGGTACCTGTAGTCCTAGCTGTTCGGGAGGCTGAAGTGGTAGAATAGCTTGAACCCAGGAGTTCGAGGCTGCAGTGAGCTATCATGGTACGACTGCATTTCAGCCTGGGTGGCAGAGCAAGATTCTGTCTCTTAAAACAGACAAAAATGTTAGTATATTACTGGAAAAACTTATTAGAAGTCTTTTTTGGTGATGAAGTTTCACTCTCATTTTTTTGTCATATGTTTCTATGAGTTCTGCTTGCTTTTGTTTTTTTGTTTTGTTTTGTTTGAGACGGAGTCTCGCTCTGTTGCCCAGGCTGGCATACAGTGGCAAGATCTCAGCTCACAGCAACCTCCACCTCCCAGGTTCAAGCGATTCTCCTGCCTCAGCCTCCTGAGTAGCTGGGATTACAGGTGCCTGCCACTGCGCCTGGATAATTTTTGTATTTTTAGTAGAGATGGGGTTTCACCATGTTGGCCAGGCTGGTCTTGAACTCCTGACCTCAGGTGATTTACCCGTCTTGGCCTCCTGAAGTGCTGGGATTACAGGTGTGAGCCACTGCGCCCGGCCGAGTTCTGCTTTTTTCAAAATAACAAGCATGTGTTTCTGAATCAGAAAAAAGTAAATAATACGTTAAAAAGACATATGTGAATATTTATAAAATATGTTTATGTGAAGGATTTTCTGTAATGTAAATCTCACTAGTGAAAATTTTTATATTACTTGAGTAGATGATTTTTCCATAGAATCGTGACTAAAACTGAGTTTTCCATGAACTGTTACTAACCTGTAAACTTCCTCTCTAATGAAAGTTATATTTTCCTTGGTTATAGATGCTTTCTAGTTTGTTATATCTATGTCAGTTATTTTGAATCTCTTACATTTTCAGATCAAAAATTAATTATTATTGTTATTTTTTTGTTTGAGATGGAGTCTTTCTAAGTTGCCCAGGCTGGTCATGAACTCCTGGGCTCAAAGTGATCCTCCCACCTCAGTCTCTTGAGTAGCTGGGATTATAGGCACATAGCACAGGACCTGCCAAAATTATTATTTAAATTTATCAATTAAGCATGTTCAGTGACATAGGTAAGTATTGAGTGCAGGTAGCATTTATGCTGACTTCAGTAGAATTCCTGGGCTTTAAAACAAATAAGAAAGGAAGAAAGGAAGTATGTAGAGTGTGGCTTATACACTTTGAGGACATTGTGGTTTTGCTTTGTAATTTTCTTGTGAATAGAATAAGGAGTGAAATGAGAGAGATCGAATCTAGTTAATCAAGATAATTTGTCAAGTAAATTTCAGTTACTTGAAAACAGTCAATTCAATTTTACATTTGTTTACTCTGTTTTGGGCATGGTGCTTTGAACGGTTTAGGTACGTAAGTCAGAGAGCAGTCCCTAGTCGCATAGAGTTCCATAGAATAGTTTGGTAGGCAGATAGGTAAAAAATAGCCACATAAATCGATAGATGGATATATGAATTAAGATGAATATTATTCATTCATGCTCCATAAATTTATTGAGCAACTGTTATACTATGTGTTAGGCCTAGTGTAGGTACTGGGGGTATAGTGACAAACAGGAAATATTTGTGCTTGCATTGAAAAAGATTACTGGGATGTTGCAGGTAAATTTTATTTTCTCCTTATTCTTAGGTTTTTGAAATGAAATGACTAGGACAATACAGGAACAACAGCAAGAATTTGTTGACTTTCATCCTTAGAGAACTCAAGTGAGGATGTAGCTTGTATGACAGTCTAGTATTTTCTTGATCAACAGAAAAGGTTGAAATTCTAATTGTTTCCATCAACATTAGAATGATTCTTTACTACTAAGCTTGTGATAGGGTTTTTAAAAAATAATAATTGTTAAAGTTGGTTATTAAAGCTTAAAATTCAAATCATCAATCACAAAGTAAATATTCATGAAAGAAATATACTGATTCTTTAGGAGGTAGATAGTGATGAGGCAGTTAATGGAAAAATCAAGTCAGTAATTTCTTGGGACAATCATCAAGGCTGCCTTTTTGTGTTTCTATAGGCAGTCATGGTGACTGACTTTGTTACCAAAGTGCAGTTATTAAAGCCCTTATTTTTTTTAAGGAAAAGTATAACAATTGAAAGAAAAATGAGGATCAGGACCTTTGTGGTACTTTATTTTTATGCCAGTAAGAAGTGTCTGTGGCTCCTCAATACTGGCTTCATCTTGATTGTTTTATTATTTATTTTCCTTGAGTAGGGAAGGAAAGCCATCTTCTCAGATAAGGTTATGTTTTTATTGTTTTAGCCTAGCTTTGCTTAAAAAAATTTTTAGTGAGGTAGACAAAACTCTTTATCAGGTATTGAAATATGTTTTTCCTAAAAGCATGTATTAGGCTACCCTTCTCACACAGGATGTGTTCTGAAATGACAGATAGATTTGCAGCAGATTCTCATTTTCTTTGTAGATTATGTGAACTGAGCAGTACTTGCAAAATAAGTCAATAATCTGAATCTTTGTAGTAACTCTTCTGGAGTTATTAGGGAAACCAAAAATGGAAATAATATTGTGGTCTCTAAGCTTACTCTAAATTAGGTAGTTATAGAAGTACACTTTTTGGTGAAGGTAAGTTTAACTGCTGTCATCTGTTAGATAAAACAGGGGTCCTGAAGCTCTGGGCCACAGACCAGTAGTGGTCCATGGCCCTTTAGGAACCGTGCTGCATAGCAGGAAGTGAGTGGCAGGTGAGTGGCAGGTGAGTGCGTGAAGCTTCATCTGTATTTAAAGCCACTCCCCATCACTTGCATTACTGCCCGAGCGCCACCTCCTGTCAGATCAATGGCAGCATTAGATTCTCATAGGAGCGTGAACCCTGTTGTGAACTGCACGTGAGAGGGATGTAGGTTATGCACTCCTTATGAGAATCTAATGCCTGATGATTGGCCAGAGTCTCCCATCACTTGCAGAAAGGACCATCCAGTTGCAGGAAAACAAGCTCAGGGCTCCCACTGATTCTACATTATGGTGAGTTGAATAATTATTTCATTGCATAGTACAATGTAATAATAATGGAAATTAAGTGCATAATAAATGTAGTGTGCTTGAATCATCCCTAAACCATTCCCCCCTGCCCTCCACCCCCAGTCTGTGGAAAAATTGTCTTCTGTAAAACTGGTCCTTGTGCCAAAAAGGTTGAGGACTGCTGAGATAAAAGATTTTAGGCTGGGCACGGTGGCTCACTCCTGTAATCCCAGCACTTTGGCAGGCTGAGGCAGGCATATCACTTAAGGTCAGGAGTTCAAGACCAGCCTGGCCAACATGGTGAAACACCATCTCTACTGAAATACAAAAAAATTAGCTGGGCGTGGTGGTCAGTGCATGCCTGTAATGAATGATTCATGTGGTAATGAGAAGACTGTATATCTTGCAGTTCTTGGGTAGAATGTTCAGTAAATATCTGTTAGGTCCATTTGTTCTCAAGTGCAGTTTAAATCCAGTGTTTCTTTGTTGACTTTGTGTCTCTAAGATCTATCTAGTGCTCGAAGATCTATCTATCTAGGGCTATCAGTGGAGTGTTGAAGTCCCCCATTATTATTGTGTTGCTGTCTCTGTCTTTTCTTAGGTCTAGTAGTAATTGTTCTATGAATCTAGATGCTCCAGAATTAGGTACATATATGTTTAAGATTGTAAAATCTTGTTAAATTGATCCTTTTATCATTGTATAATGACTTTGTCTTTTTAAACTGTTGTTTCTTTAAAGTCTGTTTTATCTGATGTAAGAACAGCTATTACTTCTTGCTTTTGGTTTCCGTTTGCATGTAGGAATCCTTAGGTGTTAGGTGAGCCTCTTGAAGACAGCAAATACTTGGTTTCCAATTTTTTATCCATTTTGCCAATTTGTACCTTTTAAGTGGCGCATTTAAGACCATTTACATTCAGCATTAATACTGAGATGTGAGGTACTGCTTTAGTCATCATGTTGATTGTTACCTAGACACTTTGTTGTCCTCATTATGTTATTTTATAGACCTTGTGAGTTTTGTGCTTTCAGGAGCTTCTATTCTGGTACATATTGACCTTTTTTTTTTTTTTTTTTTTTTTTTTGAGATGGTGTCTCACTGTGTTGCCCAGGCTGGTCTTGAACTCCTGGATTCAAGTAATCCTCCCACCTCAGCCTCCCAAAGTGCTGGGATTACAGGCATGAGCCACTGTGCCCAGCCATTGTTTCAAGATTTAGACCTCCTTTTAGCATTCCTTTTTTTTTTTTTTTTTTTTTTTTTGAGATGGAGTCTCACTCTTGTTGCTCAGTCTGGAGTGCAATGGCGCAATCTGGGCTGACTGCAACCTTGGCCTCCTGGGTTCAAGTGATTCACCTGTCTCAGCCTCCCGAGTAGCTGGCATTACAGGTGCCCGCCACCATACCTGGCTAAGTTTTGTATTTTTAGTAGAGACAGGATTTCACCATGTTGGCTAGGCTGGTCTTGAACTCCTAACCTCAGGTGATCCATCTACCTTGGCCTCCCAAAGTGCTGGGATTACAGGCATGGGCCACTGCTCCCAGCTAGTCAGGGAAATTTTCTTCAATTATTCCCTCAAATCAGTTTTCCAAACTTTCTGGTTTTTCTTTTCTCTCAGGAACACCAGTGATTCTTAGGTTTGAACATTTTACATAATCTCATTTATCTTGTGGGCTAAAAATTCTTTTAAAAAATTTTATGTAACTTTAAACATAAAAGTAAGATATTTTGCTTATATGAGCAAGAAAAATTTTAAATTATTTTTCAACTACTTTTTTTTTGTTTTTGTTTTTTTTTAAATTGTTTTGTGATTTGGGTTTTTTTATTTTATTTTATTTTATTTTTAATTATACTTTAAGTTTTAGGGTACATGTGCACATTTTGCAGGTTAGTTACATATGTATACATGTGTCATGCTGGTGCGCTGCACCCACTAACTCGTCATCTAGCATTAGGTATATCTCCCAATGCTATCCCTCCCCCCTCCCCCCACCCCATCACAGTCCCCAGAGTGTGATATTCCCCTTCCTGTGTCCATGTGATCTCATTGTTCAATTCCCACCTATGAGTGAGAATATGCGGTGTTTGGTTTTTTGTTCTTGTGATAGTTTACTGAGAATGATGGTTTCCAGTTTCATCCATGTCCCTACAAAGGACATGAACTCATCATTTTTTATGGCTGCATAGTATTCCATGATGTATATGTGCCACATTTTCTTAATCCAGTCTATCATTGTTGGACATTTGGGTTGGTTCCAAGTCTTTGCCATTGTGAATAATGCCGCAATAAACATACGTGTGCATGTGTCTTTATAGCAGCATGATTTATAGTCATTTGGGTATATACCCAGTAATGGGATGGCTGGGTCAAATGGTATTTCTAGTTCTAGATCCCTGAGGAATCGCCACACTGACTTCCACAATGGTTGAACTAGTTTACAGTCCCACCAACAGTGTAAAAGTGTTCCTATTTCTCCACATCCTCTCCAGCACCTGTTGTTTCCTGACTTTTTAATGATATTCATTCTAACTGGTGTGAGATGGTATCTCATTGTGGTTTTGATTTGCATTTCTCTGATGGCCAGTGATGATGAGCATTTTTTCATGTGTTTTTTGGCTGCATAAATGTCTTCTTTTGAGAAGTGTCTGTTCATGTCCTTCGCCCACTTTTTGATGGGGTTGTTTTTTTCTTGTAAATTTGTTTGAGTTCATTGTAGATTCTGGATATTAGCCCTTTGTCGGATGAGTAGGTTGCGAAAATTTTCTCCCATGTTGTAGGTTGCCTGTTCACTCTGATGGTAGTTTCTTTTGCTGTGCAGAAGCTCTTTAGTTTAATTAGATCCCATTTGTCAATTTTGGCTTTTGTTGCCATTGCTTTTGGTGTTTTGGACATGAAGTCCTTGCCCATGCCTATGTCCTGAATGGTAATGCCTAGGTTTTCTTCTAGGGTTTTTATGGTTTTAGGTCTAACATTTAAATCTTTAATCCATCTTGAATTGATTTTTGTATAAGGTGTAAGGAAGGGATCCAGTTTCAGCTTTCTACATATGGCTAGCCAGTTTTCCCAGCACCATTTATTAAATAGGGAATCCTTTCCCCATTGCTTGTTTTTCTCAGGTTTGTCAAAGATCAGATAGTTGTAGGTATGCGGCGTTATTTCTGAGGGCTCTGTTCTGTTCCATTGATCTATATCTCTGTTTTGGTACTAGTACCATGCTGTTTTGGTTACTGTAGCCTTGTAGTATAGTTTGAAGTCAGGTAGTGTGATGCCTCCAGCTTTGTTCTTTTGGCTTAGGATTGACTTGGCAATGCGGGCTCTTTTTTGGTTCCATATGAACTTTAAAGTAGTTTTTTCCAATTCTGTGAAGAAAGTCATTGGTAGTTTGATGGGGATGGCATTGAATCTGTAAATTACCTTGGGCAGTATGGCCATTTTCACTATATTGATTCTTCCTACCCATGAGCATGGAATGTTCTTCCATTTGTTTGTATCCTCTTTTATTTCCTTGAGCAGTGGTTTGTAGTTCTCCTTGAAGAGGTCCTTCACATCCCTTGTAAGTTGGATTCCTAGGTATTTTATTCTCTTTGAAGCAATTGTGAATGGGAGTTCACTCATGATTTGGCTCTCTGTTTGTCTGTTGTTGGTGTATAAGAATGCTTGTGATTTTTGTACATTGATTTTGTATCCTGAGACTTTGCTGAAGTTGCTTATCAGCTTAAGGAGATTTTGGGCTGAGACGATGGGGTTTTCTAGATAAACAATCATGTCGTCTGCAAACAGGGACAATTTGACTTCCTCTTTTCCTAATTGAATACCTTTTATTTCCTTCTCCTGCCTGATTGCCCTGGCCAGAACTTCCAACACTATGTTGAATAGGAGCAGTGAGAGAGGGCATCCCTGTCTTGTGCCAGTTTTCAAAGGGAATGCTTCCAGTTTTTGCCCATTCAGTATGATATTGGCTGTGGGTTTGTCATAGATAGCTCTTATTATTTTGAAATACGTCCCATCAATACCTAATTTATTGAGAGTTTTTAGCATGAAGGGTTGTTGAATTTTGTCAAAGGCCTTTTCTGCATCTATTGAGATAATCATGTGGTTTTTGTCTTTGGCTCTGTTTATATGCTGGATTGCATTTATTGCTTTGCGTATATTGAACCAGCCTTGCATCCCAGGGATGAAGCCCACTTGATCATGGTGGATAAGCTTTTTGATGTGCTGCTGGATTCGGTTTGCCAGTATTTTATTGAGGATTTTTGCATCAATGTTCATCAAGGATATTGGTCTAAAATTCTCTTTTTTGGTTGTGTCTCTGCCCGGCTTTGGTATCAGAATGATGCTGGCCTCATAAAATGAGTTAGGGAGGATTCCCTCTTTTTCTATTGATTGGAATAGTTTCAGAAGGAATGGTACCAGTTCCTCCTTGTACCTCTGGTAGAATTCGGCTGTGAATCCATCTGGTCCTGGACTCTTTTTGGTTGGTAAACTATTGATTATTGCCACAATTTCAGCTCCTGTTACTGGTCTATTCAGAGATTCAACTTCTTCCTGGTCTAGTCTTGGGAGAGTGTATGTGTCGAGGAATGTATCCATTTCTTCTAGATTTTCTAGTTTATTTGTGTAGAGGTGTTTGTAGTATTCTCTGATGGTAGTTTGTATTTCTGTGGGATCGGTGGTGATATCCCCTTTATCATTTTTTATTGTGTCTATTTGATTCTTCTCTCTTTTTTTCTTTATTAGTCTTGCTAGCGGTCTATCAATTTTGTTGATCCTTTCAAAAAACCAGCTCCTGGATTCATTGATTTTTTGAAGGGTTTTTTGTGTCTCTATTTCCTTCAGTTCTGCTCTGATTTTAGTTATTTCTTGCCTTCTGCTAGCTTTTGAATGTGTTTGCTCTTGCTTTTCTAGTTCTTTTAATTGTGATGTTAGGATGTCAATTTTGGATCTTTCCTGCTTTCTCTTGTGGGCATTTAGTGCTATAAATTTCCCTCTACACACTGCTTTGAATGCATCCCAGAGATTCTGGTATGTTGTGTCTTTGTTCTCGTTGGTTTCAAAGAACATCTTTATTTCTGCCTTCATTTCGTTATGTACCCAGTAGTCATTCAGGAGCAGGTTGTTCAGTTTCCATGTAGTTGAGTGGCTTTGAGTGAGATTCTTAATCCTGAGTTCTAGTTTGATTGCACTGTGGTCTGAGAGATAGTTTGTTGTAATTTCTGTTCTTTTACATTTGCTGAGGAGAGTTTTACTTCCAACTATGTGGTCAATTTTGGAATAGGTGTGGTGTGGTGCTGAAAAAAATGTATATTCTGTTGATTTGGGATGGAGAGTTCTGTAGATGTCTGTTAGGTCCGCTTGGTGCAGAGCTGAGTTCAATTCCTGGGTATCCTTGTTGACTTTCTGTCTCGTTGATCTGTCTAATGTTGACAGTAGGGTGTTAAAGTCTCCCATTATTAATGTGTGGGAGTCTAAGTCTCTTTGTAGGTCACTCAGGACTTGCTTTATGAATCTGGGTGCTCCTGTATTGGGTGCATATATATTTAGGATAGTTAGCTCCTCTTGTTGAATTCATCCCTTTACCATTATGTAATGGCCTTCTTTGTCTCTTTTGATCTTTGTTGGTTTAAAGTCTGTTTTATCAGAGACTAGGATTGCAACCCCTGCCTTTTTTTGTTTTCCATTTGCTTGGTAGATCTTCCTCCATCCTTTTATTTTGAGCCTATGTGTGTCTCTGCACGTGAGATGGGTTTCCTGAATACAGCACACTGATGGGTCTTGACTCTTTATCCAACTTGCCAGTCTGTGTCTTTTAATTGGAGAATTTAGTCCATTTACATTTAAAGTTAATATTGTTATGTGTGAATTTGATCCTGTCATTATGATGTTAGCTGGTGATTTTGCTCGTTAGTTGATGCAGTTTCTTCCTAGTCTCGATGGTCTTTACATTTTGGCATGATTTTGCAGCGGCTGGTACCGGTTGTTCCTTTCCATGTTTAGCGCTTCCTTCAGGAGCTCTTTTAGGGCAGGCCTGGTGGTGACAAAATCTCTCAGCATTTGCTTGTCTGTAAAGTATTTTATTTCTCCTTCACTTATGAAGCTTAGTTTGGCTGGATATGAAATTCTGGGTTGAAAATTCTTTTCTTTAAGAATGTTGAATATTGGCCCCACTCTCTTCTGGCTTGTAGGGTTTCTGCCGAGAGATCCGCTGTTAGTCTGATGGGCTTCCCTTTGAGGGTAACCCGACCTTTCTCTCTGGCTGCCCTTAACATTTTTTCCTTCATTTCAACTTTGGTGAATCTGACAATTATGTGTCTTGGAGTTGCTCTTCTCGAGGAGTATCTTTGTGGCGTTCTCTGTATTTCCTGAATCTGAACGTTGGCCTGCCTTGCTAGATTGGGGAAGTTCTCCTGTATAATATCCTGCAGAGTGTTTTCCAACTTGGTTCCATTCTCCCCATCACTTTCAGGTACACCAATCAGACGTAGATTTGGTCTTTTCACATAGTCCCATATTTCTTGGAGGCTTTGCTCATTTCTTTTTATTCTTTTTTCTCTAAACTTCCCTTCTCGCTTCATTTCATTCATTTCATCTTCCATTGCTGATACCCTTTCTTCCAGTTGATCGCATCGGCTCCTGAGGCTTCTGCATTCTTCACGTAGTTCTCGAGCCTTGGTTTTCAGCTCCATCAGCTCCTTTAAGCACTTCTCTGTATTGGTTATTCTAGTTATACATTCTTCTAAATTTTTTTCAAAGTTTTCAACTTCTTTGCCTTTGGTTTGAATGTCCTCCCGTAGCTCAGAGTAATTTGATCGTCTGAAGCCTTCTTCTCTCACCTCGTCAAAATCATTCTCCATACAGCTTTGTTCCGTTGCTGGTGAGGAACTGCGTTCCTTTGGAGGAGGAGAGGCGCTCTGCGTTTTAGAGTTTCCAGTTTTTCTGTTCTGTTTTTTCCCCATCTTTGTGGTTTTATCTACTTTTGGTCTTTGATGATGGTGATGTACAGATGGGTTTTCGGTGTGGATGTCCTTTCTGTTTGTTAGTTTTCCTTCTAACAGACAGGACCCTCAGCTGCAGGTCTGTTGGAATACCCTGCAGTGTGAGGTGTCAGTGTGCCCCTGCTGGGGAGTGCCTCCCAGTTAGGCTGCTCGGGGGTCAGGGGTCAGGGACCCACTTGAGGAGGCAGTCTGCCCGTTCTCAGATCTCCAGCTGCGTGCTGGGAGAACCACTGCTCTCTTCAAAGCTGTCAGACAGGGACATTTAAGTCTGCAGAGGTTACTGCTGTCTTTTTGTTTGTCTGTGCCGTGCCCCCAGAGGTGGAGCCTAAAGAGGCAGGCAGGCCTCCTTGAGGTGTGGTGGGCTCCACCCAGTTCGAGCTTCCCGGCTGCTTTGTTTACCTAAGCAAGCCTGGGCAATGGCGGGCGCCCCTCCCCCAGCCTCGCTGCCTCCTTGCAGTTTGATCTCAGACTGCTGTGCTAGCAATCAGCGAGATTCCGTGGGCGTAGGACCCTCCGAGCCAGGTGTGGGATATAGTCTCGTGGTGCGCCGTTTTTTAAGCCGGTCTGAAAAGCGCAATATTCGGGTGGGAGTGACCCGATTTTCCAGGTGCGTCCGTCACCCCTTTCTTTGACTCGGAAAGGGAACTCCCTGACCCCTTGCGCTTCCCAGGTGAGGCAATGCCTCGCCCTGCTTCGGCTCGCGCACGGTGCGCGCACCCACTGGCCTGCGCCCACTGTCTGGCACTCCCTAGTGAGATGAACCCGGTACCTCAGATGGAAATGCAGAAATCACCCGTCTTCTGCGTCGCTCATGCTGGAAGCTGTAGACCGGAGCTGTTCCTATTCGGCCATCTTGGCTCCTCCCCCCTACTTTTTTTTTTTTTGATACAGAGTTTCGCTCTGTCACCCAGGCTGGAGTGCAATGGCGTGATCTCAGCTCCCTGCAACCTCCACATCCCAGGTTCAAGCGATTCTCCTGCTTCGGCCTCCTGAGTGGCTGGGATTAAAGGTGCCTGCCACCATGCCCGGCTAATTGTTGTATTTTTAGTAGAGACGGAGTTTCACCATGTTGGCAAGGCTGATCTCGAACTCCTGACCTCGGGTGATCTGCGCACCTCGGCCTCTCAAAGTGCTGGGATTACAGGTGTGAAGCACCATGCCTGGCCTAAACTACTTTTTTAAATGTTAAAAATATTTTCTTGGGCCAGGCATGGTGGCTCACACTTATAATTCCAGCACTTTGGGAGGCTGAGGTAGGTGGATCACTTGAGGCCAAGAGTTCGAGACTGGCCTGAGCAACATGGCAAAACCCTGTCTCTACTAAAAATACAAAAATCAGCTGGGCATCATGGCACACACCTGTAGTCCCAGCCACTTAGGAAGCTGAGGCACAAGAATCACTTGAAACCTGGGAAGTCGAGGTTGCAATGAGCCAAGATTGTGCCACTTCGCTCTAGCCTGGGTGACAGAGCAGGACTCTGTTTCCAAAACTATTTCTTTTTGTAGTTCATGGCTTAAAACACTACAAAACTGAAAGCTGAGATGCAAAGGTTTTTATTCACATTTAATGAGGTAAAGTGTGATGTAATATAAGATATGACATGATGTGGGTAGCACCACTGGAATCAGGGCAGATATGAGTTTGAACTAACTCTCTGTCTCTCTGTCCGTCTCTGTCTCTGCCATTTCTTAGCTGTGTAGTATTAGGCCAATTACTTACCCTCTCTAATCTTTTCTTTTATGTAAAGTGATAATAATCATACCTCTTTCATAGGATAGTTATTAAGATAGTCCAAGTGAAGTGTCTTGCATAGTGCCTGGTATGCAGTAGGCACTTAAAAGATGCTTGTCTTATTACTGTAAAAATTTAGAGATGTGATTTAAGGCCTAAAGTTATAATAGTTAAAGGTAGTTATAATTATGGAGCTTTTAAAACCTTTATTTAAAGTAGTTGTGAATCTACTTCTCTGCTATTTGAGTAAATTTGTTATAGAAATGATTATATAATTTTTTGTGATTCTGGGGCTATGAGTTTCTCTTGGTATGAAGTAAGTAAGCCATTATAATATGAGAATAAGGCAGTACTAACAGCTATCAGGATATGTGCATTGTCTTTTAGGCAAGCTCACCACCTGTATACCTTCTCCAATTAATAGAATTTGGAGTTGTTTTTACTGAAAATAATGAAAGATGAGTCTGAAAGCTGAGCATATACATTTGTAGAATTCAAACGGATGCCTGCTATGCTGCTTATGAGTGAGATAATGTAACTGTAGCTATATCCCAGTGAAGGTAAAATATCACTAACAACCACTTGAAATTGTGTTGCTCCATTCTCCTTAAAATATACTTCTATTACTGTGTAGCTGTAGGGGATGATTATAGGAAAAAGTGTCCACTACCCAGATGTCACAAATACTGAAAACAACAAAAGAATTCTTTATTAAATCCTGTATTAATCAAGTTCTCATGATTCAGATGCTTTTTACATGTTCAATAGTTACCCTGCTAACACATATTACAGAGTATCAGACTGTATGGTAATAATTTCACTGTACAATACAAGCTAATTTAGTAGGATTCTATTGATGTATTCAAAACTTGAATATTTTACATGAAAATGTACTTATTCCCTAAAAGAATAAATTTTCTTATAATACCATGTGCATTTGTTGCACAGTCAGCAGTGACTCTTAAGAACCATTAAAGAAATTTCATGGAGTTCCTTTATAATTAGGCAACAAGAATATGTGGTCCTAGGGTGTATTAGTCAGGGTTCTCTAGAAGGACAGAACTAATAGAATATATGTATATATGAAGGGGAGTTCATTAAGCCGAATTGACTCACACAGTCACAAGGTGAAGACTCACCATAGGCCATCTGCAAACTGAGGAGCAGGGAAGCCAGTCTGAGTCCCAAAACCTCAAAAGTAGGGAAGCAGACAGTGCAGCCTCCAGTCTGTGGCCGAAGGCCTGAGAGCCTCTGGCAAACCACTGGTGTAAGTCCAAGAGACCAAAAGCTGAAGAACTTGAAGTCAGATGTTCTTCGAGGGTAGGAAGCATCCAGCATGGGAGATAGATGAAAACTGGAAGACTCAGCAAGGCTGCTCTTTTGTCTTCTTCTGCCTGCTTTATTCTAGCCATTTTGGCAGCTGATTAGATGGTACCACCCAGATTAAGGGTGGGTCTGCCTCTCCCAGGCCACTGACTCAAATCTTAATCTTCTTTGGCAATACCCTCACAGAAACACCCAGGAACATTACTTTGCATCCTTCAGTCCAATCAAGTTGACACTCAGTATTAACCATCGCACAGGACAATCATATGCTTCGGTATTTATAGGTTTGGGTAATCAGTGTAGTGTTTATAAATACATAGTAGTGTAAGTCAGGGGCTTTTGAGTCAGGATGTCAAGTATCTACCTGACAAAAGTGTCAAAGCCTCTACTGCTTTCTAGTTTTGTTACGCATCTTACTTGGTTTCCTCATCTGTGAAGTGAGAATTATAGTAACAGTATTACTATCCATAAGGTAGTGGAAGGATTTAATGAATTAATATATTTAAATCATTTAAAGTGTACCTGGTGCATAAAGGCCCAATAAGGTTTAGATGGTGTAGTTGTTACTGTTCTACAATGTGACATGTCTTAAAGCAAACTATTTTTATAGAACAGTAAAATCAGCTGGGAAAAGAGAGGCTTTGTTTTAAGAACACTAGTATTCCTTTTGCATTTCCACATAGCTATAGAGTGAGAAGATAAGGGGATAATGGCGTTTTGAAGGAAGGAGGGGAGTAAATATAACTTTAAAGATTTTAATTGGATGGGTGAAATTGTTTATATGTTTTAAGTATAGTCAGTAATTGGCCAGGCACAGTGGTTCATACCTGTAATCCCAGCACTTTGGGAGGCCGAGGCGGGTGGATCACCTGAGGTCAGGAGTTTGAGACCAGCCTGACCAACATGGAGAAACCCCATGTCTACTAAAAATACAAAATTAGCTGGGCGTGGTGGCACATGCCTGTAATCGCAGCTACTAGGGAGGCTGAGGCAGGAGAATCGCTTGTACCCAGGAGGCAGAGGTTGCAGTGAGCCGAGATTGCGCCATTGCACTCCAGTCTGGGCAACAAAAGTGAAACTCTGTCTCAAAGAAAAAAAAAAAAGTATAGTCAGTAATTAAATAATTTTTTGAGACTGGACAAAAGTTAAATAAAAGTAAGCTAGTAATTATATTCAATGTCATAGCAGATTTTAAACCACAGCTTTTCAGGTTGCCAGTAAATACCACACAAAAGCAAGAGGAGGCTGGTTGTGCTAGCTTACACTTGTAATCCTAGCACTTTGCGAGGCCAAGGCAGGAGGATCACTTGAGGCCAGGAGTTCAAGACCAGCCTGGGCAACATACTAAGACTCCATTTTTTAAAAAGAAAAAAGGAAAAATTAGCCCAGCATAGTGGCGTGAGCCTGTAGTCCTAGGTACTCAGGGGGCTGAGACATGAGGATTGCTTGAGCCCAGGAGGTTGAAGCTACAGTGAGATGATTGTGCCACTGCACTCCAGCCTGGGCAACAGAGCGAGGAAAAAAAAAAACAACCCAAAAACAAAACGAGGAATGTAAAAGTGCAGTGCATTTTACAATGTTATGATTAAAGTGAACTCTATCTTAAATTTTATAATAACTGACTTTATTTTACTTACTTATTTAGTTTTTGAGATAGGATCTCCTCTGTCACCCAGGCTGGAATGTAGTGCTCACTCCAGGCTCTGCCTCCTGGACTTAAGTGATCATCCCACTTCAGCCTCCTGAGTAGCTGGGACTACAGATGCGCACTACCATGTCTGGCTAATTTTTGTATTGTTTAATTAATTTATTTTTTTGCTAGAGACAGGGTTTCACCATGTTGCCCAGGCTGGTCTTGAATTACTGGGCTCAAGGGATCAACCCATCTTGGCCTCCCAAAGTGCTGGGATTACAGGCATGAGCCACCATGCCTGGCCTGTACTAAATGAGATTAAAAACTTGCTTTGGGCCAGACATGGCGGCTCATGCTGGTAATACCAGCACTTTGGGAAGTCAAGGCGGGAGGATTGCTTGAGCCCAGGAGTTCGAGACCAGCCTGGGCAATGTAGTAAGACCTTGGGCAATGTAGTAAGACCGTGTCTGTATTTAAAAAAAAAAGAGAGAGAAAAGAAAACTTGTTTTGCTTGCATGTACCAATTGAGAGTATAGTATGTGCTTCAAAGGAAAAAGGTTTAACTGTTGAACAGCTTTAGGAGAAATAACCAAATTGCTTTGTGGGTATTTCATGCACAAAACTAGGAAAGAGAAATGAATATGGGAGGATTCAAGTTACAATAAGACTTTATGCTCCATGAGAGGAAGATATTACATATTACAGAATATTGATTTCAGAAGGCAAAAGATATTTACTACTTATGCTCCATGAGAGGAAGATATTACATATTACAGAATATTGATTTCAGAAGGCAAAAGATATTTACTACTTAGAGTAATTTAGTTAAGAAAAAAGAAAAAATACAGTAAAATGTTAGATAAGATCCAATTAGAGCCTACCAGGCACTCTTGTGAGGTTTGTTACTGCCTTCTGTGGTTTATCAGTAGCTTAGCGGGAACTATAGAAAAATAATTCAGGCTTTATGTCCCAAATCATAACTGTAACTCCCTCCATTCTTCTCCACTTTCAGTAGGTGGAGGAAAGTCTTACTCAGGGAAAATTTAACAATATGGTCATTTCATAATTAGAAAACTTTATTAATACTGGTGTTAGGTGTTTGACCAGACACTTTTAAATTTACCGTGTTCATGGCTTCCTTAATTGAGTACAATATCAGAAGCAGCTGTCTTCATATTAGCCAATAGCCCATAGATCTTTAGTAATTTTGTGCATGATATATTATGGCCATTTCTCTTTATATTATAAAACTGTCATAGAAATGCTTTAATTAGGCTGGGTGCGATGGCTGGTGCCTGTAATCCCAGCCCTTTGGGAGGTTGAAGCAGGAGGATCGCTTGAATCCAAGAGTTTGAAACCAGCCTGGGCAAACATAGCACAACCTAGTCTCTTCCCCCACCAAAAAATAGAAAAATTAGCTGGGCATGGTGGTATGTGTCTGTGGTCCCATCTGCGGGGAAAGCTGAGGTGGGAGGATTGCTTGAGCCCAGGAGGTTGAAGCTCCAGTGAGCCATGACTGCACTGCTGCACTCCAGCCTGGGCAACAGAGCAAGTCCCTATCTCCAAAAAAAAAAAAAAGGAAAAAAAGAAAAAAAATGCTTTTTTTTATTTCAGTGGGTAATAAGCTGTTATTTTGTGTGATGCTCATTTCCTTAAATAATACATTAAATTGTTATTTTTTGCATTTGAAATTGAAAAATGGGAATTTTTCTCTTGAATAAGAAACAGAAATGAATTAAACTTATTACCAATAGTAATCATACTATTCTGAATTTCTCTATAGAGAGCATTATAAATATCTCATACTTTTGCTTTTATATTACGAATTTGTATTGTAGGGTGAAAAAGATACTTTTTAATCTTAAACAGGATATTTTCCTTTGTGTTTTGTGAATTCCCACCCTTGTTTTTGGCAATGTAGATCACTTACGCTAAAGATTTAAAAAGCCATATTTCACTTTAAGAACTTGAGACCAGAGGTTACAAACTGGTGGTGTGGACAGTATTTAAAAATTTTAAAAAATTAATTGCGAACATATAAAAACTGGGAGATTTTATTAAAATTTCAGTGTTAAGCAACTTCTGAAAACTCAGAGCTGGCCACATTGCATGGGACCCGTATTCTTTTTTTTCTTTTTTCTTTTTTTTTTTTTTTTTTGTGATGGAGCCTTGTTCTGTCACCCAGGCTGGAGTACATTGACACGATCTCAGCTCACTGCAACCTCCACTTCCTGGGCTCAAGCGATTCTCCCGCCTCAGCCTCCCAAGTAGCTGGGATTACAGGCACTTGCCACCACGCCTAGCTAATTTTTGTATTTTTGGTAGAGACAGAATTTCCCCATGTTGGCCAGGCTGGTCTTGAACTCCTGACCTCAAGTGATCCGCCTGTCTCAGCCTCCCAAAGTGCTGGGATTACAGGCGTGAGCCACTGTGCCCGGCCCCATATTTTTATATGGCAAAATTCAACAGGAGCAGAAATAGCTGTACCTGTTAGGTGGGACACCCACTATTCACTTTGCCACTCTACACCTTCCCAGTAAAGAATCAATATCCGGTACTTCTGAGCGTTGTAACCTCTTCATTAATGCATTTGTTTTTTTGACGTGTGCCTGTTTCGGTGGAATTATCTAGAGAATAAGAAAAAGGGCCTGGTGCAGTGGCTCACTCCTGTAATCCCAGCACTTAGGGAGGCCAAGCATGTGGATCGCTTGAGCCCAACCTGAGAAACATGGTGAGACTCTGTCTCTACAAAAACTAAACAAAAATTAGCCAGATGTCATGGTGCTCACTTGTTGTACCAGCTACTCAGGAGGCTGAGGTGGGAGGATTGCTTGAGCCCAGAAGGTTGAGGCATCACTGCACTCTAACCTGGGTAGCAGAGTGAGACCCTGTCTCAAAAAAAAAAAAAAAAAAAAAAAAGCCCTGATCTACTTAGGCAGTCATTTATTTTATACAAGCAGTATTTTTCTTTTATGCTTTATTCAAAATAAAGGTGTTACATTTTGTGTCTGTAACACGAATACAGGGGGTGAAGCATGATAGCGGATTGCCTGAGCTCAGGAGTTTAAGACCAGCCTGGGCAACACGGTGAAACCTCGTCTCTACTAAAACACACACACACAAAATTAGCCGGGCATGGCGGCATGCGCCTGTAATCCCAACTACTCAGGAGGCTAAGGCAGGAGGATTGCTTGAACCTGGGAGGCAGAGGTTGCAGTGAGCGAGATCGTGCCACTGCACTCCAGCCTGGGCAACAGAGGGAGACTCCATCTCAAAACAAAACAAAACAAATTCAACGAACTGAAATAAGCTTATAATAATTTAAAATTCAGGCAAGTATTGCTTCCATAAAGCAATCACCTCAAGAAAGCACTTACTCTAAAAGTGCTACTCAAAGCATTTTTGGAAAAAAAAAAAAGGTATATTTCCTTTGAATAGTCTCAGGATGCCTGATATCCTTTGAGAGTAGATGCGTTTTAATAATAGTAATACATGTAATTTGACAAGAAAATCAAATGGGACAAATTTTATTAAGTAGTGAGAAACCAGCTCAAAGTCTAACATGTGAGACTCTGGATGATACCAGGTTTTATCCAGCATCACAGTAAATTTGAACCTCATTAGAAACATTTGTCCAAAGTAAATAGTTCTCTGGAAAAGATGATATTATAAATGTAAGTTTAGGTCAGGCGCAGTAGCTCACGCTTGTTAATTCCAGCACTTTGGGAGGCTGAGGCAGGCGGATCACTTTGAGCCCAGGAGTTGGAGACCAGCCTGGGCAACATGGCAAAACATTGTCTCTAAAAAAAAGTACAAAATTTAGCCAGGTGTAGTGGTGTGTGCCTGTAGTTCCAGCTACTCAGGAGACTGAGCAAGAGATCACTTGAGCCTGGGAAGTAGAGGTTGCAGTGAGCCAAGATCATGTTGGCCAGGCACGGTGGCTCATGCCTGTAATCCCAGCACTTTGGGAGGCTGAGATGGGTAGATCACCTGAGGTCAGGAGTTCAAGACCAGCCCGGCCAACATGGTGAAACCTCGTCTCTACTAAAAATACAAAAATTAGCCAGGCTCGTTAGCATGTGCCTGTAATCCCAGCTACTTGGGAGGCTGAGGCAGGAGAATTGCTTGAACTTGGGAGGCGGAGGTTGCAGTGAGCTGGGATTGCACCACTGCATTCCAGCCTGGGTGACAGGGCGAAACTTTGTCTCAAAAAAAAAAAAAAAGATCATGCCACCACACTCCAGCCTGGGCAACAGAGTGAGAGCCTGTCTTTAAAAAAAGAAAGAAAGAAAGAAAGAAATACAAGTTTATACTCAGCAGCCCTTCAAACTTACCTCCCTCCCAAAATAATATGATATAATGAATTAACCAAAAAACAATAATACCAAAGCATCACTAGCAAAGAAAACTTCAGAGTGATGAAAACCAGGTAACTGCCCTAATCTCATGCCACAAATTTCTAGAAATGTCTTTCAGAAACAGTATTATTTAGACCAGATGGAAAGAAAATCATTTGCAGCTATTTTTTTTGAGCATACACTGTTGTTAGAACCACATAAAGTTTAGAAACCCCTACTGATACGTCACGGGAAGAAGAAAGTTAGTTGGGTATATAATTCAGTTGTGTCTTGAGGCCACAACTACAAAGCCATTAAAAATATATATATATATGATTAATTTTTTGTAAAAATTTTTATATAAATATGTATTTCCCTCCTCTTTGATAAAAGCTCTTAATATCACAGTTGGCTTACTTCTACCTGGAAGAACTCCCCACCTAAGTTGGATAAGGTTTAGAAGTGAAGTCATTAGGTGAGAAAATTGGCAGCAGTCTCGAAATCCTTTTCCCAGCTATGTAGCAGTTGCTTAAGCCCCTAGCTTCCTTTCCATCTTTGTCAGGTGAAATGAGTGAATCAATTAGAGAAACTGGTATTATTTACCAGGTAAACTCAAGAAAAATCAGTTGCACTAATTGTAGGCTAAAGATAGACCACGTTTGAAATCTCCCAGTTGAAAAATTATTTTAAAAACAGACATGAGGCTGAATGTGGTGGCTCACGCCTATAATCCCAGCACTTCGGGAGACTAAAGTGTAAGGATTGTTTGAAGCCAGGAGTTTGAGACCAGCCTGGGGAACATAGTGAGACCACGTTTCTGCAAAAGAATTTAAAAATTAGGTGGGTGATGGTATGCCCCTGTAGTCCCAGCCATCCTGGGCCATCCTGGCCAACACAACGAAACCCTGTTGAAAACAAATAAGTAAAAACAGATGAAATGTAATTCACCACATTAAAAAAAAAAAAAAAGAGAAACCTTATCACTTTGATGGATACAAAAAAAGTATTTGATAATATTCACTAATAGTTCATAATAGGAAAACCTTCACAATAGGATTTAAAAGGAACTTAATCTGATAAAGACTCTACAAAAATTCTATAGAAAACTTTAGGCCGGGCACAGTGGCTCACGCCTGTAATCCCAGCACTTTGGGAGGCCAAGGCTGGCGGATCACCTGAGGTCAGGAGTTTGAGACCAGCCTGGCCAACATGGTGAAACACTGTCTCTACTAAAAATAGAAAAATTAGCCGGGCGTAGTGGCGCACACCTGTAATCCCGGCTACATAGGAGGCTGAAGCAGGAAAATTGCTTGAACCTGGGAGGCGGAGGTTGCAGTGAGCCTAGATTATGCCACTGCACTCCAGCGTGGGCGACAGAGCGAGACTCCATCTCAAAAAAAAAGTTCCATGTCTCTAAAGGCTGTGACATGATAATAGCAGCAATAATACGAATTATGATGTAGCAGGACAAGCCGCAGACAAAACCCCTCAGACACCAAAGGGCTTTATTCGGCCGGGAGCATCAGCAAACTTAGGTCTCAAAAAACCAAGCTCTCCAAGTGAGCAATTCCTGTCCCTTTTAAGGGCTTACAACTGTAAGGGGGTCCACGTAAGAGGGTCATGATCGATTGAGCAAGCAGGGGGTACGTGACTGGGGGCTGTATGCACGGGTATTCAGAATGGAACAGAACAGGACAGAGATTTTCATGATGCTTTTCCATACAATGTCTGGAATCTATAGATAACACAAGCAGTTAAGTCAGGGCTTGATTTTTAACTACCAGGCCCAGGGCTCAGAGCTGGGCTGTCTGCCTGTGAATTTCATTTCTGCCTTTTAGTTTTTACTTCTTTTTTCTTTGGAGGCAGAAATTGGGCATAAGACAACATGAGGGGTGGTCTCCTCCCTTTATGATAGACAAGCTGTATTAACTTTTTTTCTTTTCTTTTTTTTTTTTTTTTTTTTTGAGACAGAGTCTTGCTCTCTCGTCCAGGCTGGAGAACAGTGGCATGATTTCAGCTTACTGCACCCTCCACCTCCTGAGTTCCATTGATTCTCCTGCCTTAGCCTCCCAAGTAGCTGGGACTACAGGCGTGTGCCACCATGCCCGGCTAATTTTTGTAGTTTTAATAGAGACAGGTTTTGCCCTGTTTTCCAAGCTTGTCCTGAACTCCTGGCCTCAAGTGATGAGCTCGCCTTGGCCTCCCAAAGTGTTGGGATTACAGGCGTGAGCCACCGAGCCCAACCTGCATTAACTTTTTCTGTTTGTTTGTTTGTTTGTTTGTTTGTTTGTTTGTTTTAAAAAGCAAAACTGAGTGCCAGTGGCTTATGTTTTTAATCCCAGTGCTTTGAGAGGCTGGGGTTGGAGGATTGCTAAAGGCCAGGAGTTCAAGGCTGCCATGAGCTCTGACCATGCTACTGCACTCCGGCGTAGCTGACAGAGCGAGACCCTATCTGTTAAAACAAACAAGCAACAACAACAGCAAAACCCAAATGTGTGCTTTAAATAGATAAATTGTATAGTAGGTGAATTATATTTAATAAAGCTGTTTTTAAAAAACACAGATTTGACCCATGGAGAAATTTTGCCCCAGAAAGGGGGCATAAATATAGTATTCAAGTGAGGAAGAGCATTCAGTGTGTTAGAAGAAATTTTAAGTCTCTCGAGGGAGGAATAATTAGCTCCTTTGAAAAAAATTTGTGGACATGTTAAAATCACTGCACAGATTTTTTAAAAAAAATTGTTTCAGGAGGACAGTTGTGAGGCCAGTGCACTTTTGGCTCAGTGGGAATGAATGGGTAAGTGAGTGGGCAAGCAGGATCATTTGGTTGGTGTGGCAGAAGGGAGGAGGGCTCAGGCTTTTTGGACTCCTTTGACTGTGTTTGACAGTGTGACCTAGTCAGTGAACATAATTCTGTGAGGCTCAGCGTCCTTTTTGAAAAGGAATAATTGCCTTTACTAAGGCAAGTAATTCCAGTTTGACTCCACTGAATAGGTCACACAGCACCTAGAGTCAATCGTTTAGAAAATGTAAATGCTTTTTGTAAAGCTAAATCCCTTTAAGCATAAATGTCAGTACCATTCTTAAATGTCTTCTTATTGGACTATCAGTGACCTATAAAATCCTGAACAATGGACTCCTGCTACCTCTTTACTTTGCTCATTGTAATCCCCGGCGTTGCTGGTCTTCTTTCACCAAAAGCCTTTCTTAATAGGCTGCTGCTTTTTCCTTTCTGGAAACTGTGTTCCCTAGCTCTTGACAAGGTTGGCTCCATCTCTTCCTTGAGGACACTGTTTAAATGTGGCTTCTAATTTATGTTTTCACAACAGTGTACAAGGATTCCCTCTTCTTCTCATCCGCACCAATACTTGTTATCTTTGGTCTTTTTTGTAATTGCCATCTGACAGAGTAAGAATGTAAGTTAGTATTCCTATTATGGAAAACTGTATGGAGGTTTGTCAAAAAACTAAAAATAGAATTACTACATGATCCAGCAATACCACTTCTGGGTATTTATCCAAAAGATTTGAAATCAGTTTGTTGAAGAGATGTCTGCTTTCTTATGTTCATTGCAGCATTATTCACAATAGCCAAGTTATGGAATCAACCTAAGTGTTCAACACATGAATGAATAAAGAAAATGTACACACACACGCACACACATATACATATTCAGCCTTAAAGAAGGAATTATGTCATTTGTGGCAACTTGGATGGAACTGGAGAATATTTTATTATGCTAAGTAAAATAAGCCAGGTACAGAAAAACAAACACCGCGTGTTCTTACTTATGTGTGGAATCTAAAACAACTGAACTCATAGAAGCAGAGAATAGAATGGTGGTTACAGAGCCTGGAGGGTTGAGAAAGTGGTGAGACCATGGTTAAAGGGAACAAAATCTCAGCTGAGGGATATGTTTTTTTTTTTTTTTTTTAATTCTGTGGTACAGTGTGGTGAAGATAGTTTTTGTACATTTTAAAATTGCTGAGAGAATAAATTTCAAATATTCTTACCACAAAAATGTTAAGTATTTAAGGTAATGGATATGTTAACTAGCTTGATTTAATTATTATATATTATATTCATAAATTATAACATTACTTTGTACCCCTTACATTTATATAATTATAAATTGTCAACATACAATTTTTAAACTTTTAAAAAATAAATGTGTCTTCTAATAAAAGGCTTCCCACCCCTCTATCTAAAACTCTTCCATGCTGTGCATGGTGACACATGCCTGTAATCCCGGTTTCTCAGGAGGCTGGGGTGGGAGAATCTGTTGAACCCATGTGTTCAAGGCTGCATTGCACTGTGATCTCACCTGTGAACAGGCACTACACTCCAGCCTGGGCTACATAGCAAGAACACATCTCTAAATATGAATAAAATAAAACTTTCCTCTTTGATTTCACCGTAATCCTTAGTTTAGCAGATCTTTGATATGTAGCATCGTCCCGATTTGTGTTTTTTTAATTCATGTGTTTGTGAGGCCCTCTCTACACTAGAAGTTCTGTGAGCAGAGGAGCTGTATATGTCAAGTTCACTGTTATATCCTCAGTGGAATAACCCAGTTTTAGGCACATAGGAGGCACTCACTGAATAGTTATTTATTAATTTTTTTTTTTTGCCATATACCTACAACCTTCTAACTTTTATTTTTAAGATTAAAAAAAAAGTTCTTGGTTTTTGGGGTTTTTTTTTTTTTCTCCCAGCAGGAGATTTTTTTTCTTACTTTTAAAAAATTATTATTATACTTTAAGTTCTGGGGTACCTGTGCAGAACATGCAGTTTTGTTACATAGGTATACACGTGCCATGGTAGTTTCCTGCACCCATCAACCCATCACCTACATTAGGTATTTCTCCTAATGCTATCCCTACCCTAGCCCCACACCCCCCAACAGGCCCCAGTGTGTGATGTTCCCCTCCCTGTGTCCATGTGTTCTCATTGTTCAGCTCCCACTTATGAATGAGAACATGCGGTGTTTGATTTTCTGTTCTTGTGTTAGTTTGCTGAGAATGATGGTTTCCAGCTTCATCCATGTCCCTGCAAAGGACATGAACCCATCTTTTTTTATGGCTGCATAGTATTCCATGGTGTATATATGCCACATTTTCTTTATGCAGTCTATCATTGATGGACATTGGGGTTGGTTCCAAGTCTTTGCTATTGTGAATAGTGCCACAATAAACATACGTGTGCATGTGTCTTCATAGTAGAATGATTTATAACCCTTTGGGTATATACCCAGTAATGGGATTGCTGGGTCAAATGGTATTTCTAGTTCTAGATCCTTGAGGAATTGCCACACTGTCTTCCACAATGGTTGAACTAATGTACACTCCCACCAACAGTGTAAAAGCATTCCTATTTCTCCACATCCTCTCCAGCATCTGTTTCCTGACTTTTTAATGATCACCATTCTAACTGGCGTGAGATGGTATCTCATTGTGGTTTTGATTTGCATTTCTCTAATGACAGTGATGATGAGCATTTTTTCATGTTTGTTGGCTGCATAAATGTCTTCTTTTGAGAAGTGTCTGTTTATATCCTTTGCCCACTTTTTGATGGGGTTGTTTGTTTTTTTCTTGTAAATTTGTTTAAGTTCTTTGTAGATTCTGGATATTAGCCCTTTGTCAGATGGATAGATTGCAAAAATTTTCTCCCATTCTGTAGGTTGCCTGTTCACTCTGATGATAGTTTCTTTTGCTGTGCAGCAGCTGTTTAGTTTAATTAGATCCCATTTGTCAATTTTGGCTTTTGTTGCCATTGCTTTTGGCGTTTTAGACATGAAGTCTTTGCCCATGCCTATGTCCTGAATGGTATTGCCTGGGTTTTTATCTAGGATTTTTATGGCTTTAGGTCTTACATTTAAGTCTTTAATCCATCTTGAGTTAATTTTTGTATAAGGTGTAAGAAAGGGGTCCTGTTTCAGTTTTCTGCATATGGCTAGCCAGTTTTCCCAACACCATTTATTAAATAGGGAATCCTTTCCCCATTTCTGGTTATTGTCAGGTTTGTCAAAGATCAGATGGTTGTAGATGTGTGGTGTTATTTCTGAGGCCACTGTTCTGTTCCATTGGTCTATATATCTGTTTTGGTCCCAGTACCATGCTGTTTTGGTAACTGTTGCCTTGTAGTATAGTTTGAAGTCAGGTAGCGTGATGCCTCCAGCTTTGTTCTTTTTGCTTAGGATTGTCTTGGCTATGCGGGCTCTTTTTTTGGTTCCATATGAAGTTTAAAGTAGTTTTTTCCAATTCTGTGAAGGAAGTCAATGGTAGCTTGATGGGGATAGCATTGAATCCATAAATTACTTTGGGCAGTATGGCTATTTTCGTGATATTGATTCTTCCTCTCCATGAGCATGGAATGTTTTTCCATTTGTGTCCTCTCTTATTTCCTTGAGCAGTGGTTTGTAGTTCTCCTTGAAGAGGTCCTTCACATCCCTTATAAGTTGTATTCCTAGGTATTTTATTCTCTTAGTAGCAGTTGTAAATGGGAGTTTACTCATGATTTGGCTCTCTTGCTATTGGTATATTGGAATGCTTGTGATCTTTGCACATTGACTTTGTATCCTGAGACTTTGCTGAAGTTGCTTATCAGCTTAAGGAGATTTTGAGGCATGGTCTCACTCTGTCGCCCAGGCTGGAGTGCAGTGGTGTGATGTCAGCTCACTGCAAGCACCACCTCCCAGGTTCAAGCAATTCCCGTGCCTCAGCCACCCAAGTAGCTGGGATTACATGCATGCACCACTGCACCTGACTAATTTTATAGGTGTGAGCTACCAAACCCCGTGGCTTTTTTTTTTTTTTTTTTTTTCACTTTTTTTAAAAAAGACTGGCTCTCACTATGTTGTCCAGGCTGGAATGTAGTAGCTATTCACAGGCGTGGTCATCATGCATGTCAGCTTCGAATTCGTGGGCTCAAGTGAGCCTCTCACCACAGCCTCCTAAGTATCTGGGAATATATGTGTGTGACACCACACCTGGCTTCACAAAATATTTGTTGATTTAACTAGGAACACTTTGAATAAATGTAGTGGTTTGTATTTTTCCTTTTTGACACCTGGAAATTATCCAAACTCCTTCTGTAATTGCTATTATTCTTTAAGATTCATTTATGTAGAAGTAGTATTTTAAAATGCGTGTGTAGGCTGGGCATGGTGGCTCATGCCTGTAATCCCAGCACTTTGGGAGGCTGAGGCAGGCGGATCACCTGAGGACAGGAGTTCGCGACTAACCTGGCCAACACAGTGAAACCCTGTCTGTACTAAAAATACCAAAATTAGCTGGGCATGGTGGTGCATGCCTGTAATCCCAGCTACTTGGGAGGCTGAGGCAGGAGAATCCCGGGAGGTGGAAGTTGCAGTGAGCTGAGATCATGCCACTACACTCCAGCCTGGGTGACAGAGCGAGACTGTCTTAAAAAAAATAATAAATAAAATAAAATGCATATGTATATATGTTTTTCTTTTTTCCTTTTTTTTTTTTTTTGAGATGGAGTCTAGCTCTCTTGCCAGGCTGGAGTGCAGTGGTGCGATCTCTGCTCACTGCAACTTCCGCCTCCAGGGCTCAAGCGATTCTCCTGCCTCGGCTTCCCGAGTAGCTGGGATTACAGGCATGCGCCACCACACCCAGCTAATTTTTGTATTTTTAGTAGAGATGGGGTTTCACCATATTGGCCAGGATGGTCTCGATCTCCTGACCTTGTGATCTGCCTGCCTCGGCCTCCCAAAGTGCTGGGATTACAGGCGTGAGCCGCTGTGCCCGGCCTCTTTTCCTTTTTTTTGAGACAGAGTGTTTCTCTGTCACCCAGGTAGTAGCACAATCATAGCTCACTGCAACCTCGAACTCCTAGGCTCAAGGGATCCTTTCACCTCAGCCTCCCAAGTAGCTGGGACTATAGGTACACACCACCATGCCCAGCTAATTTTTTTTTTTTTTTATAGAGACACAGTCTCACCACATCACCCAGGTTGGTCTTGAACTCCTGGGCTCAAGCAGTCCTTCTGTCTTGGCCTTCCAAAGTGCTGGGATTATAGGTATGAGCCACCGTGCCCAGGCTAAACTTTTTTTTTTTTAAACAGTTATTTAAATCTTCTTTTCTTGCAGTACAAGATACAGTACATTTCACATATGTCCCTTTTCCTGTTGGAAAAGGTGAATCAAGTGGAGGGAAGTAAATTGATATTGAGGCTGAGAATAAAATTGCAGGTTTCTAGCCTTGATTTTCTACCTCTCACCTACTTTGTGCCTATGTAAATAGGCTGTTTCTTCATGGCCAGGAAAAAATGAAATAGCTGACTATTGACAATTCCAGAAAGCACCCAGATAAGAATACTTAGAGTTGGATTTAAAACAAAACCTACCCACCCCTTTTTTGGGGAGAGACAGGGTCTCTCTGTCTCCCAGGCTGGAGGGTAGTGGTGTGATCACAGCTCACTACAGTCTTGACCTCCTGGGCTCAAGTGATCTTCCTGCTTCAGCCATCCAAGTAGCTGAGACTACAGGCATGTGCCACCCTGCTAATTTAAAAAAAAAAAGTCTGTTTGTAGAGATGGGGTCTCAGTATGTTGACCAAGCTGGTATTGAATTCTTCGGCTCAAGCGATCATCTTGTCTTGACCTCCCAAAGTTCTAGGATTATAGGCATGAGCCACCACACCAGGCCAAAATCAGTTTATTGGCCATAAGTTTTCATCTTTTGATGTTCTCTCACGCCATTTAAAATGGGTGAAAATTTGGGTTATAGTTTTCTAATGACTGTTGCTTTTTCACAATGATCACAATGATAACGCATGGCAGATAATTAGGGCAGGATATACCTCAAATGTCTGTTTCCCAAAACAAGCAATTACAATGCCCTTCTTATGTACTCCTTTTAGCACCTCACCATAGCACTAATCACAGTGCATTGTAGTTGCTTGTTTACTTGTGTAGTAGCTCTAGTAGCTCGGTGAAGGTTGTCACATTCACCATTTTATTTGCAGGGTACTTGTGACAGGTACTATAGTCATGGTACTTTTGATTATCTTTTTCTTTCTACTCAGAATGGTGGCAAGAATTATGATATCTGGAGTTTGGATTTTTTTAGCCTTGTGAGATCTGTTCATTGGTTGAAAACCAAGATTGAGAACTCATTTATTTGTGTGTGTGTGTGTGTGTGTGTGTGTGTGTGTGTGTGTGTGTTTTATTCACTAAGTATTTGAGAACTTACCATGCTAGGCCCTGCAAATAAAATGGTGAATGTGACAACAGTTTTTACCTTCACAGAGCTAATACGTGAGTAGACAAGCAATTACAGTGCACTGTGATTACTGCTATGGTGAGTTACTAAAAGGACTACATAAGAGGGGCACTGTAATTGCTTGTTTTGGGAAATAGACATTTAAGGTGAAAACTAAATATGAGCATAAGTTAACATAATGAAGAGCAGAGATAAAGGAGGACCCAGGTCCAGGGCCCTTTGGAAGCCTTGAAGTAAGTTTGATATTCATTAACATAAAATATAAGGGAACAGTTAAACAGAAATTAAGCGGAAGAGGTAAGCAAGTGCCAGATCTGGAATGACCTCAAGCCATGTAAGGATTTTTTTTTTTTTTGAGACAGAGTCTCACTCTGTCGCCCAGGCTGGAGTGCAGTGGCGTGATCTTGGCTCACTGCAAGCTCCGCCTCCCGGGTTCACGCCATTTTCCTGCCTCAGCTTCCCGAGTAGCTGGGACTACAGATGCCTGTCACCACGACCGGCTAATTTTTTTGTATTTTTAGTAGAGATGGGGTTTCACCGTGTTAGCCAGGATGGTCTCGATCTCCTGACCTCGTGATCCACCCGCCTCGGCCTCCCAAAGTGCTGGGATTATAGATGTGAGCCACCGCGCCTGGCCAGGATTTTGTTTTATCCTAAAGGAAGTCGGAAGACTGGAAGAGGCTGCTAGAGAGTTGAGGGTCCTCAGAGGTTGATGAAATCATAGAATGAGTACAATGAGAGTAAATGAGTGTGAGAGAGCTGGAAGGCAAATAAAATCAAAGTGCCACTGTATTTTGCTTTGGCTCCCTTTAATAATGAACAGCTGTTCTAAAAATGTGTATATAACTAGTGGGGCTGGGCATGGTAGCTCATTCCTGTAATCCCAACACTGTGGGAGGCCAAGGCTGGAGGATCTCTTGAACCCAGGAGTTTGAGACCAACCTGGGCAATATAGTGAGACCTCGTCTCTACAAAAAAATATAATAAACAAAAATGTACAACAGGTAGAACAGACGAATTTATGAAATTGAGATTAGTTGTTTTCACTGAAAAAAGTAAGGGATCTGAAGGTGTAAACCCAAAGACAAATTTTATTTATAATTTACTTTTTAGTTGTAGGATCCAGTCATTTCCAGAGATCAACGTTATAAGGAAATAAGATAAAAATAAGTATTATAGATTAAGTGGACAGTGTTTTCTGTGCCTTTTTGGCAAGTAGAAGACGAACATTTTTTTCCCTGACCACATAAGCGTAAGTTGCTGACAGGCAGGGCGCGGTGGTTCACGCCTGTAATCCCAGCACTTTGGGAGGCTGAGGCGGGTGGATCATGAAGTCAGGAGGTTGAGACCATCCTGGCTAACATGGTGAAACCCCGTCTCTACTAAAAATACAAAAAATTAGCCAGGCGTGGTGGTGGGCACCTGTAGTCCCAGCTACTCAGGAGGCTGAGGCAGGAGAATGGCGTGAACCCGGGAGACGGAGCTTGCAGTGAGCCGAGATTGCACCACTGCACTCCAGCCTGGGTGACAGAGCGAGACTCCGTCTCAAACAAAAACAAAATCAAAAACAAGTAAGTTGCTGACAAGATGTTTCATAAGTCCCCGTACTTTAGTGTACTACTAAAATGTAGTCTGAAGATTAGATATACTGTGGTGTGTATGTATATATATATGTACATGAAATACAGTAGTGTATACTAAATAGAGACAGGGTTTTGCCACGTTGTCCAGGCTGGTCTTGAACTCCTGGCCTCAAGTGATCCACCTGCCTCAGCCTCCCAAAGTGCTGGGACTACAGGCATGAGCCACCATGCCTGGCCAATATTTTGTAGTTTTGAGCATAGATTTTTGTACAGGTTTTGTAATATAGCTTCCTAAGTTTCTTGTTGCTTTTTTTAGATAGAATTATTACTTTAATTAACAGGCTTTATTTTTAGATTTTTTGGGTACAGTTTTAGGTTTACAGAGAAATGGAGTGGAGAGTACAGAGTTCCCCTATATCCCCCAACACTCCTCCACCCCCGTTTTCCCCTATTATTAATGTCTTGCATTACTATGCTACATTTGTAGTAGTTAACGAACCAATATTGACACGTTATTAACTAAAGTCGGTAGTTTACATTAGATAGAATGTATTACACTATTTGTATTATACATTCTATGGATTTGGACAAATGTATAATGACATGCATCTACCATTATGGTATCATACAGAATAGTTTTCCTGCTCTAAAAATCCCCTGGGCTCCACCTGTTCACCCGCCCCCCTCCCCACCCACAATATCTGGCAACCATTGATCTTTTTACCATCTCCATAGTTAGGATTTTTCTAGAATGTCATGAATTTGGAATGTAGTATTTAGCTTTTTCAAATGGATTTCTTTCACTTAGCAATATGCATTTTAGGTTCTTCTATGTCTTTTTGTAGCTTTCAATAATTCATTTCCTTTTATTGCTGAATGATATTCCATTGCATGGCTATACCACAAATTTGTTTATTCATTCACCTATTGAAGGAAATCTTAGTGTTTTCATTTTTTGACAACTACAAATGAAGCTGCTGTAAACGTTTAGGTGGTGGTTTTTGTGTGGACTTAAGTTTTCATTTCATTTGGGTCAATACCAAGAAATGTGCTGGGTCATAGGTAAGAGTATGTTTAGTTACATAAGAAACTGCCAAACTTTCTTCCAAAATAGCCGTACCATTTTGCATTCTCACCAGCAGTGAATGAGAGTTCCTATTGCTCCATATCTTCCTTAGCATTTGATGTTGTCAGTGTTTTGGATTTTCACTATTCTAATAAGTGTATAGTGGTATCATTGTTTTAATTTGCAATTCCCTTCTGACATATGGTATTGAGTATATTTTCATATATGTATTTGCCATCCGTATATCTTCTTTGAAGAGACGTCTGATTCAAATATTTTGCTCATATTTTAACTGGGTTGTTTTCTGATTGTTGAGTTTTAAGAGTGTTGTATATTTTAGATAACAGGCCTCTAACAAGTTAAGTGTTTTGTAAATATTTTCTCCTAATCAGTGGCTTATCTTTTCATTCTCTTAGCAGTGCCTTCCCCAGAGCAGAAGTTTTTAGTTTTAGTGAAGTTAAACTTAACAATTTCTTCTTTCATTGATCATGCTTTTGTTGGTATATCTAAGAAGTCATTGTCAAACCCGAAGTCATTTAGATTTTTTCCTATGGCATATAGTAGGAGTTTTATCATTTTGTGTTTTACATTTAGGTTGTGATCCATTTTGATTTTATTTTTGCGAAAGATGTAAGGTCTGTATCTAGATTATTTTTCTTTATTTGCAAATATATGTCTAATTGTTCTAGCACCATTTGTTAAAAAGACTATCCTTTCTCCATTGAATTGCCTTTGCTCCTTTGTCAAAGATTGGTATGAATATATTTGTGTGAATCTATTTCTGGGCTTTCCATTCTGTTCCATTGATTTATTTGTGTTTTTTTTTTTTTGCAATATCACACTGTCTTGAGTACTGTAGCTTTATAGTAAGTTTTTTTTTTGTTTTTGTTTTTGTTTTTTTTTTTTTGGAGACAGGGTCATACTGGCACTATCATAGCGCACTGCAACCTTGAACTCCTGGGCTCAAACAATCCTCCCAGTTCTGCCTCCTGAGTAGCTGGTTCCATAGGTGTATACCACCTTGCCCGGCCAATTTTTATTTTTATTTTGTAGAGACAGGATCTCGTTTTGTTGCCCAGGCTGTTCTTGAACTCCTGGGCTCAAGTGATTCTCCCCACTGTGGCCTCCCAACACACTGGGATTACAGATGTGAGTCACTGCACCTGGCCTTTTGTTTTGTTTTGTTTTAGCTTAAATGCATTTCAAGCCTTGTATTGGTACTCAAATTGTCCTACAGTGTCTTTTAATTTGTCCTATAGTTATTGATAGTTTTATAAACACACATTCATGTGTGCACTGGAGCACACAGATATCATTTTTGCTTAATGTTTGCTAAATACTTATTCTGGGTATGATACTGCTCTTGAAATTTACCCTGTGTTTTAAACATCAGGTTAGGGTTTTATCTCATTCTTTGAAAAGCTTACAATTGGAATGACAGATGTTGGTACAAAAACCAGTGGCAACCCAACAGAAGGGGAAATTTGTTGGGGTGTTTCTTAGAAGAATTTTTATCGTTGACCAACATAATTTAAAAAAAAAAGACTTATAAGGAGAAAGATTTTTGGTTTTGCCCTATTATTTCTGTTTTGGACAGTAGGATGGGAAGTGATGCCTGAAGCCGAAACTTGTGACCAAGAAACAGCAAGCATGAGGACCAAAAGCAATGTGTGGTGGATGAAGAAGTAGTAGATCAGAAAGAGCCTGGTTTGCTTTTGAGTTTCTCATACACTTACCATATGATCCAGCAGTCCTATACCTATAAACAATTTCATCATAAGTTGTGTAAGAAGAGAGATTTAGAAGCCTGGCAATCTCTCTTTTGATTATTAACAAAAACCCAGGGTGTTTTGACTTTGAAATTTAAATATTTATGTACCTCACTTTTGATAAAGCCAATATATGAGAATCTGAAATATACAAACAGTAAATTAGTGAAACTTTTTTTGATGCTTTTATAATATGACTTAATTTTCTTTTAGACTTCATGTAACCTCCCATATACTGTTTTACATGAATTTAAGTAGAGTTCAAATGATAAGCCAAAGAGTTTGTAATTGAGCAGTTTATAATTGAGCAGTTGTAATTGAGAGTGATAAAGAAACAGGATTTTAAAAAACTTAGTAACTTTAATTTCTTAAGTGAGAGATGCCACATAAAGTAGCATTGAATATTATTCATCTTTCGTTTTCTTTCCTTTTTTTTTTTTTTTTTTTTTTGAGGTGGAGTTTCGCTCTCGTTGCCCAGGCTGGAGTTCAATGGCGTGATCTCAGCCCACTGCCCCCTCCGCCTCCCAGGTTCAAGCGATTCTCCTGCCTCAGCCACCCAAGTAGCTGGGATTACAGGCGCCTACCACCATAATTTTTTTTGTATTTTTAGTAGAGACAGGGTATCACCATGTTGGCCAGGCTGGTTTTGAACTCCTGACCTCAGGTGATCTGCCCACCTCGGCCTCCCAAAGTACTGGGATTATAGGCATGAGCCACTGCTCCTGGCCTCATCTTTCATAATTATAGATTGAACAATGCTTATGTCCCATGCATAGATTAGAAAATTGACACAGCACCTTTAGTGTCAGTTTTTGTCATGGTTGTGGGAAGTAAAGTGATTGTTCTGTTCTACAAGTAGGTGTTATGAACATTTTCCCCCAGCTGAGTGAGATTTTTGGCTTTTTTTTTTTTTTTTTGGACAGGGCCTTGCTCTCACCCATACTGGAGTGCAGTGGCACGATCATGGCTCACTGCGTCCTTGAACCTCCCATGCTCAAGCAATTCTCCAACTTCAGCCTCCCCAAGTCACTGGGACCACAGGTGTGCGCCACCATGCCCAGCTATTTTTTTTTTTTTTTTCTTGAGACGGGGTTTTGCTCTTGTCGCCCAGGCTGGAGTGCAATGGCATGATCTCGGCTCACTGCAACCTGTCTCCTGGGTTCAAGCAATTCTCCTGCCTCAGCCTCCCAAGTAGCTGGGATTACAGGCATGCACAACCACGCCTGGCTAATTTTTTTGTTTTTAGTAGAGATGGGGTTTCGTCATATTGGCCAGGCTGGTCTTGAACTCCTGACCTCAGGTGATCCACCCGCCTTGGCCTCCCAAAGTGCCAGGATTATAGGCATGAGCCACTGTGCCCGGCCCTAATTTTTAAATTTTTTGTAGACATGGGGTCTCCGTATGTTGCCCAGGCTCATTTCAAACTTCTAGGCTCAAGTAGTCCTTCTACCTTGGCCTCCCAAAGTGCTGGGATTACGTGGATGAGCCACCATGCCCAGCCAATTTTTGGCTTTCTATAGGGTTTTTTTTTTTTAATTTAATTTTTAATATTTTTAAATTTAATTTTTAATTTTTTTTTTGTTTTTTTTTTTAGAGACAGGGTCTTTCTGTGTTGCCCAGGCTAGAGTTCAGTGGCTATTTACTGGCATGATAATAGCACATTCCAGCCTTGAACTCATGGGCTTGAGCAGTACTCCCATCTCAGCCTCCCAAGTAACTGGAGACTATAGGCACATACCATTGCACCTGGCTTCTATGGGTTTTTAACCTGACAAATACTGTGTGTTCTTCTAATACATACATGTAAGTAAACATGGATAATGAGGGCTATGTGTGATTATTCCATCTAATGTTATACTAGTCTAAGTGCAATGGAAGAAATTAGTGCAAAGTATTATAAAAATAACATCCATCTGTTGGAAAAAACAGTGAGCAAAAATGAAAAATATGAAGAGAAATAGGCAATGTAATATAGTTTCCAAATCTTTATAAATGAGGCTATTGTAGTGATAATTTTTGAAAATGTGTGAGTTCATTGAATACTTATAAATTGACTGAATTGGGCCAAGACACATTCTGCCTCTGTCCTCATATTAACTTATAATGGAAGGAAGTATAGTTGACAGTCTCACGTATAGACATACTCCCAACAATTATGATATTTTTTTCTCTTTCTTTCTAATATCATTTGAGGGATTTAGGCAAAAGACAAGGATAACCGGGATAGTGGATATACTTGAAAATAGGAGAAACAATGAGGAAATATGAATTCTTAATGTTGTTCATGTAGGAAGTTCAGTAGTTGCTGACCTCCTTTGATCGCTTTGATTTTTTTTTCCTTTACAGAATATACATTATAAATGTAAATCTATTGTAAAGCAAAGAAAACAAAAATGAAAAGCAGTTTATTTAAACTATAATAAAGCAATCAGAGGCCAGGCATGGTGGCTCACGCCTGTAATCCCAGCACTTTGGGAGGCTGAGGTGGTTGGATCACCTGAAGTCAGGAGTTCGAGACCAGCCTGGCCAACATGGTGAAACCCCGTCTCTACTAAAAATACAAAAAATTAGCTGGGTGTGGTAGCAGGCACCTGTAATTCCAGCTACTTGGGAGGCTGAGGCAGGAGAATCGCGTGAACCTGGGAGGCAGAGGTTGCAGCTAGCCGAGATCTCGCCATTGCACTCCAGCCTAGGCAACGAGCGAAATTCCATCTCAAAAATAAATAAATAAATAAATAAAGCAAACAGATTGTATTATTGGATTATGTGCCCACTTGTACAGTCAGCTGACAGCTTTTTACCTGTTACTTTAGTAGGGAATTACAGGTCCTCAGGAAGTTTAGAGTATAGGTGTCTTTGCTTTGTTGTATAATTGGTGATAATAACCAAACATTTGACATTTGTTCTAATTCTCTTAAGTTTTCTTTCTTTCTTTCTTTTTTTTTTTGAGACGGAGTCTCACTCTGTCACTCAGGTGGGAGTGCAGTAGCACGAGCTCGGCTCACTGCCACCTCCACCTCCTAGGTTCAAGCTATTCTCCTGCCTCAGCCTCCCGAGTAGCTGGGATTACAGGTGCCTGCCACCACGTCCAGCTAATTTTTATATTTTTAGTAGAGACAGGGTTTTGCCATGTTGGCCAGGTGGTCTCAAACTCTTGACCTCAGGTGATCTGCCTGCCTTGGCCTCCCAAAGTGCTGGGATTACAGGCGTGAGCCACCACACCTGGCCTTCTTTTCACTTAAGTTTTAAGGAAAACATTTATGAAAGTGAAATATAAGTGTGTGTTTAGTATGTGATTGGTGATAGCAGTATTTTTTTTTTTGTTAAGAATACTCACATGGATAATCAAATATAGCATCAAAATTATCTCATTGCAAACATTTGTGTTGGGCTCAGTCCTGAATTTGGACACTGCAGAATTCTGGTAGAGATGAATGTTACGCTTAAGATTTTTTTTTTTTTTTTGCTTTATTTTCACTTTGGGGTTCTGCAAAGGATCTCTTTTTGGCACTCTGTCATTGCATACTCAGCATACAGCAAAAACCACCAAAAGTTTAGCTTTTCAGAACTTTAGGACTACTTAATACCAATAGAGTTTTGGAAGTTCCTTCATAGAGGTTGTCTGTGTTGATTGGTAACTGAAGATTACATAATTCTTGCTAGTGCTTGGTAAATGCTTGGATAGGGGAATGGGGGAGTGAATAGTCTAATTTCTTATAAGTTTTGGCGAAATTAAAAGGAAGAGCTTAAAATTAAATCATCCTCAGTTTCTTTAACTTGATTTTAGCACTGCTCTGTATTTCTGTTAGCCAGTGATGAAAAACAATTGTCTTTCTTTTTGGTCATAGATACATTACTAGAAGAAAGCATTCTATATTAAAGGCTTGTGTGTTTCTGTAGCTTCTATGGTTTGCAGCCTACTGAGCTTATGATACTATGTGAATAACTAATCCAGATGGTTAAACTATTGGAGGATAGAAAACCAAAACCCATTTCAGAAGCTATGCATTTTGCTCACCTTTGGATAGGATTCATTCTAATTGGTAGTGACTTTCTGAATTTGTTTCAAAATTTAATTTTTAACTACATGTTTTCTTGATTTTTACCTAGGTTACAAGATGTTCACCTAAGATTGAGACCTAGTGACTACATTTCCTACGGGAACAAATAAATGGTTTTTCATCTCCCGGAGATACATTACAAACAAATATGGTGCTAAAAGAACTCCTTACCTTTCTCTGACTACAATTTATTTGGACATACTTTTGTATTGAAGAGAGGTATACATACTGAAGCTACTTGCTGTACTATAGGAGACTCTGTCCTGTAGGATCATGGACCATCCTAGTAGGGAAAAGGATGAAAGACAACGGACAACTAAACCCATGGCACAAAGGAGTGCACACTGCTCTCGACCATCTGGCTCCTCATCGTCCTCTGGGGTTCTTATGGTGGGACCCAACTTCAGGGTTGGCAAGAAGATAGGATGTGGGAACTTCGGAGAGCTCAGATTAGGTAAGCACTTGGTTATGTCAGTGACTTCTACTAACAACAATACCTATGATAAGCTTTGGTGTGTTTCAAGACAAGCCGTTTATAGTTTTACAAGAAATTTTTCTTAAGGAGAACCTGTTGTTAAGAAATAATTTGTGAAGGGGCACTATAGTCATTATCAATTATTTGTTATCCAAGGCTCATCTCTCTTTATGTGTGTGCGATGGGCTTTTAAGTTTTCTACCAGTTCTGAGATTTTCTGATGAACATAGAGTTGCATACAGATATCAGTAAAATGCAGACTCTGATTTAGGATGTCTGAGGTGGAGCCCCAAATTCTGCATATTTTTACAAATTCCAGGTGATGCAGATGCTGTTGGTCTTTTAAGAAGGACATAAGGCCTTGGTTTAATTCAGACTCTGCCCCTGAAAAGAAAAGAGTAAATCCTTACTCAGTAATACCCAGGCTTAGTCTGCAAGGATATACAGTACATCCTGTTTGGAGAAATTTTCCAAAAGATAATTTGTTTGCGTTTCTTCCTGGAGTTTCCAGCATTAGAATTAAGTTAGAACTCCAAGGAGAAGTTAGGCAATTTTATTTCCCAACTAAGGCAATGGATTTTCTATTTCAATTATGAATTTATGGGTGAGATGGAAAATAATGACAAAATTAATCTGTCTAAAAATGTGAGATTGGGAAGAAGGTACATTGGGTATTTATATATATATATAAAATTTTTTTTTTTTTGAGATGGAGTCTTACTCTGTCGCCCAGGCTGGAGTGCAGTGGCGCGATCTCGGCTCACTGCAAGCTCTGCCTCCCGGGTTCATGCCATTCTCCTGCCTCAACCTCCCAAGTAGCTGGGACTACAGGCATCCGCCACCACGCCCGGCTAATTTTGTTTTTGTATTTTTAGTAGAGACAGGGTTTCACCATGTTAGCCAGGATGGTCTTGATCCTCTGACTTCGTGATCCGCCCGCCTCGGCCTCCCAAAGTGCTGGGATTACAGGCGTGAGCCACCGCGCCCGGCCATTTATATACTTTTTAATGGCTCTCCCTTGATGAGTGGGATAGAGAAAATAAAAGGCCGTATAAATATATGAAGTTGGAAATTAGCCTGGAGAATGTGGAAAGGTCATCTTTTAGGCTAAAGTGTTTTCTTTTCCTTCATAGCTCTTGAGACTGTGGATTAATGTGAAGACTCATTGTAAGAAACTTTGGCCCTTTGGGGGGAGTGGTGGGAGGGTGGGAACATAATGTAATTATGTTTGTTACCTCTGCTACTTCTTTTTCTTTTTGAGATGGAGTGTTGCTCTGTCACCCAGGCTGGAGTGCAGTGGTGCGATCTCAGCTCACTGCAACCTCCTCTTCCCAGGTTCAAGTGATTCTTGTGCCTCATCCTCCAGAGTAGCTGGGACTTACAGGCATGTGCCACCATGCCCAGCTTATTTTTTTTTTTTTTGTATTTTTGTGGAGACGGGCTCTTGCCATATTGGCCAGGCTGGTCTTGACCTCCTGGCCTCAAGTGATCCACCCGCCTCGGCCTCCCAAAGTGCTGGGATTACAGGCTGAGCCACTACGCCTGACCACCTCTGCTACTTGTGATGGTCCTGCATAGAGAACATGGACAAAATCTTATCTCTGATCCCCCATAGAGAGCCTTGGAGAAACATCACTATACTAGCCAGAGACCATTTGAATTTAAGAATGATGAGAATGGATTTATTTTTACTGTTAGAAGGCTGACAACCTGGAAATTCAGGACTTAATTAGGATAATGAAAGGATCTTTATATTTAGAATTGTGTTCGGGTTACCAAAGCCAGCAGATGCTACTTACAATACGAGTAAGATGTGTAATTACTGCTTTACTTTCTAGCAATCACAGAGTTGCTTTAACGAATAGTTCTGTGAATATTTCTTTATGTCATAAATTGACTGTAACATCACAGTACTACTTGGATGGATTAAATAATTATGACATAAACATCCATAAAATGATTGCTAAGAGGCAGTTTCTAAAGCATCTAAATCTTTGAATTCTCAAAACATCAGACAATTGTTTCATTTCTGTGAAAGTGAAGAAAAACCTTGGTGAATTAAAAGTGGAAATCTGTTTAATCACTGAAGTCTAGATTTGTATTATAAGTTTACGTGGGAAGGGAAAAATTCATTCAGTTAAAAGCATACATTTATAGCCCATATATATTTTCAGAGTAGTATTGTGTTTTGTTTCCTCTTTGAATCTGAGATAATTTTGATGTTTCTCATTTGGACTTGCCTGTAGTCAGAAGAACTTGTCTTTCTTTTCATGTGCTTTTACTCTTCTCTGCTTATCAAGTTTTCATTAGCCCTGGGACCATACTGTTATGGCCTTGTATCTAGAAAAGATACTTTCAGAATTATCTGGCATCTTCCTGACAATAGAGTGGGCTGCATACCCCATTCCGTCATTTTCTTGTTCTAATATTAGCGAGGAGAAGATTGTAAACTACAAAATTCCAAAGTCAAGGCAGGTGCAGTCAGCCTACATCATGGCTACCACCTACAAAGCTCTGCTTCTCTAAACTAATTTCCTTTCCTAGACACACAGTCTGTCAAACAGCCAAGTGCATTTCTTCTTATTCTTTTTTTTTTTTTGAGAGACAGGGTCTTGCTCTGTTACCCGCCCTGGAGTGCAGTGGCATGATCATAGCTCACGCAGCCTCCAACTCCCAGGCTCAAGCGATCCTCCTACTTCAGCCTCCTTAATAGCTAGTGCATAAGAACACGCCCAGCTAATTTTTTTATTTTTAAATGTTTTGTAGAGATGATGTTTTGCAGGCTGGTCTTGAACTCCTGGCCTCAAGCGATTCTCCTGCCTTGGCCTTCCAAAGTGTTGGGATTACAGATGTGAGCCGCCACACCTGACCAACCGTGTGCATTTCTGCTTCAGAGCCTTTACACTTGCAATTCCTTCTGCTTGCAGAATTATTTCCCTAAAATTTTGCGTAGTGGGTTGTTTCTCATCCTTTAGGCCTCAGCTTATGTCTTACCTTCTCAGAGAAACATTCTATCACTTGTTCCTCATTCTCATTTAAAATAGCACGTTTCTTCTCTAGCACATCCTGTCTCGTCAAACTGCTTTATTTTATTCATTGCATTCATCACTATCTGAAATGACCATATGTATGTTTCCCTATTAATTGCCTCTCCTTACTTGAATATAAGCCCTTTAAAGGGCAGGGATTCTTTCTGTATTGTTTACTGTTATTTATGAGATGGAAGGATAAAAAGCTGATGAATAGGAAGAGGGGGGAAAATAAAGCATACTTTCTTTGGGCTCCAGGTTTATGTGGGGGTGGTGGTAGATAGTAGACCTATCGGTTCCAAACAGCAAAAAAAAAAAAAAAAAAAAAAAAGTAACGATAGTGCATTTTGGTTCTCTGCAAATGTTTCCACCCCATTATACAGTTTTCTTTTTTTTTTTTCTTTTAGATGGAGTTTTGCTCTTTTTGCCCAGGCTAGAGTGCAGTGGCACAATCTCGGCTCACTGCAACCTCTGCCTCCCGGGTTCAAGTGATTCTCCTGTCTCAGCCTCCCAAGTAGCTGGGATTACAGGCGTGTGCCTCCATGCCCGGCTAATTTTTTATTTTTAGTTGAGGCAGGGTTTCACCATGTTGGCCAGGCTGGTCTCGAACTCCTGACCTCAGGTGATCTGCCCACGTCAGCCTCCCAAAGTGCTAGGATTACAGGCGTGAGCCACTGCACCCAGCCTTCATCATACATTTAACAACTATTTCTTGAATATTTACTGATACTAGACTCTGGGAAGGATAGAAATAAGAAGATATAGTTTTTGTCTCTACAAATACCACAGTCTAGTGGTAGACAGAGAAAAACAAATTGCAATACAAAGTGATAATATAGCAGATTGGGGGCTGGGTGTAGTGGCTTATGCCTGTAATCCCAGCACTTTGGGAGGCCAAGGCAGGCAGATGACTTGAGCTTAGGATTTCAATACCAACATGAGCAACGTGGCAAAACCTCGTCTCTACAAAAAATACAAAAATTAGCTGGGTGTGGTGGTATGCACCTGTAGTCCTAGCTACTTGGGAGGCTGAGATGGGAGGATGGCTTGAGCCTGGGAGCCTGATGCTACCATGAGCCAAGATCACATCACTGCACTCCAGCCTGGGCGACAGAGTGAGACCGTGTCTCAAACAAACAAAAAACCAGATTGTATGGAAACTACATTGGCAGAGAAGGTTAATAAAGGCTTCAAAGAGGAGGTATGATTTGATGATAGGACAGGATTTCTGCTGGTAGACATAAGGAAGAAGAGCTTGTGCAGGATACACAATCACTAGATACTGTGCAAGTGCCCAGCATATCACAGCAGCATTTAGTTATACATGACTGGGTCATAGGATGTGAAGTGAAAGAAAAGTAATAGAATGAAGCTTTTAGGTAAGTTGGGACGAAATTGTGAAGTGTTTGCATATATTAAAGCATTTGGACTTTATCCTGTAGGCAATGGGGTCGAATCATCAGGAGTTTTACAACAGAGTGACATAATCTAGTTTATATTCCAGAAAGAGAATTCGGGTTGTATTGTAAGATTAGATCAAATAGGAAAGAAGTTGACATCTTGTAGATTTTGCTCTAATTGTAATACTTATCATGTTGTACTTTATTCTTCCATTTCTCTCTCCCAAGATAGGTGTAAGGGTATTACTTTGCTTTTTAGTCCTCATATTCTAATTCCTTTCACTGTGTGTGGTATGTAATGGGTACTCAAGAAAGGCTGAATTGTCCAGGTCAGAAGTAGCAGGGCCTTTGGTCTTAGCTCTGAAAATGGAAGTGAGATGGAGAGAGGACAGGGTAAATTAGAAATTTTAGACATAGACTTTAGGCAGGATTTAGTCACTAATTATTTGATGGGAAGAAGTCAAAGATGACTAAATGTGCCAGCTTGAAGAGACCTTATAAATGAGGAAGATGTAAACCCATTTATGCCGGAAGCTGCAAATTTTTTTGTGAAAAATCAGACCTTGGTGATGACCTCGAGCAGTGTATATAAATAACTCCCACCAGCCTAGCGTTCCAATAATGGAACACTAGGCATAAATGAGTTAATTGAGATAGTAAATATAGGACTAGGGAGAGTGGTTGGGAAGGCAGGTAAGATAGAGTTTGTGAATATTTGAGGACTGGGTGACACATATGCAGAAATGCATATCTGAGACTTAGAAAGTTAGGCTTGAGATAGGGATTAAGAAATCACACCAAACTAGAGATGGGGTTTCACCATGTTAGCCAGGATGGTCTTGATCTCCTGACCTTGTGATCTACCCACCTCGGCCTCCCAAAGTGCTGGGATTATAGGCATGAGCCACCGCGCCTGGCCACCCCCCGACCCTCTTTTTTTTTTTTTTTTTTTTTTTGAGACGAAGTTTCACTCTTGTTGTCCAGGCTGGAGTGCAATGGCACGATCTTGGCTCACTGCAACCTCCGCCTCCTGAGTTCAAGCGATTCTCCTGCCTCAGTCTCCCAAGTAGCTGGGATTACAGGCACCTGCCACAACGCCCAGCTAATTTTTTGTATTTTTTGTAGAGACGGGGTTTCACCATGTTGGCCAGGCTGGTCTTGAACTCCTGACCTCAGGTGATCTGCCTGCCTTGGCCTCCCAAAGTGCTGGGATTACAGGTATGAGCCACCACTCCTGGCCCTTCCCTATCTTTTTAAAATGAGCCATGTGTATTTTGTAATCAGCAAAAAGTAGTAATCAAAGCAAAACAATTTCATTAAAGCAAATTTTTTTAAAAAGAAAATACACTTATTGCTTAAAATTTTTTTTTAATTCTACTTTAGAGGTGTCTGTGGAGATAACCAGTAATGATGGTTTAATTTTCTACAGCTCAAAAATGTGTATTAGGACATATTTTAGAAATGCAATCAAATTGTGCTCTAAGCTTCCTCTTATGGCTGGGCGTGGTGCCTCATGCCTGTAATCCCAGCCCTTTGAGAGGCCGAGGTGGGCGGATCACCTGAGATCAGGAGTTTGAGACCAGCCTGGCCAACATGGTGAAACCCCATCTCTACTAAAAATACAAAGAATTAGCCGGGCTTGGTGACGGACGCCTGTAATCCCAGCTACTCGGAAGGCTGAGACAGGAGAACCAGTTGAACCTGGGAGATGGAGGTTGCAGTGAGCTGAGACTGCACCACTGCACTCCAGCCTGGGAGACAGAGTGAGACTCCGTCTCAAAAAAAGAAGCCTCTTTTTATTGCTTAATAGAGCATGAACATCTTGTTTCAACTTAAATATATCTCATCAATTTTAAATATTTCTATAGTATTCAATTTAGCCATTATCAATATACACAAAAATTATTTTGTATTTTAATACTATAATTAATACAGTACTCCTGCAGTCCCCAACTTTTTTGGCACCAGGGACCCATTTCATGGAAGACAATTTTTCCATGTACCAGGGGTGGAGGATGGTTTCAGGATGAAACTGTTCCACCCTAGATCATCAAGTATTAGATGTAGGCTAGATCCCTCACATGCACAGTAATAGGGTTTGCACTCCTGTGAGAATCTAATGCTGCCACTGATCTTTCAGGTGGCACTCAGGTGGTAATGCTTGCTTACCCACTGCTCACCTCCTGCCATGCAGCCTGGTTCCTAACAGGGCCACGGACTGGCACTGGTCTACTCGATCTCCTTGTATTTAAAGTTGGTTTAATTTCTTAGACTACATCCTGGAAGCGTACTTTTTGTGTCAAAGGATATGTACGTTTGCAATTTTGTTACACATTGTCAGTTTGCCCTCCAAAAAGATGTTTCACTTTGTGTGTATGTGTGTCCTTGTGCTTATTTCCTCCAGTGCTTCAGAAATCTTAAACAATATCAAGAATCTTTTCATCTATGACAGTCTGATAGGGGAAAATGGTATTACTTAAATGTGTATGTGTTCATAGGTGAAGTTAAACATACTTACACATATTTGCTTATTTTTTTAAAGAGTATTTCTATGTGGCCTTTGCTCATTTTCAATGGAAAGATTATTTCTGTGGAGTCTTTTGTGTACTGCCTCAATGAAAGGAGAATTATGAAGATTTAAGACAGAAGGGAAAATTGATGGATAGTGATTGTGTAGGTAGGAGGACATGATGGGATGAAAACAGATTTTATAGATTGATACTAACTGAAAATCATGGGGAATCTTGTGAGAACTTTCTCATTTTTAAAGTTTTGAGCCTTCTGCTGAATCAGGCCTGGAAAGAATCATGTAAACATTAAAATAAAATTATTTTCCTCTAGAGTTAAGAAAATATACATCCTCAATGTACAAATAATTGCTGATGTTTTTCTTAGTTGCAAGAATAAGTAGATAGATGATATTTATTTATTTATTTATTTATGAGATGGAGTCTCGCTCTATCACCAGGCTGGAGTGCAGTGGCGCGATATTGGCTCACTGCAACCTCTGCCTCCCAGGTTCAAGCAGTTCTCCTGCCTCAGCCTCCTGAGTAGCTGGGATTACAGGTGCCCGCCACCATGCCCGGCTAATTATTTTTTGTATTTTTTTAATAGAGACAGGTTTCACCAAGTTGGCCAGGATGGTCTCTATCTCCTAAGCTAGTGATCCAGCCACCTCGGCCTCCCAAAGTGCTAGGATTACAGGCATGGGCCACTGCACCTGGCTGGTGATATTTCTTTCACATCCACATAGGGGTGCACGTATGTTTATGGGAGACCTGTTAGACTAGAGAGACAGGCGTATGATTTTAATAATATTCATATTATCCTTTTGAAGTAGGATAGAGTGAGAGGATGTTTTTACTTGCATACAACAAAATGGAGGCACAACAAATTAACCTTTTTGATCTTTTCCATCTTTGGTGTCTGATGAAATATGCAAAAATGCATTAACACAGGATACTTCTGACAAAGGTAAATAAATTGGCTAAGGGTAGCAGCTTGTTCTGTGACACTCCTGCATGGCTTCTAAAGTAAGACACTTATTTCTGTGATTGATGTAGGATTTATATGACAGGCTCTGCATATTGTTCTTTCCTTGTCTGAATTACTGAACTGTCACTTGTGAACTTAAATTGGAACTTTTTTTTTTTTTTTTTGTGACGGAGTCTCGCTCTGTCGCCCAGGCTGGAGTGCAGTGGCTCGATCTTGGCTGACTGCAAGCTCCGCCTCCCAGGTTCACACCATTCTCCTGCCTAAGCCTCCCGACTAGCTGGGACTACAGGCGCCTGCCACCACGCCTGACTAATTTTTTTTTTTAATATGTGTATTTTTAGTAGAGACGAGGTTTCACCATGTTAGCCAGGATGGCCTCGATCTCCTGACCTTGTGATCCACCTGCCTCGGCCTCCCAAAGTGCTGGGATTACAGGCGTGAGCCACTGCGCCCTGCTTTTATTGGAACTTTTAACTTCTGCTACTAGCTTTTCTTTTTTTGGCAGTTGTAATTATTAACAATTTACAGATGAATACTATCTAAAGCAGTTCATTTCATATTATATCCCACAGTCTTAGATCCATTATTTTCCACTCCAAGTCAATGAGAAAAGAAAAGTGAGCAGGCAGAACTCTCCATGTTATCTGTTTTATACATTTTATACATTTGAGTTTTCAATAAGATTTTGTTTGAAAGGTATGATTCTGCTGCTTTAAACATTTTTGAAAATCATCTGAGAGAATGCAGGCTTAAGATGAAACATAATTTTATTTTATTTTATTTTTGAGATGGAGTTTCACTCTTGTTGCCCAGGCTGGAGTGCAATGGCATGATCTTAGCTCACCGCAACCTCCACCTCCTGGATTCAAGCAATTCTCCTGCCTCAGGCTTCTGAGTAGCTGGGATTACAGGTGCCCACCACCACACCCAGCTAATTTTTTGTATTTTTAGTAAAGATGGGGTTTCACCATGTTGGCCAGGCTGGTCTCAAACTCCTGACTTCAAGTGATCTGCCCGCTTCAGCCTCCCAAAGTGCTGGGATTACAGGCGTGAGCCACTGCACCCAGACCAAAATGTAACATAATTTAAAGGTATTTCTTCTCTAGTTCAAAATGAAGCCATTTTAAAATCAAATTTTTGCTTTTAAGTTAATAGTTTCTTAGAAAATCATGGTATTTTAAACAAATGAAAGTGTATCAGCCAAACACCTAATTAACCAGAAACATTGATATATATTTGTAACCTTGTTAAAGTTTTCTTATAAATTTACAAATTTTTAGGTTCTGTGGATGGAACAAACTAAAACAAGTTTTAGAAGTCATGTCATTCTTCTGCTTAAGTGATTAAAAATAGGAGTCTTGGCTGGGCATGGTGGCTCACGCCTGTAATCTCAGCACTTTGGGAGGCCAAAGCAGACAGATCATCTGAGGTCAGGAGTTGGAGACCAGCCTGGCCAACGTGGTGAAACCCCGTCTCTACTGAAAATACAAAAATTAGCCAGGCATGGTTGTGGGCGCCTGTAATCCCAGCTACTCGGGAGGCTGAGGTGAGCTGAGATCGTGCCATTGCACTCTAGTCTGGGTGACAAGAACGAGACTCTGTCTCAAAAAAAATAAATTAATTGAATTAAATTAAATTAAATTATAACTTTAGATAAAATGCATTCTAATTTTTTTGTTGTTATGTGGATATATTCCCTAATGGTGAAGTCTGGGTTTTTTTGTGTAACTATCACCTGAATAATATGCATTGTATCCATTAAATAATTTCTCATTTCTCACCTCTTTCCCACCCTTTTAAGTCTTCAGTGTCTATTATTCCACACTCTGTGTCCATGTGTACACATTATTTAGCTCCCACTTATAAGTGAAAGCATGCATTTTTTGATTTTCTGTTTCTGAGTTGTTTCACTTAAGTTAATGGCCTGCAGTTCCATCCATGTTGCTGCAAAAAACGTGAAATTTTATTATTTTTTTAAGGGCGGAATAGTAGTTCATTGCCTGTCTGCCTGTGTGTGTGTGTGTGTGTAAAATGTGTGTGTGTATGTGTATGTGTATATATATATATAAAATCATCCATGAGGGACACTTGTTTCCGTATTTTTGGCGATAAACATAACATATGCAGGTGTCTTTTTGATGTAATGATTTCTTTTCCTTTGGGTAGGTACCCATTAGTGAGATTGCAGGATCAAATGGTGGTTTTAGTTTTTTGGGAAACTTCCATACTGTTTTTCATAAAGGGTGCACTCATTTACATTCCCGCCAACAGTGTATAAGTGTTCTCTCTTCTCTGCACCCATGCCAACATCTTTTATTTTTTGACTTTTTAATAATAGCCATTCTTAGGAGTGTAAAAGGCTTATTGGAAAAACCAACAAAACAAAAAATAATAATAATAGCCATTCTGACTGGTATAAAATTATATCTTATTGTGGTTTTAATTTGCATCTCTCTGCTGATTAGTTCTTTTGAGCGTTTTTTCATATGCTTCTTGGTCATTTGTATGTCATTCAAATGTCATTCAAATGAAGTCATTTGTATGTCTTCATTTGAAAAATGTTCATGTCCTTTGCTCACTTTTAGATGAGGTTATACGGTTTTTTGTTATTGTTTGTTTAAGTTCCTTGTAAATTCTTACAATTAGTATTGTAAATACTATAATATCCTTGTAATTGGATATTAGTTTCCTGTTAGATGCAGTTTGCAAATATTTTCTCCCATTCAGCAGGTTGTCTGTTCACTCTCTTATTTCTTTTGCTGTGCAGATGCTTTTTAGTTTAATTAAGTCCCATTTGTCTATTTTGTTTTTGTTGTGCATTTTAATTTTCTTGGAAGAATATCAAATGTATATGAGATTCTTGTTTGTAGTAGTATCGTAGTTTAAATTTCTTTTGGAATTACACCCTAGTTTAACTTAAGCACAATTTGTTAAGGTTAAGCAGTTTTAACAGATCTTGGAGAAGAATTATTTCTGTCAATAGCATAATCCATCAAAATAAAGTAGAAATGAAGAGTTCTAACCACATTAGGTGACACACAGTCTGCATTGCATTAATATGGTAATTTTAGAAGTGTCACAGATACAATACTTGCAAGATTATGCATTGACATCTTGAATGGTTAACCAGAAGAATGTAATGGTAAAATTTCCAGGCTTGCCAAACAATTCCGGAATTTTTTTTTTTTTTTTTTGATACAGAGTCTCACTTGTTCGCCCAGGCTGGAGTGCAGTGTTGCAATCTCGGCTCGCTGCAGCCTTCATCTCCTGGGTTCAAGTGATTCTCGTGCCTTGCCTCAGCCTCTGGAGTGGCTGGGGTTACAGGCGTGCACCACCACGGCCGGCTAATTTTTGTATTTTTAGTGGAGATGGGGTTTCGCCATGTTGGTCAGGCTGGTCTCAAACTCCTGAGATCAGGTGATCTGCCCACCTTGGCTTCCCAAAGTCCTGGGATTACAGGCATGAGCCACCATGTCTGGCCACAATTTTTGAGGAGGACTATGAAAGTAGGATGGTTATGGGCAACAGAAGTTTATAGAAAGATGTGTTTATGAGGGTGATTCAGAAGCAGTATTTACATGATGTCATCATGCATCCTAAGGAAAAAACTGTCTGAACTTATGGCCTACTTTTCCAGAAGGCGGCAAAGCTTTTGTCAAAGAAAGTGGAGCTTACTGCCAGCTGTTGTGGGCTTTCAAAGAGCAGGTGATGCTGGATTGATTCAATTTTTTTTTTCTATGTTGGGGTTACTAGGACAAGAGGAAATATATATATATACACATGCACACAAACACACACACACATACACACATATATATATATAACTTTATAAAGTATCATGTAATATTTTTTATAATTTATCTTTAATTCCAATAACTAGGTTACATAGATTCTAAAGTTCTGAATCCTATAGGCAAGTGGTTCAATTATTTTATCCATGTCGTCTAGATACCTCCTTATTTCTAAATATTATTTCTTAATTTTTTCAATATTAGATGTTGTTATTGATTGTCTCACAGATGCCATCCCTAATGACGTACATACCTTGCCCATATTCTCCCAATATACTTATGTCATATTTTTTGGTTCAATAATTTTTTTACATTTACAGCTTTATGGCTGTGGAAGTATTGTTTACAACCAATCTATGAGAGCACTGTTACTGTATTTCCTTTTTAGTATGACTCCATCATTCCTTCCCTCAGAATTAAAAATTGCTGATACTTGATTTTTAAAAAAAATTCTTAGTTATCAATATACCTTTCATTAATTTTTTTTCCTCAAGTCCAACAATTAAAAAATTTGTCATGATATTAGGTAATTCTGTGTTTAGATTCCTTTTCTGCTGGATGGCTTAGTTTTGCTAAGTCATTTACCATTTGTTTATTCAATTCTCATCTTCCAAAATGTTGACATCTCTAGTCTACTGTTTCCTCACCTGTTCTCTTTGTCCTTTCTTGTTTCCTTTGTCCTTTCAGTGGGGTTTTGGAAATAAATAGAGCTAAATGTCTCAATTTTTTTCTGCCATGTTAAACTAGATGTCTATGTTATACATTTTTATTTCAGCAGGGCATTTATTTGACATACTTTTGTGTATTCTGGTAACATATAGAAATGTGCGGTGACTGAAAAGATAATTAAGTAGATTTGTCATTCCTTTAACCATCTTCATAAAAGAGAATGAGTTAATGGATCATTGCCCTCATTGATGCTAAACAGTAGAATTCTGTATTTTGGTCCTATCCACTTCAACAGTGAATTGGATCAAACCTTTGAAGAACATACTGATGAAAGCTGTACACAACACAGTGCTTTGGGTGGGGCAGCTAATATGTATTGCTGGTTAACAGAATCAAGATTCAGCATTATATTAAATAAGCAAAGAGTTGAACAAAAGTCCTAACCATGGTTCACAAACCAGTTCTACTGTACAATTTTAGATTTGACAACTAGATTAGCAAAAATTAATATGAAAAAGATGACTGTAAGTTTAGAATGAGACAAGAATGGTCCCAGGCTTCCCAAAAGTTTATGGTAACTTTGAGTAACTTAATATGTGAAGTCCAGATCAACAAAAGTAGTTAAGTTTTAGACTTATAAGGAACTTTAGCATTGTCTAGTTCAACTGTCATCGTTTTAAAGATGAGAGAAATTAAAAATTAAGTGACTTGGTCTAGGGAGAACAACCAGCTTGTCACAGAATTGGAACTACAGCCCAGATCCAAGACATCACAAGTAGCTATTTCTATTATATGCCATGTAGTCTTACCGGTTACTGGTTAAATGTATAGTTGAAATACCACAAGCCAGAAAAAAATAGTTACAAAAGACATCAGAATAAATGTCTAATTATAATACAAAGATGATAGTCATTAGCATTTAATATAATTACATGTTACCAGAAAAAGAAATATAAATAAAGTATAAAATGATAACTAATGATCTTTTAAGTGACACCATCTAGTTTTTATGGTGGATCATCCCCAACATTAATCGTCAGAGATTTTCCAGGGGGTGAGGAGGAAAAACATTGGTAAATTAATTATTGTGAAGTTTAATATTATACTATTGCAAAGTAAATTTAGAGCAGAATCAAAGTGGAGGATGTTATAAACACTATGCCTCTTTCAAATAAAAGGCTAGGGGTAGATTTCCATAATTACCTAGCCATTTATTCATTTAACAAATTGTATTGAGCATCTGGTTTTTTGGCAGGCATTTAGCTAGGCCCTGGGGGTACAAAGATCATAAATAAGACATGGACCCTGCTTTTGCCAAGATCATTATTTGGGGATTCATACTTAGAAATTAGTAACTATACTGCAATGCAGTAAGTAAAATAATAGAAGAAATATATAAGATAATTAGCTTATATATATTTATAATTCTAAGTGTTTTTTGATTAAAGGACTATTCCAGGTAGTTTGGGTTAATGTTTGTACTGTGAAACTAGAAGTTAACATGTTAACAATATGAGTTAACAATATATTGTTAACAATATTGTTAACAATAACATGTTAACAATATTGTTAACAATAACATGTTAACAATATCAGCAGAGTGGGGTCCTTTTTGAGGGTTGTAATGCTACTTTTTATACTTGTTAGTCTTCCAATGTAGCTTAGAAAGAGTGATATCTCTGCTGGAATTGGCAAATGGCAGAAAACCTGCACAAATAAGACACTCTGAGTTGAACCTTTAAGGCTCGAGCTGGGCAGTAAGGAGAAAGGGCTGGGGTCCGGGGGTGAGAACGTGAAAGAACATTCTCAAAAGAGGAAGCCGCACCATACAAAAGGCATGGAGGTGTGAAACACAAGAAAATGTAAAGAACCTCAGCACTGCTGGAAAGCATGGGTGACTTAAGATCCACAGGGGTCGTTCAGTGGAATTGGTATTAGGAAGTGAGGCCGGAGATGTGAGCAAAGCCTGTTCTTGATCATGATAGAGATTTTGGACTTTATTGTGTAGGCCATGAAAAAAGGAGGAATTACAAGTCATCGTTTTTTTTTTTTCCCCTTCTTGGAGAAGATAAATTAACTAGAGTGATCTCACTCCCCTTTCCTCCAAAATGTAGTTTTTCTGTGCTTTTAGAAAACATGGAGCAATCTGTTTTTATCCAGAGGTGTTCATAGCTAAAGAATAGTAGGATTTTTTTCCAGTTTATCAGGGCAAAAAGCTGAAACAGTAAATGCTTTGTGATTTAAGTAATTCTAAATGTTTTTTGATTAAAGGACTATTCCAGGTAGTTTGGATTAATGTTTGTTTGTACTGTGAAACTAGAAGTTAACATGTTAACAGTATCTCAGCAGAGTAGGGTCCTTTTTGAGGGTTGTAATGCTACTTTTTATACTTGTTAGTCTTCTTTATTTTATAAAGTACTTCAGCAAATAGATTAACCTAAATGATAAACAGTTTTTTTGGATTTGAACATCTAGACTATAGACAGGTTTAGGATAATTCTAATTTATGGAGCTTTTTTGTTTTGTTGGTTTGGGCAATTTTTTTTGGTAGGCAATATTGCAATGTCATCACAAAAATTAGAACAAAGACTTTGTTCAGGTATGTGTGTACCTTGATATAAATGTTGGATATACTTTGGGATTCGGCTTTTTTATTAACTACATTGCTATGTGGTTTTCATGATTATAATTTTAATGGCTACATTCTATTTCTTCAAGTGGAGTACTAGAACTGTTAACCATAAAATTGGGCTTCCAGTTAAATCTAGATTTTATTATAATAATAAATAACAATAAACATTTTCATGAAAATAGAGGTTATTATAAGAAATGTATCTTCCTCTGTAGCTTCTGGATAAATTTTATTTTGTATAGATTGCACAGAAAATTTATACATTGATGATACAACTATATTTTTCAATAGTTTTATTCTACTCTAAAATATTTGTATTGAGGAGTCAAGGCTAAATGTGGAATTTTTCACAAAATTTGTATACAGTATAAGTTAACAGTAATATGAATTAGAATTATAAATTATATTTGCTGAAATTTTTAGCTGTGTCTTAGTAAAACTTTCATATGATATCACTTGTGTTAATAAGCTCCAGCTGTCTGGAACAAGGCTGAGGACTAGGAAACAAATCAAAATAATAATAAAAATTAAAAATATCTTAGCCAAAATAGTTCCCTAGTAGACATTTAAGAGATACTAATATTATTCTCATTAAAAGACATAATATGTTTCTGGGGATAGATCATGAGAGAAGAGGTCTGAATCAGTATTACACAAAAGTATATATATTTAAATCAAAAATTAAAAAAATTAAAAATTTCACTTACATTAGCATCAAGAATAAAATACTTAGGAATAAATTTAATAAAATGAGTACAAAATTTATACTCTGAAAACTATAAAGTATTGTCATAGGGAATTTAAGATCTAACTACATGGTAAGACATTCCACATTCATGGATCTCAAGATTTAATATTGTTAAGATGGCAGCACTCCCCAAGTTGAAGTACAGATTCAACACAGTCCTTATCAGAATCTCAGCTGGCTTCTTTGTGGAAACTGAAAGCTGATTCTAAAATTCATACGGAATTTCAAGAAACCCAGAAGAGCCAAAACAATCTTGAAAAAAGAAGAACAAAGTTGGATGACTCATACTTTGGATTTCAAAATTTACTACAAAGCAGACAGTGTGGTGCTCCCATCAGGATAGACATATAGACTGGTAAAATAGATTTGACACCTACCCATGAATCTCTAGTCAATTGCACTTGACAGGTGTGTCAAGACCATACAATGGGGAAACAATAATTATTTTGACAAGTGGTATTGGGACAACTGGATAGCCACAATCAAAAGATTCAAGTTGGACGCTTACCTCATACCACAAATAAAAAATTAACCCAAAGTAGATCAAAGGACTAAATGTAAGAGTCAAAACTATAAAAGTCTTAAAAAAAACAAACATAAGGATGAATCTTACTGCCCTCATATTTGCCAGTGGATTCTTAGTTATGATACCAAAAGCATAAACAGTAGAAGAAAAAAACAGATAAATTGGATTTCATAAAAATTTAAAACTTTTGTGTGACAAAGAACACCATCAAGAAAGTTAAAAGTTGGCTAGGTGCAGTGGCTCATGGCTGTAATCCCAGCACTTTGGGAAGCAGAGGTGGGTGGATCACTTGAGGTCAGGAGTTTGAGACCAGCCTGGCCAACATGGTGAAACCCCGTCTCTACTAAAATACAAAAATTAGCTGGGTGCGTTGGTGTGCTTCTGTAATCCCAGCTACTCAGGAGGCTGAGGGCAGAGGTGTGTGGATCACTTGAGGTCAGGAGTTTGAGACCAGCCTGGCCAACATGGTGAAACCCCATCTCTACTAAAATACAAAAATTAGCTGGGTGTGTTGGTGCGCTTCTGTAATCCCAGTTACTCAGGAGGCTGAGGCAGGAGAATTGCATGAACCCGGGAGGCAGAGGTTGCAGTGAGCCAAGATCACACCACTGCAATCCAGCCTGGGTGACAGAGTGAGGCTCCGTCTCAAAAAGAAAAAAAAAAAAGAAACTTAAAAGTCAGTCTACATAATGGGAGAAAAATATTTGGAAATTATGTATCTAACAATGGGCTAGTATTCAGAATATATAGAAGACTCTTACAACTCATTCATAAAAAGACAACCCAATTTAAGAATAGGCAAAGGATTTTTTTTTAATGGTCACTTTAGATACACTTTTTGTTTGTTTTTCCATAGGTTATTGGGGTACAGATGGTGTTTGGTTACATGAGTAAGTTCTTTAATGGTGATTTCTGAGATTTTGGTGCACCCATCACCTGAGCAGTGTACACTGCACCCTATCTGTAGTCTTTTATCCCTTGTCCCCCTCCCACCCTTCTGCCCAAAGTCCATTGTATCATTCTTACTATAAGCCAAAGATTTGAATAGACTTTTCTCCAGAAACAATGTAAGGATGACTAGTAAGCATATGACTTGATGCTCAACATTGTTAGCCATTGGGGAAATGCATATCAAAACCACAGTTACCATTTCATACCCTCTAGGGTGACTAGAATCAGATAACAATTGTTGGCTAGGGGGGAAGTGTAGAAATCTGAGTCTTTATACACTGCTCTTGGGAATGTAAAATGCTATAACCACTTTGGAAAACAGTCTGACAATTTCTCAAAAAGTGGCAGCACCCCAAATGTTTATCACCTGAAGAAATAGGTCAACAAAATGTGGTATTATTAGCCCATAAAAATGAATAAAGATACATACTACTATAACATAGATGAATCTTGAAAACAGGTTAAATGAACAGATCCAGTAACAAAAAGACCATTGATTTTGTGATTCCATTTCATATGAAAAATTCATGGGAGACTGAGAGGCGGGCGGATCTCTTGAGGTCAGGAGTTTGAGACCAGCTTGGTCAACATGGTGAAACCCTGTCTCTACAAAAAGATATAAAAATTAACCAGGCATGGTGGCACATGCCTGTAATCCCAGCTACTTGGGTGGCTGAGGCACTAATTGCTTGAACCCGGGAGGCTGAGGTTGCAGTGAGCTGAGATCGTACCACTGTACTCCAGCCTGGGCAACCAACTGAGACCCTGTCTCAAAAAAATAAAAAATAAAAAATTAGGTCAGGCAATTGTGTAGAGATAGAAAGTAGAGGCTGGGCATGATGGTTCATGCCGGTAATCCCAGCACTTTGGGAGGCCAAGGCAGGAGGATCACTTGAAGCCAGGCATTTGAGACCAACCTGGACAACATAGCAAGACCGCATCTCCACAAAAAATGTTAAAAAAAAAAATTAGCCAGGCTTGATGGTGCATGCCTGTAATCCCAGTTACTTGGGAGGCTAAAGTGAGAGGATTGCTTGAGCTCAGGAGGTTGAGGCTGCGCTGAGCCTAGATTGCGCCACTACACTCCAGGCTGGGCAGCAGAATAGACACTGTGTTTAAAAAAAAAAAAAAACTCCATAAAATTATAAAATTTGCCATCTCAATCATTTTTAAGTGTACAATTCAGTAGTGTTTAGTATAGTTATATTATTGTGAAATACATCTCTAGAACTTTTTCTTTTCTTTTTTTTTTTTCTCGGCACAGTCTCGGCTCACTGCAACTTCTGCCTTTCAGGTTCAAGTAATTCTCCTGCCTCAGCCTCCTGAGTAGCAGAGATTACAGGCGCTCGCCACCACGCCCAGCTAATTTTTGTATTTTTTAAATAGAGATGGGGTTTTGCCATGTAGGCCAGACTGGCCTTGAACTCCTGACCTCAGGTGATCCAACTGCCTTGGCTTCCCAAAGTCCTGGGATTGCAGGCTTGAGCCACCGCCCCCAGCCTAGAACTTTTTCATCTTGTGAATTGGAAACTCTATGCTCATTAAACAACTCCTACTTTCCCCTCTTCCCAGGTAACTACCACTCTACTTTCTCTTTTTATTTTTTTTATTTTTATAGAGATGGAGTCTCACTATGTTGCTCAGACTGGTCTGGAACTCCTGGGCCTTAAGTGATCTTCCTGCCTCGCCCTTCCAAAGTTTTGGGATTCCAGGTGTGAGCTGCTGCACCCAGCCCCTACTTTCTGTCTGTATGAATTTGACTACTTCAGATATTTGATAAAAGTGGAATCATACAGTAGTTGTCTTTTTGTGGCAAGTTTATTTTACTTAGTATAACGTCCTCAAGGATAATAGTATGTATCAGAATTTCCTTCCTTTGGCCCGGCATGGTGGCGTATGCCTGTAATCCTAGCACTTTGGGACGCCGAGGCAGGCGGATCATGAGGTCAGGAGATCGAGACCATCCTAGCTAACACGGTAAAACCACGTCTCTACTAAAAATACAAAAAATTAGCCGGGCGTGGTGGCGGGTGCCTGTAGTCCCAGCTACTTGGGAGGCTGAGGCAGGATAATGGCGTGAACCCAGGAGGCGGAGCTTACAGTGAGCCAAGATTGTGCCACTGCACTCCAGCCTGGGCAACAGAGTGAGACTCTGTCTCAAAAAAAAGAAAAAAGAATTTCCTTCCTTTTTCAAGTTGAATAATCCATTGTATGTATATATCATATTTTGTTTAGCCATTCACTCATCAATGGACATTTGGGTTGCTTCTATCTTTGGGCTATTGTAAATGGAACTAAGTTGGCTGTTTCTGAATGCTTAGCATAAGACACCAACAGAATAGAGTTTTGATTTGGAGGGAGAAGCAGCAGTTCTGAAGATAAAATATGAGAAAAGGGGCCGGGCGCAGTGGCTCACGCCTGTAATCCTTAACACTTTGGGAGGCCGAGCCGGGCAGATCATGAGGTCAGGAGATTGAGACCATCCTGGCTAACACAGTGAAATCCTGTCTCTACTAAAAATACAAAAAATTAGCCGGGCTATTTTTATAGAACCGCTTGAACCCAGGAAGCTAAGGTTGCAGTGAGCCAAGATTGCGCCACTGCACTCCAGCCTGGGCAACAGAGCAAGACTGTCTCAAAACAAAACAAAACAATACAAACAAAAAAAAAAAGGTAAGTCTGAGTGGAATGACTACCTATTTTGCCCTGGTTGTCCTGGGTGGTCAGTGACGATTGTTATATCAGCTCAACTCACAGCTTCCAAAGACTTCTTGAGAAGGGCTGTCTTTTTTCAACATGCTGCTTGGTGAAATGCAAAGTGAATTTGATAAGCTTATTACCCTTATTCAGAAAGAAAGGGCTTGAACAAGCTGAAACCTTTATGTGTGTGTGTGCGCGCGTATATACGTGTACTTCTTTTTAATTAACAGTATCGTCCTCTAATGTAGGAGAACTTATGCTTTCTTATTTATCATTTTAGTAAAACTAGGTCATGTCCTCATCCAGTGTATGAATATACCACATTTTGTTTATGCATTTTGTTTATGGATATTTTATTTGTTTCTGTTTTGTTTTTTTTTTTTTTGAGATGGAGTCTCGCTCTGTTGCCCAGGCTTGAGTGCAGTGGTGCGATCTCGGCATACCACAACCTCCGCCTCCTGGGTTCAAGGGATTCTCCTGCCTCAGCCTCCCGAGTAGCTGGGACTACAGGTGCGTGCCACCATGCCTGGCTAATTTTTGTATTTTTAGTAGAGATGGGATTTCACTATGTTGGCCAGGCTTGTCTTGAACTCCTGACCTTGTGATCCGCCCACCTCGGCCTCCCAAAGTCCTGGGATTACAGGCGTGAGCCACTGTGCCTGGCCTGTTTGTTTCTGTGTATGAATACTCTATGATCCAGAAATTCCACTCTGGGTATTCACTTAAGAAAATGCATATATATGTGCACCAAGAAACATATTTAATAATATTCATAGCAGCATTATTCCTAATGGCCCAAACTGAAAACAGCCCAAATGTCCATCAACAGTAGGACAGATAAATAAATTGTGATATATTCATACAATGGAATACCATCTAGTAATGAAAAAGTATGAACTACTAATGCATGCAAGAAAGTGCATGAATCTCACGGACGTAATCAAGGAAAAGAATGCAGATACATGAGAATGCTTATTAGATAATTCCATCCATATGATGTCAAAAATAAGCAAATGTGATTTCCTACAATAGCAGTCAAAACAGATTACCTTTGGTTGTGATAAGTAGGAGTTAGTCATTGAGAGGAGGTACCAGAAAACCTACTGGTATGCTGAAAATGTTCTCTTTCCAAATGGTAGTTACATGGGTGTATGTATGGATATATAAAAATTCACCGAGCTCTACAGTTAACGTTTGTGTGCTTTACTGCATGTAAGTTATACCTCAGTAAAAAAGAAAAAGTAGGTGTAAACAAAATTACAAAAAAAGGTGGATCATTTGTGCAAGAGGATTGAAATTTGTTTTTTGATGTTAACAGTGTATGTCAGTGATCTTCATACCACTTAGGTGGAGCTGCTTCATAATCACTGGATCTAAACAAAGCTGAAAATTATGTGCCAGACCCTTTAGGAAATTGTCCAAATAATTAACAGTAAAGCAAGACTTAAAAAAAAGTGAAACACATAGGTTAACGTTGCTCCTTTTTACATAAATGCTTTCATAAAGATTAAAAATTTTTAGATGTGGGGTGTAGTTGCATCAGTGGGATCTATGAAGTTCTCATTATACTCTGTCTTCTCCTATATGTACATTAGTTGAGTACCTAATTTTACATAAAAATCTACTTTTATGGCTGGGCACGGTGGCTCATGCCTGTAATCCCAGCACTTGGGAGGCCAAGGCGGGCAGATCACGAGGTCAGGAGTTCGACACCAGCTTGGCCAACATGGTGAAACCCTGTCTCTACTAAAAATACAAAAATTAGCCAGGTGTGGTGGCCTGTGCCTGTAGTCCTGACTACTTGGAAGGCTAAGGCAGGCGAATCGCTTGAACCCGGGAGGCGGAGCTTGCAGTGAGCTGAAATTGTGCCACTGCACTCCAGCCTGGGTGACAGAATGAGACTCTGTGTCCAAAAAAAAAAAAATATATATATATATACACACACACACACACACACACACACACACACACACACACACGCACATACATGCATATATACTTTTACCCCTGGACTGGGTGTGGTGACTCACGCCTACAATCCCGGCACTTTGGGAGGCCGAGGCGGGTGGATTACCTGAGGTCAGTAGTTTGAGACAAGCCTGGCCAACATGGCAAAACCCTGTCTCTACTAAAAATACAAAAATTAGCCAAGAGTGGTGGTGGGCACGTGTAATCCCAGCTACTCGGGAGGCCGAGGTGGGAGAATTGCTTGAAACCGGCGGGGCAGAGGTTGCAGTGAGCTGTGATTGCACCACTGCACTCCAGCCTGGGCAACAGAGTGAGACTCCATCTCAAAAAATATATATATTTTAATAGATAATAAAATAATATTAATATATTATTCAAATATATCAATATTAATATATTATTCGAATATATCAATATTAATATATTATTCAACTATATCAATATTAATATATTATTAAATATATCAATATTATTATTAAATATATCAATATCAATATATTAAATATATCAATATTATTATTAAATATATCAATATTATTATTAAATATATCAATATTATTATTAAATATATCAATATTAATATATTAAATATATCAATATTAATATATTATTAAATATATCAATATTGCTATATTATTAAATATATCAATATTAATATATTATTAAATATATCAATATTAATATATTATTAAATATATCAATATTGCTATATTATTAAATATATCAATATTGCTATATTATTAAATATATTAATATTAATATATTAAATATACCAATATTAATATATTATTAAATATATTAATATTAATATATTTATTATATTAAATTTTATTATTTTAATATTAATAACAATATGAAAACTTGTAGCAGGGGTAAAAGTGTGTGTATATGTATTATTTTATGTATGTACATATGAATGAATGAATGACAGGGTCTCACTCTGTTGCCCAGGCTGGAGTGCAGTGGTGCAATCACAGGTCACTGTAACCTTGAACTCCTGGACTCAAAGGATCCTCCCATCTCAGCCTCCCAAGTAGCTAGGGCTGAAGGGTGCACCACAATGCCTGGCTAATTATTTAATTTTTTTGTGGAGGCAGAGTCTCACTTTGTTGCCTAGGCTGATCTCAAACCCCTGGCCTCAAGTGATTCTCTCACCTTGACCTCCCAAAGTTTTTGGATTACAGGTTTGTGCCACAGCACCCAGCCTCCAACTTTATTAATAACATCTATATTTCCTCTCAAAACTTGCATCACTGTCTAGAATAGAGGTCTATATTCTTATTGGCAGGAAAATATATTTGACTATTTTGTCTAATGATCAAGTTCAAGTCACTGACGTTGCATGGTTCTAGTTCTTCCGGAATTGATTGCTTTACCTTGAACTCTGTTCATGATTGTTTTTTCACTTTCAACTATTTTCTTTTTCTTTTTTTTTTTTTTTTGAGATGGAGTCTCGCTCTGTCACCCAGGCTGGAGTGCACTGGTGCGATCTTGGCTCACTGCAAGCTCTGCCTCCCGGGTTCACACCATTCTCCTGCCTCAGCCTCTCAAGTAGCTGGGACTACAGGTGCCCGCCACTACCACCAGCTAATTTTTTTGTATTTTTTATTAGAGACAGGGTTTCACTGTGTTAGCCAGGATGGTCTCGATCTCCTGACCTCGTGATCCACCTGCCTCGGCCTCCCAAAGTGCTGGGATTACAGGCGTGAGCCACCGTGCCCAGCCTCAACTCTTTTATTTTTCAAAGGACTGTTGTACCTTTTTTTTCCTACCTGGGTGGCTGAAATATCTCATTGGTACGTCACTCTTTTTCATTTTCATGGGTTCCCATTTGACCTTTTAATTTTCCACATTCATATTCTAGAGGTCTTCAAATAATAAATGATCCGTCTGTTCTGAAAAAGTACTTCAATTCTGTTTCAGACCCATAATGAAATATTTACTGATAAAATGATGTAACATCTGAGATTTGTTTCAAAATAATAAAGTTACTGAAATTGGGTAGGTTACATGGGGGAAAATCATATGCCTTTGAAGTTATGCATAAAAATTTTAAAAATACAAAAATACTTTGGTATTTCTCTGCTGCAGAAAATCATACTTTCTAGAATGATTCACTCCAGTTTTTCTGCCCACCACTATAATATAGAACATTTTACAAATTTTCTTTGTAAAGCATAGGCCCTTGAAAGTACATAGACACTTTCTGAAAAATGGAGTATGAGTCCTGCTTTGATGCTATTTATAAATGACTTTCAACTTCTCCCTTTCTTTTGGCCCTGGCTGCCTTTTACCTCACTCCACGTAGCCTCACTTTAGACTTTCAGATGTTAGAAGCACTCTCATTTTTCTTACTAACAGATTAATCAGAATATCATGTGTAATACCTTAGGAAAGTTATATAGAAACTAGTCCAGCCACTGACCAGCTTTTCATTGCAAAATGAAATAATTGAAACTGCTTTTTAGAAGATTTTTATTGATGGCTCTTATTATTCTTTGATCATAACTCACACTAAAAAAATTGTGATTTAATATACACATAGTTAATATCTGTGTATATGAAGTTTCATGAAATAATATTTTATCCTTACTGAGTATAATGTACTCTGATACTTTTTATTTTATATATTTTTTCTTTAAAAAATTTGGTCAAGACATTCTTTAAAATCAATATTTGAATGTATTTACTTTATATCCCACTAATGGATCATGTTCTACACTTTAGAAAACATTTGAGCATTGTCTGTCTTGTTAATAATAAACATGCTGTATATACCATCCCAGTGATATTAAGCTTTAATAAGTTTTTCTTTTATTATAATGTACTTATTGTTGTTGATAGGTAAGCCCTTTAAAAAACTTGACACAAGAAAAAATTATTCTTGCCTTAACTACTAATCATTTGGGAAATGTTTCTGCATAGTATACTAATATTTTAATACTATTAAGTTAGTAAAAGTGAAAACATTATCTGCTTTTTTTCTTTAGAGTTGTATTGCTATCGTTATCTTCTTACCCCTAATCATACTGCTCACTTAAAGAGATGCTCTTTGGGCCGGGCAAGATGGCTCATGCCTCCCAGCACTTTGGGAGGCCCAGACGGGAGGCTCACCTGAGGTCAGGAGTTTGAGACCAGCCTGGCAACAAGGTGAAACCCATCTCTACTAAAATACAAAAGTTGGTTGGGTGTGGTGGCATGCACCTGTAATCCCAGTTACTCGGGAGGCAGAGGCAGGAGAATTGCTTGAACCTGGGAGGCAGAGTTTCAGTGAGCCAAGATCATGCCACTGCACTCCAGCCTGGGCAACATAGCAAGACTGTGTCTCCACAAAAAGAAGAGATGCTTTTTGGGTGGAGGTGGCAATAGGCCAACCTGTCCTCTTTGCCCTAAATAGACATGGTAATCATCTGAGTTATATAAAAGTAGTTACTTGTTTTAACTACTAATTGCCTCAAGTTCATTTGGCTGGATTTTTTACAAGTTCTAGGTAGTAATTTATACATGTACTATTTTCACTGAAGGGCAAGAAAATGTGACAGCTGGAGCTCTAACTAAACAGACTGTATGTTCCTTTATCAGTATGGCTCTGAGAACTGAGAACTCCTAGTTCTTTGAAATAATGCAGTGTCTGATGAAGCTTACGGTGAATGTTGTCTCTGTAGGTGACTTACAGAAACAGGAAGTCTTCATGCAGAGGGTTTTATGGACAGCATCACATCCAGGACTGCTGCTTTGAAAGGGCTGAGTTTAAATATAAAGCTCCAAAAACTACTGTGTAATGCAGTTCCTTTTCTATTAAGAATAAAGGAACCAATAGCCAGGAAGTGAGCTTGGGAAGCGTTGTGGATTTTGTGCAACAGATACTAAAAGCTTTCAGTGCTTGGGATTGTGCCAGCTCATCAATGGTACTTTTCTGTCCATTAAATGGCTTTCCTTCCTCATAGTTATTGGTATGCTTTTATTTTTATTTTTTTAGCTGAAGCAGTTATTTATTTTAAATGGGCAGGGTTTTAACATAATCTTTGTAATTAAATTCATCTGGAGCAAAATTTTTGAGTACTGTGTATTATTTAGGATAGTGGCTGAGTGATTGTCTAAATTTCTGAAACATGGCTGCATTTTGTGTTGACCTGTAAAATTTTAATGATGCATTTGTGCCCTTGCAAAGAAATTCATTTGAGGCAATGCTTAGCTCAGGAGACTTATCAAGTCACCTCCAGTGCCTCTTAAGAAAAAGGGTAACATGTATTTGATTCTTTTGGTGCCCTTAGAGAAATTAAGTAAACGCAAGCTAGCATTTTGTGATGTATCAGCCACTATGTTGGGTGTTACATAGGCTTGTCTCACTTATTATACTTCTGTGATTATACTCTTTTATATACATGTGAAAATAGAAGCTAAGAAGCATTTTATAATTTGTCTATCACTTTTAGGTTTAGTGAGAATTTGCAGGAATGCATCATAGTAGCGTGGAATGATATTGTTTACTCTCCTAACTAAGTCTGTTCTCCGCTAATTAAGAGCATCATTTAGACCAAGCTTGTTCAACCTGTGGCCTGTGGGCCACGTGTGGCCCAGGACAGCCTTGAATGCAGCCCAACACAAAATTGCAAACTCTCTTAAAACATTATGTGATTTTTTTTTTTTTTTTTTTTAGCTCATCAGCTTTTGTTAGTGTTCATGTATTTTATGTGTGGCCCAAGACAATTCTTCCAGTGTGGCCCAGAGAAGCCAAAAGGTTGGACACCCCTCATTTAGACCCTTCCGTTTTCCTTATCCCTCACATTACATGTAATCCAAACGTTGTTAGGTTTTCCTTCAAAATACCTTGCATGAAGATCCTATTCTAGTCCTCTTAGGAATTATTACCTCTTCTCTGCTATAATAATAGAAGTAATAAAAATTAGACTTATCTAGCACCTTGCAGTTTACAAAATATTTACACATATTCTATCATCTTCATAAAGCTCTGTGAAATAGTTATTCTTTATATGTTCTGTTATAAAAACATTTTATTCATCTTCTTTCTAATTACCTCATTCACTTCTGTTTTATACATTGGGGCCAGATTAATATTTTTTATTTTGTTTATAACTGACACATAATAATTGTACATGCTTATGGGGTAGAGTGTGATGTTTCAATACATCTGTACATTATATAATAAAATAAGGGTAGTTAGCATGTTCATAGCCTTCAATCTTTATCCTTCCTTTGTGATAATAACTTTCAAGATTCTCTTGTCTAGCTATCTTGAAATATACAGTGCAGTAAGTTCTCACTTAACTTCATCAATAGGTTCTTGGACACTGTGATTTTAAGTGAAACCATGTATAAAGAAACTAATTTTACAGTGGGGTAATTGATAAAAACAAGAGTTAAGGCCAGGCACAGTGGCTCATGCCTGTAATTTCAGCACTTTGGGAAGCCGAGGTGGGTGGATCTCTTGAGCACAGGAGTTTGAGACCAGCCTGGGCAACATGGCAAAACCCTGTCTCTACAAAAATTAGCTGGATGTGGTGGTGCATTCCAAGATTTCTTGAGCCTAGGAGACTGAGACTGCAGTGAGCTGTGATTGCACCGCTGCACTCCAGCCTGGGCGACAGAGCAAGACCCCATTCCAAAACACCACCAGACCTGCCTTACAAGAGATCTTGAAAGGAGCAATAAATATAGAAAGGAAAGACTACTACCAGCTAATACAAAAACATACTTAAATATACAAACTAGTGAAACTATAAAGTAACCTCACAAACAAGCCAGCATAATAACCAGCTAACAACACATTGTCAGGATCAAATCCATACCTATCAATACTAGCCTTGAATGTAAACAGGCTAAATACCCCCATTTAAAAGTCACAGAGTGGGGCCGGGCGTGGTGTCTCACACCTGTAATCCCAGCACTTTGGGAGGCCGAGGTGGGCGGATCACAAGGTCAGGAGATTGAGACCATCCTGGCTAACACGGTGAAACCCCGTCTCTACTAAAAAATACAAAAAAATTAGCCAGGCATAGTGGCAGACGCCTGTAATCCCAGCTACTGAGGAGGCTGAGGCAGGAGAATGGCATGAACCCAGGAGGCAGAGCTTGCAGTGAGCCGAGATTGCGCCACTGCACTCCAGCCTGGGCGACAGAGCAAGACTCCATCTCAAAAGAAAAAAAAAAAAGTCACAGAGTGGCAAGCTGGATAAAAAGCAAGACCCAATAGTATGTTGTCTTCAAGAGACCCATGTCATGTAATGATATCCGTAGGCTCAAAATAAAAGGATGGAGGAAAATCTACCAAGCAAATGGAAAATAGAAAAAGGCAGGGATTGCAGTTCTAATTTCAGACAAAACAGACTTTAAACCAACAAAAATCAAAAAAGATAGAAGGACATTACATAGTGGTAAAAGGTTCAATTCAATAAGAAGACCTAACTATCCTAAGTATATATGCACCCGACACAGGAGCACCCAGATTCGTAAAGCAAGTTTTTAGATACCTACAAAGAGATGTAGACTCCCACACAATAATAGCAGCACTCCACTGACAGTATCAAACAGATGATTGAGGCAGAAAATTAACAAAGGTATTCAGGACCTGAACTCAACATTGCACCAAATGGATCTTACAGACCTCTACAGAGCTCTGCACTTCAAAACAACAGAATATACATTCTTCTCATCACCACATGGCATATACTCTAAAATCAACCACATATTTGGACATAAAACAATTCTCAGCAAATTCAAAAGAACCAAAATCATATCAAACACATTCTTGCACCACAGTACAATTAAAATGAAGGCCAAGGCTGGGCACTGTGGCTAACACCTGTAATCCCAGCACTTTGGGAGGCCAAGGTGGGCTGATTGCTTGAGCTCGGGAGTTCAAGACCAGCCTGGGCAACATGGCGAGACCCTGTCTCTACTAAAAATACCAGAAAAAAATAGGTGTGGTGATGTGCACCTGTGGTCTCAGCTACTTGAGAGGCTGAGGTGGAGGATTGCTTGCGTCTTGGGGAGGCGGAGGTTGCAGTGAGCCAAGATGGGGCCATTGTAGTCCAGCCTCGGTGACAGAGTGAGACCCTGTCTCAAAATAAATAAATAAATTGGCCGAGTTCAGTGGCTCACACCTGTAATCCCAGCACTTTGGCAGGCTGAGACAGGCGGATCACTTGAGTTCAGGAGTTCAAGACCAGCCTGGCCAACATGGTGAAACCCTGTCTCTACTAAAAATACAAAAATTAGCTAGGTGTGGTGGTACATGCCTGTAGTCCCAGCTACTCTGCTCAGGAGACTGAGTCAGGAGAATCACTTGAACGCAGGAGGCAGAGGTTGCAGTGAGCTGAGATCGTGCTGCTACACTCCAACCTGGGAGACAGAGCGAGACTCTGTCTCAAAAATAAATAAATAAATAAAATACACACATACATAGTAAAATAAAATAGAAGTCAAGACTAAGAAAATCACTCAAAACCATGCAGTTACATGGAAATTAAACAACCTACTCCTGAATGACTTTTGGGTAAATAATGAAATAAAGACAGAAATCAAGAAGCCCTTTGAAATTAATGAGAACGAAGATACAACATACCAGAGTCTCTGGGACACAGCTCAGGTAGTGTTTTTTTTTTTTTTTGAGACGGAGTCTCACTCTGTCACCCAGGCTGGAGTGCAGTGGCACGATCTCTGCTCACTGCAAGCTCCGCCTCCTGGGTTCACGCCATGTTCCTGCCTTAGCCTCCCGAGTAGCTGGGACTACAGGCGCCTGCCACCACGCCCGGCTAATTTTTTTGTATTTTTAGTAGAGACGGGGTTTCACTGTGTTGGCCAGGATGGTCTCGATCTCCTGACCTCGTGATCCGCCCATCTCGGCCTCCCAAAGTGCTGAGATTACAGGCGTGAGCCACTGCGCCCGGCCACAGCTCAGATAGTGTTAATAGGGAAATTCATAGCAATAAATGTCCACATCAAAAAGTTAGAAAGATCTCAAATTAACAACCTAGTATCACAATGAAAATAATTAGAGAAACAAGAACAATTCAACCCCACAGCTAGCAGAGAAGACAAAAAATAACCAAAATCAGAGATGAACCAAAGGAAATTAAGACATGAAAAACCATTCAAAAGATCAACAAATCTAGAAGTTGGTTTCTTGAAAAAAAAAATTGATAAATAGGCCACTAGCTAGACTAATAAAGAATAAAAGAGAGAAGATCCAAGTAAACACAATTAGAAATTATGAAGGGGATGTTACCACTGACCCCACAGAAATACAAACAGCCATCAGAGGCCAGGTGTGGTGGCTCATGCCTATAATCCCAGCATTTAGGGAGGCCAAGGTGGGTGGATCACTTGAGGGTCAGGAGTTCAAGACCAGCCTGGCCAGTATGGCGAAACCCTGTCTCTACTAAAAATACAAAAAAAATTAGTCAGGTCTGGTGGCGTGCACCTGTAATTTCAGCTGCTGGGGAGGCTGAGGTGGGAGAATCACTTGAGCCTGGGAGGTGGAGGTTGCAGTGAGCTGAGATTGCACCCCTGCACTCCAACGTGGGTGGCAGAGTGAGACTCCATGTCAAAAATAAAAATAAAAATAGCCATCAGAGGCCGGGCATGGTGGCTCACACCTGTAATCCCAGCACTTTGGGAGGCTGAGGTGGGCGGATCACCTGAGGTCAGGAGTTCAAGACCAGTCTGGCCAACATGGCAAAACCCTGTCTCTGCTAAAAATACAAAAATTAGCTGGACGTGGTAGTATGCACCTGTAATCCCACCTACTCGGGAGGCTGAGGCAGGAGAATCGCTTGAACCCGGGAGGCAGAGGTTGCAGTGAGCTGAGATCGCACCACTGCACTCCAGCCTGGGCCACAGAGCAAGACTCCGTCTCAAAAAAAAAAAAAAAAAAATAGCCATCAGAAACTGCTACAAACACCTCTGTGCACACAAGCCAGAAAACCTAGAAGGGATACATAAATTCCTGGACACATACACCTGCCCAAGACTGAAGGAAGAAATTGATTTCCTGAACACACCAAGAATGAGCTCCAAAGTCCAATCAGTAATAAATAGGCTACCAACCAAAAACCCAGGACCAGATGGATTCACAGCCTAATTCTACTGGATATGTAAAGAAGAACTGGTGCCATTTCTACTGAAACTGTTTCAAAAAGTTGAGGAGGAGTGACCTATGGCATACTTCTGATCACAAAAACATCACCAAACTTCTAGATAAAGGCCCAAAACACTTGTAATGTTAAACATTGAAATAAATGTGGGCTATACATACATTTAAGACAGATTAATAAAAACAAGATAATTACCCTTTTTTTTTGGTGAATCAGTGAGTGATGGCAGCACAATGGTAGTGGGTAAAATCAAGGAATAAATGTTTGCAAAGCAAAAATGGTAAGGAGAATATCCTACTACTGTGCAGTGCAAAAACAAATATAGCAGGCTCCTTGAGCACTTTTGTACTGCATTGTTGATTGTCTTGCATATGTATGATTACCATAGGCTAGAATTTTAATTTTACAATAATTTGTATTCATGCATTTTTCCAACCCACTTATCCCAGTTCAGGGTCTCAGGTTGCCAGACCCTATCCCAGCAGTTTAGGGCACAAGGTGGGAGTCAACCCTGGAGGAATGTCATTCCGTGGCGGGATGCTGACACACACACCCACATTCACTTATCCTGGGACAATTTAAACACCCCAGTTAGCTCAAAAACAATTGAAATAAAAAGAATAAAAAATGAAATACTGTGTGTTCCCTAAAAAACAAACAAAACACCCCAGTTAACCTAAGGTACACATCTTTGGGATGTGGGAAGAAACTGGAGTACCCAGAAGAAACCCACACAGACATGAGGAGAACATGCAAACTCTACACAGATGGTAGTTCTGGCTGGGAATTGATTTTTTTTCTCATCAGTGTTATAACATGAAATGATGTTATTTAAGGTCCTTTTGTTAGCTATAGTCATTCTACTACTTAATAGAACACTAGAACTTATTCTTAAAATCTCACTGTAACTTTGTACCCATTGACAAACCTTTCCTTATTCCTCTTCCTTCTCCCTCCCCAGCCTCTGATAACCACCATTCTGTTCTCTCCTATGAGATCAGCTTTCCTAGATTCCACATATAAGTGAGATGATGCAGGATTTGTGTTTCTGTGCCTGGCTAATTTCACTTAACATGTTCTCCATGTTTATTCCTTTGCCACAAATGACAGCACTTCCTTTTTATAGCTGAATAGTATTCTATTGTATATATGTACATTTTCTTTTCATCTATTGATGTACACTTAGGTTGATTTCATATCTTGGCTATTGTCAATATGCTGCAGTAAACATGGGAGTGCAGATATCTTTTTGGCATACTGGTTTCCTCCCCTCCCCTCCCCAATTTTATTTAAAAAATAAAATTTATTTTACTTTATTTTTTTGTAGAGATGGGTTTTGCCATGTTGTTCAGGCTGGTCTTGAACTCCTGGGCTCAAGTGATCCTCTCACCTTGGCTTCCCAAAGTGTTGGAACTACAGGCATGAGCCACCATGTCTGGCTGACATACTGGTTTCAATTCCTTTGAATATATACCCAGTAGTGGAATTGTTGGGTCATATGGTAGTTTTGTTTTTAATTTTTTGAGAACTCTTCATATTGTTTTCCATAATGGCTGTACTAATCTACATTCCTACCAACAGAGTATAAAAATTTCCCTCTCTTCACATTCTTGCCAGCATTTGTTTTTTTGATAATTGCCATTTTAACTGGAGTGAGGTGGTTTCTCATTGTGGTTTCGACTTGATTTCCCTGATGATTTGTAATGTTGAACATTTTGTCATGTATCTGCTAGCCATTTGAATGTCTTCTTTTGAGAAATGTCCATTTTGGTTTTTTGCCCATTTTTAAATTGGATTATTTGGGGTTTTTTGTTAGTGAGTTGTTCAAGTTCCTTATATGGTCTGGATATTAACCCTTTGTCAGATGAATAATTTGCAAATATTTTTTCCCTCTAGGTTGTCTCTTCACTCTGTTGAGAAACTTTTAAATTTGATATAATCCCATTTGCCTGTTTTCACTTTTGTTGCCAGTGCTGTTTTTCTTTTTCTTTTCTTTTCTTTTTTTTTTTTTTTTTTTGAGATAAGGTCTCGCTTTGTCTCCCAGGCTGGAGTGCAGTGGCACAGTCTTGGCTCACTTCAACCTCCTCCTCCTGGGTTCAAGTGATTCTCCTGCCTCAGCCTCCCAAGTAACTGGGATTACAGGCGTGCACCACCACGCCCAGCTAAATTTTTGTATTTTTAGTAGAGGTGGGGTTTCGCCATGTTGGCCAGGCTGGTCTTGAACTCCTGTCCTCAAGTGATCCACCCACCTCGGCCTCCCAAATGCTAGGATGAGAGGCATGAGCCTGCTTTGCTTTTGAGGTCCCATCCAAAACATCTTTGCCTAGAGAATGTCATGAAGCATTTCCCTTGTGTTTTATTCTAGTAGTTTTATAGTTTTGGGTCTTACATTTAAGTCTTTAATTCATTTTGAGTTGATTTTTGCATAAGGTGAGAGATAAGGGTCTACTTTCTTCCTTCTATGTGTGAATATCCAGTTTTCCTAGTACCATTTATTGAAGAGACTGTTTTCCCCAGTGTATATTCTTGGCATCTTTGTCGAAAATCAGTTACCTGTAAATGTGGAGATTTATTTCTGAGTTCTCTATTCTGTTTCACTTGTGTGTTTTTATGCCAGTGCCATGCTGCTTTGGTTACTATAGTTTTCTAGGAGATTTTTGCATTGGGTAGAGTGATTCTTTTGGCTTTGTTCTTTTTGCCCAAGATTATTTTGGCTATTTGGAATCTTTTGTGGTTCCATATGAATTTTAGGATTTTTTTTTCTCTTTCTGTGTTGAATGTCATTGGTATTTTGATAGAGATTGCATTGAATCTTGTAGATCGCTTTGGGTGGAATGGACATTGTAACAATATTCTTCCGATTTTTTATTTTTATTTTTTTTAAGAGACAAGGTCAGGGGCTGGGTGTGGTGGCTTGTTCCTGTAATCCCAGCACTTTGGGAGGCCAAGGCGGGTGGATCACGAGGTCAGTGGATCATGAGGTCAGGAGATCTAGATCATCCTGGCCAATATGGTGAAACCCTGTCTCTACTAAAAATTCAAAAATTAGCAGGGTGTGGTCCTCATGCCTATAGTCCCAGCTACTCAGGAGGCTGAGGCAGGAGAATTGCTTGAACCCGGTAGGCAGAGTTTGCATTGAGCCGAGATCGTGTCGCTGCACTGCAGCCTGGCAACAGAGCGAGACTCTGTCTCCAAAAAAAAAAAAGAGACAAGGTCTTGTTTTGTCACCTCGGCTGGAGTGTAGTGACATGATCTCAAAGATCCTAGACTCAAACATTCTTCCCATCTCAGTCTACCTACTAGCTAGGATTATAGGCACTTACCCCTACACCTGGCTAATTAAAAATTTTTTTTTGCAGATGCAGTGTCTCATATGTTGCTTAGCTGCTCTCAAACTCCTGGCCTGAAATGATCCTCCTGCCTTGGCCTCCTGCTAAAGTGCTGGCAGTAATAGGCATAAGCCACTGTGACTGGCCAATTTTCTTCCAATGGATATATTTCATTTTTGGTGTGTGTGTTCTTCAGTTTCTTTTGTTGGTATTTTATAGTTTCCCTTGTAGAGATCATTCACCCCTTTGGTTGAATTTATTCCTAGGTTTTTTTTTTTTTTTAAAGCTATTGTAAATGGGATTGTCTTCTGTATTAGTCTGTTCTCATGCCAGTAATAAAGACATACCCAAGACTGGCTAATTTATAAAGGAAAGAGGTTTAATTGATTCATAGTTCCACATAGCTGGGAGGCCTCACAATCATGGCAGAAAGCAAAGGAGGAGCAAAGTCACATCTTACATGGCAGCAGGCAAAGAGAGCATGTGCAAGGGAACTCCCCTTTATAAAACCATCAGATCTTGTGAGACTTATTCACTATCATGAGAACAGCATGTGAAAAACCCACCCCATGATTCAGTTACCTCCCTCTGGGTCTCTCCCACTATACATGGGACTTATGGGAGCTATGATTCAAGATGAGATTTGGGTGGGGACACAGCCAAACCATATTTCCTCCCACACACTGTGTGCTCCGATTATATTCTCAATTTCTTTTTCCACTGGTTTGTTTTTGGCATTAGAAATGCTACTAATTTTTGTATGTTAATTTTGTATCCTGTAACTTTACTGAATTCATTTATTCTAATAGTTTTTTGGTGGAGTCTTTGGGATTTTCTATATATATGATTATGTGGTCTGCAAACAGGAACAGTTTGATTTCCTCCTTTCCTATTTGGATGCCCTTTCTTTTGCCTCATTGGTCTGGATAGGGCTTTGAATACTATGTTGTATAAAATTGGTGAAAGTGGGCATCCTTGTCTTGTTCTAGTCTTTTGAGGAAAAGCTTTTAATTTTTCCCCATTCAGTCTGATATTAGCTGTGAGTTTGTCATATATGGCCTTTATTATGTTGAAATGTGTTCCTTTTATGCCTAATTTATTGAGAGTTTTTATCATGAAGGGATGTTGAATTTTATCAAATGTCTTTTCTGTGTCTGTTGAGATGATCATATGGTTTTTGTCTTTCATTCTGTTCATGTGACGTGTCACGTGTATTGATATGCATATATTCAAGCATCCTTAACATCCCCGGGATACATCCCATGTGATCATGGTGAATCATCTTTTAGTGTGTTGTTGGATTTAGTTTGTTAGTATTTTGTTGACGATTTGTGCCTCTGTTTTCATCAGGGATATTGGCCTGTAGTTTTATTTTGTTTTATCCTGGCCTGGTTTTGGTATCAGTGTAATGCTGGACTCAGAATAAGTTTAGAAGTATTATTCCCCTCCTCTTTGGTTTTTTGAAATAGTTTGAAAAGAATTTATATTTTTTCTTTCAATGTTGGATAGAATTCAGCAGTGAAGCCATCAGGTCCTGGGCTTTTTCTTTGCTGGGGGAGTCTTTATCATTGCTTCCATCTTATTACTTGTTATTCTCTTCAGGTTTTCTATTTCTTCTGACTCAATCTTGGTAGGTTGTATGTATGTTTCCAGGAACTATTCCATTTCTTCAGATTTTTAAACATTTGTTCTCATATAGTTGTCAGATTAATATTGTAAAAATACAACTTTCACCATTTGCTTTTCCCCTTCGTTCACAGCAAACCGAAGAATGAAGTTAAAACTCCTATATTTGCATTTAGGATTATCTATAATCTTATTCTAAACTAGCCTTTCTTTTTTATCACCCAAGAACTTTCTCACAAGAACTTTCTACATATATCAAGTCAAGTTGTTCACTTTAGCATCTCTTACCTACTGAATGTCAGATACTATGTTTGTTTCTAGGGATAAAAAGATGAATTAAACGTTACTGTCCTCTGGAAATTTACTGCCGAGTGGAAGTAAAAAATATATGCATAAATAATTATAGGTAGAAGTTTATGAAATTGGGTGCTGGCTTAGTCTTAAGACTAGAAAGTATATTTAGAAAAGGGCTTTTTTTTTTTTTTTTTTTTTTTTTGGTAAACAAAAAGGCATAAAACCACAAGGAACCAAAAAAATGGAAGAGAAAGTGAAAACAGACTGAGAAATGTTAACAAAATTTTGGAAGCTGAAACACAGATGGTTAGGTGGTAACTGACTTAGCACTCCAGACAAGGCTGAGTGCCTGAAGGGGCAGGCCGGTTAATGCTATAAAATATACCAGATAGGCTTAGGAATTGGAGACACTAGGAACTTCACAAAGGTGGGATGCAGAAGGGGCTAAAAATGGAAAATTTAGTTGAAAGTCAACTGCACTGTGAAAAGCGGCTGCCCAGCTAAATGCAGGAAAAATAAGGAAAAGGTTGCACACTGAGCCTGGGAGCGGTGGCTCAAACCTGTAATCCCAGCACTTTGGGAGGCCAAGGCAGGCGGATCATGAAGTCAAGAGATCGAGCCCATCCTGGCCAACATGGCGAAACCCCGTCTCTACTAAAGATACAAAAACTAGTTGGTCATGTTGGCGCGCACCTGTAATCCTAGCCGCTCCAGAGGCTGAGGCAGGAGAATCGCTTGAACCATGGAGGCAAAGGTTGCAATGAGCTGAGATCATGCCACTGCGCTCCAGCATGGGCAACAGAGCGAGACTCTGTCTCAAAAAAAAGAAAAAAGAAAAAGGTTGCACACTGAATGATGAGACTCCTCAAGACTTCTTGTGGAAGAAACAAATATGTAAGTGCCCAGGATTTCTTTGAACTCTTGCTTTTTTTTTTTTTTTTTTTTGAGATGGCGTTTTGCTCTTGTTGCCCAGGCTGGAGTGCAGTCGTGTGATCTCCGCTCACTGCAACCTCTGCCTCCTGGGTTCAAGCTATTCTCCTGTCTCAGCCTCCCAATTAGGTGAGATTACAGGCATGCACCACCACACCTGGCTAATTTTGTATTTTTAGTAGAGACGGGGGTTTCTCCATGTTGGTCAGGCTGGTCTCGAATTCCTGACCTCAGGTGATCCACCCACCTTGGTCTCCCAAAGTGCTGGGATTACAGGCGTGAGCCATTGCGCCTGACTGCATCTTTTTCTTCAAAAGAAATCTATGCACAATTTCTATAATATAGTAGGTTTGTTTTTATGTAAATAAAAAGACTTTATCCAAATCTTCAAATGAAAATTAGGATCCAAGAAAAGTGTATCTTACTTGTCCTGTAGCTTAGTGCACAAAGGCCTTGGCACACTTCCAAGTACCCACAGGTACATACCTCAGAGTGGGGACCTGGCATTGGATATTATTCATAACCTGTCCTTAGCTTAGTGGATGTTTATGGCTTTTCTTCTGTTTCTTCCCACACACTATGTGCTCCGATTATATGGGTCTACCCACAGTATATCACATCCTGTGCATTTTCTATCATTTATCCATATCATTGTTCAAATTAGTATTTTTTAAAAATAGAAAATGCCTTTTATTCTCTCCTCTGTTCATCCGTCAGGACTCACTTCAAGTGCTGCTTGTGCCCAAATTCACTACCCTCCGTATCCAAGCTCTTCTACTGACTCATTTGTATTTCTGTTTTAACACTCACTATATCATGTGATTTATTTGACACACTTTTGAGCCACCACATACAAGACCTTGTGTGAGGAGCTAGAATACAGTCTATGAAGGGTGAGAACTGAGGTTGCTCATCTTAGATGTCTGGTATCTGTGTAGATGGGCATTAAATATTCACATGCTTTTCCCTACTTCTGTTCTCTTATTTTTCTAGTTAATCTTGTACTACCTCACAATGCTCATGCAAAATCACAGATCTTATCAGGTCATAAAACCTTTCATTTTAAACTTTAAGATAGCATTGATGTTCTGCAATTATACAGGAAGTAGGAACAGGGAAAAATGGTATTAATGGCTTTTTTTTTTTTTTTTTTGAGACGGAGTCTTGCTCTGTTGCCCAGGCTGGAGTGCAATGGTGCGATCTCGGCTCACTGCAACCTCTGCCTCCCAGGTCAAGCGATTCTCCTGCCTCAGCCTCCTGAGTAGCTGGGATTACAGGTGCACACTACCACGCCTGCCTAATTTTTGTATTTTTAGTAGAGACAGGGTTTCACCATGTTGGTCAGACTGGTCTCCAACTCCTGACCTCTTGAGCCACCTGCCTCGCCCTCCCCAAGTGCTGGGATTACAAGTGTGAGCTGTAATTAAGTTCTTAGGGTTAAGCCTGTGCTAAAATTAGTTGGTTTTGTTTTGTTTTTTGTTGTTGTTGTTTTTGAGACAGAGTTTTGTTCCTCTCTCCCATGCTGGAGTGCAATGGCATGATCTCAGCTCACCACAACCTCTGCCTCCCAGGTTCAAGTGATTCTGTTGCCTCAGTCTGCTGAGTAGCTGGGATTACAGGTGCCCACCACTACCCCCAACTAATTTTTGTATTTTTAGTAGAGACAGAGTTTCACCATGTTGGCCAGGCTGTTCTCGAACTCCTGACCTCAGGTGATCCACCCACCTCAGCCTCCCAAAGTGCTGGGATTACAGGCATGAGCCACTGCACCTGGCCCTAAAACTAGTTTTAAGTCACAGTAACAATGCTCATTTCATTTCAGGAAGAGCTGTCCTGAAAAATCTTTGCGCAGAGTCACATCTGGTGTGCAAGAAGTCCTGGGCCAAATTAAAGTTTTAATCGGCCTGGGAATTGGCTGTTTGTTACTGCCTCATCTGTTCCTCTCTTACTTATTACTATCCTTTTTATAATTTCATGAAATATATTTTAAAATGGCTTTGGTGGGAACATTAATAAGAAACATAAAGTAACCTTTAGAAGGTTAATGCAAACACTATATATATGAGAGAAATGCCTATTTTTGACTTGTGCTCCCCTAAAAAAGAAGTTATTCATCTTATGGTTTCTGAGGTGTTTGACCTAAGAAACCAACCTGTTAGTCTTCTTTTTATCTTACTTGCAGACAAAAATTATTCCTAAATTAGTGTACTCTTTGACACGTAAAGGTACTCGCAATCTGATGGCAGTATGAAAAGTTTAATGATGTAGTTATATTGCAGAGGGCCTTCTGTTGTCTAGAGGTTTGTAAATGAGAATTTGTATTGTAAGCAGCTTTTTTTGTTTGTTTGTTTATTTATGAGATGGAGTCTCACTCTGTTGCCCAGGCTGGAGTACAGTGGTGTAATCTTGGCTTACTGTAGCCTACACCTCCTGGGTTCAAGCGATTTTCCCACCTCAGCCTCCCAAGTAGCTGAGATTACAAGTATTCACCACCACCCCCGGCTAATTTTTGTATTTTTAGTAGAGACAGGGTTTCACCATGTTGGCCAGGCTGGTCTTGAACTCCTGACCTCAAGTGATCCACCTGCCTCAGCCTCCCAAAGTGTTGGGATTACACCACACCCAGCTTGTTTTTTTATTTATAAAAACAATGCATTATATAAAAATCAGAAAATACTAAAATAGTAAAACTATTTTATATTCCTTTTATATTCTTTTTCACGCACATATATTCCGCTATGTATTACAGAAATATAACATTTACTGGTATATTTTAAAAATAGTTATGCTGTACGTACAGTACCAATAACTTTTAATCAGTCGAGATTTTGAGTGTTTTATATGTGCTGAACATGGTCTTAAGCACCATAGGGTATTGAGAAAACTTAAAATCCCTATCCTCAAGATATTTACACTCTAGCTGGATAAGAAGGCAAACGTGTAAGAAGAGATGCGAAGTTCAGTGCAGTGGCTGAACTACATGATATGTACTAAGCACTCAGGAGGAATTAAAGTTAAGGCTTCCAAGGATTAGTGAGGATGGGGAGGTGAGAGGAGCTGAGTATCCAGCATATATTACAGGTTCAGTAAGTGAATGTTGTTGCTCTGGCCCTCATCATCATTCCAAGTTCTTAGTCTAAACGTCTGGGAATATTGATTACATTTGTAGAAATAGGAAAGTTTAAAGGAAAAACCGTTATTGCAGGAAGAACTTTGAGATGTGTAAGTGTTGTCTAGCTGAAGATCTGTTTCCTGTAAATAGTTAAAGATATAAGTCTGTTGTTCTGGTAAACAGTCAAAACAGCTTTGAGAATCATCTCCTTACAAGCAGTAGATGAATTCTCCAAAAGTAGGTTTGGGCAATAATTGGTTTTATTCACACTGTCCTTTATGCCATCCAAAGTTGACACGAAATACCATGACAAAATATATAGAATTCTATTTGCCAGTTAGTTCGAAGAATGAAGGTTTGTGTTTATTGTGCCAAGAGCTAAAATCTCTTTGAAATTCTGGCATTTCTTCTTGAATTGCCTTGTGGCTTAATAGTTGGGAAATATTAATATGCATGCATGTGTGTGTGTGTGTGTGTGTGTGTGTGTGTGTGTGTGTGTAAGAGAGATTTGTTTTCTCTTTTAGGAAAATTCTCAGGTATAGCTTAAATTTCTAAATTTTCAAGCTGTTCTAGCCTTGCTAGATCTCATTATCTCTGTAGCTTTTCGCTTATAAATCAAGTTTCATTTATGTGAACAGCATTGGGAATATAACCTTTCTCATGACCCTGTAAGCTAATATTTTGCTTTGCTTTTCCCAGAATAAATGTCACTAAAACATATACATTCTGCTTTCCTCTTAGGTAAAAATCTCTACACCAATGAATATGTAGCAATCAAACTGGTGAGTAGAATCTGTTTGTGGTAATTAATGTTTTGGTGCTCCCATTGCTTATATCTTTTTATAGGAAATAGTTTTAAGCATTCATTCGCAAAACTGCTAATGGTTTGGGGTTTTTTTTGTGTATGATCCCACATTTTTCTTCATTTATAGTGTTAACAGTGATGAATCACTGTATACTATATAACACTATATAGTTAAATGATACTAACTTTAGTGTTAGCAATGATGACTCAAAAATTAGTTGATTAAAAAAAGCTGGAAGAACTAGTAACTCTGTGAACTTAATCTTTCACAGAGGTATCTTAAAAAGATAAAATCATTCAAAAATTTTACTGTTTTTTTCTCTAACTTAACTGATTTATTTTTTGTACTTAGAAGAAAATCATAACTGATCATCTAATCATGGCCTTAAAAATCTGTCAAGCATGGAAAACATACCATATGGTCATATTAGAAGCAAAGAAGTCAATTGGTATATTAGTACTAACCTTGTGAATAATTAAACTAGTCATAGAAAATGATATCCTATTTAAAAAAGTAATAATTTTATTATTTTTGAGGACTAATAATTTTAAAAGACAGAATTCTTTATCTTATATTTAAGGTTGATAACAAAACCATTTTTTCATGTGAAATGTTTCGTATGACTAGTTTCACTGAAACTCTGTGTTTGTCCTCATAGTAAGTGTCCCAGGATTTACAGGTAGCTTTGTTTTATTAGTTGGAAGCCAGAGGAGTTAATGGTTGAAGGAAATTGAAGGAAATCTATGCTATTCTTTTCTTTTCTTTTTCTTTCTTTCTTTATTTTTTTTTTTTTGGAGACAGGGTCTCACAGTGTTGCCCAGGCTGGAGTGCAGTGATGTGATCTTGGCTCACTGCAACCTCCGCCTCCTGGGCTCAAGCAATCTTCCCACTTCAGTCTGCCTCCTAAGTAGGTGGGACTACAGACTACATGCCACCACACCTGGCTAATTTTGTATTTTTTGTAGAGATGGGATTTCATCATGTTGCCCAGCTCGGCCTCCCAAAGTGCTGGGATTACAGGCGTGAGCCACCACGCCTGGCATTGTTATTTTCTAATGAATTGCACTTACCACATCCACACTTGTTCTGTGATTGGTTGTTCTTCTCATCCAGCTTGCTTGTGGAGGAGTTAGGGTTGTCTTGTGAGGAACTGACAGTTACCAGATTTGTTTCCCTACAAAGGGGTGGGTGGACAGGGAGCAGGGCTTAGAGCAGCAGGTACCTTCTAGGAAACCAAGTATTTTTGTATTTTGACTTGGAACTCTTGTTGGATAGATGGGAGCAGGAAGAGAGGTAATACATGTAACAATGCAGGTCAAATATCCTCTTAGATTGAATATTAGAGGATTAACCGAACAGACACAGTGGCTCATGCCTGTAATTCAAGCACTTTAGGAAGCCAAGGCAGGCAGATTGCTTGAGCCCAGAAGTTCAAGACCAGCCTGGGCAACAAGGCAAAACCCTGTCTCTACAAAAAATACAAAAAATTAGTCAGGTATGCTGGCACACACCTATAGTCCCCACTACTTTGGAGGCTGATGTGGAAGAAGTCACCTGAGCCCAGGAAGTCGAGACTGCAGTGAGCTGAGATTGCTTGCACCTCTGCACTCAGCCTGGGTGACAGAGTGATACCCTGTCTCAAAAAAATAATATTAACCATATTTTTTAATTTATAGGAATTTGGTTATTCTTAAAAGTGTTCTCTAGTACACCTGCTTTTTTTACTTTTTCTGTTTTATTATTCTGATAAGTTGGAATAATCTTTGATTATTTGGGACTTCTAAGAGAACAAAGCACTTCCTAAAACACTTTAAAAATTTGCTACATTACTACATATTTGTTAGGCTTTCTGTTAGGGACAGTTCTTTCATCTTGATTTCTTCTGCCAGGTTATACCAATCAACCTGTATAGATAAGCTTACATAACATATTGTTGACATGATTGATCGTTACATTTCATTTCCTTTTTAAAAACTTTTATTCTGCTTTGTATGGCCACTATTTAAAGCTAAAAATGGAACTCTTACAATCTAGTATGGTGTGACTCAGTACCGCATTTCTCTTTCAAATAAGTCTCAAAGCCATTTTAGAGGATAACAGTTTTGTCTACAGGCTTTCATTCTTGCTTTTGGGCTTCTGTTCTCCAAAGGAAGATATGAAGGCAGTAATTGAGCTCTTTGGATTGTAATGGTCAATTTGCCTTAAGCACTACACTCCTATAAGGTAGCTGTCTGCTGTTTGTTTAGGATTTTAGGCAGGCATATGTTTTCCAGAATATGGTAAATATTCTGGCAAATGCACAGCCCTCTATGGAAATGTAATCAGCATCTGGCACAGAAATGCAAGGAAGCTCTGCTGCTGCTGTTTCTGTTGTACTTTGTTTGGATCTTCATTGTGGACTCTTTTTTCTTAGATTTCTTAGATTTCTAAAAACCTTTAAAAAAATCGTACACAAAGTAAACAAAATAGTGTAATGAGCCCCTCCTTTATCCATCACCCACATTTCTAGGGTTCTTTTTAACAGAGGTTTTCTAACAGTTGGGTTTAAAAAAAAATCTCCTGTGCTGCTAATATTGCTGCCTTCTGTAGTCTGTAGACTGAGTTTTGCAATGCCTTCTACTTATAGTGCTTCCAGAAAAGCACCTTGAAGCCCAATTGGCTGAGCAGGCTATGGCCATGTGCTAAGGAGTTGGCTGAAGTGTGTAATTCTCTCAGTCTTCATAATAAGACCCTCATGTCTGAATATATGTGATGTGTATGCCTTTCAACCCTTGAACTCTATGGAGTTTTGCATTTTTAATTTACTAGCTTGGCTACCCAACGTCAGATTGAATATTTTCTATTATGCTTTCCAGCATGAAGATTGAGAGTATAATATTTGAGGAAGGATGTGTGGTTTTTAAAATTCATTGCCTCTGTGGTTTGTCAGAATCCAAAAGCGATTTCTCTGGAAAGAATAGTCCCTTTTCTAGTGTTTTGATCGACTTCTAGTTCCATGTTGATTTGTCATCACTGTTTCTGTTTGGTTCCTTGTGAATTCTTAGTTATTTTGCTAATGGAAAAATTCTATACCTGGCTGCTTTGATAGTGATTCAGTGGAATATCTGCAACCAGATGGAGACATAAGAGTGATATGATACCTCTCTATCTGAAGAGATAAATAAGAAAGGGACTCTACAGTATAATTAGTCTTATGTACTTTTCTTTTTACTGAAAGTCTTGAGACACTTGAAGTCCAACTCTAATGATTGCTGATTTTATACTCAAACAAGGGTATGAGTTCTTTCTTCATAGCGCTTCCTACAGATACAAACATTCCAGTCTGGCCTGAATTGATTTAGAGAAAATCTTCCTAGAAGCAGAGGGATAGACTAGACAACTTCGGAGAAACTTCTGAATTCTTTGATTAATGGATTCTATATCTTAAGAAAAATGCAGAAAACTTCAAGTGGATTCAGGAAAGAGCCTTCAAAGATGATCAAAGAATTAAAAACTAGGACCAATGAGGAAAGGTGAAAGGAATTTGAAATTACTTTGCCTAAGAAAAGAAAGTCTAGGAAAGCCTGAGAAAAGTAAGTTTTGTTATTTGAAGAGAGCTACTTAATAGTATTCGTGGTTATTGAGGAGCTTTTTTATTTTTTTGCTGAGGACTTAAGAAAAATAGGCTTAAGTTTCAGTAGTGAGATTTGAGTATAATATAAAAGTGTTCCAAACCATGAAACTTGTTCAACATCAGCATGAATTGTCGAGGGAAGTTATGGAATCTCCTTCCTTGGAGTCTGTCTTAAACATAAGACAAATAGGCGGGGTGTGGTGGCTCATGCCTGTAATCTCAGGACTTTGGGAGGCTGAGGTGGGTGGATTACGAGGTCAGGAGTTTGCGACCAGCCTGGCCAATATGGTAAAACCTCGTCTCTACTAAAAATACAAAAATTAGCCGAGTGTGGTGGTGTGCATCTGTAGTCTCAGCTACTTGGGAGGCTGAGGCAGAAGAATTGCTTGAACCCGGGAGGTGGAGGTTGCAGTGAGCTGAGATTGTGCCATTGCACTCCAGCCTGGGTGACAGAGTAAGATTCCATCTCAAAAGAAAAAAGAAAAAAAGGACAAATAACTACTCATTGGGGGAAAGGACAGTCTTTTCAACAAATGATGCCAGAAAAACTGGATACCCACATAACAGTGAAGTTGGATTCTTACTTTACATTGTATTCAACAATTAATTCAGAGTGGATCAAAGACCTAAATGTAAGATTGAAACTATAATATTTTACTAGAATACACATGGGAAAAGCTTCATGACATTGGATTTGGCAGTGATTTCTTGGATATGACACCAAAATCACAGACAACAAAAGAAAAAAACTAGCTAAGTTGGACTTCAGCAAAATTTAAAACTTTTGCACACTGTCAACAGAATTCTAAAAAGGGCAACCCATGGAAAGGAATAGGAGAAAATAATATTATCTAATAAGAGATGATATCCAGAATTTACCATTATAACAGTTTTTTAAAGTGCAGTGGCATTGGCCAGGTGCAGTGGCTCACACCTGTAATCCCAGCACTTTGGGAGGCCAAGGCAGGCGGATCACCTGAGGTCAGGGGTTTGGTACCAGCCTGACCAACATGCAGAAACCCCATCTCTACTAAAAATACAAAAATTAGCCAGGTGTGGTGGTGCATACCTGTAATCCCAGCTACTTGGGAGGCTGAGGCAGGAAAATCGCTGAACCAGGAGGCAGAGGTCGTGGTGAGCCAATATCATGCCATTGCACTCCAGCCTGGGCAACAAGAGTGAAACTCCGTCTCAAAAAAAAAAAAAAAAAGTTCAATGGCATTAAGTACATTTACATTGGTGTACAACCATCACCACCATCCATCTCCAGAACTTTTTCATCTTCCCTAACTGAAATTTTGTATCTGTTAAACACTAACTCCTCATTCTCCCCTCCCCCCAACCCCTTGGCAACCACCATTCTGTCTGTCTCTATGAATTTGACTACACTAGATACTTAATTTTTTTTATTGTTTGTTTTTTTGGAGACGGAGTCTTGCTCTGTCGCCCAGGCTGGAGTGCAGTGGTGCGATCTAGGCTTGCTGCAGTATCCACCTGCCGGGTTCAAGCAATTCTCCTGCCTCAGCCTCCTGAGTAGCTGGGACTACAGGCGCACGCTGACACTCCTGGCTCATTTTTTGTATTTTAGTAGAGACGGGGTTTCACCGTGTTGTCCAGGCTGGTCTCGAACTCCTGAGCTCAGGCAATCCACCCGCCTCAGCCTCCCAAAGTGCTAGGATTACAGGCGTGAGCCACCGCGCCTGGCTACTGGGTACTTAATATTAAGTAGACTCATTCAATATTTGTCCGTTGTAACTGGCTTATTTCACTGAGCATGATGTCCTCAAGGTTTGCCCGTGTTGTAGCATGTGTCAGAATTTCCTTTTTAAGGTTGAATAATACTTCACCCTATGTATATACCCAATTTTGTTTATCCATTCATCCAATTATGCACACTTAGGTCGCTTCCACCTTTTAGTTATTGTGCATAATAATGCTATAAACATGGATGTACAAATAAATCTGAGTTCCTGCTTTCACTTCTTTGGAGCATCTATCCAGAAATAGAATTGTAAATCATAATGATTCTGTCTTTAATTTTTTGAAAAATTGCCATGCCATTTTCCAGAGCGGTCGCACCATTTTGCATTCCCATCAGCAGTGCACAAGGGTTCCAGTTTCTCCACATCCTCATCAACACTTGTTATTTTTCTGTTTTTGATAATAGCCATCCTAATGGGTGTGCAGATGTTGAGCTTTATTTTATTTATTGATTGATTGAGACAAGGTCTCACTCTGTCGCCCAGGCTGGAGTACAGTGGCACAATCACAGCTCCCTGCAGTCTTGATCTCTGGGACTCAAGCAATCCTCCCACCTCATCCTCCTGAGTAGCTGGGACTACAGGAGCGTGCCTCCCTGCCAGGCTAATTTTTTAATTTTTGGTAGAGACAAGGTCTCCCTATGTTGCCCAGGCTGGTCTCGAACCCCTGGGCTCAAACAGTTCTGCCGTCTCAGCCTCCCAAAGTGCTGGGATTACAGGCATGAGCCACCATGCCCGTCCTATTTTATTTATTTATTTGTAAAGATGAGGTTTTGCTGTGTTGCCCAGGCTGGTCTTAAACTCCTGGTCTCCAGTGATCCTCCTGCCTCAGCCTCTGAAAGTGCTGGGTTGGCAGACATGAGCCACCATGTCAGCTACTGTTGAGGTTTTAAAGAGAGATTATAATGTGTTTAGGGTAATGTTTGGTTTTCTTGTTAGCCAGTTGCCCAGTACACTGTCAGTTTAGAATAATCAGCCAGCCAGTTGCTCAATTGGTATAGAGCAAAGTATGGTTGTTTGGCTGCTTTATCTCTGAGGTTTTTAGAAAACTCCATTTTTGGAAACTTGAACACCACATTGATTGAAGTTACATATTTTAATTGCATTTACAATCTTTAATTCTCAATAGTTTAAAAAGAAATATACATAAGGATGTTCCTAAAAGCATTGTTCATAATATTGGAAAATGAAAACAGTTCACGTGTCCAAAAATTATGGGGAGGGTGTGTATACATACATACATAAATACATATCCACATACAGGGCAATACTCAAACCATTAAAATAATATAAGCCAGGTGCAGTGGCTTATGCCTATAATCCCACAGCACTTTGGGTGGCTGAAGTGGGAGGATTGCTTGAGCCCAGGAATTTGGGACCAGCCTAGGCAGCATAGTAAGATCCTATCTCTACAAAAAATTAAAAATTAGCTGTGAGTGGTGGCACACACTTGTGGTCCCAGCCACTCGGGAGGCTAAGATAGGAGGATGACTTGAGCCTGGGAGGTTTTGACTGCAGTGTGCAAGACCCTGTCTTAAAAAAAAAAAGAAATTATACACGTTTATTTACCGCCATGGGAATATGTTATTACATTGTTGAATTCAATAGCACATTAATGAACAGCAAATATATTATAATCTCATTTATATAAAATTAAGTTCATTAGTCTATATTATATATATTAATACATATATAGATAAATAAATACTTTGAAAGACATTCACTAAAATGTTAATAGTGCCTCTCTTTAAAGTGACAGGATCACAGATGATTTTTACTTTCTTCCTAATTTTTGTATATTTGAATTTTCTTCTGAGCATGCATTATTTTTCTAAAAATAATAAAACCATGAACCACCCAAAATTCTGAACAAAACAAGCAGGAAATACATTCTGGTATTTTTTTATTTAAAGGTTTGGCATCAAGTTTCCTGGCAGAATACATTCCAGGAGAATATTTCATTGCAAGAAAGATATCCTTGAATGATAGCTCATGCAAAGTCTATTTTTATTTAACTATCCATGGAAGGACTTGTATGTAATTCACCTTCATCTTCTCTTAGCTATACTGTCCAAGACCAATTGTGGTTAGAAAAGGCTCTTATATATGGATATTATCTCTAAAACATTGGGTGATCTTAGCCCTCGTTTACTCCAAAAATTTAAGAATGGAAAAATCCCATTTGTTTAAATCTGATCACAGTTTTTCTTTTTGGATTTCAGGAACCAATAAAATCACGTGCTCCACAGCTTCATTTAGAGTACAGATTTTATAAACAGCTTGGCAGTGCAGGTAAGTCAAGTCTTTTCTCTCCACTTACTTAGTATGTATCTTAGCTGGAAGCCCTAAAATATACAAATTTTTTTGTCTGGTTTGCCCTTTTTACCAAACCATCTATCTCCCCTGCTTGCCGGATAGGTAAATAAACATAGTCAACCACAAAGCTACTTGCGCTCTGGTTCCTGGAGTTGAGTTGACAGGGGAACTGTGTTGCTATGACTATGCCCACAGACCAACCTGCAGATGCCTTCCACTTGTCAAATACTCATAGTGTGAAGGATTTGCTTTTCAGCAGTTCATTCTCTTTTCTTTACTTATACCAAAAGAAAGGAGGAAATGTTGGTAATTTGCAAAATATACTTTACCATACTGAGATGGTTTATCTGTTTTGAAGACATACTAAAATATACATTCTGAAATATTACAGAACCGTCATTTTATCCATTGTCCTCATTAATTTGCAAGAGCTATCCATATGATTGTAATAACCTATGACCTTCGGCAATTTTTAAAAATTAAGTTAATCACTGTAAAAAATGTTTGTTTTTACCAAAAAGCTCTAATTTCTCAAATATCTTACTGGCTTCCAGAAAAATGTTTTGCTAATGTTTACCTGTAGGGACAAGTCTCTCAGAAGATGAAATCTTTCAGAGCTATTTTCACTATTTGACATTAGTAGAATTTCCTCTGCTTTATGCCCCCTTCACTGTGACAGGTTTTATATGAATGACTAAAGCTTGGTTTCTATTTTTTTTTTCTTTCTTTCTTTCTTGTTTTGGAGACAGGGTCTCACTCCCATCACCCAGACTGGAGTGCAGTGGCACGATCACGGCTCACTGCAGCCTGGGCCTTCTAGGCTCAAGCAGTTCTCCTGCCTCAGCCTCCTGAGTAGCTGGTACTGTAGGCATGCACCACCACACCAGGCTAATTTTCTGTATTTTTAGTAGAGATGGGGTTTTGCCATGTTGCCCAGGCTGGTCTTGAACTCCTGGGCTCAAGTGATCCTCCTGCCTTCAGCCTCCCAAAATGCTGGGATTACAGGCATGAGCCATCATACTGTTTGTTCTATTTCAAGTAACCCTATGAAGGTACTACTGAAGGAATTTGAGTTCTGCATCCTAAAATATTTAGAATTATATGAGTCATTGTGTGTTATTCAAGTTTTATTATACCCTGACTATAGCAATAATCAGCTATAGTTATAACCCAGGGAGCCCACAATGGACTTGTCTTTCATTGAACTTAATATGAATTCTTGCTCACAGTAGCCTCTCAGTATATATTTGTTAATTGATTGGAGTGTTTTTGGCATAAGATTTAAGACTGGCAACTGAGTTCACAGGGTGTATACATAACTTGAGGCTTATCTTCCCACATGCCCCAGGACTACATTTTAATTGTTGTTCCTCTTACATTCCTGGTTTTATAATGTTGTTAAGTTATTCTAGGTTTCATAAGTTTTAGGGAAAAGACTGTCACAGCCCATTTATGATAAGCATGTTTGTATATGTCTCATAAATCCAAGGGTCAGGTAACAACATGCTTAATCCAGTCCAGCTTAGAAGTTTAAGTGGGGAAGTGGACAGGCCAGTTTTCAGGATTTCCTCTGTAAGCCCTTTCAAATAGATCCACCAAATCAGACCAATCTTCCCTTTTCAATATAGAGCCAAAAAAAATCTAATGTATTTGTTAGGTAGGAATAACATCTGTGCTGCTGGGTTGGTACTCTTCCCAAATACAGAAAATTGCAAGCTCTTGAAGTTTCAGCATTCTCTGTGCACTGAAAGCGAGGAGTAAACAGGGAGGGCATTAGAGGAAAGGTGACTATACAAATTGCTTTTCACTTAAGCAGCAAGGAAAAACTGGAATCTCTGAGACTGGTATATCCATCATTGTCATGAGTGGGAATAGGAGGGCTCTGTTGTACTGGTTAGGCCAACTGTTGACTCATAGTCAGGTAGGCTGGCCATCGTTGGTCTGTCTCCCAGTACCTTTTCTAACAAACATGTAAAGGTCACAAAGCCTTCTAGGTCCTATATGCAGTTCAGTGGTGACTACTGGCCTCTTTTCTGCTTCTTGAGATCACCCACTACTTCTAAAATAGCTGCGGTGGGCATCATCTTAATACCCTTGCCTGCAACTAACAAGGTAGCTGCAGACTTTTCCAAGATAGGAAGTGCTTTAGTTTTCTGTTTCAAATCCCCTTGCTACCCCTACCCGCTAGTGTAAGAATTACTTTTAGGATTTTCTTACAGTCATCTAAATCGGCTTGACTACTTAGTTCTAATCATAGAGTTCACCACTCTTCAGGCTAATTTAATGTGGGAAAGTCCAGTGTATTTGAAGTTCTTCATATTAGGCCCAAGTTTGCCATTTATTTATATATTTATTATTTTTAAAATTTAGATGGAGTCTTGCTATGTCACCAGGCTGGAGTGCAGTGGCACTATCTCGGCTCACTGCAACTTCCGCTTCCCGGGTTCACGCCATTCTCCTCCTCAGCCTCCCGAGTAGCTGGGCCTACAGGCGCCCGCCACCATGCCCAGCTAGTTTTTTTTTGTAATTTTAATAGAGACGGGGTTTCACCATGTTAGCCAGGATGGTCTCGATCTCCTGACCTCGTGATCCGCCTGCCTCGGCCTCCCAAAGTGCTGGGATTACAGGCGTGAGCCACCACGCCTGGCCAATTTTTTGTATTTTTTTAGTAGAGACGGGGTTTCACCATGTTGGCCAGGATGGTCTTGATCTCCTGACCTCGTGATCTGCCTGCCTCGCCCTCTCTAAGTGCTGGGATTACAGATGTGAGCCGCCGTGCCTGGCCATATTTTTTATTTTATTTTTTCCAGAGTCCAGATGAGGAAGAACATTGGGATATTTTTAAAATCCTGATTATATTATCCTATTGATGATTAGGCATTGACTATTTTTTTATTGTAATTGCATATTGGTCCCACTCTCCCCACTCCCTGCCATAAGATTATAAGCTCCTTGAAAACAAGCCTTGTGTCTTCTTTACCCTTGTATCTCAAGCGTATCTTAAGGCCTGGTGTGATGTCATTCTGTCACATAGCAGTCAGCAAGTAGTTCAGTGGCAGAAAGAAGTTAGAAAGATTTAATAAGCTTGCCTTTTTAGATTTTTACCAATGTTATTAATAAAAATATTCCTTGTGATGGTTAAAAAAAGGAAATTTATTTTGAAAGAAGATCAATTGACAAGAAAATAGACAAGATTTCACCATGTGTCCTTGTAAATGTGAGCATGAACACCAGAGCTTGTTTTTAACTTAGAGGCACAGCATTCCTCCCCCTATTTTTTCAGAGTAAGTTCTCAGCTGCAAGTATGACTCATTGGTAGTTAATGTTTGAGCAGCCAGTGCGCATATGCCACTCTTTTGATTACCAAGGTGATGTTGCAGCATTGTAAATAAACAACCTTTTGTGCCAAAGCCACACAAAGACCACAGTAACATAATTAGTGTTTTTACTCACTAGTGTTTTGTCTGTCATTGTTCATTACTGTCCAGTGAATTATAAAATATTTGGATTTCCTGACAATGAATACTTAAACAAAAAGCCCATTGTGACTTAGGTTTGTTCAGTGAATTAATCATTGCTTATAAATGTATGAAATTATTTGGGAAAAATGATTGATTATGAATTTAAAGAATACCTATTGCTGTGATATCCAGAGCTTGAGACATTAAATTCCTAAAATAGGAACTTTTTGTTGTCCTGGGACTATGACCATTTTCTTCAGTACCCAACTCTTAATCATTACCTTGGCCTTTTGGACCCCAGTTTCACATTGATGACCTGATCTAGAAATTCATACCAATTCTCTAATTATGTAGAGATAGAACAAAAATGACAGCACTGGGTAATTGTGAATGTGGTTCTGGTTGGAGGTCTTCCACATTGTCTCTGCTTTTCCTTGTGTGATCTCTAACTCTTTCTCTTCCATTCCACTTTGTTTTCTAGTGAGTGGTCACACTTTTCAAGCTTTGTTTCTTGATTACAGTTTTACCACCAAGATTTTCAAGACTTAATGCTTAAGAATTGATATCTCCAAGATAATCAGGGAAGAAAGTAAAGGGGACCATGAGAACCTTGAAACTGAGAATAAGCATTTTATTTTCCTGTTAGCTATCATTTTTTCATTTCTTATAGAAACCAAATTGTAAAATCTTATAACTATTTTTCTTATTTTCTTCAATCATCAATGTTATGTTAATTGTATTATGGTCACCATAGGCAAGTTTTAATTTCTTTTCTTTTTATGGGAATGATTTTAGGTTTCAGTATTTCCTTAGGGTCTTTTACTTAGGAAGATACATACATTATCAATTTAAAAATTTTCCAATCCATAAATCTTTTTTCCAGCATAGCTCTCAGTTTTGCTTGTATTCTAGCACACAGGAACAAGATTTGGTGGATGAGAGGTTTGGGGCAGAGATATGAAAGAGTCTGTGGCCGAAACAGATCCGTATTAGGAAGAGTGACAGTATGAGAATGACTCCATAGCTGACCACATGACAACAGCGTGGTATATGTTCGTTAATTGACTAGAAGATGAATAAGCCAGAACCAAGCATGCAGCTGAAGTGGGAGGAAAAAGGGAGGGAGGGGATGAGTCAGCAAGGACCAGAGCAAATGAAAGAGGATTGAGGGTTTAGAGGGTAGGTAAACGGCAGGATAATAGGATTCTTTGCAGTAAATGACAGGAAAATGGAGGTCTCTGACATAACCTGAAATTTCTAAGTCTAGGCTCCCATATCCTGGCTTCCCAGCAGCTATTGTAATCTAGTGACTCTTCTGATTTGGCTCTCTTATAAAGGAGAAGCTAATCCTCAAATTAAAAAATGACAAGATTCCTCCCCCCCCCCCTTTTTTTTTTTTTTAAAGAGACGGACTCTTGCTCTGATTCTGAGGCTAGAGTGTAGTGGTGCAATCGTAGCTTGCTGCAGCCTCAAATTCTTTGGCTCTAGTCATCCTCCCGCCTCAGCCTCCCAAGTAGCTGGGACTACAGGCGCAATGCACCATAGCTGGCTAATATTTTTAGTTTTTTGTAGGGATGGAGTCTCACTATGTTGACCAGGCTGGTCTTGAACTCTTGGCCCCAGGTGATCCTCTCACCTTGGCTGCCCAAAGTGCTGGGATCACAGGCATGAACCACTGTGTCCAGCCTTAACAAGACCCCAGTTGAAACTTCACAAATGCAGTAGTCAAAACAAAATCTCATTGGGCAGAGAAAGCCAGTTAACTTGTTAAATACCTAGTAGGCGGTTCATTTTTAAAATTGATACATAATATACCTATTTATGGGATATATGTGATATTTTGATACATGCATATCTATGTGTAATTATCAAGTCAGGGTGGTTAAGCTACTCATTACCTCAAACATTTACCATTTCTTTGTGTTGGGAACATTTCAAATCTACTCTTCTGGCTATTTTGAAATATACAATAAATTATTGTTAACTATAGTCACTCTGCTGTGCTATCAACACTAGAATTTATTGCTTCTAACTGTATGTTTGTACCCATTAACCAAGCTCTCTTCATCCTCCCCACACCCAACCATTCCCAGCCTCTGGTAACCATCATTCTATATGAGATCAACTTTTTAAGTTTTCACATGAGCGAGAACATGTGATATTTGTCTTTCCCTGCCTACCTTATTTCAGTTATTATAAAGGCCTCCAGTTCCATCTGTGTTGCTGCAAATGACAGAATTTCATTCTTTTTTTGTGTGTGTGTCTTTTTTTTTTTTCCTTTTTGTGGAGAACCGGGGTCTCGCTATACTGCCCAGTCAGGTCTCAAACTCCTGGGCTCAAACTATCCTCCCACCTCGCCTCTCTGAGAGCTGGGCTTACAGGTGTGAATTTCATTCTTTTTTATGGGTGAATAGTATTTCCTTGTGTGTATATGTACCACATTTTTTTGTCCTTTATCTGTTAATGGACACTTAGGTTAATTGCATATCTTTGCTATTATGAATAGAGCTGTAATAAACATGGACGTACACACATGTTTTTGATAAACTGATTTTGATAATGGCTGTGAAGATCATTTGCCCATTTTTAAATCAGATTATTATTTTTACTATTTTTTGCTATTGAGTTGTTTGAATTGCATATATATCCTGGCTATTAATTAATCCCTTATTAGATACATGGTTTGCATATATTATATTTTCTCTTATTCTACTGGTTGTCTCTTCACTCAGTTGTTTCCTTTGCTGTGCAGGAGCTTCTTAGCTTGCTGAAATTCCATTTGTTTATTTTTGCTTCTGTTGCCTGTGTTTTTGAGGTCTTACCTGAAAGATTTTGCCCAGACCAATGTCATGAAGCATTTCCCCAATGTTTTATTCTAGTAGTTTCATAGTTTCAGGTCTTACATCTAAGTCTTTAATCCATTTTGATTTGTTTTTTTTTGTATAGTTAGAGATAGGGGTCTAGTTTCATTTCTCTAAACAGACCATCCTTTCCCTACTGAATGTTCTTGGCACCTTTGTTGAAAATTAGCTGGTTCCAAATATGTGGGTTTATTTCTGGGTTCTCTCCTCTCTTCCCTTGGTCTCTTTGTCTGTTTATGCCAGTAACATGCTGTTTGGTTACTGTAGCTTTGTAGTATATTTTGACATCAGGTAGTGCGTGATTAGTGGGTGATGCCTCCAGCTGTGTTGTTTTTTTTTCCCCGCCTTGATACAGGGTCTTACTCTGTTACCCAGGCTGTAGTGCAGTGATGTGATCACGGCTCACTACAGCCTCAGCCTCCCTCACCACGCCCTGCTAATTTTTTGTAGAGGTGGGGTTTTGCCATGTTACACAGGCAGGCATCAAACTCCTGGACTCCAGTGATCCACCTGCCTCAGCCTCCCAAAGTGCTGGGATTACAGGTGTGAGCCATTATGCCTGGCCTTGCTTTGTTCTTTTTGCTCAGGATTGCTTTGGCTATTCAGAGTCTTCTGTGATTTCATAAGAATTTTAGGATTGTTTTTTCTATTTCTGTGAAGAATGTCTTAGGTATTTTGATATGGATTGTGTTGAAGCTATAGATTGCTTTTGGTATTATTAATATTTTTACAATATTCTTCCAATCTATGAACAAGGGATGTCTCCCCCCGGCCCACACTCTTTTTTTTTTTTTTTTTTAATTTTTCAGTTTCCTTCACCAGTGTTTTACAGTTTCCCTTGTAGAGCTCTTTCATATCCTTGGTTGAATTTATTCCTAGGTATTTTTTTTGTAGCTATTGTAAATGGAATTACTTTCTTGATTTTTTTCCACTAGTTTGTTATTGGGATGTAGAGATGCTACTAATTTATTTATTTCTTATTTTATTTTTATTTTTTGAGACAGAGTCTCGCTCTGTCGCCCAGGCTGGAGTGCAGTGGCGTGATCTCGGCTCACTGCAACCTCTGCCTCCCAGATTCAAGCAATTCTCCTGCCTCAGCCTCCCAAGTAGCTGGGATTACAGGTGCCCACCACCACACCCAGCTAGTTTTTGTATTTTTAGTAGAGACGGGGTTTCACCATGTTGGCCAGGCTGTTCTCGAAGTCCTGACCTCAGGTGATCCACCTGCCTAGGCCTCCCAAAGTGCTGGGATTGCAGGTGTGAGCCACCATGCCCGGCCTGTTTATTTATTTTTTTGAAACAGGTTCTCACTCAGTCACCCAGGCTGGAGTGCAGTGGTGTGATCTCGGCTCACTGCAACCTCCACTTCTCAGGCTCAAGTGATCCTCCTGCCTCAGCCTCCTGAGTAGATGGGACTACAGGCACATGGCTAGTAATTTTTGCATGTTGCTTTTGTATCTTGCAACTTGACTACATTTTTAAATTCATTTTGAGAATTTTTTTGGTGGCAGTTTTAGGATTTTCCACATATACAATCATGTCACTTGCATATAGGGACAATTCGACTTCCTCCTTTTCAATTTGGATGCCCTTTATGTCTTTTTCTTGCCTGTTTGCTCTGGATAGTACTTCTAGTACTATGTTGAATTAGAGTGGTGAGAGACGGCATCCTGTCTTGTTCCAATTTTTTGAGGAGAAATTCAGCTTTTCCCTGTTTAAAATGATGTTAGCTGTATTTGTCCTATATGACCTTTGTTACATTGAGGTATGTTCCTTCTGTACCTAGTTTGTTGAGGGTTTTTTTTGTTTTGTTTTGTTTTGTTTTTCTTTGAGATGGAGTCTCGCTCTGTCTCCCAAGCTAGAGTGCAGTGGCGCAATCTTGGCTCACTGCAACCTCTGCCTCCCTGGTTCAAGCGATTCTCCTGCCTCAGCCTTCCGAGTAGCTGGGATTACAGGTTCACGCCACCACACCTAGCTAATTTTTGTATTTTTAGTAGAGACAGGGTATCACCATGTTGGCCAGGATAGTCTCGATCTCTTGACCTCATGATCCGCCCTCCTCAAAGCCTCCCAAAGTGCTTGGATTACAGGCGAGAGCCACCGCGCCCAGCCGAGGATTTTTTTTTAATCATGAAGGGATGTTGAATTTTATCAAATGCCTTTTCTGTGTCTATTGAGATGATCATACGGTTTTGTCCATTCTATTCATGAGATATATCTCATATATTAATTTATGTATGTTGAATCATTCTTGCATCCCTGGAATAAATCCCACTTGATCATGGTGAATTATCTTTTTTATACATTGTTGGATTTGGTTTGCTAGTATTTTGTTAAGAATTTTTGCATCTATGTTCATGAGGAATATTGCTATGTAGTTTTCTTTTGTTGTTGTGTCCTGGTCTGGTTTTGGCATCAGGGTAATCCTGGACTCAGAATGAGTTTGGAAGAATTTTCTCCTCTTCACTTTTCTAATGTTTTAGAAGAATTTATATTAGTTATTGATATAAATCTGGTTGAATTCAGTAGTGAAGCCGTATTAGGCCATTCTTGCATTGCTATGAGGAAATACCTGAGACTGTATAAATTATAAAGAAAAGAGGTTTAATTGGCTCATGGTTCTGCAGGCTGCACAGGAAGTGTGGCACCAGGCATCTGCTTGGCTTCTGATGAGGCTTCAGAAAGCTTACAGTCATAGCAGAAGGCAAAGTGGGGACTGGTACATCACAATACAAAAGTAGGAAGAAGAGTGACTGGGAGTCGGGGGAAAGTGGGGGAAAAAATGACCAGATCTAATGAGAAGTCACTTACCATGAAGACAGCACCGCCATGATTCAAACACCTCCCACCAAGCCCCACCTCCAGCATTGGAGATTACAATTCCACATGAAATTTGAGCAGGGACAAATATTTGAACTATATCAGAAGCCATCAGGTTCTGGCCTTTCCTTTGATGGAATAAGTTACTGCTTCAGTCTTATCACTCATAATTAGTTCAGGTTGTGTTTTTCATGGTTCAGTTTTGGTTGGTGGTATATGTCCAGGAATTTATCCATTTCCATTAGGTTTTTCAGTTTGTTAGCATATAGTTGTTCATAGTAGTCTCTAATGATTCTTTGTATTTCTGTGGTATCAGTTGTAATGTCTCCTTTTTCGTTTCTGATTTTATTTATTTGAGTCTTCTCATTTTTTTCTTGGTTAGTCTAGCTAATGGTTTGTTGGTTTTGTCTATCTTTTTTTTTAAAAAAACAACTTTTTGTTTCATTGATCTTTTGCAACTTTTGGTCTTAATTTTGTTGATTTCTGCTCTTTATTATTTCTCTCCTTCTACTGAATTTAGACTTGTTTTTTTTTTCTTTTCTAGTTTCTTGATATGCATCATTAGGTTGTTTATTTGAAATCTCTACTTTTTTGATGTGTTTATTGCTGTACACCATCTTGATTTCTTTATTGACACTATAGTTATTCAGGAGCATGTTGTTGAATTTCCATGTATTTATACAGTTTCTAAAGTTCCTCTTGTTATTGATCTCTGGTTTTATTTCCTTATGGTCAGAAAAGATATTTGTTATACCATTTATTTTAAATTTTTTGAAATTTGTTTTGAGGCCTAACACATGGCCTGTCCTGGATAATATTCCATATGCTGATGAAAAGTATATACTCTGAAGCTGTTGGATGAAATGTTTTGTAAATGTCTGTTAGGTCTATTTGGTCTAAAGTGATGTTTAAATCCAATGGGATGTTGAAGCCCCCAACAATTATCGTACTGGAATCTATCTTTCCCATTAGATCCAATAATATTTTATCTTTCTGAGTGCTCTGACATTGAGCACACATATATTTACAATTGGTTATATCCTATTGCTGGATTGTTCTCTTTAACATTGTATAATTACCTTCTTTGTTGCTTTTTACAGCTTTGACTTAAGATCTTTTGATATATCTACTCCTCCTTGCTTTTGGTTTCCATTTGTGTAGAATATCTTTTTCCATCCCTTCATTTTTAGTCTGTATATATCTTTATAGGTGAAGTGAGTTTCTTGTAGGCAGTATATAGTTGGGTCATCGTTTTTTATCAGTTCATCCAGTCTGCATCTTGTAAGTGGGAGAATATAATCGGTTTATATTCAAGGCTATTTTTCACAGGTGAGGAATTACTCCTCTCATTTTGTTAATCTTTTTCTGGTTGCTTTATATATTCTTTATTCCTCTCTTACTGTTAATCATCGCAACTTGGTGGTTTTCTGTAGTGATACGGTTTGATTCTTTTTCTTTTTCTCTTTCTCCTTTGTGTATCTGCTTTATCAGTGAGTTTTATAGATTTACGTATTTTTATGATGGTAATTATCATCTTTTGACCTCCAGATGCAGGATTCTCTTGAGCATTTCTTGTAAGTCCAGTCTAGTAGTGACAGATTCCTTCAGTTTTTGCTTGTCTGGGAAAGACTTTATTGCTCTCTCATTTCTGAAGGATAGCTTTGCTATATGTAGTATTTTTGGCTGAGAGTTTTTTTTTTCTTTCCATTACTTTGCACATATCATTTCATTCTCTCCTGGCCTGTAAGGTTTCCACTGAGAAATCTGCTGTTACTCCCTTATAATTTTCTTGACTCTTTTTTCTTGCTGTTTTTAGAGTACTCTCTTTGTGTTTGACTTTTCACAATTTAGGACTGTAATATAAAGTGGACCTTTTTGGGTTAAATATATTTGGGAACCTTTGAGCTCCCTGGACCTGGATGTTCATATCTCTCCTTAGACATGAAAAATTTTCAGTTGTTATTTCATTAAATAGGTTTTCTATGCCTTTTTTCATCTCTTCTTCTAGAAATCATATAATATGCATGTTTGTTCACTTAATGGTGTCCCATAAGTCTTGTAAGCTTTCTTCACTCTTTTTCATTATTTTTGTTTTGTTTTGTTTAGTTTGTTGAGACGGAGTCTTACTCTGTCACCCAGGTTGGGGTGCAGTGGCACAATCTTAGCTCACTGCAGTCTCTGCCTCCGGGGTTCCAGCTATTCTCCTGCCTCAGCCTCCCGCGTAGCTGGGATTACAGGCATACACCACTATGCCTGGCTAATTTTTGTATGTTTAGTAGAGACAAGGTTTTACCATGTTAGCCAGGCTGGTCTTGAACTCCTGACCTCAAGTGATCCACCCGCCTCAGCCTCCCAGAGTGCTAGGATTACAGGCATGAAACATTGCTCCCGCCTTATTTTGTTTTGTTCTGTTAACTGAGTAGTTTCAAATGACCTCTCATCAAGCTCAGAGACTTTCTTCTGCTTACGTCTGCTGTTGAATTTCTGTTGTACTTTTTATTTAATTCATTGAATTCTTCATCTGTGGGAAATCTGTTTGGTTCTTTTCTATATCTATCTCTTAGTTGAATTTCTAGTTTATATCATGAATTATTTGTCTGGTTTTGTTGACTTACTTGTCTGTATTTTCTGGTATCTCATTAAGTTTCCTTAAGATTATTATTTTAGGTCAGGCATGGGTGACTTACACCTGTAATCCCATCACTTTTGGAGGCCAAGGCAAGTGGATCGATGGAGCTCAGGAGTTTGAGATCAGCCTAGGGAACATAGCAAGACCCCATCTCTATGAAAAAGACAAAAATAATTAGCCAGGTGTGGTGGTACGCACCTATAGTCCCAGCTACTTGTGGGGCTGAGGCAGGAGGATTGCTTGAGCCCAGGAAGTTGAGGTTGCAGTGAGCCATGTTTGTGCCACTGCACTCCAGCCTGAGTGACAGAGTGAGATCCTGTCTCAAAACAAAAACAAAAACAAAGAAAAAAAACATACAACAACAACAACAAAAGATCATTATTTGGAGTTCCTTTTCCAGCAGTTTTAAAATTTCTTTTCATTGGGGTCTATTACTAAAGAGTTATGCTTCTTTGGTGGTGTCATATTTTCTTGCTTTTTCATGTTTCTGTACCACTGTGTTGATGTTTGTGCATCTAATGGAACTGTTGACTCTCTTAAACTTTCTAGAGTGGCTTTGATAGACAAAGACTTTCACCTGCAGTTGGGTCTTAGTGTGCCGGTTGGGAAGAGTGTGATGAATCTGTGTGCAGGTAGGTTTAGTGATACAGCCTCTGTGCAACTTCTTTGGCTACATTAAACATCAGGAATAAATGTGGATGCCTTAGTGGCCTAGGGTATAGAGTTTTTTGGTAGTGATGGCAGAAGGTTGTTAATATCCTTGTTGGAAAAGACTTTTGGGTCCTCCTGTTCTCATTTTCCCCACAATGGGGAGACTCTTGGTATCTGACATAGCCTACAAGCAGCCGTGAGACTAGGATCCTAGGCTCAGGGTCTTGAGGTACCTTTAGCAGCCCAGATCCAGGGGGTTGGGTTCCAGCTGTGAATCTCTATCCCTGGGGGGGCATGGCACAGCCCTGGCCCAACTCCAGGGAAAAAATGGGTGCTCTGGAGGTTTGAATTCAGAATACACGCCATAGCTGTAATTCAGGAGCCCAAGTCAGTAGGGCTCAGTCTAATAGGCACTTTATGTGGTTGTTTCTTTTTTTCCCATTTTTGAGCACAGGAACTTCAGTAACTTACCTAAAGTCACACAGTAAGCAAACCTGCACTAGGAATGTGGGTTTTTTTTCATATATATATATATATATATATATATTTTTTTTTTTTTTTTTTTTTTTTTAAGGGACAGGGTCTTGCTCTGTCACCCAGGCTGGAGTGTAGTGGCGTGATCATAGCTTACTGCAGCCTCAAACTCCTGGGCTCAAGAGATCCTCTCACTTCAGCCTCCCAAGTAGAGTAGCTGGGAATACAGGTGCACACTACCATGCCTGGCTAATTTTTTATTTTTTATAGAGATGGGATCTTGCTTTGTTGCCCAGGCTGCATGTTTTTGTACAGATTTTTTTTATGTGCGTATATACCTATAAACCCAGCAGATTCCTAGAGCCATCCACACATTATCCCTTACCTAATTTTAAAACAGTGGCAGAAGACAGTCATAAAAGCTTTTAACTGGGGCAAAGATTGGAAATTTCCCCCAGTGAAAGAGCAAGATTTCCTGTTTCACATGATGCCCCCTAATTTTGTGACTCAGAAGGCTGCCTTCGTTACTTCCAAAACCTTTTATGGCCTTGAGTTTTTTAGGTTTTGAAATTTTTTTCCCACAGTAAATCAATCATTGATGTTGAATGCATGTGCCATGTATACAACTGAGAAGCTTAGTGCTCCTGTATTCAAACTGTTTCACCCACTGAAACCTTTGTGGTGTGAATAAAGTAAGTGTTAATAGAGGTTATCAGGCTTTGCAATTTCGAAGTCGCTTGGAGGGAATGGTTTTATATGCCCTCATAAAAGATAAGCAGTGCTGGTTGGTACCACAAAAGAGCTTTGAATCTAGGCAACTGTAAATTAACAGGAGCATGGTTCTGTTTCAATAGAGCAATTAACTATAGATCTGAAGAAGTCATAAGAAAGTGTAATATTGATAAGACCCTTTTATAATGTTGTGAACATCCTTAGGAGTACATTATAAATAAGCTGAGCAACACAGGAAACAGAATACAAGAATTCAAGAATACAAACTTCTGAAGATATACTAGAAAAAATGGGAATTTTACTTAAAGAGGACTCTTTTAACACAGGTAGTTGTGAACAAAGAACATGCCTGAACTTAGTTGTCCTCTAGGAGTGCTTAGGGAACTTAGAAGAAACCTTTTGATCTTCATTTGGGTAGAAAATTTACATAACCTGGGAAGAAAGGATGAAATAGTGAACCTGGTAAAAGAAAGTAAAATTTGGATCTTTTCTTGCCATGTATAAATTTTTCAGGTCTCTCTGCCAGAGGTATTACCTATACTCCTAAATTCAGGGAAAAGTTATTTTGTCTTCCTGTTTCATTTGTACAAATTTTGAGGATACCTGTGCAATTTTGTTATATACATAGATTGCATAGTGGTCAAGTCAGGGTTTGTAGGGTATTCATCACCCAAATAACATACATTGTGTACCTACCAACCAATTTCTCATCTTCCTTCCCCCTCCCACTCCCTCACCATTCCAAATTTCTATTCTCTATAATTCCACTCTCAACATTCATGTAAACCTATTTTTTAGCACTTATGAATGATATCATACAGTATTTGTCTTTCTGTGCCTGGTTTGTTTTAACTTAGGTTCCATACTTGTTGCTGCAAATGACAGGATCTCACACTTTTTGTGGCTAAATATTACTCTATTATGTATGTATACCACATTTTCTTTATTGATTCATCCATTGATGGACACTTAGGTTAATTCCATATCTTTGCTGTTGTGCATAGTCCTGTGAAAAATACATGAGTACAGATATCTTTTTGATATATTGATTTCTTTTCCTTTGAGTAGATACCCAGTACTGGGATTGCTAGATCCAATAGTAGTTCTATTTTTAGTTCTTTGGGAAATCTCCATATTGTCTTCCATAGAGACTGTACTAATTTACATTCCCACCAACAGTGTAAAAGAGTTCCCTTTCTCTGCATCCTTGCTAACATCTGTTATTTTCTTAATTTAATAGTAGCCGTTCTGACTGCAGTAAGATGATATGCCATTGTGGTTTTGATTTGCATTTCTTTAATGAGTACTAATGTTGAACATTTTTTAATAACCTCTTGGCCATGTGTGTCTTCTTTTGAAAAATGTCTATTAATGTTCTTTTCCCACTTTTAAATTGGATTATTTGCGGTGGGTTTTGTTGTTTGAGTTCCTTGTATATTCTGGTTATTAGTCCCCTGTCAGATGAATAGTTGCAGTTATTTTCTCCCATTCAACAGGTTATCTCCTCTCCCTGTTGATTATTTCTTTTGCTGTGCAAAAGTATGAATGGATAGCCTTGCAATTACATTTTGAGGACTGAAGATTTAGACATTGTCATCTCCAATTCTAGATAGTGTGAATAAGTGGAGATAGCCATGAATTGAAGTGAGAAAAAGTTTAGCTCAACTTTTCCTCACTATTTTCTTTTCTTTTCTTTTCTTTTTTTTTTTTTTTTTTTGAGATGGAGTCTCACTCTGTCGCCCAGGCTGGGGTGTGGTGGCACAATCTCAGCTCACTGCCATCTCTGCCTCCCAGGTTCAAGCGATTCTCCTGCCTCAGCCTCCCGAGTAGTTGTTATTACAGGCATGTGCCACCACACCCAGGCTAATTTTGTTGACGTTACATATTTCCAGGACCATGTTAGCTGTTTACCTAACAGTTTTCTACCTGTTATGTTCCCTATGGATAGAGTCTGTACCTTATTTATCTTTTTTCTCTTTCTTCCCTTAACCGTCTAGTGTAGTATCTTGTACATAGTAAGTATTTAAGAAATGTTTGAAATACAGAAAATAAATATATACAATACAAATGAGTTCAGTGTTTGAATCTTTCTCAGTCACCTCGGAGTTGCACAATCATTGCCAAATATGTTCTCATTAACACAGTCCTTAAGTTACTATCCACTCAGGAGTTTAACTTCTACCTTGCGGGGAAGATAATCCAGAACCCCCTTTCCTTTACCCAAAAACTTTTTGTGGGTTTTTAGACTTTTAGACTCTTTCTGCTTCTGCTATATTTATACGGAACAGATTTAAGCTACATATATTTTGTTGATTTATAAAGCCCAATGAGGTTTTTTTCGTTTTCAGTGTCTTTGGAAATACTGAGGCATCACTCTGGTTTGCCATGATTTCTCAGACACCCACTTTGGGGCTGAAATTTCATTTTACTGATACATGTGTTAAATTGCCATCAAACATTTTGTCATCTCATGTTTGGGTGCTTTTCCAGTTATCTATTGTGTGAAACAAGCCAATAAAAAATGTTGGTTTAAGAGGAGGTAGAGCAGCTATATATGTTCTTAGTCAACACTGTTTTGATTGCAAATAACAGCATCTATTTAAATTAGCTTAAACTCAAAAGGAAGATTTACTGGAAGACCAGCAGGATATGTCATGAAACCAAGATAGGAAATATACAGGCCTATCTAGGGATTAGAACAAAACACTTGGATAATTCCTAGGAACCAAGACAACTACTCTTGGTCCCTGGCTTTCTTTTCAACTCTTCTTGTCTCTGACACTTTTTTTGACCCTCCTCCTGCTTAGGGCTGTAAAATCTCTTGCCTCAGCTTGCGTCTACCAGTATCATTTTGTCTACATTACCAGCCTTCTCTGCTTCTTGTATTTTGTGGGAAAAGGCCTCCTGCATAGCCCTTCTCCTCAATTTAAGCCCTAGCAGAGATTGAGTAGAGCCCTTATGTCACAACTGCACATTCCTAAGAAGAAGATTGGCTGACCCATCTTGGGTCAGCTTTTCAATCCTGGTCCAGGTAGCTTACTTGTGGGTACAGAACCACATGGGCCCACCACTCAAGAGAGAGCAGATTCTCTAAGAATGAGGTTTAAGAGCTGGGAGAAAAAAAATGACAATATAACAAGGAAATGGAGAGCTTACAGACCATGCTTTTCTTTCTCTTCTAGTAACACTTGCTAAATAGCAAGCCATTTTGCCTTGAGACATTTTAACATCTTGAGATTGTTAAAGTAGGGAGTAGAAACTGAGAGCTAGTGTGTGGTCCTGGCATAGGGCAGTGAGTACCCCCAGAAACAGAACTACACCTTTCACAATGTATTGTACTCACCACCTCTTGTGGGAAAATAATCATTTTGGAGAAAAACCTGCTTTGAGCCTCTGTTAAGTGAGGTAGCTCATCTCATACTTTGAGGGGGTCTGGAATGATGAGTTGAGGTTTAAAGCAACATCTGCCTAACTTTTATGCTCTCAGGACCTGCTCCTGTGTGAGTGGCCTATTTGAAATAAGTAAATATTAGGGCAACAGCAACCTAATTTTATTTTATATTTTATTTTTTATAATATTTTATATTTATTTTAACAGCCTCATGTTAAAAACAAAAAGTTGCAATCCCGTTCACTGGGTAAAGGGTGAGGGGGGTGTTTGAAAATATCTGAGCAGCACTAATGTCACAGTTGTTCCTCTTAGGGAGCAGAACTTAAATATAAAAGTGTGCCTGATTTGGTGAGTTAGTAGCAAGAACCTGATCAGTATATGAAAACCAGCTCTATCTTATGGAACAAATGTCAGATGAGGAAAAGTGTGGTGTGGTCATCTTTTCATTTGAGAGAGGAAGCGGGAGGGAGAGAGAGATTTCAAATCTACCTGCATTGTCAGGAAACATTTTAAAAGGATATTTAAATGTTTCCATTGATGTTGTAGCTTAAGTCCAGTGTGTGGCAAATGCTTAATTTTGTGAAGAAAAAAATAGGAAGAGTTGTTTCATTTATTGGACTTGGAAAGGTATAATTCACATACTCAGTACTAATAATTTCTAGTCTTAAATGGAGCTTAAATAGTGATACTATGAATTTCCATCTCTTCTTCCAAGGGTGAAATATCAGGACCTCAGCCTTTAGCTATACTAGTTTGCAAAAAACAAAAACAAAATCCTGATATTTCTGAGGCCCGACTTCTGGACCAGGACGAATTTTCCAGTTGTGTGTCCTTTGTAATTTCCGTAAAGTTTTAGGACATTTCTGATACTGTGGCTAACAGTGTACCCTACTGCGTGATGAAATATAAGCAAGAGATATTCATATATAATGCTGTAAGAGACTTGCTTATCTTTTAGGGCCAGACCTCCTGTGGTCCTTCCCTGCCTCTTTAAATTCTCAAATAGCTCTAAATCACCTGAGCCACATAGAGTAATTGCCTTTAATTACATTTATAAAATTTTAGAGAATTTTGCACTGGGGAAAGGAAAATGTAAAAAAAAGAGAGAAAGAGAGAGAGAGAGAATCTGTCCTTTTCCCTCCTGCAAAAGAAAAACATTTCTATTTTACACATTTTGGACCAGTAATTTCCTTAATTGCAAATAGACTGTTGTGAGTTTATTATAAAAATTGTTTGGCCTTCATACATCCCACAGTAACACAAAGTACTGACACCTTTTCAGCGCATCATTTTGCAAAGTGCAGAACTGCTTGAGGTTATTTGCTCAGTGTGAAGGTAGAATTTGCTACTTAGATTTTGTTTTCTTTTAAAGGGCTTCATGAAAAATAGAAGGTAAGGTTCTAGAAATACACCCATGTAACTTACATATAAGTGAACTGGACTGAAGAGTTGTGATTAGTTATAGGAAATCAATATAGTGCTTATGCAGGCAGAGGTTTCAAAAAGGTGGATCACCAAAACCTGTCAGTGGGAGCTTGCTTGGAAATAGACACAGACCCTGAAGGTTCTGGTGCTATTTTCTCCCTTTAATTCTATGTCATATTTTGACCTTTTTTTGGTCTTTACTCGTATTTCTCTTACTGTATACCTGTATGTTTCTCTTCCATCCGTATTCTCACAGCCATTTCTCTGGCATTGAGTAGAGCTTTTAGTGGCTGCCGTTAGAGAATGCTTGTTTAAGGAGGTCAAAGACAAGGGAAGTCTCAGTCTAAAATAAGGACTAGAAGTAAGCTCAGTGACCCTCAAAGGACTGACCACAGCCCTTAGTCACTCTTCTTCCTAGCTCATAGTATGTCAAGGTTAATCATTTAGAAGGGAGGTAACATTTAGCATTCCCAAAGCTGTGGAGTACTATGGAATGAAGAAGGTGAGTCATTGAAGAGAATTATTCCTATGATTATGAGAAGGCAGAATTATGTATCTACTGTATTATATTAAAACTTAACTAGTTCCTTTCCAGTATCTGTCAGTGTCATTGGTAAGAAAACATTTCCTTAAGTTCCAGTAACAAACTATTTAAAGATAGATAACTCCTTGTGCCTACTATCATAATAGTAATCTAGCTGCTAGCTAAGCCCTTTTCTATTTGAGAATATAAGTTATTTGTAAGTGTGCTTGGAACAAAAACCAATAAAAAGATCAATTTTTAACATTTGTGACAATTATATTGTCATTTTCTTTCTACAAAAGTAATTTATATTCCATCCATTAAAAGAAGAGTTTGTCAGATCTGCACGATTCTGCATTCTTGTGCTTTCAGCAGTCTAACACACTTTTAACATTTTTCTGCATTTTCTTTTCTTTATACTTCATATTGCCTTAAAGCCAGCCTGTAGGTAATCTCTTCTACATTAGTGATAATGCAAGGAGATGAAGTTTTCACTAACAAAACACTACACATCACTGTGTTTATAGCTACCACTATGCTGGGTAATTTGAGGGCCAAAGAATTATAAATAAGATGATCTCTGCCCTTCAGTACACTAGAGTGTCATTGGAAGGAAAATGTAATATTTACTGAGCTTACAGTATGTTCATGTTAGGACAGTGAGGTTAATGGTAGGACAATAATGGTAAGTAACTGTAACACAAGCTAAAACAGTAGAATGTTATATATATTTTTAAAATGCATATAAAATGAGGAAGTTCTGAAAGAAAAAATGGTTTCTAATTTTGAGAAAGAGAAAAGGTTTTATAGAGAGAGTGGCATGTATGGGGCTGAGCTTTAAAAAACGACTATGATTTATTTGAACATATAAAAATGGAAGAGTAAGGAAAGCTTTCCAAGTACAAAAAATAAACCAAGTCCCAGAGGCTGCTATGTCTCTGTTCATGCATTTATTAAAGAGATATTCTTGAGCATCCCACTTGGGTTAAGTACTATTCTAAGCTAAGTCTTAGGGATACAGTAGTGAACAAGATAGGCACAGCACCTAATATATATATGTATATGTGTGTGTGTATATATATATATATCCTAATATATATATACATATACATATATGAGCAAGACCTCATCTCCAAATATATATATGTTTATATAAATATAAAATATAAATATATATATAATATATATATATTTGGAGATGAGGTTTTGCTCTGTCACCTAGGCTGAAGTGCAGTGGTGTCATCACAGCTCACTGCAGCCTCAACCTCCTGGGCTCAAGAGATTCTCCTACCCCAGCTTCCTGAGTAGCTGGGACCACAGGCATACATCACACGCTCAACTAATTTTTTTATTTTTTGTAAACATGGGGTCTCCCTATGTTGCCCAGGCTAGTCTCGAACTTTTGGCCTCAAGCAATCCTCCTGCCTCAGCCTCCCAAAGTGCTGAGATTACAGGTGTGAGCCACCATGCCCAGGCTTAATTAATGTTCTAAAAGGAATATAACCTGCAATTTTATTTTATTTTATTATTTATTTATTTATTTTTTTGAGACGGATTCTCGCTCTGTCACCCAGGCTGGAGTGCAGTGGCACAATCTCGGCTCACTGCAACCTCTGCCTCCTGGGTTCATGCCATTCTCCTGCCTCAGCCTCCTGAGTAGTTGGGACTACAGTCACCCACCACCACGCCTGGCTAATTTTTTTGTATTTTTTAGTAGAGACGGGGTTTCACCGTGTTAGCCAGGATGGTCTCAATCTTCTGACCTAGTGATCCACCCACCTTGGCCTCCCAAAGTGGTGGGATTACAGGCGTGAGCCACTGCACCCGGCTGCCATTTTATTTTTAAATACCCTCACAGACCTGAGTACTCAAGTAATGGGGACTGTCGTGCTAAATGTTGAAAATAGGCCCAAGCCTAGAGTCAGAATAGGGACCAAAGAAGATTTAGAACTCTGGCAGTTTGGGAAGGATGAGGTGGGAGAACTGCTCGAGCCCAGGACTTCAGGACCAACCTGGGCAACCTAGTGGGACCCTGTCTCAACAAAAAATTAAAAATTAGCCAGGCGTGGTGTCACACGTCTGTAAGTCCCAGCCACTCGGGAGGCTGAGGTGGGAATATTGCTTGAGCCTGGGAAGTCAAGGCTGCAGTGAGCCATGGTTTGTGCCACTGCACTATAGCCTGGGTGATAGAGTGAGACCCTGACTTAAAAAAAAAAAACCAAAACTGGCAATTTGGCACTATATACTAAAATATTAACTATGCAAGCATTTGACTCAGCATTTCCTGTTTAAGGAATTAACATTCAAGATATGTTTACCGGGCAGGGCATGGTGGCTCACGCCTATAATCCAAGCACTTTGGGAGGCCCAGCGCGTCAGGTGATCTGCCTGGCCAACATGGTAAAACCCTGTCTCTACTAAAAATATAAAAATTAGCCGGGCACGGTGGCGCATGCTTGTAATCCCAGCTACTCCAGAGGCTGAGACAGGAGAATCCCTTGAACCCGGGAGGTGGAAGTTACAGTGAGCCGAGGTCGCGCCACTGCCCTCCAGCCTGGGCGACAGAGTGAGATTCTGTCTTAAAAAAAAAAAAAAAAAAAAAAAAAAAAAAAAAAAAATTTACAAACATGCCCAAAAATATAGGCTTAAGGATTTTTTTTTGTAGTATTGCATGCCTATTTGTCTAGATGCTTTTATTTGCCAAGAGTAGAATCCCAGTTCAAGCTCACTTGAGAGAGGGAGAGGAGAATTTCTTGGCTCACAGAACTGAGAAGTCAAAAGCATTCTCACTTCAAGCCATCCAGATACAGGACTAATAATGTCCTTGGTCCATAGGTATGTGATACATTTGCCTCTCTTTTTTTCTCACCTCTTCTTTCTCTGCATTAGCTTCATTCTCAAATAGGCTTTCTCCATGTGGTGGTCCCTGGCAACTCCAGGCTGAGCTGCTTTCAGTTTAGCGATCAGGGAGAGAGAGAGAGAGAGAGAGAGAAAGAGAGAGAGAAAGAGAGAGAATACTCCTCCTTCTCTATAGTTCCACAAAAGTCCTAGAGTTGACTCTTGTTACATGAGAGACATGGCACCCATTCCTGAGCCAGTTTTCCCAGGCAGGCAGATAGAGTATTCTGAGTAATTGGGCTTGTGGCATCCTCGGGATGTCAGTGGGAGATGGGTTGCCCCCACTTTAACCACATGAAGTAACACTGGGGAAATGGTACTTTCCACTGTAAGAATAAGGTGGTGTTATCAGAAGGAACAAAAGGATGCAGACCAGGCAAAAGCAATAGGTGTTCACTATAATATATATTTCTAATTAACACATGGAAACAGCATGAATGCCCATCAGTAGGGGGAAAGTTAAACAGATATGTTACATGGTGGAATACTATTATACTACTATTAATATGTAGCTATTAAAATGAATAAGGTAGGTCTATATGTTGATAAGAAAAAATATCCACTCTGTAGTATTTTTCTTTTTCTTTTTTTTTTTTTTTTTTTTGAGACAGAGTCTCACTCTGTCGCCCAGGCTGGTGTACAGCGGTATGATCTCAGCTTACTGCCAACTGCTGCCTCTGAAGCTCAAGTGATCCTCTTGTCTCAGCCTCCCAAGTAGCTGGGACCACAAACACACACCACCACACCTGGCTAATTTTTTGTAGTTGTGGTAGAGACAGGGGTTTCACCATGTTGCCCAGGCTGGTGTTGAACTTCTGAGCACAAGCAATCCACCTGCCTTGGCCTCCCAGACTGTTCGGATTATGGGCGTGAGCCACCATGTCTGGCCCATGCTATAGTATTAAATTAAAAATGAAGTTGCAGTACACTGTTCTTAATCATGTGCCTTTGTGGTTGTGAATACTTTTTCTTTTTCTTTTCTTTTTTTGAGACGGAGTCTTGCTGTGTTGCCAGGCTGGAGTACAGTGGCATGATCTTGGCTCACTGCAACCTCCGCCTCTGGGGTTCAAGTGATTCCCCTGCCTCAGCCTCCCCAGTAGCTGGGAATACAGGCGTGCGCCACCACGCCCAGCTAATTCTTTGTATTTTAGTGAGACGGGGTTTCACCAGGATGGTCTGGAGCTCCTGACCTCGTGATCCACCTGCCTCGGCCTCTCACAGTGCTGGGATTACAGGCGTGAGCCACCGTGCCCGGGTGTGAATACCTTTTCTTTATATGCTTTTTACTGCTTTTGGTTTGCTGTTATGTTTGGTTGTCTAAAAATGGGTAATATAGATATCCATGCTATATCTGTCTGTTTATCACTTTTATAATTTAAAAAAGTAATGCCCCAGGTGGTTCCTGTTCAAGACCAGGGACTGGAATTGACAAGGCTTGAGAACCACAGAGAGGTGGACAGGAAAGGTGAAAAGATAGTGTTTGTGGAGCTGATTTTAAAATAATGGGGGAGAGGGCAAGAAAATTTCTTAAAAATTAAAAATAAGGGAAGCCAAAAGGGTGAGTAGGACAAATCAAGCTGCCTGTGGAGCATAGTGGGGGATTTATGTACTGGAAAGGTGATAAAGAATTGGTGGAAAAAGAAAATGTTAACCAAAAGGGCAGGACATAGGGTTTGGAAGAGTTGGGTTGGGGAGCATGGAGAATAATTTTGGCAACAACACAGATGAAAAAGAACATTGAGAGTAAGAGAATGTAGGCAGCTTAGTGTAGAGAAGAGAACAGTGAATCTGGAATTGAGAGATTTGGTTGTATTATTTGGGAACCTAGGAGATTTCACACAATATTTCTCAGGGTTTTTATTTCATCTGTAAAATGGGGTCTTTAGTACTTCCCCTGTTTTTCCTTACAGGATGACCATGAGATTCAAGTGTGGTAGGAAAAGACTACTTAGGTGAAGAAAAGACCGTGTATTTCCAAGTTAAATGGGACCAAAATAAAGAATTTGTTTATAAATTGAGAGGGAGAAGATAAGGGTAGGAAGAAGTTACTGGACTTCCTTTCATATTAGATGATTTAGATGTCTCATTTTTTTGGTCATTTAATCTGTTTGGATGGGCAGGTGCTGTTTTGAGAGAGGAGAAGACATTTGTTTGTGTGTAGTTTTCAGTGCTGTTAACTGAAATAAGTAATTCTGCATAGTTGTTTACCTACATATGGGAACAGCAAGATAAACTGTAGATATCATTTACAATCATCATGGAAGATTTAAAATACACAGAAGTCAATGTAGAAATATTGCAACTCTGAATTTACTTGGAGTATTCATACTTGTGGCTTGCCCAGCAGAACTGTCTTTTAAAAGTATTCCCATGAAATGTAAGCAAGAACTCAGAAAAATCAATTGTGTTAGTATTCGTGCACATTTTAAATCCACTGAATTTGCTTTGCTCTGTATGTATTGTGTGTATTTCAGCATTTTGAGGAAAGCATTAGGCATTCCAAATGGAAAACTCAAGTGCCATCGCACTGAGTTGTAGTTATTAATTTACTTAGTACTTATTTTAACCATATCTACCATATGCTTGGACCAGTGCTAGGTGCTGACATACAAAAAATTAACACACAGTAGTTGCTGTCTTCAAATAGCCTTCTGTTAGTAGGGAAGACAGACACATGGATAAAGAAAGTGTAATGGGACTGGGGCACGATTGTCAGGAAGGGGATCACTGTACTTTGGGTAACCTCATTTTTTCCTTTTCATTCCTTCTAGCTGCTTGCTAGAACCTTCTTGACTTTTTAGTTGTTAATTGTTCAGGTGGATTTTAAGAAGAATCAGGTGTATTTTCTTAGGTTTTGAGGCAGATTTTGAAATTCAGTAGATAATCCATCTTTTTATCTTAAATCACAGGAACTACAGTACTAAGGAAGGTGGAAAAATGTCAAATACTGGATTTTTTAATCTCATGAATTTACCATCTGAGTAAAGTTAGTCTGTTAGTAACTGAGCTGAGCTGAGTTAGTCTCCTTTTTTTTTTTTGGTTTGTTTGTTTGTTTGTTTGTTTGTTTTGAGACGGAATCTTGCTCTGTCACTGGGCTGGAGTACAGTGTTGCGATCTTGGCTCACTGCAGCCTCCACCTCTTGGGTTCAAGCGATTCCCCTGCCTCAGCCTCCCTAGTCTGGGACTACAGGCGTGCACCACCACGCCCAGCTAATTTTTTGTATTTTAGTAGAGACGGGGTTTCTCCATGTTGACCAAGATGGTCTTGATCTCCTGACCTCGTGATCCATACACCTTGGCCTCCCAAAGTGCTGGGATTACAGGCGTGAGCCACCACACCCAGCCGAGTTAGTCTTTTTGGAAAGGGAAAGGACTTTACTCCTCTGCCCCTACCCACCTCCAATACACAACACACTTTTACCTGTTTTTATTTTGGGCCAGGCACAGTGGCTTACGTGCCCAGCACTTTGGGTGGCCAAGGTGTTACCAGATGGAAAGTCTTGACTGTGAGTTGTCCAAGTTCTTGGTGCCTTGAGCAAAGAATTGAACAAAACGCACAAAGCAATGGAAGACGAAGGCATAGATTTGTTGAAGTGAAAGTACACTCCACAGAGTGGGAGCGGGCTTGAGCGGGTGGCTCAAGAGCCCTGATTGTAATGTTCCTTGGGGTTTTTATTGAATTAAAAGAATATGGTAAGCCGGGAGCAGTGTCTCACGCCTGTAATCCCAGCACTTCGGGAGGCCGAGGCAGGTGGATCACCTGAGGTCAGGAGTTCAAGATCAGCCTGGCCAACATAGCGAAACCCCGACTCTACTAAAAATATAAAAATCAGCTGGATGTGGTGACAGGCACCCGTAATCCCAGTTACTTGGGAGGCTGAGGCAGGAGAATCAGTTGAACTTGGGAGGCAGAGGTTGCAGTGAGCCGAGATCACGCCATTGCACTCCAGCCTGGGCGACACGAGTGAAACTCTGTTCAACAACAACAACAAAAGATCATGGTAACACATCTAAGTACCTTTAGGGGCTTCTGATAGGTTATGCCCTATGTAAATGAAGGATTCTGCCCTAGGCCAATCAGAGGCAGGATTCTGTCCAGGACCAGTCAGAATCAAGATTCTGCCCAGGACCAATCAGAGGCATCTCACCTATGGCATATATGCAGATGAAGGTCCCAGAATGGACCAAAACCAGACATTCCCATTCCTGACATAGGGGAGGGGAGGTTCGGAGAGGGATGGGCCTTTGGCCTGTTATGACTTGGTTGTGGACAGGTGGGGTTTTCCTCTTAGTCCAATTCCAAGAAGGCAGCCATAGGTTGGCCTTAGGTTTACTGTTTCCAGACCCTATTCTCCTGCCTCAGAGGCAGGTGGACCACTTGAGGCCAGGAGTTTGAGACCAGCCTGGCTAACATGGTGAAACCCCAGCTCTACTAAAAATGCAAAAATTAGCCAGGCATGGTGGTGCATGCCTGTAATCCCAGCCACTCGGGTGGCTGAGGCAAGATAATCGCTTGAACCCAGGAGGTAGAGGTTGCAGTGACCCAAAATTGCACCACTGTACTCCAGCCTGGGCAACAGAGCAAGACTCTGTCTCCAAAAAAAAAAAAAAAAAAAGAAAAGTGTATTTTGGATTCTATCTACTATAGAAGAAATCTGTCCTCTGTCCTGTCTTGGGCTTTCTTTTCTGACTCCTTTTGGGTAAATAAAATGTTAAGCCTGCTTTAAGGCTCAAGGCATTCATAATTATGTGTATGTAATAGAGACACTGTTAAAGCTCAATGTCTGTGGCTCGGAAATGTGAAATTATTCCTCTTCTTTTGCCTTTCCTCACTGCCTCTTCCCCCACCATACAAATTTGAGCTCGTGTTAGCAGCCTATGTTTGGCAGTATTCCAGTTCCCAGGAGGCCTTTAAACAAGATGATTGTAAAACATTTTTCATTACAGGACAGACAAAGTAATCCTGTTTTCTTAATTCTGGGCCTAGCTGTTTTTGTTATTAAACCAGCATTTTGAGTAAATTCATATGTTTAACTGGTTCATGTTGCAAAGAGACATTTTTCAGAGTCAGAGACATGAGAGGGATTGTTTGTTCTTTTTTAAAAAAGATATACTACGTATTATCTCATATCTTTGTAATAATGCATTGTTTCATGGGTTTATTCTCAGAGTTTTAAAGGCTATGCTTCCATTTTTCCCTTTCGTTACTTACAATGGAATAACATCTCATTTATCTGCCTATTTCTGATTTCTTGCTAAGGGTACATGTTTAATATTATTTTCTTTAATGATAATTGCCCATGTATTATAATAATAATTGCCTGATCCCTCAGAAACATTACAGAGCATTTAGTAGTTGTGCTAGAAACTATTACTATTGATGGGGCTGAGAAGAGAATTAATTTAATTTGGGAGAAAAATTATTCTATTTTCTTTAAACATTAAAAAATAAACTATATAAACAAAGCAAAAGAATGGGCTTGCCAAGGTTGTTGTCCTTCATAGTTAGGTAATTTAGTTTTTAAAAAAGAATGAAAGACTAATTATTAGGCAATAATAGGATCAAATTACCAAAACCTTTGAGGTGGTTCTATTTCAGTTCTCAACCTGATGTGCATTTTAAAATATCTCTACTTAGAGTAGTTAGGGTTCATAATGTGTTGTAGATTGTTTTTAGATAACAGCTTGGATGATAAAAGAAGCCATTTTCCTTGAATTGGTGTATTTGACTCAAGTTAAACTTCATACAGACTGAAAATTAGCTCTAGTGTTCTACATTCATTGCCTATTCTGTGCAGCTTGATGTACGTGTGAGCCATATGTCTGGCAGGGTTTATAACATCATGTTATTGATGATGGAAAGGCTCTTTCATAGTACTAAGAAAAATATACAAGATAACATATGTACTGTATATGTAACCTTGCAGTTTGGTTTATAAGAGATTTAACCTGTAGTTAAAGGAAATATAATGAAATCTATTGGAAATCCTTCAGAAAAGTAAAATTCAGTAGTCACTTCTTTAGTTTCCAGGTTTCTATGCAGTTTACCAATTTAGGAAGGGGAGACCTCATTAGCACATTATTTCCAGAGCAGATGAGAGATTATAAAACTATTAATACCTTAGTTTCCAATATACCATTGATCAAAGAATCCAGCACATATCTTCCTTGCCTGAGTCTCCCACTTCCTTTCCATTCCCTCATAATTATTTATAGAAAGTACCTGTTTACCGCATGTGTACCTTATGTTGCACTTAAGGATCTGCCCTTCTCCCCAGCCTCATTAAAGGATTTCATAGCATAATGTTGATTAATTTAAAATTTCTTAAGCAGTGGATTAGAGATGGCTCTGCAAAAGAAGAATGAAATATACAGGATTTTTTTTTTCATTTAAATGCAGCCCAGCTGATAAGCCGTTACTGTGTGGTAATCTCTGACCAAAGAGACAGACTTTCTTAGTGTGCTTGTGTTTGTGTCTTTTACCACCAGCACAGACCACTTTATGGGCACTCCTGCGAAAAACCAGGCTCAGAGTAGAACTTGCATGGGGAGCTTTCTGTACAGATAGTTCTAATAAATTACAGCTACATCTCCCAAAGAAACTTTTATGCTCAAAGGTATATTTTCTGTAAGAAAATAACTAAGAAACTTTAAACAGAGAAATCTTTTTAACTTGCCTTAAAATTCTTTCCTTCAAAAGGTATTGAGTCCAGTTGTTTTGATCTGAAATAACTTCTGAAAGAGACCTGTCACTGTATTCTGAATCCTTATATTAATCATAAAACAAAGCAAAACCCTTTATTTCTACTCTCTAGATATAGTGTTTTTCAGCTGAGGTTACACATCAGAATCACTTGTGGAGCAATGTTTGCTTCCACTCCTAGAAATTCTGACTCAGTAGGTAGGAGGTGAAGTCACTGCATCTCATTTTGGGTTTTTTTTTTTTTTTAAGTTTTAAAGATATTTCTGATAGATACACTTCCAGTTGAGTTTCACTACCAGCTTATATTTGAATTGGTGCCACACGTTATTTCATAAAATATGGAGGTGAGTTTCATTCATAGTTCTGTGGCTTTACAAAGAGGAACCCAGAAGGTAGCTAGAAGGAAATCCTGGCCATAAGAATTTGGATTTTGAAAGGAACCAGTCTAAACCCCCTCCTCTTTTTTTTTTTTTTTTTTTTTTGGTGGTGTTGTTGTTGTTATTTCTTTATTTCTTCTAAGGAGAAAAAAAACGGGATACATGTGCAGAATGTGCAGGTTTGTTACGTAGGTACATGTGTGCCATGGTGGTGTGCTACACCTATTGACCCGTCTTCTAAGTTCCCTCCCCCGACCCCCCATCCACCAACAGGCCCTGGTGTGTGTTGTTCCCCTCTCTGTGTCCATGTGTTCTCAATGTTCAACTCCCACTTATGAGTGAGAACATGTGGTGTTTGGTTTTCTGTTCCTGTGTTAGTTTGCTGAGGATGATGGCTTCCAGCTTCATTCATGTCCCTGCAAAGGACATGATCTTGTTCCTTTTTATGGCTGCATAGTATTCCATGGTGTGTATGTACCATATTTTCTTTATCCAGTCTATCATTGATGGGCATTTGGGTTGGTTCCATGTCTTTGCTATTGTAAATAGTGCTGCAGTAAACATACATGTGCATGTGTCTTTATAGTAGAATGATTTATATTCCTTTGGGTATATACTCAGTAATGGGATTGCTGGGTCAAGTGGTATTTCTGGTTCTATATCCTTAAGGAATCACCATACTGTCTTCCACAATGGTTGAACTAATTTACATTCCTACCAACAGTGTAAAAGTGTTCCTATTTCTCCATAGCCTCTCCAGCATCTGTTGTTTCCTGACTTTTTAATAATCACCATTCTGACTGGCGTGAGATGGTATCTCATTGTGTAAACCCCCTCCTCTTTACAGATGAATAAGCTAACCCAGAGAGGCTAAGGAATGTGCCAGAGTTGAAAGCAGAAGCAAATACTAGATCTAAGACTCTGACTTGAGCTTTTTCTACACTGGTATCTCGGACCTTGACCCTCTCCTAGAAATGCTTCAAAACCACTCAGTGGTCTAGAAGTTGCTTTGAGCATCCCAAAGCCTGCCAGTGTGTTGTGAGGTCTCAGGGTACTTAATAAAACCAATAATGCAGCGAGCAGGAACTCTTAATTCTTCCAAGTTCCTAGGTAGGAGTAATGGGTGACATTATAGTTAGAAATTGTAGATATTACTCAAAATCCTTTTGTGACTTCATTGTAAACATGGAAACTTCTGGCAAAAGATAATCTAGATTTGATACTAAGGATTATTAAGAACAAGATCAGTTGTCTCATTTAAACTGAACCTTAAGTATTGGCAACAAGTGTAGGAAATTATGCCAATATTATATTTCTAAGCAAGCCTGACTTTTAGCTTGTACTTTAGAAAGAGGATATTATGCCCAGATTTGCAATTTAACCAACGAATGGAGTAATATGTTTATTAATTAGGATTAGAGTTGGCTGCTTTTTAAAAATCCAAATACAAGTAGCTCAGTCAAGGTGGAGATTGATTTTTCTTTTTGATAAAAAAAATCCAGAGAGAAGAAAAGTCCAACATTAGCATGGTTACTCCACAGCCATCAGGGACTTAGGTTCTGTTTTTTGCTCCATCTATTCTTGGCACTACTTTACATCGTCAAGATGTCTGGTGATTCTAGATGGCTTCTGGACCTTTCATTCTAGCCATCTCTCTTGAAAGAATTTTTTTAGAATTATACACTCAGTGGCCAGGCACGGAGGCTCATGCCTGTAATCCCAGCACTTTGGGAGGCCAAGGCAGGCAGATCACTTGAGGCCAGGAGTTTGAGACCAGCCTGGCCAACATGGTGAAATCTCATCTCTACCAAAAACAAACAAAAAAAAAATTAGCCATAGTCTGTAGTCCCAGCTACTCAGGAGGCTGAGGCAAGAGTAAAACTAAAAACAAAATTAGCTGAGTCTGTAGTCCCAGCTACTCAGGAGGCTGAGGCAAGAGAAAAGCTTGAACCCAGGAGGCGGAGGTTGCACTGATCTAAGATCATGCAACTGCACTCCAGCCTGGGCAGCAGAGCAAGACTCTGAATAAAAAAAAAAAAAAGAGTTATACACTCATTTCTGCTTCCATCTCATTGGTCTTTCCTAATTGTCAAGGGAGACTGGAGTTATAACTGGGCAAGTTGCTATTTGCAACAATTAGAAGTTCTGGGCCAGGCATGGTGGCTCATGCCTATAATACCAGCACTTTGGGAGGCTGAGTTGGGTGGATCACTTGAGGTCAGGAGTTCAAGACCAGCCTGACCAGCAAGATGAAGCTTCGTCTTTACTAAAAATACAAAAATTATCCAGGCATGGTGGCAGGTGCCTGTAATCTCAGCTACTCAGGAGGCTGAGGCAGGACAATGGCTTGAACCCAAGAGGCGGAGGTTGCAGTGAGCTGAGACCACGCCACTGCATTCCGGCCTGAGCAACAGAGCAAGACTCTGTCTCAAAAAAAAAAAAAAAAGTTATGTTATTTTAAAAGAAGGGGAGGCTGGGCGTGGTGGCTCACACCTGTAATGCCAGCACTTTGAGAGGCCAAGGCAGGCAGATCACGAGGTCAGGAGATCGAGACTATCCTGGCCAACATGGCGAAATCCCATCTCTACTAAAAATTTAAAAATTAGCTAGGTGTGGTGGTACGTGCCTGTAATCCCAGCTACTTGGGAGGCCGAGGCACGAGAATCACTTGAACTCAGGAGGTGGAGGTTGCATTGAGCTGAGATCGTGCCACTGCACTCCAGCCTGGCAACAGAGCGAGACTCTGTCTCAAAAAAAAAAAAAAAGAAAAGAAAAGAAAAAGAAAAAAAGAAGGGGAGAGGCATCCCTGTAATCTTAGCACTTGGGAGGTCAAAGCAGGAGGATCAGTTGAGCCCAGAAATTCAAGACCAGCCTGGACAACATAGTGGGAGCTCATCTCTGGAAAAAATTTAAGAAACTAGCCCGATGTGGTGTCATGTGCCTGTGCTCCCAGCTGTTTGGGAGGCTGAGGCAGGAGGATTGCTTGGTCCCAGGAGGTCGAGGCTGCAGTGAGCCATGGTCATACCACTGCCCTCCAGCCTGGGTGACACAGTGAGACACTGTCTCAAAAGAAAAAAGGAGAGGGAGAATGGATATTGGGCATGCAAACAACAGGCGCTGCCACAACCTGCTTTGAAGAATATAATATTTATATTAGGAAAATAACATTTTAGTGGCATTAAATCCTTATATAGGACATAAATTTAAAAGATCCCCAAACTGCATTTACCATGTGTCTGATTAATAAAAGCAGTAAATCTCTAGGACAGAGTGTTCTGCTTTGGATGTCTCAGCAGGAGTCATTGGAAACAACTAGTTGGGTTTTATATATTTTTAAAAAGCTGAAAAATGACTTCTTCAAAACAACCGGGAAAAAAAGACTCTTTGGGGCCTGGTGTGGTGGCTCACGCCTGTAATCCCAGCACTTCGGGAGGCTGAGGCGGGCGGATCACCTGAGGTCAGGAGTTTGAGGCCAGCCTGGCCAACATGGGGGAACGCTGTCTCTACTAAAAATACAAAAATTAGCTGGGCGTGGTGGTGTGCACCTGTAATCCCAGCTACTCAGGAGGCTGAGGCAGGAGAATGGCTTGAACTCGGGAGGCGGAGGTTGCAGTGAGTCGAGATGGCGCCAGTGCACTCCAGCCTGGGCTACAGAGTGAAACTCCATGTAAAAAAAAAAAAAAAAAAAAACACTTCAAATTAAATCCTTTTCTCTTTTGGAGATAGGGAGAATCAAGACAACAACAAAAACAATTGAACAGATATTTATTGAACTAGCAGGAGTAACATATGTTAGAGGATACAAGCTAGGAATAAACATATTTAAAGAAAATGTTCAAGTTGTTTAGGATTTAGGCCGGGCATGGTAGCTCTCGCCTGTAATCCCAGCATTTTGGGAGGCTGAGGTGGATGGATCACTTGAAGTCGGGAGTTCGAGAGCAGCCTGGCCAACATGGCAAAACCCTGTCTCTCCAAAAAATGCAAAAAAAAATTGGTGGACACCATGCCTGTAATCTCAGCTACTTGGGAGGCTGAGGCGCAAGAATTGCTTGAACCCAGGAGGCGGAGGTTACAGTGGGCCAAGATTGCGCCACTATACTCCAGCCTGGGTGACAGAATGAGACTCTGTCTAAAAAAAAAAAAAAGTTGTTTAGGATTTAATGAATCAAGATAGACTAATACAATATATGAAATAGTTATTAATTCCAAATATGTGAGACCTACCCTCGAGAGAAGTATGTGTTAGATGTACATCTGTCTATATCCCACCCATAGAAATAAAAAGGGAATGGGGCTGGACACAGTAGCTCATGCCTGTATTCCCAGCACTTTGGGAGGCCAAGGAGGGAGGATTGCTTGAGCTTGGGAGTTGTTCAGGACCAGCCTGAGTAACATAGTGAGACCCCATCTCTATAAAAAATCAAAAATTTAGTCTGGTGTGGTAGAGCGAGCCTACAGTCCCAGCTGCTACTTGGGAGGCTGAGCTGGGAAGATCGCGTTAGTCCGGGAGGCAGAGATTGCGAGCCGAGATCTTACCACTGCACTCCAGCCTGGGTAACACTGAGACCTTGTCTCAAGTTAAAACACTTAGAGGCAGAAGCAAACAATAATCTACAACATATGCAACTGTAGACCACTATATACATAAATATATAAGATGGGAATGTTTCTGCTCTGTGAAACCAGATAATTTTTTAAGTGTTCTATAATCTTTTTTTTTTTTTTTTGAGATGGAGTCTCGCTCTGTCACCCAGGCTGGAGTGCAGTGGCGCCATCTCAGCTCACTGCAACCTCCGCCTCCTGAGTTCAAACGATTCTCCTGTCTCAGCCTCCTGAGTAGCTGGGACTATAGGTGCGTGCCACCATGCCCAGCTAATTTTTGTATTTTCAGTAGAGACAGTTTCACCATGTTGGCCAGGCTGGTCTCAAACTCTTGACCTTGTGATCCACTCACCTCAGCCTCCCAAAGTGCTGGACTTACAGGCATGAGCCACTGCGCCTGGCGTCTGTAATCCTATTTAATATCTACTATTCTCATGGTACCAGTTATATATTTAGTGAATGCCTCATATTTACAATGCACTTTATAAAGGAAATTCATTCACAATTTGCCACTTAGGTGAGAAAGTCTGGATTTTGGCTTCTTAATAGTTATGAATTTCAAATCTGGGGAAAACCCAGCCTTGTGTTTTTTCCCCCTTTTCCTTTCATCAGCACTTATCAGCAACCAAACACTAAGTGTCTGTTGACTTTTCTCCAGCTGATAAAAAACAAAAAACTATAGAGACTCCCTGTGAAAAGAGGGCCAGTTGTGCTGGCCTGGGGCCAGGCTGCACGCTCTGTGACCTTGCCTCTTCAGTCTGAGTTGTCCATAGGGCAACAGTTCCAAATAGCCCATGTGGCTATGGCAGTAAGCATAGAGAGTGCTCATGAACCAGATAATGTAACAAGTTATGTTAGCCTGGCCTTTGAGCTCAGTGAGCCATCCTTTGAGCCTTTTATGATACTGCACTTTCAGGCATCCTTTTGGGAAGATCCAATGGATCAGGGACCATTCTCTATCTTATAGCAGTGGAAATGTTTTTGGCACTGTGGTATTAAATAACTACTCATTTGAACGTATTGTGCAATGACTTAGCCTTTCCCATCATTATTAGTTCCCATTGAAGCTGTTGTGCTCAGTTTGAGTTTCCAGTAGGGACTATGAAAGAAAATGGAAATCTCACAAATTGTACTTTTAAAAATATTTTATTCAGTGCTAATACTGTTATCTCATATTTTGGCTTTTGTGTCTCCCACTGTATACCCCCATTTCCCCTCTGCTTTCAGGTGAAGGTCTCCCACAGGTGTATTACTTTGGACCATGTGGGAAATATAATGCCATGGTGCTGGAGCTCCTTGGCCCTAGCTTGGAGGACTTGTTTGACCTCTGTGACCGAACATTTACTTTGAAGACGGTGTTAATGATAGCCATCCAGCTGGTAAGTTGGAATTGCTCTTCTAGAAGAGAATAAGCTGGTTCCTCAGCCACATCCTTGTGGGCCTTTTGGTGATTTACTAGCCGTAGCAACACATCAAGAATTAGTACTCACAGGCTTGATGGCATTCTGGGAAGCTGGCTGGGGCAAAAAGGGTAAATTCAGAGAAGTCACACTACATCTGCAATTTGCTCTATTTTAAGACTTTGCACCTTGGAGCAATGCTCTGCCCTTAACTGAAGAGGAAGTATATAATTTAGATTAGGGAGAAAGAGGTCGATTAGATGGAGTTGTAAAAATGTGAATAATTTATTTGATTTTGTTTTGTTTTGTTTTTCATTTTTGAGACAGGGTCTCTGTCACCCAGGCTAGAGTACAGTAGCATGATCATAGCTCAGTGCAACCTCAAACTCCTAGGCTCAAGTGATTCTCCTGCCTCAGCCTCTCCAGCAGCTAGGACTGCAGGTGCCATGCCAGCTCATTTAAAAAAAAAAAAGTGTTTTGGAGACAGACTCCCACTATGTTGCCCAGGCTTGTCTAAACTGGTCTCAAGCAGTCCTCCCACCTCGGCCTCCCAATGTGCTAGGATTACAGGCATGAACCACTGCACCCAGCCTATTTATGTGTTTTAAATATAGCTGTAAGGTTTTGTCATGTCCTATCTCTCCCTTCACTGTTGCAACCAAGAAAAGATTGATGTTATAACCCATTGCACTAACACTCAGATTCAAAATTGTGTGACTAGGAATTTGCTGTAGTTCTCAGGCCTCCAGTTCTCTCAGAGACAAATTTCAGCTGAAGAGGCAGCTCTTGTAGCTCCTACCAAATTATACACAAATACCAGTTTAAGAAGCAGTTCCAACAGTTCCTTTGAGAAGTTTGTCACAAGCCCTTTGGGGAAGGATGCAAATATATCTTCATTTGTTTAAAATGGTAATGGTCTCTCCCACTGTCCTATAAAAATTTGGAAATGTTAGATAATTGACTTTGACTTTTGAGCCCCAAATTCAAATATCTGAGCTTCTCTTTCTCTACTAAAAGTTAGTAGAAAAGGGCTGGGAATGGTGGCTCACGCCTGTAATCCCAGCACTTTGGGAGGCCAAGGTGGGCGGATCATGAGGTCAGGAGATCGAGACCATCCTGGCTAACGCAGTGAAACCCCATCTCTACTAAAAATACAAAAAATTAGCTGGGCGTGGTGGCGAGCGCCTTTAGTCCCAGCTACTCAGGAGGCTGAGGCAGGAGAATGGCGTGAACCCAGGAGGTGGAGCTTGCAGTGAGCCGAGATCGTGCCACTGCACTCCAGCCTGGGCGACAGAGCAAGACTCCATCTCAAAAAAAAAAAAAAAAAAAAAAAAAAGTTAGTAGAAAAGCTTAGTAGATAGAAATACTTAATAAAATTTGAAATGCTTTTATGATTATTATTTTTGGTTATATTTAACTTAACATAAAAACTATAGCCCTGGCCAGGCATGGTGGCTCGTGTCTATAATCCCAGCACTTTGTGAGGCTGAGGTGGGAGGGTCACTTGAGGCCAGGAGTTTGAGACCAGCGTAGGCAACATAGACCCCATCTCTACAAAAATAATCTGAAAATAAATTTAAAACAACAACGATGAACTGTTTCGGCCAGGCATGGTGGCTCATGCCTGTAATCCTAGCATTTTGGGAGGCCGAGGAGGACGGATCACCCAAGGTCAGGAGTTTGAGACCAGTGTGGCCAACATGGTGAAACCCTGTCTCTACTAAAAATACAAAAATTAGCCAGGCATGGTGGCATGTGCATGTAATCCCAGCTACCCGGGAGGCTGAGGCACGAGAATTGCTAGAACCCAGGAGGCTGAGGCTGCACTCCACCCTGGGTGACAGAGCAAGACTCCGTCTCAAAAATAATAATAATAATAATGAACTGTTTCCCTGTCTCTGCTGCTAATTAGCTATGTGATGTCAGGCCAGTATTAACTTCTCTGGGCCTCACAACATCGAAAACTGGGTTGGGTAGTCTTGTCCAAATAAGCATAAGAAGATGTGGGCAGAAGGTGAATGTAGCAGTGGCATTTGTCTCAAAGGTCACCAACAGTTTGATATCCTACCTGGGAATACTTCTTTTGTCTCAAATGCTTAATTTTCTGACGTAGCATATAAACAACTGATTTCATTTGTCATTTGCAAATTGTGACATTATGAGGTAAAATTGAGCTATCATTTTAGCAGACCTGTACTATCCCACTTTTTTTCCTAGTCTTGATATTTGTTGTGTACGTATTTATAGCAAAATATTTTTTTGTTTACAAGTCAGTGAAGTGACTCAGGGCGGTGAAAGGAGATGAATTTTACTGTTATTTCAATAATTAAAACCTTGGTCTGGCTAAAGAAACTGTTTTGATGTATTTTCCTGATATACTTCTTTACAGTCTTTCTATCATTTGTTTCTCTTTCAGCTTTCTCGAATGGAATACGTGCACTCAAAGAACCTCATTTACCGAGATGTCAAGCCAGAGAACTTCCTGATTGGTCGACAAGGCAATAAGAAAGAGCATGTTATACACATTATAGACTTTGGACTGGCCAAGGAATACATTGACCCCGAAACCAAAAAACACATACCTTATAGGGAACACAAAAGTTTAACTGGAACTGCAAGATATATGTCTATCAACACGCATCTTGGCAAAGGTGTGTTTTTTTCTGTTCCATGAAAGGGGCGAGTCATTAGAACAGTTTATTATTTCTGTAACATTATATCCCCATTGTGCATTACAACTTGTGGTTTTTATTGTTTCACAAGGTTGAGTGATTTTTATACATGAGAAGTTGAGATGGTAAGTTAATGACTTTTCAAAGAATCCTATAGACTATGCATAGGTTCTTAATTCTTTACACTGTTTCCAAATGTTTAGTTTCTGAGCAGTGTGAGTACTTGAATTATTGTAAAAAGAGGATAGCATTTTAATGAGTTTAGTAATGAATTTGGTATTTACTTATGTATGACCCTATATATGATAGTCCTGAAGAGGACATCAGGCTGGGTCAGCGGTGGGGAAGAGTGCCTCACTAAAAATGGAGTAGACTTCTGTTCACTGCACATAGTTCTGCACAGAAGTCTTCAAGGAAGAGCTTCTGTCTTATTCAGTGAAAATATACTTGGTTTACCATTAGTCTTGCAATTTACTCAGGATAAACAACCTGCACAAATATTGTTAAATGCTCTAATCAAGGCAGAAGACCTTACCTGTGAGGAACTAGCCCAAGGGGGAGAGTATTTGTCAGAGAAGCCTAAGGAACAGTGGGGAGACCAAGCAGGCAGAGCCCTAGGCTTATCCACTTCAAAAAAGCCTCCCTTTTTTATGTTTCATATATTGGGCTTCCATGGAAGATTCTATTTGAAGAAAAGACTCCTAGGTGATTGAAAAAAACATGTTTGAAAATCAACATTCTAGAGAGTAGACAAGCAGAATATTCTCAGATTCCATACTCCTAGGCAGAAATAATTATAAAATATTCTTAAATATTAGTGAACTATTGCACACTAAGATGTATTTTATTTTATTTATTTTTTTGAGATGTAGTCTCGCTCTATCACCCAGGCTGGAGTGCAGTGGCACGATTTCGGCTCACTGCAACCTCTGCCTCGCGGGTTCAAGCAATTCTCCTGCCTCAGCCTCCCGAGTAGCTGGGATTACAGGCATGCATCACCACACCTGGCTAATTTTTGTCCTTTTAATAGAGACGGGATTTCACCATGTTGGCCAGGCTGGTCTTGAACTCCTGGCCTTAAGTGATCTGCCTGCCTCGGCCTCCCAAAGTGCTGGGATTACAGGTGTGAGCCACCGTGCCCAGCATATTTATTTTATTTTTAGAGACAGAATCTCACTCTCACTCAGGCTGGAGTGCAGCAGTGTGATCATAGCTCACTATAACCTCAGTCACCTGAGCTGGAGAGATCTTTCTCAGCCTCAGTAGCTAGGGTTACAGGCGCATGCCATCATGCCCAGCTAACTTCTAAATTTTTTTATAGAGATAGAGTCTCACTGTGTTCCCCAGGCGGGTCTCAAACTCCTGGTTTCAAGAGATCCTGTTGCCTCAGCCTCCCAACACACTGGGATTATAGATGTGAGCCACCATGCCTGGCCTGCACATTAATAAGTATTTTAAAGACTAATGTAATATCTACTAAGTTCCCTCATTGAGTAAACTACACAGGTTATTCACCTGAGGAATTCAAGTGATAGTGAAGAGTAAAAAATGGCATTACAAAGTAGTATGATACAATTCGATTTGAAATTATGATGTTATCAAGATTTTTTCAGTAACCACATGGAAATCCTCACTTAAGTAAATGTAATACTTTAAAATTAGACTAGAGGTCCTCTGGTACTTACTATCAGCGTTACTTTGGACAAGTTACTTAATCTCACTGAAACTCCTCTGTAAAATGAGGGTAATGCTTCACAGGGATATTTTGAGGGTTGAATGGATAATATATGTGAAAGCACCATGTCTGACATAGGTCTCTTGCATAGTGCTCAGCATCCCCTTCTTCCTTCACAATGACAAGTAATTTTCCATTTTACAAGGAAACAAAAACTGTATCTTAAATAATAAACTTAAGATTATGTGGTTTAACTGACAAACTCTAGAAGTTGTTTTAATGCCCACTTCCTGGGCTCAGCCATTTGTGTACTAATTTTATTGTTCTTAAGAGGAAAGACAAGAACAGACAAGGGATGGGTGTTCATGTTATGTTTGTATAAGATACAGAGTAGTGGTTAAGAAAAAGGATGCAAATCCTGGCGCTCTTTCTTAATAGCTATGTAATTTTGATCCAATAACCTTCTTCCCTCAGCCTCGGTTATCTCATGTATAAAATGGGTATGATAATTATGCCTGTAATATATGGTTCTATGAGATAATGTATGTAAAATGTTTAGCATAATGCCTGATAATAGTAATATCAGTCCATATTGTAATTATCCCGATTATTATTTATTCAACAAAATCTGTTTTAAGCATCTACTGTGCATCAGTCTGTTTCATCTCTTGGTGTACTGCCATTCCTGCCGGGACTTTTGAGTTTACCCCCAGACTTGGCTTACTGAGTACCAGAGTTTTTCAGGTCAAATCTAACCTGTCATCATATTTTGTGCTCTCTGCATTACAGAGAATACATAAAGAAAGTTGTCACTGCTTTTTAAACTCTTTCCCATGCCTCAAACGATAGAAGTTTTTGTAGGAACTCTAATGCTATTGGTTTTTAAATGTGTTGCATTTTTTTGTGTTGCAAAGAAGAAATGACTGAGATGTGTATTTTCAAATGGCTTTGAGAAAATCACTTCTTAATTTTACAGAGGAGGAGGACAAGAGAAGAAGCCTCCTAAACCTTGCATTAGTTGCCACATCAGAGTAGCCACACTTACTTAGTCCATTTTGTGTTGCTATAAAGGAATACCTGAGGCTGGGTCATTTTATAAAGAAAAGACCTTTAAATTTGGCTCAGGGTTCTGCAGGCTGTACAAGAAGCATGGCACTGGCATCTGCATCTGGTGAGGGCCTCAGGGGCCTCATGCTGCTTCCACTCATGGTGTAAGGGGAAGGGGAGCAGCCAGCATGTGCAGATCACATGGGAAGGGGGGTGCTAGGCTCTTCTCACCAACCTGCTTTCTTGGGAACTCATCCCTAAGGGAGGTCGTTAATCAGTTAATGAGGGATATACCCCCATGACCCAAACACCTTCCATTTGGCCCAGCTTCGAACATTGGGATCAAATTTCAACGTGAGGTTTGTGTGTGTTGGGGGGTCCGGGGGAAGGACAGAAATCCAGACCATAGTAGCCACCTTCCCACTGATTAAGCTTTTACTGAGAAGCCCAATTTATATTATTTAATGGTTGAAATTAGGGTGAGAACACTGGGTTACCTTGCTCCCTGCCTTCAACAAATATATTTAACCTAAAATCAGGGATGTTATGCATGTAAACCAAGCACATCTTTCTGATTGGATGAAAGCACACCTTTCAACCAATCAGAAGAATTGAAGAATTTTGTGTCCTGCTGGTCTCACTGGTATTGGAAACCTTTCTTCTTTGAAAATGAAAATATGCTGCATGAAAAAATGAGGGCATGTAGAAATAATGAATTGGACAAGTGTGGAGTGTTCAAAGTCGTATGAAAATAAAGCATGCTCTGGTTTTCACTCTTATTTTTTTCCTGAAAGGCCCTAAAGGCTTAAGTTATCAGATTATTTTAGAATTTTAGAGCTGGAAAATGACTTTTCAAATTCTCCCCAGATTGAACACTTTATTTTCAGATGAGGAAACTGAGACCCAAAGTAGGTGACTTGACCATGCTTAATTTCACTGGATTAAATTAGTGGAAAGGATAAACCAAGATCTAGATACCTAAATCGTTGAGCTGATTTAGGTACCCTTATTTTGGGTACCTTATTTAGGTACCCTTCCTGATTTAGGAACCCTTATTTTTCCTATTGTCCCATATTCTATAGTTCTTTTTCATAGTTCTCAGGATTTGAAAAGTTACTTTATTACTTATTCCAGTGAGTTTTAAAAATATATTAATCTCATAATTTATTTTGCTGTGAAATCTTTTTTCTGTAGGCCTGATCAATATTGAAAATGTGGAGAGTTTTCGCCCTCTAGTGCTCAACTGTTTAAAATTCAAACATTTGTCCAGTGAATTTTTAATAACCAAGGGGCTTCTTGTTACAGGAAGTGGATATAAAAATGGAGAGGCAATGAGTAGGTGTGATACAGTATGAGAAACTGCAGAGTCGTTTCTCTATCTGCCCTGCTTTGTGGGAGGCCTCCACTCAACTCTCCTTGTTCTTTTCTCTTTTTCATTTGTGCATCCTTAGGTTGTGTCAACAAACTGTTTTTGTATAACTGCTTTTTTTTTCAATTATGAATATTTTATTGCAAACTTCAGACAAGCCATGTAGACAAAGGATTCTGATGGTCATGCTGTTTTCATTCTTTTTAAGATTGTTTCAATTGTTGTATACCAACTCAGTTTTATGTTATTTATCTCTGTCAGGGTACCTCTCCTTCCCATTAGTAACCATCTTTTTACAACCTCCATCAAATCATTATTTAAAAAGTTGCCTTTTCTTTCTTCATCTACCCTGTAGACTACTATTCTTTTTCATGCAAATTCCCTATAATTTAAGGCAATAGTTAAACATGTTGCACTTCTGTATTTTGAGTTAGCTGAGTGGCTTTCTCTGGCTCTCTTGGGTTTTACTTTCTGTACAAAGAAAGCACAATCAAGTTGAAGGTAGCCTCTTAGTCTTGCTTCTGTAGTTTATTCAGATAAAGCCCTAAACTTGATTCTGAAAAATAAACACATAAAATGTCTGAGATGGGCCAGGTGTGGTGGCTCACACCTGTAGTGCCAGCACTTTGGGAGGCCAAGGCTGGTTGATTGCTTGATTGGCCCAGGAGTTCAAGACCAGCCTGGGAAACATGGCAAAACCCAGTAACTATAAAAAATACAAAAAGTAGCCAGGGATGGTGGTGCATGCCTGTAGTCCCAGCTAGTGAGGAAGCTGAGGTGGGAGGATCACTTGAGCCCAGGAGGGCGAGGCTGCAGTGTCCAAGAACATGCTACTGTACTCTAGCCTAGGCAACAGAGCGAGACCTTGTCTCAAAAAAAAAAAAAAAAGAAAAAAGAAATCTGAGACTAAACCATAATTGGCAAATTCAAAATGAATGCATGGACTGGGTGCAATGGCTCACATGGGTAATCCCAGCAGTTTGGGAGGCTGATATGTTAGATTTGCTTGAGGCCAGGAGTTTGAGACCAGCTTGAGCAACATAGCGACATCCCATCTTCACAAAAAATAAAAATAAATAAATTAGCCGAGTGTGGTTCCACACACTTATATTCCTAGCTACTCAGCTGAGGCAGAAGGGTCCCTTGGGCTCAGGAATTTGAGGCTGCAGTGAGCCATGATCACAACACTGCACTCAAGCCTAGGAAACAGAGCAAGGACTCTGTCTGTAAAAAAGAATAAAGAAACGAAGGTGTGTACTACTTAGATTCTAACAATCAAAGAATGTGTAGGATGTTTTCTGAGATGAAGTTGCAGTTTTTTGTTAACTATTTTGCAGTTCTTTGTCATCTTCACCTTCCCAATTAAAAGGAGAGAAAAACCCAGCAACTTGTTTTAGATACGCTTCCAGAATGCAGGGACTTTGATTTTTTGTTTTATTTTGTTTTGGGATGAGGTCTCATTATGTTGCCCAGGCTTATCTCGAACTCCTGGGCCGAAGCGATCCTCTCACGTCAGCCTCTTAAGTAGCTGGCACTACAGATGTGTGTAGCCTTACCCATCTAATTTTGAGGAGACCTTAGTAATAAATTCTAAAATGTTTTTGAGGTTATAGGACATGGTACAAATTGAATGGGAGCCAAGAGAGTATGTACTGATGTTCATTGATATGAAACTTAATTTTAAGTGTTAATTTTTATGATGAATAAAAAGCACTTGGCATGTTTGCTAGGCATTTTGCAGCTTGTATCTTTGCAGGCCTAGCCAGAATGGACTGTTTTAACAGTTTGGGTTGCTTAATCTGCTGCTCACTCTCTGGTGGTAACTAAAAGGTAATTGTAGCCCATATACTGGAAATAGCATTTCATTAAAATTTTATCACTTTCAGGAAGGTGACAGCATTGAGTGAGGGGTGGAAATTCACTGTTTAGTGATTTGGGCTTGGTTTTAATTCAGAATTTGCTCTTTTCTCTTGATATTTACTTACCATCAACAGATCTAGGCAAAGGAAGTACACATCGGTTTAGGGTTTTGATCTAAAATACTATCCTTGGTTTAAATATACAAGTAATTAGTAAGCAGAGCCTTTCCAGAGCCGAAGGGTTTCTGAAGGGATTACTTGGTTTTGAACCTCTTTCTGCTTTAATAACTGCAAACATAATGTGTGATCTGTCTTCCCTTTTAGAGCAAAGCCGGAGAGATGATTTGGAAGCCCTAGGCCATATGTTCATGTATTTCCTTCGAGGCAGCCTCCCCTGGCAAGGACTCAAGGTATCCTTGAAAGTGTTCAGTGGAGGGCTTTGTTTCAATGCTCAGTTGTTAATGAAGGAGCCTCTGGCTTCATGTTTTTAAGAAATGTGTAGGGGGCTGGCCAGATGCGGTGGCTCATGCCTGTAATCCCAGCACTTTGGGAGGCTGAGGTGGGAGGATTGCTTGAGTCCAGGAGTTTGAGATCAGCAACATAGTGAGACCCCATCTCTATTTAAACATAAACAAATAAATATTTTTTTAAAACAACACACAAAAAGGATTATTGGCTAATTGGCTCTGGAGATAAGAAGCAGGGACTAATTACATTAGTCTACATTATAAATGCTCTCCTGGGCTTTGGAAACTGTTTTGTTCACATTTGTCTTCCGTTTCTTAATTTTTCCTTGTTCTTGGATTTTCCATGATCTTTTCCCTCATTTCCTCCCAGGCTTGACAGTGCTGCTTTTCTCTCTGTGTTGGTATTCCTCCTCCACTACCATTATGTAGCAGGAGGAGTGTTCCCAGTATGTAAGGGAATTTCTGGAACAAATTGTTGACAACAGCTGCTACACATTTTACCAGAAAGGCCAGCAGGGTGTACTCCTCAGGAAAACTTGGAAAATATTTGTTTATCCTATGTAGGCTAAGAACTCACCTGAACTAAAATGAAAATCCAGGTTTAAGATTGCTTTTCAAGTGTATTATTGAATAAATGCCTATTCAGACAATATCTATTCATTGCAAAATGTGTAGAGTTTAAATAGCCTTCCTTAGGTAGGTGTCAGTACAGTGGTTACATGTCAGTTTACTATTATAATTATGAGCATTATCATTACTCTGTGCCTTTGGCTGTTTGGCTAGGAAATGGTGAGCTTCTAACCCATTGTAAGTCCCATTAGTATCTTGTGAGACTTTTTTTTTTTTTTTTTTTTTTTTTTTTTTTGAGACAGAGTTTCACTCTGTTTCCCAGGCTGGGCTCGCTGCAACCTCCACCTCCCAGGTTCCAGCGGTTCTCCTACCTCAGCCTCTTGAATAGCTGGGATTACAGGTGCATGCCACCACGCCCAGCTAATTTTTTGGTTTTTGTTTTGAGACGGACTCTCGCTTTGTTGCCCAGGCTGGAGTGCAGTGGTGCAATCTCGGCTCACTGCAACCTCCGCCTCCTGGGTTCAAGCAATTCTCCTGCCTCAGCCTCCTGAGTAGCTGGGACTACAGGCACACGCCACCACACCCGGCTAATTTTTGTATTTTTAGTAGAGACGGGGTTTCACCATATTGGCCAGACTGGTCTCAAACTCCTGACCTTGTGATCCGCCTGCCTCGGCCTCCCAAAGTGCTGGGATTACAGGCGTGAGCCACTGCACCCAGCCAATTTTTTGTATTTTTAGTAGAGACGGGGTTTCACCATGTTGGTCAGGCTGGTCTCGAGCTCCTGACCTCAAGTGATCACCCATCTAGGTCTCCCAGAGTGCTAGGATTACAGGCATGAGCCATCGCGCCTGGCCCAAGACATATTTTTTGGTTGTAATTTATTTCAACATATTAATATGGAAAGAAACTTAATCAGTAGTTTGGGGTACTCCTACACCCCCTCTTCCAGAAAGGCAGGATGGTTCATTTTGCTGTAGGCTTTCTAGACTATTGTCCTAAAACGTAAGACTTCCACCCATTCCCTTTGAGATTTTATTTCTTCACTCTTAAATTCCTCTCCTGTCATATACATCTTCTCATTGATTTTTATAGCTTTCAAATAGAGTTTCATGTCAAACTTGGTCATCATACAGCCACACAATGCATTAGTGTATTATTAATTGCTTGAAACTCTCTCGTTGTCCATAAATCATTTTAGTGGTAGTTGTAGATCTAAAATTTCTCCTATTTACTTCAGAACACTATTGCTTAAGTCTGAGTGCAGCAAGCTAGGTAAAGCCTGACAAGAATTCCCTAGGAGCCCACTGTTGATCCAGGGTTCAGAAGCCCTCTGGCTATAGCTCTGAGCATACCAGACTTGGGCTGCTTTTGAGTTACTGACATACACCAAACCTGTTAGCCATGGCTGTACCATAGACAACTTTTTTCCCTCTGGAAGCACATTGTTGAAAGACATTTTTCAGTTATTGTTTTTTTTCTGTTCAAAGTCTCAATATATGTGTAGTAGAATTACTTATCTGTTTCCCCCACCTGGATTAGCAGTACTTTTAGAGCTGATCTAAGAGAGAATGCTGAATCATATTGAATTATGGTGGCCATGGGATATTACTAAGCTTCTGCAATTTTGAAAATATTGGCCACATAATATTGTTATTTTCTTATCCTAGCCACTCATCCATTATATTTGATGGTGTTTATCTGAGACAACTAAATATTTTCACAAGTAAAATTTTCCAGAACACAGCAGATGTTTGTATATATCTAAATATATAATTTCTACTACATTTCTTATTTGTTAGTGTTAGAAAAAAAATCAAGACCAACAAATACTGCGAATTTGAGTGAAACAACCATTGTGTCCAAAAACATATTGAATCTCCCATGTTTAGGCCCTCTTTTAAAGTAACTTTCTCTCTTTACTCTCTACAGGCTGACACATTAAAAGAGAGATATCAAAAAATTGGTGACACCAAAAGGAATACTCCCATTGAAGCTCTCTGTGAGAACTTTCCAGGTGGGATGCTAAAAAGACATTCCAGTGTGACTGAGCTTTGAAACTAGGTAGAGTCCATGACTGGGTATCTCTAGATAGGGGTGCTGTTTAGGTAATTAACATTTCCTTTTGTGATACAGACCAAAGTAGGTTTTATCACTTTTATTTTGTCAGTAAAGAAAACATCAGTGTCAAATTGTCTGTATAAATAACCCCTTTGTGGCCCAATGCTTCCCCACAACTGCTATGGAAAGCATTCAGCTAATGAGCAGGGCCTTTCATCTCTTTCCTAACAGAGGAGATGGCAACCTACCTTCGATATGTCAGGCGACTGGACTTCTTTGAAAAACCTGATTATGAGTATTTACGGACCCTCTTCACAGACCTCTTTGAAAAGAAAGGCTACACCTTTGACTATGCCTATGATTGGGTTGGGAGACCTATTGTAAGTATCCTTTTTTTTTTTTTTTTTTAACCTCATTACCTCCTTTCTCCAACCAGCACTGCCTCATGCCTTTACTTGCCAGTCTTTCTGCTTGAATCTTTGGTAAAAATATTCCTTTGATCGTAGACTGTATATTTACTAGCCTTGTCTGGGTGTTGCCATAGGTTGCTCTTACTAGTTCAGAAGTAGGAAGTATTTTTTCCTAGTAATATAGGAAGATAATAACTTGTGTGTCCTAAGATAACAGAATTTAAGCCCAGTTTTTAGGAGAAGTTTCATTTGAATGATTCAGAAGTTTGTTTGTTTGTTTGTTTGTTTTCCCAGGCTGGAGTGCAATGGCGCCAATCTCGGCTCACTGCAACCTCCGCCTCCTGAGTTCAAGCGATTCTCCTGCCTCAGCCTCCCAAGTAGCTAGGATTGTAGGCACACACCACCACGCCCGGCTAATTTTTATATTTTTAGCAGAGACGGGGTTTTGCCATGTTGGCCAGGCTGATCTCAAACTCCTGACCTGAGGTGATCTGCCCTCCTTGGCCTCCGAAAGTGCTGGGATTACAGGCGTGAGCCACCACACCTGGCCCCATGATTCAGAAGTTGATGCCACATACGCTGTTAATGTACTTGACCTTTGTAGCAGTGGAACCCAGCATCATAGGAAGCTTTTGAATTTGTTGTTCTGGTCAGGGGTTCACAGGGCCAAACAGATATCAGTGGAGGAAATTTTTTTTTTTTTTTTTTTTTTTTTTACGGAGTTTCACTCTTGTTGCCCAGGCTGGAGTGCAATGGTGTGAACTCAGCTCACCGCAACCTCCGCCTCCCAGGTTCAAGCGATTCTCCTGCCTCAGCATCCCGAGTAGCTGGGATCACAGGCACGCGCTGCCACACCTGACTAATTTTGTATTTTTAGTAGAGATGGGATTTCTCCATGTTGCTCAGTCTGGTCTCGAACTCCTGACCTCAGGTGATCCACTCACCTCGGCCTCCCAAAGTGCTGAGATTACAGGCACGAGCCACCGCGCCCGGCCCTGGTTTTTTGTTTTCGAAGGTAAGCTACTCTCCAATGAACTATTAAGGACCAGGCTGCCTCCCTTTTGCAGATGAGCAAACTGAGAAGACAAGACAACTTGAAAGTGCTCTTGGTAGCTGAAAATAATTACTACTACTCTATTAGAATTAGAATCATTCTGTCCTTTGCATATGCATCAAGTTGGACCTGTTTCCCCCATTTGACTTTTTGTTTCATTTTTCTAGCCTACTCCAGTAGGGTCAGTTCACGTAGATTCTGGTGCATCTGCAATAACTCGAGAAAGCCACACACATAGGGATCGGCCATCACAACAGCAGCCTCTTCGAAATCAGGTATGTGTTGATCCTCCATTCTTTCAGACACTACCCTTCTTCTTGGCTAATATTAAAACCCAAATTCTTCAGCTTCTCCGCTTTAGTGTATGTACTGAAAATAAAGATCAAATGCTTGCCATTTCTTACAGGTGTGGTATGACTTTCAAGCAACCCTCAGGGCATGTATAGTTGCACTGAGATGTGGCCAGGTGCCCTATATGAAGCATCCAGTCTAAAGAGTCAGCCTGGCCAAGTGCAGTGGCTCATGCCTGTAATCCAAGCACTTTGGGAGGCCAAGGCAGGTAGATCACTTGAGCCAGGAGTTCAAGACCAGCCTGGGCAAGATGGTGAAACCCTGTCTCTACATAAAATACAAAAAATTAGTTGGGCATGGTGGCACGTGCCTATAGTCCCAGCTACTTTGGAGGCTGAGGTGGGAGAATCACCTGAGCCCGGGAAGTCAAGGCAGCAGAGAGCCAAGATTGCTTCCGCATTTGCACTCCAGCCTGAGTGATAGAGTGAGACCCTGTCTTAAAAAAAAAAAAAAAAAAGTGTGTGGGCCTGTCAGAGTCTGTTGGCTGTTGGGGGGAACTAGCTATAAGTTAGGATCAGAGGCATCTACCATAGGACCAAAAGACCTGTTGGAGGCTACTCTGGGCACAGTGCCTGTGGAGTAGCCCTACTCGCCAAGGAGCAGTTTAAAAAAAAAAAGACCTGTCGCACAGACAGGATGTACCAGGTAGCCCACTTTGGGTCTCATCTGTAGTCTGGTCTAGAGCTCTTGCCAGTTCTGGTTTTTCCTTGCTGGTTAAGAATGGTAGGTACTTTGGACTTCCAACTGACTTGGGCATGAAATGGAACCTCCACACCACCCCTTGTTCTTCTACCCGGGCAAATTATAGAGCTGGTCAAGATTTGAGATGGACCTGCAGTGAAGACTCAGCTTAGGCGATGTCATCTGTCCTTCATTGTTCGTTGTTTGGAAAACTAGTGGTCTCAGTGAGGGACATCTCTCAGCCTAAAGACAGATAAGGCAAACACACACCAAAAAATCAACAAGTTTGACATTTTTAAAAAGGGCTTATGTATTTGGGAAGTAAATATGACATAGGATTTTTATCTTTATATTAAATATATTGCTAAGAGAAAAACAGAGACCACAGTAGGTAAATAAGCAAAGCATAATAAACAGATTACATATTTTTAAAATAATTATCACATATCAAATTAGCTTATTTCCTCTCCTTATGATTTCACTTTCTTGTATTAACATTTTTACAAGAAAATACAAAAACATTTATTTCATAGATGCACATGTGCAAGTATATAGGTTAAGAATAGTATATAAACACACACACACACACACACACACACACACACACACACACACACATGTCCAATGGAGTACACCCACAAATATATTTTCTCACCAGTAAGTATATACTCTTGGCAAAATATGTGGTTTGGTGGGTAAGAAAAAAGTATGTAAAAGGAGGAAAGCCATTTACTAGAGAGTACATATAAACGAGAAAATAGGTGGGCAAAAAAGAAAGGGTTAAGCAAACTCTGGGCACTAATTGGGTCCATAGTCACATCCTTTAAAGTCGTTGTTTAAGATTTATAATTTGACTGACTTCTGGTTTGACAACAAAAGACTGTTGACTTCTGCAGTTCTCTCCCATCCCTCCCTTTTTAAAAGCTAATAGCTAGTGCAGGTGAGGGCACAGTTAAACTGACATATTGCTGTTGATTTTACGAATTGTACAAATTCTCTAGAAAGCAATTTCTTTTTTCTTTTCTTTTTCTTTCTTTTTTTTTTTTTTTTTTTGAGACAGTGTCTTGCTCTGTCACCCAGGCTAGAGTGCAGTGGTGCAATCTCAGATTACCTCAACCTCTGTCTCCCAGATTCAAGCAATTCTCCTGTCTCAGCCTCCCAAGTAGCTGGGATTACAGGCACATACCACCATACCTGGCTAATTTTTGTATTTTTATTAGAGATGAGGTTTCGCCATGTTGGCCAGGCTGGTCTCGAACTCCTGACTTCAGGTCATCCACCTGCCTCGGCCTCCCAAAGTACTGGGATTACAGGCGTGAGCCACTGTGCCTGGCTAGAAAGCAATTTGATCAAGTTATTTTCTTCTCTGATGAAATACCTTACTTCTTGAAATCAATCAATAAAACCACTCAAAGTATAGGTTATGTGCATAAAACTGTTGCATTGTCATTGGTAGCAGAGATATAGAAATGATCTGCCTATCCACCTATAAAGGCATGGTTATAAATCTACTTCACATCCTTTATTGAATAAACTGGGTTATAGTAAAGTGAGCTGGACGGGATGGGGAAATAAGCAGAATCAATGGAAGGAGATCAAAATTATTAACAGAAATAGGGTTGGAAGTGTAGTAATATATTCTAAAATATTTTAAATGAAGTTTTATTACTCTATAATGCGGCCAGGCGCAGTGGCTCACGCCTGTAATCCCAGCACTTTGGGAGGCCGAGGCGGGTCGATCACCTGAGGTCAGGAGTTCGAGACCAGCCTGGCCAACATGGTGAAACCCTGTCTCTACTAAAAATATAAAAATTAGCTGGGTGTGGTGGCACATGCCTCAAATCCCGGCTACTCAGGAGGCTGAGGCAGGAGAGTCACTTGAACCTGGGAGGTGGAGGTTGCAGTGAGACGAGATGGTACCATTACACCCCAGCCTGGGCACCACTGCACTCCAGCCTGGGCAACAAGAGAGAAACTCCATCTCAAAAAACAAAAATGCATTTAAGTAGAAAATGTATGTAAAGAAAAAATAGATAAGTAGTGTCATATCACAGTCAACATATATCCTTGTGTCTCTTTTTTTTTTTGAGACAGAGTTTAGCTCTTATCACCAAGGCTGGAGCATGATCTTGGCTCACTGCAACCTCCGCCTCCTGAGTTCAAGCGATTCTTCTGCCTCAGCTTCCTGAGAAGCTGGGATTACAGGTGCCTGCCACCACACCGGGCTAATTTTTGTATGTTTAGTGGAGATGGGGTTTCACCATGTTGGCCAGGCTAGTCTGGAACTCCTAACCTCAGGTGATCCACCTGCCTCAGCCTCACAAAGTGCTGCAATTACAGGCATGAACCACCATGCCCGGCACCTTGTGCCTATTTTTTAGAATATTTTTTATTTTTTAAAATTCTTTTTTACCTCCATTCTCTTAGAATGTGATAGAATTTTTTTTAAAATTTTATTTATTTATTTATTTTGAGATGGAGTCTTGCTCTGTCGCCCAGGGTGGTGTGCAGTGGCGCGATCTCGCGTCACTGCAACCTCCACCTCCCGGGTTCGAGCAACTCTCCTGCCTCAGCCTCCCGAGTAGCTGGGACTGCAGGCGCACGCCACCACACCTGCATAATGTTTTGTATTTTAGTAGAGACAGGGTTTCACTGTCTCCCAGGCTGGTTGCGAACTCCTGAGCTCAGGCAATCCGCCCGCCTCGGCCTCCCAAAATGCTGGGATTACAGGCATGAGCCACCGCGCCCGTCCTAGACTATCTTAAAATATGTGTTTCCTTTACTTTCCTGCTTCAGTGAATTTATAACCAATGCTGTGGTTTTGCATGGATTTTTAAAGTATGAGGAAAAGAGATGATTGAAAACTTCGGTTGTCAGGGTAAAAACTGAGTAGTGAATTTCAATGTACTTTTAAATGAAAAGTCTCTGACCACAGTATATAATTATTTAGGAAAATCTCATCTGTATTTAACTACTATGCTTATTTTTGAAAAGTTGAATCTTGAATATCTCTCTTTGATATATATTTTTTTCTCTTTTTCTTTTCTTTTTCTTTTTTTTTTTTTTTTTTTTTTGAGAAAAGATTTCACTCTGTTGCCCAGGCTGGAGCACAGTGGCACAATCACAGCTCACTGCAGCCTCAACTTCCTGGGCTAAAGTGATCCTTCCACCTTAGCCTCCTGAGTAGCTGGGACTACAGGCACACGCCACCACGCCCAGCTAATTTTTTTTTTTTTTTCGTATTTTCTGTAGAGACAGTTTCACTGTGTTTCTCAGGCTGTTCTCAAATTCCTGGGTTCAAGCAATCTGCCCACCTCTGCCTCCCAAAATGCTGGGAGCCACTATGCCTGGCCCTATTTTTTTAATTTTAGAGTTTTTAGTATCCTGTGGCTGCTAAGAGATTGGAATTCCTTCACGTTGATGTAAATGTTATAACGCCTTCCCACCAGGATTCTGAATCCTTGCTGGGTAAAATTCTTTCTGCACTATGCACTCTGGGTAATGGATTTCTAGTGTCTGTTCAACCTTTGGTCTATGTTAATATTACATTTCTTCTATCTTTAGGATTGTTTTCTTATGCCCTTTTTTTTTTTTTAAGAAAATTTGCAGCCAAATCTCTCTCTTATTACTCTAAGAATTGAAAACAAGATGATTTTCTAGACTAATTCCTTTCAAGTTTTGAAATTAGCAAAAGAAAAATACAGTTTCTCCTTGAGCGAGATTGACAGGTATTGACTTTAGGAACAGCTAACCTTTCATCAGCAACTTTGACTCAGTAAATCTGAGCTGAGGACCTGCTATGTGAAACTGTATCCTGTGGGCCAGGGAAGGTGGCTCACACGTGTAATCCCAGCACTTTGGAAGGCTGAGGCGGGTGGATAACTTGAGGCCAGGAGTTCGAGACCAGCCTGGCCAACATGGTGAAACCCCATCTCTACTAAAAATACAAAAATTAGCTGGGTGTGGTGGTGGGCGCCTGTAATCTCAGTTACTTGGGAGGCTGAGGCAGGAGAATTGCTTGAACCTGGGAGGCGGAGGTTGTGCAGTGAGCCAGTGCACATGAGACTGTGCCACTGCACTCCAGCCGGGGCAGCAGAGACTTTGTTTCAAAAAAAAAAAAAAAAAAAAAAAAGTATATCCTGTGGATACCAAGTAGGGAGTCCTTGTCCTCAAAGAGCTGACAAGTAGATAAGCCAAATGGACAGATAACTATAACACAAGGCAGAACAGATAAGCATCCCAAGTTGCAAATTATTATCATCTGGGTTTGGAAGAAGAAATTTCATCTAGTCTGAGCAAGACAAATAATTTGATGAGAGAAGCTGCATTTGACATGCTTTTAGCAGAATTAAATGAGATGGAAGAGGCATTCCAAGCAGAAGAATATATGATCAACAACAAATGTTTTATCTAGTTCAGTTTTCTAAAATATATGATGCGAGTAAAGGAGTCCTAGGAGACAAGGCTAGGAAAGTAGGTTGAAACCATTTGGTGAAGCTCCTGGAATGCTGGGCTGGCGAGTTGGTGCTTATTTTAAGTAGGAATAGGGACTAAAGATTTTTAAGCAAAGGAGTGATATGATTAAAACTCTGCTTTTGAAATCTTTTGGCACAGAATGTGGTACTAGTCTGGCAGCAAACATGGAAATCATTAAGCAGGCAGTGAATTCCCTTGAGATGTAGAGGGAGTCTAGATGGGTTATAGTAGGGCAAATGAAACAGAATTGAACAATGCTACAGTGATATAATCTACCAGAATTGGCAGCCCACATGAATGTCAGGATTAAGGGAGAAGGAAGAGTCAAAGCTGTTGCAGAGATCTTGAGCCTGGATAATTAGGAGGCATGTGGTACTATTACTAGAGATGGCAAAGTTGGGGGAGGAACTTGTTTGGAATTTGAATTTAGGCATCTTGAGTTTGAAATACTAGCAATGTATTCCACCTGAAGAGGTCTAGCAGGCAGAGGATGGTTCTCCAGAGACAACTAGAGAGATATTTGGGAGTCAAGGCATAGAGATGACATTGATGATAATGCCTAAAGAGTCTCCTTATTCTGGGAAATCTGAGCCTAGGGCTCAACAAACTGTTTAGTCTCATACTTACAGTAGAAGGAGAAAGAAGAGCTCAGACCTTGGTTTTATCTTATCCCAAAACTTTGGCCATAGGACATTTAACCTATTTAGGGTGTCAGCATTCTCAAATTGGAGCCTTGTAAGAGCAGAGGTTTTTGTTGTTTTGTTCACTGCTTTAATTAACCCTAACACCCAAACCAATGTTTAGAATAGTGGGCACTTGATGCATACTTGTTTGAATGAATGAGTGAATGAATGAATCTGCCAAATGAAGGGTGCAGATGTAAATAGATATTTTTTTATAGCATAGATTTTTATTTAACCTTTATTGAAAAATAAATTTTAAGCTTTTCTTCCTACTCGTTTTTGTTTCCACAAAGAGCCATTTTGCCTCTGTTTGGCAGCTAGAGTAGGGCTGGATTGTCTGCTCAAGGGGAGGGGTGTTTAAAAAAAAAAAACACACACAGAGCAGTCTTTTGCAGCAAAGAAAGTTCAGGTGATTGCTGGGCATGGTGGCTCCCGCCTGTAATCTCAACACTTTGGGAGGCCGAGGCGGGCGGATCACCTGAGGTCGAGAGTTCGAGACCAGCCTGACCAACATGGAGAAACCCCATCTCTACTAAAAAATACAAAATTAGCCCGGCATGGTGGTGCCCGCCTGTAATCCCAGCTACTTGGGAGGCTAAGGCAGAAGAATCACTTGAACCCGGGAGGCAGAGTTTGTGGTGAGCCGAGATCGTGCCATTGCACTCCAGCCTGGGGGACAAAAGTGAAACCCGTCTCAAAAAAAAAAAAAAGTTCAGGTGATCTTATTAGTTCTTTTCCATCACAACAAGAATCCTATTTTCCTTGTATTCTGGGAAAATTTTGCTTTGCTTGTTTAGATTTTAGGTATATTGAATTGAGTACTGTTTGGTTTATCTATATACAATAATAAATCCCAAATATGGTTCCTAAAGGACTGCATTTAAACTCACATATATTGGATCTGCCTTTTAAAACTATCTTTATTCCAAGCACTTCTTTTTTTTTAATAGAGATGGGATCTCACTCCACCTCTCAGGATAGAGTGTAGTGGCGTGATCACAGCTCACAGCAACCTTGACCTCCTGGGCTCAAGCAATCCTCCCACCCCAGCCTCCCAAACAGCTGGGACTATGGGCGTGAGCCACCACACCTGACTAATGTTTATTTATTTTTTGTAGAGACAGGGCCTCCTGGTCTCAAACTCCTGGGCTCAAGTGATCCTTCTGCCTCAGCCTCCCAAGTAACGGGGATTACAAGTGTGAGCTACCATGCCTGGCCAAGCACAATTTTTTTGAACATAAATTTTACCTAACTAGAGAACTATAATTAAACTATGAATTTGGATAGAATAAACGTTCCTAAAAGCTAGATCCATTCAGAAAGATCCCAGTTGAGTTAGTCTTTCCATCATTTTATACTTCGTGTTTGTCCTTTCCCAGTACCAAAAGTTGTAAATCTTGCCATGGGTCTGATTCCTCTCTAAAGAACTGCGTATTACAATCCGGCAGAAAGGGGATGAAAACCTTAATAGTTCTGCCTGCTTGCTTCTACCTGGCAAAACGTCCTTTGCATTATCTGATCAAATTCAATCAGGAAGTAAGTCCTGCCGGTATCCACAGATCTGATATTAGAGTACAACATATTGTACTGTCATAGGTTTTATTCAGTGTGCTTGTTCAACACAGTAAATGTAGACTGTTGCATTGACTACTATGTGCATGCAGCAGCACTCTTCCTGCCCTTTCAGTACTTTAAATCCAAGCTTGTGACAATCCTTACGTAAATGCTACATAAACATTACACCGCAATGGTTCAGGAGTTATGATAGCGTCTCCTTTTTCTCTGGCTGACCTCTTTTATTATGGTGGGTTTTGTTGTGGGTATGTGAAAAAGAAGGGCTACTTAGTAACTAGCAGGTTAGAGGAACAGATCCCATTTTGACAGTGGAGAGAGTCATATTGACTATTAAAAGCTTTTAAATGGTAACAGACATGGTATCCTACCCCAAAATGTCACTTACTCTTTTTTGTGTTTTTGTATGTGTAGCATAGGTGTTTTGTTTTGTTTTGTTTTCATTCGCCATGTGAAAAGAGATGCGTAGCATATGTTTAAGGGAAAGAATTTATTCTTTGTAATTTTGTACTAGGTGGACTGTTCCCTTGCAAATTCTCCAATTTGACTAGGAAAATATGAATCAAAGATCAGTAAAGGTAATCTCTCATCCTTCCAAAAGAACCATATTTAAACTAACTCAATACCTTATAATACACGGAAAAATAAACGCAGAATTTAAGAGTCAAATCATGTGAGGTCTGAAGAAGATATGCCTCCAGTAAAAGAGTGTTTTGGATTTGTTTGTATCTAGACTGTAAGGGAATACATTTAAAGGACATAAAGCCTTAGAAAAATATATTGTGGCTGGCTGGGGTCGGTGGCTCACACCTGCACTTTGGGAAGCTAAGGCGGTGGATCACCTGAGGCCAGGAGTTCAAAACCGGCCTGACCAACATGGTGAAACCCTGTCTCTACTAAAAATACAAAATTAGCTGGGCATGGTGGCTCATGCCTGTAATCCCAGCTACTTGGGAGGCTGAGGTAGGAGAATCGCTTGACCCAGGAGTCAGAGTTTGCAGTGAGCCGAGATCGCACCACTGCACTCCAGCCTGGGCAATAAGAGCAAAACTCTGTCTCAAAAAAAAAAAAAAAAAGAAAAGAAAAGAAAAGAAGAGAAAAAGAAAAATATATTGTGGCTTTGTGCTGTTATGCTTAGTGACTACAGCTTGTTATGAGCATAATTTTTCTAAAGGAAACATTAGGCCACATTGCTAAATAGGCAAGGTAGTCAGTTATCTTCATAAAATGAATACCTTAAAAAAAAAAAAAGCTGATATAGTTATTTGTTTCTGTCTTTTTACAGAGTACTGTTTAGTTCTGACCGAGGCTCAGGGTTTGCTAGTTGAAGGGGCTAAGTTTGCGCAGAGATAATCTGCCTCCTTGTGACCTGCGTGCAGTTTCCTAACATGCTGCCTGCCATCCAGTAGGAGCACAGACAGAGATTGCACACTCCTCCTGGCCACAGGATGGCCACAGCTCCACATAGAGCTCAGTGCAGGAGACGTCTGCCCCTCCTCATTTCTGGGACCTTTACTCTGAGAGGAGCTTTGAAACAAGCAAGTGCAAAACTGAAAATAGATTCCTTAGCGTCTTCTGTTCTATCACCTAGTCACTGCGGCTCACCTCTTCTCTTAATTCTGTATTCCATATTAAAAGTTTTTTTCTTTCTGTATGTGTTAAGTGTTTTGTATTTCAGCAGACACCTGTGTTCTAACCCAGCTCCTTGTAGGAGGAAACTTGGTGATTCTGAAGTAATCCTATCTAGATAAACCAACATTTCCTAGGGAGGTATCTTACACCATTGTAAGGATAGGGCAGAGTTTGAATAGAGAATTGCAGACTTCTAGGGTGGTTTCCGTGATTTTTCTAAAAGCGTCACAGAATTGATACTCTCGTCTCTGGATAGTGTTGAGCCTGGGAATAATCCCCTTTTCAGGTTGTTGTCAGTGATTTTTAAACTTCCCTCCTATTTGATAAGGTTTATAGAATACAGGATATCTCTGCACAAATGACAGATTACATGGCATAACCCCTGTCTGGCATGGGAAAACTGGTTATGTTTCATGAGCTTAATAGAAGGAAGTTTTTAGTTTTGTTCAAGTATATACTTTTTTTTTTTTGAGACAGAGTCTCACTCTGTTGCCCAGGCTGGAGTGCAGTGGCGCGATCTCGGCTCATGCAACCTCCGCCTCCCAGGTTCAAGCAATTCTCCTGCCTCAGCCTCCCGAGTAGCTGGGACTACAGGTGTGCACCACCATGCCTGGCTAATTTTTTTTGTATTTTTAGTAGAGACGGGGTTTCACCGTGTTGGCCAGGATGGTCTCAATCTTCTGACCTTGTGATCCACCCACCTCGGCCTCCTAAAGTGCTGGGATTACAGGCGTGAGCCACCACAGCTGGCTCCTGTTCCATTCTTTTCTTCTTCCGTCTTACCCCCACCATATCATAAAAGAAAAAAAAGAAATTTTAATATTGGAAGTGTGATAAAACCAGAATGTAATCCAGTATATTCTCTTTGCTAACCTTTTGGTACTATTCAGTCTCATTCTTGTTAGTTTATAGTTGAAGACAGTTAATGAGGCTGAGAAGACTTACATGAGAGGCCAAAATGTTTCTTTATAAATGGCAGCTTTTAAGGTATTTTTTGAGCCATAAAGTGAAGTAGATAAAGTTGTTTGTATATGTAATCAAAAATAATTTTTTAAAATGAGTTTTTTATGAAGAATAGGATTTGGTGATTTTTTTTTTTTTTTTTTTTTTTTTTTTTTTTTAGGCAGATCTCACTCTGTCACTCAGGGTGGAGTGTGGTGGCACAATCTCAGCTCACTGCAACCTCTGCCTCCTGGGTTCTCAGCCTCCCAAGTAGCTGGGACTATAGGCATATGCCACCACTCCCGGCTAATTTTTGCATTTTTAGTAGAGACAGGGTCTCACCATGTTGGCGAGGCTGGTCTTGAATTCCTGACCTTAGGTGATCCGCCCCCCTCAGCCTCCCAAAGTGCTGGGATTATGGCACTTTGTTAGTGTCACTCTTACATTAATCCCTGCCAAATGAATGCTGGGAGAGATTTTTTTCCCCTGCCATAGGGCATAGGTGGGGGTTTTCACTTTTTCAACAGTCTTCTGTGTTTTCTCAAGTATTTTTGTTACCTTTACCTTTCATTTATGCTATGCTGGATTGCTACTTTCTTGTTTCAAGATTTACCTACTACATAGTAAACCAATCATTTCCATGAAGGTGATGCAATCACGACTGAAAATTTTAAAGCGTTCCCCCAAGGAGTTACCACTACTTGAGATTCCTGCTCCTGCTTTGGGGGACTTACACACTCCATGTGGAGCTCTGCTTTTCAAGTAATGCAGAGAAATTGACTTTGCTGAATGACTTTTCTACTCATGCACCTCTTGAGTGACATTTAATTAGATGTGTATGCATGAGTGATCTTTAAGAATGAAGGATTTACATGCTGATCTCTTCCACTAGTTTGCTTAATCTAACTAGCTACTGTGCTGATGAGGCCTAATCATAACTCCTGTGTACACAGTATTGCCTAGAATACCTTTCTTGGAGAGTTACACTAGCAGACTGCTGTAGTTGTCAGCTTTCTTTGGTTTCATCTATTTCCTAGGCATTCTGTTGCTTTCTAAAACTGCAAATGGCCCTTTCTACTATGTTATCCTCTAGATACCGGTCCAAGCTCTTAAATTCCAGAAAACAGTAGCCCTAGAATTTAACATCTTACCGAAAACTTGCTTCCAAAGTAATAAACCCGCAACCCCTAGGTTCACATCTGTACTTAGTTTTGATGTTTTCAACAGATACAGAAGGCATTGGCGGGCAGTAGTATGGTATAGTGTGTTTTTCCTTCATCATAGTGGAAGCATTTATGAAGCAATCTAGAGTGTTAACATTAGTTTTCTATTTATCTTTAAAAGATAAATAGCATATTGCTTTGAGAATGGAGATGGAATGTGATTTTTAGGCCTTTGAAAAATGTCTTGGTATTTTCATTTAAACAAAAATCTTAAATCTTTCAACAAATTATTTATTGAACTAGAATGAATATAAAGAACCACATAGCCCTGTGAATCAGACAATAGCATAAAACCAGAGTTCTTATGTGTAGTCAGTAAAAATGGAAATAATTGTTGATCAGCTGTCCAGGGTTTTCTTAACTTTAAAAGCCCATGAGTATACATGAACATACATTTCCAGCCATTTTCTATTTTATCTGCCTCAAAAACAAATGCAGGCTGGGTGCCGTGGCTCACACCTATAATCTTAGCACTTTGGGAGGCCGAGGCGGGCAGATCATGAGGTCAGGAAATCGAGACCATCCTAGCTAACACAGGGAAACCGCGTCTCTACTAAAAATATAAAAAAATTAGCAACCTGGTGGCGCGCGTCCGTAGTCCCAGCTACTCGGGAGGCTGAGGCAGGAGAATGACGTGAACTCGGGAGGCGGAGCTTGCAGTGAGCCGAGATCGTGCCACTGCACTCCAGCCTGGGTGACAGAGCAAGACTCCATCTCAAAAACACAAAACAAAACAAAAAAACAAATGCAAAAACAGAGAGCATTCATGAGATGTAATTGCATTTAGTATGTATTATAGAACTCAACATTAAATGGCTTACCATTGTCTGGATTTTTTTAAGCACTTAAGTTTTTAGAAACCTGACAGTACTGTATAATAGTTTAAGAGCTTAAATATTATATTTCAATATTACAAAAAATAAAAAGTTCTAGAGAACTGAAAAAGTCTATCACTGATAGGTTTAGTTATAGATATTACTTCTAATATTACAAGAATAGGTTTATTCTCAGATCTCCAGCAGTCAGAATAAATGAGACTAAGTGCTCTGAGGATATAGACAATGTCAGTAAGTTTATAAAATATGGCCGGCACGGTGGCTCACGCCTGTAATTCCAGCACTTTGGGAGGCCGAGGCGGGTGGATCACCTGAGGTCGGGAGTTCAAGACCAGCCTGACCAACCTGGAGAAACCCTGTCTCTACCAAAAATACAAAATTAGCCAGGCATGGTGGCACATGCCTGTAATCCCAGCTACTTGGGAGGCTGAGGCAGGAGAATCGCTTGAACCTGAGAGGCGGAGGTTGTGGTGAGCGGAGATCGCGCCATTGCACTTTAGCCTGGGCAACAAGAGTGAAACTCTATCTCAACCAAAAAAATAAAAATAAGTTTATGATTATGTTGTACACCAGTCTTATTTTGGAAAATGAAACATTTGAACCTCTTTTGGCAGAAATAATTGTAGTAGGGGAATATTTTGGGTAGCTTTGATTCTCTCTAACATAACTAGCAGCATAAAATCAAACCCCTCATTTATAAGGTAATAGAGCAAGTCCATACAGCTGCCTTCTCATAGAATATGTTTATTCTCTGAGGAAGAGCAGAGAAAATATGAACAGGATCCTTTATAATACTCTTGTCCATATGACTTCGTATTCCATTAATAAAAAGGAGTAAATTGGCCAGGCGTGGTGGCTCACGCCTGTAATCCCAGCACTTTGGGAGGCTGAGGCAGGCGGATCACGAGGTCAGGAGATCGAGACCATCCTGGCTAACACGGTGAAACCCTGTCTCTACTGAAAATACAAAAAAAATTAGCCGGGCATGGTGCTGCGCGCCTGTAGTCCCAACTACTCAGGAGGCTGAGGCAGAAGAGTGGCGTGAACCTGGGAGGCGGAGCTTGCAGTGAGCCGAGAATGCGCCACTGCACTCCAGCCTGGGCGACAGAGCGAGACTCCGTCTCAAAAAAAAAAAAAAAAAAAAAGTAAATTGTAGCTGGTGTACAAAGCTCTGATTTTTACGAGAAATGCCTTTTTGGTGACTTACGGGTGAGCTTTAAGCAACTCTTGTCAATGAGATACTGAAATATGGGGAGTGAATATAGACCCTCAAACCATTACTTCCTTGCCCTTCGTTTTTTATAGAATACAACTTTTATAGCTGTGAACATTTGTAAGATTTATAGTCCTTTCTGGTTTTCATGCAGAGCAGCAATATCACATCCTAACCCCTGCAGCTGTTTATATCAGCAGCAATTAAAATTTGATTTACTAATCCCTCATTGCTGCCTCTCCAACTACTCATTTTTCATTTTTGTAGAGCCTTAGGACTGTTACAGCTGAGCATTATGATGTTAACAACTCAGCCATCTGGCACAGGGGAAGAGGCACCTAAACAGATTCTTCTGGACAAAAGTCACATATGAGCAAGATCAGAATAGTAGCAGATGTAAAAAGCAGGTAAAGAAGGAGAGCCTGAATGATACTAAGGTGAAAGCAGAATCCAAAGAGGTTTTTAGTTGAAGGTCGACCCTCCTTTTGCTTTCCAGAAGAAAATAATTCATAGTATCATATTAATAAGTAAACTTTTTCTAATTCAGTCTAGACGCTGTTAGCTAGAAGAACCAGGCAAACGATGTAGCTATTTTTTTTGTTATTATTATTATTATTTTTTCGAGATGGAGTCTTGCTCTGTCGCGCAGGCTGGAGTGCAGTGGCGCGATCTTGGCTCACTGCAACCTCCACCTCCTGGGTTTAAGCAATTCTCCTGCTTCAGCCTCCCGAGTAGCTGGGATCACAGGTGTGCGCCACCATGCCCAGCTCATTTTTGTAATTTTAGTAGAGACAGGCTTTCACCATGTTGGTCAGGCTGGTCTCGAACTCCAGACCTCGTGATCCGCCCACCTTGGCCTCCCAAAGTGCTGAGATTATAGGCGTATGCCACCACTCCGAACAATCTTAACATTCTGAGTTTGATCTGCTTAGTGGCTACTGAAATTTTACCTCTATGGAAACTAAAAGATGATCCCAGCTTTGACTGTGTGTTTTTTCCCCCTCCCTCCTCTTTTGGTCGTTATTGGTTTTCTGGTTCTGGGTAAGGAGGGTGTGATATAGATTCATGTATTGACTCATTAAGGCTAAAATGAATGTAGACAAGCTTACTTTTCCTCACTGCTTTCCAGTGGTTGTTAGTTTAAAATCCAAAACCGAAAGAAAAACCTACAGGGACACGAATGTACTTGATTTTGTTATTGCTTGCTGTTGCTTCACCTTTCCTTCCATATCTTGCTCTCATGCTTTCTAACGCCTAAGCAGAATGTATCATCAGAGCGCCGAGGAGAGTGGGAAATTCAGCCCAGCCGGCAGACCAATACCTCATACCTAACGTCTCACTTGGCTGCAGACCGCCATGGGGGATCAGTGCAGGTATTTACTGCCTTTATTGCCTTTTCCTGGCCTTTCCAGCTTGGCTGGTGGAATGTTGGCTTGCTTCTGAACCTTCGGCAGCCTTAGAAAGGAAGCTTACAGGAAGGGCTAATTGAATATCTCTGTAGATTTTCTGTCTAGGTGGACTTGGGTAAGAGTCGCTTGTTAAAATGATTACTTCCTGTTGTCATTGACTAAGAAACATCTATATGATTTCTGATACTGATTTCTGGTTAACCTAGTCCTACCACCTTGATGCATTCATGATAAACCATAAAAATAACATCAAGGTAGGATTGTGTTAGTGTCAAGTCTGTGAATTGTAAAGACCTGAAACTTACAAGTATTTTTTGAATAGAGGACTAAAGGACTGCATATGTTGCTCATTCCATGATATGTGCCTTAACGCATAAGCTGAGAATGTTAATTTGTATAAGTCATCTGTTTCTGAGTGGGTACCCAGGAAGTTGGGCTGTTTCCTTTTTTCTCCCTGGAATCAATGTGATCTTAAGAAAATTATTTCTGATTTCATTTGGGCTATTCTGAATCTCTTTTTTCTGTTTAGTACTAGAACATCTGGTATCTCTTAACTTGTCTTACATGTGAATGTTTTTAATAATCTTAGCCTCAATATTGTTCTCATACTGGTAAGTGACACCATCAGTTGGGACACACAGTGAACTCAGAGCTGTCAAACATAAATTCTTATAAAGGTGCAGACAGGTTTGTACATGTAGAAATGCATCTTGGTAGCCTTGATCATCTAGGATATGCTGTTACAAGGAGTGATTCATGGAAAGATCTTAATCACAGCTTGAAAGACAGTTTTGGCCCTATAGAAAACCACATAGGATCATATAGGTTAAAATGATGGATTGAGGCTGGGCGTGGTAGCTCCTGTAATCACAGCACTTTGGGAGGCCAAAGCAGGTGGATCACTTGAAGTCAGGAGTTCAAGACTAGCCTGGCCAACATGGTGAAACCCCATCTGTACTATAAATACAAAAAAAAAAAAATTAGCCAGGCCCGGTGGCGCATACCTGTAATCCTAGCTACTCAGGAGGCTGAGGTGGGAGGATTGCCTGAATCTGGGAGGCAGAAGTTGCAGTGAGCCGAGATCATGCCACTGCATACTCTAGCCTGGGTGACAGAATGAGGCTCCATCCCCCCCAAAAAAAACCATGATGGATTGGACAAGACTGAGCAACAAAGGGAGAGCTCATCTCTACAGAAAGTTAAAAAATTAGCTAGGATGGCCAGGCGTGGTGGCTCGCACCTATAATCCCAGCACTTTGGGAGCCCAAGGTGGGCAGATCACAAGGTCAAGTGATTGAGACCATCCTGGCCAACATGGTGAAACCCCGTCTCTACTAAAAATACAAAAATTAGCTGGGCATGGTGGCGCATGCCTATAGTTCCAGCTACTCAGGAGGCTGAGGCAGGAGAACGCTTGAACCTGGGAGGCAGAGGTTGCAGTGAGCCGAGATCACGCCATTGCACTCCAGCCTGGGTGATGGACTGAGATTCCGTCTCAAAAAAAAAGAGAAAAAAATCATTGCTCTTAGGAGCCAGGCACAGTGGCTAACACCGATAATTCCAGCATTTTGAGAAGCCTAGGCAGGAGGATCACTTGAGGCCAGGAGTTCTTGACCATCCTGGCAATATAGCAAGATATTGTCTCTACACAAAACAGAAAAATTGGCTAGGTGTGGTGCTATGTGCCTATAGTCCTGGCTGCCAGGAAGGCTTAGGCGGGAGGATCGCTTGAGCCCAGGAGTTTGAGGCTGCAGTGAGCCATGATCGTACCACTGCATTTCAGCCTGGGTGACAGAGCAAGACCCTGTCTCTTTAAAACAAAACAAAACAAAACAAAACAAAAAACTCAATTTTATTTCTCAGGCACACTTTCTTGTGAAGCCACATGAGGATGTGTGTTATCAGAATTAATAGAACAAGAGAGTAGCAGCTGTGTGCAATAGCTCATGCCTGTAATCCCAGCACTTTGGGAGGCCGAGGTGAGCAGATCACAAGGTCAGGAGTTCAAGACCAGCCTGGCCACTATGGTGAAACTCCATCTCTACTAAAAAGTAATTTTAAAAAATTAGCTGGGCGTGGTGGTGGGTACCTGTAGTCCCAGCTACTTGGGAGGCTGAGGCAGGAGAATCACTTAAACTCGGGAGGCAGAAGTTGCAGTGAGCTGAGATTGCGCCCCTGCACTCCAGCCTGGGCGACACAACAAGACTCTATCTCAAAAAAAATAAAAAGAAAGGAATATCTGGGATCCAGGAAACCAGAGATCCAGCACAGGAAAGAAACAAAGGGAATCCCTAATATAATAATAAAGTTAGGAGATCCTGGGATCTGTACACCAATAGAAGAGAGCAGCTTGTTCAAAACAGAGCTGCAAGAGCAGCTCTTTGGTATTTTCCTTTTTAACATTATGGTTTATCCTTGTCTTTTTATAATTACAAAATAAGCATATTTCTTTTTCTCTCTTTTTTTTTTTTTTTTTCGAGATGGAGTCTGGCTCTGTCATCCAGGCTGGAGTGCAGTAGCGCGATCTTGGCTTACTGCAACTGCTGTTTCCCGGGTTCAAGCGATTCTCCTGTCAGCCTCTAGAGCAGCTGGGATTACAGGCACGTGCCACCACACCCAGCTAATTTTTGGATATTTAGTAGAGATGGGTTTTTGCCATGTCATCCAGGCTGGTCTCAAACTCCTGACCTCAAGTGATCCACCTGCCTTGGCCTCGCAAAGTCCTGGGATTACAGATGTGAGCCACCGTGCCTGGCCTCGTAAAGTGTCCTTTAGAAATGGATCCAACTGAGGTGTCTTTGGCAACTCTTTTGAAACATGCAACTTCCTCTACTCCCTATAAACTAAGTTTTACCAGCTTCCTTGGCACTTAGATAGAGGACAGGCAGTTACACCATTTACCTAATACTATGTTCAGCTCTGCTGCTCCTCATTACTTTGGCCTCTTTGGGCTGACACTGTTTTTAGCATACCTTTTGCAAACCAGATTAACAATACTTTCCTAACACAACAGATGTCCACATATTTCTGAGTTGTCTCACTTGCCAGAGGTAATGTAGTAAAATCATGTTTGGCCTAACCTGGGTGACTTGCAGACACCATGACCCTGGGAGGGAGTGCAGAATCTAAGACAAGAAAAGTTTGCTCTGATAAGGCACATGAAGGCTCCTGTTCCAACATATTTAATGGGCAGACCCCCATGGTTCTCATCCTTCCAGTATTTCCACAGATCTTTTATGTGTGGAAGGCCTAAATGCAAGAAGATAATATATTTTCCCTTTCAAAAAGATTCCTCTAAAGTTGTCTGAATTAAAATGTTTAGGGAGCTTTTAGAAATGTTCAGGACCAAGTAAGGACATAAGACTTAGAATGACACATGAGTTGAAGTACTGTTTCCTTTGGTACACAGCTCTGATTTCTCCTCACAGTGACATTTTGAGAAATGAAACTAATAACCCAAATTATTGAGACTCCTAAAAGGGATATTACCAGGTCTGAACGTCAAAACAGTCCTTCATCTTAGTCTTTCTCATGAGTAATGCTTTAAGATATTAATTGGTCTTGTTTGGTATAGCCAGAGTAATGAGCGATTAATTTTAATAGTGATTAAAGCAAAATAAATGTCTATTTGAAGTATGCAAATCTTTTTTTTTTTTTTTTTTGAGACAGAGTTTCGCATTGTTGTCCAGGCTGGGGTGCAGTGGCATGATCTTGGCTCACTACAACGTCCGCCTCCCAGGTTCAAGCAATTCTTGTGCCTCAGCCTCCTGAGTAGCTGGGATTACAGGCGCCCGCCACCACGCCCAGCTGATTTTTTGTATTTTAATAGAGACGGGGTTTCACCATGTTGTCCAGGCTGGTCTCGAACTGCTGAGCTCAGGCAATCCACCTGTCTCGGCCTCCCAAAGTGCTAGGATTACAGGCACGAGCCACCGTGCCTGGCCGCAAATAAAGCTTTTTATAATGAAGCTTATTTTTTATTATCTTTTATAATGACATTATACTAAAAATTTATTTATTTATTTATTTATTTTTTGAGACGAAGTCTCGCTCTGTCACCCAGGCTGGAGTGCAGTGGCATGATCTCTGCTCACTGCAAGCTACGCCTCCCAGGTTCACACCATTCTCCTGCCTCAGCCTCCCGAGTAGCTGGGACTACAGACGTGTGCCACCATGCCCGGCTAATTTTTTGTATTTTTAGTAGAGACGGAGTTTCACCGTGTTAGTCAGGATGGTCTTAATCTCCTGACCTCGTGATCCGCCCACCTCGGCCTCCCAAAATGCTGGGATTACAGGCGTGAGCCACTGCACCCGGCCATAAAGTTATACTAAAAATTTAATAGAAAAAAAATACCAGCCAGATCACTTGGGGTCAGGAGTTCAAGACCAGCCTGGCCAATATGGTGAAACCCCATTTCTACTAAAAAATACAAAAATTAGCCAGATGTGGTGGTGCATACCTGTAGTCCCAGCTACTCGGGAGGCTGAGGCAGGAGAATCGCTTGAACTCGGGAGGTAGAGGTTGCAGTGAGCCAAGATCACGCCACTGCACTGCAGCCTGGGCAACAGAGCGAGATTCCATCTCCAAAAAAAAAAAAAAGAAAAACATAAAGATAATATTGTTTAAAATGTCAGTAATTTGTTATTCATAAGATTCTTTTTAATTCTTTAAAATTTATTTTCTAAACATCATTGTATTTAATTCCCTTCATATTTATGAAGTTGATAGGATCATGGTCATTTGCCTTGTCTTATGGAATTAGAAAATAGGGCTCACAGAGGATGTTAATGGTAGAACAAGGCCTAGAATCCAACTCTTCCATCACTTACACAGTGTTTGTTCCACTGCCTGCAGTTCAGTAGTTTGACAAACCAGACCTCCAACCTGAAATAATTAAACGGATGCTGTGAAGGCCCAGATGTGTAGCCTTTAAGTCTTAGGTATGTTTTTGGTACAATTAAGTTTAAAAGTAGAGAATGGAGGCTCTGTTTATGTCTCATTCATTTGAGACCACATGCTCATTGATACAGACAAGATGTCTAGTCTGTAAAATGGGGATAACCTCTTATTCCTTAGATTGCCCAAGGACAGTGCTTATGGCCCAAGTGGCAATTTGTAGCGAGGAGAATTTAGGAAGTATAAGCCATGTGAAACGCTGTGAGCAGGCCCCATGACCCAGAGTCACCAGGTAATTCTCAGTGGTGATGCTTACTAATGTTTCATTCGTGTGAGTAGAAGCCAAGACATTTTATTTAACGTCTTGTCTAGTTCCTGAATTGTCCACTAGAAACTTACTATGTTTCCTGTAACCTTTGTGCTCACAGAATGAGTTTACCAGTATTATCACTGGTATGCAGCCAGAATATGTCCACAAGAAGCAAATGAAGCACTGAGGAAATTAACAGGATAGCATTAGAGTGAGGAGCTGTGGTTTTCCAATCCATATACCCTCCTTCCTCAACTTTTTGGTTTTGCTGGTTTTTCTTCAACTTTTTGTATTGAAAATTTCAACTCTACAGAGAAATCGGGAGGGAAATGCAATAAACTCTTGTATATCTTTAACCTTGCTGAACGAATTATTAAGATTTTGCCATATTTGCTTTAAATCTATGAGTGAAAGTGTGTGTGTGTGTTTGCTTGCTAAACCATATGAAAGTAAGTTGCAGACATCATTATATCTTATCCCAAAGTACTTCAGCCTGTATCTTCTAAGAACGAAGACATTCTAAGAAAGTTAATTTCATAATATCTAATATATAGTTCATGTCACATTCCACCTAATTCCAGTTGTCCCCAGAATTAATATTGTAGTGTCCAGGATTTAATCAAGGTTCATGCCTCACATTAACCAATGCAATATGCCTCATCAGTCTTTTACAATGTCTTAGTCTCTTTTAATCCGTTTTAATCTTTAAGTCTCCCTGTGTTTAAACAAATAAAAGTCTTCTATAAAGATTCAGCTGGAGGCCGGGCACAGTGGCTCGTGCCTGTAATCCCAGCACTTCGGGAAGCCAAGGCAGGTGGACAACCTGAGGTCAGGAGTTCGAGACTAGCCTGGCCAACATGGTGAAACCCCATCTCTACTAAAAACAAAACAAAACAAACAAACAGCCAGGTGTGGTGGCACATACCTGTAATCTCAGCTACTCAGGAGACTGAGGCAGGAGAACCGCTTGAACCTGGGAGGTAGAGGTTGCAGTGAGCCGAGATCATGCCACTGCACTCCAGCCTGGGCAACAGAGCAAGACTCTCTCTCTCAAAAAAAAAAAAAAAAAAAAAAAAAACGGGTTACTAATGAGAACAATAATTATTTCTTGTTTAGAAATAATAGCGGATATAGCTTGCTAGTAAGTAGTATTCACCCTATCTGTCCCAAAGGCTACGTGTACTATATATTTCCTCCCACCCTCCTCTTTATGACTATTCAGGAAATTTTTGTGGATTAACTGCTGGTGAGGACCCCTGAGCTAGAGGCAGATAAGAATAAACAGTTACGGAGAGAGAATAACAGTAAGATGACCACTTATTGAGCTGTTACCATGTCTCATGCCACTGGGCTAAGCACTTTCTGTGGGTTGTCTGCACAGTAAACACCATTAGGTAAGCAGCATTGTTCTCCCATTTTAGAGATTAGGAAGCTTAGGCATAGACTGAGGATCTTGCCCAAAGACCCACAGCAAATAACTGGTGGAGCTGGGGTTCAAACTTAGGGCTGATTAGGGCAATTTCTACACTATGCTGCTTCCCTTATTTATGCTAGGTATTATACTAGACAGTCTCATACATTTTCTTGTATAATTCTCTCATCAACCTATAAGAAACAATCTCAAATAGATGGAAGTACTTATCCAAGGGCATATGATATCCAAATTGTTTATCCTATTTTGTGTTCTCTCCCATGTTTCAGCCAAGGTCTTTAACAAGCAGAGTGTTTTGTCCAGCAGTGAGGCCCCTTTTCCCACTTCCCAGCACCCACATAAACAGGAATAATGTGCTGGAAATGAAACCAGGTGGCAGAAGCAGCTACACATGCAAGAGAAGCCTGATTGGGTCCACATTAACCAGATGACAGGAGTGAGAGCCTTCACTTACATTTCGGGGACCATCAGTGAGAACTGGGATGGCAGTGAACCTGAAATAAAGATCGTTGAAATAAGACTGGCTTTCCAAGGGAGAGTGTTTTTTTACCATCTTCCCTCTTGTCGGAGAGGATGTGACAATCTTGTTATTTGTAACTTCGAACCAGTGCTCAAAGCCATGAGGAAATTTCTGAAGGAAAGTGTGATTATTTATAGTTTCTGGTACCCACTGTTGACTTCCTTTTTAGAACTTTTTCTTTCAACATCAGCACTAAGTCTATATCATTATAGCATAATAAACTGAGAGAACTAGACTTCACCCATCACATTCAAGGGAGCCAAGTGATTTTACCTTTAGAAGTCAGCCATGCAGTTATTTTTAACTTAACAAAGTAATGTGTGTGTTTTTGCAATATGAAAGAATCTGTGTTTAGAACAAATTTTCCTCATGGAAATTCACAGATATTAACTCTAAACCTTGGTTAAGTCATTTGTTAGTGTTTCCATCTGTAAAAAAACCTATTTCATAAGATTTTTGTAAGGATTAGATTTACACACACAATGTAGCAGAGTGTCAGACACGGAGTAGGCACTCAGTATGTAAGTTATTATCATCATTATATGATTACATCATTGATATTAGTGTTCTCGCATGATATGGGCCTGGGAACCTTCCCTAAATTGATCCCTTAACCCAGGAAAACAAACATTCCAGACACTGCCTGTTTAGCGACCCTGTCTGGCGCTGGCAAGAGATTTCTGTTGCCATGGTGCCTGTCACACACTTCTGTCTTTCTGTTTCAGGTGGTTAGCTCAACCAATGGAGAGCTGAATGTTGATGATCCCACGGGAGCCCACTCCAATGCACCAATCACAGCTCATGCCGAGGTGGAGGTAGTGGAGGAAGCTAAGTACGTACATCTTTCAAGGGGGCTCTTAAGTCATGGGTTGAAAAATCTTTTCTGTCTCTTCCTCTCTGTGTGCTGCTCGTCTCAGACTGGATTTCTCATGCTTGTAACCACAGCTTTCTTCCTTAACTGTTTTAATTTTTGCATGGTACCTTAAGGCTGCTACTGCCCTTCTTTAGCTGTGATTTCGGGGAAGACAGTCACATTTTTCTAGTTCACATGAAAAAGACATAGTGAACCGAAAGAATCATGTTATCAGGGCTACAGTGGATAGTAGCCATGAGCTTCTTGGGGCTGTGGAGCTTCTTGCTCTATATGGGATATAGAGAAAAATCTGCTGTTAAACCATGGGCCATGCTGAATAGCATTCGATTTCTGATTGTGGGCTAGCAACTGGATGTACAATCATGGAACAAGGAGTTCAGGGCCATTTTGTTCACTCTCAAATGATTCTGGCTTCAGAGAGACTAAGTCAGGCAAGAAAAATATTATAGTCTGCATCTGTGAATGAGAGTGTGGGAAAAGAATGGAAGTCATACTCATCTCAGGAGGGTAAGGAGGTTGCCCCACACCCTTTTCTGCTTCTCTTGCATGTGTATGTCTTGCCCCACCCATACCACCAGCCCCTTGGTGCGCTGCATGGTCTGTGTTTAAACTCTTAAAATCTGGGGTGGAAGGTGAGATAACTGCCAATTCTGCTGCAAAAGCAGCATTTCTACCACTTTTTTCCCCATCCCAAATTTAGATCCAGATTTAGACTTCAAGAAGATACCAGGTAGGGAGAGATAGAGACACCATGAGTCAGTAACTGCTGCTATCCCTGATATGGAGGACCTTTCTTGTGAGCCCTTTGAGAACCTTCAGGATATCCCAGGGTCTTGTTTTCTGAAGCAGACAACGTATTTATAGTGATATTGTACCTAAGTAGTCTCATGAGCCCCCAGGTAGCTTAATACAAGCCAGAACACTCTTATACCTCTAAATGTAAGTTAGTGAGATGCCACTGAGACCTGCATTCTTCCACCTTCCAGATGTACTTTGTATTGTTGTCTTTCCTGCCTATTCCCCTGGTCTCCTGCCCATCTTTTTTATTTATTTATTTTTTGAGACAGGGTCTCTCTCTGTTGCCAAAGCTGGAGTGCAGTGGCACGATCATGGCTAACTGCAGCCTCTATTCCCCAAGCTCAAGTGATCCTCCTGCCTCAGTCTCCCAAAGTCATGAAATTACAGGCATGAACCACTGTGCCCAGCCCTGCCAGTCTATTTGATGAACTCATTTTACCTTCAAGAAGTCCTTTCTAGCCAGGTGTGGTGCTTCATGCCTGTAATCTTAGCACTTTGGGAGGCTGAGGCAGGAGGATCACTTGAGTCTAGAGGTTTGAGACCAGCCTGGGCAACATAATGAGACCCCAACTCTATAAAAAAATTAAAAATTAGCTGGGCATGGTGGTATGCACCTGTAGTCCTAGGTACTTGGAAGGTTCAGGCTGCAGTGAGCTATGGTCATGTCACTGTACTCCAATCTGGGTGATAGGTGCGACCCTGTCACACACACACACACAAAAGTTTTTGGCCAGGTGCAGTGGCTCACACGTGTAATCCCAGCACTTTGGGAAGCTGAGGCAGGAGGATCACAAGGTCAAGAGATTGAGACCATCCTGGCCAACATGGTGAAACCCCGTCTCTACTAAAAATATAAAAATTAGCTGGGTGTGGTGGCATGCGTCTGTAGTCCCAGCTACTCAGGAGGCTGAGGCAGGAGAATCGCTTGAACCCAGGAGGCAGGGGTTGTGGTGAGTCGAGATTGTGCCACCGCACTCCATCCTGGCGACAGAGCGAGACTCCATCTCAAAAAAAAAAAAAAAAAAGAAAATTTTTGCTTGGAAAACCAGGGCTTGAGGATTCCTACCCAATACATCAAAAGTAAATGAGGATGACTTGACTGTCTTTTGTTGAGCCCCTGCTAACTGTAGGCAGCTTCAGAGCTCTTCTCCCAGCTTGTATAAGGCACTGATATATAAGGGGGTGAGGGTTATGCTGGTTATGCCAGGAAAAGGCCATTTTAATAAGGAAACATGCTCCTATTCTCAGGGACTTTGGAGATATTAATGGTACTCACAGTTTTTCGATTTCCATACAAAATTACATTATCTTAAATAAACAATATGTTACTCCCACCCTCTGGGCTCTCAACTGGCTGCACTTTGGAGTCATTTGGGGCATGGTAGAAAATACAAATGTCTGAGTCTGGCCTCAGGCATTCTGATTTAATTTATTGAAATGTGGCCCGAGCATCAGGAATTTTAAAAGTTCAGGTCATTCTAACATGTAGCCAATGTTGAGAACCACTGTACCAAGCGTGGTCTGATTCAAACATTGTCAGAGCTTGAAGGATGGCCGTACCTGTTCCCAGCTCCCACCCCATTCTCAATTCACCTTTGTGGCTATTACTTTGAAGGCTAGAAGTTTAGCTTTGGATTTAATAGTATACTTTGAATGCAGTAATCAAATGGGCTTTAGTTTTATGTTATGCCCTATACAGGTTTATCTTTTGAACCCATTCATCTCATCTCATTTTGGTAAATGTGTATACTAATTGTGTATGTGAGTGTGGTATTTGTGTTCTGTGTGTAAGATATGGGCTCATTCACACAGAGATTTCAATCTGGTGTATTCTGTATTGGTATAATCTAACCTCTAGAATGTAAGGAGAGTTTAAAGTCTTGTCATTTAGCAAAAAGGACAAATGTGCCTCTTTGCCACCAGCTTCAGGTTTGGACCTTCTAAAAGATGTAGAAAGCATAGGGGAGAAATTATATTTGACCAGATGTCATCCCGAAGCTCATGGCTTAGGGCATTTAGTGATTTCATGGGCTATCAATCCATCTTGCCCAGAGAACTGTCAGGGCCCAGCCATGTGTTATTTTTCTTGGCCTTTGCGTGTGGGGGCAAGGAAAGGGTAGCCCTGTGTCCACCTGGTTGATCATTTTCATGGGAAGAAGTCACAGCTAGAGAAGCACGAGGTGTTCCAAACAGCCCCTCATTGCACGCAGCTGTGATGCCATTTGTTCATGCAGCCTGCTTGTGGGGTAGAAGGGGATGATGCTTATATTGAGACACACCTCAGTACTGGGGAGACCATGTGAAACCTTCACTTTCAGGCTTTTGATTTTGGGTTCCTCACCCAGCTTGTTTAGTGTAAAGGTGGAAAGAAATAACAGGGTCTTAGGTTTTGTTCTGTGTACAAAACGAACATGTGAATTCCCTTTTTCTCTAGCTCCAGGACATATGTCCTTGTTTATGGTTTAAAGGGTGGTGAGGGCAGGCAGCTTTTTGGTTGATTTTTGTTACAGTAAGAATACAGGAATTTTTGGTTATCCAGACTTTAGCTATAATTTAACAAATGTGAACCTCATTTCTCCTGAGCATTAACAAGAGTAGAATTTAGGTCCTTCTCTGGTAGTTATACCTTAATACAGAGCAGTGACCCTCCTTCCTCTGATTCATCTTCTAATAAGATAAAGTAAGTGTCGCTTAAACCTTTTCTCCCTCTCTAGAGGAAGAGCTAACTGCTAGCTGCTTTGATCAGGCATGTTGGACTTGCACAAAGGCTAGGGACTTTCTTTTTCCCTCAGAATATTTGAGAGGCTAGCTTAATATTGCACAGTAAGACTTCATATGGGAACCAAAATGGTTCACCCCTGGTGCTTGATTGAGTTCTTACAGGCAGGGTCATTTGCTCTTTCCCCTGCTGCCTTCCTAGAAGTTGCCCAGGAAAGCCCACCCTGGAGCTCCTACCAACTCTTTCTGTTTTGCCTTACCCCTGAGATCCAGCTCCCACCTTGATGCTTCTGTCAGGCTCCTGTCCGAACCCTCCACTTTAACGTGGGGACCAAGTGGCCTGGGCCTACTCAGCCTACCTTGACAGAAGAAGAAACTAAACACAGACACATACTGCATGTTTGCATGGCTCACAGGGAGTCGCTTCCATTTCACCTCTGTGGACTAATATCTCTCTCTTTCTCTCTCTTCCTTTCTGTGTTTTTCTCTTTATATACTCTGTAGCTGCCTGAAAATGCTCAACCTGTGGTGAGTCCCTCTCTCCAGTCCATTGCAAGGGGAGTGGACCAGACTAGGCTGGGACTGGCAAAGCCAAACAAAATGCCTTAGGAACATTAAATAGCTTCCATAGGACTCCTTGTGCCATAACCACCCTGACTGGGGATCTAGATCCATAAGGTGGGGATGGGGCAGGCCTGTACCCAGGAATTAATCTATTCCTTCTTTCAAACCCATCTTATCGCTGTCTCCTCCTGCCATAACAGTATCCCACAGTATCCAAAATTATCTATTTTTAGCTGAGTAAATTTTCTCCCAAATTAATACAACCAGATATGGAGAGGGACAGAAGTAAAAGGGCAAGATTACTGTATCAGTTTTTATGTAGCAGTTGTGTTTACTCACAGCCGCAAGGATAGTGAGTTGTTGCTGGATAATCTCACATTCTGCAATGTGGTCTCTAACCTGGAAATTGGCTGCTTTGGGAAAATCTGACTTTTTGATTCAGCTGGCTCTTCCCTCTGTAGAGTAGCAACCTCAAAAAAGGGGGAGCTCCTTCAGGGAGAGGTGGATGTTTTGTTGTTGTTGTTTTGAGAGTTGTTTTGTTTTTGTTTATTGTCTTTTTCTTTATTCCTATGTGAGAGTTTAGTAGGCCAAGGACTGACTCAGCTAATTGATATATTGGAGCCTGTCTTTTCCACTCCTGGAAAAGGTTCCTGGAATGTATTTTTAGGAATAACATGGAGTTTATGGAAGGAGAAGCCCTCAAGAATCCATGTGTGGTGAGGAACATTCTTGCTACAAGACATAGCCCCTTCCCCTGCTCTCTTGCCTGTGACCTTCCAGGTACTCCTGAACTTGTTGGTCTGTTGCAGTCTGGAATTTTAACTCTCCCACATTGTCCGCACGCATAAAGTCATGCTCTATATGGAGGTAACAGCCTGCTAGTTTCATGACTGCCATGTTTCTATTTGTCTTCAGTGACTGGGTTGGGCACTGGTTTCTGAACCCTAACTATCTAAGCCAGATTGCCTACAGGGGCTTCCTCAGGGACAGGAATGTATTAAAGAAAACAACTGGGTTTTGTGGAGGTCAGATTTATAGTCTTAGGGGATCAAAGAATACCTTTGGCTATTTGTTTTGCAAACATGTGTCTGTGTAATCCGACATTGTGGTGGTCTATTTTTTCCTGTGAGGTGTCAGTCACATGATCCTTACTGCAGATACTTGAGGGCCTGCTATATGCTTATCCAACCCTGTGCTTGGAACTCTAGTGGGGTGGGGGGTGGGGTTACAAAATTTGCCCCAAAGAGCTTGGGTACCATCTAGCTGAAGAGATCAGACATACACATGAAAGGATAAGGAGTTCTGCAGGACATTGAGATTACTGCCCTTGAGAGGCTGAGGGGCCAAGAGGTCACCATGGACAGGATGGTCAAAGAAGTCCTTGTAAACACTGTAGGACTTGAGTTAAGTATTAGAAGAAAGGAAGAATGTACACATATGGCAGAGAAAAGGAACATAGCAAGGGAATAGCTGAAGAGAGAGGGCCAGGACATAGTAAGAATGCCATATGGAAAAGGTAGTGGGTCAGAGGCCTGGGGTAAGAGCACTAGATGGCTTTGAGAGTAGGGAGATTTGGATCGATTTTGACTCCAGCATGTTGAGAACTTCTTGTCATCTAAACAGTCAAAGAATCAACTGAAAGGAAACCTAAGCCATGAGGTGTCCACCACCTGCCTTCATTCTCTTCTGAGAGGAACACATCTGAAAGTCAATCAGTGGACTTGGTCTAGAGTCTGACCCAGTTTAATAGATCCTGTTGCTAGTAGTCACCACAGACACCAAAGAGTTGAAGAACAGATTGTGGGGCCTGCTTTCTTGTAGGTAGAATCATTAAAAGCCTTTGCCACTGCTGAAGCTTTAACTACAATAACTAGCAAAGATAAATCCAGGGCTCTAAATTTGAAATATTCCAACTCCTTTGAACCATAACTCACACTTCCTTTTAGTTAGGTGGGTTCAGCATTGCACATCCAGTTATGATATGCTTGTAAGCAGGCATTAATTCTTATGGCTTGCCTTGGAGGAGGTAAAAGAGAAGTCATTGTACAATTTGAAATGGACCTAAACAGTATTGTAAACTTTTTTTATTGCTTTCTTAAAAACACAAAATCATCATCTTAGCATCCTCCAAAAAGATTAAGAATAGAAGTTGACTTAAAAGTTAGTAATACCTGTGAAAATCATGATTCAGAAGAAAAGAGGTAAGTCTATTGAAATAGAGATTTAATTTGCCTCTTTTATTGTTAATTTCAGGACATTCAACTTGGAAAATGTCCATTTCTAAAGCATTACGTATAGAAAAACACTATTTGGGCCAGGCATAGTGGCTTACACCTGTAATCCCAGCACTTTGGGAGGCCGAGGCAGGTGGATCATTTGAGGTCAGGAGTTCCAGACCAGCCCGGCCAACATGGTGAAACCCCGTCTCTACTAAAAATACAAAAATTAGCCGGGTGTGCTGGTGGGCACCAGCTACTCAGGAGGCTGAGGCAGGAGAATCACTTGAGCCCTGTAGGTGGAGGTTGCAGTGAGCAGAGATGGCGCCATTGCACTCCAGCCTGAGCGACAGAGTGAGACTCAGTCTCAAAAAAAAAAAAAAAAAAAAAGAAAAGAAAAGAAAGAAAAACACCAAAAAACACCATTTGTTCTTGAATTCTTATCCAGGGTTTCCACTGAGGATTATTTTTAACAATCAAAAATGTTGGTCACTTTTATTTAAAAGAATTTAGTTTCCAAATACATATGACACTTTGCTTAGTGATTATATTTGCACCCATTAATAGTACCTCACAAATGTCATTGATACTTTCAGAGAAAATCTTTCCAAAGACCCTCTTAAGAAAGTCCTATTTCTAAAATTTTCATGTTTGATTCATTCAGATATGATTAAAGCCCATCATGGTCTGTGTAAATGTTTCTGCATTCTTAGAAACTTTCTCCAGTTTTTTATAACTAGTCCATTGGATGTAGGAATGCCAAAGAGTCTAACTAAAAAGAGAGGGAATCTTGGCTACAATGGAATACCTAGGGGTATGGGAAGTAAGTAATAGTCTTTATTTCCATATGAATATTGCTGGCTTTACACCTGCAATAATTAGGCAAGAGACTCAAAGATAGTTTTTTCAGAAAAGTTTTCTTTCAAGGATCTAGCAAGTCTGAGCTATGCTTCCAACTTTACTGCCCTCCATCATCCGGCATCTTTGACTCATCCACCACCTTCTGTCCCTTTCATTCTCATTCCCCATGTGTCAGCTCCCCAGAAAGGACATATCTTGTACACCTTGCCACAGCACTCATCACCTGCTTCTGGACTGCCTGAGCAAGAGTGATACTTCCTGTTCTAAAGACAGGAGTGAGGATGGGGGATACTCAGACTTTGGGATGTGCCAGAACTGTGGCTAGTCCCCAGGAAGCAGAACTTGGAGGACTCATAAAGGAGCCAATCCCACCTCCATCCTAAACAAGGCCAGTTCATAAACCCCATCTGGCACAGCAGCAGTCTCAGGAAGCTAAATTGGGGAGTGCCCTGTATCTCACTCCCTAAACTGGGGAGTGAGAGCATCCTGATGGTCAGCTCTTGGGCTGTGACAGTGGTCCCCTGCAAATGAAAAGGGGAGCTGTACTGATGTCAGGAGATGTGGCTCACCGTCATTATTAGAGTCAGGGCCTCTCCTGCCTACTTCGGTGGGTGAGGACAGAGAGGGGGATGGAGAGAATCCTTAATCCTTCATTGGTAACATCCTGAGATCCTCCTAGAGTTCCAGACATCATACTTATCATGGGATTTGTTTGCCTTATTTTAGCCTCCCTGCCCTCTGGCCAGTGAGTTGAATTAAATAATTGTGCCCTCAGTATCAAGGAGTAGACAATGTAGACTATTTTTATGCAGCCCTGAGGACCCCCAGTCATGACTCTTGATAAGGTGAGGCATCTGGGTTGGGTGCTAAACTATGAGCCTTCTTCACCCTCCTTCCAGTAATGCCTATTTCAGCCCTGCCTAGCCTGCACCATCTTGATAATTAGGTAGGATGACTGCAGATTGAAATCAAGCAGCTATTTCCTTTGGCTTTTCTGGCAGACACTGCCCACTGCCTCCAGTGCGTGCACTGTAGATGGTGGGTGGTCCCTATGGGTGGGTGCTAGGGGGAAAATTCCACCCCTGCAGTAAGCAGAAGCAGGCAGAAGTCTGCTGGAAGCTGCAGGCCTCCCGCACTGACTTGCAATGTTCCTTGTGCTCCAGGTGCTGCTGTTTCTTTAAGAGGAAAAGGAAGAAGACTGCTCAGCGCCACAAGTGACCAGTGCCTCCCAGGAGTCCTCAGGCCCTGGGGACTCTGACTCAATTGTACCTGCAGCTCCTGCCATTTCTCATTGGAAGGGACTCCTCTTTGGGGGAGGGTGGATATCCAAACCAAAAAGAAGAAAACAGATGCCCCCAGAAGGGGCCAGTGCGGGCAGCCAGGGCCTAGTGGGTCATTGGCCATCTCCGCCTGCCTAAGGCTCTGAGCAGGTCCCAGAGCTGCTGTTCCTCCACTGCTTGCCCATAGGGCTGCCTGGTTGACTCTCCTTCCCATTGTTTACAGTGAAGGTGTCATTCACAAAAACTCAAGGACTGCTATTCTCCTTCTTCCCCTTAGTTTACTCCTGGTTTTTACCCCACCCTCAACCCTCTCCAGCATAAAACCTAGTGAGCTAAAGGCTTTGTCTGCAGAAGGAGATCAAGAGGCTGGGGGTAAGGCCAAGAAGGTAGGAGGAAAATGGCAGACCTGGGCTGGAGAAGAACCTTCTCCGTATCCCAGGTGTGCCTGGCAGTATGGTTTCCTCTTCCTCTGTGCCTGTGCAGCATTCATCCCAGCTGGCCTTGGGGTTCAGGTTCCTTCTTCCCTCCCTCCTGTGAAGTTACACTGTAGGACACAAGCTGTGAGCAATCTGCAGTCTACTGTCCCTGTGTGTTGGCGTTCTTAGCTTTTTTGACAAACTCTTTTCTCCAGGTAGTAGGACAATGAAAATTGTTCTAAGCAAAGGAAAGAAAACTGACTTTGTTGCACTTTTAGTTTTTTTAAAAAAAACAAAAACAAAAACATGGCAGATGCATATTGTGTCTGGTTATATTGGGGGTTTTACTTTTACCTGTTTTGAGGGGGATGGGGCCGGCCAAGCCATTCAGAGAGAACATGGGTCCAGAGGACATTCTCAGTGGAAAGAGTTTGATCTGCAGCACCCAGAAGAGAAGCCAAACTCGGTGTCATTCTGAGTGAACACTCAGGTTGGCAAGAAAACATACTTGAATTTTCATTCATCTTCTCAGCAGCTGAAGAATGTCCCTACCAGAGCATCTTGACCTAATCAGCTTACAGTTTGAAAACCTAGCTCTCCAGAACATGAGATGAGCCAGCCGAGCCAGACTGTGACCAGGAAACAGCTCATCCCAGAGAAGGAGATGCTTAACAAAAAAAAATTGAAATTGTTTCCCATGCTGCCAGGGACTTCCAACTAGATAGCCATGTGACGTCCTGGTGACTTGGGGGAAAAATTAGTGATGAAACAGCCACCACCATATTGCCATTAGTGGAAAAAAAGAGGACAGTGAACCTGCCTTCCACCTGCCAGAGGGACCTCAGGGTGTGGCATTATAGGGCCAGGAAAAGAAAATCGGTGTATCCTATCTGCCCCAATAGCTGAGCTGTAGCATTTGGGCTGGCCTGCCTTATCAGAAACCAAGCTTATGAAGATCTTCTCCCAGCAGGTCCATAGCAGTAGGCTTAGGATGCAGTATATGGGGCCGCATTTAAAAGGAGGGAAAGATTGTTTGGTGCTGGAACATTCCAGGGAAAAGGAGACTGGAATGAAAGGTCTGAAATTATCTTCTCAATTGGACTCCTTCCAGAAAGGTGGCCGTGCCTCTAAGCATGTTTTTCCCAGTATGCCCTAGGCCTCCCCCCATGGTGTTTTCATATGAGGTACTACTGTGAAGGATCTGGTTCCTCATTCACTGTTTGACAAGTCTTTCATGTGTGGAGTTACTCTTCTCATGCCCAATTTTCATTTGAGTTTAGTGGCTTAACCAAACAATGACTCCTCATTCCAGCGGTGACAGAAGAGAAAGGGTCATTTACATCAGGAAAGAGGTCTTGTATCTGGGAGTAGAGAGCTAACCATGGAGCACAGTGGCTGGTGGGTGACTTAGTCTGATGGTTTGTGGACCATAGAAGTCTTCACCTCTGGTTTGAGGTGCAGGGCTGTCTTTTGTACTGGAGGGTGTGGGGATATTTTCTGATAGTTGCCATTTCTTGAAAAATTCCCTTGATGTACCTTACACAGAGCAGAAATAACATTAACATGGATCAGAGGTACTGGGCTTCATCTGTTCCATTGGACCTTGGCTAGGGAATATCATTTCACTGGCATCAAACCTGCTTAGCTTATGAAAAGATGGTAATATGTCATTTCTATAAATGTTTCTATATATGAAACATAAAGTGGCAGGGAGATACAATATCACACCCCTTCCCCACAAGGACTGTGAATATTGGGATTTATGTCCTTGCCATTACCTAGTGGTTACAGCCCTATCACTAAAATTTACATCGTTTCTCAGTTGGGATTTGGGCATTGCTAACTTACTGTATAGAAAGTTTAACTTTTCCTCACCCCTGTATAGAAAATGCCTTGCCTCTCAAGAGAGGGCAGAGGGGGGGCCAGGTGCAGTGGCTCACGCCTGTAATCCCAGCAGTTTGGGAGGCCAAGGCAAGTGGATCATGTGAGGTCAAGAGTTCGAGACCAGCCTGGCCAACATGGTGAAACCCCGTCTCTACAAAAAATACAAAAATTAGCTGGGCATGGTGGCATGCTCCCGTAGTCCCAGCTACTCGGGAGGCTGAGGCAGGAGAATCACTTGAGCCTGGGAGGCAGAAGTTGCAGTGAGCCGAGATCGCACCACTGCACTCCAGCCTGGGCAACAGAGTGAGACTCTGTCTAAAAAGAAAAAAAAAAAAGGGCAGAGGGAAATGGTGGGAATGCCTGGAGCATCCTGGCACTCTATACTCTACTGAGTGCCTCTCTTCAGCCCCTCACCCTGCTTCCACACACACACACACAAAAGCAAAGGCACTGACCAGCTTGGCTGCAGGGCAAGCTGCCTTGCAGCTGGATTTGCGACTTTTTTTTTGTCTTAAAATTTTTACTGGATCAGTTGTAGGGGACTGTACTTCCTAAGACACTGTTCTCACCTTCCAACCTCACAAATCTCTTACTAGATATTTGGTTTTTATAACAAGGGTAAAGAATCCCAGGTCCCTTTAGCATGCAGAGTAATGGTGATCCCTCCAGAGCCATTGGCACTTCAAAGTGGTCCCAGACCTGGGAGATTCTGGTGGGATCTTCCTTAAAAATAAGCAAAAAACCTGAGTACCCTAGATGCAATTGGCCATTTGTTTCAGGCCCATCAGCGAATCAGGGCTCCCTCCTCAACCCTACTGCTACAGTTCCTTAGCTGTATGCCTCAGCCAGATCCTTGGGGTTAGGGCATGCACTCGCTGACTGTCCCCACCCATCCACTTGCTCTGTAGTTTCTGAGCTTTCTCCATTTCACAAGTATGGTGCCTAACGATCTTTTTCTTTAGGATTGATGCAGTTGTTTTTCCTGAAAGCTAACTCAGCATCTATTCATAAAAACCCTTAATAGTATACATTAGGAGTTTTCCCAAGCTCTACAGTCCCTCAGACATTGCATCCTAAACAGATTTGAGGCACACAGGCCAAGACTCCACCAAGGCATAAATGGTCCCCCCTACTCCCTTTTGACCAGGGTATCACTTGTGTCTCTGCAGTAAGAGTTGGTCAAGTTGCTCTACGCACCTTGGTGCTTTCCAGAGATCTCACTCCAGACTGCCCCCAAGGGTGGATAGAGTATCCTGACAGCCAGTGTGCACTCATGACTGCCTTAATTAACATTCTTCTGCTATTATGGAGCCTGTCCAGCAATAAACAGGGTCTAGGAAGGTACAAGATTAGCTTCCAGTTAAAATCCCATTTTATATTGGAATGCATGAGCTACAGATGACAGCAGAGATCCTGAGGTTTCTAGACATGTTGATTGTCTCTTTTTTCTAAATGAACTCCAAGTACTTAGAAAACAGTCCCTGTCCATCAGCCAGAAAAGGTGACCATCACCCCTAAAGTAATTTCCAAACTTAGTTCAGTGGGAAGATATGCTGGTAGTGCATATTCAGTGTTGATTTTCAGTGCTAGTAACCACTTTTAATGCCAGAAATATGTAACAATGATAATGTAACGTCAAAGTGGTTACTAAAGATTATAGCCTTAACTTTTTTATGTAAAAGATAAAATCCATTCCTCCTCCCAGTGAGCAAGCATGGCTTGCATTTCTCAAAAATGAGAACTTCCATGGCAGCCAAGAAAACGTCTTCTCAGAGGAACTTTCGTTTGATGCATCTCCCAAGCCCACATGCCTCCTGTGTTCCAGCCACCTCTTCCATTTCACATTTAAACCAGCTCTCCATTCCCATTGAGTTGCCCTAACAACATTGTCTCCAGTGTCAGAACCATATTAAGGTTCGTTTCTCAGATTGGGAGCCTGCAACACCATACAGCCAACATTGCCTTTGCCACGCCACTGCCACCATCCCCACCATTGCCCTATGGTGGGCAGATGAATTCCAGAAACCCTCAGGGAGCCAGGATAATTAGGCAACCCATCTGAATTGGCCACGTAAGTGACAGGCACTTATCTCTCGGGTTCTTGCTTTTGCAGACTCCAGGGAAGTCCTGTCTAGAGGTCGATGGCAGAGACTCCTAGTCTTTCCCATGAGGGGTTGATAGGAATCAAATTGGGATTCCTTTGGCTTTGGGTTTTGTTTTTTTGTTGTTGTTTTTGGTTTTCAGTTTGTTTTTTGGTGTATGGGGGGTGATTTTGTTTCTGAATAAGAAAAAGAAGAGGCAACCATGGCCCTTATGTGGGTTTATCCTTTTTGAGCAATGTTTTAGCCACAAGTAAGGAATCTTGAAAGTCTTTTGTCCAGCAAGCAGTCTTAAAAATGTTTTTCCTAACTCCTTTTGCAGGTGACTAAGTACAAAAAAATAGTTTTCTCATTGTATTCAAAATAGTGAGTAGGTTCCCTGGATAATACACAGTGGTAGTTGACATATTTTCTCAAAACACAACCAGAAAACCCACTTCCGGTATTTGTAAATCACCTTTCAAGGGAAAAAGTGAACACGTATTCCTTGTATTTCTAGTTTGATTACCAAACCTGATGTTACAAAGAAACCTCCGTTCTGTAGACAGAATTTCTTTTATTTTTCTTCTTTTACTCCTCACAATCACTTTCCCAGTGCCATCACCATCTATAAGGTCTCAGAGCAGAGGATTATTCATGGTAATAAGTGGGGGTGTGGTGCAGCCATTCCAGTAACACCCACAAGAGGACAGCTGTTCTGAATGTCCCCACCCACCCCTCTTTCAGTACAGGTGAGACATTTTCAGTTCATGAGCTCCAGACCAAATCCCAGGCCAGCCCTTGCACCAAAAGCCTTTTTTAGAAGGCTTATCAGTCTATTAGGAATGTCTCAGGAAAGATGAGCCATTTCTTTGGGGAGAAATATATTTACAGATGGAAGTGTGTGACTGCGTGTCTGTGTGTGTGTGTGGTGTGTGTGCGCACGTGAGTGCGTGTGTTCATCTATGTGCATTTCACTTCCATAAAGACCCAGCCCAAGCTGCTGGGAACCATGTGTTCCTGAGTATTCTCAGAGGTTAAACAAGTGACAAGTGAGCTTCTGAAATTAGTGTCTCAGCAAGCTGGCTTTAGGAATGAGCCCCATTTTATCAAGCAGAGAAAAAAAATAACAGCAGAAAAGATAAAGATAAACCAAAAATATATACCCCCCAATGGAAAATAATGTTGATTCAGCAATTCCCATAGGATGTATTACATGCTCTAATTTATTATATTATTATTTATCTGTCTTTGATCTTTGCCCATTGTACTCTTAAAAAGATGTTGGGATGTTGATTGCGATTTTTAAACAACTAGATAATGTATAAATCAGCAGTGGAAATCAGTTTTAATGTGTGGATGTGTCTGATTATTGTTAAATGCCTCTTTTTTTACTTTTTTTTTTTTTAGATGTATAATGTTTCATAAACCCTGGCACTGGTCACAAAGCTCAGCTGTGAAAATGAAATTTGTAGTATTTTTAAACATGAATGTCAATTTCAAGTGTATTTGAAATGGTTCCTCCAGGAGAGATATTTGTGCACCATTAGGAAAATCTTCTCTGCAGAGGAAGTAGCCTTCTTTGGAGAAAATGGAAAATGGGTTCTGATATGTGATCTCAGAGTAGCCCATTTCCTAGGGCACCATGGAAAACACAAATGTGATCTTTAAGTATACCTCTTCCCCAGTTTGGGGAGGAAAGGACTCAGTTTGCACCCTTTTTGTATGTAAAATAAAATGTCTTACCTTTCTTGGCTACTTCTGCTTGTTTGGTTGGTTGATTGGTTTGTCTGTTTTTAATCTCCCTCGGCTCATTTGTAATTAACAATCTAGCTAGGACTAACTTTGATGCGATTCAAGACTCCTGTGAACAAAAATAATTTGGCATTCTTGTTTCATTCCTTGGATTAAATATTGTCTTCTCCTGTGAGTCACTTCAAAAATAAATACTGCTGTCTCTCTTCGAGTGCTGAAGAAGAAAATTATTTTTTAATTAAAAAAATAAATATTGGCCAGGCGCAGTGGCTCTCACCTGTAATCCCAGCAACTCCGGGAGGCCAAGGCGGGTGGATCATTTGAGGTCAGGAGTTCGAGGCCAGCCTGGCCAACATGGTGAAACCCTGTCACTACTAAAAATACAAAATTAGTTGGGCGTGGTGGTGCACACCTGTAATCCCAGCTACTCAGGAGGCTGAGGCAGGCCAATTGCTTGAATCCAGGAGGTGGAGTTTGCAATGAGCCAAGATCGCACCACTGTACTCCAGCATGGACGTCAGAGCAAGACTCCGTCTCAAATAAATAAATATTCCTGGAAGAATTTGGACATTATCACTCATACGTTAGTTCCTGGGTCCCTGTTGTTCTCAGGTGGTAGAACACAGGAAATCAGGATCTGCTCTGTGGAACAACTTTAGTAGCTTTATAATTCTCCTCTACAAATGCGGAATATGTGTCCAGACAGAAGATAGAACTATGATGAGCAATGTAAAACCATACTGCATATGTAGCCAACAGAACAACTGTCAATCTGGGCATGATTGACTCCTTCCAGTTTGTTACTACTCTTTAATTACTTTTTCACAGGCAGGTAGCAGTGGAAGAATCATGAGAGAAAAGTTTCACATTGAGAGCATTTTATCCATCAACCTGATTTCTTTTGAAAGTGGGAGTGGGAGAAAGGCTGCTGTGATGCCATTTTAGCCTTAGCTCCTCATGTGCAGGAGGCTACTTGGGTTTTTTGAGTGTTTCTTTGTTTTTGAGACAGGGTGGAGTGCAGTTTCACGATCACAGTACACTGCAGCCTTGACCTTCTGGGCTCAGGTGATTCCCCCACCTCAGCCTCTGGGGTAGCTGCGACTACAGATGCGCACCACCACGCCCTGCTAATTTTTGTATTTTTTGTAGAGACAGGTTTCACCATGTTGCCCAGGCTCAAACTCCTGGACTCAAGTCATCTGCCTGCCACAGCCTCTCAAAGTGCTGGGATTACAGGTATGAGCTACTGTGCCCAGCTGGAGGCTACTTTGAAAACATGATTTAGTAAACATTTTTCTCTGGCTATGGCAGCCTGAGACCAGTGAGTGAAGAAAGAGGCTTAACAAAATAGGAGAAAAAAAAAAAAAAGGGATGAGAGATGGATCTGGAAGATCATCTTTGTCAGTATAACAATGTTTAAAACTTCCTCCTGATTGGGGTTGTCTGAATTGAGGTGCAAGGATGGGAAATAAGAGAACTGTCTTGAAGCTCTACAACCTGTGTAAGGCCGCTGTAATGAACAACAAAGTTAATGCCAGTGGCCTTGCATAACTTCAGTCTCAGGTCAGCGCCTCATGAAGACTACATTGCATAATTTATGTAAATGGAGCCCTGCCTATAATCTGTGCTGTGACGACCTGGAATTTCTACGAAGTTAATCGTTGAAAATTAGTTTTAAAGACGTTTTAACGCCATAGGTCCAAATTTTGGAAGTTTGTGTTTTGGTTTGTTTTGGTGTGTAAGACTCCCAGTACCAAAGTATCTATGTTGTAGATTGGGACAACACTAAGTGTGTGAAGACCTAAAATAGCCCTGTGGGGACATCTAGTAACTATTCCTGACCTCCGGAAAAAGGCATTGTATCCTCAGGCCGTGGCATAAATTATTTCTCATGTCAGTGCGGATGTGAAGCTATCCCAACCAGGACTTGTTGGGCACTCAGTACTGCCGCGCTGTGAGGGAGCTGTGGACAGAGTAAATGCAACACAGTCCCTTCCGCAGAAAAAAAAAAAAATGTAGTCTATTGGGGGAAAAGGTAAAGGAAGTTAAGAACAGCGTATACAATAAGATGTCCATTGATATACACAACAGTAAGCACAGCAAGATTACAGAAGGGAGAGAAAAATGGGTAGTAACTTGACGGCCTCAGTAAAAAAGGAAGTGGGTTGTGCAGCAAGTTTTGCAAGACAAGTGGAGGAGCCGTACAAGGCCACGCTCGGTAAGGATAAATGTCCCTGAAGTGTTTGGAAGCCACAACGTTTAGAGCCAATTTGGCGGTGACAAACACTTGACTGGCCCAAAACAGTGACAAGCTTCCCGTGCCCCTTGTCCAGGCCCACGTATTTGCTAACCTCAAGCGCCAGCTACCGCAGGCCAGTGGAACAGCGCTCCGGGCGGGGCGGGCCGCGGAGCATGCCGGGGCTTGTGGTCTTCTCGGAGCCCGGGCCCGTGCTCTGCGAGGCCGCCTTCCGCCGGTGGCCTTCCTGTGGGCGGGAGAGGGCGGCCGGGAGCCCAATGAGGGAGCAATAACGTGGCAACCACCCACGAGCCCGCGTCGGTGCCCGCCCCGCAGGGGGACCTACTATCCGGCGCCGAGCCGGAGGGGGGAAACGGCGCCCGCCGCCCGCCCGGAGCCCGCGAGCAACCCCAGTCCCCCCCACCCGCGCGTGGCGGCGCCGGCTCCCTAGCCACCGCGGCCCCACCCTCTTCCGGCCTCAGCTGTCCGGGCTGCTTTCGCCTCCGCCTGTGGATGCTGCGCCTCTCCGAACGCAACATGAAGGTGCTCCTTGCCGCCGCCCTCATCGCGGGGTCCGTCTTCTTCCTGCTGCTGCCGGGACCTTCTGCGGCCGATGAGAAGAAGAAGGGGCCCAAAGTCACCGTCAAGGTCCGGTGGAGTCCGCGGCATTTACGGTGCCGGAGCTCGGGCCCGGGCGGCCTTGGCTTGGCCTTGGCTCAGCCCCTCCTCCCTCGGCTTCTGTCTGTGGCCTCGTGGCGTCTGGGCCGTCCTGCCCATTCAGTCCAGGGAACGACCCGGACCCACCCCGACACCCCCAGCCCCTGCCCTGACCCAGGGAGTTAGTTGGATCCCCGGATACCCATCTGGGGCCGACACTGGCAGTCTCAGAGCAGGCTTTTTGCAAACACCCCTCAGTGCTGGGGAGATGGTGAAAGATCACGCCTGCCGGATTCCGAATCCTTTCTCTCCTTAAGCCAAATTTTAGCCACTTCCAATTACAAAGCACAGTATGTATACTTCAAACTTAAGTGGTGAACTTAGGCTCCGCTCCTTATGGGTTTTCTAATGTTAATTTTTAGAATCTGGGTCCATTAGCTGTTTAGAGCAAATATTGTTATCCTGTAGTCCAAGGAGGGTATAGATAAGCATGTTTTCCAAGAAAAGGGTCTGGAGCTTTCATTAGATTCTCATAGGATTTTTACCGTCACCAAAATCAGATTCAGAACCACTTCTCTAAAAATATGGCTCTATTCTCTCTCCCATCCTCAGGTTAGCTTCTTGTACCTTCCCTCCCCTAGCAACGCCCCTTTAAAGAAGCTAAGTTGGAAATGGTCTCTTTCCTCAGGTGTATTTTGACCTACGAATTGGAGATGAAGATGTAGGCCGGGTGATCTTTGGTCTCTTCGGAAAGACTGTTCCAAAAACAGTGGATAATTTTGTGGCCTTAGCTACAGGAGAGGTAAGTGGCTGGAGCAGGGGTAGTCAACTCACATGAAGTGAAATTGGCACTGGGGATGGCAGCAAACTGACCTGCAGAGTTCAGCCGATCTGTAGCGTGGACCTCACTGAGCACCGACTGCCTGTTGCCCTGGGAACACAGTATTGCCCTTTCTTAAGAGTAATGGGGCCCTGACCAGGCACAGTGGCTCACACTTAAAATCCCAGCACTTTTGGAGGCCAAAGTAGGAGGATTGCTTGAGCCCAGGAGTTCAAGGCCAACCTGAGCAACATAGCAAGACCCTGTCTCTACCCCCGCAAATTTTTTTTTTTTTTTGAGACGGAGTTTCACTCTTGTCGCCTGGGCTGGAGTGCAGTGGTGCGGCCTCAGCTCACTGCAACCTCCGCCTCCCGGGTTTAAGTGATTCTCCTGCCTCAGCCTCCTGAGTAGCTGGGATTACAGGCATGCGCCACCACGCTTGGCTAATTTTGTATTTTTAGTAGTGACAGGGTTTCACCATGTTGGCCAGGCTGAACTCGAACTCCTGACCTCTGGTGATCCGCCTGCCTTGGCCTCCCAAAGTGCTGGGATTAGAGGTGTGAGCCACTATGCCCGGCCAAAAAAAATTTTTTTTAATTAGCTGGGTGTGACGGGGTGCACCTGTGGTCCCAGCTACAGCTACTCAGGAGGCTGAAGTGAAATGGAGGTTGCAGTGAGCCATGTTCATGCCACTGCACTCCAGCCTGAGCAATAGAGTGAGACCCTGTCTCAAAAAAAAAATAAATTAATTAAAAATAAAAGGCCGGGCGCAGTAACTCATGCCTGTAGTCCCAGCACTTTGGGAGGCTGAGGCGGGTAGATCACCTGAGGTCAGGAGTTCGAGACCAGCCTGGCCAACATGGCGAAATCCTGTCTCTACTAAAAATACAAAAAATTAGCCAGGTGTAGTGGTAGGCGCCTGTAATTCCAGCTACTTGGGAGGCTGAGGCAGGAGAATTTGTTGAACCCAGGAGGTGGAGGTTGCAGTGAGCCGAGATTGCCCCACTGCACTCTAGCCTGGGCAACAAGAGGGAAACTCCATCTCAAAAATAAAAATAAAAAATAAAAAAACAGGCTGGGCATGGTGGCTCACACCTGTAATCCCAGCACTTTGGGAGGCGGAGGAGGGCAGATCATGTGAGTTTAGGAGTTTGAGAGCAGCCTGGGCACCATGGTGAAACCCCATCTCTACTAAAAATACAGAAATCAGCTGGGCATTGTGGTGGCACATGCCTGTAATCCCAGCTACTCAGGAGGCTGAGGCTGGAGAATCGCTTGAACCTGGGAGGTGGAGGCTGCAGTGAGCGGAGATTGTGCCATTGCACTCCAGCCTGGGTGACAAGAGAGAAACTCTGTCTCAAAAAAATAATAATAAAATTTAAAAAATGAGATAAAAAAGAGTAAGGGGTCCAGAGCTTCCTGGGGAGACTTCACCTAGGGTGAGGGCAGTGGGTTTTAAGGAAACAACAGTGCCCTATTTCAGTTTATATTAACTTTCCATTGAGCCAGCAGGTGACCTTTCTTCTCAGTTTTCTTGTATCTGTTCTTATGATTGGAAGAAATGAGGGGAAAAGCATTATGTGATGTAGAATTGTATAAAGCTTGGGAATTGTATGGAGGCAGAGGGATTTCCACATCTGTGTGTACCATGCCTGTCCTGTGGCGCCTGCCCGCTCACTTAGTAGCACACTGAACAGTGAAAGTGGTCAGCAGTGGTGTCTCTTCTGCGAGCAGGAGTTGTGGACTTGTTCCTGTGAGGCCTATTTAATGTAATGTCTTCCTGCTGCCCCATACCACCTCCTTACCTTCTCTTCCCTTTTTCTAGAAAGGATTTGGCTACAAAAACAGCAAATTCCATCGTGTAATCAAGGACTTCATGATCCAGGGCGGAGACTTCACCAGGGGAGATGGCACAGGAGGTAACCACAGGTCCTCTGGGCCAAGGAGTATGTCAGTGTAGCCTCCACAGTGGGAGGGCCAGGTTCTGCTGGGGAGACCAGGCCTCTTTCTTCCCCAGCTCTAGAGGCAGGCCTACTTATTACTTACCTACTTTGAGACCAGCGGCACCCTTCTTTGAAGAGGGAACCCAGTACAAAGGAGAGAGAATAATGGGGTGGACCTGATGGTAGATCTAAGAGAATCTCTCCCAGGTGACCGTCCTGCTGATCCAGGCCTATAGCCTGGTGACCTTTCCTGATACCTCTTCAGAATGGGGATTGGGGAGAGAGGCGTGTGGAAGCAAAGTGAAGACATGTGGGTACGCGATTCTAGGTCAGATGCCCAAAGCCTGTCCAGGCTACCCTGGAAGCCCCAGCAAGAGTGAGAGGGCCAGGCGTGGTGACTCTGTGATCCCAGCACTTTGGAAGGCCAAGGTGGCTGGATCACTTGAGGCCAGGAGTTCAAGACCAGCCTGGCCAACATGTTGAAACCCCATCTCTACTAAAAATACAAAAGATTAGCCGGGCGTGGTGGCACGCGCCTATAATCCCAGTTACTTGGGAGGCTGAGGCAGGAGAATTGCTTGAACCTGGGAGGCGGAGGTTGCAGTGAGCCGAAATCACGCCACTGCACTCCAGCCTGGGCGACAGAGCGAGACTCCATCTCAAAAAAATAAAAAAAAGAGTGGGAGCAGTTACTTTCCTTGACAGTCTTTCACCAGAGACCACTCTGTGAGGGCCGACCCTCACCTTGGCATTAACTTGCACACATAGGACAGAAAGACCCCCGGACGCCTGCATGAGTCTCACTGAGCTCAGGTACAGCCTGCTGCTCCCTTAGAACACAGCTCACTCCTCGATGAGTGTCTATGGGGCTCTGTGGTGGGGGTTGAGGATGTGAAGACCCATGGGGCAGTGGCTCCCTTTTACTTCCAACAACTGAAAATGTACAAGTGAGCCATGATGCAGCGTTTAGGACTCAGGCTCACAAAGGAGACCAAAGAACTGTATTTGTGGAGTCAGACGCAGTTGGGCTCGATCCAGTGTCTGCCACCTTCTTGTTTTGTGACCTCAGGCAAGTGAGTCCTTGGAGCTTCAGTTTCCTGTTCTGTACAGTGAGGGTGGAGAGAGTTGTGGGGCCATGAGGATTGGGCTAGATCTGGAGTGTGAAGTGCCTGGCATGCAGTGAGTGCTTAGTAAGTCAGCCATTGTTGAAGTGCTGACAAGCAGAGGGATCCCCTCAGGCCAGGGAACGGGGGAATGACCTTGCGGATGTGAGGAAAGATTTCAGTGGGGTCCTCAATGAGGAGAATTTGAACGGGCAGAAAAGAGGCAGGGTTAGGGCATGAGCCCGGTGCTGTTCTGTGGCAGGAGCTTGGCCAAAGGTGGGGTGAGGACATCTGTACCCGGAGTGCAGAGAGGTGGGTGATGTCCTGCAGCCTGGGCTTCGGCCTGCAGGGAGTCAGGGCCACAGAGCTGAGTAAGAGGATGACCCCTCACTTGGGGTGCCAGGGGAGTCATGTGGTGGCAGATCCAGGATGTGGAGGCTAGGGCAGGCAGGCTGCTGGGGGCATTGGTGCCACTGACCCTGGGCAGGGAGATTTGGACCTGATCCTGAGGTGGCTGAGAGCAGAGATTCGAGAGCAGACCACCTTGGTCTGAACTCTAGCCCCGCTGTTGCTCTGCTGGGGCTCCTTTTATTCTCTGTGCCTCAGTTTCTTCATCTTTGAAGTGGAGTTAGCTCCTCCTCATAGAGTGGATTGTTAAATATGTAAGATGCTTGGAACAGTCTCTGGCTCACACTATGAGCACCCTAAGCACTCGCCTACTGCAGCGGTGGTGGTGGGAATGGAAAGAAAGAGTAAGTACATGGGGAGTGGGTAGGGACAACCTGAGCCACGTGCAGAGGAAAAGGGGTCAAAAGAATAACTGAGGTCTGGAGAGAAAGATGACAAGGTATGTTGAGTTTAAATAGAAATGTCCATTTGAGTTTGGAACCCCTGTATCTTGAGAGAGTGGCTGGAGCTAAGGATGGAGATTTGGGGGTTTTCTGGATAACAACTATAATCAAAATCCCACAGTTGGCTCAAATGGGGGAGGCTTTTAGCCAGCACTCCAGCCAGGTCTCACTGCACATGTGGCAGAGTCCAGTCTCCCCAGCGTGGGGGTGAGAGGTGGAGCACAGGCAGAAGCACCCTGTCCCCACCAGCCAGAGTCTGGTCATTCTTGGTTTTCAGTCATCCTACCTGCTGCCCAATCAGAAACATCTTCCTGGTTGGCATCTGTCTAGGACAGTTTCCCAGCTCAGTTCCATTCTGTGGAACCACAGGATGAAGGTAGGTGCAGTGAGAAGGAAAAAAGAGTTTTGCATGCAAATATGTTTGAAAGGTGTTAGATAAAACAAAATGAAAATGACCCCATTTTTGGCTGAGTTTCTTGGGGCCTCATGCACAGTGTCAGTCTCCAAGGGGTGATAGGGAAAAAGAAGGGTTTCGGTGTTCCTCGTGGAAGCAGCTTTGGAACTAGGATCTCTGAAATGGCATAGAGATCACTCCGGATTGCCCTTACCATATCCCCAAGCCCCACGTGGACAGACGCGTCACACACACTCACAGCTGTCTTTTATTCCTGTTCATTCCTTGTTAAGAGGCTTTGACTCTCCAGAATCCAAGGGGCAGCCCCTCTTTTCTGCCCCTCCCCACACATCTCTGGCTGCTTTCTCCTCTGCAGCTATGCCTGTGTCTTTTGTGCTCATAGGAAAACAGGCTGGTCAGCCACAGCAGTCCTCCTTTTCTGGAGAGTTCCGACCCTGTTGACTCCCCTGCATCCTGCACGGCACTTCCCTCCACCAAAGTCCCTCCGTGGCAGGCCTGGGCCATAGCTAAGGGGAGCTGATAACATGCGCCTTATTTAAAAGCCACAAAACTATCTTCTCAAAGTAATCCTTCTGTGAGCTGTTCACCACATCAGCCTGGCCTGATGCCCCACTTGGCCTCAGTCAGCATGGCTTGGCTCTGAGGCCAGAAGATAGGAAGGACGCTGCTTTTATGTCCTTGTAGTCCACTCCAGCCTAGCCTGGCACAGAGGACAGGTTAAGCCCCCTCAGTCCTGGCCCCGAATGTCTGCTTGGTTTGGCGCAATCCAGCGCCCCTGACCTGCTCTGTCTTTTTTCCCAGGAAAGAGCATCTACGGTGAGCGCTTCCCCGATGAGAACTTCAAACTGAAGCACTACGGGCCTGGCTGGGTGAGCATGGCCAACGCAGGCAAAGACACCAACGGCTCCCAGTTCTTCATCACGACAGTCAAGACAGCCTGGCTAGATGGCAAGCATGTGGTGTTTGGCAAAGTTCTAGAGGGCATGGTGAGTTGTGGAAGCAAGGGCTACTACTGGGCAATCCTCACCGGGGATTCAACACAGACCCCAGGGCAGGAGCTCCATGTGTCCATCCCTTTCCCAAAAGGACCCAACCCACAGATGCAGCCCAGTGCTCCTGTCCAGAATAAACCCTGTACCTCCATGCCTCCAAGGTTCTAAATTCTTCCAGCCCCCTCAGAGCCCAGCCAGGAAGGCTGCACAACTGCCAGAGCCTCCCTCCCCTCCTTCACTCAGTGACGTGCTGGTCCCACCCCTGAGGTATACAGAGTGCAGCTGAACGCAATGTCCCTGAGAAGCCACATGCCCTGGTCACCCTCTTCCTCCTCCTCACCCTTGGCCCAACCTGGGTCTTACTTCAAAGGAACAAAATTCCTGTACCCCCTCGTCAAATCTGCATTCTCCCTGCTCTGGCCAGGAGTCTGTTAGAATTTTGGTGCCTCCAGTTTTGTGTGCTGTTGATCACTTGTGGGTCTTAGCCCTCCTGAGCCATACGCTGGGGCCTTTCTCCTGAGCGGTGGACCTCCTGATCCACCATGCCCTCCTGCTTCCACCTTTCTTTTCCAGGAGGTGGTGCGGAAGGTGGAGAGCACCAAGACAGACAGCCGGGATAAACCCCTGAAGGATGTGATCATCGCAGACTGCGGCAAGATCGAGGTGGAGAAGCCCTTTGCCATCGCCAAGGAGTAGGGCACAGGGACATCTTTCTTTGAGTGACCGTCTGTGCAGGCCCTGTAGTCCGCCACAGGGCTCTGAGCTGCACTGGCCCCGGTGCTGGCATCTGGTGGAGCGGACCCACTCCCCTCACATTCCACAGGCCCATGGACTCACTTTTGTAACAAACTCCTACCAACACTGACCAATAAAAAAAAATGTGGGTTTTTTTTTTTTTAATATATAATGTGTGGGCCTGGTTCTTGAGCCTGCAGCACCTCCCCTAGGCCTACATCCCAACATGCCTGCAACTCTCCTGTGGCAATGGGTGCCTGCCCCTTCCCTGGGATCCTGCCTGAAATTTTGACCCAGGAGCTACCCAGGAAAAGTCAGGCAGGAGCTTTTGCCCCCTGCTTCTAAACTTTGCCAGCTACTGGGCCTCCACATTTGCTCCCCTTGCCACCACCCTCCAGTCTATGTTAAGGGATGTATCTGTACTTTTTCATAGCCTACCTCTAAATTGATTTTTTTTTTTTTTTTTTTTTTTTGGTAGAGACAGGTCTCACTATGTTGCGCTGGCTGGTCTCAAACTTCCAGACCCAAGCATCCTCCTGCCTTGGCCTCCTAAAGTATTGGGATTACAGGCATGAGCCTCTGCACCCAGCTGACTTCTTCCTTTATTATTTATTTATTTTGAGACGGAGTTTCACTCTTGTTGCCCAGGCTGGAGTGCAGTGGCGCGATCTCGGCTCACCACAACTTCCGCCTCCTGGCTTCAAGAGATTCTCCTGCCTTGGGCCGAGCACGGTGGCTCACGCCCGTAATCCCAGCACTTTGGGAAGCCGAGGCGGGTGGATCACCTGACGTCAGGAGTACAAGACCAGCCTGGCCAACGTGGTGAAACCCATCTCTATTAAAAATACAAAAATTAGCCGGGCATGGTGGCGGATGCCTGTAATCCCAGCTACTCGAGAGGCTGAGGCAGGAGAATTGCTTGAACCCGGGAAGCGGGGGTTGCCGTGAGCCGAGATCGTGCCATTGCATTCCAGCCTGGGCAACAAGAGTGAAACTCCGTCTCAAAAAAAAAAAAAAAAAAAAAAAAGAGATTCTCCTACCTCAGCTTCCCGAGTAGCTGGGATTACAGGCATGCACCACCACAATGCCCGGCTAATTTTGTATTTTTAGTAGAGACGGGGTTTCTCCATGGTGGTCAGGCTGGTCTCGAACTCCTGACTTCAGGTGATCCACCCATCTTGGCCTCCCAAAGTGCTGGGATTACAGGCATGAGCCACCGCGCCTGGCTGACTTCCTCTTTTATTACTTATCTTCTTGACCCTGCCTTGGCTGTTGGGCTCTAAGAGCATACAAATTCTACCACCTCCAGCTACCAATGCGAGCCAAGTTCTGAGCCTTGAGTGGGAATGTGGCACAACTGGGCACTGGGTAATTAAGTCCTGGGTCCAGGCCAAAGGAGGACCCAGCCTTATATGGAGTTCATAGGACAGAGGCACATGACTTTCTTAGGAGGCAGCCAAAGGCCTCTGGACTGATCAGGGCATCGGTGGCAGAGGAGCAGGGTGACAGGCCGCCTTTGGCTGGGCTTTATCTGGGCTGATGCTGAAGCTGTAGAGGCCCTGGAGCACACCATTCACCACCACGTTGGGCAGCGACTCTGTGGGATAGAATTAAACAGGTCTGGCCTCAGACCTGCAGCTCCTTGAGCTCCTGCTCATGGGCTCAGCCCCCACTTGGGAGTAGGAGCCCCTGCCAAGGCAGCAGACAGCAGCTGTCCACCCCAAATGAAGCCTCCGCATTCCCAGGTCACATTCTTTTCACATCAGCTTGGTAAAGAAGTCAGGCTGCTGAAGAAATGGAGACCAGGGAAGCCAAACTTGTTTTCCTTGTGTCTACAAAGCAGGCTCCAGGGGACAGGAGCAGGAGGTAGTGGCTCCAGAGGTGGGCAGCAGGAAGGAGATGCTGTCTGAGGGTCCCAGGAGCCGAGAAATGCAAAGCCCACAACCCAGCCCTGTAGCCCCATATCTAGGCACCTCCTCACCTGGGGAGGGGTTGCAAACATAGGGATCCACATGGAAGCTCAGGACAGGCCGCTGGTGCTGCTGGGAGCTGGGAGGAAACAGGGTCATGAACCATGGGTGCGGGAGGCAGGGCAGAATCCCACAGAGGGGTGGAGACGGGGTTGCCATCACCAGGGACCCATGAAGGAAAAGGTGAGTGGGAAATGGGCTCAGGAGGCACCAAAGGGAAAACAGACTTCAGGGCCCAGGCCAGACAGGCCCAGGCAGCAGGCCTGCCTCCTAGCATATGGCCACTAGGGGGCAGCAGGGGCCAAGCGCGGGCTAGGGCTTTGACTTGCCTGCTGTCGCCAGGCAGGAACTCCCTCAGGGTGCTGAAGAGAAGAGAAACACTGTAAGCTGCCTGGGGATGCCGGGGGAGCGTGAGGAAGGGGTGGAGACACCAGAGCCCAGAACTGCACCTCCCAGGGGACCACTGCTTCTATTTGTAACAAGCCCCAGTTCCGGAGGTGGCGGGGGTAACCAAGTCTGTCCAAAAAAAAGCCCCTCCACCCAGGTCAAGAGAGCTGGTGAGGGCGGTCATGCTGGATCCTGGCAGATGTGAAAAGAAAGGGCTTGCCCTCCAACACCTTTCCTCACCTGCTCACTGCTGACAGCCCCTGGCCCCCGCCATCGGCCCCCCTTACCCCCAGTTGCTAGCCTTGGGGTCTGTGGGGAAGTGCCGAAGTCTCAGGAATTCCAGTAACTCCTTGGGCACCTCCTGGTTCAGGTACAGGATGCCCTGGAGAGGACAGAGGAGACCTGCAATCAGACCCAGCTACTAATTTGCATAGCGCAGTGCCAGTGAAAATGCAGGGCTCTTTGTTCCAAAAAAAGAATTTCACGACAATGACAGCAGAGCGTTGAACCAGGCTCAGGGCCCTTCTGGGCGCTGGGCGCTGTGTGCACAGGTTGTACCCCATGACGCGGCATAGCTTTGCTGTTGGGGGAAGGACCCTCACCCTACATGCCATCAGGAGGGCAGCACAGGACCTCACCATGGAGGGGACAGGACCTGGGTTTCATGGAGCTGGGACTACCTGTGTCCGTTACCTCTTTCAGTCCTTTCAACAAGCCAGAGGGGGGTGTTTGGACCTATATTAGACTCAGAAAATTGATGCTTGAGGTGGTGAATAACATCCCCAAGTTGTGGGTTCCCTCCCTGCCATGCCCCCACACCTCTCTGTCTGGGCCACACCCCTGGCACAGAAGGCCGGGGGGCAACCAACTGTGCTCTCGCATACCTGGATGTAAGCCTCCAAGCCCTGCCGGCGCTGTTCCAACCCTCTGGTCCTCCAGTTGGGCAGGCGTTTCGAGGGGAAGTCGGGCACTTTGTACAGCTTCTTGATCTACTGGAGGTTTACCGCGTGCGATCACAGCATCCCGACTGAGCCCTCAAGCCCTCTTCGCCCCAGCCAGAAGCCCTCCCGCGCCCCCGCCTTCGGGCTCTACTGGGACAGACCCTGGTGAGTGGTGGACCGGCCGAGGGCGAGGAAGGCCCCAACCCACCCACAGAGGCCCGGGGGCTGACCGGCTGCGCAGGGACTGAGGCAGTAATGGGGGTGGCGGAGGCTGGGGCTCGCCCGCCCGCCTCACAGGGCCTGGGCGGGGGCTGGACAGAGGCTGGGCCGGGGCCGGTGGGAGGTCGGCGCCGCCTCACCCGCTTGTGCAGCGCGTGGAACTCGCTGTAGCGCCTTGGCACCGTGTGTCTGCGCCCGCTGCACAGCACCTCCACTCGGAACACCTGGCGGCGCGGGCGGGCAGCGGGTCTGCGCGTGAGGCCCCGCGGGAGGACGCCGCAGCACCTGCGCCTGGCGACGTGCCCACCCTCCCGCTCTCAAAGGCACAAAGCGGCCTTGCGGCGCCGCGGCTGCCCGGGGACTCTCCGCTCCCGCACACCTGGGAGAACCGGCTGGCGGACCTGCCCCTCGGAGCCCTGGGGTCCCTCAAGAGCTCGAACCATGGTCCGCGAGGCTGGCAAATCCAAGCGGCCCCCAAACCCTCGACAAGGTTTCCCCCGACGGTCCAGCCCGCAGCGCTCGTTCACCCAGGCCCGGGCCCCGGGTCCCCACTGAGCGCAGCGCGGGGAAATCCTGCGGGTCCCGGCGCCCCTCCCCATCCAGGGGCCGCGCTCACCATGTGGCTTTTCTCCGGGCTCTGCCTGGGCCCCTCGGCCTCGGGCCCCACCGACGGGATGTGAACTTCCAGCATCCGCGCCCCGGCCCCAGCTGCTCCGCGCGCTCGGCTCGGAGCCCTAACTCTCCCGGAGCGGACTGAGGACCCCGGGGCGGCCGGCTCCGCCCCCTCGGTCCGCAGGCCCCACCCCAGGCCCCGCCCCCAGGCGACCCCGCCCCGGGCGTTCCCTTGCGCCGCGGGTCCTGAGCCTAGAAGATTAGGCGGGACCTGGACGCCGCCCCCGAAGTCTAGTGCGCCCACAGCGCGGGGCAGTGGAGTCAACCGTTTGTCAAACATTGACGGAGCACTCACTGATGCCAGGAACTGGCGAGCGAAAATGTCACCCAACCTGAGTTAAGCGCCTACCAAGGACGGCCTGTGGCTCCAGGCGCGGACGGAGGCGGGGCCCGGGCCTCAGCGCCGGTCCTGGGGCCAACCAGGGACCTGTCTTGGGTTCCTCAGTCCCTTCCCGAGCCTTTCCCTCCTTTCAGCCTGGTCCCTGAAATTGTGATCTGGATTCCCCGGCTGAGGCCACACCTGAGCAAGGCTTGGACCCAGTCCAGCTTTGATGCCCCTTTCCCCAGCATCCACAGGCCCCCCCATTCATTCATTGTTTTCATCCATCCATTCACTCATATCTTCCAACCCTAAGGGGCTCCAGGCTGTTTGTGGGGAAGAGGCAGTTTAGGGACCTAGACTCCGATTTGGACGTCAGACTGCCTGGATTTCAGGAGCTCCGTAGACCTTTGCTCATCTGCAAAATAGGGATAACGTGGCTCCTTCAGGCAAGTGTATAAAGTGAGATGATTTGGCCGGGCGCGGTGGCTCACGCCTGTAATCCCAGCACTTTGGGAGGCCGAGGTAGGCGGATCACCTGAGGTCAGGAGTTCGAGACCAGCCTGACCAACATGGTGAAACCCCGTACCTACTAAAAATACAAAAATCAACCAGGTGTGGTGGCACATGCCTGTAATCCCAGCTACTCAGGAGGCTGAGGCGGGAGAATCACTTGAACCTGAGAGGCGGAGGTTGCAGTGAGCCGAGATCAAACCATTGCACTCCAGACTGGGCAACAGCAAGACTCTGTCTTAAAAAAAAAAAAAAGTGAGATGATTCATGTTAGGCCCTTAACAGAAGCATTGAGCAGCAGCTTGACTGTGGGCTTCTCCTGGATGACTAGGATAAGTGGGCACAGGGCAGTGGATGGGAAGAGAGACTTTGGGGGGTGGCACCGGGTTGCTCTTGTCCACCCCTCCGGGCAGGTTCTTCCTGGATATGTGGCAGGATTTTGATCCAGAACTCTCTCAGGCCATGTGCTGGAAAGGACCTCTGCTCCCACCTCTCAGCCCTGCACCCTTCAGCTGTCGGAGAGCTGCTATCAGCAGCACCATGGCAGGTCCTCTACTCCACTGACTTCCCCCACAAAGGCCCCGTGACATGCAGAGAGGCGAGGCCCTGCCTTCCAAAGCTCATACGTAGTGGGAGGTCTTGGGGTGGGCAGGAGGAAGCAGAGTGCCTGTCTTCGGGGCTGGGGTTGAGGGGACTCACCCCTCCCCTGCTTCTGCAGAGACGCCTCTGAGCTGGAGCAAAAAACCTCCATCCCCAGCCCTGCCCCCAGAGAAGGGCTGAGATGACGACCCCAAAATGGGGCAAACAGGTCTCACCAATATCATGTCCCACATTCTCTTTTTCCAAATTGCATCACACAAGGACCACAGAATCAGGAAGCTGAAACTTCCCAGATTCTAGTGGGGTCCCCTAGAAGAAAAGCAGCCCAGAGTGAGGAGAAGTGCTGTGCTTTCATTTCCTCCCTACGGCCCCATCATTCAGGGACCCAGCTTTCCCTGGCCTACAGGGCCTCCCCAACTCCCACTGTCCAGGGAGGCCTCTCCTGGGATCCTCAGACTTCTTGGTCCTCATCCTAATGACTGTCTGCCCCTCTGTCTGTGAGTCTCCATTTTTTCCTGCCTTCATCCCCAATAGAACGTCCATTCTCTACCCTGCAGCACAAACTGTTATCAAGGCATGTGCTTAAAACCTTCCAATGTTTCCCACTGCACTTAGAATAAAACCCACTCTCTCTATGCAATCCACAAAGCTGTAAACAACCCAGCCCAGCCTCCATCTTCCACCTCATTTCCTCTCCTCTCCCCATCATGCACTAGGCTCTTCCAACCTGACAAGCTCTTTCCTGCCTCAGGGCCTTTGCATTAGGCTGTTTGCTCCACCTGGGGGCACCCTTCCTTGACTCTTCAAGGATTGAGCTCATCCTCCAATTCTTAGCCTAAAACTCAACTCAAAAAGGTTTTTTTTTGTTTGTTTGTTTTTGTTTTTGTTTTTTTTTTTGAGACAGGGCCTCACTCCAGTCACCCAGGCTGGAGTGCAGTGACGCAACCACAGGGCTCACTGCAGCTTAGGTGATTTTCCCACCTCAGCCTCCTGAGTAACTGGGACTACAGGTGCGCACCACCACACCCAGCTAATTTTTGTATTTTTTGTAGAGACGGAGTTTGGCCATGTTGGCCAGGCTGGTCTCGAACTCCTGGGCTAAAGCTATGCACCCACCTTGACCTCCCAAAGTGCTGGGATAACAGGCGTGAGCCACCTCACCCAGCTGAGGCTTCCTTCTTGACCACCCTATCATATGACCTTTTCTATGCACATATTACAGTCTGCAATTATTGTTTGGTTACTGTGTGTCTCAAAAACATTTGGGTTGAAAGACTATATGGATAATATTTGTGATTGAAAGACTATATGAATGAATGGGCAGTGGGGGTATGCTGAGAAAAAACTAGGGAGGGGAAGGAGCAGCGTCTGCTGAAGGGTTAGAGGCTGCCTGCATGGTGGGACAACAAGAATCTTCTTCCTACCTCCAGAATTAAACACACTTCTCCTCTCTTCTCTCTTGGCAGATCATTGTCTACTTTTTCCATTTACTTAATTTTCAGGTGTTCCAGGAAGCCTCAGATCAGTGGATTTTCATCACCAGTTGTGGAAAGAGATTCCATGCAACTGACTTGTCAAACATGTGATAGGGAACCTGCAGCTCCTAATTGCACAGTGTTCCACCGCACAAGAGTGCAGGTACAAAAGAAGAAAAACGAGATCCTTGACACAGAGGCATTTAAGATGTCTTTGGGGAGATAAAACAGGTATGGAGAATATTTTCTAATTTTTTAAAATCAATTATGTATTAATTTATTGAGACAGGGTCTCACTCGTTTGCTGAGACTGGAGTGCAGTGGCACAATCATGGCTCACTACAGCCTTGACATGCCAGACTCAAGCGCTCAGCCTCCCAAGTAGCTGAGACTACAGGTATGCATTATTAAGCCCGGCTAATTTTTGTTTTGTTTTGTTTCATAGAGACAGGGTCTCACTATGCTGCCCAAGCTGGTCTCCAGCTCCTGGGCTCAACTGATCCTCCTGCCTCGGCCTCCCAAACTGCTGGGATTATAGGTGTGAGCCACAGTGCCCGGCCAAGTATTTTCCTATAAAGAGGAACGCATGACATGATGTAAATACCATAGCAGTTATTACAATCAAAGAAAGTTTGCTTTCTGTACGCCTTCAGTGCTGGCCAGCTCAGCATATGAACACCACGTTCCAGACTCTATATGATGGGTGTGCAGACCTCAAAGTAACTTGTTTTTAGAATGAGCTGTTTTATGATACAAGCTTTTGTCTTTTCTCCACCACGATCTAGCACATGGATTGTATTTCAATACTAGATTATAGTAGTTCTCAGACTTTAGCAATCATCACCACCACCTGTAGGGCTGTGAAATCTCACATTTGAGTGCCCTGGCCCTGGATTTTCTTTTTTTTTTTGAGACGGAGTCTGGCTCTGTCGCCCAGGCTGGAGTGCAGTGGCGTGATCTCGGCTCACTGCAAGCTCCGCCTCCCGGGTTCACGCCATTCTCCTGCCTCAGCCTCCCGAGTAGCTGGGACTACAGGTGCCCTCCACCACGCCCGGCTAATTTTTTGTATTTTTAGTAGAGGCGGGGTTTCACCGTGTTAGCCAGGATGGTCTCGATCTCCTGACCTCGTGATCCGCCCGCCTCGGCCTCCCAAAGTGCTGGGATTACAGGCGTGAGCCACCATGCCCGGCCGCCCTGGCCCTGGATTTTCTAATTGCTGGGCTGGGGTGGAGCCTGAAGCGGTCATCTTCAACAAGCTCCCTGGTGGTCCTGAAGCTCCTGGTTGGAGATCACACTAAGCAAGCACCGGTCTCCTGATTACCGCAGCAGCCCCGCCGGGGGCCTGGCTCCACTCGCTCCTCTATGCAGGCATAGAGCCGGCAGTTTGCCACTTGGAAATAGAACCAAGGAGCAGAGGGCAGGAAGGGCTGGGGAGTGAAGATGTACCCCGACTCGCCCCATTCCTGCGCACGGGTAGGCTGGCCCACAGACCCTGCCTTAGCTCAGGCCCTGGCTTCCATTGCAGTCACACAAAGCCCCCTTTCACCGGCAAGGCTTCTGCTGCGCCACAAAGGCTGCTCAGGAGGTTTGGTCAACCTCGTTAAGAAAACAAACAGCCCCTGGGCCACGAGCTTGTGGGCGCCACGGGGCACAGAGGCTGGATTCTTTTCTGGGCCCGGGCTGGGCGGGCGGCAGCGGAGGGGTGGACTGGCCAGGAGGGGCCCAGCCACTGGGGGCTGTCTGAGCCATGGTGAACCTTGCCTGCGCCACCCCAGCCCAGCTCTGGTCACCGGCATCACCTTGGACAACCCCCCTGAGGCTCAGGGTCCTTATCTGTCCTTATCTCAGGGTCCTCACACAACAGAGAGTGGTGTGTGGATTAAATGACTGCAGCTTCCACAGTGTTTGGCATGGGGCCCAGCACACAGCAGAGAGATGTTAGCTATTATTGACTGAATTATGTGAATTTGCCGTTTTCGTAGGCAAAAAACGGCAAGGTCTTACCAATGACATGGTTCATCCTGATGGATACTGACTCATTGACAACAAAAGCAGATTCTATTTCTTCCGTACCCTGAGACTGCAAGGTTAGCTTAAAAAAAATTAACAATTTCAACTACTAACACTGCAATAAGGATTTTTCTGATTTCCTCCATATTGTGCAACCAAAAATAGTAAAGAAATAAATTGGAAGCAGAGGTTGATATAAATCACCAACTATGCTGTTCATCAAAACAGCCTCCTACTGTTCACAGAGTTCCTACTGATTACCTTGTTAATAAGTACATTTTATAAACGGAAATAATAAATATAACATTTAAAAACATCATTTTTATGTTTATTAGATTTTGGTGTAACGTGTCTTTTAAAAAGAGTGCTACTAAAAAGCGTTGTTACTGAGTTGGTCCAAACTCTTCACTTCTGTCAACCGGGGGAAGCCAGGCGTGAGGGAGTGGTGGGTACTGGAAGCAGCTGTTAGAACGCACCTCTGACAAGCATGTCCTGCCCAAGTCCTTAGAGCAAAAATTGGTCCAGGACAGGCAGGCCCCAAACCCGGGGCTCCAGCCAGCAATGTCACTTCTAGGAGTCTCCTGTCCCCTGCCCAGATAGGACAGCGGCAGCTCAGCTGCTTCAGACAACACGACTCAGGTCTGGCACAGGGAGAGCTGGCAGAGGCCACCCCACCACTTTGACGGCACAGCTCTCCAGGCTGCGTGTGGTGATACAGCAACTCCCAGTGCCTTTCAGAGCCATGTCAGCCAATCAACCAAGTGGCCCCTCTGGTGTGCCAAGCACTGGGGTTCAAGAAACAAAGACACACTTGGGTCCCTCAAGTAACAGGGGTTCACTGTGAAGAGAGCTGAGGGACCAAGAACTGGGGCAACAGGCAGAAGCCAGGATGGGCAGGAGCTCCAGGCCTCGAGGTCTGGAAGGGAGGTGGCCCTGCCTCATATGCTAGCTGTCCCCAGGGTGCTGGCGGTGGCTTCTCAGCAAGTGGAGTTTTTCATGTCTGCCATTAAGGTCCCCAGCTACTCACCAAAGATGCTTCTGTCTTCCAGCCTCTGCTACTACTCCACTGGGCAACCCCTGCCCATCTGGGGAAAGAATGTCTTGCAGGGGTCAGAGAAGCTCCAATGCTTACCAGGTCAGGTGGGTATCCAAATGGGACTTGTCCTTAACAGGCCTACTGTGTGGATGCCTTCAGGTCTTTAAGAAAACAACTTAGGGCCGGGTGTGGTGGCTCACGCCTGTAATCCCAGCACTTTGGGAGGCCGAGGCGGACGGATCACGTGAGGTTGGGAGTTCGAGACCAGCCTGCCAAAATAGAGAAACCCTGTCTCTACTAAAAATACAAAATTTGCCGGGCATGGTGGCACGTGCTTGTAATCTCAGCTACTTGGGAGGCTGAGTCAGGAGAATCGCTTGAACCCGGGAGGCGCAGGATGCGGTGAGCTGAGATGGCACCATTGCACTCCAGCCTGGGCAACAAGAGCGAAACTCCACCTCAAAAAACAAACAAACAACAACAAAAAAACAAAACTTAGTGGGTTGATTTCCAGGTTCCTCTTGTCTGTCCCCGTCTAAATGTCTACAGTGTGTGGGATAGGGTGTGGCAGAGAGGCCATGCTAAGAGCTTGAGTTCATCTTAGCTATGGGGTGTGACCTGGGCCAGCTGCTTCAGCTCCCTGAACCTGTCCTTAGTGTGGGTCATGAGTGCACCCTGCAGGGTGACAGTGCTGGATGTGAGCTATCTCAGGGCCCAGAGGCAGTTCTTACTATAGTTAATAATTAGGCCCACGAGTGGGAAGGGGCGGTCATGGGCAGTCTGTCCCCTGCTGCGGAACATGCTCCTGGCCGCAGGAGCCTCGTCTATTTTTCTTGAGAGGCTGCCAGTGAAACCTGCGTGTTGGGCCCCTGTGGCTATCGCCACTGCAGCTCATAATGGAAGAGGAAGCAGCGAGCTCTGAAGCCCCGAAGGGGCAGTCATTTGGAAACAGTCACATCTCTTTATGGAAAGGTCCTGTCTCGGATTGGACAGGGTTTTTCTGTTTCTTTTCTGGACCCAGACAAAGAGCATCCTGTGGAAGGCGAGCAGCTGGCTTCCTCTGAGCAGCCTTGGGTGGGTGAAGTTTTCTGCCCCGAGGTCTGGTCATCAGAGCCAGAGGAGCATTTCCACAACAGACAAGGGCCAAAGGGGTGAAAGGCCTGTCTGGGCAAGACTTGTGGGGCCTGCAGGCTTCCCCAGCACACTGAGCACCAGTCTTACCAACCACGGTGAGGCCTATTAAACCTCAAATTAGGCCAGATTTCCGGATCTCTTGAAAAATCCCCAGATCTGGCCTCAGTGACCCACAGGCTTGTATGGCAATGATCTTGAGCCGAGGAGCAGCCACTGCCCCGGAGGCTCCTGTGCAGGTGGTGGAGGACACCAGGATGAGCAGAGACAGTGCAGCCCAGGACCCCAGGGAGTCCAGAGCTCAGGAGGCTACAGAGACCGCCTCAGAGCTGACACCACACAGGAGAGGAAGACCAGAGGCTGAAGAGGACGACAGACGCAGGGCCCAACTCCAGTCCGGGGTAGGGCAGAGGGCGGATCAGGGGAAGCTGCCCAAAGAACAGATATGTGATGCGGGCCTCAAAGGATGCACTGGATTGTTTTCCCATAATGAAAATAGCTTTATTTGATTTTTCTTATTTTAACGATAATACATACAAATTTTAAGCAATACAAAATGGTATTAAAAATTAAAGGTAATGCAAACTTCCATCTCTAGAGGTGACCATAGTTATTAACAATTCAATCAACATCCTTCCCATATATAAAGTTTTATATAAATGTGAATATCATGCAATTCTATAACCTGCTTTTTTCACTAAAAAATATGAGTTTTCCTTGTCAATGAATATAGCTATATATCATCTTCAATGGCTGTAAAATATTCAACGGTGTAACTGTACCATAATTCATTTAATCCCCTCCTGATGGACATTTCAATTGGCTTCAGTTTTTGCAACTGTAAACAGTGCTATGACGGGCATTTCTGGTTAGTCATCTTCAAGGATTTGGTTTCTAGAAGTGCCTATGAGGATCCTCAGTGAATGTTCTGACACACAGGCAAATGCTTCACATCTCCTTACACTTATATTCCCATCTAGGGCATTGGAAAATGCCTGCTTCAGACAGGTGTAATTCTGAGAATGAAGATGGGGAAGGGAGAAAGGGTGCTTAAGGTACCAAGCCCAGCATTAACCCAGCCTCCTCGGGCCACACAGAAGTGAGAAGTAGCACATTTGCAATCAGTTTCCATGAGGTGTCGGCGCTGTTGGGAAGGACTGGGAGATAAAGAGGGAAAGGTGAGCTGGGTCCTTTCACAGACAGTATGAACGCCAGGTGGCAGAGCCTGCAACTGGGGAACAATCATTCAACAGTTATCTATTTGACACCTGTTTTGAGCCTGAACCTTTGCTGGGGCCCATGGAGTTATAAAGGCGTAAGACCCCAGAGTTTAGCATTTGGTGGAGACTGTAAATCACCCAACTTTATCACAAGATGCAGTTATCGGCAGGTGACACATGCACCAGAAGACAGGCTTCAGTTGTTCTTGTCCATTTATCTCAGATCAGGCACGACCCTGTCCAAACATGGAGCAGAGAATCTTAGCCAGTGTCTCCAAAGACAGAGTGTACATCCAGGCATGTGCGCACTGTAGCACAGATGTGTCCTCCTATGTTTGGAGCCAGGGATCCCCATTATCTTCTCCCGCCCTCCCCTTCCCCCTAGGCTGCCAAGTACTGGTGGGGAAAATCCCACCACCTTGGGGCTTGATGTCCTTGAAGTCTATGGGCTTCCCGTGGGCCCTGAGTGTGCTCGGCAAAAGACACGCCCTCCATCACCACACACTCTCCAGCCACATCTTGGCCCCATCCTGAGATTTCCAGGAGTTCCTCCCCTTTTTTAAAACTTGAGTTGCTTCAAAGACTTTTTAGGGTTCCTAGCTACAGGAGCATTCAGAATGAAAATCTTCTGGGAAGAGTTAACAGTTGCTGGTATTTTTGTGTAGGCGACAATTCTTATTCCCGTTTCTCTCATTTATTTTGTCACTGAGTACTGACACTGAATACTGGGATCACACCAGCTCGAAGTCCAGTCCTCATCTTCAGCACTCCGGAGCCCAAACGCTGAACTAGCCAAGGGGAAAGCAGGTTCCATACCTTTTATCTAAAAAAACTTGGCTTAAATAGGTAAATATGACATTCCTATCTCAGAAAATTTTAATTATCAAGCATGAAACTTCCCCTCTTCGGCCTCCCCTCCACCTACAGATTCTTTCCTGTGGCCTCAGCAGTGAGGCACCCTCTGAACACAGGTCCCCTTCCTGTGCTCTGGACCCCATTTTCTTCCAAACATGGCTCTGATAGTCATTCTCTTTCTCTTCTCTGAATTTTATTAACATGCTTAAGTTTGTCCCACCTTTAAATAAAACAAAGCCTCCTTTAACTCTATCTCCCCTACTTAAAGCAACTGGCCTCCCTTCCCATCCAGAGCTGCTTTTTTTTTTGAGACAAGATCTTGCTCTGTCACCTAGGCTGGAGTGCAGTGGCGCAACTGTAGCTCACTGCAACCTCAACCTCCTGGGCTCAGGTGATGTTCCCGCGTAGCTGGGCCTACAGGCATGCACCACCACACACCCAGCTAGTTGTTTTTATTTTTGTAGGGACAGGGTCTCACTATATTCCCCAGGCTGGTCTCAAATTCTTGGGCTCAAGTGATTCTCCCACCTCGGCCTCCCAAAATGCTAGGAATACAGGCATAAGCCACTGTGCCTGGCCCAGAGCCGCTTCTTAAAACACCTTCAGCACTCACTGCCCCCACCACTGCTTCCCCTCCCATCTGCCCCAAACCTATTGCCTCATGTGTTACAAAGGGTTTCATTGTCTGCCCAGTGTCTGGGCCAGAAGCTTGCGGGGCATCCTAGCTACCTCCCTCTCCCCTCAAGCCTCTCATCAAATCAAGGACCGATCTCAGTGGTTCCGAAACTCTCCTGAGCTCTGGCCCCACCATACCTGCCCTTTTCAGCTCTCCTGAGGGTAGGGATAAGCCTGGCTGCTCTTCCTGCCTCCAGTCTCACGCCTTCTGGTGTGTCCAGATCACGAAGCGACAATGGTAATGTGGAAAGCGCCTCCCAGGTCCTATCAGACACCCATGTGATGTGGCTCCTGCTCGTTTTTCTCCATGGGCCTCACTGACTTTACCCTACACCAAGCCACTTGACATTTCCCTAGATGCGCCTACCTCACCCTGCCAGACAGACAGGGAGGCAGAAGCAACAAACACTTTTACACCTTTTAGACTCAGTTCAAGCATCAGGTTCTCCACAAAGTCCTCCCTCCTGGGTCCCCAGCTGGAATACCACCTTCTTCCTTTGTGCTCCTGTTATTCCTTGTAGAGGCTTCTGGCTCAGTACCCCTAACCCACTACTGGCCTACTTGATTTCCACACGTGCAAGCTCTTTACAAAAATGCACAAGCCCTAAAGACAACTGGCCCCGCCAGCCTCAGGATACAGGAAGCAGAGGAGGAAGTTCTGAAACCAGAGGAGACATCATTCCAAGGAAATAAGAAAAACAGACTTACGTCAGAATGATCATTAGATGGAACTTAACAAAGCAACCTGAAATCTTTGTCTCTCTGGAGGAAAGAGTTAACAACATGGAAAAGGGGGCAGACTGGAATAAACCTACAGGGCTGGTCTCAAAGCATCAGTGTGAATTCATGATTTTTAGTATCTATTTATGTCAGGTATCTCTAACCTATCTTGTTTCTACAAATCAATCAATCTATCTATCTATCTATATCTATCATCTATCTATCTATCTATCTATCTATCTATCTATCTATCTATCATCTCTTTGCACTGTATGGTGAGAGCCTAGAGGCAATGACATTCCAGTAACAAGCAGCACATTTGGCACCCAGATCTTGGTTTCTAAATAACATTCTCTGGCTGGGTATGGTGGCTCACACCTGTAATCCCAGCACTTTGGGAGGTTGAGGTGGGCAGATCACCTGAGGTCAGGAGTTCGAGACCAGCCTCCCCAACATGGTAAAACCCCCATTTCTACCAAAAATGCAAAAATTAGCTGGGTGTGGGGGCAGGCACCTGTAATCCCAGCTACTTGGAAGGCTGAGGCAGGAGAATTGCTTGAACCTGGTAGGTGGAGGTTGCAGTGAGCTGAGATTGTGCCATTGCAATCCAGCCTGGGCGACAAGAGCGAGACTCTGTCTCAAAAATAGTAATAATAATCAAATCAAATAAAAATAAATAAATACCATTCTCCATTATAAGGAACCAAGACTCCCTGGAGAAATGGCTGATTCCAGGGCTAGGGTAGGGAACATTCAAGATGAGCCTGGAACATCTTGTTATGCCAGAAGGTAAGAAAGTACTCAAAACATGATGGGAGCAAGCTACAAACACACAAGAGGCCGCTATAAATCTGGGACAATTTGAGAATCAAGATAAAATCAAAGCAATGGCTTGCAACTCTGAGTAAAACAGGAATCCCTGCATCCATATTGATAAACAAGTGAATAAATAAATGGTGAGAAAGGATGTTTTTCTTTGTATGTAGAATGTCAACCAATAAATGTAGAAGGCATTATGGAGTTAGGAAATCATGTTGGTCAATCATGACAGTAATAACTGGGACAAGACTAATCAACTGATACTATATAACTGGTGAATGAGGAACAAAATACTTATATAGTCTCAAAGTATCTCCCCACAAATTACTTGTAAATTACAAAGAGGAAATCGTAAATTTAAAATGAAATCTGGCAGACACCAACCTAAGCGGTGAACAGAGTTAACAACATTAATGGGACCAACTGACATTATATGCTGATTACGACGCACTGACGACACACTGCTTCTGTGATATTCCCACCCAGAATGCAAAACCCTCACCTAGTCATGCGGAACCATCACACAAATCCAAACTGAGGAACATTCGACAAAATAGCCTGTATTCTTCAAAAATGTCATGGTAATGAAAGACAAAAGAAAGTTGAGGAATCTGCAGTATTGAGAGACACACGTTTACAAATGTAACATGATCCTGCACAAGGTAAAAGAATGGCTACAAAGGACATTATTGGGATAAATGGCAAAATTTAAATATGAATCATGGGTTAGATAACAGTATTAAATCACTGTTAAACTTCCTGATTTTGATAATAATACTTAAAAAAATACTGAATAATGCTTAAAGTAATTCTCTTCTTCTCTTAGAAGAGAATGTCCTGTTCTTAGGGAAATGCATACTGTTTTGGGCATAATGGGGTATCTGTGCAAATTATTCTCAAATGATTAAGAAAATGCAACATGAAATATAGATAAGGCAAATGGGATAAAATGTAAACACTCAGTAAATCTGGATAAAAGATATATAGGAGTTCTTTGTGATATTCCTGCAACTTTTCTGTAAATCTGAAATTGTATTCAAAATTTTAAAGTTACCAATAAAACAAAACAAACAACCCCTGACCAAGAATCCAACAACAAGGGATGAATCAAAATTATGGTACAGTCACCCTATGGATGCCTTCAAATTACACAGCTTTACAGATCAACTTTGTGAAGATATATAACAATATAGTAAAATGCTTATAACATGTACAATGTTGAATGATAAAAGCAGGATACAAAATACTTTATGTGTATATTATTACAACTATGTAAAAGCAAGCATATAATAAAGACTGGAAGGATAAAACCAAAGTTGATGGTAAGGATACTGAGGGGTAGGGAGAGTGACTTTTTCCAAAAACTTCACCTGTTAAAAAGAAATACTTGCACCACTGGCCCTTCCCCTGGTGCTGCATCTGTGTACAGGGAATCAGAATGTTTACTGCGTTTTCTTGTCTCAGGTTGCCTCGCCCCAAACCTTAGCCCCCCACCAAAGAGAACTGATACAGCAGGACCTGGGGCCCCAGTGGCAGGAGCGTCTTTGGGATGGAGGGGCTGGAGGTGGCAAGGCTCCCATAGTGGCAGTCAGCAGCTCGAGCTCACAAAGGAGCTTCAAAGCCCACTCTGACCAGTATAGCTTGAGCAGCTGTGGACACAGCTAAGGGGGAAGCCCATCCTTGACTGACGAGACTCTGGCCTCCCCTGGCTAGACCGGCAGAGATCTGTGTGAACACCCTTTGGCTGTGTGTGCAACTCCTGAGGGCTCTTGCTGGCAGGCTACCTCCTGGGCACAGACAGTAGAGCTTCTTTGAACCTCCTAAGGTTCAGGAGCTCTTGGATCACCCTATCTAGAGGCAGAGGGCATGGCTTTCATGTCTATGGAGACAAAGCATCAAGTCATTATCAGACCTTCACACCTTCACACAGTCTACTGAGGATGTGTTTTGATGGGTGACAAAAATAGGTTTAGTTATATATAAGACTTGCCATCAGAGGGCAAGACTCAGAGAACCCTGAGCAGCTTAGGGAAGCAGGAAGAATAAAAGAGAAAGGCTCTTGCTTAATGATAGGGACACCAAAAAAAAAAAAAAAAGAGAGAGAGAAAGTCTCTGCCTCCTTTGCAGGAGAATAGGTTTTAATAGATTTTGCTCCTCTTATTTTAAGAGATGTTTTTAAAACTCCTTCCCTAAAGAAGTGGGAATACGAAACAGATTGAGACCCTCAGAACAGGTAGCTGAGGTAGGCGGAGAGAAAGAAACCCCATTTCCAGAGGGAAGCAGCAGCACAAAACTTGTGAACGGTAGAGAAAAACTTACTATACCTGGGCAACTTCTTGGTTAGGAGTATTCCAGACCTGATTCCCAACTGCTCCCCAGCCTAAGCAAAAACCACCAACATTCTGAGTCATGTGACCTGATTTTAAAATATTTTATTACATAACCTTTTCATGGCACCATCAGGAGTAACAGAAAACGTTATTCCCAGTTCCTAAACCACATCCTGAAAAATATACATTTGTATTTATATATTTATATCAATACTCCACCCCATCCCATAATTCCACCACCTATTGTAGGTCTTTTGCTTAAAGCAGGAAACTATTCTCTTAGGTAAGAAAATATATATGGAAGCTAAATGAAATAACGGTTAGAGTAACTGGGGACAGTTGGTCGTGGGGACAGGGAGGAAGGGGTTAAGTCCAGCCTAGGCAGGATGCATCACTAGGGGTCCATCAAGGTGGAGGAGGACAGTGTATAAAAAGGCAGCGTCACACAGGTGGGCTCTGGGGTCCTTGGTCCATTAGGAGATGGCCTTTGCCTCAGGAAGGAAGGCTTCCCAGTACTTTGCCAGCTGCAAAGAAGTGGGGACATTAAGCAAGTGCCCCCACCTAGTGGCAGAGCCTAAGCCAGCCTGGGAGGAATCAAGCACAGTACCCTGGCGCTCCCCAAGCGCCTGCCACACAAAGGCAGGCTCCGAGCAGCTGCACAGGCCACATGACCTTCACACCTCCCTCTCGACAGGGAAGGCAGCAGTTACTGAGCCCCAAGTGCAAGGGCAGTCTCTGAAGACAGTCTTGGCTCCACCCCAGAGGGAGCACCCCTGTGGTGGCCACAGCTTTGCCTGGCTCAGTTAGTTCCTCACAGTGGGGCCACTGTTTCACATACCGATGAGGCCTCAGCCTCAGGAGGGCCAGGTGGTACCATGGGGTGGCTCCTCGAAGGGTAAGCAGTTACAGGGAGATGGGGTTTGTCCTCAAAAACTAACTCACCTCAGAATGAGGGCAGCAGACCTGGGCCCTCCTGCTTGGTAAAAGACCCTGTTGGATGCTCCATGTCAGAGCAGCAGGACCTATTTTCAATGATGGACTATAGGAGGGCCCAGCCCCTCAGAAGCAGGGCCTGCACATCTTGTTGCAGAAGCCCCGAGGAGGCAGCTGGCCTTTGGAGCAGGCAGTAGAGGATGAAGGTCACACACAACTTACATACCTGCTGCTGTGAGTAAAGGAGTGTCTCAAGGTACTTGATCACGTGGTTCTTGAAGTCCTTGGATTTCTCTTTCTAGGAGACAAGATTCTACACTGACCATCCAGTTTTTGCTTTCCCTTTCGATGGGATGGTGGTGTTTATTGCTGACCAAGGCCAAACACAGTCTCAGAAAGTAGAGGCAGCAGGTGGAACAGCTGTAATTTCCAGCCAAAGAGGGTCTGCCAAGGCCTTGAAAGGCTTTGTTGGAGGGCAGGAGATGGGAAGTGGAGGAGAAACGACAGGGGACCGAGGGTATATGGCAGCTGCAAGATTTGTGTTTAACTGCTGTGGTCCAGCCACAAGTGTAAGATTGCCACTGTTCCTAGGATCAAGCACACACCCCCCCAAAGAAGGCCACGCCTGCTCACGAGAACTGCCAAGTTACTGGCACCTCTCTCTTTACCCAACAGAGTTGGACAACACCAAGAGTACTCCCAAAACAAGCACTGCATGCTAAGTGAGAAGTAGGATTTTCTATCTCACCTCAAACCGTATCACTTCTTTTCGGACCACTGTTGAAATCCTCTCGAAGTCCCTTTCATATTGAGTCACCCGAGACTCCCACTGGGAAGAAAGAGGAAAGAAAGGATCACCTCATATTATGGCACCATTATTAAGCCTTCACATTTGGACAGCGATTTTACATATGAGGGCTCAATTGATCATTATGTCTGTCTGTCCCTGTGGGTAAGATGAGGTGTCACAGAGGATTCCACACGTAAGTCAGAGTCCGGCAGAAGGCTACTTTAGGGGCTGACTGGAAAAGAGATGCCTGTGTTTCAGGCATCTGGGACCAAGTGTGGTCCTTCAAGAAGGCTCTGACATGCCAGCAGCCTCCAGTTTAGGTACTCACCAGCAGGGCTGAAAGGCCTGGAAAACTTAATTTAGTTCTCACGAGAAGGCATATCTGAATCAGCTAGGTAGCTTTTCAAAGACCCAGCCAGGACCCCTCCTGCCAAGATTTTTTTTTTTGAGATGGAGTCTCGCTCTGTCATCCAGGCCGGAGTACAGTGGTGCGATCTTGGCTCACTGCAACCTCTGCCTCTCAGGTTCAAGCGGTTCTCGTGCCTCAGCCTCCTGAGTAGCTAGGACTACAGGCGTGTGCCATCACGTCTAATTTTTTTTTTTTTTTTTTTGAGACAGAGTCTTGCTCTGTTGCCAGGCTGGAGTGCAGTGGCGTGATCTCAGCTCACTGCAACCTTCGCCTCCCAGGTTCAAGCGATTCTCCTGCCTCAGCCTCCTGAGTATCTGAGACTATAAGTGGGTGCTACCACGCCCAGCTAATTTTTGTATTTTTTTTAGTAGAGACGGGGTTTCACCATGTTGGCCAAGATGGTCTCAATCTCTTGACCTCGTGATCCACTCACCTTGGCCTCCCAAAGTGCTGGTATTACAGGCGTGAGCCACCGTGCCCAGCCCTGGCTAATTTTTTGTATTTTTAGTAGAGATGGGGTTTTACCATGTTGGCCAGGCTGGTCTAAAACTCCTGACCTCGGCCGGGCGCGGTGGCTCACGCCTGTAATCCCAGCACTTTGGGAGGCCGAGGCAGGTGGATCACAAGGTCAGGAGATCGAGACCATCTTGGCTACTAACACGGTAGTACAAAAAATTAGCCAGGTGTGGTGGCAGGAGCCTGTAGTCCCAGCTACTTGGGAGGCTGAGGCAGGAGAATGGCGTGAACCCAGGAGGCAGAGCTTGCAGTGAGCTGAGATCGCGCCACTGCACTCCAGCCTGTTGACAGAGCGAGACTCCATCTAAAACAAAAACAAAAACAAACAAAAAAAACCTCTGACCTCAAGTGATCCGCCCACCTTGGCCTCCCAAAGTGCTAGGATTACAGGCGCGAGCCACCATGCCGGGCCAGAGATTCTGATTTGACAAGTCTGCGTAGAGTAGAAAAAGAACAGGGGGACTAGGCCTCAGGAAGGCCTGGAGTCATTCTCAGAGGCTTCCTCAGCAGCCACGGCCCTTTAGACTCAATCAGCGCTCTTCCCCCTGTGGGGTTCCAAACCTCTGGGTGGGATGGGCCCTGGGTTCATTTGGAACCAGCAGAACACCCCTGGCTGGGCTGCCTCAGTGGACTCACCTCGAGGATCTCGTCCTTGGCCTGCTGCAGCTTATCAGGCTTGTTGGCCCACAGCAGCCGAGCCTCGGCCTCCCGCTTCTTCTGCAGTGTGGCTTGGGCATCCTGCCAGCGCTGCCATGTCTTCATGCGCTGGTCGAAGGCAGCCTGTGGGGGTGGGGTTGAGGAGGAGCACAACCAGCTCTTCAAGAGCTCTGCTGGCTCTGCCTCGAGGCAGGCTCTCCCAGCAGCTGCACCAGGGACAGACTGAGCAAGGGCAGGTTCTGCAGCCACATGTTAGTGCCCAGCTGGGAAGTTTAATGTCTAGGAGCAAAGCTTGGGTAAGACTCCTCTCCAAGCTTCCAGAAGGCCAGTGCCATGCTGCTTCATGCTACTCCCAGGGCTGGATGGCAGGGATCCAGTAGGTGGCCTCATGCCAGTGACCAATACTATGGCTTACAGAAGTGCCTCCCTCAGATCAGTCAGTTCATAAGGCTACATACTTTCCCTGAGTGCCTGCCATGTGCCAGGAGCTAAGAATACAGTGGATGAAACTCATGGTCCCATTTTCATGGAACTTGTCATCTAATGGAAAAGGCCAACATTACATTTACAATTACAAATAGATACAAGTATGCAGACTACTGGGAAAGCAGCAGGGTACTATAACATGAAACCAGAGGCCTAGCTTAGCCTGGGAAATATGTCAGGGAAGTCCACCCTAAGGACCCAGCCTTTAAACTGACACCCAAATAATGCACAAGGTTAGCTTAACAAATCTTTAAATCAACACCTAAAACCACCATAGGGCCACATTGCTTTTTCCCAACCACACACTCACCTGCTCTAGGCTACCAAGGCCTCCAAGAAGCTCCCCAAAATCTATTTGCTAGTTTTCCTTGTTTCCAGTTCCTTGACCACAATCAGCATTTCCAGGGAAGGAAGCTGCTGGCCTGACTAACCACGCCCACCCGGACTTGCTTAATAGGCCCCAAGCAGCAGCCTGGATCAAGGATCTGTGCCTGGGGCCAGCCGCCCAGCCGGGTTCCAGCGGCTCCCTCACTGCCCTGCAAAAGTTCCCCGAATATTTTCTTTTTAGACGGAGTTTCACTCTTGTCACTCAGGCTGGAGTGCAATGGCGCGATCTTGGCTCACTGCACTGCAACCTCCACCTCCTGGTTTCAAGCGATTCTCCTGCCTCAGCCTCCTGAGTAGCTGGGATTATAGGCACACACCACCACGCCCAGATAATTTTTGTATTTTTAGTAGAGATGGGGTTTCGCCACACTGGCCAGGCTGGTCTCGAACTCCTGACCTCAGGTGATCCATCTGCCTCAGCCTCCCAAAGTGCTGGGATTACAGGCGTGAGCCACCACGCCCCAACCTTCCCTGCATATTGTCTATGCCTCCTCAGCACAGGCTTTTGCCAAAACTTGAACCTTAGGGAATGCAATGCCACCAAATTCACCTGCCCCAGGATTGTCACTGCTGCTACCCTGCAGCATCTTAACACCTCAATGTCAAAAGATTAGGTAAAGGGCAACCTCTTATCTGAGTTAGTTAGACTCAAGCCCAACCCACTGGCCTAACAGTGGTCCGGCTCCATGCTCAGGGAAGAGCAGAAAAGAAACCTTTGCTCTTCTCTCCAATCCCACCACCAGGCTCATAAGCATGAGGTAGGCAGATGAAGGGTCTCTGAGAAAAGACCATTCGCAATTATGTGCCATGAGGCACACTTCCCCAGCCCCAGCCCATGTAGCTCTAAGCAAGGCCCTCACCCCTGTGGTACAAGCTCACTCTGCCTGGGGGCCATATCCAAGAACTGTGCTCTCCAGAGACCCCAAACAATGCTCCTCATAGAAAGCTTCCCCCAGAGGGTGCCCTTCCTGCAGCTGGCTCTCCAGTCTAAGTAGCCTGCCCAGTTCTAAGAATTACATAGCAGGTAGACTCATCACTCTGGAGTTAGCAGCAAACCAAATAGCAATGGGAGAGGACAATGAGCAACCTTCCAGGCTCTATGAGGCATCTCCACCACGGGGTAAGTGACAGCCTGGGAGCAGCTCAGCTCCTGACACAACGCACAAGCTCCCTAATGGGAGATATGTTGGGGACGGGGAACGAGCGGGGGGCACTGTTCTAACTCTGAGGCTCACACATCCTGATCCCAAGCGAAATCAAGGACAGACTTAGGCCCTTAGAGTGTAGGTGCCAGGCTTCCTCTTGGTTCTTTCCTCTGTCTTAGGGAGGCCATGCGACAGCTAATACTACTGTCAAAATTCCTTAACCTTAATCACTAGGAGTGCTCACGGGGAAACCACACTGCTTGATCACCAGGAGAAAGAGTGAGGTGCTTGACGAGGGGCAGGCTGGAATGTTACCAGTGTGGGGTGACACAGCACAGGAAGGCTCTGGTGACAAGCTCTCTCAGTCCCCTGGCCGCACTCCTCCATGCAATGCCAAGCCAGTTCCATGTAGTTACCTGACTGCCCATACTGGAAGGACAAGTGGAAGTCAGCAAGAGCTCTTAACCAGGGCAAAGCCACCAGTTACTGTTAAGGAGGCAAAGACCAAAGGACTGAGGAAGTCACTGCTCCAGGGGACCAAGAGAGTAGGTCTGTAAGCAACCTTGCTTCAAGAAAGGACCACAGAAGACACTGTCTGGCCTCAACAATAAAGGGCAACCTATTCGGAAATTCAAGAGTGGTCTTTTCTCCAAATGCCATCTAGGAATCTTGGCTGTGGGGCTCAAAATGATTCAGTGATAACTAGCTAACAGGTGAATAGATTGCTTGGTTTACAGGATACCTTTCCTCTTAAAAGTAGAAAAAGTGACACCTATTTACAAGCTATAATGGGATGAAACTGTCTTGGGAAGGGGACCAGCAAAGGAAAAACAAATCAAATCAAGGGAAGGAGGAGAAAAGGAAACAGAAGCTTACGCGGACTATGGCCAGGAGGCGAATGTAGTCACTCAGGAGCTCAGCAAGGAGGAAGAAGTCATTGTTGGCCTGTTCCTGGTGGAGCTGCTCAATTTTTTCTTCCACCTCAGCCAGCTGGGAGAGTGCCCGTGACAATGCCGTGTTGTCCTCAGAGCTCCCAAGCATGGCTAGACTCTTTGCAAACTGGGCTGTGTTCAGCGCTAGCTCTGGAAGGAGGAAAAGACAGCAGAGGCCTCTCTGATCTCACAAGGAAAAGGGACAAATCAGCTGACACTGCATGGCATGTCTTAGCAATGCCGCCCACTGCATATCTGGGAACTGAGGGCTCTGCAACCCAGTCACTTACACCACAGTTAACTGTATTCAGAGAGTAAAGAGAATGTGGCCTGGTCACAGGAGCAGGAGGGAGAGGCACCAGCTGTCCTGAGTTTCACTGGGTTAGGCCTACCTGAAGGAAGCAGCTCCAATATCCCTGGAGAACCAAAGCCCAGTTGTTAAATAACAAACAGGCCAAAGAAACTATTCTTATATTTATGTTGAAGCTCATGAGTGGTAGCCTCTCTGTACAAGAGAGAAGAGTGAATACATGTGCACATCGTATAGTCTTGCACGTTCTAGAGTAGGGCAAACTTTGTGTAAAGGAGTGCAGTGGCGCCATCTCAGCTCACTGTAACCTCCGCCTCCCGGGTTCAAGCAATTCTCTGCCTCAGCCTCCCAAGCAGATGGGATTACAGATGCCCACCACCACACCTGGCTAATTTTTTCTATTTTTAGCAGAGACAGGGTTTCACCATCTTGGCCAGGCTGGCCTTGAACTCCTGACCTCGTGACCCACCTGCCTCGGCCTCCCAAATTGCTGGGATTACAGGCGTGAGCCACCGCGACCGGCTAATAATAAATTTTTTAGATTTTGAAGGCTACACATAGTCTGCTACAGATTCTTTTCTCCCCTCATTCATTCCTTTAAAAATGTAAAAACCTAAATTTGTAGCTCATGGCAATAGGAACCAGGGTCAGATTTGGCCCATGGGCCAGATTATACTTTGCCAACCCTTACTTACCCTGGCCTCATGCTATGGGTCTTCTGTCTGTTTCAATTTCTAATTATCAGCATGTTTAAGGCAAAGAGGGAAAAGATTCAAACTGGGAAAATTTCACAAGCTCTTAAGCAAATTTCACTAAAGAGAGATGCAGAAGGATTAGGAGACAGGTGGTTTCCTTGCATTTACGCATTGCTGGTTTGACCATGTAGCTCAAGCATGTATGACATCATTTTGGATGTAAGCCATCAAGTCAAAATCAACAGAAGCCCATATCCCAGGTCATGCTGTATCTGGGATGGCTTCCCTGCACCCCTCCCAGGTAGAAAGCACAATGCCCACAGTGGTTGAATCATGTTTTCTGCCAGGAGACACAGGGCATACCTTTTTTTTATCAGAACATCAAGGACCAGGTGGGCTGAGAATTTCAACTTGGATGGCTGAGAGGATTGGAACAGCATGCCCTCGCATCTCCAGTTCACTAGAGACAACAATTTCCCCTAGCTCCAAGTGCATTTCAGAGCTTGTTACCTTTCCTATGGTTGACTAGAGTTTCTACAACAGCATGCAGTTTCCGTAAGCGCTGCTCCTCACACTCTACCTCCTGGAGCTTCTCCTCAAACCACTGAAACACAAAAGCCCAGAACTTTAATGAGATTACTTTTATGGGTGCAGTACAGTCTTTCTTTAGCAGTTGTTTCTCAAAAAGGGACTGAAAAATCTTATAAAAAAGTTTCTAATCTCAGAAATTTCAGGACTCCTTAGGGGTTCTGACCCATAAGCCTGAGGTGTAGGTGGAGGTAAGAGGCACAGGGCTACTCACAATGTCTGATTCATTCATCTTGATGGTCATTTTGCTGACGGCATCTGTGGCTTTGTTGAACATCTTGAGGAGACCAGCACCACTCAATGTCTGGGTACCCACGGCACGTGGCAGCTACAAGACCAAGAAGGCAGGGATGGCAAGTTATCTGCTGCCCCTATTTTAGGTTCAGAAGAATTAGTATCCATCAGATGGCATGCCAAAACTTGCCAGACAAATTATTTGAACTGTAAATTGTTTTCAAAGGCAGTCTGAGGAATCCACAACTAACATGTCCATACAGAAAAATCAAAGAACCATGTTAAAAAGAATCAGCAACATTTTCAGCTTTTGATATTTTATACAGAAAAAAAGTAGACTGGGGTGTTACGTGGCCAGGTGACCTCAAATTGAGATTGTCTGCCTACCCAGGCATGAACTGCTTAAGTACCAAGCATACTCTTGTTAAAAGTCAAAAGTTCCCTTGGATTAGCACACTTTGTACAAAACCAGACTTAAAAGTCTTAAGACACTGAAATCGTGCTGTGTTCGAATTTTCTTCAGTGAACAAATATCCGAGGACAAGAAAATTATTGATTCAGATCAAGGCTACTTTCAGGGATAACCTAGTAGTCAAGCATGCCAAATATTCAGAAACAATCTGATTGCTGTTCAGTCTCCCCAGTACTCTCCTAGGGCATGGAAAGGACGCTGAAAAATCTATAGCATATACAGCACACTATGCTAAAAAGTCAGATTTTAGTGTTCAGGACTCTATGGCAGTAGTTCTTTTTTTTTTTTTTGAGACGGAGTCTTGCTCTTGTCGCCCAGGCTGGAGTGCAGTGGCACGATCTCAGCTCACGGCAACCTCTGCCTCCAGGGTTCAAGTGATTATCCTGCCTCAGCCTCCCAAGTAGCTGGGATTATAGGTGCCCGCCACCACGACCCGCTAATTTTTGTATTTTTAGTAGAGACAGGATTTTGCCATGTTGGCCAGGCTGGTCTCGAACTCCTGACCTCAGGTGATCCTCCTGCCTCAGCCTCCCAAAGTGCTGGAATTACAGCCAAGAGCCACCGCGCCTGGCCTGGCAGTAGTTCTAAACTTGGGGCCACTTTGCTTCCTAGGGGACATTTGGCAATGTCTGGAGATGATTGTGGTTGTTATAACTGGGGAGGGGGTGCTACCTGGATCTAGTGGGTAGGTACCAGGAATGCTGCTAAAACCCTCTACAATGCATAGGACAACCCCTACAACAAAGAACTATCTGACCCAAAGTGTCCACAGTGCTGCTACAGACATACCCTGCTTAGGGGTATGGAGTAAAGACGAGAGGGTGAAAAGGCAGAAGGGATTTAAGAATATCCACAAGAAAAGACTAAAAGATTTGAAGCATTTGACAGGGAATTTTTAATGAAAACATTTCATTTTAGAGGAGAAAACCCCCTCATTTATTTAGTATCATTTTCTTCACTGGAGTAACACATACTACATACAAATGAAAGAAAAATTTAAAAATAAAAATTAAAGCAAAATGATAGCCCTACCCAGTCACTTACTTCCTTCTAGTTTGCTTTCCTGTGAGATAAAACATTTCACTCCAGTGTTTCTTTTGATCCTTAATGACTTACATGTTTCTACAGCTGTATTTATATGCTATTTCATGTTTCAAATTTTGTAATTCTTTTAACATACATGTCCATGTACTAACATTTCTGTATACTTTGTTTATGATGAGAATCAAGTATTTGGTTATATTGATATATTTTACTTAATTCTTCCACTGTTAGCAATTGGGCTGTTTTCAGTTTTTGACAATCATGACTAGCCTACGCATAGCCTGTGAAAGAGACTGTCTACTTCAATCAACACTTTTCCTACATGGTAGTTCTGTGGTTTGTGGTAACTGTTAACCAGTGACCCGCCTGGCATAAAATATACATTCAATCTGAGCCAAGAAGTAACCTACAACATGCCAAGGACCTGCCAAATAGATCACTGTGTTGATCCAGTAAGACAATACTAGGCTGCTATTTGACCCTTACAACCAACTGCTTTTGACTTCGGGCAGAGCTTCTTTTATTTCAAAGGCTGAAAAATACTTGTCACTCTCAGGGGTTCACACAAAACTAGGATACAGTCTAGTACTAGGCATGTTAAGTGCTCACATATTTTTGGAATGAACTAGTTTCGTTTCACTAGGGGCAGATATAAATTATGAAATTCAGTTTGCACTGAATACTAACCTCTTCTTTTTCCAAGAACTCTCTGACGTCAGGGTCCTGTAACATGGTAGGATGATTTACAATCCTCTGAAGGTACCTAAAAGGTAAGCAGTTATCATCTGGTTAGTTGAGCTGGCCTCAGAAGGTTCTGGGCGTCACACAGTGCTGGCAGTGATACCATGTCTTCTGTACTTTTTGTACTTAAAGTACCCTAAGATAAGGTACTTAAGTAGGTCTCTCCTTGTAAGCATATTCAAGTTCACATTCCTGACATTTCCAAAAAGGGAGGGAAAAATAACTGGTCAGAAAGAAACCTCAGAGCCATTCATATTTGATTGATTGTCTAAGAATATGACTGCCTGCTCACTCAGGATGGGGAAAAAACAGAAGATGGTCTATTCTCAAGGTGGGAAAATAAGCGACTCAGGAAAAGTTAAGAGATAATATGGAGGTGTGCAACTTCAATTTATTCACGTTTCATCTCTAACTCAATGGACTGTCTCGTCATTTAGACTCACTTTTCAGCTTTTCATTTGTCCTCACATTATTCAGGAAAATGGCTGCATGGCACTTACCTTTCTAAAGCGGCCCTCCGTTTTTCAAGAAATTCTGCAGAAGAAGAATCTTCCTTCCCAACTTTCACTTTTGTCATCCCTAGAATGGAATTTAAAAAGCAAAATAACCATAAATCATCATGAAGAGGATAAATCTTTTTTTTTTTTAAGTGTCAACAGGAGGAAAGGCAGTGAGGCTAGCACACAGCCTAAGGCCACTTCTATGTTATATGCAGGGATGAACAAAAGGTTCTTTACATGAGAGCCACTTTTGAAAACTAGTCTCTAAGTGCTGAAGGTTCTAAACTCTAGGACTTGCAGAGTAAACATTTTCTTAAAAAGGCGGCCATGGAACCCTGAGTACAAACATCAACTGATGTTAATGAAGAGGCTCCTGGCCGGGCGCAGTGGCACACACCTGTAATCCCAGCACTTTGGGAGGCCAAGGCGGGCGGACCACGAGGTCAAGAGATCAAGACCATCCTGGCCAACGTGGTAAAACCCTGTTTCTACTAAAAATACAAAAATTAGCTGGGCATGGTGGCGGGCACCTGTAGTCCCAGCTAAGCGGGAGGCTGAGGCAGGAGAATCTCTTGAACCCGGAAGGTGGAGGTTTCAGTGAGCTGAGATCGCGCCACTGCACTCCAACCTGGTGACAGAGCGAGACTCCACCTCAAAAACAAACAAACAAACAAAAACCAAAAAACCAACCAAACAAACAAACAAAATGAAGAGGTTTCTTCCTCTGACCCCTAATCCAATGTAGTCTATTTCAATCTGGAGGCAACCGCAATCATGTAAGACTCCTGAAGACCAACAGAAAACAAACGAACATCTCTGGAGGCTAAACCCAGAGCTCCTACTGCACCCAAGGAGAACATGCCAAAATATGCTATTTTTCTCTAGACCTCCAGTGTAGGAAAACACTGGAAATGTCTCTTTTCTAACCACAAGACTGTTAATAGAAGTAGTCTCATATACTGAACAGTGAGTGAATTTTGGAGAGAATGCAAAGGAAAACAATCCAAGTGGAATGAAAGACCACAGGCTTACCTATGAGGCTCTTCTCCGGGGGCGGAGGGACAATGAAGCCATTCTGAGAGTGCTTCTCGGAAAGCTTCTCATAAAGACCCAGAAAGTCACTAAATCTTCTTTTTACTGCAAACTGTTTGCTTCTGAACAATGGTAAGCTTGTCTTGGGGACAGGAAAAAACACAAGGCAATTTCATTCCAAATAGGGGATGGTATCTTGAAAGTCATCCTATTGACATTAAAGAAACCCATTTCCCAGATCCCTGCCCTTCAGTCACCTGGCAAATAACTTTCTCCAAGGCAGAGAGTCTTAAACTTTTTAAAACTATAGTTCCCCTTTGGCAGTCTGGGAGCCTAAGGAGCTCTTCTCAGAATAATGATTTTAAATGCAAAAAATATATAGGATTATAAAGGCAATCAATTAAATTCAAATACATCTGAAGCCATGGTGACCCTTGAGAAAAAAAAATTCAAATACAGTTTCATTCCCAGGTTAAGAACTCTTGTTCTAAAGAAAGAAATGTTCAGTTCTAGTTTAAAGCTAGAATTCTATAGTAACCAGTAACCCATTCATCTTTTATTGACTATTTTTTTTTGGAGACAGGATCTCACTTTGTTGCCCAGGCTGGAGTGCATTGGTGCGATCACAGCTTACTGCAGCCTCAAACTCCTGGGCTTAAGCGATCCTCCCACCTCAGCCTCCCAAGTAGCTAGGAATACAGGCACACGCTACCATGCCCAGCTCATTCTTCACTGCTTTTTTTTTTTTTTTTTTTTGAGATGGAGTCTCACTCTGTCACCCAGGCTGGAGTGCAGTGGTGCAATCTTGGCTCACTGCAACCTCCACCTCCCAGGTTCAAGCAATTCTCTTGTCTCAGCCTCCTGAGTGGCTGGGATTACAGGCTCCTGCCACCAGGCCCAGCTAATTTTTATAGTTTTTTAGTAGAGATGGGGTTTCACCATGTTGGCCGGGCTGCTCTCGAACTCCTGACCTCAGGTGATCCACCTGCCTCAGCCTCCCAAAGTGCTGGGATTACAGGCGTGAGCCACTGCGCCAAGCCTCATTGACTTATTTAAGGGTATTAGCTGCTGGAATTACAGCAGCCAAACTAAAGACAGACAAAAAGTGCTTCTAAGAAGGGGAAGCAGGTGATGAGCAGGGTGGGAATTGGATGAAATGTCTAAGCTGTAGACAGTAACCTCTAAAGTATCATAATCTAGAGCTCACAGGACGCAGGCCAACAAGTAGTAGAGAGACAATACAAAGCAGATTTCTACCAAAAAAGTTAGGGCTACATCACAATGAGAGTTCACTTTAAACTCACCAGATAGGCAAAATTTAAGGAGGTTGGCCTCACCAATTGCTGGCAAGGAAGTGAATCAATGGGAACTTTTATACACTGCTGATGGGGTACAAATTGGTACAAAGACTTTAAAAAACAGTTTGTATTCCTTGTGTCCAATATTTGCAGTACCTATGACCCACGGGAATTACTCCTGGTTACATACTCTAGAGAAATCCTTCTACGTGTGTACTAGAGATGTGCAAGAAAGTTCCCAGTTACAAAAACCAGAAACATGTTGACAGCAGAAAATGTTCACAACAGGAAAACATAAATATTTTGTGGTATATGAACTAACTACAGCCATGACCATCAAGGATGGGTGAGAGAAACAATGCTAAATAAAGCAAGCACAATTATCAGCATGATACTATTTTTTTTTTTTTTTTTTTGAGACAGAGTCTCCCTCTGTCGCCCAGGCTGGAGTGCAGTGGCGCGATCTCGGCTCACTGCAAGCTCCGCCTCCCGGGTTCACGCCATTCTCCTGCCTCAGCCTCCCCAGCAGCTGGGGCTACAGGTGCCTGCCACCATGCCCAGCTAATTTTTTTGTATTTTTAGTAGAGACAGGGTTTCCCTGTGTTAGCCAGGATGGTCTCGATCTCCTGACCTTGTGATCTGCCCGTCTCAGCCTCCCAAAGTGCTGGAATTACAGGCGTGAGCCACCGTGACCGGCCCCCATGATACTATTTTTATGAAACTCAAAACAAAGCAAAACAGTCATATATATATATATATATATATATATATATATGTAAAGATTTCTTATAAAGGAAATGAGAGACAACTCAGGAGAAAGGACACCTCTAAGGTATGAGGCAGGGGATATGATGGAAAAACACGCAGGTGGATCCAATGATACTCAACTTTAAGACTAGTGGTAAGTTTAGGGCTTCATTTATTATGCTTCCTAACTTGTATACAACATTGTATACATTTTGTATGCATTAATATTATATACAAAAGAAGAGCAGACTAGAGGGGCAAAAGGTTAAGTATTTAAAAAAGCTCTCTGAAACCTCAGAAGCATTGAAGATTTTAAAAGATGGTTTAGGGCAATCTGTGAATCTAGCTCCAAACCACATGGTTCTCTAAGAGGGATGGGGCTGTATCAGATATACCACGAGTTAATAGAATCACACTGAAATGTTAGCTTTCTGGAAGAGTATTAAAAAGACTCAGTCTGGAGTACCCAGATGAGATTACCAAGGGGATGCAGGCTTGCTCTATCTTGAGTAAACATGAAGATGTTGGCAAAGAAACAAAGGAGATACCCAGAAATAATCTGAATGATGACCTTGGTATAAGCACCAAAGTCTATGAAGATGGTCATCAGCAGGGTCACCTGGACTCACCTGTGTTGTAACTTTGTAGGCTACATATGCATTCATACCATCCCCTGTGAGAGAACAAGAAAGCAGAAGATTATCTTGTAAACCAAAGCAGTGCCAATCCAGCTAACATTTGACCAGGAATCATAAAAGCCATAGGAACCCTGGATAAGAAGGGATGCTTGTTTCATCTCCAAGCTTTATATGCAATCTTAGAATCCAGTTCCTACTTTGCCTCAGGGCCTCTGTGGCACATAGCAAGCCCCCATGGATGCTGGCTGAGCCCCAGTTTGAGTTACACAAGAGAGTCAGCCCTCTGTTCCAAAGCCAGGCCAGGCTCCATTTATACCCTCCACAAAGCAGCACTGGATACTGACAATCCATCAGTTGTTACCATGCCAATATTTGGGCTGGTTACACACATCTGTCCAAAACCAAACAATTCTCTTGCTGTATAAAGCAGGAGGAGAAGGAAGCAACTGATATAAAAGGAAACAAGTAGTTCTACCCTAGGCTAGCTCTGGGCTCGATTTGCTCTTTCAGAAATATCGTCACAACCCCCTCCATTGGTGCCGGGGGGGACACTGACCTCTCTGATCTAGCATGTTCACCAAGAGCAAAGGGTCTGGCAGGAAGACACTTTGGCTGCCTAATGTCACACAAATCTCCCTTTCCTGGAGCAATTATTTTTATGAAGAAGTCTTTGACTGTTAAATAATTTGGGATTCAAGCTATTGTTTTTCTCTGTGGTGATGTCCTGACCTAGACCACTTAAGGAGATAAAGATGCCATTGATATCCTGAGCACTGAAAAGACATATTCTGGAATCCAAACAGACACAGCTCCAGTGCTGGACTATGGTGTTTGGGGTTGGTTTTGTTCCCTGCCTCCCCCACCCTTGATTCCTTCCCACATCAAACCGGAAAACCTAGGTCAACAGTTACCAGCTGCTTAAGCCCCTGAACTGGTTCTGGGGTGAGGGGTGAGGGGCCAAGGGAAGGAAGAGCAGGCAGTACTGGATCAGCAGCTTCCCACATTACAACTTGGTTTCAGTAAGATGGCTGGAAATGCCTGCTTTTTGAAAAATTTACCAAGAATTTGAAGATTACACAGGAATACAGGGCTTGTCTGCTATACTTCCCCAGCCCCTACCAAAAGGGTGTATATAAAACAGAAACCATAAGCTAAACTTTAGAAATTATTTTATACTGATTACCAACTTTAGTTCTCTTCTAAACCACCTTATTAACATTACCCAATACTACTAAGGATGTTTACTACTGATAAAAGAAAAAAAAAAAAGAAATCTAAGTTTATTTTATAGAAGTAATATTCAAAATTTCATTCACAGCAGAATAGTTATGGTCAAATGTCCAAGAAGTCAATCCCATAATTTAGTGCCTGCAGTTAAGAAAGTCTAAATGCAAACACAGAGAAAACAGAAAAGCAGGATCTTCAGATATTTTGTTTCTCAGCTGCTTTTACTTAGGCAATGTACATGAAAAGAGACATACTGCATGTACATAGAGAGCACACAGATCTGCAAATAAGCTAGTAATACAAGGTTTTAAATTTACGTAAATTTCCAGAATAATTTCAGAGTTGAAGATAACATATGCAAATTACCAAGGCTCTAAAAAGCATATCCTGGTAAAAGTTGAATTCTAAATTATTTAGACGTGTGCAGGAACAAGAAGCACATGTTGAATAAACAGCCCACACAAACAGAATGCGTTGTTATAAAGATCAGGCCTTGAATATGAAAATATTTTAATTAGCTGGTTTCTTGGCATCAACATGACTAAGAATCTAGACTACAGGGCAAGGAGGTGAAAACTTATCACCAAGAGTGATTTGTGTTTAAATGCATCTGATCCATGGGCTGTTTAAATTACTCTCTGTAATGGGATAAATTGTGTCCCCTTCAAAATAGGTACATTTTACGTTCTAACTCCCAGTTCCTCAGAATGTGATCTTACAGGGTCTTTACCGATGTAACTGAGTTAAAATGAAGACATTAGGGTGGGCCCTACTCCACTCAGGTTGGTGTCCTTATTTGTTAAAGAGGGAATGTGCACACAGAGATAGACATGCATAGAGGGAAGGCAATGTGGAGACGCTTAGGAAGGATGCCACATGACAGCAAAGGCAGAGACTGAAGTGATGCATCGACAAGCCGAGGAAGGCCTGAGACTGCCAGAAGCTGGGAGAGAGGCATGAACAGTCCTTCCCTAGCACCTTCACAGGGAGAATGGCCTGCCGACACCAGGATTTGAGATTTCTGGCCTCCAAAACTGTGAGAAATTTCTGTTGTTTTAACCAGTTTGTGGTACTTTGCTACAGCAGCCTTAGGAAACCAGTATGTTCCCTCTCCTGGTTCAGACATCATGACTTATTACATTTTAAGAGAATAAGTGCCATTCATTCATCTTATTCCACCAAGGATTTAAAGCGGTGAATAACTAGCTTAAAATTAATGTGTTTATAGACTATCCATAAATATTAGAGAAGCAAGAGAGAATCTAGACATATAATCCAAAGTCCTGGTCCAGGATCTATCATGGGCCACACTGTGCCCTACCAGGAAAGCTACTTCCTTTTTGGTCCTCAATTTCCTTTTCTGTTAGATGACAGAACTGTGTAAGACGCTCAAAAACATCCTACCAGTCCAACAGTCTGGGAAAAGTAAAACTCAACAGTTCAAATTAAAAAAAAATTTTTTTTCTTTTTGAGACAGGATCTCACTCTGTTACCCAACGTGGAGTGCAGTAGTATTACCTCAGCTCACTGCAGCCTTGACCTTCCAGGCTCAAATGATCCTCCCACCTCGGCCTCCCAAGTACGTGGGACTACAGGCATGTACCGCCATGCCTCTGTAATTTTTTATTTTTTTGTAGAGACAGGGCTAATTTTTTACTTTTTGTAGAGTCATGGTCTTGCCATGTTGGGCAGGCTGGTCCTGAACTCCTGGGTTCAAGTGATCCTCCTGCCTTGGCCTTCCAAACTGCTGGGATTACACATGTAAGCCACTGCACCTGGCCTAAAATCAATAGTTTAATGACCACCATTTTGGCCAGAGACCAGGTTAGGCAACATGGTGAAACCCTGTCTCTACAAAAAATATAAAAAAATTAGCCAGGCATGGTGATGCACATCTGTAGTCCCAGCTACTCAGGAGGCTGAGGTGGAAGGATCACCTGAGCCTGGGGAAGTCGAGGCTGCAGTGAGCTGTGATCATACCACTGCACTCCAGCCTGGGTGACAGAGTGAGACCCCGTCTCAAAAAAAAAAAAAAAAAAAAAAAGACAACCATTTTGGCATAAAGTCTAACAAGTTCCTGTCCCTAGTACCAAACAGACCAAGAGTTGAGAATTACATTTGTCCTCTTAACTGTATAAACACCACTCCTGTTTAGGAAGACAGGTTCTGTATAGCCTCTTCCATAAGGGACTATAGCTAGAACAAGGAAAGATGAGGCCTATTGTTCTCCACTCAGGGATAACTCTTGCAAGCTTGGTAGAGGGGAAAGCCATCCTAAAAATCCAAGTCCAGACAAAGTTAAGTGTTATGCTTTTTGAAGATCTAACTTCAATTTTGAGTACAATTCAACTTGGATCCCACAGATAGACTTCCCCACCTCATAAGGTTATCAAAAGTATGTGTATAAATGAGAGTTTCAAACTTCTTGAGGGAAAAAATAAGTTCAGTGTCCCTCAATTTTAGAACATGTATTTTTTAGGGTGCTTACATTGGATTTACTATCTCAAAAGACAGTAAAATGGTCTTATCAACTCTGAAGGAGAAGATAATGTTTTTTGTGTGTGTGTGTGTGTTTTTTTTTTTTTTTAAGACACAGTCTTGCTCTGTCACCCAGGATGGAGGGCAGTGGCATGATCTCAGCTCACTGCAGCCTCCACCTCCCGGGTTCAAGCGATTCTCTGGCCTCAGCCTCCTGAGTAGGTGCGATTATAGGCGCACACCACCATGCCTGGTCAATTTTTGCATTTTTAGTATAGATGGGGTTTCACCATGTTGGCCTGGCTGAACTCCTGACCTCAAGTGATCTGCCTGCCTTGGCCTCCCAAAGTGCTGGGATTACAGGTGTGAGCCACCATGGCTGGCCTGTTGGGGTTTTTAAAAAGAGACTCTAGCTGGGTGCGGTGGCTCATGCCTGTAATCTCGGTGCTTTAAGAGGCTAAGGCAGGAGGATCACTTGAGGCCAGGAGTTTGAGACCAGCCTGGGCAACATAGCAAGACCCCATCTCTTAAAAAAAGAATTAGTCGGCATGGTAGCACGTGCCTGCAGTCCCAGCTACTTGGGCGGCTGGGGTGGCTCAGGCGGGAGGACTGCTTGAGTCCAGGAGCTGGAGATGATAGTGAGCTATGATAGTGCTACTGTGCTCCATTCTGGGTGACAAAATGAGGCCTTGTCTCTAAAAAACAAAAAACCAAAAGAATAAAAATAAAAAGGGATTCTAGTAGTATTTGATGACTCTGATTTTTCTTCCTGAAGCCAAGAAAAGACTGACTAACGCATTGAGTAACAGCAGTCTCTGGCCTTAGAAACATAGCAAGGGGTCTACTTTTACAGAAAAGATACTAATGAAGTACTTCACATTGGCTAGTTCAACTCTGGGGGTAGCCATCCTGAAATTAGCTACCTATGCTTTCCACAGCCACATCCTAACATCACAAGGAGTCCTAAGAACCACTTACCTATCTTCTCAGGATCAGTTATACCGACTGTCAAATCAAATTGATCCTCCTGTTCTTCTTCCTCTAGCTTTTTCAAGAAAAGACAAATCATGAGAGTTGATATGAAAAAAAAAGCTATCAATTTTACCCTGTAATAACCTTATACCAATCTAATAAAATCAAGATGTATCCTTCAGTGTTCAGCTTTTGTCCATTCCCAACAATCCCAATGTACCAACTCTCAAAATTTTAAATTAGGAGCCAGCTTACAAGTCTTTGTTACATGTATCCCCTTAAAATCTTATTTTGATGACAATGAATAACTGCCAGATTTAGAAAGACTTGCCTCTTGCAGGCTAGGAAGGGAGTGAGGAGAAACTATACTCCTGAATGTGGAAGCTTCGCACACTAAGTATCTTTAGTAACCACTGAAAGCCTTCGTGCTCTCTGGGCAATAGATACTCTGCTCAAGAAAGACTCCTGTATTGGATTCTGGCTGTCCATTAACCATAAAGATCTCCTTCAAGAGTAACAAATATTTTCTCAAGGTTCATACTCAACTACACTTCAGACTGGCCGTACACAGTCCTCAATATCTAAAAGCGATAAGACCAAGAGCACAGATCCTCACCTCCTCATAGGTTGGCTGGGGCTTCGAAGAATTTGTGGCTTCCTGAGGAGGAAGAGAAATGAGTGTTTTGGCTAGCACCTTCTTCTGATTATTTTGTGTGCTGTCCAAGGATAGCTCCACTGTGGCATCTAAAATGAAGTTGATATTTTAAAATGAAGGTCAGTAATGAGTCTTTGAAGGCTAAACTTGTATAGGCTAAGAACTTACAAGAACAATAGCAAGCACTCTCAATACATAGAGGCTCTTAGACTGAAAGTCATAAAATGTTTACAAGGAGAAAAGGGGAGGAAGGTAAGGGAAGTGTTCTTCTAGCACAGGCTTAGTAGAACAACCTCTCCTTCTTTCCAAATACAACCACTTGGCTACCCTCTCCTACCTAGAATTTATACAAGAACCAAGGATAAGCAAAAAGACAACACAGCCAAAATAAGTTTATCAATTTTATTTATTTTTTAGACAGAGTGTCACTCTGTCACCCAGGTTGGAGTGCAGTGGCACGATCTGGGCTCACTGCAACCTCCACCTCGCAGGTTCAAGTGATTCTCCTGCCTCAGCCTCCTGAATAGGTGGTACTACAGGTGCATACCACCACAGCCAGCTAATTTAGTCTGTCAATTTTAATCTTCGGAGTATTCCTTTAGAACATTATATGAGCCCTATTTATTCTTGTTATAATTGTTTGTAAAAGGCTGGGCGTGGCGGCTCATGCCTGTAATCCTAGCACTTTGGGAGGCCAAGGTGGGAGGACTGCCTGAGCTCAGGAGTTTAAAACCACCCTGGGCAACATGGTGAAACCCCGTCTCTACTAAAAATACAAAAAAACAGTAGCCAGGTGTGGTGGCCTGAGCCTGTAGTCCTAGCTACTGGGAGGTTGAGGCAGGAGAATTGTTTGAACTGGGGAGGCAGAGGTTGCAGTGAGCCGAGATCGCGCCACTGCACTTCAGCCTGGGCAACAGAGGGAGACTCTGTCTCCAAAAAAGAAAAAAAATTGCTTGTAAAAGAAGTTCAGATATTTGCTTTACACACCAATATGATAGAAGAGGCAGGCATACTGACAGGAAAAAAATGACGTCAAAGCAAGTGTCAGGAAAGCTATAAGCTAGAAAAAAATGGAGCCAAGACACAAGCACAGTAACATTTGGGAAAGGGCACTTTTCCACACCTGATGACAGCACTGTTATTTTGTCATGGTTTAAGAATTTTTCCTAATGGTTTAGATCTCCTTGTAAAGGTTAAATTATACTTACTATATGCTATCCAATTTGTGAAAAAAGACATGTAATATCTGAAAATCTTCCTACTCAAAACAGTTTAAAAAACAGTGCTTAAGGGCTGCCTTTGTCTATCTGGGGAGTACTCAGTTGAACAGAACGACTCATTCCCTCAGTGTTCCAGAGAAGGGACTTTAAAAATAGCATTATGTACCATTTCTAGGCATTAAAATTTTTTATGCAAATAAAAAGAATGCACTTTCAACTTGGAGCAGTGGAACTAGATGCTCTAAGCCTAAACAGTCCAAACTTTTTTTCTTTTTTAGTAACAGAAAACATAAATGTCAATTTGGGTTTGGTCTGATCAGTAAGTATTCTATCTTAATCTTAGGAAATACAAAGAATGCTGCTGCTTCTTTTTCATTTGGGGCTAAACGAAACCAGAGATGATGGTTTATGCATATATGCCTATAGCATAATCAAGTCCCAGATCAGTATTCTAATCACTAAATGTGAATCAAGTCTGCAAACAGGGGTGCCACACTGTTAGAAATGAAATCTGATCCCTATCAGGAAAGTGAGAAAGGTGGTAACATAATCTGACTCTGGGGTGGGAGTATAAAACAAACAAGCAAAAAAGTACAGTTGACCCTTGAACAACACAGGTTTCAACTGCACGGGTCCATTTATACATGAATTTTCCTCTGCATCTGCCACCCTGAGGCAGCAAGACCAACCCCTCCTCTGCCTTAGCCTACTTACTCAATGTGAGGATGCAAGAATGAAAACCTTTATGATGAACCACTTCCATTTAATGAAAGGTAAATACATTTCCCTTCCTATGATTTTCTTAATAACTTTCTTTTCTCTAGCTTACTTTATTGTAAGAATACAGTATATAATACATGTAACATACAAAAGACATGTTAATTGATTATCTTATTGGTAAGGCTTCCAGTCAACAGTAGGCTATTAGTAGGCTATTAGAAAAGTTTTGGGGAAGTTATAAACAAATTTTTGACTGCGCCTGCATTGTTCGAGGACTAACTATACATATAATGAACATGTTAGCATATTAGAAGTCTCTGAAACAAGCAACCAGTTGAAGTATGCGTAGGATATTCACATCATGCAGGTCCCACACAAATAATTCAGTTAACAAACATGTTTGGAAATGAAACAGGAAGTATCACTCATCTAAAATATTTGGCCCTTTAGAAAGCTACTAAAAACCTTTTGCCAGCTTGGGCAACATGACAAAAGCCTGTCTCTACAAAAAATAAAACCAAACAAACATGCGAATATTAACAGGCATGGTGGTGCCCACCTGTGGTCCTAGCTACTCAGAAGGTTGAGGTGGGAAGATCACTTGAGCCTGGGAGGTCGGGGCTGCAGTGAGCCATGACCACACCACTGCACTCCAGCCTGGGCAACAGAGTGAGACCCTGTCTCAAAAAAAAAAAAAAAAAAGCCTTTTGAAGAGCTGTGCATCTTCTACTGAAATTCATGTGACAAAGATGCCAAAACTTATATTAAAACATGCTTTTCTCTTTGAACTCCTGTTAAGAGTACTGGAAAAGCATTCAGGCTCCATGAGAGACTCTGATCATCACTAGATTTATTATTTAAAAATGATATCAGAACGTTTAAGTTTCCACAGTCAAATACCTAAAACAACTGAGAAGCTACTGAAGTCCTAAACTAAGTGTCTCATTGTAGACTTTCCATTCTAGAGATACCTTATGTTCCTTTCTTAGAAGTGAGGCAGGTATTGGCTACTTAAAAAACTAGTAGGGGAATGAAGTAAATTAGAATCCTCACTATGAACAAATATGACCCTAATAAAGATCTGCATGTTCATGTGTATAAAACCCAATCACTGGGTAACTATTACACTAAACTGTCAGGTCAGGTCTCCTTATAATGAAAGATCATATAAATGTTAAGGTCCCAAAGATAGAAAATTCACTTTCTTTTCAATCTGCCATATAACCAAAGACAATTCATTATTTGCCTTCATATCACTTCTCCTCCAGAAATTTATTTTTATTTTTTAATAGAGACGAGGTTTTGCTACGTTGCCCAGGCTGGTCTTAAATCCTGGGCTCAAGGAATCTTCCCACCTTGGCCTCCCAAAGTGCTGGAATTACAGGCCTGAGCCACCGTGCCTGGCCTCCTCCAGAAATTTTATCCAAAAAATAATCAGTATCAGAATAAATATTGTATATTTAAATTTCAGGGATGAAGGGAAGTGGAAAATCTCAATTTTTCTATTCTTTCTTCTAATCTCTTCTTTCCTTGTATGTCTTTTAAATTTCCTACCAAGGTTCTAACGTAAGAGTCGTCCCAAGATCTTACCCTCCACCCTTGTCTTTCTCCCTCCTCACCATTCACTCTTTTGAGGATCTCGTTCACATGGAAGTTTCAACTACCACCTCTAGAAAGATGATTCCCATATGTCCAGCTCTTGTCTTCCCTCAGGTAGGAAAGAAAAGTTCAAGTCACCTCCTGGGTATTTCCCTTTGCATTTCAAATGTAAAGTATCTAAAACCAAAGCTTACTTTTTTCCCAAAGCCAGTTTCTTCTTTAGAATGGGGTTCTATAATGATACCATTTTCTTCTCAACCCTTGGACTTGAAACCTTTTGACTTTGTCTTCAATCCCCACTTTTTTTTGATATCCATTATATTCAATCACTAAAATCAGATTTTGTTGATTTCCCTTTTGAAAAGTTTTCACCTTTCCTTTCCTGCTTTTATTACCTTATGTTCAGTCTTTGCTATTTCATTCTTGAACTAGTTTGTGATTACCTTCGAAAAATTATCTGGTCTCTGCCCACTGCAACTAATTTAATATAATTCCAATTCCACTAGGTCAGTCTTCCTAAAACATTACTTTGCCCATACCACATTCTTTACACAAAGCTGCCAATGGCTTTTAATTGGCATTAAGATGAAAATCCAGACTCGAATTATTAATGTCTAAGGTCCTCCCAAATCTGTTTCCAAATTACATTTCCAGCCTTATCTTCCATGACTTCTCCAAGAATGTCCTGCTGTGGTCCACCAACTTTACTGACTGCCACTCAAACATACCTTATACTTCCTGCCCAACCATGGGGCCCCTTTTTCCTTTTCTCCTGCATAAATCCTGCTTCTTCCAAGATCACTTTCTTTCTCTCTCTCTCTCTCTCTTTCTTTCTTTCTTTATTTTGAGATGGAGTCTTGCTCTGTCACCCAGGCTGCAGTGTAGTAGCACAATCTCAGCTCACTGCAACTTCCACCTCCAGGGTTTAAGCAATTCTCCTGCCTCAGCCTCCTGAGTAGCTGGGAGCACAGGTGTGCGCCATGGAATCCAGCTAATTTTTTATATTTTTAGTAGAGATGGGGTTTCACTACGTTGGCCAGGCTGGTCTCAAACTCCTGACCTCAAGTGATCCACCCACCTTGGCCACTCAAAGTGCTGGGATTACGGGTGTGAGCCACTGTGCCTGGCCCAAGATCACTTTAGACAGGGTTTTTTCAACAATAGCACTACTGACATTTTAGGCTAAACAATTCCTTGTTGTGAGGGCCTGTCCTGTGTACAGAGTGTTTAGCAGCATCCATGGCCTCTACCCACTAGATAACAGTAGTACTACCACCAGCTGTGACAACCAAAAATGTCTCCAACCATTTCCAAATGTCTTCTGGGGGGCAAAAGCACCCCCTCTGTTGAGAACAGTGCAGCACCCCTCAACAAAGAATTATCCAGCCCAAAATGTTAATAGTGCTAAGGTTGAGAAACTGTCCTATACTAGTGTTTTTCAAACTGGAGGTTACAGCTTGTTGGTGGATTGTGAAATCAATTCAATGTGTTGCAAAGAGCACTGAAAAAGGAAACAATAGAAAGTTTCAGGCTGTATTAGAAGTAGTAAGGGCAAGTCATTTAATAAAACTTTTGTTTCTGTTTTGTACCAGTATGCACATTTTTGGATTATGACACCAAATGCAATTCTTACTCCTAGTCTTGGTCACACAAGGCTACACGCACTGCTTTAGTCACTGGTCTCACACTCCTCTGAGCTCCTGTGACTTAGTATTTCTATCATTCCTCCAACTGCATTTCTGTTATTGTTTAACAGTTTAACTCACCTTCTTAAACAATTGTGTATTTATATCTTACTCCCTAAATCTGAAAGAATCTTGATGGCAGGGCCTGTATTTCATGTACTTTGGAATCCTCCACAAAAGTACTTTACATAAAGTTATGTTCCCAATACTTTTTTTTTTTTTGGTTTTGACTTTAACTCAGCAACTTAACAAAGCCATTTAGGAGGTTCCTAGAGTAACTTTTGAGTCCAAACTTGCCTGCAAAGAGATCCTGTGGCTCTTGGTCTTGTTCTTCATGGATCCCATTTTCTTTGGAGCCATTGTTGATGGGAAGAAGGGATGTAGTTATCTTTGGAGACTGATGTTTACTCTGAAAACAAAGAGATACTCTGAATAAAACATTACCATGAAAAACAAACCCAACTTGCCTAGAAAGCAACTTTTAATGCCTCCCTCAGTTGCCACCAGTCAGCCAGTTCAATAAGCAGCAAATCGTTATTAGTAAAATAAGTGCTGCCCAAGTCATGACAGAGCAAAAATAAGTCCATACATTTTAGGGTTAATTTCTAACAGCATAACCTCGCTCAAATGCCCTACCCCAAAGCACATGATACCAACATGGGTATGTGTACACACAGATAATTTTCAAAAGAACATGTCCAAATGTATTTCTCTTTCTCAGCTGATGACCTTTATTCTTTCAAATGCTGACTGTGCACATTCTAGTGACCAGGATACTACACTGGAGTCCAGAACTCAAGCTCTGACCCATGCTTACTCTGTAGCCTCAGCTAAACTGTTAACTGAAGCCCAGCTGTGTGGATATTACTGACCCATCTGACACGCAAAGGAAGGTATAACACTACGTTCTAATGCTGTTAAAAGTAAAATTTATCTTTTCATCCTTAACTCACACAAATACAATTTTCAATAACACACTGTGTCAAGCTAGGAGAATAAAAACTAATCATGCTTAGCCTAGTGAGCACATGGTGAAAATACAGTCAGTCCATAGCCTTTATTCAAAGCTCAGTGATCAGCGGCAAACAAGGGTGGGGTGGGTCCCCAGACCGGTACCAGAGTGAACAAAGCTGGATTGTGCAGAACCTGAGCTGAAAGTTGAGAATGTGGCTTCGAAAGCCATGGTATGGCACTGCAGTGTTGTGAAGTCAGACCCTAAGGGCAGATCAGTTAAAAGACCTGGCTTAAGGAACCTTTTATGACACACTTCCTTAACAAATCTGAGGGAATTTGTTCCTTGGAGACAGACCTTTTCTGACCCAACAAAGTGAAATGACAATCTATTTGGGTACTCTAAATTTGCAAATAGCTTCATCTAAATATTGGGGACAGATTTCAGAAAAGAAACTGTTAGCAGGTCTGAAGGTAGTGAGTTATCTCAATTGACTGTTCACAGTCAGTTACAGATCGAAACCCTTGTTTGATATTTCCCCACTTCTCACTACTGCACTTGACTAGTCTTAAAAAATTTTTTTGAAGAAAAAAGAACAAGAAAAGAAACATACCAATATTTAGACTTATATGAGCAAACAATCCTTCTACTGGAACTATTCCCTGCTAATGAAGTTTCATGAACACTTAGTTGTATAAGCTTAAATGTTATTCCAAGTCTATTAGAGATAGTGGTCCTGTCCTCTAGCTGCTTTAACAATCTTAAAAACAAAACTAAAAAATCACTGCAGAAAGACAGAAACAGGATAAATACAAAAGCAGCATTTCCCTTTTGCTTCACACATCACCAATAACCAACCACCTTCTTCCACACTACTTCCTTCCTACACTCTTGTACAGTACATAGATCTCATGTGAAGCCACCTGATTTCATTCACTTCCTACTGACACCAGTCATCTCCAAATGGAGACGTATGAGAGATTAAAATCCAGTATACATTAAGGATACATGTATACAAATGTAATTTACTAGTAGCTCACGGGGGAGATTAAAACAACAGAAAAGGCATAGGTTAGAATTTAGCCATTTAAAAAATGCCTAGAAGGACCCATTCCTGTGATATAAAGATGAATAAAGCCAGCTTTCCATTTCTGATCCACCACTTAACTTGGAAGGTTAATGACTAAGAATATTTTCCGGAGCAGTGTTAGAATAGTAGTCTATCTTTCCCTCAAGAGACAGACACACACAAATGGGATACTGCAGTGAAAACTAGAGTACTCATACCTCTCTTCCTCCACCTAACTTTTTTCAAAAGCCCAAACTGTGGCCACGTGTGGTGGCTCACACCTATAATCCCACCACTTTGGGAGGCCAAGGTGGGAGGACTGCTTAAGCCCAGGAGTTGGAGACCAGCCTCAGCAACACAGTGAGGCCCTGTCTCTAAAAAAAAAATTTTTTTTAAAGTAGCCTGGCGTGATGGTGTGCACCTGTAGCCCCAGCTACTCTGGAGGCTGAGGTGGGAGGATCACTTGAGCCCAGGAGGTCGAGGTTGCAGTGAGCCATGATCACACCACTACACTCCAGCCTGGGTGACAGAGCAAAACCCTGCCTCAAAAACAAAACAAACCCAAACTGTGATTAAAACAGACTTATGTTCCCTTAGTAAGCTAGATAACAACTACTTGTGAGAACAGAAAACTGCTCTCAGATATCCTCTGGGACTCCATCCCAAAAATCACACATGGCTGAGTTCTAAGAGAGCTGAAGATAGACATGACCATACTTACTATCCTAATCTTTTTTCTGTAGTTCTCTTACAATATTAATCTTCTACCTATGTAAAACTCTGTATCCTGTTTTTTCCCCTCTACTGCCTGAGCATTTTCTCATGTCATTAAAAAGCGTACAAAAATCCCACTTTTAGTTACTGAACTCTCCATTATGGATATATGACATAATCATTCCCCTAATGCTGGACAGTTTCCAGGTTCCACCAAATACTACTGTGAGACCCATCCTATATATAAATCCACATCTGATTATTTTCTTGGGATAGATTCTTAAGTAGAATTGTGGTATCAAAGGCTCTGCTAAGCTCCCTTCCAGGAAGACCAACAATTTACATTCCCCCAGAAGTGTGTAAGAGTGCGGCATCCACAGCAACACTAAGCATTCTTTTAAAAAATCTTTGCGCTGGGTGCAGTTGCTCACATCTGTAATCCCAGCACTTTGGGAGACAGAGGTGGGCAGACAACCTTTGGGAGGCAGAGGTGCCTACATAACCTGAGGTCAGGAGTTTGAGACCAGCCTGGCCAACATGGTGAAACCCTGTCTCTACTAAAAATACAAAAATTAGCCGGGTGTGTTGGTGGGTACCTGTAATCCCAGCTACTTGGGAGGTTGAGGCAGGGAGAACTGCTTGAACCCAGGAGGCAGAGGTTGCAGTGAGCTATCGAGCCACTGCACTCCAGCCTGGACAACAGAACGAGACTCTGTCTCAAAAAAACAAAACAAAACAAAACAAAACAAAACAAAAATCTTCACTAGGTTGAGTAGTGAAAATTTCTTTCCATTCATTTGCTGGTCATTTGAATCTGTGACTTGTCTTTATGTTCTTCACCTATTTTTCTATGCTAAGTTGGCATTACTTAGGTGTGCATTTTTCTTTTTCTTTTTTTTTCTTTAATTGTGCAGTGGCGTGGTCTTGGCTCACTGCAACCTCTGTTACCCGGGTTCAAGCAATCTCGTGCCTCAGCCTCCCAAGTAGCTGGGACTACAGGCGCGTGCCACCACACCCAACTAACTTTTTTGCATTTTTAGTAGAGACGGGGTTTCACCATGTCGGCCAGGCTGGCCTGAAACTCCTAACCTCAAGCGATCTGCCCACCATGGCCTCCCAAAGTGCTGGGATTACAGACATGAGCCACTGCGCCTACCCTAGGTCTGCATTTTTCTTACACAGAAGTATGTTAACCCTTTCTCTCGCATATTGTACAGTACCCCTCCCCAACTTTCTCTCTTTTGGTTTTTTTTTTTTTTGAGATGGAATCTCACTCTGTCACCTAGCCTGGAATGCAATGGCGCGATCTCGGCTCACTGCAACCTCTACCTCTGAGGTTCAAGCAATTCTCCTTCCTCAGCCTCCTGAGTAGCTGGGATTATGGGCGCCCACCACCACGCCTGGCTCATTTTTGTATTATTAGTGGAGACGGCGTTTCATCATGTTGGCCAGGCTGGTCTCGAACTCCTGACCTAAGGTGATCTGTCCACCTCAGCCTCCCAAAGTGCTGGGATTACAGGTGTGAGCCACTGTGCCCAACTCTTTTGATATTTTATTTTTGTCCTTATCAAATTTATTTCCAGCACTGGAAAAATTAAGTTTTTTAAGGCTGAAGAGTACCTTGTACACAGTTGGCCTTTGAGGCATAATAACATTATCAAGTTTTATTTAAAATCAGATTTTTAAAAAAACTGAGCAGAACCACTTTTAAAGAAGAAATGGACTCACGTTCATGGTATCGTATATTCACATGGTGCAGTTAAAAGAAAACAAGTCTTCCACGAGATTTGAGTCCATAATAATAGCACGTTATCAAAATACAAAGCCACCTGGACATTATAACACACTTCATATGCTATGTCTAAGATTAAGGCTGATTTTTATTAGTATTATTAAAGTATAGAAAGCTAATTTTAAATCAACAGTTAAAATTTTATAAAGAATTTACTGTGGGGGAAGTACCCACAGTACTTTATAAAGAACGTACTGATTACATTCAATGGCAAAACCAATACTAAAAATAAGCATTGCTTTATAACCTTTTTTTTTTTTTTGAGACAGAGTCTCACTCTGTCGCCCAGGCTGGAGTGCAGTGGCGCAATCTTGGCTCACTGTAAGCTCCGCCTCCCAGGTTCATGCCGTTCTCCTGCCTCAGCCTCCCAAGTAGCTGGGACTACAGGCGCCCACCACTACGCCGGGCTAATTTTTTGTATTTTTAGTAGAGACAGGGTTTCACTGTGTTAGCCAGGATGGTCTTGATCTCCTGACCTCCTGATCTACCCACCTCGGCTTCCCAAAGTGCTGGGATTACAGGCGTGAGCCACTGCGCCCGGCCAATAACCCATATTTTTAAAAAACTCCTTAGCAGTCAGTAAGTCACATAACTATTCACCTGTGTGAAAGGGGCTAAATTTCTAGGCAAGAAACTATTCTCTGTGATGAAAATACTGTTTGTGACACAGTAAATAATGCCAAAGAATCGCCCTTGCTTTTTTTTTTTTCCTTTTCGCAGCTAAAATCCTAGCTGGGATATCCAACACTTGCTTACTCCCTTTGGCTGTTAATTCTAGCCAGTGGTTCTACTGATCAGCCTGTTTAAGAGTTCAACTGTTTCTGTTTATAATTAAAAGAGCATACAGACAGACCAATACTAATTTGCAGAGAGGTACTAGAAAGGTGTGCCAGAAAGAGAGAGCACTTTTGTTAAGAGCAGGTATTTCTCCACAATTACCAGCCTCAAGCCATTCCAGGCCACTAGCACAATTTTCTTAGCTCAGAGAAGGACAGAAACAGGCTTGCTGCCCCTCAGAGCTGACGAAGCCATTCACTACTTTAAGCACTGCTGTGATTCTAGGCAACTTACCTTTAGGTTGTCCAGTTGTGATTCTTCCTCATGTTGCTTAACTGCTCTTTGCTCCACACAGAACCCTTACATTACAGTCAAAGGATCTCAAAAACGTAGGTACTGTTAAAACTTAACTGTATTTAGAGGTCAAATCCAAATTAAATGGTAAGGTAACATGGCTCTTGGAGGATGAGATAACTCATTTTTTGAGGGAAAATTAGTATATTTCATAGTAAGGCAAGATAGAGCTAAGGAGTTGTGTGATCACACTAATGTAACAGGACAAGGACAATTAGGAGTAAATCTATCCCAGGAGCTATACCCAGATCATAAATGGGCCTCCATGGAGTCTTTAAAAACTACCCTGGAAGAACTTAGCATGAAATACTGTTGGTTTTGCCACCTTTACTTCTAGGGAGAAATGAGTGAGGTGGGACAGCCTATTAGTTTTTATTGCTGCTGCAACAAATCATCACAAATTTAACAGTTTAAACAATGCAAATTATCTTACAGTTCTGAAAAAGTCCAATGGGTTTTGCTGGGCTAAAATCAAGGTGTCAGTAGGGCTGTGTTCCTTTCTGGAGGTTCTAGGAAAGAATCTGTTTCCTTGCCCTTTCTGGCTTCTAGGGTTCTTTGCCTCACGGCCCACTTCTTCCATCTTCAAAGCCAGTAACATTTCATCTCTTTGCGTCTCTTCCATATCGTCTTTCATAGCCTGTCTTACATTTTTAAGGATCCTTGTGATTACACTGTCCCAGCCAGATAATCCAGGATAACTTCCATATCTTAAGGTCAGCTGATTAGCAATCTTAATTCCATCTTCAACCTTAACTCCCCCTTGCCACATAACCTAACATACTCACTGGTTGCAGGATTAAGATGTGGACTTCTTTGGGAAAAGGAAGGGGGGCATTATTCAGCCTACAGCAGACAGTGACTCCTCTCCCACCACGTTTCAAAACTGGCACAGATGCACTAAAAGTATTTGTGCTTGGGAGAATGGACATTCAATGTCCACTGGATTTCAGAATAGGGTGTACCTAACTCTACAAACTAGAGTTTAACTCCATAGCTTAAGGAGTTAAACTAGGGGTTCTTATCTTGGGGTCCATTAGCCACATACTTCAGGGGGTAATCTATGAACTTGGATGGGAATAAAATTATTATAATTTCATTTTCATTAACCTTGAACTGAAATTTGGCATATACATTAATCATAAAGATAAGCAACAAACCATAATAGAAGTACCTGAGATTGTAACTGATATTAGATATTTTTATATGAGATTATGGTTTTTATAGATCTCAAAGTCTCATTTATGCTCATCTCTATTTAAGTATGTTATTAATGTAAAATCATTTTAATTTATTAAAACTGAATTTCAATATAATTGGTTTCCTTCATATTTTAATGTATTTTATTTCATACATTTAAAAACATTATTCTGGGGATGTGTCCACAGGCTTTACAGGGCCTGCCAATTGGCCCACAGCACAAAAAAGGTAAAGAACTTCTGAGATACAGAGTAGAGGGACTAATGAAAATGGAAAAGGGAGAGCTGGAAGGATGGGGAAAATAGCATGAAGCTGACCACTGAGCTAGTTAAGGAAAATCATGTGCAAGGCCATTAGAGACCTCATGAGACCCCAGATTTAGCCTCAGACATTCTACTGAATTCTCTGGTTTAATTTCCCAACTAAACTTTTTGGGTCTCAACCTAACAAAACTTAGAAAGGGCCCAGAAAACCGCAGAAGAATCACAGTATTAATGGGTGGATTACCTTCTAAATTGAAAAAGCAAACCCAGTTCAAATCTGCTCTGAAAGCAGAATGAAGCTCCAGCTGTCCACGTGACGAAGCAAAAGAATAAGCCAGAAAAAGTTGAGCAACAGCTTTTCCTGGAGATGAGATACTTACGGCTACTTGCTCTAGTAACTATCAACTACTCATGATTTATTTATGTCAAAAGTTACTTGAGTGCTGAGAAGCTTGAGGACCAAGGAAGAGATATCAGATTTTTTTTTCTTTTCTCCAGTCCAAACTAATGAACTACAAATGGCCAAGTTGTCAGAGTGGCCTTACCACCTAAGTAAACAATGGGTTGGCAACCCTTACAGAAACCAGAAGTCTGACGGCAACCTTTATTGTTTCTCTCATAAGCCCCTAATTTTTTTTTTTTTTTGAGACAGAGTCTCGCTGTATCCCCCAGGCTGGAGTGCAGTGGTGCAACCTCCACTTCGCGGGTTCAAGCGATTCTCATGCCTCAGCCTCCTGAGTAGCTGGGATTACAGGCACGCACCACCACGCCTGGCTAATTTTTGTATTTTTAGTAGAGACAGGGGTTCGCCATGTTAGCCAGGCTGGTCTCGAACTCCTGACCTCAGGTGATCCACCCACCTCAGCCTCCCAAAGTGCTGGGATTACAGGCGTGAGCCACCGTGCCCGGCCCCAAACCCTACTTTTAAATAAATTTTAAGTCAGGTTATTATTAGCCATCTTTTTTTTTTTTTTTTTTTAAGATCAAGTCTTGCTCTGTCGCCCAGGCTGGAGTGCAGTGGCGCAATCTCAGCTCACTGCAACCTCTGCCTCCCGGGTTCAAGTGATTCTCCTGTCTCAGCGTCCCAAGTAGCTGGGATTACAGACATGCGTTGTCACACCCAGCTAAATTTTGTATTTTTAGTAGAGATGGGGTTTCACTATGTTGGCCAGGCTGGTCTTGAACTCCCAACCTCAGGTGATCTACCTGCCTTGGCCTCCCAAAGTGCTGGGATCACAGACATGAGCCACAGTGCCCGGCCTATTAGCCATCTTTAAAAGTCTTCTCCCTGGGCCGGGCGCAGTGGCTCACGCCTGTAATCCCAGCACTTTGGGAGGCTGGGGAGGGTGGATCACAAGGTCAGGAGATTGAGACCATCCTGGCTAACACGGTGAAACCCTGTCTCTACTAGAAATACAAAAAAATTAGCCGGGCGTGGTGGCGGGCGCCTGTAGTCCCAGCTACTCGGGAGGCTGAGGCAGGAGAATGGCATGAACCCGGGAGGCAGAGCTTGCAGTGAGCCAAAATCGCGCCACTGCACTCCAGCTGGGGCGACACAGCGAGACTCCGTCCCAAAAAAAAAAAAAAAAAACCCTTTACTCCAAAACTGGTGTTCTATAATTACTTTTATTAGCTTTTCCTCCATAATTCTGAAAGCTAAGTTAATTGCTAGTACAATACAATGATCAAGAAATTAATGAGTTTATGTATTTCAGGGAAATCTAAACTTATGCGAAGTAAAACTTTACTATTTGAGCTGAGCACTAAAATGAGTCTTTGCATATACCTATCACTTTTTTCAAGAATATATTTACCACAAGGTAGAATTTCAACTTCTGATCATTTGACCAGATGTGACCACTTGATGTATGTTAACTCCAAAAACAAGTGTTTGAGGCAATATCCCTGTAGAAAACACTACACACTAGAATTTTTACCAATATTAGCTATAAATGACTAAACTAGTAACTAAACAAACTAAGTGATACACCTTTGTTTAAAGATACTGTTATAAAGATTCACTTTCAGAAGTCTGATTAAGATCAGAGAAGGGCTAATATCAAGAAACTTAATGAGGATGTGTTATATCTTTGGGAACAACCACCATGCATGTTTCACAGAACAGAGAATTAAAGTATTAGCCAGATTAACCATCATTTTTCTTATGGCTTTTTAATAAAACTACCAAACTCTATAACCACTCAGAGAAATAAACTGTTTATAGTTAACAATCTTTCCATAAAGCATAAACAAAAATACCAAGCCTGAACAGTTTTATAGGTACCACCAATTTTTAAGAAACAGATCATTCCAATAGTATAAACATTCTCGAAAGAATAGAAGAAATTACCATATAATCTTAATTCCCCAAACCATACAATTTTCATGAGAAAGAAACTACAGGTTTATCTTATGAACGTAGATGTAAAAGAATATATAATAGCAATCCAAACCCAGCAATGTATAAAAAAAGACATTATTAAAAATACAAAAAACAACAAATGCTGGCAAGGATATGGAGAAAGGGGAACACTCATACACTGTGGGTGGGAATGTGAAGTAGCACAGCCATTATGGAAAACAGTATGGAGATTACTAAAAGAACTAAAAATGTAACTACCATAGCATCCAGCAACCCCACTACTAGGTATGTATCCAAAAGAAAGCAAATATATCAAAGCATATATATTTCTTCTGCATGCCCATGTTTATTCCAGCACACTATTCACAACAGTCAAGATATGGAATCAACCTAAGTGTCCATGAATGGATGAATGGATAAAGAATATGTGGTATAGGCCAGGCATGGTGGCTCACACCTGTAATCCCAACACTTCGGGAGGCCAAGGAGGGCACATCACTTGAGCCCAGGAGTTTGAGACCAGCCTAGGCAACGTGGCAAAACCCCGTCTCTACTAAAAATACAAAAATTAGCTGGGCATGGTGGCATGCACCTGTAGCCCCAGCTACTTGGGAGGCTATGATGGGAGGATCACCAGAGCACAGGAGGTCAAGGGAAGTGGGCCATGATTGCACCACTGCACTCCAGCCTGGGAGACAGAGCAAGACCCTGTGTCAAAAAAAAAAAAAAAAAAAAAAAAAGAAGGCGTGGTATATATACAAAATGGACTATTATTCAGGCATAAAAAAGAATGAACTCCTGTTATTTAGAGCAACATGGATGGAACTGGAGGTCATTACGTTAAGTGAAAGAAGTCAGGCACAGAAAGACAAATGTCAAGTGTTCTCACTCATCTGTGGGAGTCAAAAACATGGATCTCATGGAGGTAGAGGGTACAATGGTGATTCCCAGAAGCTGAGAAGGGAAGGCAGGGCAGGATGAGGAGAAGTTGGTTAATGGGTACAAAAATACAATTAGAAGGAATAAGTTCTAGTATTTGACAGCAGGAAGATTACAGTTAGCAATAATTTATCGTATGTTCCAAAAGAGCTAGAAGAATTCTAATGTTCTCAACAAAAAGATAAATGTTTGAGGTGATGAATATCCCAAATTCCTTGATTTGGTCATCACACTTTGTATACAGATATCAAAATACCATGTGTATCCTAAAAATATGTACAACTATATCAATAAAAAATACAAAAAAGACAATATACAATAACCACGTTGAGTCCACTCCAGTAAAGCAGCTCACCATATAACAGATTTAAGACAGAAACCCCATGACCAAGGGATGTCAAAAAATAATAAAATTCAATAGATATTTTAAAATTTTTATCAAAACAGCAATAGAAGGAAACTTTTTAAAAAACTTGGTATCTACAAAAAATCTTTAACAAGCATTATTCTTTAATTTTTTTTCTTTTTATGTTTAGTTGACAATTGTACATGTTTATGGGATTCTGAGTGATATTTCAATATATGCATACAATGTGCAATGATCAAATCAGGATAATTAGTATATCCAGCATCTCAAACATTTATCATTTCTTTGTGCTGTAAACATTCAAAATCCTCTCTTTCAGAAAGCTTTTTGAAAATATACAATAAATACAGTTAACCACATTCACTCTACAGGGCTGCAGAATAAGAGAGCTCAGTCCTCCTATCTAGCTGTAATTTGGTATCTGTTACCAGAGGTTGGTTAGGATTCAAAATTAAACAGGTTTTAAAAAGCTGAGGTGAGACCATAAAATGGTGCAACTACCATGGAAAGCAGTATGGAGGTTCTTCAAACAATTGAAAATAGAACTACCACAAGATCCAGGAATCCTACTTCTGGATATATATCCAAAAGAATTAAAAGCAGGATTTTGAGGAGATGTTTGCACACTCATGTTGACATCAGCACTATTTACAATTGCCAAGAGGAGAAAGCAAACCCAAATGTCCACTGGCAGATAAATAAAATGTGCTATATACATTCAATGCAATATTATTCAGCCTTAAAAAAGAAGAAAATCTTGTCACATGTTATAACATGGATGAACCTTGAGGACACTGTGCTAAGTAAAATAAGCCAGTCACAAAACAAATACTATTTGACTCCAACTTATATGAGGTATCAAAAATAGACAAATTGACAGAAACAAAGTTAGAATGGTGATTGATTACCAGGGACTGTGGAAGCTGTTTAATAAGTACAGAGTTTCAGATTTGCAAAATGAGGAAGTTTTGGATCTCTGTTACACAACAATGTGAATATACTTAGTGCTACTAAACTATACACTTAAAAATGATTAAGATGGCAAATTTTGTCATGTGAATTTTACCCCAGTTTTTTCAAAAAGATTGTTTTTGGGCCAAGCGTGGTGACTCACGCATATAATTCTAGCACTTTGGGAGGCCAAGGTGGGAGGATCACTTGAGCCCAGTAGTTAAGAGACCAGTCTGGGCAACACAGGGAGACCCCCATCTCTACAAAAAAATAAATAAATGAAAAATTAGCTGGGCATGGTGGCACATGCTACGCAGGAGGCTGAGGTGAGAGGATCACTTAGCTCAAGAGGTAGAGGCTGCAGTGAGCCATGATGGTGCCACTGCCCTCTAGCCTGGGAGACAGACAGAAACCTTGTATTTATTTATCAACAAACAAATAAAAAGCTTTTGCCTTCTCTCGCAAGATGTTATAGTGATCACAGATTTAGGAGTAGTTTCTGAAAAGACCATGTCCTTTCCTGCCTAAATGTTAATACATAACTTACATAACTCTCTAAACTATTTGTAGTTTTAAAGCAATGACTTCAAATTTATTTCAGTAATTTTTTTGAGTCTCTTTTTTTTTTTTTTTTTTTTTTGAGATGGAGTTTTGCTCTGTTACCCAGGCTGGTGGGCCCTGGCACGATCTCGGCTCACTGCAACCTCCAACTCCCAGGTTCAAGCCAAGTGATTCTCTTGCCTCAGCCTCCACAGCAGCTGGGATTACAGGTGTGTGCCACCACGCCCGGCTAATTTTTGTGTTTTTAGTAGAAACAGGGTTTCACCATGTTGGCCAGGCTGGTCTAGAACTCCTGCCCTTGTGATACGCCCGCCTCGGCCTGTCAAAATGCTGGGATTACAAGCATGAGCCACTGCGCCTGGCCAATTCTCTCCCATTTAAGTAACTGGTTTACAGATTCTGAGATGCATGTGTAAGCCTGCTCTTTCAAGTATAAATTAAACCACATTTTAATTACTGAACTAACAAAGCCTCTTGGGCTGTAAAAGAGAGCAGATGGGATGATTAACAGCAGCAGTTGTATCAATGCCCAGGAAATTACGGGCATACCATAAATTAGTTTTAACTTTACATGCCTCAACTTCAAAATTCTTCAATGCTCCTCTCTGTCTCCAACATGAAACAAAATAAAAGATGAAGATTAACTTAAATTAGCAAAATGCTATTGAGGTCGGTCGGGCATGGTGGCTCATGCCTGTAATCCCAGCACTTTGGGATACCAAGGCAGGCAGATCCCTTGAGGTCAGGAGTTCCTGACCAGCCTGGCCAACATGGTAAAACCCCATCTCTACTAAAAATACAAAAATTGGCCAGGCACGCTAGTACGTGCCTGTAATCCCAGCTACTCAGGAGGTTGAGGCAGGAGAATCGCTTGAACCCAGGAGGCAGGGGCTGCAGTGAGCTGAGATTGTGCCACTGCACTCCAGCTTGAACAAAAAGAGTGAGACTATGTCTCAAAAAAATGAAGTCATTAAGTGTCTATTTGATGCTTTTAGCTAATCAAATAAATATCACTAGTTTTGTTGTTGTTTTGAGATGGGGTTTCACTTTTTCGCCCAGGCTAGAGTACAGTGGTGCAATCCTGGCTCACTAAAGCCTCAAGCTCCTGGGCTCAAGTGATCCTCCCACCTCAGCTTCACAAGTATGCGGGACTACAGGCTTATGCCACCATGCCAGGCTAATAATAGTTTTGACTTTGATCAACTGTATTACCCATTTTTAATGTTAACTTTTCTAATCCATTATTAGATTTTGTGGGTTTTTTTAGAGTAATTCCAGTTTACAAAATGCTCACCAACAAATACAGCTCATGCCCTCAAAAAGTAAGCACTCTTTAAATGTTTATTATGGAGGGAACATCTTCTAAGCACTTTACAGGCATTTTAATTTAATCTTCACAATAGTGGTGGAGGTAAATACTAGTATTATTCACTTTTTACACGTGAGGAAACTGTAGAGAGTAATTAAGTACCATGTTCAGGGATAAGCTAGCCAGCCATAGAGCCTAGATTTAAATCAGACTTCAAAGCCCACACTCTTAATTACTTAATTCTTCAATGTTGTTCTTTAAAATACCACAAGTGCTGCAATCCTCTATCTTCTTTGGCTCACAACTAAAGCATGTATTGGATTATAATTTGTTCTTTATGGCTGTTTAACAAGACAGTTAAACTAGCGAGCTCTCTTGGGGTCTTGGCATCCTGAAGATTAACATCAGGATGGGCAGCTTGAAAAATGGCTTATAGGTGGCATTTTAGTTTCCTTAGCAACTCAATTTTCCTAGATCATATCTAAATAAAAATAATTATGCTTTCTGCAGTAGAACAAGGTCATTCTGACCTCCTCAACTCTCTTTTAGCTGGAAATTAGGCAAAGGATTTTTACAGTCTTACAAAAAAGAGGTATTGATAACTCCATAAAGTATGGTAAGATGAATCAAACTGAAGCCTCCTACATTTCTTTTTTAAATTTCTACTTTTTTTTTTTTTTTTTTTGAGAGAGAGTCTTGCTGTGTCACCTAGGCTGGAGCACAGTGGCACAATCTCGGCTCACTGCAACCTCTGCCTCCCGGGTTCAAGTGATTCTTGTGCCTCAGCCTCCCTAGCTGGGATTACAGGCACGTGCCACCATGCCCAGATAATTTTTGTATTTTTAGTAGAGATGGGGTTTTGCCATGTTGGCCAGCCTGGTCTCGATTCCTGGCCTCAAGTGATCCTCTTGCCTTGGCCTCCCAAAGTGCTGAGATTACACGTGTGCATGGCACTCGGCCACTGCTTCAGGTTAACTCTAGAAAATAACTCCTCACTCTTCCAGGTTCCTTTTTGGAAAATAAATCAACATTTGCCTATGTGACCAATCACTTTCAGTGTCAGAGTTTCTGTTTTCATATTCTCAGTCTGCACATCATTCCAGCAGTTACCAACAGTAGCTGTCTTCCATGACTTATAGAAGAATTACTAAAGGAACAGACTAAATACTTACTTAAAATAACATACAGAAGGACTAAATTAGCGGCAAGAATTATTATTTCTCAGGCATGCACCTGCAATCCCAGCTACTTAGGAGGAAGGGAGGATCCATTGAGCCCAGAAGTTCAAGACAAGCCTGGGCAACACAGGGAGACTATGTCTCTAAAAACAAACAAAAATTGTTTCCTGTTTTATGACAGTCACAAAGACTTATTATTTCTCAGAATAAGAGACTTCATTTGACAGTTTTAGTTGTTATATTAGAATTATCAAGCACCTTATGAGCTGAGATTATGGACTCAATTTCTGAATACAGGACAGGGAAAATCTGACACAAATGAGGAAAGCCTCAAACTTTTTCAGACCACATGTTGCATAAAGAATTTATAGCTGTTTTATTTAGTTGGTTACACACTGAGTAGCTACTGTGAAGAGAAGCATTATGCCAAACAGATAAATTCACAGACCCAGCATTGAATTTTACAGCCTGGAACAACCTATACCAAGTGGTATGAGTAAATATTCTCATAAAATAGCCCAAAACATCTCTACTGGTTCCATAACTGATTACTGATTTCCACATTACAAAGATTATTTTTTTCTAATACCTAACTCTTATTAGAGACCCGGATATTTATTACTGAGGCAGGAGAATAGGGTCTGGAGGCAGGGAACTTAAGGGCAATTCATGCTGAATCAAGGAAAAACACCAAGGTTTGGGGGCAGGGAATCTGAGGTCAACTTACGTTAACTTTCTAAAAGAGAAAACACCAAGGTCTGGGGGCAAGGAATCTAAGGCCAATTCGTGCTGACTTCCCAAAGCTGAATTCCCAAAAGGAACCCCCTGGGTTTGGGGGCAGGGAACCTAAGGCCAATTAAGGCCAACTTCCTAAAGCTAAACCAAAAGGAAAAAACCCATCTGCCCACGCCCGAGTGGCAAAGGATCAAAGGCTACTATCCCTGCAACCCTCCCCATCCACCACGTCTCACATGGAAAGGGAGAGTGCCTTAGACTGGCCGCAGGCCAAGCAGGGACCATCCGTTCATCTGCACAGGACGCCAATTCACCTCGGCCTTTAGCCACAGACCAAATCCTTCATCCAGATAAGGGGTAACCCATAGGAACCATAAAAGGAGCACTTAAAATCCAGAAAACTTTGTAAGTGGGCTCTTGAGCCCCTTGCTCCGGCCCACTCACACCCTGTGGGGTGCTTTCTCGCTTTAATAAATTCCTGCTTTCGCTGCTTCGTTTGTGTTTCATTCCTTTGTTATTTTGTGCGTTTTGTCCAATTATTTGTTCAAAATGCCAAGAACCTCGACAACCTACACTCAAGGGCCTCCTACCGGTAACATTACGGGAAACACCATTTCCTCATCACATTTCAGATTTGCTCCCAGTGAGGTACGTGGGCACTTGAACACATCCCTTTAAAAAGGAGAAAGCTTTCTGATCTATGTAGTGATTTATCTGGCAGTGCCTTCTGTCCACCAGCCTCTGGCCTGATTTTCCTAGAGATCAGAAGAATCAACATAACTTTTGTAAACTAAGATCCAGAAAGGGCCTTTGGTTATTATCGGTAAATGCTGGGCTAAAGAAAGAACTGGTGGGCGGGTCACCACCCCAGGCTAGTCCACATAACGCTATTCATCTTAGAAGCAGTAAGACGGGGGAAAGGTCTGCATCCCATTCGCTTATTCCGTCCTACTGAATCTGCCTTGGCAGGACACGACCTGCAAAATAACCCCGTGGATCCGTGGAGTGTCACCACACTGCAGGGTCAAAGGACGGCGTCGGCGGTTCTCGGCTGTTAGGGAGCTAGCCGACGAAGGCACCACAACCCTCATTCTTTACTCTTCCCGCCTGGGGGCCGGGAAGCCAAGCTCTACCGCTTCGAGCACATCCAGGGTCCCCGGGGCCCGGACTGCTGACACCGAGGCAAGGTCTCACCGGGCCCACTCTGCCCAACCTCCCCGATTCTCGCTTAGCCTCTCTTCCCTTTCGGGGTGCCCTCCCGCCTGCTACCCCGAGGGGTGCAAACTCACGACCACCGCGGCGCCGGTGAAAATGTCCTCCCCCTCGGTGTCGCTGTCCCCAGCCTCGGGTTCTGATCCCCCGGCCGCCCCCTCGGACTCCGGCTCCAGGCCGGGGAAGGGCGGAGGCAGTCTCTCCGAAGCGCTACAGCCACCACCACCCGACGCCATCTTCTTCCACCCGCGGCGGAAGCCGCAACAACAACTTTATCGAGAGATAGCGCCGTGAGCAAAGCGATCCAACGGTGCGAGGAGTGGGAGGGCCGCAAGGGACCCCGTGGGATCCGAGGGGCGGAGACCTAGGGGCGGGGCTTAGGCGCTGGGGGCGGGGCGGCACCCGGCCAGCTGAGGCTGCGCAGCAAATCCGAGGCCTGGTTCGCGATGCTGAGATATTAACGAGTGGGGCCAAAGGGGCAGAAAAGTAGGAGTTAGGGGCTGCTCAGGTTTCTAGGGCCCTTTGTGCTCTGGATAGCTTTATCCAACAGGCTTCTAAGAGTTCGTCTGAATGAAGGAGTGTCACTAAAATGTTTGAAAACCTCTACATGCCATCTACCCATGCCAAGCACAATGCCCTCACAGAGAGTCAATAAATATTTCGATTGAGGTATCTGAACAAGACTAGAAGAAAGCTTCACCACTTATTCCTTGAGCAACATTCAGTTAATTCATTAAGAAATACAGATACTGAGCATCTACTGTATGCCTGGCACCTTGCTGTGAGTTTCAGATACAGAAATCAGGTATTTAATCGACAGTTCGACATGTTCAATGCTATGGTGCCCTGTGGGAGCACAGGGAAAGAGATAATCAATTCTGCTTGGAGAAGTAGGGAGGCCTCACAGATGAAGTGAGGCCTCAGTGTCCTAGATTTGGCTGGAAAAATGTTAGGATTATCCTCTCAATTGCTGTGGAGTAAGTGGAGTGGAATAGACGGCAGGGAAATTATTGAACCCTGACCAAAATTTCCTTGGGACCTAAGCAATTCATTGTCTGGTGATCCTAAGGCCTACATTAACTAGACAAACAAGACTGGAGTTTAAAGATAAATGGGCATGTTAGCATGGGACAATTCTGCAAGATAATCCTATCTTCTCAATAGAAATGGCATTTGTCACCAACTTTGACAAGAGGTTTAGTTAGTTTGGTTGTAACTGCAAATTCAGGGATGGACTCCCTCACAGGTCATGTGAGCTGTTTGAAGGCGGGGGCAGCGTTTTATCTTTGTATCTTCCATGCCTATGGATCACCTATGGCAAATTAGTACCTACAAATTTGATCGGAGGGATGGATGGATAAAATAAAATCGATTTTGTTACTGGCATCCATCACACCCACGAACACCAGAGGGCTTAAGATACACTTTTTTTTTTTTTTTTTTTTTTGAGGGAAGTCTCGCTCTTCTCCCCCAGGCTTGAGTGCAATGGCTCGATCTTGGTTCACTGCAACCTCTGCCTCCTGAGTTCAAACGATTCTCCTGCCTCTGCCTCCCAAGTAGCTGGGATTAAGGCCCCTGCCACCACGCCCAGCTAATTTTTGTATTTTTTAGTAGAGACGGGGTTTGCCCATGTTGGCCAGGCTGGTCTCGAACTCCTGACCTCAGGTGATCCGCCCGCCTCGGCCTCCCAAAGTGCTGGGATTATAGGCGTGAGCCATCGCGCCCGGCCAAGATACACTTTTAAGGATGGCGATCTCCATTATGTCACCACTGTACACATTAGACACGGGAAAACTTATGTTCTAAGTTGTCTTTGGAGGCCATTAGCAGAAATATTCGTTCAAAGGTGGGAAGCTGTGCTGGACTGAGTCCCTTAGGAGACGAGAAAGCCAAAAAGCCCTCCCCATGCCATACCTGACTACCTCACTGGCTTCCCATGACATCCCTTTTCACAGCAACTGAAACCTACTTCCTGTCCGATCAGGAAGTAAGAAAGACGTTGGCTGTCAGCGGATCCCGCGGAGAAATAATTGTAAAGAGTCTCCGTGCTGGAGAACTCAAGATCTCCTTTCCCCTACCCCTTCAGGATTCATCTTTAACTTATCACGGATACTGAGTGAGTCAGTCGCGGTTAACAGACCGTTACATCCACTTCTACCAGGCGGACACTACAAGTCCCAGAATACAATTCGCTGCCTTCCGAAGAAAATAGCTCACGCATCCCAGCATGCAATGTGCTGACGAGCCGCGAAGATTGTTTTTGTCCCGCCGAAATCGAGCAAAGCACGCTGGAACTTGTAGTCCTTGAGGCCCCTTCCCTAGGTCCTTCGAGCTACTCCGTCTGGCCCCGCCTTTTCTCTGCTCTCCTGAACCTTTAGGCTTGTCTCGGCCCATTTGAAGACCAGGAAGTTGATCAATCCCGAGGCTGCTGAGAGACGGTGGCGCGATTGGGACAGTCGCCAGGGATGGCTGAGCGTGAAGATGCAGCGGGTGTCCGGGCTGCTCTCCTGGACGCTGAGCAGAGTCCTGTGGCTCTCCGGCCTCTCTGAGCCGGGAGCTGCCCGGCAGCCCCGGATCATGGAAGAGAAAGCGCTAGAAGTTTATGGTAATTAATTTTACCCAGCACAGCATTTGGCGTTATAGGTGCAGGCCGGAGCTGAGGGGTGCGGGGATGATGGCCTCACCTGAGGGCTGGGAGGGGAGACCTTTTTTTTTGTTTGTTTGTTTGTTTGTTTTTGGCCAGATCTTGTCCGGGGCGTAGCAGGCGCTTTCTTCGGGGTCCTAAGTCACGTGGGGGGTGTGGGTCTTTCTGGGAACTGGGCTCTTCGTAAACCTGGGGCAAGCCGAACCCAGAGGTCTTAAAAGCTTCATTCTCCACGTGTGGCCTACGTCTTAGTAACCATTCCAAGACTTGTGGGGAGACCACAAGTCTAGGGTGCCTGGTTAGGAAGCAAAGCTGGCCTGATTGCACTACTAGAGCCTCGTTCTCTAGCTCCTGGACACGCACTCTTGCTACCGCTGAGGGCGCTTGTGGGTGACAGTCGAGTTGGGGACTGGCCCAAGGTCACAGCCACTCTATCCGGCAAAGTCAGTAAGCAGAGGTCCCCGAAAGAAGAGAACGAGATTGGCTTCTTGTAGCAAGGCCTTGTGTACACACACATAACGCACACACACACATACACACTCTTCCATGTTGCATATTAAATATTTTCTGTTTAACCCTTGGGGCCATCTTTATTGTACAAATGAGGAAACAAAGGTTAAAGAACTACCTGGAGGTCACACTGCCAGTAAGGAACAGAGCCAAAAAGCAAAGGCTGTGCCTACTGGTTCTAACCGTAATGCACTTTCCACCACTTCACAATTGCCTTACAACTTTTTGTTTGTTTGTTTTTTTAATTATGTTGTATTGTTTTTGAAAACCGAAAAGACTGGATATAATATTGAGAGATCTAACCATAGAATACAAATATAATTCAAGTAAGGATTATAGGCCAGTAGAAGGAAGCCAGGGTTAGGAAATACTCTGGGAGCTAATTTGGTTGACCTCTCTTACTAGAGGCAGGACTTACCTAATCAGCCTCCAGGCAGATGATAATTGTGAGTAAAATGATCTCCACAAAGCAGACCACATCCCTGTCCTGCCAGATCTCTGTCCACATAATCTAGGGATGGTAGGGCACTGGAGATACAACTTTGGAAGAGAGTGACTCTAGTCTTCAAACTGATATTGAAGGAAACCCATATATGCAAAAATAGAGTATGTAATAGAAGGCTGTAGACTGAATAAGAGATACAGAAATTCAGAGAAAGGGAGATACTAGTCTCTGACTGAGGGGATCTAGAAAGACTTTGAAATAAAGAGAAGGAGCCACTTGAGTTGGGCCTCAAAGAATAATTAGGATCTAGATATGTAGAGGGTCAGAGGGCATACTAAGAGGAAACTTAAAAGCATGGAGGTAAGAAGATAGGAAATGACAGATAGATGGGGCTATAGGATAGGGTTTGTGGTTAAATGTGAAGATGTGGTTGAACATTGTTCTAGGTAGTGGGATGCAGTTGGATACTGAAGGTTTTAAATATAAATGAAGAATTTTAATAGTGCAGTGCTGTGGAAGAATGTTAGTGTGGGGAGTAATATGAGGAGAACTTTCTTTTAAATTTTTTTTTTTTTTTTTTTTTTTTTGAGACAGGGTCTCACTCTGGTAATCAGGCTGGAGTGCAGTGGTGCAATCACTGCTCACTGCAGCCTCCATCCACCTCCAGGGCTCAAGCCATCCTCCCACCTCAGCCTCCTGACTGACTGGGACCATAGGCATGCACCACCATGCCCAGCTAATTTTTGTATTTTTTTGTAGAGATGAGGTTTTGCTATGTTACCCAGGCTGGTCTTGGACTCCTGAGCTCAAGTGATTTGCCTGTCTCGGCCTCCCAAAGGCTGGGATTACAGGCATGAGCCACCACACCCGGCCCTTCTTTCTTTTTAAAGAAGTAAAGCCAAACCTCTCAAATCTAGAAACTAGAAAACTAGAGAAATTTAATAAGGATGATATTTAATTTCAGGGTTTAGTGGCATATAAAGAATATAATACAATTAAATGAGCCTTATGGGGAGAAAGCCTAGTATGAGAGGCAGAAAATTCCTTTTCAGAAAACTCTGTTTCCCTAAGTCCCATGATAACACAGCTCTGTGAAAGAGAAGCTTTGTCGACTTTCTTGCCTATGTTTTCCAATTCTGCTTCTTTCTTTCTTTTTTTTTTTTTTTTGAGACAGAGTCTCTTCTGTCACCCAGGCTAGAGTGCAGTGACACAATTTTGGCCCACTGCAGCCTCAGCCTCCTGGGTTCAAGTGATTCTCCTACCTCAGCCTCCTGAGTAGCTGTGATTACAGGCACATGCCACCACACCCGGCTCATTTTTGTATTTTTAGTAGAGACGGGTTTTTGCCATGTTGGCCAGGCTGGTCTTGAACTCCTGAACTCAGGTGGGTGATCCACTTGCCTCAGCCTCCCAAAGTGCTGGGATTACAGGCATGAGCCGTCATGTTTGGCAAAATTCTGTTTCTAATCAAGTGACAAGCCCAGGAGCAAATTAAAGAGAAAATAGAATTTGTTCTTGTTTTTCCCAGTTGCATTTCTGATTACATATAATTTTGTGTGATAAATAATAAAACAAAACTTCAGATTTGAGAACCTCAAGCACATTCTATGTAAAATTCTGCTTCTTTCCTTTCTACCTCACCATTTCTCTTTATTGTTCTCCTTTCCTTCATCTCTTTCTCCAGCCTCAGAGTAAGAAAGAAATCTTGTCTTCTCCAAGGCCAACTGAGACTTCTAAATATTTGATCCCACTCCCTTCTGCTTATTTTACCAGTCTCCGCTCCTCCCAACTTATATTTTCAATTTCTCTCCTCAAAGTTGCCCTTATCCTTGTCATTGTTCTAGCTTCCTTATAAAGTCATTGTCCTTTTCATGTCCCTCCCTTCCCAGCTAAGGCCCTAGGAAGACATTTTCAGTTCCTACTTGCTTCCCCTTTTGCAAGCTGGCTTCAGCGCACGCACTCTCTACTGAAACTGCTTTCTTACAGCTGGCTGGGGTGACAAATGAAAGACCTGTTTTAGCTCTCATGAGCCTGAATTTTTCTGCAGCATTTAATGTTATTAACCATCCCTCTCTTCCCTCCTCTAGTTCTTTTTGCTTTTGTTTCTCATTCTGATCCCTAAGTTAGGTGCTTCGCATGGATCTGTTGGGTCTCTTTTTTCTTTATACCACTGATTCTCATACTGGGTTGTACCTAAGAACAACCCGAGAAATTTTTAAAACTCAAAGGCCAGCAAACCAATTAAATCAGAGTCTCTGGAATTGGGGCCCAGGCATCAGGTTTTTTTGTTTGTTTGTTTTTGTTTTTGAGACGGAGTTTTTGCTCTGTTGCCCAGGTTGGAATGCAATGGCGGGATCTCGGCTCACTGCAACCTCTGCCTTCTGGTTTCAAGTGATTCTCCTGCCTCAGTCTCCTAAGTAGCTGGGATTACAGGCGCCCGGCACCACGCCTGGGTAATTTTTGTATTTTTAGTAGAGACGAGGTTTTACCATGTTCACCAGGCTGGTCTCGAACTCTTGACCTCAGGCGATCCACCCGCCTCAGCCTCCCAAAGTGCTAGGATTATAGGCCTGAACCACGCGCCCGGCCTTGTTGTTTGTTTTGAAACATTCTTGGTAATTCCAATGTTCAGCCAAGGTTCTACTTATTCTTTGTGAATCCTGTGGGTTTGACAACCACTCTAGCTTTGATGCTGTTTTAAACTCTATGCTACAGTTTACCACTTGCTAGAAAACTCCATTGGATAACCCCTTAAGCACCTCAAAATCATTCTGTGTGAAATTGAACTCATTTGCTCTATGCCCCACCCAAATTTCTTCCTCGTTCTGTTTCTTTTAGTTCTGCCAGTGTTGTCCTAGATACTATTTTAGGCCTGGTGTTTTTAGCTGGTATCATTGGTTCTGCTTTTTAGTCTGAGTCTAGCAGCTGATGATGAGTTACCAGCTGACAGCACAGTGTTGTCCATGTCACTTGTCTCAAACCTCTTGAGGACTTGCTATTGCCGGTAGCTGGCTGTAAAAGACACTTGATGGTCAGACCCAAATCTCATACTCTAAAACACCTTTCACTTATGCCTGCTTCCAGGCAAACTAGGGTTCTTCTTCTTTACTTTACTTTCCTTCACTTTTTTTTTTTTTTTGAGACAGGGTCTCGCTTTGTTGCCCAGCCTAGAGTGCGGTGACACGATCTCCGCTCTCAACCTCTGCCTCCTGGGCTCAAGCGATCCTCCTGAGTGGCTGGGACCACAGGCCTGCACCACTACACCCGGCTAATTTTTGTGTGTATTTTTTGTAGAGACGGGGGTCTCATTATGTTGCTGAGGCTGGTCTCGAACTTCTGAGCTCAAGTGATCCTCCCGCCTTTGCCTCTCAAAGTGGTTGGTTTACAGGTGTGAGCCACCATGCCCAGCTACTTTCCTTCACTTTAAATGTCAAATATTGAAATGTTACCTATTTTTCAAGGCTTGATTCAGATTCCGCTCCTATAAAGCCTGATAACCACATTCTTTCAAGCTGAAAGTTATTTCTTCCTCTTGAGCTTCCATGACACTGTTTCCATTCTTATTATATTTTCTCTGCAATGTCCGATTGGAGAAACTGGATATGGTCTTATAATAATCCAAGAAAACAGTTTTCTCAAGAGGAAACCAGTAGTGAAAATTTCTGTCAGAAACCTGGGAGTTGCTGTACTATTTGCTTAAACGTAAGAGAAGTCAGTGCTTAAATTAGGCCTGGCAAAATCATCTTTATTTAGAATAGTCATGTTTTAATAGAATATCTTATCTCTGATGATTCTTTAGATTTGATTAGAACTATCCGGGACCCAGAAAAGCCCAATACTTTAGAAGAACTGGAAGTGGTCTCGGAAAGTTGTGTGGAAGTTCAGGAGATAAATGAAGAAGAATATCTGGTTATTATCAGGTTCACGCCAACAGTACCTCATTGCTCTTTGGCGACTCTTATTGGTAAGTTTTTCTGTACATACATGTATATTTATATAAATTCTAAGTTATTCTTGCTGATATTGACCCATAATAACAATTTGCATCATTGTTGAAAAACCATACAGTGTATGTATTACACTTTATGGTTTACAGAGTATGTTCGTGTATTCATCTTCTGTAGTCCTCACAATTAGCTTGTTGAGTTAAAATATTATTATCTTCATTTTGCAGATGAGGAACCTGAAGCTCAGAGAGTTTAAGTGACTTGCACAGAATCAGGTAGCCAGGAAATGGTGAAACTAAGGCTCATACCCAGGTCTCCTGACTCCACTTCTCCTTTAGTTATGTCAGGCTGCCCCTCCCAGGTATATATGCCCACAATTAATGGAGAGTGCATGTGGGCCAGTGCTTTTCCTCAGTTCTGGAGGTTGGAGTGGGTGGTGTCAGACTAGCATTGCTTCCATCACCATCTCCTTTCAGTGACTCTTCTGGTTTCTACATAGTATGGGTAGAAGTCCTGGTAGGAGGTTGGATTCCCAGTATTTTGGATTTGTTAGCAGGTACAATAAATGTATTTGAACATATGCTTTGTTATAAAGGGATTTTATTTCAAACCAAATGTTCATGAGTAGGGGATTGATTAAATAATCATTGATGGTGAATATAAACAGTGGAATACTATGCAGCTATAAAAAAGAATGAAGAAGCTCTGCATGTACTGATATGGAGAGATCTCTATGACATACTGTTAAGAAATAAAAGCAAGTATCATTTTGCTATCATTTGTGTAAAAAAAGCAAAAACATACATTTGTATTTGATTGCATATGCCTGAATAATATTAATACATAAATGAATAGCTATAAGGGTGTTAGCGGGTAATAGTGGTGGTGGGAGCTGGGCAGATGGGGGAAAGGGTGGGAGGGAGACTTTATACCTTTTTATGTTTTTACATTTTCAAACCATGGGACTATCTCACCTATTAAAAAGCAACAAGTTTATAAAAAAGATTGAAAAGGTCGCTATTTCGTTATTATTTCCACTATTGTGATTTCTGTCTTTTCTCACTGGTTGACCTGGGTTCCCTCTGCTGGTGGTTTCCACCATATAGGCCACATCTTGAGGGACTGGAGGTCTGTGAATCCATAGGTATTATTGTGGTTATTAAAATCCCATTGGTGACCGGGCGTGGTGGCTCACACCTGTAATCCCAGCACTTTGGGAGGCCAAGGTGGGTAGATCACTTGAGGTCAGGAGTTTGAGACAAGCCTGACCAACATGGTGAAACCCCATCTCCACTAAAAAAAATACAAAATTAGGCCGGGCGCGGTGGCTTACGCCTGTAATCCCAGCACTTTAGGTGGCCGAGGCGGGCAGATCACGAGGTCAGGAGATGGAGACCATCCTGGGTAACATGGTGAAACCCTGTCTCTACTAAAACTATAAAAAATTAGCCAGGCATGGTGACGGGTGCCTGTAGTCCCAGCTACTCAGGAGGCTGAGGCAGGAGAATGGCGTGAACCCGGGAAGCGGAGTTTGCAGTGAGCCGAGATTGCACCACTGCACTCCAGCCTGGGCATCAGAGCGAGACTCTTATCTCCCAAAAAAAAAAAAAAAAAAAAAAGCAAAATTAGCAAGGCATGGTGGCACACACCTGTAATCCCAGCTACTTGAGAGGCTGAGGCAGGAGAATTACTTGAACCTGGGAGGCAGAGGTTGCAGTGAGCTGAGATCATGCCATTGCACACCAACCTGGGCAACAAGAGCAAAAACTTCATCTCAAAAAAAAAAAATTCCCATTGGCATGGCGGCTCACACCTGTAATCCCAGCACTTTGGGAGGCCAAGGCAGTGGATCACTTGAGGTCAGAAGTTCAAGACCAGCCTGGCCAACATGGTGAAACCCCATCTCTACTAAAAATACAAAAATTAGCTGGGCATGGTGGCACGCACCTGTAATCCCGGCTACTCGGGAGGCTGAGGCAGGAGAATCGCTTGAACATGGGAGGTGGAGGTTGCAGTGAGCTGAGATTGCGCCACTGCACTCCAGCCTAAGCAACAGAGTAAGACTCTGTCTCAAAAAAAAAAAAAAAAATCCCATTGCTAGAAAAAGCATTACTGAATGCTGAATGCATGGTTATTTTTGGTCATTGGACAATTTGTGAACGAACAGATACTGAAAGTACTGCTGTGGGTGTTGTGGAGGGGGTGTCTTAAAATATTTTGACATATAAGAAAGAGTTCTTAAATGGAGAGTTCAAGAACCTATAGCAAATTTATTTATTTATTTATTTTTTGAGCTGGAGTTTAACTCTTGTCACCCAGGCTGGAGCGCAATGGTGCAATCTTGGCTTACTGCAACCTCCGCCTGCCAGGTTCAAGCGATTCTCTTGCCTCAGCCTCCCAAGTAGCTGCAATTACAGGCGCCCGCCACCATGCCTGGCTAATTTTTTTTGTATTTTTAGTAGAGATGGGGTTTCACTATGTTGGCCAGGCTGGTCTCGAACTTCCAATATCAGGTGATCTGCCCACCTCGGCCTCCCAAAGTGCTGGGATTACAGGTGTGAGCCACCACTCCCAGCCAGCAAATTCATTTTTAAAATTAACATTTATTTAAATTATATGAGTAACATGTTTATTGGCAGTAATTTTGATACCCCACAAAAACATAAAGAAAAAAACCAGCTATTATGAAAGAATGTCACTGGGTGCAGTGGCTCACTCTTGTAATCCCAGCACTTTGGGAGGCCGAGGCGGGCAGATCATGAGGTCAGGAGTTTGAGACCAGCCTGGCCAACGTAGTGAAACCCTGTCTCTACCAAAAATGCAAAAAATTAGCTGGGCGTGGTGGCGGGCGCCTGTAATCCCAGCTACGTGGGAGGCTGAGGCAGGAGAATCGCTTGAACCCGGGAGGCGGAGGTTGCAGTGAGCGAAGGTCACGCCACTGCACTCCAGCCCAGGCTACAGTGCGAGACTCCGTCTCAAAAAAAAAAAAGAATATATGCTCTGGGCTAAAATTCCAGGTCTATTGGCTGTACCGTATTGTGGGCTTCGGCAAGTTACTTAACCTTTCCAAGACCCAGTTTCCTTATCTGTAAAACAGGAATAATAAGGATATCTATAGAGTCGTAAGAGTTAAGTAATAGCATGAAATACATGAATTATTTTTCTCATTAAATATTTCTTTTTTTAAATTTTTTTTGTTGTTGAGACAGGGTCTCACTCTGTCACCCAGGCTGGAATGCAATGACACGATCTCGGCTCACTGCAGGCAGCCTCCACCTCCCGGGCTCAAGTGATCCTCCCACCTCAGTCTCCTGAAAAGTTAGAACTTCAGGCAGGTGCCACTATGCCTGGCTAGTTTTGCCATGTTGCCCAGGCTGGTCTCAAATTCCTGGGCTCATGCCTCAGCCTCCCCAAGTGCTGGGATTACAGGCATGAGCCACCATACCTGGCCATCATTAAATATTCTTTAATTATATAGTTATAGGTTACATGCTAATCATATTGGTACATCAGAAGTTTTGTAACCATTTGGACTACTTCTAGCCTTTTGCAATTATAAATAATACTGTGATGAGCAACTTTATTTTATTTTATTTTATTTTATTTTATTTTATTTTATTTTTTGAGACAGAGTCTCACTTTATTGGCCAGGCTGGAGTGTAGTGGCCACTGGAGCTTCCACCTCCCAGGTTCAAGTGATTCTCCGCTTCAGCCTCCCGAGTAGCTAGGATTACAGGCATCCTCCACCAAGCCCAGCTAATTTTTGTATTTTTAGTAGAGACGGGGTTTCACCATGTTGGCCAGGCTGGTCTCGAACTTGTGACCTCAAGTGATCTGCCCTCTTTGGCCTACCAAAGTGCTGGGATTACAGGTGTGAGCCACCGCGCCTGACCGAACAACTTTATATATAAATATTTTTATTTATTTATTTTTTGAGACGGAGTTTCACTCTTGTTGCCCAGGCTGGAGTGCAATGGCATGATCTTGGTTCACCACAACCTCCACCTCCCAGGTTCAAGCGATTCTCCTGCCTCAGCCTCCCAAGCAGCTGGGATTACAGACATGCACCACCACACCTGGCTAATTTTGTATTTTTAATAGAGATGTGGTTTCTCTATGTTGGTCAGGCTGGTCTCTAACTCCCAACCTCAGGTGATCCGCCTGCCTTGGCCTCCCAAAGTGCTGGAATTAGAGGGGTGAGCCTCCGTGCCTGGCCTTATATAAATATTTTTATATATCTCATTATTGCATCAGGATAAATTCCTATACGTGGAATAATTGGGTTAGATTATGTAAGTATTTTGAAGCCTCATGGTATATATTGGTAAATCCCTATCTGGAAGTTTATACTGTTTGACGCAGGAGTTAAGGAACTAATTTTATAGAAGAAAATATTCGCCAGACGTGGTGGCCCACACCTGTAATTGTAACACTTTGGGAGGCCGAGGCGAGAGGATCACTGGAGCCTAGGAGTTTGAAACCAGCAATCTCTTAAAAAAGAAAAAAAACATGAAAAAGCTTGAATAAGTTCAAATTGCATCATGATTGCAGTTATAGAAAAATGTGTACGTGGACAAATATCAGGAGAGTGCATGAAATAAAAACTGTTCTGTAAGGGTGCTAACATTAGATTATAGTTGATATTTCAGATCTGTACACTTCCTGTAGAAAGTTTTGTCTTAGCCCTTTCGTTATGCATTTCAGCTAAGACCATTGGCTTTTTATTTTTTATTTTTATTTTATTTTATTTTATTTTTTTTTGAGACAGAGTCTTGCTCTGTTGCCCAGGTTGGAAAGCAGTGGTGCTGTCTTGGCTTACTGCAACCTCTGCCTCCTGGGTTCAAGCGATTCTCGTGCCTCGGCCTCCAAGTAGCTGGGATCATAGGCGCGTGCCACCATGCCCAACTAATTTTTTGTATTTTCAATAGAGACGGGGTTTCTCCATGTTACCCAGGCTAGTCTCAAACTCCTAGCCTCAAGTGATCCGCCCACCTCGGCCTCCCAAAGTGCTGGGATTACAAGTGTGAGCTGCCACACCCGGCCTATTGGTTTTTTAGAGAATTGTATAATAGTGTATCATAGTAGTTTTGTTCAGTCAACACAGCTGGAAAACTTGAGAGAAGCCTTCGTCTGTCTGATGTGTTAACAGATATTCCTCCAGAGCAGGTAGTCCTAGCCTGGAAAGGTGCCTGAGTAAGAGTATCACCTACTCAATGTTACCTTGGTAAGTGATTGACAAGGAAGACTCCAAGGGAACAAGAGGGTAAGGCAGGGAAACAAGTTGATAATCATTTGTGGTGACTTATTCCAGATAAGAATGGCTGAAGGCAGCTGTGGTCCAATGGGAACGGTCTTAGGGTTTGGAGGTCAGAAGGTGTAGGTTTGGGTTCTACCTCTGCCACTTGTTAGCTAAGTAATGTTAAATCACCTACCTTGGTTTCTTGGCTGTAAAATGAAAATTATAAAATAGTATAAAATAGTAATATTTTATACTATTATTTTTTACTATTTATAGTAATTATTTTTATACTATTATTGTACACTTATGTGTCAGGTACTGTTTTAAACACATTGCATAACAGGTTATTCCTCATAGCAACCCTATATATTGTGATATTATTATATATATTTTTAAGTTTTATTATTATTATTATTATTATTACTTTTAGAGATGGGGTCTTGCTACGTTGCCCAGGCTGGTCTTGAACTCCTGGGCTCAAGCAGTCCTCCCGCCTTGGCTTCCCAAAGTGCTGGGATTACAGGCATGAGCCACCTTGCCCAGCTGATACTATAATGCCTGTTTTGCAGATAAGGAAACTGAAGCTCAGAGAGGTTAAGTAACTTATGCAGGATCACAGCGAGTATGTAGTGAAGCTACTTTTGAAACCCAAAGTATCTCAGTTATGCTGTACTACCTCTCTTGAGGATAATGATGCTCAAAAAAGTGCTTTGCGAATTGTAAAACACCTACCAATAGTGACTAAAATACGTGAGGATATTCAGACAGTACACAGATAACAAATTAAGGAGACAATGGTGGGGCCAGGGGAAGAGGAACTCTCCCAGATATGCTTTAAGGCAGATCCTCTGAAGAGAGACCCTCTTAAGGAAATAATATATTTTCTTTAGAATTCTCTAATATTTATTATAGAACTACTGTGTTCAAGACTCTATAAGGTCGGGCGCGGTGGCTCATGCCTATAATACCAGCACTTTGGGAGGCCGAGGCGGGCAGATCACTTGAGGTCAGAAGTTCAAGACCAGCCTGGCCAACATGATGAAACCTTGTCTCTACTAAAAATACAAAAATTAGTGGGTGTGGTAGCGTGCTTCTGTAGTCCCAGCTACTCAGGAGGCCGAGACAGGAGAATCTCTTGAACCCAGGAGGTAGAGGTTGCAGTGAGCTGAGATCTCGCCACTGTACTCCAGCCTGGGCAATAGAGCAAGACTCTGTCTCAAAAAAATAAATAAGTAAATAAAGACCCTGTGGCAGGCACCACCTCATTATATCTCATCTAATCCTTTTCCCTGTTTTGGGATTTTTCAAAAAATTCTCTTAGAAAACCAAATGGTACTTAGAAAACCAAAACCAAGTTACTACCTCCCTAAAAGATAGGTAGTCTAACAATTATATCTTGCTGTATTGCTGTATGGTTTGAGGTTTTGTTGATGTGTCTTAGCATGGGATGATAAACTGAACTTCAGTGGAACTTGTTTTAAAGAAGTTACTGTATTTGTACCTTGCAGGCATAAAGGATTACAAATTTGAGAGATTTTATGTGGCCCTTTTAAAATGGCTTTGACTTGTTTTATTTTTTTGCGTGTCCTGGCCTGTTGTGGGGCATTTTAAAAAGTTAATTGAATTGGCCGGGTGGGGTGGCTCATGCCTGTAATCCTAGCACTTTGGAAGGCTAAGGCAGGCGGATCACTTGAGGTAAAGAGTTTGAGACCAGCCTGGCCAACATGGTGAAACCCCATCTGTACCAAAAATATATAAAAATTAACTGGGTGTGGTGGTGTGCGCCTGTAATCCCAGCTACTTGGGAGGCTGAGGCAGGAGAATTGCTTGAACCGAGAGGCGGAGGTTGCAGTGAGCCGAGATCATGCCACTGCACTCCAGCCTGGGCGACAGTTCAAGACTCCGTCTCAAAAAAAAAAAAAAAAAAAAGGCTTAATGAGTTAATTGACTTTTGCTGGAAGGCCAACTGATGTAGTAAAAATGGCCTGGGCTTTCCAGTGGTCATAGGTTCCAATCCCAATTCTGCCACTGTTGTAACTCAGTGACCTTGAGGAAGTTACGTTGTGACTTTGGTTTAATAATTTGTAGAAGGGGATTAGTAATAGCTTATTGGATTATCCTAAGGAATATGTAAGATTATATATTAAATTTCCTAGCGTGGTGCCAGCCTCAAAGGAGCTCTGCTCTGGATTGAGCCAAAGCTGTTTTCAGCAACTGTGTTGTATGGGGGCACATAAACGCAGTTGTATGCTTTTTCAAGAACCAATAAGAAGCAATAAAGAGATAATTGGAGGTGTGATTTTCCCTCCACAGGGCTGTGCTTAAGAGTAAAACTTCAGCGATGTTTACCATTTAAACATAAGGTAAGAAAGATGTATTTTTGTTGTTGTTGTTGTTGTAAAACAGCTTTGTTGAGATATAATTCACATACCACACAATTCACGTATTTAAAGTGTACCAATTCAGTGGTTTTTGCTTGTCTGTTACTCAGTTGATGGACATTTAGGTTGTTTCTACTTTTTGTCTATTATGAGTAATGCTGCTATGAACATTCATGTATAAGTTTTTGTGTAGGCATATATTTTCATTTCTTTTCCACCTGTGAGTGGAATCGCCCGGTCCTATGGTAACTCTGTGTTTAACATTTTGAGGAATTGTTTGTTTTCCACAGTGGCTGCACCATTCTGCGTTCCCACTTCTCCACATCCTTGCTAACATTTATTATTATCTTTGATTACAGGCATTCTAGTGGGTGTGAAGTGATGGTTTTTTGTTTTTGTTTTTTGAATCAGAGTCTCACTGTCACCCAGGCTGGAGTTCAGTGGCGCCATCTCAGCTTACTGCAACCTCTGCCTCTCAGGTTCAAGCGATTCTCCTGCCTCAGCCTCCCGAGTAGCTGGGACTACAGGTGCCCACCACCACGCCCAGCTAATTTTTTGTATTTTTAGTAGAGACGGGGTTTCACCATATTGGTCAGGCTGGTCTTGAACTCCTGACCTCATGATCCACCCGCCTCGGCCTCTCAAAGTGCTGGGATTACAGGCATGAGCCACTGTGCCTGGCCTTGTTTTTGTTTTTGAGACAAAGTCTTGCCCTGTCGCCAGGCTGGAGTGCAGTGGTGCAATCTCGGCTCACTGCAACCTCCGCCTCCAGGGTTCAAGCGATTCTCGTGCTTCAGCCTCCCAGGCAGTTTGGATTATAGGCATGTACCACCATTCCCGGCTAATTTTTTTTTATTTTTAGTAGAGACAGGGTTTCACCATGTTGGCCAGGCTGGTCTTGAACTCTTGGCCTCAAGTGATCCACTGCCTCGGCCTCCCAAAGTGCTGGGATTATAGGCATGAGCCACTGCACCCTGCTGTCATGGTGGTTGTGATTTTTATTTCTCTGATGGCTAATAATGTTGAGAACCTTTTCATGTGGTTTTTGGCCATTTGTGTATCTTTGGAGAGCTGTCTATTCAGATCCTTTGCCCATTTTAAAATAAGGATGTCTTTTTATTATTGAATTATAAGAGTTCTTTATATAGTCTAAATACAAGTCCCTTGTCAGATATGATTGGCAAATATGTTCTCCCATTCTGTGTGTTGTCTTTTCACTTTCTTGATGGTGTCCTTTACAGTACAAAAGTTTTAAATTTTCATAAAGTCTAATTTGTTTTTAATTTTTTAACTTGTGCTTTTGGTGTGATAATCTGAGGAAGATGTTTTTAACCCTACTATTGAGCAAGAATATGGATATCACAGTTAATTCATAGTAATTGGTTATCGCTCGTGAATGATTCGGCCTTGTCTCTTACTGCCTCTTGTAATTGCTGGGCAATTATGCCTTCTCTACCTGGCTGCTACCTAGCCTTTACACAGAGTACCCTGTCTACTTGGAGTTCCCTTCCTCCCATCTCATATGTTCAAATCCTACACATCTTTTTTGTTTGCTGTTGAGACAGGGTCTTGCTCTGTCTCCCAGGCTGGAGTGCAGTGGTGTGATCACTGCTTACTGCAGCCTCTATCTCCGAGGCTCAGCCTCCCAAGTAGCTAGGACTACAGGCGTGCACTGCCATGCCTGGCTAATTTTTTCTTAATTTTTGGTAGAGATGAGGTCTCTCTTTGTTGCCCAAGCTAGTCTCAAACTCCTGGGCTCAAGTGATCATCTTGCCTTGGCCTCTCAAAGTGTTGGGATTATAGGCATGAACCACTGGGCCTGGCCAAATCCTACCCACGTTTTAAGGCCCAGTGAAATACTATTTTATTTTCCATGATATCAGTCCTGATTTCTTTCTTCTTTTTAAGATGAATTTTTATTTATCTTTTAAATTTTTTTTTTTATTTTTTGTATTCACCTTTCCATACTACTAGTCCTGATTTCTGTAACTAAAGCTATTTCTTTTTTTGAATTGCCGTGGCTCTTTCTTTTTGTTTTTTTTAAAGACAGGGTCTCACCCTGTTGCCCAAGCTGGAATATAGTGGTATGATTACAGCTCACTGAACCTTTGATCTCCCAGGCTCAAGTGAGCCTCCCTCCTTACCCTCCCAAGTAGCTGGAACCACAGGTATATGCCACCATGCCCAGCTAATTTTATTTTTTGTAGTGACAGAGTCTCACTATGTTGCCCAAGCTGTTCGTGAACTCCTGGGCTCAAGCAGTCCTCCCGCCTTGGTTTCCCAAAGTGTTTCGGATTACAGGCGTGAGCCACTGCACCCAGCCCCGTGGCTCTTTCTTTGTCTTCTGATGTAGAGAGTGTCCTTTTCTAACTTGTGTTCTGTTTGTTTTTCATCTTCCCTCCTGGACTGTCAACTTCTCTCTCTTTTCTTTTTTTTTTTTTTTTGTTTGCGATGGAATCTCGCTCTGTCGCCCAGGCTGGAGGGCAGTGGTGCGATCTCGGCCCAGTGCAGCCTCTGACTCCTGGGTTCAAGCGATTATCCTGCCTCAGCCTCCCAAATAGCTGGGATTACAGGCGCATACCACCACACCCAGCTAAATTTTTGTATTTTTAGTAGAGACAGGGTTTTGCCATGTTGGCCAGTTTGGTCTTGAACTCCTGACTTCAGGTGATACACCCGCCTTAGCCTCCCAAAGTGCTGGGATCACAGGCATGAGCCACCATGCCTGACCAGCTAGCTGTCAGCTTCTTGAAGTCAAGATTCATATATGATACATCTCTGTGTTCCTGCTATGATCTTATACATATTTGGAGCTCAATAAATACGTCTTAAATTGAGTAAATTAATAAATTATTATACTAGTGGTTTATGATGCCCTGTAAATTTTATTTTTCATTTTTAACTGTTTTAATTACAATGTTTAACTTTTTATTTGAAATGAAAATAATGAAAGAAAAGAAATAAAATAGTGAAGAATAGTACAAAGAAATTCCATATATCCTTCACCCAGATTCAGATTCACTAATTGTTAACATTTTGCCACATTTGGTTTATCATTAATTTCTCTCTATATATGTACACACACATACACATATTTTCTGGAAATGTTTGAGTGCATTTGTAATGCCCCCTTACTCTAAATACTATAGGATGTATTTCCTGAAAACAAGGACATTCTCTTACATTACCACAGTATAAATTTCTAAACCAGGACATTGATACAGTACTGTCATCTCATCTACAGCACGTATTCCAATGGGTAACATCCTTCATGGCGGTCCCTCCTCCTGGCTCTGCTCCTCTCCCCCATCATACATTGCATTAGTTGCCATGTCTCTTTAGTCTCATTTAATTTAGAGTAGTTCCTTAGCCTTTATTTCATGATCTTGATATTTTTGAAGAATGTAAACCAGATATTTTATAGATTGTCCCTCAAATTGAGTTTTCTGATGTTTCCTGGTTAGATTCAGTTTGTGCATTTTTGGCAAGAATACTGAATAAATGTGTTCTCATTGCATCACATCAGAGGCCTATAAATTCAGTTTGTCCCATTATTGGTAACAGCTCCCCTCATCAATTGGTTACCCTGAAGTATAGTTCATATAGGAATAGCTGCATAAATGCTGCCTTTTCCCCTTTATCACTTTTAGAATAATGAGTCCTGTGTAATTTTAAACTGAAGTAAGTCAGTATAGAGTGATTCTATACCTGTTGCTTTGAGGTCTAGAATAAGAGTGTTTTGCTACTAGGAGAAAGGTGTTTTGTTTTGTTTTGTTTTGTTTTGTTGAGACGGAGTCTCGCTCTGTCACCCAGGCTGGAGTGCAGTGGCGCAGTCTCAGCTCACTGTAACCTCCACCTCCCGGGTTCAAGGGATTCTCCTGCCTCAGCCTCCTGAGTAGCTGGTAATACACGCCCGGCTAATTTTTTGTATTTTTAGTAGAGTTGGGGTTTTACTGTGTTAGCCAGGATGGTCTCGATCTCCTGACCTCGTGATCCGCCTGCCTCGGCCTCCCAAATTGCTGGGATTACAGGCATGAGCCACCACGCCCGGCTTGTTTTGTTTTTTAAAAAAAATTGGGGCCAGGTGCAGTGGCTCACGCCTATAATCTCTGTACTTTGGGAGGCCTAGATGGGCGGATCACTTAACCTCAGGAATTCAAGACCAGCTTGGGCAATATGGCGATACGCGGTCTCTACAAAAAAATAGAGACGAGGGAGGAGAGGGGTGGGAGTGTGGGAGCTGAGGTGGGAGGATCACCTGAGCCCAGGAAGTCGAGGCTGTAGTGAGACATGATCGCGCCACTGCACTCCAGCCTAGGCGACAGAGTAAGACCTGTCTCAAAAAAAAAAAAAAAAAAAAGATTGGACTAGATGACCTTTAAGGTCCCTTTTAACTATAATAAGTTATGATTTTTCTCACTCATGAGAAATGTTTATCTCCGTAGTAAATAAGTAAATAAAAATTAGTTCATATGTTCCAGTGTTCTCTGGAAAGTAGACGTCTTTATTACAGCATACTCTCTTTACCACAGGATTTGCAATAATTTTGTAGGTTGTCTTAAAAGCTCTGGGTCTTGGAGGGTAGCTCATGTCTATAGGTGCAGCAGGGCCAGGAGGGATAGCTTAACCAGTATTATACTTGAGAATAAATTTAGCATGATAATAATGAATGAGAAAAGAAGGATGCTGAAAACTATATTGTGATCCCATTTTTGTAAAACAAGCAATGTGAAGAAACTTCCAACCCTGATATGTGGGTGTGTGTGTGTGTAAAATCTGTGTAAGATTATGTGGGTAAAGAGAAGAATATGGAAGAAACCACACTAGATTGTTATTGTAGATTTCCTGAGTCAGTAGCAGGGCAGGAGGAAGTTTAGATACCGAGTTGGGAAGAAGTAGAGTGCAGAAAAGAGATATTCTTAAGTAAAACCACACATATGAGATCTCATTTGTGTAAAATGATATTTTTGTGTATTCATAAAAAAATTAATGGAAATACCACCTGCAGGCCTTTTCCAGGTGAACAAAATAAAAAATCCTACTCATTTCAGTCCTTTTTTTTTTTAGAGAAGGATGTGGGGGATTTGTCCCTATGTCTCTGATGTTAGAAACAGGATTTGGGGGGCGCTGGGCGCAGTGGCTCACGCCTGTAATCCCAACACTTTGGGAAGCCGAGGCGGATCACCTGAGGTCAGGAGTTTGAGACCAGTCTGGCCAACATGGCGAAACCCCATCTCTACTAAAAAAAAAAAATAATAATACAAAACTTAGCTGGGTGTGGTGGCGTCTGCCTGTAATTCCAGCTATTGGGAGGCTGAGGTAGGAGAATTGCTTGAACCCAGGAGGCGGAGGTTGCAGTGAGCCGAGATCATGCCACTGCACTCCAGCCTGGGCAACAGGGTGAGACTCCATCTCAAAAAAAAAAAAAAAGAAACAGGATTTGGGCACTCATCCCTAGATGTTTGAATTTACTGTACATTCCACTTCACTCTCTTATCTTAGAATGCATTAATGTTTTTTCTTTTACTTTTTTTCCCACTTTCCAGTTGGAAATCTACATTTCTGAAGGAACCCACTCAACAGAAGAAGACAGTAAGTGAATGTTGAAACATAATTGAAAAACAACTTCAGATAGTATTTTATCTTGGATACTGGATTCTTCTGCCAGCCAAGAATCTACTGGGTTACTTTCAAAAAAGTGCACAATTGGTTATTGGCTCTTCCTTCCTAGGTGAGGAAACCTAGGCATTTCAAAGAAGTAATTTTTGCAGTGGACTCCGAGTGCACTAGAGCCCACGGATGTTGACTGGTTTAGGCCAGTGGCTACACATCTGTAAAGAATATCCAGTGCTGGGGACCTTGACTTATGAGCTCTAAGTAGGCTTCTTTTCTTTGGTGACAGGATAGAGAGCTGTGTACTTGAAATTGAAGGTCTAGCAAGTAGAGCTTTAGTGAATCTTGGGGTAGGTGCTGTCTCTCTGGGTTAGTATATTAGAATGGGAGTGGGGAACCTTTTTTATATAGAGGACCTCTGGCCTACAGAGAGAAATCAATCAGTAGCTACTTAAAAATAGCAGAAGTGGGGTTTGGGAAAAGCAAAAAACAAAATGTTCTGTATGATCCCTGTGTTACATTAAAAACATAATTTTAATGTTTTTAATCTACAAATGATAGAGTGCAAATAATGAGAAATACATTTAAAAGGCATGTTGTACTTAAGTTTCATCACTAAGTAAATTGAGAAGGTGGGAAAAAATAGCAGAGGAATGGAAGAAAGAGCTAATAGAGGAAGAGCAACAGTGAGATAGATACCAAGAAGACTCAGAAAGGCATACACAGGGCTGGAGAGAGACACACAAAATCTCCTACATAAAAGAGAGCTATAGAGAGGGAAGCCTGCTGCTTCCAGAGGAACAGCCTATCCAGGAAACTTTTTAGGTACTGTCATGAAAACTGTTAAAAACCATGCCCTATTTATAGTTCTAGACATGTAGATTATTATACTCTTTGTGGGCTGAATTTCTTTAAACCCCACGAGCTGAGGGCTTCTACCTGTAATTTAGAAAAATAAGAGTTTAGGTACCCTAAATCCACTCAGGTTATCGTTTTGAAATTCCTTGAATGATAGGATTTTACAGCAGCAATAGTATTAAGTCTTATGAGTCTTGTTTTTCATTTAGTAAGTATTTATTAAGTGCCTTCTATGTGTGGGTACAGTTCAGCCTTTGAGATACATTCCTGCCTTTGTGGAGCCTACATTGTAGTAGGAAGAAACCAAATTGAAAGTATTTTCGCAGGAATATGTGTATGTTTGTGTGTCTTCTACATGAGACATTTCAGCGGCAGCCCAGAAAACTCAATCCACATTAAGAATATAGTCGTCTCTCTTTTGAACTCTTCTATTAAGAATGCTGTTAGCTAATTACAGAAAACATAATGGGCCAATACCTTTATTATATGAAGATCCATTCAAACTAATTTTAAAAAAAGATCTAGTAGATTAATAGAGACATGAACAGGAAATTCATGCAAGAAGAACTAATATATGCACATGGAAAATGTTCTATTTTCCTATTAGTCAAGGAAATGCAAATTATGACAATAATATTGAGCCGTTTTCCATCTCCTGTTTTATGTATGTATATATGTGTATTTGTTTTTATTAAATAATACCAGCTATTGCCCGGGCATGGTGGTTCACACCTGTAACCCTAGCACTTTGGGAGGCCAAGGCGAGAGAATGCCTTGAGGGAAGGAGTTTGAGGCCAGGATTTCAAGACTAGCCTGGGCAACATGGTGAGACCCTGTCTCTACGAAAATATTTGAAAATTAGCCAGGTGTGGTGGTTCATGCCTGTGGGAGGCTGAGGTAGGAGGATCTCTTGAGCCCAGGAGTTGGAGGTTACAGTGAGCTATGATTGCACCACTGCACTCCAGCCTGGATGACAGAGCAGGACCCTGTCTCAAAGAATAATAATAACAATGATAATAATACCAGGTATTGTTGCCAAACTGATAGCTCATGTATTGGTGTTGACAATATAAACTGGTGAGTAATTTTAGGAAGTAAATCAATGATATGAATCACACCATAAAAATATTCATACTCTTAAAAATAATCCCATTTTTGAGAATATTTCCAAAAAGAAGGCTATATGTTTAAAGGTATTCATTGTAGCATAGTCTTCATAATTACTTTAGAACACTTAAGACTTTTACCATGTTAAATAACCCTGTAGTTTAAAATATAGGCTTATGGGGGAAAAAATAGCAATTTTCAAAATTATATTTACTCTGAATGTAACTGTATAAAAATATGTGTATGGACAAAGACTGGAAAGAAAAAAATAGATGTGGTTAAGTAGTAGAATTCTAGTAGATATTTTTCTCTTAAGTCTGCCTTCTAGATGGGAAATTACATTATGAGTAATTAGCCAAAAACAGGTTTAAGTTCTCAAGGAGTTAAAGTTTTTGTTTCAGCAGGCTAATAAAAATACTGTCTGGTGCTGTATATTGACACAGTTCTTCTGCTAACTTTTGTCTGTGTATTTTTCAGTCAATAAGCAGATAAATGACAAAGAGCGAGTGGCAGCTGCAATGGAAAACCCCAACTTACGGGAAATTGTGGAACAGTGTGTCCTTGAACCTGACTGATAGCTGTTTTAAGAGCCACTGGCCTGTAATTGTTTGATATATTTGTTTAAACTCTTTGTATAATGTCAGAGACTCATGTTTAATACATAGGTGATTTGTACCTCAGAGTATTTTTTAAAGGATTCTTTCCAAGCGAGATTTAATTATAAGGTAGTACCTAATTTGTTCAATGTATAACATTCTCAGGATTTGTAACACTTAAATGATCAGACAGAATAATATTTTCTAGTTATTATGTGCAAGATGAGTTGCTATTTTTCTGATGCTCATTCTGATACAACTATTTTTCGTGTCAAATATCTACTGTGCCCAAATGTACTCAATTTAAATCATTACTCTGTAAAATAAATAAGCAGATGATTCTTATAATGACTCACTGTTTTTATTGAATTGTAAATTCCAGTGTAAATGTCAACTCCTAAAGGATATCTTCAAAGCTTTATTTTTGCTGATTATTTTGTAGAATCAGAGATCTGAGAACCAAAAGGAACCCTTAAGATTGGGCCTTCCTTCCTTCCAAGGAGAGTCCTGGACCCTTTCATAGATAAGGAACAAATGTGGAGAAGGCTAGATGGCATACACAATTTTGAAGATCAAGAAGTCCACCAAAGAAGTTTTGATTAAACCAACCTAAATGTATGGTCCGCACTTTATCTGTCCTTCATTTGGTTTGTTTTAGGGGTTAATGGTCATGTGAAGTATAGTAGCCTCCAACATGGCCCCCAAGATCCTCACTTCCTGGTATTCATGCCCTTGTATAGTTAACTTCCATATTGAATTGGAGCTGATGGGTGTGGCTAATAAAGAATGGCAGAGTGACAATGGGTGACTTCTGAGGCTAGATCATAAAAGGTATTGCTGTTTTCACCTTAGGCTCTTGGATTGCTTATTCTGTAGGAATCCAGCTGCTATGTCACGAGAACTCAAGCCACCCTGTGGAGAATTCCACACGGAGTGCAGCTGAGGCCTCCCAACAACAACCAGCAGCAATTTGCAAACCATGTGAGTGAACTCCTGATGCAGAACTGCCTAGCTCCCAAAGTCTGGACCCAGGCACTGTCTTGGGTGCCAAGGACACAAAGATACATCAGCCATTGTCTGTCCTCCTGGAGTTCATACTTATTAGCCTGGACCTTCAGCTTCTCTCTGCTCCAGGCAGTGAGTGATTCGGACTCAGTTTTATCTACTGCCTGAGCTCGTCCTGGCCAAGTAGAAACAGAAGCCGGGCAGCAGGTCCAAAGACAAAACCATGCCTTAGGGACTGTCTGGTGAGGACACTACTGACATGCAACTCCAAGTGGATCATTGCTACAGGAGTCACCTGAACTGCTGGCCCTGCTGCTCCTGGAAGCTAGATGTGACTTCTGTTGTCTCCGCTACTGCCAGAGTGATTTCTCATTTTTGTGTGACTCACTCCAGCTTCCTAGTCCTAGCTGAGATCTCTAGTCGGCTGATCTCAAGTCACATGTCCATGTCCTGGCTGCCAAGAAGGCGGGAGAAAAGAAAATCTGACCTTTGGTGTGGGGAGGTGGACTCTGTCCCCCCAGCAAGACTCACATGGTGGGAATTCTATAGTAGAGTGAGAGGGGTCAAAAAACTAACATCTACTGCATTAATTATATTAGAACATGAATTTAAACTTTATTAATCATAATGGTATCTACATAGAAGTGAAAAATAGAGGTACATATATAGTCAGAAGTAGTGTTATCTGGTCCATGTTTGGCAAGGGTTAGGAAACGTTTTTGGAAAAGGGCCACATAGGCAATATTTTAGGCTTTTCAAGCCATATGCTCTGTTGTAACTATTCAACTCTGCCCTTGTAGCACAAAAGCAGCTGATAGTCTGTAAACAAATAAGCATGATTGCACTCCAAGAAAACTTTATGGACACAAATTTGAATTTCATATAATTTTCATGTGTCATGAATTAATATTTTCCTTTTTAATTTTTTCAACCGTTTAAAAATATAAAAACCATCTTAGCTTGTGGGTTGTACAAAATTCCAGCATTGGGCTGGATTTGGCCTGTGTGCCATTAGCAAACTCCTGATTTACAAGAATGATTATCCTTTCTGAAAAGTCAGACCAATTGGAAAATCAGATAAAAGATGTGGAATGGGCCCTCTCCCTAGGGAGAAAAAGGCACTCACATGAAACTGCATGTGACTCCAGGACATTCACAGACTTGCTAAGGAGCCAGTGGACCCCGGGTTAATAACTCTGCTTTACAAGTAATGCTAGCTGAGCACTGGGCTCCCCCCTCCTTTAATAACCCCCCAGAGCCCTGAGGGTTCACAACTTTGGGAGTATAGGGGCAGAAGGTGTGATACCTTTCCTCACCCATCATAAAGGTCATGGCCAACACCCCCGTGACAAAAGACAGGGTAACAAGAGAAAAGCATAACAAATGTGGTCAATCCAAGTTTTATGTGACACAGCAGGCTTCAGATAGGAAGAATCCAAAGACCCAGGGAAAACTGTCTTATTTTTCTGCTTAGGTTTGACGAAGAGTGGACAATTGTGTAGAAATGTGATTGGACAAAAAGTGCGATCTAATGGTAATGGACTAAGTGGGGAAACCCAGCAAGGACTATCTCTTCAGATTCTTCTTGGCCTTTCTGTGTAGCATTCCTTCCTCCTGGGTATGGGGCAGTCTTATGACCTACTGTTAGATAAGGCAGGTCAGAGAATTTCTTTATGGCCAGCTCATGCACAGAAAGGCGGGGGAAAGTTAGAGTAATATTTCTAGGTTTTGTGGTTTGCTTTTTGTTGTTGTTACTGTTTTTGTTTTTGAGATGGTCTTGCTCTGTTGCCCAGGCTGGAGTGCAGTGGCACAATCATGGCTCACTGCAGCCTCAACCTCTCAGGCTCAAGTGATCCTCCCACCCCAACTTCCCAAGTAGCTGGGACCACAGGTGCATACCACCATGCCCAGCTAAATTTTTTTTTGTATTTTTTTGTAGAGATGGGACTTTGCCATGTTTCCCAGACTGGTATGGCTTGCTTTGAAAAGAGGTTCTGGTTTCTATTTCCTCCCTTGGGGAAGACAGATTCTGTTTTCTATGACTCCCTTTGGAGGAGGAAGGGGCAGGAGACAGCAGGGCAGGATATGGTCAGAGAGAGTCTTTGCTTTTGAGGCTGCTTCTGAGGCTTTCTATTCTTCTTTAATTCACAGCACACCAAGGAGCCATATTTTGGGTTATTGCTTTCTGAGCCCCAGTAGGAGCCACTACCTTCTTGTTTTTGCTTTTGAGACAGGGTCGCTCTCTGTCGCCCCTGCTGGAGTGAAAAGGCACCATCAGGGCTCACTGCAGCCTCAAACTACTGGGCTCAAGCAATTGTCCCACCTCAGCCTCCCAAGAAGCTGGGACTACAGATGAGAGCTACCACGCTCAACTAATTATTTATCCACTGCTTTCTTAGACCGTTACAAATAAGAAGCTTATGGCCGGGCGTGGTGGCTTAGGTTGGGTGCAGCGGCTCACGCCTGTAATCCAAGCACTCTGGGAGCCGAGGCGGGTGGATCACGAGGTCAGGAGTTCAAGACCAGCCTGGCCAAGATGGTGAAACCCCATCTCTACTAAAAATACAAAAATTAGCTGGACATGGTGTCACGTGCCTGTAATCCCAGCTACTCGGGAGGCTGAGGCAGAGAATTGCTTAAACCTGGGGGGCGGAGGTTGCAGTGAGCCAAGATTGCGCCACTGCACTCCAGCCTTGGCAACAGAGTGAGATGCTGTCTCAAAAAATAAAGAAAAAAATAAAAGAAAGGAAGAAAAAAAGGAAAAAAAAAAAGCAGCTTTCCCAGCTCCACCATGAAGCAACTGCTACCAAAACTGCAGATGTGTCCAGCAGGACACAATTAACTGTAGTTAGTGGGGGCCAGTTTACTAGGAAGGGGTAGGATTGCTATAAAAGTCTCATTGCACTCATATCCCAGGTGGTTTTCTGCATGTGTTAATACCATGGTAGAAAACAAGCCAGTGAATTGTTGGGGTTCAAACTCATTACTGATGCACCACTACTGTTAATACTCTTTTTTTTTTTTTTTCTGGGACATGGTCTCACTCTGTCACCGGGGCTGGAGTGCAGTGACACGATCATGGCTCTATCTCCCAGGCTCAAGCTATCCACCCGCCCCAGCCTCCCGGGTAGCTGGGACTACAGATGCACGCCACCAAAGCTAGCTAATTTTTAAATTTCTTGTAGAGATGAGGTCTCACTATATTGCCTAGGGGGTCTCAAACTCCTGGGCTCAAGCGATCCTCCCACTTTGGTCTCCCAAAGTGCTGGGATTAAAGGCATGAGTCGCTGTGCTCAGCCACATTATTTCTGATATCTTTTTGTATATATGAAATACAAGTAAAGATTTTTCCAAAAAACTTCATTGGATTTAGCCTGAACTGGTGGTTGTCCATGACTCAGGTTAGACTGCCTATAGGGCATGAGCGAACCCAGTTCTGATATGGACTTATTTGGGGCAGATGTACTGGATGTGGAGAGGATGTTGCTGTATGGGCTGTCAGGTTCTCTCCAAGTGCTGTTAGCACCATGCAGACCCTGGATCCTCTTCACAAAGGATGTGGTCAAGAGCACAGACACTGGTGCCAAACTGCCATCTTGTTCTAATCCAATACTCAGTCACTTAGTAGCTGTGTGACTTTGGGCAAGTTACCTAGCTTCTCTGTATTTTAGTTCCCTCGTTTGTAAAATGGGGATGATAAAATTACCTATTTCGTGGGGCCCTTATGAGGACTAAAAAAGGGAATGCTTGTAAAGTGCTGAGCACAACGCCTGGAACCTAGTAAATGCTTTATTAGGGTTTGTTAAAAATAGAGAAGGCCAGGTGCAGTGACTCACGCCTGTAATCCCAACATTTGGGAGGCCAAGGTGGGCGGATGGCTAGAGCTCAAGAGTTTGAGACCAGCCTAGGCGACATAGCGGGACCCTGTCTGTACAAAAAATCAAAAAATTAGCAGGGCGTGGTGGTGCACACCTGTAGTTCCAGCTACTTGGGGGGCTGAGATGGAAGGATCGCTTGAGGCCAGGATATTGAGGCTGCAGTGAACCCTGATTGCGCCACTGCACTCCCTCCTGGGTGGCAGAGCGAGACCCGCATCTTCCGGGGTAGGGGAGAATAGAGGAAAGGGCTGCTCGGTGCTAACTTGGAGAGTTTTTCCTCTGGGGTGGGTGCGATTATCTGGGAGAACACCAGATGGCAGCAAAGCATTATTTCTTAGTGACAGAGCATACCCACTTGGCATCAGCTGCCCTGGGTTTTCCCAAAGGCCCTGAGGGCACACTCACTGCCCCTCTAACCGGGCTGCACTAAGTGGTACCAGACCACCATGGACTTATTGCAGCCTGTGCCTTTGTTCTGACTGGAGTGATTATCACTGAAGACTTTTTTTTTTTTGAGAGGGAGTCTTGCTCTGTCACCCAGGCTGGAGTGCAGTGATGTGATCTCAGCTCACTGCAACCTTCACCTCCCAGGTTCAACCGATTCTCCTGCCTCAGCCTCCTGAGTAGCTGGGATCACAGGTTCATGCCACCACGTCCAGCTAATTTTTTGTATTTTTAGCAGAGACGGGGTTTCACTGTGTTAGCCAGGATGGCCTCCATCTCCTGACCTAGTGATCTGCCTGCCTCGGCCTCTCAAAGTGCTGGGATTACAGGTGTGAGCCTCGGCACATGGCCCATCACTGAAGACTTTCTTAGATATGGAACTCTTTGCCAAAGATTATGAATGATTTTGAGGCTTTGATACATATTGTTGAATTGGCCTCTGGAGAAATTGTACCAATTGACACCCAACCAAGAGTGGGGTAGGTGTTCCTGTTCTACAGTAATATTGGGTATTATTATTTTAAAAAATATTTGCCCAAGGTGGAGGATTTTGAAAAGGTTTTTCATTAGCATCTATTTGTAAGGTTAAACATGTAGAATTTTTTTTTTTTGAGATAAGAGTCTTTCTCTGTCATCCAGGCTGGAGTGCGGTGGTGCTTTCATACTCACTGCAGCCTCAAACTCCTAGGCTCAAGCAATCCTCCAGCCTTAGCCTCCCGAAGCGCTGGGATAACAGGTGTGAGCCACTGTGCCTGGCCTCTACTGGAATGTTAATGTTTTAAAAAGCTAATTATACAATACAAATATTAGCATTTTCTGTCACATATACTGCAAATATATTTCCTATTTTCTTGTTGTGTAAACATGTTTGACCCTATGTCATGAATGATATGACGATCACAGCATCATTTTTTATCATGAAAAATGTGCAACTTAATGACTAACAACATGTTAGTCATCTGCAGTTTTTTGTTTGTTTAAGATACCAGGATCTTGCTCTGTTGCCCAGGCTGGGGTGCAGTGGCAAGATAATAGCTCACTGTAGCCTCTAACTCTTGGGCTCAAGCAATCCTCCTGTCTCAGCCTCCTGAATAGCTGGGACTACAGGTGCAAGCCACCACACCCAGCTAATTTTTGTGTGTTTGTTTTTTGTAGAGATCAGGTCTTGCTATGTTGCCCAGGCTGGTCTTGAACTCCTGGGCTCAAGTGGTTCTCCCATTTCAGCCTCCCAAGTAGCTGAGATTTTTATATTTTTATTCATTTCTTTCTTTTTTTTTTTTGAGACGGAGTCTTGCTCTGTCGCCCAGGCTGGAGTGCAGTGGTGCAATCTCCACTAACTGCAACATCCGCCTCCTGGGTTCAAGTGATTCTCCTGCTTCAGCCTCCCAAGTAGCTGGGATGACAGCTGCGTGCCACCATGCCTGGCTTTTATTTAGTTTTTGAATGAGTAATACCACAGGTGGTTCAACATCAAAAAGCATTCAAAGGTATATACAGTGAAAAGACTCCTTCCCGATTTAGTTCACATCCTTTTCCAGTAGGTTTCATGATTAATCGCTCTTGTAGCTTCAGAGTTTTTTATGCCTGTAAATGCCAGAACACATATGCTCCTTTTTTGCTTACATTTTAGCATATGTTGTGCTAGAGTGCAGTGGCACAATCACCAGGTTCAAGCAATTCCCCCACCTCAGCCTCCCAAGTAGCTGGGACTACAGGCATGGGCCACCATGCCTGGCTAATTTTTAAATTTTTTGTAGAGGCAGGGTTTTGCTGTGTTGTCCAGACTCTTGAACTTCTGGCCTCAAGCAATCCTCCTGCCTCGGCCTCCCAAACTGTTGGGATTACTGGTATGAGCTACCATTCCTATCCAGTTTGTCCTTTTTTACTTTTTCTCTTTTTTAATTGCCATAAATATACTTTTATGGGATTTAATTTGTCATTCCTTAATTTTATGTATCCTGGACTTTTTTGGTCATAATTAGAAAGGTCTTTCCCTCTCCTAGGGGAATATTTTTCCTATCCTTCCCTTTAATACTTTTATGATTTTATTTTTAAACATTTCAATCTTTGAGTCATTTGGAATTTACACTGGCATAAGTACTCAGTATAATTTACTAAATACTCAGTATAAATACTCAGTACAGACTACTGAGAATTTATACTGGTATAAATGCTGAACCAACTCAGTTTTGTATCCAGATGACTAGTTATTGTCTTGACATCCCTTATTGAATAGTTTATCTTATCCATGACCATTATTTTCAAACCCTACGTTATGAATCATATGATGATCACAGCATCATTTTTTATCATGAAAAATGTGCAACTTAATGACTAACAACATGTAAGGCATTAAATAATTGATACTACACTTATTTAATGGAATCTTGATGTTTTCAAAGACTCTTTAATTACATGGGAAATTCTCAAGACAAAATTAAGACAGGCAAGATACAAAATAATATATGCCAAGTGATCCCAATTAAAAACAAGAGTGTATTTATGTATAAAAATAGAAGAAATATCAACATTTTAAGAGTATTTTATTTCTGTCTTTTAAAAAGTTTATCTGCAATGAATGTTTCCTTTTGATAAGTTGATAACCCCTAATAAATATTATTTAAAACACCAAAAAAGACTCATGTACGCAGGGCACAGTGGCTCACGTCTGTAATCCCAGCACTTTGGGAGGGCAAGGTGGGAGGATCGATTAAGGCTAGGAGTTTGAGACCAGCCTGGGCAACATAGCAAGACCCTGTCTCTACAAAAATAAATTAAAATAGTTGGGCATAGTGGCATGTGCCTGCCATCCTAGGTACTAGGGAAGCTAAGGCGGAGGGTCACTTGAACTCAGGAGGTCGAGGCTGCAGTGTGCTGTGATTGCACCACTGTACTCCCACCTTGGTGACACAGCAAGACCTTGTCTTTAAAACAAAACCAAAACACCTCTTGTGGTATATGTGTCTTTTATAAAACCATTTTTAAAAATATATTTTTAAGGTGGGAAATACAATGTATTTTCTCTCTTGGGAAAGTTTCCCTTGATTTTATCCAAACTCTTGGGGGCTGGAGCTGTAGCCCACTGCTCACATTCTTAGCTATTTCTAATGTATTTTCTATTTCATGTCTCCTCAGGTGTCTCCTACAGCTACTGGTGTGTTTTTTGCATATTGGCCTTCCAACATTTCTTGTTGAATTATTTCAGGCTCACCTTGGTCATAATGAGTGGATCTGGCTTTACCCAGGGCTTCAGCCTTTAGCATTTCACATGAGGAATATCCACTGAGCTGGGGGTCAAGAGGCCTGACCTTTAATCTTGGCTCTGCCCCAGGCAAGTGTGAACTTGGGTAAGTCACTCTTGCTCTGGTGGGCCTCCTTCTGTCTTCTATAAAGTTAATGTGTTAGGTGATCTCTAAAGTTCCTTCTGGTTTTGAATGTCTAACTATAGAAGCCACAGTGAATGTTGGCTTTCTAGGGGTTCCGAGGATCCTTTAGCATCATTAACAACAAGCGAGATTAATACTGAGTTTGGTCTACAGTTGCTAATCCACTGATTCATGCAGAATTAAAAATGATCATGACCTTTTACCAAAACTTATTAGCTTAATAAATCTCTCTGTGTGTGAGTGTGTGTGTGTGTGTGTGTGTGTGTGTGTGTGTTTGCTTTTTTTTTTTCCTGCAACCTCCACCTCCTGGGTTCAAGCAATTCTCCTGCCTCAGACACCCGAGTAGCTGGGATTACAGGTGCCCGCCACCACGCCCAGCTAATTTTTTGTGTTTTTAGTAGAGATGGGGTTTCACCATGTTGGCTAGCCTGGTCTCAAATTCCTGACCTCGTGGTTCGCCTGCCTGGGCCTCCCAAAGTGCTGGAATTATAGGCATGAGCCACCGTTACCGACCTGCTTTTTGTTTTTTAAGGAGTGTTATGGTTCCTAGGCTTTTTTTGTTGTTGTTCTGATTAAGCAAATTTAGCTAAACTGGGTCCTGTCAACTGAGTTTTCTTGTAGCTGGATGCCTCAGGCTGTCACAACTGTGGGTGTTTTTTGTTTTGGTTTTTGTTTTTTTTTGGCTACATTAAGCTGAGTCTATTCAGATGAGACAGAATGTAAAGTGAGTATGTGTGCAAGATTGCCTTGCAAGGTGAAACTTACCAAGTTGCAGAGCCTTGTGAGACCTACATTTCTCCCACTGAAAAACGTGGCTACCATCAGGGACAGTGAGGGCTAATTTTGTGTTAATCTAATTCTCCAACTTCATTTTACAGGTAAGAACACTGAGGCCAGGAAATGTTGAGTGACGTGTCCATACTCACATAGCATGGAAGAATCAGAGGCCATGGGGTCAGGACCTATGGGCTTAGGATATACCGGAAGAGGCCTGATTTCCAGTCGAGCATTTGCCAAAAATCAGCAGCGTGATTTGGGCAAGTCATTTTCCCTATTGATTAAAGTGAATTAACAGAACACAGTGCAAAATTTTCTAGGTTCCTTATCTATTTTGTGGATTGAAAATAGGGTCCAGGTAGATTGACAGACATAGAACTTCCTGGTGAAATAAATGGGACGTAGCTGGACACAATAATCAAGATATGATTTTACTCATTTTGCCATTTTCATCATTTTCTGAAGGATATTTACAGTTTAATGTGTCTTCACATTAGCAATGTTTGATGCTCTTGGCAATTATTTTCCTCTTAGCAAGATTTTGCAAAAGAATACATTACCCTTTACTAAGTGCTGTTGTTGAACAGAAATGAAGCTGAGGAAATCTGCATGAGCTTTAAGGACCTCAGCACTCACTAATAGGTCTAAAAACTTAATGAGCATTAATGGGCATTAAATGCAATGCTTATTCATTTTTTTTCTGGAATGAAGAGACCCCCATGGATATAAGCTTACCATCCTCAGAACAGCTTCTGTTGTAGATATTTTGTTTTATTAATTAACCTAGTTTTCTTTAATCATAGAAGTAATATAGAAATATAGCAAAACCAAAAAAGTTCAAAAAATATAAGATGAAAACTAGAAGTACCCCTTTTGGCCCAACCCAGTGATACTCACTACTGTGATCTGAATGTTTATGTACCCTCCAAATTCATATGTTGAAATCCTAACCCCCAAAGTGATGGTATTCGGAGGTGGGAACTTATTAATGAGTATTAGGAGGTGGGTGTTGATTAGGTCATGAGAGCAGAGCACACCCCCACTTCCCACCCCCTGCTTTCTTTTTTCTTTTTGAGACAGGGTCTCACTCTGCCTCCTAGGCCAGAGTGCAGTAGCGCAATCATAGCTCACTGAAACCACGCACTCCGGGGCTCAAGCAATCCTCCAGCCTCAGCCTCTCAAGCAGCTAGGACTATGGGTGCACACCACTATGCTCATCTAATTTTAATTTTTTGGTAGAGAGGGTCTCGCTATGTTGCCCAGGCTGGTCTCAAACTTCTGCCTCAAGCAATCCTCCAGTGTCCGGAATTGGTGGGTTCTTGGTCACTGACTTCAAGAATTAAGCCATGGACCCTAGCAGTGAGTGTTACAGTTCTTAAAAGCGGCGTCTCCGGAGTTTGCTCTTTCTGATGTTTGGATGTTCAGATGTGTTCGGAGTTTCTTCCTTCTGGTGGGTTCGTGGTCTCACTGGCTCAGGGGTGAAGCTGCAGACCTTCCTGGTAAGTGTTACACCTCATAATGGCAGTGTGGACCCAAAAAGGGAGCAGCAGCAAGATTTATTGCAAAGAGCAAAACAACAAAGCTTCCAGTGTGGAACGGGACCTGAAGGGCTTGCCACTGCTGGCTGGGGCAGCCTGCTTTTATTCTCTTATCTGGCCCCACCCACATCCTGCTGATTGGTCCATTTTACAGAGAGCCAAGTGGTCTGTTTTGACAGGGTGCTGATTGGTGCGTTTACAATCCCTGAGCTAGACACAAAGGTTCTCCACCTCCCCACTAGATTAGCTAGATAGAGAGTGTAGACACAAAGGTTCTCCAAGTCCCCACCAGAGTAGCTAGATACAGAGTGTTGATTGGTGCATTCACAAACCCTGAGCTAGACACAGGGTGCTGATTGGTGTGTTTACAAACCTTGAGCTAGATACAGAGTGCCGATTGGTGTATTTACAATCCCTTCGCTAGACATAAAGGTTCTCCAAGTCTCCACCAGAGTAGCTAGATAGAGTGTCCATTGGTGCGTTTACAATCCCTTAGCTAGACATAAAGGTTCTCTAAGTCCCCACCAGACTCAGGAGCCCAGCTGGCTTCATCCAGTGGATCCCCCACCAGGGCCGCAGGTGGAGCTGCCTGCCAGTCACGCGCCCTGCGCCCGCACTCCTCAGCCCTTGGGTGGTTGATGGGACTGGGCTCTGTGGAGCAGGGGGTGGCGCTTGTCAGGGAGGCTCCCGCCGCACAGGAGCCCACCGAGGGAAGGGGGGAGGCTCAGGCATGGCGGGCTGCAGGTCCCGAGCCCTGCCCCGTGGGGAGGCAGCTAAGGCCCGGCGAGAAATCAAGCTCAGCGCTGGTGGGCCGTCACTGCTGGGGGATCCAGCACACCCTCCGCAGCGGCTGGCCCGGGTGTTAAGCCCCTCATTGCCTGGGGCCAGCAGGGCCAGCCAGCGGCTCTGAGTGCGGGGCCCGCCGAGCCCACACCCACCCGGAACTCGCGCTGGCCCGCAAGTACGGCCCGCAAGTACCGCCCGCAGCCCCGGTTCCCACCCGCAGCCCCGGTTCCCACCCGGGCCTCTCCCTCCACACCTCCTCGCAAGCTAAGGGAGCCGGCTCTGGCCTCAGCCAGCCCAGGAAGGGGCTCCCACAGTGCAGCAGCGGGCTGAAGGGCTCCTCAAGTGCCGCCAAAGTGGGAACCCGGGCAGAGGAGGTGCCGAGAGCAAGCGAGGGCTGTGAGGGCTGCTAGCACGCTGTCACCTCTCACTCCCACCTCAGCCTCCCAAAGCGCTGGGATGACAGACATGAGCCACTGTGCCTGTCCCAGAGCCCTTTTAAAAGATTAGTGCCCTTATAAAAGAGGCCGGGGACAGCTGCCTTGCCCCTACCATCATGTGAAGACACAATGAGAAGGCTCCATCTATGAGCCAGAGAGTTGGCCCTCACCAGACCAATTTGCCAGTGCCTTGAACTTGGACTTCCCAGCCTCCAGAACTGTAAGAAATACATTTCTGTTGTTTATAAACTACTCAGTTTATGGTATTTTGTTATAGCAGTCCAAATAGACTAAGACATCCCTAGAGACAACCACTTTCAAAAATTTTTAGTTTTGCTGTTTCTGCTACTTAGTAAATTTTTTTTTTTTTTTTTTTTTTTTTTTTTTTTTGCGATGCAGTCTTGCTCTGTGGCCCAGGCTGGAGTGCAGTGGTGCAATCTTGGCTCACTGCAGCCTCTACCTCCCGGGTTCCAGCGATTCTCCTGCCTCATCCTCCTGGGTAGCTGGGATTATAGGTACATGCCACCACTCCTGGCTAATTTTTGTATTTTTAGTAGAGATAGGGTTTCACCATGTTGGCCAGGCTGGTCTTGAACTCCTGACCTCAGGTGATCTGCCTGCCTTCACCTCCCAAAGTGCTGGGAGTACAGGTGTGAGCCACCATGCCCAGCCTACTGTAGTAAATTTTATGTTATATTTTCCCCCACTTTTTTTTTTTTAAATTTTTAGTAGCGATGAGATCTCACTATGTTGCCCGGGCTGATCTCAAACTCCTGGCTTCAAGCAGTCCTCCTCCCTCAGCCTCCCAAAGTGCTGGGATTACAGACATGAGCCACCACACCTGGCCTTTTCTTTTGTTTAGGGAAAAAGCATATAAATTTTATTAACATGTACATGGGGGTGACCACAGAGTGATTACCCCTATGTTCCCCAACTTTTGATTTAAAAAAATTTCAAACTGGCCAGGCATGGTAGCTCACGCCTGTAATCTCAGCACTTTGGGAGGCTGAGGAGGGTGGATCATGAGGTCAGGAGTTCAAGAACAGCCTGGCCAAGATGGTGAAACTCCATCTCTACTAAAAATACAAAAATTAGCCAGGCGTGGTGGCAGGCGCCTGTAATCCCAGCTACTCAGGAGGCTGAGGCAGAGAATTGCTTGAACCCAGCAGGCAGATGTTGCAGTGAGCCAAGATTGCACCATTGCACTCCAGCCTGGGTGACAGAGCGGGACTCTGTCTCAACAACAACAACCACCACAACAACAAAAATTCAAACTTACAGGGAAGTTGCGAAAATTTACCTAGATTCACTTATCAACTGTTAACCATTTGCCATATTTGGCTTTCTCTCACTGTACATATATACAAATTTTCTTTTTTGCTGAATCATTTGAGGAACAGATGTAGACATAGAGCCATTTTTCCTCAAATATGCATGCTCCAAGAATTAAGGATATTTGGCTAGGAGTGGTGGCTCATGCCTGTAAGCCCAGCACTTTGGGAGGCCAAGGCAGGTGGATTGCTTGAGGCCAGGAGTTTGAGACCAGCCTGGCCAATATGGCGAAACCCCATCTCTACTAAAAATAAAAACATTAGCCAGGCATAGTGGAAGGTGCCTGTAATCCCAGTCACTAGGAAGGCTGAGGCACGAGAATCGCTTGAACCTTGGAGGTGGAGGTTGTAGTGAGCCGAGATCATGCCACTGTATTCCAGCCTGGGTGACAGAGTGAGACTCTGTCTCAAAAAAAAAAAAAAAAAAAAAAAAAGAATTAAGGACATTCTCCCCTATAACCACAATATACTTCTCCCACTTAGAAAATGTTATCACTGACATGATTATCTAATAAAATGTCCATATTCAGATTTCCATAATTGTCCAATAATGTCTCTTTCAACATTATTGAAATAATTTGTTTCAATCCAGGATCCAGTCACTCATCACAAGTGACACTGAATTTGTTATGTCTCTTCAGCCATATTTTTCTTTCATGACACTGATATTTTTGAAGGATACAGGTCAGTTGTTTTTTAGAATATCCCTCAATCTGGACTTGTCTGATTGCGTCCTTGTGATTAGATTCAGAGTCTACATTTTTGGCAGAACTACGGAGATCATGTGATATCTTGGTCCTGCACACCGTAGACACATGGTGTCAGTTTGTCTTATTATAATTGATGCTAAGTTAGTTTGGTCATTTCCTTAAGGATGGATATGTCAGATTCCTCCCAAATTACTCACAAATGAGTAATTTGTGAGGTGATACCTAGAGACCAGATGAGTACCCTGTTCCCCAACAATCGTTCACTCAGTGTTTTTGTTGTTTTGTTGTTTATTGAGACAGAGTCTTACTCTGTCACCCAGGCTGGAGTGCAGTGGCGTGATCTTGGCTCACTGCAACCTCTACCTCTTGGGTTCAAGCGATTCTCCTGCCTCAGCCTCCCAAGTAGCTGGGATTACAGGCACCTGCCACCACGCCTGGCTAAATTTTTATATTTTTAGTAGAGACAGGGTTTCACCATGTTGACCAGGCTGGTCTTGAACTCCTGACCTCAGGTAATCCACCCACCTCGGCTCTCAAAGTGTTGGGATTACTGGCACGAGCCACCGTGCCTGGCCTCAGTGGTTTTATTATCCAGTGATGCTCCTTGCCTGAATCACTTATTACTATGTGCTGCTTAAGTGGTGATTTTTAAAATTCCATTACTTCTTCTATACTTATTGGTTGGCATGTTTCTTGAAAATATCATTTTCCTTTCCTTCCCTCTCCTTTAAAAAATTTAAACATTTTTTATTTTAGTATTTATTTTTATTTTTTATAGAGACAGCGTCTTGCTTTGTCACCCAGGTTGGCGTGCAGTGGTGTGATCATAGCTCATTGCAATCTTGAAATTGTGGGCTCAAGTGATCCTCCTGACTCAATCTCCCACGTAGCTGAGACTACAAGCATGCACTACCATTCCCAACTAAGTTTTTCTATTTTTTAGAGACAGAGTCTTGCTATGTTGCCCAGGCAAGGCTCAAACTGCCGGCCTCAAGCAATTCTCCTGCCTTGGCCTCCCAAAGTGCTGGCATTACAGATGTAAGCCACTGCATTTGGCCAAACATTTTTATTTTTAAATAGATTGGAACACATAGATTCTTTTTTTTTTTTTTTTTTTTTTTTTTTTTTTTTTTGAGAGATGGAGTGTCACTCTTGTTGCCCAGGCTGGAGTGCAACGGTGCAATTTCGGCTCACTGCAACCTCCGCCTCCCAGGTTCAAGCAATTCTCCTGCCTCAGCCTCCTGAGTAGCTGGGATTACAGGTGTCCAGTACCATGCCTGGCTAATTTTTTGTATTTTTAGTAGAGATGGGGTTTCACCAGGTTGGCCAGGTTGGTCTTGAACTCCTGACTTCAGGTAATTCACCCACCTCAGACTCCCAAAGTGCTGGAATTACAGGCATGAGCCACCACGCCCGGCTGGAAGACATAGATTCTTTTAAAATTATCTGATGTGTTCTAATCTGGTCCTGTCATTATTTATTTCAATACTGAAATAATTCCTAATCTGGCCAGTGAGAGCCCTCTGAAGTTGGCTTCCTTGTCCTCTTGGCATGTTACTGTCATTTTTGAGCACTTTCTTACTTTGTGGCACAAGATGCTCTAGGTTACTTTGTACTCTTCCTGCTCCAGCCCTGGTATCAGGCATTTCCCTTAGGAAACTTCTGTTATAATTTAGATTTATTTATTTATTTTTGAGAAGGAGTCTCACTCTGTCGCCCAGGCTGGAGTGCAGTGGTGTGATCTTGGCTCACTGTGACCTCCACCTCCTGGGCTGAAGTGATCCTCCCACCTCAGCCTCCCGAGTAGCTGGAGCTACAGGCACACCACCACACCCGGCTACCATTAATAATTTAAAATAACATAAGCTGGAGCAAATTCCCTTCCTTCTATTGCTTTTTCCCTTTCCACTTCCCAAATTTGCTATACATTTTTTTCATTGTCAAGATTAATAACATGACGTTTTGATGTGTGCCTATAAACTAGTCTATCCTTTATGCTCATAGGTTGCTTCTAAAAAATTAAAAACCAATAAATGACTTATTTTATGATTTTATATATACAGTATAATATTCTCTCTAGAACCAAATACACGTTGGGTCTCAAATTTTTGTAGATATGCATCTCCTTCAGGGCCTGTTGAAGATCACATTTCTCAGCCCCAGAAGTTCTGAATCAATTTTAAGGGGCCCAGTGATTCTAGTACATTCTGAAGAGATGTTATTGGTTATATAAAGAAAGAAGGAAATGTAATTTCATGCTATTAAACTTTGGCAACTTGTCTAAGAGTCCTCCAAATGTCAGCCCCTGTTTTCTTTCCAGCTGTATTTTCTTGAGTCTTATTTGGCCCAAACTATTTCTTATATCCCATATCACCCTCTTTCTGTGATTCTTCTTTTTTTCTGAATATACATTCCTTCTTTCTTGGATTCTTTAAACTTCTGTTTACACTTTCTAGAGTAATTTTTTTATATCTGTTTTGTATGTTAAAATTTCTGAGCCATTTTATAAAAATTGCTTCATTTTGCTGTCATACTTAGAAGACAGTTTGGCTTGACTAAAGTCTGTTGTTCTGATATGTATTCTTGAGGCAAGATGCCTTTCCCTGTTTTTCATTTTTATTTTTATTTATTTTCACTAGAGATGAGGTCTCACTATGTTGCCAAGGCTGGTCTTGAACTCCTGGGATCAAGCGACTTCTCCCCTCTTAATTCTTGTTTTTTTCTACATTCTTGGAATTCTGAAATTTCAACATGATGTGCCTTGGTATAGACATTTTTTAACCCTTCTAAACCCTACTTGGCACTTGGTCCTTTAATCTGAAGATTTTTATTTTTATTTTTATTTTTTTTAGCTAAAGACAATTTTCTCTTGGTATATTTTTTGCTATTTCTTTCAATATTCTCTCTTCTGTCCTAGTATTCATTTTAAACAAATACTGGACTTCCTATATATATTCTCCATGCTTTAAATTTTTTCTCAGTATTTTTCATCTTTTTTTATTTTCTGGTAGACTTCTTTTCTTTATTTTTTGATTTTTAAAAATTAATTAATTATTTAATTATTTTGAGACAGGGTCTTGCTCTGTTGCCCAGGCCGGAGTGCAGTAGCACAATCATGCCTCACTGCAGTCTTGACCTCCCAGGCTCAAGCAATCCTCCTGCCTCAACTTCCTGAGTAGCTGGGACTACAGGCATATGCCACCTTGCCCAACTAATTTGTTTTTTAAATCTTTATTAAAGACAGGGTCTCACTATGTTTCCTAGGCTGGTCTTGCACTCTTAGGCTCAAGCAATGCTCCCACCTTAGATTCCCAAAGTGCTGGGATTACAGGCATGAGCCATTGCACCTGGCCTGAGACTTCTTTATTTTCCAGTTTACAAACTGCGTAAGTGGGTTGGGAATGGATTGGGCATGTTAGACTAGCTTTCTTGTTGGGGACTGGGTGGGGAGCATACAGGTTGGGGACAAACTGCCAAAAAAGTAGAGCTTTACTCTGAGTAAAGTGCCCTCTGGTGTATCTCCCTTCTAGATGAAGCTGTCTTTGTTTTTTCCCCCTCTGTCCCTCATGGAGGACCAGAGTTACCTCTGTTTTGCTTTTCCCTGTGGCTCTTACAGCCGCCCTATTTGTTTCCCTAGTCAAGTTGTTCTCCTCTTCATGGAGTTATTCTCATTCAGCTTTTCCCCAAATCCAAAGCTGTATCCTCTAGCCACTGTTAGGTGGAAACAAGGGAGAGGAGCCTACTGACCCTGCTGTGCCTAGTATGGCAATTCATGCACTATTCTGATGGTCACCACCCAGTCCTGGTCTTCTGCTTTTCCTAATGTTTAATGCAGAGTTTGGAGCTTCAGCGTATGCTGTCACTGGGGCTCTAAGTCAAACTGCCTGGGTTTAAATCCTGTCTCTGTTATATGTTAACTACCTGAGTCTCACTAGATTTCATCTATAAAGTGGGGATTATAATGCAGTGATTTGTGTACAGTAAATGCTGAATTATTATTAGTGACTATGAAGATTATTAACTCTGCTATCTTTTTTTTTTTTTTTTTTTGAGACGGAGTCTTGCTCTGTTGCCCAGGATGAAGTCCAGTAGCACAATTTTGGCTCACTGCAACCTCCGCCTCCCAGGTTCAAGTGATTCTCCTGCCTCAGCCTCCAGAGTAGCTGGGATTACAGGCATGCACCACCATGCCTGGCTAATTTTTTTTGTATTTTTAGTAGAGACTGGGTTTTTCCATGTTGGCCAGGCTGGTCTCGAACTCCTGACCTCAGGTGATCTGCCTGCCTCTACCTCCCAAAGGGCTGGGATTACAGGTGTGAGCCACTGCGCCCGGCTCAACTCTGATATCTTGAGTTGTGATTTTTATCTGCTTTTAAAAAAATCAATCTGATCCTACCCATTTTTTATCTTTTTCTTTTATTTTTTATCCAAGTAATATATTTATATTGTTTTAAAGAGCAAAAACTTTATAAGTCTTGTAACTAAGAACCATTATTCCCTGCCCATCTTGTTCCACACTTGAGCCCCAAGACCACCAGTTTCAACACTGAAAACTCTTTCTTTTATTTCCAAGAAACATTATTATAAAACTGCTTCATGACTTTTCAGTTTCATGTAGCTATTGACTTCCTATTATGAAAGACGAGGACTTAATTATTTTTTTTTGAGACAGACTCTCACTCTGTCACCCAAGCTGGAGTGCGGTGGCATGATCTCGGCTCACTGCAGACTCTGTCTCCACCTCCTGGGTTCAAACGATTCTTCTGCCTCAGCCTTCTGAGTAGCTGGGACTACAGGCGCACCATGCCCGGCTAACTTTTGTATTTTTAGTAGAGATGGGGTTTCACCATATTGGCCAGGCTGATCGCGAGCTCCTGACCTCGTGATCTGCCCACCTTGGCCTCCCAAAGTGCTGGGATTACAAGGCGTGAGCCACCGCGCCTGGCCACTTAATTCTTATACTTTTCCCCAACCCCATCCTTCTCTCTATTGAGACAAGACAAAAATCTATTGTTCACATGATGATGACATGTAAATATTATTCACTGCTCAAAGCTGAGCCATAGTGTATTATGATGACATTTCCTTACTTATACACCTTTTTGTTTTTTTCTAGAAATAATAATCACTTTATTTATTCATTTAATTTTTCTATGTACTTACAATAAATTCATCCCCAAACTTTCCTCTCAAAGAGTGCCACTCAGTAGGTGAAAACAGATTGCTTGATGTATGAAGTTCACTTTTTTCTTGGAGACATTGCCCCTGGAGCCTGCTGTGCCCCTGGGCTGTCGGGTCTGATTGCTCTCTAGGCCTGCTGTACGCCAGGCTTCCCTTCCCCGGGAGTCTGGGAATTCTGTCCACCTTTCTCCTGTGTTGGAAGCTCTATGATGAGGTGGATTACTCTGGGTGTGAAAGAAGATGTATGGCTCCTGGCCCTTCAGCATTGAGCACATTCTCGTGTCTCCCAGTATCATTCAGGTTCTTGCCAACTCAGCACAAAAGGTGTGCTGGAGGGTGAGAGGGACACAGCATCAATGAAGCTGGAGCAGCAGGAACCAAAGGGGCTCCAGAGGCTGGAAAAATCATCTGTCCAGGAGGCCTCGCCTGCTGCTGACCCCACTGTGAACATCTTGGCATTACTTATTTGGGATTCAAAGTGCTGGGCAGAAATATCTGATTGGCCATGCCTAAGTCTTATGGACACGAGGAAGGAAGATTTCCTCCCTTCAACTCTTTTTTTTAGAGACAGGGTGTTGCCGCTGTGTCACCCAGGCTGGAGTGCAGTGGAGCAATCTTAGCTCACTGCAGCCTCGACCTCCCAGGTTTAAGCGATCCCGCTGCCTCAGCATGCCACCAGGCCTGGATAATTTTTGTATTTTCTTTTATAGAGACGGGGTTTCGCTCTGTTGCCCAGACTGGTCTTGACATCCTGCGTGCAAGCAGTCTGCCTGTCTTGGCCTCCCAAAGTGCCTCCATGCCTGGCCTCCCTTCAACTTTGGTGGTGAGGGATGGTGCATTATATCCACTTACACAGCCACCATAGTTATTTCCTCCCAGATAGGAAGCAGGGATTGGAAACTGGGCAGCAAAACTAAATGTAAATATCCATCATGCTCTTTGATTGAATCTGTTTCCCCATCTATATAATTTTTAAAAATTCATATTGGTCTCAAAAATGCATTCAGCTTGAGGATTAAATGAGATAATTAGAAAACAGCACAGTGCCTTGGCTCATGATAAATTCTCTACAAATTTTGATTTGATCTGGGTGGAAGGATGAAAATATTTTATGTAGTTGGAGTGATGGAAACCAAGGCTAAGAGGCCAAAAAAATCTCATGAAAGAGAAGGGCTGAGGGAGCCTGGAGTCCTTTATCTTGGAGAACAGATCTGGAGGGGGCAGAGCCGGGCCTAGTCCTGTTTGGGGCAGAGGCCACTATAGATGGTTGAACTTAGCCTCCTGTGTCTTTGTTTTCCTGGATGCAGCTGTTCATAACTGGGTCAGGACCTGGGCTCAGCTGAAATGGAGTCACCATGCAGGTCAGGGAGGGCAGAGCAGGGCCCCAGGCAGAGCAGGGCCCCAAGTGGGAGGACCAGCCCACACAGAGGTCAGAGCTCAGGCGGGGGTGTGGAAGGAGCTGCTGTCCTACCCATCCTTCCTGCATGGATCCACCAAAGGCCCCTGATGACTCCGACTACATCCCTGGCACAGAGTGGGGAGGGTGACAGGGGTCACTCAGGGGACCCATCAGCAAACACAGAAAGGTGAAATCATATCTTCAGCTCAGCAGATATGGCTGTGAATTCTTAACTAATGAGATCTAGGAAGAGGTCCTTTCCTCTGAGGAGTCTCCCTGCCCCCTGCCCACCTTCCAGGCACTCAGGGTCCACCCCTCCCATGTCTGGGCTCCTTCTGGGATCTGCCTAGCCCCTGATCTGGCCTCAGAACACAGGATTCCAGGCATTTTGTTCCCAGGGTATTTCCTCTGCTTGGCTCTGAGTTCCTGCAGGGCAGGGCCAGTGCCTCATTTCTTTCAGGGCCCAGCCCAGAGTCTGGCCCAATGGGCACCGAGAAAGGATTGAAGAATGAATGAAGTTGGAATTGAGCTGAACCTTGGATAGATAAAGGAGAAAAGAAGAAAGCATTTCAGAGACAGAGGCAGGAACAACATGGCTGGAAAGATAGGGCATACGTGACCGACTGTCTTGAGGGATGGAAGGATCTGGTTTGGGAGGGAGGTTGACATTTGTGCCAGTTCTCTCTCTCTCCCTCTTTATCTCTGTCTCTCTCAAACCTTTCCTATGGTCCTGAGCCAGTGCTCTCTCAAACATCTGCCACAGTGTTTGTGAGTCTGGTCCTCACATCAGCCCTGAGAAAAAGACGTAATTATTCCCATTTTACTGATGAGATAACAGAGGCTCAGAAAGTGGATGAGCAGGAATACAAATAGGCCTGTCTGATTCCCGAGCCTAAAGAAGAAGGTGGTTGGATGTTGTAGCCCTAAAGGTGGGTATAGTTTGAGGGGTCCTGGCCACACAATGTGTCACCAGCCTCTGTCCTGAATAGAAGGCAATGGCATATGCATGGGTCATGATCCCATAGCGTAGGCCCTGTGCTGGCTCAGGTGGAAATAGGGGCGGTGAATGACAAGTGGTTTCATACCTGCAGCCCTTTACATGCACAGCTGCTCACACCCCATGTGCCCTGCCTCCCTTGCCCCACTGTGGACTTTTCTGTTCTCCCGGTGATCCCTACTCTTCTTTCAAGTTTGAATCAAGCTTTCCTTTTCTCTGGAGGCTCCTTCTGGAGTAGATCTGACCTTTTATGGCATTGGGTCTTTATTTGCCCCTACTCCAGCACATAACCCCAGGAGGTACTATTGAATGTTTGCGGAGTAAAAGAGTGTGTACACATGTCCAGGAAATCCCCATCCCCCAGGTTCTCTAGAGAGAGGCAAGGCCTCCCATCCCCCAGCTCCTTCCTCCCTTCTCTCCTCCCCTTCCCTGCCCCATCCCTGTGGTGCTGAGTCCAGCAAGGCTAGAGGCTGAAGCAGCTGCCTCTGGCTGCAAGAACCAGTGCCCCCGGGGGTGGGGGGGGTAGCAGGAAAGGTTGCCAAACCAAGCCTGCTCCACACCTCCCATCTAGGAGGGCAGATGGCACAGGGCAGAGTGGGCATGGCTGGGAAGGGCTGAGAAGCCAGGCCACCAGGTCAGTTTGGGAAGAAGCAGCTTCCTGCCGGCCTTCCATCCAGTAGGCAAGCCCTCTGGGGAGGAATCACCTGTGCACTCCCTTGGCCGAGAGCCTGAGAGTCAGGACTTGACCCGTTGTCAAGAAGACTGCATTTCAGACTGCATTTGGCAATTCTCTGGGCCAGGCTAGGGGTGGGATGGGGCGCAGAGATGAATAAGATCCATTTCCTCCCCAGGGGAGCTTATTGCCAGACATTTAGGGAATAATAATAACAGTTAATAATCATTGCGGACTTTACCAAGTGCCAGACACTGATCGAATTGAAAAGTAACTGCATGCTCACAACAACCCAAGAGATAAATGCTACTATAAGCTCCATTTGACCTATGGGGATAATGAGGCACAGAGAGATCAAATAGCCTGCCCCAGACCACATGGCACGTAAGTTGCATGCTGGGATGCCTGAGTGTGGGCCCAGGCAGTCTGGCATCAGAGTCTCTGCATTTAGCCGTCACACTACACATGCTGTAAGCCAACCCAGGTGCCATCTGCCATGGCCAACATGCAGCATCTTAATCCCCACCTTGCCCCCTTGTCAGGAGGTTTTTAGGCTCTGTAAACTTGCCAGGCACCAAAGTATGCTTTAGGATATCACCATGACTAGTGCCCTTTGCTGCCTGCCATGGTTACATCTTTATCTATGGGCTTGTATTCTCATCCCTGGGAAGCACAGGTCCTGTGACTCTACCATCTCACAGTCCCTTGGAATGTCTTTTACAAAGCAGGTACTCAGATGTGTTTGTCATTGAGGGGGTTGAGAATTTCCCTAGGTCTCTGTGACATGAACAGACTGGGTCTCAACCTGTGCACTGGGAATCACCTGGGGAGTTTAACAAAAACTGATACCCAGAACTCATCCTCAGAGGTTCTGATGTAATTGATGTAGGGTGCAGTCTAAGCATGGGGGATTTTAAGCACCCCATGTTATTCTCAGTTATTCTGATGTACTGCCTGGACTGAAAAGTTCCAGATTAACACTGTTTTAGAAATCTTGGAAGTTTCAGTTGAGGGAAGGCAGCAGAGGGAATAGCTTCAGAGACCAGTAGGCAAGATTCATGTCACAGCTCAGCCACTTACAAATTGGATGAGTTTGAGCAAATCAAATTTCTCAAGCCTCAGTTACATCATCTGTAAAAGAGGATAATGACATCCCCCTAGAAGTGAAGCACTTGAAGTAAGATTATTGAGCATCTACTAAGTGCCAGGTGCTTGGGTGCTCTTAGGGGACAATAGAAAACAAGACAGCTATGGCCCCTTGTGATATTTACCTTCCTTAATTCAGTTTAAGAAACCTTTACTGGGTTTGGGATATCAAGCACTGTATGGGTTCAAAGATGGACAAGAAATTGTACTTGCCCTTGAGAAAAGGAGAAGTAGACACTAATTAAAATAGAGGAAGGAAGATGACAAGAGATGTACCAACCAAGAGTGGTGAGGTTCAAAGGAGAGAGGTATTTAGAGGGCAGACCAGGGAAGTTTCTGTGGAAGACATGATACTTTAGAAGGCTCTTAGAGGATAGATAAGATTTTGTAGAATGGGATGAAGGGTAGTGGAAACGAACAAAAGCATGGAGGCAGGAACAGCCAATAATCCAACCTGGCAAAAGAGCTGGATGTGCATGCAGAGGAGGGAAGGGAATGTGCATACACAGCAGGAAAATAAGGGTTGGGGCCTTAAATGCTAGGGTGAGGCATTAACACTCGATTTGGTCAGCCATGGGAACCATGCAGGGACTGGAACTGAGTTGGATAATTCTTAGCTCTTAATACCTGGACTGCCTCTGGCTTCATTCTGGAATTTGTGTCTTCATTGCCACTGTCCTCGGGGCCTCCCCTTTTCTGCTGATGGCCACCTTGGTCCTGTGTTCAGTGCCCTGTCGCTGCCCTCAGGTGAGGGTCTGATGAACTCACCCAACCTTAAGCATAAGATGCATCTCCAGATGGTAGCTTCCTAGATAGTTGCATTCTGGCAGGTACAGTGGAAGGGGCACCAGACTGAATCTGGAGGAGGCCTGGTTCTAATCCTAGCTCTGTCTCTCACCAGCTATGTGATGTTGGGCAAGTCACCTCCCTTCTCCGAGCCTCAGTTTCCTCATCTGAAAAGTGGCCAGGGTCAATTGACAATGACCCTTCCAGCTGCAATGGACTCTGACTAACTTGTCAATTGCTAAACCCAAGAATGTCTCTTTTGACTCATGTAAGGGGCTGCTGCTGCTGACAATGAGGTATTAAGCATGAGGCTCAAGGGAAAGAGATGGAGAGGCCACATGTAGGTGATCAGCAGGGTCAGCTGAGCCCAGCCTTGGATTCATCACAGCCCAGGTACTGGGTATGAGAATGGAGAAATCTCCAGATGATTTCAGCCCCCAGCTATTCAGGTGTTCCCAGTTGAAATCCCAGACACTGCAGAGCAGAAATAAGCCATACACACTGTGCTGTCTGAACTTCTGTCCCTCAGAATGCATGAACATAGTGAAACTGTTGTCCTGTGCCACCAAGGCTGGTAATGGTTTGTCACCAGTGATAGGTAAATGGAAATGGAGGAAGAGGTGTTTAGGGATAGTTTGGTGGGGGACTTCTCATGTTGGTGAAACTTCACCAGTGGGTGTCATTCCCTTAGGTCCGTTGACATCAGAAACCACCTCTAGTCTTGGATATTACTCTATATATCATGCTGCTCTTAGGAGAGGAGGCTCGCTGGCTGCACTGTTCTGAATTATTGTGAAGTTTATAAACAAGGAACTCTTTGCCGAGGATGTCCTGGACCCGGAGGCACTGCTCAGCTGGGGGGTGGGGTCCATCTGTATTTGTCCCAATGTCCAAAAGGCTGAAGGGTGTGTGTGTGCTCACACTGGTAGAGGTCCTCTAGGTGCATCTTACACACTCCATCTCATCTCAGCCCCACCATAGCTTCATTAGGAGCTACCGGAAGGTGCGTTTCTCCCACTTTACTGATGAAGAAAGAGCCATGCCCAAGAACACACATGCGGAGTGGCAGGGCAGGGCTTTGAACCTGGTGGTAGGACTCTGAATCTAAGGCCCTTTTGAGGAGCCCCATGGGTGACTTAGGGATGGAAATTCCAGGGGTTGGAGGGGTCCTCATTTGCTTCCTCTAAACAGCCTCTTGTTTTGAAATAAGACAAATGAACTTGGCTTAAGTTCTGTTTTCCCTTCCTTCCTCCCTTCACCCCCTCACTCTCATTCCTTTTTTCCTCAGGGATTTTTTGGCAGAGGGCAGAGAGAGGAACCCATTCCCAAGTCCTCTATTAGAGAAGGCGTGATGGTGAGAGGGGGGCTTCACTCAGCAACCGTGCCAGGACAAAGGGCAAACGAGGGCAGGCCGCTCTCAGGCTGGGTCGGGGGCAGTGAGGAGCAGAGCGGCCCTTCTCATCGCAGCCCCCACCTTGCTGTACGCTGTGGGCTTGAGGTTTCCAGGAGAGTCTGCGGTGTAGGGAGCGCTCTGGCTGGGAGGGAGGAGACGGCCTATTCCTCAGTGGGGCTTCCTCGCTCACGGTGTGTATGGTGGGGAGAGGAGCACACAAGTACCATTTTCTGAGGATTGTGCCAGACCATGTCATACGTATAAGCTCATTCAAATCGATTTCCAGATAAGGCCGGGGGAGGGTAGCCGACTTGCCCAAGGCCACGCAGCATGTGCGCGGTAGAGCCGGTAGGGACGCGCAGAGGGTCTTGCTACCGACTCTCCCCGCTCTCCCGGGAGTCTGGGAGCCCTGAGGTGTCCCCTACCCGGCCGGGAAGCTGGGCTCTCGCCCCGGGACTGTCCGGAGGGGGCTCCAGCAGGGGGCGCCCCGAGCCCCGTCCCGGGCAGCCGGGCGCGCCTCCAGCCGGCGCCTGGGACGGGGCTGGCCGCTCCGCCCCCTCGGCTCCTAGGCTGCTCGGCGGGCGGGTGCCGGGCGCTCTGGGAGGAGAGGACTGCAGGGCCGAGCCCAGCGCACCCCGCCGCGTCCCCCGTTCCCGCCGCGCCCGCCGCGCCCGCCGCGCCCGCCGCGCCCGCCGCTCCCGCCGCGCCTGCCGCGGCCGCGACCGCGGCAGCTCAGCCTCCCGCCGTGAGTAGCACCCGTCTGCGGGCTCGATGGGCGGGACGGGGCGCGCGGCCTGACGGCAGCAGCGCCCGGGTCTGGGGCTGGCGGGGCGAAGAGATCCGGGGCACTCGCTCGCAGATCCCGGGCCCGCCGCCCCAATGCCTGACGCCGTGGCCCGGGGCATTGTGGCCGGCACCCGAGCGCGGGAGCTGCCCGCCGCTGCCCTGGGGCGCCCTCCGGAGCCTGGCACTTTGACCTGGGAGACAGGGTAGAGGCGGCGGGCAGAGCCAAGCACCCAGCAGGGAGATGGGAGACAGACGTCCATCGAGTTAGGCCCCCTGGAACGGGCAGAGCACGCCCGGCTCCCGGCCAAGTCTTCTCAGCTTGGGCTGACTCTCTCACCTCTTGCTCCCGCCTGGCACAAGGATGTGATGCGAGGAGGGTGCTCAGATGTCTGAGCTTCCTCTGGGGCTGAATGAAGCTGGGGTCCCCGCCGTCAGGCGCCCCGGCCTGGGGTAGAGCTAGGATGGGCGTGGGGGCGGCCAGCAGGTGTGCTGCAGGTTGGGGTGGAACGGCTTGGAAGGGCGTTGCCAACAGTTGACTAGGACTCTGGGCTAGGCATTTTGGAGGTCCCAAGGCTTGCATAGGTCTGGCTAACCCTCACCGTAACTCTGCACGGTGGAAATTGGTATTCTTACTTTACAAAAGAGAAAACAAGGTCCAGAGAGGTGAGCCTCGTTGAGGCCGTGCAGGTAATGGTAAGGCAGTGGTGCACACTGGAGGAGAGGGCACCATAGCTGGCTGCCTCGGGGGCAAGCGGGCAGGTGCAGGGACAGCGCCTGACATCTTGTATCCTGGAATCCTGTGGAGGGCAGCCACTCTGGTTTCTGACACTGCGACTCCCAACTGCCTCTGTGGAAGATATTCCTGGGAGAGTCCTGTTGACCTAAGAGGCCGTGGTGCCTTGGCCTCTTCACAGCTAACTTCACAGCCCTGTCCTTCCCCAAACCGCTCATCTCCCAAGATGTTTTTTGAGCACCCTCAAGTGGCACCACTGATGATTCAGCACCTTCAGAGGAGACTTGGGCAGAGGGGTCAGGGGTGTGTGGATGTGGCTGGAGGTCTGCTCCTCTGGGGTAAGTTCCTGGCTGGCAGGAATGAGACCCGCACTGACCCTGCCCACCTCCTTGAGGCCTCCCGATTTGTTAGCTGTGGGGTGAACAAGCAGGCTTCCCAAGGGAGCTGGATCTTTGCCAGAGAGACCAAGTTTTTCTTGTGTCAACTCAGGCAGGTGGCTGACCTTCTGTGGGCCCCAGCTTCCTCATTGGAGACTGTGATGGGTCAAAGCCTGGAATGTAGAGAGGAGCTCTGTAATGCCGGAGCCCCATCCCTTCTGTTGGCAGCCTCTCCAGAGCCTGAGTGTGATGATTCCTAATGGGGGTGTGTGTAATGAGACGGTCGTGTGTGTTTTGCCCAACCATTGCCTGCCCTCTTGCTGTGGTCCCGTTTCACTCACTTGCACTTGGTGAGGTGGGATGAGGAACTGAGAGAGTTCACTTTGCAGAGTGAGCTGGGCCAGTGGTGGAGAGGGCTTCTTGAGTGTTGAGAGTTTCCTATGAGGTGATCTTCCAGCCCTAGACACCTCCTCCTAGCTTGTCCCTCAGGAGGCCACTGACTTTGCCAACCCTGGTGACATCTTGGAGGAGTTGGGGTGGCTATCAACAGAAGAAGCCCTGGGAAGAGGAGCGGGATGGGTCACCTGTATGATGCTCAGTGAGTCCCTTCCCCTTTCTGGATCTCAGCTTCCTCTTGTAAAAACAAGTGGGTTAGACCAGACAGCAGTGGTTTTCAAACTTCTGTTTCACAGTGAATTCTTACCCAGAACGCCAACATATAGTATGGATAACGTGGAACTGCTCTGGCTTCCCCTTCTCACCCTGGTGATCCTGAAGCAGTTCTAAAAATCCCTAAATAGATGATCTATGGGGTTCTAGGAAATCTGTGGTAGCCCCCTGAAGTGTTGCCTGGTATTAGAGTTGTAGGCAGGAATTTGAATTCCAAGGACTCCATCAGGAGAAACATGGGCATTAAGGTGGGTATCATCCTGGGAGCATCTGGAGCTGATGGCCTGTGCTTCTGGCCAAAAGTTGTAACTGTGTCCCTTCCCTCTGCCATGTGATTTCAGCTTTTCGAGGCTGGAAAGGTCCTTGTGCCTCTGGCTCCTTATCTGGGTCCTAGCTGGTGACTATAATTCCACTTCAGTTTCACCCCTTTAGTTTGTTTCTAAACTGGTAAAATGCAAATTCGCCTTAGGAGAGGTGTTAGGAAAGTGCTTGAAGTGGCTATCAGTTGTTTTACCTGATGAGCATCTGAGTAGCGGCCTTGAGAAAGGAGGCTGGGGAACTAAGTTAAAATCAGCCAACACTTATATAGTGCCTACTGTGTACTAGCCTACGACAAGGGGACAGAGGTAGGAATGTCACAATTCTTGCCCTTATGGGGCTCCAAGTCACAAAGAGGAGGGAAGGAATTCACGTTATCCATGGACCGTTTAAAACATTACACATGGGTTATCTCATTTGTCTCACATTAGTCTCATTTTAAAAAATTATGTAAAATTTTGATCACATACAAAATCATCCCATATATCCATCTAACTACCACCCAGATCAGGAAACAACATTGCTGGCACTCTGAAGCCTCCGAAGCTCCCCTTCCAACTCTCCCCTGAGTGAGGGGATAGCCACTCTGCTGACATCTAGCACCATGCATTAATTTTACCTAAATGGGATCACACAGTATGCAGTCTTTTGTGTCTGTCTACTTTCATTCAACATTATGTTTCTGAGATTCATCCATGTTGTTGCAGGTAGCAGTAGTTTGTTAATTCTTATTGCTGTATAATGATTCCATTGTATGGGTATATAGTACCTCAATTTGTTTATCCAGTCTTCTATTGATAACCATTTGGTTGTTTCCAATTTTTAGTTATTACTAATAGTATTGCAGTGACCATTCTAACGTGGATCATTTGGGAAAACATCTGCATGCATTTCTCTTAGATATGTCCAAAGAAATTGCTGAACAGTTTTCCAAAGTGGTGGTCCCAGTGTATACCCCTCCCAGCAGTGTTTGAGAGCTCTAGTTGCCGCACATACTCACCAACACTAGACATTGTCTTACGTTCATTTTCCATGGAAGGAATGTGAAACTCAAAAGTTATCCTGTGCTCAGCTAAGACAATGTGCCAGTAAGTGACAGAGCTGGGATTTAAACCCAGGTCTGTGTGATGACTATGGAATCTATTCTCTCCCTCTGGGTTAGACATAAACATAAGCCAGAATATGATCAACTCGAACCCTAAAAAGGTATGAAGAGCACTCTGGGAGAACTTGAAGAGGTGGAGAATTGTCATCTGTTTTTGGGAGGGCAAGGATCATGGAGCCGCACAGAGACGGTAGCATTTGGCTGGGTCTTGTGGGAAGTGGGTAGTTATGCCCACTCTCCAGGGCTTTCCAGCTGGGCCTCCCCTGGCAAGGGCCCCACTTCAGCCGAGATATAGCAGGGATGAAAGTTTTAGGGGAATGGGAAAGGTCAACTTTGGCTGGAATATAGGATATATAAGGGAGGGGGCAAAGGCTGGAAAGATGAGCGAAAGCCTAACTGGTGGGCCTAGTTTGTCCCTAAGGGGCTCACCTGCCCCCCTAACCTTGGCCACCCAGGATATAGAGCCCAAGGCAGAGGCTCACCATTTTGCTGGGAACTGGGGCTTCTTTGAATCCTGCTCTCAGCAAATGGAGCTGGCCTCTCACCAAATGGGAGATCTTAGCTGTTCCTGGGACCACTCTCAGGGTTTCTGCCAACAGAATTTTTTTGGAGTTTCCTGCTTGCTTCTAGCTGTGTGAAATTGGTAACCCCACCCTGCAGGACCTGACCCAAATTGTTTATTTGGAAGGAATTTTTTTTTTCCATTGAAAAGAAGATGGTAGATAGCACTCCCTTTACTCCCTGGGCCAGTCTTGGGAGATTTGCCAGGATGTTGGGGATGAGGGGCGTCGAGCTTCTGATTATGGTCAAGCTAAACTTGCTAGAGGGCTCCCTGGCATGGGTTAAATCACAGTAATAATCATCTTTCTTATTTGTACAGTAGTTTATATCCTTATCCCCACATGGATGTGTGAAGTATGTGATATAGATAGTATCACTCTGTTTACAGGTGAGGGGATGAGTCCCAGAGAGGGTACCCACCTGCTGTGGGTCACAGGGCTAATATACACTCACGCTAGTCTGGAACTGGGGCTCCTGGAGCCTACTCTTTTCACTATTTCATGCTTGCTCCAGCCCTGGCCAAGCATGGAGGATGCATGAGGGAGCCTGGACACCCACAGGCAGGTGACCACGAGAGTAAGCCCTGGGAACCAGGCCAGCTCTGCCTGAGGGTCTTCAGGCTCTGTGTGCCTTGGTGGAAGGGAGAGAGGCAGGCGGCATCTTGGTAATGAAGCTCTGGTTTGCAGGGGGCTAAAGTGGTGGAAAGAGGGTGAAATGTATACACCCGCTGAGAGTTAGGACAGCTCCAGCCACTTGGCATTGATGAGATGTGCCCTTATATAATGGTGCCTCCACCCAGCCTGGTGAAAATAGTCTTTTGGGGTTCGTGGAGCCCATGTGTGGTTGGGATCTGATTGGCAGTCAGCAGAAAAGCTGCCAGTGCTAACCAAAATGAGCTCTGACAGGCCTTTGCTAAAGACCCTTGGAAGACACATCCACAGGCAGCTGGTTTTATTCTTGTGATTTGCAGACTGTGCCCTGCGCCCTGCTCTTGGGATGTTGTCCAGAGTGGCACATGGCTGTCAGGAATGGGTAAGCCTCTTGGGGCAGAGGGATCCCAGGAGACGATGCAGACAGTCTTTTCTGGTGGAGTGGTAAGTGCTCCCCATGGCTCAGAGTTGGGCTATGGCTTTCAGTGAGATGCCTGGGGCAGGCAGAGTTGGCTCAGTTTTACAGATGAGGACACTGAGGCCCTTCTGACAAGAAAGGAGATCACAGAGCTAGTTGTAGGCAAAGCTGGAACTAGCACCTCAGGCTCCTGACTCCTGGTGCCTGTAGGAATTTGCCTCACTCCTCCTGTCCATCTTTCCTTTGGGGTTGATGAGTGAGAGAGTTTACAGATTAGTTCAGACACGCAGTTGGGTGGTACAACACCTGAGGGAGCTGAGGTCATGATAATCCCTTACCTTTTAACAGCATTTTCTAGTTTACAAAATAATTTCATGACTTGAAGTTGATTTTACAGTATTAGCCCCATTTTACAGATGAAGAAGCTAAGTCTCTGGCAGCTTAGGTGGCTTACCCAAGCAAGACTGGGGCTTGTACCTAGGACTTCTGACTTTAAAGCTAGTGCTTTTTTTTTTTTTTTTTTTTTTTCTGTTGCCCAGGCTGGAGTGCAGTGGTGTGATCTTGGTTCACTGCAGCCTCTGCCTCCCGGGTTCAAGTGATTCTTCTGCCTCAGCCTCCTCCCAAGTAGCTGGGATTACAGATGCATGCCACCGTACCCGGCTAATTTTTGTATTTTTGGTAGAGATGGAGTTTCACCATGTTGGCCAGGCTGGTCTCGAACTGCTGACCTCAAGTAATCCACCCACCTCGGCCTCCCAAAGTGCTGGGATTACAGTTGTGAGCACCATGCCTGGCCATTTTTTTTTAAAAACTGTACAACAGCTGCCTCTTTTTGCAGTAGTTTTGAATTTAATGAAAACAAATAGCTGAAGTTCACCATGGATGTTTCTCTGAACTTCTTCAGACAGATCTGAAGACCTGAGGAGCTCTCCTTTCCTGTCTCCTTAACAAATTTGAATTCGTATAAATCAAATAAGAACCATACATCATCAGCTGCAGGTGAGAAAAGGCTTGAGCAGGGCAGTTCTTGAAGAACCAAGGCTGTGGATTATTACTAAATTATTAGCTCCCTTGCAGCCAATTACGTTTAGGCCTTAGACTCTTAGGCTTGTGCTAATTTGGATGGCTGTCCTAACCACAGGTTTCTTCCCATTTCAGGATTGTATGTTCCAGGCCTCAATGAGGAGTCCAAACATGGAGCCATTCAAGCAGCAGAAGGTGGAGGACTTTTATGACATCGGAGAGGAGCTGGGGAGGTAGGAGACTGTGTGAGAGGTGGGGGGATGCCGAGGGAGCCAAAGTCATGCTTCTTCTGGCACAGTTGTCAGTTGGTGTTGGAAGGCAGGGCCACAGGACCAGTGGGAAGCTTTAAAAATGAGCCTGAGGATTATTCACCTGCCTGGGTGACTTTGCACATGGTCATTGCTCTGGAAATAATGACTTGCCAGTAAAAGGGATGAGAATTGTTGAGTTCTGTGTTTTCAGCATAATCTAGCTGGCAGGGACAACCTTCATGATTCTTGTTTGATCTGTTACTTTTTTCATAAAGCTTCCCCAGGCTCTGGATGGAGACCTGACTTGTTGGTTTTCTTCTGAGTCTCACTTGGGATTCTCCATGGTTCCCAGGGTTTTGTTTTAAGCTCAGAACTTGAATGGGAGGTGAGGTAATCCTCCTGAGAATGGATTTATGTTGAGTAACCAGCCACACGAGCCCCATCATGAAGTTTTCCTGGGATCTTTGTTACTGGTGCATTTTCAGGTTTGCTGAGCCCAGAGCACAGCCAGGGTGAAAATCAGATCTGAAAGTACTATCGTTAGGATTTGGATAGAAATTAAGATTTTCTGAAGCTCTTTTCTTGCCTTCCATTTCTACCAGCTGCTAATATTTAGGTGGTAGTGTAGTGATTACAAAACACCAGTCATGAAGTTTGAGTCTCATAACAATGCATGAAATAGGCATTATTTTTACTCTCCTTTTCCAGATGAGGAAACTGTGGTCCAGCGTTTGGGCAAGTTGCCCAAAGTTGCTGAGCCAGTGAGTGACATAGCCAAGGTTCTGACCAGTCCATTTTGCACCTGCACACCTGTTATGCCCTCTCCCATGAGCTTGGCACTTGTACACTCACACATGCTCATCAGAGCACCTAGCCTCACCCCTTCACACACAGCGCAGCATGAAAACATGGGAATTTAGAGTGTGTAGACCCAGAAAATCTGAGACAGGTGTTAGTTAATTTAGAAAATTTATTTTGTCAAGATTGAGGACGCATGCCCATGACAGCCTCAGGACCTGTGCCCAAAGTTGTCACAGCACAGTTTGGTTGGAGACTGGAGACATCAATCAAATATGCAAGATGAACATTGGTTTGGTCTGGAAGGGCGGGACAACTCCAACTCTAAGCAAAGATGGGAAGGCTCTAATGGGGAGGGGGCTTCCAGGTCATAGGTAGATAAGAGACAGATGGTTGCATTCTTTTGAGTTTCTAATTAGCCTTTCTAAAGGAGGCAATCAGATATGCATTTATCTCAGTGAGCAGAGGGGTGACTTTGAATAGAATGGGAGGCAGGTTTGCCCTAAGCAGTTCCCAGCTTGACTTTTCCCTTTAGCTTAGGGATGTGGGGGCCCCAAGATTTATTTTCTTTTCACAAGTGTCTACTGTATCCAACAGGCAAAACAGGAGTTTTTTCCCTTTATAGAACTCTTATGTCAGGACTAATTGTCTTACTTTTTTTTTTTTTAAACTTTCAAAGATGAAACAGAGCTTCAAAGCCAGAAGAGCTTCACTCCAAAGAGAATGAAAGGCAGCAGGTGCTTCAAGATCAGGGAGTTAGTCCTGGCTGACTGGATGGTGGGTGGGGGAGCAAATAACTGCAGAGACCCCAGAGGGGAATGACTTTTCCCAGTCTTGGGCCTGGTGAAGGGGTAGGAAGAGGACATAGGACCAGAGGCTGGGGTTGGTCAGCTGGAGCCTGCCTCTGAATGGGAAGCCGGTTCTCTGTGCCTCAGGTTCTTCTCCTGCCCTTGGTGGCACCAGCAGAAAGATGCCATTCTCGGCAACAAACCACAGCCAGCCCTGCCAATGATGCTTGATTCAGTGCCCTCACTTGGCCATGTCCTGCATGCAGGGGTCTGTGCTGAGTACTGTGGGTACAAAGACGAGCAAGATGAGACAGTCTCTGCCCTCCTGGAGCTCCACCCTGGCAGTTACATACATGCTAACAAGGGCATTCTTGGATTGGACTAGAGTCTGGGTGGGCAGAGAAACTGAGAAGTTGTGGGGAGTGGGACTCTGAAGAAGGAAGTAGAAGCAGTTTCCTGGGGATTGCATTTATAATTCCTTCTTAGTCTTGTCTCTCCCTGACTCCATATATCAAGGACATGTGCTATTAGACCCGGAAGAGACCTCATGTTTCCTGGTCCTCCACTTGCAACAGGGTGTGGAGATCCCATGCAGCTCATAGCCTGGGGTGTCTTGGGGTGATTCTCACCTCCCCTACTCTTCTAAAGTGCTAATGGGGCAAAAGGTGAGTAAGCAGCAGGGGAGGCCCAGGGACTAGGGGCCAGGGGCCTTTGGAGTGGTCAGATGTCCTAGGATTTGTGGTCTAGGCCAGATGACCTAGAAGGCCTTTAGAGGTCCTCTCTTCCAGGCCTCTCACTTGACAGTTGAGGAAATGGAGGCTCAGAGAAGGGAAGGGTCTTGCCTGGGGCCACAGAACAGGCTAGAACTAGAGCTGCCTTTGAATGACCACTCAGCTTCTGAAGGGACAGTCCTATTCTTTTCTCCTGCCCTCCTGTTCTTCATTTAACGTATTCTTGAGGACCTACTGTGTGCCACGCACCATCCAAGCAGTGGAAAACAAAACAGACACAGTCCTGTCCTCTGGCAGTTTATGCTCCCCAGGCTGGTGGAGAAAGGCACTAGACAAGTGGATGCTAAAGGATAAATCACCATAAGGTGTGTTAAGGGCTAAGAAATGAGAGAAAAGGATGCCCTGCAAGGGATTGATGGGGCATGGGGATGTAATTCCATCTGGGTGGTTAGAGAAGATTGCTCTGAGGAAGTGACTGTTCATTTGAGAACTGAAGGGTAAATGCAAAAGCAAAGTCAGCAGCATGGATGAGCCCTGAAGTGGGGAAGTGCCTGGGACCTGGGGAACCCGCAGGAGGCCAGTGTGGCCTTGGAAAGCAGGCCGGGGCAAGCAGCGTTACATGAGGCTGGGGGCATGGGTGGGGACCAGATCCAGGTGGTGAATTCCCTGCCAACACAGAGTGGTGGAGAGGTTTGGCCTTTGGGGTCACATGGGTTGGGGTTTGGGTTCCTGTCCTAGCTGTGCAACATTAGACAACCTGCCCTCTCTGAGCCTCAGCTTTTTTACCTGTAAGACAGAAATAGTACCATTACCTAGCTCATGGTTGTGGGGATGAAATGAGATGCTGAGTCAGGAATCCCTCTCAGAGCTGGGCATGGGGTAAGTGTTCATGATCAAGAGCTTCTGGCCTTCAACAGTGAACAGATCGAGCCTTTGGAGTAGTTTTGGGGTGTCAAGGCCCCACCTTCTGCCTCTGCAGCCTTCTAGGAGGAAGGCATGGGACTGCAGGAAGAAGAGCAGGGGGATCATCCTGATGTCTGGAGAGCTCAATATAAACCTCTTTACTTGGCTGTCAGTGAGCACCCTAGTGTAGACTCAGGGCCCTCTCATTGATTTTAGCTCTTCATTAAGTCTTAACTATGCAAAAATGAAAATGAACAACAGTTTGTTACATGTAACAATGGATGAAGCTCAGACATGTAATGTTGAGCAAAGGAAGGCAGACTCAAAAGGGTCTGTACTGCTTTATTCCATTTGCAAAAGTTCAAAACGGCAAAAGGAATCAGTGGTGCCAGAAGTCTGAATGGTGGTTATCCTTTGGGGACTAGTGACTGGAAGGGGGCACAAAAGGGATTTCTGGGGTGCTGTATTCTGTTTCTTGATCTGGGTGTCTGTTTCACAGATGTGTTCATTTTATGAGTATTTATATGAAGACATGCATGCATATGGGCATTTTCCTGTTTATTAGACCTTAACTAAAATATATATATATATATGTATATATATATATATATACATATATATACACACACACACACACACACACACACACACACACACATATATATATATTTTGAGATGGAGTTTCACTCTGTCGCCAGGTTGGAGTGCAGTGGTGAGATCTCGGCTCACTGCAACCTCCATCTCCCAGGTTCAAGCTATTCTCCTGCCTCAGCCTCCTGAGTAGCTGGGACTACAGGTGCGTGCTACCATGTCTGGCTAATTTTTGTATTTTTAGTAGATATGGGGTTTCACCATGCTGGCCAGGATGGTCTCGATCTCTTGACCTTGTGATCCTCCCCCCAAAAAATAAATAACCTTTAACTCTACTTCTTGCCCTGGCCTGGTCCACATGTTTCTGATTCCTTTAGAGGCTTTGTCTATCCTTATCCTATGAGTAAGAGCATCTCTGTAGGAAAAGCTTTGGATGGAAACAGGATACCCTGGCTGGAGCATCCTGCACTCTGCTGGGACCCTCCCTGGCCCTGCATATTTTGCCTGATTTCTAGCTTCCAGCGCTGAGTGCAGGCAGTTGGCTGTGCTCACACTTTTGGCACCAGCCTGTTTGGGATGCTGGAGGTTGTCTGCTGTTTCTAGGAGTGTTTGGAGAAATATTGGCTTGCAGAAATGTTTGGCATCTCCCAGCCTTGGTAGCAATCAGTAGAGCAGAGCAGGGAAATATCAGAGCAGGGCTCATAAAGAGAAACTCATCCAACTCCTCATTTTGTAGATGAGGCTAAGGCCAGAGAGGAGAAGAGGTGAACTGGTGATAGAACCAGGGTGGGGTCTGGTGGTCTGACTCCTAGCCCAGGACTCTGGCTACCGCATCATAAGGACCCACAAAACACAAAGTCATTACTTCCTTTAATCGGAATGCTTCTGAGGAGTGGGAAAGAATATAAGGGAAGGAAGTCTTTTCTGTTTGTACTCGAGGGTAGTGTAGCATGGTCAAAGTTAGAAGGATGAGCCTTTGGGAAGGAGTGATGTTTCCCAGGAGGAGGGTGCTAGTAGATAGGCCCAGTGATGGTTTTGTGAACTTCCACATAGACAACTACTGCATGCACAATGTTATAAAGTAATTTAACGTAAGCAGCATATAATGAAGAGTGATTCCTTGTTTCCTATCCTTTGATTACTTTCCTTTACTTAGATGATTTTTTTTTTTTTGAGATGGAGCCTCATTCTGTCGCCCAGGCTGGAGTGCAGTTGCATGATCTCAGCTCACTGCAACCTCTGCCTACCGGGTTCAAGCGATTCTCCTGCCTCAGCCTCCCGAGTAGCTAGGATTACAGGCACACGCCACCATGCCTGGCTAATTTTTGTACTTTTAGTAGAGATGGGGTTTCACCATGTTGGCCAGGTTCATCTCAAACTCCTGACCTTAGGTTATCTGCCTGCCTCGGCCTCCCGAAGTGCTGGGATTACAGGAGTGAGCCATCACACCTGACCAGATTTTCTTTACTTATATTATATTAACATAAAATCATAAGATGTTTCTGTTGAGCTGGATTTCAACAAAAATTTAATCCAAATCTACCATTTTATAGATGAGGAAAGTGAGGCCCAGAGAGGGGAGGTGATTTGTTTAAGGTCATAAACAAGCATTGGAGGAAGTGGAACTCAAAGGCAGAAACTTCTCGACTACCGACTACCGTGCTGGTTTAAACAAACAAACGAACAAACAGATAAGAACTTATTTAAATCTACATCCAACCTTTATCCATAGCCCCCACTTCTCTTAAGGATCTTACCTTACCATTACTCCACATATCACCTCTGCCCTGAAGAAGACAGCAACCATATAATTGCTACCACTTAGAGGAGGCTCATGTATGCAAGACACCCTGCCAGACACCCAACCTGCAGTCTCCTTGCCTGGGGATGAGAGACTTCGGCGGGGGAAGGAGCCTCTGCACTAAACCCTCAGCCTGCCTGAATGTGGACAAAGATTCCCTGGGGCAGCCATGTTGATGGGGGCAGGGGGTAGACAGACTGGAGTCTCCCAATGGGATCATCTGTGGTTAGGATCAGCCACCGCACATTCAGCTTAGCCAGGACACCTTCTTTGGGGAAAGAAACAACATCCTCTAGGAAATGTGTGAAGTTTAAATTTACCCAGGCTGGTTCAATAGCCCAGTCTAGCCACACTGGGCACTATAGAAAACAACAAACATAGGTGTTCGATTTACTCATCTCAGCCCTTGGCAAAAGAGCTCCTAAGACTAACCCTGAAGCAAGGGGGCTTTTATGATCCTTTTAAATTAAAAAGATGTTTGTTTATTATAGAAGTTATTCGAGGTGAATGTCATAAAGTTATGAAGAGTATAAAGTAAAAAGTAGAACTCCCTCTGCCCTCTCGCTGAGTCTCACACCCCACAGGTAGACTTTGATGGTCATTTTCTCTCCTTTTTTTTTTTTTTGAGACAGAGTCTCACTCTGTCGCCCAGGCTGGAGTGCAGTGGCGCCATCTCGGCTCACTGCAAGCTCTGCCTCCCGGGTTCACGGTTCACACCATTCTTCTGCCTCAGCCTCCAGAGTAGCTGGGACTATAAGCGCCCGCCACCACACCCACCTAATTTTTTATATTTTTAGTAGAGACGGGGTTTCACCGTGTTAGCCAGGATGGTCTCCATCTCCTGACCTCGTGATCCACCCGCCTCGGCCTCCCAAAGTGTTGGGATTACAGGCGTGAGCCACTGTGCCCAGCGATGGTCATTTTCTTCTGTCACCATTCAGAACCTTTTTAAGTTAAGCAAGTGTGTGTGTGGACAGAGGGGACCACACGACCATAACAGTCAACAACTTGCTTTTCTCACTTAACGAAATCTGTTGAGTATCTTTTTATAGCAGTGCAGGTAGATCTGTGAGACTTATTTTGGGTCAATGGTTTTTTAAATTAATAAATTTAAGGCCAGGTGCCGTGGATCATGCCTGTAATCCCAGCACTTTCGGAGGCCGAGGCGGGTGGATCACCAGGTCAGGAGTTAACCCAGCAGCTATTTTTTTTTTCCTTCCTTCCTTCCTTCCTTCCTTCCTTCCTTCCTTCCCCCTTCCCCCTTCCCCCTCCCCCTCCCCCTCCCCAGGGGTCTCTCTGTTACTCAGGCTGGAGTGCAGTGGTTCAGTCATGGCTCATTGCAGCCTCGACCTCCTGGGCTCAAGCAATCGTCCCACCTCAGCCTTCCAAGTAGCTGGAACCACAGGCATGTGCCACCATGCCCAGCTAATTTATTTATTTACTTATTTATTTTTGAGATGGAGTCTCGCTCTGTCACCCAGGCTGGAGTGCAGTGGTGCTATCTTGGCTCACTGCAACCTCCACCTCCTGGGTTCAAGCAATTCTCGTGCCTCAGCCTCCCAAGTAGCTGGGATTACAGGTGTGCACGATCATGCCCGGCTACTTTTTTTATTTTTAGTAGAGATGGGGTTTCACTATGTTGGCCAGGCTGGTCTTGAACTCCTGACCTCAGGTGATCCACCCACCTCAGCCTTCCAAAATGCTGGGATTACAGTCATGAACCACCACGCCCACCTAATTTTTAAATTTTTTGTAGGGACAGGGTTTCGCCATGTTACCCAGGCTGGTCTTGAACTCCTGGGTTCAAGCAATCCTCCTGTTTTGGCCTCCCAAAGTGCTGGGATTATAGGTGTAAACCACCACGCCTGGCTATTTTTATTTCTGAATCTTGCCTACTAATCTTTGCAGGGGTATTTTTCATACCCACAGACTTCCTGCTCTTTGCAACTACTGTGGCACACGTACTTGCATGTAGTTCACATTCCCCCAAGTGCTAAGCAGGGGCAGGTTGGAGAGGCTGGGGCGAGCAGCACTAATGGCCGTATGAGATGAGGCTTATCTGGCACTTGTTTATCAACTCTTTGAAAGCAGGTTCAGAGCTGTTCTCCTATTTGGAATATCACTGCAGCACTGAGACAGAGGCCAGAGGCCCACAAAACGTATATGACTTATCTTTGCTCTTGCTGTTTCCTCACTCTTGGAAAAATTATGCTTTTTCTTCAAGGTCCAGATCAAACACGGTGACTCTGACAAAACCTGCCATGCCCTGCCCCATCCACCCCACTCCCTTCTGTCAGATTTAATTCCCTCTTATTCTGGACCACGTCTCTGATCATACCTCATGTTACACATAGGGTTTTCCCGGTCGTCCTCCCTGCTGGACTGAAGGTTTCCAGGCTGGGCTCCTGTGTACATCAGCTTTTATCTGTCCGTCTCCTCTACTGTGGTGTCCAGCCCAGGCCTTTTATACTTGATAAGTGCTTAACACCTACAGATACTCATAAGTTAACTGCAGAGCATCTGGGATCTGCCTTGAGTTAAATTTAAACCTAAGGCAGAATACCTCAGCCAAGCAAGCTCACAGCCCCCATAAGCCCTGGAATTCATGAATGTCCAGGATTCCCCAAACACAAAGTGGGAAACAAAACACAAAAATTACTTCCATTTACCGGACATACATTATTGAGTTTAATTCTCATAACACCCTGTGAAGTAGTTGTTCCCATTTTATAGATGAAAAAACTCAGTCTCGAAAATTTTAGGTAACTGGTTCAAGAAATACAAACCTACCTTATCAAGGAGATGCCAAGTGGGAAATTCTACTCTGTGTGACACAGAAAATCTCAAAGAATGTCGGAAATAAAAGCCAGAAACTTCCTCTGGGCAAAGCCCTCTTCACTACCCTGGCCTGGGATTTTTGTGCCTCTCTGATCATACACATGCTTGCTTGTATTTCTTGCTGCTGGGAAAGTGAAAACGATTGACATATGTTAAGAATCTACTGTTGGGGCAGGCATGGTGGCTGACGCTTGTAATCCCAACACTTTGGGAGGACGAGGTGGGAGGATTGCTTGAGCCCAGGAGTTTGAGACCAGTCAGGGCAACATATGTGAAACTCTGTCTCTACAAAACATGAAGAATTAGCCAAGTGTGGTGGCACACGCCTGTAGTCCCAGCTACTTGGGAGGATGAGATGGGAGGATTGCTTGAGCATGGGAAGTTGAAGCTGCAGTGAGCTGTGATTGCACCACTACACTCCTGCCTGGGCGACAGAGCAAGACCCTGTCTCAAAAAAAAAAAAAAGAAAATCTGCCCTCCTGTGAGTATCTGTGCTGAGTACTTCCTGCCCTTTCAGAACAATTGGACTTGGATCACATTCCCATTTCCCAGGTGAGGACAATGAGGCTCAGAGAAGTTAAATAAAGTATTCATGGTCACACACTTTAAACAAGGCAGTCAGGATTCCATCCTAGCTCTGTCAGATTACAAAGCTCATACTGTTTCTATTATACTATGCAAATTCCGTGTGTGTGTGTGTGTGTGTGTGTGTGTGTGTGTGTATGTGTGTATTTTGAGACAGGGTCTTGCTCTGTTGCCCAGGCTGGAATGCAATGGCGCAACCACAGCTCACTGCAGCTTCAAGCTCCCCGGCTCCAGCATCCTCCCGCCTCAGCTTCCTGAGTAGCTAGGGCTATAGGCATGTGCCCTAGACTTTGATAATTTTAAAATTTTTTGTAGAGACGGGTGTCTTACTGTATTGCCCAGGCTGATCTTGACCTCCTGGCCTCAAGCGCTCTTTTCGCCTCAGCCTAATTCTATAATTTAATAAAAATCAATCCAGGAGATTCTTCAGAGGTCATCTATTCTAGTAAAGGCCCAGGGCTCAGGGTGGTTGAGGGCGAGTAGGGGTAGGGGATCAAAGAGTTTGTCAGTAAAAGGGGCTGGAAGGGGAGGAAGGGAGACAGGGCAGATATATCCATTCTCTGCATAGGGCAGCAGTGAGGACCATACCAGGCCACCAAATTCCCTTGGTGGGATTCCATCCTGCAGCCTTGATGAGGTTCTTAAACCCATGAGACTTGTAGCCACAGGACTATGGCCCAGTTCAGGGTTGGAGAGTGGCCACAAACAGGAGAGGCAGGTGAGGGGAGCCAGCAGCCCTGTCAACATCTAGGTGCAAGGGTATCATATTTACATCATCTTTGATCTTGTCAACACCACAACAGACTTTGGTTTTTGGTTTTTGGTTTTTGAGATGGATTTTTGCTCTGTTGCCCAGGCTGGAGTGCAGTGGCGTCATCTCGACTCACTGCAACCTCTGCCTCCTGGGTTCAAGCGATTCTCCTGCCTCAGCCTCCCCAGTAGCTGGGGCTATAGGCACCCGCCACTCACAGCTAATATTTGTATTTTTTAATAGAGACCGGGTTCCACCATGTTGGCCAGGCTGGTTTCCAACTCCTGACCTCATGTGATCTGCCCTCCTCGGCCTCCCAAAGTGCTGGGATTGCAGGCGTGAGCCATTGCGTGCAGCCATACAGCAGACTTTAGAGAGAGGGGTGTCAGAGAGGGGCTCCCTACACCAGTCCTCCTGAGGGGGGTAGGGAACTGTGAGCTGGCCGGATGCAAAACGGTATAGTACAGTGGTCTCTTGTAACTCAGGCTGTAGACTGAGAGCAAAATGAACTTGGTTAAAAGCAAGAAAGCCTCCTCCACCACAGCAGCACCCTAGACAAGCTGGTGGTTTCTAAAAGGTAAGTGGGTGTGTGTGGATGTGTGTGTGTGAAGGAGCTTATGAGTATGTGCATGTCTGTACTGTATGTAGGTCACTATCACAGTTAACAATAAATATTCTTGGGCACCCACTGTGTGTTGGGGAGGAGACTTAGGGCTTAGACCTTGCCCCAGAAGAGCTAAGGCTCAGATGGGGCACAGGAGTACTCTCCTCCTTAGCAAATGAAATGAGATGTACCTAGACTATGTGCTAATAGTGGGACCCAAAAACACATTCCAGGAGATCGGAGGAGGAAGCTATCACCCTGGGCGCGGCAGGGTCTAATCCAGGAGATAGGCCGGTAACTACCTCAAGGGTGAGGGCTCTGCCACGACCAAGGAGCAGAGGCCCAGGCTTGGGCAAGAGGGCATGTGGAGAAGGTGAAGGGATGGGGCTGCCAGGAGGACTGATGACTACAAGGGGCCCTGGGTGGCAGAGGCTGTGGATGAGAGAGGGAGGCACTTTCATCACCCATTGTTAGGAAAACAAAGCACAAAGCCACTCAGACAAAGTGGCCGCATTGCACACGCTTGAGTTAGAAGCTCAGCACACAGTGCAAATCGCTTGCCCTAAGGGTAGGTCTCATTGAGCTCTGTCTGCATTATGGAAACTGTAAGAGCTGGGGGCGGGGGGCAGTACTTATGTGGGGGAAATGGAAACCACCATGGGCCTGTATCTTCTGGATATCCTTGCTTTTCTACTTATTTATTGCCAGTGTGTACATTTTGTGTTGGATTGTTGTTTTTTGACTCCATGTTGTTTTTAAATATGTACCTTTCCACATATCCAGAGTTCATATACTTAAAAATATTTTTGTTTTGAAATAATTTGAAATGTGATAAAAAAAAGTTGTAAGAATAACAAAAGTCCCATATACCCTTGACCTATGTATACCAGTTTATAACATTTTGTCATTTCTCTCTCTCTCTTTCCCCTTCTCTACCTGCCTCCTTTCCTCCTTCCTTCTTTCCGTCTGTGGGTTATCTGTCTGTCTGTCTGTCTGTCTACCTGCCTACCTACGTATCCATCCATCCTAGTTTCTGAACCATTTGAGAATAGGTTGCAGACATTATGCCTCTTCACCCCTTAATACTTCACTATGGATTTCCTAGTGAAGTATTAAGTACATGGACGTTCTCTTTCATAACTGCTATACAGTTACAAATTCAGGACATTTAATACCAATATAATATTTTTACCTAAGCTATCACTCTTGCTCTAATTTTGTCAATTTTCTTATTAGTGTTCTTTATAGCAGTTTTTCTCCCTACAGTGAAAGACACAGGGCAGGATCATGTGTTGCATCTTGTGGTTATGTCTCTCCAGTCTCCTTTAACTGGGAACAGTCTTTCTTTGACTTTCATGACACTAACATTTTTGAAGATTACTGGACAATTAAAAAATAAATAGGGTCGGGTGCAGTGGTTCATGCCTGAAATCCCAGCACTTTGGGAGGCTAAGGCAGGCAGATCACTTGAGGTCAGGAGTTCAAGACAAGTATGGCCAACATGGCGAAACCCCATCTCTACTAAAAATACAAAAATTAGCCAGGTGTGGTGGCGCACACCTGTAGTCCCAGCAACCTGGGAGGCTGAGGCCAGAGAATCACTTGAACCGCAGAGGTGGAGGTTGCAGTGAGCTGAGATAGCGCCACTGCACTCCAGCCTGGGCAACACAGTGAGACTCCATCTCAAAAAATATAAATAGATAGATAGATAGATAGATAGATAGATAGATACAGTTTATGTACTTCTGCTAACTTCATAATATTCTATCCAGGCATGCCCAATTCAGGTAACTTTCCCCTGTTGTTTCTCACTGCTAAAAATATTGGTGTTTCGGTGAACATATTTGTTTAATTTCCTCTCTGCATTATTTTGGTTGGGTGTATTCCCAGAGGTTGCATACCAGGTCAAAGGTTATGACTGATTTGCTTAATGGTTTAAACTGGAAATAGTGAATCACTTTACAGTGTCATCAGCATGTACTTATTTCCTTGTGGCTTTGCCAATACTCTTTTATTGTTTTTGTGTATTTTTGTTAGTTTATGAATTTTGTAAAGATACATTAACATTTTCACTGTGGGGAAATTTAAAGTAGTTCAAGTTTTCTGTACTTTCCCCTTAATTTCAAACCTTATTCTCTCCTGCACTTTACTTTTCTTCGTGGTGTTTGCATTTCATTTTTATCTTTTCTTTTCTTTTTTTGAGACAGGGTCTTGCTCTGTCACCCAGGCTGGAGGGCAGTGGCGTGATCATGGCTCAGTGCAGCTTCTGACCTCCTTGGGTTCAGGCAATCCTCCCACCTCAGCCTCTTGAGCTGGGACTATGTGCCACCATACCTGGCTAATTTTGGGGTTTTTTTTTTGTTTTGTTTTTTTGTTTTGAGACAGAGTCTCACTCTGTTGCCCAGTCTGGAGTGCAGTGGCATGATCTCAGCTCACTGCAACCTCCACCTCCCAGGTTCAAGTGATTCTCCCGTCTCAGCCTCCCGAGTAGCTGAGATTACAGGCACACACCACTACGCCTGGTTAGTTTTTTTGTATTTTTAGTAGAGACAGGGTTTCACCATGTTGGCTGGCTGGTCTCGAATTCCTGACCTCAGATGACCCACCTGCCTTGGCCTCCCAAAGTGCTGGGATTATAGGCATGAGCCACACCGCACCTGGCCTCATGTTTTATATTTTTTATAGAGACAGGGTTTTGTCATGTTGTCCAGGCTGGTCTTGAACTCCTGGGCTCAAGTGATCTGCCTGCCTTGGTCTCCCAAAGTGCTGGGATTACAGGCGGTGAGCCACTATGTAAGTCATCATTATATTTTCATGGATATTTTGAAGTTCCAATAGCAACACAAGGTAGGTAAGGCCAACATAATAGTTCCCATTTTGTAAGTGATGAAAAGGAGGCTCAGAGACTCTACCCGACCCAGGCCAGTTGGGACTAAATGCAGAGCTCTTCCCTATAGACTGATGGTTTCACTTTCCTTCTCTGAGAAATAGAGTATACATGTCCTTAAGGGACCTGGAACTCCTGCCAAGGGGTCTGCTCCTTTGTCTCTGCTTTTAGAAGCTGGCTCACAGGATTTTCTCAGGAAGTTTTCTGAGAGCGTACCATTTGGCGAAGCAGGTACTTGGGATGGGGAGTGCTTTTGAGAGGGCAAAAGGGAGAGCTTCTGTCCTCCACCTTGCTGGGGAAACCAAAGTGAGGCTTAAGAGGTACCCTATCAGGCTGGGTGCTGTGGCTCACTCCTGTAATCCCAGCACTTTGGGAGGTGGAGGTGGGTAGATAGCTTGAGCCCAGGAGTTTGAGACCAGCCTAGCCAACATGGCGAAACCCTGACTCTACAAAAAATACAAAAATTAGCCTGGTGTGGTGGCATGCGCCTGTAGTCCTAGCTACCTGGGGGGCTGAGGTGGGAGGATTGCTTGAGCCCGGAAGGCAGATGTTGTAGTGAACAGAGTTCATGCCACTGCACTCCAGCCTGGGCAACAGAATGAGAGACTGCCTTAAAAAAAATTAATTAATTAAAAAAAAAGAGTTACCCTATCACCTCAGCTGTAGCAAAGCACCCCAGGGCTCTGGTAGGGCAGGTGGGAGGTCATGTGAGACCCCGGCAGCTTCCAGGGCCTTCCACAGAGGGGATGGCTCAGCCGCCAGCCTCTCTTCTCAAGATTGCCCCTCACCCCCAGTCAGCCGTCCACAGGGTCTAGAACCAGGAACTTTCACCTGCGAGGGCTCCTACATTGTTGAGTGTGGGGCACAGAAAACTATAGCCCTACAGCCAAAATCTGGCCTGCGCCCTGTGTGTGAGTGGCCCTGGAGCTAAGATTGGCTTTTACAGAGGAATGTTTCCAATCAATTTGATGATAGAGAACGCTAACTTTAGACCCCAATTAAGCAAAATGTTATCCATCCCCCGCAATATCCATATTTCCATTCTTTTCATTGGAACAGCTGTATTATAAAAACAAAATAAAACTCAATTATTATTATATTTTGAATTTCATTAATTAATTATTTAAAAACTTTAAAACTTGTGGAAATTCGATTTTCTCCTTTGTTATATAGGTGCCTACATAATATCCTACATTTTGCTTCTTGGCTTGCAATACCTCAAATATTTACCATCTGGTCCTTTGTAGAAAAGGTGGGCTACTCCTGATCTACTCCAGTAGGGTTTACAGCAAAACTGTAAAAGTAATTTATGATGGAATTGGGGTGAAGATGAAAGTGAAGGTGCAGTGTTGGGAAAGGAGGATGCAGCGGTGAGCAGAGGCCAGCTGCCCCTTGCCCTGACATCCTTCCAGGGACTCAGAGCCCTGGGAAGCCCAGAAGCACTGTCCACCTAGGTCAATCCTGCCCTCTTTGGAGTGTGGCTGGGGTAGGAAGAAGGGAAGGGCGCTCTGGATGTTGGGGATCGAGTGTCTCCTCGATACCTGGCCCTGCACTAAGCTCTGAGGTCTGTTACCTGGCTTCATCCTCTTGCAGTCCTATGAGATTATAGGTATTTTTCCCTTTTTACAGATGAGGAAGCTGAATCTTAGAGATTGAACTAACTTACCTTGGTAAGTGTCTGAGCTGGGATTTAAACCTATGACTTCTGAATCCTGGTCCAGTGCTCTCTTTGAAGTACCAAGTTGCCTAGAATTTTCTTTCTGTCTGTGACCCTGGGATCCCCTCCAGAGAACAGGGAAGGTGGTTGTTAATAGTGTCTGGGTCTCTTGGTGGTTTACTGGGGAGCCTGCTGAGAGTCCAGTTGTCCTGTGTCTAATCCATTTCCAGGGCTGGCACTGCCTCCCTGCTCACCTCCACCTCCTTGCTGGCAGCTTCTAACCCTGAGGCCTTAGGACCCTGATCTTGAATCCTGAAACACTGGCCCCTGGTGGCCTGGCCACAGGGCTTGAAGGGTGATGAAATATCCTTCCCTCATTGGGGTGAGGTTTATTTAGCACCCTGGGGGCAGGCCCCACTAGTTGAACTTGACTGCTCAGGGCTGTGGTGTGGCTCTAGTTGGTGAAGCATTCCTCCCTGTCTATGTTTTGCAGGCTAAGAGACAAGATGGACTGGGCAGAGGGGAGAAGGGCAGTGGAGAGACCCAGGCAGAAGGATAGGCTCAGGGCGGGACAGCCTGGCAGTGACTGTTCTGGGCACTGGAATCACCAGGTCCAAGTCTGATCCTGGCTCTGCCACTGTGAGCTCCTTGGTGCTTTGCACTCATAGGCTCTGTTTCTTCATCGTAAGATGGTTGCTATCTCATGGGGTTGTTGAAATACCACATGTGGAATCTGAGTCTCCACTTTTCCAGCTTTCTGGGGTCTCTGTCCTTTAATGTCCGAATAAGAATAAGCATTCCATTCCAGGCAACAGGAAGTCCTGTTCCCCAACCCAGGCTTTCTGAGCCTCCCCAGGGCATGCTCACATCTTCCTCCATGCCCTAGGCCCTTGCAACTCGAGGATCACTTTCCTCCTTCGAGACAAGGCTGCACCTCCTCTGTGATCTTGAAGTCTCAGGCAAGGACCCTGGCCCATTTCTGAGTCCCTCCCTTGCCACTGAGACTGGTTGAAGGATGAATTGATTTTCACCTAAGGCTTGGGGTTGATGAGAGGAATTGCTGCACAGAGAAGGAAATGGCTTAAAGTTGGGTAACAAAACCTCTGCTTCTTTGACTTCTGACCTCTGCCATGATACCAGGGTCTTCCAGGACCCCAGCCTAGGCCCCAAATCTGCTACCATTCTTTTTACTTAACCGCGCAAGGTAGACTCCCCTTTTCTTTCAGATAGGCAGTTAAACTCCTTGTTGCAGCACCTCCCTGATTGGACCCCAGGCCTCTCTTTTGCAGAACCAAAGGTCCTTTAAAGTTTTTCTTAAACAAAAAGCCATCTCTGACCCCCGCACGATGCAGTCTTCCGCCTCCTGTAGCAGATGGTAACGGCTTTGAGCAGCTTTTTAAAATAGCACCTTTTCCATTCCTGCCACAGATGTAAGGGACATAGCGTGGCACGTGGGAAGTGTCCAGCAAATGGCCGTAGATAGCAACATCATTTCCTTAAAGGCCCAGTGGTCATCAGTTGATTTGAAGAGTTCACAGGGAGGAGTTGCAGTGAGGCCCTGGCATCAGTATTTTTTATATGCCCCAGTTTGAGCAGAATGTGCAACTGGATCCACCATCAGTTCTTCAAAATGGTACTTGAGACACATCAGAGGCTCTCAGAGCTGTTAGTTTATTCCTTTCCTCCCTTGATTGAGTGAGTTGGTTTATTATCCTCTGTCCCAGCTCTGTTAATTCTCTCTCTTTGCCTTTGCTCATGTTAGACTCCTGCTGGGATCTGCCCTTCCCCCACCGTGTGTGTGTACCACACCCAACAGTGACTCCACAAGCCAATTCCTTTATGGCTTCTAGGTTTACTTCCCACTAATAGGTGTATCCTTTCAGTGGCCACCTTTTCCTTAGAGTCCTATGCTCATCTAGGTCTCACCCATGCATTGAGCCCTACTCAAGTTCTGCTTCCTCCCAGAAGCCTGCCCTGACTACTGCAGGCAGGGTTGGGCGAGCCTGTTCTGTGTTCCCACAGCATGTTGTGGATATCCCTGCTGTCACTCTTTGCCTTAGAGTCAGCTTCCACCCTCCTCCACATCGCCCCTTGACAAAGAGAAGAGACTCTGTAAACCCTTGCTGAATGAAGGATGAGTAAGTTAAGATGGCAGCAACTAAAAGAGAAGGTAAAGAGATGGTGAGGATTGTATACTGGTACCTACAGTGAGTCTCCTAGCACTTTTGCCAGAAAATTTCTGGCAGAGATACCCTAAGGGAGTTTGGAAAGAGTCATTTCTCATCATGCTATCTTAGAATTTAGACTGGAAGGGCCCCAAGATATCATCTGTCTAACCCCCTTTGAGGGACTGTGCGCTCTTTTAGGGCTTGAGCTAGAATACACACACACAAGTATTCTTCACTTGGTCTCACTCTGTCACCCAGGCTGGAGTGCAGTGATGTGATCTTGGCTCACTGCAACCTCTGCCTCCTGGGCGCAAGAGATCTTCCCCCTTCAGCCTCCTGAGTAGCTGGAACTATAGATGCACATGACCACACCCAGCTAATTTTTTGTTATTTTTTTGTAGAGACGGCATCTCACCATATTGCCTAGGCTGGTCTTAACCTTCCGGGCTCGAGTGTTCACCCGCCTCAGTCTCCCAAAGTGCTGAGATTACAGGTTTGAGCCACCATGCCCATGGGATTGTGAACTCTTTAGGATCATTTAAACATTTTAAGTGGTCAGTTCTTTACGGAAGTAGTCACCATGCACAAGGGAACTTGTCTATTGGGTGAAGTGAAGAATACTTGTATGTATCCTAGCTCAAGCCTTAATTCCGGCTAATGCTCTCTTTAGGAAGCTCTTCTCAGAAAAAAGTCTAGGAAACCTTTGCCTAATGCTTTGAAGAAAATGACTGTTAACAGAGAAAATAACCTAAACTATTTAAATGTTAATAATTGCAGGTGCTCTTTTAGTAATAACAGTGTTGTACATTTCCTTTTGTCTCTGTGAGATCACCCAGTAGCCACTACCTGTAGCATTGCCAAGATTAGCTCCCTTGTTGATACTAACCAGCATTTGGATGGTTACCCTAGGAAAATTGTACTCTATGCCTGTGGTTTGTGTTTCTAATATGTTTCCCTTCCCTTTTTGTTACCCTGCTTTCCTCTTTGCAAGGTAAGTGCTTCCAGACCAACGTCTAGGCCATCTCCACCCTATCCAGTGTCTGATACAGAGTCAGGAAAGTGGCTGGCAGATTAAACTGAGTGATGTGACCAACTTAGTCTCATTGCTTTGCCCACTCTGCTGTCCAAACTTACCTCCCAATACTTCCAAGCTTTCTCCTCTCTAGCTGCTTAGTCCAAGCCTTTTTATAAGATGTTCTTTTCCTCCTTCCTGTCTCTTCTTGTCTTCCACTTAACTAATTGTACTTAGCTCTCAAGTCCAGTGAAAATACTTCCTCTCCCTCTGGGGCCTTCCCATGGGTTCTTCCTTCCAGCCCCATCTATCCCTCCAGCTTTGAGCATCCATAGCCCTTAGTATCTGTGCCTCTTACACAATTACTCCAAAGTAGAAGGTTCTCTGGGGATTCATTCTGTATTTCAAGCCAGATTGTGAGCCCATTGAAGACGGGGCCACATTTTATCCTTCTTTGTGTCCCTTCCACCTCTAGCATATGGCTGGATCCACAGTAGGCACTCAACGAGCACAGGGGCTGGTAAAGCCATCAGCTGTGCTTAGCCAGCTTTGAGGCCCCAAGGGCGCTGAGCTTGTGTTTACAAGCCCAGGAGAAGGTAGAAATTCAGCAGCAACAATTTCATCAAGGCCCTGTTCACATGAGCTTCTTTGTTTTCTTGTCTGGAGGGGGTGGGGCAGGGGAACAGACCAAGTGTGCAGAGCTGCTTGACATCCCAGCAACTGTACGGAATGCTCACTCGCGCTCCCTTTCATGTGCCAGAGTCGTCCCACATCGCAGTATCATCCTGTGCTGACGTGAGCCTGGGGGCCGCTGTCCTGTTCCTCCCGAAAGTGACTGAGACTGAACCCCACTGAAGTGCCTACTTCCAGGAGAAGATGCCAGGGCTTCCCCTTGTGGGTAGGGTCTGATCTCTACTGAGGGGAAAGATGAAGGGAAATTCTGTTGCCATAGATGTTCTAGATCAGGGTTGTGGCTTTCTTTAAGGCTAATGATAAGAGGGGTAGAAAGACTCATCTGTGGCATCTGGCCCATCGCCACGGACTTGGAGTAAAGAACTTGCTTCATATCCCACTTTGGCTACCAATACGTTAATGCACCTGGGCAAGGCACTTTCTGTCTCTGGGTCACAAGGCATTTTGGTGGCAGAAGTGAGACCTGAATGTGGGTCTTTGCACTCCAGGTCCTTTGCCCTTTCCATTACTCCATAGAAACACTGTAGGCATTTGGTATCACACCAAGTTACCTATCCTTTCCCTTTTGATTTATTCCTTCTAGTACCTGAGGTGCTTTTGGGAACAGGGACTTTCTTTAGAGGCCTGCTGTCAAGGGGCTACCCTGACGTCATTCCATGATTCTCCTACATTTCCTTTCTATAAATATTTTTCTTTAAGCCTAGATTTCTTTTCGCTATCAAATGGGTGTGTCTCTTTTGTCAACTATAAATCCTTCCCAGAGGAGATGGGCAAAGTAGTGCTGCTTTGGTGAAGCAAGCGATACCTTTCCATAGCTGGTGCTTAATAAAAATATGTGATATGAATGAATAAATGACAGCAAGAGGCAAGAGAATTGATGATGCCATGGTATCACCTTAATCATTACTGCAAGAGAACATGCCACTCTTGGGGAAGACCCCTGTGAAATTGACCATTTCAGAGCAAGTGCCCAGTTTCCAGTCCTGATGAAATGGGTTCTATCCCCCACTGCCTTCTCAGCTGTTTCTTCATGTTGATGCATTCAACAAGGTAGTGCAATAAGAGTGTGCTGGCGTGGGAGAGAAAGGGGTCCTGGCTTTGGCTCTGGAGCTGCCTGTGCTTAGGCAAGTCCTCAGTTTCCTTTCCCCCATCTCTAGCATATAAGTGCCTTCTGGCACTTAGTGTCCTGCAACTTCATGATTATGTGAAGTGTTCTTACTGGGCCATGGGCTGTCTACTCAGCTGGGGCAGGAATCACTCATCTAGAGCCATGGCTTATGGCACAGTAAAGCCTGCGGGTGCCACTGAGACTGCTTCTGCTGAGATTAGACACAGTGGTTTGGCACCAAGTCTGTGACCAGTGCCTGTTTTTAGCAACATGGCTAGTAAATATTGACTCTGTGGCATGAAAATGGAAAGCAGAGATGACTATGTCAACTCACTCAGAGGATAGAAGTTCACCAACCTCTGATAAGATGTAGTTATACAACGCATAGGTGTGTCACTAATAAATAAGTTGTTTGGGGGCAGGGAGAATGGAAAACAAGACAAGGAAGCATTCCATGGGCAATTAACAGCTGCTTTCCTGTCTGCACTGTCTGGCTGGCTTATTCATTTGTTCGCTTTAAAATGAATGGATACTTACATACACACTGGCATGTAGGAAAAAAAGGCTAGAAAGAAATACACCGAAGCATTCACTGTGGCATTCTCTAGAAACAGTGAAATTGCCACAGATTTGTACTTTCATATACTTTTTCTGTTTTCCTCATGGTCTACAATGAGCACATATTACTTTTATAATCTGAAAAGGACAATGTATTAGACATAAGATAATTCTTTCTGAAGAGTCTGAAGGAACTTTCAGAATCATGCAAGTACCTTAGACCTTTGTGTTTTGCCTACTGGACACTGGGTAGTACCGTAGTTATCAAAAGAGAAAAGTCCATGTAAGAGAAGCTACTCTTCCGAATAAATCCTGATCTAAGTGTGTTCACTGATTTATATCCATAAAAGCAGATGTGGTGGGAAAATATTGCAATCATATAAGATTTCAGAATTTTTTTCTGTGTAAACAGACACTTAACTGCTTTGAGTGCATTCTGTAATTCACAGCAGCTAGCTCCGCTTGGCCCAGAGGTGGGCAGGTCTGAGACAGGGCACTCTGGTAAATGGTTGCTTGTGACCTGAAGGTGGGAGCAATCAGTTCTGGAGGATTGACTAGACTTCAGGATTTGGAATGTTGGGGTGGGGATGGGGGTGAGAATGGCGTTATAATAATAATTACCACTGGTTAAGCACCAACCATACACCAGGCACCATCCACATATTGTTATAACCTTACAAAGCCTTATTGGACAGGCATTAGCCACCTTTTAGGGAGGAGGAAACCAAGGCCAGGAGAAGTCACTTCTCTAAATCCTCAGAGGCAGTCAGCAGCAGGCCCTGGACTCAAACCTGGCCTCAAAGCATTTGCTCTTTCTACCATGCTAGGGTGTCTCTCAGAGGGTTCAGAGTTTTGCAACAGAAAACAGAAACTGCTAAAGGGAGCCTGAGCTAACAAATAAGGTACATGCGTCTCCATCCAGGACTGAGGACCTTTGGAGTAAGAGGCAGCCCCAGGTGTAAAAGCTGGGCGAGTAGCTACAGGTAGGATCCTGGCCTTGTTAGCCCTGAATCCAGGACTGGGTGTGTCTGCCTTCCTCAGCCTGGTGCAACCTAGAGGGGCCAGGTGGCCTGGGTTGTGGGACCCAGAGAACCACGGGACAGGTGGCCATTTCCAGTCTGGGAGGGACTTTCATCTGCTGGCTGCCTATGTGATGGGGGAGGCCATTTGTTGCGGGGCAGGGAGTTGGAGTGTGGGGTTGTGGCATCCAGGCCTGTGGGTGAAGAGGAGTTGGTCTCTCACCTTCTTCGTACCTGGTTGATTAAAACAACCAGTAAAAGAGTCTTAAGGCTGTTTAGCTTTTTCGCTGGGTTAGTAGAGCTAATTTCTGAGTCTGAGGCAGCAGTTGCTTCCTTGGGCTCACAGGTCCTGTCCTCACAGCCCTTGGGACTGGCCAAGTGCTGATTTCTTCCACCTCCACTGGAGATCTGTCTACCTGCAAACCGTCATTTGAGAATGCTTGTCTGCCCGCCTCACCAGGGAACCAGGGGCCTGCTCTCTGAGAATGAATGCCTCAGAGTTGGGTTTCATCAAAGTTGGATTTCACTTAATTTCTTAAGAGAAAGGATGTATGTTTTGGGGGAGAGGCCAAATTGTGGTGTGTGGTGTTTTTAAAAAATGACTTTTTTGGGCCAGGCAGCTGAGTTGATTGAAGCCCAGCAGTACCCATTATAGAAATGGCTCATCTTGTGGTTCTCTAGAGTCGTGCCTTGAATATTTTTGGTCTCCTGGCAAAGGCATATAGGATTTTGCAATTTTATGGAGCAGGTTTCAAAGTTACAGGAATTGCAAGGAGCAGTGGTGTTTGTCCTCTCCTCCTTCTCCGGGAGTCTGTATTCCTCTGAGGCTCAGGCCAGTGTGGCTGCTTTTCAACACAATGGGAATCATTGTAATAATCACCTGAATTTGTACAGAACTGTACAGTTGACAAAGCACATTGCCATGCATTGTCTGTTTCAATGCTCATGGCTACATTTCTAGTTAGGCAGGGATAATTGACTATTTTTTACAAAAGAGAAAACCGAGGCTTGGAGATGTTAAGTGGCCTGGAGACACAGCTAGGAAGAGGCAGCATCATAGTTGAGTCAAGGCTTTCTGACTCCAGACCAGCGAAAGCAGGGAGGTTTGCACCTGTTAAGGTGTGGACCTGCCCGTGTCCTGGAATGCGGCTCTCTAGGCACAGGGAGATGCAAGCACCTTGAGACCTGACTGTGACTGTCCTAGGCCCAGCAGAGCCACCTCGGTGGAGGGTTGGACAGCCTTTGAGGTGCAGGTGGGGCTTCGTGTGGTGCTTTGCTCTCTTCCTATGCCTTCCTTGGCTGTTGTCTATTTGGTCTTTACAACTGCCCTGTGAGGCAGCAGGGTAGATAGACACTATTAGCTGCATTTTATAGATGAGGGAACTGATGTTTCAAGAGGTTAGGTGACTCACTCAACATCATGTATTCATTAGTCACAAAACAAATATGTATTAGGTGCCTACTGAAGGTACCTAGGGGACTGAGGTCACAGCCAGTGTCTGGAGAAGAAGAGACTTGAAGGCAAGTAAGAAAAGGGAACACAGTAGGTCCCTAGAACTCCCTGCTGAGTGAGAGCCCCCAAGGACAGCCCCAACATTGTGGATCTCTTTGTATCCACAACAGCAATGAGAACAAGTTGGGCTTAGGCCAGTGTTCTAGAAAAACTTTGTCATGATGTAAATAATGGTGATGAAAATTCCTGCCATTTATTGTGCTCCTGTTGTATGCAGGCCATATGCTGGGCATTTTACATGTCCGTCCTTCCTTCCTTCCTTCCTTCCTTCCTTCCTTCCTTCCTTCCTTCCTTCCTTCCTTCCTTCCCTCCTTCCTTCCTTCCCCTTCCCCTTCCCCTTCCCTTCTTTCTTTCCTCCTTTCTTTCTTCTCTGCCACCCAGACTAGAACTCAGTAGCATAGTCATGGCTCATTGTGGCCTTGACCTCCTGGGCTCAAGCGATCTTCCCACTTCAGCCTCTGAAGCGGCTAGGACTACAAGCATGAGCAAACATGCCCGGCTAATTTATAAATATTTTGTAGAGACAGGGTCTTGCTACTTGCCTAGGCTGGTCTTGAACTCCTGGCCTGAATCAGTCCTCCTACTTCAGCCTTCCAAAGTGTTTGGATTAGAGGCTTGAGACATTGCACCCAGCCTATGCTATTTCTAACTGTCACAATAACCTTGCAAGGCAGCGATTATTTACCCCACTTTACAGATGAGAACACTGAGGCTCACTGAGGGCAAATCACTCATATCCCAAGTCACCCTGGGATTAAAATCCATGTCTCTTTGGCTCCAAAGCCAGAACAATTTCCACTGAACTACACTGCCTCTCTGTGATAATGGACTCTAAGAAACTTGCTGGAGAAGGATAGTGCCAGTTACTTTGGGAAACTCATGGATAAGGGGGGTCAGGTGTGGAAGGTGCTGGAGAGGTGGACAGGACCATGGCTGTGGGCAGAGAATCTGTAAGAGGCCGTGTGTCCTGCTGGTGGCGGCAGTACCTGAGAGAGAGGAGGACTTTCCTGCTTATGGCCATGCTGACCTGCAGTCCCCTGGAGCCAGCCCTCCCTGCGCTGCGTGGGCCCTGAAGAGCAGAGGCTGCTTTGTCCTCTCGGATGCTTTCCTGAAGAACCCAAGCCTTCCTCCCTATGCCCCCTTTCCCTGCTGTGTTAGTTTGCTGGGGCCTCCATAACAAATGGCCACAAACTGGGTGGCTTCAAACAACATAAATTTATTCTCTCCCAGTTGTAGAGGTCGGAAGTCCAAAATCAAGGTGTCAGCAGGGTTGATTCCTTGGGGAGGCTCTGAGACAGAATCAGTTCCATACCTGTCTCCTAGCGTCTGGTGGCTGCTGGTGATCCTTTGTGTTCTTGGCTTGTAGACACATCACTCCAATCTCTGCCTCCATCTTCATGTTGCTTTCTCCCTGTGTGTCTCTGTGAGTTCTCTTCTGTCTAATCTCTGCCTGCCTCACTCTTATGGCATCTGTCATTGGATTTGGGGCCCACTCAGGTAATCCAGAATGATCTCATCTTAAGATCCATAAATTAATTACATCTGCAAAGGCCCTTTTTCCAAATGAGGTCATGGTCACATGTGCCAGGGGTTAGAATATGGAAATATATTTTAGGGAGCCACTATTCAACCCACTATGACTGCCCACCCCTGTTTCTTCTTGGAGTTGCATGAGAACTTTGGGGGTCAATCCACTCACTGCAGGCTGGGCACTGAGCTGACAGCAGCTGCCTCTACTCTGCCTATAGCAGTGCCCTGAGTGTTGTGGTCAAGTGGTCTCGATCCTTTAGACCTTTAGGCAATGGGAAGACCTTATATAAAGAGCTCACAGAGCAGCTCTGGGATTAGCTACTTTTGAACGTCAGAGTGGTAATTCCCACCTCGAACATGCTGTCGTTGTCCTGTGTGGCATAAGCAAGAGAGAGGCTGTCCTTGGCATGGCAGGGCCCTGTGGGTCAGCCAGGCTGTTTGTTCTCCTGCCAGACTGCAGCTGGCACAGACTCCTGACCACACGGTACCCTTTCCTGCTGCCTTACATTTACTTAACACTGCAGAATCTGTTCTTCTCTCCTCTTCTGTCCAGATCTCCCTCCCCATCATTCCCTGCCCACCTCCTCTTAGCATTCTTCCTTACTGCATGCCTCTTGGCTATCAACGCATCTGGTACTTTATCTGTCCTCCCTCCTTCAACAATGTCAGAATGTTTTTTTTTTTTTTTTGAGATGGAGTCTCGCTCTTTCACCCAGGCTAGAGTGAAGTGGCTCTATTTCACGATTTCAGCTCACTGCAACCTCCACCTCCCAGGTTCAAGTGATTCTCCTGTCTCAGCCTCCCAAATAGCTGGGATTACAGGTGCCCACCACCATGCCCAGCTAATTTTTGTATTTTTAGTAGAGACGGGGTTTCACTATGTTGACCAGGCTGGTCTCGAACTCCTGACCTCAGGTGATCCACCTGCCTTGGCCTCTCAAAGTGTTAGGATTACAGGCGTGAGCCACCAAGCCCAGCCAGGTCTTATTTTTGTGTAATAATATTAACTCTTCTGAGGGATCAGGCCTTGTTTTTCCAGTTAGATGTAAGCCCCCCTGCAGTACCATGCAGTCTTTGGTAAACACCTGTCAGTGCCTCCTTGGCTGCTCAACTGGCATAGGAAAGTGTTTGGTCTTGTCTCCTCTCTGTTCCTAAATCATTGGGTGATTTTGAACAAGTGACCTACTCCCAGGGTTTTCATTTCTTCCTGTGGAAAGCCAGAATGTTGGACTATCGGATACTATCAAAGGTCCTTTTCAGGCAGAACACTGTGTGATTGTCCCAACAGCTCTCAGGTCTCTGAAGGCTCATGTCTGATAAGGCCAGGGCCTGGACCAACATAAATGTTCTCCTTGTGGCCAAGGTAGGGTCAGAGATCCCATTCCCTGATCCTGGTCCCAGCAGTGCTGCCTCCGCAGGTAGTATTCCTAAAAACCCAAACTGCAGGATGGACCATGCTTTTCCCTGTAAAGCATTCTCTGTGATAACCCCATTTCCCAAGGATCAGGTTCTCCGTGGGTAGGTGAAGTCCATCTGGGAGCCTAGTTAGAGGAAAACCAAGTAGATAAACACTTGACCTGTGTTGGTGCAACCTCAGCAAGGCCTCTGGCAGCCTAGCCTCCTGGCCAGAACCCTGGCTAGAAGGTGTTTCTTTCTGGCACAGCTGCCAGCCACACCCAGAGAAGGTTGGGGCCTCTCCCATTTTCTAAGTGAAATGACTAATTAGTCCTGAAGCAGGAGATTTCTATCTGCTCATAATGGCATCATGATTTATTCATGTGAGGCTGGACCACTTACAGGGACTGGTCCCATGTTTCCTCTGGCTTTGATGTGATATGAGGCCAACTGTAGTTTTCCAGAATGAATAATTTCTCAAATCCAGCTTGCTTTCTCAGTCACCGCTGCCAGGAAACCTATAACTCTGTTCACTTAATAGCACCCTCCTTCCCAGGTCTGCAATCATTTTAGAAGGAATGCATTCTTATCTGGCGCTCAGTTCCTTCTCTGGCAATGTGAGGGTTAGGCTAGATGGTATCTCAGGGCCTTTCTAGCCCTTAGGTTTTTCTACTTTTAAAGTTCTTGCCCCTTCTCCTCATGTTTTCTTAAGGTATTTGCTTCCATAGGACTGAATGCAAGGTAATCAGAGACATAGCTGTTGAAAGCTTCTCTCCTGGTTTCACTTTTCTGCCCAATTACTAAGTCTTAAAGGCACGTAGTGTAGTTTAAGCTGTTAGTTCCTGGCCTCTTAAGACTGCCCACATTCACTTAATGTCTTGTGACTTGCAGCCTCCCAGCTTAAAATCTCAGTAATGAAGAACAAGATCTTAACCCTTGTATAAAGATAATGGCAGGTTACCCCATTTCCATAATCCCATGCAGAACAAGGGAGTTAGACTGGTCTCATTTTACAGAACAACCAAAATGTTATTGTGACTGCTTTGTGCACATGCACCGTGAAATGAGTCGGCTCTTTAATGATTTGGTTGCCACCTTATGGGTTGTCTGGGGGTCTGGGGTGGCAGGGGTCTCAGGCCTCCTTTCAGGGACTAGGCTAGTAGGGACTGACATAGTTTTGCTTCTGTGAATTCTTTCTTGTCTGTTTGACATTATGATCATATCGAAGATACAATTTATATCCCATTTCCCTATTTATGTTGTAGTGTAAACATTTTACAGTCATTCCCTATATAAATATATTCATTGGCTATGCAGTGCCCCAGATAGAATGCTTAACATGATCATGTTTAACTTGTATAGTTAAGAAAGAAAATCAGTTAATAACAAAATCAAATAGTGCATTTAAAAGTTCCCTCCCACCATCCTCCTGAACCTCTCTAGTCCTATTCCTCATAAGTGATCATTAAGTTTCTTGTATATCCTTCCAGAAATTGTCAATGCATATATGAACATACATATGCATAGTCTATATTTTCAAAAAGGTAGAACAGACTATATACACAGATGGGATCAGAATGTTGTTCTGTAACTTTGTATTTTAATCTTGTGTATTTTCCCAGATCAGGTATGTGTATCTTTTTAAAAGCTGCATAGACCACCTGTTATGGATGGACCATAATTAATTTAAGCAGTACCGTCTTGATAGACATTTAGGTTGTTGCTGAAATGCGCATCTTTTTACATACATCTGCATACCTCATTTACTCATCTGCTGTCTGCCAAGTATGGTTCTAGGCACTAAGGATTTAACTGTAAACAAGACAAACTCTTGTGTCACCCTTGTACTGGTAAAATTGTCAGATAAATTCTGGAAAATGGAATTGTTAGTGCATCGATTTATCACATTTCTTGAATGCATGTGGCATATAAGCCACGTAGACTATTTTACTGAATGTTTGATAAATCAGTGGATGTTCTCCCATCCCGCAGTATGGTCACCTCTTTCCAGCCTCTCAGTGGTTAATGGGTCATGTATTGAGGCTTCAGGAAGGTTGCTGCAGCAGTGAGGGGTAGTGACAGTCAGTAATGTATGTTTGCCAGGACTTTTAAGATTCCTTATGGTACAGCTTTGCAGTGTGTTCTTGCAACTGTGTGAGGAAATCAGAGTGGCTGGTCTGCACTTTACGGAAGGAACTGACACACAGAGAGATCAAGGCTGGGGGGCTGGAAAAGACTCATTACTTTCCATGAAGGTGGCTGGTGGCCAAGCTGGGCTGAGGGCCCAAGAAGAGGGGTTTTGCTTCCTGGGACTTCTTTAAGTGGTCCTTGGAATTTCTCCCACTTAGAGTAAAGCATGTGCAAACTGGAGGAGCAGTTTTATTTTTTCACTTACTATATGGAGACAGAGTTCTCAAGGACTTGCATTTCATGAATTCAGTTAGAGCTGCATTGTCCAATGTGGTAGTCACCAACAACATCTGACTGCTTAAATTTAAATGTAATTAAAAATAAGTAAAATTGCAAATTAGTTTCTCAGTTGTACTATCCACATTTCGAGTGTTCAGTAGCCACACGTGGCTAGCAGCTACCACATTAGACAGCACAGATATAGAACATTTTCATTATCCAAGCATCAACCTGGAGTGTATAAGGCTGTAGCGTTGTTTTTCTCCTAAACACTTCCACAAACACTTGAGTGTTTTGAGTCTAGGCTCACTGCAGCTTCCGCCTCCTGGGTTTAAGCGATTCTCCTGCCTCAGCCTCCTGAGTAGCTTGGATTACAGGTGCCCGCCACCATGCCTGGCTAATTTTTGTATTTTTAGTTAGAGATGGGGTTTCATCATGTTGGCCAGGCTGGTCTGGAACTCCTGACCTCCAGTGATCCACCCACCTCGGCCTCCTAAAATGCTGGGATTACAGGTGTGAGCCACTGTGCCCAGCTTGAGATCATCTTTACTCTCTAACTTTTAGGGAAAAGAGGCTCACAGGCAAGAGGTGACTTGGTGCCAGAAGTCACGTAGTTGGGGGTGCAAAGCCACAAGCACAGCCAATCCTCCACCTGTGTTTTTTCCACTCCAACCTGAGCTGTTGATCCTGATCCTTTGCATATGGCTTTATCTGTTCCATTGTCCTGCCTTTATGCTAATCTGGAGGGTTCAGATTGGGTGCCTACCATGAGTGGGGCCCTCTGCCAAGTAGCTCTGGGTCTGTGTTGTTGCTATGTCCCCAGACAGGAGACCACAGAATGAGTCAGCCACCTCCACATGGGGTTGCTGGTGCCCTGCAGATTCTGCCCCAAGACTGACGGCTTCCCTGTGAACCCTCTTGTGATGCGGTCAGGACATGCATCAACAGTTTATAAACAAGATTACAGGAAGCTCGGCTGCTGTTCTACACACAAACCCACCCCACCCACTGACATGCAGAGCTGGGACAGGTGCTGAAGAATGAGTCCATGGGAAGCTTGTCTTCATGAATGGGATAAAACCCAAGCTGGTAGCAGACTGACCCATTGTTTTCCGAAGTGGGGATGGGTAGACAAATGAGAGACCAAAACTGCAGTAGGGGCTCAGAACAATTAAAGTGCCAACTCTGAAAATCAAGACATTAAGGCAGGCGGGTGGGGACTTTGCCTGAAGTGGTCAGCTGGGATTTGGGAGTGATGAGAAATAACTGGTTTGAGGCTGAGAGACAAATGTAGGGATCATCATCACATTGAAAAAGCCAAGAATGCGGATCCCCATGCCTATACCTATGCTGATAACTTCTTGCTCCTGAAAACTGTAGTTGGGAAAGTTGGCAGAGGACACTAAGCAGTCAATACTGTTGTTATATTATTACTATTGTTATTGAGAGTAGTAGTAAACAGAAAGACATAAGTTAAAAATGATATTTATAGGCCGTCTTTAGAGATAGAAGAAACTGAACCTTCTGGCATACCAGGATATTCCTGTTGCGTGAGAACTCGTGGTTCTCAAACTTTGGTGGGCATTAGAATCCTCAGAGGGCTTATCAAACCACAGATGCTGGGCCCCACCCCCAGAGTTCCTGACTCTGTGGGTCTGAGCTTAGGGCCTGATAATTTGCATTTCTGACAGGTTCCCAGATGATCCTGATCTTACTGGTCTCGGGTCACACTTTGAGAAACACTGGTTTATACCATCAGGTGCTACAGAGAACTCAGTTTGTTTCAGTGGCATAGGTTTACAATTCTAAGGCCCTTTGACAAACCCTCTTACCCACAGCCCAACTGTGCTGGCTGCCTAGAACAAGCCTTTGTGCCACTGGAAACTGCTTTTGTCGTTACTCATCATGACTGTGTTTCAGATTTTTAGTGCTAACCACCTCGAAGTCTTGAGCTGCTGTAAGGTGCCTCTCTTACAGTGGGTGTGGTGGGTCACACAGATGAAGTGTAAGACATTGCCCTGCCCTTAACAGATTAACCTAATTTAGGGGCGGGGGGAAAGGCAAACACAGTAAAGAAATGAGCATAAAGAGACAATTAAGTGTACTGAACTTTAGGAGCTAACATATTCCAAGGTGAGGATTCCTGGGGGGTGGCATGGTCAGGGAAGACTTCCAGGAGGAGCTGGAACTTGAACTTAAAACAGGAGTAGCATTTGGGTAGGCAGACGACCTCCTAGTTTAGGCAAATAGGGCTAGCAGAAACCCAGAGGTGGAAATGAGTGTGTTGGGGTGTGTCTGCTGGGAAGCAGAGTACATTTGGGCAAGTAGAATGAGGCTAGGTGGTGAAAGGCCCCTGGGGCCTGGCCAAGGAGCTCAGGCTTGATGGGAAGGAGAAAATAATCTTGAGCAGAGAACATGATGATGTCTGCGTTGTAGGACAATATACTGGGGAATGTGGGGTGTGGATTGGGTGTGTGGGTGGAGGGCTGAAGACAGCAACACTGATCAGGAAGCTGTACTAAGTGTTGGTCTGTAAAAGTCTAGCTCAGGAGGATGGCAGGTAATGAAGAGATACTAGCCCAAGTCCATTCAGAAAACATGCACTGCAGATCTACTGTGTATCCACTGTAGTTGGTGCCTGGGGGTACAAGGCTGGACAATTACAGTCTACTAAGGGAGAATAATATATAGAGAATTTCAGTAAAATGGGCTGAATCCCATGATGGAGGTATGCACAGGAGGTGAAAATAGAGGAGGGCCTCATGTCCAGGACACCTTGAGGGAAGGATCAGCTGTGACAATAAATTCTGGCCAACTTTCCTATGCCTCCTTTAAACAAAGAGGTCTTATGTTTGCAGACTGAAAAGGGGATCCTACCCTTTCCTCCCCTGTCATCTGTAAGGCCCTTGGTGATGCTGCAGCTCTGTGGCCTGTCCCTCAAGTACACCCTTGATTGGATGACAGCAGTGCACTGCTCTGTTGGTTAGGGATGTCTATGCAGGTGTTTCTTCTCATTTTCTTACTTTTAAAACACAGGAAATTTTAAAAGGAAAAGTTTCACTCAACTATTTGTTATCCTCATGCACTTTTGCATCTGTGTTCTCTAATACAAAAATTGAATCAAACCATACATATCATTTGTGCATGTTCACTTATTATTTTATAAACATGTCCCTTATGATGTTCATACTTGCTATTTTAATGTTTATATAATTGTCTATTGCATCCAGAACATCTGATTGCCAAAGCTGTTCCTTAGTGGAGAATGCTTAGCTTGTTTCCAGCTTTTTCTTGTCTATGAAACTATGTTCTTTCATTTGAAGTCTCTCTAGAGGCCAAATTCCCAGAATACAATGCACCTGGACTCAGATAATCTGACTTTAAGTTCTAGATCTGTGGCAAATTGGCTCTGTGACTGTAACTCTGTGAGTCTCAACTTCCTGATCTCTATAATGGGGAGAGCACTGACTGTGCAGGGTGTTGAGATACTGTCTGAGGCCAATATATGAAAAGTGCTTCATAAAGAACCTGCATATAGGGTAGAGTTGATATCACCTGGTGAAAGCATGTGAGTATTTTTATGGTTCTTTTTTAAAAAAACAGATATAATTTATATACAATTCACCCATTTATAGTGTCCTAAAGCCATTAGTACATTCGCATATAGTGTATTAAAGCCATTAAATGGCTTTAATGTATTCAGAGTTGTGTGACCATCATCATCATCAATTTTAGAACATTTCATTACCAAAAAACCCCCTTACCCATTAGCAGTCACTCTCTGCTTCTCCCAAACCCACTAGCCCTAGGCAACCACTAATCTTCCTTCTGTCTGTGGATTTGCCTGTTCTAGACATTTTGTAAAAGTGCAATCATACAACATGCGGTCCTTTGTGACTGGCTTCTTTCACTTAGCATAGTATTTTCAAGGTCCATCCATGATATAGCATGGATCAGTACTTTTTTCCTTTTAATTGCCAAATAATATCCAGTTGTATGGCTACACCACCTTTTGTTCATCTATTCACTAGATGATGAACATTTGGACTGTATCGTCTTGACATTTAGTGCTAAATGGCACACAGCAAACATAGTTGTATGCTCCAAGCTATTTGATGTGCCAAAAAAGTCGGACTCTCAGTCCCTTATGCAGAATTTTATAGTTAAACAAACTGCAGGCATCAGGTAACTGTTAGGAGAAGCATCACAGAGCTATCCAAGGGGATTTTGGGAAACTCCTGTGCAGAGTAAGCCTGTCCCCCTCCAGGAGGGGACCTGTGCCTGCCTTCCCAGCATTGACTTTCTCTGAGGCTGGGAGATCAGGAGGCAGGAGAGGTTTCCTACTGGCTCTTGGAGGATGGAGAGCTCTGGCTGGAGCTAAGATGAAATGTGAGCAGGGGACAGATTGCCATGATAGGGGAGAGGAAGGAAGACTGGGGGGAACTGGAAACTGAGTGGGGGCCAGAAAACAGGCTGAGGGGACCCTGTACCTTCAGGTCATTTTGAGAAGAGTGAGAAAGGGTTGTGTGAAAGGGAATGAGAAAGGTTGGCTGGGCATGGTGGTGCGTGCCTGTAATCCCAGCTACTCGAGAGGCTGAGGTGGGAGGATCACTGGAGACCAGGAGTTCAGGACCAGCCAGGATGACATAGTGAGACCCCGTCTCTAAAAAAAAAATTTTTTTTTCAATTAGCTAGGAGAGGTTGGCACACATTTGTAGTCCTAGCTACTTGGGAGGCTGAGGTGGAAAGATCACTTGTAAAGTGAAAAAGCACAGTAAAGTGAGGGTGGGCCCACCACTGCCTTTAGATCCTCTCCCCTGCAGCCCATGCAGGTTTTTCCGAGTTAAGGTTTGAGCCTCCCTGCATTTCAGTGACTTCCTGGAGTCGGGCTCCCTATGGGTGGGAGGGAAGAATAATGTCTACTTCCTTCTTGGCTACCTGCTAGATTGATGTAATCTGTACTTGGCCTCACCTCCTCCAGCTGCCAGGCCTTCCCCTGGCAGGCACCAAGGATGAGTTGTCTGACACATGAGGCAGGGTGAGAAGGGAAGAGAATGGGGCCACCTGACAGGAGACCTGTCTGGTCCTGCATCTGTCACTGCCCGGGAGAATAGGTGATGTGGGCAAGTTCCTTTCCTTTGCTAGGCCTCAGTTTCCCCATTTATAAAGTGAGGTGACGGTAAGAAATTCCTTTTATTTCCATGGTTCCATGAGGTTTGCCAAGTTTTATTGTATACTGGGGGATCTCTGACGTCTTTCTTGGTTGTTTCTGCCCTGCTTTGGTGAAGTGGGAATGGAGTTGGGGGAGTTCCTTGCTTCTCTTGAGCGTCTAATATAGGTGACGATGTTGTACGTCCTTAGCTGGTGGTTGCCAAGGGCTGACATATACTGTATAGACCAGGACATGATATAAGGAGAAAAAAGTCATTTTTGCTCCCTGGCTGGTCAGTCTGGGGGCTTATGGCCTCTGATGGTAAAGGCTGACATTCTGCCTCCTGACTGTTTTTTGTTAAATTGGCAAAAGCTACATGTGTCAGAACTCAGGTGGCTACACATCTTGGTGGCAGGTGCTGCTTTGGTGGCGGAAGGATCAGGTTGGTCTGGGAAAGCTGGATGGACCAGTGTGGTGAGCGGAGACCACTCAGTGTGGGTTGGTCCTGACACCCTCTCAGGAGTGATGGGATGCCAGGAGAGGCCATAGGGAGAACCATGCTGAGCTGGCTGGGTTTGTACGTGTTGCAGAGGGTTTTTTGTGGGGTTTTTTTTTTTTTTTTTTGAGTCAGGATCTGGCTCTGTCACCCAGGCTGGATTGCAATAATCCGATCATAGGTCACTGCAGCAGCCTTAAACTTCTGGGCTCAAGTGATCTTTCTACCTCAGCCTCCCAAGTAGCTAGGACTACAAATGTGTGCCAACACGCCTAGCTAATTAAAAAATTTTTTTCTTTTTAGAGACAGGATCTCACTATGTTGCCCTGGCTGGTCCTGAACTCCTGGTCTCCAGTGATCCTCCCACCTCAGCCTCTTGAGTAGCTGGGATTACAGGCACGCACCACCATGCCCAGCCATGTTGCAGAGTTTTATGTGGTTTGAATCTGGTTCTTCTCCCAGATCTAGTCTTTGTGTTTACTTCTTCTCCTTTGTGGGCAAGACAGTTTTTTGTTTTCCTCCCCTGCCCACCCCTACCTTGGCTATCTGTTTCCCAGTATTTGCTGTTGGCCTTAGGCATGAGGGACTCTGGGCAGATTGGTATAAGCCCATTCCTATGTTGGGAGGGCACATGGCTGTCCTCCCACCCTCTGAGTTGCTTCAGACATTCCCTTTCCACATCTTCTCCAGCACCTGCACATCTTTCCGGAACTGCACATGATATTCTTGGGCTGGCATCTATGACTTAGGTCAAGGAAAGGTAAGTTTCTGCTCTTGTATCTAGTATCTGTGGTGGCTGAACTTACCAAACCCTTGATCAAACACACAACCTCACACACAGAGCCTGAAAGTGAATCAAAGGGTTTGAAATTACTGCTCTTTGGGAAAATCTAGGTAGGATGACTTGCCCTGAGCTAACTGGATACCCCTCCTGAGAAGAGCCTCTTGGCTTCCCTGAGACCACAGGACAGAGCACCACTCAAGGATGGGTATTGGGTTCACTCAGAAGACATGTCTTTGTCTTGTCAAACCCACAATCTTGCACCCTGAAGTGGGGGCCTGAGGCCAGAGCACAACAGCAGGTGGATCAGTTAAGCTTTGGGCTCAGTTTCCCTGTTTGGGAAGTGGGGTCTCTCGGCTAGTCACCTTTCATCCTTACTTAAGTGCTAGGAGGATTAGGTAAGAGAGTGTTTTGAAAGCTCATGAAAACCTTCATCTCAAAGGAACTCTGGGAGTAGAAGGAATTAACGTTTCAAAGGAAAGATAAGTCATCACTGATTTGGCACTGAAGCCAAGAGTGTAAGGTCAGAGAACAACCTGTGGCTGCTGAAAGGGAGGGTGTGGCTCTCAGAGTTACAGGATCATTGGGTTGTGTCCTTGGATGACTCAGGAGCGGTGCTGCACGTGCTTAGTGCTTTTGTATGTGTGCCCTGGAGCCTGTGCGAAAGCCCGCTGCCAAACCAAGGGGCCCACTGTGGAATTATTGTTATGCAAGCTGAGGGGAAAGACCCCACCAAACCAGCCAGCAGTTTCCATTGAGGCCTAGCAGAGACCCCTATCTCCACCCTTGAAGAGGGGCAGTAATGTCTCTGAAAGTCTCTATCCCACTAAGGTGCTCAAAGTCCTCAGAACACTTGTCTAAACCAAGCTGCCCCATCCAGGCAAAGGTATCAGCATGAGGCAAGCCATAGATTATGATGAGGATTTTTTTAAAAAGTGAGGGTCCCCCTGTTGAATTAATGGATCTAGGCATTGATCATCAGAAGCTGGTAATATCACAAAGAGAGATAGCCAACGTTAGGCGCCTCCTGATGGGAACACACAGCACCACCAATGAAGGAGTCTTGCAAGAAACTCAAACCTGAATCTGATCAAGCCTCTAGATCCAGCTACTCATTTACAGGAAATACAGGGGGCAGAGGAACATGTAAACAATACTATCAGGAAGTGGCCAATAAAATCCAGACAGTGAGAAATGGTATAGGTCAAAAGACCTGGTATTTATGACAAATGAAGTATAAGAAAAAGAGAAAAATGGAGGGATGGAGGGGAGCTCTGGGAAGGGAGAGAGAGAGAGAGAGAAGAACCTAAAGATTAAAAGAGGCTTAAGAGACATATCATTTGCAATATGTGACCTTCCTTGGGTTTTGATTTGATGGAACAAACTGTAAAAAAAAGTTAAGGCACATGGGGGAAATATGAACACCAAATGGATATTGATGACATTAAAGAATTATTGTTAATTTTAAAAGGTGTGATAGGCCAGGTGCCATGGCCCATGCCTGTAATTCCAGCACTTTGGGAGGCTGAGGCAGGCAGACACTTGAGGTCAGGAGTTTGAGACCAGCCTGACCAACGTGGTGAAACCCCGTCTCTACTAAAAATACAAAAAATAGCCAGGTGTGATGGCACACACCAGTAATCCCAGCTACTCTGGAGGCTAAGGCAAGAGAATCACTTGAACCTGGGAGACAGAGGTTGCAGTGAGCTGAGATTGCGCCACTGCACTCCAGCCTGGGTGACAGAGCAAGACTCTGTCAGAAGGAAAAGAAAAGTAAAGAAAAGAAAAGAAGGAAGGAAAAGAAAGAAAAGAAACTTAAGACCCAAGACAGGATGACTGATTTGCTCTTGATCACTCAGCTGATTAAACCCAGGTAATGCCACCATGGGTCAGCAAAGAAGTAGGCGAATCCTGGTGATGCTGGAAGCATTGGATGCCCTGTAAGGACATGATTTTGCAGTCTGCAAAGTGTGTCTAGGTCTCTGCCAGAGCAATGCACTGCCTATGATAGAGTGCTATTGCTAAACCTTCCCACTAATGCAGATTAATTTCACACCCTTTGCAAGTGTTGCTATTCCAAGTTTTTCCTCACTCAGCCGCTGAAAAGGGACAGAATCTAGAGATGTGCTCTGGATCGAAGTCCAGCCTTCAGAGTTAGAAGAGAAGAGCCAGTAGGGGGTCGTCTGTCCATTCTATCCTCAAGGGGTCTCCCCTGAGATCAGTTCTTCCCCACCTTATCTTGTGGCCTTATTGCATCCACCCACCCTCCTCAGCCTCCAAGCCTAGGTCCCATTCCTGCAAATTCCTGCTTTGGGTAAATTAATAAAAGAGTCAGTCTTAACACTACCCCACCACCTCTGGTCCCACGACACACACACACACACACACACACACACACACACACACACAGGTCCCACGACACACACACACACACACACACACACACACACACACACACACACACACAGTGTCTCAGTCTTTCTCTCCCTCCCTCTCTCCTCCTCCCTCTGCTGCTGGTTTCATTAATTAGGCGATTCTTTGTTTAAAAGACCCAAGACTCTAAGGAATGATACTTTACAGATGAGATATCAGTGAGTTTATTGGGTGAGTTGGGGGCACAAAGGCCCCCTGAATTCTTACCAAATAGCTGCCTACTGTATCTGTGTGTGAGATTGATGGGAGTTCATACTATCATCCCTTGCATGTGTGTGGCCTTTTGCAGTTTACAAAGCATATTCACTTGCATTGCTATGTGAGCCTCATAGAAGCCTGACATAGGTAGATATTAGCCTCATTTTACAGAAGTGGAAACTGGAGCTGGGAGAGTTTAGTATGTGTTCTGCCAAGTCCTCCAGTTGGTCATCTATCCATCCATCCATTAATTATGAAATATTTTTTACTATTATGGACAAATTATGTTGATAGATGCTATGGAAGACACAGGGACAATAGGAGAAACTGTTAAAACCTTTAAAAATGTGTTCATCTTCAAAACGTATTTTATTGAAGGACATATATTGTTTATTGCTAGAGCATGTAGAGCTCATTTGTGTTTCCAATAAGAAGACTTACATAAAAAAAGGAATTTCTGATGAACTCTGTTAATAAAAATGTTTTAAAGTAGTCCATCCTTTCCTCTTAACACTATGGTTGATCTGCGTTGAGCTGGGACGTTTCCACCAGATGGGGATCAGAGGTGCCACCTTGGAGGTTGACTGTGCCACTCTCCCCAGGGCCCTGAGCTTGGCTCTTCTGCAGTAGGAGTTGGCAATACCTGTCCCCATGAGCCTCCCAAGGATTTGAGAGTGTAAAATGAGAGGATTCATGTGAAACTACTTTGCAAATCATGAAGTTGCTCTTCAAGGGCTACTTTTATTCACAGAAGGAGTCACTCAACAGATATTTATTAATTTGTGTTTGTTCATAATACTGCCTTTACCAAGGTAGGAAAGCAAATTTTCAGCAAAGAGGGTCAGAACCAAAGGAAATGTGGCATGAATATTGGGGTGCCTAGGATTCTGTTATGCAGTGGATTGGGGCCTTGCCGTAATATTTTCTAAAACAGCACTTCTCAAACTTTAATGTGTATGTGGATCACCTGGGAGTTATGTTAACACACACATTCTGATTCAGTAGTGCTGAGATGAAATCTAAGATTCCACTTTTCTGACAAGCTTCCAGGTGGAGTCAATGCCGCTGGTACAACATTTAGGAGCAATGTTCTTAAGGGTGCAATTGAGAGGAAAGGAGGGGAAGTACAGCCCGGGGCTCCTAGAGTGGGGAGGGGGGCACACTGCTGACCTATTTGTGCCATAAGGGGAGATTTCCAGAAAGGTCTTCTTGGGAGCTCTGATCACTGCTTAGTAGCCCCACTTCCTTCCCATCCTCCTCAAGTGGGAAGAGGCTGTTGTCTTCTTAGGCTGTGTATTTGCTCTGAATTTTGGAGAGAGAAAATGTATATTGTGAGTGCTTGAGCCCCATCTCGGGGTAGGAGGAGGAAGGAAGGAGATTACACCATCACATACGGTAACTGTTCTTTGTCGGGCCAAGCTGCTTGGGGAAGCATGGCTGTACCATGATCTAGAGACAGCAGATTGAGCCAGTGCCTGCCTTCAGCATCTGATGGCGCAGCACAGCAGAATCCAGTGCAGACTAGATTTTTTTTTTTTTTGGCAGGTAGTGGAGGTGATTAAAGAGTGTTGACTCTGGCCGGGTGCAGTGGCTCATGCCTGCACTTGCAGCACTTTGGGAGGCTGAGGCAGGATCACCTGAGGTCAGGAGTTCTAGACCAGCCTGGCCAACATGGTGAAACCCTGTCTCTACTAAAAATACAAAAATTAGCTGGGCGTGGTGGCACGTACCTGTAATCCCACCTACTTGGGAGGCTGAGGCAGGAGAATCGCTTGAACCTGGGAGGCAGAAGTTGCAGCAAGCCAAGATCACACCATTGCACTCCAGCCTCGGTGACAAGAGCGAGACTCCATCTCAAAAAAAAAAAGTGTTGACTCAAGTGTTTTGAAGAAGAGAAGGATTGGGGAGTAAGCAGTCAGAGGGTGCCCCCACCACCTTCATTTTACACTCATCAGACACTTTGTCATCACCTATTCCCAGCTTGCCAGGCTCTGAGTGCCCTCATGTGGCTCTCCAGCACCCCAAAGACCTCTACTGTGCAGCCATCTTGATCTGCCTTCCCCCTAATTACCATGGTTCTCCCCACCCCCAGCATCATGCCTTCTTCCATTACATTGAAATTTCATTTTTTTCCCCCTGCATACCTGAATTCTGCCAACTAGTAGGAAAGCAGTCTAATTCAGTCATGTTAAGGAATACATGGCTACTGATCCAACCAGCTGTTAGTTGCATTTTTGTGAGTCATGACACACAGGGGTTCCTCCCTAGTTCTCTCCTCCCATTCAGAGCCTATACTTTAGGGAAAACCAGAGGCTTTGTAGAGGTCTCTTTTGCTGTAGATGGTGACATCTCAGGAGTCTGGGTGTGGGGACAAAGTCCAGGTATGCTTGGTGCACGTATTTGTTCAGGGAGAAAGGTTTCTTCTGCCCCATAGCAAGCAGGCCCCAGTAAAAGCGGGATGCTGTGATATAAGGGGGAGTTTGCTGTAGTGGGGTGGTTTTTACACAAAGTCCTGTGGAGCAGACCTAGGGGCTGTGTGTGTGTGTGTGTGTGTGTGTGTGTGTGTAGTAGTAGTAGTAGTAGTAGTCAGGCAAGTGCTTTGTATCATCCCCCTTTCATCCAAAGCAAAGATGCTTTGATCTATTCTGTACATTAAACATCTATGTAAGGCTTATTTGAAAACGTTATTGATCGGGTGTGGTGGCTCATGCCTGTAATGCTAGTACCTTGGGAGTTTGAGCCCCAGGAGTTTGAGCCCAGGAGTTCGAGACCAGCCTGGGCAACATGGCGAAACCCCATCTCTACAGAAAATATAAAAATTAGCCAGGCATAGTGGTTGCATGACTGTGGTTTTACCTACTCAGGAGGCTGAGGTAGGAGGAGAGCTTCAGCCGAGGAGTTTGAGGCTGCAGTGAACTGTAATTGTGCCTCTGCACTCCAGCTGGGGCAACAGAGTAAGACCCTGTCTCAAAAAAAATAAAAAAATAAAAGCAGGGAAAAAAGCATTCTTAAATACAAGAAGACTTAAAAATGGTGCCTCTGGCAAGCAGAGCTAGGGTGGGAGAGGAATGGGGCAGGGGACTCTTGTTTGCATTATAAGGCTTTCTATGCAATCTCATTTTTACTTAGCCATGTTTGTGTACATTATTCTGCTAAAAAGTTTTAAAATAATGAAAAGGAAAAGACCCCTACTGATGGAGCAAGTTTGGAAATCCTAGCAGTTGTAGAAAGTCACAGGAATAGAAGTAAGGGACCTGAGGTCCTGGGCTGTGTGACTGAACTGCTTTGTGACCTTGGGCAAGCTGCTGTGAGTGTTTCCTTAGTTATGAGATGGGAGGGGAGATGATCTTCCTCTCCCCTGTGGTTTGACCCTGCAGTTCCACGAGAAGCAGCTGTTGGCAGCTGTGGGGGCAGAACTGTCCTCCCAGTCCCCACGTGCCCTGGAAAGGCTCGGGTCTGATGCCTGGCCCATGGATAGTCCTGACCCCCAGCCCCAGCTTGGTCAGATCATTCCTGGGCTGGAGAGGAAGAGAGATTTTGACCAAATTAGTTTGCTTCTTACTGGCCTCTGGGATCCATGGGAAAACTCCTCTCAGAACAGAGATTGACTGCTGAAGAGTGAATGGGCGAGTTTCCAGCACAGCGTCTGTGCCATGCTCCCGAGCTGAGTTTAGTTTGTGTCAAAGCGCCTACTGTGTACTTTGTGGGGGATTGGCAGGTAGAAAATTTCACAAAACAGCCCTGCCCTCCAAGAGCACAGGAGAGTCAATATATAGAATATTTCCTTTAGGAAAGAGAAGATTTGCGAGGAAGCTGCCTTCTTCCAATATTTGGTGGTTCTTCCGTGGATGGGCACTGCATCTTGTTCATCTTTGTGTTCCCGGTGCTTGCTCTCAAGACTCATTATTCATTTAATCCTCATCCAGCACAAACGCACAACAGTGAACAAGCAGCACTGTCCCTTCCTTTCAGGAGACTACAGCCCACGGTGAGATTCCGGGAAGTAGACAGAACAGTGCAGGGCAGGACGAGCTGCAAGGGGGAGGATGCCAAGCTGTGCACACGGAAAGCACCTACTGTTACGGCCATGGCAACCTCAGCTGCTCCTGCCTGGGCTTCCTGGGGATTCCCCTGGGTCTCCTCCGGGCATAGGTCCACCCTGCAGAGACCCAGGGAGCCAGAGAGCCTGGCATATGTGGGGACCCTTCTCTGTGTATAGAGGAGGCTTGCCAGCCAGGCCCAGCCTCTGGCAGGAGAGACCCTGCAGAGTCCCCAGCCTGCAGGAACAGTGTGGTGGCAGGCAGCCTGAGGGAGACAGTCCATCCTTTGGCTCTCCTGGGCCCTAATATATTGAGACACAACCTGGCTTCTCCCTCTGTCCCAGAGGGAAAGCCTGGACCTGCCACCTCTCAAGGCAGGAATGTGCTTGTGTGGCCAGCCCACATCCATGTGGGAGCCCATGACTGCTCTGTGGGCCTGTTTCCCTGAGGACGGAGGTGATTTTCTGGGGTACTGAGGGGCAGGGAAGGGCAGCCTGCACCCATGGGTAAGAATGTCTGCTCTGACTCATGACACTCACTGTCTGACTGCTTCATCCTTCATCAATCAGAAACCACTTCCTAAGCACCAAGGATATGTCAGGCTCTGTGCTGTGTTCTCCCAATTCTCAAATTCCTTTTTCTTAACTGACTGTGAGATAAGTGTATTACTTTCATTTCACAGGTGGGAAAACTGAAGCCCAGAGCACCAAGGATAAAATCCTATTTGTTGGTGTTTACCATGTGCTGGATGCCATTGTGGGCACTTGTGTGGATCAGTGCATGAAATCATCATAGCTTATGAGGCGGTTTTCATTCCTGTCTCACTGATGATGAAACTCGCCCAGGGTCTCACAGCCACCTTGTAACAGAACTGGACTGGAGTTATCTTGGAGTCCTTTCCAGAGACCTCCGTGCCCTCAGAGCACTGCTGGTTAACCTCTGCCCCTCTTTGACTCCAGTGTGGGCCATGTGGGTGAGGACAAGGGCAATTAGAGGCAGTTAGTGTGGGAGACTTGATGGGTGGGTTTTCTAGAGGAAAGAGACCATTTTAGAGGCTAGGGTCCATTTTAAATTGCAGCAAAGGCCGGGCATGGTGGCTCACACCTGTAATCCCAGCACTTTGGAAAGCCAAGGTGGGCAGATCACCTGAAGTCAGGAGTTCGAGACCAGACTGGCCAACATTGTGAAACCGCATGTCTACTAAAAATACAAAAATTAGTTAGGCATGGTGGCGGGCACATGTAGTCCCAGCTACTTGGGAGGCTGAGGCAGCAGGAGAATTGCTTGAACCTGGGAGGTGGAGGTTGCAGTGAGCCAAGATCGTGCCACTGCACTCCAGCCTGGGTGACAGAGCGAGAATCTGTCTCAGAAATAAAATAAAATAAATTGCAGCTGGGGTAGACAAAGGACAAATAAATCATGTTGGATTTGACACATACCTTTCCTGCGCCCTGACAATTAGGCTTGAAGGAAACCTGTCAGGCAGTGCCAAAGCCTGTAATGGCTTAGAGCAGAGTTGGAGGAGTGGGGCAGGAGTGGCAACCCTGAAGGCACCTGGGAGTTGCTAATTGGGGGTGGTGATGACAGAGGAGATGGCACAGTTGCACTCTGAGCCGCTTGCCTGACAGAGGCTCTGGTGTCTGCTGGGGAGTAGGGCTGGATGGGAGAGGTGTAGAGGAAGATGTGCTTCTAAGAGGACTTGGACCTGTTCCTTCTGTCCCCACCCAGCCCTCCAGGCTTGTGGGCAGAAAGGCTGGGTGTGGACCTAAAGCCAAATCTTTTGAGGGTGGGGATGAGGGAATAGGCCACCTGCAAGCGTGGGGGCAGAGGGGGATGGGGGTGGCACCATTTCATTCCTGTGATAAATGCTTTTTGCTCTACAATGAACTTGGCCATTAGGATCGGCTGTACATGATTGCCTGAGTAGTCCTCCCTTGGGCAAAGCCTTTCACACTTTGGGACTCCCTTTAGCCGTCTGTGAAATGGGCTAAGCTCCGTTTTGGAAGTCGTGCTCTGCTGCCCACTGTATTTCTCCATGCTCGTGTCCTGGAGTGAACGCTGCAGTGATGGCAGCACAGAACCACTTATGATTCCTCTTGCTCATGCATGTTAAGAATTTGAGGCAACCTATGATGAGAGGCACATAGAAAGCAAACATAAAAGTGGAAGATCAAAAGCCAGATGCCCTCCAGAAGAGTATGATTTAGCAAATGTGTAATAAGGCCCGGGTGTCTCATTTATTTTTATTTATTTTTAATATTTTTGTGTTTAGAGCCAGGGTCTTGCTCTGTTGTCAGGCTGGAGTTCAGTGGCACCATCATAGCTCACTGCAGTCTCTTGTTCCTAAGCTGAAATGATCCTCCCACCTCAGCCTGCTGAGTAGCTGGGACTACAGGCACATGCCACCATGCCCAGCTAATTAAAACAATTTTGGGGGGCAGGGTAGAGATGGGATCTCACTGTGTTGCCCTGGCTGGTCTTCAACTCCTGGCCTCAAGTGATCCTCCTGTCTCAGCCTCACAAAGTGCTGGCATTATAGGTGTGAGCCACTGCATCTGGCTGTGCCTGAATTTTTAACCAGCTCCCCAAATGATTCTGATATGCCCCCAAGTTTGAGAATCCATGGTGCAAAGGAAGAAGGAGGAAATACACCCAACATCTAGGTCATCATAGTTGTTGTCATTTGGTACCAAGATAACAAAAAGGAAATAAGATAGATGACATCATTTTCATTATCTGAAATGAGGTAGACAAACATCTTTCTGGTAATTTCTGAAAGAAAGCCAACATGTGAGTCCTACTGTAAAGGACACTACACACATGCTGAATAATTTGGGGTCAGGAGAGATGCTTTGCCTCTCTAAAGGGGTCTTGTGCTGGTTGCCTCACAGCTGTGGCCCACCCTGGGGGCACCAGGCACGCTCTGCAGCAGGACCTGCTCACCCTCCAATGCCATGCCTTCCTTTAGTCAGCTAACAGGAGGGACATTGCCCGGAGCAAGAGTGCAGTGACTTTGAGGAAAGGACCAGGTCAGGGGGACAAGGGATGGCAGTGGGTCCCCTGGGTCGTGCAGTAAGTTTGAAGGTATACCCTGCATGGAGTGACCAACAATGTGACCAGCAATGGCAAGAGTCACTGAGGCACAGAATTGCTCCCTTCAGAGTAGCCCTAAGACACAGCAGTTGGGTGATTGAAGTAACAGGCAGGCGAAGTGAAGGGAAAAAACTTGTTACCACCTTCTGATGCTGAGAAAGACCTATAGCTTCTTTAGACAATAAACCCATAACCACTCTGGCCTATAAGAAAATCAGTTAGGGAAAATCTTTTCAACATATTTGACAAAAGGTTAAATATCACAAATACATAAAGAGCTTTTACAAGTAATAAGAAAAAGGAATAGCCGGGTGTGGTGGTGGGCGCCTATAGTCCTAGCCACTTGGGAGGCTGAGGCTGCAATGAGCTATGATTGTGCCACTGTATTCCAGCCTGGGTTACAGAGTGAGACCCTGTCTCAAAAAGAAAACAACAACAACAACAACCAGGGATGTATGCAGAGATTTATACATGTGTGTATTTATAACAGTATCATAATATTAAAAATTGAAAATGATATAAATGTCCAAAATTGAGAATTTGCTTTAAAAACCATGGTTTACCTGTATAATATGATATTATACAGCCATTTAAAATTAGATATTAAAATAATTTTTAATTATATGAGGAGATGTTAATGATCTATTGTTAAGGGGAGAATTTTTAAAAAGCAGGCTTCAAAATAGTATCTACAGTACCATCTCACTTACATTAAAAAATGAAAAAAACAGGCCAGGCACAGTGGCTCACGCCTGTAATCCTAGCACTTTGGGAGGCTGAGGTGGGCGGATCACCTGAGATCAGGAGTTCGAAACCAGCCTGGCCAATGTGGTGAAACCTGGTCTCTACTAAAAATACAAAAATTAGCCAGGCATGGTGGCGGATGCCTGTAATCCCAGCTACTCAGGAGGCTGAGGCAGGAGAATCGCTTGAACCCGGGAGGCGGAGGTTGCAGTGAGCCGAGATGGAGCCATTGCACTCCAGCCTGGGCGACAGAGGGAGACTACGTCTCAAAAAAAAAAAAAAAAAAAAAGTAAAAAAGATTTCAGTATGTGCTGAAAAACATCTGAGGGGCAGACACCAAGATGATAACGATGGTTATCTTAGAAAGGTGGGACTAAGGAACATTTTTTAGCTTCCTTTTTGTGCGTTTCCTTCCTTCCTTCCTTCCTTCCTTCCTTCCTTCCTTCCTTCCTTCCTTCCTTCCTTTTCTTTTAACATTCTTCTTTTTCTAATCAAAAACAATCAAGAATGTTTTATTTGTAAGTGAGTCTGCCAATGAAGGGTTCCTGCTGCACTGGGGGCCAGCCAAGGATGACAAGGCCCTTTATCACACTTCCCGGTTCTTCAGCTTAGGTCATCATTTCTACAAACACTGGCTGAATACCTGTTTTGTGCCGGGTGCTGAGGTGGGCCCTGTGAGAGTTATGAAGATAACACCTCTTACTCTCCAGGCTCTTACAGGCTGGCTTATAGTTGAGTGCCAAGATGAATGCCCAGGTCATTTCTTATAGAAATACTTTTGTGGTGTTTGGAGAGTTCAGCATTTTCCTGGCCATGAAGATAGTCCCTGAGATCTGCTCTCCTTGCCTGAAGCCCTGGTCCTCCTTTGTCTTTGAAAATTTAGTTGGCTGACACGTGACAGATCAATGTCAGTAGCCTGGACCCATGGCTGGGCCCTGTGCGGTAGGAAACCCAGAAACCACCGTGTGTGTCTGTGGAATGTTTCATATGTATCAATATGAAACATATGATACCTGTGATACAGTATGTCACACACTGACCTGCATCAGAGACTCTAACAGGGATTGGCATGAGGACCTGAAAGAGATATCTTGGTCCAATCCTTCATTTTTGGATGAGAAAACTGAGGCCCCAAGGGAAAAGGAAGCTTGGAAGTTGGTGGTAGAGCCAGGACCCCTAACCCTGTACTTTGCCCGTGATATGTAGTCTTCCCCATTCACAGCCCTGCATGTCTGGGAGAGGCAAGCAATCTTGGGCATTTTCAAGTCATGGTGAAGAAATAAACATGGGATTAAAAATTCACAAACATTTTGAGAAACAGAGACCATCCATCCTAGATGGCTAAGAGCTGACTATATCAGTGAAAAACAAGATTCTTACATCAAGAATCTCTCAGGCCTTAAGATCCTGGTGGACAGAAAAAAATTGGGCAAGAAATAACTGGTTATGATTTGTACACCATCCATATTCACATACACAGACACACATAGCCCTCTGCAGAGCCACCTGTTTAATGTGAATCTTGGGAAAGTAAAAAGACCTTTCTATCTCCAAGTCATCTTACCACTTTGCCCCATGTGTGCCTAAACTTGCCACTATTCAAGCCCCTTCTTGGTCACAAATAGTGTTAAACTGTGAAGGTGTTTCTTTGGAGGGAGGTCAGGATAACCCTTAGGGATCCTTTGTCACCTTACATGAATTATGGGAAAGATCACAGGGGGTTGTGGGCCAGGAAGAGGTGGAAAGTTCACAGGAGGCGGGCTGGATGCAGGAGAGGGGAGGGCAAGTGGGGAGGGAGGTATTCTAGAACATGAATGGTTCACTTTACCATTTTATGAGGGGTAATCCTGTACCCCCACAGTAACAGGAGAGCCTCAAACCATCCTGGATTTTCCCATCTTCTTTCTGCAGTCTTTTTCCTGCGTGGCAGCACAAGCTCGTTTTTAAGGTATTATCCTTTGGTTCTGTCTCCTGGGCTTTGCCCAGGCTATGGGCCTGGCTGGCATTTCTAGGAGGGAGCAAACTGACCTGCTCTGTTGAAGTTCTTTTGTTAAACATACATCTGACTGTCAGGAACTCAGATGGTGGGAAGGGTGCCTGACCCAACTGAGCCCGACTGGTCCCTTGACTGCTTGTTCTCTCCTTCCCTGTGCTCCCACAAGGAGGAAAGGAAAGGGCAGGTTCAGCTTCCTGATGTATTTCCTTGAGAAAGTGGCCACAACCTGATAGGGAGGGAGTGAAGGTGAGAGGTTATTTGGGGCCTCCACAGAATGAAGTGCTTGTGTATCACTCCCTGCCTCTCCAGCTGTTGCAGATAGTTCTTTCATGCCCAGGCTATATTTCCTTTTCATCTGCGTTTGTCTAATCTCTGCAATAGACTATATAAGCCTTTCAAGTTGTGAGGTGTGTCTTGTTTACAGCACTTAGGACAATGATCAGTAAATGAGAGACAGATGGATAGGTGAGTGGACAGTTAGGAGGATGCATGGGTGGATGGTTGGGTGAGTACATGGGCAGGTGGGTGGGTGGTGGGTGGTACCTTCCAAGCCCAGCATTTCCTCAGTAACCTACATCATGTTTAGTGTCTAGAATCTAGACTCTAGACTAAGGGAAATATCAGAGGATACTGAGCTATATTTTCAGTGAAAATCTTTCTTTACGTAGCCAAGTCAAACTTTAATTGAGCCTAACTTATTTCAGGTCCTAGACTTGCAGGCTTGAGCTCATTTGACAACAGCATCAAAATGTACTTAAGTTAAAAAATAGTTGTCATACTTTAGCCCAGCTTGGCCCTGCTAAGTGATTCCTTCCTTTTTGTGCTTTAGTTTTTCTGACTCCCTGTACCCCGCAACAACAACAAAAAAATGTCTAGAGGAAGGAAGTTAGTCTGTAGGACCTGGGAATGAAACAAGCCAGCCTCTAAAAGCAGCTGCTGCAGGCCCATACAGAACAGCCACCTGTGACTTTGTGGACAGGGGCCATTTATAGGTCAGGAGTCAGTTCCCTGGAGACTCTGGCTCCTGGTACTTAGCCTACATGTGCTCCTCACCGCTGACCCTGAGTTCGGCTTGGTTGGAGTGACTTCCTAAAAGACTAGATAATAATACTGAGAAGCATCTGCATGTTCTGTTTTTCATTTTCATTTATGATTTGAAACTTCTTTGGGATCATCTAGAGCATGCTATGCTTCCATGCTATAGAGCAGTACTTCTCAAACTGTGTTCCCTGGAGCTTTTGGGGTTCCCTGAAGCCCCTTTAGGCCTCATGGGTGGGGGCGGTCAGTGGGTGGGCTCTGGATGCCTCTCCAAAAGAAGCACAGCTTTTCATCTGTTTTACATATTGGACTTCGGTGAAAGATTTGAGAGAGGGTTCCACACCTCAAATTTCAAAGCCATCGTCAAGGAACTAGAAAGACAGTAGCAACAAGGTCAGGGAGGGGAAACAGGCTCATGAAACGAGGGGCCTGGGTCATTAGCTGGGAGAAGAGTCATATTAGGCAGCCCTGTGCCCTCTTCTGTTTGCAGGTTCTTGGCTGGCATTCTGTTGTTCCAGACTCTCCACCTGCTGCTGACTTTGCTGCTGCTCCCTGCGTGTTTCTCACTCCTGTCATGCCCATCTAGTTCCCAGCGCACTGCCCACCTGGCTTTGGTAAACTTTTCCTCCTTACCCTTGTCTCTCTGGCCTAAAACCCTGACCTGTTTCCTGCTCTGACCTCAGATAACGTTATATTTCTTCACTCTGTTTTGGTTTCCTGAATATCTGGTCCCTTGCTTGCTCTGACCTTGGGGAATGTGTCCCCAAGTGTTTTCTGCGTCTTGTTCATGGGATTTGGAGTGGCCTGGCTGGAAGATGGATGTGTTGGGAAAGGGTGGGAAATAAGGACAGGGTCAGCCACAGAGGCTCCACAGTGGAGCCTGGCCAGGCAGAGGAGTAGGGAGGGGGCTCAGTGACACCATCCCCAGGCAGGCTGTGGCTGTGGGATGTGGGTGTGGGTCCTCCGGGATCAGGCTGACCTGGTTCTTGTGGACTACAGCTTTGAGCTGCTCCTGCCTTTGAGACACATTGGCTGAAGGTCCTTGGCTGGAAGTTCCTAAGCATTATCCCTGCCCTATGGCCCTGAAACCTCGCAGGGTAATTCCAGAGGAATCACGGCTCATTGTTCTCCAGAGTGGAAAGAGGAACTGCGGTGTCTGCGGTGGGGAAGCAGGAGGAGGAAGCCAGTCTCCGCGACCCTCTGCTTTGGAACACTTCCCATTTGGTACCTCTCACCTCTGGTGGCATCTTGTCCCTTGGCTGGGGCCCTGCGTTCTATGCAGCTCTACCTCATTTCCACCTTGATAGACTGGTGACTTAGGGGTACATCACTCAATCTTTGGACACTTTAGAGTCGACTAAGAGAGGGAATGAGGTAGACCCACTCAATCCATGGACCTTTCTTTTTCTTTTTCTAGATGGAGTCTTGCTCTGTCACCCAGGCTGGAGTGCAGCGGTGCGATCTCAGCTCACTGCAACCTCCACCTCCCAGGTTCAAACAATTATTGTGCTTCACCCTTCGAGTAGTTGGGACTACAGGTGTGCACCACCATGCCCAGCTAATTTTTGTATTTTTAGGAGAGATGGGGTTTTGTCCTGTTGGCCCAGGCTGGTCTCAAACTCTTGACCTCAGGTGATCCTCCCGCCTCCCAGAGTGCTGGGATTACAACAACCACACCCAGCCCATAGATCTTTCAAAGCCTTTAGCAGCTTGGCCCTGGTAGTTGACAGAACAAGTCTGGTTGGCTGTGGCTTACCACAGAGGGTGAGGGTGGGTGGCAGTGCGAGTGGTCTACCTTGATGCAGGCCGTAAGGGGTATATTGCCTTTTGAGAATTTAAAACCAATAATAGGCCTGACGCAGTGGCTCATGTCTGTAATCCCAGCACTTTGGGAGGCCTAGGCGGGCAGATCACTGGAGACCAGGAGTTCAAGACCAGCCTGGCCAACATGGTGAAACCTCATCTTTACTAAAAATACAAAAATTAGCCAGGTATAATGGTGCGCACCTGTAATCCCAGCTACTTGGGAGACTGAGGCAGGAGAATTGCTTGAATTCAGGAGGTGGAGGTTGCAGTGAGCTGAGATTGCACCACTGTACTCCAGCCTGGGCAACAGAGCGAGACTATGTATGTGCGTGTGTATGTATGTGTGTGTGTATGTATGTATGTGTGTGTATGTATGTATAAATAAATCAAACAAACCGATAATAAAATCGAGTAAAAATCAGTCTGCTTTTTACTATCACCACATGCCAGCAATTCAAAACAATGTCGAATACTGTTCTCTTCTGGGATGGGCCCCTCTCCTCACTACTTGGTACACACTACTGGTCAGTTACCTCGAGAGCCTCATTGTAGCCGGAGTCAGTGACGTGGATCTGTGTCCTAGCCCTGTTCCCTGGCCCAATTGCCAGTCACTTTACTTCTCTAAGCCCAGTTTTCTCTCTCTCTTTTTTATTGGCTTTTTTTTAGAGACGGAGTCTTGCTTGTCGCCCAGGCTGAAGTGCAGTGGTATGAAGTGCAGTGGTATGATCATAGCTCACTGTAGCCTCAAACTCCTGGGCTGAAAACCATCCTCCCACCTCAGCATCCTGAGTAGCTGGGACTGCAGGTTGTGCCACCTTGCCTGGCTTTTTTTTTTTTTTTTTTTTTTGGAGACAAAGTCTCACCCTGTCACCCAGGCTGCAGTGCAGCAGTGCAGTGGCATGATCTCGGCTCACTGGTACCTCTGCCTCCTGAGTTCAAGTGATTTTCATACCTCAGCCTCCCAAGTAGCTGGGATTACAGGCTTGCACCACCATGCCTGGCTAATTTTTGTATTTTTAGTAGAGACAGGGTTTCACCATATTGGCTAGGCTGGTCTCATACTCCAGGCCTCAAGTGATCCCCCTGCCTCAGCCTCCCAAAGCACTGGGATGACAGGTGTGAGCCACCATACCTCTCCAGTTTTCTTATCTGTGAAATGGAACTAAAAATGATACTTGCAAATATTGAAAAAGAGAATGAATATGAAGTTAGCTCATTAAGAAAAAAGCTGGCCGGGCGCGGTGGCTCATGCCTGTAATCCCAGCACTTTGGGAGGCTGAGGCAGGCAGATCACTTGAGGTCAGGAGTTCAAGACCAGCCTGGCCAACATGGTGAAATCCCGTCTCTACTAAAAATAGAAAAAAATTAGCCATCCATGGTCGCGGTGCCTGTAATCCAAGCTACTCAGGAGGCTGAGGCAGGAGAATCACTTAAACCCAGGAGGTGGAGCTTGCAGTGAGCCGAGATTGCGCCACCGTACTCCATCCTGGGCAACAGAGCGAGACTCCAGCTCAAAAAAAAAAAAAAAGGAAAAGCTGGATGTAAATGTTGTAATGTTCACATTGCTATACAAAATTGATCCCGTGGTGTGACATTTGGTTCATGCCCTGTTTATTTACCCTTGACAGTGAAGACTTTGGGGGGTGGGGATTAAGCCAGGCTCCTCCATGAACCTTAAGAGCTGAGGTTGGGGACATTTCTGAGCACTGAGAAGCTGTTCTAGGTATACCCCTTTTAATGTGAGTCCTGGGCAGACAACTAGAGAGCCCTTATGAGGTGGCACCTGGGGGCCTGACAAGTTTGGAAATGAGGCCCATCTGCCAGTGACACTGATCTTGACACAGCCCACTTGTCCTCCCAGGTGCTGAGTGAGTGAGGAGCTGAGTCCTCTGCCTGGGAAGAGGGGTGTGTTCCTGACAGAATTGCAGGAGAGTGTGCTGGCAGAAGCGGGGTGTTTTCTGTATCTTGAGGATTTACTGTCCCTCACGAAACCATCCTACGTGACTTTTGCAAGCCAGTCTCAGGCACAGAGTTCCCACCCACCCACACCTCATGCTCTTCTGCAAGGCTGGATGGTAAAGTCCTATCTCAGACATTACCTCATGATTTCCCAAACAACCCTGGGAAGTGGGCAGGGCAGGTATTATCATCCCCATGTGACAAAGAAGGAAACTGAGGCCTGGGGAGTTGAACAGGCTGCCCAGGGTCCTGGCTCGTTAGTGGTAGGGCTCTGACTAGACTCCCAGTCTCCTGACACCAGCCCAGAGTTAGGAATTTGGAGAGTGAAGAGAAAGGGCTTCATTCCTGTTTAGAGTTGTCCCAGGCTCTTTGGAGCTGTCTGACAGGAAGCTTTCTAAGATGAGACCTGGGATGGCAGATGGAGAAACATGAACTGAAAAGGCAGCTCCCTGTCAAGCCCATGAAACTTTGATAGCAGATTAGGACGAGGAATCGGGCCTCCTACCAGCCCCGTGCTGCAGTAGACCATGCATAGGTATTGATTGTTGCTATGGGGGGCAGAGATACTGGAATATGTGTGCTTTGCATATGTATACCAGATTCCAGTATTCCCATCATTTTTGATTTAGTGTTAGCAATGACTTTCATTAGAGGTTGAATTGCTCCCTTCTGCTCCCTCCCTGGATGACATTCTGGGTGGCTCTGTCCTAAAGTAGACAGACCCTCGCCTCCCACCCATCATCCCTGTAGCCTAGCTGGCGACTTCTGCACTGTGGGACCTCAACTTCTGGCTGCAGAGCCTTCTGTGTGCAGAAAAAGGCCTGTTGCTGTCACCTGCCCTTGGGTTGGCTGGGCCCTCTGATGGGCATACTAGAGCCACCTCAGGTTCTGCTTTTGTGCATCTGCTGAGTACAGTGGCCAGGGAGTGCCTGACTGCAAATTTTCACTCCTGTTATCCTCCGAAAGCTAGAGTAATCTTCTGCCTTGATTTGCATATTCATAACACAGCAGTTAGACTGGTGAACCCCTCAAGCAAAAATCATGCTGATGGGAGAGACAACCCCTCCCCTCTGATTCCCTTTCTTTACTCCTTTCCTGAAATGATCAGATCAGAGAACTATGGGGAAGTGTAATACTGAAAATGAGGAACTAGTATGAGTAACAGTGGTATAGTTTCTTCATTTGTGAAATGGAGATAATCAGAAAGCTGTTGTAAGTCAGCCCTGGCTGCATGTCAGTTACCCAGCGGGCTTTTAAATAGCCCCATCTTCAGGCCCAGACCCAGGAGATCAGAATCTCTCAGGGTGAGACTTAAACACTAGGAGTTTTAAAATTCCCCAGGCAATATCAATGTGTGGCCTGGGTTGAGAACCACTGCTCTAGGATTTAAAGAGTTGGCTACTTGCTCGGAATAGAGCTATTTTCACATCTGGCTGTGCGTGGGAATCATTGGCGGGGTAGGGTGGTGCTTTTAAAATTAAACTGAAGCTGGGTGGTGTGGCAGGCACCTGTGGTCCCAGCTACTCGGGAGGCTGAGGTTGGGAGGATTGCTTGAGCCCAGGAGTTTGAGGCTGCAGTGAGTTATGATCACACCACTGCCCTCCAGCCGGGGCAGCAGAGCCAGACCCCATCTCTAAAAATAAATAAAATTAAACCAATTCCTTGGTTTCACATTCCAGACCATTTGAATCAGTGACTTATGTCTCTGGATGTCTCTTGCTCAGCCTTCACATGAACCACTTTTGAGTACCACGGGCCAACATTACAAATATTTCCAGTCTTCACAATTCTCTAGCAGGGAACCCTGATTCCCATTTGACAGATGAGCAAATCTATGTTCAGAGCAGGTGAAAGCATAAGTCTCTGAGGCCAGGCCTGTCTGATCTTGAAGCCTGGGGGCTGGGTCTGGTGGAGGGTGTTCTCTGCTCTTCTGGAAACAGCCCAAGGAGTGGGGGACACCAGCCAGCAGCCTTGGCTCCCTCTGAGGCTCCCCTCTACAGGTTGAGCAGAGGGCTGTGCCTGAGTGAAGACAGGTGAGACGAGTGGTGGTGTGTGGTATTTGGCGCCATCGTAGTCACCCACTCTCAAAATACCTCCTTTTGGGGAGGGAAAGATGCCTGTGCAGTGGGCCTGCCCCGGTCACCACTCATTGCCACAGCTGTCTCGCAAAGAGAAAACTCAGGCAGGAAAAGCAAACACTCATTTGCTTTTTGAGAGTTTGAGGAATTTTTCAGGCATGTGATATAGAAAAAAAATGCCACTGTTTCCCTCATAAGAGGAAGGGGAAACAACGTCAACATGGCCTGAAATGTTTAGCTCTAGTTTACAAAAGCCCTTCTGCCGTTTCACAAGTCCTAAGGCTGTCAACACAGTGCAGGGCTGGGAGCTGGGGGATTTGGATGCCAAGCCAAGCCCTGCGCCACTGCCTATGTGCTCTGTAAACCTAAGTGTATCCCTTACCACCCTTAAGCTTTGCTTTCCCCACAGGTCAAGTAGGAACTCAGGGCTTCTGTGACAAGGTCACAGGGACTCTGAAATGCCAGGCCCTGCCAGCGGCTGCTTGAGGTGTCGGAGAGGAGAGGCGTGTGGCTGCCTTGACACTGAGACTCAGAGCCACCCGGGCCTGGAAGCTCGGTCAAGTGTTTGTTGGCACCTACCAAGGCACCCGCTGTCCTCGAGGCCCAGAGTGGCTCCAAGAGACCATATGTGTTAGAGTTCACACTGAATGTGTTCACTCTGGCTCTGGGAGGCCTGGCTCCACTCCACCTGCGTCAGCCCTTAGTGTGTGCACAGCTCAGAGCCAATATTTGGAACTGAAATAGCTAAAAATTTAGAGTCAGTGGACGATGTAAGATAAATTTGGCTCCACAAAGCCTTCTCTGCCCAGTCCAGCCCCCAGGATCTTCTCTTTCCCTAGAGCTCCATCTGTACCTGTTGTCTGTGCCTTTGGTCCCTGCCCCGTAGTGCCTAGCACAGATCCTGGCACAGACTGGATGCCCAGACAGTGTTGATTGAATGGAGATTAAGGCAATGGAGAGATGCATGAGTTTGTGTTTGGGAACGTCTCTGAAGTGGCTGCCATAGAATGCTACCTAAGTGTTGGCCTATGTATCTGTTGCTTGCTGAACTTGACTTTGTTGTTGTTATTGCCACTCCGGGTATTTTGAAGACTGTCTCACTGAGGATGATGCTAATGATGGAGTGGTTCAGATGCAGTGCTATTTTGCTATTTTCTGCATTTGGGGCAAATATCCCAGGCATTTCCCTGTATGTAGCTTTTAACCCAGAGCCACTAAGAGTGTACCTCTTAAGTCTGGAGTCTGCTGGCCCCTTATTGAGCCATTAAGCTGAACCAGAAAACTTTCTGAGTTACTCAAGCAGTGGGTATTTTGGGTGGCAAGAAAACATGGGGCAATGATGGCAAATGGCAGTAAGGGGACGGGAGGACCCCCGGGCAAGATGGTCACTGGGAAGTCTCTGAGGACTTAGATCTGCTCCTGCTGGTCACTGAACTGAGGTGCAGAAGCAGGTGGTTGGTGCCCTTCCCTGTGGGGAGGGCCCCTGGAGCACTCAGGGAAGCTGGCTCAGGGCTGCCTGCCACTCTGCCATGGACTCCATTTCATGCTTGCTGTCTCTGTCCCTGGAGTAATGGGTTTCTGAGCCCAGCCCTGGGTACTAGTGCCTGAAGGGGAATAATAATGGTCTAGACTGCTCTAACTATCTCAGAGGCTTTGTGGACAGCCGGTTGGGTATCTGACTTTGAGGCTTGGCTTTGCCATTAACTCTGCGATGACCTCAGGCGAGTCACATGACCTATCCTTATGCCTCAGTTTCCTAATTGTACAACTCTCTGTTTATACCAAGTCCTCTGACTGTGATGCTCCCCCACTATGATGATTAACCTTGTTAGGCTGCCTCCTCTCCAAACTCTACCCAAACCTGGATCCCCACCAGCCCAGTCTGCTTATGGACATTGTGATTTCATCTGGTGGGTCCTAGACTTGGGTTCTAGCTGAGATTTTGCAATGACAAGGCTATGTCATCCTGATCAATAACCTTTCTGGGCCTCAGTGCTCACCTCTGTACACTGGGACTAAGAATACTAACATTCATTCCTCATAGAAGGAATGGACAGAAGGGAAGCCCAGTCCCTGCCCCATCTCATCCACAGGTTGTCATCAGGTGGGGATGCAGACTGGTGGCATGATTTGTCCTGTCCTGGCAGAATCACTCTGAATTTGTGTGACCTGGTAGCTGACAGTGGGGTCATTTCCCCAATGACCACAGTGATGACCTAATCTTGTGGGTCTGTGTCCCCACAGTGGCCAGTTTGCCATCGTGAAGAAGTGCCGGGAGAAGAGCACGGGGCTTGAGTATGCAGCCAAGTTCATCAAGAAGCGGCAGAGCCGGGCGAGCCGGCGCGGTGTGAGCCGGGAGGAGATCGAGCGGGAGGTGAGCATCCTGCGGCAGGTGCTGCACCACAATGTCATCACGCTGCACGACGTCTATGAGAACCGCACCGACGTGGTGCTCATCCTTGAGCTGTGAGTGGGGTCCCCAGGACCCACAGGGTTGGGGGGCAGCAGGGGCAGGCAGAGCAGTGGAAACTCCAGCCACAGGCCCCAGGGGGCAGCAGCAACCAGGCCTAAGCTCAGCCCAGAGGAGGTGAAGTCAGTGGTGGGCAGATCCCCTCTGTCTCAGTTACCCCCTTCCTCCTTACCCGCTTCCTCCTCCTGAAACTGAGCCAAAGGAGGGGCAAGCTTGCTGAATAGCAGGGGCAGAGGGCAATGGCCTAAGTCTGGCTTTCACTGGATCCTGGAGATCAAAGGGAAGAAATGACTGCACTGGGGTCTTTTCCTGGCTGGAGAAGCATGTGGGAGGGTGAGTGGGACAGATGGTGGGGTGGGGCCAGGGGAGGCTGTCAGCGAGGGCTGTGTACTATGAGGAGGGGAAGTACAAACATCTCTGGGCTCTGCGAAGCCCTTCTCCAGCCCTTTCCTGGGGAAAGTCCACTGCATTTGTGCTGTGAATGACACCTTTATTGTTATAATAATAGCTATTATTTAGAGAGTCCTACTGTAAGCCAAGAATTTGCTAGGCGCTTTCTATCTGTCGTCTTGTTCAATCTTTAAAGACTGTGATGAGGGAAATGTCTTACTAGTGCAGACAGGTTATTTTGTATTCATTGTGCAAGCCAAGTACTTCTGTACCTTATTTAATCCTCATAACAACGCTGTCACACAGACACTCTTATTATCCCCATTTTACAGACAAGAACACTGAGAGGCCAGGACACTTACAGGAGCCTATAGCCAGGAAGTGGCAGGACCAGGACTTGAGTCCACACGGCCTGTGCAGACAGCTATGAGTGTGAGGCGGGTTGGCCTTATGCTGGCTTAGCAGAGGAAGACCTCACAGTTCATGATGGAATTTGGATAGATGACCTCAATACTCTAGGGTTTGGCTAGCCACGCTGGTATCGTCCTGGGCAGGTGGGGCTCTGATAAACAATAGAGTTTGAGTTGGGTTGTGGACAAGTTACAGTGGCTGTGTCCAGTCAAGCAGCAAGGACTATATAAAGAATGTTCTGGCCTGGTGCAGTGGCTCATGCCTGTAATCCTAGCACTTTGGGAGGCCAAGGCGGGCAGATCACAAGGTCGGAGTTTGAGACCAGCCTGGCTAACATGGTGAAACCCCATCTCTACTGAAAATACAAAAATTAGCCGGGTGTGGTGGCAGGTGTCTGTAATCCCAGCTACTCGGGAGGCTGAAGCAGTAGAATTGCTTGAACCCGGGAGGCGGAGGTTGCAGTAAGCCGAGATTGCATCACTGCACTCCAGCCTGGGTGACAGCAAGACTCCATCTCGGAAAAAAAAAAAAAAAAAAAAAGAATATTCTGAGGCTCATAAGCATGTATACACCTGCCTGGTAGCGGGAGTGATAGAATCTCTCAGGAATCCCTGATTTTGTGCCCTTGGGCAAGTCACCTCAATTCCCTGAGCTTTAGTTCTCATCTGTAAAGCAGGCAGCCATCCTTAACCTGCCTACAGACTCGGTGGACCACCTGACATTTGAGATCATTCTAATTTGAGAACTATGCTCTGGTATTGGCAGGATATAGATTTAAGTAGCAGATGGACATTTGCATACTCTTGCATTTGATTCTTAAATTATCCATCTCGGTGTTTAAATGTATAGAATTGCCTGTGCTCTTCCCTTCGCTAGCTCCCAGTGTCCTCCATGTTTCTCCCACGGGCCTCCCAGCTGGTTGGACTACTGGATGCCTGCCCTGCGTGACCCAGAGAGAAGCTGAGGGTCAGCAGTCGGCATCCTGATTCCCAGCAGAGAGTGACAAGTGCACCTTTCTGGAAAGGCCGAGCCACTTCTTAAAAAGTTTATTATGGGGAGGAAAAAAAAAAAACTAAGCAGGAATGGACAAGAAATTACATTTATAATCCTACAACCCAAACACAGCTATTTATGTTTTTCTGTGGTTCCTCTCAATCTTTATCTATTTGTATACAATCATTGTACTTGTATAATTTCCTGCTCTACTTTTTTCCCCAATTAACATAATTCTAAAAATTGGCTTTTCTCTTTTAACTGACTATATGTTTCACTGAATTGCATACCAGTATTTCCCTTGTCTTAGTCCATTTTCTATTGCTTATAATAGAATATCTGAAACTGGTTAATTTATAAGGAAAAGGTATTTATTTCTTACAGTTATGGAGGCTGAGGAGTCCAAGGTTGAGGGGCCACATTTGATTAGGACCTTCTTGCTAATGGGGACTCTCTACAGAGTCCCCCAAGGCAGCCCAGTGCATCACACGGTGAGGGGGCAGAGTGGGATATCTCAGGTCTCACTTCTTATATAGCTACCAGTCCCACCCATGTAACCTGTTAATCCACTAATGCATGAATGGATTAATCCATTCATAAGGACAGAGCCCTCATAACCCAATCACCTCTTTTTTTTTTTTTTTTGAGATGGAGTCTCGCTCTGTCGTCTAGGCTAGAGTGCAATGACGCGATCCTGGCTCACTACAATCTCCACCTCCTGGGTTCAAGCTATTCTCCTACCTCAGCCTCCCAAGTAGCTGGAATTACAGGCACCCACCACCACACCCAGCTAATTTTTGTATTTTTAGTAGAGATGGGGTTTCTCCATGTTGGCCAGGCTGGTCTCGAACTCCTGACCTTAGATGATCCGCCTGCCTTGGCCTCCCAAAGCGTTGGGATTACAGGCGTGAGCCACCGCACCCCGACCCAATCACGTCTTAAAGGTCCCACTGCCTAATACGGCCGCATTGGGAATTAAATTTCAATGCGAGTTTGTAGGGCACAAATAGTCAAACCATAGCATCCTTATTGTTGGACACATGCTTTTTATTTCCTAGCTTTTAACCATTACAAATTTTACTGATAAAACAACTTTCTTCTCATGATTTTCTCCTTTTCTTTTTAATTAATTCTTTCAGCAAAGTCCTGAGGATTTAGCTAACATCCCCAGGAATGGGATGACTAAGCCAAAGGCTGACATTTTTGGGACTCAATATCCTCACTTTTCAAAGATGGTGCTGGTTAACCATTACTACCACAACGTAGGAGTGTTGCTGTGTGCCTGCAGCCCTGCCAGCCCTGGGTCATTTGTTTTGAAACGTGTTTCATTATTTATTGATCTTTATAGCTATAAATTGATACTTTCTTACTATAATTGGCATGCCTTTAATTGCTGGGGAAATTGCCTGCTTCTTCCTGTTTGTAGAACCCTAGGAGTCGGTGGCGGGGATGTGGCAGGTAAATGCTCTTGAGATGTCTGTGTTTTTCCCAACAGGGCTCATGGTCAGCCAGTTATGTGCCGGCTTCTTGTGAGCTCAGGTGCACCATCTGTAACATCAGTTGTCACGCTGGTGCTCCCATGACTTGCTTGGGCCTCTGTGCTTATTAAGTTCTGTCCCGTTTCTGTCTCCCCCTTCACTTCCAAGCTGTCTCATTGTTCTCAGGGTGCCTGTCTATGGACTGCTAAGAATTTATGAGATTGGAGAAGACCCAAGCGTTCCAAGACTGTCCCTAACCCATGTATGGCCAGGTTCTGAGAGGGAGGACCTCCCAGGAGAGGAGTTCCTGGGCTTTTGTTTTTGTTTGTTTGTTTGTTTTTTGAGATGGAGTCTTGCTCTGTCACCCAGGCTGGAGTGCAGTGGCGTGATCTCGGCTCACTGCAATCTCTACCTCCCGGGTTCCAGTGATCCTGTGCCTTAGCCTCCTGTGTAGCTGGGACTACCAGTATGTGCCCCCATGCCTGGCTAATTTTTTTTGTATTTTTAGTAGAGGTGGGGTTTCACTCTGTTGGCCAGACTGGTCTTGAACTCCTGGCCTCCAGTGATCCACTCGCCTTGGCCTCCCAAAGTGCTAGGATTACAGGCATGAGCCACCGCACCCAGCCTCATGGGCTTTTGTTGCTTAGACTTAGTGACTCCTGTTAGGCTGGTCAGAAGTCTTGGCCTCGTGGTCCTCACTGGGCCCTAATAGGTTAGTGGGTTTGCCCAGTAAGTGTTAGTATCCACCTACTCAGTTGAAAGCTGCCCAGTTGCAGGTTTTATGAATGAGTCTACGCTGATCCCACTGCCCCTCTCAGCAACTGTTGTCTGGTGCAGGGCTTCCGCCTGCTTTCTGCTCAAGTGGCCAGCACTAGGAGGACATGCCTGGCTCTGATCTAAATCCCTTTCAGTTGTTATTATCCCATCTGTGACCTCCCTAGAAGCAGCTGCCTCTGGTCGTGACTCTTGAAGGCAGGACTGGGAAGGATTTAATTGTCCATATAAGTTGACTTCTGTATGGGGTATAGAATATATTCAAAATCTCAGCAGCTTAACTCATGTCACATGTGGAACTAGCCCTGAAAAATGTAAGTCTCCCTGTGAAGGTTGGGCTGGCCTCCCATCACAGGCCCCTGACTGCTCTGGGGCCTCCTTGATTCCAAGCCTGTGGAAAGCGATACCGTGGTGGTTGCATACCAGAGAACTGCCTGGCAGAGTGCTCCAGGGTGGCAGTGATGCTTCCCAGGTTCCTGAATTGAGCCCAGCTTCCTGGGCCCAGCAGCTCTGGCAGCATTTTTCCCCTATCGCTGCCTGTGCAGGTCATTCATGTATACATTTCCAGAAGAGTCTGAAAAGCATTTCCAGCAGGCATGCCACCCTGCAGGGAGGAAGGAGGCAAAGGTCAGATTTGCAGGAAGGGGATGATCCTGGGAACACTAGGAGAAGAGATGAGGCCAGGTCGTGAGGCTTTGTTTTTCATCTTAAAGCTAAAGAGATGTGGGATGTAAGAGGAAAGAAACTTGGAAGGAGATGGGGGGTGGCTCCAGGGCAGAGGTCTTAGAGGGTAAAGAAATGACACTCAGGCTCCTTGGTTTGGCTTTGAAAAGAGGTGACTGAGCATTAATGTGAATGTCCCAGCCTGGGTATCCAGGGCCTAGACAGTGGCAGGTCATCAGCCTCCCACCTTTCTGAGTTTCTGGGGGAGATTCTAGGGGGCACAGTGGCTGTTCCCTTCTTCATCCCAAGGAGACCATGTCTCACCAGGTCTCCTGCCCATATCTCACCTTCAAACAGATGACTGATTACTGCACCCCAAAGTCCTCCCTCAACCCCAGACTTCATGTCAGTGGCTTTTGGGAATGCTAAGCTAAGAAGCTTTTACACTGATGCAGCATTTTATTTAAAGTAGGAATTGCAGGGTTATTATTTATTTAGATATTTGCCCGAGGTCACAGGCCCACACAACCTGGCAGGGGCTGGCAGACTAAGGGTGGAGCTGGGTTCTGTGTGTTTCAGAGGGGGCACTGCAGATGTGAAAATTTGCAGAGAGCTCTGGACAGATCTTTCACAAATACCAAGGCTTCACTGTCTATATGATACAGAATATTCTACATCATGTTGTTATTTTTAATGTTTTATTTCTTTCTTTCTTCTTTTATTCACCAAACTTCTGATTGAATGTCTTTCTTGCACTAGGTGCTGTGGAAGCAAAAATAATATAGCTGGGGAGAGAGGAAGATAGATAGTGAAGCCCACTGTGAGGAGAGCGTGGATGCAGCAGAGCAGGGATATCAGAGGACTGCCCAGTGCCTGGGGCTGCTTTGAGCCTTTCCATTTTGCATCAGCACCTCAGGCTTTGTAATGTGGAAGGGTTGTGGTGAGAGGGACACATGGTGAACTGGGGCTGAGAAAATCTGGGTCTAAATCCTGGTCCTGCCACTTACTAGCTGTGTGATCTTGGGCAAGTCACTTGCTCTCCTGAGACCTCAGTTTTCTCATCTGAGAATGAGGATGCCCTCCGGGTGGATATCAAGCTCAAGTGAGGAAATGTTTGGGAAAGCACATTGCACCGGTGGCAAACTTCAAATAAACTCTAAATCAAGCCCCCTTCCACCACTGCCACCCCTGATGATGACACCATGTACGGTGTTTATGTCAAGGACTTTATCAAGAATCTCATAGAGATTCCTCTCACTCCCACCCTCACATCCAAAGCTGGTAATGAAAGCATTATTTTTTTCACTCCTGTTTCACAAGAAGAAAAGTTGAGCCCTAGAACTCTCACATGTCCCACCCCAAGGTGAAGGTTGTATCTTTGCTGCTGAAGGATTGGAGCCATCATCTTGGCCCTTTGACCCCAGTCTGCAGAGCAGACCCAGGGTTACTCCAGCAGCTGGGAGGGTGCTCCAGCTTCCAGCACCTGCCCAAGGTGGGGGCAAGGGTCAGAGTGGGGCAAAGGACGGCCTCACCCATGAGACACTGAGAAAATAGTGCACCAGCCTGGTCCCCAACACCAAGGCAGCCACCTTAGGCCACACCCTACTCAACCCTGAGCAGAGGGGCGCTGCAGCTATGGCAGATGGTACATATGCTCAAATGTGCCATCTTATCTCAGTCTCTCTTCACCCTTTCACCTTCCCCCTTCCCCTTCTCTTTTTTTGCCTCTTTTTTGATGCCATTGATATGTTGGAAAACTAGGCCACTTGTCCTGTTTCACAGTCTGGATTAGACTTGTTCCTTCCTCATGGTGTTCTTTAACTCATTCCTCTGTTCCCTGTATTTCCTGTAACTAGTAGTTAGATCTAGAGGAGATACCCTGCCTATTGGCGCTGTCCAATAGAAATGTAATGTGAACCACATACATAATTTTAAATTTCCTAGTTGCCACACTGACTAAACAAAAAGAAATAGGTGAATTGATTTTAATAATATTTTTATTTAAAATTATTAATGAGATATTTTACATTCTATTTTTCAAACTAAGTCTTCAAAATCCAGTGTGAATTTTATACTTACAGCACATCTCAACCTGTTTTTTTGTTTGTTTGTTTGTTTTTGAGACCGATTCTCACTCTGTTGCCCAGGGTGCAATGGCACAATCACGGCTCACTACAGCCTCGACCTCAGGTGATCCTCTCAACCTCCTAAGTAGCTGGAACTACAGGTGCACATCACCATGCCCAGCTAAGTTTTTTTTTTTTGTAGAGACAGTGTCTCACTATGTTGCCCAGGCTGGTCTTGAACTTCTGGGCTCAAGTGATCTGCCTGCCTCAGCCTCCCAAAGTGCTGAGATTACAGGTGTGAGCCACTGTGCCCAGCCCACATTTCAATTCTTACGCAAAGCAATGCAACGGTTAAAGTGAAATGCAATTCTACTGAAACAATAAAGTTGTATTTAATGGAAAATATTTTATACCACTTCAGTTTTTAAATTAGAATTAATTAAAATTAAATAAAAGTTAAAATTCAATTCCTCTATTACACTAGCCACATTGCAAGTGCTCAGTAACCACATGTGACTAGTGGCTACTCTATTGGACAGCACATATCTAGAACATTTTCATCATTGCAGAAAGTTCTGTTGATAGTGCTGAACAAGAGGCTTAAGCGGATTTAGGTTCCATTTTGTAAGTCACAGCATATCATAGGTGTTGCTGTGTACTTTCTATGTCACTATTTTATGTCCGGTTGTTCTACTTTTCATGATGCTAAGATTATTGAGTGGGTCCAGGTGTGCTTCTGGAAATGTTTAAAGAAAGGAGAAAAGAAGATTTTGATGTTCTTTATTTAGGATGGACTAGGGGGCAGGGAATGATCCCCAAAGTTGGGTTGGAGCCATTTTAGCCATATAAGAATCATCTGGAGCCGAGCGCAATGGCTCACACCTGTAATCCCAACACTTTGGGAGGCTGAGGTGGACGGATTGCTTGAGGTCAGGAGTCCCAGCTTGGCCAATATGGTGAAACCCCATTTCTACTAAAAATACAAAAATTAGCTGGGCGTAGCGGCATGTGCCTGTAACCTCAGCTACTCAGGAGGCTGAGGCCTGAGAATCAGTTGAACCTGGGAGGCGGAGGTTGCAGTGAGCTGAGATCGCATCACTGCACTCCAGCCTGGGCAACAGAATGAGACTCTGTCTCAAAAAAAAAAAAGAAAAGAAAAGAATCATCTGCAATACTCAGTATGCTGTAGTGGTTGAGAGCTGTTCTGCTTGGGTTTGAATCCTGACTCTATTTACTAGCTATGGGACTGTGGGCAAGTTGCTTAACCTCTCTGAGCCTTTGTTTCTTAAAGTGTGAAATAGAAAAATGTTAGTCCTTAGATCATAGGATATTGTGATGATTAAATGAGATAATGTGCATAAGGCATGTAACATAGAGTATGTGTTCAATGAATATTAATTGCTATTATTATGTTGTTAGAGTAAAAATACAGGTTTTAAGGCCTCACTGCTGGAGAATCTAATTTGTTAAAGTCTATGGTGGGATCTGGAAATCTGCATTTTAAAACAAGTTCTCCAAGTGATCCCAAGGTCCTGGATCCCTTGGCCTAGAACCCTTCCTGAGATCTTTCCCTTTGGGCCCATGGCTTTATTTCAGCCCCAGTGGAGCACATGCTGGCTGGATACCCCAGCTTCTGTCAGAGGATTGTAAACCAAAAATTAAATTCTAAGCCCCCTCAACCAACTGAATAGACCCCTCTCTCAGCCAAGGAGATTCCAAAGTAAACCTGAAAAACTTTCAGGCCATGGTGGGAAGAGGGGTTGGACATGCCTCATTATACTCTCTGCCCATTTAAATTCGGGCACAAGTGACCAGCATTAATATGAAAACAGTGAACTTAAGCCTAACAAAACAGACTCTTTGCAGCAATAAGATAATAAATTCCAACCTGACTCTACTATAACATCACATGACAAATAGCAGGCCCTGAAAGAAATAGAAGTATTTTACCCTAATAAATCTTTTGACATATTTTGAAATGGCCCTGCAAAGCTGACTCTTGTGGGAAAAATCTATATTCTGTGGAGAATCTCTGTTCCTTTCCATGTCTTTTTCTGATCCTGAAGAGATTAGCTGAGAGTCTAGCACCTTTTAAGAATATGAATAGTAAACATTTGCCATCTATTGCCTCCAAGGGCAGCCACCTGTGAGACTTCATCTACATAATAAAAACCTTGGTCTCCATAACCCTTGTCTTAACTCAGACACTCTTTTCTATTGATTCCAGGTCTTTCAATAATAACCAATTGCCAATCAGAAAATCCACCTGTGACCTAGAAGCCCTCCCAACCCCCTATCCTCACCTTCAAGTTGTTCCACTTTTCCAGATGGAACCAATGTACACCTTAGATTTATTGATTCTGCCTGTAACTTCTGTCCCCCTAAAATGTATAAAATCAAGCTGTTACCCAACTACCTTGGGCACATGTTCTGAGGACCTTCTGGGACTGTGTCATGGGTCTTGAGCACTCATATTTGGCTCAGAATAAACATCTTTAAATATTTTACAGAGTTTGACTCTTTTTGTTGACAGGATAAATAAGCCCAAGTAGGGTTGCCAGATTTAGCAAGTAAAAACCTATTTTATCTGGCAATTCTAAATCTCAGGGGAGATTTTTTTTGCTCTGTCACATCAACTATAGGAAGCAAGAATGTAGAGTGTGAAAAAGTAGTATCAAACATCAAAAACAGTATTCTAGAGTCTTTAAAAATGAATATAATTAATGGGGTCTTATGCTTAAGTTAGGGGCCATACTTAGATTCTCTTGAGCCCCATAAAGGGGCCATCTTTTATAAAATTGAAGAAAGGGGGCTTTGGGGCTGTCTTGCTCAGTCTGCTTCTTTTGTAGGTAATGAAACCAGGGCCTGCCTGGAGAAGGGAAATGAGTTGTCCAAGGTCAGTGGCAAGGCTGGAATGGAACCTAGGTCTTTAGTTTCTGGCACAGCATTTGTTCCGCTTTGTCATCTGTCTTAGTCCATTCAGACTCTGGCATTCTGTCTCTGCCCCCCACCCCAATTAATGTCCTTTTCAAATGTAAAATACATTCCTTCCATTCCAATAGTTCCAAAACTCTTAATTAATTCCAGCATCAACTCCAAAGTTTAAAGTCCAAAGTCTCATCTAAATATCTAAATCAGATGTGGGTGAGACTCAAGGTATGATTCATTCTGAGGCAAGTTGCTCTCCAGCTGTGAACCAATGACATCAAACATGTCGTGTTACAAAATATGATGGTGGGACAGGCAGAGGATACACATTCCCATTCTAAAAGGAAGAATGGGAAAGAATAAAGGAGTGACAGGTTCTGAGCCAGTACAAAACATTGAGAAGAATCTTTGGCTCATTGCTCTGCCCTCCAGGCCCATGGGGGTGGAATGGAGGTCTTGCCCCTGCAGCTTTGAGCAACCCTGCCCATAAGGCTTTGCTCTCCAAACATTGGCCCCCACACCAAAGGCAGTTCTCTGCCCAGGGGCCCACCAGCTCTCTAAGGCATCTTGTGAAATCCAGGTGAAAGCAGCCACACACCCACCAGCTTTGCTTGGCACAGAGCTTGCCACACTGTTGCCCTCCAGGAGCCACACCTGGTATGTCTGAGGAGTATGGCAACAGAGTTTGGAGAGCAAAGCCCACAATGTGAGGCAGCACTGGGCAGTGGAGGCCCCTCCTTTGATATCATTCTGCCCTCTAAGCTCTGGCACTATGAATCTGTGATGGGAGGGACACCCCTCTTTTCACCCCCACGATCTCTGAAATGACTTCAGGGTTATTCTTCCATTGTCTTGGACAATAGGTCCTGGCTTCTGTTTAGATGGCTGACTAATCCCCTTATTGTCTTGATGAATAGCACCTGGCTTCCCTGGAGAGCCATATTAATCTTTTTATCAAATGGTTGCTTGGTCATACCTTTGTTCCTTCCCAAACAGGTTTTCTTATGTTTTCCAATATGAGGAGGCTGAGAATTTTGCATACTTTTAAGCTTTCTTCCCTTTGAGTAACAATTTTGTCTTTAAACCATTTCTTTTCACATTTTACTTTAAGTAGTCAAGAGGAACCAGGACACTCTTCCAACACTTTGCTTAGAAATCTCCTCAGCCAAATATTCCATTTTTATTGCTTACAAGTTCTGCCTCCTATAAAACACTAGGGCACACACACAATTCAGCCACGTTCTCTGCTACTTTATAACAAGGATGCCCTTTCCTCCATTGACCAGACCAGTAACATGTTCCTCATATCCATCTGAGACATTATCAGAATGGCCTTTCCATCTGTATTTCTACAAATATTTTGTTGATGGCCACTTAGGTATTCTCTAAGAAGATTGAGAATCTCCTCTCTTTGTGATCCCTCACCAGGACCACCCTTACAGTCCATTCATTCATGGCAATGTAGGCTTTTTCTAGTTGGCACCCCAAACCTCTTCCAGCCTCTACTTGTTAGCTGATTCCAAAGCAGCTTCCACATTTTTAGGTGTCTGTTACAGTAGCACTCCACACTTGGTACCAATTTCCTCTCTCAGTTCATTCAGGCTGCTGTATAACAAAATAACCATAAACTGGGTGGCTGACAAACAACATAAATTTATTTCTCACAGTCCTGGAGTCTGGGAAGTCTAAGATCAAGATGAAGGTTCACTTCCTCATAGATGGCTGTCTTTTGACTGTAACTTCACATAGTGCAAGGGGAAAGTAAGCCCTCTGGGGTCTCTTTTATAAGGGCACTAATCTCATTTGTGAGGTCTCTAACTTCATGACTTAATTACTTCCCAAAGGCCCTATCTCCTAATACCATCACCTTGGGGGTTAGAATTTCAAAATATGAACTTGGAGGAACGCAAACATTCAGGCTAAATAATCTGCTTGTTTTTGTCCCCTGCCATCTCAGGCATATGGAGGGGAGAGGGCAACCTCCAGGGTGACTGGGACCAGGGCCTAGAGTGGGAGCAGAGGCTCTTCTGACAACACCTCCAGGGTGATTCCTGCCCTTGTGATCCAAAAGAAAGAACAAAGCAAATAGGAGCAAAGTCAGTCCCTGGCACTGGACAGACAAAGCCCCAGAAATAAGCCAGGGGGATTCTGCCATACAAGGTCCCTGGGGGGTCAGGATGAGGGCTTGCCCCTATCAGCCCAGCCTCATGACATGCAGAGCTGACTGGGCCTGGGCCTCCCCTCCCCCCGCTGGTGTTTTACAGAGTGTCTGGAGGAGAGCTCTTCGATTTCCTGGCCCAGAAGGAGTCACTGAGTGAGGAGGAGGCCACCAGCTTCATTAAGCAGATCCTGGATGGGGTGAACTACCTTCACACAAAGAAAATTGCTCACTTTGATCTCAAGGTCAGTAAGGGGAGAAAGGGAAAAGAATCAAGTTTAGGAAGAAGAGGCTTAGTCCCTCCTGGTGTCTTTCCCAGGATGGGCCCAGTGCCGACCAGCCCTTCTTTCTCATCTTACAGTGAAAAACCCTGAGCTCATGGGAAAGATGATGCCACGGAAATGTCCACCTTCTCAGTTTCATTTTTCATAACAGGTTTTCTGCACACTGGAGCTGACTGCAAGAAGCTGCTTAAATCAGACTTCAGGCACCTTATTTATTTCAGGGAGCAGGGGGGAACACTTTCTAAATAAGTAGACCAGTGACAGGAAACTTGAAACCAAACACCTTTCACAAGACTGAACTTTTCAGTAACAAAAAACTAGAAATGTTTGGAGGATTGCTGAAGTTGGCTGGCTCGCCAGACCCATTCATAGTGCAGCCTCCATCATCCCTTGACCAGAGCTTGTAAATCCTGGAGCCCAGGGACCACTGGCTGCCCTCCCCAACTCACAACCCCTACTGTGCTCCAAACTGTGGTCATAAAACTGCTTGTAGGGGCCACTGATCATTTATGGTGACTGGTATTCAGGACTGAGAGAGTTCACTGTGACCACATAGGACTTCATAAAGCAAGAATGTGGTCAAAGTAGAAGGATCAGTTCCCTTAGTAACTGAGCTCAGTTGCATAGACTGATGAGCCTATACAGATACTTAATGTGTAAAGTCCTCTAACTTTGATCAATTCTATGACCTGTTTGCTGGGGAGATCCCTTCATTTTTCTATCCAGAAATCCCTGTGGTCTTTCAAGCATGGTGCTGGGTGCTTGGGTATTGCTGCTGATACAAAATTCACTGAGGCCCTGTCTGAGATTACTTCATCTTTTCCAGGAACCTTAGTGTAGGAGATAGAAAAACCAGCAACTCTAAGTACTATGCTAGAAGGAAGCCCAGGGTGGGTGGGGAGGCTAAAGGAGGGGACATCTAAGTCCAACCGGGATATCAGAGAGGGCTCCCTGGAAAAAGTGCTATGTAGTTGAGTTCTGAAGGATTGGTAGGAAATAGAAGAAGAGAAGGGCCTTATAAGGAAGAAAGGCCAGCAGAATACATGGTCACAAAACAGCACAATGCATTCAGGGAAGTACAGGCATGGGAAGTGTGTGCTGAGTGGCTGGGGAAGAAGCCAGGAACAGTGCAGGAAGCAGACACAAGGGTCTGGGAGCTAAGCCAAGGAGCTTGCACTTTACCCTGAGAGATAAGGGTTCAGGTGAGCAGAGAAGTGAGGTAAGCATGTACTTGTTTCAGAGTGATCCCTCTGGCTGGGAGGATGGATAGGCTGGAGACAGCCTGGAGGCTGGGGCTCAGCTAGGAGGCTAAAGCAATAATCTAGGTAAGATGTGAGGAGAGGACAGAGTCAAGATCTTTTGCAGAGGTCAATCTGAGGATTGATTAGGTGCCTAATTAGAGGTAGAGATGAAGGAGGGGACAGGGTTCTGGATGACACCCAAGTTCTGGCTTGTGCCCCTGGCCCAGAGAGGGTCTGGCATGTCCATTATCTCACAGTGGCTATGCCAGGGCATGAGCTCAGTTCCCATATGAGTCCCTACCCCAGCTCTTACTCTACTCTGCCTGATAGGGTGACCTTCTATGAGTCCCCTTAGCATGGTCCTCCTTCCTTAGGCTCACTGTCACTTTTTTTTTTTTTTTAATAGAGATAGTCTCGCTCTGTCACCCAACTGGAACACAGTGGTGTGATCACAGCTCACTGCAGCCTCGACTTCCTGGGCTCAATCTATCCACTTGCCTTAGCCTCCTGAATAGCTGGGACTAAAGGCGTGTGCCACCATACCTGGCTAATTTTTGTATTTTTTGTAGAGGCGGGGTCTTGCCATGTTTGCCCAGGCTGGTCTTGAGCTCCTGGGCTCAAGTGGTCCACCCGCCTCAGCCTCTCAAAAGTGTTGGGATTACAGGCATGAGCCACTGCGTCTGGCCATGATTGTCAGTTTGTTTTTGGTGTTTCTTTTTGGGGGGGACAGGGTCTCACTCTGTCACCCAGGCTGGAGTGCAGTGGCGTGATCTCAGCTCACTGCAGACTAGACCTCTCAGGCTCAGGTAATCCTCCCACCTCAGCCTCCCAAGTAGTTGGGACTACAGAAACATGCCACCATGGCCAGCTAATTTTTGTATTTTTTTGTATAAATGGGTTTTTGCCATTTTGCCCAGGCTGGTCTGCAACTCCTAGGCTCAAGCAATCTGCCCACTTCAGCCTCCCAAAGTGTTGGGACTACAGGCATGAGCCACTGCTCCTGGCTGTCACGGTATTTTTTAATACCTCCAACAGAAGTCTTCCAGAGTTTTACTGAGGCGTCACAGGGTAAAAATGGGGGTCACCAAGGATGGTGAGGCCTGGGCAGGCCTTTGGACCTCAGGGTAGTAACAGCAGGAAATGGTCTGCCTTGATTGCACCTGTGTGACTTCCTGGTACTGCTGTGGACAATTAACTTGTTGTTTTATTGTGTCTTTGCTGGCTCCAGGAGAGCTGCTTCAAAATGGGCTCCTTTGTCTTTTCTTGAATGGGTCTGGTAGGAGGAGTGGCTGGAGCCCAACAGGCACCAATGACTGCAGCAGGTTCGTGATGTTTGGCTTGCCTTTATGGCAGCTCGCTGTGGTGGGGAGAGCACTGGCTTGGAGTTAGCCAGGCTGAGTTACCATGTACCATGATACACCTGAACCTCAGCTTTTCAGCTTCAATGCAAATAATACCTACCTGGCAGAGCTGTAAGGGTTAGAGAGAAGCATTAAGTGCCAGATATGGAATAGGTGCTCGGTAATAGTAGCTGTTATTGTTATTCCCCTTCTCAGAATAGAGGAAAAGGAAATAGAACTTTTGTTACAGTGTTGTGGGCCCCATAGACTAGGAAAACAAACCCTGTGAGTACAGTTCTGTTAATAAATTGTCCAGCAGAGAGCTGAGTTGGTTGCTAGGTAGAACTGCTGGCGAGGGCTGGTGAGGCTCCGGGGCTAACCTGGACATTTTCCATTACCTGGAAACAGTCTGGGTTTTCTCTGGATGCATGTGAGGTGAGGATGCTGCCAGTCCCCACCATGGCCAGGTATCCTTAGAGTTGTGAGGACCTGAGCTTTCTGATTCTTCCACCCGTGGGTCCCTTGGCCTAGGCCCACCTGGGCAACTTCAGGAAGTGATGAGTAGCTGGAACTCAGAAGGATTACCTCAGGATCGGGTACATGTTTCCTGGAGCCAGAATGTGGGTATGCATGCCTCCTGGCTGGAACATTCTGTCTCCTGGAGGGGATCATGCAATTAAGATCCAGCTGGTAGCTTAGAGGAGGCTTCTTGGTTCTGTGTTGTTTCCCACCATATAAAATCCACATTTTTCTTCCTGATTTTCATTCTCCATGATGGATTTTCACTTTCCTCTCCTGCTTATATTCTGTTAACTCCTTCCCAAGCTCAGGGTCCTTACTGCCCCAGGAACACAGCCAGCATGTTGTCTCCACACCCTTACCCATAACCTGTTCTCTATGCACACCTTCCAGCTTGAAGGGGCAGGTAATAGAAGAGGGTTCACTCTCTTGCCTACCTTTGGAATGTGAACAACCTCTCTTCAGGCTGGTATTTAATCAGCTTCTCCTATGTTCAGCCATTGTGCAATGGACAGTCAGGCTCTGTCCCTGCTCACCACATGCTCCTAGCCTCGTTGCAGGGAGCCGACAAATGGATATTTTTTTTTCTTTTTGAGACAGAGTCTCGCTCTGTTGCCCAGGTTGGAGTGCAGTGGCACAATCTCGGCTCCCTGCAGCCTCTGCCTCCTGGGTTCAAGTGATTCTCCTGCCTCAGCCTCCTTAGTAGCTGGGATTACAGGTGCCTGCCACCACGCCCAGCTAATTTTTGTATTTTTAGTAGAGACAGGGTTTCACCATGTTGGCCAGGCTGGTCTTGAACTGCTGACCTCAGGTGATCCCCACCACCCACCTTGGTCTCCCAAAGTGCTGGGATCATAGGCATGAGCCACCATACCCAGTCCAAATGGACAAATTAATATGAGATAAGCAGTATTGGTAAAAACAGGAGACAGAGCAAGATGACCGAATAGAAGCCTTCACTGATCACCCTCCCTGCAAGAACACCAAATTGAACAACTATCCATACACAAAAAAAGCACCTTTGTAAGAACCAAAAACCAGGTGAGAGGTCACAGAACCTGGTTTTATTTATTGTTTTATTTTATTTTATTTATTTATTTTTTTGAGACTGAATCTTGCACTGTTGCCCAGGCTGGAGTGCAGTGGTGCAATCTCGGCTCACTGCAAACTCCACCTACCAGGTTCACGCCATTCTTCTGCCTCAGCCTCCTGAGTAGCTGGGACTACAGGCACCCACCACTATGCCCGGCTAATTTTTTTGTATTTTTAGTAGAGACGGGGTTTCACCATGTTAGCCAGGATGGTCTCCATCTCCTGACTCGTGATCCGCCCACCTCGGCCTCCCAAAGTGCTGGGATTACAGGTGTGAGCCACTGCGCCCGGCCCACAGTACCTGGTTTTAATTTCATATCACAGAAAGAGGCACTGAAGAGGGTAGGAAAGACAGTCTTGAATCACCTATACCACCCCTTCCCCATCTTCTGGCAGCAGCCATGTTGCATGGAGAAAGAACCTGTGCACTTGGGGGAGGGAGAGTGCAGCAATTGTGGGACTTTGCATTGAAACTCAGTGCTGCCCTGTCACAGCAGAAAGCAATACCAGGCAGAACCCCGCTGGAACCCATGGAAGGAGCATTTAGACTAGCCCTAGACAGAGGAGAATTGCTCATCCTAGTGGTCAGAACCTGAGTTCCAGCAAGCCTCACCACTGCAGACTAAAGTGCTCTGGGTTTCTAAGTAAACTTGAACGGAAGTCTAGGCCACAAGGACTGCAATTCCTGGACAAGTCCTGGTCCTGTGCTGTGCTTGGAGCCAGAGGACTTGGAGGGTACACCTAGTGAGACATCAGTTGGGATGGCCAAGGAAGTGCTTGTACCACACCTCCCTCAGCCCCTGGCAGCACAGCTTGCAACTCCAGGAGAGAATCCTTCCCTCCACTTGAGGAGAAAAGAGGGAAAAGTGAAGAGGACTTCATCTTGCAATTTGGATACCAGCTCAGCCACAGTAAGAAAGGGCACAAGGCAGAGTCTTGAGGCCCCCATTCCAGGCCCTAGATCTCAGACAACATTTCTAGACACTCTCTGAGCCAGAAGGGAATCCACTGCCTTGAAGGGAAGGACCCAGTCCTGGCAGGATTCATCACCTGCTGACTACAGAGGCCCTGGGCCCTGAATAGTCAGCAGTGACATCCAGTGTATCACTCAGAGATGTGCACTCAGAGACATGCTGGCTTCAGGTGTGACCCAGCACATTCCCAGCTGTGGTGGCTATGGAAAGAGGAAAGGGAATGATAAAGGGGACTTTGTCCTGCAACATAGGTACTAGCTTGACCACAGTGGGGTAGAGAACCAAGTGGGCTCTTCGGGTTTCCAATTTCAGGCCTTGGCTCTTAGACAGCATTTCTGGACCTACCCTGGGCCAAAGGGGAGCCCACTGCCCTGAAGGGAGAGTCCCACGCCTGGCAGTATTCACCACAAGCTGACTGAAGAGTCTTGGGGCCTTGAATGTGCACTGGCAGTAGTCAGGGAGTACTTGCCATAGGCCTGGGGCAGTGGGGGCCATGGGGGGAGATGCCTCCGCTTGTGGAAAGGGGAGGGAAGAGTGGGAAGGACTTTGTCTTCTGGCTTAGATACCAGCTAGGCCACATTAGAATAGAGCACCAGGTAGATTCCCAAGGTTTCCAACTCCAGGCCCTGGCTCCCAGATGGCATCTCTGGACCACCCAAGGGGGGGAAGCTCACCACCCTGAGGGAAGGACACAAGCCTGGCTGGCTTTGCCACCTGCCTATTGTAGAGCCCTAGGGCCTTGAGCAAACATAGCCAGTAGCCAGGCAGCTGTTATAAGCCTTGGGCAAGACCCAGGGCCATGCTGGCTTCAGGTCTGACCCAGCACAATCCCAGTGGTGATGGCCACAGGAGTGCTTGTGTTCCCCCTCCCCTAGCCCCAGGCAGGTCAGTACAGAGAGAGACTTCATTTATTTGGAAGAAAGTAAGGGAAGAGAACAAGAGTCTCTGCCTCCTAAACCAGATAATTTTTCTGGATCTTATCCAAAACTACCAAGGCAGTACCTTTACAAGTCTGCAAGAACCACAGCATTACTGGGCTTGGGGTGTCCTCTAATACAGATTTGGCTGGAGTGACCAAAAACTTAGATTACAACACTCAAGTCCTTTCAAATATCTGGAAAGCCTTCCCAAATAGATGGGTACAAACAAACGAAGACTGAAGACTAGAATAAATACCTAATTCTTCAATGGCCAGACATCAATAAACGTCCACAAGCATCAAAACCATCCAGGAAATCATGACTTCACCAAATGAACTAAATAAGGCACCAGGGACCAATCCTGGAGAGACAGAGACATGTGACCTTTCAGACAGAGAATTTAGAATAGCTGTTTTGAGGAAACTCAGTGAAAATCAAGATAACACAGAGAAGGAATTCAGAATTATATCAGATAAATTTAACAAAGAGATTTAAATAACTAAAAAGAATCAAACAGAAATTCTGGAAGTGAAAAATGCAATTGATGTACTGAAGAATGCGTCAGAGTCTGTTAGCAGCAGAATTGATCAAGCAGAAGAAAGAATTAGTGAGCTTGAAGATAGACTATTCGAAAATACACAGAGGAGACAAAAGAAAAAAAAAGAATGAAGCATTCCTATAACATCTAGAAAATAGCCTCAAAAAGGCAAATTTAAGAGTTATTGGCCCCAATGAGGAGGTAGAGAGATAGAGGTAGAAAGTTTATTCAAAGGGATAATAACAGAACTTCCCAAAGCTAGAGAAAGATATCAATATTCAAGTACAGGAAGGTTATAGAACACAAAGAAGGTTAAACCCAAATAATAATCAAACTCCCAAAAATTAAAGACATTTAATAATCAAACTCCCAAAAGTCAAGAGTAAAGAAAGGATCCTAAAAGCAAGAGAAAAGAAACAACATACGATGAAACTCCAATATGTCTGGCAGCAGACTTTGTAGTGGAAACCTTATAGGCCAGGAGAGGGTGGCATGACATATTTAAAGTGCTGAGGAAAAAACCTTTATTCTAGAATAGTATATCCAGCAAAAATATCCTTCAAACATAAAGGAGAAATAAAGACTTTCCCAGACAAAGAAAATCTGAGGATGTCATCAATACCAGACCTGTCCTACAAGAAATGCTAAAGGGAATTCTTCAATCTAAAGGAAAAGGACATTAATGAGCAATAAGAAACCATCTGAAGGTGTAGAACTTACTGGTAATATTAAGTACACAGAAAAACACAGAATATCATAACACTGTAATTGTGTGTAAACTACTTGTATCTTGAGTAGAAAGACTAAATGATAAACTGATAAAAAATAACTACAATGTTTCAAGACAGACAGTACAATAAGATATAAACAGAAACAAAAAGTTAAAAAGTGAGGGGAGAAAGTTAAAGTGTAGAGTTTTTATTAGTTTTCTCTTTGCTTGTTAGCTTGTTCATGCAATCAGCATTGTTGTCATTAGTTTAAAATAATGAATTATATGACAGTGTTTGCAAGCCTCATGGTAACCTCAAATCAAAAAACCTACAGCAGAGATATAAAGAAATAAAAAGCAAGAAATTAAAACTTACCACCAGAGAAAATTACCTTCACTAAAAGGAAGACAGGAAGGACGGAAAGAAGGAAAAGAAGACAACAAAACAACCAGAAATAAAAAAGCAAAGTGGCAGGAGTAAGTCCTTACTTATCAGTAATAACATTGAATGTAAATGGACTAAATTCTCCAATCAAAAGACATAGATTGGCTGAATGGATTAAAAAACAAAAAACAGTTAAGAGGTTCCAAGATGGCCGAATAGGAACAGCTCCAGTCTGTAGCTCCCAGCGTGAGCGACGCAGAAGATGGGTGATTTCTGCATTTCCAACTGAGGTACCGGGTTCCTCTCACTGGGGCTTGTCAGAAAGTGGGTGCAGCCCATGGAGCAGGGAGGGGCATCGCCTCACTCGGGAAGCACAAGGGGTCGGGGAATTCCCTTTCCTAGCAAAGGGAAGCCGTGACAGATGGTACCTGGAAAATCGGGACACTCCCACCCTAATACTGCGCTTTTCCAATGGCCTTAGCAAACGGCACACCAGGAGATTGTATCCCGTGCCTGGCTCAGAGGGTCCCATGCCCACAGAGCCTTGCTCACTGCTAGCACAGCAGTCTGAGATTCAATTGCAAGGTGGGAGCAAGGCTTGGGGAGGGGCATCTGCCATTGCTGAGGCTTGAGTAGGTAAACAAAGTGGCCGGGAAGTTCAAAGTGGGTGCAGCCCACTGCAGCTCAAGGAGGCCTGCCTGCCTCTGTAGACTCCACCTCTGGGGGCACGGCATAGCTGAATAAAAGGCAGCAGAAACTTCTGCAAACTTAAACGTCCTTGTCTGACAGATTTAAAGAGAGTAGTGGTTCTCCCAGCATGGAGTTTGAGATCTGAGAATGGACAGACTGCCTCCTCAAGTGGGTCCCTGACCCCCGAGTAGCCTAACTGGGAGACACCTCCCAATAGGGGCTGACTGACACCTCATACAGCCAGGTGCCCCTCTGAAACAAAGCTTCCAGAAGAGGGATCAGGCAGCAACATCTACCGTTCTGCAATATTTGCTGTTCTGCAGCCTCCGCTGGTGATACCCAGTAAAACAGGGTCTGGAGTGGACCTCCAGCAAACTCCAACAGACTTGCAGCTGAAGGTCCTGATTGTTAGAAGGAAAACTAACAAACAGAAAGAACATCCACACCAAAACCCCATTTGTACGTCACCATCATCAAAGACCAAAGGTACATAAAACCACAAAGATGGGGAGAAATCAGAGCAGAAAAGCTGAAAATTCTAGAAATCAGAGGGCCTCTTCTCCTCCAAAGGAACGCAGCTCCTCGCCAGCAATGGAACAAAGCTGGACGGAGAATGACTTTGACAAGTTGAGAGAAGAAGGCTTCAGACGATCGGTAATAACAAACTTCTCTGAGCTAAAGGAGGATGTTCGAACCCATCGCAAATAAGCTAAAAACCTTGAAAAAAGATTAGACGAATGGCTGACTAGAATAAACAGTGTAGAGAAGTCCTTAAATGACCTGATGGAGCTGAAAACCCTGGCACGAGAACTATGTGACGCATACACAAGCTTCAGTAGCTGATTTGATCAAGTGGAAGAAAGGGTATCAGTGATTGAAGATCAAATGAATGAAATGAAGTGAGAAGAGAAGTTTAGAGGAAAAAGAGTAAAAAGAAACAAAAAAAGCCTCCAAGAAATATGGACTACGTGAAAAGACCAAATCTACGTTTGATTAGTGTACCTGAAAGTGACGGGGAGAGTGGAACCAGGTTGGAAAACACTCTTCAGGATATTATCCAGTAGAACTTCCCCAACCTAGTGAGACAGGCCAACATTCAAATTCAGGAAATACAGAGAACGCCACAAAGATACTCCTCAAGAAGAGCAAATCCAAGACACATAATTGTCAGATTCACCAAAGTTGAAATAAAGGAAAAAAATGTTAATGGCAGCCAGAGAGAAAGGTCGGGTTACCCACAAAGGGAAGCCCGTCAGACTAACAGCAGATCTCTCGGCAGAAACCCTACAAGCCAGAAGAGAGTGGGGGCCAATATTCAACATTCTTAAAGAAAAGAATTTTCAACCCAGAATCTCACATCTAGCAAACTAAGCTTCATAAGTGAAGGAGAAATAAAATCCTTTACAGACAAACAAATGCTGAGAGATGTTGTCACCACCAGGCCTGCCTTACAAGAGCTCCTGAAGGAAGCACTAAATATGGAAAGGAACAACTGGTACCAGCCACTGCAAAAACATGCCAAATTGTAAAGACTATCAGTGCTAGGAAGAAACTGCATCAACTAATGAGCAAAATAGCCAGCTAACATCATAATGACAGGATCAAATTCACACATAACAATATTAACCTTAAATGTAAATGGGCTAAATGCTCCAATTAAAAGACACAGACTGGCAAATTGGATAGAGTCAAGACCCATCAGTGTGCTGTATTCAGGAGATCCATCTCACGTACAGAGACACACAGGCTCAAAACAAAGGGATGGAGGAAGATCTACCAAGCAAATGGAAAACAAAAAAAAGCAAGGGTTGCAATCCTAGTCTCTGATAAAACAACTTTAAACCAACAAAGATCAAAAGAGACAAAGAAGGCCATTACGTAATGGTAAAGGGATCAATTCAACAAGAAGTGCTAACGATCCTAAATATATATGCAACCAATACAGGAGCACCCAGATTCATAAAGCAAGTCCTGAGAGACCTACAAAGAGACTTAGATTCCCACACAATAATAATGGGAGAATTTAACACCCCGCTGTCAACATTAGACAGATCAACAAGACAGAAAGTTAACAAGGATATCCAGGAATTGAACTCAGCTCTGCACCAATCAGACCTAATAGACATCTACAGAACTCTCCACCCCAAATCAACAGAATGTACATTCTTCCCAGCACCACATCACACTTATTCCAAAATTGACCACATAGTTTGAAGTAAAGCACTCCTCAGCCAATGTAAAAGAACAGATATTATAACTGTCTCTCAGACCACAGTGCAATCAAACTATAACTCGGGATTAAGAAACTCACTCAAAACCACTCAACTACATGGAAACTGAACAACTTGCTCCTGAATGACTACTGGGTACATAACGAAATGAAGACAGAAATAAAGATGTTCTTTTAAACCAATGAGAACAAAGACACAACATACCAGAATCTCTGGGACACATTTAAAGCAGTGTGTAGAGGGAAATTTATAGCACTAAATTCCCACAAGAGAAAGCAGGAAAGATCTAAAATTGACACCCTAACATCACAATTAAAAGAACTAGAGAAGCAAGAGCAAACACATTCAAAAGCTAGCAGAAGGCAATAAATAACTAAGATCAGAGCAGAACTGAAGGAGATAGAGACACAAAAAACCCTTCAAAAAATCAATGAATCCAGGAGCTGGTTTTTTGAAAAGATCAACAAAATTGATAGACTGCTATCAAGGCTAATAAGAAAAGAGAGAAGAATCAAATAGATGCGATAAAAAATGATAAAGGGGATATCACCACCAATCCCACAGAAATACAAACTACCATCAGAGAATACTATAAACACCTCTACGCAAATAAATTAGAATATCTAGAAGAAATGGATAAATTCCTGGACACATACACTCTTCCAAGACTAAACCAGGAAGAAGTTGAATCCCTGAATAGACCAATAACAGGCTCTGAAATTGAGGCAATAATTAATAGCCTACCAACCAAAAAATGTCCAGGACCAGACGGATTCACAGCCGAATTCTACCAGAGGTACAAAGAGGAGCTGGTACCATTCCTTCTGAAACTATTCCAATCAATAGAAAAAGAGGGAATCCTCCCTAATTCATTTTATGAGGCCAACATCATCCTGATACCAAAGCCTGGCAGAGACACAACAAAAAAGAGAATTTTAGACCAATATCCCCAATGAACATCGATGCAAAACTCCTCAATAAAATACTGGCAAACCAAATCCAGCAGCACGTCACAAAGCTTATCCACCACAATCAAGTTGGCTTCATCCCTGGGATGCAAGGCTGGTTCAACATATGCAAATCAATAAACGTAATCCATCATATAAACAGAACCAAAGACGAAAACCACATGATTATCTCAATAGATGCAGAAAAGGCCCTCAACAAAATTCAACAGCCCTTCATGCTAAAAACTCTCAATAAACTAGGTATTGATGGGACGTGTCTCAAAATAATAAGAGCTATTTATGACAAATCCACAGTCAATATCGTAATGAATGGGCACAAACTGGAAGCATTCCCTTTGAAAACTGGCACAAGACAGGAATGCCCTCTCTCACCACTCCTATTCAACATAGTGTTGGAAGTTCTGGCCAGGGCAATCAGGCAAGAGAAAGAAATAAAGGGTATTCAATTAGGAAAAGAGGAAGTCAAATTGTCCCTGTTTGCAGATGATACGATTGTATATTTAGAAAACCCCATCATCTCAGCCCAAAATCTCCTTAAGCTGATAAGCAACTTCAGCAAAGTCTCAGGATACAAAATAAATGTGCAAAAATCACAAGCATTCTTGTACACAAATAATAGACAAACAGAGAACCAAATCACAAGTGAACTCCCATTCACAATTGCTTCAAAGAGAATAAAATGCCTAGGAATCCAACTTACAAGGGATGTGAAGGACCTCTTCAAGGAGAACTACAAACCACTGCTCAATGAAATAAAAGAGGACACAAACAAATGGAAGAACATTCCATGCTCATGGGTAGGAAGAATCAATATTGTGAAAATGGCCATAATGCCCAAGGTAATGTATAGATTCAATGCCATCCCCATCAAGCTACCAATGACTTTCTTCACAGAATTGGAAAAAACTACTTTAAAGTTCATATGGAACCAAAAAAGACCCCACATTGTCAAGACAATCCTAAGCCAAAAGAACAAAGCTGGAGGCATCATGCTACCTGACTTCAAACTATACTACAATGCTACAGTAACCAAAACAGCATGGTACTGGTACCAAAACAGACATATAGACCAATGGAACAGAATAGAGCCCTCGGAAATAATACCACACATCTACAACCATCTGATCTTTGACAAACCTGACAAAAACAAGAAATGGGGAAAGGATTCCCTTTTTAATAAATGGTGCTGGGAAATCTGGCTAGCTATATGTAGAAAGCTGAAACTGGATCCCTTCCTTACACCTTATACAAAAATTAATTCAAGATGGATTAAAGACTTAAATGTTAGACCTAAAACCATAAAAACCCTAGAAGAAAACCTAGGCAATACCATTCAGGCCATACACATGGGCAAAGACTTCATGACTAAAACACCAAAAGCAATGGCAACAAAAGCCAAAATTGACAAATGGGAGCTAATTAAATTAAAGAGCTTCTGCACAGCAAAAGAAACTACCATCAGAGTGAACAGGCAACTTGCAGAATGGGAGAAAATTTTTACAATCTACCCATGTGACAAAGGGCTAATATCCAGAATCTACAAAGAACTTAAACAAATTTACAAGAAAAAAAAACAACTCCATCAAAAAGTGCACAAAGGATATGAACAGACACTTCTCAGAAGAAGACATTTATGCAGCCAACAGACATGAAAAAATGCTCATCATCACTGGCCATCAGAGAAATGCAAATCAAAACCACAATGAGATACCATCTCACACCAGTTAGAATGGCAATCATTAAAAAGTAAGGAAACAACAGGTTCTGAAGAGGATGTGGAGAAACAGGAATGCTTTTACACCGTTGGTGGGACTGTAAACTGGTTCAACCATTGTGGAAGACAGTGTGGCGATTCCTCATGGATCTAGAACTAGAAATACCATTTGACCCAGCCATACCATTACTGGGCATATACCCAAAGGATTATAAATCATGCTGCTATAAAGACACATGCACACATATGTTTATTGCGGCACTATTCACAACAGCAAAGACTTGGAACCAACCCAAATGTCCATCGATGATAGAATGGATTAAGAAAATGTGGCACATATACACCGTGGAATACTATGCAGCCATAAAAAATGATGAGTTCATGTCCTTTGTAGGGACATGGATGAAGCTAGAAACCATCATTCTGAGCAAACTATCGCAAGGACAGAAAACCAAACACCGCATGTTCTCACTCATAGGTGGGAAATGAACAATGAGAACACTTGGACACGGGGTGGGGAACATCACACACCGGGGCCTGTCATGGGGTGGGGGGAGGGGGGAGGGATAGCATTAGGAGATACACCTAATGTAAATGACGAGTTAACGGGTGCAGCATACCAACATGGCACATGTATACATATGTAACAAACCTGCGCGTTGTGCCCATGTACCCTAGAACTTAATGTATAATAATAATAAAGAAAAAACCAGACCCAATGATATGTTGCCTACAAGAAATGCATTTCACCTACAAAGGCACACATAGACTAAAAGTAAAGGGATGAAAAAAGATTTTCCAGGCCAATGGAAACTAAAAAAGAGCAGGAGTAGCTATATTTACATCAGACAAAATAGATTTCAGGATAAAAACTTTAGAGAGACAAAGCCATTATATAATGATAAAAGGGTCAGTTAAGCAAGAAGATATAACAGTTGTAAATATGTATGCATCCAACATTGGAGGACCTTGCTTTCAGCATTGGACAGATCATCCAGACAGAAAATCAACAAAGAAACATAGGACTTAATATGCATTATAGACCAAATGGACCTAATAGATATTTACAGAACGTTTCATCTAATAGTTGCAGAATACACATTCTGCTCAGCACATGGATCATTCTCAAGCATGGACCATATGTTAGGCCACAATAAAAGTCTTTAAAAAATTTTTGGCCAGGTGCAGTGGCTCACGCCTGTAATCCCAGCACTTTGGGAGGCCGAGGCAGGTGGATCACGAAGTCAGGAGATTGAGACCGTTCTGGCTAACATGGTGAAACCCCATCTCTACTAAAAATACAAAAAAATTAGCCAGGTGTGGTGGTGGGTGCCTGTAGTCCCAGCTACTTGGGAAGCTGAGGCAGGAGAATGGTGTGAACCCAGGAGGTGGAGCTTGCAGTGAGCTGAGATTGCGCCACTGCACTCCAGCCTGGGCGACGGAGTGCGACTCCATCTAAAAAAAAAAAAAAATTTAAATTGAAATCATATCAAGTATCTTCTCTGACCACAATGGAAAAAAACTGAAAAATAATAACGAGGAATTTTGGAAACTATACAAACACATGGGAATTAAATAATATGCTTCTGAATGACCAGTGGGCTATTGAAGAAATTAAGAAGGAAATTGAAAAATTTCTTGAAAAAAATGATAATGGGAATACAACATACCAAAACCTATGGGGTATATTGAAAGCAGTATTAAGAGGGCTTTTGCAAACCAAATCCAAAATTAGTAGAAGAAAAGAAATAATAAAGATCAGAACAGAGATAAATAAAAGTGAAATGAAGAAAACAATACAAAAGATCAGTGAAACAAAAAAGTTGGTTTTTTGAAAAGGTAAAATCAACAAACTTTTAACCAGACCTACTAAGAGGAAAAAAGACCCAAATAAATAAAATCAGAGACGAAAAAGGAGACATTACAACTGATACTGCGGAAACTCAAAGGATCATTAGTGGCTACTGTGAGCAACTATATGATTTCCAATAGGCTGGACAACCTAGAAGAAATGGATACATTTCTAGACAGGTACAACCTACCAGGATTGAACCATGAAGAAATCCAAAACCTGCACACCAATAACAAGTAAGAAGATCAAAGCTGTAATATGAAGTTTTCTGGCAAAGAAAAGCCTGGGGCCCTATGGCTTTACTGCTAAATTCTATCAAACATTTAAATAAGAACTAATGCCAGGCCAGGTGCTGTGGCTCATGCCTATAATCCCAGCACTTTGGGAGGCTGAGGTGGGGAGAGCACTTGAGCTCAGGAGTTCAAGACCAACCTGGGCAACATGGAGAAGCCCTGTCTCTACTGAAAATACAAAAATTAGCTGGGTGTGGTGGTGCATGCCTGTAGTCCCAGTTAGTTGGGAGGCTGAGATGGGAGGATCACCTAAGCCCTGGAGGCAGAGGCCACGTGAGCCATGATCACCCCATTTCACTCCAGCCTCGGTGACAGAGTGAGACCCTGTCTCAAACAATGACGACAACAACAACAAAGAACTAATACCAATCCTACTCAAACTATGCTGAAAAATGGAGGGGGGAATACTTCCAAAGTCGTTCTAAGAGGCCAGTATTATCCTTATACCAAAACCAGACAAAAACACATCAAAGAAAACTATGGACCATATCCTTGATGAACATTGATGCATTATACCAACAGAGTTAAGGAAAAAAACATAATCATTTCAATTGAAGCTGAAAAAGCATTTGATAGAATTCAACATCCCCACATGATAAATATCTCAACACAATAAAAGCCGTATATAACAGACCCACTGCTAGTATCATACTGAGTGGGTAAAACCTGAAAGCCTTTCCTCTAAAATCTGTAACACAACAAGGATGCCCACTTTCACCACTGTTATTCAACATAATACTGGAAGTCCTAGCTAGAGCAATCAGACAAGAGAAAGAAATAAAGGGCGTCCAAATTGGACAGGAAGAGGTAAAATTATCCTTGTTTGCAGATATGATCTCATATTTGGAAAAACCTGAAGACTCCACCAAAAAATTGTTAGAACTGATAAACGAATTCAGTAAAGTTGCAGGAGACAAAATCAACATGTAAACATCAGTAGTATTTCTATATGCCAACAGCGAACTATCTGAAAAAGAAATCAAGAAAGTAATCTCACTTACAATAGCTAAAAAGAAACCTAGGATTAACTTAACCAAAGAACAAAATATGTGAAAGATCTCTATAATGAAAACTATAAAACATTGATGAGAGAAATTGAAGAGGACACACAAAAAAATGGAAAGATATTCTATGTTCATGGATTGGAAGAATTAATATTGTTAAAATGTCCATACTACCTAAAGCAACCTACAGATTCAATGCAATCCCTATAAAAATACCAATGACATTCTTAACCGAAATAGAAAAAACAAAACCTAAAATGTATATGGAACCACAAAAGACACAGAATAGCCAAAACTATCCTGAGAAAAAAGAACAAAAGTGGAGGAATCACATTATCTGACTTCAAATTATATGACAAAGCTATATAGTAACCAAAACAGCATTGTACTGGTATAAAAACAGACACATAGACCAAAGAAACAGAGTAGAGAACTCAGAAACAAATACATACATCTACAGTGAACTCATTTTCGACAACGGTGCCAACAACATAACTGGGGAAAGGACAGTCTCTTCAATAAATGGTATTGAGAAAACTACATATCCACATACAGAAGAATAAAACTAGACCCCTGTTTCTTACCATATAGAAAAATTCAAAATGGATTAAAGACTTAAATCTAAGATTTCAAACTATGAAACTACTAAAAGAAAACATTGGAGAAACTTTCCAAGACATTGGATTAGGCAAAGATTTCTTGAGTAATACCCCACAAGCACAGGTAACCAAGAAACATAGACAAATGGGATCACATCAAGTTAAAAAGCTTCTGCACAGCAAAGAAAACAATCAACAAAGTAGAGACAACCCACAGAATGGGAGAAAATATTTACAAACAACCCATTTGACAAGGGATTAATAACCAGAATATATAAGGAGCTCAAACAAGTCTGTAGGAAAAAAATCTAATAATCTGATTTAAAAATGGGCAAAATCAGCATCACAGGAAAGGTTAAAAAATGGGCAAAAGATCTGAATAGACATTTCTAAAAAGAAGACATACAAATGGCAAACAGGTGTATGAAAAGGTGCTCAACACCATTGATCATCAGAGAAATGCAAATCAAAACTCCAGTGAGACATCATCTCACCCCATTTAAAATGGCTTTTATCCAAAAGACAGTCAGTAACATGCTGGTAACAATGCTGAGAAAGGGGAACCCTCGTACACTGTTGGTGGGAATGTAAGTTAATACAACCACTATGGAGAACATTTGGAGGTTCCTCAAAAAACTAAAAATAGAACTAACATAACGATCCAGCAATCCCACTGCTAGATATATACCCACAAGAAAGGAAATTAGTATATTGGAGAAATATCTGCACTTGTGTGTTTATTGCAGCACTGTTCACAATTGCCAAGAATTGGAAGCCACCAAAGTGTCCCTCAGCAGACAAATGGATAAAGAAAATGTGGTAAATATACACAAATAAGTACTATTGAGCCATAAAAAGAATGAGATCCTGTCATATGCAACAACTTGGATGGAACTGAAGGTCATTATGTTAAGTGAAATAAGCCAGGTACAGAAAGACAAACTTTGTATGTTCTCATTTATGCATGCTAAAAATTAAAACAGTTGAACTCATGAGATATTGAGAGTAGAAAAATGGTTGCCAGAACTTGGATGGAGCTGGAGACTATTATCCTAAGTGAAGAAACTCAGGAATGGAAACCAAACATTGTATGTTCTCACTCATAAGTGGAAGCTAAGCTATGAGGTTGCAAAGGCACAAGAATGATACAATGGACTTTGGGGACTCGGGGGAAGGGTGGGAGGGGGGTGAGGTATAAAAGACTGCAAATTGGGTTCATTGTATACTACTCAAGTGATGGGAACACCAAAATCTCACAAATTACCACTAAAGAACTTATGTAACCAAACACCACCTGTTCCCCCAAAGCCCATGGAAATAAAATTTCTGGTTGCCAGAGCCTCAGAAGGGTAGAGGGGCCAGGCCAGGGGTGGGGGGAAGGGAGACTGGTTAATGGGTACAAATATGTAGTTAGATAAATGAAGATGATCTAGTATTTGATAGCACAATAGAGTATAGCCAACAATAAGTTATTGTACATTTAAAAATTACTAAAAGAGCATAATTGCTTTGTTTGTAACACAAAGGGTAAATGCTTGAGATGATGGATACCCTGTTCATCCTGATATGATTATTATGCATTGTATGCCTGTATCAAAATATCTCACATACCCCATAAATATATACACCTACTATGTACCCACAAAAATAAAAAAATAAATAAAAAAAAACAGATCATGGAATGCTCTTGCCCAAAAATCTGTGATGAGTCCTTGTTAGCCATAGGGTGAATGAACCCACTCTTAGCATGACATTCTCGGGCCTTTCTTGCACTGCCTTAGCCCTATTTCTGTCCTCATCCACTGTTCCTCTCTCCAAAACCTAGCCCCGGGCAACAAGATACAGATACATACCCTGGCCTCTCTTCTCCTCTGTTTGTGCTATTCTCATCCCAGATGCTGCTGCTCTTCCTTTTTTCTGCTCATGGATTTCCTGCTAATCACTCAAGGCCCAACAGAATTGCCATTTCCTCCGGAACACTTTCACCATCCTTGCCACCTCTGAAAAGCGTAACTAAGAACTAATCTGCCTTTCTGCTTCCGTTGTTCTTTGTACAAACTTTTTTTTCTTTTCTTGAGATGGAATCTCACTCTGTCTCCCAGGCTGGAGTGCAGTGGCAGGATCTCGGTTCACTGCAACCTCTGCCTCCCAGGTTCAAACGATTCTCCTCCCTCCGCCTCCTGAGTAGTTGGGATTACAGGCATCTGTCACCACGCCTGGCTAATGTTTGTATTTTTAGTAGAGATGGGTTTTCACCATGTTGGCCAGGCTGGTCTCGAACTCCTGACCTCAAGTGATCCGCCCGCCTCAGCCTACCAAAGTACTGAGATTACAGGCATGAGCCAGCACGCCTGGCCCTGTGTACAAACTTCTGCTGAGCATTGATCACAGTGAGTCACTTTCTGCTACCTAGTGCCCAACACATGCTGAGTTCCTCAGTGTCGAACAAATGAGTGAATGGGTGAATGAATGAGTGAATGCGTTAGTGAAAACCAGGCACACACACGGATGGCCAAGGCCCTTTCATGTCTTACCTGGAAAATACAGAAGAGATTGCAGGTGGATTTCAATTTACTGATATGAACATTTGTTGAAGGTCTACTGTATGCCAGGGGGTAGAGTGACAAACATCAATGTGCTATGGTACCAGCCTTCCAGGAGCCCATCATCTACTAGGAGCTGGCCATAGTGAGACTCGGTGGGGATGCCATCGGAAATAAAAGGTAACCAATTATCACAAACAAATGCTCGCTGCCAAGGAGTGCGCTCTCTGTCTCTGCAGAGTGGAAATCATCCTGGTGTGTGTTGTACATCCACCACAGAAAGCCTGCTGATGTGGGTAGGTGGAGGTGATGTGCATAGACGATGTCACCTATCTTGACATAGATGGAAGGGACACTGGGGCTGACTGCCCTTCGGTACCTGGTAGCACTAGATGTACCTTCCACGGGATGGATCACCAGGAAACAGGGCTCAGTATCACCCAGGAACCGCACCCCCTTGCATGATTCCAACACAGAGGCCTTGTAGAGGGCATTTTTATGTGGTTTTGTGTTTGTTTTGGATTTGGTAGCTTCCCCTCTGAGTAATGGTATGTCCTTCCTCCACCCCCAATCTGCACCCAAGCCTGATCCAACTTGAGAACTCAGAAATGGAAGGTGAAGTTTTCAGGTCTGATGGTATTTTATGTCAAAATAACAAGTCATGAGAATTGATGAAAATTCTATGCAGGCCAGGAATCCAGAACCCCGGGGAGGGGGGAATTGCTTTATATAAACAGTGTTAAGAGGCATGAATCCTTGAGTAAGATATTCCAAAAAATCCAAATTCCTCTATGCCCTGAGTCATTCTGCGAGCTGTCCTTTAATAATGTGTGATGAAGTCTGCTGGCCAAGCTGTCATGAGGATGTTAATACTTCAAATGTGTGTGGAACTTTCTAGAACATGATGTGTTTACATGTCTGTTTTCTCATTTGATCCTCACTGAAGTACAGGATCTTGTCACTTTTTTACATATAGGCAATGGAGATTTAGAGAGGTTAAGTAACTTGCCCAAGATTACACAGTATTAAGTGACAGGGCTGAGACTTGAACTTAGCCAGTGAGGAAACACTAAACAAAGCTGGAGGTCACCAAGTTTTATTTTACCAGATTCTAACATTACGGATTTCTTACTTCCTTAGGTTATGCCTTTTACACACAGTTAATCCAAAAAAATAAAAAATAAAAAAAATAAAACAGTGTTTTTTTCTTTCTAATAGTTGTTTTTTTCTTTCTAATAGTTGTTTTCTCTTTCTGGCTGGGCACTGTGGCTCATGGCTGTAATCCCAGCACTTTGGGAGGCTAAGGCAGGCGGATTGCTTGAGCCCAGGAGTTTGAGACCAGCCTGGGTAACAGAGTGAGTCTCTACAAAAAAAAAAAATGTTTTTTAATTAGCCAGATGTGGTGGTACATGCCTGTAGGCCCAGCTATTCAAGAGGCTGAGATGGGAGGATCACTTGAGCCCAGGAAGTTGAGGCTGCAATGAGCTGTGATCGCACCACCACACTCCAGCTTGGTTGATAGAGTGAGACTATGTCTCAAAAAAAAATTGTTTTCTCTTTCTAATAAGTTATCCCTCATACTTAAAAATTTAATTTGTATTTTATTAATTGCTATAGAATGTGCATACATTTGAAAGTAGAACTTATGCCTGGAGCTATTTCCATACTAAAACCTGAAGGCATGAAGTGGAGGTAAGACTTGGTAGAAATCGAACTGGCAAGATCTGTTAGGATGAGACTGTAAAGGTTCAGGTCCAGACCAAAGAGTTTCTATCAGCAGTCACAGCATGGAAGTCTTTTTCCCTCAAAACTTTTTATTGGGAAAAAAATTTCAGAACATTTGAAGAAATTGGGAGAATACAATAGACATCATTAAACCCTCTCCTTACATTCAACATTCAGCCATATTTGCTTTACCATATTAACATTCCCATTTTGCAAGTGAGGGACCCAAGGCTGAAAGAGATGAGTGACTTGCCAAGATCACAGAGCTAGGATGGGTAGAAGTGGAATCGAACTCCTATCTACCTAAGGATGGGGCCCTCTGTAGCATTGGTTTTCTAAACACTGGACCCCAGCTGATTTTGACTTCCTTGCAGGCTTGCTTTGAAGTCATGCATCTTGGAGCCAACTCCTGGTGAGTTGGATTTAGTTGGTTTGGGAATTCCGATAGGCAATTAGCACAGATGGGGGGCCCCTAAAGCACAGCTAGGTCCTCAGAATGCCTGAATCCAGGCCCAGGCTCCTCACTGGTTAGATGGGAGCAACATCCATCCCAGCCTCACCCGTTGGCTTTGAGGGTCTGATAAAGGGAAGGGAAGGGAGAGCCCAAGGCAAATGCTGGTGGTGTGTGGCACAGACCATAAAGCCAGTGTGCTGCTTAGCCCAGGACTGAAAGCCAGTGGTCCTGGAATGGCCTTGAAAGTGAATTTTTATTTCTCTCCCTCTATCCCATGAGAGTATAGAGACAGAGCAGGTAGGGTTTTCTTTCCTGCTTTACCCAGTAGGGCAACAGGAGGTCAGAGCCACACAGTGGCCTACCCCAGAGGAGGAAGCAGTCATGGGTGAGTAGCCAGAGGCTGTGGTTTAACAAATCCAAGTGCAACTGAGTTCAGGCCCTTTCCTAAGCCACAACTGTGGGTTTTCTGGGAAAAACATGGAGCTGCACAGCAAACTGATGAGGCACCAGAGCTAGGTTGGAAATGGCAAACCAGCAGGCAAGGGTGATTTCAGAAGGCACGCCGGCATCAGCTAGAGGAGGGGAGGCCATGTGGGAGAGTGGAGAGCACACAGGATTTGGGGTCAGCCTGTGCTTGAATCTCAGCTCCATTACCTATTAGCTGAGGCAGTGTGGGCAAACGATCTCTTGTGCCTTGGTTTCTTCATCTGTAAAACTGGGGTCAGTTTTACAGGGGTCAGAAGCAAGACAGCACTTGCTTCACAGGGTGAGGACAAAATGAGACACATGTGACTTCTTTGTAAACTGTGACAAAATGAGACACATGTGACTCCTTTGTAAACTGTGAAGTGCTACAAGTTTTGTTCTACACGGACCTCTAGGTTGCGTGTGTGGAGGAACGCAGGAGGAGTGTGAGAAGCAGGCCCTGCCTTCAGCCAGTGTGCAGTCTAGCAGTGATATGGTTTGGATCTGTGTCCCCACCTAAATCTCGTGTTGAATTGTGATCCTCAGTGTTGGAGATGGGGCCTGTTGGGAGGTGACTGGATCTTGGGGGCGGATTTTCCCCTTAGTGCCTTGGTGCTGTTCTCATGATAGTGAGTTCTCACAAGATCAGGTTGTTTAAAAGTGTGAGGCACCTCCCCTCTCTCTCCTTCTTGCTCCTTCTCTGGCCAGGTAAGATGTGCCTGCTTTCCCTTCACCTTCTGCCATGAGTGTAAGCTTCTTGAGGCCTCTCCAGAAGCAAAAGCTGCTATGCTTCCTGTACAGCCTATGGAACCATGAACCAGTTAAATCTTTTTTTTTTTTTTTTTTTTTTTTTTTTTGAGATGGAGTCTCACTCCATCATGCAGGCTGGAATGCAGTGGTGTGATCTCCGCTCACTGCAACCTCTGCCTCCCAGGTTCAAGCGATTCTCCTACCTCAGCCTCTGAAGTAGCTGGGATTACAGGTGTGTGCCATCACACCCAGCTAATTTTTTTGCATTTTTTCTTAGAGATGGGGTTTCGCTATGTTGGCCAGGCTGGTCTTGAACTCCCGACCTCAGGTGCTTTGCCCACCTCGGCCTCCCAAAGTACTGGGATTATAGGCGTGAGCCACTGCGCCCATCAGGTATTTCATTACAGCAATTCGAGAATGGACTAATACAAGTGGGGAAGGCAAGACTCACTCACAGAGCTCTTGGTGGTGGTTGGTGCTATGGATCAAGCTTGTTGCATGAATGGAGATGGGAGAAGGAAGAAGAGCTGGGCTGCATATCCAAATGATGCTTCTGGAGGAAAGAAGGTTTGGGCAGGGCCTGGAAATGTGGTTAGGAGTTCAATAGGCAGATGATAAAGATTCTCATTCTGGGAAGGAGAGACATCATCAAGGAAATAGTCACAGAGACTATGATAACACCTATAGGCCACTTTATATGCCTTGTTTGATCCTCCTAGTAACCCTCTTGAGATAGGTTTTATGATTGTTATTCCTAATTTATAGGTGAGAAACCTATGCTGAGAGAGGTTCAATAACTTGCCCAGTGTCAGGCTGCTGATAAATGGCAGAGCTGGGATCCGAACCCAGATTCCAAGGCGTGCATGCTTAGCCATTATCTATATTCTCCAAAAGCAGGATGTGTGAGAGATGCATATGTGACCGCATTGGCCCATTTCTTTATTTGTCCAGTAAACAGTAACTGGGCCCTGCTATAATGCCAGCCGCCCTTGGGTGCTGGGGATGGAAATGAAAGGCAAGGCCCTTGTCCTTCCTTATGGGGTTTTAGTATAGTGGGGACAGGACATGTAAGGAAGGAATTGTAGTGCAGCTGATTCTCTGCCAGAGGTGTGTGCAAGCTGGGGACAACTAGCTGTGTGTTGGAGGGGAGGGAGATCATAGAAGAAGTTCCAGTGTGTGTGGGAACTGGGTGGAGAGGGGGAGAAGGAGCTTGTCAGGAAGGCTGTTCCAGCAGAGTGAACTGCAGGGTGGGATGGGGTGATGAAGAGGTAGCAGAGAGGTAGCAGAGGGAAAGCGGGCAGGGAGTAGGAGGTGGGGAAGCAGGGCCTTGAATGCCACACAGAGGCACGTATTGGGCATGGGCCACACTGAAGACTTGTGGGGAGGGGCTGGCTGTGGTCCCATCGACAGTGTGTGAGGACAGGGAGCTGAGCACCCTCAAAACCTGTCCACAGAGGCCTAGCATGGAGCGGCCTTCCTTTCTCAGGTTGCCCAGCACTGCCTGAATAATCTGGGGCTGTGCTTGACATGGCTGGTGAAGATTGGTAGGCAGCTTCCTTGTCCCCACAGCACAGCCCTGGCTGGGCCTCTGCTTTGCTGAGCAGAGCAGCCTCACTCAGCAGCAGGCAGGCCACACGGGCATCTGGAGAGGGCACTGGGCTGGAGGTCCTTGCTCAGTGACCTTGGTAGTTTCTTGATGTCTCTGGGCTGCTCTGACATGAAGGGACTAAATGATCTCTGAGGTCCCTTGCAGCCCCAACATTGTGAGCTCCCAGGGATGACTGTTCATGCTGCATCCCAGAAAAGAATGAGCAAACATAGCCACTGTTGTCTGAAATCTCATTGGGTGCTGCTCCTTACATAAACCATCTCTCTCAATCACAGAACAACCCCGTGGCTCAGTAGGTTTTGCCCCCATTTTATAGATGGGAAACTGAGCCTCTAAGAGCTCCAGTGTCTGTCCAGTTTTCATACTGTGAACAGCAGAGCTGGGATTTGAACCCAGACTTGCCTTTGTCTTTTGTACTTTATGACATAGCCCCCCAAGGGTGTCTTCATCCTGCTCAGACTTCAGGACACGCTGTGCTGGGCCCACAGGCCATGGGTGCCCCACCGGACAACCACCTTCTGGTCGGCACCACAGCAGGCACCTCTGGCCAGATCCCCCAGGACACAAAGGAGCACGTTGGCCTCTCCCATGGGTGCCTCCCTGGCGGGATGAGCTGGGTGGGTTTGTTTTGACAAGGGTATTTCTGCCTCCTGGTGGCAGGCAGGCCCTGGGCTGGGCAGTGGCGGCACCTGTGGGAATGTGACCCCTCCCTCCAGCCGTGCTTTGGAGGTGATGTCAGGTATGTGGGTGAAGTATTTGGTTGAAGTAAATAAAGCTGGAGGAGAATGACAGGAGTGGGGAGTATGGATAGAATCGGACTGCCCCAGAGGGCACTCTGGCTTGGACCCAGCAGTGTGTGGTTGCAGCAGCCTGTTCTTCCTGACCTGGGGCCAGGAGACCTGCGCCTTTACACGTCCTGCCTTAGAGCCCAAAGCAGTAGGAATTTTCACAGCCAGCTTGGGAGGTTGTGCCATCTCGAAACTGCAGAGCCCAGAGCTTGAAGGGGCTTTGGATGCCATCCACTGCCTGACTTACAGTTGGGGGGCTGAGGCCCAGAGAAAGGACGTGGCCTGCTTAAGCTCACATGGCCTTGGGTGGTGGAGCTGGACCTGCAGTTTTCCAATCTGCAGGCCTGGGCTCTTTTGCACCACCCTGCTCTATTTGGGGAGGGTGGAAGCAGAGAAGCTTAGACCAAATTCCTGGGGAACTGCCACTCTGCTGACCCTTAGCTTCCTTTTGGACCCTCCCTTAGTGCCGTTCCTTCCTGCTCCATCCGCATCACAGCCCTATAGGAGGAATGCACTCTGGAGCCCCTAGTGGTGGTGCGGGGCCTGGCAGAAAAGGAGGAGCCTCTGGCCCTGGATTCTTTCAATTCATTTCCTCAAATATTAATGGAACATGCAGGATGCAAGACGCCACAGGGGATACCAGGAATCCTAAAACCAATTTGAATTTTCTCAGGGAAAAGGCTGCCACCCAGGAAAGTGGCATCACCTGTGAGAGACAGCCTACAGCTTAGGACTGCCAGCAGGCCAGCGTCATCAACACGGAGGGGTTAGAGCACAGGGTTGGGGGAAGCTCAGGGAGAAGTAAGGGAGTTAGCTGGGTGGTCAGGGTGGCTCATGTCTGTAATCCCAACTACTCAGGAGGCTGAGCGGGGAGGATCACTTGAGCTCAGGAGTTTAAATCCAGTCTGGGCAACATCTCATCTCTTTTTTTAGAAAAAGATTCTCTCTAAGTAAGGGAGTAAGGGGAGGCAGGGTTGAGGGGGAAGAGGCTCTGAAAATGAAGAGGAGTAGGACAGGCATTCCAAGCCAGAGCAAAGGATGGAGTTGAGATGTCGTTGTGGAGTGGTAGTGCCCACCCTGCGGGGATATAGAGCAGGTACAGGCAAGGGATGGGTGGTGAGGCTGGAAAGAGAGCATGGGGCAGTCAGTGCCTTGACTACTTCAAATATCAGGTGGGGCATTTGGACTTTCTCCGGTGGCCAGTGGGACCACTGAAGATATTTAACCAGATTCAGTGATGTGTTGGGGAGAAAGGGATTGGACTGCCAGGGAAGCCCCCACCCCACTGCTCCCCACTGATTGTGACATTACAAGCTGTTGCACCTTGGCAAATCATTTAGCCCTGTGTGAGCCCCGTTTTCTTATCTGTGAAATGGAGTTTATAACAGTACCTATCACTCAGCGTGGCTGCAAGGATCACATAGAACACTAGCATCAAATTTGGCTTAGTAAACATGCTGTAAATGTTAGTCCCTACCCTCTGTCCTGGCTGTCATCAGGCTAATAGTGGAGCTTGGGACAGCAAGAAGGAAGCCTGTCTGAAAGCAGGTAGAGCTTCAGGTTTAGGGGCCCAAATCCCCTGGCCAGCCTATAGGTACCTTGGTGGCCTAGGAAGGAAGCAGAAACATGGCTGGATAGCAGGGAGCCATGGCCTCTGTTTACTCCCAATCAGGGCAGGTCTGAGTCTATGGGTATGTCTGGTCCAAATGGCCCAATAAGTGAATGGTGAAGGTAGGGACGAGAACCTGGGTCCTGACGACCCAACAGAGCATTCCTACTGCCCCACGGCCACCTTCCAGCCTGAAACCCCCAGGCTTCATCCTTTTATCCAGACCCAGCTTGGGTGTTCGCCCTGCCAGGACCTCCGTTTTCTCATCTGACTTGAGGACCTCCTGCTCAGGAGCTCCTGAGGCCAGGGATGGGTTCTGGGGCTACTCACTTGCATGGAAGCATCACCAGAAGAAAAGGCACCCTGGGGTAGGACACAGGTGCCAGAGGAGGAAAACAGCTGTGTCTGAGCCAGGCACGAGGTTGCCCCAGGTTGCCAGGCCAGAGTGGCATTGCTGCTTCTCTCTGGGATAGATTTTTTTTGTTTTGTTTTTTTTGAGACAGAGTCCCTCTCTGTCACCCAGACTGGAGTACAGTGGTACGATCTCAGCTCACTGCAGCCTCTGCTTCCCGGGTTCAAGCAATTCTCCTGCCTCAGCCTCCTGAGTAGTGGCAACTACAGGCGTGTGCCACCACGCCCAGCTAATTTTTGTATTTTTTTTAGTAGAGTCGGGGTTTCACCATGTTGACCAGGCTGGTCTTGAACTCCTGACCTCAAGTGATCCACCTACTTCAGCCTCCCAAAGTGCTGGGAATACAGGCATGAGCCACTGCGCCCGGCCTCCTGGGCTAGATTAATAAGACCCCTGAGAAGCAAGGAAGGGGAATCATTTAGTCTAGCGGTTAGGAGCACAAACTTTGGGGCCTGAGAGATAAAGGTTAAAGTTCCTAATGAGGGATAATACAAACTAATGTTATAGTCTCGGTTTCTTTTCTTTTTTCTTTTTGACAGGGTCTCACTCTGTTGCCAAGTCTGGAGTATAGTGGCACAATCATAACTTATTGCAGCCTCAACCTCCTGGGCTCAGGTGATCCTCCCACCTCAGCCTCCTGAGTAGCTGGGACTACAAGTGTGTGCCACCATGCTGGGCTAATTTTTAAAAATTTTTTTTGTAGAGACAGGGTTTCTCCAAGTTGCCCTGGCTGGTCTTGAACTCCTGGGCTTAAGCAATCCTCCTGCCTCTGCCACCCAAAGTTCTGGGGTTACAGGCATGAGCCACCACACCTGGCTAGTCTTGGTTTCTTCTTTTTTTTTTTTTGCAAAAGGAATGATAACACCCACCATGTGAGGTAGTTGAGAGTTCAATGAAGTGTAAAGTATGTCGCATGTTTGCTTAGCACTGGGTCCTGTATATTGCAGGGGCTTAATCAGTGGCACCTGTCTTCACTTGGGGCACATATATTGAGCAGCTGCTGGATATCAGGCTCTATCCCAACCTCTGGGGAGATGACAGGAACAAAACCCTTGGGCAACCCAGTAGAGGGAGACAAGCAGACAAGCTCATCAGAGTAAGAAGCACTGTGTTCGGGTATTACAGGGTACTTTGGGAACTGGGGAGGGTGGTAGGCAGGGAGAGAGCAGAGAAGGCCTTCTGGAGGAGGTACTACCTTTGCTGAAATGTGAATAGGAACTAGCCAGGTTTGGGGTTGGGGTAGTGCAGGGAGAGTGTTCCAGGCAGGAGAGAAGTCACCTGCTGTGTGTTAGGTGCTTGGGGTGGGGCTGAGGACAGATGAGACTCGGGCGGGGGAAACATGGCCCTGCCCTGGGGTTCTTTTTTTTGTTTGTTTTTTTATTTTTGTTTTTTTTGTTGTTGTTTTTTTGAGATGGAGTCTCACTTTGTCGCCCAGGCTGGAGTGTAGCAGTGTGTTCTCGGCTCACTGCAGCCTCCACCTCCCCGGTTCAAGTGATTCTCCCATCTCAGCCCCCTGAGTAGCTAGGATTATAGGTGCATGCCACCACGCCCAGCTAATTTTTATATTTGTAGTAGAGATGGGGTTTCACCATGTTGGCCAGGCTGGTCTCGAACGCCTGACCTCAGGTGATACCCCCTGCCTTGGCCTCCCAAAGTGCTAGGATTACATGTGTGAGCCACTGTGCCCGGCCTGCCCTGAGGTTCTTATAGACCAGTGAAGAAACCATCTCTCCTGGACTGTGTGCCACAGAGGTGAGCCTGTGTGAGGAAGGAGACTCCCATCTTATTTCAGCCTCAATTCTTCCCCTCCACCACCTCATCCCTACTGCTCCATAGTCCTGGGGATCACCAGGTCTGGCTCCCACCCCCATTCAGCGTGTGGTGTGAGATGGTGTCCTGGGCTCTCAGCTATGGTGGTCGGGAGGGCTGGGCCATGGCCCTTCAGCCCCAGGGAGATGTCTCACTGTCTTTTCCCTGGAGGAGAGGAGAAGTTCCTAAGAGGGTGAAACTGCCTGCCTGGGAGGTAGTTGGCAGTTGGGAGGTTGCAGCTGACTGCATGGGGTGCCAGGACACTTGGGTCCATGGGCAGCCCCCAGTGGGCTGGTCAGGGGTGCTAGAGTGGGGCCACTTTCCTGGATCCTCTCCAGGTCATAAGCTGACTTCACCCACCCTCATGCTCCTTTCTGTACAGCCTTAGGGAAATTTGCGGTGCCTTGGGGAGACTTGGACACATTTTCAAAACAGTGTTGAGAGTAATCTCCAGAGGGGAAGAAGAATAAAAAAGCAAAAAAAATGCAAAAGGAAATGTGTTATTTATTTTTTTTAAAAAAAGGAAAAAAAGCCAAGGAAGGCCTCAGTCAGCTCCCTTGAGTGGAAGTTTCCAGCTGGAAGGTCACAGAGACCATAGGCAGCCAGGGGGACCTGGGAGAAGGCATCTGTCCAGATTCACTATCAGTTCAGCTAACAGCTAGGGTCACCCTCAGCATGCCAGCTGCTGTGCTCTGCATTGCAGGGGCAAAGATGCAAAGATCTGAGTCCTCCTTCCGGCTGAGGACAGCTCTGGTAGGGGAGCTATGATAAAAACAGCAAAGGGCCGCTGGACAAGAGAAAGCATGCCAAATGTCATCACAGAAAGGTTCAAATAAGCCTGGTGGGGCCTGGAGCGGGGTGGGGCTCACTCCTGGGGGTGGTGGAGGGTGCTCAGGGTTGCTGAGGAAAGTCTGCAAGAACACAGTGGGTTGAGTTAGACTTTGAAGCCCAGCTAGGATTTCAATGGACAGAGACTGAACAGAAGGCTTTCCAGGCAGAGCAGATGGTGTGAACAAAGGTGCAAGCTGTGGAAACCCTTCAGTGCTTTAAGAAACAGGGATGTTTGATTTTCTTAAATATTTATTTATTTAATAGCTTTATGGAGATATAATTCACATACTATATAATTTATTCACTTAATGTGTACCGTTTACAAAGTTATATAACCAACACCACCATAGTTTATAGAAAATAGAAAAGAAACCTTGTACTCCCCATCTCTCCATTCCCCCAATCCTAGGGGACTACTAATCTACTTTCTGTCTCTGTGGATTTGCCTATGCTGGGTATTTTGTATCAATGGAATATTTTTTGTCTTTTATGACTGGTTCTTTCCCTTAGCATAAATGTTTTCAAGGTTCCTTGCTGCTGTAGCAGGTATCAGTACTTCATTCCTTTTTATATTTCATTTTATTTATTTATTTATTTATTTATTAATTGAGACAGAGACTCACTCTGTTGCCCAGGCTGGAGTGCAGTGGCACGATCTTGGTTCACTGCAACCTCCACCTCCTGGGTTCAAGTGATTCTCCTGCCTCAGCCTCCCGAGCAGCTGGGACTACAGGCGTGCGCCACCACACCCACCTAACTTTTGTATTTTTAGTAGAGACAGGGGTTTTGCCATGTTGGCCGGGCTGGTCTCAAACTCCTGACCTCAAGTAATCCACCCACCTCGACCTCCCAAAGTGCTGGGATTACAGGCATGAGCCACCGCGCCCAGCAGTACTTCATTCCTTTTTATTTTTTTCTTTGGCTTCATTCCTTTTTATGGCCAAATCGAATTCACATGTGGATACTAGATGTGCTATGGGTGTTCACATCTTGTTTATCCATTCATTCACTGTTTCCCCTTCAGGGATATTGGGAATATGCTGCTGTGAACATTTGTATACATATTTTGTGTGGATGTGTGTTTTCAGGACATTTCCTTTAGAGTGGAGTGAAGGAAAGTTGTGTGGAGTGGGAGAAAGTGGGTGAGGCAGAGGGGACCGTAGTCTGAGTGGTTGGGTGGGAGTGAGAAGGGAGAGCTCAGGATTCCATTGCAGCCTCACTGGGAGTCTGGGGTGTGTGAGGGCCAGGCCCATGGGTGTGTGAGGGGCTGTCCCCTACCCTGCACCCACCTGCATTGTTGTGTCAGACCTGGCAGCTGCTTGCTGGGCTGGAAATAGCCTGAGCAGCTGGTATTTTCCCTGGAAATCGGGTGCATTTTTCCTGTGTCCTGCTGAGGACCAAAATTAGTTAAACGCAGAGAGAAGTGTGGGCTACACAGTGAGTCTAGAGGAGGGGAATGTTGTCAACAGGAAGTTGGCTGGCCAGGGGAAAGAGGCGGTCAGGAAGACCAAGGTCAGTAAGCCAAGTATAAACAGAGGCTAAGCTGGGATGTCCCCGTCCCTTTCACACCCACACAGCAGTGCTGGGTTTGTTTACAGGAAATGCTGCAAGTATCTCATTGGCCCCATTTGACAGATAGGAAAACAGAGGCACTGCATTAAAGGGATCTGCCACTCAGAGACAGAATGGAGATGAAGGCTGGAGTCTTCAGTTCTGCTGTGAGCAGAAGGTTTGGTAAAACCCAGGCCTTGCCCTCAATGCTTTACCTGTCTTTGGGTTCACAGAGAAGACTGAGGACCAAAAACAAGGAAGAGTTTATGCTGTTTCAGTCTCCTAAAAAGAACACCAAGTCCCACCCCAAACCCCAAAGCCAAAACACGAACCAACCAGCCTTTAATTACCGTCTTTTTTTTTCTTTTCTTCCTTCCTTTTTTTTTTTTCTACTTTTTGTTGTCCAGCCAGAAAACATTATGTTGTTAGACAAGAATATTCCCATTCCACACATCAAGCTGATTGACTTTGGTCTGGCTCACGAAATAGAAGATGGAGTTGAATTTAAGAATATTTTTGGGACGCCGGAATTTGTTGGTGAGTTGTAGGCCTGTTTGTCTTTCAGCTAAGAATCTGGCATCAAAGGTAGGGATCCTGGGAAGAAACCTGTGTCTGGGGCTATGGCCTCTGAGCAAAGAGATGATGCATTGGGACATCTCTAGAAACCTAATGGGTGGGGAAGGAAATGTCTTATTGGGCCTGGGGATGAGGGCCCAGGTGTAGGCTTTGAGTGCTCAGTGAGGCAAGGGCTGAGTGGGGCCCAGTGGCTCTCAGTGGGGCTACAGCCTGTAAGGTTAAACCCTTGTAGCGCTGGCCCCACCTCGTGCTCTTAGATGAGTTTATTCTTGTGAAGACTTAAAATTACCTCGCCCTCTTGAATTCCCATAAACTCAACCTTCTCTGAACTAGCTTTTGATTTCCTGAAAAGGAAAAAGGAAATCATCTGCCAAATACCACATCCACCCACTCGCCTCTCCTCTATGCCTGGCTTTATTCATGCATGGGGGTGCCCAGCTCCAGTGGGGCCCTGGCTGCTTCCTCTTCCCTCTGTTTCTGTCACCCTTGGCCCAGGCCCCTGCCCATTCTGTACCCCAGAAGCCTCCTTATAGGGCTTGGGCCGGAGATTGGGGTCATGAAGAAATAGCCTGTAGAGGGGGAAGGAATGAGCGCTGAGAACCACCATCTGTTTATCTGCTTTGGGAGTTGGAGTGGTCTTGGAGATAGGGAGGGCATGATGTCCTCAAAATCTGGGTGCTAAAACTTCTGACCACAGTCAAATAAAAAAGAAAGAATGTGTCAGACCAACCACCTGGTGGATTTTCAGGCTCTGCAGCCACCGTAGAATGCTGCTCAGAGACCCCACAGATCCCAGGGCAGGAAGCCCTTGCTGTGTGCCAGGCACTATGTCTCATGCTCTACAAACATTGTCTTAATTATCCCCAAATGGCTTCATGAAGCAGAGTTAATTATTTTCTCCAACAGGTGCCTTGTTCAAGGCAACCCAACCAGTAGGCAGTGGAGCTGAGATTCAAATACAGATACAGCCAACAGCAAAGCCTGTGCTCTTCCCATTATGCCAGGTTGTCTCTCTAACAAACCCTGCCCTCAAAGAGCTTACAATTTAGTTGTAGAAACAAGGCATCAAACCATCAAAAAAGAGTGCCAGAAGGATCTTTTTAGATTTTCTGGTCCAGTTTAACACACGTGGAGATGGCAGGCTGGGGGATTTTAGTTAAGGTAAACTCAGGTTATTTGTCACCTACTGTATGACAGATATTAGGTGATGTATGGGGGACACAGCGATGTTAAGGAGCCATACTCAGAATGACACACCCAAGGTCACAAGTTGGTGGCAGAGCCAACTTAAACCTGGGGCACAGACATCTAGACTTGAGCTTTGTCTGAAAGAGCAGTTGCTACCCACCATTCACATATGTGGTAAAAATGCATGTCTATTAAGTTTATTATAATTGTTAAATAACAATAAACAACTAGAAACTGAGAGCAATAAGGAAGAGGTATCACAAGACAGGATGTGATTAAGTGTAAAGCAAGTAAAATAGATGTTCTGAAAAGACTGTTCATATGAGATACCCACTCTGGCAAAGTCAATGGGATCAGTCATGGCCTTGAGTGAGTGAGAGGAAAAGGGCTGGTGTTGGAGTGGGAGAGGTCTCTGAAGAGGGGTGGGGAGGGAGCCAGAGGAGGGGAGGAACACCTCCCAGGTTCACTGATACCCTACCAGGGAAGTAAGGCCAGAGTAAGGCATTTATCAGGGACAAGTCACTGTCCACTCCAAATGGAGCCCAGAGTTCACACTAGACTGTTAGTGTGAGTGGGTTATTGATGGATGAGGCTATACAATGGAGAGTTTTGCCCAGTGGTATGCTGATAAATATCCAATAACCAGGTCTCAAAAAAAAATTCCCTAATTTATAGCATTGGCCAATTTCAAGGTACTGGCATGTTGTCACTCAACACAGAGTTGGAAAGACATATACCTCATTGGCTTTTGTGAGCCAGTATGGTTTTGTTTGCACTGGTTTTGTTTTACCTTAAAATATATAAGATGACTTCTCCAACCTCTTGGCTAAATTGTGATGACTTTCTTTCCCAAGACCCCTGAGAAACAGGTTATAACCATTTTCCCCTGCTCCCACCATTCCTTTGATATTCTAACCTCAGACCCAGGGTTAAAAAATTAGTGTCAGCTTTTAGTACTAGGGTGGATTAGGTGTTCTGAAAAGCCCTCCTCCTACAAAATTGGATTTTTTTTTTTTTTTTTTTTTGAGACAGGGTCTCACTCTGTCACCCAGGCTGGAGTGCAGTGATGCAATCATACCTCACTGCAGATTCAATGTCCTGGGCTCAAGTAATCCTCCCACCTCAGCCTCCTGAGTAGCTTGGTCTACAGGCATGCACCATTATGCCTGGCAATTTTTTAAAAATTTTTTTGAGGTGGGGTCTCACTATATTGCCCAGGCTGATCTCAAACTCCCGGATTCAAGTGATCCTCCCACCTCAGCCTCCCAAAGTGCTGGGTGACAGGCGTGAACCACCATGCCCGGCTTACAAAACTGGATTCTTGAGAAAAATTTTCTTTTTCATGAAATTCTGGTCTCACAGGAAATAAGAGAAATCTTTATTTTTATTTATTTATTGAGACAGAGTCTCACTCTGTCACCCATGGAGTGCAGTGGTGTGATCTCAGCTCACTGCAACCTCCGCCTCCTGGGTTCAAGTGATTCTTGTGCCTCAGCCTCCCTAGTAGCTGGGATTACAGGCACCCACCACCACGTCTGGCTAATTTTTGTATTTTTAGTAGAGACAGGGTTTCACCATGTTGGCCAGGCAGGTCTCGAACTCCTGACCTCAAGTGATCCCCCTGCCTTGGCCTCCCAAAGTGCTGGGATTACCGACGTGAGCCAGCGAGCCACCGCTCCTGGCCAGAGAAATCTTTAAACATAGTAACTCCTTCAGCACCACCTGTCCCACCCCCAAAAGCTGATGAGTTGAACCTAGAGCTAGAGCAGTGAGCAGCAAGAAAATTCAACAGAAGGAACTCCACTAGAGGCAAGTGCACTTGTCGCCACTTCAGTTAGAGACTAGCAAAATTTAGATGTTCAAGGACATAAGATACTGAAATTATCAGATGTTGACTGTAACATCTGATGGATGGAATATATACACTAGTGGAATATAAATATTAAAGTACATTTTATATACATAGAAATAAAAGGTAGACTCACAAGAATGAGCAAGCAACAAGAGGTGTCAAAAATGACCAGATGAATTTTAAAAAGAACAGGATGATAGAACTTTAAAGAATTTAATTGTTGAAATGTAAAACTCTGTGAATGGGTTAAACAGCAGATTGTATACAGCTAAGGAGAGAGTTGAAGAATTGAAAGAGCTGAAACAAATTAGCTAGAGCACCATAGAGTGACAAAGACATAGAAATATGAAAGAGAGGATAAGCAAAAGAGGATAAAAAGAAAACTTATCATAGATCTCTTTGGAATTCTAAAAGGAGGAAATAGATACAAAAAGAAAAAAAGGAGAAGCACTATTTGAAGAGAATGGCTGAGAATTTTCAGAACTGCATCCATGCATCCACAGACACAGAAAGGACAATATATACCAGGCAGAAAAAAACAAAAATCTTACCTAGACACATTATAGTGAAACTGAAGGGTACCAAGACAAAGCAGTCAGGGAAGACAAATACCTGCAAAAGAACAATAATTAGATCTACAGCATATTTCTCAAAACAACAATGGAAGCCAGTATCCAGTGGAATATTATCTTCAAAGAGCTGAGGAAAAATAAAAAGTAAACCCATAATTGTGTGCCCAGAAAAAATATATCTCAAGAATGAGGCCGGGCATGGTGGCTCATGCCTGTAATCCCAGGACTTTGGGAGGCCGAGGTGGGTGGATCACTTGAGGTCAGGAGCTCGAGACCAGCCTGACCAACATGGTGAAACCCTGTCTCTACTAAAAATACAAAAATTAGCCAGGCATGGTGGCGCACGCTTGTAATCCCAGCAACTTGGGAGGCTAAGGCGGGAGGATCACTTCAACCCAGGAGGCAGAGGTTGTCGTGAACTGAGATCTCGCCATTGCACTCTAGCCTAGACGACAGAGTGAGACCGTGTATCAGGAAAAAAAAAAAAAAAAGAAGGCAAAGATTTAAGAAAAACAAATAAGAACAATTAAAAAAAAACCCCAAAACATTGATATAGAGTTTGCCACCAATACACCATCATTAGCAGAACTTCTAAAAGATGTACTTCTGAATTAAAGAAATGAACTCTGAAGGGAGGCCTCAAAGCAAGAAGTAATAGAAGCAAAGAAATCAGTAAATATTAAGCAAATATAAACATTTTTCTGCCTAAAATTGTGATGATGGCTGGGCGTAGTGACTCACGCCTGTAATCCCAGCTTTTTTGGGAGGCCAAGACGGTTAGATCACTTGAGGCCAGGAGTTTGAGACCAACCTGGGCAACATGGTGAAACCCCACCTCTACTAAAAATACAAAAAATTAGCCAGGCATTGTGGCTCACACTTGTAGTCCCAGTTACACTGGAAGCTGAGGCAGAAGAATTGCTTGAACCTGGGAGGCGGAGGTTGCACAGAGCTGAGATAACACCACTGTACTCCAGCCTGGGCAACAGTGAGAGTCTGTCTCAAAACACAAAACAAAACAATAGGCTGGGTGCCATGGCTCACACCTGTAATCTCAGCACTTTGGGAGGCCAAGGTGGGCGGATCACCTGAGGTCAGGAGTTCAAGACCAGCCTGGCCAACGTGGTGAAACCCCATCTCTACTAAAAATACAAAAATTAGCTGGGTGTGGTGGTGGGTGCCTGTAATCCCGGCTACTTGGGAGGCTGAGGCAGGAGAATCACTTGAACCCAGGAGGCAGAGGTTGCAGTGAGCCAAGATGGCACCATTGCACTCCAGCCTGGGTGACGAGCAAGACTCAGTCTCAAAAAAAAAAAAAAAAAAAAAAAAAACTAGGATAAAACTAGAACATGAAGAAAATGTTAGATGCAGCAGTGTTTAAAATTAATGTTCTGAGGTTTTTAGGTTGTTCGAGGAGCATCAAAATGTTGATTTATATTAGAATTTGTTAGATATCCACAGTTATGTCTCAAAGATAGCTGTTAAAAAAAAGAAGTTGGGGAAAAACAATAAAACCAAAAGTCTTCATTTTTTAAAGAAGGCAAGAAAGGAAAAGAAAAGCACAGAAAAAAAGACAAATAAAAGCATGTTGATGACAGAAATAAAAGTGTATGTATCTCAGATCAATGGCATGAGAAAGTGAGTTCTGCTTCTCAATCTATGATGAAAGCTTTAAAAAAAAAATTCAGCTGGAAGTGGTGGCTCAAGCCTGTAATCCCAGCACTTTGGGAGGCTGAGGCCGGAGGCTTGAGCCTAGAAATTGAAGACCAGCCTGGGCAACGCAGTGAGACCTCATCTCTACAAAAAAATTTAAAAATTACCTGGTATAGTGGCACATGCCTGTGGTCCCAGCTACTTGGGAGGCTGAGGTGAGAGGATCGCTTAACCCTAGGGGGTTGAGTCAGCAGTGAGCTGTGATCATGCCACTGCACTCCAGCCTGGGTGACTAAGCAAGACCCTGTCTCAAAAAAAAAAAAAAAAAAAATCAATCTGTCCTGAACTGCTACTTCAGTAAGATACAATAAAAAATAAATTCTTAGGCCAGGCGCTGTGGCTCACGCCTGTAATCCCAGCACTTTGGGAGGCTGAGAGGCGTGGATCACCTGAGGTCAGGAGTTTGAGACCAGCCTGGCCAACATGGTGAAACCCCGTCTCTACTAAAAATATAAAATTAGCTTGTTGTGGTGGCGTGCACCTGTAATCCCAGCTACTTGGGAGGCTGAGGCAGGAGAATCACTTGAACCCAGGAGGTGGAGGTTGCGATGAGCCGAGATCACATCATTGCACTCCAGCCTGGGCAAAAAGAGTGAAACTCTGTCTCAAAAAAATAAAAATAAAAACAAATAAATTATTAGAAAAATGACCACAGTTTGGATGTCACAACAGTGTCACATTGCTATCAGAGTCTCTAAATGCATAGTCCAAATTTCTGTGCCTATCTTGTTGGACCAGTGACAGTCTGTGGACTATTCGTCTGCAGACCACACTTTGAATTATCACTGACCTAAAGAAAGTCTTTCATGTGCACATTAGGAAACACATGCAAAAAAAAAGTTCATAGCAATGTCGTTTCAATAATTGTTTAAAATGGGAGCCATTTAAATGAACTCTGAGAGGAGAATGACTAAAAAATGATACACATTCACACGATGGATTACCGTATAGCAGTGAAAATGTAAAAAGCATGGATGAACAATCAGTGAACACTAGAAGCATAAATGTTCAGTGAAAAAATAAAGTGACTATAAATCACATGCAGTATGACAGCATTTTTATAAAGCTAAAACAGCAGCAAAACCAGGAGCGTAGTTCCCTGAGTCTTAAAGTAGCAGGATGCAAGAGGACAGGAGGGCAGACACAGGCTGTGGATGCAATGGTTTTGATATTGTTTTAGATAAACTCACACTTTCCCACTCTCCACCTTTTCCATTCGCAGTTGAATGGGCTCAGTCCTTCCTCCTTCTCAAGCTACTGTCCTCTTTTTTGCCTCCATGATCTCCAAGCTTTTAAAAAGTGTCATCTAAAAAAAATAAATAAATAAATAAAATAAAGTGTCATCTATACTCTTACCTCTACTTCTTTGTAGCTTCTTTTTTTTTTTTTTTTTTTTTTTTTGAGACGGAGTTTTGTTCTTGTTGCCCAGGCTGGAGTGCGATGGCACAATTTCAGCTCAACTGCAACCTCCATCTCCTGGGTTCAAGCAGTTCTCCTGCCTCAGCCTCCTGAGTAGCTGGGATTACAGGCATGTGCTACCACGCCCGGCTAATTTTGTACTTTTAGTTGAGACAGGGTTTCTCCATGTTGGTCAGGCTGATCTCAAACTCCCAACCTCAGGTGATCTGCCCACCTTGGCCTCCCAAAGTGCTGGGATTACAGGCGTAAGCCACTGTGCCCAGCCTTTTTTTTTTTTTTTTTTAAACAGGGTCTCACTCTGTCACCCAGGCTGGCGTGCAGTGGCATGATCTCAGCTCACTGCAACCTCCACCTCCCAGGTTCAAGCAATTCTCATGCCTCAGCCTCCCAAGTAGCTGGGGTTAAAAGCACCCGCCACCATACCCAGCTAATTTTTTTTTATTTTTAGTAGAGATGGGATTTCGCTATGTTGGCCAAGCTGGTCTCGAACTCTTGACATCAAGTGATCCACCTACCTTGGCCTCCCAAAGTGCTGGGATTACAGGTTTGAGCCACCACGCCCATCCTATACCTTCTTGACACTCTGGGCACTGCGGGGCTGTGAAATTCAACACTCACTTTCCAGGGATTATCTGCTTGATCTCTGGGGAGCATTTGATCTTCTTCTCTCCTTGGCAGAGCCATCTCTCCTAGTCTCTGCACCCTCTCCTGCTCATCACATCGTTGGCTCAGCTCCTGCTCCTTCCTGTACATGGATGGCTCCAAACGTGATGGCTCTGGACCACTCCCCTGGAGCCTGCCCCTGGACATCTTCCCCTGGCTGCCCCTCAGGCACCTCAAGCTCATTGTCTCAGGGACCCCCAGGAATGTCCTCCTGCTCCTCAGGTGGGAGGTACCCTCTTTCAGACCAGACTCAGGAAAATGGAGTTCTTCTCTGCCTTCTTCTTCATCACTTTCCAGCACTGACATGACTGGTCTTTACCAGAGAGTTCTAAAGCAGGCCACATAGCCGAGGCCCCATTTCTCCTTCCTGTACCTTCCTCTCCCTGCCCTTCTCTTCCTTTTTCAGGTGTTCGGTGTACTTTTCCTCTTCCTATCAAGGCCTGTTTGTAAAAGGTTTCTACCAGGATAACAGACAACTCTTTTCTTAGTCCTTTTGGGCTGCTTTAATGAAATACCTTAAAGTGGGTCATTTATAAACAACAGAAATTTATTGCTTACAGTTTTGAAGGATAGGAAGTCCAAGGTCAAGGTGCCAGCAAATTTGGACTCTGGTGAGAGCTCACCCTGTTTCATAGATGGTGCCTTCTTGCTAAGTTGTCAAATGACCAAAGGGGCAAACAAGTTCTCTCAGGCCTCTTTTTCTATTTCTTTCTCTTTTTTTTAAGATGGGTCTCACTCTGTCACCCAGGCTGGAGTGTAGTGGTGCAATGATGGCTCACTGCAGCGTCAGCCTTCCCAGGCTCAAGCAATCCTCCCACCTCAGCCTCTTCCCAAGTACCTGGGACTGCAGACATGTGCCATCATGCCCAGCTAATTTTAAAAAATGTTTTGTGGAGATGGGGTCTCACTGTGCTGCCCAGGCTGGTCTCCAACTCCTGGGCTCCAGCAATCCTCCTGCCTCAGCCTCCCAAAGTGCTGGGATTATAGGTGTGAGCCACCACAGCCAGCCCTCGGGCCTCTTTATAAGGGTACTAGTCCCACTTGTGAGGTTTCCATTCTCATGACCTAATCACCTCCTAAAGACTCTACTTCTTAATACTATTGCATTGGGGATTTGCTTTCGATATATGAATTTGGGGACGCACAAACATTTGGGCCATGGCAACTCCTTTCCTCAGAATCTTAGATGCAGATCACCTTTATCTGCTGCTCTAATTTTCCTGGAGATTCAGGATGGAGATATTTGGCACCAAATTCCCTAAAATTCCCTAAAACCATCTCTCCTCTCATTTTCACACTCATGTTGACTATTTAATATGACTTCTTTCAGCTCCAGAAATTGTGAACTACGAGCCCCTGGGTCTGGAGGCTGACATGTGGTAAGTTGGATAGGCCACTCAGGTGACCTAGCGATCCTTCCAAGGGCGGAAGGCCTCAGATCCTGCTCCAGGTGACATCCGCTTAACCATGAAAGCCCCTTACTCCACACTCACTGTTCAGAGCCTCTGGCTGCTCCCCCGATGTGTTAGACCTGTGGCCAGGGCAGCTGGAGGTCTCTAGGCCTGGACCTGAGGCCAGTTAGCTCCTGGCCAGGTCAGAGCTTTGTCAGGAATGGAGGAGCAAGAGGAGAGGCAAGGGGGAGGCGCAGACTCACCCGTGGGCCTGCCCCAGCTGGGGTTAAATATAATAGTAACAGTAGCTCGCTCAGTCAGCCAACCAAGTCATCACTGAAAGTCCATGAGTTCTGGGCACTGTGCTGGGCCTGTGGATACTGCAGGGATTAGTCCTCTGCACAGATGGGACTCGTTTCATTTGGACGCTGCTTTATAGTTGGCCAAGCACCTTTGTTACCTGGTTTTCTAAAATCCTGCCAACAGTCCTGTGAGGTAGTTATCATTATCCTCATTTTACAAGGGGGGAAGGGCTCCGAGGTGGTAAGGGACTTACCTAAATCACACAGCCTGCAAGTGCAGGAGTCTGATCTTGAACTTGGGTCTTCGGACTCAGGGTTCAGAGCTCGATGACTCCAAACACACCCCGGGCTGCTGCTGAAGAGCAGGATGGAGATGGGTGTGGAGCATGAGACGGCATCCAGGGTCTGCTGTGGAGGAGGCAAGTGACCTCTTCCCCTTAGATCCATGAGGGTGTCCCTTGCTGGTCGGGGATGGGACCCAGGTGGCCCTGACTTGACTGTTCTTTATTTTGCAGGAGCATAGGCGTCATCACCTACATCCTGTGAGTATCCCTGATCCAGGGGCTCTGGCTCAGCTTAGATCTGGGGGAACCAGAAGGAATGAGAGAGGGGCAGGCTGATAGACTGACATTTACTAAGCACCCACCATAATCCAGATGTGTTAAGTCCACACAGCAAGCCTGAGGCTAAGTGCTGTAGGTCCATTTCATCCATCTGACCCTGGCATTGAGGTTGAATAGGCATCCAGGGGAGCAGCCTCAGGCTCTCCACTCTGCACAACCTGTGTCTGCATTCCTCCTATGGAATGCCAGGGCTCCCCTGCTCACCCTCCCCCAGACTGAGGTATACTGGAGAATGTCACTTTTCACTCAGAACTCTTTTTTTTTTTTTTTTGAGACAGAGTCTTGCTCTGTCACCCAGTCTGGAGTGCAGTGGCGTGATCTTGGCTCACTGCAACCTCCACCTCCCAGGTTAAGCAATTCTCCTGCCTCAGCCTCCCGAGTAACCGGGATTACAGGCACCCACCACCACACCTGGCTAATTTTGTATTTTTAGTAGAGACAGGGTTTCACCATGTTGGCCAGACTGGTCTTGAACTCCTAACCTCGTGGTCCATCCACCTCAGCCTCCCAAAGTGCTGGGATTACAGGTATGAGCCACTGTGCCCAGCCCTTCACTCAGAACTCTTGGGACAGCCCTGTGAAGCTACTTATGCCCTCCCCAATCTTGCCTCTTCTTTCTTTCCCCTTTTCCCCAGATCCCCTTTTCTTCCTCTCACTGTCTCTCTCCTCCTTTCTCCTTCCTCTTTGCCTGTCCCTGAAGTACTCAGTTGCTTAGACAGAGATTTCCTGCATAGCTCCAGTGTGTAGTGAGTTACCTCTGGGGCTGGAGTCCCATGATACTATCACTTTCCATCTCTGTGGCCTTGGGTAGGGACTTAACCTCTGGGCTTGTTTTTCTCATGAGAAAAATAGGAATCACAAACTTCCTGCCATGGGTGTGTTGTGAAAGCTAAATAAGTCAACATGCGCAAGTCTCCTAGCCCTGACTCTGGAACATGCACAGTGGGCTAGTGAGTATTCATTCCATCAGCCCTTCCCAACCTTTTTGCCTTCATGGCACACATGGAAAATGCTATTTTTATAGCACCCTGGAGTAAGAGTCAACCAGATGGGGCAGGGGGCACCAGTGCTCAGCAGCTGAGAGGATTATTCTCTCAATGATCCCTATGAGCCAGGTCCCTGATTCTCCCAGCAGCTCTTGGACTAGGAGCCCTGTGTGACGTGGTGGATCCCCCTGAGCTGCAGCTGAAGATCTCAACCCTGGCTGCACAGCAGAGCTTTTAATACCCACCATGGCCCAGGCCCCACCCCAGATCTATTATATCACAATTGCTAGGGGTAGGGACTTAGTATCTGTATCTTTTAAAACTCCAGCTGAATTTGATGCAAAGAGAAGGCTGAGAACCATGGATCTATAGTTTCAGATCAGAGCCAGAACGGTCTGATGTTGGCTCTTGAAACTTTGATTTCTTCAGGACTCTGATTTGAACTATGAAGGGATCCCATGTAATCCCAGCATTTTGGAAGGCTGAGGTGGGCAGATGCTTAAGTCCAGGAGTTCAAGACCAGCCTGGGCAACATGACAAAACCCCATCTCTACAAAAAACAAAACAAAAAACTAGCTAGGTGTGGTGGCACACATCTGTAGTCCCAGCTACTTGGGAGGCTGAGGCAGGAGGATCGCTGGAGGATCGCTTGAGCCCAGAAGTTGCAGTGAGCTGTAGTAGCACCACTGCACTCCGTCCTGGGCAACAGAGCAAGACCCTGTCTCAAAAAAAAAAAAAAATGGAATCCCAGTGTCTACTGAGCACATAGTCTTCTTGTGGCTCATTTGAATTTAACAGCTTTGTTGAGGTCTGCTCCATGGCAGGCACTGTACCAGGCACTAGGATACTGACATGAAGGAGGGTCTTCCCTGCTTGCTGGGGCTCCCTGTCTGTGGGAGACACACCATACACCTAACTCACACCCAGTGGAACCAAGGTTAGGCTGGAGGAATGAACATGCCTCTTTGAGACACAGATGGGGAGCCACTGGTTTGCTGGACTGCTGAAGGTTTATTGAGAGAGAAATAGAGACAGCACATGATTGATGGATCAATTTGAACTGGGATGTAGGGAACGAAGTTAATTCTGTGGGTGGAGGAGGGAAGGGCTGTGCTGGCTGAGGAAATGGCATGAGAAAAGGAACGGTAAACCTTAAGTGTGGCTGAAGTGTACCAAGCGTGGGGTAAGGACCAACTCTTGATGCCTTGCTCAAGAGTTTAGATGTGATCCTGTAGAAGATGGGAAGTCATAGAGGGCTTTTGTGTTCTCACAATGACAATAATAATGGCCATTAATTCCAGAGCCCTTAGTGTGGGCCAGGATTGCATGAAGGCTTTTGTATGCATGTATTCTTCACAGCAATCACATGAGGTGGGAATTTTATTTTCTTCATTTTGCAGATGAGGAAACTACACAAGGGGTTCTAGCTTCACACAGCTAATGAGTGGCTGAGCTGGGATTCAAACCCAGGATTGCAACACCAAAATTTGTACAGTGCACCTTGCTGCCACCATGCTAAGAAAGTGGCTGTGGAAATGGGGATGACTTTCAAGAGATATTTAGTAAATGGAACCAACAAGGAAGCTTTTGGCCAGTCAGATGTGGCAAGGGAATAGAAAGAAGAGTCCAAGGTGACTCCTGTGCTTCTAGCTCGGGTACATTTGTGAAGTAATGTGATTCATCAAGGGAGTGCTTGGAATGGGTTTGGACACAATGAGTTTGGGACAATGGCACATCTGATCCAGACACTGCTGGATCATACCTCTACCAAGGCATCCCATGAACAACTGAAATCTGAGTCAGGAGATAGTAGATGTAGGAGTCATTATTTGTATGACATCCTTGACAAACCCTGTTGGGGAACCACACAGACCCTTCTTGTCCCTAATGGCCCATCTATTTCCAAACTTTGTGGGCTCTGCTCAAGTTGCTCCTGTAACCCAGAAGGCCTTTCCGTCTCCTTCTCTGACTGCTGACAACCTCTTTATTCTTCAAGACACAAATGATGCAAATATCTGTGCCACCGTGAAGCTGCACTGGGCCTCCCTCTTTCCTGTGCTCCCCTATCCTTTGGCTGGCCTTCCATTATATTCTGCTTGTCTTGCTGGGGATCACAAAGAGACATGTCTCTGTGTTTCTCTCCCCTCCGCTTTTGAGTCCGTTGAAGACACAATTTCTCTCTGTCGGGTGCTTAGGAGGAGCTCCATGAACATGTATTGAATTGGACTTAGCTGAACAGGCTGCTGGTTGGCTGCCCAGAGGGGGCAGGCTGTGTTGCTGGGAGCCTTCCAGCTCCCTGCAGCAGTCATGGGGCAGGGTTCCCCGAGTCCGTAATCCCCATTTCCACCTACTTTCCCTTAGTTATTTGATTCCCTGTCTGTCGTACTCAGCTTAAGTGGAGCATCCCCTTTCCTGGGAGACACGAAGCAGGAAACACTGGCAAATATCACAGCAGTGAGTTACGACTTTGATGAGGAATTCTTCAGCCAGACGAGCGAGCTGGCCAAGGACTTTATTCGGAAGCTTCTGGTTAAAGAGACCCGGTAAGAGGACAGAGAAGCCACTGGTTTCTCAGGTACTGATCCCTTCCTGTCGCCTCTGTCAAAGACCTGTCAGTATGTCCCCACTTTGACATAGCTGTCATCTGCACTGTTGTGGTCTAATCCGGGCAGGTGCTGGAAAGTGTGGCCTAGCCAAGACGTGGCATTCATCTTGTTTGCTCAAGTCTTTCTGCTTTCTTCTCCTGTTGAAATGTAAATAATGTGTGTGTGTGTGTGTGTGTGTGTGTGTGTGTGTGTGTGTGTGCGCTACAAGTCAGCCTGGGTTTCTTTAGGGCTCATTACCTTGTGCAGTCTGTCCCAAAGGCACCTGGAATTCAGATTTGAAAAGTTTAAGTGGCAGGGTTTTCAAGCCAGTTCAGGTTGGGAGTAGGAGCTGGTAGGCTCAGAGAGGTCAGTACAGTGGGATGGTGGAAGACATGCTAACCCTATCCCTTCTCCAGGGGCCAGGGTGAGTCCCGTGGCTGTGGGGTCAAAGAAGGAAATAGGCAGGGAATTGCAGGGCGCTGGGTACCCAGAGCATGCTCTGGATGGGGCAGGAAGAAAGGTCCACAGACTAGAACACCATGTCCTCTCCATCCCACAGACTTCAGAGAGGGCCAGAGTGGGGTTGTCTGGAGTGCAAGGGCCCTGATTTTCCTGTCTAAGAACAGTGCTAGGGAGAGTTGCTTACCTGGGTACAGAGCAGCGAAAGGCAGAGAACGGATCCAGGAGGCAAACAGAAAAACAGACCAGGGATTTAGCAATGGAGAGTTGGCTTTTGGAAGATTCTGGAAGCTCATTGGAGCATTTATGACTCTTCTTAGGCCTTTCAGCTTTGGGACTAATAGTATGGGTGTAGGTAACAAGGCCACTCTATTGAGGGGTCTGTCTGGACTGCTTCCTTCCCCTGGAGTGCAGGATTTGCAGCCAGCTCCCATCCATCTCTGCATCCTCCATTCCACTGGTTTGACGGCAGTGGCCAAATAATGCCAAAATATAGGTCTAAAAAGAGTGAGAACGGAGATGGTTGCTCCCAACTTCTGTCCTCATGGATCATCACTGTTTCCCAATCCTCATTGCAGGAAACGGCTCACAATCCAAGAGGCTCTCAGACACCCCTGGATCACGGTAAGGGCACAGCCATGAGTTCCAATGGGCAAAGGGTCCCTGCTCTGTCGCCAGGGTTGGCCTGGGCAGCCAGATGCAGAGGGCCCATGGAGAGGCCTTTGCTTTAAACACTGACCCTGGGCACAGATGAAAGCTAGCCAGGGGCCCCAGAGGGCCTGGGCTTATTCGAATAGGTTTATTTGCTTGCTATTTTAAGTTTGTGTGTCTCAAATTCAGGTAACTTATGAAATGAAACCCTCACAAACCACAGTTGAAACCCTTTTTCTTTGGGGCCAACTTACACAGTGTTCTTTGTTGAAGGGTATGTCACTGCCACTTCTCCAAGTGGAAATCAGGACTCCCCAGGTGTAGAAAGATAGATGACAATTGAAAACCCCCACTTTGTGACCAGGCCTCCTTCCTTCTGATTTTTGGGGCTCTAAGTCAAGGATGACACTTAAATCAGCCACCCACCTCCTCAGGCCCTGAGGAATGGGGCCTGAGACAGAGGCCTGGTGGGGAAGAGAGACAGCCACTGTTAGGGCAATTCTGTTCCCTCTGGGGAGAGTCAGGGCAAAAAAATGAATCCCTGCCTAACTCGCCTTGCAGTCGGGCTTCCTGCTGGCTTTCCAGTCAGCTGCTGGCTTTCCAGAGGCTCTTGTGGTCTGGTGTGGTGAAGAGCACTTTGAGAGGGTGAGACTCAGCAGGATTCAGGCCCTAATTCTGCTGACTGACCAGCTATGCACACCCAGGGACGTCACCAGACTTCCCATTCACCTTAACTGTTATGTGAGAAGGCCAGCAAGGATGAAATGACCATAAGAAAGGTGGAGATAAGAAAAGGTGAGGCAGGCCAGGTGCAGTGGCTCATGCCTGTAATCCCAGCACTTTGGGAGGCCGAGGCAGCAGAAGGATGACTTGAGCCCAGGAGTTCAAGACCAACTTGAGCAACATGCCAAGACCCCATCTCTCTAAAAAATAATAATCAATCAATCAATACAAAGAGAAGGTGAGGCCTGTGGAAGACAGAACAGGGAGGGCTGGAGTCGTCTGGGAAGAGGTCAGCTTTATCTGCTCAGCTTCATCAGCTCATTGAAGGATGGGGAAGGCCCAAGGAGCCCTGAAGGAGAGATGCTCCTCAGCCCTGCTGCGTGAGCCCTGGCCTTGCGTGCTCCAGCCCTGCGCAGATGCCTGCGGAGTCCTGGCTGCAGCCTGCTTGTCTGCGTGAGCACCCCTTAAATGCTATGTGTGTGGAGCTCTCTCTAATGGCTGTGGACCCTTCTGCCCTGAATGAGCATGCAGACAGCACCCCCACACTCCTTGACCTCACTTATGGCCTAAGGAGGTGCTCATCCCACCCTGGTTCTCCCCATGGCCTGACGCATGCAGTGAATGCCAGAGGCCGCTTGTGTGCCTTCTGCCTACCCTTTGGACTGCCCTCTGGGGTGGGCGGCAAATTAACACTCTGATTCTTCTGTCTGAACACCCACCAGTCAAAAGGAGAAGGCAGAGCCCCTGAACAGCGGAAGACAGAGCCCACCCAGCTGAAGACCAAGCACCTGAGAGAGTACACTCTCAAATGCCACTCAAGCATGCCTCCCAACAACTCCTATGTCAACTTCGAGCGTTTTGCCTGTGTGGTGGAAGACGTGGCTCGGGTCGACCTGGGATGCCGTGCCCTGGTGGAGGCCCACGATACCATCCAGGACGATGTGGAGGCCCTGGTCTCCATCTTCAATGAGAAGGAAGCTTGGTACCGAGAGGAGAATGAGAGCGCCCGGCATGACCTGTCCCAGCTCAGGTATGAGTTCCGCAAGGTGGAGTCATTGAAGAAGCTGCTGCGAGAAGACATCCAGGCCACGGGATGTAGCCTCGGAAGCATGGCCAGGAAACTGGACCATCTGCAAGCCCAGTTTGAGATTCTGAGGCAGGAGCTCTCCGCAGACCTGCAGTGGATTCAGGAGCTGGTGGGCAGCTTCCAGCTGGAGAGTGGGAGCTCTGAGGGCCTGGGCTCCACATTCTACCAGGACACCAGTGAATCCCTGTCAGAGCTGCTCAGCAGATCATGCACTGAGGAATTTCTGGCAGGCTGGAAGCTCTAATCGCCAGAATCCAGTCAGTGATGCATCCCAAGAGGTTTGCAGAAGCATGTTCTCATCCACCCTGCTGCGGCCTCCAGCTAGAATTATCCTGCAGGGGTGTGTGTCTGTAGTATAGCCTTCCAGCCCCTCCACAGAATCCAGAATTGCTGAGGTGCCAGTTAATTCTTCATTCTGCACCTCCCCTCACCAATCTGGTTTTCTGGGAGGGCTCTGGCAGGGCAGCCAAGCTGTTAAAACAATTAGAGAGTGAGTACCCCTCAGGGTCCCCTTCTGCAGAGGGAGGATGGCTGGCCCTGGGGAAATGCTTGAGAATTGATTTGTGATGAAGGATTTGTTCATATCTCACTTTCTGCCTACATACCTTATGGACTGTAGATCTTGGGTAATATTTGAGTTAATTAGGAATAACTAAGTCAGCATGGTGCTTTCCTGCTACAGAAGCAGGGATTTACAATGCATAGAGAAAATAATATTGCCTTTCGTTTGCATTGATTTTTCACTTACCAAGCACTCATGTCTGACAAATGACCTCACTTGGTCCTTAAAAGAACTCAGTGAGATAGGAAGGTGGGTGGCATTATTATTATTATTATTTACATGTAACTGATGAGAAAATTGACTCAGAGAGGGAAAATGATATAGTCAATCAGTACAGATGAAACAGAAACCCAGGATGCCCATCTCTAAGATGAGGTATATGGGAGAAAGTAGTAAGGCTTTGCTGTAAATATCTACCTTAATATTAAAGTCCAGGTCCCAGAGGTAAAGTAAGCAACTTCATGTATTCTGCCAGGTGTAGGTGGAATGCATACACCTGCAGATGATTGTCCCAGGAGCTCTGTCCCAGAAGGCAAAGTCATTGTCCCTACCCATCCCTGTCTCTGTCTGAAGACCAGCCTGCAAGCAGGAGAGAAGGAAGGAAGGAGTCTTCCCATTCTCCACCCTTTCTCCTCTTCTGGCTAACGGCCCCAACTCTGTGTCGAGAATAAAGGCCAGAAGGTCCTCAACAGGAGGTTCCTTTTCTTATGTACCTAGGCCATTGGGCCTTGAAGGCCTAAGAAGTTCCGTGAGGGTTTTTGAAAAGGGCAAACATAAAGATGGGGAAGCGCAAGGCCACATGGTCGTTTCATGACCCAAAGCTTTGAGCACCCCTCCCCAAGGATTATAAGATCTCATCTCCCTTTCTCTGGGGGAGGGGACAGTCAACCAACTCATGTCAACAGAGCATGGCATATGAGCCTAGTGCTGAGCTAGAAGCTTGTGGGTAGGGGCATAACTTGTATAGTTCAAAGTGTCTTCATGGCCTCACAAAACATCCCTATCTTAGAGGCAGACTAAACGATATTCCCAATTTAGAGCTGAGGAAACAGGGAGAGGATGGGATTTTCCCAAGGTCACATCATTATGGCAAAAGTAGAGACCTTCTAATGACAAGTCTGTTGCTCTTTCTGCTTCCCCTGGCTGCGCCAGGCTCCAGAAGTTTACTCCCTGCTTGTGGGGGCAGCTCACACCTGGATTCATCCATCCATTTATAAATTATACTTAGGCACCAACCAACTTCCAGATGCCCGGCTTGACTCTGGGGATACAATGTTTAGTAAAAATAGGCCTGATTCCTGTCTCACGGAGTGCTCAGTCCAGCGAAGGATTTGAACATTGACCAAGAATCACAGAGAGATAGAGCTGCAGCTTGTGTTCATGCTGGGAGAGAAGCACATAGCACTGCAGGGGCCTGCCGTCAGGGTCTGACAGCATCGGGGGAAGCGTCCTGAAGCAGTGACACTGGAACGGAGGTCAGCTAAGCCAACCAGGGAGAGAGAAGTTTCCCAACAGAGCCATCATACCAGAGCTCTGTGATGAGAGGCGGTGTGGAAGGTTGAGAATGTGAGGACTGAAAGCTGGAGGGGAGAGAATAGGAATACAGTGCGGAAATGACCGGAGAACAAGCAGGAGCAGCAGGGCTTTGGCCATGTGGAAGAGCTCTGCCCTTATCCCGAAAGTCATGAGAAGCCAGCGGGTTCCAGGTGCTGGGGAGGGAATGCCCCGTGAACAGCTCAGACAGGAAGTGGTTTAGGACAAGACAGGAAAGCTTCATCTCATGAAACCATTTCTTCAGAATCCTGTCTCCTTTTCTATATGCATGAAGGATCATTTCAAATATCATATACAATATTTGTAACAGAAACTTACTTCATCAGCTATGAGAAACCGTGGTGATAAGATGCATCATCATTTTATGGACCACTAAGAAAAAAGGCCCAAGATGGGGCGTCTAATAGGAAACTCTCTCTACCCCCACCACATAAAGCTGTGATGCCCTCAATGAGAGGGTAAATGAGAAATAGAGCCACCATGCAGAAAGGGGGAGCAAGGAAACCCATGCATCTCAACCTTGACACTAAATGGGGGTGAAAAATCCTTCCCTGAGAACAGGAGTCCCAAGCCGGTGGTACTCATGCAGGTTTGCTTTCTGAATTTGCACTATCAGTGTGATCCAAAAGAACATCAAGCAGAGAGTGTAATGTCCAACAGTCTGAGGCTGGGTGGCCCTGGATGGCTGGCAAAAACAGTACTATCCTCTCCCGGAGCACCTGCCTTCTGTCCGGGCCAACAGTAAGAATATGATACCATCATCTGGGAGATGCCTCCTGACTTCAGAGATCCAAAAATGTATATCTTGGAACCAATGAAAGATGGCAAAAGCTCCATTTCCTACATCTTACCCCAGAGAATTGGTTCAAATGACCTGTCTACAGTCTCTCCAAGGTCTTACCTGCCCTGTCACGGGAAGTTGTATACTTGTTTGGTGCTGAGACACTGCAAATATTAAATGTCCCTTTGGCCGTGTTAACAGACCTTGACCTTCACACAGCCAGGTTTCTAAGGAGAGGAAGCCACTGATGGGGCAACACAGGGCAAGCTTTTTAGTGAAGGTCAAAATAGAATGCAGGCCCAGTGTGGTGGCTCATGCCTGTAATCCCAGCACTTTGGGAGGCTGAGGTGGGTGGATCACTTGAGGTCAGGAGTGTGAGACCAGCCTGGCCAACATGGAGAAATCCTGTCTCTACTAAAGATATAAAAATTAGCTGGGCATGGTGGTGGGTGCCTGTAGTCCCAGCTACTCAGGACACTCGGGAGGCTGAGGCAGGAGAATCGCTTGAACCTGGAAGGCGGAGGTTGCAGTGAGCCAAGATCACGCCATTGCACTCCAGCCTGGGTGACAGAGTGAGACTCTGTCTCAAAAAAATAAAAAATAGAATACAGTAAAAGAGTAAAATGTTGGCAATGATTTGAATGGGGAAAATTGGGAAAAGGGAGGGAGAAGTGGTTGTTTTAGAATCATGATCAGCTATACACAGTGCTGAGAGTCACCCATTTAGTTGGCCGTGAGCTGGACTCCGAACTCTAAGTGGTTTTCCTTATAGCAGTGACATCGTCCTCTCTATGCTCATGTCCAGTCACTGTAACTGTTTCTCACTTAGACGTGTCGTAAACAGACCTTTTTCTGTACAAAGAGCTTCTAAAGACAAATGAAAGAGAGTTGAGAAATGCCCCCAAGTCTTTTGGGGAAAGCAGAGGAGACCATGACCTTCCTCTGTGTCCTGGCCAGCTGAAGTCCCGTCCTTCCATGGCATTGGAACCTGATGCTGGGGGAGCCCGGGGGCCTGTGGGATGCAGCCACAGGACCTGCTTATCTCTGCTCCCCACACGCCCTCAGCTGACTTTTTACAACAGTGTGGAGGGCTAACAATGGCGGGAAGGGCTGTGAGAATGGACTGTTTCGCTGGTGCCTAGAGGAAGGAAGGCTTGTGGGTGCTGCTCTGTGGGCAGGCCCCTCTGCCATTGAGGATTTTTAATTCACCAAATTGCAATTTTTTTGGTGGGGGAGCCGCACAGAGTCTCACTCTGCCGCCCAGGCTGGAGTGCAGTGGCATGATCTCGGCTCACTCCAACCTCTGCCTCCCAGGTTCAAGCAATTCTCCTGCCTCAGTCTCCTGAGTAGCTGGGACTATAGGTGCGCAGCACCATGCCCGGCTAATTTTTGTATTTTTAGTAGAGATGGGGGTTTCACCACATTGGTCAGGCTGGTCTCGAACTCCTGACCTCAGGTGATCCACCCACCTCGGCCTTCCAAAGTGCTGGAATTACAGGCGTGAGCCACTGCACCCAGCCCAGACTGCAAATAAAAGGTCGGCTTCTGTGCTCTGTTCAAACACCATCCTGGGCTGTTTGGGAGGGGAAAGTGAGTGTATGACATCGCCCTGAATAACAATTCTCAAGGAAGCTGGCAAGCTGGCCCTTGGGGAAGGCAGCTGCCTGTCCCTGCTGTGAGGCAGGTGCTCACAGCCTAGCATTGCCTGACTGTGTGTCAGAAGGTGGGGTGATGGTTTGGTAATCGATGATTCTGCAGCTGTGGGAGCCTGGCAGTGAAGGGATGGAGCAGAGGAATAATGGCAGAAAGAGCTGGAGTCTCCCCCATGGGCCCCCTCCCCTCCCTTACAGGTGATCATGAAGATGGTGGCTTCCTACCTCACTCCATCACGCAGCACAGGTGGCCCGGCCCTTGCTGGAGGTGGCTGTGTGCCCAGCTGTCACCCCTACTGTCAATCTTCTGTAAATGTCTGTGGGACTGGATGCCTTTTTTCCTTGGTCCGTGAAATTCCTGACCCAGCAGTGGGCATGTTCACGTTGCAAAAGGGTCCAGTCCCGTTGAACAAACACTGATTGTGCTCTGGCTCAGGGGGAGGTGACAGACAAGGACAAGATAACCTCAAATAAAAGATTCAGTGTCTGGGGCAGATGGGGACCCAGCCAACTAGATTGGAAAAGCTATGGTGAGTGATAAAATAGAGCTTCCTCATCTCCTAGAAATCAAAGGAGAGAGGAATTCTGATTGAGAAAGGGTAAGAGGGTTGCAGAGAAGAGAGGCCTTCCCAGGGACGCCGTCCCCACCAGTGACCGCCCTCCTCCACTCCCAAGCTGTGTCCCTTGAGGAAGGCATGAGTAAAATCTGGAAGGGGGGTGGGGCTGAGCCAAGATTGGGGTTAGGAACTTGGAACAGTTGAATGGAGATTAAAGAGAGGGAGATTACACAGATTTAAAAGAGTGTTTTAAACTTTTTGTTATGGTCCCCTCAGCAGGAAAATTGCCAAAACTTGCACAGAAGTATAAGGAATGGGATAGTGGATTCCAGGACCTATGACCCCGCTCCAGCAGGAATCAAGTCATGCGGGTCCTCTTTCATTCATCTCTCCCATTACTTTTCTTCTGGGGTATTTTAAAGCAAATTTCAGACTTATTTAACTCATAAGTTCTCCAGCATAAATCTCTGCTAAGGATTTTCTTCTTCTTTTTTTCTTTTTTTTTTTTTGAGACAGAGTTTCACTCTCGTTGCCCAGGCTGGAGTGCAATGGCGCGATCTTGGCTCACTGCAACCTCCATCTTCCAGGTTCAAGCAATTCTCCTGCCTCAGCCTCCTGAGTAGCTGAGATTACAGGCACCCACCACCACACCCAACTAGTTTTTGTATTTTTAGTAGAGATGGGGTTTCATCATGTTGGCCAGGCTAGTCTTGAACTCCTGACCTCAGGTGATCTGCCTGCCTCGGCCTCCCGAAGTGCTGAGATTACAGGCATGAGCCACCGCACCCAGCCAGGACTTTCTTTTTAATACAACCCCATGCCATTATCACACTTGACAAAATCAGCAATAATTCCTTCATCTCATCTGGATTCCCATTCCATCCTCACATGTCCCCACCACTCCCAACAGTGTCCCATTACAGCTGGTTTGTTCAAATCAGGATCCAAACAGTCCACATGTGGCATTTGGTTGCTACGTCTCTCAAGTCTCTTGGGTTTTATAACAGTACAAAAGGAAGAACCTTTGAAGCTTTTCCTGGGGACAAAAAATTGCTCAGAAAACTGATGGTCCCATAGAAGAATAAAAAACAGAGCGTATCCATGTCAAGACCTAACTCAGAAATGTGAGACCAGGCCAAGCAAGGAAAGGAATGTTTCTGCCTCCTTCCACTGGCTTGTTCACTGTAGGGGGCAGCCTTCAGGCTCACAGCCTTTCTGCAGCTGTCCCTCCCACTTAGGAGGAGGCAGAGCCTCAAGCCTCCCACAAGCCCCATGTGCTCCTTTCCTGGGAAAACAGGTGGGTGAAGGCAGCAGAGCCCAGGCTTCAGCCATCAAAACATCCAGCGAAGGGGAGGGGTGGAGGGGTGCCACCTATAAAACTCCATTGAGGGAAGGGCAGCGGGGAGGGGTCCTGGGCAGGAGAGAAGTGGGTGTGAGAGTGCCCTGGCTTTCACTGGAGTAAGGGGCTGGAGAGATGGCACAGATGGGGGTTGGAGGTGCAATCTGCTTGCAGTTCCTAAAGAAGACCTAGTATCTAGAGAAAATCGTTGTGTGGGGGGTGGAGTTGGGGGAGTCGCCTCTTCAGTAAAGCCAGGATTCCTTTTTCATGCCTTAGCAGCGGCTGCTGCTTCCTGCCCCTGCCTGTGGATGTTGGTACTGACCTGGCACACCCCACTGGACTTTTTCAAAGGCATTTGCAGCTGCATAAACAAAACTTGACTACCCCACAGTTTTCTGTCTTCTTGCTTCCCTTTTGGACATTTTTCCAAGACACCAAACACACTCCTAGGAGCCTGGTCAGAATCACCCAGGGCTCCCTGGTATCACGGATGGACCACAAGGCCAGAAGGCGGGCACTTTCTGTTTGCAGGGAGGGGCGGGTCAGGAGAAGGCAGGACACAGTTCCATCTCCCCCTCACACCCCAAGTCGAATCAAAAGTGTTTGTGCCACATTCCCTCTGGGAACAATTTTGCTGCAGAATTTTCACCTCTGCTGCAGAATTTACATCTTTCCAGGCTGAGATGTCAGCATCAGCGTTTGGTGGGGCTCTTAACAACCAGGAAGGCCCATTGATTAGGAAAGGCCAGCCTGACAGAATGATAGCCCCATGCTGCCTCCTCAGGGTTGGTGGTGTTGTGTGTAGCTATAAACAGGGCCCTCAAAAGAATTGCATCACCTCCCATTAATAGCCTCTGGGAATGATCTCACCTGACATTTTAGCTGGGCCCCTCTGCTCAGTGGCTGGCACTGCTGGGCCAGGAGGAGGGTGGGATTCTCATTAACGAGATTCCCCACACCTGCAAGTTGACCTTCCAGCCATGGGCTTAGCTCTTCCTCCCCTGGGTGAGGGTGCCAATCAGTAAGTGGGCAAAAAGAAATCTCTTCTCCCCCAGAGTCTACTAATCCCATCTGAGCAAACTCTCCTTGTGAGGTGCAGGTGCCCCTGTGAGGGTTAGGCTCAAAGGTCATTCATGCCCAGGGGAATTGCAGACATCAGTGAAGTTAGACTTAGAAATGGTTGATGGGTTGGGGAGGGTGCTAAGCACCTTGGAAACGAGATTCTAGGAGCTTGGAGGTGCAAGGGAGAGAGGACTAACAAAAAACAAGCAGTCAGCCCTCCCTACCTGCAAGTTCCACATCCTCAGATTCAGTCAACCACAGATCAGAAATACGCAAAAAGTAAAAATAAAAATAACATTACAATAATAAATGCAAATAATACAGTGTGACAACTATTTACATAGCATTTATATCATATTTGCTATTATAAGTAATCTAGAGATGATTTAAAGCATTAGGGGAGGGTATGTGTAGGTTATATGCAAATACCACACCATTTTATAATAAGGGACTTGAGCATCCATGGATTTTGGTATCTGCGGCAGTCCTAGAACCAACCCTTCAAGGATACTGAGGACTGAATGTGAATAAATACAGAATAGAATATTGGGTAGCACCACGTGTAATGAAGATTTAGTGCCCCGGCATAGTGAATCATGGGGGAAGTTGGCTTGCTACTTTATATAGGGTGGTCAAGGAAGGCTTCCCTTAGGAGATAACATTTGAGCAAAGACTTGAACAAGGTGATAAAGTGAGTATAGGAGAGAGCAAGGGCAAAGACCCGGAGACTTTGGATTCACAGACCAGCAAGTGGACCTGTGCGATGGGAGCCAAATGGACAGGAAGCAGAGAGGTAGAAAATCAGGGTGGAGGGTACAGGCCTTGAGGGTCTCCATGAGCTCGTGGGGATGTATAGAGGGCACAGGGAAGCCACTGGAAGGCTTGGAGAAGGGAAAAGGCAAGGTCTTCAGCACAGATTGGTCACCCTCCATCCACTTTTGTGCCTCCCTTCCAGGGGGGGACTAGACCCAGGGCTGGGCTTGCAGGTGCACAGAGTGGGTGACAGACAGTTAAAGACAGGATCTAGAGGGCTGGACATGGCCTGCTGGTTCCTCCGGCAGCCTTGTCCTTTTCTCTTCCCATTCCTTGTCTTTCTCCTTCCCCTCCTCTCTTTCCTTCTGTACTCTTTGGCCCAAAAGCACTGTGCTTCAGTTTCGGAGGGTGAATAGCCCCAGGTTTTCTCATCTCCCATCCACTTCCAGGTTGCATGCACTCCCCCTCCAGCTTTGGGTCACCCCACCCCCCGCCCCGGAGCTGTACATCCTACTGACTCCTGGGCAGAGCCATGGGGAACCTTTGTGCCCTGACACCCTTTCAAGGTGGTGTGACTGGGCTGACCAGGTGACCTGGGCCCCTCATCAGTGGGAGTGAGTAGGTCCCAGGTCCTGGGATTTCATTCCAACTTATCTCTCCAACAGCTCAGGGAAATGACTTAACCATACAACTATTAAGCACTCACTGTTGTAGGTCCCGGGTTGGGAGGAGAGTAGGGCAGGGCATTGACATAGACAGGAAGAAAGTCTGTGCCCTCCAGTCATTTTCCAGGAGTGGGGTGATTCCTCTGCAAGGCTGGTTCTGAGAGGTGCTGGACTTCATAAAGGAGCATACATGTGCCTTGTTCATGTCAGGGAGGGAGACATGATTTTCTGGAATTTGTCTTGGAGGAGATCATGTCTGAATTGGGCTTTGAAATACTTGAAGGCCTTCCAGGGGGATGGGCAGCAGGGGCTGCCATGGGATGGACCTCCTGCCAGAGGCTGCCAGCTCCAGAGCAGCGTGGCCAGCAGTGTGCACTGGCTTTCTTCCGGTCCCTGATGCCATGATGAAAAATCAAGCGTGGAGGTGTGCTCCGAGCATGGTTAGGAGACAAGACCCACGCCTGGGAATCAATAGGCTCCCTCGCTTAGCATTCACCAGGTGAATGAGGCATTGCGGCAGGAAGGCTGTCAGAGCAGAGAGAAAACCAGAGCTGCCCGGGACCTTTGGAATCATTCTAGGCAGTTCATTTTCTTGAGGTCATGGGGGCCTTTGAGAATCGATAAAAGCTATTGACTCTCCTCCAAAGAAATGCATGTCTGTACATACATACTAAATTTTAAAAATTGAGTTATAATTTATATATCATAAAATTCACCATTTTAAAATGTACAGTTCAGTGGTTTTTAGTATACTCACAAGGTTGTGTAACCACATCACTATCTAATTCCAGAACATTTACATTACCCCAGGAAGAAATGTCATACCCTTTAGTAGCCATTCCCTGTTTTCCCCTTTCCCTAGCCCCTGGCAGCTACCCATCTGCTTTGTTTCTACGGATATGTCTGTTCTGGACATTTTATATAAATTGAATCATACAGCAGGTAGCCTTTTGTGTCTGGCTTTTTTCATTTAACATAATGTTTTTAAGGTTCATCCGTGTTGTAAAATGTATTGGACTCAATTTTTTATGAATAGTATTTCTGACTAATATTCCTTTGTATGGATATATAGGCACATTTTGTTCACAGAACCCCTGAAACCTATCTCTTGATTTCACAAAACCTTATTTTACAAAAGGGGGGTGTTGAAAAGGGAATGGAGAACGCAGGAAAGCTCACAATAACTTATTACTATTTATTGAGTGGTGCTGGGCTAAGCACTTTATATATGCATGATCATATAATCCTTAACAACCCTGTGACATGATATTATTATCCCCATATTACAGATGGGGAAACTGAGGCTCAGAGAAGCCATCCCAAGCTTCTTGGAGAAGTCAAAATTTAAGCTGAGCTCTGACTGCCAGGCTGTGAAAAGCAACTGCACATCCTGTTGCCTCTTGACTTTCATCAAAGCCCTTATTTCCTTCCATTTATTTTTTAATGGAGTATGAATTCCCCGTCTACCAACAAGGCATTTGTTTTGCCAAGCCCAGAATCACCCCAGTGCCCAGAGGGCATCCCAGACTGCTGTAAAATGACCCTCTCCCCAAAGTGATGTGCGATTGGAGGGCCTGCCTCCTGCTATTCCCCTTCAGGAGCTGCTGAGCCTCCAGCCAAGGCTGTGTGTGTGTCAGGCTGTGGTAATAATAGCTGAGAGGCAACTCCTGAACAGCTGAGACATGTGTAGCTGTTGCCCTGACTGTGATGCTCCCACGGTGTGCCCCACCTGGCGGGGAGATGCCAGGGTCAAGCCAAGGGCGGTGGGCATGCGGTGGGTGGGGAGTTCTGCGGCGAGGAGGGTGGCTGCTGTCTGAAGCCCAGCATCAGCTGCCATGCTCTGCTTTGTCTCTCAGCCGGTGGACAACCAGCAAGCCATGGTGCGCAGGGAGTCTGTGGTCAATCTGGAGAACTTCAGGAAGCAGTATGTCCGCAGGCGGTGGAAGGTGTGTCCAGGGTTGGGGCGGCGGGGGACAGGGTGGGGGCTAGGGCGGGGTTTCTGGCTCTCCAGGGTCTCCATGCACATTCTCACCTGGGGATTCCTTTCCTCTGCCTCCCTCAGCTTTCCTTCAGCATCGTGTCCCTGTGCAACCACCTCACCCGCTCGCTGATGAAGAAGGTGCACCTGAGGCCGGATGAGGACCTGGTGGGTAAATGCATGCCCTCTTCTTGGGCAGAATTCTGGGGTAGCCTGGAGCTCAGGGATGGGTGAGTTCCCTTTCCCCTCACAAGGCAGGTGGGTGTTCACTGTTTCCAGCCAGTTCTGCTGGCCCAGTCCTCCTCTTCCCTGAAGGCTGAAGTGTGATCTTCAGAGGAGTGTGTTCTGGGGACCTCTGGGTGGTGCCGGGAGGGGACCACTGATGCAGCAGCATGAACTCCTGGAGGATCTCCCATCCTTTCCTGGTGGGCCTTCAGAGGGGCCGCTGCTGCCGGCTGACCACAGACAACCCAAAATGTATTTCTGATAACCCAAAAGCTGCTTTAGAATGGGAGCTTTACATTCTTTTTTCCATATTTCTATTTCTGCTTTGTTTCAGATTACCATCATCATAATATTTAGACAATATCTTATATTTGATTACTTTATTGCCATTTTGTATACATTTAAAGGGAGTAGCTTATAACAGAATATACTGGTGAAGAGGGTGCCCTCTGCAGTCAGACTACCAGGATTCAAATCTGCCACTTACCGTGTGACCTTGAGGAAATTACTTAACCTCTCTGTGCTGATAGTTCATCATTTGTAAAATAGGGTTAATAATAGTTCCTAAAGATTAAATAATGACATATTCTTCCTCTTCTTCTTCTTCTTTTTTTTTTTTTTTTTGTTTGTTTAGACAGAGTTTCACTCTTATTGCTTAGGTTGGAGTGCAATGGCGCGATCTCGGCTCACCGCAACCTCTGCCTCCTGGCTTCAAGCGATTCTCCTGCGTCAGCCTCCTGAGTAGCTGGGATTACAGTCATGCGCCACCACACCCAGCTAATTTTGTATTTTTAGTAGAGATGGGGTTTCTCCATGTTGGTCAGGCTGGTCTCGAACTCCCGACTTCAGGTGATCTGCCCGCCTCGGCCTCCCAAAATGCTGGGATTACAGGCATAAGCCACCATGCCAGGCCAATAATGACATATTCTTAAAGCCTGGCATGTAAGTGCTCAGTAAGCGTTAGCAATTGTTGTTGTTTAAAACCTTCCTGTAGGCTGGCAGTAGTGGTTCGTGCCTATAGTCCCAGCACTTTGGGTGGCTGAGGCGGGAGGTTCATTTAAGGCCAGGAGTTAAAGACCAGCCCAGGCAACAACAGTGAGACCCTGACTCTACAAAACAAAAACAAACAAACAAACAAAAAAATTAGCCAGGTATGGTGACAGGCACCTATAGTCCTAGCTACTCAGGGAGCTGAGGTGGGAGGATCACTTGAGCCCAGGAGTTAAAGGTTACAGTGAATTATGATCACACTACTGCATTGCAGCCTGGGCGACAGAGCATGACCCTAACTCTAAAGAAAATTAAGTTTCAAAATTAAAAAAGTAAAATCCTCCTGTAGACTTTAAAATGCAGTTGGTAGGGGTTCCCTGGACAGCCCCTCCCCCCGCTTATGGAGCGTGGTGTAGGGTGCTCAGGAATGTCTGGGATGGCACAGGTCAGGACAGAAGGGGACGCCCTGCTCAGGGAGCGACTGGGAGGTGGGTGCCTAAGAGGGCTGAGCAGCCTTATGATGCACGGCTAGACCTAGGATAGCCCTGCTGTCCCCACTCCCTCCACACAGCCTGGGGTCTTCTCTCTTTAGCATGATCTCTTGCCAGCACTTGAGGATTTATGGCCCAGAGGCCCCAAACAACTGTGTGGCTTTGGCCAAGCCCTGTGCCGGCTCTGGCTGCTTTCCTCGTCTCCTATGCAGGGCACTGGACCGCTCTCCCGCTGAGAATCCCTGATAATGACAAGCAGACTTTACCCAGCTTATTTTTTTACTGTTTGGCTCTGACTCAAGCTAAAAAGTTGCTATTCAGCAGAGCTTGAGTTATTTTTATTGTTATAGCCGGGCTTGGTCTAGGATGTATTTGGCTAAAGTTGATCTTGACCTTGGATTTCCAGCTGGCTCAGGCTGGAGGAAGGGGAAAAGGCCCTGGGAGGATGAGTGGCAGATGGTGGGCATGCCTCGCAGGCTGAGCCGCTGGCCCTTCTTCCCTGACAGATACAATCTGTGGGGAGAGAAGACCAGAGTAATTGAGAAGAATGTCAATTTTTTTTTTTTTTGAGACAGAGTCTCACTGTGTCTCCCAGGCTGCAGTGCAGTGGCACCATCTCAGCTCGCTGCAACCTCTGCCTCCCGGGTTCAAGAGATTCTCCTGCCTTAGCCTCCTGACTAGCTGGGATTACAGGCTTGCACCACCATGCCTGGCTAATTTATGTATTTTTAGTGGTGATGGGATTTTGCCATGTTGGCTGGGCTGGTCTCGAATCCCTGACCTCAGGTGATCCACCCGCCTCGGCCTCCCAAAGTGCTGGGATTACAGGCATGAGCCACCACGCCCAGCCAAAAAGAATGTCAGTTTCTTTCCAAACTTTTGTTCTTGTACAAATATTCTTAAATAGTACTCTTTTTACTCAAATAGCAAGCACCATCAGCTCAAAGGTTCATCCTAGAAGTGGAAAAATGTTGGGTCCCAGATATCTGTTATGCAGTTTTCCCAAAGGGACTTTCCTTAAAAAAAAAAAAAAAAAGAGTAATGATAGGTCCTTTTGTTTAGGAAGCACTGGAATTGAACATTGGACAACAGATATTTTAGGAATGAAGTCACTGTGGATTAGTACTTCTTTTAATAATTTTATAATTACATTAGATCATCATGACTTGGATGAAAAGACATTATGGCCTCGGGGTGGCTGCCTCAGCTCTGGTTTGCCATGTAGGAACTGACAGACAGTACTTTATACTCATTTCCTGTTTTATAAAAATGGAGCTCAGAAGTCATTTCCCTGGAAACACTGGTCAGCAAGGCGGCTGAAGGTGCAGCCCATCAAAGAAGAAGGGGCATGGGATGGTGGCTGTCAAGCATGGGGAGTACCTTGTGGCTCACACCCATCCTCCAGTCTCTCTAGGCTGAGCTCAGGAGACCCAGCAGCCACAGACCACCCAGCCAAGTGGCCTTGATTATATGGCAGCCACAAAGGGAACTAGATGTAATTTTCTTTATTATAATTTGGCCTCTCCTGATGTCTGGTTTCCCTTAGATGCCCTGCTGCTTTCCTTCCTCCAAGCAGTTGGTCTGGCCTCGTTTCAGATCCCTCCCATCCCCCAGCCCCTGGATGGATCAGCAGGCTTGCTTTCACCACCCACCTCCCTGGCTTGTAGTCCCGTGGTCCAGGTGAATCAACCCAGGTTGCCCAGCACAGCCCCATTCCTGGCGTCTCATGATCCTCCTGCCCTGGACCTCTTTCTCTTTTTTTTCTCCAGAGGAACTGTGAGAGTGACACTGAGGAGGACATCGCCAGGAGGAAAGCCCTCCACCCACGGAGGAGGAGCAGCACCTCCTAACTGGCCTGACCTGCAGTGGCCGCCAGGGAGGTCTGGGCCCAGCGGGGCTCCCTTCTGTGCAGACTTTTGGACCCAGCTCAGCACCAGCACCCGGGCGTCCTGAGCACTTTGCAAGAGAGATGGGCCCAAGGAATTCAGAAGAGCTTGCAGGCAAGCCAGGAGACCCTGGGAGCTGTGGCTGTCTTCTGTGGAGGAGGCTCCAGCATTCCCAAAGCTCTTAATTCTCCATAAAATGGGCTTTCCTCTGTCTGCCATCCTCAGAGTCTGGGGTGGGAGTGTGGACTTAGGAAAACAATATAAAGGACATCCTCATCATCACGGGGTGAAGGTCAGACTAAGGCAGCCTTCTTCACAGGCTGAGGGGGTTCAGAACCAGCCTGGCCAAAAATTACACCAGAGAGACAGAGTCCTCCCCATTGGGAACAGGGTGATTGAGGAAAGTGAACCTTGGGTGTGAGGGACCAATCCTGTGACCTCCCAGAACCATGGAAGCCAGGACGTCAGGCTGACCAACACCTCAGACCTTCTGAAGCAGCCCATTGCTGGCCCGCCATGTTGTAATTTTGCTCATTTTTATTAAACTTCTGGTTTACCTGATGCTTGGCTTCTTTTAGGGCTACCCCCATCTCATTTCCTTTAGCCCGTGTGCCTGTAACTCTGAGGGGGGGCACCCAGTGGGGTGCTGAGTGGGCAGAATCTCAGAAGGTCCTCCTGAACCGTCCGCGCAGGCCTGCAGTGGGCCTGCCTCCTCCTTGCTTCCCTAACAGGAAGGTGTCCAGTTCAAGAGAACCCACCCAGAGACTGGGAGTGGTGGCTCACGCCTATAATCCCTGCGCTTTGGCAGTCCGAGGCAGGGGAATTGCTTGAACTCAGGAGTTGGAGACCAGCCTGGGCAACATGGCAAAACGCAGTCTGTACAAAAAATACAAAAAATTAGCCAGGTGTAGGGGTAGGCACCTGGCATCCCAGCTACTCCAGGGGCTGAGGTGACAGCATTGCTTAAGCCCAGAAGGTCGAGGCTGCAGTGAGCTGAGATCACGCCACTGCACTCCAGTCTGGGTGACAGAGAGAGACCATATCCAAAAAAAAAAAAAGTTGCCAGAGACGAGTATGCCCATGCTCCCTCTACCTCACTGCCACCACTCCTGCTGTTAGGAGCTGAGTGTGTCTCCCTAAAATTTCTATGTTGAAGTCTTAACCCTTGGTACCACAGAATATCACTGTATTTGGAGATGGGGTCTTTAGAAAGGCACTTAAATTAAAATGAGCTCACTGATATGGGCCCCGATGCAATATAATTGGTGTCCTTATAAGAAGGGGAGGTTAGGACACGCAGGAAAGACCACATGAAGGCCCAGGAGTGGGAGGGGGAATAGCCATCGACAAACTAAGGGGGCCTCAGAGGAAACCAACCCTGCTGACACCTCAATCTTAGACTCTGGCCTCAAAAATTGTAAGAAAATAAACTTCTGTCTTTTAAGCCACCCAGTCTGTGGTACTTTTTTTATGGCGGCCCTAGCAAAATACACACTTGCCAACTACAGCCAAGATGGGGGCAGGAGAATTCCTAACGATGTGGGCGGAGAAGGGCGAAGAAGGATCCACGGCGAGAAGGGAGAGGAAAAAGACGGATGACCTGGCCCCTTCGGTGGAAATGGCAAGGGAAGCTCACTCAATGGCATCGAAATGTGGGCCCTGTTTTTCAGGCCAAAAGAACAGTGTTGCTGAGCAGCACTCAAGAGACGACCCATGGAAGTCAGAAATAAAGTCAGGGCGAGGCCGGGAGATTGGGAAAGCACATGGGAAGAGGCTGAAAGAGAAGTTTTGGAAGGTGAGGAAACTGAGCTGAGGAAGTGAGCCAGGAAGGAGAGAGGGGGGAAAACTATTATTAAAAGGAAAGGGTGCTGGGGAAAGAGGTCCCAGTTCCCTTCGTCAGCAGCCAGTTGATGGGTCCAGAGCAAAATGACCCCACAGGAACAGCAAGGCGACCCAGTTTCAGAAAAGTGTCGAGCCAGAAATGGAGTGAGCCCACAAGCTGGCTGCAGAAAGCTTAGCAGCTGACCTGGACTTCTTGAGCTTCCCCAGATCTCAGGCAGAAACAGTCCTGTGCCTCCCTCCACCCTGGGAGGATAGCAGAGGCCGAGAACTGCCAACTGTGGGCAAGGGCCCTGGGCCTGCGAGGGGCTCTTGGCTATGGTTGGTTACATAAATCAGCAGGCATGTTCTGGAACAGGGCTCACTGGGAGCTCCTAGGAAGTCAGTTACGGTAAAGGTGGGGCTGCCCTCCTGCTAGGAAGAAGAGCAGGAAAGACCTTTGACAAACCCAGTCTTGATCAGAGAGCCTTTTACAACTTGTCTAGCCCAACCACTATGTTTCACTGAAGAGGAAACCGATGCCTAGAGAGAGGAAGTGACTAGTGCTTCACACAACAAATTTGTGAAAATATCTAATGAAAGCCCAGACTTTCTGGCCCCTAGTAACGGTGCTCATTTCTTCAGCTGATAAACTGCAGTGGACCTTTCAGGAAAGGATGAACCGTTCGCTTTGCCTCATTGTTAACGAGTCTCATCTATTCTTGACTGTGGCCTGCCTCATCCTTCATTCTTGGAAATGGAAGAAATTGACACACTTGCTTCTGCCCATCTTTCACAGTAAAGGACACTGCCCCTGGATGGGGGCATCTCAGCAGCCCACCCCCACAGGCTGCAAGGCAGTCAGGGAACCAGTATTAATCGGGCTCCTGCTGTATGCTTGGCACTGTTCTAGATGCTGGGTTGGAACAGAGCAGGACAGACACAGACCCTGTCCTAAAGGGGTCCACGTTCTCTAAGCCCTGGGAAACCAGGACTCCATCATGCCCATATCTCCTCCTGGCCCTCTTCTCATCCAGGTTATATAAAGCACTGCTGACTGAGTCTTCTTAGCCCAGCTTTCTGGTGTTGGATGGCACCTGCTGTGTTTCCTAGAAGCCCTTGGGAAGCACAGGGCCAGGCAGTGGGCAGAGGGGGGCCTTTGAGGATGCACAATCCTTTGAGGATGACTTTGAGGACCAGCAGCCAGAAGCCAGGCACCCATGCGCCTCCCAGACAGGGGCCCAGTCCCTGTGGCCTCTGCTAGCAGACGACTGCGGCCCCCAGGTGTGAGGATGAGCGCAGCAGCTGGCCCAGGGCGCCACGTGTGTTCTGTTGGCTCTGAAGAAGGATGTGTTGACCAGCTGACACTTACAGGGCTGAAAGAGACCACAGCATTCTCAGAGGCAAATGGAACATTCCAGTGATGAAAGCCATGCCGGTTCAAATGCAATTCTTTCAAGAGGTCTGGAGGGTTCCTGCCCCAGAGTGTGTGCTTATGTGAGTGTTGGATGCTGCATTAATATTTCACAAATATCCATATAAATATTTTAGTGTGTTGCATTTCGATGTCAATCTCACTAGCTTTCCTGACTCCAAATCTTAGATTGCATTTGCCTTTTCCCTTCGCATATTTATTTGTGAAAACCTTATTTTGGAAGCAAATGAAGGCCATACTGTAAGAGGTGAACTACAACATCTCTATGAAGGAAAAGTCAGGCCCTGGACTCCACAGACAATCAAAGTAAGTACACGTGAAAGAGCTAACTTGAGGACTTGTTTCTCACAGGGAATTCTATCTGGCACAGGATTGGAGAACTTTCCTTCCATAGAGTCCCCAACTTGATTTCATCCTGATATTGTTCTGTTCACTGTAGCTGCACCCCAAAGGAAAATGTCTTCCTTGGTGATCTGCTGAGAGGATCCCATTCTAAGCAAACATTAATAGGCTTAGGGATTGAGCAGCTGAAGATCTGTGAACAATGGTTAATTGACATTTCAAAAAGCAGACACACCATTGGTGAGTTCCCCTTAACAGTTTCTCTCCTCCGGTTTTTCCCTCTCCCACTGGTTCTTCTTCTCTCCCCCTTCGTCCATTAGCAATTCATAATATATAGCTGAAGTATATATTTTAGTCATTTATTTACTTACTGAATGAAATTCATGTTCCCAGTTCTTAATCTAAAAAGCAGTTGATTATATTATCTAGGGAGAAATTTTTTTAAAGTATTTTTTCCTCTATGGGTCAGTGATCCTCCACCCCTAAGCTAGAGGAAGAGTGAAAGAAAAGAAAATGAAGCTCATAATAATTGTTTAAAATCTGCTCTGCAATAGGAACATTTTGCATACATTTCATTTAGTCCTCTTCCTAATCTTGTAAGGGAAATGAGAGCCCCATTTATATGATACAGCTGAGATTCAGCGGAGTTAGGAAATTTGCATGCAGTCACACAGCTGGAGTACTTAGAATCGGGATTCCAGCCCAGTTTTGCCTACCCTCAAATCCACATTCTTCTCTACTTTTCCTGGAGAAGTACGGTGTTCAATGAAAAAGTAATCCCGGAGAACTATGTACACTATTATACTCTTTTTTTTAAAGCTCACAAACTATGCCATAAGTTGTTTAGGGATACATGTGAATGTGATAAAATTTAATTAATTAATTAATTAATTTTTGAGACACAGTTTCACTCTTGTTGCCCAGGCTGAAGTGCAATGGCGTGATCTCAGCTCACTGCAACCTCTGCCTCCCGGGTTCAAGTGATTCTCCTGCCTCAAACTCCCGAGTAGGGATTACAGGTGCATGCCACCATGTCCAGCTGATTGTGTATTTTTAGTAGAGCCCTATGTTTCAGCATGTTAGCCAGGCTGGGCTCGAAGTCCTGACCTCAGGTGATCCGTCTGCCTCGGCCTCCCAAAGTGTTGGGATTACAGGTGTGAGCCACTGCACCTGGCCTAAAATTGAATTTTAAAAGCAAGGGAATGACCACTCTCAAAATTCTGGATGAAACTTACATCTGGGTGGCTGAGATGGGGAGGAGGACAAGGTGGGCACTGGGCTGTTGGCAGTGTTCCAGCCAACACTAAGTTCACGGTGGGCTCCTGCAAGTTCTATTTATTATAATGCTTTCTAACTTACATATTAGTTGTCTATGCTTTTGCATGTATCAAATATTATGTTAAAGATAAAGGGAGAAATGAGGTGAAAAAAGTCCATCCTAATGGTCACCATTTGCCGCAGCAGCCTCTATTAGGGACAGGACGTAGTGCCCCTCCCTGCAGTGTTTTTCTCACACGACTCGATGGTGGGCTTTTTTTGTGTTCTTCTACCAGCACCTAGATCAGAGGTCATCACACCACTCAATGTGAGAATACCTGGCTGGAATTTTTATTTCCCTTTTATTTATTTATTTATTTTTAAATTTATTATATATATATATTTTTTAGATGGAGTCTCGCTCTGTTGCCCAGGCTGGTGTGCAATGGGGCAATCTCGGCTCACTGCAACCTCCGCCTCTTGGGTTCAAGTGATTCCCCTGCCTCAGCCTCCCTAGTAGCTGGGACTACAGGCGTGTGCCGCCACGCCCAGCTAATTTTTGTATTTCTAGTAGAGACGGGGTTTCACCATGTTGGCCAGGATGGTCTCGATCTCTTGACCTCGTGTTCTGCCCGCCTTGGCCTCCCAAGGTGCTGGGACCACAGGTGTGAGCCACGGAGCCCAGCCTTTATTCCCCTTTTAAAGAGAAGGGATAGGAAATACCCTCTGCACCTCCCAGCCCTGCCTCCTCAAACATCACTTCCCCTGGGAGTTTGCGTAAGGACTTGGGTCTGAGGACAACTTCCAAGGCCGACGAAGCTGAGTTTGCCAGCTCATGCTCTGGTGCCTTCATGTCTCTTTGGATTTAAACCCAGAGGCCAGAACAGCATTTGAAAAGTCAGCTGGGCCATTATCCTGCTCCTAGATGGGATTGCACTTGGGTTTCTTCGTCTCATTTTGGAATTGAGCCAGGGAGATCCTATATCATCTCTCAATTCCCTTTTCCAGTTCTTAACAGTCTTTATTATATTTTACCAATCAGATCCAAAAAGCCTGGGCTAAGTCCTGCCACTTTGCAGCTGTTGGAACTTAGCCTTGTCATTCAACCTTTCTGGGCCTCAGTTTTCTAATCTGTGAAATGGTGATATCAGTGTTACTTGTCATGAGTGCCTTGTTGAAACCAATTTTGTAAACGAGCTTTGTCAACTTTGAAGGACTTGGCAAGCATAAGGAATTTGTTTTTACACAATTTAGTTACACTCTGGGACCATAGGCATAGAGTGTAAGGAAGCTCCAACTTCCTCTGAAGATTCCATAACAGTCGCTTCTGAAATAAATTGACAATAGACAGATTGACAGGAGAAAAACCATTTTAATTTTGTGGCTGTACACAGGAGCCTCATAGAAGAATGAGGCTCCAGAGAGGGACCCAATGGTTGAAGTTTTTACAGCATAAAGGAATAGAGCCTTGAGGCTTTGGGGGGAGGTGGTGATAAGTTACGGGAAGGAAAGGGGAAGAACTGCACAGAGAATGGTGTCTTATGCAAATACAAGTCCCTCAGGTAATCAAAGTTGTTTTGGAACTCCCTCCAGAATAGGCAATAGCCTGTCTGGGGGTGGTGATGACTTTTAATCTCCTTGTGGTTATTAATATTCCCTGGTGGTTTGATGAGATTCCTAGGGAAGGGGTTCAAGACAATTCCATTCCTTTTGGAAGACCATTCCTCAGTCAAGAGGTGGGAACTTCAGAGGGAGCTCCTCCCTGCCCTAGGGAGGAAAAAGAGGGGTGGGAAGGAGAAGGTCAGAGAGAGACCTTAGTTTTCCTCTGGGGCCTTTCAGTCTCCTTTGTTCAAAGCAGTCAGCATAGCACCCCAATAAGAGCAACTCTGAGAAATGTAGATGTTAGTCAACCATGGCCAATAGTGAGACTCAACACTGCTTACCTAGACTCTGGATGGAGGGCTCCTGGAGATCAGTGCACCTCTTACCTCTCCGACTCTCAGCAGTGGTTTAAACACAGGAGAAAGCATCACGTTGATGCTGGAGGCTCTCAGCGAGGGGCCTCTCAGCTGGCTGTCTTCCTCCCACCCCTCCGAGAGGGCCTGCTGGGAGTCAGGGAGCTGAGAGGACAGTATACTGCTCCTTTGTCTTTTCATTTAGCACCCTAACACAGGTTCTGAATGAAAAGACAAAGCGTGTAACAACTCTTTTTTTTTTTTTTGAGACTGAGTCTCGCACCCAGGCTGGAGTGCAATGTCGTGATCTCGGCTCACTGCAAGCTTCTCCTCCCAGGTTCACGCCATTCTCCTGCCTCAGCCTCCCGAGTAGCTGGGACTACAGGTGCCTGCTACTACACCTGGCTAATTTTTTGTATTTTTATTAGATATGCGGTTTCACCATGTTAACCAGGATGGCCTCGATCTCCTGACCTCGTGATCTGCCCGCCTCGACCTCCTAAAGTTCTGGGATTGCAGGCGTGAGCCACTGCACCCGGCCTGCTCTTTGTCTTTTCATTCAGCACCCAACACAGGTTCTGAATGAAAAGACAAAGCCTGTAACAACTCTTTAAAGAACTAAGTGCGGGACTTGACTATTTGCCCCTACCCCGTTTTCTTATTTTGAGTGTTGTATTAGTTTGTTAAGGATGCCATAACCAAATATCACAGACTGGGTGGCTTAAACAACAGAAGTTAATTTTCTCACAGTTGTGGAGACTAGAAGTCCAAGACCAAGGTGTCAGCAAGATCAGTTTCTCCTGAGGCCTCTCTCCTTGGCTGGCAGACAGCCGCCTCCTTGCTGCCTCTTCACACGGTGGTCCCTCAGTGGATGTGCGTCCCTGGTGCCCCTGTGTGTCCATATTTCCTCTTCTTAGAAGGACCCTTGTCAGATTGGATTAGGGCCCTTACAGCCTCATTTTAACTTAATCACCTCTTTGAAGGCTGTCTCTATAAATACAGTCACAATTCAGAGGTACTGAGGGTTAGGGCTTCCACATGTGAATTTGGTGGGGACCTAATTCAGCCCATACACTGATGTGAATCTAATTCTTCATTTAAAAAAAAGTAAGTACTTTGCCTTCCTGTTTTACATCCAGCTTCTGAATACCCCTGGGAGATGGAGCTATGGGCCCAGCCTGGCACAGACTATCTTTGGTTTATGAGGTCAGGTGTGCCAAACCACCAGCAGGGCAGAGACAAGCATCTTTGTAGGCTTTATATTCCAGGCACCCTTGGGCACTGGACACCCTGCCTCTTTTCTTACTCAGGAGTTGATTGTCTGTGGAGTCCAGGGCCTGACTTTTCCTTCATAGAGACGTTGTAGTTCACCTCTTACGCGTGGTGGCGTGTGCCTGTAAGCCCAGCTACTCAGGAGGCTGAGGAAGGAGAATTGCTTGAACCCGGGAGGTGGGGGTTGAAGTGAGCCAAGATCATGCCACTGCACTCCAGCCTGGGTGACAGAGTGAGACTCCCACTCAAAAAAAAAAAAAAAAAATCTCCACAGTGTAACTCTGCTGTGGTTGGTGTGTATCTGCCTTTTTCACTCGTTTTTATAGATGAAATACTATTTTATGATGCATCCCAACAAGTATTTGTTAATTTCAAGACAGTAGTGGATAAAAGTGAGGTGCATGGGGGGTTAAGGTAAGAAAGAAGCTGGGAAGGCCGGGCACAGTGGCTCACGCCTGTAATCCCAGCATTTTGGGAGGCTGAGGTGAACAGATCACCTGGGGTCAGAAGTTCGAGACCAGCCTGGCCAACATGGTGAAATCCTGTCTCTACTAAAAATACAAAAATTATCCAGGCATGGTGGCGGGCGCCTGTCATTCCAGCTACTCAGGAGGCTGAAGCAGAAGAATCACTTGAACTTGGGAGGTAGAGGTTGCAGGGAGCTGAGATTGCACCACTGCACTCCAGCCTGGGCAAGAAAAGCGAAACTCTGTCTCGAAAAGAAGAAAAAAAAAAGAAGAAAAAGCTGGGAAGAATTATGTTGCCATTGAAACTTAGAAATATACTTCAAATAGCCAAAGAGTTTCATTGTTTTGGCTGCTTCACTTATTTACACACTTTGCCCCTGTGAGCAGGCACTGAGTGTTTGTCTCTGGGCTGGCTGGCAAGACAGAGGGTGGTGGAGGTGCTTGGAAGATCTGTCCGGAAGGGCCGGGCAGCCTGACGGAAGGTCGTGCAAGCTTCCCGTCTGTGGGTGCAAGAGGAAGCTCTGGATGGGAGCTCTTTGAAGGGAAGGACTGTGTCAGTTCATTTATGGGGCTCCACAGTGTGCTGGTGCCTGGCAGATGGTATGAAGATCTGAGGAGGAAAGGTGGGGTGGGAGGGAATGAAGGAGGGAATGAAGGAAGGAGGGAAGGAGATAAGAAGTGTGGCAGCCCCGGAAGTGCCTTCAAGAGAGAACCCGCAGCAAAGAGTGCTATTCACTGCTGGCCCCCAGCTGCCACCCCTTCAGGGTGTTGTATTAGTTTGCTAAGTGCCAGCTGACTTTTCAAATACTGTTCTAGCCTGTAGGTTTAAGTCCAAAGAGACATGAAGGCACCTGGAGCATGAGCTGGCAAACTCAGCCCAGTTGGCCTTGGAAGTTGTCCTCAGACCCACGTCCTTACTCAAACTCCAAGAGGAGGCGATGTTTGAGGAGGCAGGGCTGGGAGGGGCAGGGGTATATTCTACCCCTTCTCCTTAAAAGGGGAATAAAAATCCCAGCCCAGGTATTCTCAGAGCATTCTCAGAGTAGCCACAAGGTCTTCACTCTCCGTAGGCTGCTTTTGGCCAGTGATTGAGCATGGTGGGATGGGAGACACGCGGCGGGTACTCGAACCAGGCCATTCCTGCCCAGCATGGGACCCTTCTAATATTTGCCCCTGGACTGCTCATCACCTGGCTGAGCCCTTCTCTGGGTTGCTCTGCCATCAGAGGCACTTCCTAGCCAGCCCTCCTTCCTTCCCACCCTCCTTCCTTAGGTGTCACACCTACATCATGGCCTGAAAGCTCTCCCTTGCCTACTCCTGCTTCCTTTCCCCTTCATCCTTCATAGGCGTTCCTCATCCCACACCCCAGGTCTCCAGCACTTCTCATCCCATCTTGGCATCTGCTTCCTGAAGAATCTGAACCCACATAGGAGAGAGGGCAAAAGGAGGAAAGTTTGAATTTGCTCCTTCTTTTTGTCTCCACTGATTCCTTTGGCAGGCATGGACTGACACAGCCACTGCACTCACCTTAAAGCTGTCAGCTGGGGACAGTGGTGCACCTGTAGTCCCAGCCACTTGGGAGGCTGAGGCGAGAGGACTGCTTGGGTCCAGGAGTTGGAGGCTACATTGCAAACTATGATTGTATCTGTGAATAGTCACTGCAGTGAGACCTGTCTCTTAAAGAAAGACAAAAAGGAAAAGAAAGCTGTGAACAGAGCAGTTGGTACTCAATTCGTCTTTAAAAAAAAAAATCAATGGTGGGCCAGGCGCGGTGGCTCACACCTGTAATCCCATCACTTTGGGAGGCTGAGGCAGGTGGATCACCTGAGGTCGGGAGTTCGAGACCAGCCTGGCCAATATGGTGAAACCCTGTTTCTAATAAAAATACAAAAATTAGCTGGGCATGCTGGTGGGCACTGTAATCCCAGCTACTTGGGAAGCTGAGGCAGGTGACTCGCTTGAACCCGGGAGGCAGAGGTTGCAGTGAGCCAACATGGCACCATTGCACTCCAGCCTGGGAAACAATAGTGAAACTCCATCTCAAAAAAAAAAAGAGACCAAGAAGCATGACATGAGGGGCGCATGGGAGAAGCTGCGGTTTCTAACTCTGGGAATCTGGAGGACTATATGAACAAGGTGGACTTTAATTTGGCCTTAAAGGATGGGTGCTAAGAGAAGGGACAGGAAGTTATGGGTTAGTATTCTGATTGCTTGTCCTTACGCCTTCTCGTGGCTGAACTTTGGAAAGCTACCAATTAAATGAAAGAATGAGACTTCTGCGGGTTAACTGCACGGTGGTGAATTAGTAGTTCTACCATTTTCCCCTTCTCTGTCCATTGTGACCCTGGTTCTTGGTCAGAGACCAGAGGGCCCTGTCGGAGAGCCAGTGGCCATCTGTTGGGGTTGGCAGAGGCATTCAAGGTCAGGCATACGGGACAGATCTGATTCTTCCTGAGTCCTCTGGAGGAGTCTGTGTGTGTGTGTGTGTGTGTGTGTGTGTGTGTGTGTGTGTGTGTGTCTGGCTGTATTCGGGTAACTGTGTGTTTCTGGGCATACCTAGGCACCCGTTGTGGACATGTCTCTGTGGGGTGTGTGGACGTGTGTGGATGTGTCTGGGTGTTTGTGTGTGTGGATGTCTTTGTGTGTGTATCTGACTGTCCGGGGGCCTGTGTGTGCATGTGTGTGTTGGGTGTCTGTGCATGTCCGCGTGTCTGCGTTTGGGGTACGTTTGGGTATCAGTGTGTGCACATCTGTCTCTGTAGTGGATGTGTCTGTGTGTGTGTGTGTGCATCTGAGTGTGTGTCTGGGTGAATGTGTGTTGTCCAAAAGGACTCATGGAGAAAGCGCCTCCTGGGCCCAGGCTTTGCAGAATCTATTCTGCTGTCAGACCTCTGAGGCAGGTCAGAGTGACATTCTGGGCGATGTGGTTGAGGACAGCCGCATCTGCTGAGTCATAAGGATGTGGGCCCTGTGTGTTCACAGTTGGACATATCGCCTTTCACACCCACGGAGGGGAAATTTCAGCCAGGCTGGCTGACCCTGCATTCTTTCAGAAGGTCATGACCTCAAGTAGCCCAGGGAAGGAGAGGAAACAGGAATGCTCGTAAGACCTAGAGGTTGGCAGAAGGTGAACTGAGACCCAGGTGTTCCCCAGCTGGGTCCGCTGGGTCGTGGCTTTCTCAGGCCTTTCCAATAACTAAGCTGAGGGCTTTGGAACTGATGGGACACTTCCTGGTGGGGGAGGAAGCCCGGGCAGATTTTCTTAAATGATACAAACTGCCAAGCTCACCAAACTTTCACAATCGATGCTGACCCTGGAAAGCCCCACAAAGCCATAAGAGTCTAGACTCTGGAAAATCCTTCTCCTTCCTCTCCAAATCAACCAATCAGCAAATAAACACCACTACACATAGTATGCTTAGCTGCCATGCAATCAAGCGAGGCTTTCACGCTTATCGGATTTAAACAGTAACGTTTCCCCAGGGATGGCAGGGGCAGAAAGCCTCAGTCCCAGGCTTCTTGGTTGGAATGGGTTTCACAGGTTCTTTCCTAATATCAGATGGGGAGGGGTGAGGAGGGCATTTGCCCGCTGGAGCACACCTGGGAGAGCACCACTTGTGAGGGAAGGGTTCCAGCAGGACATCGATGGGAAACGCACATCAGGAAATGAACATCTGAGCATTTACATGCACCCAGCATGGGGAAGGCACTGGAGAATATTCTGCAGGAGGATATTCCTGTTCCTAAGGAGCCCGAGCTGGGAGCGCACCTGTGGATATTCAGCTTGCCCATAGATGAGCTGCTTCCCCTGGCCACGTGAGATATGGATGAGGTAAGGAAAGGCGATGTGAGTACATCGAGGTGGGGTTGGTCCTTCGGGGGAGGCGGTGATCAGAGGAAGGCAGGGAGGCTGGCCTGGAGCAGGAGGGTGTCACCACTGGTCACTCCTTGTATTCAGACAGTGAAGGCCACTGACAAAATGTCACACTTGCTGTGACCACTGGTCTCCAGTAAGGTCCAGCCAGCCTGTGGGGCCTTGTGGGTCTGGCATGCTGGGCAGCGGGTTTGATGGGGGGGTGTCAGGTTCTCCTGGGGAGAGAGGGCCCCAGGAGGGACATTGAGGTAGTCAGTACTTGGTCTAAGCAGGGGTTTCAGAGACTTTGTAGATGCTCGTCCAACACCACTGAAGATGCCCAGGGGCGACAGGGAGCTCAGGATCTCTTGGCAGGACCCTTAAGGGCTGGTGTCAAACTGTTCAGGTTGTTACAAGTTCTTTCTCAGGTTAAGCTCAAGTTTGCCTCCCCGCAGATCCATCCATTGTCCTGGTTCTGTCTTCTGGGGTCATATCTATTTAGCAAATATAGAGACAAAGATGGGAAAAGATAGTTCATGTCCTCAAGGAATCCACAGTGCAGTGACAAGGATGAAATAGGCGCTAAGCTGGGAGCTGAGGAAGGAGTCCTGTGTTCCGAGGGATGGGGGCCCAGGCAGGCCTCCAGAGGAAGTAGCCTTTGAGTGCGCTTCACAGATAAGAGGATTCACATGGGTGGAGGGGGCTGCAGAGTCCAGGCCAGGAACAGCTTGAGCAAAGACACAGAGGTAGGAGAGAGCAAGGTATCCCCTGGGGACGCGGGGCACCCTGTTGGGGTGGGGCCTGCTGCGGTGGGGAAGGGGGCTAGATAAAGAGGGGCTTCAACCCAGGCTTAGGCCTTTATTCAGCAAGCTATGGGGAGGGTTGAGAGGTTTCGTGAGACTTTATCAGAGCTGTGGCTAAGATCAGGGGTTCTCAAAGTGTGGTCCCTGGCCAGCAGCATTAGGGTCATCTGGGAACTTAGAAATGCAAATTCTCCAGCTGCCTCCCAGACCTCCTAGATCAGAAACTCTGAGGGTACTTTAATAGGCCCTCCAGGTGATTCTGATGTGCTGCTTTAGAAAAACAACCCGAGAGCTGAGGGAGAGAGGGGAGGTGGGGGGAGCCTGGAAGAGGCCGCAGGTGCTGCTGCATCCTCAAAAAGCAATCACAGCTGGAAGATGGACCCGAGCATGGGAGGAGATATCACTAACAACGCTCCCAACTACAGTAACCAACTGTCCCAGCTTGCCTGGGACCTGAGAGGTTTCATGGGACATGGGACTTTCAGTGCTAAAACCAGGAGAGCCCAGGGCAAACTGGGATAGTCAGCTACCCTGCCCTAACACTGCCCAGGAAGACGTACTGCTCAGGTTGTTTATGAAGGGAATGGGTGAACGGTGGAGTTCCCAACAACGCTGAAGCCCATCCTCGAGGACTTTGTAGTGGCTAAAGTTGCCTGTCCCTCTTGTCACCCGTTTCTGGTGCCTGCTGTGCCTGGCAGGAGCCCTTCCCACATGCCTCTGCTGTGTCCAGGCTCTGGAGACCAGAGCAGAAAGGGAGGTGGAGCCCAGGCCAGTGACAAGAATACAAGGCTGGCTCTCCATGGCCATGTCGCTGGCCAGGCGCCTCGGTCACATGAAATACAATATGGCTGAGGCCTCTCTGACCCTGCTGATGCTGCTGGAAGCTGAAAATACCCAGGGTCCCGGCCTGGGCGCCCGGGTGGCTCCTCTGGGCCAGGAATCAGAGGAGAGGCTGTGGTGACTCAGCCAGGCTCTGGCCTCTGTGGGGTGATTTCAGGGCACTGCAGCCTCCCACCTTTCCTACAGGTGGAGGTTTTTAAAACAGGAGCCTTTTTATTTATCACCCCAGCTGCCTTCAACACATACAGGGGATGGTGGGGAGAGTGACTTCACCATGTTCACTGAGCTGTTAAACACCAGACAGCAAGCCTGCCTATGGAAGCTTGCTCAGAAAAGTGGGGCAGCTGCTTTCTGAAGACCCCAGTGAGCCCCTCCCCGTGTCTTGTTGATCCACACGCCCTATCCATGGACCAGTCACGGAGGCTGAGGGATGGATGAGGGTGATTTGTTTAGGCCTGAGACCCAAGGCCTTAGTGCCTAGGGTGGAGTTAGCTTCCCCGAAACTGGAAGGAGGAGAACTGGTCATTGCTAAGAGAAGGGGAACAGCTGCTGGGAGGTGAACCTCATGTCTCCTTCAATTCTCTTCCTCTGCTTCTGCTGTGGTGCTCTCTACTTTTTCAGAACTGCCTCGTGAGCAAACTTTCTGGGGCTCAAATGAGGCTCCCTACTCCCAACACACCTGCCCAGGAGTTGGTCCTGCTACAGCCTTCAAAACCCGCAGGCAGGAGGATTGCTTGAGCCCAGGAGTTTGAGGCTGCAGTGAGCTATGATCATGCCACTGCACTTAGCCTGGGCAGCAGAGCAAGACACCCATCTTTAAAACAACAACAATAATAATGATAACCTGTAGGCCCTGCCTCTATCAACCTCCCTTCCCTGGAAAGAAGCATCATACCTGGGCAGGGGGGTGCTGCATGGAAACCCTGGCTTTGGAGTTAGACTGGACCTCAGGGTCTGAATCCCAGTTCTGGCACCTTCTTGGCTGGGTAACTGTTAGCAACGAACTGAGCCTCAGTTCTCCCTCTTGTAAAATGGGAATGACAGTATGCTCCCGCAGGGCTTCTGTGAGGGTGAAATGGAATGAGCTGATGCATGTGAAGTTCCCGTTCCGTTGCACTCGGAATGTGGTTGCTGCTGTAATAACCATGCTTCTTATTGACAGCATACAGTACAGGGTAAAAATAGACATGTAAGTGAGGAGCCTGGAGCAAAAGAGGAAGGAAGATCCCCTATAGTGGTTCTGCCCCTGGCAACCACTCTGGCGACTGCAAAGCATGTGATCGGTAGGGCCCTTCATATGAATAAGGGGTCATGCCTCTTGCTTCTGCATGCCATGGGCTGGGTGTGTGGCTCCCACGGCCTGCATACTCTGCAACTCTGGAGTTAGTGAAGAAGCCTCACTACCCAGCCACAAGGCACATTCTACTTTCCACACATCTGACTCCTTCAACCAGAACCCCATGCCCCTACCATGACCACCACCAAGTGCAAAGCTGCTGTGCCTGAGAGCTGCAGCAGCCAGCCCTCTTCCTGCCTGTCTGTGGCTGGTGTGGTTTGCGTAGGAGAAGCAATAATCGTAGCATCCCCACTTACCATGTGCCGGGTGGCTTGCACATATTATCTTTAGTCCTGACAACACTCCTGAGCAAGAGCTCTGGTCTGTTTTACAAAGGCAGGAAACCAAGGCTCAGAGAGGTAGATGACTTTTCTAAAACTAAATGGCTAGCAAAGTAGCAGGGGACTTTGGGTTCAAATTCAGTTCTACCTGGCTCCAAAGACTGAGTGCTTTGCACCATGCAATAGGGCTCGGGAGACCTGAAGTCCAGGTCAGGGTCATCCATTAACTCACATGGGACTGAGGCAAGCACCTCCCCTTGCTGGTCCTCAGTTTCCTCACCTGTGAATCGGGTAATGCCTAAGGTTAGGACTCTGTTCTCCCAGCATCTGACTTCTTGGAGGTCCTCTGCTGACATGGGTACAAAGAGCAGAATTGTGACCCAGGTGATCTCAGTATCCCCCAGTTTCCCTTTGGGAGGCTCTCTTCTGGCCAGGCTGGTGTCTTCCCACTGCCAGGGGGTCTGGAACCTAGCAGTCACCCCTTCTAGGAGTGCTCTGCTCTGTCGTCTGAACATTCCTTTCTACAGCTTCGAACAAAAATGTTTCAATGTCTTGTCTACGTTTTTATAATGTCTCATCTCTCTTGGGTTCTGCCATCTTCCAGAAGACCTAGGAGGGAAGCAGAGATGCTAGTCTGAACTAAAGGGTGAGGGATTCATGGGCTCCTAGTTGCATTTTTATCAGGAGCTTCTAGAAATAGTGTCACAACCTGAAAGAGCAGATGGTCAATTTAGTAACTTCATCAGTGCCTCTGAGTCCCCTTAGTCCCCTGCACATTCACTGTGATTTGTGTTCTATTCGGCTCTCCCTGAGTATAATGCACTCCCCGAGGGAGGGCAGGGACTGGGCCTTGCTCCCAGGCCAAAAGACTCGATTGATTGATGGAGCACCCAGGCCTATAGCACAGGACTGGAACCCCATCTGACTCTGCTTGTGGGAACTGCAGCCACTTCCTGAACTGCCTCCCCACCTCAGCCAGGCCTGAAATGTATTCCTTGCTAGCTAAAGAAGGGGCAAGGAGGAGGGAGAGGGTTTAGAAAGACAAGAAGCATATGGATTTCTTCTTCCTCAGTCTCTCCAATGCTTGAACCCTCCCAGGCCACAGGAAGCTCCCATGAGCCCAGCTAGGCTCTTTAGGGCCAGGGAGTAAAGCTATCTAGAAGTAACAAAAGGGAAGAGAATGAGCATTAATCAAGTTCCTATTGAGCATAGGCATTATACTAGATGTGTCTACAGACTTATACTTGTCTCCATTTTGCAGATGAGAAAACAGAGGACCTGAGAAGTTATGCTGCATGAGATAACGAGGCTAGTAGTTGGTGGAGCCGGGGTTTGAACTCAGGTCCAAAGGTATGTGCTCTTGCAGGCTGCCTCTGGGTGGCTCCTTGGGACAGAGGCCCAAGGTATGTGCTCTTGCAGGCTGCCTCTGGGTGGCTCCTTGGGACAGAGGCTGTAGAACTTTAGGCCCTCTGCCTCGTTTCCCTCAGGACCGACACAGCCAGTCCTGGAGGTCGATGTTGGGTCCGCTGGGGCCAGCCCCACCCAGCCTGTGGACACAGTGCCATGTTACTCTTTGTCCTGGTCTGCATTCACTGGCCATCCACACACATTTTTCTGAGGGATGCTTGGTAACTAAGGCCACCAGGTGGCGCTGCAAGGGCTGGGACCTTGACTGCTGGATCTAAGGCTCAGTAGGTTCTTAGCGATCTTCCATGACAGGCCAGGATTCCCCTGAGAGATTCCTAGGAAACTTTTAAAAAAATATATGGGCCCAGAGTGTCTGGTTTGATATTTTGGATTGGATTCTGGGAAACTGTTATTATTTTAAAATAGTGTTAATTTTCTGCATTGGTAAAATATTCACATGGCTCAAAAAATTTAAAGTATAAAAAGGTATATAAGCCTAGGTGCCGCGGCTCATACCTGTAAACCCAGCGGTTTGGGAGGCTGAGGCAGGTAGGTCACATGAGGTCAAGAGTTCGAGACCAGCCTGGCCAACACAGTGAAACTCTGTCCTACTAAAAATGCAAAAATTAGCTAGTGTGGTGGTGCACACCTGTAGTCCCAGCTATTTGGGAGGCTGAGGCATGAGAATCGCTTGAACCCAGGAGGCCAGGAAGGGGAGGCTGCAGTGAGCTGAGATCACGCCATTGCACTGCAGCCTGGGCAACAAAGCAAAACCCTGTCTTTAAAAAAAACAAAACAAAACAAAACAAAAAATCCTTATTGTTCAAGGGTCAATTTTATATTCAACAAAAGAAGCAAAATAGATTTTAACCAAAGTAACAAAATATGAACAATATATTCATTTGCTTTCCATCAAAACATAGATAAAACAAAAAATATTAACAAGCAATAGCTATTGATTTGGTAGGAATATGAATATCCTAGCCATAACCCTTACTTGACAAATTCACTTGATTTTTGATTAGGCAATCTCCAATTATGGTTTTAGGAATGTTTCACAGTCTGAGGCGCCAGGTTTGTGTGCCTCATGTGTTTTGTCCTTCAGTGTTAATGATAAACGCTTGCATGGCATTCTTAATTTTTGCTTGCACAAGGCTGTCTCAATACCTTTGGTCATTAGGCTGATCCCATTCAGCTTTCAAGTGATCCTGCTTATCTGACTATATAGAAGTCAACATAGCATGATGCTTCTGAAGGCTGTGGCAGATTCTTTCCAGGTGTTGCTCTGCAGCTTGACCTTTGGGAGCCTTGGCTTTAATGATCGCCACTCTGGGAGGGGGGCCCTTAACCTCCTGCTGTAGAATGATGCCAAACTGCCGGCTGCTCAAGCCTTCTTGAGATGGGGGCAGCAACTGCCACTGTCCCCCAACCACGGTGACCTGTAGGACCTGATTCCACAACCCAGAGGTCTGGTTGCCACAGTGCGCCTCACGGGGTAAGACAATTGCTTATTATACACACTGTCCTGCACTTTGCTTTTTTCACTTAAGGGTATAGAGATATTTTTTCCATATCAGTTCAGAAAAGCTTCCTTATTCTTTGTTACAAATGTATAGTGGTTCATTGCATGGATGAAACATATTTTAACCAGTTCCCTAATGATGGTTGTTTCCTTTGCTGTTATAAACAATGCTATAATGAATAACCTTGTGCATATGTCATTTCATACATCTGTAATATCTGAGGATAAATTCCTAGATGTGGTCTTATAGATCAAATGGTATGTGTGTTTTTAATTTTTACAAATACAGCCAAATTGCTCTTGATCAGAGTTCTACAAGTGTATACATCTACCAGCAAAGAACAAGAGTGCTTGTTCCTCATCAGTTTCACCAACACAGTGTGTTAGCAAACTTTACAACTTCCGTTAATCTGATAATGTGAAATGGCATCTTAGCATTCCTCTTATTATGTGAGTTTTTAAAAATATTTTCAAGATCTTTTTCTATTTTCTGTGATTTGTCTGGGGAATTTGTCTTTTTTTTTTTTTAATGTTCCTCACTTATAACCTTTGGCAAGACACAAAAACAAAAAACCTTAAAGGAAAAGATGAATAAATTTAACAACATTCAAATCACAAACTTCTATATATAAACAATACCATGAAATGTTAAAAGATATAACAGGAAAAAAAAAAGTATGTGCAACCTATATCCCAATACAACTTGCAGCTGAACTTTCAAAAGAAGGGAAAAGGCCAGAATTCTGACTGTCCACTAGCTCTCACCATCTTTATAGCTTGTAAGGAGGTGCTTGTATCACATGACTCCCTGGATCCTCACGGAAGCCCTCTGAAGTGGGTGTTATCGTCTCACAGATGCAGACTCTAGGCTCAGAGAAGTTAAGTGACCTGCCCCAGGTCACACAGCTGGGGAGAGGAGATCAGGTGATGTGCTTCCACCACACCACAGCTGCCTGAGCACCCACTCTGGCTCTGCATACATCCATGTAACCTTGGGCAGGTCTCTTGTCCCTCCACTTCAGGCATCTTCTCTGTACAGTGGGTGTGTTTTTCTCCATTGCCGCCAGCTCTAGACCACTGATGTGGAGATGGTGGCAGAAGGTGGATTAAAGTGTGGGTTGGGATTCACAGGGGCACACTGTGGAGGTGTGTCCACAGGAGAGGTGGTGAGTATAAGTGCATGTGTCATATGTGTACAGAAAGAACATTTCTGCAGGCTGGGAGTCCTTTCTGGAGAGCTCATGGGCTCTCCCAACAAGTCACTTCCATCCAAGAGTCCTCTTGCAGCGCCTTCATCCTCGTGAGGCCCTGCAGGGAGGGGATGATGCTTAGCCCTAAAGGAAGATGGCCATTTGCAGCAGCTCTCAATGAGGCTGATGTTCTGGGGCAAGTGGGGACTCATATCTCATAGAGACTAACCCTGGAGGCCTGCCCTGTCAGGAGTCACCTTTCCACTCAGTCAGCCCTGGGGACAATCTGAGCAATTGACCTCATCATGGACTGGAGGGCAGTGAACTGTAGTGGGACCCATGTGATCCAGCCACATAGGCCTGCTGGGCAGATGTCCCCAGGGCCAGGCTGAGGCTGGGCAGGAATAGGGAAAGTGCCAGCTCCACACCCATTCTCCCCACACAGCATGACAAAGGAGCCTAGTTTGCCCAGCATGGGCACAGTACTTGACTAATGGCCAACCAACATTGGCCATCTTTGAGAAAGAGAGACAGAAAAAAAGCCCTGGATAAACAAACGTTGCAAGTTAAAATCTAAAACAAAACATAATCAAATAAAGATAGTATTCTATAAATATAAGATTTCAGAGTTTTAAGCAGACTGAGAAGGGTCTCCATTGTTGGCATTAGTCCTGGGTTCTGTGCATGTACGTGTGGGCCTGCACATGTTGGTTGGGGCTCCTCGGAGCATCTGCATCCCTCGAGGCATCGTGTGGTCAGGGGTAGGGTCAGGAGGAAGGACTTCAGGGGCCTGTCCCAGGCCTTGTGGCTTTCTGAATGACAAGGGCTGAGCTCAGAGCAGGACTAGAGGCCCTATCCACTCACTTCCCCATGTTGAAACCAACTTCAAAGCAGAATTCCCCAGGCCTAGCCCCAGCACTGGAAGAGGAGCTGGGGGCAGCTTTCCCAGGCCTCCAGCCCTGGGCCTGGCCCTCAGAGGAAGTGTTGGCAGAAGGGTTAACAGAAGCCTGGCTGGAAGAAGACGAAGTCCTCCAAAGGACGGAAGTGGAGAGCAGGAGTCAAAAAGAGAGAAGAAAGGGGTACATGTCCTTTGGAAAACTGCTGTGGCTTACATGGCCTTGTTTCAATGGCCCAGGCAGAGAAGAAAGACACATTCACAAGCATAGATTCCCATAGCACAGATGGACCTTGAAAATAGAATGCTACGTGAAAAAGGCCAGACACAAAAGACCATGTATATGATTCCATTTATATGAAATGTCCAGGATGGGGAAATCTATAGAGACAGAAAGTAGATCAGTGTTGACTTTGGGACTAGGGGACCTGGGGATGGGCGAGTGATAGCTAAAGGGTGTGGGGTTTCTCTTTATGGCTACAAAAATGTTCTAAAATTGACTACGATGATGGTTACACATATCGTTGAATATACTAAAACCTATTGAATCATTCACTTTAAATGGGTGAATTGTGTGGTGTGTGAATTATGTTTCAATAACCCTGTTAAAAAGAGGGAGCAGGGGCCGGGCATGGTGGCTCACACCTGTTGAATCCCAGAAGTTTGGGAGGCCGAGGTGGGCGGATCATGAGGTCAGGAGATCAAGACCATCCTGGCTAACACAGTGAAACCCCATCTCTACTAAAAATACAAAAAATTAGCTGGGCATGGTGGCGGGCGCCTGTAGTCCCAGCTACTCGGGAGGCTGAGGCAGGAGAATGGAGTGAACCCGGGAGGCGGAGCTTGCAGTGAGCCGAGATCGCACCACTACACTCCAGCCTGGGTGACAGAGTGAGACTCTGTCTCCAAAAAAAAAAAAAAACCAAAAAACAAAAACAAAAAAGGAGCAATTCCCATGGAGAGTGAGGGATATTGGGAGCAGTTGGAACAGGTCCTACTGGGGAGTGGGCAGAAGGGTACAGAAAGTCTAGTGGGGCAGGGAAGACCAAAGAAAAGAACAACTTCCATTGGTCCCTGAGGATGGGCAGTGTTTCTGTTACCTTTCCAAGAAGAAATGGAGACCTCCTTCTCCCCCTTGCTCCTTCTCAAGCCATGGGCATCATGTTAAGAAAACTGTAAATTCAGACCATCGAGAAAAATCCAGAAACCCAACTCAGGGGCTGGAGAGGTCCTAGGACCTGACGCTGGTGAGAGTGGAGAGGCAGCGCTTCCCACGACCATAAAAATGATTAAAATGGTAAATTTTATGTTATCTATATTTTACTACAATAAAAAAGTTAATGAACTCAGACTTCAATGAGATTAGGATGATATATCCTCGCTTGTGGCCTGGCTGGGATTAGAAGAATAATAGTAAATGTTTATTAAATCCATACTGTGTTCTAAGCCTTTTGCCTTACGTTATCTCGGTTAATCCCCCAACAGGCCTACAAAGTGGGCTTCCTTATCATTGCCACTCTACAAACCATTGTAGAGTGCTCAGTGTAGAGGCTCAGCAAATTTGGGGCCTGTATCCTTCAGCCCTTGCTTTAGTCAGCCAGCAAGGGAAGACTCAATTCAATAGATCTGAAACAATTAAAGGATTTTTCTGCCTTGACAAAAGTTAAAATGGAGCAGCTTGCAGGAGGTGGTCTATTCTGCATCTCTCAATGAAATGCAATGAGAAGGTTATTTCTTATTTCTTTCTGGAAGCAAAGAGTCTTTGGCTGGTGTGGTGGCTCACCCCTGTAATCCCAACACTTCGGGTAGACCAAAGCAGGAGGATTGCTTAAGGCCAGGAGTTCAAGACCAGCCTGAGCAACAAAGCAAGACCCCCCATCTCTACAAAAAATAGAAAAATCAGCCAGGTGGAGGCTGAGGCAGGAGGATCACTTGAGCCCAGGAGGTCAAGGCTGCAGTGAGCCATGATCACAGCACTGCACTCTGGCCTGGGTAAATGACCAGAGCTTGTCTCCAAAAAAAAAAAAAAAAAAAAAGTCTTTTTGAAAATAAAGAAAAGTGGCAATCCAGAGACAATCGAGATATTTCCTGTGGTCCTGGGGCAACCTGTTCTGAGTGGGAATGTAGTCAGGAAGAGGAGGGCACAGCAGGAGCCATGCAGGGCTCTTGTCGCCTACAACCTGACACCTTTGAGATAACAGACCCTCCAACTCCTGGAGTGGAAATTGCAACCTGCTGGGGGTGGAGACACCCGTGTTTAAGTCCTGGTTCAGCAAGTCAAGGCGGTCCTTTCACCTGTGGGCCTTGGTTTCTCTAGCTCTAGAATGATAACCTCAAGGCTTCTTCTAGGTTTCAAACTTAGGCGTTTTGGCCTGCACCTAGCAAGTGGGAATTGTTTGTTCAGAGCCAAATTACTCTGTCTTGTTTTCTTGAGTAAAAAGTGAAGGGAAGCACAATCAAACCCCATCCCTCTCAGACAACAGTCATATTCTCCCCACGCTGTCATCCCCACTGGCTCTGGGGCAGCCCTGGGCAGTGGGAAGATGGTGGAGCTGCCTCCCACAATCCTGGTCCTGATGACTGGGAAACTGGAGGCGCATCCGCTTCTGAGGACTCACAGCAAATGCTGGGAAAGTGCTGAGTGAACCTGGCGTGCAACCCACACTCAGTAGTGGGTAGCAGTTGTTATGATGGCCCTGCCAACCCCCCGGTCCTGGTGGGAATTCTCTGCATGCCGGACTGCCTTCTGGAGGCCTAGGGGCTCTGGCCCTGTCTGCCCTTTCCTCACTCCCGGGGATCTCCCCAAAAGGACATGTAGTAGCCCTAGGGGAGAGTAACTGTCAGAGGGGGCCAACCCAGGGCAAAAAAACCCAGGATACTGGATCCCTGGCTGTCCCTGGATGGTGTGAGGCCAGCCCTGCCAGCCACCCTGCCCTGGCCTTTCCTGGCCTCAGGCAGAGCACAGGCCACTCCTCACAGGCTCAGGTCTCACACCTCCTGATTCACTCCTCTGCTCAGGGCATCTTGCCCTGACCCCTCAGGGCCGACCACCATGAGGAGGTCTGTGAACTATGACTTCAGGGTACAACTGTCCTCTTCACGGCCCTGCCCTGCTTCCTGACTCCTGCAATCCCAGAGCTAGAAATTTTTCTCTTTGATGCTTCCCTGAACATAAAAACATTTTAAGCCTTCTCCATCACAGGGAGTAGGATGGGAATGATTCAGGAAGACTCTTTCCCAAGAGCAAGCTTCCGTGGGGCAAGCAAAGAAGGACATGTATCCAGGAAGTGCCCGGAGGTGGGTGGGAAGGGAACACAAGGCACAGAAAAGGTTCCTGAGACCCGTCTGCCTCACAATTGTGCCCAGGGCCAGGTCTGAGTCTGCTCTTCCGACTTCCAGAGTGAAAAAATAGAATGCTCTTTAATGCTTCTCTTTTGTCAACTAAAAAATCAGCAAAGTGCCAAAGGAAGGTGCCTCAGACATTGGGGAGAGCGTGAACTTTGTGATGAGACAATTTTGGTTCTCTTAGGACCTGGTTCTCTCACCAACTCCATATGCGATAGACAAGTGACTTCACTCCATTAAGCCTCAGTTTCCTCCTCTGTTAGACTGGGCCTAACGAAACCTACCTTGAAATGCTGTTATCAGAATAAGTTGAGAGAATGTATGGGGGTACCTAGCCCAACGCCTGTACATAGTAGGCCTGCACTAAAAGCTGGCTTCCTTTCTTCCTTCATCTCTCTTGTTCTCCAATCTGTTTGAATGGTGAAACAGATGGTTCTTTGGTTGAAAGCAGCAGAAACTGACTGGGGCTATAACTTAAAGAAGAAAAAAACATGTGTTAGGAATTTACCAGGTAATTCACCAAAGCAAAAGAAATGAACAAACTAGCCTTGGAAAGGACAGTAACTAGGAGATCACAGGGAGGACAGGCTGGTGATTTGGAGACCAGCTCCTCACCTGCCAGTGGGCTCTGGCCATAGGCCTGCATCCTTTGCAGGGTGCACCCGAGGGCTGATGCTTGCTCTTGGGGAAGGCTTGTCCTCTTTAGCTCTCCAAGGTCTTGTTACTCCCAGGAGCCTGGGCTCTGAAGACCCTCGGGGATAAGGAGAGCCTTCACTAGTCTTAGGCTGACCACAGATAAAACCCAAACCCTGCTTTCCAGCCCTGGACTCTGACCACTCAGCACACGCTAATTCAGCCTGAAGGTTATGGGTGCCAGAGACCGAGGAGAAGGTTTGTTCTTAAAATATGTTTATTTATTTTTTATGGAGAATTTTTTCTCATTATAAAAGACAAGATACTCAAAGAAAATTTGGAAAACAGAAAAACACACAAAATCCCCCAAATCTCCACAATTAACACTACTCAGATCTAACCACTAGTAATATTTTAGAACATGTTCTGTATTTTTTCAACACAGACACACAGACACACACGCACTTTCTAGCAACATGAGCTCATACTATCATAATGTTTCAGTACATTTTTATTTTTAAATTTTATTTTAATTTTTTTTTTTTGAGACGGAGTCTCGTTCTGTCACCCAGGCTGGAGTGCAATGGTGTAATCTTGGCTCACTGTAACCTCTGCCTCCCAGGTTCAAGTGATTCTCCTACCTCAGACTCCTGAGTAGCTGGGACTACAGACGTGCATGCCACCACGCCCGGCTAATTTTTGTATTTTTAGTAGAGACGGGGTTTCACCATGTTGGCCAGGCTGTGTAAATCGAACTCCTGTTTAGTCAGATTTATTGATCTGTAAGGTGGAGGGGCCGTTCTGCCCACTTTCCCTTGGTGCCTAACAAGCTTTCATTTATATGATCTGAGCCTCTCATATTTGTTTCCCAAAACCAGTTGGGATGTCTCTGCCTCCTCTGGGTAAAGGATGTTTCTTGAGCTATAGGGCAGGGCCCAGAGTATAGTCCTAGCTGTCCATCCATGGGGCACAGCCAGGTGAAGAACCCTCTCCCCACACTGCCTGGGGTCACTGACCTCAAGTTCAAACCCTGCTTGGTGAAGATGATTCTGCTGATGATGCCAACGTTCAGGTCAGCCTCAGCTGTTCAGAGCATGTCTACCCACAGGCCATGCTGTAGCCAATGTGGTCAAAGCCAGCCCCAGATAACCTTCTGGGAACCCTGCTCTAGGCTCCAGCTTTGGTATTAGCCAGGGTGCTCAGAGCTTGGCCCAAGGCTCTTGGTGCAGTGGCTACTCTCTAGGCCTTGCTGTGGAGCAGCTATGGCAGGGGCAGCCTCCTCAGCCTGCCAGGCCTGAGGGAGGGAGGAAGGAAGGGAGGAAGGAAGAAAGGAAGGAAGGGAGGGACAAAAAAAAAAAACCCAAGCAAATATTGGGGCTCAGAACACAATATCCCAAAATATGGCACTCTAGCACTCTGAGTTATTTGGACTGGAAGGGATGGGAAGGGCCTCAAAAGCAAGTCTTGCTGATCCTCTCCTGCCTTCCTTTTTCTTTCCCTCCTTTCTCCTTACCCAGTATTGCCCCTGAAAGAGGTCATAGAAACTAGAACTCCTCTCCCCAGTGCAAGCCACGAAACCTAGAAATGTCACTCTCTAACCTCTTCCCATCTCCCTGGAAGACCCTCATACGACAGGGGTCCTGCCCCTTACTCAGGAAGGAAAGAACGCTACACAGAGAGGCCGTAGAGAAGCTGAACAAGAGGCCTTGCTGTGTTCTGCCTTCAGTCTATCACCATTAGAGCACACCCTCTTTCCAATCACATTTCTACATGGCTGTCTGTTCTTTATTGGACCTAAGCTTAAAAATACACAGTTTTCCCTTTGTCTCTGGATCTTCATTTCTGAAGCCTCTCGCATCACGTAAAACTTAGATTAAATAAATGTGTTATGCTTTTCTCTCGTTAATCTGTTTTTTGTCATGGGGGTATTGGCCATGGACCTTGGAATGGGTGAGGAAAAGGTACTACACCTCTTTGCCCTACAAAAGCAGGCTGGCAAGTAGGATGGCCCAGCACCTATTGCATGCCAAGTGTCTTCACTCAGGCAGTTCCATCCGTGTCTAAACAACCTCGCACTTTTCACTTCCCCACTTTGGGGATGAGGAAGCTGAGACTCAAAGGGGCAGATTATTCGTCTTAGATCACTCAGCTGGCAAATGGAAGAAATAGTGTTTGAAACCACAATCTGTTGCAGCCTCCCAGATGGGTACCTGCCCACCAGAAGGTCTTATGCCTAGTGTTCCATTATTGGAATGCTAAGCAGGTGGGAGTTATTTATATCCTGCGGCTCAAGGTCATCACCAAGGCCTGATTTTTCACACACGTCTGCAATTCAAATTGTAACCTCTGGGCCGGGCACAGTGGCTCCTGCCTGCAATCCCAGCACTTTAGAAGGCTGAGGCAGGTGGATCATTTGAGGTCAGGAGTTTGAGACCAGCCTGGTCAACATGGTGAAACCCTGTCCCTACTAAAAATACAGAAATTAGCTGGGCATGGCAGCCTGTAATCCCAGCTACTTGGGAGGCTGAGGTGGGAGAATCACTTGAGCCTGGCAGGCGGAGGTTGCAGTGAGCTGAGACCACGCCACTGCCCTCCTGTGTGGGCATCAGAGTGAGACCCTGCCTAAAAAAAAAAAAAAAAGTAACCTCTTAAGCTCTCTCCTTAGCTTCTGGGAAAAATGAGTAGGGGAACTCATTCACACTAGAATTCTAATATAGGTTAATAATATCCTCTTTCCCAGGGGGCTCCAAGATGTGGACCCAAGTCTCACCTTTCTCTATCTCCCTCACAGCCAGTCATGACCATGCGATGGCCTCGGACCGTAGAAAGTAGTTTAACTGAACTGTTTCTCTTGGGAATTTCCCCTAAAGCTGAGGCATTTCCTTCTAAGTCTCACTGGAAAGTTCCCAAGAGCCCACGAGGTCAAGGCTACAGTGAGTGATATTTGCACCACAGTGCTCCAGCTTGGGTGACAGAACAAGACTCTGTCTCAATAAATAGATTAATAAATAAATAAATAAATAAAGTACTGAAATCTGTATTGGCAGGTGCATCAAGACGTAGAAACTCTCCTTGCTCATTTTGGTTCTGTGAACTTCCAAGTACCTTTGAGAACCCCCAAGGAATCCAACTCGATTTCTTTCCTTTCAACTTAACCCATTTTCTAAATACCGTGCATCTCAGCTCTGTGCTAAGGTGCTTGGATTGTGCTGAAGAAGTCATAATCTCCATCCTTAAATGGTTGTACAAACTAAGGAAATAAAAGCCTCTCAGTGGATGGTATTTAGAGATGAAAGAATTATATACAGGAAGGAAAAATGTAGAGTGAGGCTTCCCAACTGGGCAAGGGACCCTCACAGGCTGTTACTTGGGTCCCCCAGTGTCCTCTCAAGTTTTGCCTAGGATTGGGGTCCCCAGGTGTGCTGTTGGGGGCCCAGGCCCCACAAGGGTAGCTCTCTGAAGAGGTCCATTTGTCCCTACTGACTCTGAGGGCACAGCTGTTGAGATCTGGGTCCCTGGGATGAGCATCTTGGGAGCTGCCTCTAGGCTAGCCTTCTCTTGGTGTACTCCCTCAGCATTCCTGGAGCCTGGTTGGGGGCTGGCCCTAGGGAGCCCGCCCCTGCCTGTGCAGAGTTGCTCCTGGCCCAGGGGAGAGTGAATGCATTGTGCTCAGGCCTCAGTAAGAGGCAGCCTTGGCAACCAGAATCCTGAGGGAGGGTGTGCCTGGCAGGTCCCCTATGGACTCAACCAGCCACTGTCCTCATCACCAAGCATTAGTTTGGACACTAGCTGCACCCTGCTACCAACAAGAGATCAAAGAATCATGTCTGGGACATAGAGTCCAGAGACCTGGGCTCTAGTCCTGGCCCTGTCACTAATTCTCGGGGCAAACTTGGTCATATTTGTTACCTCATATGTGCCAGACACTGTGCAAGATACTTCACATACTTAAGGCCAGGCACGGTGGCTCACGCCTGTAACCCCAGGACTTTGGGAGGCCGAAGCAAGTGGATCACCTGAGGTCAGGAGTTCAAGATCAGCCTGACCAACATAGTGAAACCCCGTCTCTATTAAAAATACAAAAATTAGCTGGGCCTGGTGGCACGTGCCTGTAAACCCAGCTACTCGGGAGGCTGAGGCAGGAGAATTGCTTAAACTCAGGAGGTGGAGGTTGCAGTGAGCTGAGATTGCACCACTGCACTCCAGCCTGGATGACAGAGGGAGAACATCTCAAAAAAAAAAAAAAAAAGATACTTTACACACTTTTTTAAAAAAGCATTTTCTCTCTTATCACGTTTTCTGTCTCTGGCCCTCCCATCTCTTCATCCTGCAGAGAGGCTGGACTTGGTGAAAGGAGGAGGCAGGAGGAGGCCTTTTGGCTGAACAAAAGGCCTACCCCGTGCCCCACCCCCACCCTAGAGGCATACAATCATTGCCAGCTGAGCCACTGGGCCCAGGGTTTCCCCAGCCTTTATGGTTGGGTTTGCATTGAGGCTTCTGGTTCCTGGGGGAGTCTGGCTGCAGAGTGGCCCCATCGGATGCTCTCAGATGTCCCCTCCCACCCACCTGCAATGGCCCCAGTCCACACACTGTGGGATGTTTTTATTCTTTCCTGCTCTCCTCTTCTCCCCTCCCTTCCTCTCTCTTTTTTCCTGTCTTTCTCTCTCTTTCCCTTTCACAAGCTGGGGCTAGAACATCAACTTAAGGAGGAAAACACAAATAAAGGGCCTTCCTCAGGGAAAAACCTGATCAGAGGAGACTCTGTGCCTGGAGCCTGTTTTCTGCCAGCTGTCAGGGATTCTGTAGGATTGGCCTCTCCCAACCCGGAGCTCCCCAAAGCCAGGTTCCTTCTCCCTGCTGCTGTCCTTTGGCTTGGAGAGTGGGGACCTGCATGTCCTGCCTCCTCCGCTTGACCCAGGAGGACACGGCCTCTTGGGATTCTGAGGGTAAGTGCTCCCTGCAGTGCCATCGCTCTTTCCTGCTTATTACTTCACCATCCTCACAACAACCCTGTGTCGGAAGAGAGTGTTCAATGGGCACACAGTTCCATGACCATTTTACCGATGAGAAAACTGAGGCCACACAACTACTAAGACACAGGCCTTCCATCTCTGAGTCCTGCACTTTGCTTAGGTGAGTAACTTCAGCCATTGATCTGGTCATTCTGTGCCCCTCTCTCCAACCTCCCTGGGGTTCTCTTGCTGAAACTGTCTGAATTGGGAATGCAGCCTGGCTCCACGGGCTTCCCAGGTTCCTGCCAGAAGCACCCAGGCTAGCTTTACTGCAGGAATGGAAGCTACCCTCTGCTCCATTTCTGCTAAGAAGAATGCCTCAGATAGGCGGGCAAGGTGGCTCATGCCTGTAATCCCAGCACTTTGGGAGGCCGAGGAGGGCGGATCACTTGAGGTCAGGAGTTTGAGACCAGCCTGCCCAACATGGTGGAACCCGGTCTCTACTAAAAATACAAAAATTAGCCGGGCGTGGTGGCATGCACTTGTAATCTCAGCTACTCAGGAGGCTGAGGCAGGATAATCGCTTGAACCCAGGAGGTAGAGGTTGCAGTGAGCCGGGATCATGCCACTGCACTCCAGCCTGGGCAACAGAACAAGACTCCATCGCAAAAAAAAAAAAAAAAAAAAAAAAAAAAAAAAAGCCTCAGTTGAAACTAGAAACCTGTGGGCATCAGAAAATACTTACCAACCGCTTGCTCATGCCCCACTACACCCTAAGGCAGAAACAAGTGTTCCCCTGGATGCTTGTGGTGAGAGGTTGGCAGTAGGTCCCTGGAGCTGGGGCCTGTTGCAGCCCCTGGGATCAGGTGAATCAAGGGAATCAAACACTTCTGTTCCACTTCCAGATAAGATAAAGGTTTCACTTTCTTCTCCTTGGGGAAAGAGCTGACCTTGCCAGGTGACAAAAATGCTAATGAGGCCCCAAGAGAACCCCTGCCTGGTAGAAAGGGTACTGAGCTTGGAGTCACAATGTGCTCTGCTCATTTCTAGAGGAGTGAACTTGGGCAAACACGGTTGCCACTGCGCCTGTCTTGTAAGTTGCTGGGAGGGGTGATGAGAAAATGCTGCAATGCTTATGGCCTTAGAAAGATGCTCATGATATGTTGGTATGAAAAAGCAGATTACAAAAAAGGTATATATACTAGGCCCCCATTGCTGTGAAATATAGAAAAATAGCCAAGAGCCATATTCCACTATGCTAACAGTACTTATTCTGGGTGATAGGATCATGGGTGTATTATTTTTCCCTGTTTACTTATCTATATTTTTAATTTTTTCTACAGTAAATATATATTATATAATTATTAGCTATTGCCACAATAATACTGCATAACAGACCAGCCCCAAATCTCAGTAGATTACAACACAAGGATTTATTCTCAAGCTCACAGTTCTGCAGATCAACTGCAATTTGACTGACTTAGGTTGGGCATGGAAGGGCTGCTCTGTCTCAGCCCCGCCCTGCTAAATCAGTCAAATTGCAGTTGGACTAGGTCTGGCTCCTCACTGCAGGTCAGGCTGTATGCCCCACGTGCCTTCATTCTGGGGCTCTGGCTGAAGGGGCAACAGTTATAAAAGCTTGCTTCGCTTCACCTTCCAGCTTGTCAGAGCCCAAGAGACAAGCCAAAATGCACAAGCATGTATAAAGCCTCTGTTTACCTCATTTCCTAACATTTTATTGGCTAAAGCAAGTCCTATGGCCAAGCCCAACACCAATGGGGCAGGGAAGTATATGCCACCCACAGTGGGAGTGGGAGGGGAGTGGGTATATTCTGAGTACTAACCCAGTTTATTGCTTATTACTTGTATAATAAAGCAAACATAATGTGCTTTGTGAGATGTTTTGATGTTATCCACGAGAGAGTATCCTACGGGGCTCCCCAAGGTTAAGAAAGTGGAGCCATTGTAGAATTTTATAGTTAGAGGATAGAATTAATGTGTTTTCTTTGTTTGTTTGTTTGTTTGTTTGTTTGTTTGAAACAGGGTCTCACTCTGTCACCCAGGCTGGAGCGCAGTGGCACAATCCTGGCTCACCGCAACCTCCGCTTCCCAGGCTCAAATGATCCTCCCATCTCAGCCTCCCAAGTAGCTGGGACTACAGTGTGTGCCCGCACACCCGGCTAAGTTTTTGTGTTGTTGGTAGAGACTGGGTTTTGCCATGATGCCCAGGCTGGTCTTGAACTCCTGAGCTCAGAGCTCCACCCACCTTGGCCTCCCAAAGTGCTGGAATTATAGGCATGAGCCACCACGCCCGGCCCTGAGGATAGAAATAATGTGAAAGGGGTAGGCTGACCCTCTCTTCCTTCTCCTCCGTCCCTTTAAGATTACCAGACACGACCATTTATGGCACCTACAGGCTCATAAAGGAAGGCGGAAAACTCCCACACAGCCTCATGGGCCATTCTCGCCAGAGGCCCAGGACCTTGCTAGTTCCCATCCAGATCTGTCTGAATTCACTTCCTGCTGACTTCCTTTCTCTTGATTTCTCTCAGTTCATCCAGTCATTCATTCAAGTTCTATTTATTGAGCACCTACTATGTGCTGGCACTCTTCTAGCCGTGGGGTTATGTTGGTGAACAAGGCAAGTGTTGATAAACAAGGAAGTCTTTCCTCACAGGGATTACATTCTAGTGGGGAGTGGGGTGGGTGCCCGGTAGGGGAGAAATGCTAATATCAAGTAGTGTGAATGCTAAGAAGTAAGTAAGATGGGAGAGTGCAACAGAGAGTGACAGGGCGAGGGATGGCTACTTTGGATAGTGAGGTCAGGAAAGGCTTCACTGAAGAGGTGCTGTTAGAAGTTACTGGAAGATGCTTCTTAGGAACTGATATTTAGGTCTGGGCTCTCCAGACCTTGACTCTTAGTCCCTCTCAAGAATTTGGCTTGGGTTCTCCCTACTGTTCGCTCTCCACTTTGGCCTGCTGTGGGGAGCTCTCCTGTCCTAGCTATCTTCCAACCAGCTTCCCACTGGGTCTGGTGCCCAATCGGCTTAGCCAGTCCTCAACAAAGAGGAGACTCAAAAAAAACCCTAGTAGATCAAGCCAGTCACTTACCGAACTCCTATTGTATACCAAGCTAGTAGGCGTTTATTGAGCACTTTCTGTAAACCAAACCAATAGGCATTTATTGAGCATCTATTGGATGCCAGATCAACAGTCATTTATTGAGTGCTTACTGCATATCCAAACCAACAAGTGTTGATTTACTGTGTTCCTGGAACTGAGAAGAAAACAAAACTATTGCTCTCTAGAGACTTGCAATCAAGTTGTGAATGCAAATGTTACACAAATGCAGACCATTAGCTATAAAAGGCAGGACTTACAACTGTAAGTGCCATGTTGTACAGAACAGCGTCCCAGGAAGCTAGAGACAGCCTAGAGGTCATCATGCAATGGAGTAGCCACAGAAGGCTTCATGGAGGAGGTGAAAATTGAACTGGGCTTTAAGGACTGGATAGGATTTAGATAGAAAAGAAAAACAGGGGCGGACCACAGTGGCTCACTCCTGTAATCCCAGCGCTTTGGGAGGCTGAGGCGGGCAGATCGCTTGAGCCCAGGAGTTTGAGACCAGCCTGGGCAACACGGCGAGACCCCATTTCTACAAAAACTACACAAATTAGCTGGGTGTGGTGGTATGTGCCTATAATCCCAACTACTAGGAGGTTCAGCTGGGAGGATCACCTGAGCTCAGGAGGCTAAGGCTACAGTGAGCCATGTTTGCACCACTGCACTCCAGCCTGGACAACAGAGTAAGACACCGTCTCAAAAAAAAAAAAAAAGAAAAGAAAAATAGGGACTAGAGTAGCATGGCCCAGGCCTGGGGGCAGTTGTGTTTTGGAACCCTCGGATAGAATTCTGAGCATTCATCATTTGGGCCTGGTGTCTTCTCCTTTCTGGTTTGTCAGCATTCCTGTAACAGCCAGTCGCTATGACCCCTTTCTTCTAGGCCATGGCTAGATTCCTTGGCAGTCATAATTTGCCTGAGCAATCCAGGGCTGACATAATCTGGCTAATGTCAGAATGGGCCACCCTGCAGAAAGGTGTTTGTGATGCTCTAGGTGGATAAGAGCATAAAAACCATGAAGATTGGCCTCAGGATATGCAAGTGCAGTGCATTTTTAGTCCAGGTGTTCTCTCCTCTTCTCTCAGGAGTCCTTAAAAACACTCATGTTCGGCTGGGCGTGGTGACTCATGCCTGTAATCCCAGCACTTTGGGAGGCCAAGGCGGGCAGATCACCTGAGGTCAGGAGTTCGAGACCAGCCTGACTAACATGGAGAAACCCAATCTCTACTAAAAATATAAAAAATTAGCCAGGCATGGTGGCGCGCACCCGTAATCCCACCTGCTAGGGAGGCTGAGGCAGGAGAATCGCTTGAACCCAGGAGGCAGAGGTTGCAGTGAGCCGAAATTGCACCACTGCACTCCAGCCCGGGTGACAGAGTGAGCCTCCGACTCAAAACAAAACAAAACAAAACAAATTCATGTTCATTTCTTCAGCCTGGAGCCTTGAGACTGCAGCCAGGACTATTTAGAATTCATAGATTCGAGATATGGGCTCAGTGGCCTCTTTATATATTTCTGAAAGCAGGAAGAATTTTATATCATTATTTTATTACTTAGATGATTAATAATATTCATATTATTAACCGTGTTACAATTTCAGATTTTCTGCTTTCCAGAAAATGGTCATGAGAAAATCTGAACTTGTAAAATGACTCCATTAAAGATAATCATTTTTTCACATTATAAATATTTATCCAGTACCACTCTGTATAGTCTGGGTCTGGGGGAAAAAAGGGAATAAGCCATAGATTCAGGGTTCTTTGAGATAGGGAGCCCTCTACCCCTTAACTATAAAGCTTAATATAATTTGTGGAAAGAGCTCTTTATACAGCTTTTCAGGAAGCTTGCTCTTCCTCCTAGTTGGGGGTGTCTGTACCATCTGTAGGATTACTTTCTATTTCATTTATTTTCAGGTCACAAAGTCTGTGCAGCACTCAGGAAGCTTGGAACATTGTCATTGTGGAGGGAATTGTTCAGACCTGAGGCAAAATAAAAACCGAAACTGAAGGCCAGGTATGGTGGCTCACGCCTGTAATCCCAGCACTTTGGGAGGCCAAGGTGGGTGGATCACATGAGGTCAGTTCAAGACCAGCCTGGCCAACATGGTGAAACCCTGTCTCTACTAAAAATACAAAAATTAACCAGGTGTAGTGGTGTGTGCCTGTAATCCCAGCTACTCAGGAGGCTGAGGCAAGAGAATCGCTTGAACCCAGGAGGCGGAGGTTGCAGTGAGTGGAGATCGCGCCACTGCATTCCAGCCTGGGCAACAGAGTGAGACTCTGTCTAAACAAAACAAAACAAAAATAACCTGAAACTGAGAGGTAGGTGTAAAACAGGCTGGAAGATTCATTTCAAGATATAAATAAACCTACGTAGACTTTCTTCCCCACTTGAGTCCCAGGGAAAAGTGAGAAGCAGCCAGGCAGGCACAAAGAGATCCCTGAGATTCCAGAGGCAGCCAGTCACTCCATCTGGAAGGAAGCAAGGAAGCTGTGGGAGGGAGGAGGGCTAAGGAGTTCTGTCCTGTGCTGTTTAAAGAAAACCAGGCAGCAGCTCACATTAGTCCCCGACATTTCCATTTCATGGCAGGTGGCACATGGTGCAGAAGAAGGATTATATAGGTCAGTCTAAGCCCAGCCAGCTACCACTAGCTGTATGGCTGTGTTAGCCCAGGTCTTCCAAGTAGCAGACATCAAGACAGGGTTAGACTGCAGGAGATTATTCGGTAAGTGTGCAAAACTGGAGAGGGAGCTGGCAAGGCTGAGAGAGGCGTCAGACGTCAATGCAGGTCTGACCCATGTGATGGAGAGAGGGAAGGAAGGAAGGTTACATCAAAGTATCTTACACGGCAGTGCAGTTCTAAGAAAGGTCAACAAGGCCAGTGGATTAAGGGGGTCCTTGAGCTAAAGATTTCCTTCAGAGCAGTGCTGTCAATCTCAACTTCCAGGTCGGCCTTAGTATCCCCATAGGCGGATACTAGTGGGAAGTATGGCCTCAGGGGAAACACCTCAGGTGACTTATCTTACCTCTCTGAGTTTTGGTTTCCTCAATTATAAAGTGAAGGTTTTTGAGAGGATTAAATAAAATAGCATATTTAAATTAAAGTGTTTACAGCCAGGGTGTGGTGGCTCATGCCTGTAATCCCAGCACTTTGGGAGGCTGAGGTGGCTGGATCACAAGGTCAGGAGATTGAGACCATCCTGGCTAACACGGTGAAACTCTGTCTCTACTAAAAATACAAAAAAAAATAGCCGGGCGTGGTGGCGGGTGCCTGTAGTCCCAGCTACTCAGGAGGCTGAGGCAGGAGAATAGCATGAACCCTGGAGGTGGAGCTTACAGTGAGCCGAGATTGCGCCACTGCACTCCAGCCTGGGTGACAGAGACTCTGTCTCAAAAAAAAAAAAAAAAAAGTGTTTAGAATGGAATCAACTGCCTAATAAATGTTCAATGAACATAAATTCCCTTCCTTGTCTTCTTGTACCCCATCTTGAGGCAAGTTTGGCACAGCGATATGACTCCTCTCCCCAGCCTGTCCTTCAGTCATCCTTCTTCCCTCTCCCCAGCCAGACACATAGGAGGCAAGTAAGTGGCCCTAAAGGCCAGGGCCTGAGTGCTTGTGTTTTTGTGTTTTGGTAGCCAGGCCTTGAGCCTTTATCCTGATGACATGGGGCTTCAGCCCACAGCTAGGCTGGGATGGAGGAGGGAGACCCCAGAAGGAGAGATATCACTTTTTTTTTTTTTTTTTGAGAGATAGTCTCTTTCTGTCACCCATGCTGGAGTACAGTGGCGTGATATCAGCTCACTGCAACTTCCACCTCCTGGGTTCAAGCAATTCTCATGCCTCGGCCTCCCGAGTAGCTGGGCTTACAGAAGTGCACCACCACACCCAGCTAATTTTTGTATTTTTAGTAGAGAGGGGGTTTCGCCATGTTGGCCAGGCTGGTCTTGAACTCCTGGTCTCAAGTGATCTGCCTGCCTCAGCCTCCCAAAGTGCTGGGATTACAGACATGAGTCACTGCGTCTGGCCAGATACTATTCTTACTTAGGAGAGGTTACTGCGTAGTTGGAAGGTTAAGCCACACCCCTTGGGAACACCGTCAGGGAAAACACTTAGGGAAGCTCTGCTCCAAAATTTTTCAGGCTGGGGTCCAGAGGGTCTGCTGCCCCGGGACTAATGCACATGTTCCCTCAGAGAGAGCCTTTAGGGATGGCTGTGTAAGACAGTCCCCAGCCCCACCCTGCCCACTGTCTCCACCGTACCCTCTATCATCCTCTGCATGCCTCATGCTCCTGCAGTGCTCTTCTCTCTCTGCCTCTGTCTCTCTCTCCCCAACCTCATAAATCTAGGCTTTGTTCCTGCTGGTCCCTCTCCCTACAATGTCTTTCCCTTCCTTTACCCTCCTAGTGAACACCTGCTTCTCTATCCAGCTCAGATGTCCCCTCTTCTAGGCAACCTTCCCTGGCGCACTGCTCTCACAACTGACTCCAGTCCCCAGGTCTGGCACCCCACCTCTCTGTGCCTCAGTTTCTGTAGCTGGAAAATACGATGATGATGACGGTACTACCATAGCTAATCACAGGGTAGTGGTAAGAATTAAATGAGATGATAAAAGCACCTTGTGAGGGGGCTGTATCAGTGAGTGTCATGGTCAGTGGTAGGTATGTGTCAGCAGATGCATACCTCATTGGTGAGCATATAATACTGTATGTTGCTGGGGGAAGCCCACAATGTGAGGACACGAGAGAAGCACTGGACTTAGGGTCAGAAGGCCTGAGTCTCTCTGCTGCAGATGGGCTCTCTGTCCCTGAGCCAAGCTTTGTCCTCCCTGGGCCTCAGTTTCCTCCTTTGTTCATTTAGGCATGGCCTCCAGGGCCCCTCCTGGCTATCCTAGCTTGGCTCAGAAGCTCTGGGTCCTGGGCTCTGAGCTCCGAGGCCCTCCCTGCCCAGCTCCTGTTCTCAGTGCTGGCTCCCTAGGCTGGACAGCTCCCATGCTATTAATATTCCTGGAGACAGCAAAGTCTCCCAACTCTCAGCATCTGGACAGCACCTCAGGCCAGGAGCATGGAGGCCCAGGCACACATCAGACCCAGAGCTCCAGAGTAGGGCATGGGAGAGTGGGGAGCTCCTTCCTGGAAGAGGAGGTTGGCACCGGCAGCGAGGAGCTCCAGTGCTTCGGAGGGGGAGCAGGAGGGGGTTGGGCACACCCTTAGTGGAGGAGCTCAGAGACTGTGGCTTTTGGGTTTTGCCTGCAATCCTTAGGGCCAAGATCACCAAAATCATTTAGACCCTGACATCCTAATTGGTCCTAATCCACATATAGAATATAGGATTCTCACTTGATCCTATGGAAGAGAAAAATTTTCCACTGTGAATGTTCAGAATCTTCTTAGCAATCAAGGGCTCTATCCCACACATAGCAATTTTGTCACATCCTAGACTATGGGACTTTTTTTTTTTTTTAAGTGCTTCAGTGTGTCTTTGATGCTGGATTTGGTAATTGGTTCTTGGGTTTTAAAGACTTGGTATTTCCACGGTGAGTCATAATTGTTCGTTGACATACCTCATTGCCTAATGCCATTTATAGCCCCAAAAGATAACATACATCACATGAGGATTTTTTAAGCTCACTTCTTTAAACAGATTCTATATTGTACTGTTTGCTAGGTCATTCATCCATCCAGTATTCTCTCTGCTTCCTCATTTCTCCTGTGTGCTGGAGACTGTGCTCTCACCTTCACACCCCTCATTTTATTTAATCCTCACAACCATCTCAGCGAGGCAAGAATTATTATCCCCTTTTCAAAAATGAGAAAAATATGACTCAGAGAGGTTAAGTGATGTGCCCAGGGCCACACAGTAAGCGACTGGAATTAGGATTTCAACTTAGGGCACTGAACTTTTCATCATAGCAAATTGGCCTCCTCTCTCCTCCTAAGCTCCCCACTTCTCATAGCATTCAAGTCCTCCTCACTATTATGTGTGTTTGTGTGTGTGTGTGTGTGTGTGTTTTAGAGACAAGGTCTTGCTCTGTCATCCAGGCTGGAGTGCAGTGGTGAGATTATACCTCACTGCAGCCTCAAACTCCTGGGTTCAAATCACCCTCCCACACCAGCCTCTCAAGTAGCTGGGACTATAGGCACATACCACCACACCTGGATAATTAAAAAAAAATTTTTTAAAGATGGGGTCTTGCTGTGTTGCCCAGGCTGGTCTCAAACTCCTGGCCTGAGGGAATCCTCCCACCTCAGCCTCCTGAGTACCTCCACATTATTTTGAAGCAGAGAACACTGGGGATAATTATGAGTTTTTTGTTTGTTTGTTTGTTTTTGTTTGATGAGAAGAATATTGTCTAGGTTTATTTTATTTTTATTCTTGATGAGAAGAATATTGTCTAGGTTGATTTTGTATTATTATTCTTGATGAGAAGAATATCGTCTAGGTTGATTTTTTTTTCATGAGCTTATTTATTCATTCAATACATCTCAATGAGAACTGGCTAAACAGGGACACTTGGTGTTAGCCCAGAGACCTAGAGGTCATGGCCACTTATTACATGCCGGGACCCATGGTCATTCCATAACCACCCTGCTCCCACCCTGAAAAAGAGTCACAAACAATTAGGACCCAGACTGGTGGGTGGTCTTGTAGGAGAGGGTCTTGTAGGAGAGGGTCCAAAGAAGTGAGGACAAAACCCTACCAATTAGAAGTCAAGTCTGAACTCCAGACAGGAAAAAAGAAAAAAAACCCATCAACTCAAAAAACCCTCTGTTCCCGTTAAGAGCATAAGCTTTAGATTACAAAGTCTTACATAGTGGGAGATATCCTTGGGAAGGAGGTGTTGTGAGGTGGAGAAATAGAGGCACTGATGTTGGCACCCAGAAAATCTTGGGCCATCTCTCAGGCAAGTGGCTTGATCTCTCTGGCCTATGTTTCTTTATCTGCAAAACAGAAAGATGCTTTCTGTTTCTCAGGGTGAGGGGAGTAAATGAGCTAACATGTGCAAAGCCCTCCATTCCTGAAATGTGGCAGCTACTTTAAAATTGTTATTTCAATGCCATGAGTTATGTGTGGAGCAGTTGGTCCAGAATAGAGGGGGAACAAAATTTGGATCAAAGAACAGCCCCTGAGGGATTAAGCATTCATATAAGATAGACATGAATCATTGCAAAGGCACACCCTTTTTCCCAATGTGTCAATGAGACTTCTTCATCCAATGAGTTAGTCTAACCGGAGGTGAGGTGGGCTCTAATTCAAGACCTATAATAGACCAGGCATGTGCCATTGATAGATGCTAATGATGATTGCAAACAAAGGGGGGTGGCTGCATAAATGTAGCTTCCTCTACATGCTCTGGAGGAATGGGAACATCTATCTGAGACCTCTGGTTGGGGACTATAGGCTTAAGAAGGCCAATATAATAGGGAGGACAGCATGGTAGCGAGAAAGAAGGTGGACTTAAAGCCAGAAGAGCCAGGCTCAAGTCCCAGCTCTACTTTCCAACAAGCTTTGAGACCCTGGGCCAGCCACCAAGTGTCCTGTCTGGTTTATGAGAACAGTTGTCTTAGTATCTGCCTCACCTTGGTCATAAAACTGTTGTCAGAAAGACAAAGTAGGTCCCTCAAAAAATTAAACATAAAATTACTAGAAGATCCAGCAATTCCACTTCTAGGTATACAAAAAATTGAGGCTGGGCTCAGTGGCTCACACTTGCAATCCTAGAACTTTGGGAGGCTAAAGAGGGAGGACTGCTTGAGGCAGGAGTTCAAGACCAGCCTGGGCAACATAGTGAGACCCCCCCTTCTCTACAAAAAAAAAATTAAATTAGCTGGGCATGGTGGCATGCACCTGTGGTCCTGGCTACTAAGGGGGCTGACGTGGGAGGATGGCTTGAGCCTGGAAGGTTGAGGCTGCAGTGAGCTGTGATCACACCACGCACTCCAGCCTGACTGATAAAGTAAGATCCTGTCTCAATGAATGAATGAATGAATTGAAAGCAGGGACTTCAACAGATATTTTTACCCTCATGTTCATAGCAGCGTTATTCACAAGAGCCAAACAGTGGAAACAACCCAAGCATCCATTAATGGATGAATGGATAAGCAAAGTATGATACATACACAACGGAATACCATTTAGCCTGAAGAAGGAATGTAATTCTGATACATGCTTCAACATGATGATCCTTGAAAACACTATGTTAAGTGAAAGAAGCCAGACACAAAAGGAGGACAAATGTATGATTCCAGGTAGATGAGGTTCGTAGAGGAGTCAAACTCATAGAGAAAGAAAGTAGAGTAGTCATTATCAGGAGCTGGAGGAGGAAGCAATGGGGAGTTATTGTTTAATGGGTACAGAGTTTCAGTTTAAGGTGGTGAAAAAGTTTTAAGATGGATGGTGGTGATGCCTACACAACATGAATATACTTAATGCCAAAGAATTGTACAGTCAAAAATTGTTAAAATGCCCAACTACTCTGGAGGCTAAGGCAGGAAGACCGCTTGAATCCAGGAGTTCAAGGCTGAAGTGAGCTATGATTGTGCCACTGCACTCCAGCCTGGGTGACAGAGTGAGACCCTGTTTCAAAGAAAAAATAAAAAGTAAAAAAGATAAATTTTATATTATGTATATTTTAACACAATAAAAATTACCTTTTTTAAAAAAAGAAAGATATAGGCCAGGCGCGGTGGCTCACGCCTGTAATCCCAACACTGTGGGAAGCTGAGGCGGGCAGATCACGAGGTCAGGAGATTGAGACAATCCTGGCTAACACGGTGAAACCCCGTCTCTACTAAAAATACAAAAAAAAAAAAAAAGGAAAAAAAAATTAGCCCGGCATGGTGGCGGGTGCCTGTACTCAGGAGGCTGAGGCGGGAGAATGGCGTGAACCCGTGAGGCGGAGGTTGCAGTGAGCTGAGATCGCGCCACTGCATTCCAGCATGGGAGACAGAGCGAGACTCCATCTCAAACAAAAACAAAACCAAAAAAAAAAAAAAAAAAAAAAAAAGATATACTGTAGAGGAGAGTCATTTGCAATCTGTACAGCAACATGAAATAATTAGCTGTGGTAGAGGGGTTAGGATGCAATAGTTACATTATTATAACTACCCTCTACCACAGCTAATTACTATTGCTCTACAAGATTTCATATTGCTTTACAGGTTCTCTTAGAGCAATTGTCAAAATTGAGACCCTCATCCAGGACTTCTACAAACTGTTTTCCAATCTGAAAAATAGCAGGAAGGAGTAGATTTTTTTTTTTTTTAAGACACTGTAAGAGCTGAACGTGGTTTCCCTGGAAAGTGGGAAACGGGAGTGGTAGGGGCTGATGTTTTTCCTAACAGGTTTGTAGAACTGGAATCTTAAAAAAAAAAAAATGTTCCTGATTCATTATTTTCTAATGCTCTTTATTTATATCTGCTCTGATCATTGACTTCTATCCCACAATAAAGTTGAACCAGCCAGTGAAAACCATGGTTGTTATAGCTAGGAAGAGGGTGCTGAAGAACACTGAGCACCCTGTGTTCCTCCTTTCTGCTGGGCACGCAGTGATGGGGAGGGCCCTTACCCAGGACTGCTCAGTGTGTCCCCATCGGTAAAAGGAGCCATTGGCCTTCCTGTTTATCAGCCTCTCAAGCGTCTGCATCAGAGGCCTGGGTTCTCCAGAGCTTGGTTACCCCAGAGTGAGCTTTGCAGGTGGAGTTTGACAACTTCTGAGATGAAGATCAGACTCAGGGTCTAGGAGACATGGGCAAGGTTCTTAACCTGGAGCAGCCCAGAGGTCTGGGCCCCTTTAATGACTGTACACCACTTAGGGTGAAAATTAAATTGTAAACTGTGTGTATATGTGTTAATATATACCAACAAATAAAACTTAACTTGGGCAGTAAGTTGGCACGATTCCTATAAACAACACTTTATAGGAAATAATTAAATAAGCAAATTAATATGCCCATTCATGTTTTTTAACAGATTTACTGAGCTATAATTCACATACCATACAATATACCCATTTAAGGTGTACGATTCAGCCAGGCACAGTTGCTCATGCCTGTAATCCCAGCAAATTGGGAGGCCAAGGTGGGCGGATCATTTGAGGTCAGGAGTTTGAGACCAGCCTGTCTAACGTGGTGGAGCCCGTCTCTATTAAAAAATATATATACAAAAAAAAATAGCCAGGCATGATGGCGAGGGCCTGTAATCCCAGCTACCTTGGAGGCTGAGGCAGGAGAATCTGGGAGGTGGAGGAACCTGGGAGGTGGAGGCTGCAGTGAGCCGAGATCGCGCCACTACACTCCAGCCTGGGCTGGACTTTTGAGACTCCGTCTCAAAAAAAACAAAAAAGTGTACAATTCAATGGCTTTTGGCACATTAATTTATTAATCTTAACATTGTGAGAAAATATATATAACATAAAATTTGTCATTGTAACCTTTTTTTTTTTTTTTGAGATGGAGTCTCGCTCTGTCACCCAGGCTGGAGTGCAGTGGCGCGAACTCAGCTCACTGCAAGCTCCGCCTCCCGGGTTCACGCCATTCTCCTGCCTCAGCCTCCCAAGTAGCTGGGACTACAGGCGCCTACCATCACCCCCGGCTAATTTTTTTTGTATTTTTTAGTAGAGACGGGGTTTCACATGTTAGCCAGGATGGTCTCGATCTCCTGACCTCATGATCCACCCGCCTAGGCCTCCCAAAGTGCTGGGATTACAGGCGTGAGCCACTGTGCCCGGCCCATTGTAACCATTTTTAAGTCCATAGTTAAGTTGATTATATTCACAATGTTCTTTTATTTAATCCCTGTGAAGATGCCATTTTATAGATGAGAAAACGGAGGCTAAGTTAATGAATTTACCTATAGCTACTCAACGAGGAAGCAGCCAAGTAGAGTTGCAAACTCAAAGTCAAGCTGAAGGCTGGGTGCTTCCCAGCAGGCCAGGTTACCTTCTATGAGGTGGAGAGGCTCCTGGCAGATCAACCATCCAGAGTAGCTGGAAGGCGGGCTTGTTGTTGCCTAAAGGAGCCAGGGGAAACCGCACAGCATGCTTTGGCCCCTCATGGCTCCTCACTGACCCTCCTAAGTCGACTTTGAACCACAGTGACATGTACTCTCCTTTGTGCCCTGACACCTGTTCTCCCTAGAGGGCACAGATGGGCTACCTCCTCCTCCTCCTCCTGGCCAAACTTTTTGAAAGAAGGACCCACAACTCTCTCTGATTCCTCATTCCTTGTTATTCCTCAGTCCACTGAGATCCAATCCCATCATTCCTTTGATACTACCTGCCCCCATCGGCGTCACTGAGTGGCCTGGTGAGCAAATCTAATGGATCCCTCTCTCGGGGCTGTACTGGCTTTCCTAGTGGCTCAATGGCACCCCACTCTCCTGGTTCTCCCAATTCTCATCACCCCTCTGCTTCCCTCACTCCTCCCTTCCCTAAAGGGAGGGCATAGAAGGCCAAGGGAGCCCTAAGCTAGGCCACCATCTGTTTCCTCAGAGTCTGGTCTGTCTTTGGACTGCACTTGCTTGCCTGGTCAGTCTCCCATCTCCCTTAAATTCAGAACCATCCATGTGTGGCCACTACCAAATTTCTACCTCCTGCCAGGCCAGACCTCTCATCTGAGCTCCAGCCACAAGTCCTGCCTGGCCAGCCTCCCTGGTCATCCCACAGGCACCTCAAGCGAACCATGTCTAATGGACCTCAGCACCCCTCCCCTTCCAAACCAGCTTCTCTTTCCATGTCCCTATCTCAGTGACACACACCATCATCTACCCAGTCATAAGAAGCAGAAACCTGGGAGTCACTCTCTGGAATGTGAACTCACGGGGCAGGGATTTTTTTCTTACTTGTTTAAAGCCTATATTCCAAGCACGTGGAACTGGCTTAGGAGGTGCCTAATAAGTATTTGTTGAATGAAAATCTTTTTTTTTTTTTAAATAGAGATGGCGTCTCACTATGTTGCCCAGGCTGGTCTTGAACTCCCGGCCTCAACTGATCCTCCCACCTCAGCCTCCCAATGTGCTGGGATTACAGGCATGAGCAACCACACCTGGCATTGAATGAATTCTTGCCTTCTCCCACATACCAAAACCATCTCCAAGACCTGTCCATTTTGCCCTTTAAACATTCTCTTTCCTGGCATGGTGATGCATACTTGTAGTCCCAGCTACTCCAGAGGCTGAGGCAAGAGGATTACTTAATCCCAGGAGTTCAAGGCCAGCCTATAGAACATAGCGAGACCCATCTTATAAAAAGAATAAAATGAAAACATTCTCTCACATACTTCTACATCCTCCAACAACGTTGCTGCTCCCCTAGCCTAAGTCCCCCTCATCTCTTGCTAGGACGAGTGCAACAAAGTCCTCACTGGTCTTTCTGCTTTTGCTCTCCCATTCCCTGGGGCACCAGCTGGCGGATGCTTTCTACAACCCCAGCATGACGTTCCCCTCACCTGCTTAAAACCCTGCAAAGAGTCCCTGTTGATATCAGGATAAACTTTTTTGGCATTGAGGGGGTTAGAGAATAGTTTTGAATAAATGTTTTTCTACTCTCTGCAGCAGACTGAGGACCAGAGCCCTTGGCACGCCCAGCCCCAAACATTTTTTCCTGAGGGTTGGGGGGTATCGAAGAGCCCTCTAACATCAGAGATTCTCCCAAGGGGAGTGGTGTTGAGCTCTCTAACATTGGGGAGCTCTGCCAGCTCCTTGCCAAGATGCTGGCCTAGCTTAGGACTCCCTTGGCCTTCTATGCCTTCCCTTTCCCTTTGCTCCTCCCATTCACTGTAGAGTCCATTCAGGGTGCATGACCTGGGTGTTGCTACCAGCAGAGGTGAGAGAAAGAGAAAAATGGGAGAAAGACAGAGCTGCCAGGGAGACTCAGCCCCCTTCTCTCCTGGGATCCTTCTTTCTCACCATCCTGAGTCTGCACCCTGATCTACCTGTGGCCACCACTGAGGGTCTCCTAGGGGCTTGGCAGATGGGGACACTAGGCTGCCAGCAAGGGGCAGAGGCCTTTGTCAGAGTAAGCAGGAGAGAGAGACAGAGAGAGAGAGAGAGAGAGACCTAGTGTCCTTTCTTCCCTGAAGTAAAAGACTCCTGGCTTCACATGCCTTCCTGGCCTTGGGCCTTGGTAACTTAGAGCCTGAGGGTGAGCCTGGAGTGATGGGGACTAGAGGCACAGGGGTTTCCTGGGGGTAGGACATAGAGGGAATCAGCCTGCAGGGAGGTCAAAATGCTTTGAACTCGGGCTGCAGGAACCTTTGAGAAGTGCTCAGAACTCAGATTCTAAGGACACCCTAGCGAAGTGACTGAACTGAGGCTGTGGGACCTTTCTGGGAAATGTGCGAAATTTAGGCTGCAGGGGCTCACTGAATTCAGGCAGGGGGTTCTTAGGAAATGTACTGACTCTAACTGTGAGGCTGTCTGGGGAGGCTGATAAACTCAGGTCCAACAGGACATTCTTGAGGACTGCATTGAACTCAAGTTGTAGGGGCTTCTTGGAGAGACCCATGAACTGAGTTTATGGACCCTTTTTGGGGAGGTCACTGAACTTTCACTGCATGCCTGGAACTTTGCTTGCAGACTCAAAGTCCATGTGGCTGTCCTCTGCTACACAAACTCAGAGGTACAAGACATACAGACAGACATGGACTGCAGTTACCCAAGGATCATTCACAGTCTCTCCTCTCTCCTTGCTACACACACACATACACACACACACACATACACACACCCTGTCTCTTCAGTCCCCTCTCCTGGTTCTTCCATAATTTCCTAACCTCTGAACACAGGAATGTTCAGAGTTCAGTCCACAAACCTCCCCATTTGTTTATACTCACTTTTTTTTTTTTTTTTTGAGATAGGGTCTTGCTCTGCCACCCAGGCTAGAGCGCAGTGGCCCAATCTCGGCTCCCTGCAATCTCTGCCTCCCAGGTTCAAGCGATTCTCATGCCTCAGCCTCCCAAGTAGCTGGGACTACAGGCACATACCACCATGCCCAGTTAATTTTTGTATTTTTAGTAGAGACTGGGTTTAACCATGTTGCCCAGGCTGGTCTTGAACTCTTGACCTCAAGCGATCCCAGCAATGTCTATCTGGGCACTCTTCACTCCTTTACCCAGCTTTGTATTTTCTCTGTAGCTCTTATCACAGTCTGATATACTGTAGATTTATTTGTTATTTGTTCATTGTCCGTCTCTTCCCACTTAAATATAAACTCCATTAAGGCAAAGACTTTGTCTTGTTCACTGCTGTATCCCTCCAATTACAACAGTGCTTGAAAAATAGCAGTGCTCAATAGATATTTGTCGAATGAATGAATGAATGCTGGGAACCAAGTGAATATTTGTTGAATTGAGGGGTACTGGACCCCACTTTTTGTTTTTCTTTGAGACAGTCTCACTCTGTGCCCAGGCTGGAGTGCAGTGGTGCAATCTTGGCTCACTGCAACCTCTGCCTCCCAGGTTCAAGCAATTCTCCTGCCTCAGCCTCCCAAGCAGCTGGGACTATAGGCACAAGCCACTAATTTTTGTATTTTTAGTAGAGACAGGGTTTTACCATGTTGGCCAGGCTGGTCTCAAACTCTTGACCCCAGGTGATCCACCTGTCTCAGCCTCCCAGAGTGCTGGGTTCACAGGCATAAGCCACTGCACCTGGCCTGGACCCTACTCTTGATCTTTGTGGATCACACAGACCTGTATCTTCCTTTTCAGAGATTCTTTAAAAAAAAGAGAGAGAGAGATTTTTTCTAAATCAGTTACCAAGGCTGTTAAATGGGAAAATGAATAGCTAGTCTAAAGGAGGAAATTTAGCACTTGTAGAACAGCAAGGGGGTGCTTGAAGCATGACAGCTGAAGGTAACATATATAGGTAATGTAATACAGGTAACATAGCCTACATGAGTAATGTCTAGTCTGAAAACGAATACTACTTTGAGTATTTAAAACAGAAAGATGTTAATAGACATCACACAAGCAATGGAAGAATCAAGAAAGCACTGGAGAGTATGACACAACTCAGATCAGCAGCAGCAGGAAACCATTTCTACTCCTAGGCCAGAGAGTGAGGAGGAAGGTTTTCAGGGCACAGGGACCAGGGACATCAACAGATACTTTCTTGTAATTCTGACAGCTGCTATAAGGAGAGGAGTCTGGGGCATCTGGCCGCGTTTCCAAATCTGCTCGGCCCTTTTCTTCCAAGGATGATCTGGTTCTGCTCTTTGATCCAGGGCACTGCTTTAAAGAGCCTGTTTGTTTGTGGCAGGCACCAGACTAGTATTGTCACTGGTTCATGGACTCTGAAAGCACCTAGAAGATCCACTGTTCCTGTGGCAGTGGATGATGGCAGCTGGTACACCCTGGGTGCAGCTGGTGTCTTTGATTTAGTACAAGCACCTTTCAAAGATTTCATTACACTTGAAAGCCTCACCTCCGGAAGGCAGTGGGTGGGGGAGCAGCTGTTCAGCCTCTGTAGAGATAGGACCAATGGGTGCATTTCTGAGGAAGTAGACTTCAACTAAGGAAGAAGTTTTTAACACAGCTGCCAGCAATGGCCTTGGCTCTCTTGTGAAGAAGTGAGCTTTCTGCTCCAGAAGGTATTCTAGCAGTCTGTCAAAAATCTTGCAGTGAGGAAAGCCTACAGTGGCCTACAAAAGCCTGCTAAATGCCTTCTCCATTGCTTCTAACTTTGCCCAACTCTGAATTCTGTGGGTGAACAACTAGCTCCTTTCATTCTGGCCCTCTATTCTTTCTTTTTTCTTTTTCTTTTCTTTTTTTTTTTTTTTTTTTTGAGACGTATCACTGGTGTCGCCCAGGCTAGAGTGCAGTGGGGCCATCTTAGCTCACTGCAACCTCTACTTCCTGGGTTCAAGTGATTCTCCTGCCTCAGCCTCCTGAGTAGCTGGGATTACAGGCATGCACCATGACACCTGGCTAGTTCTTTTGGTATTTTTAGTAGAGACAGGGTTTCACCATGTTGGCCAGGCTGGTCTCGAACTCCTGACCTCAAGTGATCTGCCCGCCTCAGCCTCCCAAAGTGTTGAGATTACAGGCATGAGCTACCATGCCCAGCCTGGCCCTCTATTCTTGACACATCCTTCTGCAGACCAACCCCATGTCTGCAAGTTTCATAACCCCAGTGAGAGAGCATCTGAGGGCAGGGTAGGCATGTGCCACTCAGTAGGCCTTCCCTCCTGTCTCACTTCTCACTCCCATGGCCAACTCATAGCCTGGCTTTTGGTTGAGGAAACTGGCACTTGGTGAGTATAGTAGATCGAATAACAGCCCCTCAAAGATGTCCACATCTTAATTCCTGAACCTATGTTAATTTACATGGCAAAAAGAGGTCTTGCAGATGTGATTAAATTAGAAATCATGGGATGGGGAGATGATCCCAGATTAGCCAGGTGAGCCCAATGCAATCACTAGAGTCCTTATAAAAGAAAGGCAGGGCAGAGAAGAAGACAGAAGCAGGGGTTGGAGTGATGTTCTTTGTAAAAATGGAGGAAGCAGCCATGAGCCAAAGAATGCAGATGACATCAGAAGCTGGAAAAGGCAAGGGAATGGATCTCCCCTAGGGCCTCCAGAAAGAATGCAGCCCTGCTAACACCTTGCTTTTAGCCCCATAAGACCCATTTTTTTTTCAGGCTTCTGACCTCCAGAACTGCAAGATAATAAACTTGTATTGTTTTAAGCTACTACATTCGTCATAATTCATTTTCAAAACAGGAAACTAATATAGAGGACTTACGATCCATTCCCATGACAACCAACACAACAGCCTGGTAGCTGACCAAATAAAAAGGCCAGGCATGGTGGCTCACACGTGTAATCTCAGCACTCTGGGAGGCCCAGGAGGGTGGGTCACTTGAGGTCAGGAGTTCAAGACCAGCCTGGCCAACATGGTGAAACCCCATCTCTACTAAAAATACAAAATCAACCGGGCATGGTGGCAGGCATCTGTAGTCCCAGCTACTCAGGAGGCTGAGGCACGAGAATCACCTGAACCCATGAGGCAGAGGTTGCGGTGAGTCAAGATTGTACCACTGCACTCCAGCCTGGGCAACAGAGCAAGACTCTGTCTCAAAAAAACAAACAAAAAACATTTTCCATAGGAAGGAAGCAAACATGGTAGTTAAAAGCATGGGTCTTGCAGGCAAACAGACCTGATTCAAATCCAAGCTCTGCTAGGTTGCGTGATAGCTCAGAGCTTCATTGTCTCATCTGTAAAATGGGAGTGTTACGGCCACCTTGCCCAAGGTGGTTGTGAAGATGAAATAAAATAATGCAGTTAAAGCACTCAGCATAGGTCCTAGAACACAGGAAAGTCTCAGTAAATAGTAGTGGTAGCTATTATTACTCCTACCACCATCTCCATCATTGCTACTACTGTTACTACCAATACTACTGCAGTTGCTGCTGCTACTGCTACTATTACTGCTGCAGCTATTGCTAATATTACTATTGCTATTTACCACAACAATATCTATGCCTGGGGCCAGACACAGTGAATCACTCCTGTAATCTCAGAACTTTGGGAGGCTGAGGCAGGAGGATCGCTTGAGCACAAGAATTGGAGACCCACCTAGGCAACACAGCAAGACCCCATCTCTACAAAAAAATAAAAATGAAAAAATTAGTCAGGCATAGTAGCACATATCTGTAGTCCTAGCTACTTGAGAAGCTGAGGTGGGAGGATTGCTTGAGCCCAGGAGTTTGAGGTTGCTGTGAGCTATGATTGTGCCACTGCACTCCAGCCTGGGCGACAGAGGGAGACCCTGTCTCTAAACAAAACAAATCTATGCCTGAAGAGCAGGGGCGATGTCACAAAAAGGATGAATAGAGACGGCAGCAACAATAAGGGAGGATGTGCTTAGAAGGGGTCAAAGTCTGGAGGTCACAACTTCACACTGCTAGTTGGGATTGAATTTTGAGTCTGAAGCCTGGTCTGAGGGCTCTTGAGGCTGAGGAGGTTAACATCTGCATCCACCCACTCAACATTTCTGCTGGAGTGTCTGTGTCTGGGGTGCAGCCTCCTGGCTAAGAGACCCTGGCTCAGGATCACCAACCAAGGCCTTCCATCTGTGCTTCCGTCTGGCCCAGTGCCCTTAGGCCAGGCCTGGAATTATGGGATGCTGTGGAAATGCAGACACATGACATAGCCCAGAATTCAAGGTGCTGACCTTTTGATCTTAGAGACAAACCAGGATCCTGAACCCAGTTACACATACATGTCCTCATTGTATTTCCCAGTTGAGAAGGCGAATCAGACAGCAAAAGAATGTGTGGACAAGATACAAACGCCTCTTCATTATTTCTGTGTTTCTTTTCCAAGGCCTCACTGTTGTTTAGGGGCCTACCCTGCTGCTTTTCTTTGAATGTACAGAAAGGCACCAGGTTGCTTTTCCCTAAGACTCTGGGTTTTGATGAGTAACACACTAAGACAATATGCTGCAGATATTTTTAGCAGCAACACCACCTAATATGTTGTTAAGAATTCTCCTCTGGAGTCAGATAGCATCTGGCCTCACATCCTGGTTTTGCTACTTGTTAGCTGTGTGGCCTTGGGCAAATTCCTTAACTTTTCTGAGGCTCAATTTCCTCATTTTAAAATGGTTTTATAGCAGATACCTTCTAGAGTTCTTGTAAGGAGAAATGAGATGATCCATATAATCATACCGAGCACAATGCCTGTACTTTAACCATTACTCAGTAGATGTGGGTCATTGCTGTTAGCGCTATCGTGATGTTACCATTTTCAGAGCATAGCTTTAACTTAGGACCAGAGGCAGCCACAAGTCTAGATGCTAATGTGGCTTTACCTCTCTGTGTTGTCATAGTGGCCTGAGGCTGCATGCTTGGCAAGGTCTGGGAAGTTAGGACCCTTTCCCTTTCAGAGTTCAGGAGGGTGAGCAGCTTAAGGATCCACCAGGTGGGTTCAGCTGGGCACAGTTCTACAAACAAGGAAGACATGTTGACATGTTCCAGGTGTGCTCCACAGCTGTTGTGGCAGGGATTGGTGCTGTTTATTATACGAAACCATAAAAGAGGCCAGGCACAGTGGCTCATGCCTGTAATCCCAGCATTTTGGGAGGCCAAGGCAGGCAGATCACCTGAGGTCAGGAGTTCAAAACCAGCCTGGCCGACATGGTGAAACCCCATCTCTACTAAAAATACAAAAATTAGCCAGATGTAGTGGCAGGCACCTGTAATTTCAGCTACTCAGGAGGCTGAGACAGGAGAATCACTTGAACCCGGGAGGCGGAGGTTGCAGGGAGCTGAGATTGCACCATTGCACTCCAGCCTGAGCAACAAGAGCAAAACTGTCTCAAAAAATAAATAAATAAATAAATAAAATTAAAAGAAATAAAAGAGGCCAGGTGTGATGGTTCACACCTGTAATCCCAGCACTTTGGGAGGCCAAGGTGGGCGGATCACAAAGTCAGGAGTTCGAGACCAGCCTGGCCAACATGGTGAAACCCCATCTCTACTAAAAAACACAAAAATGGCTAGGCCTGGTGGTTCGCATCTGTAATCCCAGCTACCTGGGGAGGCTGAGGAAGAAGAATCGCTTGAACCCAGGAGGTGGATGTTGCAGTGAGCTGAGATCATGCCACTATACTCCAGCCTGGGCGACAGAGTGAGACTCTGTCTCAAAATTAAAAAAATAAATTAATAAATCAAAATCACTGCTGGAAAGTTGGTTTCTAACTTTACATATCTTTGGATGAAATGTTGACTTAGTTGACTGGCTAATTCAGTTCTGAGTGATGAAAACATACCTGAGAAATCATGACACTTCAGGTTTACCGTAAATGTCATAACTTGGGACAAGATGCCTGAGTACATACAGGATATAGAGAATGAGTCAAAAGACATTTGGCAAGGGCTTTGAATTCACTCCCCTGGAGTGACAACAACTGATGGGGGGTAGTGAATTAGGCATTCTCCTTTATCACAGGTGGGAGTGAAATCACTGCAATCTTTGGGGATGTAATTTGGCTGTTCACATCAAACTGTTTATTTCTTTAGGCTTGGTAATCCCACCTCTGATAATCTATTCTAAAGAAATAATCCACATATTTAGAAAGAGCTGTATGCATATATTTGTTCATTGGCTCGTTATGTATAAGAGTGAAAAGATGGAAACCTACATGTCAACCTAAAGGTCTAACAACATGGAGTTGGTTAAATAAGTGACAACATATCCACTCAGTGGCATATTATGCAGCCATTGCTAATGAGTATCATAAAGGCATAGGAAATGGTGGGTGGTATTTATCAAGTGAAAAAGTTAAATACAAAATGGTATAATTGTAACTGTGTGAACAACTGTAAACAGAAAAAAGATTGGAAAGACTCAAGAAAGATATCATTAGTGATTGTGTTTAGGGTGATGGAGAAATTGCGAGTAACGTTTTTGTACATGTTCCAAGTCTTAAATTTTGTAGTTATATAACTTGTGTGGGAGGCAGAATGATGACCTTTGAAAGACCGCCTTGTCTTAATCCCTGGCCCCTGTGAATATGTTACCTTGCATGGCAAAGAGGGCTTTGCAGATATGATTAAGTTAAGGATTTTCAGATGGGGAGAGTATTCTGGATTCTCCAGTGGGCTGAGCAGAATCACAAAGGTCCTTATAAAAGGCAGGTTAGAGTCAGGGTGAGAGAGCGGTTTGAAAATGCTGTGCTCCTGGCTTTGAAGATGGAGGAACAGGCTATGAGCCAAGAAATGGAGGCAACTTTTAGAAACTGAAAAGGAAACAGTGTCCCCTAGATCCTCCAGAAGGAACACAGCTCAGCCAACACCTTGACTTTAGTCCATATAGACCTATTTCAAACTTCTGACTTCCCAGAAATGTAAGATAAAAAATGTTTGTTGTTTTAAGCCATTAAGTTTGTTATGACAGGGTATCGTGATTCTCCAGGCCTGTGTCACATACCCACTCCTGCAGTCAGGGACTAGGAGGAATAGTGCCACACAGCCAGAAAGAGGGCAATTCCTTAAAGGCATGCAAAAGCAGAAGCTATCCTCAATCCATTTTTATTTTATTTAACATTTATTATGTTTTAATTGAACAAAAGTCATATGTATTTACAAACACAATTTTGTAAAAATAATTTCAACTATTTTATTTTATTTTTTGAGACGGAGTCTTGCTCTGTCACCCAGGCTGGAGTGCAGTGGCGCAATCTTGGCTCATTGCAACCTCCGCCTCCCAAGTAGCTGGGATTACAGGTGCACGCCACCACGCCCAGCTAATTTTTGTATTTTTAGCAGAGATGGGATTTTGCCATGTTGGCCAGACTGGTCTCGAACTCCTAACCTCAAGTGATCCGCCCACCTTGGCCTCCTAAAGTGCTGGGATTACAGGCATAAGCCACCGTGCCCGGCCCACAACTTTTATTTTAGATTCACAGGGTACATGTGCAGATTTGTTACATGGGTATATTGCATGATGCTGAGATTAGGCATATGAATGATCTCATCACCCAGGTAGCCAGCATAGTACCCAACAGGCAGTTTTTCAGTCCTCATTCCTCCCCCTTTTCCCCCCTCTAGTAGCCCCAGTGTCTATGTTCCCATTTTTATGTCTGTATGTACCCAATGTTTAGCTCCCACTTATAAGTGAGAACATGTGATATTTGGTTTTCTGTTCCTGCATTAATTACTTTAGGATAATGGCCTCCAGCCTCATCCACGTTGCTGCAAAGGACATGATTTCATTCTTTTTATGGCTGTGTAGTATTCCATGGTGTATATGTACCACATTTTCTTTCCTTTTTGGAGACAGGGTCTTGCTGTGTTACCCAGGTTGGACTGTTGTGGCCTGATTACAGCTCACTGCAGTCTCAAACTCCTGGGCTCAAGGGGTTCTTTGGCCTTGGCCTCTCAAGTAGCTGGGACTACAGGTGTGTGCCACCACACCTGGCTAATTAATTTTTTTTTTTTTTTTTTTAGAGACAGTGTCTCATCACCTTGCCCAGGCTGGTCTTGGACTCCTGAGCTCAAGCAATCCTCCCACCTCAACCTCCCCAAAGCCTAGAGTACAGGCATGAACCACTGCACCTGCTGGCACATTTTCTTTGTCCAGTCCACTGTTGGTGGGCACCTAGGCTGATTCCATATCTCTGCTATTGTGAATTGTGCTGCAATGAACATATGAGTGCATGTATATTTTCTGTAGAACAATCTGGATATTAGTCCTTTGTTGGATGCATAATTTGCAAATATTTTCTCTATTTTTGCAAATATTTTGTCAGTTTTTGTTTTTGTTGCTATTGCTTTTAAGGACTTAGCCATAAATTATTTGCCCAGGCTGATGTCCAGAATGGCATTTCCTAGGTTTTCTTCTAGGACTTTTATAGTTTGAGATCTTACATTTAAATATTTAATCCGTCTTCATTTAATTTTTGTATACAGTGAAACGCAGGGATCCAGCTTTATTTTTCTGCATATGGCTAGCCAGTTATCACAGCATCATTTATCAAATAGGGAATCCCTTTCCCATTGCTTATTTTTGTCAACTTTGTCAAAGATCAGATGCTGTCAGTGTATGGCTTTATTTCTGGGTTCTCTATTCTGTTTGGCCTATGTGTCTGTTTTTCTACCAGTATCATGCTGTTTTGATTATTGTAGTTTATAGTTTGAAGTTAGGTAATGTGATGCCTTTGGCTTTGTTCTTTTTGCTTAGGATTGCTTTGGCTATTCAGGCTCTTTTTTTGGTTCCATATGAATTTTAGAAGAGTTTTTCCTAATTCTGTGAAAAATGACATTGGTAGTTTGATAGGAATAACGTTGAATTTGTAGATTGCTTTAGGCAGTATGGCCATTTTAATGATATTAACTCTTCCGGTCCATGAGTATGGAATGTTTTTCCATTTGTTTGTGTCATCTTTGATTTCTTTCAGAACTGTTTTGTAGTTCTCCTTGTAGAGATCTTTCACCTCCTTGGTTAGATGTATTCCTAGGTACTTTTTGTTTTTAATGCTCTTGTAAATGGCATTGCATTCTTGATGTGGCTCTCAGCATGAATGTTATTGACGTATAAAAATGATAAGATTTTTGTACATCAATTTTGTATCCTGTAACTTTACTGAAGTTGTTTATCAGATCTAGGAGCCTTTTGGCAGAGTCTTTAAGGTTTTCTAGGTACAGTATGACGTCAGCAAAGAGAGGTCATTTGTCTTCTTTTTTATTTGGATGCCATTTATTTCTTTTTTGCCTGATTGCTCTGACTAGGACTTCCAGTATTATTTTGAATAGGAGTGATGATATTGGGCATCCTTGTCTTGTTCTTGTTTTTATTTTTTAATTTATTTTTATTTTTTTATTTTTTGAGATGGAGTTTCTCTCTTGTCACCCAGGCTGGAGTGCAATGGCGCAATCTCGGCTCACTGCAACCTCCACCTCCCAGGTTCAAGTGATTATCCTACCTCAGCCTCCTGAGTAACTGGGATTACAGGCATGTGCCACCATGCCCTGGTAATTTTGTATTTTTAGTAGAGACGGGGTTTCACCACGTTGGTTAGGTTGGTCTCGAACTCCTGACCTCAGATGATCTGCCCTCCTCAGCCTCCCAAAGTGCTGAGATTACAGGCGTGAGCCACAGTGCCCGGCCATTTTTTTTTTTTTTTTTTTTTTTTTAATGAGACAGAGTCTTGCTTTATTGCCCAGGCTGGGGTATGGTAGGCTCACTGCAACCTCTGCCTCCAGGATGCAAGAGATTCTAATGTCTCAGCCTCCCGAGTAGCTAGGATTACGGGCATGTGTGAACACACCTGACTAATTGTTAGTAGTAGGGACGGGGTTTTGCCATGTTGGCCAGGCTAGTCTCAAACCCCTGGCCTTAAGTGATCTGGCCGCCTCAGCCTCCCAAAGTGCTGGGATTACAGGCATGAGCCACAGCACCTGGCCTTGTTTCTGTTTTCAAAAGGGGTGCTTCTAGCTTTTGTCTATTCATGATGTTGGCTGTGGGTTTGTCATAGATATGTTGAGGCACAACATGATGTTTTGAAATATATATACATTTTGATATGGCTAAATCAAATTAATTAACATATGCATACCTAATCTATCCATATTTTATATCATGATTAATTTGCATATTACTCCATAGTCTTCATAATTACCATTTTAATGGATTTAGGATTACATCATACCATAGCTTGACTAACCCTTGTGTAATATTGTTGGCTACTTAGATTGCTTTTAAAATTCTTCTGTTATAAATAATGCTGTAATGAACATCTTTGTGCATATAGTTTTCTCTATAAGTTAGATTATTTCTGTCAGATAGATTTCCAGAAGAGGGGTCACTGAACTAAAGGTGAGAACAATGATTTATTTTGGCAAATTGTTTTCCAGAAGGGCTTTATTAATGCACAGAGAGTGGTGCAGCTGCCGAAGCAAAGGTGGAATTGTGCTGTCAGGCTTTGCAAACTGAGGTGGGTTGAAGACATATAGATTGGTGTGTCCTGAGGCCATGAGTAAAGCAACAAACAGGAAACATGTTTATCCTGCAAACTGACTTGTAGTTAGGTAATGTATACCTTTTTCATCTTTCAGATTGGTAAAACTTGAAAGACTGATAGATAACATACAATGCTCGTAAGACTGAGAAAACAGATGCCACATCTTACTGGCTATCAAATACAGAAAAAAAAAAGGTTATTCTGGAGGGCTCTATCTCATTCTGTTGTCAAAGGACCAAACTTGAGTTTAATCCAGTCCTTGGATATAGCTGCAGATTGTAGGAAATATGGGGGACAGAAAAACTCGTTGAACTGCACCAAGTAAAACAGATGCCAGGTGATAGAAATGGAAATTACTACAACCTTGTGGGAAAATAATCTGGCTATATGAATTAAAATTTAAAATACACATGATCTTTGACTTGGGAATCCCATTTTTGTGAATTTCACCTACAAAAAGAAGGTATCAGGTCTGTTTCTTGTTGGTGTCAGTTCCTCTCTCTTTATAGCTTACAGCTCCCAGCATGGGTTGAGGCTATCATTTGTCTTTGGCCTTATCTCTAGGGGATGCCATATTCTTTGTCTTAAACAACTAAGCATTTGATATGGAGTGTGGCAGAGGCAGCTGTCTCCAGTAGCCATTTTACCTTTCTTCCTTTTAGGAAGAGCCACAGAGCCTATGATCATCCCGTTAGAGGCCATGAAACCCAGCCTCCCTTACAGCTAGACATAGCCACGTGAATAAGTTCTGGCCAACAGGACTTGAGGGCAAGGGATATCTGCAACCTCTGGGGGTGAAACAATCAGATTTATCCATCTGGAAATTTTGGCCTTGAGAAATACTAGTGAATATCCACTGTCTCTTGAACTGAAAGACAGAATTGAGAGCTACAGGATGGCTATTTTCTGCCAGGGGAAAAGAGAAACGAGAAGAAATGTTTTGCAGAGAAAGGAGAATAGAGCGCATGCAAAACAGAAGAGTAGAGGCTGGGATCCCATAAGGTCCCAGAGTGCTCAGAGCAGCTATTCCAGTCCTGTCCTTGGGTCCTTATTTTATTTTATTTTTTTTTGAGACAGAATTTCTGTTGCTCAGGCTGGAAGGTAATGACACAATCATAGCTCACTGCAGCCTTGACCTCCTGGGCTCAAGCAATCTTCCCACTCCAGCCTCCCGGGCGTGTACCACCACACCCAGCTAATTTTTAAATTTTTAGTAAACACAGGATCTCACCACATTGCCCAGCCTAGTCTTGAACTCCTGGACTCAAGCAGTCCTCCCACGTCAGCCTGCCAAAGTCATGGGATTACAGGTGAGAACCGCTGCGCCCTGCCTTTTTGGTCCTTTTAATAGATGTCCTGTTTTTCCTTCAGCTAATTTAAATGATATTTCTTTCATGTGCAAGAAAAGTGGCCTTCATAAAGATAAAGCCCTCAAGAATAACCTTTTTTTCTGTATTTGATAGCCAATAAGATGTGGCAGGAAACTGAGATGTTGTGTTTTGCTTTGCTGTTGTGGAAGAATTAGAAAAGGCCGGGCACAGTGGCTCATGCCTGTAATCCCAGCACTTTGGGAGGCTGAGGCAGGCAGATCACTTGAGGTCAGGAGTTCGAGACCAGCCTGGCCAACATGGTGAAGCCTCGTCTTTACTAAAAATACAAAAATTAGCCGGGTGTGGTGGTGTGCACCTGTAATCCCAGCTACTGGGGAGGCTGAGGCATGGGAATCACTTGAACCCGGGAGGCGGAGGTTACAGTGAATCAAGATCACGACACTGCACTCCAGCCTGGGTGACAGAGCAAGACTCAGTCTCAAAAGAAAAAAAAAAAAGAATTAGAAAGGATAACAGCCATTTATTTAGTTAGTTATTCTTGGGGTTTCCCCCTTGTTTTCTGAAAAGGTATGCAAGCTTTTAAGTTTCCTGCCTCAGAGGAAGTTTGACCTGTAGGGCTGAGAGAAGAGGTCACCTAAGGTGGCTTGCTCTCCTGGGTTAGGTTTCTAAAAGTTGGAGCTCTTTGAGGGGATTATGATGGGGGAAGGGGGAGAGGTTAGATGTTCTAAGATAGGGTAGGCTCAAGCCATGAAAGTAAAGAGAGAGTCCTTGAGACAAGAGGAGATAGAAGTCTGTAGATTCTGTGACTTTGGGGTCCTGTACTCTAACCTGACTAATCCCAGGGAGATGGCATGACCTCAGAGGGGACCAGCAGCCTGGTGTTTCCAGAGACTAGACCTTAGATCTTGGCTTTCCATGCCTGACTGTTGCTTCCTGACCACAACATTTTACTTATAGAAACAGGGGAAGTTTGACAGATTTGGCCTGCAGGCCATGGTTTGCCAACCCTTGAATGAGAATATCATCATTTAACAACCCTCAGTGAATTAATAGATATGGGCATTAGGCACTATAACATGTTAACATGGATGTTATCATCATAAAAAGGGAGATAACCAGGCATGTGTGTTTGCTATGGACTTACCTAATATCTCTTACTCTGTTATCAAAGGACCAAACCTGAGTTTAATCCAGTCCTTGGATACAGCTGTAGATGGCAGGAAATATGGGTGACAGAAAAACTGGTTGAACTGCACCAAGAATATGCAATCAGCAAAATCTAGACCATGGGAAGCTGTGCAGGTCAAAAGGATTCTTTAACAGACTGGGTAAAGAAAAGGGATAGAGGGTGTGTTAGTCTGTTTTCATGCTGCTGATAAAGACATACCCGAGACTAGGAAGAAAAAGAGGTTTAATTGGACTTACAGTTCCACATGGCTGGGGAAGCCTCAGAATCATGGCAGGAAGGAAAAGACACTTTTTTTTTTTTTTTAGACAGAGTCTTGCTCTTCATCAGGCTGGAGTGCAGTGACACGAACTTGGCTCACTGCGACCTCCACCTCCCAGGTTCAAGTGATTCTCCTGCCTCAGCCTCCTGAGTAGCTGGAACTACAGGCATGTGCCACCACACCCAGCTAATTTTTGTATTTTTGCAGAGACGTGGTTTCACCATGTTGGCCAGGCTGGTCTGGAACTCCTGACTTTGTGATCCGCCTGCCTCAGCCTCCCAAAGTGCTGGGATTACAGGTGTGAGCCACCGCACCCGGCCAAAAGACACGCTTACATGGTGGCAGCAAGTGAGAATGAGAAAGATGCAAAAGCGGAAACCCCTGATAAAAGCATCAGATCTCATGAGACTTATTCACTACCATGAGAACTGTATGGGGGAAACCGCCCCCATGATTCAAATTATCTCCCACAGGTTCCCTCCCACAACATGTGGGAATCATGGGAGTACAATTCAAGATGAGATTTGGGTGGGGACACAGAGCCAAACCATATCATTCCACCCCTGGCCCCTCCAAATTTCATGTCTTCACATTTCAAAACCAATCATACCTTCCCAACAGTCCCCTAAAGTCTTAACTCATTTCAGCATTAACCAAAAAGTCCACATTCCCAAGTCCATCTGAGACAAGGCAAGTCCCTTCTGCCTATGAGCCTGTAAAATCAAAAGCAAGCTAGTTACTTCCTAGATACAATGAGGGTACAGGTATTGGGTAAACACAGCCATTCCAAATGGAGAAATTAGCCAAAACAAAGGGGTTACAGGGCCCATGCAAGTCCAAAATCCAGCAGGGCAGTCAAATTCTAAAGCTCCAAAGTGATCTCCTTTGACTCCATGTCTCACATCCAGGTTACACTGATGCAAGAGGTAGATTCCCATAGTCTTGGGCAGCTCCACCCCTGTGACTTTGCAGGGTATAGCTCCCCTCCTGGCTGCTTTCACAGGCTGGTGTTGAGTGTCTGCGGCTTTCCCAGGCACACGGTGCAAGCTGTCAGTGGATCTACCATTCTGGGGTCTGAAGGATGTTGGCCCTCTTCTTACAGCTCCACTAGGCAGTGCCCCAGTAGGGACTCTGTGTGGGGGCTCCGACCCCACACTTCCCTTGTGCACTGCCCTATCAGAGGTTCTCCATGAGGGCCCCGCCCCTGCAGCAAACCTCTACCTGGGCATCCAGGCATTTCCATACATCTTCTGAAATCTAGGTGGAGGTTTCCAAACCTCAATTCTTGACTTCTAGGCACTCACAGACTCAACATCATGTTGAAGCTGCCAAGGTTTGGGGCTTGCACCCTCTGAAACCATGGGCCGAGCTGTATCCTGCCCCCTTTTAGCAATAGCTAGAGTGGCTGGGACTCAGGGCACCAAGTCCCTTGGCTGCACACAGCATGGAGATCTTGGGGCTGGCACACAAAACCATTTTTTCCTCTTAGGCTTCTGAGTCTGTGATGGGAGGGGCTGCCGTGAAGATGCCATGGAGACATTTCCCCATTATCTTGGGGATTAACATTCGGCTCCTTGTTACTTATGCAAATTTCTGTAGCCAGCTTGAATTTCTCTTCAAAAAATGGGTTTTTCTTTTCTACTGCGTCATCAGGCTGCAAATTTTCTGAACTTTTATTCTGTTTTCCTTATAAGATGGAATGCCTTTAACAGCACCCAAGTCACCTCTTGAATGTTTTGCTGCTTAGAAATTTCTTCTACCAGATACCCTAAATCATCTCTCTCAAGTTCAAAGTTCCACAAATCTCTAGGGCAGGGGCAAAATGCTGCCCGTCTTTTTGCTAAAAACGTAAAGAGAGTTACCTTTGCTCCAGTTCCCAAAAAGTTTCTCATCTCCATCTGAGACCACCTCAGCCTGGACCTGATTGTTCATATCACTATCAGCATTTTTGTCAAAGCCACTCAACAAGTCTCTAGGAGATTCCAAACTTTCCCACATTTTCCTGTCTTCTTCCGAGCCCTCCAAACTGTTCTACCCTCTGCCTGATACCCAGTTTCAAAGTTACTTCCACATTTTTGGGTATCTTTTCAGCAACACCCCACTATACTCATACCAACTTACTGTATTAGTCTGCTTTCACATGGCTGATAAAGACATACCCAAGCCTGGGAAGAAAAAGAGGTTTAATTGGACTTTCAGTTCCACATGGCTGCAGAGGCCTCAGAATCATGGTGAGAGGTTAAAGGCACTTCTTACATGGCAGTGGCAAGAGAAAATGAGGAAGATGCAAAAACAAAAACTCCTTATAGAACCATCAGATCTCATGAGACTTATTCACTACCATGAGAACACTATGGGGGAAACCACCCCCACAATTCAAATTATCTCCCACCAGGTCCCTCCCATAACAAGTGGGAATTATGGGAGTATAATTCAAGGTGATATTTGGGTGGGGACACAGAACCAATTAGAGGGGAAACCATATTAGACGGGAAGATATGGGTTGAAAAAAGCTTAGGGACATATTAGCTTGGAGAGGAATGGGAAAGACTAAACCCTAGTTTAATAATGCACATTTGGGTGATTAATACAAAAATCAGGATATGAGGAGGGTTGCAATTGGGAAGGGGCTCATGGATGGAACTTCTGGGGTAGGTTGCAAGATATTCTATTTCTTGACCTGGTGGTGACAAGAATCTTCACTTTAGATGAGCTATGCATTTGTTTTGGGCGGGTTTGTTCATTTATTTATTTTTGAGACGGAGTCTCACTCTGTTGTGCAGGCTGGAGTGCAGTGCTGTGAACTTGGCTCACTGCAACCTCTGCCTCCTGGGTTCAAGCGATTCTCCTGCCTCAGCCTCCCGAGTAGCTGAGATTACAGGCACCCACCACCGCATCTGGCTAATTTTTGTATTTATCAGCAGCGTGAAAACAGACTAATACAGTAAATTGGTAATTTAGTAGAGACAAGGTTTCACCATGTTGGCCAGGCTGGTCTCGAACTCCTGACTTCAGGCAATCTGCCCACCTCGGCCTCCCAAAGTGCTGGGATTATAGGCATGGGCTACCACGGTCCTGTTTTGGGTGGGCTTTTAAAAAATTAGTTAATTAATTTTTTGATACAGGGGCTTGATCTGTCTTCCAGGCTGGAGTGCAGTGGCATGATCATGGCCCACTGCAGCTCGACCTACTGGGCTCAAGTGATCCTTCCACCTCAGCCTCCCAAGTAGCTGTCACTGGAGGCACATGCCACCATGTCTAGCTAATATTTTATTTTTTGTAGAGACAGGGTCTCACTATGTTGCCCAGGGTGGTCTTGAACTCCTGGGCTGAAGCAATCCTCCCACCTCCACCTCCTGAAGTCCTGGGATTACAGGTATGAGTCACTGTGCCCAGCTTGTTTTTTTTTTTTTTTGAAATTGTGTTTTATTTTATAGTTTTTTTAAAAATATTTTTATTATACTTTAAGTTCTAGGGTACGTGTGTACAACGTGCAGGTTTGTTACATATGTATACATGTGCCATGTTGGTGTGCTGCACCCATTAACTCGTCATTTACATTCGGTATATCTCCTAATGCTATCCGTCCCCCCTCCCCTCACCCCACAACAGGCCCTGGTGTGTGATGTTCCCCTTCCTGTGTCCAAGTGTTCTCATTGTTCAATTCCCACCTACGAGTGAGAAAATGCGGTGTTTGGTTTTTTGTCCTTGGGATAGTTTGCTGAGAATGATGGTTTCCAGCTTCATCCATGTCCCTACAAAGGACGTGAACTCATCATTTTTTATGGCTGCATAGTATTCCATGGTGTATATGTGACACATTTTCTTAATCCAGTCTATCATTGTTGGACATTTGGGTTGGTTCCAAGAATTCTTTTTTTTTTTTTTTTTGAGACAGAGTCTCGCTCTGTCGCCCAGGCTGGAGTGCAGTGGCGTGATCTCGGCTCACTGCAAGCTCTGCCTCCCAGGTTCATGCCATTCTCCTGCCTCAGCCTCCCAAGTACCTGGGACTACAGGCGCCTGCCACCACGCCTGGCTAATTTTTCGTATTTTTAGTAGAGACGGGGTTTCACCTTGTTAGCCAAGATGGTCTCGATCTCCTAACCTCGTGATCCGCCCGCCTCGGCCTCCCAAAGTGCTGGGATTACAGGCGTGAGCCACTGCGCCCAGCAAAAAAAAGAATTCTAATGACAACATAAGCCTAGAGCTGCTAGGTGCCATGATCCTTCTCTATGCAGAGAGAGAGAGAGCTGCTAGGGAATGAAGCCATTCCAAAGGAATGCAGTGCCTAGAGATATAGTATGAGACATAAAGTCCATGATGATCTTTGATTATCGGCATCCAGCCATTTCTGAAGCTGGATATATCATGGAATTTCCAGTGATGTGAACCAGTAATGTTCCCCCTTTGCAACCAAGAGAGTCCATCTACATATCTGTAGATCCTCACAAGGCTAGTGAATGTTTCTCAAGGAACTGCTGGTTTTGCTGGGTTTTTGGTGATCGCTTTAACTGTCTGCAGTAACTCACATTCACCACCACACACAGGCAAACCTGTTCGTCTTCATTCTCTCAGTGCTCTTGAAAGCTTTATTCCATATTTCCCAATGATGGGGGTCATTGTCATTCACTGAGGCTTGGTTCTTTCTGACCTTTTTGGAGGGTCAGCAGGGCTCACTAAGAGAGGGGATAGGAAGCGGTGTTTTGCTAAAGATGAATACAAATCCTGTCACCTGGAACAATTGGCGCATGTGCTGGGTTAGTCTGAGGCCCAGGGAAAATAAAGTGCAGTTGTGTATTTCAGATATCATTGATTCATTATATATTTATTGATTTCCAGGCACTGAACAAGACAGCCCCAGGTTCAGCTCTCAGGGAACTCACAGCTGGCTGTGTGTGTGTGTGTACGTTTGTGAAGATCTACATGGTACAAAATGGTGAACTCTCAGAGGCCTACTTCTCTGTAAACAGCTTTGATTTTATCCATGTCCCTTTTCCAGGTTCTGAAATTTCCATCTTTTGAATTATTTCTTAATATTGTTCAATACTCCCAGGAAGTCCAACTTAGAATGCAAAAACGTGTGAACTAGAGGGAAGGGCACATCAATTCTTTACAATGCAATGTCACTATGGTGAAGAGTAGAACAGGACAGATACATTTTGATGAGAAGATAGTCCTTGGGGAAAGTCTCCAGACCTGGGCAGCCAGGAGGTGGTGTGTAAGGGGGATGAACACAGGAGAAAGAGTAGGAGAAAGACAGGTTAGGAAGGGCCTATTCTTTCATCAGTTTTCTCAGATTTTGGTAGTACTCATGCCTTGAATATCTCACTCTGGTAAGGAAGTAGGACTTATTTTGTATTCTAGGCTTTGAAGTGAGACAGACCTGTGTTTGAATCCCAGCCTTGCTACTTACTAGCTGGTGACCTGCAGAAAGTCATTTATTTTTTCTTTCTTTTTTTTAGAGACAGAGTGTGACTCTGTCACCCAGGCTAGAGTGCAGTGGTGCAATCATAGCTCACTACAGCCTCAAACTCCTGGGCTCAAGCAATCCTCCCGCCTCAGCCTCCCGAGTAGCTGGGACTATAGGTGTGTGCCACCACACTCAGCTAATTTTTAAATTTTTTTGTAAAGTCATTGTCTTGCTATGCTGCCTAGACTGGTCTTGAATTCTTGGCCTCAAGTGATCCCCTGTCCCAGCCCCACAAAGTGCTGGGATGACAGGTATGAGCCACTGTGCCCAGCCTCCTTATGATTATCTTTATCATGTTTTCTTTTCTCTAGCTTGCTTCATTGTAAGAATACAGTATATAATACACATAACATATAAAATACATATTAATAGACTGTTTAATGTTATTAGTAGGGCTTCTGGTCAACAGTAGGATATTAGTACTTAAGTTTTGGGGGAATCAAAAGTTATACATTAATTTTTGACTGCAGGGGTAGGGTGTGGTTAGTCCCCCAGCCCTTGTATTGTTCAAGGGTCAGCTGTGTATAAAGGGCTCAGCACAGAGCCCAAACATAATGGATTTTGCCAATGAGTGTTAGTTCCTGTCCTTGGTTGAATAATCTGAGTTGTTTGACAGCATTCAGGTCAAAGACATGATAACTTTAAATGGCTCAGCTTTACAGATGGGCATTTTTGGAAAGTTCTATCCTGCAAGAAAAAAGAACCAAAACGTTGGCCACTCTCATTTGCTTGACATTCTACTATCACACTTCTCAATTTTCTACTTTCTGTTTGTTTTTTAGTAGCTCTCCTCGTGACTTATTTTAGTCCCTATTAAGTCCTACCCTATCTACCCGCTTCTATGTCAGAGATAAGGAGTCACAGAGTCTAGAGTCTTTTCCTTCCGTTTGTTGTTTTTGTTTTTTCAAAGCTTTTGGTTCCCAAGGCAATCAGGAAATGCAGAGAGTTTCCTTTTTTGGACAACAGATCATTAAAAATTATGATGTATTCAGGGCTGGCTGTAAGCCAGGCAATTGGTCTATGCATCTGTTTTGTTTTGTTTTGTTTTTTTGAGATAGAGTTTCACCATTGCTGCTCAGGCTGGAGTGCAATGGTGTGATCTCGGCTCACTGCAACCTCCACCTCCTGGGTTCAAGCGATTCTCCTGCCTCAGCCTCCTGAGTAGCTGGGATTACAGGGGCCTGCCACCATGCCTGGCTTTTTGTATTTTTAGTAGAGACAGGGTTTCACCATGTTGGCCAGGATGGTCTTGAACTCCTGACCTCAAGTGATCCACCCACCTTGGCCTTCCAAAGTGCTGGGATTACAGGCGTGAACCACCACGCCCAGCCCAGGCCACGCACCTTATGTGGGTTTTAATCTTTATAATAACCTTGTGAATGGGGATTATTGTATCAGATTTATAGAGCCTTATAGGTTTGTTTTGAAGATTAAATATTTGAAAAGTGCTTAGAACACCAAGATTCAATAGATGTTAGCTATAATTATTAGTATTATTTTTCAATGAGGAAATTGAGGCTCAGGTTGGTTAAGATGTTCACCTAAAGTCATCTGGCTAGATAACTGAAGGATTCCAGGTCCTATTGTCATTAAGCCAGTGTGAAAGATCCACTATGTTTCATATCTTGACTGAAATGACAAAACATTAATAATTTGAACAATGCCATAAAATTTTCAACCTCATTTTAACTTGGTAGTGCAGCAAATGTTACCATAATTTTGGGCCAACATGTTTCCTCCCCTGTTGATATGCTTCTTGTAAAGTTGCAATCTTTCAGTCCTTATCAATTCTCCGAACACAGCCTCACAAGACTGCTTTCCAGACCCCATCACCCATTTTCTCTTTTACTATGCTCTGCCCCTCCCTTGGGCCCCCCGGGATTGGTCTAAGGATGGGCACTGATCCAAGCCTGGCCAATTAGCATTCTTCCCACAGGATTTTTTTCAAACTTAAGAATGTTATTCCCATTCTAGGGGTGGAAATGGTAAGACGTAAAGCTAAGGGGTGCCATATATCCAGCTATATGAAGGAAGCCAGTCTGTGTTAAGATAAATTGAAGCCCAGGCAGCAAGGTGAGCAAAGAAGCAAGAGAGTTCCTGACTCCAGAAGTTCCTGAAGCCTTGGCTCATTGCCCTATCCTACCTTGACATTTAAACACTTTTTTGGATCTCTTCAGCCGATTCTTCTTCACTTTTGCCTAAGCAAGTTCAGGTTGGGTTTCTGTCACTTGCAACCAAGAGTCTTGGAAAACATAAGCACCACAGAGCTACAACTAAACTGGACTGCCTGCTGATCCTGAGAACACTTTTGCTTATCCTGTTTCTTGTGCCTAGAATGTGCCCTATTCCCACTATCCAAATTTAACCACTCAACCTTTAAGAACCCATTTCTGGCTGGGTGCACACCTGTAATCCCAGCACTCTGGGAGGCCGAGACAAGTGGATCATTTGAGGTCAGGGGCTCAAGACCAGGCTGGCCAACATGGTGAAACCCCGTCTCTACTAAAAATTCAAAAAAAAATTAGTCGGGCCTGGTGGTGCATTATAATCTCAGCTACTTGGGAGGCTGAGGCAGGAGAATCGCTTGAACTTCGGAGGCGAAGGTTGCAGTGAGCCAAGATAGTGCCACTGCACTCCAGGCTGGGTAACAGAGCGAGACTCTGTCTCAAAAAAAGCCAAAAACAAACAAACAAAAAAACCCATTTCTCATTAACTGTCCCTGATCCAACCTGCTATAATTTAACTATACCTTGTCTAAGCCCCCCAGTCCTTTTTTGAAAGGAGAAAAAGGGATACATACTTCTTGTTGTGCTCACAGCTTTCTAACTTGTGTTATGATTATTTATATATCCTGAGGCTTGACAGAGTGTGGAAAAAAGGTAAAATTATTTATATAAGCTTCTTATTATTTTCTTTCCAGAACAAAGATGTGCCTAGTTCATCTTCTTCTCAATGTGCTACCACAGTGTCTGGCATGGATAGCACTCTGTAATTGTTAGTTCCCTTCTTCTTTCCCTTCTCCCTACATAGTAGGCTTTTCCCCCTGTAGCTTCATTTTCTTTTTCCAGCATCAACATTCCATTCCCTGCTGCTGAGTGAGAAAATGTTCGTCTGTGTCTGCCCCAGGGTATTGTGTTTCGATGAAACAACACTAACTGTTGTAAAAATAATTTATCTAAAAATGGTTATCGCATTGTAGGTCTAAGAAACAGCTAGAAAGGGAAGTCTTTAACACTGTTTAGATAGTGGGTTGTCCTAGTGTATGTAATATTTGATTTTAGGATATGGATTTCAAATAGAAACCCTAGAAGGTTTGCATTTAGCAAGAAAGAACTCTGTTTCCAAAAGAACCAACTGCCAATCTTATGATCCTATTTTTAGTATCCCTACTTCCCTTCAAACCTCTTTGGCAGATCAATTATCTGTTAGTAAGATAGGAGGCAATGAATGTGTTTTCATATGTAGATACATTTTAACAAAAATTCTAGGCAACTTTTGTGGCTTGGAGGTTGGTGTTTTGAGAATACCTTATTATCAGAATATGTAACTTTTTGTATTTAGCTGTCAGCTACCCTCTCAAATTCTACCACCTGGATGAAATTCTCTCCAGGAGTCTCTTCTGAGTTCCGGGAATATTTTTTTTTTTCTGTACTTTCTTTTACCTTGTATCATATTGCCTTTTATCAAAGGCTATTTTTTTTGTGCAAGTCTTTGTCTTCCAGAATTAATTTAAATTAGTCTTTAGGTTTAGCCAATTTCAAATTTTACCTGTACCAAGAGAAAATTGTCATGGTTGTGCTCTGTTTAAAGGATGAGGTATTCAAGAAGACCTACTAAAATACCTATTATAGATCTATAAATATCAAGTTAAAATCTTGCCCTTCTTTGATATCCTGCTTCTATGGAAAAGCAGCAGTGTAGAGTGAACAAGTTTCAGAAGTTGGGCACCTAACTTTATAATTTTGCTCATACAACCAATAGGAAATACAAAGAGATACAATAGACTATAAGGATAAAGGGATAGAGTTGTTTATTATTTAGCTATATTTTCATGGATATATATCTGCATCTATAGTTTTCAGACCCCTAAAGGGCATGGACACGCTTCATACAGCTTATAGTTCTAGCATAATGTCTTACACATGGAAGGAACTCAATAATTGTGAGAAATGATGAACTGATACACTCTCTTGGAGTTTCTTTGTAGGGAATATGATTATGAATAAAGTGTTAATAGCTATCTCAAAGCCTTTTGTAAAGAAGCAGAGTACAGATGCTCCTCCACATACGATGGGGTTATATCCCAATAAACCCGTCATAAATCAAGTCAGGCCAGGTGCGGTGGCTCATGCTTGCGATCCCAGCATTTTGGGAGGCTGAGGCGGGAGAATTGCTTGAGTCCAAGAATTCAAGACCATCCTGGACAACATAGCAGACCTCATCTCTACTAAAAGTAAAAAAATAAAAAAAATTAGCTGGGCGTGATGGCATGTGCCTGTAGTCCCAGCTATTTGGGAGGCTGGGGTGGGAGGATTGCTTGAGCCTGGGTGGTAGAGGCTTCAGTGAACTGTGACTGCAACAACAACAACAACAACAAAAGTCTGTCTCAACAACAACAAAAAAGTCAAAAATGCATTTAATACAATTAACCTATTGAACATCATAGCTTAGCCCACCCTAATTTGAAGTGCTCACAACACTTACATTAGCCTACAGCTGGACAAAATCATCTGGCAAAACAGGACACTGTAGTGTTGGTGATTGCAAGCCTGACTGGGAGCTGCAGCTTGCTGCCACTGCCCAAGACTGTAGGAGAATATCCATATTGCCCAGGAAAAGATAAAAATTCAAAATTTGAAGTACAGTTTCTACTGAATGCATATTGCTTTCACACCATCATTAAGGTTGAAAAATCAGAGAAGTCAGGGACCATCTGTATAAATAAACCATAAATGAAAATAAAGTATGTGTTGTCATATTTTGGAAATGCCTCTTAGGCTCTGATCTGCAATATTATCTGGATCAAAAGAGTGGCTGAAGGGAACTATTGGGGACCAAGTACGTGAGGTGGAATGAATTCTTTTTCTGGTGTTTAAACACAAGCTGTAAGAACAAAATGTTTCTAATTAAGATACCACTAATTTTTCTCTCCATTAATTCCATCTTTATTCAAAGCTAAGGGTGTATATAATGACTCCACATCAAAGACTCTTTTCTAATGGTTTAGGAGATACAATTTTTATTAGAACCAAGGAGAATTCACAGCCCACAACAGAACAATTTGTTGAAGTTATTTTGGAGTTGATTTAGGAATCGCTCTTCATGAAATGTGATGAATCTTCATTATGGATGCTTTTTTTTTTTTGAGACAGAATCTCACTCTGTCACCCAGGCTGGAGTTCAGTGGTGCGATTTCCGCTCACTGCAACCTCTGCTTCCTGGGTTCAAGCAATTCTCCCTGCCTCAGACTCCTGAGTAGCTGGGATTACAGGTGCCCGCCACCAAGCCTGGCTAATTTTTGTATTTTTTAAATAGAGACGGGGTTTTGCCATGTTGGCCAGACTGGTCTTGAACTCCTGACCTCAGGTAATCTGCCCACCTCAGCCTCTCAAATTGCTGGGATTACAGGCGTGAGCCACCGTGCCTGGCCCATTATATATGTTTTCTAAACCTCCTCCAAAAAGGCTTTCAGCTCTTTTTGCACTTCTTCTGGTTTGCTTGCTCCCTCCCACTATACCTTTATCACTTGCACTCTCCTCATGTGATATTATATCGATCTATTTTCTTCCCTCTCTCCTCCCATTAGACCATAAGCTCCTTGAGGGCAGGTGTTTAAGCTTGTTCAATAGTATATTTAGTGCCTTGCACAGTGCCTGACTTATGATAGGCATTCCACAAAGACCTGTTAAATGAATGAATGAATAATCATACCTCACATTTAAATAGTGCTACAAATATGGTTACAAAGTACTTTCTTATGTTATTTGACTCCCATGATACTCTCCGGCAGGCAGTGGGTTTTATTATTACCCCTATTTACAGATGTGAGACTAGGCTCAGAAAGACTGTGTAATGGCAGGGCAACTAGGCTGCAATTTCTGGAGCTACCAGAACTCATGTCCATGGATTCCTGCTCTGGAGCTCTTTTCTGTTTTCAGAGTGATATATTTCCTGAGCCAAGTGCCAAGGGCAACACAAACTTACTCCCAGTGTCTGTTTACCCCTGCTGCTCTGCCTCCACACTTTACTGCTCTGCTGGATTTCTTCACTTCAAACTTAGCCCTGATTTTTATCTAGGAGTTGCACATTTCCTAAATGCAGATGAAAGATGAAAAATATATATTCTACTGTTGATTCTCCAGTTCCTTTGCCTGGGACCTCCCAGCTGTGGTGTGGTGCTGTGAAGTATGAGGCATGAAGTGGGGGTGACATACGTGAGGGGAGGAAGATGTGGCTGACTGGTATGGCCAGGGTATGCTGCTCAGAGGGCTATCAGACCAAGGGCTTGTGATGCTTAGGACTTGGCTGTGGCTCTGAGATCCCTCCATCCACTCTTCCCATCTCCAACATTTTTCTTTAGGGAAATCTGAATAAAATGAACTGGTAGAGTTGGGAGGTTAATGCTGACAACAAGGTTCCAGGATATGCTGATTTGAGTATGAAACAGTGTTTTAAGCATGGTGCGGTGGCTCACGCCTGTAATCCCAGCACTTTGGGAGGCCGAGGCAGGCAGATCATTTGAGGTCAGGAGTTCGAGAGCAGCCTGGGCAACATGGTGAAACCCTGTCTCTACTAAAATATAAAAAAATTAGCCGGGCATGGTGCAGCACACCTGTAATCCCAGCTACTAGGAAGACTGAGGCAGGAGGATCGCTTGAACCCGGGAGACAGAGGTTGAAGTGAGCCAAGATCACGCCACTGCACTCTAGCCTAAGCAGCAGAGTGAGACTCCACCTCAAAAAGAAAAAAGAAAGAAAGAAAAAAACAGTGTTTTGGGAAAGAGTGGTGTGGTCAAGGTGAGGGTGGCTAGTAGTCAGGGCTCACTTGCTGACACTAACAGTATTTGCTAATTGTATGCAACTGAACACAGTTGTATTCAATTCTCTTTTACACACAGCTCTGAGGGTGGAAGCTAAGGAGATGGTAAAAGAGGGAGTCTCTTGATTGGTCTTTAAAGTAAGCAGTCCTTTTCTTGAAATAGAATGGGCAAAACCAGGCTGGGCACGGTGGCTCACCCCTGTAATCCCAGCACTTTGGGAGGCCAAGGCGGTCGGATCACAAGGTCAGGAGTTCGAGACCAGCCTGGCCAATATGGTGGAACCCCATCTCTACTAAAAATACAAAAATTAGCCAGGCATGGTGGCACACACCTGTAATCCCACCTACTTGGGAGGCTGAGGCAGGAGAATCGCTTAAACCTGGGAGGCGGAGGTTGCAGTGAGCCAAGATGGTGCCATTGCACTCTAGCCTGGGCAACAAGAGCAAAACTCCATCTCAAAAAAAAGAAAAAGAAAAAGTGGGCAAAACCAGTACAATTTTACAAATTCAAGAAAGACAGAATATCATATTTGTGAGTGACGTAGATGACATCAACAAGTTAAAAGGAGGAGCTTTTGCTTGTTGTTTTTGAGTATGCTTCACACACAATACCCAGATCATAAAGCACTAGCAACAATGACATCACTCCTCATGTAGCTACTCCCTTACATCATTTACCAGAAATACACATTTTATACATAGAAACTTAAAAGCTACACACCTAAGACCCATCATTTAATGAGTACTTAATATGTGCCGTATGTGAGCTTTACATATATTTTACTCCTCAGAGGAACCTTGTGATAACAAGAACTGGCATTATAAATTGACACATAAGGAACTGAGGTTCAGAGAGGTCAAGCAACTTGCCCAAGGTCACACACCTGGGGTAAGTGGGATTCCAGAATTCCCACCAGTGTCTGACAGTGAAGCACATGGCTCCTAACTCTTGGACTAAACTGCCTCATGTGACACACAAACATGTATCTAATTTAACCATGGGAAAGCACTCCCTCGTCTGTCTATACCGTAATTTCTTACATTAGTGACACATTCATGGCTTGTATGTTTGTGTGCTTCTCCTACGCCTCCAATTGGATTGCAAACTTCTGGAACGCAGAGGCCAACTCTATTTTTTGTCCCCAAGTCATCGGTCAGTTTAATTGATGCTCGTTAGAATATCTGGAAGGAAAGACACCATGAAGGTGGCTGGAAAGGAGTAAAACCAGGTACAGAAGGAGGAAGATGGAGATGGGGTATTCACTCAACAATTTAATGTCCACTTGGACCTATGTTAGGCGCTGGAGATATGGTGAGGACTGAGCCAGTCTGTGTCCTTCCCCTCATGGGGTTTCACGTGGAGGTCGAGGTCATGATCAAGGATGTAAGTCACCCAAAGGACACTACTGTGTTCCCAAGCAGAAAAGAAAACCGAGGAGCCAGGCCCTGGCATCTGCAGGGTTCTGGCAGTCCCATAAGGCGCAAAGACATGAACAAGGTGGAAGAGTAGGTCAAGTGAAACGCTTTTATGTGATTGAACTTAGCCGGCCGGAGGGCCGGGGCCGCTGCGATGAGAGATAAAGAGCGTGGGGCGCCGGGTGCGAGGCGGAGATAAAGGGGTGAGGCCCTGGCCCTGCCGCCGGCCGTAACACGTGTCCCTTCGCCTGGCGGCGGGGTCTTCCCTGCCCACCACGAGGAAAAGGGGGCGCACTGCATGGCCCCCCACTCCTCACCACCCTTTGTGAAACGCCCCCAATTGTGCTTCATCTGTGGAGTCAGGTCCCCGCAGGCGGTCGGGGCTGCCCGGATTCCGCGACGGCTGAAGGGTGAGGGCCGCGCGGTAGCAAAGTGTCCCCAGCACCTAGCTTGGCTCCCCTCGCTCCCAAATCCCTTTCCCCTTTTCGCTCAACCCCCAACTCCACCTCAGCCGCCTTCCTCTCGGTTCCCCTTTCACCTCCCGCGCTGGGCCTGTTGGGCGGGGCGAGGGCTCCCGGCTGCGCGAGAGTTCCGCCCAAATCTCGTGAGACTCGCCTGACGCCGCCGCTGCTGCCGCCGCCTCTTACGTCTTTCCCTTTGACAAGTCGCTGCTGCTGCAGCAAAAATAAAGGACGCGACCGCCGCAGCCTCTGCGGAGCCGGGCTCGGGTCGCCGGAGCCGCGCCCCACCCCGCCAGCTCCAGAGCCACGTACGGTAACGCATCATCTACCGTCCTCCTGGTCCTGTGTGTGTGTGTGTGTGTGTGTGTGTGTGTGTGTGTGCGCGCGCGCGTGTGTGCTTTGCCGGCCGCGCAGGGCCGGCCGGGGCCGTTTCGGGACTGCAGCCGAGCGGGGCTGCTGGGGTCCCGGGTGGGCGGCAGGCGAGCTGGGGGAGCCCTCCTGGCGCGCCGCGGATCCCCCGGGTCCCCGGCTCTAGAGGCCTCCTGCCGCCCGGGCGCCTCGGAGCAGCGTAGAAGCCGAGGCGCCCGCGGAGAGGGCCGAGAGACCCGCCCCTCCAGCGGCTTACAACGTCTGTGCCCCGGCCCCGCTGTGGTCGCGTCTCTTTCTGCTTCATTCCTTTATCTGCTGACCAGCTCCTCTGCCCCGGCTGGGGCTCGGTCCGCGGGCGGCGGCCGACTCCCTCTCAGGGTCCGGGGAGTGCCGCGACCCCGGTGTCCCCAGGCGCCGGCCGCCTTTAGCGGGGTGGAGGCTGGGACGACGTGTCTTCCTCCTCTCCTCTGCCTTTGGGTGAGGGCAGCTCATCATCTGCTAAACCTTTCTCCAAATCTCCCGCCCCAATAAAACAACAAATTATAAAGCCTTTGCAACCGGGAGGCGAGGCGGGGCGCATTGTTTAGTCTTAAGCGTGAGATGAGGATGATGATGGTGATGACAGGAGCTACCCCGGGGAACATGGTGAAATCTGTTCTGTGATGGGTGGCAGGTTACTGGGAGACACGAGGAGGACAGGAGCTTGTACCACCTCTCCCAGGAGGTTATGTAAAAGACATGTTATCTTAGAGAGCTGTGAAACACAGGGACAGATTTGTCTTAGTTTAAGAAATGTCTATAATACTTAGAATATAGAGATAATTAAATGATGGGAATAACAAATCTGAACAAACTAACCCATCTTTGTAATTCCATCTCCAGAGGTGGCATTTCATGGTTAACATTTTATTGTATTTCCTAACAGACACATTTTTTTTTATCCTTGCTTGGGACTTCCTCATTCTATATTTGTTCCAAAAATGATTTATTTTATTTGAATCAGTTCTCTGGCCTGCTTGATTAAAACTGGCTGCTAGTTCATTATCACTGGCTGAACTCTGCCATCACTATCTTTTTCACTGGGCCCTTTTCCAAAATGATTGTTAGCTAAGTGGTTTGAAAAATCAAACGTTAAAACATTGTCTGTTTGGGTCTAGTACCTATGTATATATTATATTTTTACAATTCTGTTAGTGGTGGTTGCTCAAAATGGGGCAGTATTTGTAGAAGGGAAAGAAACTATGATTATTCATAGTGGGAAGAAACCTATTTACCTCAGGTTTTATGAAATTGATTTCTACTGGATATTTTTAGACCAAAATTGTTCTGTGACATTGTTTCATAGTGCCTGTTGTGATTAGTGTGGGATGAGTATGTCTCTTTGATATATGTGTTTCCATAGCCTGCGTTTATACAAGCAAAATTGAATGTCCTAGGTGCCTGTCTTATGCATAAATGTACGTATATATGTATAGAGACACACACACACACACACGTATTCTGCACCTATACACATTTATATATCTTGGAAGTGAGTTAAGATGTATTGCTATATTATTTGAGAAAAGATAGCATTAGGAAGGGCAAAGAACAGTCATAATATTTCCCCCAAATCACATGACAAGGTTGTATGGCAGAATGAGATATCTAGGGAGGTTGGAAATCTGGAGCCTTTTAAAAATAGGATAGATTGTCATCTGGGGTTGTTGTTATTGGAATGGATTAAATGGCCTATTAAGGCCTCTTGTAATTCTAAACTTTTATGAATTTTGCGTTCCCTAAGGTTCTTATCATTTTGCTTCTTAAATTTCCAGTCATGCTGTTTGCATGTGACACATCCATTCATTTGCTGGTCATGTATTCCATTTCCAATGCAGGCACCCTGATGTTGCATGGAAGAGAAAGCAAATGTAAATGCGTCACTTAATCTGCTTATTAATATAAACATCTCTTGAAAATCTCAATTTAAAGAAATTTTGGAGAATGTGTTGGTGATTGGACTGGATTGGGTTAGTAGAGGGTGCAAATAATAAATAGTAATAACAATTCCAACGTTCCAAGCATGTTTTCCCCCAAAAAAGTCATACTGAATACTCCCTAATATTTGAAATAGAAAAAAAAGGGGGCTGGGTATATTGAAGGAGCTGACCTTTTAAAATTTTTAAAATTCAGATTTTCAGATCTTAAAATGATGATAATGATGACATCGTGGCTTGGAGAGTGAGAAGGTTGTGTTAGGATAAAAAGAAACTTGTGAAACAAAACTTGAATGTTATAGTTGGATAACTATATAATAGCAAGTAACAAACTTACTATAATCTGTTGAAGCTATTTTTAAAAATTGTAAATAGAACTTTTGGCCAGATTACAGTAGCTCACGCCTGTAATCTCAGCCCTTGGGGAGGCCGAGGTGGGAGGATGGCTTGAGCCCAGGAGTTTAAGATCAGTCTGGGCAACATGGTGAAACCTTGTCTCTATGGTAAATACAAAAATTTGCTGGACGTGGTGGTGCATACCTGCAATTCCTGCTATTAGGGAGGCTGAGATGGGAGGATCAATTGAGCCTGGGAGATTGAGGCTGCAGTGAGCTGTGATTGCACCACTCTACTCCAGCCTGGGAGACACAGTGAGACTCTATCTCAAAAGCAAAATAAAACAAAACAAACAACAACAAAGGTCTACACAACTTTGGCTTAACATACACATGAAATACATTGTTGTGAGCATGTATTGCAGATTATCATGATGTTGAAAACATAAAAAGTTGGTCAAATCATTTACAGAGAAGTTTGCAAAGCCAGGAAGGTCACATCTGCTAGCATTTTCTTTAACTACAAAAAGTGAAAAAGAGCATAAAGTAGTTGTTTACTTACTAGATGCCAGATCCGATTTTCATGATTTTAGTTTGTTCTGATGTTGCCTACCGGGCTCTCTAAATTAATGGGACTGTTAAATTTCAGATGAGATCCTTGAGCAAGAAGATATGACAGTTGTATCAGATGATTGGTTGATGGATTTTATTTATTTTTAATGATTTATTTAGAAATAATGTTAGACTTACAGAAAAGTTACAGAGAGAGTACAGAGTTCTTACATACTCTTCACCAAGCTCCCCCTAATGTTAACAACTTACATAACCATAATACAGTGATCAAAACCAGAAGTTAGCATTGGTGTAACTCTATTGACTATAGATTTTACTTAATTTCACTGGTTTTTCCCCATTAATGCCTTTTTTTTTGTTCTAGGGTCTAATCTAGGTTCCCACGTTGCATTTAGTTGTTGTGTCTTCTTCATTTCCTCCAATCTCTGACAGTTCCTCAGTTTTTGTTTTTCACGACCTTGACATTTTTGATGAGTACTGTTATTTTTTAGAACTTCTTTCATTTTGGGTTTGTCTGATGTTTTTTCTCATGATTTGATTGAGGTTAAGCATGTTTTGCAAGAAAACTACAGAAGCGATGTTGTGTCCTTCTCAATGCATCATATTGGGGGTACATGGTGTTGACATGTCTTTTTGCTAGTGGTATTTTAACTTTGAACCCTTAGCGGTATTCTTCACAGTAAAGTTACTATTCTTCCCTTTATTGTTCATACATATCTTGGGGGAGACACTTTGAGACTGTGGATGTACAGTTTCTCCTCAAACTTTCTCCCATTGATTTTTAACATCCATTGGTAGATCTTGTCTGCAACAGTTATTACTGTGGTGTTTGGCTAATCATGATTTTGTATTTCCCTCATTCCTTCTGCATTTATTAATTGGAATTCTTTAAGGGAGAGATGTCCCCTTTCCCTCACTTATTTATTCAATTATTTGTTTATATTAGTGTGTTCTTATGGGATCTCTATTTTCTATGGATTATAATCCAATACTATCATTATTTATTTTGTTGTTCAAATTGTTCCAGCTTTGGCCATTGGAAGCTCTTTCAGGTTGGCCTCTACCCTTTTTCAAGCACTTTCTTATATTCTGGGGCCACAGGCTGTTCCATGCTCATCTTATTTTTCCTTGCACCAGTCCTGGAGTCGACTACTTCTCCAAGGAGCTCTGGTTTCTTTTATTGGAGAATAGTATTTAAAATCAAAATCTGTATACTCGGTATGTTTATTGGAGTTTTATTGCTCCCAGGACTTCAGTTGGCAGAACTAGGAAATATATCAGTATATTATATATATATATATATATATATATATATATATACACACACACACACACACATACATATATGTGCACACATATTATTTATATATGTGTGTGTGTGTATATATATATATATATATATTTATATAAACATATATGTGCACACACACACACACATACTGACGTTTCTTTCTTTTTTGAGACAGGGCCTCACTCTGTCACCCAGGCTGCAGTGCCGTGGCGTGATCATAGCTTACTGCAGCCTTGAACTCCTGGGCTTAAGCCATCCTTCCACCTCAGCCTCCCAAGTAGCTGGGACTACAGATGTGCACCCACCATGCCCCGCTGATTTTTTTTTAATTTTTAGTAGAGACGAGGTCCTGCTGTTTTGCCCAGGTTGGCCTTGAGCTCCTGAGCTCAAGTTATTCTCCCACCTTGGCCTCTCAGAGTGTTGGGATTCCATGCGTGAGCCACAGTACCCTGCCTGTATTCTATATATATTTAAAACCATGGGTTCATATTGACACCTATTCTAATCCAGTACCACAAAGTTCATTCTAACCTTCTCCCGTTCCTTCTGTCTCTGTCAGAAACCTGGCTTTCATGATATAGAGTAAGTATACTCACTTATTTGTTGACTTCTAGAATACACATGAAGTGGTTACAGATTGCTAACCTGTACCCTAGTGAAAAATGTATTTACTAATTAGTGTATTTGTATGTAGTTATTTTTGCTTTAGCCTTATAGTATCTAGTCAAAATAGTTTTCCAAAGTTACTTAGGTTAGTTATTTTCTTTACCACTCCCTTTAGTTTAATCTTATTCATCCCTAATGCATTAAGTTCATTTGTTATTGTTACTGTTCCATTTTGGGTTCCCTCCAACCCTAGTTGATTTTAATTATTATTATTTTTTGGCATATGAAACATTATAGTTACTAAACACTGCTTCTACTAAACACTACTGTATAAAAAGGTGTACTGGGCTGGGTGCGGTGGCTCATGCCTGTAATCCCAGCACTTTGGGAGGCCGAGGAGGGCGGATCACCTGAGGTTGGGAGTTTGAGACCAGCCTGGCCAACATGGAGAAACCCCATCTCTACTAAAAATACAAAATTAGCTTGGTGTGGTGGCGCTTGCCTGTAATCCCAGCTACCCAAGAGTCTGAGGCAGGAGAATCACTTGAACCTGGGAGGCGGAGGTTGCGGTATGCCAAGATCACGCCATTGCACTGCAGCCTGGGCAACAAGAGCAAAACTTTGTCTTAAAAAAAAAAAAGGAAAAAAGTTGTACTGAAAAGTGTCACTCTCTCCTTGTTTTTACTATCTCATTTCCATCCCTCCATCTTTGTTTCTACCTCTTGCCCATGCCCTGTGGGTACATAGTCTCTTTAGTTTCTGGTTTGTCCCTTCCTTTATTTCTGTTACACAAATGAAAATATATGTGGGTGTTCTCTTATATTCCTTTTCTTCTGATACAGTTACTTATTGCCATACAATTCACATACCATACAACTCACCCTTTTAAAGTGTACAATTCAGTGGTTTCTAGTATATTCACAAGATGGTGCAACCATCACAACTATCTAATTCCGGAACACTTTCATCACCCCCAAAAGAAACTGTGTATCCATTAGCAGTCACTTCCCAGGTCCGCTTCCCAGTCTACTTTCTGTCTGTGTGTGTTTGCCTATTCTGGATGTTTTGTGTTAATGGATCATATAATATGTGGCGTTTTGTGCCTGGCTTCTTTCACTTAGCATAATTTTGTCAAGGTTCATCCATGTTGTAGCATGTATCAGTACTTCATTCCTTTTGATAACTGAATGTTATTCCGTTATGTGAATATACTACATTTTGTTCATGCGTCAGTTGAGGTACATTTGGTTTTCTACTTCTTAGCTGTTATGAATAATGCTGTTTTGTACATTCATGTACAATTTTTTGTGTGGACATATATTTTTAATTCTCATGGGTATATATACCTAGGAGTGGAATTGCTGGGTCATATGATTACTGTATGTTTAACTTTTTGAGCAACTGCCAGATTGTTTTCCTGTTCCCTTCTTTTTTATGTGGAGAGTATACTATACTCTTTTGCACTTTTTTTCACTCAATAGTATATCCTGGAAATGACTCCAAATCAGGTCATTCTTTTGAAGAGATATTCCTTTCATTTTCTTCGGTCTTTTTTTTTTTTAAGACACAGTCTCACTCTGTTGCTCAGGCTGGAGTGCAGTGGTACAATCATGGCTCAAACTGTGGCCTTAATCCCCTGGGCTTAAGCGATCCTCCTTCATCAGCCACCCAAGTAGCTGGGACTACAAGTGTGCACCGCTATACCTGGCTAATTTGTTGATTTTTTGAGATGGGGTTTTGTCATGTTGCCCAGGCTGGTCTCGAATTCCTGGGCTCAAGTGATCCTCTCACACTGGCCTTCCAAAGTGTTGGGATTATAGGCGTGAGCCACTGCACCCAGCCTATTCTTTTTTACAGCTGTGACTTGACTGTGTAGATGTTTCTTAACCTCTTCAACCATTCATCTATGTATGGGCATTTAGGTTGTTTCTTATGTAAATAGCCTTGCGCGTAGTATTTTGGTATCGTTAGAACCGTATCTTCAAGGTAGATTTCTGTAAGTGTGATTGCTGGTTCAAAAGTTAAGTGCACATGTAGTTTTGTTAGATATTCCCAAATTCCAGATTTTCCTCCACAAGTATACCAATTTGCATTCTCACCAGTAATGTGTGAAAGCACCAACAGAATACGTTGTCATACTTTATATATATATATATATATATATATATATTTTTTTTTTTTTTTTTTTTTTTTTTTTTTTACCAGAGATAAGTGATTAAAAGAATAGTAGTCATTCGGGTGACCCCTTGTGGATGAGTGCTTAATGCTTGCAGATGGTTGGTTCTTATAGCTTGAAAATGAAATACATTGTCCACTAATACTGCATTCATACATGTAGCTTATTATGTGCAGGTAAAGTCCATTAGTTCTGGCCTAGTCAGGATTGTTCATTTTAACATTTTGCATTTAATGGAAGTGCTACATTGATTCATAGTACCTGTGCTCTAAAATACTTTTGGGGTTTAACAGAGGATAACTGAAATTCTAAGAATATTTCTTAGGCTAGAATATGTGATATGGTAGTTACTGGTTCACATTGTACATAGTTATTTTGAACGGTATATACAGTACGTATTGATACCCATGGTATGGTAGTTATTTGGACCAGTAATGGCAGTATCTTGGAACCTGTCATAGTTCCATAAGGAAGAAGGGCAGTCGTAATGAAAATTAAACCGCGAGTTTAAAGTTCTGGGTTAGGGCAATCCTATTAGATTTTAGCGGTGCCAAAAAACCAAGACAACATGAAGAAATCCCCATCTTTTAGGGTAACAAGTGCTGCCCAGCAACACTGGAAATTTAGGTTCATTCCCAGAAAGAGTGCTGCTCCAGGTGCTTGGAACACATTAATTGAAAATCAAAGATTCTGGCACTTGATGAGTTTATATTCCATTCGTTTTCTTTTTAAGAAATTATTATTTGGCCGGGCGTGGTGGCTCACACCTGTTAGTTCCAGCACTTTGGGAGGCTGAGGTGGGTGGATCACCTGAGGTCAGGAGTTTGAGACCAGCCTGGCCAACATGGTGAAACCCCGTCTCTACTAAAAAAACAAAAATTAACTGAGCATGGTGGCGGGTGCCTGTAATCCCAGCTACTCGGGAGGCTGAGGCAGGAGAATCACTTGAACCCAGGAGGTGGAGGTTGCAGTGAGCTGAGACCCACCGCTATACTCAGCCTGGGGGACAAGAACGAGACTCCATCTCAAAAAAAAAAAAATTATTATTTTTCTTTTTTTTCGTGGTTTTCTAATGAACTGATGTTCCCAGGAAAATAGATGCTGAGTGCTGATTGTGAATGGAACCAGTAAAGGCCTGGGATAGTCTTAAAGTACAATCACCTTTGCTGCTATAAAAACTTCAAATAATACTTCATTTTACTGATTACAAAATAAGCCCACAAAAGTCACAGGATGGTAACATATTGTTCACCAGTCTCTTCTCTCTCATTTTATTTGTTTATTTCAGGCTTACTTACTTATTTATTGTATAAATTTAATGTGTACACATGATGTTTTGATATACATAGTGAAATGATTGCTGTATGTAAGCAATTTAAGATACCCATCATCTCACATAGTTACTTTTTTTGTATGTGCTAGGAACATTTAAAATCTACTTTTAGAAAATTTCTGGTATATAATATGCTAATATTAATTATATTGCTCTTGCTAACTTTATTTATTTTTTGAGACAGAGTCTTGCTCTGTCACCTAGGCTGGGGTGCAATGGCATGATCTGCGTTCACTGTAACCTCCACCTTGGGTTCAGGTGATTCTCATGCCTTAGCCATTGGAGTAGCTGGGTGTGTGCTGCCACACCTGGCTAATTTTTTGTATTTTTGAGGAGATGGGGTTTTGCCAAGTTGGCCAGACTGCTCTCGAACTCCCGGCCTCAAGTGATCTCCCTGCCTCGGCCTCCCACAGTGCTGGGATTGATTACAGGCATTAGCCACCGTGCCCAGCCCTCATGCTATATTTTAGATCTCTAGATTTATTCATCCTACATAACTGCAACTTTGTTCCCTTGACCTGCATCTCCCCTACTCTCCTAGCCACTGTTCTAGTCTCTGTTTCTATGTATTTGACTTTTTTTTTTTTAAGATTCCACATATAGAAGAGATCATTTAGTGTTTTTTTTTTTTCCTACGTCTGACTTGTGTCACTTAAGACAGTGTCCTCCAGTTTCATTTGTTTTGTTGTAAATGGCAGGATCTCCTTTTTGAAAGCTGAATACTATTCCAGAGTGTGTTTGTATCACAATTTCTTTATAGAGCCATCCACTGACAGACGTGTAGGTTGGTTCCATATCTGAGTTAGTGTGAATAATGCTGCAGTGAACATGGGAGTGCAGCTCTCTCTCAGAGGTGCTGCTTTTATTTCTTTTGGGTTAAAACCGAGAAGAGAGATTGCTGGATCATATGGTGGTTTTCTTTTTAATTTTTTTTTTTTTTTTGAGATGGAGTCTCACTCTGTTGCCCAGGCTGGAGTACAGTGGCATGATCTCAGCTCACTGCAACCTCTGCCTCCCGGGTTCAAGTGATTCTCCTGCCTTGGCCTCCTAAGTAGCTGGGACTACAGGTGCCTGCCACCACACCCGGCTAATTTTTTTGTATTTTTAGTAGAGATGGGGTTTCACTGTGTTAGCCAGGATGGTCTCCATCTCCTGACCTTGTGATCTGCCCACCTCGGCCTCCCAAAGTGCTGGGATTATAGGCGTGAGCAACTGCGCCCAGCCCTTTTTAATTTTTTGAGAAACCTACATACTGTTTTCCATAATGGCGGTTCCAATTTACATTTCCACCAACAGTGTTCAAATATTCCCTTTTCCCCACTCCCTCATCAACACTTATCTCTTGTCTCTTTGATAATTGCCATCCTCACAGGTGTCAGGTGATACCTCATTGTGGTTTTGATTTTTTGATTTGTGTTTCCCTGATGATTAGTGATGTTGAGGCATTTTTATGTCCTATTTGGAGAAATATCTATTCAAGTCATTTGCCCGTCTTAAAATCAGGTTATTCATTTTTGTTTTTTGCTATTGCGTTGTGTGAGTTCCTTACGCATTTTGGATATTAACAGATACATAATTTGCAAATATTTTCTCCAAATCCGTAGGCTACGTTTTCATTTTGTTAATTGTTCTTTTGCTATGCAGAAATGTCTCTCATTTTAAATTATTCCCAATAGTAGTAATGGAATAATAATAATGGAATAATAGTAGTATAGTATAGTTTCTTTTTTTCTTTCAACTGGGTTTCATAAGAGAATAAACCCAAATGCCCAAAGACATTTGGACATTTGTTATATGTAAATAATTAACTTTTCTCCAATGTAGGATGGCACTAGTTATGTACCATCCTTGTGAGAATTGAGAAAGTATCCACTCCGACCATTGTCAATGTTCTGAGGTTCAGATAACAAGCCCCAGTTGAGAAAGGTCACGGGCATTGTCACCAGTTAGATCTGTTCTTTCCCCCAGCTCCTTCTTCCTTCTACCAGTTAGGTAGAATGATGTTAGGCAAGTCTTAATCTCTTAGTCTCAGTTTTCTGATCTATAAAATGGGAATAATTATAGTTGCTACGTCATAGGGCTGATGTGAGGATGAAATAAACAAAATCTTCTACATCTGTATTTATTTAGTTCCATGACTTTAAATACTATCTATATGCCAGTTGACTCACATTTATGTCTTCAGCCTAAGCCCCCTCCCCAAGATTGAGTGTCATAGTTCATCTGCTTGTTCTCACTTATACGTGGGAGCTAAATGATGAGAAAACATGGACACACAGAGGGGAGCAACAGTCACTGGGGCCTATTGGAGAGTGGAAAATGGGAGGAGGGAGAGGATCAGGAAAAATAACTAATGGGTACTAGGCTTAATACCTGGGTGATGAAATAATCTGTACAACAAACCCCCATGACATGAGTTTACTTATATAACAAACTATCTAATAGACATCTCAAACTAAATTTGTACAACACAGAAGGTATGATTCTTATTCTCATTATTTCCTCTGAATCTGCTCTTAGTATTAATAAATGGCAGGACCATTCAACTAGTTGCTCAGGCTAGAATCCTAAGTGATCTATGATTCTCCTTTTTTCTTTATACCCTTTAACCAGTCTATTAGCAAATCATCTTGGCTCTATTTTCTGAATACATTTCTAATCTGATCACATTTTGTCATCTCTGCCTTATTCTGGTTTAAACCACCACCATCTCCTGTGTGGGTAATTATAATAGTCTCTTATCTGGTTTCCTTGTTTTCTCACTTGACCTCTTATAGGCTGTTTTCTACTTCATAACTAGAATGACCTTTTCAAATGTTAATCACTCCTTAATACTTTAGATGACATCTAAATTAAATTACAATTATTATTTAAAAATTTTTTTTTTTTTGAGACAGAGTCTTGCTCTGTTGCCCAGGCTGGAGTGCAGTGGCATGATCTCGGCTCACTGCAACCTCTGCCTCCTGAGTTCAAGCGATTATCCTGCCTCAGCCTCCCGAGTTGCTGGGATTACAGGCACACGCCACCACGCCCGGCTAATTTTTGTCTTTTTAGTAGAGATGGGGGTTCACCATGTTGGTCAGGCTGGTCTCGAACTCCTGGCCTTAAGTGATCTGCCCGCCTCGGCTTCCCAAAGTGCTGGGATTGCAGGCGTGAGCCACAGCACCTGGCTATTTTAAAGTAATTTAAAATACAGAAATTAAAAGAACAGCCAAATTCCTAGCCATGACCTGCAAAGTCCTACATGATGTAGTCCCTGCCTCCCTCTCCTTGTTTATTCCACTTCTGCTACATTGAACTATCCGTATTCCCTGACCGGGCCAGGCAGACTCCCAGGGTTTAAAACTTGTTCGTCCCTTTCCTCAAGTTTTTGCACTGCTGGCTCGCTCACATAATTCAGGCTTCTGTTTAAAGAGAGTGCCTCAGACTTCACCCCTGTAGAGAGATCTTCACTGAATACAGTGTAAAATAGTGGCCACTCCCTACATCCCCTATCTCTCTTGCTTTACTTTTTTTTATGGCACTTATGCTTCCTGAAATAGAATTACTTGCCTACCTGGTTATTATTTGTCTTCCTTACTAGAATGTAAACTCCATGAAAGCAGGAACCTTGGATATGTTGTTTATTCCACTGCCTAGAAAAGTCCCTAGCATGTGGTAAACTAGGAGTACAACTCCAGGAAGTTGTCTGTGGAGTAAAACTGTCTCTAAATTAGATTATCTGATTTTTTTTTTTTTTTTTTTTTTTTGAGACAGGGTATCACTCTGTCTCCCAGGCTGGAGTGCAGTGGTGGGATCATGGCTCATTACAGCCTTGACCTCCCAAGACTCAGGTGATCCTCCCACCTTGGCCTCCAGGGTAGCTGTGACTGCAGGCGTGCACAACCACACCCTGCTACATTTTTTTTTTTTTTTTTTTTTGAGACAGAGTCTCACTCTGTTACCAGGCTGGAGTGCAGTGGTACGATCTCGGCTCATTGCAGCCTCTGCCTCCTTGGTTCAAGTGATTCCCCTGCCTTAGCTTCCCAAGTAGCTGGGACTACAGGTGCATGCCACCATGCCTGGCTAATTTTTTGTGTGTTTTTAGTAGAGATGGGGTTTTGCTATGTTGGTCAGGATGGTCTCCATCTCCTGACCTCGTGATCCGCCCGCCTCAGCCTCCTAAAGTTCTGGGATTACAGGTGTGAGCCACTGCACCCGGCCCCCTGCTAATTTTTTTAGGGATGAGGTCTCACTCTGTTGCCTAGGCTGGTCTCAAACTCCTGGGTTCAAGTGATCCTCTCACCCCAGCCTCCCAAAGTGCTGGGATTATAGGCATGAGCTAATGCACCTGGCTAGTTCAAGTAATTCTTAAGCTAAAGGAGGACTGTTGAGTCAGTTAAACAATGCTGTGAATTCTTTGCATTGAGTACTTACATGTGAAATGTTAGAATTTAGAATTTATAACATTATCAAGAGCATATAATTGTTCATCGAGTGTGCTAAGTAATATGTGAAAACAAAACTTGAATTTTTAGCTCTTGTTCTGGTTGCAAGTGTTTAAGCTATTTGTTGTCCCCTAATGATAATGGTAGTAATGTTAATGTAGTAGTAATATTTCCTCTTGTTTCTGGTAAGTTATTTTTCCTCACCCTAAACTCCTGATTTAAAGTCTCTGTTAAGCTGGGCATGGTGGCATGCCTATAGTCCTAGCTACTTGGGAGGCCAAGGCCGGAGAACTGCTTGAGCACAGGAGTTCAACACTAGCCTAGGCAGCATAGCAAGACCTTGTCTCAAAAGCAAAAAAAAAAGGATAACGTCTCTGTTGCTTTTGATTTTTTTGAGATACATTGTTGTTTTTAAACAAATACAGTAGTATTTATGGAAGGCTTTTTAAAGTTTTGCCGTATTTTAAGACCTTAGTCCCTGTACCATAAAACTCTTTGGTGATGGCCACTTTTATTTGATATAATTCAAGTAAGCAGCCTTGATAACTGATAGCATTGGAAATAAGTGGTTAACCTAATTTAGAACTAGGAAGATTATATTTCAATGTTAATAAAATTTAGAAGCATCGTGGGCCGTTATCTTTTTTATGAAGTATCATTGAACTTTGTTATATAACCAAGTATTCAGTCATGTATAATGAAATTTAGTCAGTAATATGATCATAGTATCTGCCTTCTCAAAATTTGCTCATTCTTTTGGAAAGAATGAGGGATGGAGAATGATGGAAAGATTTGTGTAATTTAATGATGGTGGTGTGGTGGGGGAGTAGACAGATGCACATATAAAGGAATAACACTAGCACACTGAACATTTACTGTGCAGTCACTGTTCTAAGAAGTTTCATGTATTTTTTTATTTTTAAATTGGCAGATAAAATTGTATGTATTTCTTGTGTGCTACATGAAGTTTTGAAGTATATATACATTGTGGAATGACTAAATCTAGCTAATTTACATATACATTACTTCATTTAGTCATCATTTTTGTGGTGAGAACACTTAACATCCACTCTCTTAGCGTTTTTCCATGTATTATTTAACGCACGTTTAAACTTATGGGGTAAAACCTTATTTGCAGATAAGGAATTTGAAGCACAGAGAGGTTAAGTAACTTGCCTAAGATCATGCAGCTAGAAAGTGATGCAGACTGGATGAGAATTCAGAAATGAAAAAATGTTGGTGGAGACTAGCGGGGGCAGAGCATAGACATGGCCAGCCTCAATGACATAGTTTTGGCTGATAGAAAACCCCATCCAAGTATTGTCATGTGGGCAGGACCATGATATATGGGTGTTCAGGAATTCATGGTGACAATGAGACGGAACTTTAGAGACTACCTATTGCTTTGATTTCTTAAAGCATGTTTCTAGTTCTGTTTTGCCAAGGAGAGGAATAGATGTTAGAAGAGAACAGTAATTGGTGTAAGGACTGGACTTCGCTATTAAAAAGTGAATATTAGTGAATCTTTATGCCTTGAAATACGAAGCTTTTCTTGGTAGACCTTGAAACCTAATGATATTAAGGAGCAAGGTTAAGCAAACTGTCTAGAGTGCAAATAGAGAATAACAACTTACATTTATTTATAGTTTTTTAGTTTATAAAATACTTTTGTAAACATTTTCTCAATTGATGTGAATAACACCTCTGTGAGACAGGCAGGCAGATGTTATTCTTCCATTTGACAAATTTCCATGGAAGAGAGAGGGAGCTGCCTTAGGAATGAGCCCCTGAATAATCTCAACCTCTAGTTGTTCTTTTTTTAATGATGCAACCAGAAATGAACTGGTTCTGGTTCTGCAACCAAAGCCTAGAAATTGCTATTTCTTTGTAAAGTTGCCAGAGTATGAGTAGTGGTCTTCTATGTTATATGGTACTGCAGGTTTGATCTCTAAAGTAAGTGATTGGAAAGCTGCTTAATCTGGAAGCAGAAGTGCTTGGCATTACGAATGGGCCAAGATGGCTTATGGTAATTGGCATGTTCTTAAATAATGTTTGTTATACCAAAAGCCTAGGCGTTTTACATAAATTTAGATTAAAACTATAATTCTAATGGCAGCACTATAATATCTTTTAAACCAATATTTTAATTAAAACCTACTAGTAGGCTGCAGTAATACTGAAGTGGTTTTGACTGTATCATGGATTAGCATAGAGGTGGGGCACTTTACTCTTTAGAAGTTGAAAAAGAAAGTCTGGTAGCTTCTAAAAAGGCAGATATGTGGCAGTAGTGAAATGTTGATAAAAGTTTAGTATGTCCCATTTCTCTTGTTCTTTTGAGAATAGTTTGAAATACTTTGGTTAATTTAAATTGGTCTAAGATATTAAGAAGGATTTTTCAAAACTCTCAAAGCTACGCCATATAAAGGAATAAAATCCAATATGAATTCACAGAATCACTTAGCTTTAAAGTAATTGATTAGTGACAAAATGTGACTTAGTTTTGCAAAAATCTAAGAAATTGGTGAATATTTTATATTTTTATATTCGTATTTAAGATGTCTTTCAGTTCTTTCTGTTATTTTTTCCTGGTGCTGTCTTGTACTGCCTCCTTATCACCTCCCTCTTCCTTTTCGTCTGCCATCTGTCGGTTTGGCTCCTTATTTCAGAGTAGGCAGGCAGGAAAGGGTTTTTGTACACAAGATAAAACTAGTGCTGTTTGGGAGCTCAGTGAGCCGGAGTGCTTTATGCAGTAACTCTGCTGACAATAAATTCCAGAAGTACCATAGGCCCATAGGACTAGAAAGACAGCAATGATTCTGCAATATTGTCTGCAATTTTTTTTCTGTGACTGTTGCTTTATTTAATAAAAAAAATTTAAAAATAAATAATACTTAAACACTTTTTTTCACAGAGAGCTATAAATTGGTTAGATATTGTTAACAGACTTGCAAATAAGAGTAATTATTATATAGGAGAGCTTAGCATGTTGATTACTTGTGAAGTTCATGTCAAATGATTCCTTATGGTATTCTAGAAATATAATTTGATGTTAGTAAATTAATACTCACTTGTGCCTGACTCTGGATTAATCTATTATGGGAATAGGTAGATACTATGATAATTCAATTCCCATACAGCATTTTTTCTTATCTTTTTATTATAGTATATTTTAAATATATATTAACATAAAAGTAGAGGGAATAGTATAAAGAGCTCCCATGTACCCAATATTGAACTTCAAGAATTATCAACTCATAGGCAGTCTTGTTTCATCTATATTTCTATCTAGCACCCCTCATCCCCAATCCTTGGATTGTTGTTGTTATTATTATTTGAGACAGAGTCTCGCTGTGTCACCCACACTGGAGTGTAGTGGCGCGAACTTGGCTGACTGCAACCTCCAACTCCTGGGTTCAAGCGACTCTCGTGCCTCAGCCTCCCAAGTAGCTGGGATTACAGGCATGTGCTGCCCCGCCCGGCTAATTTTTGTATTTTTAGTAGAGATGCGGTTTTGTCATGTTGGCCAGGTTGGTCTCGAACTCCTTGCCTCAGGTGATCCACCTGCCTCGGCCACCCAAAGTGTTTGGATTACAGGTGTGAGCGACCACACCCGGCCTCTGGATTGTTTTAAATCAAATCCTTGACATACGTAATGTTTACCTTTCAGATATTTCAATATTGATTTTTAAAAGATAAGAGTGTCTATCTCTTTTTATAGCATAACCATAATAACATTATCATACCAAAAAATGTATAGCAAGTTCTTAATATCAAATATGAATCAGGCTTCATATTTCTCTGGTTTATAGATAGATATAGATCTATAGTTTATTTGCTTGAAGTGACATCCAAATAAGGTTCATACTTTACAGTAGTTTGGCATGTTTATTACATCATTTTAAATCTTTAGACTCTCTTCATCTCTTTTTTTTCTTATTTTTTAAAAGAAAGCAGGTTGTTTGCCCTGATAAGTTTCCCTTAGTCTCATTGCATCTCTGTAATGTCAGTTAACATGTTCTTCCTGTCTCCTGAATTTCCTGTAAATTGATAGGTTGGTTTGTATTTTTTTTTCCCTCTCAGTAAGAGTACTTCATAGGAGTGATTTTTGTTTCCATCGGGAGATATGTAAGGTCTTATGTCTCTTTGTGATGTTAGCAGCTGTTGATGATAATTGCTTAGACTTCTTAATTCATCAGTGATTGCAAAATTGTGAAATTCTATTATTCCTTCTTCATTCATGTGTTAGATGGCATTTTCTTTTTTAAGTATTTCTTCAACCCTGTAAGTTGTATGTTTAGGACACTGTATGCCAGCACTGGTACTGGGATGATTGGCAAGGTTCTGTGGTGGAATTCCTTTAAAGGAAGAGTGCAAGTCTTCATTATTGATAATTTGGGAATGTTGAATAAATACACTTTATTTAAAGGATGTTGGTAAATAAATAGGTTAAAATCTCATCATGAAATAAATAGCTTGTGACTTAGAGTATGGAGCTGGTCACTGATGTTTGTTCTTTTTAAGAGGACAATGTTGATATTCAGAAATTTCAAAAGTAATTTGTGCAGGGCAGTAGTTACTAGTTTCTTGAGCCAGATTTCTCAGCATGAACTTGAGAACAGACCTTTTGTGTGAATCAGATTAATAAAATATTGAGTTTACATAAGACAGCATATTTTTATTAAAAGCTGTCAAAGAACTGGAGCAGCAGCATTTCCCAATGTGGCTCCTTGACAAAAGGGCTCTGGAGTCGAATAAACTTGGGAAACAATGTGTACTTTATTCTCTCTTGGAATGTCAAGTACATATTAACATGTAAAAGACTTACAGTAAAGAAGCCTGTTTAACATTAAATTAGTATTTTCCAAATTTATTTGATCTCTGAACCTTTTTTCCTCCTTATAACATCTTGAGGAACTAGTGATCTGAGGAACAAGTTTTGGGAAATGTTAGGTATATGGTTTGGCTGTGTCCCCACCCAAATCTTATCTTGAATTTTAGTTCCCATAATCCCTACGTGTGGGGGGAGGGACCCGGTGGGAGGTAAATGAATCGTGGGGATGGTTACCCTCATGCTGTTTTCCTGATAGTGAGTTCTCATGAGATCTGATGGTTTTAAAAGGGGCTTTCCCCCCTTTTGCTAGGCACTTCTCCTTCTTGCCCCCATGTGAAGAAGGATGTGTTTGCTAACCCCTTCTGCCATGATTGTAAGTTTTCTGAGGCCTTTCCAGCCCTGTGGAACTGTGAGGCAATTAAACCTCTTTCCTTTATAAATTACCCAGTCTTGGGTATTTCTTCACAGCAGCATGAGACCGGACTAACATGTTAGGTTAGAGGATTTGAACAGAGTAAAAAAAATATATCCAACCATGAAGAGTGTGTTTGACTTCACTACAGTGATATGGAGAAACTTTTGATAGGTAAATAAGACATTTTTCAGTGAGAAAAAGCCAGAGGCAAATGTTGGTTCATTGTTTCATCTTAGCCTGTAAGCATTACACTTTTAGAGAGGCAAGGTTAGAAAAGGACTTCATCAGTCACTATGTAACATTTACTACATCCAGGCACGGTTTTCATTACTTTACACAACCTTCTGCAGTAGGCATACTCTTGTTATACCTATTTTATAGATGAGGAAACTGAGGCACAGAAAGATTAAGTAAATTGTTCAAGGTTACATTGCAGAGTTAGTGACATAGCAAAGCCAGGATCTAAACCTAGGTAGCCTGGCTTCAGGTTTCATGTGCATAGTATAGTCACTACTCTATATTGCAAGATATGGAAGGTGGAGAGCGTGAAATATAAATTAGATTAAGAGGGGATTTAAAGTCTTTTTGGAGGGAACGGACATATTTAACTTTTAGACAATCAGAGCCATAAGAGACGAATGTGGAGAGTTGGCTACGTCCTAGTGAAGATAGAAAGCATGAAGACCTGGGAACCATTATCCATAAAACAAGGTATACTTCTAGGGGAGGTAGATTAGATGCAGGTAGAAGGCTGAGTTAAGAGGACACTGTTAATACAGAATTTCAGATTTAGAAATGCTTTGGAACTCATTTAGGACCCCACTCATTTTATACATGAGATCTGAGGTTATACAGTTTTATTCATGAACTTGTAATAATCATAGCTCACATTAGTACATTGCATTAAAATACTTTCATATGAATTCTTATTTGATCCTCTTAACAATTTTGAGACGTAGACAGGTAGGTTTCATATTTTCCACAGCAGAGCTGATTCTTGGATTTAAATTTTCTGCATCTTGAAAGCTAATGTTGGCCGTGTGTGGTGGCTCACGCCTGTAATCCCAGCACTTTGGGAGGCCGAGGCGGGCAGATAACTTGAGGCCAGGAGTTCAAGACCAGCCTGGCCAACATGGCAAAACCCTGTCTCTACTAAAAATACAAAAACTAGTACAAAAAGTAGCTGGATGTGATGGTGCACGCCTGTAATCCCAGCTACTCGGGTGGCTAAGGTATGAGAATTGCTAGAAACTGGGAGGTGGAAGTTGTGGTGAGCTATTGTGTCACTGCACTCCAGCATGGGCAGCAGAGCCAGACTGTATCTCAAAAAAACAAAAACCTCCAACCCCCTCCCCCACCCACAAAGCTAATGTTGTCTATACTAAATCACATTGCCTTAGTTCTTGGCAAATAACATGTATTAAAGAAGAGTAGTGTGTGCTCTTGAGATGAGGATTTGGGTCACAAAGAAAAGTTGCATTTTAACAAATGGAAATAACTCCCTTCTAAGTGTGAAAAGTAATATATTTGTTGTAAAAAATGATTTTTAGATAGTGGGAAAGGTGAAAACCATCTGTAATCCCACCACACAGAATAATCATTGTTAAATTATGATGTATAGTTGTCCAGATTTTTAATAGGTCTATTTATATACAGAAATACTCTTTTCCAAATTCTGTACATATAGTTTTATAACTTAAAATACTGTACTCTTTTTTTGTTGTTGTTTGTTTTTTGTTTTTTGAGATGGAGTTTTGCGCTTGTCACCCAGGCTGGAGTGCAATGGTGCGATCTCAGCTCACTGCAACCTCTGCCTCCTGGGTTCAAGCCATTCTCCTGCCTCAGCCTCCCAAGTAGCTGGGATTACTGGCACCCGCCACCATGCCCTGCTAATTTTTGCATTTTTTGTAGAGACGGGGTTTCACCAGGCTGGTCTCAAACTCCTGACCTCAGGTGATCCACCTGCCTCGGCCTCCCAAAGTGCTGGGATTACAGGCGCGAGCCACCATACCTGGACAAAATGCTGTATTCTTGAAAGAGGACATTGATAGGCATTTGATCTCCTGCCTCTGCCACAGTAAAATGGTACATACAGAAACACAGGCATACAATGGTAATGTCCTGGGCAAACTGGGATGGATAGTTTCCTCTCCTCTTCTTCCCACACTAATAGCTGACCTGTTAGTAAAGGCTAGGTGAGTAGGTAAAAAATTATTTGGGGTTAGGTTAATTTAAGGAGACAATGAGTAGTGTAAATCTTCATTTTATTGTTTTTTCTTTAGACTTTGGGGTTATTGATTATTTTTTGGGTTGATATTAAAAAAAAACCCTTTCGCACTATCCTAGATTAAAAGATAAGTAACTCAGATTTTGTAAACATTAAGAAGAATAAAGTGTGGCTCTTTTGGAGTAATCTATGTATGGGCTCTTTTAGTGTGTGTACTTACGAGTTTGTGTGTGTGTGTGTGTGTGTGTGTGTGTGTGTGTGTGTCCATCTCTGATTATCAGTACTGTTGTAGTGGTGGGAGGGAAAAGAACCTGTTGTGTTGTAAAATGGATTTTTGTACTTGAAGTCAATTCTTGAGAAACCACCTGTAGATTCTTTAGCAAATCTTCCTGATTTATTGACAATATCTAATAATTTGCTTTGTTAATCATTCTCTCTGCCCAAGCAGATTTTTATGAAGGTCTTATTTTGAAAATCTTCTTTTTGAGGATTGGCAATATGTTTCATTTATGTATCTCAATATCGTTGATTGTAAGTTGATGGTAAGGTGTGTGTTTTTAGCTATTCTAGTTCCTTACTCTTTCCACTTAAAATTTTAAAATAAGGTTGCTTATAACTCCAAAAAAATCTTTCTGGTATTTTGTTAAGTATTACATTCAATTTATAGATCAATTTGGGGGACAGTTGACATTTTATAATATTTAGTCTTCGAATCTAGGAATGTGGCATGTCTTTCCATCTATTTTGATTATCTTTGATTTCTTTCCTTAATAATTTTTTCGTTTATTATTTTTATTTTTTCTTTATAATTTTTAGCATGTAGATCCTGTTCGTTTTGTTAAATTTGTACCTATGTCTTTTATTTAAAAATGTTTAAAAACCTTTTTTAATCAAAGTATAATATACATTCATAGAAGTGAAGCTTACTAGTGTGCAGCTTCATGAGTTCCACAGGGATGGATTTATTTTCATATTCTGCTTATTTTTTGTCAACCTGAGAGATTCTCAGGAGGGAGTTAGATACAGTTCAAGATGAGGAAACAGGAGAAACTTCCCATTTCCTTTTGAATCAGATCTTTATAGTGTGACTTCAGTGTGTTGTGTGAAAGTGAATTCTCAAGGCAATAGATGTATTCAAAGAAAAGTAAGCCCATACACATTTCCAAATCAGTTTGGCCTTTTAGATTTTCCCTGCTAAAACTTACCTCCAGTCATGTTACAATACAGATTTGCCTAGATATTTTCTAACATAGGAATTCCTACTGTTTTGAAACAATGGAAATGTGGGTTGAAGATTTAAGAGATGGAAGGTTGTGTCTTCCTATGATTTTTGGTGAACCAGGCTATTCGCTGCCCTTTAGCTTCCTTCTGTGTAATTTGTAAAAACACAACCCTAAGTAAACTTGTCATCTTGCTGTCTGGCTTTTCTCTTACTTGTAGGAAGGGTAGGCAACTTAGTGTCTATGTTTATGGGAACAGTGTTTTTCTGCCAGCTCATTTTTGAGCGAGAGTTACAAATCTGGCTCTAAATTTATAGAGATGGATTCACTGTAATTACTTAAAAATGATTATGTTGTAAGGAAATTAAAAGTAAGATTTGTTTAATACAGATACTCCTGGGAATGAATGAGTTTATTACATATGCTCCATCAGGAAGAACATGGTTAACAATAGAAAAACCATGTTTATCATTTAATTCCTATGTATACTTTCATTGTCAAAGATAACCTTTGTTTTTTCCTTTCTGTTTTTTTTTTTTTTTTTTTGGAGACGGAGTCTCACTGAGTCGCCCAGGCTGGAGTACAGTGGCGCGATCTCGGCTCACTGCAAGCTCCACCTTCTGGGTTCACGCCATTCTCCTGCCTCAGCCTCCTGAGTAGCTGGGACTACAGGCACCTGCCACCACACCCGGCTAATTTTGTATAATTTTAGGAGAGACGGGGTTTCACCATGTTAGCCAGGATGGTCTCGATCTCCCGACCTCGTGATCTGCCCGTCTCGGCCGCCGAAAGTGCTGGGATTACAGGCGTGAGCCACCGCGCCCGGCCCCTTTCATCTTTTATGTTACCGGGGCTCAGCTGTGCCTGATTCAGCTGTTTCTATACTCCTCCCCAAATTCTGATTTTGAAAATTTCTCAGATTTATAGAAAAAATGAAGAATAGCGCTTTTCACCTAGATTCACAAATTGCAACATTTTGGTGCAACTGCTTTTTTCCTCCCCTCTAAACATGCATACATTTTGCTTTAAGTGAGACTAATTTGTAGTCATCATGATCCTCCCTGTCCTCTCCCAGTACATTGGCATGTATCTTCTAAGAAGAAGGACATTCTCCAACTTAACCACAATACTTTTATCACACCGATGGAAAATAACATTAATTCATTGTCACCTAATATGCAACATTTGTGTTTAAATCTTTCTTGTTTCCCACATATCTTTTATAGTTGCTTTTTGTTTTTTTCGGGTCCAGGATCCAATCACATTCATATATTGCTTTTGGTGTTTATGTTTCTTTAAATCTAGAGTAAACCCCAGCCTTTTTTTTTCCCAAATGACATTAACTTTATTGAATAATCTAGGCCAGTTGTCTTATACAATGTCCTACAATGTGAATTTGCCTCTTGGTTCTTTAATATCACATATTCAAGTTAAACATTTGCTGCATTAACACTATGTAGGTGATGTTATGTACTCCTTAAATCACCTCAGGAGGCACTCAGTGCCATTTTCCTTCTTTATAGGTAATGCTAAATTTGATTGCTTAAGGTGGTGACTATCACCAGATTATTTCTTTGCAAATGTACACTTTTTTCCCCTTTGTAATTAATAAACAATTAGGTGGTGGTATTTTGAGATCACGTGAAAGTTGTCTCTCCTACAACGCTTTCCCATTGGTTTTAGCATCCATAGAAAACTATCTTTGCCCTTTTTTTAAATTAAAAAAAAGAAGCAATATATGCAAATGTTAAGAAACTTACATAGTATAAAAAAGGTTATAGCAAAAGATATATCTCCCTTTCATTCATTCATACTGTATCTTCATTTTCCTAGTTTTTCCCAGAGTTAACTGTCATTGGTTTCTTATGTGTCTTCCAGAGATTTTCAACCACTCTAGTAATGCATTCATATATATAGCCCCTCTTTTTTTTTATTTTTACACAAATGGCTTATTTCATGAAACATAATAGTTTAAAGATCTCCTCATAGTATATATCAAAATTTCATTTCTTTTTATGGCTGAGTACTATTTCAGTGTATGTGTATACACCACATTTTGTTTATCCATTCATCTGTTGATGGACAATTGGTCTATTTCTGCCTTTTGATTATTATGAATAATGCTCCTATTAACATTGGTGTACAAATATCTGTTTGAGTCTCTGCTTTTAATTCTTTTGTATGTATACTTTGATGTGGGTGCTTGGTCTGCATCTTAATGTATTTTTAACTTAGTATATCATAGTAATCATTTTCAACTTAATACATTCCAAATAATTGTAGATCTTCCTCATTCATTTTAATGACTGCCTTGAATTCTAGTATATGTGTATAATTTATTTAACCAGTTTATTATTTGTGGACTTTAGATTGTTTCCTGGCTGGGTGCAGTGGCTCACACCTGTAATCACAGCACTTTGGGAGGCTGAGGCAGGATTGCTTAAACCCAGGGGTTCGAGACTAGTCTGGGCAACATAGTGAGACCTTATCTCTATTTTAAAAAAGCAGAAAACAAAAAACGTCATTTCCCCTTTTCATTGCTTTTATTACTTTTTTTTTTTTTTTTGCTATTCTAAACAAGGCTGCAATGAATAGGATATTTCTTAGTTTAAACAGTACTTTGTTTCTTGATTAAAACTACACTAAGAAAATGTTGACTGAGCCTAGTCCTGCTGAGTATACCTTCTAAATGTCCTTAAAATTCAACTCCGTACAAGTTCAATATATTGTTCCTCTTTTATTTTAGGCCCATATTTCTCAACTCAACTTTTGCAGTGGCCCAGGATTGGTCTGTTGTGTCCTGGCCATTCTTTCTCTTCATTATCTTAGTGTTATCCACAGCTCCTGATGTGTAGCCTTGTTATGGGAACATTATCATATTGTACTGTAATTGCTTATGTATCTTTATATGCTTTGAGGTTCTGAGTCTTTTAGGAGCACTGCTTTGTATGCAGTGGAATTTACTATGGATAAATCTTGCACATTCTTGTTAGGTTGTTTGTAGTGGTAAGTCAGAATACCTTTATTAAAATTAACACATAATTACAGATTTAGAAAAATGTACAAATAGGACTGACCCTTGGTTCATTAGAATATACTAGGGGTTCATGCCTTTATTTTTGTTTATTTTTTGATGAAGAGGTTAAAGGTAACTTTGAAGCCAGTCAGTGGTTGATACTATTGTGTCTTCCCCCTCCATCCCTATTTCTTTTGATACCATTAACTCTTTCAGATAATCTTTTGAATTTTATTTTTTTCTCCTTAAAATCATACTCATATGTAAGTATTCTGTGACTATTTGAGGAGCTAGCCAGAGTACTTACTTCTGATATTTTTGCTATTTCTTCATTTTTTATTTTAGGGAGGCCATAAGAATGAGTTCTTGAAGTATCAATTGGATATAACATTGGGAGTTCTGTGAGGATAAATTTACTAAAAATGTTGATTGTCATGATGTAGGCTTTCCTTTATAGTTGCTAACAGATTGATGGTTCTAAAGACATGGGAGGTGATTTTTTTCTACAGACAATATGATAAGGACCCTCAGGATCTTCATTCCTCTAGAAAGTATACTTCTGTTGACATCTAGTGTCTGCTTTGTGGCCACTGGTCAGCTGCAAATTAAGGTATTTGTGTGTGCTGACATTTCTGTTTGCATTTCTGGATTAATTGTATCTATTACCGTAACAGACTGTTGAACTTGACAAGTGGATAACTTACTTTACTCTTTTTTTTCCCCAAAGATCCTTTCGTTAAAAAGTATATTGATGAGCAGTGTACAGTGGCTCACGCCTGTAATTCCAGCACTTTGGGAGGCTGAGACAGGAGGATTGCTTGAGGCCAGGAGTTTGAGACCAGCCTTGGCAACATAGTGAGACCTTGTCTCTGGAAAAAAGAAAAAAATTAGCTGAGTGGTAGCATGTGCTTGTAGTCCTAGCTACTCAGGATGCTGAGGCAGGAGGATCACTTGGACCCAGGAGTTCAAGGCTCCAGTGAGCTGTGATTGTGCCACTGCAGTCTAATCTAGGCAACAGAGCAAGACCCTGTTTCTTTGAGGAAAGAAAAAGTACGTTGATGTTCTAAAAAAGAAACCACCCAAGTTTGATAGCAGCCGTTATTCAGAATCATTACATTGAAAACAAAATCATTAAAAACATAATAAATTTGCTTATAGCTGCTTGTCACAAACTTTTTGTACTAGGACATTGTAGTGATGTATTTTTTTTTTTTTGTCAACTAGAATTACTATAATGTTATGCTAAACTTCCATAAAGGAATACAAAAGAAGAAACTTAAAATAGCTGATGTTACTTACCTTTAGGGGATATATGATGAACAATTAGAGACCATATAGGGTAACAACTAATATTTATTTTCAAAGTAGTTCCTTGTGACAGATACAGAAATTCCAAGATAAGAAAGATAATTGAGGGTTAAGGTTGTTCAAGCAGGTTTAATTTGGGCAGGGGGCGGGGGAGGTAGGATTTGAATTAGTAACTGTAGGAAGTATAAGTGGAAAGGAAGGGGCGGGCATTACAGAGGACAACAGCATGAGTGGGGGCACAAAGGTAGGATTGAACATATCTCAACTGAGTGATGTAGGAATTGGTAGGAATTCCTACCTGACTAGAGCAGAGACAGTTGGGGAGTGTGGTGTGGTAAAATTTATTAGGTTGGTGGGGACAGTTGATTGTGAACCTTAAGCAGACTAAGTGATTTTAAGCCTGGGGAGCTATCTACATCAGTGAGGGTCCTGACAGGAAATAAATGGACTAGTTGTAGAGTTTTGGGAAGGGTTAAGGAGAGCAGCAGAGTATTGTCATGTTCCCAAGGCCTAACACTATTGGGAAGCCATTAGTACACTTTTAAGTCTGAGGGGAAAAGAAGAGGAACACTGGAAACTGATGAGAGCTGGAGCAATGGAAGCCAAGCTAGTGGTCAGGACCTGTAGCCCTAGAGGAAATGGCTTTGTGAGGTGGGAAGGGAGCTAGAGAAATGAAAACCCCAATTTCTTTTACTTCTCATCCTCCCATTTCCTCCTATGTGTGCCTCTCAATGGCCCAATGCAACTGGAAGTAAGAAGAGAACTTGGGCAGTGTAATGCCAGAGGACAGCCTCACAGGGTGCAAAGCAGAGCTTGAAGGGTAGAGAATAGGCTTGATTTGAGGAGGTTGGGGGCAAATAGAGAATGCCTAGTCCAGGACCCATTTTAAATTATTGCAAATTTATAAAGTAGGGTAGTGTTATAATGAAAATGCTCTTGGAGGAAGATTTGGTTTAGTGGATTTTGAGCCTTAAAAAAATCACTCAGGCCGGGTGTGGTGGCTCATGCCTGTAATCCCAGCACTTTGGGAGGCCGAGGTGGGTGGATCACCAGGTCAGGAATTCAAGACCAGTCTGGCCAACATGGTGAAACCCTGTCTCTACTAAAAATATAAAACTTAGCCGGGCGCGGTGGCGCATGCCTGTAATCCCAGCTGTTTGGGAGGCTGAGGCAGGAGAATTGAAGAGTGAGCTGAGATCACACCACTGCACTCCAGCCTGGATGACAGAGCAAGACTGTCTCGGAGTGGGTGGGGGCAATCTCTCTCTGGGCAGAGTTCCAACTTACAACAACAAAGGCAGAATGCAATCTATTATCTGATTTATCCTTATAGCCCCCACTGTAACTAATTTTGTTATTTCTCCGTAGACTTGTTAGACCAGAATTAATTCCTCTTCTACAATGTTCTGAGCCCTTGCAGTGAGAAAGCTAGGGTGCCAGTGGCTGAAAGGGACAAAAGAGTAGGGCAGAGTACCAGCCTTGCAAAGCATGAGTCTGGTTGTGGGGTGGATGGAGCAGTAGTGATGAAGACAGGTACGCAAATAATAACAAACCAGGCAGAGTATGATAAATGTACATGTGTGTAAGCAAAAGTAAGAGAGTTAGAGGAGGAAGTGAGTAAATCTGTGTTGGTGAGCGTAGGGTGATTACAACATGAAAAGCTTCATGGAAGAAGTCACCTTTGAGATAGGCCTTTGAAGGAAAAGTGTGGATTTTGACAGGTAAAGATTATGTAGGTGAGGTGGGAAGATTGCTTCAGCCTAGGAGCTTGAGGGTGCACTGAGCTATGACTGCACCTGTGAATAGCCACTGCACTCTAGCCTGGGCAACAGAGCAAGACCCTATCTCAAAGAGAAAAAAAAAAAACCACTTGTGTTCTGCAGAAATGCTCATCAGAGGTGATTTGGGAGGTATCTGTAGTGATGATGAGTTAAGCTTTAGCAATGAACAGGAAGTGGTTGATGTTAAGAAAAAATATATACTGAGAAGAAAAAGGAGGTTCTAGAACTTTTGGGAATACCAGCATTGGGTGGACAAGAGGCAGGGCCTGCAAGTAATTGGGTTTTGTTTGTTTTTTTTTTTTTGTTTTGAGATAGGGTCTTGCTCTGTTTCCCAGGCTGTAGTGCAGTGGCATGATCATGGCTTGCTGCAGCTTTGACCTCCCAGGCTCAGGCAATCCTCCTGCCTCAGCTTCCCAAGTAGCTAGGACCACAGAAGCGTACCACTATACATGGCTAACTTATTTTTTGTAGAAATGGGGTCTCCCTGTATTGCCCAGGGTGGTCTTGAACTGCTGACCTCAAGCAGTCCTCCTGCCTCAGCCTCCAAAAGTGCTGGGATTGTAGGCCTCAGCCATAGTGTCTGACCTTTTGTTTGTTTTTGGTCAGCTTTGATGAGGTATAATTAACATACCATAAATTCACCATTTTAAGACAACAGTTTGATAAATGTTAATACAGTTATGTAACTACCACCACAATCATCATATAGTCTCTTTTCATCATACCCAGAAAGTTCCCTTTTATGTCTTGGCTGTAATCTTCTCCACCTGTTCCTTAGCCATTAGCAACAACTGATGTGCTTTTTATCACCGTGGTTTTTACTCTAGAATTTCATGCAGCTAGAACCATAGTTATGTAGTCTTTGTGTCTGGCTTATTTCGCTTAGCATAATGCTTTTGAGATTCATCCATGTTGAATCTCCAAATAATGAATAATAATGCTTATTATTCATTTTGCTTGTAATGAATAACCATTGTGTTGTTTGAATCAGTCGTTCATTCCTTTTTATTACTGAGTAGTATGCCATTGTATGCATATATTATGATGTACCTATTCATTCATCAGATGATGGACAGTCGAGTTTCCAGTTTTTGGCTATTATGAATAAAGACGCTATAAATACTGATGACCAGGTCTTTATGTAATCATGTATTCTCATTTTTCTGGGCAAATACCTAAGGAGTAGAATTGTTGCATATGTGCTAAGTACAGCGTGTGTTTATGATAAACTGCCAAGCAGTTTCCCATGTCACATTTCTACCAGCAGTGTATGAGAGTTCTACACACTGGTGGTGACATCCTCACCAATACCTAGTATTATCTGTGTCTTTAAATTGAGCCATTTATTGAATTTGTAATAGTATCTTGTTGTGGTTTCAATTTCCATTTCCCTACTGACTAATGGTGTTGAACATCCTTTCATGCGCTTTTTTGGCTGTTTATGTATCTTTGGTGAAGTGTCCAGATATTTTGCTCATTTTAAAAATTGAGTTTTCTTATTGAGTTGTAAGGGTTCTTTTTATATATTCTTGATACACGTCTCATTGGATATGTTTTACAAAATAGTTTCTTTCATCTTGGGGCTTGCCTTTTCATTTTCTTATTTATGTATGTGTTCATCATATCTAAGTCTTTTCATTTTCTTAACAGTGTTGTTTTTTTTTTTGAGACAGTTTTGCTCTTGTTGCCCAGGCTGGAGTGCAATGGTACGATCTCGGCTCACTGCAACTTCCACCTCCTGGGTTCAAGTGATTCTCCTGCCTCAGCCTCCCAAGTAGCTGGAATGACAGGCGCCCGCCACCATGCCCGGCTAATTTTTTGTATTTTTAGTAGAGACGGGTTTCACCATGTTGGCCAGGCTGGTTTTGAACTCCTGACCTCAGGTGATCCACCAGCCTCAGCCTCCCAAAGTGCTGGGATTACAGGCGTGAGCCACTGTGCCCGGCTAGCAATACTTTTTGAAGGACAAAAGTTTTTAATTTAGATCAGGTCTAGCTTATCAATTTATTGTGTGCTATTTAAGAAATCTTACCCAGGATTGCTAAGATTTTCTCCTATGTTTTCTTCTAGAGACTTTTTAGTTTTAGCTCTTACGTTTCGGTCTGTGAATCATTTTGAGTTGATTTTTGTATATGGTATGAAATTAGGGTCAAGGTTTATTTTTCCTGTTTGCATATTCAGTTGGTCCAGCACCTTTTGTTGAAAAGATTATCCTTTTCCTATTAAACTGCCTTGACACTTTAGATAAGCATCAGTTGGCCATATATATGTGGGTCTATTTCTGTACCCTCAGTTCTGTTCTGTTGATCTATCTTGATGAAAGTACCACTATCTTGTTGCCACTACCACGTCTTGATTACTAGTTACTAGTTTTATATTAATAATAAGCTTAAAAGTCAGATAATGTACATCTTTAATGTTTTCTCTATCAGTTAGAATTGTTTTGCTATTCTCAGTCCATTGCCTTCCTGCCTTGCAAGTTTCTGAGACTGTGAAAAGTGTTTTGCTTCTTTTGTTACCCAATTGAGATCATTTAATAATCTTGAAAGAGTGGTTAGGAGGAATGTATTTTATCATAGCAACAAGACTTTTAAGAAGGAACTGAATTGGCAATTGGTTCATTAAAACCTTCTGAGGTTTTAATTTCTAAAAAGTTAGTATGGGGCTGGGCGTGTTGGCTCACGCCTATAATCCTAGCACTTTAGGAGGCAGAGGTGGGAGGATAGCTTGAGCCCAGCAGTTCAAGGCTTCAGTGAATTATGATTGTGTCGCTGCCACTCCAGCCTGGGCATCAGAACCAGACCCTGTGTCAAAAAAAAAAGAGAGAAAAAAAGAGCATGATATACACCACGATGTTGATAAGAAGCAGCATGATTTAGTGGTTAAGGGGTCACCTGGCAGACTAGTCTGGTTTGAATCCTTACTCTATCAATTACTGGCAGTTGTGACCTTGGGCTATTTAGCCTCTCTGTACCTCCACTTCCCTTCCTGGAAAATGGGGATAATACAAGTACTTTTTTCTTTTTATTAGTTTTTTAAATTTAAATTTTATTTTATTTTTTGAGACAGGGTTGCTCACTTTGTTGCCCAGGGGCACAATTATGGCTCACTGCAGCCTCGTAGGCTTAAGCGATCCTCCCATCTCAGCCTCCCAAGTTGCTGAGACTATAGGGGTGCACCACTATGCCTGCCAAATTATTTTTTGTAGAGATGGGGTCTCATTATGTCACCCAGGCTAGTCTCAAACTCCTGGGCTCAAGTGAGCCTCCCACCTTGGCCTCCCGAAGTGTTGGGATTATAGGCATGAGCCACCACACGCAGCCCCTATTTTATAGAGTTGCTCTGAAGAGTAAATAATACATGTATTTTCTGCCACATAGAAAGTGCTTCAGTGAATTGTAACTGCTATTATTGCTTTGTTCACCTAGAGAATGCTAAAAGCTTCAGAATTTGATAAACTCACTTATAGGAACTTAAACTTACTTGCAGTAACTCGTTTATTTCAGTTTTAGAAAGATAGTTGTAGTGCTGATTGGTTTTTTTCCAGTTCCTTGGTAGTTTTCTAACCTTTCTTTTCATTGGTGAATCTTTGGTAATTTATGTATGTATGTCAGTTTGGATTTGTGCATTGTACCAGGAGTGGAAAAAAAACAATTGGCTTTTAGTGTTATAAATTTTTACCTTAAATTAATAAACAAAACAAAACTGCAGTTTTTCCTTTGCCAATATTTAGCTGGTTGATCAGGATTGTGAACTGGTGGTTCTAGAATGCAAGTGAAAACCCATTAGTTTGATTTGATTTTGTCTGTAGTTCTTTACTCACCGAATAGGCACGTCTGTTTCCAGGTTTATTTGACTAGTTCTCATTATTGATGTAGCAAAAACAATTTGCCAGCAAACTCAGCAAATCTTTTCCTTTTCTAAGTGTACTTTCTTAAATAGCAATAATAACAACGAAAAAGTTTTTTCTTTTTTAGCAGGAGTTCAATTTTGCACAGCTAACCATTGATAATTTGTGTGGTTTAATGAATAAGAGTACCAACATCAATCATTCAGCTGAATGAAGCCTTCTAGAAGTACATGTGGCAGGAGTGGGGAGACCTGGACCACAGTGTACATTTAAGTTTCAGTTATAGAACTTTGCAAATGGGCTCTTCCTCCTGCACTTTCAGAAATGCCCTTGAGAAGTCTTTATTGACACTTTCTCTTATGATTCTCTAAGTACTGTGTATTGGGGGAGACATGGGTTGGTAGACGTCGAGAGTTCAGTTTTAAACATGATGTGTTAGAGATTCCTTTGGTACATCTGAGTGGGTATATCATGCTGGCAGTGGATGTCCAGGTCTGGAGCTCAGGAGAAGTTTTGACTGGATTCATTAGCATATGAGATAGGTAAAAGCCTTGGGAGTTGCTGGGATCCAAAAATGTATGTACATGAAGAGGAGGAGACTGAAGTGGACTGCAGATAGAATCCCTAGGATATATCCACTGTGGTACCACCACACTTGCACTTGCTCACATTAGGTCAGTTCAGAGTAAGATAATATGTGAGATTAAATTATATTCAATATGCATAATGGACTACCTGGATTCAGATTGCTTAGCTTAATTCAGGAAATATTTATTGAGCTCCCTCTATGTGCTTTACCTATGCTAATAAACACTAGGGATATAAGCAAAATCGATACTGCCTCTGCTCTGATAGTCTTTATAGACTAATGTGAAAGATTGTCTTTGCTGTTTTTACTCACAGCACTTCTGACAACAAGTGTGTGAGTTTTTTGCGTACACCAATCAGTTCTTCAACTTTCCAGATACCAACGGGCTGTCCCTGCAGTTCATTTCCATTCTGACACTATCCAGAGTTAGCATCAGACTACACAGGTTTAAGGGCTCAGTCCCACAAGACTACTCATACTTCAGATGCCAGTTGCATGTATTGAGTCCCACACTTCTGAATTGCCTACAAACGGGGGAGTTCCTACAACTACCCCCTCACCTTTGAGTAATTTGCTAGAATGGCTCACAGAACACGGGAAATATCCTATTTACAATGACTGGTTTATTATAAATGATACAACTCAGGAATAACCAAATGGGAGAGATGCATAGGGCAAGATACAGGGGGTAGGGGCATGGAGTTTCTATGCCTTTTCCTGACATGCCACCCTCCCAGCATCTTGATGTGTTCACCAACCTGAAAGCTTTCTGAACCCTGTCTAGGGGTTTTTATGGAAGCTGCATTACGTAGGCTTGGTTGATTAAATCGTTGACCATTGGTGATTAACTCTATCTCCACCCCTTTTCCTCTCCCTTGAGGTCTGGTGGTGGAACTGAAAGTTCCAACACTTTTATCACTTGGTTGGTTTCTCTGGCAACCAGCCTTCATCCTGAAGCTATCTAAGGGCCCACTAAGAGTCACCTCATTAGCATAAACTCAGGTATGGTTGAAAGGGGCTTGTTACGAATAACAAAAGATGCTCCTATTCCCCTATCACAAAGGAAATTACGAACACCAAGTATGTATTTCTTATGCCACAAATGGACATTAAACAAATCGCACAAATTATATATAATTGCAAACCATGCAAGGTGCTATGAAGGTAAAGTACTGGATGCTGTGTGAACATTTTGGGAGAGACCTAATCTCACATGGGTATAGTCAGGGATACCTTCCCAGAGGAAGTGACATTTAATTCAGCTAGTGATACTGTTACTGAGTACCTAATTAATATCTCTGGTACTGTACTGTTTAAACTGATATCTTGTGACTAAACATTAACTGGGTGAAAGAGGATGGAATGGAGAAGGCAGGCTCTAAATAAAGAGAACTGCCTGTGCAAAGTTCCTGAAATACAAAGGAGCATAGTGCCTTCCAGGAGTTAAGGATCTCAGGCGTCTATAGAAGAGAGAGCAAGGGGAGAGGTCAGTTCTTGGCCTTCTTGTCAGAGGAGAGATTTTGTTCTTTAGAGTAAACCTATTCTTCAGAAAAATTTTAAACTCTTCCCCTTTGAAACAGACTTCATTAACTTTTTATTACAGAAAAATATTAACAAATGCATTAGTGGAGAGAATATTTCCCCATACCCCAGTTTCTTTCTTCTTCTTTTTTTCTTAAGAGACTAGGTCTCACTGTCACCCAGGCTGAAGTGCAGTGGCATGATCACAGCTCACTGTAGCCTTGACCTCCTGTGGCTCAAGGGATCCTCCTGCCTCAGCCTCCCCAGTAGCTAGGACTACAGGCATATACCACCACATCTGGCTAACTAAAAATATTTTTTTCTGTAAAGATGGAGTCTCACACTGTTGCGCAGGCTCAGGCTGGTCTCAAACTCCTAGCCTCAAGTGATCCTCCCAAAATGCTGGGATTATGGATGGTAGCCACTGCACCTGGCCATGTTTTAGAGTACCTTGAGTCTGATTTAGGAATGGCTCCTGAAACCTGCTTAGAGAATTTCTCTGACTCCTTTCTGGGTTCTCTGCAATTTTAGTTTTGCTTGCAGCTATCCTTGTTAAGTGTTTGCCATTATTTTTTGGCATTTTATTGTCCTATCATTTTCCATCTTCTGTCTTTTCCTCAAATTCTATATTTTTCTTTGCTTTCAAAGCCTAGTCCCTTAATAACTGATCTCCACTACTACCCATGGAGATCATAATTTTCTTCCAGGGGTTTTGTAGATCATTGCCTCCTTTGGATACTGGCAGAAAGGATCAATATTTTTCTTTTTCTTTTTCTATTTTTTTTTTTTTAGAGGCAGAGTCTTGCTCTATCACCCAGGCTAGAGTGCAGTGGCACGATCATAGCTCACGGCAGCCTTGACCTCCTGGGCTCAAGTGATCCTCCCACCTTAGCCTCCTGAGTAGCTGGGACTACAAGTGCAAGCCACCATGCCTGGCTAATTTTTTAATTTTTGGAGAGACAGGGTTTTGCCATATTTCCCAGGCTGGTCTCAAACTCCTGGGCTCAACTGATCCTTCTACCTCAGCTTCCCAAAATGCTGTGATTACAGACGTGAGCCACTGTGCCTGGCCAATAGCTACTTTTTGTTAAAGCCTTAAGTATCAGAACTGAACTGAGGAAAGAGATAGGCAGAAGAGGGTGTCTCTGCTAAGCTACAGAGTTTATAATTTTGTTGAACAACTCCGTGTCATTGACTGATTTGAAGTTAACTTGTCTGAAAATTAAATGTGCAAGTATGACCTAGTTCTGAAACGTATCTTAAAAAGTAAGCCCAGAGATGACGCTTTAAAAAAGTCAACTTCTTTTTTAAAAAAGAAATTATTTGTGCCCTTTTTGCTTTGAGTTTGGAATTGGGACACCCCCAAACCTGATGGTAAAATATCTTATTTATAAATCCACTGAAGTAAGAAATAGTATGCAACCACTAAATGCTTAGGGCGTATAAAAAACTGACCTTAATATACCTATGAGTTACCATTTTGGTAGCCAAAAATATTTAAATGTAGAAACTAGTAGTAATTAATTAGTTAATTTAACAAACACTATGATGGTCTAGGTTGTATGGCAGAGAATTAAAATAAGGTGGAATCCATTCCTCACAGTGAGGAGTGAGTGCATTATCTGTTAGGGGAGTGACAATCCTAAATAATTGTAGGTCAAAGTGAGAGGTATCCTGTTAGAGAATTAGAAAGCACTAGTTTTCAAGTTCTGAAAAGCCCTGTAAGGTTTTTTTTTTTTTTTTGTAAAGTTTGAAGATATGAAGAGGAAGGACTTTAGTAAGTGAAGGAGAAGAGGATAGAAGCAGTGGTTTGAAGGCTTGGAATGACTTGGTGGTTTTAAGAACTTGTAAGATTTTCTTAAGTGTCTGTTACGTAGGTGGGAGAGGGTAGAAGAAAATTACCTGGAAAACACTTTAATTCCTGATTGTAAAGAGGCAGTTGTTGGTTAAAAGTAATTAGTCTTTAACTGGTTAAGCACTGAGTAGTCATTTGGGGTTTTCACTAAGGGAGTAACATCAGATTTTGGTTTGTAGAAAGATGGAGGATACACTAGAACTGGGGAGAACCTGCTATCAGGGAGCTGAATAAGGAAGCTACAGCAAGGAGAGAATTTTCAGTTAAATTTTATCCTAAAGCACTGATTCTGGGGTTGAAGGGAGAAGTAGCAGGTGGTAGTGTCACACTTCTCTAAAATAAGTGCTTTAGTGAGGTTGGGTGGGGCTGGGGACTTGGACATGTGTGTTTTGACAAGTTCTAACACTTGATTCTCATTCACATCCACTCAACATTTAGAGTTAATTTTTCCAGGGAGTGATATTATGGGGCAGTGAAAATAGCACTGGACTTCAGAATCTGGGGACTTATATTCACATCCTGACTCTGCCATTCACCTTGCATGTAATCTTGTTGTACTGTTTAATTTTTTGAAAATTGTTTTATGTTATTAATAACTATCTTACGGATTTTTGTGATAATTCAGTTGAAGTTCTGAAATCTCATAGGTATACAGTAAACATTTTGTAATCTCCTGACAGGTTTTCCCTGCCTGCTGCGCAGACAAAATCAATTAACAGAGACCACTACATTGCAGTAAAGGAAGAGTTTAATTGACAGGAGGCTGGCCATGCCATGCATGAGACAGAGTTATTATTCAAATTGATGTATTTCCCCAAAGGCTTGGAGTTTAGGGTTTTCAAGGATAGTTTGATGGGTGGGGGACTAGGGAATGGGGAATGTTGATTGGTCAGGGAAAAAAAAATGATTGGAGTGTGAAAAACAGTCCTGGTGTGATGAGTCTGCCTCTGCATAGGGCCACAGGATGTTAAGTCTTGAGGCAGGAGTCCAGGTGGGGTCATTCTGAAAGATAACACAAAAAAACCAATCTTAGATTCTATTATAATGATTTTCTCTATAAGAGTAATTGAGGAAGTGACAAATATTGTGACCCTTGGCCACATGACTCCTGAACAGTAAGGAATGATAGAAGAAGCTATACTTGTCTTGTGACCTCTAGCCATATGACTCCTGAGCAGTAAGGGATGATAGAAACTATGCCTACACCTTAGCAGAATTCAGGCCCCTCTCATAATCCTAACCTTGTGGCCTTTCATTAGTTTTATGAAGGTGGTTTAGTTTTGGGAAAGGTTATTATCATCCTTGCTTTAAGGTCAAACTATAAATTTCTCTGAAAATCAGCTTGGTCTTGTAAACTAAAAATAAAATTCTAAGCTCTCTAACCATCTGAATGGCCCCCTCCTCTCAGCAAGCATTCCAAAGTTAACCTGATAAACTAGTTCCGGCCATGATGGAAAGGGGGAGCCAGATATGCCTCATAATACCCTCCTCTCTTTTGGAATTACTGATAGAACAAGACTCTTTAAGTCTGATAAGAAACATTTACAATCTGTTCTCTGAAGCCTGTTACCTGGAGGCCTCATCTGCATGATAAAACCTTGGTCTCCATAACCCTTTATTGTAACACAGACATTTCTTTCTTTAGATAATAATTCTTTCAACCAATTGCCAATCTGAAAACCTTTCAATGTATCTATGACCTGAAAGCTTCTGCTTCAAGTTGTCCAGCCTTTCTGGACTGAATCAATGGACATTTTACAAGTATTGATTGATATCCCATGTCTCCCTAAAATGTATAAAATCAAGCTGTCCCTGACCACCTTGGGTACATGTCATCAGGACCTCCTGAGTCTGTATCACAGGCATGTCCTTAACCTTGGCAAAATAAACTTTCTAAATTGATTGAGACCTAACTCAGCTATTTTTGGTTTACAGTCTACACCCCGGAATGATCGATGATGGAGGTTAGAAGCGAAATGGACTTAACTGTGTCAAATTTCTCTTACTGTCATAATTTTGCAAAGATGGTTTCAGTTTTGTGAGTTTAAGTTTTAATTTAGAATTTACATTAGAAACTACTGAATTTAGTCACATTTCAGTAGTACCCTTATCCACATATTAAATGAAATAGAAACTTATTAAAAGTTGCAGAAGATGTAACTGTTGGAAAATATGTTGGCATATGGACTTAAGGGATGATACCCTTTAGTAGTGGACTAAATTTAGTTTAAAAAATATAATTAATTTATTCTACTTGTAAAAAATAAAGGTTCCTCTTCAAAGATTTTCCTCCCTATTTAACTAGGAATAAATAGTAACTTCTCTTAGAAGCAAAATTTATTTAAAGACCTGTGCTAACATTCTTAAAAATCTGCTAGCTGTGATAAAGAAATCAATGTACTTTATGTTCTTAGCTCCCACAATTTAGCCTAAATATTTGCCCTGGCATGCTTATACTGGTTCAAGCAAGCATTAGGTCGTAGCCTGTTCCTCTTCCTTATTTAAAGGTATTTTTACCTTTCTCAGCATTCCACAAGTTAACTTCCTGCTTCCTTGATTCTCCTCTGCCTTTGCCTCTTTTAAAAAGTTCTGAGTTGCTAGCCAGTCGGGACAAATACAGAATGTCAGGTCCCGTTCCAGCCAGTGGAAACTGGACACAGCAGTAGGGTGGACGCGTGAGATTATAAATGACCCTGTCTCTTTTGTTCGGTGTACTCTCGTGGCAGAACTGCTGGCGAGTATACCCTTTCTGCAGAAAGTATAAAAATGGCCTTGCTGAGTAAATTAAATTTATGTTCAAGTGCTATTTCTTTGTGGCACCAGGGAACAAGCATTTCAAACATACTGCTGGTTCAAATGGGCAAACATGAAATATCTTCAGAGTAATTCAAAATAGGAACCTTTTGTATCAGAGCTTTTCTATTTGATTGAAAATAAAATCAAGCCACTTAAAATTCCAATTAAATGTTAATTTTCTTATATTAAACTGATATTTTTTCCTCTCAATTTTATCTCTACTTCTGCAATCTTAGGTGCTATCAACATCTCTCATACACATTTCTGAAATCTGTTTTTATTGGTTATTTTATTTTAAAATTATCACTACTCTTTATCTACTTTGAACTTCTTTTTCCAAAATGATAAATGCAAGCAGAATATTTTAATAAAACCATTGAAAAAGGCAAGCTTTAGTAACTAAGACAATTGACCCAGTTTTTCCTTCCTCAGAATTTTAAGATCTTTAAAGCAGAAACTTGTGCTTTAAAACTGTATTGATACATTTAAAAATGATATAATTTGTATGTCATTTAAATGTTCAAGTAGGAAAAAGGATGATTATTCCTTTACTTTTTTTTTTTTTTTTTTTTTTGAGACAGAGTCTTGCTCTGTTGCCCGGGCTGGAATGCAGTGGCACAATCTTGGCTAACTGCAACCCCCGCCTCCCAGGTTCAAACAATTCTCCTGCCTCAGCAGCCTGAGTAGCTGGGACTACAGGTACACACCACCACGCCTGGCTAATTTTTGTATTTTTAGTAGAGATAGAATTTTGCCATTTTGGCTAGGATGGACTTGAACTCCTGACCTCAGGTGATCCGCCCACCTCGGCCTCCCAAAGTGCTGGGATTTTAGGTGTGAGCCACTGAACCCTTTACGTGTTTTTCTTAAACTGCTGGGTATGGGGAGTGGGAAAGTAGGGATCTTAGCTGTTCTAAGATGAAAGAGTGGCATCTCCTGCTAGAGTCCCAGTTGTAATGGGTGGTAGGTGAGATATTGTAAAATATATATTTGGTCTTCCTCATGTCTCCTGGAATATAACTCCTAAAATCTTTGGAATCTCCAAAGTGATCTGTGTCTTTTTGTGTGCTAATGAATTTGCTGATGCCTGGTCACCTCTGGTTAGCTTCAGGATTGGGGCTGGTCACTGGAAAGACTGAGCCATGATTAGAGGGTTAGTACTTTCAGCCCCATCCCCAACCTCTGGGAAGGGGAGGAAAGAAGGGCCAAAGATTGAGTTGATCACTCAGTGATTCAACCAGTAATAGCTAGTAATGAAGCTTCCATAGAACCACAAAAAGACTGGGTTCAGGTGTTACAGGAAAGGGGTTCTGATCCAGACCCCAGGAGAGGGTTCTTGGATCTCACGCAAGAAAGAATTCAGGGCGAGTCTATAGAGTAAAGTGAAAGCAAGTTTATTAAGAAAGTAAAGGAATGAAAGAATGGCTACTCCATAGACAGAACAGCCCCAAGGGCTGCTGGTTGCTCATTTTTATGGTTATATGTTGATGATATGCTAAACAAGGGGTGGATTATTCATGCCTCCCCTTTTTAGACCATATAGGGTGACTTCCTGACAGTGCCATGGGATTTGTAAACTGTCATGGCGCTGATGGGAGTGTAGCAGTGAGGACAACCAGAGGTCACTCTCATGGCCATCGCAGTTTTGGTGAGTTTTAGCCAGCTCCTTTACTGTAACCTGTTTTATTAGAAGGTCTTTATGACCTGTATTTTGTGCTGACCTCCTATCTCATCCTGTGGCTTAGAATGCCTTAACCGTCTGGGAATGCAGCCCAGTAGGTCTCAGCCTCATTTTACCCAGCTCCTACTCAAGGTGGAGTTGCTTTGGTTCACACATCTCTAACACAGGGAACTTCCAGATAGCTGAACCCATAGAGGTTCTGTACTGGAAAGGGGTCCCTATCCAGACCCCAAGAGAGGGTTCTTGGATCTTGCGCAAGAAAGAATTCAGGGCGAGTCCACAGAGTAAAGTGAAAGTGAGTTTATTAAGAAAGTAAAGGAATAAAGAATGTCTGCTCCATAGGCAGAGCAGCAGCAAGGGCTGCTCCACTAAGGATAGTTATAGTTATTTCTTGATTATATACTAAACAAGGGGTGAATTATTCATGAGTTTTCTGGGAGAGGGGTGGGCAATTCCCGAAACTGAGGGTTCCTCCCCCTTTTAGACCATATAGGGTAACTTTCTGACATTGCTAGGGCATTTGTAAACTATCATGGCACTGTTGGGAGTGTGTTTTAGCATACTAATGCATTATAATTAGTGTATAATGAGCAGTATGGACTACCAGAGGCCACTTTCGTGGCCATCTTGGTTTTGGTGGGTTTGGGCCAGCTTCTTTACTGCAACCAGTTTTATCAGCGTGGTCTTTACGACCTGTGTCTTGTGCCGACCTCCTGTCTCATCCTGTGATTTAGAATGCCTAACCTCCTGGGAATTCAGCCTGGTAGGTCTCAGCCTTATTTTACACAGTCCCTACTCAAGATGGAGTTGCTCTGGTTCAGACGCCTCTGGCAGTTCCTGGAGGGTGGCATCCCCAGAGAGGGCGTGAAAGCCCTGGGCCCCTTGCCCCATATCCTGCCCTATCCTCTTCATCTGGTGTTCATTGATACCCTTTGTAATAGCCTTTATTATAAACCCATAAATGTAAGTATAAGTGTTTCCCTGAGTTCTGTGAACTGCTCTAGAAAGTAATCAAACCCCAGGAGTGCGGTGTGGGAACCCTGCTTTATAGCTAGTTGGTCAGAAGCACAGATAAAACAACCTGGGGCTTGCGATTGGAATCAGAAGTGGGAGACAGTTTTCTAGGACTGAGCCCTCAACCTGTGAGATCTGTTGCTGTCTCCTGGTAAGTAGTGTCATAACTGAATTGACTTAGAAGACACCCAGCTAGCGTCTGCTGCAAGATTGCTTGCTTGGCGTGTGGAGAAAATCTCCCACACATTTGGTCACAGAAGTGTTCTGTGTTGTGAGAGTCTAATAGGAAGAAACTGAGTTCTTTCGTTCTATATCATCCAAGAAGGTAATACTAAATATTATTTTACATTAAAACCACACCATATATTATGAAGAAAAATGCCAAAATTGTAGGAGTTTAAAGTAATTTCTTGCTTAAAAGGGAATTAGTTGGGGATACTCCAAACTCCTGGAAGCACACGTTCATTCTGCTTTGCTGATAGGGTTGTATCTGGAAAGGGTTTTGAAAAGTCAGTAATATCTTCTGCACTAGAAGTTATTTATATTCTTTTTGTATTCCTTCCAGAGGTGGATAGAATGTAGTAAGAACCAATTTTGTGTGTTGAACATTTGGGTTTCATTTTCATATTATTTTAGAAGTGGAAAGGACTTCGGAGATTATTTTATTCAAATCCCTTATTTTTTAGATGAGGCCTGGAGAAGAGGGTATGTGTTCTTGCCCAAGATCATTTCTTGGGTATTAGAACTTTAATTTCCTGATACCATCTAATATTTATTGAATTGCACTGGTCTCTTTGTAGCTAAGGTAGGAGATTAGAAACTGGTTTAAGACATTAAGGTTGGAGAATATTGGTCAATTGAATATAAAGCTATCAATCAGTGAACCTACTATGTACTTTATTGGAATTTTTGGAAAAATGAAAAATTAAATCAGTTATCAATTATTACACTTTGCCCCCAACTCAGACAGTTGCTGATAACAAGAATTACACTGGAAAGCAGTTGATTAAATCAGTGATTTTGTTTTTGAACAGTTGTGTGGGGCATCAATATAGGAGATGTTACTGCCAACAGATAATTATTTAGCTTTGAAATAAATGGTTTGAAAACTTGCTTTTATAAAATATTTGAAGAAATATCAACTTCTTTATTCTTAGTAAGGAAAAAATTCATTCTAAATTTTCACATTGAGAGAGGGACTGCTGATTATAGTTGGTGTGAATGGGCTTACAGCTTAAAACATTTAGACATCGAATTGATTTTAAGTGTTTTAGAACTGAAGGAACCTGGATTTGCAATTTGAACTCCCTCGAAGAATTGTTTTTTACTTTCATTTGCCACAACATAATGTGTTAAAGAAAGAACTAGGCAGAATTTATCCAGTAACTAAAAGTTTTATTGGAAATGTTACTAGTTGGATGTTCTATTTTGTTCTTTGAACTTCCCTCTGCTGATCTTGTTTTGAAAAAGATCATCCCTTATGTTTGGCAAATCTTGCTGCATTGATGATTCATCTTTCTGTTTGTACAAGGCATCTTCAGAATATACACAGAGCTCGTATTTGTAATATATGTATACGTACATATATACATATAAATCTGAAAATTTTTGAGTCCCAGCATAATATACCAAGGAGATGCTCATTGGAACATTTCAGATTTTGGATTTTCAGATCAGAGATGCTCAACCAGCAACAATGCAAATATTCCAATAATCTGTACATACACACAATGAGAAGTTATTAAGTAAAACTATCTCAGAGTGTCTGGGGGAGAAGGTTGATAGATATGTCATCTCTCAGGTATTTATCCCCAAACTGCAAATTTCTGTATGTCCGAGGAAAGGACAAACCCATTAAACCTACTTTATTATTTATTTTCCAAACTTTCTGTGTTTTAGTTAGAAGCGTGATAGATACAGTCAACCCTTTGAAAAACTTTTTTAGGATTTTTTGTTGTTAAAATGATGTTCGTAAAAACAAGCCTTCTATAAAGATATCTTTCAGTTTTTATATACCCAAATTAAAAGAATAATAGGATAGGGATTATAACTTTTGATTATATTACAATTGAAAACAATATGGTCATACAAACTTTTTTTGTTTTTCCTTTCCTTGAGAAAAATTTAAGACTGAAGAGAAGTACAGAGAATTAAAAAAAAAAAAAAGAAAACCCTACTGTGTTTCTTCTGCCAGCATTTAACAAGTGTTTATGCAGTCATTTTTAAACTTAAAGAAAGGGAAACATAACACACAAAGTTGATGTCCTGTTTGATACCCACCAACCCCCTGGGCAATCACTATCCTGAGTTTGGGTGTCTATTATTCTAGTATTTAAAAAGTACTTTTTAAAAAAAAAATTTTTTTTTGAGACGGAGTCTTGCTGTGTCGCCCAGGCTGGAGTGCAGTGGTGCGATCTCGGCTCACTGCAAGCTCCGCCTCCCTGGTTCATGCCATTCTCCTGCCTCAGCTTCCCAAGTAGCTGGGACTACAAGGCGCCCGCCACTACCCCCGGCTAATTTTTTGTATTTTGGTAGAGACGGGGTTTCACTGTGTTAGCCAGGTTGGTCTCGATCTCCTGACCTCGTGATCCGCCCGCCTCGGCCTCCTAAAGTGCTGGGATTACAGGCATGAGCCACCGCGCCTAGCCTAAAAAGTACTTTTACATACATCTCCATTTCTACAACCAATATTGGTGGTAGAGATAGCAATAATAAAATGATAATGATCATAATAGCAGCTTACGTTTATTGAGTATGTACTGAGTTCCAGGAGATGAGTCCAAGAACTTTATATGTGTTATATCATGTAGCCCTCATGGCAATGATAGAGGTTCTTTTATTATCCATTATATTACAGATAAGGAAATTGAGCCATGGGGAAATTAAGCAACTTGCCCCAGTCAGCTAGTAAATGGTATAGCCTAGATTCAAACCTAGCTGTTCTGACAGACTTTTTGGGGTTTTCCTTTTAACTTACATAGTTTGATTCCTCTAATATTGTTTGTGTGATCTTCATCTTCTTTCTAGTATTTAGCTGGATTCTTCTGATGGGTTTTTGAGGTATTCAGTATCATGTAAATAATAAAAATGTCTAGAATATATAATACATTTATTTATTTATTTATTTATTTATTTATTTATTTTGAGACAGGGCTCGCTTGGTCGCCCAGGCTGGAGAGACCTGGGTGGCATCATCTCGGCTCACTGCAACTTCCACCTCCCGGGTTCAGGTGATTCTCCTGCCTCAGCCTTCCAAATACCTGGGATTACAGGTGCCCGCCACAACGCCTAGCTAATTTTTGTATTTTTAGTCGAGATGGGGTTTCACCATGTTGGCCAGGCTGGTCTCGAACTCCTGACCTTGGGTGATCTGCCTGCCTCGGCTTTCCGAAGTGCGGGGATCACAGGCGTAAGCCACCATGCCGGACCTCAGTTTCATTATTGATAATAGTGGTGACAAGTGGGCACTCTTATATTCTACTTGACTCTAGAGTCAATACTGCTAATGGTTTTGTTTTGTGATATATAATTTTAAATCATTTAAAAAAACCTTTTGGCCGGGCGCGGTGGCTCACGCCTGTAATCCCAGCACTTTGGGAGGCCGAGGCGGGCGGATCACGAGGTCAGGAGATCGAGACCATCCCGGCTAAAACGGTGAAACCCCGTCTCTACTAAAAATACAAAAAATTAGCCGGGCGTAGTGGCGGGCGCCTGTAGTCCCAGCTACTTGGGAGGCTGAGGCAGGAGAATGGCGTGAACCCGGGAGGCGGAGCTTGCAGTGAGCCGAGATTGCACCACTGCACTCCAGCCTGGGCGACAGAGCGAGACTCCGTCTCAAAAAAAAAAAAAAAAAAAAAAAAAAAAAACCTTTTATTCCTGCTTTATTAGTAGATTTTTTATTAGGAATGGATTTTGCATTTTATCAAGTTTACTTTTAACATCTCAACATAACATGAAATTGGTTAATGTTAATAGATTTGCCTATGTTGAGCCATCATTATATTCCTGGAATGAACTCCTATTAATGTACTTTCTCATTTTCATTGCTAAATTTTTTTTTTTTTTTTTTTGAGACGGAGTCTTGCTCTGTTACCCAGGCTGGAGTGCAATGGCGCGATCTCCTGCCCCAGCCTCCAAGTAGCTGGGATTGCAGGCACTTGCCACCACGCCCAGCTAATTTTTGTATTTTTAGTAGAGACGGGGCTTCACCACGTTGGTCAGGCCGGTCTCGAACTCCTGACCTCAGGTGATCCACCTGCCTCAGCCTCCCAAAGTGCTGGGATTGCAGGCATGAGCCACTGTGCCCAGCTGCTAATATTTTTAATTGCAGATTTTTATTAATTATAGATTATGAAATCCACAACTGTGGTAGTATTACAGCTGTACTTTTTGTGCTTCATTAAGTTTTGCTATTGTTACTTTATTGACTGCTTAAAAAGAACTGAGACTCTTTGCTCTATGCCCTAAAACATTTAAAGTAGCTTAGGAATTGTCTGTTGAAGTCATGATAGAATTCTTCCTTAAAACAATCAGGGCTTTATTTTGTTGTGATTATAGTTTCTTTAAATCTCATTACTGATTTATTTCGGTAGTATCCCAACTATATTATCCCAATTCTCCAATTTACAGTAAATAACTGTTAAATTGGTTTTTTTGAAATGCATCCTTCATTGAGGGCATATAGGTATCAGATGCTGTGTTAGGTGCAGATAACACTTTTGTTCCCCAAATCATCAGTCTGACTTGTACTGGATTATAGAATAGAAACCCAAATTCATTTGTTTGTTAACTGTCTTTTTCACATTCTGTACTGCTTTTCATTTTCCTACAATTTTATACAAATGTCTTTATGTATTGTAGCTATTCTGATCTACTTCCTATTCTTTAAATGCACTTGAACTTTCTTTCCTTTGAGTTCAATTTGATGAAACTGGCTTGTAAGGTTTTTTGTTTTGTTTTGTCTTTTTTTTTTTTTTTTTTTTTTGAGACAGGGTCTCACCCTGTCGCCAAGACTGGAGTACAGTGGCACAATCTTGGCTCACTGCAGCCTTGACCTTCTGGACTCAGGCGGCCTCCCCAGTATGCCTCCCCAGCTGGGACCACAGGCATACACCACCACGCCCGGTTAATTTTTTGTATTATTTGTAGAGTCGGGGTTTTGCCATATTGTCCAGGTTAGTAAGTTTTTTAAAAAGAGATGGAGTCTTGCTGTATTATCCAGGAGTGATCATAGTGCACTACAGCCTTGAAATCCTGGCCTCAAGTGATCCTCCTGCCTTAGCCTCCCAAGTAGCTAGGACTGTAGATGTGTGCCACCGAGTCTGGCTCTATAATAGTTTGACCCATCAAAGTCATTCTTGATGTAGCGAACTTTTTTTGAGTATTTGTTGCCCACCATTGGTTCTCTCTTCTTTCAGTAACATACCCTCAGTTCATTTTGGGGAAGCATTATCTGCCAGATATATTTTTTTAATTTAAATAATTTATTGGTCAGCCGTGGCGGCTCATGCCTGAAATTCCAGCACTTTGGGAGGCTGAGGCAGGTGGATCACCTGAGGTCAGGCGTTTGAGACCAGCCTAGCCAACATTGTGAAACCCTGCCTCTACTAAAAATACAAAAATTAGCTGGGTGTGGTGGTGCATGCCTGTAGTCCCACCTACTCGGGAGGCTGAGGCAGGAGAATTGCTTGAATCCTGGAGGCGGAGGTTGCAGTGAACGGAGATTGCACCACTGCACTCCATCCTTGGTGACGGAGTGAGACTCCATCTCAAAAATAATAATATGATAATAATAATTTATTGAGACTGGGGATGGTGGCTCATGCCTGTAATCCCAGCACTTTGTGAGGCTGAGGCAGGCAGATCACTTGAGGTCAGGACTTCAAGACCAGCCTGGCCAACATGGTGAAACTCCATCTCTACTAAAAATGCAAAAATTAGCTGGGCATGGTGAGACCATGCCATTGCACTACCGACTGGGCAACAAGAGTGAAACTCCGTCTCAAAAAATAAAAAAAAAAAAAATAATAATTTATTGAGTTGAAGTTCACATCACGTACAATTAACCATCTTAAAGTGAGCGATTTAGTGGCATTTAGTACTTTCACAGTATTGTGCAACTACCGTCTCTAGTTCCAAAACATTTTCATAATTCCAAAGTAAAATCTTACCAGTTTCTCCATTTTCCCTTCCTCTCCAGCCTCTGGCAACTACTAATCTACTTTCTATCTCTAAGCATTTGGCCATCCTGTACTGTACATTTCTTATAAATAGAATCATACATTATATAGCCTTTTATATCTGGCATCTTTCAATTGGCAGAATGTTTACAAGGCTCAAATTATAGCATGTATCAGTATTTCATTCCTATTTATGGCTGAATAATATTCCACTGTGTAGATAATATGACATTTTGTTTATTCATTCATATCTTGATGGTCATTTGTGTTGTTTCCACTTTTTGGCTATTACGAGTAATGCTCCAGTGAATGTTTGTGTACAAGTTTTCATATGAACATGTGTTTTCAGTTCACTTGGGTATAGATCTAGGAGTCGAATTGTTGGGCCATAAGGAAACTCTGTTTTTAACTTTTTGAGATACCACCAGCAAACTGCTCTTCACAGCTGTCTTTCGATTCTTCTTCTTCTTCTTTTTTTTTTTTTTTTTTAATAGAAACATGATCTTGCTGTGTTGTCTAGCCTGGCGTGTAGTGGCTATTCTCAGGCACAATCATAGCATACTACAGCCTCGAACTCCTGGCCTCCAGCAGTCCTCCCACTTTAACCTGCTAAGTAGCTGGGACTACAGGCACACTGCAGTGCATCTAGCTTGTCTTTCCATTCTTATTTATAATATTGAGTACCTTATGTTTTGTCTTTTTTTTCTTAATTTTGTTAGCTGATTGTTTTCATTTTTTTCCACTAAAGAATTATCTCTTGGGTTGGGCATGGTGGCTCACACCTGTAATCCCAGCACTTTGGGAGGCCCAAGTGGGAAGATTGCCTGAGTCCAGGAGTTTGAGACCAGCCTGGACAACACGGTGAGACCTCTGTCTCTAAAAAAGAAAAAGAAGAATAATCTCTCTGAGATATCAATCCTGTTGTTTTTGAATTTTTCTCATTTACCAATTTCCCTTCCCTTCCCCTTCCCCTTTTCCTTCCTTCTTTCCTTCTTTATTTAGAGACAGGGTCTCTGTTGACCAGGCTGCAGTGTAGTAGCATGATCTTGACTCACTGCAGCCTTGACCTCCTGAGCGCAAGGGATCATCCCACCTCATCCTGCTGAGTAGCTGGGACCACATCATGCGCCACCATTCCTGGCTAATTTTTTGTATTTTTTGTAGAGATGGGGTTTCTCCATGTTGTGCAGGCTGGTCTTGAACTCCTGAGCTCAAGTGATCCGCCCACCTTGGCCTCCCAAAGCCTTGGGATTACAGGTGTTAGCCAGCGTGCCCAGCCTAATATTCTTAAAGTTTATTTTGTTTTTCTAATTTTGAATTGAATTATTAATATATTTAATTTTTTTAAGAGACTTTGTCTCACCTTATTGCCCAGGCTGGAGTGCAGTGGTGCACTTATAGCTCACAGCTTTGAACTTCTGAGCTCAAGCGATCCTCCCACCCAAGCCTAAGTTGCTGGGACCACAGTCGTGTACCACCATGCCCAGATAATTTTTAAACATTTTGTCAAGGTAATGTCTTGCTATGTTGCTCAGGCTGGTCTTGAACTCCTGGCCTAAAGCTTCCTCCCACCTTGGCCTCTTAAAATGTTGGGATTATAGGAGTGAGCCACCACACCTGGCTTTCAGTTAATTCTTACTTAGAAATGGAGCATTTGAGTCTTTATATATTTATTTGAGTCAACTTTGACTACATTCCCTTGATTTTGATATATGTTTCTTTTATATAACTTTCTAGATAATTTGTAACTCCTTTCCCCTTCCTCTCTTTGTCTGAGAAACTTAGTTTCCAAAAATTTAGGTTTTGCCTTGTTTTGGATTTCTTTAAAAATGCTTTTTGAAAATTTGCACTGATAGGCCAGGGGCAGAGGCTCACGCCTGTAATCCCAGCACTTTGGGAGGCCGAGGTGGGCTGATCACCTGAGGTCAGGAAAGCGAGCCCATCCTGGCCAACACAGTGAAACCCCAACTGTACTGAAAATACAAAAAAAATTAGCTGGATGCGGTGGCAGCCACCTATAGTCCCAGTTACTTGGGAGGCTGAGGCAGGAGAGTCGCTTGAACCTGGGAGGCGGAGGTTGCAGTGAGCCGAGATTGCGCCACTGCACTCCAGCCTGGGTGACAGAGTGAGACTCTGTCTCAAAAAGGAAAAAAAAAAAAATTTGCATGATAATACATGCATATATAAGAAATTCAAATTTATGCAGTGAAGAGCAAATATCTTTCCTACCCCAGCTCCCAGTAACCCAATTCTCCTTCTCCCAGAGGCAACTAGTGTTCCTAGGTTTTAAAAAAATGTTTTCAGCATTTATTATTAAACCCTTTTTAATATAGTTATGTTACTGTATATGAACTATTACAGTATACACAAATACTTTACATATTTTTCTTTTTTAACAGTGTATCTTGGAGATTGCTCCATTTTAGTTGTTTTGTGAATTCTTTTTGGTTTCACTACTTTCTGGCTAGAACTGTGGTCTATAATTATGTGTATATTTTTGAATTATTTGTTAGATAATAGTCAATTTGAAAATATTTTCCACTGGTACTTAAAAAGAACATATTTTAGGATATGGATAATATTTTAGATTAGATTTATCATCTTGGATTACATAGATGACTTCAGGACATCCATGAAACCTTTGGAAATTTGCTCATTTTTATGAGTATGAGCATGAGTTTTATTCTTTTTTTTTTTTTTTGAGATAGAGTCTTCCTGTGTCACCAGGCTGGAGTGCAGTGGCATAATCTTGGCTCACTGTAACCTCTGCCTCCCGGGTTCAAGCCATTCTCCTGGCTCAGCCTCCCGAGTAGCTGGGATTACAGGCGCCCACTACCATGCCCAGCTAATTTTTGTATTTTTATTAGAGACGGGGTTTCACCATGTTGGCCAGGATGGTCTTGATCTCCTGACCTCGAGATCTGCCCGCTTCAGCCTCCCAAAGTGTTGGGATTACAGGTGTGAGCCACTGCACCCGGCCCGATCATGAGTTTTATTCTTTGGGGAGTCACGGTCTACTGCTTTTATCAGATTCTCAAAGGAATTCATGGTCTACCAATAGATTTAAGGACTGGTGGTTTATATACTGTTGTACTTTGCCTTATTTGTCAAGTACTGGCATATACCTTAGAGATACTGTGGTTTGGTTCCAGACCACTGCAATAAAGCGAAAAGTACAGTAAAGCAAATAAATCACAATAAAGCCAATGTCATAGTAAAGCAAGTCACACAGTTTTTTTGGTTTCTCAGTGTATATAAAGGTTATGTGTACCGTATACTGTAGTCTGTTAAGTGTATAATAGCATTATGTCTAGAAAAGCAATGTATGTACCTTAATTAAAAAATACTTTTTTTTTTGCTAAAAAATGCTGAGAGTCCTCTGATCCTTCAAAGAGTTGTAATCTTTTTGCTCATGGAGGGTCTTGCCTTGATGTTAATGGCTGCTGACTGATCGGGATGGGGGTTGCTGAAAGGTTGGGATTACTTTGGCAATTTATTAAAACAAGACAACAGTGAAGTTTGCTGCATTGATTGGCTCCTCCTTTCATGAATGATTTCTCTGTAGCATGCAATGTTGTTTGATAGCATTTTACCCACAGTAGAACTTCTTTCAAAATTCAAAAGGAGTCAGTCCTCTCTAACTCTGCTACTGCATTATCAATTAAATTTATGTAATATTCTAATCCTTTGTTGTCATTTCAGTAATATTCACAGCATCTTCACCAGGAATATCTTTCATTTCAATAAACTACTTTCTTTGCTCATCCATAAGAAGCAACTCCTCATCCGTTAAAATTTTATCATGAGATTGCTGCATTCAGTCACATCTTCGGGCTCCACTTCTAATTCTACTTCTCTTGCTATTTCCACCACGTCTGCAGTTACTTCCTCCACTGAAGTCTTGAACCTCTCAAAGTCATCCGTAGGGGTTAGAATCAACTTCTTCCAAACTCTTGTTAATATTGATACTTTGGCCTTTTCCCCATGAACCATGGATGCTCTTAATGGCATCTACAATGGTGAATCCTTTCCAGAACATTTTCTATTGACTTTACCCAGATCTCAGAGGAATCACTATCTGTGGCAGCTATAGCCTTACAAAATGTATTTCTTAAATACTAAGACTTGAAAGTAGAAATGACTTCTTTATCCATGTGCTGCAGAATGGATGTTGTGTTTAGTAGGCATGAACACAACATGAATCTCCTTGTACATCTCCAGTAGAGCTCTTGAGTGACTAGGTGCGTTGTCAGTGAACAGTAATGTTTTGAAAGGAAGCTTTTTTCTGAGCTGTAGGTCTTAACAGTGGGCTTAAAATATTTAGTAAACTGTGTAGTAAACAGATGTGCTGTCATCCAGGCTTCGTTGTTGGATTAGTAGAGCACAGGGAGAGTAGGTTTATAATAATTCTTAGGTGCCCTAGGTTTTTCAGAATGTAAAAGAGCATTGGCTTCAACTTTAAGTCCACCAGCTTCGTTAGCCCTTAGCAAGAGACTCAACCTGTCCTTTGAAGGCAGGTATTGAATTATTTCTAGCTATGAAAGTCCTAGATGGCATCTTCCAATAGAAGGCTGTTTTGTCCACATTGAAAATCTGTTGTTTAATATAACTACTTTCATCAGTTACCTTAGGTAGATATTCTGGATAACTTTGTGCAGCTTCTACATCAGCACTTGCTGCTTCACCTTGCACTTTTATGTTGTGGAGACAGGTTCTTTCCTTAAGCCTCATGAGTGAACCTCTGCTAGCTTCAAACTCTTCTGCATTTTCCTTACCTCTCTCAGCCTTCATAGAATTGAAGAGAGGGCCTTGGTCTGGCTTAGGCTTTGGTTTAAGGGAATATTGTGACTGGTTTGATATTCTATCCAGACCACTCAGACTTTCCCCATATCAGGAAAAAGGCGATTTCACTTCTTTATCATTTATGTATTCATTGGAGTGGCTTTCTTGGTTTCTTTAAGAACTTTCCCTTTGTATTGCAACTTGGCTAACTGGCGCAAGAGGCTTAGCTTTTGGCCTGCCTTCCTCACTAAACTTAATCATTTCTGGCTTTTGATTTAAAGTGAGGGACATGGTGTCTTCCTTTGTCTTGAACACTTAGAGGCAATTGTAGGGTTATTAGTTGGCCTAATTTCAATATTGTTGTGTCTTAGGCAATAGGGAGTCCCAAGGGTAGGGAGACTGGGGAATGGTTGGTTGGTAGAGCAGTCAAAACACGTACCATTTATCGATTAAGTTTGCCATCTTATATGGGTGTGCTTTGTGGCACCCCCAAACAATTACAATAATAACAATCAAAGCTTGCTGATTACAGGTTACCATAACAGTTATAATAATAATGAAAAGTTTGAAATATTGTAAGAATTACCAAAATGTGACACAGATACATGAAGTGAACACGTACTTTTGGAAAAATGGCACCAATACACTTGCTCAAATGAGGGTTGTCATAAACCTTCAATTTGTAAAAAAGATGCAGTATCTGTACAGCACAGTAAAGTCAAGTGCAATAAATGAGGTATGGCTGTATTTAAGTCTCTATTACTGTGGTTGCCATTCTTCCTATATTCTCTGTGGTTTCCGCTTCATTGTTTTATAACTCTGCTTGTAGTAAAATAAAACTGTTTGTGACAGTTTTATTAGTGATTATACTGTTCATCATTACCAAGTAACCCTTTTTGTCCCATTTATTACCTAACAGATGATACTTTTTCTGTTTGCATTTGTTTGTTATATCATTACCCTACATTTTATCTTCAACATTTTGAAATCACTTGTTTTAGATCCATCACTTAGGATATACATTTAAAAAATGATTTACTTATTAGATTTATAGTTATATACATTTAATTTATAGCAGAGATTATAAATTTTGGGCCATAACTACTTTCATATATGTTTTATTCAGTTAGCATATAGGTTATTATTATTTCACATCAGTCTTTATCTTTTGGTTTTAATAGGTGAATTTTACAGATGTTGATGTAGTAGCTGTGCTCGGTCTTACAGCTAACCTTTAGTCTCTGTTTTACCTTTTTTTTTTTGAAACGGAGTCTCATTGTGTTGCCCAGGCTGGAGTGCAGTGGCACGATCTTGGCTCACCGTAACCTCCGCCTCCCGGGTTCACACCATTCTCCTGCCTCAGCCTCCCGAGTAGCTGGGACTACAGGTGCCCACCACCACGCCCAGCTAATTTTTTTGTATTTTTAGTAGAAATGGGGTTTCACCGTGTTAGCCAGGATGGTCTCAATCTCCTGACCTCGTGATCCGCCCACCTCGGCCTCCCAAAGTACTGGGATTACAGGTATGAGCCACCGCGCCCGGCCTTCTGTTTTACCTTTTTAATACTTGCTTGTTTTCTTTCTTTATTTCCTGTTGTTAGATGGCCTCTGTTTCTTTGATTCATTTCCTGTTCTGTCTTTGTATAATTTTGGAAAATATATGGATTTACCCAGATGACTAGACAGCAGTAATTAACCAGAAATGGAAATGAGGAAATTCCATTCATAGTAATCACAAAATCAAAAATACTTAAGAATCAACAGAAAAGCACAGGATTTATATGAAGAAAATCTAAAATAGGATAGGAGCAAATAGAAATGCATACTTTGTCCTTGGATGAACAAATTTCATAAAAATGTCTATTTTCTGAAAGTACATAAATCTAATGCAATTCAGATTGGAACCTCAATAGTGTGTTGGAAGGGATGGCATATAATTGAATAAAATAATCTTTTTTTTTTTTTTTTTTTTGAGATGGAGTCTCCCTCTGTCGCCAGGCTGGAGTGCAGTCTTGTGATCTCGGCTCACTGCAACCTCCACCTCCCGGGTTCGAGCGATTCTCCTGCCTCTGCCTCCCAAGTAGCTGGGACTACAGGCGCGCACCACCACTACTGGCTAATTTTTGTATTTTTATTAAAGACGGGGTTTCACCATGTTGGCAAGGATGGTCTCCATCTCTTGACCTCGTGATCCTCCCACCTCGACCTCCAAAAGTGCTGGGATTACAGGCGTGAGCCACCGTGCCTGGCCTGAATAATATCATCTTAAACTTTTGGGACTTGCCTTACCAGTCATCAGAACATTTATACATTTATAAGCCTATTGTAATCAAGTCACTGTTGTAAGAATAGACAAGTGGACCAGAATAGAGAATCCAGAAATAGATCCTGTTAGTGGAAAAGTGAGTTATTTTGTTGTTTAGATCTTCTGTTTTCTTATTTTTGTTCACTTGATCCATCTTGTACTAAGAGTGGTATATTCATGTCTCACGTTATTAGTGTTTCTATTTATGTTTCCTTGCATCTCCTGTAGTTTTTGCTTTATAAAAGCTGTGGCTGTGCTATTTTGTTTTAAAATAATGCCTGGCTAATTCTTTTGCTTTTTAAAGTAATTTCATCTCTTTGCTTGGAGGTCTTTAGGATTTTATCTTTGTCTTTGAAATATAATAGTTTTTCTAGGCTATTTCTTGGAGTTGATTGTCTGGGTTAATTTTCTCAAGTACCTTGTATATTGATTCAGATATTTTTTCTATTTTAGAAAGTTTTCTTGCATTGTAGCTATAAAACCAGCTCTGTTTTTGTTTGTTTTGTATTTTTCTTCCTCACGTAATCCAATAATATGAATATTATTCTTTTTTCTTATCTTTTTCTAATTATTTCTCTCACCCTTTTCATTTTTCTTTATGTCATTGAGTCTACTCTTCCTTGAACACTTTTATAATTCATTCTTCATTGCTGAGATAATTTTGCCTTTTTCTTCATATTTCTTTCCTGAGTTCAATTACCTCTTTCCCTTTCTTTCTTCCTTTCCTTTTCTTCTTTTTCTTTCTTTTTGTCTATTTCTGCTTTCAGTTTTTGAATTTTTGATTCAGGATTTTTCATATCATCATATGTTTCAGTTTATTTAATTTTGTTTGGATTGTTAACTTACACTTTGCTTTGTCGTCATCAGGGAATTTCCCTCAATTGATAAATGTAAAATTTAATTTTGTTTTGTTTTCTGCAATAGCTCTGTATGCACTTGAGTTTTCTCATGTTCGTTTTTGTGGTATCGAGTATTTTATAATATTCTTAATTTAATTGCATTCTCTTCAGTCAATATAGCAAAGTCCAAATACAATAGCAGAAATTTTGTTTGTTTTACTTGAGGAAAGGGTTGTTCTGTCTTCAATTTTATGGGTCTATTTTGCCTTGCAGGACACTAAATATTTCCCCTTTTTCTTCTTTTACCCTTCACCACTCAGTTGTTAAAGCATGCTTCTCTCTTCCTTTTTGCTTTTTCTTTCCTCTGCGTTTCAACAAATGCTTATTTAACACTTGTCTTTTTAAATTGCACCTGCTGTCTTAAACCGTGCCTTCTGCTTTAAATTAAATGTACTTTAAAATCTCTTCCCTGTAGTCTGTGCTCTGATCTGCCCAGATACTTTTCCAGTGTTTTCAGATACGGTGTGGATTTAATCTTTCTGGGAGTCACTCCAAATCATTTTTAGCCCCCTTCACTAGCCTTTCTCCTCTGTCTTTTCTGCAGTTTTTCTTAGTCTGCCTTTGCTTGCCACAAAGCCTTATGGCTGGATGGAGGTGAAAGCATGTACCCTGGATTGGTTGACTTTTTCTCTTTTTTATTTACAATTATTTGCAATTTTGGCATTCTGTATCTTCAAGTTATGCTACAGGTGTGGTTTGGTATAGAATTTAATTTTTCCTTCTTGTTTTTCTTAAATTTTGGGCAGATAGCTATGCAGCTGCCATTGTCTTCAACTATGTAGAAGTCCTGGATTACTTAATAAATGGTGTTGGTATAACTAGCCTTCTACCTGGAAACAATAAAATTGGACTCAGCTTGTCCTATATAGAGTGTATTAAACTTCCAGATGAATGTAGAATTTATTTTAATTCCAGATGGACTAAAGACTCAGGTTTTTAAAAAAAATCTCTCAAGAATATCAAGGTGGTTTTGTATAGGTGATTACCTATATAATCTAGAATTCATGTGGAATCTGGGTGTGAGAGTCGGGCAGGGATACTCTTTTGACCAAGAATGGAAAACAGAAGCTATAAAATAAAAGATGTGTGTGTATGTAAAAGATAGATTTAGAAGAAATATTTGCAATGTTGAGGACAGACTGTGATAAAATACAAAAAACTTTTACAAGTTGACAAGATAACAAAATAGGAGAATGCATGAATAAATATTTCCCAGAAGAGCATATCCAGATGACCAACAAACATAAGATGTTCAGATTTATTAGTAATCAGAGAAATACAAATTAGAGTAACAACGTATCCCTGTACAGCTATCAAACTGGCCAAATTTAAAACAGCAAAATTACATATGGCTTATGTGGGAAGGGATGGAGGTAAATAAGGCACTTTTATGTCCTCTGCACAATGCTGGTGTTTAATACCAAATGAAGTCAGGGTGGGATGGAGGATCATGATTTTCCCCCCTCTTAAGTGCATACTTTACAAGTATCTTAGGAAGATGAATTAAGCATAGTAATCATAAACTTGTGAAGGCAAGTGTCATCAGATTTTATATTTAGAATTTACCAGGGCATAATGAGATATAAGAAACTCCTTTTAATTACTGTAGTCTGGGATCTTTATCATTGGAGTGCTTTCTTGAAGATCTGCCTGTGTCATGAAAATTAAATTCCCTTCAGTGATTGAGGTTTCTCTCTATTACCAGCTATTATAAGTGACATTCTGAGGACTTGCTTGAGAGACACCTTCCCTGCAATATTTTGTAATTAAAAATTTTGTGTGTATATAAAAAATATATGTCAATGCATCTTATTTCTGATGCATTTCAAAATAAACTACAGATGTCTGTTTACTTCCCTCAAATATACTTCAGCTTGCATATCATTATTCAGTATTTGTTGAGGCAAAATTTACATGCAGTGAAATGTAAAAATCTCAAGTGCACTTTCACTGAGTTTTTTTATTTTTATTTTCTTATGTAGAGACGAGATCTCACTGTGTTGTCCAGGCGGGTCTCAAACTCCTGAGCTCAAGCAGTCCTCCTGCCTTGGCGTCCCTGAATGTTAGGATTATGGGTGTGAGCCACCATGCCCAGCCCACTAGGTTTTAACAAATGCGCAACCTGTGTATTCCACACCAGTATTGAGACATAGAATATTATCTCAAGAAGTGTCCTCATGCTCCTCACAGTCAGTTCATGCTGTCACCCTCTAGAGGCAACCACTATTTTGATTGAAGTATTTTTATGGTCTTATGTTTTCTTTTGGATAAATCTTTAGAAGAGGAATTGTTGGGTCATAGGGTTAGATATATGTTTCGTTTTATGAGAAACTGCCAGCCACCTTTCCAAAGTGGGTGTTCCATTCTACAATTATGAGTCCCAAAGTTTTTGGCTCAGGGAACTAGAAGGATGGAGTTACCATTTATTGAGAGAAAGAAGTCTACAGGAGGGACAGGTTTGGGTGGGGTGGTGGTACTGGTAGAATAGGAGCTCAGTTTTGGATATGTTAATTTTGAGATATCCAACCATAACCAAAACTGTTAGATAGCCATGTGGAGGGGCCAAGTAGGCACTTGTGTATATGAATTTGGATTTAGGGAGAAGGCCTGGGTTGGAGATAAAAAATTGGGAGTCATCAGCTGTAGAACCCACTGTTACACAGATAATGGAATCAGAACTGAATGGAAAAGGTACATCTGAAGAAATTACTGTTTTTTAACATAAACTTTTTTTTTTTTTTTTGAGACGGAGTCTCGCTTTGTCACCCAGGCTGGAGTGCAGTGGCGCGATCTCGGCTCACTGCAACCTCCGCCTCCCAGGTTCAAGCGATTCTCCTGCCTCAGCCTCCCAAGCAGCTGGGACTAGAGGTATGTGCCACCATGCCTGGCTAATTTTTGTATTTTTAGTAGAGATGGGGTTTCATAATGTTGGCCAGGCTCGTCTTGAACTCCTGGCCTCAAGTGATCTGCCCACTTTGGCCTCCCAAAGTGTTGGGATTACAGGCGTGAGCCACCGCACCCGGCTGCATTTCACCAGTTTGAAATCATTAATTGTAATGTAAGATGAAATTTTGGAAACATTTTATGAGTCCTCTGTATGTTTTTGACTGTTTTCTCTTCTCCCTTTGCAGGACTAATGGCTGAAGGATAAATCAACATGGCAACTATGATTCCACCAGTGAAGCTGAAATGGCTTGAACACTTGAACAGCTCCTGGATTACAGAGGACAGTGAATCTATTGCTACAAGAGAGGGAGTTGCTGTTCTGTATTCTAAACTGGTTAGCAATAAGGAAGTAGTACCTTTGCCCCAACAAGTTTTATGCCTCAAAGGACCACAGTTGCCAGACTTTGAACGTGAGTCTCTTTCAAGTGATGAGCAGGACCACTATTTGGATGCCCTTCTTAGCAGCCAGCTAGCATTGGCAAAGATGGTATGTTCAGATTCCCCATTTGCCGGGGCACTTAGAAAACGACTGCTTGTACTCCAGCGTGTCTTTTATGCACTTTCTAATAAATACCATGACAAAGGCAAGGTGAAGCAGCAGCAGCATTCTCCGGAGAGCAGTTCTGGTTCAGCAGATGTCCATTCTGTTAGTGAACGCCCCCGGTCAAGCACTGATGCACTTATAGAAATGGGTGTTCGAACTGGTCTAAGTTTATTATTTGCGCTTCTAAGACAAAGTTGGATGATGCCTGTGTCAGGACCTGGTCTCAGTCTTTGCAACGATGTCATTCATACTGCAATTGAAGTTGTGAGCTCTTTGCCACCATTATCATTAGCAAATGAAAGCAAGATTCCTCCTATGGGCTTGGACTGCTTATCGCAAGTAACAACATTTCTTAAAGGAGTCACTATTCCTAATTCTGGGGCAGACACTTTAGGTCGTAGATTAGCTTCTGAGTTGCTGCTTGGTTTGGCAGCTCAACGAGGCTCATTGCGATATCTTCTTGAATGGATAGAAATGGCTTTGGGGGCTTCGGCAGTTGTACACACCATGGAGAAAGGCAAACTACTCTCAAGCCAGGAAGGAATGATCAGCTTTGACTGCTTTATGACCATATTAATGCAGATGAGGCGTTCTTTGGTACGTACTATAAGTCTCAACTTTAAAGTTCATAATAGTTTTTGGAAAAGTCAATGCAGTTTTTAATGAATTGGTGGTAATAGTGAATGATTTGAGACTTTTGGTGATTGTTGAGTTAATTAAATATTTCATATACTTGGAGTGAAGAAACTTTTATGCATGTTGATAATATATGGTTGGTACAGTGTTAAGACTACTGCATCAGAAGTCAGGTTTATAGTTTTAGCTTTGTGGATTCTCATGTGAACTAGGGAAATTCATCTAACTTTATGTTTTAGCGAACTTATGAAAAATTAGAGATTTTGGCTAGTGATCAGCAGGTCTTTAGAAAAAAAAACCTCTTATTTTCATATTTCCCAATTTATGTTAAACATTTACTATATGCCAAGTACTATTCTACACCTTGGGGCAACAGCCTTGAGGATACAGTTTCCACCCCCATGGAGCTAACAGCCTAGTAGAGGAGTCAGATAATAAATATATAATTTCAGGTAGTGAAAATTTCTAAGAAGAAAAATAAAAGAGGGAAAGGGAATAGAGACTGGTAGACTTAGGACAGAGTTTGGGAGGTGAAAAGTTGCTGTTTTAGTTAATGTGGTCAGGGGATGACTCTCTGAATTGTGACATTAAAGTAGAGACCAGAATGAAGGGAAGTGATGAGCTAAGGAAAGATCTGTGAAGAGCGTGTTGTCAGAGGAAATTAATTATTTGACTATCATAACCTTGGATACAACATTAAAGAATAAATAATAAAATAGCGTAGTATAATCAATTTCAAGAATTTGTAAGACTGAAATATACCTTTGTGAAAACCAAGAATAAAAATTCAAATGTTAAAATACAAATTTAGGCTGGGTGCGGTGTCTCATGCCTGTAATCCCAGCACTTTTGGGAAGCTCAGGAGGGTGGATCACTTGAGGCCAGGAGTTTGAAACCAGCCTGGCCAGCATGGTGAAACCCCATCTCTACTAAAAATACAAAAATTATCCGGGTGTGGTGGTGCGCACCTGTAATCCTAGCTACTTGGGAGGCTGAGGCAGGAGAATTGCTTGAACCCAGGAGACGGAGGTTGCAGTGAGCAGAGATCATGCCACAACACTCCTGGGCAACAGAGCGAGAATCTGTCTCAAAAATAAAATAAAATAAAAAAAAATAAAATACAAATTTAAAATATTAAGACTCAAACACTTAAAAGCTGACTTAATTTTAATTAGGTTACATTGATCAAGTCTTTTTTTTTTTTTTTTTTGAGACAGAGTCTAGCTCTTGTCACCCAGGCGGGAGTGCAGTGGTGTGATCTCCACTCACTGCAACCTCTGCCTCCTGGGTTCAAGCGATTCTCCTGCCTCAGCCTCCCGAGTAGCTGGGATTACAGGTGTGCACTAGCATGCCCGGCTAATTTTTGTACTTTTAGTAGAGACGGGGTTTCACCATGTTGACCATAGCTGGTCTGGAACTCCTGACCTCAGGTGATCTGCCCACCTTGGCCTCCCACACTGCTGGGATTACAGGTGTGAGCCACCACACCCGGCCTACATTGATTAGTCTTTTCGGTATCCTTTGTTACCAGATGTCAACCAACAAATCTATTTAGTTAAAATAACTAAAAATGTCACTTATAAATGATATATGTATATTTCAAGTCTCCCCCTACCCGCAACAAGTAGAAAGCTTTTGGACAGGAGTGTCTCATAAAATCCAATTATGTTGAATTTATTTTCAAACCAGGGACATTTAAGTTTTCACCTACTTTTTGCATTTATGAACTAAATGGTAAATATTGGGTCATGTTTTACAATTTTATCATAGGTAAGTACTTGGGGATTTTAGATCATAAGATCTATGAAAATTTGAATTTCTTACTGTTACATAAAAATAAATAAGAAAAGCATGCCGTGCTTTGTTTGGGATATGGAATGTTGACATGGGTTCTGTGTTCTTCACTTGAGTTGCCCAGGGATGCAATGATGTAATAATTAGGAAAGGCTTTAGGGACCAGCTGTGGGAGGCGTGTAGGCCTCTTTGTGTTTTCTTATTCAATATTCAAATCCTCTCATTTGCACATGTTTTTCTAACTTTGTTTTCTGATTCTTAATACTTTCTGGTAACATCCTCTTATGTTATACTCCTTTCAAGTCTGTAAAGTGATTTATTGACCTAAAATAATATATTTAATATATATATATTAAAACAATAAAATAATGTATTTATGGTCACATGTTAATATTTCTGTAAGAAGTCACTTAATTCCTCATTTTACGGGCTATTTATTTTGCATTACCTTTGTTACAAAAAAGATATTAATCATTGCACAATATAGTTATATGATTAAATGTTTGCCAATGGTGTGTTTGAACAAAATGCTAGTTACCTTGAGGCAGAAGCCTCTTCCTCGAGGACCTTACCTTCTAAGGCCTTATTCTACAATATTGCTCCTTAATGGGAAGAGGGTACCCCAGAAAATAGATTTCTTTTCTCAGTGTCCATTTAGCCTCATTGTCTAGGCTTGTATGCATATTTGATAATTGACTGGATAGTTTAAATATTTTTCCTTTTTCCCTTTTTTTTTTTGAGATGGAGTTTTGCTCTTGTTGCCCAGGCTGGAGTGTAGTGGCGTGATCTTGGTTCACTGCAACCTCCACCTCCCGGGTTCAAGTGATTCTCCTGCCTCAGCCTCCCAAGTAACTGGGACTACAGGCACCTGCCACCATGCCCAGCTAATTTTGTTTCTGTATTTTTAGTAGAGACGGGGTTTCCATGAAGGCCTACCTTAAAGTAGATCTAAAATAATTTTTTTTTTAACTGCTGGATTTCCAGTTTTCTTTCTACTTGGCCTCTCATTCCCAGACAAAATAGCAAATTCGCTAGTCAGGGAGGTTCCTCCCTCCTTCCTCTCTAAAGCCATACCCTATAATATAGCTCCTTATTGGGGCAGAGATGCCTCTAAAAAACTAGATTGCTGGCCAGGCGTGGTGGCTTACACCTGTAATCCCAGCACTTTGGGAGGCCGAGGCGGGCAGATCACCTGAGGTCAGGAGTTTTGAGACAAGCCTGGCCAACATGGTGAAACCCTGTCTCTATTAAAAATAAAAAAATTAGCCAGGCATGGTGGCAGGTGCCTGTAATCCCAGCTACTTGGGAGGCTGAGGCAGGGAGAATCGCTTGAACCTGGGAGGTGGAGGTTGCAGTGAGCTGAGATCGCACCATTGCACTCCAGCCTGGGTGACAGACCAAGACTGTCTCAAAAAAAAAAAAACTAGATTGCTTTTCTCAGAATTCTAGATCTATTCTGGGGAAGAATATGTGTTTGACTTAATTTAGGTCTCAAAGCCACCTCAGGCCTACATTAGATTGAATTTTAATTAAATCTCAGCTTGGTTTTAGGGGAAAGGAATGCTTATTAAACTGAATTATATATTTGTTATTTCTTCTTGCACAGTCAGTGATAGTATCTGATGTTTTTGGTCTCCAGAACCCGTGTTTCTTTTCTTTTCTTTTTTTTTTTGAGGTAGAGTTTTGCTCTGCCACCCAGGCTGGAGTGCAATGGTGTGAACTTGGCTCACTGCAACCTCTGCCTCCTGGGTTCAAGCTATTCTCGTGCCTCAGCCTCCCCAGTAGCTGGGTTTACAGGCACTTGCTATCATGCCTGGCTAATTTTTGTATTTTTAGTAGAGACGGGGTTTCACCATGTTGGCCAGGCTGGTCTCGAACTCCTAACCTCAGGTGATCTACCTGCCTCGGCCTCCCACAGTGCTGGGATTACAGGCGTGAGCCACCGTGCCCAGCCTAGAACCCATGTTTCTTACACTTTACTGTTGTCTGAGAACTAGGAAGTTTGTAGAGCCTCTTCTGATACACTAGACCCCAACCTGACCTGATCCTCCCCGTCTTGAATTTCTCTATCCTTGAGTAACTGGGCCAGAACTTATCTCCCAGCTATAAGTTAGAGGGAGAGACACATAACCATCTATTGAGTATCTGGTACAAGACCTAACAAAAATAAGTTCAATCGGTAAATTGTATTTACTTGTGTGATTCTTAATCTCTGCTGCCCACACATATGTAATGAATTTGGTGGGAACACACAATATATTCATTAACTTATATGAGAATAGGGAAGTAATCTCAGTGTACATCTTCAAATTATAAAAAATAACCATATGTACGCCATTCACCTTTGATGCCACTAGGTGTTTACTGCACATGTTGTGCCAGATACTGCTAGGCACTGGGTTAAAAAGATGAATAAGCTTTGGAGCATCCATGTCTTTAGACAGCCCACAGTGTAATGAAAGAGGGATGCACAGACATTTCAAATTAATGATAATGGGCTATAGTAGAAGTCTGTACTGGGAGGAGATGATGGGATGAAAGAAGAGGGCGGGAGGCAAAGGGACCGAAAATGTCTTACGGAGGAAGTACCCCTGAGGTTATTTGAAAAGTAGGAGGGTTTTGCCAGCAATTGTGAGGTGTGTGTGTCAGGGGAGCTGGAGAACTTTTCAGATGAGAGGCTCACAAAGCGATTGAGTTGTGGGGAGAGCAAGCCCCGGGATGTATGGAATGGAATGAGATGAGATTGAGGCTGCAAGCTAGGCAGGGCCCTGTATCCCATGCTATAGGCTTTGGGGACTTGATCCCATATGTAATGTGAAGTTATTGAAGCAATTTTGAGTAAAAACAGCCAGAACGGAAGGAAATGTACTCCGTCTAATCTTATGTCTTTGAATATCTTAAGCAGACAAATGTGAGGGGAAAAAAATTGTCATTTAGTATGGTAGATAAGAGGAAGGTAACTAAAGACCTGTGAAACAAAAACATTTATTTTTTTTATTTTTTAAGACAGAGAGTCTTGCTCTGATGCCCAGGCTGGAGTGCAGTGGCATAATCTTGGCTCACTGCAACTTCCACCTCCCGGGTTCAAGCGATTCTCCTGCCTCAACTTCCCAAGTAGCTGGGATTACAGGTGCCCGCCACCATGCCTGGCTAATTTTTTTATATTTTTAGTAGAGATGGGGCTTCACCATGTTGGCCAGGCTGGTCTCGAACTCCTGACCTCAGATGATCTGCCTGCCTTAGTCTCCGAAAGTGCTGAGATTACAGGCGTGAGCCACCACACCGGGCCCCAAAATTTATTTTAATTTCGACTTTATTTTTGGACCATTGAACTTTCCATCATGTTGAGAATGTGAACAAATGAAGTTATACATTTAATGGGCTATATTTTTCAAAATTTATTTTCTCTAAAAATGCCCAGCTTTAGCCCTGTTTTTTTTGGAAACAGAGTCTCACTCTGTCACCCACTCTGGAGTGCAGTGGCAAGATCTCGTCTCACTGCAGCTCCCGCCTCCCAGGTTCAAGCAGTTCTCCCTGCCTCAGCCTCATGAGTAGCTGGGATTACAGGCGCCTGCCACCACACCTGGCTGATTTTTGTATTTTTTAGTAGAGACGGGGTTTTGCCATGTTGGCCAGGCTGGTTTTGAACTCCTGACCTCAGGTGATCCACCTGCATAGGCCTCCCAAAGTGCTGGGATTACAGGCGTGAACCACTGTGCCCGGCCTGTGTAGAATGAGTTTTAGGTGTGTCTTCAATCGTAACTGACTGAAGCTGGAGTAGACTTATCCTTAAATACTGACTTTTTTGTTGAGAAATTAACAACAGTCATTACAGTGTTTGTGGGATATTTTGTTGGTTTGGTATTGTTAAATTTGGCAGTAATTTATTAAAGGCTCCCAGTATTTTCTCTTCTTTCTCAATATATATATACATAATGCAAAATAATAATTATTGCTATCAGTTTTGAGATCTTACTATGTAGTGGGAACTGTGCTAAGCATGTTTTACACATAATTTCAGTTAATTATGTAACAGCTCTAAATGTTGTGGGCATCATTCCCATCTCAGGATGAGACCCTTTCAGTAAGAGCCAGTAAGGGATGGAGCCTAGATTTAAACCCAAGTTTATCACTAAAAACTTTATGCTGTTTTCAACATTTTTCTCCATACTGTAGAAAGGCATAAAAGAGGGATCATGATGGCCCTGGTGCCAGCTCCTAGAAAGGTACATCAGTCTACTCCTTACCTGTTTTTGTTTTGGTGATCACTAGAGTTGGCTTTTAGATAACGAAGCCACAGATCACAATTGCGATTTTTCTCAGAAATGCTTCACAGCTAACTAGGGAATTTGGAGAGGTTGCAACCAAGTATTTGTTGTTGTAGCAACACATTGTATGTCTAGGGACTAGTTACTTTTAAACACTTAGCTTCTGATATGATTCCATACCTGAGTCTGGACTCTGAAGCCTTACTACTCAAAGTGTGAGCCACAGACAATAGCACTGGCATCACCTACATTTGTTAGAAATGCAGAATCTTAGGCTTCTTCTCTACTTACTGATTAGGATCTGTATTTTAACAAGATCACCAGGTAATTCGTGTCAACATTGAAATTTGAGAAGCAACATCCTAAATAATTAAAAAGAAAAACTGACTTGGCAGCAGCAGGTTAATAGCAGATGACCCAGCAATAAGAGAAACAGTCGAATAGAATCAGAGATCTGAAGACGATGAGCAATGTGCTATGATTGGAAGGCTCTGATTAGCTATCATAGTTATTGAAAGCTATCTGAGAAGTGAGGGATTTGGAACAGCTGAAGAGAATAATTAAGAATAATGATTATTAATGGGGTGGGGCGATAACGGAGACTATGACAACAGGAAGCTTTACATAGTAAATTTATAAAGATCTTGGAGAAAAGGAAGCTATATGAAGAGACTGAAGATTAAACTTCTCTGCAGCTTTGCTGGGGTGAGGAGAGTGGTGTGAAAGTCATTCACATGGACTTCATCATAGCAGCTTTTGAAGGCAGAGGGAGAACTTGTTAGATGACAAAAAAGTTCTGCCATGTAATACTCAGCTCTTCGGAGAACTCTCCAAAGTGATTGACATTTCATTGATTTGAGGGTAGCAAGATATTTGCTGTTTTGTTTTGTTTTTGAGACGGAGCCTCGCTCTTGTTTCCCAGGCTGGAGTGCGGTGGGGCGATCTCGGCTGACTGCAGCCTCCGCCTCCTGGGTTCAAGTGATTCTCCTGCCCCAGCCTCCCCAGTGGCTGGGACTACAGGTGCCCGCCACCACGCCCGGCTAAAATTTTGTATTTTTAGTAGAGATGGGGTTTCAGCATGGTCAGGCTGGTCTCTAACTCCTGACCTCAGATGATCCACCCGCCTTGGCCTCCCAAAGTGCTGGGGATATTTGCTGTTTTTATTTAAAAGTATTATTTATTGTTTATCTGCCCAGTAGATACAGATTGATGAAAAGTTCACCATTGTTTTATTTACCTGATGGAATAGAAAGAGGACAGATGAATATATAGAGCAACTTAAAACCTATAGGCCAGGCGCGGTGGCTCACGCCTGTAATCCCAGCACTTTGGGAGGCCGAGACGGGTGGATTGCCTGAGGTCAGTAGTTCGAGAGCAGTGTGGCCAACATGGTGAAACCCTGTCTCTACTAAAAATACAAAAAAATTAGCTAAGCATGGTGGCGTGCACTTGTAATCCAGCTACTTGGGAGGCTGAGGCAGGGGAATTGCTTAAACCCGGAAGGTGGAGGTTGCAGTGAGCCGAGACTGCGCTACTGCACTCCAGCCTGGGCAACAGAGCAAGACTCCATTTCAAAAAAAAAAAACAAATGAAAAACCTATAAAACTTTAGTGTAGGCTGGGCATGGTGGCTCACGCCTGTAATCCCAGCACTTTGGGAGGCCCAGGTGGGCAGATCACCTGGGGTTGGGAGTTTCAGACCAGCCTGAACCAACATGGAGAAACCTCTTCTCTGCTAAAAATACAAAATTAGCTGGGCATGGTGGCTCATGCCTGTAATCCCAGCTACTCGGGAGACTGAGGCAGGATAATTACTTGAAACTGGGAGGTAGAGGTTATAGTGAGCCGAGATCGTGCCATTGCACTCCAGCCTGGGCAACAAGAGTGAAGCTCTGTCTCAAAAACAAAACAAAACAAAAAAACCCCTAACCTTTAATGTATTACGAAACTTAAAAAATTCTAAGTAAGCTTCATTAATAGTTGATAAGCTTTATTAATGTGCTGTTTTTTATTTTGAGACGGAGTCTCATTCTGTCACCTAGGCTGGAGTGCAGTGGTGCGATCTGCAACCTCCGCCTCCTGGGTTCAAGCGATTTTCCTGCCTCAGCCTCTCAAGTATCTAGGATTACAGGCACATGCCACCATACCTTGAGAAGTTTTGTATTTTTAGTAGAGACAAGGTTTTACCATGTTGGCCAGGCTGGTCTTGAACTCCTGACCTCAAGTGATCTGCCCACCTCAGCCTCCCAAAATGCTGGGATTACAGGTGTGAGCCACTGTGCCTGGCTAATATGCTTTTAATGATATTAATTTTAATTAATTACTAATATATAATATAACATAAATAAATTAGTATTAATCAAATTAATCGGATTAATATTGATGAAGTTAATGTTTGACCTCTATGATTATATTAATAGTATAAATACATTTTAATATTTACTAATAGTTAATAAGCCTTAATAATAAGCTTTATTAGTAGATCCTGAGGTGGGAGGATCACTTGAGCCCAGGAGGTTGAGGCTATAGTGAGTTATGTAAACCAAAAACTATCTGAGACAGGTCGCAAATCAATTTAGGTTTATTTTGTCAAGGTTAAGGACAATGCCTGGGAGATGAGTGTAAACCAAGAAGTGTCTGAGACAAGAAATTGATCTTTCTCTATCAGTTTAGAAAGCCATTGCACTCCAGCCTGGGTGACAAGAGCGAAACAGTCTCAAAAAAATAAAATAAAGTTTATTTTGCCAAGGTTAAGGACATGCCTGTGACAGCCTCAGGAAGTCCTGGTGGCAGGTGCCCAAGGCAGTTGGGGTACAGCTTGCTTTTATACATTTTAGGGCGACATAATATATCAATCAGTACATGTAAGATCTTATTGGTTTGATCTGAAAGGATGGGATAACTCGAGGTGGGGGGCTTCCAGGTCATAGGTAGATTTAAACATATTCTGATTGGCCGTTCGTTGAAAGAGTTAGTGGAATGTGTGGGTTACAATAAGGAGTTGTGGGAGAGGTAGGTTTTATCATGCAGATGAAGCCTCCAAGTAGCAGGCTTAGAGAGAATAGACTGTAAATGTTTCTTTTTAGACTTAAGATCAGTATTGATGTTAACGCTGGATGGATATAATGAGGCATGTCCGATCTCCCACTTCCCGTCCTGGCCTGAATCAGTTCTTCAGGTTAAATTTTAGAGTGCCCTCCCATAGGAGGGAGTCCATTCAGATGGTTGCTGGGGGCCTTTGAATTTTATTTTTGGTTTACACAGATCTGTGCCTTTTTCCAAAGGTGATATTGAGGGCTTCACTATTTAAAGGGGGTAAGCAGGCTGGAGGAGAACAAAGGAGGGTATGGTCGCATTACTGAATCCACAAATTGCAAGAGAAAAGGAGCAGAATAGTGGAATTATGTATTTCTCTGGCGCTCAGTAGATAGGCATTTTATATAAGATAAGGTGAACAGAGAGTAGTTACCTATGAGGATATTCACCCTTTCATCTGTAGCTATCTGCTTCGGAACAAAAGGAAAGGCAGCTTCTTGCATAAGTCAGCCGTCAGCTTAATTTTTTTCTTTTGTCAGGGTGAATTGGAGTCTCAAGGTTTTATTTCCTTTTCACAGCAATAATCTTTGCCACTGAATTCCAGCCTTGGCAACAGAGCAAGACCCTAGAAGGTCATATACCAGTTAAACTCCTCCATTTTGCCTCTTAATGTGCATGCTTGATCCCACTCACCCAGCTCCTGAGATCTTATTAGCAAGTTGCTGATCACAAGTTTCAGGGTTTTTTTCTGTCTGTTGGGAGACTGCCTTTCCCTGGTGCTGGCTGCAGTCAATTATTGTTTTAGAGAGACAGTTAACCACTGCCTGACCATCACTTGATGGTCACCTGACATACCTGGTGGTGGGGGTTGTAACACTGTAACACTGGGACCTTGGTTGTGGTGAAACTAAGAAGGGAGGGACAGACTTTCTGCTGCTTTGGTCACGTCATTACTAAAGCTGGCTGTATTCTGTCAGGTGGAAGGCAGGTGGGCAATATACCCATGGGGAGTATTTCCTGAGACCACATTTTCTGGATACTGGTCACCCAAAGAGTGTGTAACTGGCAGAATTCCACTTCCTTGATTGTTTCGAGAGCCCTGTGTCCCTTGGAATAAATCACTTTTTAATCAGGTAATCAGTGAGGGATTGGCACTTAATTTATCATGTGATGCAGTAGCCAGCTCGTTTAATAAAACTTCCTTGCAAAAGTTAGTTTCATGACCTAATGTTAGGATTTGGTTTCAGTGCACATAATTATATAAACAGGTCTTCAAATAGGTGTTGTTTTTGTAGACTGTTTAACTAATTTTAATGCATATGTCTCTCCCCTTCCTACGCTGTGTCCCGCAATGTTTTAATTATAGGGTTCATCTGCTGATCGGAGTCAGTGGAGAGAACCAACCAGAACATCGGATGGCTTGTGCTCCCTTTACGAGGCAGCATTATGTCTCTTTGAAGAGGTACGTAATAATCGTGGCTTTTGTATTAACAACTTTGTGTTAAAATGCTATGGCATGTATTTATCCCTTAAAAATAATCCATTTTCTCTGGAAAAGCTACAAAAGGAAGTGGCACCAGTTGTTACCTCTAGAGAGAGGAACTGGGTATCTAGGGTGGGGGTGGGGTGAGTAGGAGACATTCTTTTCAATGTATACCCTTTCATTTATTTTGATTTTTGAATTATGTGCTGGTAACTTTAATTGAAAAAATGTTGTATTAAGTAAAACACATAGAAAAGCATACACATATATTGCTTAATGAATTATTATAAAATAAATACCCTTCTAATATGTACCTAGGTAAAGAATTTTCTTAGTCATTGCAGAAGCCCTTTCACAGCCTTGTCATAACCTCTTTTCTCCTCCCCAAAGTAACCACTATTGTGACTTTGACCACTTCCTTGCATTTCTTTATAGTTCTGTCAACCAGATGTGCATCCTTAGACACTATAGTCTTGCCCATTAAAAAAAAAAAAAGGAAAGTCTTTTAAATATTTTAATCTCTAGGTTCCCTCCTCCATTTTTCTTTTCCTTCAATATGTTTGTTCAGGAATCTAGGCTTTCTAGGCTGTAGCATTTCCCACAGTCTGGGTTTTACTGATAGATTACTCATGATGCAGTTCCTTATGTTTCTTTATCCTCTGTATTTCCTATAAATTGGCAGCTGGATCCAGAGGCTTGATCAGTCTCAGGTGTTATGTCTGTATACATGTATTCTTCCATTAGGTTCTATCTGGTTGTCTCTCTTTGTGGTATTAGCCCTTGATGCTTAATGACTATATTAATTCTTTTGTGCTTTGTTGCAAAAATATGATATTCTAATTCTATCGTTTCTTTTTATTAGTGTTGGGGTGATCAGACCCAACACCAGGTCGTGGGGGTGACAAAGTCCGGTGGATTCAAAGGATTGAGAAAAAGACAGTTTGAGAGAGAAAGGTGGGACACCAGGGGGCCATGGCTATTGTGGAGCCCACAAAGGCCCTGAGCTCTGGGACCCCACGGTATTTATTGGTAATCCAACAAAGAAATAGGTGGTGAGAATGTGGAGGTCAAAAGGGCAGGCGCATGGTCTACAGCTGTGATGGTTTAGCATTTATATGGAACATGTTCTGCTACTTGAGATAATGGGAATAGGAGCCTAGGAGAGCTAGAAGCAAGGAGCCAGCAAGTCTAGACACATTCGAGAGGACATTATGCAAGCCCTGCCTCAGTTTCCCTCGCAACACTCAGCTTTTTCCCAACAATTAGTTGCAATATTTTTGTGAAGAGATTCCCTTATTGACTGATTACTCTGCTACAGTTTATATGGGAAGAGCAGAATAAATGCTTGATTCTTTCTATCTGCTCTTTATTTACCAGTTTTCAATTTAATGAATTGTCTTCCTACCATCCTCCAAACTTGGCCAATTAACTTCATTTAAAAAATATCATGGGCTGGGTGCAGTGGCTCACACCTGTAATCCCAGCACTTTGGGAGGCCGAGGTGGGTGGATTACCTGAGGTCAGGAGTTCGAGACCAGCCTGGCCAATATGGTGAAACCTAGTCTCTATTAAAAATACAAAAAATTAGCTGGGTGGGGCGGCAGACGTCTGTAATCCCAGCTACTCAGGAGGCTGAGGCAGGAGAATTGCTTGAACCCGGGAGGTGGAGGTTACAGTCAGTAGAGATCATGCCACTGTGCTCCAGCCTGAGCAATAAGACCAAAACTTCATCTCAATAAATAAATAAATAAATAATCATTATGAACCCACAGATTTAAGCCTATTTGAGTTTCAGCACATTGAATTATTATCTGCAGTGAAGGTCATGTTGTTTCATTTTTGGCTATTAGTCTCTTCAGGGTGGTTCCTAAGTTATTTTAACATAAGCCTCATAATCTTTTAGAGCCTCCTTGCTTTCTGATACGTTTCATTGTTTCTGGCTGATCTTACACATTTGTTGCCCCCAATCTGGAATCATCTAGCTAGTTTTCTGAAAAAAGTCCTGGTTTCTTTTATTGGAAAATGATATTTCAAGACCACAATCAGGGTGCTAGAAATGCTTACTGCTACTGAGTTGGTCTTATTTCTAGGTTTTTATATTCATGGTAGACAGAGCTAGGATGTGTATACATGTGTTTTTAAAGCTAAGATACCTAATGAGTTCATACTGATACTTTCAAATTCACAGCTATAGAATTTTTACTTAACCTTTACATTTATATCTTCTTCCTTTTAAACTAAGATTGCTAATTCCCAAAGATACAAGGATGAGAATTAGAATATGCCATTATTACTCATTTGTTTTAATTACATGTTACACACATAGACACATAAACAGCAGTCCTAAAATAAGACAAATAATTACTGCTGTATGATTACTGAAAAAATTAATTTCTAAATTATGCTTTCCCTGTTTTTTAATAATTGTATTACATCTATATAGGCCATATAGTTATTACATACTCTCTGCATTTTTTTTTTTTTTTTTGAGACAGTCTTGCTCTGTTGCCCAGGCTAGAGTGTGCAGTGCTGTGATCATAGTGCCCTGCAGCTTCTATCTCCTGGGCTCAAGTGATCTTCCAGCCTCAGCCTCCCAAGTAGCTGGGACTACAGGCATGTGCCATCACACCTGGCTAATTTTTTTATTTTTATTTTTAGTAGAGATGAGGTATTGCTATGGTTGCCCAGACTGGTCTTAAACTCCTGAGCTCAAGTGATCCTTCTACCTCGGGCTCCCAAAGTACTGGTATTACAGACGTGAGCCATGGCGCCCAGCCTGTCTCTGTGTTTTAACCTTCATTTAGTATTAGTTCTACAAATGATTACTTATTTAATGCTCAATACTAGTCTCTGTGTCAGTGTCTATTCTTTTTGATAGTTTGAGGGTCATTCTCTAGTAGATTTCTCAATAAAGACTCATCAGAACAAGATTTCAGAGTTTTTGCATGTTGATAATTGCTGTGCTCTTTATTCTTGAATGTCAGTGTTGATAATAATCTTTAGTTCATCTTTTCTTTAGTTCACATTTTCTTTTCTTCTTGTCTATCTTAAATATGTTACTCCATTCTCTTCTGGCATAAACTGTTACTGTCAAAGTCCAAAGGTAATCTGATTTTCTTTCCTATGTGAGCCATGCATATTTGCTGAGAAGCCCAAAGGATTTTTTTTTCTCTTTAAAGATCAGTAATTTTACTATAGAATATGTCTTGATATTATTCATTCTGGGTTGATATTCTTAGAGATGTGATAATTCAATATGTAGTTTCAAATCTTTTTTATTTCAGGAAAATGTCCCTAAATTACAGTTTCTTATTTTTATTCCCTTGATTGGGTTCTATTCTTTAGGGATTTCTATTATGTGCATGTTGGATCTTTGCCTGATTTTAATATTTGTCAGTTTTTCTTGAATACTTTGTCTTTTTAAATTTTTTAATTTCTAAAAATGCTTTTTGTCTTTCATTACTCTTAGGGCATTATCTACTGTATTTATTTACTTTTGGGTTTCTTCTAGTTTAGTCTTCAGTTCCAAAATGATTTTTTTCTCTTATTTCTAATTCTTGAGTTATGTTACCTCATTTTTGAGGGTTTGTAATTCAGATTTCTGTTTTTCCTTTGTGTCTTTTTTTTTTTTTTTTTTTTGGATGGTGTCTCTGCTGCCCGGGCTGGAGTACAGTGGCATGATCTTGGCTCACTGCAACTTTATAATAACTTCATATGGGATTTGACCTCAATACTTTTCTGTTGCTTATTTCTACGTAGGATTAGTTTTCCTGAACTCTTAGAATGAGTTGGGATTTAAGATGGCTTTTTAAACTCCATAGACTCCCTCCCTCTGTTTTTTTTTGTGTGTAATGTTAAAAAAAAGTCGTTTTCCAGTTTGTTCCCCTTCCCAACTTTTGTCTTGGTATTCTCTTTCCTTTCCATCTTTCCTTTCTGTTGTCCCTATCCAGTTCAATTTTTTTTTCTGCCCCCAGTAGTTTTTCTCAGTGTAGGGGCTTTGTCCTGGAAAGGAATCCTGGCTGGCCAGTATCAAGAGGCATGAGCCACCACACTGGCTGTGATAGACCTGTAGATGAGCAATTCTGACTCCCTTGGCCCCACTATCCTCCTTTATCTCCAGCAAAATTCCAGACCTTTTATTAGGGACTGGCAGCTGTCCTCAGATACTGTCCTCATGTTCACTGGAAAATATTTGTCTAACACACATATTATTCTATTGTTTGGATACTATTTAAAGTATCTGACCAAGATGACCCTATCCTCTCCCATTTCATGTGCTAGCAAACTAATATGTTGACTTCTTAAATTTCTTTTATCGTTTTGCTTGATTCAGCAAAACCAAAAAACTAAAAGGCAGAAAACAAATTGATAGTCACTGTAGTCAGTTAATATCTTTATTGTATTGAGTTCATACAAGTCAATTTAAAAATCTATTAAGTTCTAATAAATAAGTGAACAGAAGTTCACGTCACAAAATATAGTAAACAAATAGATGGAAAAACTTTAGTTTTGCTAACAATAAAGAAATGTGAAGTTAAGATAAGGGCATCTTCCTTTTTCCTCATTTATGTTTGCCAAAAAATTTAAAAGCATGATACTTATTATGAGTATGGATTCAGTGAAATTGGTACTGGGATGGCCACTCTGGGTCCTATGCTTTTGGCAGGCAGCCTGGTGTTTTAAAAAGGCTTTTGAATGGCAACAGACTTTACCATTATATTCTACAGAAATGGTAAATAAGCCATGATTTTTATTTTATATATTCAGATATACGTGTGAATGTTAATTGCTTTGTGCCTTCGCTGTTTTTAGAACAGCCTTCTTTCATACCTTACTGGTGATGTATTAATAGCACCATTTTGGAATGCAGTTTGGTATAGTATGTTTCAAGAATCATAGGATTCTTGTCTTTTTTTGAATTCCGAGTCCCATTTCTGAGATTCTCTACTAAGGAAGTAATAAAAAGTATAGTAACAACTATATCCTTAAAAATGGCCTATATAACAAATAAATAGACTCTAAATGCCCTATTAAAGGAAAGTGGAGCCAGGTATGATTACTTGCATGCCTGTAATCTCAGCTACTTGGGGGGCTGAGGTGGGAGGATTGCTTGAACCCAGGAGTTTGAGTCTAGTCTGTGTAAGATAATGAGACCCCATCTATTTAAAAAAAAAGTTGGGGGTGGGGAAGTGGTTGAGTACATTGTGATGTTTTTTACTAGATGGAATATTATCTATTCAATCATGAAGACTAGGTAGGCATGGATTTGCATGACTCTTTTGTGCAGTTTGTCACTTTTATGTATCCTCTGTGGTGACTGTGTTAAATAATTTGTATATGAACAATTCTGGAAGGACATATATTTAAAAGGTAAAATTTATTGTATTAAGATGTTAAGATTATCCATGGTGATTTTTTCTACTTTATTTCTTAAGCTTTGTTTTTCTACAGTGTTTTGTATGCAGTAATAAAATGTTTAGCTAAAGGATTGTGTGTCTCCCGTTTCCCACTTTTGCCACTTCATTAGCGTCTTTTAGTGGTTTATTCCATATGAGTAAATAGTCTAGTTATCTTTATTTAATAGGTTCTTTGAGCATTTGAGAGTGTTGGAAGGAAAGGCAACAGTAATTTCAGAGGATATGTATAAAAAATGCCCAGACTAAAACTGTCTTGACTATTTGTTGCATATTTTAAATTTTTAATAGGTTTGCAGAATGGCTTCTGATTATTCGAGAACATGTGCTAGCCCAGATAGCATTCAGACTGGTGATGCTCCCATTGTCTCCGAAACCTGTGAGGTTTATGTTTGGGGGAGCAATAGCAGCCATCAGTTGGTAGAAGGTACACAGGAGAAAATACTGCAACCCAAACTGGCTCCTAGTTTCTCTGATGCACAGACCGTAAGTTTTCTAAATAGCTTACAAACTGGTAGATAATCTGGTGTATATTCATGCTTATTTGCATTAAATAATACTGAGTATTTTTTAAATGAGTGAAAATTATCGATGGTTATTTCTGGTCTATATACTGCATTAGTTTTTTTCATTTTAATAGAAAAATAAATTTTTGCTGGGCGCAGTGGCTCACGCCTGTAATCCCAGCACTTTGGGAGGCTGAGGCAGGTGGATCACGAGGTCAGGAGTTCGCGACCAGCCTGGCCAATATGGTGAAACCCTATCTCTACTAAAAATACAAAAATTAGCCAGGCATGGTGGCGCATGCCTGTAGTCCCAGCTACTCGGGAGGCTGAGGCAGAAGAATAGCTTGAACCTGGGAGGCGGAGGTTGCAGTGAGCTGAGAACATGCCACTGCATTCCAGCCTGGGTGACAGAGTGAGGCTCCGTCTCAAAATAAATAAATAAAAAATACATTTTTAGTCCCCAGTATCCCTGACAGCATTTCCAACTTTCAAATAACTAAATTGGGATCTCGATTTTTAAAAAGTGTTAAGAATAGCAACAGACTTTACCGTTATGTTCACCACAAATGGCAAGTAAAAGTAAATAAAGGCCTGGTATGGTGGCTCACACCTGTAATCCCAGCACTTTGGGAGGCCAAGGCGGGTGGATCGTTTGAGATCATGAGTTCGAGACTAGCTTGACCAACATGGTGAAACCCCGTCTCTACTAAAATTATTTACAAAAATTAGCCGGGCATGATGGCGCGTGCCTATAATCTCATGTACTCAGGGGGCTGAGGCAGGAATTGCTTGAACCTGGTAAGTGGAGGTTATAGTGAAACAAAATTGCACCACTGCACTCTAGCCCAGGTGACAGAGCGAGACTCTGTCTCAAAAAAAAAAAAAAAAAAAAGTAAATAAAAACTGGAATTTCTTTTTGCTAGATTAGCATTTCATTTTCTTATGATCACTTTTTTTTTTACATTTGTAGCCCAGCTAGAACTTTCTATTTGATTATTACTTTCATTAAAATGTATTTTTTTTTCAAATAGGTTTAGAATACATTTTATATGGTTCTTGCCATAATGTACCCTAAGGAATTTATAGGAAGGAAAACTTTATGTCTTGCCATTCTCAGTTATAAGAGGATATTAAGCGTTTTACTTTGTTGTTTCATTCAATCATAACCTGGACAATAACCTGGAAAGATAACATATACATGAAGAATTTGAACTCAGCAACAAAGTTGTGAGCATGAAAAGGCCATTCGTGTTCTCTTAGATTTCTGTATATTCCTTAATCTCTCTGGAGAATCATGCCGTATCCTGCTAAAAGACTTCCTTTGAGGCTCTTTGATAAAACCAGCCTTAAATATTATACTTTGATACTCACAGAAGTATTTTATATTTATGATTCTTTGTTTATAGATTGAAGCTGGACAGTACTGCACTTTTGTCATTTCTACGGATGGCTCTGTTAGAGCTTGCGGGAAAGGCAGCTATGGGAGACTGGGCCTTGGAGACTCCAATAATCAGTCAACTTTAAAAAAGTTAACATTCGAGCCTCACAGATCCATTAAAAAGGTTTCATCTTCTAAAGGATCTGATGGTCACACTTTAGCCTTTACGACAGAAGGAGAAGTCTTCAGTTGGGGAGATGGTGATTATGGGAAACTGGGGCATGGAAATAGTTCAACACAGAAATATCCCAAGCTTATTCAGGGACCTCTACAAGGAAAGGTATGTGCATTCTTTTTGGTTATAAAAATAATTAGATGCATTGGAGTTGTAATTGACAATGTCGTTCAGATTTTGATGTGTTCTTTCTGCAGTTGCCCCTTCAACCCTTTGGCTTAATCTTTTGTATCTCTGCTTTACAGTTTACAGAACACCTTTGTATACATTATTGAATTTTAATTCTTATATTCTTATAATTATTCTTGTAAGGTAGTTATTATCCCTATTTCACAGATAAGCAAACTGAGAGTCATTCATTTAACAAACATTTAGCACTTTTGAAGTGTCAGGCAGTATTTTAGGCATTAGACTTGTAGCAGTGAACAAGACAGATAAGGTCTCTACTTTAATCCTTTAGTCTTCAGGATAGAGATAATAAGTTAACAAGCATATAGAATAATTTCAGATAATATTAAAGAAAAAAATGAGCAATAAAGGTTACCTTGGGCAGGTGTGGTATTAGGTAATGAGGTAGGTCAGAGAGTGCTCTTAGGAGAGGTGGCATCTTAATAGAGACCTGAATGGGGAGGCATTTAGAGTACCTAAGTAATTGCCAAGGACCCACACAAATAATTGGAACCATAAGAAACTGAGCTCATATCTTCTCTTTTTATTAATCTCCCCTCCTCTCTCTTCCTCTCTTTTCTTTCTTTCTTTTTTTGTTAGGTTCTTACTTTGTCACCCAGGCCGGAGTGCAGTGGTGCTATCTCAGCCCACTGCATCTTTGATTTCCTGGGGCTCAGGTGGTCCTCCCAACTCAGCTTTCTGAGTAGCTGGGACTATAGACATGCGCCACCATGCCTGGCTAATTTTCATATTTTTTAAAAGAAACAGGGTTTTGCCATGTTGCCCAGGCTGAACTCGAACTCCTGAGCTCAAACAATCTGCCTGCCTTGGCCTGCCAAAGTGCTGGGATTACAGGCATGTATTTCAGCACTTACTTGAACTCTTAGCCAGTCATCCTTGGCCTGAACACAGCCTCCACAACTGTACCTGGAAATTCCTGGATGGGTTGTGAATATTAGTATCTGTGAAGTCTCTGTGTATAGGATCAAATACGGACTATATGTTTTAACATGTGCATACTCATCGTATTTACTTGTGTGCAATGCAGGTAGTTGTTTGTGTGTCAGCTGGATACAGACATAGTGCTGCTGTCACAGAGGATGGGGAATTATACACATGGGGTGAAGGAGACTTTGGAAGATTAGGTAAGATTTTTTAAAAATGTAAGTTATTCTTCTAGAAAATTAGAAATGATTAAGTTACTGAGAAGCCGTGAGAGCAGATTTACTAGGCCAAAGACTGTCATTTATTTTGTTAGTTTAAGCTCAGAGGAAGATAATTTTATATAGATAAGACCTAGATTTTAGTGCTGATATTTAAATGTAATTAAATCTAGCAAGCATTTACTGAGTGTGCCCTATTATGACCAGGCATTGTAGGGTTTCTGGGATAAAAGCAATACCATCATGATCCTGAAGTTTATAATCTAGTGGGTAATGAAAACAAGTCAACATGAGCATGAAACAGGACAACACAAGGTAAGTGCTGTGAGGGGAGCATGAAAAGAATATTCTAATGGTTCACCGAAGTGACTCTATGACCCAGTTTAGGAGCACCTTGGAAGATTGAGAAGATGTTAGAAATGATTGTGTTTTTCATATTGCATTGCATTAAAAAAATCTCAATTCTATTTTAAAGTTGTAACATTTATTATACTTGTGAAGTCAAGGCCTAGAGAAAAAGAGTTAATGTTGTTTCTTTGTTGTTGTGTGTGTTTTATCCAAGGTCATGGTGACAGCAATAGTCGTAACATTCCAACATTAGTAAAAGACATCAGCAATGTAGGAGAGGTTTCTTGTGGCAGTTCACATACTATTGCTCTGTCTAAAGATGGGAGAACTGTATGGTCTTTTGGAGGAGGAGACAATGGTATGTAAAAAATTATTTATCAGTAGCTTTGGCTTTTTTCTTGAGTTTTTTAAAAATTTATTTTTCAGTTATATATGCCTAGTGTAGAATGACTCAAATACAGATGAGCAGAAATTAAAAAATGAACTGAGCTTTTACAAATGTTACTTTAACCATTGTTAACATTTTGGAAATAGACTTCTAAATAAATACACATTTATACAAATATTTACATATATTTCTACTTAGATGTGTTTTTAAAAACCAAAGTATACCTACATGTGTATGTTTTATATAAGTTTATATATGTTTTGACATATATATGTTTTACTCTAATAGTTTTTTTTTTTTTGAGATAGGGTCTTGCTTTGTTACCCAGGCTAGAGTGCAGTGATGCAAACCTGGCTCACTGCAGCCTCAACCTCCTGGGCTCAAGCGATCCTCCTGCCTCAGCCCCCCAAGTAGCTGGGACTACAGGCATGCACCACCATGCCTGACTAAGTTTTGTATTTTTTTTAGAGACAGGATTTTGCTTTATTGCCCAGGCTGGCCTCGAACTTCTGGGCTCAAGTGATCTGCCAGATTTAGTCTCCCAAAGTGCTTGTATTACAGGCATGAACCTCCGTGCCCGGCATGAGTATCTTTTTTATATCAACAAGCATGACTCTACATCATTCTTTTAAATGGCTTGAAGTGTTCTTTTATTTGATGGTGGCACAATTTATAAAACCAGTTTCTTATTGTTGAGTATCTAGATGGTTTCAATTTTTTTCAGTATTAACAACACAATGAATGACTAAATCTATGTCTACTTTAATTAGTCACTCCTACTAGCAGTGTGAATGCTTACTTCCCCATAGTCTTCAACAACAGCATGTATTAAATTTAATTAAATAATTTCAATAGTGAAAATGGTATCATTTAATTTATACTTTTTTTTATTCCTGGTGTGGTTGGATTTGTAGATGATTGGCCATTTGTTTTTCTTCTTTAATGATTTGTCCAGTTTTCAATTTCATGAGCTATTGATTTTTTAAAAAGTTTATGAAAAATTATATGCATATACATTCTTTTTTAAAGTTTATGAAAAATTATACGCATATAGTACCTGTATATTTTGTCAGCAAATTTGAAGTTAGAAATATAGCCATTAAAGGGGGAGAAAGACAGAAAAATAATTGTCTATGTTTCTTTTAAAGTGATTTTAAATTGCTTGATTTTAATTGCTTGAAATTAAGATATAAAAGGCTATCAGTGGTTGTTAACTTTCTTGTAATAAAAATGCTCGTTTGTTAACATCCTCAGCTATCAGAAACATAGCTTTTCATATCTGCCAGGTTAGTGATGGAAACATTAGAGCTCCTTATCAACTTTAGTAGTGTTAAAAAGAGTAGAGGTTCTTTAAAACAAGTAAATTGTTTAATGTGTTTGTTTTTATAGGTAAACTTGGTCATGGTGATACCAACAGAGTGTATAAACCTAAAGTTATTGAAGCTTTACAAGGAATGTTCATTCGCAAAGTTTGTGCTGGGAGCCAGTCTTCACTTGCTTTGACATCAACAGGGCAGGTAGGACTAAGGGATGAGTATAAAAGACTTAGAGTATTTCAGAGGATTAGGTGACTAAAAAGTAATACTTGTATTTAAATTTTAAAGTTCAAATAAATACATTTTTAGGCAACATGCTAAAATGAAATATCTTCTTCTGTTTGAAGTAGAGTATCTGAGAAGGAACCAGGTTTTCTAACCTGGCATATGTGACCCAGATAAATCTTAGTGGAGCCTCTGTTCTTTGTATTAAACTGACTTTCTAAAATGTTTTAGCATTTAGCTTCCCTTAAACCTTTTCTAAAACATTATGGATAGTCGGGGAAAGCTGAACTAGATCTTGATGGAGCCAGTGATATGAACTAAGAAGGCAAGAGGGTGATCAAAAAGGAGGGTAAAGAGAACACTTAGGTATGGAAAATATTCTGAGAGAGTTAGGTGTTTCTGAGAAACAGTGTGAAGTCAAGCTTAGGATAGTCAGAATTTTATGAGCCTTTATAAAGGCTCATAAGCTTTGTACTTTTATAGCTTATAAGCTTCGAACTTTTACATGCGTATTTTCACTCTTACCCTATTTGTTTGTTGAGGATAGGGAGGAGCCAGGTATAATTATAGACTGACAATATTTGTCCCTGTGTATCCATCAGTTATGGCAGTAAAAAAGTGAGCTGGCCACTTATTCTGTCATGTATAGGAGGCCACCTTGTGTCAGGCAGTGGTATAAAAGTGTTTTATGACTAATTGACAAGGCAGAGGAGCAGAAAAGCTGAAATCAGCATATAATTTGATTATTCACTGAGAAACTAGAATGCCTTGTGTTCTAAAAATCTTCAAGCTATTCATCATTACATTAGCTAGTTGCTGCCTTAAGAATATCTCTTCTACGTGTTTCTCACTATGGTTTTTGTAGTAAGAATCCATGAATTGAAGTTAGAAGATGCTTATGTATTTGATGTATACACACAGGCAAATAACAGACACCCCTTGAGCATCATGTGCTTCTTTTTTTATGAAGGAGTAATAATTTCTGCTTTGCATACAAGTGATCACATAAGATAATCATTAGAATTGAGAGTTTCTATAGATTATCCAATACTATTCAACTATTAGTTGGTAGTGGTAGTAATAATAGTAATAATAATAATAAATCCATTACATTGAATTCCAAGAGAACTTGTAAACTGTTTGCTGTATAGAATAGTTGTATTATGAGTACCTTAAGTTATATGAAATCAAATATATATGCGTGAAAAAAATAAAGTCAGAAATACTTTTAATGGGTAAGAATAGTTTTCTTTACCATTAAACTTGAGCATGAAATAATGATCAACATTTGCTTTTCCCTCAGTCTGTCTCAGCACTTTCAGGCCTCTTCTGTACTGACTTCCCACCATACTATATAGTATGGTCCAGTCTCTAAAGGCAAGCCAAGTATTTCTCATCTGGTGCTCAACCGAAGGAACGCTGCAAGAGAAAACTCTATGTAGGCCTTACTGAGTGACAGTATTACAGTGATGTGTCACTTAATGGGATATGTTCTGAGAAATGTGTTATTAGGCCATTTTGTTATTGTGAGAACATTGTAGAGAGTACCACACAAACCTAGATGGTGTAGCCTACTACGCTCCTAGACTATATGGTATAGCCTATTGCTCCTAGGTTACAAACCTGTACTGCATGTTACTGTACTGAATACCTTCAGAAATTGTAATATAATGGTAAGTATGTATCTAAACATATCTAAACATAGAAAAGTTACAGTAAAAATACTGGCATCAAAACTCCGTTAGATCTTAAGGGACCACTGTTGTATAATGTGGTCTGCTATTGACCGAATGGTGCATGAGTGTATATGATACCTCATGAGTGATTTAGGAAATCTTCTGTGATGATTTTGAGTATACATTATTTCACTGTCGTTATCTTTAGTTCCTAACATCTCCTAAAATATGCCTTATGTACTGGAATCTTGTTGCATTCTATACTTAAGTAAGTTATCTGGAAACAAGTACAAATATATGTTCTCATTTTATTTTATTTTGAACTCAGGGTCTCACTCTTTTGCTCAGGCTGGAGTACAGTGGCACAAACATGGCTCACTGCAGCCTTGACCTACCTCCTGGGCTCAAGAGATCTTCCCCATCCCAGCTCCCGAGTAGCTGGGACCACAGGCCTGTGCCACAATGCTTGACCAATTTTTTTAAATTTTTGTGGAGATCGGGTCTTGCCACATTGTCCAGGCTGGTATTGAACTCCTGAGCTTGGGTGATCCTCCTGCCATAGCCTCCCAACGTGCTGGGATTACAGGCTTAAGCCACTACATCCGGACAGTGCTCTTTATTTTTAATTGAAGTGGTTTAATCTCTCAGCAGCAGTCTTTCCTAAAATAATTGCAAGACAAAAACAAATTCTCAAATTTGATGGCATGAAGATAAGAATCTATATAATCTTACCAAAATCTATTGAAGATAAAGAAAAAAAATCATTCAGATTGCTGATTGTTTTGATTTTGTTGATTTTGGGTTGCCAAATTGTCAGTCAGTCACCTATTTGTCTTGCCAAAGACAAAATTTTTTTTTCCCACCTAACCCTTTCCCCAAGCATCTTAAATCAGTTAGTGATTCTTTTGGTATTCATTAGTCAAAAATGAAGATGTTTAAGGGGAACTACCTTGTTACTGCTTCACATGGCCCTCTTTGTAAGTGATAATTATTGCAATAATGAGGTGAGGTATTTCTAAAACTAAATAATAAACATCAGTTTTGTGATTTATATAATCCATTTTATATGATAATACCTTGTTCTAATCTTAAATCTCACCGGAATAGTGAGAAACACATAAAGGAGAAGTTTTAAGATGGTATTTTCAAAGCTGGTGAGATGGGGCAAATATAACAAATTGCAAGCCGATTAGTGGTTTAGCAGACCCTCTCAGAAGACCTTTCTGTTTTTTCTATGACCAGTTATTTTTATTTTCAGATCAGCTGTTTTTCTGCCTATACAGTGAATGCCTAAAGGCAGCATGATAAATCGCTGTAACAATCTTTAAAATGATCAAAATGATTTTAACATCAGAAAGTTATTTACTATCAAACCACACTTTAGTTTCATAGATTTCATTTATCCCTAAAGCCAACAATCTAATCATCTCAGGAAGTTATGTGTAACGTATTTCTGTTTTTTTCAGGTCTATGCTTGGGGCTGTGGAGCTTGTCTAGGTTGTGGTTCTTCAGAAGCTACTGCTTTGAGACCCAAGCTTATTGAAGAACTGGCTGCCACAAGAATAGTTGATGTTTCTATTGGAGACAGTCATTGTTTGGCTCTTTCTCATGGTAAAGTCATTTGTTTTTAAGGAAATAGTATTAACTGTTGTCTTGTGTAAATATATTACATTTGAATTTGGCTTTTCTTTTATATAATACTTTATATTTTGTTTTTAGATAATGAAGTTTATGCCTGGGGCAATAACTCAATGGGGCAATGTGGTCAGGGAAATTCCACAGGTCCTATTACTAAACCAAAGAAAGTGAGTGGCTTAGATGGCATAGCTATTCAGCAGATTTCGGCTGGAACATCACATAGTCTGGCATGGACTGCTCTTCCTAGGGACAGGTAAGAGTGCCTATGTTTAAAAATTCTTGTGTGTTTTAACATAAACACCAATAAAAAGTAGAAACACTAATAAAAACAGAAATAATTGTGCTTTGTTCATAAAATACTCTTCTGAACATATATAGTATTGCTTTTTCTCTATCATAGAAATGACATTAGATTTCTTTTTATTTGAATGTTGAGGTTAGACATGTTTCCGAAGCAAGAAGTCATACCCAGTATTTAAGACATTGTCTTTTAAACATTTTGAGTTCTCTCTCATCTCTACATGCTGATTTAAAAAAATTAAATATCTGCATATCAAGAGGAAATTAAAATAATTAAAATCAGAACTAGGCTTTATTGATTTAATGTTTAACCTCAGTGCTCTCAATCTGGTTGGTTTTTGAATTTTTTTTTTTTTTTGGAAAAAAAATTGTCATACTTTAAATCAAGGAGGTTAATTTTTGCAGAAACTTAGCTTTTTCCGAAAGTGCTAACTGTACGTGTTTAGTCCATCAGGTAGATGAGTTTCAGTCACTATTAGGAGATTGAATTTTAAAGAATGTTTGGGTTATTTCAGATATTTTCAGATACACATGGGCTAATTTATAGCTTAGAATGTATTTTATTTGCATTCTATGCCTTTGACTCAGGGTTTTAAAATGATACTCTAACCAATTAAAAATATTTATCAATAGTTATTCCTCTAACACAAAAGCCAAAATAAATAAGTTGAATATAAATAATTTGCTATTAGCATTACATCTCCAACTTCCCACTTCATATGTAGATAGTTGGGTCCCAAGAACTGAAAAGTATTAACAAGAAATTTCAGGATTTTGTCTTTTAATAGATTTCAGTATATCACTCTATAGAGTCAGGATATTTTTCTTAATATGAAATATATATTTTCTGGACTCTTAGAACCAGAGGGGCTTTAGTAGATCATGTGACTCAGCCCTCTGCTTTCAGGTGAGTGGACATCCAAACCTTCCAAAACAGGTGGTGGTTGTATGTTTTCTTCTTAAAGATGGCAAATTCTTGGTTTTCCTTAGTTGCTAAAATGAAAGGTTTTATCACTTTCATAATCAGTAATGTCTTCTTTGTATCTTGTTGAACTCATTCAGCTTTAATGTATATATGTATATATATATTTTTTGAGATGGAGTCTCACTCTGTCGCCCAGGCTGGAGTGCAGTGATACAGTCTCTGCTCACTGCAGTGTCTGCTTCCCAGGTTCAAGCGATTCCCCTGCCTTAGCCTCCTGGGTAACTGGGACTACAGGCATATACCACCATGCCCGACTAATTTTTATGTTTTTAGTAGAGATGGGTTTTCACCATGTTGGCCAGGCTGGTCTTGAACTCCTCACCTCAGGTAATCTGCATTCCTTGGCCTCCCAAAGTGCTAGGATTACAGGCATGAGCCACCGTGCCCAGCCAATATATGTTTTAATTTTCGTTTTTGATCGTGCATAAAAATTTCATTTTAAGACTGTTTTATTATTTTCTTATGTGTCCTTCTAGACAAGTTGTTGCATGGCACCGACCTTATTGTGTAGATCTTGAAGAGAGTACCTTCTCACACCTGCGTTCTTTTCTTGAGAGATACTGTGATAAAATAAACAGTGAGATTCCCCCACTCCCTTTCCCTTCATCAAGGTATGTTATATGTATGTTTTGTATCTTTGTGTGTGTGTGTGCGCGCGCGTGTGTGCATGTGTATAAATTATTCCTTTTGAGTTTTGACTTACTGTTCTTTCTTGTTTGGTTTCCCAAATTATATGAAACTTTTTTATAATCTAGAAAAGAGCTAAACTTAGATACTTGTTGATAATAACTTCTAGGAAAAAGTTACTTGTAATTTCACAAATCATGTTTTAAAAATTACTGTTGTTCATGACTTGACAAAATTTTTTTTTTTTTAAGATGGTGTCTTGCTCTGTCGCCCAGGCTAGAGTGCAGTGGCATGATCTCAGTTCACTGCAGCCTCTGCCTCCCAGGTTCAAGTGATTCTCTTGCCTCAGCCTTCTGAGTAGCTGGGATTACAGGCACCCGCCATCATGCCCAGCTAATTTTTGTATTTTTAGTAGAGGCGGGGTTTTGCCATGTTGGCCAGGCTAGTCTCTAACTCCTGACTTCAGGTGATCCACCCACCTCCGCCTCCCAAAGTGCTGGGATTACAGGCATGAGCCACCGCACCTAGCCAACAAAATTTTTAAAGATATAAAAATGTTACCCAAACTGGATAGCACAGGCACTTTTATGATCCGAGAATTCATAGACGTTTATTTGGTTTCAGAGAACACCACAGTTTTCTCAAGCTGTGCCTGAAGCTACTTTCAAATCACCTTGCTCTTGCACTTGCGGGAGGGGTAGCTACCAGCATTCTCGGGAGGCAGGCAGGTCCACTTCGAAATTTGCTCTTCAGACTGATGGACTCAACTGTCCCAGATGAAATCCAAGAGGTAAGAGAATAGGACTTGTGAATCTGTATCTCAAACCACGTCTTTCTCTGAGATTTTAGCTATACAATATATTCAACTGTACATTGGACAATTTCAATTGGATGTTGTTTCCCTTACTCCTGTTTTCTTGGTGAGAGTATTTTTGGTTAACTCATCCTTGAGACAAAGGTCAGATGCCATCTCTGATAAACTTTTTATTCCTGCTCTCCCACCAGATTTGGTTTTTCTTGTATATGTTCTCATTACATCACATTGTATTCTAGTTGCTTATTTACAAACATGTCACTCTTTTTTCACCAGAAGATGAGTTCCTGAGGGCAAGGACCTAGGGCATGGCTTGGTCAGTAGTAGTAACTGAATAAGTGGACTGGATCATCTACTAGAACTGTAACCAGAGCTAAGGAGAGAAAGGTCAGCTTAAGGAGGAAGAAGTGGCCTAGAATAGAATACTGGTTATAAATAAGGAGAGTATAGTTTAAAAAAACATATTTAGTATTATAATACAATGTTAAATTTGGGGGAAACTTAAAAATATCTATATATTTGTAATACAAAATACAGAAAATAAACTCTTTTGGTAGGTAATAATAGAAAGTACAGTAATTTTTAAACCAGTGCACTCCTAAATTATCAGTGGATCAAAGAAAGAAATTACAAGATAAATTTAATACTTAAGATTAATGAAAACAAAAACTTAACATACCAAAACTCATGAAATGCAGCTAAAGCTGTGCTTGGAGGAAAATTTATAGCTTATAAACATCTATATTAAAAAAAATATATATCGAATCAGTAATTTAACCTTCTACCTTAAGAAATTAGAAAAAGAAGAGTCAACTCAACCCAAAGCAAGTAGAAAAAAGGAACTAATGTAGATTAGAGTGAAATTAAAAAAATAAAGAACAGAAAAACAATTGAGGAGATCCAGGAAACTAAATGTTTGTTCTTTGAAAAGACAAAATCAACAAACCTCTGGCTGGACTGACCAAGAAAAATGAGAGAGGACTTAAATTACTCAAATCAGGAATGAAAGACAAGATATTACTACTGACCCTACAGAAATCAAAAGGGAAATTGAGAGGCAGAGCAAGATGGTGGAATAGAAGGCTCCACTGATCATTCCCCCTGCCAAGGACACCACTTTAACAACTCTACACAGAAAAAACCACCTTCATAAGAACCAAAAATCAGGTGAGCACTTACAGTACCTAGTTTTAACTTCATATCACTGAAAGAGGCACTGAAGAGATAGAAAAAACAGTCCTGAATAGGCAGTGCCACTCCTCCCCCTGCAGCAGTGGCAGTATGGTGCAGAGAGTGTCTCTGGGTGCTTGGGGAGGGAGAACACAACAATTGTGAGGCATTGAACTCAATGCTATCCTGTTAGAGCAGAAAGGAGAACTGGACCAAACTCAGCTGACACCTGTGCACAGAGGGAGCATTTAAACCAACCCTAGCCAGAGGGGAACTGCTGATCCCAGTGATCCAAATTTGAATTCCTGCAAGGCTTGCCACTGAGGGCTATAGTGCTCTGTGTCTCCAAGTAAACTTGAAAGGCAGTCTAGGCCAAAAGGACTGCAACTCTTAGGCGAGTCCTAGTGCTGAACTGGTCCCAGAGACAGTGGACAGAGGGGCAGGTGACATACTGAGACACCAGCTGGGGTAACCAAGGGAGTGTTGGCTCACCCCCCGCCTCCCCGACCCCAATGCCAGGCTACACAGCTCGTGGCTCCAAGAGAGACCCCTTTCTTCCACTTGAGAGGGAAGAGTGGGCAGGACTTTGTCTTGTGTCTTAGATAACATCTTGGTCACAGCAGGATAGGGGACCAGTCAGAGTCGCAAGTCTCCCTGTTCCAGATGCCAGCTCTCAGATGACATTTCTAGACATGCCCCAGGCCAGAAGGGAACCCACTGCCTTGAAGAAAAGGACTCAGTACTGGCAGCATTCATCACCTGCTAACCGAAGAGCCCATGGGCTGTGAATAACCAGCATTGATACCCAGCTGCTATGTCAAGGGCTTTGGGTGAGCCTCTGAGACTTTCTGGCTTCAGGTACCAGCACAGCCATGGAGGGACAGAGTACCAAATACACTCTTGGGATCCCTGATTCCAGGACTTGATTGTTAGATGGCATTTCTAGACCTGTCCTGGGCTACAGGAGAACCCACTGCCCTGAAGGGTGAGACCTAGGCCAGGCAGTATTCACCATAAGCTAACTTAAGAATCCCTGGGCCTTAAGCTTAAGGGAACAGTGGTGCTTGTCTGGCAATACTCCTTGTGGCCTGGGGTGGTGGTAGCTATGGGGCGAGGCTCCTCTAGCTTTGGAAAGGGGAGGCACAAGTGAAAAAGACTGTGTCTTGTGGTTTGAGTGCCAGCTCAGCCATAGTACAATAGAACATTGGGTAGACCTCTAAGGTTTTTGACTCTAGTCCCTGACTCCCAGATGGCACCTCTAGACCCACCTGAGGCTTGGGGGACCTCACTCCCCCTGAAGGGAAGGACACGGCCTGGCTGGCTTTGCCACTGGCTGATTGTGGAACCACAGAGTCTTGAGCGAACATAGGCAATAGCCAGGGAGTGGTTACGGCAAGCTTGGGTGAGACCCAGTGCTGTGCTGGTGCTGTGCTAGCTTTAGGTCTGACCCAGTGCAGTCATAGTGGTGTTGGCCACAGGGGTGCTTGTGTCACTCCACCCCCAGCTTTAGGTGGCTGAGGAGAGACAGAGAGAGAGAGAGAGAGAGAGAGAGAGAGAGACACACACACACACACACACACACACACACACACACACACACACACACACACACAGTCTGTTTGGGAGAAAGTAAGGGAAGAGAACAAGAGTCTCTGCCTGATAATCCAGAGAATTCTCCCAGATCTTGTCCAAGACCATCAAGGTGGTACCTCTATGAGGCTGCAAGAACCACAACGTAGATACAGTTTAGATCATAATACCCAAGTCCTTTAAAATATCTGGAAAGCCCAAGAAGGATGGGTACAGATAAGCCCAGACAGTGAAGACTACAATAAATACCTAACTCTTCAATATCTACTGGCATCCACACCATCCATGACCTAACCAAATGAACCAAAGAAGGCACCAAGGACCAATCCTGGGGAAACAGATTTGTGACCTTTCACACAGAGAATTCAAAATAGCTTTGTTGAGGAAAGTCAAAGAAATTCAAGATAGCACAGAGAAGGAATTCAGAATCCTATCACATAAATTTAACAGAGATTAAAATAATTTGAAAGAATCAAGTAGAAATTCTGGAGCTGATAAATGCAATTGACATTTTGAAGAATGCCTCAGAATCCTTTAATACCAGAATTGATGGCAGAAGAAAGACTTAGTGAGCTGGGCATGGTGGCTCACGCCTGTAATCCCAGCACTTTTGGAGGCCAAGGTGGGTGGATCACAAGGTCAAGAGATAGAGACATTCCTAGCCAACATGGTGAAACCCCTTCTCTACTAAAAATACAAAAAAAATTAGCTGGATGTGGTGGCACATGCCTGTAGTCCCAGCTACTCGGGAGGCTAAGGCAGGAGAATCGCTTGAACCTGGGAGGTGGAGGTTTCAGTGAGCCCAGATTGTGCCACTGCACTCCAGCCTGGTGACAGAGTGAGACTCCATTTAAAAAAAAAAAAAAAAAAGAAAAAGAAAAAAAGAAAAAAAAAGAAAATACACAGAGGAGACAAAAGAAAAAGAATAAAAAAGGTTGAAGCACACCTACAGGATCTAGAAAATAGTCTCAAAGGGCAAGTCAAAGAGTTGTTGGCCTTAAAGAAAAATCTCATGAAGAAAAGCCCAGGAGCAAATGGCTTCACTTGTGAATTCCACAAAATATTTAAAGAAGGATTAAGACTAGTTCTTCACAAACTCTTCCAGAATGTAGAAGAGAAGCTAATACTTCCCAACTATATTTTGTGAGGCCAGTATTACCCTAATTGTGGACCAAAACATTGCAAGAAAAGAAAAACTATAGACCAGCTATTAAAGTACTCTGATGCATTCTTCAGTATCCATTATGAAGATAGATGTAAAAATTCTCAACAAACTACTAACAAACCAAATCCAGCAACTTACCTAAAAGATTGTACCCCATGACCAAATGGGATGTATCCCATTTTCAAAGTATGAAAATCAATCAATATAATACACCATATTAATAGAAAAAATGAACAAAAACAATGTGATTATCTGGATGCTGAAAAAGCATCTGACAAAATTCAACATTCTTTCATGATAAAAATATTCAACAAACTAGGAATAGAAGGGAACTTTCTTAACCTGAAAAGGGCATCTATGAAAAAGTTATAGTTAATATCATATTCAATGGAGAAAGACTGAAAACCTTCCCCCTAAGATCAGGAATAAAATAAAGACTTCCACTCCTGCCATTTCTATTCTAGCTGGGGCAATTATATAAGATAATGAAATAAAACTCATGTAGATTGAAAAGGAAGTTGTAAAACTATTTCTGTTTGCGGATGACATGATTTTGTGTGTAGAAAATTCTAAGGAACACACACACACTCATACACAACTATTAGGGCTAATAAACGAGTTCAGCAGAGCTTCAGGGTAAAAGATAAATGTACAAAAATTGTTTCTATACACCAACAATGTACAATCAAAGAATGAAATTAAGGAAACAAGTTTATGTACAAAAGCATCAAAAAGAATAGGATACTTAGGAATACATTTAACAAAAGAAGTGTAAGACTTGTACACTGAAGGAACAAAACATTATTGAAAGAAATTAAAGAAGACCGAAATAAATGGAAACACACCTCATGTTTATGGATTGCAAGACTTAATATTGTGAAGATGTCAATACTTTGCAAATTGGTTCACAGATTGAGTGCAATCACTATCAAAATTCTTGCTGGCTTTGTTTGGCAGAAATTGATAAGCTGATCCTAAAATCATATGGAAATTCAAGGATCCAGAGTAGCCAAAACAGTCTTGAAAAAGAAGAGGAAAGTTAGAAGGCTCACACTTTCCAACTTCAAAACATACTACTTTAGAGTTACAGTAATAAAAATAGAGTGGCTGTGTCAGAAGGATAAATATATAGATCAATGGAATAGAATTAAGAGTCTAGAAATAAACTCATACATCTGTGGCTTACTGATTTTCTACAAGAGTGCCAAAACTATTTCATGAGAGAATAGTGTCTCATGGTACTTGGACAACTGTATACCCACATGCAAAAGAATGAAGTTGGCCCCTTACATCATATACAAAAAAATTAAAGTGGATTAAAGACCTAAATATAAGAGCTATAACTGTAAAACTCATAAAAGAAAACATAGGGCCAGGCGCACGCCTGTAATCCCAGCACTTTGGAATGCCGAGGCAGGTGGATCACCTGAAGTCGAGTTCAAGACCAGCCTAACATGGTGAAACCCCGTATCTACTAAATAACAAAAAATTAGCCGGGTGTAGTGGCGTGTGCCTGTAATCCCAGCTGAGGCAGGAGAATTGCTTGAACCCAGGAAGCGGAGGTTGCAGTGAGCTGAGATCACACCATTGCACTCCAGCCTGGGAGACAAGAATGAAACTCTGTCTCAAAAAAAAAAAGATGGGCCCGGCGCGGTGGCTCACGCCTGTAATCCCAGCACTTTGAGAGGCTGAGGCGGGTGGATCACGAGGTCAGGAGTTCGAGACCAGCCTGACCAACATGGTGAAACCCCGTCTCTACTAAAAATACAAAAATTAGCCAGGTGTGGAGGTGCACGCCTGTAATCCCAGCTACTTGGGAGGCTGGGGCAGAAGAATTGCTTGAACCTGGGAGGCAGAGGTTGCAGTGAGTGGAGACCGCACCATTGCACTCCAGCCTGGGCGACAGGGCAAGAGTCCGTCTCACAAAAAAATAAAAAAAAAAACAACATAGATGTAAATCTTTATCACCTTGGATTAGGCAATGGTTTCTTAGCTATGACATCAAAAGCACAAACAACCAAAGGAAAAATAAATTGGACATCATCAAAATTAAAAACATTTGTGCTTCAAAGGATACTTTCAAGAAAATGAAGACAGCACACAGAATGGGAGAGATACTTGTAAGTCATAGATCTGATGAGGTTCTAGTTTCTAGAATATATAAAGAATTCTTACAGCTCAACAATAAAAAAGACAGATACCCCAGTTTTAAAAATGAACAAAGAATCTGAGTAGACATATCTCTAGAGAAGAGAAAAAATAGCCAGTAAACACATGAAAAAATGTTCAACATCATTAATTATTAGGGAAATACAAATCAAAACCACACTGAGATACCACTTCACACCCACTAAGTGACAGTAATCAAAAAGGCTGGCTAATAGCAAACATTGGAGGAGGTGGAGAAATTAGAACCTTCATGCATTGCATGAGAATGTAAAATGGTGCAGGTGCTTTGGAAAACAGGCAGTTCCTTAAATAGTTAAACATAGAGTTACTGTATGATCCAGCAGTTCCACTACTAGGTCTGTACCCAAGAGCATTGAAAACATATGTCCACACAAAAACTTGTACATGAATGTTAATAACAGCATTATTTATAATAGTCAAAAGGTGAAAACAACATGTGTCTGTCAACTGATAAACAAATGAACAAAATTTCGTATATTCATACAATGTAATATTATTTAGCCATAAAAAGGAGTGAAGTAGTGATACATACTACAACCTAACCGAACCTTCTAAATATTATCCTAAGTGGCTGGATGCAGTGGCCCACACCTGTAATCTGCACACTTTGGGAGGCTAAGGTGGGCACATCACTTGAGTCCAGGAGTTTGAGACCAGCCTGGCCAAATGGTGAAACCCTGTCTCTACTAAAAATACAAAAATTAGTTGAGTCTGGTGGCGCATGCCTGTAGTCCCAGATACTTGGGAGGCTGAGGCACAAGAATTGCTTGAAACCGGGAGGCAGAGGTTGCGGTGAGCTGACATCATACCACTGCATGCTAGCCTGGGCAACAGAGTGAGACTCTGTCTGAAAAAAAAAAAAATAAAATATGCTAAGTGAAGAAGCCAGACACAAAGGGCTTATTGTGTAAGTCCATTTATTTATTTATCTATTTGTTTGTTTGACAGAGTCTTGCTCTGTCGCCCAAGCTGGAGTGCAGTGGCTCGATCTCGGCTCACTGTAACCTCCACGTCCTGGGTTCAAGCGATTATCCTGCCTCGCCTCCCGAGTAGCCGGGACTGCAGGCGCACACCACCATGCCCAGCTAGTGTTTGTATTTTTAGTAGAGACAGGGTTTCACCATGTTGGCCAGGCTGGTCTTGAACTCCTTACCTCAGGTGATCTGCCTGCCTCGACCTCCCAAAGTGCTGGGATTAGAGGCATGAGCCACCGCGCTCGGCCTGTATAACTCCATTTGTATGTAATGTGCAGAGTAAGCAAGTCCATAGCAATACCTTAGTGGGCTGGGTGCAGTGGCTCACGCCTATAATCCCAGCACTTTGGGATGCCGAGGAGGGTAGATCACTTGAGATAAATAGTTCGAGACCAGCCTGGCCAACATGGTAAAACCCTTTTTTACTAAAAATACAAAAATTAGCCTGGCGTTGTGGCGTGTGCTTGTAGTCCTAGCCGCTTGGGAGGCTGAGGCAGGAGAATCGCCTGAACCTTTGAGATGGAGGTTGCAGTGAGCTGAGATCACGCCACTGCACTCCAGCCTGGGCAACAGAACGAGTCTCCATCTAAAAAAAAAAAAAAAAAAAAAGTATATTAGTGGTTGTTGGAGGTCTTGAGCAGGATAAGGAATGACTGGTAATGGGCACACGGCTTTTTTTCTTTTGGTAGTAATGAAGATATTCTAAATTGGATAGTGGTGATGGTTGCACAACTCTGAATAGACTAAAAACCATTGAATTTTATACTTTCAAGAGGTGAATTCTGTGGCATGTGGATTATATGTCAATTTGAAAAAAAAAAAATAAACTGACTTTTCAAGTAGAGGGACATATCCCCTCAAATGGGGTTGGAGGAATATCCTGGTGGTGAGTAGGAACTGTGATGATTTAATATTTATCAGAAACGGGGTAGTGTAAGATTTTGAAAAGGGTAAAAGTACTAGAATAAAATAAGGAAAAGTAAACTTAAAAAATTATATTTTGGGTTATCTTTTTATTCTTTGGGTCTCTTTGACAGCCATTGCATCTTAGAAGAATACTTGGAGATAGATTGTTCCAGGATGTTACACACAGGCTGTTTCTGTTTACAGCTATTTGTGTTCCTCTTTTCTTATTTCTGAAACTTATAGTAATTTATCTATTTGCAGTAACCACATTGCTGCTGTTTCTTGTATGCTTTCCCACCATTTTCCTTTGACCCTCTCTGAATTTTCTTCTTTAAAAAATTTTTTTATTTGAACTACCTGTAGACTTAAGGAAATATTGCATAAATAATAGTTTTCATATGTCTCTCACCCACCTTCCTATTATGTTAATGTCTTACATAACCATTATATAATTATCAAAACAAATAAATTAGTATTGGTTTAATACTATTAAGTAAACATCTTATTAGAAATTTTGTCAGTTTTCTACTGATGTCCTTGTTTTGTTGCAGGATCCTATTTGGGATCCCATATTGCTTTTAATTGTTATTTCTCTTCTGTAACAATTTAGTGTCCTGCAACAATTCCTTAGTCTTTCTTTGTCTTTCACGAGCTTGACATTTCATGAGTATTATTTAATTATTTTATTGAATATCTCTGTCATTTTTTTCAGGATGGGATTGAGTTATGTATTTTGGGCAAGAATACCACAGAAATAATGTGTCCTTGGTATGTTATTACATGAGGTTAATGATGTCCATATATCTTATTACTGACAATGTTGGCCTCAATCACATGGTTAAGGTGGTTTCTGCTGGGTTTCTTCATCCATCAGTAGCTTCTGAGAGAGGACTGATAGAAAATACATTAAATGAAAATATGCTCACACTTAAACAGTTTGAAAATTGAATATCTTCATGAATGGTTTAGGCATAAAATTCTAAATTGGAAATCATTTTTCAGTAAGACTTGTGAAGTCATTGCTTCATTGTCTTCTAGTTTTCAGCGGTGTTACTTAGAAAATCAGTGTGCTTCAAATTTTTGATCCTTTGTATGGAAATCTGTTTTTCTCTCTAGATGCTATATAGCAAGTTCTTCTTGTCCTTTGTGTTCTCACATTTCAAAATGATATGAACTGATGTGGGGAAAGTCATAACCTTCAATATTAAAAAATTATCTTGGCCAGGCACAGTGGCTCACGCCTGTAATCCCAGCACTTTTGGAGGCCGAGGCGGGCGGACCACCTGAGGCCAGGAATTGAAGACCAGCTGGCCAATATGCAAAACCCCTTCTCTACTAAAAAAAAAAAAGATATATATATATATATATATATATATATATATCTGGAAAAAAGATATATATATGTATATATATATATCTGGAAAAAAGATATATATATATATATCTGGAAAAAAGATATATATATATATATCTGGAAAAAAGATATATATATATATATCTGGAAAAACGATATATATATATATATCTGGAAAAAAGATATATATATATCTGGAAGTGTTTTGTTGATTTCTTCTTCATTGTTTTCTGTGTTCTTTCTTTCTCTCTGGAACTCCTTATTATTGGGATACTTGACCTCCTGAGCCAGTCCTCTTAATTTTCTTGTGTTTTCCTTCCTGTTTTCCATCTTTTCCCCCCTCTGCTTTATAAGAAATTTAATTCTATATTCTAGCCCTTCTATTGAGATTTTCTGTTTCTTTTATCATCTTTTTAATTTATAAGAGCTCTTCATTCTGGAAGTGTTCCTTTTTTAGTAGCCTCCCGTTCTGTCTTACACTTTTTGAAGATACTAATTTTTGTTCTTGTTTCTATGTACTTTTTTTTTTAAATTAGACAATTTCTGTTAGTTTTAGTCTCTGTCATAATAAAGGCTTTCCTCAAATTTCTAATAACCTTTGGCTTCGAAGCCAATCATGGGTAAGAGTGTGATGCTATGGCCGGGCGTGGTGGCTCACGCCTGTAATCCCAGCACTTTAGGAGGCTGAGGTGGGCAGATCACCTGAGGTCAGGAGTTCGAGACCAGCCTGCCCAACATGGTGAAACCCCATCTCTACTAAAAATACAAAAATTACCTGGGCATGGTGGCGCATGCCTGTAATCCCAGCTACTTAAGGCTGAGGCAGGAAAATCGCTTGAACCCCAGAGGTGGAGGTTGCCGTGAGCCGAGATTGTGCCACTGTGCTCCAGCCTGGGTGACAAGAGCAAGACTCCGTCTCAAAAAAAAAAAAAGAGAGTGTGATGCTAAAAGACTGATGGATGCTAAAAGTTCTCTACACAGAGAGAGATGAGGTTTGTCAAATTTATTGTAGATTGATGTGACTGGGCTATATTTTAGGGGAAGGTAATATTTCATGTCTGTCACTTAAAGTCTTTTCTACTGGGCTAGTGAGATTCTTCAAAGGAAGGCTCTTCTAAGCTACTGCTAGAAGGTATAAACCTGAGTGACAGTCTTCTGGTGAGGAAAAAGAGTTTAGAAGTCTCAATATTCAGAATGAACACTTTGTCTTGAAATCACCCAATTTTAGTTTGGTATTCCTGCCTTCAACTGTGCCTATTATCTTAACCAGTTTTCAACCAATCTTCCTGTTTTGAGCTCTTCCTTTTTGCCCTCTTGCAGAAGTATATGAGCCTCTAGGAATTCTACAGTACAAATCAAAGTGTTTTTTGGTTTTTCTCATTTTTGACTTAGGGTGTAGCCATTTCAGGTCTTTTAAGTCAGTTACCCTTTGTCTGTTCCTTTCTGTTTCCAAAATTTTGATGCTGTTTTTTCCTTTCCATTCTGGGGAGGGGGGTCTTTTTGACTTATCCCACCAACCCCTGCCCATTGTTTTAGATGGGCTTTTGGAAACAGAATATGTGCATTTAGTTCTTAATCCTTAGTCACCTTTGTTGAATTTCCACAGCTAAAATTTGATTTTAGCTTTGATTTTAGCTTTATTTTAGTTTGAGTAGAGTACTCTGAGAAAGTCATTAAAGATTTGTCCTGTTCTTAACTGTGTTGGAGGACACATGCTTTTGGATGGAAGGGTTATTCTTCTTGTGTACTTGAATTTTTCAATCATTATAGTAATTCAAATAATTATTAATAGAACATTGACTTACAGAAAAATTGAGTATTAGAACTGACAGGCGCTATGGAGTTTATCTTAGTCCAACACTGTTTTTACTGATAAAGAAGCCATGACCCAGAGAAGTTATGAGGCCTAAGATAATGCAGCTCCTATTCCTTATGCTGTTCCCACTACCTGGACCTTTGTCTAGCCAGGTCCTACTAATTCTGTAATTCTTTTTTTTTTTTTTATACTTTAAATTTTAGGGTACATGTGCACAATGTGCACGTTAGTTACATATGTATACATGTGCCATGTTGGTGTGCTGCACCTATCAACTTGTCATTTAACATTAGGTATATCTCCTAATGCTATCCCTCCCCCCTCCCCCCACCCCACAACAGGCCCCGGTGTGTGATGTTCACCTTCCTGTGTCCATGTGTTCTAATTCTGTAATTCTTAAATGCCTGATCCTCAGGGATATCTTCCATGAGCCCATAGGCCATGTTAATTGCCCTGTTTGTGTGCTCAAGCAAGTTCCTGCACCCTTTTACTTTCCCTATGTGACTCCTTTCACATTTATACTTTCTTGCTCAGGGTCTTTCTTTCCCATTAGACTGTAGGCTCATGAAAGCAGAGATTTTGTCTGTCTTATTCATTTCTGCACCCAAATCACTTTGCGCAGAGCCTTACCAGGGTGAATGCTATAGAATCAACACTAAATATTTGTTAGGTGATGATTAGCTATTTAGTGGCAAATCGAAAATATGTATTCATAGTCTTCTTAAAGACATCTGAAGGAGGACTTGCATGCTTTCTTTTTTATCATGCCATCTTTTTTAGACTTACATGATCCTAGTAGTCAGTGAGTTCGCTTTAAGTGTGTTTTTATTAAAAACTAAGAACCAGGCCAATCAGTATACTTTTCTCTTTTGATATTAGGTGGTAATTGAAACTTTATCAGTGGGAGCAACCATGCTGTTACCTCCATTACGAGAACGGATGGAATTACTTCATTCTCTTTTACCTCAAGGACCTGATAGATGGGAAAGCTTATCTAAAGGACAGGTAGGCCTTTGCTTGCTGTGTAAGTAAACCAGTAGTATCCTAAAAATTTGGACTGAGAAGGAAATAAAACTAATAAATTGCCATGTGTTCTTGGAGCATAAGTACTTGATGGGTTAATGTGTTGTGCTGGAAGAATTCCCAGTTGTCTTAACAACCTTAGGTGAAGCAAGTGATAATTTATTAAGTTATTTGGGGCTAATTATTAAAATAAGGACTAATTTTTCCAGTGTTTCTTATGGTACTAAGCCAGACACTCTGTGGTTTATTTGTAGTATGCTGAGTTGAAATCAAGTGTATGTGCTACTGTTGGTTCCATGCTGAGAACTTTGTCTGAAATCGTTTGTATAAAGAGTATAGATGACTATTAGGAAAAAGTATTTGATAATATGAGTATACTTTTCTTTCCATTTTTATCTTATATACCTTAAAATAGTACATTTTGCTCAACCAAGTAGAAGTTATCAGATTCAGAGATACAGATTTGAGGAAAAAAAATTGGTACTTATTTGCAGTGTAATATTTACTGATACTTTTCTTTCTTTTTAAATCTTTTTTTGGAGACAGAGTCTTGCTCTGTCATCCACGCTGGAGTAGGGTGGTGCAATCATAGCTCACTCTAACCTTGAACTCCTAAGCTCAAGGGATCTTACTGCCTTGGCCTCTGGAGTAGCTAAGACTGCTGGCACGTGCCACCACACCCGGCTAATTTTTTTTTCTTATTTTTATAGCGGTGGGGTCTTGCTGTATTTCCCAGGCTGTTCTTGAACTCCTGGCCTCAAATGATCCTCCTGCTCTGGCCTCCCAAAGTGCTGGGATTATAGGCATGAGACCACTATGCCTGGTCCATAGGTGATTTTTTTATTTTTCTTTTTGAGACAGGGTTTTGCTCTGTCATCCAGGCTGGAGTGCAGTGGCACGATCATGGCTTACTGTAGCCTCAACCTCTTGGGCTCAAGTGATTCTCCCACCTCAGCCTTCTGAGTAGCTGAAACTACAGGCATGCACCACCATGCTCAGCTAATTTTTGTATTTTTTGTAGAGGGGGTTTTGCTATGTTGCCCAGGCTGGTCTTGAATTCCTGGACTCAAGCGGATCCACCTGCCTTGGCCTCCCAAAGTGCTGTGATTACAGGTGTGAGCCACTGCGCCCAGCCTACAGATGATTTTTAATGAGTATTTTGCATTAGTTTAGATTTCAAGTGATTTATTTTGAACATTAGAATAAGTAATTGTCATTGGTAATGTCACACTGTAGAATCATGTGTCATATTATTTATCTATTGGCATTTCGTACTCCTCTCTACTTACAGTACTAAAATCATTATGCATAGTATGCCATGTTAGCTTAGAGATTTAGGCATTATAATGAAGGCTGAAATAAAAACCTGTAAGTTGCATTTTCCTAAATCCCATTTCCTAAATGGGATTAATTGGGTAGTTTTTATAATTATGTACTTCCTGAAGATGATTATTTATTAAGCTAGTAAGTGGATTAGTATAGTTTTTTTCTGGGATCCTTTTGTGTTCTTTTCTAGTGCATATTACGCTAGTTACTTGTTCCTATTTTATTGTTCTTTAGAGAATGCAACTGGATATCATCCTGACAAGTTTGCAAGATCATACCCACGTAGCCTCCCTACTTGGCTATAGTTCACCCTCTGATGCTGCTGACCTATCTTCTGTGTGTACTGGCTACGGAAATCTGTCAGATCAACCTTACGGCACTCAGAGCTGCCATCCAGATACCCACCTGGCTGAAATTTTGATGAAGACCCTCTTAAGAAATTTAGGATTTTATACAGTAAGTTGTTCTTTCATTGTAGTAAAAAAAGAATAAAGGGGTAGGGATCTCTTTAGTCAAGGTATTTTGACATTTAAACACCTATGATAGAAATCAAACTCTAGACCCCTCTCCCCCAAGGGGAAAAACATGTCAGGGTTTCTGAAATATTGTGGGGACAAAATAACATGTAATTGAGAATTTCAAAGGGATTTATTTTAGAATTTTACCAGATTTTTCTGATATTGTAGAATAATAAACAGAATAAAATAGGAACATTTTTAGAGAGAAGAATAATGAGCAAGGGATTAACCTTGCCAGTTATAATCTTATAATGAAACAATGTACTTGGAACTGAATGAGAATAGGTTGGTCAGTAGGATAGAGGACAGTGGACCCTATAGCTTTCCCTGTATTAGTATGCCATTAATTCTAAATCTCTAGTGTTTCTTAAATTCATCTTTTTTTCCTGCCATTTCTTTGAGTTCTAAGCCAGATCATTATGATTCAGTGCTAATAATGTTATAGCTATTGTCACTATTGCTGGTTTCTTCTCAGCATCTTACTGCTGGAATAACTTTGTATTAAATAACTTCTTTATATTAAAGAATACAACTTCTTTGTATTAAATTAAAACCCCTTCAGGCCAGGCGCGGTGTCTTATGCCTGTAATCTCAGCACTTTGGGAGGCCGAGTTGGGTGGATCACCTGAGGTCAGGAGTTTGAGACCAGCCTGGCCGATATGGTGAAACCCCGTCTCTACTAAAAATGCAAAAATTAGCCAGGCGTGGCGGCTGGCATCTATAGTCCCAGCTACTCAGGAGGCCGAGGTGGGAGAGTTGCTTGAACCAGGGAGCAGAGGCTGAAGTGAGCTGAGGTCGCACCACTGCACTCCAGCCTGGGTGACAGAGCGAGACCCCATCTCAAAACAACACCACCACCACCACCACCCTTCAGACCCTTTATCATCGGCTCACACACCATTCTTATCTGAAATCATCCTTTTCCAGAATTGTACATTGTACACGTATTTCCTGTTGTTTTTCTCTACCAATCTGTGATGTAAGACTTGACTATTCTAGGAAACCTTGCCCAAATAACCCCATCTAGCCAGAGATGCATATAGCTACACATCTCTGTACTCATCAGCACTTACAGGATCAGAGTGTACTGTGTAACTTAACTTTGAATTGTTTGTGTATCAATTAATATTGTTTCCTGTGGCTCTTCAGGGTCTGGTCTACGTACTCTTTTTCTTCCAATACAAGTCTTAGTGCTCTATCCCGCCCACATTGAAAGGCTGATCACTAAGTCAGAGTGAACATTCTTCCTACAAAATTCTTTTCTTTCAGATTTAAAAATGTAAATTTAATCTGATGTTAAGGAGTAATGGCTGCAAATGGATAAGAACAATATTGTGTATATAGCCATTTGTTAATGACCAAAAATTTTTCCCAAAGTTATAAGGAATGTTACAACAAAGTTGAAAGGAATATTAGGGCTAAGGCAGATTTATATATTATATGGAAATGGAAATAAAATACTAACTGCTTTTGGGTAGAAATAATAAATTATTGTCTCTTTCTGATGTGATTTAAACCAAATTTGTTCTAAGATTTTAAAATAATGGTCCTAATTAACAACTTAGAGCAAGGGCCCTACAGTGTTCTCATATTGTCTTGTATATTGTACACATAAACCAAATTTTCTGCCTAAAGATATTCAGCACATGATTATTTACAGGAAAAAAAGTTGGAAATAACAGAAACATCTAAAAATAGAGGAGTGGTTAAGTAATTTATGGTACATGTGTTCAATGGAATATTTTATCATATTTTATATACACATGGTTTATGAAAATGTGTAAAACATTTATGATTCCATTGGAAAAGAGCAGACCAAAAATAGAATATGCAGTACAATATTATGAAAAATATTTTAAAAGGACAAAGGAAAGAAATACACCAAAAAATATTATAGTAGCAGTCACTTTCTTTGAGTAGTTGTTTAAATGGTGCTTTTAACTTTTTAAAATAGAGTTTTGATATTTTCTAAATATACAAAGCATCTCTTTTTAAAAAATATTTTTAACTTGAAGTAATTTAAAACTCACAGAGGAGTTATAGGAATCATTCAAAGAATTCCCCTGTGCTCTTCAGCCAAATTTGTTCTCTCTCTCTAAATCATTTGAGAGTAAATTGCAGATGGCTGGCTGCCGCTAAGTATTTAAGCATATATTAAGTATGTATTTTTAAAAAACCAGGACATTTTCTTATGTAACAAGAGAATAATTATTGAATTCACAAAATTTAACATTGATACAGAACTGTTATTTAATATATAGTCTACATTTACATTTCTACAGTTGCCCCTATAATGTCCTTTATAGCAGTTTCTGACCCCAGCCCTTCCTCTTCATGATCTTGTCCAGAATCACACATTGTATTTAGTTGTCATATCTCTTTTTTAATTTTAATTTTAATTTTATTAGAGACAGGCTTTCTGTTGCCCAGGCTGGAGTGCAGTGGCACCATCATAGCTCACTACAGCTTCGAACTCCTGGGCTCAAGTGGTCCTCCCACCTCAGCCTCCCAAGTAGCTGGGACTAGAGGTGTGCACCACCATGCTCAGCTAATTAAAAAAAAAAATTTTTTTAGAGGTGAAGTCTTGCTGTGTTGCCCATGCTGGTCTTGAACTCCTGACCTCAGGCAGTCTTTCCACCTCGGCCTCCCAAAGTGTTGGGACTATAGGTGTGAGCTACCGCACCCAGCTGCTTTTTTTTTTTTAATGGAAAAAACAAATAGAAGTAGCTTGATGAATTTTACCATCTAATAGCTAGTATCATAAGGGTTATAGCAAATACTTAAAAATTGGTAATGGGAGAAAGGATATAATGCTTTTTTTTTTTTTTTTTTTTTGAGACATAGTTTCACTCTTGTCGCCCAGGCTGGAGTGCAATGGCGTGATCTTGGCTCACTGCAACCTCTGCCTCCTGGGGTTCAAGCAATTCTCCTGCCTCAGCCTCCCCGGTAGCTGGGATTACAGGCACCCACCACCACGCCTAGCTAATTTTTGTATTTTTTAGTAGAGACCAGGGTTTCACCATGTTGGCCAGGCTGGTCTCAACCTCCTGACTTCAGGTGATGTACCTGCCTCGGACTCCCAAAGTGCTGGGATTACAGGTGTGAGTCACCGCACCCAGCCCATATAATGCTGCTTAAATCAGATTTATGGTAGGTTGTTACTTTCAGTTTCAAGCACTTCAAATATAAACTTCCTTTGTGTGTCATTTTAGGATCAAGCATTTGGAGAGCTAGAAAAGAATAGTGATAAATTTCTACTTGGAACATCATCATCAGAAAACAGTCAGCCTGCTCATCTTCATGAACTGCTATGTTCACTACAGAAACAGCTGCTGGCATTTTGCCATATCAATAACATTAGTGAGGTATGCGATTATTTGTCTTTTATGGTGATCTATCAGGGACCTTGAAACTCAGATATTTGGATAGGCCATGATATTTTTACACCTTGAATCTTTCAAAGTAGTAATTTAGGAACTTTTTTTCTTCTTAGAACTCAAGCAGTGTGGCATTGCTTCATAAACATCTTCAGCTTTTGTTGCCTCATGCCACAGATATTTATTCACGTTCTGCAAATTTGCTCAAAGAAAGTCCTTGGAATGGCAGTGTTGGAGAAAAATTAAGAGGTGAGTTTGGTATTTCATTTCAAATTTAATCAGTCATTAAGAAGTAAGAACACTTGGCTTTCCAAAGTCTTAAGAGAGCCAGAAGCCTCTGGAATAGGAATGGTCTTGAATTTCCTTCTATTGAAGATTCCTTTAGTCTTGGTTTGGGGGTAGTGTTAGCAGTGATTGGTCTTAGAAAGAGTCTACTTGGCATGACAGAGGCCTAATTTAAAGGCACTGGATGATATAAACTCAAAAATATTAATTTTAAATGGCAGAAAGTGAGATTTTTTAATCTGCTCTTTTTTTTTTTTTTTAAAACCTGCTCTTTCTTTACCTTTCTCTTCAGCATTTACCATTTTTTCACTTTCCTTCTTGAAATTCTTTCTTTGGGCTTCTGTGTAGTCACAGTCCTTTTTTCTCTCCTCTTCCTCTGACTCTTCTTTTTCAGTGGGTTCCTATAGGCTCCTCTTCCTTGGACATGCCCTCTAATGTTGAGGATCCTCCGAATTTTGCCTTCTATCCTCTTTGCTCCCCCAATGGTCTTATCTAGTCTCAGTGTCTTTAACAACCATTTACATATTAATGACTCCTATATTTCCATCTAGCTGAGAACACCTTTCCTGAGTCCTAGAGCCTTTCTTTAATTGCCTACTGGGTGTCTTTTCTTGGTTATCCAAAAGACAACCAAAATTTATTGTTTATCTAAAACCAGCTGCCCCTGAAGTTCCCCCACTGAAAAAAGAAAGAAGGGAACACTGTGAAACTGAAACCTTTCCTCATTAGATACCTCCATTTGGCTGTTCCACAGCAACTAAAATATTTTCAAACTGAGCTCATTTCTGAATGACCTTCTCTGCCCTGATATACAATGAAATAGTGAAATAAAATTGATTTAAAACCAATATGGATTATAAAAACACATGATTTAAGGTGATCTTGATTTTTAAAAAAGCAAATTTTGTTTAAAAAATATGAAAGCATTCCCTCACTAGCAGGTAAGCACCAGGGGGACAGGAAGTTTTAACCACTTTCTTCAAGGCTGTATCCCTTTCACCTAGAACTGTGCCTGGTATGTCAATAAATATTTCTTGAGTAAATAAATATTTCTTGAGTAAATTATAAAATGAAGATAAATTAATGAATGAGAAATTCATAATGAATTTTAAGGAAAACAGTTTTAATCCTTTGAATTTGTTGGTACGGAGAATACATATGCTTTCCTATAAAGTGTTTGTTGGTGGTACTTTCTGAAAGTGAATAAACACTGATACTACATCAGCTACCAGGTAGGTGTTCAACAGAGAGTTGTTGAATGAGTCTACTCTAGTTCCAAGCTAAAATAATATTTATTAGGTTCCTTTTTTTAAAGTTCATTTGAAGCAATTGTCCCATGTTTAATTTCTTGCCCTTCATAGATGTGATATACGTCTCAGCTGCTGGCAGTATGCTCTGCCAGATTGTTAACTCCCTGCTGTTACTCCCTGTGTCAGTGGCTCGGCCTTTATTGAGTTACCTCCTCGACTTGTTGCCACCTCTTGATTGCCTTAATAGACTCCTGCCAGCTGCTGATCTTTTAGAAGACCAGGAGTTACAGTGGCCTCTTCATGGTAAGTAAAGACAATAAAAGAGCAAATAATGCCTTTGAGAAAAGTTGTTCCTCTTGCACACATCACTGTGTTTTTCCATTGGAGTCTATCTATCCTAAGGCTATCAAAGGAATTTCATCACTGAAATCTTAAAAGCTTTTCAAATTTAAGTAAGTCCTCTTATTTTATTGGAAAGAATCCTGGGCTGGAGCATAAAAGGAAAAGCATTGGAGTTGGAAAGATGACCTTGAGGGCCTATCTTATTTTAACATTATACAGTTCAGTGATCAAGTGTCACTTAGTCCAAGTGTCAAATTTACAACCATATCAGGATGTTGATTAGGCTTTATATGGAGTTGTTCCAAATTTATTCTTTCCTTTTTTCTTTTTTTGAGATGGAGTCTTGCTCTGTTGCCCAGGCTGGAATGCAGTGGCGCAATCTTGCCTCATTGCAACCTCTGCCTCCCGGGTTCAAGTGATTCTCCTGGCTCAACCTCCTGAGTAGCTGGGATTACAGGCATGCACCACCACGTCCAGCTAATTTTTGTATTTTTAGTAGAGACGGGGTTTCACCATGTTGGCCAGGCTGTTCTTGAACTCCTGACCTTGTGATCCGCCCACCTCAGCCTCCCAAAATGCTGGGATTACAGACGGGAGCCACCGCCCCTGGCCAGTTTATTCTTTTCTAAAGCGTCTCAGAACTTGCTAAGATTCAGTCTATCAGGTGAGTAAGGTGTCATTTTATTTTTTCATCTATGTTTATAACTGATATTTTTCTATAATTTTATTTTTTCATGCTATCCTTTCCTAGTTTTTACTACCAAAATTATACTAATCTCATAACATGAACGCGGAACTTTCTTTTATTCCTGTTCACTGAAATAATTTGTGTAAGATACGAGTTATCTCTTCCTGAGGTTTTAGAAGAATTTATCTGTGAAACTATCTGGCCCTGGTGTTTTGTTTGTAGACAGACTCTGGCAATTCTCATTCTTTAGTGATTAGTATTCCCTTCCATCTTATGTTTCTTCTTAAGTCCATTTTGGAAATATATATATTTCCAGGAATGTTATTTTGTTGGTTTTCAAATTTATTGGCATAAAGTTATTTGTAATATTCATGGTTTTAAAAAATCTCTAGTATATCTATGGTTATATCCTGTTTATTCCTATTTTTTGAATTTGTGCCATCTTTTTTTCTTGAGTAATTTTATTAATCATTTATCCATTTTCCTTTTAGATAACTTATCCATTATCATTTCAAATAACTGCTTTTTGGATTTTTCAGTCTCTATTTTTATTTCATTGGTATGTGTTCCTTATAGCTGTCATTTCGTGAAGTCAAGAACTTTTAAAAACAAATGTACAATAAAAAAGCATGGATCTGGGCCCGGCATGATGGCTCATGCCTATAATCCCAGCACTTTGGGAGGCTGAGGCCGCCGGATCACCTGAGGTCAGGAGTTCAAGACCAGCCTGGCCAACATGGTGAAACCCCATCTCTACTAAAAATACAAAAATTAGCCAGGCACCGTGGTGCACACCTATACTCCCAGCTACTTGGGAGGCTGAGACAGGAGAATTGTTTGAACCTGGGAGGCAGAGGTTTCAGTGACCCAAGATCATGCCACTGCACTCCAGCCTGAGTGACAGAACGAGACTCTGTCTGCTCCCCTCCACCCCCGCCCCCCAGAAAAAAAGAAAGCATGGGTCTGGATCTTAGTATTAAGACAATTCTGAATTCAGGCCTTAAAAAGCATTAAACAATCTTGAATGTCATTTTAATGGATAAATTTGTGTGTTGATTTTGGAGGAATAAACTCAGAATACTCCCTAAAGATAGTGAATTTTGGTCTGGGTAATGAAAAGTAGGAATATAATTGATTGGAATAATGTTGTCATATGTTGTTTTAATGTTTATCTTAAAATTAGTAACTTTTCCAAGGAAAATTTTATTTGATAGCATAACTTCTCTGGATATTATTTTAAATCAGTCTGGTAAAGAGAAAAAATACAGAAAGTATTATAATTTGTGTTTTCATCATAAAATATTTTGCATCAGTATCTTATTGCAGTACGGTAGGAGACTATGAGAAATATTTTGAATCTTAAAAGTACCAGATAAAGACACAATAACTAATGATTTTGTCTTTAGGAGGGCCAGAACTAATTGATCCTGCTGGTCTGCCATTACCTCAGCCAGCTCAGTCCTGGGTATGGCTTGTGGATCTAGAAAGAACAATTGCTCTCCTTATTGGGCGGTGTCTTGGTGGCATGCTTCAGGGCTCCCCTGTGTCTCCAGAGGAACAGGACACTGCATATTGGATGAAAACGCCACTGTTCAGTGACGGTGTAGAAATGGACACTCCTCAATTGGGTAATGTGCTTCTCTGCAGCATTTAAAATACATGCCTGTTTGTACCTCAGTTGGAGATTTCTCTATTCTGATTTGCTAAATAGAGAACTGACAGGCACCAATTGCAACATTAGCAGTGTAGGGAATCTGGGGCTATGACTTGGAGCCCTAAGAAAAATGGTTAAATCGTGCAGCACAATATGGTGAAAAGAGCCCCCAGAGGAAATAGAAATTGTAGGTCTGGTCCTACTCTGTCATATTTATCACTCATTTTGAGCAAGTCATCTAACTCAATGCTTCATCACTTATTTTCCGAGGCTTGGAGGTTATGAAACTGCTTCCCAGAATGTAAAGCACTGTAAGAGTACTTAACCATGACTTATCAGTGCAGCACCCCTGAGATGTGAGTGGCAGCCTCTTTTCCTCCCAGCCTGTCTTGCTTTCATGCTGACATTATATTATGTCCTAATTTTTTCTTCGCCACTTAAAGTGCCTTTAGAATTTCCCTTCTGCAGCATCTCCCATTTGTATATATTGCTGGCAGGCTAGTTCCTAGACTGAACATGAAGACTTATCTGGTACCCCAGATAATCCAGTTGTTTTATCTAGAATTGGTCCTTTAATCTCTCTAGGCTTCTAATTTTGATTCTATAAAATAATGATTTGGATTAGACAGGCTACATGATATTATTAGATCTAAAATTTATTATTTCTCTGATAAGACAAAGAGACTCAACATGTCCCTGAAGGAAAGTCTAAGAGAGACTGAGAGGAAAGAAGGAGAGCGGAAAAGAAAAGAAAAAACAAAACAAAATGAGAAAGATTATACTTTGGGATTTGGAGGGTTGGAGAGTGGGAGTGAGGGAAGCAGTTGAGGATTTTCCTCCATTTCCAAATATGAGTGTACATTCATCATTTCATTTATGAACCAGAAAGTGATTTTGGCCATGGCTGGTGAATGTTGGACTGGTGTTTATGAAACATTTTGTTAAAGAAAGTAAAATCATGGTTTTTCAAGGGGTCTTTAACATGATAAAGATAATTCCACTGCTGTCAGTGTTTAACCTTGTGACAGTCCTAAAGGACCTCCTGAGAACAAAAGTATCTCTATCTCTACCCTCTTCATATTTCTGTTATATTTATTCAATTAAACTGGCCTTTAATATGAAGAAAATCAATTTCTGTTTAATGTTATTTTTCACTTTTTAAGTTATAAAATCATGAAACTATTAAAATTTTATTTTGTTTACTTGTATGTATTAGAAAAAGGTATTAGCCTTTGTAAAATTATAAAAATACAATAATTCAGTTATACTATGGGTTGAATTGATTTTTGATACTAGCCCAAGAACCTCATCATCACTTAGAACATGGTTTTGTTTGATTTTTAAATGTGAAATGAATTCTGAATGTCAAATGTCACACTGAAAAGTTAGGAACCACCTGTACAAATATAAATATCAATTGAGAAATTGTTCATGGTATCTTTTACATGGATCATTTTTAACTGATTATTTTTACTTAAGTCTATTAAAAAAAGGTCTAGTCGCATTTTCAATGGTTCCTTGTTTCTCAAAGAGGATATCATTCCATTTTGAACGCGTTGGTTTTTTGTTATACAAGACCATTGCACGTGTAGGACATTTAGTTTCTCTGGCCTCTGCCTGCCAAAACGCCAGAGTTGTAGGGTATAGCTCAGAGGTAAAGCATTTGACTGCAAAATACCAGAGGTTTTTTTGGAGTGTCACAATTGGTAGAGTGTCACATCCTTTTGGAGAATGTAAAAGGGTTGATACTACCTCCAACTGAAAAACATTAAAGGACTTTACCTTGGTAGCATCTACTTAAAATGGTTTGAAGTTTATCATTTCATAATCATTAAATAAATGTGGTAAGATTTTATCTGTAGCACCAAAATTTATGATGTTAAAATTGGTAACGTGAGTATTTTTTTTAGATAAATGTATGAGTTGCCTGTTAGAAGTAGCACTTTCTGGAAATGAAGAACAGAAGCCTTTTGATTATAAATTGCGGCCTGAAATTGCTGTCTATGTAGACTTGGCATTGGGTTGTTCTAAAGAGCCTGCCCGAAGCCTTTGGATCAGCATGCAGGACTATGCTGTTAGTAAAGGTAAGATAAAGAAGATAAAGGGAGTAAATTTGTAGTTAGCTCATAATGCTCGCAAATATATATGCAATATATGTAAGTGAAAATTATAGGGATCACCCTTTTTTTTAATAGAAAAAGATATTTTATTAACATTTTTAAACAATTTGTTTTTCCCTTTGTGGAAAATAGTGTAACTATTTTTTATATACATGTATTCCACTTAAACCTACTGTGTGAAAATTGAGATTTATATAATACATTTATAGGTAATCATTTTACTGAAGTATAGTAGTCTCCCCATATCCGCGGGTGATGTGTTCCAAGACTCCCAGTAGATTGCTTGAAACCACAGGTAGTACCGTACCTTATATACATTACGTTTTTTCCTGTGTGTACATACTTGCCCATGGTAAAGTTTAATTTATAAATTAGGCATAGTAAGACATTAACAACAACAGTAATAAAATAGAACAATTACAATAATATGCTAACTGAATCACTACTCTTGCATTTTGGGGCCAGTATTAAGTAAAATAAGGGTTACTTGAACACAATCACTGTGATACCGCAGCAGTAGATCATAAAACCAAGAGGGTTACTAAGTGACTTCGTGAGATTTCATCATACTACTCAGAAGGGCATGCAATTTAAAAGTTATGAATTGTTTATTTCTGGAATTTTCCATTTAATATTTTTGGACCACAGTTGATCGCAAGTAACTGAAACCATGAAAAGCAAGATCATGGATAAGGGAGACTGTTATATTCCGTGCTATGTAAATGGATCTATTTTAAGAGTCTGTTTAACGATTATCTTCCCTTTGCAAGCCATGGTTTAATGACTGAAAGGATGTGTACTTAGAAGTCTAAGCTATAGGTGTGGTCAGTATTCATCTATAAAACATTTTGCCTACTCTAGAGTGCTGGTGAAGATTCCAGTTTGAGATAAGATATACTATTAAGTACCATGGTAAAGTACTATGCAAGTTTGTGGTGGTATTTCAGTTTCTAATATTATTTGAGAAAATTAATTTTATAGGCTGGGCACAGTGGCTCACGCCTGTAATCTCAGCACTTTGGGAGGCTGAGGTGGGAGGTATCACTTGAGGTCAGGAGTTTGAGACCAGCCTGGCCAACATGGCAAAACCCTGTCTCTACTAAAAATACAAAAAAATATTAGCTGGTCATGGAGGCGTGTGCCTGTAATCCCAGCTACTCGGGAGGCTAAAGGACAACAATCACTTGAACCCAGGAGGTGGAGGTTGCAGTGAGTCAAGATTGCACCACTGCATTCCAGCCTGAGTGACAGAGTGAGACTCTGCCTCAAAAAACAAGCAACAACAACAAAGAAAATTAATTTTATGTACATATTTTCAAAGGCTGTACCTGATTTCTTTTTAGCTCCTTTGTTTTTTTAACGATGATCGGGATTGTTCAGAATCACCTATCTCTAGTTTTCTTTCTCTGTGTCATTCTCTTATCCTGTCATTAGTTTTGTCCATTTTTTTTGGATTTTCTTTCTTGTGTGATCAAAATGGCAAAAATAAATACATTTTTACTTTTTATTGGCCTTTATTTTTTATAAAGAAAATGAAATGAGATACATATTATTCAGATCTGCCAATAAGATGACACCTTTGAATGTTTAATCTCATCTTTTTTTTGTTTTTTGTTTTTTGAGACAGAGTCTCCTCTTATCGTCCAGGCTGGAGTGCAGTGGCGTGATCCCAGCTCACTGCAACCTCCGCCTTCCGAGTTCAAACGATTCTCCTGCCTCAGCCTCCTGAGTAGCTGGGATTACAGGCCTGCACCACCACACCCAGCTAATTTTTGTATTTTTAGTAGAGATGGGGTTTATGCCATGTTGGCCATGGCTGGTCTCGAACTCGTGACCTCAGGTGATCCATCCGCCTCGGCTTCCCAAAGTGCTGGGATTACAGGTGTGAGCCACGGCGCCTGGCCCCATTTTGTTTGTTAATCATTTATTCATTCATTCTGTTGTGGTGACTCCTACCAGAGGTGAAATAGTAATGAGGAGGAAAAAAGTTTACTTTCTAAGATGTATTTTCTGATATTTCATATTTGTAACATTTGCTTGGGATGTGCAGTTAGGTTTTCTATACCACATTATCACTTATTACCTTGCAGTGAGAACTAAAAAAAAAACTAGATATAAGGTGAATAAAAACTTGTTGTATGGGTCTGTTTGTTGTATTGCTTATACACTGTAAGCATAGACTTTATTCCTGAATAGTGGAAACATTCTTTGTTGTTTGGTATGAAATGAACATAATTTTAATGAAGGTGTTTTAAAGGAACCCATTATTTTAAAAATGGCATAGGAGAGTAATACCTGCTAAATTTAAAACACAACAAAGAGTGTTACTTTAGTTTGCTTTTAAAATTGAATATTAGGTTCCTTGAAATGGAGTCTTGTTGGATTTTTTAGTCATAGCAGTTCTCAGAATAGCAAGCAATTCCATGGAATGGATGATTTCCTAAGAGCCTGATGAGGATTGTCATTCTAAGATTCTCTGTGGGCTTTAAGAATTTCTTAAAATCTGGCATATTTGTCCTTGTCAATTTTTTTTACTGATAAAGCAGGATAAGTCTGAACTTAAATTTCTGACTTAGGCATACTGAAATGAAAACCAGCATATAACATTTTTATCTCTGGAGATGAGAGTTTTAAGAAGGAATTAAGAACCAAAATTAATTTGAGGCTAAAAATTTTTCAAGCGTGTTTTTTGTTGGTTTTGTTTTGTTTATAAGTAGCCCAGATATTTAGCAAATCTGTCAAATGAACGGAGACTAGCAGTCCCTCTGGGAGCAGGGTGGACAATAACTCTCCCACCCCCATTTGAAATCTACTGAATATACTACATTGTTAAAGTACAATACTGGTGTGCCAACATAGAATTAAAGAATGGGAAGAGGCCGAGTGTGGTAGCTCATGCCTGTAACTCTAGCTACTTAGGAGGCTGAGGCAGGAGGATCGCTTGAGCCCAGGGGTTTGAGACTGCAGTGAGCTATGTAGCCACCACTGCACTCCAGCCTGGACAGCAGGAGTGAGACCCTGTCTCTTAAAAAAAAAAAAAAAGGGAAGAAAAAGCACCTGACTAGTCCTCATCATCTAATGTTGTGATTTCGGTTTTCAACTACATGTCTTCATTTCTGTTTTAAGAAATGTTGTTTCATTTCTTACCCACTTAAATGTACTTGTATTCACAGTATATACTTTTATGGCATCAAATACCAGATACATGTATATTTGACTAGTTTACTCACTATCTCCTCTAGAATGTCTAATGGAGAGTATTCAAAACTAGACTCCTGATTCCAGCTCCCTACCCTCGAAACTGTTCATGTGGTCTTCCTTTCTCAGTAAATGCCAACTACATTTTAAATACATTTAGAATCACCTTTGACTTCTCTCATATTCTCACATCACAGATCTGATCTATCAACAAATTCTGTCAATTCTGCCTTCAAAATGCATGTGGACTCTCCAGCCACTTGTCATTACCTTCGCTGCTCTTACCTTTTTCTGAGTCATCATCATTTCTCACTTGAATTACTGCAATAATTACTTCTGCTATTGCTGTCCCTATAAGTCAGTTCTCCACTCAGCAGAGTGAGCTTTCAAAAATACATCTCAGATCATGTTGTATCTCTGTTCAAAGCCTTCTAATGCTGCTTCTCATTTTTCCCCGAGTAAAACCTGGAGGACTTGTACTGGCCTGCAAGGCCGTTGGGATCTGGTCCCCAGCCAGCTCTCTGATGTCTTCTACCCATTCTGTGCATGCACGGTTTGCCCCAGCCACACTGGCCTCCTTGAACCCATCCCAGATCCTCTGCACTAGCTTTTTCTGAGGGGACCCATTTTCACAAGCTTTTTCCCCCACTTCATTTAGATCTCTGCTCAAATGTAACCTTATCAGAAACTTTCCCAGACCACCTTATATAAAATAGTAATCCCACATATACAGTACTCCCTGTTCTCCTTACCCTGCTTTATTTTCCCTCATAGCACTTACCTGTCATATTAATGTTTTCTTTTAAATTTTATCTCCCACCCTGCTCCTCCTAACAATAATATAAGCTCTGTTAGATCAGGGATTTAGTTTTGTTCACTGCTATATCCACAGCGCTTGGAACAGTAAGTGGGATCTAATGAGGTGCATTTGTTAAGTAACAGTTTAGAAAGATGATAAAATTCAGGTGTTGGATGACTAAAGCTATAAAAATTACCTCTGAACTGTTTTCTGAGCCCTTTTAAATGTCAATGCATCATTTTTATTTTCAGATTGGGACAGTGCAACTTTAAGTAATGAGTCACTCTTGGACACTGTGTCTAGATTTGTTCTTGCAGCTCTTCTGAAACACACAAATTTACTTAGTCAAGCATGTGGAGAAAGCCGGCAAGTAACTTAAAACTATCCTCAGACAAATATTTGCTCTCATGATGTCAGAAATTAGGTAACTTTTCTATTTTGGTTCTTCATTTAGATATCAACCTGGTAAACACTTATCAGAAGTGTACCGTTGTGTATACAAAGTTCGAAGTCGTTTACTTGCTTGCAAGAACCTTGAACTTATTCAAACAAGGTCATCATCACGGGACAGATGGGTAAAGTTTGAAATCAATTAATTTCTATGTTTTTCTGCAAGCTGTGAGAGCTAGCTCTAAATTGGTTTATGTGAGAAAAAAATGTGCCTTGGTTATTGCATATGTTCAATACATGTTGAGTAGTTCTTTTCCTAGCAGAAAAAAAAAAAGGAAAAGATTTGAGATTTACTTAACCTCACATTTACCAAGTGTGATATTGGTTCTAAGAAACTTTAGTTGGCTGCATAAATATTAATAACAAATTGAATGATTCAAATCATATGAATGATTATTCCTCTCTTTGTGCTGATTGGGCCACATTTGAATTATCCTGTTTAATTTGGGGTGCCATAATTTATGAGGGACATTAAGCAATACCTTGGATTGATAAAGTCCAAAAATTATGTCATAGAAGGACTAGAAAGTATCAAAAATATTCAGCTTAGAGAAGTGAAAACCAAGGAGGGGGTTGTGTGTGTGTGTGTGTGTGTGTGTGTGTGTGTGTGTGTGTCACATAATAGCTGCCTTAAAAATACTTAAAGAGCTTCTCTGTAAGAGAGGAAATAAATGTTTTCCTTGTTCCGGAGGACACAACTAGGACGAAAGGGTAACAATCAAATGGGGAATCATTTTAGCTGAATGTTAGGAAAATAGGCTTTCTGATGATTAGAGTTGTCTACCATTGGAAATGAAGATTGAAACTACTTGTTTTTTATTTTATTTTTGAGACAGTCTCGCTCTGTCGCTCAGGCTGGAGCGCAGTGGCATGATCTTGGCTCACTGCAACCTCCACCACCCAGGTTCAAGTGATTCTCCTGCCTCAGCCTCCCGAGTAGCTGGGATTACAGGCATGCACCACCACGCCCTGCTAATTTTTTGTATTTTTAGTAGACATGGGGTTTCACCGTGTTGACCAGGCTGGTTTTGAACTCCTGGAGTGAGGAGTTTGAACACCTCAAGTGATCCACCCACCTCGGCCTCCCAAAATGCTAGGATTATAGGCGTGAGCCACCTCACCTGGCCGAAACTACTTATTAAGAACAGTCCAGAAGTAATTCTTGCAGCAAAAAGGAGATAATTTCTAAAGTGCTTGGTAATCTTGATAACATGATCGTAAAATTATAAATGCAAGCCTGGATAATAAAACATTATCTTTGTAGTGCTGACTTTGAAACTTAACTAATCAGATGCTTTGCACTCCATTATTTAGTCCTTAGATTTAAAAAACCAAACTCTTTCTCTCCATTTGTAGACTTTTGTCATATACTGACTTAGTATTTGTGGATCTGTTTGTTGGTGACCTTGAAAGTCCATGAAATGTATTAATTTGCCATTTTGTTGAGGCTCATATTTGAAACTCATATATGGGGATAAATGACATGTACTGTGTGAGTCTGACTACTCTGTATCCCCATCTCTGTAAAAGTCTTAAATTATTTAATGGTCATGAGTCACAGGTAACTTTTATGATGGATCTGATGATAACAATTAAAATTTTTCATTTGTGCTTTATACTGAATGGTATTTATGACTGTCTGAGTATCTGTTTTAAGGATTCTTTTCTTTGTCTAGATGACTGCTAGGTAGAAACCACTGTGGGAAATCAAGTTAACATTGTCCTTAGCAGATTTCTAATTTTTGGTTTGTTCAGGGGCAAAGTTAAAGAAAAAAAATTAAAACCAATACTGTTTTAAATTTAGAATTATTAAACATTTATGCAGAGTAATAGTAACATAAACAACTTGAAGAAAATGGAATAGAATAAAAATTCTCTGCCTTAATTACCTTTTATGCTTGGTATCATGTTCATTACAACTTACTAAGTTGCAGCTCTGTAGGAATTTATAGCTGAATAGCAATATAGATATGAATAAATTTACAGCATGATATTTTAATCAAAATAATGAGGAAGGAAGAGCATATATGTGTCTATATATTTTGTGTACATACATTATTTCTATAAGATTTATCTAGTGTATCTTTTGGGTTTTTGTAGTAAAGTTCATGTGTTATTACTGATATCAACAATATTTTCCATGATAAAAAATTAAAGGTTTTTTAAAGTTTTAAAAAGATTTTGGAAAAAATGTATTTAGTGTAGTTTCTGATAATTTCTTTAAGATATCAGAAAACCAGGACTCTGCAGATGTTGATCCTCAGGAGCATTCATTTACTCGAACTATTGATGAAGAAGCTGAAATGGAAGAACAGGCTGAGAGAGACCGGGAAGAGGGGCATCCGGAGCCAGAGGATGAAGAGGAGGAACGGGAACATGAAGTGATGACAGCTGGCAGTGAGTATACCCTTCTTACTTTCTAGATACAAACTGTGGCATGCTTTTTGATAGGGGAACTAACTTGAAAGAGAAAGGCAAAGTTTCTCCATAGTTTTTCTAAAAGGACTTTATATTCTGCTGGTGATCTCAATTTGTATTAGCTGACAGGGGCTCCTACAACTGTGCTAGTACTATTCTGATGCTTTTGGGTTACATATTCAGGGCTGAGAAGCTCTGGAAGCAGGAATGTCAGTACCTGCTTCACTGAGCCTCATCATGAAATGAAACTCATGAGTCATCAGATAGGGCCATTCAAAATATGTCCTCTGGGGCAACAAGTTGTCCACCAGCCTCGAAGACGTCTGAGCGGTGAGGAAGAGAGCCCCTTTCTATGCCTATTAGGAGAGCCATAATGTTTTCCACGTGTGGAACTTCTAAAATTATAAATTTCACCCACTGACTACACTGCTGTTTCGATAGGGAGCAAGAATTTACATGAGACTGCTATTGACTGGGTGCATAAAACTTTTCATACCTTTATATTCCAAGGCTCAGATAGTTTTTAAAGGTAGTTATTTATATGTTTAAAGAGAAGTATCAAGTTTTTAAAACATTTATTAGTATCTTTTGAGTGATTTGGCTATTTCCAGTTAAAGTGTGCATTCAGTCGGTACCCTAAAACATGATCAGCAATGCCTTTGGTTTTGAGATTGTCTGTATCTGTCAATTAACTTGGCCCTAACTTTATTATCAACTTATTTGTGTTCTGCATACTTCTAAAAATGATTTTTGAGGGGGCTTGAAACAAGACTAAACATAATTTAAACAAAAGGAAAAAGATCCAAATGGAGTAAAGGGAGTTGGAGATGGGGAAGGAAAATAATTGTATTTTAAAAACCTAGGCTGAGGGAACTTTTGCAGTTGAATATAAATTTAGTTTAGAAATTCCTGGAAGCAGACTGAAGGTGAAAATATAGTAAAGTATAACCCTCAATTACAATAAAAGAATGATAGTCATCTGGGAACTAACACTTTTTAAACTAGCTATGCTTTTAGAGCATCTATATATGCCAGGCACTGGTCAAGTTCTTTGCATAGATTAGCTCATTATCATAACTGTCTAAAGTTCTAGTACTACCTCATTCTAAAGATGAATGAACTAAGGTTTAAGGATGCAAAATTGTATGACTTAGGCTACAGTTAGTAGCAGCTAGAATTAGAAGCAGGTCTGCCCCAAACACCAATGACCATTCTCTTAACCACTTTAATTGATTTCTAGCTCTGGACTCTGAGAGGGTTTATTGCTTTGATTTTTGTAGAAATAAGGGACTTTTAATAGCATAACAAAAATATTGTCACAATTTTATAAAATATACAGATCAATTTTTAAAGTTTGTACTTCCATATTAACTGATGAATTTAGTATTTTACCAACTTTTTTGGCCTGGTTTCCCATTAAGAATACCGTCTTTGGGCCAGGTGCGGTGGCTCACGGCTGTAATCCCAGCACTTTGGGAGGCCGAGGCAGGCGGATCACGAGGTCAGGAGTTCGAGACCAGACTGGCCAACATGGTGAAACCCCATCTCTACTAAAGATACAAAAAATTAGCCGGTGTGGTGGCGCGCATCTGTAATACCAGCTACTCAGGAGGCTGAGGCAGGAGAATCGCTTGAACCTGGGGGTGGAGGTTGCAGTGAGCCGAGATCGTGCCACTGCACTCCAGCCCGGGCGACAGAGTGAGACTCCATCTCCAAAAAAAAAAAAAAAAAAAAACAGAAAAAGGAAAAAAAGAAGAATACTGTCTTCGCTCCAAATTTGTGCAAAAAATTTCTTTTCTAATGTGAAATATCTACCACTGCATCAGAACCTTGTTAACTCCACTGATGGAAAGGCTGGCATCAGATGGGTATTCCTGGTGATGCCATCTCACTCTGGAGGCAATCTTGCCCCATATATTAAAACTAAATTCTGTTTCAGCAAAGACCTTTAGTGACAGTGCTTATTTAATGTGTTTAAGATACAGCAAAGTGTAGATGGTAGGGATTATATGGACTTTGGAAGGGGAAAGGGAATTTTTTGTTGTAACTAATATAACTTAAATTTTGTCCGTTTTTTTTTTCTTTTGAAACCTCACATTTTTCACACCAAGCTTGTGAACGTTTCAGAAATAAGCAGTTATTTTTACCTAACCTTGTGCTTCACAGGCTTTTATGGGCTTCAAAATCAGCTGAAGGGCCTTTAAAACACAGATTGCTGGGTCCCCCACCTAGAGGTTCTGATTCAGAAGGTCTGGGGTGGGCCTGATAATTTGCATTTCTAACAAGTGCCCAGATGATGTGGGTACTGCTGGTCTGGGACCGTACGTTGAAAATAACTGATCCAATTCATTAATAACATTTGAATTGTGATTACATTAAAATTCTGTAAAGGCAGATTAGTATTTCCTAATGTAATTTTTATGAAAATATAGTATTTTAGTATATTTTAAATGTAATTTTAACTAAGTTAACTATGTTGTATATAATGTCTAAAAAATAATTTTTCCCTCTTTCAGTAAGTTTTTGGTCCAAACTTTTTGACTATTTTTATTGTTATTTTCTTTGCTCTTCTCTCCCCATGTGTTAAGACCTTGTTTTTGTGTTGCATGTTACAGAAATCTTTCAGTGTTTCCTCTCAGCCCGTGAAGTAGCTCGTAGCCGAGACCGAGATAGAATGAACAGTGGGGCAGGGTCTGGGGCTCGAGCTGATGATCCACCTCCTCAGTCTCAGCAAGAGCGAAGGGTCAGCACAGACCTTCCTGAGGGTCAGGATGTGTACACTGCTGCATGCAACTCCGTGATCCATCGGTGTGCCCTGTTAATATTAGGAGTAAGTCCTGTGATAGATGAGCTTCAGAAGCGAAGAGAAGAAGGACAGTTGCAGCAACCTTCAACAAGTGCCTCTGAAGGGGGTGGACTTATGACCAGGTGGGACTGACTAGACACTGAAAACATGACCTACTCACTTCCCTTTATTACTTTATGCACTGAAATGGTTTGTTTCCAAAGTTACAGTGTTCTGATGTTAACATAGACATGAAAGAAGAAATGCAAATTGACTAGGATGAACTTAAAGTAAAGTAAATACTGATACTGATTCAGCATGGGCTATAAATTTCTGATTAAATGAGGAGGCACAATTTTTCGTATATATAAACAACAGCAGTGAAAAAGCATGTGAAGTTACTTGCATTGCTCTGTAGTTTAGTGACATGCAAATTATTTTGAGAAGGTCTTTGTGCTCAGACAAGAGTCAGGATTTCCTGTCAACTGACATTACTCCTCCCTGTGTGTGTATATTATCTCTGTGCTCCAATTCCATTCAATTTTATGTTCACTAACAGTCCTAAATCAAAAAACTTTTTTTTTTGTACATGTGAGACAGGAGTGAAAGTCTTACTGCAGAGAGCCGGCTAGTCCACACAAGCCCAAATTATAGACTGATCAAATCGAGGAGTGAATCTGATTTGTCTCAGCCTGAATCAGATGAAGAGGGTTACGCACTGGTAGGTATACCCAGATTCAGTAAAGAAAGATTTTTGTTTTCAAGGTATATGATATGTAAGGCTTTGGTTAGAGTAAGTAATATGTTTGTTTTAGACATATAAAAATTTTTTCAAAAATAACTTTAAGAGAAATAACTATATTGCATATATGTTTACCACATATGTGTTAATGGTTTCAATCTCTTGTTCTGACTTCTTTTTAAACTCTAAATTCATATATCTGACTCTTTGATGGACATTCCACCCGAATGAGTTGGGTTACCCCAATCTTAACCTATCTACAAGTGAACTCGTCTCTCTCCAAACCTGTTTCTCTTTTATTCCCTATTTTAGTAGGTGGTACATTAACTATCCAAGCAAGAAACTTGGGATCATCCTTGACTCTTTTTTCTTATCTCCTGATCCCTTTATTCTCCACCCCTTCCCAATCCAGTTAAGTCTTAAAAATTTTACCGTTAGTGTGTCTCCAATGTCCTCTCCTCTCCCTTTCCTTCTGCCACTGCTCTGTTTTAAACTTTCTCTTTTGAGTGGACGTGTGCAGAAGCCTTCAAACTGGTTGCCTCACCTCTTGCCTTGTGCCCACCTTCCACATTTCACAAGACTAACATATCTAAAGTACAAATCTGTTTATACCTCCTCTACTCAAAATCTTTTAACAGCTCTGTTAACTATCAAAAAAGCCTCAGAACCTGGACTGCAGGCATTTAGGGTAAAGATAAATAAGATGCTAATTTATATAAAAAGGAGGTGAGGTAAAGGTATGCTACAGTGTCACTGGTAAAATATAAAGCGAAAACTATCTAGAAGATTGCTTCTACTTGAGGAACTTTGGACTTGGAGTTAATTGGTAGCTAGGTTTTCAATTTGGCTGTTCCTCTGCCTTGTGTGTGATTCTATATGTGCTATGACCTCCCTGGGCTTTAGTGTCTTACTGTGTGATACGAAGATGGTAGTGCCTGTTGTGTATATGGTGATGTGTCAGACTTGGCTTCTGGTCTCGATTCTACTGTTAAAGAGCGGTGGGATCTTGGTCATATCATGTGACAGCTCATAGAGAAATGCTAGCGTTTGAGATGGACTTATCTATAAGCTCCATGTGTAATTCTGAAATTCCTCTGTTGTATGAACTGAGAGAAGGGATAGGAAAATATTTTTGAAAAAGTATAAAGTGCTACATAAAGAATAAGTTATTGTTTTAAAAAAGCTTCCATAAAGGATTCCTCATCTAAGGAAAGTTGAACAGTGTCTTTACGTTTCATTGTATCATGACATTTTGTTTATACTTCCTCCTTTTCTCCTTCATCTGCATTAATATCTCTGTGCTTCCACTTCATACTCCCAGTCTTATAGTCTAGTGAGATTCCTGTGCTCATTTATTTCTCTGTCAGTTAATTTTTTAAATCTGATCAATCTGACTCATTATCTAGTCTCCTAACTCTGTGATAATTTCCCTTTTTTTTGAGACAGGATATTACCCTGTCACTCAGGCTGGAGTTCAGGCTGCTCAGTGCAGCCTCGAACTCCTGAGCTCAAGCAATCCTCCTGCCTCAGCCTCCCGAGTAGCTGAGATTACAGGCATGTGCCACCATTTCTGGCTAATTTTTTAAATTTTTATGTCTTGCTCTGTTGCCCAGGCTGATCTTAAACTCCTGGCCTCAAGTGATCCTCCTGCTTCAGCCTCCCAAAGTGTTGGGATTACAGGTGTGAGCCACTGCACCCAGCTCCCAACCCTGCAATAATTTTGAAACATAGATCATGTCGTTTCTCTGCTCAGAGTCCTGCAATGACTTCCCTTTTCTCAGACTAGAAGTCTAAGTCCTTACAGGGGTCTATAGGCTCTTCATGGTCTGGTCCCACTACCTCTCTGATCTCTTCTGTTACTCTCCTCAGTGATTCTCCTTCTGTCACACTGGACTCTTAGCTGTTGCGTGAATCTGCAACACAAGTTCCCTTTAGGGCCTTAACTGGCTGTTTCTTAGGACTGGAATGCTATTGCCTGCATGGCTAACTCCCTCTCTTTCTTCAAGTCTTCATTCTGATGTTACTTTTTCCATGAAGCCTGTGCTGACCACCCTATTTAAAATGTCAATTTTCCTTCTTTTCCAAATAGTCACTTCCTGTCCCCCTTGCCTTGCTTTGTTTTTTCTGGGGCACCGATCACTTACTGTATAATTTAGTTATTCATTGATCAGTTAGTCTTAGTCTACATTAGAATATAAGCTCTTTAAGGACAGGAATTTTTTGCTGTTTTATTCACTTCTGTATCCCAAGCACCTATAATAGCACGTGGTAGGTAGTCAGGAAATTATTTTTAAATTTATAAATAACTGTCTAATCTATTTTGGCAAAATTTCCACATGCATTTGGTTTTTTCCTTTCTTTAATTGAAGTGCCCTATTACCTGTTTCTGGAGTAGGTATTTTCAAACTGGTCCCCCTACTTTTTCCAGTTTTGCTCCTTAGACACTTCTTTCCAAATTAGAACTCTTGGAAACACACATAACAACAACAAAACACCTACCTGCTGATTGTGCTACTTTCCTACTCAAACATCTTGTCTTACTGCAGAGAGATGGCTAGTCCACGCAAGTCCAAATTACAGACTGATCAAATCTAGGAGTGACTGCACTGCCTACTCGGAAATCAAAGATTCTGGGAAGTGTCACCTGCCTGCTTTTGGAACCAGTATTCTTCTGCAGTGGTCTGCATTTTTGCCATAGTAGTTCATCTGCCAGACCCCAAGCATACCTCTTGAGCCTTTGCTAAAGCACTATTTGCCTTAAAAGTTCTCCTAGGCTTCCTTGCTGATATCCTGTCTTTCCCTGAAGGACTGTCTAAAATGTTACCTCTTCCAGAAAGCTTTCCCAGCTACCTTACTCTCCCAGTTGTCCCATGACAGTTTGTTAGGATGTCTGATAATTTACCGTTTGTCTTATGTTGGACTTATTTATGTATTATTAGTATGTCTTCCCAGTAAACCCACTAGAAATCTAGGATTTTTTGGTTTTTATTTTTCCTAAATGCCCCTGATATCTCCTACACAGTGCTTTACATATTGTAAATGATTAATAACTCCTTTCAACTGAAATGAAAATATAGAAAGGAGGATGGGTAAAATTAAAGTGGTGTACTTTTGGGAAATCAGCTATGAAATCTGACTCAGAATAGGGTTAAAACTCACCATGGACTTTGACCTGTACAAGACATTTAACCTTCCTGAGCTCCAGTTTCTTTATCTTTGAAGTGGAGAATAATGCCTGTTGTACTTGCCTCAACTGTGTTGTGAAGAATAAATTTGGTAATACAATTTAAAATATCTGGAAAATTATAAATGGGGACAACAGATCAATGGAGGAGGATTGAGCTTAGATTTAATTGTTAAGATTGTTAGGTTTTCTGGTTGTTCACTTAGTTTTTAGAAAATTTTTAAAAAGACTAAAAAAAAACCCATTTTTAAAAAAGATTGGGCCAGGCGCAGTGGCTCATGCCTGTAACCCCAGCACTTTGGGAGGCTGAGGTGGGAGGATTGCTTGAGCCCAGGAGTTCGAGCCAGCAGTTCAAGACCAGCCTGGGAACATGCCAAACCTTGTCTTTACAAAAAAATAAAAAATATATATATATATTAGCTGGGTGTTGTGGTGTGCACCTGTCCCAGCTACTCGGGAGGCTGAGGTGGGAGGATCACTTGAATCTGGGAGGCGGAGGTTATAGTGAGCCGAGATGGCGCCACTGCACTCCAGCCTGGGTGACAGAGCGAGACACTGTCTCAAACAAAAAACACCAGATTGACTTTTGATCATCTTTCCTTATGGAATATTACAAAGATAGTGTCAAAAGATGGAAAAGACAAGAACTAGAGAGAAAGCAGATTCCATTTCAGATGAAGGGAGACCTGGGCTAAGCCTTCAGCTTCAGAGAGCCTGGGGTGGATGAAGAGGAGCAAGCACTTGGGATGGTTTGGGTTTTCCAGCTGAAATATGTTACCCTTCTATACTATATGAGGTTATTTAAGATTACCGTTCATATCTTTGATACCTCATTTATTCTGAATTGTTCGTAAATGAAATGCTTTTTAAAATGTTAGAAGTTAACTACTTTAATGTTAAATCTTTGTTTTAACCTTCTTTCATAAAATGTATTATATGACGTGTTATCTACTGTTATTCTCTGCTTGCTAAAACAGAGAATACCAACCCTAAGTTTAACTGTTTGACAGGTGTCATTTTTACTAACATTTCTTGCTACACCCTTCTAGTCTATTCCCTAGCTCCCTCGTTTCTGGCAGGATTTGATTTAGCATATGAAAACAGATACTTTACAAAAGGATAATTTAGATGAATGAATTAGGACTGAAAAAGGCTGAGAGAGGAAAATAAAGCCCTGGGTAAGATATTCTTATCTTGGCCCATATCCTGTGGTGTTCTGCTAGAGGTTGGTCACCACACAGGAAAAGCATAATGAGTTACATAATTCACAGTGTCTAAAAGATAAAAAACAAAATTGTTCAAGAGAACCAGATTTTTCTGGTTCTGAGGCCTGAGATTGTTTTCTTCCATGAGTCCTCATGGCAAAGGTACTATGTAATGAAAATGTTTTATTGCCTGACACAGTGATGCCTTGAGGAGCTTTATGATGACTATTTGGTGTTTTATCCAGCACCAAATGGTCCAAGAATATATAATACTTATTTCTGTTGATACATAGGTAGGTGAGTATAAGAAAATGTGTGTTTATCTGCACCAGGGGTACATGTATCTATATATATGACCAGGTAAAGATTTTATATAACATTTTCCAAATGAATCTGTTTTGTCACTTCTTCTTTTTTTTTTTTTTTTTTTTTTTTTGAGAGGGAGTCTTGCTCTGTCATCCGGGCTGGAGTGCAGTGGCACAATCTCAGCTCACTGCAACCTCCGCCTCCTGGGTTCAAGTGATTCTCCTGCCTTAGCCTCCCAAGTAGCTGGGATTACAGGCGTGTGCTACCACACCCAGCTAACTTTTGTATTTTTAGTGGAGATGGGGTTTCACCTTGTTGGCCCGGCTGGTCTCGAACTCCTGGCCTCAAGCGATCCACCTGCCTCGGCTTTCCAAAGTGCTGGGATTACAGGTGTGAGCCACCACTCCCGGCCTTGTTTTGTCACTTCCGGGCCTTCTTTGACACAAGCTTTTTGGATTGTATGATAGAGTACAATTGAAATTGCTGATACCATAATGTCAAGTCTATGCACAAGCTTAAGTCATATATGATTTGTTTATGGTTGCCTGTACATATAGGCCAAGTAGGCAGTTGTCTACATCCCCCCACCAGATACACAGGTAACACACAGAAATATACTTCCATTCTTCTTGTAAGCCTTCACTGCTTTATTAAACTGTCTGTAGTTCACCAGTTTTGAGATTTGTCTATTGTAATAGGTTTTTTAAAAAGACATTTAAAAATCTTTTCAAATACTACCAGAAGGTTTAGGACTGTTATTTTTCTGTTAGTACGGAGACTATCAGATTTTCTTCTTCTAAACACCTAGCGAAGGCTAGTGGAAGTTTTGAAAAGAAAGTGAAGCTAGAGGAAGGAGTAGTAATTTTGGAAAATAAGGCACTACTTCAAGGCTTTAGGCATCCGGAAGGTGCTAATAAGATCATACTGTGTCTGGAAGATAAAAGACAAAGATTCCAATGGAAAAAGGTAACAAAAACTACTGCTACTCTGCAATGTTAATTAATGTGAGTTTTTTAGTTAGTGTTTCAGAGTTATATGTGCTTGAGCCTCCTTATAGCTATGTTCAGTGGGTTTTTAGGGACATTTTGTTATTAGTTTGACTTGAATGATGAATAAGTAAGACATTGCTGTAATTACATGAATTTCTATTCTAATACTCTATTAAATCTTAATCTTAAAATACTTTTCACAACTAAATTTTATTTATTTACTTTTTACTTTTAATAGAGTGGCAGACGAAATGTTGATTTGGATTTGGCAGCATCTCACAGAAAGAGAGGTAAGTGTAAGTATTAAGAACATAGTAAATATCTTAGTGAGACCCTGTCTCAAAAAAAAAAAAAGAGCATAGTAAATAAATTAAGAAGCTGTTTTTATATCTGATGTATTTAGATATGATTGTCTTTGAAATGTAACTGCAAAAAATTTCAGAATCATTTTATCAGAAGAGTTAAAACGAAGACTATTTTCTTTAAAATATGTACGCTTTAAAAATCTGGGAATGTTTAGGAGTTAATAATCAGTTATTTTCTCATTTGTCATGTATTTTGACTTTTTAAAAGTCCTATAGAATTCTAAAAACAGTACATTCCATTATGATGGAAAGGGGTTATTTACAAAATTTTCCATGTTTTAGCTCACAGAGTTGTTACAGTTTAAATGGTGTTACAGGGAGAACTTCTTACCCCGTACACGTGTACACACACGTTGAAATAAAAAGTTTCTATTTTTTTTCCCTCTTGGCCTATTAAGATAAAGCATGTAAGAGATGCTTTATCTCTTACATGAAGAGATATTATATCTCTTACATAAAAAATATTTTAAAAATTTCATGAGGAACAAATTAGAGTGTCATTGAGAGTTAAGGTCTTTTGTTAATGAATAGTATAGTTAACTCATGGTTGTGTGTACAAATTGAGGAAAAACCCAGCAGTTTTAGATAGTGTAAATCCAATGATAACTAAAAACTCTCTTAAGCATTTTTCTCTATTAACTGGTACTGCTGCTTTTTTTTTTTTTTTTTTTTTTGGAGACAGGGTCTTGCTTTGTTGTCCAGGCTGGAGTGCAGTGGCACCATCATAGCTCACTGCAGCCTTGGCCTCCTGTGCTCAAGGGATCCTCCTACTCCAGCCTCCCAAGTAGCTGGGACTGCAGGTGTGCACCACCATGCTCAGCTAGTTTTTTATTATTTTTGTAGAGATAAGGTCTCCCTATTTGCCCAGGCTGGTCTTGAACTCCTGGGCTCAAGCAGTCCTCCCACCTTGGCCTCCCAAAGTGCTGGGATTATTGTATGCATGAGCCACCATGCCTACCCTAACGTATTTTTTATTTAAAACCATTTATTAAGTGGTTGTGAAAATGTGAAGTGTTAAAAATTGCCACTAGTGGCAGTTTTCTAAAAGCCTGTGAAAAAATTTTTTTTCATGATATTAAATCTTTTGTATTTCAGAATGAAACCCTTCTCTTAATAGCTTCCTTGGCAGAATGTTAGGTTTCTCATCCATAGAAAAAAAACAGAAATGAGGGAAAGCAATGCACACATAATTTTTTCATTTTCATGTATATAGCTCAAAAGAATAAATGTTGTTACTTAAAATTTGGCAATATTTCATCATTTAATTACAATTAGAATAGAAAGAATGGGCCAGGTGTGGTGGCTCACACCTGTAATCCCAGCACTTCGGAAGGCTAGTCTGGGCAACATAGTGAGACCCCTGTCTCTGCCAAAAAGAAAAAAAAAAGCTAGGCGTGGATGCATGCACCTGTATTTCTAGCTACTCAGGAGGCTGAGGTGAGAAAATCACAGGAGCCCAGGAATTCGAAGTTGCAGGGTACTGTGATCATGCCACTGCACTCCAGCCTGTGTGACAACAGTGAGACCCTGTCTCAAAAAAAAAGAATACAGAGAATGATTTCTCTGAAATATTAGGAATAATAAAGACCAGAGCTTTCTTTATCGAGAAGTCTTTTGAGACCATAACATACCAAAGCTGCTGAGTTTCTTAAAAAAAAATTACAGAGGGTGGGGTGTCGTGGCTCATGCCTGTAATCCCAGCACTTTGGGAGGCTGAGGTGGGCGGATCACGAGGTCAGGAGATCGACACCATCCTGGCTAACATGGTGAAACCCTGTCTCTACTAAAAATACAAAAAATTAGCCGGGCGTGGTGGTGGGCGCCTGTAGTCCTGGCTATTCGGGAGGCTGAGGCAGGAGAATGGTGTGAACCCAGGAAGCGGAGCTTGCAGTGAGCCGAGATCGCACCACTGCACTCCAGCCTGGGCGACAGAGCGAGACTCCATCTCAAAAAAAAAAAAAAAAAAAAAATTACAGAGTATTTGTATTATCAAAAAAATTAAGTGATGTTTAGTATAATGTGCAACATGCATTTCATTATTTGGTAATTCTTTGAAAATTGGTAGTTCATTTTGACTTAGGAATTAAATTTTTGGAACAGATTTACTTTCCTAATTTTGTTTAGCTCAGGTGAATATAATTGCTAAAAGTTGTATGTTATATTAATAAATGTATATCATTTGGCGCTAGAGAGAAAATGGCTCCAGACTTACTGAGTAGCATAAGAAATCCAATTTATAGTTTATACTATATTAGTTAAGTTTATAAGTAATAGTTCATTGGTTAAAATTGTTTTCTCTCAAATCTCTATCATGCATATGGAAATATAATTTGAGATTCAGTCTGTGTTAACCAGGTCAGCATGTACAAAATAATATCTTTGGAATAAAAGAAAGTAGAATCTTCATCTTTCCAACTAAGAAAAAACTGTAATTTGAATGTGAATTACTTAGGCATGGATATAACACATTTAGGAGATTATATTTTCAAAGAGATTTTACAAAAATATTGTATATTTAGTGACTGCCCTTTGACACAGTAGGGTTTTTTTGTTTTGCTTTTAAATGATAGTAAAATAAATGACTGTATTTTTTTTCCTTTTTTGTCAGTATAGACCAGATGCCTTAAGCCATAAAATCTTCAGTTGGGCAGTTGAACCTGCCAAGTCTGAGAACTGTTTGGGAGCCATTCAAACTGTTGAGTATTCTGATTCTGACTTGAGCCATGAAGGACAAACAAATGTCCAGCCAAGTGAGAATTCTCTTTTTTTTTCTTTCTTTTTTTTTTTTGAGACAGTGTCTTGCTCTGTCACCCAGGCTGGAGTACAGTGGTGCGATCACAGCTCACTGCACCACTGAGGCTCAACCTCCCCAGGCTCAAGTGACCCTCCCATCTGAGCCTCTCAAGTAGCTGGGAGGGACTGCAGGCACATGCCACTATGCCTGGCTAATTTTATTTATTTATTTTATATATTTTTTTATTTTGTAGAAACGGGGTTTCGCCATGTTGCTCAGTCTGGTCTTGAACTGGGCTCAAGCAGTCCACCCACCTTGGCCTCCCAAAGTGCTGGAATTACAGAAATGAGCCACCGTGCCTGGCCAAGAATTCTATGTGCTTGTTTACCCCTTCCAATATTTTGAGGAGGAAATGTAAAATGTTTTCCCTCATACAGCATTTGCATTTACTAGTCTCAGTGGTCTTGAATTACTAAAAGCCTGATGAGAGGAATAGGAGAGAGATAATGCTGTTTAATTATATCCTGTTTACTGAAGTTTAATGGATGTATAAATGACAATGGGTGTATACACATTTTCAGCTGCTCTTTCCATGCCTGCAAAGGCTCCTCCTTGAGAGGGCCCATTGCCTGTAATCTCAGTATTTGACAGTGGGGATACTAAGATTCACGCTGTTGAACCACAATTGCGCCTTTTTCTCCCCTCACTTCAGTTAATGTTTCACAATTGGTCTAAGCCCTTGGTCTGAGAAAGTGAATATGTAGGAAGGGGCAAAGAAATGTGGGCAGATACATTTAGCCACCTTGCTCAGCTTTTCAGAGGCATCAAAGCTAAATTTACTCTTTTTTTTTTTTTTTTTTTGAGACAGAGTCTCGCTCTGTAGCCCAGGCTGGAGTGCAGTGGCGTGATCACGGCTTACTGCAACCTCCTCCTCACGGGTCCCTGTTCAAGCAATTCTCCTGCCTCAGCCTCCTGAGTAGCTGGGATTATAGGCATGTGCTGCTAAGCCCAGCTAATTTTTGTATTTTTAGTAGAGACGGAGTTTCACCATGTTGGCCAGGCTGGTCTTGAACTCCTGACCTCGTGATCCCCCCACCTTGGTCTCCCAAAGTACTGGGATTACAGGCGTGAGCCACCATGCCCGGCCAGCTAAATTTACTTCTAAAAGAGGTGGATGAAACATTTCTTCTGCTTAGCACCTCAGAGGCAATATGAAATTTGTATTTAGTAAACATTTATAAACTACTTACTATATGAGCATTGTTCTAAGCCCTTCACAAATATTATAGTAACTCATTTAATTTTCATAACAGCCTGATAAAATTCTTGACAAAACCTGTAAAAATATGTTAGTAATTTGGTACTTTGATAAAACTTAAAAGATTTGCTATGGTTGTACGATTGTTTACAGAAAGACAATACGTTTTTGCAGATACTTGATTTTAGTTTTCATATTTAAGCTGAAGATGATACAGTGAAAAGTTGTGGGATATCAAAACAGCAACTTAAGCAGCATCAGAAATCTTATTAGTTAAAATACTGTGTGGTTTGATTATCGCCCCTAATCTTTAAATATTTTGATAGGGTTTTATTGCTAAAATAATACTGGAAACATTTATCAACATGTGTGTTTCATGGTATAACATGTATGGGTGAAATGCTATTTTGTCTGTGCATTTCAAATTAGATGATATAAAGAAAAGCGAATGTAAATGTTTCTCTCCTGTATCAAATTTCTCCTTTTGTTTTCTGATTCTCGTGTGGTAGTGTATTTACTCCTTTTTGGCCAGTTGAGCCCCAGAAAAAAGAAGAGCTTCAAGCAAGTACATGATGGCATGTTTAATTTTTTTCCCCTTTTAGCTTGCCTACATATTTTATGGTTTATAAAGTATGTATTGCAGCTCTGCCATGTTCATTTTGAAAATTCCATTTAAAAACCAAACTTGTAAGGACAAGTAAACAATCTCAAAAATTTTTTGTTGGATTTTGTATTTTCTTTATATAGTAGGTGATTCTGAATTAGTATTAAGAATTGGGCTTAGTCTCAATTGTTATGTAGAAGCTTTTAATGCCCTTTTCAGATATAATATTTCCTGTATTCAGATAGTACAGAGCAAACCAAAGTTATCAGATTGTTATACTTAAAAAAAAAATTAAAGTTCTTTCCTCTCCCATTTCCATATTATAAATTTTTGTGTTTTAAGTCTTTTTGATGTCAAACTAAATATTTTGATGGAAATTATTTATCCTGATGCTTCCACATAGTGTGTTTCCTGTTCTTAATATTTTATTTATACAAAGTTACATTTGGGTTAATTTCATCCGTTAGGGCTCAGCAGACTACAGCTAGGAGGCCAAGACTGACCTGGCATCTATTTTTATCAGGTTTTATTGGAACACAGCCACACTCATTTATTTAAGTGGTTGCTTTCATACTACAACAGCAGAGTTGTGTAGTTGTCACAGAGACCTTATGGTCTGCAAAGCCTAAAATATTTACTGTCTGGCCCTTTACAGAAAAAGTTTGCCAACCCCTGCTTTAAATTGCAGAAGATTTAATTTTGGGCTTCGTCAGCCATTCCATAGAATATTTTGGTTTATATGAAGACAGTTCAGTATTGGTAGATTCATAATTGAACCTTTATATAGGCAGGCAATTGAAATTTCCATCAGTGATTTGTGAGTTGGTTAATAATGAATATGTAAGACTACCTCCCATAAAATTAAGGAATTAATGTCATTATGTGACAAACCAATTTTTTTGTGCCTCTGTTTCCTCATTTGTGAAAATTGGACTAAATAATCTTTAAGGTCTCTTTTTCTTCTGCAGTTCTAATATCAGTTCCTTGCGCATTTTATATTCATTTTGAAAAGTAATTTATAAGTATTAGTAACTAGAAGAACCTTTTATTCTAAAATTTTAATATTTAAAAAAAAACACCCCCCCAAAAAACAAGTTCAATGTGAGGAGCCAGAATCTATCATTTGTAAGTTAAGGCTAAATACAGATTCTGAATTTGAGGTGCTTTAAGGAAATGAAAAAAGAATGTATATATTTTTTACATTAGCCTCTACTTTATTCTTTAAATATTTTTAACTTAATACATTATGCATCTATGATATTATTCTTTGAATTTTCAGTTTTTTCTGTGTCACATGAAAGAATATTCAGGTCTACAATTTGGGGAAATTTTTAGGTAGGTTGTTATTTTTCATGTTCAGCAAGAATGAAAATTAAGCTTTTTTTTTTTTTTTTTTTTTTGAGGCAGGGTCTCGCCCTGTCACCCAGGCTGGAGTGCAGTGGTGAAAATTAAGCCTTTTTAAATCTTAATAATTCTTTCTAAAACACAGAAGGCAGATAAACCATATATTCTTTGCCATTCTACATTATTTTACTAGGATACATATAAATTATTTCATAGTTACTTTGTAATATTAGCTCCGTGTTACGAATTTTGAAATCCTAGGGTTTAATTGACACCAGTATAGTAATTCAAAAATAAGATTCTACATTGAATATTGTTGTTAGTTTGTTTTCTCTGTGGGCATTAGTGTTTAAGTAGTTATCTTCCCAAACTTTTCTATCTAGTTACATAACTGATATAATTTTTATGCATATTTAATTGGGTACCTTAAGATACTTCCCTAATTGAGAAATGTAGTATATTCACATAATAGGATGTTATACAGCAATCAAATAAATGAACCATGGTTACACTTAGTAATGTGGATGAATATTAGCAATATTATATTGAATGAAAGAGTGTGTCCAAAAAGGTGATATAAAATGATACTCTTTTTTAAAAGTCAACGACAACTAAAACCATTATTCATCTTAGGAATACATTAAAACAATAAAAACAAGGAAATAATAAACCCAGGCCTCAGGATAATAAAACTTTAGGTAGCAAGAGATGGGCTGGAGGAGGAGCAAATAGATAGAAGTTACTGTTAGTTTTCTAGTTCTTGTGTTCACAGATATTTATTATAAATATGTGATTTCAAAATTGGGCCATGCATGGACCAATGATGAGAGTATGTCATGACGAAAGGATTGTAGTTAATCAAATTTATGTATCTGAGACCAGTTAAATTAAAGATTTGTAAGAATTGGACATTTATATATTTATTTAAAGCTAATATTGACAAATGACTTGGACAGTTGCTGTTATGTTCAAACATGTTAACATTTTGCTGTCTAATGTAAAGATTTTAGCTTAAAAAATACCCACTGGCAAATCTAATGGTATTATATTTAGCAACTATTTTGATGCCACTTGATAATTTTATATAGGTATCATTTTACAGTAAATCTCATATTCTTGTCTGTGAAACTTTGCTTCCTCTATATAGGAGTTTCACAACCTGCAGTAAATATGCACATGACACAGTCAGTGAGAATGTTCCTTATATTAATGAAACCCAAAGGGTGATGTTTGTGTCTGCTTTTTGTGTAAGTTTACTTGCCCTTCTATATTCATTTTTTGGTAATGTTTCATTGCAGATATGTAGACACTTTGTTCAGTCTTAACTTGCCCTTTGTAATGATAATGTTAAATTAGATGAAATCTTTCTGTTTTGAGTAGGTCTTACTAGCAGTGTCTTAAGTGCCTAGTTCCTTTTTGTTCATAAATGATGATCTGGTTTAATACTGCAGAGCATTTTAAGCTAAGCATTTTGAGAACAGCTTCTGCCTTTCTTTTTCTTGTGGCAGCGTGTTGCTAAAGCGCTTACAGAGACACTGGTACATCAAACAGGGCTTTCCCTTTATTTTCTTACATTGCTCTAATTTTTGTTTGTTTGTTGTTTTTACCAAAGCATTTTGCTCAGATTCACTTAATGCATGCGCGTATTCAAACATGAGTATCCATTTTTCACCAGTTGGTTATGGTAGCAGCACTCAGCCTTATCTAGTTTCAGAATGTATGCTCTACTTGATTGCCATTGATATATGTTTATTCTGTTTGTATATAGGTCCTATGCACAGTCAATTGGAATCCCTGAGTGACTCTTGGGCTCGCCTGAAACATAGCAGAGACTGGTTATGCAACTCCTCCTATTCCTTTGAGTCAGATTTTGATCTTACCAAGTCTTTGGGAGTTCACACTTTGATTGAAAATGTTGTAAGCTTTGTGAGTGGAGATGTGGGGAATGCCCCAGGTTTTAAAGAGCCAGAGGAAAGTATGTCTACAAGTCCCCAGGCCTCCATCATTGCAATGGAACAGCAGCAGTTAAGGGCAGAAGTAAGTCTTTGATATTTACTCCTTATGAGAGCTCTGGAAACTTAAAACTGAACCATTGAATGTATAGTTCTAGGGAAAACCTTTCCTTTTCTTCTATTCCTTGCCTTCCCCTTTCCTGTACCTGAGCTTTTAAACATAACATTCTTCACTAGAACAGCACATTATTTTGTTTGAACTAGACAAAAGTGCATTTTAAAATTGTCATCTCTCAGAACAATATACTCAGAAGTCTTCACATGTCTCCTACAAACTAGGGTGAGACTAGTTGATGACAATAGGTCATCAGAGCCTTTTTTTTTTTTTTTTTTGGAGACGGAGTTTCGCTCTCGTTGCCCAGGCTGTAGTGCAATGGTGAGATCTTGACTCACTGGAACCTCTGCCTCCTGGGTTCAAGTGATTCTCCTGCCTCAGCCTCCAGAGTAGCAGAGATTATAGGCATGCGCCACCATGCTTGGCTAATTTTTTTGTATTATTAGGAGAGACAAAGTTTCACCATGTTGGCCAGGCTGGTCTCGAGCTTCTGACCTCAGGTGATCCACTTGCCTCGGCCTCCCAAAGTGCTGAGATTACAGGTGTGAACCACCACTCCTGGCCCTGAGCCTTCATTTTTGACCCATTTGTCTCAGTTTAAATTAGACACCTGCTTCAGGTTAGAACCTCACAGAAATAATTGCTGCAATCAAGACCCACTGTTGAATGCTAAAATGAGTGAGCAAAACTTGAAAGAGACATAAGATGTTTGCATAGCCTTAAAGTATCTTCCCCCAAATATTTATTAATTATTGTGGTTTTAACATGTCCACAATTCTTCCATAGTTCTCCCTGCAGGAAGTGGAGATTAATTCTTCTCTCCTTGAGAGTGAGCTGGACTTAGTGGCTTGCTTCTAACAAATAGGCTATAGGAAGGAGATAAAATTGTAACTTCACATTGCAGAAACCTGGCAGGTATTGCCTTAACTAAATGATTAAGATTGGCCGGGCGCGGTGGCTCACTCCTGTAATCCCAGCACTTTGGGAGGCCAAGGTGGGTGGATCACCTGAGATCAGGAGTTTGAAACCAGCCTCACCAGCGTGGTGAAACCCCATCTCTACTAAAAATACAAAAATTAACTGGGCGTGGTGGTGGATGCCTGTAATCCCAGCTACTTGGGAGGCTGAGGCGGGAGAATCACTTGAACCCAGGAGGCAGAGGTTGCAGTGAGCCGAGATCGCGCCATTGCACTCCAGCCTGGGCAACAAGAGTGAAACTCCATCTCAAAAAAAAAAAAAAAAAAAAATCAAGATTAACATCACCTGTATTAAGTCATGTCGATATAGTGTAATGAGAACACTTTATGTGGTATTCTTCCCCCAAATCCATAATTCCACTGTAGTCATGAGAAAAAAATCAGACAACCCAAAATTTAGGGACATCTACAAAATATATGAACAGCTCTTCCGAAGTGTCGTCATGAAAAAGAAGGAAAGACAGAATCTGTCACAGGGTAGGAGAAACTAAAAAGTCATGGCAACTAAATGCAATGTGGTATCTAGGATTAAATCCTGGAAAAGGAAATGAACATTATGGAAAACTAAAATCCAAATAGTCTTTTAATTAATACTATTTTACTTTAGGTTTAGTTGATAGTATTGTACCAATGTTAATGTCTTAGTTTTCATAAATGTACCATGGTTATGTAAGATGTTAAGATTAGGGGAAGCTCAAGGAAGAGTATACAAGAACTCTCTGTACCATCTTTACAACTTTTCTGTATATCTAAAATTATTTCAAAATAATTTTTTTTTTTTTTTTTTAAAGAAGAAGGATAAGCTGATCAACTACAGTGATGGGGAGTGTCTTCCTAGGGAAGATAGGGGCAGAAGTTCAAGAAAACCACAGAGAAATAGTTCAGAAGTATTTCTCATTCCTGGGCTAAAGAGTATTCATTCTATATAAACTTATTAATAAAGAAAGCAGTAGCAGTACTACCTTATAGTTTTGAAACCTTCACATATATCTCCTTGTGAGCTTCACAATAGCTGTGTGAATAGATTAGATAAGGTATTATTAGTCTTATTTTATATACGAGGAAACAAATTCAGTAAGTTAAGTGACTTTCCCAAGGCCACACAGTAAGATAAAAGAGTCTGTCCTTGAAACCATGTCTCCTACATCCAAAGCTACTACTTTTCCTATTGTACTCTAACCTTTTTTATTCTGATGTGTGCTTATAGAGTTTTTAGAAAATCTTCAAAAAAAGTAATAATAATAAAATAAATGTTTATCTTAGAATAGATTCATATGAAATGTCAGAATTTTCTAAGTGTTAAAAATACTGTTTTTGGCATACAGAGTTTCATCATGTCTGAGTTAAGTGAAGAACTCTAAAATATGTTTTTTTCCTCAAGCTTCGTTTAGAGGCACTTCATCAGATCCTCGTTCTATTGTCTGGGATGGAAGAAAAAGGTAGCATCTCACTGGCAGGAAGCAGATTGAGTTCAGGCTTCCAGTCCTCCACACTACTCACGTCTGTGAGGCTGCAGTTCCTAGCAGGGTGTTTTGGTTTAGGCACTGTTGGACACACAGGAGGCAAGGGAGAGAGTGGCCGATTGCATCACTATCAGGTAGGTGACACCTTGCAGTATATACAGATTTTAACTGTCATTTTACAAAGCCACTTTAATAATGTGAAACTTTTTGGTGTTTATGATTCAGTTTAAAAATACAAAGACTTTAAATTTTTTAAGATAGCTCCTTGGTTCCATTTCCTAAATAATGCAGTAGAGATTAGGTGAGCTGTGGTATTATTGTACTATTGTAGATTATTTGCTGGCTCGGTTTTATTAATCCAGTTTTATTATCCAGTTTGGATGGGAATAGATCCAAGTAAGGATAGGGATTGGAGTTTGGGAGGATGGGTTTCAAGAGCTTACGTTTTAGATTTGATCGTTTACCTAGTTTGTGTGATTCCTTTGATAACTTAGAAAAAAATGTTATCTTTATGTCTTTCATATTTAGGCAGGAAAAACTGCTTTGTGAGGAAATAGATTATACAGACTCGGCCGGGCGTGGTGGCTCACACCTATAATCCCAGCACTTTGGGAGGCTGAGGTGGTCGGATCACCTGAGGTCAGGAGTTCAAGACCAGCCTGGCCAACATGGCGAAACCCCGTCTCTACTAAAAATACCAAAAATTAGCTGGGCGTGGTGGTGGGCGCCTGTAATCCCAGGTACTCAGGAGGCTGAGGCAGGGAGAATCGCTTGAACCCGGGAGGTGGAGGTTGCAGTGAGCGAAGATCACCCCACTACACTCCAGCCTGGGCAACAGAGCAAGACTCCATCTCAAAAAAAAAAAAAAAAAAAAGATTATACAGACTCAACAATTATCAAGCATTTAAAATTAAATTTGGAGGCTGGGCATGGTGGCACCCATCTGTAGTCCCAGCACTTTGGGAGGCCAAGGCTGTTGGATTGCTTGAGCTCAGGAGTTTAAAACCCGCCTGGACAATATGGCGAAACCCTGTCTCTACAGAAAATACAAAAAATTAGCCAAGTGTGGTGGTATGTGCCTGTAGTCCCAGCTACTTGGGAGGCTGAGATGGGAGGCTCACTTGAGCCTGGGAGGCAGAGGTTGCAGTGAGCCAGGATTGCACCACTGCACCCCAGCATGGGTGATACAGCAAGACCCTGCCTCAAAAAAAAATTATTATATACTTTATATATGAAATATAGTAAATAATTAAAAACCATCGTAAGGCTCTAGCATAGACTAGAAATAAAATGTTATTACTTCTTTTTGCAAGCAGGTATTATTGTTGCTAATAGAAAAAGTAATTCTTTATGTGTAATTCAGGATGGGATCAGAGCAGCTAAGAGAAATATTCAGATTGAAATCCAGGTAGCTGTGCATAAAATTTATCAACAGTTGTCTGCTACCCTGGAAAGAGCCCTGCAAGCAAACAAGCATCACATTGGTAAGTAAACGGTTCCTGCAAATGTACAGTGCAGGTTACATTTTAGCCCGAGGTTATGGTACTAGTTATGTTCTATATTTTGTGTTTAACATTAGTAGATAAACTTATAGGTAAAGAATAAATAATTTAGTGTTTCATGTTATTAATATTTTAGAAAATTATTCATTTTAATAAATGCTTTGTTTACTGAAAGGAAGATTCTTAACTGTCTCTTTGTCTTTTAGAAGCCCAGCAACGTCTGCTTCTGGTTACAGTTTTTGCCCTAAGTGTTCATTATCAACCAGTAGATGTTTCTTTGGCAATTTCCACTGGTCTGCTAAACGTATTGTCACAGTTGTGTGGTACAGACACCATGCTAGGACAGCCCCTGCAGTTGTTGCCAAAGACGGGTGTTTCCCAGCTTAGCACAGCTTTGAAAGTGGCCAGTACAAGGTTGCTCCAGATTCTAGCCATCACTACTGGGTAAGTATGGTAGATGTCTTTGTAGAACTGTATGAAGTCTGGTCTTCCTCCATTTTAGAATTCCCCCTTTCCCTCTAATCTGCTTTATGTATTTAAGCACTATGCTTGCCCTTCTGTGTGTTTGCCACTTATTTTTTTCTTTTATTTCACATAGGACCTATGCTGATAAACTGAGTCCCAAAGTAGTTCAATCCTTGTTGGATCTACTCTGTAGTCAGTTGAAGAATTTATTGTCCCAAACTGGTGTACTACATATGGCCTCTTTCGGAGAAGGGGAGCAAGAAGACGGTGAAGAAGAAGAAAAAAAAGTTGACTCCAGTGGAGAAACTGAGAAGAAAGATTTCAGAGGTAATGTAAGCCTCTTTCTCTGTCTTTACTTACAAGCATTTATTAAAACCCCATTGTGTGCATATGATTAGGATGTAGAGTTCCTCTTCCTTATGAGGTATGATGGGATTTTTATTTGTTTATTTACAAACCTCTTTTCTCTTCACGTATATATGATTTAGATGAGCTTCTGACCAAACATCTCTGCTTAGAGTCTGTTAACCCTCATGTTGTGACCATACTGCCCATTCTGTAGGTTCAGCCTCTCCTTGGCTGTCTGGGCTCTGAGACCTAGATTTTAGATGATTGATTTTCCCCAGGTTGCATTTTGCCTAGGGGGAAGCTCAGATGTTTTCTTAGCATTTGATCCTGACAAGCCATCTCTAACCTTGATCCTGACAAGCCATCTCTAACCTAAGTCCTGACCTAAATTGTCCCCCAGGCCAGGCGCAGTGGCTCACAACCGTAATGCCAACACTTTGGGAGGCCAAGGTGGGTGGATTGCTTGAGCCCAGGAGTTCAAGATCAGCCTGGGCAACATGGTGGAACCCCATCTCTACTAAAAATATGAAAATTAGCCTGGCATGGTGACGCATGCCTGTAGTGCCAGCTGCTTGGGAGGCTAAAGCACAAGAATCACTTGAACCCGGGAGGTGGAGATTGCAGTGAGCTGAGATCACACCACTGCACTTTAGCCTGGATGACAGAGCGAGAGCCTGTCTCAAAAAAAAAAAAAAGAAAAAGAAAATTCCCCAGCACCAAGGGTTTTGATATCTGTTTGTTTTCTGGGTTTTTTTTGTTGTTGTTGAGACAGAGTCTCACCCTGTCACCCAGGCTGGAGTGCAGTGGCATGATCTGGGCTCACTGCAACCTCTGCCTCCCAGGTTCAAGCGATTGTGCTGCCTCAGCCTGAGTGGCTGGGGTTGCAAGCGTGTGCCACCACACCCATCTAATTTTTGTGTTTTTATTAGAGACGGGGTTTCGCTATGTTGGCCAGGCTGATCTTGAACTCCTGACCTCAAGTGATCCGCCCGCCTCGACCTCCCAAAGTGCTGGGATTACAGATGTGAGCCATTGCGCCTGTCCTGATATTTGGGAACTGGATTATAATTAGGAGGAGCTCGACTTCTTCCTAGACTGTTCTGTTCTCTAGTCACCAATAATTCTTTATTATACTTAGTCATCATAGTTATAGCATATTCATTTTTATTGTACAGAGATGTAAAAGGCGTTTCAAGTTTAGGCTTTGTTTTCTGACCTTTCCCCATTCTGTTCTTTAAGTTTTCAGAATTCAGTAGCTGACAGCCTAAGATTTTGCATTAGATTTGTGCTTACTGCAGTTTCAAGGTAAATTATGTGATATAAGACTATTTCTTGTTGGCTCTTGGTTGTAACGTAAACTTGTCTCTTCACTGTAGCTGCTCTTAGGAAACAACATGCAGCCGAACTCCATCTAGGGGATTTTTTAGTTTTTCTTCGCAGAGTTGTATCTTCAAAAGCAATTCAATCAAAAATGGCTTCCCCAAAGTGGACCGAAGTGCTTCTAAATATAGCATCTCAGAAATGTTCTTCAGGTACATGTCCTTTGCCTTTGTCTTAGAGTATTTATAGATATTACTTGCATTTTATTAAGATAATGCCAGACTTTAGCAACACTCCATGTGTAACCTTGATTTGAAGGCTTTTCTTTCTTATTTTCTGCGTACCTATTTGATCAAAAGAAAACTCTAATTTCAGAAGTAAAAATTGGCAGAAAATAAATAATGTAGCTCTGGAGAAGATCATAGAATTTATCTAGAGAACTTCATCCTCTTTGTTCAGATTACAAACCTAAGAGTAAGCAGAGAACATCCTGTTTAATACGATATTTTAGCACAGATTCCGACCTTGCTTCTTGGATTATCAGGATGCAGATCTGAATTTGTACAGTCTCTCTTATCATAATGTGATTTCTGTTGCCTTGATTGTGACTTCTGATTGTTTGATATTTATCACAGTTCTATAGAATAAGCTTAATCCCTGGTCCTTACCCTAAAATGTCTGCTTACATAGATTACAGTCAGTCCTTTCCTGTTCTCTTTTGCTAAAATTGTGGTAAAATGCACGTAACGTGAAATTTGCCATTTTAATCATTTAAATATACAATTTAGTGACATTAAGCTTATTCACAGTATTATACAACAATCACTGCCATCCATTTCCAGAACTTTTTTTCATAATCTCTAATCTAAGTATGCCAAAACATAATGTAATCCTCTACGGCACATGGTATTTTATATGTTTACACGCTCAATATACTTTTTTTCTTAATTAGTATAACTTACAACTGCTCCTTTTTTTTTCCTTTAATAAGGTAAGGCTTATATTAAGTTTCAAGAGGATAAAGAAAAATCAGATATTCATTTATTTTCAACTGATCTTATTACAGTTATATGTATTTTTTAATTACATATTTATGTATCAGTATCCTATTTTCTACCTTGGATTACTTCATTTATTTATTTATTTTTTATTATTTTGAGACAGAGGCTCTCTGTGTCGCCCAGGCTGGAGTGCAGTGGTGTGATCTCAACTCACTGCAACCTCTCACTTCCAGGCTCAAGTGATCCTCCCGTCTCAGCCTCCCAAGTAGCTGGGATCACAGGCGTGCACCACCACTCCCAGCTAATTTTTGTATTTTTAGTAAAGGCAGGGTTTCACCATGTTGGCCAGGCTGGTCTTGAACTCCTGGCCTTAAGTGATCTGCCCGCCTCAGCCTCCCAAAGTGCTGGGATTACAGGCATGGGTCACCATGCCCGGCTGTTGGCTTACTTTAGAAAAGTATAGTCTGTTTACTCCCGGTTAACCCTAACAATCCCTGTGAGACAGTCAGTGCATGGACGGAGAGAGGCAATGAGAGGGAATAATAAGCATGAGCTTTGGAGATTAACAGACCTGTTTAAAACTCTACCTCTATGAGCTTGTGTGGCTTTGGTCAAGTTACATAACTTCTCTGAGCCTCATTTTTCTCAACAGTAAAATGGGGCTGTAATTCAGTTTGTGAGGATTAATAGAATGTATGTGTGTGAAATGTGTAGCATAGCATAGTATCTGGCACAGATACTTTTTTACAATGCTCTTCCCATTATGTATACATAAAAACTGAGGCATAAGCATGAATGTATTCATACGCATTCATGGGTACAGGATGGATCCAGAATTCTTGCGATAATAGTTTGAAATCAAGTTTGTTCCACCCATAAATGTTTAGCAGCCTCAGGAATTTTTTTCCCAGAAGTTCATTTTAACTTTGAATTTAAGTCACATTGATAATAAGAAAAGGTCTTTTCCCCTCCAGGTATCCCTCTGGTTGGTAACTTAAGAACAAGGCTCCTTGCACTTCATGTCCTTGAAGCTGTGCTGCCAGCTTGTGAATCTGGTGTAGAAGATGATCAAATGGCCCAGGTTTTTATTTTTAAAATTATTAGAAGATGTTTTCCATATTTGCAAAATGATTCACCCAAATCTGTACTTAACAGTCTCTTCAGTTGTAAATGTGTCTTTTATTCAATAGCATAACGTTTACTTTTAGGACTGCTTTCTTTATTATTTCACCCCCAAGGAGAGGGCAAAAAAAATTAAGTTATGGGGTGTGAGAAGTAGAGGGATAGAGAATACTCTGCAAGGTCAGAAGGAAAGAAAAATCTGGAATTTCTTACTAGGTTTGGACCGCTATAGGAAGAAACATGTGGGAGTGTCCTAATCAGAGGTCTAAATAGTAAGGCAAAATGGGACCCACTTTCTAATAGGTTAATATTTCTTTTTTTTTTTTTTTTTTTGAGATGGAGTCTCGCTCTGTCGCCCAGCCTGGAGTGAGTGCAGTGGCGCGATCTCAGCTCACTGCAGCCTCCGCCTCCTGGGTTCAAGTGATTCTCCTGCCTTAGCCTCCAAGTAGCTGGGACTATAGGCACATGCTACCATGCCTGGCTAATTTTTGTATTTTTAGTAGAGATGGGGTTTCACCATGTTGGCCAGGCTGGTCTCAAACTCCCAACCTCAGGCAATCCACCCGCCTCAGCCTCCCAAAGTGCTGGGATTACAGGCATGAGCCACCGTGCCTGGCTTCTAATGGGTTAATATTTCTAAAAACTGATATTTAACTTATAACCACTAAAAGTAGCTGTTGAACACTGGTATAATCAAACTTCGCATGCGAGTTAATATTACAGTTAACATGATACAGCTTTTCTAAAAATACTTAAAGTTACTTTTTACAAATTTTATCCTTTTTTCTTCAATAAAACAGATTGTTGAGCGCTTATTTTCCCTTCTCTCTGATTGTATGTGGGAGACACCCATTGCTCAGGCCAAACATGCTATTCAGATAAAGGAAAAAGAACAAGAAATAAAACTACAGGTAATTGGTTTTTCCTAAAAGGTATTTCTTAACAGCATAAGTGAATATTCTGTCACTTGTCTCTGAATGCCTGTTCCTCTGAGGCACCTTGCTCTATCATTTATTCCATTTCCTCTCTTGGCATTCTGTCTCCCTTTCCACTGATTCCCTCCCCTCAGCTTATAACCATGCTTAACTCATTTCCTCTCTCCTAAATCACATTTTTATCTGTGAAGTCTTCTCTGTCTTCTCTCTTGTCCTGTAGTACTAAGCTTCTTAGAAGAGTAATCTGCATGTTTCAGCCACTTTCTTCTCATTATCTCTTCAACCCCACCATTTATCTTGTATCAAAGTACGAAATTAAATGACAAAGATAAGTGTTTGTTGCTAAATATAGTGTATCCTTTTTTTTCCACTTCTTACTTTACCTCTGGAAACTCTAGCCTTTTGTTATTTTCAAAACGCTTTCTCCCGGATCTCCGTATATTCTCTGCCAATCCTGATTCCCTTTGAAAGCAACTCTTTTTTGGTGCCACTTTTACCTTGCCTTCATCTCAAAATGTTGGTGTTCCACAGAGTTTGATCCTTGGCTTTTCCAGCAGTCTCATCCATACCTAAAGCAGGGGACCAACATGCTTTGATTTATGGTTTTAAAAGATCACTCTGCAGTGCCTTCCAAACTTAAATGCTAGCCTGGGTGTCTCCCCCTCAAACCCTTCCCCCAGCCCCTTTTTTTGTCCCATTTCTGATTGAAAGCACCACCATTCACCTAGTTTCCCAAACGCAAATTCCTGGGAATGCTAGATTATCATAATGTCCCCATGCATATAGTCACTAGCCTCCATTGATTTATATCTTGTGAATCCATCTCTTCATTTACCTTAATTCCTATCTTGGTTTTTGTGATTCCACACTTGTCCTGGTTCTCCTACTTTGATAGAATGGCCTGTTCTCATTCTCCTTTATAGGTTCTTCTTCTTCTTCTATTCAATCTAAGTGTTGGATTAATCCCCATTCCTTCTCAAAGAAACCTTATTCAGACTCATATGCCCATTTCTTATTCAGACTCATTAATCCACATTTCTTCTCAAAGAAACCTTATTCAGACTCATTTAAGACTTGATTCCCAAGTTTTAAATTCAAGTTCTGGCATTTCCCCTGAATTCTAGACTTATATTCCCATCTTCTACTAGTCTTATCACTTAAATGTCTAATAGGCATCTCATACTCAGTATGTCAAAAATGGCACCCTTAATCACGTTCTGTTTCTTCCCCCAGGCTTTCCCAGCCTCCTAGTGAGTTACTCAAGTGAAAAACCTAGGAGTCATCTTGATGCCTCACCCCCATTTCTCTATCCATACAATCTCTAGATTCTGTTGGCTCGTCTTTAAAATGTGACTTGAATTTGCCTACCTCCTCATCTCTTCTGTCATCACCCTATTCCAAGCCATTATCATCTCTGGCCTGAACTATGCAGTAACCTTCTAAGTGTTCTATCTGCTTCCATTGTTATGCCCTAAAGTCCATTCTCTGCACAGGATCCAGAATGATCTTTTAAAATTGTAAATCAGAGCATGTTCATCCCCTGCTTAAAATACTCCAATGGTTTCTCGTCATTCTTTGGATAAAATCTAGAGTTCCTTGACCTTTCCCTTTTGCTCACTATAGTCTAAGCAACTTGCCTTCTTCTTGTAGTTCTTGAACACAGTAATCCTGCTCATTCCTTAGGGCTTTAAACTGGCTATTACCTCTAGATATGTTTCTTAGAAATTTCTTGTCATTCAGGTCTCAGTTATCACATCTTCAGAGAGGCCTTCCCTAATCAATCTAGAGTAGTTGCCACACACTCTTTGTCGTGTCACCTGCTTTAATTTCAACATACCACTTAATCCTTGTATTTTCTTATTTTTTCTTTTTCTCTTCCAAAATAAAAGTTCTATGAGAGCAGAGACCTAATACCCTGCTAAATATGGAGGACCTGATAGGATACCTGGCAGAGAATAGAGATGCTTAATAAATGCACATTGAATGAATGAATTCAGGCCCTCACTATTTCTTTCTTTTTTTTTTTTGAGACAGAGTCTCGCTCTGTCACCCAGGCTGGAGTGCAGTGGCGCGATTTCTGCTTACTGCAACCTCTGCCTCCCCGGTTCAAGCGATTCTTCTGTCTCAGCTTCCTAAGTAGCTGGGATTACAGGCACCTGCCACCACACCTGACTAATTTTTGTATTTTTAGTAGAGACGGGGTTTCACCATATTAGCCAGGCTGATCTCAAACTACTGACCTTGTGATCCGCCCGCTTCGGTCTCTCAAATTGCTGGGATTACAAGTGTGAGCCACCACACCTGGCCCCCTCACTATTTCTTACCTGAACTTGCAGGGATATCCTGATTAGTCAGTCTCTCTGCCTTCATCCTGTATATCCTTGGTAAAATGATGTTTATAAAGCACAGATGTGATCAGAGATCTCCTATATACATCATTCTGTGTAGGTCTCCCTAATGTCAGTAGAGTAAAATTCAAACAATATGACACACAAGGTTTTCCATGATTTGATTTCTTCTTCTCTTTCTAGACTTGTTTTCTGCCAGTTTCATCTTCCAGTCATTACATGCTGCTTGTCTTTAAATCACTGAACTCTGTTGCATGTCTGCCTTGGCACATGCTGTACACACTGCCTTAAAATGCCTCTCTCATTTGACCAGCTGCTTACTGCCTTCTCATCATTCAGGACTCAACTTAGAAGTCATCTCCTTTTGAACATTACCTTGTCCTTCTCAAGCATGGTTAGACACACTTTTATGTTTCTACTATACCTATTATGTAATTTTGATTATTCTCCCACTGTAATACTAGCAGTATGTATTTGTCTTCTGTCCATTAATGACCTTAAGCTCTTTATGGGGAAGGGACCATGCTCTATTTATCATTGTGTTCCTGTTGCCCTGCACAGTAACTGATTCATAGTAGATACATAATAAATATTTGTAGGATAAAACCAAGGAGCCTCAGAATATATCTTATCTGAGACATGGATTATTCCAAAATGCTGACCCAGCTTCTTTTCTGGTAGAAGCAGGGCGAGTTGGAAGAAGAAGATGAGAATCTTCCTATCCAAGAAGTATCCTTTGACCCGGAGAAAGCTCAGTGTTGCCTAGTGGAGAATGGACAGATTTTAACTCACGGCAGTGGAGGGAAAGGATATGGATTGGCATCTACAGGAGTAACTTCTGGGTGCTATCAGTGGAAGGTACGTAGAAAATCTAATAGTTTTTAGCATTTTGTCTTTTAGTCCTTTTTTTTCCAGGTTCTTATAATAAATGTGTAGAAAGACTGAAAAAAAATCGTGATATGTAAATGTTCTATTATTATGTAAGATAATATAAATGGAAACCAAGTGAAGGATATACAGGAACTCTGTGCTATTTTTGTAACCCTTATAATTCTAAAGTTATCTCAAAAATGTTAAAAATGGATGTTTAAAATCATGCTATAGCCCTCCCATAAGGAGTCACACAGAACACATTTTCTTCTAGCAATGAAAATGAAGCAAAGCGTGTGATGTTTTTGTCTAGGAAAGCCCATTAGAGATTCAGTGCCCACAATTTTTATAGGGAACTGTTCATATTGGTACCCTCTGCCTAGCATGTACTAAAATTTTAGATTTCCAGAAGAAAAGCTAGTATTTAGCATAAACCATATTGTTTGTACAATCTAGATACAATAAGCCAGCCTGTATCAGTTAGGTAAAATTTATATCAGTATAGGGGACTGTTTACCAGTCAAGTTCCCCCATGCCAGCCAAGGGCCAACATTGCAAGCAGGCATTTCTAAGGATAGTAGTCTCTGTTGTGTTAACTCCTTCTTTTGCACAGTCTACTCCTTTATCTCTTGGGCATGGTATATATACAGTAAAACTATCAATAGGACCCCATGCAGGGGGATAAGATTGGCCAGTAATATTGACTTCAGTTATGCCTTTTAGGGGTCCTAGACTTAGCCAGTTACAACAGATCTCATTAACCAACAGGTCTATCTTAAAAAGCCATGTGACTTCATTCTTAAGCTTTTGTCTTAACTTTTAAAATGTAGATTAGTCATCAATTTAGCACTGGACAACTCTGGCCAGTCCAGGACTGAGGTATTATGATAAGGTGCACACACAAGAAATATAATCCCTTAGGGTATATGTGTTGCCCTTGGAAACAAAGAATTTATAATTATTAGGGCACCTGTAATCAGAACATATAATAGGCAGCACAGGTTAACATGATACCAATGTGACCTGCCCCCATGGGGCCTTCCACTCTGTGCTCCCAGTTCAGTCTGAATAATTAAGTTGAGTCTTGGTTTCAGAGGGACTGTCTGAAAGCAGTCAGTTTTAAAGGATTTTGTTTTCTGTGACATCATTATTCCTGCCTCAAGAGTGTGGATGACATCTCGAGGTGTTTTGTGGAAACTGCAGGAGCTGGAGCCACCCACTGTGGTCTTTTGACAGACTTGACAAGTTTGATGAGAAGCTCAGCAATCAGTTTGAATTTAAAGTGCTCACAGCAGCTTTCAAGACAAAATAGTTTTATTTTCTTTTGTGTTTTTGGTTGAGACGGAGTCTTGCTCTGTCACCCAGGCTGGAGTGCAGTGGTGCGATCTTGGCTCACTGCAACCTCCGCCTCCTGGGTTCAAGCGATTCTCCTGCCTCAGCCTCCCAATTAGCTAGGACTACAGGCGCCTGCCACCACGCCTGGCTAATTTTTTATATTTTTAGTAGAGATAGGGTTTTGCCATGTTGGCCAGGCTGATCTGGAACTCCTGACCTCAGGTGATCCACCCACCTTGGCTTCCCAAAGTGCTGGGATTACAGGTGTGAGCCACCGCGCCTGGCCCAACATAGATTTTTTTCCCCCGCTAGAAGGTAGAGAACTTTTAGGAACAGTTCTGAAAAACAGATCATTAATGCCCTCCCGACTCCTCCATATTTTCCCAAGTCTTGAGTTTTTGTTTTTTCTCTGTATGAAATTGAGTGTCCCATTTAGTAATTACAACTTTAAATTTTTTAATTTTTAAAAATCATTTGTTATTTTTATCTAGACCTTTTTGTCCAGAAGGGTTGGATGCAAGAGGAAGAGTTTTCACACAAAAACATTTGCATACAACTTAACCAGAAAGGTTAGGAATTGGCCAGGACAAAATTTCAGTTACAGTTTATTTTTTTCAAAATAGGTTTATAAAACCTTCTACATCTTTCGTCCTAATCATTTATCCAGTGGGCAGTCTGGAAAAGATCAGTTTCTTTCTGGGAACAGTTTTATTTAGTAAACTGCTTTATTGGTGTGTCTTGTTTATCAGGAGAAAGGTGAGGGATGTAGAGTCAATTGATCAGTCCCTTGTTGCAAACTGCAACTATTCTAGAAAGCTTAACATGTTGGGACATCACCTAGAGGGTATTGAGAATACAATCTCTTAAAGAGTGTTTGGAAGTATATTGCCCCCAGAAAACACACTCTTTTCGTGGATACCTGCAAGAAACCTGGACAGTCCAGCCAGCATCCAAGATGTTTTTCAGACTTTGTGGCCCCACAGAGGGGGAGTGTTCCAAATCCACAACAGTCCCAGATTTTGAGTTTTGTTCATTCAGCTTGTGCCTGCTTTTAGCTGAGCACAACTCACTTGGGTTGAAATAACCTAGAGCACACAGTGTCAGGTTTTAGCTTATAGTCAGGTCCAGGCAATTAGAATGTGTGAGTTCAGGATTCCAAGCCAGCAGCTTTTTGGGGCAGCAGTTAAATCTAGATGGGGCCAGTTATGGGGGCATGTGCCTATACAGTCCCAGTACTTGGAAGGCAGAGGCTGGAGGATTGCTTGAGCCCAGGAGTTTGAAGCCACAGTGAGCTCTGTTTACACTACTGCATGCCAGCCTGGGTAACAGAAAGAGACCCTATCTCTTAAAAACAAAAACAAACCTTAGATGGTGTAGGACCTGACAATAGTGTTTTAAGTCCAGGCTTGAAAACAAGGCTTTTCTAAGCTCTGTTTGCTTGTCAATCTTGGAGTCCAGATTGACCCACTCAGAAATATGTACTTAGGCTAGAAAGTCATCAGCCTGTAAGTGTTAGACATATGATTTTATAAGAACTCGTTAGCCACTGAATGTTTTTTAAAACTCTAAAAGCATATGTCTATATCTCCATCTAGAGCTTGCCTCTCTTTTATTTTATCTCTGTTTTCCCAGAGACTCCAATAGGAAAAAATCATAGCAAAAACCCACCAGTTATAGACACTTGTTTTGTTTTTAATATAGAGTTTAAATTCCAATCCACCCACTGGTGACAAAAAGCAAGTAAGTTGTGTCCCACTAGTATGTTTTTCTTTTGGAGCTTTCCCTGATCAGGATGAAACTTTAGCATTTATGAAGTTACAAGCTTGTAACATTTTGCATCTTAATTTTTTTTCTTTCTTTTTTTTTTTTTTTTTTTGAGACAGAGTGTAGCTCTGTTGCCCAGGCTGGAGTGCAGTGGCACAAGCTCGGCTCCCTGCAACCTCCACCTGCCAGTTTCAAGGGATTCTCCCGCCTCAGCCTCCCGAATAGGTGAGACTGGAGGCACGCATCAGCATGCCTGGCTAATTTTTGTGTTTTTAGTAGATATAAGGTTTCACCATGTTGGCCAGGCTGGACTTGAACTCCCAACCTCAAGTGATCTGCCTGCCTCGGCCTCCCAAAATGCTGAAATAACAGGCATGAGCCATTGTGCCCAGCCTTTGCATCTTTTTTTTTTTTAATCATACATCCAGATGTAGTTGCCACAAAATAAAGCTGTTTTTAAAAGTTTTCTTCCTCCCTTCTCACATCTTAAGTTTACTCAAACCTCTAGCAATAAATTTAGCATTTACAAGGTAAATTGTGGCAGGGGGAGAACCTGCTGTAGCAATAGCAAAAGCTCAGCTTAAGAAAATAGCTGGAGTAGTTCCTTTCTATTCTTGTTTGTTTGTTTTTGTATATTTTGTAGAGATGGGGTTCTTGCTTTCTTGCCCAAGGTAGTCTCAAACTCCTGGCTTCAAGCAGTCCTCCCTCCTTAGCCTCCCAAAGTGCTAAGATTACAGGTGTGAGCCCCTGCACCCACACTCAAAGCTGTCAGGGGTTTTTGAACCCTTTCCCCTCCCACTGGAGGAGAGAGCAACTACAAGCTAATTTTTCTACTCTGGCTCATCTAAAGCCCACTTGTGGGAATATTTGGGCCCTTTCTCCTCAGGAAAGAAGTTGTTCCTGGAAGAAAGAACAGCACAGTTTTTACCTGAGCTGCTCTTTTTTCCTAACTTTAGCTAGCAAGGCCAAGAGCGTCTGGGGTAGCAAACCAACTCTCTTGTGATTGGATTTATCTTAAAAATTGATAGGTAACTTTTGCCCCTCACAACAGATAGCAGTCCACCTTCTGTTTCATACTATGTGTAACTCCATAGCCACCTAGGTACCAGAGTTTTATCTTTTCCTTTCGTCTCTTTCTTTTTCCCCAGCAATATTTAACTATATTCTAATGCATCAGGGTTGTTCTAGTGAATCTCATTGCTGCCACTGCTAAGTCATGAGTCCCCAAGACCACCCTCACATTCAGAGATTCACTAGAAGGACTCGTCAGACTCCACACGTTGATACACTCATGACGGAGACTTATATTATAATGATGCGGTAAGGATATACACCCAGTTAATAAGGGAAGGACACAGGTGAGGTATAGAAGAATCCTGTAGGCTTCCTTCTGTTCTCTCCCTGCCATGAGCACAAGTGCACAAGCTTTCCCCAGCAAGAAAAATAACATGTGTGTGATGTTTCTAGAGAACCCCATTAGAGATTCAGAACCCAAGGTTTTTACTGGGGGCTGGTCACGTAGACACCTTCAACCTGACATGTACCAACATTTCATACTCCCAGAAGGAGAGCAGGTATTCAGCATAAACCACATTGTGTGTTTAAATGTTCTAGGTCAGTGAGCCACCTTTATCACGTAGGGGAAGTTTTTTTTTTTTTAAATCAGTGTAAGAAACTTTACCAGTCAAATTCCCAGGTCCTAGCCAAAGGCCAGTGTTGCAAGCATGCCTTTTTGAAAATAGTAATAGTCACACTAGGTGTAGTGGCTGATGCCTATAATCCCAACACTTTGGGAGGCCGAGGTGGGAGGATTGCTTGAGGCCAGGAGTTCAAGACCAGACTGTGTAACATAACAAGACCTCATCTCTACAAAAAATAACTAGCCAGGCATGATGGTGTACACCTGTAGTCCTAGTTACTCAGGAGACTGAGGCAGGAGAATTGCTTGAGCCCAGGAATTTGACGCTTCAGTGAGCCATGATCATGCTACTGTACTCCAGCCTGGGAAACAGAGTGAGACCCCATCTCTTTAGAAAATTAAAAACAAAACAAAACAAAACAAAACAAAACAATACACCTAGTCTCAGGCTTAATATATTAACTCTTTTTCTAAACAGAGGTATATGCAAGAGAGTAGTTAAAATCTATATGTAAAGAATTAAAGTTTTCATTAATTTCTGGACTAAACATACTTCCTCAGCTTCATTATTAAGTTGTAAGTTAGAATTGCTTATTTTAAATACTATAGATATTCAAAGGTTATTCTAAATGCCCTGCAAGATAAAGAATGTTTTAAAATCTTTCTAAATTGATGCGATTATTTTCGTGTTATTTTTATTTATGCTGAAAATAACATGTTTCCATAAATGCATTAGTATTATTTATAAACATATTTTCAGTATTGGTTAATGCAGTTAATAGTATATAAATAGATTTTTTGAGTATTAATGAATATCCCACTTTTATTTTAGTTTTATATTGTGAAGGAAAACAGAGGTAATGAAGGCACGTGTGTTGGAGTTTCTCGCTGGCCAGTACATGACTTTAATCACCGCACTACCTCGGATATGTGGCTCTATAGGGCCTACAGTGGTAACCTCTATCACAATGGAGAACAGACTCTCACATTGTCCAGCTTTACTCAAGGAGATTTCATTACCTGTGTGTTAGACATGGAAGCCAGGACCATTTCTTTTGGGAAAAATGGAGAGGTACCGACACCCATTCACAAGCATTACATTTTTCTTGTTTCTATTTATAGTCAACTCGGTTATTCAAGTGCCACGTATTCAGTTTATAGATTATCTGCTCGTCTCTCCTTTCTCTCTAATACTTTCTGGTTCTTAAAACATTTATTAACAACAAACAGGAAGATAGTAAAACCCCAATAAGATTTTTGAAACAGATGAACACATTATGATCACTTATTATATGTAGAATTTTCTCGGTTAGCAAGGTTAATTGAGAATTTGATCTAGTAACTTTTGTTCTGTCTCATAAAAGCTTTCAATTCTAATGTGGTTAGATATTGTGAATTAAAAAAATTTCTATTTCCTTTTTCTTTTCCTCACTGCTGCCACACTGTAGGAACCCAAATTAGCTTTTGAAGATGTGGATGCAGCAGAGTTGTACCCATGTGTGATGTTCTATAGTAGCAATCCAGGGGAAAAGGTAATGAAGTCTCAAACCTTTATTTAAGAATATTTGTTATTTTATTGTTTAGCATCAGATAGAGTTTATAAATATAATAAGCTATTTCTTCTGCCATTAAAAGTACTTGACTTAGGTAATCCATTCTTCTAGAAGAAGGTTACTTTCAGAAATTGACTTTACGATATATTAATATTAAGGCACTATTTCATGTTCTGGCAATTTGAATACAGTGAGTCAACTTTCAAACGTGCAGTCACAAGAACTACAAGACCTAGTTTAGGGATAATCTAATTCACTGGCAATTATGGGTATGAGAGAGAAATCTAGAAATAATTTTAAATGTAATAAGATGCTATCAGCTGAATAATAGAAGTTGTAGTCATCATGAGGAAACTACCTTTCATTCAGCTGGGGGAATTTTCAGGTGTTGTAGATGGTGTGAATTTGAACTTCATGACAACAGTATTAATAGGATACCCTCCATTGTAAACTTTCTCTTTCACCTCATCCAAAACCCAGGCAGAGAAAACCTTTGTGATCTCCCTGTGCTGGTGGGTAGATTTTTTTTCCCTACTCCATCCTTTCACTTGCGGATGCATAGTACAGCTTAAGTCAAGTCTCAAGAATTTCTAGCCATTATGTAGTAGAAGCTTTCAGGTTTTATCATGTATAATATTTCCATAATGAAATTGCTGGACCTGATATATTCTAACCAAGAAAATTACCTTTTATTCTATGTTTTTAAAAATACATATTTTTAATGTCAAGGAATTATAATTTAAGGCTAGCTGAGAACTGTTTCTTGGACAGCCAGGACAACCAAAACTGAACTGGAGATGAAGTAAAGATGCAGCCCAGTGCCTGATACCATCCCTTGCCCTATGTAGGTTTGCAGCCCAAAGTAGTTTCTGTCATGTTCTGGTTCGAATGATGGCCTGGTGCTTTCTGCCATCTGTGAACCTTGAAGAAATTCATTCAGACTTAGACTATGTATCAATTAATTTATTCTATCTAGAAGGCATTTTTGATAAATTTTAGAACCTCTGAGAAACACAATACTAATAGCAGTTAACCTTTTTTAACATTTACAGTGTGACTGGCAATGTACTAATAAGCACTTTATGTGCATAATCTCATTTAATCTTTAAAATAACTGTAGGAGACAGATGCTATTATTAGTGTCAGGTTTTAAATGAAAAGCTAAGACTTAGAATGATTAAATAATTTCCCAAGATTATACAGAGTTATGATTTGAACCCAAGTTTTGCTCCTCTTTTTACTTCTGTGTCTTATTTGCAGTGTGTATCCAGATTGTGACTTTATGATTTTACTTTTGCACCCCTTGAACAATGTAAAATGTCCAGGACTCATCATTCTGGAGCCTTGAGGATGAGAATGAGTATATCCTTAAGGCTTATTTTAGACTAAATTGAGTCAGTCATATACGGCTTGGTCTCTATATTCATCTTTCAAATTTTCCTAACATCTCTGGAATTCATGAGTTACAGGAAATGTAAATAACAGGGCAGCTTATTCCAGTGGACCATACCACTACTAACTTCAGTGTGTCTGTGACATTTCCTTACTCTTTGGGGGCCAGTTGGTATAATTCACATGTATGAAGAGACCCAAATACTAGTTCAACATGGGATTCTACATGTTAGAATTTATAGTGACTAAGAAGAACTACTAATAGCATGTGTTTTCCACCCTCTTTACTTTTATATAGGTGAAAATTTGTGATATGCAGATGCGTGGCACACCCCGAGACTTACTTCCAGGAGACCCTATTTGTAGTCCAGTAGCAGCAGTGCTGGCTGAGGCCACTATTCAGCTCATCCGTATCCTTCACCGAACAGACCGTTGGACTTACTGCATTAACAAAAAAATGATGGAAAGGCTTCACAAAATTAAGATATGTATTAAAGAGTCAGGTCAGAAGCTAAAGAAAAGCCGCTCGGTTCAGAGCCGAGAGGAAAATGAAATGAGAGAGGAGAAGGAGAGCAAAGAGGAAGAGAAAGGTAAACATACTAGGCATGGCCTCGCTGACCTCTCAGAGCTGCAGCTGAGGACTCTTTGCATAGAGGTGTGGCCCGTGCTGGCTGTGATAGGAGGAGTTGATGCTGGTCTTAGAGTTGGAGGTCGGTGTGTTCACAAGCAAACTGGGCGCCATGCCACGCTGCTGGGAGTGGTCAAAGAGGGCAGCACGTCTGCCAAGGTCCAATGGGATGAAGCAGAAATTACTATCAGGTATGATCTGTTGAGTTACACTTTTAGCAAACAAATATTTAATGGTGAAATAGGCCATTGCCTGTCGACAGTGAGTAATTATGTATTTTAGGTGAGCTGCCAGTTAACTTTTAAAAATATTTCTCATGCAGCTAGATGTTTCTACTGTAATTTCTTAAAGGAGAATTTCCTAAACCCATGTTCTTTGAAATACTAGTGGGTTTTAAAAATACATAGTCTTTTTGTTCTGTTTTGTTTTGGGGAAAAAATGGTAAGCTCCTTAGTTTATATGTTTAACTGGGATTCTTCTTCCAATTTTCATTTGGCTTTTTGCATTTTGATCATTTCTGTTACACACTGGCATAGTAAAAAGCCAGCCAGCTAATCTGTTCATTGCATTTTGTGGTAGCAAGGCTCTGAATATTGGATATGAACGTTTGACGGACTGAAATTAGGCTTTGCATTATCTGTAATTTTAAGTATTCTTCCTTTTTATAAAACCACATATTTCTATCCCCTCAATGTAAACATTTTGATTAGATGTGAAAGTTACATTTATTTAACACAAACTGGGTATTTAAAAGCATTTAGGTGTGTTTGAATTCAGAGAGGATTTGTGCAAATTACAAATTTCATATGTTTACAAGGAAATGCAGGTTGAGCATCCCAAATCCAAAAATCCAAAATCCAAAGTGCTCCAATGAATATTTCCATTGAGCATCATGTTGGTGCTCAAAAAGTTTCAGGTTTTCACTCAAAGGAGTTGCCCATTGGAGCATTTCAGATTTGGGATTTTTGGATTTGGGATGCTCACCTGCTAAGTACAATGTAAATATTCCAAAATTTGGGAAAAAAATCTGAAATCCAGAACACTTCTGATCCTGTGCATTTTGGATAAGGGATACTCATCCTGTCAAGTATCTTCCTTGATAAGTAGACTCATTTGTCTAATGACTCTACATAATTGTATCATTTGAAAATATGGATTTATTGGTGATATTATGTAACTGTTCATTATGCTGCCCATTGTGATTCCTGTAAAGTTACATGTTGGTATGACATAGAACAATATCTTTTTAAATTTTATTTGATTTTATTATTTATTTTTTTGAGACGGAATCTCGCTCTGTCGCCCAGGCTGGAGGGCAATGGCATGATCTTGGCTCACTGCAACTTCTGCCTCCCGGGTTCAAGCAATTCTCCCACCTCAGTCTTCCGAGTAGCTGGGATTACAGGCACCCACCATCATGCCCGGCTAATTTTTATATTTTTGTAGAGACAGGGTTTCACCATGTTACCCAGGTTGGTCTTGAACTCCTGACCTCAAGTGATCCACCTGCCTCGGCCTCCCAAAGTGCTGAGATTACAGACATGAGCCACCACGCTCGGCCGGAACAATATCTAAAACAGTGGTTCTTTGTGGTTTTGGAGTGGTACTGTTTCAGAATTTAGTGAATGCTATGGATCATCTTAGCCAAAAAATACATACACATAAACTTTACACACAATTTCAGGGGTTAATGGACTCTGCCTTCCCCTCCATTCTACCAAGCTAAGAAACCAGTGACAGCTTTACAGAATGACATGCAAGTGTCGACCTTTCCTCTCATTCTTTGCCTTGTTTCAGAAAGGATTTATGATGCCTGGTTAAGATGCATACAGTAGGCTGGGCTTGGTGGCTCACACTTGTAATCCCGGCAGTTTGGGAGGCAGAGGCAGGCAGATCACCTGAGGTCAGGAGTTTGAGACCGGCCTGGCCACCATGGCAAAACCTTCTTTCTACTAAAAATACAAAAAAGCCAGCCGTAGTGGCGTGCGCCTGTAATCCCAGCTACTCAGGGAGCTAAGGCAGGAGAATCTCTTGAACTCAGTAGTCAGAGGTTGCAGTGAGCTGAGATCGCACCACTGCACTGCAGCCTGGGTGACAGAACAAGACTCCGTCTCCAAAAAAAAAAAAAAAAAGATGTATACAGTATAGCAAAATAAGTGAATTAATAAATTAAAACAAGAAAAATGAGCCTAGAGGAAAATAGAAAGGTAATATAGAACCAAGATTTAGGTTAGAACAACAAAACTTTATACCAGCAAAAGCTTTTTATTACATTTTGTATAATTATATCATTCTTAAACTTCAGGAAGTTCTTGCCAATATCAGGAAATATATAATTATATTTTGGCTTAAACTATAGAGGCATTATTTGAGACTACAAAGTAAACTTTTTTATGAAATGAAGTCCTCACTGAAATAAGTTATAAGTAACCATTTATAAACTAGATTTATTATACAAATTTTCTGAATAGCTTACATCAAACTACATCTGACCAACCTCCTGTTTTTATAAGTAAAGGTACACAGCCACACCCATTTGTTTAGTTGTATCAGTGGCTGCTTTTGCACTATGATGGCAGGGTTGAGTGGTTGCAGCTGAGACTGTGTGCCCTGCAGAGTCTAAAATATTTCCTGTCTGGCCCCTTACAGAAAGTTTGCTAACTCCTGGCATACATTATATATTAGTGAATATTCTTATTTGAAAGCATCTCATTGCTTCTGCATTTAGTATCACATCTCCCCATTTTCTCATAATAGACTCGTTTTTCTCTGTGTTTGTAATGATTTCTCTAGTTTGTGTAAATTATTCTCTGTATTGTGTACATGATGCACCTTATTTTGTCTACATTATTTTCCGTACCTTCCTCCCGTCTTTCCCTCACTTGCTTCTTCCTGTGTCATTCTGATCTTTATTAAAGCTTCCCAACTTTTTGGTCGCCTAGTGATACTCCATTGTATAATCTGGAACCCTGTGAACCATTGCCGTTTGATGTGGCGCGATTCCGAGGCCTGACGGCTTCTGTGCTGCTGGACCTAACATATCTCACTGGCGTTCATGAAGACATGGGCAAACAGAGCACCAAACGACATGAAAAGAAACACCGACATGAATCCGAGGAGAAAGGGGATGTTGAGCAGAAACCTGAGAGTGAATCCGCTTTAGATATGCGAACAGGCCTAACATCTGATGACGTCAAAAGTCAGAGTACCACAAGCTCCAAATCAGAAAATGAAATCGCTTCATTTTCTTTAGATCCAACACTGCCAAGTGTGGAATCCCAACATCAAATAACAGAAGGGAAAAGAAAAAATCATGAACACATGTCCAAAAACCATGATGTAGCCCAGTCAGAAATCAGAGCAGTCCAGCTGTCCTATCTTTACCTCGGTGCTATGAAGTCACTTAGTGCCCTTCTTGGCTGTAGTAAATATGCTGAGCTGTTGCTGATACCAAAAGTTCTGGCTGAAAATGGCCACAACTCAGACTGTGCAAGTTCTCCAGTTGTTCATGAAGACGTGGAGATGCGAGCAGCCCTGCAGTTCTTGATGCGACACATGGTGAAGCGAGCAGTCATGCGGTCACCCATAAAGAGAGCATTGGGATTAGCTGATCTGGAACGAGCGCAAGCCATGATCTATAAATTAGTGGTTCATGGGCTTTTGGAAGACCAGTTTGGGGGCAAAATTAAGCAAGGTATGTTATCTGATTTTTTTTTTTTTTGCTTTTGTGCTGTTGAGATTATTTTCATAATTGTCAGAAGTGATACATTCTGTAAGTGATTTGTAAAAAAAAAAAAATTTTTTTTTTGGTCAAAGCAATTTTCACATCATTTTTTCTTGAAAACAGTTCTTTTTTATTATTTTTCTATTAGTAATCTTCTGTCTATAATTTTGCTATTTTAAACCTATACCAGTGTTAGAACACAGCAATTATTACTACATTTTGTAAAACAAAATTTAACTTATACCAAAAAAAGTATTTATTGATCTGACTCAAAATACATAGTATTCTGGCAAGCATGGTGGCTCATGCCTGTAATCCCAGCACTTTGGGAGGCCGAGGTGGGCAGATCACTTGAGGCCAGGAGTTCTAGACCAGCCTGGCCAACATGGTGAAACCCTGTCTCTACTAAAAATACAAAAATTAACCGGGCATAATGGCGTGTGCCTTTAATCCCAGCTACTCAGGAAGCTAAGGCAGTAGAATATCTTGAACCTGGGAGGCGGAGGTTACAGTGAGCCGAGATTGTGCCACTGCACTCAAGCCTGGGCGGCTGAGCGAGACTCTGTCTCAAAAAACAAACCAAAATACATAGTATTCTGATATCTTCTCAGAGATATTTTAAAATAAATTTTAAAGTCTCTACTTTCATAGGCTGCATATTGCATGTAAAAAAAGAAAAGCTCTGTTTTATCTTGTATCCTCACATTTGGGGAGAATATGAATGCAGAAATAAAAATGAGATTCGTTCAGTCAATGTTTGTTGAGTACCTACTATGTGTTGGGTACTTTCTTAGGTTCTGGAGAGACAGCAGTTAACAAAACAAAGTCCCTTGCCTTCATGGAGTTTATATTGTTCTTCCTTCTTTCCCTTCTTTCTTCTTTTCCTTTGTACTTATTCCTTTTCTTCTTGTCTTAGCTTGGACAGTAAATAGAGAGAGAGAGAGGTACATGGTGTATATAAGTAGGAATGTTAAGATCATGATGATTGTGAAGTAATGTGGCTTTTTATCAAACCTAATAGAATTACTTGTCTTTGTAGCAACTCATATTTTAGTTATGTTTATTTGTAGGATTCCTTAACAATTAAAAAAAATATATAAATACTTTGTAAACTTTTAGAGTTGTTAACTAAGTGGGTTTTTTAATGAAATTGTCCTTTTTAAATTGTGAAGTTTCTGTCTTGGTTTTTACTCTTCTTGTATTTACATGCTTTTATCTTTGCCTATTTGTAGATTAAAGATAGGCATCAAAATGAAAGTGTGAAGGAAACACAGTTTTAATGATTGGATACCTTAGAGAACCTCTTATCAGATCTTACAACCAAAAGTGAGACTTTTTTTGTTTTTAAGAGAACCCTCTTCTCTAAAAACAGAAATGTGTAATTACAAGGGCTCATTACAATACTGTCTGTAGAGTCTGGAATTAATGAGTACAGTAGTGAATACAAAGATGTATATAAGTAAGAATATTTTTTTCTGTCAATCTTTCATAGAAATTGATGCTTGTGAAATATATTTAGAAACTTTTAAATTAAACAGGTAGAAGTTTTTTATTCCCGCTGTTATTTTTGAAAAAACAAATCCTTACTACTTTCTTAACCTTTTTTTTGGTTTCTAGAGATTGATCAACAAGCTGAAGAAAGTGACCCTGCCCAGCAGGCACAGACACCAGTTACTACTAGCCCATCAGCCTCAAGCACGACCTCCTTTATGAGCAGCTCTCTGGAGGACACCACAACTGCCACCACTCCAGTCACTGACACAGAAACAGTGCCTGCATCCGAGTCCCCGGGAGTGATGCCTCTTAGTCTTCTCAGGTAGAGAAGTTGACCTTTAATGTCTGCCATACTGATGCCTGTGTTTCTGAAGGCACAGTTGTCCTCATATGAATAGTATGCCCAACTGAATCTTGGTGTTCTAGAGCTAGAAAGAAACTAAGAGATTATATAGTCAAGCTCATTTTACTGAATTTGGAAATGTCCCTCAGAAGTTTAATAACTTACCCAAAACTCACAGCCAGTTAGTGGTGATCCCAGGTCTAATCAGCTGTCGTGCTGACCAGCAAGTAGTCTAACATTCTCTCTCTTATGATGATAATTTTTTCCCCTAAGTTTTTGAGTATTTTTTTTTCCTCAAAAAGTAAATACTTTTATTTGGAATATTCACCTCCATGAAAATAATTTTCTCTTCTCAGGTTGTTTTCATTTTAAGCATACTTCTTTAACTGTATTTTTATTCTTAAAAAAATTTCGAGCAAGTCTGCTTTTCAAACGAAAGGGCATGTCTTATGATGCTTCTTTAGCCAACTCTATTTTAATAGGTTTGTAAATTCCAAGTGATGCTTACTTAAATTTCTTTTTGCTTTAATTTGCCAGATGTATATACAAATGAAAACTTTTGAGAGAAGAGCCTTCAGGGAAGAGACTGTTTTATGAGCTCTCTTAACTATGACTTAAGTGAAATAAGGGAAGCAGAATGGTTAGCCTCCCTTTTTCTTCTTTCCCCTCTTTCCTTAGTTAAGAAGGCATTACGATTTTCACTGTGTAGACTGACATCTTAAACAGTGGAACAGGGGAGTGTCTATTGTAGTGATTCTCAATTTTTGGTGTGCCCAAGGCCACCTGGGCAACTTTTTAAAGCTCTAGGGCTGTATCCCTCAGCAAGTCTGATTCAGTAGGTCTGGTGGGGCCCATAGTTTACATTTTAATTAAGTTTCTCTAGTGATTCTGATACAGTGGCTTCAGCGTACACTTTGAGAATTACTGCTGTGGTCTTGTGCAGGAGTACAATCCTAGTACCATTTTCAGACCCCACATATCTCCTACATGTTAGCTCTCTTACTGGAATAATAGTTTCAGGAGGTGCGTCTGTTCAAAGAATAAGGAAGATAGAGGAATAATAGGTTATTCTTTTTTTCTCTCTCACTTTTTTTTTTTTTTAAGAGACAGCTGCTTACTCTGTCACTGAGACTGGATTACAGCAGCACAGTCATAGTTCATTGCAGCCTCAAAGTCTTCTAGATTCAAGCCATCCTCCTGCCTCAGTCTCCTGAGTAGCTGGGACTACAAGTGTACCACCACACCCAGCTAATTTTTTTTTTTTTTTTTTTGAGACAAAGTTTCACTCTTGTTGCCCAGGCTGGAGTGCAGTGGTGCGATCTGGGCTCACCGTAACCTCAGCCTCCTGAGTTCAAGCGATTCTCCTGCCTCAGCCTCCTGAGTAGTTGGGATTACAGGCATGTGCTACCACTCCCGGCTAACTTTTTGTATTTTTAGTAGAGACAGGGTTTCTCCATGCTGGTCAGGCTGGTCTCGAACTCCCAACCTCAGGGGATCTGCCCACCTTAGCCTCCCAAAGTGCAGAGATTACAGATGTGAGCCACCGCACCTGGCCCCTCGCTAATTTTTTGAAATTTTTTTGTAGAGACAGGATCTTGCTTTGTTGTCCAGGCTTGTCTTGAACTCTTGGCCTCAAGTGATCCTGTGGCCTCAGCCTCCCAAAGTATGCTGGTATTACAGGTGTGAGCCACGATGCTTGCCTGATACGACATTCTAATATGGTTTTTAATCCCTCTGGCAATTACAGAATTCAAGGCGTCCACACAAGATCAGTAGCACTGTGACTCCTTGTAACCTTTTCAGCTCTGATTAGTGTGGGCATGGGATTCAGTGGTAGAATCATGCCCCCTTGCTCCCATAGGCATTCACCAGGACTTATGACTCCTCATTTCTTCTGTCTTCATTTTCCTGCTATTGGCTGGGACTTCATTAGAGTTGCACTTGGCTCTTACTGGGCGAACATCATTTAGTAGAGGAAAAACCAGAGAACTACTCCTTCCTGTGTGTATACCATTGTATTACTGACTTGGTAGACAGTACATTTTTGATACTTAGAAAGTTCCTAGTTCTTTTGGACAAATCTGAAGAGCAGTCAGTGTGGATCTTTATGGACTTTATACTCTGACTGCTGTCCACATTTCTCAACTGAAGAGGGGTTCTCCCTCCAATACCTTTCCCTGACCATGCTCCACATTCTCATCGGAGAAGGGGCTGCCTCCCCGTACCTTTCCCCGACTGTGCCGCTGACATATCATTCATGTACTGTTTTGCAGTTGTGCTAGGTGACTAGACAGTTACCTTTTCTTTCCATAACTTGCCTGTAAACCATTACTTTCAATCCATGTGAATAATTTCATGACTAGCTAGTGAGTTTATATTAATATTTAAAAGTAACTGCAAGTTACCTATCTTTAAAAGCCTTCTTTGCACTGTAACTGTACATACCAAATTACCCCTCTTATCTTGGTATTATAGTTGAAGGAAAGCTCTGTGAAGGCAGGCATTTTTCATCTATTTTGCTAATGGCTGTATTCCCCCAACCTGCTTTGTTGCTGGCATTTTGCTGAAAGAATCATAAGGTTTTATTACATTTATACTGAAAGTGCTGCATGAGATAATCATTTTTAAAACTAAGGAGTCTTTCTCCCCACCCTCCATTAAACTATAACTAACCTGTTTAGTCTTCCAGGTTGCATATTCTTCTATAAGAAGATTGTGATGTATGTATTATTTCGTAAATTGGATTTTTATGCTAACCACTGTTATTTTCTTAAAGGCAAATGTTCTCTAGTTACCCAACTACCACTGTACTTCCCACACGTCGGGCACAGACTCCTCCAATATCTTCGTTACCAACCTCTCCTTCTGATGAAGTAGGAAGGAGGCAAAGTTTAACTTCTCCTGATTCCCAGTCAGCAAGGCCAGCTAACCGCACAGGTGCGTGTGCTGATATGCACTATGATATCCAAAGTTGGCATTCCAGATGTGTGGGACTTTATTATGTGGGCATTGTGTTTTGTCTTCACAGAAGGTAAAACAGTGATTTTAATGAAGGGGAACTGCCCCATTAAACTGAGCTATGATCTTCATGTTGAAGCTGTGGATTGAATTATGGCCATTTCGGAGAGAAATAATGTGCTGTACATTAGTCATATCAGCTCTTCATTTTTCCCAATATAGCCATTTTTAGTGTTGTAAGTTTCCCTTTAAGTACTGCTTTAGCTGCAACCCACACATTTTGAAATGCTGTGTTTTCATTTTCATTTAAAGTACTTTCTAATTTGCCTTTGATGTCTTCTTTGCCCTCTGGACTATTTGGAAGTATGTTATTTAGTTTTCAAATATTTGGGGGATTTTCTAGATATCGTTTTGTTACTGCTTTCTAATTTTATTATTGTCAGAGAACATATCTTGTATAATTTGAATCACTTTAAATTTATTGAGACTTGTCTTACAGCCTAGAATATCATCTGTTTTGGTAAATATTCCAAGTGCACTTGGAAAATACGTGTATTGTGCTGTTGTTGAGTGTTCTATAAATTGTTTAGCAGGCTCAAATTGGTTGATACTGTTGTCCAAGTCTTCTTTATCCTTTCTGGTTTTTTTGTCTACTTGTTCTGTCTATTATTGAGAGAGTGTTGTTGAAATCTGTGACGATAATAGTGGATTTTTCTATTTCCTGTTTTCAGTTTCTGTTTCATATATTTTAAAGCTCTGTCTTTAGGTTCATAAACATTTAGGATTCTTACGTTCTTTTAATGAATAGACCTTCTGTTATTATGAAATGCCTTTATCCTTGGTGATATTTTTTTGCCCTGAAATCTGCTTTCTCTGATGTTATAGCCACTCCTGCTTTTTAAAAATTGTTAGGATGGTTTGTCTTTACTCATCATTTTACTTTTCATCCATTTGTGTCTCTATATTTAAAATGGGTAAAGGCAGCATGTTGTAGTAGTTAGGTCTTGCTTTGTTTGTTTGTTTGTTTGTTTTTAGAGACAGCCTCTTGCTCTGTCACCCGGGCTGGAGTGACCTTGGGTCACTGTAGCCTCAACCTCTTGGGCTCAAGCAGTTCTCCCACCTCAGCTTCCCAAGTAGCTGGGACTACAGGTGCATGCCACCACACCCAGCTAATTTCTGTAATTTTTTGTAGAGACAGGGTCGTACCATGTTGCCCAGGCTGGTCTCAAACTCCTGACCTCAAGGGAATCTTGCTTTTTTTAATCCAATCTGATATTCTCTACCTTTTAATTGGGGTGTGTATGCCTTTTACATTTAATGTGATCATTGATATGGTTGGTTTTAAATCCACCTTCTTTCTATTTTGTTCCACCTGTTTTTTGTTCTCTTTTGAATTAATTAACTTTCTTTGAATTAAATAAGTTTTATTATTCCATTTTACCTCCTTTGTTGGCTTATTAGCTATACAGTTGACCCTTGAACATTGCAGGGATTGCAGCACCAACCCCCTGAACAGTTGAAAATCTGTATATAACTTTTGACTCCATAAAGATGAGAAGATATATTTACTATTCATTAAGTGGAAGTGGATCATCATAAAAGTCTTCATTATAGTCATATTCCCGTTGAGTAGGCTAGGAAAAGGAGGGACTAGTCTTGCTCTCCCAGGAGTGGCAGAGGCAGAAGAAAATCCACATGTAAGTGGACCCGAGCAGTACAAACCCATGTTGTTCAAGAGTCAACTGTACTTCGTTTTATATTTTTAGAGATTACCTTCTGGTTTATAGTATATGTCTTTAATTATCAGAGTCTACCTTAAGGTGATATTGTACCACTTCATATGTAGTTAAAGTAATAATTTTACAACAGGATGATTTTATTTTCCTTTTCTCATCATTTATACTTTTGTTTTCATACATTTCACTTTTACACATAAGCTCCATAATAAATTATTATTTGTTTTGGATAGTTTTTATAGCTATATCTTCTAATTCATTCATCTTTTCTTCTGCAGTGTCTAATGTTCTGTTAATGTCCAGTGTATTTTTCTATTCAGACACTATAGTTTTCATCAGTAGACATTTGATTTGTTTTTTTTTAATCTCATCTTCCGTGTTTATTTCACATGCTCAATCTTTCCTCTAACTTACTGAATACATGGAATAATAGTTGATTCTCATTATTAGCAATAGTTATGTTCTAAAAGGTTATTATGAACACTGAATTAGCAAATACTGAACCATTGCTCCTAGGAGAAATACAGGGTTAAGTTCCTGTGAACTTCTAGTTACATTTCCATCATCTGATCAGTATGCTGTATAATCTTGTTTTGTGCATCTTTCTGTTTAAAGATACCACATTTAATACATACTGTTTATTCACTAACATTGAGCTTATGGCCACCAACACTATAGCTCATCATGAATGAAGCTTATCTAACATATGTATTTTCTTCATAAGGCACATTACAGCATCCTTGTGCTTAGAAACACTAGACAGCACTTTAGCACTATGCTTGGGGCCATTTTAATCAGGGAAATCACCGACCAAAAGCATAAAAATGCGAAGAATGTAGCACTAAATAGACTATGAAAAGGACACTTGTTTTTCACATGAGAGCTGAAACATGAAGGCAGAGCATCACCTTGTTGGACCTCAGCTGTGAACACATATGTTGAGGGACTAAACTTTTTAGTCCCTCTGCATATGTCACAAATGACTACAAAAGTACATGAGTATTGATTTTGAGATTACAAATAAATTTTATTGAGTATACAGATTTACAAATATGGAACTTGGATGAGGAGTGGGTTATTTACATACTCTTATAGTACCTCTACACAAATCTTTACAAAGTATAACATAAATGGATGTTAGTAAAACTGGGATTACAGGTGTGAGCCACAGTGCCCAGCCACATATTCTGAGTAGAGGAAAATTTCATTAAACTTGGACAATACTAGGAAATTGAGGACTATGAAGACACTTTTTACTCACGGTATCTAGTGATATTTAGGTTCTTATTTCTCTTCCTTTTGTCTCAGCCTTGTCAGACCCAAGCAGTAGACTTTCAACTTCTCCTCCTCCTCCAGCAATTGCAGTTCCCTTGCTGGAAATGGGGTTCTCTCTTCGGCAGATTGCCAAAGCCATGGAAGCTACAGGTAGGATAAGTTTTTATATATCAGTGTATACAGATATGAGAAGTCCTAGCTTATTAAAGACAACATAACTTTTAAGAGGCTATGAAACTTGGTAAGATTTTTAACACTATATTTTGTTACAAGAGCATCATAGCAAACACTCTTATAACATAAAGACCTAATTCTTTGCCCAAAGTCAGCATCAGACTGTTTTTCCCCTGTATAGGTGCTAGGGGAGAGGCTGATGCCCAGAATATCACTGTCCTTGCCATGTGGATGATAGAGCACCCTGGGCATGAGGATGAAGAGGAGCCCCAGTCGGGCAGCACAGCAGACTCTAGGCCTGGAGCAGCCGTTCTAGGCAGTGGCGGGAAGTCAAATGATCCCTGTTATTTGCAGTCACCTGGAGACATACCATCAGCTGATGCTGCTGAAATGGAGGAAGGTTTTAGTGAAAGGTGAAATTCCAGTTTCTGTACTTTTGTTCCATGTGTTATAAATTTCAAAGCCCCATTTATTATATATCCCGTCATAAATGCTTCTAATTGTATGTAAAGTTGATAAATATAGTTATATGAAAAGATGGGCATTTTAGTTACAAGTTTATATTTCTGTGAAGGGTAAAAGTGACATGACAAGTTTTGATTTGAGTAGGTGTTTTCATGCCAGAAGAAATTTCATAATTTTTGTGTAAAATTGTACTGAAAAAGGAAACAAGTTTATTTTGAAGTAAACATGCTAATAAAATAATTTTATCTCGTACAAGTGATATAAAATCGAGTATTCATTTTAATATTGGACATTGATTTAATGTATTTGATAGAATTGAACTTTTTTTTTTCTGAGACGGAGTCTCGCTCTGTCGCCAGGCTGGAGTGCAGTGGCGCGATATCGGCTCACTGCAGCAACCTCCGCCTCCCCGGTTCAAGCAGTTCCCTGCCTCAGCCTCCCAAGTAGCTGGGACTATAGGCATGTGCCACCATGCCCGGCTCATTTTTTGTATTTTTAGTAGAGACAGGGTTTCACCATGTTGGCCAGGACGGTCTCGAACTCCAGACTTCGTGATCCACCCACCTTGGTCTTCCAAAGTGCTGGGATTACAGGCATGAGCCACCGTTCCTGGCCTAGAATTGAACTTTTAAGTCTTCTCTGTGTAATATTTATATTTTCATCTCTTCTATAGTTTTTAATATCTAGTAGAAGATGCCCCTTTAAGTGTAAAAAGATTGCTGTGATAATGCCTATCCTAAAATGAGATGTATAGAATATCTTACAAATTCTCCCTAAAATCTTTTTTCCTTCATCACTTCTTATGACTTTAAATCTTTATTTTTCATTTTAACTATGGAGCCATATAGTAACCAAGGCTTGTGTCCTAGATGGCATGCAAGCTTTTTCCAACAAGCTCAGTGAATATTTTCATAACGTATTTCAAAATACCTGTTTTTCCTAGGCAAGAATTCTCAATCATTTCAAATTTTAAGTATTTAATCTTTTAGGATTTAGTTAAGGTCATATTTGATCTCATTTAAATTTGAGCTTCATTAAACATCATTTTGTTGTTGGAAGAATTCAAAATCAGACAAAGTTATTGCTCAGGTCACAGGAAATGTTATATGCATAATTGAACTGTTCAAGGGATAAAGATGTGTTTCAAATTTTATCATAAACATATTTTATTCTCAATGAGAATAAAGTAGTACTACAAGTAAGCTTACACCTATGCTTTCTTTCCATAATGGTTTCAAAAACTTTGTGTTGCTTTCTCACTTGCACTTGTAGCCCTGATAATTTGGATCATACAGAGAATGCAGCTTCTGGAAGTGGACCATCAGCTAGAGGTCGCTCAGCGGTAACAAGAAGACACAAGTTTGACTTAGCTGCTCGCACACTGCTAGCAAGAGCAGGTAATTTTATGTTCCGTATCCTTTTCTTTGTGAAAGATCTTATTTTGAAAGCAATGTAAAGGCACATTAAAGAAGATTCAAACTAATGATACTAAGTGCTCAGTCCCTCCACATTAACAGAACAGCTATTTGGATATCATTTTCTATGCATTTACATAATTTTATTTAAATCGTAGCATACATTCATAGGCTTATTTTTAAGTTTCCCTGGGTGCAGAAGTCTATACTGGCCACTTGTAGATTTTGAGAAATTATATAAATGCTCTTCCTTCTGCTCTCAGTCAATTATAATTTAAGAAGTGATGATGCATGTTTAATGTTTAGCATCAGTGGTAAGAAGGAGCTGGAAAGGGCACTGTGCCAAAAAAGTAGGCCCTGGCTTTTCTGATGTACTGCTCTGTGGTTGTTAGGGCTTCACTGCTAGATAAGGACCAGATTCCCTCATTACATTAGTAAATTCTAGGATTACGTTCTGGGCATGTAAAATATAAATTATAGGGAATATATTTTCCAAACCAAAAACTTGAATATGTGATTTGTCAAAACAGAATTTGATCACTGAAATACTATAACATGAGTAATGATTCAGTAATTTACAGGAACAGTGAGAGAACTGTATATTTCTCATATAATTAAGGTAACTGATTTTTTTTAAAACCTAAAAGAATAGTAATAGCCAATATTTATTGAAGTTTTTTTCTATATGATTAACATTATATCAGTGGCTCATGCCTATAATCCCAGCACTTTGGGAGGTGGAGGCAGGAGAAATCACTTGAGGCTAGGAGTTTGAGACCAGCCTGGGCCACATAGCAAGACCCTGTCTTTACAAAAAAATTAAAAAACGGTTAGCTGGGTATGGTGGCATGTGCCTGTAGTCCTAGCTACTCAGAGGCTGAGACAGGAGGATGTCTTGAGCCCAGGGGTTCAGGGTTACAGTGAGCTGGGATTGTGCCATTGCACTCCAGCTTGAGTGACAGATCCAGATCCTGTCTCTAAAAACAGCAACAAAAACATTATAAAGCATCGCATGGATTCTCTTACTTAAACCTATCAATAACCCAGTGAGATATGAGTGCTATTATTATCCCCTTTTGCAAGAGAGGAAACACACGTGATAGGTATAATTTGATGTTTTATGGTCTGAGATCCAATAAGACAACTGAGATAGGTTCTCACCTACATGTATGGCAGTTAAGAACTGGCGAAATATTCAGAATTATTTTATGCATGCAAATAAAATGCCTTTTTTGTTTTGTTCTGAGCGGGATTATACCGCTCTGTGCAGGCCCACAGGAATCAAAGTCGGAGAGAAGGAATATCTTTGCAGCAAGACCCAGGGGCGTTGTATGACTTTAATTTAGATGAGGAATTGGAAATTGATCTTGATGATGAGGCGATGGAAGCTATGTTTGGACAAGACCTGACCAGTGACAATGATATTCTGGGAATGTGGATCCCAGAGGTACTGGATTGGCCTACCTGGGTGTGTGTGACTGCAGCGGGGGCTGCTCTGACTTATTTTCCTGCCCTCCTGTTCATATAGCTTACTAACAGCAGCCTTGCCTAGAGTTGAAACACTCTAAAAAGTCTTTTATCTCATCCTGAGGTTTGGGGATTTAAAGTTATGAGGTTACTTTGATACCTACAAACTAATAAGGAAAAGTCTCTCTTGCTTTCTCTGTGGGATTTTATTGTTTCTCTCCCCAGACAAGATGAATAGAGTCATACTGTGGTAATATTTGATTCTGATGTCAAAGATAAATTACAAAACAAGCATCAGGTTCCAGTAGACGTTGACAGGTTATATAACATGGCTGCTGTGCTCACATTGCTATCTGAATGCATGTTCTTCTCCTTCATAGGTTCCATTTAATCAATGTAATGCCTTATTCTAGGAACCAGTGCTCACCTAGATCTTGTAAATACCTCCATTTAGGGGCAAGGTACATGGTGGATTTGTATATACATTGGTTAGCATTACATTTTTGTAGTAGGGAGACCAAAAAGCTCATAGATGTAAGTCCTACAGGAAAGAGAATCTGCTATATAAATAAGTGAATCATAATGATTTTTCCCAAAAATTCATAAAGTAGGTATGCATTTTGTGACCAGATGAAAATTAGTTCTTTTCACTAGTGGAGTTTTTTTTTTAAAAAGCCTCATTTTGAGATAGGACAGATTGTCATGTTCATTAACTCTTCTCAGTAGGATACTCAGTTACTTGTATTATTGATATAACTTATTAGAGTGAGAGAGGGCAAAGAACACCTTCCGATTGTGTTATCTGAATTCTGATTTGAAAGAAATTTTTTATTTAGCATTAATGAACATGTTGGAAATATTCTAGCATATGTAATAAAGTAATTTAATATAAATAATCTACTTGGTACTTCTTGGTTTTATGTTAAATTGACTAATCATTTGGTATGAAATCCTTTTGTGCAGCATGTTTGTGAGTCTGAAGACAGGGAAGAAGTGGTGGTGTGTGAACTGTGTGAATGCAGCGTCGTCAGCTTCAATCAGCACATGAAGAGAAACCATCCAGGCTGTGGGCGCAGTGCAAACCGCCAGGGCTATCGCAGCAATGGTTCCTATGTGGATGGCTGGTTTGGCGGTGAATGTGGGAGTGGAAATCCGTACTACCTGTTATGTGGCACCTGCAGGGAGAAGTACTTAGCCATGAAGACCAAATCTAAGTCAACAAGTTCTGAAAGGTACCTTGAAATTGTGTAGATATCCAGACCTCCTGAAGATACCTCATACCTTAAGTCTTGGGAACTGTAGATTTTTCACGTGAGGAGTTACATTTAACCTTCCCTGAAATCCCGTGATTCTTACACTTTGGGCAGAAGGGATGGAGGGGTTTCAGAAATTCATGTTCCCAGGAATAATGGCATAGCAACATATCCTTCCCTGGAGTTTGACTGTGTTAACCTCTGACTTGTTGGCAAGTAATGGTCAGGACCCTTGCCTTAACCCTCAGGAGGCTTCTACTCAATTCTTTTCATTTGTATTTTCTACCATATTTCTGGCATTTTAATTAAGATCTTTTTCCTGATGAAAAAAACAGACTTTTGATTAAACGAGTTCCATAAAAATATTATCTCTTTACATCCTTAATCCCTAGAGAGTAGGTTTGTTGCCCTTAATTGTCAACTATTAAAATCTTTAAGGCTTTATGGAATAGAATTTGGTTAAAAGAGTTGTTTTAGGTAACCCAGAAATCTCCCCAGTAGTTTGGTAAAATAATCATTGATTTTGTAAGCATGTGTGTACCTACATACCAGCAGTTTTTATTATGTTAGCCTATAACATGAAACATACTTTTTTATTTTGTGCTGCTTTATTAATGACCTCTTAAAATGTTCTAATGACTTAATTTGCATCTTGGGGTACTAACTGTTTTATATAAAAATGCAATGTTCTTCATGTTTGGTGCAGGTACAAGGGACAAGCTCCAGATCTAATTGGCAAGCAAGACAGTGTGTATGAAGGTAGTTTGTTTTGAGAGCTTCTTTATTTTACATGTTTTTTTATATATCCTCTCTGCTTAACATCTGTTACTAAAATTCACCTTCGTGTGTGTGTGTGTTTGTATTTGTGTACATGTTAACTTAAATTTTCCCTTAAAAACTCAAGGGAATTTAATAGCAACAACGCTGGTTTAAAAGTCAAAGGAAAAGAACGTGGTTTCAAAGACCAACTTTACCACAGAATATTAATTTCTATTAGGTGTATTTTTTTTTCAAAGTAGGGAAAGGATGTGGTATATTTTGAATTTCCACCCTAATTGTGGAAAGTAAAAAATAAATAGAGATGAGCATTGATTTTTCTGGAGCACTCATTTTCTTGAAATAACTCATTCCCTAATGATTACAGACAGCTAAGAACTCTTTGTTGGACCCATGACAATATTTTTAATTAGTTTAAACCTCTATTACCAGCTGTAGCATTTGCTATTGCTGTCAACTTATTTAACTACATTGACTCCCTTTCCCTGAGAGTCTCACTTATGCTTCAGGAGTGCAGTTTGGTTAAGTTTTCAGGAGATGGTGCCATAGTTCATTATGTGGTCACTGGACTTTCAGTCCATCTGCATTTTATGTATGTATGTATTTATTTATTTATTTATTGTTTTTATTTCTTTGAGATGGAGTCTCACTCTGTTGTCCAGGCTGTAGTGCTGTGGCGTGATCTCAGCTTACTGCAGCCACGGCCTCCCAGGTTCAAGCAATTCTCCGGTCTCAGCCTCCTGAGTAGCTGGGATTACAGGCACACACCACCATGCCTGGCTAATTTTTGTATTTTTTGGTGGGGATGGGGTTTCATCATGTTGGCCAGGCTGGTCTCAAATTCCTGACCTCATGTGATCCAGTCGCCTCGGCCTCCCAGAGTGTTGGGATTACAGGCGTGAGCCATCGCATCTGGCTGCTCATCTGCATTTTAGATGTATTTTCAGAACAACCATTGCCAGCAGATTTATGTAATATTTAAATTCACATACTATACATTTATTTATTTAAATTCCAGAAGACTGGGACATGTTGGATGTTGATGAAGATGAAAAGCTAACTGGTGAAGAAGAATTTGAATTACTTGCTGGACCGCTTGGTTTAAATGACCGGCGCATTGTACCAGAACCAGTTCAGTTCCCTGACAGCGATCCACTGGGAGCATCAGTAGCAATGGTCACAGCCACCAACAGTATGGAAGAGACTCTGATGCAAATAGGTAAACTGAAATCCTGATTTGCATTGATTTTATAGCATCTACTATAATTTGTTTCTTAGATAGGTAAATAATAATAATAAAGTAAAAGTAAATAAGACTAATGGTTCAACATTATCTCACCCCAACAAGTCTCTTTAGCCAGTTGTTTTAACATTTTGAAGGTATAATGTGGTATTAAGTTTTGGCTGGGCTTGGTGGCTTATGCTCGTAATCCCAGCACTTTGGAAGGCTGAAGAAAGAAGGTCGCTTGAGGCCAGCAGTTCAAGACCAGGCTGGGCAACATGGTGAGACCCATTTCTATTAAAAAAATGAAGAAAAGTAGCTGGGTGGGTGGTGTGCACCTTTAGTCCCAGCTACTCAGGAGGCTGAGGCAGAAAAATTGTTTAATCCCAGGAGTTTGAGGTTATGGTGAGTGATGATTGAGCCACTGCACTCCAGCCTGGGTGACAGAACCAGACCCTGTCTCAAGAGGAAAAAATAAATGTTTTGATTTTTTTTTGTCTTTCATGATACCGAAGCAATAAAAAGATTTATAGAACTTGTTATTTAAAAAAAAACTTGGTGTTAAGAGAATCCTGTAACCAACTTAAAATTATTGTGCAGTCTTCTTTTTATTTGGGTGAGAGGGTGTGGTAAATTTTTGGTATAGGGAATACAAAATAAAGAATTGGGCAGTATTGGTAATTCAGTCCTTTATAAATTCTCAAAGCACTTATAATCAGTAGATGTGATACATGGGCAAAATGAACAAAACAGAAAATACTTACTGGTAAATTAAGTATAAATACTCCTATGGTAAATACATTGTTAACATAGAAATATCTAAGTTAGAAATATCCAAGTTCAAACTTAGAAATATGTGAGTTTCTCCTAAGAAATTTTCTGTATAACCAAGTTCCAGATGAGCAAAAGACATTGGTTTGTTATGGAACCTCTGTAGAATAGGAAATGTTTTTAGTAGTTCAGATGTATTTTTTTCTTACCTTGTTGAGAACAAAACAGAATTATGTTTTTCAGGTTGCCATGGCTCCGTAGAAAAGAGCTCCTCTGGGAGAATAACGTTAGGAGAGCAGGCAGCTGCCCTAGCAAACCCTCATGACCGTGTGGTGGCTTTAAGGAGAGTGACTGCTGCTGCTCAGGTTCTTCTGGCCAGAACCATGGTCATGAGAGCGCTGTCTCTTCTCTCAGTCAGGTAAGTGTTATTTTATGTCACATGATGCTAAGTTAACTTCTAGTGTACATTAGCTGGAAGTCTGGTGGTGTTTGGGAGGGTGAGATAGAATTTTAGAAGCTTGAATATGTACTGTTGAATGAAAGATGTTAGACGTAGTCATTGTTATTCACTCAATCGGTCATTCAGTTAATACTTGGCTCTTTTTAGGTAGAAAATAATGCCATTATCACAACTGAGTAAACTGCATACATTTTATTTTGTTGCTTGAAATGGGAAACTAAGGCTGTTGATCCCAATGGTGCTGGATCAAAAACTAAAGGTCAAAATGTATTGACCGTCTGTGTAGCTAAGTCAGCCTGCAGATGCCATCATGGGGATCCTTGCCGTGTTGATACTGTGGAGTGTAATGTAAAAAGGGGATGAGAACCAGAAATACCTAAAAGACAGCTGTTTAAGAAGTGATTAAGCAGGAGTATTTAATGGCAAATCAGTGAAGGCAGAAAGATCCTGAAAGAAAAACAAAATTTCCATAAGACTGTGTGCTATTGGCTCAAGGATAGGCAAATAGGATAGTACAGAAGAGAGTTAAGAAACTGACCCATACATATAAATAAACACTTGATTTATGGTTTGATTTATGACAGTGGTTCACACTGTAGAGCAATAGAGAAAGGCTGTTTTTTTCAGTAACTGAAGCAGGGTCTGATGGTTTATCCACATAGAAAAAAAAAGCCTTGGTCCCAACCTCAAACTATATAAAGCAAATAGTTATAAAGTGGCTATTAGATCTAAATATAAAAGAAAAATAAATCAATAAAGTTTATTGAAGGTAACATAGAAGAATTGCTTCTTGGTCTTGGGACAAGCAAAAATTCCTCAAGCAAGTCACAAAAGGAATCTGCCATAAAAGATTGATAAATTGGAATACAATAAAATAGAAAACCTCTGTTTAGCAAAAGTGATTTGAAAAGTAAGAAAGTAAAAAAGCAAGCCATAGAATGGGAGAAGATATTAGTAATGCATCTAACCAACAGAATGTGTAAAGAATTCCTATAAATTAACAAGAAAAAGACAACCCAGAAGAAAGTGGACAAAACACATTAAGAAGTGTTTCACAAAAGAGGATCTCCAAATGGCCAATAAACATGAAAAGATGTTCAACCTCAGTGAGTCTTCAGAGAAATGAAAATTAAAATCCAGTGTGATTGGGAGGCCAAGACGGGAAGAACCCTTGAGCCAGGAGTTTGAGACCAGCCTGGGAAACATAGTGAGACCCTGTCTCAAAAAAAAAAAAAAAAAAACCTAAGACAAAAAACCCACCAATGAGATACCATTGCACACCCACAAGAATGGCAAACATTTAAAACACTAGAGAGAAAAAAGTGACTGAAACAGCTAAAACTCCCATACATTGTTAGTGAGAAAATGAATTGGTATAACCACTTTGGAAAACTGTTCGATAGTATCAACTAAAACTGAACAGGAACATACTCTGTGACCCAGAGATCCACTTCTGGGTATATATCCAACAGAAATACTTAAATATGTGCCCCCTAAAGACCAATCATTCATGGTAGTACTATTCATAATAGCCCCATGTTGGAAACCGCCTGATTGTCATCTGTAGGGATAAATGAACTGTGGCAGATTTCATGTATATGTCAATGAAAACGAACTGCTCAATGCTACAAGATTTGGATGAATCTTACAAACATAATATTGAAGAAGCCAGACACAAAAGAGTACATATATTAATTATTCAATTGATGTAAAGTTCAAAAACAGGCAAAACTAACTTGTAGCTTTAGAAGTCAGGATAGTGGTTACTTCTGAGAGCATCGTGACTGAGAAAAGCCCAAAGCAGGTTTCTGAGGTACTGGCAATGTTCTGTTTCTTGATCTGGAGGGCGGTGACATGGGTTTGTTCAGCTTATGAAAATTTATGCTTTGTGAACATTCCTGTTTTACTTTGTCAGTTCAATTGTACTTCAAGTATATGCCAATACTTATTAAAAGGAGAGAACGTTTAGATGCCAGTTTCCAGCTTGATACCTTTGGCAACTCTTAGGACATGTATGGCTAATGATAGTGCAGCTTACATTTTATTATGGTTGTTGATGCTGTGAATGTTATGTGGGACTGCAAATGGTCCCTTAAGAAATCCATTTTCTTTATCCATCTGAGATGTTTTTCTTTACTGGCAGTGGTTCCAGTTGTAGCCTGGCTGCTGGTCTTGAGTCTCTGGGGCTAACAGATATCCGAACGCTAGTTCGATTAATGTGCTTGGCAGCAGCAGGGAGAGCTGGCCTCTCCACCAGCCCTTCTGCCATGGCTAGCACCTCAGAACGATCACGAGGTGGGCATAGCAAGGCTAACAAGCCTATCTCTTGCCTGGCCTATTTGAGCACAGCAGTGGGATGTCTGGCATCAAATGCTCCTAGTGCTGCCAAACTGCTTGTACAGTTGTGTACACAGGTAAGCTACTTTCAGTACTTTTCCCCGTTACATTGATTATTTCTGACTGATTCTTGAGCCTTTTGAAATGAAATATTTTTGTTCCAAAATTACATGTAAAAATTAAGTCTGTTTTTCCAATTGCTTCTTCAGAACTTGATTTCTGCTGCAACAGGTGTAAATCTAACCACAGTTGATGACTCAATTCAGCGAAAGTTTCTACCCAGCTTTCTCCGAGGAATTGCTGAAGAGAACAAGCTTGTGACCTCCCCAAACTTTGTTGTAACACAGGCCCTTGTGGCATTGCTAGCAGACAAAGGGGCCAAACTAAGACCTAACTATGATAAGTCAGAAGTTGAAAAGAAAGGTAAGTTTCATACTACTGAAACATACAGTCTTCTAATCGACTTCTTATTTTTAAATAATGTTTTTACATTGTTAGTATATGATAAATTATATGACGTGAGTTTCTTAAGTTTAGAACATAAAAGAAGTGCATAGATACTTTTTCACTGTGTATGGAAACAAAGATTAGAAAATGTACCATATTAGTTTAGTTATAGATTATGATTTGAGTTAACCATAGATAATAATCCTGGTAGGTTTCTTTAATAAAATTTAGATGAAGGCAGTGTTATTTTTCTCTTTGTTTTAAGATTATAACACTTTGAAGGGACTACTTATCAGTACTGCCTTTCTCTTCATCAGGACCATTTAGCCAAGAGATAACTGGCTTTTGTTTTTTGTTTCTTTTTGAGACAGAGTCTCACTCTGTCACCCAAACTGGAGTGCAGTGGCACAATCTTGGCTCAGTACAACCTCCACCTCCTGGGCTCAAGTGATTCTCCTGCCTCAGCCTCCCAAGTAGCTGGGATTACAGGCACATGCCACCATGCCCGGCTAATTTTTCTATTTTTAGTAGAGATGGGGTTTCGCCATGTTGGCCAGGCTTGTCTTGAACTCCTGGCCTCGTGTGATCCTCCCACCTCGACCTCCCAAAGTCCTCAGATTACAGGCATGAGCCACCACACCCAGCCGATACTGGCTTTTGGATCTATCAGCCCAGTTCCTTGACTGGTTACAGTCACACCATCACTTTTGAGCAACAAAAGCCAAACTGTTTTCTTAAAGGCATGCCATCTCCATCCTGGTTTTAAAATTATTTCTGCTGCTTTCTTAGTCTACTGAGTCCTTGGAGCAAAGACTATTGATTGTTGTATAATAAATTTTTTTTTTTTTTGAGATGGAGTCTTGCTGTGTCACCCAGGCTGGAGTACAGTGGCGCAGTCTCGGCTCACCGCAACCTCCGTCTCCCAGCTTGAAGCAATTCTCCTGCCTCAGCCTCCCGAGTAGCTGGGATTATAGGCACGTGCCACCATACCATGGTGTGGCTAATTTTTTTTTTTTTTGTATTTTCAGTAGAGATGGGGGTTTCACCATGTTGGCCAGGCTGGTCTCGAACTCCTGACCTCAGGTGATCCTCCCACCTTGGCCTCCCAAAGCACTGGGATTACAGGCGTGAGCCACCATGCCTGGCCTAAAATGTATATTTTTAATGAATCAGATTTCTTACAGAATTTGATGTGAGATAAATGCTTTATTTCTTGTGTGCATATTTTAGTGAAATAATTGCTTGCAAAAGTGCCAATTCTTAAAAGATATGGGTTAACCCATTTGCTTGTTCACCACCACCAAATCTCACCTGAGCATCATTTCATGTTTTGTTTAAGCAGGTTTAATTGCCCAATTGTATGCCCATCCTTCCTATGATCCTTCTGCTGTAGGCCCTCTGGAGTTGGCTAATGCCCTGGCAGCCTGCTGCCTCTCCTCCAGGCTGTCCTCACAGCATCGGCAATGGGCAGCTCAGCAACTCGTGCGCACTCTTGCTGCACACGACCGTGACAACCAAACTACTCTGCAGACACTTGCTGATATGGGAGGAGATCTTAGAAAATGCTCCTTTATCAAATTGGAGGCTCATCAGAACAGAGTAAGTATTTTGAGTGGAAAGTGTGTTAATCACGTTATGTAAGATGAAATAGTCTCTTCTCTTCTCAAGGAGCTCAAAGTTTAGGTCTCTCTCTTTGTGTCACTCTCTTTCACACGTACACATACACATGCACACAATTACAAAGATGTTCCTGGCAGTTACCAACTCTACTTTCTCTGTATGCTGGTTTGATATAATAGTATACGAATTGGAGAATTGGATGGGGGATGAGAAGAAAACCAAAGGAATAGCTTCACAAAAGATGAAGACTTATGCATTTGATCCTCTGTATCCGTGGGTTCTGCATCCATTGATTCAACCAACTACCAATGGAAAATATTGGGGTAAAAAATAATGATCCAATAATAAAAAATAATACAAATGAAAAGTACAGTATAACTGTTTACATAGTATTTACATTCTGTTAGGTATTTAAAGTAATCATGAGATGATTTAAATTACATGGGAGGATATATATATGTTCTATGCAGATACTACCCCATTTTTATAAGGAATCTATCTGCAAATTTGGGGCAGGGAATCATGGAACCAATCACCCACAGATACTGAAGGACAACACGCAAAAGGAAAAGAAATTGGCCTCACTATTTTAATCTAACCCATGGGGTCTCTGAGCTGTAACAAGAAATGAAGATTGAATTGTATTACTTAAACAGTTTTTTTTTAACGGAGTCTCACCCAGACTGAAGTACAGTGGTGAGATCTCGGCTCACTGTAGTCCCCGCCTCCCGGGTTCAAGTGATTCTCCTGCCTCAGCCTCCCGCATAGCTGGGATTACAGATGTACACCACCACACTCGGCTAATTTTTTTGTATTTTTAGTGGAGACAGGGTTTTTCCATGTTGGCCAGGCTGGTCTCAAACTCCTGACCTCAGGTGATCCGCCTGCCTTGGCCTCCCACAGTGCTGGGATTACAGGTGTGAGCCACTGCACCTGGCCTACTTAAACAATTTTTAAAATTACTTCTTAGTCTGTGTTATTTATTTTATAGAACATAAAATGTTAAAGTACTTATTAAGTAAACATATTTAGTAAAGATTATAATAGGTCTCAGATAATTCAAATGCATTAGTGCATAGTACCTTAAAGCTATACTTCAAATAAGTATAGCTTCAAATATATTTGCAAGCCATTTAGAAAAGAATGGAGGCTGGGTGTGGTGGCTTATGCCTGTAATCCCAGAATTTTGAGAGGCTGAGGTGGGCGGATCACTTGAGGCCAGGCATTCGAGACCAGCCTGGCCATCATGGCGAAACCTATCTCTACTAAAAATACAAAAATTATCCAGTTGTGGTGGCACGTGCCTGTAATCCAGCTGTTTGGAGGCTGAGGCATGAAAATTGCTTAAACACGGGAGATGGAGGTTGCAGTGAGCTGAGATTGAGCCACTGCACTCCAGTCTGGGCAACAGAGCAAGACTTCATCTCAAGAAAAGAAAGGAATGGATGCTTTTCTTTTAATTTCATGGTAGATTTTTAAAAATTGGATACAACTTTTTCAAATAATAAAATCATTTGAATAGAAAATTATTAGACTACCTGTTTCAACTTTTCTAGGTAATGACATGTGTTTGGTGTAATAAAAAAGGTCTTTTGGCTACAAGTGGCAATGATGGCACCATCCGCGTATGGAATGTTACCAAGAAGCAATATTCACTGCAACAGACCTGTGTGTTCAACAGATTGTGAGTGCTAACATCACGTGTATACCATTTAAAATAAGAGAATCCTAAACATGCCTCATCTTGGTTGTGTTAATGTAATCATATTGTCACTAAAATTTTTTGAAATTTTCTTTTAGATTAGTATTACTGTATTTTCAGTGTGTATTTTTAACTTTCCAGGATAACAATTCAGAAAACATAATTTTAAATCATCTGTATCTGGACTTAGAATTAAATCAAGATCTACTAGTAAATAAATGTTCAACTATGTAAAACAGTAGGCTAATTTGCTATAGGTCTTTAAGAGTTGTTTAGGAATTAGAGTAATTATATTGCTTCCGTATCAGAATGTAGCATTTTCAACAGTTTTTTTTGTTTTGTTTTGTTTTTTTCTTTTTTGAGACTGAGTCTCGCTCTGCTGCCTAGGCTAGAGTGCAGTGGTGCAATCTCAGCTCACCACAACCTCTGCCTCCTGGGTTCAAGTGATTCTGCTGCCTTCTCTTCCCAAGAAGCTGGGACTACAGGTGCCTGCCACCATGCCCGGCTAATTTTTGTATTATTAGTAGAGACAGGGTTTCACTATGTTGGCCAGGCTGGTCTCAAACTCCTGACCTTCTGATCTGCCTGCCCCAGCCTCCCAAATGCTGGGATTACAGATGTGAGCCACTACGCCCAGCCGCATTTTTAATAGTTTTATAGCCAGCTGTAGCTATTTCTTTTCTGAAGTATTCCCAAGAGTTTAGGCAAATAAGAATCAATGTCTTCTGAATAATAACCATCTGTACAACACATACAGAATTTGAATGTCTTTATTGACAAGTTGTGTACTACATTAAATGAGGAAAAGTCTAATATCACTCTTTTATAATTCATTTTTCACATGATGACAAACATTAATGAGTGTGTAACTGTTAAATACTGCTAGCCAAGGTTTTGAAACAGAAGAATCAGTTATACACTCTAGTCTATATGAAACCCTTATTTTAAGGTTTGGGATTTAATTTACTTTTGAATGATGGGGATTAGAACTGCATATCTGTCTGTTATATTCTAGGGAAGGGGATGCTGAGGAAAGCCTGGGATCACCCAGTGATCCAAGTTTCTCACCAGTTTCCTGGAGTATCAGTGGCAAATATCTAGCAGGCGCTTTGGAAAAGATGGTGAATATCTGGCAAGTTAATGGTAAGAGTCATGTAAACACTAGTAAACTGCTGAAAGTAGTTTTTTAAAGCCTTCTTCTTAGTCTTCTGAGTCCAAACAGTGGTTTCTCTTCACCTTGAAATTCACAAGCCTTCCAACAACTCTGAAATTTCAATCTATGCACTGTGTGCTTCAAATTAGAGAGGAAGTGCTCATTTATTCACTTTTCTTTCTGGGACTTTCAACTAACCTAGTAGTTATAAACTTAAATTTTTTTTCTTGTACCACTAAGTATTCAGAGTAGGGTTTGGGGAGATGTAGTTGTCACTGAATTTTAAGCTATGTATTCTTTTGAATTGCTTGAAATATTTCTATTATGTTTATTTTGCAGGTATAAATTCTTGTCAGTTTTTATTATACCTCTCTGGAAAGTAAAAATAATTATTGTAATATCGAGCTTATTAGTATTTTCATTTGTTTTTACATATTTGAGGAATAGGTGTTCTGTGTCACATATTTGAGGAATAACTTCTGTGTGACATTTGAGGAATAGCTAGCCTTAACTGCAAGTAAGTTTCTTATGCCAATTTGGTTATCAGTAATTGTTGAGAAAGGACTTAAGTGCTTGACATTTGTACATTTGTACATTCAGTGTTTTTCTTTACACTCTCTTCTATAACGCTACCATTTTGCCCTATTAATAGTTACAGACAGCCAGGCGTGGTGACATATGCCTGGAACCTCAGGGACTCAGGAAGCTGAGGCTCAAGGATTGCTTGGGCCTGGGAGTTTGAGGCTTCAGTGAGCCATGATCATGCCATTGTACTCACTCCAACCTGGGCAACACAGCAAGACCCTCTTTCAAAAAAAAAAAAAAGGTTACAGAAAAACATTAATTTTATTTATTTATTTATTTATTTTGAGACGGAGTCTTGCTCTGTCATTCAGGCTGGAGTGCAGTGGCGTGATCTCGGCTCACTGCAGCCTCCATCTCCCAGGTAGCTGGGACTACAGGCGCGTGCCACCATGCCTGGCCAATTTTTTGTGTAGTTTTAGTAGAGAAGAGGTTTCACCATGTTGACTAGGCTGGTCTCGAATTCCTGACCTCAGGTGATCCGCCCGTCTTGGCCTCCCAAAGTGCTAGGATTACAGGCATGAGCCACTGTGCCCGGCTGAAAAACTTTAATTTTATGATCATATATAGTATTATAAATGAAGGATCCTGCCTTCATGGTCTTATTCATTAGTAGGCTATTATGAAATTTGGAACTGCTTTGAGTGTGTATTAGAATTAAGTAGTATTTGTTTCTGTTCCTTTTTTTCTTTTTAAGAATTAAGTAAAAACTAGTTAACATTTTTTCCCTTTTAGGAGGAAAAGGATTAGTAGATATTCAGCCTCATTGGGTATCTGCCCTGGCTTGGCCAGAAGAGGGTCCGGCTACAGCCTGGTCAGGAGAGTCTCCAGAATTGTTGTTGGTGGGACGGATGGATGGATCTCTGGGACTGATTGAAGTTGTTGATGTGTCCACCATGCACCGTCGAGAATTGGAGCATTGCTATCGAAAGGATGGTAAATGACTGCACTTACGTCTAGCTGACGGAGTCTCCAACTTCCTTTCTAGACTTAGCTTTTTGGCATTTGCTTTTAAAAATACCAAGTGAATATTATCTTGGCTTTGTTTTCAAAATTTTCCAGTCATGTTTTAATTTTAATTAGTTACTGAATTGAAAGATATTTATCTCCTAGCCCCCACCACACATCTCTGTCAAAATGAGATTTAATAGTATTATAACATTAGTAATTCATCTTTTGTGTGGCTTAATATTTATAGCAGATTCCAAGTCTCCTTTGAAAGTTAGGACTGTCCAAGAGAAAAAAAGGTCATAATCATTGGTAGAGATGAAATTGTTTTTTTTGTGTGTGTTTTGTTTTGTTTTGTTTTGAGAAGGAGTCTCGCTCTGTCACCAGGCTGAAGTGCAGTGGCGCGATCTCGGCTCACTGCAACCTCTGACTCCCTGGTTCAAGCTATTCTCCTGCCTCAGCCTCCCAAGTAGCTGGGATTACAGGCACTCGCCACCACGCCCAGCTAATTTTTGTATTTTTAGTAGAGACAGGGTTTCACCATGTTGGCCAGGATGGTCTCGATCTCCTCACCTTGTGATCCGCCCACCTTGGCCTCCCAAAGTCCTGGGATTACAGGCGTGAGCCACCGTGCCTGGCCGAGATGAAATTGTCTTTTAAAAAATGAGTAAAATTGAAGTAATGGAGGAAGGGGAAGCAGGGAATTCCTGGTCTGACAAGAGAGATTAGGAAGTCTGCTTTCTTCTTACTGTGGTGTTCCTTTGAACGTGAATGCATCTCACAAGATTTTGTTGGTTGTCTGGGGGAAGTGGGGTAATTCAAAGTCATAGTGCCTGCTTACATGGTATTCCATTAACAGAAGAGGTTTGTTTTGTTTGTTTAAGAATAGGTAATACTTTCATAGGGTTCAAAAATTCAAGTTTTAAAAAGCATACAGTGAAAAGTCTTTCTCCTGTCTACTCAGTTCCCACACTCCCATTCTACCCTCACAGATACTGTTTTTACTTCTTTTGTAGTCTTTCAGTGTTACATATACTTGAAGAAACAAGTAGAAATATAGATTGTGAGAACAGAACATTTTGATAGAATATGGAAACATACTGAATAGGGAATATTAAATAAGCAAAAAAAGAGATGTAATTTTCTTTCTATGACTTGGGTTCTTTCACTTCTCAGTTTCATGGTAGATTTTGGTCCAAAAGGAAAGAACCTATGGTGACTTACAATCAGCAAAGGAATTTAATTTTTGTCTCTATTTTTCAACAACCACCTGAAAAAGAATGAAAGATTATAAAGTAGGTAGCCCTTGTCACAGATAAGCGACACTTTTAAAAAGTATGTTACATGGAATCCCCACTGTACGCCTACATTTTGTCTAAATGCATTAAAGAGCTATTTGGAAATTTACTTGCAATGGTTGCATTATCATTATTTGTTTCAAAGTCTCTGTCTTTTAAGTCAGACAATGACAAATAATTATCTTTTCCTTACTCTTTTGTTTTGATCATGTTAGTGTCTGTTACTTGCATTGCATGGTTCAGTGAAGACAGACCATTTGCAGTGGGATATTTTGATGGAAAACTGTTACTGGGAACAAAGGAACCACTTGAGAAAGGAGGCATTGTTCTAATTGATGCACATAAGGTAAATGCATCTTTAAAAAACGTAATTTTATGGGATACAAATATAATTTTGTTACATGCATAGATTACACAGTGGAGAAGTCAGAGATTTTAAGATATCCATCACCCAAATGACATACATTGTACCCATCAAGTAATCTCTCATAATCCATCCTCCTCCCAGCCCTCACCTTCCAAGTCTCCCTTGTCTATCATTCCACACTCTAGGCCCGTGTGTACACGTGAGTTCCCTTTTCACCACTTTCTTGCCAACATCTGTTGTTTTTTGTCTTTTTAATAATAACCACTTAAAAGTGAAAAAAATGTAATATTTGCCTTTCTGTGTCTGACTTATTTCACTTAAGATAATGGGCTTCAGTTCCAACCATGTTGCTTAAAATACCTGATTTCATTCTTTTTATGGCTGCATAGTATTCCATTGTTTATATATACCATGTTTTCGTTATCCAGTCATCCATTGATGGACACTTAGGTTGATTCCATATCTTTGCTATTGTGAATGGTGTTGTGATAAATGTATGAGTGCAGGCATCTTTTTGAGAAAATGAATTATTTTCCTTTGGGTAGATACTCAGTAGTGGGATTGCTGGATCAAATGGTAGTTCTGGTTTTTGTTCATTGAGAAATCCCCATACTGTTTTCTATAGAGTTTGTACTAATTTACATTCAAACCAACAGTGTTTAAGAGTTCCCTTTTCACCACTTTCTTGCCGACATCTGTTGTTTTTTGTCTTTTTAATAATAACCATCCTGACTGGGGTGAGATGATATCTCATTGTGTTTTTTTTTTTCTTTTAATGTAAATTTTTATTTTTTTAGACAGAGTCTAGCTTTTTCGCCCAGGCTGGAGTGCAGTGGCGCGATCTTGGCTCACTGCAATTTCCAACCCCCAGGTTCAAGCAATTCTTCTGCCTCAGTCTCCTGAGTAGCTGGGATTACAGGCACCCACCACCAAACTGGCTAATTTTTATATTTTTAGTAGAGACAGGGTTTCACCATGTTGGTCAGGCTGGTCTCGAACTCCTGACCTCAAGTGATCCACCTGCCTCAGCCTCCCAAAGTGCTGGGATTACAGGCGTGAGCCAACGTGCATGGCTCATTGTGGTTTGAATTTGCTTTTCTCTGATGATTAGTGATGTTGAGCATTTTTTCATATGCCTGTTGGCTATTTGTATATATTCTGGTAAAAGCATCTTTACCAGATAGTTGCTTTTTCTTGTTTTGTTTTGTTTTTGTTTTTGTTTGTTTGTTTGTTTTTTCCTGAGATGGAGTCATGCTCTGTCACCCAGCCTGGAGTACAGTGGCACGATCTCAGCTCACTGCAACCTCTGCTTCCCGGGTTCAAGCAATTTTCCTGCCTCAGCCTCCTGAGTAGCTGGGATTACAGGCGCCCGCCACCACTCCCGGCTAATTTTTTTTTTTTTGTATTTTTACTAGAGACGGGGTTTCACCATGCTGGCCAGGCTGGTCTCGAATTCCTGACTTCATGATCCGCCCACCTCGGCCTCCCAAAGTGTTTGGATTACGGGCGTGAGCCACGGTGCCCAGCCTTCTTGGTTTTTTTTTTTTTTAGCCTCTACTATTGCTTGATACTAGTTTCTTTTAAAATTTTTTTACATCAGTCACTTATGACTTAATGTTCTGTTGTTGCACAGAATCTTTGGACCATGGATATACATGGATAAGTCTATGTAAAAATAAATAAGCCATGAAAGAGTAAAGCTAAAACAGTGAATTATGAACACCCTGGTAATACCTCCTGTTCAAATGCTCCCAGTAATGTCAGAAATTCCGTTCATGAAGAATGATTTTTTTACCTTAAACAGAGGTTGCCAGTTCAGATATTTACAGGACCATCTAGGCAAGTAGCGTAAATGCATGAAACCAGGAGTTAGAAGATGTGGAAGAGGATTGAAAAATAAAAATAAAATCAGAAGAGCACAATGATCACAGCCATATAAACACAAAACATATCCCAGATTCTCATTAGTGTTTGCTATTGGGATGTAAGGGGTGCATTTTTTTAAGTCTCTTCTTTTTTATACTGTAATGATTATTAGTCAATAAGGATAACTCTTAATAAATACAAATGCTAATGAGAGATAACATATCCCTTTTGAGTCAGAATTTCATAATTCATTTATCCTGCTAACATTTGTTGAGCTTTAACTGCAGCAAATATATATAACACAGACTACATTAAAGGGTAAGTTGGTCTAGTGATTGGGAATGATATGGCAGTATCTGATTTGCATAAAATATTGATTTCAAAATAAATGAGTTATAGAAATATAGATGCTAAGAAATATAAGTTATGTATTACTGAATTTAAAGTATTTGTGAAGGAAACATTACTCTGATTTTTTTTCTCTTCCTTCCATTTTAAGGATACTCTTATTAGCATGAAGTGGGACCCTACAGGTCATATTCTTATGACATGTGCCAAAGAAGACAGTGTGAAACTCTGGGGCTCTATTTCGGGATGCTGGTGCTGTCTACATTCACTCTGCCATCCATCTATTGTAAATGGCATTGCTTGGTGCCGCCTTCCAGGGAAAGGATCCAAGTTGCAGTTACTGATGGCTACGTATGTTGTCAATTTGCATCTATACGTCTTAGTTTTTATATTGGTATAGACTGTTATCTGCATTAAGTGTGGCTTCTCAGTAGTCTTAAAGAGTTTATTGCCAGTTGCTATTCTTATAATGTGTAACATTATAAGATTACCTCAGAGAAAAGAAAGAGTAGTAGTTGTCCAGTGTGAAACTTGGTATGTAATCTCCTTATCTCTGGGTGTGATGTTGTTAGAATATTGGCCTCGGTTGTATTTCTTGTAAAAGATTGTATGTACTACAAATAAGTTTAAAAAATAATGCAGTGGTTCTATCAGATCTTAATTGATTGCAATTCGGAAATATTTTTACTTAATGCATATTGACATGTTTTGGTTTTATGTGATCAATTTTTTTAAGTGGCTGTCAGAGTGGCTTAGTATGTGTTTGGCGCATTCCTCAAGATACTACACAGACCAATGTGACTAGTGCAGAAGGATGGTGGGAGCAGGAATCAAATTGCCAGGTAACATTCTGGTGTTTTTGAAGACTGTCTGAAACTATGGAAAGTATATGACATCAGAGTCATTCTCCCTTGGTTACTAAAAAAGTCATTACTATATCCCAAAGGGCAAGATCCATTGGGAAATATAAGTAATTGTCATCCTGAATTAGCTTAATTTTTTATAAATCAGAGATACCATAATTGCTTGGTAAAATGAGATATTCTATACATATTAAGTGGTGACTGTTACTGTGATAGTGGATATAATTGATACTACAGATAGACGAGTCATAAGTTGTTAGTACATTAAAATAGAAACTCCATGGGAGCACATCCATCCAAAGAATCTCCAACTGATGCCAGAATCCTTGCTATGAAGAATGATTTATTTATATTAAACAGAAGTTACAAATGTATATATTTATAGAGAGCCCTCTAGGCGAGTAACATAAATTCATGAAGCTAGGGTTAGAAGGTTTGGAGAGGGTAAAAAGCAAAAACAGAAAAAAAAAACAAAGAAGCTTACATGCTTTATATAAAGGCACACAGCTGATTGTCAGTTTCTAGAATTAAGAGCCTGTTGTTACCAGATTGTTTTATTTTTTCTATAGATGCTAAGAATCCAATGTTTAAGTAAAATCTCCCAATATTAAACATTGGCACCTAACTTAAAATTGTTTAAAACACTGAGTGGCCAGTCAGATCGCATCTCTGAGCTACCAGTTTGTACATTCTGTTGCCTTCCTTTTGCTCATGATACCCTTGGAAGAAATACACTTTACATCATCTTTGGGTAGTGAATACATATAGTATTATGTTGTCATAACTAAAAGGAAGAAGGAGCTTAAGGATGGGGAGAAAGGGTGGAGAGGGAGGGAAGGAGTAGCCAACTCACTAATAGGAGAATATCACAGCAGTGGAGGTGGGAGTACTACAGATAGGTCTGGTTTACTCTTTGTGCTGGAGGGCAGCCCTATAGACAGGCCTTACCTATGTCACTTCTAAAGCTTGCAGAACAAATGTGTGACAGACAGAACCATTAGCCAACAAAAAGAGGAATCTATTTATATAGAGTCAGCATGTGCAGTTCACAAATGTTAGGGGATAAAAATGAAAATTACATGAAGTGAAAATTTAAAAATCAAAACACTGGTTAAAAAGTAGTCAGTATTTTCCTGTCTCTGAGGGATAATTAGAACTTTGAGATGTTATTTCTGTAGTTTGAAGAGTAGAAAACTAGTTTAGAAATATATTTTTTAAAAAAGATGAAAGCTTCAACAAAGGGAATCAGATTGATATTTTATTACTGATTCAGTCAAGCTTACTATCCTTTATGAGAGAAATTATCTCTCCCCCTTGCCAATTTTATTCTGAAATATAAAATTTCCAAGAGTGAATGATAAATCTTGAACTTATATAATTTATCTTTATTTTAATGCATGTTAAAAATAATGAATTTCAGGATGGATATAGGAAATCATCAGGAGCCAAGTGTGTTTATCAGCTGCGGGGACACATCACTCCTGTTCGGACTGTTGCCTTTAGTTCTGATGGGTTGGCCCTGGTGTCTGGTGGACTAGGTGGGCTCATGAACATTTGGTCTTTAAGGGTAAGAGCATAGATTTTATTTTTATGTTAAGGAATATTTTGACACTAACTTAAACACATGTGATAAAAATTAACCAATTGTAGAAACATTTTATATAGTAATCTCTTGAATACTGAGGAAACTTCTTTCAGAATCCTCTGCCCTTACATTTTTCTTACTGATGATAAGTGTTTTTAAAATCAGCTGTGTCCTAGAAAATTTTGTAGTAGGTATGTGATTGGACGTTGCTGAATTTAGCTAAAATGTAGACTTTAGAATATGTTTTTGTCAATGTGAAATAGAAATTTAAATGTAAATTATACCTACAGTTCAATGGTGTGTATTGGTAAATATATCTCATTTTAGGATGGCTCTGTCTTGCAAACTGTTGTGATAGGCTCTGGAGCTATTCAGACCACAGTATGGATTCCAGAAGTTGGAGTAGCTGCTTGCTCAAATAGATCAAAGGTAATATTGTAGTTATATCAAATGATAGGGTGTAAGCTTGTAAGGAACTTTAGAAATCATAGTCTAACCACCCCACTTTATGGAGGAGAAACCTGATGTCCAGAGGGATTACTACTTGTCCAAAACAGTGCAACTATTTAGTAGCAGAAGGAGAATTAGAACCTAAGTCTCCTGATTTATAGTCTAGTGTTTTTTCTACTACACCCCATACTTTGGTGACAGTGCTTAGATATTGAACAATTTCATTTCCATTGGAAGTGATAAAGTAGATTTTGACTTTCTGCCATGATTTTTGACAGTAGCACTAAACTATCTCAAGGCCAGGTGCAGTGGCTCATGCCTGTAATCCCAGCACTTTGGGGAGGCTGAGGTGGGCAGATTGCTCAAGGTCCTGAGTTCAAGACCAGCTTGGCCAACATGGTGAAACCCCATCTCTACTAAAAATACAAAAATTAGCCAGGCGTGGTGGCACATGCCTATAGTCTCAGCTACTTGGAAGGCTGAGGCGGGAGAATTGGTTGAACCCAGGAGGCAGAGGTTGCAGTGAGCCGAGACTGCGCCATTGTACTCCAACCTGGGTGACAGAGTGAGAGCCCATCCCAAAGGAAAAAAAAACTCTCTCAAACAATTTTTCCTTGAAAAGGAGAAGCATTGCAAAGACATTTAACTAAGTATACAAAATATATCTTGGCTTTCAAATTTAATATTCTAGTAAAACTGCTGGTCCCCTGCTGTGAAGTAATTCTATGATATAACATTATTCCCTACAGTATTATTTTTCATACCCTTAAAGATTAGAGCCGATGTGCTGATTTGATTTACATTTTATATGGTTAAATGATGTTAAAATAAGCTGTAAACCTTCATGAAAGGTTCTACTGCAAGTAAAATGTAGAATCAGACCCTAGGCAGTAGTGGCCTGTGTAGAATAAACCACAGAGCCAGAGTTAAAGCAGTGCTACCTCTTTTGCAGCTATCCTTGTAGTCATGTCAGACATGACTTTTGAAATATAGTAGATGCCTTATTCTGCAGGTTCTGAAGAAATAGTTAATTATTGACATTTTTTCCTTAAAAAGTACCAGCTAATCAGAGGTAGTTCACAAATTTTATTATTTCTCATTATTTTTTACTTAGACAAAATTTAGGATATTTTGAAGTTCCATAGGCATTAAAAGCATAGCCTTTTTGGATATAAAATATCCAAAAAGCAAAGATGTCCCAGTTACTAGAAGGAATTTCGCAGATTAAATGGTGATAGCATTATTTTTTATTTAAACAAATTTATTATGTGGCATGATTTATTTTCAACCAGGATGTTTTGGTCGTGAATTGTACAGCAGAATGGGCAGCTGCCAATCATGTTTTGGCAACCTGTAGGACAGCATTGAAACAGCAGGGTGTTCTGGGATTGAACATGGCTCCCTGCATGAGAGCATTTTTGGAGCGGCTCCCCATGATGCTTCAGGAGCAGTATGCCTATGAAAAGGTAACTCATTACACTCACTCCTAGAGATACACAGATACCTGGTGCTTTGGAATGTGATTATAGCCTTGAACTTATCCCTTAAAAGCATGAGGTCTGAGGATAATAAGTGGGGCTATTTGGGCAGAATCAAATGAAGGTAAGTCATGCCTAAAAGAGTTGTTCAGCAACCCTAAGCCTATTCTTGCTTTATTTTCACCAGAGTAAAATAAAGAAACAAACACCAAGTTTGTATTACTGCTTTTCAGATTATTTATTCACTCCAAAGCTTCTTAAAATACCTATGCAGCAGAATATCTTCCCTTTTCTGACCCACACATATATCTATTTTTATATGGCTTGGCCATTCCAAAGTTGAGGGATAGGGATGGATGCGGGTATCAGACTGAATATCGTCTCCACTTATTAGATAAATCTTTGTGGAAAATTTAGTGGAAGAGCTATGTTGAATTGAGTAGGGTCATTAAATACTGGAATGAGGAATTGCAGCGTTTGAACTTGTCCAGACAGTGATCCTAAAGTAGCCTGTCTTCCAGCTTTTTGCTTTTCCTTTGATGGCTACCAGGATTCTCTTATAAAGGAGGAAAGTGAGAAGAGCAGATCTCTGTGGTTAAATAGTTACCTGCTTTTTTTTCCAATCAAGAAAAACCATGATGAAAATGTACTATATGCAGTGTGATAGCTTAGATTGGATCCTGGAGCAGAAAAGGAGTATTAATGGGAAAACTGAGGAAAACCAAATAAAGTTCTGTGGTTTAGTTAGTATTGTACCAATGTTAGTTTGTTAGTTTTGATAAATGTGCCAGGGTTGTATAAGATGTTAACATTGGATAAAGTTGGGCGAAGGGTATACAGAAATCCTCGGTACTATCTGTACAACTCACTCTAAATCTAAAATTATTTCCTAGCAAAAAGCTTAAACAGTAAACTTGAAAAATATGATTCCAGACTTTCAGACTACGGTAGGTTAATTTAGAATATTTGGCACAAACTCTTTGACATATTATATCCTTGTATTTTGTTTTAGCCTCATGTGGTTTGTGGTGACCAACTTGTTCATAGCCCCTATATGCAATGCTTGGCTTCCCTTGCTGTGGGACTTCATCTGGATCAGCTGTTGTGTAACCCTCCAGTGCCACCACACCACCAGAACTGTCTCCCTGACCCTGCATCCTGGAATCCAAATGAATGGGCCTGGTTAGAATGTTTCTCAACCACTATAAAAGCTGCCGAAGCCCTGACCAATGGAGCCCAGTTTCCAGAATCTTTTACCGTTCCAGATCTAGAACCTGTTCCAGAGGATGAACTTGTATTTCTAATGGTAAATGTACTGTGAGCTGCTATTATTTGCAGCTGAGATTTTATCATGGGTATTGGGCATGTAGCAGACCCCTAATAAGTCTTTGCTGGTATGCATGGCTAGAAGGATACCCTTAAGAGAAATGGAAAATATTTTTCTTTCAGATAGTCACTTTCAATCTGATGGCAGGCCTCCATAGTGACAGGAATTGATAATGTAAGCACTGTTGAACTCTTGTAAACCTGCCACCTCTCAATGACATAGTCCCATATTTTCTCATTTTCTTTTGTCCATAGGTACTTTGTTAGTGCTTTAGTTGTATATATCTTAGCATCTTTTCCTGGTCATCTTGTGGGTTATATGCCACATATAGATTCTAATTTATTTGGCATTTCAATCATGTCTTTAATTAGCATCAAATAAAATATAGAAGAGCATTCTAATTGTCATTTCATTCTGTTTGTATTTGAGAGTGTCTACTCTAGAAACTGTGACATAGATAAAATACCTGTTTAGACTACAGGACAGCACATGATCTAACAACCTCTTTGTATACTTAAGATTTATGTATACAAACATTTGGATAAACATTGATACAATATGAAACAGACAAATATAAATTAAGTAAAATTATGTAACTGTAGCTATGCATCACTTAATGATGGGGATATGTTCTGAGAAATGCATTGTTAGGCAATCTTGACGCTGGGAATATCATAGAGTGTATAGTACTTACACAAACCTAGATGATACAGCCTACTTGCAACAAGACTATACGGTATAGTCTGATTACTCCTAGGCTACAAACCTGTACAGAATATGACTGTATTCAATGCTCTAGGCATTTGTAACAGTGATAAGTATTTGTGTATGTAAACATAGAAGATATAATAAAAATAAGGTTTTATAATCTTAAGAGACCATCTTCACACATGCAGTTTGTTGTTGACTGAAATGTCACGTGGCACAAAAGTATACAATATTTTAATCAGAAAATGTCCTTCTAAGCCCATTTGGCCCAACTCTGTAATTTTGTAGATGAGGAAGCTGAAGCCCAGAAAGATGAAGTAATTTGCCCACAGCTACACAAAGAGTTTACAGGGGTGTGGGGTCCTCCACATGACCTTGTACCTGTGGGTGTTCAGAAAACACATGGCTAGCTTTGAATCACCAATGCCATAGTGATAGTGATAGTGAAAGTGTTTATAATAAAGGGAAATACTGACAGTGCATAAAATCAAGTTTGACATAATTATAAAACTGCTCTTAATTTATCATAATATTACCATATTCTTTTTTGGAAATAAGACTTAATGATTAGAAGAGGACTTTGTGGTTAAGAGCAGGTGCATCTTGCCTAAGCAGAATTGATCATTATGTACCCCCTGTTTTTCAGGATAACAGTAAATGGATTAACGGCATGGATGAACAAATTATGTCTTGGGCAACTTCCAGACCTGAGGTCAGTAAAGATGAAGATAACTGTATGATGGTTCTCAGTCAATGTTTTGATTCTAAATGCTTGTGTGTTTGTGCCCTGGTGTCTCCCATACAGGCTGGCACACACTTGGTACGTAGTACATGGCTGTTTGAGTGAATGGATGACTCTAATTTTGAGATGATTGTGGTTTTCTAGGACTGGCACCTGGGAGGTAAATGTGATGTCTACTTATGGGGTGCTGGTAGGCATGGACAGCTGGCAGAAGCTGGAAGAAATGTAATGGTACCTGCAGCAGCTCCCTCATTCTCACAGGCCCAACAGGTAACTAACAGGATAAAAAATAGAAAAGAAACATGGGAACTGAAAATTCTAATTCTTTTGCTTGTCTTATTGTGGGATAAAGCTTGTCCATTTCATAATCTATTATGAGGAATCATTAAAGAAAGTCATGATATATAGCTTTCAAATAAAAACTTGGTGTGGTTTTTATCAGACTTAAGAAGTTAACAAATTTCTAAATTTTTCTTTCAAGTTTAATGAACTAACATCATGATGTGTTAGGCCTGCCCAGTATGTATTTCTAGCAGTTTAGATACTCCTAATTAGTGATTTTCTCTTTGGGGCTAAAAACTTCCTAGGATCTTTAGCCAGATTTTATCGACCACTCCCCTTTTCTAATAATCCTGGTACGATATAGCGCCAAACCCTTCTCGAGGCCTCTGCTTTCTCTTTTGCTCTTCTTTACCTCAGCTAGTCCAGATTGCATGACTCATTCTTATGTACGAGTTTCTGCTTCTTTCTAGCCCAGTCTTTAATGTTTCCCCATCACCCCTTCCTTTTTCTTTCATCCATTTTGTTGTTCTAAACTATTTTAAATGGATGAATCTCATACATCTCTTGGTTAAATAAGCAGTTTTATAGTCATCAAGGAGTTACGGGACTGCATAGTTATATCAACTCTTCCCTTTCAGTAAAAGGATAAAACAATTATAAAAGCATTCTATGTATACGTGGAATCATTTCAAGTGCTTGCATGTTAAAGCAATATAATAAAGAATAAAATATTTAATTCTGTGTTTTTATACTAGGTCATTTGTGGTCAGAATTGTACCTTTGTCATCCAGGCCAATGGCACAGTGTTGGCTTGTGGGGAAGGAAGTTATGGCAGATTAGGACAAGGAAATTCAGATGACCTTCATGTGCTGACAGTTATTTCAGCCTTACAAGGTAAAATTGTCCTTAATAAAAAGATGGTTAGAACCTAAGGCCTAATGTAGGTTTGGTCGTACAAACCTTTGCCCTTCTCAAACCTTTGCTAGATAAAATCATATCAGGTTTTCACTTACATTTAAATCCTTATTTAGGCATGTGTGCAGCCTTAATTTCCATATTTTAAGCTATATTGCAGGTTACTTATAGCAATGCTAGAATTCAGTGAAATATAAATAACACTTTTTGAGACCCACTGAAGATTGTAAACAAATGCTTAAAAATTGCAAAAGTGTAAGTAGGCAGATGTTAATAGCAGTAGCAATCATGCATGTATTTCATTAAAATTAAAAATCAGTTTATATGGAAATCTGCAAATGTGCTAAAGACTTTAAAGGACATCTTCATCAGAGTTCTTTGTGACTTGGAGAGAGAACACCTTTGGAGAAACCACTGTACAAGCCCCCGGCTTGCTCATTAACTGAACTCATAATGACTCTGAAGCCTACAAAGAGAGCACCGACGGTTTTTTTAGGTAAAAGCATACAAGTAACTATGAGTTCAAAACAAGTTCCTAGAAGCTCAGGTTCTTTTCATTGTGATCTGAGTGTGAAGAGCACAGCAGTAAAGATGAGAATGTGTGCTGGGTTCCTATGGGTTCTACTGGTCCTTGGCTCTGGGACATTGCACAAGCTTCGAGACCTCTTTGTGACTCAGTTTTCCCACTTGTAAAAATGGGATGTTAGTATCTGTTTCATAGGTGCTATGTGAAAGTAGAAAATGAGATAATCCATGTAAAGCATTTATAGGAGTGGCTAGAGCATAGCCAGTCATTAATGACTGTAACTATTGCTGTCATCCTCGTTTTCCTTGTCATCACCATTATTTTAGGTGACTATTCGCAGTTTTGCTAGGTTATGGCTACAAATTCAATTTAAAACTAAAGAAATTAGGCCGGTTACTGTGGCTCATGCCTGTAAACCCAGCGCTTTGGGAGGCCGAGGTGGGCGGATCACTTGAGGTCAGGAGTTCATGACCAGCCTGGCCAGCATGGTAAAACCCTGTCTCTGTTAAAAATACAAAAATTAGCCAGATATGGTGGCACATGCCTGTAATCCCAGCTACTCAGGAGGCTGAGGCAAGAGAATCACTTGAACCGGGGAGGTGGAGGTTGCAGTGAGCCGAGATCACACCACTGCACTCCAGCCTGGATGACAGAGTGAGACTCCATCTAAAAAAAAAAAAAAAACTAATGAAATTATTCTTATTTTCATAGTACCAATTCGGTGGTTTTTGATTGAGGGTATTCAGTAGCAGCTGCAAGTAAAGAGGAGAGTTTTAACATCCAGTGACTCCTGTTGGGTTTCTGTTCTGTTCCAGGCTTTGTGGTGACCCAGCTGGTGACTTCCTGTGGTTCTGATGGGCACTCTATGGCCCTAACTGAAAGTGGTGAGGTCTTTAGCTGGGGAGATGGTGACTATGGTAAACTTGGCCATGGGAACAGCGACAGGCAGCGGCGGCCCAGGCAGATCGAGGCCTTACAAGGAGAAGAAGTGGTGCAGGTCAGGCAGGAAATGGATAAGTTTGCCTTTCATTGTAAATATACTAGTTGTTGAATAGGTTTCTTAAAATTAGGTAACAGAAAATATAGTAAAAATATATTACACAGTAATTATAAGAGATCCATTGGTTTTGGATGTTCAGATTCATTCTTGAGCTTGTCAGAAGTTTGAATAGGCTTTGGTGTTAGTATTGGTCTTGTTAGTATTGGTTAGAATGGTCTTTTTCGTGAGCCAGCTGGTTGGCCCAGACTAGGGTGCTGCACGCCCTTGGAAGGAATATTGTGTGGTTTAACTTCTGCCACACAGTTCTTAATACACAGATAAAAGGAAAACTTTGCTTTTAACCTATCATTTATGTTACAAAAGCTAAGTTAACATGCATTTTCTGGAAAATAGTGTTCTAAAATCATATTGTAAGATTGTATAGCACCTTATAGTTTACAAACAATTTCCCCATTTATTATCTCATTTAGTCTAGGTCATGTGTACACAGCTGAAGAGTAGCAGTAGTTACTCCAGGGTATGCTGTTCAGCTTGGGCTTCCTGAGGCTGTTGAGACAGATCAGACTTGGGAGAGCAGGAGAGCAACTTGGGCAGATAAATGTACCAGTTGGCCAGATGCAGTGGCTTATGCCTGTAATCCTAACACTTTGGGAGGCCAAGGCAAGAGGATTGCTTGAGGCCAGGAGTTTGAGACCAGCCTAGACAACATAGCAAGACCCTGTCTCTACAAAAAATAGAAATAAATAGCCAGGTGTGGTAGCACATGCCTGTAGTCCCAGCTACTTGGGAGGCTGAGGTGGGAGGATTGCTTGAGCCCAGGAGTTTGGGGCTGCAGTGAGCTGTGATCACACCACTGCACTCCAGCCTAGGTGACAGAGCAAGACACTGTCTCTTTAAAATTTAAAAAAAAATTAAAAAAAAAAATTTTTAAAAGCATTGGTCTTTGAAGATCCAGTTTTCAGTGAAGTTTATGTAAAGTTTATTGCTATATTAATACCAAAAATGGCAGATTTACTTTTTTCTTAGTTTCCCTTCTTAAAAATTTTCTTTCTCCTTGGTTCTGTCTTAGATGTCTTGTGGCTTCAAGCACTCAGCAGTGGTCACTTCAGATGGCAAACTGTTCACCTTTGGGAATGGTGACTATGGTCGTCTGGGTCTTGGAAATACCTCTAACAAAAAACTTCCAGAGAGAGTGACTGCACTGGAGGGATATCAGATTGGACAGGCATGGAATAAATCAATAAGATATTCTAGCTGATCATTGTTTCTCATTTCTTCTGTGTTCGCTTAGACACCCTCAGGAAGATCAGGATCACCAGTTGTACCTAACCTCATGTACATTTTGCTATGGTCTAATTGATAATTTTAACTGTTTCCCAATGTGAAATTCATATTTTAAGTCAATTTAAGTTTGTTTATGTGACAAACCAACAAATGTAACCCTTATTTCAGGACGTGAATATTTTTAAAGCCCCCTCCATAACATACTAATACCACTTGCTATTAAACCCTTAAAAAATACAGATACTAGTAGCTCCTGTCTGGTATCCTTGAGTTGTATGGCTGAATTGCAACATCACTGGTAGCTACTGCTCCTAAGTAGTAATTATCTCTGTCTTGTATACATCAAGAGTGTCCTTTAACAAGGAAATATTTTTGGCTTTTTCTATATCATTCCTTAGATACTTTTTGATATGAATGAATATTTTTGGGTCATGTATACTTTTCCTCTATCTTTCATACTGATTATGGTTTAGCCACAGACATTTGAAGGATTTCACTTTGAAGAAAAAAGTTATATATGGACATTAAGAATTATTTCTTGTTGACTTACTTTGGTTAACATTTGTAGTATGCTCTGAAACCATTGTAGATATTTGGAAACATAGCCAAGTTTTTCACTGAAGTAGAGAAAAAGGGTCCCAGAAACGGGGGAGTGTGTTTTAGGTCTTGTGATTTGCCTTACGGAATGCTGTTATTTCTTTAGGTGGCCTGTGGATTAAACCACACTTTGGCAGTGTCAGCAGATGGTTCCATGGTGTGGGCTTTTGGAGATGGAGACTATGGAAAACTAGGCTTAGGAAATTCCACTGCAAAATCTTCACCTCAGGTCAGTACTGCCTTGAGTCTAGGTTTTCAGACAACATAAATAGTTTTCATCTATGTCAGTAGTTATTATTAGTTGGAAATAATTTACCTTTAGTACTTTTGGTAGTTCATAATGAAGTTTAGAAGCTTCTGTTGTGCATTCTTGAATGCCCACATGCTAGGTCTTGATTTTAAATAAGCTATTAATCCAGCTAAACTGGATTTAAAATTCTGCAAGGATAAGCTTCTGTCTCCAAAAATGGGTTTCACACTGTAGGACCTCTGATGTAGGGAAGAAATAGTTAGAAACATATCTCCAGGATGTCATGGAAGGAACTATGAGTAATCCTTTGTAACCCTCTGCATGCAGCTGCCATTTCTGCTTATTATTACCACTGAATTAACACAGGTACACGTCTCCTTTTAAGAAAACAATACAAAGGAAATCTGAGTCCATGAAGAAAGAAATTAGAAGCTGTTATTCATACTATAGAAGATTTCTTGACTCTACAGAAGTCCTTCTATGTGATTGTTTTATGTGGGTTTTCCTGACGTATTTCACAAGCAGTGTGATTTACAAAGCTTCAGCTTATATTCAGATTCACCACCATTTATAGTCTGTGACATCCTGATAGCTAGACTAGTGAATATTAAGCTACGTATGCAGAGAGGCAGGAAAACTGACTCTGGGGAACATATAAAGCAGTTATTGTCGCCCATAAAAGCTAAAATGTTAAACTAACATGGTCTTCTAGTGTTCTTTAAAAGGTCCTGGAATTCTCCCTGGTCTCTATTACCCAGAGGAATGCTTCTGCTTCACACAGGGCCCTGGGGACTTTAGTCAAACTGCCTCTGCCCCTGCACACTCCCTCCCTGAAATTCAGTTAGTTTGCAGAACAGTAGGAGAAAATAACATTTCAGGTTTGGATTTGGGTCGAACAGGTAAGTGACAATTAGTATTTTTGTTGGAAGGTAGTTCTTGATACATGCCATTAGGCAAATTCAAGAGTGATTTTTTTTCTTCTTAAAGTTGTGTGCCTTACACTTTTATTTTGTAGAAAATTGACGTCCTTTGTGGAATTGGAATAAAAAAGGTTGCTTGTGGAACTCAGTTTTCTGTTGCTTTGACCAAAGATGGTCATGTGTATACCTTTGGTCAAGGTAAGACATTTTTCAGCTTATTTGCTTGGGTACACATCATTATAAACATTGGCCTTCCAGTGTTACAGAATGTGCTCTAAATTGAGTCCTTTTTTTGTTCTAGGTGGTGAGTAGTCACTATGACCTCCTTTCAGTATAGATAATTTTCCACTTCTCTTTCATGTGCTTTATTATAAAGACAAACTCCCCTCCCCATTAAGACCCCTTATGCCAGAGCCAGCACTCTTGCTAGAAGAGTCCCTGCCAAGGGCCGTCCCCTCTTCTTTTCTACTGCCCTTGACATGCTGCCACAAATACTGCCTTGACCATCAGAGCTCCTCTGTGTCCTGCCTCATTCTTCATCCCTTCTAGGGACTGGGGCTGCAGATCTTAGGAACTGGAGGAATTCATAGGCACTCTGGGTTCAAATCTTGAGTAGGTTCGTAACCCAGGCATTCACAGTAGGACTGAGATTCTTGGCAAGGGTAGTTGTTTAGGGATATGTGAGACAGGTGTGAGGAAGAGGAAGTAAACCATGACTGAAGTTTCTAGTTGTGGGAGAACATCGATGCCTCTGACTGAGGACATGAGCTGGTTTGTGGGGAAGGGTAAGGAATTTAGTTTTAGTTATGTTGAATGGACCCATTTGCCCTAAATAAATGTGTGGAAATGTCCACTAGGCTATTGAGAATTTAGATCTGGAACTCCAGAAGGATTGATTATGAAGATGTAGGTTTAGGACATTAGCTGCATAATGATAGTAGTTAAATCCTTATTCGTATCATCTAAAAAACCCAGAGAGAGAGAGTATAGAATGAGAAAAGAAGAAAATAGAGCTCTGGGGCATGTGATGTAAAGGGCAGGTGGGCACAGGAATAAGACTTGGGAGGGCCGGGCGCCGTGGCTCACACCTGTAATCCCAGCATTTTGGGAGGCCGAGGCGGGTGGATCACCTAAAGTCAAGAGTTTGAGACCAGCCTGGCCAACATGGCGAAACGCCGTCTCTACTAAACAGACAAAAATTAGCCGAGCGTGGTGGCAGGCGCCTGTAATCCCAGCTACTCGGGACGCTGAGGCAGGGAGAATTGCTTGAACCTGGAAGGCAGAGGTTGCAGTGAGCCAAGATTGTGCCATTGCATTCCAGCCTGGGCGACAAGAGCGAAACTTCATCTCAAAAAAAAAGATTAAAAAGAAGAAGAATTGGGAGAGCTGGCTTTGAAAGGAGTGGGAAGAGAGGTCACTGATGAGCCAGGGCAGTGCAGTCTCTGAGAGGCAGGAAAAGCTGAGGCCACATTATTAGAAGGTTGCATGATGTTCCCATGGGCTGGAGCCTGAAAAGAAGCCACTGCAGTAGGCAATTAGGAGCTCACTCATGGCTTTTGAGAGTAGAATTTCAGTGCAGTGGAGACAGTGGAAGTTAGGCTGCAGAAGGTGGGCAAGCCAAATGGACCTAGCAGACTTTGCGCATCAGGGGCTGGCTGGCACCCTCTAGAAGTTTGGCAAGGTAAGGGGAGAGGTTGGTTGGAAGTTTGAGGACAAGACAAGTTGAATGATCTCTCATTTTAGAATATAAGAAACTTAAAATTAGCCAGGCATGGTGGCATGTGCCTGTGGTCCAAGCTACTCAGGAGGCTGAGGTAGGAGGATCATTTAAACCCGACAGGTTGAGGCTGCAGTGAGCCGAGGTCGCACCACTGCACTGTACTCCAGTCTGGGCGACAGAGCGAGACCCTGTCTCAAAAAAGAACATAAGAAACTTGAGGGCCTGAACTGTGTCAGTCAGACCCTATCCTTTCAAAGATGTGGATATTGGAGAAGCCTCTTATTTTGAAACAAGTTACCGAGTTTAGATACAACTTTTTAAAAAATTTTTATGAATAAAGAGCCTGTGATGTTTTGCAGAGAAACAGCTTCACACTTTTTATTTATTCAGAACGTGGTGTACCTTTCCAGAATAGCAGCTTTAGCCTCAGTTGAGTTATATGTGTCATTGCCATTCCACCATAATAAGCTAAATGACTGATCAGAAAATATAAAAGCACTGTGTTGTGTGGTGCATAACATTTCCACATGTTTTTGTTTTGTTTTTTTCAGATCGCCTGATAGGCTTGCCAGAGGGGCGTGCTCGCAATCACAATCGACCGCAACAAATCCCTGTCCTGGCTGGAGTAATCATAGAAGATGTGGCAGTTGGAGCTGAACACACACTTGCTTTGGCATCAAATGGAGATGTGTATGCCTGGGGGAGCAATTCAGAAGGGCAGGTAAATATTTATATTGCTTGCTGCTTTCTCATATTCTAGAAATCTCACAGTGTTCCTCAGTTGGGGAAAGAGATAAGCTAGGAAATTCATAATCTACTGCAATACTCCAAGCACATCACTTTGCTATGGGACTGATTATTTTGTAAGTCTAGTTATGTCTTTCTCTCTCGACTGCGGCCAAAGAAGTATTATACCATGGTTTAAAACAATTCTGGTAGTACAGCAAAGTGATTAAGGGGATTGGCTGAGTATTTATGTGTGTGTCCTCATACACTGTTAAGTGCCTGGCATGTAGTAAGCTGCAGTATGTAAGGATTTGCTACTGTCAACATTATCATCATTACTACAGCAAGATGTGAGATTAGGTCCTGGGAACATCAGTTGATATGGGAAAAAGAATGAAACAATAATATTTTTATATTTTATAATATGATGGCATACAAAGTATCTTTAGGTTTTTGCAGGAAGTCTTGTCACTCCCATTATTTATAGGATTAAACTGAGCCTCTGAGATACTGATAAGAGACTCAAGAGGTTGATGTATTCACCCTCCTCTATTTATGAAGGAGGGAGAGACCTTGGTGTGAGATGTCTGAGATGCTATGACGGTGACTTTTAGCTCCACATGCAGAGCCACTTCCCCTTCCTCCAAAAATCCTCTCTTGGTCTGGCTTCCCCTAGTGCCAGGGACCCTTAAGTTCAAGGTCTAGCATTATTCATATTAGCCTCAGTTTGACTCCTGTGGTCTCCTCATCACTGCATTAACAGACAAGGAAGCTGCTCGTCATTGTGGTTGCACTCTTACTGAGAGGAGAGTTAATGTTGAAGGCACCTTTGGGAGTTTCCTGGCAGTGCCGTGACGTGATCCTTCCTAATGATGTTGATTTGCTTAGCTGCTGAAACACTGGCTGTCCCAGTCAGACCCTAAGTATAGAGGTTTGGAGATTAGAATTTGCTTCCATATATGTTTTTGTATATGTTTATTTATTGTTACACAGAAATCAGTGTGTTTTAAGTAAAAGCTCCATAGATCATTCTGTTATTACTTAACTTTCCAAGAATTCATTTCCTTTCCGTAAGTGGAATCCAAGGATGTGTTTAGTCATTAAGACTCATCTGCTAGATTTGGAATGGCCTTGTTGCAGCTTAGTTTTTAGCAGTCGGAGCTGTGAGGACTGTTATGATAAAGAAAATCAGAATGTATTTTATTATTGGGGGCTGGGCGTGGTGGCTCACACCTGTAATCCCAGCACTTTGGGAGGCCAAGGTGGGTGGATTGCCTGAGCTCAGGAGTTCAAGATCAGCCTGGCCAAGATGGTGAAACCCCATCTCTACTAAAAATACAAAAATTAGCCAGGTGTGGTGGCGGGCACCTGTAATCTCAGCCACTTGGGAGGCTGAGGCAGAAAATTGCTTGAACCAGGGAGGCAGAGCTTGCAGTGAGCTGAGATTGTGCCACTGCACTCCAGCCTGGACAACAGAGCAAGACTCCATCTCAAAAAAAAAAAAAAAGAATGTGTTTTATTGATGCTGATGCATGGTACAGTTATTAACTTATTTATGTCTGCCACCATCTAAGAAAAATTTCATATTGACTTCCTCTCTTCCTCTTTCTAATTGAATGTCTGTATATTTGTGATTTATTCCCAGCTCGGCTTAGGCCATACCAACCATGTTCGAGAACCAACCCTGGTAACAGGTCTGCAAGGGAAAAATGTTCGGCAGATCTCGGCTGGCCGCTGCCACAGTGCTGCATGGACAGCACCACCTGTCCCACCAAGAGCACCAGGTGAGGAATGAAATATTCATGCTCCTGCAGCGTTTCTTTTTTAGCAGTACCCCATGGCACTGTCTGCTTGCCAGTTCCCAACTGTATCCAGCATCGTTGTGAAACCATCAAGCCTTCTGCCACACAAAGCATTCTTTGTGCTACTAGCACTGGAAGTATTTTCATAGCAGGCATTTGTTCTGCTGACATCAGTATGAACCACGTCCTCTCTGCACTCCCAAAAGCAGAATACATATTACTTATGCAAGCAAAAATTTATAATTTTAGCAGCAACTAAGTTTTTTTTTGAGATGGAGTCTTGCTCTGTCACCTAGGCTGGAGTGCAGTGGTGTGATCTCAGCTCACTGCAGCCTCCGCCTCCCAGGTTCAAATGACTGCTGCCTCAGCCTCCCAAGTAGCTGGGACTACAGGCATGCACTACCATTCCTGGCTAATTTTTTCTGTTTTTAGTAGAAACGGGGTTTCGCCATGTTGGCCAGGCTGGTCTCAAATTCCTGACCTCCAGTGATCCGCCCGCCTCAGCCTCCCAAAGTGTTAGGATTACAGGCATGAGCCACAGCGCCTGGCCGGTATTTTTAATATATAAAAGAAATGACAAATTATAGCTTTCTAAGGCCCACTGTTAGAAATAAAGATTAAAAGCCCTGAGACCATTTGTCAAATTCCTCACCTTAGTTAACCATTTGAAACATGATGTCTGTGCATTGGCACAGCAGTCAACTTGCTGCCATTTTATTCCTGTGTTTAGCAAGACTGGTGGGCTACTTCAAGCTTTTTGTTGTTTGTTTTATTTTTAATTTATTATGAAATTTTTGTATAGCTACACAAAGATTTAAAGAAAACCATAATACATACTTGTGTGCTCAACACCCAACTGTGGGCCCTTTCTGATTTGATCTATCTTCCATTCCTTCCAGATGTAGCTGTTACCTTAATGTTGTGACATTTGTCATTCTTACACATTTCTTCATATTTGGGCAGTTTCCTTTTTTTTTTTTTTTTCGAGACAGAGTCTCACTTTGTTGCCCAGGCTGGAGTGTAATGGCGCAATCTCGGCTTACTGCAACCTCTGCCTCCCGGGTTCAAGCGATTCTCCTGCCTCAGCCTCCCACGTAGCTGGGATTACAGGCATGTGCCACCACGCCCAACTCATTTTAATATTTTTAGTAGAGATGGTGTTTCGCCATATTGGCCAGGCTGGTCTTGAACTCCTGACCTCAAGTCTGGAGTTCAAGCCTCAGCGTCCCAAAGTGCTGGGATTACAGGTGTGAGCCACTGTGTCCAGCCTATTGGACAAGGCCCTCAAGCCTTGTCTTTCTACCATCTTCTGGTGTCTAAGGCACTAGAATTTCCCTGAAGCAACATTGTGCCTAAGAGCTCAGCATTCTCTTCCAGTTTTGTTAACCCCTCTATTTCTTAGGGGGGGTCCTAAGATTCCCCATAGGGATTTTGTTTCTTAGATATCTAAGAGAGAAAAGTGGGAATTCCAGGTAGATGCCAAACAAGCAGGAAATGGTTTCTATTAACAGAATCTAGAATGAGCAGAGCTGCCTACGCACTGACAATTTCAGGTACTCAGTGGCTTCAGAGGGATTTCACTTCCACTTTAGGGCAGAAGCTATCCAGTGTGACAGGTAAAGGTTCAAGCTCTGGGGCCACATTGCTGGGGCTGAATCCCAGCTCCTCCACATATGATCTGAGTGACCTTGAGACTCAGTGTTTTGTCTGTAAAATGAGGATAATAATAGCACCTACTGCAAAGAGCTGTAGAAGTAAGTGGCCCCATTCATGTAAAGCTCTTAGAATAGTGCCAGGCACATAGAAGGTACTCAGTAAATGTTAGTTTTTACTACGAACAATAATAATAAATCTAGGAATTGCACTGTACCAGTCTTTATTTACAGGAAACTGAAGTGAGTTTGTATCTTGTTTTTATTCTTTTATGTGTTTTTATAGGAGGGTAGCTGTGGCTGCAGGCCTTGTAGTCTTTGCTTCTTACAGAACTCTTATTCTTGTAGTAAAAGCCTCATGAATCATGCACCTATATGTTTCTGTCATGAATACTTGCTATCAGATCCCTAGTGAATATGGAGTTGGCTCTGCTAAGTTTCCCATTTCCATTTTCCAGAACTGCCTACTTAGTCCTTGCCCACATTTGTGGTATTATGAAGATGACAATTATTAAATATGAAAGGAAAAATTTGGCTTTATTTTTGTGAAAGAACTGCCTAAGTTCTATTGTTAAATAAAATGGGAAACAAAAAGAGAAAATACCAGGTTTCATTTCCATAATAATGAAGACATTTTATTTTATTTTATTTTTTTCTCCGCCCCCTGATAAAGACATTTTAAAAACCAACACAAATGCACACACCAAACTAAGATGAATCGATGGATAGAGGTTTGAATGGGTGTCCATTGTGTAATTATCTCAACTTCTCTGTATGCTTGAAATTTTTCAAAATGTGAAAAGTGAAAGCAATGCTGTTTCCTTCATAAGTGCCCATTTGCTTTCTGGACAGGTGTGTCAGTACCTCTGCAGCTGGGCCTGCCTGACACAGTGCCCCCCCAGTATGGGGCGCTGAGAGAAGTCAGCATTCACACGGTGCGGGCCAGGCTCCGGCTGCTCTACCACTTCTCTGACCTCATGTACTCATCCTGGAGACTGCTGAACCTTAGCCCCAACAACCAGGTAACAGACTGGCGTGGTAAGCAGCCAGGCACAGACTGGCTTGGTAAGCAGTGCCCGTGACATGCTCGCCAGGCCCCAGGGCCTTTCCCTCTGCCTTTGGAAAATTCTTTCATGGCTAATAAGATAACACTTCTATTCCCATTTTATTGCTGTGTTAGGGACAGTCTAGAGGTTGGACATGATGCTGCTGGACAGAGTGGTCTTCCTTCTGTGTTTTGGTTTATCCAGAAATCAAGTATGAATGGCTACGCATACTACACATACCATTTCTTTCTTTTTTTTTTTTTTTTTGAGATGGAGTCTCACTCTGTCGCCCAGGCTGGAGTGCAGTGGCGCAATCTCAGCTCACTGCAACCTCTGCCTCTTGGGTTCAAGCAATTCTCCTGCCTCAGCCTCCTGAGTAGCTGAGATTACAGGCCTGGGCCACCATGCCTGGCTAATTTTTGTATTTTTAGTAAAGATGGGGTTTCACCATGTTAGTCAGGCTGGTCTCGAACTCCTGACCTCAAATGATCCCCCCCACCTCCACCTCCCAAAGTGCTGAGAATACAGGTGTGAGCCACCGCTCCCAGCCACTTCTACAAAGTCTGCCAGCCACTTCTACCAGCCATTTCTACAAAGTCTAAAATATGATTTTAAAATGTAAGCACACAAAGCTGTTGGAACCACAGTCAGGGTTGTTACATAAATTAATCTGAGAAATTTCAGATACTTTTTTCTCTTCTTACAAATTAGCATTCTGGGTCTTGGGGAAAGGGAGGTCGGGGAAATAAAGTAAATTTTGCTGATTTGTCTATCTTTATGGACTAGTCCAGTAACAAAGTGGCTAGCTATTGTGTGTGCGTGCGTGTGTGTGTGTGCATGCGTGAGATTTGACAAATCACTGCTAGAAATAGATAGGCAGCAGAGTCCTGTGCAGCACTAAACAGAGTGTTAGCAAACTGTAATTAGTGGAAGAAATGTTTATAATGTAAAGTTAACTGAGAAAGGCAGCTCAGAATGATATTAACTGTGAAAAATGTTATGTGTGCATACACAGAAGAGAACTGGAAGGAAATAGATGAAATTATTAATGGGGCATCTCTATATGGTAGGATTTGGAATTACTTAATTTGTGCATACATGTGTGTATCCTTCTCTGTATTTTCTAAGGTTTTTAAAAATGGTAATTATATATTTTATCAGAAGAAAAATTTAAAGGTTACTAATAGTTCCTAATCCTGAGTTTATGCTCTTAAAGTGCATTTTTAAAATAATGTATGTTCTTTTTTCAATTTTTCAAATAATATTGAGACAGGGTCTCACTCTGTGCCCAGGCTGGAGTGCAGTAGCATTATCTCAGCTCACTGCAGCCTCAACCTCCTTGGACTCAGGTGATCCACCCACCTCAGCCTCCTGAGTAACTGGGAGTACAGGCACATGCCACCATGCCCAGCTAATTTTTGTGTTTTTGTAGAGATGGGTTTTGCCATGTTACCCAGGCTAGTCTTGAACTCCTGGGCTCAAGCGATCCGCCCACCACAGCCTCCCAAAGTGCTGGGACTACAGGCATGAGCCACTGCGCCCAGCCAAAATAATGTATGTTCTATAAGTGAAAATTGTTATTTCTTTTAAGCCTAGATTGTACCATTTCTGATAACCGTACCTTCTGTTACAGAACAGCACATCCCATTATAATGCTGGAACTTGGGGCATTGTACAGGGACAACTTCGGCCTTTGTTAGCCCCAAGAGTCTACACTCTGCCAATGGTGCGCTCCATAGGAAAAACCATGGTTCAAGGCAAAAACTATGGACCTCAGATAACTGTAAAGAGGATATCAACCAGGTTAGCATATGTATGTGTGTTTGACTAATGAGCTGTGATTTTTTCAGATGGATGTTATTACTAATTTCTGTGAGTCTTGGTTTCCTCACTTCTAAGGCAGGGTAGATAGTAATAGTACTTACATTAGTACCTGGTGTGGTTACAGTGGGCCTAGCACAGTGCTTGCCTGTTAAACTAGCTTTTTCATTCACTGATGGGAAGATATCATGTGATTTTGGGGAAATTGGTAAGAGTTGTATTTCATTGCTTTCTCCCTTTCTTTTAAAGAGGACGGAAGTGTAAGCCTATTTTTGTCCAAATAGCGAGACAAGTAGTTAAGCTGAATGCTTCAGACCTCCGCCTGCCTTCCCGAGCGTGGAAGGTTAAGCTGGTTGGAGAAGGGGCTGATGATGCTGGAGGAGTGTTTGATGACACCATCACAGAGATGTGCCAGGTATATTCCTGCAGTGTCCCCTGCTGAGTTATCTAGTCTGCTAGTGGCCATTTTGCTGTTTCCAGTGATCACTCTGCCAGGCATGTTTTTATAAATGTAGCAAGGATGCATTTGTGAGCCTCATATAAAGTGATGCTGTTAGTGATACGTAGGTAAATTAGAGCAACAGCTTTTGAAACGCTTTGTCAAGATACCTTACTACATAAATATCAGTTCTTAGGCATCTACCAATGACTCACCATCTGTTGTGTTATAATATTGGCAGAATAACAATGGCATATATGTACATTTATGTAACAGACAAATCCAGGAGCACCCATGTGCTCTGATTTATTCTGGTGCTTTTAGAACAAAGTAGAACTGCCAGATTCCAGGGGAGTTAGAAAAATAAAGTTACGAACTGGTCTTAAAATTAGACCAGTTCTAATTTTAATATCTGCATTGGCAGCTTTGCTTCCAGATCAGCTCTGTCCTTTCCAGCATTACCTAGTATCAGGATTTTTCCAGTAAACCCTGTGACTAAAATAATGGTTGGCTATCATTACTGATTCGATTTGAACATCACTACACTCTTTTCACAGCCACCACTACTCCTGCCCTGGATTGACTTTCTCATTCCTTTTGGTTCTTCATACATGAATGCTTTCCATATGGGGGATTTCCTAATTTCATTTTAAATTGAAACCACAAAAATAAAGTATGAAATTGTTGGTTGTCACATGGCATTATAAATTCCTCAAAATATTCTCTTTTCAGTATGATCTTGTAATTGGTTTGTTCTCTTCATGCATTTGATTGTCATTTCTCAAAAAATTTTTTTCTTTCTTCTGCAGGAACTTGAAACTGGTATTGTTGACCTTCTTATACCCTCTCCCAATGCCACCGCAGAAGTGGGTTACAATAGGGACAGGTATGGCAGTCAGCAAGTGTTCATTATATGTCTAAAATAATAATAATAGCTCACATTTATTGAGTGCTTACTATGTACCAGGTCCTGTTTTAAGTGCTTTACACCTATTATCCCCTTCAGTCCTCATTGTAACCCTAAGGAGTAAATATTGTTGTTATCCTCTTGTCAAAGATGAGGAAACAGGCCAGGCATGGTGGCTTACGCCTGTAATTCCAGCACTTTGGGAGGCTGAGGCGGGTGGATCACCTGATATCAGGAGTTTAAGACCAGCCTGGCCAACATGGTGAAACCCCATCTCTACTAAAAATGCAAAAATTAGCCGGTCATGGTGGCACATGCCTGTAATCCCAGCTACTTGGGAGGCTGAGGCAGGAGAATCACTTGATTTGAACCCAGGAGGCAGAGGCTGCAGTGAGCCGAGATCAGGCCACTGTACTCCAGCCTGGGCAACAGAGCGAGACCACATCTCAAAAAAAAAAAAAAAAAAAGGAAACAGGCACTTCCATCAAGACTTGGTATTTATTGAGACCAAATCAATGATAATATAGAGGGGAGAGGAAGCTCAGACTTAATCATGAAACCTGATTTATGTTTCTGAAGGCCCACATGGCCTCCCCATAATGAATTTTCTGCACCAAAATTTATTTAAAAGTGTTATTATGCTAGCAAGTCACAAAATTTAGTATTTGCAATTACATACTATCTTTATATTTGCAAAATTTTGAATTTTGGATCCTGTTTCATGGACTTGTAAATTAAAAACAGAATGATTACGCAGCTCCTCACCAGCAACGGAACAAAGCTGGACGGAGAATGACTTTGACGAGTTGAGAGAAGAAGGCTTCAGACGATCAAACTACCCTGAGCTAAAGGAGGAAGTTCGAACCCATGGCAAAGAAGTTAAAAACCTTGAAAAAAAATTAGACGAATGGCTAACTAGAATAACCAATGCAGAGAAGTCCTTAAAGGACCTGATGGAGCTGAAAACCGTGGCACGAAAACTACGTGATGAATGCACAAGCCTCAGTAACCGATTCGATCAACTGGAAGAAAGGGTATCAGTGATGGAAGATCAAATGAATGAAATGAAGCGAGAAGAGAAGTTTAGAGAAAAAAGAATAAAAAGAAACGAACAAAGCCTCCAAGAAATATGGGACTATGTGAAAAGACCAAATCTACATCTGATTGGTGTACCTGAAAGTGGGAGAATGGAACCAAGTTGGAAAACACTCTGCAGGATAGTATCCAGGAGAACTTCCCCAGTCTAACAAGGCAGGCCAGTATTCAAATTCAGGAAATACAGAGAATGCCACAGAGATACTCCTCGAGAAGAGCAACTCCAAGACACATAATTGTCAGATTCACCAAAGTTGAAATGAAGGAAAAAATGTTAAGAGCAGCCAGAGAGAAAGGTCGGGTTACCCACAAAGGGAAGCACATCAGACTAACAGCAGATATCTCGGCAGAAACTCTACAAGCCAGAAGAGAGTGGGGGCCAATATTCAACATTCTTAAAGAAAAGAATTTTCAACCCAGAATTTCATATCCAGCCAAACTAAGCTTCATAAGTGAAGGAGAAATAAAATACTTTACAGACAAGCAAATGCTGAGAGATTTTGTCACCACCAGGCCTGCCCTAAAAGAGCTCCTGAAGGAAGCACTAAACATGGAAAGGAAGAACTGGTACCAGCCACTGCAAAAACATGCCAAATTGTAAAGACCATCGAGGCTAGGAAGAAACTGCATCAACTAACGAGCAAAATAACCAGCTAATATCATAATGACAGGATCAAATTCACACATAACAATACTAACCTTAAATGTAAATGGGCTAAATGCTCCAATTAAAAGGCACAGACTGGCAAATTGGATAAAGAGTCAAGACCCATCAGTGTGCTGCATTCAGGAAACCCATCTCACATGCAGAGACACATATAGGCTCAAAATAAAGGGATGGAGGAAGATCTACCAAGCAAATGGAAAACAAAAAAAGGCAGGGGTTGCAATCCTAGTCTCTGATAAAACAACTTTAAACCAACAAAGATCAAAAGAGACAAAGAAGGCCATTACATAATGGTAAAGGGATCAATTCAACAAGAAGAACTAACTATCCTAAATATATATGCACCCAATACAGGAGCACCCAGATTGATAAACCAAGTCCTTAGTGACCTACAAAGAGACTTAGACTCCCACACAATAATAATGGGAGACTTTAACACCCCACTGTCAACATTAGACAGATCAACGAGATAGAAAGTTAACAAGGATATCCAGGAATTGAACTCAGCTCTGCACCAAGCAGACCTAATAGATATCTACAGAACTCTCCACCCCAAATCAACAGAATATACATTCTTTTCAGCACCACACCACACCTATTCCAAAATTGACCACATAGTTGGAAGTAAAGCACTCCTCAGCAAATGTAAAAGAACAGAAATTATAACAAACTGTCTCTCAGACCACAGTGCAATCAAACTAGAACTCAGGATTAAGAAACTCACTCAAAACCGCTCAACTACATGGAAACTGAACAACCTGCTCCTGAATGACTACTGGGTACATAATGAAATGAAGGCAGAAATGAAGATGTTCTTTGAAACCAACGAGAACAAAGACACAACATACCAGAATCTCTGGGACACATTCAAAGCAGTGTGTAGAGGGAAATTTATAGCACTAAATGCCCACAAGAGAAAGCAGGAAAGATCGAAAATTGACACCCTAACATCACAATAAAAAGAACTAGAGAAGCAAGAGCAAACACATTCAAAAGCTAGCAGAAGGCAATAAATAACTAAGATCAGAGCAGAACTGAAGGAGATAGAGACACAAAAAACCTTCAAAAAATCAATGAATCCAGGAGCTGGTTTTTTGAAAAGATCAACAAAATTGATAGACTGCTAGCAAGACTAATAAAGAAGAAAAGAGAGAAGAATCAAATAGACGCAATAAAAAATGACAAAGGGGATATCACCACCGATCCCACAGAAATACAAACTACCATCAGAGAATACTATAAACACCTCTATGCAAATAAACTAGAAAATCTAGAAGAAATGGATAAATTCCTCGACACATACACTCTCCCAAGACTAAACCAGGAAGAAGTTGAATCTCTGAATAGACCAAACAGGCTCTGAAATTGAGGCAATAATTAATAGCTTACCAACCAAAAAAAGTCCAGGACCAGACGGATTCACAGCCAACTTCTACCAGAGGTACAAGGAGGAGCTGGTACCATTCCTTCTGAAACTATTCCAATCAATAGAAAAAGAGGGAATCCTCCCTAACTCATTTTAGGAGGCCAGCATCATCCTGAAACCAAAGCCTGGCAGAGACACAACAAAAAAAGAGAATTTTAGACCAATATCCTTGATGAACATTGATGCAAAAATCCTCAATAAAATACTGGCAAACCGAATCCAGCAACACATCAAAAAGCTTATCCACCATGATCAAGTGGGCTTCATCCCTGGGATGCAAGGCTGGTTCAACATACGAAAATCAATAAACATAATCCAGCATATAAACAGAACCAAAGATAAAGACCACATGATTATCTCAATAGGTGCAGAAAAGGCCTTTGACAAAATTCAACAACGCTTCATGCTAAAAACTCTCAATAAATTAGGTATTGATGGGACATATCTCAAAATAGTAAGAGCTATCTATGATAAACCCACAGCCAATATCATACTGAATGGGCAAAAACTGGAAGCATTCCCTTTGAAAACTGGCACAAGAGAGGGATGCCCTCTCTCACCACTCCTATTCAACATAGTGTTGGAAGTTCTGGCCAGGGCAATCAGGCAGGAGAAGGAAATAAAGGGCATTCAGTTAGGAAAAGAGGAAGTCAAATTGTCCCTGTTTGCAGATGACATGATTGTATATCTAGAAAACCCCATCATCTCATCCCAAAATCTCCTTAAGCTGATAGGCAACTTCAGCAAAGTATCAGGATACAAAATCAATGTGCAAAAATCACAAACATTCTTATACACCAATAACAGACAGAGAGCCAAATCATGAGTGAACTTCCATTCACAGTTGCTTCAAAGAGAATAAAATAGGAATCCAACTTACAAGGGATGTGAAGGACCTCTTCAAGGAGAACTACAAACCACTGCTCAAGGAAATAAAACAGGATAGAAATAAATGGAAGAACATTCCATGCTCATGGGTAGGAAGAATCAATATCGTGAAAATGGCCATACTGCCCAAGGTAATTTATAGATTCAATGCCATCCCCATCAAGCTACCAATGACTTTCTTCACAGAATTGGAAAAAACTACTTTAAAGTTCATATGGAACCAAAAAAGAGCCCGCATTGCCAAGTCAATCCTAAGCCAAAAGAACAAAGCTGGAGGCATCACACTACCTGACTTCAAACTATACTCCAAGGCTACAGTAACCAAAACAGCATGGTACTGGTACCAAAACAGAGATATAGACCAATGGAACAGAACAGAGCCCTCAGAAATAATGCCGCATATCTACAACTATCTGATCTTTGACAAACCTGACAGAAACAAATGGGGAAAGGATTCCCTATTTAATAAATGGTGCTGGGAAACCTGGCTAGCCATATGTAGAAAGCTGAAACTGGATCCCTTCCTTACACCTTATACAAAAATGAATTCAAGATGGATTAAAGACTTAAATGTTAGACCTAAAACCATAAAAACCCTAGAAGAAAGCCTAGGCATTACCATTCAGGACATAGGCATGGGCAAGGACTTCATGTCTAAAACACCAAAAGCAATGGCAACAAAAGCCAAAATTGACAAATGGGATCTAATTAAACTAAAGAGCTTCTGCACAGCAAAAGAAACTACCATCAGAGTGAACAGGCGACCCACAGAATGGGAGAAAATTTTTGCAACCTACTCATCTGACAAAGGGCTAATATCCAGAATCTACAATGAACTCCAACACATTTACAAGAAAAAAACAACCCCATCAAAAAGTGGGCGAAAGATATGAACAGACACTTCTCAAAAGAAGACATTTATGCAGCCAAAAGACACATGAAAAAATGCTCATCATCACTGGCCATCAGAGAAATGCAAATCAAAACCACAATGAAATACCATCTCACACCAATTAGAATGGCGATCATTAAGAAGTCAGGAAACAACAGGTGCTGGAGAGAATGTGGAGAAATAGGAACACTTTTACACTGTTGGTGGGACTGTAAACTAGTTCAACCATTGTGGAAGTCAGTGTGGTGATTCCTCATGGATCTAGAACTAGAAATACCATTTGACCCAGCCATCCCATTACTGGGTATATACCCAAAGGATTATAAAACATTCTGCTATAAGGACACATGCACACGTATGTTTATTGCGGCACTATTCATAATAGGAAAGACTTGGAACCAACCCAAATGTCCAACAATGATAGACTGGATTAAGAAAATGTGGCACTTATACACCATGGAATACTATGCAGCCATAAAAAATGATGAGTTCATGTCATGTAGGGACATGAATGAAGCTGGAAACCATCATTCTCAGCAAACTATTGCAAGGACAAAAAACCAAACACTTCGTGTTCTCACTCATAGGTGGGAATTGAACAATGAGAACACATGGACACAGGAAGGGGAACATCACACACTGGGGCCTGTTGTGGGGTGAGGGGAGCGGGGAGGGATAGCATTAGGAGATATACCTAATGTTAAATGAAGAGTTAATGGGTGCAGCACACCAACATGGCACATGTATACATATGTAACAAACCTGCACGTTGTGCACATGTACCCTAAAACTTAAAGTATAATAATAAAAAAAAAAAAAGATAATGATTTTAGAAAACAAGGCATTCTGGAGCAGGTAGCTTAAGATCCTTACATAGTTCTTCTAAAAATAGTTCAGAATATAGTCCATGTGCTGTGTGAAACAATAACTACGGTCCACATGTGGCTTTTGAGAACTCAACGTGTGATTAGGGAAGCCGAAGAACTGAATTTTTAGTTTTATTTAATTACTTTAGCCTTATGTGGCTAATGGATGCCATATTGAACAGTACAGGTATAGACTAACGCTATAGCTGTTGTTGCTAACTTATTTCTAATAGAAATAAGGAAAATGCTGTTTGAAATATTCCCTTTAATTTTACAGGTTCCTTTTTAACCCTTCTGCCTGCCTCGATGAACACTTAATGCAGTTTAAGTTTTTAGGAATTTTAATGGGGGTTGCCATTCGCACAAAGAAGCCTCTGGACCTCCACTTGGCCCCTCTGGTGTGGAAGCAGCTGTGCTGTGTCCCACTCACCCTAGAGGACCTGGAGGAGGTGGATCTGCTCTACGTGCAGACTCTCAACAGCATTCTTCACATTGAAGACAGTGGGATTACCGAGGAGAGTTTCCATGAGGTAAATCCTGGCCAGTCTATGTTTCTACTGGTGTTGACGTCCTATATGCACAGACTAGAATTTTTCTGTGTAAAATTGAGATACAGTCTTCCACTTGCTGTCTGGCTGAACAATGCCATATCTATGCCATTGCTGCCCTTAGCAGCTCAACCGCAGCAGTTTAAACAGCTTCTAATAGAGCAGGCTCCTGCACTTAGTTGCTCCTTCCCCCTTAATTTTTTTCTGCCTGTTAGAGTGAAGAACCAAGGTGGAAGGGGAGGCCTGAGGTCACGAGAGTTCAACAGGCTTGGTTTGTGAACAGAGAGATTTTGTCCCATTTTTAACTACAGCTGGTTGAGTCATCACATTCCTGCTGATCAAGTAGCCTGATCAGTCCTACCTGTTTTGTGTTCCTTGTTTTTATCCTTAAAAATTGTGAGTTTGTTATTGCTGTGCCGTATTTGTATGTAAAATACTTTTTGCTGTCATTTCTACCATGTAATAAAAATTCTGTTTTCTTCTGTTCCTAGATGATTCCTCTTGATTCTTTTGTTGGCCAGAGTGCTGATGGCAAAATGGTTCCTATAATCCCTGGTGGAAATAGTATCCCACTCACATTTTCCAACAGGAAGGAATATGTGGAGAGGGCCATTGAATATCGACTTCATGAGATGGACAGACAGGTGAGATGAAACATCTCGGGAGGTACACATGAATGCTTGGGTTTCTCTCCAAATGAGAGCTGACTGGGTATGCCAAAATCTGCTAATATGTATTTACTGTGTTAATTCCTCTGTATGTATGTATGAATTTATTTATTTTAATTTACTTATTTATTTTTGAGACAGCACCTCACTCTGTCGCCTAGGCTGGAGTGCAGTGGTTCAGTCTCAGCTCACTGCAGCCTCTGCCTCCTGGGTTCAAGTGATTCTCTGGCCTCAGCCTCCCCAGTAGCTGGGACTACAGGCATGTGTCACCACGCCTAGCTAATCTTTTTATTTTTTGGTAGAGATGGGGTTTTGCCATGTTAGCCAGGCTGGTCTTGAACTCCTGGCCTCAAGTGATCCACCTGCCTCAGCTTCCCAAAGTGTTGGGATTACAGGTGTGAGCCACCGCACTTGGTGATTCCTTTGTATTTATATTCCAAACCCTATTCAGAGACTTCTCAGGCCTTTTTCTCCATACCCAGTGCCTTAAATCGGTTCTGAATTGGTCTTTGGTTGGATTGAGACTGTTTTCATCTGGCATTCAGACCTTGCCTTCTTACTCCTCCTTACTCCTCCTTAGTCCTGTTTGTCCTCATGTCTTACTGCTTCCCAGCTCAGCGTCTCCACTCTAGTTGGGTTAGTCAGGGCCCACGTAAATGAACCTTCAAATGCTGGTCTTATGACCTCACATGGATTTCCCTTTCCCTGTCTTGCTGCTGTTCTTTAAGCCTCAGCTAAGAGGGCATCTCCTGCACACACAAGCTTACCTCCAGGTCACCAACCTGTGATCTTTTTCCTTACTTTGAAGTTCCTCAAGATATATCACATACTTCTATGTTATGGTCTAGGAAGTAGGCCCCAGAATTTAGGTCTTGTTTCCTCAACTTGCAAGAAATTGAATGAAGAATGCATTTTCTATTTCATTTGAGTTATCCTTGTTCTGTGCTGACAGGTAAGTAAGCATTTAATAATGGGAGTGTGAATGAGTGACCACTCATGTGGTCATAAATATGGTGTCCAAAAATGGTTCTTTTGATAATACAGTCATTAATAGCATTTCAGTAATACTTTATTTGCAGAATATGTTGGGGTCTTCTCAAGAGCTGGACTCAGGCTGTGAAGCTATAGAAGTTTAGTGATTTGAAGTATACATACTCCATACCCCTCACTCCCAGCTCCTTCTTAGACTTTGGGCCAAGTCCCATCAGAAAAATGATATCTTTAGCCTAGTGAAGTTGGGTCTTGTCAGTGATGCTATTTACACAGCCAGGGATTAGTGTTTGTCTCCAGTTGATGAATATTTTTAATCCTCAGAGAATAAATAACTGACTAGAAATGTATTGATAACCTTCTGCACGCCAGCCATGGTGCCAGGCACTCTTGGGTGCCATTTTTCCCATAGTTACTCTGTGAGGTAAGGATTGCCAGCTCTGTTTCACAGAAGAAAGCACTGAGTGCCCACAGCAGAGCCAAGACCCCAAACCAGGCTCTAAGATGGTGTCCAGGCTTTTCTGATGACCCTTCTTCTGAGGGTTGGATGGACACTCCCTTTCCACAGCTGTGTTCTGCTCTGCCCTGGCTTTGTTCTGTTCTCAGTAACAAGCCCTTCCTCCTCTTTCTTTATATATGAATTGGTCTTTGGTTCCTCTTCATCTCTTAGAACTGAGTGTTTATCCCATAACTGTCCTCAGTTGTCCCCCTGCCATCTCCAAGCAGCCAGCCCCATACCTCAGCCTAATTTTTTTTCCAGACAGCTTTTGTTTTGTGTTCCACCAAGCATAACAGCTTGTTCGTTTTTGTTTTCGTTTGGCAGACTTTGGTGGGGTATTGACCTTTACTATCAGAAGAGACTGCCTTTACTGCCAATCTCTGATCCTTATGGGACAACCTTAGTGCCAGTTTTTTATTATTTTATTTTTTAAGAGAGGGTCTTGCTCTGTCACCCAGGCTGGAGTGCAGTGGCACTCACTGCAGCTTTGAACTGTTGGGCTCAAGGGATCTCCTGCCTTAGCCTTCCAAGTAGCTGGGATGACAGGGCAAACCATTGTACTTGGCCCAGTTTTTTTTTATATATATAATAAATTTTATTATGTATATTTAAGGTGTACAACACGATAATATAGGATATGCATATAGATAGTAAAAAGGTTATTATAGTGAAGCAAATTAACATATCCATCACCTCACATAGTTACTCACTTCCTTAAGGTATGGTCCCTATTCAGATTCTTAGACTTTTTAAATGGTGGTAGATGGTTTTGAGTTGGCCAAGAGCAAAGAAGTATTTATGAAACAAACCTTGAACAGTGGTGAGTCTGTGTGTAGGGTATGCACTACTGTATAATATTGGAGGAGACATTTTTCTAAACAAGCTGTCAAGGCAGCCCCTGGTTGCACCCTACTTGGCACTCCCCAACTTGCCTGTGCCCAGCACTATGATGCTAAGAGAACAGAGCAGGGTAGAATTACCCAGTCACACAGAATTTCATGTAGTTACTCATATACAGTTCTCATCAGAGCCACATGAGAGCAGCAATATCTGCTTTTTTCAGACGGAAAAATTAAGAGAGTTAATAATTGGCAGAGCTGGGAGTTAGAACCCAAGTCTCTTCACTAAATTCATTGCCTCTTCTATTGCCTTCCTAAAGAAGGACTTCCCATTTTTACTTTCTTCTTTGTACTTTTCAGATTTTTTTTACGATGAGCACAAATAATTTTTACAAAAAGGATATAATTATTTTCAAAAGACAAATATAAATTTAAAAAACAGTAGGCAGCTAGTTGAGTGCCCCCAAAGCTTCTTACCTTTATGAGATGAAGTGTCCACACATGCATAGTTTGACAGCACATGGGCACATATGATTAGGAATATGAGTGAGTGGGGCTGGCATCAGGGAAGGCCCCAGTGGGCTGAGATTTTGTGGTAGAGGGAAGGCAGGCTCCTAAATTGGACTTGAACTGGAACCAGGAGTGTAAGAATCCCACAGCAGGGAGGCACTCTAACAAGGGTTGAGAGGCAGGGAGGGTGGGCCTTTTTGACTGACTCTCGTGCCTGGCGGTCTGAGAAACAAGTAGAGGGTCTGGGGAGCGGACGAGCAGGCATCAGGAGGCGCCTAGCCCCACAGGGCCCTTGGTGGGTGCCAGGTTCACGCACACTCATTGAATGAGCAACCTCTCCCGGGAGCAGGTGGCTGCAGTCCGAGAAGGGATGTCCTGGATTGTTCCTGTGCCGCTGCTGTCCCTCCTCACAGCAAAACAACTGGAGCAGATGGTGTGTGGGATGCCCGAGATCTCTGTGGAAGTCTTGAAGAAAGTGGTGCGGTACCGTGAGGTGGATGAGCAGCATCAGCTGGTGCAGTGGTTCTGGCACACGCTGGAAGAGTTCTCCAATGAGGAGCGGGTGCTTTTCATGAGGTTTGTGTCAGGAAGATCTCGACTACCAGCCAACACTGCTGACATTTCTCAGAGATTTCAAATCATGAAGGTTGATAGGGTAAGTAAGCTATTCTTTTTTCCTTTGTAATGTCTGCCTTATTGCTTCATTGTTGTTTTTGTTGAGACAGGGTCTCACTCTGTGGCCCAGGCTGGAGTGCAGTGGCATGATTTTAGCTTACTGCAACCTCCGCTTCCTAGCTTCAAGCAGTTCTCCTGCCTCAGCCTCCGCAGTAGCTGGGACTACAGGTGCGTGCCACCACGCCTGGCTAATTTTTTTGTATATTTTGGTAGAGACGGGGATTCACCATGTTGGCCAGGCTGGTCTTGAACTACTGACCTCAGGTGATCTGGTCACGTTGGCCTCCCAAAGTGCTGGGATTACAGGCGTGAGCCAACACGCCTGGCCCTCTGCGCCTTGTTGCTTTTATGTTGGGGAAAACAAACTATGACCCTCAAGTAGGCCTGCCGATTCATGCTTATTAATACTTAGAATTTCCAGATTAATGAAAAAAATCAAGCAGTAAAATTTGTTTAGAAATATCATTTAGCTTCAGTGGGAAGAGTCCTAAGTGGATGAAGAGAGCATACTACAACCAACAACCTTCCCTAAATCTTCCAGCATCTTCCTGAGTTAAAGCTGAACTTGGCAGAAGGATCATCATACTGCCTCTTCCTGTGCTGAGGCATGGCCTTGTTTGTTTTCATGAAAATATTAACCATTAACTGGTGGGTGTGCCCCAGAAGGAACCCAAAGATGTGGGGAGCAACGATAACCTCTGTGCCCACTTGTGTTGTGTGCCTTGTGGAGCAGGCAGGGCTGCATCTCTGCCATCTGATGAAAGGCCCCAGCTGCAGAGCCCCAGCCCAGCTGTGATTTTGACAGATGGCTTAGGAATAAGAGGGCTTAGAGTCTGAAAAGCACACTGCTGCCAGAGTCATCTTTCTTAAGCACCTGTCTGACCATGTCACTCTCCTCCTTTTAGACCTTTCAGAGACCCCCTTTGTTGACTCCGAAATAAATGCCAATGACCTTAGCTGCCTTAAACACTTCCACAGTCTGGCCTCTGCCCCACTTTCTGATGTGACGTCTTGATACTTCTCATGTTCTGGTCATAATGGGCTGCTTGCCTTTCTCCCCAGTAGACCAGGCTGTTTTTAAAATTCTGTGCTTTTATGTAACCTGTTCCCTCTGCTTTAGTAAGTCCTTCTTCACACCCCTTTCCTTCTATCTCTGGCAAGCACTTACTCATCCTATAAGCCCAATGCCAGTCATCTCCTCCAAGAACCCCTCCTAGATGCTTTCCAGGAGTGCCCCTACCATTGCTGAAGGCAGACCTAGCCAGACTCCTTCTCTCCACCTCCTGAACACTGGGTACAGCCCTCAAACCCAGAACTTACTGCATTCAGTTAGGAGTGCCTCTCCTCCCTCTGTCTCCATCCCCACTCTTCACAAGCCCTCTCTCCCACATGAGCTGGGCAGTTCTCTGAGCAGGGCCCATGATGTTTGTTCAGAAAACAGTAAGGGAAGTGGGGCCTCTTCACACACAGGCCCTTCCTGCCAGTTTAAGTGTCTGGCTTTCTGGTGTAGCCAAAGCTATTCCTCCCTGTGCTGCCTCCTGAGGCTGCAGGCTGCTGCTCTGCTCCTGGGCTAGGCTTGCTGGAGAAGCCACGTGCAGGAAGGATTATAAAAGAGCCTTTCCATAAATTTTCTGCATGACTTGCCAAGAACTGTAAGTTGTAAATCTGTTTTGTTGCTTCAGAGAGAAGTAGGAAGGAGGAAATGGCTCATTTCTACTCAGCTCTGGAAACAACCCTTGCCTTATATCTGTCCTGGGCTACTCCTGCCGTTCTAGGAGTTAATCCACCACTAATCTCCGGTCTCAGGGTTGTCAGCATCAGTAACTGACTACCGTGGTCGGTTCCTCTGTGGCTTTTAGATCATTTCTACAGTACTCACATTTAGGTCATCAGAGCCACCTAGTGGCACCTCCCTTCCTTGCTGCTTTCAGTTTTTCTGCGTTGAGCTGTGTCATCACTGGCTCTGGTGCATTTGGGCTGCTGGGCCATCCACCTCCCATAGCAGGACATGTGGCTTACCTAGGTGTGGGCTCTGGGGAGGAGGGCTGATTTCAAGAGGAGGTTGAGTGAGAGAAGACAGGTTCTTTTTTTTTTTTTTAAGCAAACGTTTTAAAAATTTATAAAAACACTATAATGCCATTACTATTATTACAAATTGTTTAGAAAATAGTTATGTTTGCAAGGAGGGATAGGGAACGTATATAATCCTGTCTCTCCAGTAGTAGCTATTTTTACCTTTGTGAAATTCCTCATAGTCTTTGCCTCAATTGTACAAATTTTTATATGATGTATCTAGAATTTTTTCTGCCTTTAACCTCCTAATGTATCCTGAACACCTTTCTGTTTTGCTGCCAGTCATCATAATTATCATTTTAAATGATGCATCACCGTCAGTTGAATGGATGGACTGGAGTTTAATTGACTGCCCCTTCCTTATGTGAGCTGTGCGAGGCAGCCATGGCGCCTGCAAAGGAGGCAGAATGCACATGAGGACAGGGAGAGGAGAGGGGGCAAAGAGGCTCCCATGGCCAGCTGCACCTCACAGTCGTTCTTTCCATTCTACCTGCTCTGTGGGGGCATCCCTGCAGCTGGCTTCCAGTCTGCACCCTCTTGGTGGATGGGTATGAAGGACAGGTGCCCTCTTACTACACTCTCATCCTGTGCCAGGCGCTGTGCGTAGTGTATTCTCTCAAGCAATCCTGCCAGTCAGAGCTTCTCCTCACTTTACACACACAGGCACTGGAGGAGGTGAGGACAAGAAGGAACATCTTCACCCAGAGCCTCGAGGGCCACGGGGCAGTAGGGCCTCAGCTCATTCTATCTGGCCCAGTCTCTGTGTCCACTTGACTTAACCATGTGGCCATGTTAATTCCATCTTGAAGGCAGGGAGAGGTCATGGGCAGCCCCACTCCCCCTTATGGCACTCTGATGTCCCCAGTCACGGCTCTGGGTCTCTCTCCACAGCCTTACGACAGTCTGCCTACCTCACAGACCTGCTTCTTCCAGCTGAGGCTGCCCCCGTACTCCAGCCAGCTGGTCATGGCCGAGCGCCTGCGCTATGCCATCAACAACTGCCGCTCAATCGACATGGACAACTACATGCTCTCGAGAAACGTGGACAACGCCGAGGGCTCCGACACTGACTACTGACCGTGCGGGTGCTCTCACCCTCCCTTCTCTCCCTCAATAATGCTCACTTCTGATTTGATGTTGATATACTTTTATGGTAACTACATAGATGTTATAAGAACATAAACCAACATTATAAACAATGGCCACATTTAGTTACTCTAAATGTAACAAAGAAATTAGATGTTTTTATTTTTCTGTGATTGTACAAAAACAACAAAAACGAAGTGCTCTCAGTCAGGTTTTTCCCTCCATATTTTTGGTCACTTTTGATAAGTTTGCATGAAACCATTTTGGTGCATTTTTAGTTGGGAATGGTACATTTTTGTAAATCCACCCAGTGAACATGAAATTGTACATTGTGTATAATTGTTCATTAGAAAGGACAGTTTTACATGAATATTCATATATTTATTTTGTTTTAATTTGAATTGCCTGTTCAGGGTTCCTTATGCAGAGAAATAAAGCAGATTCAGGAATTGGAGCGTGGCTCTTGGTATTGCTTCCTGCGGAGCTTCTGACTAGGGGTTACCATCGAGGCAGACATTAGCCCAGAACAGAATGAGCTTCCAGGCTGGTCTTGCTCTGATGGCTTTTTGACCCATTCAGAAACATTTCTTTACATTGAGGGTGGGCTTCACTTGGAAATAACGTATCAGAGAACCGTGTGGTTCTAGGAGATCCCTCTGGGTTGGAAGCCCCTATTTTCCATTGTTCTTCTGTCATCCTGGGTCTCTCTGACTTTGTTCCCTCAGCTGCTCCGCCCCTCTCAGTACCACGCATCCTTCTCTGGACAGCCCCAGCTACCTCATGTGGAGGGCGACTCTACCAGACAAGGAGGAAGAGGACCACAGTAATGCCATCTGGCCCTTCCTATGAAGAACCTACAAAGACAAAATGAGCACGTGATGGAATTAAAGAACAGGGTAGTTTACAACATGTCTCAGTGGGGAGGGCAGCCAAGTGGAAGGTGTTACAGAAAGGCCAGCAACTGCTAGCAGGCACTTAGCATGTATCAATGAGTGAATGAGTGAGTGAATGTGTGAATTAGCATGAGAACTGATGAGTGGCTTTCATATCCTTGAATGATAGAATTGTGCAGAGGTCTGGGGAAGGGGTTACATTCTTGGTGCTCAAACTCAGCTAGCCCCTGCGGGCCCTGAGTGCTGTGTGTGTGTTCAGCAGCATCAGGGTGAGCCTGTGTTTCTGGGGGAAAGGGCCATCTTGAGAGCAGCTGGGAGGGCTTTGGCCTCTTGGAGTGTGTGCAGGAAGAGGGGAAGGCCTGTGGACAGCTTGTCTCCCTCACCTACAGCAAGTTCATGCCACAGGCTACTTCCACTGTACTTCGCGGACAGGGTCTTTGCCGACAGCCTGCTCAAATGAGGTGCCAGACAGACAGCCCTCTGCAGGCAGTTATTTTCCACAAGGAAGATAGGTGTATGTCTTCAAAGAGAAATTAAAAGAAAAATAAGGTTTTGCCAGCTAAGATAATGTGGTAAATGGATCTTTCTTAGTGAGAATACCTAATAATATTTAGAATGATGACATCTTCGTTTTATTGAAAAAAGGCTTCAACTAGAATTGGGTCTCAGGGAGAGACTCCAGCTTTGGGGGGAACCCCAGGAGTTCTGGGTAAAGATGAGGCTTTAATACCGATCTAAGAGCGCAGTCAGTAGCATCGTTGAAGGGCTTTGGGCTTGAAGCCCTCCTGCTCGGGGTGGGAAGGCCCTGCCTGGGCCTCTGGACCAGGAGAGAATTTAAGAAAAGAAAGGCTCACGCCTGTAATCCCAGCACTTTGGGAGGCCGAGGCGGGTGGATCACAAGGTCAGGAGATCGAGACCATCCTAGCTAACATGGTGAAACCCCGTCTCTACTAAAAATAAAAAAAATTAGCTGGGCATGGTGGTGGGCACCTGTAGTCCCAGCTACTCAGGAGGCTGAGGCAGGAGAATGGCATGAACCCGAGAGGCAGAGCTTGCAGTGAGCCAAGATCGCGCCACTGCACTCTAGCCTGGGCGACAGAGTGAGAAAAAAAAAAAAAAAAGCATCTGTGCTGCCAAGATCCTGGACGAATCCAGGAGAGGCCTCTTAGGGTCTTCTGAGCCGCTTCCTGCGTCCCTCTTGCTGAGCTGGGCTGAGGACATGCAGAGCAAAGGATACCTCTGCAGTCTCTAAATTCAAAATAATGCCTCACCCTGTGCTGCTGCCACAGTTTGCTCTGGACTCGGGGGCAGGAGGACCCCCAGAAGGCTGGCACTCATGGTTGCAGGTCCTGGGCTCAGGGCTAACAGACAGCAGCTCAGGTTTGACCCTGTGAGGGGAATCTGCACAGTGCCATGATTTTATAACACACACTGTTTCGTTGCCAGAAACTGTTATTTCCTCATTGTCTTGACTATGTTTTCATTTTTGCAGAGACAGGGTCTCACTATGTTGCCCAGGCTAGTCTGGAACTCCTGGCCTCAAGCAGTCCTTCCACCTTGATCTCCCAAAGTGCTGGGATTACACACATGAGCCACTGTGCCCGGCCTCTCTTGACTTTTTGAAAACTCTGGAAAGGGGGAAGCACAAGTCCCTGATCTGAGGAGCTGAAGTGGGCCTGGTGCAGGTGCTTCCCTTGGTTTACTTTCAGCTCTTAGAGAGGCTTAGGCAGTTGTTTGCTGGCCTCATTCACTTAACAGATACTTGCAGTTTTTATGACCCTTAAGCAGCCTCAAGCAAACGTTGACCATCAGTTTTTAAAATTTAAGATTTCTCCAGACATCCTTCAAAGTATGGCTTTGTTCTGGGCCTCCTAGCTTTGTGGCCTTTGCCCAGGACTTCTGGCCGGATGAAGCCCACATCTTGTGAGCTTGGTTTTTAGCCAAAAGCAGATCTTGGGCATTGAATCCTAGAGCTGGAGGGAAAGTCTCTAAGGGGTCAGATGATCTCTGCCTTTATAAACCAAGAATCCAAGGTCAGGAGAGGGAAAGTTGGATCATAGGTGTGCCCCGACTAGAACTGGGAGCCTCTGCTTCCTGTCAGCGTGCCGTGGTAGAGCCGGGGTGGCTCAGTCACTTCCCCTCCGAACACTCATCCTGTGCAGAAACAGGCCAGTGTGTCTCTGTAAGACAAGCCTCAGAGCACCACCTCCTGCTAGCAGCCTGCTGCCTCCTGGGGGAGATCTGGAACCCTGACCTAAGAGCCTGTGGCCCTGGTCTCTCTGCCGGCACTGGGGCTCCTATGCAGACCAGTGCAACGTGGTGACAGGTCAGCCTTCAGCCAGGGAGCAGTGTCCTGCCCCAGTGGTGAGGTTCTGTTCTCTCCCACCACCTTCACCTGCAAGTGACCATTCGCTGCCTTGGCCAAACCTTAGAAAGAGTTAGCATTGCAGGAGTTGAGGGATGTCTATGATCTAATAGAGGCTGTGAGGGCATAGATAATCCCAAACCATTTCTGGGTGGCTCGGGAATACAATCAGGCTTCCATCAGCCCTGGCTCACCCCTTCCCTGGATATGCCTTGGGCTTCTTGACCTTTGCCTTTGCTGTGCCATGCCTGCCAATGGAAATATTCTCCTTAACGGTTGGAACCTGTGGCCCAGCTCAAAAGCTCTGTCTGCCACAAAGGGTGCCTGGCTTACCCACAGATAGACCTGGCTTGCTTCTTCCCAGTGCCTGGGATTTGTGTGTTGTGCCAGGCACTCAGCTTTTCTAGCCCCCCAAGGATATGAGGATACCTCCCCCTATCCCCCAGTCCCAAGAGGGTATTGGTCCCATTTTACAAATAAAGAAACGGAGGCTCAGAGAGGTCATATCTCGTCAAAAGCTATGAATGGCAAAGCTTGGAGATCACTCAAGAACACCCCCTCAACCTCAGCTGCATGTCTTCTAACTAGGGCTGAGTCACTCCAGGTAGGGCCTGGCCCAGCCCATGGCCAATACCCAGTAAATGCTTGTGAGATGAATTAGTTGGTGGATTAATTAAGTCTGCAGGGCTCTTTGTTATATGCTAACCTAAGTTTGAAAGGATTTTTCTTTTGTTTTTTACTTTTTTTTTTGTTTTTGAGACGGAGTCTTGCTCAGCTGCGCAGGCTGTGCAGTGAGTGCAGTGGCCCGATCTCGGCTCACTGCAACCACTGTCTCCCGGGTTCAAGCGATTCTCCCATCTCAGCCTCCCAAGTAGCTGGGATTACAGGCACCCGCCATCATGCCTAGCTAATTTTTGTATTTTAGAAGAGAGTTTTTCACCATGTTGATCAGGCCGGTCTTGAACTCCTGACCTCAGGTGATCCGCCCGCCTTGGCCTCCCAAAGTGCTAGGATTACAGGCGTGAGCCACTGCACCTGGCTGTTTTTTACCTTTTAATTTAGTGGGGAAGGGGCACGGAGATTCCATGCCCTCCCTGGACACACCACCCTCCAGGAACCTCCATGCATGTAGCTATCTGGAAGCTCCAAAAGTGGTTTTGTAGATTAAGTGAGGTATTGCGCTCTGTTAAGTGTTTTGCTCATGCCTGGTGGTGAACAGTGTCTGTTAGAAGGCAGAGTGGAGAGCCATGTGTCTCCATCAGTGCCCACCTTCTGGGGGCACCTAAAATGACCCTTCACTTCAGAACCCAAAGCTCCTCTGGCTAAGGTGGGGGCCAATTTGGGTCCCTAGAAACAGCACTGGACACAGCTGCCAGCACTGCTTGAGTTCTGTGATCACTATGTCTTGGGATGCAGGGGAGTTAGTTGGCATTGGAGGGTTAACTGGGAACTTAACCCTTACTACAAAAGAGCTTCCATGGGAAAGGGGGGTTGTCGGGGAATGCAGGTTACCCCATTCTAGCTCAACCTATAGTGACCCCTGCTTTACATAATCACAGTCCTTAAAAGAACCCCAAAAGCAAGGTTCCCTTGTTATCCTTAGTACTCAGATAAGAAAACAGGTTTGGAGAGGGCCAATCTGTCCTTGGTCACAGAGCTAGAAAGTGAGGGAAATGGGATGGAAACCCAGATCCATTAGATCCTGAAGCCAGGATCCTGTTGTTGTCCAGGCTAAGCCACCAATTTAGGACAAATAGAACATACTAGAAATTGGGGCTTTTTGGAGAAGATGAAAACAAAGGCCTGGGGTTTAAGTGGCTCTGTTGTAGACAAACATTCAACCCCCTGGAAGCCTGAGCTTGCTTTCAACAGTGTTCAGAGTAATGGGAGAAAAATTCGTTCCCAACAACGCCTCTCCAGAGTGCAAAGCAATGGTGGGCAAACTGAGAAATCACCAAAAAGCAGCCTGTGTCTCACAGGCTAGTAGCAGAGTCCTGCCACTCCACTGCAGCTGGTGGTGTGACAGAGCTGGCTCTCCTGACAAAGGGATTATGCTGGGCCAGGGCTTACTGTGGCTACCCTGTTTCTGGAGTAAGCACTGCCCCAGCCCGGAGCCCTTTGGCAGTCCCCAGAAGGGCTGGTGTGGGACAGGGTGCTGCTTGCCTGTCCACATGTTCTGCCTGGAACAAAATCCAGGGCCGCTGGGACTTCACCTATCATCTGTGCATGGCGCCCTGGTTCCTTCTGGGGGTAGGTTGGGCTGAGGGGGAACCTTCATCTCTCATTTCTTCCTCACATTAATCTGTCCATCCACTGCTACCCCCATCCCTTACCATAACCAAACAAAGCAGGTGCAGATGCTTGAATTAACAAGAACGAAGTCTAGTAATAAAAAGCAAATTTATTACCCAAAACTAGTAAAGGGGGAAGTAGCCAGATTGCTATTTAAAGTAACTGCTTCAATTTTTAGAGGGGAAAGCAATTTTTAGGGTTTTTAAAAGGGAAGACTTGATAAGGAAGGCATGCAAGAAATGGGCTGAGTATGATGTCTGTGTGTTTTGTTCTGGTGGCTATCTTGGGCTTCAGTCCACCTGGACCTCGGATTGACATTATTTTAACAATGGTCAGGTTGTTAATTAGCCATTTTGAAGTAATTTTTGGAGGTTTGCAGCTGGGTCTCCAGGCTTGGTCTGTCTCAAGATTAGCCACTGAAACTTCTAAGACATCACACAATTAAATAGTAGCATACAGTTAGATAAATGAAAAGGGAGCATATCTGGTGAGAAAGGGGAGGGACGTGGAGTCTATTTTAAGGCTAAGGAGAAAGGATTTTGAGTTTCCTCAAGGTTATATCTTGAAACTCAAGAGAATGGGAAAAAAGTTTAAAAGCATGTTGAAGTTAAGCTGCGGGCTGCATTGCTTCTCAGATACCTGCTACTCAGCTTCCCTCCTCATTCACTCTGCTCCAGCCACTCTGATCTCCTTGCACATGAGCCATGCCTGTAGTCCGCGGCCTCTGCACTGACTGTTCCTCTGCCAGGAGTATCTATGCCCCCTGCCTCACTTCATGCCTCAGATGTCATCTTCTCAGTGAGGCTTACATTGGTCAACCCTTTCTCAGAGGCTTCACCCCCCAATCTCTTGCCAGCAATCCCTAATAGCCCTTGTTACAGCCTGCACTTTTTTCCAAATACTTTCTACCATTTTTTTTTTTTTTTTTTTTTTTTTGAGACAAGAGTCTCTCTGTCGCCCAGGCTGGAGTGCAGTGGCACGATCTTGGCTCACTGCAAGCTCCGCCTCCCGGGTTCACGCCATTCTCCTGCCTCAGCCTCCTGAGTAGCTGGGACTACAGGTGCCCGCCACCACGCCCGGCTAATTTTTTGTATTTTTTTTTAGTACAGACGGGGGTTTCACCTTGTTAGCCAGGATGGTCTCGATCTCCTGACCTCGTGAATCGCCCATCTTGGCCTCCTAAAGTGCTGGGATTACAGGCATTGAGCCACCGCACCTGGCCCTTCTACCCTCTTATATACCAGTTACCTGTTGTCTCTTCCCCCACTAGAAGGTAAGCTTCATGAGAACAGAATTTGTCTTTTTCCTTGCCGTTTCCCTATTTGAGCAATGAATTAAGGAACCTGTGAGTAGGGATCAAGCTCCTCTTTCACACAGAAGAAACACCTGGCCTGGGAGGGGTAAAGGGCTTTGTCGCAGCTGGCGCTGGGTGGAGCCGGAGTGTGAACAGCGCCCATCACAGTGCTCCTCGCCTCTTCCACCCACCCAGAATTCTCCCCAGTGACCCAGGACCAGGCGGCTGCCGGGGGGCCGAGAGCCTTCACTAAATGTGACACATCAGTGACTACAGCCCTGAAATTCAAATTGGAAGCCTAGGCTTGTGCTCATGTCCAGCAAATCCAACAGGTGAAAAATCTAGCTTGTCAGCTTATAATGGTTCCATTATCAAAAGCTTAGCCAGGGCTGCTGGTTTTGTTTTTGTTTAGTTTGAGGCTTTTTTTTTCTTCCAAATCATTTCTTTTTCCCTTATGAGAACAGTAGAAAATATGGGTAACTATGCAGTTTATGTAAGCATTCAACAATTGGGAGCGAATTTTCTACAATCGCGAGTGCGGTCACTGCGGGAACGCATCCGCCCCAGGAAAGGTGGGCGGGCAGACGCGCGTGCGGGCAAAACCGCAAGGAGGAGCGGCTCGGTGGCTCCTTCTGCCCGTGCGCCCCTGCTTCCCCTCCTCCTGCTTCACCGAGATCACCACCGGGGCTCCTGGAGGTGGCGGTCCCCAGGACACTCCGGGAGCCGGCGGGGTCTCGCTGGGTCGCTCCGCCCGGAGGCTCCCCAGACCCCTGCGCGCGGCAGCCCTGGCCCCCGTCACCCCCGAGCGCAAGTCGGCGAACTCCGAGTGGTCAGGTCCTCCCCACCGAGGTGATTTCGGTCCAACGGCGATCGGAGTCCCCGAGGACGGTGCAGGCGCCTCCCGCCTCCGTGGGGAGCGCACAGCAGAAAGCCTGGGGCGGAAGCAAGAGGGGAAAGGCGGTGGTGTTGAGTGAGAACCAGCCGAGTGTTTTCCAAATATCCATTTAATCTTGCGTTTATCCTATGTATAAAATCGTAACGTGAGGTAGGCTTTCTTATCCCCACTGTGCAGACGGGGAAAATGAGGCTCAGAATATGCGGTGGTGGTCTGAAGGTGGAAGAGCTGGGTTCGAAGCCAGGACGGTCTGGGGCTGCGCTCCTTCCCCGGGGGCAGCGGCGGGGCGGCGTCTAGCGCTGCAGCAGCTTGCCGAGGGCCGCGGCGGGCGCGCGCGGGCGCGGGGGCTGGTCGGGCAGCATGGCGGCGCTGTGCTCTGCCCGCAGGGCCAGGCGCGGGCACGCGGCGCGCAGGCGGCGCAGGCCGGCCGCGCTCACGTTGCGGCAGAAGTCCACGTGCAATGTCTGCAGCGCGCGCCCGTCCGCCGCCACGGCAGCCAACGTGCGGTTGGTGACGCGCGCGCAGTTCTCCAGGCGCAGTGCGCGCAGGCGTGGGCAGCAGCGCAGCAGGCGCGCCAGGCAGTCGTCGGTAACGTGGCCGCAGCCCGAGAGCGTGACGGACGCCAGGTTGGGGCACCTGTGAGGAGAGTGCGGTGACCCGGGGCTCACTGGCTTGTTAAAGCTACCCAACCGCCCCATGGGACCGAGTGGACTCATTTACCGAGGAGGACTCGGGCCCTGCGAGGTGAAGACACTTGGCTGCGATGACACTGCAGGGTTCCAAGTCGGCTTTCTGGCCGGCCCATTTTCCCTCCTCTTTCTGCCCCTGCACCCCACCGTACCTTCATCTGCGTGGGTTCTTGGCTCGTAGCCTTGGGAGCCCCTAGTGGGAAGCCCCGACCCCGGCCCAGCAGAGTCCTGGGGCGGCTGTGGACAGAGGGAATGCCGGTTCCAGGAGCCACAACCCTTGACTCTTTGTTTCGCTCTGGATGTGCTGCCTTGCAGGGGAGCGGTGCTTGGCGATTGCTCCAGTCTAGCTTCAAGCTGAGGCCCCTGAATGTCCCGGCGGGACGTGAGTGGGAAGAGGGATTTGTTTCCTTGGAGGTGGCCTAGTGACAGGCCCATCCCAACCCTCAAGGCGGTGGGGGCACGCGTTAGCATTGAGTCCGGGTTCAGCTTAGTAGACTAGAGCTGTTCCTGCATCCCCTGGGCCACCAGCCTGGAAAAGGGTAGGGTTCGGAGGCAGCTAGAGGCAAGCCCTGAGCAGGTACAGTCACGGACACCCACCCAGGTCGCTTGGCCAGAAAGCTTGGGGGACCCTCTGCTGCAGCCTCACCAGCCCCTCCCAGCAAAGAAAAGATCTTGAGCCAAGTTAGACTTGGTTTATCGCCGTGTCAGTCACTCACGGAGCCTTCATTTCCTCTGCGTGGGGGGAATAATGTCTACCACTGGGGTTGTGAGGAGCCTGCAACGGGGCCTTCCACAGGCAGTCCTAACCCGCTTTCCCTGGAAACAAACGGGACCAGCCTGCTTCCAGTCCAGAAGGACCGACTAATGGGCCGGGGCCTTGGCTCCCCGCAGCCAGAGGGAGCTAGAGTCTGGGCTGGGGAAGCGTTTCCCTTTCCCTGCCAGCCTCCCCCGCAGCTCCGTGACTGCCCCTGGCTGTGCCAGCTCGGCTCCTTTGTGCCAGGGGAGGGAAGTAAGGAACTTAAATATGTTGGGTGCAGCCAGGTGTCACACCGAGCCCGGGCCTCCTTCAGGTTTGTGTGCCCTCATTAGTCACCCCGTCAACCTCTGCACCCCCAGTTTTGTACATGAAGAAACTGGCTCCGGCAGCTCAGGTGACTGGCTGGTGACTTATTTGCTGTCAGACCCAGGACAGATGTCTGAACCTTGCTGGGCGTCACTTCCTCATTTGTCAAGTGGGAGGAATTGTTACCTTCAAGGTGGTTATAAGGATTAGGTGTTTAAGCCTCAAAGGTGTTGGGTGATCTTTTCTTCTAAGAATCTTTGGAATAATTCTGATACAGGGAAAAAACAAAGAGCGGACTGTCCCCCTGCCCAGCCATCCTCAGCCATTCCTCCCGACCTGAGCTGAGTGCCAGAAGAACCAGATTCAGTAGACGTTCATCAGTACCTACTATGTGCCAGGTGCCACTGTGTCATTTAATCCTCTTACCCTGTTGGATAAGAAAAATTTAGCACATTTTATAGAAGAAGAAATGAGGTTGCAAGAGTTTGAAGTATTTGAGCTGGGGTCACATGGTTGGACGAGCTGAGCGGCTCAGCAGAGTGCTGACAGCAAAGCCCTTTGCTCTTTATGTGACAGCAGGGCCCCTTGCTTGATCAGTACAGTGGCCTGGGAGGTCCACTTCACACCTTGCAGGTTTGGGGCATTAAGCTCGGTTCTCTTACAGTAAGAATGGAACAACTTCAGGACATGTTGTGCCATTCGCCTCCCCCCAACCCCCACCCATGTCACTCTAGTCTAATTCCTGGGCCTTGTTAAGCCCATCAAAATAGCCTTGTCCAGTCGGGGCCCAACCCCAAGTCCATCTTCTGTTTTCTTCCTACCAGCTCAAAAGAAAGGTGGGGTCACTACGCTGTTTCCTTCCACTCCTGTCGTGCTGCCAGCAAATAGCAGCTATGAACTTGGGTGGCAGTAAACTGGCTGAGTCTAGTTTTCCATGAACAGCCAGGGCCAGTTTGTTATATGATCAAGGGGGTGTTTTTCCTCAAAGGCAGCACGGGACTGGCAGAAGCTCAGTGAGAGGCTGGTTGAATAGCTCTGTGTTCTTGCCTGGGCCGCTCTGCCCATGAGGCTGGGACCATGGAGGGAGCCTGGCCTGGTGGTTCAGTGTCTATGTCTGTGTCTGGGGTGGGGGTTAGCAGATAAACACAAGATGTATTTGGGACATACTTACACTAAAATATTATTCACTGTTTATCTGAAATTCATATTTAACTGGGCAGCCTATATATTTGCTAAAATCTGGCAACCCTAGACTGGGCAAATCATACCACCTCGTGGAGCATCAGTTTGCTAATTTGAAAAATTAGGCTAAGCCACCCTCCTTAGGAATACTGTGTAAATCAGTAATTCATCTACTCCTGGAGTCTGGTTTGGCTCAGCTGACCTGAGCACCCTGGCTTCTCCACCTCTGGCTCCCCACCCTCTCTTTCCTCCGTAGTTTCCCAGGCCTTGAGGGCTGCTTGCTAGGCCTAATGGAGGGGTGAGCTGATTGCTGCATCTGGAAGCCTTTTCCCAGAGCCTGACCTTGAAAATCCAGGCCCAGCTGGACCCACCCAGCACTTAATGACTACCAGTACGGAGGCCCCACTTCTTGGTGTTTGCATGAAGCAGCCCAGGACCTGTGAGGCTAAGAGGAGGATTAGCAATTGTTTCCCTCATGATTTTATTGTCTCCTGGGGACCCTGCTTTGGGCGGTCTGGATGTCTGCCTTGGGCCTAGTTTGAGGCGCCCCGAAGGTGGAGCCATCTTGGTCTCGTAATTTGCTCTTCCCTGCCCCCCAAGAGGGAAGCCAGAGCTAGCGGGGCCAGCACTGCTCAGGAGGCAAGGTGGCCTACCTGTCGCACACCCGGAGGAGGAAATCATTGACCAGGCTCTCGTGCCGGCTGCAGATGCTTCTCTGGAAGGCACTCTTGAGCCAGTCCTCAATGCTGCACACCTGCACGCGGCTGGAGTGCCAGCAGATGGAGAGGCTGCGGAGTGCCGGGCCCAGGAGGAAGTTGTCCTTCTGGAGTTCAGTGAGGGAACGGAAGTGCAGCAGGGACCAGAGTGCGGGGTCCTCAAACACGTCGTGGAGCTGGGAGCAGGTCCTGGCAAGGCTCTTCCTGCTGTCCTTGTCTAGGAAGGAGAAGAGGTGCAGCAGGCACTCCCGGTTGAGCTGGGTTATGTGCATGGTGAGCAGTGGCCACATGTGAGTGCAGCTGCAGCCGGGGGACGGCTGACCTGCCTCCTCTCCTCCTCCCCGACTCTGGGCCGGTGGACATATATGGTTGAGGAATGGTGTTTATTTTTGGCTAACAACTGGTGCTGAAGCTCTGCGGAGGGGTGAGGGAAGAAAAGCCAGGACCCAGACACATGTGCGGCAGTCTGTGGTTCGGCTTATGTTCAGAGGGATTGGAGGTCCTGGCAGAAAAGGAGCCTATTGAAGTTACTTTCCTTAAAAGGGATTTTTTTTTTCCCTTTAGCTGACAATGGTGTTTAGCAGTGAGCACTTTTGGCTTTTCCCAAGGCGTTTTCATTGGCAGTGGTGGCGGCCAGGCCAGCTCTGTCTGGCTTTGCAGTCTGTACTTAGGGGGAAGGAGTGTAATTGTAAATGTTAACTGTTTTGATTTTCTAGTACATCAGTGTGAATCTTTTGCTCCACCCTTACTAGGAAGAAACCTGTTGCGTGTGGAGAGCTAAGGGTGACGGTTGTGAGTTGTGAGCAGAGTCCATGGCTGCTGCCTCATTCCTGTTATTTTTGTGCCATAGAGTAATTGTCTCCAGGCTAGGCTGGTTGGCCTTCAAGCCCTGCTGCCTGCCACTAGGCAGGGGGATTTTCCTGGGCCTCCCCAACAGCTAGATTTTTACCCTGAGTTGTTTCATAAAAGAATTTTACTGAAGTAGCTGCTTTCCAAAGTTGTGTGTCTGTGTTTTATGTTTTATTGGTGCTTTGTTGTTGTTGTTGTTGTTTTTGTAGTTTTGGTCAAGCAGTACTTTCTGTGTTTTAAATTTAAATTTACTTGGCTTTACATTTTCTCACTGATAAGGCCTTGTACTATGTATAACCTGTACTTCCCAAAATGTCAGGATGGATGAGGTAGCTCTTAATGTGAAACTGCTTGAAACAATTTTAAGTTCAGTATTTTAGTCCATCTTTGCCTTTAAGTTGACCACACACCATCCATTCTATGAGTGCCCTCCGTTCCCTCTTGGAGAAGCCAGTGGGCCACCCCTGCCCTCTCTGACTCAACTCTAGGCAAGGTGCCTGGAGGTACTATCCGTGAAGCTCCCCCTTCCTGAGTACCCGAGGCTTCACGATATGGCAGACCCGTTTCCTCATGCTGCTTCACTCCCAAACCCAGGACCCAACCTTAACTCTCCTGCTTTGAATCCCAGTCGTTGTTTTTTGGTTTGCTTGGGGGATGCTGATATGGTGCAGCTGTATAGGCCACGTTCTGCCTAGGCAATAGTGAGAAGAGAATGGTTTTTCCTCTGCCAGCCCAGGGACCACCACCTCAGTGGTTACTTCTGTTTGTTCTCCCATTTGGAATAAGAGGGAATGGGAATCCTTGTGTTTTCCCATAGACACAAATGAAGCAGCCTATGCTGAACCCACTTCTGGAACTAAGGTTTGGTCAGGGCTGGTGCAGCTTTGCCTTTAAAGCAGAAGGCAGTCAAGCAAAGAAGGAAGTAGCCATTGTCAGTGGCTTTCCTGAGAAGCCAGCCTCAGCTGGTGCCCCTGTGCCTCCATTACTCCACCATGCCAAGATGAAGTACAGTAGGGGGTTCTCTTAAAAACAAACCAAGGAGGTCGAAAGGAAGCATTTCCCAAGGAAGGGGAGCAAGATACTGCTGCTATTTCAAGCTCATCAATGTAGTTCTGAATTATAGCTGACACCCTAATTTAGGCTCTGTCTAGGTGTACTTCTCCACTTAAAATGGATGCTGCAAAACCACAGGTGGTGTTATTAGAAAGCCACATTATCTCCACTTTCCCTCCCCAATCCTCCTCAAACCAATGCTTTTCAGAGGGTTTGACCCTTAGGAATAGGTGGTTCTTTCCACTTCTTGCAAGGCCAGAGTGGTACTTGTGCCTTCCACTGAGTAAGTGTCACTGTGCTTCAGCATGGCTTCCAAGTTGCACTACTGCAGCCCAGCTGGAATGGCAAAAGATTGGCAGGGAGAACATTTAGAGCATTGCCCCTCTGCTGTTCCTCCAGGTAGGCTGCAGGAAGCATCCTAGACTACCAGGGCCAGGGGGAATGTGCTCCTGCATGCTGCAGAGGGTCTGAGGCACAGCCAGGAGATGACGAAGCTCTGCCCCTTTGGGCTTGTCCAGAGCTATGCTGTTTGGCAGCAGTGACAGCAACCACGCAGCCTCTGACCAGCACAGCTGCCAAAAGAATGTGCCCTACGGAACAAGGATGCATAACAATTTGAGCTGCAGGCACCTGTGTCTTCAATTTTAGAAGACTGACAAGAACAGGCAAAGGATGACTGTGGAAACAGGGTTCTGTCTGCAGGAGGCATGGGGGCAGGGAAGTAGTCTATAGGAACTTACTGTAAACAGGATGTTTATTTAAAAGCACTTATTTGCCTGTTTTACCTTAAAAGATGACCAGTATCCTTTGCTCAGAGCCCCAAAACTAGTGCCTCAGGGTAGAGTCTAGCTCTAAAGGGGAAGGGAAGGGGCCTCATTTTTATAAGATCAATAGTCACAAGAGACTGAGGGTGATTTCACTGGGCAAGGCCGAGTGGGACCTCAGGCACCTGACTGCAGGCACTCATCTCCAGGCCATCACTTTGCCCATACAGGTCACTTCATCCTGGCCCAGGTACTGCAGCTCCAAATCGTGGGGATTCTGTAAGAGCTTGCTACCTGTTGACTGAGGAGGCCCACGAGTTGAGTAAGTACATCATCATTTATGTGGCTCTACTGAAAAAAGGTGTTCAGAAATAAGTCAAAAGGAAAGAGAACAGACTTTTAATGATATTTTTAAAAACAGTTCAGGTTGGTGAAGCAGAAAAGGGATGTGATTACAATTTAAATGAATCAGTCACTTGCACAATTAATCCTCTTGGCATCATACAAACTGGGTTTTAATGGCAAATGATGACATCATAGCATGACCAACACTCATGGAAGGCAGTCTAGAGTCCATCACGCTCACACCTGAGGGGGAAGGCACTGCACCCACTGACGAGACGCAGAGACCTTGGACTACAGATGACACCACATGCCCACTTCTCCTTCCTCACCTTCCTATGGCTACTCCTAGTCACCTGGGACCCAGGCCTTGGCTGCAGGAACAGACTTTTTCCATCGGCTTTTCCAGGGCCCAGGTGAAGAGGCCACTTCAGCAACAGAGGGTACAGGAGAGAGTTTAGGGGCTGGTGGAGATTAAAGTGGGATAAGTGTATCTAAATAGACTTATGTACACTAAACCAATGAAGGAGAGGTTTGGCTTTAAGAAATAAATATGCCCCCAACCCCAGAAACCAAGCTGCTGAGTAGGTTCCACAGGCGAGATACACATTTAACACTCACCCCGGGCCAGTACACTTGACTGGTTTAATTCTAGTACATCTGTCATCACTATACACTGAGTAGAATACAGTGGATAAGCAAAGGTTTCTCCACCATGGAGAGAGATTTGTGTTGCCACAAACTGTTTCTGTCACCCACCCGTGTGGGGACTTCTGAGAAAGTTTTCTTGTTCCAAGGAGCCATGTGACTCAGCGCGAGGCCCTGCCTCAGCAGAAGCTCTGAGCCAGAAGCCACATATATTGCTGGAGACAACATGGCACAAGGGAAAAGCCCTGAAGAGGACAAAAGATCAGCTTTCAAAATAGGTGTGGTAAGGCTGCACAGTTAAAAATGAAAACACAAATAAGCACATTTACATCACTGCTGTTCAAGTGCACAATTGAGATGGATCCAATCACTTTTCTAAAGAATCTTCACACCATTCAAACGTTTCTGTTCAAGTAAAACCAACCAATAAAAACAAATTCAGAGAGAAGACGTGTTCATCTCTTAAGCCAACAGCATCACCTGTCTGAAGACCACTCTGCCCGACAAAGTAGTCCAACGTGTTGCTGAAGTTCCATTTGGTATAAAAATACAGCTTTTTTTCACCATCAACTCTGCCCAGGCCTTTACTGTTTAACAGCTGCCCATTCAGAGAGACTGAAGATCGAAGTATCAATGTTAGAGGTTACAGCTGTCTACCTTCTAAGCAAAAGAGCCCGGATTCATAGGAGATACTTTGCAAGATCAAAGGAGACTCACATTTCAGGTTGAATTAGATGTGATGTTAATGTGTGATACATCAGATCAGGTGGAGCTGTCATTTTTGTAGATCAGAACTCATCAAATAGCAGGGTTTCATACAGTTTAACCTAATATAATTTAGCATTGTAAATTAATTTAAGCACACATCTCCCTATTATCTTTTAGGACTCAAAGTTGTAAGACCTAAACATGATGGCAAAGTTTTATTCTTTGGAGTGAAAATTTAGACCAGCATTGTCCTACGCCGTATGTGGGTGCTGAGCACTTGAAATGTGGCTAGTGTGACTGAAGGCACTGAGTTTCTAATTTAAATTTCAGTCACATGTGGCTAGGGGCCATTGTACTGGATGATATAAGTTTACACATAATTGTAATTTGCTCCTTGTCATGTTAAAGTGTTTAGCAGATGTGTTCTGGGAAGATGTGGGATTTATCCAGTTAATATTAAAATGGAAATGGAGCTACATCTGCTCCCACAACTTCAGATATCCAACCTGAGGGAAAGCCACCAGACTGTTTTTATATCATAAACTTAAAAAAAAAAAAAGGTCAAGATGTTTTTAATAGAACAGGCTGGGCGTGGTGGCTCATGCCTGTAATGCTAGCACCTTGGGAAGCCAAGGTGGGTGGATCACTTGAGCCCAGGAGTGCAAGACCAGCCTGGGCAACGTGGTGAAACCCCATCTCTAGTAAAAATATTAAAAATTAGCTGGGTGTGGTGGTGCCAGCTACTTCGAGGCTGAAGTGGGAGGATCGCTTGAGCCTGGGAGGTTGAGGCTACAGTGAGCTGTGATCATGCCACACTGCACTCCAGCCTGAGGGACAGAGTAAGACTCCATTAAAAAAAAAAAAAAAAAATTGCCAGAAAGTCTCGTTGGCTTAACACAAGATACATTTTGTCCCTTGTGGAGAATTGGTAGGCTATGTCTACCAACCCCCACCGCCCCCAACCAAAAAAAAGAAAAAAAAAAAACCACCACAGGACTGTCTTAGAACACTTGTAGAAACCACAACTGCTTTCTTTAAATGGGATTCTGGTTCCAAATTTGAATCTTTGAGTTAAATCTGTTTTTTAAAAACAAAACTGTCTGGGCGTGATGGCTCACGCCTGTAATCTCAGCACTTTGGGAGGCTGAGGCAGGCGGATCACCTGAGGTCAGGAGGGAGGTTGAGACCACCCTAGCCAACATGGTAAACCCCCGTCTTTACTAAAAATACAAAAAAAAAATTAGCCAGGTGTAGTGGTGGGCACCTGTAATCCCAGCTACTCAGGAGGTTGAGGCAGGAGAATTGCTACTCGGGAGGCCGAGGTTGCAATGAGCTGAGATCGTGCCACTGCACTCCAGCCTGGGCAACAGAGAGAGACTCTTGTCTCCAAAAACCCCCAAAAAACAAAACGAAAACTCCACTTACTTACTCCAACAGTATTTTCAACTTGTCCTATCAATCAGGATAGGCCAGAGAGAGGTGTTAAAACCCAGAGCAGCGAAGATTCTAAATTTCCTCCTGTGGAAGCACACCCCCCAGTGATAAACTGAAGTGCGGGTGATGATCCAAGTAAATCCCAGAGGGTCACACCTCAGACTCAGATGCCAAACACAAGCAGTAAGTAAGTCTATAATGGACATGTCGTGACTTCCAGTGGTACAACTAAGGGGGAATGAGATACTGATTCAAAAGGAGGCAGACGCCATGGCTTTACCTCACTGGTAACACCTATACCATGTCAGTGAGTCACAGCATTTTTTTTAAACATTACATGTATTTGGTCTTTACTCCCATCTTACCTCCCCGCAAACAAGTATGCCCCAAAACCAAAAAAACCAACAAAGAGAGTAATTCTTGTATTTGCAGGACAAGTACAACTGAACCAACAAATTTATTTAGTTAGTGCTGATAAAGACAGCAGCCTTGAGAGACAAGCAGTAATTACCTGGTCTACTTAATGATGCCCTTTGTTATATTTTACAGGCAAAAAGAATGATTCCTCAGCAGTCATTGTGAAATTTTGTGGGCCACAAGTATTGTGCACACATGATCCTTGATTTAGAGTCAACCTGATGTCCATTATAGCTGTGGAAAGGCAGCAGGCAGTTGTGTCGCTCTTCACAATAAGGAACACATCTTGCTTTCAGCATGTGAGAGGAACAAAAGCATTGATGTAAATGTGCCTCAAAGTGAGAACTGAAAACATTAACATAAAATAAAAAAGTCAAATAAGACTAAGTTCTTACAACTACCTATAAAAATTGAATTATTACAACTAAAGCAGCAAATCAAAACATCTGCTGAGGTTTTCTGGTAGAACAACAACAAAATTAGTTGGTGCCCATGTTCAGTAAGTCACTACCATTGACAAAACTAAATCCAAAATAGGAAATTGAAAAGTGCATAATGAAATTAAATCTTGTATCAAGTATTTGTGGAAAACTGGAAATGTTTCTCTGGTATGGTTGGTGAATGATGATTTGGAGGAGGTATTAAAGTTTATCCGATCCAGCTTTGGCCTGGTGTTCCACGTAGAAAAGGATGTAGGCCTTCGCCTTCACCACAGTCTCCTCGTCAGTCAGTGTTACAGTACTGTCATTGAAGTGGAACCAGCGGCCTTCGTGAGTTGCGTATGCTGTGTAATGTCCAGAACCAACCCTGTAAAGGCAAAAGACCAAAGGAAAAAAGAACCTCAGAAATCACAAAAAGACCTGTACAACTATATAATGTTAGATTTAAATTTTAATAAGAATACATCCTAGACTTTTGATTTAAGATGCTTGTTAAATTAATGTTTTTACCTTCCTCCAAACTGACCAGAAATCGAGGGTTTGCTAGAACACAAAGCAGATGGCCCTGGACTAATGGAGAAAACAGAGATGAGGAACTCGCAACCTAACAAGCACAGGTCAAAGCCTACGGAAACATGGAAAACTAGGTACCAGGTTTTCCCATCAGAATCTTAGGAAAAAACTAAGCTTAACAAAGAAGGGCACCCTTCCCTGACACCGTGGTCATCAGGGGCTCTACCCTATCAGCATGACCCACCCACTCACACACACAACCCTGGAGTCAGTCCTCCAAGTCAGACGGAAGGCCTGCAGCTAGAACAGACCTTTGTAGGTGCCAGGAAAACCCTATTTAAATAATAAAGATCCATCTCATCATTTACTATGATTCCAAATAAACCACCAAAACCAAATTTTAAAAACAAGCCTTTTGCACGCCTACAAAATCACATTTTTGAGGGGAAAGAAATACCGGGAAGAACAAGCAAGGCAATCAACCCTGAGGAATTGAATGCAGAAAACCTAAGAGAACTTTACATTTTTAAATTAGTGCTAATAGTTTCAAAAAGATAGTGCAATCATAAAACAAGAATAGGCTGTTACGAAAAAGTTGTCAGAAAAATGTGACTGATTTAATATAAATATTTTATGGAGGAGCTTATCTTTTATTTGGATACAGATGAAACCCAAATTGGTGATTTGGAAAAGTAGGCCATGGCAGTCTTTAGAAACACAGACAGAAATCATTAGAGTATTTAAGACATGTGGAAGGGAGATCCAGGAAATTCACTATGCATATAATAGGGGTACAGAGAACAAATGATTTCAGACCTACAGTATAGAGAGTTTCATGAGCTGAAGGCACCAAATTAAAAGTGTCCCTACCAACTACCAAGCAGGAATACACTCCAAGGAGAAAAAAGCCAGGTGCCTGTAAAGTAGTGAGAATCAGACTTGTCATTCATAACACTATGTGAGTGTAGACGTTACTTTATCACAGCTCTGCGGGAAAAGGATTTTCAACATGGATAGTCGTCTGCCCACATATAGTAGTCTTAAGTTTGAAGGTAAAATAGCCACTCTCAAACCAAAAACCAGAAGGTTAGACCCCTCATACAAACTTTCAGGGGAAAAAATTAATGTTTTTTAACAAGACTTAAAATGAGTCTTTAAAGTAGATGATATGGAGTAAGTTATTCCAAGTAATTTCCCCTTTTGCCCCATTTAAATTTCAGTTGGTAAACGAATAAGCAACTTTGGAGTTTGTGGACAAATAAAGACTGGGTCGTAAATACTGGGTTCAAATGAACCATTCTTCATTTCACTTTTATTTACCTTCCCTTAAGCCTTCACAACATCATCTGAGGAGTACTCTTCCGCACCAAAACTGAAGGAAATTTCACCTACTTTATCTGAATCCATTTTTTAGGAAGAACTAGCAAGAGTGGTACAAAACTGCAGGTCATTGGGCTGGCCACCAGGTATTCCCACCCACCAGAAGCTGGCTGTTGTACTCACCCGGAACCATGGTGCACCACCACAGCGGCGAGGTCATACAGGCAGCTCTCCGGGCCACTGTTCTCAGGCTACAGAACAAGGAAGAAGGAGCAGTGGTCAATGACATCAGTATCTCGATGACCTCTACCCTCTCCATGTGATGACAATCTTACTGAAGAGCCATTTTTTCACCATGCTAAAAAGGTAACCACCTTACCTCTAGTAAGTAGCATTTCATGTCTAGGCCTCTCAGTGGAAATTCTACGTATGTATCAACTTTATTTCTTAAATATGCTGTCCAATGAAATCTTTTCAAATGTAAGCATAGCACCTGGAGGACAGAGATGCGGTCAAAGATTGTGAACACCTAATTTACCTTTCAGTCAAAGTTTGATACTACTATCAGTTCAGTAAATAACATTTTAGCTGCCCTATCAATCATTCTTCCATGCATACCTTATGCATTCATTCTGTAAGGGGTTTAGCTTTTACTGAAAATCCTAGAGAAAAATACAGAACAGTTCACATAGTGTAAAGTTATAGACATGGTCTTAGCAGTCAAGCACTTTCCCATTGAAATTGCTTCATAACTCAAAATTCAACACTCACCTTGGGTAGTTTTTGAATCCAAAACTTTTTTGTGGACTTTTGTTTCTTTTTGCATTTATGGCACATATATAACTCTGTCTCATCAAGTTCTTCTAAGTCGGTAAAACTGCGAAGACAATCTAAACAAATTGATTTTGGCAGCATTAAAACAAGATGCCTTTTGTAGAGGCAATGTACTGTAGAAAAAAGACCCAGGTTTAAAATCTCAGCTTTATTAGCTATACGACCTTAGAAAAGTTAACCTTTCTCAATTGCAAACTGGAGACAAAAAATAATACCTACTTTGAAGAACTATTATAAGGAAGAGAAATAATGTGTAGAGCACCTGGCATCATGCCTGACATCTGGTGATGATCAATTGTGTTGGTTTTACTATTAATGATAATTCATCTGGATAATTCTGATAAAATGGTTTCCTGATGAATTTAAAGTTTCAATTGTAGTTTTCTGTCAATATGTTACATTATACAGGACAAAGCTCCAAACTCATAAAAAAAAGTCAAATTTAGATAATTTAAAAATAAACATAGATCACAGAAGGCTACACTATCAACCTTCTCTGTCCAGACGCTGTACTCTCAGTTCCTAGATAAATCACAGCTACATTTTTTTTCATTTAAAGATGTAATTGTGTAACCTGGGGTTTAGTAAACTACAGTCCTAAAACATCCAGCCAGCCACCTGGTTTTGTAAATAAAGTTTCATTGGAACAGAGCCATGCCCACTTGTTTACATTATTGTCTGGCTGCTTTTACACTACACCAAACTGAGTCACTGGGGCAGAGACCTTATGTGGTGCAAAGCCTAAAACACTGTAAATCTTCACTTAATATCATGACAGGTTCTTGAAAATTGTGACCTTATGTGAAGCAACGATAAACCACTTTTTTCTCATCAATGTTATAACTAAACGTTAAAGGAAACTATTATTGGAGGACCTGCTGTATGTCATTTTGCTTTAAACTTGCAGTTTCCAAGAACCTACTGATGACATTAAATGAAGACTTACTGTATTTACTCTTTGGCCCCTGTGCCAATTCCTGATGCAATCAGATATTCATAAATCTATATAAAATACACGTTATTCTGTAGAAAAAATATGAATGCCTATGGACCCCACACTTGGATTTTCTCGAGTACTCAAGGAGCCAGGGTCTCTGTGCACGGCCTCTCCTAGAGTTGTGCAGTGGACAACCTGTGTGGCCATGTGCTTCTTACCAAAGATAATTCCCCTTCCTCTGCCCAGAAGTAGCCATTATCCTGACTTTTATGTCATTTGTCTTTATAGAACATGTATGTATCTTTAAATAATATATTAAAGTTGGGTAGCAAGCAGAAACCTAGCTGTGTACAGAAAAGCGCTCTTGTCTCTGTACTCAAGTTTCCAAGCCATAGTCAGCCTTTGTGTCCGCGACAGTAGCAGACAGCGCCCCTTCAGGGAAAGTTAGTGGAGGCAAGGTGTGGCAGAGGACTAGACAGTCTTGAATATGCCTTTGTTGCCTGATCCTAGTACCTAGAAGGCACATTCCTATGCCTGCCTCCCTACAACTCAATTCTCGCCTCCCTGCAACTCAATTCAATTCTCACTTCTTTGAGACTTTCTCAACCTCCAGTGGACAGTTAACCATTCTTTCCTCAATTTCCCACAAATACTACATTGCCAACCTGCTCAACCTGCTATTTTATGTCAGTGATGGTTCCTGGGAAAGGATGTATTATATTTTGACATTACAATTCCTGAAGCAAGTCTCAGACATTACAACCAAACTTGCAAATAGAGTGATGCTGTTCTCAGGAGCCTCCCAAGTCCTACATCTCTGGCTACAAAGAAAGAGCACTGACTACACAGCAGACTGGCTGGCTGGCACTAATAATCCCTTCAGACTGATCACTATGGTGCTTGTGAGCTCTGCAGCTGAAGTCATGGGTGCTTTCTTCAGCAAGTATTTGTTACATCATGTAAAAAGCTATGGCCTTGGCGGGGACAGCGGGGGTCATAGGGAGAATAAGAAATAAGGAAAGGAAACACAGAATTTTCCACATTTAAAATCATCATTTGAACACTCAAACTAGAAAAAAGGAGAACTTCAACATGACAAAGGCCATATATGAAAACCCACAGTGAATATCACACTCAATGGTGAAAGACTGAAAGCTTTGCCTCCAAGATCAGGAAGACAAGGATGCTCACTTTTGCCACTTCTGTTCAACATAATATTGGAAGTTTTAGCTAAAGCAATCAGGCAAGAAAAAAGCATCCAAAATGAAAAGGAAAAAGTATAATTATCTCTGCTGACAGATCACATGATCTCATGTAAAACCCTACAGTTAAAAAGTTAACTACCTGAAAGCTATAAAATGTTGCTGAAAGAAATTTTAAAAGACATAAAGACATCCTGTATTCATGGATAGGAAGACTCACTATTGATGTCAGTTTTATTCTATATTGATGTCAACTTCATCTATAGATTCAGTGCAATCTCAAACCAGTAAATTATTTTGTGGATGGTGACAAAATTACTCTAAAGTTTATTATGGAATGGCAAAAGACCAAGAATAGCAAATACAACATTGAAGAAGAACAAAATTGAAAGACATTCACATGCCAAAAAAAAAAAAAAAATTCTAGACACAGACTTTTATACCCTCCACAAAAACAAATAAAGTGGACTGAAGGTATAAAACTTTTAGAAGATAACATAGGAAAAAATCCAGATGACCTTGCATTTGGCAATGGCTTTTTAGATGCAACACCAAAGGCACAATCCATGAAAGAAGGATTTATAAGTTGGACTTCATTAAAATTAAAAATTTTTGCTCTGTAAAAGATACTGTCAAGGGAATGAAAAGACAGGATACAAAATCAACACACAAAAATTAGCTGCATTTCTATACACTAACAATGTATTCATTGTTAGGTATTTCCAAAAACGAAATTAACATAATTCCATTTATAGTAGCATCAAAAAGAATAAAGTACTTAGGAATACATTTAAGGAGACAAAAGACTTATACCTGAAAACTACAAAACATTGCTGAAAGAAATTTTTAAAGACATCCTGCATTCATAGACTGGAAGACTTGATGTTGTTAACATGATTATTACTACCCAAAGCAATCTACAGATCCAATGCAATTCTTCTCAAAATCCCAATAGAAATTTCTGCAGAAATAGAAAACCCATCCTGAAACTCACATGGACTCTCAAGGAATCCTGAATAGCCAAAACAATTTTGAAAAAGAACAACAAAGTTATAGGACTCATACTTTCAATTTTAAAACTTACTACAAAGGTATAGTAATCAAAACAGGATGGCACTGGCATAAGGACAGACATACAGACCAATGAAAAAAACTCTTACTATATAGTCAACTGATTTTTGACAAGAATGACAAGACTACTCAATGGGGAAAGGACAATCTTTTCAAAAGATGGTGCTGGGGAAACTAGGTATCAACATGCAGAAGAATTAAGTTGGACTCTTACACCATATACAAAAATTTAAATAGATCAAAGGTCTTAAACATAAGTCTTAAAACTATAAAACTCTTAGAAGAAAATGTAGGGGAAAAGCTTCATGACATTAGATTTGGCAATGATTTTGATATGACACCCAAAGCACAGGCAACAAAAGAAAAAATAGATAAGCTGAACTTTATCAAAATTAAAAAATTGTGTATTGAGGGATACTATAAAGAGAACCACAGAATGGGAGAAAAATATTTGCAAATTATGTATCTGGATAAGGGATTAATGGCCACAATATATGAAGAACTCCTAAAACTCAGCAACAAACTGATTCAAAAATGGGGAAAGGACTTTAATAGACTTTTCTCCAAAGAGGCACAAATGACCAACAGACACATAAAAAGATGCTCAACATCACAATTACTAGGGAAATGCAAATCAAAACCATAGTGAGATACTACTTCACAGTTACTAGGATGGCTGTTATTTAAAAGACAAAAACAAAAGCAGAAAATAACGTGTTAGCTAGCAAGTGGAGAAATTAAAACCTTTGTACCGGCTGGGTGCGGTGCCTCACACCTGTAATCCCAGCACTTTGGGAGGCCGAGGCGGGTAGATCACGAGGTCAGGAGGATCGAGACCATCATGGCTAACACAGTGAAACCCCATCTCTACTAAAAATACAAAAAATTAGCCGGGCATGGTGGCGGGTGCCTGTAGTCCCAGCTACTAGGGAGGCTGAGGCAGGAGAATGGCGTGAACCTGGGAGGTGGAGGTTGCAGCGAGCTGAGATCATGCCACTGCACTCCAGCCTGCGCGACAGAGCGAGACTCCATCTCAAAAAAAAAAAAAAAAAAAAAAACAAAACCGTTGTACCTTGCTGGTGGGAATGTAAAATGGTACAGCCACTGTGGAAAAGTTTGGCAGTACTTCCGAAAGTTAAACAGAATTATGATTCAGCGATTCCACTCTTAGGTATATACCCAAAAGAACTGGAAGCAGGAACTCAGATACTTCTACACCAGTGTTCATAGCAGCATTATTTATAATAGCCAAAAGGTGGGAAAAACCCAAGTGTCGTCAACAGATGAATGGATAAACAGAATGTAGTCTATACATACCAGAGAATATTAAGCCTCAAAAAGGAAGTAAATTCTGAGACATGCTTACAACATGGATGACCCCTGAATATACACTAAGTTAAGCCAATCACAAAAGGATAAATATAGTATGATTCCACTTATATGAGGTGCCTAGAATAGACAAATTCATAGAGGATACAATAAGAGTTACTGGGAACAAGAGAGGAAAAGTAATGAGTTACTGTTTAATGGGTACAGAGTTTCTGTTTAGGATGACAAAAATTTTTACAAGTAGTAATGGTTGTATAATATTTTGGGTGTGCTTAATGCCACTGAATTACACACTTAAGACACTTAAAATGTTACATTTTATTCTATGTATATTTTACCACAATTTTTTAAAAAATTGTTTTAAGAGACAAGGTCTTCTTCCTCTGTCATGCAGGCTGGAGTATAAAATAGCTCACTGAAGCCTCAAACTCCTGGGCTCAAGCAATCCTCCCCAGTAGCTGAGATTACAGGCATGAGCCACACTGTGCCTAGCTCATTTTTTTTAATTGACAATGTCTGCTTGAAACTTTCACAGGCAAATAAGAAGGCAGGGAGAGTATGACTCTGAAATACTGTCACTCCAGCCTCTCCATCCCATTAGCCAGATGGTTTATGATTCACCAGCAAGACATTGTTGCCTGTGCTACCTAGCCACACAACACTGAGAAGCAGAAATGCCTCAACAGCAGAGAAGCCTTTTTCCCCCCCCTATATTTAACCTGTACAGACCCACTTTCTGAAGGGGTCTCCCCGTGTGTGGAAGCATGGGGTCATTCAGAGGGCTACTACTGAGTTGGCAGGTGGTATTCTAAATCTCCTTTAGTAACTGTTTAGAAGCTTTAATTTCAGGAATTTGATACCCTGAGGAGCACTGAGATTACTGAAAGAATCTATCAACATTTCACAGTAACTCATCTGCATTTATGTGAAATGCACATAAATACTAGACTGCTCTCTTGTTCCTTCTACCTGCCAGGCAAAGCCCCTGCCATCACCCTGCTCCTTTTCTGAAACCAAAGCACCTCTCGCAGCCTTCCTTCCTGTCCTCATCTTCTCTCCAATGCAAAGGAGGCTCTTTATGCCTTCTCCCAGCATCTTCCAGCATCTTCTTGCTTTCCAACATTTTCTTCCTCCCTGCCTTTTTGAGTTGCTTAAACTTACAAGGTGACCATGTAGTGGTCTCCCTGCTGATTTATGCACAAGATAATGGAAAGTTAGTCCTTTTCTTCTAAGACCACATGAGATACCAAAAAGGAATAGACATGATCAGGTCAGGCCCATAAGATGATTCATAAAGAGGCAATATAAGCTGAGCCTGGTTTTTCAAACCCTCAGTTTAAAAAATGGTGGCCCTAACTGCCTTGAGAACCCCTCTCTGTTCTCCCTTTTGGTACTGCCTGCCAAGAGGTGGGGACATCCTCAGGATCACAGCCAAAGCAGAAGGTAAGGAGACTGGTGTGCCCAGTAGGGCCTCCTGGGGAGTTCCCCTAAGAAAGTGCTATTATAGTAAACCCTAGTTGGATTAGTAGAGAACAATCTCCACTACCACTGTCATCTCTTCATGGGTTTTAAAAAGTTACCTGAGCATCCCCAGAAACCTAATGCCTATTTGTAATCCTTAGCCTCCCAGAGTGCTGGGATCACAGACATGAGCCACCATACCCGGCCCTAAAAATCAACTTTTAAATCACAGTTTCTAAACATAAAATTTCTGAACTACAGTATGTCTGAATGATAAGCTTATAAGGGATGTATATGTTCCTCTTTTTACTTTTTTGAGTTTTCTCCAAATTCTTCAATAAACATATGTATAAAGAAAACCATTATTAAAACATACAGGCCAGGCATAGTGGCTCACGCCTGTAATCCCAGCACTTTGGGAGGCTGAGGTGGAGGATCATTTGAGCCTAGGAATTCAAGACCAGCCTGGGCAAAAGGGTGAAACCCTGTGTCTACAAAAAATACAAAAAACACAAGCATTGCAGCATGTGCCTGTAGTCCCAGGAGACTGAGGTGGGAGGATCACCTCAGACTAAGAGGTTGAAGCTGCAGTGAGCCATGATCCCACCACTGCACTCTAGCCTGGGCAACAGAGTGAGACCCTGTCTTTTAAAAAACAAACATATGGGCCGGGCACAGTGGCTCACACCTGTAATCCCAGCACTTTGGGAGGCCGAGGCAGGTGGATCATGAGGTCAGGAGTTTGAGACCAGACCAATATGGTGAAACCCTGTCTATACCAAAAATCCAAAAAAAAAAAAAAAAAAAAAATTAGCCGGGTGTGGTGGCTGCACACCTGTAGTCCCAGCTACTCAGGAGGCTTAGGCAGAAGAATCGCTTGAACCCGGAGGCAGAGGTTGCAGTGAGCCAAGATTGCACCGCTGCACTCTAGCCTGGGCAACAGAGCAAGACTCCATCTAAACACACACACACACACACACACACACACACACACACACACACACACACACACACAAAAACCAACACAAACATACATATAAACACATGGAAATATATTTCTTTAAGGGGAAGACTATCTAGATACAACATACCCTTAACATTCACAGATTTGGCAACTGCTATTTTAACTATTTGAAAAGCCTGAATGACCCTGAAATGTACCTCAGTTTAATATTTTGCAGCAGCATGAGTGTGAATTTCACCTCAGAGCTCACATGTGGAAGTGAATTATATGGCCTGTAAAGAGTCTATTAGCAGCCAGGCACGGTGGCTCACGCCTGTCATCCCAGCATTTTGGGAGGCCGAGGCAGGCAGATCACTCGAGGTCAGGAGTCTGAGACCAGCCTGGCCAACATGGTGAACCCCATCTCTATTAAGTACAAAAATTAGCTGGGCATGGTGGCTCGTGCCTGCAATCCCAGCTACTCGGGAGGCTGAGGCAGGAGAATCGCTTGAACCTGGGAAGTGGAGGTTGCAGTGAGCCAAGATTGTGCCACTGCACTCCAGCCTGGGTGACAGAGCAAGACTCCATCTCAAAAAGAGTCTACTAGCTATCCAGTGTTCACATTTCAGTAAGGATCTGAGGAAGCTGCTTAATATTTCATTTGTACTTTACTGCATTTCCTAAAAGAAAAAATATATATTTATATAAATATTAAAATAAGTATATATGCATATATATTATATATTCATATATATATTATATATTCATATATATATGCACCACTTTCTGAAACTCTTAAGATTCTCAAAGATTTCAGGGCATGTATTTCACAACCGTCAGTCTTCCACATGATATAAACTGTTAAAACAGCATCTCTATGGAAAGCAGGAAATAAAGCTGGTTTGTTGAAGTTAGTTATTAGGTCAACTTTATATACTATATAAATTTAATTTAGCAAAGCAGTAGTTTGGAAGTATACATTAAGTTAATATGCATTTTTTACTATCCCCCAAATAGGTATTATAAAGGTGACACACATCGGTTAAAACAAATGAAAAAAATAATTCATAGTTCCATTTCCCTCCTGAATCCCACTTCCCTGAGATAATCACTGTGAACAGCACAGTGTATGCTGTTTAAGAATTTTAACACTCATATAAATGTTTTTTATCTTACACAAATGGAATTATTCCACACACATATTTCCATGGACAGTTTTTTACTACACAATATTTTGTAGCTATGTTTCTATGGCATAGTTACTGGTCAACTTTATCTTTCTTAATTGCCACATAATGCAATTTATTAAACCAGTGCCCTACTGGTGGACATTTAAATTGTTTGATTTTTTTCAATAACAAAGTGTTTAAAATCTTTTACACATACTATTGTCCACCCTTGTAAGTGAAATTAGTATGTCTAAGGAAATGCCTATTAAAAATGGTGATCACTACCTCCAAAAACAACCATGCCAATTTAGACTTATAACAACAACACGAGTGTCCTCTTCCACTGACATCCATCTTTACCCTTTTCACCAATCTTGTTTTACTTACATTTTCTTGAATATAAGTGAGGATTAACACTTTTTAGATGTTATAATGATCATTTATATCTTACTCATGTACTCTGCCCAAGTCACCTTTTTCATATATGTCCAAATATTTGTCTCAAGTTTATCATCTCTTTTCCACTTTGTTTATGGTCTTTTACCATTGCTCAATTAAATTTATGAAACGTTTCCCATTATAGGTTCTGGCTTAGAAAGCTCTCCCCTATGACAAGATCATAATAAAGATGCTTTCCTATAGTGTCCTGTGGTTTTATGTTTCACATTTAAATATTGAAACCTCAAATTAATCAGGGAAAGGATATGAGGCAGGGAGGAAATTAATGTTTTCCCAAATTAATTTTCATTTACACTAACACCATTTATTGCCTAATTTCTTATTCGTCCCACTGATTTGACATTCTTTGGCATATTGTAAATTTGCATAAATATTTTACATTAGCACCTGCTCTATATTAGTAGTTCTAGGACATTTCCTATCCCACTGCTATGTTTCTACCTTACTTTCATTTTAGAAACTTCTTTAGCTCTTCTTGAGAATTTCTGCGTACAGAGGAATTTTTGAATAAATCAGAATAAATGTAGGGAGTAATTTGGGAGAAAATGGACATTTCTACCATATTGGGTCTTCCCATCCAAGAATATGATGTGGCTCTTTTTATTCAGGCTTTATCTGTCCTTTTATAATGTTTTATTAAAGTATTGCATATTCCTTATTAAATTTATTAAGTACTTTTGAGTTTTTATTGCTACTGTGAATAGATTATTTTGCTACATACAGAAAGCCAGCTGGCTTTTTGCCTGAACTTTTTAGCTCCATGTTTATAATATATTTATCAAAGTATTACTTGTGTTTGATTTTTTAAAAATTGAGGGCTTCTAGAAAAGCAGGTGTCCTCCTGCCTAGTCTCACTCTCCATGGCAATAGTTGTTAATATTTCTCGTAATTTTCCAACTGATTATCCTGAAATGTTCTAGGTATATAATCAATCTGCCTGCAAATGTTAATAATTTGGTCATTCTATAATTTATTCTTATTTCTTTTCCTAGTTTATTGCCTTGTTCCTCCAGAAGACATCTGAGCAATATTTCAGTAGGCCTCCTGGCTTATTCCTGGCCTTACTGGAAAATCATCAGTGCTTCACCATTAACTATGATGATCACTGATAGCTTTTAATGAATAATTGTCATCAAGTTAACATTTCTTTTTTTTTTCTTCTTTTTTTTTTTTTTTCTGAGACGGAGTCTTGCTCTGTCGCCCAGGCTAGAGTGCAGTGGCGCCGTCTCGGCTCACTGCAAGCTCTGCCTCCCGGGTTCACACCATTCTCCTGCCTCAGCCTCCTGAGTAGGTGGGACTACAGATGCCTGCCACCATGCCCAGCTAATTTTTTTTTTTTTTGTATTTTTAGTAGAGACGGGGTTTCACCGTGTTAGCCAGGATGGTCTCTATCTCCTGACCTCGTGATCCACCCGCCTCGGCCTCCCAAAGTGCTGGGATTACAGGCTTCAGCCACCACGCCTGGCCAAGTTAACATTTCTATTCCTAATAAAAGTTTTTTCTTTTCTTTGTTTTTGAGACAGAGTGTCACTGTGTTGTCCAGGCTGGAGTGCAGTGGCACGATCTCGGCTCACTGCAACCTCCCTCCCCGGTTCAAGCCATTATTCTGCCTTGGCCTCCCGAGGAGCTGGGACTACAGGCACATGCCACCGTACCTGGCTAATTTTTGTATTTTTAGTAGAGATGGGGTTTCTCCATGTTGGCCAGGGCTGGTCTCGAACTCCTAGCCTCAAGTGATCTGCCCGTCTTGGCCTCCCAAAGTGCTGGGACTACACTGCACCCACCCCTTTCTTCTCCTTTTAATCAGTAATATATTTGGGATTTTATCAGTATCTATTTGGACTTTTTTTTTTTTTTTTTTGAGGCAGGGTCTCACTCTCTCACCCAGGCCTAGAGTACAGGAGCAGTGCAGGCTCAATGCAGCCTCCAACTCCTGGGCTCAAGTGATCCTCCTTGCCTAAGCCTCCCAAGAAGCTGGGATTATAGGCATATACCACCATGCCCAGTTAATTTTTCTTATTATTTTATTTATTTATTTTGAGACGGAGTCTCGCTCTGTCACCAGGCTGGAGTGCGGTTGCACGATTTCAGCTCACTGCAACCTCTGACTCCCTGGTTCAAGCTATTCTCCTGGGTCAGCCTCCCAAATAGCTGGGGTTACAGGTACTCCCCACCATGCCCAGCTAATTTTTGTATTTTTAGTAGAGACGGGGTTTCACCATGTTGGCCAGGATGGTCTCGATCTGACCTCATGATCCGCCTGCCTTGGCCTCCCACAGTGCTGGGATTACAGGCGTGAGCCACCACGCCCGGCCTTCTTTTCTTTGTACAGACAGGGTCTCACTATGTTGCCCAGGCTGGTCTCAAACTCCTGGGGTCAAGCAATGCTCCCACCTTAGCCTTCCAAAGTGCTGGGACTACAGGCATAAGCCACTGTGCCTAGGCATTTGGCCTATTAGGGCATTTTGATTTGTTTTCACCTAATTATATTTCTAGTATTAAATCAGTCCTATTTGATCTCTGAATATTATTGTTTTAGTACACTGCTGAGTTGTATTTGCTAATACTTTATTTAGGATTCTTCGATCTATAATATAAGTGAGATCAAACTACATTTTCTTTTTCATGGTATCTGTCAGGTTTTAGAACTGGGGTTATTTAATGCCTTTTGCAATATGCGTATTTTTAGTTAATTTCAAAAGTTACTTAAGTTATTTAAGATGGGTCTTTCTCACCATCACTTTTCCTTTCTAAAGGAAAACTAAGCTTAACAATTACAAATCCAAAAAGTACACAAGTAGTTCTTGCCAGGTGGACTCAAAGCACGTAGAAGACATACTAGGTAATCACAAGTCTCCATCTCCAGTAAATAAAGAAAGGTGTATCAGTCAACTGAAGTCCATGACATTCTGGATGTCCAAGAAGAGAAGTGCCCTTAATGATAAGGGTGGTCAACAAAAACACAGTGAGGAGGTACCAGACCCTGTCATCGACTTTTTAAAGCCGACAATAAGCTCTTAAATAAAAATCAAGCCTGAGGATTCAAACGAAAGCCAGCTGAGAATACAGGAAACATGTTTCCAGCCAAACCCTAAACTACTTGGGATGGTCTGGGCCCCCTGAAGCTAATACCAGTCACATCAGATTTCAAGGATTCTGTGCCAAGAAAAATACTCCGTGGGATGCAAGGCAGATGCCACTTGCCACTTTTCTTGTTTGGGGAAAAATCAGCCATCTATAAGCTGTGTCATGCACTCTCCTCCTGGATGGGCTCGAGAAGTGAGACTCTGCTTGATATTAAACTATTCTGGGATAAGTCGTAACTGAAATGTTATGAAAGTCAATAAGAACTACATATAGAACCAACTCAGAATGAGGGAAACAACATAGAAAAAAGGAAGGAAGCAAGGAAAGAAGCCTAAACAAACTAGTGTCTCTGAGTCTTCTAGCCAAAGATCATCTGGATTTACTAAGTTTTGTTAAACATCAGAAAGTACTGTTCAGGCTGGGTGCGGTGGCTCATGCCTGTAATCCCAGCACTTTAGGAAGCCAAGGGGTGTGGATCACTTGAGGTTAGGCGTTTAAGACCAGCCTAGCCAACATGGCAAAACCTCGTCTCTACTAAAAATACAAAAATTAGCCAGGTGTGGTGGCATACGCCTGTAGTCCCAGCTACTCAGGAGGCTGAGCCAGGAGAATCACTTGAACCTGGGAGGCGGAGGTTACAGTGAGCCAAGATCGCGCCACTGCACTCCAGCCTGGGCGACAGAGCAAGACTCGGTCTCAAAAAAAAAAAAAAAAAAAGTATTGTTCAGATATATATCCATGTATTTATAGCGAGGAACAGTTTTTAAACTAATGTGATTATTACTGTTCTTATTGAAGAGTTTATAAAATGATACAGTTTGAGGCTAATTCCTTTAATTTAATTCTCACTGACTTCCACTGTAAATAACCAGATATTCAGATATTTATGGTTAAGTTAGCATGTACTCACATGCCCTAGATATAAAGAGAAAATGTGTGACATTTGACAATATCAAGCATACTGTGATATTTTCTTAATCTCAAACAGGCCAAAAACAGTTTTGGAGACACATACTAGAGCCATATATTTTGCAGAGAAGTGGAGTGGGGCTTTTTCTTCTGTATTCCTGTTAAGGAGACAATCAACACTGGTTGTGTAGGTAAGGAACAAACTAAGAGCATCTACAAAATGTTTCATATACAGAGTTGCTCTGGTTCCTTACTGGAGTGTAGTCTAGTCATCCCACATATCATCTGACAGATTTCTAGAAACGACCTGAGCAACAGTGCTACAAGTGTCTGAGACCTCTGCTGCTTCTAATAAGCCAAATGCCTCACATTACATAGAATGCCAGTAGCACAGAGAAGCCTAGCCCTTCTCCAACAAAAGTTTTATTTCTACTAGGATAATCTGATCCTAGGGTAGTGCTGTCTAATGCAGGAGCCCCCTACTAGCCACATGTGGTTCCTGAGCACATGTGGTTCAAGTGTGATTAAGCAACAGAATTTTAAATTTTAATTAATTTAATTTTAATAGCTACATGACTCGTGGTTATCATATTGGACAGTGCAGTTTGTTTTGTAAAAAAAAAAAAAAAAAAAAACCATCATGACAATACTCCCTAAAATAGAGAAGAGAAAAGAGCATTACTTTTAGTGAACATACAAATCAGAGTAGAAACTGTTAGCTTCAGTGTAGAGTTTCTGATAAAATACAGACTCGGCCTCTTTGGTCTATCCTAGCTTCTTTATATAACTAGCAAGAACAATTAGTCATTTTAATTGTGACCTGTCTGTACACTTATGGTCTAGGATAAAATTTTAAATAAGGTCTTCTGCCTTGATTACAGTAGCTAGTACTCATCAAGCAAAAAATATGTTCAAATCTCCCTAAATACATGTGAATTTTAACAGTCTTAAAAGCAGGGCCTCAGGCTTAAGCAGCAGTTGTATCATCCATAGATTTCTCAAACTATTAGGCAACAGAATACGTAATACTATAATTTATAAAACTCTGCTGAGTATTCTTTCTTCCTATAGATGCTAGTGGGATAACCACAGAATAACTTCTGTTTCATTTGGTCAGAAAAACTTTTGCTACAGACCTTCTATTTTAAAGTCAGTATTTCAAAGAAGAAAAAGGTGAGAAATATTTTATGCTTCACACAATATCTTATGGCACACATTCTTATTCAATAACATTTTGGGGAGTAGGAAAAGACATTCAAGTTTGACTTTTGTTAAGTTACAACACAGATTCATTAAAGATATTAATTAAAGATACCACATATAGATGAAGCTTATCAATCTATTCAATTATTTAAAGAAAAAAATTTTTAGAACATTCAAGTATCTTTACCTCGTAACGAACAAACTGGTCCATTTTCTTGATTCTTAGAGCGCTTACTTCTGAACTGACTTGGAATATCTAATGAAAGGTCTTAAAAGGAGAGAGAGGTAAACAGAGAGCTGTTAAAGGCATATATGTCCATTCAAAATAATTTCACAAACTGATGTATTTCTAGATTTCTCTTTACACTTATTTTTTGAAGGAAACATTAAATTTATTTTAATAAAATATTATATATCCACATGCCACATATATCTTACCTAGGAATGGATCAAACTTTCTAGATTCTGTCCCACATATGAGGCAGTTAACCTCATTTTGGAGAATGCCTCCGAATATAGCCGTGACAACAGTAGATGCTCCATTTCTAAACAAAATCACCACACAGGAAAATATCTCAGTAAGAAGCCATCTCTTTGACATTTAAAAAACTACAAATATTTGTTAAAGCCCCTACAGATGACTGCCTTTGAGGGAATATTTAAGTCATTTATTTCTAAGTTAAAAAATAATATAAAAATTTCAAAACCATACAGACACATACTAAATAAAAGGTTTAAGCTACACTGGCCTCCCCCAATGCCCTCATCCAATCCCACTACTTTCCCCAAGAGTAACTAACACTGGCCATTTGCTATCATAACACAGATCACATGCATGACTCTGCACAGGGCAACATGACTCCTTCCATTTCCTCCCCAAGTTAGGCCTCAAAAGGATGAAACTGCCTTGTATTGGAATCTTTGCAAGGCCTCTTACATTACAGGGAACTCTCACAATTACTTGACTTTGAACATCCTTGATCTGAGATAGTTTTAGAGTTTTTATACAGCCATCTGTCAGATTTGGGGAAAAGGAAGTAAAGGAATTTAATACAGATTTAGTAATTACTGCTGGAAGTAAGACTTCACAATTGAAAATTCTGGATATTACTGCGGAGAACACTTTTTAAAAAGCTCACTTAATATTGCAAATAATTTCCTTGTGGAGATGAAGAATATACTGTTTTAAGAACGATTTTCAAAACCACCTGCCCTAATGTTATTTAACCTTTTTATGCCTCTGCTCCATCAGATATAAAACAGGAATACAGGAAGAGTACCCACCACAGAGGCTCAGTGTGTAGATGAGAGAGTTGTGTATGTGAAGTGCTTTTAGAAGAGCACTTACCAAAAATAAAGCACTTAAAGTGTTTGCCACTATTTTATTAGTATGAAGTCAGATTACACCTGCTTCTTACTTTTATGTTTTTCCCTAAGTGTGTATCTTAAACAGGTACCTCATTCTTCCTGACAGCCCCACTGTGTGTCAGAGTATGGACATACAATGGAAGCAAGAACTACTGAGAAAGCGTACCAGTGAGACCAGGAGTAGTAGGCACTTATAATAGCACTTACTACACGCAGGCTCCATTCCAAGCACATTCTTTCCATCTAGTCAATCAATTAATCTTCACAACACACCTGTAAAGTAGCTACTGTTAGCCCCATGTTGTAGATGAGGACGCTGAGGTTAAGTTAGTCCAAGGTCATACTGCTGGTCTGGCCTGAATATCTGTTCTTAACACAGCTCTTTCAATTGTTTGCTATCATTAATAGTACTACATGAACACTTGTCTATTAGCCTTCGTGCACTTACGGAGTTACTTGAGCCAATACACGCTCTTTTTTGCTAATAGCAATATAAGGTAGTTTCTGTCACTTGAATCAATTACTCCTAAACACTGAAGTGTATTTTCTAGGCCACTTTAAGTTAAACCTACTGCAATGATGACAAAACCTACTCGAGCAATTCTATTTGAAAAGTTTGATTCCTTTTCTAGGAAAAGGCTTCCTTCCTTTACTGACAAAATAAATAGGCTGTAACTTTATTATTACTTTTTAAAGTACTGTTTGTAAGACATATTGTCTTAAATTTTTTTTTAAAAGATGGCATTGGGGAAGAAGGATTGGGAGCTGTAGGACCTAGTGGCCATTTCAGCTTTAGGTTTAATATCTGTGTCACTAAAAAAGGACATAGCAAAAAAAAAAACAAAACCCTGCTGAAAATGAAGGGACTCTAACTGACCCTTTCATGCTGATGTTCACATACAAGTTTGCCTTTAATTAAAATGGAAACTGCTTCATTAAGAATTACATTTAGACTCAATGTAGTTCTTCCTTGTAATCACTTCCTCTGGGAAATGGATACTCATCAAGATTTTAGCTGCCTGACATGTTTAATATTAAGTTTCATATATACCATGACTTAATATTAAAAATGAGTTTCATTTATTATAACCACAACTGTTTAAATATTGAATACTTATTGGATAGGCTCTTATGATTCTAGGGTCCTTTAGCTGGCACTAATGATTTCCTATGTGCTATAAAGATCACATCTGCCACTTATTTCTTCCATACCACCGTCCTCACCTTCACCTTCAGTAGGGGTAGGTGTGTGTGTGCACAAGTCAACAAAGACATTGCACAAGATACCTTTTTCTAGTTGTAGCAAATATTCTTAGATCCTGAAATGGCTTTTCCAATGCACTGAAGGAAATCTGAATTTTTAATATTTGATAATGTTTGGTTTCTGTCCCTAACTCAGTAATAAAACTTGCAATCCTAATCTTTAAAATGTCATGAAAAGGGATAGATTAATCCTGAAAACTCATGAGGCACTAAAAGAACATTCTGAGTATTACACAGTGTGATTCCACAGGGTGCCCAGGCATCATGTAAAATCATAAAGACATATACCCTCTCTCACCTCACACAGCCTATCCATGATAGTGCCCAGTTCAATATCCTTTGTGGATGAATATGCCATGATAAAATACAAAACAGAATTTTTCATTTAATACTTTTTAATTTGGTGCTAGCAGGAAGAACAATTCTCCCAGGTCACAGGTCCTTCCCTTTCTATATTGGATTCTAATTGGAATCACAGCTACTAGGACCTAGAGGGACAATCATTTTGAGAAGTATGGCAATTCACATTGGTTGCCCTTTTCTAACACTGCTTGGTTAGCTATAAGCCTGTTTTGCCATTAAAAAGAAGTAGTCCTACCACATCCGATTTATGGACTGCCAGGCAATACAATGACACCTATATGTTACTTACTGTTTTCTCTCTGTTTGGGGGGAGTTTGTCTTCTTGTAAATCTCTCCCATGAAGCTCAATACTGATGAAACTTTTCAAAACATTTGAACAAAGGAGGCTGCAACTGACCAAAATCCAGGCTAAAATAACATTAAATCTTCCCTTCTTCAAGCAAAATAAGTGTCCTGATCTCAGTGTATACTTGGGGGCTGCTAGTACATGGGAAAGCAATCCAAAAGCTTTGTTTTATTCATATTGAGAGGCAAGAAAAACTTCTGAGAACTTACAAATGCCTCGATTTCATTAAAGAACAGATAAACTTTAGGAAAGTTCAAGTCCATAATGAAGCTTTAGGAAAGTTCACATTCAAAATGTTTTAAGCTTTTGTTTTTAGTGAACAAATATTATTTTGGTATATGAAAATTAAGTCTCCTGCCTATCATTCAGTATATTTGGAGGAAATCTTCTAAATGCTGAACTGTACAAATATTTTCTATTTTTTCAAAATTTAAAATAATCTATACCAATTAATCACAGTCAGAACTAAATCAGGATGCAAATACAAGATGCCTCTGGTCTAGAAGCAAGAGGTATGTGCTAGTTCACTGGGTCACAAAGTTCAAGGGCACGAAAAGTTCCAGCAAATGTCCAAGAAACCCCTCTACCTTCCGTTATAAATCTAACACATAATTAACACCAAAAGAAATGTCTGAGGCCCTCCTAAAAAACAGAAGGCAACTAAATCTTACATGCAACACTTGTTACTTGCAGACAGAGTAGAATTCTCCTGCAGAATTGCTGAGCGGGAAACACCGTTGAAACCGCCCTGAAGTTCCAAGTGTAGGTGGTCCAAAAGGTAGCGCATGAATTCATGGGCGTCCTGCTGTTGATAGCCCCTAAAGCAAACAAACAGTCACTTATAAGGCCGGGTGGAGGGCTCTTTGTGCCCAGCCACACCAGCAAGAGGCCAAGGCGTGGAAAAGGACGGCAGCCCCGTGCTCACAAGCACAGCCAGGCTTCCTCACCTTCATGCCCGAAAGCTCCACAGGTGACAGAATTTCTCTTCAAGAATGAATTCTACTGTTTAAGATAGGTTTGAAAACCAAAAAATATTGGAGCTAATTGGATTTGCAATGATCTCCTCACTTCAGAGGTGAGGAAATTGTGGAGGTGGCGGGGTGGTATGTGACTTCCCCAACGTCCTACAGCAAGAGAGTAACAGAGATGGGACTACACCTTTGTTTCCTGGTGGACTCTGACTCTTCTCCCTGCCCACATAACCTCTCTAGAAGATGCTCCAATGTCATAGCTTCACCTCTTACCCTCACTAGAAAACCAGGTGTGAACCACTACTATAAGAAAGGGGAATTTAAAATTATTAATGACTCCTTAGATTGAAAGATACTAATTTTTAAACACTGCCTGAAAGGAAGAAACACTTTACTGAAAGAGTTAAATACTTTTTAAAAATGCATTGGCTCATATACAGTTATGCTCTATCCTAAAACTTGAATTTATATAACAACATATTCTTAGGTTACTTCTTACAGTATAGTCAGACAGGAAACTATATGAAATTCTTATACGAATATATAGATCAATGACAGTGAACAGGAACAAAGGCAGACAAAATGAAACTGGAACAGGTGGAAGGTCTGGGAAGTTACTTGGATGAAATAAAGAAAGCATTGCTATATAAAGTACTTTTATAAAACTAAAATAAAAAAAACTTCTGTCTGCATTTTGCCAGCATGGAAGGTCTCTTTAATTAATCTAAATCATTAAGTTTTTCTGGTGTCATCTTAAGATTCAAAACTCCCACTACTCTTCCAGGCAACGGTTCCATAAAATTTCTTCCAACCAGAGTTTCTGTCAATATATATTTTCCCCTTTTCCTGGAAATTATAAATTATGAAAACAATCTCCCTAACCAATGGAACTTTGGAACTTAAAGTCAGAAGTTACTCTGGCATTTCACTGTAGCTTTTTCTAAACTAGCTGGCAACTAAATATCAATATATGTGTTCAAGTATTTCTTCTAAGGCTCATCAATAAAAATGTTAAAATTCAGCCAAAAGCATTCAAAGTTGGTAGTTCCTTTGTATATCTAAGGAGGTACCTTAAACTTATTTAATACAATATCCATTATTTTCATGACTCAAAGGTAAGATTAGTAGTTTTAGTATCTGAAATTCTATCACTTACAAAAAAATTTCATTCTCTCCCCAAAATAACCTAATATCTAAGTCATCATTTTCCTAAAATGTATCATGAAAACCAGCACCTTATAGCTATACCAATTTGCATTTTCATCAAGTCAACACAAGCCCATCCCATTTTAAAAAACAATGTGCCTCGTGTACATTAATGTATGTGTCCAACCATACCGTGATTTTCTTATATCAAAATGCATTATTTTCTATGTTTCCTATACCATTACAAACACATCTTCTTTAAACTACATGAGATCACGGAACACTCAGCTATTCTATAAAGGTAGGTTATGAGTCTATTTCAACTTGTGAAATTTACCAGGGAACACTCCCTGCTGCTCAGACTGGAACTTTTTCTAATTCTTACTAAACAGACATTTACAATTCTCTTTCTAAACATTTAAATGTATAACTTCATTGACTTATCTGAAAGCCTTAATATTTTATTTAGCATATTAAATTCAACAAATTTCAGTTATCTTTTCAATCATTTTCTAGTTGTATGACTGGGCTTCAGAATTGACTCTGTAGTCAACTTCAGTTTCTCTTGTTTTATAATCATGTTAAAGGAAACAGTCCTCACATTTGGGTGCTGTGTTTATGTTTTGTATACACATTTCAGCAATGTCACCCAAACAGCTGTTTGAGAATTAGTGAGGAAATGCATTTATGAAGAACTAGTGTCCCTGTGACAGACCGGAAGTACAGGAGAAAAGAAAACAGAGGCAAATAACTGGCTCCAATTTTTTTTTTTTTTTTTTTTAGATGGAGTCTCGCTCTGTCGTCAGGCTGGAGTGCAACGGTGCTATCTTGGCTCACTGCAACCTCCGACTCCCTGGTTCAAGGGATTCTCCTGCCTCACTCAGCTCCAGAGTAGCTGGGATTACAGGCACGTGCCACCACGCCCAGCTAATTTTTGTATTTTTGGTAGAGACGGGGTTTCACCATGTTGACCAGGATGGTCTCGATCTCCTGACTCGTGATCCGCCCGCCTCGGCCTCCCAAAGTGCTGGGATTACAGGCATGAGCCACCATACCCAGCCAACTATGGCTCCAATTTTAACACTGTTCCTTCTCTCATTTGTCACGTCAGACAAAGATTACCCCCTTCTCCTAAATCTGTCATGAGGATGCTGTGACAAATCACTGGGGGAGAGAGCACACTGCAAACACAGAAAGCCTAGAAGGTCTTGAACCATCCATTCCGAACACTGCTGAAGCACAGTGTACAGGAACACGCGGCAACTGTCTCTTCACAAGGTTTTGGCACAATGACTACAAACCAAATTTCCCCAAATCTTAAAGACAAATAAATGTTCCAATAAAAAATGATCAAGCCGGGTGTGGTGGCTCACGCCTCAAATCCCAGCACTTTGGGAGGCTGAGGCAGACGGATCACCTGAGGTCAGGAGTTTGAGACCAGCCTGGCCAACATGGCAAAACCCCATCTATCAAAAAATACAAAAATTAGGCCAGGCACGGTGGCTCACGCCTGTAATCCCAGCACTTTGGGAGGCTGAGGCAGGCAGATCATGAGGTCAGGAGATCGAGACCATCCTGGCTAACACGGTGAAACCCCGTCTCCACTAAAAATACAAAAAATTAGCCGGGCGTGGTTGCAGGCGCCTGTAGTCCCAGCTACTCGGGAGGCTGAGGCAGGAGAATGGTGTGAACCTGGGAGGTGGAGCTTGCAGTGAGCCGAGATCGTGCCACTGCACTCCAGCCCGGGCAACAGAGCGAGACTCCGTCTCAAAAAAAAAAAAAAAAAAAAAAATTAGCCAGGCATGGTGGTACACACCTGTAATCCCAGCTACTCGGGAGGCTGAGGCAGAAGAATAACTTGAACCTGGGAGGCGGAGGTTGCACTGTGCCATTGCACTCCAGCCTGGGCAACAGAGCGAGACTGTCTCGAAAAAAATCAAATAAAACGTTAGTTTGCACCTGCTTGAGTGTGAAAAGCAGACGTTCCAAATAATGAAATTAACATCCCAGAATATAGGCACATAAAAGGACTCATGTGTTCCCACCACATACTTAACTATGACATGCCTGCACATTACTATTTTCTGTGTCTTGGCAGTGCCAGTATATAATCTGTATATATTGTATGTAGAAAGAGATATACATATGTATAATCTAAAATACCTAAGATATGTTAGAATTTTAGGTTCTGCTCATATTTAAAATATCCTTGACATTAAAAAAAGAATTCTAAAGTTGTTGTTTTGGCCAAAATATCTGCAAAACGAAAATAAGTTAAATGTATTCCTACTCAGTATTTGGCAACAATCATGACTGAGTTTCCTCAAAACAAAAACACCAGAAAACAAAACTGACAAAAATGAATTAGTGTTTACAAACACACAAATACAATAGCAAAATTCTTGGCTACAGTGAAAATGGTTTAAATATCAAATATCAATAGCATAGTATTTTAAAATCTTTTCACAAATATCCCAAAAAGACTATTGTTAAATAAAACTTTAATTAAAGTATCACACGTGGCCAGGCACGGTGGGTCACAACTGTAATCCCAGCACTTTGGGAGGCCAAGACGGGTGGATCACGAGGTCAGGAGTTTGAGACCAGCCTAGCCAACATAGTGAAATCCCGTCTCTATTAAAAATACAAAAAAATTAGCCAGGTATGGTGGCACGCACCTGTAGTCCCAGCTACTTGAGAGGCTGAGGCAGGAGAATCACTTGAACCCAGGAAGCAGAGGATCCTGCAGTGAGCCCAGATCATGCCACTGCACTCCAGTCTCGGCTACAAAGCGAGACTCAAATAAAAAATAAAATTAAAAAAAAAAAAAGCATCACAGGCAAAGATCTATTTTTTGTCTACAAAAATCCTTTACATTGTCTATAAACCTGAGAAGAGCAAGCAAATATAAGAATTATGTGCCAATGATTATTTACCCATCATTTTAAACATTAATTATAACAAGAACTGATTTAAAAAAATAAAGTTCCATCTTGGGAAGTCAAGACAAATATATTAAATCAGGTTGTACAGAAAGACCTGATTTGAATCATCAAGAGACTTTCCTGAAGAGTGTTAGCTTTAACCGGGATCCTAGACAAAGAGATAGGGACCACAAGGCAAATCCTGTGGGCAGAAGCACATGACATACAGAGACAGCAAAGCAGCAAGACAGAGCTGTGTTAAGAAAAGCAAGGAGTGACAAAGGCTAGCAGAAAAGACTATCAAAATTACAGAAGAACATTTCCTTGAGCCCGGCACTTTCTCTCTTAGATACCTGCACATGTATGTAAAATACTACTCACTGCAGCACTGTTTAGAACAGCAAAGACTAGAAACAGTCCATAAAGCCACTGGGAGGGGACTTGGACACAAATTATGATACAACTGTAAAATGGTCTGAGGAAGCTATTTGTATACTAATATGAATCATCTCAAAGTGGGGAAAAAAAGATGATACATCACCAATTACATTAAAAATGACATAAACACACACACACACTTGTCTGTATATGCACACAGAATATCTGAAAGGATACACAAAACTCTAGTAACTATGGTTGCTTCCAGAAAACAGAATGAATGGCTAGGGAACAGAATAAAACATTCACTGCATATTCTTTTGTTACCTTTTGAATTTTGAACCACATATGTTTTTGCCTATTTAAGAAAATACACTTTAAAGTATTTTTATGAAAAGCAAAAGGATAGAAAGAGCTGAACATACTAAGAAATCATAAGAAGTGTGGTAAGTACATATGTATGTTGGAAAAGGTCAAAACTTCAAGAAAATTTTCCCTGCTAGGTAACTGGCTTTTAGTTTCAGTGGGGAAAAAAAAGAAAGAATAGGCTTAATGATTTCTCTATCCAAAGCTGCTGATTACATTGAGGGTGTGTGTGTTTTGGGGGTGTGTGTATGTATATATATTTGTGTATTTAATAGATGAAAGATGTTTCTACTTCTACACGCATGTTTGTATTTCAGAGTCCTCATATTTCATCCCAAAGGATCAAGTTCTCTAGACACTGTCTGTCATGTGTTAATCAAGGAAAATGGGCTTTTTAAACCTAAAAAAAATTTCTTTGGGATTATAAATAAACATAAATCAAGATTCATGCACTTACACACAGGCATGTTATAAGAATCTTACCTGCATACCTCACAGGGTAAGAGCTGTAAAAAGCAAGCCCCACCTCCCTGCCTCACACCTGGGCATTGTGCAGTGACCTGCACTAAAGCTTTATCCATGATATAATCTCAAGATCTAGATCTGACCAAGAGAAAAACTGTTCTTTGATTACATAAAAATGGGGAACAATCTCAATTACTGCAGAACTAAGAGCAAGCCCAGCTAAGAATACAAAAGCACCCTATTCTCATCAGCCATTCAAGAAATTTAAGAGTTCATGTATGATCTGAAATCTTCCCCAGAGACTCCACATGCTACATTCGTCAGCCTGGTTACCTTATTCCTTCATCAGTAGGAATATTCCAATGTGGAAATTAAACAGCTAAAAACTACATCATGCTCACAGTTGGGCTACAGAAGCTAGAAAGGACAGAGATGTGGAAAGATTTACAGGAAAAGCAGATTTCTACTGTATAAAATATGATAATGTTTCTAAGCTTTCAAGAATGAGGGATCTTGGTCACCATGGGGATCAAGGAAAACAGTATCAAATTAGTTAACGGGCCTTGTTCAAGGTATGTGGGCAAATCATTGTCAACAAATCTATTATTAGCCAACTCCACAAACACCTGGACTCTAATTTTGGTCATTACCCCACGAGATGTATAAACTTAAACAAGTCGCTTCTCCTCTCTGTCTCAGTTTTGTCTCCTCTAAAATGGGGGCAATATTTCCTGCTTGGCTGGAATTTTGTTCTTGCTTGTTTTTTAATGAAGACCAGATAAAAAATACCCAGTGGGTGGCACACAGTAGGCATTCAATAAATGTAAACTATTATTATATAATAATAAAACACAAAGACTAAACTTCTATCAAGAGTCTACTAGGTGATTTATGTTAGAAATTTTTTTATTAGGTCCAGACCTGGACAGTGGTAACTTAACTGTCATTCCTGCCTTTCCTTCTTAAAGTCAAGACATTCTCAAATTCTTATGTTTTTCCTGACAGGAGATTTAAATAGTATGATACATAAAAGGAGTTTCTTTCAAAACCAAGACTAGGGTTAACACTAGTTACTCATGTCAGATCCTCAAGACTAGACTTTTTAGCAAGGCAACAATTTAAAGTCCTTTGAAGTTAATTACCTTTTAAATATTTATCTATATTAACTACATCTTTTTAGGCAATAGGGCAAGATAGATGACTAAGTTTACTACAGCATGAATTTTTTTTAAAGAAAAGTAGAAGGGATGTATATTAGGTGCCAAAATCATAACTAGTAAGAACCATGACTTGCTTCAGAAGGGTAAAATCGGCAGAAGGTGGCCAAGGCTGCTGTCAAACACCTGTAGTGCCTCAAAGCTGCTATCACCCGAATCCCTACAGGGATGACAGACCTACGAGAAAAGGCAGGATTCCTCTGACAGCTAGGTGTACAGCAGAGGTGTATTTTGCTCAAGCGAGGTGAGACAGAAAGCATGGGCACCACAGCAGCTCTCTGGCCACACCGGGATGTGGCACAGCTGCCTTCTGGAGAGTGCATCCCAGGCGCTTGACCACAGCCTTCCCAGAGCTGCCGAACTCAGCTCCGAACAGTTCATATAATACCATGCACTTCTACTGATCTTATTAATTTTTTTAGCTGGAATAACAAGACAGTGTGTGATGGTAATTATTCTACATTGTGAAAGAATTAAGGAAATTTTGTCCAGTATGTTTTCCTAGTGCGCATAAGTTATTTATAAGGGCTTTATGTTTATAGCAACAAAATACCCCACCTCTTGTTAAAGACATTTCTATAGTCTATTATTTAAATAAACACATGTGTTTAGTCAGATGTATTCAATTTCAGCTCTTCTTCTTAAAAAGAAAAAAACACCAAACCAGTCTTAAGTATTTAGAATATTTAGAATACAACCACTTCATTAGGAATTATTTCAGGAACAGTATAAACACTAATATTAATGTTTAAAAATATCTTCATATAATACTTACCTAAAGTTTGGCATAATCTTCCAAACAACATAAAATAAGGACTCTGGGCTAAATGCAGTCTGGCTGCCTTGCCATAAAGCACAGAGTGTCTTTCTAAACTCTTCTACCAAAGACCTGCAAAAGAGGAAAGGACAGTGCCCTCAGATTAGTGAGAGGCTACAATTTCAACACAGCGTCCACCCATCTAAAATGCCTAATATATAGGAAATGAACACTTAAAAAGGATTTGGTCTTTTCTGAAGAAAGTCTGAAAGATACATAAGAGCATCTCAAAAACCCATAAAAGTAGCAGTAATTCTGACAAAGCTAATTTGTAACCATATGGTTAACTCTGAGTGTGCCCATGCACCGCCATGTTTGTACACTTTGAGTTAAAACACGCAAGCAAACCATACAGCACTGGGTGAGTTATAGGCCAAATGACTTAAGAATGTACATTTTCAAAATGCAAAACAAGCATTCGGCTTTCTTTCTCCCCCTCCTGCCTTGTCCTTCTTGCCACTCACTAGCACCCCCAGACTCCAGCCTGTGTCACTAACCTTCACCACTCAGCTCTCCACCAGTGACTCTCAACTCCAAAAGTCAGATTTTCTCATGACTATTTTTATTTAAACTTCTCCAGTTTCCAGCAGGAATTTTCTGCGGGAGGTCCTCTTGTCACTTTCACCTCTATGTGCACTGACCGGCTCCAGCATCTACTGCTCTCTGTACACCTCTCCTATCACCCAATATCCACACTCTTCTCGCATATGAATAGAACGCTCATTTTTTTCCTGGGCATATAAACTCTCCCAATAAAAAACTGAGTGTGTCCAAATTCTGGGAAATGTCTTAAAAAGAAAGAGTAGTCCTATAATAATCCTTTCCTTCTTCCTGCTAGGAATGAGGACGGAGTTGGGGAGCCCCAGCACCATGGGGGACTATGTGGATGGATAGGGCCTCTGGAGGTTGGTGGAAAAGAAAGCCAGGAGGAGCCCGATGGCTTTGTCAAACCACCCTAGACAGACAGCCTCTGACTTTTATGTGAGGAAACAAACCATGGATGTTTAAGTCACTTAATTTTGGTTTTCTACACCTGTGGCTAAACTGATCCAACTCAACTTCAACTTCCATAGCTGTCAACATAAGCACCATATTTTCGGATACTTGATTGGTATCTCAGAGAATCTCAATATCTTCTTTCTCAACCCTCACAATCACATAGGTCCCTGGAATACAAATCATATTTTTGACTTCCTAGTACTTGAACCCTCTTCCTATGTTGGAGAATCCCTACTTTTAAGAGTTTGCCTCCCACTTCCGAAGCTAAACAGCCAGACACTCGCCTTCTCAGGCTCCCTTGCAGTCAGAGCACAGGTACACAGCCTGGGCTTTGCCCATCCGAAGCAGGAGTTAGTGACACAAAGAAGAAGGGATGGCACCAAATCCTCTCTGGTAGCAGGGGGGGCAAAGAGCACCATCCGGAGTGCAGGGCAGCAGCATGGCTGTGTCCGCCAGCACCCATCTCCAGCAGTGCTGGCAACAGGAACTCTGCTGCTGCGCTGGGCACCAGAGGCAGTGGTGGCCTTACAGGACAGTTCTGTGGGGTGACTGTGACTGCGGTGCTGCTGCCTCGGACTCCAGACCTGATTTTTCACTCACCCAGTATGATTAGCTCACCAATAGCCCTGCAGTAAATTCCTTTGCTGCCTAAATCAGCCAAAGGCAATTTCTACAGCCTGCAACTCAACCCTGCATGACATGAATGCATCAAGTACTACTAACTCTTCTCTTAACTCATACACATGTATTTTTTCTACTGTTTCACTGCTGTCCCCTCTGACCTGATTACTGTAGAGTGCAAAGCCTCCTTGAATGCAGGCACTTTCAACTCATCCTAGATGCTGCTCAACTCATCCTAGATGCTGCTGTGAGGGAAACTCCCTTCAAACACCACTTGTAGTGACGTCATTCCAGCCCTGCTCCACGCCTGGCTTTCCAGTTTCCCTGCACTGTGACTCTCGCCCTACTGCCCATTATTCTGACATGTTCAGTCCTACTCTCCCTCAGCCACCAAGGCAGGAAAGTGTCTGATCACCCCTTCAGAATGAGTGAGAATGGGAGTGTGTGGAAGTGGAGGAGGCAGACAGAGAAAACATTAAATATATAAGGAGTACGAGTCACAGTCCTTCTGAAAAAGAGCTGTAAAGTTATGAAAAATGTGCTCACTACAATTGTCATAATGAAAGATCTTCTGAACCACAAATAAGGGAGGTCTACACCAAATGAGGATACAGGATTGGTTCTTAATGAGCACTTGTCCGTTTTCTTCCCCCCCTCTCCGTATCAACCAAAAATTGACTTTATTCCCCCACAACTAATCTGTTGACTACAAATTAATTTCAGTATCCAAGACAGGTTTACCTAACACTGTCGGACAAATCAACTCACATGGACTAATGAGATTCATAGTCATCTACACCTAGAACTGCACTTCATATCTAGATGCCAATTCTAGAATGCCCAAATCTGCAGAGTCAATAAGTAGAATGCTAAATTTATCCCTCCTGTTACGGTAAATAAAGGAATCCCAACAATTTTTTTTTTTTTTTTTGAGATGGAGTCTCGCCCTGTCACCTAGGCTGGAGGGCAGTGGCGCGATCTCGGCTCACCGCAACCTCTGCCTCTTGGGTTCAAGCGATTCTCCTGCCTCAGCCTCCCGAGTAGCTGGGATTACAGGTACCCGCCACCATGCCCGGCTAATTTTTGTATATTTAGTAGAGATGGGGTTTCACCATGTTGACCAGGCTGGTCTTGACTGACCTCAGGTGATCCACCCGCCTCAGCATCCCAAAGTGCTGGGATAACAGGCGTGAGCCACCACACCCGGCCGGAATTCCAACAATTATTAAGATTGCTAACTAGATATTTAAACACAATTTTTAGAAGATTTTTTTTAAGGCATGTGCCTGTTAGCTCACTTAGTACAATGGAAACCACCAGTGAAAGTAATTTGTTTTGTAACTCAAAGCCAGAAAGGACATACTCTTATAACTCACACATTGTTATCCCCTTGGCTCCTGGTGTGGTATGTCCGCCTTCCTGCTGTTTTCCCATTCCTTAACTCCACGGCGGGCAGTTCTTTGAAATAACAGCAAAACTGCTCAATGTTACTATTTTAAAAGGAAGGGAAAAATATTTTAAAAAGAAAAGAATAGGACTGTAAAGAAAGTTGATGAAGCCTACATATACATTTTGAAACTGCCATTTTTCAATTGTCTCATTTAAACTGTACTCAGTGCAATCTCTTGCATTCAGATTCTTCATTATGATTTTTCCTTCTCTCTAAGAAAACAGTATAGACAGATGACTTTGTAAAAAAACAAAAACAAAAAACAAAGAGCTGAAAACAAAATCTCTTTTCAAAAAAATCCCCAATTCTCCCTCCAGCTATAGGTAGTCACCATTTCTTTCTTTTCGGTTGCTTGTTTCCAGTTATTCAATAATTTCCTCAAATAAAAACAAACCATGAAACCGACCATATTATTTTGATACACTATACAGAATCCTAAGGAGAATTCAGTAGTAATTATAATTTCCTCTTTGAGCAAGAAGAGATAAGCTAAGAGGCAGTGCCTTCCAGGAGAGATCAAATATGCCTTCTGCTTCTTATCAGCAATGTAACCTTGGGAAGATCATTTATTCTGGCCTTTGATGTCTCATTAAAATCTAAAAGTATGCAACTTTCAAAATAATTTATTCTACAAAACTTAAGTCAGCCTTGTTGACTATTTTATTTTTACTACTTGTCTCATATTTTGAAGACATCTCATCTTATGACCTTGATTAACCCATTTATGCCTAGTGTTCCATTATTGGAACGCTAAGCTTCTGGGAGTTATTTATATCTTACTGATCGAGGTCATCACCAACGTCTGATTTTTCATACAGAAAAATTGCAACCTCTGACATAAATGGGTTAAAACTTAACTAATGACTGAAATAAGCTCTCTGAACAAGGCTCTCTGTAACCCAGGGGTCTGCAAACTGTAGCCCACAGGCCAAATCTAGCCCTCCACCAGGCAGCTCTTAAAGCGAGTTTTAAATTTTTAAAGTGTTGTTTTATTTAATTAATTAATTAATTTATTTATTTTTGAGACAGGGTCTCGCTTTGTCACCCAGGCTGGAGTGTAGTGGCGCCATCTTGGCTCACTGCAACTTCCACCTCCTGGGTTCAAGCGATTCTCCTGCCTCAGCCTCCCAAGCAGCTGGGACTAGAGGCGCATGCCACCACGCCCAGCTAATTTTTGTATTTTTAGTAGAGATGGGGTTTCACTATGTTGGCCAGGCTGGTCTCAAACTCCTGACTTTAGGTGATCTGCCCGCCTCAGCCTCCCAAAGTGCTGGTGGGATTACAGGCCTGAGCCACTGCACCTGGCCCTAAAGTGTTGTTTTAATAAAGAGCGGGGGGGTGGGGGATATCTGAGAGAGACTGTAGCCTGAAATACTAAAATGTTTACTATCAGGCCTTTCACAGAAAAAGTTTGCTGACCTCAGTTCTAGCCTATTCAAAAAGCAACCGGAAATAACCGCAAACAACTATTCACTGCAGGACACTGCTCTAAGTACTTTAGACAAATTACATTATTCAATCTTCCCAACTACCCCATGAGGTAGGAACTACTGTCCCCAATTTTACTGATGAGGAAACAAAAGCACAGGAAATTAAGGTATCTTGCTCCAAACCATATGACTAGAGTTAGTGGCAGACGAGATAGGGAGCCAGAGCCCGTGCTCTTAACCTTTAATGTCAGACACTTAAGCTCTGACTGTAGCGTTACCTGAGTGACTGAAGGATGGCATTCATGAAACATGTGTTCCCCAAATTCCGAAGGCCTGTGGCACAAATGGCAGTGGTGCTTCCCTGTAAGTGGTGCAAGAAGAGGCCATCAGTAATGCCAAGGGAAGGCCAACTGTTTCAAACATCAAAGCTAAGGAAAGGCCTCTGAAATCTAGCACCAAGCCAATTTGGAATTGGTCCTTTTCTGTCCAATGAATATTTCAAACAAACTCTCTAGTCTCTGTATAAATGTCTGGATATTTTTAGAAGGCTGTTTCTGATCCTGGGATTGTTCTAAATAGAAGTATCTTATTGAAAGCTTATGAGGAAATCACCATTAATGAGTACCATGGAGTACACAATGCAAAAAACAGGAAATCCTTAAAATAACATTTAAGACTTAATGCCTTTTTAAGATTCTATAAAAACTAAGAGAAATGGAAAAAATATAAATATATACACCCCAAGTATTTTTGTCCCCAAACTTTTAACTCTAAGCCATACATAAACGACCAATACACGTTTTCCTAACAATGGGATATGAATCTTGAAAAGCTGCCTGAGGCCAGGCGCCTCAAGACAGGCCGCCAACATGGCGAAACTCCGTCTCTACTAAAAATACAAAAAGGCTGGGTGTGGTGGCTCATGCCTGTACTCCTAGCACTTTGGGAAGCTGAGGTGGGTGGATTGCCTGAGCTCAGGAGTTCGAGACCAGCCTGAGCAACACGGTGAAACTCCGTCTCTACTAAAACAGAAAAAGTTAGCCGGGCGTGGTGGCGTGTGCCTGTAATCCCAGCTACTTGGGAGGTTGAGGCAGGAGAATTGCTTGAACCCAGGAGGCTGAGGTTGCAATGGGCCAAGATTGTGCCACTGCACTCCAGCCTGGGTGACAGAGTGAGACTCCATCTCAAAAAAAAAAAACAAAAACAAAAACAAAATAAAAGTACAAAAATTAGCCAGGCGTGGTGGTGTACACCTGTTGTCCCACCCCCTTGGGAGGCTGTGGCAGGAGAATCACTTCAGCCTGGGAGGCAGAGGTTCCAGTGAGCCGAGACTGCGCCACTGTACTCCAGCCTGGGCTACGGAGTGGGACTCCATCTCAAAAAAAGGAAAAGCCGCCTGAAGCTAAAGACTTAGTCTTAAAAACAAAGGCTGGGTTTTCTGATGACGAAGGAGTGTGAGCAAGTATTAAGAGTGAACTGTTTTCTAGGGAAGAGGAGCACAGCAGTAACGCTGATGGGAAGAAGGTGCTGACAGATGGACTCACTGGGGTCACGGCAACAATCGACAGTACAGGTGGCAAACATTGTGTAAAATACTCCAAATCCAAGACACACATTTATAAAAGTCTGTAACAGGTAACATTACATGTTAGAGTTGTAACAAAACAGTGATTAAATCTCAACTAACTCTTATATTTGAATAAATTTTAATTACTTACATTTACTTTTAATAACTTGCTGTTTAGTGTTGAGTTTTCCAAAAGTTTTCTTTTCTTATGCCTGTCAGCTGTGAAAGCTGAGCTATTAAAACACAAACAGATAGTGAAAAAGTTATTAATATATGCATGCTACACCACAGGTGAAAGAATAAACTCCAGCTGCCCTCAACACCTAGGGCATGGAGACCTCCCTGACTGCTTCGTCAGGCCTACTGGGGCCCACACGTATTTGAAGTTAACCGAGGAGCTCTACTTCCTTGGAAATCCCCATTGCTCCTCCAGCAGAGGTGGGCTGGACACTGCTCCTGGCAAAGCTGGCCGGGAAGATGCAGCCCGTGGGACACTCCCCACCACCACTCTCACAGTCTGACTGACTGCGAAGCTTCACAGACCAGAAGGTTCATTCCTCACAAGAAAAGGAAAACCCTGGTCTGATACTACTGTTCTGAAATTTAACAGTAAGTCTCCATATGCTATTTCTTTCTTAATTTCAATAAAGATGCCATGTTTTGCTCATTTGTCTTAATAGATGATGATATGATCTGAGTTTGAGGAATGATAAATAAGTTACAGGAATACAGGCACATGTACATTCATTAGATGCAGCTACGCTCCAAAGGACATTCTAAAACACATCCTTATTAGTGAGGAAATTCTGAATTAAAATCACTCAAAATTTTTCTTGATGTAAGAAATATTTTGCTTAAAATTTATCAGAAAGTTATTTCTATTTTCAAAAGGTCACTTTAAAATTTTATGTCTCAGGCAAATTAATCTAAAGGAAGTAAAAATTATGGTTAAACAACACAGACTTTTAAGGCCGCCAATTCTCTCCCACCTTCTAAAAGTACCCAGTTCATCCAAAGTAAATAATTATTTTTTTCTTACAGAATTTCCACATGAATTATGTCTTTGAAACATCAGAACTAGTGACAGTTGCTTCAAACCTCAAAATGTTCTTCAGAACTGTGTGTCTCTCTCTTACAGTACTGGTAGCCACAAGATGAAGAGACCAATTCCATACTCTATAGTGTTCAACTATTCCTTCACAAATTCTGTGAAGTGGGGAAGGTAAACCACAAGCATAGTATATATGCTCTTTATGACAATGCCTAAGAGTTCATTTTCAGTTGTAACCTATATAAATAAGGCATTTCACCTTTTAAAAATGTAAGTTACTAAATTTTATCCTCAGTGACTCTCAAAATGCAGAATCTTCTAGATCCATGCTATCTAATATAGTAGCCACTCACTCCATGTGGCTATTTAAATTAATTAAACTTGAAGTTTAAAATTCAGTGTCTCAGTTGCACTAGCCACTTTTCAAGTATGGCTAGTGTTACCATATTAGAGTGGATGGAGAACATTTCTGTCACTGCAGAAAGTTCTGCTGGACAGTGCTGCTCCACGGGGCATGCGGAATAGTCGAAAGTTAAGTAAAACACAAATATGATCGTAGTTTCTAAATTCCACTACAGATTAAACCAATGTTTGCAAAACACAAAAATGAATCTAGGTAATGTTTTTCAACATAGGAAATGGGCTGTAAGGTAGATTTTTCATGGAGCCAAGCAGACATGTAGACAGGTGGTCTGTGACACCTTTCATCTGATGAAGTGATCAATGGAAAGAAAAGATTTTTTAACTGTATAAATGCATGCAGGTTCTCAAATGCCCTCTTTTCCCTTTGACTTAGTTCTGATTATTTCAGACTGAGAGGGTGAAGGACATCACCACACCAAAGAGTGATACTACATACATTCCTTCAGGAATCTCAGACTTCATGTTTATTGTGAACAGTTTCAGAGAAAATTAAATATTTTGGATCTGTGTGTATCTGTCTCTAATCCTAGATAGGACTCATCAAATTAGAAGAGAAGTACTCTGAAAAAGAGCCAAAAGATGACAAACCAAGAAGTACTTAAACCTGAAGTACTTTAATTGGTTTAGATTTAAAGAAATCATTATTCTTCCAGTATTGGCTTTATCATCTAGTTAGTCAATGAGACATACATAATGTCTGTGGTTTTAACAAACACTACACAGTACTGCCCTCAAAGAAGTTAGGTTATTTCTTTTCAGTATGCAATTTTCAAACATTCTATGGGCTTTACACTTAAGTTTGCTAAGGGACTCCTGCTTTGTGGATGTTTTCACAATACCTTCTACACATCAACTGCCAAAATAAATTAGATGGCGCTTAATGATTTGGTGTGATGTACAGAGATTTCACTTGAGTCAGCAGTCATTCCAGAGCCATGCTTCTATCCACTGTAGCTTCAAAGGCATGGCTAGCTGGGTTTCTGTTTATTGCTTCAATTTCGGGTCCAGTGAGTTTTATCTAACTATTTGACTATACCAATAAAAGTCTGTTCACATATAAATAGTTTCATTTCTTTATGATGACAAAGTATTCATAGCTCCTTGTAATGTCAACTGATATTTAACTGCCCCTAACAAGCAAGGAAGAAACTAGGATCCTGTGCCACTGTATAGATGCAAAGTGGACAATATGTTCATTAAACCTAATTTCCCTTAAAAATGATGCATAAATCATAGTGCTTCCTAGTAGACCTCATAATACATTTGACAGGGGTTTTCTATTATCAAAAGTAACTCTATGATGATTTCACACCTTTTTCTGCCCTTTTCTTGTACCCTCAAAATAAATTGAGTAGCTTATAAATTGTTGGGTAATATTTTTTAAAGAGGCTCTTGGGACCTTGGATATGGTTTATGACAAATATTAAATAAAATAAATGCACAGCTATGACCATTAACTATGGGCCAAGTTTTAGCTATCCAAAGCCAAGGTTTATTTTATTAACATTTCAATCATATTATAAACATGAAGTTATTAAACTCATCAACAAAAACCCCACTCAAAAATTCTAAAAGACTCCTCAACCCCATTCTTAGGCCCTTCTTTTTCCAAAGGCCTATTACTTACTTTTCCAAGTTCTGTAAGTGTTCTCTGACTTTCTGTACCAGTCCCAGCTTGGTGTCATTAACCACAAAATCATCACAGCGATAACTGCAAGGAAAATATTAATCAATGTGTGTAAAGAGCTTGAGGAAACCACAGTAATGAAATCACTAAAAGGTCTGGCTGTTGCCAAGATGATCACATGGCTCTGCAGGCAGTTACTGCTGGTGGTAAGTTTAAAGAGGACCTGGAATTCACAATGGAATGTTTTTCAAGAGTCTTTTTTAAAAGCCACGTAGGCAATGAACATGAGCTTCTTTTCACGTTTTTTACTCAAAAGCTCTTCAATTCCTCCTTTGAAAATGAAATAAGCTGCTACATGTGTTACATTCTTTTTAGTGGTGCCTAATACATGGAAAATGAAATAAAAAGCACCGAGTCTTTTCATGTAGCATTAAGCCTAAAGCTTTAAGTTGACACTTCCCAACCCAAATTAATGGGGAATTGGGGGAAGGAGAGATTTAAGTGAAAAGCAGGGAAGAGGTAATTAACCTGTAGGGATATCTGAATAGAAAAACTAAAGTTAAAGCTGCACATTTTAAACATAATTTAATTAAAATAGCTTGAATTCAGATGAGCTGAGAAGAATGCTCTTTCACTCTGAGGCACTACAAAACAAAAGTATAAAATAGTGGCTATATCATTCAGGCAACTGATAAGTGCTTTGAAGAAAAATATTTAAGCTATATTTAAAAACCGATACTCTGTGTGTTTTATAAGTCAAAAAGCAAATAATGTAAGAAATCACACATAATATAAACTTTAACTTGTTCACATTAGCATTTAATTTTTTCCTGGGATAAGGCCAATTTTAACAAAAACAATTTACAAGCTGGCACTAAGATATTATTTTGAATATGCTTTGCATGAAACCATTTGTTATTACTATCAAAGAATAATAAAAATAACACTGCCATTCTGAGCAAACAAAACTTTGAAAGCACAGCAGTTAGTAAAAATTAGGTCATCTCTAGCAGATTCCAAAAACATATCTGAAAACCATTTTATTAAAAAGAGGGAGAAAGAAAGAGAGAGAAAGGGGTGGGGAAAAGTAATTTTAGAAGATTACACAAAAAAGCATGCTTGTGTCTTTTATTCAGAGAAATGAAAATTTTAAGTGAATGCTTCTCAAAACTGTCACTACAATGTTATATATGTAATTATTTAACACACACTCTCATTAACTGATCACCCAGGCAGTCAATCAAGATTTCTCTAACATATTCTCCGAGCGTCTAAAGTCAATTCCCAACATTTCCACAAAGAGCAAAAGCAGTCTTTTATATCCTGGACCATTTTCTATTATCAAAGTACTACCAGCAGGAGAAAAAATTCTTCATTGGTCCTATAACAACTACATAAAGAAATTAAATTAGTGAAAAGTTTTAATTTTTTGCTCCTTCTCGGCATAAATATTAAGAGGATAAGATCTACTTTGTCTGTAAATTTGGGCTTAGGGCATTTGGTACCTCTATAAACCTTAAGCATTCACTGAAGAATGAAATTGTATTGCTACTCTACTCGAATTTCTGCTTACATTTTTATTTTATGTTTGCATAAATTTATGCATGTAGTTTGAATAAAACAATCCTCAGTGTCCAAAACTCGAAATGCTAGCATTTATCTGGAAAGTGAAGTCTTAAGAGCAAACTCAGATCACTTTTTCTATATTTACACGATGCCATTAATATCTAATTGAAAACTGAACCTCTAACTGCCACAAATAAGTGGTTGTTTAAACAAATAAATTATTTCAAAGTAAATTAAATAACTGATTTATTTCTTATTAAGGTAATCCTTTCTGGTATAACATGAAGTCAGCCTTGGTCATAAAATTACGTTTGTTAAAGTACAGACTCATTTACGGACTTGCTCTGTTCTTCCAGGCCAGTTGGGTCCAGCAGCTTTGCCTCTCTACCCTTTTATCACCAAAGTAAGTTGATCTAGACTCCAGAGCTGTGCAAATGTGGCTACTGCAACTGAGGAATACAATTTTTATTTTTAAAACTTTTAATTAATATAAATTCTTAATAACTGAAGCAGTGTAAAATCTTTTACCATTAAGCACAATGTTATAGTTTGGTAGGATTGTCTTTTGCTTTTATTATTAAATTGTGCAAGATATGTGGGAGTGCACAGCTGGGTAAACATGTCATTTCTAGCATTACCCAAAAGCGTATCACCAATCTAGTTTGTATCAACAGAATGAGTCAGTTCAAGTGATTTTTCTATGATTTTTCTATGCAACAATGTAGCATTGTAATTGTTTATTTGAACATTTTATGCAGATACCATGAGTTATGGTGACCTATGTAAATCATAATTGGCAATTAAATTAAAATACTTATTTTAATTATTTTATAATTAAATTTTTTTAGCTTAAAAATTAAAAATAGAAAAATTTTTACTTTCAAATGCAGGTATACTGCTGAGAAAGAATCAAATGAAAAGAAAAAAGACTCAACAAGGTATGTCACAAATTTCACAAAGAATGGCAATTGCGATTTGCTGCAGCAGAGCAAAGTTAAAAAGCTGCTGGGTAAAAAAAGAGTTTTAAGATAATAAACAACAGTTAAGAGACATTTTCAGCAAATGCATTTCAATTTAATATGAACTGGCTTCAGTCAAAAAATAATTGATAAAATTAGTCACAATCAGTGAAATCAGAATTAAATGTAAAACAAAAACATTCCTGAAGATTTTACAGAACTTGAGCTTGTAAGTGGCCAGCTATAAAACAGCTTGGATTATTTTTTTCTTTATTTTTTAAAAATACAGCCAGGGTATTCTGTTTCCCAGCCTGGTCTCAAATTCCTGGCCTCAAGCGATCCTCCCACCTCAGCCTCCCAAAGTGCTGAGATTACAGGTGTGAGCCACCGCGCCTGACTAGTTCAGATTCTTGTTCAATGTAGAAAACAATTTTAAGGTGATGAGATGAAAAATTAAATTATTTCAGTTAAGGAAATTATATTTTTAAATTATGAGGAAAAAAGTTAAAAAGATATTTTACGGAAAGTGAAAAATCTTTGAGACACCAAGCAACTGTCAGTGAATAAAAGTCCCTTCTAACAATATTAAAGACCAATTAAGTCAGCATTTGAAAAGTTACAAGTATTTTTAGCTTTAGATGAATTTTAGAAGAGATAATGCCTAATTAATACTATGGGTATATTTGTCTCAAATGACCTTCAAATTTACAGAGAAATGTCTTCATCTATTTGCAGCCTTAAATTTAAAAACTGATCTTATGTTGTAGATATTTTTGAATTCTCTACATCTGTAACTCTCAGCTAGATATAAAAAAGTCAGTTTCCAGCAAGACAGTGTTCCAACATCAGTATTTGTTGGATTTATTTCTCTTATTTTTTCTGCTGTGGGAAACACAATGCAAATATTTGTGCCCTAAGGCAGACTGTATCATGGAAGCAGCTATTAAAATTGTTCAGGCCGGGCATGGTGGCTTATCCCTGTAATCCCAGCACTTTGGGAGGCCGAGCTGGGTGGATCACAAGGTAAAGAGATCAAGACCATTCTGGCCAACATGGTGAAACCCTCTCTCTTCTAAAAATACAAAAATTAGCTTGGCGTGGTGGCACACGCCTGTAGTTCCAGCTACTCAGGAGGCTGAGGCAGGAGAATCGCTTGAACCAAGGAGGCGGAGGTTGCAGTGAGCTGAGATCATGCCACTGCACTCCAGTGCACTCCAGCCTGGCAAAAGAGCTAGACTACGTCTCAAAAAGACCCAAAAATTGTTCAGTACATATGCACAAATGCTCTAAATCATCACCAGTTTATGGAACTGTTAAAAGAAATAGAAGACAGTGAATTTAATGACCACATTATTAGCTAATGTTGGTTGCTTGAGTCAAGGAAGAGTTTTGCAAAGATTTACAATTCTGTTAACTCTAATTCAGATTTTCTCAAAACAAAAGAAATGCTTGCCAATATTCGACAATCAAAGAGTAAACCAGGAATAGATTTTTAGAAATCTCAGTGTGATTTACATTGTTACCCCTATATCACAATGCATATCAATTAGCTAGATTTGAAGATCCAAGGAGAGAAAAAGCTTATTCATGACCTAGCTAGACAGGTATAACAATTTACGTTAAAATTGAAGATTTTTATAATACAAATCAATGATCGTACACATTTTTCAACATGAATTAACATGCAGCAGCCCAGCACTGTGTAAAGTGGCTGCAAAACCTATGAAAAAAAATACAACAAACGCTTTGTTGATTTGGATAAACTTAGAGTTGATTTTCGATTTATATGATGCCCCTCTGAATTTGACGTTGATAATAAGAAGTTTTCACAAGTGTTAGTGGACTTATTAACCTGCATGGATATTTTGACAGTGCTGCACTTCTTCTGAGTCAAATCAATTATTCTTAAAAGAGTAATTTTTCTCAATACAGATACAAATACTGGAGAAAAACTGTTTGGTACTCCATTTATTGGAAAACAATGTTTAAAACAGTGTGAATCTACTTTTTTAACTGCAATTTTTATGAATCTAAATACAGATCAAATATTTTTTATCAAAACTTCACGAGTTGAGATGTACTTAAAATTGTAAAATACACAATGGATTTCAAGGATTTCATATAAAAAAGTGCAAACTATCTCTAATAATTTTACATTGATTACATGTTGACACAGTATTTCTGATATACTGGGTTAAAAAAATGTACAATCAAAAGTAATTTCACCTGTTTCTTTTTGCTTTTTTAATATGGCTACTAAAATATTTTAAATTACATATGTGACTTGAATTATTTCTCTTTTATATAACACTGCTAATGTAGGGAATCTAAGATACTACCTGCTCCAAAATTCTATAATACTAGCATAAAGAGATAATAAATTAACTTTATTGAACTATAAGAACTCAATTTTATAGTCGGGCGTGGTGGCATGTGTCTGTAATCCCAGCTACTCAGGAGGTTGAGGCATGAGAATTGCCTGAACCCGGGAGACAGAGGTTGCAGTGAGCAGAGATCATGCCACTCCACTAGGCAATAAAGTCAGACTCTTGTCTCAAAAAAAGAAAGAAAAAAGAACTCAATTTTAGGCCAGCCTGGGCAACATAGCAAGACTCCATCTTTATGAAAATTAAAAAATAAAAAATTCCCTGGGCAAGGTGGCTCACGCCTATAATCCCAGCACTTTGGGAGGCCAAGGTGGGTGGATCACCTGAGGTCAGGAGTTCGCGATCAGCCTGACCAACATGGTGAAACCCTGTCTCTACTAAAAAAATACAAAAATTAGCCAGGAGTTGTAGCGTGTGCCTGTAATCCCAGCTACTCGGGAAGCTGAGGCAGGAGAATCGCTTGAACCTAGGAGGCGGAGGCTGCAGTAAGCTGAGATCGTGCTACTGCACTCCAGCCTGGGCAACAGAGTGAGACTCTGTCCCCCCCCAAAAAAAACAAAGCAAAAATAAAATAATAAATAAATAAATAGCCAAGCATGATGGTGTGCACCTGTAATGCCTCCCAGCTCCTTGGGAGGCTGAGGTGGGAAGATCACTTGAACTCAGGAGTTGGAGGCTGCAGTGAGCTGTGATCACATCACTACACTCCAGCTGGGTGACAGAGACCCTGTCTCTAAGATTTTTTTTTAGTTTTTTGTAACTATATTTATTTTTTTGAGACAGGGTCTCATTCTGTCACCCAGGCTGGATTGCAGTGGCCCCATCTCAGCTCACTGCAACCTCCGTCTCCCTGGCTCAAGTGATCCTCCCACCTCAGCCTCCCAAGTAGTTGGGACTGCAGGCACGCTACCATGCTTGGCTAATTGTTTAACTCTGCTTCCCAAAGTGCTGGGCTTACAGGCATGAGCCACTATATGCCTCTCTCTATGCCTCTCTCTCTCTCTCTCTCTCTCTCTCTCTATGCCTCTCTCTCTCTCTCTCCCTCCCTCCCTCTCTCTCTCTCTCTCTCTATGCCTCTCTCTATGCCTCTCTCTCTCTCTCTCTCTCTCTCTCTCTCTCTCTCTCCCTCCCTCCCTCCCTCCCTCTCTCTCTCTCTCTCTCTCTATTGAGACAGGGTCTTGCTCTGCAGCAATGCTATCACAGATCACAGCTCACTGCAGCCTTGACCTCCTGGACTCAAGCGATCCTCCTGCCTCAGCCTACCAAGTAGCTGTGACTACACGCATGAGCGACCATGCCTGGCTATTTTTTTTTACTTTTGTAGTGGCAGGGTCTCACTATGTTGCCCTGGCTGGTCTCAAATTCCTGAGCTCAAGCAATCCTCCCACCTCAGCCTTCCAAAATGCTAGGATTACAAGACTGAGCCACTATGCCCGGCCATAACTCAATTTTATTTTGGCTGGATTTGTTTTTCACTGGTTTAAAAATTTTTTTTTTAGGTTTTTACAACTATCTCTATTTCTCAAGAGCCAATTCTAGGTGTTCCTATAGTCAGTCACTAAGAGGGACATTTATTTCAAGAATGTAACTTTCGTTTTTCTACTGTTTGAATTTCATATTATACAAGTTGTATATATTACTATGATTGTTGTTACCGCTATTCTTTAAGGAAAACAGCTGCTTCCACAGGTCAAAACTTCTAAGGTGAGAGTGCCTGTCAACGTGGCAGAGGATTAGTAAATGTTAGTTTCCTTCCTCTGTGTAACTAGCCTCACAGCACATTCCTCTCTAGCTACCTAGATTCCCCTGGTTTGATTTCTTTTTCCTCTGTGGTCAGAGGTCAAAAGAAAATAAGTAGCAAAGGTGGCAAATAAATGAAAATGTAAATGTTACCGGGTTGCTTTAGTCTTCAGATGAGACACAGCTTTCAAACTGGAAATTGTCCCACTAATATTGGTGTTTAAAAAGGCAAACAGATTGGCTGGACGCGGTGGCTCACGCCTGTAATCCCATCACTTTGGGAGTCCAAGGTGGGCAGATCACGAGGTCAGGAGACTGAGACCATCCTGGCTAACATGGTGAAACCCCGTCTCTACTAAAAATACCCCCCACCCAAAAAATTAGCCGGGCATGGTGGCGGGCACCTGTAGTCCCAGCTACTCGGGAGGCTGAGGCAGGAGAATGGCGTGAACCCGGGAGGTGGAGCTTGCAGTGAGCTGAGATCAGGCCACTGCATTCCAGCCTGGGCGACAGAGCAAGACTCCATCTCACAAAAAATAAAATAAAATAAAATAAAGGCAAACAGATGGATTTAAAAGTTCTAAAAATCTTTTCTTGATTCGCTACAGTTGTATTGAAGCTTTTTGGTCAGAATTATGCATACCTCAGACACTGGGAAAAAAATTTAGTCACTCTTCTTAATTTTCCCTTCAAGAAGATTATGCCAGAATAAGTGGTACAAAAAAGTACGTAACTCATAGGTTGTGTTTCAAAAACGTGTAGATTGGTCCTCTGAAGCCTAGAATGCATATCCTGCTTTGAAATAAATGTTACAAAACACAGTTAAACGTTCTAGGTAGAAATACATGTTTCCCAAAATGTAGCTGAAATCCATAGTATTTGAAAAAGCTCGATTTCTCCTTTCTTATTTATATACTACTGGCACTGAGAAACTGACAGGAGAGGCCTAGGCAGGATTCAGATAATCTGACTGGCCTCTAGGAGAGGAGGTCCAGGCTCAGCATCTTCATATACACAGGACTTCATGTAATAAACAGAAGTCAGGAACTACCTACATTATATGACCAAGTTTTAGGCTATAAAATTTATACCTAAGCAAGTTTTTACTTACTGATTTTAAATGACTCTTCAAGAAAAGATGAGCTCTACTGTTTTTTTTTTTTTTTTTTTTTTTTTGAGACAAGGTCTGGCTCTGTCACCCAGGCTGGAGTGCAATGGCGTGATCTCAACTCACTGTAACCTCCGTCTCCTGGGCTCAAGCCATACTCCTACCTCAGCCTCCCGAGTAGCTGAGACTACAGACACGTGCCACCATGCCCAGCTAGTTTTTGTATTTTTAGTAGAGATGGGTTTTCGCCATGTTGCTCAGGCTAGTCTCGAACTCTTGGGCTCAAAGCCATCCGCCCGCCTTAGCCTCCCAATGTGCTGGGATTACAGTTGTGAGCTACCGTGCCTGGCCTAAAGATAAGCTCTACTTCTGACGGACTTTTTGTCAGATAAGGACTATATTTAATAGAAAGAAAGCAGTATTTACGAAAAAGTAAGTACACTGAACATTAAAAAAAAACAAAATACTTGAAAATTGTACTAGGGTACATATTAGAGATGTTAGATAAGGAAATAGGATATAAAAAAGGAAGGTAAGAAGAATATTGGTGTCTTTACTTCTAAGACAGACAAGTAACATTATCATCTTGGGTATGTAAAGATTAGTCTCAAATCCAAATTCATTGAGCCAAATGTGATCATAAAGTAGTTTTAAACTCATTTAAGCCAACAGCTAATAAACTCCTAATTAAATGTACAGTATAGTATAATATGCATACTGATGTTAGACAGGATATATACAACTGATTTTACTACCGTGCACTGAAAAAAGATACATCAAGTAGCAGGTAAATTTTCATAAGAAACACAAGCTACTTATTTCTATTATATAATTAAGGAGGTAAACAATGAATAAAATCAGCTTGAAAATTATTTCAAATTCTGTTGACACTAATAAACAACAAAAATGAAACTGCTCAATTTTCTCATTACACTTATACTTTATATATGCCTTTTTAGATTTTGATTTATTTCTAACTTCTAGTATTTAACCTTGCCTAAAACCTTGCTACTTTTCTTTCTATACACTCTCAAAAACTCATCTTTTTTCTCTTCATTTCAAAGAACATTCTTTTCTATACTTTGGTTATTTCCTTTGGTACATCTTTTTCCCTTTTCCCTGAGAAACTTTCAATTCCATAGCTATCTGTAACTGAACTAAGTATAGTATTTGATGGTCCCCACAATGTCAGCCTTGCTTAGATATTCTTATCTCCTACCCCTTCCCTCCCAATCTTCCCTTTCACTTCAGTGTTACCTGCTCTAGTTTTAGAGTTAAGCTTTCATCCCATATACCATGAACTCTCTTACCCCTCGGTATTTTCCATTTCGCACTATTCACTTATTTAATGGCAAAACAATATTCCTCATTCGGTCATCTCCATCTTTACATTCTTCCCCCATTCTCCAAAAATGAAAACACACAGCATGGCTCAATCGTTTTCTTGTCCTAAAATTTAATGTAGGTTTACTTCCTTTAAAAAATTCTAACTTTAGAAACACTCGTTTCCTTCCTGTTTTTGCCCTGCACTACTTGCCCCCTCTAATTCTAAAAGACAAAACACTAGTCTACTAAAGTCAAAACAATAACTTTGGATTGAAATCCAGCTACTTCCCCTTTCACTAGTTTTGGTTAATAAAGTTACTTTCTTTCTACCAGACCTCACTCATATTAACTGGACTCTACAAGCAGTGAGCATCCAGACCTGCATTTGGTTACAAAAGAAGCCTTCAAGCTATTTTCATCAGCTTCCTAATCAAGTTAAAAAATAAACCACAAAACTGAGTATCCACTACCCTCTCTATATATATTCTATATATATATGTATATATTTGTATTAATAAATTATATATACAATTAAATCTAAATTATATATTACAAAAAAGAATAATTTTTAAAGAATGAGCTAGAGATGAAATAAACTATATTAAATGTCTTGCTATTCACAATATCTTCATACTATTATTAAACTAATTTCCTTTTTTTTTTTTTTTAAAGACAGTGTCTCCCTGTGTTGCCCAGGCTGGTCTCGAACTCCTGGGCTCAAGAGATCCTCCTGTCTCAGCCTCCCAAAGTGCTAGGATTATAGGTGTGAGCCACCATGCCTGGCCATAATTTCTCAAAGTACAATATACCATAAGGTAAAGGTTTGACATTAATGACAGTGAATATAGATTCATACTTCCTATCATCTTCATGTTAATTTTTAAACATTTTGTCCAACTTATCAGGTCTTATTAGTCTGTGTTTTTATTAGATAGCCAATAATTTTATCCTGTAATATGTTTGATGAGCACAGAGTAGGAAAATGTATCCATTTGCCCTTTTCTTGTGTTTACATCATCGTCACTATCTTGCAGAATTTAAAACCTTTTAGAACATGTGTCCATGTGGCTACACATATTATATGGGACGAATAAATCCATATAACTAAGCAGATATAGAATGCAAAATGCTCAAAGTAAACAGAATGAGGACACCACAGGTGAAACTGATTTAGGAGTCTGTGTGTAACTCATGGCACACAATCATCAAATCTACAGACCTCTGGCAGCAGGTGTTAAATATTTGACAAAGGTTTCTTTTCTCCTCCCAAATAAAAAGGTACAGTGTTCTAAACGCTCTTCCCATACTGCCAGTACATTATTTTGGAGACCACTGCACTAAAAACTAGGTCCCTAGCACATAGTAGCTTCTCAAAAAATGTTACTTATTGAGTAAAATGTGTCTTTTTTTTTTAATGTTGTTCACAATATGTTTGAGGACCATCATGTAAACCACGATCTGTCCCAAGTAAACATTTTGAAGACAAAAACTGAGGGAGAAAAGGACTACTTTTTATAATATCAAGTTTTCTTCATAAGGGTCATTACCTTCACTCTGTACCTTTCTTTAACACATTTATTCCTAGGTGTAACCAATAGTTTTGTCATTCTGTTGAATATTTTTGCTTGGTCATTTCCATTTTCAACTGATGACTACTAATAAAGAGAAAGCTATTAGTTTGTGTACATTTCTCACACATCAGCTTTCCAAAGTGTCTTACATTTAATCCTCATTGCTGTTTTCTACTAGAGTCCCCCTGGGCTTTCCAGCTATTCTATTGTATCATTTCAAAGTAGAAATAATTTTTTGTTTCCAATATTTATGCCAATTATTTGACTTTCTGTCTACTGTCTTACTGCAATGGCTAGAACTACCAAAACAATGCTTAATAATAGTGACAATCATGTAAATGATGACAGGAAGTATTAGTCTCGTTTCTGATATAATGGAAATGGCTTTGGCATTTCATCATTTAGTATATGATGTTTGCTTTCTGGTTTTTGGCAAACTAGAAGAGCTTAAGTTTCTGTTTATTTCAATGTTATTAGTTTTTTAAAACGAGAAATGGCTATTTATAAATGTATATTTTGCTTCCAATGGGACAATAATTTGAGGTTTCCTTTAATAATGAATATGTTCATAGAACTCAGGTGAAATTAACTCTACTTGGTAATTATATAATTTTTCTTTTTGATAGCTTACTGGGTTAGATTTGCTTTAAGTTATAGTTATTTCCAACTACAGTATTTTATTTAGTAAAATTGGCTTATTTTGTTTTTGGAGTTTCTGTTAGATTTCTATCTTAAGGTTTTGAAAGTTTATAACATTAATATACTTAATGTTAAATTTTAATAGTTTGAGGCTGCACTGTCCAATAGTAGCTAGCAGTCACATGGTGCTATTTAAATATTAATTAAAATAAAAAACACTTAATTCTTCACACTAGCCACATTCAATTGCTCAATTGCTACCATACTGAATAACATATATGTCATACCCAAGACAGAGAAAAATCTCTACCTCTTTCTCAGCTTTAAAATTCTAAGTTTTTTTCAATTCCTGTTGTTAGTGCTATTGAAGTTACTCAAGTCATGACTTCCACATCATGTCCTTGAAGAACTAAGAAAATATTCCCAAAGCAAACCATTCTTCACTCATCTGAAACAAGGAGGAATAATCATACAAATAAAACATTTTTTATGCAACAGTAAAGAAACAAGTCCTTTAATTTACTGGCAACAAAGCTATCTTTATACAGTAAGCCATGCATAACACTAATACCAAAAATAAATAAATAAATAAAACCTCTTATGCAACAAACACCCCTGACACATGACAGATCCTTCATTAAGTTTCACCAGCTCCTTTTCATTCACTTCTAAGACATTTTGATATTTACGGGCAAATTTGACATCTGGTTTTATTATAAATGACAGTAATACTGAAAAGAAAAAGCAAGCTGATATTCTAGTGACTTCACCTATTTCAAACTGAGAAAGGTTAAAATCTAAAAGAATTTGCTTAGGAAGCAAGAGCATTTTTAAATTCTCTTACTAAACTCTGATGTATTGCCATCAAATAAGCCAATTATGGAAAATTAGAAGAATACCTGCAGAGCAAACCCATATCCTTTGTTAAAAGCAGACAAGTACCAGCTTATCTTAAGGAAGAGCCTTTTATGTTTTAAGATTATCTCTATTAGAAAGTTTCTTCTTAAACTTCAAAATATTGTTTTTAAATAAACAAAACTCTCCCTGTTGTCTAATTTTTTACATTGAAAATTTGCGTCCAAATCGTTTATAAGAACATCAACAAAATATTTTCCTTTTTTAAAATTTTTAATCACAACTGCTGTAGGAAATGATTCATTATCTATTTAAACTCACAAATAAAGCTTTATGTTCATTTTAATTAAAATTGCCATTTATTACAAGTGTTTAAAATCTGAAATTCAAGCCTCTTTTCTAGACAACTGATTCATATTTCACAATATTTCTTCATTTGAAAGGATGCTTTAAAACATTACCTGCCCTGAAGGAATATACTTTTAATATTCCTTTCATAATTCTTCATTCTCAAAAATTCAGCTATTATTGATAAGGATATCGAAGTTGACAAGACTATGTCAGATGTCAAAAATTATTGGTTCAGTATTTTAAATCTATTAAATACAAAGGTCTACCTCCATAAAAAAACCAAAGTTCCTAATTTTAATCTTTGTTTCTTCTCAATCACAATAATGTACACCACATACAATTCCATTTGTATTGGTTAAGGGAGGGAAATTGGGATGGGAGCAAATGAAATATTACCTAACAAACAGTAAACTAAACACTAGCTCTTGTGTGAAATCTTGGGAAGATTTTTATTTTCATCGAAATCTTAATTTACCTTTCATTTTCAAGTTAATGTGCTTATCTCCTTAAGAAGTGGGTTTGTGTCAAATCAGAATCATTCCTTTTCGCACTGCTTTCTCTCTTAATGAACAGTAACCTGATTTATATTGTTCTGCCTGGTTAATGCATGCTTCCTCTCTGGGCTCCTGTTTACATCAAGGTGGAGGGGCACTGCTCTACAAGGGTGTCCATCTTGGGAGGGAAATGAAGTAGTTCACCTATATCATGATTTAAGTTGTCTGCAGGAAAAATGTTACGTGGCTCTTTAGTCCTTCAAGATGATCAGGGGACACAGTATTATAGATCTGATGTAACCTTCCCCATTTCTGAAAGACAGTTAACAAAATTCAGTCTTTCAAACGTATGTCACCTACTCTGCACCAGACACTGCATACTAGGGAAAAATACAAAGATCTGAGATATGGTATCTGCAGTCTCCAAGGACATTTACAAATAACTAACATGCAGCATGAAATTATAAGTATTCCAAGAGCTGTGAGTTCAGGAAAGATTACATTCAGCTACAACTGGAGCTGGGGAAAGAGAAGAGTTCAGTGATAACTTCATAAAGGATTGCAAACATAGGACAGGGCAGGGACTATTGGCAAGGGGAAAGCAGGGAAAGAAGAACTGCAAGCCTCAGAGTATGTTATAACTTCTCTAGGGCACAGAGCACACTGCAAAAAAGGCTTTGACTTTAGTCAAGATATTTATAATCAAACATGTTAAACCTAATGCACCAATGTTTTACCTCTGAAATCAATCATTCAGTCTAACCACAAGAAATTAGTGTACAAGGAAAATTAATAAATTGAAGTAAAATTACTAACGGGCACGAGGAAACAACACATGCACACACTCCACACAGAAATAGGAAATCTGTTTCTTCATCACAGTGAGGTGTGGGAGGAATGTTAATTTAAACTGCATCTTCGTCAATTTACAACTATCACAGATTTCTTTTAGGCCATCAGTGTAATGCTACGGGGTGATTCCCTAGCATTTTATTCTAAAACCCACAAGTGAGCCGACAATGTGACCAGCTGCAGCTCCCTTCCTGAATTCAGCAGCTCTGGGTGTCCACACACTTGCAGCTCTGTACAACTTCACACAAAAGCCTGGCAATCGGCCAAGAAGACTCCATCATAGTGTATACTCCCCAAGGTTCAAGATTTTCCATTTAATTCCAATTCCACCATGAAACGACATATACTTTAGCAGACCATAGCGAAATAAAACCAATTCAATTCCCATTTCTAGTTAATAAAATATGCCCCTAAAATACAATGTATAAAGATATTAAAATATATAATCTACATTTTTAAAGGGCCTTGAATATAATTCCATTCCATTAAGATAATTCTTAAAATTTTCTTTAACAGTTAGTTTCCTCAGAATCTTACCAACAGCAAGAAAACAATGGCAAACTTGTTATAGCACACAGCGATTTAATTGTATTTCCAAAGTCCTCCATTAAGCAATTCACTCACATTGCTAACTGAAAATCAAAAATCAATGTTCTCAGTATCTGGTACTATAGGATGATGTGACCCATGACAATGTGAGACAGATACTTCAAGAATTATATTAATTTCTGTTGTCTAAAGCAGAAATACAAACACACAGAAACACACAGTTCTGCAAATTACGTAGCCACATCACTCTAGTATATAAGTTTCCTGAGGGAAAGGGCGAAAAAAAAAAAGAAAACCTGAGGGAAAGGGGAATGCAAACGCTTTAACTGCCTGGCTAATGCTTAACTTTGGTAGGTGTGTTTCACAACAGCAAATAACAATAAACTGAGCACTAACCTTTGTGTAAAAATCTTGGGAAGATTTTCATTTCTACTGAAATCTTCACCTACCTCTAGCTTCTCTCTCTCCAGGTCTGGACATCTTCCACACAAAGGATCACTAAAAACAGTAGTGATCTGAATGAATAACCCTTAAGATGTCTATTCAATAGCCAAAATTTAATGGTGTTGAACCTGTAAAAATGTAAAAGACCCTTTGGGAGGCCGAGGCAGGCGGGTCATGAGGTCAAGAGATTGAGACCATCCTGGCTAACACGGTGAAACCCTGTCTCTACTAAAAATACAAAAAAATTAGCCGGGAGTGGTGGCAGGTGCCTATAGTCCCAGCTACTCAGGAGGCTGAGGCAGGAGAATGGCTTGAACCCAGGAGGCAGAGCTTGCAGTGAGCGGAGATCGGCCACTGCACTCCAGCCTGGGCGACAGAGCAAGACTGTTTCAAAAAAAAAAAAAAAAAGTAAAAGACCTGGCAAACCACTGACCCTTTCTTCTTCCTTTTGATGGGCACCTTCCTATCATACAATTATCGACTAAGGACAATGTGGAAAGGATTCTCACACCATTTCAGTAGAAAGTAAATTAAAATTGTTATCTGGACTTCTCTAAATCCCCATCTCTACCCAGTAATGCCTTCATGTAACATTCAAGGGCTGTCTGACAATAAAAAATATCTCCAAAGTGATCCTTTAAATGGCTTATATCCCCTCCTTTAATGTCAACAACCTTCTGAATCAAGGGAAAGCTGATTAAAACAAGAATTGTTCATCATAATTTACTAGTCACAGAAAGAAATTTGCTTCACACCAAAGTTAAAACTGCAGAATATACTTTCTGAGCATAACCAAATGGATATGGATCATTAAGCATCACTCACAACCTAAATAACCTAGTTCTAAGTAGTCACAAAAATAGATACCTACTTTGTCATTTATATGAAATAGACATGAATATTATATTACAAAGAGGGAACAGAACCTGTTGCCAACCTCTTTTTAAAGGATACTAAAAAAAAAAAAAATAGCACTGGAAGCGGTGGCTCATGCCTGTTAATCCCAGCACTTTAGGAGGCCGAGGCAGGCAAATCACCTGAGGTCAGGAGTACGAGACCAACCTGACCAACATGGTGAAACTCCGTCTCTACTAAAAATACAAAATTAGCTGGGCATGGCGGCACATGCTTGTAATCCCAGCTACTTGGGAGGCTGAGGCAGGAGAGTTGCTTGAACCCGGGAGGCAGACATTGAGGTGAGCCGATATTGCGCCATTGCACTCCAGCCTGGGCAGCAAGAGCGAAACTCTGTCTCAAAAAAAAGAAAAAATAGCCTGGAAAGCTACGTACCAAATTCTTGACATTCACCTTTGGGGGAGTAGAAGAGGAGCGTGGAACTGCACTGGGAGAAGGGAGACTGTCAGAATAATTTTTTTTTAAACAAAGCAGTTAAAATTTTTAAGATTATATGACAAAAATGTTAACTGGACCAGGGACAGGAGGAACATGGGTTTGTTGAGTTATTTTGAACATGGGTTATCACATTGTTCTTCAATTTAAAATAACACAAGAAAAAGAAATTATAATAACAAAGAAATAGATCTATTTCCTTGAAGCTAGGATGGATGAGGAACGGGAGGTGGGAGAGAAAAGGAGGCCTAGAAGTTGAAAGGAACAATGCAAAGTAAAATCTGAATGAATAAAGATAGGCGTTCCCAATGGCTCCAGTCCTCCGTGAATCCTAACAGTTGTAAAAGGAGGTAACAGCAGTAGTAACTGGCTTAGAGACTGAGGGAAGGGAGGGGAGGAGAGCACACTTGCACACAGTAAGAAATCTCATTTCCAGAAAATGTTAACTTACCAGTATGTACTGTAGCTACTGCAATCCATACATACTGTGTGCTGAACTTTATCTTGCTTTTCTGATTTCTTATGGTTGGTTAAAGGTACTTGTGCATCTTCATAATGTTTTTTTGCATGGCCATTCACATACCTTACAAAAACCAAATGAAAATTTACTTTAAATATTGCTTTGGAAATTAAAGGAGTAGGAAATGATGAAATTAAATATTAATCAAATCAAAATAAAGAAATCCTATAACAGCAGTCAATCATGTAGTGATTTATTATACTGAATACTTAAAATATGCTCTTTTTTTTTTTTGAGACGGAGTCTCGCTCTGTTGCCCAGGCTGGAGTGCAGTGGCACGATCTTGGCTCACTGCAAGCTCCACCTCCTAGGTTCACACCATTCTCCTGCCTCAGCCTCCCGAGTAGCTGGGACTACAGGCGCCCACCATCACACCCAGCTAATTTTTTTTTTTTGTATTTTTAATAGAGATGGGATTTCATCATGTTAGCCAGGATGGTCTTGATCTCCTGACCTCATGATCCACCCGCCTATGCTCCTTTTTTGCAACCAAATACTATAGTCAACTTTTAATTATATACAAGAGTAGGCTCAGGCAAGGAAAGGCATAATCTATGCAAATTGGTTTCAGTACCATAGATATTATTTATAAACTCCTTTGCTGCTGCTTTCACTATAGCTTTTTTTTTTTTTCTCTCAGACCACTAACCCCCAACTTGGGCTATTATCAAAGACAAGCTCTGTTAAGTAAATTACTCAGCCACTTCCCACAGGGCCATAGACTCTGCTCAAGTTGCTGCTTAACATAAAGTGTGAGAGTCAGAGAAACAGGACAATGTTCCATCTCTCACCAATATAGCTTCCAGTCTTTTATTTGAATGCCTGAATAATCAGCTCCTCTCATATGGAAACATGTTTGTTTAGAAATAATCCAAACAAAACACAAATCACCTTAAGCTTACAAAAACTGCTATTTCTCTACATGGACAAAGATAATCAAAAGTTGATTATGTTCATAAAAATTGTGTAACACATTCCAACTCAGATTTAGTATTACAGCAGGCACAATGAAACTGAAATAAGGCTCCATATGCACATGGTGTACACCCAAATCCATCTACACCTTCGTCTAGAGACTGCACAATTCTGTCACTAACCACCAACGTGAAGACCCTTAAGAAGCAACATTTCCCAGTTCCTAGAAAGCAGCCAATGTGTGGAAGGCAAGGCCTACTTGAAAACTCAGTCAAAACAAATGTTGGTTAAATGGTACCAAAATAAACAGATGCAGAGAGTTAGATGACATTTTCATCATGAGGCACCTTAACTGCACCAGGAAAAACACTTACCTTGGAGGAAGTAGGAGAGTTACCGTAACTGGGAAGGATCAACTTCAAACCTAGCCCCTCTACCCAGGAAAACTGGGCACATTCAAGGCACTATTAACCTCAACTTGGAATGTGATCACGTTCTTTCTCCATTTTTTCCCTGTACTTTACACTTTTGCATATACCTGAGTCCTCTGTTCATAAAACTGTACTAAAATGAATTTTAGAGTCAAATAATGATTAAGAGGATAAGCTCAAAAACTAGACTGCCTGGATTCAAAATTAGGCTTTATCACATCCTGGCCATGAGAGCTTGGATGAATTATTTAACCTCTCTGTACTTGTTTTCTCATTTGTAAAATGGACGTAATAGTACTTTGTGTCTCATGGGTTGTTAGGTGATTACATAATCCATAGTTCATAACAAATGAATGTTAGCAATCATTTTATTAGCATTCTTCTTTCTGTGCTTAACTACTACTCATTCAGAATCCAAACAACAATTGCTTAGAAGGTGGGCACATTTAGCACATATTTCAAGATAACATGTAACTGTATAGGTCAAGAAACGCTATTTAATAAAATGTAAGGCTGGGTGCAGTGGCTCACGCCTGTAATCTCAACACTTTGGGAGGCTAAGGCAGGCAGATCACTTGAGGTCAGGAGTTTGAAACTTGCCTGGCCAACATGGTGAAACCCCATCTCTACTAAAAATACAACAATTAGCCATGGTTGGTGGCACATGCCTGTAATCCCACTACTTGGGAGGCTGAGGCATGAGAATCACTTGAACCCAGGAGGCAGAGGTTGCAGTGAGCCGAGATCACCCCACTCCACTGCAGCCTGGGTGACAGAGTGAGACTCTGTCCAATAAGTAAATAAATAAATAAATAAATAAATAAACAAATAAAAGGCAAACTCTAAGGTATCATATAGGTTCAATACTTAATCTTAATCACCTATTCTTATCATATATATTTATAATACTAAACCATGAAAAACAACAGTAATTCATTGCTACAGTAATAATACTGAATAAGCACATTACCACTTGCACATTTTTGAGAACTCATCATCTTTACATAGTCCATTTAACTACAATGCTGTAGTTTCTAAATGTACTAGATGTTTAAATAGTTCCGGTGCATATCAGAGATAAACTAAGAAGTAGGAATACTGATATTAAGATTAGCAATGTTTTGCCTGATACCTAAATATATTAGTCGAAGAGGTTAACAGTTTTGTATAAACTAGCTAACAGGAAATTAAATATTTCCCTCATCTAGTTTTGGATTTTAACTAGACATTTTGGTCTACAGCACAAGAGGAAAAATTTCACTACATATGTCACAAATTTCTAATAACAATCACAAAAATTTGAAAAATAACTTAAATGGGATGGTGTCATGAAGACCAGCAGAATTTATAACCCATATATGCTATTGATAAACTATGTTTCCTAGTGGGAAGAATATTCACTTTACGATTTCCCTAAAGACAAGCAGTCTAAAATTACCAAAAAATCAATAAATTTGGCAATCAACACCTGGGATTACATGATAAAAGAATATTAACCAATCAGCTATGTAAAATGGAGATCCAAATTCAGGCTATTCTGAATTTTCTGTTTAATCTACTTCATCACATTTCTCCAAAACTATGTCAAATTTCTAAATTTAAGCTTGTTTGCAATTGACAACAGTCCACCTGCAGAGGCTAGAAATTTTTCCATTTATTTTTCCAAAACCTATTTTAGTTTGTTGTTTAAGAACATTAATCTCTAATTTTTGAGTTTGTCAGGTCTTTTGATTGGCACATGACCATCAAGATTTAGGTTGTAGAGCACTACGAGACTTCTGGAGAACAGAACTACATAAATTTTATTGCATTATAATTCTCACCTCTCAAAATCTAGGAGAGGAATCTGTCTCTTCAACTGCAGAATTTAAGTGCTTCTACTTTTCTTCTTTTTTAAAAAAAAGTTATCTGTACAAAGTATTTTCAGGTTCCCCAAATCCTAGAGATTTCAAAACCACAACAGCCACAATTAAGAAATGCAGTTAACATTTTCCAAAGGTACTCTTAAGTGCACATGGAAAAAATACTCAATTCCAGGACTCAAAATGTGAAAAATCAAAACTTCACTGAACAAAGAAAGATGCTCTCTTCATGCAATGAGGATTTAAAAATAACAATGGGGAAATATTCTGGATAAATACAATATAGATTTCAGCCTATGGGACTCAGTATGATTTCTCATTTCCTTACTGCTAAGCTATTAACTTCTAAAGTAAATTCAAAGTAGATTTTCTAAGCTAGAAGAGCAGTGGAAATAAATGTGCTGCTACCAGGCAAAAAACCACAGACAATATACTTGAGTTTGTGCTAGAAGAGTTACTATTTAAATAATATTATTTTGAGGCCAAGAACTGGGAAGAAATGCTCAGGTTTAAACTGGGGTGGGGTGAGGTAGAAGATGTTGTCCATAGAAAGTAGTATTTTAATGGAACAATGAAACATTTGGTATATCTTAGGAATTAATAATGAACTCCACAATGAGATCATTTTCAAAAGGAATTCGTTTATCTGTAAATATTTTAAGGGTTTTTTTCTTTCCCAGAAGAATGATATCATACCTGGGATTTGATACAAAAGTCAGTAGAGGTGGGGATGGGGTAGGTAATAGGTGAAAAAAGATTGCCATGTGTTGATAATTGCTGGGTGAATGGGACATGGGGTTCAATTATACCATCTCTATGTTTGTGTGTGCTTAAATTTTACCCTAATAAAAGGTTTAAAAAACAACCATTAGGTAAATTTGTACTTCAAGAATTCCCTTAGCTCATCTTTCCACTCAAATATTATTAGCAGATTGTCTTGGTCATCAAACTAATTCTTCTGAGTATCAATACGAAGAGTTTTTCTCCCCTAGATGTTTTCCCCAGTTGTATCACAGAACAAAGGGATTCAACTGGAGAAGGAAGCCCTACAGGGAATTATGCATTATGATTAACAATGGTACTAAATCCAAATCAATAAAACTCTGACATAAAGCTTAAAGACAAATTTTAAAAAGCAAATAGGTCAGTGAAGTAATAAGTATGTCACCTACCTTCCACAGTGGACACTTGAACAAGTCAAACAGACCCAAGGGCTTTTGTTGGACCGGCACACTAATAAAAAGAAAAATACACAATATACCAATTGCATCATGTTATTTCCCAATTTCTCCCCATTTTCCTGTGATTAAGTTATAAATTCCATGGCTATGTAGGAATGCTGAAGTTGCAAATCCGTGCTTTGTGAATGCATTTACACAAAATGGCTGCCTAATTAAGTTATACTGAAAAGAATTTAAATGCATGTCCACAACAGCGGCTCATTTTAATTGCTGACTCAACCCAAATAGCTTAACCACGTTAAACACATATACACTTGTCTCCTTTATTACTTATTCCCTTTTGCTACAGTCTCTGACAAGTTAACGACAGTCTATTTTCCTATTAAAAAACATTTTTTAAGTCTAGTCATTTAATCACATGTCATTGCCATGTAGGTCATAGACCACTACAAATGACAATTCTTTCAGTTTATTTACTAAGAGGCACAACATAAGGTTACAATTAGGAAATCTGAGCCTAGTTTTCCCAAAGTAATTCTTAGTTGCATAAAATATATGACAACTGCACATAATTCTTGCTGATGGTATAATCAAGACATTAATGATTTTAGTTGATGTATTATAGTGGTGGGGAAGGCAAGAAGGTATGGAAATGAAATATTGATTAAAATTTTGCTTGCTGTCTACTCATTCATTTTTTAATAAGTCCTATATAAGTAACAATGATATTTAAAAGGGAGGGATATCAAAATCACCTGGAAAGCTTTTTGAAAACACCTATGTTCTACTCAAGGTTATCTACATTGGCGTGGGGAAGGAAGTACAAAGAACATGTATATTTTGCGCAAAGTAGCTTCCCAGGTGACTTCCTAATACAGCCCCTTGGGAGCCACTAGTCAGCCTCCTAGAGGCATGGGAGGAGCACTGCAGCACAACCACACAGGATCATAGTAACCACCTAGCACGTTGTAGATGCTCAATAAATATTTGTGGAAGAGAAAGTTTAAATTTCTTAGTTTAGGATACCCATCTCTTCCAAGATCTGATCTCTACCTACATTTCTCTTGCCCAATCCCGTATCACAACAGGCCTTTCTCACTGTTAAAAAAAAATTAACCGAAACTGGAAATAAGGTGAATGGAGAACTGTAAGCCCTTTCAGCGTACACTGAAACACTGTTTAATAGCTCCTCCCAAAGATAGTTAATTATAGTACCACTGACCTGCTTACTTGACCAGGACCCAAATTCTATGAAATTACAGGTAATGGAGTTTTTACATAATTTCTGTCCAGCAGACTCCAAAGGTTACAATTATACTACCCTGTAGGATATTAACCAGTTTTGTATCTAACCTACCAATTTTATTTCAATGTTTTTTTCTTCACTGTCTATACACACTCAGTTCCCAAATACTCTTGGAGCCAGCTTTACCATCTTACTACTGGTTCCCTCATTAATGAGTTAAATAAATCTTTGACTATGTTCATCCTATATTTGCATGAGAGGAGGGGACAGGAGGTGAGAATAGGAGAGCACAGTGATTACTGCCTGAGGGACTCTACAGTTTGGCCAGTACAGAACTTTAGTTTTGAACATGAAAGCTTTGAGTGGTGAAATCCCCTTCTAGTTGCCAAAGGCCTTCCCTTTTCTTAGTGCATTCGCATATTTACATTCAGTATGAGGGCCATCCTTGAAGGCACTGAAGGCATTTTTTACTCAACTGGGTCTAATTTTGTTACATGTGCACGTAAACCACATGACAGAAAGGTGCGGAAGAATACCTACCAAACTGCTAAAACAACTCTGTTAGGCAGGTACTTGGGAAGACTTATTGTGAGGGAGACTGCTGGCTTTTTATTTGTACTCCCCTATGGTGTTTGCCTTACAGCAATGAGAATATGATGTTTTTACAGTTTGAAGAGAAAGCCCAATAAAATGTATCTTACAAAATAAAAAGTAAACTAGTACACAGCTTACTTGAACAGCTATTCATGGTTTGAGGTATGATTTGGAGTACTGAGATATTATGAATATTTTGTTTCTCCAGTAAAGCTTTTTTCTCTTAGTAAATATTAAGAACTTTGGGGCCAGGTGCACTGGTACGTGCCTGTAGTCCCAACACTTTGGGAGGCCGAGGCAGGCAGATTGCTTGAGTCCAGGAGTTCGAGACCAGCTTTGGTAAAATGGTGAAACTCCATCTCTACAAAAAATACAAAAATTAGCCGGGTGTGGTGGCACGTGCCTACAGTCTCAGCCACGTGGGAGGATCAATTGAGCCCAGGAAGGTGAAGCTGCAGTGAGATATGACTGCACTACTGCACTCTAGTTTGGGTGACAGAGCAAACTGTGCCTCAGGAAAAAAAAAAAAAAAGATGGATGTAAGGAATGAAGGAAGGAAGGAAGGGAGGGAAGGAGGGAGGGAGGGAGGCAGGGAGGGAGGGAAGGAAGGATGACGGTAACTCAAATCTGGGAGAAAAAAACTCTTATAGGTTAATATTATCCTGAAATAATTACGTTACAATAGTAAGTTTAGGCCCAAGGTTGTGTTTTTGTTTTGTTTTGAGAAAGGGTCTCACTCTGTCGCCCAGGCTGGATTGCAGTGGCATGATCACAGCTCACTACAACCTCTGCCTCCCAGGCTCAATTGATCCTCCCACCTCAGCCTCCAGAGTAGCAGGGACTACAGGCATCTGCCACCACGCCTGGCTAATTTTCTGTTTTTCTTTTTGGTAGAGACAGGGTCTCACTATGTTGCCTAGACTGGTCTTGAATCCCTTAGCTCAAGCAATCCTCCCTGCCTCAGCCTCCCAAAGTGCCCAGATTATAGGTATGAGCCTCTGCACCTGGCCTAGGCCCAAGTTTTTAACTACCCAGGATATTTTTTTAATTATGGAGGATTTTTGTCCCTCCTTTGTACGAGGAAAAAGAAATCTGGAGCAGAATCCCTGTGACTTTGCTTTGGGTATGTTTCCTACCAAGTGTTCCTTTCTTCCTCACTTTAGGGTTGTAAACCTACACACAGTACACACAATTTGGTGATCTCCTTTTCCCCACTCAAGGTGCATGAACACATTTCTTCATGTTCCTGCATTTAGAACAGGGTATTATAAAGCTAGTCTTATAATATCAACTATCTCACAAGGCTTTAATTTTTTTTAATTTCTCAATTCAATAACACATTTTAAAAAACCAAAAAACTCTAAGACTGAGGGGGTCAAGAGAATGGGAAGTAACTGTTTAATTGGTATAGAGTTTATTTTGGGGTTATGAAAATGTTTCGGAACTAGATAGAGATGGTACTTGTAAAACAATTGTGGATGTACTAAACGCCACTGAATTGTTCACTTTAAGATGGTTAACTTTATGTTATGTGAATTGTGCATCAATTAGACAGACAGATACGTAATGATAAGGAGAGAAAGTAAAAGGGAATAAAGTACTGACTTCCAAAATCATTGGAAACAAGTGACTATGGACTGTGCCTTTTAATATATCTCAAAAAAAAGAAAAAAAAAAAAACCACTTTACTACCTGCCAAGTGTGGTGGTGATTGCATCTGTAGTCCCAGCTACTTGGGAGGCTGAGGCAGAAGAATCACTTGAGCCTAGAGTTCGAGGCCAGCCTGGGCAACATACAGTACTCTCTGAGGGCATAATACAGTCACACCAGATAAACATTTGAAGGCTAGAAAGATACAGAGGATAGGGTATTATGAGGGATTCTGAAGCCAATAAATGGCATTGCTTTGGGGAATATTCACTCTGTTTATACATGCTTCATCCAAATTAAGAACCTTTAATGTACCCAGGACAAATATAAAATAGACTGAAAAACACTGGCTTTAAATTAAACTCTCAATTATTGTTAAGAAGAGAACAGGTAATTGTACAAATAAAAGAATACTACAGATAATCTTAAAACCATTTATTTTAATCACCTTTAGGGGGACTATCTTATTATAAAAGGTAGTTTCAATTTATAGATAGATGAGATTCAAAAGTTTACCTGCAGGATAAACACATTTCCCATGGAAACAGTATTAAAGGTTTCCAGGGTCGTCTGTAAAGCCCTAAATGAAACATAATATAGCTGAAATACTCATATACACACACATACTGATACCCACACAATAAAACCACACAGTAATAAAAATATTTTTAGGCTCTGAATATAGTATCTATTTAGCAAAACATAAAAATGTTAAACCAAAGTGTTTATTTTTTTAGTCTTAAATGCTGGTACATGAGAGAAAGGGTGATAAGGATAGACACTTGTGAAGGCTTAAAAAGTTAAGTCTGGGAATTTATAAGGGCTCTTTAATACATCCAATTACACTTCAAGGTGATGTCAGGGAAAAGGAAGCCATGCAATTTATTTCTCACACTTGGCCATAGCGGTGTGACTGGGAGTCTCATAAGTGAAACTCATCTTTTACTCAGATTGTAAAATTTCCTCAAACCAAGATACCCCGTCCTCCAGCAAATTTCTTCGGTTTACTTGGATTCTTCCAACCCTGACTGCAGTGTCTCACTTCTCAGTCCAGAGGCTGATACTCACTAGGCTCCTTTCACTGCCTCCTCTTCAGCTACGGCTTCAGAATCTTCCTCTGTCCCTGTTCTCACCTCAGCCTCAAGCTCTTCAAGATGGCAGGAGGGCTCCTTTGCATGGAGGAGATGAAGAAGCTCTATCCTCTCCTGAGCTAGAGCCATTCTCCAGAAGGTAGAAGCTATCACATATGCTGGGCCATGGAGAGGGTGGGAAGAGCCCCAGCCTCTAAAACATGTCTCAGACTCAAGTCTTCCTCCTAAAACCACTTAAACATTTAACTCTCCTGAAAACCAGATGAGAACCGAAGGCACACAAAGGCATCTAAGTGACCTAGAGGCCAAAAGTGGTTTAGTCCGTGCTATACGGAAGGGCAGATGGCCCTTTATCAAGAGAGACCGGAGCAGAAACCAGGGAGTTCTGTGCCTATAGAGGCCTAATTAATCCATGCATCTTTTCAGGTTGTGTTCACAAGAAAAGGAGTTCTTAAAACAAAAGCACATCCACACTGAATATGTTATTTCTACATAGCCACTGATCTTCAATATCCTGTTAGTATGCATACAGAGAATCTCATAATAGAGGATATTTGATATTCGAGGCCTACCAACAAGTCTGGAATTCTAAATTTTTGGACAAAACATCATACATGACCGCTTATGACACAACTTCATCACTGTCTCTACACAGAATAGTTTAAGCACATGGCACTGACAGGTAAGCCATTTATAGTGCATCCATTATTCACAGCTGTTTCAACTGGGAGAGAAGGCTCTTTTTCTTCTCAAGAATTCAGAAAGATGAGGATCAGATGACCGGGATTCTAGTTCTGGCTCTACCATTACTAGCTACAGAAGAGAGAACATCACTACCATTCTGGGTCTATTTCCTTAGTGTAAAATGAAGAGTAGGTGATGATCATGTCCCCTCTAAATTATAAAATTATTCAAAGAACATGCTGGGCACAGTGGCTCACACCTGTAATCCCAGCACTTTGGGAGGCCAAGGTGGGAGGATTGCTTGAGCCCAGGAGTTCAAGACCAGCCCGGGCAACACAGGGAAACCCCATATCTACTAAAAATAAAAAAAGATTAGGCGGGCATGGTGGTGCACACCTGTGGTCCCTGCTGCTCCGGAGGCTGAGGCGGGAGAATCCCGTGAGCCCAGGAAGTCAAGGCTGCAGTGAGTCGAGATCACACCACTGCACTCCAGTCTGGGCGACAAAGCAAGACCCTGTCTCAAAGTAAAATAATTTAAAGAACATAAGGACTGGCAAAAGTTAGATGAAACAATCATATCATCATCCCCCATAAATAAAATCCTTCCAACTCTACTTTCTGCCTAAGTCTCTTAAAAGGCTTAACAAAAAGATTAACTGCTAATGTAGTATAATTTTCTAAACCAATGGTTTTCAAGTTTTTTCTTGCCTCCCATCATCCCTGAGACACAAACACATTGCCCATCAGTAACAGCAACTCACTGCAACAAGGGTGTGGGAAGTATGTGGAATCACTGTTCAAGATCATTACAGACAAACATGCTGCTACAACAGTGAAACTCAAGAACCACCCGCCTACACAATTTTTAAAGTGCAACACTCTAAAAATATTAGCAACCCATAAGGAAACATCTAGGATATGTTTTTTAAGCAAGTTCATTTTCATTTAGTTAACATTTATATAGTACATACTGTGTGCTATATACAGGTGCTAATTAATCTTCTACAATCCAATGAGGTACAGACCATCATTTGGTCTGTTTTACAGAAGAGGAAACTGAGGCACAGAGCAGTACTGTAACTTGCTAAATTACTAAGTGATAGGGCTGGAAATTAAACTCATAGAGTGTTTCAAGGCACTGACTGTTGCAAAGCAGTCGTCCAGGAAACTAAAACTTTTGTTTTAAAAAGATAACATGCTATGTGTTTCTGAGTCTATGTATGTACTACATACCGGCATATAAATTTTTTAAAGACTGGAAGTAGCTGTTATCAGCTATGTAAAAGGAATAACATGGGGATAGGAGCCACTATACTGTTAAAAGTTTTTCAAACAGCATTATTTCTTTTATAATAAAAATTAAATTTAAAGTGTTTTAAATTTAAAGATACTGGTATTATAAAGTCCTAATAAAATGAACTTATTCTAAATTTTCAAGCATGAGTGGAAAGTTAAATCAAAATCCAAGATTATAGCTCTATGGATTTGTAAAATTATAATCAATGAAAATTTTGAAATTTTGCAGCAGTTATTAAAACACACACATACATCGTGAAAGTATCAATAGTAAAACTGTTATTCCTCTTAAAACTGGAGGATAGGGCAGTATCATCATAAAAATTCTATAAACATTCCAGTACATATAAGTAAAAATATATTCCAGACGGACCTAACTTACCTTCCAAATGAAACATTTTTAGATGCTTAAAAGCAAGACATAAAATCTTCTGTACACTATAAATCCTCTCTGAACTGCATGTTCACAAGCCTATTCTATGCTGAAATTTCAGAAGTCTCTTCTATCTATAACTTGAGTCCCTTGAAATTATTAGGGGGAGGAGTTGGTAAAGTCACAAAAAGAGAGCAAGAACTGAGCCATAATGTAATCCAGAAAAGAAGGAATCAAGCTACATGAAGCAACTGCCAAGGTGCCCAGGCAGTCCGAGGGCAGCCAAAATCAGTGTCTGATGTCTCCCCAGCCCCAACAATGCTGCTCATTCTGAAAGAGGATGGTTAGGTTCCCAGGGAACAGGGCAACAGGAGAGTTCTCATAAAGGGCAACAGGAGATACTTAGGGTCAAAGGGGTGACCAATATAGAGCTTGGGAAGCCAACCAGAGGTCCTGATACTGGGGAGGAGACCAGGCATGAGCACCAAATCCAAAGTGGTCAGAAGTGGCCACCTGGGACTCAAGGGCAAGATCACAGAACCAAGACTGAATTCAGGTCCAAGGCAGGAAAGATAAAATTATGAAGCAAAGTTTATCTTGGTTGCCTTTCCACTTTCCCATGAAAAATTTTTCCACTTTCCTCCTTCTGGGGGCTCTCTTTTGCCTCTATCCCTTTCTTATTCCTGACAATCAGTCTCTTCTGAATCATTATATAAAGTAGGCTTACATTTGCTGGTAAAGTCAGTTCAGCATTTCTTGTAACAACCCTCTCCTTTTTGCTTAATGGCCTTGTGGTAGATTAAAGATGGCCACAAATTCTTTGACATTCTTCCCATGGAGAGACAGGGTCTATGTCCTCATTCTCCGAATCTGGGCAGGCTCTGTGACTGCCCCAACGCACTGAATATGGCAGAAGTGATTCTATGTCAACCTGCAACTCCAGGCCTTATGAAATCCACAGCTCCCTCTTGCTATTGCTTGAAATGCTTGCTCTTGGGAGAGCCAGCCGCCATGTAAGAAGTCTAATTACCCAGAGACCAACATGCTGAGAGAAGCCCAAACCATGTGCAGGGAGACTGGGGAGATTATGACACCACTGGGGGACAGAGAGACACCAAGGAGCACAGAGGTACCAGACAGGTGAGTTAAGAAGACTCCAGAACATCCTCCTCCAAAGTGTCTTCTTAACACACGTCTGGTAACTCTGTGAGTCCACGTTCTCCACCTGATGCAATCCCAGGCAAGTTCTTCCTGAATTCTTGGCCCACAAAATTATAAGCAAAATGAAATGGTTGCTTTAGGCTTCTAGGATGTATGGCTGTTTGTCATGCAGCAACAGATAACCAGACCACCACTTAACAGAGGGAGCAGTATCAGTGATGCAGCATCATCCACACCCACCAAACAACTCACTGGAATGACTGACCTGTTGTTTAGGAAAAGTGAGGATGCAAAAGAAACTTCAGAAGGTTTTACCCAGTAGGATTCAAAGCTATCCAATGACTATACTACTCCCTCTACAACAGAAGTAGTGAGAGTAAAGACTTGATATTTATCTTCAACTAAGCTGCCACTGTCCTTTGGACTAAATCTTTGTGTATCACATCAATATTTTAATAACTCAAATCTAGATGTGCCACCTCTATCTCAGGACAACCTAATTCTTGAGCACAAACATCATTCCTAACAATAACTCAGTAACAAGTAAGTTTAAAACCTTCAAATTTTCAAAAGCACTATTTCCATAGAAATCCCAAATTCTAGGTAAAGATTCTTAAGAAAGTGCCATAAACAGTGGCAGAAATTCCTTTTGTCTTCATTAAAAGGCACAAATCCTTATCCTTCCTTCCTTTTGCTTCTTTGGATTATGTTACTTAATAAGCATTCTAGGAAACCCCAGGCTTTACTGAAGGTTGAACTTGGAAAAATGCTTCTAAATAATTACAAGACTTGAGAACATTACTCATTCTGCTTCTATTTCTCTTTACCCCAAGAGTTCTGACATATTCCTCAGCCAGCATGACTTGATCCCCATCATGCCCAGCAATGCCTGATCCCAGGCCTTTGTAAGCTGGAACTACTCACAATTTTCTCACAAAATTCCTAGCAAATTGTTCCACAACTGACCTAAAAAGGAAGGGGCACAGTGACCAGGAAACTCTGCTCCACATTGTTTTAGCTGAACTAGCCAAATTCCTTTATCACCTGCCCTTGAACCCTTCGAGAAGAATTCCTTCCCTCTTTTATACAAAAATGTACCAAACAGAATGAGTTGCCTTTGTAGGAATTTGTTCCACTGCAGACTCAAAATAAATATGATACAGGTCATGTGACTTGTATCAAGCACGGGCTTCAGAACCAACTGTCTTAAAGTTGTAGCTCTACTATTTTATTCTATGACCTTACGCTAAGTTCGTTCCAGAGCCTGCCTCCTCTCTGTGAAATGGGTCAAATCCCACCTTCTACCTCACATGGCTATGGTAAAGATTTCATGAGATAAACTACATAAAGTGCACACAGCACAGGGCCTAATCAACGGAAAGCACTCAGTGAATGTCAGTTCCATTCCCTCAAAATCCTCCTACACCAGAATTAAATTAAATTATATTCAAAACACCAAATACTCAATTTTAATAAGCTTATTTCAAAATTGATGTAACTGTTATAACCACCTTAAATGTCAGAATCATTAAATTTTACGTATCTAATGTAAAATACTTCAGGAAAAATGCATTTTAGAAGCACATTTTAACAGATAAGGTTTAGATAATAGAATGCCACTCAGGTAAAACATTTAAGTACAGAAGCAACTCAAGTGTCAAAACTTTATTAGAATACATCAAACTCAGAAGTATTCAGAAAAGACATTAAATCCTGGTTCACTAATCTCATCAACCATAATATACCCTTGGTATCTACTTCATTTAGTGCACTGCCAGTACATTATCAGTATAGCAATGAATAAAATGTCAAAATTCAAATGAACAAAGATGCTAAGTTCTTTAATGTGAACTGTTCTATATTCCAATATCCAATAAAATGGGGTTACAAGCCAAGTCACTTAGAAATACATTTTAATTTCTAACTTTGTTTTAGCAAAGAAGTGAGTAAGAATTTCATATCACACCAGATTTAAGATATGGTTATCAGCTTATCTTTATGGACAAGTAGGTTTTAACCTCTACCCTAAATAATTCAATTCCTCTTCACTCTATTACCTGGTTCTCTTTAAGGAGCAATATCCTTGGTTTAGCAACATCCTTAGAGGCTAATTTTGAGACTGTGCTTTAGCCTACTTTCCCAACCTTTCCCATGTCAGGGCACGCATAGAAAATATCTGTATGACACATGCACATTAACTGAAGAGGCTTCTCACAGCCAGAAATGATTTGTCTGGGAGCACAGCCACCTCTAGGCTGAGGGGATCATTTATTTCAACACATATGTAATCCACTTGTGGCCCCTCTGATGGGAAGCTATGCTAGCCAACCTTTTACGTGGTTATCTAGCAATGCAGGAGGACGTCTCCCTTCTACTCCAATGTTCACTAGCTGGAACAAAAGACTAGAAGTCATTAATCGCCTGAGAGGACTGGGCACAGTGGCTCATGCCTGTAATCCCAACACTTTGGGAGGCCAAGGCAGGAGGATCGCCTGAGACCAGGAGTTCCAGATCAGCCTGGGCAATATAGTGAGACCTCGCCTCTACAACGGGAAAATAACTTGAGCGTGGAAGGTAAGGGCTGCTGTGAGCTAAGATAGCGCCACTGCACTCCAGCCTGGGCAACAAAGCAAGATTTTGTCTCAAATAAACAAATCACCGGAGGAGACCAGCAGCAGCATCTGGGAATCCAAGATGCCATTCCTCTGACGATCTACAGTTCATAACCATCAATCCTCTGAGGCCTATCAGAGAAAACAGATGCTGAAATCCTTATTTCTATCCCATGTATAATTGTCTTGTCCTACTGCCATTCTATAACTCCAGGGAGTGGCCACTCAACAGTTCAACATGAAGGAACCTCTTGTGAATTAAATTAAATGGAAGAGAGAAGTATCCGAAACAGCTGGTCTGAGCCGAGCTGACAGAAAAGCACTGATGAGTGTGTACAAGGAACAGTTAACTGCTTAAAATGAACCCTGACCCAGGGCCTATGATCGGCTACTACTTGACTAAAAATGTCCCCAAGGCTACTTCCAGCTCTCTAATTTCAAGGTTTCCCAACAGAAAAATAATTACGATAGATAAGTATTTCACTTCAACAGCCTTGGATACATTTCTAAGACCACAGTGGAAGTGTGGAGTAGGCAGACAAATAGCTTGAAGTATTATCTTACATATTGCTGCTCACACAATTAAAAAGTTAATTTTTTTGTGTGTTCTTCCCTGAAGATACCTGATAATACAAAAATATCTTTGTACAAGGGTATTAACTGCTGCATTATTTGTAACTACAAATATTGGAAACAACCTAAATGCCCACATATAGGAGATGGGTTGAATTCACTGTCGCACATCCACAGATGGAGTACTAGAAGCTGTTTTAAAAAAGAGAATAAGGAAAATTCCTACAAACATGGAGTGACATCCAGGATATACAGCTAAATGAAAAAAAAAAAAAGTCCAAAAGAATGTATCTAGTTTGCTATCTTTTGTGAGGGAAAAAAAGAAAATACCCACCTGCTTTTCTTTACAAAAAGAAACACAGGAAAGATCAATCAGAAATTAATGAAATTGGTTGTCTACAGGGGGTGGGTAGGAGTGAGCGGCCGGCATTAGGTAGTGACATTGCTTAGCACAGCTTTTTGTGTAGTTTTAACTTTTGGAACCATGATAATGTTTTATATACTCAAAAAGCAAAATAAAATCAGTAAGGATGAGATTTTAAAAATCTTAAAATGGGGCCAGGCATGGTGGCTCATGCCTGTAATCCTAGCACTTTGGGAGGCCAAGGTGAGCAGATCACTTGAGGTCAGGAGTTCAAGACCAGCCTGCCAACATGGTGAAACCCTGTCTCTACTAAAAATACAAAAATTGGCCGGACATGGTGGCCCACGCCTGTAATCCCAGCCACTCGGGAGGCTGAGGCAGGAGAATCGATTGAACCTGGGAGGCGGAGGCTGCAGTGAGCCGAGATTGCATCATTGCACTCCGGCCTGGGGACAAGAGCAAAACTCCATCTCAAAAAAAAAAAAAAAAAAAAAAAAAAATCTAAAACAGAAATCAAACAAACAAATGAACAAACTTTATGTTAAATAAGTGTATTAAAAGGGAGACTAAAACTAAACCAAATAGCTTTTTAACATAGTACTTTTTATGTTTTCAGTATACAGACAAAAAGAACTGTAAACAAATTTGAACTTGAGTTATAAGGGGTTTTCTTTACAATGGTATGGGTTAGCAATTCTGGAACTATTTTCTCTGATTATAGAATTGTGCAAATGAGTACACACTCATTGTAGATAATGGGAACCAGTTCTTACTGTTGGAGAAAGGTGTTACAAATATGGAAAGGGGCAAGACTAGGCTTGTGGTGTTGAATGAAATTGTAGGTATCAGTATAAAATCATGGTGATAAACACACAAATACACACAGACATAAACAGATGTAGATATGCTTATTTATTTATATTTCTCAGCTCTACTGTGCTGAGAGATCTTAGTTTATAAACATTATTCCCAGCCAAAAAGAATGAGGGCTACTTGGAGAAATGGCTAATTCCAAGGCTGCAACAGGCTAAGTACAAGATGAGCCTGGAACATCTTGTGCGAGAAAGTAAAAAGGGCTCAAAGAATGACGGCGCGTGCCCAAATCACAGCTTAAGGGTGCTCCCACCAGCTAAATATAAGCTAATTTGAGCCTCAAAATAAATAATGATGAGTACCTTAGAATAAAAAAAAACCGAGTGCTTATTAAGATAAGTAAGCAAATTAATAGTAAGCAGGGGAGAAAGTTCTTTCTTATAGCAGAATGCCAACTAACATGTAAAAGAATTACGAGTCAGAAAATCATCACCTTGCAATCATCCTACTAATAACTGATTCAGGCAAGAATCATCAATGGATGTGAAACTACTGGGTAAAACTTTGGTAAGAAACGAGGTATATACATAATCTAAAAACATTTCCCACAAATTACTTCTTAATAGCAAAGGAGAAAATAGTAACTTTATAGCTGATTAACCTACCAAATATTACCTTAATAAAGTAATCAAAGTTAGTATCACCAAAAACAAGACAGACCAACTCTTGATATGATGCCTGAGAAGACACAACATTACTTTTGTGGTATTCCTACCAAAAATGCATTACCTGAATCTAACCATGAAGAAACCTCTGAAAACTCAAACTGAAGAACATTTTATAAAATAACTGAAATGAACTCTTCAAAAATAACAAGACATTATGATGTTAGAATAGAAAAAAAAAAAGCCAAAAGCCAAGACATGAAAAACAAAGGCTGAGGAACTATTGGAGATGAAAGAAAACTAAAGAGCTATGACAACTAAATATAACACATGATCCTGGATTAGATCCAGGGTGGCTGGGGAGGTAAACAGAAAGGAGTAATAGCTATGAAGGCCATTGTTGGGACAATTGAGGAAATCTGAACATGGAATGTGCATTAGGTAACAGCATTCTATCAGTATCAACTGTCCTGATTTGACCAATATTCTCTGCTGATTGAAAAGAAAGACCCGGCCAGGCGCGGTGGCTCACGCTTGTAATCCCAGCACTTTGGGATGCTGAGGCGGGCAGATCATGAGGTCAAGAGATCCAGACCATCCTGGTTAACACGGTGAAACCCCATATCTACTAAAAATACAAAAAATTAGCCGGGCGTGGTGGTGAGTGCCAGTAGTCCCAGCTACTCAGGAGGCTGAGGCAGGAGAATGCTGTGAACCTGGGAGGCGGAGCTTGCAGTGAGCCGAGATCACGCCACTGCACTCCAGCCTGGGCAACGGAGCAAGACTCCGTCCCAAAAAAAAAAGAGACCTGTTCTTGGGGAAAAACAAAACTATGGATAAAGGAGTGTTATATCTGTAAATTAATAAGGGGAAATATATAAACAGAGAGTAAATATATACATGATAAAACAAATGAGGCAAAATGTGAACGACTGGCAAATCTAAGTATACGGAAGTTCTTTGTATGTACTATTCTTAGCAGTGTTTCTCTGAGTATAAAATTATATCAAAATCAAAAGTCTTTTTAAATTCTGAGATTAAAAATCTGTGTCCTTTACTTCCAATTAAGATCATACTTTTTAAAAACTAAAACACAAGGGAGAAGGTTAAATTACCAATGTACAGAGCCAAAAATCCTATAAACCTGGCACTAACTTGCCTTCATTAATGAATGATGAGCTAGTCCAATAAAAGTATTACAATGCATTAACTGCAGTAGTCCCAATGACCTTACAACTTTCTTTCACAGGCATATACCTATCCAAAGCCTGGCTTGTGATCTGACTTTCCAAGCAAGGTCGAACCCCCTGGCTTGCCTATTTTCTCTGCTGACTCTGATAACAGCAACAATATTTTGTTCTATTTATCAGAGAAGGTAAATCTGAATATAAATTTTTATTCAAATAGATTAATGTAAAATTTCAGTTCAATGATTTAACTCTGAGTAACTAATAAGATCCATTTCTGATAGGGCAAAACACTGTGCCCTAAAAACAGGATTACAAATGATATACATTTAAAAATGGACACTAAACTAAACGTGGCAAATTCTACTTAGCTCTTCTCCCACCTAAGACCCACTTAAATGACAATAAAGGAAAAAAACAGATACAAACCCACAAAGATAAAGAGAACAGTGTGAGGTAACCAAAGCAGACAAAAGATTTCAACAGCTTTTTGTAAGTGAGAAAGAAGTTAGGGGAGCAATAACAATCTTAGTAGTGCAGAGGAAGCTATGGCCTGAGTGTCAGCCAGGAAGAATGCAGATGGGAGGAGCTCTAGGTATAGGGACACAGCAGACAGCAGGTAAGGACAGGACTGAACACAAGGAGACTAGGGACTCTAAGGACAACTGAGTCATGGAACTTCTGCAATCTGATCTCAGAACATCAGTGGCCAGGTGCCCACCTCCCAGAGGGAAAACCGAAAAACTCAATGGTACCAGAAAAAATTCTCAGCACAGATATGAGTGTCTTCCTCCAATGAAGGTGACTTGCTCCCCACCTCACAGTGAAGCCCACTGTGGACAAGCCCCACCCAGTTACAAAGCTTTTTACATGAAAAAGTTCACTGTTATATGAAAAGACAAAGACAAAACAGATCTTTATAGAAAACCTCCAATCTGAAAGAATCATTTTAAAAAGAAAAAGAGGAACCCAGGAGAAATAGAAACCATACAGGGAGCACAGCAAAACTTCAAAACCAACATACTCTGAACTGCTGGAGTGGTAAGAGAAGATACTGCAAAACAATAGCAAGAGGATATGTGAAAAAGGAATGATTGGGAAATGAGAAAGAGCTCTTAAAATTTTTAAATACAATGATCAAAATTCAACAGAAGGAATGGAAGAAAAAATATCAAGGAAATTGGGGGGAGTGGGGAGGGATAGCATTAGGAGATATACCTAATGTTAAATAAGCCTAATGACGAGTTAATGGGTGCAGCACACCAACATGGCACATGTATACATATATAACTTACCTGCACATTGTGCACATGTACCCTAAAACTTAAAGTATAATATAATAAAAAAAAAAATCAAGGAAATATACCAGAAACTAGAACCAAAAGGCAAAGAAATAAGAAAATCAGAGACTACACTCAGGACACCCAACATCCAACTAATAAGAGTTCCAGAAAGAAAAAAAAGAATAAATTGGGGGATATAAGTATGGGGGGAGGAGCACACTATCAAATTTATAGTACAAAAAAATGTCTTTTAACTCAAGGATGTGAACCTATACATAAAAAAATCCCTTCACTTCCTATTAAAAATAAAATAAAAAAAAAACTACCCATGCCCAGCCATATTTTGAAATTTCAGAATACAGAGGATGAAAAGAATACCTTAAAGAATTATAGGAAAAAGAATAAAAGGACATATGTGGAGGAGGAAATCAGGAAGGCATCAGGTTTCTCAACAGCAACTCTGGGAGCCTAGAAACAAACCAACAATGCCTTTAAAACTCTAAAGGAAAATTATTTTCTTACTAATATTTTCTATTCAGCCAAGCAATCAAGTATAAAGGTAAAATAAAAATGTCAGACTTGCAAAGGCTCAAAAATTTACCTCCCTTAATGTGCCATGCAATTAGAGAAAAAAAAATTACCTCCTGTGAGAAAGGAGCTTGATGTACTCCAGCAAAACAATGAAATAAACCAAGAAAAACAAGACATGGGATCCAAGAAATAAGGGATCTAATATTATAAGAGAACAACAGAGGGAATCACACGATAAAAACTGTCCAGCCTGGAGAACTATTTCAAATGACAGCAGAGGTCAGAGGGCTCTGGAAAGGATTTTAGAAAAGAGTTAGTGCTTGGAGATTATCTAATCCGTTGAATGGGTTAAAAAATAATATTCACAGACCTTTGACAGGTTTAAAGGAACATTTAAGAGAAAATGTGTCTAAGGTAAACTAAGCAATTTTTAAAAGAGGCAATTATTGACTCAAGAAAAAATAAAATGTTGGACAAGAAAGAAAAATGAATCACTATAGTAACCAAAATATGTAATCTAATTATATTGGGAAATGGAGAGACTGAAGGGCAAGTGGTGCAAACACTGAAGTCTTCATTTACCACAGCAAGATATCAAGGAATAATACCTAAAAATGACAAATTAAGAAATAACAGAGCATTGGTTAGAATTATGCAGGTAAATATGAGAGAGAATGCTAAATAGAGCCTACAGAGATTGTCTGTGGACAGCAGGACTGAGAGTGGAGGCGAGGAAGACTAAAATTCTATTTTAAGCCCTTTGATACTATTACCTGTCTCTGTATATTTCAGAAATGTGTATTACTGTTCTGAAAACATGAATTAATCTTCATATGGTAAATTGATGTAACATAACAATTCATGAAATTGCTCAATTTTTATCTTTTTTATTAAAAAGTCTAAAATATATTACACAGCATAAAAATTAGAATAGCAGTTTATCATTTGGGGTCAGGCACCTACTGAATTCCTTATTCCCACTGCAGAGTTAATGATATGTGTCCTCCACTAGCAAATGTAATTTCAAAGCTGGCCAAAACTTGTCATCTATATGTTAAGAGATCCAGATACCTACAGAGCCAAAGAAGAGAGGGGCATCTGGTCCTGCTGACTTCCCACACAGAGGCAAATTCTGGTCCACGGGGCTGCCCCCAACCCCCAACTGGCTGTAGCATTTTACTCTATTTTTAAATGGATTCCTTATGCTTTCACCATGAAATGGAAACAACATATAGAAACAATGTGTGTGAAACAACATATTCTCAAAAACTGTAATGCACTAAACAAATTTGTTATGGTTCCTTCTACCACAAATTCAGACTTATTCAGACCTATTTTGGTGAAAAACACCTAATGAAGCTATTATGCCACTCTTGATCTTCATTTTAAATACTGGAACTGGGCTCCTCCTACCTCTAAACGAGGGGAAAGGATAGTGGGAGGAAGGATAAAAACCACTAAAGCCAAAGGAGATTACTAAATCAGAGTCAAAATGGGCCATTTTTGCCTTTGGAAGACCAGACACAAATAGCTTCAAAAAATTATTAGGAGCTCAAATTGTTTCAAAAATAACTTTCCCTATGAAGCTGATCATATAGAAAATAAAAACAAAAGCCATGAACTACTTAAAAATTCTGACATCTAATATCTTCATTTATTTAATACAGCAAGATCTGATGCAATTCCATGCTGTTGCCAACAACCTGAGTAAGCAAGTCCATGGTGAAACAGTGGTGGCACTTCAAAAGACATGAATCAGGTCATAAATGTAAACACCACTCAACTATTATTTCAAAATAATAGTTGCAAGTGTATGCAATATAAGAAAAGACTCGTATATATTTAAGGAAGCACCCCCTCTCACAAGTAAATAAAATAATTAAGAGGTTTAGGGACCTCTTAACATCAAAGACTTTCCTTGGAGAACAATAGGCTTAATATCTGCATTGTACAATTCTCTTCCTCATTCTCTGTGGTTATGTAATAAAGGTTAACACTAAAGTACAAAGTGGAGGGGGAAAAAGTACCACACTTGTACTTACTGGGAAACTCTTTATTCTTTTAAAATCAACGGGACTTATTTTGAAGAAATAGAAAAAAGAAATACAAACTTGGCAAATACGTATACTCTGCCCGAGGGATAGATAATCAATATTTCAGAAAACAGGCACCTGCAAACTCCAAAACCATTAACTATTTCAGTTTTTCTAAATAGCTGTTCTAATTATTTAACCAAAACCAAGAGTCGGAATTTTTTTTTACAATCGATAGAATTTTCAAACATGACCCACATTTTCCCAAAAATCTGTATTATATATTCGAAGAAAAAAACTAGAAATACATATATTTTTTAAATGAGGCTCTAAAAAAAACTATATATAAACAAAACATTCAAAGCAAATAAAATGAAACTAACGCATTTAAGCTCTCAGAATTAAATTCTCATGGCACGAATGTTGAGGTCTGGCAGCTACTTCATACACTTAAGGTGAAGTCTGATCCTTCAGTTTTTATAAAGCAATTTCTCCAATGCTAAAGCATCTCACTATTAATATCCAAAATAATTCACATGGAAATAAGAGTTAATCTTAATGAAACCAAAGAACATTTTACTGTGTGCAACTAAAATTAAAATTTGCTCAACCAGCAATTTGTACCATTGTTGCTCCCACAGTCTCTATATTATACAGTTATTTTTTAAATGCCTAATATAGTAGAACATTTTTCTAACATGTCATCCATCGATTATCTCAGGGAAACATTCCAAGTCAGAAATTTGTTTTCTAGAAATTTCAACTTGATATTCAAAAACTTTAATCAAAATATTACTCCGGCATTGTGCAACAAATGTTCAAAACAAAGTAATGAACAATTTAAATCTATTATTTAAAAAAGAAAACCCACCCAGACTGGTGGCTCATATCTGTAATCCCAGCACTTTGGGAGGCTGAGGTGGAAAGATCACTCAGAGTCAGAAGTTCAAGACCTGGGTAACATCGAGACCCTATCTCTACAAAAAAATTTAAAAATTAGCTGAGCGTGGTGGCACATGCCTGGAGTCCCAGCTACTTGGGAGGCTGAAGTGGAAGGATCACTTAAGCCCGCGAGTTCCAGGCTGTAACGAGCTATGACTGCACCACTGCACTCCAGACTGGGTGACAGAGTGAGACTCCATTTCCAAAAAATAAATAAATAAGCAAAAATAAAAACCTGAGCTTGGTCATCAAGGACAAAGATTTAAAGAAGGTAGAACAATAACTGTACTTTCTTATAATCAGTTAAATTAAACCTGCGGGAATATGACAGTTAATTTCCAGCCTGCTTTTTCTGGTGATGAGGCAGTACAAGAACAGTCCATAAAATTAAGTGTCTTCAGGGTGGGTGAAGGATAAACAGGCCAACAATTTCTACAAAGAAGGCTGTCTTAAACCCAGCTAGAACAAAGAAAAAATAACAGGAGAAAACTTCTACTCAAGAATGGAAACAGCTCACACTGATAGAGCTACTGGATTCTAAAGCAGAGTACAAAGTCTCCAAATAAAATCTAGTTGGTTACAATATCTTTGATATAACCTGGCTTATCTTAAAAATAAACTCACAATTCCCTCTTCAAAGGGTCTTATAAAATTATATTAGCTAGTATTTATTAATTGTGAAGCATCTAACTAATGCAAACACTTAAGACAACTGCAAATTTGATTTTTCAATGTTCAAGTTTAATTTCAACAGTTTTCAAAATCTGAAATTGCCTTCCTAAATTCATCTGCATTGTATACATCCATAAAGAGCACACACTGAAAAGATACACTTCCTTGTATCTTAAGAAAGGGGGAGGCCTGGTGCAGTGGCTCACACCTGTAATCCCAGTATTTTGGGAGGCCGAGGCAGGTGGATCACAAGGTCAGGAGTTCAAGACCAGCCTGGCCAACACAGTGAAACCCCGTCTCTACTAAAAACACAAAAATTAGCCAGGCATGGTGGTGGCTGCCTGTAATTCCAACTACTTGGGAGGCTGAAGCAGGAGAATCACTTGAACCTGGGAGTGGAGGTTTCGGTGAGCTGAGATCGTGCCACTGCACTCCAGCCTGGCCAAAGAGTGAGATTCCGAAGAAGAAGAAAGAAGAAAGAAAAAGAAGGAAGAAAGAAGAAAGAAAAAGAAAGAAGAAAGAAGAAGAAGGAAGAAAGAAGAAAAAGAAAGAAGAAAGAAGAAAGAAGAAGAAGAGGAAGAGGAGGAAGAGGAGGAAGAGGAAGAAGAGGAAGAAGAAGAAGAGGAGGAAGAAGAAGAGGAAGAAGAGGAAGAAGAAGAAGAGGGGAAATCTGTTTTAAGATCTGCAGTTACTGGCTAGGCACGGAGGCTCACACATGTAATCCCAGCACTTTGGGAGGCCAAGGCAGGAGGATCACGAGGTCAGGAATTTGAGTGAAACCCTGACTCTACTAAAGATACAAAAAATTAGCCGGGTATGGTGGTGTGCGTCTGTAATCCCAGCCACTCAGGAGGCTGAGGCAAAGAATTACTTGAGCCCGAGAGGCGGAGGTTGCAGTGAGACAAGATCGTGCCATCACACTCCAGCCTGGGGAACAGGGTGAGACTCCATCTCAAAAAAAAAAAAAAAAAAAAAGATCTGCAGTTACTAGTTTTAGTTTTTATGGTCTAAAGACTATAACTTTTACAGGAAATACAATTGGAAAATCTTAGAATAACTAAATGGAATCAACAAAGTATACTGACTAAAAGCAAAGATTTCAAATAATCTCTGAGCTACCAGAAGCAAATGCAAAATTCTATACCTTAAGAATTCTCTCCTTCCTCCACCCTACAACAAACCACCTCCAAGAAGAATCTTCTCTAACAGAAACAAAATGAAAAAATAAGGGGGGTGGAGAGACTTCAATAACTGAAACCCATTTTAAAAATAACCAAAAGCTAATTGCATTTTATCCATAGCTATAGTGAGGAGGCTGGTTTATTATGTCTGAACTAATGCAATATGAATTTCGGCCTATAAAAATATTAGATCTGAGTATAACAAGGTTGACATTTAAAATAGTTGTTTCTTCCAAACTATATCACCAATTCCTTGTTCCAACTTGCCAGCACTTTCAATATTAAATTGGGTGAGGGGGGTAACAAAAGACCAAATTTTAAAATAAGTAATTTTTGAGATGTGGAACTTAAAATATATTTTCATATCAAAAATCTTCAAAGGAATTATTTAAAGTATGTGTTCCAAACATTTTGTATTTTTTAAATTGTCAAGCATTAAGTTACTGAATAACAAAATAAAGACTCTTTTTTTTTTTTTTTTAAGAAAAAGCAAGCTAAAAGTCTGAACAGTGTTAGAGTTTAAGCTTTGGGCTATCTTTAATACTCCCCAAGCATCTTGGGCAACTCGTAACCTTTGTCTCAGTTTCATAATCAATAAAATAGGAAAAACTACAAGGATGAATAATTAATTAAATTAGTCAGGATTAAATGCTAGCAAACTGCTTTGAAGTTACTTTATGTTGTTCTCAGTTATCTTCCTACTCAGTAAAACTAATAGATGAGAAAACATCTGGAATTACTATAGATAATCACATCTGCAGACTCACAGCAGTTAAAAAGACGATCTCTACAAATTTCTAAGCCAAAGTTCATTCAACGACCCCAAAGATTTTAAGATACAACCACAATGAACAATTTTAGGTGAATTTCTTTTCAGTCTCAAGGACACCTATTCTTACCTACATTCTCAAAAGAAACCACTACACAGAAATCTCAGAGCATCTTGAGGGGTCTTGGCACAAGACAATTCTAGGTAAGATGAACAAGCTGTTACTGTTGTTAATGCTATTCTCAGCATTCTAAACTGTCAATCAAGGTAAGCTTAATCACAAACACACCCTCCAAAAAGTACTAGCCCCTACTGAGAACCCATCAAAGTACTTCCTTCCAAGCCATCTGTCCAGGAAAGCTCTATTAACACACCTAGAATGCAATTGCTCTCCTGTCTAAAGAGGCAATGAATAAACATAAAATATCAAAATATGTTAAACAGCATACCTTTTCCACTTCAAACAATGATAATCTACCGACTAAATCTATTTATTTCAATGCCTTGGTTGAACACAAACCTGTATGTATGTAGGTCAGAGACTGCAGCTTAATCAAAGGAGACTAACATTTTGTTTTCAAAGAAGGAAAAATATTAAAAACAAACAAACAAGCTCAAGAAGGGGAGAAAAGCTCAAAAAGAAAAAAAACGAGCAGGTTAGGTTAGGGGAAATGTACATGTTAATCAGCTCCTGATGGAAGAGGGACTCAAATTTTAAAACAGGAATTTAAATGACTCACTGAGCTACACACTAAATTACTCACTGGTCTACTCACTGAGCTGCAAACACTATAAAAACATAAGTATTTCTAAATCTAGCTTGAAGGATCCAAAATCAATCTTTTATATTCCAGTGGAGAAGGAAATTACATACATTTCAATGAGGAAAAAGGAGGCTGTTACACGAGCCTAAGGCTAATGGTGTACAAGCAAAGAATGAGAATAAATTATTTTGAGGATAAATAACAGGAAACCACACCAAAGAGTTCGAATTCTTCCCCCAACTCCATCATTTCTTCTGCTTAGACCATGAAGGATGTTCTGTATACACTATTAAGCATATTATTAGGGAAAGAACTTCTCATCAATGTGTCAAAACTTCTTCACAACAAGTAAATGTTAGGCTCAATCTCTATACTGAAGCTTCTTTAAACAAAACACATACATGGAGCACATTCTAAATTTCACACATTTCACATCCATGAGCAATCATTTAGAGACTCTAGAAATAAGCTGAGATTGCTCTAAGATTCTGGGGGACGGGGTTGGGGAGGAATACTGCAGAAAGACTAGAAAGACATTTGACTTAAGCTTTATAAATATTACCAAAAAAGTTTAAATTCTTCAGAAGGATATATAAAACTCAAATACTACTTTTTAGAATTAATGTGAAAAAAGTATCACCTGTCCACTGATTTTTAACTACCCCATCCACATTTACAACTAAATTGTCCACCTGCCCATCTATAAATACAGACTGCCAAAAGAACACAAATTCATTGTGATAACAACACTGCAGATGGTCATTTGCTCACAATCCAGCCAACGTTTACTGACTAAAATACTGGGAGTGCGGGCTAGTGAAAGCATTCTGGGGAAAGTTCACTCTGCGTTTATTTTCAACATAAAGACCCTGCCAGACACATCTAAGTGATAGTTCCTTTATTTATCAGGCAAATATTTACTAATTGCTCTATTAAGTATTAGGCACTTAATAAAGACATCATAGAATGTTACTAAAAAGCAGTAAAAGCATTTGACCTAATGACAAGGAAATGACTGATTGTATTTAGAAAATTTAGTCCACTGGGCAAACGAGTGTTAAATGTAGGTTGTGGAGAAATACGATACAAAATAACCCATCACTCCATCAAGGTTGATTTCTTCTCTTTATCACAACCTGATCAGTCCATTACAAATTTATTACCACTGACAACCAATAATCAACACCTCATCCTACTGAATGGATCTCTTAAAAAAGGGTTTATCTCCAGTATTTTGGGTGGAATTATCTGCAGTTTTTGGTGCAAAATTGCAGAACATTTACTTGATCTACACTTACTTTTCTTGGGTAGAGTAATATGAAGGCAAGTGTGTACTGAAAACTTAAAGAGGCACTCTCAACTCATTGAAGAATTAATCAGGGAAAAATTAGCATGCCTATCCTACTAAATATCTCTAATTTAACTGGCTGTTTAACCCAAACCCTCAAGTTCAAATGCTTGGTCCTTGGCTTTCCTTAGTTATCAAAACACTTGCATTCAGGGCATCTTTTTAAACAATTTTTGTTTTTTCCCACTGGTTAAACTCTTTTACCCACAAAAATAAGGAATGCCCAAGCCTCCAACTTCTGAAAATAACATCTGGTATGTGCACATAACAAAAAGCTTGAGAGAATGCCCTTTTATTTAAAACTTTTTCATTTTAAACTAGAATCCCTTAAGCAACAATTAGACATAAATCAGCCTTTACGTTATTAGGAGATAGCTATTTTCAACATTTACCTTAAACCACATGGATGTATCTTCTAACTAGTTAGCTTCCTGTCTCTCCCCCAGCTAGATTAGACTGTTAACTTTTTTGGCAGCAAAGGACTACTAGAGCCCATGCTCTATTTCCCAGCTAATACATTTCAAAAACCTCAGGTCTCTACAGAAACATAAACGTTGGTAGCCTTAAGGATTTCTCTAATTTTTTAAAGTTATTTTGATATGAGCAGGTATCCTTAACTGTTAACTATAGCTTACACAAGTGGGTTCTCAAAGTGTGGTCCTGGACCCCTGAAAGTTTCCAGGACCCATTCAGGGGATCCAGAAGGTCAAAACAATTTTCATACATAATATTTAAGATGTTACTTTTGTTTACAGTCATTCTCTCACAAGCATGCAGTGGGGTGTTCCTGAGGCTGCATGATGTGACATCTCAAGAGACTGAATGCAGAAGCAATGTAAGAATCCAGCTGTCTTCTATAAAGCTGAACAAAGAGTTACAAAAAGGCAAAATAATGCCATTCTTCCCACTAAATTTTTGTTTTGAAAAACATTTTACATAAACTGTCAATTTATGTTATGGGTGTGGGTCTATTATTATTTGTAAGCATATTAATAAATACATATTTTAAGTTTTTCTCAGTTTTAATTTCTAATAAACATCATCAACAGATATAAGCTACACGAAGGCTCTTCAGGTGCTCAACAATTTTTAAGAGTGTAAAGGGGTCCTAAGATCAAAAAGTGTAAGAACCACTGTCATACACAATTATATAACCCAACACACAGTGCCTTCCATGGATAAGAAGCTCATGCTAATTCTGAAGTATAATTACTTCTTACTTCTTGTAATCTTGTTGAGTTCTGTATCTCCCTGTAAAGCATCATTCAGCATAAAGCCAGTCTGTTCTAGTCCCCATTTAATGGGCTTTGGATATTTAATTATTCAGAGTCCTCTTTACAAAGATGTTCTGACCTCTAATACCACCTATTACTAGAACAGTGTATACAAGTTTCTCAAAGTTTTCACAAAAAATTACCTTGTTCATCCTAACAGCAACCTGTGAAGTAAATGCAAAGTATTACCCTTTTCTTTGCAGATTATATAAGGAAACTGATACTCAAAGAAAATAGAACTATTTGTCCAATTAGGTACTGCTAACTGGTAGAACCTAGAATGTTGTGGCATTTTGCAATTTGCTTGGCTGTCTTACCGTGGTATAATTGCAAACTCGCAAAGAAAATAAGGCAAGGGCATTACTTTTATTGTCCCAGTGCCAAAACAGGGATTTTCCCCTCCTTAATAAGAACATAATCAGATTCAATACCCAGTCACAGTATTAGTCAACACATCGGCTACCCTTTTGGTCCCCTATGAAAAAAACAAAAATAAAATAAAATCAAGAGTGTGGGAGAAAAAAAATACGACTATATAACACTCCAAGATAATGAGTTAGTTAAGGACTCACAGATTCATCATTTAATCACTGAAACGACAGGCACGCAAGAACAAGATCAAGCTTAATACAATAACGCTAGATTATATCAACAAATGGATGCCAACGGGTTAAGACGGGAGGCCTACATAAAATGGGTTCAATTCAGAGTGTGGACTCACACAAAGTTGCGAAACTCGCTTTATTGGTTCTACAAATCCAAGTAAGTGACTAGACCCAGGCTTGCAAAGCTATATGTCAGACACACTTTGTTGCAAGATGCAAAGATGTCATCCTACCCCTTGAACAGAAATCACCCCACATACTAGTTTATTCTTGTTATCAGCACATCTCGTTATGCTCCATTTTAACTTATTAAGTTCCTCAAGAGATGCTCAATTTCCTGCATCTCTTTTTCACAGTCAAGTGGACTCCCTGACTGACAGAGGCAAGACTGACTCACAAGAGGGCATCTGCCACTTGCACAGTTCTTTTCCATTTTTTAGATGTATGTGCCCAGTGAAGCCATTTTTAAGTTTGATGTGATTTTACCTAAAAAATGCCAGAAGTGTGCTAATTGTCCATGTTGTCTTTCTGTAGTTTACTACAGATGAGCAAGAGCAATCCCACCATTCCCTGTGAGGTAGGCTTCTCCTAGTGTTTACTTTGGTCTTTTTTTTTTTCTTCAAATTTCTTTTGGGAAAAAAATTAAGTTACAATTATAGCACCACAGCAATGGCTACAGTTATAGCTAATGTACCACCACCAACCAATTTGTAAAGCAGTGCCATACACCTTATTTGTTGTTCTATACTCAACATCCCGACAGATTTACAGGTAAAAGCTAATTTACACAAGTTTCTGCATCCTCACAAAAGAACTGCAATACTGCTCTGTGAAACCAATTAACCGTTAATTTTCAAAGGCTTCATGCAGAAAAAGATACCTGACTTTACAAAGGCAAGCAAAGCATCAGACGTCTGAGCGCGCCAGGAAACCGCAGTTATTTCTATTCCTTATCCCAGAGTACATTTTTCTTTGTGGACCTACCGATGTTGTTTCCAAGAACATAATCACTATTTAAGTAGTAAGCTGTCAAAAGTGCTAAGGCATTCTCTAAACTATCTTCCCAGCTCCGGCCCACAATGAGACATGTCACAGCTAAATCATACCATTGCCGTTTTTCTATATTTCTTCAAATGAACTTCAGATTTCTGAAGTGCACAATTCGAATTGTACGCTATTAATATAACCCAAGATACCAGTGACCATCTCAAAGCTAATAAACAAAGACTAGCGGTGGCACCAGGGCCCTACCAGGAAGTAAGCAAAGCCGTGTGGCCGGTGCGATCCTAAGAAGTCGCTTAGAGCAGACAATGAGAGGGCACTGGGGCTTCCAAGGGGGCCAGCAGGAGTTAAAACGCTTAAGCTACTCAAAAGCCTTATATAAATCTAATAAGTGTTTCACAACACAGGAACTGGGAATCCCAACGCATTTTCGGACAACCCAAAAGGTCTGAAAAACAAACTCGAGCAGTCCCCTCCAAAGCAGCTGTTGGCTCAGCCTCCGAGCTTCTCAGCCCGCAGCCTGTTTTCAAACTTCACCATCCCTGACGGATGAAAGACCCCGACCTCCGCCGCCCGAGCTCCCAGCGCCTCTCGGGGTTTCGAGGTGCCCGAGCCTGCGGAGAAGGGAAAGGAAACCCGGGCCGGGTTCGGCGGAGGAGAGGAGCCCCGCGCGCCCCGCAGCCCAGACAAAGCTGCGCCCGGAGAGCGGCGCTCTTCCCGCCCTGTCTGCGGAGAAGCGCGGCGCGGGCCCCGCCACACGTGCGGCCGCCCCTCGGGGGCCGGACACCCGCCCCACAGGCGACCCCGCAACACGGACGGGCACAGCCCCCGGCCACGGCAGGGCGGGGCAAGGGCGCACGCAGCTGGCCAGGGTCCCCGCCTGCCGCTGCCCCCACGCGCTCGAGGCCTCCGCGGACTCCCGCCCCTCGCGGCCCTCTCCTTCGCTGGCCCGGCCGTCGGGCCTCGGGAAACAAAGGAGCCGCCGCCGCTCCCGCACGCGCCCGCCTCATCGCGTACCCTCCCCAGCCCGCCGGGCCCGGCTCGCCCTCGCCCCTCCCCGAGTCCGCGCGCCGGCCGCCTGCGGCCCCTAGACGGCAGGCCCGGCAGAGCCGCGGCCTCGGGTGCGCTGCGGGGCCGGCCCGTGGCCGCACTCACCGCTGCAGCACCAGGACGACGGGGAGCCGTTGGGGAACTTGGCTGAGTCCGGAGCAATGCAGACGCTGGAGCTCAGGTGTGGACACTCCATGGCCACGAGGAGGGCAGCTGGGAGGACTGCGGCTCCAGGACCCGGCGAGGTGGGGGCGGAGGAACTCCGGAGGCTCCGTCTGGTGTCGCTTCTAGCCGGGCGCTCGGCCGACGGCGGCTGCGTCTCGAGCCCTTGCGTCAAAGAAAGCACGGGCTTCCGGACGCCGGGTTTTCTCGCCCGCCGTCTCCCGGCGCCCCGCTCCGTAGAACGTGTAACTCCGAGATCCGGGTTCTGCAGCCACCCCTAGACTGGAGGCTTCCGCCTTTCCAGGCCGGCCCCTCCCCGCCCCGCCCCCGGGTCCGCCCCCGCCCAGCCCGCGGGGTGGGGTCCCGGCGAGCTCCAGCTGGTGGCGCAGAGTCCGGCTGTGTTCCGAAGTGACTTTCCTAGTCACGCCGCTTCCCCGGCCCCGGGAAGGGTGGGGCGCCGAGCAGGGCACCCCGGGCCGTCCGCGGCGTTTCCTGCGGTGGGCGGAGGATACTGAACCTATGTGGTGCGGACTACTCGGTGGCTTCGTGGTAAAAATCCGGCCGCTCCGCAAAGTGTAAAGAAGAACTTTAAAACCTCTCGGGCAGACAGGCACCGTGGCCCTCATTTTATACACGAAGAAACAAGCTGGGGAGGCCAAGGGCCTGGCCCCGGGGGAGGCGGGCAGCGGGTTTCATGGGTGCCAGGGCAGTCCCGCCCGACTTAGCGTTAGGCTCCTTGCGGCAGGTGCGATCCGTAGCCCTTTCTAGGTTCTGAACACGTGGCGTTAGCCAGCCACCTAGATGCTGCGTGGGTGGGCCCGCAGGGGCGCCCATGAACCCACGTTCAAATCCTGTCACTGTGACTCACCATCTGCGTTACCTCCAGCACATCGTAGGACTTTCAAGCCAGGAAGTTCAAGTGAGATAAACGTAGCCTGGGATTGCTGGGCAAGCTAAACTCCCCATTACCAGGCGATAAGAAGGGAAGGGATCTAGCATTTGTTAGATACCTAAGGTCTCCCAGCCAGGCACTTCCCATACCGCATTTAAGCCTCGCAACACCCTACCAGCTGTTACCATCCCCTTTTTACCGCAGGGGGAAACCGAGTCTGTAACTTGTTGATCTGTATGGAGATTGGATCCCTGACCCTCTGACCTCTTTTTAGTGAGGGATTAGAGAAGAGGGCAAGCCTCAAGGGGCCGCTTGGGCCGGCATACCCTGGATCGAGCCTGCGATCTCACTGGGGCACTTGAGGACGTCCGGGGCTATTACAAATATTGCTTCCAAGTTGGGGCTCCTTGTAAAACCCGGCGAAGGAGCCTCGGGGCCAGAAGGCGAGCAGGAGGAGGGGGAAGACTGATGTGGCAATCCTGCGGCCAGAGCGAGAGGAGGAAGGAAGGTCAGGAAATGATTAACCGGGCCGGGCAGTGGTTAGAGCCGGGCACCTCCCCGCAATGCAGTCCTAGAGCAGCCAGGGACGCCCCGTCAATCACTTCTTACTCCTCCCTACCTCCCACGCCACAAGTCGGCCTCTTCCGCATAGACCTCTGCCTAATGGTATCCACCCACCGGGGGCACCTCTGCTCATCCTTTCCCCAGAAGTATTTCTGGGTCCTCAAAGATCTGTCCTTTTCCAAGTGGTATTTGCTGTTAGAGCAAGCCTCGGCCTGGGATTTTTATGGCAGTGATGCGTTGTGGAAAGTGCGTCTGCCTAGGAAGGCAGGCCGGCATGCTTTCAAATCTTAGCTCTGCTGCCTACTTGACGGCCAGGCTTAGCAAGCGTCTCTAGCCGTTCCAAGCCTTTTCTAGATCTGTAAAACTGGAAGAAGAATACTTGTCTCGCAAGGAACATGTGAGAATTCATGAAAATTGCCACCACATACTAGGTGGCCAATAAATTATAACTTTGTATTTGTTTTTACTGACACTAGATGAGAGCTGCTTCCCTGGGAAGCGGGAGGAGGAGAAACAATAATATCTGCCCTTGGCTCAAGTTCTTCCACCCATCTCTCCATGTCAACCTATTTGTCTTTAAGGCCTTGCTCCACCAACCTTCTGTTTCCTCCGGACACCCACCCCCACTTAGCATCCATAACCCCTTGTTCGGCCCTGGAGCATGACCTCACTCAGGCCATGCTTCATACTGGTATGTAATATTTCTTCACCCTCTCAGAGACTCCGTTTCCTAATCCCCTAGACTTCAGTTTAAACATCACTTCCTGAGGGAGTCTTTCCCGACCCTTTCCCACCCGCAGGGTACCTCCCAGTGTGTGATGTCCTTGTCTGCCCCAACACCGGCTTTTAAAAACACTTAAAACAAAAAACAAAACAAAAAAAAAAACAGTGTCTCCTATATTGCCCAGGCTGGTCTCGAAATCCTGGGCTCAAGAGATCCTCCCGCCTAGGCCTCCCAAAGTGCTAGGATTACGGGCATGAGTCACCGCGCCCGGCCTAAAAACACTCTTCATGCGTGTAATTATTTGTTTAATGTCTCTCTTCCTCTTGTTTGTCCATAAGGTAGCAAACAAGTCTGTCTGGTTTTCTGCTTTATTTCTAACATGCAATGTAGAACATGGAGGATGTCTGATAAGTAAGTGAATACATGACATGAACGGGTGAGTGTGCGGTATGTTAGCCATGTCTACCATGGGCAAGAGCCTAGCAGGTGGCCCAATATTTGCCAATATTTGACCCCTAGAGATGATCTCTAAATTTCCTTTCAGTTCTAGCTTTATGATTTTAACGGAATCAGGAATGTGAAAGTGCTTTGTAAGGTGTAAGCTATTTTAAGGGAAAAAAAAGTTTCCATTAGTGACTTCTCTCCCCAGCTAGAATAAAAACCCTTGGGAGCAGGGGCCCTAATTTAGTCCCGATTGTGATAGTCCCCAGAGGGCAAGCTCTATCAGGCAGTCCAGAGAAGTTGGGCAAAATCAGAGAGGCCCTCCTGGGGCGTTTGCTAGATTTCCCTAAAATAGTGAACTTTCCTGTGTCTTTGAAAGTTTCCATAATAAGAAAAGAGTGGAGAAAAAGAAACCCGCAGTGAGTAAATGAGTCAAATGGGGGAAGACCATGAGGCACACTGGGAAATCTGCCTTTTCAGTCCCTCGTTTCTTCAGCTGCATTTAATACAACATTCGCGTTTTTATTCTTGGCCCGCATCCCTCTGGCACTGAGGAGCTCTGACTTACATCCCAGGGAGCCCTGATGGTGACGAGCCAGCCTCCAGCCTCCAGCTCCCGTGCTCTTGAGTGCGCTGCTCCCGGGATTCCCCACCCAGCCCTCTGGACATCCGGGGGCGGGGAGGGAGGGTGGTTTCCGCGGCAAAACCTGCCCGAAGCGGCGGGCCTGTTCTAAAAGTTTGCATTTTTCAAAGGGGAGGAATGCAAAATTGCAACCGTACTATCAAATGTTTCTCTCCTAAAGGATAATTGTGTATATACATGGAAGTGGGGTCGGTAGTGAGGGGAGGGCAAGGTCATATATTGCAGGGGAACCACTTCAGGAAAGGTCTCAAGGTTGCCGCGATTTTCCTAAAACCTTAAACTTAGGACTTTTGGCAGAATTGATGGTCCTTAACCAACAATTACAAGGCAGACCAGGCCCTGGGGAAAACTAGCTCTGACTATCCTCACCCAGGGAAGGCTCATTGGAAACACTCCGAGAGATGGCTTAATTATTAATATTTACCATAGAGATTGTTCTAGGAGCAACGCCTCCTTGGGAAACCAAAGTTATATCAAGAGGAGGCTTGGTAAGTGTTGGGGGCAGGGAATGGGCCGCTGCCGCTCAGAGACTCTTCTGTTGCCTGGTTTAATTTTCCTAGTGGCACCTATCTAATATTTCCTTGCATGTTTACTTGCTTATCTATTGTCAGTCTCCATGAGAACAAAGATCTTGCCAGTGCTGTTGGTTGCCTGATTTCCAGCCCCTGGAATACAGCCTGGTAGGTGGCAGGCCCTCAGTAACTATTTGTTGAATGACTAAATAAATGGAGAGGGGTGGGTGTGGGCTCCAACCACCCAGCTCTCACTTCCCCACTCAGGAATACTGGTGGTGTCATTCTCCCCACTACTTCCCATTTACCCCTTTCACATCATCTCCCTGCTGGAATTCTTCAGTGGTTCCCCACCTTTTGGAAAAAATCCAAAACCCACTGCTCTCACAGGTACCTGGCCCCTCCCTTTTATTATAACTTTTTTTTTTTTAACTGTTACAGAAGTATTTCAAATAGTCCCCTCATAGAAATTGTGCTTCCTCATACCTCCGTGTCCTCCCCTGTCTGGTCCCCTTCTACTTGGTCTGCTCCTACTCCTTCCCCATGAAGCACATAGCCTCTTCCGGGAAGCCCTCCGTCACTCACCCAAGCACACTTCTCACATGGTGCTGTTATTTTCTGTTCACATTTCAGTCTGTCTTGGGAATAGGTGTTTTGTTTTTTTTTTTTCATCTGAGGATTTTCAGCACCTAGTTCAGCAATAGCAGATCTTAAAAAATTTGTCCACTGAATGTTGTTGGAAGTGCTCCTTTTTAAAGTGATTACAGCAATAATTATATGATATGGTCCCCTAAGTATTCAGAGAAAGGACCTCAACTATTTGAGAACGGAAACTTACATGTTATTGGGTCCCAACTAGGTGTCTGATACTGTGGCAACTTGTTGGGACCCAATAAATACTATGGTTTTTATTTCTTCTTTAATCCTTCCCCCCTACCAATGCAAAAACAAAAAAACAAAAACAAAAACAAAACCTTGGAGGTGGATATTATCATCTCCATTTTACTGGTGAGAGAACTAAAGTTCAAAGAATGTTAAATAATTGCACAAATTTACACAATCAGTAACTGGTCTTTTATCAAAAGAGGTAAGGTTTCACCCCTCATGCACATGGTCATGTCAATGATTTTGCAGTATTACACAGGAGAAGCCAAAGTTCCGAATAATGGAGTCATTTAGTGACCACAGGACACAGACAAGCCTCTGAGTAACTGAAGAAAGATTTATGTTCGGTGCCATTGTTGTAATTACCGCATCATCAACATATTGACTTATACTGCTTTTAACGCTTTCCTCTTTATCATTGAAATCTCCTTTTATGAAGGAGATGAGGGGGTTTTCTTGTTTAAAGACCCACTTTGCAGATAAAGCACTGACAGATTAAGCAAAACAGTGTGGCTCTAGCACCAAACAACTTTTATTTATTTATTTATTTATTTATTTTGAGACACGGTCTCTTTCGTCCTGGCTGGAGCAGGATCGCAGCTCACTGCAGCCTTGAACTCCTGGGCTCAAGCTATCCTCCTGCCTCAGCCTCCCAAGAAGCTGGAACCACAGACATGTGCCACCACACCTGGCTAATTAAAAAAAAAAATTTGTAGAGAGAGGGTCTCACTATGTTGCCCAGGTCTCCAGTGGCTCCAGCCTCAGCCTCCTGAGTTGCTGGGATTACAAGCGTGAGCCACCTTGCCCGGCCCCAAACAACTCTTTGATAGTAGATAAGTCACTTCTCTCTGGGCCCCAATCTTTCTTTCCATCTGTAAAATCGGGGGTTGAACTAAATGACCATTGAGGGCCTTTCCAGAGAGAGAATCCAGCAATCCGGTGATAGTTCACAGTCATCCAGTGACACCAGCAGAGGCAACACTGCTTTGTGTGCTGTGGAAGAGACTGCTGTTTACACCAAATGTGCTTTCTTTTCCTCTTGGTTTCACAACTCGAAATTTCTCGGCTTCCCTTGTAGCTAGGTGTGGCCATTTTAGCCAACGCTGTCTGAGCAGAAATCACAAGAAAGCCTTGGCTGGGGCTGGGCGCAGTGGCTCACGCCTGTAATCTCAGCACTTTGGGAGGCCGAGACGGGCAGATCACAAAGTCAGGAGATGGAGACCATCCTGGCCAACATGGTGAAACCCCATCTCTAATAAAAATACAAAAATTAGCTGAGTGTGGTGGCGTGCGCCTGTAATCCTAGCTACTCGGGAGGCTAAGGCAGCAGAACAACATGAACCCAAGAGGTGGAGGTTGCAGTGAGCCGAGATTGCGCCACTGCACTCCAGCCTGGGTGACAGAGTGAGACTCCATCTAAAAAAAAAAAAAAAAAAAAAGGAAAGCCTTGGCTAGGGCTGTGAACAGCTGCCCATGACAAAAATACTTCAGTGTCCAGTTTTGTTTATCAATAACACATGAAGGAAATAGGAGAAATACATTAGGCCAGGCCTAGAATGAAACAGGTCTTCTAGGCTTGTAGTCTGCCCTTCTTGTGTTCTGTCTTCGAACATTCATTTATTCGGCACATCTTGTCTGTGCCCTACCACGTGCCAGGCACTGAAGATTCAGCAGCTCAGGGCTACACGGGTCTTCCATTCTGTTGACATCTCTTTGCCACTACCAAGATGGAAAATGTTGTGGTATCACTTATTTCCCCTTGCTCATTAGTTGCCTGATTAGACATCAGAACCTCTGAGTTTCAGTCAAAGGGCTGTCTAGACTCGGAGCTTTAAGCCTTTTAATTGTGAAAATGACATCACCAGTAAAGGGCCTGGCCTGGTGCTTGGCACACAGTAGACCGTCCATAAATGTCTGTTTTTTTGAGACCTTGGCAAAGAGGAGGATTGATGTGGGAGGTGGCGCAGAAGGTTAGATTTTTGTCATTTTAGAGAGATCTGAGCTAGATCATTCATTCAACAAATATCACTGTTGCACTAGGCTTTGAGATAGAAGAGTGTGCAACGCACAGATTAAGCCTCAAAGGGATGAGGCAAGGTATAAGAGAAACAGACTAGCAAACAGGCAATTGCAACACAGTGTGATAAGTGCTAGAAGGGGAAGTACAGGATGTTTCTTAGCCACAAACAAGGGGCAACTAACCCAGGCTGGTGAGTGGGGGTGGGGGAAGCATCAAGCAAGGCTTCCTGGAGGAAGTAGCATATGACCTGAGACTTGACGGAGACCTAGGCATTAGGAAGGTAAAGTATGGGGAAGGAGTGGGGAAGGGTGCATAGTGTCCCAGGCACACGGAACAGTATCTACAAAAGCTCAAAGGGGCTCAGAGAGGATTGAAACTGATAGTCTGGCTGGAGAGTCATGTACAAGGGGATGGAAGGCTGAGAGATGAGGCTGGCAAGGTAAGATGATGAAGGGCTGCTAAAGGGTTGTCACAGAGAACTGTGAGTAGAGGATTCTGGATCCCAGGACCCTGGCATCTTTCAGGGTTGCATTTTTTCAGGTCCTGGGAGAGGGGATAAGGGGGCAAAGATACAGAAAGAAAGGGGAGACAGAGTAAAGAAACAAACTAACAATTACTAAAAATCTATAAGATGTTCATAGCCTGGGCAACATGGCAAAACCCATCTCTACAAAAAATACAAAAATTCGTCAGGTGTGGTGGTGCACGCCTGTAGTCCCAGCTACTTGGGAGGCTGAGGTGGGAGGATCGCTTGAGCCCAGGAGGTTGAGGCTGCAGTGAGCTGTGATCGTACTGCTGCACTCCAGCCTGGGCGACAGAGCAAGGCTCTGTCTTAAAAAAAAAAAAAATTTTACTGTATTAGTCATCTGAGAAATGCAAATAAAAACCACAGTGCCTACCTAGCTAGAAACAAATAGACAGGGGTTAGAATGGAGATGTGACTCTCAGCCTCACGCATACCTTATCGTTACCAGATCTCTCCCAGACTATGTCCCAGAGGAGTTTACAACCCACTGAGAAGGAGAGACTCATAGACTTTAAGAAGTGAATTGTGATGGGAAGAAGAATCCAAGGCTTAGGGAACCTCCACCTCTGTCTTCCCCTCTTCCTTCCTAACCCTAATCTGCAGTGTCCATTCTTCTATCCAGAATATTCAGCTGACCAGAAAATGAATTTCCCAAACATCCAGAACATAGATTTTCATAGTCCCAGACCTTTCCATGAGGTGCTTGATGCATTGGAAAAAAGTGGGGCTTTGAGTCAAATATCAAGCAGGCTGGAGTCCTGCTTCTACCACTGATCTTGGGCCAGCAGCCTGACCTCTTCTGAGCCTCCATCTCTGAAATGGGAATAACATTAGCTGCTTCCAAAATGGTGACATCCCTACTTTATATCCCTCAGCCAGATACTTAATGTTTGGAAAGAGAGAGCAAGGATTTCTATGTTATGATCAGCACCACGTTCTGAAGTTGCTTTTGTGCATTTATGTAATCACACCACAGGTTATAAGCATATTTTATAATTAAGTCATTGAGAAAGCTCTGTGCTGACCCCATTATAAATATTTTCTGGCAGCAATAGCAGGGGAAAATATATTTATATTTAACATTACTACTGTCCAAAGAACAACGGTGAGAAAGTAAGGAAAGGGGCTTAGAGCTCTTTGGCCTTTCTCAGTTACCTGTGGGACAGCTGGGGTCTTCTGGCTAGAAATGGAGCCCAGAAGCAGCAAGGCTTCATGGAAAATTATGCTTCCTAAGAGCCCCTGGGGCAGAGCAATTACAGAACTGGAAGGGTCGGGAGTTTCGTAGAGGAGGAAGCTGATCCCAGATCCAGCATCACAGAGTCCTCTGGTCAGCTCCTGACACCATAATGCTCCTTGCTTGCCAGGTTCTGTGCAAAGCAAGCTACAGAAGAGGTTTTGGGGCACTGAACTGGCCTTTTTCCAGTGTGCAAACCATGCAAGCTGATTTTACTAGGGGAAAAGATGGCTGCAGAGGGAAAAGCACCAAATGCAGCAGTCAATACAGTAGTTCCCTCCATCAGTAACCTCCAGACTCACGCCCAGGAGCCCTCTGAAGGCAGCGGTAGCACCAGGATAGAGTGCCTGGTACAGATGAGGCACTCAGGGAATTACATTAATCTGGAAAATAAATGTGCATTAGCAGTGAAAAGCTTACTCTAAAGCTGGCTCTGCAAGGAACTGGGAACAGCTGTTGGCCTGGGGGTGGGGAGGCTGGGAGAAGAGAGAGAGGGGGAAAATTACTTTTTCACTATACACCATATTATTCTTTTTGAATTTTGTACCATTGGTTATCACAAGGTAAGTAATATTTTTAAAAATTTAAAGCCTAATGTTATTCCCCAATCAGGGAAATTTGCAGGATAATGGGAGGGAGAAAGTGGGTCTTTAGAGTCAAACTAACTTGAGTTTTCACTCCAGCTAATCCTACTACTTCCTAGCTGTGTGTCTGAAAACAAGTTACTTAGCTTTTCAGAGCCTCATACTACTTAACTATGTTGGGGAGAATGAGCATCCGCTGCATTGTGATGTAGGTGAAAGTGATAACAGCAACACTTAGGAGATTCACTATGTGCCAGGCACTCTTCTGAATGCTTTCTGGCTGTGTGTGGACTCATCCTCAGGACAACACTGCAAGAGGGATATTATTCTTTTATTCCTCCCCATTTTACATATGAGGAAACTGAGCCATAGAGAGACTGAAGAACTTGCTTTAGTTCTTTAGTTCTTTAGGCAGGCTGTTTACCTCCCAAGCCCAGCTCTTCCTACCTCTACTCTGCTGCCTTGAACTGTTAGCATCCTCTTCCTTTCAATCAGGAATTCTTAGAAATGCAGACATTTTCAACATCCAAAGAAATGTCTTTCTCATAATGGGCTGTTGGATATGGTCACAGGCTAGTGAGGGCAGTGCTGGTTAGGGAATTAGCAAAGCAGGTGAGAGAGAGAGAAAGAGAAAGAACTCTATTGAAGTTAAGAATTTTGCAATCAGAGGATGTGATTTAATTGTAGCATAGCACAATCATAGCTCGCTGTAACCTTCAACTCCTGGGCTCAAGCAGTACTCCTGCCTCAACCTCCCGAGTAGCTGGGACTACAGATGTATGCTACTACACCTGCCCAGTTTTTTAAACAAAAATACTTTTTTTTGCTATTTTACCCAGGATGGTCACAAACTCCTGGACTCAAGTGATCCCCCTGCCCTGGCTTCCCAAAGTGCTGGGATTACAGGTGTGAGCCACTGCACCAGCCTATTTTTATTTTAAAATGTTTAATTATATATTAGAGGAGGATTCCATAAGGTCTTCAGGACTTAGGGCCTACAAAAACATTAAAAGGGTGGAGCAAACTTTTAGTCAGGGTTGCCTCCTCCATCCCCCTCAAATGGGTCCTGGGTTGAGTCACCTTCTGCTTATGTTGCTGACTCTGTGGTCACCCATAGTAGGTCTTTCTGTGATTAACATCCTGATACTAACTTGTCTGTGGTCATTTACCTATTCTACTTCGAAGATTGAATCAAAAAACAATCGCAGGGCCAGGCGCTGTGGCTTACGTCTGTAACCCCAGCATTTTGGGAGGTCAGGGCAGGAGGATTACTTGAGCCCAAGAATTTGAGATGAGCCTGGGCAACATAGTGAGTTCCTGTCTCTACAAAAAATTTTTAAAAATTAGCTGGGCGTGGTGATGCATGTATGTAGTCCCAGTTACTTGGGAGGCTGAAGCACGAGAATCTCTGGAGCCCAGGATTTTGAGGCACTCCAGCCTGGGCAACAGCAAGATGTCGTCTCAAAAAAAAAAAAAAAAAAAAAAAAATCCCAGTGACTTGAATGTTCCAGGCAGTTGGTTTCTCAAGTTCATTGAGTTTTTACTGCACTTGGAAAAAAAGGTTTTTTTCTGCATTTCTTTAAAAGAGTTTCAAAGTAAGTAATGAGCCTGAATGGGCAAGGGGTAAGGACACTTATTTTCCTTTGGCTGAATTGAAGGTTCTTCCTCCCCATGTCCCAGAATGGTTCATTTCCTTCCAATTTCCCCTGTGCGTGCTCACTACCCCTCCTACTCTAAGACCCTCAGTGTTTCCTTTAGGTCTTTCCTTGCGCCTCAGAATTAGGCCACTTGCCCTTCTGAGCCCCTCCACAGGCCTTGGAGGGGCCTTAGGCTCGGCCTATGCTCAGAGCACTCCCAACGCTGGGACCATCCCTCCTCTTCCTGCCCCCTGAAGTGTCCAGCCTGGCAGTGGACCTTGGCCAAAGAAGAGATGAACCATGTGAAGACCTCATCTCTGCCTCCCATCACCAGTTTTCTCTGCAAGCTCACATCATCTCTTCCTGCCTGTCATGCTTTATCTATAAGCAGCTTTCAGCAGCTCCTTACTGCCCCCAGAAGCAAGCCCAGACCTTTCCCTGGCATCTGGACTCTCCTGCATTTGATCCTGACTGACCTGCGAGGCTTGCCTCTCTCCATAGCCCAACCCAGGCCTGACTGTGGAGCAGATCCTGAATGCTGTCACCCTGGCTCCTGGCTCGAGCTGTTTCCTCTGCCTGTTTCTCTCCAGCCTGGGGAAGTTGACCCATCTACCAGGGCCTAGCACAAAGCCCATTTCTTGAAAACTTCTTCCCAGCACTTATCTCATTCATGTTCTCTCTCCTTTCCTTCCCTCCTTCCCTACCCTCTTCCTCCCTTCTTTCTCTCTGTCGCTCTCTCTCTGCTTCTCTCTCTCTCTGTTTCTCTCTCTCTGTCTCTCTCTGAGTGTGTATTGATCTCCCTCCTCAGCCACGTTCCTATGGGACTCCCCTTTTACCTCTGAGATAGCACTTATTTCAGGCTGCTTTGGAGTAGAGTTCTTCATGTTCATACCACCTCCCAGGTTAGAAATTGTGCTCCTGGAATTGAAGAGCTACCCATTCTTCATTCATGTGCATATTGATCATCTGCTGGCCACACCCAGGGTTTTGCACCTGGAATAGGTTCCTAATAAATGTTTGGCACTTGGTACAGTGGCTCGATGGACAGAGCGAGCCTTGGCTTTAGCAATGGATAGCACACCTCCTAATGTGTGACCTTGGACAAGTGACTTACCCGCTCCAAACCTCTTAGGTCCAAAACCTATAAAACGGGGGTTAAAATAGTGCCTACCCCATAGAGTGGTGAGGGATAAATGAGATAATGTGCAGAACATGTAATGTAACACTTACCACTCATAAACTAGGCATGAGTCACCAGCTTCATCCTACAAACACTTTCGGAGATTTACTTTTGCCCTGGATCCTCTGGAGTGGGTACTGGGGAGAAAGTTACTAGAATATTCATGTTGAAAGACAAAGATGACCTCGATGCAGTCTGGGCCTGGCTACAGAAAGGATGGTTAAGTCTGAATGGATTCTAAAGAAATCAAGGGCACAACGCTGGCAGCCCCAGGCCCTTATAAAAGGCGGGGCCTCTCTCTTCCCAACTAAAGAAATCAGACACTGCCTAGGAAACCAGCTCCTTTAATCTCCTTACACTAAAGATTAACACCTACCAGAGTCCCTCCCCAAAGCCATCTTCATACTTTTTAATGTGAGCCTGAATAACTGGAGGACAGGAAAGGCAATCTGGAGCATGGAGAAAGGGAATTTTCAAAGGAACTTGGCCATTGTGTCTCTGGCACTGAGGTTGAGGGGAACAGAGGCCAGGAGGGCAGGACTCTAGAAAGCCAGGGAGCCCCTCCTGTCATTGAGACACACATTGAATCCTTTTCCTTGGATTCCAGGAGCAGCAGTCCTGGACAGGGGCCATGGAGGGTGAGGTATAGTGGGGAGGGAAGGGTGGGTGGGAGCAGAGCAGTATCCTCCCTCTCTCTGGCCACTGTGGTTCTCAGCGTACATTCTTAAATGGGTGTTTTGATATATTTCAGCCTCTGAGAATGTTGGCAGACCACCAGCTTTTCTCAGGGCCAAGCTCCCTTGAATAAGTCGATGTACTTCTGCATACCATCCCCACTGGCCTGTCCACCGTCTAGGTTCCTGTGATGGGGTGGTGGTGTGGGATTGGGGGAGGGGTGGGGGGATTGATGCCGGGGACGGAGCAGTTGCTGTGGACGATTTGAGTCCTGTGTGGCAGCCTTTCCCTTGGAGACAAGATCCTGGGCTAGGCTCTTGGCACGTGAATGACTCTTGGAGACCATCTAGTCCAATCCACCCTTTTACAGATGAGGAAACTGAGACGTAAAGAGCCCAAGCCAAGATGAAAACCCAAATCTCACCCCAGTCCAGGGTTTTTGTCCTGTTTCTCTATGACAGTCCCGTAAAGAAATTTTGCTGTGATATGATGCAGGTGTCACAACAAGGCTGAAAAGGACAAATCTGGATTTGATTAGAAAGTGTGAGTCCTACTTGCTCAATCTCACATTGAAGCCACAACTTACTCCTTGCCTGAGAGTAGCTTCTCGTCCTGTGGTGTGGGGAGGGGTGGGCAGAGGGAGGACTGGTGCAAACAGTGTTTAGATTTCCTCTCTGATAGACTCCTGGGGTGGAGTTGGAAAGGTCCAAGGTGAGGTGTGAGAGTTTTGACTTGAAGGATCTGCTCTTTTGAGTGCTAGGCAGGTAGGCAGGCATTCTCTTCCTCCTTCCCTAAAAGATCTGTAGCCTCTTTAGGATCAAAGGACGCTGGTGTGCAATGAGAATGCCACTGAGAGGTGGCACCCAGCACCCATCCAGGAAAAGGAACAGACAGAGTGAAAAACTGATGATGGTAACTCACATGAGTTAAAAAAAAAAAAAAAGCAGAAGTAAGTAAAGCTGGCATGGGTATGACCAATGGAAAGGCTCAAATAATGGGGATGTAGAAAGGATTGATGAAACTCTCAGGGGAAATTCATTCACTCAGTCAAGAGCTCTTTAACGGAACACTTACTCTGTACCAGGTTCAGTTGTCGGCACTGGAGAAATCACACCAAGAAGGGTGCAGAGACCCATTGCAAGTGACTTGGGAAGAGGAAAACTCAGTCATGGGCAGACACCCAGTTAAATGGAAAGCAGAGTTAAAGGAGGACAGCGGGAAGAATGAGATCTTGAAAAATCCATCAGCAATTTCGGGACGATAACATGTGCACAGATGATATTTTTTAAAAACCTGGGAGAAAGGAGTCAGTGGGAGACACAATTTGAGAGCTACTGTGGCACTCTGGGGACCAAACTAAAGTGTTTGCACCACATGCTGGGGTAATTCAATCACTCAGCAAGCACTGTTTGAGCACCTGTGTTTCTCTGGCCACACTAGTCTCCCTGCTGTTCCTTGTCCTCACCAGGCATGCTTCCCTACTCTGCCTTTAATCTGCAGGGGGATTATCATAGCTCATTGTAACCTTGAACTCCTGGGCTCAAGCGATTCTCCCATTTCAGCCTCCCCAATAGATGGGACTACAGGCCTGCACCACCATGCCAGGCTATTTTTTTTTCTATTTTGGTATAGGTGGGGTCTCACTATGTTGCCCAGGAGGTCACTATCTCCTGGGCTCAAGCCATCCTCCCGCCTTGGCCTCCCAAAGTGCTAGTATTACAAATGTGAGCCACCACACCCATCCAGAGTTCCCCTTTTTTTTGAGGGCTTCCCCCTACTCAGTAGCACCATTGTCTTAGGTCATTTTCTGTTGCTGTAACATATACCACAGATTGGGTAATTTATAAAGAAATTTATTTCTTACAGTTCTGGAGGCTGTAAAGTCCACATCTGGTGAGGGCCTTTTTGCTGGTGGGAACTCTCTGAAGAGTCCCCAGGTGGTGCAGAGCACCACAAGGTGAGGGGACTGAGTGTGTTAGCTCAGTTCTCTCATCCTCATCTTATGAAGCTGCTAGTCCCATTCCTGTAGCAACCCATTAGTCCATCAACCCATGAATCCATGAATGGATTTATCCATTTATGAGGGCAGAGCTCTCATGACCCAATCACCTCTTAAAGGCCCCAACTCTGAATATTGCTACATTGGGGGTTGAACTTCAACATAAGTTTTGGAGGGGACAAATATCCAAGCCCTAGCAACCATTTAGCAAATGCGTAAACAAGCTGCAATTGTGGTGACAAGAGAAGGCACATCACCCTGGAAAGGACCCTGTCTCATTTTTCTTTGTTTTTATTTTTTATTTTTATTAAGATTATTTTTTAGAGATGTGGTCTCTCCATGTTGCCCAGGCTGGCCTTGAACTCCTAGCCTCAAGTGATCCTCCTGCCTTAGCCTCCCAAAGTGCTGGGATTACAGGTGTGAGCCACCAAGTCCAGTTTATCTCATTCATCATTGTACCCCAGTGCTAGGCACATAGTAAGCATTGAGGAAATGTTGAATGAATGAATATCATTTTTAAGCACTGAGGAAACCTATTTTTAAAATAGTAAATGTTATTATCACAACTTTGTAAAAAGTGCATTTTAAAATGTTTCTAAAATCCACTAATAAATACCAACAGTAAGCCGGACATGGTAGTGTGTCCGTAATCCCAACTACTCAGGAAGCTGAGGCGAGGAGGATCACTTCAGCTTAGGAGTTTAAGGCTGCAGTGAGCTGTGATTGTGCCACTGCACCCCAGCCTGGCCAACAGAGCAAGACCCCGTCTTTAAAAAAAGTTGTAAAAAGAAATACCAACAGCAGTTGAATGGTGGAGTTCTGGGAAATCTTTCGTTATTTCCTTTTCTTTTCTCTTCCTTCCTTCCTTCCTTCCTTTCTCTTTCTTTCTTTCCTTTTTTTTTTTTTTTGACAGTGTCTTGCTGTCGCCCAGGCTGGAGTGCAGTAGTGCAATCTTGGCTCGCTGCAACCTCTGCCTCCTGGGCTCAAGCACACCTCAACCTCCCTAGTAGCTGGGATTCCAGGCGCATGCCACCACGCCCATCTAATTTTTCTATTTTTAGTAGAGATGGGATTTTGCCATGTTGGCCAGGCTGGTCTTGAACTCCTGACCTCAAGTGATCCACCTGCCTCGGCCTCCCAAAGTGCTGGGATTACAGGCATGAGCCACTGTACCTGGCCTTTTTCTTTCTTTTCTGTATTTTTCCCATTTTGTGTACTATAGCAACATTTTTAATAATGAATAAAGTATATTTTAGTCCCATCCACACCTTCCTTCCTCCCAAAAAAGGAATTGTGAGAATTACAATTTACAACCTAATATTTTAAAAGTCTTGTGCCATGTAAAGTGTAAATGACGAAGACTGAGAAACCATGACCTGAACTTTATAATGCAATGAAATAAAGTTTACCACACTCTGACGTGTCTGACAATATGCATGAGGATTGTGTAGCTGGGCATGACCAACAATTCTCATAAAACACTGTGATTGGTATTACTTGAAACAGCCAAACTGGCCTCTGTCAGATGCTTGGGGAAGGGAGGCGGGAACTGGATGGGGTGTGTGTGGCTCTGTTGGCCTCAGAAGACCCCTGGATCCATAACCCAGGTATGCCACTTTGCTGGCAGAGAAGGCCAGGACCTGGGAGCTCCGAGGACCTCCGGCTGACAGATTTGCAGCCTCCAAGTGGGGCTGGTGCTGCACAGGCTTCACAAAGGAGCTTTTTACCACAACAGGAACGGCACGAACACCCCAAACTCTGCTTTCCTTCCCTTCCCAGCCTTCTAGATATGGAGAGTTCATAAGGATACTGCCTGAAATGTCATCAATAAAAATGTGTTGGGCAGCAGAACGATTGCCTTTGAGAGGGCTAGAGGAGAGAATATTCATTCACACAACAAATGTTTATTGAGAATCTACTATATGCCAAGCATAAGGGAGGTCCTGTGCATACATGGTGTCATTTCCTTGCATCAGCCTGATGAAGATGCTATTAGACCCCACTATACAGATAATGAAACAGGCTGGGAAATGTTAAGTTAGTGACACTGAGTCACACATTTAAGTAAGTGGTGGTAGTGGGGAGGGAGGTGGAAAGGGAGGGAGGAGGGACTCAAACACAGCCCCATCAGAGGTGGAGAGCCTCTCTTCCCACATTGCGCATTGCACAACAGCAGAGGTTTCCAGACTTCATGCTTACAGCCTTTGTGACCATCAGCAGCTACTCTGGGTCTCGGTCTCCTTGTTTATAAAAATAAAGTGCTTGAATGGCTCACACCTGCAATCCCAGCACTTTGGGAGGCCAAGGCAGTCGGATCACTTGAGGTCAGGAGTTTGAGACCAGCCTGGCCAACATGGCAAACCCCACCTCTACTAAAAATAGAAAAATTAGCCAGGCGCGGTGGCGGGCACCTGTAATCCCAGCTACTTGGGAGGCCGAGGCAGGAAAATCGCTTGAACCTGGGAGGCAGAGGTGGCAGTGAGCCGAGATCGCACCACTGCACTCCAGCCTGGGCGACAGATCGAGACTCCATCTCAAAAAAAATAATAATAAAATAATAAAATAAAGTGCTTGAGAAAATACGTTTCCCAAGTGTCCCAGCGCTGGGTTCTTTGTCACAGTGTTTCCTCTTCTTGCCTTTTTCCCCACTGTGATCCCTTTTCGGTGATCCTCTTCTTGCCTTTGTAAAAGCTCTGCGGGACCAATTCTCTCGGGCCTTCCGCGCAGAGCTCTCCCAGGGACTCCGGTCTCTCCCCAGCTCGCCCCCTAGGGGACACAGGTGGTGCTGCGTGAGTCCGGGCTCCCAGTGAGAGTCCATGCAATTGTCAGACCAAGTCAACATAATCACCGGTTTGAATTCAACTTCAATTGCTGCTTTACCTTTTAAAAAAACATGGATCTAGAAAATATTCAGCTCTTCCCACATTCACCAGGGCAATGCTGCTGAAACATTTAATGACGGGGAGTATTTGTAGCCCGAAGACCTACTGTTTCTGTGAGTCATATTTAAAAATGGGATTACATGTTTACTTCCTACACCTCAGTTTCTTTTAGGTCCTGTGAGACTACTGATTGATCCAATGCTGATTTTGCAGGGATGCCAAACTGTGATTATAAAACAATATATTTGTCTCTACTTGGTTATTTTTATTAAAATAATCAATTTTTATTAGGTAATATATACATGTGGCACAATATCCAAAAATCACTAAGAGGTTTTCAGTAATTATCATATGACCCAGCAGTTGCACTCCTGGGGATATACCCAAAAGAACTGAAAAACAGGTGTTCAAACAAAAACTTGTATACAAATGTTCACAGCAGCACTTTGCATGATACCCAAAAGGCAGAAACAAACCAAATGTCATCAACTGACAAATAAACAAAATGTGGTTTCTCTATACAATGGAATATTATTCAGCCATAAAAGGGAAAGAAGTACTGATACGTTCTACAATATGGATGGACCTTGAAAGCATTATGCTAACTGAAAAAAGTCAGACATAAAAGGCCACATATTATATCATTTCATTTGTATGAAATATCTTGAATAGGCAAATCCGAAGAGACAGAAAGCACATGAGTAGTTGCTGGGCCAGAGGTAGGAAGGAATAGGAAGTACTAATGAGCATTGAGTCTCCTTTTGGGTGATGAAATGTTCTGAAACTGGATGCTGGTGGTGGTTGCATGACATTATGAATGTACTGTATCATACACCTTAAAATAGTTAAAATAATACATTTTATGTTATGTGTATTTTACCACAGTAAAACAAATAGTACTCTATCTTTCCAGAAATGATGATGATTATTATTATTTTGAGATGGAGTTTTGCTCTTGTTGCCCAGGCTGGAGTGCAATGGCGTGATCTCAGCTCACCACAACCTCTGCCTCCCGGGTTCAAGCGATTCTCCTGCCTCAGCCTCCGGAGTAGCTGGGATTACAGGCGTGCACCACCATGCCCGGCTAATTTTGTATTTTTAGTAGAGACGGGGTTTCTCCATGTTGGTCAGGCTGGTCTCAAACTCCCGACCTCAGGTGATCCACCCGCCTCGGCCTCCCAAAGTGCTGGGATTATAGGTGTCAGCCACGCACCTGGACTGTAATGAGTTTTATTAGTTTGTTTTTTGTCTTTGTTTGTTTATAGGTTTATTCTTCAGAAAATTTTAAAGTTTTGTTGTTGTTGTTGTTGTTGTTGTTTTTTGAGACAGAGCTTTGCTCTTGTCACCCAGGCTAGAGTGCAATGGCACGATCTCAGTTCACTGCAACCTCCCTATCCTGGGTTCAAGCAATTCTCCTGACTCAGCCTCCCAAGGGGCTAGGATTATAGGCACCTGCCACCACACCCGGCTAGGTTTTTGTATTTTTAGTAGAGATGGGGTTCTGCCATGTTAGCCAGGCTTGTCTCAAACTCCTGACCTCAGGTAATCCACCCGCCTCGGCCTCCCAAAGTGCTGGGATTACAGGCATGAGCCACCACGCCTGGCTAAAGTTTCATACACTCAAATTTATCAGTGTTTGCCTTTATGGTTTCTGTATTACATGGCATGCTTAGACAGAGCTTCTTCATTCCACGATTATAAACATATTCAACTATATTTTCTTCTTGTACCTTTTTTATTTTTTATTTTTTTGAGACAGGGTCTTGGTCTGTTGCACAGGCTAGAGTGCAGTGGTGTGGCCATAGCTCACTGCAGCCTCTCCTGGGGCCAAGATTCTCCCGCCTTAGCCTCCTAAGTAGCTGGGACTACAGGACACAGCACCACACCCGGTTAATTAATTTATTTTTTTAGTGGAGAAGAGGTCTCACTAAGTTGCCTGGGTTGGTCTTGAACTCCTGGGTTCAGGCTATTCTCCCCCCTTGGCCTCCCAAAGTATTGGGATTACAGGTGTGAGCCACTGTGCCATCCCCTTTACTTTTATGGTTTCATGTTTGACATTTAGGTTTCTATTCGTCTGGGATTGATTTTGGGATAAGGAGTGAGGTAGCAATATAATTTAAATGGTTTTCCCAAATGGAAAATGATGTGTAGCCTGTTGTCTCAATACTATTTAATGAACAGCCCTTTTTTTCTCCTTTGATTTGAAATGCCAGCTTTAAAGTATTAATTCATATATTTTGGGTCTATTTCTGAATTTTTTTCCTGTTGGTTTATCTGTCTATTTCTCAGTCTACAATGCTTTGTTAACCAGAAGTCGGCATTCAATTTTATGGGGTCATCAATATAAATACTACTAAATTTGACATAGGTAACTCTTGGAAGTTAGAACACAGGAAAGGAAGGGTGGAGTCCCTTCATGTCTGAGACACTAGATGTTGATTCAGGAGGAAATATCAAAAAATTGATTTTTTAAACCAAGGCTTCCTGAATAATATTTTTTGTTGATAAGGCAAATACACATTAAATGTCTGATTTTAACCATTAGTTCTGTTGATTTTTGGCTGAATGAAAACATCAAAGTTTGAAACTATGACTTTATGTTCAACTTATTTATTTTCTTATATTTCTCACAGGTCATATATTTACAAAACTATCAAAAGCAGGAACTTGCAACCCTGAGGGACTCTCTCTAGGTATGCAGTGTCTTCCTCACACAAGGTTAGCAGCTGCTAGGATACTAATGCTCAGGGCTTTCAGTCTTATCAGTGATGACCTCGATAGAAACTTGAGTATATTTCCCTCTTTTTTTTTTGAGATGGAGTTTCGCTCTCGTTGCCCAGGCTGCAGTGCAATGGTGCGGTCTTGGCTCAGGGCAACCTCCGCCTCCTAGGTTCATGCAATTCTCCTACCTCAGCCTCCTGAGTAGCTGGGATTACAGGCATGCACCACCACACCCGGCTAATTTTGTATTTTTAGTAGAGATGGGATTTCTCCATGTTGGTCAGGCTGGTCTTGAACTCCTGACCTCAGGTGATCCGCCTTGGCCTCCCAAAGTGCTGGAATTACAGGCATGGGCCACCATGCCCGGCCAAAGCTCTCCATTGTTCTTTCTAACCCGGGGTCAGAAGTGTGGAATGCTTTTGCCTTGAGATGTTTTTATTCCAGCAAGAAGGCTCAATTTTAAACACAAAATGTACTTGTTTTAGCTCTGTGCTCCCAAACTTCCAAAGGGAAGATCTTTTATAAATTTGCTGGATTCTCTGTGGGTTTGTGTTTATTAACTCCCACCATTTGCAAAGTATTTTGTGGTGGCATAAACATCATTTTAAAACAGGAAGTTAGCTTTTAGTCATTAGTCTGAAATCAAGTGTTTCAGAAGAAATGAAAAGGCTTCAGCCAGAGGAGACTTTAACATGACAAAAGTCACAACAGGAAATTAGGTGACTCTGGCTTGGCCTCTCCATTCACAGCTTTTGGGCATGTTCATTCATTTTGTCCATCTCTTAAATACCTACTTTATGCTCAGCCTCATTTAACACTCTAGTGTACACCAGTCAAAGAGCTACTCAGTCAAACTGCAAGGACTCTGTTAATACACAGGCTTCTCATGTACAAAGGTGGGGAAAAGAGGCATTATTTTCACTGCTATACAAATATTCTGATGTGTGAATGAACCATGATTCATGTATTCATTCTCCTGATGATAGACAACATTTTGGGTTGTTTCCAGTTCTTTTCTATTGCAGACAATGCTGCAACGAACAATCTTGCACAACCCCGTCGTGCACATGTACAAGAGTTTCACTAAGGCAGCAGTCCTCAAAGTGTGATCCAGGGACCCACAGGGGTCCCCAAGGCCCTTTCAGAGGGTCCACACGAGCAAAACTATTTTCTTTTTATTTTTTCTTTTCTTTTTTTTTTTTTTTTTGAGACATAGTCTTACTGTCACCCAGGCTGGAGTGCAGTGTCACAATCTGGACCCACTGCAACCTCTGCCTCCTGGGTTCAAGCGATTCTTCTGCCTCAGCCTCCTGAGTAGCTGGGATTATAGGCGTGCGCCACTATGCCCGGTTAAGTTTTGTACTTTTAGTAGAGACAGGGTTTCACCCCAGGCTGGTCTCCAGCTACTGACCTCAGGTGATCCACCCACTGTGGCCTCCCAAAGTGCTAGGATCACAGGCGTGAGCTACCGCTCCCAGCCGCAAAACTATTTTCATAATAGTTTTCACTCTCATCCTGTCAGGGGTATGCTGTGGAGTTTTCTGGAGGCTGCATGACACATCCACAATTATCTGAAAAGGCTATTAAAATACTCCTACCTCTTCTAATTACATATCTGGGTGAGGCTGGAATTTTCTCATATACTTCAACCAAAACAACATATTGCAACACTTGAATACAAATAGAAATTCTAGCTGTCTTCTAGTAAGCCAGACAATAAAGAGATCGTAAAATATGAAACAATGCCTCTCATCTCCCTAAATTTTAACATAAATAGAATTTTTTTCATAAAATGTGTTAATATCCATTGAGTTTATTTTTTATTTTAAAGCTGATTTTAACTTTTTTAAACTTTTTAACTTTTTTCAGTTTTAATTTCTAATACTGTAAATATAAATAAATACAGCCCACGTGAACAAAAGCTTTTTGGGGTCCTTGATAATTATTATCAGTGCAGTGGCATGATCACAGCTCACTGCAGTCTCAACCTCCTGGAGTCAAGCAATCCTCCCAAAGTGCTGGGATTGCAGGCATGAGCCACTGTGCACATCCTGATAATTTCTAAGGACATAAGAGTCCTAAAACCAAAAAAATATGAGAAGTAGTGCCCTAGGGTATATATACCCAGGAGTTGTGACGTAGGTGCATATTCATCTTTAAATGGTAACTCTAATAACCACTGATGATTAAGTTCAATTTGATATCATTTGTATAGAGCCCCCCAAAGCAGTACAACTAAACTTTATACAGCTCAGAAATGCATGCAGATTGCTAAAATTGAAAAAAAAAAATAGGCAAGGTTAAGCTCAAAATGTAGGATAGTTGGCCAGGTGCGGTGGCTCACGCCTGTAATCCCAGCACTTTGGGAGGCTGAGGCGGGTGGATCACAAGGTCAGGAGATCGAGACCATCCTAGCTAACACAGTGAAACCCCGTCTCTACTAAAAATACAAAAAATTAGCCGGGCGTGGTGGTGGTCCCCTGTAGTCCCAGCTACTCGGGAGGCTGAGGCAGAATGGTGTGAACCCGGGAGGTGGAGCTTGCAGTGGGCTGGGATCATACCACTGCACTCCAGCCTGGGCGACAGAGCAAGACTCCGTCTCAAAAAAAAAAAAAAAATTGTAGGATAGTGGTTACCTTTCACGGAGAGGCAGGGGGATGGAGGGAAAAGGGACAGATTGGACTGGTCTGAGGTACAGTGTTTAGTACTATGCCTTATAACTCACAGATATGCTGCCTTTTTCTTTCATATGTGTTAAATATGACATACTTTCTTATTTACTAAAAATAAGAAAGAAACAGTTTCTGCCCACAAGAGGCTCCCTGTCTGGTGATTGTGAGTGGAAATCACATTCCTCTTCCCTCTGAGTTTCAGCTCATTGAGAAACTGATCAGGAATCAGATCAGCTGAAAGTCCAGGCTCTATTATCTGCAAAGCTGGATTAAAGAATGTGGAGGCCAGTGGTTTTCTCCTCCTTCCTACCTGATCCAGATGGTCCTGTGCAAACCAGGGAGTCCCCTGCTGACCTCTCCACAGGTGGCAGGATCTGTCTGGTGGAGGAGGAGACCCAAAGTTATGCAGGCATTAGGGGATGGCGCCTGTGATATCAAAACCCAGATCTATCCTCCTCCAAGGGTGATGGCTTTTGCTGACCCTTCTGGGCCTCAGTTTCCCTTCCGTAAAAAGGGAGTAACATCTTACAGATGTGTCATGAGCACTAATCGTGTATCCTAGCACAGGGGTTGGCTTTCCTCCTTCCCTTCAAGTGCAAGGTCAGGCTACACCCCTAGGATGACTGTACCCACCTCTCTGGGTTTGGCTGTTCTCAGCCACTTTCAGGGCAGAGATCTATCCTGAGAGGGCAATACTATGACTCATGTCACAAGTGACACAGCTCATTCCACATCATTAATTCTCCCATGTTTCTAGGGCTTACATTTTATCTCCTCATTGGGAAACTGTAGGGGAACCCCCCTCCCTCCCTCCCTCTCCTTCCTTCCTCCATTTACTCCCAGGCTCCCCTCAGACACTTGCACTCTGGGACTTGATTCAAAGCCAGTCATTTACCCCAGGCAGCAGCTATGAGAAACCAGGTAGACCCTCCAAGCAACGAGCTAAGAGAAACATCCCCAAACAACCAGAATGGGCCCTCGCACTGTGCCCTCCTCCTCTCAGACACCAGACAACGGTGGGCTCATCTGGGCTGCATTTAAGAGGCTGATGGCCCTGATCTGCAAGCCTGGTTTAGAACCTGCCCGTTCAATTTGGATTTGATTCTATTCAATTAGATTTAATTCCTTCCAACAATGAAGTATCAGGTGCTGGGCAAGACCAGTGTGTTTAAACCTCTGAGGCTCACCTCCCCAGAAAACAACTTTGTCAGTGACAATTCCAAAAGTGGAGTCTAGTTGAAAGGTATTTTAACTGGGACAAGGAATGGAAGGAGAGGGAACTGCAGGCTATATGGGTTTTGTCATGATTGAGGAATCGATCATGACTGCTCCTCCCACTGAGGCCTCCAAGCCTCACCAGGGAGATAGGGTATTCACATCAAACAGGCCAAGGCCACAGAGGGCTAGTCACCCCTCAGTGTAGTTTAGAAACCTGTGTGTGCTGCGGAGCAGGAGCAGGAAAACCAAGGGGAAAAAGAGCACATCATGAGAGGAGAAACAGTTAAAGCTGTCCCCTTTGATATCCTCCCTATTGGAAAATTCCAATTCTGACGTTCCAGTTCTTTTTTTTGAGACAGAGTTTCGCTCTTGTTGCCCAGGCTAGAGTGTACAATGGCGCGATCTCGGCTCACTGTAACCTCTGCCTCTCCAGTTCAAGTGACTTTCCTGCCTCAGCCTCCCAAGTAGCTGGGTTACAGGCATGCGCCACCACGCCCGGCTAATTTTTGTATTTTTAGTAGAGATGAGGGCTCACCATGTTGGTCAGGCTGGTCTCGAACTCCTGACCTCAGGTGATCCACCCTCCTCGGCTTCCCAAAGTGCTGGCATTATAGATGTGAGCCACCTCGCCCGGCCTCCAGTTCATTTTAAATACATTGAAAAATATATCCATCTATTTTGAGGGAGCAAGTCTGATCACAAGACAGTAGGGAGAGGTATCAAGGTGAGCGGGTGAGAATGAAACAAGTTACACTAATTAGTAAATTGCAGAAGACACTGTACATGTCAGCCAGACCTCTAAAGAGACAAAACAAGATCAAGACAAAAAACCCCAGCAGATTTGAAGAATGTTTACATTCTTGCAACCACAAATGGGAAGTGAGCTCAGGGCCCAGTGGGAGTTTAACAAAATAAAGTTCAAAGTGGAGGCTGCTCTGTGCATATTCCACCCCCTGGTTGCCCTGGCAATGAAACATCTGCCTTACAGTAATGAAATCATATTGAGAAGAAACCCACAAGCGCAAGAGAGCGTCTTTGCCTGCAGACTTGCTGTTGATGTTGCATCTGCCTGCAGCCACCACTGCTTTACTCACTGACAAGGTGCCTAGTGGGAAACCCCAGGAACCTAGGCCTGGGAGGTCTCAGGAGCTTCACCTCCTGGAGGCCTGCTCGAGGGGCTTGGCCTCAGAGACCTGCACTCAGGAGGGGTCAGAGACAGTAGAACTTGGGGTCCGCTCCCTGGCTAGCTAATTAATTCTTGAGCATGTCTTGGAGACGTCGCAGAGAAGGCAAAATGAGTAAGATGAGATCCCTGTTCTTGAGGGGCAGAGAAAGTAGAGGTGCAAATACACAATTAGTTGTGAGAGAAGGCCAAGTTGAGAGGGCAAACAGAGTCCTACAGAAACTCTTTTCTTCTTCATTATTCTTTTTCTTTTTTTTTTCAAGACAGAGTCTCACTCTGTCGCCCAGGCTGGAGTGCAATGGCGCGATCTTGGCTCACTACAACCTCTGCCTCCTATGTTCAAATGATTCTACTGCCTCAGCCTCCCGAGTAGCTGGGATTGCAGGCGTGCATTACCACATCCAGCTAATTTTTGTATTTTTAGTAGAGACCTGGTTTCACCATGTTGGCCAGGCTGGTCTTGAACTCCTGACGTCAAGTGATCTGCCCACCTCCGCCCCACAAAGTGTTGGGCTTACAGACAGCCGTCACACCCGGCCTTCTTTTTCTCATATAGAGGTCATGTTTTTATGGAAAGAAACTTAGCAAGGATGAAAATAAGCCAAAGGAAAAAATTAAAATCACTCCAAATCACATCAGCCAGAGAGAACCACCATTAACATGTTAACATTACCATTAAAGGTGTATCTTTTCGAATGTTTTCTTATGCAAATAGATGAACATGTTAAAATATATATTTGTTCTGTCTATATAAACATATTTTTTCTGAAACAAGATTATATTACATATAGGATTTTGCCCTTTGGCACCTAAAAATACACCATGAGTATATTTTCAGGGAGCACATATATACAACTGGCACCGACATATTTAATATCTGCACTGCTTCCATTATTTGACCTTAAAATAACTTAGCCAACCAAGGTGGAGAGATGGGAGGTTGCTGTCCTTTCCCTCAAGTCGAGTGACGGGGTTCCAATGGCAACACACACTGAGGTGCACAGAGCCCACGCTGGTGTCAGACCCCGCTTGAGAAATCTCAAGGGCATGCAGTCTGGCTGGTAGCTGATGGATAGGATAAAGGGCAGAAGCTGTGCCAGGATCAGCCACCACTCCCAGGATTGTCAGAGTCCAGGATTCACAAGCATTTCCCAAGGACCACAGGCCCAGAGAAACAGGCTGCTTGGTGATCAACATAAAGGTTACAGCAGAACGGAGCTTGCACTTTATTTGGATACTAATGAGCGCCCATTGGGAGGCTAAGGAGGGAGATAGTTCTCTTAGAGCCTGGTGGTAGGAGATGAATCTCATTGTGTGTAAGACACCTGGAAGAAGGGAGACAGGAGACCAGGAAATCAGTTCAGAGGCTGTTATCAAAGTCTGAAGAGAGACATTTCCTCCTTCTACAGGAGTTACAGAATCTGGGCTCAAATCCGACCTCTCCCACTGATGAACTTGAATCAGTCACTTCACTTTCCTGAGCCTTAATAGCTCACCAGTAACATGGGCATAAAAACAACCTCAACGACGTATGAAAATGTTTCACAACTTGATAGAAGTGGTGGTTGTACAATATTCTGAATGTACTAAATGCTACTGGATTTTATACTTTAAAATGGTTAATTCTATGTTATGTGAATTTCTCCTCACTTAAAAAACAGAATAGTCCCTAGGGTTGTTGTGAGGATTAAGCAAATCTGGTGGGTTTGTCTGAATAGTCACTCTTTTTCTTTTCTTTTCTTTTCTTTTTTTTTGTGACGGAGTTTCACTCTTATTGCTCAGCCTGGAGTGCAGTGGCACAATCTCGGCTCACTGCAACCTCCGTCTCCCTGGTTCAAGCGCTTCTCCTGCCTCAGCCTCCCACGTAGCTGGGATTACAGGTGCCTGCCACCACACCTGGCTAATTTTGTATTTTTAGTAGAGACAGGATATCACCTTGTTGACTAGGCTGGTCTTGAACTCCTAACCTGAAGTGATCCACCAGCCTCGGACTCCCAAAGTGCTGGGATCATAGGTGTGAGCCACCACGACTGGCCTTTTTTTTTTTTTTTTTTTTTTTTTGAGACAAGGTCTCGCTGTGTTGCCCAGGCTGGAGCGCGCAGTGGTGCGATCTAGGCTCACTGCAACCTCCGCCTCCTGGGTTCTAGTGATTCTCCTGCCTCAGCCTCCCAAATAGCTGGGATTACAGATGCACACCACCATGCCCAGCTAATTTTTGTATTTTTAGTAGAGATGGGGTTTCACGTTGTTGGCCAGGTTGGTCTCTAATTCCTGACCTCAAGTGATCAGTCCACCTTGGCCTCCCAAAGTGCTGGGATTGTAGGCATGAGCCACTGCAACCAGCCTGGATAATCACTCTTTTTTTTTAGACAGAGTCTCACTCTGTCGCCTGGGCTGGAATGCAGTGGCAGCTTCTTGGCTCACTGCAATCTCCACCTCCCGGGTTCAAGCAATTTTCCTGCCTCAGCCTCCCGAGTAGCTGGGATTACAGGCATGCGCCACTATGCCCAGCTGATTTTTTGTATTTCTACTAGAGACAGGTTTTCACCATGTTGGCCAGGCTGGTCTCGAACTCCTGACCTCATGATTCGCTCACCTCAGCCTCCCAAAGTGCTGGGATTACAGGCGTGAGCCACCGCCCCTGGCCCCGAATAGTCACCCTTATGTGAGCAAACATGAAACTGCCTTTCCATCCGGCTCCTGGCCACAGCCTGATCCCAGTGCTGGTGAGGAGAGGGAGGGTCTCCACCTGCTTCAGTCAGAAGTCCACTGAAGAGACAGTATCCCCATGGGTGCTCTACAAAGTGTCCTAGAGCAGCATTCAACCTGGCTCCCACCATGGAGGACACCAGAGGGGGCAGCCACATCGGTGCTGGTGTTGGTGTGGGCGGGAGGACTAGCTATCCCTCCTTCCAGAGCTCCTTCAGTGCTGGCTCAGCCGAGTGACCACCCAGGCTGCCTGAAGGTTCTTGCCTTTCCAGACCCCCAGCACCTAGCTAATGTCTCTGCTTCCTTTTGAGGGTCCCTTCCCATGTCCTCCCTGCTCCTGGTCTTCCAGCTGCTTAGGGAGAAGCCATTCTGCTGAATTCCAATCCAGAACTTGCTTTCTCACTCACCACTATTTAAGAGACAAATGTAAATCTCCTCCCCTCTGACCTCATGCTCAATAAGTCATTGATTCCAGCCTAACATTTTCTTTCACTGACTCAGTGAGGACAGATGACGTCTCTCATTGATGGCTCCTCCCTCATCTATCCCTGGTCTGTCATGGTTATCACATGATGAACTCTAGGAAAATAGTCATTGAGGAAAAATGGATGGCAGAGAGCGAGGAAAAAGAGACCTTCTTAACATTTGTTCACAAGCCAGACTATGTCGGCTAAAAGCACACCCACTAGCCCTTTGCTTGCTAGCACTTTAGACATCTGGATTTTCTGGAGGGAGCTGTTGCAGGAAGATAGATGTAAAAAAGTTAGGGCTTTTCAGATGGCAGTGGAAAAGGAAAGGCCAAGAGGCCAGTCTCAAGCCCCCTGCCCTCCTTCTAGCTAAAGCTAAAAGTGCCTATCACGCTGAAATGACACAGCGGAAGAAATGGCAGTGACCTTGCCTTCCTGGTTTCTGCATGAAGAGCTTCTACCCATACTTCTGGGAAGCTTTGCCCATCCCCCACAAGGAGATGTTAGGACTCCCTCCTTTGTGCTCCTCAAGGGGTTGTGCCAAGGCTCCATGCGATGTCAGGCGTGGAAGAGCAGAATGCTTCGCACAGGGCCCTTCCTCTCTCCCCTGCGGGAATGCTTCCCATGAGGGTCGCTGGACATCATGTGGGTATGTGAATTGACAGTCTAAGCTACGAAACACCGTGTTAAAAATAATACTTATCTGGCTGTGTAGTCAGTTGCTTGTACCTATACCTGAGCTGTGAGCTCTTTGAAAACAAGAATATTTTATTTATTTAATTTTATTTTTAAAAAGGAGGCTGGGCACAGTGGCTCACGCCTGTAATCCCAGCATTTTGGGAGGCCAAGGCGGGCGGATCACGAGGTCAAGAGATCCAGACCATCCTGGCCAACACGGTGAAACCCCGTCTCTACTAAAAATACAAAAATTAGCTGGGAGTGGTGGTGTGTGCTACTCAGGAGGCTGAGGCAGCAGAATCACTTGAACCCGGGAAGCGGAGGTTGCAGTGAGCCCAGATCGTGCCACTGCACTCTAGCCTGGGTGACAAAAGCAAAACTCTGTCTCAAAAAAAAAAAAAAAAAAAAAAAGGAGCGTCAACACCTAGCACAATGCTGGGCACAATGCTGGGCACAAAGCACACACTGATGGACGTGGAGGGCAGGGGGACTGTCTTCAAGCAGACCCACACCTGGGCGGGAGGGCTGGCACCTGGCTCTTTAGAGCAGCCCTGGCTAGCTTTGCCGGAGTCGAGGCCCCTGGCTGGCTGCTCATCTTTCCTTGGAGATGACTGTCATCTTGCTTGCTTTGACCTGCTCCCAGCAGCTCTTGTTACTAACTCTACAGACTCCTGGCACCTCCCACCTGCTCATGCAGCACTCAACCATGACCCGTTTTCTCAGTTCCTCCTACCACCCACTACCGGCTTCTCTAACTGGACTAGTCCTTGCTTCCCCAGCACTGACCACTGTATGACTGACACACGGTGTCTTAGCAAGCCAGGACAATCAATGGATATCACATTATGGAGACCATCAATGCTATGGACTGCTGGGCGAGCAGTAGAAGAGAGAATATGGGTAGACCTGGGTTCAAATCCTGGTTCTGCCACTAGCTAGCTGTGTGACCCTTACCAGTTGCTAAACTTAGAATCTCAGTTTCTCATCTATATATGGGGATTAAAATGAAAAAACCCAAACCCTATCTCATAGGGTTACTGTGAAGAGTAAATACTGTGGCACATATTAAGTCTCTGGCCTTGTGCCTGACACTTGGCAGATTCTCAATAAGTGTTTGTTCTCTTCCCTTCCTTTTTTTCCACCAAGATCTCTTCCAAGTCTAAAAGTCCACAAGCCTTTGAAACATATGTTCCCTTGTCAAACTATAACTTGGGAAGGTCAACAAGATGCTAGAAAGTTTATCTTTCCCAGAGCAGCAAGGATCCCAGGTGACAGAAGCAGCCTGTGTGTCCCATATTACCCTGGAAAAGATCTCTCATTCCCAGTCCAAAGTCTGACTAATGAAGAGAGGGTGTTGTAGGCAATCAGAGTTCATAAACCACACTTGACTAAGCAGATGAAAGCAGGTTCAGTCTGCAGAGAAGCTGTGAGAGAACAGAAAGCCCAGAGAGGCCTGGGAATGCCCCCTGGGGTTGAGAGAGAGAGAGAGCAGTGACCTGAGAGTAGATGTGTCTGTAAACAACTGGGAGCCAATGGCTTAGCCAGGAATCCTCTGCGCTGGGTCAGTGAGGAGCCTATAGCCTCCCACACAGACTCCCAGGAAACAGATGGGCAGAAGTGAGGGCAGCATTCGCCCCGGCCCTCTTCTTCAGGCAGGTGAAATGGATCGGTTTTGGAGATGTCAAAATGAACAGAAAGAGGAGGAGGAGGAGGCAGTAGCATCATCTTCTGTTAACCCCAAGAGCAGTGGTTCTCAGAGCAAGGTCCCAGGGCTAGCTGCAACACCAGCAAATCTGGGGTTGCTAGAAATGCAGATTAGCAGGCCCTGCCTTAGACCTAATGAATCAGAAACTCTGGGGCTCAGACCCCGCAATCTGCATTCTATTAACACAGACTCTGATGCACACTAAAGTTTGAGATCCATTGGCCAGATGCTTTTGTTCAAAAATGGGAAACTTCCTTCCCATTTTGAAGCAGTGGGAGATGGCATGACGATGGAATGGTCATAACCTTTAGCGACAAGATCTGAATTCAGATCCTGGCTCTGCCCCTACATGGCAGTACGATCTTGGACAAATCCACCCACCTCCCTGCACTCTGATTTCCTCACGTGTAAGATGTCTACCTTGCAGGGTGTGGTTAGGTGGTTAGGTTTAGAGAGAATGTAAGGGAAGCACTTTTCAGAGTGCCTGGCACAAAGTGGGTGATCTCCATCACCACCGTCATAACCACCACAGCTGTGGACAAGCCTCCGGGCGAGTAAGAGCTGCATGCATTTAGGGAAAATCACCAGGCCACATGGGACCCATCTTGCTTTCTGAGTGTTTAACATGTTGCTCAGAATGGCATTTGATGCCACTTATCACCTGGCTCCATCTTCATGAAGTTGGGAACCTAAAGACTTAAAGATAATATTTCCTTTTCAAACTCAATGAGAAACACATCTCTATCTAATTTGGACATACCAAGTGAAACCTCAGTGAGAAAAACCACTCTCATTATAATCTGACCTCAGTGTTTTCTCACCCTACCCCTTTCTCTGTTCCTTTTGGGTAAATCTCTTAAGCACACTGTAGCAATGGGCAAATATTTGTTGAGTGTCAAATGAGTGGATTGGCTCAATTTGACTTTAAAATGCCCTGCTGTTGTGCAATACAAAGAACCAAATTCGTGATTGGGCCTTTAGCCTCCTGAGCTGGAAACATGATGGGACTGACCGTAGCACCCATGTGGGTAACATATAAAAATCTTGGGGAATCAGACACTGAGGGGGCTGTATGAGACCAAGCTGGCCAGCACAGGTCATGTAGGTGGTGGTCTGAATTTACAATGAGATGGCTATGGCTCTCAGTTCCTGATAAAGGCCCTAGCTCCAATAAAGTTCAAAAGAAGTGGACACTGGACACACCCTACCTTCTTCTTATCATTATTATTATTATTTTTTTGAGACGGAGTCTCGCTCTGTCACCCAGGCTGGAGTGCGGTGGCGTGATCTCGGCTCACTGCAACCTCCGCCTCCCGGGTTCAAGTGATTCTCCTGCCTCAGCCTCCCAAGTAGCTGGGACTACAGACGTGTGCCACCACGCCTGGCTAATTTTTGTATTTTTAGTAGAGACGGGGTTTTGCCATGTTGGCCAGCTGGTCTTGAACTCCTGACCTCAGGTGATCCACCCGTCTTGGCCTCCCAAAGTGCTAGGATTACAGGCATGAGCCATTGCGCCCAGCCCACTTCCCCACCTTCTAAACCAACTAGGGGCTTACCCTTGCTGACCAGTCACTTGGTCCCACGGCCTCTGCAATGCAGAGCAAACTGGAACGAGAGCACCAAAAATGTCCTGCCAGTTTGCCTCCTAGGGGTGTGAATGTACATATTGCCCTTCCAGTTCTGGCCCAACGGGCTTAATTAATTCAAGCCCTCAGCATCTTCTTTTACCTCCAGATACCTCGATAGTCTCCTGGGTCTCCCCGACTCCTATCGTGCTCATTTCTACTCATCCTCCTCACTTTTTTTTTTTTTTTTTTTGAGATGGAGTCTTGCTTTGTTGCCCAGGCTGGAGTGCAGTGGCGCGATCTCGGCTCACTGCAAGCTCCGCCTCCCGGGTTCACACCATTCTCCTGCCTCAGCCTCCTGAGTAGCTGGGACTACAGACGCCCGCCACCACGCCCGGCTAATTTTTTGTATTTTTAGTAGACACGGGGCTTCACTGTGTTAGCCAGGTTGGTCTCGATCTCCTGACCTCGTAGTCCGCCTGCCTCAGCCTCCCAAAGTGCTGGGATTACAGGTGTGAGCCACCACACCTGGCTCGTCCTCCTCACTTTCTACAACATCTAGCTCATCATGTCACTGCCCACCCCCTGCTTACAGGATGAAGTCCCAACGCCTTGGCAGGGCATTCAAGGTCCTTTGCAATTTTGCCACAACCTACATATCCATCTTTAGTGCCCATATCCAGTACCTCAGCCACACCTGCCTCCTGCCTGTTAGTGCCCTACTCACTCATACCTACTGGCCACTGACTAAAAGGCCCTTCCTCCTATTGTCTGCCTGGAGGATTGTGGCACCTCTTTCTAGAACATGCTCAAATGCAGCTTTCTGTGAAATGGGCCACCATCTCCTGGTGGCTTAGAGACAGGGCCTTGGTATGTTGCTCAGGCTGGAATACAGTGGCTATTCACAGGCATGATCATAGCTCACTGCAAGCCTAGAATTTCTAATTGCAAGTAATCCTCCTGCCTCAGCCTCCCGAGTAGCTGGATCTTCAGGTGCTAGCCAGCTGAATGCTTTCTTAAGTCTTTACTCGGCCTGCAATTAATTCCATTCCCCACCTTTTCCCACCCACAAATTCCCAGTCTCCTTCAGCATTTGGATCTACTGTCACCTTTAAATTGTTTAAAAATTATTTTTGACACAATTTCAGACTTGCAAGAAAGTTACAAGAATAGTACAAATAATTCTTGTATATCTTTCAGCCCGATACCCTAAATATTGTTTGTGACATTAACCTTAACCTTCCACCCACCCAACTACCTACCTATCTTTTTTTTTTTCTTTTTTTTGAGACAGGGTCTCACTCTGTTGTCTAGGCTGGAGTGCAGTGGCACTATCTCAGCTCACTGCAACCTCAGCATCCTGGGTTCAAGCAATTCTCCTGTCTCAGCCTCCCAAGTAGCTGGGATTACAGGCGTGTGCCACCACGCCTGGCTAATTTTTGTATTTTTAGTAGAGATGGGGTTCTGCCATGTTGGCCAGGCTGGTCTCAAACTCTTGACCTCAGGTGATCTGCCTACCTCAGCCTCCCAAATTGCTGGGATTACAGGCATGAGCCACTACGCTGCTTGCCTGCCTGCCTGCCTGCCTGGCTGGCTGGCTGGCTGGCTTGCTTGCTTCCTTCCTTCCTTCCTTCCTTCCTTCCTTCCTTCCTTCCTTTCCTTCCTTTCCTTCCTTTCCTTCTCTCTCTCTTTCTCTCTTTCTTTTTTCCTTTTTTTCTTTTTTTTGATGGAGTCTCACTCTGTCACCCAGGCTGGAGTGCAGTGGCGTGATCTTGGCTCACTGCAACCTCCGCCTCCCGGGTTCAAGCAGTTATCTGCCTCAGCCTCCCGAGTGGCTGGAATTACAGGTGCCCGCTAATTTCTTTGTATTTTTAGTAGCGACAGGGTTTCACCATCTTGGCCAGGCTGGTCTTGAACTCCTGACCTTGTGATCCACCCGCCTCGGCCTCCCAAAGTGCTGGGATTACAGGCATGAGCCACTGCGCCTGGCTGCCCCTACCTATCTTTCTATGTACTGTATCTAGAATCATAATTTTACTTTTTCTGAACTGTTTGTGAGTTACTTTACAGACATTACTCCCCTCTACTCCTTTGGTGTATATGCTTTGTAAAACCAAGGACATTCTCTTAGATAAGTATAGATAATCATCAAAATTAGGAAATTAACTTTGGTACCAACTATTTTATCTAATCCACAGATCTTATTCCGATTTCACAAATTTTTCCCAATAAAGTTTTTTTTTTTTTCTTTTCAGAGACAAGGTCTTGCTCTGTTGTCCAGGCTGGAGTGCAGTGGCACAATCATAGCTCGCAGCAGCCTCAAGCTCCTGGCCTCAAGTGATCCTTCCACCTCAGCCTCCCAAAGTGCTGGGTGTACAGGTGTGGGCCACTGTGCCTGGCCCCAGTAAAGTTCTTTAAAGCAAAAGAAAGTCCAAGATTAGACACCACATTTAGTTGTCATGTCTCTTTAGTATCCTTTAATCTAGAACAGCTTCTTCTTCTTTCTTTTTTTTTTTTTTTTTTTTGAGACGGAGTCTTGTTCTGTCACCCAGGCTGGAGTTCAGTGGTGCAATCTCAGCTCACTGCAAGCTCTGCCTCCCGGGTTCACGCCATTCTCCTGCCTCAGCCTCCCGAGTAGCTGGGACTACAGGCGCCCACCACCACACCTGGCTAATTTTTTGTATTTTTAGTAGAGACGGGGTTTCACCGTGTTAGCCAGGTTGGTCTTGATCTCCTAACCTTGTGATCCTTCCACCTTGGCTTCCCAAAGTGCTGGGATTACAGGCATAAGCCACTGCACCCAGCCTCCTTTTTGTTTTTCATGACAACATTTCTGAAGTGTCTAAGCCAGTTATTTTGTAGAAAGTACCTCATTTTGGGTTTGTTTGATGTTTCCTTGTGATGAGTTCTTGTTGTACTAATTTGGCAGAACTATCCCAGAGGTAATGCTCTGTTCATCTCAGTGTGTCATATCAGGAGGTATGTGATGTCAATTTGTTCCATTTCCCGTGATGTTAATGTGGGTCACGTGGCTGATTTGTTGCTATGTCTGAGTCCTCCCCCTGGCCCATGAAATCCTTCTCAAGGTCAAAGAGAGACTCGGCCTGATTCATCCTGGCATCATGGTACCTGAGTACTTAGAATGTTGGAAGGTGAGGAATGAACACTTACAGAGCCCCTCCCACGTGCCCAGCTCTGTGGTTGCTTCTCATTTAAGACTCACAGCGACCCCATAATTTATCCTCATTTTACAGGTGTGCTCAGTGAAGATGAATAATTTGCCTAAGAACACTTGACTGGTAAGTAGCAGATCCAGACTCAAATCCAGATCTGTCTGCCACTTCCCATAACACTAATTCCCTGGAACTAATACACCTAGTCAACATCATGCAATGCTTTGAATGAATATTTTTTTTTAATGAAACAGAAAAATCTAACACCAAGATGACCAAGAAACTTAACACCTTTCTATATCAGCAAGGATTCATTTTTTCCTTCCTTTTTATTCATTTATCCCTTCAACAAATATTTATGGTGGGCTTACTATGCACCAGATGGTGTTATAGATAACAGGGCTATAATAGTGAATAAACAGCTTACATTCTAAATACTAGAAAACCCAGCTAAGGTCATTTCAACAAGAAAAAGGCTAGCATTAGAGTAGCTTCAAGGTTGGTTAATTTAGTGACTCAAAGGTGTCATGGCTAAGGTTTGGGTTCTCTGAGACTCTTTTAGTCTTCTCCTTTGGTCAACAAGGTGTTTGCTTTAGTTTTAAGCAAGACATCCTCAAAGGAAACACAGGGGATGTTCCTGTCATTGTCCCTTTATATGAGCAAAGAAAGTCTTGCTAGAATCCTCCAGGCTGACTTCCCTTCCACCTCATTGCCAGAACTATATCATCAGCCCATGCCTAAATCCATACTTGGCAAGAGGATTGAGCCACTATGCCTGGCTTAGGCACTCTGGACTCACACCCCTACCCCACTCCAGACTACCTCTGAGCTCAACCTTCCCCAAAGCATTTGGTCATCAGAAGAGTAGGCAAGTGAACAAAATTGCAACTTTTTTTTTTTTGAGACGGAGTCTCACTCTGTCGCCCAGGCTGGAGTGCAGCGGCGTGATCTCGGCTCACTGCAAGCTCCGCCTCCCGGGTTCATGCCATTCTCCTGCCTCAGCTTCCTGAGTAGTTGGGACTACAGGTGCCCGCCACCACGCCCAGCTAATTTTTTGTATTTTTAGTAGAGATGGGGTTTCATCGTGTTAGCCAGGATGGTCTCAATCTCCTGACCTGGTGATCCTCCCGCCTCAGCCTCCCAAAGTGCAGGGATTACAGGTGTGAGCCACCGTGCAACTTTCTTTTAAGAAGGAAATAGGGGAAAGGTTGTTAAATAGGCTACTGACAAAATTTTTCAAATCTCCCCTCTCCTAGTTTACCAAATATTTAGACTCTGTGGCTTCTTAGAAACTCTTGTTTATACAAATAAAATTTGCCTCACTGCTATTCCTTGTATTAATTTCTGCTTCTTTTTACTTACCGTTAAGTCACATAATGTCTTTCTTTATATATTCCTATATCTTGTCCCATTCCAAAATAAGGTCGCTTTTCCATGAGTATACAGAATCTTAGCCAGGGGAGGTTTAAAAAATATCTAATAACTAGTACTAAGATGTTCATTGACCACTGCTTCATGTGGGATCCTGGAGGCTGCTGGGCCAGGCATTTACTATTTAGTTGCTAGATCAGGGGGAGTTCAGGAGGATCCCAGTAGAGGGGCAAGGGAGGCTTGGAGGACACTCTGGCTCTACTATTTACCAGTTGGTATGAAAATACTTATTTTAACAACTAGTATAACAGTCCCCACGTGACAGGCTGGACGTCGGTGCTAATCTGCATGACAGCCATTTCCAGTGTGAGTATAATGACCACGGCACAATTTTCCCCACGGTCGGGCATCTGGGCTGCCTCTGGTTTTAACTGCAGTATCAAGCTCAGTTCTACACAACTCTATATGTGCTTTTGTTTCATTTTTATATTTTATAAACTTATTTATAAATATGTATTTCATATTTTGTTTCCTTGGAACATATTTCCCAAAGTGGTATTCCAAGGTCAAAGGGTTTGATCAATTTTATAATTTGACATGGTGATTTTTAAAAGCATTTAACCATGGGTTCAGAAACATCCTTGCCCATTTTTTCACAGACTCCTGTTGCTGGAGAGCTGGCAGGCAGTACGGTATGGTGGAAGGAGGGTGGGTGCTGGGTAAGGAGAGCGGGGCTCGGGTCTGGGCAGTGTTTCTCTACTAGGAGTGGGGGACTTGGCAGTGTCTTAGCCTCTGTGAAGCTTGGTTTCCCCAGCTGTGAAATGTGAAACGTGGGAGGTGCCATCTCTCCCAGCATCAGGCACAGCAGGCATCAGTTGCCTACATCTGTTCCTGATCTTGGCCTGAGGCCCTGGCCATCCTTGTCACACCCTCACCCTGGCCCACCTTTGTGGAGGGTAGGCTGAGTAACTTGACTTGAACAATTAACTGTCAAAGTGTCAAGGAAGGTGTGGGTTCTGCACCATAAGGAGGTGTGTAGACTGCCATCTTCTGGTGCAAAATGTTAGTGTCCAGATGATTTAGGGATCAAGCTACTCTCCCTTGTGTCCCCATGAAGATCTGTCCCCCCCGGGGGAAGCTGCAAGAGAAGGGGCGGGGGGGTTCTCCCAACACAGGCTGGCCCTAGAGTCTGGTACTTTAAGGTGATGTCCTCCTTCTGCCAGTGACACTGAGAGAGAGGAAGATGCTGGGTTTTGAAAGCCTGCTTGTAAATGAAGGTGCTTTTTGAGACTGTGGAGGTGATGGCAAGAAGGATCTTTGTGAAAACAGGAGGTCTATATCAGCAATTTACTAAACCGGTTCAGAGAGGCTGACAGCAGTGGTCAATCAGTCCACAAATATTTACAGAGCGCCTACCATGTGGCAGACACATGCTCTGGCAAACGCTGTTGAAAGAGACAGGCAGGGTTCCTGCTCTCATTGTCTAGTGGGAAACATTGGTGATAAGGTTAATTCTTTTTCAACTGATATGCTTTCTTTTATTTAGTTGGAGATAAACAGAAAATTAAAAGTAATTTAAACCATACTATTTTGCCTCTCAAACACTACAGCCAATTTTATTTCAATACCTTCCAGCCCTTTCAGATGCGTATGCACACTTTTAGCAGAGCTATAATCATAATGCCTATGTGATCCTGAAGTTTGTTGTATTTGACTGATAATAAACATCTCTACACTGCTATCAATCTGCACAGTTATCCTTATTGCTGTATAAGAGGCAAATGTGTGGCTGTATCAAAATCTATATAGCAATTCCCTCAAGTTTAGTATTTTTTTTTTTTTGCTACAATAGATATTGTTGATGTTGACTTCTTTATGGAGGCTTTTTTTTTTTTTTGAGATGGAGTCTCGCTCTGTCGCCCAGGCTGGAGTACGTTGGTGTGATCTCGGCTCACGGCAACCTCCAACTCCCGTGTTCAAGCTATTCTCCTGCATCAGCCTCCTGAGTAGCTGGGACTACAGGAGCCCGCCATCACCCCTGGCTAATTTTTGTATTTTTAGTAGAGACGGGGTTTCACCATGTTGGCCAGGCTGGTCTCGAACTCCTGACCTCAGGTGATCTTCCTGCTTTGGCTTCACAAAGTGCTGGGATTACAGGCGTGAGCCACTGTGCTGGCCTCTTTATGCAGATTTTTATTGCATTACTTCTGAATAATCATGGATATAGTTCTTCCTATGTGTTTCCATATTAGTTCCCAAAGGAACTATTACTAATTTCGAATGCCACCAATATTGTATCAGTAAATCAATTTTGCTGCAACATCAGGTACATTGAATATTGTTGCTTCAAGGCATTTTTGAAAAGATTTTTAAATAGAGTCCCAAATTTGCTTTCTGCAGCATATCTTTGGATGCCAGTAGGCAGGTTTTTTTTTTTGCACATGTGCTATTTATAATTGCTCTTGTGTAAATGTCTGTTTATATTGTGGTTAAAAATTTGAATGAGTCCCTTGTTTGATGGCTTTTCTTAAAAGAGAGAAAAGCAATAGAAGATTGCATTACTGTAGCCCAGAGGGTCAGAATGGCACATAGGGTGTTACTCATTGGGTTAATAACTGTCTGGAATCTTCCCAAGAAAGCTCAGCTGTTCCAGGATCTAGAGTGCAAGTCTCTTCTGCTGCCCAGAACTGCTAAGCAAGAAAAGTGATTCTATAACACCCTTGGTGTGCTTGATTCAATCATGGAAATGACATTATTTCTCACTGTTTATGAAAAAGAGTTGGACACCAGTCTAGGTTACAATAATGCAAATGAAAGGTATGCGATTGGAGCGTTGTTTCCTAGTGACTTGGAAAAATGCATGGCATCCTTGAGTGTCTCAGTTGGAGAAGGCCTCTTCAGATATGGCCCAAACCAGAGAAGTGAAGTGACTTGCAGAAGCTCACACAGCAAGCCAGAGAAGGACTAAACCCCTAGCTGGCATCTATTTTAAATGAACCTGTGATTCTCTCCTTCCGGGCTTCCTCTCCTCTCCATTCCTTCTTCTTCCACCCATGGCCTGCCTCCTCCCAGCCTGCATAATTACCAAAGCATGCTCTGGGAGTGCCTTCTGCCTTGGGAGTAGGTTTCCTTTTCCTACATACCCTCCAACAAGACCCCTGGGCCTTTCTCTCTGGGAATTCAAAGTACTGTGCCACGCAGTGTTTTGTGCAGTAGCTAAAATATTTTGCCAGCACACAAGATCTTCTCCTCAAAGAGGACTGCGGATGTTAGAAGCTGCGCCTGTGTGAGGGTGGGAGATCTTGACTTTGTCAGGAAGCCTTTTGGTTTAAAATCTCGCTGGGCATGGTGGCTCACACCTGTAATCCCAGCACTTTCTGAGGCCAAGGCAGGTAGATCACCTGAGGTGAGGAGTTCGAGACCAGCCTAACCAGCATGGTGAAACCCTGTCTCTACTAAAATTACAAAATTAGCCAGGCATGGTGGCGCGTGCCTGTAATCCCAGCTACTTGGGAGGCTGAGGCAGGAGAATCACTTGAACCTGGGAGGGAGAGGTTGCAGTGAGCTGAGATCATGCCATTGCACTCCAGCCTGGGCAACAAGAGCTAAACTCCATCTAAAAAAACAAAAACAAAAAAACCCACCTCACTACTATTTTCTGGGAAGATTAGATGGAGAAAAGAACATTTGATTAACACTTACCATGTAGTAGGCACTACCTCCCTTAATTTCCTAAAAACACCTATGAAGTCAGAGATGTAGAAGTGGAGGTTCAGAGAGGTTAGGGAACTTGATCGGCTCCCACAGCTATGAACCATTTGCTAATCCACTGGTTCTGGAAAGGCTGATCAGAATCACCTGGGGCAGGGAGAGTTTCCAACTGGCGCTCACATATGTTTCCCAGTGAGAACAGCTGCACCCTATGGTGCTCAAGGTAGGAGTCGTGTGCCAGGACACCACCCCACAGACGTCCTGGTCTGGACAAGTGTCAACAAACTGATGAGGTATAGCAGGAGCTAGAAATCCATATAGAGGGTTTGTGATAAAGCCAAAGAAAAGAGCATCTGGAAAAGTTCCTTCGGGAAGAAAAAATAGAAGAATCCTAAAGACTGGGGCAAGGGGAGCATAACTCAAGGCCAGAAAAGGGAGAGGCTTTGTGGGTGGGAGGGTGCAAGGGGGCAGGGCCCAGGACAGGCTGACCTACTCCCAGGAAGGATGCTGGGGGTGGGAGGATGTGGCAGGGCTTGGGACAGGGAGGGGGCACCTGGGCAGAATCTCTGTCCACCACACTTGGAACAGGCAGGCAGCAGCTGTGCTAGGCAGAGCACTTGACCAGGAGATTTAAGACGCAGTTCTGGCTGTGTAGCCTCAGACAAGTCACATCAACTGTCTGTGACTTGGTTGCTTTCTCATTAAAAATAGGCATAAAAATAATCTTCTCTGCCTGCCTCTCAGTGGGATTACGGGAACTGACTGAGTTAACTCATATAAAAGTGATAAAAGTGTTTCATAAACTGTGAAACACTATACAAATGTCACAGAAGGATTATTAGATACAGCAGTAAGTTCTAATTCATTATTATTCAGAATTCCAGCAACTCAGCTTGTTCTTGGCTGTGTTTTATTGACAAGGCAGCATCTGATGCCCATTGAGATTCTGCTCATTAAAGCCTGGCACAGAGTGAGGCCTCCCTGTTAGCACCCCTCCCCACCCCAGCTCCTTTGTCCTGATGTTCTTACACCCTCAGTCCAACTAGGATGGATCTCAGCTACATAGAAAAATCTCTGATAGTGGTCTCACTGCCCTTGAAAAAAGCCTAACTCTCATTCTTAAAAAAAGCTTTTGGTGAAAGCTTCATTCATACAAGAATATATATATAACGTGTAAGTATAGTTTAAGGAATAACAATAAAACAAACCGCACACTAAACTTTAGAAAAAATACTACCAGTGCCTGCAAAGCTCCTATTGTTCTTCCCTGATGCATTCTCTTCACTCTCCTATCCTCGATTTTGCATTAATCTTTCTCTTGCTTTTTATTTTTTTGAGATAGGGTCTCACTCTGTCACCTAGGCTGGAGTGTAGTGGTGTGATCATAGCTCATTACACCCTTGATCTCCCGGGCTCAACTGATCCTCCCACTTCAGCCTCCCAGGTGGCTGGGACCACAGGCACATGCCACCACACCTGTTTACTTTTTTGTTTTTATTTTTAGAGATGCAGTTTCACTATGTTACCCAGGGAGGTCCCAAACTCCTGGAGTCAAGCAATCCTGCCTCAGCCTCCCAAAGTGCTGGGATTATAGGCATGAGCCACTGCATTCAGCCTCTCCTACTTTTGAGAAAGAGCTTTACCTTATAAGTATTATCCCTAGTTTTTCTTGCCTCTAAACTTTTATCAAGGGAATCATACTGTAAGTATTCTTTTATAACTTGCTTTTCACATCTGTGATCTATGTTGATGGGTACAGCTGTAGTTTATTCATTTTCATAGCTACATAGTTTCCACTATGGGACTGTGTTAGAATTTATTCCTCCTACAGCAAATGGACATTTGAGTTGTTTCCAATTTGGGACTATTTTAAACCATGCTTGTTTATTTCTCCTACTGCCTATATATGAGAGTTAATATTTATCTAGAAGTGGAATTACTGAGTCATAAGGTATGCGTGTCTTTAATTTTATCAGATAAGGCCAAACTGTTCCAAGTGGTGGTAACAATCAACTCTCCTACCAACCATGTATGAGAATTCTCATTGTTCTACATCCTTGCCCCTGCTTGATTGCCTGTGTTTTAAATTTCTGCCAGCCTCGTGGCTGTGGAATTGTATCTAATTTTTATTTTAGTTTGCATTTCCCTTATTACTAAGGAGGCTGACCATTTTTTCATATGTTGGTGGTCTTTTTGTATTTCCTTATCCCTGAAATGCCTGTTCATGTCTTTTCCCCATTGAAAAAATTAAATTGTTCATTCTTATTGATTTGTCGAAGTTTTAAAAATAGATTCTGGACAGGAATTCTTTGCCAGGTGTAGGTGTTACAGTGATCGAGTCCAGTCTCTGGATTGTCTTCTCTGTGTCATGTTTTTTTATGACTAGAAGTTCTTAATTTTAGTGAAGTCACCCTTCCTCTTTTCCTTGAACTTTTGGTGTCTTGTTTAAGAGTGATTTTTTACCCGAGGCCCTAAAAACGGTCTGGATTTTCTTCTAAAAGTTTCAACATTCCAAATGTCTTTCTTGGGACTGCTCTGCCTACTGAGCTCCTGAATCTTTCCACAAAATGCTTCTGCAAGCCAGAGGTTATTTCTATTCCAGTGGGCCTCCTCTCTGCACAGAGGGCCCCCGAGTTCTGCCAAGTGCCCAGAGAAAGGCTCCATTCACCGGGCGGGCTGCTCTCCATGGCCGTGAGTGTCCCGCGCTCTCTGCCGACCGCGGGCCCCTAGGAGGAGCCTTTGCTCCAGGCCTGGAGCTCCCTCCCCAGGCTCCTCTTGCACCCGGCTCCTGGCCGGGGAAGGGGAGCCCTTGCCTCCTGCAGACGGTGGGAGCGGCATCTCCTTTGCACCGAGCCAGGATCTCTGCATGGGGCCACCGCACTTGGGCCTCGCTAGCCTAGTCCGGCCCCTGACCCGCTGGGGCTGGGCCCCTCTTCCCATTCCTGCTCCCTCAGTCCTGCTTTCAAATCTACTGTCTTACCTCCTGCTCGGACGCCTTTCTTGGAATTCTCTTGATTCCTCCCTTGTCTTTTAGGGAGGCCCCGCAGTAACATTCTTTTATGGGTCAGATGCTGCTGAGGTTTCAACCTATCCCAAACTGTTGCAGGATGTAACTGACGAAACTGCAGGCTCCCCAAAGGATCAGACACTAGGGAGCCACAAAAGGTACAAAACCGAAGGGGGCACCGCATGTTTCAATGTTTGATTTTGCCTCACATTTCCCGCTCCACCAGTTAATAGCTGGCTCCACGGTTTCCTCTTTCTTCAGTTTCCTTATCTGGAAGACTGAGTTAATAATCACTACCTTACAGTTTTCGTAAGGATGAAGTAAGATAACTTGGGTAAGGTTCACGGTGCCTGGCACATAATAGGGACCCACAAATATTAGTTTCTCTTTGTCTTAGTTTGAGATCCCAAAATACACAGCCAGAGGCCAAGCTTAGGCACAAATGCTTTTTTGGTTGGTTTCATCTCACGGAAGCAAGAGTGGAGAACAAAGAGAAATGAGGCAGGCAGGCAGGCAGGCAGGAACCACAGATCCAGGGAGGTGTGGAGGGGCCAGAGCAGATCAGGGGCCATGCGGGGTTTCTCTGGACAGGCTGCGTGGAGACCCTGGAGGAGAGGAGAGCACTCTACCTGCCAGTGCCTGCCCACCTCCTATCTCTCATTAATCAAAGTTCACCTTTTGGGAGGCTGATTCCCCTGCATTCTAGGCTGTTTCCCTGGGAGCCCTTCTGGAGGACTTCTCAGAAAGCCAGACCTGCCTCAGGTCTGGGTGCCTGAGCTACTGCAGCTCGTGTTGCAGCGCGAAGGATGGGAACTGCACCACACCCTGACCCTTGTCCTTAGGGGAGCCCGAAGCAACCAGTGGCATTAGTAGATGCAGTGATGGTGGTGGTTGTTAGGAATCCATGACCTCAGGAACAATGTGAGTTACCAATAGCGTGTCTGGCATTGGTGGGTTCTTGGTCTCACTGACTTCAAGAATGAAGCCACGGACCCTCACGGTTAAGTGCTACAGTTCTTAAAGGTGGTGTGTCTGGAGTTTTTTCCTTCTGATGTTTGGATGCGTTAAGAGTTTTTTCTTTCTGGTGGGTTCATGGTCTCGCCAGCCTCAGGAATGAAACTGCAGACCTTCCCAGTGAGTGTTACACCTCATAAAGGCAGCGTGAACCTAAAGAGCAAAAAAAAAAAAAAAAAAAGGAAGCTTCCACACTGTGGAAGAAGATCCTAGGGAGTTGCCACTGCTGGCTGGCGCAGCCTGCTTTTATTCCCTTATCTGGCCCCACCCACATCCTGCTGATTGGTCCATTTTACAGAGAGCTGATTGGTCCGTTTTGACAGAGTGCTGATTGGTGCATTTACAATCCCTCAGCTAGACACACAAGTTCTCCAAGTCCTCACTAGATTAGCTAGACACAGAGCACTGATTGGTGCATTTACAAACCTTGAGCTAGCCACAGGGTGCTGATTGGTGTGTTTACAAACCTTGAGCTAGACACAGAGTGCTGATTGGTGTATTTACAATCCCTTAGCTGGACATAAAGGTTCTCCAAGTCGCCACCACATTAGCTAGATACAGAGTGCTGATTGGTACATTTACAAACCTTGAGCTAGACACTGATTGAGTGCTGATTGGTGTATTTACAATCCCTTAGCTAGGCATAAAGGTTCTCCAAGTCCCCACTAGACTCAAGCCCAGCTGGCTTCACCTCGTGGATCCTGCACCGGGGCCGCAGGTGCAGCTGCCCGCCAGTCCCGCCCGTGTGCTGCGGAGCAGGAGGTGGTGCTCCTCAGGGAGGCTCGGGCCCTGCGGGGTTGGGAGAAGGACAGGAAGGAAGGCTCGGGCATGGCGGGCTGCAGGTCCCAAGCCTTGCTCCGCCGGGAGGCAGCTGAGGCCCAGCGAGAATTCCAGCGCAGCGCCGGCAGGCCGGCACTGCTGGGGGACCCAGCGCACCCTCCACAGCTGCTGGCCCGGGTGCTAAGCCCCTTACTGCCCAGGGCCAGCAGCACCGGCCGGCCGCTCCCAATGCACGGCCTGCCAAGCCCACGCCCGCCCGCCGAGCCCACGCCCACCCGGAACACCCGCTGGCCAGCGATCGCCGCCTGCAGCAGCCCAGTTCCGGTCCCTGCCTCTCCCTCCACACCTCCCCACAAGCAGAGGGAGCTGGCTCCGGCCTCGGCCAGCCCAGAGAGGGGCTCCCTCAGTGCAGAGGTGGGCTGAAGGGCTCCTCAAGCGTAGCTAGAGTGGGCGCTGAGGCCGAGGAGGTGCCAAGAGCGAGCGAGGGCTGCCAGCACGCTGTCACCTCTCAATAGGACCAGTCTGGCCAAGGAGCAGGGTGAGGGGCCCAGGTGCGGGATGGGAAAGGCAGGTGAGCTGAGTGGATCTGTGGTGTGAGTAGACTGCATTTGGTACACCTGTCACTTTTCTTGTGCTCATGCAAGCTCTGCTTCCCAGGACATCTAACACCAGGCATATTCACATTCATCGAATACCAATAGGGGTACAGAGATGAAGGAAGCAGGCATGAGGTCTATGGTTTCATGCACTAAAAAATATTGTATTTCAGAAGGATGGGGTGTTTTTGCTCACATCATTGTCCAGTGCAGGTCAGTGGTTCTCCCGAGTGGCTCTCCTCCATGTGGTGACTCAGGGACCCCGGCTGTCTTCATCTTCTGAAACCATCATCTATACCATCTCAGTCACTGTGAAAGGGGCAGAGAGGATTGACGGCTCTCATGAGAGCTTTTAAGGGCCACATCACTTCTGCCTACATTTTCTCTGTTAGAATTCAAGTTCAAACCCAATCTAACAGCAAAGGAGTCCAGGAAAAGTAGTTTTCCTTTGTGTCTAGGAAGAGGAACTGCATAGGAAAACACAGCATTGTCTCTACCACAGAATAAAGAGAAGTTAAGGTATGACTTCTGTCTCAGAGGATCTCAGGATCTAGCTGGGGAGAAAGAGCAACTCGAAGGAAAAGTTGAATCACAACACATGATTGCAAATGCTGTGTCAACAGTATTCGGAAAATAGCAATAATAGTGAAAAAAAACAGGCCCAGCACAGTGGCTCATGCCTGTAATTTCAGTACTTTAGGAGGCTGAGGCGGGAGGATTTCTTGAGTCCAGAAGTTCGAGGCCAGCCTGGACAACATGGTGAAATCCCGTCTCTACAAAAATACAAAAATTAGCCAGACATGACAGCAGGTGCCTGTAATCCCAGATACTTGGGAAGCTGAGGCGGGAGAATTGCTTGAACCCAGGAGGCGGAGGTTGCAGTGAGCTGAGATTGCGCCGTTGCACTCCAGCCTGGGCGACAGAGCAAGACTCCGTCCCTCCCCCTCTCCCCGCCCCCCCCCCCCAAAAAATACTGTAAGAGTTCATAGGACCAAGAGTGGACCAGAATAGTTGGATAAGGGTTTATGGAGAAGGTGGGACTCGAATTGGATTTCGAAGGATGGGCAAGGTTTAGCCACAGAATAGGAACTATTCTGCCGGTGGGGGAAGCAGCATAAACCAAAGGTCACACTGGAGAAGGCAGGAAAGAGTTAATCCTGGTTAAGTGCAGGCACTAAGGAGTCCTCTTGATTGCTGGCCAGGGAAGAGGTTCCCATGGAGGGACTGGGGCGGAGTGAGGGAGGGCTGGACAACAGTCAGAGAGGCTTCCTAGCAATTTGCCTCCCTCCCCTGTGCCGAAGTATTTCAGTGTTTTAACAACCAGAATGGCTCCATCAGTGCATGTAGGCTGAACATCTGCCCTGTGTTAAAGACTTATGGTGGCTGAGGATGGAAAGAAAGGTTGGAACTAAATTGTGATAGACTTTGAATGCCAGCATGTTTGAGATTTCCAAAACAGAGATGAACGTCGTTTATTTTCACAAAGCTTAGAGACACCTCCTCCCAATAACAACCAATGATAAACAAATGATTACATAGAAATAAATGATAGTGCATTCCTATGATAGGATACTCTGTAATCATTAAAATCCAACTTCTGAAGACTTTTAATGACAGAATAAGTGAAAATATAGAAAACTATAGAGTATAATATCAATTTAGTAAAGAAGAAATATAAAAATATCAAGACTAAAAGAATAAACATCTAACTGGAAATAGTGGTTATTTTTTAAATAGACAAATAAAAATTGTATATATCAATTACAACATGCTTTGAAATATGTATAATTAGTGGTTATTTTTGGATGGTAGTACTATCATTGATGTTTCTTTTCATCAAATTTTTTTATGTTTTGACTTTTTCTATAAGGAACACATTACTTTTATAGTGAAAATATATAATAAATGTTATTCCACAAAAGTAAAGTATAAACATGTGGAGTTTGGTACAGTGGTTGCCATTGCTATTGTTTTATTCTTTCTTGCAGGTGAATCCCATTCTCATTTTTGCAGTATCCAAGAGCTGGATGCCTACATGATGCAGTCCACAGTGGCTGAGCACCTTCTGTCCCTGGGATCTCAGACTCTGCCTGCCACAGAGCAGATGACTGGAAAACCCTCCCCACTTGCTGTCATCATTCCTGAAAGGTCTTCAGGTGTGCCAGCAATTTTCAGACTGAATATCTACACCAGAAAAGCACATAACTACCATGAGCATAAGACGTGGGAGTGCCATGGAGTGACCATAGAAGTATAGACAGTAAGATCACAGCCAGATACAACTTCTTGTTTTATAGATGAGAGACCTGAGGCCCAGAAAGAGGAAGGCACTTGCCCATGGTCACACAGTGAGTTAGTGAGACTGGAGCCCAGCTCTCCAGGGTTCTGTGCTGTGCTAGTCACAGGCTGTTAGGCAATTGGCTTTCCTGGGTTCTGGTCAAATTCATTTTTTGCCTACTCTGCTGCATCTACACAGTCAGATGTGATTTGGGTTAAAGTTCATTGAATCATGTCTATTTCTTGTCTGTTCAGTTTTGTGGCTTCCTGGGTCTCTTTGACTAACTTCTGTTCTTTTAAAATCCAATATGGTATCAATACATGGTGAAAATATTCTCTGAAAACAGTCTGGCACTTCCTCAAAAAGTTAAACATAGAGGTATCATATGACCCAGCAATTCTCCTCCTAAGCATATACCCAAGAGAACCGAAAACATGTTCACACAAAATATGCACTCATATATTCAGCAGCATTATCCATAATAGTCAAGAAGTGGAAACAATCTAAATGTCCATCAACTGATGAATGGATAAAGGAAATGTGCTATGTCCATACCACGAGATATTATGTGGCAATAAAAAGGAACGAAGTACTGATCCACGCTACAATACAGATGAACCTTGAAAACATTATGCTAAGCGAAAGAAGGCAGTCACTAAAGACCACATATCATATCATTCCATTTCCATAAAATGTCCAGAATAGGCAAATCCATAGAGACAAAAAGTAGATTAGTGGTTTAGGGGTTTTTAGGGGCTGGGGGTGGGGCAATGGGAAGTGACTGCTAATGGATGTGGAGTTTCCTTACTGGCTGATGAAAATTAGATAGTGGTGATCGTTGCATAACTCTGTGAAAATATATATATATATATATACCAACACTTCAAAAGGATGAATTTCGGCCGGGCGTGGTGGTTCACACCTGTAATCCCAGCATTTTGGGAGGCCAAGGCGGGTGGATCATTTGAGGTCAGGAATTCAAGACCAGCCTGGCCAATATGGTGAAACCCCGTTTCTACTAAAAATACAAAAATTAGCCAGGTGGTAGTGGCACACACCTGTAATCCCACCTACTTGGGAGGCTGAGGCAGGAGAATTGCTTGAGCCTGGGAGGCAGATGTTGCAGTGAGCTGAGATGGCGCCACTGCACTCCAGTCTGGGCCACAAGAGTGAGACCCTGTCTCAAAAAAAAAGAAAAAGAAAAGAAAAAAACAAGGATAAATTTTATGGTATCTAAATTACATTTTAAAAAAGATGGTCTCTGATTAAAACACAAGAAAAATGAAATTGGAGGAAATCCACAATGAGAAAAGTGTTACAATGTGAAGATATACACTTCAGCTAGACTTCTAAATGCCTAAAAAGAACATTTATAAGTAGGTTTTCTACTCTAAAAACTGGAGTGGAATGGTGGAATGTGTCCTGCCTTATAAAGTAGCTACTCAGATGTGAATTAGAATCCCAGTTCCTCTACTAACTGGTTGCATGACCTTGGTCAAGTTACCTACCCTTCATCAACCTCAGTTTCTTCATCCATTAAATGGGATAATAAAGTCTCTCTTACAGGTAATGGCATGTACTGTGTCAGCAGTCACCCTGAGACTGCAGTGTTGGGGGCACTTTCGCTCTCAAGCAGTGTCTGGAAACTTTTCTGAGTGCTTCTTAAACTGTAGCACGCATTGGAGTTCTTTCTTTCCCCTTAGCTTTTCTCAAACTCTGTAGGTTTAGTGACTAGTACAAGGCTTCTCAAACAAAAATGTGCACAGAATCACTTGGGAATCTTGTTAAAAATGCAGAATCTGATTCACAGGTCTGGGATGGAGTCTGAGATTCTGCATTTCTAAAAATCTCCCGGGCAATGCTGTTGTTGCTGGTCCTTGGAAACACCTGACTAGTATGGTTCTATGTCACCGGAAATGTGAAGCTAGAATGATTTATAGAACCTTCCTTGAGTAGCAAAATTAACTGGGTTTTATAACTAAAATACTTCACAAAAATATAGTCCAAAATAGTGTCAAAATTTTTTTTAAAGATTCCTTTTAGAGGCTGGGCGCAGTGGCTCACGCCTGTAATCCCAGCACTTTGGGAGGCCAAGCAGGTGGATCACCTGAGGTCAGGAGTTCAAGACCAGCCTGACCAACATGGAGAAACCCTGTCTCTACTAAAAATACAAAAACTAGCCGGGTGTGATAGTGCATGCCTGTAATCCCAGCTACTCCAGAGACTAAGGCAGGAAAATCGCTTGAACCTGGGAGGCAGAGGTTGTAGTGAGCTGAGATCGCGCCATTGCACTCCAGCCTGGGCAACAAGGGGGAGACTCTGTCTCAAAAAAAAAAAAAATTTATTTCCTTTTAGATATTCACAGAAATTTCTGCAGCCTTCTCTGAGGGTACAGAGTTAACATGAAATTCTAATTTGAACCACAAAAATTAATAGCAACATGTATACTTGTATGAAGTGTCAACATTTTCCAAGTATAACTTGCATCTAAAATCTCCTTTATTCCACTTAGAACAGGTCTGGGAGGTAGGCAGAGTATGAGTGATTATCTCCATTTTGTAGATGACAAACATTGAGGTTCAGGTAGGTTAAGTGATCTATTAAGGCCACTTAGATTGTCCCTGGCTGAGCTGGGGCGCATGGAAGACCACACCTCCCTGTACCTGAGACCTGGGCCCACCCCCCTTATCATGACATGTCACAGGATTCTGTGCAACTTCAGATCTTACCCTAGTCGTGGGTATATAAATAAGGCAACTTTGGGGATAGAGGCAAGAGAGACTGGGCGTGGTGGATCATGCCTGTAATCCCAATGTTTTGAGAGGCTAAGGCAGGAGGATCCTTGAGGCTAGGAGTTTGACACCAGCCTGGGCAACGTAGTGAGACCCCATCTCTAAAAAAAAAAAATAGGCAAGAGAGAGGACCCCTAGCAAAGGGTATCCTCAGATATGCAAGATAATAGAGCTAGTAATATTTCTTCCCTTCCTCTCCTTGGCCCCCACCCCACAATTCAGAATTTTAAAATGTCACAGTCTTGCCTACACTAAAACAAGCATGTTTGGGATCCAAACACCCATCTTGCTATCTTCTTTCCCCTGCTGTTTACAGGAAAGCAGGAAGGCTGCAGGTCTCCAGCCTTCCTGTCAGATGGTACACCACAGCCTAGCTGATGCAGGCTCCAGAAAACTCTCAGGCCTTTGCAGGGGGAGTGGAGGGAAAACAAACTCTCTTCAGAGTTGGAGTTTCTCTCTGCTAACTCAATAAGTTGGATATTCATAAGTCTAAGAGTATGACTTTCAGCATTGTAGGTTTCAACCTGGGGAGGTTTAAAAATGAAGTCTGTGCCCCACCCCCAGAAATCTGGGATTTTGAAAAGCTTCCCAGGCATTCTAGCATATAGCCAGGGTGGCAAACTGCTGAACCATGGTCAAGAATTTCAATAGACCCCACCTCCTACCCTGCTCTACAGGCGGGTTACTTCTATCCACTCTGTCCCACACACAGAGATTATGCTCACTCTGAATTGAAATGTATAAATTCCACTCCTCACAAATGAGGTCACGTGTGTGAAGCATGGGCTGGAAAGGAGATGGTTCATCTCTTGGCTTCACCACTTGCTATTAGCAAGGCTATACAGGGAGGGAGTTACAGGCACAGGCCTTCTGGGCCTGCATCCTGACTCCACTGCTAACTAATTTAGTGACTCCGGACACACTGCTAAGCCTTTCTAAGCCTCAGTTTCCTGATCTATGAAATGGGGCTGTGGGTTGTTGAAGGGTTGCAGGGCTGGGAAGAGAGCACAATGGCATGGCCTGAGCATGAGTGTCTCTTTATATTTCCCAGCCTCAACACCTCACTTTCCTCACCCTGGTGACTGTTCTAAGAGGATGCAGGAGTTGACTAGGCCGGGCGCAGTGACTCATGCCTGTAATCCCAGCACTTTAGGAGGCCGAGACAGGAGGATTTCTTGAGGCCAGGAGTTTGGGACCAGACTGGGCAACATGGCAAACCCTGTCTCTACAAAAAGTACAAAACTTAGTTGTGCATGGTGGCGCCCATGGTCCTAGATACTTGGGAGGCCGAGGTGGCAGAATCACTTGAGTCCAGGAAGTCAAGCCTGCAGTGAGCCGAGATTGCACCACTGCACTACAGCCTGGGCAACGCAGTGAGACTGTCTAAAAACAACAGCAACGACAAAATAAAATAAATGTTGACCGGTAGCAGGAGAGGGGTCCAGCACCCATCTCCTAAATCTGCTGGCCCACTCTACATATTATTCCACCCAATCAAATTAAATTGCATTTCTTCCTATGTAAGCTCACGTCAACAACCCGATTCCATCCTTCTATTCCACTTCACTCCCCATCCCGCCCAGCCCTGGCAGCTTTCCTAACTGGTCAAAGCAACTGAATTTCATTCAGTTCAATTATTCTATATCCCTCTACTCATAGAGTTGCCAGATTTAACAACAACCACAACAACAAGATACAAGATGCCCAGTTAAATTTGAATTTTAGGTAAGCATTGAGCAATTATTGTAGTACAAACATGTTCTGTGCTATATTCAAATTTGTATTTGAGATCTTTTAAAATAAAAATTCCAATTTCAGCAAAATGTGCTTTATCTGGCAACCCTACCCTAATATCACTGCTTGGGAAGAGTTGGCTCTGTGCCTCTGGGGCTTTTTCTCTCCCACATTATAGCGCTTGGATTGTAAGACAAATTATAACTGTTTCCCTGCAGACTGGGAGCAAGTAGGAGACATGTATGCACTTAATATTTCTTTTTTTAAATTACTTAGCATAGTTCCTGGTACTATTTGTGGAAGGTAGAAAGAAAGGAAAAGAGGAAGGGAGAGGCCGGGCGCAGTGGCTCTCGCTTGTAATCCCAATACTTTGGGAGGCCGAGGCGGGTGGATCACAAGGTCAAGAGATCAAGACCATCCTGGCTAATACGGTGAAACCCCGTCTCTACTAAAAAAACAAAAAATTAGCCGGGCGTGGTAGTGGGCGCCTGTAGTCCCAGCTACTCGGGAGGCTGAGGGATGAGAATGGTGTGAACCCGGGAGGCGGAGCTTGCAGTGAGCCGAGACCACGCCACTGCACTCCGGCCTGGGTGACAGAGCAAGACTGTCTCAAAAAAAAAAAAAAAAAAAAAAAAAAGGGGAGAAAGGCAGAAATGAAGAGATGAAGGGGAAGGGTGTTCCCAGGTCTGAAGCCCCAATAGTACCTTTCAAGAATGGGACTCGAGTGGTGGCCTTGGCCCCTTCTATCTCATTCTAATGCCCGCAGCTCTGGTCAGGGCAGAAATCTCTGTGGCTCTATGAAAGATTGTCTTGGGGCAATTATCTTGGTGCGCACATTGTTGGCTTTAACATATGGGACTGTATGGTGGACGCACCTGACGGCGATGCATAACCTGAGAATGACACTGTATGGCAGACGCACCTGAATGCAGTTCCGAGCTAAGGAATCCAGGAGTGGCCAACCCGAGTCATTCCTTATTTAGGAGCAACATCTGAGCCCCTGGCCCTTCCTGTGGAAGGCGTACAGGAATTTGAGGCCCTTCGTTCTGGCTTAAATGAAGGTTGCCAGGTGGAGGTTGTTAGGGGGAGGGTACTAAGTGAAAATGCTATGTAAACTACATGCCTTTTGCAAACAGTTGCGGTTCTCCTGTCCAGCCTGCCACCACTGGACTCTTTCCCCTGTATGTAAGCCCTTAATAAAACCCCATGTGGGGCCGGGCACGGTGCCTCACGCCTGTAATCACAATACTTTGGGAGGCTGAGGCGGGCGGATCACGAGGTCAGGAGATCGAGACCATCTTGGCTAACACAATGAAACCCCGTCTCTACTAAAAATACAAAAAATTAGCCGGGCGTGGTGGCGGGCGCCTGTAGTCCCAGCTACTCGGGAGGCTGAGGCAGGAGAATGGCGTGAACCCGGGAGGTGGAGCTTGTAGTGAGCCGAGATTGCGCCACTGCACTCCAGCCTGGGTGACAGAGCGAGACTCTGTCTCAAAAACAGACACACAAACAAAAAAACCCACGTGTCTTTCACTGCCTCTGGGTCTCTTCTTCGGCCTTTTGAGCCTGGTGCCATTCCCCAGTGGAGTCGATAGGGGTTTGGCACAGCAGGGATCAATCCAGTCACCCTGCCCTCCCCCCACCCATCGGAGGAGATAGCAAAGAATGGTCTCACTTTATATCAGCTGTACTCTCTACAAAGTTAATCATCAACCTCATCCCAATGCATCTTGCAGAGATTGGAGGTGGAGTGGTGGGGTTTTGGGGGAGAAATGAGGTACTGGCGCTGCAGAAATGGCGCTGTGCCTTTCAGAAAGTTTATACAGGGGTAGCTGACCCCGCAGCTGGAGGTGCTCTAAAAATGTTAAAGGTTTCCAGCTGTTGGCTCTTGGGAAATTCTGGAAATGAGGAAAATCCCACTATCATGTCCTTAAAATACAAGGAGGCGAGTGCTACACCAAGGACGTTTGCCAACAGGACAGGGGCAGGGCCACCTCTGCTTGGGTGGGGGGTGGTGCGTGGCTGAGGTTGGACAGTGACTTGGAGAAGCCAGGCACTTGCTCAGAGAGGGGAGGGGCCTTCCAGCCAGGGAAGAGTATTTGCAAAGATCCTGGCAGGAAGGACAGGGAAGAGTCAGGAATCCTGGCCTGGCTGGCTGGTAGAGTGCCTGGGGGCAGAGGAGGGAGAGGCTTCTGGAAAGTGGGTTGCAGACACTTGTGAGGGTTATGACTGCCCAAGTAAGGGGCATGGCCTTGTGTTGACTTAAAGGGGCACTCAGAGTCTTTAGGTAGGAGAGTAACATAACAAAATGTGTGTTGTTTCAACTTTTTTGCATATTATCTCTTTATGATAAAGGGTATTACAATGGCCTGTATGTTTAAACATTTTACATTTCTAACGCTTGTTTTTAAAATTATAGGGTGTGCAACATTCCAGAACAAAAATTTCCATGGGATTTTATAGAACAATTAAGAGGAGATACATTCTTTGTGCAGCTATTTTAATATAGTAGTCTGCTATATATACTTTTTCATTTCTATTAAATTATAAAGGGTACTAAGTAATTGTAAAGTCTGAATAAATCTATGTTTATAGAAGAATATTGCCGAGGTCAACACAAATTACTATTTTTATTTGCATTTTCAATTAAAAGATTAACTTAAACCTCACCCAGTGACTCCTGACATGTACAGTGCTTACTTGACACAATATTTTCCCACTTCTGCAGTAACATAGGCAAACAATTCAGTAACTTTTGTGCTTTTAGAAACAACAGCCAAGTTTCAGAAAAAAAAAGTATTTTCTCTGGTTCTTCACAGCTCACCTTGAATATTATTTGTTGGGTTTTTTTGGGGTTTTTTTTGTTTTTTTTTTTTTGAGATGGAGTCTCGCTGTGTCACCCAGGCTGGAATGTAGTGGCGCAATCTTGGCTCACTGCAACTTCCGCCTCCCCGGTTCAAGCGATTCTCTTGCCTCAGCCTCCCGAATAGCTGGGACTACAGGCCCGTGCCACCACGCCTGGCTTTTTTGTATTTTTAGTAGAGACGGGGTTTCGCTGTGTTAGCCAGGATGGTCTCCATCTCTTGACCTTGTGATCCACCCACCTCAGCCTCCCAAAGTGCTGGGATTACAGGCGTGAGCCACCACACCTGGCCCTATTTGGGTATTTCTAAAACTACTCGTACTTTTCCTTTTATTTAAAAAATTTGAAAACATACAGAAAAGTTGCAAAGACCATACAACAAGCACCTGTATACCCTTCGATGAGATTCACCAGTTGTTAACATTGGACCACAGTCTCTCTCTCTCTGCACCTCCTGGGTGTTGATGTCTCTTCAGTTCCCACCTTTGGAGAACCTGAGATCTTGCCCTGCTCTGAAACTTTTCAATCTTCCCTACATCCAAAAAATTTACACCCACCAGGCTCCCAGTTTCTCATTGTACTTCTTTCTTTGAAATGAGGAGTAAGAAGATTTGAGCTCAAATTCTGGTTCCTCTATCTTGTGACCATGAGGAAGACAATGTTTCTGGGCTCCAGTTTCCTCATTTTTAAAACGGAAGAATATGTGGGGGAAGAGGGCGGGGGAAGGGAGAGCATCAGGACAAACGGCTAATGCATGTGGGGCTTAATACCTAGGTGATGGGTTGATAGGTGCAGCAAACCACCATGGCACATGTTTACTTATGTAAGAAATCTGCACGTTCTGCACATGTATCCCAGAACCTAAAATAAATTTTAAAAATAATAAAATGGAGGAATAATGCTTAAAAAAAGTCAAAGTATATGAAAGTGCTTTGTGAACCCTAACAGCTCCATAAAAATGTAAGGGGCCATTATTACCATAAATGAAATCCTCTGATGTATTAACAGCTTAATGAGTTAATGCTCCCAAGTTATCAAGGCAGCCCGATGAACTGGGAACCAGTTTGAAGCCAGAGAGATCTAGTCTGCTATTAATTACTTGTGTGACCTTGGGCAAAGTTGTGTAACAGACTCTCTGGGGTCTTAGTTTCTTCATCTGCAAAATGGAGATCACGATCCCTATCTCGCAGTGGAGTTATTTGTGTTTGCTCAGCCCCAGGGCTTGCTGGACTGACCAGGGCTGCAGTAGAAGAAGACGGAGAGGTGAGGGTTGAGTGTTGGGGTGAGAGGGCACAGGGGCAATGATTCTCAACCTTGGATGCACATTGGAGTTATCTGGGAACTTTAAAAAAAATTCCAATGCCCAGGCTGCACCTGGGACAAATTATCAGACTCTCCAGGGGGTGAGGCCAGCCATCAGTATTTGTTAAAGCTCTCAGGTGATTCCAATGTCAAGTGAGCTAACAAAGCTAACTTCTGCTGTCCCTTCTCTTCTCTCCCTTTGGGACCATGACCCAAAAGAGTAACTAATGGGGGCAACCCTAGGCCTGGTGCAAAGTGGTGAAGAAGGCACTCCAGGATAGGCAGGACTTTCAGATCCTCTCCAACACAGGCAGCTGCGCACTGGGGCTGCCTAAGCTTCCTGAGTGTATTTAGGTCCAAGTCATTAAGTGACATCATTTGAAAGCTAAAAAGATCAGATTACAGCATCATGTTGATACCCTTTCTCCCTTACCACCCCACCCCCCCAAGTACAAAGGATCTTATTTTTAAAAACTCTCCTTAATGATAGCTACATACCGAAATGTTGTTGAAGCTGTCTGTTCAAAACATCAGCAATATACTTAAATGTATAATAAGCACATTATGCATTTAGCCTGGGGTTAGAATTGTCAGCCAGAGGCTTCCAGGAGACCACGTGGGCACCCTCCAGCCAGGTCCTCCTATGCTGGGCTGTTCTCTAGCCCGCATTTGAATAATTTGGGTTTAGGAATTACAATGAAGCTTTGCATCTATATTATGTTCTTGCTAGGATGTTTTGGGGAAGGCTGTAATTTAGTGCTTCTGCCCCCAAAGATGGGGAGCAGAGTCCTGCTTTGTCAAAAGGGTGGCAGGAAAAGCAGGAACTAGACCCTGAAGTCTTGGCTCTGAGGATCCCTCTCTCCTTCCATGAGCAGTTGCCTTTGCTTTTTGGGGAGCTTTCCTTTCCCAGGTAAATGGCTAGTTTCACCTGGCATGAGGTTTGCTAGGTAGATGCTGCAATAAATAGTGCAGGTGATTCAAATCGCCTAAGTGGCAGAACACCTGGAGGTTGTAGTGCTTTTTCAGCTACTGTGCCATTATCATTTATTATGTGCCAAGTGCTTGATGGACATTGTGGTATCTAAACTGCCCTACATTCTGCAAGGTGGATACTATCCCCACTTATTTTCCAGTGATAAAGGCTCAGAAAGGTGAAATAGTTGCCCAAAGTTACACAGCTAGTAGATGGCAAGACCAAGATCGGAAACATAGAGCTGATGGACTCCACTCTCAGCATGAAGCTACACTGTTTCATGAGGCCCACATTATCAGCCCCACCACCTCCTCTGGTGGTGAGGCCTCCTCAGAAGCATGAGGATTAATGAGCAAGTCTTGTCTCCACCTGAAACAATCGAGCTGCTAGGTGGTACCTGCAAAAGGCCTCCCCACCCAGAATGGTTTCCTCTTACGTCCACAACGACCACCACCACAGACATGACGATAATTACATAAATGGCATCAAAGAAAGACATTTCTTTCACTCTGGCATCATGGGAATGTCCCCAGCCTTTTCTGGGAAGGTCTCACGTGGGTACATCTAGAACAAAACACGGGCCATCAAGATTCATCTCTGACTTTCACACAATGTTTTTGTGCCACTTTTTGTGCCCACCCATTGCTGTTCCCCCTGGGTAGCAGAAGCCAGAGTTGTAATACATGTATCTTAACATCTAGTCTTGATTTTTAAAATTCAGATCTATAGCATCTCACAATCACAGCATCGTAAAGCTGAGAAGGACCTTGAAGCTCATCCATTTTATTCTGAGACAGGGTCTCACTCTGTTACCCAGGCTGGAGTGCAGTGGTGTGATTGCAACTCACTGCAGCCTCGACCTCCTGGGCCCAAGCGATCCTCTAACTTCGGCCTCTTGAGTAGCTGGGACCACAGGCATGTGCCACCACGCTTGGCTAATTTTTAAATTTTTGGTAGAGATGGGGTCTCTCTCTATTGCCCAGGTTGTTATTGAACTCCTGAGCTCAAGCCATCCTTCCGCCTCAGACTCCCAAAGTGCTGGGATTACAGGCCACTGCGCCCACCTCATTTTAATCTCCCTTATTTACAGTTGGGGAAACTGAGGTCTAGAGTTGCTCAGACTCTTGCTAAGGCTACATCATGTTAGTGGTGAGGGCACAGTATTCCCACAAAAGGCTGCTGGGTCATGGGCTCCCTTTCTCTTTGTCTCAGAGCTTTGTTCCTCTCTCACACTTGATTCTTTTTCTAACCTGCTTCTGGTACTGCTCCATCAAGAGATAAAGCAAGCTGAGCAGGACCTGTGGGCACAGAGGAGGGAACGGGGCAGTCACTCACCCTCAACCCCAGGCTGCATCTTGGGATCAAATACAGCCTGGTGAGAAGCTGGCCCCAGAGCATCTTTGCCTCAGAAGCAAAGGTCCTGAGGCCACGACTCCACATGGAGATAGAGACATAGGCAAAGTTTCTCAAATGGACACCAGCCTGAGGAAGCCCCAGTGGCAGGAAATTCAAGGAGGCCTGAATCCTGGTCCCCACTGATACCTAGAACCAGCCGTGAGCTCCAGAAAGCTTCTGGTGTGTAGCAGACGCTTAGTGAATTATTGCCATTGAAACCACCTCAGACCCCCACAAGGAACCCAGACACACGTCTTCAGGCATCTCACTTTGTTTTGGACAAAGAAGGATGGCTCACTTTTAATCAGCAGATTCAGTTCTGAATAACTTTTAGCTGCTCTTCAAAAATCCCACTGATCTTTAAAGGAAGATTTCTTACCATTGAAAAGCTTCAAAGGAAAGTGCCACAGACATTGAAGGTATTTCTACAAGAAGAGCTCCCCCAAAGGCTTGGCGCAGTGATTTTTCAACCCTCTGCATGTTAGAATCAACTAGTAAGATTTGAAAAATCCCCAAGCCCTGACCCCACCTGCCTAATTCAGTCAGAATCTCTGGGAGGCAGGTCTACTGGATATCAGTATTTTAAAGTACTTTGGCAGGTGATTCCAATGTGCCAAGGTTCAGACCCACTGATGGAATCAGTGGAGTCTCCCAGGGTGAAAAGGGCAGCCATGGTTTGCTGAGCTAAGTTCCCAAGTGATTGCTCAAAACTACCCATTTAACTGCCTTGTCATCATTTTAGTTTTCCACCCTCTCCCTGCACACACAGTGGGGCACACCTGGATTCATTTCATTGCTCTGATTGGATTCAGGTGCAGTCAGACCTAGCACCATGGTTCAGCAGTTCTGGATGGTAACCTTATAGGTGGCTCCAGCCTGTTAAACAACCTGAGGTGGGAAGGAGGAAAGCAACAGTTCACAAAAGCATGGTCTTCCTGTTGTTCTGTTGGTTGGTCCCAAGCCTAACCTCTCTTTGCCTCTTCATCCTTGCTGCTGGATAAACCCAGGAGTCTGCGGGTGATCTTGGATAAGTTACCTAGTGTCTGTGGGCTTCAGTTTCTTCATCTGTAAAATGGGAATAATACTAACTCATATCACTTAAGAAAGGAGCAAATGAAATTCTGTTGATCAAACACCTGTCCTAGTGCCTGCCCACGGGACAGGCATGCACTGAATAGTAGCTAATGTTTGTATTCACCAATTTGCCAGGCCCTTCATTAGCGTACAAAAGACTCAAAGGTGGGGACAAAGCATGGGGATGTTTCAAATCTCAGCAGATGATCCTAATGTGTAGAGGGTTGAAAATCAATGCTCCAAGCCTTTGGGGAACTCTCCTTTCAGAAATACTTTCAATGTCTGTAAGCACTTTCCTTTGAATCTTTTCAAGGGTAAGAAATCTTCCTTTAAAGATCAGTTTATTTTTAAAAAGGATACTACAGCGGTCAGTTCTATTTTAATGTGCATAGGAGAGGTGAAGAATTTCTGCTTCTTCACGGTTAACTGCTGAGATGTGAATATTGAGATCACAGTTAGTTACTTAAACATGACAGTTAATGTCCCTTCAGTGGATGTTGGCCCAAGAGGACCCTCACAGGAGGGGCCACATTTCAGTGCCATAACCAAGAACAGATATGAAAGTCTGTTCAATGTCAAGATCTTATCTTTCTTTTTTTTTTTTTTGTTTTTTGTTTTTGAGACGGAGTCTCGCTCTATTGCCCAGGCTGGAGTGCAGTGGCACCATCTCGGCTCACTGCAAGCTCTGCCTCCTGGGTTCATGCCATTCTCCTGTCTCAGCCTCCTGAGTAGCTGGGACTACAGGCGCCTACCATGATGCATGGCTAATTTTTTGTATTTTTTAGTAGAGACAGGGTTTCACCGTGTTAGCCAGGATGGTCTTGATCTCCTGACCTCGTGATCTGCCTGCCTCAGCCTCTCAAAGTGCTGGGATTACAGGCGTGAGCCACCGCATCTGGCCAGTTTTTTTTTTTTTTTTTCTTTTTCTGAGGCAGTCTCACTCTGTCGCCCAGGCTGGAGTGCAGTGGTGTGATCTCGGCTCACTGCAACCTCTGCCTCCGAGGTTCAAGCAATTGCTTCAGTAGCTGGGAGTAGATGGGATTACTGATGTGCACGACCACGCCAGGCTATTTTTTTTTTTTATTTTTAATAAAGACAGGGTTTCACCATGTTGGCCAGGGTGGTCTTGAACTCCTGACCTCAGGTGGTCCGCCCACCTCAGCCTCCCAAAGTGCTGGGATTACAGGTGTGAGCCACCACGCCCAACCCTATCTTTAATGATCAAAAGAAATAATTCGCAGCTATGTACTTGCAAGGTTCTAACTGCTTTAAAACTGGGGCACCGTAAGAGCTGAGAGGAAGAGCACCCCCCATCAGCAAGACTTAGACTTCCTTGAGTTTACCAGAGGCTTTCAGTTTTCAAAGTATTCCCCTATTAATTGCTGTAACTTTGGGAGGAAGGCGGGTTGGGGGGACTTATACCCATTTTATAGATAAAGAAACTGTGGACTAAAGTTACTCAACAGAACTGGGACTGAAACATCTGACATTTCCAAGACAGCATACTGATTCTGTAGCCACCAGAAGAGAAACTTTTTCCACTGGAAGACTACTATGAGCTGGGCACCGTGTTAGATGTTAGGAAGAACAGTGAACAAGACACACAAGAAAACAGTGAACAAGACCAGGGCCCAGTTTAGTGGAACTTGACCATGGTCCTCACTCTCGTCTCCAGTTTGTTCTTCTGTGCGGGGTGCTCGCTCTTGAACCTCACCTTAGCAGTGACTCTATGTGAATCCCTACTGGGGACATGCTCCGGAAAGGCAGCTATGATTGCCCATCAGCCAGATGTGCAGCTTCTCCAAGGCCACAGCTTATGGCCACTCTGTTTGGTCAGCTGGTGCCTTCACATGGCCGGTGATCAGACCCTGCACATGTCATCTCTCACATCTCAGAGACTTGGGGTCTCCAGGACCAAGCCAGAGCCCAGCGGCCAGAAGCCTGGCCTCACTTGTTGGTCCAAAGCTAACAGAGGAGCCTCCCCGGCGGGTATTCCCTTAACCACAGTCTGAATTACGATCCTTGGCCACAGACTGGTGACTTCTGTAAGTTAGGTGTTGAAGGTGGAAGAGTGGGGAAGAGGAAGGCGGGGGAGCTATTTTCATCTTGTCACAAGGGCTTAAAACACCAGTTTCTCTTGTGCCTTATTTAGATGAGTAGTCTTGACCTAAAAAAAGTCAAAGCTGTGACTCAGTTGAGCTCCGAAGTTGCTCAAAATGCTCTGAGCTCCTGTCTGGGGCTATACTGAAGAATGTCTTTGGATAGTGTGAGGTGGGCACCCTATTTGGGCAAATGAAAGAGCTTTGGAAATCATCCCCATGGTTTTCTGGCCCAGGATGAAAAGCACAGGGGTTTGAGAGTCCAACTTGCTGTTTTGGTCCACTCTTATTTTTAAACAGCATGATGGTGCGGGGAGGGGCTTGCCCATTTAAAGAGAAGTATGTTTCTAGCCTTCCAAAGCATAGGGTATGGGACTTCCAGACATGCCAAGGTGAGCTCAGAGACCAGGCCCCCACTGAGGAACCACATAGGCGATGTGTACCAGGGATGAGGTCCCCTGGGCAGAAGAGCCACTTGGCAGGGCCATGGGTGGGGAAAGTATGTTCATCACCAGGATGGCCTGAGGGAAGATTCTGGAGTCTGTGCATTTGCCTCTGGCGTCCCGAGCTGCCCTATGATCACTGCACAGCCCTATCCCAGGCCCCACTGTTGTGTCCTGTTCATGTCTTCTTTCCCAGAGAGTATCCCATACTCCAAAATGATCCCTTTGCCTGGCCACGCCTGTGTCTTTGTACTATTGTTTATTATTCATATAGAACCCCCATTGGCAGGAGAACAGTGTGCTCCCTCACTTTGTCCCATTGTCCAGGCTGTCTGGGCTCAGCATCTAAACAGGATGTATGTGAGGTGACCTGGCATAAGGCAGATTTGTGGGTTCTGGGAACTTGGGTTCAAATCCCACTCATGCTGCTTCCTGGCTTGGTGAACTTGGTCTAAGGCTGTTAACCTCCTTGAGCTTCCGTTTCCTTTTCTGTGACAATTTCATGGGCCACTAATCCACAGAAACATTTCTACCAATGGTTTCAGACAAATATGTGCAATAATGGTGGTCCTTGTACACATGTTGGAATCAGCCTTTGGTTGGAATGTCAATGCCAATACCACCCAACCATCCCCTCCAACATGGACAGGCTTGATGAAGTTATGGTCAGACTCTAACGATGGCTTTGACACCCAGAAGAATGTGTCATTCTCACAGCGCAGGCTCTGCAGCCAGACTACCTGGCTGCGTTTCTCAGGGCTTCCCCTACCTGGCTGAGTGGTCCTGGGAGCGCATTTTTGTCTCCTCATTGAGGGTGTGGGTAATACCAGTGCCCACCTCATGGTGTTGTGAAGATCAAATGAGCCGATTCATGTAAAGCTCTTAAAACTGCACCTGGCACCAAGCAGACACTTGATGAATATTATCACGAGTGGCTTATCTTTGTAAAGAATGCTCAGACGCATCATCTAATTTGCAACTTGATTTCTACAACATCCTGTGAGAGGTAGAGATCATATCATTTTGCAAATAAGGAAACTCAGATCCAAAGTGATAAAATGTCTCACTTGAGAACAGAGCCCAGGTTTTCTGCCCCTAAGATGAGTGCTCTATTTTCTCTGCTGCATGGACAGAAGTACTCTTAAAATTAAACAACAAAGGCCCCTCGCAGTCAAGTCACAAGTCGGTATTTTTGTAAATTCTTGTCAGGGACTGGATAAAAACAAGGATAGGTTTAGATGTGGTTTTTGGATAGTGGGTCTCCATTCCAATGTTAGCAGCAAGGTCCGGTGTGACCTGGCCGGTGACAACATTTCTGCAAAGGTGACCTCAGAGTTCCTCTAGGGCAGAAATGGGTGCTCTTTCTGGGCTGGTGGTGGGTGGGAAGGTGGTAAGAGAGGAGATGAGGGGTCAAGTGTATTCCCCCCTTTGGTGTCTTCCAACAAGCTATGTATTGAGGGAGTTTCTTCACTGGAGTTTGGCTGCTGTCATTACATGCCCACTTCAGTTAAATACAAATAATAATAAATTTGGTTAAAGCCAGAATCCAACATTCCAAATCGAAAAACAGTTCCAGAAATACAGAGGCAAATGCAACCAGAACCCTCTGCCTGTGGAAACAAGGATGACTGAGCACTGGTTCCCTTCATTTTGTCCCATTCCTTCCAGTCATCCACCTGCTCGTCCATGCAGTCATTCTGTCATCCAGCATGTGTTTATTCAGCTCTGCCTCTTACAGCCATCCCCATGACAGTTTCCTGTGGCTCATCCAGCAGTCACAGCCGCAGCTTAGAACAGTAGCCCTGGCGTCTCTCCTCAGGGGCAAACCTGGCAGTAGCTCAGCCTCTTTGGCTTGCCCCTTTTCCCTCCCTCTCTCCCTTTTAATCTGGACCAGTGTCCTCAGATGTGGCCAGGATGGTGATTTCCCAGAGTATGGCTGTTATTTTGTTTCCATATTTGGCCCACCTGGATGCCATGTGTTTAATTTCAAGGCACCATTGGGCCCTGTTTTTCCTCTGCTTCTCAGAAACGGGTCCTCCCAGAGTCAGCTCTTGGGTCCTCCCCTGCCACACGCAGCTGGTTCCACCCATGCCTTCTCATCAGAAGGGCCCAGAATGACTCCCCCCTTGGTCACTGTGTGCATCAAGGGCTGAGTCAGGAGATGCTCAGGAGCCTGGACACCCTGCTCTTCTCCAGTGACAACAGATGCAGCTGGCAGACGAGAGGGAGGCCAAGTGGAAAGCACAGAGCACCAGGAGGCAGGGACCTGGTTTCTTCTTGGTTCTTATCCTGACTCTGCCAGCAGCGAACTTGCTCTCAAACCCCAGGGAAGAAGCTCCACCTTTCTGTTCCTTGTTTCCTTCTCTGTACCTAGGGATGGGCACCTGGCCTTCACTATAGGGCTATAGAAAGGACCATGAGAGACAATATGGATGCCACATTTTAAGAGGTTCCAGTCCTATCTGAAAATTAGTTATTATGGTCAACAGATTGATACAGCGACCAAAAAGAGTCCTGGTGATTCAGATGCCTGATTCTTACCACTGGCTTAATGCTTTTATGAAACCAGCAAATAAGATGGACCCCCTCCCTGATCTCAGGCTAGAAGTTCATGCCCAGACAGTGCTAGGAAGGGTTGAGAGACTGGGAGTCTATGACAGAACAAGTTCATACAACTCACAGGACAAGTAGCTAGAGATGATATCGCTGTTGGTCCTGTGGCTGTAAAAATACATCATGGTCTTAAAATCTGTAGCAACTGTGTCTTAAAAGGCACCAGTGTGAGAATATTCATCTGCGTAGTATTCTTTTTTTTTCCAAAAAAAAATTTTTAAATTTAAAGTTCTGGGATACATGTGCAGAATGTACAGGTTTGTTACATGGGTAAATGTGTGCCATGGTGGTTTGCTGCACCCATCAACCCGTCACCTATGTATTAAGCCCTGAATGCATTAGCTATTTATCCTGTTGCTCTCCCTCCCCCTGCCCCCACCCCACAGGCCCCAGTGTGTGTTGTTCCCCACCATGCATCCGTGTGTTCTCATTGTTCAGCTCCCACTTACAAGTAAGCACATGCGGTGTTTGGTTTTCTGTTCCCGTGTTAGTTTGCTGAGATTATTTATTTATTTGAGACAGCATCTCACTCTGTTGCCCAGGCTGGAGTGCAGTGGTACTCAGCACAACCTCAGCTCACTGCAACCTCCGCCTCCCAGGTTCAAGCGATTCTCCTGCCTCAGCCTCCTGAGTAGCTGTGACTACAAGTGCATGCTACCACGCCTGGCTACTTTTTGTATTTTTAGTAGAGACAGGGTTTCACCATGTTGGCCAGGCTGGTCTTGAACTCCTGGCCTCAAGTGATCCTCCCACCTCGGTTTCCCAAAGTGCTGGGATTATAGATGTGAGCCACCGCACCTGGCCCCATTTCATTTATTTTTGAATCACTGTATCTTTTTATTCCCATTTCCCCTGATATCTCTCCCTTAAGCTGATCACAATTAAAAAACAAGGTTAAAACAATAATTCAAGCTTCATTGTTTTAATTTGTGTTTATTGAAAGAGTTTTAAATACCCTGCTCTTATTTTTAAATTGGATGGATAGAATATTTTGTGAATGGTGAAGCCATCAAGCAACAAAATTTATTTTTGACTAACACACCAGAGTTTTTACATCAGAATGTTTTGAAACTACTTGGAGAGAATTCTTTCTCAGATCCTCAATGAGAGCAAGATCTTCCTTTGGGGGAAGATTTTTAGAAACAGCCAAAAATGAGTAAAATCTCTGAGGCTTTAACAGCTATCCTTAGCATTCTCTAACAAGGTTTACACTTTTCTTTCCTAGTGCCTTGGGCAAGCTCCCTTGGGTTCCACCCTCCAATACCCTCCCAAGTATACCTGCTCGGTGACAGGATCTGGGGACAGGGCAGTTACTCTAGGTTCTTCTGTTCATAGGGCCTGCCCTGGCCCTCCTCTAGCCCTACCCTTCTCCATGGGTCAAGGATCTCATGGGCCCAAGTGGCTCTGTCCCACTAGACCCTCCTTGAGGCTCCAGAAACTCCCAAGTTTCCTGCCCAAGAGTCCCCAAATGCATTTTCAGGGCCCGTGTGGCCTCTCCTTCCATCTCTCCAGCCAAGGGCAGACTGCCCTGCTGCTGTGCTTACCCTTGGCCAAGGGGGGAAAGGGCAGCTGTTTGTGGGGGGCTGGGGTATCGAGGGGCATTCACCCAAGATCCCTCGTGGTGTGAGACAGAGCTGGGAGTGAAAGAAAATGGGGGAGGGGAGACCTCGAGGTTGGGGGCCCTCCCCTAATGCTGTATTTTGACTTGGAACTTTAAGGAGTGTGAAAATTCTAAATCTGAACCTGGCATTCCATCTCGTTATGAAAGTATTTGTCAAGCTAGGAGGATAGAACATATTTGATTTCATGTTATGTTAGCTTGATTTATAAGTTTAAATACTGAGGCATGTGGTCCGTGGCCTCTGTTTATACTCTTGCCCTGCATGGGTTAAGAGGCCTGAGCTGGGGCAGGCCGGTTGCTCTGGCCTGGTGTCTGCCTCCCAGCTTGGAAGACCCCATCTTCACCCCAGATCCCAGCTTTTAGCTCCCCCTTGGTGTCCTATTACTGGGCTCAGGGCCAGCCTCTTTCACCCCTCCAGCCAACCCTGGTTCTGAGAGCCCTGGGAAGGGAATTTCAACAATTGGGAACCAAACCTGGTGAATCAGGCTGGGACTCAAGCTTTTGTTTTGTTTGCTTGTGTTTGTTTCAAGATGTGGGAGGCCATGAAAGAGGAGGGCTGCTTTCTTCTGTGGCAGGCTGTCTCTTCCGGCAGCTCCACAAGAGATCTGGGGAGTTGGCAGCAGGCCAGTTGCAGGAAGTAGACGGTAGTTGGAGCTCTACTGAAACAGAGAGATCAGATGTGTCAGACAGGGAGACAGTGGAGCCCAGATTCAGGGCAAGACTGTGAGTGAAGCCTGCAAAGCCATACCAGAGCTAGATCCAGGAGGAATGACTGAGCGCTGGTCTGTAGGGGACAGCAGAACCCCCTAGAAGTGTGTTTCTCAACACTCCTCTCACGGAGAGCACTGTGAGGCATCAGGAGGAGGTCTTAGTCCAGGGTGGGAGTGTAAGACCCCCAGGGGCATGTTGATGACAGCAGAGTTTGTGCAATGCCTCCTGGGATGGTGGGCTGAGTGACTGCAGGACTTCCTTCTGTTTGGGGCCCTGTTCTCTTCTGGACTCACTGCAGGCTCTGAGATGGAGTGTCTGATGGCACCATGAGTGATGAGTAGACCAGGGTATATGTAACAAGGCACTAAAGCAGAGGGCATGCTTCAACTGGCAGAGGTCCTGTTCATGGTCCAGCCCTCCAGCAGCTGTCCTGACTGGCCTCTTCCTTGCCAGAACTCTCATGGCCAATGAGTCCGGACTTCATATTTCTCCACTTACTAAATCTACAGATGTGTACCCTGTCCCTCTACATGATAGGTCCCTCTACATTATCCCGGTAGCAGTGATAAGGCCTGACATTCTAGTGGGGTAGACAGACAAGAAATGTTACTGGCGGCGAATCTGTACAGGTCTGCAGCAACCTCAGTTCTTGCCCCCTCAGAAGGAAGAATTCGACTGAGAGACATAAGGCAGAAGGAGAGGCCGAGGCAAATTTTGGAGCAGGAGTGAAAGTTTATTAAAAAGCTTTAAAGCAGGAATGAAAGGAAGGAAAGTACACTTGGAAGAGGGCTAAGTGGGTGACTTGAAAGACAAGTGAGCTTTGAGCTTTTGACTTGGGGTTTTATACGTTGGCATACTTCCGGGATCTTGCGTCCCTTCTCCCCTCATTCTTTCCTTGGGGTTGCCTGTTGGCATGCACAGTGGCCTGCCAGCACTTGGGAGGTGAGCATGCGCAGTGTGTTTCCTAGAGTTGTACGCATGCTCACTTGAGATGTTCTCCCCTTTCCAGTCAAGTGTTCCTATAAGGTCATATACCAGTGAAACTCCACCATTTTGCCTTTGAGCTCACATGTGTGAGCCCACTCACCCAATTCCTGATCTTATCAGGAAGCTACTGATCACTTGTTTCAGGTTTTTTCCTATCTATAGGGAGACTGCCTTTCCCTGGAGCTGGCTGTGACGGATGATTCCTTAAGAGAAACTGTTAACAACCGCCCGACCATCACCTAATGTTCGCCTGACATTCCTGGTGGTGAGGCGGGGGTGGCTCTCTCCTCCTGTTTATGCCTGACTAGCTGCCCACTGTAACACAAAGACACAGAAACATACAAATGCATCTCAGTAGGACCAGAAAGCAGGGTCTGAGTGTAGAGTGTGACTGGGAGGGGGGACTGTTTTACATGGGGAAGGGGGGATCGGAGTAGGCCTCTCTGAGCAGGTGACATTTGAACAGAGGCCCCAAAGGAGTGAAGGAGCCAGGTGGGTACTGGAGAGAGAAACAGCGTTGGGCAGAAGGGTGTGAAATGAGTGAGGGGAGGGTGGTGGAAATGAGGACGGGGAGGTAGCCAGGGTCCAGACTGTAACTGCTTGAGGGGTTCTTCCTGCTCACTGCATAAACAAAGACCACAGCATTGTAGTAGAGAAAGAGTATGATAGACACAAGCCTGACCACGCCATGTGGGAGATGGAATCTGGACTCAAATCGTGTGAAGCTTCTAAGTTAGGGGTTTTTCAAAGGCAGTTTGGGGGAAGACCAGGTAATAGGTGCTTACTGCTGATTTGTTGGGGTGGAAATGAAATCAGTGGGGGTCAAAGCTGTCCTTTGAAAGGCTGAATCACTCCTGGGTGGGGCCACAGGAGTGGAGTTGGCAGTCCAGATGGAGCCATGGGTGTCAGACATGGATAAAGCCTGGAAAGATATCTGAAAAGGCCAATCTACAATAGTGGTGTTATTTGCAGGACTAATTGGGCAAGCTGCATATCTTATAACCTCCCGAATAATGGCTGACAATGTTTATATCCGCACCTTAGCGGGATTCAGGCTTCTCTCCTCCCCCAAGCCTGATGGCCTCCCATTAGCTTTACAAAAGCAGTTGAGTTTGGCACAAGGCCTATTATTTACACTGTAGCCTAAATGTCTTCCAAATTTAGCTCAGCCCAACAGTCCAGGAATAATTAAAGGAAAGGCAAGATTGGGGGAGGTTTAGCTTAGCTTACTGTTATAATTTTTCTCACTGATATAATTTTTGCAAAGGCGGTTTCCAGATGACCTGGGGCCTCATTGGTTGTGGTGAGGACTTTGGATTTTACATATGGTGATGGGCTATTGTTGGAGGGTTCGAAGTAGGACAGTGATATAATATGACATCCACAGGGAGGGAGTCATTGGGACTGCCAAGCTGAGAATGGACTGGAGGAGGCCAGACTGGATGCCTGGAGGTGCATCGGGAGGTTGCTGCAAACACCCAGGCCAGGGACGCCTGCGGTGTGCACTCAGTCACGTGTTCTCAACCAGACTGTAGGGAGTTTGTGTACTTCTAAGTGGAGGAATATGTATGTGGGTGTATGAGTGTGTGTGTTTATGTGCTTCTAAGTGGGGGTTGTGTGTGTGTGTGTGTGTGTGTGTGTGTGTGTGTGTGTGTGTGTGTATGTAAGACTATTTTCATGAACCTCTAACTAGGGTGAGTTTGGCTCTGTTGCCCAGGCCGGAGTGCAGTGGCAGGATCCTGGCTCGTTGTAACCTCCGCCCCGTCCCTGGGTTCAAGTGATTCTCATGCCTCAGCCTCCTGAGTAGCTGGGATTATAGGTGTGCATCACCACGCCTGGCTAATTTTTATATTTTTAGTAGAAACAGGGTTTTGCCATGTTGGCCAGGCTGGTCTTGAACTCCTGGCCTCAAGTGATTCGCTCGCCTGAGCTTCCCAAAGTGCTGGGATTACAGGCACGAGCCACTGCACCCGGCCTCTAACTAGGTTTTAGCACTCTTTTCAATGATAAATGTAGGCAACAAACTACAATAATATGAGCAGTGCCTGGGACTTTGTCACCACTAGAAATCACAGATGTTTTTATATCACATTACATCCAGTCCCTGCAGCTCTCTGGAAATATTGCTTATACTTATCACTACTTTGGAATTATAATAGTTATTAGACTTGCCACCAGATCTTTTTATTTAATGTGGTAATAACAAAGCACATACATTAATATCTCATAAATCTATTCTTTAAAATATTTTGGTAAATAGATGTTAATATGATTGGTTTCCTTTATAATTCTCTGTATGTTATTTTTTGCATTTAAAAATATTATTTTCATAAAGCGGTGGCAGGAGTTATGTGGACATAGTGTATGTGGCGAGAAAGGGTCAGGTTCTGGATGTGTTTTGCAGGTAAAGCTGGCAGGACTTGCAGATGGATTAAAAGTGTGGAGCAGGAGAGGAGGGGAGCGGAGTTAGGCCTCCTGGGTCTTTGGCCTGAGCAGGTGGATGCAAACCAATGGTGTCACAGAGAAGAGGCAGATGAGGGGAGGAGCAGGTTTCGGGGGCAGGAAATGGAAAGCTTCATTTTTGCATGTTGACTATTGTAAAATGAGGAATGATGATTGTGCTAGGAAGAAATCATGTTTATAAAGCTCCCGACACGTAGTAGAGCCCAGTGGTAGCTGTGATTGGTAACTTGCCCCAGATCAAGAAAGCGGCAGCAGTGAGATGGGAGCTGGGTCTCAAGAGCAGGGTCTAGTAGACAGTCGTATGTATGAATCTAGAATCCGGTCGTATATATGAATCACACTTGATTCACATATATCATGTGTGATATGATTGCAACTTAGCAAAGTGTGTATGTGTGTGAGCAAGGTCTGGAAAATGAATTAATGAAAATGAAAATAGTGGTGTTAGGTTGTTAGGAGGCTTCAGTCTACAGATGTTATTTAAAGCTTTAGGTCTAGATACAGTAAATATTAATGCACCCATTTTCTAGAATTGAGGCTCAGAACCACAAAACCCATTTGTTACCTATCATGGGCAGAGACAATTCCTTCAGCCTGGTCTTCTGCTACTAGTGTTCCCTCTTTGCTTCACCAGGCTGAAAATAACCTAGTGTGGTGGGCTAAGACCCTCCTATAAGGACGACTGCAAAGACGAATTATCCGGCAGAAGCCTCCCTGTGCTAAATCTGGCACCACAAAGAAGAAATACACAACGCTTCCTTCCATGTTGACAAGTGGAACAACTTTCTCCTAATTTGGATCCCTGTGTGCCTGCGGAGCCCATGGTCACTTCATATTCAATGCTGAAATTGAACTGCTCCAGCCACAGTACATTTCAGGCAGAGATTACTTTAGAAAGGTGGTAATTAGCTGCACAGCCAGAGATGTTCTCATATACGACTGCTCACATTGACACTAAACCTCAAACACTGTTTACCAGAAGCACAAGGGTGGTTAGTAATTTTCTCTCAGACACTAACGCCAGGAGCAGTCGTGACCAAAGTGACTGACTGGGCCTCGGTTTCCTTACCTGTGAACCAAACAGGTTCAATGAGGTGTAGTGAACATCCCAGAGGCTCTAAAGTCAGGTTTCAATTTTCTCTGAACTTGCTTGGTCTTGTGTGGGTGCCCTGCAATTCTGGGGAAGGTCCTCATCCAGGGAGGAGGGAGAGTTCCAGGTGAGGGCATCAGGCTTTCTGTTCCTGACTCATTGCTTGGATCTGGAGTAAATCCTTCTATGTTTTGGGACTGCATCCTTTTTAAGCTCCTGAAAAAGAAGGGAAGCTTTCAGAAATGACTGGAGGGATGAATTCTTTGATTACAGAGCACTTGAAACACAGTACAAAGGGCCCAGAATAATTCTTTTCTTGAATCACCATAGAAGTATTTCTCAAGTATTTTGTATCACACGGACCATGGGCATTTGTATAGAGGTAAATGTGATTCAGTGGAAAAAATGTGGGCTCCGGAGGCAGGAGACCCAGCCCCAGTCTCAGTGCTGCCACTTTCTGGGTGACCTGGGGCAAGCTGCTCATTATAGCTACTGCCGGTGCTTACTATGTGCCCGGCGCTTTATAAAAATGATTTATTCCCAGCACAATGATCATTCGCCAACTTACAGATGAGGAGACAAACTGAGTGCAGTTCTCCAGCTGGGAGATGCAGGGCTAGCATCTCGCGCATTCAGACGCGAGATGCCTGGACAGCCTCAACATCCATTCTTGTACCTTTGCAGTCTTCCCTCACCCCTGCAGGGAGGCCTGGGGAGAAAATGCACGTGAAGCACCTGGGACATTATAGTTGCTCAATACACATCAGTTTTTCTCTCATTTCCATGCTAGATATGGAAATGCAAAGAATACAGGCTGGTAGTTCCAGAGAAGATTCTTTCCATTCTCTCTCTCCCCCTGCTTCCTCCAATTATTTAATTCTCACCAGCATTACAGCCATTGAGAAATATCAGCTGGAAGGCAACTCCCCTAGCCCCTCATTCAGGACTCTGCTTTCTCGGGGTCTGTGGGAAGAGCGTTTTTGCTGACCTTACTTAGGACCAGCTCATATCCACTGAGTACTTACTATGCACCAGCTGCTGCAACCAGCACCTCGTGGGCATTTTCTCACTTCATCCTCAGAACAAGCCTGTGAGGCAGATGTGATTGACAGCTCCATTTCAGAGGTAAGCACACTGAGTCTTAAAGAGGGCCGGTCACTTTCCTGAGTCCACACAATTTGCCAGTAGCAAAGTCAGAATTAGAAATCAGATCTGCTTTATTCCTAAATTCTTCATGCCCCTTGGAAAATAGACATTTCTTTGGGCAAACTGGGATTTGCCCATCTGCTCCCAGCTGTCTCCTTTGCTCTCCTGAGAATGCAGTAAAACAAAACCAAGCCTAAAATAGGTTAAGTCTAAAATGAAGATTCCCAGGCATTTGGGAGTCCCCAGGGCTTTAAGTAAACAATCGTCATCAAAGGGAAAGCTTTGTGTGTTGCAGGGCAAAGACACACCCTCTGACTTAGTAATTGCACCCGTGGGGTTTCTGCTAAGGCTATATTTAACATAAAAACCTCCACAAGTATATTTATCAAAAAGTTATTTCAATATCTGAAATTTAGAAGCAATATAAATATCTCAAATAAGGAAATGGTTGGTGAACTACTGTGCATTGACAAGACAGAACATTATGTAACCATTAAAATTATGACTCTTTAGGCTGGGTGTGGTGGGTCACGCCTGTAATCCTAACACTTTGGGAGGTCAAGGCGGGAGGATCATGTGAGCCCAGGAGTTCGAGACCAGTCTGGGCAACATGATGAAACCTCATCTCTACAAAAAATACAAAAATTAGCCAGGCATGGCAGTGCATGCTTGTGGCCCCACCTACTTGGGAGGCTGAGGTGGGAGGATCACTTGAGCCTGGGAGATTGAGGCTGCAGAGAGCAGAGATTGTGCCAGTGCACTCCAGCCTGGGTGACAAAATGAGACCCTGTTTCAAAAAAAAGAAAAGATGATTATTTAGACTACATAGAAATGGAGAAACGTTTATGTACATATCATATATGATTAAGTGTAAACGGTATAAAATACATGTGTGATATGATTGCAACTTAGCAAAGAGTGTATGCATGTGAGCAAGGTCTGGAAAATGGATTAATGAAAATGAAAATAGTGGTGTTAGGTTGATAGAATTACAGGTGCTTTTCATTTTTCAATAAAGCAGTACCTGTTCATGTTAAAAACAATTCAAACAATAAAAAAGGTGTGATCATTAGAGAAATTCAAATCAAAACCACAATAAGATACCATCTCACACCAGTCAGAATGGCTATTATTAAAAAGTTAAATAACAGCTGGTGAGGTTGTGGAGGAAAGGAAATGCTTATACACTGTTGGTGGGAGTGTAAATTAGTTCAACCATTGTGGAAAGCAGTGTGGCGATTCCTCAAAGAGCTAAAAACAGAACTACCATTCAACCTAGCAATCCCGTTACTGGGTATATACCCAAAGGACTATAAGTCATTCTACCATAAAGACACATGTACATGTATGTTCACTGTAGCACTGTTGACAATAGCAAAGACGTGGAATTAACCTAAATGCCCATCAATGGCAGATTAGATAAAGAAAATGTGGTGCATATACACCATGGAATATTATGCAGCCATAAAAAGAATGAGATTACGTCCTTTGCAAGAACATGGAGGGAGCTGAAGACCATTATCTTTAGCAAATGAACACAGAATCAGAAAACCAAATACCGTGTGTTCTCATTTATAAGTGGGAGCTAAATGATAAGAACACATGGACACATAGAGGGGACCAACACACACTGGGGCCTATCAGAGGGTGGAGGATGGGAGGAGAGGGAGGATCAGAAAAAATAACTACTGGGTCCTAGGCCTAGTACCTGAGTGACAAAACAACCTGTACAACAAACCCCCATGACACAAGTTTACCTATGTAACAAACATGCACACGTACCCCTGAACCTAACATAAAAGTAAAAAAAAAAAAAAAAAGAGTGAAGTTGAAAGTATTTCAGCTCTCCAGTGGTAGCGCCTATCACATTTTCTTATACCCTTGTCATGAAAGAGTTTTTACATTTAAAAATATCCTTAATGCTATTTTTAGTTAAAAACAAAACAAGTCTTTTTTTTTTCACAATGGCCAATCCTCATGTCTTTCAGATCATTTGAATTTTTTAAATAAGATTTTACTTTGTTTATTATAATTATTTTTAAGTTCTCACTCTGCTGCCCAGGCTGGAGTGAAGTAGTGCAATCATAACTCACTGCAGCCTCAAACTCCTGGGCTCAAGTGATCCTCCCTCCTCAGCCTCCCAAGTAGCTGGGACTACAGGCATGTGCCACCATGCCAGGCTAATTTTTTAAAGTTTTTGTAGACATGGGGTCTCGCTGTTGCCCAGGCTGGTCTTCAACTCCTGGGCTCAAGTGATTCTCTCACTTTGGCCTCCCAAAGTGCTAGGATTACAGGTATGAGGCACTGAGTCTGGCCTGTTTATTACAATGTTTTATTTTTTTAAATTTTGGACATACAAAAAAAATTAGAATATAATATAATGGTCATATGTGTAACTTCTACCCAGCAAAAAATTTAAAACATTTAAGATGTAGTCAAGGCCTCCTCCTGATTCCTGATTCCATTCCATCCCTCCCTCTTTGTTGATACTATGACTCTCCTGAATTTACTGTTCATCGTATTTTTCTACTTTTGCTATATATATGTATGTGTGTGTGTATCTTTCTTAAAAATATTCTTGTTTTGCATGTTTTAAATTTTTCTCCAATTTATATAATACTGTTTAGATTCTTCTGAACCTTGTTTTTTTCACTCAATATTGTTTTGGTGAGATTCATCCATATTGACAAGTTTGGGCATGTTCAGGGTGGTATGGCCGCAGACAGATTCATCCATATTGATGCAAATAGCTAATTCATCATCACTGCTGTTTAATATTCCTTTCTGTGAATGTAGCAATCTCTGTTGGTGTCTTGCCTGCCTATATCCTCTGAGCACTCAGCATTTCTCTGGCTCCCACTGCCAGCACCCACACATCATTGTCCACGGGCTTTCTTGACTGTTGGAGCATGATCTGTTGCTACATGGAGCAGGCCCAAAAGCCTGGGATTTAACAGCCCCCAGGAATAGCCCTCACCAATGACTGATGGAAGTTGGTAGATAAATACCCCAGCTCCCTTGCTCCTTAGGGAGGATAACTCTGAGGCCTCACTCTACACTGCCTCCTAGAATTTCCCAGCAGGATTAAGCTGCTGTTCACTGCCCACAGTGGTAACTTCCTTGATAATCATCTCAGGCCAGGTTTTCCAGAAGCAGAAACTGAGCTGGAATTTGGGATGTAAGATGTTTATTAGGAATCAACACCTCCAAAAGGAAATGGGGGAACACAGGACTGGGCAGAAGGAGGAGGAGAACTGTGACGCTGGCCTGATAAAGCCTTGGCCAACCTGCAGGGAGCTGGGGAGCAAGTACAGTAGCACCCATTAGAGTGTCTCGTGGTGGACCCAAATGGCTGGGTCTTTATACCTCCGCCTTGCTCAGTCCCTGGCTGTGGGCTGTCCTGGAGTGGGCATGACCTTGGGTGAGGCTGCTGTCTATGGCTGAGGCAGACCCTGGGGGAGCTGACAGCTGGAGGCCCTCTGCCGATGCCAACCCCTGCAGCTTCCTGAAGGGGAATCTGGGCAGCACATCCATGTCTACCACAAGAACACAACTTGTGGCTTGTTGGCTTCTTCCTTAGTATCATATTTTGCTGTCAAACATTTGAGACCACGTCCCACATAAACTACTTGTATCTTTGTCTCAGAGTCTGTTTTTTAGAGAACTCAGACAATGATTAAATCTCAGTTTATCCATCCTCCTATCAATGTTTCCAATTCTGTGCTACTGCTAACTAAGTTGTAATGGACTTTCTTGTATAAGTCTCTTCGTGTACATGTGGGAGTTTTAAGGTCAATGTTTAGAGCAGAGTTCTTGGGTCAGAGGGTATGTATGTCTTCAATTTTGTTAGATGTTGTCAAGTTGCCCTCCAAATTAGTTGTCTTAAGTAACTTGAGTTATATAAACATTCAAAAGTTGCATGGGCCTAAAAGAATTACTGTTTCTCCCTGACTGTTCCTACCACAGAAGATTAGCATCATTGGGCATCTCTATTGTTTGCCAGAGAAAGGCATTCCATGGTCCCAGCTCTGTCATGCTGAGCATGCTTTCTGGAAGGTTAAGCTGTTACAGACTTGTGAGACTGGGTCAGTTTGAGAAAACAAACAAAATCACTTAAAAAAATACTAATAGTTTGTGTCATGATGTTGGCTACATAGACTAAGATGACATTGGTGTAGTAACTATCAAGAATCATATGTAATGGACCATTTTACAGACTGGATAATCCCTCCCACCCCAGACGTCTATGTCTAATCTCTGGAATCTCTTACGGGGCAAAAAGAACTTTGCACATGCCATTAGGCTAAGGAGATTGAGATGGAAAGTTACCTTGGATCATCCTGGTGGGCCCAGTGTAATCATAAGAGGGAGTAAGATGTGACATGACAGAAGCAGCGGTCAGAGAGACTAAGAGAGAGAGAGAGATTGATTTGAAGATGCTATGCTGCTGGCCTTGAAATAGAAGGGGCCACAAGCCAAGGAGTACAGGCAGCCTCTATAAACCTGGAAAAGGCAGGGAACAGATTCTTCCCTAGAGCCTCCAGAAGGAATGTAGCCCTGCTGACACCTTGATTTGGGGATAATACACTTGTGGTGTTTCAAGTCACTAAGTTTGTGGTATTTATTACAGCAGGAATTGGAAACTGATGCCCCAATAACCAGATAAAGAGCCACCCAAAAGGATTTGAGGGAATGGTACTCAGAGGGTACTCACAGAGAGCCTCAGAAAATGCCTCTTCCCAGCAGCCAGAGTGGAAAACCTCGTAATTCAGGCAGCATTTATTAGAGTACCAAGGAGTATCTTGCATTGGTAGGAGGGGGGAAAATTAACCCTAAATTAAATGCAGCTCTGACCTGGCCTAACAAAGTTTAAGAGTAAGACCTGAAATGATCACACTCTTTCCAAGTAACTTAATGGCATCCCAGAACAAAGCTTAAGAATATTTGTATGAATACAATACTATTCAATATCTAACAAAGTAAAATTGACAATATTTGGCATTCAAGCAAAAAGCACCAGGCATGCAAAAAAGCAGGAAAATTCAACCTAGAATGAAGAGAAAAGTCAATTAGTCAAAACTGACCCAGAAATAACACGGATGATAGAATTTGTATATAACACATTGTAAAAGTTATTATTACATATTCCATATTTCAAGAAGCTAGAGGAAAGACTGAACATGACAGAAAGACATGGACGATATCAAATAAACCTAAATTGAGCTGTTAGAGATGAAAACTACAATGTCTGAAATGAAAAATTGCACTCAATAGGACTAGTAACACAGTATACTTTGCAGAGGAGAATAACAAAGCATCAGTGAACTGTGGGATAACTTCAAGTGGCCTAATGTAAGTGGAATTGGAGAATGGAGTCCTTGAAATGGGGCTGGTATGCCAAAAATAATATTAGTCAAAAATGTTCTAAGTTTGAGGGAAACTGTAAACTCGCCGAACTGAGAAACTTAACAGACCCAAGCACAGAAACATGAAAAAAAACAACCCCAAGGCACATCACACTTAATCAAAAGCAGCTGAGAAAAAAGACACATTTATATACAGAGAAATGAAGGTAAGGATGACAGAAGATTTCTCATGAAAGCAGAGCAAGCTAGCAGACAGTGGAATGACATCTTTAATGTACTAAACAGAAAACAAAACAAAAAGCCCTGTCAAATGAGAGATCCACACTCAAAGAAAGTGTCTTTCAAAAACAGAGGTGAAATACTTTTTCAGATCTACAAAGGCTGAAAGAATAACCTCAGCAGCAGACTTAACTCTGCAAGAAATGTTATCGGAAGTCTCACAAGCAGAAGAAAAATGATACCAGATGGAAACATGGATCTACCTAAAGGATAAAGAGCACCAGAAATGACAACTATATAGACAATTTAAATACTTTTTTCTTCTTAGCTAAGTCTCTTTAAAAGATAATTGACTGTTGCCGGGCACGGTGGCTCACGCCTGTAATCCCAGCACTTTGGGAGGCTGAGGCGGGTGGATCACAAGGTCAGGAGGTCAAGACCAGCCTGGCCAACATGGTGAAACCCCGTCACTACTAAAAATACAAAAATTAGCCAGGCGCAGTGGCGGGTGGCTATAATCCCAGATACTCGGGAGGCTGAGGCAGGAGAATCACTTGAACCCAGGAGACAGAGGTTGCAGTGAGCCGAAATCATGCCACTGCACTCTAGCCTGGGTGACAGAGCAAGACTCTGTCTCAAAAAAAAAAAAAAAAAAGATAATTGACTGTTTAAAGCAAAAATAATTTAATAATTATGTAGAGGTACATCTATAACAACAATACTACAAAGGCCCGGAGGGGAGAGATAGAAATATACTGTAGTAAGTTTCTTTTCTTTCTTTCTTTTTTTTGAGACAGGGTCTTAACTGTCACCCAGGCTGGAGTGCAGTGGTGTGATCACCACTCACTGCAGCCTGAACCTCCCAGGCTCAAGTGATTCTCCTAACTCAGCCTCCTGAGTAGCTGAGACTAGAGGCATGCGCCACCACGCCCAGCTAATTTTTGTATTTTTTGTAAAGATGGGGTTACATATTACCCAGGCTGGTCTCGAACTCCTGAGCTCAAGCGATACACCCGCCTTGGCCTCCCAAAGTGTTGGGATTACAGGCATGAGCCACCGTGACAGGCCTTGTTGTAAGACTCTTATATATGAAGTGATATGATATAACTTAAAGGTAAGCAATAAGTTAAAGGTGCATACTATAAATCCGAACACAACCACTAAAATAGCAAGCAAACAGTTATAGCTAATAAGTCAACAAAGAAGATAAAAATAGAGTCATGAAAAATACCCAATTACTTAAAAAAAACAAGAACAAGAGGGAAATGTGAGTAAAAAATAGATGGGAGAAATAGAAAACACATAGCATGTGTTATAATCATGATAAATGTTATAGTGTTTATAATAACCATGTGAATAATCATGATAAATGTAAACAGGCTAAATATTGAAACTAAAGCAGGGACTGCCATGTTGGATAAGAAAAAGCAAGACTCAGCTATGTGCTCTGTGTAAGAAACCCACTTTAGGCCAGGCACAGTGGCTCAGGCCTGTAATCCCAGCACTTTGGGAGGCCGAGGTGGGTGGATCACTTCAGGTCAGGAGTTTGAAACCAGCCTGGCCAACATGGTGAAACCCTGTCTCTACTAAAAGTACAAAAAAAAAAAAAAAAAAAAAAGCACTAGCTGGGTGTGGTGTTGGACACCTGTAGTCCCAGCTACTCAGGAGGCTAAGGCAGGAGAACTGTCTGAACCCAGGTGGTGGAGGCTGCAGTGAATCAAGATCAGGCCACTGCACTCCAGCCTGGGTGGCAGAGTGAAACTCCATCTCCAGAAAAAAAAAAAAAAAAAAAAGAAGGAAAATAACTCAGTTTAAATATAAATAAATACATAAATAGCTTAAAGGTGAAAGGATGGGAAAAGATATGTCATGTTAACACTTGTCAAAACAAAACTAATGTGGTTATATCAATACCAGACAAAATAGATTTCAGAACAAAGAATATTACTAGAGATAAAGAAGATAATTTCATAATGATAAAGGGGTCAATTCATCAAGATGACATAATCTTAATGATTTATATACCTCAAAACAGCTTCAAAATACATGAAGCAAAAACTCACAGAACTGCAAGGAGTTATAGTCAGATCCACAATTATAGTTTGAGATTATAGAACCTTTCTCTTGATAACTGAGAAGAAAAAGAAAATCAGACCAAGTGGTTCAGTTCAACGGGAATGGAAAGTGCAAGAAAGGAGTGATGGAAAATGAGTTAACTATCCTGGAGGGCCAGATAGCAGGCCAAAACATAAAAACAGAGATGAACTCAGTAACTCTGGGGGCCAAGCGGGCGGGCGTGTTTAGTGAACACAAAGCTCTCCTATTACTATCCATAATTAGGACAAATAATTTCCAGTTTCCATAGTCTCAGTTATCCTTTTTATTTTTGTATAAACGATCTACAAGTGTGCACCAGAAATATTGTTGCCCTTTAATCACACAGAACTGGTCTGAAGCAGAATCCTTTGAATTGTATAAAGTCAAGCTGAGAGAATAGTCTGTGACAGACAGGGGACGCATTTTAGTGCAGTGTTAGATCCATCTCTGAGTGAAGCAAGCATAGAAGGCGGAAACAAGGAAATGATGTAAGCCACCATAAATTAAAGGATAGTGAAGAACGAACAGAGGTCCTGAGTAGATAGTCCATCCGTCTAATCATCATCTACCCATCATCCATCCATCCTTCCATCCATCCATCCTCCATCCATCTACTTATTTAAGAAATAATTATTAATACCTCGGTGGAGGAAAGTTCATCTGTATCCTCCTGACTCTTAGTCCTATTCAGGAATAACTGAGACCTCATACCTAGTTTGCCTTTAGGAAAATTACCGTCAAGGCACACACAGATTGTACCTTGGGCGGTGCTCTGGCAATAACAGATATCCTGTTGTGTGAACAATGGTCTATCCTGTCAACTCAAGCCATTTAATTTAATTTTAACTTTAATTTTTTCATTGAGACGGAGTCTCTGTTGCTGAGGCTGGAGTGCAGTAGCGCGATCTCGGTTCACTGCAACCTCTGCCTCCCTCCTGCGTTTAAGCGATTCTCCTGCCTCAGCCTCCTGAGTAGCTGGGATTGCAGGCTCCTGCCACCATGCCCGGCTAATTTTTGTATTTTTAGTAAAGACGAGGTTTCACCATGTTGGCCAGGCTGGTCTCGAAGTCATGACCTCAAGTGATCTGCCCACCTCGGCCTCCCAAAGTGCTGGGATTACAGGTGTAAGCCACCACGTCTGGCTTCAAGCCATTTTAAATCAGGCCCCCAAAACACTGGGTTGTCAGGAATTAGGGTAGAATGAGAGACATACTTAGATCAAATTGTGTTGAAGGAAGAGGGAGCCATTTAGACAAGAGACCCTTCTTCAAGAAGGGATACAGAGATGGATGGGAGTGGAAGTTCACGTCTCTCCCTCTATGTCTTCCATTCCTCCCCTGATTCTGCCTCTTCTACCCCCAACCCAAGAGCATGATTTGGTCCTTAAGAGCCAACCAGCCTCTTAGTTGACAGATGTGTGAACCTCTCTTAGAAATGCTGGAATAAACCCCACTCAAAAAGAAATCTGGAGTCTGGAAGAGAGGATCAGGTTTGGAGTCTACATGCGCCTAGATTCAAGTGCCAGCTCTAACACTTAGAAGTTGTATAATCTTTTTTTTTGAGACAGTTTCACTCAGTAGCCCAGGCTGGAGTGCCATGGCACGATCTTGGCTCACTGCAAACTTCACCTCCTGCATTCAAGTGATTCTCATGCCTCAGGCTCCTGAGGGGCAGGGATTACATGCTTGTGCTACCATACCCAGCTAATTTTTGTATTTTTAGTAGTGATGGGGTTTCACCATGTCGGCCAGGCTGGTCTCGAACATCTGACCTCAGATGATCTGCCCTCCTCCACCTCCCAAAGTGCTGGGATTATAGGTGTGAGCCACTATGCCTGTCCTCAAAGTTGTATAATCTTGATTAAGTCATTGAACTTCTCTAGGTCTTGGTTTTCTCATCTGTAAAATGGGGATACTAACCTTATACAGGTGGTTGAGAGGATTAAACCAAATAACAGGTGTGGGTATAATATTTCCCAAGCTATAACCTTGAGTATCCCCCAAATATCGAATTTTGTTTTTCTGTAATTTAAACAATATCTTGAGCTCCCATTTTAACTACTGATTAAATATAAACAACAATAACAAAATAGTCAATTCTAAGCAAATTCAGACACTTAAATGTGTTTCTTGGTCATTTTAGTTTTAAGCTTGCTCAAGTCAGTATTTTCTCCTTCTCTTTCTTCTCTCTGGGGAGTTCTCCTCTGTCCTGGGGTTGCTCAAGTGTTAGCTCCGTAGTGGAGAGAGACACCTGCCCTTGTTTATTTCCTGAAACTTAATTCATCTTGACTAGCCTTTGGTCCAGAATTTGCTGGCATCTTTTGGGACATCCACACACCTCCCTTACCTGTTACCAGGTCTGCACAAGTCCCTCTATACTCTTTTTGTCCTTCTTAGAGCCTCAGAGACCCTCCTAGGCCATTATCTTTAAAATGTTTTAAATTTACCTTAAATAAACAACTAACAAACCCATATCATCCACCATGACAAGGGTACAAAAAGGAAAACAAAATTCTCTCATCTGTCCTTGTCCCACAGCCCCCTACTTCTCCTCCCTAGGGGCAACCCTTTTTACCAGTTTCTTATGTGTCCCTTCAAAAATAATTTAAGCATATATATATATATGCTTGTAATGCATATATAGTCAATGCATTATATGTATTATATATATTATGCTTGTAAATGCATATATATTATGCTTGTAAATGCATATATATTAAAAATCATCTATCATTGATCTAAGTTCACTATGGACTTTAACTCGTACACACACACATACATATATATAACCTTGTTAACTGCCTTAGAAAACAAAGCCTAAGGCAAAGTTTCTGTGCTAACACTTTATGGAGGGACAATCTCAGAGCACAGCATGAGTCAGCGGAAAATGGAAGTGAGATGGTGTACTAATTTCCAAGTGCTGCCATAACAAAGTACTGCTAATACATACGGGATGGCTTAAAACAACAGAAAGGTATTCTCCCACAGTTCTGGAGGCTAGAAATATGAAGGCAAGCTGCCGGCAGGGCCATGCTTCCTTGGAAGCTTCTAGGAGGAGGATCCTTCCTTGTCTCTTCCAGTTTCTGGTAGCCCCAGATGTTCTTTGGCTTGTGGTGGTGTAATGCCCATCTCGGCCTCTGTTGTCACATAGCGTTCTCCCCTTGTGTCTGTGTCTGTGTGTCTCTCATCTTCTTATAACACCAGTCACCTTGGCTTAAGGACCCACCCAACTCCAGTATAACCTCGTCTTTTATTACATCTGCAATGATCCTATTTCCAAACAAGTTCACATTCTGAGGTACTGGGGGTTAGGACTTCAACATATGTTTGTGGGGGCACAATTCAACCCATAACAGGCAGGAAAGTAATCTCATGATGATGTTGCCAAGCTGGCTGAAGCTTCACAAGAAACACAAAGCATTTGGGTTCACATGGCAGATCTCCAGAGAGGCACATGGGGCCACTGTGCCTCAAAACAGTCTTTTTGGGATGTGAGGAAGAAACGAATTTATCTGCAGGATCTTATCCCCCATCTCTCATTGGTCAAAGTTCACCCACGGGGCTTCAACTCACTCATATTTTTAGATGGAGTTCCTGCCTCCTATGGACGGCCACTAGAGAAGCCAGATCCCGTGGCCCATGGCATAGCACTTCATCCAAGTCAGAAGTGTTGGGGGTGCCTGGGCCTCAGTGGGCCTGGGCGGGGTAGGTCCAGCGCTCAGGTGTAGAACCAGGAAGGGGCGGTAAAGCAAGAGCCTGTTGCAGGGTTGTTCCCAGGGCCAGCCTGCCTTACAATGGCCTCTGAGTCCCAAATCGTCTTCCTTCACATGGCTTGGACTCTTATTTTCTCTTAATTTATCTGTCAGAAACTGCAGAGAATTATCAGGCATCCATTAAGGGCTTAAAGGCAGACTCTGAAAAATTTGACTACGCCTGCGAGTATCAGCAACCATGTGGGAATCTTAACTTCCGGAGATTACTGTTCTCTTTTACAACTTTCAACTGATTTTTATTGAGCACCTACTAGGTGGCAGCCACTGTGTAAGGCACTAGGAATATCGCAGACAAAGGAGCTTGTGTTCAAGAGGGAGAGAGACAATAAACAAACGTTGAATGCAATTCTAATAGAGCCCTGATCGGGGAAATACAGGGAATTATAAGATCCAGCCTTGCCTATGTTGCTATTTATATTCTCTTCTTAACTTTAAAATATCAAACAAGAAAATCTGGAAAACATAGAGATGTTCAGGAGCAGTGCAAGATGCTATATGTTCCTTTTATTACTGAGCAGACAGGAGTTGCACTGAGGGGAAGGGAATTTTGTTGGTTGGAGGGGAGGTAGGTAATAGATACTTTTGTCCGGCCTTGGTCTGGATGGCTTAGGGCATCCTAAATTCAAGGAAACTCAGCCCAGCACAGGAATCTGACTTTATTGTGCATCCTACTTTCTTGGAGAGCTTGTTAAAAATGATAGCTTCCCGGAGCCTACTGTCAGAGATTGATTCCCAATGTGGGACAGGGGCCAAGAACAGATGCTTGGCCCATTGCGGCTTTCAGTACATTTCTGTTGAATAAATGAATTCTAATGCAGGCAATCCGAGGATCACACTTGGATCTAGAGAGAGCGGCAGAGGGAAGTTTCTCCCATCTCCTAGATATTCCTAGGGCCATCCCGTACTTGGGAAAGGAGAAAGGAAACCCTATTCCCACCTCGTGCCTCGTATGTCCTGTGGCCTCCTCCTCCTAGGACCCAGAATTCAGGCTGGCAGTATTTATACTCTAGTTCAGTTCTATTTGGGGTTAAAAACTTTTGAGAGTTGGTCTGGGAACTTAACCAAGATTTATATAGCATTATTTCTATTGGAAACTAATTGAGATTCAAAATGTTTATGAGCATAAAATGTTTTCATTCTTATTATCCCATGTAAACTTTGCAACGTCCTCCGGAGCAGATATTGTAATTATTTTCGTCTTATAATGGAGGAAACTGTTGTTAGTGACTTAAGTGGAATGTTAACAGTCCCTTCACTGCACTTTCACGATTCCATTGCCCACTAAATCTTAGGCCTGTGAACACCTTTCTTCAGATATAATAAACTCAGGAACGGAAGCAGGGTCCAGGCATCTGTTTTTCCTGTCTTTGTATCTGTTGTATCTTCGAGCTGGTCTTTTCTCTGATCATCCACTTTGCTGGTTGTGTGTGCTTGGTGGGGGCTTTGGGTGAAGCCCCTGCAGAAGCTGCTTCAACCCTAGCCCTTCATTCAAGTCTTCGGGGCGGGGGTTAATTCTTAATTCGAATAGCACTGGGAGTAGGTTTGGAGGAGTGGGTTGAGGGCGGGTTAAGGAGTTTGAACCATGTCTGTAAGCCAATCGTTTCATCCTTGGTTGTGCCTCAAAATCACTTATGCCCAATCTTTTAAAAACACACAGGCTGGGGTCCAAGACCAGTTCTACGAATCAGATTCTATGGTGGGATGGGGAGTGGGGCCTGGGCATCGGAATTTGAATTTAGGTCATTCTGTCACCTAGCAGGGTTGACATTCTTGCTGTAGGCATGCAGGCAGTGAGTGCGTAGTTATTGAAGGAAGGGAGTGACAGCACTGTTTTAGGAAGATTAATTTGGCAATTGTAGGAGGGAGAGAGGGGAAAGGAAGAAAATTGGAGGCAGGGAAACTAGTTAGGAGGCTCCAGAAATAGACTGGGGATAGATGTGCTAAGACCTGAAACTGGCTGGTGATGGGAACACCATGTGGAAGGCAGTTGGAAGGGCTCTGTGACACTTGGGTGTGGGCCGAGGGTCAGGGAGTGAAGAAAGAAAGACAATAAGTCAATGGTTTTCAGCAAAACCCACTAAAGCAAACACTTTACTTTCTCCAGTCATCAATTCTTTATTCGGGAAGTGAAACCTACAGCAATGGATTTGGTGTTTCCTTACTGTCAGCAAGGCTCAGTGATCAATAGTCAGTCTAGGCTTTGTGATTCTCTCTCTCTCTCTGTCTCTATCTTTCGACGGAGTCTTGCTCTGTCGCCCAGGCTGCAGTGCAGTGGCGCGATCTCCGCTCACTGCAAGCTCCGCCTCCTGGGTTCACGCAGCCATTCTCCCGCCTCAGCCTCGCGAGTAGCTGGGACTACAGGCGCCCGCGACCACGCCCGGCTAATTTTTTTCTTTCTTTTCTTTTCTTTTTTTTTTTTTTTTTTTGTATTTTTAGTACAGACGGGGTTTCGCTGTGTTAGCTAGGATGGTCTGGATCTCCCTACGTCGTGATCCGCCCGCCTCGGCCTCCCAAAGTGTTGGAATTACAGACGTGAGCCACGGCGCCCAGCCTGCCTGCTTTCTTCCTTTCTTTTCTTTTCTTTCTTTTCTTTATCTCTCTCTCTCTCTCTCCCTCTCCCTGCCTTCCTTCTTCTCTTCTCTTCTCTTCTCTCCCCTCCTCTCCTCTTCTTTCTTTCTTTTTTTCTTCCTTTTCTTTCTCTCCTTTCTTCCTTCCTTTTTTTTTTTTTTTTTGAGACGGAGTTTCACTCTATTGCCCAGGCTGGAGTGCAGTGGCACATCGTGACTCACTGCAATCTCCACCTCCAGGGTTCAAGTGATTCTCCTGCCTCAGCCTCCCAAGTAACTGGGATTACACACGCCCACCACCATGCCCGGCTAATTTTGTATTTTTAGTAGCGACGGGGTTTTGCCATGTTCGCCAGGCTGGTCTTGAACTCCTGACCTCAGATGATCCACCCGCCTTGGCCTCCCAAAGTGTTGGGATTACAGGCATGAGCCACCATACCCGGCCCTCCCTCCTTTCCTTCCCCTTCCTCCTTTCCTTCCTTCCTTCCCTCCTTCCTTCCTTCCTCTCTCACTCTCTTTTTCTTTCTTCTTTTCTTCTCCTTTCTTTTTCTTTCTTTCTTCTTTTCTTGAGACATGGTCTCACTCCAATGCCCAGGCTGGAGTGCAGTGGCACGATCATGGCTCACTGTAGCCTCGACCTCCAGGGCTCAACTGATCCTCCCACTTCAGCGTCCCTAGTAGTTGGGACTACAGGCACACGCCACCACACCTGGTTAAAATTTTTTGTATTTTTAGTAGAGACAGAGTTGCACCATGTTGTCCAGGCTGGTCTCAAACTCCTAGGCTCAAGTGATCCTCCCGCCTCTGCTTCCCAAAATGCAGGGATTGCAGGCATGAGCCACTGCGCCCAGCCACGGGCTACAGTTATTTTCTAGAAGGATTCAGCAGTGTGTCAACAGGGATGCAAAGCCACAGGAAAAACATGGTGTCTCTCTTTAGAGCAAGGTTTAACAAACTTTGACTATAAAGGACCAGTAGTAAATATTTTAGGCTTTTCAGGCTACATAGTTTCTGTAGCAACTATCTAACTGCTGTCATAGCGTCAAAGCAGCCATGACAATATCCAAGTGAATAGGCATCGTTGTTGTTCCAATAAAACATTATTTACAAAAACAGGTGCTAAGTTGGATTTAAGCCTCGCAGGCTTAAGTCTGCAGGTTATAGCTGGCCGACGCCTGGTCTAGAGCACCGATGTTACTGGAAGATTTCAAGGGAATTTTTTTTTCTAATTTTTTTTTTTTTTTTTTTTTGGTGATGAGGTCTTGCTCTGTCATCCAGGCTGGAGTGTAATGGTGTGAATTCGGCTCACAGCAGCCTCAACCTCCCAGGCTTAAGCCGTCCTCCCACCTCAGCCTCCCAAGTAGCTGGGACTGCAGGCGTGTGCCACCATACTTGGCTAACTAAAAATTTTTTTGTAGAGATAGGGTCTCCCTATGTTGCCCAGGCTAGTCTCAAACTCTTGGACTCAAGCAGTCCTCCTACCTCAGCCCCCACAAAGTGTTGGGATTACAGGCGTGAGCCTGGCATAAACATTATTTTTGAAACCCAAGTTTTTACACGGTCTCCAATTTCTAGCGTCACCTTCTGTTTAACATCTGTGTTAGGCCATTCCTGCATTGCTATAAGGAAATATCTGAGACTGGGTAATATATAAAAAAAGAGGTTTAATTGGCTCACTGTTCTTCAGGCCATATAAGAAGCATGATGCTGGCATCTGTTTGGCTCCTGGGGAGGCCTCAGGAAGCTTCCAATCATGGCAGAAGGTGAAGGGGTAGCAGGCATCTCACATGGTGGGAGCGGGAGCAAGAGAACCAGTGGCAGGGAGGTGCCACACACTTTTAAACAACCAGATCTCGTGAAAACTCACCCACTATTGCAAGGACAGCACAAAGCCACGAGGGAGCTGTGCCCATGATCCAATCATCTCCCACCAGGCCCCACCTCCAACATTGGGGATTACAATTCAACATGAGATATGACGGGGACACAGATCCATATCAACATCCAACCAGTACTGTTCTGCAAATGCAGGCTGTGCAGTGCACAAAGGCAGCTAAGCAAGGGGACAGGTGGGGGCTTGAACCAGCCTGGTAACATGTGCAGTGTGGAAGAAAGGGGTGCATTTCGTAATTCATTGTTCAGATGAGCTCCTTTTGTGTGGTTTGCATAAGAGCATCATATATGCTAGTCACAGCCTTGACATGCTCCACACTCTCACGTGACCTGACTTCAGTAAGTCAGTCTGTCCCCCTCTGCAGTACTTCTTGAAGTCCTGAGAAGGGAACAGTTTCTGTTTCTCAAGTGATGTTGAGCTTGTTTGCCAGGTGTTGGCTTGCTGCCTCTCTATCGGTCACTGTTGGCCACCTTGGGACCCCTTTTCCAAGCTGCTCCACCTGGTCCACCTTCTCACAAAGGTAGACTGAGGCCTCCCTCTGACTTCAGGTACTTGTCAGACAAGGCCAGCAGGGGTACTAGACCAGGCCAAGGCTCGAAGCAAACATAAAAGAGTTATAGCTAAAAACCAGAAACCTCAACATCAGACATCACATGTGTCTTGGTTGAAGCCAGCTTTTTTAGATCATTCATCAGTCACAATACCTGGTTAGAAAAACCTGAATTCGTTTACCTGTTTCAGACCTCCCTTCAGAAGTAGAAGCCTCATGTCTGATGATCTGATGGACTTATCAGCTTTACGCCTTCCGCTAAACAAATGGGGATTTTTTTTTTTTTTTTTTTTTTTGAGACAGAGTTTCGCTCTGTCACCCAGGCTGGAGTGCAGTGGCGCAGTCTCGGCTCACTGCAACCTCCACCTCTCAGGTTCAAATGATTCTCCTGCTTCAGCCTCCCGAGTAGCCGGGATTACAGGCGCCTGCCATCACGCCCAGCTAATTTTTGTATTTTTAGTAGAGACGGGGTTTCACCAGGTTGGCCAGGCTTGTTTTAAACTCCTGACCTCAGGTGATCTGCCCACCTCAGCCTCCCAAAGTGCTGGGATTACAGGCGTGAGCCACCGCGCCTGGCCCAAATGGAGATTTTTAAAAAACGAAACTAAATGTACAATTGTATACATTTTGAAAACAAAACACAAACCTTGGAAGAAATTTTGCATTTTCTATAAGTATCTTTGAGCCATGGTCCTGGGTTTCTGGGTGCAAAGCCACTGGGCTCTGTCTGCCATTAGAGACGCTTCAGTAGAAAACCCTGAGAAGCCCTGAGTTAAGTACTTTCATCTTATTTAGCACGGATGCACTGACTTCTTAGAAACTGCGTATCTGGTATCAAACATGAATGCCTTTGGCCAGTTTAAATGAGTTCCCATTTTCTTTTTGAAACTCCATCCTCATTTTCCTACTGATAGATTTGGCTTACTGCTTTGAGGCTCTGAAGTTTGAGGCTGCTTGCTTTAGGAAAATCTAGCTCCTTGCCATGGCTGCACATTGGTTCTCCTGAAAGTGTAAGGGCTTATTTTCTCTTGGAAATTCTGGGTCCTTATAAACCCAAAATCTGATGTGCTCATTCAGGTCTTAGGGCTTCCAGACCCAGAGCTCACCATGCACCTGCACCCAGCAGTGACTCTTCTGCCTTTCCCAGGGAGCGAGGCTTCATTGTCAGAGGAAGGGGCAGGAGGGACATCTTGTCCTTTGCCCAATCCCTGAACTTGGAGAGCCTCTCTTGTCCCTGCTTTGTCTGTGAAGCGGTTCCTAGTTGCTTTGAGATTTTCCAACTGAAAGCTGCCTTGTTAATACAAAGTAAGAACTAGGGCATTTCAGCCTTAGGGAAAAAACTATCAAACAAAACACAGCTCAGACACGGTTTTAGCATCAGAAGAATTTTTAGCGGGAGGGGACATTCAGTCCCTCTGAATTCGACATTGGAGTTTCTCACTGGGTCCAGAGATGTCGCTAGGCCTAAGGTGGCCAAACCCTCTGCCCTTGTCTTTCAGCAGAGGTGGCCTGCCATTGGCAGGCAGTGCTAAGTACAAAGGCAGCATCAACCCCAGATCAGGGCAGCTGAGGTCCTTGTTCGGCACCCTCTGCATTTCTCTGGCTTTGCCCCTCGCTGTGGAGTGAGAACAAGCAGCCAAGGGAAGCCAAGGACAAGGAACACTCCCCAGATCCCTGGGGGTCTCTGAGGGTCCTGGCATTCTCTGCTGAAGTGACCCCAAGCCCTCTTCAAGGGACTTGTTGAACTGTTTCCCAAATCCATCCTCCCAAAGGTGGGAAGTGCATCTGATGTACACACCTAGGGGCCCAAGAGGTGGTCAAGGGACAGCTGTTTGCTGGTGAAAGCACATGGTTGGAGCTTGGACAGAGTTGTTTGCATACATGCATGCAAAGCCCTCGGTGGTAAGAAACGGAACCGGGGTAAGTAGAGAAGTGGCATGAGCCGTGGGCCAGGGAGCCCCCATTTACATTCTCATCCCAGCCCCTGCAAATGTTAGGTGTGAGCCTGCCAAAGGAAGAACAGATGGAAAATCTCCAGAAAAAATAACAAGAATCATGAAACCAACACATTTACCAGAGCTCCTGTTTTGGTGGTGAGAGACGCGTCCCCAAAGCCACTGCACTGATAAATCTGGACACGAAGCTTAGTTTATTTTTCATTTAAAAATCAGATAAAATATTAGTTATTTCAATAATGGGTGCATTTATTTTTAAAAGGGTGATAATAGCTCCCTATGTGATTGTGAGGCTAAAATGAGAATGTGTGCCGTGGAGGGGAGCTATTATTACATGTTAATAAGATTCTTCTTTTTCTATTTTCCTCCAGCTGGTCCCTAAGATAATGTTCAAAGCTTTTTCTTTCATTTGTCTTGCTCTGTCTGGTGGGATATTGTTAATAAAAACCAGATACTAAGACATTTTTAAATGTCAAGTGAAGACAAGTTAATAATTGCTCTCCCACAATATGAGAGCAAACGGTGGTCCAGGATCAAAAGCCATGTTTTTCTCCTTTTTGGAGCTGCCAAAATTCCCTTAGGAGTGTGCACCAGGTAAGTGTAAGAACAAGTTCAGAATCTGAATGACATTGTCACAGCCCATGCCAGACCCTAGCTGAGGCCTCTCTCCACTTTGATGTGATTAAATCCCAGTCTTGTCTGCAAAGAAAGCACAGGCTGAAAAACCACGCAGATGAGCCAGGCAATCTGCCCAAATATCAAAACACAAGACCTGCGGATAGTCCTTCAGTGCCCGCGGAGTTGTAAGGGATGTGGCTTGTGCTGGGAAACACAGTTATCATCCCTTACACTTTGTGGAGCTCTTTGTTATTTGCAAAAGGCATAGACATGATTTCATGCCATCCTCCCACAGAGAGCAGAGCTTGTCCACATGGAGCACCTGGAGACGAAATCCTTGGCATTTCCAAAACTCCCGTTTTAGGGGGTTTGGACAGAATGACATTGGCTTTGTGGGTTGGGCAGGGCACCATGTTCTCAGTAAGTAGTGCATAAGTGGCTGCTGGGACTCAGTTGTGCCATCCTCTGCAAGACTCCTAACAAGTGTACAAGCCACAGATGCCTTCAGGGAAACAAAGTCTGGCTAACCCCACCCCCACCCCTGGGCCCCCAGCTGTGGCCCTTCCCATCAAGACCCTGCTCATGGGGAGGCTGCTGAGCTTCTACTTCATGGATAGGACTTTTTTATTTTTAATTTTTTATTTTTAGAGACTCCCTATGTTGCCCAGGCTGGTCTTGAACTCCTAGGCTCAAGCAATCCTCTCACCTCAGCCTCCCAAAGTGCTGGGATTGCAGGTGTGAGCCACTGCACCTGGCCTGGATAGTGGGTTGTGTCTCTGCTCTGCCTGCCCTGCAGGAATGGCTGCTCCTCACCGGGGTGGGCATCAGGAGACTTGGGGTTTGAGCCCCAAATGTCTGAAAGGGATCTCTGGTCTGCAGATCTGGCTGGACAAAGCAGCCTTGGGCATGTGAGAGCCTGGAGCTGGGCATGCAGTATCCTTATCATGGGAAGGGAAATGGGCTACTTTGTCAGCTTTTTCCTCTTTCAGCAGCACATGTTGCTCTGGCTGGGGAAATGGTAGAACTAAGATGATTCTCCAGAAGGCCTGTCAGTGCCGTGGGGCAGGAACAGCCAACCCCTTGCAGTTAGCAGTTCCCAGGAACCAAGTCTAGGTGTTTTCTCAAAGAGCAACAACCCCTCTTCTCTATGGTTCTGTGAGGCCGCCCCTCTTTCTCCAGATAGAGGAGGAAAGACTGGATGCCTCCTTCTGAGTCCTCATGGCTTTTAACCCTCTTGGAAGACAGAGGGAACACATCCCTGAGGGGGCCAGGGTGAGCCCAGGACGGGTGCAGAACCTGGGGTCCAATGCCCGGAACTGATGTTGGGCCCTAGGCTGGATCAGGTGGACAGAGCTTAAATCAGAAGTAGACTGGGCCTGCACTGAGAGTGAGTGTCACGAGGAGTTGAGGAGAGGTGGGGCCAGGGGTTCCAGGAGTGTCGAACCGATGATGGAAGCAGGGAGCAGGTGAGCAGGAGCCAGGTGGGGTGGGAGCCCCAGGAATCAGCAGGTTCCAGGTGGAAAAGAAGCAAGAGGATCAGGAATTTGGCTAGAGGTGACAGGGGCATATGGAGAAGGCTGCTCCTGACTGGCAGTCCTATAGATTCATCGGAGTTAAGAGAGAGAGACAGTCCACCCCAATTGTTCACTCCTATGAGGAATATTGTACAAATTAAAGGAAAAAAAAGAGAAAACCCTATAGGATTAAAAACTGGTCAGGCAGCCAGGTGCGGTGGCTCACGCCTGTAATCCCAGCACTTTGGGAGGCCGAGGCGGGTGGATAACGAGGTCAGGAGTTCAAGACCAGCCTGATCAACATGGCGAAACCCTGTCTCTCCTAAGAATACAAAAATTAGCCAGGCGTGGTGGTGCACGCCTGTAGTCCCAGCTACTCGGGAGGCTGAGGCAGAATCACTTGAACCCGGGAGGCAGAGGTTTCAGTGAGCCTAGATTATGCCACTGCACTCCAGCCTGGGTGACAGAAAAAACAAACAAACAAACAAAAAACAGGTAAGGCGCGGTGGCTCACAGATGTAATCCCAGAGCTTTGGGAGGCAGAGGCAGGCGGATCACTTGAGGTCAGTAGTTTGAGACCAGCCTGGCTAACATGGTGAAACATCGTCTCCACTAAAAATACAAAAATTAGCTGGGTGTGTTGGTGTATGCCTATAGTCCCAGCTGCTTAGGAGAATGAGGTGGGAGAATCACTTGAACCCTGGAGGTTGAAGTTGTGGTGAGCCCAGATCACACCACTGCACTCCAGCCTGGGTGACAGAACAAGACTCTGTCTCAAAACAAAATACAATAATAAAAAATAAAAACAAACTCTTTCATACACTGGCATCTACTTTCCTTTCTAGCCTCACCTCCACCAGTTTTTTTTTTTTTTTTTTAGTAACCTACATCCCAGCCCAAAAAGTCTGTGTTTTCCTTAATACCTTGTGCTTTCCTGCCTCTATGCCTGACTAAGCCATTTTTTGTCCCCAAAATGTCAATTCACTGGCTCTCTGCCAGTGGAAATCTTATTCGTTTATCCTGAATAGGCAAAGGATGCCAACTCATTTAAGAGATACGATTAGGAAGAATATGGAAAAATAGTTATCAAAGAAATGTGAATTAAAATAACAACAAGGCATCATGGCATAGTTATAAAATCATAGCAAATTATAAGAAAACCAAAAACAGCCCACCCAGTGCGGACACCGTTTTGCTGAAACAGGTACATCTATTGCTGGAGACATTGTAAATGGGCTGCGATATTTCTTTTATGTATCAACTTGACTGAGCTAAGGGATGCCCACATAGCTGGTAAAACATAATTTCTGGGTGTGCCTGTGAGGGTGTTTCCAGAAGAGACAAGCATTTGGATTGACAGGCTGACGAGGGAGGATCACCCTCACCAATGTGGGCAGGCACCATCCAATCTGTTGAGGGCCCAGATAGAACAAAAAGGCAGAAGAGGTGCGAAGTTGATCTCTCTGCTTGAGCTGGGACATCCATCTTCTCCCGTCCTTGGATATCAGTGTTCTTGGTTCTCTAGCCTTTGGACTGGGACTGGGACATATGCTTTCGGCTTCGTGGTTCTCAGACCATTGGGACTGGACTGGAATTATACTACCAGCTTTCCTGAGCCTCCAGCTTGCAGACAGCAGTTACAGGACTTCTCAGCCTCCATAGTAGGCAATCCCTCAGAATAAACCTTTTTCTATATATCTATATGTATCCTACTGGTTGTGTTTTTCTGGAGAACCCTGCCTAATACATGGGCCCAAACTTCTGGGGGAAACAATGAAGTAATATATTTCAAAAGAGACAGAAATGTTCCTGTACCTTGATGCCCATCAATCCTATTTTGCAGAGTTGAGCTAAACAAAATGACACTAAAGAAAAAAAAAGCTACGTGCATAAAGATACCTCTTGCATCATAGTCATCATAATTTTTAACAGTGAAAAGACTGGAAATAGCCCAACTATCTCACAGCAGGGGACTCTAAAGGAAATTACACTCAGACAGATGGAAATTATGATGATGAAGACTATTTAGCCAAAGGAAATGCTTATAACATAATGCTCACGAGACACAAAGTTTATTGTGACTACACTATAAAAATCACATAAATGTATGGATAAGGATATATAAGGGAACAGAGAGAAAGGAAAATCACTACTTATTAGGGTATTATTTTTATTAGAGTGTTGCTGATGTAATAAAAATCTCCTAGAGGAAATTTCCTTCAAAACCCCTGATTCGTTTTGTTCCCATCTGGTCTGTGGTCCTTATTGCATTGTGCCTTGAGTGTAATAATTTGTGTCCTAGTTTTAGCCCCGTTTGGACCATAAACTCTTCAAGGGCAAGGACTATGTTTTACTTTTCTTTGTCTCACCTGAGCACTTGTATCTCCCTGGAACGTAATAATATTCAACAATTATTTATTAAGCAAATTAACCATTGCTAAGGATTATGTTGTGCTTAAAAATAAAATTCAACAGATCATTCTCTCCATTCTCCTGTCTCCTGGCAAAAGGCACTCAACTAAATAGATATCTATATTATCTTTAGGCTTCCTGGGAAGGAAAATCCACATTCAGAAATCTAGCATTTTATACCTGGAATGAAACATAGATGCAGTAATGCGGGCAACACTTGGGAATCTGGGAAACTGAGGCTCTTGGGACTTATTTACCTTTGCCCCTTAAGGCAACAAGATGTTTAAAAATTGAAGTCATTCTTAGGTTTACCACCTGGGGCCAACTGGATCCTGGCCAGAAGGAAAAAACGATCCACCACTCCTAATGGGAGCCCAGAGCTGCTGTGCCTAAGCCAGGTCTCTCTTTTACGAGCCTGTCAGGGCTAATTAGAAGACAGGAAATGTGATAACATGGCTCAAGCTTAAGCTTCCCAAAGAAAATAACAGGAATCCAATGCTGAACTCTTTTTAGGTACTGATCCCTTATTGCCTGCCAGACGCTTTATGCACATCAACTTACGCTCCCATTTTACAGATAAAATCTTAATGTTCAGAGAGACTATGTGATTCACCCAAGGTCAAATAGCTTTTGTTTCGATGGGGCCTGTCAGGATCCCAAAGCAACCACAGGCTCTTAAGCATCCCTACCCAGCATGCCTTGGAACTCACAATAAATAGGCCCATTTTGTCTCTCTGTCCAGGTTGATGAAGCCTCGGCATCTTCCTTTTCCTTTCCCCTTTATTCTTGCATGTACAGATATTGGCCCTTTTCTGCAGCCTGGCTGCAGAAAAGCCTATTTTCACCTGGCTTAACATTTTTCTTGTTTTCAGACTGGGTCACCAAGCCAATGATTTTATTCCATGCTCTTTGAATCCACTGTGGTCATCAGTCATTTTCTCCTGAAGAAAATCACACACTCCCTTGTATCAGTGACCTTTCCTGAGGTCTGAGCATATATATCATTTCTAGGACATGTTTTCTTTAACTGAATACAGTCTCGCATACTGGGGATAAGGTTTGGGGATTGCTATGATTTAGATGTATCCCTTCCAAACTTCAGGTGTTGCCAACGTGATAGTGATATTAAGAGGTGAAGACTTGGCTGGGCGCGGTGGCTCACGCCTGTAATCCCAGCACTTTGGGAGGCTGAGGCAGGCGGATAAGTTGAGGTCAGGAGTTTGAGACCAACCTGAGCAACATGGTGAAACCCTGTCTCTACTAAAAATACAGAAATTAGCCAGGTGTGGTGGCGGGCGCCTATAATCCCAGCTACTTGGGGAGGCTGAGGCAGGAGAATTGCTTGAACCCAGGAGGCAGAGGTTGCAGTGAGCTGAGAGCATGCAACTGCACTCCAGCCTGGGTGACAGAGCAAGACTCTGTCTCAAAAAAAAAAAAGAAAAAAAGAGGTGAAACCCTTAAGAGGGGATTAGACCATGAGGGCTCCACCCTGAGGACTGAGACTAGGTGCCCTTATAAAAGGGCTTGATGGAGGGAGTAAGTCCCTCTTGCCCTTCTGCCTTCCACCGTGTGGCACCATCTTGGAAACAGAGACCAGACCCTCCCCAGACAACAAACCTGCCAGTGCCTTGGTCATGGACTTCCCAGCCTCCAGAACTGTGAGAAATAATTTCTGTTCTTATAAATTACCCGGTCTATGGTACTTTGTTATGGCAACACAAACAGACTAGGAGAAGGATTAAAACAGCAGTTGTTCCAGAACAGTTTCTTCCAACATTATGCTGATTTTCTTTTTTCTTGGACGCTTTTTTACAAGTTGCACTTTTTAAATGTGATATTCTCCTACTCTTGCTGAGGCCTCTACTCCTCTTTTCTTTCATACATTTTTGTCTGTGGTGCAAAACTGACACTTTTTTGTTTCTCTAATGCGAGCAACAATAACATCTAATTAATATGCAGCTACACTCAGGCCGAGGCAGAAACCCTTCCATCTGCTGTTCTGCGATAGCTGCTTCCCCTTTTGCTCACTTATGTTCTTTTTAGCTTATTCTGTGCCCTTTAAATTGCCTTCCTAAAACATAGAATTCCACATCAACTCAAAATTAGTTTAGAAAATAGATGGTGCTTGGTAAGTTCCAAACTATAAAATCCTGCCCATCCTCGGCAGTCTGGGGCTTACACCATTAAACATTAAGTGGTAGCAGATGCTTCCTGCCTGGGACTCAATTTCTAGGCCTATGTTTCGTTACTCCTTCTAAAAGATAGATTTTTTTTCTCTTTTTTCAGTCATTGAAAAAAAAAAAACAAAACACTAGGTTTTGGCCAGGTGCGGTGGCTCATGCCTGTAATCCCAACCGGGAGGCTGAGGCGGGTAGGTCATAGTCCAGGAGTTAGAGACTAGCCTGGGCAACATGGTGAAACCCTGACTTTACAAAAAAATACAGAAATTAGCTGAGCATGGTGGCATGTGCCTGTAATCCCAGCTACTGGGGAGGCTGAGGTGGGGGAATTGCTTGAGCCCTGGAGGTGAAGGTTGCAGTGAGCTGTGATCACACCACCGCACTCCAGTCTAGGCGACAGAGCCAGACCCTGCGTCAAAAACAGAAAACAACAACAACAACAAAAAACACTAGGTTTAAATAAAATGTAAACTTCTGTACGGCGGCGGGGAGAGGGGGGTAGTTTTGTGACAGATGTCTTGTTTTCAAAAACCTAATTGAGGAATGGGCTGCCATTTGTCTTCCCATCATTAGAAACTCAATCCTGCATGTCCTGGGGAGCCCAGTTGTAAACCTTAGTTTTTTTAGAAGGATGATGATTCCCCGCAAAGCCAGGCTGGCACTGTAGAAATCCACAGTCAGAAAGAACCACAAACCAACTCCCCTGGGTGGCGTGGTCCAGGCATCGCTTTATTTAGATGAATTCACACAGAGGTGCTATAGTGTGGTCTGGGCATATGATTATATGGTTTCGATGTCATGGAAACTTACAGGAAGTCAAGAGTGCTGTGAATCCCAGCTCACACATTTGCTGTGTCTACCTCAGTTTCCCTTTTTCTCAAATTGGCGGTGTAACTAGTTCTTATTTTGTAGGTATTCTAGTCCCCAAATTTCTTTTTAAAGAAACATGAGAATTTACTATAAATGCTACATAAATCCCAAGTTCGAAGTGCCTTTGGGCTAAAACCAGCTTTGAAGTGAGGCAAGAACTCAGGCTCCCTTCTCTTTTCTTCCCCGAAGATCCTAAGAAGAACACACAGCCATGGCTAGACCAGGGGAGCCAAGGAAAAGGAAGAGAAATGGTTACTTTCACTTTGTTCTTTAAGCCCTTGAAAGAGAGGTGACTCAGTGTGCCTCAGGAAGGGAGGATCCATCTAGCTTTCAGCATTTTCCAAGGTCCTTTTTGAGATGGGCACCAAAGTGACAGGCTCAAAGGAAGGCTTTCTTTCTTTTTTTTTTTTTTGAGATGGGGTCTTGCTCTGTCGCCCAGGCTGGAGTACAGTGGCGCGATCTCGGCTCACTGCAACTTCCGCCTCCAGGGCTCAAGCGATTCCCCCACCTCAGCCTCCTGAGTAGCTGGGATTACAGGCATGCGCCACCACGCCCAGCTGATTTTTGTATTTTTAGTAGAGACGGGGTTTCACCATCTTGGCCAGGCTGATCTTGAACTCCTGACCTCGTGATCCACTCACCTCGGCCTCCCAAAGTGCTGGGATTACAGGTGTGAGCCACCACACCTGGCCAGAAGGCTCTCTTTCTAATGTAAACTTTCACTGGCAGTCAGAAGGTGTCACTTACCAGAGTATTCTAATTCTTAGCAAATCGTCATTGCACATAAAGTGAACACAGTACCACATCTCCACGCATTAGACACATCGTCACTGAAACCATGCAGCCTCATTCAGAAATGACCTTGTGTCTGAGAGCTCATCTTCCTGGAATCATTTTAGTTTGATCCTTTCAAGGCTGTGAGATTTATTTTCAAGTATTATTTTTCTTTTCAAAAGTTATTCATAATTCAATTTAATTTTAAAAGCTTCATATACACATATCTACACAGATATGCACACGTACACTCACGCCTGGTACAAATCCAAATACTATACAAGGGTTCTCCACATAAATGTCCATCCCAGCCAAACAGCACTGTGTTACCAGTTTCCCGTGTCTCATTCCAGAGCCGTTCTATGCATAAAATATATATTTTTAGGTATTTTTTAAGAAGATGTACTGTTTAATTTTAAAGCTACTTTAGCATAAGACAAGGTAAAAAAGTAGGAACCTATAGATTAAAAAAGAAAAAAAAGGGCCTGGGGTATAATTGTTTTAAATGACGTGTTGATGTGTTGAGTTTAAAAATATTTTGATGTGTTCCAATGCATGGAAAACAAGATGGTCTGAAATCATTGTCCTGAACAAACTGTCCAATGTGATTACATATTTTGTGTGTGTACCTTGGCAAGGTCACGTTAACAAGTTTACATAATAATATACAGAAAACAGGAAGCCACCCAATAGACTGGAGTGAGCAGGGAGGGACAGGGAGGAGCAGAAAGACCGTCTCAAGAACTGCCACTTAGAGAAGAGGTGCTGAGAAGGAAAAGAGGTGAGCCGAGCGAGGTAAACAAAGCCTCAGGCCCATGCTTTCCAACAGGATTGTCTGCAATGGTGGGAATGATCGCGTCTGCGCTGTCCAATATGGTAGCCGCTAGTGCTGTTGAACACTTGCAATGGAACCAGCGAGACTGAGGGATTGAATTTTTATTTTAATTTTGTTTTACTTAATTTGAATTTAAACAGCCACATGGGGCAGTGGTTACCATACTAGATCGTGTTGCTCTGGGGTTTGTAACATCTTGGGAGGCATCAATGGGCTTAGAGAACTAAGAATGGAAAGGGGGCAGAGGATAAACATGGGGTAAATAAAAGCAGAAGAGGAAAGAAGGAGGGCAAGGAGCAGGAGAAAGAGTGACATTCAAGTGGAAAGGCATAGACTGAGAGGAATAATTGTCTTAAGTGATGAGTGGCCCCTGATCTCACTTGCTGAGACCTTCTGGTGTGATTCTGAGGTCTTCTGCAACCGCACACAGAAACAGTCTCTTCTAGAGCAATACTGTACTTGCTTACCCTGGGAGGCCTGTAGGTCTTCATCTCCTTATCTTATTGTGAAGGGAGCAAGGGTACACAATCCCAGGGACTCCCCTACTCCATTGTGTGAAATAAAATAGTTTACTCCAAGAAAACCCCACAGTTTTGATACTCCACTAGGTGTCACCATTAGCCAAAATGAGCTTTTATTTTTTATCGTTTTTAACCTGCAGAATTTGGTGAGTTTCTTCTCTGGGTCTATTGTTGATCTTTACAATTCATTTAGGTATTTTCCTACTTTGTCACAGACAAAGCAAAGTGGCTTGCGCTCCTGGAGGCTACCCAATAGGGATACTCATTCTAATTTGGTTTATTTTTCGTTGCAGTTAAAACTCAGTTACTAAGGCCGGATGTTGTGGCTCATGCCTGTAATCCCAACACTTTGGAAGTATGAGGCAGGAGGACCGCTTGAGACCAGGAGTTCCAGATTGGCCTGGGCAACATAGTGGGACCCCCATCTCTACAAAAAATTTTTAAAAATTAGCCAGGCATGAGGGCGTGCAACTGTAGTCCCAGCTACTTGGGAGGCTGAGGTGAGAGGAGCATTTGAGCCCTGAGCCCAGGAGATTGAGGCTGTAGTGAGCCATAATTGTGCCACTGCACAGACAGAGCTCTAGACCTTTTCTAAAAAAAAAAACAAAACAAAACAAAACAAAAAAACTTCTGCTAAATACCACAAATGTGTGTGTGTACACACGTGCTCGGCTTCCCAAAGTGCTGGGATTACAGGTGTGAGCCACCATGCCTGGCTAACATTCATTCTTAAATATTTACTGTGTGCTATGCAGGGGCCCCATGTACACTGCACAACTCTGGGGATGGGAGCAGAGGGCACAGTTTGCACAGACCTCAATGTAAATAGTGTTTCCTGAAGTTGTGCAGCCTAGCAGCTCTGCAAGACTCTGGTCTGGGCCATAAGAACTGTATTAGTCCATTTTCATGCTGCTGATAAAGACATACCCAAGACTAGGTAATTTATAAAGAAAAAGAGGTTTAATGGACTCACAGTACCACATGGCTGGGGAGGCCTCACAATCATGGTGGAAGGTGAAATGCATGTCTTACATGGTGGCAGACAAGAGAGAATGGGGGCCAAGAGAAAGGTGAAACCCTTTATAAAATCATCAGATCTCGTAAGACTTATTCCCTACCACACGAACAGTATGGGGGAAACCGCCCCTATGATTCAGTTATCTCCCTCCAGGTCCCTCCCACAACACATGGGATTATGGGAGCTGCAATTCAAGATAAGATTTGGGTGGGGACAGCCAAACCATATCAGGGACAAAATCATGAGGAAGATATGGGCCCTGCTTTTTCCATCCTCTCTGTTCTATTTCTTAGGAGAGTTCCTTAGTCTAAAACCTTCTTTGTAACTAGAAATATCTATGCCCTATATAAATTCTCAGAGTTATACATGTAACAGTTAGCTTTCCCTTCTATCCTTGTAAAAACAACTAAAGTTTAGTTCCTTTTCAGAGAAGTAACACCTCTCCCTGAGCATTATTTTATTAATAAGGCAAAGTATTATTCCAGCTGGATAAATCAAGTCATGGCCTTTGCCCTTGGGAAATTCAATAAGATCCAAAATAAAATCCTTAAGTTTTGCATATCTAAATTTGGCCTTTGAACAGAAGAGGAGTAGTAGCAATTGAACATGAATCTGGGGATCAGGACCCCTAGAATCTAGCCTGACTAGGCTTTCTTGGGGAATGTACCAGTTAGGTTGGGGGTAAAACAAACCACCCCAAAGCTTAGTGGCTTAAAGCAATGAACACTCATCATTTTTCATGATTCTGTGAGTCAGTTGAGCCGTTCTGATCTAGGCTGGTATGCAGATCGGAGGTGTGTAGGTGGCTCAACTGGGGTTGGCTGGCCTCCCTCACATACATGAAATTGACAGGCTGGTTAGTTGAGGAGGACTTAGCTGGGATGGTTTGTCTCTGCTCCATGTGATCTCTCCTCCTCCACTAGGCTAGCCCAGGCTTCACATAATGTTCTCAGCATGGTGGTCTCAGGGTATAAAAGAGCAGCAAGAGAAAGCAAGCTTCAGTGTGCAAGTGCTTGAATATTTCTTCTTGTGTCACATTTGCTCTTGTCCCATTGGCCAAAGAAAGATACATGGCTAAGCCTTGAGTCAGTGCGAAAGGTATTATCCAAGGATGTTGTAGAGAGAGGTATGAACAAATTAAGGACCAGTGTTGTAACAATCTACTGAAAAAATTAATTTAATTTCTCCTTATCTCAGTGTTTACCAAGATGATAATATTAATAACACTTTCTTGACCTACTTGCCAGGAAAGAAAAAAAATAAACACATGGAAGAAACTACTGTATATCATTCAAAGAAAAGGGACAACATAACTATTATTCATCTTACTTCAGTTTACTCATCTACCTTTTTCACGTCTCGTCCACAGCACGGCTAATCTATCTATGGGGCAATTAGGAATCCCACTTAGTGAAAATTCCTATCAAAAATAAAGGTAACAATTTCAAAAGAAAATTTTGTTTGTTTTCATAATTTTCACCAGCAAATTGGTACATTTTATGGGTTGTGTGTAAGGATACCCACTAAGGATGTAACTAGCAGGATTCTTCGAGAATAGAGACCCAGGAATGTCTAACCACAGGATAACTTTCACAATTGCCCTTATATGTTAGACTTGGCAGATACATTTTGGTTTTTTGTTTATTTGTTTGGAGAAGGAGACTTGTTCTGTCACCCAGGCTGGAGTGCAGTGGCACGATCTCCGCTCACTGCAACCTCCATCTCTCGGGTTCAAGTGATTCTCCTGCCTCAGCCTCCCGAGTAGCTGGGATTACAGGCGCCCACCACCATGGCCGGCTAATTTTTGTATTTTTAATAGAGATGGAATTTCACCATGTTGGCCAGGCTGGTCTTGAACCCCTGACCTCAGATGATCCGCCCGCCTCAGCCTCCCAAAGTGTTGGGATTACAGGCATGAGCCACTGCGCCCGGCCTACATTTTGTTTTAAATAATTGCTCAGCATTGTACAAGTTGAACACCTGTTATAGCACTCGGAGGACTTAATCACATAAAGAAAATGACTAGGAGTTTATAGTACATGTTTTCTTTTTTTTTTTTTTTTTTTTTTTTAATGAGATGGCGTCTTGCTGTGTTGCCCAGGCTGGAGTGCAATGGTGCAATCTCGGCTCACTGCAGCCTCCGCCTGCTGGGTTCAAGCAATTCTCCTGCCTCAGCCTCCTGAGTAGCTGATACTACAGGTGCCCGCTACCATGCCCGGCTAGTTTTTATATTTTTAGTAGAGATGGGGTTTCACCATGTTGGCCAGGTTGGTCTCAAACTCCTGACCTCAAGTGATCCACCCATCTTGGCCTCCCAAAGTGCTGGGATTACAGGCATGAGCCACCCCACCCGGCCTACAGTATATGTTTTCATTCCTATTTGCATGGTGCTGAGAATTGCTGAAGATAACACCACTTCTGGAAATTCACACTCAATCTTACTGGAACTGAGATTAGCCAAGAAAAGGATTACTTCATTCTTACTAAAAACTTATCTTTCCTACAAATCGTGGTCTTCATTATTTAACCTGATGAATAAACATTTATTGGGCATCTACTGTGCGTGAAAAACTGAACTAGAGATAGAAATATGGATAAAACACAGTTTTTGCTCTGCTGGCAACAAACTATAAGGCAAATCTGACAGATAAGTGCTCCAGGGAGTATTGAAGAAGGAATGATTTACACCAATGGCATGAACTAGAGAAAACTTCTTGAAGACAACTTTTGTTCCGAGCTTTGAAGAATGAGTAGCATTTCTCAATGTGAGAAAGGGGAGAGAGAATTCCATACAGAGGTAAACGTATGGTAAACAGAGGGTTAAAGTGCACAGCATTTTTTGGGGAAAACATCACCCAGGGTAGTTGGAGTGTAGGGTGTGTTATGGGAAGTAGAAAAGGAAGTGAGGCCAGCTTGTTAAGACCTTTGAATGTGATATTAAAGGGCTTACATGAGGGCTTTAAAGGCCCTTGATTAAAACATTCTCATGATTATAACTATTTTAGAAGTGTCATTCTGGCTTCTGGATACTGACACAATGGGGACCCAACAGGGGCTCCTGGCTATCTCTGTCAACCTAGTTCTGGGAGTGTCTCAGAAATGGTGCAACTGATGGATCTGAGAATCTAATGTGATAATTGTGAGAAGTTTCTAGAGGGACAGCAAATGGTTGGAGCCCAGTGTATGTGTTTGCGACTGCAGACTGCAGGGGAAAAGGGACAGTGCTGTAGGTGGGGAAGATTTTATCTTAGACTATTTTCCTCCCTTGTATTTCCATGGGCAGATTATAGTCTTCCCCAACTCCACTGCAAGACAGAACAGTATCACTAGTCCTGCACCAGCAGGAGATGAAGCTTGTGGGTACATCAGGGGAAAGGAAGGAGATAACAGGTAAAGATACACCCACATTCCTTCTAAGAACTGCCACTCCTCAGCATAGTATTGGAGGTCCTGGCCAATGTGATAAGACAAGAAGTACTAGGTATAGGATTTGAAAGGAAGTAGCAAAACTGTCGTTATGTACAGGTGATCTGATTATCTACATAGAAAACCTCACAGACTTAATAGAAAAACTTTTAGAACTAATACTTACGTTCAGCAAGGATGTCAAGAAGAAGATCTGTTTAGAAAACTCAGTTGCATTCTTCTACAACAGAACATTCAACCAGGAAACCTAATAGAAAATAAGATAATTTTCAGAAGAGCAACACAACTAAAAAATCAACTTAATATTCAAAATAAATTTTTGGAGAAAAATATAAAACTATCAAAGGACATTAGACTTAAGGAAAGAGATATGCCACATTGGTAGACAAGACTACTTAACATGTAAAGATAACAATTCTCCCAAAATTAGTCTAAAAATTCAAGGCACTTTCAGTATAGTCCCAACAGAATTTTTTGAGGGAATAAAAAAAGCATATTCAAAATTTATATAGAAGAAAAAAACAAGGTCCACCATCAGTTGAGCCAATTTCAGAAAAAGAACAAAGAGGAATGACTTGCCCCAGTATACTCCAATGCTATATAATAAAACATTACGGCACTGTGGTGTAGAAGCATGGAAATAGAGTAAGGGTGAGAAAGTGTCAGAAATTCATAGGTATGCTTATGTGTTTTGTTGTATGTGCACCTGATGTATGAAAAACAAGTAAATGGGGAAAGGATGGGTTGCTTAGTAGACAGTGTAGGGAAGATTGGCTCACTACATGGAAAAAAATTAAGCTGCATTCCTAACACCATAAGCAAAGGTGAACTTCAGAAGAATTAAAGATATAAATGTGAAACACCACCCTACAAAACATAGATATGCATGTGTATGCATATATATACGTCAGAATATATTTATGACCTTAGAAGTGGGGAAGAATTTTTTTAAAAAACATTCAAAAAGTGTAACTGTATTCCCTGCCCCTCAAATTGATGACTATATCAAAATTAACAATAATGACGATGGCAGATATAGTTATCTAAATGAACAGACAGGTGATAGACTGAGAAAAAAATATTTGAGACTCCCAAGACCAGCAAGAGATTATTATACAGAATATATAAGAAAGTCCTACAAATCAATCAGAAAAAGAGAATACAACAGGAAAATGGGCAAGGATATGAATATGTGACTCACCCCAAAAAACCCACTGGTTTTGCTCAACCTCACTAGTTTTTTTGTTTTGTTTTGTTTTGTTTTGAGACAGAGTCTCACTCTGTTGCCCAGGCTGGAGTGCAGTGGCACGATCTCGGCTCACTGCAACCTCCGCCTCCTGGGTTAAAGTGATTCTCCTGCCTCAGCCTCCCGAGTAGCTGGGACTACAGATGCCCGCCACCACGCCCAACTAATTTTTGTATTTTTAGTAGAGACAGGGTTTCACCATGTTGGCCAGGATGGTCTTGATCTCCTGACCTCATGATCCACCCGCCTCAGCCTCCCAAAGTGAACCTCACTAGTTCTTAGATAAATGAAAATTAAAACAATAGCAAGACTAAGTCTTTTTACCCATGAGGTTGGAAAATTAGGAGACTGGATAATACCAAACTCTGGCAGGTTGTAAGGAAACAAAACGGAAAGGAAACAAACACTGTATTCTAGGGCATGTCAAAGATAGAGCCAGGCACCGGTTAAAGCAGCCAGGACAGGTTTTATTCAGGGACTACTGCAATAAGGAAAAAGAGTAGAGTGTGAACAGAGTACCTGATGCAAAGTACTGGAGACTATTTAAAGATTAAGGGAAAGGCACTGTGGGGTGTTAAGGGAGGGTTAGTCTATGTGATTGCGCCACCTGGATTTGTTCACTGGTGCTTATCCGAAGGATAAACACACTTCTCCTAAAGTAAGGCATCCATAGCAGTTAGGCCCTTATCCTCCTGGGAGAAGAGCTATAGCTCCCTGAATATCTGCATTTCAAAGAGAGGGCTCTCAGATCCTTGAGGAGACCGTTTTGGGTGGGAGATTTACATCTCAAAGGGCAAAGGAAAGATTTATAATTGCAAGCTTTCTAAAATAACTGCTCTAAGAGGGAGCTCAGGGGCTTATCTGCCTATCACCAGGTTTTGGCCAGAATAAACAGTAAATTCTCCTGGCAGCATTGAGCTTCCAGGCAAGCATTTTAAGGGAGGCTGGTATCATCCTAGGGACATGGTCTTAAGCTGCTAGAAGCCATGCTAGGGTTTGGTCAAGTCTCTTAGTGCAGGGGTTTGGACAGAGTCATTACGGGCAGAGAGTTCTGCAGTTCGCAGTCACAACCTAGACGTACTTTGTGAAAATAAATATGCATCAGCAATTCCACTCCTAGACATATGCTTCCGAGAAACTCTTACACAGGTCCTAAAGGATCACGGACAAAAACACTCACCTCACTGTAGTACTGGTAGCAGGGAGCTGGGGCATTTGCTAGGGGAATGGATAAGTAAATGCGGTAGGTAGGTTTAAAAACCAAACCACACAAAATAACATATTTTTGTTAAATATAGTGAACTGCAAATTTCTCTTCAAAGAATCAGCACGTCAGTAGTTTCAGCTCTCTTATTCTTTGATTCTCCATTTTAAAGTTTAACTTCCTGGTTCTCTTTGCCCACTTGCTTCTAGTTTAAGTAAACAACTTTCCCCGTAGTCCTAATCAGTAGTTCACATCTGTTCCCCTGGTCACCTGCTCCATCTTGACTCATTGTGGTCATCTTCTTTGACCTGAGTCACCCTTGGTCACCTTCTCTGACCTAAGTCACCTTTGGTTACCTGTTCCTAACTGTCCTTCCTGCCAAACTACTCACTCCGCCACTCTGACTCATACCCCTGCCCCTTTAAAATAGCCAATCAAAATTAGCTTAGACTGTGCGGTCCAACCCTAGCCAACAGGGGAACAACACAGCAGCAGGGCCTACCTGTGTCAGGAATCAGAACTCCTGCCCCTCCCCTGTCCAGGTGTGCTCTCGCCATTGTTCCATCTGTGATGAGCACCCTTTCTGCAGAAAGTAAAAATTGCTTTGCTGAGAGAATTAAATGTATGTTCGAGTGCTATTTCTTTGTGGCACCAGGGAACAAACATTTCTAACATTTTGTAAGTTCACATACATACCCAAGAATACATTATCACAATATCAGAGTGACAGCGTGTGGGAAGAAGGAGAATGGGTATCAGAAATGAAGGTGGGGGGGAAATCAAATAAATAAAACAAGAGCAACTCCTTACACGATGGATAATGAGTGAGCCCCATACTCCACTCACTACAGTTGCAGTCAGAAACAGAGAGAGGGAGAGAAGAGAGGGGAGAGGATGAGAAGGTGGGAAAAACAGAAAGTGTGTCACTCTGGCAGGATGGACAATGACTGAGAGGCTAGGGTGGGAGAGACCAGGGAAGAGGGGATGGGGCAGTGGAGGTGGGAGATGACAGTGGTTGGAAGTAGAGCAGAGGCAGCGGAAATACAAATAATCAATGCTGACTAAGGACCTATCATGTGCTAGGCACCATTAGGTTCTTGCATTCCGTTTGGGGATGGATCCCAGAAGCCCCCTTAAGATGGAAACGCTGATATGGTGAATGTAGGGTGGAGTTCAGGTTGATCCCAAAGGTCCTAATCTGGGCAACTAGGAGGATGATGGTGGCTTTAACTGAACTGAGAAATAAATAAGAAGGGAAATACACAAACTCACATTCATGGCTTGGGATCTCCCAATCCATCACTTTGAAAATCAAGATTCTGAGAAGGCATTCCTATTTAGGAGGAAGAGGAGTGACATTCATTGTGTGGCTAGAATAATTGTTATTTTCATAACAATACCAAGTCTGAGTGCTTATTACAGGTTAGGTAGTGTGCTTAAGATGTTGACACTCATTAGCTCATTCACAACCCTATAAAATAGGTATTGCTATAATCTCTCTTTTTATTGATTAGAAAACTGATCTTAGTGAAGTTAAGTACTTGCCCCAGGTCACAGAGCTTCTGATTCCTTAGCCGTAATATGTATGGATTCCACTCTACAGGCGTAATTTTTATATAATTGTCAAAGTAGTCCATGAATAGACTTATTATCTTCATTGTCTTCATGTATCTCTAGTAAGTGGTAGAGGTGGGATCAAAACCAAAGTTTGTGCTTTTTTTTTTTTTTTTTTGAGATGGAGTCTTGCTGTGTTGCCCAGGCTGGAGTGCAGTGGCACAATCTCAGCTCACTGCAACCTCCGCCTCCTGGGTTCAAGCCTCTGAGTATTCTCCTGTCTCAGCCTCCTGAGTAGCTGGGATTACAGGCACCCACCACCATGCCTGGCTATTTTTTGTATTTTTTAGTAGAGATGGGGTTTCCCCACGTTGGCCAGGCTGGTCTCAAACTCCTGACCTCAGGTGATCTGCTCGCCTCGGTCTTCCAAAGTGCTGGAATTACAGGTGAGAACCACCGTGCCCGGCCTATAGTCTTTTCACAACACACATCTGCATATCTCTCTCAACTATTGCTCAAACTGTCTCTCATGCTGCCCATTCAAACTCTACCTATAGAGGAAAAGAGTCTAAAGAAACATATTAACCAATTGCAATCCATAGACCTTGTTTGGATCCCAGTTCAAACAAATGGTTAACAAAAACACTTAGAGGATAATTGGGAAACATGATATTAAGGAATTATTATTGATTTTTATGTGTGCTGATAACATCATGATTATGTCTAAATAAGGCAGTCCTTTTTAAAGAGAAATATCTATAGGTGAAATACTAACTACAAGGGTTCTCAGAGCAAGGCCCTCAGATCAGCAGCATCAGTATTACCCAGGAACTTGTTAGAATGCAGATTCTCAGGCCAGACCTGCTGAATCAGAAACTCAGTGGGTGGAGCCCAGCAATCCATGTTTTGACAAGCCCTTCAGGGGATTCAAATGCATGCTGAAGTTTGAGAGCCACCACAATAATGTGATGTCTTGAATTTGTTTCAAAATAATCTGGGGAAGGGATGATGGGTATATAGGGATTCATTATGACCATACTGTCTCCTTTTTTTTTTTTTTTTAAAGAGATGGGGTCCCCCTCTGCTGCCCAGGCTGGATTCAAACTCCTGGGCTCAAGCAATCCTCCTGCTCCACCTCCTGAGTATGTATTCTCCACTTTTATATGGGTTGGGAAGTTTTCCACAATAAAAAATTTTCAAAACTCCAAACAGTTTTCTCTGCAGTGCCGCCTAATGGCTCTCTCCTCACTGCTCTTGTCTCTCTTTTTTGCCCGCTCCCCTCCATCTGGAACATTTCCTCCTGGCTTCAGAAATGGCTGCTGTCCTTATTTTGTTTATGTTTATTATTATATTTTGAGATGGAGTCTCGCTCTGTCACCCAGGCTGGAGTGCAGTGGCGCGATCTCGGCTCACTGCAACCTCTTCCTTCCAGATTCAAGTGATTCTCCTGCCTCAGCCTCCCAAGTAGCTGGGACTACAGGTGTATACCACCACACCTGGCTGATTTTTGTATTTTTAGTAGAGACGGGGTTTCACCACGTTGGCCAGGCTGGTCTCAAACTCCTGACCTCAAGTGATTTGCCCACCTCGGCCTCCCAAAGTGCTGGTATAAGCCACCGCACCTAGCCCTTATTCTGTTTATTTGCCTCAAGTTTCTCAAATCTTAGGAGCTCCTTCTCTTCTTGCTCTCTCTCCTTGTCCTCTCTGTAAAAGTCTTTAAATGGCCCTTCTCATATCATTCAGTCACAGTTTCTCGCGTCTCAGCGTTCTTCTTCCTGGCTTCTAGATTCTGTGCACTCTGTGGTTTGCAGAACTTGTTATCCAAGACCTTGTCTTTGCACATGCGCTGAGTGATCTCTCTGCTGCTTTTATTGGCACTATCGACAGTTTCTTTTCTTTCTCTTAGAAAACAAAACATTTACCTCCTTCAATTAAAAAAAAATTTTATGTGATTGTTTTAGTTTGCAACATATCTGCCATTTAAAAAACTCCAAACAATAAAGAAGTGGAACAAGTAAAAATGTCACCTTGTTCCCCAGAACACTCTCTTCATTGCTAACTTCCTAATGCTCTCGCCTATCCCTCCGTGATATCTGAGTTCATTCCTCCTCTGACCTCTGCCTTAGATCCCCCAGGACAGCATGTAGAGTTTGGAACTAAAGATCACAGCCCATTGACTCTTCAGTCTGAGGGATGGAGTAAGTTAAAGGGACAGAAGTAAATAAAATTGAGAAGGCTGGGCACAGTGGCTTATACCTGTAATCCCAGCACTTTCAGAGGCTGAGGTAGGAGATCTCTTGAGCTCAGGAGATCAAGGCTGCGGTGAGGTATGATCATGCCACTGCACTCTACCCTGGGTAACAGAGTGAGATCCTGTCTTAAAAAAAAAAAAAAGAGAAGAGAGCAAAAGAGAGCCAGGAGTGAGTGGGAGGAGGATGGTTGGCAGCTGCTGGAAGTGGGACAAGGAGTTAAATGTCCTTTGTGTCCAGCTCCCACAACTCCCCCACCTTTCCCTTGGTCTTGATCATGGCTTTTGATCTCTTTTGGGAGCTCCAAGGTGCAGAAGCTTCTTCAGAGAGTCTGCTGATGAAGCACTGTTCAGCATGTGGATCTAGAATGAAGCCTCCTTGACCGCCGCTATGGCAGCTTCTGCTCTTGGCTATGGGCTTGGACCCATTCTAGTGGGCTCCCTTCCCCAGCATGTCTGGCCCTGTGGGTATACTCGCCTCCTGTTATTGTCCCCGTTAAGCCATCAAGCCACTGACTTACCAACAGTCTACCTATTGTCATATGTATCTGGATCCTTCAAGTTGGAGCTTTGCTGCTCTTCTAGGAGTTCCCTGAACTTCTAGAGGAAGTCACTTAAGAAATTTGACTCCCTGTTTTAGATCACTAATCTTTCCGGGCTTCATGACTTCTTGGAACTTGTCTTAAGATTTTATCAATGTTAAAATAATTAAGACTATGTAGAAATGTTGGAAAGTGTTTATAATCCAATGTTAGTTTTTAAAAAAGTAGTATATACAATAGGGTATCTTTTCTCCATAGTAACCAGGTATATTTCTTTGCTGACATGGACAAGAAGAAGGGAACATGTAAGAATGAAGAGTCATTATCTGGTAGGTTGGATTATCACTTTTTTTTTTCTTTTAAAAGTTCCCTGTTAATAACTCTTTATAAAAATCACTTGGCTGAGATGTTTCCCTGTTTCAGTTCAATGTTTAAAGTTATGTTTCCAGGCTGAGTGCAGTGGCTCATGCCTGTAATCCCAACACTTTGGGAGGCCGAGGCAGGTGGATCGCTGGGGGCCAGGAGTTCGAGGCTAGAATTTGAGGCCAGCCAGGCCAACATGGCAAAATCCCCATCTCTACTAAAAATACAAAAATTAGCTGGGCGTGATGGCAAGCACCTGTAATCCTAGCTACTTGGGAGGCTGAGGCATGAGAATCAGTTGAACCTGGGAGGCAGAGGTTGCAGTGAGCTGAGATCGTGCCACTACACTCCAGCCTGGGTGACAGAGCCAGACTCAGACTCAAAAAAAAAAAAAAAAAAGTTCTGTTTCCAGTCTTGGCCAGACATGCTTTGCCCAGCATCAGACTCTGGGTGGAATCTTCACAAAAGCACTATGCTGCTCATCGCCCTGGAAGAGGCCACAGAGTTATCTTTCATTTCCCTGCACCTTCCTTCTTGTTGGGACAATTGCAGCAAGTTAGCACTGCTCCTTCCATAACTTTTCTGTGCCCTTTCCCCCAGTTTTTAGCAGTTCCCTTCTGCTGACGGCTAGTTATATAAGACCTATTATGATGGGACTTCTCTCATTCACTGCCTCTGAATTGACTTCTTTCCTACGAACTGGAATATCTCAGGGGTGATATGAACCCAGGGAGCCTTCTTATCACAGACAGGTCTGATTCCCCCACTAAAAACAAACATCTCTACAGTTACAAGCACCAATACACTTTGTAATTATGGACTATGATGTCGTTCCTAAACGTCTCAAAATAATTTTACAAATATTCACTGGGATTAAGTGGCATAATCCCTATCATAAAAATGGAGTTATGGAGGTATTTTTCCTTCTCCACTGTCCTCAGGGGAAACAGAATTTCTAAAGAGAAGCCAAGTTTCTGGGGTTTGAACTTTCTGATTCTTTGAACATTCTTTAAGAACTCCAACTATATCTTGCTATCATTTCTACTTTCCACAAAATCCTGGACAGTAAAGAAAACAGAGACATGTAAGATCAAAAAGTTTTGCATAGCTGTGTCAAAAAACAGAGATGCTAGCATAAATAATCCAGTTTTAATCACAGTAAAAGGAGCCCCAAACTCTTATTTCAAGTGGGGCAGGCATAAAGAAGTAACTCACCAGCTAAGATTTCTTTATGCGTCTCAGCAGTCTTGCCACGCTGTGTCTTCTTGGGGAAGTGTCTCTAGTTTGCTAGCTGAATTGCCGTGGGTGAGAACTATGAAGCCTTGGCTGACTACCTGCTCTGCCGGCCACCAGATACACCTGAGCCCTTTCTCAGTGCTTGAGAGGAAGTTGGATCCCTGCCAGGGCTGGCTTCTGGCCAGAGAGGCAACTCAGATCAATTGGTCTACTGGGAAGCTTGCTGACTTTCACCTGTCCAAGCTACAAAGCCATCAGTGTTAACTGCACTAGGCTTCCAGCCCACTGAGCTCTTTGTCAGGCACTAGAGCCTAAACAAGGTGGCCTGGCTCAGTCTACAGACTCCAGCTGGAAGAGAAGCACAATTGTGCTGCATGCTCCTAGTACCCTACACCCAGTGGAGATGAATGCAAACTAAAATGTAGGCAACTGGGTGTTGCTTGTCAGTTTTGTTTGGAAGCACCTGAAATAAAGGAGTCAGCTCATGAATTCCTGCAATGGTAGAGAGCTTGAGTGCCCAAGCAAGAGGAAATTACCAATAATTTTAATAGTATGTGGCATCTCTGAGCTCAGGAATACCTTCTAGCTACAAAATTCCAGTGATCAGGCATTTCCTGTGGAAAAGAGGTTCTAAGCCTACTTGTTTAGAAGGCTTCAACTTATTTCAGTAATAAGACTGGGTTTGTTATGACCAAAGTTACATTCTATGAGAGGCCAATGTGTGGGGGAAAGGGATATCTGGAAATCTCTACTCGTTCTTCCCTGAGGGTTCATGGAAGTTGATGGAGTTGCCCAAACCAGGGTTGGAACTTTGGGAGAAGCAGCCCCACTTCATCCAGTAAGGATGTTTCCACAGAGGACAAAGATCATTGACATAGTACTCATTATGTGCCGCCGTGCTAAGTTCTTCATATGCCTAGCTGATTAAATGTATTCCTCCCTTTCTCCCTTTGGGGTATACTTACTCTAGGACCCTCATCTCTATTTTTCTCTTTCTCTTCTTCTTTTTTTTTTTTTGAGATGGAGTTTCACTCTTGTTGCCCAGCTTGGAGTGCAATGGTGTGATCTCAGCTCACTGCAGCCTACACCTCCCGGGTTTAAGCAATTCTCCCATCTCAACTTTCTGAGTAGCTGGGATTACAGGCATGCGCCACCACGCCTGGCTAATTTTTGCATTTTTAGTAGAGATGGGGTTTCACCATGTTGGCCATGCTGGTCTCGAACTCCTGACCTCAGGTGATCCGCCCGCCTCAGCTTCCCAAAGTGCTGGGATTACAGGCATGAGCCACCGTGCCTGGCTGGACTCTCATCCCTTTAACCAGGAAGAAATCAAGATTCAAAGAGGTTGAATGACTGGCCCAGAGTCACACAGGGTGGTGAATGGTGGAGTTTCAAAACCCAGGTTCGTATGATGCCAAAGCTCTGCCCCCTATACCATTCTGCCTGCCTGACTCCGAACGGAAGTTGTCAGATTTGATATTAGCACTACTCACGTCAGGCTGGCACTTGTGAGCTTGCTGGAATGTGGCCTGTGAATACACTATGGTTTAGAAGACGGGTAGGAGAGGACAGTGCTTCAGACTGAGAACAAGAAGAACAGGAAGGATATGGACCAAATCCCTGAGGCTAGAGGAGAGTGGGTTCCCCAGCAGGTGTGAAAAATGAGAAGGCTGTGAGAAACCTTAAGCTATTACAGTCTAACTATATCTCCTAAATGTCTGAGTGTCAGCTAACCATGACATTGTGAATAATGCACCTGGAAAGAGGTGACACTATTGCACCAAGGTTTACTTCACGTAAAATGCTAAGTTTCCCCATGCATAGAAATTTGAATTATTATGATGTTTAAATTAATCACACAGAGTGCTTTATAAAAGTCTCAGTGAAGAGCTGTTATTCCCCACTCAACAGAAGTAGGAGCTGAAGGACTCAGGGATCAAGTAACCAGACAAGAGTCATCATGGTAACTGGTGTCAGGTATGCAGTGAGAATTTACAATCCCTTGTTGGAATCCAGTTTTTATTTTCTTAGATTAGTAAACCAAAGCTGAGATCAAACACACTTCCTTTCTTGTGAAGTCCACTCTTAGGAGTGACATCTTATGTACGACAAATGTCGTTATTTATTTCTTCCCAAAGTGCTCTCACATATACGGCCTCATCCCACTGCCAACCCTGTGTGGAGTTAGACATTCTTATTTCGACTTACAGATTAGAAAACAGAAGCAGAAACACGGCAAGGGACTTGCTGACATTCCACTGCTGGCTCCTGGCAGAGTCAGAAGCCTGGCATTCTTTCCTCCAGGTCACACTGTCCTCCAACTGATCCCGCCTGAAACTGAGCAGGGCAGCGAGGGTTCACACAGGGGTTACGCCTCCAAGCCATCACCGTGAAAGGGAAGACGCAGATGTGAATAAAACTACAAAACTGGCTATATTTTAAAACACAGACATTGGTACCCAGATCAATGGGTCTATGTGAGTCTTGGCCTAGAGGTTCCCTCAGCCACTGCCCAGTCAAAGGATACAATGTGGACTTTTCCTTCCTTCTTCCCTCCTTCCTCCCTCTTCTCCCTTCCTCCCCCTTCCCTCTCTGCCTCTGTCTTGTCTGGCCTTCCTAAGTCAAAGCAAACCTCGTTAATGTAACAGAAGAGCTATTTGGTATGGCTCACATTCTCCTTCCTTTGCTTGAGACCTACGTCGATTCAAAGCTCTGAGCTCTTCTTTTGGCAAATGTTCTATCCACTGATCACAGAGTATGATACAGGGTCCCTTGGTCCCTCAGACACAGCCATATCCCATGCTGAGCATTATTTGATTGCTACAATCGGTACACGTGCCTCTGATCAACAAACAAACGATCACAGCATCTAGAAAATTGGAGAACCGTAGGCCAGGCATGGTGGCTCATGCTTGTAATCCCAGCACTTTCAGAGGCTGAGGTAGGCAGATCACTTCAGGCCAGGAGTTCAAGACCAGCCTGGCCAACATAGTAAAACCCCATCTCTACCAAAAATACAAAAATTAGTCAGGTGTGGTGGCACACGCCTGTAGTCCCAGCTACTCAGGAGGCTGAGGTAGGAGAATCACTTCAACCTGGGAGGCGGAGGTTGCAGTGAGCAGAGATCACACCACTGCACTGCAGCCTGGGCGACAGAGAAGACTGTCCAAAAAAAAAAAAAAAAAAAAGAAAAGAAAAGAAGGAAAACTGGAGAATCCTCCTCTTAGAGGCACCCAGTAAGAAAACATCTCCATCTGAGGTATCTGTAGGACAGCCATGAAAAGAGCCTGCCTGGGCCTTGGAGACAAAATCATCTGGGTTCCTCATGAACTAGAAAAGATTCAACTTCTCCAAGCCTCAGATTCCTCATCTATAAAATGGCAAACCTAACACTATCCCTGCATGTTGTTGTAAGAATAAAGTGTCAAGCACAGTGGCAGGCAAACAGTAGGTGCTCACTAAATGTCTATTTTCCTCCCAGCAGTCCTTTCTTTAGCTCCATATAAAGGTGCATTCCCAATTGAGTGACACCATTTGAAGAGTTCATTCTTATCTTAAGAAATAAAATTATCACCTTAAGAAACAAAATTCTCTATACTCTAACCTTTATGCCTGAAAGGCTAACAACTAGCTATGTCAGGGCAAATGCCACCAAATGGCACTAGGTTTGGGAAAGAAGAGCCTGGTATGTGCTGTGCATTTCAAAGGTTTTATGAAGTCACAAAACATAATCCTTATACTGATGATGTCTTCCTCACCACCCCAGGACAGAGTGGGCCCCTCTCAGTCATATCTCAACCTTCTATTGCACTCATTAGAGTTGTAATTATATAGTTATTCATGAGATTATTTGTTTTATGTTTGTGCACTCTCCAAGAGCCTAGCATAGTGCCTGGCACATAGAAGATGAATGAATGAATGAATGAAGAAAATGTCCACTGGCCTTATCACCTTCCAGCCATATATCAATTCTATGATGACTCAGGGGTATGGATTACACCTTCATTTTACAGAGGATGAAAGCTTGCATCACGGTCAAGGTCAGCCATTGAGGAAGTGGTGGGGCAGGCACTTCAGCCAACCCAGACTTCCTAACACCAAATCCTTGTTCATTCCTGCTTCTCTGCCCCTTGACTCACCAGCCTCACCCTTGTGTCTATTCAGATGGTAACATCCTAGGGGGTACCATTCCCTGTCTAGGCATGTCATTTGGTGGCCAATTGCCACATTTTGAGTGCAGAAGGTCTACTTTCTACCCTAACTCATTGAGCAATGGGTTATTTATTGGCTGACAACAGCCCCAGCTGATGATGGCACAGCAAGCCCTTGCATGTTCATCTGCACAAGCCTGAGGAAGCAGACAAAGGATTCCCAGAGTTGGGAACTTAAGCTGGTTGGGTCTGTGCTGTTTGTCAGGGGGGGATCCTTGACATTCAACTTGAATACCTGTGGTCATTCCATTCATAATAATAATAATAATTCTGGGTCTCAGTTTACATGCTCAATTCCCTTTTAATTGCTATCCATTATTTACTAATTAACCAAGTTTCTGACACAGCCATGCAGTAAACATCTCAGCCCTGTTCATTCTGTCTATGAAACCCAGTTCACAATCTAGCCTTACTGGTCTATGAAGTCCACCTGTTTCTGCCATTTTAACCTCTCCATCTCTGGGGATCTCTGGAGAATACTTAGAGGTGCATGTTCCAGGAGACAATGAACTTAATGTTTAGACAGACATGATGGGTGAACACCTGGAGTGGGAATACCAAAATATGTGTGCATGGCCCAGTTTACCTTTAACTGGTTGTGACATGCGCAACAAGTGATTTCACCTCCACAGATTCGGTCTCTGCGTCTTTGAGCCTGCAGTGGTTTCTCCCCAAGCTCTGTGTTCCTCTAGTCCATTTAATCTTCTAAACAGACAGACTGCCCTTGATGACAAATCTGAACAAGAGAAACACTCCTGCACCACTCCAGAGCTCACTCGAGGCCCTCTATCAGGCAGAAAAGATGATCCCTAAGCCTACTGTGGTCTGGAAGTGCTTGTAACAAGATTGTCTTTGTAACAACTTCCTTAAGGAGACTTCAAAGCCCTTTATTAACCCACACAGTAGCTGAGCTGGTAGGGACAGAGCAGTAACACCCCTTGAAATGTGGGTGGCATCTGCTTTTTGGTGGCTCTTGGAGGAGAAGTTACTCCATCCCTTCAAACCCACCACGGACAAGTGGCTTCATTGGTCACTAAGGCTGGCCTGAGAGTGTGCACAGGCTGAGGGTCAGCACAGATGTGAGATCAGAGAGGGCTTGTCTGGCTGCTGTGGCCAAGAGAAGAGGGCATGACAGGCCAGGTCACAAACCCAGGGGTCCTGTACCAGAACTGGGGTGGACACCCTTCCGCAGCCCATGTGACCTGAGCAGTGTGCATAGGCAGCAGTGAGTAGGATCATAGAGCGGGGAGGAAACCGAGCCTGGCCCCTGCAGCGGTGCAGAGACACACGGAGGGCCCAGGGAAGCCAGAAGCACAAATGACTACAGTGGTGGCAACAGCAGTGGGAAGATTTAGGGGGTATTGGGGCAGCAGGTTAACAAGACTAGAGAAACACTCCTGTTTCTCTAGCACAGCCTGTAGGTCTAGCACAGCCTGTAGGGACAGAAAGGTGTGATCCCTTTCCTCCCCCATCATAAAGGTCACAGTTGACACTCAAATAACAAAAGACAGGCCAACAAGTGACACAAGAGACTTCAGAAATGAAGACCCAAAGACTCAGGGAGAACGGTGTTTCTGCTTAGGTTTGATGAAGAACATGGATGGCCGTATAGAAATGTGATTGGAGAGAAGGGTGTGATCTCATAGTGATAGACTGAGGGGAACCCAGCAAGGCCTGTCCGTTCCAATTCTTCTTGACCTCTCTGTGTAGCATTGCTTTCTCCTGGGTATGGGGCAGGACCCCTCTCGAATGAGGGTCTTTAAAGGAGAAGGGAGAGGGGAGAGAGTGATGTTTCTAGATTTTATGGCTTGCTGTGGAGGAGAGGGGCTCTACTTTCTATGACCTGCCTGGGGAAGAGGGATTCTGGTTTCTATGATTCACTTAGCGGGAGAAGAAGGGGCAGGAGACAGGAGGATGGGAGAAGGTCAGAGAGACCTTGTTTCTGAGGCCTTTTCAGTTTCCTTCAGTTCAAAGTACTCAGCATGCCAAGGTGCCATACTTTGGGGTATCATGTTCTAAGCCCCCCAAAAAAGTGCCTGACACACAACGGGTGCTCAGTAAATAATGTAAGTCCCTTTCTTCTGCTGCCACCCCAAAAGAGGGACCCTCTCTCCCAGCTTCCTAGTGAGGATGGAATGATGTATTGAACCAGCATGAGTCCCATCTACTTACCCGTTACTAAGGGGAATTGTGATAAGCTCTTCATGTGTACCCCACTGTGCTGTTCTCCTATTCTCAGTTCATCTCTTTGCATCTCAACTTGGAAGGTAAGAACTTAATCAGGATGCACTGAACAATTGGCAGAAACTCATGTGAATGTAACTATCTTGTCCAGTTCCTTAACCTGTGCTAAGTCCAGGCAGGCACCTGAAGAAAAAAAAAAAAAAGCATGAAGGAGGCTTTTGCCCAAATGGCACTATACTTGGGGGATTCTGAGTAGGGCTGAAACAGCCTTTGCAAAAATTATAACTGAGGAAATTATGGCAGTGACAAAGATCAGACCTAAATGACTCAGTCTTTCTTCTAACTTTCATGCTGTCCTTATTCATTCCTGGGCATAGGCCAAACTAACCTTAGAAAGGAATTCAGTTTATGGTTTGACTCAGAAACAAAATCAATAATAGCCCTTTCCCGAAAAGACCCCCTTCTTGCCTGGGTGCCAGTCTGCCTTTGTACGATTAATCTATTAGTTACAACATTAGAAATTATGGTTTAGGGGTCCTGCGGCGTCAGGCTGCAAGAGTCTGAACCTTCCCAAGTTGCTGCTGGGGATAACATCGCTATTGTAAAATCTAACATCCTATTTTGCAGACCCTGCACTGGATGGATCAGCTGACACCACTCAGACCGTGTGTGATCTGGCTCAACCAGTTCTGCGATCCCACCCAGGAACAGAAGACTGCAAGAAAACGTTACTTCAACCCCCCTGTGATCCCATCTGCAACCTGACCAATCAGCACTCCCCAAGTCCCAAGCCCCTATCTGCCAAATTATCTTTAAAAACTCCCAGAGGCAGGGTGCAGTGGTTCAACGCCTGTAATCCCAGCACTTTAGGTGGATCACGAGATCAAGAGATCAAGACCAGCCTGGCCAACATGGTGAAACCCCGTCTCTACTAAAAATACAAAAATTAGCTGGGTGTGGCGGCGCGTGCCTGTAATCCCAGCTACCCAGGAGGCTGAGGCAGGAGAATCGCTTGAACCCGTGAGGCAGAGGTTGCAGTGAGCCAAGACCATGCCACTGCATTTCAGCCTGGGCGACAGAGGGAGACTCCGTCTGAACAAACAAACAAACAAACAACTCCCGGAATGCTTGGGGAGACTGATTTGAGTACTGGAATCCCAGTACTTTAGGAGGCCAAGGTAGGTGGATCATTTGAGGTCAGGAGTTCCAGACCAGCCTGGCCAACATGGTGAAACCCCGTCTCTACTAAAATTAGAAAAATTAGCCGGGTGTGGTGGTGGGCGCCTGTAATCCCAGCACTTTGGGAAGCCAAGGCAGGTGAATTATCTGAGGTCGGGAGTTTAAGGCCAGCCTTAAACTGGCGAAACCCCGCCTCTACTAAAAATACAAAAATTATCTGGGCATGGTGGCATGTGCCTGTAATCCCAGCTACTCGGGAGGCTGAGGCAGGAGAATCGCTTGAACCCGGGAGGCGGAGGTTGCAGTGAGCCGAGATCACGCTATTGCACTCCGGCCTGGGCAACAGAGCGAGACTCCGTCTCAAACAAACAAACAAAGGAACGAAAACCTCCGGTCTCCGGCACGGCAAGCTCTGCGTGAATTACTTTCTCCATTGCAACTCCCCTGTCTTGATAAATGGGCTCTGTCTAAGCAGCGGGCAAGGTGAACTCGTTGGGCTGTTACAGGACCAGTGACAGACCAAGGGCATGCCACTGAAGGAATCCCTAGACGCACCCTTCTGGATGTGAGACAGGCGGATCTCACCCACGCCTGCCAGCAGCTCCTCGGAGAACTGTGTTCCTGGGTCAGCCCTGGCCCAGAGGAGCGCCGGGGACCCGCAGAGTGCTGCTGAAGTCAAGGCTACAACTCACCTAGGATCTGGGGCGCCAGCCCTCCGGTGGGCAGGGCGTTCTCCTCCCCCACCCCCTCCCCGCACGATGACATCAAGTGTTTGGCGTTGAGTTGCTCCATAAAAGCTGCCCGGGGAAGCCAGGAGAGCGAAGGGCGGACGTACTCGCCACGGCACCCAGGCTGCGCGCACGCGGTCCCGGTGTGCAGCTGGAGAGCGAGCGGCCACCGGGAGCCCCCGGCACAGCCCGCGCCCGCCCCGCAGGAGCCCGCGAAGATGCCCCGGCGCAGCCTGCACGCGGCGGCCGTGCTCCTGCTGGTGATCTTAAAGGAACAGCCTTCCAGCCCGGCCCCAGTGAACGGTAAAGTTTCCGCCTGCTTCTTTCCTAACACTCCTGAGCGCTCAGCCGCCCCTGGGCTGAAGGCTCTTCAATGATAAAGTAAAATCATTGCTGCGGGGAGCAGGGAAGGTGTAGTACCAAATAGTAGATTCTCAAGAAAGGATGCTCCGTTTTCCTTTGCTGAGGTTGGGTCGGGAAGCACGTTGCTTTCTAGTGGCGCTTGGCGCAGATTTGGTGTTAAAATGTTTGCGTGTACTCCCGGGCACCGCCAGCTCTGAAGATGTGGCTTGGGAACTTGCTAACCAGGGAGGAGATGCAAAGCCAAGATTTAAAACAGCGTTCCCCTGATCCACGTTTAGAAAGTAGAGACATGACTGTGGCATTCTGATTGGGGTAAGCACAGAGAAAGGTTTGCTGTGCCCCTGTGCAGAACCCGCAGACAGTGGTAGGCGCTTTTCTTTGGAGGAGAGGATCTTTACCATTAAGTCTTACCTACAAGTCAAAGGGATGATGCATCCCATTCTTAATCATTGTTTTTCTCCAGGAGGGCTCTACTATGCTGAATGTACGTGTGTGTGCACGTACACACACACACGCACGCGCGCACGCACACAAACCACACACACACACACACACACACACACAGCATATTTCTGATTGTAATTAGAACACTAAATCCCAAAAGGCTGGAGGCTGAGGGACTGAATGGAGGCTCCGTGGAGTGACAGGAGGAGGTGGCAGAGGGGACCTGAACTGTGGGCTCACGCCGGGCCAGTGAGCTAACACGTGTACAGCCAAGGCTGGTTCATTAATCTTTTGGAATAAGAAAGTGATTTTGGACCGAAAGTGATTTTACTGGCTGAAACTAGATTCTTCCTGGCGAGGCAGTGGTGGTGGGAAATGTGTCCTGCTCAGCAGCATAAAAGCTCTGAGCCTCCTCTCTTGGAGGTCACAGTGCCCATGGGGAAGGGCAGGGGAGCCAGGCTGTGGATAACTCTTAATTAAATTCCAGTCAACTAGCTGGCATGATGTGCTTGATATTATCTCCCTCATCTGGTCAGGGAGAAACAGAAGCGATGTAACAGAAGTTGGGAGAAAGGAGCGATGTAAAAGTGAAAATCAAGTTTTAAAACCACAAACTTTACATGTTTCCTTTTACGAAAGCTGCACTGAGACCAAAGTTTCCCTGGAAATCTCTTTAGTCCTAAGTTGCTCCAAGACCAAAGGGAGAAACAGCCATTAGTTGGCCCTCTTTCCTATAGCTGGTTGCTCCTCTCACTCTGGGGCAGCTCTGCCTCCCTTCTCTCTCTTTTCCTGCCCTTCCCTGTTCTCTTCCCTCCCTCCCCTTCCTTTCTTCCCTACTTTCCCTGCTCTTCCTCTTCCCTCTCCCTTTCCCTCCTCCTTATCTCCTCTCCCAATTCTCCAAGTTGGGACTGGGGAAGTTTGTAGTCAAAACTCCACTTTCGCCTCACTCTGAGGAAGGAGACTGCCTACCCCTGGGTAGAGCACAGCTTTTATTCTGTAAATTCTCATGCAGTTTCCTTGGGTTTTTAACTGCCTTAGAGGACAGGTCAAAGCAAAAATCACTGAGGTGTAGAATGTCAGCATGAACCCAAAGTTGGAGGTGGAGAGGAGTTAAGCTGAGTAATGGGGTCAAAGTGTGATCTGCTCTCTGCCTGGTGCATTTAAACTTCCAGCATTGGAGAATGTTCAAGAACAATGTCAGGGGCCCAGGAGGGAGCATAATAATGTGAAGTCAAGTGTCTTCTGGAGAAACCCTTGGAATTCTTAGTTGCCGTGGCTTTGGGGGGCATTTCAGTGAATTCTGCAGAGCTTGCCCTGCCCAAACCTGGTGTGGAGAGCCAGGCAGTCTTGGGCTACCCAGGAGATGGTTACTCAGGGAAAGTTCTAGCACCCAGCACAGGAAGCAGGCAGGGCCCAGGACCTCTGATATGGATCTTGGTAAATACCATTTTCTCTGGGCATTCCCTCCAGGGGAACCTCCCTGCCCAGTACCAGCTGGGTCTGCAGGTTCTAACAGGTTTCAGGCTGAGCCTCCCAGGTTTCCCAGATGGAACAGATAACCTTCCTTGGGAAGGAAACTATTCCCCTCCAGGAAGGGCCTGCTCCCTCAGGATGCCACTGAGGCCTTGGCCTGGCCTCGCTTGTGGAATCAGTTTAATCCTTTTAAGCCTTCTGTTCTTACAGCTAGAAGTGGGGAACCAGGGGGTGCAATTCCTGAATAAAGCACACTTTCGTGCGCGTGCACACACACACACGCACACATACACACACTTTTAGAGAGACTTCCTGAGGTCAGAGCTGAGCTGGGGCCCTGATCCTCACCCGATGAACCCCCTTGACTCACCATCCTCACTTACAACGCCGCTTCTCCCCAGCCCTCCAGCTCCTGAGCCCCTCCAGACACTGCCATTTATACCCAAAGTGCCGAGTCTGGAGTCCCAAGCCAGCTCACTCACAGAGAGGAGGGCAGGGAATGTTGCTCTGGAGGCTGCTGCCTTTCAACAAGTCCCCAGTCCTATGTCACCACCGCGACCTCACAGTCCCAGATGTCCACTCTATGACTTTTAGCCCTGAGCTTTCCAGAGTGTGATGCTGAGGCCTCATCTGAGGATGAGAACTCCAACAACAGGGAAAACCTTGATTAGCGAGCCCTGGGAGGGTAGCAGAAGATGTAGGGTATAAGGCTATGATTTGAATGTGAGCAGGTACAATGCAAACTGCTGGCAAGGCAGCAGTGCTCAGGCAGCAGATGTGTTTCTAGTGGCCTCCAGGATCACTGGAGTGGCCTGTGCCTCCTCAGGGGAAAAGTAAGGGTGAACTCCTCTGTTATTTGTGGAATTTTACATCCTGGGCCTCCAACTGTTCTGCCTGCTAAGAGGTAATGATCTGGCTTATTATATCTCTAAGGTCTGGGATTACATCTTAATAATGAACCTCTCACACAAAAGACTGAAGAAAATGTCCAGAAGAGGTTTTATGTCTTCTATAGCTTGGTTTGAAAGCAATGCTTTCTTTATTTTTTTTCATTGTTGTTTCAGCAAAGGGGTGAGCAGTAAACTTGGGGGTCACATACAAGTTTGGTTTCCCCGTGGTTCTGAATGTCTAATTACTAATTCAAGGGAGGTTGATCTTGGGACCCTCAACTCTCAATGCACCCATAGCTGGTTTCAGGGGAGTCTGTGGACCTTCTGAAATGACTTGTATATAAAACTTTATGTGTCTAAGCTTAGGGAAATTTTTTTTTTGAGACAGAGTCTCGCTCTGTCACCCATTCTGGAGTGCAATGGCACAATCTCAGCTCACTGCAACCTCCGCCTCCCGGGTTCAAGCAATTCTCCTGCCTCAGCCTCCCCAGCAGCTGGGATTACAGGCACCCGCCACCACGCCTGCCTAATTTTTGTATTTTTAGTAGAGACAGGGTTTCACCATGTTGGCCAGGCTGGTCTCGAACTCCTGACCTCAGGCGATCTGCCTGTCTTGGTCTTCCAAAGTGCTGGGATTACAGGGGTGAGCCACCGTACCCAGCCAGCTTAGGGAAATTTTTACTGGGAGAGGTCCATAATACTCATCGGATACTCCAGGGGGTCTGGACTCCTCCACTTAACTACTCCAAAGATTGAGGAGACTTGAAGATTCCCTAAGTTCATGGCACTAATGCTAAATTAATGGTAAATGCGGTGGGACTCCTTCCAGTGGGAATATGATATTGGTCAGGACACTTCACCTTGGTGGACTTTCATTTCCTCACCTACAAAAGGAGGAGATGGGCTATGAGTGTAAGAAAGAGATCTGAACTCTTCTCTTCCAGGGTGGGATGTCAATAAATAATGCCTAAACATAAAACAATCAAGGTAAAACAATATTAGCATGTTATATAGAGATATGGAGATAATAGCAAAAGAATCATTTTAAAAAGATCCAAAGTGGTTGCTCTAGGGAGCAGTACATGGTTAGGGAATGTCAGGGAACTGAGGTTTTTGTTACACAGCTTTGTAGAACCATCTGACTTTCTAAACCACGTGCAAGTGTAATTTGATAAAAATTACCAATTACATTGGAAAATTAAAAACAAAATTAATTACAAACACTGAGGCAAAGAAATGGAACAGAATAACAAAAAATATGAGATTAAACCGGCTTTTTTTTAAAAAAAAAGCCAAGTTCACTTTTTAACTTTTAAAAAACACAATTTCCTTAAGTAGGAAATGCCAGGAGTGATAAGTGACCAGATTGCTTGTCACTTAAGTTTTACTGCAAACTAATTCCCACGAGAGAAAGGGGATGTGAGGTGCTTCCCCACAAGGGTACGCTTTTCCATCTGTACCCTTGTGGGTCGAGAACCACGGAGACCCTGGGAAAAGTTGGGAGGCAGGGATTTAGGAGTTGCACAGTCCCCTCATTGGATGAGTCACCTGAGACACACAGTGGGATGCTTCTCTACTCAGGGTCCCTTCCTCGGAGGTGAAGAGGAAGGCCGGCAGGCAGGGTCACAAGAGCACAGCTCTGCACTTGTGAAAAAGACCTTTTTTGACATAGGAACGAAGAACATTTATGCATGAAGAGTGTGGAGTGCGAAGTAGTGGGTGACTTTTGTTCTCTTTCTGGCAGAACTTTGCCTACACATTCCTACTACCCCTGGAATTCTAACTCAGATGTGGGTAGCAGCTTCCTCAAAGAGAAACTTTTTCCCAGCTGGGTGCTGTGGCTCACACCTGTAATCCCAGCCCTTTGGGAGGCTGGAGTGGGCAGATCGCTTGAGCCCAGGAGTTTGAGATCAGCCTGGGCAACATGGTGAAACTCCATCTCTGTGAAAAATACAAAAATTAGCCAGGTGTGGTGGTGCGCGCCTGTAATCCCAGCTACTAGGGAGGCTGAGGTGGGAGGATTGCTTGAGCCCAGGAGGTTGAGGCTGCAGTGAGCTGCGATCACACCACTGTACTCCAGTGACAGAGTGAGACCCTGTCTCACAAAAAGAAAGAGAAAGAGAGAAAGAAAAAGAAAAAGAAGAAAGAGAGAGAGCGAGAGAGAGAGAAAGAAAGAAAGAAAGAAAGAAAGAAAGAAAGAAAGAAAGAAAGGAAAGAAAGAGAGTGGGAGGGGAGAGACAGAGAGAGAGAGAAAATGTAAAGTGGGAAAAAGCAAGACACAGAACACTATTTCCAGTATGCCAATGTTTGTGTGAGGAGAAAGAGGGAGATCAATGCATATGTGTGTGTAGCCATGCCATGAAAGGGCTCCCAATCATCAGCTAACCTCCTTGTCTAATGGAAGCAGGGAAGGTAGAGTGGGAAGAAGAGCTTCTACTGTATATACCATTTGATGGCTTTTGGGTTTTGAGCCACATGAAATTATTGCCTATTCAGGTAATAAAGTTTAGCTTCTCTAAGATGTCTGGAAGGCACCTGCTCAAGAACCCCCTCCTGCTTCCATGAGCCTCTGCATGAACCAACTGCCTGTGCTGCTGACTGGAGCACAGTTGCCCTGAGAAGCTGCTGTTCTGATGCAGACTCAGAAAAAGTTTCAATTTGGCCGGGCATGGTGGCTCACGCCTATAATCCCAGCACTTTGGGAGACCAAGGCAGGCGGATCACCTGAGGTCGGGAGTTTGAGACCAGCCTGACCAACATGGAGAAACCCCATCTCTACTAAAAATACAAAATTAACCAGGCGTGACGGTGCGTGCCTGTAATCCCAGCTACTCAGGAGGCTGAGGCAGGAGAATTGCTTGAACCCAGGAGGCAGAGGTTGCAGTGAGCCGAGATCGCGCCACTGCACTCCAGCCTGGGCAACAAGAGCAATACTCCACCTTGAAAAAAAAAAAAAAGAAAAAGAAAAAGTTTCAATTTCTGGGCATCGACCTCCTTTTCAATTTCGCTCATATCAAAACAAAATCTGTAGTGTTTTCCATTACTCATCTGGTTCCATTGTACTTACTTACTGTGTTTTGTTCTTTGTAGGTTCCAAGTGGACTTATTTTGGTAAGTAGAGATTTTAAATACTTTTTTGTTGAAAAGAAAATAGAAATGGTTGTATTTAATGAGAAAAACAGAAACTTCATGCTCTGTGGAGGTGATTTTGAAGGGTCGGAAGCACAGTTCTTGTATTGTAGAAAGAGAGTACAAAGGCATCTCCTAAGAACACTTCAACTTGGGTTGCATACTGCACTTTCTCCAAGCAGGCGAGCCTGCTCCAGGCACAGGACTGTGAGTCATAGTGTCCAGGCTTCAGATTCCTGCAAGGATTTCTACCAAACCTCCAAGATTTGGAGGTAACTTGCCCCACCTCCGGACTGCAAGGGTCCTGGGCAGGAGAGAGCCTTTCTCCCTTGCAGGACACATATCCTATTATAAACAAAGAAGAAAGGGCTCCTCTCTGAAAGTTTGGCTGAGGTCCCAGAACTTAAGCTGTCAGTATGTCTAGAATTAACTTCTTGTTGCCGTGATTGTAAGCTAGCGATGGATGAAGAGGTGTTGGTCAGTGCTTAGTGAAAGAGGGATGCTTGTCTTAAATGAAGCGAGAGGAGCACCAGTGTGCTTGTTGCCTGGGCTTTCTGTGGGACGGTCTCCAAGAGCATGTTAGCCCCATCTGGCAGGCCTGCCAGAGAAGCAGCTGGAAATCAGCTTAGCTGGAGAGTTGCAGTGAATTAGAAATTGGTCATTGGCTGGAATGGATGTGGCAGGCCAGACACCTGAGTCCCCTGGCCAGTGCGGGAATGTTGATAATGTCTTGTTGGGGCACAGCCACAGAAGATGCACAAGATCGATTGTTTTGGTAGCAGAAGGGTGGAACTGACTCACTGGCACAGGAGGCATTTTAAGCAAGCAGGGTTGTGGCCAAAGTTAAAGCCACAGGATGCAATGGCTGTGGGCGGGGACAGGCGGGAAGTTGATTACTACAGTGGAAGCACCGTCCAGAGAAAGATCTGACACCAATTTGCATAGGTCAGCCTTTGGAGGTTCACCAGCCCAAGATGCATAGAAAAGTCACTGAACTGACCAACCAGCTACCCACAGGCCAAGGTCCCCTCAGCCCCAGCACTGCACGGCTCCGTTATTGCTAACATCCCTTATGTACTGATTATGTGCACAGCACATTGCTAAGTGGGTGGGTAATAGAAGGGTAGGCTGTGGTCCATAGTTGGGAATTACTTAAAGCTCACAATTCAAAGCAGAACATAATAGGTAATAATAACATCATAAACAAATGCTTCAGAGATCTGAGTGCTCAAAGGAGGGCGAGTGTGCTAGGGCTAGATGGTCAGGGAAGGCCTCCTGGAGGAGGAGGGCTTTCACCTGGGCCTTGGAAGATAAGGAGGATTCGGTGAGTGGGGAGTGGGTGCTGTTGGCTAAGGTGATGTTGAGCAGAAGCAAGAAAGAGCAAGGTGGTGTTCGAGGAAAGCATGTGGAGAAGGGTTGATAGCGGAGTCACGGGCTCTAAGGTCAGAGAGATAGGCTGGGTCAAACAGGGGAGGTGTGGAGGGTCAGGGCAGGCCTTTCCCACTTTGTCCTGCTCCTGGAGGGGCAGGGCAGGGAGTAAGTCTGTGTTTTAGGAAGAGTTACTTGGTGGTAGGAGGTGGAGGGGGAAGGATGGAGGGAGGCAGGAAGGTGTTTGGCCTGTGGAGAAACCCCGTTCCGTGTCTTCACATCCAGTTTACAGTGGTGGCAGTGAGGGGGAAGGCCAGGCCAGGATAAGAGAACTGACAAAGTAAGAATCGCAGAATCTGGGCCACAGGGCCCCTTGGGCAGGTTCCGTGTGTAGGAGGTGACAGGCATGGAAAGAAGGTGGCACTTGGGTTCTGGGCTTTATTCCATATGATCCCCAGTAAGCCATTTCAGCCCCAGGACTTCACTTTCCCCATCTGTAACCTGGAGGAGGGGTTGTCTAGACCAGTGTTTCTCAAACTACGGCTTGGGATCACCCACATCAGGATCACCTGGAATACTTCCCCAAAATGCAGATTTCTAGGCCTTGGGCTAGACCTGGGAAAGGGAGGGAGCCTGAAAAACCTGTATTCTTAACGCACTCCCCAAGTGATTCTTAGCTGCACTCTATCAGAGAATCACTGACCCATGGTTCCCAAGACCTGTCTATCCAGAGAGAGGAAGCTTGCCCCACCTCTTCTGCTGGCCTCTCAGGTATGATAGAAACACAGATCACATCTCTACGGGGTCCTCTATCCCTATCTCTCTGTTACAGCCCTCCTGGGCAGAATGAGATGGCGACAGGGAACAGAGACATTGTGTGAAGGTGTGGGAGGACAAATTTTTTTTTTTTTTTTGGAGTCTCATTCTCACCCAGGGTGGAGTGCAGTGGCGTGATCTTGGCTCACTGCAACCTCTGCTTCCTGGGTCCAAGGGATTCTCCTGCCTCAGCCTCCCAAGTAGCTGGGATTACAGGGGTGTGCCATCACGCCCGGCTAATTTCTGTATTTTTATTAGAGATGGGGTTTCACCATGATGGCCAGGCTGGTCTCGAACTCCTGATCTCAAGTGTTCTGCCCACCTCGGCCTCTCAAAGTGTTGGGATTACAGGTGTGAGCCACCATGACTGGCTGGGAAGAGAATCTTAACTGCCTCTTCATCATGACGTGGTGTTCGCCAAGGGCGGGCTTCTCAGTGCAGCCACACTGACCTGTCCAGAAGCATTTCTCCCTGACCACTAGCTCTGGCCAGCCCTCTGTCCCTCCTACCCTGCATAATTAGAGCAGCTCTTTGCTGAGGAAGCAGAGGGCAGAGTCTAATGATGCATGGACATGCATGGGGTAAGCACAAAGGCAAGTCTGGTTTTTATTAGTGACATGGGCATGTGTGATGTGGAGTCAGCCCTCAGAGGGGACGTGCAGGAGAGGACAGATGGAAGACAGCTAAGGAGGCAAACTCCTCCTGAGGTCTTGGCTAGCTCCTCCTTAGGTCCTGGCTGGCAGCTGGCACCTGTGCTCAGGGCTGCACAGGTAGACAGAGGGCCCAGCATAAGTGCTGGAGGGAAACGGCTTCCAAGCAATAAGGGCCGCACTGAATGGGGCAAGTCCAACCAAAGGCTCCGTGCTGGGCATGGTGGCTCATGTGCAGAACTCAGCTTCTTTGCACGTACACTGCTGAGTCATTCTCCAGGGGCCTCCCACTGTCTGGCACACATGGTAGGACTTTTAGAAGTACAAAAAAGGGAGTTCTACCCCTACATCCTCATAGCTGAGTCACCAGGCTGACTGCATGGATGGCTCCTCCCTGGAGAGAGGAGGACCATCTGACTGCCAAGATGGGGCCAGCGCCACCTCTTTGAGCCCCTCCTAGGGTGCTGAAACAGCAGCTGAATGGCTGCTGGGCTTAGCATGGCTGAGGTGGCATCATGAGAGAGAGGCTGGGGATGATGTGACATGGACCTTCCCCGCCGGAAATCAGTCCCGCATCAATCCCGCTGAGCCCGGCAGCTTCACTTGCTGTGAACTGAGGACAGCTGCAGGTCAGGTTGTCATGTGAGCTAAGGACAAACTCCAGCCTGCTAAGGTATCAGAATATGTGCCCTGTGGGGGATGAAGATGACCGGAAGGAGGCAGGAAGGGTTGTGGGCACGTTCAGGTCCTTGGTGTGGGTGCTGCAGTCAGTTTTTGAGCATTCATCCAGCTGTTTGCTTATGGTCTACACACTTTTCGGTATATATTTCATATTCAATAAAAGAGTTACAAAGTTCCAGCTGGCTGGGAGATTCATCCTTACTCTGATAGCTTTTTTAGTCCTTCCCCAAGAAAAAACCAAACCAAACCAAAACAAAACAAAAAACCCAAAAACAAAACAAAAAAAACCCTAGTGTGTTCAAAACAACAGAGCAACCAGAAAGAATGACTGTATTGGAGCTAGACCCGAGAGCACATCATGTTAGCTGAGAATGGGCGTGGTGTTTCATCCCTGATGATATCAGATATTGGCTTGCTGCTTCTTGGATGTGAGCTGGTTGAGAAATAGATGAAAACCCCTGTTTGCTCAAGATCTGCAAAGTCTTAAACGCGATGGGATGGCAGAAGAACATGGATGACAAGCCTTCCTCCTGGAGGGTGCGCCAACCCCTATCACAGCCCCACAGGGCACCCGCGAGGCCAGCCCCTCCATCCTGTTCAGGAAACCTTGGAAAGAAGGTGGCCTGGCACGGGGGTGCCAGGTGGCTGGCTGTGGCTGTGGCCGCACATGCTTACAGGTCAGCCTGCCCAGTTCTCTGTTGCGGCAGGCCAGCCCTCGTGGCCCTCGGCTCTGGCAGGACTCGGTGTGAGCCGGGCAGTGCTGTGCATTCCTTTTGCTGCACTCCTTGGTTCCTCTCCCAGATAATACATTGTCCGTCTTAAAGAATTTCCTTTGGAAATCAGGGGGAGATCCTCCACTGGGGCAAACCTCATTTTCATGTCCCTGAAGTCCTCCAGGCCCACACCTCCACCCGCCTTCTGTCCTGTATCTGCGGAAATATTTATTTTCTGTAATGAACTTTCTTGGGGCTCCAGACACCCTCTCAGCCTCTTCCCACACAGAACTAGAAATGGAACACATGAAAGGAGGCCAGGAAGCAAACTCTTGACTTTCTATTCTTCAGCAGTGATAAAGGCACTGTGTGACCTCACACCTGAATTGCAATATAAAAAGCAGGCTGCAGTGAGAGCTCAGGGGAGACTCAAAACAGCAGGGAGCACCTGCAATTAATAGACCGAGGGCTCTTGTCTCTATCAAAGGGAGGGAGGCTTGGCCATCTCAAAACATTCCAGCCACTTCTCGCGACTCCCAGCTGCCATCCTGAGGATGAATAAGGGGCACAAAGTACTCTCAGGAGAGCCGGAAAAGGCCAGACATGTTTTTCTTTTTTCTTTTTTTTCTTTTTTTTTTTGAGATGGAGTCTCGCTCTGCCACCCAGACTGGAGTGCAGTGGTGCAATCTTGGCTCACTGCAACCTCCGCCTCCCAGGTTCAAGCGATTCTCCTGCCTCAGACTCCCAAGTAGCTGGGATTACAGGCACCCACCACCACGCCCGGCTAATCTTTGTATTTTTAATAGAGACGGGGTTTCACCATGTTGACCAGGCTGGTCTCGAACTCCTGACTTCAGGTGACCCACCTGCCTTGGCCTCCCAAAGTGGTGGGATTACAGGCATGAGCCACCGTGCCCCGCCCAGATATGCTTTTCCTATCTTTTCTTTTTTTCTTTTTTTTTTTTTTTTGAGACAGGGCTTTGTCATCCAGGCTGGAGTGCAGTGGCACAATCACTGCTCGCTGCAGCCTCCATCACCTGGGCTCAAGGGATTCTCCTGTCTCAGCCTCCCAAGTAGCTAGGACGTATGCCACCATGCCAGGCTAATTTTTAAATTTTTTAGTAGACACAGGCTACATTACCAGGCTGGTCTTGAACTCCTGGCCTCAAATGAGCCTCCCGCCTCGGCCTCCCAAAGTGTTGGGATTACAAGGGTGAGCCACCGTGCCTGGCAGACATGTTTTTCATACCAGCACACTGAATTCCTATCCCCAAATCCCATGGATTTCTGCTGGGGTTAGAAATCCGACCCCCTATCTTGAATTAAATCTGTGTTGTAGTTTCAGTTACTTCTAATTGAAGTTGTGACATCTAGGGTCTGTCTGGATGTGGTGTGGCCCGCCTACTCATAGTTACTTCTCATCTTTCCTGAATTGCAGAATTGGGGTTTGTGCGTATCCTGGAGGCTTTTGGCCTGTGGCTGCCAAAATGCCTACATTTTTGTGTTCACAGCTGGCCTCATCAGCTGAGTAAAAACATAGGGAAGCTAGCATTAGTTCCTAAAGACAGGCATAGTGGAACAGAGGATGAGGCAGAAAACCAGGAGGAAGAAGCGGAAACTTTACAGACCCCAGAACCAGGCGACCTCCATGGAAATATCTGCTAGGCCACTTTCTGTCTGGTGCGCCTTAGGAAAGTAATGACCTCTCTGAGCCTTGGTTCCTTAGCTACAAGATGAGAATCATGGCATCTACACCAGTGGTTCTCAAAGTGTGGTCCCTGGGCCAGCAGCATTAGCATCACCTAAGCCAAATGCAAATTCTCAGCCCATCCCAGGCCTACCTCCTAACCAGAAACTCTGGGGGGCGGGGCCCAGAAATTTGTTTTAACAAGTCCTCCAGGTGATTCTGCTGCTCACTCAAGTTTGAGAATCCCAGCTGTGCTTCAGAGGGTTGTGGTAAGGATCAAATAAGATAACACATGGAGAGAGGCTCACACAGGGCCTAGCACATACAAAGCTAACTGTAGTTTCTTTCTCTTTGCCTCGCAGAGCTATGGTGCAGATTAAATGAACTAATATGGAGGGAAAGGCCTTGTAAACTCTACAGCACCAAACGCATGAGAGCTCTATTTTTGTTAGGAAGGGTTCTGCTTCTTCACACTTTTCTGAATTGTGAGTTTTTACAGCCAGGAAATACTCCTTTTATATTTTCAATAAACAAAGGGTATTTCCTTTTTGAGTAAGAAAGGAATTTAAAAAACACAAGGACTGCAAGCTCTCGTCCCAAGGGCCTCACAGGCCAGAATGTCCTTTCTAGCCTGGTTCTTCAGACCAAGGTGAAGTCAGGTCTCATCTCCCTGGTGCTTTCCTGGCATCCAGGAACCAGATATCTGGTTCCATAACCATGGCCTCCTCAGCCAAGCCCCTGAAGTCTCCCAGAGAGCAGGCAAATAGGCAAATTCTCTGGTTCCCTGTCTAGCCCATGGGGGCTGAGCCTAGTTTGGGGTTCAGGAGTGGAGGCCTGAGCCTAGGAAGAAACTTGGGGCTGAGCTATTTGGGATTGACACCAGCCTAGCCTCATGCAGCGCCCTTTTCCCACTGGGGCAGCATCAAGCCTTGGAACCGCAGGTGCAGCGGGCTGGCAGGTGAGGAGGAAGGACGAGCTGTGGGGCTGTCCTGCCAGGGCCTTTCAGGCCTCTGGCTGTGCTCCGACTTGACCATTCTGCTACCTGCTGGTCTTGAGCCCCGGGCATTCAGGTGAGGGCAGGGCATGGCTTCTGCAAGAGCTGGCCAGAGCTTTTGGCAACGCATCCCCTTAAGAAGAGGAGCCAGTGTGCTGCCCTGTGAACCTGCTCAAAATAAATCTTTCAAGTAAAAAGGCTGAATTCAAAGCATGAGTGGGAAGGTGGCTGCGGGCAGGAGGGAGGAAGTCCTGGTTCTCCTTGAGGAAGAGAATAGGTCAGAGAATGTTTCCTCGGGATCCTGCAGTCTTAGAAGGAGCAGGGGCCTCCTTCCTGGCCTGTTACTCTCTTCCTTCGCAGGGGCAACTGCTGGGCGAAGGGTGCAGGCACCACGGTGGAGCGCAGGCACCATGGCCAGTCTCTTCCAGGGGCCACACCACCAGGCCAAGAAAGAGAGATAGCACCTGCTACAGTCAAAGGTCCTATTTTATTGGTCCTAAGATGTCCACTTTCCCCACATTTTAGCATCTCTGAAATTGGGATATATCTTGTTATCAGTTGCATTGAGAAGCAATGAAATAGGATAGCTATTCCACGAATACAGAGAAGCACCATGTTAGATGCTAAGAACACACAGAAAGGGGCTGAAACGATTAATTTCAACAATACTGAAAACAGTGGAGGCAAAACGGTATAAAAATAACGGCCATTATGCACCTGGTCTGACACAGCACGTAAGTATGATGGGGAATCATGTGAGATCTTGAACTATAGCTTTTTCCAACTTGCAGTTAATTCACAGTTCACGTATACTTTTTGGTGATGTTGGGTCGTTCTCACAAGTATGTAAAAACAAAGTAATTTAGGCACTAGTTTTTTTAGTTTATGTAAGTATTCATTTAAGGAGAAAACTTTCCAATTACCTGACAAGCGTTCAATTTATGCCAACCAGGAAGAAACAAATACTAGCTGCCACCTCCTTGAGTCTATAAACATTGACTCAGAGCTGGTGTAACTCCAAATACGTAGATCACTTAGCTCATTTTAACTTTTAAACAATTTTGCAATTATTAACTCGTGACTAGGTCAGCTATGGTGTGAAATGGATGCAACCCATCCAGTTCTCAGAAAGATACCTGCAGATTCAGGGCAAGTGGCACATGCTGCCCCCTCCTTCTAGGACACAGGGCTCTGCAAAGTCTCCTAGGTAATGATGACAGTGAGATTTCCTTATGTAAGGTCATGCTGGCATTGGCAAGTGGGGCCTGGTGCCTTCCCAGGGTGGCTCCTCATTGGCACACCACTTTTCTGGAAACTCTATCAGAAATGGAGAAAGGAGAAAAGATGGAACTCTCAATGTCGTGGAAGAAAGTTTTGAAGCAAGTATGAGGCAGTGTTTACTGTTGACTCTTTTGGCTTTGGTCACCAGGAAGCCCAGAGGAAAATTGATGTCTCCAACTTGAGCAAATGTCTATTCTTCTATGACCTGCAAATCTAAAGAAGCCATGCTGGCTGGGTGCGGTGGCTCACAGCTGTAATCCCAGCACCTTGGGAGGCCGAGGCGGGTGGATCACTTGAGGTCAGGAGTTTGAGACCAGCCTGGCCAACATGGTGAAACCCTATCTCTACTAAAAATACAAAAATTAGCCAGGCATTGTGGCATGTGCGGTAGTCTCAGCTACTTGGGAAGCTGAGGCAGGAGAATCGCTGGAACCTAGGAGGCAGAGGCTGCAGTGAGCCAAGATCATACCACTGCACTCCAGTCTGGGCGACAAAGCAAGAGTCCATCTCAAAAAATAAAATAAAATAAATAAATAAGCCACCTTAGTGTTACCCTTCTAGCTTGGGGATCTTATTTCCTGATCCTGAGCCAAAACCTTGTAACAGATTTCTGGATTTTCATCTAGAAAGAGCCTTAGTCTAGTGGTACCCTACATTTTCACCACTGTTTTATTCTGCCTTCCCCCACCACATGGGTACCATGATTTAAACAGTTTTTAAACATATTTATATAGTAATGAAGTAGTTTAAAATTTCCCACTTGTTATTAATCAAAGGCAGATGTAAAAACCAACCAAAGTTTTCAACTTGCCTGAGATAAATGGTTCACATTCATTCCACAAATATTCACTGAGTGAAGACTAAGTGCCAAATATTGGACTAAAGAAACGGATAAGTATTGGTACTCAGGAAATGGTTGACAAGGCTTGGTCCCTACCATTATGAGACTAAGAATCTGGAGGACAGAGCAATTAAGCGGGGCCTTACAGTACAGAGGAGAGAGACCTCACTCAGTATTTTGGAGGAAAGGATTAAAGAAGGCTTCCTGGGGGAGGTGATGTCCAAGATGAGACCTGAAGGACACATAAGAGCAAGCCAGGCAAAGGGCAGGGGATGGAGGGCCTCTGGGACAAAGGGACAGCCTGTGCAAAGAAGGAAGCTGCTATGTTCTGGAGATTCCTGAGGACCTCAGTGATGAGGGAAGGGGCTTGGGGCCAGAGTGTGAAGAGCTGAGCCAGGCCAAAGAGCCAGGACCTCGTTCTAGACACAGCAGGGAACTGCAGGACATGCTTTTTTTTTTTTTTTTTTTTTGAGATAGTCTCGCTCTGTCACCCAGGCTGGAGTGCAGGGGTGCAATCTCAGTTCACTGCAACCACTGCCTCCCAGTTTCCAGCAATTCTCATGCCTCAGCCTCCCAAGTAGCTGGGACTACAGGCACACGCCATCACGCCCAGCTAATTTTTTGTATTTTTAGTAGAGATGGGGGTGTCACCATGTTGGCCAGGCTGGTCTCAAACTCCTGACCTCAAGTGATCTCCCCGCCTTGCCCTCCCAAAGTGCTGAGATTATAGTCATGAGCCACTGGACCTGGCCCACTGCTGGACCTTCTAAGTAGAACACTGACAAACTGGGATTAGCATTTTAGGAGAATCATCCCAGCTGCAGGGTGGAGAATGGATTGAGTGTGAAACCCCAGAGGAAGGGAGACCAGAGGGATGTAGGGGAAAGGGAGAGGATCTGGACCAAGGGAGGAGAAATGGGGGTCCTGACCTTTTGATATAATTGGGCCAGAAATGTAGATACCCAACATTGCAATTGCCTGGAGCAGCCTGATTGTGGCTGAAAGCCCGTCTCTGCTGGGCTTCACAAAGTATTCAAATAGGTGCCCAGACAGCCGTTATTGCTTAGGTGGGCCCCAGGCAGGGGAGGGGAAGCTCATGTCACCAAACCCTGCCCCTGTTTACAACTGAAGCCAGGAAAGCTCAAAACTGTCAGGTGGCTCCAGCAGCCTGAGGAGCAGAGTCAGAACTTGGGCCTCTTAACTCCCTCCCGGTGCTCTTTCCCAGTCCATTGGTGGATGCTCGTTTTATGCCAGGCACTGTGTGCCCTGCACTACACCTCATGCCGTTGAGGAAATGCAGGGATTTTTTTTGAAGAGTAAATAGTGTAGATTTGCCAGGAATTATGCCAAGTTCACTTGCTTTTCTTCCCCCCATCAGGATCAAAGGCTTAGCAGTTAAAGAAAACACAATAGACTTAATACCTATTGACATAAATAAATATTTTACACTGTTCGTTGTGACATGCTCATGGGAAATGTGGATCAAAGACCAGTGTGTCCGGATGAGGTGGCTTATGCCTGTAATCCCAGAACTCTGGGAGGCTGAGGTGGGAGGATCACTTGAGTCTAGGAGGTTGAGGCTGCAGTGAACTGTGATTGTGCCACTGCACTCAGCCCCAGCAACAGAGAGAGACCCTGTCGCAACACAAACAAACAAACACACACACACCAGTGCAGTTGCTAGGAAGACAAAATAGAATCCAGTCATTGCTGTCAGCAGCACAGGGCTGAAAGAGGTGCAGGAGTTCCTCCAGGAACAATCTTGAAACAGTGCCCTCAGGAACACATCTTTGGAAGAGGTTGGGCAGTGGAGGGAGTGCGGTGATTAGCACTGGACAGGACCACATTGGAAGAGGGAACACAGAGGACAGGCCATGCACAGTGAAGAGGCATATGCCAGAAATGTGCCTGGACGATGGGCCAGGGCTGCAGGGCCTGGGCAGCAAGCCGTGATTCAGTGAGCAGATATCATATGAGAACGGCACACTGCGAGGCAAGAGCCCAGGCTGCAAAGACTGATTGAAGAGGAGCGCCCACATCCCCCAATCTGTGTTCATCTGCGTATTTGTGTTTTTAGATGTGTCTGTACTCACACATACTCCCAGCTGCATCTCCTGTACAGTTTAACTGGGACCCAGCCTCTCAGCTGGTTTCTGAGTTACTCACATGTGCATTTATAGCTCCCTGCTTGGAACCGTGCTTAGGTGAAATCTTAAAGAGACTCCTTGTGGCAGTTTCCTAAGAGTCCCACTGTTTTTTTTTTTTTTTTTTTTTTTCTAGTGACGGGGTTTCACTGTTTCACTGTGTTGCCCAGGTGGGTCTCAAACTCCTGGGCTCAAGTGATCTACCTGCCTTGGCCTCCCAAAGTGCTCTAAGATTGTGAGCCATCGCACCTAGCCAAGTCTCCTCACCGCCCCCCCACTTTTTTTTTGAGACAGAGTTTTACTCTTGTTGCCCAGGCTGGCACGATCTCTGCTCACTGCAACCTCCGCCTCCAGGGTTCAAGCGATTCTCCTACCTTAGCCTCCTGAGTACCTGGGATTACAGGCATGCGCCACCACGCCCGGCTAATTTTGTATTTTTAGTAGAGATGGGGTTTCTCCATGTTGGTCAGGCTGGTCTCGAACTCCCGACCTCAGGTGATCCGCCCTCCTCGGCCTCCCAAAGTGCCAGGATTACAGGCGTGAGCCACCGCATCCGGCCAAGTCTCCCACTCTTGATAAGCCTTTTAGTGGAATGCTTAACTTGTACATCAGCAAGGATGAAGCAGGGAGCGACCCATCCCTTGGTCAGACTGCATCTGCACAGATGCCCTGTCAGAAAACTTGTTATGCCCTGGTAAAAAGTTAAGAATTATAGGCATCAACTGTTTCCTGCCACATAACTGTCCCATGATGGCATGGGTACTTCTTGGGTTAATAATCAGGTGTTGGCTTTCCTGCAAAGGCTGATTATCACTTGTCAAATTATCACTGCTGAATTGTTTAATCAATGGTGGCTTTTGAGCTTGAGCCTGCTGCATGCACAGCAGTGTTCTAGGACTTCCAAGAGGAACAGAGGGTGACCAAGGAGCCATTTTTACCCTCAAGAAGAGTTATCTAGAAGGAGGGTGTGTCTGCACAGCTTAGGGGTCAGCGTCTCCACAGCAGCTGCATAGGCAGATAGATGCACATAGCCTGGCCCAGGGGAGGTGCTCAGGAAACACTTGTTGATGATTGAGGAAAGAATGGGTTATTTCTCTATTAATTTTTGGCTCTGGGACTCAGGGAAGGCACCAGAGAGAAGGTGACATTGATCTGGGATGGTCGGATTTCAGAGGTGAAACTGGCCTGAAAGGAAATGCCACATCACCATGTGCATCTCATTAGAAGTAAAAGGAGACATGTAGGAAACCTTAGATTTGTTTTTGGTGAAGTGAAAGAGAGAAGTTGCTCTAAAAGGTTGGAAACCAGCCCCTAAGAAAAAAAGAAAGAACTGAGACAAATCAACTCAGGAGGGCCTGGGACCCAGCGTGCGTAAGAGTCTACCTTGTCTAGACATGGCTCTTACGCAGTGATTCCTCACAGCACAGCACCCGGTGAGATAGGTACTGCCACTTCCATTTTGTAAGTGAAGCCCAGAGAAGCAAAGAAATGTGCCCTAGGTCACATAGCTAGTCGGTGGCAGAGCTGTGATTGGCAGGTTGGTCGAATGCCTCCAAAGCCCTCGACCTTCCCACTATACTTCACGCATCTCTAGAGAAGAGACAGAAGTAGCCAGGATGAAGGTCTTCAGGTTTAAGAAGAACTATGAAAAAGCAAAAGATTTTTGTTTTCGTGGTTTTTTTACTATAAAGGAAAACTTTAAATAATAGCAAGAGTGCTATAGGTAAGATATCAGAAAGAACATCCTTATTGTGAAAGCTGTTACGTGAAACATTGAGCCAGCATCAGGTCAACGTCCAGCGGCCAATCTTCACTTTAGTTCAGGCTTCATCCTGGGGAACTTCAGGAAGTTTCTGTCTTTTATCAGATCCCCTCTTTGGGTAATTTCCAGACTCCCCAGGGATTGTTCACAAAGTCACAAATGGCTAGTTCTCCACTCCCTCCAGCTCTGGACCATTGCCCAGGGCTTATCTGCTGGTCACGTCTCACCACCTCATAGCCGTTGCTACTGCCTGGGCTCTGGTCCCTCCAAAGAGCATTGAGAAGCTGCTGTCGTGGAAGATGTGAACTGTCATGGTTCAGAGCTCAGGCTTGCTACTCACTGGCAGTGTGACTTTGGTCATATTAGTCAATCCTTCTGTGCCTGGGTTCCTTTGTCTATTAAAAGGAACACAGTGTCTATATCATAGCATTGTTATTCAGATTGCAGTAATTAACACATGTTAAGCTTACAGAATGGCAGTTGACAAACTGTGGCCCATGGGTCAAGTCCAGCCCAACACCTGTTTTATAAATAAATTTCTTTGGAACACAGCTACATTCATTTGTTTGCATATTCTCTGTGACTGCTTTTGGGCTACAATAGCAGAGCTGGTAGTGACAGAAACCACAGGGCCCGCAAAGCTTCAAAAACTTACTCTCTGGCCTTTTGCAGAAAAAGTTAGCCAACCCCTGATATAGAATGATGCCTGGCACATAGAAAGTGCTCATTAAATGGTAGCTTAAACAAAGAAAAGGGAAAGAAGCCTCACTAGTTCTTGAGTTTAACAAAATTTGAATGAGGTCCTATGATGAATGCTTAGACAATGACAACCTAAAAGGAACATCTAACACAGCTGTTTGTGTGATCAGTGCTCCCTGAGGGTGGTGATCTCTTCCTGCCTCCTCAATGCCAGGAGGTGCTGCCATCATGCTGTGTCCCATGGACTGGAGTCCCTCCTGACTGTGTTCTCCCACCACTCTTTCCTGCCCCAGAGAACGACTGACAGGGAGAGCAGCCAACTCCATCAAGATCAACCTCCGCTGTGGGGCATGCTCTGGTTCCTCTTTCCTCACGGCCCTGAGGGGACAATTACAATAGTCCAGTCTCGACCTTCCAGTCTCTTCCCTGTGGATATTTTGGGCAGGATAACTCTCTGTTGTGCAGGACTGTCCTGCACATTGCAGGATCCTTAGCAGATTCCCTGGCCTCTGCCCACTAGATGCTAGTAGCACCCCCCCAAGTTGTGACAGCTGAAAATGTCTTCAGACATTGCCAATGTCCCCTGAAGGGCAAAATCGCCCCAGTTGAAAATCACTGGCTTAGTCTAAAATAACATCACAGGTGGGGCAACAGCAACCCGGTCTAGGATGGCTTAACTTCATCCTTTGAAAAACAGTGTTCTTTGCAAAGGCACAAACTGCTAAAGATGCCTCCAGTTTGTATTATTGTATCATTAAACAGAGCATCTCACCTCGAAGCAGCAGCATCTGGACTGCTCCGTTGGGGGCTACACTTCCACTGGGCAGCTCCCTGCCTCACATCTGTGTAGGTAAGAGGGTCTATCAAAGAGCTACCTTCCACAGCCCAGAGACGGCCTGCCCCAGAGTGTGGAAGATGCTTATGAATCCCCCCACCCCTGGCCCCATGCTAGCTTTCCAGCTTCACTGTATTTACATCCGATGCCACCTCAAGTGTCAGGAAGAAACTGTTGACAGCTTTAAAATAATAGTTTATTCACCGATTCGCTTATTCTCCCCTCCAGTCTTTAATGAATCCCTTTGTGGGCTGGTCACAGGGAACCAGAGACAGAGCCCTTACCTTCAATGGGCTGGTAGGTGAGGGGGAGGTAGACATATAAGCAGGTAATTACAATGAAGCACACTAAGTGCTATGATGACGTGTGCTGGTGTTGTGGAACACAGAGGGGACAAATAACCTCAATTCGGGGGCATGTGCGTCTGTCAGCAAAGGCTTGCCTGAGGAGCTAATTCTGGAAACACACAGGAGTTAGCAGGGCAAGGAGAATATGTGAGTATTTATGTGCATGGGTGGTGAGTGTTTTAGGGATGAGGATGGCATCCCATTGCAGGCAACAGAGGCCCTAAAAAGCAGGCGAGAGCACGTGGCACAATTAGAGACTCAGTAGCCTAATGTTTGAGGGGTAGTGTTGGGAGACAGTTCTCCATGGGTCTTTCATGTTTCAGCATATCTGTGAACAGAGACACTAGACAGGTTTTGTTCCAGACTTGCTTTTAAAGGACGTTTATGTAACAAACAGTCTTAGATGATAGTGACAATATCTCCCTGCAGGGCAAAGAGTGATTTATTTGCTGTCAGCATAATAAAGATCACGTCTCCTTTCAGAGGTAAATGTTGGACAGGTTTGCTAGCCGCCCCCTTTAAAAGAATGAGGTTTCCCAAGCCTTGAGTTCCTCAGCCAATGATGCTGAGCAGTTTGCATATGCCAGTGTCACTTGGTCCACATATCATTCTGTGGAACTGGGGCTGGGGAAACAGGTGCAAACGTTACTCTGGCTACTGCTGTGAGTATTAAACTGTCCCTTGTCTCTGACCCAGGCATCTCATGTCTTCTGCCGATATCCATGAAACTGGCAGACTAACTTGTTAACTTGCAAGCAGGATAAAAGCTCTGACCCTCCACACTTTTGGACAGGTGATGAGTGGGGAAAGCAAAGCCTGGAGAAGTGAGTGGGATTGTGAAGGTCTTGTGTGCTACATGACAGAGCTTGATATTTATCTCAAGGAGCCACTGAAGAACTTTCAGCAGAGAACTGTCTGGATCTGGTGTGCACTGTTGTGGAGAGTGGAGAGCTGGAGGGTGAGCCTGGAGAAACACGGCCAATGAGGGGTACAGCTGTGGGGCAAGTGGTCTGAACAAGGGCTGTGCCAGTTGGGAGAGTGGCGGTCAAGTTTAAAACAAACTTCATACTATCCTTGATAGCATTTTTTTTCTGATCCAGGATTCAATCCAGATAGCATTTATCTGTGGTATCTCTTTAGACCTTTTATGCCCTTGACATTTCTGAAGCATGTAGAACGGACCTTGTAGCATATAGCATATAGATCTTAGAGAATGTCCCTCGATTTTTATTTGTCTGAGGGTTTCTCATGACGGGAGTGAGGTTGCATGTGTATATATATTTGTGTGTGTGTATGTGTGTGTGTGTGTACATATATATGGTTAGGGTTAAGGTACATATACACAGTAGAGGGTGTGAGAGAAAGCAAGTGTGCAAAATGTTAACAACTGGTGATTCTAGGTGATGGCTGGAAGTGAGGGTTGAAGGAGAGGAGAGGAACGAGTCAGTTGTGATCGCCAGGCATTTGGTGTGGTGGCTGGTATTACCAGCTGACATAGAGGGTTGGGGGGAGCTTTGGAGGGAGGAAGGGGGAGGAAAAGATGGTGAGTTTGGTTATTTTTAAAAATGATTTGCTAGCCTGAGTCCCCTTCCAGCCACATCTGGTTTTAGGATCCCATGGATTATCCAAAGGGGGTAGCCAGCAGGCAGGTGGTCTGGAGCTCAGAGGAAAACTGGGCAGGGGCAGAGCTGGTGTTGAAGCCATGGGAGGGGACAGCTTCACCCCAGGGGAGTGTGTCTGTAAGAAGGAGAAGGGGCCAACAACAAAACCACCGTGACAGCTGACATTGAGGGGCAAGTGGCCACAGAGATCTGAGAAAGGGCAGGGAAACGGGAGGACAATTCAACAAAGCAGTGTCCCCAGAAACAGAGGGTTCAGAAATCAGGAGTGGGGGGTTAGTGCCACCAGGGTCAAGGGCTGCATGAAGTGCGAGGGCCGAAGAGTCTGTGTGGACTCAGTGGGACATGGGCGTGGAAGAGCAGGGAGGTCTGAATGGGAAGTAAAGACACAGATGCGGGTATGCACACAGTTCTTTGAAGATGCTCGGCCGAGGAGACAAGAGTAATCAGGTCAGGGGCAAAAAGGGGTACTCGCCTGAGGAAGTAAACATTGGATGTCCACAGCTCAGAGTTAGTTCAAGGTCACATTCAAATTAGATACCCCGATTTCCCCCGGCCTGCTGTCTAAATGCCAAATCAAGTCATGGCTTCTCACCTACCGCTTCACACTCTTCACAAAGATGAGTGCTGGGAAGGCGGATGGGGAGAGGGAGCATTTTTTTGTCAGCCAGGGGAGACAGCTGTACCAGTGATGAAAAGCACCTGTGACATTTTCAAGTCTCTCTCTGCCAGGAAAGGAGCCTGTCACAAAAGCAGCCTCTGCCCACAGTATTCGCTCTCCCACTGGTTTCCCGTGAGTGCCGGGGAACATTGCTACATCACCCTGTGTGGAATATGGCTTTATGATCATGATCATTTGAAGTTTTCTCTTTTCACTCAAGAGCTTGTCACAAATAATAGCCTTGTTGACCCCAGGCCCTCATTTTCTGGAAACCAGGCTGTATTTTCTCCATCTTCCTTTCCTTCCAGCTGCCTTGCAGCACTCTGCACAGCTTATTTTCTAAAACTCAAACAGGAGAAACACCAACATTTTATTTCGGTCAATAACTATTTTACACAAGAGAATCCATAGCAATTTAACTAGAGTCAAATATTTAAACTACAATAAAATGCAGTCCTATGAATGAATAACCAAATTGTGATATATCCATAGAATGGGATATTATGCCATCATAAAAAGGCATGAAGGCCCTTTTTATTGCATAGGAAGGAATGCTACAACATGGATGAACCTTGGAAACATTATGCCAGATGAAAGAAGCCACCTGCAATTGACCACATATTGTATGATTCTGTTTATATGAACTATCCGGAAGAGGCAAATCCATGGAGGCAGAGAGCAGATTAGTGGTTGCCCGGTGCTGAGAGCAGGGAGAGTGGGAGGTGACTGCTTCACAGGTATGAGGTTTCCTTTGGAATATTGAAATGTTCTGGATCTAAGTAGGGGTAATGGTTGCACAACATCGTGAATATACTAAATTTTACTAATGGTAGTTTTATGCTCTATGTATTTTACCACAACAAAAAATTAATTTAAAAAAAAAAGAAAGAAAGAAAGCAACTTCACCCTGAGACCAGAGAGAAAAAGGCCCTGACTCTGCTCACAAGAACCACAAGGCCTTCAGTGTGATGAGGGTTTCACAGCAGCTCTTCCCTACTTTGGCTGCCCATGAGAATCATGTGAGCAGTTTTTTAAAGCACCTCCCACCTCAACACCAAGACCAATTAATCCTGATCTCAGGGACTGGGGCTGGGAGCAAAATCAGGAGCTCTTGGAGATTCCACTATGTAGCCATGGTTGAGAAATATGGCTCTGGGCTGGGGATTCTCCAAATGTGGTTCCTGGACCCAGCAGCAGCAGCATCACCTGGGAATGTGTTAGAAATGCAGATGCTAGGGCTCCGTCCGTGAAGTACTGAATCAGAAACTCTGAGGGTGTGGCCCAGCAGTCTGTGTGGGAACAAGCCCTCTAGGAGATTCTGATTGTGCACTCAAGTTCTGGCAACCACTATTCAAGTCTAGGCCAAGTAAACTACAGAGTTTTTCTCAACCAGTGAGTATTCATTGAGCATCTGCCATACGTTTGGTTCCATAAAGGGTGCCGTGAAAATAAAAAGACCTATCCCAGCTCCTCTCAAGCATCTGGTGGGTTAGATTCTTGGAAAAGAAATGGTACATTAAAATGAGATCAGCCTTTTTACGGCTAAACAATATTCCATTGTATGTCTGTGCCACATTTTGTTTATCCATGCATCTGTTGATGGACAATTGACTTATTTCCACCTTTTGACTAATATAAATAATGCTGCTATGAACACAGGTGTACAGGTATCTCTTTGAATCCCTGCTTTTAATACTTTGGGATCTATATCTAGGATTAGAATTACTGGATCAGGCCAGGCGTGTTGGCTCACACCTGTAATCCCAGCACTTTGGGAGGCCAAGGTGGGTGGATCACTTGAAGTCAGGAGATCGAGACTGGTGAAACCCCATTTCTATTAAAAATACAAAAATTAGCTGGGTGTGGTGATGTGCATCTGTAATCCCAGCTACGTGAGAGGCTGAGGCACGAGAATCGCTTGAACCCAGGAGGCAGAGGTTGCAGTGAGCGAGATCACGCTACTGCATTCCAGCTTGGGCAACAGAGCGAGAGACTCTGTCTCAAAAAAAAAAAAGAATTGCTGGTATTATATGGTAATTCTATCTTAACGTTTTAAGGCACCGCCAAACTATTTGATGTTCCCACCAACAATAAATGTTTGAGATAATGAAAAAGCTCTGTTATGTATATTTTACTACAATTTTTAATTTTTTATTTGAGATGCTCTGTCACCCAGGCCGGAGTGCAGTGGCGCAGTCTCAGCTTACGGCAACCTCCATCTCCTGGATTTAAGCGATTCTCCTGCCTCAGCCTCCCGAGTAGCTGGGACTACAGGCGTATGCCACCATGCCCAGCTATTTTTTGTATTTTTAGTACAGACGGGGTTTCACCATGTTGGCCAGGCTGGTCTCCAACTCCTGGCCTCAGGTGATCTGCCCTCCTTGGCCTCCCAAAGTGCTGGGATTACAGGCGTGAGCCACCGTGCCCGGCCGACAATTTTTAAAAAGAGATTAAGCCATGAAAACATGGTTAGAAACATGACCATGTTTCTGATGGTCAACACTGAATAAAAATTACTTCAAACACCATATTTAATCATGTAAATGTTATGCATATAACAGTGCATGAAAAAGACGGTATCTGTAGTCCTTTCTGTTCAGAGATGGTTACCAGTCGTTGCCTGAGCCTGGAGCCCCCTATTTGAATATTATGTTTAAGAAAGACAGAGCAGGATGTCTTGCGAGGGCGGTGGCTACAGGGCTGTGGACTTAACACTTTCACATCTAGCACGATTCCTCACATGAATGGGCCAAGGAAGATGAAGGAGGATAACATGTGGTGAGCACTGATGGGGGGCTCAGGCCTGGCTAGTTTTCATGATAGGGGTTAGGTTGTTAGCATGTCAGCAGTTTGTTTAACTTAGTGGTTTGCTGTTGTTTGTTGCTTAGTTCAAGAGCTGTTTGTTGAACACTTCAGTGTGCCAGGCTCTGCAGCAGGAGCCAGGTGTACACGCATGCAGAAAGCGAGCTGACAGTCTAGTGCAGCGCTTCTCAGCCTCAGCCCGCAGCAGCATCGCCTGGCAGCCTTGTCCAACGGCAGATGCTGGGCGCCACCCCCAGAGTGTCCGGTTCGGTAGGCCTGGGGTGGGGCCCGAGACTCTGCATTTTGAATGAGTTCCTAGGCGGTGATGATAATGCTTGTCTGGAGCCACGCTTTGAGAACCACTGGACTACTGGGGTGGAAAGGCAGACAATATTGCTTTGATCAGTGTGGCTGCTGCAAGGAAGAGAAATGCAAAGGCTGTATAGGAGCACAGAAGAGGGGGAAACCCTTTGCCCTGCCCCAGCGAGGGGAGGGTGTTTCAGGGAGATGTGAAGCAGCTTGGTGTGTCTGCAGGATGCAAGCAGCTCAGCGCTGCTGGAACGAAAAGGAGGGGTGGGAGCAGACACAGAAAAGTCCAGAGAGAGGTGGGCAGAGCCTCTCCACGATGAACATACTCTAAGGTCACAGGTCATGAGAACCTAAGAGGAGGTTAGAAATGGAGAAGCAAAAGCAAACAGATCGTCACCCTTTACCTTTGGCAGCCTGGAAACCCCACCCGCCTCCCTGTAATAAACCTCATCTCCAGAAGGAACCTGATGCAGGCCTTGACACCAGTGTGTAAATGACTGCGGAGCCTTTTTGTCCCCGCCTCATCCCCCACCCAGCAATATTAGACGGGGATTATTGGCGGGGTGGAGGAGAAGGACTTCCTGAGGGTGGGTGGAGGGCTGAGCTGGCAGCCCCAGCCTTATGGTTCACCTCTTCTGGCCTCCAGCCTGCACTCCTGGCCCCCACCACCATGGCTGGATGGGAAATGATTCCCATCTCTCTCTGTGTTAATACATCCATCAGTCCTGCCCCTGTGACTAGAGCCACAGAGAACACAGCTAAGCCACAAGACTCAGAGGGAACAGCAGCCTTCATGTCCCCTCTAAATCCATCTGGAAATCAGACATCCTCAGGATGGTGTCTGCATGTAGAAGCCACTTTTTTTGTTGTTTAGAGATGGGGTCTTGCTATGTTGCCCAGGCTTGTCTCAAACTCCTGGGCTCAACTGATCCTCCTGCCTCCCCAAGGGGAGATTTGGGGGGATTTACCAAGCCCAAGTCTCAACCCTCCGTCTCCAGCTGACCCAAACAAAAATTAGACAAAAGTTTGATGCAAAGTATGGATTAAAGCATCTTTAGAAAATGTGTTTATTTTTATTGATCTATAATGTAAAATCCAAGAAAAAGAGTTGGCCTGCTATGGCAAGTCCAGCTTTGAGCTTTATTCATAACAAGTAACCCTCCCCTTCTAGCCCTCCCTCACTGTCCCGGGACCACCTCTGATTCAGTGGTGATACTGACAAAGGAAAACTCTAACGCTAGTTTGATTCCTCGCCCTCTGTTTGTACATAATAACATCATAAGACCTCATCCATCAATTATTAACCCATGTCCTTGGTCACCTCCTTTCCTTCTGGGCAGGACATTGGGGTTTATGACTGTGCCTCTCCGCCTACCCAGCAGGAAAACAGGTAGAATTCAGCAGGTTGTGGCCTTCTGTGCGGTGGGTCAACCTCTTACCAAGGTGATGCTGTGGGAACCACACTACTGACTGGCTGAACCCACTGGGTTTTTATGAGAAGACATAGATATTTTAATCAGCTTCAGAAGTGAACTGCAGGACCTATAAATATATTTTAAACATGTTTTTAAAATGTAGCTTCTAGGCTGGGTGCAGTGGCTCACATCTATAATCCCAGCACTTTGGGAGGCTGAGGCAGGAGGATCATTTCAGCCCAGGAGTCTGAGACCAGCCTGGGCAATATAGCAAGACCCCATCTCTTTAAAAAAATGGCTTTTACATGCAGACACCATCCTGAGGATGTCTGGTTTCCAGATGGATTTAGAGGGGACATGAAGTCTGCGGTCCCCTCTGAGTCCTGTGGCTTAGCTGTGTTCTCTGTGGCTCTAGCCACAAGAGCGGGACTGTTGGATGACCCCCAGAGAGAGGCAGGTACTAGCCTCCCAACAGGAAGACCTTTCTAACAGATGGAGGAATGTACACAAGCAGGTGTCAAATGATCCTAGCTCAGCCTTGGCACAGGGCAGGACCCAGACCTGGCAAAGGGAGGCCGGATGGATCCCAGACTCTTTCTGAGTCAATGCATCACACATCCCTAGAATATACCAGCCTCTCCACTGCAGCGGGGCCTCTGAGCTTGCTGGGCCCTCTCTAGTGAACGCCATTCCTCACGTTTCACTCATGGTTGGTTCTACTTGTCCTTTAAATCTCAGCTTTAACGGCGCCTCCTCTGGGAAGCCTGCCTGCATCATCTGCTTGACAGGGATCCCTCCATTTTTCTGTTGCAGCCCTCGTTTAATTCCTTTGCAGCGCTCATTGCAGATTGCAATTATTTCCTTGTGCATTGGTTTACTTGTTATTTATTATCAGTCTCTTACACTGGTCTGTGAGTGCCGCAAGGTCAGAGACTAGAGCTGTTTTGTTCTCCATTGCATCTTCAGCACCTAGTACAGTGCCTGACACATACTAGACACATTTGTTGAAGAAATGAATGCATTAACTCCAAAATTAAATTGCACTCCAAGAAGGAGAGCATTTAGAGATTTTTCTCCTTCATTCAACATTTGAGTACTCGTTTTTTATTGCAAATACAATCCATCTTATTAAATGTGTATTCAAATTTGGTACATAATTTTTGATCATTTTCATATAGATACACATGCCTTTCATTATGGTCAGACCTCCTTACAAAACAAACTTTGAGGGACTAACCAAAAGCTATCATTGTCCTGAAATTGTGCCTATTTGTTGAAAAAGGGCGTGTCATCATCTAGAATGTGTAAACTTTGCCACTACAGTGGTATCCTTTGGGGCAAGTTTTGATCTGACTGCGTGTTGGTAGCCGGCCCAAAGAGATGTACCCTGGAGCTTGGGCCCAGGCAGGTTCTCCAGGAAGCTGCCTGCAGTGAGCACTGACACAGACACAGGGGGGTCCACCTCAGAGTATGACCTCCAAGAAGTGTCATGGGGCAGAATTAATGTTGACTCTGGTGCCTGGATCCCCCCACTGTCTTCTCATGGCTACCTTTCATCAGTGAGCCCCTCTTTCTTCTGTCTCCAACCTTCCTTCTCTGGTCTCTTTTGCCGTCTGCATAGCAGTTTGCTCAAGCCTCTTCATAAAAAACAAAAACACAGGCTGGGTGCGGTGGCTCGCGCCTGTATTCCCAGCACTTTGGGAGGCCAAGGCAGGTGGATCGCTTTAGGTCAGGAGTCTGAGACCAGCCTGGCCAACATGGCGAAACCCCATGTCGACTAAAAATATAAAAAATTAGCTGGGCGTGGAGGCACGCACCTGTAATCCCAGCTACTTGGGAGGCTGAGGCAGAAGAATTGCTTGAACCTGGGAGGCGGAGGTTGCAGTGAGCTGAGATTGCACCACTGCACTCCAGCCTTGGTGACAGAGCAAGACTCAGTCTCAAAAACAAAAACAGAAACAAAAAACAAAATCTTTCACATTACCCTCACCTTACCATAACCACCACGCATACACCCTTCTCTCATCCCTTTATGGCTAAATTTCTGAAATGAGCTTAAAAAAACCCTCCACATCCATTCAAGGATGTGTTCAGACATAAGTAGGGATATGACATAAAGTTCTGGTCTTCCAAAGGTCTTTGAAACTCATATTCTGAGCTCTAGTCTGTAATAAGTTTCTGTACTAGTCTGGCTCTAACAGTCACAGGTGAGGCAGGCTAACAATCATCACTGCTTGCTAGTGTGCACAACCCGAGTAGGCTGGCCGAGAAGTTCAAGTCAGGGACTAGAAAGCACTGGGGTAGCTTTGGCAGGACCTGAGCTGGACTTTGAAGAGTGGACGAAATTTGGAAAGGTGCAGAGGAAAGAAGAGGGCATTTGAGCAGATTTTTTCATAACGGCATTTGTGAAGGTGGGTTGGCATAGCCTGTTCTTAGGCTCAGGGAGCTGGCTGAAGCATGGGGCAGGCTGGGGCGGGATGTGGGGGCCTTTGAAGACTTTGACAGGTTGGGGCACTTCAAGGCCATGAAAAACAGCTAGGCTGTGCTTTGTCTTGTTGGGGTGGGGCAGGGCATGCTAGGGAGAAAGGGAGTGTACGGATGGGTGGTGGGGTGGTGCCACCCAAGCCAGGCTATGACAAGATTGATCTGGTTACTGCAGGAGAGCCAGCCTGGCAGTGTAACAAGGAAGGCTGGGGCTGGTTGCCTGTGGGAAGCCTTTGCAGTGTGACATGGCGAGGGCCTAACCCATGGAAGCATGGGAGTCCATGACCCACTAAGGGCAAAGGATAGACCAAGCTGGCTCTGAGATGTTGAGCCTTGGAGGAGCGGGGCCCAGGTGTTCTCTGATGAGGCATTCCACCATCAAGCTGTAATCTAGGCCATAACACATCCTCTAATTGCAATATTGCAAAAAATATATGGACTGTATGTGAACCCTGAAATTTACAAACTGTTAAAAATTTATGACCTATTTGGAAAAATTTGAATTCTAATTGGATTCGGTAATCTTAAGGTATTAATTCTTAACTCTCTAGGTGTGGTCATGGTACTGTGGTTTTAAGAGCCCTTATGTTTTAGAGAAACATATGAAATATATACAGATGAAATATATCTGGATTTGTTTCCAGTTATCCAGGTAGATAAGGGGAGAATGGGCTTAGCATAGATGAGGCAGGACTGTTTCTGAATTGTAAACTGTCCAAGCTGGGTGACATGGGGTTCATTCCACTCCTCTCTCTACATTGTATACATTTGAAATTTTCTGTAAAAACATTCTGGTCCTTGGATAATGCAGGTCCTACACCCTGGGCCTCAAAATTCCCAATCAGAAATCACGAGAGGCATTTTGAGCTGTGCCATGTTAATCTCTTGTTACCTTTCGAAACAGGAATTCTGACCACTTCTGTTTTGCCTAGAGCAGGAAAAACACATAGACAGGAAAGAAATAATGCCTTGGCTTTATTTAGAAAAACAAACTGTGAAAGACACGTGATCCTCCTGTATCACGATCATGGGAGGAGTCCAACCAACTGGAGAGGCGAAGTCAAAACTCAGAAGAGCAAAGGCAAAGTTTTAGCTGGAAATAAATGCTTCTTTTAGGAGAGTCACTCCCAGTGGAGGATTTCTGGCAGTGGAGCACTTGGCATGAGTGTGAAAGCTGACACTGAGTTGGAAAATGGTAGCCCAGGGTGTAGCGGCCAGCATAAGGCCAGCACTGTGCAGTCACATGTCACAGCTCAGGGAACAGAAAGGCCTGCTGTTGTCACCTCTGATATTGGTTGTCCCGGTGCCCACCCTCATGGCACCTCTATCTCTCACATGCCACAAAGACAGGAGGCTGCTCTGACAGTGTCCCCAGCTATGCAAGGCGGGGACACCCACTAGCCATTACATGCTGGGGGAGGGCCCTATGAACTTCCTTGGCAGGCCGTCTCCCAGGCTACAGGGCAGAAATCAGATTTCTTTTTCAATTAGTGCCCCCAAACAGAAACCATTTGCACACAGGTAAGCTAGAAAGCTAGGAGGGTACATTTTGAACCTGAGCAAGTGATCTCATTTTTCCTCCTCTTTTTTGAGGAGAAGAAATACATGAGGGAATTAAGGTGGGTGCACGTTCCCTGGGAAAGGAACAAGCATGAAACAGGTGTTGAGAGTTCAGCTTAGTAAACATGTGAGGGCCCACTCTGTGCCAGGCACTGTGGGAAGTGCAGCGATGGATGAGCCGTGGTCCTTGTCTTCAAGGACAGCGTGGGGAAGCCAGGAAATTCCAGGTGCACAAAATCTCCTGGATAAATACTGAAGGACACATAAGTCCTGTGACCCAAGCAAAGTAACTGTTACTTAGCCAAAGTCAAACTTCCGGCAAATCTCTTAAATCTCTATTTTTCACCCATAAAATGGTGCAATTCTGCCTTGCTTACCCCGTAAGGTTATAGAGTTATAAGGATCAAAGCTACTACAATATAATAACAATGAGGAGGAGGAGGAGGAGGCGAAGACAAGGCTTTCTTGACCTTGCTGACCTACAGACCTGTGACTGGTGCCCAAGGACGAACTCCGCTGTGGATGGCAGCCAGGACCAGGGCAGGTTCCTGATGCAGATGGCTGTCTGATCCCAGCCAGTCCTGGAGCACCGGTGCCCTGTGCCCTCATTCCCGAAGCTGGTTCCCCTGGGCACCTTGTCACATGCCCAGTAGCTGCCTTGACATGAGCAACCTTTCTGACTCATTCAAATTTGCCTGACAGATGGAGAAGGTGCTTAGTCCTAGTATTCTTAATAAATATCAGAGCTTAAGAGCCAGAAGGAACCTTCCAGAACATAGCTTCCACACACATCCCATCCCCACCACTACGCCCACCACCCCCACCATTTGCACGAAGGGCAATGGAGGCTCCAGCAGGGAACATAACCCACTGAAGTGTTGGGACAGCTGATGCTGGAATCTCATTCTCTGGACTCCCCTGGTCCAACATAGCTGCTTCTCTTTCCAAGACAGGTTTTGCCAACACCAACTCTACTGCCTTTAATATCCTTAGTCTTTCCTGCCCCCCAAATACCTTATTTGGTCCTAACTTCCAATAAAGCGTATTTAGAGCAAGAGAAAAAGGAAACATTCCCCAAGTCACATTTTCCCAAGCCCTCTGTTCTTTTTCACTCTTTGGGAAAATGTTTCCTAAATGCCCATGGGGGCACGTGACCCTACTTATAATATGGGTTCACAGAGACGAAGATGAGGGGTCCCTATCTTCACGAGGCTCTCGTTTAGCTATCAGTAAAATGCCCTCTTGATGAAACCTTTTTGAACCTCCACTGTGGGAAAAGAAAACCCTTCTAATCCAGTTCCCTTTAGTCATGTGTGCAAAGAGAAAGCTTCTCAATGATGCATCTCTTTACTTCCTGAGTTTTTTGCATTCATGCCTGGCTGGCAGCTTCCGCCCTGCTGGCTGTGGGCCCAGGCAGTATTGTGAGCACAGAAAAGGCTGGCAGCCTCACTTAGGGAGTCTTACCCTGTGCTGTGTCTCTTCCTGACCCTGGGGTTCTACATGAGGCCTCACGGTTGCTTCATTCTGCTCCCCGCTGCCCCTAAAGCATTCGGTTTGGCCCCCAGCTGAATAATTGTCTTACTCCAGTTTGGCCCTGGAGTGCCTGCTTTGATATCCTCCAGCCTCCCTCTTCCCTAGTCACCATCTTGGTGTAGTTGAGTTATTTTGAGGCCTTGAAAATAAGAATAGTAGAGCTCAGCGGAGACTCTGCCATGCCCAAGTGAGAAGACTGGTGTCCAGTGAAAGGTTGGACTGGAGATTCTGCAATTCCGTCATGCTGTAACATTTCTGAAAATGCATAGCCTAAGGTTGACAGCCTGAAAAATCAGTAGGGTTCCGATGTGTGTGTCCGGACCTAGAAGTAAGAACTAACTAAGCCTGGGACCAACGCCTCATAGCATTTGAAATGAACCTGGGTACCAAGTATCACTTCGGATTCTTCCCACTCTCAGATACGGTCCCCTAGTTAGAGAGCACGATGTAGGGGGTTGGGATTCTGTGGGGCCAATATAACATTTACACCCTTGTGAAACAGTGCAGGGGTCTACAGAAGAATTCCCAGAAGAGGTGGTGTTCCTTTCCCCTTTTCTCTATTTACCCACCTTCCTTGTGTTGAAATACTGATGAACGGACCCCCAGATGGCAAAGCTTGATCCCCAGCTCTGATAGAGCCCACAGGACACCCTGGGTCTACCCTAACGAGCCATGACATGCCAATTCTTTGCTTTTCTGGAGAAACCTTGGCCTGAAAGTCTGTTTAATTACCGTGGAGATAATCTTTTAAACATAGATTTACATTCTTTAAAGACTTTTTCCCTGTGGGAGTAGGAAAGTTCATCTGCACATAGCATGTTTATTTTCATTTCCAGGGGAGGAACTGCTATCTGGTAGTTAGCAAGAAGCTTGAGCCCTGGAGGAATTTCTTTTTTTAAAGTCTGTTCCTCTTCACTGATAGTGTGTCAATTATATTGTAATAATTAGTTTATAGTGTGGTCATATTTTTTTCCAGCTTAAACTCTGCACTTCACTCTGTGATTCCAGGCCTATAATTATTTAACATTTGTCAATCATCCCTATCAGATTGGGTTCTATAGTTACTCTAAATGTGGGTATCAAGAGTCAATGTCCTCAGGGGTTTCTCTTCAGGAAGGTCATACTTGCAAAGCCAGCAGCCACAAAGACCTATTTAGGTTGGTGCAAAAGCAGTTGTGGTTTTTGCCTGAAAGGAATGGCAAAAACCGCAATTATTTTTGCACCAAGATAATACTTGGCACTGTGGTCAGTAAGACACTAATTTTTCCCACCTGGGGTGGCCCCGCAGATTTGCTAAATTCTTCCCCGCTAGAATGCCAGCTTGGATGAGCAGGGGCTCTATTGTATTCAACCTGGCAGCCCCAAGACCCAGAGTAATTCCTGGCTCATAATAGGTACTGGCTAAGCAGATGCTGAATTGCTGAAAGTCAACAGGTCTTGACGTGTGTGTCAAACAGGAACAATGTACAAAATAAAGCAGAGTTCGGTGGCCTTCTGGCTCTGGCCTGTGCAGCCCTAGTCCTTCTTTCCCCACATCACTTAAGAGCAGGTGGTCCTGAGTGGTTGCTGGACCTGATTCTGGAGGCCAAGACTCTGAGCCTTGAAGATTTACCTCCGGGGATTCAGAAAAGAGGAGAAAAGGAGTAATTGTATTGAACAGAGAATTAGAAGATAAGGAAAATCCCTTTGTGAGAAACTCTAAATCTTGAGCATGGATCTCTGTGTCCAGGTCCTGATGGGGAGAATAGCTGGTCCAAGAAGTACCCGTCGTGTGGGGGCCTGCTGCAGTCCCCCATAGACCTGCACAGTGACATCCTCCAGTATGACGCCAGCCTCACGCCCCTCGAGTTCCAAGGCTACAATCTGTCTGCCAACAAGCAGTTTCTCCTGACCAACAATGGCCATTCAGGTGAGGGAGAGGCCTTGGAGACCTGAGGGGTATGTCTGAGTCTCCCTCAGCTGCCAGGCCTGTCCTTTTCCATCTGGCAGGGAGGTGTTCCGTGGAAGCATCCAGGAGGAGGGGTGGGGCGGGGCGGGGGTGTCTTTGAGAGATTCCAGGAGCACTCTCTCCAGGGGATGCTGGAGGCTCTGGGCTCTGAGGATCCTGCCAGGGCCGCACTTCCCAGAAGAAGCACATCTCTCAGGATGGGGCAGGAGACCGGCCTGAGCACTGTAGTTCATTGGCTGTGCAGCTGGAGTGAATTCTGGACCATAAACGATTCAAGGAACCACACAGTTTGGCGGGGGGTGCCCAGGCTTTGGAGTCAGACCAACCTGGATTTGAACTCTGGCTTGACTGCTTACGAGCCATGAGAATCTAGGTGAGAATTTTAGTCTCCTTGAGCTTCCATCTGGAAATGGACATATTGATGGATACCGTGAAGACTGGAGATTATGTACGTTGGGGTCTGGCATACAGAGTGAAGTAAATGCTTCATAAATAGCAGTTATCGTTGCTGTTGCTATATAATTCTAAAGCTTGGAAGGTACTTCACTAAAGGTGTCTGATCCATCAATATGTAAATAAACACCCATCCGTTGGTCTAGTGTTAGCGTTTCTGGCATCACTTTCCAAGGTGAACCAAGAAGGTGCTGGTGCCACTGGAGTTGCTTTGGGGAAAAGGGAACATTCTCAGGGAAAGAGCCCAGGTGTCTGACCTTTAGGCTGCATCTCTGCTCCGCACCTCACTCCATCCACCTGCCTCTCTCTGGGCTCCAGGGGGTGGCAGCAGGGGTGGAGGGAGCATTGCCTACCTGACTGCTCTCTGGCAGTGCACAGCTGGCCGGGGCTCTGAAGGCTGCTCCTCCACTCCCCGCAGTGAAGCTGAACCTGCCCTCGGACATGCACATCCAGGGCCTCCAGTCTCGCTACAGTGCCACGCAGCTGCACCTGCACTGGGGGAACCCGAATGACCCGCACGGCTCTGAGCACACCGTCAGCGGACAGCACTTCGCCGCCGAGGTAAGTAGGGCTGCCAGTCTGGCAGAGGCTGCTCTGCAGTGGGTGGTGTGGCACCTTCTCGACCTGGCTGCTGTGCAGATAACACCAGAGCATGGGACAGGCTGCCTTCAGGCTCTCTGCCCCACCTCTGGCCCTGGCACAAGGGGCGCAGCCACTCCACTAGCCTGTAGCTCATCTGCACTGTCCTGGTCCCTTTCTTCTCCTGAACATGCTAAGTTTGTCCCTGTGTCTTTTACTGAGTGATGCTGCTGGGGAGGCAGTATTCCCAGGGTGGCCCAGTGGGACATACATGCCCTTCTTTTAGACATTGCCTTCCTATCTGTGCAGATAAAAATCTCCTGCTGACTCACACTGGGCTCACTGCTCCCCCAAACTTCTCAGCCTTTCTTCATATGTCATGCTGTTTGCATCATTTTGATGCTATCTTTCCCTCTCTGGGCATGGGTTGTGTTTAGAACATGGGGACATGGGTCTAGGGCCACCCTTCTACCTGGCCACAAGTCTAGGGGTACCTGGCAGTCTAATGTGCAGGGCATCACGGCAAGCAGACTCACTAGGGACAAGATGTCAGCCAGCACAGCATCGTGTCATGTTGCCTTGAGAAGCTACTCCGAAATGCCAAAAGAAAATTAGAAGACGGGCAGAGCATTTGTCCTATGCAATTGCAGGATGGGGTGGGGCAAGGAGGGGGTTGAGATGCTCCATTTTGGCACTCCAATAGCCCTGAACTGGGGGTGTGGCTCTGAATATTTACAGGGAAATACAAGCAGATAAATGCTGCTGACTGATCAGCCAGGGGAGTCCGTGGTAAATAGAGACCATTCCCCTCCAGTCATAACTGCTGAACTGCTTAATGTTTCAGACTAATCATAGGTCTACTTGCAAGCATGGAAGGGATAGGATCTGGTTCAATAGGATGGTACCACTGGAGGTTCACATATTTCAGAGCGGCCCTTCCCTGAAGCTCAAGAACTGAAATTTCCTCCAGGCTAATTGCAGTGTTGAGACTTCTGCTTCCCCCATGGGGAATAAAGAAGGTGTAAACCAAAAAGTGTCTGAGACTCAATCCATTTAGAAGTTTATTTTGCCAAGGTTAAGGACACATGCCCGGGAGACAGGGAGACAAGTCTGTGCCTTTCTACAAAGATGATTTTGAGGGCTTCAATATTTAAAGGGGAAAGGGCAGACACTGGGGAAAGAGGGAGAAATGTTTAAAAGGTGTGGGGAGGTAAGAGGCAAGAGGTCGCATTCTTCTGAGTTTTTGATCAGCCGTTCACATGTGAGAGAGGGGTAGAGGAATAGTCACTTGTGCATTCATCTAGCTCAGCGAATCTGCATTCTTACAAAATAAAACAGACATGGGCAGAGGAAGCAATTAGAAATGCATTTGTCTCAGGTGAGCAGAGGGATGACTTTGAGTTCTATCCTTTGTCCTGAACCCATGAAGATAAGTTATCCATTTACATTGTCACGGTGAAATTCAACAGAACTGTTTTAGGGTAAAGACCTTGCGGCCCACAGTGAATTTCCTAGTGGGCAAAATGTGAGGTGTGTTGCTTTTTTATCTTTGTAGCCGTCTTATTTAGGAATAGAATGGGAGGCAGCTCCCAGCTTGACTTTTCTCTTTGGCTTAGTGATTTGGGGGTCTCGAGATTTATTTTCCTTTCACAAAGGAGGTTAGGGTGTAGATTGGCAGGGTTTATGTGTTTTAAAATATTTCTACTTCTTGTATTTTCTGCTATTAAGTCACAGCATCAGACCAAGAGTCTGGTTAAGATGGACCATAAATGCCAATACTAGAGAAAAGGCATCAGGGTGTCCCTAAAGTGGGTCCTCTAAGGAAGGACCTTGGAAGTGTAGTGGTTCTTTGGGATGGAGTTCATATAAGAAGATTCTGGTGGGGCATGTTGGCTCACACCTATAATCCCAGCACTTTGGGAGGCTGAGACGGGTGGATCACCGGAGGTCAGGAGTTCGAGACCAGCCTGACCAACATGGTGAAACCCCATCTCTACTAAAAATGCAAAATTAGCCGGGCTTGGTGGCACATGCCTGTAATCCTAGCTACTCGGGAGGCTGAGGCAGGGGAATCGCTTGAACCTGGGAGGCGGAGGTTGCGGTGAGCCAAGATCACGCCATTGCACTCCAGCCTGGGCAACAAGAGCGAAACTCCATTAAAAAAAAAAAAAAAAAAAAAGATTCTTTCTATCTTAATCTCCTCAACAGGGAGCTCCTTTATGCTTGGATTAGTCTTCACTTCCTCTGAGCACAATAAGAAAAGTACAGACAAACCACAAGCTCAAAGGTCAGCTGTAAAAGGAAATAGGGGCTTAGGACCTCAGGGGTTTTAATCATATAGAATTCAGCTCTGTTTCTCAAAGTGATGCCAGGCCGAGATGGTGTGGGCAGTGTGGCAGACTAAGTCCTTTGAGGGGAAGATGGTGAAGTAGGAGCTCTGAAGAAATCCTTAATAGAGGACCACTTAAAAGAAGAAATAATTTGATATATAATTTTTTTTAAGTTAGAAGGAGCCACTTAAAGTTCGAAATGGGAAAATTAAGCTGTATTCAATAACATATGTTGAACTGTATTTATAAACACATGAGATGGAAAAGGATGAATGAAAAGAGAAAAGAAATAGAGTTAAAATCTCAATATGTCATAGTCTCAAGGACAAAGAACCAGCAAAAATGCATGGGTTGTGTAAACCAAAAATAAATTCTAAGCCCCCCACCCCACCCACCTGCCATCTGAATGGACCTCTCCTCTTGACCAAGGGCATTCCAAAGTTAACATGAAAACTAGTTCAGGCCATGATGGGAAGAGGGAGTTGGACATGACCCATTATACCCTCCTCCCTTTTGGAATTTAGGAAAAGCCCACATTCATTAACATCAACACAGACCTTAGGTCTGATCAGAAATATTTACAGTCTATTCTCTCTGAAGCCTGCTACTTGTATTCTTCCTCTGCATGATAAAATCTTGGTCTCTACAACCCCTTATTGGAACCCAGACATTCCTTTCTATTGATGATAACTCTCAACCGATTGCCAGTCAGAAAAAAGTTAAATCTACCTATGTCCTGGAAGCCTCCAATTTGAGTTTTCCTGCCCTTCCAGATCAAACCAGTGTATCTTGTACGTATTGATTGATGTATTATGTCTCTAAAATGTATCAAAACAAGCCATGCCCTGACCACCTTGGGCACATGTCCTTATCCTTGGCAAAATAAGGGGAGGGTCTGAGAGACCTAACCTAGTCTGGGGGGCTGAGGGGGCTGGGGTTCTGTCCTCACAGTTGGAGTCAAGTCTTCTGCAGAAGCGACAGGCTCCCATGAGTCGCTTATCTCCTAATGGGTGGCTTCTCCCCCACTGCAGCTGCACATTGTCCATTATAACTCAGACCTTTATCCTGACGCCAGCACTGCCAGCAACAAGTCAGAAGGCCTCGCTGTCCTGGCTGTTCTCATTGAGGTAAGAGATATTTAAAAGGTTCTTAGGTGAAATTTGAAGCAGGGATGAGATTGGGATTCCACCTTTTGTTCCATGCATACCTGTTGATAATCAGCTGTTCCTGTATCGACTCCGTGTCAACTCCAGAGCAGGGGGTATCCTCCTGTAGTGCACCTTCTCTCTTGGCCTGGAGGCAGCACTTTCTGTGCCTGGGCAGCAGAAATGGGGAATGTTCTTTGGTCCGTTGGAAAAACGGGCCCCAACATCTAGCCCTGTTGCATAAGGCATGGAATTGCCCAGTTGGGGAGGACCTGTGCTGGAAAGGGATCATCAAACTCCATCTGCCCCATCAGATGCCTGAACTCTTGATACAACTCCTGCCATCCAAGCTCCTCTAGATCCAAGGGACCTCTAGATCAGTGGTCCCCAACCTTTTTGGCACCAGGGACCAGTTTCATAGAAGACAATTTTTCCACGGACCATGGACCAGGGAGGGAGATGGTTTTGGGATGAAACTGTTCCACCTCAGATCATCAAGCATTAGTTAGATTCCGTAAGGAATACACAGCCTAGATCCCTTGCATGCGCAGTTCACAATAGGGCTTGTGCTCCTATGAGAATGGGAGGCCTCTGCTGATTTGACAGGGGGCGGAGCTCAGGCTGTAATGCTTGCTTGCCCGCTGCTCACCTCCTGCTGTGCGGCCCAGTTCCTAACAGGCCACAGACCGGTACTGGTCCACAGCCTGGGGGCTGGGCACCCCTGCTCTATATGTACCCTGGAATGAATTCTTTTTTTATCCCAAGATAGAGGAATGTCTTCTGATTGGCTTGCATGTTTTTTTTTCCTAATGAGGCTGTATGTACCTCATTTCCCAACATGCTCATTTGTCTGACGTGGCTTTTGTGAACTCAGAGCTCCTTAAGTTCTGTGTGACATGGATGTTAGTCAAAGCCTTCAGGCTCATATCTGGATCATCAAGAGCACACACGGTACCCTATGCCCCAGGACATTCAAGCCCAACTCCTTAAGCTGAAAACAGGACGTCCTGAGATGCAAGAGGCAGGACCATTACACTAACTCCCAAGAGCCTAGTGATCCATCATAATTGTCCAGTAAAGTGGATCCTTCAGGCAGTGGTGGCAACATACCCACAGCTTTGCCCTTCTGATAGCAATCGTCAATCCTGGCTCAGCCTATCCTGTTCTGTCCCAGTTTAACCTGCCCTGTCTCTGTTGCAGATGGGCTCCTTCAATCCGTCCTATGACAAGATCTTCAGTCACCTTCAACATGTAAAGTACAAAGGTGAGGGGTCCTTGCATGCATATTCACTCTCTGCTGGAGAAGGAGGTAGTCAGCCCTGTGTGACTTTAAGAAAAGCAAACACAAGGGGCAGGTGCTGTCTGTGTTCACCAGGTTAAGAGCAGCAGGTTGTTGAACAATGTTGCAACCAGGTCCTGGGGTTAGATGACCCTGAAAGGGGCTAGTTCATGTTTCTAGGCTCAGTCGCTCTGTTCAGCTGCACTTATGCCCTACGGAGGGAGGCTGACACTATCACCTCTGCAACATGTCTCTCTAGGCCAGGAAGCATTCGTCCCGGGATTCAACATTGAAGAGCTGCTTCCGGAGAGGACCGCTGAATATTACCGCTACCGGGGGTCCCTGACCACACCCCCTTGCAACCCCACTGTGCTCTGGACAGTTTTCCGAAACCCCGTGCAAATTTCCCAGGAGCAGGTAACTGTCGTGCCAGACTCAGCCAGAGTCCACGCGGCACCTCAGTCCCCATCATCCTCCATATCACAATCAATGACTTGATTTCCTCATTTAGTTTCATTGGCAGCTCTTCAAAACCTCTCCAAATATCACAGGTGTCTGAAAGCACCGCAGAAATTCCAGGCTGAGCTTCAAAAGAAGTCAAGCTAGGCAAATGAATAGATGTCTCCTAGTTCTTTTTTAAAAAAAAGAGCTCTAAATCTGCATTTGCTAATATATCCTCAGTGGCTGGGTGGTATTCACTTCCCAGGCAGGAGAGAGCCTGGTTCCTTTACAGGGCAGAATAAAGACAGGATCAGATGAAATCATTTAAGAGATGGGATTGCAGCAATGACTAAGTGAGGGTCCCTGCCCCCAAGAAGCTCAAGGTCTAGTGCAAACTGGGGAACAAAATCCTTAGCCATCACCTCTAAAGCTTCTTATTTGATAGGAGATGAGAGAGAAGAGTAGAAGTCTGTGGGATCACCCGCGGGTTAGTGACAAAGCTGAGACCCAAAGTTAGGTCATCTGAGTTCCATGTCACTGCTCATACCTGTCCTCCACAGCCTAAATTCATGAGAAGAAAAATGGCTCCCCAGGAGACGGGGCTGGGGCCAGCACTACACCCTGGCTCACAGCCCCACGCCAGCTTCATGCGTCCAGGGCAGCCTCACAGCTGCTCCTCTTTACAGTAAGCTTCTGCTCTGAGTCACCTGGTAAATGGCAGCAGGTGGGTGGACAGGAATGAGGACATGATGAACCAAGAGATGGATGAAACATGTGGGGAAGCAGCAACATCCTACCTCAGAAACTGCCTTGGGAAAGGGTTATATAATCTATGCAGGTGCATGAAAATGCCATGGAACCCGCAATCAGATGGCCTGTGAAACTCTTAACTCCCTCCTTTATTCCTTCTGATATGACCATCAGAACAAGCCCTGCGACCCTCTGGTTGAGAGCTGGCCTCTAATTTAAGTTCATGAGAGGAACTCAGTCTCTGTGGAGGTTAAGGAGCACTCCATCACCCCAGGTTTCCCTCCACGCAGGGCAGATTCCAGGTATAATTGGAAACTAACAGCACTGCCTTTCCCTGAAGTCTCGGGTGCTGGGAAGATAAACCCAGCGCTGCCCAGCTCCCACTCACCCACTGTGGAGGGAAGCAGTTCTGTGGCTTTCCCTCTGCTTTCTAATATCTCCCACCCGGCCCCACAGAAGCTGGTTCCAGAGGCTTCTCCCAGGTGCAAGAGCGGAGAGCTAGCCTCTTCCCAGGGGATCAGGTGAGGAGGTCATTCTGCCTGCGGGCTATTTCTGCTCTTGCCCTCAGCTGCTGGCTTTGGAGACAGCCCTGTACTGCACACACATGGACGACCCTTCCCCCAGAGAAATGATCAACAACTTCCGGCAGGTCCAGAAGTTCGATGAGAGGCTGGTATACACCTCCTTCTCCCAAGGTGAGGAGAGGCAGTGCTGGGGGGAGGGGGTGCGGGAGTGTGGTGCCAAGACATTGGGATCTTCTGTGAATGCAGCTCTGGCACTGATGCCCTCAAGAAGTTGGCTGAGAGCTCCCTGGCTGCCACGGGAACCAGGCGCCTTGTGAGACTAGGTGTGGGGCTCACTGGGGTCCCCCCTTCAGTGAGTCTTTGCAGAGAAGCAAAAAGCCGAGGCCCCCAGGCACATGGACCAGAGCACTCTTTAAGCCTGGGAGTCTTGCACAGATGGGTAAGAGAGAATTCCCTGGGGACTTCTCTGTTCCAGACAATGATCCCTTCTCTAAGACACAGGATAGGACCCTTTCCATGAGATCAGACTTCTAACTTCCCTCCCTAGGCTTTCTTGGCATCAAAGGCTGCAGCCAGCCTATCTTAGGCCTGGCCAGGTGATTCATGCACCACCACCAAATGAGCAAGAATGTTCCTATGTTAGATGTAAAACAGTGAGTGTAACCCACAACCATGTCTAATGTAGCAGGGCCTGTTAGGCAAGGAAGCACCCTTGTGCACTGCATTTTTGTCTAACCTCCTTGGAGCTTGCATAAGCACAAGCACATAAGTTCCCAATTGAACAAAACTTAATAGCTTGGTTTCTTCCTAATGCTACAAGGGCTCGGGTCTCCCTTTCACAGCTGTAACCAATAACTCCCCAGTAGAACATTAACCGTTTTCCTTGCTCAGTGCCTACATCAACACTGCTGGAAACTGGGCATCAGGGGAAAGGGGTGAGGGAGCACTTTTGGGGCCCACACCCCTCTTCAGACCTCTGAGTTCACTTTCAAGCTCACTTTCTTACTGTAGATTCTCGACTGCTTCCCAGCTTGGGAATCTTCATGGCTGGTCTGTGCAGTTCCATTTCATCCCCAGCATCACGTGTGGACCAAACCGGGCCTGGCGTTCATATTTAAAGATAACCCGTTCTCACCTGCAATCCCAGCACTTTGGGAGGCCAAGGCAAGCGGATCACCTGAGGTCAGGAGTTCAAGTCCAGCCTGACCAACATGGTGAAACCCCATCTCTACTAAAAATACAAAAATTAGCCGGGCACGGTGTCTTGCCTCCTTTGGGAGGCCGAGGTGGGTGGATCATGAGGTCAGGATTTCGAGACCAGCCGGACCAACATGGTGAAACCACGTCTCTACTAAAAATACAAAAATTAGCCGGGCGTGGTGGCACATGCCTGTAATCCCAGCTACTCAAGAGGCTGAGGCAGGAGAATCGCTTGAACCCAGGAGGCAGAGGTTGCAATGAGCCGAGATCACACCACTGCACTCTAGCCTGGGTGACAGGGCGAGACTCCGTCTCAAAAAAAAACCAAAAAACAAAAACAAAAGAAACCCGTTAACCCACTTGTCAGAATCTGCTCTCCTCGTCTCACCTGGTGCACTTTTTTGGGTTCCTTTCTTATTATATGAGGTTATAACGATCACCTCCTAAACTTAGTTGAACATATGGAGACTGTATTTGAAGGCCCTTTCCAGGAAGCTTTAGAAACTGACCCATCCTTACGGTCAGGATTACATCATTCTCTGTCTTTTCATGAAGAACTGCCCAAGAATTTGTCTTTTGTGTTTTCTCCTCTCCAGGTACAACTAATTAAGATCATTTCCCTCTTTCCTCAGTTTCTCAGTTGGAAAACAGAATCTGTGAACAGTAGCCTTCCTGAAAATTCAAAATCCATGTGATGATAACTAACAGTTTCTTTTCTAGGAAATGAACTGAGTGCATGGAATGTATCTGTTATGGATACAACGCTGTCTTTTCTCATTCTTCTAAGTGGAGAATGTAGTATCCAAGGGTTAAATGGAACTACTTCAACTCTTAAAACCAAAAACATAAAAACTCTGCCAGGAGATTAGGAACTTTGCCCACATAGATCAGATAGAATTTTGCTCGCGATCCCAGGACCCCATTGCCGGCTCTGTTCTCTGAGCTCACCTATGCACACCCAGGGAAGGGGTGGCACATATTCTCCTTACAGTCAGGAGGCCTAGGTTCAAGGCCTGGCTTTGCTTCCTCCTGGCTGCAGGCTGTGGACAAATCGTGTCCCTTCTTCAGGCCTTGGTTTCCTCAGCCACAAAATGCCAGGTAATCCCAGCTACTCAGGAAGCTGAGGCAGGAGAATCGCTTGAACCCGGGAGGTGGAGGTTGCAGTGAGCCAAGATCATGCCACTGCACTCCAGCCTGGGTGACAGAGTGAGACTCTGTCTCAAAAAAAAAAAAAAAAAAAAAAAAAGCCAGGTTGGATTAGGTGATCTCATGTCCTTTCGGTGCTAATATGTTGTGATGGTTAAGTGGACACTAACAACTGCCAATCCTGACTTTACATTGCAGGGACAGTGTTTGAGGGCAGTTACAGAGGATCAGAAGAAACCGGGCAGGAGCTTGACTCTGACATCCAAAAGTAACCCCCGCTTGTAACGATGGACTATGGCATTGGGGATAATTAGCCATCTTCTTAGACCGGCTTGTGTCTAAGCAGCTGCTTGTAGTGGGGCAGCGTAGGCAGGTTTTTAGCCAAGCGCTTCAGTAGATTCTCCCAGTCTGGATAGGGGAGCTTGAGGGGCCTCTAAGCAGAAGTCTGGAGACCATCTCCCAGCTTAGGACGTCAAGATCAAAGCCCAAATGCAGCGTTGCCACTGCTCTTCCTCCACGGTTTGCCCAGAGCTGGTGCTTCCACAAGCCCAGGTTGGGACCAGCTTTCTCCTCTGAGTGAGACTCTGTGGCAGTCCAAGGAAAACCTGTCCATCTGGAGGCTGATTATAGAAGCTTGGCCAGAATTCTCCTCCCCTCCCTTTCACTTCCCAAAGACACAGGCAGCAAGTGCGGCTGCTTCCCAAGGAGCAATGAGGAGGCAGTCCCAAAGGGGTGAAGGCCCAAACCTCATCTGCCCAGGGGGCTGCATTCACGAGGCCTTTCTTACCCAGCTCGGAGCAGGCCTCAGACTGTAACATGATGTTTCAGGTTTACGGTGTGAGACTTTGTCAGTGTGAACCTTGAGCAGTTTGGACTCAAATTGTAGCCTCATCCACTGAGGCATGTTTGTAATTAGGGTCTGGCTTACTCAGGGCTTTCTCTGGAAGTTAACAAGAACTACAGAGTCAGAAAATTCTGCCAGGAGAAAAGTGATGTTTAAAAAATCATCTAGGATGGCCGGGTGTGGTGGCTCATGCTTGTAATCCCAGCACTTTGGGAGGCTGAGGTGGGAGGATCACATTAGCCCAAGAGTTTGAGGCTGCAGTGAGCCATGATCACACCACTGCACTCCAGCTTGGGTGACAGAGTGAGACCCTGTCTCTTAAATAATTAAAATTTAAAAATTAAAAAAAAATTCCCTATGAGAGAAAGTACATGGACTTTGGGGAAGGATCTGAAGTTTAGCCAGGTTGGGACAATTTGGACCGAATCATTTAACTTAACCCTGCTATTTTCCTCAACTGTGCTTAGAAAAGGGGTACAGGACCTGATTTCTGTCCTTAAGAGGTTTATAGTCCAGCTACACCTTAGCCTGGGGGCAGAGTTTCTCAACCTTAGCACTACTGACAACTTAGGCAGGATAATTCTTACAGTGGGGGGTGTCCTGTGTGTTGTAGCATTGGCAGCACCGTTGGTCTCTACCCAGTAGATGCCAGTTGCCCCTCCCCAGTTTTAACAGGCAAAACTGTTTCCAGACATTGCCAACTCTGTGCAGGCAGGAGGGGCAAGTTTTCCCCTGATGGAAAACCACTGCCCCAGGGTTTCTGCGGCCCAGAACTCATTGTTTTCACTGATGTCATAGGAGTCTGGAGTTTTATATCACATGCCCTGGTCTTCATTGTTTTATGGCATGAACATTTCAGTGTGATGATGGTTATCCCTGAAACAGTAAGGCTGAAGTTACTGAGGCAGAACAAACCAACCCAAGAGAGACCTTGTTCCCCATCTTCCTTTAGAATTCAAGTATAGATTCTTTTTTATATGATTGGGTAAGACCAAGAGACGTAGCGTGAGAGAGAACTGTGCACCCTTAGGAGTGTACAAATCCTTTATCAGGGGTGCAGATGCCTCTGAAGTAGCAACTTCTTCAGGATCCCCCCTTTATTCTTTTTCTCTCTCCCTTTTGTATGAGTTTTTCTCTCTTGTATGTTATGTTTCTTGTTGCCTTTAGTTAAAACGTCCACTCTTTATGGAAAAGTGAAAGTCATGTCAGGCACTTTTTTCCATTCTTAAAAAGTGCCTCTTCCATTGGCTGGGTGTGGCTCATGCCTGTAATCCCAGCATTTTGGGAGGCCAAGGCAGGTGGATCACCTGAGGTTGGGAGTTCGAGACCAGCCTGGCCAACATGGTGAAACCCCCTCTCTACTTAAAAAAAAAAAAATCAGCCAGGCATGGTGGTGCATGCCAGTAGTCCCATCTACTGTGGAGGCTGAGGCAGGAGAATCACTTGAACCCAGAAGGCAGAGGTTGCAGTGAGCCAAGATTGCACCAGTGCACTCCAGCCTGGGCGACAGAGTGATACTCCATCTGAAAAAAAAAAAAAAAAAAAAAAAAAAAAAAAGTGCCTCTTCCAAGTGGCAGTTGGAAGATTTGAGCTGAAGGAGAAAGCAAGACTCGTCCTCAAGGTGGGCCCCTGGGAGGGGACACGTCCTCAGGCCAGTTCGGGTTTCAAGTCAGGTGCTCTTAGTGGGAAAGGGGAAAGACGGCAGAGGCAGGGGGACATCACAGGGGCTCAGGCTTAGGGCTTTGGCCTGGTTCTTGGTTCCTTTGAGTTCACCTCCTCCTAGCCAGTGGCACCAACACTGGGCCCAGATGCTGGGTAATGAAGCAAGAGCCCATCAGACAAAAATGCTAACACCATCTAGCCCTGTGCTCAACATGTCAGGGCCATGGAAACTTGAGGGACAAAAGGAAGCCAAGAAGTTTCTATAATCACATCATTAGTGGGCTTGCTCTAAGCAACTGCATGTCACCCACCAGAGCAGCTATGGCACACTCAGACAAGGGTGCCAGGCAGCAAACCGCAAGGGCAAATCTATAGTCCTGCAATTAGGATCTGCTTAAGCCTAGACCTGGGCAATTTTATGAAACCTTAAAAGGAGGGAGAAGGAAATCAGACATGGCTAAGATGGCTAATTATCTAATTTTTTGAGGCTAGAATGCATGTGTTATCATTATTGACCTTGTATTTCTTAAAGTTTCCATTTATAAGTAAAAGCTATTAGCTGAAAGAATATCATCGATTCTCCCAAAGGATCCAAATGATTAGCCAGCATCATTTCCACCTTCAGTCGCTGGTCTGGGTCAGAGGCCGAACAGTCAGGAGCATTGGTCCAAGGTGCTAAGAAGTGAGGTCCTAGTGCCTTTCACACACCACATGTTTCCCGAGCACAGTCCGAGTTATGCGCTATGGGGGACAGAAAACCCCATGGTGGGTGTCATCTTGCTCTTAAACACAGCCCGTGGCACAGGGCAGACTATGTTCAGGAAAGACAATGGGAAAAGGGGCTGGGCAGACGGCTGGACCCACCCTTGGTGATGGGGCCCTAGCCGATCCTTCCACATCATCTCCCCACAGCCCCATCCCTGCCCTCTTAGCCTCAGCCCCCAAAACTGTAGGGCAGATGCTTTCAAGTACACACACTTGATGTCTGGGATGCCCCCTCCCTCCTCCATCTGGAAAATTCTTTCAAGACCCAACTCTAATCACGTCCTCCTGGAAGTCCTCCCCATCCCTCTAAAGGTGACTTAATCTCCCTCAGTGCAGCCAGAACCACGTCTCCATCTCTGTTATGTTACTTGACACACCATAGAGTAATTATTACCACACAGCAAAGACGAATAGAAAAAGAACAATACGTACATATTATACACATACTACAAGCTCCTTAAGGCCAGGGATGACTGACGTGTTACTCATTTTTATGCCTGGCATGGTGCCTGGTGCTCAATATAAGCTTGTTGAAAGAATGTCCCTGACCCATCTCCAGTTCCCTCCCCTCCTCAGTGTCTTCTCTGCAGAATGATTTACACATAAGCCTGGCCAGTTGTCACCTTTTCGTTTTATTGTCTTGTTTTTCTGTGGTCTCCATTTGCTAACAATGTTAAAAATCAACCATTTGTTTAAGAGAGATTAACGATCAGAACTTAGCTGTCAGTTTTGAAGGTCTGGGAGGAAGTTGCCTAGAGATGCTGTTGTGCCTTCTGTAGCTCTGGCTTGATAGGGATCAAAGGCCCCCGTCCCACCACCCATTCTTTCCCCAGGGACAGTGAAGACAGCTTAGAGTGCCAAGCACCAAGTGCCAGCATTGTAACCTGCCCCTGAGGCTCTGGGATTTAGGCCCTTCAGAGCAACGTGCTGTCTGCAGGGGCTGCATTCCTGTAATCTACAGGCAAAGCCCTCAGTCCCATCATAGCTGTATAAAACCAGTTCCCCCATGTAATCTGGTACTATCTTGTTGGCAGATTTCTTTGTAGCAATTCTTGTTTTGGGTTGCATAGCGTTCATAAGGAAAACTCCGCAGTTAAATATGTCCTCTGAAGATGGCTCCACTCTGTGGTGAGGGCATCTTCCTTGTCTTGGCAAAGCATCATCTGAAGATAGCACTGGATTTGCAGTTTCTTGACTCTCTGATTTTTTATTAGGTGTAATAATAAGGGGCTTTTTACCTTCCTAACAGATTTTGTGTATTTAAACTATCAAACCCCTGATAAATCTAAACTCTCTGACCTCTTTTACAAGGCTGGAGACGGCTAAGGATATCGCTACGTAACATGCCATCTATGTAAACAGTGTGTACTTTAAAATAATACTTGAAAAGGATTATAGTCCACAGTCAAACAGAATCGTAAATAGAGCTAGAAAATACTAGACTGTTGTTCCAGGAACCTCCAGATGTGAAAGTGAGGTGCTTGTTCCTCGTGCTGGACTCTTCTGTGTTTATGCTTGAGGCTTCAGAAGACCTCAAAAGCCCTTAACCAGCATCCCTCAGTCCAGCAAGATGCCGGTGGAAGACGCAGCTCCTGGGCCTGCCAGAACAGGTAGCAAGGCCCTTGTGGCAAGCAGCTCACCGACCTTCTCCGGGTGTCTGTACCTTCCTGGGCAAGGTGTGTGACCATCGAGTTCTTCTATATCTGTGTGGTTTCCTTGTGTGTGTCACACTGCCGTCTCTCTGCTCGCCCTGAGTCATACCCGAGCACTTTGTGAACAGGCGGCTCTCCCACGTCCTCATGGTGTGCACCCTCTTACCAGCCAGCCCCAGAGCTCCTTCTGTTGGGCTGCCACTCGATGCCTCTCGTGGGCCACCTCTGTGACCTAGCCTGTCTCCATTTCTACTGTCTGTCCCATTGTTCTTCCGTGGGAATCGCCTCCCTTCTTTCCTATTCAGAAACAAACCATTTCTTTAACCTGAAAGTGAATTTCTCTAGTTCTGCCCCTCCCTGTACCATCTTTGATGCCTGTTCTCTACAGTGCCTAGAGGCTTCGCTCTCACCCAGCCGAGGCTCTGCTGGGAAACAGGCTTTGGCTTCGCACTCAGGTTCTAGTTCTCTGGTTGCCCTGACAGTTCTCCCTGTGTCCCGAAAGTCTCGCTGACTTTCTCTCTCCCATCAGATAACAGATGTTTTGGCATCTGCCTCCAATGGGACTCAAGCCCATTTCTGCAAAGAAGCTGAGCCTCCATGATGGTTGGTGCTGTCTCGATTGGCAGGGACAGCATTCCAACAACACCTTCCTGCCCTGGGCTTCCTGAGGTGGTGGAACTATCGGGTGACACCCTCGCCGGCATTCCTCTTCCTTAACAGCTTATGATGTTGGCTCAGTCAAGCTGCTTCGTTTTTGCTGTATCAAAGTCTTGGCTGAAAAGTATCTGTCCCAGTCTCTGGGCCTTTCTTTGTCTTCATGCCTGTTTGGTCTCATTTCGTTGTTTCCAAGGAGAGTCCATTTAGGCCTTGACAAGTGGTCCTCAAGGAGCAAAGATCCCAGGTCACAGCACTGGGTTCAACTATGCTGTTGCTTACAGGACCTCCAACAGGAACCCCGCGTAATAACCGGGGGAAGCCAGACTCTCCCTCCAGAGAAGCCACCACGCAGGGCATGTGCCCTGAGAAAAGCCCCACCCTTGCTGGGGCCTTGCTCTCCATAGACTTTGCTCAGCTCCCCAAGACCAGGCATGAAGGGTACCCCCACCAGCCACAGACTGGGCTGCTCAGTGGTCTGGGGCCTGTGTGACTCTCAGAATGTTTGAGGTGACTGTGAAAGAGATGACTTTAGAAACCATCCAGCCTGGATGGCTTAGCCAGGTGGTAAGGCTTCCTAGTAATAGTCTTCAGGTGGCGAGAACTGGTTTGGCACCACAAGCATCTGGAGCTTCAGGAACAAAGAACGAGAGTGTATTTCATCAAAGGGTTGGGAAGAAAAACCATGGCTAGGTTTATTATGTTTGTTTTTTTAAGATTCCAGGGACCATGGTCTCTGGTTACATTTAAAAAAGAAACAACCAACCCTAATACCAAGTTCCACTGTGCAGAGGCCACAGGCCCTGCAGGAAACAGAGCTTGTGCTGTACAAACACTGGAAGCTCCCTCCAGGTGGAGACTCATGTCCTCAGTACCTCCCCAAGCCACAGGCTGGTCCTTGTGTTCAGGTTACACGAAGAGGCCTGGGGCAGGGAGTCTGGCCAGTGGAGCCACTCTGCCACTTGGGAGGTCATGAGCAGCTGGTGGTGGTGAGCAGAGTAGGGAGAATAGGCTTCCCTGTCCTTGGGGACAGCTCTTCTCCCTGCCTGCTCTGCTAACCCTCACAGCAGCCCGGTGCCACCTGGGGAAGCCAGACCAGGAACCCCCAGGGCCCAGCCTTGGACCAGGGAGGCTCTGCAGGTTCAATGTGAGATTGCAGAAAAAGACAATCGGAAAAGCACACGGCTGATGGCTCCTGGGGAATCAGCTAGACTTGGGCCATACGACAGGAGAAGGGGCAGTGAGCAAAACCTCACCCTGCAGCCTCAGATCTGGTTCCCCAGGCTGTTAAGGGCCCCAAGGGAGAGTCCTTGGCCCCCTGCTGGCATCTTACACTTGACCAGGGCTCTCCCAGGGCCTCAGCCACCACTGTGGGTTCTATGGGCACAGGATCTTCTGTGTCAGGCTGGGTGGCCACCATCTGTACAACTGTGGCTCCCAGTGTGAGTTAGAACAAATACCCCTTCTTCCTCCAAGACACACACACATGCTAGAAGTTTCCATTGAGATGAGAAAACCACCAGACAGAAGGGTACCTGTAAATCTACACTTTCTTTAGACAAAGGACCTGATTAGGAGAATGGGGAATGGCTGTGGGAACCTTGGAAAAAACAGGCTGAGGGTTTTCAGGGGAGACTTCATGACTGGGATCCTCTGCTCACTCAAGACAATGGATTCTCATGTGATTTTCCCCCCAGGAGGTGGCTAGTAGGCTGACTGTGAGACTTAGGTAGCTGGGCACGGGTTCAGCCACACTGAGGACTTCTCTCTCACCTTATTTATCCTCAACAGTAACTTGCTGGTTGAAGCCGTAATACCCTGGTTCCATGGAGCAGAGAAGTGGGGCTGATGTGGTGAAGGCGTTTGTCCAGGAGGGACAAAGCAAAAATAGAACCAAACCATGATGACAAGCTGATGGGCTGGGGGAGAAGTCTGGTGATGGATTCCTTGCTTAGGAAGTGAGGCAGGTACCAGGGACATGGACAGGAGCCTGCCCAAGCAGGCTTTGATCCCTACCTTTCTTCATCTTTCCTCTTTGGCCATGTTGTATTAAAAACTGAAATCTTGGCTGGGCGCCGTGGCTCACACCTGTAATCCCCATAGTTTGGGAGGCCGAGGCAGGTGGATCACTTGAGATCAGGAGTTCGAGACCAGCCTGGTCAACATGGCAAAACCCCATCTCTACTAAAAATACAAAAATTAGCCAAGCGTTGTGGTGCACGCCTGCAGTCCCAGCTGCTCGGGAGGCTGAGGCATGAGAATTGCTTGAACCCAGGAGGTGGAGGTTGCAGTGAGCCAAGATTGTGCCACTGCACTCCAGCATGTGTGACAGAGCGAGACTCTGTCTCAAAAAAAACACAAACAAACAAACAAACAAAAACTCAAGTGAAGTCTTGCCCTAGCCAGGAAACTGTTGTGATAAAGGAGCATCGGGGCCGGGCGCAGGGGCTCACGCCTATAATCCCAACACTTTGGAAGGCCAAGGCAGGTGGATAATGAGGTCAGGAGTTCAAGACCAGCCTGGCCAAGATGGTGAAACCCTGTCTCTACTAAAAATCCAAAAATTAGCTGGGTGTGGTGGCAGGTGCTTGTAATCCCAGCTACTTGGGAGACTGAGGCAGAGAATTGCTTGAACCCAGGAGGCGGAGGTTGAAGTGAGCCAAGATCGCACCACTGCATTCCAGCCTGGGCGGCAGAGCGAGATTCCATCTCAAAAAAAAAAAAAAAAGGAGCATCGGAAGGAGGGATTGCAGTATGAATTCCCTAGATGGGCAATTTCCTGTACTTCATCAGGCAATCCCTGAGCCAAGGGTGGACATCCCTAGAGGTCTGTCAGCCTAAGACCAAACAAATGGTAGAGCGTCTCTCAACACGCTGCTCAAATCCAGTGTGGTTTGACTCTAGAGTAACCTCGTCTTTTCCTCTCCCCTTTTAAGTGCAAGTCTGTACTGCGGCAGGACTGAGTCTGGGTATGTGGCTGGGCAGCCAGCCGTGCATGCTGCAGCTGGGTGATCACTGTGATTCTTGGTGTGATCCAAGCCCGTCCTCTCTGCTTCTCTGTACTATTGCTCTGGCTCCTGGCCCTCTCCTTGCTATGGGTCTTACCCTCAAGTCGCTCTGTGATTCAAAGATGAACTGCCAATCAAATGTTCCTCTAATGAAAGATCCAATCACTCTACAGCATGTGTGTATTCAAAGAACCTATCTAAGACTTTCTTTTGGTCATGGTGGGAGGCTGTTGCTGAAAACATACCAGAGCCCATTGTGGAGGTCAGCTGACAGGCCGCATGACCTTGGCAATGGACTACTGGTCATCTGGGACTGCTTAGGACTGTGCAATGGAACTTGGGGGCAAAACTGATGGAGACAGCCAATGGGCCTTAAATCCAGCAGGCAAAGACAGAGTAAGTTCTTATTTGTGTAGCCCAGGGCTTATCAAAGTGTGGTTCTTGGACCACGTGCATCAGTATCAGCTGTAAGTATTTGGCAAAATGCAGATTCCCGGGCCCTGCACCAAACAGATTGACTTTGAATCTCTGGGGGTTGGGCTAAAAAAAAAAAAAAAACCCTACATTTTAAACAAGCTCTTCAGATGACCCTTGTGTAAGTTTGAGAGCATCTGCTGGAAAACCACTAGAATTTGCAAACGGCCACCTCAAAATACTCCAGCCAGTCCCACTAAGCCAAAGACCAGAATCTGAGAACAGGGATGGGGAAATTATTCCTTTCTGTGGATGATTATGCAGCTGGGCCATGATTTCACACCCGGGGGCCATGGGCTAAGATGGAGGGGAAGGAAGGAATGTAATGTGTGCCCTCTACCTCTTCACCAGGCATCATCCTCTCACTGGCCCTGGCTGGCATTCTTGGCATCTGTATTGTGGTGGTGGTGTCCATTTGGCTTTTCAGAAGGAAGAGGTGAGCTGGTTTGGGTCCAAAATGGGAATGGACAGCTATGTGTCCATGATGATTAGTCTGCCTGGGAAGGCAGCTTTGTGGCATGAAGAGCCGCAGTCACCTGGACCACCACTTACCCTAGGAGGGCCGTCCCCAAAGCACCCGTGCCCTGGCCTCCTTTGCATGAGACGCACATGTGACCCTGGTCGTTCAAAGGGTTCAGGGGTCACTGTGCTCAGATTTGGAAGCGTGTGTGCCTTGCTTGCTGCTATTGCATGGCCTTGGACGAGTCTCTTGACTTGGGGCTTGTGCCTGAAGTTAAGCAGCCAGGCTGTCTTCTTATCAAGATCTTTACATATGCTTTTTGGTCTATGAATTCAAAAAGAAAGATGAAGGAAAACCTGATCTCTCACTCACATTAACTCTTCATGCCCTTTGTCCATGTTTTTATTGTGACATTTGGCTTTTCCTAAAACCTAATTTATTTGGGGGGGGTATGAAAAATAAAAAGGTTTCTGGGAACCCTGTTATGGAATCAGAGGTTTGAAGAGGGGGGTGACAACGAGACCTCTTTCAAAATATAGGTCTACTACTGTTAGGTGTGAAAGAGAACAGTTGGAAAACGAACAAGTTCTGTTTTTGTTAAAGCTTTATTTGGTGACACTCCCTCCCAAGACCAACAGAATTGGGGAAAGGTCCCAAAGAGAGGAATCCAACTTTTAAAAACGGCCTCATTCCATACCTGAGTCAGGCTGCTCTCTGGCTCGCTCGCTCTCCTCTCTAACAAGAGTTATGTGTTCTTTCTGTTCTAGTATCAAAAAAGGTGATAACAAGGGAGTCATTTACAAGCCAGCCACCAAGATGGAGACTGAGGCCCACGCTTGAGGTCCCCGGAGCTCCCGGGCACATCCAGGAAGGACCTTGCTTTGGACCCTACACACTTCGGCTCTCTGGACACTTGCGACACCTCAAGGTGTTCTCTGTAGCTCAATCTGCAAACATGCCAGGCCTCAGGGATCCTCTGCTGGGTGCCTCCTTGCCTTGGGACCATGGCCACCCCAGAGCCATCCGATCGATGGATGGGATGCACTCTCAGACCAAGCAGCAGGAATTCAAAGCTGCTTGCTGTAACTGTGTGAGATTGTGAAGTGGTCTGAATTCTGGAATCACAAACCAAGCCATGCTGGTGGGCCATTAATGGTTGGAAAACACTTTCATCCGGGGCTTTGCCAGAGCGTGCTTTCAAGTGTCCTGGAAATTCTGCTGCTTCTCCAAGCTTTCAGACAAGAATGTGCACTCTCTGCTTAGGTTTTGCTTGGGAAACTCAACTTCTTTCCTCTGGAGACGGGGCATCTCCCTCTGATTTCCTTCTGCTATGACAAAACCTTTAATCTGCACCTTACAACTCGGGGACAAATGGGGACAGGAAGGATCAAGTTGTAGAGAGAAAAAGAAAACAAGAGATATACATTGTGATATATTAGGGACACTTTCACAGTCCTGTCCTCTGGATCACAGACACTGCACAGACCTTAGGGAATGGCAGGTTCAAGTTCCACTTCTTGGTGGGGATGAGAAGGGAGAGAGAGCTAGAGGGACAAAGAGAATGAGAAGACATGGATGATCTGGGAGAGTCTCACTTTGGAATCAGAATTGGAATCACATTCTGTTTATCAAGCCATAATGTAAGGACAGAATAATACAATATTAAGTCCAAATCCAACCTCCTGTCAGTGGAGCAGTTATGTTTTATACTCTACAGATTTTACAAATAATGAGGCTGTTCCTTGAAAATGTGTTGTTGCTGTGTCCTGGAGGAGACATGAGTTCCGAGATGACCCAATCTGCCTTTGAATCTGGAGGAAATAGGCAGAAACAAAATGACTGTAGAACTTATTCTCTGTAGGCCAAATTTCATTTCAGCCACTTCTGCAGGATCCCTACTGCCAACCTGGAATGGAGACTTTTATCTACTTCTCTCTCTCTGAAGATGTCAAATCGTGGTTTAGATCAAATATATTTCAAGCTATAAAAGCAGGAGGTTATCTGTGCAGGGGGCTGGCATCATGTATTTAGGGGCAAGTAATAATGGAATGCTACTAAGATACTCCATATTCTTCCCCGAATCACACAGACAGTTTCTGACAGGCGCAACTCCTCCATTTTCCTCCCGCAGGTGAGAACCCTGTGGAGATGAGTCAGTGCCATGACTGAGAAGGAACCGACCCCTAGTTGAGAGCACCTTGCAGTTCCCCGAGAACTTTCTGATTCACAGTCTCATTTTGACAGCATGAAATGTCCTCTTGAAGCATAGCTTTTTAAATATCTTTTTCCTTCTACTCCTCCCTCTGACTCTAAGAATTCTCTCTTCTGGAATCGCTTGAACCCAGGAGGCGGAGGTTGCAGTAAGCCAAGGTCATGCCACTGCACTCTAGCCTGGGTGACAGAGCGAGACTCCATCTCAAAAAAAAAAAAAAAAAAATTATTCTGTACCATCACAACTTTTCACAACGATGGCAAGCCTTATGTCTTGGGAGCCTGTTTTGCTAGGCAAAGTTACAAGTGACCTAATGGGAGCTCAAATGTGTGTGTGTCTCTCTGTGTGTTTGTGTGTGTGTGTGCACTCAAGACCTCTAACAGCCTCGAAGCCTGGGGTGGCATCCCGGCCTTGCCATTAGCATGCCTCATGCATCATCAGATGACAAGGACAACCCTCATGACGAAGCAACATGAATTAGGGGGCCTCTTGGCCTTGGTCCAAAATTGTCAATCAGAAATGAACATAAAGGACTCCAGAGCAGTGGGACTGTCTGTCAAAAGACTCTGTATATCTTTTGTGGATGAGTTTTGTGAGAGAACAGAGAGACCATTGTACCTGGCACAAGGGCTGTTCATGAAAAGGGAGACTTACTGGGAGGTGCAAGACAGTGGCATTTCTCCTCTCCTCTTGCTGCTCAGCACAGCCCTGGATTGCAGCCCCGAGGCTGAGACCAGACAAAGCCCGGGAGGCAGAAAGATGCTCCAAGAACCAACACTATCAATGTCTTTGCAAATCCTCACAGGATTCCTGTGGGTCCAGCTTTGGAACTGGGAAACCTTTCTTCGGATCCGCACTCATTCCACTGATGCCAGCTGCCCCTGAAGGATGCCAGTACTGTGGTGTGTGAGTCTCAGCAGCCGCCCACACGCTCCTAACTCTGCTGCATGGCAGATGCCTAGGTGGAAATAGCAAAAACAAGGCCCAGGCTGGGGCCAGGGCCAGAGGGGAAGGCCCTGGATTCTCACTCATGTGAGATCTTGAATCTCTTTCTTTGTTCTGTTTGTTTAGTTAGTATCATCTGGTAAAATAGTTAAAAAACAACAAAAAACTCTGTATCTGTTTCTAGCATGTGCTGCATTGACTCTATTAATCACATTTCAAATTCACCCTACATTCCTCTCCTCTTCACTAGCCTCTCTGAAGGTGTCCTGGCCAGCCCTGGAGAAGCACTGGTGTCTGCAGCACCCCTCAGTTCCTGTGCCTCAGCCCACAGGCCACTGTGATAATGGTCTGTTTAGCACTTCTGTATTTATTGTAAGAATGATTATAATGAAGATACACACTGTAACTACAAGAAATTATAAATGTTTTTCACATCAGGCTGTTCTTTTTTTTTTTTTGGAGGCGAGGTTAAAGCATTACTATTTGCAAAGCACTCTGTAGCTCCCTGTTATGGGGATAGGTAACTAATCAGAATAATAATGTCACTCGCATCCACTTCTTAGAACCTGGCTCCAAAGGAAAATAAGCTGATAGACTCAATCACTTTCCTGAGGATGGAGGCCTATGGCATGTGTGGCTGCAGGTCGCGAAGCTGCTTAATGGTGCTGGGAAGCCTAGAGGAATTAAATAAAGACCCTGGAGGAGGTGGGATCGGAGCTGCACCTTGAACAAATAGCTCAGATTTGAACAGATGGATGGAAAAGAGGGAGGTGTTCCCAACCAAGGGGACATGATACAGGGAACAGGTCCTATGTCTCTTTACTCCTGAGAGTATTAAACCTAGTAGGTGGGCAGCCCCTCTTGGTTGCCTGTTACCTTATTTTGAATTCTTTTTGCAAAACATACTATCACCCGTCCAAATAATCTTTTGTCTAAATCCAGACTTCACATTCTGACTGGGGCAAAAAGAGGCAGTCCAGTAAAGGTTATAAAATAGGTACCATCATTGTTTGCCTTATTTAGAAAAGCATCCAATTTTCACTATAATCACCCTAAGCCTGAGAGAGGTGAACTGTTCAAGGGTACTTTGGCTCCAGTGGGTGACAGTACCTGGCCCAGCTTTGGAATTGAAACATTTCTGATGGTCTGTACTCTGCTAGAACACAGGATGCTTCTGCTCTCCCTGCTCTGGCATCCTGCCAGGTGTCATGGCCACGCACAGGCATGAAGACAGCCGGGAAGCCAGAGTTCCCACGAAGCACTCACTCCTTGGACTTGCTCCCACCCCACTGGGGAGAGCACTCCTGGAGCAGGAAATGAGCATCTCTCATCTCCCTGAATTCCACATCCACTGGCTGAATGATCAGGGAGGCATAGCAGTGAGAGCCATAGGTCGGCAGAGGGAACTCAGGCCCTCCTTTAGGATGGCCATCACCTCATCTCAATCCAGCCAAATCAACCATCTAGAGCACACAGGCCGAGAGAAATGTAATAAAATATAACATGAGACACGTATGAAATTTAAACTTTCCGGTAGCCACACTAGAAAAAGGTAAAAAAAAAAAAACCAGTGACATTAATTTAAATTTAATTTTAGATAATCCAACAGATCTAAAATACTATCATTTCCACATGTAACCAGTATTTTCATGTGTTTTTTTCTGCAGTAAATCTTTGAAATCTGGTGTGTGTTTTACACTGACAGCACACTCGATTCAGATGCTAGATTTTCCTTGTAGATATTTGGTCGTTATTTAGATTTCATAAAATTTACAGTTTAAAAGATTCCAATATCCGAGTTGCTCCAAACACACTTAGAAGTTGTTTTCCAAATAATGGAATCAATGATCGGCTTTTAGATGTAAACTTATTAAAATAAAGTAGCGTTTCTCAGTTAAGTCACATTCCAAGCGCTCAAGATCCATGCCCTGCGCAGACCCGGACGACGAACCCGACTTTCAGAGACTGAGGGTTCTGCCTAGAGAGCTCCCACAGAAATCAGCCCGAGAAGAAAGCCTTGTGGGTGAAGCCAGGGAGGGAGACAGGAGGGCAGGAGGAAAATCAAGCCTAAATGAGCACATCGTGGACGCCGCTCTTCCTCTCCCCACATCTCCTCGCCTCGCCGCAGTGGGCCCGGCTGTGCCCCAGGTCCCCGCGGTCGGGAGTGAATGGCGCTCGGGTGGCAGGCACGTGGGCACCTGGTGAACTGCAGGACCCTGGCACCGCCACCCCCTCGCCCCTACACACACAGGAGTGCCCCTCCCGTTGTCACGTGGCCTTCCTGCTGGGTATCTGGAGCAGTTGCAGCCTCGCTTCCGGAAGGAAACGGGGCCTCTGGGGCACAGGGACCACCTGCCAGTGCGTTCCAGCCGGGCTGCCATCCACACTGGAGACCGCCCCGCACGTGGTCCTCGGGCTCGGATTCAGCTGTCGCAGGATGTGAGGGGAAAGGTATGTGGCCCGACAATGCCACCGAGGGTGTCCCCGGGCTCCACCCCGTGCCTCTTCATTATAGAATGACTGGGCAGAGATAAGGGCCAGATTACTTTGCTGTATTGAATAATTCACCATAAAAATGATTGCAACCAGGTCAGCGTATCATGATGACTGCAAGCCACCCAGGAATTCGGCAATGCCTCTGGCTCTTGACCGCCCTAAGTCCCCTTCACTCCATTGCACAACCCAGGGTCAGGCGCAGGATTGCCCCTAGCCTCCAAGTGGGAAAGAGGAGGTGGCTCTGGCTAAGCCAAGCTCCCAGAGCTCCCACAGCCCTCGGATTTTTAGTGACAGTGCTAGGGCCACACTCCACAGCCCCAGTGACATGGAAACACCTTCTGGTTGTAGAGTTTACCGTGCTTATCCCAATCACGTGGCATGGAAACACCTTCTGGTCTTAGAGTTTACCGTGCTTATCCCAATCACGTGGCATGGAAACACCTTCTGGTTGTAGAGTTTACCGTGCTTATCCCAATCACGTGGCATGGAAACACCTTCTGGTCTTAGAGTTTACCGTGCTTATCCCAATCACGTGGCATGGAAACACCTTCTGGTCTTAGAGTTTACCGTGCTTATCCCAATCACGTGGCATGGAAACACCTTCTGGTCTTAGAGTTTACCGTGCTTATCCCAATCACGTGGCATGGAAACACCTTCTGGTTGTAGAGTTTACCGTGCTTATCCCAATCACGTGGCATGGAAACACCTTCTGGTCTTAGAGTTTACCGTGCTTATCCCAATCACGTGGCATGGAAACACCTTCTGGTCGTAGAGTTTACCGTGCTTATCCCAATCACGCGGTGACCTTGTAAAACCCCAGGGGCTAAAGGCACTAAAAGCATTTGTACTAATGACTTCCAAAAAGTCAACCACAACCTCCCACCTGCAATCTGCTTGGTAGCTCTAATCCCTGGCCTCCACTCAGGTGAAGCCTGACCAAGGACTGCCAACTGCATTTGGGCAGAAGGGTCTACTGAGCTCTTGAGATGTTACCTTCACCTGTTAATTCAGCAAACCAAGTTCCCGAGGACACGTTCACAAGCTTTCCCTTTTCCTAAGGCTGAACTGGAGAGAAGGAATAAACACACACACACACACACACTCACAGAGACACACACAAAATAGTGTGTCTCTCTATATAGTGCATATATATATATATATATATATACATATAGTCACACACCGCTTAACAATGTATCCCTTAACAACAGGGATACATTCTGGGAAATTCATCATTAGATTTCATCGTCGTGTGAACAAACCTGCATAGTACAGCCTGCTACACACCTAGGCTAGATGGTACAGCCTATTGCTCCTAGGCTACAAAGCTGTACAACATGTTACTGTACTGAATACTATAGGCCATTGTAACACAATGGTATTGGTGTATCTAAACATAGAAAAATTACAGTAAAAATGTTATAAAGATTAAAAATGGTCCACCATGAATGGAGCTTGCAGGACTGGAAGTTGCTCTGGGTGAGTGAGTGAGTGGAGGGAGTATGAGGCCTAGGACATTACTATACACTACTGTAGACTCTAAAAAATGCTGTACACTTATGCTACACATTGATTGAAAACTTTTCTTTCTTCAATAATAAATTTACTCTAACATTTTTACTTCATAAACTTTCAATTTTTTTAACTTTTGGACTCTTATAATAGCACCTAGCTTTAAACAAACATACTGTACAGCCGTACAAGTTATTTTCTGTCTTTATATCCTTTTTCTATAAGCCTTTAAATTTTTTTTTAAACTTTTTTGTTTAAAACTAAGACACAAATATGCATATTAGCCTAGGCCTACACAGGGTCAGGATCATCAGTATCACTGTCTTCCACCTCCACATCTTGTCCCACTGGAAGGTCTTCAGGGACAATAACATGCACGGAGCTGTCATCTATGAATAGCAACGCCTTCTGGAATACCTCCTGAAGGACCTGCGTGAGGCTGTTTTAGGGTTAACTTTTTTTTTCTAAGTAGGAATACACTCTAAAATACCAATAAAAAGTACAGTGTAGTAAATTCATAAACCATAACAGAGTCGTTTTAGCATATAAAAGTATATAGCATATACAATTATGCTATATAATTGTACAGCATATACATTTATAGTATATAACATAATTGTATATGCTATATACTTTTATATAACTGGCAGTGTGGTAGGTTTGTTTACATCAGCATCACCACAAACATCTGAGTAACGCACTGCACTAGGATTTTACGATGGCTATGATGTAACTAGGCAATAGGAATTTTTCAGCTTCATTATAATCTATGGGAACACTGTTGTATATGCCATACATCATTGACTAAAATGTTATGTGGCACATGACTGTATTCCATTTAATACAAATTTCTTAATGCTGTACAGTCTAATGACAGAAAGCAGATCAGTGCTAATGACAGAAAGCAGATTGCCTCACCTAGGGATGAGGTGGGGTGGGGAATGGAGGGATTACAAAAGTGTATAAGAAATGGTTAAGGTGATCCATATGTTCATTATCTTGATTGCAGTGATGGTTTCTCCACATATGTGAACATGATTCTAATGTTATATTTTAAATATGTGCCATTTATCTTATGTCAATTATACCTCAAAAAATCTGTTAAAAAAAAAAAAAAAAAAAGAAGTCCCTCCCACCACCACCTCCATCCCACACACAGCCAAACGATACTCAGTCCCATCCTGGAATTTCCACTGAGAGCTTACCTCCTCCTGGTCCCTCTAGAGAAGAAGCTCAGCAAAGGCTGGTCTAATGCACCTTCCTGGGCTCCCACCCATAGGGCGAGTCCATACTTCCCTTGGACTCGCCCTGTGGGTGGGAGGCCAGAAAGGAGCATGCTCTATTCGCATGGTTGGCTATGACCTCTCAGTATTGTAAGTCAAAGTCATTATTTCTGCTTGGGTTCACTCATTTCAAATATTAACTTTTAATGACCAGCAATGAAGACAACAAAACACAGGGCCCATGGGGTCAAGGGCAGACTGAGACCTATATAGCAACTTTGTTGATGATGACATAGTCAAATGGCTTTCTCTGGAAGAAGCAAAGAACTTTCTAGTGACATAGGTAACATAACCAGTTCCTTCATATGCTGAAACTAGTTTCCGAAGCTACCTGGATATCCAACAACAGATCTCATGCATCTAGTGTCTCCCCTCAACCACTCAACACATAACCATTTGAAAAGTGTTCCTGAATATGGTACATCCTTTCCATGGAGGAGCACACAGCCACTAAGCAGTGCAGCCCAGGAGCTTATCACTCCTTTTTAATCAATGGACAAAATCTGGATTAACCCCCTTCTATTATTCAAACTAACTTCCAACTAACTTTTTCTCATACCTCCTTATTCAAAAGTAAAGATTTAATGAACTACTCCTGTCTGCTAAACACAGATTAAGTGGTCGGGATTCAAGCATAATTTAGATACAACGACTGAATTACTGGAAAAGAGGAAAGAAAAAAAGGGGGCAGGGGCTGGGCACGGTGGCTCACGCCTGTAATCCCAGCACTTTGGGAGGCCCAGGCGGGCGGATGACCTGAGATCAGGAGTTTGAGACCAGCCTGGGAAAGATGGTGAAATCCCATCTCTACTAAAAATACAAAAATTAGCCGGGCGTGGTGGTGGGCGCCTGTAGTCCCAGCTACTCAGGAGGCTGAGGCAGAATTGCTTGAACCCGGGAGGTGGAGGTTGCCATGAGCTGAGGTTGTGCCACTGCACTCCAGCCTGGGCAACAGAGCAAGACTCCATCAAAAGAAAGAAAGAGAGAGAGAGAAGAAACAAAGGGGGCAGGTTAGATAGACTCAGGTGACTGAACTCCCACCCTGTGGGATCTGACACTATCTCCAGGTAGATCATGTTGGAATTGGAGGGCACCCAGCCCGCGTCTGCTGCTTGGTGTGTGGTGAAAAAACCTACACCTCTGGTCATGGAAGTCTTCTTCTGCGTTGATATTACTGTGGTGGTATGAGAGCAGAGGAAAAACACAGTTTGAGAGAGCTTTTCCCGAAACACAAACAGAAATTGCCAGCCCCGCTGTACAGAAGAGCAGTATGTACAGAATGCTATGTGTCCATCAAAAGAAGAGTGACTAACCAAATTATAGTATCTCTGTAAAATAGAATGCTATTCAGCAATAAAAATAGCAAATTCTTGATATATACAAAAATATAGAGGATATCTCAGAAAATTATGTTGAGTGAAAGACGCCAGACACAAAAGAGTACATTTTGTGTTACTCTACGTATATGAAGTTCAAAAACAAGTGAAACTGGCCAGGCGCAGTGGCTCATGCCTGTAATCTCAGCACTTTAGGAGGTCAAGGCGGGCGGATCACCTGAGGTCAGGAGTTTGAGACCAGCCTGGCCAACATGGTGAAACCCCATCTCTACTAAAAATACAAAAATTAGCCGGGTGTGGTGGCGCATGCCTGTAGTCCCAGCTATTTGGTAGGCTGAGGCCAAGGAATCACCTGAACCTGGGAGGCAGAGGTTGCAGTGAGCTGAGATTGTGCCACTGCACTCCAGCGTGGGTGACAAAGGCTCCGTTTAAAAAAAAAATAAAAAACAAAAAAAACCCACAACAACAAATGAAACTGATCTATGGCAATAGAAGTGGGAACTAGCGGTTGCCCCTGTGGATGATCTGGAAGGGAGACGGAACCAGCAGGGAAGGAAATGTTTTATATCTTGATTGGGGTGGAGCTTACACAAGTGTACACATTTGGTAAAATTCATCCAGCTGTACACTTTGAATCTGTGCGTTTTATTGTATGTAAATTGTTCCTTGATTTTAAAGGAAAGTGTAAAGAGATCACAGTGGAAAAGGTTATTTGCTTTTCTGGGCCTAATCAGGAAAGACTTCCCAAAGGAAGTGACATTTGAGCAGGATCTTGAAGGAGGAATAGGACATTTTCTGGTTGGAGCTAAAAACAAGAACTAAAATGTGGAGGTTGAGAGTCAACGTGCATCTCAGTAGAGGAGACCTCACGGATGTGTTTGAGAATGTCTGAGAAAGGAGGGTTGGGAATGGTGTGTGCAAGGAAAATAAAAATCTTGGGACCCCAAACTTACTGTGCCAAAGGGAAAAGTTCAGTTTGGGAACTGAGTCATGCAAAAACTGCCTTCCATTTTGTTTCTAAATAGCTAGCTGCAAAAATAGAGGGCCAAGTCCCTCCCCAGGAAGAGCCCCCCTCCACATAATTTGCTTACAAGGAAATTCCTTGTAGGCCCCAAGATATTTACCCTGAAACAATTCTGTTGGATTTCCCCCGACAATGTAAATTAACAGCATATCTTCACAGGTATGGGAGAAAGACAGAAGTCATCCCTTCACTCACCTGAGACAAATGCATATTTGACTGCTTCCTCTACTCGGTGTTTATCTTACAGAAAAATGCAGATTCTCGGAGCACAAGATGAATGCATAATTGACTGTTCCTCTACCCCCTCCTTTCATGAGTAAAATGCAGACTTAGTGAGCACGAATCAAAGCCTAATCAAAGTCTTGAGATAATGTAACCTCTTGCCTTTTTTATCTACTTTCCTTTTTTTTTTTTTTTTTTTTTTTTTTTTTTGAGATGGAGTCTCACTCTGTCACTCAGGCTAGAGTGCAGTGGTGCGATCTCGGCTCACTGCAACCTCCACTTCCCGGGTTCAAGCGATTCTCCTGCCTCAGCCTCCCGAGTAGCTGGGACTACAGGTGCGTGCCCACCACGCCCAGCTAATTTTTTGTATTTTTAGTAGAGATGGGCTTTCACCGTTATTAGCCAGGATGGTCTCGATCTCCTGACCTCGTGATCTGCCCGCCTCGGCCTCCCAAAGTGCTGGGATTGCGGGCGTGACTGTGCCCAGCCCCCCTCCTCCCTTTTCTTTCTTTCCTCTTTCCCCTATGGTCTCTTCTTTCCCTTTAAATATTGAAGTCCTAAAACCCTCTTTGGAAAAAGCATGGATCACAGACTTCCTGTGATTTGTGTTCCTTTTTCCTAGGTGCATCCTCGACCTTGACAAAATAAACCTCTCAATTGAGGCTTGCCTCGGTCTTTTTCTTTGGTTTACAGGTGGGAGACAGAAAAAAGTGGTTGGGATCAGATTACAAAAGACCTTGAATAATATCCACTTTCTACCAAGGACAAAGAGAAATCATGAAAGTGCTTAGATTATGGTTTTGTCTGATTACATAAATAATGCATGCCTATTTTTTTGAAAAATGCAAATAATTGTGTATAAAGCAGAAAGTCCCCCCATAATCCTAGCTCCCAAAATAGTCACTTTTAACAATTTAGTGTTAGGCTAAACAATTATCTTTAGCTAACAATTTATTTTCCAGACATTATGTATATTCATATGTATTTTTATACTCATTTTTAAATTTTTAATAAAATGTATTAATAGGATTCTATATTATATGCTGTACAAGGCCCAGCATCATGCCTATTTTCATTCTTAAATTTTCAGTATCTAGCACAATGTCTGGCATAAGAAATACTTGTTGGATGAAAGAATTATCTTTTATTCTTGCTTTTGTTTTCTAGCACATCCTGGATATCCTCATTCTTTTCAGTGGCTATACAATGTCCTGCTGCTTGATGCAATGCCCTATTGATAGGCACTTGCTGCAAATTCCTTACTGTTACAAGACTATTACAAGATCCATGTGTACTTGGATGTATTTCTGTGATACTGTGAAATATATATTTGATCTTCATCTCTGTTTCCTGGCAAACAATTCCTAAAACCTTAGAATCTCCAAAGAGATGTCTTTTTGTACATGATGACTGACTGAAAGCTAGCAGTCCCTAGGCAGCTTCAGGATGGGGCTGGTCTCCAGAAAGCCCATGGCAGGATTACAGGGTTGGGTCTTTGATTACTACCCCTAACCTCTCGGAAGGAGAGGAGGCTCAAGATTAAGTTGACAGCCAATGGCCAAAGGTTTAATCAATCATGCCTATGTAATGAAGTCTCCATAAAAGATTCAAGAGGACAGAGTTTGGGAAGCTTCTCAATAGTGGACCGTGTGGAGGTTCTTGGAGGGTGGCACACCAGAGAGGACATGAAAGCTCTGTGTCGCTTCCACCACACCTCGCCTTATGAATCTCTGCATCTGTATCTCGCTTCCACCACACCTCGCCTTATGAATCTCTGCATCTGTATCCTTTATAATACACTTTATAATAAACCAGCAAATGTGTTTCCCTGAGTTCTGTGAGCCACTCCAGCAAATTAATTGAACCCCAAAGCAGGGTTGTGGGAACCCCAACTTGAAGTTGGTCAGTCTGAAGTTCAGGAGGCCTGGATATGCAACTGGTGTCTGAAGGGAGCGTGGTTTTGGGGACTGAGCCCTGAACCTGTGGGATCTGATGCTATCTCCAGGCAGACAGTGTTGGAATTGAATTAGAGGACACCCAGCCGGTGTCTGCAGCAGAACTGATTGCTTGCTTGTTCAGAGAATAGAAAAAACTGTGAGTTTGTGGTCTTTTTCCTCTGACACACCATTTCTATGGGACAAATTCCTAGAAGAGGAATTTGCTGGTTCAAAATATGCACATCTCAAAACTGCATAAATGTAACAGATTCTGCTAAATTACCACCCGAGGGTTGTACTAATATCCTTTTTCATAATATGTCGTTTCTACCATATGCTCAACAATCCTTGTTATTATCAATCCTTTTCACCCTTGATAATCTGATAGTCCAAAATTATTTTCTTGTTTTGCTTTTATTATTCGTGGTTTAGCATTTTGTTTTATGTTTATTGACTGTTTGCATTTTTTCTGTGAATTATCTGTTTATATGCTTTGATCTCTTTTTACTGTATCATTAATTTTTTTAATTATAGAAGCTTTTTATATATTATAGGTGACAATTCTATATATGTCAAAAATATTTCTCCCCGTCTTCTTTGTTTAGAATGTCTTTTGCACTGCAGTTTTAAAGTTGTATGTAGTCAAATCTGTTTTCTTTCCTCTTTGTAGTTTGTAGCCTAAGTGAAATGTAGAGAAAAGCTCTCCTCCTTTAGACTATAAAACTATTCTAATTTTAAAAGATTCTTTTATGGTTTTATTTTTTGCATTTGAATCTTTAATATGTTTAAATAAGTGAAAGTAAAAACTTAGCTTTGCTTTTTTTTCCCAAATATAATCAAATAAATGATCAAACAGACCCATTTATTGAATAACATATGCTTTCCCCACTGACTTAAAATGCCAATTTTACCATAAATGAAATTCCCATATATACCCGGGCCTGTTCTGAAACTCTACATTCATATCCATGAGTGCAGATTTGTGATATATGTTGGTATCTAGTAGGATAAACAGAAACATTTCACACAACTTTATTCCCTGCGAGTGGCACTGTTATCAATCCGATCTAGATTAGGTAAATTAACAGGACACAAGTTCAGTTATCCCTTTGATAAATTATCAAAAAATTTAAATATTGGCATACCAGGTATTCTTTCATAGTGTGTATATAGCCATTTAATATGGAGAATTGAAATTTCAATCATGACATTTTGTTTAGTTGTTACAGAACAAAAAGTTATGTGTAATAGTGATTCTATATTGCCTATAAACATGTACATTTTAATAATTGTTTTCTTTATAAAAACTACAAATTCAACGTATTTAATAGATACAGAGGATGTCCAGTTAGCTCTAACATATAAAGAGCTTGGAAGCCATCACTCCCATCCTTACAAGAAAAAGCTAAGCAAATGGAAAAATCAACAATTCTTTTGAACCCATCAGAGAACTGAGGTCTCAGGGTAAACCACCACTCCAAAATCTGGAGAGAGAGGTGAATCCAGAGTCACAGCTGAGATTTGCTTACCTGGAGTGCAAGCTGCTGGAGCCATAAACTGGTAGTAACACTTAAATGCTAATGTTGACAAATTGCTGGAGTCTGAGTATGGACTAGTGTAAGGGTGAGAAATACTGTCTTCATTGTAAAATACATCCAGAGTGTTTTCCACAACAAAAGCCTCTCTCCAAGGAAAAAGACTTTACCAAAGCCGTAACCCAGCTGGGGAAAGTTACCTTTCTTCTCCAGCCACCTTCTAGCTTCCTGTCTTATCTAAGGGGGAAAAAGTTAAGAAACTCTCAGCCCAGGGATTCAGGCCCATGAAAATACTGAGATTTAGATTTTATTATTATAATTTTATTATTATACATGTCCCCTCCTCCACATCGCACTGCCATACCAACAGGGCTCTAGTGTTAATTTACAGTGGATTACAGCTGAACGAGTTGCAAGACACAGGCTTTCTCTGAAAAGGGGCACTGAGGGAACTCCACAGTCAAAAGGGGAGACAAAAACAAGACCACCAGAGGAATTCGAAGCCTCTGGCACTAACAGCCACAGCAAACATTAAATATAATCCAACTCCTACCTAGATTAACATAAAATTTACACTCAAGGCTTTTAAAATTCAGTTCCTATTACCCAAGAGGCGATGTCTAGCTTTCAACAAATAATTACAAGGCATATTAAGAGGCAAGAAAAAACAAAGTCTGCAGACATAGAAGGATATGCAGATTTTCTTTTCTTTTTTTTTTTTTTTTTTTGAGACGGAGTTTCACTCTTGTTGCCCAGGCTGCAGTGCAATGGTGTTATCTCAGCTCACCGCAACCTCCGCCTTCTGGGTTCAAGTGATTCTTCTGCCTCAACCTCCCAAGTAGCTGGGATTACAGGTGCCCATCACCACGCCTGGTTTATTTTTTGTATTTTTAGTAGAGATGGGGTTTCACTATGTTGGCCAGGCTGGTTTCAAACTCCTGACCTCAGGTGATCCACCCACCTCGGCCTCTCGAGTGAATTTTGTGGGTTTTTTTAAAAAAGGAATTTGTCCATTTACGTTTTAAAATTTATTGGCATTAAAGTTATCCATACTATCCTTTATTAATTTAATAATGTAGGGCCTATAGTGACGTCTCCTGTCATTACTGATACTTGTGCCTTCTCTTTTTTCCATCTGGCCAGAGCTTTACCAGCTTTATTGGTTTTTTTCAAAGAACCAGATTTTTGTTTCATTTTTCCCCATTGTTTTACTGCTATTTATTTGGTTCCTGTTCTTTTATGATTTCATTTCTTCTCCTTATATTAGCTTTAGTTTGCTCTTCTTTATCGAGTTTCTTAAGTAGAGGCTTAGGTCATTGATTTTGAATATTTTTCCTTACCTAATATAAGCATTTAACGTTAAGAATTTCCCTCTCTTGGCCAGGCACAGTACTCATGCCTGTAATCCCAGCACTTTGGGAGGCTGAGGTGGGCAGATCACTTGAGGCCAAGAGTTCAAGACCAGCCTGGCCAACGTGGTGAAACCCCGTCTCTACTACAAATACAAAAATTAGGTGGGCATGGTGGTGCGCACCTGTAGTCCCAGCTACTCGGGAGGCTGAGGCAGGAGAATCGCTTGAACCTGGAAGGCAGAGGTTGCAGTGAGCTGAGATCATGCCACTGCACCCCAGCTTGGTGACAGAGCGAGATTCTGTCTCAAAAAAAAAAAAATCAAAATAAATAAATAAAAGAATTTCCCTCTCTATTCCCTCTTTCAGGTCTTTGCTTTGGCAACTATCCTATCCCTCTCCTACGTCATTTTTTCCTTTCTATGGAGTCATTCTTATCTTAACATAAACATGCAGTTACAGTTACAGTCTACATCATAAGGAAAAAAAGAAAAAAAAACTCTCTTTCCCCCACATCCTCCTTAGGTTCATCATCCCACTGCTCTACAATACCTGTGTTCTCAATGCTGTGTCTACTTCCTCATCTCCTGTTCCGTACAATCCATTCTATTCAGGTGTTCACTCTGATTTCCATCTTGTTTTTATCAAGATCACCAGCAAGTTCCATCTCTCCATACAAAACAATCAATTCTCTCTCCTCTTCTTACCCATTATCCAGCAGCATTTGACATCCTTTCCCCACTGGCTGTCAAGCCACTGCACTCCTTTGGTTTTCCTTCCTTCTTCTCTCCTTTCCAACCTTTCAATTGACTGCCCCCAGGGTTCAGTCCTCAGCTATCACCTATCTATATCCACTACCCAGTGCCCTTCATCCACTTCTAAATTAAGCATCATCTTAGTAGTCAAGCTATTCTATATTATTCCATAATTTGTAGTGCATTTTGTAGTTGCCTTAAAATAATACTTAGGTGTTTTAATCTGTGCAGTTAGATTATATGTTTTCCAAGGACAAAGATCCCCACCATCTCGTTCTTTTCCATCCTTTTGAAGTGCCTAAGCAGTATTCTGTGCATGGTAAGCCCTGAATAAGCACTGTAAACTTCATCTGATTTTGTGCAAGCTCTAAAAAATGTGTAATTTTACTAGTAGCTAGAAGGATTTACAGCGATCCACACTGAGGCAACAAGTACCACTTATAAATTAATTGAGCATTAAAGCCAGGATCTGCTTGGGACTCATAATCTATTATGGTCACCTTACAATGTATCTAATTCTTCTATTGAGACTGGGACCACAACCTGTCCAGAGGTTCCTTCTATTCAGCATTTTCAAAGAGGTGAAAGTAAAATATGCACTTCTTTCCATTAGAGGTTTCTCATGTGTTGAGGCTGGTCATAGGGAAATCTCCATTCCAACTAAATGCCAAACAAGTAACAATTAAATTAGAACCAAAATTCAGTGTTTAAGGGCCAATGAAATTGTACAGGAATCTGGGCTGATACCTGAGGAATGCCCACCTCTTCCACTGGTTTACAGGTTAGAAGCAAAGAGCCCTTGGGACCTGAGAACGTTTCATCCAATAACGTCATCAACATAGCCTGCAACAGCCTCATTTCAAGCCAGAGTGAACAAGCATCAAATGGTTTTGAGTATCGTATCATAATCCCCTATGTATCCTGTCTGATGGCAAGGGCCAAGCTCAACCCTTTAGCTGCACTGTCTCCTCACCAAGGGAAAGAAAGAGAAAAGGACTCTATAGGCTACTCAGAATCACCAGGTAAAAGCTAAATTGTACTCTCCTCTTCACCGGACTCCAATCCTTAGCCACTATTATACAAACATTCTTTAAATTCACCATTTTACAATTAGGAGATTTTGCAAAGCAAGCTTCCAGGATCTTTGAGGATTCCCCCGGCTTGGTTTAAGATACCTCAAGGAAATGCTCTGAACCAAACTACTCCTAAACACACAGATATGAAATAAGCCTTAGGAGTTTTAAATCAGATAAAGAATTTCTCTTTGAAAAAAGTCTCTGAACTGATCAGTCATAAACAACAGAATGTACATCCAAGTTTCATAAGGAGACAAAACACGGTAGTAACATACTGAAGGATACACCATTCCACAGAACAGGAAACACAGGAAATGAGGAGTGCCAGACAATCTTTTTATTGTTCACTGAAAAATGCAGGTCTGCAAAGAGTCAATTGCATTGTATATTGAATGCAAGGTCTGATATTGCAAGTATATATGACATGGTATAACATATAAAATATTACATATTTTACACAGTGACAGTACCCGCCTCTTCTAAACACTAAAATTTAATAGAATGAAGTAAAAAGCCTATTAAATAAGAAACAAACACTGCAATCATAAACAAAATGCACTAAGCAAAATACTTTAAAATTGTTGTGTGTGACATCTATCTTGTCTACCTGGAGTTAGGAATGGTGGAGCCCAGAAAAAAACTGAGCTAACAAAAACAGCCAACACCCTCCAGGAACTCTTCCCTGGAATCAGGCCGCTGGTGCCCGTCACAGGCTGCCCCCATCTGATGACCCAGCCAGGCTTCAGGGCTGCCTGAGGGCCCACACTGAATGCTAACGCCTGTCTGGGGCTGGGCTGAGGTGAATGGGAGGAGTACCAGGTAGGAAGAAGCTTCTCTCCCAACTGCTTATTCTGCATCCATGCTATGGATATGAACACCTAGTGTTTCTGGTGTGAATCTGCCACTCTCCACAAACATTGAAATGTGATTGAGAAGAAAATGTTAACGCTGGGAACAAAAGCCATTTTCTACGCAGTCTGCAGATATCATCATTAATTCCTTTCATCCATGTTTTCATTAAGATGCTCTAAAAGAGGCTGCTGCTATTATACAGCCAGTCAGGCAAGCCAGGATAGAGGTAACAAAATTTCTCCAGTTATAACTAGTAATTCAAATGAATCAAAAATAAATATAGCTTATACTAGAGAGCAACACAGTCTCTATTATTCACATGGTAATATATTCAAGAATTGCAACAATATTCACAATTCTCTAAGGTCAACATATTTCCCTCCAAGCAGAAAATCCTGAATGGAAGGGAGTGTATAACATCAATAACTCCTGTTTGTCTCACATAATATCAGGGCTCAGAAAGCTCATTATAGATAACAAATGCAAAATAAAAAAAAAAAAGCATTTCAATATATGTACAGCAACAGAGGAAGACTAGGCCCTCCCTCTGGGCCTCCTTGGCATAAGGCAAAGCATGGCTATTTGCGACAACAGTGTCTAAGCTGACTCTGGAAAGGCTCATGTTTTACGATAAATCAGAATTACAAAGTTCCTTCATTCACAGGTAACAAAGGATTATTAAATAATTTCCTGAACTAAGACAACAGTCTCACCATCAAAGAAAATTTTCTTCTCATCTGAGTTTTTATAAATGAGATTTTACAATACCCAGCTTTTTTAGTTAATATGAAACCATCGGCGTACAGAGAACATCCTCAAAGCTCAAGATGAGTAAAGCTAATATTCTCAGACTTTCCACACTCTACAGAGCAGCAAATATTTTATCAGAATATCCATTTAACACAGTTTTAAGTCCATAATAACCAACTATGTATTTTTCTTATTCAAAGAAGACCATGTTTTGATAAGAATAATCCCAGTTTGATGAGTATCCTATTCCCCTTGATGTTGTACAATAAATGTCACTGTTGAGTCTCTATATCCTTGACTCTTCCAGTCAAAGGAAAATCCTGTATAAAGCTGGAAAACTGCAAACTCCAGCGGAAGCACTAGTGTTAGTGCTGAAGTAAACTTTAGGGGAATAACCACAGTCGCTTATCAGACTGTTTACAGCATTGATAGAAGCCCTCCTCTTCTTTTATCTCTATTATCTCTATTTTATCTCTAAACATTCTAATATTTTAAACATGGGGGTTCACTGATATCGATAAAGGTCTAGTTCATGAGTAAGGTTTTGGTCTCTGGAATGATGTGTGGCTAGCCCAAAACACTGGCTATGTTAGCTTTAAACATGATCATTCTTCTTCCCACCACAATCTGTCAAACCCGCCCATCCGTCCTGCCACTGTCACTCCCCCAGCCCCTCAGGATTGCTGCTCCTCTCTTCTGAATGTTCTACTGCATGTATGGTATTCACTGAGACATCACTTTAATGTATAGGTCATTTGCATTTCATGCCACCAGCTCCCCAAAAGACATCAACTGGGAACAATTTCTAATAGTAAAGGCACGATTTGCCAGAATTTTCCCTTTATAAAGGAAATCAAAGGACCTGTCTGGAAGCTGAAAGAACACCTTGGGTATTCCTGTAAAGGGAACGCTGTATCTGCTACCAAAACCCAGAGACACTGACTAGATCTAAAGAGCATATGGATTATGCAATAGTGTGAGATTTGGCAGTTTAAGATCTATTTCCAATATTACATTAAGCCATTTGGGTGAAAGTGTTGTTAGTATCACAGGAGCAAATGAAAAGTGTCAATGACACCCTTTTGGCTCATTTCCTTGTGCTTCTGGTTATACTTCCACCAGCTCCAGTGAAGCCTGTCCCAGGGCACATCACTCAGCTCCCCGCACAGCTGCTCAGAGAGAAAACAATGCACTTCACCTCAACTAGTCCAGCAACTGGCACTCAGATGGTGAACGCTGCAGCCAACGGCCTTGGGGCAGAGCCCATGGAAAGCTTTAAACAGGCTTATAGACATTGCATAAAAATTCCTGATTTTAAAATACCTTCCCAAGGAAGTCACAAAACAATCATTTTTAGTTAATAAAATGTAATCTATACTCAAAAACAATGTAATGCCTCAGAAAGCAAAACCTGGAATGGAAGCACTTCAGAAAAATACGGCTTAATCAGTATCTTACTTTGGCTAAGTTACCACAGTCAGCGTAATTTATTATTGCATTTAGAAGCCCAACCTACCGTGTTCTCCTAAGATGGTGAAGTACACGCAAACAGTGAGCAGGGGTGATAGCCCTTTAGCCTTTTGTGACTTCAGAACTTAGGAAGATAAAAGATAACCAGGATTTGACATTCAGATACTTACTTGCTCAGCACGAGTTGAGTTAGGAGACAGCTAAAGACCAGATTCTCATCCACTTAAGGTGTTCTCAGGAAGCTCCTATTTGGATACCAAACCAGTGGGTCTCAACATGGCTGCACATCAGAATCACCTGGGAAGCTTTTAAAACTCACCACGTGCCCAGGCCAATTAGCTCTGGAAGGTGGAGCCCAGAATCAGTCGGCTTTACACTGTCCCAGGTGATTCTCGTGCAGCCAGGACGCACACCACTGAGCACCCCTTTCGGAGAGCAGTTGTGTGAAAGCCAAGTGAATGGAACGCATATCTGCATAGTTTTATTTCTTTCTCAATTCCACCAGAAAAAGGGATTTTCAGAAAAAGGCACAGTTGTGCTTCCTCTAAAGATGTAGTCTGCGGTTTGGGAAGTGCTGGTTCCCTGAGGTTATCTGGAGCGCTGGTTGTAAAGAAGAAAGTTCTTGTCTTGGCAGAGCAGGCAGAGTTTCAGGCTTCGGCAGCTGCCTCCCGCAGCTAAGAATGCCCAGGTGCCCATGAGCACCAGGATTATAAATGCTGACGCCAGGTTTATTCCATAATAAGAACTTATGAAGGTCTGCAAAAGAAAAATAAATCAGCTTGGGTAATAACAGCAAGCTTATTAAACATGTGGAATAACCAAAGATAAAGGGAAGCATGGAATACTTTCAAGAACTTGGGTGTGTTTCACCAAACGTATGATGTGTGTCATGCGTTAAGGCCCTGAGGCATGTAGAACTAAGCTGGTCAGCAGATACTGTGGGTCCCGTGTTTTGCTGTATTCAGATGGTAACCCTAGAAGGCAGTCATTAGGCAGAACCTAATGGAATATACAATACAAGATGCATGTCGTGTAACTAGTTTCTATTCATTTCTGTGTTAAATTGGTTCTTAGAATTTGCAAGAAAGTGAGACAACTCCAAATTACTTTAGTATGAATCCTTAGTACTCAAGGGAACATGAGGGAATAGTCTTTTTCAGTTGCACAATTGCTGTGGGTTCCAAAAGTGTATTCATTTAAAGAACACTAATGGAATGCTGAGAGGTACTGTGTACACCTTGGTGAGACCAAAGTTTCTATCCTAATGGAGGTTCTGTACTAGTAAGGGAGGCAGGTAATGAATGAAGAAACAATTAGTCACAAATTGTGATGAATGCTAGGACAGCATAATTATAATTGCGATGAGGCTAGGATGGGTAAAAACAAGGTGATCTCCTTAGGGCTGTCAAAGAAGGCCTGAAGAAAGTGGTAGATTTTACAGGTAGCACCTTATGCAGAAAGACTGCTCTTCTCAAGAGGCCTCCGTGGGCATGGCAGGCATTGAGCATTTTCTAGATTATTCTTCACAATAATTCTATACCTCAAATCCACTGAATTTTAACTCATTTTACAGAGTGCTGCACTGTTTTGTATTGTTCTTCTCTTCTTTAAAAAACATTTTTCCTCTTTTAAACAATTACAAAAGCAATACATGATTGTTGTAGAAAATTACAACCCAAAAATGAGAAAAATAGAACAAATTTTAAAACTTAAAATTCAGCTAGGTTAATATTTATTAAAAAGCTCAAAAAGTGAAACCATAAAGAGAAAAACTGATCAGACTATATAAAATTAAGAACTTTTGTTCACCGAAAGACATTAAGAGAATGTAAAGACAAACCATGCCACAGAAGTTATCTGCAATACATACATCTGACAAAAGATTTTTTCTTTTACAGAAAACATAAAGAACTCCTAAAAATCAAAAAGAAAATAGGCATAAGATTTGAACAGGCACTTCAAAAAGAATTATCCGAATGGCCAATAAACATCTGAAGACTTGCTCAACCTTATTTTCCCAGCATGAACACACCTGTGTAACTAGCACCTAGATGAAAATCAAAACATTCTCAGCCCCCAGGAGCCTCCCTGTTCCACCAGTCCCTGCCCCCACTGAGGGTGACCATGACGCTGGCTTCAACACCACAGCCTGGTGCTGCCTTTTGGTATTTCTGTCAACGGAGCCACACAACATGGGGCTCAACCTATTAATCATCAGGGAAACGTAAATGAAAACTTTTACTATAATTTATCAATTTATGTATTTATGATACCATGACATAGCCAGCAGGACGACTAACAATAAAGAGAATGCAGTGAGGAGGTGGACGAACCACAACTTGTAAACTGATGGCAGAGTGTAAGGTGATACCATCACTCTGAAAATTGAGTGGTATGAACAGTCGACACATGTACACCCCATGACCCAGCAGTCCCACTCCTAGGCGTATACCCAAAAGAAGTGTGTGTGTGTGTGTGTGTGTGTGTGTGTGTGTTGTGTGTGTGTGTGTGTGTTCACCAAGAGATATACATTAGAACGTTCACAGCAGTACCATTCACAATAGATAAGAATGAGAAAGCCAGGGGTGGTGGCTCATGCCTGTAATCCCAACACTTTGAGGGGCTGAGAGAGGAGGATCGCTTGAGCCCAGGAGTTCGAAGCCAGCCGGAGCAACATAGAGCTCATCTCTACAAAAAAATTTAAAAGTTAGCCAGGCATGACGGCGCATGCCCATAGTCCCAGCTACTTGGAAGGGTGTGGTGGGAGAATCACTTGAGCCCAGGAGGTCGAGGCTGCAATGAGCCGTGATCGTGCCACCGCACTCCAGCCTGGGCAACAGGGCAAGACTCCATCTCAAACTAGAAACAACATCAATGCCTCTCTGCTGTCAAATGGGTAAATTATGGTATAGACACATGGTAGAATACTATACAGCAATGAGTGAGCCATCTATAGTGATGTGAAGATGAATCCCACAAACATGCTGAGCAATAGGAGCCAGACACAAGAGCAAACGTTGTGTGACTCTGTTGACAGAAATACCAAAAGGCAGCACCAAGCTGTGGTGTTGAAGCCAGCGTCATGGTCACCCTCAGTGGGGGCAGTGACTGGTCGAACAGGGAGGCTCCTGGGGGCTGAGAATGTTTTGATTTTCATCTAGGTGCTAGTTACACAGGTGTGTTCACACTGTGAAAATTCATCAAGATGTACATTTCTGATTTGTGTGCTTTTCTGTAGGTGTGTTATTTTAATAAAACAATTATGTAATCATTCTCTGAAATCTGCCACTGACAGAGAACTACTATGAACATTTTGGTATATACTTTTCAAACTTCCTAGGTTCTTTCCTTTTAATCATTAAAAAGAATAGTATCAACTATTCAATATACACCAACATTTACTGGCCACCTACTATGTGCCATGAATTGAGGATACGAAGATTGAAGATAAGGCCCCATCCTTGATTATCATACTCTAATTAGAAACAGAGAGAGAGAGATAAAAACTATATTAAATAAAATATGCTAGCCAAGGACACATGTGTTATACGAGAGCTAGGAATAAGGTCCAGTCATGGTGCCGAGTCTGGAATACGCAACTTTTCCACGCAGCTGTCACAGAGAATGAACAGTTTTCCAAACTGACCTAGGTTAGAGAGAGACAAATCACTGCAAATAAACAGCAGGGAAAAAAATATTTCAATAAGACACACCAAAAAATTAATAGTGGTGGTCTTTTTGTGGTAAGACTTACATGACTCATTCATTCACTTAAATAGCTTTTCTGAATTTCCTCATGTTCTCATGAGCGTGTATTTCATCTAGAGTAGAATTTACCATTTTAGATACATAGACTTGAGTTCCAGAATACAGTCTGAGCATGGCGGCAACACTCACCTGGGCTGACACCAGCAGGTGGGTCAGGAGAACGATAAGGAGGATGCCCCACTTTTTCTTCTCACAGCCATCAAAAAATACAATGCCCCAGAATACATGCAGCAAGATAATGACCAGCGTCATGAAAGCTGAAAGAGAGCCGACCATTAGTGTCACTCCTACAGGTATCAGAACCACTGAGGACCCTGGCACTGTGCACGGGCTCTCGGGGTGTCCACCACACCTCAGCAAGAGAGTTTAACACCACCTGACAGAAACAGGGCCTTGACACACTCAAAAAGCAACACTGCGGAACAGGGGACTGACTGCCACAGCTTCTTGTCTAGAATGTAAACCTGTTCAATAAAAGGTCGCCTAAGATCTGGCTTTCAGGCAGCTTCCCTGAGGAATACAATAAAATTACTGTGATGTCCAGCCAGCTTTTTCCCAGTGAGCCTTCTGCACGAGTAAAGAGAGACTTCAATGAAAAGGAGTATCTTCTGTTTAAACAAGGCTCCTCACTAAAGTGGAATTTTTCCTCGGATCCTTTTGAAAAAGAGCAATGGAAAAATATTAAAATCATGGCCAGGCGCTCTGGCTCATGCCTGTAATCCCAGCACTTTGGGAGGCCGAGGCAGGCAGATCACTTGAGTCAGGAGTTTGAGACCAGCTGGCCAACATGGTGAAACCCCAGCTCTACTAAAAATACAAAAATTAGCCAGGCATGGTGGCACATGCCTGTAATCCCAACTATTCGGGAGGCACATGCCTGTAATCCCAACTATTCGGGAGGCTCAGGCAGGAGAATTACTTGAACCCGGGAGGCGGAAGTTGCAGTGAGCTGAGATCATGCCACTGTACTCCAGCCTCGGCAACAGAGCAAAAAAAAAAAAGAAGAAGAAGAAAGAAAAGAAAAATATTTAAAATCACAGTAATTATCTACAATGCTTCTTAGGCAACTGGCACTGAATTTGATCAGCACCACCAGGTTTTTTCTGGGGAACACTACCTCTGTGTGTATGTTGTCTGTGTATCTTGTGTACTGGTTAACAGTCTTTATTTAAAGTGGGCAAGCCCTATATATTCTGCAAAGGTTAACATGGAAAATAAAAAGGCATCTAGATTTCCTCTTTCAGCCACATAATAAGAAATCATTAACACCCACCAGACTGGCAAAAATTCAAGTCTGACAACTCTCTTTCATACTGCTGATAGGAAAACAGTCTAGCATTACAAATTAAAGAGGAATTTGCATTCTCTATTTCACTCCAGCAATTCTGCAGCTAGAGCTAGACTCTGAAGCAATTAGTTCTGAAATTAATAGATCACTGCACCTGGGAACTTGTTAGAACTCCAAATTATGGGGACCCACCCCGCACTTCCTGAATCAGAAACAATGGGGTGGGAGCCCAGCAATCCGTGTTTAAACAGCCCTCCAGGTGATTCTGAGGCACGGTCAAGTTTCAGAGCCATTGCTCTAGAGAAACGTACACATCTGCACAAGGAGCATATATAAGTTTAAGTCAGCACTGTCTGTAATAATGAAATATGTCCATCATTACCAGAATGGATAAATAAATCCTGCTCTATTCACACAATGGAATACTATATGGTCTACGATATAAATTATCTCAAGAATCTAATGTTATGTAGAAAAGAAAACCGTATCGTGAAAAAATGCGTATTATTTCATTGATATGAATTCTAAAACATGCAAAACTAAAAGACGTAACTGTTGTGATGAAAGAAAGCTGTTATATCTGGTGTAAACGTGTAATTATTTCAGTAAACGGTGGTAGATATTTTAACTAAATTAGAAGAGAAACAGTTTCCAAAGTTTTGACGCTATGGCAGATGAAGCTAAAGTGATGTATTTTAACCCCGGTGATGACCCCGGAAAAGGAGGCCTCCCTGGAGAGAGATGCTTGGTGACGGCGGGGAGCTGAGACCGCTGAAGATGCCCAGGAGTGCAGTTTAAGTTTTAAAGTTTTTGTGTCAGAAAAGATCAAGACAGAAACTGACACAAATGGAAACACTGATTTTTTAAAGAAATCATAAGGTGTTCATTTTCTAAGGGTTTTTCAGAATCTAGATGACAATCAAATGTCAAGAGAAAGCAATGACACCATTAAGGTGTCATCTGTTTGGCAGCTTATGTTTGCCATTCTTTCTGAATATTGATGTTACCAGGGCAGCCCTGATGAAATAACCGGGAAAGGTCCTTAGTTCTTGTTTTTGTTTTTTTTTAACTGTTTTTCTTTAGTTCCTTTATCAATAGGCACAGCTGCTTAAAGAAACCAGATGGCTCGAGATGGCACCAGAGCTTCTTGACCCCTGACCAGATACCAGAGGAAGACCTCGCAAAACCAGCACAAACTGGAATAGGTGACTCCTATTTGCATTTAGATCATCAGCATATCTTTACAATGCTAAAACTCCCTCCCCTGAAAGAAAATCCCTGCCATTTCATGCACATATAATATATGAAGGCATATGTTCATGGATAGCACCTTCACGTCTGGAGTCCCATCCCATACATGCTCACATTCCTTTCCCGCCCCACACCTAGTCCCCCTATGCCTTCTACTGCTTGGGGAGAAAGTACATTTAGCACAAGAGCTCACCTTCTCCGTTTTCTGGCCAGGGAATAAAACCCGATTGCCTTTTCCAATTGGATGTTCTTTCTTTGCGACCAATACTGAGTGGGGAAAGAAGTGTTTACCAGGGACACTGAGACACAATTATGCTCCTATAGTCAAGGCCTACAGTTCATTTAAAAATGCTCTCAGGGGCTGGGCGCGATGGCTCACACCTGTAATCCCAGCACTTTGGGAGGCCGAGGCAGGAGTATCACGAGGTCAGGAGATCGAGACCATCCTGGCTAACACGGTAAAACCCCGTCTGTACTAAAAATACAAAAAATTAGCCGGGCGTGGTGGAGGGCACCTGTAGTCCCAGCTGCTCGGGAGGCTGAGGCAGGAGAATGGCGTGAACCTGGGAGGCGGAGCTTGCAGTGAGCCGAGATAGTGCCACTGCACTCCAGCCTGGGTGACAGAGCAAGACTCCATCTCAAAAACAAAACAAAACAAAAACAAAACAACAAAAATTCTCTCATTTACAGGAGTTTCAGTCTCCTCTTGTCCAAAAGAGCATTACTGTGAGTTTTAGGCAAGCATCCTCAAGACATCATTAGCCCTGACTTTCTTCCAAATTCTAGGTCCATATTTCTTGGTCCTTCTTACTAAGAAGTCTGATGGATTGACTTTGCCTCCAAAGTCAAGTCCATACACCTCAGACTAGCATTCAAGGACCTCTACAATCTACACCCCAATTACCTTGACACCATGTTCTCTACTATCTTCAACTGCATCCTATGGAAGAAAACCAGAACTCTTCTTCACTCTGTCTATACCTCTGGTTTTCTTTTTTCTTTTTAAATAGATTATCCCTTTTGTCTGAAGACTCTGCCCCTCAGCACCACCCCTCTCCATTTCACCACATCCGAATCTTACTTTTATTTACAATCCAGTTCAAATGCCACCTCTCCTCCGTAAATTATTTCCTAACACCTACCCTCCTCCTTTTTTTTTTTTTTTACATTCAACACAATCTACTGAGCACCTAGACAGCCTGGCCTGAAGATTATATATATTATCTTTAGAGTCAGATGGTTCTGAGTTAGAATCCCAGCTCCACTGCGTGGCTTTGGACAAGCTATTTAAACTCTCTGAGCTTCCATTTCCTTTATTTTTAAAATGGGGATAATACCACATAGGGCTGTTACAAGGAAAAACAGTGCTTGGCAATCCATATCTTTTTAATATGTGGTAGCTACCGTGTGCTATGGTCTACAGATTCAAAGACAAATAAGCCAGAGTTCTCAGTGAGTTGTACTATCAGGTGAGAAAGTGAGACAGCAGCCAGCAATGACCATTTATATCCAAGTCTCCTGGGTACTTGACTATGTCTTAAAAATGCATTCCTGGCCAGGCACAGTGGCTTACTCCTATAATCCCAGCACCTGGGAGGCTGAGGTGGGTGGACCACTTGAGCCCAGGAGTTCGAAACCAGCTTAGGCAACATAAGAAAACCCTGTCTCTACAACAAATACAAAAATTAGCCAGGCGTGGCAGTGTGCAGCTGTAGTTTCAGCTACTCAGGAGGCTGACGTGGGAGGATTACCTGAGGCCAGGGAGGTTGAGGCTACACGAGCCATCATCACACCACTGCACTCCAGCCTGGGTGACAGAGCTAGACCCTGTCTCAAAAAAATAAATAAAAAATAAAAACAAAAATGCATTTCTCTTCATTCTTGTAGATTATTTCTTCCTCTGACTTTGTATTACTCTTACATTTATTTTCTTCCTCCCCTCTTTCATCAACCCACATAACAAGTATGTCTGCAGTGGCCAGCATGGGCCAGGCACTTTCTAGCCACTGGGACTATTACAACACATGAAACACAGTCTCATAGAACCTTTCCCCATCCTTTCAGTTTACCATTTTATTAACACAATATCTAGAAGAGATCCCTTGGACATGTATTAAAATACCGTGCTATGTTCATACTCGGCTCATTTATGCAGTCAGCTCTCGTTTCCGGGTGGCTTTGATGGTCATCACAGCCTTCACTATCACGACGTGCTATGTTAGAATGCCGGGATTTACTCTTTCCTCCCTCTGCAGTTGGTTAAGAGGTCCAACAGAAACAGACCCGGATATCTGCATCATTCTGCCACACACACGTGGCTACAGCTACATACATCCTATTTAAACCCTTCTCATTAGTAAAAGGAACAAATTCCAGCTAGTAATGAAAATTTGCTAATAGTATCTCTAGAGTACAACCTTTTAATTACTAAACCTTTCTCAGTTAATGTTCCTAAATATAAAATTCTAAAAGTCCTTCAGTAAATCTAACCCCCAAATTTGCTTTGTTCTAATATTCTTTTTTTTCTTTTCTGAGACAGGTTCTCAACTCTGTCACCCAGACTGGAGTGCAATGGTGCGATCATGGCTCACTATAGCCTCCACCTCCTGGGGCTCAGGTAATTCTCCCACCTCAGCCTCCTGAGTAGCTGGGACTACAGGTGTGCACCACCAGGCCCGACTAATTTTTTTCTGTTTTAAGTGGAGACAGGGTTTTGTCATGTTGCCCAGGCTGGTCTCAAACTCCTGGGAGTTCAGGCAATCTGCCCACCTCAGCTTCCCAAAGTGCTGGAATCACAGGCTTGAGCCATAATGCCCAGCCTGTTCTAATATTCTTAAGCCAAAAAAACTTCCCTAAGTTAACCATAAGAATATCAACGTTAGTTTATAACCCAGATTAATAAAAGGAGCTTCCATAATTTTTATATGTTGTAATACATTAATCAGAAAGCGGAATAATTCTAACAAGTACTGTATATCAGTTTGTGACGACTGTAACTGTCTAGTCGATAATGGACTTCCTCTTCTAATAAACTTCTAAGTCAAAGTATCTTGGTAGTGAATATTTCTAACCTATTTCTAAGCAAAACGTTTCAGTGTTATCTTCAAGAAACAACATTTACAGCCGGGCGGGGTGGCTCACGCCTGGGAGGCCAAGGCAGGAAGATCACCAGGTCAGGAGATCAAGACCATCCTGGCCTACATGGTGAAACCCCATCTCTCCTAAAAAATACAAAAAATTAGCCAGGCATGGTGGCACACACCTGTAGTCCCAGCTACTCGGGAGGCTGAGGCAGGAGAATCGCTCGAACCCAGGAGGCAGAGGTTGCAGTGAGCCAAGATGGCACCACTGCATTCCAGCCTGGGCGACAGAGCAAGACTCCGTCTCAAAAAAAAAAAAAAAAAGAAACAACATTTACTATTTGGCTCCTTCACCCTTCCTGAATATACCCCAAATGCTCTAACACACAGATTCATAAGCACCTTCATTTTCACACGTGTTCCTTTCCCTCATTCCCGATGCCTATTTTTCTGTCCTTGCAAAGCTAATGGCCTAAGACAGCAATTGCGTCTAATACTGGCTTCCTGCCAGCACAGAAACTGCCATCACCTAGCTTCCCCTAACACGGGCAGGGTATCTCTAACTAAGTCAGAGCAAGCCAAAGGCTGCTGCTGGGTGGTGGCAGCCACAGACAAAGGAGGACTTCCCAAGGCCAAAGCTCAGCCGCAGCTGCCCAGAGGCAGGATGTGAAGATCAATGGGCTTTTGGCTTCTTTTTCTAAGTAGTAGAAAGGTCAGGGGTTTCAGGGTTCCATGAAGCAGGAGACACTCCTCCATCCATCCTGGCCGTAGAAACTCTCCAGACTCTTGAGAGATCCCCCAGTCAGCTGGCACAAGTGGGAGTCGGGCCCCAGAGCTGAATGAATGCTTTTGAAAATGACTTTCTCTAATGGGGATTTAACTTAACATTTTTGTTTTAAAGAATGTAAGAGAATTCTGCGGCCTGATTTACTGTAATATAGATATAGATTGCTAATCAAATAACCTTCTCTAAGACATTATTTTAATGTTTAAAGTCCCCCTAGAAAATGCTGAAGAATTATGAAACACTCTCCTCAAATTAGCTCATCACTGTGGAGTCAGCATTGGGAGGTTTGCTAGAAGTTGTCTGATCCCGTCCTCTACACAATGAAGATAACCCACATGGTCCAAAATACTTCCAATTTCATTTCATTAAATGGCCACTATGAGAAAGTTCCTTCTCAAACCGAACCCAAATCTGCCTTCTTTTAACTCAGTAGTGATTTTCAGCTGGGATGATTTGGCCCATAGAGGGAATATGTCAATGTCTGTAGACATTTTGGGTTATCACAACTGGGGGACAGGGGTGCTTCTGGCATCTAGTGGACAGAGGCCAGGGGTGCTGTTAAACACCCCATAACACACATGTCAGCCCCCAACCAAGAATCATCTGGCCCCAGGTGTCAATAGTGGTGAGGTTGAGAAACCCTGCTCTAACTCCTGCTCACTGATCCTGAGAAGGCTCTTTGAAGAACCACAAGTCAACTCTTTTTTTCTATATGTAGCACATTAAAAAACATTTGAAACTCCCTGCAGCAACCAGCTACTGTCACAAAAATGCTGCAAAACAAAACAAAACAAAAAACAGGCCTAAACTCACTGGCTAGAGCTGCCATTGGGATCATGAGGCCCAAGGCAGCCTGGAGTACAATCCCCTAATGGGGGACCTGCCTTCAGGCAGCGGGCAATGGATACAGGTTCTCGGGATTCTATTACTTTCTATTAATGCTTCACTGACTTCACAAAACTAATTAATTTCTATGTTTGTCTCTAGCCTAGAATAGTTTCAGCAAAATCAGATTTACCATTTCTTTAAATGTTTGCTCCAAACAAGCTCTCAAACCTGATCTATGCCATTTATAAAGCAAAGCTAAGCCCATAAGACCTTGGATGAAGATTTAGATGGAAATTGCAGGTAAGGTTTACAGTTGGAATGGATGTAAGTTATGGGAGAAAAAGGGAAGAATCAGGAAATATTCTAAGAAATAACTGAGCACCTGGAAGGATGGAATTCCATTAACTGAGATGAGGAAGGGTGCAGGAGTGCACCATTTTAAAGACCTTGTTCCACTGCCTTCCAGAATTTCTGATAAGAAGTCAGCAGTATTTAAAATTGTTGTCCACTGAATGTAGGGAGAAAGCCTCACTAGAGATGAAAATGTAGCTTACCACCCGAAACAAAGGACTTTGATCTCACGAAAAATATTCAAGTATAAGTCTTTGGTGAGGGTTTCGAATAACTATAAAAGGCAGTAAAATCCAATAAATCCACCCATTAAAGTAAACCTCAAAGCTGATTAATTCCTCCAAAGAAACAAGAGATTTCCAAACATTTATGCAAATAAGTTTGTTTCCAGGAAATAGTGTTGGAACACTGCACAGTAAGTGAAACATGTTACAGTATGAACCATTCCCCTAAAAGTGGGAAGTGGGGCAATGCAGGAACCCTGACGTGAACCTTACGACTGTCTTTAGCAGAGCTGTGGAAAGGGGGAAAAGTGAACTGGTACAAGTGGTCCCAGCACTGAAGAACATCTTTGGTAAGAAGTGGGCATGGAGGAGGTTGATAAATGCTGGGATTCCCAGGCCAAATTCCCAACATGGCCATGGAGCTGCATGGGATCAAGCTGAGAGGTTGCCGGGGGGCGGGGCTAGACTGAGCAATAAAGTTGGAAATAGTGGGATTTTTTTTCCCTTTCAAATGATAAATATTAGATGTAATTAATAAAATATGTATTCCTATGGGGCTGAGTGAAGAGTGATACCATACTGGATGATGTTTTAAAAATGGGACTTTTGTCTCATGCAATCATATCTACAGGACAGTAACCTGTAATATGGTATCCTGCTCACTGTGGCTACAAAAAAAAAAATGTCTGTGAAATTCACTGAAGAAAAAGAAACAAAACCCCCAAAACACCGAAAATTAAAAGCAGCAGTGGCTAGGTACAGCATTTCAGGAGGTTGAGGCAGGAGAATCACTTGAGCCCAGGAGTTCAAGACCAGCCTGGACAACATAGTGAGACCCCATCTCTACAGGAAAAAAAAAAAAATTAGCTGAGTTTAGTGGCATGTGCCTGTGGTCCCAGCTACTTGAGGCTGAAGTGGCAGGATTGTTTGAGTCTCAGAGGTCAAGGATGCAGTGAGCCATGATCACACCACTCCACTCCAGCCTAGGTGACAGAGCAAGACCCTGTCTCAAAACATAAACAAATAGGCCACACTTTGGAAGGCCAAAGCGGGCAGATGACGAGGTCAGGAGTTCGAGAAAAACCTGACCAACATAGCGAAGCCCTGTCTCTCCTAAAAATACAAAAATCAGCTGCGCAGGGTGGCGCACTCCTGTAATCCCAGCTACTCAGAAGGCTGAGGCAGGAGAATCGCTTGAACCTGGAAGGCGGAGGTTGCAGTGAGCCAAGATCGTGCCACTGCACTCCAGCCTGGGCAACAGAGCAAGACTCTGTCTCAAGAAAAAAAAAAAAAAGAAGAAGAAGAAGAAAAACACACAAAAAAACAGGCCAGGTGCGGTGGCTTACGCCTGTAATCCCAGCAATCTGGGCGGCTGAGGCAGGCAGATCACCTGAGGTCAGGAGTTCAAGAACAGCCTGGCCTACATGGTGAAACCCCCATCTCTACTAAAAATACAAAAAATTAGCCAGGCGTGGTGGCAGGCGCCTGTAGTCCCAGCTACTGGGGAGGGTGAGGCAGGAGAATGGCATGAACCCGAGAGGCAGAGCTTGCAGTGAGCCGAGACCGCACCACTGCACTCCAGCCTGGGCAACAGAGTAAGACTCGGTCTCAGTAAAAAAAAAAAGAAAAGTAAAATAAAATAAAATAAATAACTAAAAATAAAGGCAGCAGTGGCTGACGAAAATAAGGACAATTTTACCCATGAGAAGAAACAAGGTCTATAGAGAATGGAGAAGTGCAAGTCATTCAACTGCGCCGAAAGGTAGTCAGCAGAGCCTAGCCATTCATCCGTGTGAGGAAAGAGACATCAGTGATTCAGTGTGGCCTGAAACATACCTAGAAGAGCCATCAAGTCTTACAGCCGCAGCCCATGTCATTCTTTCAGCTAGAGACTGTGAAGCAATACACTGAGCTGCCTGCTTACACACTGCCTGAAGACTGATGCCTGTGATGTGTGCATTTCATAATGTATCACAAGCTACTAGAGACTATGATAGGTCATATCCATTTAATGAAAGTGCATTCCAAAAAGTACAATTTTCTATTCTCAGTTATTTGAGCAGCTGGAAAGAAAGGCTTACACTATTGATATAAAGAAAACAAGCCAGGCGTGGTGGCTCACACCCTATAATCCCAGCACTTTGGGAGGCTGAGGCAGGAGGATTGCTTGAGGCCAGGAGTTTGGGACTAGCCCGGGCAACATAAGGAGACCCCCATCTCCACAAAAAATACAAAAATTAGCTGGGCATAGCAGCACATGCCTGTGGTCCTAGCTACTTGGGAGGCTGAGTGGGAGGATCACTTGAGCCCAGGAGTTCAAGGTTATAGAGAGCTAAGATCATTAACACTGCATTCCAGTGACAGAGTGACAGAGCAAGACCTTATCTCTTAGAAAAAAAGAGAAAGAGAAAACAGATAATGAAAAATACAAATTCGATGATATATACAGCGTATAGAGTATCACTGTATCATAAACAGTAGCAGTTAGTTGTGACAACTTATTACAAGAAATTAAGATTCTAATGAAATCATAAAAGGATAAGAACTGCAGGTTACAATCTATTGTTGATCATTTTTTCTGTATCATTAGGAGATGTTATACTTTCTCTACTACTTTGGAATTTGGAAATGTAGGTATTGAGATAGTCTTGCTTACAAAGAGCTTTCAGTCGAGTCTAAACTTTAACAAACTGCCACACTGTAGAGATTATTCTTAAAATATTACGAATAGAAAAGTGAATGAAAGATAAAAAATGTATTGGGTTACAGTAACAAAAATTTATTCTCATGCTCACAGGTCTAAAGGCTGACTGTGCATTGCTGATAAAGGCTGGGATCAGCTGGAAAACTCTGCTGCAAGCTCCTGGGGTGGGCTCTGTGTGGCTCTGGGTATATTCATTCAAGGGTCCAGGCTAAGTGGCCATTAACTTCCCAAGGTATCTTCTTCTCATGGCACCAGAGTCCAAGAAGGAAGGTCCAATCATGCAAATACTTTTTAAGCCTCTAACTTACATCATAACCACTAATTGGCCAATTCAAGCCACATGACTGAGCTCAAAGTCAAAGGGTAGAAAAGAACATTCCAGCCACCATGAGACTTATTACAGGAAATGACAAATTGGGACAAAAATAATCTCCCACATTCCTCTTTTATTTTCTTCAAGCTCAGTATTTTTCTTTCTTCAGTCATATCCCACAGGCCATGGCTTCTAGATCTTCTATCATACTGACAACATTCTTTCTATATGAATTTTACTTCTTCAGTATTCCTGTTAAATCACAATGCTTGGAACAATACAACACTCCATATGTGGTCTGACCCATATTGGTTTTCCCTTGTGAAACGTTTAGTGGCTAAAAAGTTTAAAAGCTTGCCTAGGTTTTAAGTGCACTGTCTAGAAAATATAATAGAAGTGAAATGGTCTGGGGAATTTTTTAAAATAAAATGATCAGCTGTTCTTTTTTACTAGGTACTAGCTAAAGACATTTTTTCTTCTAAAGCATAAGGGAGGTAATTCGGAATGAAAAACCCAGATTCTATATAATACTAGAAAAATTATCTTCTCTCTGAATTCTGTTTTCTCATCTCAAGCGCTAAATTCTCCACCTTAATAATATTCTTAGGCCAGTTTAGAGCTTATAAGCACTTAAATACATATTCTCTAAATTAATTTCATTTAATTCTCAACAACTCTGAGCTAGGCGTTATTTCTGCCCTTCCTGAAAGATCAGGAAATTGAAGATTAGATGGAAGGACAAGACTTCCTTTGCCCTGTGAACAATACTGCTCTTACCTCCAGGCCTGGAGGAAAGAGGCCTCTTCCCTCTGCCTCGAACATCTTTCTCTGACAACTCCTTTCTTTGCCTGCCTAGCTATTATTCACCCTTTAAGTAAATCTCTACTCGTTATGGCACTTCCTCCATAAGCTGTGCCTGGCTTTCATTTTTCTGTAAGTTATTTATTGAGTGCCATCTAGAAATAAAGGACTCCACAAGATGCCGAGGACAGAGCAGTGAACAATACAGATGTCGTCCTTGCACTTGCATGGCTTAGCACCCAACTGGAGAAAAAGACATTCAACAAATAACTATACCATTACTTAATGACGCCTGTGATAAATGCTGCAAAGCCAAGGTACTGTGGCCTGGGAGCATGGGTTACAGCCTGTCCTTTGTGCCCCATGGCTCTTCCTCATTTCACTGTAGCATTGATCATGCTTTATTGTAATTAGCTGTTTGTCTTTATTCCCCACTATGAATGGAAGTTATGAATGGTAACTGGGCTCTATTTTCATAGCTTGGTATAACTCCTTTAGACTAAAAACATTTAATAATTATGTATGGAATGAGTGATTCAATAATCAAATGGACTTGCCCAAAATACTAAATTAATGAGCCAGGATAAGATTCGAACCTAGGATTCCAATTCCCATACTTTTGTCTCTATACAAAATTACCAAGAAATGGTAATGATTCTAGTAAAATTTAATGCTAGCCTACAACATAACCACAAATAAAAAAGAAGTAACCTATACATAAACATTATTTATAAACTATGCCTGTTTGTAACATAAGAGCCTATGTACACACAGGTATCATATAGTATGGATCTTATTAACACATACTAATATAGACAGATATATACTACAGGCTGAATATCCCTTATCTGAAATGTTTGGGACCAGAAGTGTTTCAAATTTTGAAATATTTGTGCATCTATATATATAAAATGAGATATTTAGGGGATAAGACTCAAGTTTAAACATGAAATTCTTTTTTTTTTTTCTCTTGAAACAGAGTATCCCTCTGTTACTCAGGCTGGATTGCAGTGGGACGATCACAGCTCACTGCAGTCTCAACCTCCCGGGCTCAATGATTCTCCCACCTCGGCCTCCTGAGTAGCTGGGACCATGGGTGGGCACCACCATACCCAGCTGAATTTTTTAATTTTTAGTAGAGACAAGGTCTCACTATATTGCCCAGGCTGGTCTCAAACTCCTGAGCTCAAGTGATTCTCCTGCCTTGGCTTCCCAAAGTGTTGGGATTACAGGCATGAGCCACCACACCTGGCCAAAACATGAAATTCATTTGCATTTCATATATATCTGATACACACAGACTGAAGGTAATTTTACACAATATTTTTAATAATTTTGTGCATGAAACAGTTTTTTCTTGTTCTGACTGTGACCCATCACACAAGGTCAGGTGTGAAATTTCCTACTTGTGGCGTCATGTCGGTGAAGGAAGTTTTGGATGTTGGAGCATTTTTGGATTTTGGATTTTTGGATTAAAAATGCTTAATCTGTAATTAGTGACCCTACATTCCTTATTTATTCTGATTATTATTTAGGCATTTGTAATGGAGTATACTAAACATATAAAGTTATGGATTTACCTGGCAAAAATGAGTTGTGTCTAAATAAATGGTAATTACAAGTAGTTATAAATAACATAAATACAATAAATATAAATTTGGGGATCTTATTTTTAAATGTAATACAAATTAATTTCTTAAATTTATAATTCAAAGTTTATGCTTCAAAGAATGATGTTATAACAGTAAGAAACTTGCAAATGATAAAACAACACTGTTCTTTCATTCTATAGATACAAATTTATAACATAGCCAGTCTGCCATGCTAACTTAGCTAAAGACATTAAGATAGCTTACTGAATATTGAATTTTTCCTTTAATTCCTAGAAATTACAAATACAATCCCCAAATTGGTATCAAATTTTTCTTTTACTACCAAAAGAATCATTTTAAACATCGTATGAAAACAGCCTAGGTCACTAAAGGGAATTAGCACCATCTAGTGAAAAAAGCTGGCAAAACCTGTATATCAAAAGAAAACTGTAGCAGGGAGAGAGAGCCGTGTTAACTGTATATGAAAACAGAAAACAAACTGTAGCACTAACACCCCTTACGATTATGTTTTATTAATTTTCATCGGGTTCTAACAGACTTTACTAATATTACATTTGTTTTAAAGACCTAACACTCAGTATAATCAATCATTAACACATTTGCCAGAAATATGCCAATGATGAAATGTTCAAAAGAAAGATAATTTGCTATGTTGGAAGCACCATTAAATAAGTATGACCCATTAACACACTTTCTTGTCCTCTAACTTGCAGCCAGATTTAAAGGGCCTTGACTCTCTCCTCTAGGCCCTGAAAAGCCAAACCATTTTTGCAGCAGGGAAGATTAGTTAGGTAGTTGCATACAGGATTCACATGAATAGTGTGTCAAGGAAAGACTAACCAGTTGAGGGCAGATGATGGTAAGCCAGAGAGGAGATGTCAAGGCCTGAACTGAAATGGAAACAAAGGGTCTACTGCGAATGGTGAATGAGTGTCCACTGGGCTTGGGGATCACTATGACATTCAACATGCCTCTAAACTACTGCAGAAATTTTTAAAAATTGGTCATACCTCTTTATATCTTTTCCATTATTACCTTAAAGTGTTACTGAAATGCTTATTCACTTTTTTTTCTCTTATTCCCTTATTAGAGGATAAGCTCCCTGAGGAGCTTTAGCATAGATGTTATTAAAAGAAGATACAAATCATGATGTGAACTCAGTTATTTCAATGGCATAACTGTTGTGGAAACGACTAAAAATACAGTGGGTGTTCTCCCCCTATTTTTAAAAGAGTCTTCTTGTGGAACTTAGAAGAAATCTATGTTAATTATGTACGCTACCAACTCTCAAATTTGTGATCACTGCATCATGATGACAATTTTTAGCTCGTGGACGAAAAAGCAATTTGAAATGAGTTGGTCCTTTTAGCTGCATCATTTGGATGAAATGATCAACTCATCTATTATCCCATTTTTCCTCTCAATTTCAGATTAAATTTTACTGCCTATTCCCACAAAAGGCACCACAATGACAATTATAGATTAGGGCTTCTACTGAAGATAACATAAAATCATAAAAACCAAAAAGAGCACATGGCCTTTAAAAATTCACTTCTAACATTTCAACTATATAGCAACATTGTCAGTACAGCAAAATAAAATTTTACGCAAGCTAAATTCCACTCCAAAATTCTAAAACACTCTAACCAGAATTTTTATTTTCCTAAGTCTTTTACTTCACAGTGCCTCAGAGTATTTCGCCTTTAAAAGACATAACATAAATTCCAATCCACTGAAATTCCTAAGCCAGTGAACCCCAATAAGAATGATCATTTAGACTAGAAGCCTGAATGTTGACAGCTATGAGACACATACCTGAATAAAGGAAGAATTGAGGAGAATCTCCATGAATGCCCACTGTGCCTGGCCCCAAGGAGTCAGATAGGGTATTCACAAAGGAAAATACTCCACTCATGATTCCAAAGCCCAAGCCAGAAACTAAACAGGAAGAAAAACACTGTTAACTCTTTTCCTGCCAAGATTTCAAGTCAAATTTCCAAGGACTAGTTAATACAAAGTGTGTTGGAGGGGAAAGGGTGCTTATGTTCTTCCTGAAGCAGTGGACAGCTGGCTCTGGAGAGGCATGTGCTTGGCTAAATGATGAATCAGAGAGGGAAGCGGGAAGAGGAAAGGAAATGAATGGCAGAATGCAGCAGAGTAATGAAAAAGGGGAGAAAAGGGTCTAGAAAGGCACAGAAGAAATAGGTGAGACAGAGGATACAACACCAAAACTCCGGCTTACTTTATGATAACAGAGTCTACAGAGTTAAGTTTGATGGCTTAGAACTGAAATTGAGTGTAAAGGGGAACTGTGTATTCCTGAGCCCAAGTGGGGAACCTAGATCCAATCTTAAACATAATTCTCAAAGTGTAATACGCAGAGATATTAACTGCTTTAATATGAAGAGTACTCCTAGAAAAGCCAAAGTAAGATTCAGAGAAAGTAACAGTTTCATCATCTAGAAAATCTTAGTTAACTAGGGTACATACACATTAAAAATCTAACTTTCAAACCTGGTTAATATACAATGGACATACAGGTAAGGGTCACTTGCAATCATTTTCATTTACAAAAGGAACCTGGAAGACGGGGATAATAAGCAAATATGTACACCAATAGGCCAAGGCAGTAATAAACAACTACTTGAAATCTACAAAGATACAAAAGATGCAAATGACTTTTATGCCAAGTATGATTTTTTTCCTTAATGAAACCATGTGGTTCTAACTTACCATAGGCCAGCAGTCGCATAGAGGGTGCTGTCTCACCTGGGTTTATACTCTTCAAACCTTCACTGGCTTTTCTAAAATAAAACCACACATGTAATTAAGAAGAAAAAAAAAAAAAAAAGGAAGAGCAATATATCAGGAAAGTCCAACAAGACACTTCAAACCCAGATACTCACTGAGGCTTTGCATCAGGTTATACTCTAAATCTGTAATTTATTTAAACAAACCCAGCAAATTTTCAATGAACTAACATCAACCAAAATTGCCAACTAATTTTTACCTTTTGACATTCCCATAAAAGAATAAGAAAAATATAAGTAAACAAGCCGTCAGGAATTGAATTTAAAAAGATAAAAACCGCAACACTTTCAACTGCTTGCTGAACTCGGCAAATATTTAATTCAATATCCTATGGGATCTACCACTCTGATTTTTTTCCCCTTCCCAAAGTACTGTATCCTTATTCCTGCTTTGTTGGCACTTTGTTCTATCTTCCACCAGGACTATACTGGCTCTGTCACCCTCCCTTGTACCTTCCACTCTGTAGAACCTAAACTACACTCATCCTTCAGAGTCCACTTCAGGCAGCGATTTGTTAAAGAAGCTGCCTACCAATGGTTGGTAATCACTAATCTCTCCTTATTCTTAAATCCTATAATACTGATGGTCTGAACTCTCACGAGTATTTAATCATATGATCTTCTGATTCTAAAACGTTTTACATATTTGTTTTATATCACCAATAAGGCTTCAAGGGAGAAAGTGATCTGATACTTTCGTTGTATCTTGCAGAATAAAATGCTACCCTCAGAACAGGACATAAATGAACCCTTGAATGAAAGAACAGAATACTGCTCAAGAGAAAATAATCTTCAGCCGAGCATGGTGGCTCAGCACTTTGGGAGGCCAAGGCAGGAGGATCACTTGCATCCAGGAGTTCGAGACCAGCCTGGACCACACAGCAAGATCCTGTCTCTATTAAAAATAAAATAAAATAAAGAAGTGATCTTCAGAGTGATCTTATGCATCCTTCTGTTGTGGCCAATTTATAAGCTTACCATGAGTGCCATGCAGATTTGTTAGGAATGCTGGTGTGGCTGGTCAATTCTACTAGCATCACTATTACCAATTCTTGTTGGTGAGAAAACTCTGCAATAATGTAAGATCCTGACTCAAAGAATATTTAAATTATATTTACTATAAAGTATATTTATTAAGGCAACAAAAGAACCAAAACATTTTAAAAATGATTTTTTAGCAAATGTTGAAACAAGACAGGTTAACTCTAAGAATAGACAATTAAATTAACCAGAACATACTTACTTTCTGGGCATTGTGTTACTTTAAATTTCAGGGTATGGGTATTCATTATAGTCAGCTTATTCTTTACATAAATATAAATATCATTGATTACATTAAATTAAGGCAATGTAGAATTCAACCAAAATAGGGATAAGCCTAGTGAAGGGAGTGCTTTTCTAGACTCAAAAGAAACAATCTGCCATTTTGGTGCTCTCCATCTGGAAGCATTTGGTAGTGAGGACATGAGCCAGAAATTTAAGTGACCATCTTCTTTCTCTGAAGCAGTAACCAACTAAAATGTCCAATTTTCCTAAAAATAAACTTACCTCTCATAGTGATACCGTTAAAAGTGAATTAAAGCTTATGGGACACATATATAGTAAAAATCTCTGTCAACAAATATATCAATATAGTAGAATCAAAAAATGTGGGAAGATTTCTGTTTTCTATAAATTCCTCGATAATAAATAAAAGACTTGTATCCATGTGGACACAAAGAAGGGAAAAACAGGCCTAGTTGAGACTAGAGTGGGAGGAGGGAGAGGATCACAATTTACCCAGGTAACAAACCTGCATGTGTACCCTTGAACGTAAAAGTTAATAAAATAAAATACAGTTATCTGTTGCATAGCAACATTTCAGTCAACAATGGACTGCACATATGATGGTAGTCATTATTATAATGGAGCTAAAAAATCCCTATTGCCTAGTGACGTCATAATGTTGTAGCATAATGCATCACCCCCCGTGTTTGTGGTGATGTTGGTGTAAACAAACCTAGTGCAATGCCAGTCATATAAAAGCACAGCACATATTGGCCAGGCGCAGTGGCCCACGCCTATAATCTCAGCATTTTGGGAAGTCAAGGCAAACAAGTCACTTGAGCGCAGGAGTTTGAGACCAGGTTGGGCAACATGGTGAATCCCCATCTCTACAGAAAATACAAAAATGAGCCGGGTGTGGTGGTGTGTGCCCATAGTCCCAGCTACCTGGGAGGCTGAGGTGGGAGGATGGCTTGAGCCAAGGAGGTGGAGGCTGCAGTGAGCTGAGATTGCACCACTGCACTCTAGCCTGGGCAACAGAGAGGCCCTGTCTCAAAAAAAAAAAAAAAGCAAAGCACATACAATTATGTACAGTATATAATACTTCATAATGATAATAAACAACTGTTAATAGTTTTTATAAAAAACAACAACAAAGTTAAAAGACTTACACTTCTCCATTTCAAAACTTACTACAAAAGTAAAATATTCAAGATCATCTTATACTGGTGTAAGGGCAGACACACAGATTAACAGAATAAAATTGACAGTCCAGCAATAAACTGTAAATACAGTCAACCGATTTTCAACAAGAGTGCAAGATGATTCAATGAGGAAAGAGAGATGGTCTTTTAATAAATGGTGACAGAACAACTAGATAATCACATACAAAAGAATGAAGGTGGACCATTACCTTACACCATATATAAAAACTAAAAATGAGTGAAAAGTCCAGCTATCAGAGCTAAAACTATAAAACTGTCAGAAGAATACATAGGTGCCAGTCTTCATGACCGTGGGTTGGGTAATGGTTTCTCAAATACATACACCTAAACCACAAGCAACTAAAGAAAAAGTAAACAGATGAACCTCACCAAAATTAAAAACTTTGATGCTACAAAGGACACTATCAAGAAAGTGAAGAGACAACACAGATGGGAGAAAATATTTGCAAATCATATTTGAAAAAGGACTTATATCTACAGAACTCTTACAACTCAATAATAAAAAGACAAATAATCAATTTAAGAGATAAATTGTCTGGGCATGGTGGCTCACACCTGTAATACCAGCATTTTGGGTGGCTGAGGTGGGCGGGTCGCTTGAGCTCAGGAGTTTGAGACCAGCCTGGGCAACATAAGGAGCCTATGTCTCTACCAAAAAAATACAAGTTAGCTGGGTGTGGTGGCACGCACTTATAGTCTTAGCTACTCAGGAGGCTGAGGGTGGGAGGATTGCTTGAGCCCCGGAGGCGGAAGTTGCAGTGAGCCATGATTGCGCCACTGCACTCTAGCCTGGGTGACAGAGCGAGACTGTGTCAATCAGTGAATCAATCAAAGATTTTAGCTATTTGATACAACAAAGTACTACTATCACAAATATATTAAATAAATAAACTAAAAAGTTTAATAAGCTTCCTAATTCTACGTTATGGAAGTACGTGGGAGGAAAACTAACAGCACTAAGAGTTCTCAATGTCAACATCAGGAAGTGAGAAAGTACAAAACATCATCAGTTTCTGGGTTCACGTCCATCTTACTGAAGTGGAAAATTCTTTGTTTGCATTTATTATTATGTTCCCAAGAACAAAAAAAGAAACAATTCAAATTTCAAAAATATAAATTTTGAAAAACTACTGCTAAATCACACCATCTTTCTCATTTGTTCTATCCTTTTTCGAATGTGTGTGTGAGAGAGAGAAAGGAGTATGAATACAAGTTAAATACGCCATTTTCAGAATTTTTAAAAATAGACACGCTGCTTAAAAGTTGTAGCAATGGTTATCTTAATGTTTTTTCTATAAATGGAAGATTTTCTAAAATTACAAAATATTTATGGTATCAACCTTTTAAGACAAAATTGAATTAAATTACAAAAGTTTCCATCCAAACAGAAAAAATCCTAATGTCTGTTTTAGGCAACATACAGGAGTTTCAAGCAACATACAGGAGTTTCAAGCAACATAGAGTTGTCTAAACTGTATGTTTTTGGCAAAATATGATTATATTTTAAGCAACATAACTTGGATTTTAAAAAAATTACTGCAGAAAGGGCTACCACACATGCCAATTTCTCTTTATGCAAGGCTCTGCCAGGCTGAAAGTTACTATTCATTCATGTAAGAACAAGATTAGTAAGATTAAGTGATTAAGGTCTAACTCATGAAATAAAACTATTATTTATTATTAGATTGCAATGAATATTTTGATCCAATTCCATATATTTATAAAAACTGGTATAAACTCTCCACATTTTAATCTTGGCACCAAATTCTGATAGCAAAAGTCTGAGGTAGCACTTTAAATTTAAAAGTTCAAGACCTACTTTGGCAGTGGAGATAAAGTATTGATTAAACCAAACTCCCTATATTTGAATGCAATATAGAATAAGAGAGCAATGTAAATGTATCCATATAAATGTCAGTCATAAATAAAGCATTATAATAATTCTTAAATTGTTTTAATACATCTACATAACATTTAACATTTCTCAAATTTGCTGGGAAAATTTTGAATATTCTAAAGGCTCGTAAAAGATGATTTTTGCAAATGCAAACAAACGTACCTGCTAGTACAAGTCTGTCCTACCATTTGCAAATTTCCAAAGGTCCTTTCAGAAAAGCACACATGGTTTCCCTAGGAACCTAAAGAGGCTTCTCTGAACTTCCTGGCATTCGAGCCTACAGACTGACAGCTTTAATTTCTTCCTCATGTGGTCCTACTCCTTTCCTGCCCTCATTAAAAAAGTGGACACTTGCTCCTCAGTGTAAAAAGAAAATTTTAAAAATTAAAATTAAAAAAAAAAAAAGAGGAACAATAATGTGGATCTATGTTCAGCTACAGTCCTTTGGAGCCCTAAGTTAGTGCCAGGAAAATGTTGCCATTTCAGGTGGAAACCATGAAGATGCAAGGCAGTGAAGAACAGCCCATACTCATTTTGTCACGCTGATAATTCAGGTTTTAGAACATACAAGTCCTAAACTTTAAATTCTGTATTAGAAATTGTGTTTTTTTTTGTTTTTTTTTTTTTTTTTCAAAATTAGACCCATGGCATGAAAATGCATATGGGCCAATGATGTCACTGACAGGAAAACCCAGTGCAATGTGAGGCTGAGCTGTGAAGAGTACAGTGCCCAGTCAGGGGTACTACTTAGTCTGCACTGCAGAATACCATGCTGGGTTCTGAGCACAGGCAAAAACCAGGCGCTGACAAAAAGGGTCATGTCCACTGACCAAAAAGAACAAACAGCCTTTCTTTTGGAAAGGTTTGGAAGCCACAACCATGCCTGTTGAGGTCCAGGTGAAGAAATGAGGACTGTTCATTCTTGAAAGGGAGATAATTATAACCATGCAGCAGAGACTTCATTTACCTGGTACTTGAGTAAGGCAGCGGTCAGAAGGGAGTTTTTGTTTTTGCTTGTTTGTTTTTTTTTTAGACAGGGTCTGGCTCTGTCTCCCAGAATGGAGCACAGTGGTGCAATCACGGCTCACTGCAACCTCCGCCTCCTAGATTCAAGTGATCCTCCCACCTCAACCTCCCGAGGAGCTGGGACCACTATGCCCAGTTAATTTTTGTATTTGTTGTAGAGACAGGGTTTTGCCATGTTGCCCAGGCTAGTCTCGAAATCCTCAGCTCAAGCAATTGGCCTACCTTGCTTTCCCAAAATGTCAGGGTTACAGGCATGAGCCACCAAGCCCAGCAGAGGTAGATGTGGTTACCTTAATGATATTCTACAGTTAAAGCTTAAAATTGTAGAATGGTAGTAACTGCCACATACCAGAAACATTCAAACACAGCTAGATGTCCATCTGTTAGGGATGTTGTATTACCATGGAAATTTCAGTGTTACCTTTGATATTTATTTATTCCCATGTAATATTTCCAGGTACTAATGGGAATTTCATTTTTGAAACTTTTCTAAGATATGATTTTTGCTTCTAAGCAATGGCTTCCTGGATTTCAATTCCTAATTTAAATTCCTTCATTACGAAAAGGGAATTCAGTATCTGGTATTAAAAGCAAAGAGTAACAAATACAGAAAACCTAGCATATTGGCAAGAACAAGTTAACAGAAGCCTATGAAAAGAGTTGTTGTTGAGGTTCCTCTTGGTTATATCCACGAAATTCATGGACAGCCTTAATTACTTCATTTGTACAAATGAAAAAAGACAGCACATTTATCACTCTATTAAGACTTACTACATAATCAAAGCCAATTTCATGACTGCCTGAAAGGAAATATGGTTCCAAGTTCCAGCTGTGTTTCAAATCAGTGGTTTCATGTGAGGTCCTCGTGAGTCCTAGAGAAGACCTACTTTCTGGCCCAACAAGGGAACCCAAGGCATTTTTTAAAATGTGATTTTCTATTATAGATTTAAAACTACAGGAAATACCACAAAAGGAACTCCTGTTTTCCCCTACTAAAGTCAAAATAATGGAAGGCATGGTCTCCATAAGAATTATTTATCTTGGCCGGGTGTGGTGGCTCAGGCCTGTAATCCTAACACTTTGGGAGGCCAAGGTGGGCGGATCACTGGAGGTCAGGAGTTTGAAACCAGCCTGGCGAACATGGTGAAACCCTGTCTCTACTAAAATTACAAAAATTAGCCGGGCATGGTGGTGCACACCTGTAATCCCAGCTACTCGGGAGGCTGAGGCAGGAGAATCGCTTGAACCCAGGAGGCAGAGGTTGCCGTGAGCTGAGATTGCACCATTGCACTCCAGCCTGGGCAACAGGAGCGAAAACTCTGTCTCAAAAAAAAAAAAAAAAAGAATTAACTTAGGTGGTGGCAAAGAGAACATATACATTCTAAGCTGGAATGATTTCTGTAGTTGTTTTAATGCTTCCCTAGCTTGTTTGTCTCCATGACACTTACCTACTATACCAGTGTATTTCTTGTTCATTCATTTATTGTCTGTCTCTTCCTACTATAATATAAGCTCCATGAAGCCAGAGACTCTGTCTTTTAATCACTGATGTATCCCCAGTACCTAGGATAGTGTCTGGGATTGATTCTCAAGAAATATTTTTTTGAATAAAGGAAGAAAGGAAGGAAATAAGAAATTTCCACAAGATAAAAGAACACTCAAGATTTTCAGGCTGGAAATGTACCAATCTCTTGGCTTAGTACTATGTAGGAGGGCATAGATACAATACTATATTCACGTTTCAAATGACCAAATCATAACTAAAATCTAACTGGGGAAAAAAAAGGTAAGGCAGGTATTTAACTTACTTTAAGAGTTTATAATATGCAAATCGGAACATTTCTTGGATATAGACAGAGACAAACGCTCCAAAGATCAGCAGATATTTCTGTGTTGGTCCATCTTTGTTGTCAATAATGACTCTTGCCATGAACCAAACAAGGGACGAAATCAGTAGAGACACCAACCAGAAGAAAGCTCTGAAAAATACGGGAAAAAAAGTTACAAGTGAACATCAGTACAGGATTAATAATGTTTAAAAGCAGGAAAAAAAAAAAAACCTGCTTGAGAAGGAAGAGATTTCTTGACGTTTCAATAAGGAAAAGAAAGTCCTCATAAAGTGATACTCTGATCAGTTGTTCTTAACGGTGCATTTTCCTTGGTGAGACAAACGTGTCCAAGAGGAAGGCTGAGGTTTCCCAACAATTACTTTTTTCAATGACCCTGCTACTTGCAAGTACATCTGCAGACTCTATCTGCCAAGGACTATCTAGCTAGAAACTTGGTTATTTGCTACTCTTTCTAATCAATGCTCTGCCCATTGATGAGCCAAAACAAGAAAATACACAACCCTGATTACTGCAATTTTCATATTCTTAAAACTTACAAGAAATTATGGATTTACTGATCAGATATCTGCAAAGATGAGTATCTTTTCCAGAAAAATATCTACATCTCTATTAATAAAGTGACTGGTATAAAATTCAACTTGAAAACCTGTGTTCTGATCTGGATCAGTATCCAAGCCCTCCAGGTCTTACAGCACCCCTGGGGATTCTAATGATTATAGCAAGCTTTACAGACCCTTCCCAAATCTCTATTATTTTTAAAATGACATGCAGCGAAGCACTTTCAATACGTTTGTGGGAGGTGAAGAAACGCAGAAAAGCGGGAATCATTGGCCTAGTCTGGTGCCAAGAGAGACTCATCAGAGGAGGGGGGATGTGGTATGTGCAAGTAAGAGGCAGGTGATGACTGCGATGGGACACCAGAGTCCGGTATTTACCAAGCTCCCAGAAGGAGACGCACAGTCAGGTGCTTCGGTGTTTTTACAGGTTTCCACCCTTCGGCTGCACAACGGAACCATCCAAAAGGAGCTTAAATTTTTTTTTTTTTTTCTGAAGCCCGAATCCCATCCCCTAGACATTCTGATTCAATGGATCGGGGTGGGGGTGGGCATCGGCATGTTTTAAAGCACCTGGCCACAGGTGATTCTAATAGGCGGAAGTCGCGCACTACTATCCTAAACGCCAATGGTTTTTAACCCTTTGGGGATTACACATGCCTTTGAGAATCTGAGGGAAATTAGGGACTCCCCCTCCAGAAAATGAAGGATGCATATATGAACTTATCCATAATTTTTTTATACAACTTTAGTAGCTTCACGGATCACTAAACCCCACCCATGAGCCCCAGGCAAAAGGCCCTGACCCCCAGTGTGCGCTTCTTCCTAAGAGGGCGAGGCGCCTTTGGGGAGCCGGATCTCCGCTCTCCCCCTCTCAACCCTCCTCCCGTCTGAAACGCAACAAGGTCGAGCCGCGCGGTGGGGGCGCCGAGGGTCGCGGGTAACCCCAGCGGGGGAGGGGAGCCCCGGCGTCCGGGTTTCCCGACGCGACCGCCTCACCCGGCGATGAGGAAGATGATACGCAACGGCTCGGTGGCGATGGTGAAGACATAAAGGGCGAGCGCAGGCCCGAAGGCAATGAAGGCGCAGCCGAAGAACACGGCCGCAGTCATGGCCACCGCGGAAACCGACCCGGGGGCCCGTTGGGGACGCGAGATGCTCCCGGCGCGGGCGGGGTTCGGTGGGTGGGGCTCGGGGTGGGGGGCTAAGCGGGACGCGGGGGGCGGGGCGCGGCTCATGGGCAGGCACGGGGACGGGGGCGGGGCTCGGGGGCGGGGCACGTGGGGGCGGGGGCGGGGCTCGGAGGCGGGGTACGTGGGTCGCGGGGCGAGGCGGGGCGTGGGGGTAAACGCTAGGGCCTGGGGGACTGGGCGGGGCGTGGGCTGAGGGCGCCGGGCGCAGGGGCGGGCTCAAGGCGGTGAGCGCGGACCCCACCGTTGGGCCCTCCGCCCTACCGGGTGTCCGGAAGCGCCAGGGCCACGCCGCAGCTCCTGCTCCCGAGGCGGGCGTCCTCGGCGACGTTAGGGCCCCAGCCATCGCCGCAGCCCCACAGATACACTCCGATCGGGTTCCAGTGCCGGCCGCGAGGTGGTTAAGAGAAGGGAAGCTCCCTAGCCCACCTTCGAGCCGCATGCACCGAGAACAGGCAGAGATTCCAAGTCAACCAAAGAGACTAAACAAAAATGTAGCGCAGGAACAAGCAGGATTCCTTTTTAAATAGGTTTTTTTTTTTTTTTAAGCACATTTTACCGTTTGGATAGTTGCGGGAACTTCGTACTCCATCCTGTATAAAACCTAGGCTGGGATAGCAGTGACCCCGGGGATAACCCACAGATGGTAAAATGATGAAAGAGTGGTGGAA